>NC_000019.10:15060000-20060000 GCF_000001405.40 Homo sapiens
CAGTGAGCTGAGATCGTGCCACTGCATTCCAGCCTGGGAGACAGAGTGAGACGCTGTCTCAAAAAGAAAAAAAAAAAGGAAGAGGCTGGGCGCGGTGGCTCACACCTGTAATCCCAGCACTTTGGGAGGCCGAGGTGGGCAGATCACGAGGTCAGGAGATCGAGACCATCCTGGCTAACACAGTGAAACCCCGTCTCTACTAAAAATACAAAAAATTAGCCGGGCATGGTGGCGGGCACCTGTAGTCCCAGCTACTTGGGAGGCTGAGGCAGGAGAATGGCATGAACCCTGAAGGCAGAGCTTGCAGTGAGCCGAGATCACGCCACTGCACTCCAGCCTGGGCGACAGAGCAAGACTCCATCTCAAAAAAAAAAAAAACAGAACTACAAAATAATCAAGTAATCCCACTCCTAGGTATATATGCAAAATAAAGGAAATCAATATATCAAAGAGATATCTGCACTGCCATGTTAATTGCAGCACTATTCACAATAGCCAAGATATAGAATCAACCTAAGTGTCTATCAATAGATGAATGGATAAAGAAACTGCGGTATATATGCACAATAGAATACTATTCAGCCATAATAAAGAACAAAATCGTGTCATTTGCAGCAACGTGGATGAGCCTGGATGACACTGTATTAAGTAAAATCAGCCACGCACAGAAAGACAAACATCACATGTTCTCACTCATTATCTGGAAGCTAAAAAAGTAGATCTGGTGAAGATAGAGACTGGAATGGTAATTACCAGAGGCTGGGAAGGGAAGCGGGCAGAAGACGTGAAGAGAAATGGGTTACTGGGTACAAAAGTACAGTTAGGTAGGATGAATAAGTTCTTGTATTCGAGAGCACAGTAGGAAAATTATTATTAACCGTAATTATTTGTATATTTCAAAATAGCAAGAGGAGAAGAATAGCAGTGTTCCCAACACAAGGAAAAGATAAACGTTTAAGGTGATGGATATCTAATTACCCTAATTTGATCACCACCCCAAAAATCTGTACAACTATGATATATCAAATAAAAAAACAGAACTGTCCAGGCATGGTGACTCACGCCTGTAACCTCAGGATGCCAAGGCGGGAGAATCACTTCAGCCCAGGAGTTTTAAACTAGCCTGGGCAACAAAGTGAGGCTTAGTCTCTACTAAAAAATTTTTTTTAATTAGCTAGGTGCGGTGGTGTGTGCCTGTAGTCCTAGCTACTTGGGAGGCTGAGGTGGGAGGATCGCTTGAGCCCAGGAAGTCAAGACCGCAGTGAACCGAGATTGCACCTCTGTGCGCCAGCCTGGGTGACAGAGCAAGATCCTGTCTCAAAAAAAAAAAAAAAAAGAAAGAAAAGAAAAAAAAAACAGACCACCATATGACCCAGCAATTAGACTTTTTGGATATATATCCAAAGGAAATGAAATTAAATCTAGTAAAGATATCTTCACTCCCATGGTCATTGAAGCATTATTCACAATAGCCAAAATGTGAAAAAATCGAAGTGTCCATCTACGGACGAATGAATAAGGAAAAGACTGTGCGTGCGTGTGTGTGTGTGTATGTGTCTGTGAGAGAGAGAGAGAGACTGTGTGTGTGTGCATGTGTGTGTGTGCGCACACAATGGAATGTTATTCAGCTTTAAAACAAATAAATAAATGAGATTCTGCCGTTTGCCATCACATGGATGAACCTAAAGTATATTATGCTAGATGGAATAAGCCAGCATTGAAATCTACCGTTGTATTAGTCTGTTCTCGTACTGCTATAAAGAAATACTTGAGTCTGGGTAATGTTCAAAGAAAAAAGGTGAAGGCAGGTGCCGTGGCTCACCCCTGTAATCCTAGCACTTTGGGAGGCCGAGGTGGGCGGATCACTTGAGGTCAGGAGTTCAAAACCAGCCTGGCCAACACAGTGAAACCCTGTCTCTACTACAAATACAAAAAAAATTAGCTGGGCATGGTGGCGCATGCCTGTAATCCCAGCTACGCGGGAGGCTGAGATGGGAGAATCACTTAAACCCAGGAGGCAGAGGTTGCAGTGAGCACTCTAGCCTGGGTGACAGAGAGAGATTCGGTCTCAAAAAGAAAAAAGGTTTAATTGGCTCAGGGTTCCACAGGCTGTACAGGAAGCATGGCCGGGGACGTCTCCGGAAACTTACAATCATGGCGGAAGGCGAAGAGAAAGCAGACACGCCTTACTTGGCTGGAGCAGGCAGAAGGGAGGTGGAGAGGTGCTACACACGTTTAAACAACCAGATCTCGCGGTAACACACTCACTAGCACAAGAACGGCACCAAAGGAGAAACCTGCCCACATGACCCAATCACCTCCCACCAGATCCCACCTCCAACACTGGGGATTACAATCTGACATGAGATTGAGCAGAGACAGACCCAAACCATATCAATGGCTTTGTTCTTCAAGACCTGCGACTAAAGGTTTTCCCCAATTATTAAGCAAGGATGTGTAGGTTTAGCCTGGAAGTTTCATATTCAGCATCAGGAACTGATCCAGGCTTTGTAGGACCTGTACAGTTGGGCAGAAAGAGTCCCTCTTTAAGAAGAGGACAAACAGCAACGCAGAATTAGTACAGCCACATAAGCACATTGTCAGGGTCTCTCCTCGGACCATGCAGAGGCCCAGAAAAGTGGGGATCCTGTAGCTTTTGCCACATCAGCTCCAAGGCAAGTCCCCCTTTGTTTATCTGTTCTCCAAGACGCTCTCCGATAGCAGCAGAAACAGTCGTTTTAAAATGCAGATCTGAGCCGGGTATGGTGGTACGCACCTGTAAGTTCCAGCTACTTGGGAGGTTGGGGTGGGAGGATCACTTGAGCCCAGGAAGTCAAGACTGCAGTGAGCTATGATTGTGCATTGCAGCCTGAGCAACAGAACTATCTCTAAAAGAATAACAATAATAAATGTGAAATAAATCTTTGAAAATGCAAATATGACCTGCTGTGCATCTTCTTAAAATCTTTCTGTGACCTCCCACTGCCCTTAGGATAAGGAAAAAAGTCTTAACTTCTAGATCCCTACATCTTTTTATCTCTACTCCTTCAGTGTTTCTTTTTTTTATTATTATTATACTTTAAGTTTTAGGGTACATGTGCACAATGTGCAGGTTAGTTACATATATATACATGTGCCATGCTGGTGCACTGCACCCACTAACTTGTCATCTAGCATTAGGTATATCTCCCAATGCTATCCCTCCCCCCTCTCCCCTCCCCCCTCCTTCAGTGTTTCTGAAGTCACTTTGGACTTCTTTCTTTTCCAAGATAGGCTATTTCCTATCTCAGTTACCTCTACTTAGATCACTCCTCCAAACCACCTTGTTATCCTTTATACTGTAGCTCAAATACATTTCTGAAGGGAAGTCTCTTTGTCCATCACCTCAGACAAGACCCGAGTTTAGAGTTCTTTGTAGACTTTTTCTCCAAGCCACAAATCACACTTTAAAATTATGTCTTTTGCGATATGATTATTTATTCAAAATCTGGCTCTTCTACCTGATGGATCCAAGATTAAACATCAATTGTCATAAGCCAGTGAGCTTTGGGGTCATGTGTTACTGCAGCATAACCTAATCTGTGCTGACTGACACATGAGACCAGCCAGGTTAAAACAGCACATTGGAATGAATGACATTCATTCTACCAGCTACCTAGGAAATGTACAGAATCTATGAGATAAAAATAAATCCACTTCTTTTACCTATGAGCAGTTTCTATTTAATCATGTTTAAATTTTATTCACTAATAAGAATGAATAAGCAATTTCCAAAGGTTCCAAAGTGTAGCACCCAGTTTAGCATGAGACACAAGAAAAGGAAAGGGAGTTCTAGCTTTGAGAATTTGGAACCTGAACTCTTCACCTTCATTCTGATTGGTCGGGTTATGTGGGAATAAAATATGTCGGCTGTTTGTGAAGTTGCTCTTACAGATGATCAATTATAAGAATGAGGTCACCTTCACCCTGGCCAATTCAGTAAGCCAATCACCCTATTGCTGTGTATGCTCACCCACAGTCCATACCCATGGCCTCAAGGCTATCTTGATACACCCAGTTGGCTTGCTGTTAGCTTCTGATAGTACAAGTCACAAGAGAGAGAGAGAAAATGGGAAGAGGACAAAAAAAGAGGATTCTTCCTTTTGGAGTTGCCAGTAGCATCACGTCATTCCAGTTTGCAACTTTTTTGCCCCACACACAAAACCGGCATCATTGTGCCCCCTGAAATATACGTGCATCAGCTGGCCAGCAGCCCCGTCTCAGATATATGCACAGATATGCACATGGCACTGTCTTCTTCCTCTTCTAAGATTCTAGAGTCTGATAACGTCAACTCTTCCCAGCGTTTCCCAGGCCTCAGCTTGTCAGCTGATTCCACAGAAATTATTTCTGGGTTAGCACTAGTGTTAACCAGGTCCTTGTTAACTAGTCTTGCCTTCTTGCTTTTCTGGTCCTTCACTACCTATTTAATTAATTCCCATGTTAAATTCTTTCTGTTAAAAGACATCAGCAGATGATTGGGTAATGAAAATATGGTATATATACAGAATGGACTATGATTCAGCCATAAAAAAAAAAAAGAGTGAAATCATGTCTCAGAAAGTCAAATAGCACATGTGTATTAGTCCATCCTCATTCTGCTAATAAAGACATACCCAAGACTGGGTAATTTATAAAGAAAAGAGGTTTGATGGATTCACAGTTCCACATGGCTGGAAAGGCCTCACAATCATGGTGGAAGGTGAAGGAGGAGCAAAGGCACATCTTACATGGTGGCAGGCAAGAGAGCGTGTGCAGGGGAACTGCCCTTTATAAAGCCATCAGATTTCGTGACACTTATTCACTATCACGAGAACAGCATGAGGGTAACTGACCCCATGATTCAATTACCCCCCACCAGGTCCCTCCCATGACACATGGGGATTATGGGAACTACAATTCAAGATGAGATTTGAGTGGGGACACAGCCAAACCATATCAACATGTTCTCATTTATAAGTGGGGGCCAAATAATGTGTAGACAAGGACATAGGGTGTGGAATTATAGACACTGGAGAGGCAGAAGGGTAAGAGAGTAGGAGGAGATGGAGGATGAGAAATTACTTTATGGGTACAATGTACCTTGTTTGGGTGACGGTTACACTCAAAGCCCAGATTTCACCACTAGGCAACACATCCGTGTAACAAAACTGGCCTTGTACTCCTTAAATTTATGCACTTTTTTTTTTCTTTGAGACTGAGTCTTGCTCTGTCACCAGGCTGGAGTGCAGTGGTGCGATCTTGGCTCACTGCAATCTCCACCTCCCGGGTTCAAGCAATTCCCCTGCCTCAGCCTCCCAAGTAGCTGGGATTACAGGCACCCACCACCACGCCTGGCTAATTTTTTGTATTTTAGTAGAGACGAGGTTTCACCATGTTGGCCAGGATGGTCTCCATCTCCTGACCTCATGATCCACCCACCTCAGCCTCCCAAAGCACTGGGATTACAAGTGTGAACCACTGCACCCGGCCCCGTGCAAAATTTTTTCAATGGTAGCTTCTGGAAAATGTCATCTATAAGAAACTACAAGTAGAACACAAATAAATGACAGAATATGAGCTTTCGGTGTCTACATTCCGTAAATCTAGTAAATAATAAATATTAACATACAGGCCAGGTGTGGCGGCTCACATCTGTAAACCCAGCACTTTGGGAGGCTGAGGTGGGCAGATAGCTTGAGCTCAGGAGTTTGAGACTGCCTGGGCAACATGGTGAAACCCCATTTCTACTAAAAATGCAAAAACAAATATCCTGGGATGGTGGTGCATACCTGTAGCCCCAGCTACTAGGGAGGCTGAGGTGGGAGGATCACCTTGATCCTGGGAGGTGGAGGTTACAGTGAGCCAAAATGGCACTACTGTACTCCAGCCTGGGTGACAGAGTGAGAACCTGTCTCAAAAGATAAAAAAATAATTAACATACAAAAAAATTCTCTCTGTTAAAATATCTTTAGTCCTCCCACAACATGGATAAACCTTGAAAACGTTATGTTAAGTTAAATAAGCCAGAGACACGACGCACAAATATTGTATGATTCCACTTTAGAAGGTACCCAGAATAGGTAAGTTTATAGAGGTGGAAAGTCGATTAGAAGTTTTCAAGAGCTGGGGATAAGGAGGAACAGGGAGTGATTGCTTAATGAGTTTGAGTTTTATCTGGGGGGTGATGAAAACATTTTGGAAATAGTGGTGATGGCTGTACAATGTTGTGAGTGTAATTCACGCCACTGAACTGCACACTTTAAAAATGGTTAAAGTGGCCAGGCATAGTGGCTAACACCTGTAATCCCAGCACTTTGGGAGTCCAAGGTAGGTGGATCACTTGAGGCCAGGAGTTTGAAACCAGCCTGGACAACATGGTGAAACCCCATCTTTACTAAAAATGCAAAAATTAGCCAGGCCTGGTGGCACACGCCTATAATTCCAGCTACTCGGGAAGCTGAGGCTGGAGAATCACTTGAACCTGAGAGGCAGAGGTTGTAGTGAGCCAAGATCATGCCACTGCACTCCAGCCTGGGTGACAGAGTGAGATTCTGTCTCAAAAAAAACGTTAAAATGTGCCACATTTTCTTAATCCAGTCTATCATTTTTGGACATTTGGGTTGGTTCCAAGTCTTTGCTATTGTGAATAGTGCCACAATAAATTAGGAGACATACCTAATGCTAAATGACGAGTTAATGGGTGCAGCACACCAACATGGCACGTGTATACATATGTAACAAACCTGCACGTTGTGCACATGTACCCTAAAACTTAAAGTATAATAATAATAAAAAAGTTTAAAAAAGTTAAAACGAGTGAGATTCTGTCTCAAAAAAAGTTAAAATGTCAAATTTTATGTTATATAATCTACCACAATGTTTTAAAATTAATTATGTAAAATATCAAAAACCAATGAATTATACACTTTATATGGGTGAATTGTATGGTGTGTGAATTATATCTCAATAAAGCTGTTCAAAAAAATAACTTGCGTGCTTTACAATGAAGAAAACTGGCAAAAGCTACCTTTACCAAGGAAAGAAGGTTAACATCACCAAGAAGGTCAAGTGGATTTCACGAAGCTCCTGATTTGATGTGATAAAGGGCCCTTTCATCTCTGCAGTCTTCTTTCCAAAAACTCATCACCCCAATCTAATCATGAGAAAAATATCTGACAAACCTAGATTGGTTAACATTCTAAAGGATACCTGACCAGTCTTCCTCGAGACTATCAAAAACGGGCAGTCATGATGGCTCACACCTGTAATCCCAGCACTTTGGGAGGTGAGGGCAGGAGGATTGCTTGAGCCCAGGAGTTCAAGACCAGCCTGGGCAACCTAGCGAGAATCCCCCGATCTCTTCCAAAAATCTAGAGGAAAAAAAAGACTGTCAAAAAATCATGAAAAACAAGGAAAGGCTGAGAAACTGTCAGACCAAAGGAGACTAAGAAGACAAGATGACTAAATGCGTTGTCAGATCCTGGACAGGATTCTAGAAACAGAAAAAGGACATTTGTGGGAAAAAGGGTGAAATATGAATAAAACCTGGAGTTTAGTTAGTAATACTGTACCAATGTTAGTTTTGACAAATGTATCCCGGTTATGTAAAATGTTAACATTAAAAGAAACCAGATGAAGGAACAGTGTAGGAATTCTCTGTACTGTTCTTGCAACTTTTCTGTAAACTTAGAATTATTTCCCAAAGTAAGTTTATTTAGCGCTGCAATGAACATGGGAGTTCAGGTATCTCTTTAATACACGGATTTCAATGATTTAATCATGGCACAATGTAAACATATGTTACAATGTCACATTGTACCCCCTAAGTGTGCACAATTGTTATTGTCAATTGGAAATAAACAAAGTTTATCTAAAACAAACAAAAAAATAACTGTGGTAGTTTTCATTAACCTTGATTGCAACAGGGTGTAATCATCATTGATTACCAAGTAGGAGAAACAAACCTAAAGTATCTAATCCATGTAAACGAATTTGTCAGTTGTCATCTGTTGCTATTAAATGAATATGATGTAATATCCAATTGGCAAATCATAAATTTTGATTTATACTTAATTTGAGAAGTGTTTGGATTTTGTACCTGGTGCTGGGGGTTAGAATAGTACTGTGTCATTCAATAGCTACAGGATTCTGGGTGGGTTTAGGTTTTTAGGCAACATATCTATTCCTTTGGATAGACTCTTGGTGAGAAGTGGGTTGAAAGAGATTAGGGAACAGATATTGAGTATTTCCTGACCATGCCCAACATTTTCCCATTGATTATTCTGTAGAAACCAGCATTGGTGGGAAGACAGAATAAATGATCCCCCCATGCAAACCACGGAATTAAAGAATGTTTGCACACCCAGAAGGCACACCCCTGGTTGTTCACGTTGACTGTGTATATATCCAAATGGGATTTCTATACTACAGTTTCCCAAATGTTGGTCTTTTACATGCAAACTTCGTCTCATATCTGCATAACCCTGTGTGATTGTTCCGTTAATATTTTTCTTTAAAATAATTCTATTTTCTTTAATTCGAAATGAAACTGTCTCAGAATTCACCACTATATAATTCATCTATGTAACAAAAACCACTTGCACCCCCAAAAGCTATTGAAATTTTAAAATTGCTTTAAAAAGGGAACTGTTAGCCAGGCGCAGTGGCTCACGCCTGTAATCCCAGCACTTTGGGAGGCTGAGGTGAGTGGATCACGAGGTCAGGAGATCAAGACCATCCTGTCCAACATGGTGGAACCCCATATCCACTAAAAATACAAAAATTAGCGGGCATGGTGGCGCGCACCTGTAGTCCCAGCTACTTGGGAGTCTGAGGCAGGAGAATCGGGAGGCGGAGGTTGCAGTGAGCTGAGGAGGCAGAGGTTGCAGTCAGCCGAGATCGCACCACTGCAGACATAGTCTCAAAAAAAAAGTGGCCGGGGGGGTGGGGGTGGGGAACTGTTATCCATACAATAAAATATTATTTGGTAATAAAAAGGAATAAAGAGCCAGGTGGGGTGACTCACACCTGTAATCCTAGCACTTTGGGAGGCTGAAATGAGAGAATTGCTTAAGGCCAGGGGTTCAAGACCAGCCCTGGCAACAGAGGGAGACCCAGTCTCTACAAAAAAAAAAAAAAAAAAAGAAGAAGAAAACATTAGCTGGGTGTGGTGGTGCCTGCCTATAGTCCCAGCTACTCAGGAGACGGAAGTGGGAGGATCACTTGAGTCCAGGAATTAGAGGGTGCAGTGAGCTATGATCATGCCACTGCATTCTAGCCTGGGCAACAGATCAATACCCTGTCTCAAAATAAAATAAAATAAAATAAAATAAAATAATTAAATTGAAAATAAGAAAAAGAATGAAGGACTAATACAGGCTACAACCTGAATGAACCTTGAAAACATTATGCGAAGTGGGAAAAGCCCATTGCAAAAAGCCACATATTACACAGTTCCATTGCTATGAAATGTTCAGAACAGGAAAGTCCATAAAGACAGAAAGAGGCCAGGCATGGTGGCTCACGCCTGTAATCCCAACACTTTGGGAGGCTGAGGCAGGTGGATCACAAGGTCAGGAGTTCAAGGCCAGCCTGATCAATATGGCGAAACCCCGTCTCTATTAAAAATACAAAAAGTAGCCAGGCATGGTAGTGCGTTCCTGTAGTCCCAGCTACTCAGGAGGCTGAGGCAGGAGAATCGCTTGAACCCAGGAGGCAGAGGTTGCAGTGAGCCAAGATCGTGCCACTGCACTCAAGCCTGGGCGACAGAGCAAGACTCCATCTCAAGAAAGAAAAGGACAGAAAGCAGATTAGCAGTTGCCAGGGGTTGATGGGAAAGAAACGAGGAGTGACTATTTAATGACTACAGGTTTCCTTTTGGGGTGATAAAAAAAACTTTTGGAATTGGATAGTGGTGATGGTGTCACAACTCTTTGAATATATCAAAAACCATTGAATTGTATACTTTCGTTTTTGGGGGGGTTGGGGGGGATAGGTTCTCACTCAGCTGCCAAGGCTGGAGTGCAGTGGCACAATCTCGGCTCACTGCAACCTCCACATCCTAGGCTCAAGTGATCCTCCTGCCTCAGCCTCCCAAAGTGCTGGGATTACAGGTAGGAGACACCAGGCCCTGCACTGAATTGAATACTTTCAAAGGGTGAATTTTATGGTATGTGAATTATACATCAATAAAGCTGTTGTTTTAAAAAAGGAAAATGTACCTATTATAAAAGGAAAGTTAGTATCACTTGCCACAATAGGAAATAACTGTCACGCGTGTCCGTATAGAAGACTACCTAAACAGGCTTTGTGTGGAGCAACAAGGCTGTTGATTCACTTGGGTGCAAGTGGGCTGAGTCCAAAAAGAGAGTCAGCAAAGGGAGATAGGAGAGGAGCAGCTTTATAGGGCTTGGGTAGGCCGTGGAAAGTTACAGTTAAAGGTAGTTGTCTATTGTCAGCAGAGGAGGGGGTCACAAGGTGCATGGTGGAGAGATGATGGGACTCATTGTCCAGAAGAATGTCACAGGGTTGATTGATCAGTTGGGGCAGGGCAGGAACAAGTCATAATGGTGGAATGTCATAAGGTGGGTTAATTAGTTAAGACAGGAACTGGCTGTTTCACTTCTTTGTGGTTTTTCGGCTGCTCCAGATTTTTTGGCTCCTGCAGGCCATCTAGACGTATATGTGCAGGTCACAGGAGTTACAATGGCTGAGCTTCGGCTCAGAGGCCTGACCATAACCATACCAATAAGAATATACAAGTAAAGCCGGGCGTGGTGGCTCACGCCTGTAATCCCAGCATTTTGGGAGGCCGAGGAGGGTGGATCACAAGGTCAAGAGATCAAAACCATCCTGGCCAACAAGGTGAAACCCCATATCTACTAAAAATATAAAAATTAGCCAGGCGTGGTGGCGTGCACCTGTAGTCCCAGCTACTCGGGAGGTTAAGGCAGAAGAATTACTTGAATCTGGGAGGCAGAGGTTGCAGTGAGCTGAGATTGTGCCACTGCACTCCAGCCTGGAGACAGAGCGAGACTCCATCTCAAAAAAAAAAAGATAAAAAAAAAAGGATATACGAGTAAAATCTTAAGTGTTCATTTATGATCCACTAAAAGTCATCTCGATGTACCACCAGTAGTGTGAGTCTCACATACTATGTACAAACATTTCTCCAGGAGTAGTATGGCTTGTTAAAAGTGTATGAGCAATTAATCCCAGCACTTTGGGAGGCCGAGGCAGGCGGATCACGAGGTCAGGAGATCGAGACCATCCTGGCTAACACGGTGAAACCCCGTCTCTACTAAAAATACAAAAAGAAATTAGTCGGGCATGGTGGCGGGCACCTGTAGTCCCAGCTACTTGGGTGGCTGAGGCAGGAGAATGGCGTGAACCCAGGAGGCGGAGTTTACAGTGAGCCGAGATCACGCCACTGCACTCCAGCCTGGGTGACAGAGCGAGACTCCATCTCAAAAAAAAAAAAAAAAAGTGTATGAGCATTTTAATTTCAATAGATTTGTTCACTCATTCATTGCATTAAAATAATTTATCGAATCTCTGTCAAATACCAAATGCTGTACTAGGTGCTAGAAATAGCATCACCGACAAAGACAAAGTCATTGATCTCATGGAACTGACATTGTGTACGGAAATGCTGTGATAAGCAAACACATAGCACTGCAATATATATTTTTGCTAGTGCTAAGTGTCATGGAGAAAAATAAAACATCGTAAGTGGGTTACAGAATCATGGGAGCAAGATGCTTTTTTATTGTGGCAAAATACACATAATATCAAATGTATCGCTTTAACCATTGTTTTTTGTTTTTTGTTTTTTGTTTTGAGACAGAGTTTTGCTCTTGTTGCCCAGGCTGGAGTGCAGTGGTATGATCTCGGCTCACTGCAACCTCCACCTCCCGGGTTCAAGCGATTCTCCTGCCTCAGCCTCCCAAGTAGCTGGGATTACAGGCGCCCACCACCATGCCCGGCTAATTTTTGTGTTTTTAGTAGAGACGGGGTTTCACCATGTTGGCCAGGCTGGTCTCAAACTCCTGACCCCAGGTGATCTTCCCACCTCAGCCTCCCAAAGTGCTGGGATTATAGGCATGAGCCACCATGCCCGGCCGCGCTTTAACCATTTTAAAATATTCAAGCACTGGCATTTAGTGCATTCACAGTGCTGTGCAACCAACACCTCTGTCTCGTCCCAGAATATTTTTATTACCTAAAAGGAAACTCTACACCCAGACAGAAGGTCATGGAGGTGACATTTGAACGGGAATCTGAAGGAAGAGCAAGTGAGCGCCATGTCAAGATCTGATCTTCTTTGCATACCACCTTCACCCCATATCAACAAACTCCTGTACTATTATTTCGTTCATATTTTCCTTTAAAGCGAGTCTGTCTCTTTACTTAAGAGTACAGTTACCTGCTGGGTACAGTGGCTCATGCCTGTAATCCCAGCACTTTGGGAGGCCGAGGTGGGTGGATTGCTTGAGGTCAGGAGTTCAAGACCAGCCTGACCAACATGGTGAAACCCCGTCTCTACTAAAAATACAAAAATTGGCCTGGCATGGTGGTGGGGGCCTGTAGTCCCACCTACTTGGGAGGCCAAGGCAGGAGAATCGCTTGAACCCGGGAGGTGGAAGTTGCAGTGAGCCGAGGTTGTGCCACTGCACTCCAGCCTGGGCAACAGAGCGAGACTCCATCTCAAAATAAATAAATAAACAAATAAATAAATGTACAGTTATCCATAGAATATAATATTATTTGGCAATTTAAAAAAATAAAGTACCATCTGTTATTGAAAAGAGTCAAACTCTATAAAATGTTTGAAGAAATTTTTTCTGAGCCAAATATGAGCGACCATGGTCCATGACACAGCCCTCAGGAGATCCTGAGAACATGTGTCCAAGATGGTCAGGGTGCAGCTTGGTTTTATACATTTTAGGGAGACGTGAGATGTAGGGAGCCGAAGACCCGTGGGACGTGACCAACTCAGCATTCCACCGGAGGCTACGTGATCAAACAGCAAACTGTGTACCATGAATGCAGGATGTGAGCAAACTCACGACTGCTCCTGCCGACAGAAGGTTTGCCGGAGGCAATCTCTGGCGTGGAGGTTATCTACTGCAACATCTAGAGCCTGCTGTTCGAGGAATGCAGTCTTGCAAGCCTACTCTGGACTGAGCCCCTGGACTCCTTCTTCCACCCCGCTTCTCACTATCTTTTTTGCCTAATAAATACGGAGGGCTGTGTAAAGCTCAGGGCCCTTGTCCACTAGAGGCAAGGTGCCCCCGACCCCTTCTTCCAAATATACTCTTTTGTCTCTTGTCTTTTATTCTTGCGTTCGCCCCCTTTGTTCAGTCCACCAGGGGTCGTGGTAGGTTACATAGTGGTGCCCCGAACAGCGACAGAATCAGGCTCTCAACAATGAGAGCTTACCTCAATCAATACATGTAAAATGTACACTGGCTCAGGCCGGAAAGGCGGGACAACTGGAAGCAGGGACCTCCAGGTCGTAGGCGGATTCAAAGATTTTCTGATTGGCAATTGGTTGAAAAGAATTATTATCTAAAGACCTGGAATCAACAGAAAGGAATGTCTGGGTTAAGATAAGGGATTGTGGAGACCAAAGTTTTATCATGCAGATGAAGCTTCCAGGTAGCAGGCTTCAGAGAGAATAGATTATAAATATTATCAGACTTAAAAAGGTACCAGACTCTTAGTTAATTCTCTCCTAGATCAGGGAAAAGATCCAGAAAGGAAAGAAGATTCCCTATGTTAGGAATAACATGTTAGGGAACCCTGGAGGCAGGCAGATCACCTGAGGTCAGGAGTTCAAGACCAGCCTGGCCAACACGACGAAACCCTTTCTCTACTAAAAAATACAAAATAAAAATACAAAAATATTAGCCGGGCATGGTGGTGTGTGCCTGTAATCCCAGCTATTCGGGAGGCTGAGTCAAGAGAATCACTTGAACCTGGGAGGTGGAGGTTGCAGTGAGACAAGATCGCGCCACTGCCCTCCACCCTGGGTGACAGAGCAGAACTCTGTCTCAAAAAGAAACAAGAAAAAAAACAAAAAAATTAGAATGCAGTACCGATTCATGCTACAATGTGGATAAACATTGAAAACAGGCCTGCCTCAGTGGCTCATGCCTGTAATCCCAGCACTTTGGGAGGCTGAGGCAGGAGGATCACTTGAGCTCAGGAGTTCAAGACCAGCCTGGGCAACATGATGAAACCACATCGCTACAAAACATGCAAAAATTAGCCTGGCATGATGGTGTGCATCTTAGTCCCAGCTACTAAGGAGGCTGAGGTGGGAGGATTACTTGATGCCTGGAAGTGGAGGTTGCAGTGAGCCATGATCACACCACTGCACTCCAGCCTGGGCAACAGAGAAAGACCCTGTCTTAAAAAAGAAAAAGAAAAGAAAGAGAAAAGAAAGCATGATGCTGAGTGAAAGAAGCCAGACAAAGAGGGCTTCATAGTGCATAATTCCATTTGCATGAGTGTCCAGAATAGATAAATCCACAGACGTAGAAAGTAGGTTAGAGGTAGCCATGGGCTAGGGAGTGGGAATGGGGAGTGACTGCTCATGGGGATAGAGTATCCTTTTGAGGGGGTGAAAGTGTTCTAGAACTAGATAGAGGTGGGGTTGTACAACCTTGTGAACGTACTAAATGCCACTGAATTGTACACTTTAAAAAGGTTTAAATGATGACTTTTATATTATGTGAATCTTACTGTGATAAAAATATCCTGATTTCTGTGTCCCAAACCATTGAAAGCTAAATCTTGGGGAGCTGGGCCCTGCCACCAGGCCTCCACAATATCAACCCTAGCTGCCCCAGTGATTCCAGTAGGCAGCAAGAGTTGAAGTACTGGGGTCTAGAGACCAGTTCAAGCATGCAGATGTGTCAGGGTTAATGATATTTTGTACAAGTCCTGGGCCAGATAACAGCTGTTACAACTAAAAGGTCAATACACCTAAGATACAAAGATCTTCTGCAAATAAGACACAAATAACCTAAATGTGTCCAAATATGCAGATAATCTTTGAAATGGGCAGCCACAGGTGAGAAGCTCTTTAAAAAATTAAAATAAACGGGCCAGACCCGGTGGCTCACGACTGTAATCCCAGCACTTTGGGAGGCTGAGGCGGGTGGATCACTTGAGGTCAGATGTTCGAGACCAGCCTGGCCAACATGGCGAAACCCTGTCTCTACTAAAAATACAAAAATTAGCTGGGCCTAGTGGCACGTGCCTGTAATCCCAGCTACTCAGGAGGTTGAGGCAGGAAAATCGCTTGAACCTGGGAGGCGGAGGTTGCAGTGAGCCAAAATCGCACCACTGCACTCCAGCCTGGGTGACAGAGTGAGACTCCATCTGAAAATAAAATAAAATAAAATAAAAATAAAATAAAATAATGAAAAGAGGTCTTTCCTGCTAGTGAAGTTAAAAAAGAAAAAAGAAAAAGAAAAAGAGGTCAACTTCACTATCAGCCAGGGAAATGAATACCCTAGAACTTAAAGTATAATAAAAATATATATATTTTTAAAAAAAAAGAAAATGAGAGTAAAGATGACTTACTAGTTTTCACTCATCAGACTGGCAATCATTCAAAAACTAATAATGCAATGAAACCCAGTGCTTGCAACTATGTGTTGAAAAGGGCACACCTGTGTGTTGTTCGTGGGAATGTGATTTATTATTGCATTTGGGGGAAGTTACTAGAACAACACCTAGTTGAAATTCCACACTGGGAATCCACCCTATAGAACGATATTTATCAAGGGATTATTTGTAGTAGCAACAAAAAACAAACTATAAATAACCTGTGTGCCCTCAATGGTGGAAGGGTTGGATAATCAGAGTACACTCCTATCATGAGCCATTAGGTAGCTATTAAAAATAATGAGTTAGATATCTATCTATTCGCCTGGAGGAATTCCATGATGTACGTGCTGCCAAGTTTTTTAAAAAATGGATAAATAAGTAGGTTTCAGAGAAACATATACAGTCATGTGTCACTTAATGACAGGGATTCTTTCTGAGAAATGCTTCATTAGGCAATTTCATCATAGTGCCAGTAACCTAGAGTGAGCTTACATAAACCTAAATGGCATAGCCTACTACACACCAGGGCTATACGTTCTAGTCTATTGCTCCTAGACTATAAACCTGTACAGCATGCTACTGTGCTGAATACTGTAGGTAACTGTAACACAACAGTAAGCATTTGTGTATCTAAACATAGAAAAGGTACAGTAGGCCTGGTGCAGTGGTTCACACCTGTAATCCCAACACTTTGGGAGGCCGAGGCGGGTGGATCATGAGGTCAAGAGTTCAAGACCAGCCTGACCAATATGGTGAAACCCCATCTCTAGTAAAAATACAAAAATTAGCTGGGCGTGGTGGCACACATCTATAGTCCCAACTACTTGGGCGGCTGAGGCAGGAGAATCGCTTGAACCCGGGAGGCGGAGGTTGCAGTGAGCCAAGATCGCGCCACTGCACTCCAGCCTGGGCGACAGAGTGAGATTCCGTCTCAAAAAAAAAAAAAATACAGTAAACATAAGATATAAAACAAAAAATGATATATCTATATAGAATGCTTACCAGGCTTGCAGCACTGGAAGCTGCCCTGAGTGAGCTAGCGAGAGAGTGATGAGTGAATGTGTTGCTACTGTACACTTAGCATACACTAAATGCATTTTTTAATTCTCTTTATAATCAGCACATAATAATTGTACATGTTTATGGGTACCTGTGATGTCTTAATACATATGTACATTGCATAATGATCAAATCAGGATAGTGAGCATGTCCATCACCCAAATCTTTATCATTTCTTTGTGGTAGTTACATTCAAGATCCTCCGTTTTCTAGCTATCTTGAAATAGGCAATACAGGCCGGGCACAGGGGCTCACGCCTGTAATCCCAGCACTTTGGGAAGCCAAGGCGGGCGGATCGCCTGAGGTCAGCAGTTGGAGACCAGTCTGACTAACATGGTGAAACCCCCATCTCTACTAAAAATACAAAAATTAGCTGGTCATGGTGGTGGGCACCTGTAATCTCAGCTACTAAGGAGGCTGAAGCAGGAGAATCATTTAAACCCAGGAGGCAGAGGTTGTGGTGAGCTGAGATAGCACCATTGCACTCCAGCCTGGGTGACAGAGTGAGACTCCATCTCAAAAATAAATAAATAAATAAATAAATAAATAAATAAATACAGATGAAGATTTGTTTGCCTGCCCCATTGCTCACCTCCTGCTGTGTGGCCCAGTCCCTAACACGCCACAGACCACTACCAGTCCATGGCCTTGGGATTGGGACCCCTGCCCTAGTTCATGTTATTTTATTACAGAAGACCTAAGAAAATAATATAGTATCCAATTAGAGAGACTTGAAATGGAAAGGATGTTCCTAAAAGAAGCCTAATTGAAATTAGGATGGGAAGAGAGAGGAGGAAACACCCACCCTTTGCAAACCATATAAATGATAAAGGGTTAATAACCAAAATATAAAATAAACTCCTACAACTCCACAGCCAAGAAACAACTCGATTGCAAAATCGATTAAAAACTTGAATAGAAATTTATCCAATGACATGCAAAAAGCCAAGAGATATATGAAAAAATGCACATCACTAATCATCAGGGAAATGAAAATCAAACCACAATGAGGCCGGGCGCAGTGGCTCATGCCTGTAATCCCAGCACTTTGCGAGGCTGAGGTGGGTGGATCACTTGAGGTCAGGAGATCAAGACCAGCCTGGCCAACATGGTGAAACCCCATCCCTACTAAAAATACAAAAATTAAAAATTAGCACACACCTGTAATCCCAGCTACTCAAGAGGCTGAGACAGGAGGCTTGCTTGAACCTGGGAAGCAGAGGTTGCAGTGAGCGGAGATCGCACCTCTGCACTCCAGCCTGGGAGACAGAGCATAAATAAATAAATAAATAAATAAATAAACAAACAAACCTCACTCTTTTCCTCACCTAACAGCAGGTCCCCGAGCAGATACTGAAGATGCCTCAACCCATAGCCCCTTGGCTCACCTCTGATTTCACCTTACAGCAGCAGTGGGCAATTTCACATATGCTGGTGGAAGCCCCGCTACTTCTGTCTTTACTGTCTGGACATCTTCTCCAGCACCGTGGGAGTGTGCTCAGCAGGGGATTTAACATCCCCAAGTACCACCCTCAACAAATAAAGGAGTCAATGGTAAATACCCACATACCTCTTCCCTCAATGGAATAATTCTGAAGGTGCGGTCTATGTGATACCCCAGAGAGTTCCCCCAGCAGGATGGAGCCCTGTTTCCTACAAACGGAATATAATGTGTTTATTAACATACTTTATTTCCTGCTTCATTTTCCCCACTTCTGGGACCAAATAAACCATCTGCACCCAAGTGCTTTATGATTAGAGCCTGTTTTGAACCCAAATCAAGACTATCAGTTCCCCTGGGCACAGTGGCTCATGCCTGTAATCCCAGCAATGTGGGAAGCTGAGAAAGGAGGTCTAGACCAGCCTGGACAACATAGCAAGACCTCATTTCTACCAAAAAAAATTGTAATTAGCCTGTCATGGTGGCACACACCTGTAGTCCTAGCTACTTGGGAGGCTGAGGTGGGAGGATCACCTGAGCTCAGGAGTTCAAGGCTGTAGTGAGCTATGATGGCACTCACAGCCTGGGTGACAGAGCAGGACCGTCTCAAAAATAAATAAACCAAACACCACATGTTCTCACTTATAAGTGGGGGCTGAACAATGAGAGCACATGGACACAGGGAGGGGAAGAACACTCACTGGGGCCTGTTGGGGGAGGGCAGGGTGGGGAGAGCATTAAGGAAAAGAGCTAATGTATGCTGGGCTCAATACCTAGGTGATGGGTAGATGGGTACAGCAAACCACCATGGTACACATTTACCTGTGTAACAAATCTGCACATCCTGCACATGTACCCTGGAACATAAAAACATAATAATATTTTGAAAAAACTCTATCAAAAAATAAATAAATAGGATTCTGCTATTTATTCTGCTCTAAAGACCCATGCACATGTATGTTTATTGCAGCACTATTCACAATAGCAAAGACTTAGAACCAACCCAAATGCCCATCAGTGATAGACTGGATAAAGAAAATGTGGCACATACACACCATGGAATACTCTCCAGCCATAAAAAACAATGAGTTCATGTCCTTTGCAGGAAAATGGATGAAGCTGGAAACCATCATTCTCAGCAAACTAACACAGGAACAGAAAACCAAACACCACATGTTCTCACTCATAAGTGGGAGTTGAACAATGAGAACACATGGACACAGGGAAGGGAACATCACACACCACGGCCTGTCAGGTGGTGTGGGGCAAGGGAAGGAAGAGCATTAGGACAAATATCTAATGCACGCAGGGCTTAAAACCTAGATGATGGGTTGATAGGTGCAGCAAACCACCATGGCACATGTATACTTACGTAACAAACCTGCACGTTCAGCACATGTATCCCAGAACTTAAATTAAAATAATAAATAACTAAGTACATATAAAAATTTAAAAGACTGTCCGTTCTACTTGACCACTGCCACATCAGGAGCCCTTGACCCTTGCCAGAATTCAGGAATCCCCATCTCTCCTAGATTCTAATCAAGGAAGAAAATCAGGGACTATATAAAAACCTTTTAGGTGTTGGATTTTAAAAAAAGCATTTGTGCTTGGAAGAATGGGTGGAGAGTGGCTGAAGCCCAAGATGCTGAGAGAAGAAATCTGGACCTCACTCCTAGAGAGGATAGAATGAAGTAGACCACCCCCTTCTTCCTCCCTCCCAATGTTCATTGATGGTTTCCTGGTACCAGACTCATTGCCACATAAAGACTCTAAGATTTTCCCAAAGCAATCAGCACTGGACTCCAAACCAACATGACTAGAAAACTGGACTCTGGGAGTGTATAACTGGCCCTGCCTTATACCAATTTCCCAGGGGGGGAAATGTTATTTTTGATAACATTTTCTATAGAGTCATATCAAAAAGAAAGGCTTTTTTCTTCCTGAATATATCTTTTATTCCTCCTTATCTCTCTTCACTCTTCCTTCTATAACTGGTTTCAGAATTCCCAGGAGAGTTCGGATGGGAGACACCAATGTCCTACCTACCATGGCTTTGGGCAAAATAATTTTTTTTCAGAACCACGGACAGTGGCAAAAGTTTGTTCACCCAGTGGGACTTTTTTTTTTTTTTTTTTTTGAGATGGAGTCTTGCTCTGTCACCCAGGCTGGAGTGCAGTGGCACAATCTCGGCTCACTGCAATCTTCGCCTCCCAGGTTCAAGTGATTCTCCTGCCTCAGCCTCCCAAGTAGCTAGGATTACAGATGCCCACCCACCATGCCCAGCTAATTTTTGTACTTTTAGTAGAGACTGGGTTTCACCATTTTTCCCAGGCTGGTCTCGAACTCCCGACCTCAAGTGATCCACCCGCCTCAGCCTCCCAAAGTGCTGGGATTACAGGTGTGAGCCACCATGTCTGGCCACCTTATGGACTTTTTAGGTGGGTTTTTCCCCAACCTTTGGGCTCAAATTGATTTTTTTTTTTTTTTTGAGACAAGGTCTCACTCTGTCACCCAGGCTGGAGTGCAGTGGCATGATCTCAACTTGCTGCAAACTTCACCTCCCGGGCTCAAGGGATCCTCCCACCTCAGCCTCCTGAGTAGTTGGGACTATAGGCACGTCCAGCTAATTTTGTATTTTTAGTAGAGACAGGGTTTCACCATGTTGGCCGGGCTGGTCTCAAACTCCTGAGCTAAATTGATCCACCTGCCTCGGCCTCCCAAAGTGCTAGGATTACAGGTGTGAACCACCATGCCCAGCCTCTGAAAATAATTTTAATTTTAAAAAAATAATGACAGTGGGATTGGCACCTACTCATATCCCCATATGTCCAACGCGAAGTTGGTCTACCTTGTTCTTGCTTTGAAGCTGACCTCCCCACAGAGTTACGATCCAAGAGCCAACAGTCCAACAGCCAATATTATTAGGGAAAGTAATTCTAATATTTACTAAAGCCCCTAGGAGAATTTCAACAAGTATCCTACACACGTTCTGTGTGGCTGATAGGAAGGATTTTTTTTTTAAGAGACAGGGTCTCACTCCGTTGTCCAGGTTGGAATGCAGTGGTGCGATCACAGCTCACTGCAGCCTCAACCTCCAGGGCTCAAGTGATCCTCCCACCTCAGCCTCCTGGGTAACTGAGACCACGGGCATGTGCCACCAATCCTGGCTAATTTTTTTAAATTTTTTGTAGATATAAGGTCTTGCTGTTTTGCCCAAGCTGGTCTCAAACTTCTAGGCTCAAGGGATTCTCCAACCTTGGCCTCCCAAGTAGCTAGGATTATAGGCATGAGCCACCGTGTCCAACTCCAGTGCCAAGCAGGTGATCAAGAAGTGTTTGATAGGCCGGGTACAGTGGCTCAGGCCTGTAATCCCAGCACTTTGGGAGACCGAGGAGAGCAGATCACTTGAGGTTTGAGATCAGTCTTTCCAACATGGTGAAACCCTGTCTCTACTAAAAATACAAAGACTAGCTGGGCATGGTGGTGGGCACCAGTAATTCCAGCTACTCAAGAGGCTGAGGAGGGAGAATTGCTAGAACCCAGGAGGTGGAGGTTGCAGTGAGCCGAGATTGCTCCACTGTGCTCCAGGCTGGGTGAAAGAGTGACACTCCATCTCAAAAAAAAGTGTTTGATAAATTTATTTATTTAATACCGATTTATTGATTGATTGATACTCTTCGGAGCTTTCCTTAATGAGCCAGTTTCTTCCATAATGCAATGAATGAAAGGACCTCTCAGATTCAGGCATCTGAGTGCCCGACTGGAGTCTGGGACCCCCCAGACCTCTCTGCCTGGGAGCTTCCATGAAGCTCAGCCTGAGCTGGAAGGAGACCGTAGGGAGATGTCCTAGTGAGAGTGAATCCCTAGTCACTGTTTCCTCTTCTTACCCACTCGATGATCCCAAAGCACACCCATCTCCAAAAGAACAGGTCACATGTGGCAGAGGAGAAACAAAATAATTAGCATCCGCTTCCTTAACAAGGAGCTATGGGGACGAAGTCTCCTAGAGTCCCCAGACTATAAATACCCTGATGTTCCCCTGGCTCCCCCACTCACCTGCAGAGTCTGGGGGCGGGGGGGTACACATATGAATCCTTCCCATAGACATCAGGCTAACCCCAGCGATCACAGGTGAGTAGCCCCCATGCCCTTCCTAGGGGTTTAGTGCTGACCTCGGGATCCTCTAGCAGTTGGTGGAGAAGGAGGCTTCCCGGGACCCTCCCCTTGGTGATGCCATCCTGGTGAGCAGGTGAGGGATGGGGAAAGGATTGAGCTGAGGGTGGGGGTGGAGGGTTGTGGGAGAGGAATCTGTCTCCTTCCTAGAGGCCGAGAGAGAGAGAAGAGACTGAGACCAAGTCTAGACTCTCTGAGTGGACAAAGCACGCAGACGGCAGACCCTCTGTGGCAGGATATGTGGAGGAAAAGCACTGAGGGTCTGCAGCTGCAGGACACCTGCACAGATAGGAGAGGTCTTGAGAAACAAGTTTCTCCAATGCAGCAGCTCCCCAAGTGTGGTCCCTGGGCTAGAAGCACCAGCATCCTCTGGAAACTATCTAGAAGTGCTGGTTCTTACACCAGACATTTCAGGGAAAGGGCTTAGCTTTTTGTGTATGATGAGTTTGGGAGCGGGGGGGAGGGGGCGGGGGGATTGTTTTGTTTGTTTGTTTGTTCTTTCTGTTTTTGAGACAGGGTCTCGCTCTGTTGCCCAGTCTGGAGTGCAGTGGCATTATCATAGCTCATCGCAGCCTCGACCTCCCAAGCTCAAGTGATCCTCCCTCCTCAGCCTCCCGGGTACCTGGGATAACAGACATATACCACCATGCCTGGCTAATTTTATTTTCGTAGAGGCAGGGATCTTCCTATGTTGCCCAGGATGGTCTCACACTCCCGGGCTCAAGAGATCCTCCTACCTTGGCCCCCCAAGCAGCTGGGACTAACAGGTGTGTGCCACCATGTCCAGCTAATTTTTTATTTTGTAGAGATGGGGGTCTCACTGTGTTGCCCAGGTTGGTCTCTAACTCCTGGACTCAAGGGATTCTCCCACCTCAGCCTTCTGAGTAGCTGGGACTATGGAAGCATGCCACCATGCCCAGCAGATTGTTTTATTTTTTGTAGATCCAGGGCGGGATTGGGGGTGGGGTGGCCTCACTTTGTCTGCCAGGCTGGTCTTGAACTCCTGGCCTCAAGCAATTCTCCCACTTCAGCCTCCCAAAGTGCTGGGATTACAGGTGTGAGCCACCATGCCTGGCCCGCTTTTTGTGTTTTAACAAGCCTTCCAGGTGACCCTGAAGCGTGCTCAAGGTTGAGAACCGCTGCTCTATGCAACCCAAGTCAACAACTGAGGACTGTTACAAATATGTTGCCAGGAAGGGAATCGCAGTATTCTATCCAGCCTAGAGAAAACCAAGCATTGCATTGCAAAAACCTCAAGTCCAACACTAAAAAGCCTCAAAAAGTTAACATAGGGCTTTGCTGAAGGCCTCTTGGGGTTACCAAGGAGATTATGCTGCTAACCTTCCTAAAAACCCCTTTCATCGGCTGGGCGCTGAAATGATGAGATTACTGGGCTCACGCCTGTAATCTCAGTACTTTGGGAGGCCAAGGTGGGCGGATCACCGGGTCAGGAGTTCAAGACCAGCCTGGCCAACAGGCTTAGTAGAGGCGAAACCCCGTCTCTACTAAAAATACAAAAATTAATCGGGCGTGGTGATGCACACCTGTAATCCCAGCTATTCGGGTGGCTGAGGCACAAGAATCACTTGAACCCAGGAGACGGATGTTGCAGTGAGCCGAGATCGTGCCACTGTACTCTAGCCTAGGTGACAGAGTGAGACTCTGTCTCGAAAAGAAACACGTGTAAATGCTTGTAATTGAATATTTTTCCCTTGCACGTGTTGACAGCACAGAATTTAGCTTCGAAATGCCTCATAAAGAGGTGAGAGTGGCCATTCTTAGGGAGGCAGTGGAGTATGAGAGTGAAAATAAGTCTAAATTCAAAGGCGAGATCAGGCACTTGCAAGCTGAGTGCCCCTGGCAGCTCGCTCAGCCCCAGTCTGCTCACTGTAAATTGTAGCTAACACAATCTCCCTGTGGGAGTTATTGTAAGACCTATGCATTAAGAAACTGGCTCCTGGCTGGCTGCAGTGGCTCACGCCTGTAATCCCAGCACTTTGAGAGATCAAGCCGGGCAGATGATGAGGTCAGGAGTTCAAGACCAGTCTGACAAACATGGTGAAACCCCATCTCTACTAAAAATACAAAAATTAGCCATGCGTGGTGGTGCTCGCCTGTCATCCCAGCTACTCAGGAGGCTGAGGCAGGAGAATCTTTTGAACCCAGGAGGCGGGGGTTGCAGTGAGCCAAGATCGCGCCACTGCACTCCAGCTTGGGTGACAGAGTAAGACTCCATCTCAAAAAAGAAAAGAAAGAAAGAAACCGGCTCCTCATCAGGATAAATAGCTAATGCATGCTGGGCTTAATACCGAGGTGATGGCTTGATAGGTGCAGCAAACCACTATGGCACACGTTTACCTATGTAACAAACCTGCACGTCCTGCACGTGTATCCTGGAACTTAAAATAAAATGATAAAATTAAATAAAATAAAAATCATGCTGAGCAGCCAATAGCTGGGGGAAAAAAAAAGAAAGAAACTGGCTCCTAAGAAGGTTTAACCCATTACAGATATCATTATTGCTGAGGGCAAAATAAAAACACCTGTCCCAGCTACTAGGAAGGCTGAGGTGGGAGGAACACCTGAGCTCAGGAGGTACAGGCTGCAGTGAGCTGTGATTGTGCCACCGCACTGCAGCCTGGGTGACAGAGTGAGACCCTGTCTCAAAATAAATTAAATTAAATTAAATAGATCTTGTATTAGATAATTTTGCCTAACTGTAGGCTAACGTAAGTGTTCTGAGCACATTGAAGGTGGGCTAGGCTAAGCTGTGATGTTTGGTAGGTTAGGTATGTTCAATGCATTTTTGACTTATATATATATATATATATATATATATATATATATATATATATATATTTTTTTTTTTGAGACAGAGTTTCGCTCTTGTTGCCAAGGCTGGAGTACAGTGGCTCAATCTCAGCCCACTGCAACTTCTGCCTCCCAGGTTCAAGCGATTCTCCTGCCTCAGCCTCCCAAGTAGCTGGGATTACAGGCATGCACCACAACGCCTAGCTAATTTTGTATTTTCAGTAGAGACGGGGCTTCACCTTGTTGGCCAGGCTGACCTCTCAAACTCCTGACCTCAGGTGATCCCCCTGCCTCGGCCTCCCAAAGTGCTGGGATTATAAGAATGAGCCACCACGCCAGGTCTGACTTATGACATTTTCAATGTATGACCCCATTATCAGCCTCAGAACATCTGTACCTATCATTTCTTGGTGGTGAGAACATAAAATTGACTCTGAGTTTCTCTGGTATACAATGCATTGTTATTAACTATAGTCACTATGCTGTACAATAGATCTCTTGAATTATGCCTCCCATCTAATTGAAATTTTGTATTCTTTGATCAATATCTCCCTAACACCCACCTCCCGCCCCCAGCCCCTGGTAACCACCATTCTACTCTGCTTCTATGAGATTGGCCATTTTAAATTCCACATATAAGTGAGACCATGTGGTATCTGTCTTTCTGTACCTGGCTATTTTATGTAACAGAATGTCCTTCAGTTTCATCTATATGGTTGCAAATGATAGAATTTCCTCTTTTTTCCATGGCTGAATAAATAGTATTCCATTGTATATTCCTACCACATTTTCTTTATCCATTCATCGGTTTTTAACACAAAACTGATGTTAAAGATTACATATTGTTGGTGGAAGGATGAAGGGGAAGGAGGGTTGAGGGGGGAGGAAAGAAAAGAGGGAGATGGCCAGGCGCGGTGCCTCATGCCTGTAATCCCAGCACCTTGGGAGTCCAAGGCGGGTAGATCACTTGAGGTCAGGAGTTGAGACCAGCCTGGCCAACATGGTGAAAGCCCGTCTATACTAAAAATACAAAAATTAGCCAGTCATGGTGGTGCGTGCCTGTAATCCCCGCTACTTGGGAGGCTGAGGCACGAGAATCACTTGAACCCAGGAGGCAGAGGTTGTAGTGAGCTGAGATCGTGCCACTGAACTCCAGCCTGGGTGACAGAGCAAGACTCTGTCTCAAAAAAAGAAAAAGGAAAAAGAAAACAGGGAGAGAACACAGGAAAGGAAGAGAAGGAAAAACAGAAGATGGTCAGGTTCCCTTTACTGTATAGAGTTTTTGTTGAGGTTTGATTCTGCTTGATTTTCTTTTTTTATTTTTGTTTTTTGTTTTTTGTTTGAGACAGAATCTTGCTCTATAGCCCAGGCTAGAGAGCCGTGGCACAATCTCTGCTCGCTGCAAACTTTGCCTCCCGGGTTCAAGCTATTCACCTGCCTCAGCCTCTAGAGTAGCTGGGATTGCAGGCGCCCACCACCACGCCTGATTAATTTTTTTGTATTTTTAGTAGAGACGGGGATTCACCATGTTGGCCAGGCTGGTCTCGAACTCCTGACCTCAAGCAATCTGCCCGCCTCAGCCTTCCAAAGTGCTGGGATTACAGGCGCGGGCCACTTGGTTTTGTTTTCTATGAAGCTTTGCTCCACTGAAGGAAGCAAAAGTGTTTATAGAGAACATCCAAGTTGACTATGAGCGACTCCGTTAGATCCTTGAGACCCTGACTGTCTCAGGCATGAATGACTTGGCTTGAGGAGCAACAGAAGCCCACTGAAGATGGCTTGAGGTTAACTGAACACAAAGGAATTTGATGGATTTGATGGAATTTTCACAGAACAGTATAGGTTTCCGTGGGAAGCTGGGACCAGAATGGCATCTCTGACACCTGGCTCTGTGTGGTTTTTCTCCCTTTTTGTTCCCACTAGTCACAGACCATACATGGAACCAGAAAAGCAAACCGAAATCTCAGAATTCTTCCTCCAGGGACTCTCAGAAAAGCCAGAGCATCAGACCCTCCTCTTCACAATGTTCCTCTCCACATACCTGGTCACCATCATTGGAAATGCCCTCATTATCCTGGCCATCATCACGGACTCTCACCTCCACACACCCATGTACTTCTTTCTCTTCAACCTCTCACTCGTTGACACCCTATTATCCTCCACCACCGTCCCCAAGATGCTAGCGAACATCCAGGCTCAGAGCAGAGCCATCCCCTTTGTGGGCTGCCTCACCCAGATGTATGCCTTCCACCTGTTCGGGACCATGGACAGCTTTCTCCTGGCAGTAATGGCCATCGACCGCTTCGTGGCCATTGTCCACCCACAGCGTTACTTGGTTCTCATGTGCTCCCCTGTCTGTGGGCTGCTGCTGGGAGCATCATGGATGATCACCAACCTCCAGTCTCTCATACACACCTGCCTCATGGCTCAACTGACCTTCTGCGCCGGCTCTGAAATCTCCCACTTCTTCTGTGACCTCATGCCCCTGCTGAAGCTCTCCGGCTCAGACACGCACACCAACGAGCTGGTGATCTTTGCTTTTGGCATTGTCGTGGGCACCAGCCCATTCTCCTGCATCCTTCTCTCGTACATCCGCATTTTCTGGACAGTCTTTAAGATCCCTTCTACTCGGGGCAAGTGGAAAGCCTTCTCCACCTGTGGCTTACACCTCACTGTGGTGTCACTGTCCTATGGGACCATCTTTGCTGTGTACTTACAGCCCACATCCCCCAGCTCCTCCCAGAAGGACAAGGCAGCCGCCCTAATGTGTGGGGTGTTCATCCCCATGCTCAACCCCTTTATCTACAGCATACGGAACAAGGATATGAAGGCAGCCCTGGGGAAGCTCATCGGCAAAGTGGCCGTCCCCTGTCCTAGGCCAGAACAGTTATTGGATGTTTATCATGTTCCAGGATCACTGTTGGCTGCTAGGGACACAGAGATGCATCCCATCCCCTACCCTGGAGGAGTTCAGAGTCTAGCTGGGAACAGAGACATGGAATAAATCCTTCCAGTACAACGTGATAAATGTGTCATAAAGAGATGAACAAAGTGTATGAGCACCCAAAGGAAAGGTGTGCATTTTCCCCAGGATTTATCTTCCCCAAAAAGATCAGAATAGCAAGGATCAAACTGGCCTGAAATTAGCCCTCCTGGAGGATCAGCCTTTTAGGATTGCTATGTGAATAAGAGTAGTTGAAAACAAGAGACGTAGCTACACTCATTTTAGTATTGACAAAGGCCAGGTGTGGAAGCTCAAGCCTGTGATCCCAGCATTTTGGGAGGCCAAGGTGGAAGGATCACTTGAGGCCAGGAGTTTGAGACCAGCCTGGGCAACATACAGAGACCCTATCTCCACACACACACACAAAATCACTTTAGCAAGACATGGTGGTATACGCCTGTAGTCTCAGCTAATCAGGAGGCTGAGGCAGGCAGATCATTTGAGCCCAGGAGTTCAAGGTTGCAGTGAGCTATGACTGCACCACTGCACTTCAGCAGTTTGGGAAACTGAGCAAGATCTGTCACTCATAGGTAGATAGATAGATAGATAGATAGATAGATAGATAGATAGATAGATAGACAGACAGATAGATAGAGAGGATAAGATAAGATAGGTAGATAGGGTGGATAGATAAGATATGTAGATAGATAGATAGATAGATAGATAGATAGATAGATAGATAGATAGATATACAGATAGATACATAGATAGATAGGATAGATAGGTAGGTAGGTAGGTAGGTCAACCGATCGATAGATCTATCTATTGACAGACAGATAGATGATTGATTGATAGATAGATCATATAAGTAGATAGATGATAGATAGATAGATAGATAGATAGATAGATGAGATAGGTAGGTAGGTCAGTCGATCGATTGATCAATCGATCAACAGATAGATGATAGATAGATGGATGGATAGATAGAGATAGAGGAGGTAGGTAGATAGATAGATAGATAGATAGGTAGATACAGACAGCCCATGTATTAGCCAGTGTTTCCTAAGTGTTGTGGAAGAACTTTGAAAATATTTGCAAGTGAGATTAGCTCACGTGCTGTTCGCTTAGTCAGCCAGCAAGCCTCAGCCTCCTGGGGGGTCTTGAGACCTCCACTTGTAACTATGACTGTGGTTGGGGCTTACTTTCTCAATTCCCAACAGGCTTCCTGTCTCCCCACAACCCCCAGTCAAGGGGACTCTGATGCAGACGGTCCATCAATCGTAGTTTGGGAACACAGACCCTAGCCTAGCTCCAAAATCTATGTGTTTCCTGTGACATTCATCGCCTGACTCTGAACCCAGTATGATTCTACACGCAGGGTCAGCCACAGCAGATCAGGTGGCCCGGGGCACTTAAAAAGTTAGTGTTATGGGTTGAACTGTGGCTCCCAAAAAAAGATACGTGGGAGGCCAGGCGCAGTGGCTCACACCTGTAAACTCTGGCACTTTGGGAGGTTGAGTAGGGAGAATCATTTGAAGCTAGGAGTTCAGGACCAGCCTGAACAACATAGTGAGATCTCATCCCTACAAAAAATAAAAATGAAAAAAGAAAAAATTACCTGGGTGTGGTGGTGTGCACCTGTCATCTTAGTTACTCGGGAGGCTGAGACAGGAGGACCTCTTGAGCCAAGGAGGTCGAGGCTGCATGAGCTATGTTCCTGCCACTGCACTCCAGCCTGGGAAACAGAGCAAGGCCCTGTCTGCAAAAGTAATAATAATAAAATAAAAAAGATATGTTGAAGTCCTAACCCCAAGGACCTCAGAATGTGACCATATTTGAAGATAGGGTGTTTACAGAGGTCATTAGATTACAGTAAGGTCATTAGGTTGGTCCCTAATCTGATACGACTGGCGTCCTTATGAAAAGGGGAGATTTGGACACAGGCACCCACACACATGGAGACCGCCACATGAAGATGGAGGCAGAGATTGGGGTGATGCTCCTACAAGCCAAGGAATGCCAGGGACTGCCTGCAGACCACCAGAAGCCAGGAGAGGCGTGGAACAGGCTATCCCTCTCAGCCCTCAGAAGGAACCAAGGAATCAAAGCTGCTGACAACTGATCTTTTTTTTTTTTTTTTTTTTTTGAGACGGAGTCTTGCTCTGTCATCCCGGCTGGATGCAGTGGCATGATTTTGGCTCACTGCAACCTCCACCTCCCAGGTTCAAGCAATTCTCCTGCCTCAGCCTCCCAAGTAGCTGGGATTACAGGCACCCACCACCACGCCCAGCTAATTTTGTGTTTTTAGTAGAGATGGGATTTCACTATGTTGGCCAGACTGGTCTCAAACTCCTGGCCTCCAGTGATCTGCCCACCTCAGCCTCCCAAAGTGCTGGGATTACAAGCGTGGGCCACTGCACCTGGCCCAACACCTTGATCTCGGACTCTTAACCTCCAGAACTGTAAGACAACAAATTTCTATTGTTTAAGTCACCTAGTTCATGGTAATTTTTAAATTTTTTTTTCTTTTAGAGACAGACAGGATCTACTGTGTCACCCAGGCTGGAGTACAGTGGTGCAATCATAGCTAAAGTGCAACCTCACCTCAAACTCCTGGGCTCAAGCAATCCTCCTGCCTCAGCCTCCTGAGTAGTTGGGACTACAGGCCTATGCCACTGCAATCAGCTATATATATTTGTAGAGACAGGGTCTCACTATGTTGCCCAGGCTGGTCTCAAACTCCCGGCCTCAAGAGATCTGCCCTCCTCGGCTTCACAAAGTGCTGGGATTGCAGGTGTAAACCACCACACTCGGCCTGATTTGTGGTACTTTGTTGCAACATTGCTAGAAAACAAATGCAGTTAGTTTAAGAAATGTCAGCAACCTACAAAACCTACAAAGTGTCCCAGTACATCCTCTCAAGTTTACAATTGACCATGTGTTCTGGCCAAGGGACCCTGGGCTAGAACTGGAGAAAAGGATGAAGGATTTAGATTGCATGGATTCACTTACTGGGTATCAGCATGATGACAATAATGATGATGACAACCGAGATTTATTATCTGAACAATGCTAACTCCTTTATATGCACAATCTCAATAAGTGTTAAGCAACACCCCTACAAGGTAGGTGCAGAAGTAATTGTGGTTTTGCCACTGAAAGTAACAGCAGGCTGCGCATGGTGGCTCACACCTGTATTCCCAGCACTTTGGGAGGCCGAGGCGGGCAGATCACAAGGTCAGTAGATCGAGACCATCCTGACCAACATGGTGAAACCCCCTCTCTACTAAAAATACGAAAATTAGGCCGGGCACAGTGGCTCATGCCTGTAATCCCAGAACTTTGGGAGGCTGAGGTGGGCGGATCATGAGGTCAGGAGATCAAGACCATCCTGGCTAACATGGTGAAACCCCATCTCTACTAAAAATACAAAAAATTAGCCGGACATGTTGGCGGGCACCTGTAGTCCCAGCTACTCGGGAGGCTGAGGCAGGAGAATGGCCTGAACCCGGGAGGCGGAGCTTGCAGTGAGCCAAGGCCACGCCACTGCACCCCAGCCTGGGTGACAGAGCGAGACTCCTCCTCAATTTAAAAAAAAATACAAAACTTAGCCAGGCGTGGTGGCCCACACCTGTAGTCCCAGCTACTTGGGAGGCTGAGGCAGGAGAATGGCGTCAACCCGGGAGGCGGAGTTTGCGTGAGCCGAGATCGCCCCACTGCACTCCAGCCTGGGTGACAGAGCGAGACTCTGTCTCAAAAAAAAAAAAAAAAAAAAAAAAAAGTTTGTAATTTAAAAGTTTGAGCATCACTGGGCTAGATGGGGGTCCTGTAGATAACCGGGACCCAAATAGGCTTTAGGTACAGAGATACAGGAGAACCAGATTTGGGGTGCCGCTCTAGCCACTGTGTCCAGGAGGGAACCTTCCCAACCGCCCTAAAAGCTCTGAAAACTACAGTTAGAGAAGTGGCCACTAGGTGGCAATAATGTCATTTCACAAATTGGATTTAAAACGCTTTTTTTTTTTTTTTTTTTTTTTGGTTTTTGGTTGTTTTTTTTTTTTCCCCGGAAACTTGTATTCTAGCTGTGAACTGGCCCAGGTCCATGGCCCTTAGGTGTAATCTCCCCCTGGAAGGGCACAACAGGTGCAAAGTTTCCATGATGAGAAGGAGCCTGTGTTGTTTAAAGAAATCACGGAGACTGGTGTGGCCTGAGCCCAGAGTGACAGGGAAGCTGGGTTTGCAGGGGGCCCGTGGAGGGCACTGGGAGTAACACGGTGTGTGGACCACGGGGAGTGGGACCATGACAAGGTTTAAGGAGGATAGGGGGTGGGGCTGTGCTTCAGAACGAACCTGCCAGTTATCCATGCCATAGATCTGGAGTCAGCAAACTTTTTCTGTCAAGGTCCAGGTCGTCAATATTGTCAGCTTTAGGGACCTTACCATCTCCGTTGCAATGACTGAACTCTGCTGCTGTCTGGCGAAAGCAGCCATAGATGAGACATCAACGAATGGGCTTGGCTGTGTTCCACTAAAACTTTGTTTATAAACACAGAAGCTTCCATTTCATATCATAGTACATGTCATACCTTGTAGCCTTTGGGTTTGTTTTCAACCACTTTTAAAATGTTAAAACTACTCTAGGCCAGGTGCATTCACTCATGCCTGTAATCCCAGCACTTTGAGAGGCCAAGGGAGGAGGATTGCTTGAAGCCAGGAGTTCGAGACTGGAGTGGGCAACATAGTGAGACCTCCCCCATCTCTACAAAAATTTTTTAATTAGCTGGGCATGGTGGTGCATGCCTGTAGTCTCAGCTACTCAGGAGGCTGAGGAAGGAGGATCACTTAAGCCCAGGAGGTCAAGGCTGCAGTGAGCTATGATTGCACCACCGCACTCCAGCCTGGGGGATAGAGTAAGACCACTGTCTCTAAAAAACTTAAAAAATAAATAAATAAATAAAAATAAATGCAAAACTATTTTTATTTCAAGGGCTGGATTTAGCCTATGGGCCATAGGTTGCCAATCCTCGTATAGATGGATGGGAGTGACAAGAGTTAAGGGGACCAAGAAAGACCAAAAAGTGAGAGGTGAAGTGGGCTGAAAACCATCAGAAGATAAGGAGCTGGTGCCACAGGACCTTTGCAAATGCTGTTCCCTCTTCCTGACCCCTCCTGAGTAAATTCCTGCTTGGCATTGAGATTTCAGCACAAACTCCACTTCCTCAAGGAAGCCTCCCCTAACCTCCATCCCTTGCCCAGCTACATCAGTTGCCCTAATGTTACACTCGCTATCCCCTCTCTCATCATCACTCATCATTAGTGATCTCTTCATCACTGCAGTGGTTTTGTGGGGTCTTTTGTTTTGTTTTGAGACAGAGTCTTGCTCTGTCTCCCAGTCTGGAGTGCAGTGGGGCGATCCCGGCTCACTGTAACCCCCACCTCCTGGGTTCAAATGGTTCTCCTGCCTCAGCCTCCCGAGTAGTTGGGATTACAGGCACGCATCACCATGCCTGGCTAATGTTTTGTATTTTTAGTAGAAACGGGGTTCACCGTGTTTGCCAGGCTGGTCTCGAACTCCTGGCCTCAAGTGATCCACCTGCCTCAGCCCCCCAAAGTTCTGGGATTACAGGTGTTAGCTGCTGCACCCGGCCTCCTCACTGCAGTGGTTTTATATTAGTTTGTGTAACCCTTTGATTAATGTCTGTTTCACCCATTTGACTGAGCTGGGAGCTGGGACCTGAAATAGTGTTATCTTGTTTATCTTTGCACCTCTGTGCCCCTATGATTAGTACGGTAGCCACTCAATGTATGTTTTCTGGCCACGCACCGTGCCTCACACCTGTAATCCCAGCACTTTGGGAGGTGAAGGCGGGCAATCACCTGAGGTCAGGAGTTCAAGACCAGCCTGGCCAACCACGGCCAACGTGATGAAGCCCCATCCCTACTAAAAATACAAAAATTAGCCAGGCGTGGTTGCACGTGCCTGTAATCCCAGCTACTCAGGAGGCTGAGGCAGGAGAATCGCTTGAACCCGGGAGGCAAAGGTTGCAGTGACCCAAAATCATGACACTGCACTCCAGCCTGGGCGACAGAGCAAGACTCTTGTCTCAGAAGAAAAAAAAAAACAAAAAACACTTTTTTTCTTTATTTTAATTTAATCTTATTTTATTTTATTTATTTTATTTTTTGAGATGGACTCTCACTTTGTCGCCCAGGCTAAAGTGTAGTGGTGTGATCTTGGCTCACTGCAACCTCCGCTTCCCGTGTTCAAGTTATTCTCCTGCCTCAGTCTCCCAAGTAGCTGGGACTACAGGTGCCCGCCACCATGCCCAGCTAATTTTTCTATTTTTAGTAGAGGCGGGGTTTGACCATGTTGGCCAGGCTGGTCCCGAACTCCTGACCTCAAATAATCCACCCACCTCAGCCTCCCAAAGTGCTGGGATTATAGGCATGAGCCACCGCACCCAGCCACAAAATATATTTTCTGAATGAATGAATGAATGAGGCAGTGTGATGGAAAGGTTTTAGGAATACCGGATGGGGCAGCCAAAGTAGGCTGCTGAGTTGGAACAAAGATACCTGCAGTCAAGGTTAAGTGAGAGATGCACTCCTCCTTTGATATCCCCAACCTTCAGTTATGCCTGTCCCACACTCAGGTGCCTTGTGGGACTGGGACTCTGCTGAAATTAAGAAGCCAGGGGCCTCATCCCACAGAGCAAAACCAGCAAGATGGCGGGACTCCTTAATTCAGCAACAACAAAAGACAGAAAATAATCTGGAAATTCTCTAAAATCTTAGCAAGCATGCTGGAAGAGGTTTGAGCCAATCTTATCCAGTAAATTTTTTTTTTTTTTTTTTTTGAGACAGGGTCTCGCTCTGTCGCCCAGGCTGGAGTGCAGTGGTGTGATCATGGCTGAATGCAGCCTCGACCTCCTGGGCTCAAGCAATCCTCCCACCTCAGCCTCCTGAGTAGCTAGGGCTATAGGCACGCACCACCACACATGGCTAATTTTTTTTACTTTTTTATAGAGACGAGGACTCACTATGTGGCCTATTCCGGTCTTGAACTCCTGGCCTCAAGCCATCCTCCCACCTTGGCTCCCAAACCGCTGGGATTACAGGTGTAAGCCACTGCACACGGCCCAAGCCTATATTAAGAGTACAAGAACAGACCGGGCACAGTGGCTCACGCCTGTAATCCCAGCACTTTGGGAGGCCAAGATGGGTATATTACCTGAGGTCAGGAGTTCGAGACCAGCCTGGCCAACATGGTGAAGCCCCCATCTCTACTAAAAATACAAAAACTAGCCAGGCGTGGTGGCATGCACCTGTAGCTCCAGCTACTCAAGGCTAAGGCAGGAGAATCGCTTGAACCTGGGAGGCGGAGGTTGCAGTGAGCCAAGATTGTGCCACTGCACTCCAGCCTGGGTGACACAGCAAGATTCTGTCTCAAAAAAAAAAAAAAAAAAAAGTACAAGAACACTTCCTTCTCTCCATGTGAAATTTTATTGGGTGATTCAAAGCAAATCTGGAGATTCGGGAACTGAGGCTCAGAGACGAAAAGTGACCACCCCAAGGCCACATGCCAGATCTGGGGCAGAGTGGGGGAATCCAGCCCAGGCTGGTGTGACCTCAAAACCCAGCCTCTCCCTCCCTCATGATGCTGGTAGCCTCCCAGGTGGGTGACTTGCCCAAGGTCACACTGCAGCTTGGAGCAACTCAAGGCCTGTCCCGGGAGGAGGGAGCAGCCCCTGTGTGGGACTCTGGGGAGTGAAAAGCGGACAAGCCAGCAGGAGTGGCCACTTTCTGGAAAGTGTAAGAAAGATTCACTAAGATTTGGGCTGAAGTTCGCAGAGATGGATTGGGACAATCCTCCCAACTGTCCATTTGCCAGGAACTTGGCAGGAAATGGAGGTGGTTTTGTTTGTGTAAACCTTTGTGGCTGGGGATCCCAAAGGCATCCCTCACCTTTAATGATTTGCTAGAAAGACTCACAGAACTCAGTAATGTTATTATACTCATGGTTTATTGCAGTAAACAGATACAGATTAAAATCTGCAAAGGGCCAGCCACAGTGGCTTATGCCTATAATCCCAACACTTTAAGTGAGAGATGCACTCCTCCTTTGATACCCCCAACCTTCAATTATGCCTGTCCCACACTCAGGTGCCTTGTGGGACTGGGACTCTGCTGAGGCAGGAGGATCACTTGAAGCCAGAAGTTCGAGATCAGCCTGGGCAACATGGCCAGACCCTGTCTCTACAAAAAATTGTAAAAATTAGCCAGGCGTGGTGATGCACACCTGTAGTCCCAGCTACTTGGGAAGCTGAAGTCGGAGGATCACTCAGATCTAGGAGTTCAAGGTTGCAGTGAGCTAGAATTGCACAACTGCACTCCAGATGAGGCAACAGAGTAACCCCCCCCCCTTTTTTTTTTTTTTGAGACAGCATCTAGCTCTGTCACCCAGGCTGGGATGCAGTGGTGTGATCACAGCTCACTGCAATTTCTGCCTCCTGGGCTCAAGTGATCCTCCCTCCTTGGCCTCCCAAAGCAACGGGATTACAGGTGTAAGCCACCACACCTGGCCCCCATTAAAAAAAAAAAATCTGCAAAGGTAAAAGGCAGATAGAGCAGCATCTAGGAGACACCAGGCATGAGCTTCCAGCTGTTCCCTCCCAGTGGAGTTGTACAGACATAGACAATGCTGAATTCTCACAGCCACAATGTGTAACAACAGGTGCAGAGTGTTGCTAACCAAGGAGCTGACCCAAGCCTTGGTGTTCTGGGTTGTTTTTGTTTGTTTGTTTTTTGTTTTTGTTTTTGTTTTTTTGAAACGGGGTCTCTCTCTGTCACACAGGCTGGAGTGCAGTGGTGCGATCTCGGCTCACTGAAACCTCTGCCTCCAGGGTTCAAGCAATTCTCTGCCTCAGCCTCCCGAGGAGCTGGGATTATAGGCGCCCACCACCATGCCCCGCTAATTTTTTGTATTTTTAGTAGAGATGGGGTTTCACCATCTTGGCCAGGCTGGTCTTGAACTCCTGACCTCGTGATCCACCCGCCTCGGCCTCCCAAAGTGCTGGGAGGTGTTCTGGGTTCTTATTGGAGGTTGGCCACTGTATTACAATAGTTCCCGCTTCTTCATGAGGTTTCAGTTACCTGCTGTCAACAGCAGTCCAAAAATACTAAATGAAAAATTTGAGAAATAAACACTTTGGGTTGGGCATGGTGGTTCACGCCTGTAATACCAGCACTTTGGGAGGCCGAGGCGGGCGGATCACGAGGTCAGGAGATTGAGACCATCCTGGCTAACATGGTGAAACCCCATCTCTAATAAAAATACAAAAAAAATAGCTGGGTGTGGTGGCGGGCGCTGTAGTCCCAGCTACTCAGGAGGCTGAGACAGGAGAATGGCGTGAACCTGGGAGGCAGAGCTTGCAGTGAGCCAAAATCACACCACTGCACTCCAGCCTGGGCAACAGAGTGAGACTCCATCTCAAAAAAAAAAAGAAAGAAAAAGAGAGAGAAAAAAAAATAAACAATTAGTAAGTTTTTTTGTGGGTACATAGTAGGTGTATATATTTATGAATTACATGTCATATTTTGATACAGGGATGTACACATCAGGGTAAAATGGGTATCCATCCCCTCAAGCATTTATCTTTTGTTTTACAAACAATCTGATTATGCTCTGTAAGTTATTTTCAAATGTACAATTAAATTATTTTTGACTACAGTCACCCTGTTGTGCTAGCAATTCATACGTTTTTGGTTTTGGGTTTTGAGACAGTCTCACTCCGTCACCCAGGCTGGAGTGCAGTGGCACAATCTTGGCTCACTGCAACCTCCACCTCCTGCATTCAAGCAATTGTCCTGCCTCAGCCTCCCGAGCAGCTGGGACTACAGGTGCCCGCCACCACACCCAGCTAATTTTTTTGCATTTTTAGTAGAGATGGGGTTTCACCATGTTGGTCAGGCTGGTCTCAAACTCCTGACCTCAGGTGATTTGCCCACCTCAGCCTCTCAAAGTGCTGGGATTACAGGCATGAGCCACTGCGCCTGGCCACAACTCATACGTTTTAAAGTGCGTGCCATTCTGAGTAGTGTGATGAAATCTTGCACCATTCCACTCCATCCCAGCTGGGATGTCAATCCTCCCTTTGTTTGGCACATCTGCACTGTAAACACCCCACCCATCAGTCCCTTACTAGCCATGGCAGTTATGAGATCGACAAAACACAGTATAGCTAGGGTTCTGTACTACCCACGGTTTCAGGAATCTACCGGGCATCTTGGAACATGTTCCCTGCAGATAATGGAGGATCACTAGTGTCCTGGGACTACCATAACAAAATACCACAGCCTGGGAGGCTTAAACAACAGAAATTTATTTTCTCATAGTTCTGGAGGCTGGAAGTTCAAGGTCAAGTTACGTTGGTAGGGTTGTTCTGTGGCTTCTCTCCAGGCCTTGTAAGTGGCTGGCTGTTCCCTGAGACTTCACATTGTCTTCCTTCTATGTGTGCACACATCTGTATCCAAATTTCCTCTTCTCGTAAGGCACTAGTCCTACTGGATTAGGACTCACCCTAAAGACGTCATTTTAACGTAATTACCTCTGTCTCTAGCTCCGGGGTATTTCTCCGCCAACTCACCATGACTGCCACAGAAGTGCTGAGCTCTGCCCAAACCTGACCGGTCCCTCCACCTGCATTTTGTCTTTCAACGAATGGGTCTGTATGTGCCTGCGGGTGGTTAACCCACCAGGTACCAAAAGCACAGCGTATCAGGCCTGCAGCCAACGAGAAAGAAAATTGGAGGAAGAAAAATACATACATGTGGGGCTGGGTGTGGCGGCTCATGCCTGTAATCCCAGCACTTTGGGAGGCCAAGGTCGGGGGATCACTTGAGGTCAGGAGTTCAAGACCAGCCTGGCCAATATAGTGAAACCCTGTCTCTACTACAAATACAAAAATTAGCTGGGCGTGGTGGCACAGGCCTGTAAGATCGCACCACTGCACTCCAGACTGGGCGACAGAGAGAGACCCTGAAAAAAAAAATAGAAAAAGAAAAGAAAGGGAAGGGAAAGGGAAGGGAAGGGAAGGGAAGGGAAGGGAAAGGGAAAGGGAAAGGGAAAGGGGAAGGGGAAGGGGAAAGGGAAAGGGAAGGAAAGGAAGGGAAGAAAGAAAGAAGGAAAGAAAGAAGAAAGAAAGAAGGAAAGAAAGAAAGAGAAAGAAAGAAAGGGGAAGGAAGGAAGTAGAGAGAGAGAAAGAAAGAAGGAAGGAAGGAGAGAAAGAAAGAAAGAAAAGGAAGGAAGGAAGGAGAGAGAAAGAAAGAAGAAAGGAAGGAGAGGGAGAAAGAAAGAAAGAAAGAAGGAAGGAAGGAGAAAGAAAGAAAGGAAGGAAGGAAGGAAGAAAGAAAATACATACATGGCCAGGAGCAGTGGCTCACACCTGTAATCCCAGCACTTTGGGAGACCAAAGAGGAAGAGAAGACTCTATCTCCAAATACAGTCACATTCTAAGGGACCGGGAGTTAAGACTTCAACATAGGAATTTGGCAAGGGACTGAAGGGGACATAATTTGGCCCATGGGTGTCCAATCTTTTCATTTCCCTGGACCACATTGGAAGAAGAATTGTCTTGGGCCACACATAAAATACACTAACACTAACAGATAGCTGATGAGCTAAAAATCGCAAAAAAAAAATCTCATAGTGTTTTAAGAAAGTTTACGAATTTGTGTTGGGTCACATTCAAAGCCTTCCTGGGCCACATGCAGCCTGTGGGTGGCGGGTTAAACAAGCTTGATTTAGCCCATAACAGCCACATAGTATGGCTGACCATTTGTGTGACTGACCTTAGCTACTCAGCCTCAAGCCCCTCGAGAGGTCAAACTGACACAGTGAGGCCCAAGGCCTCCACCATAAAACACGTTTTTGGCATAAACTCTCTGGTGTGACCTCCAGGTATACAAAGAGACTCTCATCACACAGGATACTCCACCAGCTTGAAGGCAACTCTTCAGGAGCCAGACAAGGGCTAGACTTTACTTTGGAATGTGCAGGAGAGCCCAGAAGCATGGGAGGAAGGAGGCAGGAGCTAAGCCTGATGTGGGATCTCTGTCAAAGCCCTGCCCACCCAGCCACCTGTCCTCACCTGATCAGCCACCTCTCTGCAGGCTGCTCCTGCTTCCTCTGGTACACCCAGCCTGTAGAGTCTAGGGGGTCCACACCAGCACACCAGGTCTGGGAGCTGGACATCAGATAAGCTTTGTTTAAGAGACAGGGCCTCAGCTGGGCACGGTGGCTCACACCTGTAATCCCAGCACTTTGGGAGGCCAAGGAGGGCAGATAACTTAAGGTCAGGAGTTCTACTAAAAAATACAAAATCTAGCCAGGCATGGTGGTGGGCGCCTGTAATCTCAGCTACTCAGGAGGCTGAGGCAGGAGAATCGCTTGAATCTGGGAGGCGGAGGTTTCAGTGAGCCGAGATTGCGCCACTGCACTTCAGCCTGGGCAACAAGAGTGAAAACCCTGTCTCAAGAAAAAAAAAAAAAGAGAGAGAGAGACGGGGAGAGACAGGGTCTCGCTCTGTTGCCCAGGCTAGAGGCAGTGGTGCAGTCATAGCTCATTGAAGCCTCAAACTCCTGGGCTCAAGTGATCCTCCTGCCTCAGTCTCCAGAATAGCTGAGACTACAGGTGTGAACCACCATGTCCAGCTTGGAGAGCTCTTGGCATGGCTGCAGTGGCCAGTTGCTGAGTCTATCCCTGAGGCTGTGCAGGGGCCTAGCCAGCAGGAAAGCTCCACAGCCTTGCAGCTGATAAACAGAGACCACTCTGGAGGTGGCATGGAGCAACTATGGACCCCTCCTGCACCTCAGTTTCAGCTCTATAGCTGTCTGGCCAGATTTTTCCAAGGGTCAATGGGAGGCTCTGGTCAAGCAATGCTGTACCACTGACTGTCACCCAGGTGAGACTGTGCCCTGCCTCAGGAAGCTGCTTTATGCTAACAGAATTCATAACCATTTCATTATATACAATCATCCCCTCTCCCTCCAGCTCCTGAATGCTACTGTGATGGATATCTCTGGGCAGCCACCCCTTTGCTGGTTCCTCTGAGGTCTGACTTCCAGCCAGGGAGGCCTAGGCAGGCTGAGGTATTCACCTTCTTCTCCTGGAAGATGCCAGATAGACGCAAGCCTCAGGTGTGGAAACAAATGGGAATGACCACAGCGGGTGGAGGAAGCTTGGGTCCTGCTCCCCAAAACCTTCTCTATCTCCCATCCCCCAGGAACTGAGCACCCCAGGGAGCTGGTAGAATGGAGATGTAGCCCCACAGAACCACGCCCCATGCCCATAGCCTTGAAAACAGCCTAATTTATTATTCCCTTTGCACATGAAACAGAGGCCTAGACAGAATGTCTGTGTTTGGAGTCCACCAGAAGCCAACCTTGAGACAAGGATTCAAGTATTTAGGAAATAAACAGGAAATACTGTAAGTGGGGTGGATATGTGGGAGAGGGAAGGGAAGGAAGTCAGCAAAGAGTGTATTGATAACCAGGTTTCTACAGTGGACAGCTGGAGCTCAATCCCGTGGGTGAACACTAGGGGTCAGTGTAGAACATGAACCTCAATCATCCAACACAAGGGTGAGGGAGCTGGGGTATTTATCCATCAATTCCCCTTGACTACCACAGAGGTGCTGAGCTCTGCCCAAAACTGACAGGAAATGGTCTTTTGGTCTTTCAACTAATTGGTCTATATGTGTCTGGGGCTGGTTAATCCACCAGGTACCAAAAGCACAGCACATCAGACCTGCAGCCAATGAGAACATTTAGGGGAAAGAAAACACACACGTGGCCAGGTGCAGTGGCTCACACCTGTAATCCCAGCACTTTGAGAGGCCAAGGAAGAAGGATCGCTTGAGGTCAGGAGTTTGAGACCAGCCTGGGCAACATAGCAAGATCCTGTCTCTACAAAAAAAATTTAAAAGCTAGCTGGGTATGGCAGTGCATGCCTATAGGCCTAGCCACTCAGGAGGCTGAGGCAAGAGGATTGCTTGAACCCAGAAGTTCAAGTCTGCAGTGAGCTATGATCACACCAATGCACACCAGCTTGGGTGACAGAGGGAGATTATGTCTCTAAAAATAATAAGGCCAAGCACGGTGGCTCACACCTGTAATCCCAGCCACTTGGGGGGCCAAAGTGGGAAGATCACTTGAGCCCAGAAGTTTGAGAACAGTCTAGGCAACATGATGAGACCCTATCTCCACAAAAAAATAGAAAAATCAGCCTGTGGCATGGTGGCACATGCCTGTAGTTCCAGTTGCTTGGGAGGCTGAGGCAGGAACATCACTTGAGCCTAGGAGGTTGAGGGTGCAGTGAGTTGTGGTAGTGCCACTGCACTACAGCCTGAGCAACAGAGCAAGAAAAATAAATAAAATAATAATAATAAAGTAAATAAAAATAACATGAAAATAATTTTTAAAAAATTTGAGACAGAGTCTTAGTCACCCAGGCTGGAGTGCAGTGGCACGATCTTGGCTCACTCCAACCTCTACCCTCTGGGTTCAAGCGATTCCCCTGCCTCAGCCTCCCGAGTAGCTGGGATTACAGGTGCCTGCCACCATGCCTAGCTAATTTTTATATTTTTAGTAGAAACGGGGTTTCACCATCTTGGCCAGGCTAGTCTTGAACTCCTGACCTCGTGATCCACCCGCCTCAGCCTCCCAAAGTGCTGGGATTACAGGCATGAGCCACAGTGCCCGGCCATGAAAATAAATTTTTTTAAAAGAAAAGAAAATGGGCCAGGCACGGTGGCTGACCCCTGTAATCTCAGCTCTTTGGGAGGCCAAGGTGGATGGATCACAAGGTCAGGAAATCGAGACCATCCTGGCCAACATGGTGAAACCCCATCTCTACTAAAAATATAAAAATTAGCTGCACGTGGTGGTGTGTGCCTGTAATCCCAGCTACTCAGGAGGCTGAGGCAGCAGCATCGCTTAAACCAGGGAGTCACAGGTTGCAGTAAGCCAAGATCGTGCCACTGCACTCCAGCCTGGGCAACAAAGCAAGACTATGTCTCTATAAAAGAAAAGAAAAGAAAATGTACGCATACAGGCTCTAAAATCTGTACAGCAACTAGCAAAATCCACAGGAATAAGCATACAAACATCATTATGAAACTTAGAATTCATAACCATTTCATTACATACAATTTGCAGATAATCTGTTCTCACTTATGGAAATTTCTGATTGCTAAGAAAGAATCAGAGCCAATGGTGAATTAAATAGGCTACATGCAGGCAAATAAAGACAACAGGAAAAGTACAAAAACTCAAAAAGATTTACACAAAATAATAATAATAAATATTTATGTGGTATGTGGGTGTCATATGGGTGGGGCTAAGGGTTGCTCTCACTCCCATGTCAGACCCCAGCTCCTCTGAGACTCTGAAATACCCCATTGGGACCTTAGTCCTGCAGCCTCTACCCTCAACTTGTAAACAGGTATTGTCTTGACCCCTGACTTCTTTCCCCATTGTCAATAGCTGCCTCAAAGACATCTGCGCAGGGATCTCATAGGGAGGAGGGTGCACTCCACCCTTTTACAGACTGATGCCCCCCAAACACACATATCCAAGAAAAGTGAACAGCACCTAGGAGAACTGTATATCAACAGTTGTATAATGAGTATACCAATATATGCATAATGAGAGTCCCAGAAGGAGAGAAGTGAAAGGAGCAGAAAGAATATTTGATGAGGCTGGGTATGGTGGTTCATGCCTATAATCCCAGCACTTTGGGAGGCCAAGGTGGGCAGATCACTTAAGGTCAGAAATTTGAGACCGGCCTGGCCAACATGACGAAAACCCATCTCTACTAAAAATACAAAAATTAGCTGGGCATGGTGACAGGCACCTGTAACCCCACCTACTTGAGAGGTTGAGGCAGGAGAATCACTTGAACCCAGAAAGCAGAGGTTGCAGTGAGCCAAGACCATGCCTCTGCACTCCAGCCTGGGCAACAGAGTGAGACTCCATCTCAAAAAATAATAATAATAATATTTGATGAAATAATGGCCAAAAAACTTCCCAGAAGCCCAGAATTGATGAAAGACATGAATCTACATATCCACAAAGCTCAACAAACTCCAAGTACAATAAACACAGAGAACCACACAAAGACACATTAAAACCAAACACACACAGCCTCCTCGTCCAGGCCTCTTGGACACCCCCTCCTATACAGACCTCCATCACCTGACACCTGATCTCCTACCTGAATATTCAGCAGTGAACAACATAGACAAGCATCACTTGATCACTTGGTGGAGACCCAGTCTGGACGAGGAGGCAGATAAACTAGAACAAACCACTGGGACTGTTAAATTCAAGTTGTGGCAAGTGTTAGAAGAAAGGAAACTGAGTAATGTGATACTGACTAGACAGAGGTGGTGGACAGAAAGGGTCTCCCTAGAAGGTGCCATTGGACCTAAAGGATGAGAGAGAGGTGGCCTCAGAAGAACCAGGGCTTCCCAGGCAGAAGGAACCATGTGTGCAAAGGACCTGAGGCAGAAATAGCTTGATATGAAGGAGAACCAGAAAGGAGGCCATGGTGAGTGAATGGGACAGCCAAAGAGATGAGGCTGGAAGTCTTGTGAGACCATGCTGGGAATCTGAATTTTATTCTAGGTGAGGTGAGCAGTCATAGGAACACTATTCAGCAGGATGGTGCCACAATCTGATTTCAGTTTTAAGTCCACTGTGGGTAATATATGGAGAATGAAATGTAGGGCTAAGACAGGTTATATTTTCCCAGATGGCCACAATATCTCCCACCCTACATCCACTTGTACAATGTCACCTTGACATGCCTCCCATGTAGAGAGGTATAATCTGTGCCCCCTTTCCTTGAATCTGGTGGCAGAAGTGACACAGCATGACACTCAAGGCTGGGTCAGAAGAGATGCAACTTCTTCCTTGTTCACTTTTAGAGGGCTGGGTGGCTGTCTAAGAAGTCTGACTACCCCAAGACCACCATGCTGGAAGGAAACCCGAACCACACGGAGAGGCCTGTGTAGCTACCCTGGTCCACAGCCCCAGCAACAGCTGGCGTCAGTTGCAAGACCTCTGAGTGAAGACACCTCCAGATGACTCAGGACCCTGCCATTTTTTAGTCACCCTCTAGCCTAAGTCTCCCCTGTCCAAACTGAACCACAGCATCTGTGAGCATCATGTAAACCAAAAGGTATCTCAGATAAGTCTCAATAAATTTAGAAAGCTTATTTTGCCAAGGTTATGGACATGCCTGTGACACAGACTTAGAAGCTCCTGACAACATAAACTAGGGTAGTCAGGGCCACTACCTTGATTCAGGTCTGTAATCCTAGCTACTTGGTAGGCCAAGGCGGGCAGATCACTTGAGACCAGGAGGGTTTTTTGTTTTGTTTTGTTTTTTTGTTTTGTTTTTTTGAGACGGAGTTTCACTCTTGTTGCCCAGGCTGGAATGCAGTGACACAATATTGGCTCCCTGCAACCTCCGCCTCCCGGGTTCAAGAGATTCTCCTGCCTCAGCCTCCCGAGTAGCTGGGATTATAGGCATGCACCACCACCCCCAGCTAATTTTGTGTTTTTAGTAGAGAAGGGGTTTCCCCATGTTGGTCAGGCTGGTCTCGAACTCCCAACCTCAGGTGATCCGCCCGCCTTGGCCTCCCACAGTGCTGGGATTAGAGGCGTGAGCCACCGCACCCAGCCGAGCCCAGGAGTTTGAGACCAGTCTGGGCAACATGATGAGACTCTATCTCTACAAAAAGTAGGGAAATTAGCCAGGTATGGTGACACATGCCTATAGTCCCACTTGCTCGGGAGGCTGAGGCAGGAGCATCACTTGAGCCCAAGAGGCTGAGACTGCAGTGAGCTGTGGTGGTACCACTGCACTCCACCTTGGTCTAGTTTTATATATTTTAGGGAGACATGAGACAGCAATCAATATATGTAAGATGCACATGGGTTTGGTCTGGGAAGGCAGGACAACTCAAAAGTAGGGAGAAGGCTTCCAGGTTATAGGTGGATAAGAGAGAAACAATTGCATTCTTTCGAGTTTCTGACTAGCCTTTCTGAATATGCAATTTACAGAGATAGTCACTTATGCCTTAGTCTGGCTTAGTGAAACAAATAGGTAAGGAAGCGATCAGATATGTGTTTGTCTCATGTGAGCAGAGGGACAATTTTGAGTTCTGCCTGTCCTTCATCCATAAGGAATTTCCTTGTAGGCAAATTGTGGGGGAGGTATGTAGCTTTTTTTTTCTTTTCTTTTCTTCTTTTTTTTTAGACGGCATCTTGCTCTGATGACCAGGCTAGAGTGCAGTGGTGCAATTTTGATTCACTGCAACCTCCACCTCCCGTGTTCAAGCAATTTTCCTGCCTCAGCCTCCCAAATAGCTGGGATTACCAGTGCCCACCCACCATGCCTGGCCAATTTTTTTTCTTTTTCATATTTTTAGTAGAGATGGAGTTTCACCATGTTGGCCAGCCTGGTTTCGAACTCCTGACCTCAAGTGATCCGTCGCCTCAGCCTCCCAAAGTGCTAGGATTACAGGAGTGAGCCACCGCGCCCAGCTAGCTTTTTTAACCTTGTAGCTATCTTACTTAGGAATAGAATGGGAGGCAGGTTTGTCCTACACAGTTACCAGTTTGACTTCTTCCTTTTGGCTCAGTGATTTGGAGGTCTCAAGATTTATTTTCCTTTCACAATCACGACATGGTTGTTTTACATCATTACGTTTGGGGATGGTTTGTCAAACAGCAGTAGTAATTGGAATTTGGAGGTGAGAGAATTGAGTGGGGAAAGAGTGGCATGGGGAGACCAAGGAAGAAGCTTGGGGTGGGGTGGGTAGTGGGGACGGTCATTGAAACGAATGACACTACGGCTTGCACCAGGTTGAAGCAGTACCTGGCAAGGAGAGAGAGGATACGTGGAGGCTGCGATTTGGAGACAGACCCAAGAGAACTTCCTGGATGCCATCACCCAGAGTCCCATCCAGGGAGGGTGGGTGAGGTGGAAGACAAGGGATCGGGCCTGCGCCACGATCGTCACGTCCCATCGAAGCTGGAGCGGATCCGGGCACCCGGAGCCCCCATTCCAACCCCTCCCGGCCCCAGGCAACTACATCTCCCAGCATCGCCCGCTCGGGCCGCGGGAAAGGGGAAAAAAAAAAAAAGTTTGGGCCAAGCATTCCCGGAATGTGCTTCCTGCTGGCGCGGGGCGGGGGGCGGGCGGGGAGGCCCGGGCGGGGCGGGGAGGGCGCGGGGCGGCGCGGCCGGAGCCCGGGGCGCGCACTCGGCTCGGCCCGGCCCGGGCCGCAGCATGGCCGAGCCGCTACTCAGGAAAACCTTCTCCCGCCTGCGGGGCCGGGAGAAACTTCCCCGGAAAAAGTCGGACGCCAAGGAGCGCGGTAAGCGGAGATCGGTGGGGAACAGGGGGCGCCGAGCCCCACCCGGCCTGGGAGCGGGGTCCCAGGGCCCCGAGGACAGACGGTGGGGGGGATCAGGGGGAGCCCCCCGCACCCCGCTGCAGACTGGGGTGCCTCCAGCCAGGGGAGGGTAGGGGTCCTGGAAGGAAGGGGCTGGGAGGGAGGGGGGCGCGGACCGTTATGTGCTGCTGGCCGGGGATGCCAGCGCTGCGGGCTCCTTGGGAGGCCCGGGAGGGGGCCTCGCCCACGACAGGAAATGGGGCCGCGACTGAGGGCCTGGAGGGTGGAGGGGAGGAGGGGCTGGGAGGCCGGGACACTGGGGCCCAGTCGGGCTGGGCAAGGGGCATCGGGAGCCCTGGAGGCGCAGGATGGGAGATGGGAGGCGTACTCCTGCAAAGGAAAGAGAGGGGCGGCCCGTCAATCAGAGTAGCTGCCCCCTCCGCCTCCCACCTACTAACAGTGACGGCAACTGCGCCTGCCTTAGCCCCAGGAAACTGTCCCTTTTATACAGATGGGGAAACTGAGGCACGGAGCAATTGGGTCATGTGCCCAGGGCCATCGACTTAAACAGCTCTTTGGACTATGCTACAAACAGAGACCCTAGAGGGTGGACATCAGAGGTGGCCAGAGGAGGAGTTCAGCAGGGTAGCAAGTAAAAACCTTAGAGAAACAGCTGCGTGGGATAGGGGGACCCAGGAAGGAAGGAGTTAAAGGAGGAAGGCCAGACCATTCCATGGACGTACCCCTTCCCCCCAGGCCTTCCCAAAGATTCCCAATGTTCCCAGGGAAGGGAGAAGGGACAGAGATGCCCAAACACAAACACACACAGGAAACAGCCCAGGACATGAGACAGGAGAGGAGGGAGGGAAGGGGAAGTCCCAAAGCATTGAGCGTGGGGGGTCTGGCCTGGGCTGAGGGACAAGGGCCCATCCCAGGATGGCGACAGAGTTTGGAAGACAGGAGGGAGGGTAAAAGGGGCAGGGGACTGGGAGTGACTGTGCTGCAGGGAATAGAAAACCCAGCTCCTCACTCCTGAGCACGTAGTGCCTGCTGTGGGCTGTATACTTTTCCAAAAGGCTCCTGGAAGCCTCCCTGGACATGGAAATCACATCCCCCCATTTCACAGGAGGATACTGAGCCTCAGAGAGGGAAGCGACTTGCCCAAGGCCACGCAGGTGCAAAGCTCCATGCCACGGTTATTGAGAGGGTAGAGGAAGTGGAGACTGGAACGCAGTACCTACGGGCCCCAGGAAGCCTGACTTAGAACCCTGAGGCTGCAGGGATGGAGTCCCCTTTTGGGATGCCAGGGACTGAGTAGGGGGTGCTCTAAGCTGATAACTGAGATCGCTAGCCTGTGGCTGCCTATTCCAAACAAAACAGCAGGATCCAAGGAACCATGACTTATCAGGGGCCGGCCAGGGCCGTACACAGCATCCCACCCACTGATCAATTGCACAGGGCTGCTCTGCAGGCAGTGAGGGGCTGGGTGGGTCTCACTCCCCTTGCTCTCTGCCAGGCCACCCAGCCCAGCGCCCAGAGCCCAGCCCTCCAGAGCCAGAGCCCCAGGCTCCCGAAGGGTCCCAGGCCGGAGCAGAGGGGCCCTCCAGCCCCGAGGCATCAAGGAGCCCTGCACGGGGAGCCTACCTGCAAAGCCTGGAGCCCAGTAGCCGCCGATGGGTGCTGGGTGGGGCCAAGCCAGCTGAGGACACCTCTTTAGGGCCTGGGGTACCTGGCACTGGGGAGCCCGCCGGCGAGATCTGGTACAACCCCATCCCTGAGGAAGACCCCAGACCTCCAGCACCTGAGCCCCCGGGGCCACAGCCTGGCTCAGCTGAGTCAGAGGGCCTGGCCCCCCAAGGTAAGAACAAGCTTCCCATCCCCTTCCCCAAGGTGAGCACCAGCTCCACATCCCTTCCCTTCAGGGTAGCACCAGCCTCACACTCCCTCCTCCCAGAGGAGCACCAACCTCACACTCCTTCCCTTCAGGGGAGCACCAGCCTCACATCCCCACCCCGTCAGATGCTCCCAGAGGAGCATCAGCCTCACACCCTCCTCCCCGCCAGGGGAACACCAGCCTCACACTCCTTCCCTTCAGGGGAGCACCAGCCTCACCCCCCTCCCCTAAGCCCAGGTTCCTGGACCCTGAAGTCTGCTCTCCACACAGGTGCAGCCCCCGCCAGCCCCCCAACCAAAGCCTCCCGCACCAAGTCCCCGGGCCCCGCCAGGCGCCTCTCCATAAAGATGAAGAAGCTGCCGGAACTGCGGCGCCGCCTGAGCCTGCGAGGCCCCCGGGCTGGCAGGGAGCGCGAGAGGGCTGCCCCTGCGGGCTCCGTCATCAGCCGCTACCACCTGGACAGCAGCGTGGGGGGCCCCGGGCCGGCAGCAGGGCCTGGGGGCACCCGGAGCCCGAGGGCCGGTTACCTCAGCGACGGGGACTCACCGGAGCGCCCAGCTGGGCCCCCATCACCCACCTCCTTCCGGCCCTACGAGGTGGGTCCCGCAGCCCGGGCACCCCCGGCCGCACTCTGGGGCCGCCTCAGCCTGCACCTGTACGGTCTCGGGGGGCTGCGGCCAGCGCCGGGGGCCACCCCCAGGGACCTCTGCTGCCTACTGCAAGTGGATGGGGAGGCCAGGGCCCGAACAGGGCCACTGCGAGGGGGGCCGGACTTCCTGCGGCTGGACCACACCTTCCACCTGGAGCTGGAGGCCGCCAGGCTCCTGCGCGCCCTGGTGCTTGCGTGGGACCCTGGCGTGAGAAGGCACCGGCCCTGTGCCCAGGGCACCGTGCTGCTGCCCACGGTCTTCCGAGGTAGGACATGCGGCTGCAGGGGAGGAGGGGCAGGGACCCCCAAACCCCACCGCCACCCCCCGCAGAGTGCCTAGGGGGCTGGGCTCCGGGCGGAAGGTGTGGCCTGGAGCAGCGAGGCCAGGGTACATGAAGCTTCAGAGCACACCCGGCTCAGGCCCCCTTGTGTCCTCAGGGTGCCAGGCCCAACAGCTGGCCGTGCGCCTGGAGCCTCAGGGGCTGCTGTATGCCAAGCTGACCCTGTCGGAGCAGCAGGAAGCCCCTGCCACAGCTGAGCCCCGCGTCTTTGGGCTGCCCCTGCCACTGCTGGTGGAGCGGGAGCGGCCCCCCGGCCAGGTGCCCCTCATCATCCAGAAGTGCGTTGGGCAGATCGAGCGCCGAGGGCTGCGGGTGAGCACCCACCCCACCCCAACCCTCTGGCCCCCAGACCTCAGACCACTCTTCAGGACACCCTATGTACAGATGCCAGACCCCTACCCCCAGGCCTGAGCCACTCCTAGCTCCAATCCCAACCTAGACAAGGGCAGAAGGCGCCCCCTTGACTGTAGCACCCTGGGCAGAACCCATGGGTCATCCATTGATTTAAAAACAGGATCCAAGCCCTCCTGGGGCTCAGAGTCTGATGGGGGAAAAGATACGACTCTAGTCATTCACAAATGTAAAACTATAACTGGGACTGGAGTTGGGGTGGGGTGTACCTAGGGTCTGGGAGAGCTTAAAACAAAACCTGGGGTAGTCATGGAAAGCCTCCTCAAAGAAGTGTCAGTTTCCTAAGTCAAAGGAGATGGCAGCCAAGACAAGTAGTCCAAGCAGAGGGTTTACAAGGCCAGGTTGTCAAGGTAGTTCCAACCTCCCAGCCCACAATGCCCATTGCTGCCTGGCCCAGAATTCCAGTGCTCACCCCACTGGGCCCTGATTAGTCTGTGGCCCCGGCAAGAAGACATTCACTCTCTCTTCCCACCCCCAGGTAGTGGGACTGTACCGTCTTTGTGGCTCAGCGGCAGTGAAGAAAGAGCTTCGGGATGCCTTTGAGCGGGACAGTGCAGCGGTCTGCCTATCTGAGGACCTGTACCCCGATATCAATGTCATCACTGGTCAGCATGGCCCCCTCTCCCCTGCCTGCTCACCCCCATTCAATGCCTCACTTCAAGGCCTTGGGGCTCCTCTGGGACCTCAGTCCTCCTATCTGACCTTGCTTTCACCCACCTCCTCTTCCCCCTTAGCTGTGCCCTCCTTAGCCTTAGAAGCCAGTGGTGCCCTGACCAGAGGGGACCCTGTGTTCACAGGCATCCTCAAGGATTATCTTCGAGAGTTGCCCACCCCACTCATCACCCAGCCCCTGTATAAGGTGGTACTGGAGGCCATGGCCCGGGACCCCCCAAACAGAGTTCCCCCCACCACTGAGGGCACCCGAGGGCTCCTCAGCTGCCTGCCAGATGTGGAAAGGGTGAGTTGGGCCTGGTGGGAGTGATGGGACTTGAGAGTGGGCTGATACCAATAGAATGTTTCACCCATGCCTGGGCCTGAGATGGGCATGAGCTGGCAGCATCATCATATCCCCAAGAAATAGGTGCTATTAGCATCCCACTTCATAGATTTGGAAACTGAGGCCCAAAGCAGGTGACAGTTGCCCAAGGTCACACAGCCAGGATGTGTCAAAAATGCAGGCTGAACGCTGATCTTTCAACCTACAAGGGAGGTTCCTGGCTGAGGGAACCTAGACAAGTCCCATCCCTCTCTGTGCTTCAATATCTTCATCTGTAAAATGAGATTCATGGCAGCTCTGCTTTTCCAATGCTTAGTTGCCTTTGGCTTCAGTCTTCCCTCCAACAAAATAGGCTCATAATACTAACATCTAATGATTAATAGTCTTAACCCGACCACATCCCAGCTATGAGACTGTGAACCTGCTTCCCTACTCTAGCCACCTTAGTCTCTTGCAGGTAGGTGCCACAGGGGCCTGACTTTGTCTGACTTACATCCTCTCAACCCTCTCCCAGGCCACGCTGACGCTTCTCCTGGACCACCTGCGCCTCGTCTCCTCCTTCCATGCCTACAACCGCATGACCCCACAGAACTTGGCCGTGTGCTTCGGGCCTGTGCTGCTGCCGGCACGCCAGGCGCCCACAAGGCCTCGTGCCCGCAGCTCCGGCCCAGGCCTTGCCAGTGCAGTGGACTTCAAGCACCACATCGAGGTGCTGCACTACCTGCTGCAGTCTTGGCCAGGTGAGTTCATGCCCAGGGCCTGCACCACCAATCTGAGCCAGGCTGCTACAGTGATGCCACCTTAAGGGACCAATCAGTGTCTTAGGCTTGAAGCTACGCCCCCTCATGGAGTAAACTGGTACCTGGTTGCCTCAGCAACCAGTTCAGATCCAACCAATCTGTCTGTTTTGTCTTTTTTTATTTTCATTTTTTTGTAAAGACAGGGTTTCTCTATATTGCCCAAGCTGGTCTCAAACGCATGATCTCAAGCCATCCTTCCGCCTCAGCCTCCCAAAGTACTGGGATTATAAACCAAATCACCTTGCCCCACAGAGCTGATTCATCTTTTTATTTTTATTTTTTATTTTTTTTGAGATGGAGTCTTGCTCTCTAGCCCAGGCTGGGGTGTGGTGGCATGATCTCAGCTCACTGCAACCTCTGCCTCCCAGGTTCAAGGGATTCTCCCACCTCAGCCTCCCGAGTAGCTGGGATTATAGGCACGCACCACCAGTCCTGGCTAATTTTTATATTTTAAGTAGAGCAGGGTTTCACTGTGTTGGCCAGGCTGGTCTTGAACTCCTGACCTCAAGTGATCCACCCATTTCAGGCCTCTCAAAGTGCTGGGATTACAGGCATGCACTACCAATCCTAGCTAATTTTTGTATTTTTAGTGGAGATGGGGCTTCACGGTGTTGGCCAGGCTGGTCTTGAACTCCTGACCTCAAGTGATCCGCCTGCCTCAGGCCTCCCAAAGTGCTGGGATTACAGGCATGATCCAGGCATGATCCACAGACCTGCCCCTACCCATCTTTGATGCAGTCAGAGGCCCTGCCTCTTGACATGCCAATCAGAGGCCTAGTTGCGTAAGCAACCAGTCCTAGCTCTGCCAGTGAAAACCTGAAAGGGTCGAAGGCCGCTTTCCACAGGCCAATCAGGAGCCTAGTTCCCTAAGCAGCCAATCAGAGGTCGGCTGTCGCCTCTTTCTATGACCTACCCTGTCTCCCTTCAGATCCCCGCCTGCCCCGACAATCTCCAGATGTCGCGCCTTACTTGCGACCCAAACGACAGCCACCTCTGCACCTGCCGCTGGCAGACCCCGAAGTGGTGACTCGGCCCCGCGGTCGAGGAGGCCCCGAAAGCCCCCCGAGCAACCGCTACGCCGGCGACTGGAGCGTTTGCGGGCGGGACTTCCTGCCCTGTGGGCGGGATTTCCTGTCCGGGCCAGACTACGACCACGTGACGGGCAGTGACAGCGAGGACGAGGACGAGGAGGTCGGCGAGCCGAGGGTCACCGGTGACTTCGAAGACGACTTCGATGCGCCCTTCAACCCGCACCTGAATCTCAAAGACTTCGACGCCCTCATCCTGGATCTGGAGAGAGAGCTCTCCAAGCAAATCAACGTGTGCCTCTGAGCCAGATGACGGGGTGGGACCCCGGTTAGTAAGGACCGGGCGCCCAGTGGCTAAGGCGGTGCCCTGGTGACCAAGGAGAGCCAGACCTGTTGCTCAGGCCGAGCTCCTGGTTGCCAGCGAGTTACCACGGGACCAGTCGCGTGTATGGCTGAGACTCATTCCCAGTTTCCAGGGCCCGGTATTTGGACACTAGTTGCCAAGTCTGGGGCCTGGGGATTTTAGGGACCAGCGGTTGTGACCATCTTTCCTGAGCACCAAGGGCTTCCCCTTTTGTTGCCAAAAAGGTAGTTCTCGCGCTTGCTAGGCTGGCCTCTCTTGCCTCCCCTTGGCCGGGGCAACACCAGTTACTGTGAGCATCACCCTGGTGTGGTGAGTCACCTCTAGTCGGCCCTCTTGCTGCTGCCAACCAAATCAGTATTAGCTTTGAGCACTGCACTGTTTCTCCCTCCCTTGGACGACACAAAGACTAGCATGAGGCACTGTTTGTGGGGGGCAGCCCCTATCCTGGGTTCCAGCATGGACACAGGGGTAGCCTGGGGCTTATAGAGAAACAGCTGGTTTCCCCTACCCTTTTCCGGGGAAGTCCCCACGATTGGCCTCTAGTCAGCAAATGGAGATAACAGAGTCTGGCCTTTCCAATCCCCATCTCCTTGCCCCCCCCTTGCCCCCCCCCCCGAAAAAAATTGAGCACTTAAACCCCTCCCTTTTGGAGGGGGCCCCCTGAAGCGTCAGGCTGGGGGCAGTCTGGTACGGAACATATTTATTGCCTCCATGCATGTGTGTGTGTGTCTGTGAGGACTGGTGTGCGTGGACACGTCTGAAGCAGGCGTGTGGGGCTCTTTCAGGGACCACAGAGGAGGGAGCAGTTTGCAGTGCCCAGCCACCCTGAAATCCCCAATAATGGTGCCTCAGTGGGCCCCAGAGTTCCAGTGGGAGAGTACGGTTCCCTCCTGTCTCCCTCTTCTTTTCCGCACCTCCATCTTTGTGGATAATAAATAAATATGCACAGGTTCTGAGACTGAGTACTTGGGCCTACATGGGCCAGAGGTGGTTTATTCAGTCTCCATAAGAGAGGGGACAAACGGCACAGTTGGGTCCGTGAAGAGGAGGGTCCAAGAGCTCACAAGAGAGCCTCTCTGAGATTTGACCCCTCCATCCCCTCCTCAGGGAGGTTGTGGAGTCACTGGGCCTCATGGGATAGGCCCAGGGCAAGCAATGATGAGACTCCAAACCAGCTGGACACAGTCCAGGGGCAGGAAGGCAGCCAAGCGTCCTGACCCACAAGGCCCTATACAGCAATGGAGCCATCGCGGAAGTCCGTCCTCCCAATGAGGATGTTGACCACAACCGGGTGGCCGTCTCGGCACTGCTGCTGGGCATCGTGCAGCACCTTGACCACCTGATCCTCGTTCTCCCGTGAGAGCAGCAAGCCCCGGGCCCCCAGACCCATGGCTGCCTTGTGATAATCTAAAAGAAGAGATTAAGTCGGATAGTGGCAAGGACTCAGCCCACCGCACATGCAGCCAGCCCAGGAGAGGAACACAAGCCCAGCTGGGACTGAAACAGCCTCCTGTCCTCCCAACCTCGCTGAGGCCCCCTCACCAGTGTAGGCCAGGCCACAGGCCACGTTGCTGCCCAGAGAGGGCACCTGCTCCCGAGAAATCTGTGTCCAGCCAGCATCATTCCCTACCAAGGCCATCACTGGGATCTACAGGAAGATGATGAAGGCAGGCCGCAGCCTTCAGCCCCATGGCTTGGCCAGCCAGAGGACAGAGACAGGGATAGGGCCTCTGCCAGAGAGGAGGCTCCCTCCCCACCTCAGCCCACCCCTGGTGACATCTCCCAGAACCCCAGGCCCTAAGCTTCCCTCAGGCCAGCCCAGTCACCTTGTGTCTGACGAATGTATCAAATTCGATGAGGCTGTAGCCAAAAGCTCCGTCCCCAAACAGGCACCAGACCTAGTCGGGAGGGGACCCAGGATGGTTAGGGTGGATCAGGACCTAGAGAGCAGCAAGTCTCCCAACTCCAGTGCCTCACCTCAGCATCTGGCCGGCACAGCTTGGCCCCAAGTGCAAATCCTGCACCAACTCCCAGAGTCCCAAAGGCCCCTAAGAGGACCAAGAGCAGGTGGGTGTGAAGGCGTCCTGATGGATGGTGCCCACTGCCCCAGGCGGGGGCCCTTCCTTACCAGGATCGAGCCAGCGCAGGGGGCCGCGGGGCTGTACCAGATGGGCAGCAGTGCCCACGAAGTCCCCGCCATCCACCACCAGAATTGAGTTGTCAGGTAGCGTTTCCTCCACCAGCTGCAGCACCTGCACTGGGTTCAGGTGCTGGGCCACAGGCATCGCTGCCTTCTCCCTGCGACAGGACAGCGAAGGTCACCAGGGTTGGCAGCAGGGTCTGCCGGGAACCCCCTTCCCACATCCACTCCACCCAGGCCCCACCGAAAGGTCTGCTCCTTCTGCCGGTCGGCTTCCCGCAGCTCCTCCACCCAGTCTGGGGCCCAGGTCTGGCCCTGAAGGCCCTCCACTAACTTCAGCACGAAGGAACCCACATCTCCTGGGGAAGGAAGAGGACACAGCTGTGGGGAGCTGGCTTCCTCCTGTTCTTCCAGCATCAGAGGCCTCAAAACAGCAGGAAGCCAGCAGCAGCATCCGAGCAGGCAGACGGGAAGCAGGCCAGGGGTGCTCCTAGAAAAAAAACAGGTGAAACACCCCAGAACCTGCCAGAACCAGGGGAGGGCAGCCCAGGTGAAAAGGGAAGACAAGGCCCAAGAAACAAGGGTTAAGGAGCACAAGGCAGGTGACAAACCCAAGCTGGCCTCGTCCCCTCCCTCCACCTCCTTCTGCCTGGGAAACACTCAATGAAAAGAGCTACATCCACCAAGCACATCTCTCAAATCCAGGCACGTGGAAGCGCACAGCGAACGTTACTGAAGTGAACTAACAAACAGCCCCGTGATGTATCTTTCACCACCCCATTTTTCAAATGATCAAATGGAGGCTCTGAGAAGGTGAGGCTCTGCCGCTGTTCATCTCCAGTTCAGGCCTCCTCGCTTCTGTCCTGGCCATTTTGAGCAGCCCCCCTGGCCTCCACCCAGCCCCCTTCCGGCCTGCCGTCCATGGCTGCTGAGTGGACCTTCCCAACACAGATGCAACGGTGCTACTTCTCTGCTTAATACAAGAGTGTCCTGTCGCCTAGGCTGCAGGGGAGTCAACATCCTCAGAATGATGAACCAAGTTCAAGTCCAAGGGGACTAAAATAAGGGGAGGGGAGAGATACGGCAGGAAGACAGGCTAAGGGGCCAACGAGTGTGCTCTCTGTCCTGAGGGCAGTGGGCAGTGTGGGAGGGAACGTGATCACATGCACGTTTTCAAGCCTCCCTCTGTGTCCACCCCACCATTTGTTCCTACAGAAGCATCTATCAGGCCGGGCGCAGTAGCTCTGGTCTGTAATCCCAGCACTTTTGAGAGGCCGAGGCAGGAGGATCACTTGAGGCCAGGAGTTCCACGCCAACCTGGGCAACACAGTGAGATGCTGATTCCACAAAAAAAAATTAACAAATTAGCCTGGCATGGTGGTGCATACTTGTAGTCCCAGCTACTCAGGAGGCTGAGGTGGGAGGATTGCTTTTGAGCCTGGGAGTTTGAGGGTGCAGTGAGCTGTGATTGCACTACTGCATTCCAGCCTGGGTGACAGAGCGAGACCTCGTCTCTAAAAAATAAAAATAAAAAAAATTTAAAGAAAGAAGCATTCATCAGTTTGAGAGCCAACTATTTGTCTCTGGTTGACTGGCTACCCCTAGGGCAAGGTCTGGGCCTCAATCACTGTACCAGGCTCAAGCCAGCTGCAGCAGAAACCAGGAGGAGAGGGACTGGGAGGAGCACATATGTGTACGGGGGGATTAAGGGGCTCACCCTGCACAGCCTCCTGGGGCTTCCAGAAGATGTCTGAGTTGAGCAACATCTCTTCCCGATTACGATTGACGATGATGATCTTGCTGCTGTGGCTGAGGACACGGCCATAGGATAGGCGGAAGTCACACACAGTTCCTGGTGTGGGGGACAGGAATGCAGTAGGCAGAGGCCCCATGTCGTCTACCTTACTTGATCCACTGTGGTGGACTGGATGCAAATGAGTCCCTGTTCCTCACCGAGTCTCCCTGCACCTGTGCCACCTACAGTGACCTTGCAGCTCCCCACACCCCCTGAATCGGGACTGGCCTCATGACATGCTTTGGCCAACAGGATAGGGCAGAGGCAGGTTATATTTTCCCAGATGGCCATAATATCTCCCACCCTACATCCATTTGTACAAGGTCACCTTGACATGCCTCCCATGGAGAGAGGTGCAGCCTAGGTCCCCTTTCCTTGAAAGTGACACACCATGACACCCAACAAGGAAGATATGCAGTTTCTTCCTTGTTCACTTTTAGAGGCCTGGGTGGGGCCAAGGAATGTGCTCTCTGTCTAAGAAGTCTGACTACCCTGAGGCCATCATGCTGGGAGGAAACCGGAGCCACACATAGAGACCTGTGTAGTTGCCCTAGTCCACAGCCCCTCCAACAGCTGGCGTCAATTGCAAGACCTCTGAGTGAAGACACCTCCAGATGATTCAGGACCCCCACCCCCCATTCCTGCAGACTCTACTTCAAGAAGCCACACAGCCTCCACTCACTCTCTTGAATAACCGCACTCTCCTAGCCCCATAGTTTTCTCATCCTTCACCAAGTCGGCCAGCCCAGGCTAGCCTACTGGAGGATGAGAAACAAGGGGGCCATGGAGACAGGGGTGAAGAACTCTATGACCCCAGCTGAGGCCATCCCAGACGAGCTGCAGGGCCAGCCAATCCCCATACAGGTGAGCAAGCCCAGCCTGGATCAGCACAGCTGCCTTCCTGCCTAACCCAAGTGCAGACTCATGAATGAGCCCAGCCAAAACCACAGCTACCACCTACCTTATAGGTGGATCTTGAGAAATCAGAAATGCATTTTTAGCCATTGAGTTTGGGGATGGTTGTTACAGGGCAGTAGCTATCTGATACACCTATTATGCGTCTGGTTGGGTTCAAAGCGCTTTATGTGAAAATGTGTATCAAGTACAATAGGTGCCCACTAGACCTTCCTCCTCCTTCGTGTGAAGCTGGGTAACAGGGTGAGGGGGTTCCTGGGGGAAGGAGGGAAAGGAAGAGGCTCAGGCCCACCTGCTAGGACAATGACATCCGCCTTCTTCAGGGCCGCACTGCGGTTCTCCCGGATGTGGAGGGGGTGGTTGCGGCCTAACAGCCCCCGTGCCATCCCTCCAAGGAAGCAGGGAACACCCAAGGTCTCCACGGCAGCCCTGGGAGTCCAGGCAGAGCAGAGGTCAGTGTGGCCGGGGCCTCCCGCCTCCCCAAGAGCACCCGAGGACTGGGGACTGGGAACGTGAAAACAAGGGCAGGGCTGGCGCTTCTCACCGAAGCTTGTCGGCAGACGTTGGGGTGAGCAGGGCCTGACTCCCCAGCACCATCAGAGGCCTCTTGGCCCGGCTCAGGATCTCCACACAGCGCTGAACCTGGAGCGAGAGGTGGGGATCAAAGGGCTGTCTTTTTATTTATTTATTTTTTTGAGACACAGTTTCACTCTGTTGCCCAGGATAGAGTGTAATGGCATGATCTCAGCTCACTGCAGCCTCCACCTCCCAGGTTCAAACGATTCTCCCGCCTCAGCCTCCAGAGTAGCTGGGATTACAGGCGCGTGCCACCATGCCTGGCTAACTTTTGTATTTTCAGTAGAGACAGGGTTTCACCATGTTGGCCAGGCTAGTCTTGAACTCCTGGCCTCAAGTGATCCGCCTGCCTCGGCCTCCCTAAGTGTTGGGATTGCTGCTGTGAGCCACCGCGTCCAGCCAAAGGGCCGCCCTTGAGTCGCCATGAGCACCCAAGATTAAGGCCCCAGTACTGACTCAGGGAGAGGGTCAGGGGGCCCTCTCCCCTCAGGGAGAGGGTAGGGTCCTCAGACACAAAAGAGAGGCAATTCACCTGCTGCGGGGAAGCCTGGGGGATGTCCAGGGGCAGCGGTCCCTCGGGCTGAGGCTCCCAGGCTCCTGCAAAGAGGTTGGCCAGGTAATTCTCTAAATACCTGCAAAAGGGAGGGGGAAGAAACCAAGTTGCCAGAATTAACTAACTACAAGGATTCCAGGATCTGAGCAAGGAAAGGGGCCGGGAGAAAAGCCAGGAGCAAAGTGGCATGGGGACAGGGTGGATGAGTGACACCTCAGGGACAGACGAACCCTAGTGGCCAGGTCTTCAACTGCCTGTTTGCCCTCGGTAGCCTCTGGGGTCCACCCCAACTCCACGTAGCCCCCCAGAAGCAAGGAACGCAGGCTCAGCATGCCAGGATTAAGCCTGTGGGTCCAACAGATGTGAGCTCAAGTCCTGGCTCTGTCACTTCCTAGCTGTGCAACTTAGGGCAAGTGACTTCACCCTTCTGAGCTTCCACCTCTGTCAATGTAAATATGAACCTCCCTCCCCAGGTTCAAGGATCTGTCCACTTAGGACATGAGGCGCTTTGCATGGGAGTTCTGAACACTGTCCTCTCCTGCTTCAAACAGGGTCTTCTCGGTCTCCTTGCTCACTGGGCCCCAGGGCCCCAACTTTCCTGAAGGACCTGTGCAGGGCCCTGGAGACACAAAGATAGATCCTGCCCAGCCCTCCCCTCAGGGGGCGCTCTATCCAGCGAAAGACAGACACATGGGCATTGGCAGGAAACAGTCGGAGCTCAGAGTCAGAAGCCTCTGCTTTCACCGTTAAGGACAGGCCAAGACAGCACAGAAGCAGCCCAGGATGGAACCGTGGGAAGCCCCGCAAGTAAAGAAAAGGCAAGGGAGGCTGAGGCAGGAGGATTGCTCGAGGCCAGGAGTTCAAGGCTGTGGTGAGCTATGATCATACCACTGCACTCCAGCCTGGGTGATAGAGTGAGGCCCTGTCTCAAAACAAAACAAAACAAAAAAGGCAAGATAAGAGATAGCCTTGTGAGAGGCAGCCCAAGAGAGAGGGGCAAGGAGAACAAGGGGAGGGACTGACTGGGAAGCCAGGGGGCAAAGTGCATTAAGAATGAGGCTATATGACCAAAATGGTGAAACCTCATCTCTACTAAAAATACAAAAATTAGCTGGGTATGGTGGACTGCACCTGTATTCCCAGCTACTCCGGGGGCTGAGGCAGGAGAATCACTTGAACCCGGGAGGTGGAGGTTGCAGTGAGCCAAGATCGCACTACTGCGCTCCAACCTGGGGGACAAAGCGAGACTCCGTCTCAAAAAAAATAAAGAGGCCATAGAACAAAATCACTACTGCCTGAGCTGACCCTCAGGCGCTTCACACACATCCGGAGTACAGGAGCCTGACTACCTTGTCCACTGATGATGCCCCGTGCCTGTCCTGGAACCTGGCACATGGCTGCCGCTCGCTAAATGTATGGAAAGGAAGGGCCAAGGACAGGCAAAGGGAAGGGACTGAGGGGAAGGGAGAGAAGGAGGAAGAAGAGGAAGAGGAGGAGGAGAAGAAAGGAAAGGAAGAAGAAGAAGAGAAGAGGCCAGGCGCAGTGGCTCATGTCTGTAATGTTTGAGAGGCCGAGGAGGGTGGATCACTTGAGGTTAAGAGTTCAAGACCAGCCTGGCCAACATGATGAAACCTCGTCTCTACTAAAAATACAAGTATTAGCCAGGTGTGGTGGCGGGCGCCTGTAGTCCCAGCTACTCAGAAGGCTGAGGCAGGAAAATCACTTGAACCCAGGGGGAGGCGGAGGTTGCAGTGAGCCGAGATCACGCCACTGCACTCAAGCCTAGGCAACAGAACGAAGAATCTGTTTCAAAAAAAAAAAAAAAGAAAGAAAAGGACAAAGATGTGAGGGAAGGAAAGGAGGAGGAAGGAGAGGGCTCGAGTCTGGGCTCTGCCACTTTTTTTTTTTTTTTTGAGACGGAGTCTTGCTCTGTCACCCAGGCTGGAGTGCAGTAGCACGATCTTGGCTCACTGCAAGCTCCACCTCCTGGGTTCACGCCATTCTCCTGCCGCAGCCTCCCAAGTAGCTGGGACTACAGGCGCCCGCCACCACGCCCGGCTAATTTTTTTTTTTTTTGTATTTTTAGTAGAGATGGGGTTTCACCATGTTAGCCAGGATGGTCTCGATCTCCTGACCTCGTGATCTGCCCACCTCGGCCTCCCAATGTGCTGGGATTACAAGTGAGAGCCACCGCACCCGGCCTGGGCTCTGCCACTTCTTAGCTGTGTGACTTTGGGCAAGTGACTTCACCTTTCTGAGCTTCCTCCTCTGTAAATGTAAGAATGAACCTCCCTTCCGAGGTTCAAGGATCATCCTTTAGGAGGAGGAAAACGGAGAGGACGATGGGAAAGGTGGTGGGGGAAAGGGAGGAGAAGAGGAAGGAAGAGGGAGGAGGAAGAGGAGGAAGAAGAGATGATGGAGGAGGAGAAGAAAGGGAAAAGGAGGAGGAGGAGGGCTGTCCTGAGCCTCTCCCCTTTGCTGCCTCCACGAGGGCCGCCTTGCTTTCCCTACCCACCCAGTTCATTCCTGCCTCAGGACCTTTGCACATGCTGTTCCTTCTACCTGGAATGCTCTCCCCCCAGCTGTCTCCTCCCAGTCCACATGTGAATCAAAGGAGGATGGGTGTGGGCTGGAAGCTGCAGGAGAGAACGGGGGATAAAGGAGGGAATGGCAGGGGTGGGGCTATTCACCAGGAGACCACTCGGCCCACGAGGCCCTTGGGTGGCTTGGCTGGCACCATCTCCTTCTGGACCATGAAGTAGGGGTACAGCACGTCAACGGGCAGCTCCACAAACACCGGACCTGCAGGGACAGGGAGGACGCTGAGTCCATAACATGTCCCCAGCCCCTCGGCCCCAGCACTGCTCAGCATCACCATCCTCCACCTACCTGGGGTGCCCGACTGGGCGGCAGCCATCGCGGCCCTCAGGGTGGGCACAATGTCCCGCACCCTCCGCACAGACACACAAAACTTACAGAGTGGCCGGAAAAGGGACAGCTGATCAACAGCCTGGAGCGCACCCCGGTTCTGGCAAAGACAGAGGTGTGGCAGGGTTATCGCATGAGCCCTTCAAGCCCCCCTAGGCCCCCACTGGCCCCCAAGGACTGGGTACCTGCAGCAGAGTGCTGGCAGCCCCACCCAGAAGCAGGATTGGGGACTGAGCCATCTGAGCATTCTTCACCGCAGTCACCGTGTTGGTGAGGCCAGGGCCTGCTGTCACTGCCGCCACGCCCACCGTCCCTGGAACACAGAGCCCATCACAGCCATGCCCACTCTCTTGGCCATTCTTCCACCTCTGAAAAACCCCTACCCTCACAGACACTCTAGCCCACAGTCCAACCAGTCCCCAGCCCTCTCTGCAATGCCCTCACCGGACAGGCGGGCCATAGCATCAGCAGCAAAGACGGCCGTGACCTCATGGCGTGTGTCCACCACACGGATGCCCAGTTTCTCACAGGCCACCAGCAGCGGGGAAATGTGCCCACCGACCAGCGTGAAGATGAACCGCACACCATGGGCCCTCAGCACAGCGGCCACGTTCTCTCCGCCATGCCGGACGCTTGCCTTGTCCACCTGGGCCCAAGGACAGGTGGAGCAATAAAGTTAAAGGCCAGGGCAGAGGGCAGCTGGGAAAGGGGGCAATCCCCCTGCCCCAGGTAAGGGGGCAGGAGCAGGGTGAGAGGTCAAGAGAAGCTTGGTCTTGGTTAGGCATATATTATACTACATGCCAGGCTCAAACCAAGGCATAACATCTTATCAGATCCTCTTGTCATTACATCCCTCTTACAGCTGAGGACATCAAGGCTTGCCCAAGTAAGACTGAAAGTTCAATAGAACCCACGCTCTTAAGTGCCCCACTGTTACACTGCCTGTCTCCAGGATGGCAGGGCAATCAGGGAGAGAGGAGAGGGTTATATAACCCAGGGGGTTTGGCCAGGGGCACAACGCACGCAGAGCAGATGGCAGGGAGCCATCTGCTGTGACTCCTCCCTGCCCTCCAGTATCCTTGCAGAGCCTGGCAGCTGGGCTCCTGATCCCAGCCTCCCTGATGCCCTCCTGATGGACGCTAAACAGGCCCAGGGCTTAGTTGACAGGCTGCCAGCCACCATGTGCCTGGCACGGGAGTGAGCTGCTGGCACAGACTGTGCCGAGGCCTCCCAACTCCAGCTGCCTCACAGCCCTACACATCCAAGGCTTGCTTTAAATCTCCTAAGTCCTGAAGGTCAGTGGCATCACTCCTGGCTAGCAGAGGAAGCAGTAGAGAAGGGTTTGGGGAGGGAGAGGTCAAGCTTGGTCCCTGCTAGGAGAGAAAGGGTTGAGGAAGGGGTCTGGAGAAGGGGTAAATTTCAAACAGAGGTGCAAGGAGTTTAGGGGGACACCTGTGGGGTCAGCTCTCTCCAAACATGTCACCTAGGGCAAACCACCACACAATCTCTCTGAGCCTCAGCTTCCTCTTGCAGAAAATGAAGACAGAAAGAACAGCACCTACTTTCAAGGAAAAGGTAAGGGGTAGGTAAGAAAGTCTACAGTACTGAGCTCAGCAGAGGGCAACTGTTATGAAACTGTCACTGCCACCCCCTCGCTGGAGCCTGCCCTCTGCCCCATTTATCCCATCCAGGTTAGGGAGCACAGAGTGCTGTCCATCTGTTCTGTGAAAAGAGTCACTGGGGAAGGAGGTAGGTGGGGTGCGAGTGCCCCGGCAGCGGCAGCTTCCGTGTTCTCTCTTACCAGTGGCAAAGTCCAGGCCTCCATACACAGCGTGGCAATGGAGACAGGGCCCTGGACAGAACCTCTTACCAGTCCCTCTGGACTAGTCGGGGCTCGCTTTCCCACCCTGCACAATGAGTGAGCTGGAAGCAGCACCACGAGGCCCCTCCCTCTTTGACTGCCCCCAGCCCACCTCCCATTCTGTGCCCCGCACCTTGTGCAGCAGCTGATAGAAGAGCCCCAGGCGGTGAGCGGCGCCCAGCAAGGCGGCCACCAGCGTCCCGCAGGCCAGGAGCAGGAAGGAGGGGAATAAGCTCCCAGCGGGGGCGGCGGCCGCGGGGGTCTCCATGAGGTGGTACCTAAGAGAGAAAGGGCACTTCCCAGACTTGGGCGCGACAGGGAACCTCTCCGGAAGAAATCGCGCCCCTTCTCGCAGCAGGATCCAGGGCCACGACCCTTGCCGCCAGTTTCTGTGCGGCCACGCCCCCAACCCTGCCAGACCACGCCCTTTGTGCGCCTAGGCTCGGGGTGAAGCCATGCCTCTCCGTGACAAGGTCACGCCCCTCGCGGGGCTAGCCCCAGTCCTTTACATCACCACCACTCCCACCCAAACTAGCCACCACAAGTCAAGGTGGCGACGACAGCACCACACAGTTATCTTCCACTTACCTACTTGTCAATGGACAGGCGGAAGCCCCGCCTCTCTTTCCACAACCGGACCCCAAATCTCAGCCCCAGTAGTGAGCCCGCCCCATGTTACGTCACCAAGAGGCACGAGGTCACGCCCCCGGGTTAGCGGGCGCGACCCTCCACGCAACCCACGCCTCTCCCTTAAAGAGCGCACGGGCCCGAGCCTGATCCCCGACCCCGGGCCAGGCTGGGTCGAGGTCACATCGCATCAGGATGTGGTTCTCCCACACCAGCTCGACCCCCGACGCTATTCACCTTCACCTCCAGGATATGGCGCTGCCTCCAGCAGAATTCGGCCCCCTCCGTGTCACGTGACCCGGGAGCGTGGCCGTGCCCGGGTGGCCCACTTGGCTCAGCGGCGCCCCGTAGTCCGGCCCGATGCGCATGCGCACAGTCGGAGCCCCGCTCCGGGGCCACCCGAAAGAGCCTTGCCTCTACTGGCCGCCTCCCTCATAGACCCCGCCTCCCCTTGCCTTTCATTGGCTCGCACTGCAGACCTCACACCCATTTTATGTTTTAAAACCAGGAGGCCACGCCCCTCAGCGGCTTCAGGAGCCCAGACCTTTGGGGGCCCACCTTCCGCAGCTTTCCATTGGCCCCACGGTGGAAGCCCGTAGGTTCAGGCCCTCCGAACACAGCTCGCTTTCCACACCAGCGGGGCCGTACCAGAGCAAGACCATGTCTCACAAAATAATAATAATACTTAAAAAATGGTAAATTTTATGTTATGTATATTTTCCACACTATAAATAAATATTTGTGCATGTATATATATATATGTGTATATTTTTTGTATAATAGGTATAGTAGTAAGCAAAGGAAATTCACACTGAGTCACATTCTACAAAATGCCTAACCAGACCTCTACAAAACTGTCAAGGTCATGAAAAACAAAGACTGAGGCACTGCCACAGACTAGAGGAGGGAAAGGAGCTGTGACAACTAAATTCAATATAGTACCCTGGACTGGATCCAGGAATCAAAAAAAGGACAAATTTGTGGATAAAGTTGGTGAAATCCAAATAAAGTTTGGAGTTGAGTTAGTAGTAATGAACCAGTGTTAATCTTTTTGTTTCAGTAAATGTATTATGGTTATATAAGATGTTAGCATTCAGGGAAGCTGGATAAAGAGTAGACAAAAATTATCTTGCTATCTTTGCAGCTTTTCTGTAAAGCTAAAAAAGAAAAAAAAAGTCTTAATAACAAGGATACAATTTTCCAGAGAGAGAGAAAGATGTTGTAATAGATGTAAATTCTTTCTTGGGAGACAAAGCTTTAACATGCTCCAAGACTAATTATCTGACCAATCTCTCCCCAGATAAAGAAAGATTGTCACTAGGCAAATGTCCAAAAAGCTTCTCAGCCGAAAGCTGGATTATTCAACAGTCCCTGAAACAAATATACACAGAGGACAAGTGATTTTTTTAAAAAGGGAAACAAGCCTGGCATGGTGGTCCATGTGTGTAATCCCAGCACTTTGGGAGGCCAAGACAGGAGGATCGCTTGAGGCCAGGAATTTGAGACCAACCGGGGCCAAAAAGTGAGACCCAGTCTCTCCAAAAAACAAACAAACAAACAAACTTAGCCAGGAGAATCGCTTGAACCCGGGAGGTGGAGGTTGCGGTGAGCTGAGATCACGCCATTGCACTCCAGCCTGGGAAACAGAGCAAGACTCTGTCTAAAAAAAATTTTTTTTAAAAGAAAAAAAATTAGCTGAGTATGGTGGCACGTGCTTGTTATCCCTTTTGCTTGGGAGGTTGAGAAGGGAGGATTGCTTGAACCCAAGAGGTTGTGTCTACAGTGAGCTGTGATCGTGCCACTGCACTCCAGCTGGGGCAACAGAGCAAGACCCTGTCTCTAAAAAAAAGGGGGTGGGTGTGGGGCAGGGGAGGAAACAAATACCATGTATCTAAATTGATCGAAATTTAAAGAGAAGTGCAACAAATTATTGAGTTAGAGGGATACAGTAAGGGCCTCTCTTAGGACAAGCAGAAGGACTCTCTAAGGAGGTGACAGTTGAGCAGAGAGACCAGGAGGAAGTGAGGACATGGGCCCCACAAGGATCTGGAGAAAGAGTAATCCAGGTAGAGAAGATGGCACATGCAAAGGCCCTGAGGTGTTTTATTAATTTCCTTTGATGGCCATAACACATTACCACAAATTGGGTGGCTTGAAACAACAGGAATTAATTCTCTTACACTTCGGGAGGCCAGAAATTCAGCATGGAGGCATCAGTGGGGCCATACACTCTCTCGAGATCTTTGGGGAGGATCCTTACCTTCTCCAACTTCAAGAGGCTCCAGGCATTCTTTGGCTTATGGCTGCGTCACTCCAATTTCTCCGTATATCTTCAGATGGCCTTATTCCCTGTGCCTGCATCTCCTTCTGTATCTTTTTTTTTTTTTTTTTTGAGACGGAGTCTCACTCTTTCGCCCAGGCTGGAGTGCAGTGGCGCAATCTCGGCTCGCTGTAACCTCCACCTCCTAGGTTCAGGCAATTCTCCTGCCTCAGCCTCCTGAGTAGCTGGGATTACAGGCACACACCACAACACCCGGCTAAATTTTTTTGTATTTTTAGTAGAGATGGGGTTTCACCATATTCACCAGAGTGGTCTCGAACTCCTGACCTCAGGCAATCCGCCTGCCTCAGCCTCCCAAAGTGCTGGGATTACAGGCATGAGCCATCGGGCCCGGCCCTCCTCCTCTACGTCTTACAAGGATACTTGTCATTGCATTTAGGGACCACCCTCATCCAGGATAGGCTCATCTTGAGACCCCTCACTTAACTACTTCTGCAAAAACACATTTTCCAAGTTAGGTCACATTTGCACGTTCTGAATGTACATTTTAGGGTCTGTCATTCAACTCATTACAAATGGGATGGGCTTTGCATGTGCAGAGAAAGTCAGGAAAGCCAGGATAGCTAGAAGGAAGAGAGCAGAGGAGGCAGGGAGGAGACGCTATCAAAGGCTGGACAAAGGCCAGACAGGTATGATTTTACAGACTGCATGAGGACTGCAAATTTTATTCTAAGTGAATTGGAAAGCCAGAGAGGATTTTGAACAATATGCAACCACACACAATCTGCACATGATTATTCATAGGTGCTTTAGTTGCAATAGCTGAAAACTGGAAAAAATAACAAAAAACAACAAAAAAAATATCCCTTAAGAGAGGAATGGTTAAACAAACTGTGATTCACCCATACCATGAAACACTGCTCAGCAATAAAGAGGGCAAACTACTAAAACACGACAGGCCAGGTGCAGTGGCTCACGCTTGTAATCCCAGCACTTTGGGAGGCTGAGGCGGGTGGATCACCTGAGGTCAGGTGTTCAAGACCAGCCAGACCAACATGGTGAAACCCCGCTCTACTAAAAATATAAAAAACTAGCTGGGCATGGTGGTGGGTGCCTGTAATCCCAGCTACTCAGGAGGCTGAGGCAGGAGAATCACTTGAACCCGGGAGGCAGAGGTTGCAGTGAGCTGAGATCGTGGCATTGTACTCCAGCCTGGGTAATAAAGCGAGACTCCATCTAAAAAAAAAATATATATATATATGTATGTAGTCAGGCATGGTGGCATGCAGCTGTAGTCCCAGATACTGGAGGCTGAAGCAGGAAGATCTCTTGAGCCCAGGAGTTTGAGGCTGCAGTGAGCCATGATTGTGCAACTGCACTCCAGTCTGGGAGACAGAGCAAGACCCTCTGTCTTGCTAAAAACATAAAATACAACAAAACAGAAAAGCAAAGAAGCACGCAACACTTTGGATGAATCTCAAAATAAGTAGCCTGATTGAAAGAAGCCAATCTTGGCCGGGCGTGGGGCTCATGCCTGTAATCCCAGCACTTTGGAAGGCGGAGGCGGGTGGATGACCTGAGGTCAGGAGTTCGAGACCACCCTGACCAACATGGTGAAACCCCGTCTCTACAAAAAACATAAAAAATTAGCCAGGTGTCGTGGTGGGCGCCTATAATCCCAGCTACTCAGGAGGCTGGGGCAGGAGGATCACTTGAACCCAGGAGACAGAGTTTGCAGTGAGCCAAGATTGTGCCATTGCACTCCAGCCTGAGCAACAAGAGCAAAACTCCGTCTCAAAACAAAAAGAAAGAAGCCAATTTCAAAGGTACCATTAATATGATCCATTTATATGATATTCTCCAAAAGTGACAAAACCATACTATGGGAGGAAAGATCAGTGTTGCCAGGGGTTAGGGAAGGGTGTTAGAATAAAGGGGGTAGCATAGAAGGTTTTGGGGGTGATAGAACTGTTTTGTATTATGGTGGCTGCATGTGTTAAAATTCTAATTATGATAGTGGTTACCTATGTTAAAATTTTTATTGAACTGAACTCTAAAAATTTCAATTTTACTGCATGATCCTTTAAAAACTAAAATTACGTACATATAATTTTATACATATATGTGTAAATAAATAGATAATTATATGCACACACACACCGTCCATAAATAAATAGAATTGTTTAAAGACACACTGGCACCAAACCAAAGTGATCCCTTGAAGTAACCAGAAGATTTGAAAGAGAACTGGAAAAGGGACTCAATTTCTGCCTGTGCAATTCAAAGGTGTCTTTGATGTTACTCGCAGGAAACGCTGCTGTTAAGTGTTTCAAGTCTGGGGAAGCAATGCGCTTACCACACCCTCATATCCTTGTCAATGCTTATTTTTATGAGTTTCGAAGTAAGTATAGAGTCTGGAAATGTCACAGAGGGAAGCGATCATCAATGTCAAGTCCTCTCTTTGATGACTTGTGAGACACAGAGCGGGGTGATCTCTGCAAGTCTCAGCAAGTGGTTCAGTACTAAACTGGTTCCCAGATTTCCTGACTCTTCCCGGTGGGCATGAAATCCCTGTGTTTCTAAACGCTCCTACAGCCTTCGAGAAGGCTCCTAAGGCACTTAGAGCTCCTTCTAAACTGATGCAGGCCCCTAATCCTGGCTTTCATCTCCTTGAGCCAAGGACAGCATCACGTAGGCTTCCAACCGTCGTCATGAGGTGTGAGTCATACCGGCCTCCACACCTGTAGGAGGTAATGCCTAACAGGGAGTGATGGAACCGGTATTTCCATCCACTCAAGCAAATAAATGAAAACCAACAAGCTCTCACCACTGGGGAAAATTAACCATCCACAGAAACCACGAAAACATTACTAAAGGAGTTGTCAGTAATTTATAAATGAACAGATTCCCAAAATTTAAAAAGAAAAATGGAGTCATCCTACACAACTTTCAATGTGCTTAACATGCCCCTTAAAATTGAAAATGAGGCTGGGTGCTCATGCCTGTAATCCCAACACTTTGGCGGAGCCAAGGTGGGAGGATCACTTAAGAGTTTGAGACCAGCCTGAGCAACTTAGAAAGATTCCGTTTCTACAAAAAAATTTTAAAATTAGCCAGGTGTGGTGGTGCGCACCTGTAGCCCCAGCTACTTGGGAGGCTGAGATGTTGCTTGAGCCCAGGAGTTTGAGGCTGTGGTGAACTATGATCACACCACTGCACTCCAGCCTGGGCAACACAGCAAGACCTTTTCTCAAAAAAAGAAATATTGAGGCCAGGCACAGGGGTTCACGCCTGTAATCCCAGCACTTTGGAAACCCGAGGCAGGCAGATCACTTGAAGTTAGGAGTTCGACACCAGCCTGACCAACATGGTGAAACCCTGTCTCTACCAAAAATACAAAAATTAGCCAGGCCTGGTGGCACACGCCTGTAATCCCAGCAACTCAAGAGGCTGGAGCAGGAGATTCGCTTAAACCTGGGAGGCAGAGGTTGCAATGAGCTGAGATCACGCCACTGCACTCCAGCCTGGGCGACAGAGCAAGTCTCTGTCTCGAAAAAAGAAAAATTGAAATTGAAATCCAACATCCTGGGATGAGCTGACCCACAGAAGCTTTTTGGTAATAGCCAAAAACTGAAAAAACCAAAATACTCCTCGAGAAGTGAATGGTTAAATGTCCTACGGCACATCCATTCCATGGAATACTACTCAGCAATGTAATAAGCATTTATTCGATATTATACTTTATGTATTATAAAAAGAAAGGCAATTATCATTGGCAGAGAAGAGAGTCATCCTCCAAAATATGGACCTCTTTAGTCATGCCTAATGGAACATAGTATAAGAATTATTATTCCCTTAATAATTATTATTTCCTTCCTAGAGAGAAAGTTATATTAGCTAATCATAAATACACAGAATCTAGAAATTGTTCTAAAACTTTATTTTTCTCAGTGGGGCGCAGTGGCTCACGCCTGTAATCCCAGCACTTTAGGAGGCTGAGGCGGGTGGATCGCCTGAGGTCAGGAGTTCGAGACCAGCCTGGCCAACATAGTGAAACCCCGTCTCTACTAAAAAATACAAAAAATTAGCTGACTGTGGTGGCGGGTGCCTACAATCCCAGCTACTCAGGAAGCTGAGGCAGCAGAATCGCTTGAACCTGGGAGGCGGAGGTAGCAATGAGCTGAGATTGTGCCATTGCACTCCACGGCAACAAGAGTGAAACTCCGTCTCAAAAACAAAACAAACAAACAAAAAAACCTTTATTTTTCTCTTGAGGCTCCCATCAGACTACCTGGGAAGGAGATCTTCGCTCCTGTCTCCCTTTCCTTTCCTTTCTCTTATCCCTCATTTCCTTTGGGTTTGGTTTTTTTTTTTTTTTTTTAGTACTAACTGCAGGATCTTGGCTCCCAGTGAATTGGCTAAGATTGTGAAGAGTATTGACAGCTTGGGGCTGAATCCTAGTTTTGCCTTTCAGTTGCATTTGATATTAGACACATTTCTTTTCTTTTCTTTTTTACTTCCCATGCTGCACTGATGTAACTTTTTTTTTTTTTTTTTTTTTTTTAGTTTCTAATTTTTGTGAGTACATAGTAGGTGTATATATTTATGGGGAACACAAGATTTTTTTTTTGTATCCATTAACCATCCCCACTTCCGTCCCACCCCCCACCACCCTTCCCAGCCTCTGGTAACCATCCTTCTACTCTCTATCTCCAAGAGTTCAATTGTTTTAATTTTAGCTCCCACAAATAAGTGAGAATATGCCAGTTCCATCTAAATTGTTGCAAATGACAGGATCTCATTTTTTTATGGCTAAATAGTACTCCATTGGGTATAATAAGTACCCCAAAGTCCACTATGTCATACTTTTTTTTTTTTTGGAGGTGGAGTTTCACTCTTGTCACCCAGGCTGGAGTGCAATGGCACGATCTTGGCTCACTACAACATCTGCCTTCTGGGTTCAAGTAATTACCCTGCCTCAGCCTCCTGAGTAGCTGGGATTACAGGCGCCCACAACCATGTCTGGCTAGTTTTTGTATTTTTAGTAGAGACAGGGTTTCGCCATGTTGGCCAGGCTCGTCTTGAACTCCTGACCTCAGGCGATCCACCCACCTCGGCCTCCCAAAGGGCTGGGATTACAGGCATGAGCCACCACACTCAGCCCATCGTGCCCTTTAAAGGAAATGTATATGTTCCTTTGAGCCTTTAAGTTTCTCCTATAGCCTGGGATAAAAATGTATGGTTGGGCTGGGCGCAGTGGCTCACACCTGTAATCCCAGCACTTTGGGAGGCCGAGGTGAGTGGATCACTTGAGGCCAGGAGTTCAAGATCAGCCTGGCGAACATGGAGAAACCCTATCTCTGCTAAAAATACAAAAATTAGCCAGTCATGGTGGCGTGCGCCTGTAGTCCCAGCTACTCAGGAGACTGAGGCACGAGAATCACTTGAACCTGGGAGGCGGAGGTTAAAGTGAGCTGAGATCATGCCACTGCACTCCAGCCTGAGCGACACAGCAAGACCCTTGTCTCAAAAAAAAGTATGATTGGAGCTAAAGAAGCAACTTTGGACTCAGACATGGAAGCTATGATTTAAGGAAAGCACTTTACCAGCCCTAAACTACCCACCTCCAGACCTGTACATGAGCAAGATATAACTTCTATCCAGGTTAAACTACTCTATTTTAGGTTCTCGTTGTTACAGCAGCTCATACTGTACAATAATTTAAAAGTTAGCACCAAGAGTGGGGTTTTGCCCTAATAAGTACCAGATGTGGGGTTTTGCCCTACTAAGAACCAGAACTGGGGTTCTGCTGTAGTAAAAACCTGAACTGTAAGGCATTAACTTGACCATCAGACAGCAGGTCATGAAGACACAGATACAAGGTGAGGATCTGGTGATCTATGTTACATTATGGCAGACCACTAGGTAAAACTGTGATGTCTTGAATGACAGAGCAGGCACCGATGGAGTCTCCAAGCTTTGGAGATGTCATTGGAAGAACCCAGACTATTTGTGTGTGTGTGTGTGTGTGTGTGTGTGTGTGTGTGTGTGTGTGTGTGTTGACTACTTCTGGCTACTATTAATAAAGAGAGAGATATGTACTGTAGAAGTGGAGATGGAAAGGAATAGAATTGTATCAGTGAGGCCGGGTGTGGTGCCTCACGCCTGTAATCCCAGCACTTTGGGACGCCAAGGTGGGCGGATTGCCTGAGCTCAGGAGTTCGAGACCAGCCTAGGAAACACTGTGAAACACTGTCTCTACTAAAATACAAAAAATTAGCCAGGCATGGCAGTGGGCGCCTGTAGTGCCAGCTACTCAGGAGGCTGAGGCAGGAGAATCGCTTGAACCTGGGAGGCGGAAGTTGCAGTGAGCTGAGATCGCGCCACTGCACTCCAGCCTGAGCGAGAGAGCGAGACTCTGTCTCCAAAAAAAAAAAAAAAAAAAAAAGAATTATATCAAGGGAGGCTCTTTCTCCATGCAGGCTACAGTTGAAATGAACTGACGGTGGTGATTCAGGGCCTCACAGGGCTTCAAAGCAAAACACCTCCTGCACCCATAAAATGAAGCATCCATGCAAGATGGCTCTGATGAGGCAACGGGTTCTCAGCAGCTTCCCACTTGGAAGTCTCTTCTAGACTGTGAGAGTCAGCCCAGGAGCAAGAGTACTGCCTCCCCTCTCAACTCTGCCTTTCAAAAAGCTAAGAGTAGCTGTCACTAACATGAGAGAATATCCCCGGGCGCGGTGGCTCATGCCTGTAATCCCAGCACTTTGGGAGGCCGAAGCGGGCGGATCACGAGGTCAGGAGATCGAGACCATCCTGGCCAACATGTTGAAACCCCGTCTCTACTAAAAATACAAAAATTAGCTGGGTGTGGTGGCACGTGCCTGTAATCCTAGCTACTCGGGAGGCTGAGGCAAGAGAATGGCTTGAACCTGGGTGGTGAAGGTTGCGGTGAGCCGAGATCATGCCATTGCACTCCAGCCTGGGCAACAAAAGCGAAACTCCATCTCAAAAAAAAAAAAAAAAAAAGAAAGAAAGAAAATAAAAAAAGATAAGAGAGTACCAAGGTCCAGGCATAGAGGCTAGGAAATAAAGGAGGACAGAGTTAAGGTTTAAGAACTATGCCAGAGAAGATATTGATAATTGGCTCTCGCTCCTTGCATATGGGCCTGCCTGGAGACAAGAGGATGGAAAGTCTACTAAATTTTTGAGATCTGCATTGTCAAAGAAACTATATAAGTCTGGACTGCTTTGGCACAGTCTTTTGACTGTGATTATTTGACATTAAAAAGAAAATCTTGGTGGGGAGCAATGGCTCATGCCTGTAATCCTAGCACTTTGGGAGGCTGAGGCGGGTGGATTACTTGAGATCAGGAGTTCAAGACCAGCCTGGCCGAGTAGTGAAAACCCATCTCTGCTAAAAATACAAAAACTAGCCTGGCGTGATGGCGCATGCCTATAATCCCAGCTACTTGGGAGGCTGAGGCAGGAGAATCACTTGAACCCGGAAGGCAGAGATTGCGGTGAGCCACGATTGTGCCCCTGCACTCCAGCCTGGGTTACAGATGGAGACTCCATCTCAGAAAAATAAAATAAAATAAAATAAAATAAAATAAAAAAATCTTGGCCAGGAGCAATGGCTCATGCCTGTAATCCCAGCACTTTGGGAAGCCAAGGCAGGGGAATCAATTGAGCCCAGGAGTTTGAGAACTGGCCTAGGCAAAAAAGTGAGACCCAATCTCTGCAAAAAATTAAAAAAATTAGCCGAGCATGGGGTTGCATGCCTGTGGTCCCAGATACATGGGAGGCAGAGGTAGGAGGATCCCTTGAGCCCACAAGGTTGAGGCTGCAGTGAGCCATATTCACATCACTGCAGTCCAGCCTAAGTGACAGAGAAAGACCCTGTCTCAAAAAAAAATCTGTATCATGAACCCCCTCAAAATTGTACCAGCAAGAAACGAGAAAACTTCAGAAATGGCTTTGGGGCATAGAAGACAATGAAGGGCCCCACTAGCGGGCAAAACCAAGGACCATGGAGGACAATGGACAAACAACTTACTCTCTGGCAAGGCTGCCCTTCAAGGAGTCTTCACAATTTCTGCCTGATAAAATTTGCATTTGTTTTGTTTTGTTTTTTACAGACTGGGTCTTTCTCTGTCGCCCAGGCTGGAGTACAGTGGCACGATCATAGCTCACTGCAGTCTCAATCTCCTGGGCCCAAGCAATCCTCCCATCTCAGCCTTCTGAGTAGCTGGGACCACAGGCACATGCCACCACACCCAGATAATGTTTTGTTTTTTTGTAGAGATGGGGTCTCACTATGTTGCCCAGGCTGGTCTCAAACTCGTGGCCTCAAGCAATCCTCCAACCTCGGTTTCCCAGAGTGCTGGGATTACAAGCATGAACCACTGCACACCTAGTTAATTTCTGCATAATGAAAATTTCATATTGCGGTTCATTGACTTTTGTGTGTTTCCCACGCTTCCATTGAAGTGGAGGTTTTTTATTGTTTGGGAAATTGGGGGCAGAGGTGTTTGTTTGTTTGTTTGTTTGTTTGTTTGACTATGGTTTTACCACTTATACTGCATGTAGACTAGAGGGAGCTTTTTAAGTTTGTAGGCCACCAGACCATGAGAAACCATACCAGAGCTCAATGGAGGAATGTTATATTTCAAACCAGACCAGCGAGTGGATGAGTCATTAGGCTATGTCTCTTGGATAGGGATGGTCTGTGTATGAGAAGAAGGAGGTGCATGTACACTGTATGCAGTGGCACCAGTTCATCTAGCTCTGCCTGTTTAGGGAGGTGATTTAGATATTTCAGAACCAAGATATCTACAAGACAAATAAACTCTTCTCTTGCCAACTCAATGTTGCTAACTGGCTGCATTTCATTGCATATCTCTTTTAACTTAATTTCTATTTTTAATTGTGGCAAAATACACACAACATAAACACTACCAGTAGAGTCATTTTTAAGTCTACAGCTCAATGGCATTACGTACATTCACACTGTTGTGTAACCATGACCACCACTCATTATCAGGACTTTTCCATCTTGCAAAAGTGAAACTCCATACCCATTAAACACTCACTCTCCATTCTCATCTCCCTTAGGCCATGACAGCTAGTGTTCTACTTTCTGTCTCTATGAATTTGAATGCTCTGGGTACCTCACAGAAGTTGAATTATCTGGGTACCTCATAGAAGTAGAATTATACAGTACTTCTTATTTTGTTATTGGCTTATCTCACTTAGCATACTATCCTCCAGGCTCATCCATGTTGTGTCAGAATTTCCTTCTTCTTAAGAATGAATAATATTCTGTTGTATGGTGGTATGTGCTATACCATGTTTTGTTTATTCATCCATCCACTGAAGGGCACTTGTGTTGCTTCCAACTTTTTTGGCTATTGTGAATAATGTTGCTCTGAATATGGGTGTGCAAATATCTCTTCAAGATCTTGCTTTCAGGCTTTTTGGATTACACCCAGAAGTAGAATTGCTAGATCATATGCTGAATCTATTTTTAACTTTTTGAGGAACCACCTGTATTAGTCTGTTCTCACACTATTAATAAAGATATACCTGAGACTGGGAAGAAAAAGAGCATTAATTGGACTTACAGTTCCAATGGCTTGGGGAGGTCTCAGAATCACGACAGGAGGCAAAAGGCACTTCTTACATGGCAGCGGCAAGAGAAAATGAGGAAGACACAAAAGTAGAAACCCCTGATAAAACCCCGTTTTTACTAAAAATACAAAAATTATCTAGGTGTGGTGGCACACACCTGTAATCCCAGCTACTCGGGAGGCTGAGGCAGGAGAATCACTTGAACCAGGAGGTGGCGGTTGCAGTGAGCTGAGATTGCGGCACTGCACTCTAGCATGAGTGACAGAGTGAGACTCCATTAAAAAAAAAAAACCCACACAGGTTTAGAATCTCAAAGTGTCTATAGATCAGGAATCTTAGTTGGGGCACAGCTACTCACAGGCTGCAATCAAAAGGTTGGCCAGAGCTGCGGTCTTATCTGAAGGCACAAGTGAGTAAGGACCCTTTTTCTAGTTTATTTATGTGGTTTTAGCATGAATTCAGTTACTTGAAAACTGTTGGACTAAGGGCCACTGTTGCTCACTGGATGTTGGCTGTAGGCTACACTCAGTTTCTTGCCTCTCCAAATAGGCTGTTGGCTTCATCAAAGCCAGCAAGAGAGAGATTTTGCTGCCAAGAAGGATGCCAGGATCTTTGTAACACAATCATGGAAATGGCATCCACTCAACATTTTGATATTCTATTGGTCAGAAGCAAGTTACTCAAGAGGAGGAAATTATATGAGGTCATGAGTACCAGGAGGTGGGATCACTGGGAGCCATCTTAGAGGTTCCCTGCCATACTGTCTCCTCTTCTGTATTTTAGGGCTCCAGTGCCTGACCACTTGCTTCCCCAACTTCTAGCAACACCTTCTCCCCTTCTAGTACTAGAAAGGCATTCTCCTCCCATCATATCCTTATAGTAAGCTTTACCCTCTCTTGCCATGTGACCATGATGACAGAATCATTTCAGCGGAACGTGATTTATGGGAAAGTGGCAAGGATTTCAACAAACACATCTGTTTAGGCTGGGTGCAGTGGCACACCCCTGTAATCCCAGTGCTTTGGGAGGCCAAGGCAGGAGAATTACTTGAGCCCAAGAGTTCCAGATCAGCCTGGGCAACATAGTGAGATGCCATCTCTTTTTTAAAAAAAATTATCCAGGTGTTGTGTTGTGTGCCTGTAGTCCCAACTAACTACCCAGGAAGCTGAAGCAGGAGGAGTCCTTCAACCCAGAAGTTTGAAGCTGCAGCAAGCTATGAATGCACCACTGTACTCCAGCCTGGGTGACAGAGTGAGACGCTGTCTCTTAAAAAAAAAAAAAATCTGTTTAGAATTTTCAAAATAGTATCCTTGTGAGTCATATAATCATGTATATGTTTAAATACACAGAATGAGCAGCAGAAATGGAAAACAGAGATGCAAGGAGAAGCATTGAAAAGGCAAGGCACAGATGTCTACATGAAAAGTTAGAGTTATATGAGATAATGACTCAGTTTCCCCAGCATGATCAGAAGAGTATTGATGGGGAGAGTTTCCCTTAGGCCTGGCCTATTTTATTCTTAGGCAATTCTACTTGTAAGTGTATCAACTGGATTCAACAGGAAATGGAAGACACATTGCTTCTGGGTAATTTAGGGGAAGTTTTTCAAAGGGTCTGTTTGTAATGATGTGGGCAAAGTTAAGGGCTGGTGTGGCATCCCAGAGCTAGCAACACTGGGGAGCTGTTAACACTTATTAATGCCTGATGGTGCAAGGAAGAGAATGCTTACAGATGACCAGAAAAAGTGGCTGTGTGGAAGGGCCTATGGCCCCTAATAAAGAGAGCAGCCAACTACAGCAACCAAGCATCTGGTATCTCTATAGTCTCCCTGACATTTCTTTCCTTCTGACCTCCATCTCCTGACAATGCCTCCAATTGGCCAAACCCAACCAGAAACCAGAGGGTGCCAAGCCCATCAGTGTGGTCCATATAGGTTGGTCTCCCGAGACAACAAGCAAAGTAGACATTTTGGGACAAATAGAAAACACAGCACATAAAGCACAGCCCATATCATATTTTCTTGGAGAATTTTATGGTGTCAGCTTCATCACCTGTGTTCAGCAAACTTCCCTTTTCCTAATTCCACAAAGTATAAAGGTAGGTTATTGATTTAGGATCTTTCTTCTTTTTCAATGTAAGCATTCGCAGCTATGAATTGCCCTCTGAGCCCTGCTTTTGCTGCATCCTATAAGTTTTAGTGTGTTTTGTTTTCATTTTCATTCATCTCAATGTACTTTCCAATCTAACATAATTTCTTCTTTGACCTCCTGGTTAAGAGCATGTTGCTTAATGTCTGCATACTTGTAAAGTTTTCTTCTGTCACTGATTTCTTACTTTATTCCATTGTAGTCAAAGATACTTTGGATTATTTCAATCCAACACCAGCATCTAATTAAACAAAAGTTAATTACTAAAGCACAGTGAGACACCACTTTACATCTATTAGGATTGATATGATTTTTAAAAACACAAAATAGGCCAGGCACGGTGGTTCACGCCTATAATCCCAGCACTTTGGGAGGCCAAGATGGCCAGATCATGAGGTCAGGAGTTCGAGATGATCCTGGCCAACACAGTGAAACCCCGTCTCTACTAAAAATACAAAAATTAGCCGGGCATGGTGGCACGTGCCTGTAGTCTTGCTACTCAGGAGGCTGAGGCAGGAGAATCATTTGAGGTGGACCCTGCAGTGAGCCAAGATTGCACCACTGCACTCCAGCCTGGGCAACAAAGCGACACTCTGTCTCAAAGAAAAAAAACATTAAAAAAAACCTACTTCTTAGTGTGACAAAATAAAAGAATGCTGAGGACGGTGTCAGTCCAGATCAATGCTACTAGACACAACCTTCCACAGCCCACCCTCAAGGGGCTGCCTTAATGGCATCCTCCACTGGTGCACATCAGACACTGCAGACCACCGTGCATCGCAGCCAAGTCCAGGAAATGAAGACGAAAGAAAAAGCATCCATTCCTGAGCTTATGCCAAGTCTCAGGCACTATTAGTTGACAAAGCCTATCTCATTTAAGGCATGGGAGTGAACCCTGTTTACCAGATGGGACAACTGAGTCTGTGGAGGTACACATGCTAATAAAAACCCTAGAGTGGCTGGGCTCAGTGGCTCACATCTGTAATCCCAGCATTTAGGGAAGCCAAGACAGGAGGCTTACTTGGGGCCAAGAGTCTGAGATCAGCCTGGGCAACAGAGTGAGACCCTATCTGTACAAAATCAGAATTTTAAAAATTAATTGGGCACGGTGGTGAACACCTGTAGTCCCAGCCATGTGGGAGGCTGAGGAGGGAGGATCACTTAAGCCCAGGAGTTGGAGGCTGCAGTCAGTCATCATTGCACCACTGCACTCCAGCCTTGGCAACAGAGCAAGACCCTGTCTCCGAAAGGAAAAAAAAAAACAAAAAACTAAAATAGCCTGAAACGTAGAGCAGGTTTTTGTTTGTTTGTTTGTTTCTGTTTTGTTTTGAGATGGAGTTTCGCTCTTGTCTCCCAGGCTGGAGTGCAATGGGGTGATCTCGGCTCACTGCAACCTCCACCTCCTGAGTTCAAGCAATTCTCCTGCCTCAGCCTCCGCAGTAGCTGGAATTGCAGGCCTGCATCATCACGCCCGGCTAATTTTTGTATTTTTATCAGAGACGGTGTTTCACCACATTTGCCAGGTTGGTCTCCAACTCCTGACCTCAGGTAATCTGCCCGCCTTGGCCTCCCAAAGTGCTGGGATTACAGGTGTGAGCCACCGTGCCCAGCCAAGCAGATTCTTATTTAAAAACCCCACGGCTCCACGCCAGGGTCCTCCTCAGAGCCACTCTCACCTCCTTGTTCCACAGAGTGCACACCACAGGGTTCAGCAGTGGCATCACCACCGTGTAGAACACAGCCACCAAGCGGTCCTGGTCGGGGTTGGCCCCGGACTCCGGACGCAAGTAGATGATGGAGGCGCAGTCAAAATGTACTACGACCACGGTGACGTGGGCCACACAGGTGGAGAAGGCCTTGCGCCGGCCGGCTGCCAAGGAAATCCTCACGATGGCAGCCACGATGAAGGCATAGGAGAAGAGGATCGGGACGAAGGACATCAGCACCACCAGGACGCTCAGGAAAAAGATGCCCAGCGCCTTGCTGGCACTCTTGGCGCAGCTGAGCTTCAGCACCGGGGCGATGTCACAGAAGAAGTGCTCCACGTGGTCTCCGCCGCAAAAGGGCGATGAGAAGATCATGCTGGTCTCGATCAAGGCCACCGAGAACCCAGAGCAGAAAACCAGGGCTCCCAGGCAGAGGCAAACGGTGGGTCTCATGACCATAGAGTAGCGCAGGGGGTGGCAGATGGCCACATAGCGGTCATAACCCATCAGGGTAAGGAGGAAGCAGTGGCTGCATCCCAGACCCAGGAAGAAAAACATCTGAGCCTGACAGCCAGGGATGGAGATGGCCTGGTCTCCATCAGCAGATGAGCCAGCATGCTGGGGATGGTGACCAGCGTGTATAGCAGGTCTCCGAGAGGGACAGCACCACCAGGAAGTGGTACATGGGAGTGTGGCGGGACCTATCCGCATGGGTGATGGTGATGATGGTGACGTTGCCACCGAGGGTGACCAGGTAGGTAAGGAAGAACAGGGTGAAGAGTGTGTTCCTCAGGTGTGGGAGGTTGGAGAATCCCATCATCAGGAATTCTGTCACCAGACAGGTCCCATTTTCCTGCTGCTTGTAAAGAGACAGAGAGGAGGCAACAGAATAGGTAAAATAGAGTGATTAATAAGGGTCTGCGATGCATCAGGTAGCAGTGTGGAAAGAAAATCATTTCTGGCCAGGCACGGTGGCACACGCCTGTAATCCCAGCACTTTGGGAGGCCAAGGCGGGTGGATCACCCGAGGTCAGGAGTTCGAGACCAGCCTGGCCAACATGGCGGAACCCCGTCTCTACTAAAAATACAAAAAATGTAGCTGGGCGTATTGGTATGCATCTGTAATCCCAGCTACTTGGGAGGTTGAGGCGGGAGAATCACTCGAACCCAGGAGGCGGAGGTTGTAGTGAGCTGAGATCACGCCACTGCACTCCAGCCTGGGGGACTGAGTGAAACTCCATCTCAGAAAAATAATAATAATAATTCCTGTTTTGCAAAAACTGAAAGGGGTACTCAGAAACAATAAGCCCTTTGTTTTCCTAAGAGTCACACAACTAGCAAGTGACTCTTCCACAGATAAGAAAATCAGAGGAATGTATGAGAAAATGATATTTGGTGTGTGGAAGGAAGATGGTAAGTTTGAATTTCTCTAGAAACAGATGCTTGATAAGAATTCAAGAGAAATATTTTATATAAAAGATGATTTCAAGTGACATACATAGGGAAGTAGGACGTGAAACAAGGAAGGTAGATAACCAATACAATGTACATCACCAAGGAAGGTACTGCCGTGGGCCACTGGAATTTAATCTTATGTGCAGAACCGTGGGACGTGTCCAGGAATATACACTTCTATGTTTTTTTACCCAAGGTATGAGGGAGCTTGGGGATATATCCACTCAGTCCCATTAGCCACTGATTGAAGATTTCTCTCAGGAGGCATTAAAGTGCCAGCACATGCCGCTTGCCATGTGTACAGAAAATTCAAAGTCTGGCTCAGCAAGAAAAATAGGAGCAACGGGGATGTAGGTGAGAATTTTACAGGGTCTGCTATAGTCCATGTGAAAAAGAATATCTGGCCAGACACAGTGGCTCACGCTTGTAATCCCAACACTTTGGGAAGCCAAGGCAGGTGGATCACTTGAGGCCAGAAGTTCGAGACCAGCCCAACCAACATGGTAAAACCCTGTCTCTACTAAAAATACAAAAATTAGCCAGGTGTGGTTGTGTGCACCTGTAATCCCAGCTACTCAGCAGGCGGAGGCAAGAGTATTGCTTAAACCCAGGAGGTGGAGGTTGCAGTGAGCCAGGATCATGCCACTACACTCCAGCTTGGACGACAAAGCAAGACTCTGTCTCAAAAAAACCAAAAACCTTAGGAAGGCAAAGGCAAAGACTGCAAAATTGATACCTGAAATAAACCAAATAACACTTTCAGGAGAATGAGGTCAGCAAGATTGTGGAATAGAAGTTTTCTGCCTTTACTTCCTTCAGCTACTGGAAATTGCTGGCAACTGTTCAAAGTGAAGAATGCTATCATTAATATCAAGACCTTAGGAGTGAGGCTGAGATGCCCCCTTGGACTGAAGAATAAAAAAAAAAAATTCATGGTGAAACAGTAAGAGGAATGGTTCTCTCTGACTACACTGTCCCTCCCTGAGGCCAGCAGGACACCATATGCTGAGAGTTCTCCTGGACCCATGGTTTTTGCAGTGGAAGGGATGAGTTGGAAGTGAACATTCAGCTTCTCCATCATTCTGGGATTCTTCACGGGTAGCTTGCTCCTATCTCGTCCCACTTGAAATGTTGAGAATGCCGGCATGGCTGGACACCAGGGGTCAGTTCGGTCAAAGAACAGCGGACGAGGGGCTCACAGGAACCAGTTCACAAGTTTTGGTACTTGCGCTGCATCCCCACCAGCAGAAGTGCCGATATGGTTAGGATATTTGTCCCCACCCAAATCTCATGTTGAATTATAATCCCTAATGTTGGAGGTGGGGCTTAGTGGGAGGTGTTTGGGTCATGGAGGCAGATTCCTCATGGCTTGGTGCTGTCCTCACAATAGTGAGTGAGTTCTTGCAAGATCTGGTCATTTAAAAGTGTGGAGCTATTCCACCCCACTCTCTCTCTCTTGCTCCTGCTTTTGTTATGGGAATTGCCTGCTCCCATTTTGCCTTTCATCATGAGTAATGCTTCCTGAGGCCTCCTCAGAAGCAAAGCAGATGACACCATGAAGCATGCTGGCACCATGCTTCCTGTACAGCCTGCAGCACTCTTAGCCAATTAAACCTCTTTTCCTCATGAATTACTCAGTCTCAGGTATTTCTTTATAGCAATGCCAAGAATGGCTTGCTACACTTGCCACACCATAGAAACTAGCAAACAGCATCATGTGCAAGAAACATGGTGCATGTTATTTTTCCTAACAACATTACCACCCAGCCAGGGAAAACAACATCCAACCATGCCTGATCAGAGACAATTGCAGAGCCCAGCCAGCCGCCCCACATGATGGCAGAGTCCAGCCAGGTGCCCTTACCAGACTGTGGAACACATTCAGAAATACCACTCAACCTCAGAGAACAGGAAGCAACTCAGCCCAGTTAGAGAACCCCACAGCAAAGTCTGCCTGTCTGGAGTTTCAACCAGCCAGCCCACCCAGAATTCCAAACTAAACTAAATAATAAAGGTCTATCACAACCAAATTCCACCTGCAAAGGCTGGAAAGGATGGCTGTCTCCTCAAATGTAAAAGCAACTACGTAGGACACAGGTTTATGTTTTAAAAAACAAACAAAAAAATAAAAAAACAAGGAAACATAACACTACTAGAAAAAAATAATAAAGCTCCAGTAACAGACCCAGAAGAAAAGGTAATCTATAAAATGACTGAAAATGAATTCACAATGATTCTCTAAAAGTTCAGGAGCCTAAAAGAAAATACAGATAGAAAATTAAATGAAATTTGAAAAAACTTTATAAACAAAATTAGAAGTTTGGCAAAGAAGTAGAAACAATTAAAAGCACAAATAGAAATCCTAGGAAGAAAAAAACATAATAACCTAAATAAAAAGTTTGATACAAAGTAGGATTAAGAGTGTAGAGATACTTTATTTCTGTGATCAAAGTTAAGTGGTTATCATCTTAAAATAATCTTTTAACACTATAAGATGTATTTTGCAAGCCTCATGGCAAGCACAAAGCAAAGGCCTATAATAGATACACAACAATGAAAAGGAAGGAGTCAGTGTTCGCTTTGGCAGCACATATACTAGAAATGGAATGATACAGGGATGATCGTGGCCCCTGCACAAAGATGACATGCGCATTCTTGAAGCATCCCAACATAAAACTTATTTTAAAAGGAATAAATCAAAACATATCACTAGAAGAAAGCATTTAAGCACTAAGAAAAAAAAGTAAATGAGGAAGAAACAAAAAGAATACATAAAATAACTAGAAAATAATCAGCAAAATGGCAATAGTAAGTCCTCACCTGTCAACAATTACCTTGAATGGACACGAATTACATTCTCCATCAAAAAACATGGGGTGAAGGAATAGATAGAAAGAGGCACCCAATCATGTGCTGCCTAAAAGAGACTTAATTCACCTGTAAGAAACACAGAATGAAAGAGATGGCATGGAAAAAGATATTCTAGGGCTGGGCATGGTGGCTTACACCTGTAATCCAATGCTTTGGGAGGCCAAGGTGAGCAGATCACTTGAGGTAGGCATTCGAGACCAGCCTGGCCAACATGGTGGAACCCCACCTCTACTAAAAGTACAAAAATTAGCCAGACGTGGTGGTGTGTGCCTGTAATCCCAGCTACTAAGGAGGCTGAGGCAGGAGAATCACTTGAACCCAGAGGCGGAGGTTGCAGTGAGTTGAGATCGCGCCACCGCACTCCAGCCTGGGCAACAAAGCAAGACTCCATCTCAAAAAAAAAAAAAGAAAAAGAAAAGAAAGAAAAATATAATCCACTCAAAGGGAAGCCAAAAAAAGAGCAGGGATTACAATCCTTATGTCAGGAAAAGAAAATAAACTTTAAATAAAAAACTATAAAGAAACAAAGAAAAACATTATATAATGATAAAGGAATCAATTCAGTACAGGATACAACAATTTTAAATATATATGCAACCAACAATGGAAAACATAAATGTATAAAACACATATTCCCTGAGGGATTCATGCCATGAAAAAGTACAAGGCCTTACTTCAAATCTTCAGAAACTGAAGTAAAATGAAACCCCAAGCCAAGAAACTCAGACTCTACTTAAGAAATCCAGATCTAGGCCCGGCACGATGGCTCATGCCTGTAACCCCAGCACTTTGGAAGGCCAAGCAGGCAGATCACAAGGTCAGGAGTTTGAGGCCAGCCTGGCCAATATGGTGAAACCCCATCTCTACTAAAAATAGCCGGGTGTGGTGGCACACGCCTGTAGTTCCAGCTACTCGGGAAGCTGAGACAGAAGAATTACTTGAACCCAGGAGGCAAAGGTTGCAGTGAGCTGAGATCAAGCCATTGCACTTCAGCCTGGGCAACAGAGCAAGACTCCATCTCAAAAGAAAAGAAAAGAAAATCCAGATCTAATAAAAAGCATACTGGCAGACATGCCCTAAATATGTCTGAAACAGGCCTTTTTATGGTGAAGTAAACAACATCAAAGGGAAGAACAGAACCCTTTATAGAGACCGTGATAGAAACTCAATAACATGGAAGACTTCACAGTGAAAAAATAATGAGATATGACTATTTAAGAAGTATAATTACTTAACATGACAAAACATTGTTAAATTGAAACAAATTTATAGGCAAATCACGAACTAGAACAAAGCTGTGATAAATGTTTACCTCTTACAAATTAAGAAAAATGTGAGCCAGGCACAGTGACTCATGCCTGCAATCCCAACACTTTTGAGAGGCCAAGACAGGCAGATCTCTTGAGCCCAAGAGTTTGAGACCAGCCTGAGCAACATGGTGAAACTTCATCTCTACAAAAAAAAAAAAAAAAAAAAAAAAAATATATATATATATATATGTATATATGTATATATATATTAGCCAGCCATAATAGCATGTGCTTGTAGTCCCAGCTACTCTGGAGGCTGAGAAGGGAGGATCACTTGAGACCAGGAGATCAAAACTACAGTAAGCCATGATTGCACCACTGCACTCCAGCCTAGGTGAACAGAGAGCGACCCTGAGAAAGAAAGAAGAAAGAAAAAGAGAGAAAGGAAGGAAGGAAGGAAGGAAAGATGGGAGGGAGGGAGGGAAAGAAAGGAAGAAAGGGAAAGAAAGGAAGAAAGAGAAAGAAAGGAAGAAAAAGAAAGGAAGAAAGAGACAGAAAGAAAGAAAGACAAAGGAAGGAAGGGAAGGGAAGGGAAAATGTATAGGACCACTCCCCAACATTCATGGAGCTCAAATAAAGACCCATATACCATGTGACTGATTATTTAAAGTTAAAAGTGAAGCTAATAAACAGTTAAGTAAAATATGCTCTAACTCATCACACTGACAGCCTTCATAATGACATGAAAAAACAGAATTCAATTTAGGATTTCTGGACTCTTTAGAGTTCCACTCCAGAATGTGATGCTGTGGAGAGCACCGTGTGCTAGTTTCTAGCCCATGTCCTATCCCCTTCTCTTCCCACCCCAGGTGCCACTTAGCACTGCGAGGGGCCTTGTATGTATGTGTACAGATATCCCAACCATGCACCTTCAAGATGCAGCAACACCCTCCTTAACTACACCACTGCTTAACCACACCTAAGGAAATACACGCCAGCAGTGTGGTTCATATCAGAAGAAAGAAGTCCTACTTTTGGCCCTGCTAGTGGCTTGGAGCCACCTGGGCAGGGAATTCTAGGGTCATGTAGCGCATCATCTACAATGAGGTGCAAGCTCAAGGTAAAGACATACTCTTGACTTTGTAAACTCTTCACCCCTTGGGATGGGGTAGAGTCGAGTCCTCAGATGCATCAGTGCCAGGGCAGAATCCCTCTTGCCCAAGGCTAACAGTAGTCCTCTAACACCCCAGTATAAAATCAGCAGATGACCCTGATTTCATTATGATATAATGTATACATGGATTGAAACATCAAACTGTACTCCATAAATACATAGAATTATTATGTGTCTGTCTAGATAATTTCACCTCTAGATTTTTCTCATTGAAAAATAACTGCACTTAGATATATAGGAATGTTCATAACTGCATTATTTAAATTTTTAAAGAGGACATGACCTAAAGTGTTCTATAGTCGAAATGCCCTTACAAACAAGGGTAAAACAAAATACTGACATTCTAATTGAAAAAGATACAAAGCACAAAAATAATAAGACATTATTAAAGTCGTATCTTTGAGAATGGATAATAACATGGGAAGAATTCTCATATATGGGTTGTGTGAGAGTGGGATACGAAACAGTAAAAATTCTGTGATGACATTCGCATACATTCTTTATACTTTTTTGAATTTCCCAAATATTCTACATCAATTGCTAATTTGTATCAATAGAAAAATAACATTTCTTAGAGGATATTTTTTCTCTTGATAAACCCTTTTCCTGTTTAATCAATCTAGTTTGACAGAGGAAGCCAAGGGTTGAGATAAACAATGCAAAACATGCTAAAGCCATTTGTAACTAAAGTGTTTTGTTTTGTTTTGTTTGAAATCGAGTCTCACTCTGTCGCCCAGGCTGGACTGGAGTGCAGTGGCACAATCTCACCTCACTGAAACCTCTGCCTCCCGGATTCAAATGATTCTCCTGCCTCAGCCTCCCGAGTAGGTAGGATTACAGGCATCTACCTGCCATCAAGCCTGGCTGTCATTTGTAATTAAAGTTTTAAGAAATAATCTGAAGAGCAAGTGACTGTGGAAGAGACCCTTTAAGGTATTATCACAGGCTCCCTTCAGGTATAAGTCAGCACCCTCTTGGGCATCACATGGAAGGGAATTGGAAAGGAAACCCCCCTTGATATTTGCTCAGTGTAGGAGTGTCCTCTACCACAATTATCCTGCCTCCACTTGCTTGCCTCCAGTGATGAGAAGATCACTAGCTGCAAAAAAATGCCCATTACCTAGAGCAGAAATTTCATGCTCAAGGACAGCCCCTCAGTGACCAGCAGCAATACCAAGTAGAGCTCTGTAATATCACAAGCCTAGATTTGAATGCTGGTGCCTTACCAGGAACAGGGTGACCTTGGTCAGCTAATTTTGCTCCTCTGAGCTTCATCTATGAAAGTGGAGATTGATCTTCTGAAGTCACGGGTAATAGGAAGATGCCCTGACAGTGTTAGGAATCTTTTGGTCTCTAACTACATTTTTTTTTTTTTTTAGACTGAGTCTCGCTCTGTCACCCAGGCTGGAGTTCAGTGGTGCAGTCTCAGCTCACTGCAACCTCTGCCTCTGGGTTCAAGCAATTCTCCTGCCTCAGCCTCCCAAGTAACTGGGATTACAGGCATCCACCATCACGCCCGGCTAAGTTTTCGTATTTTTAGTACAGACGGGGTTTCACCATGTTGGCCATGGGCCAGGCTGGTCTCGAACTCCTGACCTCAGGTGATCTGCCTGCCTTGGCCTCCAAAAGTGCTGGGATTACAGACATGAGCCACCACACTCAGCCGGTCTCTAACTTCTTATGAGGACGCCTGGGATTCTTATTCTCTGCTCTGCACTGCTTGAGAGGCAGAGTATAGCAGGTTTAATTTGCTCACATTCTCAGTCCTGGCATCAGGATTGGAACCCAGGAGTCTGTCTCTGGAGGCTGTGCTTTCAGGAGTGTGAGTTTCAGCGACTCACCTTTCATTACACACATCTTCATGAACAGCTCCTCTGTGACAGGTGCTTCTGAGGGCATGAGGACACAGCAGGGAACTAAATGGGCAGAGATACCTGCCCTGGAGGAGCAGAAGGTACTAAGGGAGGCAGCCGCGCAATCAGCCACAAACAGGATAACTCAACAAGTGAGTTACATCAGAGCTAAGTGCTAGAAACAGAAAAGAGGACCTAAAGGGAGAATTGAGAAATCAGGGGAGAGTTGCCATTGTTAATGGGATGGTCAGAAAAGTCCTTGTTGATGTTTAATCACGGTCAGCTCAGAATTTCTCCTTCCTCGACTGCCCCAATTTTCTGATCTCAGCTCTAGGCTAGAGATGGATCAGCGTGGCTTCTCCAGCCAGGCAAAGACCCCGAATTCACAATTGAAAAAGAATGAGGGAATGAGTCAAGACGGAGGAGAGCATTCCAATTTCTCCTTCCTTGACTGCCCCAATTTTCTGATCTCAGCTCTAGGCTAGAGATGGATCAGCGTGGCTTCTCCAGCCAGGCAAAGACCCCAAATTCACAATTGAAAAAGAATGAGGGAATGAGTCAAGACGGAGGAGAGCATTCCAGGTAGAGGCAACACCCTGTGGCTGCACCATGCCTGGTACAGGAGCAGCAAGGAGGAATAGTGAGGGAGAGACAGTGAGGGAGAGGGAGCAGGTAAGCACAGGGAGGGGACAGAGGGATGTTGTGTAGGCCTTGTAGATCAAGGGGAGGACTTGGCATTTACTCCTAATGAGGTGGGACTATGGAGGGGTCTAAGCAGAAGAGGGACATCCCCAGGCTCAGGTGTTCCCAGACGCCCTCTGGTGGCTATGGGAAAACTGTGCGTGAGGCATTGGACACAGCAGGTTAAGAGGTGACTAGGCTGGTCCAGGCCGATGATAATGGGATCAGTGTGGACCACGTGGGCCATTGGAAGTGGGCTTGCCATGGTGGGCACATGGAGGTGGTGAGGACTTGCCCATCTGGATGGGTTGTGAAGGTGAAGCCCAATGAATTTTTTGATGGGTTAGAAGTGAGTTTAGAGACAGGCCGGGCATGGTGACTCATGCCTGTAATCCCAGCACTTTGGGAGGCCAAGGCAGGCAGATCACTTGAGATCAGGTGTTCAAGACCAGCCTGGCCAACATGGTGAAACCCTGTCTCTACTAAAAATACAAAAATTAGCTGGGTGTGGTGGCACATGCCTGTAATCCCAGCTACTTGGGAGGCTAAGGCAGGAGAATCGCTTCAACCCGGGAGGCGGAGGTTGCGGTGAGCTGAGATTATGGCACTACACTCCAACCTGGGCAAGAGAGTGAGACTCCATCTCAAAAAAATTAAATAAATAAACAAATAAGTCAGGTGCAGTGGTGTGCTCCTGTGGTCCCCGCTACTTTGGAGGCTGAGGTGGAAGAACTGCTTGAGCCTAGGAGGTTGAGGCTGCAGTGAGCTGTGATCATGCCACTACACTCCAGCCTGGGCAACACAGCGAGATCTTGTCTCAAAAGAAAAAAAAAAAACCTTAACCATTTCCATTCATTCATGTATTCATTGAACAAATATTTAAATATTTTTAATTAAAAATTTTTTTTGGCTGGGCATAGTGACTCACGCCTGTAATCCCAGCACTTTGGGAAGCCAAGGTGGGTGGATCACCTGAGGTCAGGAGTTCAAGACCAGCCTGTCCATCATAGTGGAACCTCGTCTCTACCAAAAATACAAAAATTAGCCGGGTGTGGTGGCACACACCTGTAATCCCAGCTACTTGGGAGGCTGAAGCAGGAGAATCACTTGAACCCAGGAGGCGGAGTTTGTAGTGAGCTGAGATCGCACCATTGCACTCCAGCCTGGGCAACAAGCGTGAGACTCTGTCTCAAAAAAAAAAAAAATTTATTGTTTTAAAAACAGAAATAGGCTCAAAGAAAGAGCTGGTGGAGGAGCTGGCAGAGTCACACTGGGGGATAGGGGCAGGGCCAGCCCAGCTGGAGTTCAGCGAGGACTCTGTCCATCTCAGGATTGCTGGGGGTGGGGACCCACAGTGTCTAGAGCTCTCAAACCGACAACCTGGCCCCTCTCCGCTCTCATCTTGGAGGTGGCGTCTGCCCCAACCCCCTGCACCCACCCCAGACAGAAGGAAGAAGAAAGGAGGAAATCCCAAATGTGGCTGAACATTAACTCTGCAACAGCTGAGGAGCTGTGACTGAGTTTGCTGCAATGTGTCCAGATTCCAGGCCTGACCCAAAAAGAGGTCAATTCACAGGAGTAGAATATTCCTTATTTGCCTACCTGGAACCCATGAAAATTGCACCCATTGAGAGCGCCCAGGCTGGTTGCTTGCTTAGTGAGAGAGTTACAGGGAACCAGTTGGTGCTGAGTTCAAGGACCAAGCCAATGCCACCTCCACAGTGCAGGGGAGAGGGGACCAGGTGACACTCCTGAGAGCTGTCTGGAGCCGGGAAGCTGAGGAATGCATGGGACTGGGGTCTGGAGTCTTTCCTTTTCCTCTTTCTTCTCATCAGGAAGACCCCCAAAGGCCCTTCTCCGCCCCTTTCAGCCCCACCCTAAATGACTCTGTGTGTGTGTGTGTGCGCGCGCACTCATGAGACTCTAGGGCACATGCGTGTCCACACCCCATATCTTCCCTGTCTGCTTGCACACCTGTTCACACCATGATGCAGTGTCTGCATGTGTGTGACTTTTCAAGGGTCTCTTTTGGTTCCCCCAGATGCGCCTCCTTGCCTTTCTGGGAAAATCTTATATTCTTCTCCAGCCCATGCTTTGTAGTTGGCAAAAAACAGATCGAACACCTTTCTGGGAAACTCCATTCAAGTGTGTCACTGCTTAGCCTTTTCTGGGTTAGCATAGTCCCTCTACAGTTTCTCTCTCTCCCCACTTATTTGTAGATCTGAACCTTAAGGCCAGGGATGGGCCGGGGTGGCTCCTTCAGCCAGGAAAAGCCTCTGAATTCACACTCACCATTGCCAAGGGAGGCTCCTGCAGTGCCTGCTGGCATCGCTCTGTTCACCACCTAAAAAGGGAGGGGCTGAGGACACAGCTCCTGTTATGCTGAGGGTCCCCAGAGCTGCCATCCCACAGGCCCCCTGAACACTAAGAAGTCCCACGGAGCTCAGGCAGGTGGCACCCTGAGGGGATTTTCCCTCCAGGAAACTCAAGACCCCTGGGTCAGCTTCCTAAGCCCACAGACCCTGCATGCACAGAGCGGGAAAAGGACTAATTACTATTTCTTTTTGTGGATAACAAGCAGAAATTCATTAATGAATGGCAGAGCATTCATTCATGCTCCTAGTACCCACCTGCGCTAGGCAAGGCTGCTTCCTGAGGAAATGCACCCCCAGGCCCTGCCCTCAAGAGAGGGAGGAAGGAGTGGATCATTTGATGTTGTTCTACCAATGTTGCCCAGGTTTAACATCTCTTGGTGACCTCAGCCTTCTCCATCCCTCCTTCCCTAGACCATTAATTACCAAATCAGCATTCTTCCTCCCAAAATTCTCTCTATCCCCTCACCTCCACCCCAACTCAGGACTGCATTATTCTTACCTGTTGCAAGAACCTGCAGTGTCAACTCCCTCCAGTCTGACCTCTGCACTGACCCCAGGACAGAAAACTCAAGCTGTGCTCCTCCTCTACGCAAGCACCTTCCATGGCTCCCCATTGCTTTCAAAGTTTAAAATCCCTCCATCTTCACATCCAAGACTGTTGTGATATGACCCCTGCCACCTCCTCTACTACTAAATACAGCCATTGCTCCACTCATAACAACACTCACTCCTACTTTTACTAAAAACACACCACCAGCATCACCTTCTCCAGGAAGCCTTCTGTAAGAACCCCCAAGCTAGTCATATGCAGTATCTGGGCTACCAGAAGTCCTGGGTTGTCTCTTCATATTGTCTGTGTTCCTCTGTGTCTCCTGTTAGCCTGTGAGCTGTCGGACCTGGCCTCATCTTATTCCTTTCTCCAGGAGCATTAAACTTAGATGATAAATCTGTTCCTTGCAATGCTCCTTTCTCTTTCTTTTCATGGTATATGCTTTTTCTCTGGCCACTCTTCCTTAGTCTCCTCCTCTTCTGACCCCTAATATGATAATTCCCCAGGGCTCAGTCCTAGACCTTCTTATCTCTCCCTAGCTGATGAATATAGACTCATGATTCTGTGTACCCAATCTATGCCAAAAAGCCTGCATAGTTTGGGTTTCCCCCAGACACAGACTCTGAGACAAGGATTCCAGTGGAAGTAAGTTTATTTGGGAGGTGATACCAGATCTGAAGAAGTGAAAGTAGGAACAAAAGGAAGTTTATAAAGCATGTCCTATCAAGTAACTTATCCCTGTAAGCAACTGGGGTCAATCCCACTGGAGACCTCTGGGTGGCAGCATAGAACATTCACTGCAGAGGGGTAAGGGAGCTGAGGTATGTATACACCCACTCCAGTTGGTTATTGTTGAGGGTTGCTCCTGAGTGCATTAATTATCCAATACTCCTGTCCTGCTGTACATGTGGATGGAGTAAGCTTTAATGTCCAGAGAAAGCCCTCAGACAAATAGATGCAAGCACCGAGTGTTGGAAATCAGGCCAATATGCAGTGAAGTTGTCAGAGAAAGTGGATGCGGGCAGGGGACTGACACCATCTGCTGCATGTGGTTTGTCCACTTCATTTCTGACCATTCTTTGTCACTCTCTTTCTTTACTTTTACTGTTCTGATATTGAAGTAGCTCACGGCTTCAACCTTGACTCTCTTCTCTCTAACTGATTAGTACAATCATATGGTTTTAAATACCACTTCCTTACCAGTATTCCCCAAATCTACATCTTAGATCAGCCAACCACTCTGAGCTCCAGATGCATAATCCAACAATCAATCATCAACCAATGTGAGGTGGAATGTCAGAAAAAATGTCAGAGTAAGGACCTCCATAAATTATGTCCTCCATAAAGAATGAAAAAGCTAGAAAAAATTGTTAGACTAAATTTTTGGGAATTCTAGAAATTAACTAAAGTCTTGCAGCAACTCAGAGAAAATGTATTCAGAAAATTACTGAATATCAGTGAGAACAGCATACTCGGCATTTTAACATCTCTGGTCTTCTCCCCCACTCTCCAGCTCCGTGGTCGTCTTGAAAAATACCAGCCCAAACTCTGGTGCAGCCTGGCATCCACCAGAGAGAGCAAAACAGAACTAGAGCACTTTCAAGCCTCATTCCCAAAGAATTGTCATTATTTTTTAAATTTTATTTATTTATTTATTTATTTATTGAGATGGAGTCTCTCTCTCTCTGTCGCCCAGGCTGGAGTGCGGTGGTGCAATCTCAGCTCACTGCAACCTCCGCCTCCCAGGTTCAAGCAATTCTCCTGCCTCAGCCTCCCAAGTAGCTGGAATTACAGGCATGCACCACCACGCCTGGCTAATTTTTGTATTTTTAGTAGAGACAGCGTTTTACCATGTTGGCCAAGCTGGTCTCAAACTCCCGACCTCAAATGATCTGCCCACCTCGGCCTCCCGAAGTGCTGGGATTACAGGTGTGAGCCACCACACCCGGCCAAGAATTGTCATTATTTACCAAGCTAATGGTTCCCTGCAAGATCCCACTGGCAAAGCTCTCTGTATTTGACCTGGCTCTGAGATAAACCATGCAAAAAGCCTTCACTCTGGGGGTCCTTTGTTGACAACAGCTACAGGAAGGTATTTTAGCTTCATGGATGCCTGAGGCAGTGAGTGACAGTTGAGACAAATAGACTAAACCAAAAGCTAGGGAAGGAGCTGTCTATAGAGGCTTTGAAAGGCTCAGATAAGGCTGGGTGCAGTGGCTTATGCCTGTAATCCCGGCACATTGGCAGGCCAAGGAGGGTGGATCACGAGGTCAGTAGTTCAAGACCAGCCTGCCAACATGGTGACCCTGTCTCTACTTAAAAATACAAAAATTAGGCCAGGCTCAGTGGCTCATGCCTGTAATCCCAGCACTTTGGGAGGCTAAGGCAGGCAGATCACCTGAGGTCGGGAGTTCGAGACCAGGCTGACCAACATGAAGAAACCCCATCTCTACTAAAAATACAAAAATTAGCCAGGCGTAGTGGTGCATGCCTGTAATCCCAGCTACTCAGGAGGTTAAGGCAGGAGAATTGCTTGAACCCAGGAAGCGGAGGTTGCAGTGAGCCAAGATCACGCCATTGCATTCCAGCCTGGGCAACAAGAGTGAAACTCCATCTCAAAAAAAAAAAAAAAAAAAAAGAGAAGAGGCCGGGCACAGTGGCTCACGCCTGTAATCCCAGCACTTTGGGAGGCCAAGGCGGGCGGATCACGAGGTCAGGAGATCGAGACCATCCTGGCTAACATGGTGAAACCCCATCTCTACTAAAAATACAAAAAATTAGCCAGGCGCGGTGGTGGACGCCTGTAGTCCCAGCCACTTGGGAGGCTGAGGCAGGAGAATGGCATGAACCCGGGAGGCAGAGTTTGCAGTGAGCCGAGATCTCGCCACTCCACTCCAGCCTGGGAAATAGAGCAAAACTCCGTCTCAAAAAAAAAAGAAGAAGAAAGATTGGTAGATGGATGGAGAGAAAGATATATAAATGATAGATGATAGAAAAATAGAAAGATTCATAGATATAAATAGACAACAGAGGACAGAGAAGCATAAGATAGATATAGACGGATGAAAGATAAACGATAGATGATAGACATAGATAGATAATAAATAAATGATTGACATTCTAGACAGATGAGGCATGCGCAGAATGTAGGCAAGGAATGTTACTATACCTTGGGGCTCACAATGGTGGAGAGCCTTTATCGCTTCTATGCCAAAAGGGCCAAGCAGAGGAAACAATAACCCAGACCCACAGAGGGTAGGTAGCTGGAGGGAGAGCACTGCAGGTACCCTGCAGGCAGGGAGCCAGGGAGACAAATACATTCCACCCTCTAATCCCTCACCTGTGTCTCTCATTGGCCAAACCCAAGTGGAAGCCAGAGAGTAAGGAAACCCATTGATGCCATCTACCTGGGTCATTCTCCCAGAGCACAGAGAAGAGTTGAGGAAGATCAGTGCAGATCTGGAGGCAAAAAGCAGACACTCAGCTGTTTTATCATTGTCCTTTCAGTCAAAAAACCAACTAGGATGTCAATTCCAAAGTCCCCAACCCTTCCCAACTTCAGCATGCCAATGAAATCACATACATATGAATCCTTGAATCTCATTAGTTAATTTTCCTCCATCACCAGTGCAGGCTTCCTAGTCCTCAACCTAACATCCTTTCTGCAATCATTCCAGGGAGCTCCCAGTGTGGGTGAGTCTCACATGTGCTTACAAATAAGTCAGCTCCACCAGGTACGAAAGTGGGTTCCCGCTGTGGGACACTCTTCTTCAATATTCTGTTGACATGAAGCCAAGGTTGCATGATAGAGTGGACAAAATGGGTAGGGAGAAGGACTTTCTCCTCATTTGTACAGCACTTGGGAAGAAGAATACCCAAACTTGCTTAAGCCCCAGTAGATATTTTATTTTTTATTCCCAAGAATCTACTCATGCATAAAGCTAAGATGGACTTCTCTTGGGCCAATGATTCAAGTGCAAGGAATTTATTCGCAAGATCATTCCAGAAAGCTCTAGTAGGAGTGAGGAAGAGTAGGTTGCTGCTGTGGGCAACTGGGGCTTAATCCCAAAGAGCATCCTTTGGGAGACTCTGTGGATCATATCCATGAATTCCCACAGAGAGTGGCGAGGAAGCTGGGGTATTTATCCACCATCTCTCATTCATCCCTCATATGTTGAGGGTTGCTCCTGCCCCACACAAGAGAAAGTTCCCAGGTGGAGAGTCTCAGGTGTTCAGTCAGATGCTGTCAGCAAGCACTAGAATGGTAAGTTCCAAGGGTATACAGGGGTGCACCCCCCATACATCCCTCAACTAGCCTGAAATTCCATAAAAGCAGAGACTGGGCCTATATAATTCACCATTCTATTCTCAACAACTTGTCCGGGAGTTGGCACACGGTAGGTGCCCAATACAGGTTAGAGGGTAAGGGAATAAACATAAAATAAAGTTGAGACAAACCTAAAAGAGACTGTTTCATCTTCAAAGACTTAGCCTAAAGGGGGTGGGAGAGGAGTAAACATTTATTAGAAGCTTCCACAGAATTCATGCTTCTGCAAACCTGATTGCCCCTAAATTTAGCACATCAGTAGTTCCAAAGAAGAGACTTTAAGACATGCTTTAAGACAACAACAGGTGTGAATCTGCCTCCCAGATGACAATTGGCAATGTCTGGAGACATGTTATATTGGTTGTCACAACTGGAAAAGGGGTGCTGCTGGTAGCTAATGGGTAGGGACCAGAGATGCTATTAAATATCCTACAATGCACAGGACAGCTCCCCACAGCAAAGAATGATTTGGCCCCAAATGTCAATAATGCCGAAATTAAGAAACCTTAGGTTAGAGGGTGGATACGTGAACCAATTGGAGTCAATAGAAAAATCAACCACAAGGTCGAGTGCGATGACTCATGCCTGTAATCCCAGCACTTTGGGAGGCCAAGGTGGATGGATCACCTGAGGTCCGGAGTTCGAGACCAGCCTGGCCAACATGGTGAAATCCTGTCTCTACTGAAAATACAAAAATTAGCCAGGCATGGAGGTGGACACCTGTAATCCCAGCTACTTGGGAGACTGAGGCAGGAGAATTGCTTGAACCCGGAGGCGGGGGATGCAGTGAGCCGAGATTGTGCCATTGCACTCCAGCCTGGGTGACAAGAACAAGACTCTATCTTAAAAAAAAAAAAAAAAAAAGGAAGAAAGTAAAAGAAAAATCAATCACAATACTAGGAGTTTCTCTCTTCCCTGGAAGGAGCAATATGGCACCTATTTTGATAACACAGAGAGAAGGCTGGAGCTGTGTGATGTCGGGAAGAGAGGTTCTACTGGGTGCCATGTGGAGCATGTAGATGAAACTGATGCCCAGAGAAAGCTGTAGAGATGAAGAGAAACTGAGCCATTGTTGACCACATTTGAGCCACTAGATCAATTCTCCCCTGAAGTAGGTCCTTTTAATTTATATGAGCTAATAAACCCCTTTCTTGTTTAAGCCAGTAGACTTTTGTGTCATTTGCAACCAGGAGCACTCCAACTGACAGAATCAACGAACATTAAATCCTATCCTCCTTTCCTGAAGACACCAGTGTAAACAGAACCTTGTCTTGGAGCACGACTGGTTGCGAGTAACAGAAACCCACCGAAGCTGGCACAAGTAAAGAAGTATTTATTACATGGGTCCAAGGTTATCTCCAAAACCCATAGGAGCATGAAGTAAAAGTGAAATTCATGCAGAACCATGATCAGATACTTAGAAAGCAATTAATAAATACCTGTTGATCTCAATGGAATGAACACTCAATTAACTGGAATTGATAACTGCACTGGGAGCCGAGATAACCCCCCCAGCCCTCAAGGAGCCATTTGAGCTCTCATTTCTGATTCTCCCTGAATATTAGCTTCATTCTTCTGCCCTGTTTGCTTGTCTCTTTGCCCACCACCTCGAATTGGCCACTGATATTTCTAAATCTGATTGTGACCTTAAGAGCTCCACCAACTGACAACTTTCTTAGCCTCTCCATTAAAGAAAGTTCTCGAGCAAAAGAATCTGATTGGCTCAGCTTAAGTCAGGTGACAACCACTAATCCAATCGGTAGTCATCTGCCAAAAGAGGAAGCATAAGTAGACTGGCAAGTCAAATGTATTTACCCCAAGATGGGAGCTCAAGTTAGCCCTGGGTGGGGGAGATAGAAGTCCCACTGCCACCACTCCCCACCTTACCTAGACACAGACCAACAACACTGAGTGTTAACTATTCCTTTATTAGGTGGTGAGGGGAGTGGGGGGCTGTACAATGCAGGGCTTGGGAATTCAGCTACACAGGGATTTTGACCAGAAGCCATATTACAAAAATAGCCTAAAAATACCTCTATTCTGCCATGAGGCTGGGCCAGAGGATTACCAGGAAGAGAAAGTACCACTCAGGCAGCTCCTCTTCTTGTAGTCCCACATTTACAGGGACACAAAGGAATGCATACATCTGCCCTGGCTCCCATTTCCCACCAGCAGCCCCCTAGTTCCCAAAGGGAGATGGCCAAGGGTGGGGCTGGGGCAGAGGGAGTTGGCAGTGGGCCCTTCCCCAGCAAGGCTATGGAACATGTCCCATCTGGAATGCAGTGAAGTGAGGGAGGTGGGGTGGGGAGGAGGCTCCCAACACTCCCCCGACCCCTGGCCCCAGTGGGTGCGCCCAAGGGTGCCTACTTGGTACATACCTGGGTCGTGTACTCGGTACACGGGATCCCAGTCATGCCTGTGTACTAGGTACACAGAATCCAGCTTGGCCGAATGGGCCCACAGACTCAGCCCCACGGGGGCACTGGGGGGTTCACAGGGGGAGGGAGCATCTCCATATATATATTTTGTAAAAAATAATAATAATAAGTTTGTTTAAATGAATTTGTTTCTATACAAAATGTAAAAAAAAAAAGAAAAATAAAAATAATAATAATTCATTCATGTCAGAGTGTAAGGAAATGAGAGGCCAGAAGGAGAGAGAAAGGAATGAGGGAAGAGAGAAGTGGGGAAGAAGGAGGTCCCAGACTCTTCACAAGACTGAGAGGGTGGGTGGTAGCCCCCACCCATTATAAATAAAGGAAGACTGAAGCCCTGGGCTGATGACCTATCTCGGTCACGCTGCAAGGCAAGGATGCAGGAGGGTTGGTGGAAAGAGAAGAGGATGAAAAAGACTAAAAGGAAGGAAGAGACAGAGAAAGAAAGGAGGCAGGACGGGGGTCTCTTTAGGCCCCCAAGATCTAAGAACTGACGAGCGTCTCAGGCCAACACTTGCCTCTTGGGGGTAACTTCCGGCTGGGGCCCCAGCTGGGTCTGGGCCTGAGCAAGGGAGCTGGGAACAGACAAGGGAAGTGGCTGGGCAGGCAGTGCCCCAGTGGTGGTGGCCATGGCCCCAGTGGCAGTGGCTGGGCTAGGCGTGGATTCGGACCAGTCTGAGAGGGAGGGAGGTGAGGGGCTGGCCCAGTGCTCAGGGGATTCGGGGGATGGGGTCAGGTAAGGGTGCTCACTGGGAACCCGCAGGAAGCGGGCCTTTGGGGGGCTGCTGTGTGCCCCAGCCGCCGGGTACTCCTCGCCATGTCCTGGGACTGCCAGGTAAGGCGGGGGCCGCTCCTGCGGGGAGACGGGGGTCCCTGGGTTGAGCAGCTGGGGTCCCGGCGCCAGTGGCAGCAGGAACGAGGGGCCTGGAGGGGCAGGTGGGGGCAGCCGGGCCCAATCGAGGGGCACAGCCACAGGGTTCAGCAGGCCCAGGCTGAGTACACATCCTCCAGGGGGCTGGCGCCCTAGACCCGCCCGGCCTGGGCCACCAAGCTGTGCCAGAGACACTGCAGTGGCAGTGGCAGCTGCATAGGGCCCCTCAAGGGGGAAGCCACCAGGGGAAGCAGGGGGCCCACCGAAAGGCCGCGGGGAGTCCAGCGAGTCCACGGGCGACAGCGTGACCGAGCTGTCAGCCAGGGGGCCCGGGCAGGCCAGCGTCAGCTTCTTGCCCCGCCCCCGGGGCCCCTGCGGCCCCAGCCCCGCCTTCCCGGGGGGCCTCCTGCTCTTCTTGGACCCCGACTGTGCCGCTTTGAGGCCAGGGAGGAAGGCCCCTGGAGGACAGAGCAGAGGCCCCAGGCCGTGGGGACCGGGGGGGCTGCGGGGCCCACTGGGTTGATCCAGCAAGCGCACGATGTCCTGGTGCAGTCTCTCCTGGGCTACGTCCCGCGGCAGCCTGTCCAGGTGGTCGGTGATCTCACGGTTGGCAAAGTGGTCCAACAGCAGCTTGGCAGCCTCATAGCTGCCCTCGCGGGCGGCCAGGAATAGGGGGGTCTCCTCCTGGGGGGCCAGAACCCACAGAGGTCAGCGAAACCCCAGCTAACAGTAGCAAAGTCTTCCAGCCTCTTGGGGGAGCCCGAGAGCTATGAGTTTGTACACTGGAGCTTGACAGACCTGGGTTAAATCCCGGCTGTGCTGGGGGAGCCTGGACAAGTTCTTTCCTCTAAACCACATTCATCCATCACCTACTAAGTGCCAGAGGTCAAGGCCAGGACTAGGGTGAGTTAAGCGAGGTACTCACCTTAGGCATAACTTTTTTTTTCTTGTCTTTTTTTTTTTTTTTTTTTGACAGAGTCTCACTGTGTCGCCCAGGCTGGAGTGCAGTGGCGCCATTTCAGTTCACTGCAACCTCAGCCTTCCGGGTTCAAGCGATTCTCCTGCCTCAGCCTCCCGAGCAGCTGGGACTACAGGTGTGCACCACTACGCCCAGCTAATTTTTGTATTTTTAATAGAGACAGGGTTTTACTACGTTGGCCAGGCTGGTCTCAAACTCCTGAACTCAAGTAATCCACCCATCTCGACCTCCCAAAGTGCTGGGATTATAGGCATGAACCACCACACCCAGCCATTAGGCACAAAATTTAAGGGGCCCCCAAAAACTTTAGTCACCAAAGTAAATTATATTTTAATCCAATGTTTGGGGTTTTATTTTGTTTTGTTTTTTGAGAGAGTCTCACTCTGTTGCCCAGGCTGGATTGCAATGGCACTGTGCCACTGCTGACACCCAGTGGACCAAGGGCTGGGGCTCACCTTGCTATCCTGCATGTCCTTATTGGCTCCATTTTTGAGCAGGGCCAAAGTGGCTTCCACGTTGTTCACAGCCGCAGCCCAGTGTAAGGCTGATTTCCCTGGAGGATGAAGGGGAGAGAGGTCAGGACCAGGCACCTGTCCTGGGGCCCCCATGTCAGGGAGGCAGAAATTGTCTAGAATGTGGCCTAGGGGTAGAGGAGGCAGGCCTGCCGTGAATATCCAAGTACTTGTGTCTGGATCCATGTGTGTGCAAATCTGCAAAATGACTCTGTGCAATGGGGAAGCACTTTGTGTCTGTGTGTGTGTGTTTGTGTGTGTGTGTGTGTGTGCGTGCATGTGCATGACTGTTTATACACAGGGGGTGCTGTGTGGACCTCCTTCAGTTGAACCTAGGGTTGTGACATCCAATACAGTAGTCAGTCACATGTGGTTTTTATTTATCCATTTATTTATTTTTGAGGTAGTGTCTTGTTCTGTCACCCAGGCTGGAGTCCATTGGCACAATCTCAGTTCACTGCAACCTCTACCTGCTGGGCTCAGGCGATTTTCCTGCCTCAGCCTCCCTAGTAGCTGGGACTACAGGCATGTACCACCATGCCCAGCTGATTTTTTGTATTTTTGATAGAGATAGAGTTCCACTATGTTGCCCAAACTGGTCTCAAACTCCTAAGCTCAAGTGATCCACCAGCCTTGGCCTCCCAAAGTGTTGGGATTACAGGCATGAGCCACCGTGCCCAACCTACATGTGGTTCTTTAGATTTAAATTTAATAAAATAGGTGCCAGGACCATTCAATGGGGAAAGAATGGTCTTCTCAACTAATGGTGCTGGAACAACTGAATATTCACATTCAAAGAATGAAGTTGGACCCCTACCTCACACTTTATACAAACACTAACTCAAAATGGATCAGAAACCTAAATATATGAGCTCCAACTATAGAACTAAACATCTAGAAGAAAACATAAGAGTAAATCTTCATGACCTTGAATTAGGCCAAGATTCTTAGATGTGACACCAAAACCACAAATAACAATAACAACTACAAAACAGATAAATTGGACATGATCAAAATTGAAACTTTTGGCCAGGCACAGTGGCTCACGCCTATAATCTCAACAATTTGGGAGGCCAAGGTGGGAGTATTGCTTAAGGCCAGGAGTTTGAGATCAGCCTGGGCAACAAAGTGAGACCCCATTTCCACAAAAAATTTAAGAATTACCCAGGTATGCTGGCACACACCTGTAATACCAGCTATTCAGGAGGGTGGGATGGGAGGATCACTTGAGCCTGGGAGTTTGAGGCTGCAGAGAGCCGTAATCATGCCACTGCACTCCAGCCTGAGTGACAGAGTGATACCCTATGTCTAAAAATAAAAGAAAAAAAAAGTGGTCCATCGACACAATGGATTATTATTCAGCTGAACTATGCTACAACATGGGTGAACCTTGAGAACATAATGCTAACTGAAAAAAAGGCAGACAAAAAAGACCACGTATCATATGATTACATTTATATGAAATGTCCAGAACAGGCAAATCCATGAAGACAAAAAGCAAATCAGTGGTTGCACAGGGCTGGACAGATGAGGGGCTTGGCAGATGATGGCCAAGTGGTGAGAATTTATTTTTCAGGTGATGAAATGTTCTAAAATTGATTGTGGTAATAGTTGTATGACTCTGATTATACTAAGAGCCATTGAATTGTACACTTTAAATGGGTGAATTGTATGGCATGTTAATTATATCTCAATAAAGCAGTTTTTTGTTTTTTGTTTTTTGTTTTTAAAAAAAAGGATGGACTCAGTGGCTCATGCCTATAACCCCAGCACTTTGGGAGGCCAAGGCAGGTGGATCACCTGAGGTCAGGAGTTTGAGGCCAGCCTGGCCAACATTGCGAAACCCCGTCTCTACTAAAAATACAAAAAAATAGCCAGGCATGGTGATGGGCACCTTTAGTCCCAGACACTTGGGAGGCTGAGACAGGAGAATCACTGGAACCTGGGTAGTGGAGGTTGCAGTGAGCCAAGATCACACCATTGCACTCCAGCCTGGGTGACAAGAGTGAGACTCTGTCTCAAAAAAAAAAATTAAAAAAAGGGCAACATAAGGAGAAAAAAATTAAATGAACTAAAACATTTACTTCTTCATTTGCCTCAGTCACATTTCAAGTCACTATATGTGGCCAGTGGCTACTATACTGGACAGTGCAGAGAATAATTCCATCATCACAGAAAGTCCTATTGGCCAGCCCTGCCCTAGAACTGTGGCTCTCAACTAGGAGAAACTCCCTGCCCCCAGCCCCCAGAGCATTTGGCAACGTCTGGAGACTGTTTTTTTTTTTTGAGATGGAGTCTGTCCCCCAGGCTGGAGTGCAGGGGCACAATCACGGCTCACAGACTCAACCTCCTGGGCTCAAACGACCCTCCCACCTCAGTTTCTGGAGTAGCTAGGGCCACAGGTATGCACCACCGCACATGGCTAATCTTTCAAAAAACTTTTGTAGAACCCACTATGTTGCCCAGTCTGGTCTCAAACTCCTGGCCTCAAGTCATCCTCCTGCCTCAGCCTCCCAAAGTGTTGGGATCACAGGCATGAGCCACCACACATGGCCTGATGTGTACGTTTATTATAATAACTTCCAGCAGGTGGAAGTACAGTGTGTCCGTCTAACAAAGCAGGTGGAAATGAAGTATCTAGGGGAAAGGCACCTTTTTCTAAATCCCTGAGGCACCCTAAGGACTAGTGGTGACCCTGCATGACCCTGCAGGCTTCATGAAGCCTGGTTATGTGTGCGTGAGCTTCAGTGATTGGGTCTCAACATGGGTATGAATTTGCACCAACATGACCCTCAGGGCCCAGGTGACACCAACCCAGCTTAGACTTGATTCCTCTGCCAACCTACCAAGCTCATCCACAGCATTGACATCAGCATGGCTGGCGATGAGCTCTTCCACCATGCCCTCTACTGCCAGGCGGGCCGCCAGGATCAGTGCCGTTGAGCCATCTGCCATGCGGGCATCCAAGTCTGTAGAGCGGTTTCGGATGAGAATCTAGGACAGAGAGTGGATGCAGCAGGAGGGGTCATGGCAGGAACAGAGGAATCAGGAGCACCCCTAAGTCCCATGAAGTCCCCAACCCCCATACCCCAACCCCTGAAATTGGTGAGGTTCAGGGAGCAGCTGCTTGACAGATACTGTATTCCCATATATCCCCATTTTCCAAATGAGAAAAAATGAGTCTGAAAGGCAGAACTGGGGCTCAAACCCAGGTAAGTCTAATGCCTGCCCCAGCTCTGAGGTCCAAAGTGTGTGCCTATCTCACCTGGAAGACACCCTGGGCATCGGCTGTGACAGCTGTGTGCAGGGGAGTGCGGCCTGAGTGGTCCTGGGCATTGGTGTCTGCCCCAGCATCCAGCAGCCGCTTGGCTGCATCAGCACGGGCATAACGGGCAGCCAGGTGCAAAGCAGTCTCGCCAGTACGGTCAGTCCGTGCCCCAAGCTGAGCCCCCTGGCAGATCAGGTCGGAGATGATGCTAGCTGATGTGTCATCTGCCTCATCCTCTTCAGTTGGCATTGGCTCCAGAGCCCCCCCACAGAAGGAAGCCAGCATTAGCGGGGTGAAGCCATCTGCAGGGACAGGAGTGTGTCAGCAGGAAGGTAAACACAGGGCCTTTTCCAGGAAATGTTATCAAGGGTACCCCATTAGGAGCTAATGGGACACATGGAAAAATGACAATTAGCAGATCCTCCTGTCTGCACACCCACACCCAGAATGAGGATTCGTGGGCACGTGATTTGTCACAGAACTACTCCTAGGGCACAGGGAACACAGGACAAGGGACTCTGGGAGTCAAGCAAGTGTGCAACCTCCAGTAAATTCCCAAAGGGTTATTCCACCTTGATCCTCCAAAGGGACTCTGGAACATGTGTTGTACCCCAGAGTTCTAATCCAACTCAAGGCAAAGAAACCATCCCCTTCATACTCCTGCACCCACTGGTTAGGAGCTGCCCCTTTCTGCCAATTCATTTGAGTGTTTTAAAAGGGGGGGGGAAAAAAAGAGCTGCCCCCAGGGACATAAAATCCCAGGCACTTCAGGCCCCAGCAGCCAGAGGGACTTCAAAAGAGAGCCATAAGTACAGGCCATTTGGAGCATAAGCAAAATGAAGCTAAGGCAGGAATGCCCTGAAACATAACAAAGATGGATCTAAGAGGATCAAACAACATAGTCCGCTACACTGCACACACTGTACACAAGCACTTGTCCTCATTTTTCTTAGGGAGCCACTTGCATCCGGTTCTCCATTCTCAAGCCCTGGGTAGAGACTGACCTCCCCGCTCCACCAGCAGACCCGACCCCCACCAGCTCAAAGACAGGTATGTGAATCAGGCTTGGTCAATTTGCATATTCCAGCCCCCTGGTCATACTGATTGGCTCAAGGATGAGCACGTGACCCTAGTCTGTCCAATCAGAATGCATCCTGAGACTTTTCTGGAGCATTAAGAAGGTTTTGTAAGATTGGAGTCAAAGGGTAGAGAGGGGAAAACTGAGTCCTGGATCCAAATGTGCCACTTTTAGTTAAATGAGTTGATAAATCCCTTGTTTTACTTAAGCTAGTCTGAGTTGGACCTTTGTCACTTCCAACCAAGAGTGTTGCTGAATACACACACCCTTCACAGAAGCTTAGAGACTCCCCCAGTTCTCCCCAAAACACAGAGTCAGAAATAACCTCTCACAGGTAGGATGGGTGAGGGGCATCCCTTTGGGAGGGGCACTGTCACTAACCTGGGCCACGCACATTGACATCCATGCCATCAGCATCTGCGTCGCCCTGTGGTGGTGTCAGTGCCATGGCTGGTGCCACGCGGATGTCAGCAGCAACCAGATGGTGTTGAGTCCACTGACGGCAATCCACAGCCTCCTCAGCCCCCATGCCTGGCTCCTCTACCTGGAGGGGCAGGCACCCTGGATCTCAGATCTCACCCTTTGGTGCTGGGGAGAGCCACTGCCAGGGATGGGGCTGGGCATTCCTACAGGTTTCTCTTTAGGAGATACACACAGAGCCCTGGGAAATCATTTACCATCTGTTTGGTGTTTTATTTGTTTTTGAGACAGAGTCTCGCTCTGTCCCCCAGGCTGGAGTGCAGTGGCATGATCTCAGCTCACTGCAACCCCCGCCTCCCGGGTTCAAGTGATTCTCCTGCCTCAGCCTCTGGAGTAGCTGGGATTACAGGCACATGCCACGGTGTCCAGCTAATTTTTTGTATTTTTAGTAGAGAAGGGGTTTCACCATGTTGGCCAGGCTGGTCTCGAACTCCTGACCTCAGGTGATCAGCCCCTCTCAGCCTCCCAAAGTGCTGAGATTAACAGGAAATCAATGTGTGCCATAGCCCAAGGAGGTAATAAAAGGAAGACACAAGGTTTCTTTTTTTTTTTTTTTTTGGTCTTTTTGAGTAATAAATGGCTTTAATTATTTATGTATATATTTTTTAGAGACTGAGTCTCACTGTGTCACTCAGGCTGGAGTGCAGTGCTGCAATCATACCTCACTGCAGCCTCAACTTCCTGGGCTCAAATGATCCTCCCACCTCAGCGGCCCAAGTAGCTGGGACTATAAGCACACAGTATAAGCAGATTGGGATAGCATCTGATCCAGGTTCAAGTTCCAACCCCACCCCTTAGTAGCTGGAAGGCTCTGGGCAAATCACTTTGAAGCTCTGAGCTTCTCATTGGCAAAATCAGGATGACGCAGCCATTCCACCATGCTAAGATACCACCACAATTACATTGGGCCACCCCTTTAATACCTCTAATACCTACTTTGGGATGGGAAGGCAGAAGGAAAAGTCTGGGTTGAGCAGGTTTTTTTATCTGTCCACTGTAATAGATGATTCCATTTCACAACATTAAAATATGGACAGAGGAAGGGAGTTTGTAAATTGAAGTATATGTCAATAGCTACTTTACAGCGTCCTCAGAGAGATGAAATAAGATGTTTTATGTGCATTAGAGACATTCAGCGGGTGCCTCAGTAATGCTAGCAGGATCTGTATGGACTCAATTGTGCCCCCTCTAAAAATCATACAATGGCCGGGCACGGTGGCTCACGTCTGTAATCCCAGCACTTTGGGATGCCGAGGCGGGTGGATCACTTGAGGTCTGCAGCTTGAGACCAGCCTGGCCAACATGGTGAAACCCCATCTCTACTAAAAATACAAAAATTAGCCGGGCATGGTAGCACATGCCTATAATCCCAGCTACTCGGGAGGCTGAGGCAGGGGAATCACTTGAACCTGGGAGGTGGAGGCTGCAATGAGCCAAGATCACGCCACTGCACTCCAGCTTGGGCAACAGAGTGAGACCTGGTCTCAAAAAATAAATAAATAAATAAACAGAAATCATACACTAAAACCCTAAATAATATATAAAATTTCCATGTGCCTGCATTTGAAGATAGGACTTTATTTTTAGACAGGGTCTTGCTCTGTTACCCAGGCTGGAGTGAAGTGATGCAGTCATAGCTCACTGCAGGCTCCAACTCCTGGACTCAAGTGATCCTCCTGCCTCAGCCTCCCAAGTAGCTGAAATTACTGGTGCAAGCTACCAAGCCTGGTGAGATAGGGCCTTTAAGGAGGTAATTAAGGTTATATGAGGTTATAAATGTGGGACCCTAATCCAATAGGATTGGTATCCTTACAAGAAGAGGATGGGATGTCAAATCTGTCTCTCTCTCTCTCTCTCTCTCTCTCTCTCTCTCTCTCTCTCTCCCCTCTGTGTACACAGAGGAAAGGCCATGTGAGGCTACAGTGAGAAGGCGGCCATCTGCACACCAGGAAGAGAGCCCTTACCAGGAACCAGCCCTGACAGCACCTTGGGCTTGGACTTCCAACCTCCAGAACCGTGAAAAAATTAATTTCTGTTGTTTAGGTCACCCATGCTGTGGGACTTTTTTTTTTTTTTGAGACGGAGTTTCGCTCTTGTTGCCCAGTCTGGAGTGCCAGGTTCAAGGGATTCTCCTGCCTCAGCCTCCCAAGTAGCTGGGATTACAGGTGCCCGCCACCATGCCCAGCTAATCTTTTGTATTTTTAGTACAGACGGGGTTTCACCATGTTGGTCAGGCTGGTCTCGAACTCCTGACCTCAGGTGATCCACCTCTGTGGGATTTTTTAATGGCAGCCAAAGCTGACTCATACTGAACCCAGGGGCATGACTCCATGAGCTCAGAACCGGCTCAGAGCACTTTCAGGCTAAGTCCATGCTGGACAAAATAGGAACTGACAGAGATAAGGCAGACTCGCTCTCTGGGCTGGGGGGACACCTCCAGGAAGAGTGCAGGCTGGCCAGGAAGCAGGATCCTGGCTGGGGAGGGGCAGGATGGAGGGGAGGATTTTCCACCTGCCCGGAGGGACCCTTGGGGCCCCAGTGGCAAATCTTCCTCCCTCTGAGGTCACAGAACCACACTGAGAAGAAAGGGTTGCAAAGCTGGGACTATTCTCTGGAGCTAGGGAGGTGGGGACAGCGGTGCCATCCCCTGATCACGCCCATCATCCACTGGGGACCCCACCCAGTACCCTGAGGGGAGGGGTCAGAGGAGGGGGCAAAGGTCAGAGGGGGGGCAGTACCTTTAGCCGCTTGGCCTCTGGGCACTCTGTGTCCATCCAGTCTGTGGCCACCTCCCCCATCAGGCTCTCACCCTTGGCCATGTTCCTGGCGGACAATGGGAAGAGGGGATGTGAGGGGGACACTAGAGGTGTCCAGCTGGGAAGGAGGATTTGGGGTGGGGTCAGAGGTCTGAGTCAGGTCAAGGCGGGGTCCAGGGTTCACAAGGTCCCCGTAGTCAGGGACAGGGAGCGAGCAGGGTTCTCACTTCATGCCCAGCGCGTCCTGGCCCACGGGTTCCCGCCGGCCCTTGTGACCAGAGGCCACGTCCTTGTGCAGTGAGAAGCCCTCAGGGAACCAGAGGGTGCTGTGCTCGCGCTTGCGCCGGGCCACCATGACACCCAGGACGAGAATGACCAGCAGCAAGACAGCGCCCGCCACTAGCAGTGGCAGCAGCGGGACGCTGGGTTCTGGAGGCTCCAGCGGCTCCCCTAAGAGCAGGAAGCAGAGGGCGGGGCTTCAGCCGAGGGCGGGGCTTTGGCCTCAGGCGGGGCTTCGGCCGCCCCCAGCTCCGCCCCCGCCACCCCCTCCCCAAGGCAGGGCCGCACCCCGCACGTCCCGCAGTGGGTACGGGAAGTCCAGGCGCTCCACCGCTGACAACGCTCCCAGGTAGTCAGCGGCGCTCTGGGCATCGGGGAAGCAGTGATCATTCTCAGGCGACTGCAGGCAGAGCCGGTTGTCAATCTCCAGCATTACTACCGAGCTGCAGGGACAGCAGGGAGGGACCAGAGGGCTCAAAAATTGCCCGATGCACCCCCTGGTACCAAGCCCCACTTTCCCTCCCCAGCGCCTGGCTCTGAAGCGCCATCTCCACCCACAGGTCTCCATGGCCCACCTGCATCCACCTGGCATCCAACCCCACTGCACCCCTAAAACGTGTCTTGCTGTGGTCAGCAGTCCCCCCAGAGCCATGAATCCAATGGATATTATTTTTTGATCTTGCACCGAGGCTGGAGTGCAGTGGTGCGATCTCGGCTCACTGCAACTTCCCCTCCTGGGTTCAAGCGATTCTCCTGCCTCAGCCTCCCAAGTAGCTGGGATTACAGGCGTGTGCCACCATGCCCAGCTAATTTTTTTGTATTTTTAGTAGAGACGGGGTTTCACCACGTTGGCCAGGCTGGTCTTGAACTCCTGACCTCAAGTGATCCTCCCTGCCTTGGCCTCCCAAAGTGCTGGGATTACAGGCGTGAGCCGCCACTGTGCCTGGCCTGTTTTTTTTGTTGTTTGTTTGTTCTGTTTTGTTTTTTGAGACGGTTTCACTCTGTCGCCCAGGCTAGAGCACAGTGGCGAAATCAGAGCTCACTGTAGCCTTGACCTCCCGCCTTCAAGCAATCTTTCCACCTCATTCTCCCAAAGATCTGGGACCACAGACATGTGCCACCACACCTGGCTAATTTTTGGGGGGGGTTGGGGGTGGAGGCATAGAGATTAGGTGTCACTATGTTGCCCAGGCTAGTCTTGAACTCCGGGGCTCAAGCAATCCTCCCACCTCAGCCTCCCAATGTGCTGGGTTTACAGGCCTGGGCCACTACGCCCAGCCAAGGGACATTGTTTGTTTTTTGTTTTTGAGATGAAGTCTTGCTCTGTCGACAGGCTGGAGTGCAGTGGTGCAATCTCAGCTCACTGCAACCTCCGACTCCCTGGTTCAAGTGATTCTCTGCCTCAGCCTCCTGAGTAGCTGGGATTACAGGCACGCGCTGCCACGCCCAGGTAATTTTTGTATTTTTAGTAGAGACGGGGTTTCACCGTGTTGGCCAGGACATTGTATTTGTTTGTTTGTTTGCTTGTTTTGAGACAGAGTTTCACTCTTGTTGCCCAGGCTGGAGTGCAATGGTGCTATCTCAGCTCGCCACAACCTCCACGTCCAGGGTTCAGGCAATTCTCCTGCCTCAGCCTCCTGAGTAGCTGGGATTACAGGCATGCGCCACCACGCCCCAGTAATTTTGTATTTTTAGTATACACAGGGTTTCTCCATGTTGGTCAGGCTGGTCTTGAACTCCCGACCTCAGGTGATCCACCCGCCTCAACCTCCCAAAGTGCTGGGATCACAGTTGTGAGCCATCACACCTGGCCTCTTCCTCTTTTTTGAGCTAATTCCATTCATCCAATCCTTAGGTCTCCGTGTCCCCAGATTAATTCTTCTGTTCCTTCTCTCCCCACTCCTTTGAGTCCCTCTCATGGCTTCAATGATCATCAACACTTTTATATCTTTCTTGTTTGTGTCTTTAGCCCCCAGGTATCTCCTTGGAGGCCTTCCCAATACTTCCAGGTCCCTCAGACTCTGCAAGCTCCAAAATGACCTGTTTTTCACTTTGTGGCCCTATCACTCAGCTTAGCCAGGGGCTGGTACACCAACCACTCTCCTTCATCCCTCTACCCCTCCCCTTCCACCACCCACATCCCAATATCTGCAAAACCCAACCCTCCTCTCTGTATCAGAGACCCACCCCTCTCAGGTCTCTGCCTTCTCCTCAACAATAGCTACACCTCCCTTCTGGTACCTCTACCAGGCCACTAGCAGGATACTTCTATATTTTTTCTTTTTCTTTTTTTTTTTTTTTGAGACAGAGTCTGGCTCTGTTGCCCCGGCTGGAGTGCAGTAGCACAATCTTGGCTCACTGCAACCTTCACTTCCTGAGTTCAAGTGATTCTCATGCCTCAGCCTCCTGAGTAGCTGGGACTAAAGGCATACACCACCACGCCTGGCTAATTTTTTGTATTTTTAGTAGAGACAGGGTTTTGCCATGTTGCCCAGGCTGGTCTCAAACTCCTGACGTCAAATGAACTGCCTTCCAAAGTGCTGGGATTACAGGCGTGAGCCACCGAGCCCCTCCTATTTCTTTCTTCTTCTTCCTCTTCCTCCTCCTCCTCCCCCTCCCCCTCTTCCTTCTTCTTCCTCTTCCTCCCCCTCCCCCTCCCCCTCCCTCCTCCCTCTTCTTCTTCTTCTTCTTCTTCTTCTTCTTCTTCTTCTTCTTCTTCTTCTTTTTTTTTTTTTTTTTTTTTTTTAAGAGATCGGAGGCCGGGCATGGTGGCTCACGCCTGTAATCCCAGCACTTTGGGAGGCCGAGGCAGGTGGATCACGAAGTCAGGAGATCCAGACCATCCTGGCTAACACACTGAAACCCCGTCTCTTACTAAAAATACAAAAAATTAGCCAGGCATGGTGGCGGCCGCCTGTAGTCCCAGCTACTCGGGAGGCTGAGGCAGGAGAATGGCATGAACCCGGGAGGCGGAGCTTGCAGAAAGCCGAGATCGCGCCTCTGCACTCTAGCCTGGGCGACAGAGCGAGACTCCGTCTCAAAAAAAAAAAAAAAAAAAAAGAGAGAGAGAGATGGGAGTCTTGCTATGTTGCCCAGGCTAGATTTGAATTCCTGGGCTCAAGTGATCCTCCAAGTAGCTGGGACTACAAGAATATATTGTGCCCGGCTTTATCTTCTATGTCTTTAAGAAGAAGAAAATTAGCCCGGTGTGGTGGTGGATGCCTGTAATCCCAGCTACTCTGGAGGCTGAGGCAGAGAATTGCTTGAACCCAGGAGGCAGAGGTTGCAGTGAGCTGAGATCACGCCACTGCACTCCAGCCTGGGCGACAGAGACTCCGTCTCAAAAAAAAAAAAAAAAAGAAAAGAAGAAGGAGAAGGAGAAGGAGAAGGAGAAGGAGAAGGAGAAGAAGAAGAAGAAGAAGAAAAAAACCCTACACATGTATTTAACCACTCTGCCAAGCCACTTAGCAACCTGCCTCCCCACAAGCCAGCACTAGACCTGGGCAATTCTACCCCAGAAGCACTAGCTCCATCTGGAGGCATTTTTTGCTTGTCACAGCCAGGAGGCGGTGCTCCTGACATCTGGTGGGTAAAGGCATTAAGTGAAATGAAACACACAAGACCTGGATCAACAGCATCTCTCCTCTCCCCAGCCACCACGGCTTTTCCAGGTGGGGTCACTCACCCGATCACCTCGGGGGCCAGCTCCCGACGGGCCCGGGGTTCGGAGCCAGGACTAGGCCGGTGGTAAGGGAAGACCATGGCCTGGCCGTGCGCGTCCAGGCGGAAGCGCAGCGAGGTGCGCAGGATGGCGCTGAGCCGCTGCAGAAAGTCGGCGCTGGAACGCAGTAGCTCCTCTGGCGGCAGCAGCACTGTGAGCACCAGCACGCCGCGGGCCAGCAGGGCCGGCACCTCGCTGGCACAATCCAGCCCATCCCAGCCGCACTCCTCCGTGTTGCAGCCCTGGTCGCAGCGGCCGTCGGCAAAGTGGTCGGCGCAGTACTTCTCGTACACCGGGCTGGTGGGGAAGGGTGAGGCAGAGAGGGGCGGAGTCAGGGGTCAGAGGAGACAATCCCCTTCCATGCATTCACACCGTAGAGTACAGAGACTCCAGACAAGGCTTGCACAGGGGACTGGAATATACGGACCCATGCCAGGCTTTCTGCAAATCTTGCCATTCACTGGATAATTTTTTTTTTTTTTTTTTGAGACGGAGTCTTGCTCTGTCGCCCAGGCCGGAATGCAGTAGCATGATCTCTCAGCTCACTGCAGCCTCCACCTCCCCGGTTCCAGCGATTCTCCCGCCTCAGCCTCCCAAGTAGCTGGGATTACAGGCATGCACCACCACGCCCGTCTAATTTTTGTATTTTTAGCAGAGACGGGGTTTTACTATGTTGGCCAGGCTGCTGTTGAACTCCTGACCTCAGGTGATCCACCTGCCTCGGCCTCCCAAAGTGCTGGGATCACAGGCATAAGTCACCGCACGCAGCCCTTGATAATATTTTTTTAAATTGATTGATTGAAATGGGGTCTTGCTCTGTTGCCCACGCCGGAGTGCAGTGGTGCAATCATAGCTCTCTGCAATCTCAAACTCCTGGACTCAAATTATCCTCCCTCTTCAGCCTCCCAAGTAGCTAGGACTACAAACCCACACCACACTCCCGGCCTCACTGGCTAACTATTAATTAATCAGTAAATACTAACTGACTACCATGTGTTGGGCACTGCTGCAGGCACAAGGATAAGGCCCGGCCACAATTCCTGGTCCACGTGCAGCTGGCATTCCACTGGGTGAAGACAGATAGTAAGGGAGATACATGAGCCAAATATACAGCATCTCCATTACTCATCAATAAAATAAAAATACAGGCTGGGTGCGGTGGCTCATGCCTCTAATTCCAGCACTTTGGGAGGCCAAGGTGTACGGATAACCTGAGGTCAGGAGTTCTAGGCCAGCCTGGCCAAAATGGTGAAACCCCCGTCTCTACTAAAAATACAAAAATTAGTCAGGCATGGTGGCGGGCGCCTGTAATCCCAGCTACTCGGGAAGCTGAGGCAGGAGAATAGCTTGAACCCAGGAGGTGGAGGTTGCAGTGAGCCAAGATCACACCACTGCACTCCAGCCTGGGCAATGGGAGAGAAATCCTGTCTAAAAAAAAAAAAAAAAAAAATACATATATATATATATATATGTATATATATGTATATACACACACACACACACACACACACGCACGCACACACATAGTGCTGGATGGAATTAAATGCTAAGCAGAAAAATAAAGCAGAGGAAGGGCTGGGGGTGACCAGGGAGGTGCTCACTGAGAAGGTACCACCATTTCAGCAAAGACTTGAAGGAGGTGAGGGAGGAGCCATGTGGGGGAAGGGAACAGCCAGGCAGTAGGAACAGCTTGTGCAAAGGCCCTGATATGGGATCAAGCCTGGGGTATCTGGGAAACAGCAGAGAGGCCAGGGTGGCTGGAACAGAGTGAGTGAGGGGAAAGCAGAGAAGATGAGGATGTGGAGATTAAGGGGGTGGAGGGTTCCAAGCAGACAGAGAGGTACGCAGAGGACAGAAGGGGCAGGGTGTAGGGATGGACAGATGGACTGCCTAGGACAGACAGAGAGAGGGGCAGAAGAGGGGCAGAGATAGTCAGGGGCACCCACAGATAGCCATATAGAGGAGCAAAAAGAGTGCATGGATGGACAGATTCGGCCCAAGGATGGACAAACAGGAGTGGAGGAAGACAGTTGGGTACACAGAGGAACAAAAGCAATTTTTTTTTTTTTTTTTTTTTTTGGTGAGACAGAGATTTACTCTTGCTGCCCAGGCTGGAGTGCAATGGCACGATCTCAGCTCACCTCATCCTCCACCTCCCAGGTTCAAGCAATTCTCCTGCCTCAGCCTCCTGAGTAGCTGGGATTACAGCCATGTGCCACCACACCCGGCTAATTTTGTATTTTTAGTAGAGACGGAGTTTCACCATGTTGCCCAAGCTCAAACTCCTGACCTCAGGTGATCTGCCCTCCTCTGCCTCCCAAAGTACTGGGATTACAGGCGTGAGCACTGTGCCCGGCCAATAAAAGGAATTTTTAGGCTAGATGTGGTGGCTCAGGCCCACAATCCCAGCACTTTGAGAGGCTAAGCTGGGTGGATTGCTTTGAGCTCAGGTGTTCAAGACTAGCCTGGACAACATGGCGAAACCCCATCTCTAAGAAAAAGCACAAAAGTTACCCGGGCGCGGTGGCTCACACCTGTGGTCCCAGCTCCTAGGGAGGCTGAGGTGTGAGGGTTACTTGAGCCCAGGAGGTAGAGATTGCACTGAGCCAAGATCACACCACTGCACTCCAGCCTGGGCCACAGAGCAAGACCCTGTCTTAAAAAAAAAAAAAAAAAAAAAAAAAAGGAGCCAGGTGCGGTGGCTCACACCTGTAATCCCAGCACTTTGGGAGGCCAAGGCGGGCGGATCACAAGGTCAGGAGTTCGTGAGCAGCCTGGCCAATATGGTGAAACCCTGTCTCTACTAAAAATACAAAAAAAAAGCCAGGCGTGGTGGCAGGTACCTGTAGTCCCAGCTACTCGGAAGGCTGAGGCAGGAGAATCGCTTGAACCCGGGAGGCGGAGGTTGCAGTGAGCCAAGATGGAGCCATTGCACTCCAGTCTGGGCAAGAGAGCGAGACTCCGTCTTAAAAAAAAAAAAAAAAAAAAAAAGGAATTCGGCTGGGCACGGTGGCTCACACCTGTAATCCCAGCTACTCCAGAGGCTGAGGCAGGAGTACTGCTTAAACCCGGGAGGCAGAGGTTGCAGTGAGCCGAGATCGCGCCACTGCACTCTAGCCTGGGCCACAGAGCAAGACTCCATCTCGGGAAAAAAAAAAAAAAGTAATTATTGGATGGAGAAAAGGGCAGACAAACGGGGCAGAGAAGTGCATAGGCAGATAGAAACAAGAACAAGATAGACAGAGCACATGGATGAACAGACACACGGACAGACACGTGGGACACACCGATGGGCAGATAGAGTGCACAGAGAAACAGACGGGGCAAGTGGATGGGCAGGTGGAAAGAGAGGCAGGGCCCACGGACAAACAGACTGGGATGGATGCATAGACAGACGGATCGATCGGGTGGATGGGCTCACTTGCAAGTGCGCTCGCGGCCACCGGCGTGGCAGTCGAAGTTGTCGTAGAGGCAGGCGGGCGAGCTGCAGGCGGGGTCGCAGCGGCTGTTGTTGAAGAGGCGCCAGCACTGCAGCGCCTCGCATTGCCGCCAGGGGTCGCCCACGCTCAGCGAGCAGTCGCCGCCGTCCCAGCCGCAGCCTGGGCTGTTGCACTCGCGGTCGCAGCGCTGGTCCCCGCGCTTGGCCTGGCAGGCGGCGCGCGGGCACCGCGGCTCCTCCGAGACCTCGGGTGCCGCGGCGGGCGCCTCGCAGCGCGGCCCGGTCCAGCCCTGCGCGCAAGCGCAGCGGAAGAAGGGCGCGAGCGGCGCGGGGCGGCAGGAGCCCCCGTGGAGACAGGGGGCGGCCGCGCAGCTGGCGTTGCTGGCCCCCGGCGGCGACCCCGGGAAGCTGCGGCAGGAGGGTCCCGACAACCCTGGGGGGCAGGCGCAGCGCGGCCCGCGGGGCGTCTGCTGGCATGGGACGCCCACCGGGCACTGCAGCTCCCGGCAGGAGCGCGCCACCCGCTCGCAACGCGGACCCCAGAACGGCTGGGGGTCGGGTTTGGGGAGGGAGGGATAAAAATGAGGGTGGGGAGTGGAGGGAAGGAGGAGAAGAAATGGAGGAGTGGGGAAAAGAAGAGTCAAGGGGAGAGAGGGGGAAGAGAAGAGGTCAAGACTAAGGAAGGTTGAGACCCCCTCAACCTCCCCATGTCCCACCCAACCGCTCCCCTTTCCACACTGGAGACCCCACCTGGCAGATAAGCCCTGCCATCCCAGGAGGCCACGCCCCCCAATCACCATCCTCACCCTTTTCCCTTCAAACCTCCAGGAAATGTCGGGGCAGGGGGTTGTTTCTTTGTTTTTTGAGACGGAGTGTCACTCAGTCGCCAGGCTGGAGTGCAATGGCGTGATGGCTCACTGCAACCTCCGCCTCCCGGGTTCAAGTGATTCTCCTGCCTCAGCCTCCCGAGTAGCTGGGATTACAGGCAGCTGCCACTACGCCCGGCTAATTTTTATATTTTTAGTAGAGACGGGGTTTCACCATGTTGCCCAGGCTGGTCTCTAACTCCTGGCCTCAAGTGATCCTCCCGCCTCGGCCTCCCAATGTGCTGGGATTACAGGTGTGAGCTACCACACCCGGCGGAAATGTCAGCATTTTCCAGAAACTCCCTTCCCTTCGATGTCTCCCCTAAAGCCACATCCTCCTCCTAGACGCCACGCCCCTACTACTCCAGAGGCCACGCCCCTACTCCTCCTCCAAAGGCCGCCACCCACACCTACCTGGGCACAGTGACAGGTGAAGGTCAGCCCACCCCCAGGACCCGGGCTAGGACGGCACTGGCCTCCATGCTGGCATGGCTGGGACTCGCAGGGAGACAGGACAGTCTGACAGCGAGGACCTGAGCGAGCGGGAGCATGTAGATCAGCCACAATGGGGGAATGACAGGCGGGGTCCCAGGCCAGCCCCTTCGCCAACGCTTACCTGAGAAGCCAGCATGACAAAGGCAACGGAAACCTCCGCCTGGGTCCTGCAGGCAGTCCCGGGTGTGTGCCGCGTGGCAGGCACCTGAGCGACACTCATTGATGTCTGCCTCGCAGCGCAAACCAGTGTATCCTGGGGGACAGGTGCAGCGGAAACCACCCACCAGGTCCACGCAGGTGCCATTGTGTAGGCACCGGGGCCCTGAGTCCAGCGGTGGGCCTGGGCCGCAGTCATCCTCATTAATCTCGCAGAGCACCCCTGGGGGAAGAAACGAGGGGTGGTCAAGAGGGAATGAAGACAGCCTCTCATCCTGTCCCCCCAACCCTGGCCCTGGCATACCCAGCGTTCCTGGGGGACAGGAGCAGAGATAGCGGGCCACGAGGTCAATGCATGAACCCCCGTGCTGGCAGGGCTGGGAGGCACACTCGTCCACGTCGTCCTCACAGTTATCACCATTGTAGCCAGGAAGACACTTCAGTGGGGTAAGAGAGGGACCCACTCAGCTTAGTGGGACACAGACCCACCTGGACATACCCATGAAGACGCAAAGAACCCCAGCACAAAAGGACACACACAGATGTTCAGCGCACTACCAGTAGGTAATCCCAGCACTTTGGGAGGCCGAGGTGGGCAGATCACCTGAGATCAGGAGTTCGAGACCAGCCTGGCCAACATGGTGAAACCCTGTCACTATGAAAAATACAAAAATTAGCTGGGCGTGGTGGTGGGTGCCTGTACTCCCAGCTATAATGAGAGGCTGAAGCAGAAGAATCACCTGAACCCAGGAGGCAAAGGTTGCAGTGAGCTGAGATCGCGCCACTGCACTCGTCTGGGTGACAGAGTGAGAACCTGTCTCAAAAAAACAAACAAATAAAAAAACACCCCAGATCTACCCAGAGTGACACCCACAGATACACCAAGAGTCACAAAAGCAAAAACTCAGACATATCTAGAGACATACCCATACCAAGCCACACAGAAATGTGTGCCCAGACGCACCCAAGCATGCCCACCTCCTCTTCCCTCTCCTGGGGAGCGCCCCCTTACCTCACACATGTAGCCCCCCATATAGCCACGGCAGGTCCCCCCATGCTGGCAGGGCTGGGCCAAGCAGGGGTCCACCTCCTGCTCACAGTGGCTACCAGTACGGCCCTCTGGGCACACGCAGTAGTGGGAGCTGTCTTCATCCACACACTGCCCACCCGCCTGACACAGCTGCTCCAGCCGCACCCCTGCAAAGAGGAGAGTGGCACAGGAACAGAGGTAACCCCATACATCCCCCTTCTGCCTCCATCACACAGATCATTCAACATCCTTGGTGGAATGAGTCCCCAGGATCGCACCCACACTCCATCAGGTTGTCACACATCCCCCCAGCAGGCAAGGTCTCATCACTGACATACACACACATGCCTTCAACGCTCACAGCAGCTCGGTCACACCCTGTAGCACACACACCATCCCTGCTGTCTCACAGTGACAGACACACACCATCCCGGCCAGTTGTCACATGCTCACACACCCACACCACTCAGCCACACACCCCATCATGCCCCATAGGCTCTGTGGCACCCCCATTCGGCTCACACTAGCAGGAGGTACGTGCATGAGCCCCTTCCCAAGGCCCCACACGCCCGCCCACATGCTCCCACTCACCGATCTGGGCTGCGGCCTCCCTGCAGGGCAAGCTTCGGATGTCACAGAGGCGTCCGCTCCATCCAGGGGGACAAAGGCAATAGGCCCCAGTCTGGACGCAGCGACCCCCGTTTTGACAAGGCTGGCGGCTGCACCAATCCACCAGCGTCTGGAGGGGAAGCACTCAGAGTCAGTACTGTGGGGTGGGGGGTAGTCTGGGAGAAACTGTGCCCCGACTTGGCTTCTCCCTCCTAGGATCCCAGGCAGGCTCCTCCCCCAGGTCCCCAGTAACTCCACCCACCTGGCACTGCGGGCCCGTGAAGCTCTCGAGGCAGGTGCAGCGGAAGCCAGGGTGGGCGGCGCTGCAGACGCCCCCGTGTAGGCAGGGCCGCGAGAGGCAGGGGTCTGCCTCATGTTGGCAGTGGGCTCCTGTGTAGCCGGGACGGCACAGGCAGCTGAACGAGTTCACGCCGTCCACACAGGTCCCGCCATTGAAGCAGGAGCTGGAGCGGAAGGAGTGGGAGGGAGGATCAGGCTCCGCCCCCTCACAGGCCCTGCCCTCCTTCCTGAGTCCCGCTGTTAGCGCTGGGGACGTCCCACTCCCTGACCCTTATCTCGGCAAGAAGCTGCAGCCCCAGCAGAAGCCAATCAGGTCCCTTAGCTCCAATTCACCAGGGACTTCAGCCCTAAGGTGAGAGCCACCTGGAAGCCATGCCCTCTCAGGCACCAGAGACTCCAAGGTGAGCTCCAAACAGACGCCCTGCTCCTTCCCTGGCCCTGCCCCATCAGTCATCAGAGTCCGCAGTGGGTACCAAGCTGAGGACTCCCCCAAGTCGTTGCTGTCCCCACTTCGTCCCAGGTCCCAGGCCCCATCCCAAGCCAGAGTCCCTGCTCTCCAAGCAGAGGCCCCGCCCACCTGGGGCTGCAGTCGGGCAGGTCCTGTTCGCAGTGGAAGCCTCCGTAGCCTGGCGGGCAGGTGCAGGTGAAGGAGGCCACGTGGTCGGTACAGGTGCCCGGGCCGCAGGGGTTGCTCAGGCACTCATCCACATCGCGGGCGCATCGTGGGCCGGCGAAACCAGGGAGGCAGGAGCAGGAAAAGGAGCCCACGCCGTCTTGGCACGAGCCACCGTTCAGGCATGGGTCTGCGGACAGGAGGAAGGCGGTCTGGTCACCTACCTTGCCCCCATTAGCCCAGTCTGACTGGGATATGCCTTGGATTGAGAAGAATTCAGGAGGAAACCAGGTTCAACTGGGATGGGGTGCATTTGGTCAGAGGAATCTAAATCCATCCCCTTCTGTGGCCTCGTCCCCTCCTTTATCTGGAAACCTCACCTATGTGGCAAGGGCAGGATGTTGGGAAAACCAAAAGGTCCCTTTAAGCTGCCAAGCAAACGCTGCTAATTGTGCCTGATCTAATTCCTGTGCTTGGAACAGGACAAGGACAGTGGCCATTAGCCACATGTGGCTACTGAGTCCTTGAAATTGTGACTAAATGGAGATGTGCTATAAATGTAAAATACATACTGGGTTTCAGATTTTGAAGACTTGGTATGAAAAAAAAAATAGGCTGGGCGTGGTGGCACACACTTGTAATCCCAGCACTTTGGGAGGCCGAGGTGGGCAGATCACTTGAGCTCAGGAGTTCGAGACCAACCTGGGCAACATGGCAAGACCCCATTTCTATAAAAAATACAAAAATTAGCTGGGCATGATGGTGCACACCTGTAGTCCCAGCTAGTGGGGAGGCTGAGACGGGAGGATCACTTGAGCCTGGGAGGTCAAGGCTGCAGTGAGTCATGATCGCACCACTGCACTCCAGTCTGGGCGACAGAGTGAGAACTTGTCTCAAAAAAAAAAAAGGAAACAATGTAAAATATCTCATTAACAATTTTATACTGGTTACATGTTGAAATGATATGTTAATATATTGGGTTAAATAGATTATATACATTTATTTATTTATTTATTTATTTACTTTTATTTTTATTTTTATTTTTTTTGAGATGGGGTTTCGCTCTTGTTGCCCAGGCTGGAGTGCAATGGCACGATCTCAGCTCACCACAACCTCCGCCTCCCGGGTTCAAGTGATTCTCCTACCTCAGCCTCCTGAGTAGCTGAGATTACAGGCATGTGCCACCACGCCCAGCTAATTTTGTGTTTTTAGTAGAGACGGGGCTTCTCCATGTTGGTCAGGCTGGTCTCAAACTTCTGACCTCAGGTGATCCACCTGCCTCAGCCTCCCAAAGTGCTGGGATTACCGGTGTGAGCCACTGCGCCCAGCCGATTATATACATTCAATAAATTAAATTTAAATATATTAAATTTGGTCAGGCACAGTGGCAGCAGTCTGAGAGTCCAAGGCAGGAGGATGGCTTGAGGCCAGGAGTTTGAGACCAGCCTAGACAACGCAGTGAGACCCCATCTCTACAGAATTAAAATAAAAATATTAGCTAGGCATGTAGTGAGTGCCTGTAATCCTAGCTACTCAGGAGGTTAAGACAGGAGGAATGCCTCAGCCCAGGAGTTCGAGACTGCACTGAGCCAAGATCGCACCACTGCACTCCAGCCTGGGCGACAGAGCCTCACTCTGAATACATAATAAATAAATAAATATAAAATATTAAATTTAATATCTCCCATTTCTGTTTATTTTTTAATGTGGCTACTAGAAAATTTAAAATTGCATATGTGGCTTGTGTTATTTATCTGTTTGGCAGCACCCCTTTTTGTTTGTTTGTTTGTTTGTTTGTTCGTTTTTGAGACGGAGTTATGCCTTGTTGCCCAGGCTGCAGTACAATGACACAATCTCAGCTCACCGTAATCTCCACCTCCAAGGTTCAAGTGATTCTCCTGCCTCAGCCTCCCAAGTAGCTGGGATTACAGGCATGCGCCACCATGCCCTGCTAATTTTGTATTTTTAGTAGAGATGGGGTTTCTCCATGTTGGCCAGGCTGGTCTCAAACTCCTGACCTCAGGTGATCCGCCCACCTTGGCCTCCCAAAGTGCTGAGATTACAGGTGTGAGCCACCTCGCCCGGCCTCTGGGGGGCCTTTTATCTCATACTTTGCACATGATATTAACTCGATTGCTCTCAAAGACAGTGCACTTAGGTCGGGTGTGGTTGCTCACGCCTGTAATCCCAGCACTTTGGGAGGTGGAGACAGGTAGATTGCTTGAGCCCAGGAATTGGAGACCACCGTGGGCAACATGGCGAAACTCCGTCTCTACAAAAAACACAAAATATTAGCTGGGCGCTGTGGTGTGCGCCTATAGTCGCAGCCACTGGGGAGGCTGAGGTGCTTGAGCCCAGAAGGCAGAGGTTGCAGTGAGCGATGATTGCAACACTGCACTCCAGCGACAGAGCTAAGACTCTGTCTCAAAAAAAAAAAAAAAAAAAAAAAAAAAAGAGGCAGCACACAGACTCCAAGGTTCTAAGCCCAGCTCATTCCCTAACTCGTTCCATGGGCTTGCACAAGAAGTCACTCAACCTCCTCGGGCCTCAGTTTCCATATAAATAAAACGGGAAAAGTAAGATAACTGTGAAGATGAAATGACAGCACAGTGCCAGGCACACAGTTCAAGCTTAATGACTGTGTTCCCCAGAGCAGCACCCCCAAGAGCTCCCCTGCACTCACTGGGGTCACAGTCATTGATGTCCTGATCGCAGGAAGGGCCAGTGTACCCTCCATGGCAGGTGCAGCTGAAACTCCCTGCCAGGTTGGTGCAGATACCATGAGGGCCACAGGGTGCGGGGCCAGCACACTCGTCCACATCCTGCTGGCATCGTGGGCCTGGGGGTAGGGAGCAAGGTTACACCTAGGGTTACAGGGTACAGAGCAGGGTCTCAGGGACCTGGGGCTCAGGAAGAACCTGCAGGCCGAGATGGGTGAAGGCAAAATAAGCCGTGCTGTCATTCGTGTCTGGGCATTTTGCATATGCAGTTTCAGAATGGCCGTCTCCCTGTCTCAGTAGGTGGCAAATACCTACTATGAGGTCTGCTCCTCCAGGAAGCTGTACCCTAAACCCCGCCCTAAGTCCCAGCATCTCTAGCCCCATAACTCTTCCTCTTCCAAGGGCTGACCCACACAGGCTGCATATCAGTGTCCAGCTCTGTCCTTCCAAGAAGGAAGCCCCTCTCAAAGGCAGGGCTGGGGATGGGTCCCTCTCTGGATCCCCAGCATCATCCCTGATAGGGTAGGGGGCAGAGGAGATGGAGAGGAGGAGGGAAGAGAAGCAGGTGGCATACCTTGCCAGCCCTGGGGGCAGGAGCAGACAGGCAGCTGGCCAGGGGCAGACTCGCAGCGGCCCCCATGCTCACAGGGGTTCGGGGTGCAGGGGGAGAGGAGTTCACACTGACGTCCTGTTGGGGGTGGAAGAGAGGGAAGCAGAGATAGCCTTGAGGGACTCCCTGATCCCATCTCCCCCCACCTCCCCCAACCCCAGGGTCCCCACCTTGATACCCACCTCCCAAGCTCCTGGAGGGAAATGATTGAAAGCAAAAAAGAAGCTAACATAGCGGGAGGAGAGAGTAGAGGAGAAGAGAGATGAGAAGGCCCATGGTGTTGGTGGGGCTGCAGAGGGAAGGTGAGGTACACACCCTGGACACCAGGCGGGCAGGTGCAGTGGAAACCCATTCCATCGCTGCTGCATGTCCCACCGGCCCTGCACGGCTGGGACTCACAGGCGTCTCGGGCCAGGCTCTGGCTGCAGCGGGGGCCACTCCAGCCAGGCTCACACACACAGCGGAACCTGGCAGGGGAAGGTAGTCAGGCCAGGGAGGTGGGCCAGGGAGAGGGGGCAGTGTCTGAGGCTGAGAAGGGCCCTCACCCGCCAGGTGCATCATAGCAGATGCCGTGACTGCAGGGCTCATGGGCACAGGGATGGCTCGGGGGGAGGCAGAGTGGGGGCAAGGAGCCAGGCGGGCAGAGGCAGCGGAAGCCATTTTCCCCATCCACACAGGAACCTCCCTCGCCGCATGGGCTGGAAGCACACTCATTGATCTCCACGTTACAAAGGGGCCCTGGGGAGTACACAAGCAATCTCATCTCAGAACAAAGTCAGCAGGGACAACCAGGGAGGGACGACGTGACCCCACTTAGCACACCCACACCCCCGAGCAATGACCTCTTTTTCATAACGCATCAGCTCTTGTGCAGATTAGGACACCCGCCTCCTCAACCAAGAGCTGACTTGCCCCAGATCATTCTGGTCCCCAAACTTCCATGAAGTCCCTTTCTTTTTCTTTTCTTCTTCTTCTTATTTTTTGAGATGGGGTCTCACTCTGTCGCCCGGGCTGGACTGCAGTGGCATGATCATAGCTCACCACAGCCTCCACTTCCTGGGCTCAAGCGATTCTCCCACCTCAGCCTCCCGAGTGGCTGGGACTACAGTTGCGCACCACCACGTCTGGCTAATTGTGTGTGCATGTGTGTGCGTGTTTATCTACGTATTGACTAATCTGGCTTTGGGAGTGTGTTTATTTTTTGTAGAGACAGGGTTTCATTATGTTGCCCAGGCTAGTCTCGAACTCCTGGGCTCAAGTGATCCTCATGTCTCAGCCTCCCAAAGTGCTGGGGGATTACAGACATGAGCCAACACACCTAGCAAAGTCACATTCATTTCCACTAAGGATTAGTTTAGACCCATTCAGAAATAACCTAGTCACTGAGTTTGGACACTTTCATCTATGTTCCAGAATAATCTTTTTGTTTGTTTTTGTATGTGTGTGTGTGTGTGTGTGTGTGTGTGTGTGTGTGTGTGTTTGAAATGAAGTCTCACTCTGTCGCCCAGACTGGAGTACAGTGGCACAATCTTGGCTCACTGCCGCCTCCGCCTCCTGAGGTCAAGCAATTCTCCTGCCTCAGCCTCCCGAGTAGCTAGGACTACAGGCGCCCACCACCACACCCGACTAATTTTTGTATTTTTAGTAGAGATGGGGCTTCGCAACGTTGGCCACGCTGGTCTCGAACTCCTGACCTCAAGTGATCCACTTGCCTTGGCCTCCCAGAGCGCTGGGATTACAGGCGTGAGCCACCGCGCCCAGCCTGCAGAATAATCTCGAAACAACCTTATGCCAATGAGACAGCACAGACTCAGGGCAAAGCACGGACAACCTCGTTGGACAAGAGTCTGCAAAGATACGGGCAAAACAGGCCCACAGAGACGAGTGACTTCACCCTCGATCTAAGGACCCCCTCTCATGGCAGCCACTTGCCCACCTGTGAAGCCAGGTTGGCAGACACAGTCGTAGCGGTTGATGCCATCACGGCAGACTCCAAAGGTGCAGGGGTTGCTGGCACAGTCGTCAATGTTCACTTCGCAGTTCACACCTAGGGGCCAGGAACATGGCATGGAGTGGCCACCACTGTGCCCCACTAGATGCACCATTCCCAAACCCTCTGTGCCCCTCCAGGTGTGCTGTTTCTGCCCCAGCCCCCGGTCCCACCTGTGGTCCCAGAAGGGCAGCGGCAGAGGTACTTGTCCACCAGGTCTAGGCATTTGCCGCCATGGCGGCAGGGCTGGCTGCGGCATTCGTCCACCTGGCTCTCGCAGCGTGTGCCCGTGTAGCCAGGAGCACAGGCACATGAGAAGCTGGCGATGCCATCCACGCAGCGACCATGGTGGCATGGGTCAGGGGAGCAGTCGTCCACGTTGCGATCACACAGCGTGCCCTCAAAGCCTGTGGGGCCAAGAGGGTCAGGCTCCGCCCACTTGCCAGGGGCCTGCCCACAAGTGAGGCCTCGGACCAATCCTGGTTCAGCTCTATCTGAGGCCCTGCCCATCAAGCTGTCAGGAGGCGAGCTCAATACAGGCCCCACCCCCCACCCCCCACTTACTTCCACTCCACCCCACTACAAGCTCCAGAATTTGTCCCTAGCCAAGACTCTCCCACAGTTAAATCCCGCCCCCAGCTGTGGCCCCACCTCCAGCCCTGTTTCTGCCCCACCCTCCACTGGAGATGGGAGCACATGGCAGGTGCCAGGGGAAGGTATTGGGCCCTCCCCATTCAGTTACAGGCACCCTGTGCCCAGCCCAACACTTTGGCTCCACACGTAGCCTTATGTCAGTCTATATGCATTATTGGCTCCACCCCCCAACTCTGTCACTGGGTCCTGCCTTGCTACAACCCCGCCCCCAAGCTCTCCCCAAGTCTGTTATTGGCCCTGTCGCCCACAAGCCCCGCCTCCTGATTCTTGTCGGACTGTCATTGGCCCGCCTCACCCTCGGCACAGCGGCACTCGTAGCCATCGGGCTGGTCCACGCATTTGGCGCCATTCCTGCAGGGCGTGCTGGCGCATTCGTCCACGTCCAGCTGACACGTGGAGCCGCTGAAGCCTGGGGTGGGGAGTGGGATGAGCAGAGGCCCAGAAAGGGTGAGAGCAGTACACCCCTCTCCAGCCCCGCCTTGTTTGGGTGGAAAAACCCATTTACTTGGATTTAAATTAACTTCAATGTTTCATAACATATGGTTTCTATTGTAAGTTATCCGCTAACGTGGTTTTACAGGTTCCCACCCTGGAGTTTTTGCCCCTTCCCAGACATGTCTTTTCGGGCTCCCTCTCCTGAGGTCCTCACCCGAGGGGCAGGTGCAGCTGAAGCCATTGACTCGGTCCTTGCAGACCCCACCGTTGACACAGGGGCTACTCTGACACTCGTCAATGTCCACCTCGCAATAGGTTCCTGTGAAGCCTGGGGCAGGGAATAGGGCTTAGGAAAGCGGGGGCTACCCTATGGTGTGAACGGGGTGCAAGGAAGGAGGTACTTCCCTTCCTACTCATCGACAAATCCCCCGAGCCTTCGTCCCCACCTCTACACTCCCAGCCCAACCTTAATTTTCAGCCACAGGCTGGACTGTCACCCAGCCGTGGTCCCAACTGGCCCAAGGCTCATGGGTGTCCGCAGAGGCCTTGCCTTCAAACCCCTCCTCCTCTCCCCAGTCCTCAGACTAAGCCCTTTCCCCAGTCCCCAGCCCCCAGCCCCAGGGCCCCCCATAGCCTTTGCCCAGGCTTACTGCAAGCTTGTCTGCAGGCTTCACCTTGACCTCACAGCAGCCCCGACTCTGCCTCTCTATCCCCAACCCCTTCCCGAGTGGGTCCTAAGGCCAAGAATACTCCCAGCCCACCTGAGGTTCTACTGACTCCATTTGACCAAGCCCCCAGAATCACACAGTATTCCCTTCTGGTCCTGACCCCACCTCCTTCCAGGCTTCAGTCTCTAAGGGTCCCACTCCAAACCCACTTACACCCCATTCTGCTCAGCTCCCCATCCGCGGGCTTCTCTGTCCCCGCCCCCTGCCTCAGGACCCGCCCAGGCCACGCCCACCACCCACCTGCCATACAGATACAGGTGAACTGGCCTATGCGGTCGAGGCACGTGGCCTGGTTTCGGCAGGGCCCCGACAGACACTCGTTGACATCGGTCTCACAGCGAGGTCCAGTGTAGCCACGACCGCACTGGCACAGGAAGGAGCCCTGCGTGTTCACGCACCTGCCCAAGTGCTCGCAGGGGTTGGCGCCTGCCGGATGGAGTGCGATCGGTGTGGGCGTGGCTGGCCGGGACCCCCTCCTCTCCCCTCTTTCCCAGCCCATTCACAGACGATGGAGCTCCCCTCACCGATAGAGCACTCGTCCACATCCTGGTCACATGCCCCACCCGTGAAGCCGGGAGGACAGGTGCAAATGGCCCGGCCGTTCACCGGATTTGTGTCACAGATAGCATCCTCGTGGCAGGGGTTGCTGACACAGGCGTCATCCAGGTGACACAGGAGGCCTGGGAAGTGGTAAGCAGAAGTCATAGGCAGATCTTCCTGCTCTGCCCAAAAGGCCCACACCCCTTGAGTATTGTTTTGTCGTTGTTGTTGTTTTGTTTTGTTTTTTGAGACGAAGTTTCGCTCTTGTTGCCCAAGCTGGAGTACAATAGCGCGATCTTGGCTCACTGTAACCTCCACCTCCCAGGTTCAAGCGATTCTCCTGCTCAGCCTCCCGAGTAGCTGGGATTACAGGCATGTGCCACCACGCCCGGCTAATTTTTTGTATTTTTAGTAGAAACGGGGTTTCACCAAGTTAGCCAGGTTGGTCTCAAACTCCTGACCTCAGGTGATCTGCCTGCCTCAGCCTCCCAAAGTGCTGGGATTACAGGCGTGAGCCACCGCGCCCGGCCTGTTGTTTTTATTAAACCTAAACAGTATTTAGTAGCTGCTTTTTTAATCCATTTATTATGAGAACTATCAAACATACAGAAAAGTTGACCATTCATATACCCACCACCTAGATTCAACTATTGTTAGCTTAATCTACCAATCTTCTTTTCTAAACCATTTAAAAATAAATTGCAGACCGGGCACAGTGGCTCACGTCTATAATCCTAGCACTTTGGGAGGCCAAGGTGAGTGCATCGCTTGAGTTCAAGAGTTCAAGACCAGCCTGGGCAATATAGTGAGACCCGTCTCTACAAAAAATACAAAGCTTAGCCGGGCATGGTGGCGCACGCCTGTAATCCCAGCTACTTGGGGGACTGAGGTGGGAGGATCACTTGAGCCCAGGAAGTCGAGGCTGCAGTGAGCTGAGATCATGCCACTGTACTCCAGCCTGGGTGACAAAGTGAGACTCTGTCTCAAAAATAAAATAAAATAAATTGCAAACATCCACATATTGTTTTAAAACCTTTTGACTCTTCTGATTACAAAAGGGTCCTACACTCCAGCCTTTGCTTCTGTAATACCCTCTGCCATGTATGCCCTCTTTCTATATCCACGTTCCCCTCCTAAACATGTTCTCTGATCTTTGCCACTTCCAAAGGTAACTCCCAGGAGTTCCCCATTCCAATGGCTTCTGCCCTGAGCCATGCATCAGTGCAATGTCAGCCTCCTCCCAAGCCTCTCCCAGGCTTACACTTCCCCACTAAAGCTGCCTCCAGCATCATCTTTTTTTCTCTCTCTTTTTTGTTATACACGGTCTTACACTGTCTCCCAGGCTGGAACGCAGTGGCTCAGTCTCAGCTCACTGCAACCTCCACCTTCTGGGCTCAAGCCATCCTTCAACCTTAGCATCCAGAGTAGCTGGGACTACAGGCATGCGCTACCATGCCCAGCTAATTTTTTGTATTTTTGGTAGAGATAGGGTTTTGCCATGTTGCCCAGGCTGGTCTCAAACTGCTGAGCTCAAGCAATCTACCCGCCTGGGCCTCCCAATGTGTTGGGGTTACAGGCGTGAGCCACCACACCCAGCCTACCAAGTTTTTGTAGAGATGACAAAAACTCACTATGTTGTCCAGGCTGGTCTCAAAGTCCTGGGCCCAAGCGATCCTCCCATCTTGGCCTCCCAAAGTGCTGGGATTACAGGCATGAGCCACTGTGCCCGGCCTAGCATAATCTTTTTTTTATTTTTTAAATTTGAGAAGGAGTCTCACTCTGTCACCCAGGCTAGAGTGCAGTGGTGCAATCTTGGCTCACTGCAATCTCCACCTCCTGGGTTCAAGCTACTCTCGTGCCTTAGCCTCCTGAGAGACTTGGATTACAGGTGTGCACCACCACGCGCAGCTAATTTTTGTGTTTTTAGTAGAGATGGGGTTTCACCATATTGACCAGGCTGGTCTCAAACTCCTGACCCCAGTGATCCGCCCGCCTGGGCCTCCCAAAGTGCTATGATTACAGGCATGAGCCACTGTGCCCAGCCTAGCATAATCTTTCTAACACTCAAGTCAGACTTCTTATTTGCCCTCACTAAAAACCATCCATGGCTCCCTGCAGAGAAAACGGCCACTCACCAGTCTTGCCCATGGGGCAGGCACAGTAGAAAGAAGCCACGCGGTCATGGCAGGTGGCCCCATGGAAGCACACGGCTGTGGCACAGTCATCGATATTCTGACTGCAGCTCTCGCCTGTCCAGCCATTGACACACACGCAGCTGTGGCCACCCAGCGTGTTGAAGCAGGTACCCCCATTGTGGCAGGCGTTGGGCTGCAGCTGACACTCATCCACGTCCTCCGTGCAGAACTGGCCTGTGGCACACAGATGCAGCAGTCCAGCCACCTGGCGCATGTCCACCCGAGGCCTGCCTCCCCGCTCCCTCTGGCCGCAGTGCCCACCTGTCCACTCAGGAGGGCACTGGCAGTTATAGGTGTTGACGCCATCCACGCATGTCCCCCCATTGAGACATCGGTGTCCTGGACAGTCGTCCACGTTCACTTCACAATTCTGACCCTCAAACCCTAGCAGGGAAGGGGGCAAGGATGGTCACCGCCGGGCTGGCCTGCTGTCCCCACGCCCACCCCTCTGACTCTCCTGAGTAGGGCTCACTCACCAGGAAGACAGGCACAGTCGTAAGTGAGGTCGCCACTCTGCCTGCAGGTGCCCCCGTTACGGCATGGTGAGGGTGCACAGGGCACCGCGGGGTTCTCACATAGTGGCCCTGTGTAGCCAGCTGGACACTGGCAGCGGAAGGAGCCAGGTGTGTTGAGGCAGGTGCCACCATGGCGGCAGGGCTCACCCACCCGGCACTCATCCACGTCGCTTCGGCAGCTGCGGCCCTGGTAGCCAGGTGGGCAGGAGCAGAGGAAGCGTCCATCGGGCCCCACTGAGCAGCGGGCACCGTGGGCACAAGGGCTGCTGAGGCAGGGATCTGGCAGGGAGCAGTCAGGGCCTGGAGGGACCAGGACAGGGTGAGTTTAGGACTGACCACACCCCCGACTACCTCCCCTCCAGACTCTTCCCCTCTCACCTCGGAAGCCACGGGGGCACCGGCATGAGAATCGGGCGGTGCCAGCCACCACTGAACTCTGGCAGACACCACGGCCAGCACAGGGGCCTGAGTGACAGGGGTCCTCCAGCTGACACCGCTCACCCACCCAGCCAGGCGGGCACCTGTGGGCAGAGATGGCTTGGTTGGGCAGCACAGGGCAGGATGGCCCCAGACACAAAGATACACACAAGACAGGCAAGAAACACGCAGGGAAACAGAGCAGCAAACACACATTTGCTGGGAGCAGTGGCTCACGCCTGTAATCCCAGAACTTTGGGAGGCTGCGGCGGGCAGATCACTTGGGGTCAGGAGTTCAAGACCAGCCTAGCCAACATGGTGTAACCCCGTCTCTACTAAAAGTACGAAACTTTGCTGGGCATAGTGGTGCGTGCCTGTAGTCCCAGCTACTCAAGAGGCTGAGGCAGGAGAATTGCTTGAACTCGGGAGGTGGAGGTTGCAGTGAGCCAAGATCGCGCCACTGCACTGCAGCCTGGGTGACAGAGTAAGACTCGGTCTCAAAGAAACAAAACAAAACAAAACACACATTCATTCATGCAACGAATATTTACTGAGTACCTACTACGTTCTGAGCAATACAAATACAGCAACAAACACAATGAAAGGGGTCCCTATCCCTCTGGATCCTTGCAGCCAGGTCCAGGCAAGGAGAACATATACGAATAACAAATTAATATACAACATGCTGGCAGGGGGCGGTGAAAGCCATCAGAACCATGAAGGATGTAGTCAGTTGGGTCACAGCCCCTGAAAAGATGACATCCATGTCCCAGAACCTGTGACTAGGACCTTACTTTTTTTTTAAATGGCTCTTTGCAGATGTAATTTTTTTTTTTTAAGAGACGGAGTCTTGCTCTGTCACCCAGGCTGCAGTGCAGTGGCGCGATCTTGGCTCACTGCAACCTCCACCTCCCGGGGTTCAAGCAATTCTTTGTCTCAGCCTCCTGCGTAGCTGGGAGTACAGGCACACGCCACCAGGCCTGGCTATGCAGATGTAATTAAATGAGAGATGTCAAGATGAGATTATTCTGAATTATCCACCTGGGCCCTAAATTCAGTGACAAGTGTTCATACAAGAGAACGGCTCACAACTGTAATCCCAACACTTTGGGAGGTCAAGACAGGATAATCACTTCAAGCCAGAAGTTCAAGATCAGCTTGAGCAACATAGGGAGACTTTTTTTCCACAAAAAAAAATTAAAAATTATAACCGGGCATGGTGGCAGGAGCCTGTAATCCCAGCTACTCTGGAGGCTGAGGCAGGAGAATCGCTTGAACCCAGGAGGCGGAGGTTGCAGTGAGCCGAAATTGCACCACTGCACTCCAGCCTGGTTGACAGAGGGAGACTCCATCTCAAAAAAAAACAAAAAACAAAAAAAACAAACAGGCCAGGCGCAGTGGCTCATGCCTGTAATCCCAGCACTCTGGGAGACTGAGGTGGGCGGATCACGAGGTCAGGAGTTCAAGACCAGCCTGGCCAATATGGTGAAACCTCGTCGCTACTAAAAATACAAAAATTAGCTGGGCGTGGTGGTGCACTCGTGTAGTCCCCGCTACTCAGGAGGCTGAGACAGAAGAATTGCTTGAACCTGGGAGGCGGAGGTTGCAGTAAGCCGAGATCGTGCCACTGCACTCCAGCCTGGGTGACAGAGAGAGACTCCACCTAAAAAATAAAAATAAAAGATTAGCTGGCCGTGGTGGCTCACACCTGTAGTCCCAGCTTCTTGGGAGGCTGAGGTGGGAGGATCGCTTCAGCCTGGGAGTTGAAGGCTGCAGTGAACTAAGATTGCACCACTGCACTCCAGCCTGGGTGACAGAGCAAGACTCTGTCTCAAAAAAAGAGAGAGGCAGCCAAAAGGAGATTTGGGTGGGAGAAGGAAGAGAAGAAGACAGAGACAGGGACTGGAGTGAGACAGCCACTAGCTGAGAAACGTCTGGAGCCACCAGAAGCTGCAAGAGTCAGTTCTCCCCTGGGTCCCCATGGAGAGGCTCAGCCCTGCCGATATCTTGATTTCAGACTTCCAACCTCCAGAACTTCAAGAGAATAAATTACTATTGTTCAAGCTACCCAGTTTATGGTAATTTGTTAGAGCAGCCGTAGGAAGCTAAACCACAGGGTTAAGGGGGATAGAATGATGGGGTCAAGGAGGTGGAATTCTATTTTCACAGACATATGAAGGTAAGGAGGGGGCCATGGGGCTTTCTGGGGAACGGCATTCCAGGCAGAGGGAACAGCAAATGAAAAGTCTCAGACCCATGTCCAAGCGCGGTGGCTCACGCCTGTAATCCCAACACTTTGGGAGACCGAGGCAGGTAGATCACCTGACATCAAGAGTTCGAGACCAGCCTGACCAACATGAAGAAACTCCGTCTCTACTAAAAACACAAAAAATCAGCCAAGTGTGGTGGCACATGCCTGTAATCCCAGCTACTCCGGAGGCTGAGGCAGGAAAATCGCTTGAACCCAGGAGATAGAGGCTGCAGTGAGCCAAGATCGAGCCACTGCACTCCAGCCTGGGCAACAAGAGCGATACTCGATCTCAAAAAAAAAAAAAAAAAGGAAAAGGAAAAAAAGAAGTCTCAGACCCCAGGACACAACCACGCAGGCACACACAGACAGGCCCAGAAACCACAGCTACACACACAGAGGGACACACCAATTGGACGCCATGGCCTGGCCAGCACTCAAGACACCAACCCACAGCATCCCACGCGGAAATGAGCAACTCTCACTCACAGGGACAGACAGCAGGGCTCCCACAAACCCTCAAGTCCCTTCTCTGGGACTTATATAGCCTCTTATGCAGGGATGGGAGGGTGGAGGGTTGGGGTACTGACACCACTGTTGGTACCCTCATCTTGGGGGGGTGGTCCTTCAACCTGCAGCCCCCTCCCCAAGCCCACCAAGGAGTGTGAGGAATTGGAACTGGGAGGGGTTGGTCTTAAGACTGGAAATCTCCAAGGGGCACTAGCGGGGTCAGAGGGAGGGGCTTAGAGAAGCCAGAGAGTCCAAGCTCCGCCCCCCGACGCTGCCAACCCTCACCCCCCTCTATCCCCCCACCCTCCGCCCCTGGCGCGGTTGTCCTCCCTCCGGCTTGTCCCAGACGCCTGAGACTGAACTCAACAAGCGGCTGACTCAGTCCTTAGCGTCACCCGCAAGATCCCCCCCACCCCGGCCCCCAGCGAAACAGGTCGGGGCACGGCCGAGCAAGCAAGGGTGCGGGTGGCGTTGGGAGGGGAGGGCACAGCTCCCGTCCCCTCCTCCAAGGCCCGCAGGGCGACCACTGCGGCCCCGACCGCGCGTCGGGAGGGGGCGCGCTGCGCTGGGCGCCGAGGATAGCTGGTCCCACCGCCAGGCAGGGCGCGACCCGCGCGGGCCCCCTCCCGACGCCCCGGGCGGGTTCCCACGCTCTGCGTCCCGCGCCCCCGCCGACCGGTCGGGCCGGTTCCAGCCCCAGCCCGCGCCCCGCCCCACGGCCTAAGCTTTGGGGGAGACGGAGGGGGGAGCGCAGACCTAGTTAGGGGGGGCACGGCGGGTGAGGCGAGGACTAGGAGATGGGGACGAGGTCTATGGAAACGTCTGCTGCCGGTGGGGGGGTCTTGGGGGATCCATGGGTGGGGTGACAGCTTGGGGGCATCCTTGAAAGGACTTGAGTATTTGAGACCGTGAAAGAGACTCGTGGGGGGTGGAGGGCGTGTAGGGAGTGGTTCCCACAGCCCAACTCGGAGGACTGAGCCCGCTCCACTCCGGGCGATCCGGGCTCCGGGCGCCGCGCGCGCCGGTGATTCACCTGTCGAAGGGCGGGGCAGCCGCGGGCTCATTCACCTGTCGGCAGTATTCCAGGCGCGGAGCTCCACTGCGCAGGCGCCCGGCCCCACCGCTCGCCCTCCCAGGTGTGTGGCTCCAGGTAAGGTCACACTTTTCCCCATCCCGCCCCACCTTCGCAGACCCCCCAGCCCCAGGAAACCCTCTCAGTCAGGCTCAGCCCTCCACAAAGGTGAGCCCGAGTGGGAGATCCAGCCAAAATAAATGTAGGTGTAACTTCAAAGCGGCTCTTCTTGGTCTAAAATCACCCCAGACCCACCCAGCTTGGGCCTGACCCAGTACTTGGCACACATGATGCTGAATAAATGAATACATTAATGAGTCAATCAATGGCTACTGCGTGAACTGCTGTTATTAATGATAGCATGAAAGGAGCCAAGCATTTCCTCATAACCTTGAGAGACTTCTCCTTAGAGCACCTGTTTCCTGCCTCCCTACCATTATTATTTATAATAATGCCTATGTTGAGCACATACTATATTCTGAGCACTTAATGTATGTTGAGTGCATACAGGAGTTATTATTGCCCCATTTTCCAGATGCAAAAACTGAGGCTCAAAAAGCTTGAATGCTCAAGGTGTCCCAGACCCCAGAATTTAAGCTGAGCTCTTTCTGTCTCTGCTCAGCTCCTTCCCAGCCTCTGCTCTGCTCCCTGCAACCTCTTGCCTTTCCTTGTGATATCTAACAACTAAATTGTTAAGTCCCTTCACAGTCGCCAGTGAAGCATTCCCTATTTCACAGGTGCAATGATGATCAGAGAGGGAAAGTGACTAGCCCAAAGTCACACTGCAAGTAAGTGGCAGTGTGGGACTGTATTATAGGCCTCCTATGTCCCCCTCCACTAAATGTTGAGAGATGGGAGGGGTGTGGAGGGTGTGAGCCACTGCGATTGGTCCCTGATAGTTTGTTGATTGAATAATACCTACCTCATGGGGGGCTTTACATGTGACCTCAGGTGGCCAAGAACTGTGAAGCTGGGATTACTGGGCCCATTTTGCAGACCATGACACTGAGATGTAAAGAGTTTAATTCCTAGCCGGTCAGCAACATGATGTGGGACTTGAACCCATGCCAAGAAGAGTGCAGAGCCCCTGCTCAGTTTCCAATGGGGAAACACGAGAGGTTGCCCAAGCCACACACATGTAGGAAGTGGTAGAGACATCCATGGTGAACACAGAGGCAGAGGGAGAAGACAAATCGCCCCTCCCCCCCGCCCCCACACACAGGGCCCACTGGTGGCTCTGAGCCAGGCACTCACAGGCAGGCAGCCTCCCGGGAGGGCAGCTGGGTGCAACGACCTCCATTTGCACACGGGCTTCCGTCCAGGCAAGGGGGGGCTGTGTGGGGGTGAAGGAAGGTGGAGGATCAGCCAGGTGCCCAGGAACCCCAGGCCCAAGTGACAAACCCCCTCCCTCCCTCCACCAGGCAACAGCTGCATGGGGATGGGGGCGTCTCTGCGGGTGCAGGGAGTCCCCCCATCCACAGTTCCCACGCCCCCCCCCCCCCCGCCCCAGCCCCAGCTGTTGAGGCTGCAGCTGTCCCTGCCAGCTCGAGCCCTGGGAACCACAAAGCAGGGGAAGGCAGGAGGAGGGGCTGTCTTATGCCAGATGTGGGGGCTCGGGAAGCTGCCAGAGCTAAGATGTGCAGAATGGGGTGTGCTGAGACAGGAAGTAAGGGTGCTGAGTGTTACAGGGAGGTCTGGGGCTTCATGCCCAGGTTCAGGGGTAATAGAAGGGGAAGGGGCAGGGGATCCTAGGGCCACGGGTCTTCCTTTCCCTGATGGGCATCTACTCCAGCCAGGCAGGCCTGCGTGGTGCTCTTGGGAGAGGGACCAAGGCATGTACCCACGAGTGAGCACAGCATCTCCAGAAGCAGCCAGCGCTGGGCGTTGCTGGAATAGGGTGTGTGTTGAAGGGAGGGGCAACTGGCACAAGGCATGTGCTGCCCTGTCCAACATCGCCATCCCTAAGGGCTGTGTCCCTCTAGGGTGTGGCATAGTCTAACTGTCCTGCCAGAAGGGTCCAGGGTGTGGCTGGGTCTGAGCTAGTGGAGAACTGTGTGCATGCGATCAGGTGTGGGGACACAGTGCGTGTGTCCATGCATGCTCTTGTCAGAGAGAGGGTGATGGAGAGAGGAAGGAAGATCGAGAAAAACACAAAGACGTGAGAATGAACTAGAAGCAGATAGACCAGGAGAAGACAGAGAAGGACAGAAAGAAATAGAAAGCGGCCAGGCATGGTGGCTCACGCCTCTAATCCCAACACTTTGGGAGGCCGAGGCTGGTGGATCACCTGAGGTCAGGAGTTCGAGACCAGCCTGGCCAACACAGTGAAACCCAGTCTGTTCTAAAAATATAAAACTTAGCTGGGCATGGTAGCAGGTGCCTGTAATCCTAGCTACTCAGGAGGCTGAGGCAGGAGAATCGCTTGAACCCAGGAGCCAGAGGTTCCAGTGAGCCGAGATCACGCCATTGCACTCCACCCTGGGCAACAAGAGCCAAACTCCATCTCCAAAAAAAAATTAGCTGGGTGTGGTGGCGCACGCCTGTAGTCCCAGCTACTCGGGAGGCTGAGGCAGGAGAATCGCTTGAACCTGGGAAGCGGAGGTTGCAGTGACCCGAGATTGCGCCACTGCATGCCAGCCTGGCAACAGAGTGAGACTGTCTCAAAAAAAAAAAAGAGAGAGAGAAGGACAGAAAGAAATAGAAAACAAGAGGGTGAGTTACAGAATCTGTCGAGCTGAACCTGAGCATGGGCCTACATAGTATATGCCCCTTCCTCACAGGACAAGCCGACTGGACACCATCACCCACACCAGGACCTGTGGGTGTTCGTGAACTCACACTGTGGGTCCCATAACATGGGCTATGGGCCACCCTGAGCTGTAGGCAATGTGAGCCACATGTGTGTGCGTGCACGGGCTTGTGTGTCTGTATGTGGATTTGGGCATGCATCTATTGTGTCTCAGTTGCAGCTACATGTGAGTCTATCTGTACATGCATGTCAGCGTGGGTGTGCCCGTGTGTGTATGAGCTGCACACCCATACGGGAATGCACAGATGTGTGTGCTGTCTGTATGCAGGTTGTGTCTGTTGTGCGTCTGTGTATGTGAACCGTGTAAATGGGTGTACAGCTGTGTGTTGGTGTGACCTGTGTGTGCACCGCTGTGTCTGTGTATGGGTTGGCTGTGTCTGTCCATCTGCATGTGTGAGCTGGGTGTAAGCATGTCCTTGAGTCTTCATCTATGTGCTGTCTGAGTGTGTGCAGGCAGCGTGTGTGCCACACCTGTGTGATCATATTTGTGTGTGTATGTATGTCAATGTGTGAGCTGTGTGCGTGCAGCTGGGTGTGTCTTTCCTGAGCCAGGTGTGCAAGTCTGCGAGTGTGCTGTGTGTGTGCAGGTTTGCATCTCTGTTACGTGACCTAGAGCTATGTGTGCCAGCGAGTGTGTCACAGGCCATGTGTGTGCGCCGCTGGTCCGGCGGAGGCGGCGGCTCCTGCCTGGTCCTGCCCCGTCCGGGCCCCGGGGCTGGGCTGGGGAGGCCGTTCACTCCCGAAACCCCCACCCCGCCCAGCGCCAAGCCCCACACTGGCGTCTGGGACCCCTGGCCAGGGGCCTTGGCCCGCGCCCCTCCCCCGCCCACCAGGCCTCCCGTAGCGGTGAGGGGGGTGCCCCCGCAGCCCCCTCCCCGGCCCAGCCGCGGGTCCCGCTTTGTCTGGCAAAGAAAGCGCGAGGCCGGCCGGAGGGAGGGGGTGTCTAGACGGCGCGGCCATTGTCCCGAGCGGGGGAGGGGAGGGAGGAGAGGAGGAGGGGCGGGGGCCCCTGGCCGGCTGGGGAGGGGCTCTGGCCGCGGGGAGGGGGCGCTGGAGCCGAAGGGGAGCACGTGGGCCCTCGCCCCTTCCCCTCCCCGCGCAGGGGCGGGGTCCCAGGGCCTCCGGGTCCCCGCGGCCAGAGGAGAGAGGCGGGCTGCGGGCGGGGGAGGGGGCGCGCGCGCCGCCGAGGCTCCGGCTCGGAATCCGGCTCCGGGTCTTGCTGCGCGCCGGCCTGGGAAGTTTTCTCCGAGTTCAGAGCTCCCAGAACTTCGCGCCCCCTCCCCACCCCCCGCCTGGCCCAGCCCGCCCGGGGTGTCGGGGGCGGGGTGGGGGGGCTTTTGTGCGAGAGGTCCCCGGCCTAGAAGTACCTGGGCCCCCAATCATAACCTACCCAGGACTCCAGGCGTGAGTTGGATGGGGACGAGTCCCGAACTCTGTACGCACCCCCCCACCTCGAGTCCCTGATCCCCGCACCTCGAGCTCCCAGTCTCGGACTCCTGGGTCCCTTCATCTTCAGCTCTAATCGCTCAAGGGTCCCTGTTCCTTGGGCCTCTGGGGTCCTCCCCATTCTGAATCTCTGGGTCCTCCAGGACTGGCATGAAGCCCGGGGCTCCTGCGCCCCTTCCCCGACCCTGGTTCCTGCCTCCCATGAACCCCCGCCAGCCCCGGCCTTGGGGGTTCTTGCACTCCCCCTCTGCCGCCCTCGTCCCATCCGCCAGGTCCCGGCCCCTCACCTGCAGCCCCCGGCCCCGCTAGCAGCAGCAGCAGGGGCAGCGCCCGCACGGGTGGCGGTGGCGGTGGCGGCGACATCGGGCGACGGCGGCGGCGGCGGCCACGGGCCCCCGGCCCCATGGCGGCCGGCCGCGACCCTCCCCTCCTCCCTCCTTCCCTGGGCTCCGGGCGCGTCCCGGGCCAGCCTCCGCGCCGCCAACTTCGCCGAAGTGAGGCGGCCGGGCCGCCCCGCCCCCAGCCCTCGAAGGCTCGCCCCGCCCCGGGGCCGGCCCAGCGCGCCCCCGCCCCCCGCCCGGCCTCCCGGGGTCCCTGCCCACCCTCCACCCGCACAGCCTGGGACGCGCGGACCCTCGGAAACCCAGGCCGAGCATGCAGTGAGACGCGGGCAGAACCCGGAGTGGCGGGCACACCCAACCTCGTGAACGCCCACGCACCCCATCCCCATCCCCCAGTACACACCCAGAGCCGGACACCTCTGGAGCCGGGACAAAAAACACAGCCTCCCAGAAACTCTGGAAACTGAGGCCAGTCACGTCCTGAGAGGCTCATGGACCCACAGCCACGGACGCACAAATGCAAGCCCATGCACCAAGCTTCCCCAGGACTCTGATCTAAAACATTCACAAACCTAAAAGTCGGACCGGGCGCGGTGGCTCCGGCCTGTAATCCCAGCACTTTGAGAGGCAGAGGTGGATGGATCACTTGAGGTCAAGAGTTGGAGACCAGCCTGGCCAACATGGTGAAACCCGGACTCTACTGAAAATACAAAAATTAGCTGAGCGTGGTGGCGCACGCCTGTAGTCCCAGCTATTCGAGAGGCTGAAGCAGGAAAATCGCTTCAACCCAGGAGGCTGAGGTTGCACTTAGCCGAAATCGTACCACTGCGCTCCAGCCTGGGCAACAGAGTAAGACCCTGTCTCAAACAAAACAAACAAACAAAAAACCGCTAAAACTCACTCAGCCAGGCCAGGAGCCTAGGACTACATTTGCAGCCTCAGACCTCAGACACGTACTAGGAGTCACATGCATGTGTGTGTGTTCACACATGCACACACAAACTCTTCTTGCTCTCAGCCCTCCCAGAAAGCAACCCACTTCCTCTGTGACTCTCAAAGGGTCACCCCAGCCCCCTAGTCCCACCCCCATACCCCACACAGCTTTGGGCCTCAGCCTATCTGGCTCAATTTGATTAATTCTCTTTTCTTTTTTTTTTTTTTTTTGAGACAGCGTGTCGCTCTGTCACCCAGGCTGGAGTGCAGTGTCCCTATCTTGGCTCACTGCAAGCTCTACCTCCCAGGTTCAAGCGATTCTCCTTCCTCAGCCCCCACCCCCACAATCTGCCAAGTAGCTGGGATTAGAGGTGTGCGCCACCATACGTGGCTAATTTTTTCTGGGTTTTTGTTTACTTGTTTGTTTGTTTTTGAGACGGAGTCTCGCTCTGTTGCCCAGGCTGAAGTGCAGTGGCATGATCTCCGCTCACTGCAAGTTCCGCCTCCTGGGTTCACACCATTCTCCTGCCTCAGCCGTCCGAGTAGCTGGGACTACAGGCAACTGGCACCATGCTCTGCTAATTTTTTTTTTGTATTTTTAGTAGAGACGGGGTTTCACCGTGTCAGCCAGGATGGTCTCGATCTCCTGACCTCGTGATCTGCCTGCCTCAGCCTCCCAAAGTGTTGGGATTACAGGCGTGAGCCACCGCGCCCAGCTTCTATTTTTTTAGTAGAGACTGGGTTTTGCCATGTTGGCCAGGCTGGTCTCGAACTCCTGACTTCAAGTGATCCGCCCGCCTCAGCCTCCCAAAGTGCTGGGATTACAGGCGTGAGCCACCACGCCCAGCCTTGATCAATTGCCTTTTCCCAAATCAGTCATGCTGCACAGGCTTCCTGCAGCTCCCTCTGTTCCTGTGGAAAGAATGGGGACCCTGAGAGGCCTGGAGCCCAGCCCTGGAGGAACTTCCAGTCTGGGGAAGAAAAAGCTAGACGCACACACACCCAGTGTGGAGGGCTCAGGGCTGGGCCAGAGAAAGGCATGGAATCTGGGAAGGGCCTGGGGTACACGGGTGGTGGGTGAGGACTTTGCCTGGGAGGGTTATTTATTTGTTCATTCATGTATTCAACAAGTATGGCTAAGGCTCCAGCCCTGTATCACACTCTGTTCTATGGACTGGGGGTGCACCCTGGAGGGCGTCCAAGAGGACGTCCAGTGGGGCTTGGCCCTGAAAGTTGAGCTGGAGGGAAGTCATCCCAGCAGAGGGACTGGCCCATGCCAACAGGAAGGGACAGAGTTGGAAGGGAACGTGTACAGGCCAGAGGTTAAGAGGAGAAAGGAGCCATGCTTACTCCTTGGTATCTGGCTTGGTGATAAGGATGCTGGAAGAAGGAATGGGTTGGGTGGAGGAGAGATGCTGGGTTTGAGGGGGTCACCTACAAGGCAGGTATGGCTGAGCATGGGAGAACCATTCTGGTAGGAGATAGTCACATGGGTATCCCAGAAATCTTCAGACAATTTTTTTTTTTAGACAAAGTCCCTCTGTCACCCAGACTGGAGTGCAGTGGCGCGCGACCTCGGCTCACTGCAACCTCTGCCTCCCGGGTTCAACTGATTCTCCTGCCTCAGCCTCCCAAGTAGCTGGGATTACAGGCACACACCACCATGCCTGGCTTTGTATTTTTAGTAGAGACAGGGTTTCACTATGTAGGCTAGGCTAGTCTCAAACTCTTGAACTCAGGTGATCTACCCTCCTCTGCCTCCCAAAGTGCTGGGATTACAGGCATGAGCCACCACGCCGGGCCAATTTTTTTTTTTTTTTTTTTTTTTTTTGAGATGGAGTTTTGCTCTTGTTGCCCCGGCTGGAGTATAATGGCGCAATCTCGGCTCACCACAACCTCTGCCTCCTGGGTTCAAGTGATTCTCCTGCCTCAGCTTCCCGAGTAACTGGGATTACAGGCATGTGCCACCATGTGTGGCTAATTTTGTGTTTTTAGTAGAGACAGAGTTTCTCCATGTTGGTCAGGCTGGTCTCCAACTCCCGACCTCAGGTGATCCACCTGCCTCAGCCTCCCAAAGTGCTGGGATTACAGGCATGAGCCACCACTTCCGGACTCTTTTTTTCTTAAGACCAAGTCTCGGTCTGTGGCCCAGGCTGGAGTGCAGTGGTGCCATCTCGGCTCACTACAACCTCCATTCCTGAGTTCAAGCGATTCTCCTGCCTCAGTTCCCCCCGCCACCCCAAGTAGGTGGAACTACAGGCCCACACCACCATGCCCGGCTAATTTTTGTGTCTTTGGTAGAGACAGGGTTTCACCATGTTGTCCAGGCTGGTCTCGAACTCCTGACCTCAAGTGATCTACCCACCTCAGCCTCCCAAAGTGCTGGAATTACAGGCGTGAGCCGCCATGCCTGGCCACAGTTTTTTTAACTTTTTATTTGAAAATAATTTAAGCCGGGCGCGGTGGCTCATGCCTGTAATCCCAGCTCTCAGGGAGGCAAGAGGCGGGAGGATAGCTTGAGCCCAGAAGTTCAAGACCTGCCTGGGCAATATAGTGAGACCCCATTCTCCACAAAAAGGAAAAAAAAAAAAAGACGAAAATAATTTAAAACACACAAAGTTGCATGCCGGGCGTGGTGGCTCATGTCTGTAATCCCAGCACTTTGGGAGGCTGAGGCAGGAGGATTGTTTGAGGCCAGGAGTTCAAAATCAGTCTGGGCAACATAGCAAGACCTCCATCTCTATAAAAAATTAAAATAAAATTAAGAGGGTGTAGTGGTGAGCGCCTGTAGTCCCAGCTACTTGGGAGGCTGAAGTGGGAGGATCACTTGAGCCTGGATGTCACTGCACTTCAGCCTGGGCAACAGAGCAAGAACCAACTTCAAAACAAAAACAAAAAAAACTGAGAGTTACAGAATAGCGTGAACAACTTGTATAAGCCCTTTGTCCAGATTCACCAACCACCCACATTTTGCCACATTTGACATATATGTGTACATATACGTTATACACATATGCATATATGCATTTTTTGGCTAAATGATTTGAGAGTAAGTTGTAGATATGATGTTCCTTTGCCTTCAAATACTTTGCTGTGTGTTTCCTGAGAACAAGGGTATCCTCTTTCATAAACATACTACAGTTTTTGCCCCAGTCTGTATTCAAAGTTTGCTAGTTGCCCAAATAATATCCTTTATTGGGCCAGGTACAGTGGCTCACACCTGTAATCCCAACACTTTGAGAGGCCAAGGAGGGAGGATTGGTTGAGGCCAAGAGTTCAAGGCCAGCCTGGGCAACATAGTAAGACTCCTGACTCTACAAAACTAGAAAAAATTAGCAGCATATAGTGGCGCGTACCTGTAGTCCCAGCTACTCAGGAGGCTGAGGTGAGAGCGTTGCTTGAGCCCAGGAGGTCGAGGCTGCCGTGAGCTGTGATCATCCTGCTCCACTCCAGTCTGGATAACAGAGCAAGACCCTGTGGGGAAAAAACAAAAAAATTAGTGGCCGGGCGCGGTGGTTCACACCTGTAATTCCAGCACTTTGGGAGGCTGAGGCCGGCTGATCACCTGAGGTCAGGAGTTCAAGACCAGCCTGGCCAACATGGTGAAACCCCTTTTCTACTAAAAATACAAAAATTAACTGGGCATGGTGACAAGTGCCTGTAATCCCAGCTACTCGGGAGGCTGAGGCACGAGAATCGCTTGAACCCAGGAGGCGGAGTTTGCAGTGAGCCGAGATCGCGACACTGCACTCCAGACTGGGCAAAAGAGCATGATTCAGTCTCAAGAAAAAAAAGAAAAGAAAAGAAAAAAAAAATTAAATCTTTTATTGCAATGTTTCTTTGCTGGCCCAGGATCTATCTAATGCTGCATCATGAGTTGCATCTAATCCTTTTGTTTTGAGACAGAGTCTCGCACTGTCACCCAGGCTGGAGTGCAGTGGCATGATCTTGACTCACTGTAACCTCCACCTCCCAGGTTCAACTGATTCTCCTGCCTCAGCCTCCCAAGTAGCTAGGATTCTCCTGCCTCAGCCTCCCAAGTAGCTAGGATTCTCCTGCCTCAGCCCCCCAAGTAGCTAGCCACCACACCCGGCTAATTCTAATCCTTATATCTCTTGGTCTCTTTTAATCTGAATTGGTTCCTCAGTCTTTCTTTGTCTTTCATGACACTGACGTTTTTGGAGAGCTGAGGTCAGTTGTGCAGAATGGCCAGCAGTTGTGCAGGAATGGCTGGCCTGCCATTTCCTCGTGATCAGGTTCAGGCTGTGCATCTTCGGCAGAAACCACAGAAGCATTGCTGGGTCCTCCTGGGTGCATCGTATCAGGAGGTTCCTGACATCAGTTCCCAGCATTGGTGATGTTCAGCTGTCATCACCGGGGCAAAGTTGGTCAAGTTTCCCTGCTATAAGGGTGCCATTTTCCTCCCTTTCCATCCTCCCCCTTTGTAAGGGGGATGAAAGTTGAATGACTGACCAGGGGCTAGCATCGCAGAACAGTTACCCTATAGGGAGATACATTGAGACCGTGTGAATATCCTACTGCCCAATAAGCTTTCCCCCATAGATTTTAGCATCTTTTGATTATTTCTCCTGATCATTGTTTTGCTTTCTTTTTTTGTTCGTTTGTTTTTGTTGTTGTTGTTGTTGTTTTCTTTCTTTCTTTCTTTTTTTTTTTTTTGAGACAGTGTCTTGCTCTGTTTCCCAGGCAGGGTTCCAGTGGCACAATCATAGTTCACTGCAGCCTCGAACTCCTGGGCCCAAGTGACCCTCCTTCCTCAGCCTCCCGAGTAGCTGGGACTATAGACACGCCCCACAACTCCTGGCCTTCTCTGGTGCTTTTTGTTTTAATTGAGGTAAAATTCACATAACGTAAAATTAAACATTGACCACTTTAAAGTGTGTTCATACTGTGTGACCATCACCTCTAGTTACAGATCATTTCCATCCCTGCAAACGGAAACCTCCCCATTCTCCCTCCTCCAGGCCCTCGAACCCACTAATCCACTTTCTGTCTCTATGAATTTATCCATTCTGGGCATTTCGTGTCAATGGAATCATACACTATGTAGCCTTTTGTGTCTGGCTTCTCATCATGTTTTTGGGGTTGTTCTATGTTTTAGCATGGATCCTGGCTTCCTTCCTTTTAATTTTATTTTATTAGTTATTATTATTATTATTATTATTATTATTATTATTATTATTATTATTTTTCAAGACAGGGTCTCACTCTGTTGCACCCAGGCTGGAGTGCAGTGGCACGATCTCAGCTGACTGCAACCTCCATCTCCTGGGTTCAAGTGATTCTCCTGCCTCAGCCTCTTGAATAGCTGTGACTACAGGTACTTGCCACCACACTCAGCTAATTTTTGTATTTTTAGTAGTTAATAATCCTAGTTATTTTGTAAAAATATAAAAATTTATGTTTTTAATAGAGCCTCACCATGTTGGCCAGGCTGGTCTCAGCCTCCCAAAGTGCTGGGATTACAGGCATGAGCCACTGTGCCCGGCCTTCCTTCCTTTTTATGGCTAAGTAATATTTCATTGAATGGCTATACCACACATTACTTATCCAGTGGTCCATTAATACTTTGGATGGATGATTTTTTTTTTTTTTGAGACGGAGTCTCACTCTGTCACCCAGGCTGGAGTGCAGTGGTGTGATCTCAGCTCACTGCAACCTCCGCCTCCTGGATTCAATCAATTCTCTGCCTCAGCTCTCAAGTAACTGGGATTACAGGCACTCACCACCATGCCTGACTAATTTTTGTATTTTAGTAGAAACGAGGGTTTCACTATCTTGGCCAGGCTGGTCTCGAACTCCTGACCTTGTGATCCACCCGCCTCGGCCTCCCAAAATGCTGGGATTACAGGCATGAACCACTGTGCCTGGCTGGATGGATTTTTTTTTTTTTTTTGACGGTCTCTTGCTCTGTTCCCTAGGCCGGAGTGCAGTGGCGCAATCTTGGCTCACTGCAACCTCTGCCTCCCAGGTTCAAGAGATTCTCCTGCCTTAGCCTCCTGAGTAGCTGGGGTTACAGGTGCACCACCATGCCCAGATAACTTTGTGTATTTTTAGTAGGGACAGGGTTTCACCATACCGTCCAGGCTGGTCTCAAACTCCTGACCTTGTGATCTGCCCGCTTTAGCCTCCCAAAGCGCTGGATTACAGGCGTGAGCCACCACGCCTGGCTGGATGGATGATTTTTAAAGGCTGAAAGAGAAAGAAGCAAAGGAGACAGAGAAGGATTGTCAAAGAGAGACAGCCGGGCATGGTGGCTCATGCCTGTAATCACACTTTAGGAGGCAGATGCAGAAGAATTGCTTGAGCTCAGGAATTCCAGATAAGCCTGGGCAACATAGTGAAATCCCATCTCTATAAAAAATTTTAAAATTGCCGGGTGTGGTGGCTCACCCCTGTAATCCCACCATTTGGGAGGCCAAGGCGGGAGGATCATAAGTTCAGGAGATGGAGACCATCCTGGCTAACATGGTGAAACCCCGTCCCTACTAAAAAATACGAAAAATTAGCCAGGCATGGTGGCACGTGCCTGTAGTCCCAGCTACTCAGAGGCTGAGGCAAGAGAATCGCTTGAACCCGGGAGGCAGAAGTTGCAGTGAGCCGAGATTGTGCCACTGCACTCCAGCCTGGGTGACAGAGTGAGACTCCGTCACAAAAAAAAAAAAAAAAAAAAATTAATTATCTGGGCATGGGCACACACTGGTAGTCCCAGCTACTTAAGAGTCTGAGGGGCTGGGCGCGGTGGCTCACATCTGTAATCCCAGTACTTTGGGAGGCCGAGGCGGGCGGATCATGAGGTCAGGAGATCGAGACCATCCTGGCTAACACGGTGAAACCCTGTCTCTATTTAAAAAATACAAAAAATTAGCCGGGCGTGGTGATGGGCGCCTGTAGTCCCAGCTACTCGGGAGGTTGAGGCAGGAGAATGGTGTGAACCTGGGAGACAGAGCTTTCAGTGAGCCGAGATCGTGCCACTGCACTCCAGCCTGGGCGACACAGCGAGACTCCATCTCAAAAAAAAAAAAAAAAAAAAAAAAGAAGAGGCTGAGGCGGAAGGATCGCTTGAGCCCAGGAGTTCCAGGCTGCAGTGAGCTATGATCACACCACTGCACTCCAACCTGGGTGACAGAGCTGTCTCAAAAAGAGAGAGAGAGAGAGAGTGCTAAGGATGAAAGTTGAGGCCCGGGCACAGTGGCTCACGCCTGTAATCCCAACACTTTGGGAGGCCGAGGCGGGCAGATCACAAGGTCAGGAGTTCCAGACCAGCCTGACCAACATGGTGAAACCCTGTCTCTACTAAAAATACAAAAATTAGCCGGGCATGGTGGCGCATGCCTGTAATCCCAGCTACTCAGGAGGCTAAGGCAGGACAACCACTTGAACTCGGGAAGTGGAGGTTGCAGTGAGCCAAGATCGCGCCACTGCACTCCAGCCTGGGTGACAAAGCGAGACTCTGTCTCAAAAAAAAAAAAAGAAGAAGAAGAAAGTTGAATGACTGACCAGCGGCTAGCATCACTGACAACCCCTGGTCTTGCCCTGGCTTCTCAGAGGGCAGGAGGTGAAGATGTTCAATCATTTCCATCTTACAGGTACAGCCATATAACTTAGAGAAGACAGGCCAGGCGCGGTGGCTCACGCCTGGAATCCCAGCACTTTGGGAGGCTGAGGTGGGTGGATCACCTGAGGTCAGGAGTTTGAGACCAGCCTGGCTAACATGGTGAAGCCCCGTCTCTACTAAAATACAAAACTTAGCTGGGCACGGTGGCGGGTGGCTGTAATCCCAGCTACTCAGGAGGCTGATGCAGGAGAATCGCTTGAACCTGGAAGGCAGAGGTTGCAGTGAGCCGAGATCGCACCACTGCACTCCAGCCTGGGCAACAATAGTGAAACTCCATCTCAAAAAAAACAAAAAACAAAAAAAACAGTGACTCACTGCAGCCTTTCTGGAAGAAAAGTTGAGGTTTGAAGCTAAGTCTCAAGCCAGGTGTAGCGGTGCACGCCTATAGTCCCAGCCACTCGGGACACTGAGGCAGGAGGATCGCTTGAGCCCAGGAGTTCCAGGCTGCAGATGATCATGACACTGCATTCCAGCCTTGGAGCAAGACTTTCTCAAAAGAAAAAAAAAAAACTGGCTGGGCACAGTGTAGCACACCTGTAATCTCAGAACTTTGGGAGGCTGAGGCAGAAGGATCACTTGAGCTCAGAGTTTGAGACCAGACTGGGCCACATAGTGAGACTCTGTCTCTACAAAAAAAGAAAAGAAAGAATTAGCTGGGTGTGGTGGTGTGCACCTGTTGTCCCAGCTACTCAGGGGGCTGAGGCAGGAGGATCACCTGAGCCTAGAGTTCGAGACCAGCCTGGGTAGCACAGTGAGACCCCATACACCTGTAGTCCCAGCTATGTGGGCGTCTGAGGCAGGAGGATCACCTGAGCCTAGGAGTTCCAGACTGCAGGGAGCCATGGTCGAGTCGCACCACTGCACTGCAGCCTGGCCAACAGAGTGACCTTATTAAAAAAAAAAAAAAGGAAGAAAAAGAAAAAAAATGAACCTGGGTCTCAGTGACTCCCGGCCACATGGAGTACAGGGGCGGGGTAGGGGTTGGGCAGAGGAATAACAGAAGTTGCCTAAGAAGGGGCACACACTGACTCACGGTGACTGTGCTGAGTCAAGAGGCCCATGGGGACAGGCACAGATCTAGTCCTGCGTCATGCCTACCACCCAGGAAGGAAATCCAAGGCCCTCAGTCCTGCATTTGGGCCCCTTGGGCCGGGACTGACCCTCTCCTTCCTAACCCTCCCCACCAAACCCCCAGCAAAAACAACAAACAAAAAACCATTGTCACACCATGTCAAACCCCAGATGCAACCAGCAGGCCTTGTGCTCCCATGGTCTTTGCCTGGGTGCTTCCCTCTGCCTGAGACACCCAGCTGCACAGAAACACCCTTTTGCTTCCTCCCCAAGCAGGAACTCACAGCCAGTGTGACCTCTTCAAAAATTCATTTTCTTCCAGCTAGAGGGAATGTTCTGCTGTTTCTCACACAGTTCTCACACAGGCCACCCCTTTGCCCATGCCGCTCTCTTTATTTTTTTCTTTTCTTTTCTTTTTTTTTTTTTTTTTTGAGACAGAGTTTCGCTCTTGTCACCCAGGCTGGAGTGCAGTAGTGGTGTGACCTCGGCTCACTGCAGCCTCCACCTCCCAGGTTCAAGTGATTCTCCGGCCTCAGCCTCCCATGGAATTACAGGGGCGGGCCACCACACCCGGCTAATTTTTGTATTTTTAGTAGAGATGGGGTTTCACCATGTTGGCCAGGCTGGTCTCGAACTCCTGACCTCAAGTGATCCGCCCGCCTCAGCCTTCCAAAGTGCTGGGATTACAGGCGTGAGCCACCACGCCTGGCCTGCTCTCTTTCTTTCTTTCTATTTATTTATTTACTTATTTTTAATAGAGACAGGGTCTCGTTCTATAGGCCAGGCTGGAGTGCAGTGGCGTGAACACAGCTCACTGCAGCCTTGACCTCCCAGGCTTAAGTGATCCTCCCACCTTGGCCTCCCGAGTAGTTGGAATTACAGGTGCTCAGCACCACACCCTGCTTATTTTTGTATTTTTTGTAGCGATGAGTGTCTCGCTATGTTGCCCAGGCTGGTCTCAAACTCCAGAGCTTGAGCGATCCTCCTGCTCTTGGCCTCCCAAAGTGCTGGGATTCCAGGCCTGAGCCACTGTGCCTGGCCCCTTATTTCTATTTCTGGTTACCTCCTATCCATTCTTCAGGGATACCACTCCGGGAAGTCCTCCCTGTCCCTCAGTCTGCGCTGCTCTCTCCCCGACACCCCCGCTCTCCCGGTGCCCTTTTTCTCCATGGCTCAGCCTTGTTCACAAGGGGTTGGGGGTGTCTGTACCCTGGTTTGTCCCCTATTTAAAGACTAAGGGCTGGCTGGGCACAGGGGCTCATGCCTGTCATCCCAACACTTTGAGAGGACGAGGGGGGTGGGTCACCTGAGGACAGGCATTTCAGACCAGCCTGGGTAACATGGTAAAACCCTGTGTCTACAAAAAACACAAAAATTAGCTGGGCATGCTGGTGCATACCTGTAGTCCCAGCAATTCAGAAGACTGAGGTGGGAGGATTGCTTGATCCTGGGAGGTGGAGGTTGCAGTGAGCTGAGATCGTGCCCCTGCACTCCAGCCTGGGTGACAGACTGAGACCCTGTCTCAAAACAAAAACAAAAAACAAACAAACAAAGGACTGAGGGCTCCTTGGGGGTTAGACAGAGGATGAGGCTTCTTGAGGGTCCCAGCATCCCCCAGCATGGAGTGAGCAAAAAGCAGGTGACGTAGGACGGTTTGGTGACTCAGGAAGGGGCTGAAGGAGCTGGGAAGCCCAGCCCAGAAGAGCCACTTCAGGGCCGGGCGAGGTGGCTCACGCCTGTAATCCCAGCACTTTGGGAGGCCAAGGTGGGCAGATCACGAGGTCAGGAGATCGAGACCATCCTGGCTAACATGGTGAAACCCCATCTCTACTAAAAATACAAAAAATTAGCCGGGCGTGGTGGCAGGTGCCTGTAGTCCCAGCTACTCGGGAGGCTGAGGCAGGAGAATCACTTGAACCCAGAAGGTGGAGGTTGCAGTGACCCAAGATCGCACCACTGCACTCCAGCCTGGTGACAGAGTGAGACCCTGTCCCCCGAAAAAAAAGCCACTTAGCCACTTCAGGGGCCTCAAACCACTCTGTTCAGTATAATTTTGCAGGCGGGGGTGGTCTATGGTTCCACAGAAGGGTCTAGGGATTGAGGGGCAAAGTTAGGGCCCTCAAGGAAAGGCCAGCTCCTCCCTTGGCCCATCTGAGAAGGGGCTTTCTTTCTTTTTTTTCTTTATTTTATTTATTTATTTATTTATTTTGAGACAGAATGTCATTCTGTCACCCAGGCTAGGCTGCAGTGGCTCGATCTCGGCTCACTGAAACCTCCGCCTCCGGTGTTCAAGCGATTGAGAAAGGGCTTTCTGCTGGAATGGATGCTGTAGGAGGTGCTGAGCTCCTCATCACTAGGAGCAACCAAGGACCCTGGACACACATTTCACTAGGCAGGAAGTTCAGAGTCTGTGACTGCTGATACAGCACACCCTGATCTGTGGGAGAGGGGGAAGTAACGGTGAAAACCCAGGCAGAGGACTTCACGGGGGAATACAGACTAAAAGAAGAAAGACCCGGCCAGGAGCGGTGGCTCATGCCTGTAATCCCAGCACTTGGGGAGGCTGAGACGTGCGGATCACTTGAGGTCAGGAGTTCGAGACCAGCCTGGCCAATATGGTGAAACCCCATCTCTACTAAAAATACAAAAATTAGTCAGGCTTGGTGGCAGACGCCTGTAATCCCAGCTACTTGGGAGGCTGAGGCAGGAGAATCACTTGAGGCAGGAGAATCATCCCTGCAACCCAGGAGGCAGAGGTTGCAGTGAGCCGAGATCGCACCACTGCACTCCAGCCTGGGCAACAGAGCAAGACTCTATCTCAAGAAAAAAAGAAAAAGACCCCGCCGGGTGCAGTGGCTCAAGCCTGTAATCCCAGCACTTTGGGAGGCCGAGGTGGGCGGATCACAAGGTCAGGAGATTGAGACCATCCTGGTTAACATGGTGAAACCCCGACTCTACTAAAAATACAAAAGAAATTAGCCGGGTGTGGTGACGGGCGCCTGTAGTCTCAGCTACTTGGGAGGCTGAGGCAGGAGAATGGCGTGAACCTGGGAGGTGGAGCTTGCAGTGAGCAGAGATTGTGCCACTGCACTCCAGCCTGGGAGACAGAGCGAGACTCCATCTCAAAAAAAAAAAAAAAAGAAGAAGAAGAAAGACCCATCTACAAAGCACCCGCTCAGCCGAAGATGGGGTCTCAGCTGCGGGTTCCTGCCACTGCCCTCCAGCCACGGTGGTGGGACCCACCCAAGGTGTCCAGATCCCTAGGGGACTGGGCAGTCGGAGCAACCCTTCCCATGGCCTTGCAGCTGCGGCCGCACAGTTCCCAACATGGTGGGGGTGGGCTTGAGCCCCCTCCCCGGCCCCTGCTGGCTGCCTTGGCTGGGGACTGCATTTCTCCTCCATGAGCTCAGTCCCTGGGGACGCGGGACCTGGGGCCAGGCCAAGACACAGCTGCCGGCCCGCTGACCGGGAACCTGAGAATGTGCCCTTGGCTTCTCCTCTTGGGACTACAGTCCCGCCCTCTGCGCGGAAGCTGGGGCCAGGTTCTCGAGCCAGGCAGTGGGCTGTGGGAGCCTAGTGAGAACCAGCAGGAGTGAGGGCAATTGAGTGTGGGCCTTCGGCAAGTGTGGGGAGGCTGGACCCAGCCATGTCCCCTGGACACTGCTTCCCTGGGACACTCCGATGCTTGAAACTTCCATGGCTCCCCATTGCCTGAAGTGACACAATTCCTCCCCACCTCATCAGCTTCATCTCCCTGCCTCTCAGCCTTGTCAGCCTTTGCATGCAGAGTTCCCACTGGTAGGAAAATGCTTCTCATACTACAAAGGCTCCTTTCCCCTGGCTGCTCACTCTGAACCTCCAGCTCTTCTCACCTTCATTCAGTCATTCAACAAACATTTACTGGACACCTACTTGGTGCCAGGCCTTATTGTAGACAGAGGTGACCCAAGACAGAGCCAGTTCCTGCCCTGAGAAGGGAAGCAGACAAGAAACAAATAGGCAAACAAGAACCATCAAGGTTGAGTGCAGTGGCTCACGCCTGTAATCCCAGCACTTTGGGAGGCCAAGGAAGGAGGATCACTTGAGTCCAGGAGTTCAGAACCAGCCTGGTCAACATAGCGAGACCCCACCTGTCTCTTCAGAAGAAAAAAAAAAATTTTTTTTTGAGATAGAGTCTCGCTCTGTCACTAGGCTAGAGTGCAGTGGCACCATCTCCACTCACTGCAACCTCCACCTCCCGGATCCAAGTGATTCTCCTGCCTCAGCCTCCTGAGTAGCTGGGATTACAGGCATGCGCCACCACGTCTGGCTAGTTTTTTTTTTTTTTGTATTTTTAGTAGAGACAGGGTTTCACCATGTTGGTCACGCTGGTCTCGAACTCCTGAGCTCGTGATCCACCTGCCTCGGCCTCCCAAACTGCTGGGATTACAGGCATGAGCCACCATGCCTGGCCTAAGAAAATTTTTTAAATTAGCCAGGCATAGGTGGTGCATGCCTGTAGACCCATCTACTCCCGAGGCTAAGGCAGGAGGATCACTTGAGCCCAGAGTTTGAGGCTGCAGAGAGCTATGATTGTGCCATTGCACTTCAGCCTGGGCAAAAGAGCAAGACCCTGTCTTAAAAAAATAATAATAAAGAGGCTGGGTGTGATGGCTCATGCCTGTAATCCCAGCACTTTGGGAGGCTGAGTTGGGTGGATCACCTGAGGTCAGGAATTCGAGACCAGTCTGGGTCAACATGGTGAAACCTCATCTCTACTAAAAATACAAAAATTAGCCGAGCACGGTGGCAGGTGCCTGTAATCCCAGCTACTCAGGAGGCTGAGGCAGGAGAATTGCTTGAACCCGGGAGGCGGAGGTTGTCATGAGCTGAGATTGCACCACTGCACTCCAGCCTGGGTGACGGAGGGAGATTCCATCTCAAAAAAAAAAAAAGAAAGAAAAAAGAAAAGAAACCAAAACAGAGCCATTGAGACAAGATGGTTAAATGTGAGGGAGAGAGGGGGAAGTCACCTAAAGAAGGAGAGGAGCCAGCGAGGCAAACATCCAGGGCTAGGGTGTTCCAGACAGAGTGAACAGCAAGTGCAAAGGCCCAGAGGAGGAAGGAGAGGGTGGACGAGAGGAACAGCGAGGAAGCCTGGGTGCCTGGTGCTGAATGAGCAAAGGTGAGGAGGTCAGGGAAGCAGGTGGGGCTGACTCCCAAGGGGCCAGAGGGTCTGGGATTCTAGCCCAAGCACAGTGAAGCCACTGGAGGGTTTTAGCACAAGAAGCTGATCTGATTTAGTTTGCAAACAATCACTTTGGGTTTTTTTGGTTTTTTGGAGACAGAGTCTCACTCTGTCGCCCAGGCTGTAGTGCAGTGGTATGATCTCACCTCACTGCAACCTCTGCCTCCGGGTTCAAGTGATTCTCGTGCCTCAGCCTCCCGAGTAGCTGGGACTACAGGTGCACACCGCCATGCCCAGGTAATTTTTTTGTTTCTTTGAGACAGAATTTCACTCTTGTCACCCAGGCTGGAGTGCAATGGCGTGATCTCGACTCACTGCAACCTCCGCCTCCCGGGTTCAAGCTATTCTCCTGCCTCAGCCTCCCAAGTAGCTGGGATTACAGGCATGCACCACCACGCCCAGCTAATTTTGTATTTTTAGTAGAGATAGGGTTTCTCCATGTTGGTCAGGATAGTCTTGAACTCCCGACCTCAGGTGATCCACCCACCTCGGCCTCATAAAGTGCTTGGGATTACAGGCGTGAGCCACTGCACCCGCCATTTTTATTTATTTATTTTTATTTTTTCACGGAGTCTCACTCTGTTGCCCAAGCTGGAGTGCAATGGTGCCATCTCAGCTAACTGCAGCTTCCACCTCCTGGGTTCAAGCAATTCTCATGCCTCAGCCTCCCAAGTAGCTGGAATTACAGGCACCAGCCATCATGCCCAGCTAATTTTTTTATTTTTGTAAAGAACGGGTTTTACCATGTTGGTCGGGCTGGTCTTGGACTTCTGACCTCAGGTGATCGGCCCACCTCTGCCTCTCAAAGTGTTGGGATTACAGGCGTGAGTCACCGCCTCAGCCTTTTTTTTGTTTGTTTTTTTGGAGTTAGAGACAGGTTCTCTCTTTGTCACCCAGGTGGAGTGCAGTGGTGCAATTGTAGCTCACTGTAACCTCAAACTCCTGGGCTCAAGCGATCCTCCCCTCAGCCTCCTAAGAAGCTAGGACCTACAGACATGCACCACCATGCCCGGCTAATTTTTTTTTCTTTGTCTTTTTTTTTTTTTTTTTTTTTTTTTGAGACGGATTCTCGCTGTCGCCAGGCTGGAGTGCAGTGGCATGATCTCAGCTCACTGCAACCTCCGCCTCTCAGGTTCAAGCGATTCTCCTGCCTCAGCCTCCCCAGTAGCTGGGACTACAGATGCGTGCCACCACGCTTAGCTAATTTTTGTATTTTTAGTAGAGACGGGGTTTCACCATATTGGCCAGGATGGTCTTGATCTCTCGACCTCGTGATCTGCCCGCCTTGGCCTCCCAAAGTGCTGGGATTACAGGCGTGAGCCACTGCGCCCACCCTTTTTTTTTTTTTTTTTTTTCCTGTAGAGATACAGTCTTGAACTCTTGGCCTCAAGCAATCTTCCTGCCTCAGCCTCCTGAAGTGCGGGAATTACAGGCATGAGCCACCATGCCCAGCCTGGAATTCACTTCGATGGAGCGTCTGCAGCTCTGTGGCTCTGGGAAAGGGTAGAAGGGAGGCCATTCTCAACCCCTTCTGGGGGTGCTGGTTTCCCCACCCCAGAAGCTTCCATTGGGTCTGACGCCCTGTTCTCTGTCCTGTCTTCTCAGGCCCTGGGCTCCGGACCACAGCAACCTTCCATGCCCATGGCCTCACCCTGGATCTTATCTCCTCTTGCTCACCTCTGAACTGTGATATTCTGATGTCCCCTAACTCAGTGGCCTCCAACCTCTTTGGCACCAGGGACTGGTTTTGTGAAAGACAATTTTTCCACGGACCGGGGTAGGGGGTGGTTTCGGGATGATTCACGTGCATTACTTTTTTTATTTTTTACTTTTTTGAGGCGGAGTTTCGCTCTTGTTGCTCAGGCTGGAGTGCAGTGGCGTGATCTCGGCTCACCGCAACCTCCGACTCCCGGGTTCAAGCGATTATCCTGCCTCAGCCTGCCGAGTAGCTGGGATTACAGGCATGTGCCACCATGCCTGGCTAATTTTGTATTTTTAGTAGAGATGAGGTTTCTCCATGTTGGTCGGGCTGGTCTCAAACTCCTGACCTCAGGTTATCCTCCCACCTCGGCCTCCCAAAGTGCTGAGATTACAGGTGTGAGCCACCGTGCCTGGACACTGGACACTTTCTTTTTTTCTTTCTTTCTTTTTTTTTTTGAGATGGAGTCTCACTTTGTTGCCCAGGCTGAAGGGTAGTGGCACAATCTCGGCTGACTGCAACATCTGCCTCCCGAGTTCAAGCATTTCTCCTGCCTCAGCCTCCCGAGTAGCTGGGATTATATATGTGCACCACCACACCCAGCTAATTTTTGTATTTTTAGTAGAGACAGAGTTTCACCATGTTGGCCAGGCTGGTCTTGAGCCCCTGACCTCAGGTGATTCGCCCGCCTTGGCCTCCCAAAGTGCTGGGATTAGAGGCGTAAGCCACCGTGCTCGGCCTACATTTTAATTTTTATTTATGTATTTGAGACAGAGTCTCGCTCTGTCACCCAGGCTGGAATGCAGTGGTGTGATCTCGGCTCACTGCAACCTCTGCCTCTTGGGTTCAAGTGATTCTTGTGCCTCAGCCTCCTGATTAGCTGGGATTACAGGTGTGCGCCACTACACCCACCTAGTTTTTGTATTTTCAGTAGACAGGGTTTCATCATGTTGGCCAGGCTGGTCTCTAACACATGGTCTCAAGTGATCCATCCACCTCAGCCTCCCAAAGTTGTGGGATTACAGGCATGAGCCACCGCGACCAGCCTCAAACGCATAAGATTTATTGTGCACTTTATTTCTATTATTATTACATTGTACTATATGATGAAATAATGATACAACCGTAATGTAGCAACAGTGGGAGCCCTGAGCTTGTTTTCCTGCAACTAGACGGTCCCATCTGAGGGTTATGTGAGACAGTGACAGATCATCAGGCATTAGATACTCATAAAGAGCATGCAGTCTAGATCCCTCACATGCGCGGTTCACAGTAGGGTTTGCACTCCTATGAGACTCTAATGCTGCTGCTTATCTGACAGGAGGCAGAGCTCAGGTGGTAATTTGCGGAGGGGGAGGGGCTGTAAATACAGATGGAGCCTCGCTGGCTCTCCCGCCACTCAGCTTCTGCTGTATGGCCCTGTTTCTCTGTGGCCTGAGGTTTGAGGACCCCTGCCCTTACTGCTCCCTGACCCCAGAAGTTTGTCCTCCTTCCTGTAGGGGTGACACTTGTCCCCACTGTCCCAACTACCTTCCCTCCTACTTGAGAGAAGGGGACCTCCTCCCCTAGGCTTTCATTACCTCCTTCCTTAGCCATAGGCTGAAATCTCTTCCATGATGAAGTAAAAATCTGGCCAGGTGCAGTGGCCCACACCTGTAATCCCAGCACTTTGGGAGGCCGAGGAGGGCAGATCACTTGAGGTCAGGAGTTTGAGACCAACCTGGCCAACATGGTGAAACCCTATCTGTACTAAAAATAAAAAAATTGGCCAGGCATGGTGGTTCATGTCTCTAACGTCAGCAATTTGCAAGGCGGGCAGATCGCCTGAGTTCAGGAGTTCGAGAGCAGCCTGGCCAACATGGTGAAACCCCCTCTCAACTAAAAATACAAAAATTAGCCAGGTGTGGTGGCGGGCACCTGTAATCCCAGCTACTAGGGAGGCTGAGGCAGGAGAACCGCTTGAACTCGGGAGGCGGAGGTTGCAGTGAGCCAAGATTGTGCCACTGCACTCCAGCCTGGGTGACAGAGCAAGACTCCGTCTCAATAAACAACAAACAAACAAACAAAAATTAGCTGGAGGTGATAGTGTGAGCCTGTAGTCCCAGCTACGCAGGAGGCTGAAGCAGGAGAACCACTTGAACCCAGGAAGGCAGAGGTTATAGTGAGCTTAGATCTCACCACTGCACTCCAGCCCGGGTGACAGAGTGAGACTCCATCTTACAAAAAATTAAATAGGCAGGGCCTGGTGGCTCACATCTGTAATCCCAGCACTTTGGGAGGCCAAGGTGGGCAGATTGTCTGGTGGCTCACATCTGTAATCCTAGCACTTTGGGAGGCCAAGGTGGGCAGATTGCTGAGCTCAGGAGTTCAAGACCAGCCTGGGCAACGTGGTGAAACCCTGTCTCTACTGAAATACAAAAAATTAGCCGGGCGTGGCAGCGTGAGCCTGTAATCCCAGCTACTCAGGAGGCTGAGGCAGTAGAATCACTTGAACCTGGGAGTTGGAGGTTGCAGTGAGCCGAGATTGTGCCGCTGCACTCCAGCCTGGAAGACAGAGCGAGACTCCATCTCAAAAAAATAAAAAAATACAAGAAATAAATAAATACTAAAGTAAAATCCACAGCAAATGCTCATCCCACATCTGCCCGGCCCCAGCTCTGGTCGCCTCTCCCTGCTTTGCACCTCCCCAGACCCCTGGCTCCACCTCTCCCTTCTCCACTCCACTCTGTGCATTCTACAGATGTTCTTGTCCTCCAGTTTCCGGTGGGTTTGGACAACTGGAGGCACTAGCAGAAGATGTAGGGCGGGCTTGGTGGCTCATGCTTGTAATCCCAGCACTTTGGGAGGCCGAGGTGGGCGGATCACTTGAGGTCAGGAGTTCGAGACCAGCCTGGCCAACATGGTGAAACCCCGTCTCTACTAAAAATACAAAAATTAGCCGGGCGTGGTGGTGGGTGCCTGTAATTCCAGCTACTTGGGAGGCTAAGGCAGGAGAATCACTTGAACCTGGGAGGCAGAGGTTGCAGTGAGCTGAAATCACGTCACTGCACTCCAGCCTGGGCAACAAGAGCGACACCCCATCTCAAAAAAAAAAAAAAGAAGAAAAAGAAAAAGAAAAAAAAAGATGTCAGAGGAAAGTGAATTGGGGACACTAATCCTCCCGGATCCCTCCCTGCGGGGTCGCCTCAACTTGGCTGTGTCCATCATCCACACGACTCTCTCCCTAGGCTCTGCTAACATCCTTCCCCTTGCCCCATCGGGAGCATCCAGAAATGATAAAGGATCTCCAAGGGTGCTTGCCCTGGCTGCCTCAGCAACTCCTGTTGGTTTCCCCAAACTCTGCCCACACCACTGTGTATAGTCCTTGCAGCAAACCTGCCTCAAATTTCCCGGTTTGTAATTTTTTTTTTTTTTAATTTTTAGAGACTGGGTCTCACTGTGTTGCCCAGGCTGGTGTCGAACTCCTAAACTCAAACGATTATCTCTCCTCAGCCTCCCAAAGCTCTGGGATTACAGGAGTGAGCCCGGGTGCCTGACCGCATTACTCTGTTTGAATGTGTTCAGTTGTTTTTCCCCAAGCCTCCAATATTTCCTTGCCCCTCCCTGCTTAACCTCATTCAGAGCAGCCAAGCCCTCTGCCTTCAGTCTCACTCCTGGCTTTCCTCCCTCATAACTTGGAGATTTGTATAGCTCTCACTTGATTATCTCAGAGGTTGTTTTTGTTTTATTTTGTTTTGTTTTGTTTTAGGGTTTTTTGTTTTTTGTTTGAGACAAGGTCTCGCTCTGTCTCCCAGGCTGGAGTGCAGTGGCACGATCTCAGCTCACGGCAACCTCCACCTCCCAGGTTCAAGCAATTCTCAAGCCTCAGTTTCCTGAGTAGCTGGGACTACAGGGACCCGCTACCACGCCCAGCTAAGTGTTTTTTTTTTTTTAAGTAGAGACGGAGTTTCACCATGTTGGCCAGGCTGGTCTTGAACTCTGGCCTCAAGTGATCTGCTCACCTTGGCCTCCCAAAGTGCTGGGATTACACGAGTGAGCCACTACGCCCGGCCTGGGTTTTTGTTTGTTTGTTTTTAAGACACGGTCTTGCTCTGTCTCCAGGCTGGAGTGCAGTGGCATGATCACAGCTCATTGTAGTCTTGACCTCACAAGCTCAAGCGATCCTCCCATCTCAGCCTCCTGAGGAGCTAGGACTACAGGCACACGCCTCCATGCCCAGCAGTTAAATTTTTTTTTTTTTTTTTAAGAGACAAGGGGTCTTGCAATGTTTCCAAGGCTGGTCTCAAAACTCTTGGTCTGCCGTGATCCTCCTTCCTCGGCCTCCCAAAGTGCTGGGATTGAAGGCATGAACCACCACGCTTGTCTCTCAGCAGCTTGTGACGCCAGGAACTACATCCCTATTCCTTGACGCTCCTCCCTCCTCCATTGCTGGGGCATCACTTTTGCCTGGTTCACCTCCTACCTTTTTTTTTTTTTTTTTTTTTGAGATGGAGTCTAGCTCTGTCATCCAGGCTGTAGTGCAGTGGTGTGATCTTGGCTCACTATAACCTCCACCTCCCGGGTTCAAGCGATTCTCCTGCCTCAGCCTCCCGAGTAGCTGGGATTACAGGCGCCCACCACCACGCCTGGCTAATATTTGTATTTTTAGTAGAGACGGGGTTTCGCTGTGCTGGACAGGCTTGTCTCAAACTCCTGACTTCGTGTTCCTCCCGCCTCGGCCTCCCAAAGTGCTGGGATTACAGGTGTGAGCCACTGTGCCTAGACTTTTTTTTTGAGATGGAGTCTCCCTCTCTCGCCCAGGCTGGAGTGCAGTGGCATGATCTTGGCTCACTGCAACCTCTGCCTCCCGGGTTCAAGTGATTCTCCTGCCTCAGCCTCCCGAGTAGCTGGGACTACAGGCATGTGCCACCATGCCCGGCTAATTTTTTGTAATTTTGGTAGAGGTGGGGTTTCACCATGTTAGCCAGGACGGTCTCGATCTCCTGACCTTGTGATCTGCCCGCCTCGGCCTCCCAAAGTGCTGGGATTACAGGCGTGAGCCACCGTGCCTGGCCTCACCTCCTACCTTTGTGGCCTCTCTCCTCTGCCTGTCTCTGAGGTGTTGGGGGTCCTCAGGGTTCAGTCTCCAGTCTTGTTCTCCATTCTGCTCTAGGGAGACTTCACCCTCGCTCCCAGCTTAAGAGCCTCTCTGCCCCACAATACACCGATGCTTGCTGGGCTATTTTTGTCTTTAGCCCATAACATGCTTCTAAGTCCCTACCCCGGGATCCAGCGCCGTCAGACTGAATATATCCCAAACCTGCCTCTGTACCTTCTCAGCGTATCTGCTCCTCTTCCAGTGCCTGGACTTGAGTCTCGTTCTCCACTGCCTGGACCACGCCCATCCTCCTCTGAGGCCTTCCCGTCCTCTGGTCCGGCCTTCTCACCATCCCCCAAGTAACATTCCAGACACACGGATCTGTCCGAGACCCTCCCCTGCTGGCATGTGAAGCCTTTTATAGTCTCACGTCTTCCTAGCCCAAACTTTCCTCCCAGTCTCACGGAAATGCTAAATCATCCCGGCGTGGGAGGCTTCTGTGGGTCGGGGCGCAGCTTTGCAAGGTTCAGCTCCAAGACTGCTTCCTCCAGGGAGCCTTCCCTCCCTTCCCCCAGGTAAGTGCTCCTCCCCAGTTGCTCATTCCACCAGGGCCTGATCACACCCTGCTGGCAGTGTCAGAGCCCGGCTTTGTCTTCCACCACCCCTCCTAGAACTGGTGGCAGGGACAGATGAATGGATGAATGAATGAATGGGAAGTGAGAATTCTACTACTGGACCATCAATGCAGCCCTCGGAATGAGTGAGTGAGTGAGTGAGTGAGTGAGTGAGTGATGGAAAGTGGTCTGGAGGCAGGGAGAGGGACAGGCCGATCATGCGAGGAATCCCAGCCCAAGCCCCCGAGGTCCCCGCTCCCGCCCTAAAAGATGCACGCGCCAAGCCCTTGGGCCAGAAAAAAAAAAAAAAAACGGGCCGGGATTGGCTCAGGCTGGGGGAGGCGGGTCTACGACGAGACACGATTTTCTATTGGCTTACTCGCCAGGACTCTGCCCAATCGACGCGATCGTCTTCCCCAGAAGACCCCCGCCTCCCTCCCGCCGGCGGCCGCGGAGGCGGAAGAAGGCGCCTTTCCGTCGCCCTAGCAACCGTCAGCGGATCTCCGTCGCCCGGGCAACTGTCCCAGGCCTCCCGTCAGCCTTTGCCTGGGCCCCTCCGGTCACTCGGACAACCGCTACCCGTTCCGGTCAACCATCAACCCGTCCCCCGTCACCCCGGCAACCATCGCCGGACCCACCTACCCCTGGACGCCGTCCTGGTCCTGTCCGCAGGCCTCCTCGCCCCAAACCTCCGCCGCGGGCTCCGACGTCCGCGACCCCACGTCTCAGGGGCTCCCTCCTCCTCCTGCCCGTCTTCTCGCCTCCCCGGGGCGGGGGGCATTGCTCCTCCCCTGGCAGGGGGGCCCCGGGTTGGACCCGGCTCTGGGGGTCCCTGCTCGGTCGGGACAGTGGGACCGCCCTGTGCTGTGGCCGCGCGCAGCCCCCCGCAGGCTTCGGCGCTCGCACTCTTGCGTGGGACTGTCCAACCGCCACAGGGAGCTCTTCAAAATGCAAGCCATGTCCCTTCCCTGCTGAAAACCCTCCCCTGGCTCCCCTTGAGAATCGAATCCAAGCTCCTCGCAGCCCCTGGCGATCTGGCTGTGTGGCCTCTTCTCTGAAGCCTCCTCGCTCACTCTGCCTTAGCAAGGCCCTGGCCTGCGTGTTGTAACTCCAATGACCCAAGCTTCTTCCCGCCTGGGACCTTCCTAGTCACTACTTCCCACTCCACCAAAAAGTGCATCCTAGACGGGCGCGGTGGCTCATGCCTGGAATCCCAGCACTTTGGGAGGCCGAGGTGGGAGGATCACTTGAGCCGAGGAGTTTGAGACCACTCTGGGCAGCATAGTGAGACGTCTGTCTCTATAAAAAATTTTTGGGAGGCCGAGGCAGGCGGACTGCTTGAGGTCAGGCGTTGGAGATCAGCCTGGCCAACATGGTGAAACCCCGTCTCTGCTAAAATTACAAAAATTAGCCAGGTGTGGTGGCGTGTGTCTGTAATCCTAGCTACTGGGGAGGCTGAGGCAGGAGAATCACTTGAACCCAGGAGGTGGAAGTTGCAGTGAGCTGAGATGGCGCCACTGCACTCCCGCCTGGGCAATAGAGCAAGCCTCCATTCTCAAAAAAAAAATTAAAAATTAGCCTGGCATGGTGGTGTGCCCCTATAGTCCCAGCTACTCAGGAAGCTGAAGCAGGAGGATTGATTGAGCCCAGGAGGTAGAGGCTGCTGTGAGCTTACGTCACACCACTGCACTCCAGCCTGGGCAACAGAGTGAGACCCTGTCTCAAAACAACAACAAATAAGTGCATCCTCTAGCTAGGGTCCCACCTGTGAGTCTTCAGTGAAGCCTTCCCTGAGCCCTGTCAGCTCTCTCCTCCTTAAACTCTTTCTGGCTCACACTCTGTCACTAGGACCTAGAACACTGCCTGGTATCTATGTTGAGTAAAAAGATGTTGTGCCAGGCGCAGTGGCTCACGCCTGTAGTCCCAGCACTTTGGGAGGCCGAGGTGGGCGGATAATGAGGTCAGGAATTCGAGACCAGCCTGGCCAACATGGTGAAACCCCATCTCTACTAAAAATACAAAAATGGGCCAGGTGCGGTGGCTCACGCCTGTAGTCCCAGCACTTTGGGAGGCCGAGACGGGTGAATCATGAGGTCAGGAGATCGAGACCATCCTGGCTAACACGGTGAAACCCTGTCTCTACTAAAAATACAAAAAATTAGCCGGGCGTGGTGGTGGGCGCCTGTAGTCCCAGCTACTCGGGAGGCTGAGGCAGGAAAATGGTGTGAACCCGGGAGGCGGAGCTTGCAGTGAGCCGAGATCGCACCACTGCACTCCATCCTGGGACAGAGCGAGACTCCGTCTCAAAAAAAAAAAAAAAAAAAAAAAATACAAAAATGAGCTGGGTGTGGTGGCGGACACCTGTAATCCCAGCTGTTCAGGAGGCAGAGACAGGAGAATCGCTTGAGCCTGGGAGGGGGCTGCAGTGAGCCGAGATCGCGCAATTGCACTCCAGCCTGGGCGACAGAGCAAGACTCCATCTCACAAACAAACAAACAAAAAAAGGATATTGTGCTGGGGATAAGGGAGGACAGAGGGGGATGACCAGCAGGCAGGCCTATCTCAGAGACAGGAGAATGTATTTCTCAGGGCCTCTCAGTCCTCATGGTACAGGTGATGATGGCAACATCCCCAAAAAGCCAGGCACAAGCCAGGGAGATACAAGCTGATGCTACGGTCAGCCTGAGACTGGGTGGCGCACCCTCCACATATAACCGCCACCCCCCACCCATCCCCACCCCAGAGGGCTCCAGAGTCAGCGGAAACTGTGGCTAATTTGGAGCAGAAGTTTCCAGGAGCTGGAGAGGCAGGCCTCAGATCCCAGATGGCTTTTCTGGGAGCTGGTCCCTTCCTGCCCGGAATCCAGAATCTCACTTGTCCTAACAGAGACGAGAGCTGTTTTCCCAGGGATCTGAGACAGGCCAGCCCAGGCTGGGGCAAGAGAACTTGACCTGACCAGGCCTGGGGTCATGACGGGGGGTGAGGGAAGGGGCTTGTGGGAGCTCTCCTGGGACTGGCTGGAGAGGAATGAGGAATCTGCACACCCACCTGCCTGCTCATGAGGGTCTGCCCTTGGGGAGGTTGCCAGGGGCCAGGCAGGGAGGCCCCCTGCTCTTTTTTTTTTTTTTTGAGATGGAGTCTCGCTCTGTTGCCAGGCTAGAGTGCAGTGGCGCGATCTCAGCTCACCGCAAGCTCCACTTCCCGGGTTCATGCCATTCTCCTGCCTCAGCCTCCTGAGTAGCTAGGACTACAGGCGCCCACCACCACGCCCGGCTAATTTTTTGTATTTTTAGTAGAGACAGCATTTCACCAGGTTAGCCAGGATGGTCTCGATCTCCTGACCTCGTGATCCGCCCACCTCAGCCTCCCAAAGTGCTGGGATTACAGGTTTGAGCCACTGTGGTCGGCCCTGACCCCTACTCTTAAGCTAGGATTACCCTCATCAGCGCTGCCACACACAACTTTCTTCACTGATGCGGCAATTGAGCACTTGAAATACAGCTGGTATGGCCAGGCACAGTGGCTCACGCCTGTAATCCCAGCACTGTGGGAGGCCAAGGTGGGCAGATCACTTGAGGTCAGCAGTTCGAGACCAGCCCGGCCAACATGGTGAAACCCCATCTCTACTGAAAATACTAAAATTAGTCAGGCCTGGTGACGCTCCTGTAGTCCCAGCTACTCGGGAAGCTGAGGCACAAGAATCGCTTGAACCCGGCAGGTGGAGGTTGCAGTGAGCCTAGATTGCGTCCACTGCACTCCATCCAGCCTGGGCGACACAGCAAGACTCTGTCTCAAGGGGAAAAAAATGAAATACAGCTGGTGGGACTGAGCACTGCATTTTCATTGTATTTCATTTCAATTAACATACATTTAAGCTGAAGTAGCCAAATGTGGTCAGCAGTATTGTATTCAGAGTAGCACTGAGCTGAAGACCCAGGCAGGAGGTCGAAGGCAGGGACAGGAAGGTCAGGGTTTAAGGTCTGTGCAGCTATGGCAGAGAAGCGACTTTGGCAAAGCGCAGAGTGAGGCCCCAGGAAGGGAGGAGGTGGGACACTCGGTCTCGGCATCTGGCTCCACTGGAAGAGAGGTATACCCAGTTCCCAGGGTCAAAGTGTTTGTTACACACACATGCATCCATGCCTGTGTGTGAGTATAGGGGTTGGTGTGTCCCGAGGCACCCATAGGTGCGCTTGTGTGGGATCCAGGAGTCCCATGCCTATGAGCGATTCAAGAGTTCACCCATGTATGGACATTGTATGGACTCCCAGGCACACACAGATAATGGGTGTGTGTTCCTTCCTGAGTATCCATGCCTCCTGGGCAGGCCAGCAAGGACCACTAGTCCAGCAGGTCTTGCAAGAAGGCCCACATGTACTGGTGCATCTCCTGGGGGTTGCTCTGTGGGATCCAATGCCCTATGCCTGGCAGGATGTGGGCCTCCAAGCGGCCCGGCACAAAGCGGCTGCCGATGGCTTCCACCAGCCCCAGCTCCAAGTAAGTGTCCTTCTCCCCCCACAGCAGCAATGTGGGTGTGGTCAGCTCCTGGGGTTCCAGGGGGAAGTTCCTGTGGCCAGGACAGACAGACAGGCAGACAGACAGGCAGAAGGATGGTTGCCTCCCACCCCCCTGCCCCTGCAAATCTCCTGAGCTTATGCTTGGCAACTGGTCTCACCTGAAGAGGTTTCGGTAGTAGTTGAGGGGCCCAGTGAGGCCACCAGGCTGTGAGAAGTTATAAAGGAAGGCCTCGAGCTCGCTGGGGGTCAAGCATGGGATGCCTGTCTTGCGGTGGGTGAGGGTGGTCTTCAGAATCTAGGTACACAGCAGGACTCTGGCTTCAGTGCCCAGCCTGCCCAGCCCCGACCTGCTTCCCTCCTCCCTTCAACCTGCACCCTCTGTACCTGAAAGTCAGACATAGACAGCAGCTTCTCGGGCAGCCAGGGCAGCTGGAACAGGAACATGTAGTGGGAACGGAAGAACTGGCTGATGTGGTGCAGGGAATAGTCTGGGGTGGGAGGGTTGGGGGAGAGATATAAGGCCTGCTCCTGGGGTGGCCCCATACACCTGCACCCCTACACATACCCAGGTCAGGGACACAAGCCTCAGGAATGCCACTGCTGCCTGCCTGGGTCTGTGAAGGTACTAGATACCCCTCCTGGCCTGGGCACCAGCTACATTCCCTCCTGCCATGTTTCACTATCCACAGGATGGGGGCATCTCCTGGGAACCCCCATATCCAAAGGTGTGCTTCCTCTGCCCAGGCCAGGGTGCGTTTCCTCTGCTTTATTCAGCTAACATTTATTGAGCAACTACTGCATGCCAGGCCTTGTTCTAGACACAGCAGTGAATGAGACAGTCAAAACTCCCTGTTCATCCTAGGCAACTTAAGGAAACCCCTGTATCTATAATTTTTTTTTTTTTTTTTTTTTTTTTTTTTTTTTGAGACAGAGTCTCGCTCTGTCGCCCAGGCTGGAGTGCAGTGGTGTGATCTTGGCTCACTGCGAGCTCCGCCTCCCGGGTTCACGCCATTCTCCTGCCTCAGCCTCCCGGTAGCTGGGACTACAGGCACCCGCCACCACGTCCGGCTAATTTTTTTTGTATTTTTAGTAGAGACAGGGTTTCACAGTGTTAGCCAGGATGGTCTCGATCTCCGGACCTCATGATCCACCCGCCTCAGCCTCCCAAAGTTCTGGGATTACAGACGTGAACCACCGCACCCGGCCTCCAAAAAATAATTTTTTAAAAATTAGCAGGGTGTGGTGGTGTGTGCCTATAGTCCCAGCTACTTGAGAAGCAGAAGTGGGAGGATCGCTTGAGCCCAGGAGTCTGAGGCTGCAGTGAGCTGCAATTACAGCACTGCACTCCAGCCTGGACCACAGAACAAGACTGTCTCAAAGGAAAAAAAACAAAACACAAAAAAAGACACCCCCAAAAGACAAAAAACTCCCTGCCCTCAGGGAGCTGACAGTCTAGATGGGGAGACAGACAAGTAAACAATAATAGGCTGGGTGCGGTGGCTCACGCCTGTAATCCCAGCACTTTGGGAAGCCAAGGCGGGTGGATCACTTGAGATCAGGAGTTAGACACTAACCTGGGCAACATAGTGAAAACCCGTCTCCACTAAAAATACAAAAATTAGCTGGGCGTGTTGGGGCATATCTGCAGTCCCCGCTACTCTGGAGGCTGAGGAAGGAGAGTCACTTGAACCCAGGAGGTAGAGGTTGCCAGGCAGGGTGGCTCACTCCTGTAATCCCAGCACTTTGGGAGGCTGAGGCCGGCAGATCGCTTGAGCCCAGGAGTTCAAGACCAGCCTGGCCAACATGCTGAAACCCCATTTCTACTAAAAATACAAAATAATTAGCCGGTCATGGTGGCACACATCTGTAGTCTCAGCTACTGAGGAGGCTGAGGCAAGAGAATCACTTGAACCTGAGAGGCGGAGGTTGCCGTGAGCCGACATTGCGCCACTGCACTGCACAGAGTGAGACTCCATCTCAAGAAAAAAAAAAAAAAAAGGGGCCAGGCGTGGTGGCTCACGCCTATACTCCCAGCACTTTGAGAGGCCAAGGTGGGCAGATCACAAGGTCAGGAGATCAAGACCATCTTGGCCAACATGGTGAAACCCCGTCTCTACTAAAATACAAAAAATTAGCCCGGCATGGTGGCCTGTAATCCCAGCTACTTGGGAGGCTGAGGCAGGGGAATCGCTTGAACCTGGGAGGCGGAGGTTGCAGTGAACTGAGATCACGCCACTGCACTCCAGCCTGGCGACAGAGCAAGACTCTGTCTCAAAAAAAAAAAAAAAAAAAAAAAAAAGAAAAGAAAAGAAAAAGAAAAAAAACAACAAAAGAGAGAGAGAGAGCACAGTTATGACCACAGTGCTGCATATTAACATCAGGTGATATGATAGACATTGTTAACCTCCCCAGCCTCAGTTTCCTCCAGCTGGAACATGGGGATAATACAACCTTCATAAGCCCAGGAGCCTTAAGTAGGTTACTGTGTGCATATTCCTTGTTACTGTAAGTGCTATAAAAAAATGTGGATTACTCCTAAGTGTATTGTGATTTATTTTATTTTATTTTATTTTTGAGACAGAGTCTCACTCTGTCATCCAGGCTGGAGTGCAGTGGTGCGATCTTGGCTTACTGCAACCTCCACTTCTCAGGTTCAAGTGATTCTCTTGCCTCAGCCTCCCGAGTAGCTGAGACTACAAGCGTGCACTACCATGCCTGGCTGATTTTTTTGTATTTTTAGTAGAGACGGGGTTTCACCATGTTGGCCAGGCTGGTCTTGAACCCCTGGGCTCAAGCAATCCACCGGCTTTGGCCTCCCAAAGTGCAGGGATTACAGGCAGGAGCCACCACGCCTGGCCATACTTTATTTTATTTATTTATTTTTTGAGATGGAGTTTTGCTCTTGTTGCCTAGGCTGGAGTGCAATGGCATGATCTCAGCTCACTGCAACCTCCACCTCCCAGGTTCAAGAGATTCTCCTGCATCAGCCTCCCGAGTAGCTGGGATTACAGGCATGCACCACCAATGCCTGGCTAATTACATTTTTTTTTTTTTTTTGTAGAGACAGTTGGGGTCTTGCTATGTTGACCAGACTGGTCTTGAACTCCTGGCCTCAAGTGATCCTCCCACCTCAGCCTCCCGGAGGGCTGGGATTACAGGTGTGAGCCACTGGGTCTGGCGTGTCATTAATTTCCGAATGAGGAGTTCCACAACCGAAGGGACCTGGGTTGATTGCTGCACCCTCAGCCCCTGATGTGTTGACAGGTATACAGAGAATTGAAAACACAGACACATGTCCCTGCCCCCTTGCACATAAGTACATCCCAGTGTCCCGGACTCCCACACACACCTTGGTACACCGACATGGGGGCACCACTGACCACAACCATCCGCTCGACCAGGGATGGGTAGTAGATGGAGAAATGCCAGGCAAGGAGGGCACCCCAGTCATGGGCCACAAGGATGCACTTCGAGTAACCTGTGGGAATTCAAGGAGCTCGCATAAGTGAGGTGCCCAGTAGGACTGAAGCAGGGATGGGGGAAGTAGGTTCCAGCAAGGAGAAAGCGGGGGTATGCGTGTGTGCAGGATGAGGGAGGCCACGCCTAGGATGGGGGTATGTCTGCACCCAGGCCTAGGATGACATCTTTGATGTCCACCAGCAGCAGGTCGATTGTGTAGCAGTCCACATCCCGAGGTGCATCCGAGGGGCCATAGCCTCGCAAGTCCACAGCCACAACATGGAAGCGGCTCTGGAACTCCCGGAGCTGGTAACGCCAGGAGAACCTGCCAGGCGGGCGAGGGAGGGAGGCTGAGTCAGGGCCCTCAGGTTGCACCTGCACCCTACGCACATCAGCAACCATTGGCAAACCCTCCTTCCTGCTCTAAACTTCCCCTAAAAGGAGGATGGGGAATCCCAGGCAGAGGCAGAGGCTGAGGCTGAAGCCAGCTACACCCTGAATCCAGGGAACTTCAATCAACCTCAATACCCCTTTGTCCTGTCCCTTCAGGGCCTAGGGATCCTGGGTATGCTGGCTCAGTACCCCTATCCCCATCTATGTTCAGCTTGTCCCGATCTATACAGCCCTCCTCCCTGCCTCTTGGGAGCCCAAGCTCCACCTGCCCCCGAGTCCCGTGGGCCTCAGGCCCCTGGCCCCAGACGTACCAGTTCTCAGGGAAGCCGTGCAGAAACAGCATGAGGGGTCCGTTACCTCGTCCAGCCGAGACATAGTGCAGACGCAGGCCCGAGCTCTAGGGGGAGGGCACAGCCTGAAGCCTGGGGAACCCTCTCTCCCGAGGCTTGAACCGTCTCGACCCCACGCGACCCCGCAGCCCCGATAGCGCCCCCGTGCGATCACCTTGAGGTTCAGGAAACCGTGCTCACCCAGCGAGGGGTCGCTCAGGCAGGCGGGGGACGCGCTCCGACGGCGCCCGCAGCAGCCGCGCCGGGGCCGGCACAGCACGTGCGTGAGCGCTATGCAGCCGTAGACCGCCGCGGCCACCAGCGCCACCGAGAACACCAGGCTCCACATGAAGGCGCGCAGCAGCTTCAGCGACAGGCGCGACGGCGCCAGCAGCGCGGTCACCACCAGCTCCGGCATGTCGCCGCGCTCCGGGACCACGGCGGCGCTGCCGGCCAGGGGCACCTGCAGCAGCGGCGAAGCGGTGTCAGGGCTCAGGGGCCCATCGCCCTTGGCCTGGGGCCCCTCCGTGCCGTCGGGATTTGTGGGACGCGCTGAAGGAAGAGGCGGGCGGCTCCGACAGAAAACAGCCAGAGCGCACCACTCACCTGAGTGCCAGGTAAACACCTGGGCGCGACAGGGACAGGAAACAAGGGTAGGGTGCGGAGGCTGGGGAGGAAGAGGTTGGAAAGGGGGGAAATAAATGGGCGGGGCCTAGCAGGTCCTGTGCGGGGCTTAGGGCCGGGGCGGGGCCCAGGAAGACTCAGCAGCGGGTGGGTGAGGGTCTAAAGGCGGCAATTCCGGGCCGGGTGCGGTGGCTCACGCCTGTAATCCCAGCACTTTGGTAGGCCGAGGCGGGCGGATCACCTGAGATCAAGAGCTCGAGACCAGCCTGGGCAACGTGGTGAAACCCCGTCTCTACTAAAAATACAAAAATTAGCTGGGCGTGGTGGCGGGCGCCTGTAGTCCCAGCTACTTGGGAGGCTGAGGCAGGAGAATCGCTTGAACCCGGGACGTGGAGGTTGCAGTGAGCTGAGATCGCGCCACTGTACTCCAGCCTGGGTCACAACAGGGAAACTCCGTCTCAAAAAAGAAAAAAAAAAAAGGCAATTCCGAGCCCAGACAAACCTTAAGGAGGGGATCCTGGATCTTCAGTTAAGTGGGCGACACCTGGAGTGAGGGGCGGGGCATATGCAGAGTAGGTGCGGCCTACAAGCCAAAAAGGAGAAAGAGTTGGAATGGTGGGCCTGGCTTATGCGGGTGGGCGGGGAGAGGGTGGATCCTAGAGGAGGTGAGGCCTAACATTGGGCGAAGAAGGCGGGAGCCTGGGCCAATGAGCTGACGGTAGGCCGGGGAGGGGGCGGTGGGGTGGGGTGGGCAATGGGCAATGAGACGGAGGGCGGGGCCGGGACCTAATATGGCGGGTCAGGAGGGTCTGGAAGACGAAGAAGAGGGACAGGCAATGCCAGGTCTAGGACTAGGAGGGAGGCGCGGGCGGTATTAGCGGCTGGAGGAGGCTTCGGGAGGCCCGGCCGACGGCCGCCGCCTGGTGCTACCCACCCAGGGGCGCGCGACCCTCCCTTCGGTCTGGCTCCAAAGACCTAGCAGCACTGACTTCACCCAGCTGTGGTTCCAACGGCGGGTCCAGCGGCCTCGGCCCGGCGCCGTCCTCCTGCTGGCCCAACAGGCCCGCCAGCCCGCCCCTGTACGTCTGTGATTGGACGGCGGCGGCCACTGATGTTCAAGCGACAGGTCCTGGCCCGGGAGCCAATCTGCAGGTGTTGAGGCCCAGGCTCCGAGAGCGGGCCGAGGAGGCGTGGATACCCTGATTCCTAGGGGGCAGGCCTGGTTCCCCCGAGGAGGACCCGGCCTATGAATGACTGGAGTTCTGGGGTTCTGGCCGAAAGAGGAAGTGGGACAGGGCCGGGTGTGATGGGGCCTAGAGTCACAGAGCCTTGCGGCCCTGCTGTCCCTGCAAGAAGCCAGCTTCTGGCCAGGCGCGGTGGCTCACGCCTGTAATCCCAGCACTTTGGGAGGCCGAGGCGGGCGGATCACGAGGTCAGGAGATCGAGACCATCCTAACATGGTGAAACCCTGTCTCTACTAAAAATACAAAAAATTAGCCAGGCGTGGTGGCGGGCGCCTGTAGTCCCAGCTACTAGGGAGGCTGAGGCAGGAGAACGGCGTGAACCCAGGAGGCGGAGGTTGCAGTGAGCTGAGATTGCGCCACTGCACTCCAGCCAGGGCGACAGAGCGAGACTCCGTCTCAAAAAAAAAAAAAAAAGCAGCCAGCTTCTTCCTCCTATTTTGCAACCTTCTCCCGATATCCTTGAACATTTTAGGGACAGCCATCACTTAACCATAGAGCAACCCTATTAAGTCTAAGTAGCATAATCACATTCCTGTAGTATAGATCATGAACCTGAAATTCGAGGATGAAGTCATTTGCCTGAAGACATACATCTTGTAAAATAGCCATCCGCAAAGATGTAGGGAAAAAGGCAGCGATCTGTGGCTACACCTCCCCTTCCTCCCGGAAGCAGCCACTGGAACGTTTTTAGCTTTTTCTTTTTTTTTCAGATGGAGTTTCGATCATAGCTCACTGCAGCCTCGAACTCCTGGGCTCAAGCACTACAACCTGTAGTTGGGACTACAGGCCTGTGCCACCACACTCAGCTAATTTTTCAAAAACTTTTCAGAGAGACGACTTGCTATATTGTCCAGGCTGGTCTCAAACTCCTGGCCTCAAGCAATCCTCAAGCCTCCACCTCCCAAAGTGGGATTACAGATGCAAGCCACCGTGCCTGACCTTTATTTCTTGACTTAACCAATGTATGACATCAGCCACTGACTTGCTCACATCACTACCCCGGACGTGCCGTTTTTTGTTTCCCTGTTAGTTTCCTTTAAAAACACTCCACTTGTCACCTCTTGCCCCTTTCCACCTCCCACTTTTATCCATATACCTTTGTACTGTCAAGGCTGCTAAACATTATACTGTCCTGGGACCATAACTAAGTCCATGAAGTTGCCACTTAAAGGTGAATAGTGGTTTATGTTCTGCCTCAGTGAACAATGCATCTCAAGAGCCGAATAGACCACTATGATTACATTGCCCATAGTGTACAAACTTTTGTTCTCCCTGGACTACTTAACCACTACCTTTCTTTTGTTGTGTGATTAGCCTACATCAAAGCTTTGGGGGTTTTTTTGTTTTTGTTTTTTTTGAGATGGGAGTCTCACCATATCACCCAAGCTGGAATGCAGTGGTGTGATCTCGGCTCACCGCAACCTCCGCCTCCAGTGTTCAAGCAATTCTCCTGCCTCAGCCTCCGGAGTAGCCGGGACTACAGGTGTGTGCTACCGCGCCCCGCTAATTTTTTGTATTTTTCAGTAGAGATGGGAGTTTCACCATGTTGGCCAGGCTAGTCTCTTAACTCCTGACCTCAAGCGATCCTCCCACCCCGGCCTCCCAAAAGTGCTGGGATTACAGATGTGAGCCACCGTGCCTGGCAGCTTTTTCTTTTACACCTTCCATTAAATCAATTATCTCACAATTTGATGTTCCCAGGATCTCTCCCAACCGACTCCGCTAATCTGGACGCATGGGTGGTGGGTGTCTGGGGAACCTCCCTTCTTCCTCTCCTACACATCACTGACCCCCCGCCCTCATCTCCCCGCTTCTCCCAAGTCTACCCTCAAACAAAAAGCAGCCATCACAGGAGAGTAACTTTATACTCAGTACAAATGTTTATTTTTGCAATGAGAACTGCACAAAAAAAAAAAAAAACCTTTCGTATGTAAGTGAAAAGTCTACGAATTCCCTTCTACAAATGTCTAAAGTGTTTAATACAAGTCTCAGATTCACTGACATAATTATTGGCCAAGCGATCCGTGCATACAGTACAGTGGGGGCTTGTACACACCTCTTACTCTGGTATAGGACTAAGATTTCTAGTACTGTGGGAAGGGTTGGGAAATGGCTGGAGAAATTAAATAGATCCCAGTTCTAATTACAACCCAGGTAGAGAGACACCCATCAGGGAGGTGTGGAGAAGGCCATGGCTGAGTTAAATCTTCAGCAGGAAGCTGCAGAGAAAACTATCCAGCTCAGCAGTTGGACCCAGGCTGGGGAAGTGTCTGAACAAAACAAGGAACAAAAATGAGTGGGTGGGATGAGATGGAAGAAACCCCAAAGAACCTAAATACGTCACACTTGAAGTGGCACAGTGGTATATGAGAAAGTGCCTGAGTGGGCATGGACATCGAAGAAGTGGGGGGACCTCTGGCTGGATGCCTGAACCACACCCTCACAGGGAGGTTTGGCAGATCCAAAGACAATAAAGGACCTTTCAGGTCAAAAAGAGGGGATGTAGGAGAATAAACAGTGCTAGAAATGTTTCAATCAGTTTGTCTCTGCATACATATAAATTATATACTTGTATCTTACATCTTAGGGGCTCTTCTTGGGCGTCACCCGTGCCTTGTGGCTGGGGCATGTACATACACAAGTGGACACACAGGCAGAGCAGCCACCTGTGGGCTTTCTTGGACAGGAATGTGTGTGTATGTGCATGGGGGGTGAGGATCCTATTTTGGGGGATGTAGACTTATATCTAAGAGTATCTGGTTAACCCTGAGCTTAAATGAAAGGAGGAGTTAGGTTGAGGCAGGCAAGGTGGGAGAAGTGGCCCAAGTCCTTTGGTGAGTGGGGGGACAGGATGGAGTAGGGGGGACAGGATGGAGTAGGGTGGAGGGGAAGAATACTGTCTGGAGTCTGGCCAGGGTTCTGCTAGAGCACACCCTCCACCTCAGCCAGGGTCCACAAGGATGGGTACCGGGCTCTGCGTCACAGCTTCAGCTTGGGGTGGTTGCTATGAGTCTGCGTGGCTCCCGCCCAGGGCAGACAGGGACAGGTCACAGGAGAGGGGCTAGGTAATCCCTGGCAGTAGTTCCTGTACAGAGGTGGTCTGGGGTCCAGGGGGTCCCCTGGGCCTAGCCTAGGCAACAGTTGGTTCACAAAGAAATGTCAGGGAGACGCCAGCATTAAAAAAAGAGAGATGTGTTTATTCCATGATCAGTACAGACCAAATGCATATTCACCGTATGAAAGTCAAACCAGTCAGTGACTCCAGAGTTTGGCCAACACTGAGGCACCAGCGTCGTGGTGTAGAGTGGGTTCTCATGGCACGCGTAACCTCACCAGGGGCTCCAATTATAAAAATTAAAAAAAAAAAAAAAAAAAAGCATGGGCAGGAGCGGCCAGCTGGTTGGGGCTGGGCGCCAGGTAGGGGAGTCTCTGCCTTAGTCTGTGGCGCCCCCAGGGCCCGGTTCCCACCTCATCCCTTGGCCCTTCCTTTCTCAGTAAAAAACAAAAACAAAAACAAAAACCAAAACCAAAAAAACCAACTCAACAGATCTGACATTAAAAAACAAAAAAGCCAACAAATGGGTGGGGGGGGGGGGGGTGGAGGGGAAAGAAAAGAAATTGTAGCTTTCTGGTTTTATAATTAAAAATAGACTAATAAAGTTTGAAACTGAGTAAAATATAGGCAGGATTTTTTTTGTGTGTTTTGTCTTTTTGTGGATTTTTTTGAGCTTTTTTCTTTTTTCACACCAGTTTGGTGGAGTCACCAACAAACTTCAAACAAAGATATGCCAACTATGTTCACTATACAGTACAGCCACGGTCACACACTACCCACAGCGCGGTGGCAGCCGCTGCTCAATGAGGAGACGATCACACCATTTCGGAGATAAGCAGTGCCATTGTGTCTGGAGGAGAAGAGAGAATTAAAAATAAAATAGAATTCAACAAAAAATATATATAGAAAAAAAAGAAAAAAAAAAACGAAACAGAAACACAGGTGGGAAGGAACTGACTTTGGTTGGTGGCCTCACTCCCCGGCCGAGGGCTACCCACGCAGGACAGTCGCCTCGCTCCGGATGCCATGGACACACACACCTCCACGGCACTATTCCCTTTTGCACAAGCAAACACTTACAGAGAGCGGCTCTCAATTAAAGGCTTGTGGGGGAGGGTCGGGGGGTCTGTTCAAGGCAAAGTCAGTGCCAGCGAGGGGGTGGGCCGGCCTCGCCCGCCTCCAGCCCACGCAGGCCTGCCCTGGCCTCCTGGGAGCGGGCGGCGATGGCTGGGGTGTGGGGAAAGACTCCCGGCGGGCAGGACATCACGAACGTCACGTTCTTGGGGACAGAAAACCAGTCACGGCGGCAGCAACGATGTCCTGTGTATACTGTGTAGACATTTGGCGGAGAGAAGGGCCTCTGCCCCGCATGTGGGGATGCAGGGCTTGGGTCCAGCCGGCACTTGCTCGTAACAAGGCGTGTGCTGAGCGGACGTCCTGTGAGGGGTGGTGGGTGGCGGGACGTCTGTCCGACTGGCCGTAAGGCAGACAGGCTCTGCAATCCTCAGCTGCCCGTCAGGCCTGCCCCGGGCATAGCATGCAGGAGGGCCAGGCCCTGAGGCATCCCCTGGCCGCTGATCCCACCTCCACCACCGCCCCTAACACTATGGAAAGTCAATGTTTTGCCAGAAAATCAAAGTCAGAAGCCACCTAGGTGCGCTCAGAAAAGATTTTCTTCAAATATTGACAATAGATCACTCTGGAAATTCATGTCAATGGTAGCTGCCATCTGGAGGAGAAAGGAAGGAGGGAGTCAGGAGGATGACCTAGCCACCCTGCAGCTACAAGCCCTCATACCCGCTACCAGCAGTCAGCCCCGTAGCCCTCCCCGTGGCTGACCCCTCATAGCGCTCACCCCGTCCACACAGCACTCAGGGCCCTACAGCTGAGTCCAGAGGACCACATGCCGACCAGCAGGGACGGGGCTCCCCCGCTGCCCCTCCCTGTCCAGGCTCCAGTCCCCCTTTCCCAGCTCCCTCAGGAGCTAATCCTTAGACCAGGGTCCCCACCAGGCCTCCAGACTCACGGCTTCCCGGCGTCTTCGCTCCTGCTCCCGCTTCCGGGCCAACTCCCTCTGCTGGTCCAGCATGGACTGGGGCTGGGAGCTCTGGGCCTGTGGGGTGGCGGCGGCAGCCACCGCAGCTGCTTGCTGTTGCTGCTGCTGCTGTTGCTCCTGGCGCTGCTGCTGCTGCTGCTCCTGGCGCCGACGTGCCTCCTCATGGGCCCGCCGGGCCTGCTCCAGCGCATCCTCGTCCTCTCGGCTCCTGGGCAGAGGGTCCCAGTCAGCCTGGGGACTGGTGTGGCCCCAAGAGTCCCCATGCCCCACCCAGACACCCGCCCACCTCATGCGCTCCTGCCGCAGCCGCTCCTTCTCCTTCTCAGCGTGCTCGGCCTGAGCCTTCAGGGCCTTCTCACGCTCCTCTTTCTCCCGAGCGGCGCGGCGGAACTGCTCGAAGCTGTCGCTGGATGACTTGGCTGTGGAGGAGGGGGTGGTCGGATGCTTCTGCACTAGGCTGGCCCAGGAGCCCATGTTCTTGATTTTCAGGTCCTGCAGAACAGAGAGGTTGGGGTGGGTGAGGGGTCTGCTGTGCCTAAAGGGCATAGCTGGGGGTGTGCCCAGCATGGCACCTTCCAGGGCCAAGGGGCAAGCGACACCCATGGACCTCCATCCCAACCTTTTTGGGCGCAACTGGAGTCTTCGGCTCCTGTTTCTGTTTGTCCTTGTCAGGGGCCCCTGGTGGCGGTGCGTTCTGCTCTGGGGGCCGGATCACAGGCCTCCCGACATCCACAGGCTTCATTTCCGGCCCTGGAACATAAACAGCCGGTGGGCCCTGGCCCACCTCACCCCAGTGGGGCATGGTCCACCAGCCCCACAGCAAGCTTATGTCCAACACGGGCCTCGGGGGGCCTGAGCCCTGGCTGTGGGCAGGGAGAGCACTCACGCTGGGGCAGGTGGACGGGGGCCTTGATGCTCTCCGGGTGCTTGGGGGGCTCCGGCCGCAGCGAGGGGCTGAAGGGCTCGCTGCGGATGATGGGTGAGTGGATCTTCTCCTCCTTCACCACCACGAGGGGCTGGGGCTGGACCACGGAGGCAGCACGCAGCTCCTGGGATGGCACAGGCACAGCGGCCGGTGAGGTGGGCAGGCACCCCCGGCCCTAGCCCACAGGACTATGGCCCAGCCCTGCCAGTTACCTGTTTCTTAGGCTGGACGTTTTGCTGGGGTGGAGACTGGTGGGTCAGGCTCTGGAACTGTGACATCTGGGGGGAATGTATCATAAGCGGGGAGGGGGCTTCGCGGAGGTGACCTAGGAGAAGGGACAAGGAATGTGTCAAGGGGCTGGCTTAGAACTGCTGGCCCTGAGAGAATTGTCGGGAAGGAAAACGTGGGCTGTATGGAGAAACTGCATGTGCCGCCCAGGCCCTGGGACAAGGGTCCATTAGCCCAGCTCAAAAAGGGTGAAGACCCACACAAGTGACTGGGCCTGGTGAGGACATGACCCCTCCCCGAAAGGGCTGAGTGCCCTGTGTCCCCCTGCATGTGGGGCATAACTCAGTGTGCAGCAGAGCTTTCTAGGGCCCTGTGGCACCAGTCCTGGTGTTTGACCCTCCTGTGTGCATCAGAATCATCTGGGATACTGTGGAAAACACAGATCCTGACACATGTGGGCTTGGCAGGGCCTGGGCCCTAATACTTTTTAAACCCACAAAGCTCAGCCTGGGTTCCTGCCAACTAGCCTGGCCCACCTGGATGATTGCAGGGGGTGCAAGACCCAGTCCTGGGGGTGGGGATGCTCAGGACCCTCCCCACAGTCCTATTCCCCACTCAGCCTGCACGCCCCCACGGAAGAGAGAAGCCTGGAATTGGCCTCCACCTGCGCCGAGTGGGGAGCAGGCGGAAAAGGGCCTGGAGCTGTCTCTTAGGAAACAGGCCAGCCTGACACCTGCATCCAACCCAAGGCTGGGAAGGATCCAGCAGCCACAGGGACTACTGGGCCCTCAATCACAGTGAGCCAGCACCTCGGGACTGTGCAGCTGGAGCAGCTGAGTCCTACCCATCCAACATGTGGCCTCTCTCTGCTGGAATCCCTGCAGGCAAGGGGCCTCACCGCTCTTTGGCTAGCTGCAGCTCGGGACAAGCCACACTGTCCACAGAGGAGGCTGCCCCTCTGCAACGCTTTTGCTCCCAGCCTAGCCTCATGCCCATCTCCTTCCACTGTCTGTCAGCACAGGCACCCTTGGGTTCTCCAGGAGCCCTGCTGGCTGGAGGCATCTATTTTCATAGGCCTGGAGCAAACCACAATGCCCCAGGTGTGGTAGATCCTCTCTAGAGCCAGGACCCACTCCTAACGCCAGAAGACACTGCAGCTGCTTGGAGCCCACATGGTGGCCAGGCCCATCCTGTCCCCGCAGCCCACTGCTGTGTGTGGCTGGTTTTCCTGGCGTTGACATCTCCTCCAATTCTAGCACATCGGGACCACTTTGGGCACTGCCAATTCCATTCAGTGCTGGAGGGCCCCAGGTCTGGCCTGCCAGGGATCCACAGGCACATGACTGCAACAGCCTCCCACCCAACTAGGGCAGTGCCTTCAGCACCTGCTGAGGCTGACCTGGGCAACGGTAGGCTCCAGGGGCTGTGGTTTATAGAAACCACCTGCCTGCTGGTGGGTTCAGAGGATGGCTCACGGATGACTCCTGAAAGCTGGCTGGGGGCCCAGGGATGCCTGTTAAGTCTCTTTGGGAGTCTAACAACTTGGCTTTTGGCCTACAAAGCCCCTAGCAGGATCCCAATCCACACTGCTCTTGATGCCCCATCCTAGCCTGCTGGGGCTTGGGTCACGGCCAGGGACCTGAAGTAGAGCTGGCTGGAGAAGACCTGCCTCAGCCCCGATAGGTGCCTGGTGCACCCGAGTGCTGGCTCTTCTAAATGCCTTGCATCCCCTGTCTATCACCCCCAACAGGAGTCCAGCCCTGCTTCGCATGAGAACAGGCACAGCCGCACAGCTGCCAGGCCCAACACCAGTATTTCCCAGGGAGGACAGGCAGCTTGTTCTTGGCTCAGGGCATGCAGAGATCCACTTGGCACCTGACTTTTTTTTTTTTTTTTTTTTTTTTTGAGATAGAGTCTCCATCTGTTGCCCAGACTGGAGTGCAGTGGCACGATCTCAGCTCACTGCAACCTCCGCCTCCCAGACTCAAGCGATTCTCCCGCCTCAGCCTCCCAAGTGGCTGGGATTACAGGTGCCTGCCACCATGCCTGGATAATTTTTGTATTTTTAGTACAGATAGGGTTTCACCATCTTGGTCAGGCTGGTCTTGAAACTCCTGACATCAGGTGATCCACCTGCCTTGGCCTCCCAAAGTGCTGGGATTACAGGCGTGAGCCACCGCGCCCGGCCTGCATCCAGCAGCTTTTGCTGGGTTAGGAGTAATCACAGCCCTGCCTCGTTGCTTGATTTGCAGGCAGCACCCGGTACACACCCAAGACAGGCAGCACCATCTACACTGCTGAGGCCAGGACCCTCCACCCTAACCCTGCAGCACCACATCAGGAGGCACTGACCAGAACATCCCCTGCCGGAGCCAGCCAGGACATTCTGGTTACTGACACTTAAGCGCCCAGGAAAAGTGAAAGGGTGTGGCCTGACCAATGCTGTCAATGGGAAAAGGGTGGCGTGGACTGGGCTGGAGGCTGGTAACAGGCGATGAGGACAGGTCCTGGGCGGGCTCTGAGCTGCCTTTTGAGCTTCCAGCTCAGTGCTCCCCACACCATGGTTCTGGCTCTCCCTGAACTTCATTCTTCACTCTGCTAAGTTAGCTGCTACCTGTCTGCGATCACTGCCTCTTGGAAGCATATCCTGACCCCCTGAGGTGCATCAGGTACCTCCCCTGGGCTCCTAGCTTCCCCACCTAGCAAGAAGTCACCTAGCATTGTCGTGCTCCTGACTCAAGAGAGGGACCAGAGGGGCCTTATTCTGAGTGATCTCACCTCACAAGCAAGAGAGACACCTGATAAACACACACTGTAGGAAGCACCAATGACCCTTCCAGGTCCCCCTCCAAGCTGAGGCTCAGCTCTGAACCCACTGCAGCCTGAAGCATGAGTTAACCCTTCTGGCTTCCTGAGGACAAAACTATAGGCCCAGCACCAGCCTCCCCAGAGTCTACGGGTGAGGACCACTTACCGGTTGAGTAGGGGTCCGACTTGTGGTGCCGGGGTGAATGGTGGTGCTGGATGACTTGCTGAGGCTTGGCAGGCTGCGGCGGGGGTGGCTGCTGGCCTGGGGGCGGATGGGGGGGCTGCTGGCCCTGGGGTGGCGGGGGCTGTTGGATGTGGGTGGAAAACTGCATGGGCTGCAAGTGCACGGGCCGTGGAGGGGGCTGATGCTGCTGCTGGGGTGGAGGCTGGGGCTGGGGTGGTGGGGGTGGTGGCGGCTGCTGCTGCAGCTGCTGCTGCACAGAGGGGTGGGGTGGGGGCGGCAGGGGGGGTGGGGGCTGGGACTGCACCTTCACGGAAGGGAGTAGCGGCGTAGGGGGCTGCACCTTCTGCAGCTGCTGCAGGTACAGCTGCATCTGCATGGAGGTGAGGGGTGGGGCAGGTGGCTCTTCATCCTCCAGCAGCACTTGGGGGGGTTGGGCCATGGGGGGCTGTGGGAGCAGGGGTGTTTGGGTCAAGGCTGGTGACACGGCTGGGGGCCGGGCGGGCTTGGGAGGCAGGGCAGCGGCTCGGTTGCTGGGCCGTGATGGCTGCTGGGGTAGTGCGTTGTGCAAAGCTGGAAGAACACAACACCGAGGCGGTGAGGCCTGAGCACCTGTGGCCCCAGCCTGGCCTTTCTGCTCCATCCTGACCTCATCTGGACTCCAGTGCTCTCCTACTGGCCTCCCTCAAACTGGCACTCCCTCCCCACCTACCGTGGCCTCCCACAAACTCCAGAGCAGTAAACAGCTTCCAGAGAGAGCTTTAGGGCGGTGTCATCCTGCCCTATGCTCTGTGTCCCCAGCTCCTGCTCCCCATGCTCACAATGGCCCTTCACGCCTCAGTGCAGAACTCGGTCTCTCACTTGCCCGGCCATTCCCCAGGCCCCCAGGAAGGTGGCCCTGTCCCCATATCCCCCAGGTGAGTGCTGTCCAGGTTCCATGGGAGGAATCCCATCTCATGAGTGCATCCCCCAACCCCTGATGAGAAAAGCTGCAGAGGGGTCCCAGCTTTTCCCATCTAACATGACGCCTGGCCCAGCAGCAGAAATAAGTCAAAATCATCTAGATTGTTACTCAAATGATGTCAGTGTTTTAGAAACAAAAATCTTCTGAATCAACGTGTTAATAACTCCATGCATGACCTGTCTTGAGGCATCTCCTTTAACTTCCAAGATGGCCTCGAGAAGCCACAGATCTTCCCTCTAGAGACCAGAGCAGCTGAGGCTAAGAAGCTGCCCAGCCAGAGTGCTCGGACACCACATGGGTAAACCGAGGCAGGAAGGGGTCTCAACCCACACTGGGGCAGGCCACGGCTCACCTGGAGGAGAGACCACTGCGTGCTGGTTGAGATGGGGTGGAGTGCTGTGCTCAGGCGGCTGGGGCAGGTGAGGGGGCAGCTCAGGCTGCGGCAGGTGCAGGATGGGCTGGGTGAAGTGGCCGATGGGGTCAAAGACGCTGCCTGGGAGCTGGGGCTCCAGGACGGGCACCTGGGTGGCAATGAAGGGTGGGGGCGAGGACTTCATCGCCGGGGCTGCCTGCTGCGGCATGGAGGGTGGGGGAGGCGGGGGTGGCGGCTGCTGTTGCTGCTGCGGAGGTGGAGGCGGTGGGGGCTGCTGGGGAGGCGGGGGCGGCTGCTGGGGCACAGGAGCCGGGGCCTGCTGCATCTGCTGATGGTGGTGATGATGGTGCTGCAGACAGAGAGACAGACAGACAGACAGGCTGATGTCAGGCAGGCAGAACTGGCCCGGGCCAGACCCAACGTCCCACCTAATGAAGGATGCCCCTGAGCCCATGTACCTTCTTCTGCTCCCTCCCGGGGTGCCCCTTCTTTTTTGACTTCGGAGCCATCTCTGCAGAGGAAAAGAGAAGGTAGTGAGGCTCTGGGGGAGAAGGTGAGTGAGCTGGCCTTGGATGAAGAAAGACGAGAAAACAGGGCACTTTCAGGAGAAGGACCAGTGACCCTGAGAAAGGGCAGCCGAGTTCAATGAGGGATGAGTTGGTCATCACGGGAGAGGGAGAGACATGCGAGGCATCACCTACCCACTTGCCTGCTGCTTTTCCTAGCAGGGACTGTGCCTGAAAAAGCCTCCCCTGCCAAGCTTCAGATCACCACGGTTGCACCGGAAGCTGAGAGCTTGCCCAACGCCTCCCACTACTCAAGGGTCAGTCACTCACTATAGTGACTGAGTGCATGGCCTGGACAGCAACCTGCTCAGTTTTCCAACAACCTGTGATGGTTGCAATGGTCACATTCATCTTACAGCTGAGAAAAGTGGGGCTTCAGAAGGGAGGGGACTTGTCCAGGGTCACATGGCTAAAAAGCAGCTTCTCGGGGGCCTCCAACTGCATGGCCCTCTAAGGCCCACTCCTTTCCATCCTCCAAAGGGAAGCAGAGAGGCTCAGCTGGGGCTGAGAGCCACAGGACGGTGAGGAACATATCGGCAAGGGAAAACACAGAGAGCCCACTCCGGGAGAAAAAAAAGGAGCAGGCTGGCCTCCTGGGAATGACCAGCTACTAAAGAGGTAGATGGACCTCAGAAGTCCCTGCTTTGGGACACAGTCACCATGCTGCAGACAGAAGGCAGCATACGCCCCCACTCGTGTGGGCCGACGGCTTGGCACCACAGTAGGGTGGATGGGTCCAGGGTGTGTCTGCCCCTGAGAGGTGTACTCGAGAGCCAGCGTGCCCACCTCTGTCCTCACCCCAGAGATTTACACTAAGGGACTTTTGCCAGTTGGATGTCCCCTCACCAAACATGGATGGTGTACAAGCCCCACAGGGGGACATGAGCCCTGGCCAGTGCTCATGGGCTGGCAGGTCACAGTCGCCTGCCACCAGATGGGAGGCCGGGCCCATGGTATGGCGCCTTTTGGATTCCTGTCACTGAGAAGCACCTCATGGCACTGCCTGGCTTCGCCTGAGCTCCTTGTCAGGGTGCTGCCTCTTGCTGCTGGTGTTGGAGGACACATGCTTTGCCCAAATCCAGGCTCCTTCCACTTGGATCTGCTTCGTGGAGGGCCACGCTAAGCTTCTGTGAGGCACGTGGCCCTCAGTGCAGCATGCCACCAAAAGGGATGGGGAAGGACCTTGTGCCCTGTAAGAGCTCACCACTCCACGCCAGACAAGACACAGACACAGACCTCAGCAGCTACAGACACACGTCCTCGTACAAATGACCAGGGGCTGCAACTGGGGACACGGGGGAACCTGGGGCCCCGCCTAAAACCTGCATACAGGGCTCAGGACGCTCTGGGTCAGAGTATGACATCTGATGAGAGAGATACTGTTGTGGGTGAGACATGCCAGAAGGGAAAGCTTGAGTAGATTTGCAGTGTCAGGGCAACAGGGAGTCTGACTGCTGTGGTGGTGGGGGGAGGAGCGCTGGCTGCAGAGGTTGGCAGCCACAGGACCAGGGGGACCCTGCACACTAGGGAACTGGGAAGAAAAGGCCAGGGCTTCTCTCCTGGCACAAGGAGGTGATGGAGCCGCGCTGTCTGGGGGCATGCTGGGCACACCTTGGAGGGGACCCGGGGCAGAAGGCGGAAGGTAGGGGGAAGCAGCAGGGCCACCGTGTGAAGTCCGACTAGGAGAAGCCTCAGGGATGTGTCCAGATATAGAGTTGAGGGAAAAAGTGTGTGTGCAAGGGAAGGATATGCTGGGGCTCGCCTGTTGTCTCGTGGCCTTGGAAGAAACCTTGTTTTTTTGGTTGTAAAAGAGGGATGGTCACTCTAACCCCTCACAGCCTGCAGGCTGTGAGCAGAGGCCCATAGGAGAAGATGTAGGGACAAAGCGCAGCAGGGCCTGTGGGGGGTTCCAGGGGGCATGTCTCAGCTGCCTTGGAAAGGCCACAGGGAATATCCTGAGGACTTGTCTCCAGGGCCCCTTGCAAGTGCTGGGGCCCCCAGGCAAGGCAGGCCTAAAAAGTGGGGGAGAGAAGGCGGCATGTGCACGGCAGACCCCCAGGACCAGATGCCTAAAGGGGCTGGTGGTAGAGGTACCCCCTTCTGGCCCATGTGGTCTGAGCCTTGTGTCAGAGTTACCAGTAAAAGACAAGACAGGAAGTGCACAGCTTCACAACACACCAGCCCCAAGACACCCCCACACAAAACTCTCTAGAAAGGGTTACATGAAGATGGCCTCAAGTACGGTGTGATCTTTATTCCATGACAATCTTCAACTCAACACAAATTTCATCTTTACATAGGATGGTAATTGTACAAAGAAATAAAATGTTTTTTAAAAATCCGATTAAAACACTGATTCCACCCACCCCCCAGCCCCACTCCAGTGAAGGAGGTAATGGAGGGTAAGGTCAGGGCAGAGGAGAGGAGTCCCCATCTGCACTGAGCGGCCGCCTCCCGCCCCTCCTCAGGACCCACAGCCAGCTGGTGCGTCGAGGCCCGGCTGGCACTTCCTGCACAGGAGGCTGCCAACAAGAAGTGAGTGGGCACTGTCCTCTCTGGCTGTTCCTGGGGCACCAAGCACAGGTGACAGCTTAAGTCTAATGAGCTTTCAAGTTCAACAAGCCCTGAACGTTCTCTGCCAGATGGAAGCCCCACGGGCAAGAAGGACAGGGTCCCTGGACAGCGAGGTTGAAAGGACCCTGGAGGAGAGCTGGCTTGTGGCTATGGCCCATGTGCACACGTGTGTGCGCGTGCGTGCGTGTGTCGGGGGCAGCATGCAGGCCCGACACTGGTAATCAGGCTGCCATTTGGTCCAAGAAAGCAGAATCTTCCCAGAAAGACAATGCCAGCAGCTCCCCAATTGTCCTGTGGGAATCTGGGCATGAAGGCTCTCCTGCCTGCTCCTGTCTCAGGCAGGCGGGACTGCAACAGGAACACATCAGGCGCAGGCCAAAGGGCAGCTGAGAATAGTTTGTTTGGCAAACAGAGCTTAACTGGAAGCTGGATGCCCAGAAAGGATCAAGAGCAGCCCAGGAACTCCTGAGCATCAATGCAGGGCCCCGGGAGGCCCTGGTGAGGCCAGGGCTAGCCCCTGCTTCCACAGCAAATCTGGGGCAGTTGCAGCTGCTCAAGCCCAAGGAGCTGAGGAGAGCTGCCAGAGTTCCCAGGCAGGTGGGGAGCCTGCACCCAAGGGCTTGCCCATGGTGATAGCCCACTTCCAGTTCCAGAAGAAGGCAGGCCTCTAGGAAGCACCCACAATCTACACTTTAAAAAAGGAGAAAAAATGAAAAGCCCCTGAAACGCAGATGCAGTTCCTCAGGGGACTTTTCATGTCAGGCAGTTTTCTGCTGAGATGCTGGATTTGTGACCAAAAAAGGGCTGGTATTTATTTTTAGAGCAAAAAAGCCTATTTGTGTCTCTGGGAGGGCTTGGATGATGTGGCCACACTCGCCTGCCCCAACCCCAGGGGCTGTCGTCATTCTAAGGGACTGAAGACGGGGAAAATGTTCACACTGTTAACACCAGTCAGAGGTGTCCATGGGGCAGTCCCTGAGGGTCTGTGACACCCTCTCTGGTCCACCAGCCCAGACTCACCCCACTAGAGGAGGCGGGTGGGGTGAGGTGGGGTTGGGGGGATGATAGGCCCAAGGCCCTTCACCAGTGCCTGCCTGGCAGGTCCTGCATACTGCAGCCTGGTTCCAGGAGGTACTTTCCCTATGTGACTTGAGAAGACGGAGGCCAAAGAAACTGGGGAAATGCCCACCAGGCAACTTAAGCTTTTGGAAATGCACGGGAACAATGGAGACGAAGGAGGAAAGACTCCAAAAGGCTCAGAGTCAGCGGTGGCTCGAGCCTTACAGGGCACCAGTGAGAAGCATGCTGTGGGAAGAGCCTCACTGAGCCTTCCAGGGTCTAGAGGCCTTGCCTCTAAAGCTCCCACTCCTTATCTAGGACAGCTCTAGAGGTCAGAGTGTTCTTCCGCACACTGAACGAGAGCTCTCCTGGACTGATGTCACTGCAAGGTTCAGGAGGGAAGTAGTTAGGGTCCAAAGTCCCAGAAAAAGAGGGATGGGACAAAGAGAGAAAACATACTTGGGGTCTGGCTTTGCACACAGAGTAGCACCACATGAATGCATGTGTTGGGGATTGTCATCACCCTCCAGGAGATGCCACCCACCCAGAGGACCCCAGAGAACCAGGAAGGCTGGGCAGGACAGCCAGGCAGTCTTTACACAGAGAGGCCTGGGCGGCTGGCCAGGCAGGCAGCCTTCCCGAAGGCGGGACTAGGCGTGTGCTGCTGGACATGACTAATCCACCCCGGGGGACAGGCCCAGGGCTCTGAGGAATTCCATAACTTGATGGAGTCCTGTCCCTTTCACGGAAGAAAATGGACTTAAGCTATAGCTTGCTGGGAAGGAATCTGGAACTGAAGACCGTTTTATTAAGAGTCCGTGTCCAATGATTAGGCAGGACCTACGTAGAGGGAGAGAGAAACCAGTGTGAGAGAAATGGTGTGGAATGTACCATTTAAGTCACAAGAACAGAAGAACCGCAGACTGAGCCAACCTCCTGCGCCCTGGTGGCTGATGGGCACAAGAACGGCACTGGAGACTGGAGCCCTGCCCCGTGCCTGGCTAACCCTGGGTAGGGACAGACCCACCGCCCGCTTAGAAAGGTCACAGAGGCAGAATGCATGGATGCCTTGGAAACCGCCCCCAGCCTGCTCAGCTTCTAGAGAGTGGCCCTGGTTCCCACTAGCAAGCTCCACGTGTGCCCTGCCTGAGCGCACGCCGGCATTTCCTTTACTGCCCTCAAGTGGCTTCTTTTGAATTTGAGTGATGCCCCTGCCCTGTCCCACCAGCCAGGTGTGGCAAGCCCACCAGGCCCCTGCTGACTCTGAGCTCATCTCACCCAGGGGCTGTGCACTGTCTAGTCTCAGGAAGGCGATGCCAGCCCTTCCTCCTGGGTCTACAAGAAAGGAGGTACCAGAATGCAGGACCCCCAGTGGAGGGGAAAGAGCAAACAGCCTCATCTCTGCATTCCTCCAGATCCCCCAAACAAAAAGCTCAAACTCTAAAAAGCAGAACCTATTATATACACTGTTGAGGAGGAGAAAAAAAAGAAAAAGAAACAGGCTAAGGAATAAAGTCTTGTCCTTTCTTTCCTTTTTTGGGGTATCCAACATGGCTCCCTGGACCAGGGAGGGGCACTGGGCTTGTTCCCACCCACGTAGCAGAGCGGATGCCTCTGCTGGAGTCACGGATGCAACCGACGTGCTACTCCCTGGCCCCTGAGTGCGGGCATGGGAAAAACCCGCCCACTGGCGGCCTCTCACTCTGGGCCACATTCCACAAGGCTCGCCCTCACCCGCCCATGAAGCCCCAGAATCCCTCCAGCTGCAAATGCTGGCTGTTTGTGGGGGGAGTCACCTGGCTGTGCAGACAGAAAGGCTACTGCCCTATCTTCAAGTCTCTTCCTACTCCCCCACCTCCAGGGTCCTCACCATTCCCCTAGGTAAGCGCCACACTCTGGAGCAGGCAAGCAGCAGGCCTGGAGATGGACTAAGTCCCTCAAAGACCCTGGGGGTCAGGAAGCTGAGGCTGGTTGTGTGGTAAGAACGCCCCATGGCCTCTGTCTGCACTTCCCAGCTCAAATCTTTCCAAAACATCAAGCATTCCTTTTTCCCCTGGAGCTATTAAGAAACACCCACATGCTCCAATCCTGGGAAAAGGAAGCCAGGAAACTAAAATAGCTGGACTGCGCTCCCGTTCCAACTAGACGACCAGACCAAAGCCCAGGAGGATCTCTCACACCTCCCTGAGACCCTGTCCCAGCCCAGGTAGCTGAGGTTAAACGGGTATTCCTAAGAGGGACATAAGCTGTGGGGACACTTCTGCTCACAAAGACCTGTGCATGACACTTGGGAAGAACCAGATGTCAGCTATGTGACAAGTGAAAGCTAGAAGATTCCTAGGACATGCCCTGCCCCATGTGCTTGGCAGACCTAACCCCAGTGCTAATGACAGCAAAGCCACAGTACTGTCCACAGCCCACCTGGGACAGTGTCTTCCTCCAGCCTGCTCCACCCAGGTCTGCAGATGCCCTAGGGGTGGTGGGAGAGTGGCATTTGTGCCCTACCCCTGCCTGTCTCAATACAGAATCCTCAAGCAGCTCCAGGCTTTAGCTGGAATCACAGCTCAATGGAAGACCACAGCCCAAGCAATAGCTGGAATCAGAGGAAGTGGTAGGGCTGGCCCACTGCACTGCATGCTGCTGGGGCAGAGGGTGGGGAATACATGGTGGCCTGGGACACAGCTGGGAAAGCAGCACCCACCCCCGCCATCCTCCTCCTGCCTGTGTTCCGTTGCTCCCTGAACTAGAGCCTGGCCCCAGAGGACCACCCCACGCCTGCATCAGTCCACAGCATCCCGGTCTATGGATAGCTACCAAGAGGGGTGTTCATGTATCACACCCCCCAGCCTCAATCTAGTGACTCCATTCGTTTTCTTCTGGTGATTCATGTCTCAGGGCCGTTGTCAGCGGAACTAACCCCGTAGTATAAGTGACAAAAATAGGCCCTTTCAGGAATTTCGGCTCCAATCCAAATGGAAACACAAGAACGGGGGGGGGGGGGGGGGCGGGGGCGCGGGCCTGCAAATCAACTAGGCACCAAAAGACCAAAGGGAAATAATGTTCCCCCACCCTGACCCACTCCCGTTAAGGCAGAGCTGCCTGTAACGGGCCATGGACATCAGGGCTGCCGGGATTCCTGGACCCAGGAGAGCAGCTGCTGAAGGAGCTACGCCCCCTCTGCCCCCCGCCCTGAGAGTGCAGAGTCCTGTGCGGGACAGGGCAGCAGAAGGCTGTATTTACTGGTGCCAGGGTGTGGGTTCCCATTTCGGGATCTGCCGTACGAAACCCTCGCAGCGGCCCCTCCTGAGAGGAGAAGCACCCTGCCGGCCCACGACAGAGCTCACTCAGTGCACACAGAAGGCAAAGGAAAGCCCCTGCTGGCCAGGATTGGGAAGACAAAAGGGAGCCAGGCAAAACCCAAGGTGGGGAGGGCGCCTGGGAAGAGGGGAAGGCCAGAGCCCAGATAGCTGCATGAGCGGCCAGGGCTGGACCGCCAGAGCCTGGGAGCCTGGGAGCCAGCGGCTCTGAGACTGTAAATCTCGCCCTCCTTCCCGCCAGGACAGCTGTTCCCAGGACTCTCAGATTACTTGTTGCACAATCTTTCCACTTTTTTTTAAAGTGGGGGAGTGAAAAAATAATAAAATCTCGGCAGCGGCAGGAGGGGTGTGGGGCACTCGTTCAGGAAACCAGGAGCATTCCCACTCCTCTCCCAAAGCAGAGGAGCCCAGAAGAGGGACGCAGAGGCCAAGGGCAAAGGCCATGATCACACACTGGAAATCAGGATGTGATGGCCACAGCCCTCTAAGGTGTCTTGTCTTGTGAGGGCTAAAGCAGCACACTGCCACGACCACGTCATGTCATTTTAGTTAATCAGGTCCCCTGACAATTTCAGCATCTGGGGTTTCCACTTGGTCACTCAGATCCTCAGATGAGAAGACTACAAAACCCCTGGTAGGAGAAGTCAACTAGAAAACAGGAGGTGCAAAAACCCAGAGGAAGGCAAGCTGGAGGCTTGGCTGGCATGGAAAGTGAAAAGTCAGCGGCCACCAGGAATGCTAATTGGATCCAAGAATACAGCCATTCACCCCAGTCACTCTGCTGCGAGTGGGGGCCCTAGCTTCGGGTGGCAAAGCCAGCCCTTCCTGGGCAGCCATGGGGTGCAGTGCCTCCTGCTGGCTGATGGATTACAAAAGCAGTGTGGGGAGAGTAACGGTTAGAGATGAAAGGGTGAAGGATGGCGACAGGGAAGGCCAGGAGGCCAGTGAGCTGCCCACGGCATTCTGCATGCAGTTGTGGTAGAGAATGTGGGCATCTGGAGTCCTGGAGGGTCCTTCAGCCCACTTCAAGGCAAGTCTCCTCACTCACCTGGGAAGCAGAGGGCACCAGGCTGTCCAAGGGAAGAGGAATACTGACAAGGCCCGAGGTGCCACCTACCCCCACCCCATCTGTGCACACACACCTCAGAGCAACATGGCTCTCCCCAGCTGCCGTGAAGGGTCCTCAATCTTCCTTGGCACGATCAAGTTATTTACATGCACTGATTATTGAGGGTTAGCATTTATTTCTAGTTAGAATAAAATCCCAGGGATGGGACAGGCCCGTGGGAGAACATGCAGGAGTCTACTGCCAAAACACAGGTTTCCCACTGTGGATCCCCACTCCCCAGTCTGCCTGAGACCCTAGGGCCAGCTCTCAGGTGGTCTGCAGCACGCCAGCTCACTGACAGCTGCACCAGCCTAGCGGCAACCCCGTTGGCCGTAAACACAGGATGTTAGCTCCATCTCTCAGCAGGGGCTGGTCGCCAGGCCTTCTGGGCACCATGGCTCCCTCCCTAGCCTCTCCCCTGCGCCAGCCTGAGCATCTGCGCCCCTGAGAATAATGAGGAAAGTGCACACTTGGAGGAGAGCAGTCCCCTCTCCACTCCCACCTGGCACCCAGCATCACTACCTGCCTCCACCTCCCACTGAGGCTGCTGCTCAGAAGGTGGGCTCTAATGGGGAACCCAGGGTCCAACGTGCAGACCCACGGGGCTTGAAAAGAAGGGACTGTTAGTTAGAACTGCAGGAGGGACACGCAAGTCCAGGTGCGTGTGGAGTTAGGGCAGATTCAGGAGCAGCCAACACAGCAACGAGCACACTCTGGGGAGGGGTAGGCAATGGCTGGGGCCCAGGTGATGGCAGGGCCAGCAGCAGACTGGCGATGCGGCTGGCCAGCTGCAGTCTGCTCCACATCCACCAGAAACCAGCGAAGCATCTCCCTGAAGCGGCCGCACTGCACGTGACTGTGATACGGGGAAGGCCCTGGGGACACGAAGTCTCCACTGGTGCAGAAAGCTGGGTGTGGTCACATCAAGGTCAACAGCACAGCCTGGACCCCCACGCCCACAGTCCTCATGGCCCAGCTTCCCCGCCCACCATCCAGGGCTCCGCAGTGTCAACGCCCTTGGCCATTCATCCTCCATGACCAGACCCTGGCAGGGAGAGCATAACGGCCAGGCCGAGAGAATGGACACTACTGCACAGAGTGCAGGGCTATTCATGGCCCCAGGGAGACAGTTAACAAAGAGACAGACAGACAGAGGAACCCAGCAAGTTCTGGGAGTGCCGTCTCTGGGCTCTAGCATCCTGGACACAGGACCGAGCTAGTGCCAGGCACAGGTGGGAAGAGTTTGGTAAGACACGTAGAACACAAGTCACCTAACCTGTTTCGGAGTCTTCGCTGTCAGAGGAGCTGGACTCACTGGAGCTCTCCGACTCTGAGGACGAGAAGCCCTTCATCTTGGAGGAGCCGGCAATCACATCAACTTTCTCAGCTGCAATCCAAGCAATGGGAGCTGGTCAGGCAGGGCTGTGGCCCAGGAAGCCGCTCTAAGCCATGGGCACACCCCATCCATCTGGAGGAAGGACCAGTGAGGAGCCTGTGCACGGTGGGCCCAGGGGCTGCTCCCAACTGCCAGCTGCCACTCCCAGAACCCACGTGGTCCCACAGTTCCCATGGGTAGACTGCTTACAATGGAATTTCAAGGTTCCTTCAATCTCTCAAAAAGTCTCCTTTGGGGGGTTTATCAAGGATTCAAGAGACCAGGCAGAAGGATAATTTCCTAACACAAGGTACCGCTGGGCATAAGGCTTGGATTCTCCCAGTTACTCTTCTAGCAGGGGAAGAAGAAGATCCAAAAGGAACATGCTGCCAAAAGGTAACGCAAGGCAGGGAGAGACCCCCGGGGGTCTCTCAGCACAGCTGTTCAGACGCACGCTGGAATCATCATGTGGTGTGCCCCAGGTAGGGGCCCAAGGACCCCAGGAGCTAGTCAGGGCTGGGGACAAAGACTGTGTGCAATGCCCTGACACCGATCCTCAGAGGAAAGCCGTAGGCCAGGATGAGCTGTGTGACACAAAAGAGCTGCCTGGAAGAGTCCAGAAAGGATGCCACACCGAACTGTCCCTGCTAGAGAGGGACAGAGGCTGGCTCAGTGCTGCATAACGTATCGGTACACAGGTCCTGGGACCCTGCAGACCCGCCTTTCCTCCTTCCCCAAAGAGGCCGGAGGAAGACTCAGCAGCAGGTAGCCTGGGTTGAAAGCAGCTCCGGCTTAGAACACAGCTGCAGGCAACAAGGTGCAGAGAGGCCCCAGACACCACCAGTCAGATATGTAGAAAGGCACTGACAGCCTAGGGGTGAGTGCAATGTCACAACCTTTCGGAGGTTTCTGTGTCAAGAACACAGATATTATAATTGGAAAAAAAAAAGGGGGGGGGCGCAGAAAGAGTGGACTGAGCAAGGAGGGAAAAGTTACTCTGAGGGTGCCCACAGAAGGAACCCCATGCCCAGGGGGCCCAAGCACACCTTGAGGTTTCCTTTTCTTCCGCAAACAGGAGGTGACATAGCGCTCCAGCTCACGCAGTGTGGACGGCTTCAGGGTCTCAAAGTCGATTTCAATCTCGTCGGGGTTGGAATTCTTCAGGGAGGGCTCCCGTGACTGGATGATGTGCACCACGCGGCCCAGCTTCTCGCCGGGGAGCTTGTTGATGTCCAAGCTGAGCTGCCGCTTCTCCTCATAGGACATAGGCTTGCACTTGTCCTCTTCCTCCGACTCATACGTGGGAGGGGGCTTGCTCTTCATGGGCGCTGGCTCCTTCTTGCTACGAAGGGACGATGCAGACACCATCAAGAACGGGCCCCCTGAGGAAGCCAGGCACTCATTCCTCCACATGTATGTTGGGGGGAAGGGGTGCCCTTCCCATACCCCCCACCCACCAGCCTTCACAGGAAACGGGGCATGGGCAACTCAATCTCTGGGAGCACCCAGTGGAGACCGAAGCAAACTGTGACTGGAGGCTGCCCAAGTGGGGGATGCACTACAGCCCCATCCTTGCCGCCTATCCTCCCCAACCAAACATGGTGAGCTCCGAAGGCTCATCCTACAGAAAGAGGCAGAGACAGTGCAGCTAAGTCCTGTGTGCAAGTGGCCACCAGCCTGGCCTGTGAAGCCACGGCTGCAGAGGGGCAGCCTCCGCACCCAATGAGGACAGGGAGGGGCAGTGGCCCACACAGTCTCAGAGCAAGCCCTGGAAGGAGGGTCCCCACCCAGGACAAATTCAGGGGACACAGACCTCACATTGCTGTTGCTGCTATTATTTTTCTTCGTCTTTTTAGGAGGAGGTTCCTTGGCTTTGCTTTTTTTATTCTCTTCCACTTCCTCTTTCCTTTTGTGCTTTTCTTTTTTCTTTTCCTTCTTGTCTTTCTCCTTTTTCTTTGGTTTGTTCTGCTGGGGCTGAGAGAGGGCTGCAAGCTGCTCGTGCACGGCTTTGAGCTGTAGACCAGACAGGCAAGACACACACTCAGGGCTGAAACCACCTTCCTGTCACCCAAGACCCAGGCGTCTGCTCCAAAAAACATGCGACAGCATGCACCTGGGGCATCAGGGTGTGGGCATAGGGGAGGCAGGGGAAGGGAAGGCCCCCAGCTTTGCGCCTGTCATGTTAACCAGATTCCTAACAAGACTATCTCCACCCATTCACTCAACTCCAAAGACTGCCAGTGTCTTCCTCACCAGAGGAGCTGATCAAGCCGACAGACACCAAGTCTCACGGCCATCCTGATCGCAGAAGGAGGGCCCCTAAGAATCTAAGTAAGAGCACACGGACACGTCAGGCACGAAGGGCCTGATGACTGGCTATAGGGAGAGGAGCAAACAGGTAGCCCCAGGAGAGACGAACATCCTGGCTCAACCTCCTCCTTCCAGATACTGAAAGGATCAAGCCACCTCCTCTCTGCCCAGAAAATGGCCATGTCCCTCCCCATCCCCAACCGCAAGCTCAACACATATATCATACATACGTGTATGATCAACATGCATTTGACCTAGCAAAGGGGAAAAGGCCACAGGTGGTCCAGTGGGAATTATGCTCCCTTGGGAACTCAGAACCAAGAACATCTCTTAGAAACTTCTGGGGAGGCCACCCTGGTCCACGGACTCTGGGGATTAAGAATGGAGCCACCAATGCCCTCACCTGCTCCTGGAGCTCAGCCAGCCGCTGGGCTCGCTCCTCCTCAGAGTCATCAGTCGAACTGTCACTGTCCGAGGAGCTATCGCTGCTGCTGTCGCTGGATGAGGGCGGGGCCACAACCTTGGTGGGAGGGGGCACTGCCGGGGAGGACACGGCCACCACTGGCTCCTCAGGCTCGTCCGGCATCTTGGCAAAGCGCATTTCGAACACATCCTGGTGAGGGAAAGACATGCTGTGACGGCTGCTGGGTACCCAGGCCGCGGCCTAGCATCACCTGCCCTCATTGGCTGCTGGGGCCAACTCAACAGAAAGCAACCGAGGGCGAAAGAGGATGGTGATCCTGTCTCTTTGCTGCCGAGACAGGGGCAAGGGCCAGCCAAGGGCCTCTGACAACTCTTGCAACACTCTTCTCTCAAATCTCACTTTGAAGAACAAGGTGGTCCAGAGATAGCGGGGCACTCACTCCCTGGAGGACACCGCCCAGGCAAGGACATGAGACCCAGGCCACTAAGACAGCCAGCTCACTGAAGTCTGAGATGGTACTGGACCAAGGGCATCCTCAAACCCCAAAACAGTTAGCCGAGGCTCCCACCAGATGCGTGCGGGGGAGCAGGAGTTGTCTGTGGTTTGAGAGGGCATTCCAGGCAGAGGACACAGCACACGCAGAGGTCCCCGGTGGGAATGTACCTGCCACAAGCGCACCTCCTCTAGGGGACTAGGCTCTGCTGTAGCAGACACGGTTCTAAGTCGGTCTCCTCATTCCTCAGATAGCCCCTGCAGCACTTAACCAAGCAGGGCTGCACCACTGGAGGAGGCATCTCCAGCACACACAGGACAAGGTAAGAGAGGTTTAGGCAGCAGGTGTGGGGCACTGAGGACAGGCTACAGGAGGGAGCCACTGTGCGCAGGAGACCCTAAGACCTTTCAACCCTAAGATCCAGCAATCAGATGGAACCACGTGGGGTCATGGAGCTCAGGGAACAGCAGCCATGCATGGACACTGGGGTCTGGCCACACATACTGCCAGCCAGCTGTCAAGTCCCTGCCCTACCCCGGGGGCGCTGTGCTCAATCCAGTGATGGCTCAAGACAGAGGCAGAAGCACAGGCCTGGCTTCCCAGCAGGATTCTGGGACCCGCTTCAAACCAGGAATAAACTGATCATCGTGGAAACACACCATGGCAAAGACCTTCCCCCAAATGTGTGTCAGTGCTTCAGAGAGGACCACGGCCCTGGAATCCCCTCCTGATGGCTCAGGAAACACTCCTTGAGGCTTCCTCTCCCACGCTGCTGGAGCAGGCATCCCATATAACTGTGGTGTTGATTCCCTCCCCTCCAGGACACCCGGAGTATGACTTCTTTTAGCCAATAACTTTTTTTTTGGAGACAGTCTTCACCCAGGCTGGAGTGCAGTGGCGCAATCTCAGCTCACTGTAACCTCTGTCTCCCAAGTAGCTGGAATTACAGGTGCACACCACCATGCCCAACTAATTTTTGTATTTTTAGCAGAGGCAGCGTTCTACCATGTTGGCCAGGCTGGTCTTAAACTCCTGACCTCAACAGATCCACTTGCCACAGCCTCCCAAAGGGTTGGGATGACCAGCGTGAGCCACTGCGCCTGGCCCAATAACTTTTTTCTTTCTTTCTTCTTCTTCTTCTTTTTGGAGATAGGGCCTTGCTCTGTTGCCCAGGGTGGAATGCAATCAATGGCTCAATCATGGCTCACTACAGCCTCATCCTCCTAGGCTCAAGAGATCCTCCTGCCTCAGCCTCCTTGAGAACTGAGACCACCATGCCCAGCTAAATTTTTGTGCAGACAGGGTTTTGACATGTTGCCCAGGCTGGTCTCCAACTCCTGGGATCAAGGGATCCTCCCACAAGGTGGTCTACAATGAAAAGTGCCAGGATTACAGGCATGAGCCACTGCACCCAGCAAATACCTTTATTCAGAAATAACTCCTTGAGCAGGTCTGAGACAAGGAAGAAGATACACAACAAGGGACGACCAGAGGCCATCACCAGTTAGCCTCCCAGGAGTGGGGCCCAGGGAGGAAAAGGTGGGGGGCTTCACATCAGAGTGGAGGCCCCAGTGAGAGAGTAAGACAGATCCCTAGCCCTGCAGCACCCGGCTACGTGGCAGGTGGGTAGTGCCCTGGATGTGGGTGGGCTCAGGTCCCAAAATGACTCCAAGAGGCAGCTGGGGCCACATGAGCTTCTGGAAGAGCCAGGCCTGCTGCCAAGCAGCAGGAAGCAGGTTAGAGAAGTGGGCCTCAGAAGTGCCAGGACATCATGAAGGGAGATAATCAGCTATGCCTCCCAGGACAAAGGGAGTGCCCTCTACTGAGTGGTAGCTACCTCAGCGAACTGGTCTGTAAGCCTGGGCCAGCTTCAAGACTTGAGGATGTCCTTGTTCCTCCCCACCAGGTGATGACTGTTGGGTAAATGCTGGGGTGGGGGTGTGTGGCATTCACTCTGAGGCCTCCTTCCATTCCCTGGGTGCTCATGGCCCTGGCTCTCCAAAGGCCCCAACAACAAAGAGCAAAAAATACAAGACACAAAGTCAGCTAAGATGAGAAACTAACATTGGTGGGACTGGGAACTGCCAGCTTCCTGGCGTGTCCAGTTGTGTGACCCTGTCATCCTTCCCTGTCTCTTGGATGTGAGAACTCTTGTTGTAGCCTGAGTGGGGGGCATCCTGGGAAACCCACAAGCCAGTGGGCCCAGGGCTGCTGTAGGAAAACCTTGCTGTGTGGCTTCAACAGTCACAAGTCTCCAAGTACCAGCTTGATGGTAGACAGGAATGACGAGCTCCCTGTTCAAGGAGCTCAGTCTAGCTGGAAACAGAAAGGTGAATGAACACATGGGCAGCAAGGGGTTGCCATGAACTGGAAGTGTGCTGAGACCTAAGAGTGAAAAGAACACAGTCAGGGGTGCTATGGGGCCAGCAAGAGGACAGTAAAGCCCAATTCAAGATGCACCGAGGCAAGCCTCTCACAAGGGAGGATGGTGATGGTGAGGGGTAGCAGGCACCAGCACCCGCCAGGGAACACCGAGTGCAGGCATTCTGTTGGGCTGACAGTCTCTTGAGACCCAGCTGAGGCCCAGCCCCCTGCCCGGCATCCCACAGACCTACACCTCACTCCTCTGGAGGTCTGGGTCTGAGGTCATGCTTCTCAGTTTCAGCACACCTCACTGGTTTCAGACAAGTATCTCAGCTGTCAGGCTGTGGAACACAGGTTTTCTCAATGACCCGAGAATTTAGAGGCTCAGAGAGAAAAATAAAGTGGCTCCTTTTCCAAGTAACTTTCCAGATAATCCCACTTCTTGGGCCCAGCCAAATTAAGAGACCCAATTAAGCAGGTCCCAATAGCTCCTGAAGAAGTGAGCAAGGGCTGGAAGCTTTGTCCCTCCCCTTCCCTGATGGAGAATTTGCTCTCTACCTGCTGATGCAGAGAAAGTAGAGAGAAGTAAGAAAAACAAAGCCTGAAATGCCACAAACACAACTGCCCACTGAAGAGAAGCCTGCTCTGGAACCCTCCACCATCAACTCTGTTGCTCAAACAGAAACACCTCTACCAAGCACTGGCAGAGAGGTGTCCCTCCCAAGGGCAGGCGAAACAGGCTGGGCCAGAGGCAGCCCACCTACAGCACCCCCCACCCCTTGCCTGCACTAGGCCCCCTTGAGATTGAGGCCTGTGTCCACTCCAGTCCGGCACCTGGAGCCCGTGTGTAGGAAGAAACTCTACTGCTGCAGTGTCTGTGGTGTGACAGACATCCAGTGGCCTTGGTAAACTCTACATTCAGGCAGGCTTACTCCCCTCTCAGAAGGAGAAAAATGCAAAAAAAAAAAAAAAAACCACTTAAAACCCAAAAATCTTTGTTGGAGAAAATCTGCGAAAAGGAGGTGGCTCCAGGGTGTCAGGAGAGGACAGAAAAAATGAGACAAAAATGAGGAAGGAAGGGCTAGAACACATCAGAGGGTGCTTTTTCTTTTCTTTCTCTTAGTAAAGTAGCTCAAAACAGTCACCTTTGGTGCTGGAAGAGAATTTGTTTCTGCTGAGTTCTTCCTATGAGAGTAGATGAAGGGCATGGGTATCAATGTGAGCAGTGTGGGCAAAAGCTGCGCCCCTGTCTTCTCAAGAGAGTGGGAGAGAGGGAGCGGTGGAGGAGTTGAAGGCACCAATCTGAGGGCGCCACTGCCACCGGGTGGCCCTGAACAAAAACTGCATTGAAATTAAAAAGTCTGGCCGGGCACGGTGGCTCACGCCTGTAATTCCAGCACTTTGGGAGGCCCAGGCAGGCAGATCATGAGGTCAGAAGTTCAAGACCAGCCTGACCAATCGGCAAAACCCCCTCTCTACTAAAAAACAAAAATTAGCTGGGCGTGGTGGCGTGCGCCTGTAATCCCAGCTACTCAGGAGGCTGAGGCAGGAGAACTGCTTGAACCAGGAGGCGGAGGTTGCAGTGAGCTGAGGTCGTGCCACTGCACTCCAGCCTGGGCGACAGAAAGAGACTCCATCTCAAAAAAAAAAGAAAGAAAGAAAGAAAGAAATTAAAAAGCCTGAACTCCTTCAAGGATGGGAAATGCAAACATGAATGATGAAGGGGCAATGTTGTTTGTGAAGAAGGCACACAGACAACACCAAAGTGAAGAGAGGGCAACAATTCCCCAAGTCACAGAAAATAAAACTAAGAAACAGGCCAGGTGCCGTGGCTCATGCCTGTAATCCTGGTAGTATGGGAGGCTGAAGCAGGTGGATCACCTAAGCCCAGGAGTTTGAGACCAGCCTGGGCAATACAGTGACATGCCATCTCTACCAAAATACAAAAATTAGCCAGGCATGGTGGCACACGCTTGCTGTCCTACCTGAGAGGCTCAATTGAGCACAGCAGGTTGAGGCTACAGTAAGCAGAATGACACCCCGTTTCCAAAAATAAATAAATAAAAAAAAGTAGAAATAAAAAGCTCCAAGCCTGAGCATGCATTTAAATAACAAGAGCCACATCCACACTAGTAAGAAAGAGACCAACAAACTTCACAAGGGAAGTGTTTATCCTACCTCAAGAGTTTGAGCACATGTCCTCTGAACCCAAGGCAGCCCCTGATCCACAGAGAATAGGAGAGACAGTGCCTTAGGTCCAGTGGGAGCAGGTACGGGCTGCTATGCTGGGGAGTCTAGGACAACATGAGAACTAGTGCAGCTGGGAGGCAGGCAGGCAGTGGGGCTCTGCCTGGCACCGATCCACAGGTCACCAAAGGCTTTCCAAGTCCTCACTTCTGCCCTGGAAGCAGATGGCTGCGACAGCCAGGTGTGCAGAAGCCCGCTGAGGCCTACAATGAGCACATCAGCACCTCATGATGGCTCTGACCCTGAGAACAGAAGCAACCCATGGCCTTGGGGAGAAGATGCTGGGAATTTTTATGATCATTTATCTACAGTCTTAAAGAATTTAAAAAAGAAGATGAGTCTCTAATCCCAGCACTCTGAGAGTCCGAGGCAGGTGGATCACTTAAGCCCAGGGGTTCCAGACCAGCCTGTGCAACATGGCAAAACCCATCTCTTTAAAAAAAAAAAAAAAAAAGAAAAAAAAAAAGAAAATAAACGAGGCAAAATTAGCTGGGCATGGTGGTGCAAGCCTGTAGTCCTAGATACTCGGGAGGCTGAGGTGGGAGGATCGCTTGAACCTGGAAGGCAGAGGCTGCCGTGAGCTATGACTGTGCCACTACACTCCAGCCTGGGTGACAGAACGAGACCCTGTCTCCAATAATTAAAACAAAAAAAATAGAAAAGATGATGATGATAGTACTAAATATTGACTTTATTCTCCAAAATTTTTAACCCAATCTTATTATTCAAAGAAAGTCATTTTTTAAACTTAGGTATTTTTCCTTTTTTAAAAAAATTAAGTTTACACATCTATGCTGTAACCTCCCCTCCCCGCCCACACGTGTACTTCACACTGTGCACCACCCAGGCTCTCAACTTGAAGGAAGTGACCCAGGACCCCCAATCAGAATTGTGGCCATGTGGAAACAACCACTCTGCAGCTAGAAGGCTCTTACGGCTCTGGTGGAGGGATGTCCACAGTGCAGATGTCCTCAGCTCACGACTGTGACAGCGACTTCTCGGCAAGAGTGCCCCCCACCCCCAACCCACTTGAGACAGGTGTGTTTTGTAGAAGAGACTGGGCCATGCACAGCACACACCCGGTCTTCCAGCCAAAAGCAAATGAGTGCTGGTGGAGGGGGCTTGCAGTGGAACACCCACTCTGCTTTAATTGAATAACCCCAACTTAAAATGTATGCACTAGGCTGACTTTAGGCACTTTTCTAAAGCAACATGGCATTATCCCAAGGAAAGTGACAGAAAAAAAAACTCTGCCAAGGCCCACAGAAGTCTGCTCCCACGAGGACCTCAGCCTGCTCTGCTGAGGGTGGCTGCGCCCTCCCAAGCCTCACCTGGAGCTTGCGGGCCATGGCCACCACCTCATGGTCAGGAGGGTTGTACTTATAGCAGTTGGAGAACATCAATCGGACGTCAGCACCAAACTCCTGAGCATCACGGTACTCACGGGCCTCCAGTTTAGACTGGAAAACAAGACAAGTCCCTGTTAGCTGTGTCTGCCCATGTGACCATGGAGAAGTGGCTGGCAGCAGACGAAAGGGATGCCTAGAAGAGCAAGTTGGTTTCTTGGCTCTCAGTTTGGTCAAGACTCTAGTGGGGGGACAGGCCATCACCCCAGTTCTCAGCCTCAGGGCTGGGACTGGCCCTGCCAACATCCCAGCTCACCTGCCTGGCTCGCAGGCAGGTGGACTCAGAACCCACAGGAGGCGGAGCCTGAGCCAGAAATGACGGGGAGAACTGATGGAGAGGGCTGGGCCCAGCTCATCGTGATGACACAGTACAGGAGCTGGTCAAAGGGACACAGCACTGTTCCCTGCTCTGCCTGCCCCATGCTTGGGACTCCACTCCCAGAAGAAGAAACACGTAACAAGTCTTAAAACTAAAAAAGCCTCAAAACACTATGGTGAAAATGTCGGCACTTACAGCGTGCCTCCAACACAGAGGAGACAGCAAGGCCTTCTCCACCACAAAGAGGCTGGCAAGGCCGCCAAGCCCCAACTCCCATGGAGCATCTACTGTGTGGGCAAGGTACCTGGGGCACTGGGCCCCCAAGGCCAGAGGGCTTGTCTTGCTTTTCCTCAGACTAGGGGAAGGGGCAGCACAGGCATCTGTAGCCACAATGGCCAAGCACCAGGTCTCAGAGCACGTCCCACAGCAGACAGCAGGGGGCGCTGAGTTTCTTCGAGTTGGCGGGAAAAATCCACGCAGCCACCGTTCCAGGGCCTGGGCTTCCTCTTGGACTAAAAGGTCTAGGAAGGTTCTGATGTGGAGGGACAGCCTGCCCACCTTGTCCCTTCCCTCAGGCACATCCCGCTAACCTTGATTGTGCTCATGTCCATGGGGTGCTTGATGATGTCACAGTAGTCGTGTAGGCCCAGTGCCTCCACGTCCACAGGCTTGTAGAAGGGCCAGGCGTAGGCGGCGTGCTTCTTGGCAAACATCTCCTTGAGGATGCCGCTGCAGCACTTGAGCTGCTCCGAGACCTTGCTGCTCTTCTCTGGTGCTGGGTGCTGCTGAGAGTCGGGCACGTCCTTCTTTGGAGGTTTCACAGGCCGGCTGCTCTCCCGCCGCTGGCCCAGCTTGGTGGTCTTGGGCTCCGGGGGCAGCGAGGGTGGCTCGTGAATGGGGTCAATGGTGGTGGGGGTGGTGGTGTCTGCTTTCCTCTTCACTCCCTTCTTTGTCTGCCAAGAACACGGACGCCAACAGGCACAGTCAGAAGTGGCAGCCGGCACAGCTGCCCTCAGGGTCACCCCCAAAGCCAGGCCCTGTCTTGGGGCCCATCGCTCACACAGAATGGACCCAAAGATAATTGCACAGGCAAAGGGCCAAGGACAGGCAGATCGTGTCCCACCACTCTGCTCTGCAGCTGGGACAGGACCTGCCTGTGGCAGGAGAAAGCATAAAACTGTGTGCTCACTTGGAAGCCAAGGGACCTCTGGAGGCTGCTTAGTACCTAACACCAGGGCCTCTCCCCAAGTGCCCAGGGGAGGCACAATTCAGAGACTATTTAGATGGCCCATCTGCAAATATGCACAGTCTAAATAAAAGAGGTGCAGGGGGCAGGAACCCACTAGGAGGTGTGACACAATTATGGGACCTTTGAGTCAGTGGGGCGGCTGTTTCTGGGCTGCAATTTCAACACAGCAAGATCTCCCCAGAAACACCCACCAGTGCCCGGGACCCAGGACAGGCTCTGTGTAAAGCACGGGCAAGGACAGGGCCGCTCTCCTCCCTGGTGAAGCAGCCCTCCAGAGTCCAGGAGACTCACCTTCACAGGCTGTGGGGTGGCCGCGATGATGGGTGGGTGGCTCTGTACGGGCTGGGGAGCTGGAGCGGGTGGGGGTTGTGGCTGGGGGGGCACTGGCGGGGGCGTCTGCAGTGGCTGGGGAGGCACCACTGTCATGACAGGGGTCTGGACGATGAGGTCCGGGGTGACGGCAGGGAAGGGGTGAGGCGTGGCCTGCACAGGAGGAGGATTCGGCTGAGGGGTCTGGGTCTGCGGAGGAGTCGATGCTTGAGTTGTGTTTGGTACCGTGGAAACGCCAGGTTTTGCTGTCCCTACAAATCATAATAAGACGGCGAGTTAGAGACCATGCTGACATCCACATGCTGGCTGACCTCGTGGGGACATACACCACACACAGTGAACGCACATTCGCGTGTTGCATTTGCCTGAGAGACGAACATCCCAGACTCCACTCTGCCAAACCCTTCCACCTGTCCCTGGGGCTCAAAGAACAGCAGAAAACCGCACTTCCCATTTCCTAGGGCGTCCTGGCTGCAACTCCCAACTCAGGCACAAAGACCCCTTCATGAAGCCTGGAGGCCCAGGCTCAAGGAGCAGGAAGCACATGCTGACAGGGGACAGAGAGCGGGAAAACACTCCTCAGAGCTTCCAGGCACAGCTGCCCTTGTTCCCAGAAGCACTGCCTTCTGAGTAAGAGCTTCTGGCAGGGAGCCGGCAGTAGCCGCCCTTGCCAAGGTTTCTGGAAACTGGCAGGCCCCCACCTCCTGGAACCACAGGGGGCAGCTGGACTGCTGCCCTTCATGACTGGCTCGAGCGCTGCCTCCCAGCAGCTGTGCAGGCAGTCCGAACACACAATGGTCACGTGGCACACCCAACCAGCTGCAAAAAGTGAGGGGTTATGGCCAGAGCTCTAACAAAACTGGGTGGACCAGGGTGAGAATGTCTAGGAGCATAACCTGGGTCACCACATCCTTCGTGTGCATGCTGGCTGCCATGAAAATGGACAAAGACACCCAGTGCCTTCATCTATCAGCTCAAGCAGCACCCATGTTCCCTGTGCATCTCAAGGAGCAAGGGTGAGATTCTGCTGAGTTTCCCAATTCTCCTTCCTCAGGCACAACTCCTGGGCTTCTCCCAGACTGGAATAGGAGATGCCACCACGTCTGTCTGCCCAGCGTGCAGCCCAAACCCCTGGTCCCAGGGAGTGAGGACCAATATCCTCATGTAAGGATAAGGGATGTGACTTACATGAGGATCAGGAATGTGATCTGATAGGTACAAGAGCCACAGGGTGACACGTGAGACTAGTTCTCCTTGGTTACCTTTGGGTGCAGCAGGGGATGTAGCAACCCCCTTTCTGCCACCACTTCAGAACAGCATGGGAGGCCAGGTGAAAGGCTGCTGCTCAGAGAAGCAAACAACTCACACTCAGGGACCACCTCGCAAATGTCACCCTTCTGCAGCATGGAGTTGCAAAGGACAAGATGTAGCCAGTAGCTGCTGGAGAGTTTCCTAGACAGAATCATTTCCTAGAGTGGGCAGCTCTGCCAGCTGGCCCCTGGAACCCTGTGTCAGTTGGGGGTGGTGACAGGCAGAGATGGATGAGGAGGGCTTTCACTTCAGATGACTGAGCATCAGAAGCAGGGATAACTCTGACACCAGTGCATTAAGGTAATTCCAATCACAAACCTCAAAGTTTAGAACTGAGATGTTAGTTAAAATGATTTCTGGTCATGTTAATGTCCTTAAAATGGAAAAGTAAAAACCACCTATGATACTGGCAGGGTGAAGTGTTCAACAAACGTCAAAGTGCTTTGAGAAGTTACACTTTCCTTTTACCCTAAGTCCATCACCTACCCTCAGAAAAGGCAGGGCCCAATTATTTCTGCTTAGAAGAGGCCACAGGGCCACATGACCCTATGGGATGGATCCAACACCAAACCCAATCTCACATGTCCAAACACCAACACGGCATGCAGTATATAATGTCACATCCTCCTGCCACTCCCAGCCCCCCACCAAACTTGGAAAAGGGACAAAGGTCGGGGAGAAAGCCAATTTACTTGCTATTTCAGTACTCTACCTGTTTCTTTCCTCCCACGTCCTCTTCCTTTTGCCTGGACTATCATGATCTCGGTTTCTTCTGTGGGTAGCTCATTTATTTTTTGCAAGAAGAGCTTTTCCAGAGCTTCTGCCATTAAGACTATGTCATCTCCAGGCTGGATAAGGAGACACAGGGGTAGAGTCAGAGGGCCCTCCCCTCCCCACCTCTGTAGACAGGGCACCCCATGCCACCCACCCCCTGCCCCCAAAACATGAAGCGTCGTATTCCGGGTCCTTCCCCGATCTGCACCCAAAGGAGCCACAATGGCTACACTACCAGGTATCACAGAGGCTTGTGTTCCCACAGGTGTGCTGAGCCTACACTTGTCTACCTGCACCTCCCTCATCTTTTAAGCTCTGGCCTATCTGAGAAGCCATCCTAATGCCTTAAGCATCTACCAAGCTCAGCCAATCACTGAAAGGGGCCCTCCTTTGACACAATTCAATTTCACCAGAAATACGTGAATGACACAGGATTTCTTGCCATGATACATTAGCAGGGCCCCAGCAATGCTCCCCAACGTACCCCCATGGCAGCTCACCAGGACTCTGGGCACTGCACATCTCACACTAGTTGAGGGGTCCCACTCTGTCACCTCATCTATAACATGCTGTTCCCACTCAGTTCTAAACTGAGAGCCTGGTCTGCACATTTTGCTCAAACCTAAGTGGTGAGAGCTGAGACTTTAAAAAACACAGTAAACTTCAAGAAACTCACCTACCCATCTCTTCTGGGCATTTTTACCCACTACACCAGCAGAGGTCAAAAGCTGAGTTCTGTATAGTGTCTCCCTCCAGAGTCGTTCTATTTGAAAGGGTTGATTTTAATCACATCTGTGGTCTGAACTGTAAACAAATGATCTGGCTTCATGGCACAGCCGAGCCGAAAGGTTTGGCTACGGGGTTAGGAAGTGACCTTCAGGTCTACATGTAGGATCGGGGGGACACTTCATCTATGGCCAAGAGTTATTGACAGTCATGTCCACAGTTCCAGCAGACCATCACCCACAGAGCAACTGAGCTCTGCGCCGGCCCCATCACACCCTCTCTCACGTGGAGGTCTCTGTTTGGGCACACCTCTGCACAACTACATTTTAGCAGGCTCTTTCCTAACAATTTACATCACCCAAATGGACTTTGTCATGAGTCGCCACTATTCTCCTCACACCTTCTCTACTAGACATGCTCAGGAACCAAAATCCCAAGGGCACCAGAAGCACATGCTTCAGGCTAACAAGGACAGCTTGCAAGTTCAACATGGCCAGCACCCTCCTCCCAGCAAAAAAGCCCACACCCAGTCACAGGAACAACCACAGGTCTCATTACCTCTACCTCCAAGGGTCTCCTCTTGCCAGACTCCAAGCCCAGCCACACCCAACACCCCTGCCCACGGGCTCCTGACATGCCCACTGCCGTCGCCTCCCCTCCTCTCTCCCCAGGGCAGCTGGACACCCACCCCTACATCTCACCTTGTTGTAGATGTAACAATTTGTAAACATAGTGTTGAAGTCCTGGATACATTCCTGAGCATTCCAGTAATAGTTGTTTTCCAAGCGCTTCTTTATTGTTCCCATATCCATAGGCGTTTTAATGATCTTATAGTAATCCTGGAGAGCAGAGAGCAAAAGTCCAGTGTCACCTAGGCAGCCAGGCAGCACAAACGCTGGGCTGGCCAGGCTGGCCTGGGGACCTCACCCCTGGCTGCTCCACAGGTAAATCCACGGGAGCCACAGCTCCTACTGGCATCAGCAAGTGATCTTGAGGGGGAACACCAAAATAAAGTGGAGCGGGGAAGGGTTCCTGGATGCTGGGGAGTAATTCAGAGGGAAACGTACAAGTTTCCAACCACTCTATCTTGAAATAGGCTGCCTTCATTGAAATGCACATTTTTTCTTTTTATGGATACTAAAATATTCTTTCACTTTTAATAAATAAGGGGGAAACCAGGCAGCCTTTTAAAAAGCAATCCTCACCTAGTAAGACAACCCATGGCAGGTCCTACTTGTCCCATTTGAAATTTTACATGTCCATAAAATGCAAATTCCCCTGGCGCCAATGCTGGAGTCCACTTGTAACCCTTGACCCTGGCACTCCTGCCTCCTTGTCACCATGAAGAGCTGCGGAGCATAAGTTTCCACCCCTAGTCAAATTCACTGGACTTAACGTTTCTTTCATTTGCACACAGTCTACCACTAAGGATTCTTTAGTATCCAGATACTGCTGACTGACCAGGTTAACTGCCAAATGACAAATCTGGACAGCCTTCACAATCCTTAGTTTAAAAAAATAAAAATAAAAAATCCACCATCCCAACCCTCAAACTTTCAGATCTTACTAAGTGCCAAACAGAAGGAGCCAGATAACAGATGTAAACGTCTTAAAGTGCCCGAAATCAAACCACGTTATTCTCACAACTTCTTCTCTAAATCTAAACCTATTCTAAAACTAAGTTCATTTTTAAAAACAACCACAGAAGGAATGTGCGGACAGATCAAGCAGTGCCTGGGTTTCCAGGTGTGAGGATCACAGAGGGCCAGGCAGGGGGCTGCACCCAGACAGCAAGTCCCCAATGACTAGACCAGCTCAGGCTGTTGGCCTGACCCACCGATAGCCAAACTTTCTGAGTCATCACTCTGACTGAGGACAGGTGCTCCTGTAATTAAGTTCAAGTGGTGTATCAGAACCAAATCCAAGTGGAGTCCCACGGTAGAGGCACAGGCTGCAGGTGGAGAGGCTGTTGCAGGGAGAAGAGAGCAGGTATACTAACAGCAAGCACTGAGGCCCTGCTCGGGATGGTAGTGGACAGCGTTGGAAAGGCCAGCACAGGGTATGGGTGTGGGGTTTTTGAGATGTTCTGACATCCACGAGAAAGAGTCAAGGGCCACCTGCTTACATGTAAGGTTTTGGCACAGCTCATGGAACTGCCCTGGGGGTGAGGGCTACAAGTGCACACCCAGGCACCTTAGGCAAGTGGTCAAGAGGGGAGACTGGAAGCAGACTATCGGTGCCACTTTCTATGCTCTGACCTCCTTTCCCAAGAGAACCAAGTCTGAATAGATCTATCCCAGTGGAAATTTAAATTTTATTCTATGGCCAAAGGCCACTGAATTGGCCACAGTGTGTCACATGTCTCAATGGCCAACAGAATAGTGAAGAGGAATTGGGGTGAAGGCAGAGAGAACGGTGGGGGAAGAGGAACTGCCAGCCTGGATAGTACGGTTTGGGGCCATGATAGGAGATCAAAATGCGGGTGAAGACCTAGAAGGCATCAGAAAACAGACAAGGAATACTTTTTAGGGTGGCCTTATTAACATCTCCTGAAGAAGGAAGTCCCCAGAATACAGATTTAGCATGATGATGCTCCTGATCAAGCATCCCCTTTGGCTCAGCCCCCACCAAATGCCCTGAGACCACTCTCACTCAGCAAGCTCCTTCCTCAGCTCCTCACTCTCCCATCTCTGAAGACATCAGATCAGGGCCACCATGGATCAGTCCCTTCTTCTTATGTCAGAGCTAATGAGGGCGACGTCAACAGTCATAGGGACAGGTAGATTCACACTCTGCCTGGACCAAGAACGTCCTGGCCACTCTCCAGCCTGCACTTCAGAGACTGACCTTGAACTCCCAAACCCCATGGCCTAACCAATCACCCATACTTGTCTGTCCCGCTGGCCAGCACTGTTCCCTCAACCTCAACTGGGATGCTGCTGCTTCTCGGCAATCTCAAGTCCCCCAGCCCTTCCTTCTCCTGTCTTCACCTTCTCAGCCCTCCCTGCTTCAGTTCCCACTGCGTTTTCTTGTAACAAGCTGACCCCTCTGCTATTCTGGCACTGATGCGTTTCCCTTCAAAGCCAAGCTTCTTGAAATGGTGGCTTCACATCCTCACCTTCTCATTCACACCGTCGCAATCTGGTTTCTACTTCTGTGTCACGTCTTCCTAAGGTCACCAATGCCCTCCTAAAGGTCAACAGGATGATCAGGTCGGAATCCTCATCTCTTTGACCTCCCTGTAGCTTCTGATGTTGGAATCTGGGGAAATGCTCTCTTCTGTAGGCCTTCTGCCTTCCCTCCAACCCCTAAGGGCCTCACAACGCTCTGGGTTCCACTCCAGTCCCCAGTTCCTTCTCTCCTGGTTCTGTGCATCTGCTCTGAGAATTTCACTCTCAACTATGGACCCTGTCCAGCCCAGCTAGAGATTGGTGCAGTGAGCTCCCCCAACAGTCTCCCTCCCGCAGGCCAACACAGCTGACTGCCTCCACTCCTCATCTTGGTCAATGGAGAGCGTGGCGCCTCTTCTGCCTCCATACCTTTCCTGAGCCATTTCAAGACCCAGACACGTACTGCCCTGTTCTGATTATCTTCCCCCGAGTGCTTGACACGTATTCAGTGAAGCAATAGCACCAGACAGTTCTTACAGACACAATGACTTTAAACTTGGGAGTAAGGATGCCTGGCAGAGGCTAAGGCCGCTCCTACACACCAGTGGCTCTGGTGTGCACACACCAGTGGCTCTGGTGTGCACACACCAGTCTGGGTCAGTGGCTGCAACCACCTAATGCACTTGCCAGGGGGTGTACAGGACTTGGCAAACAGCAAAGGACAATTTAAAGACAATTAGTCTTTGGTGCTTTAAAGAAAAAAAAACTGAAGCATTTATTCCATCTGCTCCCTGAGGTTCAGCTGGAGATACAGGTTTGCTTGCAGAACAGTTTGCTAGGGACATGGGCATATGGAAAACTCTCCAGGGAAAGAGAAGAGGGGCGGGCTCACAAAAGCACAAGAGCAAGTGTGCTGTAGCCAGAGGGAGGGAGGGCAACACCACCTGTGCAGCTGCAGCCACAGCCACCTTTCTCCAACTGGGGACGCCTCCATGTACTTGCACTCCCTGCGAGGTAATCCCACTATCTTTCCCCACCGTGTGCTCCGGGTGACAGTGACGATGATGCTAGGTGACCACTACTGCAGCAAGCCAATTCCCCTCTAGCATAGTTTGATCAACTACGTCTACTTATCCTTGATCAACTATGTCCACACCTGAGAAATGAAGGGGCTAGGATGGCCAAGTGCTCTGACTTCAACTCACCATGGAACTGGAAGTAGATCTGTGGGCCTTCCTTTCTCCCACTGCTTCAACCTCTACACAATTTTCCCCAGGATTCCAATATCTAAGAAACCAGTTATTGTTAAGCCAATTAGCTCATTCTTTCTCCCTGATTTCAACTGATCAGAACTGCTGAAACCACTCACTCAAGGGCCCTGCAGCTCTCACCATGATTCCAAATGCATCTCCTACCCTCCCCCCAGGAACTGCCCTGACCAGGAGACATGCAGGAGACGACCTCCAGGACGGCCACCCTGGGCCCTGCCCACACTACTCACAGGGAGGTTCAGCTTGACGGCATCCACAGGCTGCTGGAAAGGCCATGCAAACTGGTGTTTCCATAGTGTCTTGAGCACCACTCTGAGCAGGTATTGCAGTTGGTTGGTCTGCCTCTTGGGCTTGTTAGGGTTGGAGGTCTCTGGGGGCGGGGGGTTGGTGCTGGCTGCGTTGGCTGGCTGGGGTTGGGCCTGGGCCTGTGTTGTAGACATTTGGGAAGTTTCTAGTCCATCCCCCATTACTGGCAGATTTCTCAATCTCGTCCCAGGGCCGCTCTCCGCAGACATGCTAGTGATCCCATCACATTCTTCACCAGGCACTCTACAAAGGAAGAGAAGAGCCCCCGTGAGATATCAGTCAGCAGATGGGCACCGCTCAGAATGACAAGTCCCTCTGGCTGTGGTCTCCAAGGACTGAGTTCCCTGGCGGTAGCTAGCCAAGTTGGCCAGAGGGACCACCCCATGCTTTGACTGAAAGGGTTCCAATGTCTCCTCTCCCCAAAGACTTACCCTCCAGCAGGGAGGAGACCACAAACCAACAGAGGAGGCAGAGTGAGGTGGTGAGAGCCCACTAGGAGCCAGCAAAGGCTCTGGGAACTATGAAGGTCATGGGGAAGGATGTACAATGAAGCCACGTCTCACAAACCTGCACATCCCTTTTCCCACCTGTGAGTTTTTAGGAGATGCTGCCTGTGTGTGGAAGGGGATGATGTGCAGGCTCCCACATATGACATTTACATTAAAACTCCTTGCATTTATCACACACAAAGCATCGAGCAAAGTCAATCATTTCATTTGGTGGGCCAGGCAAGGAGAAGCAGGAAGGCTGGGTCTGCCCACCCATGGATGGCCCACCCAGTCCACTGCCAAGTGCTCAGGGCAAAGCCACAAACCTACTAAGAATATTTTCTTGGTAACTTAAATAATGCAGGTCTGCTGAGGAAAGAATCTGCATGTTTACTGCCGATAAAATAAAAATGAATCCATACTAGACCTACCATTTTCTTTTTTTTTTTTTTTTTTCATCTCTAGTAATAAACCTAAGAACTCAGTGGAGATATCATTCTGGGATGAACTTTTAGTGGGTTCAGAAGCAGCTTTATGCCTAGCACACACTAGGCACCCTAGCTGCCAGTGAATTACTTTGTGTAATTTATTTAAACCAGGATTACACAAACTTTTTTTGTAAATGCAGTTCTGGCAAATAATCCTATTTTAAAAGCTCCAAACGGAGAATTTGCTACATAAAGCAACTCCATGGACTAGGCTGTGGAGATAGGAGGCCAGTGAGATAGGAGAAGACACAGGGACAAATGACACAAGCCACATATCAGCTTGCTGGGAACCTTGGGTCCAGTGTACCAGTCTTGGTCCAGACACAGATAGATTACAGGACACACCAAGTGACTGGACACAAGTATTGGTAGAAGGACAGCATCACAGACAAGGAAACAAGTCAGTGGGGTTTAAACCCCACTCACATGTGGAGTAGGCTGGAGAGGGCTTCCATGCAGCAGGACCAGCAAGTCCAAAGTGACCAATGGGGACAAGTGTGATGGGGTCAAGGGGAGGGGAGGCCTAAAGGCACTGTGGAAGCCTGGATCCCAAGATGGAGGGTACAAAGAGTGAGGCCAAGGAATGCCATTCAGTTTGGTTTCTATGATTAGATTTCTCCTAGAAAGCAGCTCCAGAAACATATAGCTGATGCTGCGCACCAAGCACACGCCAGGTAAGTGATGGCAGGCAGGGGCAGGAGCAGCCCAGCCACAAGGACACAGGCGGCCAGGGTGCAGAGCCAAGCTGTCCCAAAAGGAAGCAGACCCTATAAATTTTCCATTAAGTAATGACATTCTGGAAATCTCTAAGCAATGCCCTTGAGGCAAGATGAGGCCAAGGACTTCTAGAACTTCTGGGCTGGGCCATGCTTGTCTCTTTCCAAAAAGACTTGCAGCAAAGCCAAGGGACAAAAACTCATGTGTGCTCTAGGCCAGTGACCACTCTTCTTCACCTTCTCACCAGGCCTAGATAGGCCCTTGAGCCGAGGAAGCTGAATTTTCCTTTTTTTTTTTTTTTGGAGACAGGGTCTGTCGCCCAGGCAGTGCAGTGGTGCAATCTTGGCTCACTGCAACCTCTGCCTTCCAGGGTCAAGTGATTCTCCCACCTCAGCCTCCCCAGTAGCTAGGATTACAGGCGTGTGCCACCATGGCTGGCTAATATTTGTATTTTTAGTGGAGATGGGGTTTCACCATGTTGGCCAGGCTGGTCTCAAACTCCTGACCTCAGGTGATCCACCTGCCTCGGCCTCCCAAATTGCTGGGGTTACAGGCGTGAGCCACCATGCCCGGACAGAAGCTGAATTTTCTGTTCACAAGAGGAAAAAAACAGTTTTCTACAGAAAACCTGACTCTTGAACCTTGCCTCATTTGGTGTTTTAAGCCATTGCAAAAGCCAAAACACCCCTCCCTAGCCAGCCAGCTCACAAGTGATGCACAGTAACAGTTAAATCCTCAAAAATGCTAACATTGCTTCTGGCCTCATCCCCACTTTACAGATAGGGAAACCAAGGCAGAGAGAAGTACCTGACCCAGGAGTGGAAACACCAGGTCTAAGCAGATAGAGTGGCCCAAAACCTGGCATCTGATTCCTGGGCAGTTAAGTTGGCCTTTGAATTAAGGAAGTCCTCATTAGTGAGCTGCACACACACACATCAGAAGTGTCCAACACAGATGGTCGTGACACAGTGGCCATCCTTAACACACACACACCCAGGCCCCTGAGGAAAGAAACTGCTGGAGGTTGTCTGTTCAAATGTGAAGGTATGACATGTTCGACACATAAGACAAACCTGGTAGCTACCAGTACCCCAAAGTTTCTTTAAGGAGGCTCTGAAGATAACCAATGAAAGTGACATCTGGCCGGGCACGGTGGCTCACGTCTGTAATCCCAGCACTTCGGGAGGCCAAGAAGGGTGGGTCACTTGAGGTCAGGAATTGGAGATGAGCCTGGACAACATGATGGAACCCCATCTCTACTAAAAAGACAAAAAATTAGCCGGGCATGGTGGCCAGCTACTCGGGAGGCCGAGGCCGGAGAACTGCCTTGAACCTGGGAGGCGGAAACTGCAGTGAGCCATGATTGTGCCACTGTACTCCAGCCTGGGCAACAAGAGTAAAACTCCATCTCAAAAAAAGAAAAAGAAAAGAAAAGAAAGTGATATCCATGGCCCCACAAGGGAGATCACCATAAGATACCTGGGACTCCTGCACCCACTCTGGGCCTGTGCAGCACCTGCACCTCAAGGGACCACACTGACCTACTGCTATGCCCACAGCCTTCCCATGACTACAGGAAAGTAAGACCCTTGGGAAACTTCAAGAGCCCACTCTTACTGCAATGACAAGAAACATGAGGAAAACCAACCACTTCTAGTCTGTTATGGGGCAAGAAAGAGAGGTACAGTGAGAAGTCCTATGTGAGACCCAGATGACTTTTCTAAGGCCCAGATTTGATATGAGGTCAGCCTCCTTGGGCGAATTCTTCCCACAGCGGTTCCCCCCAACCCCACACTGCCCCAGGCCCCTAGCATCTAGGCTCTAACAACAAGTCAGCCAACCCTGTCACCTTCAGCCTTTGATCTGCTAGCCCTACTGCCAGACAGATGGATGGATGCAGACATAGGCTCACAGACTCTCTCTCTCTCTCTCTCTGGCCCATAGCATCTGGTGCTTCCCTCATCTCCATCTACTGAGTTCCATGGTCAGCCCCCTAGGAACCTGAAGGCAGGCTCATCTTTATTTCACTTTTATCTTCCCAGCACACAGGAGGTGAACCCTTAGTGACCATACCCACATTGTCATCCTGGGGCTTCCAGCTCAATCTCAAAGCTCTGGAAAAGCAAAACAGTTCACACTCTCACATGGATAATGTGGAGACCACCAGACTCAGTCACTCGCTCAGGCAACAGGTCCTAACATGCCTTGCCCTAGGACTCAGCGGTTGACATGGCATTCTCCCGAGTGATTAGGCAATACATGGGGTGAATACTGTGGAGGAGAAGGGCAGGGCTGCTCTGGCCATGGACGGGGAGAGGGATCTGCACTGACCCGAGGGACAGGCGGCATCTCTGAAGAAGGGACAGAGAATGAGACCAGAGGCGGGGGAAGAGTGTGTGCGCTTCTGTGGTGGGGGTCAGGCAGGCAGTGGCAAGAGAAGGCATGCCTGGCATAGATAACAGGAGACAACATCTTCAAAGTTTTCCGTTGAAAAGATTAAAAACTGCTGCTCCCTCTCCATTTTCATACTGACCTGTGGCCAAAAAGCAGGAGCCACCATTCACCACGTTAAGAGTTAGCTGAAGGTCAAGGAAAAGGAAAAGAATTTCGCTTATTGTTTCCAATCCAAAGGCGGCTACATAATCGAACTTGATGTCCTACTTTTGTATCTACTTCCAACAGAAACCCTATATCATGTTCCCAGTGTAGAAGAAAAGGATGAAGCAAGGTTAGACAATGCTGTAGTTCCCAAACTGAGTGCCCAGGTGCCTTGGGGATGTCATGGTAAACTCAGATGGCATTGCAGGAACTATCAGCACAAGGCAATTGATCATTTCAACACCAGATTGCACTATATTCAACAGTGTCACAGCCTGCAACACTTGATCAGCAAGTTGCTGTAATAAAACAAAGATTGTCCAGGCACAGTGGCTCACGCCTGTAATCCCAGCACTTTGGGAGGCCATGGCAGGTGGATCACCTTAAGTCTGGAATTTGAGACCAGCCTGGCCAACACAGTGCAACCCTATCTCTACCAAAAAAAAAAAAAAAAAAAAAGTACCCAGGCATGGTGGTGTACACCTGTGGTCCCAGCTACTCAGGAGGCTGAGGCAGGAGAATTACTTAAACCCAGGAGGTGGAGGTTGCAGTGAGCAGAGATGGCGCCACTATACTCCAGCCTGGGCAACACAGCAAGACTCCGTCTCCAAAACAAAACAAAACAAAACAAAAAGCAAAGGTCATATAAAAATCAACATGAACACCTGTAATCCCAGCACTTTGGGAGGCCGAGGCAGGCGGATCACGAGGTCAGGAGACCGAGACCATCCTGGCTAACACAGTGAAACCCCATCTCTACTAAAAATACAAAAAATTAGCCAGGCATGGCAGCGGGCGCCTGTAGTCCCAGCTACTTGGGAGGCTGAGGCAGGAGCATGGTGTGAACCTGGGAGGTGGAGCCTGCAGTGAGCCAAGATAGCACAACTGCATTCCAGCCTGGGAGACAGAGCAAGACTCCGTCTCAAAAAAAAAAAAAAAAAAAAAAAAAAAAAAAAAAATCAAAATCAACATCAACAGGAGATGCAGGTAGTGACATCCAACCTGGTTCTAAGGTTTGAGGATTTGTGCAGCATCCAACAGGCAGACACATCCTATTAGAAAGTAACTATGGGCCAGGCATGGCGGGCCACACCTGTAATCCCAGCACTCTGGGAAAACGAGGTAGGCAGATCACTTGAGGTCAGGAGTTGCAGACCAGCCTGCCAATCTGGTGAAACCCCATCTCTACTAAAAATACAGAAAAATCAGCCAGGTATGGTGGCGCATGCTTGTAATCCAGCTACTCCAGAGGCTGAGACAGGAGAATCACTTGAACCCGGGAGGTGGAGGTTGCAGTGAGCAGAGATTGTGCCACTGTACTCCAGCCTGGGCAACAAAGCAAGACTCTGCCCAACCCCCGCCAAAAAAAAAAAAAAAAAAAAAGAAATAACTATGGTTATGTAAGAATAAAATATATATTCCTGTTTTTTTTTTTCAGACAGCTACACAGTTGTTGAGACATTGGTACTTATTCTGCTGCTTGTGCTTAACCACCTAATAAACAATATTGTTGGCTACTTCCTCTGGCCTGAGGCATCACAGAAAAAACTGAGACGTTTAAGGATGTTGTGAACCAAGAAAATTTGGGAACTTCTGGGTTAATGAAAATAAAAATGTAAATTTTCCCTCTAAATTCATAGACCTCTGATTAAGCATGCCTGTTTTCTTTTCTTTTTTGAGACGGAGTTTTGCTCTTGTTGCCCAGGCTGGAGTGCAATAGCGTGATCTCGACTCACTGTAACCTCCGCCTCCCAGGTTCCAGCAATTCTCCGGCCTCAGCCTCCTGAGTAGCTGGTATTACAAGCATGCGCCTGCACGCCTGGCTAATTTTGTATTTTTAGTAGAGATGGGGTTTCTCCATGTTGGTCAGGCTGGTCTCAAACTCCCAACATCAGATGATCCGCCCACTTCGGCCGCCCAAAGTGCTGGGATTACAGGCGTGAGCCACCGCACCCGGCTAAGCATGCCTGTTTTCAAAGATGTTCTTTGCAATCATAATATTTAAGTGAATTTTGGGAAAATATTAGGGATAGACAGTACTTAACAGAGAACACAACTGTAATGTTTTATAACTCTGAACAGGAAACAAACTGTTTCCTTGGACTAACTTTATTTACAATCTAGTCAATAGTTCAGACAAATTAGAAATCTAACAAAAGATATAGAAAACAAAAAATCCAAAACCAGCTCAGAAAGTTTGAACACTTTCTGCAATGATGGAGTCCCTACTTGCAAAGTGGATGGCAGCAAGCCCTCTTCACTGGTATCCTCCATCAAGTCATAGTTCTCTCCATCGCCCGTCCCAATTAGCTCCTATCCTTCAAAGGGGCTTTCAGGGTCTCCAGACAGGCTTTGTTCTGAACCCACTCATCACAAAGCAGTCTGGCCCCAAGCAACCTGTTCCCAGACCAGGAAAGGAGATTAGAAAGCAGGATATAGATAGATACAGACATGCAGGGCAGGCTTAGTTCTGGGACTCTAAAGGCAAGCCAGAGAGGAAAAGAGAAAGACCACAAACAACTGCCCAGAATCTGCTGATTGCTGGAGATTCAGTTCCCAGTTCCGTCCATCACAAGTCACTGAGAAAACCAATGGGTTGGGACCAGCTATACTTTGTATTTGCAGTTCTACCTGAAGTCCTGGCCTCCCAGCGGACCTCTTGAAACCCAGTAATCCTGCCTTCATTCTGTCTGGTCTGTTCAGACTCACCCCTCTCCTAAAGTGATGGAGCACACAGGTAGAAAGACGCCAGGGAAGGCAGAAGCAGTCGCCAAGACGATGGCTGGTTAAACCACACTTAGCAGAGCTTTATGCAAGCCATCATCACACAGACCTGCACCAGGGCCTAGAAGAGCTCCACAGGAGGTACCTGCCACTTCTTGAGCTGATGCTGTTATCGAGCACTTCATCTGTATTGGCTTAGTTATCCACACAACAACCCTAAAAAGCAGGCTGCGACTTTATCATCTTCATCATCATCCCCATGGGGACAGAGGCAGAGTGGATGGTGGCCTGGTTGGCTGGACGTCATTTGGAACAGTGTGTGCTTCAAGTCCTCTGCTCCACAGCTGTCTCCACTCACCAAGCACAGTGGCAACACCCACAAGGGGCAGAGGCCCAGTCATCCTACACGGGTCTTTGGCTTGGCCAGCAGCACCACACTTTGCTGTACCCATCAGTGGCCTGCCTTCTCTGCAGAAGCAGCTGGGTGCCATGTGGCCCATAAGCTGGGTCTTAAGTCAGACTTCTAGCAGTAGTATTCCAAAGAATTTCATCCTCGTAAACAAATCAGAGCCAAGACCTCTCCCTGCAGCACCTGGCCATCTGCTTACAATGAGATATATCCCGTGTCATAGGTGAAATCTAAAACATACCACTGTGCTGAAGTCATGAGGTGTGGGGGCAAGGGGAAGGGACACCAAGTTGTTATTTATGCTTCCCAAGCAGTAAGATGCCTGAGGGGACATGGCTTAAATTTGTTTTATTCCATACAGACTGCCAGCCAATGCCAACTGACTACAGCCCCTCATGAAATCACAAGTTCACAGTCACACATACCCTTCAGGTAGAGGAGGTCACCTCTCCACCGCTCCAAGGCTCTTGAATAAACAATTATTTTCAGGGAATGCTAGATTCTGCCCAGGGACAAAAACAAGAGGATGAGGGACCCTGACTGGTAAAAACCTGGTAATTTCTCAATACAATTCAATTTACAGCAATTTACATCTTATCTTGTCCTAGAAACATCTTTGCTGAAATGCTGATTACACAACATCAATATCAGAAGGTCTGTTCCCCTCCTAGGTGCTAGAGTGGCATCTACTTCAAATTCCTGACAGCGGCTTCTTTAATTGTGCAATCTGTGTCAGTGGGGAAGCACAAATAGGATTACTTTTCCATCTGACTGGCTCAGGCAGCTGGTGAGAACAGCGCTCGTGTCATCAGCCAGACTGCGCCGCCTGGAGCCGGGCCAGTGGCCGTGCGCCGAGGCAGCTCTTAGAGGCCTTAATCCTCCTTCACGCAGTGTGTATACACCCTGCCCCCCACCCCTTGGACCAGCCAAGTGGTGGGGCCCCATTACCTCTTGACTCTGCAGTACCCCAGACCCTGCAACTTGCCTTGGATTAGACAAGCCAAGGCAGAGATATACTGGCCTTGCTGCTAGGGGAGAGTGTGAGCCACACTCAAGCTCTCTGTTCCCCACTGGAGGGGACACAGGCACACAAGGATCTTGCAGTCAGGAGGCCAGGAAACTGGGCGGGACACAATCTCACCAACCAGAATTCCAGTCTCTCTGCTTTTGAAACTCATCAGCAGGCTAATTAAACTAGTAGCACTGAAAATGCTGCAGCATCTTTTCACTGCAAAAGCTGCCAGCAACTGGAGGGACAAGTGGCTCAGGTACAGTGAAAGGATCCATTGTTACATGTGGGTTACATCATGTTGCTGATTGTTAAATCTGGGCGGATGGATTCATGAAATGTAAAATGTTCCTGTGAGAAGCATGTAGCAAAAACAAAACTTTGACATGGACAAGATCAAAACTGTTGGGTTGGCCAGGCATGGTGGCTTACGTCTATAATCTCAACACTTTGGGAGGCCGAGGCGGGTGGATTGCCTGAGTTCAGGAGTTCAAGACCACCATGGGCAACACAGTGAAACCCTATCTCTACTAATATACAAAAAATTAGCCAGGCATGGCGGCGTGCACCTGTAGTCCCAGCTACTCAGGAGGCTGAGGCAGGATAATTGCTTGAACTTGGGAGGCAGAGGTTGCAGTGAGCCGAGATTGTGCCACTGCACTCCAGCCTGGGCAACAGAGCGAGACTCCATCTCCAAAACAAACAAACAAACAAACAAACAAAAACTGTTGGGTTAAAATGTATTCCAGCAGGGGCAGGCTAGGCTAACTTTTCCTGTAAAGGGCCAGAGAGCAAATATTGTCAGCTGTGCAGGACAAACAGCCTGTTAAAATATTCCATTCTGCCATCATCATAAAATGAAAGCAGCCACAAATAATCCTGAAACAAATGAGCCTCACTGTGTGCCAAAAAAACTGACTGGCCTGCAGGCCATAGTTTGCAGCCCATTCCATAGATTTCTAGACTTTGTGAAGGTAAGAGAATGTGATGTTACATCAGAAATGCAGGATGCAAAATTACAGATGAAATTAGGTAACAATGCCAGGTGGGTGGGCACAAAGACCCACAGAATGAAGCCAGAGGTGGTGGCAGGTGTGTGGATGACAACACCTACTTACACTGAAAACCAACCAACCACTCGGCCACACATGTAAAAACTACTCAGCCTCTATGCAATCTATCCCCTTTGACAAGCCCATACTGGCCTCTTGGTGTCTGTCCACTTCTACCTGGTAAGTTGGCCCTTCAGGCACTACACCTGGCCAAATTACAGGCTGAAAGATTATGATAGAAATGTCATTAATTCAAGCTATGCATTCCCACTGACTCAGCTGTGCCCTTCACAGTTAAGAGTGGCATTTTCTCCTTGTTGACTCCTTTAAAGCCATTTCCCCATCTCCTTTACCTGTCTTCACTTTACACCTTTTCAGCTATTCATCTTTTTCAACAGAGCTGTGGGGTATGTGGCACTGAGATTCATCCACACCATAATATGAAACACAGCTGGAAGTGCTGACACACACAGTCCCAGCTCTTAGGAGGCTCAGGTGGGAGCATTGCTTGAGCTCAGCAAGGCTACAGCAGTTAAGCTATGATCATGTCACTGCACTCCAGCCTAGGCGACAGAGTAAGACTCTGTCTTTAAAAATAATAATAAATTAAATAATTAAATTATGAAACGCAATGTGACATGACTGTGAATTTATGGATTAAAACCCTGCTTTGAGAGAGACTCCAAGATGGCCAGGGAGCAATGCAGATCACAAAGTAGGGGCTGGCAGTGAGCTGGGCACTTTGCTCTGCTTAAGAGGGGTGTTTCCTAGGAGGAAGGAAATACGGGGGACACACTTGGAGAATGAAAGACTACAAAGACAGCAAGAGTGGGAGAGGAAGTTCACTTCTTAGAGGGCACGAAGAATTAAAATGAGAAGAAAGTTTAAGAGTGAAAGACAGGTTTAGTTAAACTCAGCTGATAATACACTCCTGGGCTGCCCCTGGTGTCAATCAGAAAATTTCTCCGGATGACATCACACCGGTCTTCTGAAATTTTCCCATTGCAAACAAAAGCATAAAAACTAAGCTTATAATCCTCATTTAAATTTAAAACTATAAAAATTTCCTATATACCAAACACCAGGGAAACATGTTATGACAGCTTCTATGTGAGTGGTCAAGATCACGCCCTTTGGGAATTTGGGAAGCCAAGAGAGAGATGAGTGAAATGCAAACAACAATCTGCATGGTTCATGACCACAATGCCTGTGGCTGAAATGTTCCAAAACACACCAGCTTAACACACAGTCCTGTTATGTGTAAGTGGAAACAACACTGAACTCTTGAAACAGATCCACGAGTGGGAATGGTGACATTCCAATCAACTGCTCTAATTTCACCCACTGGGAAGCCGCCCGGGTGAGTAAGCAAGAGTGTATCACGCCTCTTAAGTTTCTTCTCAAAGCAGCAGAGCAGCGGCTGACTCAAGGTGTCCCTGGAACCTGCCCACACTCACTGGGGACACAAAAGGGAACAGGGCTGGCACAAGTGCTTTCAGAGACACCATGACCCAACACCCCCACCAGCAACATTTTAGCCATGACTAGCAAGAGCCCTTGCTGGGTGGGAAAGCCAAACTAGACCTTTGATGGGCACGAGGAGAGATGGAGCCAGGAACAGACACATGCATGAAAGGCAATAGCACACAATGACTCAGGGTCCAGAGGTATCAAAGCCTGGGTATCTCGATGAAGAGCTGACGTTAATGGGATGATCTTTTCTTCAATGATATTACCCTGGGCACTTCATTGTGATTTTAAGAGAAAGATCTGGAAAAAACGTTACACCTGTCAGTATCTAGACACGCTCAAGAAATGGCTTCAGACAAGAAGACTTTTCTTCTCATCTTGCCCTCACCACTCATTAGGTACAGAATCCAATCTATGGGGATCAGGAGGAGGAACGGCATCACTTTTCTTGAAGAAAAGGGAACGCAGAATGTGACACTAAATTAACGTCAGAGCTTCCAGCTTCCAAAGACCCCAAGTCCCTGGCTGACAAAGCAGGAACTGAAGACTGACCCAAGACCCAAAGATGACCAGTCAGTGAGAGCTGACAGTGTCTCAAGTGCTGGATTTATATCTGATACACACCCCCAAGGGTACACAAAAGGCCATTCTTACAACTTTACAGAAGCCTTTGATGGTCAATGCCGTCCTAGGTAAACAGGCCAAGGGGTCCCCACCTTCCAGGCAACATTAACTTCACTTTCAAGCTTCTCTTCCCTCAGGTAAAAGCAAGCCACCCAGATAACCCATTCCATGCACTGCTGGGAGGCCCTCCACACACATTCAGTGTCTACTTCTGTCCAGACAACTGAACTGAATCTGCTGGAGAGGGATGCTTGGAAGTAAATAGCTGTCACCCTCTCATCTCAGTAACTTTCAGAATATAAAGGAGCAGAATAAAATGAAACCCACACCACTTCAGACGACTACAGCTAAGGAAGCAAAAAACTTGGCAGGCATAATCACTTTGTGAGAACCATGTTCTTGTTTGCCCCTAATTCCACCTAACTTCCACAAAGTAAATAACCCACAGAAGTCAAGCAGCCCAACTCTTACACTGACAGGCGAGTACATGGAGGTGCTGGAGAGAAAAGACACAGAGCATGCCTCATCTCCTCACTGTGCACACCCTTCCTCCTCTCTCCAGCCCCTGCAGGCAGCAGCCACTCACAGAGCAGCCCTGGGTGCTGTGCCACAAGGGAGCCTTGGATGCAGCCAAGTTGGCATCTTGCAGACTCAAGAGTCCATCACACAACCTAAGTTCACTCCCCTGCAGATGTGGCCAGCTTGTCCTCTGAGTCCACTGAGGAGTAACAGCCACTTAACTGGTAAGGAATTTTCAGACCAATAGAAACCAAAACCCAGGGCAGCGACTATCACACTCGTATGGAACCTGTGGCAGTCCCTAGGAACGCCTCACCACCTTTCTACTAAAAATCTGATTAAGTTCAGGAGTTCAGGCCCAGCCTGGGCAACATGGCAAAACCGTGTCTCTACCAAAAATACAAAAGATTAGCCAGGCTTGGTGGTGCACGCCTGTGGTCCCAGCTACTCTGCCCAGCTCCAGCTACTTGGGAGGCCAAGGAGGGAGGATCGCTTGAGCCTGGGAGACAGAGGTTGCTGTGAGCCGAAATCACACCACTGCACTCCAACTTGGGTGACAGAGTGAGACCCCATCTCAAAAAAAGAAAAAAAAATCTAAGGATGTAGAAATAAGGTGCATCACACATAAATAAAGCCTTAGACTAGGGTCTAGCATACAGAATGAAAAAATTTTAAAAAGTGCACATCCCTGAGTAGAAAAGAGATGGCAAGATAACATAAAACTTTGGCTAATTTTTATTACTACTTTTTACATTTGTTTTTCCCAACTCCCTGAAATACCATCAACATAGTTATCAATCAGGAACTAAAGGGAAAAAATACTTTAAGGAGGACTTAAATGGCCAGGGGTGGGTGGGGGCACGAAGCACAGCAGGAGAGACACCTGGCTTAGTTAGGATGGTGCCCACTCTGAGTTTAGTAACTGCTTTAGGAGGCGTGTGTGAGGAGAGCCAGAGAGCAACATGCTGGCAGCATGAGACCCACTGGCCTTCCCTAGCTCCCTAAGTTATTCCCAGGTTCTCCCAGATGCCATGCTAGGCTTGCCTCGTCCAGGGAGGGAGCCACCTCAAGGAGGTGCCCCATTACCCTCTCCTAAGTCCCAATACCCTCCCACCAATTCTTCCCACGCCTCTGTCCTATGGACCTAAGGCCAAAAGCCAGACAAAGGGGGACAAAGGTCTTTCCTCAGGTATCCAGTAACACAAATCAGTCCAGTCCCCTCCACCCCGAGCAGATGAGAAAAGGAGCATAGCCCCTCCCCTGCACCGGCCTAACATGGAGGAGCCAACACAGTGCTGCAGCAAGACCATAATCAGGCACCGTGGTACTCACAGGCTGGAGGCCTTATTAGCACAGAAGACGAGAAAGAGACTTCAGCAGCAGAGACAGGGAAGTAATAGGGACATCAGGTGGAGGGCATGGGAGAGGAAGGTGGCTGCTGCACGGAGGAAGTGAAACTCCATACTTGCACATCTGCGCATGTCCAACAGAAATACAATGTGGCTACTCATGCCATTTTAAAATTTCTAGGAGCCACATTAACAGAGAAAGCAGGTATGCTTACCCAAAATACCATTTCGACATATAAACGTGTAACATTTTTTTCCTTACTAAATCTGTGAAATCTAAGTGTGCATGCCCCACAGTCACAGCACAATTCAGGTGCTAAATTTTCACCCAAAATATGTGATCTGTATTTAGATTCCATAAAACTTGCAGCTGAAAAAGTAGATTCACATACCCGAGGTGTCCCCAACATATCTGGATGTTTTTCACTAACTAAACTGAGCATCAGCTTTGAAAATTAATTAGAATTTGATTAAAGTAAAAATTCATTTCCTCGGTAGCACTAGCCACATTTTTTGATGCTCAAGAGCCACGTGGGGTTAGTGCTGACCTCACTGTGAAAATCTAAGAGGTTTCACTGGCTAGGAGGCCAAGGGCAGGCATTTTAGGAACTCTGCTCTGGGGCCACAGGGATGGGGAATACTACACATTCAGGCTGGTTAGACCCCAGTCAGTTTCCACACCTACCACTTTTATCACCCACAGATCCACCTGTGCTTTAAATCAACCTGCTCAACTAAAATATATCTATTTAAAAGAAAACATTAACATAGCATTAGTATTAACACATCACCTGTGTGAATGGGGGAAACATATGGGAAATCTCAACACAGGATACAATCATTGTTGAGTTTCCTGTATGCAAAAAAATGTTTATGCGGTTTTAGAGGACAGTGCCTTTATTCTTTTTTTTTTTAAGACACAGTAAAAACTTTAATAATCTTATTTTTATTATGGTAAAATATATGTAACATAAAACTTACCACTTTAACCATTTTTTACTGTATAGTTTGGTGACATTAAGTGCATTCACGCTACTATGCAATCACTATCTAGCTCCAGAACTTTTTAATTTATGTATTTATTTTCTTTAAAGATGGGGTCTTGCTATGTTGCTCAGGCTGGTCTCAAACTCCTGGGCTCAAGCAATATTCCTGCCTCAGTCTCCCAAAGTGCTGGGACTACAGATGAGCCACCACAACTGGGCGTTTCAGAACGCTTTCACCTTGTAAAACAAACTCTGTAACCCATATATCCACTAAACACTAACTCCCAATCCCTGCCTCTGGCAACCACCATTCTACTTTCTGTCTCTGTGGAAGTGACTCCTATAGGTACCCAGCGTGAGTGAAACCACAAAGTATTTGTCTTTTTGTGGTTGTCGTATTTCACTTGGCATAACGTCTTCTAGGTTCATCCACATTGTAGCACCTCTGAATTTCTTTTTTTTTTTTGAGACAGTCTCCCTTTGTCGCCCAAGCTGGAGTGCAGTGGTACGATCTAGGCTCATTGCAACCTCCACCTCCTGGGTTCGGCGATTCTTGTGCCTCAGCCTCCCGAGTAGCTGGGACTACAGACACGTGCCACCACGTCTGGCTAATTTCTGTATTTTTAGTAGGGACTGGGTTTCACCAACTTGGTCAGGCTGATCTCAAACTCCTGACTTAGATGATCTGCCCACCTCGGCCTCCCAAAGTGCTGGGATTACAGGTGTGAGCCACTGTACCTGGCCTGAATTTCATTCCTTCTTAAGGCTGATTAATACTTCATATTTTGCCTATCTATCCATCCATCAATGGACACAGGTTGCTTCTATAATACCTTTTGGCTACTGTGTATAGGGCTGCTATGAACATGGGCGTACAAATACATGTTTCAGTCCCTGCTTTCAAAGAGAATGCCCTTAAGAAATGTTTGCTGAAGTACACAGAGGTAATATCACATCTGCAACTTATTAAAAGGATTTATGGGTGGCTGGGAAGGATCGCTTGAAGCCAGGAGTTTCAGGCTGCAGTGAGCTATGATCTGCCCTCCAGACTGGTGACAGAGCAAGACCACATCTCAAAAAATAATAAATAAAAATAAATAGAAGAAGAGGAGTGAAACACAGGATCCAGTTATAAACTTGGACAATCACCCATCAAAAATCAGCTCCTTCCCAGAAGATGTTTATAAGGCACAGGCAGAATTCATCCGGAACTGCAGACACTGCCCTAAGCCCATCCACACCCTCCGCTGGCTTCTCCTGCTGGTGTGCAGAGCACAGAACAGCTTCACAGTCTTCCCTTGTTTTTACCAAAGCAGCCGAGCAGCTGGTGCTACACAGGCTGGTGCACTGCCCAGCAGACACACAGGGCCGCCGAAGGGAGGAAGTCAACGCCCGAGGGTGGCCACTAAGCCGTGGCGGGTGCCTGCCCCTGCAGATGGAGGAGGGCTGAGTTCTAAGCACACTACTCTGTGAATGGCATGAATGAGCTCTTTCACTGGCACCAGAGAGAACACGCAACAGTACCATCTGCTGAGGGGAGGGAAAGTTCAGAGGAGCAGGCACCGACTCCTCAGGCTTCCACAGCCACCAGGTCCCCACTGTGTCAAGGCGGCTGTTAATACTCAAGTCCCCTCCTCCACTCCTGAACATGAGAGTTAAACAAAGTCAGCTACAGTCTCTTGGTCCATAACAACCTAGGGAAAGCAAACTACAGAACCACGTTAGAAATGCTTCACGTCTTTTACCTCAAAATACCTTTGTTTAGTAACCCCACTCCCCGACACAGGCCCCATAGCTCTGTTTTCTGGGTTCTGACAACTAGTGCCCTAAGCCAGAGGCCAGGCCCTAAAGAGACAACCTAGGCAGGCTTGAGATGTTTCTCCCACGACCTTTCCAAATGATTCCAGCAGAAAGCCAGACTCCTTAGCTACTTAAAATCAGAAAACAGCTGGGTGCGGTGGCTCACGCCTATAATCCCAGCACTTTGGGAGGCCGAGGCGGGTGGATCACCTGAGGTCAGGAGTTCGGGACCAACCTGACCAACATGGAGAAACCCCGTCTCTACTAAAAATATAAAATTGGCCGGGCATGGTGGCACATGTCTGTAATCCCAGCTACTCAGGAGGCTGAGGCATGAGAATCACTTGAACCCTGGAGGCGGAGGTTGCGATGAGCCGAGATCGCGCCACTGCACTCCAGCCTGGGCAACAAGAGCGAAACTCCATCTTAAAATAAATAAATAAATAAATAAAATAAATCAGAAAATAGATGGGTATTACTTCCCACTCAAAACCACTCTCAAGGTAGCTAGGTTAGTGCAAAAGTAATTGCGGTTTTGATCCAAAAAAAAAAAGAAAAAAAAAAGCCAAAACAGCAGTTACTTTTGCACCATCCTAATAGATCTGATGAAACCAGGAGAATGGAAGCTAGGAAAGATGTGGCTCACAAGCAATGGGAGAAGTGTGCTTGTAAGGACACTGGAGCCCCCCAGCCTCTGGGTTCTGCCCACGGGGCACCACCCACAGCCAGGTCCCTGCCTGCATAGACAGGAAGGAAAACGGGGCCACTTCACAGGGTGCTACAGGGCTCTCAGCAAGGGGCTCAAGTGAGGGAAGGCTTTCCAACGAAGCAGCCTGAAGGGCAAGGAGTAATTCACATTTTTGTTTTAGTTCTTGGAGAGGTTTGGTTTCAAGGCAGGATAGACACATTAAAAACCATATGACTGCCTTAGGCTTAAGGGTAGGGCAGGGGGTCACACGCTAGGCATATGAAGCCCTAATGACAGGTGTGTGTACTTCTGAAACCCAGAAAATGAAATCCCTAAGGACTTCACTGAGGATCCATTGGAGATTAAAAAGAAGCTCCCATCGAGGCCTCCTCCTGCTCGAGTGACATTTAACACCAAGAGTAAGCTGACTGACATGTGGATTATTAAAAGTGTATTCAAAGTCAATGTTAAAAAGTTAGTACTAGACCATTTCAATTCTCTTCAAGACGCAGCACTGACTTAGAATGGAATTTTTGATGCGCCTCCACTAATCCTGTTACGTTAGAAAACAGAAATAGAATTTGTTCCCTTGGCGTTCACTGGTTGCCATAGAAATCAAAATGCATTATACTTTCAGGTGAAGAAATGCATCACGAGTACTGAAAAAGAAAAACTCTCATCAAATCCAGTACAAACTCAAACCACCCCTTTAATAATAAATGGGTGCAAGTATACACCTAGAACACCACCCAAACAGATGTGTTCCAGCCCTGGGGAAGCAATTTCATTCATTTCAACATACAGAACACCAACCCCTAGAAAGATGCTCTAGGCAAACAGCTAATCTGGCCAGGCTGGGACTCTGCCTCAGATGGTAAAGCTCACAACATATACACCCGCTTCTCATCTAAGCCTGCAGTTTTCATGTTTCCAGTGTGTTCCATCTCATACCCATATGTACGAAAACCTAAGTGTACCCCCTCTTCCCTCATAAACACAGGCTCCCTCATGAGTTGGTTTTGCTATCTCTAGGGGATGATATACAGGCTATTATAAATTTGATTTCAACCCAAGGAAACATTTGAGAGGTTTTAAAAAGCGTTCTTCATAAATGAAAAAGAAAAGAAAAAACTCTATTGCATTAAAGACGCATATGGTATTTTTTTTACTGGTCCCAGATGGAAAGAAGTGGGTATGATGGCACTTCAGACCCTGCAAAACCCCCAAGTCAATGGGTTATGGTAACTGTGACCTGACCATTGCTTATCACCCACCACCACCACCCCGATCCTGTTCCTAACATGTGTCTACTGGGCCTGCTCCTGACTTGTTATGCCCTGCTCCTGGAGTAGGCCTATAAGGAGATGGTGTTAAGGTGAAGAACAGACTGCAAATCAGCTCCTAGTTGAGGCTAGCCAAACAGCAGGTGCCTGGGGATGACTCAGTATCCCCATCATTTGAAATTTTCCTGGTTTAGGTGAAAATACTGGGAGTTCTGACTCATCCTACTACATCTCTTGGGAGACTGTGGGCTCAGGAGATTCAACACAAAGACATCTGCCCTTGTGGGTTCACAGGAACAGATAGACAATCAAGAATGAAAATAACAACTAAAATTAGGAGATGGTAAACCCTATGGAAAAAAGAAATGTAGGTGGCAGATGGGATGGCACTTTAAAAATTCCTACTCCTTATGACTTTCACAAGTGAGGCTCTGTGGTTCCTAATCTCTTCTCATTGCCTCCGTATTATGCACTGAACAGGATAACAGTCCACCCAGAGAATACACATTCTCCACTGGAACATCTCATTTATGTGCAAATTGCTCTAAAGCTGGTTCCCCTGATATATAACTATTTTGAACACAGGGGCTTGTGGCTTACTTAAAACCACAGCTTCCATTTGGTGATAGCATCTTTATACTATCATCTTTAAAGATAATGAAAAACGACTGAATATGCCTTTGAGAATTAATGTACATATGTAAAAGAGCAGCTCATTAAGCAATCCCATACGACTTCAGTGGTTTGCATGCTGTACTACTTTGCCTAGACATTGATTTTAAGAAGCTTATGTATATCTTCCTGAGTCAAACGAAGGTTCAGTCATCCTTGACTCTACCCTTCAGGCAGGTTATGATGTCAGCAATCCTTAGGTTTACATTCTTACAGCCAAAAGGATGGTAATTCCTTCCACTATACCAGTTATTTTGCTACGTAGTGACAAAATGATTCCCTAAATAAACTGTAAGCAGTGCTGAATGATAGCCACTCAGCTAATCAAAGCCACATTTTTCATTTTACAAATATGTTCCACCTTTAATTGGGAAAGCAAGCCAAAAGGAGACCCCCTAGTTATCACAACATCCCACCATACTTAATGATCCCACCCTGGTGTTCTCTGTATCCTGGAATTCTCAGAAGTTATACAACTCTCATAGGCCAAAAACAAAAGAGCTTCATTTCACAGCCATCTGGAGGTGCCTTCATGACACTCAATTACGGCTGCAGACTCAGATGACTTATCTACACCCCAAAGGGTCTGCCTCTGCTGCTGGAAATGCTAGACCCAGAAGCCCTTGGCACTAATTTGGACCACACAATGGACTACGGGGAAAACTACCTGCCTAATAGGGCATCGTGAGCAAATGAGAAAACAACTGTAGATGTTTCGTTGAAAAGCCTGGGCCGGGCGCAGTGGCTCACGCCTGTAATCCCAACACTCTGGGAGGCCGAGGCGGGCGGATCACGAGGTCAGGAGATCGAGACCATCTTGGCTAACATGGTGAAACCCCGTCTGTACTAAAAATACAAAAAATTAGCTGGGCGTGGTGGCGGGCACCTGTAGTCCCAGCTACTGAGGAGGCTGAGGCAGGAGAATGGTATAAACCTGGGAGGCGGAGCTTGCAGTGAGCTGAGATGGTGCCACTGCACTCCAGCCTAGGTGACAGATCAAGACTCCGTCTCAAAAAAAAAAAAAAAAAAAAAAAAAAAAAAAAAAAAAAGAAAGAAAGAAAGAAAAGAAAAGCCTGAAACATCCCCAAACCAAAAGTCTAGTTTTAGGTCTCACAATTTCGGATGTGAAAGGATTGCAGCAACAGAAGGAGGGTAACTCTGCTCACACTGCTGGTAGTTAATGTCCTACTCTCTTAACTCCTCTTGGAGTTAAGTGCCCCTGAAAGGGTGCTTCCTGCCAGACCACACCAAGTGCACACCTGGGTGTCTCCACAACAGCCGACTACTGTCGATGCTAAAAGTTCAAGGAGGCCAATGGCAGCACCACTCAAAACAGTGACATCCAGGCTGAAAGAAAAAAATAAATAAATAAGCTCATCTTTAACTCAGAAAAAGATTAGCTGAACCTCAGGTGCCAATATAAAAACCGAAGCTAAAAAACAAGCCTGAAACCATACAGTTTCGCTTGTTAAAGACACTAGAGTGGTTGTTTTAAGGGCTCCTGGCTACCTGAGCCCAAACCAGAAGTCCTAGGAGGGTGGCACTGGGTAGACCCAGCAGGGTGGCACCGGGTAAGGCCACTGGCAGGCTTATCTCAGTTCCCAGGACACCAGATCATAAGCAGACCATTAAAAGGAGAGTAGCAGTTAAAGGTACAAGACAGGAAGCAACAGCTGGCAACTCGATAGCAGGAAAGCAGACAGCTATGTCCTCTTGCCAAAAGAAAAATCAGCCAAAAATTTAACCGCCATGGCAGAGTGTAAGAGCTTTAGCCGACTCGTGCAGGCACCACTCGTTAGTCTCTAGTGGATATGACTGATAGTAAGGTGTCCCCAAGCTAGCGACCCGGAAGGGGTAAAGCACACCTATATTTTAAATGTTTATTGTAAAATACACAGAACCTAAAATCCGCCATTTTAACCATTTTTAGGTGTACAATTCAGTGGCTTTAAGTACATTTACACTGTTGTGCTACCATCATCATTATCCTCCTCTGGAACTTTTGCATCATTCCAAAAAGAAACTCTACCCACTCAACAGTAACTCCTTAATCCTCCTGCTCGTGGTAACCACTATTTTTTGTGTATGTATTTGACCATTTTTGGTATCTCATGTAAGTTGAATCACAATATTTGCCCTTTTGTGTCTGACTTCTTTCTCTTAGCATAATGTCTTAAGATTCATCCAAGTTGTAGCATGTGATATTGTGAAATACATATTTGGTCTTCACCGTTTCCTGGCATACGATTCCCTGGAATCCCCAAAACGCTAAGTGTCTTTTTGTAGGCTAATGAGTAGACTGAGGGCTGGGGGCTCCTGGATAGCACAATCAGGAACAATTAAGAAATGGAGCACCATGCTAGGACATACCATGAGTCTGAGTTTTCGCAAATGTAATGATTTTCTCATACTCTGAAACTAAACATTTCTGTGTTGAGCAAAACATAAACGCCAAGGCGAAATGTTCTTGTTCCCTTGCATTTCTGCAGCTGTAACTGATAAAGGTCTGGACGTGCAGTTCACAGCAGAGGAGAGAGACTGTGGCTGCTCTGGACACATCTGGACGACAGGCACCCAGCCCTCAAGATGCTGTCTGCCAGCTAGGTGGAAACACCTCATGTGAATGGGCCCATTTGCTTCCTCTCCACTCCAAAAGGGGATGAGAAGAGGAATGTTGGTATGTGATTTTTGCAGCAAGCACTGAACTCAAGCGAAGCTTGGTTATCTTGCCACCTGGAAGGTTAGGTGTGGGAGGATGACACTAAAAGAACTGGCCCAGAAATCCAGGGCTAATTTTGTTCCCCTTTCCCACTGTTTTTGCAGAAATCTCAATATACCACAGGCAGCCAACAGCTCAGGAGAGGATCGTGCTCCAAATGTTCATCGAGCCAATCATTGGGACTTCTCTGCCAGGTTCCCAGGGAAGAATGTTGTAAATGATGGCTGGGTGCCATGGCTAATCCAAAATGAACAGAATCGCTATCTCCTCAGAGCCTGGGTCCCTAGGGCCTGGCCAACATCCAAGGTGCCTGGGACACAGACAGCCAGTGAGGGGCATCTGGAGCCCTGTGCAGTGAAGTAGCAGGCAGTCAAGGATATTGAAAGGTGTGCAGGCTGTCCCAGACCCCACGCCCAGAAGGCCATTCAGAGACCAAAGAACATGACTAACTCCAAAATGAAGATAAAAACTACAGTTCAGCTATGAATGTTTTCCGTCTAAACACTCAACACCATACTACTACTTTGTGCTGTTTACAATTTCCTAGCCTGCTATTAAATAAAAGGTTCCATAAAAGGGGGCAACAGCCCAGAAAACAAACCATATTGTTGAAGTTGAACCTCTGCCCATCCCAGAAAACCAGCTTGCTGGAGAAACCTGTGCCATGTCCCACTGCAGCCTGGGGGTGCCACGGTGTGTGTCTGGTGTCTATGCATACTGTATCCCTAGCACCTCATGGCACTGGGCATCTAACAAGAGCCCAGGGACTAGAGACAGGTTCCCGCATCTCTCTCACGGATGCACTTGCTGTTGCTAGCTCATGTGGCCTCCTGACCCTCGATTTCTTCTATCAATACACTAGGCTTTCTCTGCCGGGAATACCTTGTTCTCCAAGACACTCCATCTGGCTAAAATCTTTCCTTCAAAAGGCTTTCCGTGTGTCCTCCATTTTTGCTAATTTCAAGCCTGCCTTGGGTGGCTTTCCCAACTGTTGCTGTGGCCAGAATTTGCCTTATCACAATCACAGGGTATCTACTTAATGCTGAGAAACTAGATGCTTTCCCCCTGCATCTGGAACAAGACAAGCATATTCTTACTACTCTTTTTCAATCATACTTCAAGTCCGAACTAATGTAATAAGACAAGAAAAGGAAATGAGAGAGGCACAGATTGGGAAGGAAGAAATAAAACTGCCTTTGTGGGGGCTGCGTGCGGTGGCTCACGCCTGTAATCGCAGCACTTTGGGAGGCCGAGGCAGGTGGATCACCTGAGGTCAGGAGTTCAAGACCAGCCTGGCCAACATAGTGAAACTCTGTCTCTACTAAAAATACAAAAATTAGCCAGGCATAGTGGCACACGCCTGTAATCCCAGCTATTCGGAAGACTGAGGCAGGAGAACTGCTTGAACCCGGCAAGTGGAGGTTGCAGTGAGCTGAGATTGTGCCACTGCACTCCAGCCTGGGCAACAAAGGCGAAACTCAGTCTCCAAAAAAAACTGTCTTTGTTCACAGATATGATTGTTTAGGTAAAGAATTCCGGCCAGGCACATCACAAGGCCAGGAGATCAAGACCATCCTGGCCAACATGGTGATATCCCGTCTCTACTAAAAATACAAAAATTAGCTGGGGGTGGTGGCGCACGCCTGTAGTCCCAGCTACTCAGGAGGCTGAGGCAGGAGAATCGCTTGAACCCGGGAGAGAGAGGTTGCAGTGAGCCAAGATCGTGCCACTGCACTCCAGCCCGGCGACAGAGCGAGACTCCATCTCAAAATAAAAAAAAAAAGAATCCCGAAGACTCCTGGATAAGAAGCAAGGCTGCGAGATACACAAACATCAACTGCTTCTTTATATACCAGTAATGCACAATTACAAGCAACCACAGCATCTACCACACTGTAATGCTGTGGCCGCATTTGTTCCCCTTCTTCCAAGTGCATATTGGCATGGATAGTATCTAGTGAGTGCTTCGCAGGTTGACAGGCCTCAATGTGTGTTTGAAGAAAGCCAGAGATTAGCCACGATGGTCAGCCACACAAGGCCCAAAGCCTGAGGCAGAGGCTAGCACATGATGTCCGCAGACCAGCCAGTGTGTCTTTAGAGAGCAGTGGCGCGGAGAGTAAACTATGGCCGCTGAAGTGGACAGGGAGCCAAAAGGATCTGGATGTGAGGCAGCATCCCAAAGTGCAGTCTCCTGACCGTCCAGCCACACTGAGATTCTGAAGCACCACTCCGTCCAGCGGCAGAGCTTTAAGTTGGAAAATCCAGGGGCATAAAGGGAGACAAATCAACTTACTCTAAATCCTCTGAAAATTCCCTTAACAAAGGAGTTGTGTTGACAGAGACTTCTCTAATCTGAAGAGCAACTGTTTCTCCCTGGTTCTCTAGGCATATAACCCTTTCTGCCCACCTCTCATGGAGAGTAGGCTCTGACGGCAGAAGCCCCCCCCACCAACAGCCACCACATGAAACAAACAGATACTTCAAAGCCAGAAGATCTTTGTTCAGATCCTGCCCCTGGGCAGGCACCTCAGCCCCAGGTCCATCTTCTAGGTGGATTTCGTAACATCTACCTTGTATCTGTGAGGAGTAAACAAAAGATACATAAAAGCAGCCAGCATAGCTTCTAACAGATAGACGTTTAAAAGTTCCTTCCCCTTTGACACACAAAGTCACAGGATGTGATACAGCAGTAGCCCTCAGTTACATTAGCCCTCAGCTACATTCTTAACAAAAGACACAACATAGCATGGCAGCCAGGCCTGGCATGGTCTCCAGTTGTGCCCTCCCGTTGACCAGGCTGCACAGACTGCAGAGCCTTCCAAGCTGCTCCTTCTGCAGTCCTAAATCTACTTGAGAGCCGCTGCTAAGAAAACATCAGATGGACTATACTGCTGCTCCCTACCTTCCTGAATAAACAACGTACACACGATACAGAGAAGCACTGAGCCACTGCCACCGAACCCCCCCAAACCCTGGCTTCACAGAGTTTTAAAATCGCCTTGGGGTACTGCGGTTGCTTTTCAAGTCTTTTACCCATCAAAGCCTGACGCACTTCCACACATTCCTTTGTAGTGTTTACTGGACAAGTGCAAAGAACTAAGATACGCTCTGTATTTACAGAGCTAATGGGCCTCTTTCACAGCAAGTTGACATCTCATCTGCTTTTGGACATGCCTTTGCTCAGGGATCAGGTTTAGTGGGAGATGCCCCACCTGCTGGCAAATGGAATACAGCTGTGGACTCTAACCAGGCGTCCTCACTTCCTCTGTATGAAGCCAGCCTTCGTCACAGCAGATGATGTAAGAGGCAGAAACCAGCTGGAAAATTGCAGGTGAAATGGTAATGGCAGCATATAAGGACCATGCCCAGGAAACCCAAGGGACCAGGTGCAGCACGGTGAAAGAGTGCTGCCTACATGTGTGCCCATCCACAACCTCAAGCATTTCTGCAATCCTGCCTGCAAGATGAAAGAAAAGGAAGCATTACAGGAGATTCTATTACAACCAGTGGAATCTGCAGTTGGGAGAGCCACTATGAGGCACAAGATGATGGCCTGCCTCACAAGGGTTACAGCAGCACCCAACAATCCTGAGAAAAGATCCCTCTGTGCCTGCCTCTGCAGGCCCAATGACTCATAGCCAAATTTGGACTTTATTATAAGCAACAGTTTATTAAGGTGGGCTCTGCAAAAGGCACAAACACGGGTGGAGGTCCACAAACAAAAACACTTAGCGTAAGCACTGATGGAATATTTGGCCTGTTTTTGCCTTGAATCTTAGCTAAGTATGTACAGGACTGTAGTTAACTCAACGGCTTTCAAGAAAAATGCAAAATGCTTTCTTTGCATTCTTAATATAAAAGCTTGTGGTTGGCCGGGCACGGTGGCTCACGCCTGTAATCCCAGCACTTTGGGAGGCTGAGGCGGGCAGATCACGAGCTCAGGAGATCAAGACCAGCCTGCCCAGTATCTATTAAAAATACAAAAATTAGCCCGGCACGGTGGCAGGCGCCTGTAGTCCCAGCTATTCAGGAGGCTGAAGCAGAAGAATCACTTGAACCCGGGGGGCAGCGGTTGCAGTGAGCAGAGATTGCATCACTGCACTCCAGCCTGGGCAACAGGGCGAGACTCCAACTCAAAAAAAAAAAAAAAAAAAAAAAAAAAAAAAAAAAAAAAAGCTTGTGGTCACATCCCTTCTCTCCTCACCCCACCCTGAAAAAGAGATGAAAGAAATTCTATACAGCTTCCCTAACACTTTGAACTAAGCCAAAATTATAACAATCTACTTCCCACAACCAGAAAATCAGCTTAACAGAAAGAATGCCCAATCATTCAAATATCAATCCGACTCCGCCTAAGACCCAAAGAAAGAAAACAGGTCTCACACTAAGACATCCCCAAGCAGCCCAGGATAATTTCCTAGGATTCTGGCATTTGGGTAACTGCTGGCACATCGTGTCACCTTTACAGGTCACACCCCAGGTGTAGCAACAACCCTCTTCTGCCGGCACAGAGCCCTTCCCCAGTCATGGTGGCACCACAAACACTTGCAGTAAGTGGGCACATGGGGAGCAAACATGCTCAGCTATCATGGCTGCCCACCGGGGTGGCTAGGTATCCCCCATTTTGTAGAAATAGGCAGTGTCTTCCATCTGGGAAAGAAGAGGGGCTCTTGTCAGTCCTGTCTATTCCTGATCCACGTGTCTGTCTTAAGGGAGAAGGCCCCATCACTCTATGAGAAGTGACCATCACATAGAGAATGAACAGAATGACCCCTGCCATTTTAAAAAGAATTCCCCAAGACTAATGGTTGCTGGAGAGTTCTGTAACTTTCACAGAAACTCACACAATTCCTTTCTCATGATATATGTGCTCATATACCCATCAAAGTCTTTTACCCATCAAAGCCTGACACACTTCCACACATTCCGCACACAGATTGCTATGCTATGCCCACAGCAAAGTAATCAACTCAAGAGTCCCTTGGTGGTGGTGGTGGGTAGGGGGTGAATGAAGAAGACAGGTAAGGCCTGGGACATCCCCGCCATGGCCAAGCCCAGCTAAGAAGCTGGTCGACACAATTTTCGATTTTGTGATCCCCAGCTTCAAGCATAACTCTCAATATGGACACATGTAGAGACACACACAGAACAGGGACACATTTACAGGGACATGTTTCCATGGTTCCTTCAGTGGCCCAGCATGAGTGGATTCCTTGGTATGACGTTCTGTTTCCTTTTCCCTAAGGCAAGTCTGCATTAACCAGCTGGCTTCACTCAGGAGAGTGGGGCTCAACATTCCAGTGCTATGTGTCCTTACGGCAAGTGGCCACCCACTTCTGCACTTCACCCACCCAGGCCTGTTAAGGTTCACGAGGAAAACACGACTTAATTGCTGCTCCACAGAACTGCTGTTCTACAGAGAGCGTATGAAGAGCTGCCTCTCCATCTACAAAGAGAATCCCTTGGAGTTTGCACCTGGCCAGGCACAGTGATTCATGCCTGCAATCCCAGCACTTTGGGAGGCTGAGGTGAGAGGATCACTTGAGCCCAGGAGCTGGAGACCAACTGGACAACATAGTGAAACTCCACCTCTACTAAAAAATTTTAAAATTAGCTGAGTGTGGTGGTGTGTGCCTGTAGTTCCAGCTACTCTGGTGGCTGAGGAGGGAGGACCGCTTGAACCCGGGAGGCAGAGGCTGCAGTGAGACGTCACAGCCACTGCAACTGCTGCCTGGGCGACAGAGCAAGACCCTGATCCGATAAATAAATAAAAACAAATAAAAACCTATGTGTCGGCTGGGTGTGGTGGCTCACCCCTGTAATCCCAGCACTTTAGCAGGCCAATCACTTGAGGTCAGGAGTTCAAGACCAGCCTGGCCAACATGGTGAAACCCTGTCTCCACTAAAAAAAAAAATACAAAAAGCCAGGTGTGGCGGTGGGTGCCTGTAATCCCAGCTACTTGGGAGGCTGAGGTGGAAGAATCACTTTAATCTGGGAAGCAGAGGTTGCAGTGAGCAGAGATCGTGCCACTGCACTCCAGCCTGGGTGATAGTGGGAGACTCCATCTTAACAAAAACAAAAACAAAAAATCAAACAAAACCATGTGTGGGGTAGGGCAATCACCCGTAAGACAAAATAAAAAGATAAATATATACCAAAAAAAAAAAGAAAGAAAATGCACCTGGGAAGATGCTCCCCGTCACTAGTCATGAAGAAATACAAATCACAGCCACACTGATACCACTGCAAGACTATGTGAATCCACTGCTTCCCACCCCTAAAACCCTGACAATACCAAGTGCTAGTGAAGATGAGCAACGACTAAAACTCTCATCCACTGCTGATGAGGGCGAAAAATGATGCAACCCTCCAGAAACATCTGAGAGTTTCCTGTAAAGCTAAACATGTATTTATTCCAATGACCCAGCCATCTCACTTGCAGGTCTTTAACCAAAAGAAAGAAAAACATGTTCACACAAAGAACTGCATGTGAATAGCTTTAGCAGCTTCATTAAGAATCACCAAAAACTAGAAACCATCCACGTGTCCTTCAACTGAGAAATGCAGAAAAAGCTGGGGTCTATCCATATGATGAAACACTACTCAGCAATGAAAAGAAACAACTGAAACACTCCCACTAAGTAGTCAGATGACTCTAATAAACTATGTTAACGAAAAGAAGCCTGACTCAACCTCTACCTCCCCTGCATTGTATGATGCCATTTTCCATTTAATATGACATTCTAGAAAAAGCAAAATCATAGACACAGAAAACAGATCAATCGTTGCTGAGGAGCCGGACACGGTGGCTCACGCCTGTAATCCCAGCACTTTGGGAGGCCAAGGCGGGCAAATCACGACGTCAGGAGTTCAAGACCAGCCTGACCAACATGGTGAAACCCCGCCTCTACTAAAAATACAAAAATTAGTCGGGCATGGTGGTGCGCACCTGTAATCCCAGGTACTCAGGAGGCTGAAGCAGGAGAATCACTTGAACCCGAGAGGCAGAGGTTGCAGTGAGCCGAGATCGCACCACACTGCACTCCAGCCTGGGCGACAGAGCAAGACTACGTCTCAAAACAAAAAAAAAAAAGGCTGGGTGCAGTGACTCACGCCTGTAATCCCAGCACTTTGGGAAGCCGAGGTGGACAGATCACGAGGTCAGGAGATCGAGACCATCCTGGCTAACACAGTGAAACCTCATCTCTACTAAAAATACAAAAAATTGGCCAGGCATGGTGGTGGGCGCCTGTAGTCCCAGCTACTCAGGAGGCTGAGGCAGGAGAATGGTGTGAACCTGGGAGGCAGAGGTTGCAGTAAGCCGAAGACTGTGCCACTGCACTCCAGCCTGGGCGACAGAGCGAGACTCCGTCTCAAAGAAAAAAAAAAAAAAAAAAAAAAAAGTTGCTGAGTCTCACGCCTATGGTCCCAGCACATTAGGAGGATGAGGCAGGAGTATCATTTGAGGTCAGGAGTTTGAGACCAGCCTGGCCAACATGGTAAAACTCCATCTGCACTAAAAATACAAAAATCAGCTGGACATGGTGGCGCAGGCCTGTAATTCCAGCTACTTGAGAGGTTGAGACTCCAGAATTGCTTGAACCCAGCAGGCAGAGGTTGCAGTGAGCCAAGATTACGCCACTGCCCTCCAGTCTGGGAGACAGAGTGGGACTTCATCTCAAAAAAAAAAAAGGGGAATTTTATTGCATATAAACTTAAGAGAATAAACAAACCACATGCAGTACACCACCCTGACCCCCTTTAGACCTGGTACAGAGACCCCCCAGGACTGGGAGATGCTGCTTTGCAGGGAAGGCAGACAGACCTGCAAGTGCAGCAGGCAAGGACAGCCTGGTCTGAACCACGAGCTTCCATGCTAACCTGGGGGACTCTGAGTAACAGATGTTCTCAGCCTTGTGTTTCCTGTCTGTAAAACAGAGCAGTTCGGCCACGCACGGTGGCTCACGAGGTCAACAGATCAAGGCCAGCCTGGCCAACATGGCAAAACCCTGTCTCTACTAAAAATGCAAAAATTAGCCAGGCATCGTGGCACATGCCTGTAATTCCAGCAACTCAGGAGGCTGAGGCAGGAGAATTGCTTGAGCCCAGGAGGCGGAAGTTGCAGTGAGCTGAGATCGTGCCACTGCACTCCAGCCTGGACAACTGAGCAAGACTCCGACTCAAAAAAAAAAAAAAAAAAAAAAAAAAGGATTAAAAAATTAAAAAGTGCTTTTCTGGGCCGGGCGCAGTGGTTCACGCCTGTAATCTCAGCACTTTGGGAGGCCGAGGCGGGCGCATCACGAGGTTAGGAGATCGAGACCATCCTGGCTAAAACAGTGAAACCCCGTCTCTACTAAAAAATACAAAAAAAATTAGCCAGGCGTGGTGGCGGTCACCTGTAGTCCCAGCTACTTGAGAGGCCGAGGCAGGAGAATGGCGTGAACCCGGGAGGCGGAGCTTGCAGTGAGCCGAGATCGCGCCACTGCACTCCAGCCTGGGCCACAGAGCGAGACTCCGTCGCAAAAAAAAAAAAAAAAAAAGTGCTTTTCTGAAAGGAGGGCTCTAGTTAAGGTAAACCATGGTTCTGTGACTTGTGCTTTACACTGAGAGAACAAAGCAGCAAGACCAACAATCTTAAAGGAGTAATACACAGTCCATGTAGGGTACACTACCCCTGCATTCACATCAACTGGAGAAGAGAAGCTATTTCCAGCTCAAAGTAGGGGAAAGTTAATACATAGCTATTCAAGAGTGTTTATGTACAGACAGTTAATCTTGAGAAATCCAAATTGTGTGGCTAGAACAAAGCTACTGTTTACAATATTTTTCATACTAATGCTTCCTGGAGGACCTTCCTTGGCCCCATGTTTAAATTTTGATTAAATGTCAAACTAGTAAAACTATTTGCCTATGCGGGGATGGGGCGGGGGGAGAAGACGGTTAGGCAACACAGTGCCAAATTCAAAACTCCGTACTAGCTCTGACAGCGAACACCTTTAGATTCAGAGGAGAAAAGTAGCCTTAAACAGGACAATTCAGCCTATCTACTGAGATCATCTTATCAAAAGGAGTAACTGTCATTACAATAAAATGCAATACAACAATACAATAAAATGCAACAAAGCCACGAAGAAGGAAAAAGGCTGCCCAGCATTCTAGCACCTATTTGCACAATTAGCCCACAGAGTTACTTACAAACAATATTCCCCTTATATAGTCTGTGTTCTGTTTTTGATGGGGCACTGAATACAGAACCTATCTGCCAACTTTAACTGTAATGCGATAACCAGAGCTCACACAACCACTTCTCGACTGTTTCTGTCAGGATGTTTCCAGTTTTTTAAGTATCAACATTACAGGGTTGAGAAGGACCAACAAGCATTTGATGGCTAATGATGACAAAGTCCTTGATCAAGATGCCAGCAAGAACATTCACCACAACAGACTCCATGCAGAATGCTTGGAGTGATGCCCTCTGAGCCCCAAAGCACTTGCTCTCACATTTGACCACCAAGGTAGGATGAAAGAGCTCAGGGTACAAAGAAATATCCACTCATCCGTCACAGTGAAGGATTACCTTCATTATGTCCTCTCCAGAGGTAAACCCAAAGTCCCTCTGATCGCTAACTTTTTTACACTTACCACATAATCCCAACCCACTCTATTCTTCCGCAAGTCATTCAGAGAAGGCATACGGTGGTGACATAAATGCTGACGACTACCAGGTCCCCCGGATCTCCAGCCGTCTGTTTGTTTGCCCACAGGAACACACAGTGTGTGCTGGCAATAACTAAACAAGCTTTTCTGCCCAAGGAGGCTGAGCTCACTCAGTGCCTCGAGGCTCCCCACCATAGTTACAAGTGCTGGCCTAACCAAGCTGTGCCTGGAATCAGCCTTGTCACTGTGCCGGGGGAGTAGGAAACAGTTAAAACACATTTTTATGCTTTCATTTCTATAATAAATGCATCAGATATCACATGAAATCAGCTCTAGGACTGACTGAGCACCTGCCTGCTATACATTTTCCAGGCCGCCAGTGCCCTGCCAGGGGATGTGCTGAGCAGCCAAACCCAGCCTGGCCATGATGCTTGTAGTAAGCTGGCAGACAATGTACGAGCAACAACTTTCCCAGTTAAGCGCCAACTTTCCCTGAGTGTCCACATGCTTAGGGAAGAAGGTTGGACTTAAACCAACAAGCAATTACTGAATGCTTACTGAGACATGGGGCTCAATGTGTCTGTATGCTGTATTCCGACCTCACAAGAACCTCGCACAGGGCAGGGATTAGGGTCTCAGTTTTGCAGCCAAGGAAGCTGATGCGAGAAGAAATCGGTAATTCATCTAAGGTCACACCTGACTCCTCACCTTATACCCCCAAAAAATCATTTCCTGATGGATCAAGGGCATGAATTGGAAGGGCAAAACCTTACAACTTCCAGAAGAAAATATAAAATATATTTCACTTCAGGATAGTGTTCTTCCCACCAACCGTAAAACAAAGATTCATAAATTCACCTACATTAAAATTAAGACCATCTTTTTTTTTTTTTTTTTTTTGAGACGGAGTTGTTGCCCAGGCTGGAGTGCAATGGCGCGATCTCAGCACACCACAACCTCCACCTCCTGGGTTCAAGCGATTCTCCCGCCTCAGCCTCCCGAGTAGCTGGGATTTCTCCCACCTCAGCCTCCCAAGTAGCCAGGCAGGAGCCACCACGCCTGGCTAATTTTGTATTTTTAGTAGGGACAGGGTTTCTCCATGTTAGTCAGGCTGGTCTCAAACTCCTGACCTCAGGTGATCCACCTGCCTTGGCTACCCAAGTGCTGGGATTACAGGCATGAGCCACAGCACCCAGCCTGAAATGTTATTTCTTAATAATAAGACTTGAAAGGTGAAACTGATCCATGGGCTGCTGTATGGATGTTTTAGCAGGCACGAAAACATTCACCTCCTTGTGCATGTCCATCAGAGGTCTTGGGTGACAAGGTGCATCACCAATGAGTTGTAATATTTTGAAAAATATTTTTTCTAAGCAGTAGGTCTCAACAGCGGGCTTAAAATATTCTGCAAATGATGCTGTAAACAGATGTGCTGTCACCCAGACTTTGTTTTTCCCTTTACAGAGCACAGGCAGAGTAGATTTAGCATAATTTAGATTTACCATAATTCTTAAGGTCCTTGGATATTCAGAATGGCTAATGAGCAGTAGCTTCAACTTAAAGTCATCAGCTACAGTAGCCCCTAATGAGAGGCAGCCTGTCCTTTGAAGCCAAGTATTGATTTTTCTACAGCTATAAAAGCCTAGATGGCATTTTCTTCCAATAAACTATTTTGTCTACACTAAAATGTTTACTGTAGCCACCTTTATCAATTATCTTAGCTAGATCTGGATAACTTGCTACAGTTTTTCCATCAGCACTTGCTGCTTCACCTTGCACTTTTATGTTTTGGAGATGGCTTCTTTCCTTAAACCTCATGAACCAACCTCTGCTGGCTTCAAACTTTTCTTCTGCAGCTTTCTCACCTCTTTCAGCCTCCAAAGAATTGAATAGAGTTACTACGGCCTTGCTAGATTAGGCTTTGGCTTAAGGGAATATTGCAGCTGACCTGATCTATCCAGACCACTACAACTTTCTCCATGTCAGCAATAAGGTTGTTTCACTTTCTTATCACTCAGGCATTCACTGGAGTCACACTTTTAATTTCCTTCGAGAACTCCTTTGCATTCACAATCTGGCTAACTCTCTGGCTTAAGCAGCCTAGCTTTTGGCTTTCAAAATATGTTATTGGCCTTTTAGCGTTGTTAAAGGGTATTGCTCTGTCATCCAGGCTGGAGTGCAGTGGCATGATCACAGCTCGCTGCAGCCTCAACCTCCTAGGCTCAAGCAATCCTCCCATCTCAGCCTCCCAAGTAGCTGGGACCACAGGCGTGTGCCACCATGCCTGGCTACTTTTTCCATTTTTTTTATGAAGACGAGGCCTCACTATGTTGCCCAGGCTGGTCTCAAACTCTTGTCCTCAAGCGATCCTCCCACCTACGCCTGCCAAAAAATGCTAGGATTACAGGCATGAACCCCACGCCTGGCCATTTTTAGCTTCTGACTTGGTGTGAGAGACGCGAGACCCTTCCTTTCATCTGAACACTTTAAAGGCTATTATAGGGTTATTAACCGGCCTAATTTTAAGACAGTTGTGTCTCAAGGAATAGAGAGGTCTGAGGAGAGGAAAAGAGATGGGAAATAGTCAGTAGCTGGAGCAGTCAGAACACAAACATTTATAGACTGAATTCACCTTCTTAGATGGACATGGTTTGTGGTTCCCCAAAACTATGATAATGACACCCAAAATCACTGATCACGAATCATAACAGATATAATAGTCTGAAACGTTGGTCACATTACCAAAATGTGACACAGAGATGAAGTGAGCACACGCTGTTGGAAAAATGGCACTGATAAAAGACTTGCTCAATGCAGGGTCACCACAAATTCTCAATTTGTAAATAAAAAAACCGCAATTATCTGCAAAGCACAATAAAACGAGGTATACCTATACATGCAACAAACACAAAACCGGTAAACTCAAAATTCAGGATGGGCAAGGAAATGAAGTAGGGAAAGGAACACACACAGGAAGCAGAGGTGACTGAACTGGTCAGGCCAAGTCTCCTCAAGTTGAGTGACACAAATCAGAATCACTCAAAATTGAAAGGCTAACCAAAACACTGCACCGTCAATCACCTACAGCACCTTCAGTGAAGTAAGAGCGCTGCAGGGTGGGTAGGAGCAATTCCCTCTGCTGTGCTTGACCCTCATCAGTAACAAGCAGAGCTAACTCTGACAGGTGGATGGAGTGCTTCTGCTACCCAATCTCACTGACAGGGAAACAGGATCAAAGATTAAGCAACCTGCTCCAGATCACTGCCAATGTCTCCAAATTCCAGTGGGTGAATGTCCATTTTGAGCTTCAGTACCACTAGTCACAGTGGTACTCATCTGTGCACCTGCTTAGGTAGTATATTCCATTTTCAGCAAGTTCTAATTGCCCATATAAAACACATCAGAGGTACAGAGATCTTTAAGCACAAAATGCAACACTGAGTCTATCTCATGCCCTTTCCAGGACAAGACAATGCCAAAAAGGAAAAAAGCCTGGGCGCGGAAGTGAGCACCTATAGTCCCAACTACTTGAGAGGCTGAGGAGGGAAGAGGATGTCCTGAGCCCAGGAGTTCTGGGCTATATTGCATGGTGCCAATCAGGTGGCCGCACTACGTTTGGCATCAGTGTGGTGACCTCCAAGGAGTGGGTACTACCAGATTGCCTAAGAAGGGGTGAACCAGCCCAGGTCGGCCAGATGTGGTGGCTCACACTTGTAATCCCAGCATTTTGGGAGGCCCTGGCGGGCGGATCGCTTGAGGCCGGGAGTTCGAGACCAGCCTGGCCAACAAGGCAAAACCCCAACTATATTAAAATACAAACATTAACTGGGCATGGTGGCGGGCATCTGTAATCTCAGCTACTCAGGAGGCTGTGGCACAAGAACTGCTTGAACCCGGGAAACAGGCTGCAGTGAGCCAAGACTGTGCCACTGCACTCCAGCCTGCACAAAAGAGTGAGTGAGACTCCGTCTCAAAAAAAAAAAAAAAAAAAAAGTTGCGGGGCCGGGGGGGGGGGGGGGGGTGGGTCGCGTAGTGAAGAAAAAAAAGAAAGGGGGCAAGTCAAAACTCCCATACCTATCAGCAGTGGGGTCATGCATGTGACTCACCACTGTACTCCAGCCTGGGCAACACAGTGGAGACCTCGTCTCTTAAAACGGTAGGTTGGCTGGGCGCGGTGGCTCACCCCTGTAATCCCAGCACTTTGGGAGGCCCAGGCGGGTGAATTACGATGTCAGGAGTTCGAGAGCAGACTGGCCAATGTGGTGAAACCCTGTCTCTACTAAAAATACAAAAATTAGCTGGGTGTGGTGGCGTGCACCTGTAGTCCCAGCTACTCAGGAGGCTGAGGCAGAACAATCGCTTGAACCCAGGAAGCGGACGTTGCAGTGAGCCAAGATTGCGCCACTGCACTCCCGCCTGGGCAACAGAGCGAGAGTCTACCTAAAAAAAAAAAAAAGTAATAGTATAAGCTGTGACACTGGATGAAGAAAGTGGCAAAAATAAAAATTTGTAAGAAAAAAATTGAGGACATAAATTTTTAAAAAGGGGGCAAAAAACATAAGCTGAAACTCCTTAAACTTTAAACATCTGGGCTGGGCGCGGTGGCTCAAACTTGTAATACCAGCACTTTGGGAGGCCGAGGCGGGAGGATCACGAGGTCAGGAGTTTGAAACCAGCCTGCCCAGCATGGTGAAACCCCGTCTCTACTAAAAATACAAAAAATTAGCCGGGCATGGTGGCACACGACTGTAGCCCCAGCTACTTGGGAGCCTGAGGCAGGAGAATTGCTTCAACCCAGCAGGTGAAGGTTGCAGTGAGCCAAGATTGCACCACTGCACTCCAGCCTGGGAGACAGAGCAAGACTCCATCTCAACAAACAAACAAACAAACAAACAAAAATAAAAACTTTAGGGCCGGGTGCGGTGGCTCACACCTGTAATCCCAGCACTTTGGGAGGCTGAGGCGAGCAGATCACAAGGTCAGATCAAGACCATCCTGGCTAACACGGCGAAACCCCATCTCTACTAAAAATACAAAAAATTAGCCAGGCGTGGTGGTGGGCGCCTGTAATCCCAGCTACTCGGGAGGCTGAGGCAGGAGAATGGCATGAACCCAGGAGGTGGAGCTTGCAGTGAGCAGAGCAGAGATTGTGCCACTGTACTCCAGCCTGGGCGACAGAGCAAGACTCCACCTCCAAAAAAAAAAAAAAAAAACCAACAAACTGTCAATCTCTGGTAGGTTTAAAAGGAATCTTTGCTATCATCTAAAAGACAAACAACAATTGTCGGCAAAGATGTGGAGAAACTGGAACCCTCATATGTCCAGCAATGTAAAATGGGGCAGCCACTGTAAAACAGTCTGGCAGTTCCTCCAAAAGGTTAAAACATAAATAATGAATGTCCCAGAAATTCCTCCCCTACGCATATGCCAAGAGAAAGGGAAACATTTCTACATAAAAAGTGTGTGTGGGCACTCACAGAGGTATTATTCATAAGAGCCAAAAACTAGAAACCAAAATATCCATGAACTGATGAACGGATAGTGTCATTTCTAAGGATACAACCAGATTTTCTGAAATTGGGGGTAGGGGAGGGGAATCAAAGATGTTTCCTTCTCAAGGAGCAAACCGGGTAGTGTGGCAATCAATTCTGAGGCTCCATGCTGCCCTTCCAAGGACTGAGGTACTGTACCCAAGAATCACTGTGCCGGAGTGAAGGACAAAGCAATCAAGTCATCCAGGCACAAGTCACAGAACACTGAGTGCGGAGAGAGGCAGAGCTTGCCAATCTGGCTTCACCGGGGGCTCCTCTCACCTGTTCTCTGTCTGCTCAAGAGTTGGTAAGCACCCTCGCACTTAAAACATTCCAAAACCCAAGCTTTTGTGGTTACATTCTGAGGCAATGCATAGAGAAATGTTAATTCTGTGAGCCTTTTCAAGGTGACATCAAGACAGAAACTACTTGCTGTGGAAATCATTGTACAAAGTGGGTAGGAGTGAGAAGCCCACTGATAGGATGAGTCCCCTGGGAGCTGATGAAAGGGTGAGATCCAATCCATTTTTAAACAGTCCTTTTTTTTTTTTTTTTTTGAAAGAGAGTCTCACTTTGTTGACCAAGCTGAAGTGCAATGGCGTGATCTCAGCTCACTGCAACCTCCGCCTCCTGGGTGACTGGAACTATAGGAGCATGGCACCATGTCCGGCTGATTTTTGGATTCCCCCCCCCCCCCCCCCCCCCCGAAGGAGTCTCACTCTGTGGCCCAGGCTGGAGTGCAGTGGCGCGATCTAGGCTCACTGCAAGCTCCGCCTCCCGGGTTCACGCCATTCTCCTGCCTCAGCTTCCTCAGTAGCTGGGACTACAGGTGCCCACCACCACGCCTGGCTAATTTCTTCTATTTTGAGTCGAGACAGGACTTCACCGTGTTAGCCAGGAGGTCTCAATCTCCTGACCTCGTGATCCGCCCGCCTCGGCCTCCCAAAGTACTGGGATTACAGGCGTGAGCCACCGCGCCTGGCCAATTTTTATAGTTTTTATTAGAGACGGGGTTTCACCATACTGGCCAGGCTGGTCTCAAACTCCTGATCTCAGGTGATCCACCTGCCTCGGCCTCCCAAAGTGCTAGGATTACAGGCATGAGCCACCGTGCCTGGCCTTAAACAGTCCTTTAGGCAGTCCTGAAAGACACCTGGCTGCACCACTGTTTGAACCATCTCCCGTACCTTTGTGCCTACTCTTCACCGATGCCCAATATCCATCCCCAAAATCAGTTTCCGTGTGGAGGCAGGATATGGGGAATTTAAAGCCCCTCAGCAGGCTTCCGCACCCACGTTCTTAGTTCTAACATGTGTTCAAAAAGTAAGCAAGATGGCCAGGAGCAGGGGCTCATGCCTGTAATCCCAGCACTTTGGGAGGCCGAGGCAGGTGGATCCCTTGAGGCCAGGAGTTTGAGACCAGCATGGCCAACATGGCGAAACCCTGTCTGTATTAAAAATACAAAAATTAGCCAGGCATGGTGGCAAGGGGCCTGTAGTCCCAGCTACTTGAGAGGCTGAGGCACGAGAATTGCTTGAGCACAGGAGGCGGAGGTTGCGGTGAGTCGAGATCGTGCCACTGCACTCCAGCCTGGGCAACAGAGCGAAACTCTGTCTCAAAAAAAAACAAAAAAACAAAAAACAGTAGGCAGGTGGATATTTGCACACTCATGTTCACTGCTGTATTATTCACAACAGCCAAGAGGTGGAAGCAACCCAACTCCATCAACAAAGGAGTGGAATTCTGACATGCTACAACACGGATGGACCTGGAGAACAGGTTATTATGCTTAGTGAAGTAAGCCAGTAACAAAATTCTAAATACTGTCTGAATCGGCCAGGTGCAGTGGCTCACGCCTGTAATCCCAGTACTTTGGGAGGCAGAGGTGGGTGGATCACCTGAGATCAGGAGTTCAAGACCAACCTGGCCAACATGATGAAACCCTGTCTCTACTAAAAATACATTAAAAAAAAAAAAATTAGCCAGGCATGGTGGCGGGTGCCTGTAATCCCAGCTACTTGAGAGGCTGAGGCAGGAGAATCACTTGAACCCGGGAGGCAGACATTGCAGTAAGCCAACATCGCGCCATTGCACTCCAGCCTGGGCAACAAGAATGAAACTCCATCTCAAACAAACAAACGAAAAATACTCAACAAACAAAAAATACTGTCTGATTCTACTTATATGAATAACTATGGTAGTCAAACTCATAGAAACAGAAAGTAGAAGACTGGCTGCCACAGGCTGGGAGAAAGAAGGAAAAGGAAGTTATTCGAAGGATACAGTGTCAGCTTTGCAAGATGAAAACTTTCTAGTGATCTGCTGCACGACAATATGCATATAGTTTACACTGTAAAATGGTTAGGATGTTGCATTTTATGTTTTGAAACACATGCGTGTGCATGTAGGCAAATGGGTTCAGCCGACATTCCTCAATACTAACATGGGAAAATGCCCTCACAGGGCTGGGTCAAATGAAATGCCACACAAAGCAAGTGTTCAATAAACACCTACTACTAATAAAAGCAAGCATCGGCCAGGCACAGTAGCTTGTAGCTCCCATTTGTAATCCCTGCAGTTTGAGCGGCCAAGACAGGCACATTGCTTGAACTCAGGAGTTCAAGGCCAGCCTGGGCAATGTGGTGAGACCCCATCTCTACTAAAAGTACAAAAAAGGGGCCAGGTGCGGTGGCTCACACCTGTAATCCCAGCACTCTGGGAGGCCGAGGCGGGCAGATCACCTGAGATCAGGAGTTCAAGACCAGCCTGGCCATGGTGAAACCCCGTCTCTACTAAAAATACAAAAAATTAGCTGGGCGTGGTGGTGTGCGCCTGTAATCCCAGCTACTCAGGAGGCTGAGGCAGGAGAATTGCTTGAACGCGGGAGGCGGAAGTTGCAGTGAGCCGAGATCGCACCATTGCACTCCAGCCTGGGCAACAGGAGTGAAAATCCGTCAAATCAAACAACAACCAAAAACAGGCTGTGCACGGTGGCTCACATCTGCAATCCTAGAACTTTGGGAGGCTGAGGTAGGTGAACCACCTGAGGTCAGGAGTTCTAGACCAGCCTGGCCAACATGGGGAAACCCCATCTCTACTAAAAATACAAAATTAGCCGGGCGTGGGGGCGCGTGCCTGTAATTCCAGCTACCCCAGAGGCTGAGGCAAGAGAATTGCTTAGAAGCCGGGAGGCAGAAGTTGCAGTGAGCGGAGGTCATGTCATTGCACTCCAGCCTGGGTGACAGAGCGAGACTCTCAAAACAAAACAAAGATGTCAGGCGTAGCTACTCAGGAGACTGAGGTGAGAGGATAGCTTGAGACTGGAGGGTGGAGGTTGCCATGAGCCAAGACTGTGCCACTGCACTCCAGCTTGGATGAGGGAGACCCTGTCTTCAAAAAAAAAAGTGTGAATTGTGGCCGGGCACGGTGGCTCACGCCCGTAATCCCACCACTTTGGGAGGCTGAGGCGGGCGGATCACGAGGTCAGGAGATCGAGACCATCCTGGCTAACACGGTGAAACCCCGTCTCTCTACTCAAAATACAAAAAATTAGCCGGGCGTGGTGGCGGACAGCTAGAGTCCCAGCTACTTGGGAGGCCGAGGCAGGAGAATGGTGTGAATCCGGAAGGCGGAGCTTGCCGTAAGCCAATATCGTGCCACTTCACTCCAGCCTGGGCAACAAAGCAAGACTCCATCTTTAAAAAAAAAAAAAAAAAAAGGCCGAGCGGTGGCTCATGCCTGTAATCCCAGCACTTTGGGAGGCCGAGGCGGGTGGATCATCTGAGGTCAGGAGTTCAAGACTAAGCCTGGCTGACATGGTGAAACCCTGTCTCTACTAAAAATACAAAAAAATTTGCCGGGCGTGGTGGTGGGTGCCTGTAATCCCAGCTGCTCAGGAGGCTGAGGCAGGAGAATTGCTTGAACCCGGCAGGCGGAGGTTGCAGTGAGCCGAGATTGCGCACTGCACTCCAGCCTGGGCAACAAGAGCAAAACTCCATCTCAAAAAAAGTGTGAATGTAATGATTTAGTAAGAACTGTTTAATGTATTAATATTTATATTTCATAATCTGTAATCATGGAGTAAAAGCCAAGCAGGCTGCATCACTTGCCCTGCAGTCTCCTAGCACATGAACTAATGGGCAGGCAGGAGGGTGTGCATCATCCACCTTGCTTACCGCTGACCTCCAGCACCCAGACAATCCCTGGCACTCAGCACAAGTAACTGCTCAATAACCAGAAACATCAAGTGCTTGCCGGAAAAACTCCATGATGAGGGAGAGGGAAGATTACACAGACCAAATTTAAGAATCTCTGCCTTAGGAACTCAGGGGCTATCCTGCCTGAACCATCGATAGGGGATATTTTCAAGTCACCTCAACCACTGCTTGACTCACTCCAGGTGGACCCACCACTGGCACCTTCTAGTACCACAGCTCAGCCTTGAGTATGTGCTTGAACTTTCGTTCGCACTTCACATTTTCCACACACAAATATAATGTGCCAAAATGAGCCAGTCCTGCTCCCAAAACCCTGCTCACAAAATGGAGGACGTGAGGGTGTGGACGCATAGAATGAATGAAATGAAAGATGTCAGACAAAGCAAATTCCAAAGAGAAGTGGGAAATTTTCTAGCCTCCAAGAACAGAGGACAAAACTATTAAACATGATACTTATCTAGGTCACTAGAGTTCACTCTAGGACACATTGTTTTGGAAAGAAAAGCCCTTCACCATTCCCCAGATTAAAGCAAATTCACTAATCTGTGTTCTTACTACACAGGGGCCTGGCTTTCTCAAGTCTGGGACCCTGCTGGGACTCTTATTTCCGACGTCCTATTGGGAGGAGCCCTCACATCCATCCTCCTGGAGATGCCCAATGCCCCCAAGTCTGGTCTAGATCCACCCTTGCATTCCAGGCTTGCACATCCAACCGCTTCAATGACAGCATCCATGAGGATGTCGACAAGCTCCACATGGTCAAGGAACTAAAGTGACCCCATTTTCTCTAAAACCTGTCAAAACAGGGTGACAACAGCCCTACTGAGTGTTCCAAGCCCCCTTCAAAGGCCCACTTACCACAGGGGACAGTGGCTACCAGGCTGGATAACCCAGCTGCAGAACAGTCCCAACACTGCAGAAAGTCCCCCTGGACAGCACTGCTTTGGAAATTGGGTAATACACTGTAAAATAAGTAAGGTCTAGACCAGACCTTGGAAGATGGAGGAAATGGAGTTTGGGGGGATGTCTGGAAGAAGAATCAAATGAACGGAATGAGGCAACAGTGTGTCACAGAACCCAGGAGCCCAGGGTGCTACATGACAGGAGTGTAGGTCTTATCCTATATGCAGTGCGGTTTCAGGGTAGCATAATCATGCTGTAGTCATCTATTCTATTTTGATTGTGTACTTTTCAACTAGCTTACTAGTAGCACTGTGCGTGGAGTTTAACCACTTCTACCATTTTCTCTGGACTGGCTTTGTTTTTTTTTTCCCCCCACAGGTATTCAGAGCCAATTTCCTACTGAATGAGATCACGTGTCATTTTACGAAGTCAAAGAAAAGATGTAAAAGTAAAATCCTTCAGGGCACACCTGTTAAATGAATCACCACCTTTCTAGCACAGGGGTATTAGGATCTTGTGCAACAATCACCACCGGAGACATTAGGATCCCTGAAACACCTGCCTCACTCACTGTCATGTCTGCAGTGAATGCAGAACAGTGTCTGATTACCAAGTACATCCAGCACACGCATTGGACATGGATGTTGACCGAGTTCCACTTGGTGTGCCTGAGGCAGGCAGGAAATTCTCTTGGAAACAGAATCCTTAAGGGGATTGGGGGGGGGAAGCACCCATGAGCTAGAACTCAATTCTACCCTACAGTAAGCAGCACTTCAAGGGCCGGGCATGGTGGCTCACGCCTGTAATCCCAGCATGTTGGGAGGACCAGGCACGTGAATCACTTGAGATCAGAAGTTAAAGACCAGTCTGAAAATATAGTGAAGCCTCATCTCCACTAAAAATACAAAAAAACCAGCCGGGCGTGGTGGCCGGCGCCTGTAGTCCCAGCTACTTGGGAGGCTGAGGCATGAGAATCACTTGAACCCGGGAGGTGGAAGCTGCAGTGAGCTGAGATCACACCACTGCACTCCAGCCTGGGTGACTCTGTCTCAAAAAAAAGCACCTCAAGACCGAGAAGCGGCCGGGCGCCATGGCTCATGCCTGTAATCCTAGCACTTTGGGAGGCCGAGGCGGGCGGATCACGAGGTCAGGAGATCAAGACCATCCTGGTCTAACTCGATGAAACCCCATCTCTACTAAAAATACAAAAAATTAGCCGGGCGTAGTGGCGGGCGCCTGTGGTCCCAGCTACTTGGGAGGCCGAGGCAGAAGAATGGCGTGAACCCGGGAGGCAGAGCTTGCAGTGAGCCGAGATCGCGCCACTGCACTCCAGACTGGGCGACAGAGCGAGACACCGTCTCAAAAAAAAAAAAAAAAAAAAAAAAAGACTGAGAAGCTCACCATAATCCTGAAAGAGTATCCAGTTCACACCATAATTTTAACAAGCCTGGGGCACCTGGACTAAAGACACACTCCAGTTTACTTACTTCCCCCCAACCATCCCGCTTCTATATTCCCAGACTTGCTCTGAGTAGCAAAAGGATAAATGGAAGTGAAGGCCCGGAGCGGTGGATCACCTGAGATCAGGAGTTCGAGACCAGCCTGGCCAACGTGGTGAAACCCTGTCTCTAATAAAAATACAAAAAAACAGTCGGGCATGGTGGCGCATGCCTGTAATCCCAGCAACTCAGGAGGCTGAGGCAGGAGAATCACCTGAACCTGGGAGACGGAGGTTGCAGTGAGCTGAGACCACACCATTCCATTCCAGCCTGGGCAACAAGAGCCAAACTCCATCTCAAAAAAAAAGAAAAAGAAAAAGAAAAAATAGAAGTGAAACCAAATCAAGGCAACTTGGTTCTCTAGCGGAAACTTTTTGAAGATGAGGTTAAATTCCACTCTTGTGAATGTCTTCATGAGAAACTCCTCAGGAGGGAAGCACTGTTTTTACTGACCAGATGTCTGGGTGAAAAGGAGACCTGTCCAGTCAGCATTCTGCATCCCTCTTCTGATCATCCCCTCACACTGGTGAGCACCTCCAAGGGACAGGTACTTGCTTTCAGACCTGTCCAGGTCTCTTTCCAAACCTCTGCTGTCCTCATTGAAGAACCAGACTCAATGCTAGCCCCCTTCCTATGCTCCCAGTTGGAAGGTCTCCTCCCTCTCAGGCTGCCTTGCCTGGACATCTTGGAAAGCACTTCTGAGCTCTACCCTGTGCTCACTACGTATCATCCAAACCATCTGAGTTCACTGAGAACAAAGCTGAATATGGTGGACTCCCACAGCTTATGCCACAGCAGACAAGAGCTAGTGGGCTCTGGACACAAGTGCTCCAAGTACTTACCAACTCTGTGACCCTGCAACCCTGCCCAAGTGACAGCTCTCCAAGCACCACCTTCCGTATCTGCAAACCGGGATGATACTAGTGCCCAGTGTATATGGTTGTTTTCTGAGGACTTAAGGAATGCGTAGAGGCTTAGAAATATTCGCTAAAACAGAACAATCAGCAGCAGTGTGCTCAAGCTCAGGGTCTGGGGAGGGCAATGTGGCAGTGAAGTGACCAAGTCTGCAGCTCCCTACAGCATCATGGTTGACACAGAAACTGGACTGATGGATGTCTGGCTCCACCACTTTAAAACAGGCATGCAGTAAGCAATAGAAAAAAATTAAGGAAGATGTCAAGCATCCAGTCAGAAAATGTAGTTTTATACTTTACAGGGAAGCCTATTCATAGGCAGCTATTTGCTACAAACCCTGAACTTTTCAGAGTCAACAAAGATAAGGACTGCTTTAAGGTGAACAATGGGAGTGGGGGGTGGTGGGCAAGGGGTGGTGGTGGTGGTGGTGGTGGTCAGGAAGGTCAGGGGAAAGAGACACAGGCCAGAAAGGGTAAACCAGCTCTCACAAGTGCAAAGGACATCAGTTACCAGAGCAGACAGGCCTAAAGACTGAGGATAAGCAAGCTGCAGGCAGCATGCTACGCAACTCAAAAGGGCCCAATAGAGAGACCGCTCTAACACTGGTAATTTAAAACTGCATTCCTGGGATTACAGATAGCTGAGCTATTATTTTGAAAAAGATGAACACGAAGGTGGTATTATTTCCAGGCAGCTAATCTGTCAGCTGAATGGTTTCCTACTGTCAAAAGGAAAACATATGAAGAGTCTCATACACACACAACTCTATTACTTGGCAGCTTTTTATAACTGAAAGTGCTTCAGAGCCAAGTAATTTTTAATGAAGATTACAAATGAAAACAACCTACACACAGATAGCACCACCTTTCACAGAACTCTTTCACGCACATGATCTTATTTCTCTTAATTACAAAATAGAAAGGGGAAACTGCTTAAGTTACAAAAATCATGCCTGTACAGTAAGACTGCAATTCAACTGAGCAGAGAAATGGGATTAATAAAAGCCAAGACCAATGGTACATGAATGAGGGAAAACATCCATTGGCACATACAAGTTTAATCTTCAAACTATAGAGATTGGGGCGGGGGGGTGAAGGAGTCTGTAATAGGTGCTATTCTTAGAAGTAATAAGAGTTCTTTTCCATCCTCTGACTCAACTCTGCCCCAATTACAGAAGTATGAATTATTCAAGTTTATGGTATTATATTTCCTATTCCTTCCACCAGACAAGGATGTGAGGAGAAAGAGAGTGGCACTGTGTACACTGCTTGGTGTAGCATGTCGATATCCCTAAACGTAAGCATGTCATGCTGAAGAATGGTAGTTTCCCACAAGCTTTCTTCCTCAATCTGCAGGTTCCAGTGCATGCGTAAGCAAATGTCCCGCAGCACAGGGCACACATTAAGCCACGTAAGGGACCACAGCATAAATCTTGTAAGCCTACCCACATCCAACACTACCACATAAATAATGAGGCTGGCTAGGAACCATTCAGTTACCTTCTGGAGCAAAGGCTCCATACCAACAGCAAATCATGGAGACAGTTTACAAACAGCAGCAGCTTCAGTGTAGAGCCCTAGTTCCAAGACCCTCATCTGCGGCCTTTGCAACAGACCCATTCTGGTACATTCTCAAATTCCTTATCCCCAGGAAAGAGCACAGGCTGACAAAGTTGGGGGCACAGGGGCCCTGGGAAGGTTCACATCACTGTTGACACGTTACCTGACAACTCTGTGAAACCTCTGGAGGATTTTTGCAAGGACAAACCAAAATGGGTGATCCACCCTGTTTCCAAGTCATAAAGTTGTAAATGTCTAGAAAAGTAAGATACATGTGAAAACCAGCCTGGCACAGTGGCTCACCTGTGTAATCCCAGCAGTCTGGGAGACAAAGAAGGCAGGAGGCTTGCTCAAGTTCAGGAGTTCAAGACCAGCCTGGGCAACATAGTGTGACCTCGTCCCTTCAAAAAATAAAAAAAAGGCTGGGAGCGGTGCCTCACACCTGTAATCTCAGAACTCTGGGAGGCCAAGGTGGGCAGATCACTTGAGCCCAGGAGTTGCAGCCTGGGAAACATGGTGAAACCCCATCTCCACAAAAATACAAAAAATTAGCTGGGCATGGTGGCTCACACCTGTAGTCCCAGCTACCTGGGAGGCTGAAGTAGGAGGATCACCTAGGCCAGGAGGCCGATGCTACAGTGAATGACTGCACTCCAGCCTGGATGACAAAGTGAGACCTCGTACCAAAAAATAAAAATAAGCTAGGCATGGTGACACACACCTGTAGTTGCAGCTACTCAGCAGGCTGAGGTGGGAGGATCACTTAAACCTGGGAGGTCAAAGCTGCAGTGAGCCAAGATCATGCCACTGCACTCCAGCCTGGGCAACAGAGCAAGACCCTGTCTTAAAAAATAAAAATAAAAAGTATTCAAAACCATCAAGAGGCAGGGTGAAGTGGCTCCGCCTGTAATCCCAGCACTTTAGGAGGCCTAAGCAGATGAACTGCTTAAGCCCAGGACTCCAGACCAGCCTGCCTAAGCAACATGGTGAAACCCCGTCTCTACAAAAAAATACCAAAATTAGATGAGTGTGGTGGCCCACACCTGTAGCCCAGTTACTTAGGAAGCTGAGGTGGGAGGATTACCTGAGTTTGGGGAGGCTGAGACTACAGTTAGCTGTGATCATGCCACTGCACTACGGCCTGGGCAACACAGTGAGACTCTACCTCCAAAACAAAACAAAACAAAAAAGCCATCAATAGCCCTTTAACCAACATCGTAATAAATTTTTCTTCCACAGAGTAAAATCAGGAAATTCATTCTGGTACCTGGTCTTTAGAGTTCAATGTTTATGCCTATGTGCATTTTTGTGGAGAGAGGATCCAAAGCATCTGTAGCATACTCAAGGAGACCTCCAGCCTCCTCTTAAGGAGTGATGATCTAGAGAGAAGCAGGGTCAGTCCCATTCTTAGCCACTAGACTCAATTATTTTGTGTCTCCTAAAGGAATAATATTTCCAACAGTGAGAACTGTAGGAAAACGATTATTACAGTAGAACTTAACACTTGTTTTTGATTATGGAAATCTGAGGAGGCTTTTCGTAATGCTTGAGGAATGCCAAGCAGCAGACTACGAGAACTTGAGTATGGAAATAGCTTAGCAAATAGCAAAATTACAACTGTACCTTTTGCAGGCACGGAAGATAGATGAATCCAGTCTCCTGAACTAACAATAGTTACTAGTAATAACAATATACCATACAGATTACATAAGTTATATAAATAACAACTTGTTATTTATATGGAAGAGAGACCTAATGTGATAAACACAATTTCAATCTTGTAAGCATTTATTTAAACTTTATATCTACCTGGTCTCTTATCCAAGATTTTCCTGAACACTTTAAGCTGGTCTCACTCCTGTGCTCCCTTCAGGGCTGTTTTCCCGCCAAACTGGATCATTCAGCCCACCCAAGTAACTCCTGAGACTTGGCTTGACTTCTCCCAGAGCTCCTTCTATGCCTGACACAGGTAAGATACACAGTGTCTTTCATTTCATCTTCTACGAAAATATTTGGGATACACACATCCTTAACTATCTTCATTCTACCCTTTGTGAGTAACTCAATTCTGAACTGTTTTCCACTAATTCTGGTTTACAAACTAGTATGGAAACCTCCTTTCAGCCATCCATAATTTCTTGCTCCAAGTTCGGGGGTACATTTTACTTTTAGTATAGGACTCTGGGCCAGGCATAGTGGCTCACGCCTGTAATCCCAACACTTTGGGAGGCCAAGGCGGATGGATCACCTGAGGTCAGGAGTTTGAGACCAGCCTGGCCAACGGGGTGAAACCCTGCCCCTACTAAAAATACAAAAACTAGCCGGGCATGGTGGCGCATGCCTCTAATCCCAGCTACTCGGGAGGCTGAGGCAGGAGAATTGCTTGACCCAGGAGGCAGTGAGCCGAGATGGTGCCACTGCACTCCAGCCTGGGCGAAAGAGCGAGACTCCATCAAGAAAGAATGGGAAAGGGAAAGGAAAGAAAGGAAAGAAAACAAAGAAAAAAGAAAAAGAGAAAGAAGGAAGGAAGGAAGGGAAAGAGGGAGGGGACTCTGTCCATTGGACAAAGCATCCCATCTAGCATGCCTCTTATCAACAAGCGAGATGCTGCTGGAGCTACCACTTGGGTTGAGGGAATGGAGGGCAGAGACCAGCTACAGGCGCCATGCTTGAGGCAAGCCAGTTAAGCATTCCCATTCTGCACATGGTCAGAGATGGGCAATGATCCAACCTAGAATCCACTGCCATCAGAAAGCACTACTGGGAAGACTCACTCTTGACCTTGAGGTCAGAACATTAGTGATAAAGAACAAGTACTGAAGTCATTGTGGAGCCCTTAGATTCAACTACTCTTGAGCCTCATGTTGCATCAGGCAACAAACTCCCTTCTGTTTCAGCTAATTTTGTTTATTTATACCAGAGAAAGACATAAGTAATACAACCATTTCCTCACAGTCATCTGAATAAAGTTAGGAGAATAACATCTGAGAATAATCGACAAGTAGCTTACCACACATGCACACAAATGACACTCTACATACTTCTTGTTTCACCTGTGGCAAACTACTAGACCTTCACCACTCCATGCTTCTCCAACTTCCCTCACCCTACCCCCTACAAAGCTTCTAAAACACAGTGGGTACAGGGAAGAAACGAAACTAAAGATCCATGCTTTCACCTGCTACTAGAAAGCATATCCAGGACAGTCATCATTGGGCAAATGACAAAGAAACAGATCACAAAATGGCACATACATACACACACACACAAATCAAGGTATTCACAATTGCCATCAAGTAGCATGGAAACCAATGTAATTCAACTCCTCTGACATGACCCCCCCATAAGAAACACATTTTATCATGTACACAACACCTAAGATCAAAGCAAAGGTTTTATGAAATATCCTTGAAAATTGTGACACCCTCTGACATTTCCCTTTTCTCCCCTATACACCAATTGCAATCCACCATATTTGTTTCATGACCCATGGTTTTGTTTTGTTTTGTTTTGTTTTCTTCTGAGATGGAGTCTCGCTCTGTCGCCCAGGCTGGAGTGCAGTGACACGATCTCGGCTCACTGCAAGCTCCGCCTCCCGGGTTCACGCCATTCTCCTCCCTCAAGCCATGCCATGACCCATGGTTTTAAAAACACAAAGAAAGCCAGGCGCAGTGGCTCACGCCTGTAATCCCAGCACTTTGGGAGGCCGAGGCGGGTGGATCACGAGGTCAGGAGATCGAGAGCATCCTGGCTAACACGGTGAAACCCCGTCTCTACTAAAACATACAAAAAAAAAAAAAATTAGCCAGGCGTGGTGGCGGGCGCCTGTAGTCCCAGCACTTTGGGAGGCCGAGGCAGGCAGATCACGAGGTCAGGAGATCAAGACCATCCTGGTTAACACAGTGAAACCCCATCTCTACTAAAAAATACAAAAAAAAAAAAAAAAAAAATTAGCCAGGCATGGTGGCAGGTGCCTGTAGTCCCAGCTACTTGGGAGGCTGAAGCAGGAGAATAGCGTGAACCTGGGAGGCAGAGCTTGCAGTGAGCTGAGACTGCGCCACTGCACTCTAGCCTGGGAGATAGAGAGAGACTCTGTCTCCAAAAAAAAAAAAAAAAAGAAAAGAAAAGAAAAATTAGCCGGGTGTGGTGGTGGGCGCCTGTAGTCCCAGCTACTTGGGAGGCTGAGGCAGGAGAATGGCGTGGACCTGGGAGGTGGAGCTTTCAGTGAGCTGAAATCATACCACTGCACTCCAGCCTGGGTGACACAGTGAGACTCTGCCTCAAACAAACAAACAAACAAAAATACAAAGAATTATTTTCTTCCAATTAATTGGGAGGCTGAGGCAGGAGGATCATTTGAACCCAGAAGTTCAAGTCCAGCCTGAGCAACACAGCAAGACTCCATCTCTTTAAAAAAAAAAAAAAAAAAAAAAAAAAGAACTGCTCTCTCTTAAAATCCAGATTCTGATCAAATTTCTCTGGAATCAAAACCTATGCGCCCTACTTTATATATGAAAAACTGAGGCTAGAGTGGTTAGGCAACGGGTCCAAGGACACAGGCAGATGTCCCCTGCTGAGTGTGCCCCAGCAGCCCAGTATGGCCCAGACTGGCATCCACCACTGGGCTGGCAGGTTCCACCTCCATGTAGTTTTTTTGTTTCAACTCTCATGATAATGATCTGCTCCCACAAAATATGTTTCCTCAAACAGCATGGAAAATTTTCAAGTATGAAGTCCCCAAATTTTTCTCACCCTCTTCCCTTTTCTTTACACAAAACAAAACTTTGAAGGCTAATCCACCCATAGACATGTATGTGTTACTGCCTGAGAAGGAACAACTGCAGACATTAGCAACACACAAGGACACGAGAATTACTAATTCACGTTTCTGAAAATTGTGTAATACCAAGCCCAACACCTCTCCCCTGGTGCTGGCTGACAATGTACCAGTGTCTCCTGACTAACAGCAGCTAGGAACAAATAAAGAGTTTCAGCCTTGAGTGGAGACCAAGACAAGGAAGGTGACCACACATACTAAGTAGGAAGGGCCTGGATAGCATTTCTCACACTTTTTCAGGCAGAAAGCAAAGCCAGCACTCCTCGGCCCCCATCTTTCTCAACAGTCCCAGGCATCTTTATACAATTAGACATGAGGCCCAGGTCAGTACCCACATGGTCCCCCTTTTGTCACTGTGCAGGCACACTGATCCCATTTTACAGAAGAGAAAACTGAGGCTTATGGAGACGATGTAACTCCCCTGAGGTCAAGGCCAGAAGGGGGTGGGGCTGGGACTGCACCCAACAGTGAACTCCATGGTGTTCTCTCTCCTCTCCTGCTCTGGTACACGGCTCCACCCAAGCCCAACCAATGCTGTCTGCCACAGCCCAAGGTCCCAGAAACTTCCTACACTGGGCAGAACAGGCTAACACATGCCTGGGGAGGGGGGAAGGGGAAGGATCACACAACTGTCTACACCTAGGATAAACGAAAAATAGAACAAATGTCAAATTTATTCACATTCTCTTAATTTGAAGCTAATGCTTAGATTATGTGACCAACCTCTAAAGAAAATATATCTTTCAATTGCATTTCACACAAGCAAAAGGCAACCTTTGTGGAACCGGATCCCAATGACGCCTAGTAAGTAACTGGACTTAACTGGTTCTTCTGGTCAAAAGGCCCAAAGTCGATCGGCAGTATGCCAGACTCCCAGTCAGGACCTCCACACATCCAGCTGCCAAAATTACTCTACCAAACTTTTCCAGGGAGACCTTACACCTTCCTGGGGACCAGAATCCTTTCACCAAGCCCAGATGCCAATACAATCAGAATCAGAGCCAATGGAGGCCAGAAAGGTATGGAAAGATGTTCCAGTGTTCTGGAAAAACTTTGGCCCACCAGTGCCTTCTGGCTCCCTGACCAAGTCTTTGTGTTCAGATAACCAGGTTTTCATAAGATGGGTAAGTTACATTTTAGGCTTGAGGATACACTGAGCCAGCTTCCCCTGCTGGATCATTTCCCCAAACTCTGCAGCAAACATCCCAGGGTGGATGCCCCCAAAGCTGCTGCACCTCCACTAATCCCATTATCACTGCTCTTAATCTCATTATCAGATAAAAACAAACACAATCCCTCTTTCAAGCACCTCTTCCACTGGTCTCCACTCAGAGCTCACTTGGAAGACGTGGCACCTCTGGAAGGCACCTGGTGGGCTGTAGTGTCACCCAGTACCATGCCCTGGATCAGCTGGTGCACCTCCTGGCTGTCAGCAGCTCTACTCTGACCCCTGGCTTCCTCTTCCCACTTCTATTCTTCACCTTGGGCAAGGACGGCAGTAGCTAACCTTGAGAGGGCACAGCACTGCTGCCAAGCCCTGTGCTGTGTGTCCTCTAAGGCACTGTCTCATTTTAACCTCATCTGAAAGATGGGCCAATGAAGCTCTGGGAAGGCTGAGTGACAGAATGAATGTTACACAGCAGGTAGCAGGGCCAGGATTCTAACCGAGGCCTGAATGTGCCGTACTGGTGTTATCAGTCTTTGGAGCAAGGCAGCAAAAATGAGATAGGACTGGATGCCAAGAGGCTGCCCAAGCCCTCCAAGGTCACCCTCCCTAGAGCATTCCAGTTAAGACTGGACTGGGCTCGTACTGCCGGGTCAGGAGACTTGATTTCAGGAAACAAAGTCCAACTCTGGGCAGGAGAGGGTAGAAAAGTCAAAGGGCAAGAGCCTAGAGACACTTCTACTTCTCACCACATTAAAAAAGACACATTTTGTTTTCATACATCATCATTTGTGGGGGAAAAAATGTTTAAAATCTCACCCCTATAAACAAGACCCTGTCAAGCTCTGATTGGAGAAATGGAAATACATGCAACCTTTCCAGAAAATAAGTTAAATCAAGTTTTCAAAAATATACACCTCCCAATTCAAAGATGAAAAAAGAGAAAACACCAGATGAAGTGGCTCACACCTATAATCCCACCACTTTGGGAGGCTGAGGCGGGCGGATCACCTGAGGTCGGGAGTTCCAGACCAGCCTGACCAACATGGAGAAACCCCGTCTCTACTAGAAATACAAAATTAGCTGGGCGTGGTGGTGCATGCCTGTAATCCTAGCTACTAAGGAGGCTGAGGCAGGAGAATCACTTGAACCCGGGAGGCAGAGGCTGCAGTTAGCTGAGATCGTGCCATTGCACTCCAGCCTGGGCAACAGAGCAAGACTCCGTCTCAAAAAAAAAAAAAAAAAAAAAGAAAGAAAGAAAAAGAAAACTTGGAAATCATGTCCAAATGTCCAAAAATAGCAGAATTAAGTTATGGTACATTCATACGACAGCTAAGCAGCCAGTTAAAACGAAACATTTTGGAAATGTTCACAATGTAGCATTAAAAAAAAAAAAAAAAAAAAAGGCCGGGCGCTGTGGCTCATGCCTGTAATCCTAATCCCAGCACTTTGGGACGCCGAGGTAGGCAGATCACTTGAGGCGAGAGGTTCAAGACCAGTGGGGACAACATGGCAAAATCCCATCTCTATTAAAACTACAAGAAATTATCCAGGTGTGGCAGCATGGGGCGCCTGTAGTCCCAGCTACTTGGGAGGCTGAGGCACAAGAATGGCTTGAACCGGGGAGGCAGAGGTTGCAATGAGCCAGTCTCTGCATGGGTGACAGAGCAAAGACTTCAGCATAGGTGACAGAGCAAAACTCTGCCTCAAAATAAATAAATAAATAAAAATTAAAATTAAAAACAAAGAACTTCACTACAACCAAATTGTGTTACTCAGACAAAGACAAATAACTGGAAGGAAAGAAAATGGGATTAAGAGATCATTTTTAACCATCATTTTAACATTCTACTTTTTCCAAATTCCTTAAAATGACCATGCACTACTTTTGTTTAAAGAAAAAGCCTTACAATCTCCTTTTCAAATGATGTGGAACAACCAATGTTATTCCTCTTCAGGACGAGGACAAGAATGGGACAGACGGCTGCTCTGCCCTCACCCTGACTCAGAACTCTCTTCCTCTGCTTCTTCAGAGTGGACTACATTCCATGAATTATGCTAGGACATGTGCACGTGGTTTAATTGAGGTTGGTAGCCTGTCGAGACTGAAAACAAACTGCTTTAAAACATCACCCTTTACAATAAAGGAACTGCAAGTTTGGGGTGCATCTCCGAGACTGTTCTCTATGGAGCAGCATTTCAAACTGTTCTGTAACCATGCACAATGTAAAAAACCAAACGGTGACCAAACCATGAAGGCAGAATACAACATGTCAACATGCTGATATCCTTGCAGTTCCACTTCCTCATTCATTTAAACAGTTACTCAGTATCCCACTAAGCTTTTAACCATTCTACCTAAGTACTAGAAACATCAATGCCATTAAAAAGTCGCTGTGCACCCTCAAAAACTTAAACATAGATATATGACCCAGCAATTCCACTCCCAGATATCTGTCCCAGAGAAACTAAAACCTGTACGCAAAAGGCCAGGCGCGGTGGCTCACGCCTGTAATCCCAGCACTTTGGAAAGCTAAGGTGGGTGGATCACTTGAGCTCCGGAGTTCAAGACCAGCCAGGCCAACATGGTGAAACCCCATCTCTACTAAATAGTAAACACAAAAATTAGCCGGGCATGGTGGCAGGTGCCTGTAATCCCAATTACTTGGGAGGTTGAAGCAGGAGAAGTGCTTGAACCCGGGGGGTGGAGGCTGCAGTGGGCTGAGATCGTGCCACTGCACTCCAGCCTGGGCGACACAGCAAGACTCCGTCTCGAAAAAGAAAAAAAGAGAAAAAAAAGTACACAAATGTATTTTTAACAGTACTATTCACAATTGCCAAAAAGTGAAAACAACCCAAATGTTCACCACTAATGAATGGGTAAACAAAATGTAGCATAGCCATATAATGGAGTATCATTCAGTTATAAAAAGGAATGAAGTACTGATTCATGCTACACAGCAAGAACCTTTTGGAAACAGTACAGTGAGTGAAAGATGCCAGGCACAAAAGGTTACATATTGTAGGATTCCTGAAATATCCATAACAGGCAGATCCATAGAGACAGAGAGTAGATGAGTGGCTTCCAGGGGCAAAAGTGGCGGGGGGTGGGCAGGAGCATGGGGAATGATAGGTAATGGATTTCTTTTGGGGGGGGGGGGTGGAAATGTCCTAAAATTGGTTGCAGTGATGGCTGCAAATCTCTGTAAATACATTTAAAAACTGATGATTGTATCATGTATAACAACGTTTATCTCAAAGCTATTATTTTCTTAAAAAGATGTTTGGTAGGATTTTACAATAATAGTATGCTCAAATTATACATAATTGATATTCAATAAACGTGGAGGATGAACACGCTAATAATAAAGACTACGCATATTAAAGTCATTATACAAATATCTTTCAGTCTTTCCTTGTACATAGTAAGGGCTCAAGGACTAATTGTAGAGACAGATTGGCCAATCATGCACACATAAAATCAAAATATTTAAAAATGTGTTCAATGTTTAAAAAAAAACTTAACAGGTTTTTATTGACAACATGAGATTCACATTAAGAAATGCTACCCATATGTGTTTATTGCCCACTTCATATCCCTCTTGAAAATACTTTTGGCAGGTCAGGGTTGAACCACAGCGCAAAGCCACTCACCGCACTTCAAACTGCTAAGTGGGAAATGTCCAGTAGTGCATGGAAACACACTGCATGCCAGGCTGCTCGGACTAATAAGTTTACTACAACACCGAGGGACCCCAGCGTTATCTTAGTTGAAACTCACATTCCTTGTAAGTCACTACCGAACAATTATGTCCACGGCTAACAACATTTTTAAAGCGGGATTATTTGCATTTGGCATTACGGCATGCAAAATTCTTGCTCAATTACTTCTCCCGTTTATTCATTGAGACTATTTAAGGTGCTCTTCTAGGCACAAGATACAACAGAATAAAACAGGCAAAGCCAAGCAAACAAAACCCTGCCCTCATCCAACTTACATTCTGGTTTTGTTTTTTGTTTTGGGACGGAGTTTCGCTCTTATTGACCAGACTGGAGTGCAATGGCATGACCTTGGCTCACCGCAACCTCCGCCTCCCGGGTTCAAGCGATTCTCCTGCCTCAGCCTCCCGAGTAGCTGGGATTACAGGCATGCGCCACTATGCCCGGCTAATTTTGTATTTTTAATAGAGACGTGGTTTCTCCATGTTTGTCAGGCTGGTGTCGAACTTTTGACCCCAGGTGATCTGCCCGCCTCGGCCTCTCAAAGTGCTGGGATCACAGGCGTGAGCCACCACGCCCGGCGCATTCTGCTTTTTTTTTTTTTAAGTTAACAAGGAAATTTTATCTTTCCAAACTCATCTCTTATGTATTAAATGTCAGCACCAGCAAGGAATTCCCCACAATTCTCACCTCGCAAATGTACACTCTTTTCTAGACACCAAAAATCACAAAGATTTATGAAACATTAGGAGCTCCAATGACAAGCTTATCTTTCCTTTTTACAGATTTGCCAGGAACATAAAGACAAACATGGTCTACTCTACAAGTTTATTCAAAATCAGAAACCAAAACATTTTACATTCACAAAATACAACACACTATACAGTAGGTTGTCAGAAGCAGATTTAACAGCCCAGGGTCTTCAAATCACTGAGGTGCCAAATGGTTTTTTGCTTTAAAAACAAAACAGGCCGGGCGCAGTGGCTCATGCCTGTAAACCCAGTACTTTGGGAGGCCGAGGCTGGCGGATCACGAGATCAGGAGATCGAGACCATACTGGCCAATATGATGAAACCCCGTCTCTACTAAAAATACAAAAATTAGCTGGGCGTGGCGGCGCGTGCCTGTAATCCCAGCTACTCGGGAGGCTGAGGCAGGAGACTCGCTTGAACCCAGGAGGCAGAGGTTGCAGTGAGCCGAGATCGCACCACTGCACTCCAGCCTGTCGACTGACTTCAGACTCTCTCAAAAAAATAAAAAATAAAAACAAAACAAAATTCAATCTCTTAAATCTGTAAATCTGAAGTCATTCAATAACCTGAATTGTGAAACAAGAAAATATTGTTACCCCCACCTCCTAAAGCAAAAGTGCAATTTAGTACAAAGATCACAACAACTGGCTCAAAAAGGCAACTTTTAGAAACAAAGTCTAAATTCCTTTAAACAATTCAATAATTTAGTGGAAATGTTACTAAGTGGCCAATGATTCTCGTTATTCTTAGCTAAAAATTTTCCCTCGCTGTCCTCCAGACTAGCGAAGCTAGGCATATAGCACCCCAGAACAGCCAAACAATCCTTAAAACTCAGCAGCTACCTTCTTATCTTTCATCCGTAGGCAAAGTTCCTTATCTTCAGCAATTCCACTGGGCTGACTGCTAGCAAGATACTCGGAGGTGGACTCGACTCCTTCCAATTAAGACCAACTAAAGCCATTCTGAGACCGGCTAACTCCAGTTTGAGCCTTTAAGATACTATGTTTCCTACCAAAGAAAGAGGTATGGTGGATAACAGAGCAGCAATACATTTTGTTTCAGATTAGGCTTTGCCTTCTCCATTTGATCAATGGAAACCCTGAGTGGTTTATCTTTCCCTGGCTGAAGTTTTTGGGGGGAAGCGCTTGGTTATCTACAACGCATCAGTGATAAGATAAAAAGATAAAAAACATAATCCCCACCCAAATTAAACCGAAATAAATGCTTTATGAAATTATTGGCGGCCGGGAACGGTGGCTCATGCCTGTAATCCCAACACTTTGGGAAGCCGAGGAGGATGGAACACCTGAGGTCAGGAGTTCGAGACCAGCCTGGCCAACATGGTGAAACCCGCGTCTCTCCTAAAAATGCAAAAATTAGCTAGATGTGGTGGCGGGCGCCTGTAGTCCCAGCTACTCGAGAGGCTGAGACAGGAGAATCGCTTGAACCCAGGAGGCAGAGGTTGCAGTGAGCCGAGATCGCGCCACTGCACTACAGCCTGGGCGACAGAGCGAGACTCCATCTAAAAGTATATGTATATATTGGCAAGATCATAAAACAGATTGTGCCATCAAAAACTTTCTTGAAATTAAAAACACATTCATAAATCCTTTTGAGTATCGCTTTCTTTACAACTTCCAAAGACGGTAGGGAACTTGACAGCTCCATTCACAAAAAACTCCCGACCATTGTTACAGCCCCAAAGAGCCACTGGCTTACGAGGTAAACTGCGACTTGGTTTTTGGAACCACGGACTGGTAGAGCCCTGTCGAAGGTAAGCAAAGACATTCCAATTCTCGTGAGGCATACATTCCAAGGGGTCACTAGCATCCAACACACACGCAGAGAAATGAACCCAAGACCAGACACCCCACCAGGCTGCACGAAACGTAAACAAGTAAACAAGCAAATAAAAATCTTAAAAAAACAAAGCGTAGTCTTGAGTAAAAGGGAGGTCAGCCACCCAGGAGAAGCACATGACTCATGCACCGGCCTGAACTAAAGTATTTACACCGTCCACTACAACAGAGTGGGGTTTCCCATCTTCAAGCAAACCCAAGCCTTGGGGGCATCTCAGCCGAGTGAAGCCATGCTATTTCCGTTTGGGAGGAGGGGGATCATTTTATTTCGCTGAATCACAACTCCCCCACATCCCCACCCCAAATCACCACAATCACCACCACCACACAACACTGCAAATAAAATAGGCCGTTGCAAGGACGCCGGCGAGCACGGACCGAGCAAAACAAAGCGCCCAGCAAGGGGCTGCCAGGCTGAGAGTGGGTGCGTCAAGCGGGCCAAGCTCGCCTCCAGGGCACCGCTCCCGCCCTGAGGCCTGGCCTCAGACCGGCGTGCAGCCGCAGCCACCTCCCTCCGCAGGGGACCTGCCCCTTTCTCCGCAGCACTCCGGGGACCGCCGGGAAGGTGAAGAGATGGGGGTGGGGGCGCGCTGCCCCGGCCCAGGCAAAACGACCTGGGTGCCAGAAGGAGAGCGCGCCGGCCCCGGCCCACGTGAGCGCCGCGGCCGAGCCCGCCTAGAGGACCGCGGACCGGGACAGCTGCGCTCGCGGCCCCCGCGCCAGGCCGGGACTTACCCGGGCCGGGCGCGCCGCGGACCCCGCGGCGGCCGCTTCCTCCTCCTCCTCCTCCTCCTCACTTAACAAAATGGCGGCGGCAGGAAGTGCCGGGCGCCTCGGCCCGCCCCCCGCCCGCCCCCGACCGCCGGCCCCGCCGCGGCGCCCGCGCCCCCCACCCGCGCCCCGCCGGCCAGCCCAAGCCCGGGTCCGACGGCACCAAAGGCAGGACAGCCGCGAGCGACCCCGCCGCCCCGACACCAACGGCGCAGGCCGCCCCGGCCCGGAACGAACGGCGCGGGAGGCCCGCAGGCCCGAGCCCGCGTAGCCCCGGCCTCCCCGCCCCCGCGCCGCGCGGATGGCGTAGGTGGCGGCGCCCCGGCCCCATTACGCAATGCAGGTTACGCGGACCGCGCCGCGAGCCTCCGCCAGCCGCCCAGTGTCGTCCGCCGCCCCAAAGGGCACCAGTCCTCACCTGAGACGCTAGGCCGCACGCCGCCCCCGCCGGCCGTCCGCCCGCTGCCGCCGCCCCCTCCCCGAGCTGCCTGCGCGGCGCCGGGGCCCGCCCGCCGCTCTGCCGAGCTCACAGGCCGCGCTCGCCCGCGGGCACCGCCGGCAGCCGCCGCAGCCGCTGCCGCCGCCACTGCTTCGGCTCCTCGGCTGCGGGAGACCAGAACAAACAGCCCAGCCGCCGCCGCCGCCGCCGCCGCCGCCGCCAGCGCACTGACGTCACCGCGCACGCTGCGCGCGCGGCCCCGCGCCGCCGCCGCCCGGTGTGCGCGCCCCGCCCCCGCGCCCAGCGCGAACGAGCTCTGGAGAGACAGTGGCTGCGAGGTGAGTGGGGGATACCGCGGACTGAGGGAGGAGACCCCGCAGAGCGAAGGAGCGGGCTGGGGGAAACGGGCGGACTGCAGGCTGGGCCTGCGGGAAAAGATCTGAAGGCTGAGAGAGACATCCAAAATACTAAGAAAGGTCTGAAGACAGACCCTCACAGGGAGGGAGGATGGTGAGGAGGGACCCCACAGACTGATGGAGGAGGCGGAGGAGAGAGCCCTAAGGGGGGACCCCAGGTAGGGAGGCTGAGGCGAGAGAGCTGCGATGGGGGCGCCGGGGCTGGGGTGAAGTGGAGGAAAGGAGGTGAGAGGAGGCTGCGAGCAAGGCCGAGGCGGATCCTCCTTGGCTGCCCCTGGGCAGGGAGGTAGCACCTTTCTCCTCTTATGCCCCCCTGTTGATCTTCTTCCAACCCACCTTTTTAAAAAAAGGGACATGGTCTTGCTCTGTCCCCCAGGCTGGAGTGCAGTAGTGCAGTCATAGCTCACTGCAGCCTCAACCTGCTGGCCTCAAGCGATCCTCCTGCTTCAGCCTCCCAAGTAGCTGGGACTACAGGTGTGCACCACCACACCCAGCTAACTATTTTTTGTAGAGATGGGATCTCACGATGTTGGCCAGGCTGGTCTCTGTCTCCTGGACTCAAGCGATCCTCCTGCCTCGACCTCCCAAAGTGCTAGTATTACAGGCGTGAGCCACCGCGCCCAGCTCCTTCCCATCCTTAAGACTCAACCCCAAGTCAGACCAGGCTCGGTGGCTCACACCTGTAATCTCAGCACTTTGGGAGGCAGAGGCAGGAGGTTGGCTTGAGGCCAGGGGTTGGAGACCATCCTAGCCAACAGAGTGAAACCTCGCCTCTACTAAAAATACAAAAATTAGCCCCGTGTGGGCCGGGCGCAGTGGCTCACGCCTGTAATCCCAGCACTTTGGGAGGCGGGCAGATCACGAGGTAAGGAGATCGAGACCATCCTGGCTAAGACGGTGAAACCCCGTCTCTACTAAAAATACAAAAAATTAGCCGGGTGTGGTGGTGGGCGCCTGTAGTCCCAGCTACTCGAGAGACTGAGGCAGGAGAATGGCGTGAACCCGGGAGGCGGAGCTTGCTGTGAGCGGAGATCGCGCCCCTGCACTCCAGCCTGTGCGACAGAGCGAGACTCCGTCTCAAAAAAAAAAAAAAAAAATTAGCCGGGTGTGGTGGCGCATGCCTGTAATCCCATGCCTGTAATGCCAGCTACTCAGGAGGCTAAGGCAGAAGAATCACTTGAACCCGGGAGGCGTAGGTTGCAGTGAGCCGAGATTGTGCCACTGCACTCTAGCCTGGGCGACAGAGCAAGGCTCTGTCTCCAAAAAAGAAAAAGACTCAACCCTAAGTCAGCTCCAGGACGTATGTGCCTACTCTACATGTGTGAGTCCGAGGGGAAAAAACATCATATGACCTCTTCTAGGGCTTCCAAAGCACCCCACCTGGCCACGGAAGAGCTTAGTAAACATGGGGTAGTTTTGAGATTGCTAAAAGGAGGAAGTTAGGCATATGTCTCTTGTAGCTTAAAATAATACTGTGAAATTTTTCAAACCTGGAAACAACCACTTCTCTTTCCTTTTATATATATATATATTTTTTTTTTTAAGACAAGATCTTGCTCTGTCACCCAGGCTGGAGTGCAGTGGCTGGATCATAGCTCACTGTAACCTCAAACTCTCAGTCTCAAGTGATCCTCCCACGTCAGCCTCTTTAGTAGCTGGGACCACAGGTGTGCGCCACCGTGCCCAGCTAATTTTTGTATTTTTGTGGAGAGGAGGTCTCACCATGTTGCCCAGACTGGTCTTGAATTCCTGGGCTCAAGCGATCCACCTCCCTCAGCCTCCCAAAGTGCTGGAACTACAGGCGTGAGCCACCGCACCCAGGCCATTCTCTTAGCATTTTGTATTCCCATCTTTTAAAAATGGAAAGCAGGCTGGGCGCGGTGGCTCACACCTGTAATCCCAGCACTTTGGGAGGTCGAGGCAGGTGGATCACCTGAGGTCAGGAGTTCTAGACCAGCCTGGCCAACATGGTGAAACTTCGACTCTACTAAAAATATAAAAATTAGCCAGGTATGGTAGCGGGTGCCTGTAATCCTAGCTACTTTGGAGGCTGAGGCAGGAGAATCACTTGAACCCAAGAGGCAGAGGTGGCAGTGAGCTGAGATCGTGCCACTCCACTCCAGCCTGGGCGACAGTGAGACTCCATCTCAAAAAAAAAAAAAAAAAAAAAAGGAAAGCAAACTCAGTTCTAAAAAGTCTACATGGGGCCAGGCACAGTGGCTCACACCTGTAATCCTAGCACTTTGGGAGGCCAATGCGGGTAGATTACCTGAGGTCAGGAGTTTGAGACCAACCTGGGCAACATGGTGAAACCCCGTCTCTACTAAAAATACAAACAAAATTAGCCGGGTGTGGTGGCGGGCACCTGTAGTCCCAGCTACTCAGGAGGCCGAGGCAGGAGAATCGCTTGAACCTGGGAGGTGGAGGTTGCAGTGAGCCAAGATCATGCCACTGCACTCCAGCCTGGGTGACAGGGCAAAACTCCGTCTCAAAAAAAAAAACAAAAAAGTCTGCGTGGTATTTTTTTTTTAAGTCCAAGTAATGAAACATTTCCTGATGGCCCATGGTTTCAGAATATATGGATATAATAGGATACCAGTAAAATAGTTCTTTTCTATCATGTGTTTGCTCATGCTTAACCAGGGGCAATCATAAATCACTAATGGGTCCTAAGCAAAGTTAAAAATTAAATTTTTTCATTCATTCATGTATCTATGTATTAATTTATTCATTTATGACAGGGTCTTGCTCTGTTGCCCAGGCTGGAGTGCAGTGTTGCATTCATGGTTCACCAAAGGCTGGAGTGCAGTGTTGCATTCATGGTTCACCGAAGCCTCGACCTCCTAGGCTCATTCAATCCTCCCACCTCAGCCTCCCGAGTAGCTGGGACTACAGGCATGTGCCACTACACCCAGCTAAGTTTTTAAATTGTAGTTGGCTGGGCGCAGTGGCTCACGCCTGTAATGCCAGTACTTTGGGAGGCTGAGGCGGGTGGATCACCTGAGGTCGGTAGTTTGAGAGCAGCCTGGCCAACATGGTGAACACACTAGTCTGTACTACAAATACAAAAATTAAAGGCCGGGTGCAGTGGCTCATGCCTGTAATCTCAGCACTTTGGGAGGCCGAGGCAGGTGGATCACCTGAGGTCCGGAATTCACAACTAGCCTGGCCAAGGTGGTGAAACCTCATCTGTACTAAAAATAGAAAAAATTTGCGGGGCTTGGTGACAGGTGCCTGTAATCCCACCTACTCAGGAGGCTGAGGCAGAAGAATCACTTGAACCCAGGAAGCGGAGGTTGCAGTGAGCAGAGATTGCGGAGGTGGAGGATACAGTAGTGAGCGGAGATCGCGCCATTGCACTCCAGCCTGGGCAACAAGAGTCAAACTCTGTCTCAAAAAAAAAAAAAAAAATTAGCCAGGCATAGTGTTGCATGCCTGTAATCTGAGCCACTTGGGAGGCTGAGGCAGGATAATCACTTGAGCCTGCTTAAGAGGTGGAGGTTGCAGTGAGCCAAGGTCGCACCACTGGACTCCAGCCTGGGTGACAGAGCAAGACTCTGTCTCGAAAAAAAAAAAAATTTGTAGCCATAGGATCTCACTGTCTTGGCCAAGCTGATCTCAAACTCTTGGCCTCAAGTGATTCTTCTGCCTTGGCCTAACCCTTTATTTTTAACAAAGCATGAGAAAACAAGTTATTAGCTGCAAGAAATAAAGGATGTAATTGTAACTCCTTCATTGAAACTTCCTTCTAACTCTGTATTACAGAATATTGAAATTTGTGAATATCTTCTGGCTCCTAATTTTGCACCCCTGGCAATTATGCAGAAGATGATCAGAAATGGAAAAAGAGCAGGAGGGTACCCAGGGCTTTGTGAATAGGTATTAACAACTGGTTTGTTGTTACTGGGTTTTTTGTTTGTTTGTTTTTTTAAGGAAACCAGAATGTATCTATTTTAAGCTCTCCTTCCCTATAGTTATCTTGTCTTGCTGCATTATCCACTTAATTTATCATTGTTGGCCAGGCGCGGTGGCTCACGCCTGTAATCCCAGAACTTTGGGAGGCTGAGGCGGGCAGATCACGAGGTCAGGAGATCGAGACTATCCTGGCTAACATGGTGAAACCCCATCTCTACTAAAAATACAAAAATTAGCCAGACATGGTGGTGAGTGCCTGTAGTCCCAGCTACTCGGGAGGTTGAGGCAGGAGAATGTCATGAACCCGGGAGGTGGAGGTTGCAGTGAGCCGAGATCGTGCCACTGCACTCCAGCCTGGGTGGACAGAGCGAGGCTCCATCTCGAAAAAAAAAAATTATCATTGTTGTTGACAATAAATGTTTTTGGAAGTAATTTGGAACTGTTGGTTTGCAAATCACATAATAAAAGCCCTCACTTTACTGTAGAGTCACACTTAACATTAGACAAAACTATATATCTAGATTGATAACTAGACCGAACTAGGTGGCTTTTGGCCATTGCTACAAATTAAATCCAACCTGGAAAAAATATTCAGGCTGTAAAGGCAGTTCCAAAAGCTGTCTCCAAAAATCGTTTGGGACAACAATGTCTCATTCTTTTTGTCTTCCATGGTGCTTTGCCTAACTCCTCGAAGATAGCTCAAACTCAGAAAATGTTTATCTGGTTGAGTCACTTTAATAAAAATAGTCTTGTTACCTCATGGTTCACATGTTATTTATTTATTTATGAAACAGTCTCACTCTGTCGCCTGGGCTGGAGTGCAATGGCATGATCTCGGCTCACTGCAACCTCCACCTCCTGGGTTCAAGAGATTCTCGTGCCTCAGCCTCCTGAGTAGCTGGAATTACTGGCATGTGCCACCACGTCCGGCTAATTGTTTTGTATTTTTAGTAGAGACGAGGTTTCACCATGTTGGCCAGGCTGGTCTCGAACTCCTGGCCTTAAGTGATCTGCCCACCTCGGCCTCCCAAAGTGCTGGGATTACAGGCTTGAGCCATGGCACCTGGCTTATTTATTTATTTATTAAGTTATAAAGACAAGATCTCACCCTGTCACCCATGCTGGAGTGCAGTGGCATAATCATAGCTCACTGAAGCCTCACCCTTCTCCACTCAAGCAATTCTCCCACCTCAGCCTCCTGAGTACATATGACTACACCCATGCCCCACCACACTTGGCTTTTTTTTTTATTTATTTTTTTTGTTTGTTTGTGTTTTGTAGCAATAAGGTTTCACTATATTGCTCAAGCTAGAATGCAGTGGCTATTCATAGACACAATCATGTCTGACTATAGCCTTGAACTCCTGGGCGCAAGCAATCCTCCTACCTCAACCTCCTGAGTAGCTGGGACTATAGCTGCCTGCCCAGCTTAGATTTTAATTCTATGCATCAATGTGTATCAATGTATAGAAATAGTTATGTTATTTAAACAAAAGGGATCATCCTATATCTGTTGCTTTTTGCTGTTTTCTTTTTTTTAGACAGAGTCTTGCTCTGTCACCCAGGCTGGAGTGCAGTGGTGCGATCTCGGCTCACTGCAACCTCTGCCTCCAGCTTCAAGCGATTCTCATGCCCCTGCCTCCCAAGTATCTGGGACTACAGACATGCGCCACCACAGCTATTTAATTTTAATATTTTTACTAGAGACACGGTTTCACCATGTTGGCCCGACTGGTCTCAGAATCCTGGCCCTAAATGATCCGCCCACCTCCGCCTCCCAAAGTGTTGGGATTACAGGCATGAGCTACCGTACCCAGCCAGCTTTTTTAATTTAATACATACAGCCCAGAACTCCTAGACTCAAGCGATCCTCCCAGTCCACCTCAGCATACCAAATAGCTGGGACTACAGGTGCATGCCACTGTGTCTGGCTGGAAGTCATTTCACGTGAATACTCTGAGATCTGCCTTATTGGAGATGATGTCAGGATCACATACAGTATGTTATCTATCTCAGATAACATGGTGGCTCATGCCTGTAATCCCAGCACTTTGGGAGACTGAGGCAGGTGGATCATTTGAGGTCAGGAATTTCGAGACCAGCCTGGCCAACATGGTGAAACCCCGTCCCTACTAAAAAAACACAAAAATTAGCCAAGTGTGGCGGTGCACACCTGTTGTCCCAGCTACACGGGAGGCTAAGGCACAAGAATCACTTGAACCCAGGAGGTGGAGGTTGCAGTGAGCTAAGATTGCGCCACTGCACTCCAGCCTGGGAGACAGAGCAAGACTCCGTTTAAAAAAAAAAACAAAAAAAACACTAAACTAAAAAACGAAGGAAAAAGAAAACATGGAGTTGTTCCTTTGGCCACATGCATGCAAATCTGTAAGAAAAGTAATGTTGTAGACATCAAGGGAATGGGTACTGTTCACAAAGGAATGCCCCACAACTGTTATCATGCAAAACTGGAAGAGTCTACAGTATTACCAAGCATGCTGTTGGGATTCTTCTAAACGGACAAGTTAAGGGCAAAATTCTTGCCAAGAGAATTCATGTACGTATTGAGCACATTATTCACTCTAAGAGGTCAGGAGTTCAAGACCAGCCTGACCAACATGGTGAAACCTTGTCTCTACTAAAGATATAAAAATTAGGTGGGCATGATGGTAGGCATATGTAATCTCAGCTACTCAGGAGGCTGAGGCAGGAGAATCACTTGAACCTGGGAGGCGAAGGTTGCAGTGAGCCAAGATCACGCCACTGTACTCCAGCCTGGGCAACAGAACGAGATACCGTCTCAAAAAATAAAAATAAAAAATAAAAGATCAATAGACTGTTTAAAAAAAAAAAAACAAGGATAAATTTATATAGCATGTTCAGCTCTGAAAACATCAGAAAGGTTGGGTGTGGTGGCTCACACCTGTAAAACCAGCACTTTGGGAGGCCGAGGAGGGTGGATCACTTGAATCCAGGAGTTTAAGACCAGTCTGGCCAACATGGCGAAATGCCACCTCTACAGAAAATACAAAAGAAATTAGCTGGGTATGGTGGTGCATGCCTGTCATCCCAGCTATTTGGGAAGCTGAGGTGGGAGGATCATCGGAGCCTGGGAGGTAGAAGTTGCAGTGAGCCACAATTGAGCCTCTGCACTCCAGACTGGGCAATGGAGTGAGACCTTGTCTCAAAAAAAAAAAAAAAAAAAAGGGAAAAAGAGGCCGGGCTCCGTGGCTCACACCTGTAATTGCAGCACTTTGGGAGGCCAAGGTGGGTGGATCACCTGAGGTCAGAAGTTCGAGACCAGTCTTGCCAACATGGTGAAACCCGATCTCTAATAAAAATACAAAAATTAGCCGGTCGTGGTGGTGTGTGCCTGTAATCCCAGCTACTTGGGAGGCTGAAGCAGGAGAATCGCTTGAACCCGGGAGGTGGAGTTTGCAGTGAGCAGAGATCGCACCACTGCACTGCAGCCTGGGAGACAGAGCAAGATTCCGTCTCAAAAAAAAAAAAAAAAAAAAAAAAGGAGCTGGAGGATTTGTGTCTTGTATCAATGCCCACTTTCCAATGGGAACTTGCCCACAAAGTTACATTCTAGAATTTATAGTTAGACCTAGAGAAGGCAAGTGAGTCACCCAAGGTCACACATTTACACAGAGTTGAGAACCTAGATATCCTGACTCTGTAAAGATTGCTTGCATTTTTTTCCCCTAGCCCAGGGGTTGACAAACTTTTTCTGGAAAGAGCCAAATACTCAACATTTTAGGCTTAGAGGGCCATACAATCTCTATAACATGGCCAATTTTTTAAAAATTTTTTTGAGACAGAGTCTTGCCGCGTTGCCCAGGCTGGAGTGCAGTGGTGTGATCTCAGCTCACTGCAACCTCTGCCTCCCAGGTTCAAGTAGTTTTCATGCCGTGGTCTCCCAGGAAGCTGGAATTACAGGCATGTGCCACCATGCCCAGCTAATTTTTGTATTTTTATTAGAAACAGGGTTTCACCATGTTGCCCAGGCTGCTCTTGAACTCCTGACCTCAGGTGATCTGCCCGCCTCAGGTTCCCAAAGTGCTGGGGTTACAGATATGAGCCCTACAGCGCCCGGCCTTTTTTTTTTCTTTTAGTCAGGGTCTCATTCTCTCACCCAGGCTGCAGTTGCAGTGGTACCATCAGGGCTCACTGCAGCCTCAACCTCCTAGGCTCAAGCCATCCTCTTGCCTCAGCCTTCCAAGTTGTTGGGACTGTAGGCACATGCTACCATGCTGGGCTGTTTTGTTTTTGTTTTTGTTTTTGTTTTTTTGAGATGGAGTTTCACTCTGTCACCTAGGCTGGAGTGCAGTGGCGTGTGTCTCAGCGCACTTCAACCTCTGCCTCCCGGGTTCAAATGATTCTCCTGCCTCAGGCTCTGGAGTAGTTGGGACTATAGGCGTGTGCCACCACACCCAGCTAATTTTTGTATTTTTAGTAGAGACAGGGTTTCACTATGTTGGCCAGGCTGGTCTTGAACTCCTGACCTCGTGATCTGCCTGCCTCGGCCTCCCAAAGTGCTGGGATTACAGGCAGGAGCCACTGTGCCCAGCTGTTTTTTTTTTTCATTATTTTTAGTAGACATGGGGGTCTCATTTAAGTTGCCCAGTGTGGTCTCGAACTCCTGGGCTCAAATGATCCTCTTGCCTTGGCCTTCCAAAGTGTTGGGATTACAGGTGTGAGCCACTGAGTCCAGCTACACTGTTAATTTTTGTAGCTGTACCATTGTGGCACAAAAACAGCCATAGATAATATGTAAACATATGGCATGACTGGCAATAAAATGTTACGGATACTAAAATGAGAGTTTCGTATACATTTCATGAGTCACAAAATGTCATTATTTTGACTTTTGTCAACCTTTTATTTATTTATTTATTTATTTATTTATTTATTTATTTATTTTTTAGACGGAGTTTCGCTCTTGTTGCCCAGGCTGGAGTGTGGTGGCGCGATCTCGGCTCACCGCAACCTCTGCCTCCCGGGTTCAAGCAATTCTCCTACCTCATCTTCCCAAGTAGCTGGGATTACAGGCATGCGCTATCACACCCGGCTAATTTTTTATTTTTAGTAGAGATGGGGTTTCTCCATGTTGGCCAGGCTGGTCTTGAACTCCTGAGCACAGGTGATCGCCCACCTCGGCCTCCCAAAGTGCTGGGATTACAGGCATGAGCCACCGCGCCCGGCTGTCAGCCTTTTAAAAAATATAAAAACCATTCCTCACTGGAAGGCTGTTCAAAAACGGTGGCTGAGATTTGTCTTGTAGGCCATATAGTTTGCTCGTCCCAGTTCTAGACTCTCAAGCCTAGAGAAGCAGAAATTTCTTTACATGCATCTTTTTTATTTGTTTGTTTAAGACAGGGTCTCTCGGCTGGGCACAGTGGCTCACGCCTGTAATCCCAGCACTTTGGAGGCTGAGGTGGGCAGATCACGAGGTCAGGAGATCGAGACCATCCTGGCTAACACGGTGAAACCCCGTCTCTACTAAAAATACAAAAAATTAGCCGGGCGTGGTGGCGGATGCCTGTAGTCCCAGCTACTTGGGAGGCTGAGGCAGGAGAATGGCATGAACCCGGGAGGCAGAGCTTGCAGTGAGCCGAGATAGCACCACTGCAGTCCGGCCTGGGCAAAAGAGTGAGACTCCGTCTCAAAAAAAAAAAAAAAAAAAGACAGGGTCTCTCTGTCACCCAGGCTGGAGTGCAGTGGCACGATCACTGCAGCCTTGACCTCCTGGACTCAAGCAATCCTCCTGCCTCAGCCTCCTGTGTAACTGGAACCATACACAGGTGCATGCCACCACAATGGGCTAACTTTTGCATTTTTTATTGTGACGGGGTTTTACCATATTGCCCAGGCTGGTCTTGAACTCCTGGGCTCAAGAGATCCTCCCACCTCAACTTCCCAAAGTGCTGAGCTTGCAGGCATGAGCCACTGTGCCCAGCCTACAAGTCTCATTTCTGTAATGATACAGAAGCTACTCTGCTATAATTTTTAAAAAATTAATAGACTATTTTGTTAGCAGTTTTAGGTTTACATAAAAATTGAGGCCAGGTGCAGTGGCTCACGCCTGTAATCCCAGCACTTTGGGAAGCTGAGCCAGGTGGATCACCTGAGGTCAGGAGTTTGAGACCACCCTGGGCAACATGGCAAAACCCTGTCTCTACTAAAAATACAAAAAATTAGCCGGGCATGGTGGCGCGCACCTGTAATACCAGCTACTTGGGAGGCTAAGGCAGGAGAATTACTTGAACTCAGGAGGAGGAGGTTGCGGTGAGCCGAGATCGCGCCACTGCACTCTAGCCTGGGCAACAGAGCGAGACTCAATCTCAAAAAAAAAAAAAAAATTGAAGCTGGGCGTGGTGGCTCACACCTGTAATCCCAGCACTTTGGGAGGCTGAGGCGGGTGGATCACCTGAGGTCAGGAATTCGAGACCAGCCTGCCCAACATGAAACCCCGTCTCTACTAAAAATACAAAAATATTAGTCAGGTGCGGTGGCACACACCTGTACTCCCAGCTATTCAGGAAGCTGAGGCAGGAGAATCGCTTGAACCCAGGAGGCAGAGGTTGCAGTGAGCCAAGATCGCGCCATTGCACTCCAGCCTGGGCAACAAGAGCAAAACTCCATCTCAAAAAAAAAAAAAAATTGAGTGGAAAGTACGATTCCCATATATGCCCTTACTACTACCCTCCACCCCATTTTCCCCAATCTCAGCATTAACATTAGTGTGCTACATTTGTTACAGCTGATGAGCCAGTATAGATCCAATACCGATACATTATTAACTAATACCTGTACTTTACATTAGGGTTCATTCACTCTGTGTTGTATATTCTATGGGTTTTGACAAATGTATAAACACATGTAGGCCGGACATGGTGGCTCATGCCTGTAATCCTAACACTTTAGGAGGCCGAGGACGGGGGATCACTAGAGCCCAGGAGGTCGAGACCGTCATGGGCAACATGGTGAAACCTCATCTCTGCAAAAATACAGAAAATTAGCCAGCTATGGTGTCACATCCCTGTAGTCCCAGCTACTTGGGAGGCTGAGGTGGGAGGATCACCTGAGCCTGAGAGGTCCAGGCTGCAGTGAGCCAAGATCACACCGCTGTATTCCAGCCTGGGCAATAGAGTGAGACCCTGTCTCAAAAAGTGAAAATAAAGACATGTATATACTATTATGCTTGCCAGTTTGTTTATTTGTTTTGCTTTGAGACAGGGTCTTGCGCTGTTGCCCAGGCTGGACTGCAGTGGCATGGTCGCAGCACACTGCAGCCTCAACCTGCTGGGCTCAAGCGATCCTCCTGCCTCAGCCTCTCAAGTAGCTGGGATTATAGGTGTGTGCCATCATGCCTGGCAATTTTTTTCTTTTTTTTAGTAGAGATGAGGTCTCCCTATGTTGCCTAGTCTGGTCTCAAACTCCTGGACTCAAGTGATCCTCACCAAAGCCTCCCAAAGTGCAAAGATTATAGGCGTGAGCCACCATGCGTCCGGCTTGCTTGCCGTTGTTTTTGTTTGTTTGTTTTGTTTTGTTTTGTTTTTGAGACGGAGTTTCACTCTTGTTGCCCAGGCTGGAGTGCAATGCCGTGATCTTGGCTCACCACAACCTCCGCCTCCCGGGTTCAAGCGATTCTCCTGCCTCAGCCTCCGGAGTAGCTGGGATTACCAAGTAGCTGGGATTACAGGCATGCGCTACCATGCCAGGGTAAGTTTTATATTTTTAGTAGAACTGGGATTTCACCATGTTGACCAGGCTGGTCTCAAATTCCTGACCTCAAGTGATCCACCCACCTCAGCCTCCCAGGGTGCTGGGATTACAGGCGTGAACCACTGCACCCAGCCTGCATTTTTTTTACAAACAGATTTTCGCCATGTTGCCTACACTAGTCTCAAACCCCTGGGCTCATGTGATCCTCCTACCTCGGCCTCCCAAAGTGCTGGAATTAAAGGTGTAAGCCACCGTGCCCATCCAGTTGACAAAGTTTATTTCTTTTTTTTTCTTTTGAGAGAGAGTTTCACTGTTGTTGCCCAGGCTGGAGTGCAGTGGCGTGAACTTGGCTCACTGCAACCTCTGCCCCCCAGGTTCAAGCCATTCTCCTGCCTCAGCTTCCTGAATAGCTGGGATTACAGGCATGTGCCACAACACCTGGCTAATTTTGTGTTTTTAGTAGAGACGGGGTTTCTCCATGTTGGTCAGGCTGGTCTCGAACTCCCAGACTCAGGTAATCCTCCCGCCTCAGCCTCCCAAAGTGCTGGGATTACAGGCATGAGCCACTGCGCCTGGCCGACAAAGTGTATTTCAAACACTGCGGAGAATTGTTGTGGTCTTAATTCATTTGGGGTAATCGGTATTGTCATTCTCATTGTCCTCTTGTGAGGAGGAATTAGGAACTTATGTCTCTCTAGGGAGGCTACAGTTTTCCTTTTGGGGACCATTGTAGTAGAGAATTCTCACATTCACACATTTCATTTCCCTAAAGTTAGTCACCGGCCCATGTGGGTAATCTCTAAAGAGGACAACAAGTATTTAGCAGTTATTTCAGAGATAATTTTCTGCCAGCAAATATGGGAAACTTGCATGCATTTTTGAACTCTGCCTCTTCACATCTATTTAGAGAAATGTTCCCAAGTCTTTGTAGGCATCTGAGAAGCCAAAATCCCCAGGCATTTCCCACAGGGCAGGATCGGTTGTCGTTTTGAGTGGGTAGCGATGGGCTGGGTGGCCTATTAAGTGAAAACATGGTGATCTGTGCACCCACAATGCCTAGGCCCTGCAGACACAAATGCCCAACTTGTTGACCTGTGACTCAGACTTAGACCCGAAAAGGAGATGTTATATACACTCTGTTCTTTATTGAAATAATCCAGCTTGAATGAGTTGGCTGGAAATATAGGATTTGTAGGAATAAACGGTCTTCCACATCAACATAATGGAATTCAGTTGAGAGGAATATTACTGGGGATGTAAATATGCTTTAAACACAGGCTCGCGGTGGCTCACACCTGAAATTCCAGCACTTCCGGAAGCTGAGGCAGGCGATCACTTGAGGTCGGGAGTTGGAGACCAGCCTGGCCAACATGGCGAAACCACATCTCTACTAAAAGTACAAAAAAATTAGCTGGCTATGGTGGTATGTGCCTGCAATCCTAGCTACTCGGGAGGATGAGGCAGGAGAATCGCTTGAACCCAGGAGGCGGAGGTTGCAGTGAGCCGAGATCGTGCCATTACACTCCAGCCTGGGAGACAGAGCAGCACTCCGTCTCAAAAAAAAAAAAAAAAAAAAAGAAAAGAAAAGAAAAAAAAAAGAGGCTGGGTGCCATGGCTCACACCTGTAATCCCATCACCTTGGGAGAAGTTTCTCTTAAGCCCAGGAGTTTGAGACCAGCCTGGGCAACATGGAGAAACCCTGTCTCTACAAAATATACAAAAATTAGCAGGGCGTGGTGGTGCATGCCTGTAGTCCCAGCTACTCAGGAGGCTGAGATGGGAGGATCACTTAAGCCTAGGAGATTGAGGCTGCAGTGGGCTATGGTTGTGCCACTGCACTCCAGTCTGGGCAACAGAGCAAGACCCTGTCTCAAAAAAATAAAAAAAAGAAAAGAATAAAAGTGTTACAACAATGCCAGCACTGTACTGGAAGACAGTAATCAAAGAAGTAAAACTGTATCTATTCACAGATGATGTGATTTTATAGATACGAAATCCTGAAGAACACACACACACACACACACATACACACACAAACTTATTAGAGCTAATACATTCCACAAAATTAGCATCCATGATCAACACACAAAAACCTCTTACTTGTATTTCTGTACACTGGCAACGAACAACCCAAAAATGAAATTAAAAACATTCTCGGCCAGATGCAGTGGCTTACGCCTATAATCCCAGCATTTTGGGAGGCTGAGGCGAGCAGATTGCCTGAGGTCAGGAGTTCGAGACCATCCTGGCCAACATGGTGAACCTCTGTCTCTACTGAAAATAAAAAAATTAGCCAGGCGTGGTGGCAGGTGCCTGTAATCCCAGCTACTCAGCAGGCTGAGACAGGAGAATCACTTGTACCCGGGAAGCGGAGGTTGCAGTGAGCCGAGATTGTGCCATTGCACTGCAGCCTGGGCGACAAGAGTGAGACTTTGTCTCAACAACAACAACAAAAAAATTATCAGGCAGACCCCCTGAGTACAAACAAAAAATTTTTTTTTTGAGACGGAGTCTCACTCTGTCGCCCAGGCTGTAGTGCAGTGGCGCGATCTCGGCTCACTGCAAGCTCTGCCTCCCGGGTTCACGCCATTCTCCTGCCTCAGCCTCTCAAGTAGCTGGGACTACAGGCACCCGCCACCACGCCCGGCTAATTTTTTTGTATTTTTAGTAGAGACGGGGTTTCACCGTGTTAGCCAGGATGGTCTATGATCTCCTGACCTCGTGATCCGCCCGCCTCAGCCTCCCAAAGTGCTGGGATTACAGGCGTGAGCCACCGCACCCGGCCCAAAATTTTTAATTAAAAATGTTTTAAATAGGCTGGGTTCAGTGGCTTTCACCTGTAATCCCAGCACTTTGGGAAGCCGAGGCGGGCTGATCACTTGGTATCAGGAGTTTAAGACCAGCCTGGCCAACATGGTGAAACCCTGTCACTACTAAAAATACAAAAATTAGCTGGGTGTGGTGGCATGCACCAGTAATCCCAGCTACTCAGACGTTGAGGCAGGAGAATCGCTTGAACCCGGGAGGCTGAGGTTACAGTGAGCCAAGATCACACCATTGCACTCCAGCCTGGGCAACAGAATGAGGCTGCGTCTCAAAAAAAAAAAAAAATTTATGGTAGCTCACACCTGTAATCCTACCACTTTGGGAGGCCGGGGTGGGTGGATCACGAGGTCAAGAGTTCAAGACCAGCCTGGCCAACATGGTGAAACCCCGTCTCTACTAAAAATACAAAAGTTAGCTGGGCATGGTGGTGTGCGCCTGTAATCTCAGCTACTCGGGAGGCTAAGGCGAAGAATTGCTTAACTGGGACCCAGGAGGCAGAGGTTGCAGTGAACCAAGATTATGCTGGCACTGCACTCCAACCTGGGCTGCAGAGCAAGACTCTGTCTCAAAAAAAAAATTTTTTTAGTCCGGGCACGGTGGCTCACCCCCGAAATCCCAGCACTTTGGGAGGCTGAGGGCAGATCATGAGGTGAAGAGATCGAGACCATCTGGCCAACATGGTGAAACCCTGTCTCTATTAAAAATAGAAAAATTTGCTGGGCGTGCGCCTGTAGTCCCAGCTACTTTGGAGGCTGAGGCAGGAGTATCGTTTGAACCCGGGAGGCGGAGGTTGCAGTGAGCCCAGATTGCACCATTGCACTCCAGCCTGGCGACAGGGCAAGATTCTGTCTCAAAAAAAAAACAAACGAAAGAAATGTTAAAACTTCATTTTACAATAGCATCAAACATATAAAAAATACTTAGGAACAAAAGAGGTCCAAGCCTGGGCACGGTGGCTCACGCCTGTAATTCCAGGACTTTGGGAGGCTGAAGCGGGTGGATCACAGGGTCAAGAGATCGAGACCATCCTTGCCAACATGGCGAAACCCCATCTCTACTAAAAATACAAAAATCAGCTGGGTGGGTACAGTGGCACACGCCTGTAGTCCCAGCTACTCAGGAGACGGAGGCAGGAGAATGGCTTGAACCTGGGAGGCCAAGGTTGCAGCGAGCTGAGATCGCACCACTGCACTCCAGCCTGGTGACAGCGCGACTCCGTCTCAAAAAAAAAAAAAAAAAAAGGCAATATTACCTCAGTTGATCTGTAGATTTCCTGTCTGATATCTCTGTCAGAGTACCAGCTGGGTTTGACAAGATGACCCTAAAGTCCATATAAAAACTCAAGGGCTGGGGCCAGGTGCAGTGGCTCACGCCTGTAATCCAAGCACTTTGGGAGGCCGAGGTGGGCGGATCACCTGAGGTCAGGAGTTCAAAACCTGCCTGACCAATATGGCAAAACGCCATCTCTACTAAAAATAACAAAAATTAGCTGGTTGTGGTAGCACGTGCCTGTAATCCCAGCTACTCTGGGGGTTGAGGCAGGGGAATCGCTTGAACGTGGGAGGTGGAGGTTGCAGTGAGCTGAGATCGCGCCACTGCACTCCGCATTGTTGACAGAGCGAGACTCTGTCTCAAAAAAAAAAAAAAAAAAGGCCTGGTGCGGTGGCTCACACCTGTAATCCAAGCACTTTGGGAGGCCAAGGCGGGTGGACCACGAGGCCAGGAGATCGAGACCATCCTCACTAACACAGTGAAACCCCGTCTCTACTAAAAATACAAAAAATTAGTGGGGTGTGGTGGCAGGCACCTGTAGTCCCAGCTATTCGGGAGACTGAGGAAGGAGAATGGCGTGAACCTGGGAGGCGGAGCTTGCAGTGAGCCGAGATCACGTCACTGCACTCCAGCTTGGGCAACAGAGAGAGACTCCGTCTCAAAAAAAACAAAAAACAAAAAACAGGGACACAGAATAACCAAAACAATCTTGAAAAAGAGGAACAAAGTCGGAGGAGTCACAGTTCCTTATTTATTTTATTTATTCATGTTTTTATTGTTATTGAGATGGAGTCTCACTCTGTCGCCCAGGCTGGAGTGCAGTGGTGCAAGCTCAGCTCAGTACAACCTCCGCCTCCCAGGTTCAAGTGATTGTTCTGCCTCAGCCTCCCAAGTAGCCGGGATTATATGCATGCGCCACCACACCTGGCTAATTTTTATATTTTTAGTAGAGATAGGGTTTCGCCATGTTGGGTGTTGGCCAGGCTGATCTCAAACTCCTGACCTCAGGGGATCCACCTGCCTTGACCTCTCAAAGTGTTGGGATTACAGGCGTGAGCCACTGCACCTGAGCTTGTATTTATTCATCTATTTTATTTATTTATTTATTTGAGATGGAGTCTGGCTCTGTCACCCAGGCTAAAGTGCAGTGGCACGATCTCAGCTCACTGGAACCTCTGCCTCCCAGTTCAAGCAATTCTCTGCCTCAGCCTCCCAAATAACTGGGATTACAGGTGCCTACCACCATGCCCAGCTAATTTTTTTGTATTTTTAGTAGAGACGGGGTGTCACCATCTTGGCCAGGCAGGTCTTGAACTCCTGATCTCATGATCCACCCGCCTTGGCCTCCCAAAGTGCTGGGATTACAGGCGTGAGCCACCATGCCCAGCCTATTTATTTTTCTTGAACACAGTCTCTGTCACTCAGGCTAGAGTGCAGTGGCATGATCTCAGTTCACTGCAACCTCTACCTCCCAGGCTCAGGTGATACTCTCACCTCAGTGTCTCCACTAACTGGAACTTCAGGTGCCCACCACCATGCCCAGCTAATTTTTTGTATTTTTGGTAGAGAAGAGGTTTCACCATGTTGCCCATGCTGGTCCCCAACTCCTGAGCTCAGGTGATCCACCTGCCTCGGCCTCGCAAAGTGCTGGGATTACTGGCATGAGCCACTGTGCCTGGCCGACTTTGAGTTATTTATTATTTTAATTTAATTTTTGAGGCAGAGTGTCGTCACTTTGTTGCCCAGGCTGGGTGGATTACAGGTGGCACGGTATCAGCTCACTGCACCCTCCACCTCCTAGGCTCAAACGATCCTCCCACCTCAGCCTCCCAAGTAGCTGGGATTACAGGTGCATGTCACCATGTCCAGCTAATTTTTTTTGTTGTTGTTGTTGAGACAGAGTTTCACTCTTGTTGCCCAGGCTGGAGTGCAATGGCATGATCTCGGCTCACTGCAACCTCTGCCTCCCTCCTGGGTCCAAGCGATTCTCCTGCTTCAGCCTCTAGAGTAGCTGCGATTACAGGTGCGCACCACATGCCCAGCTAATTTTTTGTATTTTTAGTAGAGACAGGGTTTCACCATGTTGGCCAGGCTGGTCTCGAACTCCTGACCTCAGGTGATCCACCCATCTCGCCCTCCCAAAGTAAATGGGATTACAGGCGTGAGCTACCGCTCCTGGCCTGTCCAGGTGATTTTTATATTTTTAGTAGAGATGAAGTTTCACCATGTTGGCCAGGCTGGTCTCTAACTCCTGGCCTTACCTGATCTGCCTGCCTCAGCCTCCCAAAGTGTTGGGATTATGGGCATGAACCGCTGCCTGACTTTAAATCTTACTTCAAAGCACAGTGACATAAGGATAGATACGTAGAATAGAATAGAGCTGACAGTCCAGAAGTAAACCATGTAGTTATATGGTCAACTAACTTTTGACAAGGGTATCAAGACCATTCATTGGGGGAAAGAACAGTCTCTTCAACAAATACTGTTGAGACAACGCGATAAGCCACATGGAGTGAAGTTGGACCCTTACCTTACACGTATATAAAAATTAACTTGGCCAGAGGCAGTGGCTCACGCCTATAATCCCAGCACTTTGGAAGGCCGAGGCAGGAGGATCACTTGACATCAGGAGTTCGAGACCAACTTGGCCAACATGATGAAACCCTGTCTCTACTAAAAATACAAAAAGTAGCCAGGCGTGGTGGCACAATTTTGTAATCCCAGCTACTCGGGAGGCTAAGGCGTGAGAATCACTTGAACTGAGGAGGCAGAGGCTGCAGTGAGCTGAGACTGCGCCACTGCACTCCAGCCTGGACAAGAGAATGAGATTCCATCTCAAAAAAAAAAAAAAAAAAAAAAAATTGGCCGGGCGCGGTGGCTCACGCTTGTAATCCCAGCACTTTGGGGAGGCCGAGGCAGGCGGATCACGAGGTCAGGAGATCAAGACCATCCTGGCTAACAAGGCGAAACTCCGTCTCTACTAAAAAATACAAAAAAATTAGCTGGGCGTGGTGGCGGGCGCCAGTAGTCCCAGCTACTCGGGAGGCTGAGGCAGGAGAATGGTGTGAACCCGGGAGGCTGAGCTTGCAGTGAGCTGAGATCGCGCCACTGCACTCCAGCCTGGGCGACAGAGCCAGACTCCGTCTCAAAACAAAACAAAACAAAACAAACAAAAATTAAAATGAACTACAGACCTAAATATGAGCTAACATTATTAAATTATTGGAATAAAACATAGAAGTAATTTTTTTTTTTTGAGATGGAGTCTCACTCTTGTTGCCCAGGATGGAGTGCAATGGCATGACCTCGGCTCACTGCAACCTCCGCCTCCTGGGTTCAAGAAATTCTCCTGCCTCAGCCTTCTGAGTAGCTGGGATTACAGGCACCTGCCACCACACCTGGCTAATTTTTTGTATTTTTAGTAGAGACGGGGTTTCACCATGTTGGCTAGGCTGGTCTCTAACTCCTGACATCAGGTGATCCACCCGCCTCAGCCTCCCAAAGTGCTGGGATTACAGGCATGAGCCACAACGCCCGGCTTACAAGACTTTTTTTTCCAGATGGAATCTCGCTCTGTTGGCTCAGGCTGGAGTGCAGTGGCGTGATCTCAGCTCACTTCAACCTCCACCTCCCAGGTTCAAGCGATTCTCCTGCCTCAGCTTCCCGAGTAGCTGGGATTACAGGCATCTGCCACCATGCCTAGCTAATTTTTATATTTTTAGTAGAGACGGGGTTTCACCATGCTGGCCAGGCTGGTCTTGAACTCCTGACCTCAGACCATCCACCTGCCTTGGCCTCCCAAAGTGCTGGGACTACAGGCATGAGCCACCATGCCTGGCTACAAGGCTTTTAAAAATTAGCTGGGCATAGTGGTGCACTCCTGTAGTCCCAGCTAATCAAGAGGCTGAAGTGGGAGGATCACTTGAAACCAGGATTTGGAGGCCGCAGTGAGCTGCTGTGGTGCCACCGCACTCCAGCCTGGGCAACAGTGAGATCCTGCCTGTAAAACCAACAACAACAACAACAGAATTATGTAGTTTCACCAAGAGGTGGAAGGTGGAAGAGCCTCACTGACATTCAGACCAATTTAATGACAGGTCTTGGATTGACATATACATATTTTGAAACGAAATTTTGCTCGTCGCTCAGGCTGGAGTGCAGTGATGCAGTATCAGCTCACTGCAACCTCTGCCTCCAGAGTTCAAGTGATTTTCCTGCCTCAGCCTCCAGAGTAGCTGGGACTACAGGCACCTGCCACCACGCCTGGCTAATTGTGTATTTTTAGTAGAGATGGGGTTTCACCACGTTGGCCAAGATGCTCTCGATCTCCTGACCTTGTGATCTGCCCGCCTTGGCCTCCCAAAGTCCTGGGATTACAGGCATGAGCCACCACACCTGGCCTGATATTTTATTTTTTTGAGACAAATTCTTGCTCTGTTGCCCAGGCTGGAGTGCAGTAGCGCAACCTCGACTCACTGCAGCCTCTGCCTCCCTGGTTCAAGCGATTCTTCTGCCTCAGCTTCCCCAGCAGCTGGGATTACAGGTGTGTGCCACCACACCCAGCTAATTTTTGTATTTTTGGTATAGACAGGGTTTTGCCATGTTGGCCAGGCTGGTCTTGAACTCCCGACCTCTACTGATCCACCTGCGTTGGTCTCCTAAAGTGCCAGGAATACAGGTGTGAGCCACCATGCCTGGCCGGGTCTTGGATTTTTATAAGAAGAAAAAAAAGGTGTGGGGTAGGGGAGAGCCAGGTGCAGTAGCTCATGCCTGTAATCCTGGGAGGCAGAGGTTGCAGTAAGCCAAGATCACGCCACTGCACTCCAGCCTGGGCAACAGAGTAAGACTGTCTCAAAAAAAAAAAAAAAAAGAAAAAAAAAAGAAAATTAAGGAAATAAAGCAGTTCCACTAGTGATGTTTTTCTGCACTACTGTTTAATGCTACCGACATTTTTGCCTTAAGAGAACAAGCTTAAAAGGCATGCTCACCCTGCGATTAAGACGCATCTACACAACACAAACGGATGCTGAGCAGAAATGACCCAGAGGCACCATCGTCTTTTCAAGCAGTTTATTTCCATTTTCAGTTCTAATGTTGACTTTTTCATAAATATTCACCTGGAATCTCCACTAAGGCTCCTCATGAGCAGGGCCCAATTCCTAGAATGTGCTTGGTGAGTTAGCCCCTGGTATACAGTAGAGGCTCGGCAAATATTCTACAGCCTCCTTTCTAATGATTTCCCAGTGGCCAGCGTTTCCCAACATGTGAGATGTACAGTTCAAAAGGCCACAGGGAAACTGACACAGCAGGGCCATTTCAAAAGGGGAGGATCTTCCAATTCTTCTGATTTTAGGAAATTCTGTTGCGTGCTAACCTTGAACACATGCTAGCCTCCCTTTCTCAGATTTGGAAAGATCTAAAGTAATAGTTATTTCTCTAAAATGAAACATATATTTCATTTTATATATATATATATATATTACAGATACCTTCTATCTATGGCAATTTATGTTGGATTATTCCACCTATGGCAATCACATCAAGTTTTCTTTCCTTTTTTTTTAAGAGATGGGGTCTTGCTATGTTGTCCAGGTTGGTCTTGAACTCCTGGGCTTAAGCTATCCTCTCACCACGGCCTCCCGAAGTGCTGGGATTATAGGTATGCATCACCGTGCCTGGCCAAATTCTCTTTGTAAATACATTTGAGTGGTAGTAACTAATTTTAAAGGAAAAAAACCTGAAGTAATCTAGAGGTGGAACACAAATGAGGTAAAATATTAGAGAACTGATTCAGCAAGGACTAAAGATTGGGACGCAATGCCCTCTGCACAGTCTGGTTCTTGAGGTTGCGGTGGGTGTGTTTCCAGTGGCGTAGGTCGGTCAGATACTTCTGGCCTTTGGGAGTGCGTGGATGTGACGCGGTCAGTGCCACATGTGAACCAGGTGCTGCGAAGTCCTGTGAAAGTCACACACCATATGGTGCACTACAAAGGTATAGGTTAAAGGCTGAAGCTTGAAACATACAAAAAAAAATCCTCTATAGAGCAAGATATATTCCTAGTATTCAGCTGTTCCCAACCAAATAAAAAAAAAAATTAAGGAAAAAAATAAAAAAGGAAGCATTCCATCAGTGGCTGTATTGAACAAGTAATGTATCATCAAGATATAATCACCCAACCTTTATTATTCCAAGTGCACTACTGTCAAGAGACATGTTACAGCCGCTAAGGACAATGTACTTCAGCTTTGAAACCTGGGCAAGAAGCCACACGACTGCATGAGACAAGCCGTGAGAGGCACTGCTCAGGAGGAAACGCTGGGTCTCTTCACCAAAATTAGATTACAGCATATTCTGGGAGCACACGCCCTTGTACTGCTTACAAACCAAGGGAGAAAGACCAACGCATCCATCATCCCAACGCCTTCCCTGGAACAGGGAAATGAGCATCATTCTGTGGGAACAGCGTCTTTAGACTCTGCATCAGTTTGTTCCACTTCAGCATCCGCGGCAGCTGGGGCAGGAGCAACTCTGGTTTGGGCACTTTCTGCCTCTGCTGCCATTGTCTCGGCGCCATTTCCAGCCTCTGCAGCCTCACTTCTGGCCTTGGGGACGCCCTTCTCATGTGCCGTTCCACAGGGCACCTGCTCTTCCAGCAGCTGTTCGGCTTGAGGATCACTACCGGCCTCCGCTGTGTCCGTGGGGCCTTCGTCCTCAGCCGGCTCCCCGCTGCTCTCTGGAGCGGGCGCTCCTTCCCCATCTACGGCCCTCACTGCTGCTGTAATCACCTCTGCTAAGACGTCCGCGGCCACCTCCTCAGGTGTCTCTTTCTTATCCTCACCTCCTAAATTGTCATCTCCTTCCATTTCTGGATCAACAGTTTCACTGGTGAAAGGGTCCTCACCCTGGCCAAAGAGGAAACACCGGTCAGCGTGGTGTAAGCAGAGCTCAGGAGGCCCATGATTGCGGGGATGTCAGCTTTTCAGAACCAGCAGTCCACAAGGGAAACACTTCTGTAAATTATGCCACAGGAGTGAATCCTACATGTTCTCAGAGCCTACAGATTCAGAAAACACCTCGGGGAGATATTCTGCAATTTTTTTTTTTTTTGAGATGGAGTCTCGCTGTTGCCCAGGCTGGACTGCAGTGGTGCGATCTCGGCTCACTGCAACCTCCGCCTCCTGTGTTTTTAGTAGAGATGGGGTTTCCACCCACCTCAGCCTCCCAAAGCGCTGCGATTACAGGTGTGAACCACCATGCCCGGCCCATTCTGCAATTTTTTTTTTTTTGAGACGGAGTTTTGCTTTGTTGCCCAGGATGGAGTGCAATGGCGCGATCTCAGCTCACCACAACCTCTGCCTCCTGGTTTCAAGTGATTCTCCTGCCTCAGCCTCCTGAGTAGCTGGGATTACAGGCAGGAGCCACCACGCCCGGCTAATTTTGTATTTTTAGTGGAGACGGGGTTTCACCATGTTGGGCAGACTGGTCTGGAACTCCAGACCTCAGGTGATCCGCCTGCCTTGGCCTCCCAAAATGCTGGGATTACAGGCACGAGCCACCGTGCCTGGCCTGCAATTTTTAATCAAGCATGTACCAGCGAGGAAAAGTTCACAAGCCCAGCCTTAACTTGATGTTTTTTAAAAAAGGGCATGAGGCCGGGCGTGATGGCTCACACCTGTAATCCCAGCACTTTGGGAGGCCAAGATGGGTGGATCACGAGGTCAGGAGATGGACACCATCCTGGCTAACACAGTGAAACCCCATCTCTACTAAAAATACAAAAAAAAAAATTAGCCGGGCATGGTGGCGAGCGCCTGTAGTCCCAGCTACTCGGGAGGCTGAGGCAGCAGAATGGCGTGAACCTGGGAGGCGGAGCTTGCAGTAAGTCGAGATCACGCCACTGAACTCCAGCCTGGCAGCCTGGGCGACAGAGTCAGACTCCATCTCAAAAAAATAAAATAAAATAAAATAAAGGGCATGTAATAGGAAGTTAACACTACGTAATATTTTAGTTTCATTAAGGTACAGTGGCTCACGCCTGTAATCCCAGCACTTTGGGAGGCTGGGGCTGGAGGACTGCCGGAGCTCAGGAGTTCGAGACCAGCCTGGGCAACGTGGCGAATCAAGATTCAAATCCAAGTCTGACTCCCTCAGAAGTCAAAATTCTCCTAAGTATATGATAGAAAACTATCTGTAGTCTAAAACAAGCAAACTAAAAGTTATCATTACCAGATTAGGAAACATGTTTTAAAATATGATGCTTAGGGCAAGGTGCTCACGCCTGTAACCCCAGCAATTTGGGAGGTCAAGGCGGGAGGATCACTTGAGGCCAGACCAGCATGGGCAACAGAGCAAGACTGTCTTAAAAAATTAGCCAGCATGTGGCCGGGTGCAGTGGCTCACGTCTGTAATTCCAACACTTTGGGAGGCGGAAGCAGGCAGATCACAAGGTCAGGAGATGGAGACCATCCTGGCTAACACAGTGAAACCCCATCTCTCTTTTCTTTTTTTGAGACGGAGTCTTGGTCTGTCGCCAAGGCTGGAGTGCAATGGCGCGATCTTGGCTCACTGCAACCTGCACCTCCCGGATTCAAGCAATTCACTGCCTCAGCCTCCCAAGTAGCTGGGATTACAGGTGCCCGCCACCACGCCTGGCTAATTTTTTTTTTATTTTTAGTAGAGATGGGGTTTCACCATCTTGGCCAGGCTGGTCTTGAACTCCTGACCTCGTGATGCACCCGCCTCGGCCTCCCAAAGTGCTGGGATTACAGGCGTGAGCCACCACGCCCGGCCACCCCATCCCCCTGCAAAACATTAGCCAGGCATGGTGGTGGGCGCCTGTAGTCCCAGGTACTCAGGAGGCTGAGGCAGGAGAACGGCATGAACCCAGGACACAGAGCTTGCAGTGAGCCGGGATCGCACCACTGCACTCCAGCCTGGGTGACAGAGCAAGACTCCATCTCAAAAAAAAAAAAAAAAAAAAAAAAAAAAAATTAGCCAGGTGTGGTGGTGTACTATTGCAGTCCCAGCTACCTGGCAGGCTGAGTGGGGAGGATCTCTTGAGCTCAGGAATTCGAGGCTGCAGAGAATCTCTGCAGGAATCTCTTGGCTGGGTACCAAGAGAACAAGACCCTGACTCAAAAAAAAAGACGCTTAGAAGCCTGAGCTCACACTTGACTCTGGAAACTTTTACCTTGCTTAAGCTGCAAAGGTAAAATATACATCAGTCATGTTTCCTCCCTCTTTTTTTTTTTTTTTTTTTTTTTGAGACAAGGTCTCACTCTGCCATCCAGGCTGGAGTGCAGTGGCACGATCTTGGCTCACTGCAACCTCCGCCTCCTGAGTAGCTGGGACCACAGGCGCATGCCACCACGCCTGGCTAATTTATGTATTTTTTGTACAGACAGGGTTTCACCATGTTGTCCGGGCTGGTCTTGAACTCCTGAACTCAAAGTGATCCGCCCACCCCAGCCTCCCAAAGTACTGGGATTACAGGTGTGAGCCACCACGCCCGGCCCAGTCATGTTTCTTCAATTGGTTATTTAGATTCTGTGCCTTTAATAGATGGAACTGTCAAATATGGAAGTGTTTAGTAACTGAGAGGAGGGCAAAGGTCCTGAAGTCAGGTTGTGGGCTGGGACTTAGCCACCTGCCCCAAATGCTAAAGTCCTGGGATGAACACTGAGCAAAATGGGTTTCACAAGGAAGAACTGGGAGCTCTTCCAACCAGCCTTCTCTCCATGAGCACCCACTTTGGGACTTCGATATGCTGCTCCCATCATGAAGGCTCTGGTTCTTCACTACCCCTCACCTTCAACCTCACTGTCAGTTGGCTCTATCAATGAAATCTCTTTTTAGCTTCTCTCCTGGAAAATTCTCATGTACCTTGGATTCTTTTTTTTTTTTTGAAATGGGGTCTCACTCTGTCACCTGGGCTGGAGTGTAGTGGCGCAATCGTTAACTCCTCTAACTCCTGAGCTCAGGGATCCTCCTGCCTCAGCCTCCCAAACTATTGGCATTACAGGCATGAGCCATAATTCCCGGTTCCCCGCTTTCCTTTATTTTCAAGACCAGTCTTGCTATGTTACCCAGGCTGAAGTGCAGTGGTAACACCATCACTCACTGTAGCCTCAAATTCCTGGGCTCAAGCAATCCTCCCATCCCAGCTTCCCGAGTAGGGCTAGCCTTGGGTTTTTCTTAAAAAATCACCTAACCATCATTTGCTCAGAATTTTAAGGCTAAACAATCAGGATTTTTCATGGTAAAAATCCATTACGCACTGATTAATCAAGCAGCGCCACATCCCCAGAGTCCCCAGGCAAGCACTGACTCATTAGAAATCCCAGTTGTCATGTTCCTGAGCTTGATGCATTCCAGTGTCCCTCAACTGTCAAAAGACTCAGAAATGCTAAATGCTGCACTCTGGATTCAACTCCCTGCTCCTGGGGTTCATCTTCCCTTTTGAAAGCTTTTCCTGTCTGTGGTACTTGCAAGCACAAACCTTGAGGTATTTTTCCAGCATCTTCACTATATGTCTGTTGTTCAAAACACTCTTAGCCACATGGAGACTGGTTTTCTTGAACTGTTCAGCAGCCAACTGCAAAGGGAACCAAATGTGAGCTCTTAAAAATGGCAAAGATTAAGGAAGAGAATAAACCAGCCAGGCTCTGCCGAGTCATCCTGAGATCAGCCCTATGCAGAGAAGCGAATCTCAAAACGCCAGCCTCCAAGAATAGAAGGCTCCAGAGACTGTGCAACCAAGACTAACAAACTGGAAAAGCTAGGCAATCTTAAGAGATAAATGCAAAGATGCACCACTGATACCCATGTAGCACATGCAGAATTGGGGGTGAAACAAGAGCATTTACAAATGAAAGGCTGTGTGGACTCAGTGGAGGAAAAGGACAAGCTCTTTCTTTTCAGTTTTTGGGGTTACATTGATTTCATAAGTTCAACAACAAAAGTATGAATATGCTGGGTGTGGCAGCTCATGCCTGTAATCCTAGCACGTTGGGAGGCTGAGGCATGTGGATCACTTGAGGCCAGGAGTTCGAGACAAGCCTGGCCATCATGGTGAAACCCTGTCTACAAAATATAAAAATTAGCTGGGTGTGGTGGTGCACACCCGTAATCCCAGCTACTCAGGAGACTGAGGCATGAGAATTTGGGAGATGGAGGTTGCAATCAGCTGAGATTGTACCACTGCATTCCAGCCTGGGCAATGGAGTGAGACTCTGTCTCAAAAAATAAAATTAAAAACAAAAACAAAAACAAAAAACAAACACACAACCATGACTGCACCAAGTCTCTGTTTTAGAGCCTGACTTGTTTGCACAATGGTCCCTTGTTTGTATACTGCTTTTCAGCTGATCTTTAACAGTACTGGGGCTGGGTGCAGTGGCTCACACCTGTAATCCCAGCACTCTGGGAGGCTGAGGCGGGTGGATCACCTGAGGTCAGGAGTTCAAGACCAGCCTGGCCAACATGGTGAAACCCCGTCTCTATTAAAAATACAAAAAATTAGCCGGGCATTGTGGTGGGCGCCTGTAATCCCAGCTACTTAGGAGGCTGAGGCTGGAGAATTGCTTGAACCTGGGAGGCAGAAGTTGCAGTGAACTGAGATCGTGCCACTGCACTCCAGCCTGGGCAACAAGAGTGAAACTCCGTAAAAAAAAAACAAAAAAACAAAAACGTAAACCAAAAAACCAAAACCAAAACCAAAACCAAAACACAGTACTGTGAGATGGGTGAGCAGCTCTTGACCTCCCCATTTAATAGCTGAGTAAACTAAGGAGAGAGCTGCTAACCCAGGGCCAGAAAGTGACAGGCTGCAGAGCAAACGCAGCCACAGGCACTCTTCACTGTCTGCTTTTCTGCACTGACAGCAGGTAGAGCTGTTGCTGGATAGGGCCTCTATGGTCTGCAATGCTAAAAATACTCATGATCTGACTCTTTACAAAATAAGGTATTTTTCCAGCATCTTCAACACTTGACCCCTGGGCTCAACATTTAGCCTGAAGCCCCAGCAGCTAGGTAAGGACAGAACCAGTCCTTTAGTCCAAGTCCCCTGGGCCACTCAGCTTTCAATGGCCCTTCGGTCTCAGCTTATGGAAGCCCCCAGGCCTTCCGCTAGTGGGAAAACTGACCAACGTGGAAACACTATCAGGAGAATCTCAGCTACTGCATTTAATCGAGTCTAAGCAACACATTTTCTCACATTTTTATAAAAATTGAGACGAATCTTACGACCCATCGATGGAAGTGATAGACTTGAAACATAGCAAGAACCCCTAAAGATGTTGTTATTCCCCATAAGACACAGCAGGCTCTGAGCCGCAGCCCTGCAATGAGCACCCCAGGCAGTGTGGGGAGGAAGACTCACCCTGCGGTTGTGATTGTGGTCCACGGAGTGCAGGTGCCGCTGGAGGAGCTGCGGCTGTGCAGGAATTAGCATGTCGCAGGCCAGGCAGTGAGCAGCCTCGATCTTCTTGAAGAAGTGCTCCTGGCCAATCCCTGCCAGGAAACGCATGTCTTGTAGGATCTGGGACAGCAAGTGATGCTTTCCTCCTACTCCCCATCTGGGCCCACGTTTTCTCCCTGCAACTCTAAGGAATCAGAAGGGCACAGCCTGCCTTTCTATGGGGAGTATGGGTCAGCACATCGGCCTCTATAGCTGTGAATTCTGCACTTTTCAGCTTTTCTGTTCCTCCTGGTTGTTTCTTTTCAAACCAAGGAGGAAAAGATATGAAAGTGCTTAATGTCACTGATATAAGCTGCAATCTATGCAAGGCCACATCCGAAGGTTTCTTTCCATTGCTGCTGAGCGCTCTTCCCACGGGTCTCGTCATCACCTTCTCAGCCAACTTGGGCTGGCTTCATGCCACTTTTTTTTTTTTTTTTTTTGAGACAGAGTCTTGCTCTGTCGCCTAGGCTGGAGTGCAGTGGTGCAATCTTGGCTCACTGCAAGCTCTGACTCCCAGGTTGACACCATTCTCCTGCCTCAGCCTCCCAAGTAGCTGGGACTACAGGTGCCCGCCACCACGCCCGGCTAATTTTTTGTATTTTTTTAGTAGAGACGGGGTTTCACCGTGTCAGACAGGATGGCCTTGATCTCCTGACCTCATGATCCGCCTGCCTCAGCCTCCCAAAGTGCTGGGATTACAGGTGTGAGCCACCGTGCCCGGCCTCGTGCCACGTTTTACGGGTCCTGTCACATGCCTTACTACCATCCAGGAAAGCACTCATCCTGGGATGACAACTCACCTTTGAAAGGATCTGGTTTTGGTTTTGCGGTTTCTTTCTCCATCAATTCCTGACGCCGCTTCTCAATTTTCTTATTTCTGTTTACAATGTATTCCTAGGTGGGATTGGAGAGGGCATAAAGTAAAATGAGAGGTGGGCGCATGTGGGCATTTCTCAACTGCCAGGGCTAGGCAGGCAGCTATCAGAGCAGCTGCGTGGGGCAGCACAGCACGATGGCTGGAGCTCCCGGTTGTCCCTGTGACTCAGGGACTTACACAGCTACTCTATCTGGGAAAGGAAACCTTGGCCAAGTATAGCCTCTGATTTCCCTTCCTCCTTCAAGGGATCCGGCACCTGCGGGATGGGCAAGAGACGCGGTGACGGGGCCCAGGTTTCCTTTACCTGGAGGAACTCCACGGTCTTGTCGGGCAGCTTGGTGCTTATGAACCGCAGGGTCTCTTTGTGAAATTTGCTTTGCAGATGCTTCTGGATCTCTTCGTCATCAAAGCTACGGAACTTGCATACAGAACAGGCAAACTGAATTCTGTAGAAGGAAAACAAGGAGGGGAGTGAAGCAGGGAGCATCAGCGAGTGAAGCAGGGGGCATCAGCTCACCTCTGAGGAGAGCTGAAATAGAAACAGGATTTTCAGCTCTCCCCCTCCCCCTCTCCCTCTCCCCACGGTCTCCCTCTGATGCCGAGCCGAAGCTGGACGGTACTGCTGCCATCTCGGCTCACTGCAACCTCCCTGCCTGATTCTCCTGCCTCAGCCTGCCTACTGCCTGCGATTGCAGGCGCGCGCCGCCACGCCTGACTGGTTTTCGTATTTTTTTGGTGGAGACGGGGTTTCGCTGTGTTGGCCGGGCTGGTCTCCAGCTCCTAACCGCGAGTGATCCGCCAGCCTCGGCCTCCCGAGGTGCCGGGATTGCAGACGGAGTCTCGTTCACTCAGTGCTCAATGGTGCCCAGGCTGGAGTGCAGTGGCGTGATCTCGGCTCGCTACAACCTCCACCTCCCAGCCGCCTGCCTTGGCCTCCCAAAGTGCCGAGATTGCAGCCTCTGCCCGGCCGCCACCCCGTCTGGGAAGTGAGGAGCGTCTCCGCCTGGCCGCCCATCGTCTGGGATGTGAGGAGCCCCTCTGCCTGGCTGCCCAGTCTGGAAAGTGAGGAGCGTCTCTGCCCGGCCGCCATCCCATCTAGGAAGTGAGGAGCGCCTCTTCCCGGCCGCCATCACATCTGGGAAGTGAGGAGCGTCTCTGCCCAGCCGCCCATTGTCTGAGATGTGGGGAGCACCTCTGCCCTGCCGCCCCGTCCGGGATGTGAGGAGCGTCTCTGCCTGGCCGCCCTGTCTGAGAAGTGAGGAGACCCTCTGCCTGGCAACCGCCCCGTCTGAGAAGTGAGGAGCCCCTCCGCCCGGCAGCCGCCCCGTCTGAGAAGTAAGGAGCCCCTCCGCCCAGCAGCCACCCCGTCTGGGAAGTGAGGAGCGTCTCCGCCCGGCAGCCACCTTGTCCGGGAGGGAGGTGGGGGGATCAGCCCCCCGCCCGGCCAGCCGCCCCGTCTGGGAGGTGAGGGGCGCCTCTGCCCAGCCGCCCCTACTGGGAAGTGAGGAGACCCTCTGCCCGGCCAGCCGCTCCGTCCGGGAGGGAGGTGGGGGGGGGTCAGCCCCCCGCCCGGCCAGCCGCCCCGTCCGGGAAGTGAGGGGCGCCTCTGCCCGGCCGCCCCTACTGGGAAGTGAGGAGCCCCCCTGCCCGGCCAGCCGCCCCGTCCGGGAGGGAGGTGGGGGGGGTCAGCCCCCCGCCCGGCCAGCCGCACCGTCCGGGAGGGAGGTGGGGGGGTCAGCCCCCTCGCCCAGCCAGCCGCCCCGTCCAGGAGGTGAGGGGCGCCTCTGCCCGGCCGCCCCTACTGGGAAGTGAGGAGCCCCTCTGCCCAGCCACCACCCTGTCTGGGAGGTGTACCCAACAGCTCATTGAGAACGGGCCATGATGACAATGGCGGTTTTGTGGAATAGAAAGGCGGGAAAGGTGGGGAAAAGATTGAGAAATCGGATGGTTGCTGTGTCTGTGTAGAAAGAGGTAGACGTGGGAGACTTTTCATTTTGTTCTATACTAAGAAAAATTCTTCTGCCTTGGGATCCTGTTGATCTGTGACCTTACCCCCAACCCTGTGCTCTCTGAAACATGTGCTGTGTCCACTCAGGGTTAAATGGATTAAGGGCGGTGCAAGATGTGCTTTGTTAAACAGATGCTTGAAGGCAGCATGCCAAGAGTCGTCACCACTCCCTAATCTCAAGTACCCAGGGACACAAACACTGCCAAATCTCCCTCTGCGAGAAACACCCAAGAATGATCAATAAAAATAAATAAATAAATAAATAAATAAATAAATAAATAAATTGGCAGTGGGCAAAAAAAAAAAAAAAAAGAAACAGGATTTTCAGTAATTTTTTTTCTTTCCTTTTTTTTTTTTTTTTTTTGGAGATGGAGTTTTGCTCTTGTTGCCGAGGCTGGAGTGCAATGGTGCGATCTCAGCTAACCGCAACCTCTAACACCCAGGTTCAAGCGATTCTCCTGCCTCAGCCTCCCGAGTAGCTGGGATTACAGGGGCCCGCCACCAAGCCTGGCTAAATTTTTGTATTTTTATTTTATTTTATTTATTTATTTTTTTGAGACGGAGTCTCCCTCTGTTGCCCAGGCTGGAGTGCAGTGGTGCGATCTTGGCTCACTGCAACCTCCGCCTCCCAGGTTCAAGTGATTCTCCTGCGTCAGCCTCCCGAGTAGCTGGGATTACAGGCGCCCACCACCACTCCCAGTTAATTTTTGTATTGTGAGTAGAGACGTGGTTTCACCATGGTGGCTAGGTTGGTCTCGAACTCCTGACCTCGTGATTGACCCACCTCAGCCTCCCAAAGTGCTGGGATTAAAGGCGTGAGCCACCGCGCCCAGCCTATTTTTTTTTTGTATTTTTAGTAGAGACAGGGTTTCACCATGTTGGCTAGGCTGGTCTCGAACTCCTGACCTCAGGTGATCCACCTGCCTTAGCCTCCCCAAAGTGCTGGGATTACAGGCGTGAGCCACCGCACCCAGACTTTTCTTTTTCTCGAGATGAGATTTCACTGTATTGCTCAGGCTGTTCTCAAACTCCTGGGCTCAAGCGATCCTCCCACCTCAGCCTCCCAAGTAGCTGGGATTAGAGGTGCATGCCACCGCACTCAGCCAGGGAAAGTGGCTGCTGAACCAAGAGTTCCGACTTCCCAAAGGGCAACAGAATGGCAGTTACCCAAACTTCCCCAGCTGAAGAATGGGAACACAGGCTTGCAGGTATCTCAGGAAAATGACTCGCATAGTAATCTGCTGGCACTGCAGCCCCTCTGGCCCCAAAGCCCCTGAGAAAACACCAGAAAGCTGCAACTGCTTGGAACTGGGGACGCCCTAGGCTCTGGCTGGCAGCTCTTGGGGCCCAGCATCTAGCTTCACAGCTTCTCAGATGAGTTCCTCTCTGCAGGAACTGGGATGACATAAGGCAACCTCATTTTACGTGCAGACAAAACACCTCGCACAATTCAAAACACAAAACCCAGTATCAGTTCTGCCATGAGACTACACGTAAAGACATGTCACATCAAATTCTACAGATAAAAAGTGAGGCTTCTTTGTCACAGGCTTTCAAAGTCTCCCCAAATGCAACCACGCTGCATGGCAAGGGAGAGCAGCCTGCAGGCCCCCAGGCCACCACACTGGGGTGCTCCCTCCCTGGCTCTCTCCTGGAGGCTCCTGCCCCTTCTGGTGTAGGGGTGCAGGCCCTGTGGCACTCAGGACTTCACCTCTGCCAACTCCACATGCCTGGCTTCTGACCTCTGACAAGCAACATGAAGACACCTCCGCTTCTGCAGACAGCCCCTACGTAGGCGGGGAGGGGACAATCTCCCGGGGCTCATACACAGCACTGTCAGGAAGCTACTGATGAGCTGTGTGCTTCCCTGCTACACCTCTGCCTCCCCGTGAGAATTCCTCCAAGTCCCTTCGAGATCCTCAGTCATGGCCAGGCGCGGTGGTTCATGCCTGTACTCCCAGCACTTTGGGAGACCAAGGTGCGTGGATCACCTGAGGTCAGGAGTTTGAGACCAGTCTGGCCAACATGGTGAAACCCCGTCACTACTAAAAGTACAAAAATTAGCTGGGTGTGGTGGCGGGCGCCTGTAATTCCAGCTACTTGGGAGGCGGAGGTAGGAGGATCACTTGAGCCCAGGAGGTGGACTGTTGCAGTGAGCTGAGATCGTGCCACTGCACTCTAGGATGGGTGACACAGCAAGACTCCATCTCAAAGGATAAAAAAAAAAAAAAAGAAAAAGATCCTCAGTCACTAGCGCACACTCTGAAGGTTTCTTTTTTTTTTTTTAAAAAAAGTCACCTGTTCATTGGAAGAACATACAAGATGAAAAAAAAGCAAAAAGAAAAAAAAAAAAAGCAAAAAGTAGTAAAAAAAAAATGTCATCTCTATACCCTTCTCCCAGTACTCTGGGAGGCCAACGCAGGAAGATCTCTTGAGGCTAGTTCAACAGCCCAAGCAACAGAGAAAGACCCCTATCTCTTTATTAGATTATTTAAGTTTAAAAATAATTAAAAAGAAAATGTCATCTCAGTTTCCATGTGACATGAAAAGTCATCTACTCTATCCATTTATCTGTTTAAAATAACAAGGGTTTCAATGTTCCTGTACCACTTAAGAAGAAACAGTTCTGCGTTTGGTTCCTGGCTTCGTTTTGCTAAGCATTTCTCTCTTTTTTTTTTGAATCCTTGATTTAAGGTTCACATGGAACAGTGATTTTCTTTTTTTTTTTTTGTTCCTGAGATGGAGTCTTGCTCCGTCGCCCACGCTGGAGTGCAGTAGCACAATCTCGGCTCACTGAGATGGAGTTTTTATTTGAGATAGAGTTTCGCTCTTGTTGCCCAGGCTGGAATGCAGTGGTGTGATCTTGGCTCACTGCAACCTCCACCTCCTGGGTTCAAGCAATTCTCCTGCCTCAGCCTCCCGAGCAGCGGGGAATACAGGCATGCGCCACCATGCCGGACGAATTTTGTATTTTTAGTAGAGACTGGGTTTCTCCATGTTGGTCAGGCTGGTCTCGAACTCCCAACCTCAGGTGATCCGCCTGCCTTGGCCTCCCAAAGTGGTGGGATTACAGGCGTGAGCCACTGCCCCCAGCCCGTTTCTTTTTCTTTTTGAGACAGAGTCTTGCTCTGTCGCCCAGGCTGGAGTGCAGTGGTGCAACCTTGGCTCACTACAAAGTCCACCTCCCCAGTTTAAGTGATTCTCCTGCCTCAGCCTCCCGAGTAGCTGAGATTACAGGCACCTGCCACCATGCCTGGCTAATTTTTGTAATTTTAGTAGAGATGGGTTTCACCATATTGACCAGGCTGGTCTTGAACTCCCGGCCTCAAGCGATCCGCCAGCTCAGCCTTCCAAAGTGCTGGAATTACATGTGTGAGCCACGGCATCTGGCCCCTTTTACTAAGCATTTCTTTGAACACGACAATCACTGCCCAGACTGGGCGCAGTGGCTCACGCTTGTAATACCAGCACTTTGGGAGGCCAAGGCGGGCAGATCACAAGATCAGGAGTTTAAGACCAGCCTTGCCAACACGGTGAATCCCGACCTCTACTAAAAATACAAAAATTAGCCAGGCGTGGTGTCAGGCGCCTGTAATCCCAGCTACTCGGGAGGCTGAGGCAGGAGAACCGCTTGAACCTAGGAGGCAGAGGTTATAGTGAGCCGAGATTATGCTATTGCACTCCAGCCTGGGCGACAGAGCAAGACTCCATCTCAGAAACAAACAAACAAAAAGAAAATCACTGTCCCATGTGAACCTTAAGGTCAAGGATTCCCCAGCATCACATGATCACTGGTGATTTCAGTTTCTAGTCAGAAGCCACTTAACTCCTGGCAGGGAGAGGCAGGCACATGGTGTGCTCACAATGACATCCTTTGGGCTCAACATTTTTGCAATCCTTTTCTATTGTGGGACAAAATCTTGATGGTAGGATCATCTCTCTACCTGTCTCCTAGCTGTGTCAAACTCCAGGGGTGGTCTGGATTTGGATAAGGTGAACACAGGACAGTGTCTGAGATGCCAGACACCAGGCTAGGGGGCAGGGATGCCCCTCAGGCCTGCAGGAGAGTAACAGAGCCCGCTGCTGAGCAGTTATGGACCACACAGACCCACCAGCAAGGCTGGGATTCCAGAGGAATAGAGACACAGGAGTCAAACACCAATCCTCTAAAGCAAGAACAGAAACCTAACCACCAAAGCAACGTCCCAGCCATCCTAGAAGACAGGTAGCTCGTGTGCTGGGAGCACGAGTGATGGTCTTTTCTGCACTCCCAATTGTTTACTGTTTTGCCTCCCACTGGTTTGGCCAGAGGAGTCAGGCCACCAGGCCCCCAGCATTGTGGAGCGAGGACAGGTGAGCTCGGCAGCGCCTCCACCGCACGAGTCCACCTCCTCCTGTGGGGTCGTGTGCCCGCGCCTCACCTGTCGGCTGCACGGTCCCGCGTCCTGTCTCTTCTCCTTTGCTTTTCCCTTCTCTTCTTCACATCCTCGTCCTCGTCCTCCTTCTCTCCTGTAACAGACAAGTCCCTTCGAGACGCTCTGAGTGGCCTGCAAAGGAGCTGAGCTCCAGGGCCTGGTCGGGGGGCTGCAGCTTGGCCACCGCACCCTGTGCCCTGCCACTGCCTGCACCACGCGGCAGGGTCCAGGATGCCCCAAGGCACTGTCAGAGACTCCTGGTGGACACGGGCCTGGAGTGAGAGCCCGGAGTAGTCACCAAACTCCCCACATGGCCTGAGGCGGCCAGGATGGGCTAGGGACACAGCCTGCCCACCCCATGTGCACCACAGCCCCCTGCTCCCTCTGTCCTCCCCATTCTGCTTGTCCAATCTCATGCCCTGCGATGGGGTCTTCTCCCAATATCACAGGAGAAGCCAATTCTCCCCGGATGAAGAGGCGGCAGCTGAAGGCCTCAGGAAGTGAAGCAGCTGCTCCGCCGCCCTCTATCCCACCTCTAGGTGGACTGTGACGAGCGTCCTGGCGGCCCCGTCTGAACTAGGGCCTCAGCAGGTCTGACAGTCCTTGCTGGCCCGACCTCTATCTTCCACTCACAAAAACCGTCAATCTAGGGCTTTCCCAGGGCTGCGTGGGAAGCAATCCTAGAAAAAAATTTGGGAAGAGACCAATTGGTCCTCCCGTCCGTCCCCCGGGGCCAGCAGAGGAGCTCCTCGGAGAGCCACGCGGCCATCATCCCAGCATGAGGCCAGGGACGGACGCTGAAAAAAGGTTGGAGAAGCATCTGAACTGTAACCCCTACCCCTGATGCCAGTCCCGAGACTGTCCCACGAAGATGGCGACCGGCGTGCGCTGCTCAGAAGCCTCTCAAAAGGGCGTGTGGGATTTTTGGCAAGAGGTCACTGCCTGAAACTATGACTGCTGTTTAATAGCAAAGTCATCCCGGGTAGGTAGCAGGACCTGCGCGCAACAGACATGTCACCTTTGCTTTAGCATTGTGCCGCTAAGCGCTCGGGGCGCCCCGTGCTATGGACAGGACTGCTGCGGGTCGCGGGGGGGAGGACCGCAGAGGGCTGGCAAAGCCTGAACAGGAGGAACATCTAAGCCAAGGGCCTTCAGAATGGATGGGAGCAGGGCCACTGAGGAGCCAGCCTATGATCCTTGGGGTAACCAGCTACGGAAAGACCCACAGGACAGGTAAAGAAACGAGTGGCTTCAGGGTGAGCTCCAGGCCGCGGCACCTCAGGCCGCTCTGCCATGAGGGATTTAAGCCTGCTCTGCTGTTGCTGCAGACCCTCTGGTCTCCTGCATTGGACATGAAGAGACCTGCTGAAGGGCGCCCGCCTCTCAAAGACCCAGTGGGCCTGGGTGCTCCCGACCCCGCAGGTGTCTGCTGTCACACACTCGCAGGCACGAAGCAATGTGCAGTGCAGCTGCCAGTATCCCCACCACAGAGGCCCACAGCACAGCCCAGGGCAGGCGACTGAAGGAACTGGACAAAAGGAAGCCCCAGAGAAAACACTTCAGGGAAATGCACTGGCCGAGGAGGGCACAGAAGATGGGCTGGGGGCCTCTTCTCTCATGTTTCTCCTTCCCTACAAACTTCGACTGTGGTGGACACCCAAGGCTGCCCCCCATCCCCACTGCAGCCCACATCGGGTCAGGCAGACAGACCCGTTTCCAGTAAATGCTGCCCCAGACACTTTGAAGCAAAGTGTTGGCTGATCGCCACGGTCAAGGCCCATCTGGTGGCTGCAGCCCCTCTTCCCCCACAGCCACGGGCCCCTCCATCCAGGCCCCTGGCTTGCTCAGAAGCTGGGCAGTAAGTGCGGGGCAGCTGGGAAGACACAGGAAAGCTGCAAGGGACACGGTGATGCCTACCTCTTTGCCTCCCAGAGTCGCAGAGTTCATCCTCCTGGAAAAGAGTATACACAAAGTCCGGCAGTGAGCTGGTGTGTCCAGACTCTCCACAACCAGCCCAGTCCCTGGCCACTGCCTGGTGGGCAGTCTCACCCAAGACCTAGGTTGCTATGCCACCAAGAATGAGCCACAGTGTGTTAGGACCAGCCTCCGGGGCTCAGGACAGGGCCTGTGTGTCCTGTTATTACTCCTAGTTGCCTTCAGAGATTCTGTGACAATCACCTTGCTAAAAAGCCATTCACCCACCCTCTCTCGGTTCCTCCTAAGCTGCAGAACTGCCTGCCCCATGACAAAGACCCACCCGTACAATTCTATGAATGGAGCCTGTTCACCAACCGTAGGGAGATAGAGTCTCACTTGGGGGATGCCAGTTCTGGCATTCTTCATAGAAAATGGGTTCCACCACGTTTCCCGAGCTTTTGTTTATATTTACCCAATGTCTTTTTTTTTTTTTTTTTTTTTTTTGAGACGGAGTCTCGCCCTGTCTCCCAGGCTGGAGTGCAATGATGCAATCTCAGCTCACTGCAACCTCTGCTTCCTGGGTTGAAGCAAATCCTCTGCCTCAGCCTCCCGAGTAGCTGGGACTATAGGCGCATGCCGCCACATCCAGCTAATTTTTGTATTTTCAGTAGAGACGGGGTTTCACCATATTGGCCAGGATGGTCTCAATCTTGTGACCTCGTGATCCACCCGCCTTGGCCTCCCAAAGTGCTGGGATTACAGGTGTGAGCCACCGCGCCAGGCCTATATTTACCCGATGTCTTAATAACAATCACGTATAGATAAAAACGATTCAACTGAGAATCTGAACAGAGCTGACTCCTTAGGCAGTGAACATACGGCTAAATTAACAATCAGCAGGTTTACAGAGATTCCTAATCTCAAGACCAGCAAAATAGGGATCAAGTGAGACTCTGAAAACCTGAAAAGCCACCATCTCCTGCCTGTTCCCTGCCTGTGTGACTCTAAGGACTTGGGGAAGGCCCTCCTTCCCACTCTGGACCTCCAGGCCCTACACCTCCAACTTGGATCAGAATCTACACTGGGGTGGCTGAGGCACCTCCCCAAGAGCTTGGGGTGGTCCCGGCTATGAACTGGCCCCACGTGCTGCCTGCCTGTGCCTTGTTGTGAGGATGGAAGGATGAGGACACCAGTCAGCGGCACCCGGCACGGAGCTGGCGGCAAATGAGCCTCCAGCCTGTGCTTGGAGGCTTCAGCCCACAGTCCCTGCACTTACTGGCCTAGAGACCAGGGAGAGGAACTGGGAGCTTTTTTCAGAAAAGGAATGTTTGTTGTAAGTTGAAAACTTTTTTTTTTTTTTTGAGACGGAGTCTCCCTCTGTCGCCCAGGCTGGGGTGCAGTGATGCAACGTCAGCTCACTGCAACCTCCACCTCCCAGGTTCAAGTGATCCTCCTCCCTCAGCCTCCCAAGTAGCTGCTACTACAGGCAAGTGCCACCACTCCTGGCTAATTTTTGTATTTTTAATCGAGACGGGGTTTCACCATGTTGGCCAGGCTGGTCTCCAACTCTCGACCTCAAGTGATCCACCCACCTGAGCCTCCCTAAGTGCTAGGATTACAGGTGTGAGCCACCGTGCCGGCTAAGGTGGAAAACTTTTAGAAATCTAGCTAAAAGTCAGGGTCCTGAATCCACTCAGAGGTAGTCAAATCTACCATGGCAGCTGCTCCTGCCCCTTTGTGAGGAAGGGTGATTAAAGAAAGAAGAAATCCCACACTAGAGGCAAAAGGGCTGCCTGGTGGACTTACACCCTTGAATTCTTCATCTCCTGAGCGGAAGTCACCAGCTGCGTCATCTGCCAGACACAAAGAAAGGAAAAGTCAGTCCCCGGAGAACGGTCCCATCCGGTTTCCGCCCTCCCAAGCTCGCCATCCAGGGTGAGTCTGCCCTGACCACAGTGGGGTTGAAACATGCCACCTGCGAGTGTCCACGACACAGATGGGGCAAGCAGAGCCCCCAGCAGGCAGCCGACCCATCCTACATCTGTCTGGCCCACCTGGCCCCCAGGACATACCATTTTCGGAGAAATCTCCTTCACTGTCAACCCGGGCCAGTTTGGTGTCTGGCTCCTCGTAAAGTTGGAACTGCTTCCGTTTCCTGCCCGTGCCATCTGGTCCGAAGCGGTCAAACCCTCTCCTCTTGGGCTACAGACAACAAGCACACCCCATGAGCTACTTACGAGGGCCATGAAGATGCCCCACAGAAAAGAACAAGGAGGTTGTAGGATCAGACAACACAGGCACAAAAGGTCTTTTCAAAAAGCAAAGAGACAACATAATTTGAAACTAAAAAGAAAATCATGCTGAGTGAAAAGAAGCCAGGAACAAAAGGCCACACGTTTCGCGACTCCATTTGTGCAAAATGTCTAGAACACACAAATCCAGAGACCAGTGGTGGTTGTCGGGGGCTGGTGGGGGCGGGGAAGAGACAGGGGTGACTAATGAGAAGAAGTTTCTCTTCTGGTTGACATAAATGCTAAGATTAGACTGTGATGGTGGGGATGGTTGCACAATCCTGTAAATTAACTAAAAGTCGAACTGCGCACTTAAAAACATTTAAGTGAATGTTGAGATGGGGAAATTTTACCTCAATAAAGCTGCTAAAAAGAGAAGCGAAGGCGGCCGGAAGGAACCTTGCGAGGGCTTACCCGATCCCGATCCCGCATCCGAGGCTGCGAGCGGCCACATCCGTAGGGCATGGTGCTGTCATAGCCGCCCGCCCCCTGCATGCCCATCACGCCGTAGTCGGGAGCCATGGACTGGGAGAAGAGGGACGGAGGTGGCCGGCTGGGGGAGGGCCCTCCCAGGCCCCGTCCACCCACGTAGTTCAGCTCGTTCCAGGGCGTGGACAGGGGCTCAGAGGACGCAGCGGGGGGCACGAAGGGGTCGCTGCGCATGAAGGTGCCAGGGTTGCTCCGGTCCTGGAAGCGGCCCTGGCCCCGGCCCCGCATGAAGCCATCAAGGGAGCCCCGCTCCCGGGCTGGGTCTCGGCATTCACTGTACTGCCCCCCAAAGCTGCCATTGCGGTCGGACCCCAGGTCGAACTCATAGTCGTAGCTGTAGCTGGGGCGGTAGGGGTTGTGCTCCGGCAGGCAGGGCCTGGAGTCATAGGACTCGAACGGCTGGAAGCGGAAGGAGCTGCAACAGAAGCACAGCCCATCAGGGGCGGTCACCCCGATCACCCACTGCCACACTCCCTCAGTATAACCTCGACGCCCCTACATTCAAAACAGCAAACCAAACCACCCTGCATCCCACCTAAGTGCTGGGATGACCAAAACTGACCAACACCCTCCCTGGAACACTGCTGAGCAGGGGACAGAGCCCCTGGCCACAGGAATAGCATGATGTAGAAAAAAGGAGTCTCGGGGAGCTTAGCCAACAACCACGCCCAAGCCCCGCCATGAAGAAAAGCAAGGAAGTCCTACTGTAACATCACTGACCCCCCACGAGCCCAACTCGTCAATGCCACACCCAAGAGGGAGGCGGGGACAGGCCCTCCCTCAAGAGTGGGTGCCCACTCCCATGCGCACAAAGGTGGGGATGTGTGGGGTCCCGGGGGAGGGCTTGGGTCCATAATCACCTCTCCCGGTCCTGTATGCCCTCCCCACCGCCGCCGCTCCCGCCCCTGCCTCCTTCCTTGGACATCATGTCCAAACGCTGGTTGATCTTGGCAATGAGGGAGTCGGAATTGTCGGTGCATGGCTCTGGGCCGTAAGAGGCCATGTGCATGGCAGGGGCCCCGGCCGCCAGGCCGCCATCATTGGCCTTGGCGGCCTCCCACGAGGCTGGGCCGTAGCTGTAGGTTGCGCCTGTGGTGACACTGGTGTTCTGGGCGCCATAGTAATTGTAGTTTTCATAACCTGTCACAGGGGGAGGAGCCAAGTCAGACTTCAGCAGCCACGAGGCCTGTCCATGGTGGACACAACCGGGGAGGGGCACCCGCTGCCACGGAGAAGGAAAACGGGTGTGGGACCCAGTGCTGCTGGCATCACTTCACACTGCACTGTGACCTGCCAAGAGGCAGCAGGAGGTGGCCAGAGAAAGGGGCAGCCTCAGTGCCGAGCGGCGGGTTTTCCATGCCAGACGCTAGGACCTGTTCCCCATTCAAAGCCGGGTGACTGAGAGCCTGGGAACAGCAGTTCCGGCTGCTGACAGGCCCCACAAAGGACCGCTGCTCCCAAAGCACGGTCGCAGTCCTCCCCATCATGCTCCCCTGAGGCCGCCCACCACAGCCCTCTGCAGTCCCCCCATATACACAACAGCAGCCGTGGCTGACTGCGTCCTCAGGAACAGAGCCAGAAAGTCCACGCCAGACCTCCCTGACGGGCTGACCCGCCTGGCCTTCAGATCAGAGGCCCACTTGCCCGCCCACAGACCCCCCCCACAGAAGGGCTTACCTTGCCAGCTGGCCACACCAGTTCCATATGCACCTTAGGGGAAACAGAAACACACAAGAGCCCTGTTTGCAGAACGAAGGCACTGACACCCCAGCTGTCACCTTGCTCCACCCTCCACAGCCCCAGGGCCAGGGCTTCCCTCCGCAGCGCTCAGGGAGACACCCTTGGGTGTTTTTAGCTCACTCAACTCCTACAGAGCACTAGGCTGAGAGGCTGAGCACAAGCAAGCCCTCTATCCCGGGCAAGGCCAACCGTCCGTCAGGGCAAGGGAAGGGACGCCGCACGCTCCCCAGGAAGCTCGTCCACTGTGGGCTGCTGGCCAAGAGGTTGGCCAGGCCAGGCCCCAGGCAGAGACCTCGTAAAGGGTCAGTTCCCATCAGAAGCCAGAGTGCAGGCGCTGCCAACTGCACAGCGAAGCATTGGTGCAAAGTCACGTCCTCAACTCAAGCGAAAAAGAGGACGTTATGTGCCACGAGCGACTTGGAAGGCCTCCTCCTGAAACACCGGGTGGTGGCTCAAAAGCAGCCCCACTCCCCATGTTGCCTGAGTCAGATCTCAGGCTCAGAAAACAAAGGAAGCCCTCGTGCCCTAAAACACGGGCTGGCAGAAAGGAGAAAGCCTCGCCAGCAGAGAGCATGCACTGGTTCGCCACACAAGCCTAGCATCATGGCCCTGACTCTAAAGCAGGGATCTGCAAAAAGTCCAGCCACACCCAGCCCACTTCCCGCCTTGGCACAGCCCTTAGGATTTTCGAATTTCGGTGCCCATAAATAAGTACCAGCACACTGCCCGTAGCCCTGTGCTCTCAGGCTCTGCCCTCAGCTAAGGATGAATTTTACGTTTTTAAATGGTTGGGGTAAAGTTTCTAAAGTGTATTCAATGACAAATTTTGACATGAGATACATCACTTACACACTGGATCAAAACTCAGAGAACTATACAAATTAACAAAAACTATGAGCTATAGTGAATAATATCACATCAACATTGCCTGATTAATTGTAACAAATGCATCACACCAATGCAAGATTTTTTTTTTGTTTTTTTTTTTTGAGATGGAGTCTCGCTCTGTTGCATGGGCTGAAGTGCAGTGGCGCGATCTCGGCTCACTGCAAGCTCCACCTCCTGGGTTCACGCCATTCTCCTGTCTCAGCCTCCGGAGTAGCTGGGACTACAGGCGCCCGCCACCGCGCCCGGCTAATTTTTTTTGTATTTTTAGTAGAGACGGGGTTTCACTGTGTTAGCCAGGATGGTCTCGATCTCCTGACCTCGTGATCTGCCCGCCTCGGCCTCCCAAAATGCTGGGATTACAGGCGTGAGCCACCGTGCCTGGCCTTTTTTTTTTTGAGACAGGGTCGTGCTCTGTCACCCAGGCTGGAGTACAGTGGCATAATCACAGCTCACTGCAGCCTTACCTCCTGGGCTCAAGCAATCTTCCTATCTCAGCCTTCTGAGTGGCCGGGACTACAGGCACGCACTGCCACGCCCCACTAATTTTTCATTAGTTGGATAAAAGGATCACTTGAGCTCGGGTCTCGAACTCCCAGGCTCAAGTGAGCCTCTTGCCTCAGCCTCCCAAAGTGCTGGGATTGCAGGCGTGTGCTGCCTCGCCCAGCTAATGAAAGATCTTACTAATGAGGCCAGGCGTGGTGGCTCACGCCTGTAATCCCAGCACTTTGATTATGGGATTGATTATGAGGTCAGGAGTTCGAGACCAGCTTGGCCAACATGGTAAAACCCTGTCTCTACTAAAAATACAAAAATTAGCTGGGCGCAGTGGTGGGTGCCTGTAATCCCAGCTACTCGGGAGGCTGCGGCTGCAGTAAGCCGAGATCACACCACTGCACTCCAGCCTGGGCAACAGAGCAAGACTCTGTATCAAAAGAAAAAAAAATCATACTAATGAGATTTTTAGTACACTCACTACAGGTGTAGTGTACACTCAGTACACCTGAGTGGAGGTGGGTGGGCGTATGAAACTCCACTACTCAATCTAAAGCTGTACTAAAAAGTCTGGTAATTATAGAGAAAAAACACCTCGGATATACCCTCAGCTATTTACTCAGAATAACAAAAATATTTTGCCAAAATAGAGTATTCACTAACACGCAAAAATTAGGAACTTCAAATTGTATTGTCTGTAAGTAACTACTGGCATTGTCCCATCCACTCTTTCACACATTTATGACTGCTTTCCTGCTACAGAGACTGTGGAGCCCATAAAGCCACAAAGATATTCACTATCTGATCTTTTACACAAAGTTTGCTGACCCCTGGGCTACTACTCTCCCTTGACCCAAGTTCAGCTCTGCCATGCTAGGGCCTTGAGTTAGGGGAAGCCCACGCCTCACCCGCAAAGCAGAGCCCACTTACCCTGGGTGTTGGCAGGTCCAGCACTCCACGCCCCGTAGCCTGCAAGAAGACCCCGTGAGTTAAAATTCTATTTGTCACACCAGAGAACGGGTCCTTTTGGGGGTACTCCTAAAGGGATCTCCTTACAGTTCAGTGCCAGCCTTAGAAGAAGGAAGACTCCCCCCCACCCCACCAAAAAAAAGCCATCACACAACTGGCTAATGGCGTCATCGCATTCCACCTGGCTGAGATCAAAGCAGAAAAAGAAGGGTGGGAAGTGGGCTTGGAAGTCAGCTCCGCCCTGCAGAGGGACCTTGGCCAAGGACCTCACCTCTCCAAGATTTCATCCACAACTGAGGCTAACACAAGACAATCCACTCAGCATGAGGACACGTTCCCCCACCCACCACACAGCTAGGAAACCAGTTCAGAGTGCCATCACAAGTACTTCGTAACTGAAAACAAGCATGGGAATTTAGTGACATAAATTGCATCTTTCTAAGCTGCACTTCCTGCCACTTTTTGTTTTTTTGAGGCGGGGTCTTGCTCTGTTGCCCAGGTTAGAGCGCAGTGCCGCGATCTCGGCTCACTGCAAGCTCCGCCTCCTGGGTTCACGCCATTCTCCTGCCTCAGCCTCCCGAGTAGCTGGGACTACAGGCGCCTGCCACCACGCCCGCCTAATTTTTTGTGTTTTTAGTAGAGACGGGGTTTCACCATGTTAGCCAGGATGGTCTCGATCTCCTGACCTCGTGATCCGCCAGCCTCGGCCTCCCAAAGTGCTGGGATTACAGGCGTGAGTCACCGCGCCAGGCCCTTCCTGCCACTTTTAAGGCCTCCACGGATCCCCTGGACCTTTAAGTCCCAGAGCCTTCGCCTGGCCCTAAGGCATCAGACAGCACTCTTCACCCCTCCACACCCCCCGCCCACTATGGCATCTGTCTGGTCCCTCCAGGAAGGAGAATGGGAACTGTGTTCTCTTTATTTCTGTGTCCCTGGGGCCCAGCACTGAGCTGCGCGCGGGTGGCCACCATGCCTGTTAAATGACTTCACTTTGATGAGGCAGGAACATATCCATGTCTCCCTCACCAGAACAACTCCCCCGCCCCCGGCTAAGTGCCTAGTGCGTGCCGATACACCGCAAGCACCCAGCAAACCCTGTTGTCCGGAATGCCATTCAGAGACAAGGGAGCTAGGCTCATGGGTTACGAGACTTGACCCAGTCATACTGCTGAGTTTTGCCCTCTGCTATGCTACGCCTTCCCCTCCGTCATACCGCAAAACCTTCTAAATTCGCATCCGTGCAGCAGAAAGGCAGACTGCAGATTCCAACAGCAAGTAACCAACCTCGAGAGACTGCTTCTCTGTGAAGCTCTAGTGTAAGTGGCACGCACTATTAACCTTAAAACGCTCCCGGAAACACAAGAAATCAGGGAAGCTTAACTATCTCCAGTGTGTCTGAAAGGTTTTCGGCAGGTAGGAAGAGGGGGTAAAAAAAACCTCTCCAAACTAAGAATGAAAAGAAGGAATACAATACCTGCAGAAAAGATCTGATGGGAAAGAAGGGAAAGAATGGTGAAATCTACCCAGGCTGCGGAAGACCAGGAGAGCCAGGCTGAGCCTTCGCTAGGACCCGGAAGACACCAAAGCACACCGCGCACGCTGCCGCCTCAGGACCGAAACCTCTCTCTGCAATTTCTGGTGCTGGGATACTTTTGCCCTGCCACTTCTCAAGATCGACAACTTCTCGAGCTCCTGCAGCCAGGATCAGACCACTAGCTTCTCTACAACCAGTCGAGCTCCACCCAGCATGTCCCAACTATCCCCTGTGGGCAAACTTTGCTCCCAAAAGGCTCTGATTCCAGAAGCAGGGAGCAGGCAGCTCGAGAAGATCGGCCCTACTGCAGGCCAAGCGCTAAATCCTAGTGGGGAAAGGACACGTTCCCTCCTGCACAGCCCCTCGGCCCCTCCAGGCCACCACAACAGACTGCCTAAAGGAGAACTGCCAATGTCACCAGCCCCAGGGCACATCAGGTTTCCAGCTTTATACGAACACTCAGCATCTGCCCCTCACCATCCTGTCCCAAGCCAGCACGCGCCGGGTACAGAGCTGGAGCCCGGCGAGGCTGACTCTCGCGCCGGCAGCACTCGGCCCCACCGCGCTGCACCGGGGACTAAAGGCCCGACCCCGCGCAGCCCGACGGCTTCCGGGACAGGCGCCCTGGGCCACGTGAGCCCAGCGGAGACCCTACACGGCCCCGCGGGCCTAGGGCAGGTCGGGAGAGAGGCGGCCCCCGCGGTCCGCCCGCGGCCCCAGACCCAGCTCCCCGGGTCCGACCTCACAACCCCACGCTGTAGCTCCGCCCCCCTAGCGCCGCCATTTTGTGGCGTCTTCGGAAGAGGAAGCCGGGAGTGCAAACCCCGGGGTCGCTGGGGGCCGGAAGGACTCCGCCGAAGGTGAGGGGCAAAAACGGCCCACACTGTCTAAGACGCCCCCACGAAGCCCACCGCGGCGTCTGCCCCAACCCCGAGTCCCGCCCGCCTCCTCGGGGCCTGGCGGCCAATCCGCACGCAGAGCCCCGGGAGCGACGGCGCCAAAGCCCAATGAGCGGCGCGCGCGCGCCCTGGCCGCCTCTCCGGAGGGCCCAGCTGGGGCAACCACGCTCGGGACGAAGGCCCGGCCGGCGGCAGTCTGCGCAGCGGCTGCGTCGCCCGCACAGAGCCTTCCCTCCCCGCTCCGCACCCAGCAGCCAACACAAACCTCCGTAGCCCTGGTCCATGTCTTCGACGCGGCCCACCAGCAGCCCCGTTTACTAGGCGACCACAGCACGCATGCGTTCAGCGCACCTCCGCCATCGACTACTGGAAGACCAGGCGCACACGTCACTACTTCCGCGCGCCCCCATTGGCTGGTCTTCACGAGGGCCCGCCCTCGCCGTCCCAGCTGGCCTTTCGGGCTGCTACGATCCAGCTCCGTGGCCTAATGGGAGTTGTGGTCCCACCGCGGTGCCCGACGGCCCGGCCCGCGCGCATGCGCACCCCGCCCCTCTGCCCACCCCGCCCCGCCCGCGCGGCACAGTAACAGAGAAACCCGGAGGTGGGATGGGAAAACTTTATTAGGTTTGGTTTCCAGCTTCGGCCACGCGGGCTCCGCCCGCCCCGAGCTCGGGTCACGGGGCGCCCCCGCCGCCCTCCTCGTCGTCCTCCACGTCGAGGCCCGGGATGCCGCGGATCTGGCGTTGCAGCGCCCCTCCCAGCAAGGGCACGGCGCCCTCCTCCTCCTCCTCTGGGGGCGGCGGCGGTGGCGGCGACACGGCCCCGGGGGCTGGCTCTGGGGGCACGGGAGGCTGCGCCGGCACGCCCTCTGCGCCCTCCGAGATCCCTGCCGCTTCGCCCTGCGCCCCCTCGTCCAGGGCACCGCCCTCAGCCTCCTCCTGCTCCTTCTCCTCCTCGGGGCTGTCGGTGAAAGGGTTCTCGCCCTGTGGGGAGGGGCGCGGACACTGAAGGGAGGGAGCACAGGCGGGGACTAAGCTGGGGACAGGGCAGGCCCGGACCAGTGCCTCACCTTCAGGTAGCGCTCCAGCTTCTTGCTGATGAGCTTGTTGTTGAGAATACTGCGGGCCACCATGAGGGAGGACTTCTTGGACTGCTCCATCATGAGCTGCGGGCAGGGCAGAAGGAGCTGGAGAGGCTGCTCTGAGTGCCCTACAAGTTGCTGCCCCGACCCTGCCAGCTTAGAGGGACCCCACCCCGCCCCTGCACCCACGCACTTCCAGCCCCACCAACGGAGGGCCACTCCACAAGCATGGAACCACAACCTATCTGATCTTTGTTCAAATTCCCTCTCCTTCCACACCACACTTACTGTAGGTAAATAAAAATACAGATCTATATATCTCTAACTTTACGGCTGTATTACAGAAATCTGATTTGCTTACAAAAAAGCTATAAGCAGTGAACAATTAAGAAACTAAGAGCCAAAGGTGGGTGCAACCTGTAACAAGGTGCCAACTAGGCTAATAGGCAAGGAGCACTTTGGGGCCAACGGGGAAGATATAAAAACAGGAACAGATATTTAATGAAACGTCTTTTTTAACCCACAGAATTCCAAGAATGAAGAATTATTCCCAGTCATGCAAGGGTGAAGAGAGTCTTCTCTGCTGGTGGGAGGATCAACTGTTTCCGTATTTTTTGGAAAGCAGTTTGACACAATGTATGAAAAGTAAAAATCTGTCTCATTAATCCCTTCCCAGAACGTATCCTAAATTTAAGAACTGGAAACATGCGTGCACACTGATTGTAGTGGTGAAAAATGGGAAAACACCTAAACGTTCCTCAGTGCAGAAGAGGTTAAATAAATCGTACATTCAAAAGAACATCATGCAGCCCTTCAAATCGGGCTCATCTCTGCACTGGCATAAGAAAGGTGTATAATATAGTACTGTCTGCAGAGCATGCCAGAGCCATTTTGTCTGGAAGGATTTCCATCAATATGCTGGGCCATCTCATGGTGGGAGTACAGGCAAATCTCACTTTGATCATTATAAAAACCATAAGGTAAAAGAAGGATATTTTTGGTGGGGTGGGAGAGCCCATTGAGTCCTTCCCACTCCATTTACATGTTTCAGAAAGCCTTCTCACTTGCTGTTTCTACTCTCTCCATCTTCATTTTTTTTTTTCCTTAGCACGTTTTCTCTACTACTGGAGGAAAATATTAACAGACATCATACATGCTCACAATAAACTAAAGATACACAATTAGGATACTACTATAGACCGTTCCCCCAGTGACTCTCACTTGCCAACAGTTTATCCTCCTGGTTCTAGATGCCCAGATAACCACACCATAAATTCTCCCAAGTGAGGCACATTTATGTTGCTTCCAGATCTTCTCCACAATAACCCAGCAACACTAGAATAAACTTGTACACTTCCATGCTGGTGCTTTTCATTCTAACCAGGTTTGGTTTCAAAGTGATAGTGCCCAATTAACTGCAGAACATTTGCAAGTCATGCTTCTTCCACCTGTGTTAAAACAATGACCTGGTCCTCCTGCCTGCCCATCAGCACTGGATGTTGTCACTGTTGGGTATTTTTGCTGTGGATAAAAGACAGAAGAATCTGTGCTGCTGCCTCCCACGGCATTTCCCTGCCCACCGGCGAGTGAGTGCTCTGGTAAGCACACTGGAACACCCGCCCACAGTTTATAATTTTCTAACTATTTTCTGATCTTGGTTTTCATTTTTCACATTTAAATTTTTTTTTTTTTTTTTTAAGACAGTCTCGCTCTGTCGCCCAGGCTGGAGTGCAGGGGCTCTCAGTTCACTGCAACCTCCGCCTCCCAGGTTTAGGCAATTCTCATGCCTCAGCCTCCTGAGTAGCTAGGACTACGGGCACGCACCACCACACCCAGCTACTTTTTTGTATTTTTAGTAGATACAGGGTTTTCCTATGTTGCCCAGACTGGTCTTGAGCTCCTGAGCTCAGGACCTCCACCCATCTCGGCTTCCCAAAGTGCTGTGATTACAGGCGTGAGCCACCACGCCCAGCCAAATTTTCTAGAATTTGATACAGATTGAGTATCCCTTATTCAAAGTGCTTATGACCAGAAGTCTTTCAGATTTTGATTTGCATTATACTTACCAGTTGAGCATCCCTACTCCAAAAACCCAAAATCTGAAATGCTTCAATGAGCATTTACTTTGTCATGTCTGTGCTGAAAAAGTCAGATTTTACTGGGCACAGTGTCTCGTGCCTGTAGTCTCAGCTACTCTCATGAGGCTGATGCAGGAGGATTGCTCAAGTTCAGGAGTTCAAGGCTATAGTGTGCAATGATTTCACTTGCGACCAGCCACTGCACTCCATCCTGCACAACATGGCAAGACTCAATTCTTTTTTCTTAAAGAAAAAGGTTTTGGATTTCGGAGCATTTCGGATTTTCAGATGACGGATGAACTCAATCTGTATATGTTATGAGGTAGAGGGTCCAAAATTTTCTTTTCCAGAAATGTACAAAACACACCATTTATTTCCCTACCAAATTGGCATATAGGTCTACCATCCCTTATCTATAAACTGGAAATCCAAAAGGCTCTAGAAAACAAGTCTTCCCCCAAAATTCATTTGGTGGCTAAATGTGAACTGACATTACATTTTTCATTTATATGTAAGTCATGTGAAGAATTATTTGTGACTCAACTACAAGGCGCTTTCCCCAGATCCTGTTGGAGAGGTTAGTGCTAATACCATATTGTCTTTCTTTTTATTTTATTTTAGAGATAGGAGTCTCACTCTGTTGCCCAGGCTGCACTGCCATTGTGTGATCACGGCTCACTGCAGCCTCAAACTCCTGGGCTCAAGTGATCTTCCCATGCTAGCCTCTTGAGTAGCTGGGACTATAGGCACTCACCACCATGCTTGGCTAATTTTTTATTTTTTGTAGAGACGAGATCTCACTATGGTCAGGAACTCCTGGGCTCAAGCAATCCCACCTAAGCCTCCCAAAGTGCTGGGATTGCAGGTGTGAGCCACTGCCCCCAGCCTTGCATATTGGTTTTCTGAAGCTGAAAAATTAATTCTGAGGCTTCTGGCCCTAAGGTTTCAGATAAAATATCTGTACTAACTTTAACAAATTACTAAGTCTGAAATATACTGAGATCTTTTGCTAGACTCTCTATTCTGGTTCCACTGTTTCATTACTGTGCTAATTATCACTTTTTTTGTTTTTTAATTGCAGCAGCTTTGTAGTAAGTTTTAGTATTTCTGAAATCAATCTCTCAGCTATTGTTAGACTGAATTTTACAATGTAAAACTTTAAAATAATTTCATTTCATTCAGTCCTACTCCCCGACTGATATTTTTGACTAGAAATGTGCTGTCTATATTAATTTGGAGAGAACTGGTTTTTGTTTTGTTTCACTATTAAATTGCCTATTTAAGAACACAGAACATTCCTCCATTCATTAAGGTCTATTTCTTTTTTTTTTTTTTTTTTTTTTTGAGATGGAGTCTTGCTCTGTTGCTCAGGCTGAAATGCAGTGGCATGATCTCAGCTCACTGCAACCTCCACCTCCAAGGTTCAAGCAATTCTCTGCTTCAGCCTCCCAAGTAGCTGAGATTATAGGCACCCACCACCCCACCCGGCTAATTTTTTGTATTTTTAGTAGAGACAGGGTTTCACCATCTTGGCCAGGCTGGTCTTGAACTCCTGACCTAGTGATTCACCTGCCTCCGCCTCCCAAAGTGCTGGGATTATAGGCGTGAGCCACCGTGCCCGGCTAAGGTCTTATTTCATATCCTTGGAGTATTTGCAGTTCTTAAAAGATCTCAAGCCTTTCTTCTTCCCTCCCTGTTTTTTTTTTTTTTGAGACGGAGTTTTGCTCTTGTTGCCCAGGCTGGAGTGCAATGGCGCGATCTTGGCTCACTGCAACCTCCGCCTCCCAGGTTCAAGCGATTCTCCTGCCTCAGCCCCCTGAGTAGCTGAGATTACAGGCGCCCACCACCACGCCCAGCTAATTTTTTGTATTTTAGTAGAGACAGGGTTTCATTATGTTGGCCAGGCTGGTCTCAAACTCCTGACCTCAGGCAATCCACCCGCCTCAGCCTCCCCAAAGTGCTGGGATTACAGGCATGAGCCACCATGCCTGGCCCTCAAGTCTTTCTTCTTAAATCTGTATTCTTAGCTATTTCATACATTGTGTGGTTATTTTAAGTAGTTTTTTTTCCATTTAAATTTCTAACTGGTTAATACTAGAATAGAGAAACACTACGACTTTTTGTACGCTATTTTGAATCCCATCCCCTTACCAAATTCTATTAATTCTAAGAACATTTTGCTGGGATCATTCAGCTTTTCTAAGAGCATAATCACATTATTTGCACATAAAGAGAGTTTGCATTATACCAATAATATTGCTAGATTTTTTGTTTTTGTTTTTGAGACGGAGTCTCGCTTTGTCGCCCAGGCTGGAGTGCAGTGGCGCGATATCAGCTCACTGCGAGCTCCGCCTCCCAGGTTCATGCCATTCTCTTTTTTTTTTTTTTTGAGACGGAGTCTCGCTCTGTTGCCCAGGCTGGAGTGCAGTGGCGGGATCTCGGCTCACTGCAAGCTCCGCCTCCCGAGTTCACGCCATTCTCCTGCCTCAGCCTCCCAAGTAGCTGGGACTACAGGCGCCCACCACCACGCCCGGCTAATTTTTTGTGTTTTTAGTAGAGACGGGGTTTCACCGTTTTAGCCGGGATGGTCTCGATCTCCTGACCTCGTGATCCGCCCGCCTCGGCCTCCCAAAGTGCTGGGACTACAGGCGTGAGCCACCGCGCCCGGCCTTTCATGCCATTCTCTTGCCTCAGCCTCCCGAGTAGCTGGGACTACAGGCGCCCGCCACCACGTCTGGCTAATTTTTTGTATTTTTAGTAGAGATGGGGTTTCACCGTGTTAGCCAGGATGGTCTCGATCTCCTGACCTCGTGATCCACCCACCTCGGCCTCCCAAAGTGCTGGGATTACAGGCATGAGCCACCGCGCCCGGCAACTGTTGCTAGATTTCTTAGGGAACCATCCCTCCATTCCAGAAACAAACCTTACTTATAATGTATCATACATAGGGATCACTACTAGATTGATAGTTACTAATATTTTATTTAGCACTTCATTTTATTTATTTTTTTGAGACAGAGTCTTGCTCTGTTGCCCCGGCTGGAATGCAGTGGCACGATCACAGCTCATTGCAGCCTCAACCTCCTGGGCTCAGGTGATCCTCCCACCTCAGCCTCCCAAGTAGCTGGGACCACAGGCCCCAGTACCTGGCTAATTTTTTTATTTTTAATTTTATAGACACAGTGTCTCACTATATTGCCCAGGCTGGTCTTGAACTCCTGGGCTCAAATGATCCTCCCACCTCAGTCTCCCCAAGTGCTGGGATTACAGGTATAAGCCACTATATCCAGCCAACTTTCTTTCTTTTTTTTCTTTTTTTTTTTTTGAGGAGTCTCACTCTGTTGCCCAGGCTGGAGTGCAGTGGCGCGATCTCGGCTCACTGCAACCTCCGCCTCCTGGGTTCACACCATTCTCCTGCCTCAGCCTCTCGAGTAGCTGGGACTACAGGCGCCCGTCACTACGCCCGGCTAATTTTTTGTATTTTTAGTAGAGATGGGGTTTCACCGTGTTAGCCAGGATGGTCTTGATCTCCTGACCTCGTGATCCGCCTGCCTCGGCCTCCCAAAGTGCTGGGATTACAGGCATGAGCCACCGCGCCCGGCCAATCCAGCCCACTTTCATATCTTTAATAATAGTAAACTAATCTACAGTTTCATTTTGGTATCATCTTTATCAGAATTTTGGAATTAAGGTTTAAGAAGCTTCCTAAATATTGAGAGGACAGACTCTAGCATAGCAGTCTGAGGCGTTCCCTGGAACACTCCCTAGTGAAACTGATGAAAAGTATTAAAAAACAACCATTTAAAGTCTCTGAAAATGTTCCTAAGGACATACAGCCCTATGAGAAAGATTTAATGAGGAAAAGCTACTAAAACTCAGTTCCATGAAGAGTTGTGATGTCTGAAACACAACCTATTGCATCCCTGCCTCCCCCAGCTTAGTGTGATGGAAACTCCACTCCAGACAGTACAGCCAAGAAGACAGGTCTGCCCGCATCTACCCAGATCATCTCAGTTAAGGGGTATGATATCTTCCCAGGAGGAACAGAATGTCAGCATCTATTTTTCTGAGTTGGAGTTTCACTCTTGGTTGCCCAGGCTGGAGTGCAATGGCGTGATATCGGCTCACTGCAACCTCTACTTCCCGGGTTCAAACAATTCTCCTGCCTCAGCCTTCCGAGTAGCTGGGATTACAAGTGCCCGCCACCAAGCCCGGCTAATTTTTGTATTTTTAGTAAAGATGGGGTTTCACGATGTTGTCCAGGCTGGTCTTGAACTCCTGACCTCAGGTGATCTGCCCACCTTGGCCTCCCAAAGTGCTGGGATTACAGGCGTGAGCCACTGTACCCAGCCGGATGTCAGTATCTCTCATCCCGCCCCCAGCTACCTGCTGATGAGGCTAAGTTCTAGACAAGCATAGCTGAGAGAGAACGGTTCCTATCTTCTACCCAGCCACACGCACGTGGAATGGAGGCTTGACCCTGGGCATGGCACACTAAGAATATAAGGGCTCACATACCCATGGCTTGTTCATAAAGCAGAGGTCCCATGCCAGGAAAGGCAAACCAAGACCGGAGGCTACAGCCTACTGTACCTCCTCCCATGTCTCTCCTAAAGTGGCAGAGTCACTCAGAGAGAGGTACTCCATTGTCTCCATCCCCAGAGCCTTGGCTCAGAGATTCTGCCCACAGTGAGAGCACGGCCTTAAATCAGTAAACTCCCAATCTCAAAGGAACTGACTGACTTCACTGGCAAGAGTGTTGGGAAGTGCAAGACTAGGGCCTCTCTCAAAAACAATGGAGACTAGGGAGGAAAAAAATTAAAAGGACATTGATAGCTTTTTTTTTTCTTTCTGAATATTTATTGGAGTTAAACACTGATAGCTTTGTCCTTTTTTTTTTCCCCCACCACACAGCCATAAAAAAGAAGGACCGGTAGATTTGACAGTGATATTAGCTAACCCATAGGCTAACTAGGTTACCAAAGAGGACAAGGACCAGTGAAATAGCTAAGAACAGACTCCCTGGGTTCAGAATAAATCTCAAACAACCACCTCAAAAACCATCCCTCTTGGGCCTGGCATAGTGGCTGACGCCTGTAATCCCAGCACCTTGTGAGGCTGAGGTGGGTGGCTCATAAGATCAAGAGTTCGAGACCAGCCTGGCCAACATGGTGAAACCCCGTCTCTACTAACAATACAAAAATTAGCCGGGCGTGGTAGCACATGCCTGTAATCCCAGCTACTCGGGAGGCTGAGGCAGGAGAATTGCTTGAACCTGAGAGGTGGAGGTTGCAGCAAGCCAAGATCGCGCCACTGCATTCCAGCCTGGGCAACAGAGCAAGACTCTTGTCTGGGAGAGGGGGCGGGGAGGGGAGGGGAAAAAAATCCCTATAAAGGAGCCCAAATTTAATTGGATCAGATTGGGCAGCAATCTATGCCCCAAAACATTGTTGAAAACAATAAAGCAATCAGCCAGCAATTGGTAGAGTTTAACAGCTGAGTATGGTCTGGGAAAAAGAGCGAGCCCATGGCTTCCTCCCTCCAAGACACACCACCAGTTTCATACTGTGTGAGAATGAAAGAGACCTAACTAAAAAAATCTAGCAAGTCACTAAACAAATAGACAAGCAAATACAGTAACAAGACCCTGGGAGGGTGGGTGGGGGATCAGTGCCCAGAGTTGCCACAACAAATTATCTAAGATGTCTAGTTAACAGTGAAAAATTATGAGACATCCAAAGGAAACTCTGACCCAGGCACAGATGAAAAAGCAGACAATAGAAACTTCCTGTGACAGTGAACAGATGTCAAATTCAACAAACATTTTAAAGTAGCAATTGTAAATAGGTTTAAAGAAAACTCAAGTAGAAGAAGGTATAATGACACTGTCTCATGAAACAATTTAAACACAGAGATAGAAATGATAATAATAAAATGGTAAATCTTAGAGCTGAAAAGTACAATAACGGACACCAAAAATCCATTTGAAGGACTCAACAGATTTGAACTTAAGAATTAGTGAACTTGGGCCGGGTGCGGTGGCTCACGCCTGTAATCCCAGCACTTTGGGAGGCCGAGGCGGGCAGATCATGAGGTCAGGAGATCGAGACCATCCTGGCTAACATGGTGAAACCCCGTCTCTACTAAAAATACAAAAAAATTAGCCGGGCGTGGTGGCGGGCGCCTGTAGTCCCAGCTACTCCGGAGGCTGAGGCAGGAGAATGGCATGAACCTGGGAGGCGGAGCTTGCAGTGAGCCGAGATCGCGCCACTGCACTCCAGCCTGGGCGACAGAGCTAGACTCCATCTCTAAAAAAGAGTGAACTTGGCCGAGCTCGGTGGCTCACGCCTATAATCCCAGCACTTAGGGAGGCCGAGGCAGGCGGATCACAAGGTCAAGAGATGGAGACCATCTTGGCTAACACGGTGAAACCCCATCTCTACTAAAAAAAAAAAAAAATACAAAAAATTAGCCGGGCGTGGTGGTGGGCGCCTATAGTCCCCAGCTACTTGGGAGGCTGAGGCAGGAGAATGGCATGAACCCAGGAGGCGGAGCTTGCAGTGTGCAGAGATGGCGCCACTGCACTCCAGCCTAGGCAACAGAGCGAGACTCCATCACAAAAAAAAAAGAAAAAAAAAAAAAAAGAATTAGTGAACTTGTGTATCAAAAGAGATTATACAATCTGCAGAACAGAGGGAAAAAAATGAGGTAAAATGAACAGTCTCAGACAACCATGGCACACTATTAAGTGATCCAACATACGGGTAATGAGCATTAGAAGAGGAAAGAGAGAAAGGAGTAGGAAAACAAAATACTTGAAGAAACAATGGCTGAAAGCTTTGGAAGGTTGATGAAACCTGTAATCTATACATCAAAGCAGCTCAGGCCGGGCGTGGTGGCTCACGCCTGTAATCCCAGCACTTTGGGAGGCCGAGGCGGGCAGATCACGAGGTCAGGAGATCGAGACCATCCTGGCCAAGATGGTGAAACCCCATCTCTACTAAAATACAAAAAATTAGCCGGGCATGGTGGTGTGCACCTGTAATCCCAGCTACTCAGAAGGTAGAGGCAGGGGAATCACTTGAACCTGGGAGGCGGAGGTTGCAGTGAGCTGAGATTGTGCCATTGCACTCCAGCCTGGCCACAGACCAAGACTCCGTCTCAAGAAACAAAAAACCAGCCCAACAAACTCCACGTAGAATAAACACAGAGAGATGCACAAAGACATAATGAAGGTGCCAAGAGTCAAAGACAGGGGAAAAATCTTGAAAGCAGCAAGACAAAACAAATCATCACAAGGAAACCCCAATATTAGGTTAAAGCCGACTTCTCAGCGGGGCACGGTGGCTCATGCCTGTAGTGGCAAGACCCTGTCTCTATTTATTTTTTTTTAATCAAAAAAGGGAACTCTGTAGACAGACACAAATTACTAAAAATGACTTAAAAAAAAACCCCAGACTATCTGAATATACCCTATAACAAGTGGAGACTGAATTATTAATAATAATAAAAAAAAACTAGTTAACAGGCTGGGCACAGTGGCTCATGCCTATAATCCCAGCACTTTGGGAGGCCAAGGCAGGCAGATCGCTTGAGTCCAGAAATTTGATACCAGCCTGGGTAACATGACAAAACCCCGTCTCTACAAAAAACTACCAAAACTAGCCGGGCATGATGTCACACATGCCTTTAGTCCCTGCTATTTGGGAGGCTGAGGTGTGAGGATCGCCTGAGCCTGAGAGGTGGAGGTTGCAGTGAGCCGAGATCACACCGTTGCACTCCAGCCTAGGCGACAGAGTGAGACCCTGTCTCAAAAAAAAAAAAAAAAAAAATCTAGTTAACAAAAGCCAGGCCTAGATGGCTTCATAAGCAAATTCTACGAAGCACTTGAAGAATTAATACTAGTATATACTAGTTCTTCACAAACTCTTCCAAGAAACCAGAAAAGGAAGAAAAATGACAACTGTATGAGGCCAGTATTAATTAACCTGATACCCAAACCAGACAAATATATCACCAAAACACTACAGACTATTATCTTTTATGAATATAGATGCAAAAATTCTCAACAAAATAGCAGCAAAACCAATCTAATATATAAACATAATTACACACTATGACCAAGCAGGATATATCCCAGGGACACAAGGGTGTTTTATATCCAAATAAAATAATCTAACATACTGTAACAACACAATTAAAGACAAAAGCCACATGATCACCTCAACAGAGGCAGAAAAAGCATTTGACAAAGTCCAACACCATTTTAAGATAAAACACTTAACAGGACTAGAAGGGAACGTCTTCAACTCAATCAAGGGCACCTATGAAAAACCCACAGCTGACATCACACTTAATGGTAAAGACTGGTGCTTTCCCTGTAAGATCAGAAAGATGAGGACATCCATTCTCACCACTTCTATTCAATACTGTATTGGAGGTTCTAACCAGGGCAATTAGGTAAGAAAAAGAAATAAAGTGCATCTAGATTGGAAAGGAGAAGTAAAACTAACTCTATTTGCAGATGACTGATGTTGTACAAAGAAACCCCTAAGAAATCCACTAAAAACTAGGTTGGGCACGGTGGCTCATGCCTGTAATCCCAGCACTTTGGGAGGCCGAGGCGGGTGGATCATGAGCAGGAGATTGAGACCATCCTAGCTAACATGGTGAAACCCCATCTCTACTAAAAATACAAAAAATTAGCTGCGCGTGGTGGCGGGCACCTGTAGTCCCAGCTACTTGGGAGGCTGAGGCAGGAGAATGGCGTGAACCTGGGAGGTGGAGGTTGCAGTGAGCCGAGATTGCACCACTGCACTCCAGCCAGGGCGACAGAGTGAGACTCTGTCTCAAAAAAAAAAAAAAAAAAAAAAAATCCACTAAAAACTATTAGAACTAATAAACATTATTTTATGTTTTTATTTTTATTTTATTTTATTTATTTATTTTTTGAGATGGAATCTCGCTGTGTCTCCCAGGCACAGTGCAGTGGTGCGATCTCAGCTCACTGCAACCTCCGCCTCCCGGGTTCACGCCATTCTCCTGCCTCAGCCTCCCAAGTAGCTGGGACTACAGGTGCCCGCCACCACACCTGGCTAATTTTTTGTATTTTTAGTAGAGACGGGGTTTCACCATGTTAGCCAGGATGGTCTGGATCTCCTGACCTCGTGATCTCCCGCCTCAGCCTCCCAAAGTGTTGGGATTACAGGCATGAGCCACTGCGCCCAGCCTTATGTTTTTATTTTTTAGAGACAGGGTCTTGCTCTGTCACTCATGCTGGAGTGCATGGTAGGATCATAGCTCACTGCAACCTCAACCTCATAGGCTCAAGCCATCCTCTTACCTCAGCCTCCTGCGTAGCGGGGACTACAGGCACTTGCCGCCACACCTGGCTAACTTGTTTCTTTTATACAGACAGGGTCTCACTATGTTGCCCATGCTGGTCTCAAACTCTTGGACTGAAGCAATCCTCCCACCTTCACCTCCTAAAGTGTTTGGATTACAGGTATGAGCTATAATGCCTAGCCATAGCTGAAATATTATTAAAATTATGAAATATTAAAAACAAATAGTTCAGTGAGGTTGTAGGGTATAATATCAATATATTGGCTGAGCACAGTGGCTCATGCCTATAATCCCAGCACTTTGGGAAGCTGAGGCAGGAGGACTGCTTGAGCCCAGGAGTTTGAGACCAGCCTGGGCAACATGGTGAAACCCTGTCTCTACAAAAAATACAAAAATTAGCTGGGCATAGTGGCACATGCCTGTAGTCCCAGCTACTTGGGAGGCTGAGGTGGGAGGATTACCTGAGCCCAGGAGGTTGGAGGCTGTAGTGAGTCATGATGGTGCCACTGCACTCCAGCCTAGGCAACAGAGTGAGACCCTATTTCAAGAATAAAAAAAAAAAGTATTTTTATACACATGCAAAAAAAATCCAAAAATATCAAGAAAACAATTCCATTCATAATAGTAACAGAAAGAATAAAATACTTATAAATAATCTTAACAGGCCGGGCCTGGTGGCTCATGCCTGTAATCCCAGCACTTTGGGAGGCTGAGGTGGGTGGATCCCCCAAGGTCAGGAGTTCAAGACCAGCCTCGCCAACATGGTGAAACCCTGTCTACCAAAAATACAAAAAATTAGCTGGGCGTGGTGGTGCGTGCCTGTAATCCCAGCTACTCAGGAGGCTGAGACAGGAGAATTGCCTGAACCCAGGAGGCGGAGGTTGCAGTGAGCCAAGATGGCACCACTGCATTCCAGCCTGGGCAACAAGAGCAAAACTCTGTCTCAAAAAAAAAAAAATCTTAACAATAAAGAACAAAGCTTACACCCTGAAAACTACAAAACCTTTGAAAGAAATTAATTCATTTACTAGATCTCAGTAAATGAAAAGACATCCCATATTCATGGATTAGAAGACTTAATAGCTATGGTCAACTGACTTTCAACAAAGATGCCAAGATCATTCAATGGGGGGAAAACAGTCTCTTTCATTTCTTTTTCAAATGGTGCCGGAACAACTTAATATCTAGATGCAAAAAATAAAGTTAGAACCTTACCTCATACGATATAAATAAATTAACTCAAATGGAACAAAGACCTAACTGCAAAAGCTAAAACCATAAAATTCTTAGAAGAAAACACAGGGGTAAATCTTCGTGACCTTGGATTTATCAATAGATTCTTAGTTATGACACCCAAAGCATAAGCAATAAAAGAAAATTGGACTTTATAAAAATTAAAACTATTGTGCTACAAAGGACACATCAAGAAGGTGAAAAAACCCACAGAATGGGTGAAAATATTTGTAACTCATATCAAATATGGGACTTTACAAAAAGAACTCTACAAAAGACAACACAATTAAAAAATGCACAAAGAACTTGAATAGACATTTCTCCAAAGATACAAAAATGGCCAACCAGCCCATGAAAAGATGCCATTAGTCAGTTATCAGGGCTACGCAAATCAAAACCACAATGAGATACTACTTCCCACCCACTAGGATGACTAGATCAAAAAGTCAGAAAATGCCGGGCGCGGTGGCTCATGCCTGTAATCCCACCACTTTAGGAGGCCAAGACAGGGGGATCACCTGAGGTCGGGAGTTCGCGATCAGACTGACCAACATGGAGAAACCCCGTCTCTACTAAAAATACAAAATTAGCCAGGCGTGGTGGCACATGCCTGTAATCCCAGCTAGGAGAATTGCTTGGACCCGGGAGGCAGAGGTTGTGGTGAGCCGAGATCGCGCCATTGCACTCCAGCCTGGGCAAGAAGAGCGAATCTCTGTCTCAAAAAAAAAAAAAAAAAAAAGTCAGAAACTAAGTGTTGGTGAGTATGTGAAGAAATCAGGACCCTTATATGTTGCTGGTGGAAATGTAAAATGGTGCACAGTCACTTTGGAAAATAGTCTCACAAGTTAAAGTGTTATTATTTGATCAAGACATTCCAGTCCTAGTCATATACTCAAGAAAAATGAAAACATATGTCCACATAAAAACTTGCACAATAATGTTTCTAAGAGCATTATTCATAATAGCCAAAAGGTGAAAACAACCCAAACACCCAAAAAGATAAATAAACAAAATGTGCCACATCTATCTACACAATGGAATAATATGAAGCCATATGAAGGAATGAAGTTCTGATACATGCTACAATGTGGCTGGACCCCAAAAACATCATGCTTAGTGAAAGAAGCCAATCACAGAAGACCACATATTATGTGATTCTGTTTATATGAAGTGTCTAGAATAAGCAAATAGAGAGAGATAGATTAGTAGCTGCCTAAGGCTGGAGGAGGACAAGAGGTTGGGGGGGCTGATAGCTAAAGGGTTTCTTTTTAAGGTGATGAAAATATTCTGTAATCGACTGGTTGATGACTGCAGAATTCTGTGAATACGTGAAAAACCAATGAATTGGTTTTTTTTTTCATTTGTTTGGTTTTTTTAGAGACAGGGTCTTGCTCTGTTGCCCAGTCTGGACTGTGGTGGTGCAATCATAACTTACTGTAACCTTGAACTCCTAGCCTCAAGCGATCCTCCCACCTTGGCTTCCCAAAGTGCTGGGATTGCAGGCATGAGCCACCACGCCCAGCCCAAAGACTACTGAATTGTATACTTTAAATGCGTGAATTGTACAGTATGTGATTCTATCTCAGTAAAGCTGTTACCAAAGATAACAATAATTAGAAGCTTTCCATTAATCTCTACAGTCTAGAATTCTAAAAAATACAGTATTTAGACTGTATTCAAATTATCTCTGTAAACCAATGACTTCTGGTGCCTTCTAAATATCTTTCATCATCCTTCCAAACCTCTCTACGGTTACCAGCTGCTATGGCTTGTTCTTTTTTTTTTTTTTAACTTCTTTTAGGATCAAGTTTGAGTTTATATTTTGCTATCACCTCTCCCGTATTTTCCAACTTTTTTTTTTTTGAGACAGAGTCTCGCTCTGTCGCCCAGGCTGAAGTGCAGTGGCACGATCTTGGCTTACTGCAAGCTCTGCCTCCTGGGTTCACGCCATTCTCCCACCTCAGCCTCCTGAGTAGCTGGGACTACATGCACCTGCCACCACGCCTGGCTAATTTTGTTTTTGTATTTTTAGTAGAGACGGGTTTCACCATGTTAGCCAGGATGGTCTCAATCTCCTGACCTCGTGATCCGCCCACCTTGTCCTCCCAAAGTGCCGTGCCCATTGTTTTGGTTTTTTTGTTTTGTTTTGTTTTGTTTTTGAGATGAGTCTCGCAGATTGCTCTGCGAGTGGCGCAATCTCGGCTCACTGCCACCTCTGCCTCCTGGGTTCAAGCGATTCTTCTGCCTTGGCCTCCCGAGTAGCTGGGATTACAGTGCCCGCCATCACGCCCAGCTAATTTTTGTATTTTTAGTACAGACAGCGTTTCACCACGTTGGCCAGGAAGGTCTCCATCTCTTGACCTCGTCATCTGCCCACCTTAGCCTCCCAAAGTGCTGGGATTACACGCGTGAGCCACCACGCCCAGCCAGATTTTCCAACTTTCATTAATGACATATAGTTTCCACCCTCTGCAGTCTTCTAACCCCTACTAGTTCCTAGCATAAGAATCTGTTTTTAGGCCGGGCGCGGTGGCTCACGCCTGTAATCCCAGCACTTTGGGAGGCCGAGGCGGGCGGATCACGAGGTCAGGAGATCGAGACCATCCTGGCTAACACGGTGAAACCCCGTCTCTACTAAAAATACAAAAAATTAGCCGGGCGTGGTAGCGGGCGCCTGTAGTCCCAGCTACTCGGGAGGCTGAGGCAGGAGAATGGCGTGAACCCGGGAGGCGGAGCTTGCAGTGAGCCGAGATCGCGCCACTGCACTCCAGCCTGGGCGACAGAGCGAGACTCCGTCTCAAAAAAAAAAAAAAAAAAAGAATCTGTTTTTGGCAAGTTCCCTAAAGCTTCTCTGTTGCCAAAGCCAACTGACATTTTCCTTTTCTTCCCAGAACTCTTGGTGGCATTTCCCAATCCTGAGTCTCTGCAACCAGAGAGACCCCTGACCCTGTCCACCGTTCAGAATCATCACACCGAAAAAGACCAGAGAGGAATTGTGATGAGCATGGAAGAAGATGGAGAAATGCTGCTTCCCATGCTCACCTTGGATGCGAACATCTGTTCATAAACCCCACCACCCTCCTCCAGGGTGAAGACAGCCAAGCCCCTCTTTGGCCCAGACCTGGTCCTGGGCCTCTTTGCTCTCTGCCCATACACAGCCCCTTCACCCCCACCTGCAACACAGCATGTCATCCATTCAATCAAAAAAACACCTACTCTGGCTTCCATGCTAGGCACTGGAGCAACACTGGAAAATGAGACAGAATTTGCTCATTCTCTTGCCTTATGTTCTCCATGCCGCACAACACACTTCCCTACTGCTCCCTGCTCCCTGACAATCTTGGCAGCACCGCTGTCCTCCCAGTTCCCCAAGTCAGAAACCAGAGTCACCCCAGGCTTCTGATCACTCCCACATGCCAGCCCCCGGCTCCCTTCCTTCAACTGCTCTTCTCCCCTTCACTCCCAAGGTGGGGTCTCCTCTTGTCTGGAGACTGCAGGAGCTCCTCCTTGGCCCCCACCACCCCACCCAGGTGCAGGCCTGAAGTCTCTAGTTCAACACCAACTCTAACCTGTTAATCCCACACTTGAAACTTAACTGCCTACAGGAACAAGCCCAGGCCTCTCAGTGCAGCTCTCCTGAGCCTCAAGCCCAACCCCCTCCTCCAGCAACACTTGCACTGTATCATCTCCATTTGGTTTCTGAACCTAATCTGGCGCTGGCCCCTATGAACATGGAGGTCCCCATATCCCACAGAATATATCACCTTCTCCCAGGCAGAGTCCCCATCTCTCACCCCTCTCTCTGTAGCTGTGCTGCCTGCACTGAGCTGGAAATGTCCATATCCACCTCCTCCTGCCTCCACTGCAGTCCCTCACGGGCTGGCAGAGGTTCCAACTGCACAACCTCCCCAGAGGCCTCACTCAATCTACCCACAGGACAGAGGGAGAGCACTGTGGCCACTCACCCTGCGGTTCCGGTTGTGATCCATGGTCTTCAGATGCTTCTGGATGATCCCAAACTGCATGGGAATGAAGAGGTCGCAGGCTGCACAATGGGCTGCCTCCACCTTCTTCACAAAATGCTCCATGGCAATTTCTGTAGTGGGGAGGAGGGAGTCACCACTGGGCCCAGGTGCCTAAGATAGACCCAGGTGTTCGAGAAAAAAACCACACCAGCTCCTCCTCAACTCGCCCTGCCACTTCCACCTGGGCCTGAGCCAAGGCTGGTCTCCTGACCTTCCCTGGGGGAACAGAAGGGTGTCCTGACCCTGCACCGAAAATCAGGAGTGCAGGCTGAGGCCTTGCCTGGTGGGAGTGGGCTGAAAATCTCCTCACCCTGGGTCAGATCCTGGTCTCTGTAGATTTGCTGGATGAGGCCATCAAGGTCCTCCACGGTTTTTCGGAGCTCCTCTGTCTTCTTGGTCTTGTTAGTGACGTACTCCTGCAAGGAATATAAAGGTTCATGTGGGCCGCCTTATGTTCTCAGGGGTCCAAGAAACTAAGAGCGGCTGTGTTACTCCAAGGCTCACCTGCAGAAAGTCAGCCGTCTGCTTAGGGAGCTTGGTGCCTACGTACTTAAAGTGTTCCTTGTGGAACTTGCTGTCAAGATGGCTGGCCATCTCGTCCTCATAGAAGGTCCGGTATTTGCACAGAGAACACACAAACTGGATCCTGCCACAGGAAGGAAACGAGGGGCTGAGGCTGCAAGTGTCCCAGGGGATAGTGCTGCCGCCTCACCCAACCCAGACACAAGCCCTGAAACAGGCCTTGCTCACGGGCCTCTGAAGTACGGTCCCAGCAGAGGGACAGGCTGGGACCAGTGGGGTCGGGAGTAGAAAGGGCCAGAAAGTCTGCAGGCTGCAGTTACTGCAACGTAGGGGACAGGGGAGGAGCTCTTCCTTCCCACAGGCAGGAGGCTGAAGCCTGAGACAGCAGCTGCTGCAACAGGCAACGAGTCGCTGGAAAGTTGCTGGAGGGCCTCGCTACCAAGGCTGGGCAGGAGCGTGTGCACTTGGCCCAGGTGGGGACCGGAAGGAAGGATGCCCTGGCGTGAGCCAGGTGGCCCTGAGGTGCAGAGTGGAGTACGCAGTCCCGAGGCAGGGCCCGAAAAGGTGCTGCATCTTCCTTCTGGGATCTGGGGGACTCAAAGGCCCAGCCCATCCTCTGCTCAGAATGCTTGGGGGTGGTGTCGGGAGGGATGGGAGGCAGCAGGCCTGGGCACCTGCTGCCTCATCTTCCTCTTCCAAGAAGAGACCAGTCTGAGCTGGAAGGAGGGCGCCCGCTCGGCCTGCCAGAGGGCAGCCTGGAGTCACCTGGGCGAGGTGCTCTGTCTGGGCCTGGTGTCCACAGTAGAAGCCCGGGGTCTGGGGCCTGGGCCGGAGCAGGCCGCCGTGGCAAGGGGCGGAGGAGGCCAGCCGCCACCGAGACCTCGGGGCGGGTCCCTACCTCTGCCGGACGTCCTTATCTGGGCCACGGGGTCAGCTTTGTCTGGAGAGCCCAGGGGCCGGGCGCCGGCGAGGCTGAGGAAGGTCCAGCAAGAGCAAGAGTCTGAGGCGGAGGAGGCAAGCGCCAGTGCGGGAGCCCTGAGGGCAGACAGACCCGACCAAGGGGCGTGAAGGGCTCAGCCGCAGACAGGCCCGGCCTGACAGGGCCGGCGGGCAGGGCAGAAGGCAGGCCCGAGGCTGCCACAGCCCACAGGTGCTGCCATCTCTCCTGGGCACGGCGGTGGCCTCTTGGCAGCTAGCTGGGGCGGCACAGGCGCCTTGGACCTTGAGTCTCTGATGAGCTGGCCCCCTCCCTCAGGGGCATCAGGCCCCCAGTGCACCTTGGGGTTCGTGCGCCGAGTGACCTAGCGCCAGAGCTTCTGAGCAACGGTGCCGAGCGGTGTCAGGTCTCGGCCCACAGACGCCAGCGGTCGCCAGGCGGCCGCAGAGGGGCAGGGGATGAGTCAGGCCTTGGGAGCTGGGCCTGGCGGGAAGCAGGGTCCATGCACGGCCGAGCAGGTGGCGGCTCCCAAGGGAGGCCAGAGGGCGGCGAGCTGGCAGAGCTATGGCCCTGCTCTCCTGGCGGCAGCCCCACAGCGAGGCAGAGGCAGAGGGGTGGAGGGAAGCTGGTTACCTTTCCACCATGCGGTCTCGCTGCCGCTTTTTCTGCTTGTCCTGACTCTTCTTGCCTGCCTGCAACTTGCGCTTGGTCTGGCCATTTTCATCCTGGGTGGTTAGGGCCCCTGTGGGAGCAGATGGGCACTGTCACCAATTTGGCTCTGCCAGGACAGGGCAGGCCCTGCGGCCTCTGGCTGAATCACCCACTGTCCACTCCAGAGGGTCCATCGAGAATAGCTGTCCAAGCAAGGCCTCTGGCCATGAGCAGGGCTGGGTATCCTGGGCTGTGCAGGGAGTGGGTTTGGCCTAGGCCCCAAGGAGTGGGGGCCAGGCGATGACCCCTCCACTCTCCAGGACACCCATGCTCTCTGTGCAGTGGGCCAGGAGGAGGCTGGAAAGCAAAGAGGGGGTATCTTTGTGGGGACACTGGCACATGTTCAGAGGGGCCAGGTGGTGGGATGCAGGGAGGCTGCTCACATGGCCCTGCCCACCCCCAACCGGGCACCGCGGCAACAGTGGGCTGACGCTGGATTTGCTGTTAGGTACCTGCTGGCGCTCATCACTCAGGTGGGGGGACACGGAATCCCAACAGGGGCTGGAGAGGTGCTAAGGGAGAGGATACGCACACCAGAGCCGTAAAAACTGCACCGAGGGTCCCAGATCGGACACCAGCCACTGAGGACTTGGAACTGCGCGTTACTGAGGGACCGAGGGCAGGGGGCGTGCCTGGGGTTCCCCACACTTTTACTAGCTGCCCCCATCTGAAGGCAAAACCAGTGTGCTAGGCAGGGGTCACCACCATCCACAGCCTCCGCCTGGGAAGGAGGAGGAAGAGTGGGAAGGGGGTGGAGGCGGCGAAAAGAAAGCCCCCTGCCAGCACACACTCGGGCCCACAAGGGAGGTCCCCAACTGGCCGCATGTCTGCCGCAACCCTGCCCTCAGCTGGGTCCCTCCCACTGTGAGCCCCTGGAAGAGCCGCCCTAGCACCAGGCACCCCAGGAAAACTCACCCTTCTCTGGATCCTCTTTGCCTTCTTCTCTCCCATCCTCTTTTCCCTCCTCATCCTCTCCGTCCTAACAATTTCAAATTCCAACTTTAAAACAGGTGCCTTTTTTTTTTTTTTTAAAAGAAACCAAGTTTATTAGAGCAACGGTATATAGTAAAACAGCTGCTTGCTCCATAGACAGAGCAGGGCTATCCTATAGGCAGGGTGGCCCAGAGTAGCCCAGTTATTTACAATGGCTTTAAATGACAAGGCCCGGCTATGTGCCAGAAACCTCACATCCTCCCACTACCTGGTGCACAGGGGCTCATCCCATTTTCCAACAAGGAAACTGTGCCTCCAGCTAGGCAGCCTGTGCTTTCTGCCAGACCACACTGCCTCCCCATGCTGGTCACCATGCACGCAGAGCTGACACAGCATTGCCTCTGGCCCCCAGGGAGAGCACCACTCTTTAGGCCAGCTCGCCCTGCCTGCAGACAGAAAATGCCCAGCCAGAGCCACTTACCACTCTGGAGCCCTTCTCCACAGCCTCGGTGCCTTCAAGGCCCTCTGTGGCTTCCCCCTCGGTGCCCTCATCTGAAAGGGAAAAGGAGGTAAGCTCAACCCAGGAGTTCCCAGAGGCAGGGGGCAGCCGCCCAGTACCACCTAGTGGGCTCACCATTGTCTGAGTCGCTGTTGTCCGAGCAGTCCGTGCGGGTGGCTTTGCTATCTGGCTCATCAGGACTGCCGCCCTGCTTTCTCTTCTTCTTCTTGGTCTGGGTCATAAGGGGGGGAAGCCGTGTCAGGGTGCATGGCACCCGGCCCTTAGCTCCGCCCCAGTGGGAACTAAGCTTCCCAGAGGGGAAGGCTGCCTCCACTCACTCGGAAGTCGGCTGTGGTCCAGGTCTTCCAGGTCCGCCTCATCTGCTTCATGCCATTGCCAAACCCGAAACCAAAGCGGGAGCCGCCCGGGAAGGCGCCCCCACCTCGCATGCCCTGGAACATGCCGTACTCGGGGATGATGTTCTGGGAGAAGAGGGAGGGCAGCCGAGAGGCACCAGACATGCACTGGCCCCGGGCCCCCATGGGGTCTTCCCACATGCGCCCATAGCCTGAGGCCATTGGCCGGCCGCTCCGGGCATCCCGGGCCCAGCCCTGTGCCCTGGGACCGAAGGTGTCGTTGCCACGCATGCGGAACTGGTCGCGGTAGGCATCGTATTGGCCCTCATAGGCCATTTCCATCTCAGGGTCAAGCTCGCTGTAGTCATAGCCTGACCGGTACAGGTCGCGCTCACTCAGGACGGCCCTCGAGTCGCAGGACTCATAAGAGTCATACCTGCAGAGGCATGGGGTGAGCATCAGGTGGAGCCCCTCAGGATCCCTCACCTCCAGGCAACTGCTCCTGCCCTCCCCAATCTCCCAGTCCAGCACCCACCCTGCCCTGGTTGGGAGGCTCAATGTTCAGAAATGCCGATTAAAGAGTTCCAGCCTCTCAGCTGATATAGGGGCACCACTGCCCCAAACTTGAATGTAGCCACACACTGGCTTGGGGACCCTAAGAAGGACTGAAGGACTGATAACTGGGGTGGAGGCTCTAGTCCAGTGAGTCTCAACAAGGGGCAGAGCTGCTCCACAGCCCTTTGGGAACATGTACACCATCTGTGGGAGCTGCAACGCCCAAGGCTGCTCCTCACAGGGCAAGGCTGAGCACCCCAGCACCCTGCAGGATGCAGGCAGGTCCAGCACAATGAATGCGCAGCCAGTGAGGCTGATGATACCCATGGGAAACACTGTTCTTGTCCCTCATGGCTGGGGAACCTTCAAACTCTGCAAAGTCCCTCATTACCAAAACAACTGAGACAAAAGGGGGAGTATTTCCCAGGGAAGACACTGAGAGCTTGCCCAGGGACAAGAAAAAGAGCTGTATTACATCAACCCTGGAGCCCAGAGCCAGACACCAAACTCTATATACCCTGTATTGCAACTGGGAAGGCAGGCCAGACCTCCTCCCAGGACACAGAGGGCACCGCAGAGAGCTCTTTTAACCGTGACTGCAGCCCGCAGCCCACACCCCTACAGGCCTGGACCCCACACACCTCACAGGCACAGGGGCTCCCCTTGCACACTCTTCCCTAAACCTGGGCCACCAAGAGGCACCGGCAGCTCTAAGAGCAGCAGTTGGTGCTGCCGCTGCTCTGCTTACCCCGATCCCAGGCTCCAGGCTGTGGTAAGAAGGTGCATAGCAGCAACGCAAGGCCAAGCCTCACATGCCAAGCCCTCAGCTCTGAGTGCTGCAGCTGTTGGGCCAGGAGTTACAGAGCCCATGGCATCAAATCCCCTTGTGCCTGTTCCACACCCTGCCACCACAGCCCTGGGGCCTCCCTTGGCCCTATCAGTGCTCAGCCAGGCAACTCCTTACTCTTGGCTCTCACTCATCTGTTAGCTGGTGCTCCACTCTATCCCATGTTAGAGATACACCCACGCTCCTCACCAAAGCCTCGCACTGGGCATAAGCACTCCTGGGCCAAGTCCAGTTCAGTTAATAACAAATGCCCACAGCATGATGCTTTGGAGTAGGGCAGATCTGGTAGGCGAGGCCCAGCCCCACCAAGTACTTGCTGCGTGCCTTCAGGGTATGACCTGCCTGCACTTCTGTATCCCCACCTGCAAAATGAGGACAGCAGCAGTTCCTCACAGGAGTGCTTCCATCAGGTACATGTTTGTAAGGCACAGGAGAGTAACCAGGAAATGCCCACACCTGCCCCGACCCTTACGTGGGGGTGGCCCAGCTCGCAGTGATCAGCCCCAAACGCTCGTCCCACCCTTCACACCAAACTCCATCTGTCCTGCCCTGACACCACGCAGGAGGCAAAGTCTCGAGAGAATTCCAAATGGCTGTCCTTGGAGGGAGGGGTGGCTGAACACTCTGTTTTTGAGGGCACAGTGAAGTCTGCCCAGTCTGGGCTTGTTCCTCTCACCGCAAGCTGGGAAAGGCTGACCACCAGGCAGTGCGGCAGGGGTTGAGGGTGGGTGAGAGGAGACACAAGTCAGAGACGGGAAGTGCAACGGACCCTGCTGGGAGCCACAGCAGCACCAAGCAGCGGGGAGGAAGCAGACACAGAGGGGCACTCAGAGAGGAAAACGCAGTGGGCAGCAGGCAGGAGCCGCCCCTGCAGAGTCTCAACCCCTAGGCAGGTGTCCACTCACCTTTCTCCACCTGAGCCGTACACGCCTCCTTGCATCATGTCTGTCTCCAAATGCGGCACCATATCTAAGCGCTGGTTAATTCTGGATAAAACGGAATCGGCACTGGCGCTACCCGAGGCACTAGTGTTTGCATTTGTGTCAGAGCTAGGCATTTCCCAAGAGTGTGAAGTGGCCATACCATACCCATAGTTGGTGGTGTTATCCTGGCCATAGCCATAGCCATAGCCATAGCCCTCGTAGCCTGCAGTGAGGGAGACAGAGACAGACAGATGGTGGGGGCAGGCAGAGGGGAGGCAGACAGAGACAGAGACAAACACAGATACAAGGGTATCTTCTGTCACAGAGAGAGAAGACCCTAGCCACTGAAGCTAGATGGGCCCTGGTCATTCTGATGAGGGCCTCCTGTTAAGGAGTAGGTAACCCCAGAAACATGCCCCCTCCCCACTCCCAACCTTGGCCAAGCAGGGCAGTGGCAGAGAAACACAGCCAGGACAACCCCAAGGGACAGGACAGCAATCACAGGAATGACACTTGCCTCTATTTGTCCCAGAGTTCCAAGTTCCATATCCTACAAAAAGTAAAAGGGCAGTTACATCTATACTTGCTTACAATACAAGGCCATAATTCAGGCGCAGACAATTATTCCCAGGACCTGACTGGTCAGAGCAGGCTGCACCTCCCCTAACCGAGAAGCCTTGAGCTCGCGAGCACTGCGCAAATGACCCAGGCCACTTGCTGCCCTGGTGCCTGGCTGCCTGTGGCTCTGAGCATCTGTTATTTAAGGATCCTTCTGTTCCCAACACTCTCAACTAAGGAACTTGGCTCCTATACTCCTCCCTTTAAGAGCCAGAATTAGAAGGTGACCTCCACACCCCAAGCTAAGTGCTAATCAGTTTATAGCAGAAAACCCAACCCCAGTCTCCCAAGAGTCTGCCTTAAAAGGGAGGGCCAACAAGCCCTTGAATTGTTGACTGTGCTGTGCTGGAACACATCAGTGAGAGAAGCCCAAGAAGCAACCCCTCGCTTGAGAAAAGCTGTGGAGAGAACAATCTGGATTATCAACTTAATATGCTCTGGATTCAATCACAACACATGATAAAACCTCATTCCTTCAGTAACATAAAGCCACTGAGAAGTGACAAAGTGTAAAGTCCCCTGGGAACTCTGAGTCAAACACACAGTTCCTCCCCAAAGGAGGGCACAGAGCAGGTGACCCCTTTCCCTGGGTCTCTGGTGAGACCCAACAGTTGTTTCCCATTCCATGTCATCTCTGCCCCGCAGAGGACATGCTCATCCCAGGGCAGGGGACCGAAGCTCAGTGAGACAGACAGCAGGGCAATAAGTGGCAGAAGCCAGACCACAGCAGGAAGAGTGTAAGTCAACTGAAAAGATGAGCCAGAGAGAACAGGCAGGCTGTCGTCCTGCACTTGGGTTCCTCCACGACCCAGTGCACAAAAAGAATGGGAAGAAATCAGAGAGAAGCTGAGGAACTGCTGATGACCACTATGTTTAACAAGAGAGCTCACAAAACAAAAACTCTTGGGCTGGAGAAACCAAAACAGGCTTCTCATCCATTTGTTTATGTATCCCCTGAGCACAGGGAACAGAGGCTTGCAGTCCCAGGCACTGCTCAGGCATGGAGATCTGCCTGTTGGTAAGAGAGATGCTAACAGCCAGAGAGCAGCATGGGTAAGTCAGGAGTGGTAGCTGAGGAAAGAATGGAGCCATTCTAAGAGGCAAGAGAGGCTGGCAGAGCCACATAAAGAAAAACACACAAGGCTGGGTGCAGTGGCTCACGCCTGTAATCCCAGCACTTCGGGAGGTCGAGGCGGGCGGATCACCTGAGGTCAGGAGTTTGAAACCAGCCTGGCCAACATGGTGAAACCCCTTCTCTACCAAAAATACAAAATTAGCCAGGCGTGGTGGTGCACACCTGTAGTCCCAGCTACTCAGGAGGCTGAGGCACAGTTGCTTGAACCCAGGCGGCAGAGTTTGCAGTGAGGTGAGATCGCGCCACTGCACTCCAGCCTGGGCGACACGGTGAAACTCCATTTCAAAAAAAAAAAAATAGAACAACACACAGGTAGCCCAGGCAGCTACTGTACACCTGGCCAAGTGACTGTTTGTACCAGGGACAGTGGGCACTAGCTATTCTAAAGAAAATAGGAGTTGGGCGTGGTGGCTCATGCCTGTAATCCCAGAACTTTGGGAGGCCAAGGTGGGTGGATTACGAGGTCAGGAGTTCGAGACCAGCCTGGCCAATATGGTGAAACCTCATCTCTACTAAAAATACAAAAATTAGCCAGGTGTGGTGGTGCGCGTCTATGGTCTCAGATGCTTGGGAGGCTGAGGCAGGAGAATCACTTGAACCTGGGAGGTGGAGGTTGCAGCGAGCCAAGATTGCACCACTGCACTACAGGCTAGGCGACCGAGCGAGACTCTGTCTCAAAAAAAAAAAGAAAGAAAAGAAAAAGAAAATAGGATATGGAGGCAAAAGCAGATCCATCAGGGCTCTGCTTGGGAGGCTACAATGTGGTCACTGCAAGCTTCACCTGCTGAGGATCTGCCACAACAGAGTGAGGAGGCACAACGAAAGGAAGCAGCATCAACTCCGTGAACACCACTTTACGTTTTAAGGACAAGCAGGGCCTCCCACGATGGGCAACTCTCAGGAGTCCCTCCAGGCAAACACTCACTACATGCCACTTGCTATGCCTGGAGCAACCCAGACTCCTTGATGGACATCCCAGCTGGGTCCCTTCAGGAGGAAGCCTTCATCTAGACTGGCGTTTAGGGACTCCCCAAGACCTGCCCTTTCTGAAAGAACACCCCAACTCATTTCCATCCCCAGAAGGGATGAGATCATGGTTGACAAAAGAAATTTTAAGGAGAGAGAGAGAGAGAGAGAGAGAGAGAGAGAGAGAGAGAGATCCTTAAAATTTATATATTTATTATTATTAAATATATACATATATATGTAAAAATAAGATATATGTACATATATATTTTTGAGATAGAGTCTTGCTCTGTCCTCCAGGCTGGAGTGTAATGGTGTGATCACAGCTCACTGCATCCTCGACTTCTTGGGTTCAAGTGACTCTTCTGCCTCAGCCTCCGGAGTGGCTGGGACAACAGGCATGTGCCACCATGCCCAGCTAATTTTTTCTATTTTTGTAGAGATAGGGTTTTACTATGTTGCCCAGGCTGGTCTCAAACTCCTGGGGGCTCAAGCCTCCCATCTCAGCCTCTCAGAGTGCTGAGATTATAGGCATGAGCCACTGCACCTGGCCCCAAGGACATAATTTTTAAAAGAAAAAAGGACATGGTCACAGTATGTGATATTTATGGACCAAAAATAGAAAACAATTTAACACTCAACTTTAACGTAATAGTTAATCAGATTACACCTACCTACTCGGTGACATATCATGTAAGCATATAAAAAGAATTTACTATGCCTTATGTGGCACAAGGAAATGCTTCTAACATAAAATAAAGCAGGACCAGCCAGGCGCAGTGGCTCACACCTGTAATCCTTTTGGGAAGTGGGGCAGGCAGATCGCTTGAGCCCAGGAGTTTGAGACCAGCCTGGGCAACATAGCAAAACCCCATCTCTAGAAAAAATACAAAAAATAGCTGGGCATGGTAGGGCATGCCTGTAGTCCCAATTATGCAGGAGGCTGAGGTGGGAGGGCTATCTGTGCCCAGGAGGTGGAGGTTGCAGTGAGCTGAAATTGTGCCACTGTGCTCCAGCCTGGGGGACAGAGTGAGATCATATCTTAAAAAAATAAAATAAAATAAGAGCAGTACCCACAATTCTATCCACCTATAAATTATTAAACTACACAAAATCAGTAAGCTGATAAAAATTAAACATTAATATGGTAGGATCTTGGTTGACTGTTTTTCAAAATGTTATTTAAATGTTATATTGTTCTTGCAATTCAAGCCAGAAGGAAAAATAAATCCATCTCTATTCTTTCACAATTGTGTATGTAAAAAAATCTCAAACAAATCTACAAAAGAGCTACTAGAATAAGTGAGCTTAGCAAGGTTTATTACAAGGTCAATCTGTAAGTCAAATTTCAAATATTACAAGGTAAACCTACAAATCAAATAGCAATCAAATTTCTATATATCAGCAATGAATGGAAAGTTTTTAAAAGTACCATTTCCTATAGCACTAAAAGCATGAAAAACTTGGCGTAAATCTAACAAAGTATGTGTAGGATCTGTGTTGAAAACTACAAAACACTACATCAGTGAAGTGACATACTGCACTCATGAATCAGAAGACTTGATATTGTTAAGATGTCAATTTTCTCAAACTAATCTATAGATTCTACAGATTTGATAGATCTATAGATCCAAGGCTCTCTCACTCAAAATCTCAGCATGAATTTTTTAAAAAACTTCATAAACTGATTCTAAAATTTATATGCAAAAGCAAAGAAACTAACAATTTTGGAAAAAAGAACAAACCTGGAGGACTCATATTTCAAGATTACTATTAACCAGTAATCAAGACTGCATTGCTGGGCGAGGCGCAGTGGCTAATGCCTGTAATTCCAACACTTTGGGAGGCCGAGGCAGGTGGATCATGTGAGGTCGGGAGTTTGAGACCAGCCTGGCCAACATGGTGAAACCAGTCTCTACTAAAAATACAAAAAGACCGTGCTGCTGAACGAAATTTAGATGTACAGACCAATGGAACAGAATGAGAGTCCAAGAGTCCAGAAATAGACCCACAGTATATGGTCAACTGATTTTCAGTAAAGGTACGAAGGCAATTCAATAGAGAAAATATAGGCCTGGCACAGTGGCTCACACCTGTAATCCTAGCACTTTGGGAGGCCAAGGCGGGTGGATCACCTGAGATGGGGAATTCAAGACCAGCCTGGCCAATGTGGTGAAACCGTCTCTACTAATAATACAAAAATTAGCCAGGCGTGGTGGCACATGCCTGTAATACCAGCTATTTGGGAGGCCAAGGCACAAGAATAGCTTGAATCTGGGAGGTGGAGGTTGTGGTGAGCTGAGATCGCGCCATTGCACTCCAGCCTGGGCAACAAGAGCGAAACTCCATCTCAAAAAAAAAAAAAAAAGAAAGAAAGAAAGAAAGAAAGAGGCCGGGCGCGGTGGCTCACGCCTGTAATCCCAACACTTTGGGAGGCCGAGGCGGGAGGATCACGAGGTCAGGAGCTCGAGAACATCCTGGCAAATACGGTGAAACCCCGTCTCTACTGAAAATACAAAAAGATTAGCCAGGCGTGGTGGCGGGCAACTGCTCGGGAGGCTGAAGCGGGAGAATGGCATGAACCCAGGAGGCGGAGCTTGCAGTGAGCTGAGATCGCGCCACTGCACTCCAGCCTGGGGGACAGAGTGAGACTCTGTCTCAAAAAAAAAAAAAAAGAAAGAAAAAATGGTTTTGTTTTTGTTTTTGTTTTTTAAACAAATGGTGCTGGAACAATTATATATTTATATGCCATAGAAGAATAAGAAACCTTAACCTATACTGCACACCTTGTAGAAAAATTAACTCAATATGGATCACAGACTAAATGTAAAACCCACAACTAAAACACCTAAAAGAAAATTCTAAAGAAAATATTACAGATTTCTTAGATATAAAAGCAAAACCATCATCTATTAAAGAAAAGATTGAATTGGGCTTCAAAATTAACAACTTGTGTTCTTTCTGACACAAGACAAGACACACTGACAAGAGAATAGACAAGCCACAGTCTGGGAGAAAATATTTGTAAATGGCATATCCGAGAAATGGCTTGTACTCAGAATATGCAATCCAGAGGGAAAATAATTCAAAAGGATGTGCAATTAGGGACTACATTTGATGAAAAGGGAGAGGCAGGGAGGGCAGCACAGGGAAGTCAAGCAAACCAAGTTTCTCCTCATTTATGAGACACCTGATACCTTCTCACTCAATTTCAAAATATTTTAAGTCTTCCCTTTTCCTGGGACTAGCTGCTGTTACTTGGGGAGCTTACTTAAGTCTCTTTATGCAGTGACCCCTGAAGGCATGTTAGCTGTGTAGGATCAGTCTTTCCCCAGATCTTGGTAGTAAAAGAAATTACCCATCTCAGTAACTAAGACATTATCCCTGTTAATTCCAAAGAGGGCTCCTTCTCAACAGATACCCCTAGAGTCACAGACAACCAAAAACCAGCTTTAACAGCAGTCCGGGCTGCCACAGCACACAAACAAAACAGCATCTGTGAATCCTACTGGTGGCTACTTCTGAATTAGCTAATTAGGTGTTTCTGTCCACGCTGGAAAACTCAATCAGAGATCTTCACTCAACTCTGTGTGTGTGGAGCCTGCTGGCTTGAGGTGGCCTGGCTGAGTCTCCAAAAGCTGCCAGATTCACACACTCAGCCTCTCTCCCACAGCAAGGACATGCACTATGCTGGGACTAAGTTAATAGCTTGCTTTCTCCTGGACCAATCCTTTGGACTTTTTTTTTTTTGAGACAGAGTCTTGCTCTGTTGCCAGGCTGGAGTGCAGTGGCATGATATCGGCTCACTGTAACCTCTGCCTCCCGGGTTCAAGTGATTCCCCTGCCTCAGCCTCCTGAGTAGCTGCGACCACAGGCACACACCACCATGCCCGGCTAATTTTTTGTATTTTAGTATAGATGGCATTTCACCATGTTGGCCAGGATGGTCTCGATCTCCTGACCTCAAGTGATCCACCCGCCTCGGCCTCCCAAAGTGCTGGGATTACAGGCAGGAGCCACCGCGCCTGGCCTCCTTTGGACTTTAATTGGCCACTGTGACTCCCAGTCCCTCCCCCATGGGGATTTGAAGCCAGGCCTTTTATCAAAGAGCCTAACTTGCTCAGGAACACAGCTACTTTTCCCATAATTGCCTGAAAGGGAAGCACTAGCTATTCAAATGGCCACACCATTTCACACAAGTTTAGGTTTAAAAAAGCATGACAGGGTGACAGCAAAGCCAAAGGCAACTAAGAAGACAAGGAACTGCTCTGCAGAACACTTTGGTTCCCACCAGAAGTCCACACTTACCATAATCACAGGTGGGCTGAGCGCTGGTATCCGAGTATGTCGACTGCAAAGTGGTTTCAGATCCCTGGACAAAGCCTAAACATAAAGACAGTGGGGTTAATTTCCACAAGCAAGTCACAGGGAAATGACCTGAGACTACCTAACCTTTGGTATAGGATTGCCAGCAGGCCCTTCTCTCAACGAAAAGCCACCAAAACCTCTAGATTCCACAGTTTAATTAGACCGTCAGAAAATATTACCCAATGGAAAGGCAGGCTATGTTTAACTTGCTATACCAGGAGGACTAGATTAAAAAATTATTTATTTACTTTTTAAAAACAAGGTCTCACTCTGTCCGGGCTGCAACGCAGTGGCATGATCACGGCTCACTGCAACCTCGACCTTCCAGGCTCAAACAATCCTCCTGCCTCAGCCTCCCAAGTAGCTGAGACTATACGTTCGTGCCATCATTCGCAGCTAATTTTTATACTTTTTTGTAGAGATGGGGTTTCATCATGTTGCCCTGGCTGGTCTTTAATTCCTAGGCTTAAGCAATCCACCCTCCTGAACCTCCCAAAGTGCTGGGATTACAGGTGTGAGCCACAGAGCCTGGCCCCAAATAAAAATTTTTAAACATTTAAGCCAGTAGCCTATTTTGAGAAATGAACACCCAAGTTATCATTCTGTTAAATGAGGAAACTATTCAAATCCCTGAAGGGTGAGCCACTTGGAATTCAAACAAGGATGGAGGTTAGCTTCAAAACCATGTTAAAGCAAATAATACCCCCCTCCCTGTTCTAAATCTGAAACAGAAACTGCTTTTTATTTTGGTTTTCCCATTAAAAAGTGTGTATAACAATTATAACAATTATTTCTGGGCCGGGCAGTGGCTCATGCCTGTAATCCCAACACTTTGGGAGGCCAAGATGACCAGCCTGGGCAACAGGGTGAAACCCTGTCTCTACAAAAAAAAAAAAAAGCCAGCTGTGGCAGCATGTGCCTGTAGTCCTAGCTACTTGGGAGGCTGAGGTGGGAGTGTCACTTGAGCCCAGAAGGTCAAGGCTGCAGTGAGCTATGATTGCGCCACTGCATTCCAGCCTGGGTGACAGAGCAAGACCCTGTCTCAAAACAAAAACAAAAACAAAAAACAATTATTTCTTAAAAGTAATTATTTGGGGTGGCATGGTCATATGGAAATAAGTATTATTATATATACATAAAATTTCCTATCTTCTCAACTTTCAAACTATTTCTCAACATAAAATGAATTAGGGCTGGATGCAGTGGCTCATGCCTGTACTCACAGTACTTTGGGAGGCCAAGGGGGGGTGGACTGGTTGAGGCCAGGAGTTCAAGACCAGCCTGGCCAACATGGTGAAACCCCATCTCTACTAAAAATACAAAAATTAGCTACTAAAAATACAAAAATTACAGGGCACAGTGGCTCACGCCTGTAATCCCAGCACTTTGGGCGGCCGAGGCAGGTGGATCACGAGGTTAGGAGTTCGAGATCAGCCTGGCCAATATGGTGAAACCCTGTCTCTACTAAAAATACAAAAATTAGCTGGGCGTGGTGGTGTGTGCCTGTAGTCCCAGCTGCGCAGGAGGCTGAGGCAGGAGAATCGCTTGAACCCAGGAGGCAGAGGTTGCAGTGAGCCAAAATCATGCCACTGCATTCCAGCCTAGGCGACAGAGCAAGACTCCGTCTCAAAACAAACAAACAAAACCCCAAAATTAGCTGGGTGTGGTGGCACCTGCCTGTAATCCCAGGTTCTTGGGAGGGTGAGGCAGAAGAACTGCTTAAACCCAGGAGGCGGAGATTGCAGTGAGTGGAGATCGTGCCACTGCACTCAAGCCTGGGTAATAGAGCAAGACTCCATCTCAAAATAAATAAATAAATGAAATAAAATAAAATGAGTTAGTGCCAAGTAAGGAAAACTTCTACCTCTATCAGAAACCAGTGCTCCTACAGACTATGACTGATGCTAATCCTGACACTTGCTTTAAAACTACATTAAAAAAAGAAAAAACAACAACTCTACAGTTAGAAATACATATATATTTTTTTGAGACGGAGTCTCGCACTAGGTTGGAGTGCAGTGGCACGATCTCGGCTCACTGCAACCTCCACCTCCCGGGTTCAAGCGATTCTCCTGCCTCAGCCTTCTGAGTAGCTGGGACTACAGGCGCGTGCCACCATGTCCGGCTGATTTTTTTGTATTTTTAGTAGAGATGGGGTTTCACCATGTTAGCCAGGATGGTCTCGATCTCCTAACCTTGTGATCCGCCCGCCTTGGCCTCCCAAAGTGCTGGGATTACAGGCGTGAGCCACTGCGCCCGGCCAGAAATACATATTTTTGAATAATTTTCTCTCAGCACTGAAATTACGACAGATACCATAAGAGGCAGTATTTGCCTTTCCCATCAGAGCCAACTCATGACCTGAAAATTAAAGCCTATGCCTTTAACAGCTTGTTTACATCAAAAACCTACAGAAGTGCCTTCCCCCTGGGTAAGCGTTCTCTTATTTGTTGACAGTGTCTCTATTTTATCTCTTAAGACCACAGCAGCAGCAGCCAACAGCAAACAAGTGCTTTCCCTGCAGGGTGCTAAGAACATTTATCTGCAATGATCTCATTTCATCCTCACCACAGACAATAAGGGCAGGTGGGCAAGATTCCTTACTCTGCAATTCCCCCAGGTCCAAAAGGGTCTGAACACCAAGTGTTTTCTACCAGTGTGGTGCCAAAACTCACGCTGGAGCTGTTTTCACCTGTAAGGACATTTATAATCTTTCTTTGTCCTACTTAGTGCAGAATTAATCTATTTAAATACAAGGTGCTTCCCCAGACCCCACGTGACTTCTCTTAAGCTAGAATTCCAAAATACATCTAGCTCCAAGGGTTCCAAAGACGGAGCTGTGAACCCAGCTTCATCTTCACTTTCCAGAGTAGGGACTGGGACTTGAGGCAGGATAAAACCGAGGGTATACAGATCCAGTCTTCTACCTTCCCTAAGTAAAGAGGCTAGAAATCCATTCAAATGGATTCCTTCCAGGGATCTGGACCTTCCTGAGATGCCTAAAATCCAGGCATTGTTGATTAATAGCTGTCCATAAGAAACACTGAGAGCAGCTTTGAAGAGTTCACCCAGGGGAAAGCCTTATAATGTAAGGAATACCCAGCCCCTGCGGTCTCCACTGTTTGCTCAACTGGCCTCTGGAAACTTGTTCTTTCAGCAATTGGGCCACCAGTAAAATGGCCTCAGACTTTAGGTAATGTGATCTGTGAGTACTGCAACTGCAAATGACAGCCTACCACACCCTCACAAGATACAGTCAGCAAGCTGCTGAGCAAAATATCTGTGTCTGTTCAGGCGAGAGGGGCCCTGGTGCTTCCCTAGGAAGGAAAGACGATCCATCAAACCCTCCAAGATCAATGGCAATCTCTGCTCTAACTCTATACCCTGCACCACATTAACATTCTGTTCCACAATACCATCTGCAAAGATCGCAGAGCAGGCCCTTCTGTAGCCAGTTTTGGCTCCTATTATGAATAATTCTTTTTTTTTTTTTTTTTTTTTTGAGACGGAGTTTCACTCTTGTTGCCCAGGCTGGAGTGCAATGGTGCGATCTCGGTTCACCGCAACCTCCACTTCCCAGGCTCAAGCGATTCTCCTGCCTCAGCCTCCCGAGTAGCTGGGATTACAGGCATGCGCCACTACGCATTTTGTATTTTTAGTAGAGACGGGTTTTCTCCATGTTGGTCAGGCTGGTATCAAACTCCCGACCTCAGAAGATCTGCCCGCCTCGGTCTCCCAAAGTGCTGGGATTACAGGCGTGAGCCACCACGCCCGGCCTAAATTCTTAGCTGGTTTGTAAAGTGTTCTCTTGGTACAATTTATCAGCCTGATTAGCGCTGGTTGAAAAAAATAAAATATGCCCTATATGGCCCTATAAAGCTAAATGTTAGATCACAGATTTCTTTTTTTTTTTGTTTGTTTGTTTTTGAGACGGAGTCTCGCTCTGTCGCCCAGGCTGGAGTGCAGTGGCACGATCTTGGCTCACTGCAAGCTCCGCCTCCTGGGGTCACGCCATTCTCCTGCCTCAGCCTCCTGAGTAGCTGGGACTACAGGCACCTGCCACCACGCCTGGCTAATTTTTTGTATTTTTCACAGAGATGGGGTTTCGCTGTGTTAGCGAGGATGGTCTCGATCTCCTGACCTCGTGATCCGCCCACCTCGGCCTCCCAAAGTGCTGGGATTACAGGCGTGAGCCACCACGCCTAGCCCACGGATTTCTTTCTTTCTATTTTTATTAGAGACAGGGGGTCTCACTGTCATCCAGGCTGGAGTGCAGTGGCACAATCACTGCTCACTGTGGCCTCAGCCTCCGGGGCTCAAGTGATCCTCCTACTTCAGTCTCCTGTATAGCTGGGACTATAGCCACGCACCACCAGGCCCAGCTAATTTTTGTTTTCTTTTTCTTTTTTTGTTTTGAGAGACAGGGTCTCACTATGTTACCCATGCTGGTGTTGAATTCCTGGGCTTAAGCAATCCTCTCACTTTGAGACCATGGATTTCTAGTTCTGCAGCAACACTCCTTGCTTTTAACCAATCTCTCGTCAACTTTTTTTGCTCAAAAATACAAAAGCAGGCCAAATGCTGTGGCTCATGTCTGTAATACCAGTACTTTGGGAGGCTGAGTTGGGAGGATCACTTGAGCCCAGGAGTTCAAGACCTGCGTGGCAACATAGTGAGACCTCATCTCAGAAATAAAAAATTAGCCAGGCATGGTGGCATGCACATGTAGTCACAGCTACTTGGGAGGCTGAGGTGAGGTGGGAGGATTACTTGAGCACAGGAGGGCGAGGCTGCAGTGAGCTATGATTTTGTGCCACTGCACTCCAACCTGGGCAACATAGTGAGACCCTGTCTCAACAAAACAAAACAAATGCTTCTCAGTTTTATACTTTTCCTTTCTCCTTTTTAAAAAAGAGTATATATTTTCTTGAGACAGGATCTTGCTCTGTTGCCCAGGCTGGAGTGCAATGGCATGATCATAGCTCAGCAATGTTGAACTCCTGGGCTCCAGCAAACCTCCCAGTCAGCCGGGCGCAGTGGCTCATGCCCGTAATCCCAGCACCTTGGGAGGCCAGGGAGGGCGGATCACAAGGTCAGGAGATCAAGACCATCCTGGCTAACAAGGTGAAACCCCGTCTCTACTAAAAATACAAAAAATTAGCCGGGTGTGGTGGCGGGCACCTGTAGTCCCAGCTACTTGGGAGGCGGAGGCAGGAGAATGGCATGAACCTGGGAGGCGGAGCTTGCAGTGGGCCGAGATGGCGCCACTGCACTCCAGCCTGGGTGACAGAGCAAGACTCCGTCTCAAAAAAAAAAACAAAAAAAAAATCCCAGAGTCTCGCTGTCATCCAGGCTGGAGCACAGTGGCACAATCATGGCTCACTGCAGCCTCAACCTCGCAGAGCTAACTTTTTTATTTTTAATTTTTATAGAGAAAGGGTCTTGCTATGTTGCCCAGGCTCATCTCAAACTCCTGGCCTCAAGCAATCTTCCTGCCTCGGCCTCCCAAAGTGTTGTGATTACAAGTGTGAGCCACCGTGCCTGATCTAAAAAAAAAAAAGAGTCTTATTTGAAGGAGTAACACAGAGTACCAAAAATTAAAAGATAACTGGAATTAGGTTAGGTTGCCTTCAATCTTTATTATCTGAGCCAAGAGTAGGGTGACAACCATCCTCAAAGATGGTCTCCATTCCTGCCTCTTAACGTTATGTAGATCCCTCCCAACTAATAGAGCTAGCCAGTGCAACCAATAAGATTTATGAAAATGACTGAGTGTGACTTCTGGGATTTTCGCCTTGCTCTTTCTGGGATCATTCAGTCTGGAGAAAACCAGCCACCATGTTGTGAGGATACTCCAGCAGCCAGCCCTAGGGAGAGATCCATGGGGCCAAGAATTATTGGCCAGCATCAGCCTGCCAGGCATGGGAGTTTAAGTCACCTTGGAGGTGGGACCTCCAGCCTCAGTCAGGCTTTCAGATGACTCTAGTCCACATAGAGATCCTAAATGTAACCTCATGATATTCCAAGCTAGAACCACCCAGTGAAATCACCTATCCATTCCAAACATAAAGAAACTGTGTGAGACAATAAATGTTTCTATGACAAGTACAGTAGCATTTCAGACCTTTGTTTGAGGGCCTGATTCTGGATATTTCTGTGCTGTTTACCACTGCTCTCCTCTTCCCCTCTCAGTGCTAGAGATGCAGCTTCCTTTCCCACGTATAAATAAGGTAACAGGGTTCAAAAGCAGGGCGAGTTAATAAAAAGATTTATCAGTCACCTTTTATGTTTAATAATGCTAACATTTGCTTCGAGGCCTCTAGGACTTACCCTTAAAGCTATTAGTTGTCTGAAATGTGAATTAAAATGCCTTTGACTTTAGTGCCCTACTTCTTAAATAAGGGGAAGACTCACATTGTAAATTACTGTGGTTTTCAGTTTATCAAGATAAAGGAAAAACTAATCATTACTTTTTTAGCTTGGCTATCTCAGTGCCCACCCAAACCCAGAACTACAGCCTACAAGACCTAGAGCTGGAATTCAGGTTTGGTCATTAGTGACCTTGTATCTCAGTTTCCTCATCTATTAAAAAAAAGAGCTCCATTACTCAGCTACCCCACAGCACCCAACCATTCATCTTCTGGTTTCTTCAAGAGTCCTGTTTTTAAAAACCATGAAACTGTCTTCCAGTTCTTGGTAAGACTTGGTGAGAATTATATTCCAATCCCAGGGATGTCAGTAACAACCCCATAGTCTTTCCTCCTGAACTAGGAAAGCTACAGAAAGGCTCTGGCAGAGCTGCCCAACTTGGGCACTACTGATGTTTGACGCCAGATACTTCTTTGCGGTAGGTGTCATTGTGTATACCGTAGCAGGGCAGCATCCCAAACCTCCATCCACTAGATACCAGCAGCACTCCCACTCCCATATGTGACAACCAAAAATGTCTCCAGACATTGCCAGATGTCATCTGGGGCAGAATCACCCCTGGATGAGAACCCACTGGGCTGGGGGATGGTTGCTAGAAAAACTGGGGTTCTTGGAAAGCTCCTGACCTGGCAGCCAGGGTAGAGGGGACTGGCACTACCTTCTTGCCTATGCCAACATAAAGTGGTCTACAAAGGAGCCCCACAGACTCACGTTGCATTCTCAGTTCTCAAAATTCCAAGTAGAATGCAGGTTACCTGGCAACCACACACGCTCAAGCCTATAATACCCTCACCAAACAGGGAGGCCTAGTGTAAGTCTCCTGGCCGAGAAGCCTCATCAGTCACTGCCAAGGCAAACCCAGGAGGCCTTGGCAATTCACCCAGTGATGATTTACAGTCGCCCAAGCATATTGCGGGGGGCGGAGAGGGGCTCTCGGATCTGTCACCCACTCTCCCTTTCAAATCCCATTGGCCTCCCACTGGCCTCCCTGGCTGATCTTCTAACAAGCCAGGCAGTTCCTGCCCGTAAGCCTTTTACAGCAAAAGCTCCCTGGGCCAGATATCTTTATTCGCTCCCTCCATTTAGGTCTCTGCTCAAATGTCACCTCTTTACAGAAGGCTCCAACCACTCCACGTAGTGGAGCGACCCCCGCACGGTACTGACCACCCTAAAATATATCCTACACTCGCTTATTTGCCTATTAAGATCCTCGCCTCTAAGCTGCTTGAGGAATTCTTGTCTGTATTCCCAATACCCAGTCTGTACCGGACACGGTTCATTTGACAGACGCAGAGGGAATTAACATGGAACCTTGTCATTCCTTGCAGTTCAGCCCCTAGGGGCCCAAGGCTCCCCGCTCAGCCCAAACCCTTCCAATATTTACTTATCCCCCTAGGGCCTGGCGCCTTTCCCAGTTCTGAAATAGACAAAAGGGGGTGGTGGGTGGGATCGGGATGGGGGTGTAGAGCTGCGGCGTTTTTGCAGAGAAACTGCGCGGGGGAGGACGCGACAATGGCGACGGCAGCCGAGCCTGCTGCCTGCTCGCAAGGACCAAGGCCTGAGAAAGGGAAACCTAAGGCGTCGAGGTCCAGGAGCGCAGGCCAGGGACGGAGGTGGTGGGGGCGGAGACCTCGTGCGCTGAGGCCCGGACCCACGGACACAGGCGACAGAAGCCAAGACATCAGGCGGCCGGGAGCCGGGACGCCGGCTGCAGACACAGAGAGCTGAGGCAACGAGGCGTGAGGGCAGCGACCCTGAGGCGACGGGCCAGCGGCGCCATTTTGTGACCGCAGGGAAGGCAGTGACGGGGCCCCAGGGGAGGTGCGGGCAAGCCTGGTGCGGCATCCGCACGTCCCTGTCCCATCCCCCACGCAGAGCCCGACCCCACCCTGCCAGGCCCACCTGTGTAGCTCATGGTGGCGGGCAACACAACATCCGACGACGCCGGCTTCTGCTGCTCTGAACATCCGACGCTGCGATAGCTGCTGCTAACCACAGGGTCCCCTCCACACACACCCGAGCCCCGCCTCCCGACCGCATTGGCTCATACCGGCCTCGGCTTCACGTCTATTGGAAGGAACCGCTGTCTATCTCTATGCCTCCTCATATCAGTGGCTGGAAGCTGCTGGCAATCTCGTGAGAGCCCCGCCTTGTCCCCGCCTTCTGTTATTCTAAGGCCTCAGTGATTGGCCTACAGAAGCCGGCAGAGAGGCGGAGTCCTATAGAATTTGAGGGGGCGGAGCTGTGCACTACGGAAAGGCCCAAGGCCCAAGCATGGTCGGGCTGGAGGAGCGCCCGTACCCTGGAGACCCGCCAGAGGGAGTCGGGTCTACGGCTCAGGGCAGGGCTGGGATGCCAACTCCGCCACCGAGGTGCTGGGTAGGGGACCTAGCTAAGTCTCTCAAATTCTCTGGCCTTCGGCTCCAAAACAAGCATAGCAAAGCCATGTTGAGAAGAGAAAATTAAAACAGCACCAAACAAGATGCTGGACACACGTTTCAACATTACGTGACAAAGTGTGTGTAAAGAAATCATTCTGGTGCCAGTGCACTGAATAAATGTGATTAATCGTAACAAAACGATAATATATTTATATGGCATATGCTTATATGTGTAATAATTCCGTTTGTATTGTGTGTCATTCGAATGCTCCTTCAAACCTGCAAAAAGCTTTTAATCCTCACTTAAAACTGAAGCTTGGAACTCATGATTTGCTCAAGGTCCTTGACAGTTACGTGTTAAAATGGGAGCTTTGCTTCTAAAACCCTCCTGATTCACTCTGGGCTCGAGAGATCCTGCAATAGTGCAGCCGGGCACCAGTCATGTCCTCAGTCTGTTTCCTGGGCATATGGAAACCCTGCCAGGGACAACTCATAATTTCTAGAGATGACAGAGCTGCACCGAAGAGTACTTAACACGTGTGTTTGTGAAAACTCATTAAGCTGCGCAATTACGACTTCTACGCTTCGTGTGTTTTAAAACTTTTTTTAAGGTATGCTGTTTCTTTTTGATATTGTTGATTTCTTTAGGTGTAATAGTGGCATTTACAACGTTGAGAGAAACATACTGAAATACTAAGAAGTTAACTGATCTTATGGCCAGGATGTGCTTCACACAATTCAGACAGGTAGAGAGAGGAGGAGGAAGCAAGGAGCTATAAGATAAATCTCTGACAGCTGAAGACATTGGTCATGGGTTGGTGATGGATAGATGAGAGTCCATTTTACTGTTTGCTCTACTTTTGTATAGTTGGAATTCTCCATGATAAACTGTTTTAATAAAACTCCCCCCACCCAAATGAGGCTTCTGCAGAACTTGCTGCCATACGGAACAAAGCCACTTCTGATGTGTTAAGTGAGCAAACTCCAAACATGAAGCAGAGATCTGACGGATAAGCACTCTGGCTTCGGGGTTCATCTCCCCATCAGCCTCAGGGATGCCTGCCTGTCTTCCAAACCAAGGCAGGGCCCCAGGACACGTCTTCTGCGCCCTGCAGGTTCGTTCCTTCATCGCACTTGCCACAGTCATCATTGTACCGATTTGATTTCGTTCACATCCAACACCCTCAGAGACCACGGCTCAAAAGCTGAGACTTTGCTGCCTGAGGTGTATTGAAGTGGCTTGAGCAGAGAAGAGCAATGCTCAGAAAGTTTTAGGAAAACATCCCCCTGCAAGAACTGGAGGTGACTCTTCCAAGGACACACATGACCCTCACTTCACTGCATGATTGGTGGGGAGGAACTTGCCATATGACTTTATAAGCTCTTGTATCATTTGACTGTTTTTTGTCACATCTAGCCTATACCACTTTTATATTTCAAAAACTGACTTACGGGCCGGGCATAGTGGCTCACGCCTGTAATCCCAGCACTTTGGGAGGCTGATCACTTGAGCTCAGGAGTTCAAGACCAGCCCGGGCAACATGGTGAAACCCCCGTCTCTACAAAAATTACAGATATAAGCCAGGGGTGGTGGTGCATGCCTGTGATCCCAGCTACCTGGATGGCTGAGGCAGGAGAATCACTTGAACCCAGGAGGCAGAGACTGCAGCGAGCCGAGGTCCCTACACTGCACTCCAGCTTGGGCAACAAAATGAGACCCTGTCTCAAAAAATAAAATAAAAAAATAAAAACTGACTTATGAAAAGTTGAAAGAGGAAGAAACACCTTTGAGTCAGCTCACAAGATGCTCTCCCTGCTTCCTAAGTCCTGGATACATCCACCCACCCACAGCACAGGATGGAGAGAAGTGGTTGCGGCCTTCTGCCACCAGGCGAGATGTGCGTCCTGACCCCACAGGAGCAGACGTGTGGGCCAAGACCACCCTTGTGGGCGTTATTGCAGCCTGTTAATCCCTCCTTCCCAGGAAGGGGTATGGTGGGAGGGCCCAGAAAGCAGGGCTGGGGGTAGAGGTGGCCCCTTCTGTCCACACGCCATGAGGTCGTTCCCACTCTCCAGCACTTGACCGTTTAGTAAAAACGATGAGCTGAAAAACCACATGCAATAAACAAGAAGGAGCAGCCAACAAAATCTCTTAAAATCTCAGAAATGTTCAATAAACATTTGCAGAGCGAGAAAATAAATAACATCGCAAAGGAGCCAGTGGCTCCTCTTTTCCCCGCATGTTCCTTGGGTCAGGGGTGCATGTGTCTCACTAGAAGTCACATGTATTAAAAGCAGGTGAGTTCCAGCTCTCTACAACCCCACTGGCCCCCACCCAAATGCTCCCAACGGGTCCCTGACACCCTCGCTGGTAGCTCCTGCCTTTGATAAGCTCCTCTAGCCTCAACTGCTTCTTGATCCTGGCTCCCTTCCCAGACAGGCTGCCCAGAACCCTGGTTCATCTGCTCACTGGAGCCGCTTTGCCAGCCAGCCAGAGACCCCCTCCCAGCCATGGCCTAAAGAGCCAACAGCTGGGAACTTGGGCTCATCCCCAGCTGCGTCTGGTCGGCTTGGCGGCCAACTGGAAAACCCAGGGCCTCCATGGCGCTCTGGACAGAGGAGGCCCCGATCCCAGCCCCGGCTGCCAGCCAATGCCAGCCTGTCCACTTGACAGAAAAACACACGCTGGCCGCCTGCCCCAGGGTGTTTCCAGAAGAGAAATTTAATCTAATTTACATACTTCTAGGTACATCGATAACCAAAATGTGGCCACTGAAAAAAGTTAAAAGGTCAATCAGCTCCTGGCTTCTAGCTGGCCCAGGATTGCAAAATAAAAAGATCCACGTTCCTTATTCTCTACACAAAACGCGTTTTTAAAAAAGTGAAAGGTCTAGGGAGCTATACATAGAAAGCAACAGTGAAAAGGGAGAGGGAGCAGGAGTGGGGGAGGAGAGTCCCACCCCCCAACCCCACCCTCCAGGGCCCCAGAGCCCCTGAGGCTCTTTGGGGGGCCTTGACATGGCAGGAGGCAGCTGTCAGCTCTGAGCTCTTCCCAGCTGGGAAGGCCCCTCTCGGGGGCAGCCAACAAGGATTTCCGTGGCATTGTGGGCTCAGTGGGGGGCTCCCAGGCCCCAGCAGGCCCCACAGAGGGAGCGTGGCTTCCCCTGAGCAAGCACCGTGGCATGATGTGGTCGTTCAACCCAGGAACTGGGGGTCCGGGGCAGGTCCCGGGTCTCACGAGGTGCGTGTTGTGTGTGTTCGCATGTACATGTGTGTGAGAGGATATTCATGGGGGAGAGAGGGAACCAGAACAGGGGTCTTTGGGGTCTTTGCAAATGGCCACGGATGGCAGACATCGCCCTGCCTGGCTGCTAGACGGGGGAGTGCTGTCCTCCCCTGTGACCAGACCGGCTGCCATCAGAGACCTGGCTGCTGCCCCTGCTGGACCAGGTGGGCATGGGCTGAAGGAAGACACCCTGTGGCCCCAGAGTCCTCGGGCTGGGGGAAGGGCAGCTAGCTGGCTCCCGGCGCCCTGGCTGTAGTGTGCCCGGCCCCCAAGGGGCGCCGGTTTGAGGTTTTGGCTTGCTCCTTTGGAAACGGAAAGAAAGAGGAAGAGGGACAAGGACACAGAGGAGGAAGAAGAGGAGACAGAGGTGGCACGAGAGGGGATCTGGAATGCTTTTGTGTTAGGGAGCCTCTGCCGCCGCTGTCTGTGCCTGCGGGGCCTGGGACTCCTCAGGTGGGGGGTCCGCTTTGGAGAAGTTCATCTCCAGGATGTGCCGCTGTAAGTGCCGCACCCACTCTTCCTGGATGGAGAGGGGGCCCTGGAATTCCACCTCACAGAACCTGCATGGGGGAACAGAGAGAGGGAGTGGCCAGTGCTGTGAGGAGAGGCGGAAGCATAGCCTTGCCAGCATCCCTGGGCACACCTGCTGCTACTCAGTGTGGACAGAGCCAGCCCAGGAGGCGGGGGAAGAGGGACCCAGAAGTCAGGCGTTTCCCATGGACAGCCACCTCCACTCACCATGGGGTCATGGCAGGGTCTCACAGAGACCCCTGCCTCTGTGCTCAGAAGTCACTGGTGCCAGGTAAGGGCTACTGGCTTCCAGGTACCCCTGCCATCTGGCAGATACATAGAATCTGAGACAGTAGAGGGCACAGAGAAGCAAATCCTACCCAACGCACCAAGCCCCCCACCTCCTCCTGTCTTCCTGGCACCTAAAAAGGCCTCACAGCACAGAGGCCTGGAGCCCAAGCTCCATGGCTCAAGACGTGGCTTTGACTCTGACTTCTGACTTGGCCTGTATGGCCTCAGGCAAGTCACCTCACGTCTCAGAGTCCCAGTTCGCTGCTCTTCAATGTACTTGTGGACTTTGGTAAGAATTAACTAAGATCTACTTTTTTCTTGAGCCAGACACTAGTTGAGTGCTTACTTACCATGTGCCAGGCAGTTCTGAGTGCTTTATAAATATTAAATTCACTTACTCCTCGTAACAAATCTGTAAGGTAGGTTTGTTATCAACCCGCTTTTATGAGTGAGGAAATTGAGGTAAGGAGCAGGTAAGTCCTTCCCTGAGGTCACTAAGCTGGTAAGTGGCAGAGTTGGGATTTGAACCCAGGTCTCGCAGGCTACAAAGCTCAGGGTGTCAGCCTTTAGCCTGAGCCCCACCACACCCAAGGGCAGCCACTGAGGCGACACCTCCCAGCTTCCACCAAACCCTATCCTGTTCCAAGGCTCCGGGTGACCAAGGTCCACTCAGGTGGTCTCCCTCCCTCCCCCAGGGGCAGCCTACCTGCATTTGAGGGTGTAGATGTTGCCCACGAACTTGACAAGTGATGTCTGGGGGGGCCGGGGCACCAGGGAGGGGACTGGCCGGACTCGGGGTGGGGGTTGCCGCACCTCCTCCAGCTTCTGCTGTAGGTCATTGGTGTCCTCGCCTCCCCGGGCTGCGGAGGCATCTGGAGGGCGGGCTTGTCGGCGTTCAAATTCTAAGGTGGAGAGGGGGACGGGAGATGAGTGGGAGGGGTGGATGCTGCAGAGACTTGGAATACACAAGAGCTGAGGACTGATGCTACCTGGATGGGTGGGATGGGGGATGGATGGGTGAATGGGTAAGCAACTGGAGAAAGGACTTAAGGGCCACAGCAGAGCGCCTGGGGAGTGGCTGGGTGGGCCTGACAGGTGCCCGCTGCGCTCCCGACCCTCCTCCACCAAGCACTCACTGTTGATGTTCTGCCGCTGGTGCTCCTCAGCCTTCACGGTGCCTGGCGGGCTGGCTGCCAGAGGCCGCTCACCACCGTCGGCTGCCCGGCCAGCCTCGGGCCCTGGCTCCCCTCCGGCACTGCGGCCGACCACGGCCAGGCCCCCGGGTGCCAGCCCCAGGGACGGCCGCTTGTCACTGTCACGGCCATGGCCGGCACTGCGGAACTTCTTGGTGAAGGGGCGGCCGCCCTGGATGTAGCTGCGGTAGGCGCCCACCTTCTGGGGCCGGTGTTTGATCCACTCGCTCAGTGTCTCGATGGGCGAGCCATTGACGCACCACTCGGTCACGCCGAACTGCCGCAGGTGTGCCCGTGCGTGGCTGGCCAGGGCCTTGCGGTTTTCAAAGTAAAGGCCACACAGCTCGCAGCAGGCCTCGGTGGCTGCGGGGCGGAGGGGGTGCTGCTGAGTCACAGCCCAAAGGGGGCAGGTGCACCCAGATGGCCCTGCCCAGGCCAGGTGCCAATCCCGCCTCCCACACAGACCCAGCCATGGGGGCCCCACTTGGGGTCAGTGTGCACGCTTGTGGCATTGCCTGGCCTGGCAGGCCCTGGCGGTCGCCCTCCCAGGACCCTGCCGCCCGCTGCTTACAGGAGTGGGAGGTCTTCTCATGAAGGGTCTTTGCCTTGAAGGGCAGTTCAGTCTGGATGTAGGTCTTGGCCTTGACCTCTGCTGGGAGGAGGCGGTCCTCCTGCAGGGGCCGCTTGGCTGCCACTGAGCCCAGGTAGCCAGTGGCTGAGGGCTTGGCCCCAGTGATGGGCGTCAGGCTGAGCTCACGAGGAACCTGGGCCGGCCCTGCACCTGGTTTGCCTGGCCGGCCAGCCAGGGGCGACAGCGGCAGTGGGGACTGCACGGGCCCAGGGGCCACGGTGGGAGGCCCGTCCTCAGCCAGGGCAGGGGCCAGGTCTCCAGCCGGTGGCTCCTTCTTGATGAGGCACGGCTTGGACTTCTTCTTGAGGATCTCTCGCAGTGTGTCGATGGGCGAACCATTGACGGACCACTCGGTCACACCCATCTGCCGCAGGTGTGAGCGCGCGTGACTCGACAGGCCCTTGCGGTTCTCGAAGAACTCGCCGCAGAACTCACAGCGGATGTCGCGCACCGGCTCTGCCCGGGACGCTGCAGGGGATCCAGGGTAGGGGGAAGGAGGAGGAGGAGGAGGAGGAGGGAGGAGGAGGGAGGAGGAGGGAGGAGGAGGAGGGAGGAGGGAGGAGGAGGAGGAGGAGGAGGAGGAGGAGGAGGAGGAGGAGGAGGAGGAGGAGGAGAAGGAGGCGGCGGCTGCGGGCAGGAAGCCTCCAAGCTCAAAGCCCCCGTATCAGTGCCAGCTGCCTAGCTACCCCTGTCCACACCACCCACCAGACCGCAACAACCTGCTCCCTCATCTGGGCTTCCAGAGGCCCTTTTAACATCTGGCTCTTCTGCTTGTTCTGTCACTTCAAATTCTAGCTGGCTTCAAGATACCTCCCTGTATGATCCTGGGCAAGTCACTTTCCCTCTCTGAGCCTGTTTCCTCCGCTGCAAAATGGAGATGAAAACCCCTACCTCCCAGTGTTACTTTGGGACGGTCTAAAATGGGAACAGCTCTCAGCATGGGGCACAGAGCTGGTACACAACACACGTGAGCGCTAAGGCACAAGCCTGGGCTGCCCTCACCTGCTCAGCACACAGTGGGCATCCAATCAACCTGAGCAGAATGAACACAGTGCTGGTGTGACAGGCAAGCGAGCAAGTGACATTACAATGATGGCATACAGAGTTTTCTGTAACCAGGTGCTGTGCTAAGTGCTTTATCCCACTTAATCCTCAAGAAAACCAGACAGAGTTGGGACTATGCTGATCTCCATCTTCCAAATGAGGAAACTTGCCCAAGGTCACATAAAGCTAGACTGTGGAGGAACAGAGATCTTAACTCACACTTGACTCCCAATGTCAAGCACTTAATTACCAAAAATGTCAGAAAGACACAGTTCAGACGTTCACTGCCAGTCCCTACGCTCCTGCTGTAGCAGACATCACTAATGGATCCCCGCAGTCTTTCTCCCTAGGAGTCTGGCTGGCAGCCACTACCAATCGATTGAAATGGCACAAGAGATGGAATCTTTCTGCTGTCACTGAATGACACAATCCTGCTTCTCAAATGAATAAAGGACAATTGAGCAGCAGCTCAGTTGCAGGGGTCTGCATAGCAGGAATACACAGCTAACCCTGTGTCCTCTCTACCTGCGTGTCCTCCCTTCCAATTCAACCCTAGGCACTCTGGATACCCCCAAGGGGAGGCAGGGAGGAGACCCCTCCAACTGTTCTCCCTGCCCTACTGCAGGGTCACACTTACACAGGTTCAGGGGTGTCATGTCTTCCCGTGGTGCCCCCCAGGGACCCTCAGATGGGTGCAGTTCCCCATGAAGGGCCCCCGGCAGCATCTCCCGCTTGATCTCCACCCGTATTTGTTCAGGCTTCAGCTTCTTGGGCAAGGAGGGTGCAGCCAGGCCTGGGAACATCTTTCGGGCCGTAGGAGGAGGAGAGGCAGTTGGTGAGTGGCCCAGGGGGCTGCCCGGTGGTGGTGGCAACTTCTTGGCCAAGGGTGAGATGTGAAGGTCCGAGGGGCTGCGGGCTTCCAGTGAGCTGCCAGGACCTGCGCCGCCCATCATCTTGGCCAGGGCTTTTGGGCTTGGCCCTGGTGGGTTGGGAGGTCCACCAGGCCGAGACTGGGTCCGTCTCTTCAGGATCTCCCGCAGCGTGTCGATGGGCGAGCCATTGACGTACCACTCGGTCACGCCCATTTGCCGCAGATGGGAGCGCGCGTGGCTCGAGAGGCCCTTGCGGTTCTCGAAGAACTCACCACAGAACTCGCAGCGGATGTCTCGTGCTGGCTCTGGGCCTGAGGCTGCAGCAGGAGGAGAAAGGGGCAGTTAGCATCGTGGAACTGCCAGCATGGTCACCTGCAGGAGTGTCCTGGTCGGCTGGGCGTGGGCGGCAGCAGCACGCCCACAGGTTAGGGTGGTGAGGGCAGGTGCAGGTAAGGGAGTGGAGGAGCGGGGCTGGGGGCCAGATACCCGGCAGGAGTGAGGGGAGGCTCCAGAGAGCACATGGGCCCTCAGTCCTGGCGGAGGAGGATGGAACCAAGATTCCATTGCTCTGTGGGTCCCAACAAGGACAGGGTGAGGCAGGGAGGCAGCCTAGGTGCTATGTGCCATCCAGACAGGGGCAGATGTGGGTGCTCTGCACACTAAAAGGCAGGATCTCCCCACCTTGGCCTTCATTCTCAGGAAGGGTCATGGAGGTCAAAGGCCAAGAGAGAGGGCCTAGCAGCCCACTGCCAACAAGATCTCTGGGCAGAACCGGCCCACTGCCAAGGGCCCCTGTCTACTCCCTGCCCCAGCAGGGAGGGGGCTGTGACCCCCCCCCCGGGAGGGGCTCCAGGGCCCGCAGTGAGGAGGGGGCAGCTGAAGCGAGAACCTACAGAGGTTGAGAGGAGACGGCTCCACATCAGAGGCCCAGAAAATGCCGGCGGCTGCGGCGGCCGAGAGGTCCTGCTTCCCCCAGGGGCTGGCCATACCCGCGGCCTTCAGCTTGGCCTTCTTGGCCGGCGGTGGGGGGGGAAGCAAGGAGAGGGCCGCGGAGGTGGGAGGCGGCCGCCCCGGGTGGGCCAGGGCGCCGCGCCTGGGTGGGAGGCGGATCTGGACGCCGTCCCTCCTGATGAGCCCGTGGAGCACGTCTATGGGGGATCCCTTGGCGTCCGGATCGCTGACGCCCAGGTGGCGCAGGTGGGCACGGGCGTGGCTAGACAGGCCCTTGCGGGTCTCAAACCAGGCACCGCACAGCTGGCAGTCCAGCTCTCTGCCCCCGTCACTATCTAAAGCTGCGGAGACAAAACACAGGGGGGGTTCACGGCCGCCACCTTGGCCGGCCTTGGGGGCCTGAGGTAGGAGGGTCTGGTGTGATTTTTGGCTGCTCAGGCAGTTGGGGGGTCCAAGACTCAGGCCGCAGATTTCTTTTGAAGTTTGGGAAGCAGGACATCCTGTTTCCTGCCTAGCCCTTTGGCATCGAGGGGAGTGTAGAGAGCTTAAGGACTTTGGGTAGACAGGCAGTGACCAAATTCTAGGTAATCAGATACTCCCAGACCCTCTCCCCTAGGATCCCTGCTATGGGAGCTATTTGGGGGCGATGGTGGCTGCTGGGCTCACGCAGCCAAGGGCACACCTGCTCAAGGCCCTGCCCCTGGAAGCACGGCAGACTCAGTGGAAGCAACTTCAAGGGAACATAAGGTGCCAAATGGGGGGCTCCATTGGGCAGGGGGTGAGACCCTGGGGTCACCCCCAGACTCTAATGTCCACAAAGATATGGGAAAGCCTGATGTTGTAAGGGACGTCCTTGTTAAACCTGCTCACTGCACCTGGAGGGTTTCTTCCCAAACCCTGCCTGCCGTGCCCACAGGCAGCCCAGGAGGTGGGGCTTCACCGGCAGGCGCAGAGAGCTGCCTCTGCGTGGTGGACAGCCAGGAAGACTTGATGACAGGACCAATCGTGGGCACCTCCCATCAGGTGATCCCCTGTCTATCCAAGATGCTTCCAACTACCACTGAGAAAGCTAGGCCACAGGAACCCTGGTTACCTTCACCGCCCCTACCCACAGGCCCAGAGAAAGCCAAGAGCTGCCCCTCAGTGGCGAGCATGACCCTGGCAGGCTCATCAGCCGCAGTGAGGCTTTCAGGGGAAGATCAGCAAAGTAAAGTGGGAGGCACGATCCACATCCAAGGCGGCCCAAAAGGAGATGCAGAGGCTTGACCAATACTCTGGCCTGGCTGGCCCAGGACATGGGAGCTGTAGTCCCCACCGCCCCCACCCACCCTGGGCCCTGTCCCTGGGCTACAGCCCAACCTGAGGTCCCGACCCTCCCAGCGCCAGAACCTCCCTCGGCTCTTGGGACCCACACTCACTGAGGTTCAAGGGCCCCTCATCCTCAGACTGAGGCCACTGTGCCTTTGGGGAGGCCGGCCGGGGGCTCAGGGACAGCTGGGGGCTCTTGTCCTCAGGATTCTTAGGGGTAGGGGAGCCCGCCAGGGCCAGTGGTGTCTTTTTGAGGAGTGGAGAGCTGGGCGGGTGGCCCAGGCCCTTGGCCGAGAAGCCGGGAGGCGACTTGATGGCTTTGTTGACAGCAGGGGCATCCAAGGGCTTGGCCAGGCTGAGCAAGCCGGGCCGGGGGGCCCCGGCGACCACCTCCTTCAGTGAGCTGGACTTCTTAGCCAGGCCTGGGGGCAGCCCAAGGTGGGCGTCAGGCAGACCCTTCTGCTTCACAAGCTCGTAGAGGAGGTCGATGGGTGCGCCGCTGCTTTCCGACTCTGCCACTCCCAGCTGCCGCAGGTGGGAGCGCGCGTGGCTGGACAGGCCCTTTCGGGTCTCAAAGCAGGCACCGCAGACCTCGCAGGTGGTCAGGCTCTGGGCTGAAGGGCAACACAGAGGCCGGGAGAGCAGGCTGTGAGGCCCACGGCCCAGCTCTCCCGCTTCTCCTCCCCTGAGAGTCCCACTCACCCAGGCTCCATGGAAGTGTTTTGCCTCCGTCAGGCCCCCCAAACCTCACAATGACCCTAACAACGCAGAGAATAGCTTGGCTGCTTTGCCAATAAGGGTTAGAAACTGAGACTCAGAGAGGGAAAAGTTGTGCCCAAGGGCACACAGCAGGAGATAGAGCCCTTCTGTCATCCAGCCAGTGGGACACCTTTCACAACCTTTCAGGCCTACGGGGTGCCCTGGCAACAGGTTCACACAAACGCTGACCTGACAGCCACATGCCTCACTGAACTAAGTTCTAACCACCCTCTGTGGCTCAACTCCTGCCCGAAACACTGGTCCTTGCAGTCTCCTGCACCCTCTTCCACAGAGCCTTTATCCTTGCCTATCTGCTTCTCTGTCTCCCCGTTCCCCAACTTGAATGGCCCTCAAGAGCAAGGGCCAAATTCATTTTGCTCCTCTCACCTCCCTGGAGTCCACCCCAGGGCCCGTCACTAGTCAATAACAACCTTAGGATCAACAGACGAAGAAATGGTGTCATGCGAGAGACTGCACAGCTAGCAAAGGCCAGATTCAGCAAATGAGCTGGGTCTGAGTATGAGCTCTGGACCACCACACCCACTGCTTCTGGATGCTGTCCCTCGCCCCGTGAGGGTGCAGCTCAGGGCCACGCATGCCCAGGACAGTAGAAGTTCAAGAGAGAAGACAGCTGAGTGCCAACCTTGGTGCCTCAAGGTGCCAGAGGGAAAACTGCGGGCAACCTTGGGCCCCACATTAACCCCAAGGCACGAGAGTGCTCCTGTGAGTGTAACCAGCCTGGCCAGCATCCCCTGCCATGCCACCTGGGCCACTCACCCTTGAGGTCCTGCAGCTCCTGTTTGCTGCCATGAGGAACCTCTGCAGCCACTTTGCTGCTCAGCCGACTGGCCACCTGCTCCAGGGCCCCAGGGACAGGCAGGCTCTTCTTAGGGAGCGAGGGAGAGCCCAAGTCCATGGCCACCATTGCGTTTTCCTCAGAACCCAGGCCTGTGGGTTGGGGAGACAGGCTCAGCCCAGACAAATTTCAGGCTGTCTATACCCAGAACTAAGAAGATGGCCTTCTTCCTTATCCTTGATGTCCGCTCTCACTCTGCGAAGCGACTCACCCCAGGAAAGCTGAGGTTCCACCATAACCCCCAGCACCAGTCCAGTGCAGGGACACTGAGGCTGCCACTGACAGCAGACGCCAGCAGCTGCTTCCACACACTACAGCATGGACAGGTCTGGGGTCTAATGCAAATCTGAGCCCAAACTCCCATCCCAGGGGATCTCAAAGAAAAGATCTCTCTGGGCAGAACTTGTGAGGGGGAACGTCTGCCTGTCTCGAGGGTGAGGGTGGGAGGCACTCAGAGAGGGAATTCAACACAACACCAGGGTCAGGAGGCTGGAGAGGCCACACAGAGGCAGGGAGCCAGGGAGCCAGGGACAGGGAGGTGGCTTCACAGCACTTGTGAGGAATCTCCACCAGACAAGACAGCTGGGGCTGCAGAGACAATGGGGGACCAGGGGTGGCCTACTGATCACAAGCTGGGCCCTAAGTGGGGTAAGGTGTCTGCACCTACAGCTATCTGACTTCGGACAGAAAGAGTTGGAATCACAGAACTTTGTGTTAAGTTTCTGAGACATCTATCAGGCCCGCAGCATCCCTGGGTGAGGAGTGTGTGGCAGAGGGAACCAAGGGTGAATTTTCACGTCTAGTTGTTCAAAGGGGCCTGGGAGGCCAGTTGAACTCCAAATTTAGAGTTCAGAGCAAAGGATGAAGGAACTGTGCCAAATGGGGCCTTGGAGGCGTTCAGTGGGATGTAACGGGGCAGGGGGCCATGTAGGTTCTATGCTCAGTTTGAGTCTCGCAGAAGCAAAGAGTAGGCGCTGAGGACTGGGGCACCGAGGACTTTGTCAAAGTCTCCGGGTCGGGTGGGCGCGTCTGTCAGATGGGGCAGGGCTGAAGTGAGTTTCCGCACCGGACGGACCGGAACCGTGGCAAGGGACGCTCCCGGGGCTCCAAAGGGGGCAAGGGACATCTGTCAGACGGGGCAAAGGTCTCGAGGAGCGGCGGAGGAGTGTTTCTGAGGCCTGGGACCCTGCGAGCGGCGACAGAAGGCCCTGGGCCCACACAACTAAAGGGCCTGGGGGAGGGGGGGGTCCCGCAGACTGGACGGAAGGCGTCGGGGGCGGCGGCACCGGCAGGCGGGATTCCGACCTTCCCCTCCCCACACCCTCCCAAGCGCGGGCTCTTACCGGGCGCGGGAGCGGACGCGGGCCCGGGCCCCGGCTCCGGCTCGGCCTTGGGCCCGTCCCGCGGCGGCGGTGGCGGTGGCGGTGGTGGTGGCGGCGGCGGCGGGGGTGGGGGCGGCGGCGGCGGCGCGGGGGGTGCCGCGGGGCCCGGGCTCGGGGGGCTGGGCGGGGGCGCCCCCGCGGGCGCGCGCTCCCGGGCGCCCCCCGCGCGCGGCCCCGCCGCCGCCTTGCTCTCCGCTTTTGTCACTCGGCACTGGGCGGTGGAGGCGGCCATCTTGGCTCCGGCGCACGCGGGGCGGCCGCCCCAGGCGGGAGCAGCTGAGCGCCGAGTGCCGAGTGCCGCTGCCGCCGCCGCCAAACCCGCTCCGCCCCGCCCCTCAGGGCGCGCCCAGGTTGGCCTGCCGAGTGCCGAGCGCCGAGCGCCGAGTGCCACGAGCGAAACCGTTCGTCTGGGCCCTGAGGGCGGACGGCTGCAGCTGCTGGAAGCTTGTCGCGCGCCCTGGCTAGCGGATGCACCCACGCTGGGCGCCCAGCGGCCTCTAACCGCCGCCCCAGCCCAGTCCCCGGACATCTCTATCCCTAGGATGGGAATCTTCCGGCCTCACTCAGACCCCCTTAAACAACGTCAAAACTCTTAAGAGCCCCGACGGGCGGAGCTAGGACCTGCCCTAGGACCCTGCCCCATTCCCTTTCCGGAAAGTCTCCATCTCCGAGTCGGGGATCCTGGAAAACACCTGATCTCCAACCACAAGAATCCCTCCAGTATCATCCTGTTATCCAACCGTCCCCCGACGGTGCCGTTCCGCAGACCTAGGGAACCCCACAAGGCCGGCAACACATTTCAATCACCGCCTGCTTCTCTCTCCGATTGTCCCCAGCTGTTCCTTGACAGTTGGGTGGGGCTAGAATCGGAACATTGCCCCGCCCCCAACCTGGCACCCGCCCCCTCCTGCCCACTTAGGGAGAGGGGGCAGGCTTCTAACGACAGCCTTGCAGCGCCAGTGCCCAGACCTAGCCCTAATGTTGCATATCCTTACTTAAGGCAAGGCTTCCAAGATCTTCCCAATCACTCCCTAACCGCCAACCCTCTGCCTCGCAGTTATTCACTGAAAGACTGGTCATAGCTCTCCCTCCCAAGGACAAGGCCAGGGCAGTGCCAAACCTGGCTCCTCTCATCCGTAGGCTGATTCCTTATACCCCAGTGCCTCCTGCACCCCTAGCCATCCTCAGAGCCAGCTCTGTCTCGCAGCCACCCCTGAGACACTACAAGCCAGACGTGGGTGAGCTGAGTGCCTGGGGAGCAGCCTTTAGCAGAAGCAAGAAGCCTGAGGTCAAGTCCCCACTCTGCCCCTTCCTGAGGTGTCACCTCAACCAGCCCCTGTCCTCTCTGAACCTCCAAGGAGAGGGGGCTTTGATAGCCCCACCCTCCCCTTTGCAGGCTCATGAATGCCCTTCAAGTGGGCTTGTGAGTGGGTCTGACTGAGCCCAGAGTACAGATCTAGGTAGGACCCCAGCAGCTGCAAGTAGGAATAGTACCGAAGGGGCCGGGTGCGGTGGCTAACGCCTGTAATCCCAGCACTTTGGGAGGCCAAGAGGGGTGGATCACTTGAGGTCAGGAGTTTGAGACCAGCCTGGACAACATGGTGAAACCCCATCTCTACTAAAAATACAAAAAAAATTAGCTGGGCATGGTGGTGGGCGCCTGTAATCCCAGCTACTTGGGAGGCTGAGGCAGGAGAATTGCTTTAACCCGGGAGGCGGAGGTTGCAGTGAGCCAAGATCGTGCCACTGCACTCCAGCTTGGGCGACAGAGCAGGACTCCATCTTTAAAAAAAAAAAAAAAAAAAAGGGCCAGGCGTGGTGGCTTACACCTGTAATCCTAGCACTTTGGGAGGCCGAGGCGGGCGGATCACAAGGTCAGGAGATCGAGACCGTGCTGGCTAACACGGTGAAACCCTGTCTCTACTAAACAAAATACAAAAATTAGCCGGGCGTGGTGGCAGGCACCTGTAGTCCCAGCTACTCGGGAGGCTGAGGCAGAAGAATGGTGTGAACCCAGGAGGTGGAGCTTGTAGTGAGCCGAGATCGTGCCACTGCACTCCAGCCTGGGCGACAGAGCGATACTCCATCTCAAGACAGAGCGAGACTCCATCTCAAAAAAAAAAAAAAAAAGAAGGAATAGTATCAAAGGAAGCCCCAGCCTCCAGCAGTCCCAGGGGCGATACCCCCTGTTCAGACACTCTCCATTCCTCAGAGCCCAACTACTTTTTGTAGCCAAGTTCTCTGCCTTGTAAAGGCTCGTGCAAAGCCAGGCTGTGCAAGACTGGGCCCTTCACTTGTCCACTCCCTTTGCAGTGCCCAGTCCTGGGCTCCTTCACCAAATAGGACTTATGGATTTCCAAGCCATCCTCCACTAGAGACACCACCAAACAAGCTGCTCAGAAGTCTAGCTCTACAGCTGTGTGGCTGTGGCAAAGAAGATGACCTATGGTTTCCTTATCCTTAAAACAGGGACATGGCCGGTGCGGTGGCTCACACCTGTAATCCCAGCACTTTGGGAGGACGAGGCAGGCGGATCACGAGGTCAGGAGATAGACACCATCCTGGCTAACATAGTGAAACCTCGTCACTACTAAAAATTAGCCAGGTGTGGTGGCACGCCCTGTAATCCCAGCTACTCAGGAGTCTGAGGCAGGAGAATCGCTTGAACCTGGGCAGCGGAGGCTGCAGTGAGCCGAGATGGCACCACTGCACTCCAGCCTGGGCGACAGAGTGAGACTCTGCCTCAAACCAACCAACAAACAAAAAAAAACAGAAACACAGCAATCTTAGTTGTACAGACTTACATTGAGGCATAAATGAGATTTAACACGTTAAAATCTTAGTACAGGGGCCAGGCGTGATGGCTCAGGCCTCTAAATCCCTGCACTTTGGGAGGCTGAGGCAGGAGGATTGCTTGAGCCCAGGAGTTCCAGACCAGCTTGGGCAACACAGCAAGACCCCGTCTCAAAAAAATAAAAAATTAAAATTAAAAAACCTTAGTACATAGCAAGCATTTGATAATGGAGTAGCATATCAGGTCTGCCGGATAAAGCAAACATTGGTTGAAAATCTAGACTCTAGGCCGGGTGCAGTGGCTTACGCCTGTAATCCCAGCACTTTGGGAGGCCGAAGCGGGCAGATCACTTGAGGTCAGGAGTTTGAAACCAGCCTGGCCAACGTGGTGAAACCGTCTCTACTAAAAATACAAAAATTAGCCAGGCGTGGTGGTGCACGCCTGTAATCCCAGCTACTCAGCAGGAGAATCGCTGGAACCTGGGAGTTGGAGGTTGCAGTGACTGAGATCGCACCACTGCATTCCAGCCTGGGTGGCAGAGTGAGACTTCATCTCAGAAAAAATCTAGCCTCTAGGCTGGGCACAGTAGCTCACGCCTGTAATCCCAGCTCTTTGGGGGCCTGAGGCAGGCGGATCACTGGAAGGCAGGAGTTTGAGACCAGCCTGGCCAACATGGTGAAAACCCATCTCTACTAAAAATACAAAAGTTAGCTGGGCGTGGTGATGAGCGCCTGTAATCCCAGCTACTCAGGAGGCTGAGGCAGGAGAATCACTTGAACCCCGGAGGCGGAGGTTGCAGTGAGCCAAGATTGTGCCACTGAGCTCCAGCCGGGGCAAAAGAGCGAGACTCCATCTCGAAAAAAAAGAAAATCTAGACTCTAGATCTGCACTATCCAATAGGATCCCCACTAGCCTGGCACTAGCTTCATTTCAACTTCTTAACAGCCATACATGACCAATGGTGTCCCTGTAAGACGTGCAGATATCTAGAGAATATTTCCAGCCATCATCTCAGAAAGTTCTATACAACAATGCTTCTCAAGATAGAAGATGTCATTAACAGCAAAGAATCTGGGGCCCAGCTGCCTGGGTTTTAAATCCCTGTTTCACCCTTTCCAGCTGTGTGACCTCAGGCAGGTTAATTAAACTCTGTGCCTCAGTTTCCTCATCTGTAAAGTGGAAGAAATAATAACACCTGCCTTATAGGATTGTTGTGAGGATGTAAATGAGTTCATGTTTGTAAAGTGCTTAGAACGATGCCTGGCTCCCAGTAAAAGCTCAGTAAGCATTTGTCAAAGTCACTGGCAGGAAAGATAGTGAAAAACTGGATCCAGAAAGAGACCTGGCCCAGATCCTGAGTGAAACAGAAAGGACACCTAAATAGCAGGGTGGTTGTAAGGAAAGTCATCAACATACTTTGTAAAGTGACTCAAAATGCTTCCAGGAAAGCTGAGCGGCTGCCCCTCCAGCCCCGCCCCTCCAATGCTCTGGGCCCCTGGGAAGGATGGGGCTCCAGCACAGCCCGTCCCCTCCCCTTACCATCTCCATAGGCTGGCCCAGGGTCCTCAGCCCAGGTGGGTGGAAAGGGCACCGTGAGAGGTAAGCGGGGCCGACGGGAGGTCAGGAAGCTGCCAGGCGGACCCCCAGGCTCTCGGCCCAGGGGGCTGGGGGGCTGCTCAGCAGCAGAGGTGGCCAGCAGCTCCTGCAGGATGTTGATGGGTGAGACAGTGAGCTCCCAGTTGGTGATACCGAAGTCACGTAGGTGGGCCCGGGCGTGGCTGGAGAGGCCGGCCCGTGTGTCGAAGCCAGCCCCGCAGAAGTCACAGCGCATCAGGCTGAAGGTGCCTGGGTCAAAGTTGGCCACTGTGGAGAGAGGACAGGACTGCCTGAGGTGGAGAGGGGGCTACTCCCCAGCCCCAACCCCTCCCCATATTCAGGGCTTCACCCTGGACTGCCTTTCTTCCCCGTGGCTGTCCCTTTTGCTCCTGCCTGCTCCTCAGCTCTCAGCTCGTGCATCCTCCCACCCCATTCCAGGAAGCCTGACCCTCCCAGATACCCCCTTCCCACATCTGGCAACGTCAAGGAGGGACCTCTTCTGCAAAAACCCTTCTCCAGGGCCAGGTGTGGTGGCTCACGCCTGTAATCCCAGCTCTTTGGGAGGCCAAGCGGGAAGATCTCTTGAGCCCAGGAGTTTGACACCAGTCTGGGCAACATAGTGAGACCCCATCTCTATAAAAAAATTAGCTGGGCATAGTGGTGCGTGCCTGTAGTCCCAGCTACTTGGGAGGCTAAGGTGGGAGGATTGCTTGAGCTTAGGAGTTTGAGGCTGCAGTGAGCTATAATTGCCCCATGGCACTCCAGCCTGGGCAACAGAGCAAGACCCTGTCTCTTAAAAAGAGAAAGAAAGAAAAAGAAATGCTTCTCCAGTTGTGGACCTGCCATCATCTATGAGAGTATTTGATTAATAGCCTTCTCGTGACTATTTTTACTCATGATCACGCAAGTGCTGTAAATTAAATATTTGTTGGATGAAGAAATGGACAAATGGATGTAATGCCCTCTGCTGGGAGCCTTCTCTGAGCCCTGCAACTGGAGTTAGGGACTTTGTCTCAGCTTCCCCAGCCTCCTGGTTCTCCCAGCTTTCCCCGCATCTCAGCCCTGCTCACTCGGTGTCGTCACTGCCTGGTTTCCTGGTTGTCACCCCTTGCCCCCAACCCCTAGTGCGTAGACACACACACACACACACGCACACACACACACTCAAACACCATACTGGCACCTCCCCAAGTGGGCTTTGTGTCTGCCAATGTCAGAACCACCCAGGGTGCTCCTGTTGGAAACAGACTTCTGGAATCAGAGCCTTGTACTGTGGGAACTGACAAACCTTACAGGCAGCCCCAGGGGGTTCTGAAGCTGGCCAGTGTGGGGTGGAGGGGGTCCCACCACTCCTGGACTGGGCCATGAACTCCAAGAGTCCAAGAACTGCTATTCTGTCCACTGCTGTGTCCCCAGGTCCCCAGAACAGAGGGGAACCTTGCTCAGTAAATATTTGTTGAATGGAGGAATGAATGAAATTCTCTGCCTGAGGCTGACTCTTCTACCCACACTCCTTCCTCCAGTGGCTGGAATGGCCAGGGGACTGGGGCGTCTCCACACATCCACCGACCAGGTGGCCTTCACTGTGGCTCTCAAGTCTCTCAGGAGCAGAGGCCCCAGTGTCCCCCTGCTTGGCGCTAAGGGAGAGAATTTAGATCAACGGTGGGTTGCCCAGCCATGTGTCTCCTGGGCCTTTAAAAGTGAAGCTGCCCTACCTTTTTTCTTCTTCTTCTGGAAGGAGAACCTGCGCTCAATGGCCTTCACCTCCTCAGCGGAGATGAAATGGCGCACATTGTAGCTGACGCCCACGCGGTTCAGGTGGCCCCGGACGTGGTTGGCCAAGCCGATGCCGTTGTGGAAGCGATCGGGGCAGTAGGGGCATTTCCGCTCCTCGTGCTTCAGTGCCATGGCCGGATCCCCATCCAGGAGTGTGTCCAGCCCCAGCGGGCCGCCCAGCGGCGCGTCCAGGAGCAGGAAGTCCAGGGGGTGGGCGCCTGCCAGCCCCAGCTCCTCGGGCTGCAACCTTGGGGGCACCCTGGCTGCCGCCATGACCTGCGGCCCCAGCTTCGCCACGAGCACAATGGGTACCATCCCTCGGAGCTGCTGCTGCTGCCCCTGGGTGGCCTCTACTGCCTGCAGGGCCTCTCGGAATGCCTGCTTCAGCTCCAGGGCCGCCTGCGGGATGAGGCTGGGGGTGGCTAGGGGTGAAAAGACCCCATTTTCAGGGGAAAAATCCATCTCGGAGGTCAGCACTACATCCTCCTCCTCCTCCTCCTCCTCCTCCTCTTCGCTCCAAGGGCGCCTCCGTTCCCCCAGCCCTTGTGGGTGGACGGTGCTTTTGTTTCTCCCGAGCTGTAAGGAGTAGGGGGTGGATGCTAGTGTGGAGGGAAAGGCCAGCCTTCCGAGAGGCCTCTGGCCCGTGCCATGCAGGAGTGGCTTTGACAGCGGGAAATCTCTGATGCTCAGCTGCTGGCATCCTGGGCCAAAGGCCAGGCTGGGGTCGTATCCAGCAGGGTTCTCCCGCCACATGGGGGCCAAGGACGGCTCAGCTTTGCCAAAGTAGTCCACAGCAGTGTCAGGGAAGCAGGCGTGAGCATCCTGGCTAGTGCCTGGCTGGCTGGCAGGGTCTTCCTCATAAGCCTCGCCATCCTCCTCCCAGTGGGGATGGGCATGCACCAGCCTCACGTGCTCCCTGAGCAGGCTCTCGCTGGGCGCGGGGAAACCACAGAAGACACAGGCGCTGAGGCCAACGGCAGCTCCGTAGGGCTGATAGAGGAGGGCGCTGGCCTCAGGGCTGGGGCTGCCAGCCCCGCTGCTGCCTCCAAAAGGCTCTTTGGTGGTCTGGCCTGGGGGCTCACGCATGTGCAGCTTGGCATGCTGCACATAGGCCCTGGATGAATTGGTGCCAAAGACACACTTAGGGCACTGCAGCCGTGCCTCCCGGCCCTCGTCTCCTGGAACTTGCTTCAGCTTTTGGATCTCCTCAATGATCTTCTCCCGGGAGGCCTGATGCAGCTGCCGGTGCTGCTCCAGGGCAGTGGGGTCAGCAAAGGCCCAGCCACACTCCCCGCAGGCCAGCGGGGCCAGGTCCGCAGGGGGCTCCTGGCCCGGGGCTCGGCGGTGCTGGCTCATGTGCTCCAGGAGGTGCTCCTTCTGCTTGAAGTAGATGCTGCACTCGATGCATGGGAACACGGCCGGCTCCTCGTCCTCGTCCTCATCTGGGCTGGCCACCCCTTCGGCCACCTCCTCCAGCAGCTCACACAGGTAGGGCCCGGTCCGGATCGGGGGCAGTAGCGGCTGCAGCCGCTCCACAGAAGCCTCCGAGTTCACTGTCCAGGTCTGTGTGGCTACCTCCGAGGCTGACGTGGGTAGGCCCCACTCGGACGGCTGGGCCAGCCCCTCCAGGTCCTCCAGATCTTCTCTGCCACCCACCACCGCCATGTCCAGCGTCTTCGGGGTGTCTTCCACTGGCACAAACACCCTCCTGAAGGGGGCGAGGGGTGGCGGCTGGGCAGGCAGGTCCAAGTGCAGCCCTGCGTCCTGGGGGGATCCCTGCTCGTCCTCATCTTGGAGCCAGTCGAACCTGGGGCGGCCCTGGGCATGTTTCTCCAAAAGCCTTGGTTCCCCCCGGTGGTGTAAGAACCTTCTAGAGCCCTCTAGCTCAGCGTGGGGTTTCATGGTTCTCACAATGACTGAGTCCTCGAATCTCCGCTCAGATAGGATGCCCTCCCCAGCCTCCTGGACAAGGGGGTGCTCCCAGGGCCCCCGGCCATCAGGGGTACCTGGGAAATGGCCCAGGAGATGGGGTGGTGGGGAGCCCGGCCGGAAGTCCAGGCTGCCTCCATCCCAGCAGCTGCAAGGAAGTGCCAATGGGGACAGGTTAGCCATGGGCTGCAGTTTTCCTTCCTAGGGTGGTGATGGGGGTCCTCCCAGGCCGTTTGAAGCAGGCCCCGGAGATCCAGCCCGAGGGTGACAGGGGTGTGGGGGTGAGGGTGGGAGGTAGGGGGAGTCCACGTGGATCCTTCCGGACCTATCGGGTCAAAAGCCAGGTTCAACTCCTAGGATGCACCTGTCCACAAAGCCTAGCCCCGCTGCATTGTGGGGGAATGTACGGAGACCACCCCTGGGCCACACGGGGATGTGGCCACCTCTAAGAAGTCTGGTGGCAACAGTCAACTCTCATCTCTCCCCAGGGAGGACCCAAGCCTCTCATCTGTGCTCCAGGCTGCTTCTGTCTTGGTTCTCCCCAAACTGGGGTGATTTTGCTAATTTAGTTTCACCTCTCCCCCAGATTTGGCGATTAACTTTGTGGCAGAACAGTTCAAAGGAATGTTCCTTTTCCCTGCATCTCCCCCTCCAGAAAGGCAGAGTCAGGAGAGGTTGAAGGTCCCTGCTAAGCCTTTGGCCCCAGTGATCCTGACCTTCTTGGGCAGAGGGGTGGGAGTGGGGCTGGGGGAGGCAAGGTAACCACTCTGGGCCTCAGTTTTCCAATCCTGAAATTGGGGGTAATTCCCAAGAACTGGGAACCCCTTTGTCCTTATACAACATCTGTGGAGCTTTCTCATAGCCATCATCAACAAAAGGTGCTTGCAACACAAGGCAGGTGCTTCTTTAAATGCTCACAACCACAACCTTTCAATGACCCCGCAGGGTGTAGGGTGAAGATGACACAACTCAGTGCTTGAGAAATGCTTTGTTTCACCTCATGCCTGGCCCAGTGTGGGTTCTTATTATGACCATTTGAGATCGGTTCTCCCTTCCTTTTCAAGATCCTGCCTCCATCAGGGGATGCCAATCACGCTTATGGAACAGATGTGGAAATGTTCCATTCAGATGTTGGGTGGAGACCATAAGGTCACCTTTCTAAGCTCCATCACTGACATGCGATACTAAAAGGACCATCCTCCTGGGGCTGTGGCAAGGATTCAGTGGGGATAAACACATGTTCAGAGTGTAGCTCATAGCAGCTATTATTAATTAATTAATAATATTCTTGCTCATTCTGAGAGCTATTAGTAATCCTGATAAACTTACTATGACCTGGCCAGGCATGGTGGCTCATGCCTGTAATCCCACCTCTTTGGGAGGCTGAGGTGGGTGGATCACCTGAGATCAGGAGTTCTCGACCAGCCTGACCAATATGGTGAAACCCCATCTCTACTAAAAATACAAAAACTATCTGGGCATGGTGGCAGGTGCCTATAATCCCAGCTACTGGGGAAGCTGAGGCAGGAGAATCGCTTGAACCCAGGAGGTGGAGGTTGCAGTGAGCCAAGATCACGCCACTGCACTCCAGCCTGGGCGATAGAGTGAGACTTTCTCAAAAAAAAAAAAAAAAGATGACTATGACTTATTAGCACCTGCCAAGCCATTTAATAAAGAGTAGGGACCATCAGCATTGCTCTTGATTCCTGCTCTCACCCAATGCCCCTTGGATCCTCAAGGCGAATTCATGAGATGCATCTTATGGACTCCATTTTGCAGATGAGAAAACTGAGGCCCAGAGAGGCCTAGTATCATTCTAAGGGTCACCTGGCAGAGAGAGGACTTGAAGGGTCCAACATCCAGGCTCCTGCCCCTCTGGCCCTGCTCCTGGCAGGGATAATGAGAGTTGACCCTCTGTGTTCATTCCAGACCTCCCCCAACCCCAGCACACGCCCAGGGGCTTGCCTGCCGGGAGCTGACTCCTCCTCCTGCCTGGCCTCCTGATTCCCTCCTGTCCCCTTCTCATTCCCCAGGGGCTTATCTGAGGCCTGGGCATGTCCTGCTTGCCCCCCTGCCCTCCCTGAGGTCAGGGCCAGCATGGCACTCACCAGCTGCTGATCCGATGGGTGGCGGAGGTGACACGGGGGAGGGCTTCGCTGAGGCCGGGATGGGGCTGCCCGTCTGCAACAGAGAGGGGAGACCCTGAGGGGCTGGGGTCCCCCTGGCCGGGGCCCTCCACACCCCAGCTCCAGGAGCCCTGCCAGGTGCCTCAGAAAGGCCCTGCTGGCTCCCAGTTCCTCTCCCTGAGAGGCCCGTGGCCTCTGTGGTCCTGAGCCCTGAAAGGGGTTTCTTTGGAAGAGTCCCCTTGGCTCTCCTGGGGGACCCCAGGGCCTTGCTGCCTTCCAACCCTCCTCTCTTTCCCCCAACCCAGCAGCCAGGGTGGTTTTTTACAAGCCTCACCCTGGTAAAAACTCACCTGGCTTCTCATTATACCTATAATAAAAACCAGACTTCTATTTTTTGAGACGGAGTCTTGCTCTGTTGCCCAGGCTGGAGTGCAATGGCACAATCTCGGCTCACTGCAACCTCTGCCTCCTGGGTTCAAGCGATTCTCCTACCTTAGCCTCCTGAGTAGCTGGAATTACAGGCGTGTGCCACCATGCCTGGGTAATTCTTCTATGTTTAGTAGTGACGGCGTTTCGCCATGTTGGCCAGGCTGGTCTCAAACTCTTGACCTCAAGCGATCCACCCACCTCGGCCTCCCAAAGTGCTAAGATTACAGGTGTGAGCCACTGTGCCCGGCCTAAAAACCAGACTCTTAGCCGCCACCTACAAGGCCCTATGAGGTCAGACCTCTGCTGGTCTCTCCAACTTCCCCTCTCTCTCCTGGCCCTTCAATGCCTCCATTCTGACTGTATGGGCCTCCTCAGGAAGCCCCAAGCCCACCTAACTCTTTTGGGCCTCAGGGCCTTTGCACCTGCTATGCCTTCTGCCCAGGGCACTCATCTCTGACCGCCTAACTCAAATGAGCCCCTATGATTTTCTCTCTCAGCACCTGTTTCATTTCTTTCTTAGAACTTTCTGAAATCACCTGGCTCTTTCTTGGGATGACTGCTTGCTGGGTCCCCTACTAGCATGTAGTCACAGTAGACCAGGTACTTTGTCGGCTTCGTTCACTGCAGCATTCTAGCACCTGGCATGGAGCAAGTGCTCAGCAAATCCTTGCCAGATGATGAACGAGGCACCTGTTCTAACCTGAGCTGCAGAGAGCCCATCCCTGCCTTCTGCACCCTCTCCCAGGCCTATGTCCTGAAATCCAATCCCCTCCTGGGACCCCCTCCCCACCAACACAGATGGAGCCAACTCTCTATTATCCGCCTGTGGAGCCAATGCCTGGAGCGACCACAGGAATCCTGGCCTGCATCTCTGCCCGCCACACTTGCCTGACGTGGGTAAGCTTGCCAATCGGGGAGCAGGCCAATTGCCCGGGCCAAGGTTAACACACTGGGGGAACTTGTGCCCCGTCCAGAGCCCGACAGATGCAATTGTTGGATTAGCCTCAATTTGAGGATGGTCCAGAAAAAGGGATAGGGCTGGGGCGAATTCTTTTTCCAATCCCTCATCATCCAATTGGCCCGAGAAATTGAGAGCTGACTGCTGAGAGTCAAGGGATAAAAGTGGAGGTAGGGTGGGGAGAGGGTGTTGACCAGAAAGGTGTGGTCACTGGCTGAGGGTCCTTCTTCTGAACCCAAGAAAAGGGTTGTGACTGTTGTGTGACCTCTGGAAGGGGTGGTGGGGGTATGGAAATTTGCATCATCTACAGCGCAAGGTGTCTCAACATCAGCACCATTGGCATTTGGGGCCAGATCATTTTCTGGGGTGGGGTCCATCCTGTGCATTGCAGAATGGTGAGCAGCATCCTTGGCCTCCACACCTCCCCAGCCCTCGGTCATGACAACCAAAATTGTCACCAAACATTACCAAAGTGTCCCCTGGAGGGGGAGGCGAATCACCCCCATTTGAGAACCACCAGGATACACTGATGGGCAGCAGAGCTGTGCCTGGGTGCAAGGGCTGGTTTTAGGATGGGGGTGTTGGAGAGGGCGTTCAGAGTTGGGAAAGAAAGGCCTGGCCCAGCCAAGAAACAGGGGCTCTAGAGAACATGTGAGTCATAGATTTGACTTTTTTCAGGAGAGGGCAGCCGGTTCACATATAACCTGCCCTAGCATGACCTAGAGGTGTGGGTCTGAGGGTCCCGGGCATCCTGCTTTTGAGGTTCTAGGACCCCAAGCTCCCAAGATTCCGGGCGTCCCAGATTTGATGATTCTGCGATTGCTGTTGTCTAAGAATTCCAAGAGCCAGGGGACCGCGTGGCCTCTTTGTCTGAGCAATTCCAGCGAGGCTCCTATTTTTAGTGGCAGTGACTTTGGAGGAAGCAGGCCAAGCAGTGCCCTGTGTCCAAGACACCTTGGGGGTGGGGGCTTCACCCAGAGGCCTCCACAGTTGATGGGGATCCAGGAGTCCCTACGGGTCAGATGAGGCGCTAGGTCGCAGCCCTTAGGCAGTGGCCATGCCAAGGGGCCCTTGTTGGCTCCTGCCATCTGGGTTCCCCGAGAGAGTTTGCAAATGCTGATGGCAAGGGGTGTCCATAAGCAGCCTGAACTCCAAGCCTGGGGTTCAACTTGGTAGAGTGGCCAAGAACCTAGATTCTGGAGCCAGACAGATCCGAGTTCAATACCCCAGGGGTGCCCTGAAGGGCGTGCCTCTCCCACTCCGAGCCTTGGTTTCTTCCGCTGTGCAATGGGAACAGCCACCGACCCAGTCTCGCAGGGCCAGCAATGGGTGCCAGCAAGATTGTAGTAAATGCTCCATCCAGAGAAGTGGCGGTGGAGGGGAAGAAGGCTGGTGGGAGGCCTGGGGGATCAGGGCTGGTTCAGCGATGTCTCAAGGGGGAAGCTTGAGGCTAGACCCCAGAGCCTCAGGTCCGGTCACTCCATGCTCTGATTTTCTCCCCAGGCTGGGGCCTCAAGACAGCAGAAATGATATGTCATTTGTCCCTGGGTGCCCTGTCCCCAACACAATGCCAGGCATGTACCAGACTCTTCATCGATCCATACAGACCACCTCAGCCCCTGAGTCTTTTCTGAACCTGGGAGGCCCAACCAGAGAGGCAGGAGCTGCAGAGGGGGTGTGGGAGCTCTGGGTAAACAGCCGTAACGGGGGACAGAGGAGGCAGCGGGCACACCCCTGCCCAGGCAGGGAAGTTTGGAGGTGGCCACTCCAGTGTGCTCTTGGGGGGCTCTGAGGGCTGAGTGGGGATAAAGGAAGGCCCAGGCTTTGGGGTGGAATAGCAGCCCCAGAGCCTGTTCCTATTTATAGGCATCACAAGACTAGTAGGGCAGGTGCCCGTGTCCCGGAGGGGGAGATCAAGCGGGCAGAGAGGGCAGTGGGAGAGACGTGGTGTCCCAAACCCAGGCATTCTTCCAACATTCAGGCCATGACCTCACTCCAAGTCAAGCCATTCCTATCCCTGCCCCCAGCTGCTGAGGGAAACCTTCAAGGGTGGGCCTGGCCCCCCTCAGCAGCCACATTTCTCTCTTCCCCAAGCTATAAAACAGATGCACGTATGAGACCCTGGGTGATTCCCCAGTGGGAGTGAGGATGCACCTACCTGCCTGCTTTTCCCCTCTCCCCAGACCTGGGGCATCTGCGAGGTAGAGAAGAGATGTCCAATCCCTCGGAACCAGACCCAGAGAGGACCCTGGGATCCCTAGAGCCTGTACCCTCAGGCTCCCACAAAATCAAAGTCCCCGCCCAGCCCTGGCCGGCTGTGCGACCTGGCACAAGATTCTGCCTCTCTCTGAGCCTCAGTTATTAACTCAGTTATTAATGGCTTAGAGGAGGGGATTGCTAAAGTTTCCCTGAGTGCTGATACTCTGGAGTTGGGTGTACCCTCTGCCCTCAGGGGTCTCACCTTGCCACCCCACTGCCTGACACCTGCAGATGCCACCAGCTACCTCTAAGCCTTGGCATGTACACAGCCCCCTGCCTAGATGCTTGCTTCCCCCTTGGTCTGGCTCATTGTCCCTCATCCTACCTCTCACTTCCTGCAGGAACTCCTGGTTGCTCCCCACCAGGTGCTTTCCTCATCACAGCCCCAGCCGCTGTGTCATAACACCTGGTGACATAACACCGGGTCATAACACGGTATCATAACATCTGTCTCCCCAGCCTCAGATGGTGGGGTCTATGAGAGCGAGGATGGTGTGTGCTCAGTCACCGCTGTGCCCCAGGGCGTGGCCCCTAGAAGATGCTGTGTATTTATAAATATCCGAGCATCATGAGTTGTAAAGGTGGCCAGAGCAGGTCAAGGATCTGTGAGGATGCAGCAGGGTGGTTAAGAGTGAGGGCTGTCAAGCCATGTTACTCCCTGGCTAGGTGACGTTGGGCAACTTATGTCACCGCTCAGGGTCTCAGTTTCCCCATCTCTGACACGGGATAATAATAATGAAGGCTATTCCACAGGGTTCTTTGGAGAATGACAGAAGATGATCTTGCAAAAGCCTTGGCACGGAGGAAGCCCTTGATGAGGTGTTTGGAGATGGGGGTGGGGGGTGTGATACATCAGCCCACTGTTTTCCAGGCATACCAGCCTCCTACCAGGTCCTTGGACACGTCAGGCTCCTCCCCACCACAGGGCCTTTGCACTGGCTGTTCCCTCCACCCAGAATGCCCGTCCCACCATTCACTCCATGCTCCATTCAAATGCCACTCTATCAGGGAGGGTCTCCCAGGTCTCCCAGGCATGATCCTGGCACTCTGTTTAATGCCTTCACAGCATCTGTCACTACCTGTCCTTCTGATATTTGTTTAGTTGCTTGTTGTCCATTTCCCCTACTAGAGTGTCAGCCCCTTGAGGGCAGGAATTCTTGCCTCTTTGGTTTACAGCTGTCTTCCCAGTGCCTAGCACATACCCTGGCACACCGAAGGTGCTCAGTATTTAATGAATGAATAACACGTCTGGAGGTGGGGAGAGTGTGAGATACCTTTTTGCTGGGTAAACCAAGGGGTAGCCAGCATCGCTGACTACCCAGCCTCTCCCTAGCCACTACAGAAGCTGTTTTGGCCCGTGGTTCAGGAACAGGATACACCCAGACAGCCAGAGGGAGCTGGGATAGACTGATGGGAGTGGGGAATACCTGTGGAATAAGTGGGCTGGGGGCAGGGAGTCTGGGGTGCTGAGATGGGCCTCTGGACCCAATTAGTATGCTCAGAGGAGGAAGCCAGGCTGACCTGAGTTCAAGTCCCAGCTCCATACCACCCAGTGGGGAGCCTTGGTCTGGTCACTGGCTCCCAGGACACCTGTTTTCACAACTGTCAAATAAGAAACTAAACAGAGTACAAAGAAAAGGCTCTGGACCCAAGCGGAATCAGCATCCCAGCTCAGCCGCTGCTGCGCTGGGTGACTTGACTCTCTCTGAGCCTTGGGGAATGGGCTGGATGCTCCCTGGGGGCCACACGGCCCATTCTCTTACCAGAGATGCCACCTCTGCCATCCAGAATGTCTCGGGGGCCCTCCTTGGTGACAGGCAGGTAACGGGTGGACCGGAAGATGCCACCTTCCCCCTCAGCAGCTTCGGCCCCACCCTCGATGTTCTCCCTTGGCGCCGGGCCAGGCAGTCTCTCTGGGCCTTGGGGACGATCTGGTGCAGCCAGGCTGCCTGCCAGAGACCCCTCCATCGGATTTTCTCTGCTTGGATCCACTCAGCTGCTGCACCGGCTCAGCGGGGCATTGTGGGCCTGGGGATAGAGAGAAGGAAGTGCTTAGGGGATGGAGGAAAGGGAATCTGCCTCAGTTTCCCATCCCTCAAAACCTCAGTCCTCAACTTTGCAGCTCACTGCCTCAGTTTACCTCCCAGCCCAGGGGAGCTAATGGTGTTCAGACCTTTTCCACACACCTTCTATCCCAATGGCCCCTACCCTCAGCATGCCTCCGTCTCCCCATCAATAACTCCTCCCCTTTATACAGATCCTGCACTGCCTCAGTTTACCCATATTGACACATGCACACTCAGCCACCTGGTCTTCTTCCATCAATCTTACCATTTCTCCAGACGCCTCCCTTCATTCACACACAGCTGCACTTTCCCCAGTCCTGCCCTCACATCCATGCACACGCACATCCTACTGCCATGCCTTCGTTTCCTCGGCAAGAATCCCAGCCACTTGTACACTCTGATCCTATACACCGTCAGGAGTCTCCCATCATTACCCCTTTACTTTTCTCCATTGGGTTGTCCCATACCAATGATCCCTGCACTTTTCCCACACTCCAACCCTTCCCCCACACAGGACCTTAGGGTTCTCCAGCATTAACCCCTTCACCCCCCTCCACACACACAGCCTCAAGTGACCCCAGCATTAACCCTTTCGCTTCTCCCCAACATTATCCCTCATGCATACCCAGCTTGGGCTCCTCCATTCCCCCCACCCCCCAACCAAGATTGCTCTAGTCCTCGGGCGAAAGAAAACGATAGGGCTCCTGGTCCAGAAATGAGGACCCTGGGGAGCGGGGGTTGTCCTCTCTACCTATAAATACCTTCAAGGTAACGGCGGAAAGTGAAGGGCAGGAATGAGGCGCCCTCCCCAGGGAGATGGTGGGGAGGCCGGGCCCAGGCAACCGGGGCGGGGCCGGGGCGCCAGGCCTGGTTGCAGGCGCTGCCCTCGGGGGCCTGGGGATTCCCAGGGGGCTCCTCCGTGGGCTGGCAGTCTTGGTGGGGGTCCCTACCCAGGCCCGGAGGAAGCACCTGCGGTTGTCCACTGGGTGGGCACTGCCCGCGGGGAACGGGCGGGACCGCAACTTCGGAGCACTTTGGCAGCGTGGGGAGGGGGCTCCTACCCGGACGCCCCCCAGGGGTCGCAGAGGTGGGGGCTGCGCCGCGCGGGCCCACTCCTCGGGGGTCCAGGGTCCGGGGGATGAGCCCTCCGCCCGTGCACCCCGGGGCAGGAGACCCCGCGGGACGCGCCGAGGTAGGGGGGACACCTGCCCCAAGACCCCCGCCCCTCCCCCCACCTGCACGGCCCCGCCCCCGGCCAGGCCCCGCCCCTGAAGGCCCCGCCCCCGCCCCCGCCCCGGGGGGTCCCGCCTGGCCCGGCCCGGCCCGGGGCCTCCCCCGCCCCGCTACGGCTCCGCCCCACCCGCGGGCTCCCCAGGCCGGGCCGGGCCTCACCGGGGAGGCGGCGCCGCCGGCCAGGTGCCGGGGCTCGGAGCTCCCCTCCTTGGTGCGGCCGTCGCTGCCGCTACCGCCGCTGCCGCTCCCGGTGCCGGTGCCGCGGCCTCCGCAGCCGCCGCCGCCTCCACCGCTCGGGGGACATTGTCCCTTTAAATCGCTCCCCCCGCCGCCCCGCCCCCCCGGCGCGCCGCCGTGACCTCAGCGCGACAGCCCCGCCGCGCCGCCATGATGGGGAGGTCCGGGGCGCCCCCCCCACCCCACCCCCCCCCCCCTCGCCGCCCCGGGGGGGGCGGCCAGCGGGCGCGCCGCCATGTTGGGAGTGGCCAAGCGGGTCACCCTTAAAGGGCCCGCACGGCCTGAGTCCAGGGAGAGGCCCCGTTACCATGACAACACCCTTGTCGTCCCACACCCCAATGGCTCCTTATCGTCCCACTGGTACTTCCAATGGTAGGCTCGCTAAAAGCACTAAAAGAGTGGGGAGGGTGCAGAGAAGTTCCCCCATGGGTCATTGATGGGTCATTGATAGGTCATTGAAGACTCCACCCAGCCAATTTTTAGCCTTTTGTCCCCTGCCCCCCATCAGCTACCTTCCAACCACAAGCTCACTCCCTCCTTCCCAATCATCCACACTGGACTTCAGCACCTCCATGTCCCTAGAGTTGCCCTAGGTCTTCAGTCCTAAGTCACCTTCTCCACCCAGTTCCCAGGATCACAGCTTCCAGGACTACCCCATCAGACACACATCATGGCCTGTTGTCTTGTCTTATCCACCATGTATCCAGATATCTAACCACCTAGCTATCTCATCCACTTCCTCAATCTATCAATCACTCATCTACCTATCCAATGAACTAATCACCTATCCACCCACCCCTCCAACCACCTATTAATTCACCCAAACACCCACTCAACCCACCCATTCACTTCCCATCTACCCACCCATTCATCCAGCACCCAAGTAAATACTCATTTATCCATACAACCAAGCAAGTACCCAACCATCCCCACACACATCTTTCCGCCCAGCCCCCCAAACATCCATCCACCAGTTTGTCTGTTGATTTGGTCCCTCCACTAACATGTAAGTTCCATGAGGCCAGGAGTCCTGTCTAGTTCATTATTGTTTCTCCACTGCCCAGTTCTCAGGCGTCTCAGGAGACCTCAACATATGTACATATGATATATATAATCACAACATTGAAAAAAATTTTTTCTTACTATGAACCAGGCCTTTTCTAGGCAGACATACCCAACCTGGTTAACCAACTACCCAGCTACTCACCTACCAGGTCAAACATCCAGCAAATGCTAACCTATCCGTCTGCCGTTTGCTCCACCCACTCTACCCCTCACCCATCCACTCACCCATGATTTGAATGACTCATTTACCCAATCATTCATACACAGTATCCAACCATCTCCACACCTGACCCCCTTCCTTTATCCGCCTCCCAGACCCATGGCCTCCGTGACATGAGGAGGGCCTAGGAAGATGCTCTCACTGTGGGATTGGGAGGTTGCCAGGGGTGGAATCCATGCTTCATTGAGAAGCAGGTGCTGCCTATAACAATGGTGAATACCTTTTATCGAATGCCTTTAACTATGGGTCCTCTCACTGTGTAGGGAACTTTACGTCCATTTCACAGATAAGAAAACGGGCTCTTAAGAGAATGAAGGTCTAAGGTCACACAGCTGGTGAGAACTTGTGTACATGGCCCTCTCCATGAGACTTCTAATTAGGGGAGAATTTGGGAGAGATGAATAGGGCTTGCGGGGCAAATGCCTAAGAATTGGCAATTCTTAGTGGGCAAAGAAACCACCAATTTCACTGAAATCAAGATTTTACTGGGCAACTTCATACTGCCAGAGTGGTTGGGACCAGCAGCTCCACTCCCCACTGTAGGCCAAGTAGGGCTAAGGCAAAGTCAGACACCCCCCCTAAGATGGCTATCTCTCTGCTCCCAGACCACGTGTGATGAGGCAGGATGGGCAGCTCAGGTGGTGTCTCCATTGAGGCAGGGTGCTTTGAGGGGCTGGGGTTGACTCCAAGACCCCCGCGTCCTTGGAGAAAGCTGCAGGCTCTGGACAGCATCCCTCAGCTGAGCCTGAGTTCTCTCCATCTCATTTAGGCGGTGCTCCTGGGGAGGCAGTGGTGATGGGGTTCAGAAACCAGGAGAGGGCTGCACCGCAACCCTTGCTCCTCCACCGCCCAGACCTGCCCCAGGGCTCAGATGGCAATCTCACCAGGTTTTTCAGACTGTGCCCTTCATTGCTTGTTAGGTTGTGCTCTGAATCAAACTCTGAGCTCCTGTGGGGGTCGGGGGATTGGGGCGAAGGGCAGAGGCTAAGGAAGTCCCTTCCAGCTCCTGGTGGGAGTGCCAGGGACTCCGGGGGCGGAGCTTGGAGTGGAGGCGGAGCTTGTCCAGACTGAGGGGCGGGGCCTAAATATGCTTGAAGAAGGGTCGGACCAGAGACGGGAATGGTTGGAATGACAGGACCTATCAATCATCCCTTGGAGGTGGGGTTTGGCCAGTCCTGGGTGGGGTCGTGACTGAGCTGGAGGGAGTGCCCAGGCTGAGATATCTCAGTGCCCGGCCCAGCCAGGTTGGGAGGGGCTGATGGAGGGGTGGGGCCTGGATGAGAGAATCTGCCAGGGTCCTAGGCCGACCTTCGTTGGGTGGGTCCACCTGGGGGCGGGGCTTGCCAAGAGGCAGGGCCTGGACAGACTTATTGGGGCGGGGCCAGGGTGGGGCTTGGCCGTGCTAGGCGTGGTTTGGGGGGGGGGGGGAGGGCCTGGTCAGATCTAATTGGATCGGGCCCACCTGGGGGCGGAGCTAATGGAGAGGGCTGGGCTCACCCAGCACGGAGCCTGGAGTCCAGATCCTGCAGCTGGCCCCGCAGCTGCTCCTGCTGCTCCGTCAAGGCCCGGATTTGGGTGCTCAGCGACTCCACGAGGCGGGACAGCACTTTCTGCTCCTCACGCAGAGCGGCCACCTCGCACTGCAGCTCTGCCAACTGTGGTGGGAGAGCAGCTGTAATCTGACCCGTTGTCCCGCCCCTGTGTCTCCCCGGAGACCCTGACCTCCCAGGCCCAAGCGCTCAGCGTCATCACCGGCCTGCCTAGTTGGGGAACATCCCTCCTGCGGTACAGCTGGGGAGACTGAAGCTCAGAGAGGGTCGGGCTAGGCCTGGGGTCACACAGCACAGCGAGCTGGGTACTTGAACCCAGACTTGCCTGGCCCTTCAGTCTTCCCCAGTCGCGTCCCTGTTCCCACTCCCCAGGCGCGGACCTGGGCCTGACCTTACCTTGTTCACAGGTCGGTGCGTGCCCAGTGCCTGGTTTCGGTCTTGCGGCTGGTCCATTTGGCGCTGCCAGGGTACCGACGGCTTCCGAGGCAGCGAGGCGGAGTCCCGGGTCCAAGGCCGGGCGCGGGGCGCTGGTCCCATGCTCAGGGAGCCTTTGGGTCGCGGCCAGGGCCCCGCAGATTGGCGGCGGCGGGCAGGACGCCGGACCGGGACACTCTGCGTGCGCTGCACCGGCCGGGGCCGCCGCAGGGGCCGCTCTTCGTCCGGCCGTGGCCGGGCCCAACTCTCTGAGCGGCGAACGCTGCGCAGAGACTGGCTCTTGGAGATGAGAGGGGTGTGCTTGGGGAGGTCCCGGGGGGCCAGGAAGCCGGGCTTCTCCCCTGCGGAGAGGCTAGGGGTGGGATGGAGGATCTTAGACCCTCCACTGGCCCCTGAGACGACCCCATCCCGACCTGACCAGAAGTGACCTCACCCCCCACGTGAACTTGTCCTTTCTTTTTTTTTTTTGAGACAAGGTCTTGCTCTGTCGCCCAGGCTGGAGTGCAGTGGCTAGATCATAGCTCACTGCAGCCTTGAATTCTGGAGCTCAAGCTATTCCCCAGCCTCAGCCTCCCAAATATCTAGGACTACCAGCACATGCCACTATACCCAGGTAATTTTTTTTTTTTTTGGTAGAGATGGGGTCTCCCTATGTTGCCCAGGCTTGTCTTAAGTTCCTGGCCTCAAGTGATCCTCCTGCCTCAGCCTCCCAAAGTGCTGGGATTACAGGCATGAGCCACTGAGCCTGGCTCCTGTCCTTGACTTCTGACTATAATACTGTCCTCTCTATGACCCTTGACATCTCTCCACCCTAACCTCTCCTCTCATCCCCGACCTCAAACACACTGTGACCTTTGACCCAACCCTTTCTATAACCTGTGATTCCCGTCTGACCCTGGGCTTGACCTCTGCTCACAATGATCCAACTTCACCTCTGACCCCTGTCTGAGCCCTGCTCCTTCCTGTTCCCACCCATCAGACCCCAGACCAGACTTGAGGTTACCTGGAGTGGACCTGGGCCGGGGGCAGTGGGAGACGCATTGGCACTGACACAAGCACAGGCTGGCCCTCCTCAATGGCTCGCAGGATGGTGGGCAGTGGTTCCAGGGTGTCTCGGGTTGTCTGGTGAGGCATGCAGGACAGAGACTGAGCAAAGTCTCCAGGGTCAGAGTCTCCCAAGCCTTCTTGCCTCCCTACTCTGGGTTCAGGCCATACCTGGTCAAGCTCAGCAAAAATTGTACAGAGCTGGGCATGCAGGACAGCTAACTGGAGGGCCAGATCACCACTGCCCTGGTAACCACTGGGGGCAGCATCCACATCCACCATGGCTACCTGGTCCAGGAAGCATTGCATGGCTGGTCCATGTTCCTCCAGGAAGCTATTCATGAAGCCCATGTAGGCCTCCTTCTCACCGAACCTGGATCAGGGCCAGGCTGGGTGGGTCAGGTCAGGCACCTGCCACCCCCACACTCCCAGCATGGTCCCCCCACCCCTAGCTTCCCAGCACCTACGGGGCACGGTTGGCGAGGTTCTGGATGACCTTGGCAATCAGTGTGAGGGTGCGGGCTGGGCCGGGTGCTGGATGGTCTGGTGCCAAACCAAAGAGGCTGGGTGCCAGGATGGCAGGGCACAGGAGCCGCAGGAAGAGGGAGGCGCACACCAGTCGGGGGCCCAGCACCTCAGAGCCACGTTCTTTACATGCTTCTCGCCAGCTTGAGAACACGATGCCCAGCTCCGCAGGGAACCAGCTGGTGCAGAAGAGGCAATGAATGGTCAGACGGGGAGGCTATGGGCATAAAGGTTAAAGTCATAAGGTTGGGAGTCCCAGAAGCACTGCATGATTGGTCCATGATCCTCCAGAGAGCTATTCATGAAGCCCATGCAGGCTTCCTTCTCACTGAACCTGGGGTCTGGGCTCTAGGATTGGGAATATCTGAGATAACAATGCTTGGGGTTATGAATCAGCATGGGGCCATGGCTTATGGTGTAGCTATGGCAATCGCTGGGGATAATACTCTTATAGTTGGGGATACAGGGTCACATGAAGACAGAGGTTATGAGCTTGGATGTACTTATAATTAGACATGAGACTGGTGGGCCAGAGTACAAGATATAAAGTAGGATTGGGGCTCTGGAGGTCACCTAGGGTCAGAAGTCACTTGATTGAAGTCAGGGATTAGGTATGCAGGTTAACCTAGGGTCAGAGGTCAAGGGATTGGAATCCCAGGTCTCCTGTGATCAGTTGCATGGGATTTGAGGTGGAGGGTCACTTAAAGCCAGGGATCATGGACTTGGGGCATCATCTGGTCATAGGATTGAGGTCCTATGTTAACTGGAGCCAGTGGCATGAAATTGGGGATATGGAATCAACTGTGGTTACAGGACAAGGAATTGGGTCTCAGGTTACTTGGGGTCAGTGGTGATAGGGTTGCATGGTGATAGGGTTGCCAGATGCAGCAAACGAAACTTCAGGACATCCAGTTAAACATGAATTTCAGATAACGGAGTGATTTTTATTTATATTTTTACTTTTATTTGGGACAGGGTCTCTGTCAACCAGGCTGGGGTGCTGTGGCATGATCATAGCTCACTGCAGCCTTGAATCCTGCGCTCAAGCGATCCTCCAGCCTCGGCTGGGAATACAGGTGTGTGCCACCATGCCTAGCTCATTTTTAAAAAGCTTTTTGGAGAGATGGAGTCTTGCTATGTTGCCCAGACTGGCCTTGAACTCCTGGGCTCAAGCAATCCTCTTGTCTCGGCCTCCTAAAGCATTGGGATTACGGGCGTGAGTCACCATGCCTGGTTCAAATGAGTAATTTTTTAGTATAAGCATGGTCCCAATTATTGCATCAAATTTAACTGAGTGTCTCCTGTATTTTATCTGGCCACCCTAAACTGGAGGTCGGGGCTAGCATGGTAAGCAGGGGTGGGCTAAGCTGCTGGGGCCCTGATTCTCACTCGTAGGAATGGATAATGGTTTCGAAGACCTCCTCGCAGCTGTTCCGAAGTCTGGCCTGGTGCTCTGGCAGCTCCGAGGCTGGACATTTGCTGGGGTCCACTTCACAGTCCTCAGTAGAAGCACAGAGACGCCGCACAACCTGTCCTGCAGCCCAGCACAGCCAGATAGGGGCTGGGGCCATGACCACCAAAACCTGCCACACCCATCCTCCAACCTTGTCTTCAGGTTATTCCGGAGGCACCCAACATCTTGGGGAGCTCCCAATTGTCCCCAGGATCCTAGCACCCCCAAAACACCACTCACTACCAGAATCCAGGTTGCTCAAGGACTCTTAGAACTTCACCCAGGTCCCCTAGCTCACCAGCAGGCCGCTGACATGGACTCTCCCCCAGCTCACCCAGGGTCTCCTGGAGGTAATCCTGTGCCACGAGCTTCATGTACTCATCGATAGCCTTGGTGGCCAATGTGTTTTCCCGGAACAGCAGCGCCTCACGGCCTCCACAGCGCGCCAGCTCCGCAGTGCCCAGGTCAGTCACCAGCGCCTAGGAAGGGCAGGAGGTCAGGTTGCACCAGATGCAGACAGAGTCCAAGGGAATTCGGATCCTTGGCTGGTCCCTCACACCAGAGGCACAGGCCCCGCCCCTTGTAGCTGATGCTTAGGCCCAGTCCTTACTGCTGGGGCTCATAACCGAGGCCGGAACCTCTAACCCTCACAGCAGAAATTTAAGCCTTTCAGCGCTGAGGTGCAACCTGGGCCCCGCCCCTCACGCGTGATGCTCAGGCCCCTGTCGCAGCTGAAGCTTAGGCTCCGCTCTTCAAGGTGTCCCGCCCCTTATGGGTGATAATTAGGCCCCGCCCCTCACAGCTGAAGCTCAGGCCCAGTCCTTCAAGGTGCCCCGCCCCTTACAGGTGCAGCTCAGCCCCAGCCCCTCACAGCTGACGCTCAGGTCCCGCCCTTCAAGGTGCCCCGCCCCTTACGGGTGATGTTCAGGCCCCGCCCTTCTAGGTGCCCCGCCCTTCTAGGTGCCCCGCCGCTTACAGGTGACACTTGGACCACGCCCCTCACACCCCTTCAAGGTGTCTCCCCCATTACAGGTGCAACTCAGGTCCTGCGCCCCAACTCCTGCCCGAAGCGCGTTATCGGTCTACCCCTGGTAGCCCCGGTCCGCGCTGTCGCGGTGCCGCACCTGCGCCCGGCCGGTGGCCCGCAGCACGCGCACCATGGCTGCCGCCAGCTCCTCCTTGGCCTGCGCAGGCAGCGCGGGCTCCAGGGCCCCGCAGAGGCGCGCATAGTGGAAGGTGAGGAACTCCGCCAGCTCCTTGTAGCGCTCGGACGGCAGCACGCGCAGGCGACGCGCCCGAATCCGCGCCCGCAGCGCTGCGCCCGCCGGCGCCCCGAGCAGCGGGAACCAGCGCTCCAGACCGGCGGCAGGCGCGCGTGGGGCGTCCAGCTCCTCCAGCGCCAGGGCCACGCGGCCCAGCACCGCGCTTCCCGGGCCCAAGCCGCGCAGCCGCAGCGACAGGCGACGTGCCGGTGGCAGCGCCTCGAAGTGGAAGCGCTCGGCCCAGAAGAGCTGGCCTGGGCCGGCCCGAGGCGCCGTGCGTGCCAGCAGCGCGCCATCCAGCCACAGCTCGGCGCGCACGCCGGGTGCCCCCGCCGCTGCTCGGGGAAGCCCCTTCGCTTCGTGCACCCACACGCTCAGCCATGTCTCTTCCCGCTCCACGTTGTCCTGCAGATGGGAGTGGGATGGGGGGAAGCGTTTTGGTTTGTTGGCACCCCAAAGAAGGCACCGCAAGTGAAGCGTGGAGCCTCAAACCTGTTGCGTCGGGTCCCTAGGGAGATTGCTGGGCCTTTGGGGAAAGAAGTGGAGCCACGGGAGTCCGGAGGCGGTTACGCGGAAGTCTTCTAGCTTTTCTGGGCTCTCCGGGAGAGTTGGGGGCTCCAGGGCATACAAGAGTAGTACTGGAGTAAAGACTTCGCGATTGCCTGGCAGGCAGGGCTTTGGGTGCATATGGGGCCGGGAGTGGACAGAAGGGGCGGGTCTGATATTCCCGGGGCTGGTAATAGATGGAAGGGGAGTCTTGGAGCCGTTGCAACGATGCAGGCGGGGCAGGTGTGTTGGGGGCGCGGGTTATGGAGCGAGCTGGCTTTGGGTAGAGTGGAAGGGGCGGGCCAGGCCTGTGGGCGGGGTCTCCGTGTCCCGCTTTTCTGAGGGCAATGACCTGGGTGGGCTGGAATTGGCGACGAAGGTCCTCGATCCAGCGGTCTCTCTCAGCGGCCGAGCGACAAGAGAAGCAGCGGCTTCCACCCGTCCAGGTTACCTGTTGGGATGGAGAATCCAACGGTGTGATCGAGGCCAAGGGTGAAGCCAAAGGGTGGGAGGTGGGACTGAGGTGGAATCGAGGTGGACTGTCTACACTTACCTGAAAGCAGTGGGGCTCCCCCAGGAGGCTGGGGTGCAGTGGCCAGATCCGCACATCCCGCTCGGCACCCAGGTCCAGTTCAGAGAGTGTGGCCAGCGACTCCCTAGAGCCCAGAGCACTGGGGGGTCTGGGAAGGGGGTGGGTGAGCACACCGTCATTCCTGCCTCTTCCCCATCCCCCATAGCCTGAAGGGTAGAGGAAGGCCAGGAAGGACTTCAACCCAATTCGGATCCCGTTTCTCCCCCGTGCCCCCCCCACCCCCCGCCATGGCACCTCCTTGCTTTTAGGATAAACTCAACTCCTGGTGACCTACATGACCAAGCTGGGTCCAGATGTTGTCACCTCATCTCCCTCCACCTAATCCATCACTTTCTGAGCTCCAGCCTCCCTGGCCTTGTTTTATTTTATCCTATTTATTTATTTATTTATTTATTTGAGACAGAGTCTTGTTTAGTGCGGTGGCTGGATCTCAGCTCACTGCAACCTCTGCCTTCCAGGTTCAAGTGATTTTCCTTCCTCAGCCTCCCAAGTAGCTGGGATCACAGGTGCCCACCACCATGCCTGGCTAATTTTCTAATTTTTATATTTTTAGTAGAGGTGGGGTTTCACCATGTTGGCCAGGCTGGTCTTGAACTCCTGATCCCAAGTGATCCACCCGCCTCAGCCTCACCAAAGTGTGGGATTACAGGTGTGAGCCACCGTGCCCAGCCCTATTTATTTATTTATTTATTTATTGAGATGGAGTCTTGCCCTTTTGCCCAGGCAGGAGTGCAGTGGCACAATCTTGGCTCACTGCAATGTCCACCTCCCAGGTTTAAGCGATTCTTCTGCCTCAGCCTCCTGAGTAACTGGGATTACAGGCATTCGCCACCATGCCTGGCTAATTTTGTATTTTAAGTAGAGATGGGATTTCACCACGTTGGCCAGGCTGGTCTTGAACTCCTGACCTCAAATGTTCCACCTGCCTCTGCCTCCCAAACTGTGGGATTACAGGTGTGAGCCACCGCACCCAGCCCTATTTATTTTTGAGACACAATCTTGCTCTGTTGCCCAGGCTGGAGTGCAGTGGCATGATCTCTGTGCACTGCAGCCTCAACTTCCCAGGCTCAAGCAATCCTCCCACTCAGCCTCCCCAGTAGGTGGGACTACAGGTGCCCGCCACCATGCCTAGCTAATTTTTGTATTTTTTGTAGAAATGGGGTCTCACTATGTTGCCCAGGCTGGTCTCGAACTCCTAGACTCAAGCAGTCTGCCCACTTTGGCCTCCCAAAGTGCTGGGAGCCACTTCACCCAGCCCTCTTGGCCTTGTTTTAGTTGCTTCTTTCGGCCTCTTGGCCTTTGCACTTGTTGTTCCTTCTGCCTGGAATGCTTTTTCCACCCCCCTGTTGGCCTAGTTAACTTCCATCCACCCTTCAGATCTCAGCTCAAGGGTACCTTCCCTAACCCTCCCAGACCAGTTGATTGACTTAGCTCCCATTTTAGAGTTATTGTGTCAGACTTTGCCCCCACCCTGGCTCTGTGCTAGATCATTCAATGTCCCCAGCATCAACTGATGTGGGGCAGAACACAGAGGCCACAGGGGGTGTTTGGTGTAGATTGGAATGATATGCAGGAGGTGGAGGAGGAGGGGCCAGTGTTGAACCCCAGCCCCTCCAGCCTCTCATACACCCTTACCCATCCCGGGGCTCCAACCTGGCCTTTTTCTTCTCTTTCAGCCTCTTGAGCAACCCCTGTGGGGAAGGGAATGTCAGCTGGACAGAAATCTGTGCTCCTTCCTCAGCTCCTTCCCTCCCAAGACATCCCAGAGGATCTACTGGTCTTGGAGGACCAACACCAAGCTCAGGCTGTATTAGCAGGAATAATAAGAGCAATCAGCAGCTCCTAATTCTTTGTTCATTTGTTTTTTTAAGACAGGGTCTCGTGCTGTCGCCCAGGCTGGAGTACAGTGGTGCGATCATGGCTCACTGCAGCCTCAAATTTCTGGGCTCAAGTGATCCTCTTGCCTCAGCTGGGACTACAGGTGAATGTTACCATGTAGAATTGGGGACTTGCTATGTTGCCCAGGCTGGTCTTGAACTCCTGGTCTCAAGCAATCCTTCTGCTTCAGCCTCCCAAAATGTTGGGATTACAGGTGTGAACCACTGTGCCTGGCCCAAACTCCCATTTGTAAAGCATCAATCATATATTCTCCTATACTATTCATTTATTTATTTAAGAGATGAAGTCTCCCCATGTTGCTTAGGCTGGTGTTGAACTCCTGGCCTCAAGCAGTGCTCTCTGCTCAGCCTCCCGAGTAGCTTGGACTATAGCTGCGCACTGCCCTGCCTGGCTCCTGCACTCTCTATTGGCTTCCCATAAACAACCCCTAGAGAAAGGTTATTTCATTAGCTTCATTTGACAGACTGGGACTCTGAGGCCCAAAGAGGGTCAGCAACCTGCTCCAGATCACCCAGCAAGAGTGCCCTTTCAGCTTTGAGGGTCCGAGAGTCTTGGCTCTCCCCTCTACCTCCCACCTTCACTGGCTGCCTTACCCGAACGTTGTGGACCTGGTTGGGACCAGCAGTCTCCGGTTCTGTTTTTCCAGGCATCCGATCTGTGGGTCGTTATGGGTGGCAGGTTGGGGGGTTGGATTCTGCCCCACTTTTAGAGCCTCCCAAATGCCCCAGGCCTTTCCACCCCTCAAGCTTACCTGGATCCCTGAAGTTCCCCATGGCCACGTGGATGCTGCCCTCGGAGCTAGCACTTCCCACCCGGGGCCTTCGAGGACCCTGTTCTCCCGCAGGAGTGGGTAGTCAGAGAGGGGAGGCAGGCAGGCAGGCAGGCAGGCAGACCGAGGGAGAGGCAGACACCTTCCCATTATCCTCCCTCCAGCCCCTGCCTCTGTTCTGCCCTCCTCCTTTTTCTTTCTTCCCTCCTCCCCTTTCCCAGGTGCCCCCTCTCACCTCCTCCTCTCCTCCAAGCAGCACCAGCTTCCCATCAAGCAGGGTGAAGCCCCCAATGTCCCAGACAGGCACGTTGGGTGTGGGGGCCTCAGGGATCTGTGGGGTAGGGGGCTCCAGCTCTGGCTCCGGCTCCAGCTCTGGGAAGAAGAGGAGGCACTGGGGGACTTAAGAGACGTTTTCTCTCCCTCAGGCTACCCTTTCCATTCCCGAAGGCTCATGGTGGGTTCCCTCCTAGGTGCCCCCCACCCCAGCAGCCGTATCAGACTGTATGACCTTGGGCAAGCTTTCATCGCTGTCTGGGCCTTGTCCCCACTAACCATGGGTAGCAGACACAACTCACCTACCATGTGCCCAGTACCCTGTATACCACTCCACACACCTTCTTGCATTGAATCCTCCAAAAGCCATTCAAAGGGCTATGATAACAGGCTCAGAGAGGTTGAGTGACTTGCTCAGGGTCACACAGTTTGTGAGTGGTTGGGCTGGGCTTCAGTCACAAGCATTCTTCTCTCTCTCTCTTTTTTTGTTTTTTTGTTTTTTTTGCATTCTTCTCTTAACCAAGACATTATGTGGGTCCAAGAGGTTAAAAAACAGGACAGGGGCTGGGCAAGGTGGCTCATGCCTGTAATCCCAACATTTGGGAGGCCGAGGTGGGGCAGATTGCTTGAGACCAGGAGTTTGAGACCAGCCTGGGCAACATAACAAGACCCTGTCTTTAAAAAATAGCCTGATGTGCCTGGGCTCTGTGGCTCACACCTGTAATCCTAGCACTTTGGGAGGCCTAGGCGGGTGGATCATCTGAGGCTGGGAGTTCAAAACCAGCCTGACCAACATGGAGAAACCCCGTCTCTACTAAAAATACAAAATTAGCCAGGCGTGGTGGCACATGCCTGTAATCCCAGTTACTCAGGAGGCTGAGGCAGGAGAATCTCTTGAACTTGGGAGGCAGAGGTTGCAGTGAGCTGAGATTCCGCCACTGCACTCCAGCCTGGGCAAGGAAGTGAGACTGTGTCTCAAAACAAAAACAAAAACAAAAACAAAATGGGAATATAAGCAGTGAGAATTAAATGAGCTTCCAGGAAATAGGAGGGCTGAATTAGCCCTCCCAGATTGCCTGTCTGTTCCCTTGTTTTTACCACCAGGAGCAATAAATGATAACTCCCGCTTATTAACGGATCACTTAAAATATGTTGGGCCTGGGGCCGGGCGCGGTGGCTCACGCCTGTAATCCCAGCACTTTGGGAGGCTGAGGCGGGCGGATCATGAGGTCAGGAGATCGAGACCATTCTGGTTAACACAGTGAAACCCTGTCTCTACTAGAAATACAACAATTAGCTGGGCATGGTGGCGGGTTCCTGTAGTCCCAGCTGCTCAGGAGGCTGAGGCAGGAGAATGGCGTGAACCCAGGAGGCGGAGCTTGCGGTGAGCCGAGATCGCGCCACTGCACTCCAGCCTGGGCAACAGAGCGAGACTCCATCTCAAAAAAAAAATAAAAAAAATGCTGGGCCCTAGGCTAGTGTTACATTCCTGAGCCCTAATTCTTGTGATATCCATTACTCTTCTAGATCCCCCTGTGTGACACTTAGCACCATCTGTCATTTTTTTTCTTTCTTTTTTTTTTTTTTCTTCCATTGAGATGGAGTCTCCCTCTGTCGCCCAGGCGGGAGTGCAGTAGTGCAATCTCAGCTCACTGCAACCTCCACCTCCCGGGTTCAAGCGATTATCCTGCCTCAGCCTCCTGAGTAGCTGGGAGTACAGGTATGTGCCACCATGCCTAGATACTTTTTTTTTTTTGTATTTTTAGTAGAAACAGGGTTTTGCCATGTTGGCCAGGCTGGTCTCGAACTCCTGAGCTCAGGTGATCCACCCACCTTGGCCTCCCAAAGTGCTGGGATTACAGGTGTGAGCCATCATGCCTGGCCCATCTGTCATTTTCTTGTTGATGGATTTCCTGTCAATTCCACTACACTGTGAGCTCCATGGGGCAGGGAGGGTCATCTGTCTCTTTCACTAGTGTGTCCTCAGTGCCTAAATCAGGGCCTGGCACATACAATAGAAGCTCAACAAACCTCTGCTTGAATAAATGAATGAATATGAGCAAATAAAATTATATACTCTCCAAAATGGAGATCATTATTCTCACTGAACTGATGGAGAGGCTGAGGCTTAAGGGCTCAGAACAAAGACACGGAAGCTAGAAGGTAGGAGAGTAGGAGGCAGGCTGAAGATGGATATCCAGGTAGGAAAGGATGGGCCTGAGCCATTGAAGGAGAGACCCGTTGGGGCCAAGAGCCGTTTAGCCTCTGGACAATACTATCACGGGTTTACATTCACTGTTCCTTCCTCAGATGGACCCTCTGCCCACAGGACCCCGGCAACTCCTCCTACCCTCTTTAGGGGGAAAGAGGGAACAGGGTAGCTGGGCCCCAGCGGCTTCCTGCTGGGCTTTTGCACTCCCCACAACTTCCTGTGTCTGTATGGTTGATGCTCCGGAGGCAGACAAAACCCAAGCATCCGGCTTCCCAGCCCGGCCCAAGCTCAGGGTGGGGGAACCATGTACCTGGGGCCTCCTGCTCCGGCTCCGGGTCTGGCTCCGGCGGTGGGTTCTTATGCCTCCCCCAGAGGGCCTTGGAGAGTCGAAGGCGACTGGTCCGTGACTCCTTGGGAGGCGCAGATAGGACCCGACGGAATATCGAGCGAGGGGCTGGCTGGGTGCTGACCATGGGCTCCTGGTGGCTCAGGGCCCTGCCCCAGCCAGCAAAGCGGCCCCAGCGGAACCCTCCAGCCGCCTTCTCCCCACCGCCCCCTGTGTGCCAGCGGTAGGAAGTCAGCGGAGAGGTGGCTGTGGGCTGGGTTTGGGAGGTCCGGCTTGGCGACGGTGGGTCCATGGTTGGGGGGGGGGGTCTCCTGGGGGACGAGAGAGTGACAGTAGTGCCCAGTGTCTGTCCACATACTGCCCTCATCTCGGCCCCCTCCCCACCCTCAGCTCTGCCTCCAGGAATCCCCCTGCCCCCACCTCCACTCCCTCCCTTACCTTGGTTTCCTGACCAGCCCCAGAATCAGCAGCCGTCTGCACCCCGCCTGGCTTCCTCCCTCGGAACCCAACTCCACGTGACCCTCTCTGTCCCACCCCACCCCACAGCCAGGCTGGGAGGGCACAGTGCGGGCAGGTTGCTGGAGGTTCGAGGGAGGAGAAGAGAGGAGGTGGGTTACCAGGCTTCTAGCAAGAAGGACCCAGACTGCCTCCCTGACGGGGAGGCAGCACTTGCCCCTCTCTCTGAGCCTCCGTTGCCTTCTCTGCAAAATGAGTACAGGCTGAACAAATGCTGGCGAGAATACAAAGCACCTAGAACTCTAATCCACAGTTGGCCGGAGTGTAGACCCATTCACTCATGTTGGGAAACGGTTTGGCAGGATCTACTAACACTACTAGCTGGATCTTCTCTGACTCAGCAATTCCATTGCTAGGTAGACGTCCAATAGATATGCCCCCCCAGCACAATGCATAATAGCCCCACATTGGAAGCAGCCTAAGTACCCATTAGTGGGAGAAGGAATAAATTGTGATCTCTTCGCACAGCAGAATATCATACAGCAGTGAGAACAAACTAAAGAATGATTTAACTTGGGTGAATCACAAACAATGTTGAGCCAAAACCAAAACCAAAGCCATAAAATGCCAGTAATCTGAGCTATTCAGGAGGCTGAGGGAGGAGGATCGCTTGAGGCCAGGAGTTCGAGGCTGCAGTGAGCTGTGATCATGCCTGTGAATAGGCAGTGCACTCCAGTCTGGGTGACATAGGGAGACCTCATATCTAACTTTTTTTTTTCTTTTTCCCCTCCCTGCCCTCGGGAGACCCCATCTCTAAAAAGCAATAATAAATAAATTTAAAAACCCCAAAACAATGAAGAGTATACACTTTGTGATTCCATTTACATAAAGTCCTAAAGCAGGCAAAACCATGTCTAACAAGCAGGGTATCAGTTTCTTTTGGAGGCACTGGTGGCTGGGAAGAGGGTACAAGGGGGGCTTCTGGAAGATGGCAAGATTTATTATTACTCTTATTATTATTAATTGATTTATTTATCGAGAAGGAGTTTCGCTCTGTCTCCCAGGCTGGTGTGCAGTGGCACGATCTTGGCTCACTGCAATCTCTGCCTCCCGGATTCAAGTGATTCTCCCTACTCAGCCTCCTGAGTAGCTGGGACTACAGGTATTCACCACCATGCCTGCCTAATTTTTTTGTATTTTTAGTAGAGACGGGGTTTCACCATGTTGGTCAGGCTGGTCTTGAACTCCTGACCTGAAATGATCTGCCCGCCTTGGCCTCCCAAAGTGCTGGTATTATAGGCGTAAGCCACCGTGCCCGGCCCTTATTATTATTATTATTTATAAATGAGGTCTATAAAAATAATATAGATCTCATAAAATAAAAATATAATATTTATATTACATAGTAATATAAATAATATTACATTATACATAATATGAATATTATTATTTTTTGTAGATGAGGTCTGTCATCCAGGCTGGAGTGCAGTGGTGCCATCATAGCTCTCTGTAACCTCTAACTCCTGGGCTCAAGAGATCCTCTCGCCTTAGCCTCCTGAGTAGCTGGGACTACAGCTGCATGCCACCACACCTGGCTTATTAAAAACAATTTTTTTGTTGTTGTTGAGATGAGGGTCTTGCTTTGTTGCCCAGGCTGTTCTTGAACTCCTGGCCTCAAGTGATCCTCCCACCTCAGCCCCCTAAGTAGCTGGGATAATAGGCACATGCTACCATGCCTGGCCTATTTTTTTTTTAATTGAGGTAAAATTCATATAACACAAATTTAGCATGTTCTTTTTTTTTTAATAAGATTTTTTTTTGAGACAGGGTCTTGCTCTGTTGGCCAAGCTGGAGTGCAGTGGCACAATCACAGCTCACTGCATTCTCAACCTCCTGGGCTCAAGCGATCCTCCTACCTCAGGCTCTCGAGTAGCTGGGACTACAGGTGCATGCTACCTGACTAATTTTTAACTTTTTGTTTGTTTGTTTTTTGTAGAGATGGGGCCTCACTATGTTGCCCATGCTTGTCTTGAACTCCTGGGCTCAAGCAATCCTCATGCCTCAGCCTCCCAAAGTGCTGGGAATACAGGAATAGCATCAGCCTCTGTGCCCAGAGAGACGAAGCCTTGTTCTGTCACCCAGGCAGGAGTACAGTGGCTATTCCCAGGCATGATTGTGGGTCACTGCAACCTTGAATTCCTGGGCTCAGGCAATCCTCCTGCCTCAGCCTCCTGAGTAGCTGGGACTGCAGGTGCATGCCACCATGCCTGGCTAATTTTAATTTTTTTTTTTTTGTAAAGAGACAGGGTCTCACTATGTTGCCCAGGCTGGTCTCCTACTCCTGGGCTCAGGCAGTCCTCCTGCTTCAGCCTCTGTAGTGGCTGGGACTGCAGATGTGTGCCACCACGCTTGGCTTAACATGTTCTATTTCTTGAGCTGGGTCCTGGTTACATGGCTGTGTGCTGTTGTGAAAATTCATCAAGCTGTGCCCTTGGGAGCACTTTCTTGTATCTCTGTTAGGCTTCCACAGATGTTTACTTGAAAGCCAGAGGTAAGTAAATGCCATTCTGAGGAATAAATGAGTCAGCATAAATCCGGTCCAGGAGCCGAGTACCAGCTGGCCCCTCTCCCTCTGTGTGACCTCAGACAAGTCATTTCCTCTCTCTGAGCCTCGTTTTCCTTATTTGTACAAGACGATAATATCAGTTTCAAAAGATTCATGTAAGCCTTTGTCTAGTCAACAAATGTTTCCCGAGTGCCTATTACATGCTAGGTGCTGGAGAGGCCGCAGAGAACTAACCAAACTTGGTTTCTGCCTTCCTGGAGCTCACAGATGATGGAGGTAGATAAGATCCTAAACTCATACATGAGACATTTCTAGCTGGTAAGGAGGACCTAGAAGGAAATAGGCTGCAGTGAATGCTGAGCAAAAATGCCACTCTTTGAGCTGGAAAAATCAGGGAGGACTTCCCTGAGGAGGTGACATTTGCAGCCATTTGTATCTAGCAGATGGAGTCCACTATGTCTGTGTAACAAGCATTCCAAAAGTGCCAGTGAATTAACATGTCCCTGAGAGCAGCCCTCACATAATAACTGGTGGGAATTAGTGTATAAATACCCCAGCTCCCTCAACCCTTGTGTGGGATGACTCAGGTATGTGTCCTATGCTCTCCCTCAGGGCTTCGAAGTGAGACTGAGCTCTCTTGCCTACAGTGGAAACTTGCTTGAAAACACATTATTCCCTGGCTGCCTCCAGTTCCCTGCATCGGTACCTGGGTTGTTCACCTCTCTATTTTTTCTTTTTCTTTTTTTTTTTTTCCTTCCTTCCTTCCTTCCTTCCTTCCTTCCTTCCTTCCTTCCTTCCTTCCTTCCTCCCTTCCTCCCTTTCTCCCTTCTTTCCTCTTTCTTTCGTTCTTTCTTTCTTCCTTTCTTTCTTTTTTTTTCTTTGAGACAAGCTCTCACTCTCTTCTCCAGGCTGCTGTACAGTGACGCAATCATGGTTCACTGCAGCCTCGACCTCCCAGCCCAAGCAATCCTCCCACCTCAGCCTCCGGAGTAGCTGGGACTGCAGGCACACAACATTGTACCTGGATAATTTTTTCTTTTTTTGAGACAGGGTCTTGCTCTGTCTCCCAGGCTGGAGTGCAGTGGTGTGATTTCAGCTCACGGCAACCTCTGCCTCCTAGGCCCAAGTGATCCTCCTACCTCAAGTGTGTGGCACCACTCCTGGCTAATTTTTTGTATTTTTGTTAGAGACGGGGTTTTGTCATGTTGGCCAGGCTGGTCTTGAACTCCTGAGCTCAGGCGATCCACCCTCCTCAGCATCCCAAAATGCTGGGATTACAGGCATGAGCCACCGTGCCTGGCTATGCCTGGATAATTTGAAAATTTTTTTTTGCAGAGATGAGATTTCACTCTATTGCCCAGGTTGTTTTCGAACTCCTGAGCTCAGGTGATCCCCTCGCCTCAGCCTCCCAAAGTGCTGGGATTACAGATGTGAGCTGCCGTGCCCTGCCCTGGGATCTCCTCTCAATAAACTACTTGTACTGGAATTATTGTCTTAAGGTCTGCTTTTGGGAAGACCCAAACTAAGACAATGCATGATGATGCATGAACAGAGACTTTGTTTCCATGCTGTCTTTATTGGAGGTCTGTGGCTGGCAGGGTCCTTGGGGGTGGCTCCCTCCTGGATCTCTTAGAGACACTCCTGGCAGGTCTTGGCTTAACAGTCTGGAAAAAGACAAGGGAGTGTGAGGCTTGGGGGTGGTTGTGGTATGTGGCTGGGTCTGCCCTCCTGGTGGTGGAACCCTGGATCAGGGAGGGGACAGTGGCCCAAAGTGAGAGAGTGAGGACAAAGCCAACTATAGGCCGAGATGGATGTGCTAGTCAATAGCTTAATGAAATGGAGTGGCAGTATGTAGGTAGCACGAGATTGTCCAGGTGTGATTCTAAAATTGTTTTAGTGATGGCGATCAAGGGCTGGGATGAGGTCATCAGGTCAAAGTTGTGCTGGCATAAGAGTTGTCATCAGGGGTTAAGGAGTCAGGGACGAAACAAGCAACCTCAGAGTTGAGATTGTCTGGACAGAGAATTGCAACACAGGATTAAGGACTGGACAGAGGTTGTGAAGGCAAAAGGTCACAGCCTAGGTTCATGTTGTGTGGACAGAGGGCCTTCGGGTAGGGGCAGGGGTGAGGTCAAGGTTCGGCGGGCCAGGATGAGGTGGTGCAGCCTGACAGGTTGTGACTTGGGTAGAGAAGTCATGAAGGCCAGGCTGAGGTTGTGAGGGCAGAGGGGCTGTTGGCAGGTGTCAGGGTCCATGCCTTGGCTGGAAAGGTAGAGGTATTAGGAGCTGGGGAAAGGACAGGCTGGCTGGGTCTGGGGCTGAGCTGAGGCTGCATAGGCAGAAGTCACAGGATCAGGGATGTTGCCCGCAGAGTGACCCGCAAAGGCTGGGCCTAGGTTTCCTGAATAGACGTGCCGCCGGGAAGTTGGGGGCCTGGCTGAGGCTGTGCGGGCACAGCTGTTACAGGCAGGGGGCAGGGGCCTCGTGGAGCTTGTGTAGACGGAGGGGCGGCGGGCCGTGTAGTGCAGGCTGCGAAGACTCACCGCGGTGAAGTGCGGCCAGGTGCGCAGCAGGTCGAAGAGCGCGTCGCCGGGGCAGTCGGTGCGCACCAGCTGGCGGTGGCCCAGCAGCGCGTAGTCTGGCCGCAGGAGGCCGGCGCGCACCGCACAACTCGGGAGCGTGTCGCGCACCGTGCGCAGAGCGGCCTCGGTGGGCAGCGCCGCGGTGTAGTTGCCCACTATGGCCACGCCGAAGCCCCGGGAGTTGTGGCCGAGCGTGTGGGCGCCCACCCAGTGCCAGCCGCGTCCCTCGTACACGTAGCCGTCCGAGCCCACCACGAAACTGCAGAGGGGAGGGAGAAGCAAGCACCATGCGGCGTGAGGGGGACCCGGGCCCTTATCCGCTCCCCTCCCCGATTCTGTTGGTGTGCCAAGGGCCACCGACCCCAAGACCCGCGCGGTCGCGCTGCCTGTGTCCCATCCAGCTCTGTTCCACTCTCACACCAGCTGCCACTCCAGGACCGTTCGGTTTCTCTGGATCCGCCCTTCAGTACTGGCACGCCCCTTTCTGCCCTTCTCCTCCCCACCTCTGCCTTTTCTCAAGCCCAGTTCTTGCCCAATTCAGAGAGCTTTTCTGTTTTTGGGTTTTTTTTCTTTCCTTCCTTCCTTCCTTCCTTCCTTCCTTCCTTCCTTCCTTCCTTCCTTCCTTCTTTCTTTCTTTCTTTTTTTGATGGAGTTTCACTCTTGTCGCTGAGGCTGAAGTGCAAGGGCGCGATCTCGGCTCACTGCCACCTCCACCTCCCGGGTTCAAGCGATTCTCCTGCCTCAGCCTCCGGAGTAGCTGGGATTACAGGCACCCGCCACCACGCCCATCTAATTTTTTTTTTAATTTTTATTTTTAGTAGAGACGGTGTTTCGCCATGTTGGCCAGGCTGGTCTCGAACTCCTGACCTCAGGTTATCTGCCCTCCTCGGCCTCCCAAAGTGCTGGGATTACAGGCGTGAGCCACTGTGCCCAGCCTTCTCCCCTCCCCTCGCCACCCCTCCCTTCTTCCCTTCCCTTCCCTTCCCTTTTGGAGACGGAGTTTCGCTCTTGTAGCCCAGGCTGGAGTGCAACGACGCGATCTCGGCTCACTGCAACCTCCGCTTCCCAGGTTCAAGTGATTCTCCCGTCTCAGCCTCCCGACTAGCTGGGATTACAGGCATGCACCACCACGCCCGGCTAATTTTGTATTTTTAGTAGAGACGGGGTTTCTCCATGTTGGCCAGGCTGGTCTGGAACTCCCGACCTCAGGTGATCCACCCGCCTCAGCCTCCCAAAGTGCTGGGATTACAGGCGTTAGCCACCGCTCCCGGCCTCCTTCTTCTTTTCGAGACGGGTTCTCGCTCTGTCACTCAGGCTAGAGTGCAGAGATGCGATCATAACTCACTCAAGCCTCGAACTCCTGGGCTCCAGCGATCCTCCCACCTTAGCCTGCCGAGTAGCTGGGACTACAGGCGCGCAACACCATGCCCAGCTTTTTTTTTTTTTTTTTTTTTTTTTTTGAGACGGAGTCTCGCTCTGTCGCCCAGGCTGGAGTGCAATGGCGCGATCTCGGCTCACTGCAGGCTCCGCCTTCCGGGTTCACGCCATTCTCCTGCCTCAGCCTCCCAAGTAGCTGGGACTACAGGCACCCGCCATCACGCCTGGCTAATTTTTTTGTATTTTTTAGTAGAGACGGGGTTTCACCGTGTTAGCCAGGATGGTCTCAATCTTCTGACCTCGTGATCCTCCCGCCTCGGCCTCCCAAAGTGCTGGGATTACAGGCGTGAGCCACTGCGCCTGGCCTTTTTAAGTTTTTTTTGTTTGTAGAGATGGGTGGTGTGGGGGGGTGTCTTCCTATATTGCTCAGGCTGGTCTCGAACTCCTGGGCTCCAGCGATCCTCTCTTCTCAGCCTCCCAAAGTGGTGAGATTACAGGCGGGAGCCACCGCACCAGGCCTCCTTGTCTGTTTTAGGCCATCTCTGCCTGGCCCCAGACCCAGACTCTGCCACAGGTCCCGCTCCTCTCCCAGATCCCGCCTCCTGTACTAGTTCTCTACCCTGACTGGAGTCCCATGATTTAGCTATTCCCGGTCCCTATTAAGGCCCCGCCCCTAGCCTAAGCCACGCCACCTCTCCAACTTTGCTCTACCTATCAGGACTCCTCCTTGGTCTTGCCAGCTTTCCTCGGGTTCAAGCCCGGTCCCCTGCATCAGGCTCCGCCCACTCAGACCCCATCCCCGAACGTGGGCCCCGCCCCCTCCCCGGTCGGGCCCCTCCTACCTGTAGCCGATGTCTCCCCAGCCTTGCGTGTCCTGGTGGTAGCGCTGCATGGAGCGCATGTTGGCTGCGCAGCGCGTGAAGTCCGTGCAGGGTGGTGCAGGCACGTAGGTGTGATGCACGTACAAGAATCCCAGCGGCAGCTGCAGCAGCTTCGGGCGGCCCCGATAAGGCGCCGCTCCCCAGCGGCAGCGGGGGTGGATGGCCGGGCATCCTACAGGCAAGGGGGTTGAAGGCTGGGGTCAGGAACTGTTTCTCTGCCTGTTCCTCCACCCGCATTAAAGCGCACATACAGACCATCCCTCAGCCTCCTCTCAGATTTGGAAAGGGTCCAGTCTCACCCCACATTGGTCCTCCCTGGGGACCAACTAACTATACTCAACTAAATCTATTTTATTTTTATTAAAAAAAATTGGGGGTGGGCCGGACGTAGTGGGTCTCACCTGTAGTCCCAGCAGTTTGGGAGGACGAGGTGGGTGGATCACTTGAGGTCAGGAGTTTGAGACCAGCCTGGCCAACATGGTGAAACCCGGTCTCTACTAAAAATACAAAAATCAACCAGGCATGGTGGCACATGCCTGTAATCCCAGCTACTTGGGAAGCTGAGGCATGAGACAACTTGCTTGAGCCTGGGAGGTGGAGGTTGCAGTGAGCCGAGATTGTGCTATTGCACACCAGCCTGGGTGACAGAGCAAGACTCTGTCCCCCCCAAAAAAAAATTGGAGGTGGGGGCAGGCATGGTGGCTCACTCCTGTAATCAATCCCACACTTTGGGAGGCGAGGTGGGTGGATTGCTTGAGCCCAGGAGTTCAAGACCAGCCTGGGCAACATAGTGAGACCTCATTTTCTAGAAAAAGAGAAATCAGATTTCCCAAAGCAATCTACAGATTCAATGCAATCTCTATCAAAATATCAAAGTCATTTTTCACAGAATTAGACAAAACTATCCTGAAATTCGCAAGGAACCAAAAATGAGCCCAAATAGCAAAAGCAATTCTAAGCAAAACGAGCCTGGTATCACATTACCTGACTTCAAATTATACTACAATACTATAGTAACCAAAACAGCATGGTACTGTTACAAAAATAGACACATAGACCAATGGAATGAAATAGAGAACCCAGAAGTAAAGCTGCACACCTACAAACAATAATTTTCAACTAAGTCGACAAAAATAAGCAATGGGAAAAGGACTGCCTATTCAGTAAATGGTGCTAATGGTGCTGGGACAACTGGCCAACCATATGCAGAAGAATGAAACTGGACCCCTAACTCTTACCATATACAAAAATTAACTCAAGGACAGATGCGCTAGCTCACGCCTGTAATCCCAGCAATTTTGGAGGCTGAGGTGGGTGGATCACCTGAGATCAAGAGTTTGAGACCAGCCTGGCCAACATGGTGAAACCCCGTCTCTACTAAAAATACAAAAATTAGCCGGGCATGGTGGTAGGTACCTGTAATCCCAGCTATGTGGGAGGCTGAGGCAGGAGAATCGCTTGAACCCAGGAGGCAGAGGTTGCAGTGAGCTGAGATCACATCTTTGCACTCCAGCCTGGGCAACAGAGCAAAAACTCTGTCTCAAAAAAAAAAAAAAAAAAAAAAAAAAAAAAAAAAAAAAATTGCTCAAGATAGATTAAAGACTTACATGTAAGACCTGAAACTCTAAAATACCAGAAGAAAACCTAAGGAAAACGCTTCTGAACATTGGGCTAGGCAAAGAATTCATGACTAAGACCTCAAAAGCACAGAGCAAAAGAAACAAAGTAGACAAATGGGACTTAATTAAACCAAAAAGCTTCTGCACACCAAAGATATAATCAACAGAACGAACAGACAACCTTCAGAATGGGAGAAAATATTTGCAAACTATGCACTGGTATGGGACTAATACCCAGAATTTACAAGGAACTCAAACAATTCAAGAAAGAAAAGAAAGAAAGAAAGAAAGAAAAAGAAAGAAAGAAAGAAAAAGAAAGAAAGAAAGAAACCCACTAAAAAGCGGGCAAAAGACATTAATAGACATTTTTCAAAAGAAGATATACACATGGCCAATAGGCAAAGGAAAACATGCTCAACATCACCAATCATCAGAGAAATGCAAATTAAAACCACAATGAGATATCATCTTACTCTAATCAGAATAGCTATTATTAAAAAGACAGAAAAGCCGGGTGATGGCTCACGACTGTAACCCCAGCACTTTGGGAGGCTGAGGTGGGTGGATCACCTGAGGTTAGGAGTTTGAGACCAGCCTGGGCCAACATGGTGAAACTCTGTCTCTACTAAAAATACAAAAATTAGCCGAGCATGGTGGCAGGCACCTGTAATCCCAGCTACTTAGGAGGCTGAGGCAGGAGAAACGCTTGAACCCAGGAAGTGGAGGTTGCAGTGAGCCGAGATTGTGCCATTGCACTCCAGCCTGGGAGACAAGAGTGAAACTCTGTCTAAAAACAAAACAAAACAAAACAAAACAAAAAAAATAATAATAAATTGGAACTATCATTCAATCCAGCAATCCCACTACTGGATATCTACCCAAAGGAAAATAAATCATTATATTAAAAAGATACCTGCATTCACATGTTGATCAGGGCACTATTCACAATAGCAAAGGTAAGAAATTAACTTAACTGTCCATCAAAAGAGAATTGGATAAAGAAAATATGATATATATTACAGGCCTGGATGGCTCTGGGTCTGAGAGCCCTGGACGAAGGTCAGGCCCAGGTTTCCAGCTAGGGTGATTGCCAGGAGGTTGTCTACAGTGGTCGGCAGGAAATGGAATACTACTCAGCTGTAAAAAATGACATAATGTTGGCTGGGCATGGTGGCTCACGCCCGTAATCCTAGCACTTTGGGAGGCCAAGGTGGGTGGATCACGAGGTCAGGAGATCGAGACCACCCTGATAAAATGATGAAACTCCGTCTCTACTAAAAATACAAAAAATTACCCAGACATGGTGGCACATGCCTGTAGTCCCAGCTACTCAGGAGGCTGAGACAGGAGAATTGCTTGAACCCAGGAGGCGGAGGTTGCAGTGAGCTGAGATCGTGCCACTGCACTCCAGCCTGGGCGACAGAGAGAGACTCAAAAAAAAAAAAAAAGAAAGAATGTCTTTTGCAGCAACATGGATGGAACTGGAGGCCATTATCTCAAGTGAAACAAGTCAAACACAGAAAGACAAATACCGTAAGTTCTCACTTATAAATGGGAGCTAAATAATGTGTATGCATGGATGTAGCGTGTGGAAAGATAGATAGTGGAGATTCAGAAGGGTGAGGGAGAGAGAGGAGGGAGGATGATGACAGATTGCTTAATGGGTGGATGTATGTTATTGGAGTGATGGGTACCTAAAAGCCCAGACTTGACCACTATGCAATCTATGCGAGAAACAAGGTTACACTTGTACCCCATAAATTAATGCAAATAAATATAATGAAGCAAAACAAAATGAGATGAACTCCTATTCATCCTTCAAGGCCCAACTCTGGCATTTCCTCACCTGTGCAGCTGTCCCACCCACCCCCGACCAGATCCCTTATTGCCCCCTCTGGACTCTCCTAGTCCTCAACTTCCCTGAATATACGGGGTGGGGGCGTCTGTGTCTGTAATGGGAAGGATCACAGGGTGTGGGGAACTTCCTCACCCAGGAAGGCCTCAGTGAATTCCTTGGTAGCATTGGCAGCCACCTGGGCCAGCTGTTCTTGGCTCATGCACTGAAGCTGGAGGTGTACTGGCTCCAGCCTCTGTAGAAGGACAAGGGTTCCCCACACCTGCTGGGCCAGGATGGAGGCTGAAGTCAGAGCAGCACCGTTCTGCCGTCGGAAGTTGCTGCGGAACCCTGGGTCTCTGGCCACCCCAGCCCCATAGTACTGGCTCAGCAAGTGGCTGAGGGATGGCCGGGGCTCAGGAGTCCGGCTCAGGTAGTCTCCAAGGATGACCCCATCCAGGGCGCCATTGAGGAAGGCCATGGTTAACAGAGATGCCTTGGGGTCCAAAAGCGTAAAGGTCCGAGGGGCAGAGAGCTGGTCCCAGCAGCCCTCAGTTCCCAGGTCTGGATGGCTCTGGGTCTGGGAACCTCGGAGGAAGGTCAGGCCCAGGTTTCCAGCCAGGGTGACTGCCAGGAGGCTGTCCACCATGGTCGGTGGGGACTTGGCTTTGGCATCTGGCAAGGAAGCTTGGACATCTGGACAGCCTTTTGTAGCATCTGGAGTGTTGGCTCCAATATCTGCAGTGGTGACATCTGGAGAGCCATCCCTGAGTCCTGGGGAGGAGGTGGCTCTTACATCTGGAGCAATGGCCACAACATCTGGAAAGGTATCTCCAGTCTCCCAAGGGGCAGCCATGCTGTCCAAGGGCAAATTTATGACCCTGCGCCCTTGCAGCCCTGCCTCCAGCCCCGCCAGCAGAGGCTCCACAGCCACGGTCGAGCCATCAGGTGCCAGCACCACCCCATATTCCTTCCCTTCTCGTACGTCATGTCGGGCCACCTCCTTGGTCAGGCCTAACAGCTCTGGGCTTAGTGGGCAGGGATCCAACTCTGTAGCATTGAGGCTCCATGCCCCCAGCAGGAAGTGGTAGAGGCGATTGTGGGGGCCAGAGTTTGGAGCTGACATCAGCCACGCAGAAGCTGTGTGTCTGGTCTTGGCAGCTGGCACTTTCTGCTCCAGCTCAGCCAGGGCCTGGATGACAGAGTCCATGAGCAGGGGCAGGGAGGCTGCAGGAGGAAAGAATGTGTTAGCCCAGCCCCACCCATTCCTGAGCCTCCTTGTATTGATTCCACATCTACCCAATGCTCCCAGCCCTCCATCTGATAACCCCATGACCCCCAACACTATCCTTGTGTAGATGAGGAAAGTGAGGTACACAGACTATTGCCTGTTGGTTAAGGAGCTCAGACTGTCTGTGAGTACTGGGGAGCCATGGCAGATTTATGAGCAGGACAGAGGTGTGACGAACCTGGCATTCTAAGACTCCTTTCTTAGGCTTAGATTTGTTTGGCTGCCATAAGGAAATGGATTTTTGGGGTGCCAGGATAGAAAAGGGGAGACAGTGTGGAGGTGAGAGATGAAGGTGGCAGAAGGTAGGTAGTGACATTGCAGTGGACAAAAGTGGAAGAGTCCCCAGATCGTGAGAGGGAGAGATGGATGGTCTTTTGTGATGAATTGAAGTTAAAAATTGGGGATGTTAGAGGGAAAGGTATTTTGAAAGATGCCTGGGACTGGCTGTGGTGGCTTAGGCCTGTAATCCCAGCACTTTCGGAGGCCGAGGTGAGTGGATCACCTGAGATCAGGAGTTCAAGGCCAGCCTGGCCAACACCGTGAAACCCCATCTCTAATAAAAATACAAAAATTAGCCAGGCATGGTGGTGTGTGCCTGTAATCCCAGCTACTTGGGAGGCTGAGACGGGAGAATCACTTGAACATGGGAGGTGGAGGTTGCAGTGAGCCGAGATTGCGCCACTGCACTCCAGCCTGGGTGACAGAGTGAGACTTTGTCTCAAAAAAAAAAAAAAAAAAAAAAATGCCAGACGCAGTGGCTCACGCCTGTAATCCCAGCACTTTAGGAGGCAGAGGCGGGTGGATCACCTGAGGTCGGGAGCTCAGGACCAGCCGGATCAACATGGCGAGACTCCGTCACTACTAAAAATACAAAAATTAGCTGGGCATGGTGGCACACACCTGTAACCCCAGCTACTCAGGAGGCTGAGGCAGGAGAACTGCTTGAACCCAGGAGGTGGAGGTTGCAGTGAGCCAAGAACCCCCCACTGCATTCCAGCCTGGGTGACAGAGTGAGACTCCATCATAAAATAAAATAAATAAAATAAAATTAAATTAAAATAAAATAAAATAAAATAAAATAGCCTGGGAGGCAGGGGGAAGAGCAGGATGGGCTTGTGCCATGTTGGGGAAATGTCAGTGGCTGAACTGCAAACCTAGAAATGCTAAGTTAGGCTCAGAGCTGGTTCAGAGATGGGTTATCAAATAATAGCTAACTTTCAGTAAACATTTACTATGTGCTAGCTACTAGTCTAGGTGACTTATATATTAATAATTTAACGCAGTTAGTCTTCACAACTCTTGTGAGGTAGGTCCTTTTAGCCCCTGTCTTAGTACATTGGTGCTGCTATAACAGATCTCTGAGGTTGGGTAATTTATGAAAAACAGAAATTTGGCCAGGTGTGCTGGCACATGCCTGTAATCCCAGCACTTTGGGAGGCCGAGGCAGGCGGATCACTTGAGGTCAGGAGTTTGAGACCAGCCTGGCCAACATGGTGAAACCCCGTTTCTACTAAAAATACAAAAGTTAGCCGGGTGCGGTGGCGGGCACCTGTAATCCCAGCTACTTGGGGGGCTGAGGCAGGAGGATCTGTTGAACCCGGGAGGTGGAGGTTGCAGTGAGCTGAGATCATGCTGCTGCACTCCAGCCTGGGCGACAGAGTCAGACTCTGTCTAAAAAACAAAAAAAAAGAACAGACATTTATTTCTCATAGTTCTAGAGGCTGGGAAGTCCAAGATCAAAGCACTGGCATTTGGGACTTCCTAGCCTGCAGAACTGCAAGAAAGTAAATTTCTCTTCTTTACAAATTTACTCAGTTTCAGGTACCCTGGCCTATATAGAAGCACAAAGGGACTAAGATGGTGTCCCTTTACAGATGAGGCATCTGAAGCACAGAGAGGTTAAGTTACCTGCCTAAGGTCACACAGGAAGGAAGTGGCAGAGGCAGGATTTGCCTTTGTTTTTTTTTTTTTTTTTTGAGACGGAGTCTTGCTCTATCATCCAGGCTGGAGTGCAGTAGTGCTCAGCTCACTGCAACCTCCTGAGTTCAAGCAATTTTCTGGCCTCAGCCTCCTGGGTAGCTGGGATTACAGGTGCCTGCCACCACGCCTGGCTAATTTTTGGTATTTTTAGTAGAGATGGGGTTTCACCATGTTGGCCAGGCTGGTCTCGATCTCCTGATCTCAAGTGATCTGCCCGCCTTGATCTCCCAAAGTGCTGGGATTACAGGCCTGGCCAGTAGTAGAATTTGAATCCAGGAAGTCTTACTCGACACACTCTCCTGGTCTAGAATCTAGGTTCTTCTCCAGTCCACCACCTAACCTGTGTAGCTTTGCTCTTCTCTGCAAAAAATGCCCTTTCTGGCTTCTCCCCCAAATCATTTCTCTTTCTTCCTAGCCTAGCTCTTATGTCTCCTCCTCCAAGAAGCCTTCCCTACTTTTGCTCTCCAGGCCCCAGATTCCTTCCCTTATCCTTGCCTTGACTCTGTGGAGCTGGGAATATCTATGTCCCCATGCTGGAGCTTCTTTGAGAGCTTGAGTCTCCAGCCTCACTCCATGCAGGGCAAGACATAGATGGGACAGCAGTACGCCTTCTGCAGAGCCAAGAGGTTTGGTCCCAGGACTCTGCCCCCTGACTCACCTGTCCCTGGGTCTGACCACAGTAGCAATCCGAGTAGGATCCAGAGGACACCCTGGGCCATTGTTGCAGGATTCCAGCTTCCAAGGGGTATTTCTGGTTGGCCTCGGCAGAGAACCTCGGCAGTGCTGGAGGGAGACAGGCACAGAGAACTGAGCAGAGCCTTTGACCACTGTCAAAGTCCAGCGGCGAATGACAGACCTGCCTCTCGTAGAGCTGTGGGCGGGAGGCAGCAGGGACATGGGGCAGCGTACCCTGGGTCAAGGTCATCTGGGCATCCTGGTCTCCCCCAGTCTCTTCTGTCCCTCCTAGGCTGAGGTCAGTGGTCAGTAAGCCAGGCCCATCCCCAGAGGGGCCTGGAGACCAGGTGGTTCAGACTCCATAAACTCTGCCCATTCTCCAGTGAGGTGGACCGAGGCAACCCCTCAAGTCCTGTCCCTCCCCATAGTGACGGCTCTGTAGCCGCTGCTGGCCACCAGAGGGGACTCTCAGCTGCCGCCTGCTGTACTGGTAAGACCGGCTGTGTTGAGGGAGAGGAGAGAAGCAGAGGCCTGAAGTTGGCACTGCCTTCTGCTTTTTTTTGCAACCAACACTTCAGGCTCAGGCACAGCATCGGTGCGGGGGCTGAGGACAGTGTTTGCTGAGGCCTGAAGTTGGCACTGCCTCCTGCTTTTTTTTGCAACCAACACTTCAGGCTCAGGCAGAGCATGGGTGCAGGGGCCGAGGACAGTGTTTGCTGAGGCCTGCTCTGAGCCCATGGGGACCAGGGGCTGTCACCTCTCATCCAGTTCCAGCCCTTGATTTCAAGCCACCAGCAGTAGCTGAGAGCAGGGGTTGAGCTTGAGTGTTCAGGACCCTGGCATTGTTCCAGGAGCTGGCTTCTGGACTCACCTGGGCTGACAGTGAAATGTCCTTCCTCTTCTCCGGGTGCCCATGACTGAGACCTGCAGAATGGACCCATCTCCCCTTTATTCTGGCATCAGATGGGGCAGGTTGACATGACTGGGCTGTTGTGTATGTAAATTGCTTCCCTGTGGGGCTCCCACCTCAAAACCAGCCCGGGGAGTTTCCAGGAGACCCACCAGCTGGAGACTCAGCCAGGGCAGGCCTGGGAATGTCCAGCCTGAGCCAGGCCTGGGATTCCCCTGGGGGCCACCCCTGGGGCCTCCTCAGGTGTCCTCTTTCTGGGGACCTCCCAGAAAAAAGCTGGGCACATAGTGGAAGCTCAGGATGTAGGGTGCTAAGTGATAGAGTGAATGGGGGACACTTCCCATGGGAGTAAGAGACAATGTCCTCCTCCAAGCTCGTTTCCCAGGATTTGGGGATAGGAGCTTTGCCTGGTAGAACCATATGAAGGTTGTGGGCTGAGGCAGGGACTAGGTTGAGGCATCCTCTTTGCCGCAAAATTTAAGGCAGTGTTGAAAATCTAAGTCATCAATAACTTTTTTTTTTTTTGAGACGGAGTCTCGCTCTGTCACCCAGGCTGGAGTGCAATGGCACGATCTCAGCTCACTACAACCTCCACCTCCCAGATTCAAGCAATTCTCCTGCCTCCCTGCCTCAGCCTACCAAGTAGCTCAGGTTACAGGCATGCGCCACCATGCCTGGCTAATTTTTGTATTTTTAGTAGAGACGGGGTTTTGCCACGTAGGCCAGGCTGGTCTTGAACCCCTGACTCAGGTGATCCACCCAACTTGGCCTACCAAATTGCTGGGATTACAAGCGTGAGCCACCATGCCCGGCCGATAAATAATTTTAAGACTTTTTTAGAACAGTTTTATTATTATTATTATTTTTAAAGATGGAGTCTTGATATGCTGGCCAGGTTGGTCTTAAACTCTTGGCCTCAAGCAATCCTCCTGCCTCGGCCTCCCGAAATGCTAGGATTACAGGCGTGAGCCACTGCACCCAGCTTTATTTTTTATTTTATTATTATTATTTTTTGAGGCAGGGTCTCCCTCTGTCACCCAGGCTGGAGTGTAGTGGTGCAATCTTGGCTTACTGCAGCCCTGCTTCCCAGGTTCAAGTGATTCTCCTGCCTCAGCCTCCCAAGGAGCTGAGATTACAGGTGCCCGTCCACCACTTCCAGTTAATTTTTGTATTTTTAGTAGAGACGGGATTTCAGCATGTTGGCCAGGCTGGTCTCAAACTCCCAACCTCGGGTGATCCACCTGTCTTGGCCTCTCAAAGTGCTGGGATTACAGGCTTTTTTTTTTTTTTTTTTTTTTTTTGAGACAGAGTCTCGCTCTGTTGCCTAGGCTGCAGTGTAGTGGCACAATCTTGGCTCACTGCAGCCTCTGCCTCCCAGGTTCAAGCTATTCTCCTGCCTCAGCCTCCCGAGTAGCTGGGATTACAGGTCCCCGTCACCACTCCCGGCTGATTTTTGTACTTTTAGTACAGATGTAGTTTCACCATGTTGGCCAGGCTGGTCTTGAACTCCTGACCTCAGGTGATCCACCCGCATCGGCCTCTATTTTTAATTTTTTATAGAGATGAGGGTCTCGCTATGTTGGCCAGGCTGGTCTCATCTCCTGGACTCAAGGGATCCTCCTGCCTTAGCTTCCCAAAGTGCTGGGATTACAGGCGTGAGCCACCATGCCTGGCCTAGAGCAGTTTTAGGTTCGTGACAAAATTGAGCAGAAGTTACAGAGAGTTCTACTCCCTGCCTTGACACATGCACAGACTCTCGTATTATCACTATCCAGCACCAGAATGGTATATCTGTTACAATCGATGAACCTTCACTGACACATCATTATCACCCAAAGTTCATCATTTCCATTAGGGTTTGCTCTTGGTGGTGTACATTCTATGGGTTTGGACAAATGTATAATGACATATGTCCACCACTAGAGTGTCATACGGAGTACAGTTGACCCTTGAACAACATGGGTTTGACCTGTGAGGGTCAACTTATATCTGGATTTGTTTCAATAAAAATTACATGGACTGTGCCTGCCTCTCCTCTCCCCTTCCTCCTCTTCCACCTCTGCCACCCCTGAGACAGCAAGACCCCTCCTCTTCCTCCTCCTCAGCCTACTCAACATGAAGACGGTGAGGATGAAGACCTTTATGATGATTCTCTACTTAATGAATAGTAAATATACTTCCTCTTCCATATTTTCTTCCTTCTCTTCCTTCTCCTTTCTTCCCTTCTCCTTCCTTCCTTCCTTCCCTCCCTCCCCCCTTCCTCCCTCCCTCCTTTCTTTCTTTTTTCTTTCTTTCTTTCTTCCTTTCTTTCTTTCTTTCTTTCTTTCTTCCTTCCTTCCTTCCTTCCTTCCTTCCTTCCTTCCTTCCTTCCTTCCTTCTTTCTTTCTTTCTTTCTTTCTTTCTTTCTTTCTTTCTTTCTTTCTTTCTTTCTTTCTCTTTCTTCTCTTTCTTTCTCTTTTTCTCTTTCTTTCTGGCAGAGTCTCATTCTGTCCCCCAGGCTGGAGTACAGTGGCGTAATCTCAGCTCACTGCAGCTTCCATCTCCTGGGTTCAAGCGATTCTCCTGCCTCAGCCTCCTGAGTAGCTGGGATTACAGGTACCTGCCACTATGCCCGGATAATTTTTGTATTTTTAGTAGAGATGGGGTTTCACCATGTTGGGCAGGCTGATCTCGAACTCCTGACCTCAGGTGATCCATCCACCTCAGCCTCCCAAAGTGCTGGGATTACAGGCATGAGCCACTGCACCTGGCTCGTGGATTTTTTCCAATAAGTTACATGGAGTGTGTCTGCCTCTCCTCTCTCCCCTTCCACCTCCTCCACCTCTTCCACCTCTGCCACCCCTCAGACAGCAAGACCAACCCCTTCCCTTCCTCCCCCTCAGCCTATTCAACATGAAGACGATGAAGATGAAGACCTTTATGATGACACACTTCTACTTAATGAATAGTAAACATACTTCCTCTTCCATACGATTTTCTTAGTAACTCTTCTTTTTTCCCAGGTTCAGGTGATTCCCTCGCCTCAGCCTCCAGAGTAGCTGGGACTACAGGCATGCACCACCAAGGCTAGCTAAGTTTTCTATTTTTAGTGGAGATGGAGTTTTACCACATTGGCTAAACTGGTCTTGAACTCATGACCCCAGGTAATCCACCTGCCTTGGCCTCCCAAAGTGTTGGGATGACAGGCGTGAGCCACTGCACCCCACCTGATTTCCCTTTAAAGCTTGGAGTTGGGGCAGAGACTGCCTTGTTTTAAGCCAGGGGCATGTCATGGATGGCAGGCTCTTTCCTTAGGGTCTATGTAGGATTTGTGACCTTCTGGGGCAGGACCCTTCCTCCAGGGAGCCTCTGTGGTTACCCCTTGCTCCCCTTACTCCTCCCAGCTCCCTGACCTGCTGTTCTTCCCTTCAACCTAGGCTGTGCTTACAGTGCTGGAAGGTTCTTTGTCCAGTTTTGTCTCCCCAAATCTAGGAGATGCTGAGTTTTTGGGGCTGTCCAGAAGTGCCCAGCACAGACTCAAGACCAAGTGAGTGTCAGGGAGGGATTGCTAAATGCACAAAAAGCCTGATGAATGATGTGGGGCCAGTTTGGGGTCAGGATCTGAAACACACACATGTACACCCACATTCAGGCACTCACACACCAATGCATCAGGGCTGGGCTGGGCCTGGGAGGCAGAAAGAAGGCTGGAAATCCCACAATGAATCACCTCTACCCCAGGTTTCCTTCAACCTCAGGAGGCCCACTTGTCAGATAAATCAAGGCCCCTTGGCCGGGTGCGGTGGCTCACGCCTGTAATCCCAGCACTTTGGGAGGCCAAGGCGGGCAGATCACCTGAGGTCAGGAGTTCAAGACCAGCCTGACCAATATGATGAAACCCCGTCTCTACTAAAAATACAAAAATTAGCTGGTGTGGTGGCATGCACCTGTAATCCCAGCTACTCAGGAGGCTGAGACAGGAGAATTGCTTGAACCCGGGAGGCAGAGGTTGCGGTGAGCTGAGATCGCGCCATTGCACTCCATCCTGGGCAACAAAAGCAAAACTCTGTCTCAAAAAAAAAAAAAAAAAAAAAAATCAAGGCCCCTCCAGGCTGCAGAGAGACTAGAGGGGTCACAAGAGTAGCCACTGATTATGGAGCAGGGCCGGCTCTCATGAGTTGTAGCATTGGCACAGATAGGCAGAGCCTCTGGCCCTAGATCTTAAGCAAGGCTGGGATGAGGCCAGAGGAGAAGGAACTTGGGGCAGGGCTGGGCTTGGGCTCAACGTCAGAGTCGACAGCGTTCACTATGGTGGCACTAATGATGCTAATAATGAAGACCCCGCTCGCTACTACTGTTACAGGAATGGGGTCCCGATCCAGACCCCAAGAGAGGGTTCTTGGATCTCGCGCAAGAAAGAATTCAGGGTGAGTCCACAGAGTAAAGTGAAAGCAAGTTTATTAGGAAAGTGAAGGAATAAAGAATGACTGCTCCATAGGCAGAGCAGCCCTGATAGCTGCTGGCTGCCTTTTTTTTTTTTCAGACGGAGTTTTGCTCTTGTTGACCAAGCTGAAGTGCAATGACATGATCTCGGCTCACTGCAACCTCTGCCTCCTGGGTTCAAGCGATTCTCCTGACTCAGCCTCCTGAGTAGCTGGGATTACAGGCATGTGCCACCACACCTGGCTATTTTTTTTTTTTTTGAGACGGAGTCTCGCTCTGTCGTCCAGGCTGGAGTGCAGTGGCGCCATCTCCACTCACTGCAAGCTCCGCCTCCCTGGTTCATGCCATGCTCTTGCCTCAGCCTCCCGAGTAGCTGGGACTACAGGCGCCCACCACTATACCCGGCTAATTTTTTGTATTTTTTTTTTTTTTTTTTTTTTTAGTAAAGACAGGGTTTCACCGTGTTAGCCAGGATGGTCTCAATCTCCTGACCTCGTGATCCACTCGACTCGGCCTCCCAAAGTGCTGGGATTACAGGCGTGAGCCACTGTGCCTGGCCTAATTTTTTGTATTTTTAGTAGAGATAGGGATTCACCATGTTGGCCAGGCTGGTGTCAAACTCCTGACCTCAGGTGATCCTTCCGCCTCGGCCTCCCAAAGTGCTGGGATTACAGGCGTGAGCCACCGCGCCCAGCCTGGTTGCCTATTTTTATGGTTATTTCTTGATTATAGGTTAAACAAGGGGTGGATTATTCATGCCTCCTCTTTTAAGACCATATAGGATAACTTCCTATCATTGCCATGGCATTTGCAAACTGTCATGGCGCTGGGGAGTGTAGCAGTGCGGATGACCAGAGGTCACTCTTGTCGCCATCTTGGTTTTGATGGGTTGGGCTGGCTGCTGCTGCTTTTTTTTTTTTTTTTTGGAGGAGTTTCACTTTTGTCGCCCAGGCTGGAGTGCAGTGGCGCAATCTTGGCTCACTGCAACCTCCACTCCGGGGTTCAAGTGTTTCTCCTGCCTCAGCCTCCCGAGTAGCTGGAATTACAGGCGTCCGCCACCACACCCAGCTAATTTTTGTATTTTTGGTAGACAATGTTTCACCATGTTGGCTAGGCTGGTCTCGAACTCCTGACCTCAGGTGATCTGCCCACCTCGGCCTCCCAAAGTGCTGGGATTGCAGGCATAAGCCACTGCATCCGGCCGTGCAGGCTTCTTTACTGCGATCTGTTTTATTAGCAAGGTCTTTATGACCTGTATCTTGTGCCAATCTCCTATCTCATCCTGTGACTTAGAATGCCTTAACTGGGAATGCAGCCCAGCAGGTTTCAGCCTTATTTCACCCAGCTCCTGTTCAAGATGGAGTTGCTCTGGTTCACAGGCCTCTGACACTACTAATAAAAAGTGCTGTGTGTGGGGCTCTGAGCTAAGGTTTTATGTGCCTGTGCCTGTGGTTATTTTTTTTTTCCTTTTTTTTTTTTTAATCACTGGGATTTGTTAAGCAATGTTCTACAGCAGAAGTCAGAGAACCTCAGCTTATGAACTGGATGTCTGTTTTTGTAAAACTGTTTTTTGAGGTGAAATTCACCTAACACAAAATTCACCATTTTATTATTTATTTTTTTTTTTGAGACCGAGTCTCACTCTGTTGCTCAGGCTGGAGGGCAGTGGCGGGATCATGGCTCACTGCAGCCTCGACCTCTGGGGCTGAAGGGATCCCCGCCCCCAGCCTCCCAAGTAGCTGGGACTACAGATGTGTGTCATCACATCCAGCTAATTTTTTGATTTTTTGAAGAGATGGGGTCTTGCTTTGTTGCTTGGACTGGTCTCGAACTCTTGGGCTCAAGTGATCCTCCCACCTTGGCCTCCCAAAGTGCTGGGATTACAAGTGTGAGCCATCACACCTGGCCAAAATTTACCATTTTAAACTGTGTGGTTTAGAGGCACTTAGCATATTTACAGTGTTGTGCAGTTGTCACCTCTATCTAGTTCTAAAGAATTTGCATACCCCTAAAAGAAAACCCTGTCCTCATCAGCAGTCATTCCTCATTCACCCTTCCCCTGCCCCTGGCAACCACAAACCTGCTTTCTGTCTCTATGGATTCGCCTGTTCTGGACATTTCAGATCAATGGAATGTCACACTATGGCCTTTTGTGTCTGTCTTTTTTTTTTTTTTTTTTTACTCAGCATCATGTTTTCAAGGTTCATCATCATAGCCTGGATCAGTGCTTCATTCCTTTTCAGGGCTGCATAATATTCCATTGTGGGAAATGATCACGATTTGTTTAGGTGATTGAATGTTTATTGGAACACACTTCCTTCCATTCATTTACATTTCTATGGCTGTTTTCCTGCTATAATGGCTGAGTCACAAAGCAGAAACTATTGACTATCTGGCCTTGTCCGCATCAGCAGTCACTCCTCATTCCCCCTCCCACAGCCCCTGGCAACCACAAATCTGCTTTCTGTCTCTATGGATTCGCCTGTTCTGGACATTTCAGATCAATGGAATCTCACACTATGGCCTTTTGTGCTTGTCTTTTTTTTCACTTAGCATCATGTTTTCAAGCTTCATCGTTATAGCCTGGATCAGTGCTTCATTCCTTTTCAGGGCTGCATAGTATTCCATTGTATGAAAGGATCACAAATTGTTTAGGTGATTGAATGTTTATTGGAACACATTCCCTTCCATTCATTTACGTAGCTATGGTGGCTGTTTTCCTGCTATAACAGCTGAGTCACAAAGCAAAACATATTTATTTACTATCTGGGCTTTTTTTTTTTTTTTTTTTTTGAGATGGAATCTCGCTCTGTCGTCCAGGCTGGAGTGCAGTGGTGTGATCTCGGCTCACTGCAACCTCTGCCTCCCAGGTTCAAGCAATTCTCCTGCCCTGCCTCAGCCTGGCTCTTTTTTTTAATTCTTTTTTTTTGAGACAGAGTCTCACTGTGTCACCCAGGCTGGAATGCAGTGGCACGATCTCGGCTCACCACAACCTCACCTCCTGGGTTCAAGTGATTCTCCTGTCTCAGTCTCCCAGGTAGCTGGGACTACAGGCATGTGCTACCATGCCCGGCTAATTTTTTGTATTTTTTTTAGTAGAGATGGGGTTTCACCATGTTAGCCAGGATGGTCTCGATCTCCTGACCTCGTGATCCGCCCGCCTTGGCCTCCCAAAGTGCTGGGATTACAGGCATGAGCCACCGTGCCCGGCCTATCTGGCCTTTTAATACAAACTTTGCTGACCCCTGCCGAGCCAGCCCGCCTGGATTCAAATGCCTATGCTGCTGCTTACTGGCTGGAGAAGGTGGCTTTATCTCTAGTCTTCATTTTGTCCATCTCTAAAATGGAAGAATAGTACCAACTGCAAAGGGTGACTGTTAGGGTTAAATGAGTTGATACTTGTATAAAGTGCTTAAAACAGTGCCTAGCATGGCTGAGTGTGGTGGCTCAAGCCTGTAATCCCAACACTTTGGGAGGCTGGAGTGGGCGGATCACCTGAGACCAGGAGTTCGAGACCACCCTGGCCAACATAGTGAAACCTCATCTCTACTAAAAATACAAAAATTAGCCAGGCGTGGTGGTGTGTGCATATAATCCCATCTACTCAGGAGTCTGAGGCAGGAGAATTGCTTGAACCCGGGAGGCAGAAGTTGCAGTGAGCCGAGATTACTCCACTGCATTCCAGCCTGGGCAACAAGAGTGAAACTCTGTCTCAAAATTAAACAACAACAGCAAAAACAACAAAAATCCCACACACACACACACACAAAAACACGTGGAATGCACTTGATGAGTAGGGAGTAGAGGATGGTGATGTCCTCGGTTCCTGTTGTCCCACCCGCCTGCCCCAGCCTCCCCAGCAAATGTTTAGCCCAGCCCATGGGAAAAATCCATTTAATTATTGTCATGGCTGGATTCCCATCTCCTAGAGGAGTCCAGACTCATAGTCATGCATTATTTCTCCATCTGGGGCACCTGTCCAAGCCCAAGGCTTCCCTGCTGGCCCCTGGTCTTCCAGTAGCCAGCTGGGCCTTAGGGCTGGGCCTGGAGCCGATCTGGAACCACAGCCAAATCATGAAAGCCAAGGTCAGCCAGCCCCCAAATCAGTCGAGCCCAATTCACTAAAAAGAGACTCAAGTCATGACATGAGCCAGCGACCGTGCGGCCCCCAGCTGGGGCTTTTCTGCCATTCCCAGTGGGCAGAAGTTGACTTCAATTGCATCTTTCTGGGACATCAGAGGTGAGATTTAATCTCTCAGGCAACTGGTCCTGGAACTGGGGAGGACGGAGTTTAGTAATTTGAGATGTGGGATACTGTAGAGATATGGTGAGCTTAGCTCTTGCCAGTATGCGAGGGGCCAAGACTGAGTGTGGGGGGATGGGGCCATATCTTAGCGCTTCCTGGTGGAATATTTACAGAGCACACACGGGCTCTTAGCTGTCATCACCCTGCTTCAGAGAATGACACAGGGCAAAGGGCTTTAAACATATCTTCTATAGAAAATCCCAAACATATTCAAAAGTAGAGAGAATTGTAAAAAACCCCTACGCATACCGATCACCGAATTGACATCTTCAAATCACAATTCATCTTGTTTCTTCTATACTCCACCCATTGTCTCTCTTTTGTGATATTATCTGCTGTTGACGATCATTGCCAGGATCTATTAATTCATTAGTAGGAATAACATAATGACATTTGAGTGATAATATTCCTCCTTCATGTATTAGCTGAAATACTTCTTTTTATTATTATTATTATACTTTAAGTTTTAGGGTACATGAGCACAACATGCAGGTTTGTTACATATGTATACATGTGCCATGTTGGTGTGCTGCACCCATTAACTCGTTATTTAGCATTAGGTATGTCTCCTAATGCTATCCCTTCCCCCTCCCCCGACCCCACAACAGTCCCCAGTGTGTGATGTTCCCATTCCTGTGTCCATGTGTTCTCACTGTTCAATTCCCACCTATGAGTGAGAACATGTGGTGTTTGTTTCTTTGTCCTTGCGATGGTTTGCTGAGAATGATGGTTTCCAGCTTCACCCATGTCCCTACAAAGGACATGAACTCATCATTTTTTATGGCTGCATAGTATTCCATGGTGTATATGTGCCACATTTTCTTAATCCAGTCTATCATTGTTGGACATTTGGGTTGGTTCCAAGTTTTTGCTATTGTGAATAGTGCCACAATAAGCATACGTGTGCATGTGTCTTTATAGCAGCATGATTGATAATCCTTTGGGTATATACCCAGTAATGGGATGGCTGGGTCAAATGGTATTTCTAGTTCTAGATCCCTGAGGAATCGCCACACTGACTTCCACAATGGTTGAACTAGTTTACAGTCCCACCAACAGTGTAAAAGTGTTCCTATTTCTCCACATCCTCTCCAGCATCTGTTGTTTCCTGACTTTTGAATGATTGCCATTCTAACTGGTGTGAGATGGTATCTCATTGTGGTTTTGATTTGCATTTCTCTGATGGCCAGTGATGATGAGCATTTTTTCATGTGTCTTTTGGCTGCATAAATGTCTTCTTTTGAGAAGTGTCTGTTCATATCCTTTGCCCACTTTTTGATGGGGTTGTTTGTTTTTTTCTTGTAAATTTGTTTGAGTTCATTGTAGATTCTGCATATTAGCCCTTTGTCAGATGAGTAGATTGCAAAAAATTTCTCCCATTCTGTAGGTTGCCTGTTGACTCTGATGGTAGTTTCTTTTGCTGTGCAGAAGCTCTTTAGTTTAATTAGATCCCATTTGTCAATTTTGGCTTTTGTTGCCATTGCTTTTGGTGTTTTAGACATGAAGTCCTTGCCCATGCCTATGTCCTGAATGGTATTGCCTAGGTTTTCTTCTAGGGTTTTTATGGTTTTAGGTCTAACATTTAAGTCTTTAATCCATCTTGAATTAATTTTTGTATAAGGTGTAAGGAAGGGATCCAGTTTCAGCTTTCTACATATGGCTAGCCAGTTTTCCCAGCACCATTTATTAAACAGGGAATCCTTTCCCCATTTCTTGTTTTTGTCAGGTTTGTCAAAGATCAGATAGTTGTAGATATGCAGCATTATTTCTGAGGGCTCTGTTCTGTTCCATTGGTCTATATCTCTGTTTTGGTACCAGTACCATGCTGTTTTGGTTACCGTAGCCTTGTAGTATAGTTTGAAGTCAGGTAGCATGATGCCTCCAGCTTTGTTCTTTTGGCTTAGGATTGACTTGGCAATGTGGGCTTTTTTTTGGTTCTACATGAACTTTAAAGTAGTTTTTTCCAATTCTGTGAAGAAAGTCATTGGTAGCTTGATGGGGATGGCATTGAATCTGTAAATTACCTTGGGCAGTATGGCCATTTTCACGATATTGATTCTTCCTACCCATGAGCATGGAATGTTCTTCCATTTGTTTGTATCCTCTTTTATTTCATTGAGCAGTGGTTTGTAGTTCTCCTTGAAGAGGTCCTTCACATCCCTTGTAAGTTGGATTCCTAGGTATTTTACTCTCTTTGAAGCAATTGTGAATGGGAGTTCACTCATGATTTGGCTCTCAGTTTGTCTGTTATTGGTGTATAAGAATGCTTGTGATTTTTGCACATTGATTTTGTATCCTGAGACTTTGCTGAAGTTGCCTATCAGCTTAAGGAGATTTTGGGCTGAGACGATGGGGTTTTCTAGATATACAATCATGTCATCTGCAAACAGGGACAATTTGACTTCCTCTTTTCCTAATCGAATACCATTTATTTCCTTCTTCTGCCTGATTGCCCTGGCCAGAACTTCCAACATTTTGTTGAATAGGAGTGGTGAGAGAGGGCATCCCTGTCTTGTGCCAGTTTTCAAAGGGAATGCTTCCAGTTTTTGTCCATTCAGTATGATATTGGCTGTGGGTTTGTCATAGATAGCTCTTATTATTTTGAGATACGTCCCATCAATACCTAATTTATTGAGAGTTTTTAGCATGAAGGGTTGTTGAATTTTGTCAAAGGCCTTTTCTGCATCTATTGAGATAATCATGTGGTTTTGGTCTTTGGTTCTGTTTATATGTTGGATTACATTTATTAATTTTTGTATGTTGAACCAGCCTTGCATCCCAGGGATGAAGCCCACTTGATCATGGTGGATAAGCTTTTTGATATGCTGCTGGATTCGGTTTGCCAGTATTTTATTGAGGATTTTTGCATCAATGTTCATCAAGGATACTGGTCTAAAATTCTCTTTTTTTGTTGCCTCTCTGCCAGGCTTTGGTATCAGGATGATGCTAGTCTCATAAAATGAGTTAGGGAGGATTCCTTCTTTTTCTATTGATTGGAATAGTTTCAGAAGGAATGGTACCAGCTCCTCCTTGTACCTCTGGTAGAATTCGGCTGTGAATCCATCTGGTCCTGGACTTTTTTTGGTTGGTAAGCTATTAATTATTGCCTCAATTTCAGATCCTGTTATTGGTCTATTCAGAGATTCAACTTCTTCCTGGTTTAGTCTTGGGAGGGTGTGTGTGTCGAGGAATTTATCCATTTCTTCTAGATTTTCTAGTTTATTTGCATAGAGGTGTTTATAGTATTCTCTGATGGTAGTTTGTATTTCTGTGGGATCGGTGGTGATATCCCCTTTATCATTTTTTATTGTGTCTATTTGATTCTTCTCTCTTTTCTTCTTTATTAGTCTTGCTGGTGGTCTATCAATTTTGTTGATCTTTTCAAAAAACCAGCTCCTGGATTCATTGACTTTTTGAAGGGTTTTTTGTGTCTCTATTTCCTTCAGTTCTGCTCTGATCTTAGTTATTTCTTGCCTTCTGCTAGCTTTTGAATGTGTTTGCTCTTGCTTCTCTAGTTCTTTTAATTGTGATGTTAGGGTGTCAATTTTAGATCTTTCCTGCTTTCTCTTGTGGGCATTTAGTGTTATAAATTTCCCTCTACACACTTCTTTGAATGTGTCCCAAGAGATTCTGCTATGTTGTGTCTTTGTTCTTGTTGGTTTCAAAGAACATCTTTATTTCGTTATGTACCCAGTAGTAATTCAGGAGCAGGTTGTTCAGTTTCCATGTAGTTGAGCGGTTTTGAGTGAGTTTCTTAATCTTGAGTTCTAGTTTGATTGCACTGTGGTCTGAGAGACAGTTTGTTATAATTTCTGTTCTTTTACGTTTGTTGAGGAGAGCTTTACTTCCAACTATGTGGTCAATTTTGGAATAGGTGTGGTGCGGTGCTGAAAAGAATGTATATTCTGTTGATTTGGGGTGGAGAGTTCTTTCTTTCTTTTCTTTTCTTTTTTTTTTTGAGACGAGTCTCGCTCTGTTGCCCAGGCTGGAGTGTAGTGGCACGATCTCGGCTCACTGCAACCTCCGCCTCCCAGGTTCAAGCAATTCTTTGCCTCAGCCTCCCAAGTGGCTGGGATTACAGGTGCTCACCACCACGCCCGGCTAATTTTTTTATATTTTTAGTAGAGACGGGGTTTCACCATCTTGGCCAGGCTGGTCTTGAACTCCTGACCTTGTGATCCACCCGCCTTGGCCTCCCAAAGTGCTGGGATTACAGGCATGAGCCACCGCGCCCAGCCTCGGGGTGGAGAGTTCTGTAGATGTGTATTAGGTCTGCTTGGTGCAGAGCTGAGTTCAATTTCTGGATATCCTTGTTAACTTTCTGTCTCGTTGATCTGTCTAATGTTGACGGTGGGGTGTTAAAGTCTCCCATTATTATTGTGTGGGAGTCTAAGTCTCTTTTTAGGTCTCTAAGGACTTGCTTTATGAATCTGGGTGCTCCTGTATTGGGGGCATATATATTTAGGAAAGTTAGCTCTTCTTGTTGAATTGATCCCTTTACCATTATGTAATGGCCTTCTTTTGGTCTTTAAAGTCTGTTTTATCAGAGACTAAGATTGCAACCCCTGCCTTTTTTTGTTTTCCATTTGCTCGGTAGATCTTCCTCCATCCCTTTATTTTGAGCCTATGTGTGTCTCTGCAGGTGAGATGGGTTTCCTGAATACAGCACACTGATAGGTCTTGACTCTTTATCCAATTTGCCAGTCTGTGTCTTTTAATTGGAGCATTTAGCCCATTTACATTTAAGGTTAATATTGTTATGTGTGAATTTGATCCTGTCATTATGATGTTAGCTGGTTATTTTGCTCATTAGTTGATGCAGTTCTATAGAAAGAAACAGTCTCGGCTGGGTGCGGTGGCTGACGCCTGTAATCCCAGCACTTTGGGAGGCCGAGGTGGGTGGATCACCTGAGGTCAGGAGTTCGAGACCAGCCTGGCCAATATGGCCTACTAAAAATACAAAAATTAGCTGGGTGTGGTGGTGCATGCTTGTAATCCCAGCTACTCAGGAGGCTGAGGCAGGAGAATTGCTTGAACTTGGTGGGTGGAGGTTGCAGTGAGCTGAGATCACGCCACTGCACTGCAGCCTGGGTGACAGAGCGAGACTCTATTTCAAAAAAAAAAAAAAAAAAGGAAAGAAACAGTCTCTCATCTTCCATTTGGTTACCCAGTGGTACCATTCATATGGGAAAGGCAAGATGAGCACTTGATTCTTGTTCTTTTCTAGTTTATTTATTTATTTATTTATTTGAGATGGAGTTTCTCTCTTGTTGCCCAGGCTAGAGTGCAATGGCATGATCTCAGCTCACTGCAAACTCTGCCTCCCAGGTTCAAGCGATTCTCCTGCCTCAGCCTCCCGAGTAGCTGGGATTACAGGTGCCCGCCACCATGCCCGGCTAATTTTTGTATTTTTAGTAGAGACGGGGTTTCACCACGTTGGCCAGGCTGGTCTCAAACTCCTGACCTCAGGTGATCTGCCCGCCTCAGCCTCCCAAAGTGCTGGGATTACAGGCATGAGCCACCCCGCCCGGCCCGTTTATTTATTTATTTATTTATTTATTTATTTATTTATTTATTTATTTATTTTTGAGACAGAGTCTCGCTCTGTTGCCCAAGCTGGAGTGCAGTGGCATGATCTCGGCTCACTGAAACCTCTGCCTCCCAGGTTCAAGTGATTCTCCTGCCTCAGCCTCCCGAGTAGCTGTGATTACAGGCACCTGCCACCACACCCGGCTAATTTTTGTATTTTTAGTAGAGACGGGGTTTCACCACGTTGGCCAGGCTGGTCTCGAACTCCTGATCTCAGGTGATCCACCGGCCTCGGCCTCCCAAAGTGCTGTGATTACAGACATAAGCCACTGCGCCTGGCCCGTTTATTTATTTTTATTTATTTATTTATTTTTGAGACGGAGTCTCGCTCTGTCGCCCAGGCTGGCATGCAGTGGCATGATCTCGGCTCACTGCAACCTCTGCCTTCCGGGTCCAAGCAATTCTCTGCCTCAGCCTCCTGAGTAGCTGGGACTACAGGTGCGCACCACCTCGGCTAATTTTTGTATTTTTAGTAGAGATGGGGTTTCACCATCTTGGCTAGTCTGGTCTTGAACTCCTGACCTCGTGATCCACCCGCCTCGGCCTCCCAAAGTGCTGGGATTACAGACATGAGCGCCCAGCCTTGGGTCCCTTAATATCCTCAAAAAGTAAACACTGAGATTTTTTTTCCCTTATAGATTTACGATCTCATTAAACTAATGAAATATGTCAATACATTGCAGTTTTTATCATTACTGATAATCAAATTGGCTTCCTTCTTTGGCTGGTGGGAGTCTCTTTATGTTGACTCCTGTGTTCTTTTGGCATGGCTCAGAGTCCTAGGTGGCTTTCTTGCTTCATGACATAACAAGATGTTCTAACCAGATGCTGTGGGAACATCTTGTTCATTTCCTGCCACAGGCCTGGGATCAGCAATTTCTCCCAGGAACCCTTATTCCTTTGATTGGAAAATGAGGAATCAGCTCCACAATCAAGGAGCTGAAGTGCTCATGGCTAATAAGTTAGTTTTGTTTCTAGGTATTTTCACTGGACACAAATAGAAAATCCCCCACTATTTTTTTTTTAAAGACGGAGTCTTGCTCTGTTGCCTAAGCAGGAGCGCAGTGGCGCCATCTCGGCTCACTGCAACCTCCACCTCCCGGGTTCAAGTGACTCTCCTGCCTCAGCCTCCCGAGTAGCTGGGACTACAGGTGTGCATCACCACGCCCAGCTAATTTTCGTATTTTTATTAGCGACGGGGTTTCACCATGTTGGCCAGGATGGTCTCGATATCTTGACCTCGTGATCTGCCCACCTAGGCCTCCCAAAGTGCTGGGATTACAGGCGTGAGCCACTGCACCAGCCCCCCACCTATTTTTTCTTTTTGAGAGGCGGTCTCCATCACCCAGGTTGGAGTGCAGTGGTCCCATCTCGGCTCATTGCAACCTCTGCCTCTCAGGCTCAAGTGGTCCTCCCACCTCAGCCTCCCAAGTAACTGGGACCACTGGCGTGCCACCATGTCCAGCTAATTTTTGTATCTTTTGTAGAGACAGGGTTTCACCATGTTGCCCAGGCTGGTCTTGAACTCTTGAGCTCAGGTGACTGCCCACCTCAGCCTCCCAAAGTGCTGCGATTATAGGTGTGAGCCACCATGTCTGGTCTCCCACTACCTTTTTTTTTAATTTTTTAAAAATATATATAACATGGGCCAGGTGTGGTGGCTCACACCTGTAATCCCAGCAATTTGGGAGGCCGAGGCAGGTGGATCACCTGAGGTCAGGAGTTTGAGACCAGCCTGGCCAACATGGTGAAACCCCACCTCTACTAAAAATACAAAAATTAGCCGGGCATGATGGTGGGCACCTGTAATCCCAGCTACTCAGGAGCCTCAAGATATATATATATATATGAAATGAGTTTGTATTGATGCTTCCAATTCATATTTTGGACTAAATGCCTTTTATTTAGCCTGATCAATTTGATACCTGCATTTTTATTTTCCCACACTGAAAATCCAAATTCTCACCACCACCAACACATTCACTCATTTGCTTTATTCCACAATACACACACATTAATCCCAGAAGAACACACCAACAGTATCTTAAGTGATATGGTTATGGGAAACAGTTTAACATTTTTCCCCTGTCCCTTTTCATTTTGGTATATTCCACTAGGGATGTACCATTAAATTACTGAGCTAAAATACTTTCTTTCTGATTGGTTATGCCGGTAACCAGAAGTGTTTAATTTCTAGGGCCTTTTTTTTGAGTGTAGAAAGTATTTACTTTAAAAATAGCTACAATACTCGGGAGGCTGAGGCAGGAGAATGGCGTGAACCCGGGAGGCAGAGGTTGCAGTGAGCCGAGATCGCGCCACTGCACTCCAGCCTGGGTGACAGAGTGAGACTCTGTCTCAAAAAAAAAAAAAAAAAAAAAATTACCTACAACAATAAAAACAACATCTCACAATAAGATTGTGCATTATAACTGCAACTATTAATAGAACCACTGTTCAATTAGAAAATACCTGAAATAGGGCTGGGTGCAGTGGCTCATGCCTATAATCCTAGCACTTTGGGAGGCTGAGGCAGGTGGATTGCCTGAGCTCAGGAGTTCGAGACCAGCCTGGGCAACACGGTGAAACCCTATCTCTACTAAAATACAAAAAATTAGCGGGGCTTGGCGGCATGCGCCTGTAATCCCAGCTACTCAGGAGGCTGAGACGGCTGAATTGCTTGAACCTGGGAGGTGGAGGTTGCAGCCAGCCGAGATTGAGCCATTGCACTCTAGCCTGGGCGACAGAGCAAGACTCCGTCTCAAAAAAAGAAAAAAAAAAAAGAAAAGAAAATACGTCAAATAACAGGATTAATAATGTCATAATAACAATTATCATTAATCTATTATTATTTATTATTATTATTTTTGAGACAGAGTTTTCGCTCTTGTTGCCCAGGCTGGAGTGCAATGGCACGATCTCGGCTCACCACAACCTCCGCTTCCCAGGTTCAAGCGATTCTCCTTGCTCAGCCTCCCGAGTAGCTGGGATTACAGGCATGCAACCACCATGCTTGGCTAATTTTGTATTTTTAGTAGAGATGGGGTTTCTGCATGTTGGTCAGGCTGGTCTCAAACTCCCGACCTCTGGTGATCTGCCTGCCTCGGCCTCCTAAAGTGCTGGGATTACAGGCGTGAGCCACTGTGCCCAGCCTGTTATTATTAATATTATCGTTAATATTAATCTGTTACTATTGCAAACTTCACCTATTACCTCCATCCCCCACCCCCATTTAAAAATGTCATTATAAATATAGTACCTTAGGCCAGGCACAGTGGCTCAGGCCCATAATCCCAGCACTTTGGGAGGCCGAGGGGGGTGGATCACCTGAAGTCAGGAGTTTGAGATCAGCCTGGTCAATATGATGAAACCTCGCCTGTACTAGAAATACAAAAAGTAACCGGGCATGGTGGTGCATGCCTGTAATCCCAGCTACTCTGGAGGCTGAGGCAGGAGAATCGCTTGAACCCAGCAGTGGGAGGTTGCAGTGAGCCAAGATCGTGACACTGCACTCCAGCCTGGGCGACAGAACGAGATTTTGTCTCAAAATAAATAAATAAATTAAAAAATAAAAATAAAAAATAAATAAATATAGTACCTTACCACATGCAGCTTTGAGTTACTGGGTCATTCAGACGAAGTAATACCACATTACTTTTTTACTGTGGTAAAATACACATAACATACAATTTACCATTTTAGCCATTTTTACGCGTACAGTTCTAGGGCACTGAGTACATTCACGTTGTGCAACCATCACCACCAGCCATCTCCAAAACTTTTTGGCTTCCCCAGCTGAAACTCTGTCCCCGTTAAACATTAACTTCCTATTCCCTACTCCCCGCCAAGCCCCTGGCAACCATCATTCTACTTTCTGTCTCTATGAATTTGACTGCTGTAGTTACTTCATATCAATAGAATCATACAATATTTGTCCTTGTGACTGGCTTATTTCACTTTCCTATAATAAGATAAACGCATATATAATTCAGCCAGATATTGCCAGTTTTCTCTCCCCAGGGATTACTTTGCATTCTCCATTAGTTAAGCATGTGAGTGTGTAAAATACTCCCAAGCCTTTTCATTTGACCTGGCAGACTCCTATATATTCTTTAAAACCCACCTCTGGCTGGGCGCGGTGGCTCAAGCCTGGAATCCCAACAATCTGGGAGGCTGAGATTAATAAGGGAATTTACACAACACTTTCCTGAGGACAGACCACGTTCACACCTACCTCCCTGTTGGAGCCTCAGGACCACCTTAAGAGGGAAGGAGGAGGACCACTCCCATTTTACAGTTGAGAAAAATGAAGCACAGAGACGCTAAGATGTGTACCTAAGGCCACAGAGCTGGTGTCAGAGCCAGGCCTAGATACCTACCTGCCTGCTTTTCCTGAAGGGGAATTCTTATTAACAGAGGGACAAGGTTGCTTCTGATAGGCTGTAGGAGCCGGGGTGCAGTAGGGGGTGGGGGTGGGGGGAAGGGGAGGGAAGAATCTGATTGGCCGAGGAACCAAAAAGTGGAAGTAGTTGGTAGGGTGGGTAGACAAGCAAAGTCTGATTGGCTGGAAAGTAGGATATGGAAGTCTGATTGGGTGAGAGTTAAGAGAGTAGTTTAATTGACTAAGGCAGACTCTGATTGACTGAGGGGTTGGAGAGCAGCGTTTAGTTGCGGGAGGGGGAAGAGGGCGGAGTCTAATCGGATGAAAAACAGGAGACTGGGGTTTGATTGACTGAGGGATATGAGAGCATTTAATTTGCTGAGGTGTGGGAGGGTGGAATCTGATTGGCTGGGGGAAACTCAGCATGAAGTTTCCCCGGGGGTGTTAGCAATGTCATTTCTGCTCTCCTTCACAAATCCCGTGTCTCTGGGCCCTGGTAGAAGGAGGTGGAGATTAATCTCCTAGGACTATGGGGAAATGGAGGCAGATGTGTGTGGAGGAGGGGAGGGGGCTGAGTCACTCCAGGCAAAGGCCAGAGAGGACACCTCCCCAACCATACCTGCTGAGAAAGAATCTTGTTCTCCACCTCCCATCACGCCTCCTGCAGAGTGACCACTAGGATTTATGGCCCAGAAGAGAGAGGTGTCACCCAGCCCCTCTATAATTCCCAGGGAGGAAGCAGGGGTCCTCTTCATTCCTTCCCCTTCCCCAGCAGAACCCCTTCTCCCCAATCCTTTCCCTTCCTAGGGGACCACACTCTTCATCTCTCTAGTTTCTGATGACAAGGACCTCTCCTCCCTCCACCTGCCTGCCCAAAGGCATCTTCTTGCACCCACTGAGTTTTTTTGTTTTTTGTTTTGGGACGGAGTCTCGCTCTGTCGCCCAGGCTGGAGTGCAGTGGAGTGATCTCGGCTCACTGCAACCTCCGCCTCCCGGGTTCAAGCGATTCTCCTGCCTCAGCCTCCCGAGTAGCTGGGACTACAGGCGCCTGCCACCACACCTAGCTAATTTTTGTATTTTTAGTAGAGACGGGGTTTCACCATGTTGGCCAGTATGGTCTCAATCTCTTGACCTTGTGATCCTCCTGCCTCGGCCTCCCAAAGTGCTAGGTTTACAGGCGTGAGCTACCTCGCCCGGCCCCCACTGCGTTTTTATCGCTATTGTCTTCCTCCACCGGGAGCTTCTCTCCCCTCCCTTCCTCCACCCCAATCTTCCTGTTTGACTGTCTTTATCTCTCTTCCTTCACCCTTCTTCTTCTCTTCTACTCACTCCGTTAAAAACTCCAGCCTAGGCCAGGCACGGTGGCTCATGCCTGTAATCCCAACACTTTGGGAAGCTGAGGCTTGAGCCCAGGGCAACATAGTGGGATCCCCCCTGCCCATCTCTACAAAAAAATTAAAAAATTAGCTGGGCGTGTTGGTGAGCGCCTGTAGTTTTAGCTACTTGAGAGGCTGAGATGGGAAGATTGCTTGAGCCCAGGAGGTCGAGGCTGCAGTGGACTATGTCCGCACCACTGCACTCCAGCCTGGATGACAGAGTGAGACCCTATCTCAAAAACAGAACAAAACCTCCAGCCTAAATGATGCCCAGGTGGAAAACCTTGGAGTTACATCCAGTCTGTCAGCAAATCCCATCAGCTCCACCTTTTATTAAACAAATCCCAAACTCTACCACCTTTCACAACTCTAAGTTCCTTCAGGGTTGGGCAGTGAGGAAGCAAGCTCTTGCTCCCCGTTTACTCTGTTCATGATATTGCAGCCAGAGGAAGCCTGTTAAAACCTCTCAGGGGACATCCCTTCTCTGCCTAGAACCCTGTATGGCTCCCACCTTCCTCAGAGTAATAACCTAAGCCCTCTCAGTGGTCCCCCAGGTCCTAGACAACCTGTCCTGTCACTTCCCTGCATTTATCTCCTCCCGGTATCCCCCTCACTCACTCTGCTGCAGCTTCACTGGCCTCTTGACTGTTCTTTAAGGCATGGTCCAGCCTCAGGTCCTTTACACAGGCTGTGCCCTCTGCTTGGAATGCTTAAGATCCCTGTTCAAATATCAACTCCTCAGAGAGGGCTTCCACATCTCCTTACCTTGCTAGGTTTTGTCCCATAGCACATATCACATAGATTATACACTTTTAATTTATGTGTTTTTGTTTATTCACTGCAGAGCAATGCCTGGTACCATGTGCAAACTTGGCATTTGTTGAATGAATATGTGCTATGTGACAGCTGGGGCTGGGGACAAGGCAGAGAAAGAGAAAGATCCCTTTTACCTGCGTGGAGTTTACAGCCCTATCCAGGGCTAAACAAATCATTCCAAGAGGCAGGCACGGTGGTTCATGCCTGTAATTCCAGCACTTTGGGAGGCCGAGGCGGGTAGATCACCTGAGGTCAGGAGTTCGAGACCAACCTGATCAACATGCTGAAACCCTGTCTCTACTAAAAATACAAAATTATCTGGGTGTGGTGGTGCATCCCAGCTACTTGTGAGGCTGAGGCAGGAGAATCACTTGAACTCGGGAGGTGGAGGTTGCAGTGAGCCAAGACCGCGCATTGCACTGCAGCCTGGGCAGCAAGAGCAAAATTCTATCTCAACAAAACAAAACAAAACAAAAACAAAACAAAAAAATCATTCCAAGAGCAATTTTACTGGGAGCGAGGACACTCAGGGGCTGTGGCTGCATTGAGTATGGGCTGGAACTAAGCCCAGTGACTGGGGAAGCCCTCAGAAAAAATGGCCTTAAGTAGGAGTTAGTTGGGTGGGTGAGAGGAAGATAATTCCAAGCAGAGAGAAGAGCATGTGCAAAGGATTTAAAGTTGGAGAGATGGTCTTTGATGGGTTTGGCAAAAATGGTCCCAAGTGGCTTGTGTGTGGATGGGGAGAAGGAAAGTGGCCAGCACATGTTAAAAGGGGCCATTTAACACCCCACTTGCCTCTCACCTTTGAATTGCTTTCCTTCCTTCCTTCCTTCCTTCCTTCCTTCCTTCCTTCCTTCCTTCCTTCCTTCCTTTCTCTCGCTCTCTCTCTTTTTTTCTTTTTTTTTTTTTTCGGAGTTTTGCTCTTGTTGCCCAAGCTGGAGTGCAATGGCATGATTTTGGCTCACTGCAACCTCCACCTCCCAGGTTCAAGCAATTCTCCTGCCTCAGCCTCCCAAGTAGCTGGGATTACAGGTGCGTGCCACCATGCCCAGCTAATTTTTTGGTATTTTTAGTAGAAACGGGGTTTCACCATGTTAGCCAGGCTGGTCTCGAACTCCTGACCTCGGGTGATCTGCCTGCCTTGGCCTCCCAAAGTGCTGGGATTACAGGCATGAACTACCATGCCCAGCTGTGTTGCTTTCTTTGTTTGAAATCTCTGATATCACCTGTTCTGTTTCCACTTTTCTGCCTCACTGTTTTTGTGTCCCAGGAGGCTGATGTATATGGACCACTCAATGAGCTCCTTTGTCTTGTGGCTTCCAGTTGGGTTGAAACAGCAGGGAGCCATAGCAGGCATTGGAGGGAGGGAGGAAAGTGAGGTTAGGTTATTTGTAACTCATCTTCTTTCCATGCAGGCTGGCTGTGTCCCTCCACCGGAGGTTCAGAACTCTTGACAGGTGGACCTCTTTGCATAGCCCTGTCTGGTCCAGGTTCTAGCAACTTTAGTTCCTTGGCCCCAGGTCCTAGGGGTGGTAACTAATTTCAGCTGTTACCAGCCCCTGGTGTGCTGCACTATCCCTTTGAAAATAGTGCTTTTTATTAAACTCTCTACAAATTACTCCACTTAAGTGTTCGGTCTGTTTCCTGCCGAGTTCTTTTTTATTTTTATTTTTTTTGAGATGGAGTCTCACTCTGTCACTCAGGCTGGAGTGCGGTGGCACGATCTTGGCTCACTACAACCTCTGCCTCCCGGGTTCAAGTGATTCTCCTTCCTCAGCCTCCCGAATAGCTGGGACTACAGGCGTGAGCCCCCATGCCCGGCTAATTTTTGTATTTTTAGTAGAGACAGGGTTTCACCATGTTGACGAGGCTGGTCTCGAATTCCTGAGCTCAGGAGATCTGCCCGCCTCGGCCTCCCAAAGTACTAGGATTACAGGCATAAGCCACCGCGCCTGGCCCTCTTTTGTTTTTAGAGACAGGGTCTCACTCTGTTGCTCAGACTGGAGTGAAGTGGTGCAATTGTAGCTCACTGAAACCTCAAACTCCTGAGCTCAAGCAATCGTCCCACCTCAGCCTCCTGAGTAGCTGGGACTACAGGCATGTACCACTATGCCTAATTTGTTATTTTTTATAATTTTTACAAAAAATTATTTTTTTTAGAGATGGGGTCTGGCTATGTTGCTCAGGCTGGTCTTGAACTCCTGGACTGAAGCAATCCTCCTGCCTCGACCTCCCAATAATAATAATTATATATATAATTATTATATATATTATATATAATAATTATTATATATTATATATATATAATTATTATATATATATAATATATATATATATAAAGTATTTATTTTAATTGAGGTGAGGCCGGGCACAGTGGCTCATGCCTGTAATCCCAGCACTTTGGGAGGCTGAAGAGGGAGGATCACTTGAGGCCAGGAGTTTGAGACCAGCCTGGCGAACATGGCAAAACCCCGTCTCTACTAAAAATATAAAAAAATTAGCTGGCTGTGTGTCACAGGCCTGTAATCCCAGCTACTTGAGAGGCTGAGGCACGAGAATTGTTTGAACCCAGGAGCCGGAGTTTGCAGTGAGTTGAGATCGCACCACTGCACTCCAGCCTGGGCAACAGGTGAGACTCTGTCTCAAAAAAAAAAAAAAAAAAAAAAAAAAATTGAGGTGAAATTCACATAACATAAAATTAACCCTTTAAAGTGTAGAATTCAGTGACATTTAGTGCATTCACAATGTTGTGCAACTATCACCTTTATCTAGTTCCAGTGTTTTTGTCACCCCAAAAGGAGGTCCTATAACCACTCCCCCTGGGTATGGGCTTCTCTCTCCATCCCCCCTCCCCCAGCCCCTGGCAACAACTACTCCACTTTCTGTCTCTGTGAATTCACTTAGTCTGAATATTTCATATAAATGTAATAATGCACTGTGTGACCTTTTGTGTCTGGTTTCTTTCACTCAGCACAATGTTTATGAGGCTCATCCACATTGCGGCATGGATCAGGGTTTTATTTATTTTTATTTGTATTTTTTTTTTCAGACGGAGTCTCACTCTGTCCCCCAGGCTGGAGTGCAGTGGTGCGATCTTGGCTCACTGCAATCTTTGCCTTCCGGGTTCAAGCGATTCTCCTGCCTCAGCCTCCCGAGTAGCTGGGATTACAGGTGCCCGCCACCGTGCCCAGATAATTTTTGTATTTTTAGTAGAGACAGGGTCTCACCATGTTGGCCAGGCTGGCTCAACCTCCTGACCTCAGGTGATCCACCTGCCTCGGCCTCCCAAAGTGCTGGGATTACAGGCAAGAGCCACCTCGCCCGGCCTTTATTCTTTTTTATGACTGAGTAATATTCCATTGTATGGATGGACCACAGTTTGTTTATCCATTCATCTGTTGGTGGAATTTGGGTTGTTTCCACCTTTGGCTATAATAAATCGTGCTATCCCGAGCACTCCTCTACAATTACGTGTGAGTAACTGTTTTCTTTTCTCTTTCTTTCTCTTTATCTCTCTCTCTCTCTCTCTCTCTCTCTCTCTCTCTCTGTCTCTTCTTTCTTTCTTTTTCTTTTTTTTTGAGACAGGGTCTCATTCTGTAGCCAGGCTGGCGTGAAGTGGTACAATCTCAGCTGACTGCAATCTCAGCCTCCCAGTCTCAAGCTGTCTATCCTCCCACCTCAGCCTCCCAAGTAGCTGGGACTATAGGTACGCACATCATGTCCAGCTAATTTTTTATATTTTGTAGAAATGAAGTCTTGCTATGTTGTTCCCCAGGCTAGTCTGGAACTCCTGGGCTTAAGTGATGCTCTCTTGCCTCAGCCTCCCAAAGTGCTGAGATGACAGCTGTAGACCACTGTACCTGGCAAGTACTTGTTTTCAGTTATTGTGTGTGTATACCTAGGAGTGGAATATCTGGGTCCTATGGTAATTCTGATTAGCTTTTTGAGAAATTCCCAAACTGTTTTCCACTGTGGCTGAACCATTTTACGTTGCCACCAGCAGGGTATGGCGAGATCCCTCTTCTTTTTATCTTTGACTCCCTGCCATGACCTGCCACATCCACTCCCAGACAGCTTTCTACTACCATTTCCCAAGTCCAGCCACAGCCTCCACTTCCTCCCCTCCCACTTCAACCTCACCCCACTGAGCCCTGGGCTGTGGCAGGCTGAGGGCTCTGGTGGCATGGGAACCACACAGCTCTAGAGCTTGGGTTCCTTGACGTCTAGGTGCCAGTGATGGTCCCTACTACCACTCTTCTCAAACTCCATCTCCAGCTCCAGCTCAGTGCTGCTGCCTGTCCTCTCTATAAATGTAGCTATTATCTCTGAGGTCAGGAGTTTGAGACCAGCCTGGCCAAAATGGCAAAACCCTGTCTCTACTAAAAATACAAAAATTAGCCGGGCGTGGTGGTGCAAGCCTGTAATCCCAGCTACTCAGGAGGCTGAGGCAGGAGAATTGCTTGAACCCGGGAGGTGGAGGTTGCAGTCAGCCAAGATAGCACCACTGCACTCTAGCCTGGGTGACAGAGCAAGACTCTGTTTGATTAAAAAATAAAATAAAAGGCCAGGCACGGCAGCTCATGCCTGTAATCCCAGCACTTTGGGAGGCCAAGGCAGGTGGATCACTTGAGGTCAGGAGTTTGAGACCAGCCTGGCCAATACGGCGAAACCCCGTCTCTACTAAAAATACAAAAATTAGCCGGGCTTGGTGGTGGGCACCTGTAGTCTCAGCTACTCGGGAGGCTGAGGCAGGAGAATCGCTTGACCCCGGGAGGCGGAGGTTACAGTGAGCCAAGATTGTGCCACTGTATCCAGCCTGGACAACAGAGCAACAGAGTGAGACTCCATCTTAAAAAAAAAAAAAAAGTGGCTGTGATCCCCACTTCTGCCCTCCCCTCCTCTTCTCTGCCCACCTCCCTCCTGAGTGATCTCGCTGACCTACTGCCATGCCATCCACCGTCTTCCCAAGGCAGGTGACTCACAGATGCAATTCTCAGGAGGTGCCCTCACGCTGAGCCCAACTGCCTCCTGGATGTCTCCCTGAATGTCATCCCATGAGACCCACGAGACTTTTAGACTGAAGGTGACCCACGGTTTCCCAATCTTAGCACTGTCAACATTTGAGCCTGGATTATTCTTTGGGGGTGGGGGTGTTCTGGATGTTGAATAATATCTCTGGCCTTCACCCACTAGATGTCAGTTGCACCACCCTGAATTCCCCCACCCCCACCTCTACCCCCCACCCAGCAGTATGATCTCCTGATGTTGCTAAACATTCCCTGGCGGAAAACTCTACTCTGCTGGGATGGCCCCAATCAACTGCAAACTCAAACAGCTGATGTTTGTCCAGCCTGTGCCCTGTGCCAGGAGTGGGGCTGAACACCACCTCATCACATGGGCTTCTTCTGCATTTTATGCATAGGGAGATGGAGGCTCAGAGCAGCCATGTGACTAGCTCAAGGCCACACATCCACGAAGCCCACTCTTAGTGCTCCAGGCCCTTTCACTTACTCCTCCTTCCTGGTCTCCAGCTCTTTGAGAGCAGAGAAGCCAGGCAGATGGCTTCTTTTCCTTCTCTCTTCCCTAGAACCCCGTATTTAGCCAGTGGTCAGTGGAGATGACCTCCGGGACCTCATCCTTAACCCCTTCCTGGGTCTCAGCTACCCCCACCCTTTGTCTCTGTCCCCTGCAGCCACTGGAGGGGTCCCTCTCAAACTTCACTCTATGTGGATCTCTGCATTTTCCAAAGTGCTTCTAGTAAGCTCCCCCTTGGCCAGAATTACTGGCAAAACAAAATTCATATCCCTAAAAAATAGGCTTTCATGCTGCGTTAATTATGAATAAAAAATTAATAAAATAAGCTCTTCCTCAGAAGTAAAAAAGATTAAAGACACAAATAAATATAAATATTTTTTTTTAAAAGTTCTAGGAGCTGGGAGAATGGCTTGAGCCCAGGAGTTTGAGACCAGCCTGGGCAACATAGTGAGACCCTGTCTCTAAAAAAATGAAAAAAAAAAATTAGCTGGGTGTGGTGGCACGTGTCTGTAGTCCCAACTACCCAGGAGGCTGAGGCAGGAGGATGGCTTGAGCCCAGGAGTCACCCCAGCCTGGATGACAGAGTGAGACCAATCAACTAACAGGGGGCACCTCCCCTACTCAAGCACCATCCATGGCTCCCCACTGCCCACCAGATCAAGATCCAGCCATTCAAACTGGCCTTCACAGTCAACTCCTGCATCCCTCCAGCCTCCACACCTCTCACACTCCAAGGCCAGGGAAAGCCATCTGCTAAGTCACACCCTCCAGTTTCTCTGTGCTTGAGCTCTACCCCCTCTCCTGCACTTGTTGAAATCCAACCTCTCCATGCAGTCCCAGCTCAAGTGTCACATCCTCCACGTCGCCTTCCCTGACCTCATGTCTGCCTCCTCCAAGCAGCAAAACTTCAATTACTTGTGTCTCCTCTTCTTCACCAGGAGACATGCCCCACACCTCCCACGCCCTCTTTCCAAGGGCCCAGCACCAAATGAGAGCGTATTCTTAGAAAAAAGAGGGATAAGGAAGTCTTCTAAGTTTACCACCTGCTGGGGCAAGTGGAGATTCTTGTCTTCTCATCTGTCTGCCCACGTGCTAAGGTCAGCCACACATCCACCCACCGACTCCGGAGGACAGACACATCCAGAGGCGGAGCTGACTCTGTCTCCACACATCTGGAGTAGACGGGTTGGCCAAGGACAACATCCTGGTCAGAGGGTCAAGGTGTCTGGCAGTGGGTGGGGAGGAGTGGCGGAGGGCGGGTTGGCGGGGAGCAGAACCAGTCTGGTGCTGCTTGTTGAGGTTGGAGGTCTTCCTGGAGGAAGAGGCTGCAGAGCCTCCAGGGGTGGGTGCCGGGGAAGCTTAGGCCCAGGATCCAGAGAGAGGGGAAGGGCTGGTTCCCAAGGGCTGGTGGAGCCAGAGAATTCCTGAGGGCCCCAGAGGAGGCTTCTCGGGGGGGTCAGTGGGGCCCCAGGGGGTGATGGTTTAGAGATCGCTGTCCAAGCTTGGGAGCAAACCTGGAAGTAAGGGCCATGGGGGGTGTTGGTGTGGGAGGAGTGTGGTCCAGAGCGGGACTTGGGCGCTAATGCGGCCCAGCAGTGGCAGGAGGGCGGGGAGCCTGATGGTTTGGGACTTCTAGGTGTCCAAGTCTCTGTCTCTCTTCATCTCTCCATCTCAGTCTCAGTCTCTCTCTCTTTCCATCGCTCTCCACCCCTCCACACGCCTATTTCTTGTTCTCTCCTTTTCTAGGGGGCAGCGCTGGAGTCCCCGCCCAGAACCCTGCGGGAGCCCGGGGCGGGATGTCCGGGGGCGGACCCCTCGGCACGGCCGGGCGGGGTTAAAGGGTTGGGCCGTGGGACGGCGCGGTCAGATCCCAGGTAGTGGCGCCGGTGGATCCGGATCGAGGGCAGGAGGCTGAGACCCGCGGGTGAGTGCGCGCGTGGTGAGGGCTGTAACCTGAGCGCGGCCGCGGCGCTGCGCTGGAACCCGAGGCTCGCGCGGTTCGGTGCTGGCGGGGCAAGGGCGAAGGTCTGCGCGCGGCGGCGGGCGGGGCGCAGCCGGCCACGGGGACCCCCCCAGGACCCAGGACGGGGCTGCATGCCCGGGGCACTCGTGGGGAGAGGGGCACGTGGGTGTGTCCCCGACGTTTGCTGCATTTGTGAGTTGTTTTCTTTTTTTTTTTTTCTGTGTGCGCCTCGGAGTCCTAGGCGCATCCTTTTCTCTGGGTATCTGTGATGGGCAGGGGGCCTCCAAAAGACCCCTCTGGTAGTCAGGACATCCCAGATGGGTTCAAGCCCCGCCCTGGGACGCCTCTTTGGGGCTGAATGGGGATTCGCCCTGAGATTTCACCACTGCACGTTGTCTTGACGGGGAGGTTGTAGTACATTCAACCGATGGGGTTAGGCTTGTGGTTCAACTGCTATCAGGAACCCTCTGCCCATCCATGCCAGACGCAGAGCCCCTCTATGAAAAGACGGTGTTCTTCTGGCCCCGAGAGTTGGCTCTGAGGGTTGTGTGAGGTCCTGGGGTTGGTCCCAGGTGATCTTCGTCTGATAGATGCTGGAAGGAAGATGTTTTCTGGCCTCCCAGGGGCCTGGCCCAGCCTGGGTATGCAAGTTGGCCGAGGCTGGCCACCTGGGGAGTCGCAGGCTGGAGAGGCCTAGGCTCAGGGCATCTCTCCTGGTTCATCTGCCCGCTCACAGCTCATTCATGCACTCATTGTGAGTCTCACCGCCCTGTAGGCAAAGGAGATGGCCAGGGCTGGCTGCGTACCCGAAATTCCTCCTACCCTGTGCCCCTTGCTCCACCCCTTATTTCTAGGTCCTGGAGCTGTGCCCAGCCAGGGCTGGCAGCATCAAACTCCTTCTTGTGTAACTCCAAACCCCAAAGAGAAGGAACCTCCCCAAATCTTCCCTACCACCCTCATTTTACAGGCACGGAAACTGAGGGCCAGAGAGAAGAAGCCTGTGCCTGTGGATACCCAGTGCCCAGTGGGAGAGCTGGGATTTGAAAAAACAAGCCCTGTTTGACCCCAAAGCCTCAGTCCACTTTCCGATGTCCCCGGCATCACCAAATGGCCCAGCTTGGGTTTCTGAACAGTAACATTAACTCTGGCCTGGTGTCTGGCGGTGACCCAGGTTGGTATCTGCAGAGGGGCTTGGATGACTTGAGAGGCATTCAGGGAATGGGACCCATCTCTCCTTCCTTCCTTCCTTCCTTCCTTCCTTCCTTCCTTCCTTCCTTCCTTCCTTTCTTTCTTTCCTTCCTTCTTTCTTTCTTTCTTTCTTTCTTTTCTCTGTCTCTCTCTCTTTCTTTCTTTCTTTCTTTTTTTGTTGTTGTTGTTGAGACAGGGTCTCACTTTGTCACCCAGGCAGGAGTGCAGTGGCATAATCATAGCTCACTGCAGCCTCGATCTCCTGGGTTCAAGCAATCCTCCTACCTCAGCCTCCTGAGTATGGAGGACTACAGGCATGCACCACCACTCCTGTCTACTTTTTGTATTTTTGGTAGGGATGGGGTTTCACCATGTTGCCCAGGCTGGTCTTGAACTCTTGGGCTCAAGTGATCCACCCGCCTCAGCCTCCCAAAGTGCTGGGATTACAGGCATGAGCCACTGCGCCTGACTCATCTCTCCTTGTTGATAAAACTTGGACCTGATTCTCCAAACCCCAGATGGCCAGGTCACAATAATGAACGTGATGGCAGCACCAACGGTAATGAGAGATATCATTGATCAAAGGCTTACTATGTGCCTGGAAGATTGCAGCCCCATGAGGTGGGTAAATAGGGCTTCTGTCTTAATGGATGAAGAAATTGAGGCTCAGAGAGGTGCAGACACTCACCCGAGGTCGCACAGCAAAGAGGCAGACCTTTATAGAATCTTTTCTGAGGCTCATGTCCAGGTGTGGCCACACTTGGGATGGTGGGCAGAAACAATTACAACCCTGCAATGGTCTAGATTATTAGTGGTTTTAAAACTTCTTTTTCTGCCAGGATCCCCTTTGGGCCAAGGAAATTATTAGCAAAAGGTTTGAATATGATCAAAGCTGCGATAGGACTGTCTCCTTTACCACATTTGCCAACTTGGCCCTGCCCTCATTAGTCATAAATGACTCTGAAGCTCTTTCTCAGAACCTTAGAAATTTAGAGTGCTGAGTGGAGACTGAAGACCTAGAAGCCAGGCTGAGTGTGGTGGCTCATGCCTGTAATCCCAGCACTTTGGGAGGCTAAGGCTGGAGGATGGTTTGAGCCCAGGACTTTGAGACCAGCCTGGGGAATATAGGGATACCATATATATATATATATATATATTTTTTTTTTTTTTTTTGAGATGGAGTTTTGCTCTTGTTGCCCAGGCTGGAGTGTAATGGCGTGATCTTGGCTCACTGCAACCCCTGCCTCCCGGGTTCAAGCTGTTCTCTTGCCTCAGCCTCCTGAGTAGCTGAGACTACAGGCATGTGCCACCATGCCTGGCTAATTTTGTATTTTTAGTAGAGATGGGGTTTCTCCATGTTGGTCAGGCTGGTCTCGAACTCCCGACCTCAGGTGATCCTCCCTCCTCCCAAAGTGCTGAGATTACAGGCATGATTACAGGCATGAGCCACCGCGCCCAGCACTATATTAATTTTTTTTAACAAAAAAATTAAAAAAAAATTAGCTGAGCATGGTGGCAGGCGCCTGTAGTCCCAGCTACTCAGGATGCTGAGGTGGGAGGATCACTCAAGCCCAGGACGGGGAGGTTGCAGTGAGCCAAGATCACACCACTGCACTCCAGCCTGAAGGACACAGCAAGACCATGTCTAAAAAACAAAACAAACAAACAACAACAACAACAAAACAACTTAGAAGTCCCCTCTCAGCTCCAGCCTTCTGGGGTCTGGCACTTTGGGGGAATATGTGAGTCTCTGGGGTAAGCCAGCCCTCTGATGTTGAGGAAGCCAAGGTGGCACCATGAATCAGTGGGGACGGGGGCAGGCTGCCTTGACTACAGGCTTGGAGTGAAAAGGAGGGCTGGGATTTGGGGTGATGGGGCCAGCGTTGGGGTGCTCTTCCATCAGGCTCCTGGCTGGTCCCAGCCCCTGCAGTTCAAGAAGAGGCATGTATCTCGTACCTGGCGTCGGCCTGGGTCCGTGCCCTCCACTCCTTCTTGGGAGCCCACACACCTTGTATAACAAGTCCTCAGTGGGTGAACGGCTGGGCCAACCTGACAAACCAGCGCGACCTGGGCGTGGGCCGGGACACGGAGCCAGTCGCTGGCTTTCACCACCACCAGATAATGCGGGCCCTGGCAGGGCAGGGCCACCTCTACCAAGGCGGGCCTGCTGGATGAGATCGGGGGCCGGTGTAGATAGGGAGTGGACATGCCAGCCGCCCACAACATTCTGAGGGTGTCACCTTTGAATTGCTCTCACTTCTATCAAATAGCAATAATAGGAGTAGTCATCATGGCTAACATTTTGTGAGCTACGTGACAAGGCCTTTCCATGCCTCATTTCACTGAGCCGTCCCAAAAACCTTAGGGGGTAGGTCCTGTTATTATCAACCCATTTCACAGATTGGCAAAGGGAGGCTGATGGCAGGGACTGGGTTCACCCAAGGCTGCTAACCTAGGGAATAGGAGAGCTGAGATTTGAACCCAGGCCTGTTGAAGTCAAAAGTGAACATTAAATTAAATTAAATTAATTTTAGTTTTTGAGATAGAGTCTCACTCTGTCCCCCAGGCTGGAGTGCAGTGGCAAGATTTTGGCTCATTGCAACCTCTGCCTCAGCCTCCCAAGTAGCTGGGGCTACAGGCATCCACCACCATGCCCAGCTATTTCTTTTTTTCTTGGTAGAGACAGGGTTTCATCATGTTGCCCAGGTTGGTCTTAAATTCCTGACCTCAAGTGATCCTCCCTCCTCAGCCTCCCAAAGTGCTGGGATTACAGGCATGAGCCACCATGCCTGGCCTGATTTTTTTGTTTTTTAGTAGAGACGGAGTCTCACTATGTTGCACAGGCTGGTCTCAAATTCCTTGGTTCAAGTGATCCTCCCATCTTGGCCTCCCAAAGTGCTGGGATTACGGGCATGAGCCACTTCACCTGGCTGATACCTTTCCTCCATTATCTAAACTCCATAGTTTACATTAGGATTCACTCTTTGTGTCATGCAGTAAACTAATGAATTTTTATAATTGATTCAATTTTTTTTGAATGGGTGACATGTGCTCATGGTATAGGAAACCAAAACGACTGGAAAAGTGGATAGTAAACTTAAGTTTCCCTTCCACCCCTGTCCCGAGTTCTTTCAGGCCCTTTCCAGAGGCTGCCACCATTTTTCCTGGGTCCTCAAAGCTTTTCTCTCTCTCTCTCTCTCTCTTTTTTGTATTACCATTTATTGGTGACAAACACTAAGTTTTACTCGCATTCCATGAGGAGAAAAACTCCAGTGTAAACGATGAATGGAGGCAGTACTTAACTCGCAGGGGTACCAGGCTTTCCATATGGACCACACACAGAGCCTCAGTGCACACACTTCTTTTTTCATTTTTATTTTTTTGAGACGGAATCTCGCTTTGTGACCCAGGCTGGAGTGCAGTGGCATGTTCTCGGCTCACTGCAACCTCTGCCTCCCGAGTTCAAGCGATTCTCCTGCCTCAGCCTCCTGAGTAGCTGGGACTACAGGCGAATGCTGCCACGCCCTGCTAATTTTTTGTATATATATATATTTTTTTTTTTTTTTTTTTTTGAGACAGAGTCTCACTCTGTCACCGAGGCTGGAGTGCAGTGGCGCGATCTCGGCTCACTGCAAACTCCGCCTCCCGGGTTCACGCCATTCTTCAGCCTCAGCCTCCCGAGTAGCTGGGACTACAGGCGCCCGCCACCTCGCCCGGCTAATTTTTTTTATTTTTAGTAGAGACGGGGTTTCACCGTGTTAGCTAGGATGGTCTCGATCTCCTGACCTCGTGATCTGCCCGCCTCGGCCTCCCAAAGTGCTGGGATTACAAGCGTGAGCCACCACGCCCAGCCTAATTTTTTTGTATTTTAGTAGAGATGGTGTTTCACCGTGTTGTCCAGGCTGGTTGCGAACTCCTGAGCTCAGGCAATCCGCACCCCCCTCGGTCTCCCAAAGTGCTGGGATTACAGGCGTGAGCCACCGCACCCGGCCCAGTGCACACACTTCTGTGTATAGTAACACAACATCAAAAGCAACACAACTGTATAAAGAAACATAGGTCATACTTTTCAGCCCTAATCGAGATGTAATTAATAGTATCGAGCACTCTGGAAAATCAGTCTGCAGTTTTATGTGAACTATGTGGAGATCATATCCTGTAGTGTAGTGAAAGCTAAGTCCTCAAGAGCCGTATGTATAGACACATGATTTTCTTAAAGAATATTTAAAATGGAGATCAAAGTTCATTTGTTTAAGTCCTGTTTGCATTAACAAAAATAAAAATAAAATAAAAATGGAAGCAAATGATCATCTAAAGTTTAAAATTCCTAAATTGTCCAATTTATACAACTGTGGGAGACTTATTCAAGGTTTTTGAAAGTCCAGGACTGTTTCAGCTGAACCATAGGGCACGTAATTTGCATCACTGAAATGGTGCTGGGTTAGTCAATGAAATAAAAATGTCTAACTACATACACGTGGATATGATCTTTGTCGGTTAGATTATTGATAAAGTCAGTCTCAGAAAAGTTTCCAAACTGTGCGATATAATTAGATACAGTTGAGAAACTCTCAAATGAAAATTTTATATAGTGTCGTCGGGCACGGTGGCTCATGCCAGTAATCCCAGCACTTTGGGAGGCCGAGGCGGGTGGATCACGAGGTCAGGAGTTCAAGACCAGCCTGGCCAAGATGGTGAAACCCCGTCTCTATTAAAAGTACAAAAACTAGCTGGGTGTGGTGGCCCAGCTACTCGGGAGGCTGAGGCAGACAATTGCTTGAACCTGGGAGGCAGAAGTTGCAGGGAGCCAAGACTGTGCCGTTGCACTCCAGCCTGGGTGACAGAGTGAGACTTTGTCTTGAAAGAAAGAAAGAAAGAAAAAGAAAGAAAGAAAGAAGGAAGGAAGGCAGGAAGGAGGAAAATTTTATATAGTGTCATACCAATAAAAAGGAAATAATGAAACTAAGAATACAGATCACTGTTGGAAGAGAAAGCAGTGGTGATGGTGTGGGCACTGCAGGAAGTGGTGGGGCCGTGGCACACTAGAAGTTAGGTCATGCTGAATAGGAAGCATTTGACTTTCTCTGGTGCTTTTAGCTCTGGGGCTGGTTGAAGGCCTCTCTCTGGTGTGGCTGTCCAGGGTTTGTCCCAACTAAGCCAGCTTGAGAAGGGGTCATGCTTTCAGTTTCTTCTTTCACACGGGAAAAAAAAGACCAAACAGGAAGGTGCCCAGGGCGTGGATCTGCTGGTGCCCCAGGAGAGCCAGCTGGCTGGGCAGCCCTTCTTCCCCAAAGGCAGCTGGTATTGCGTAGGGACAGCCAGGTCACCGAGTGGCCGTCACAACAAACCCCAGCACAGTCCAGCCCGGCCACAGCCACCTCCCCTGTTGTGTTCCCTGCTGCTGCCCACATCCTTTACCCACCGTCTCTCGGCCCACTAGAGGTATCAGAAATTCCAAATTTTCAAAGCAGTTTTAATATTTTCAGTGTATATGTTGGGATTTTATAATGGTTCATGGCCAGAAAAGGTTCAGCACCTCCCACACACAGACATTGATCCATTTCCTGTTCTTGGCATCTCTGTACTTTGTTGGTCCAACTCAGACAGCAACTTTAAGGTGTTCAGTGCAGCTGGCCAGGCACGGTGGCTCACGCTTGCAATCCCAGCACTTTGGGAGGCCGAGGTGGATGGTTCGCCTGAGGTCAGGAGTTCAAGACCAGCCTGGCCAATATGGTGACACCCCGTCTCTACTAAAAAGTACAAAAATTAGCCAGGTGTGGTGGCGCATGCCGGTAATCTTAGCTACCCAGGAGGCTGAGGCAGGAGAATTGCTGGAACCCGGGAGGCAAAGGCTGCAGTGAGCTGAGATAGCACCACTGTACTCCAGCCTGGGCAACAGAGCGAGACTCTGTCTTTTTTTTATTTTCTTTTGAGATGGAGTCTCGCCCTGTCACCCAGGCTGGAGGGCAGTGGCGCGATCTCGGCTCACTGCAAGCTCTGCCTCCTGGGTTCACGCCATTCTCCTGCCTCAGCCTCCTGAGTAGCTGGGACTACAGGCGCCCGCCACCACGTCCGGCTAATTTTTTGTATTTTTAGTAGAGATGGGGTTTCACCATGTTAGCCAGGATGGTCTTGATCTCCTGACCTCGTGATCTGCCCGCCTCAGCCTCCCAAAGTGCTGGGATTACAGGCATGAGTCACCGCGCCCGGTCGAGACTCGGTCTTGAAAAATAAAAAAGAAAAAGAAAAAGATGTTTAGTGCAGCCATATCATAGCAGGACTCAACATCCTTGCCAATACTATGTGTTAGATATAAGAGAATAAGTACATTCTATGTCTTTGTACTTTAACCAAGATATTTGTACTAGACATGCTCACAGGCACATAGTACATTCTACGTCCTTGTACTTTAACCAAGATATCTGTGCTGGATGTGCTCACAGGCATGTCCCAGCTCGCAGCCCATGCCCTTTCCTTATTTGGAAATATTATTGCTTTTCTAAGTCCTTTTGTAAGCAACTTCCTCTTTTCCTTTGCTCTCTATTGCCTTTACCTATTTAGGAAAGTTTTAAATTATTAGCCAGTCAGGTTTAATTTAGATTGTGAGGTCTTGCTTCAGCCAATGGAGACAGGACACAGTAGCAAGGACAAACTGCATAAGGGATAAAAATTGCTTCCCTCCTTTGTTCAGGTGTGCTCTCGCCATTATTCCATCTGCAAGGAGCACCCTTTATGCAGAAAGTAAAATTGCCTTGCTGAGAAAACTTATTATCTGAATGCTGATTTTTACTTGCAGTACCGAGGAACAAGCATTCTATTTCTGAATAAACATTTTACTTATAACACTATGGCTGATCAGAGGCGGCTGAGAGGAGCAATGGATAAGAGATACAAATTCATTCTTGTTGTTTTTGGGGAAGTCTTTGTATTCAACCTGGAATCCCTGGACTCTGGAAAGATAGTCCACTTGCTCAGAGGATCTCATGAGAGGTCCATGGGGTACGTGGCCTGAAGAGATGTTATTCTTTTTTTTTTTTTTTTTTTGAGACGGAGTCTGTTGCCAGGCTGGAGTGCAGTGGCACGATCTTGGCTCACTGCAACCTCTGACTACCTGGTTCAAGCGATTCTCCTGCCTCAGCCTCCCAAGCAACTGGGATTACAGGCACGCATGGCTGATTTTTTGTATTATCAGTAGAGAAGGGGTTTTGCCATGTTGGCCAGGCTGGTCTTGAACTCCTGACCTCAGGCAATCCGCCCACCTCAGCCTCCCAAAGTGCTGGGATTACAAGTGTGAGCCACCGTGCCCGACCTCAAATGATAATTCTAGGGTTTCCCCACAGTGGCTGCACTATTTTTTTTTGTGGGTGCCAGACAGAAGTGTTCTTGTTTGAGGGACAGGAGGACCCCAGCTGTGGAAAGTATAGGACTTCCCCAATGTACCTTTCATGGTGGTCTTCCCATGGGCATCTGGTGGACCTCTTGTCATGATTCCCATTTTGTAGTGGAGAAACTGGAGGCTTCCAGAGAGTGTCCCAACTGGGGACTCACAACATGTGGTCCTGCCTGGGGGCAGAGCCAGGGGTTGTTTGTCCTGGGAAGGACTTCAGCCCATGTCTGGTAGGGGGACGGGGAGGTGAAGCGGACACAGGGCTCCACAACTCCCCTCTCTCACCCTCCCCAAGCACCCATCTCCCCATGTACCCAGCCACCTGGAGCAGGGATCCCTCTCTAGGGCTGGCACCTTCTCTTATCCCAATTCTTTCCCATTTCATTCATTCCAGAAGACATTTCCTTTGTTGAGATTTCAGCTGGGATTTTCCTGGGTGCGAGTTGGGGGCTCTAGCTGTGATTTCACTCAGAAGTCTTCCAGCTCTCTTTAAGGCTTACTGGGAAGATGGAGTGAATGATAGTGAAAATCATCACACATAACAGGCACTCAATGATTCTTTGGAGAGTGATCTAGGGGAGGTGGCTGATTGTGGTGCAAAGGAGTGGACCATCAGGGCAGAGCTGGGGTTGGAGGATGAGGAGCTGGTGTGGGCACAGCTGAGGAAAGGAATGTGGATGGAGGGAACAGAATGTGCAAAGGCTCTGAGACGGGAAGTTGCTTGGCCTGTGGAAGGAGTGGCCTGGAGCAGCCTGAGGTGAGCAAGTGAGGAGGAGGGTGGTGGGAGACAGGGCTAGAGGCATCAACAGGGGTAAGCCATGTAGGTTGTTGTGGTCCATGACAAAAAGTCTAAATTTAGCTGGATGAGGTGACTCATGCCTAGAATCCCAGCACTTTGGAAAGCTGAGGTGGGAGGATTGTCTGAGACCAGGAGTTCAAGACCAGCCTGGACAACATAGCCAGACCCCATCTCTACCAAGAATTTAAAAATTAGCTGGGCATGGTGGTGCATGCCTGTAGTCCCAGCTACTGGGGAAGCTGAGGTAGGAGGATCTCTGGAGCTCAAGAGTTTGTGGCTGCAGTGAGCTATGATTGCACCACTGCACTTCTGCCTGGGTGACACAGCAAGACCCTGCCTCTAAAAGAAAAACCGTGATAAAAGGCCGGGCACGGTGGCTCACGCCTGTAATCCCAGCACTTTGGGAGGCCGAGGCGGGCGGAACACGAGGTCAGGAGATCGAGACCATCCTGGCTAACACGGTGAAACCCCATCTCTACCAAAAATACAAAAAAAAAAAAAAATTACCTGGGCGTGGTGGCAGGCGCCTGTAATCCCAGCTACTCAGGAGGCTGAGGCAGGAGAATAGTGTGAACCCGGGGAGCGGAGTTTGCAGTGAGCCGAGATCGCGCCACTGCACTCCAGTCTGGCGACAGAATGAGACTTTGTCTCAAAAAAAAAAAAAAAAAAAAAAGAAACAAAACAAAACACAGAAAAAAAAAAAAAAGAAAAACCGTGAAAACAAAAGAGTCTAAATTTCATTTAGAGCAAAGTGGGGAGCCATGGGAGAATTTTGAGCAGGGAAGGTTCATGATCTGATTTAATTTGAGGAAGATCCCTCTGGCTGTGTGTGCAGAATGGACTTCTTGCAGGGAGAAAGGATGGAACTCAGGGGACCAGTGGGAACGGGCCACTGCAGTGCTGGCCTGCTGTGGGTTGGGATGATGGGGATGGAGAATGATGAATGGATTCTGAAGATGTTTAGGATGGACAACTAGCAGGACCCGGCAACAGATTGGATGTGGCTGAAAGGGGGAGGAAGAGGGTGAGGTGAATCTGAGAGTCTAGGAGATGCCCCCAGGGGGATGTTCAGGAGCTGGCTGGACCTGGCAGTGCTGGACACTGAGACATGGGAATTGCCTTTGAGATAGGATTTCTGAAACCACGGGAGGGGTGAGATCCTCAGGATGTGGGCACAGAGGAAAGGGGGGACAACGTGGCTCTTAGAAGCCCCAACATTTACAAACCGGGTGAAGAAAGACGGGCTCAAAGCAGACTGAGAATGGGATTTTTTTTTTTTTTTTTGAGACAGAGTCTCACTCTGTCACCCAGGCTGGAGTGCAATGATGCGACCTCAGCTCACTGCAACCTCTGCCTCCCACGCTCAAGCGATTCTCCTGCCTCAGCCTCCCGAGTAGCTGGGACTACAGGCGCCCGCCACCATGCCTGGTTAATTTTTGTATTTTTAGTAGAGATGGGGTTTTGCCGTGTTGGCCAGGCTGGTCTCGAACTCCTGACCTCAAGTGATCCACCCGCCTTGGCCTTCCAAAGTGCTGGGATTACAGATGTGAGCCACTGTGCTCAGCCAGAGGAGGGGACTTTTTGAGGCTGAAGTGGAGGATGGGCAGGAGTGAGTTCCTGAAGGGCTTTGGATGCCAGGCTGAGGGGAGTAGGGAGCCATGCAGGGTGTTAGAGCATAGGAGTCACAGGCTGTTAGAAAGGGGATTGTGGTGGCTGGAATGGGACTGAACTGCAGCCAGGTGGCTCCTGGGGGTGGATGTGATGATTCATGTGACCCCTGTTGGCTGAATATGTTGACTCCCTCTCAGCACTTTTGGGCCTGCCAAGATGGTAACACCCACCCCACACCCACTGACCGGGCTGCAGACGAAAAGGTCACACTGGTGTGGACCCAGAGATCATCTTTTTATAGTCACCCCGAGGTACAAACAGGGAAACTGAGGACCAGGCCACATAGCCAATTGGTGAGGAGGCAGACATAGAATCCAGATGTTCATCGTGTATGTTTGTGTCTGTGTGTGTGTGCGCGTGCACAAGTACATGCATGCATTTAAAAAGAAAGTCTCAGCCCGGCGTGGTGGCTCAAGCCTGTAATCCCAGCACTTTGGGAGGCCGAGGCGAGCAGATCACGAAGTCAGCAGATCGAGACCATCCTGGTTAACACGGTGAAACCCCGTCTCTACTAAAAATACAAAAAAAATTAGCTGGGCGTGGTGGTGGGCGCCTATAGTCCCAGCTACTCAGGAGGCTGAGGCAGGAGAATGGCATGAACCCGGGAGGAGGAGCTTGCAGTGAGCTGAGATCGCGCCACTGTACTCCAGCCTGGGCGACAGAGCAAGCCTCCATCTCAAAAAAAAAAAAAAAACAAAAACTAAAAAAAGAAAGTCTCTTTCCCTTTTTTTGCTGTTTTTTTTTTTGAGACGGAGTTTTGCTCTTGTCACCATTTATTGGTGACAAACACTAAGTTTTACTTGCATTCCATGAGGAGAAAAACTCCAGCGTAAACAATGAATGGAGGCAATACTTCACTCACAGGGGTACCAGGCTTTCCATACGGACCACACACAGAGCCTCAGTGCACACACTTCTTTTTTCATTTTTATTTTTTTGAGATGGAATCTCGCTCTGTCACCCAGGCTGGAGTGCAGTGGCACGATCTCGGCTCACTGCAACCTCCGCCTCCCAAGTTCAAGCGATTTTCCTGCCTCAGCCTCCCGAGTAGCGGGTACTACAGGCGAATGCTGCCATGCCCTGCTAATATTTTGTTTTGTTTTTTTGTTTTTTTTTTTTGAGACAGAGTCTCGCTCTGTCGCCAGGCTGGAGTGCAGTGGCACGATCTCGGCTCACTGCAACCTCCGCCTCCTGGGTTCGAGCAATTCTCCTGCCTCAGCCTCCTGAGTAGCTGGGATTACAGGTGCCCGCCACCACACCTGACTAATTTTTTGTATTTTTAGTAGAGACGGGGTTTCACCATGTTAACCAGCATGGTTTCGATTTCCTGACCTCATGATCTGCCTGCCTTGGCCTCCCAAAGTGCTGGGATTACAAGTGTGAGCCACCACGTCCAGCTGTGATTGGCTTATTTCACTGAACAGGATGCCCTCAAGGTTCAACCCTGGTGTAGCATGTGTCAGAATGTCCTTGCTTTTGAAGGCCGAATAGTATTCCATTATGTGGATGGACCCTATTTTGTTTATACATTCATTTGTTGGTGGGTACTTGGGTTACTTCCACCTTTTTTTTTTTTTTTTTTGAGACGGAGTCTCGCTCTGTCACCCAGGCTGGAGTGCAGTGGTTCGATCTCAGCTCACTGCAACCTCCGCCTCCCAGGTTCAAGCGATTCCTGGGCCTCAGCCTCCCCATTAGCTGTGATTACAGGTACCTGCCACCACACCTGGCTAATTTTTTGTATTTTTAGTAGAGACGGGGTTTCGCCATGTTGGCCAGGCTGGCCTCGAACTCTTGACCTCAGGTGAGCTGCCCCCTCAGCCTCCCAAAGTGCTGGGAGTACAGGCATGAGCCACCCCGCCCAGCCTACTTCCACGTTTTAGTGATTATGACTTGTGCTGCTCTGAACATGAGTGTGCAAATATCTCTTCGAGACACTGCTTTCAATTCTTTGGGGGTATATCCCCAGAAGTAGAATGGATGGATTATAGGGTAATTCTATGTTTAATTTTAATTTTTTTTAAGATACAGGATCTCCCTATGTCACCCAGGCTGGGGTGCAGTCGCACGATCATAGCTCACTGCAGCCTCGAACAACTGGGCTCAAGCAATCTTCCCATCTCAGCCTCTAGAGTAGCTGGGATCACAGACATGCACCACCATGCTCAGCTTGTTTAATCTTAAAAGGAACCACCAGTGGCCGGGCGTGGTGGCTCACGCCTGTAATCCTAGCACTTTGGGAGGTGGAGGTGGGTGGATGGCCTGAGGTGAGGAGTTCGAGACCAGCCTGGCCAGCATGGTGAAACTCTGTCTCTGCTAAAAATACAAAAATTAGCCCAGCATGGTGGCGGGTGCCTATAATCCAAGCTACTCGGTAGGCTGAGGCATGAGAATTGCTTGAACCCAGGAGGCGGAGGTTGCAGTGAGCTGAGACTGTGCCACTGCACTCCAGCCTGGGCAACAAAAGCGAAACTTTGTCTCAGAAAAAAAAAAAAAAAAAAAGGAAACACCATATGGTTTTCCCCAGTGCACAACAGTTCCAATTTGTTCACATCCTCAACCACACTTATTTTCTGTTTTTTTGTTTCAGTTGCAACCATCTTAAGACTGGTCATGTAGTCTGTATTTTAAGTCATAATATCCATCCCAATTGGGATCTCCAAATCTGATGATGACCCACCCAGCTGTTTTCCCAGGAAGTGTTAACTAATAAAAATTTCACTTCTGCAGCTGGGCGAGGTGGCTCACACCTGTAAATCTCAGCACTTGGGAGGCAGAGGTGGGAGGATTGCTTGAGCCTAGGAATTTGAGATCAGCCTGGGTAACGTCATGAGACTCTGTCTCTACAGAAAATAGAAAAAATTAGCTGGGCATGATGGTGTGCACCTATAGTCCCAGCTACTCTGGAGGCTGAGGTGGGAGGATTGCTTCAGCCTGGGAGGTTGAGGCTGCATTGAGCCGTGATAGTACTCTTTAGGGTCACTATTTAGCCTGCGTGATAGAGTGAGACCCTGTCTCAAAAAGAAATTTCACTTCTTTATTTTTATTATTTTTATTTTGTTTCGAGACGGAGTCTCACTCTATCGCCCAGGCTGGAGTGCAGTGGCACGATCTCAGCTCACTTCAACCTCCGCCTCCCAGGTTCCAGCTATTCTCCTGCCTCAGCCTCCCGAGTAGCTGGGATTATAGGCGCACGCCACCACGCCCGGCTGATTTTTGTATTTTTAGTAGAGATGGGGTTTCACCATGTTGTCCAGGCTGGTCTTGAACTCCTGAACTCAAGTGATCTGCCCACCTCGGCCTCCCGAAATGTTGGGATTACAGGTGTGAGCCACTGCACCCGGCCAACAAATTTCACTTCTGCATGGAAAATGTGGTTTGGCGTTGGCTGGCAGAAGACCTAAGTGAGGCGTGGTGTGGTGGCTCATGCCTGTAATCCCAGCACTTTGGGAGGCTGAGGTGGGCGGATCACTTGAGGTCAGGAGTTCAAGACCAGCCTGGCCAACATGGTGAAACCCCGTCTCTATTAAAATACACAAAAAATAATTAGCTGGATATGGTGGCAGGTGCCTGTAACCCCAGCTACTTGGGAAGCTGAGGTGGGAGAATCGCTTGAACCCAGGAGGCAGAGGCTGCAGTGAGCTGAGATCGCACCAATGCACTTCAGCCTGGGCAACAAGAGCAAGACTCTGTCTCCAAACAAAAAACAAAAAAACTCACAACAAGATCCCATGAGAACTCACTCACTCACTATCTGGAAGACAGCGCCAAGGGGATGGTGTTAACCATTCATGAGAAACCAGCCCCGTGATCCAATCACCTTCCACTAGACCCCATCTCCAACACTGGGGATTCCAGTTCAACATGAGGTTTGGGTGGGGACACAGATCCAAACCATATCAGATTCTCTGAGATGAGGCTGGTACTGCCCGGAGCATGGTGGTGCACGGCAGATGACAAGCCCTTCCTGCCTGCTCACTGTTTTATTAACATTATGGTTACCTGACTGCTTTGTTTTGGTTCCTTAGGAGCTGGCCCTAAAGCAAGGACCTGAGTGCAAGTAATTTTTTTGGGAAGTAATAACAGAAAATACCAGCAAGGAAGAAGACAGTGAACCCAAAAGAATTGAAAACAGGTACTCAGATAAATACATGTACACACATGTTCAGAGTAGCATATTTCATAATAGCCAAAATGTAGAAACAGCCCAAATGTCTGTCCACAGATGAATGAATAAAGAAAATGTGGGGCCAGGTGTGGTGGCATGCACCTGTAGTCCCAGCTACCCAGGAGGCTGAGACAGGAGGATCACATGAGGCTGGGAGGTCAAGGCTGGAGCGAGTCGTGATCATGCCACTGCACTCCAGCCTGAGTGACAGAACCAGACCCTGTCTCAAAAGAAAAAAAAAAAAAAGGAAATGTGGAATATCCATACAATGGAATATTACTCAGCAGTACAAGGAATTAAGCTCTGATTGATGCTACAATGTGGATGAACCTCAAAAACAGGATGCCGAGTGAAGGAAGCCAGACACAAAAGGCTGCATAGCATTTAATAGATTTATATGAAATATCCAGAATACTTAAATCCATAGAGACAGAAAGCAGATTAGTGGTGCCAGGGGCTCCAGGGAGGGAGAATGGGAAGTGGCTACTAACAGGGATGGGGTTTTGTTTTGGCATAATGAAAATGTTCTGAAACTAGCTGGGTGAGGTAGCTCATGCGTGTAATCCCAGCACTTTGGGAGGCCAAGGCGGGAGGATCGCTTGAGCCCAGGAGTTCGAGACCAGCCTGGGCAACATGGCAAAATCCTGTCTCTACAAAAAAATACAAAAATTAGCTGGGCCTGGTGGCATGCACCTGTAGTCCCAGCTACTTGGGAAACTGAGGTGGGAGGATTGCTTGAGCTGGGGAGGTTAAAGCTGCAGTGAGCCGTGATCATGCCACTGCACTCCAGCTGGGTGACAGAGGAGACCTTCTTTCAAAAAGAAAGAAAGAAAGAAGGAGAGAGAGAGAGAAAGAAAGAAAGAAAGAAAGAGAGAGAGAAAGAAAGAAGTCCTGAAACTAGATGGAGGTGGTAGTTGCATTATATGTAAATGTACTCAATGCCACTGAATTATTCCCTTTAAAATAATTAATTTTGTGTTATGCGAATCTCATCTCAACTGAAAAAGAAGAAAAAGAAAAAGAAAGAGGGGGAAAGGACGTGGCCAATAGGGAGTTTCCACTGTGGGCAGCTGGAGTTTAATCTCATTGGGGAAGCCTAGAGTGAGTGTGGAACCTATATCTCAGGGTCATTGCACCCAAGGGGTGAGGGAGCTGGGGTATTTATCCACCAATGAGCCTCAGTCATTGGTTGAGAGCTGCTCCTTTGGGAGGGGTGTCTTGGTTTCCCAGCCTGACCGGCTATGCCTGGGCAGAGAATGCCCTATGGTAGAGAAGTCAAGAGGGTGGCCTTGTAAAAGTCAAGGCTGAGAGCATACGAGCAGGGCCCCGAGTGCATCCATCTGTCCAGCTGGTTGGAGATCATGGCTGGGGGATGAAGAGGTATCCTTGGTGTCTGGAACTCACGTGTGCTGGGAACCTTCTGTGCACTAGGCACACCATGCATTACCCCATGGGTCATCGTCTTGTGCATGGCACCGACCCCCTGACCCTGTGTGTCCCCAGGATGCTGCCCATCACAGACCGCCTGCTGCACCTCCTGGGGCTGGAGAAGACGGCGTTCCGCATATACGCGGTGTCCACCCTTCTCCTCTTCCTGCTCTTCTTCCTGTTCCGCCTGCTGCTGCGGTTCCTGAGGCTCTGCAGGAGCTTCTACATCACCTGCCGCCGGCTGCGCTGCTTCCCCCAGCCTCCCCGGCGCAACTGGCTGCTGGGCCACCTGGGCATGGTAAGTGTGGCCAGGCAGGACTGGGCTGGGCTGGGCTGGGCATGTGCAGGGTAATAGGTAGGGATGGTGGGCCTGCTGGCTTCCCACAGCCTCCCAAGAATCTGGTTGGGGCTAGCAGCAGATTTATATGATGGGGTATGAGGCTGAGGCTCAGAGAGGGCAAGCAGTTTACCCAAGGTCACACAGGTGGGAGGAGGCAGAACTAACTTTAAAGATGAATTATTTTGGGAGGCTGAGGTGAGAGGATTGCTTGAGGCCAGGAGTTTGAGACCAGCTTGGGAAACATAGTGAGACCCCCTCTCTACAAAAAATTCAAAAATTATATGGGTGTGGTGGTGCACACTTGTAGTCTCAGCCACTTGGGAGGCTGAGGTAGGAGGATTACTTGAGCTTAGGAGTTCGAGACCAGCCTGGGAAACACAGTGAGACCCCATCTCTATAAGAAAAATTACAAAAATTAGCTGAGTGCAGTGGCACACACCTGTAATCCCAGCTACTTGGGAGGCTGAGGCGCGAGGATTGTTTGAGCCTGGGAGTTTGAGGCTGCAGTGAGCTATGATTGTGCCACCGCATTCTAGCCTGGGTGACCTAGGGAGACCCTGTCTCTCTAAGGAAAAAAAAAAGAACTCTCTCTATAATTTTATAGCTATCACTGTACAATAGGTACCTTTACCTTTGGAGTTTGGAATCCCAGGGCAGGGTTGGAGGAGGAGAGGGGAACACATCCTATTCCCAATGTGGTTCCACTCTTCTCCCTTGAATGCTGTGGTCCTAGGTGAGGACTCTTACCCTTTTATTGCATTGAATTTTTTTCTTTTTGAGACAGGGTCTCGCTATGTTGCCTAGGCTGATCTTGAACTCCTAAGCTCAAGCAATCCTTTGGCCTCAGCCTGCTGAGTCCTTTTTAATTTTGCAGATATGTGCCAAGTATTTTTCCAGGCAAATATTAACTCATTCAGTTCTCTTGACAATTCTAGGAAGTAGGTCCCATGACTAGCCCCATTTTGCGTGGAAGATTACTGAGGCACAGAGAGGTTAAGTAGCTGACCTTAGGTCACACAGCTTGTAAGTGGCAGAGCTGGGGTTCAAACCCAGCCTGTCAAGCTCTAGCCTCCTTGATCTCAGTTCTACCCTCTGATGCCTCTAGTTTCTGTAGTTAGTTTCTAGATGAGATAGGCTAGACTTTTCCTTTTTTTTTTTTTTTTCGAGACAGTCTTTCTCTGCTACCTAGGCTAGAGTGCAGTGGTACAATCATGGCTCACTGCAGCCTCTACCTCCTGGGCTCAAGGGATCCTCCTGCCTCAGCCTCCCAAGTAGCTGCGACTGCAAGCCTGCAAGTGCATGCCCCCACGCCTGGCTAATTTTTGTACTTTTAGTAGGGACAGGGTTTCACCGTGTTGGCCAGACTGATCTCAAACCCCTGACCTCAAGTGAACCACCGTGCTCAGCCTCCCTGTTTTTAGTTCTACTCTCTGATGCCTCTACTTTCTGGATGAGATAGGCTGGACTTTCCCTTTTGGACTTTTCTCCTTCATTTCTTCCATCCCTTACCCCTGCTCAGGCCTTACCCTCTACTGCTGGTCCATGGTCCAGCCCCCTCCTTGAGTTCCTACCTCCAGTTTCATCCCTTCGGTCCGTCTCCCATCCTGGCCCCAGAGGGATTCTTGGATTCAACCACATCCCTGCCCCTGCTTACACACCCTCCATGGCTCCCTATTGCCATTCAGAAAAAGGCTGGTGTTCAAGGCCCTTTTGGCTCCAACCTCCATCCTCCTCACTTGTTCCACCATCCCTCCCTAGCTCCATAGAATCACTTCCCACTCCTGTAACAAGGCTCCCACCTCCAAGGCCTTTCCCAAAACTGTACTCTCTGTCCAGGTATCCTTCTCTGCTAGATCAACTTCTGCTCATTTTTCATGCCCCATCTCCAGTGCCCTTACTCTAGAAAGCCCTCTCTGGGTTTGATGGTTGTCCTAGAGGGAGTGGCCAGGCTCTAGTGCCTGGAGGAGTTGGCCAGGGTCAGCTCTAAAGCCCAGCCTTGACGTTGTCCTGCCCAGCTCCTGGGCCCACGGGGGCTGGGTGAGGCTGCAATTGAGCCCTGGGTGTGGACATGATCAAGGCTGAGCCTGACGGGGAAGGAGACACAGGAGCTGGAAAGGAGTCATTTGTTGGTTGAATCATTTGGCAATTGCTGAGCCTTATCACTGGCTAGGCACTGGGTTAGGCTCCTTTGTAGCTGAGCTCTTCTCTAATTCTCATAGCCTGTGAAGTGGGGATGGATCTGTCCTATTTCATGGATTCACACTTTTATGGATTTGAGCACAGAGAGGTTAAGTGGCTTGCTCAAAGTCACACAGCCGCTGAGGGTGGGTTTGAACTTGGATTTTTCTGACGTTGAGCCTGAAGCTTTCCTGCCTCATACAGCAGGTGAGGAAGTGCAGTTTTGTAGCTAGGTGGCCTGGGTTCAGGTACTAGCTTTGCAGATGATGCCAAAGCTTGCCCATATTCCTCTCAACCCATTTTTGGATGCAGTGGCCTGACGTCCAGCTGCCAGCTCCTGCATTCTAGGGGCTGTCTCTGGTGGCTGGAGCCCACTCTGCAAGTGAAATAAAGGCTGGGCACAGTGGCTCACACCTGCAATCCCAGCACGTTGGGAGGCCAAGGCAGGAGAATTGCTTGAGCCCGGGAGTTTGAGACCAGCTTGGGCAACATAGCAAGACCCAGTTTTTACAAAAAAATTAAAAATTAGCCAGGCTTGGTGGTGCATACCTAGAGTCCCAGTGCCTGTCCTGCCACTGTCGCTTCTGTGAGCTTGGGAATTAACGCCCCCAGGAGTGACCCTCAACCAATGACTGATGGGCATTGGTGTATAAATACCTCAGCTCCCTTGCCCTCAGGTGGAGTGACTCTGAGGTGCAATGCGCTACTCTGCCCTCCAAAGCTCCCCAGTGGGACCGAGCCCTGGTTGCCCTTGGTGGTAATTTCCTTGACAACTCATCCTTTACTGGTGGTCTTCTTCCCCTATCTCATGACCCATGTTTTTGGGGATCATGCCCCAAATAAACTACCTGCCCTAGAACCCTTGTCTCAGGACTTCCTTCTGGGGGAGCCTCAACCAGAACAGTCACCTACTTAACTTGCAACTTCAGAAAAACCATTCGACCTTGCTGAACAAAATAAAATGAGGAAAATAATAGCAACGGTCTCATAGGGTTCTTGTACTGATCAAATATGCCAGTACATGAAAAGTCTCCACCACAGTGACCAACACAGTGCAGGCACCTGTATGTGGTAAAGATAGCAACAGTAGTAATATCTTATTACTCACATAGCAAGTACTTGATAAATGCCAACCATGATCATTATTGTGTTTATCATTACTATTTTTATTTTTATTTTTTAAGAGACAGGGTCTTGCTCTGTCACCCAGGTTGGAGTGCAGTGGGGTGATCATAGCTCACTGCAGCCTTGACATCCCAAGCTCAGGTGGTCCTCCTGCCTCAGCCTCATGAGTAGCTGTGACTACAGGCATGTCCCACCAAGCCTGGCTAATTTTATCTTCTTATTTTATTTTATTTTTTTTTTTTGAGGTGGAGTTTTGCTCTTGTCGTCCAGGCTGGAGTGCAATGGCATGATCTCGGCTCACTGCAACCTCTGCCTCCTGGGTTCAAGCGATTCTCCTGTCTCAGTCTCCTGAGTAGCTGGGATTACAGGCGCCCACCACCAAGCCCAGCTAATTTTTGTATTTTTAGTAGAGATGGCCTTTCACCATGTTGTCCAGCCTGGTCTCGAACTCCTGACCTCAGGTGATCTGCTTGCCTTGGCCTCCTGAAGTGCTGGGATTACAGATGTGAGCCACTACACTTGGCTACTATTTTTAGCTATTGAACATCAGCCATGGGTCAGGCCCATGCTGGGGCTCTTGCTTTGTTATTTCATGAATCCTTTCTACTGCCCTCAGAGGGAGAGTTGATTCTCCTCCATTTTTTCAGATGAGGAAATGGAGGCCCAGGGAGGTGCAGCCAACTGCCTGAAATCATAATGTAGCACTATTGGGCTTGTTTTGAGACTACAGGAGGTGGCAGGAGGAAGGCAGTGGGGGAAGCTGGGGCTGGGTACCTCCTCATTGCTCCTCCCTTACCTCTTGCAGTACCTTCCAAATGAGGCGGGCCTTCAAGATGAGAAGAAGGTACTGGACAACATGCACCATGTACTCTTGGTATGGATGGGACCTGTCCTGCCGCTGTTGGTTCTGGTGCACCCTGATTACATCAAACCCCTTTTGGGAGCCTCAGGTACGTGGGCTGGGCCTCCGATCTATGGTTGAGTCCTCAACTCCCAGAGCCTATCTGAGATTCTAGGCAGGTGGGATATCCAGAGGAAGGGTCATTTGAATAGGGCTTTGAAGGATGAATAAGAGTTTGGCAAAGCAAGCATGGCAATCCAGATTGTGAGAACAGTATGGGCAAAGATGTGGCAATGACTAAGAGTTCCAGAAACTTCGAGGGAATGTCCATCCATCTGGCAGTCAGAGCCAGGCACGTTTGGATAGGCAGTTGTTCCTTATGGTTTTGTTAAGTAAGTGTTACTCAATCCCTGGCCGTGGCACGCCCATCATTTGGTTCTGACATTCCCATTATGGCCAGGACTCTTGGTGACTCAGCCTGCAGCCTGCTGTCATCACTTGGGCTGACTCTGACTGGCAGGGAGGGAGATGTGGAAGAATTCCTTCTTCCTCGTGCAGTCCACACCTATCCCAAGATGTGAGACTTCCAAGTCTGCTTGGCAAGCTCTTGCTCAGCCTTCAACACCCAGCTCCAATGGCCGCCTCCTCCAGGAATCTTTCCCTGGCTTCCCAGACAGACCTATTCTCAGTCCTAACCCTTTGGACCTGGGTATGTCTGTGTCCAGCTCTATCTTCCTCATGAGCGGGACTCTGGATCCTCAGTGTGGCCTTGTGTACCTGGTGTATTAGTCAGTTCTCACGCTGCTATGAAGGACTACCCTAGACTGGGTAATTTATAAAGGAAAGAGGTTTAATTGACTCACAGTTCCGCAGGGCTGGGGAGGCCTCAGAAAACTTACAATCATGGCGGAAGGGGAAGCAAACACGTCCTTCTTCACATGGCAGCAGGAAGGAGAAGTGCCAAGTAAAAGGGGGAAATTCGTTAAATCTCGTGAGAACTCATTCACTATCATGGGAACAGCAACATGGGGGTAACCGCCCCCATGATTCAATTACCCCCCACCGGATCCCTCGCATGACACATAGGGATTATCGGAATTATAATTCAAAATGAAATTTAGATGGGACACAGCCAAACCATATTACCTGGGCACCTCCAGAGGTATCGGGACATCTGAGAGAACTCACTCTCAAATGAACCAATGAGCTCCAGTAGGTCAGGCATGGTGGTTCACATCTGTAATCCCAACACTTTGGGAAGCTGAGGCAGGAGGGTTGCTTGAGGCCAGGAGTTTGAGACTAGCCTGGGCAACACAGCAAGACCCTGTCTCTCGAAAAAAATAAATAATTACCCAGTGGCAGTGATGTGCACCTGTAGTCTCGGCTACTTGGGTGGCTGAGATGGGAGGATCACTTGAGCTCAGGAGTTTAAGACCAGCCTGGGTAATCTAGCAAGACCCCATCTGTACAAAAGCATTTAAAAATATTAGCTGGGTGTTGTGGTGCATGCCTGCAGTCCCAGCTACTCAGGAGGCTGAGGTGAGAGGATTGCTTGAGCCCAGCAGATGGAGGCTGCAGTGAGCTATGATTGCACCACTGCTGTACTCCAGCCTGGGTGACAGAGCAAGGCTTAGTCTCTTAAAAAAAAAAAAAAAGTGGGAGATTCCAGGAATTTTAGGATCTCTGTCCCAGCTTTGCCTCTACAAACACGCATCTGGGGACCATCTCCAGGGCTGCCACCCAGGAGCTGTGAAAGAAGCTGCCATCTTCCCCTTCCACAGCTATTCCCTCTCAATGCCTTGTTGTCTCCCGTTATTACATTTGTGAAGGGATGACGATCCCTGTTGAACTAAGGGGAAAACCTAGACCTTGGGAGGGAGAATTGACTCTTCTGAGGGATGAATACCAACTTGTGGGAAGAGCCCTGGGCCAGGACTGAGGTGGGTTGGCTTCAAATTCTGGCCTTGGCACATGCTTGCTGTGAGACCCCAGCCATTTATCTAGCCTCTCTGGATCTCAGGTTTTGATCTGTAAAATGGGTGCAGTTGTGAAGCCTGAATAATATAATGTGGATAAGAGGCCACGTGCAGTGACTCATGCCTGCAGTCTCAGCACTTTGGGAGGCCACGGCAGGAGGATCACTTGAGCCCAGGAGTTCAAGACCAGCCTGGGCAACAGAGCAAGACTCTATCTTTACAAAAAATTTAAAAAATTAGCCAGGTGTGGTGGTGCGTGCCTATAGTCCCAGCTACTTAGGAGGCTGAGGTAGGAGGATTGCTTGAGTCCAAGAGGTTGAGGCTGCAGAGAGCTATGATTGTGCCATTGCATCCAGCATGGGCAACAGAGTGAGATTCTGTCTCTAAAAAAATTAAAAAAAAAATAATATGGATAGGCATTAGTAAGGGTTTCTCTTCTGCCTTTTTAATATATGTTTTTCTTTCTCTTTTCCTCCTTTCCTTTCTTCTTCCTCCCTCTTCTCCTCCTCCTTCTACTTCTCTCTCTACTCCTCTTTCCCCCTCCTCCCTTCTCTTCTTCTTTCTCTCCTCCTCCTTCTACTTCTTTCTTCTTCTCCTTCTCCTCCTTCTCCTTCTTCTCCTCCCCATCCCCCTCCTCCTCCTCCACCTTCTTCTTTTTCTTCCTCTTCTTTTTAGACAGAGTCTCACTCTGTCACCCAGGCTGGAGTGCAGTGGCATGATCTCAGCTCACTGCAACCTCTGCCTCCCGAGTTCAAGTGATTCTCCTGTCTCAGCCTCCCGAGTAGCTGAGACTACAAGTGTGCACCACCACACCTGGCTAATTTTTGTATTTTTTTTTTTCAGTAGAGACGGGGCTGCACCATATTGGCCAGGCTGGTCTTGAACTCCTGACCTTAAGTGATTCTCCTGCCTTGGCCTCTCAAAGTGCTGGGATTACAGGCGTGAGCTACAGCGCCTGGTCTCTCTTTTTTCTCCTTCCTCCTCCCTTCTCCTCCCCCTCAGAGCATCAGTTTCCTGAGCACCATCCTGCCTGGTTCTGAGACTCCAAACAGACCGAGGAGTAGTGCCCCAGCAGGGGCTGTCATGTAGTAGATGCTTAAGCCTCTTGCCCTCCCCTCATCCAGTGGAGGGAGGGGATATTCTGTGTACCCCATCAGAGAAGCCAGATAGGGAACTCCAGGATGGAAAAAAGGGTGGTGCTGTGAGTCAGCCTGGAGTGAGGCCTCTTGGCCCCAGGGTGCCCCCACCTGGAATTACACAGATCAGGCTCCAGTCACAGACACCACCCTGGATCAGGACCTCCTGGGGCCACACCTGGGAGTGGCTTGCTGTTCTGAGCTTGGAGCTGCACAGCCCTTGAGCCTGGAGGAGGGCCCAGCTCCTGTTGGAGCTTCAGTTTCCCCATCATCTTATGGGCCTTTGGACTAGGAAATTTTAATGAGAGAAAGTAGATAAACATGCTTTATAGAGAACATGATGATATATAGACATATAATTGTAGCTTGCTTTTATATCATCTTTTTAAAATGGAGGTGAAATTCATGTAACATATAATTAACCATTTACAAGTGAACAATCAGTGGTATTTAGTGTATTCACCATGTTGGGCAACCACCAGCATTTTCCAGTTTCAAAATTTTTAGTCACCTCATAAAAAAACTCTGTACCCATTGAGTAATCACTTCCCATTTCCCTCCTCCTCCCATCCGCTGGTAACCTCGAATCTGCTTTCTGTCTCTATGTATTTGCCTATTCTGGGTACATCATAGAAAGAGAACCACATAAAATGTGATCTTTTTGTGTCTGTTTTCTTTTACTCAGCATAATGTTTTTGAAGTTCATTCACGTTGTAGTAGGAATCAGTTTCATTCTTTTTTTTTTTTTTTTTTTTTTGAGACAGGGTCTTACCCTGTCACCCAGAGGCTGGAGTGCAGTGGTGTAGCCATAACTCATTACAGCCTTGAAATCCTGGGCTCGAGTGATTCTCCTCCTGCCTCAGCCTCCCGAGTAGCTGGAACTGCAGGCACGCACCACCATGCCCAGCTAATTTTTATTTTTATTTTTGTAGAGATGGGGTCTTGCTATGTTGTCCAGGTTGGTCATTAGGGCTGAATTCATTTCACTGTATGGATTTTTTTTTGTTTACCCATTCACCTTTTGGATGTTGTGAATCATGCTACTATGAACATATGTGTTCAAGTTTTGGGGTGGACATATGTTTTCATTTCTCTCTTGGGTAGATACCTAGGAGTAGAATTGCCAAGTCATATGGAATTCTGTACTTAACTTTTTAAGGAGCCACCTTGCTGTTTTCCACAGAGGGTGTGCATTAATTTTCTACTAACAGGAAACACAACTATTTATCTCACAAGTTCTTGATGCCAATAAATAATCATTTTAACCATAGTAATAAAAATAGCCAACAGTTGGTCAATTATTCATTTACCTACGCACGTATTTAATGAGCATCTACCATGTGCCAGGAACACAAGAGCTTGTTGAGTCTTATAGGGATGCCATGAGGCAAGATTGTTCTATTTTCTCCTTTGGCAGTGGTAACATGTCCAGGCTTACATATCTAGTTAGTGGCAGGGCTGGGATTTGAACTCAGACCTGGCTGGCCCAGAACCCAAGCTCTCAAACATAGTGATATGCAGCTTTCTGAGCATGAGTTTCTCCATGCTGGCACCATGTGGGGGTATTTCGTACACCGTCTCATCCATGGTAGGCATTACCATCTCTCCCTCTTTTTTTTTTTCTTTTTAAAAAACATTTTTGTAGAGACAGAGTCTTGCTGTGTTGCCCAGGCTGGTCTTGAACTTCTGGGCTCAAGTGATCCTCCTGCCTCTGCCTCCCAAAGTGCTAGGACTGCAGGTGTGAATCATTGCACCTGGCCTACCATCTCCTTTTTGCTGGAGGGGAAAACTGGTGAGGAGCGTGGACACAGACTTTCCTGGCATTGTGGTCAGAGTTGGAGTGGAAAAGGAACCTGAGGATGAGAGAACAATGGTTCAGCTGAGAAGGGGGTTTGGAGAAGGCTTCCTGGAGTAGGTGTCAGTGAAGCTGGGCCCCGAAGGATGCCTAGGAGCTTGCCAGAGAAGGAGTCCCAGATGGAAGGTCCTGCCAGTGCCTTGATGCAGATGTGTGAAAATTCCAGGGGAATTCAGGTGATTTAGGGTGGCTGGAGTGAAGGTGATATGTTGGGGGGAATAGGAAATGAGACTGACAGTTAAGCAGGAACTGGACAGCAAAGTGAATGAACTTGTACTTTATCCTGGGAGTGATAGGGAGCCACGGGAAGTATTTGAACAAGACAGCTATTGACCAGATCCTGGTGTCAGAAAGATCCCTGTGGAGCCTATCTTGGAGTCCAGAGTGCAGAGAGGAGAGGAGTGACTAGACTCCTGCTTTCCTCTTCAATGCTGCCTCCTCCAGGAAGCCTGCCCTGACTTCCAACAGCCCTTTTTCTGAGCCTTCCTTAGCACCTAGCACACTTTCTACCTTCTTGGTAATTGCATGGTGTGTCTCTGCTTCCCTTTCCTGCCCCACTCAGGAGCTCCTCCAGGGAGGGCATAGAGCTGAGCCATCTGTGGGTCCCCAGCATCACCCAGCTTGGGTTGGGCACAGAAAGGCAGCATAAGAGGTGTGATGAATGGGGGGATGAGTGGGCGGATGATTGTGTAGGCAATTGGCCAATTCCTAGGGATTGTGTCGGTGTAGGTGGCTGAGTCGCATTCAGGTAAAAGTGATATCACTCGAATTTCAGATACTTCCTTCCTGGGCCTCTGCCCATTCAGCCCCAAATCTGTTCAGTATATAGAAGGAGGATCCATCCATTCATCCATCCACTCATTCATTCATTCATCCATCCACCTTCCACCTATCCACTCATTCATCCATCCATCCACTCATCCATCCATCCACCATCCACCCATCCATCCATTCATCCATCCATCCATCCACCCACCCACCATCTATCCATCTGCTATTCATCCATCCACTTATTTATCCATCCATGTACTCATCTGTCCCTCTACTCATCCATCCACCCATTTATTCTTTCATTCATCCATCCTTGGATTGACTTATTTATTCATTTAATAAAAATTTATCTAGCACAACATATCAGTAATCAACACGAACCCTCCTGTTAAGGGGCTTGTAACTAAGTGGATACAATCCAGAGTGACTGCTGGGTCAGGGGTGGGGAGAAGCATTCAAGTTCTCATACAGGATGAGGGAAGAGTGTTTGGGGCAGAGAGAACAGCTGGTGGAAAGTCTCAGAGAAGAGAGAGCACGTGGTCTTTTTAAGGAGCTGAGAAAAGTTCTGTGGTGTGGCCGGGCATGGTGGCTTATGCCTGTAGTCCCAGCACTTTGGGAGGCTGAACTTGGAGGATCACTTGAGCTCAGGAGTTCAAGACCAGCCTGGGCAATATGGCGATACCCTGTCCATACACAAAATTAAAAAATTAGCCAGGCATGGTGGCGTATGCCTGTAGTCCCAGCTACTCGGGAGGCTGAGGTGGGAGGATCGCTTGAATCCAGGAATTGGAGGCAGCAGTGAGCTATGATCTCACCACACACCCCAGCCTGGGTGACAGAGTGAGACCCCATCTCAAAAAAACAAAAAACAAAAAGTTATGTGGTGTTAGTTCTGTGACGTCGAATAGGGGGTGGAAGACAGAGGTGTCTTGAGAGAGATTTGGACAAAGGCAAATGATTCAGGGCTTTGAAAATGGGCTGGTATGTGAGGGTGATGGGTGTGTGAGCAGGAAGGGGCGTGGTCAGATCTGATAGTCAGATGAGATTCTCCTGGGGCCATTCATGAGGGACACACTGGAGAGGGTGAGGCTGGAGGCTGGGAGCACAGGAGGTGTGATTCAGATGGCCTGAGCTGGCAGAAAATAAGGGGGTGGATTAGGGGAAGACTCAGGTGAAGAAGTCCATTCTGGATAGACAGCTCAACCTGGTCAAAGGTTCAGAGGTGATCCACAGCAGGCGATGAGAATAGGGTTATCTGGTGTATGTTGAAGGATGAGGTGGTGGGAGAGGCATACAGGGGCCAGATGGAATTGGGTTTCAATGCCAGGCTGAGCCTGAACTTTTTACAAGTGCAATGGGGAGCCATGGGAGGTGTCTGAGCAGGGGAGGCTCATGTTCAGATCAGTGTTTTATAAGGATTTTTTCTCGGGTAGGTGTGGAGGACGGACTGGGTGAATACAGTGGGAGGTTGGAGCCCAGTGAGGAGGACTAAGGAAGTCATAAGCAAAGGTCAAGGGTTGGAACTCTGTTTTGAGGCCAGGCACGATGGCTCGTGCTTGTAATCCCAGCACTTTGGGAGGCTGAGGTGGGTGGATCACTTGAGGTTAGGAGTTCGAGACCAGCCTGGCCAACATGGTGAAACTCTGTCTCTGCTAAAAATACAAACAAATTAGCCGGGCATGGTGGCGGACACCTGTAATCCCAGCTACTCAGGAGGCAGAGGCAGGAAAACTGCTTGAACCTGGGAGGCGGAGGTTGCAGTGAGTGGAGATCGCACCACTGCACTCCAGCCTGGATGACAGAGCAAGACTCCGTAAAAAAAAACAAAAAACCAAAAAACTCTGTTTTGAGTCACCATTTTCCCTTTGCCCTCCACAGCTGCCATCGCCCCCAAGGATGACCTCTTCTATGGCTTCCTAAAACCTTGGCTAGGTGAGTGCCCAGTGGGTAGGCTGGGGCTGGGGCTTTAGAGAAGAGAGGGAAGAGCATGGGGTTCCTTGGAAGGTTTCAGAGTAACAGGAGAGGTCCCTAACCTCAGTCTTCTGGGCCCAGGGGATGGGCTGCTGCTCAGCAAAGGTGACAAGTGGAGCCGGCACCGTCGCCTGCTGACACCCGCCTTCCACTTTGACATCCTGAAGCCTTACATGAAGATCTTCAACCAGAGCGCTGACATTATGCATGTGAGTCCTAAGGCTTTGAGGGAAGAGGGTGTCTTGGGAGTGAGGCTGGTCCAGGCTCCAACTCATGCATGGGCAAGCCATGTGATGTCAGGAGCCCTCACTGACTTTATCTATAAAATGAGCTTGTAGTGAAAACGCAGTCGGGTCCTTGTTAGGCTGACTCCCTCTCTGTGGTTTCCATGCACAGTCACCATGTATCTCTCTTCCAGGCTAAATGGCGGCATCTGGCAGAGGGCTCAGCGGTCTCCCTTGATATGTTTGAGCATATCAGCCTCATGACCCTGGACAGTCTTCAGAAATGTGTCTTCAGCTACAACAGCAACTGCCAAGAGTGAGTGTGACCCTTCTTGGGAAGATGGAGCCAGCTGCTCTAGGAGCAAGATGGTGGCAGGAGAAAGGGAACTCCCAGGCATTAGACAACTCTGGCCTATGGGAGCTCTGCCACGGATGGGCCATGTGCTTCCGGGAAACTGACCATCTCTCTGAGCTTCACTTTTTTTTTTAATCAAAAAAATGGGCATCATAATTCCTTCCCCATAGTCATTGTGTGAGAATTAAATGAGATAATGTGAATCAATGGCTTGGTATAAAGTAGGTGCTTAGTAAATGTTAGTATTTTTTCATTCCACTAGGAAGAGTATGTGGTCTTTGGACAGTGTCCTCCCCACTTTCTGAGGCTCAGTTTCCTTGTTTGTAAAAAAAGGATGACAATCTCTTACTTTCTGAGAGATGCTTTAAGGATAAAATGATGCAGCACTGCCCTGGCACATAGTTGATGCTCAGAGAATATTTGTTGAGTAAATGAATCAAATAACCAATGCCTTGCTTCATTAATTCATTCATTCATCAAATATTCATTGTGCACCTACTACGTGCCTGGCACCATGATATTGCTGCTGAGAACAGGGTGGTGAACAACAGACAGTCACAGTTCTGTGAAGTTTATAGTCTAAGTGGGGACATAAGGAATAAGGGAGATAATTAATGCAAAACTTGCAACACATAGTAGGTCCTCAGTAACAAGCTAATGACTTCGTTACTCTAGGCATTATAGGGGCACGTTCCAGTTGGATAAGGCAGAGATTGTCTTAGAAATTAAATAATTAATTCATCCAAGAAATATTTACTGAGTGCCTAGTAAGTGCCAACCCTGAACTAGGTGCTGGGAACACCATATTCAACAAGAAAGACAAGATGTTGCTTTTCTAGAGCTTCCATTTTAGTAGGAAGACAGGTAATAACCATGAACAAGTAAACAAACAAGAAAACGACAGACTGCAATAAGTGCATGAAAACAAGCCCACTTCAGGACTGAGGACAGCTCCCTTCAAGCCTGCTTCACCTGTTAGTTTTTAAAAAATAATGGCTTTGTTGAGACACAATTCACATACTATACCATTTACTCATTTAAAGAATACACCTGAACTGCTTTTAGTATATTCAGAGTTGTGCAACCATTACTATAATCAATTTTAGAATATTTTCATCAATCCTCCCCCACCCCAAGAAACTTCATACACTTTAGCAACCCGTGCACTTCCCTTTCTCCTTCAAGTCTAGGCAATCACTAATCTATTTTCTATCTCTATAGATTTGCCTGTTATGGATATTTCACACGGATGGAATCATACAGACTTTTGTGTCTGGCTTGTTTCACCCAGCATAATGTTTTAAAGGCTCATCCATATTGTGGCATGTATCAGTTATGTATTTCTTTTCATTGATGAATAATGTTCCATTTACCACATAATACCACATTTTGTTTATCCAGTCACCCATCGATGGACACTGTTTCCACTTTTCGACCTTTATGAATAATGCTGCTATTAACATTCATGCACAAAGTTTTGTGTGAACATACATTTTTAATTCTTTTGGCTATATACCTAGGAGCAGAATTGCTGGGTCATACGGTAATTCCATTTTAAACATTTTGAGGAACTGCTAAACTTTATTTCAGTGGGTTTCAACATGGTATGAAGTGGTTGTACCATTTTGCTCTCCCAACCAGTGATGTATGAGAGCTCCAGTTTTTCCACATACTCACTAACACTTGCTTTTTTTTGTTGTTGTTGTTTTGTTTGCTTTTTAGAGATAGGATATTGCTCTGTTGCTCAGGCTGGAGTGCAGCCCAACACTTGTTATTATAAGTTTTGATTTTAGTCACCTTAGTGGGGTGAAGTAGTATCTCATTGTGGTTTTGATTTGCATTTCTCTGGTGACCAGTGCTGTTAAGTATCTTTTCACATTCTCATTGGAAATTTCTGTCTTCTTTGGAGAAATGCCTATTCATATCCATTGCCCATTTTAAAATAAGTTTTAAGAATTCTTTATTTATTTTAGGTACCAATCCCTTATCAGATAGACAATTTGCAAATATTTTCTCCCATGCTGAGGAGTGTAACCATTTAGTTTTAGTGATGCTACAATGACTATGCCTATGTTGAAAGTCTTTATCCCTCTTTGGGCCTGTTCAAAAATATACCCGAGACTGGGTGTGGTGGCTCAGACCTGTAACCCAGCACTTTGGGAGGCCAAGGCTGGAGGATCACTTGAGCTCACGAGTTCAAGGCTGCAGTGAGCTATGATTGTGCCACTGTACTGCAGCCTAGGTGACAGAGCAAGACCCTATCTAAAAAAATAAATAAATGAATTTAAAAATAGAGTTAATATAGGGCTTCTCTTTGTTATCTATTCAATGGGGACAGGAGGCTTATCTTAGCCAAGCCAGGGCTGTGCTATGCTAGGGGAAGGGGCTACACTCATGGATCCCCTTCTCCTTGGCAGGAAGATGAGTGATTATATCTCCGCTATCATTGAACTGAGCGCTCTGTCTGTCCGGCGCCAGTATCGCTTGCACCACTACCTCGACTTCATTTACTACCGCTCGGCGGATGGGCGGAGGTTCCGGCAGGCCTGTGACATGGTGCACCACTTCACCACTGAAGTCATCCAGGAACGGCGGCGGGCACTGCGTCAGCAGGGGGCCGAGGCCTGGCTTAAGGCCAAGCAGGGGAAGACCTTGGACTTTATTGATGTGCTGCTCCTGGCCAGGGTGAGGCTGGGCCCCCTGGAATTGCTGGCCTCCCGAGGGCTGGCCTCCCGAGGAATTGCATGTAAAATGATAAGTGTTAAAACTCCATTAGGCGTGGTGGCTCACACGTGTAATCCCAGCGCTTTGGGAGGCCAAGGCGGGAGGATCGCTTGAGCCCTGGAATTGGAGATCAGCCTGGGCAACACAGGGAGACCCTGTCTCTACAAAAAACAAATAAGTTGGGTGTGGTGCCGCATGCCTATGGTCCCAGCTACTTGGGAGGCTGAAGCAGGAGTCTGGCTTGAGCCCAGGAGTTGGAAGCTGCAGTGAGCTATGATGGTGCCACTGCACTCCAGCCTGGGCAACAGAAGCGAGACTCTGTCTCAAAACAAAACAAAACAATACACATGCTCAAAACAAAAAGAAATTCACATGGGTCTGGGATGGGGTCAGAACATGTAAGACTTACTGCGTGAGTTTTCTTGGGCTGCTATTACAAAGTACCACAAACTAAATGGCCTAAACATCAGCCATTTATTCTCTCACAGTTCTGGAAGCTAGAAGTCCAAGATCAAGGTATCTGCAGGGCTGGTTTCTTCTAAGGCCCATGAAGGATGAATCTGTTCCAGGCCTTGCTCCCTGGCTTGCAGAAGGCTGTCTTCTCCCTATGTCTGCGGATCATCTTCCCTCTGTGCCTGTCTCTGTCTTCGTCTCTTTGTATAAGGATTAGGGCCCTGCCCTAATGAGTTCATTTTGTCTTGATTACTTCTGCAAAGACCTCTCTCCAAACACGGTCATAGCCTGAGGTACTGGAAGTTAGGACTTATGAATTCTAGCGGAGGGGGGGTGGGCAGGGAACCATTCAGCTCATCACAATTGCAAAAATGAAATACATGACCTTGGGCTGGGCGTGGTGGCTCATACCTGTAATCCCAGCACTCTGGGAGGCCAAGGCAGGTGGATCACTTGAGGTCAGGAATTCGAGACCAGCCTGACCAACATGGAGAAACCCCATCTCTACTAAAAATACAAAATTAGCCGGGCGTGGTGGCACACACCTGTAATCCCAGCTACTCGGGAGGTTGAGGCAAAAGAATCACTTGAACCTGGGAGGCGGAGGTTGCGGTGAGCTGAGATCATGCCATTGCACTCAAGTGAAACTCCGTCTCAAAAAAAAAAAAAAAAAAGAAAAAAAAGAAATACATGACCTTGAAGAGATGAGACACTTCTATGGTCACTCATTGGTGTGTCTGTGGACCTTTTGGGTTCTGGATTCAAATAGTCCTGGATTCCAGTCCTGGCTCTGTCGCTTAGTGGATGTTTGACCTTAGTCATTGACTCTTCTTCCCAAGCCTCAGTTTCTCCATTTATACCATGGTGATCATAAAACCTGATCACAAGGTTGTCAGGCATCCAGTGGGATGCTTGGTGTTGGAGGCTGCTCAAGAAATATGAACTTCCTTCTTCTCCTCACTGTTGACTTTCTGTCCCTCTTTACATCTTTCTTTTCTTTTTTCTTGTTTTTTAAAAATGTAATTTAAAGTTCCAGGATAAGCCGGGCGCAGTGGCTCACCCCTGTAATCCCAGCACTTTGGGAAGCTGAGGTGGGAGGATCACCTGAGGTCAGGAGTTCAAGACGAGCCTGGCCAACATATTGAAACACCGTCTCTACTAAAAATAAAAAAAAAATATTAGCCGGGCGTGGTGGCATGCATCTGTAATCCCAGCTCCTCTGGAGGCTGAGGCAGGAGAATCGCTTGAACCCTGGAGGCAGAGGTTGTAGTGAGCCAAGATTGCGCCACTGCACTCCAATCTGGCAACAAGAGAGAAACTCCATCTCAAAAAATTTTTTTTTAAATTAAATGGAAAGTTCAAGGATACGTGTGTAGGGCGTGCAGGTTTGTTACGTAGGTAAACATGTGCCATGGTGGTTTACTGCACCTATCAACTCATCACCTAGGTATTAAGCCCTGCATGCATTTGCTATTTATCCTGATATTCTCCCTCCTCCTGCCACCCTGATAGGCCCCCCAAGTGTGTGTTGTTTCCCCCCTGTGTCCGTGTGTTTTCATTGTTCAGCTCCCACTTATAAGTGGGAACATGTGGTGTTTGGTTTTCTGTTCCTGCCTTAGGTTGCTAAGGATGATGGCTTCCAGCTCCATTCAGGTCCCTGCAAAGGACATAATCTTGTTCCTTTTTATGGCTGCATAATATTGCATGGTATATATGTACCACATTTTCTTTATCCAGTCTTTCATTGATGGGCATTTGGGTTGATTCCATGTCTTTGTTATTGTCAATAGTGCTGCAATGAACATATGTGTGCGTGTATCTTTATAATAGAATAATTTATATTCCTTTGGTTGTATACCCGGTAATGGGATTGCTGGGTCAAGTGGTATTTCTGGTTCTAGGTCTTTGAGGAATTGCCACATTGTCTTCCACAATGGTTGAACTAATTTACGTTCCCATCAACCTTGTAAAAGCGTTCCTATTTCTCCACAGCCTCACCAGCATCTCTCACTCAGGGTCTTGCTCTGTCACACAGGCTGGGGTGCAGTGATGCGGTCATGGTTCACTGCAGCCTTGATCTCCTGGGCTTAATCCTCCTGCCTCAGCTTCACCAGTAGCTGGGACTACAGGCATGCATCACCACACCTGGCTGATTTTTTTTTTGTAGAAATGGGGTCTTACCATGTTGCCCAGGCTGGTCTTGAACGCCTAGGCTCAAGTGATCCTCCCACCTTAGCTGCCCAAAGTGTTGGGATTATAGGTGTGAGCCACCATGCTGGGCACTTTCCATCTTTATTAGACAAGTTGCATACTTCCATCTTCCTGGACTAGTTCCCCCCACAGCTTGGCTTAAGAGAGAGAGGGGAGCCAGGCGTGGTAGCTCATGTCTGTAATCCCAGCACTTTGGGAGGATGAGGCAGGTAGATCACTTGAGGCCACGAGTTCGAGACCGGCCTGGCCAATATGGCAAAATTGCATCTCTACTAAAAATACAAAAATTAGCTTGGAGTGGTGGCATGTGCCTGTAATCCCAGCTATTCAGGAGGCTGAGGCACGAGAATCACTTGAACCTGACAGTCGGAGGCTGCAGTTAGCCGAGATTGTGCCACCGCACTCCAGCCTGGGTGATAGAGCGAGACTCCATCTCAGAAAAAAAAAAAAAAAAAAAGATGGGGGCGGGGAGATATCTGAGTTTTGAGGAGCCCCTAGGATGCGGAGGGTGGGATGAAGTGGGCTGAGCACCCTCTACTGCCCATTCCAGGATGAAGATGGAAAGGAACTGTCAGACGAGGATATCCGAGCCGAAGCAGACACCTTCATGTTTGAGGGTGAGGATGTGGGGTGAGGCTGGAGGAGGGCAGGAAGGGACATCATTGTCTGTAGACAGCATCTCTGCTTTCTTCAGGCAGCCTCCATTCAGATACCCTCATCTCCCTGCAGGTCACGACACAACATCCAGTGGGATCTCTTGGATGCTGTTCAATTTGGCAAAGTATCCGGAATACCAGGAGAAATGCCGAGAAGAGATTCAGGAAGTCATGAAAGGCCGGGAGCTGGAGGAGCTGGAGTGGTGAGTGTGGGGTCAGGGGAATGGAGGGGGCAGGTTGAGGCCAGAGCCTTGGGTGTAAGCCTCTGCTCTCCCACTTACTGATTGTGTGACCTCAGACAAGCCACTTTAGCTTCCTGAATTGCAATTTCTTCAGCTACAAAATGGGGGTGGTTATAGTGCCTATGCCCACCTCATAATGCAGAAGTTCTCAAAGTGTCCTAGTCAGCAATTATTGCAATGATGCTGCATAATGAACAGCTCCCAAACTTAGTGGTTTACAGCAAGCATTTGTTTCTTGCTTTTGTATGCACACATTTCTTGCTCTTGTCTGCTCATTACTCTAATTGCTGTTGGACTTGGCTGAGTGGAGTGGAGTTGCTTCAAAACTAAGAGCTGGGTTCAGATCTGCTTCATATACTCCCTTTCTGTTCTCTTTGGACCAGAGGCTACCCTGGGTCGTATTCTTCTCAAGGCAGATTCCAGAAGCACAAAAAGCCATGAAATTTAAAAGCTTTGCTTGGGCCGGGTGGGGTGGCTCACGCCTGTAATCCCAGCATTTTGGGAGGCCGAGGTGGGTGGATCACCTGAGATCAGGAGTTCGAGATCAACCTGGCCAACATGGTGAAACCCCATCTCTACTAAAAATACAAAAATTAGCCAGGTACGGTCATGGGTGCCTGTAATCCCCCCTACTCGGGAGGCTGAGACAGGAGAATCACTTGAACCTGGGAGGTGGAGTTTGCAGTGAGCTGAGATTGCACCACTGCACTCCAGCCTGGGCTACAAGAGTGAAACTCTGTCCCCACCCCCCCACAAAAAAAGATAAAATAAGTAAATAAATAAAATAAAAAAAAAAAACAAAAGCTGTGCTTGCACTAGAAGATTGCATTGGCTAAAACAAGTCACGTGACCAAGCCCAGCATGAATGGGGCAGGACATATACTCCACTCACCTGAGCAGAAGGCACTGAAGAATCATATGACAAAGGGTACAGGTATATAATTCTAATTCAGGGAGGAAGTGGAGAATCAGAACACATACCCAGTCTCTACCAGATTCATGCTATGTAGAGCTGATTCTGGGTGATGAAAAGAAAACACAGCATTAGGCTGGGCGTGGTGGCTCATGCCTGTAATTCCAGCACTTTGGGAGGCCGAGGGGGGTGGATTGCTTGAGCTGAGGTGTTTGAGACCAGCCTGGGCAACATGACGAAACCCTGTCTCTACAAAAAAATACAAAAATTAGCTGGGTGGGGTGGCGCATGCCTATAGTCCCAGCTACTTGGGAGGCTGAGGTGGGAGGACTGCTTGAACCCAGGAGGTGGAGGCTGTGGTGAGTCAAGATTACGCCACTGCACTCCAGCCTGGGTGACAGAGTGAGACCCTGTCTCAAAAAAAAAAAAAAAAAAAAAAAGAAAAGAAAAGAAAAGAAAAGAAGAAAAACACAGCCGCAACATTAAATAGCATCAACTCACACAGTGAGGAGGTTCCTTTCGGTTCTATTTCAACCTTTTGCCTTATGGCCTCAGGGGGACATGCTCAGTGGGGTGCTACTGTGTCCTGAACACTTTGCTAATCTTCCTTTTAAACAAGTGGAGAAGATGTCTCAGGTTGAGAGAGTTGGGTGGGAGTTGGTGTGTAGACACAATTTAATAACACACTACTGCTTTCACAGTGGTGTTTGTATGGATGAATACCTTTATGCCAGGGATGCTGTTTGCCCTTTATAGCAACATGAAGTTTATTTTTTTTTAAGACACAGGCTGGAGTGCAGTGGCATAATCATAGCTCACTGCAGCCTCAAACTCCTGGGCTCAGGCAATCTTCCTGCCTCAGCCTCCTGAGTAGGTGGGACTATAGGAGTGTGCCACCACAACTGGCTAATTTTTAACATTTTTTTAAGAGATGGGGACTTGCTGTGTTGCCCAGGCTGCTCTCAAATCCCTGAGTGCAAGCAGTCCTCTTACTTTGGCCTCCCAAAGTGCTGGGATTATAGGTGTGAGCCACTGTGCCCAGCCATAAAGTTTCTTTGAAAGAGAACCTGGGCCAGGTGCAGTGGCTCATGCCTGTAATCCCAGCACTTTGGGAGGCTAAGGCGGGTGGATCACTTGAGGCCAGAAATTCAAGACCAACCTGGGCAACATGGTGAAACCCTGTCTCTACTAAAAATACAAAAATTAGCTGGGCGTATTGGTGTGTGCCTGTAATCCCAGCTGCTTGAGAAGCTGAGGCGTGAGAATTGCTTGAACCTGGGAAGCAGAGGTTGCAGTGAGCTGAGATTGTGCCACTGCACTCCTGCCTGGATGAAACAGCAAGACGCCATCAAAAAAGAAAGAGAACCTGCTAATTTAAAGAAACTAATCTAATCTAGAACATGAACCAAGAGTTATCATTAGCCCAATTTTGGGCCCTAAAGTCCAAGGGAAAAAATATTAAGTAAATGATATTATAAGGAGATAATGCACTTTTCTTTTCTTTCTTTTTTCTTTTTTTCTTTCTTTCTTTTTTTGAGATAGGCTCTCACACTGTGGCCCAGGCTGGAGTACAGTGGCATGATCATAGCTCACTACAGCCTCCTGAGTAGCTGGGACCACAGGTGTGTGCCATCATGCCCAGCTAATTTTTTAACTTTTGGTAGAGATGGGGTCTCTCTTTGTTGCCCAGGCTGGTCACGAACTCCTGGGCTCAAGTTATCCACTTGCTTCGGCCTCCCAAAGTGCTGGGATTACAGGTATGAGCCACCATGCCTGGCCTGCACCAGTTTTTTTTTTTTTTTTTTTTTTAAGACAAGAGTCTCACTCTGTCACCCAGGCTAGAGTGTAGTGGTGCAATCTCATCTCACTGCAACCTCCGCCTTCCGGGTTCAAGCAATTCTCTTGCCTCGGCCTCCCAAGTAGCTGAGACTACAGGTGCACGCCACCACACCCAGCTAATTTTTGTGTTTTTTAGTAAAGATGGGGTTTTGCTATGTTGGCCAGACTGATCTTGAACTCCTGACCTCAGACGATCGCCCATCTCAGCCTCTGCAAGTGCTGGGATTACAGGCGAGAGCCACCACACCTGTCCTGCAGCAGTTTTTTAAGTACAGAAATGGACCATATAAACTGGCATATTGCTGTTGCCGTGAGTCCCCTTGGCTGTCCTGGCACCTCGCCTAGGTGCCCCTGGACCTCCACATAATTCATCAATTAAAGGCTTAATGCTGGGCCCAGCAGAGGGCCCAGTGCTAGTGCTGTTCTGAGCGGTTGGTGCTCAGATACTTTGCATCCTAAGTATTAGTACTGGCCGGGCACTGTGGCTCACGTTTGTAATCCCAGCACTTTGGGAGGCCGAGGTGGGTGGATTGCCTGAGGTCAGGCGTTTGAGACCAGCCTGGCCAACATGGAGAAACCCTGTCTCTACTAAAAATACAAAAATTAGCCGGGTGTGGGTGCGCATGCCTGTAATCCCAGCTACTTGGGAGGCTGAGGCAAGAAAATTGCTTGAACCTGCAAGGCTGAGGTTGCAGTGACCCGAGATGCGCCACTATGTTCTAGCCTGGGCAACAAGAGCGAAACTCGGTCTTAAAAAAAAAAAAGAAAGAAAAAGGAAAAGAAAAAACAAAAAAACCACTAAATATTAGTACTTCCCACCTGTGCATGAGACAACTGCAAATGGCAGAAATTGGGGCAAGTCTAAAATCCTGGACTGGTTTCTTGCCCAGCTGCCCCTGAGAGAGAGAGAGAGAGAGAGAGAGAGGGAGAGAGTGTGTGTGTGTGTGTGTGTGTGTGTGTGTGTGTGTGTGTGTGTGTGTTTTGGGGAGGTGGTGCCATGGTGGCTCGGCCTCTAGTTATATCTCCATTCTCCCCAGGGACGATCTGACTCAGCTGCCCTTTACAACTATGTGCATTAAGGAGAGCCTGCGCCAGTACCCACCTGTCACTCTTGTCTCTCGCCAATGCACGGAGGACATCAAGCTCCCAGATGGGCGCATCATCCCCAAAGGTGCCTACCATGTTCCGCCTGCTGCTGGTGCACTGCCTCCAATGATGTAGCTGCTCTATTGTCCACAGGGGCCTGGCTATGCCTGCCCCAGGTGCACTATCCCTGCAGATGGGATAGCTCTCTGTGTGCCTGTTGCTTCTGGGGTGTTGGAGAAAACCCAGTTGTGTGTGCAGGGAGATAGAGCCGGGTGAGTCCAGGTGGAAAGGAAGGAGGCAGTGTCGCAGGGATGGGCCTGTGAGGGTGCAGTTGGGGAGGGTCAGTTTCATTCAGTTGCCAGTTACTCCCTGGAGACCAAGCCCTGCCTTGGTTGATACAGGGGACCCTGGCTCAGGTTTTGAGTATTGCCCTTTCTGGGGGAGATACAGCAGGGTGCAGACATTCCCAGGCGTATGGAATCAGGAATGGGCTAAAGGGAGAGACAGGGGCTGGAGTAGCTCCAATATGGAGAGGAATGCAGGGAGGGCTGCCTGGAGGAGGGAATGTGGGAGGTGAGGCTTGGAGTGTGGAAGTGAAAGAGTGAGCATGTTTATGGAGTAGAGCCTCAGGATGCAGATTTTGAAAGGCCTTGAGTGCCAGGTGATGGCGCTTGAACTCAATCCTGGGGGCAGCAGGGAGCCAAGGTAGGTGTTTGAGCTGAAGAGGAGCAATGTCAGATCTGCGAGTAAGAAAGATCCCTATGTGGCCAGCTTGGCAGCCAGAAAGAAGATGATAGGTTCCTCTTAGGGAAAGGTGGGAAGAGTGGATGGGGCAGCAGAATTTTTTAGAGAAGGATGGACAGAAGGTGGTGGCAGATGGCTCATGGGAACATCATGGCTCTAGGGAGACCCAAGTTGGGGGATGTTTCTGGAGGAGGCCCTGGCTCCCCTTGGCCCCACTGATCCCATCTTTCCCCACAGGAATCATCTGCTTGGTCAGCATCTATGGAACCCACCACAACCCCACAGTGTGGCCTGACTCCAAGGTGAGTGCCTGCCCCACTCCTCCCTGCCCTCAGGTCCTCCCCTCCCCTGCGCCCCAGGGAGCCAGCGAGCAGGGCTGGTTGCAGGGCCTGAGTGCGCACACCCCTCCCCACTCCGCATTTAGCCATTTATTCACCCACTGATTGTTAATTCATTAGGGCAGAAAATATTTATTGAGCACCTACTGTGTGCCAGAGTGTGTGCTGGGCTCTGAAAATAGAGGATGATACTGTCTTTGCCTTTACAGGGCTCACAGTGAAGTTTTGGGGAAGACAATAAGCAAATAAATAAGATTTTGGGTATTGATACATGCACAAAAGAAAGAAAAACTGGGCCAGTTCCGGTTTACAGGTGCAGTGGCTCACACTTGTAATCCCAGCACTTTGAGAGGCTAAGGTGGGAGAATCGCTTGGGCCCAGGAGTTTGAGACCAGCCTGGGCAACACAGCGAGACCCCCCATCTCTACCAAAAAGGAAAAAGTTGGCCCAATGTGGTGGCTTGTGTCTGTAATCCCAGTGCTTTGGGAGACCAAGATGGGAAGATTGTTTGAGGCCAGAAGTTCCAGCTCAGCCCAGCCTGGGCAACACAGTGAGACCCCATTTCTAAAAAAAAAAAAAGTTAGCCAGCCATGGTGATGCACATCTGCAGTGCCAGCCACTCGGGAGGCTGAGGCAGGAGGATCGCTTGGGCCCAGCAGTTTGAGGCTGCAATGAGCTATGGTTATTTATTTATTTATTTATTTGAGACTGGGTCTTGCTCTGTTGCCCAAGCTGGAGCGTGTGCAGTGGTGCGATCTTGGCTCACTGCAACTTCTACCTCCTGGGTTCAAGAGATTCTCCTGCCTCAGCTTTCTGAGTAGTTGGGATTACAGGTGTGTGCCACCATGCCTGGCTAATTTTTTTGTATTTTTAGTAGAGATGGGGTTTCACCATGTTGGCCAGGCTGGTCTTGAACTCCTGAGCTCAGATGATCCATCTGCCTTGGCCTCCCAAAGTGCTGGGATTACAAGCGTGAGCCACCGCGCCCAGCCTGCAATGAGCTATGATCGCGCTTCTGCACTCCAGCCTGAGTGAGACTCTGACTCTAACAAACAAACAAACAAACAAAGACAGACAAACAAACAAAAAAAAAGAAAAACAGGTGGAGGGGGCACTTTAGCTCGAGTGGTTATGAAAGGCCTTGCCGAGGAGATGTTTGAGCTGAGAACTTAGGGGATGAAGGATCAGGGAGAAGCCTGTTCTAGGCAGAGGAAACAGCAAGTGCAAAGGCCCTGAGGTGGAATCTCACTGGTGCGTGTGAACAACAGAAGGAGGCAGGTGTGGCTGCATTGCAGGAAGTGCAAGGTGGAATGGAAGAGGTGGCCCTGGGGTGCTCCCCATCCATCTTTACTGACCCCCAGAGGCTCAGGGAAGGGGGCCAGGCTGGGATGTCTGGGGCAGCCCCCAGACTCATCTCCAGGCTGTTCCTCCCTAGGTGTACAACCCCTACCGCTTTGACCCGGACAACCCACAGCAGCGCTCTCCACTGGCCTATGTGCCCTTCTCTGCAGGACCCAGGTAACCCCTCTATTTCCCCTAGTCCAAGCCAGCTGTGTAGGAACAGAGGCAGGGAAAGATCAGGAATGTGCCTCTCAGGAGCAGAGATCAGATGGCACCCAGGCGTCCTTTCTGAAGACCCAGCACCCTCTCCCCAATGCGCCAGGAGGCCCCCAAATCAGACTCTGCAATAGCATCCTGGGTATTGAGCACCAACGGTGTGTCAGGCCCTGAGTTCTGGGCTCCCACGCTCCCATTGGCTCTATGATGCCTTTGTCCCCGTTTTTACAGATGAAGGAACTGAGACTCAGAGGGGGCGCTGTGTATCCAGGACACACAGCTAGTAAGAGGCTGTACTGGGATTCAGACACTCAACCCCAAGGTCACATTAATTGAGCGATCCGTGGGGTCTCACTTTAACCCTCACCCAGCGTGGGGTTTCACTTTAACCCTCAGCCAGCCCAGGATGCTTGCTTCATTTTCAAAGGAGGCATGTGACCCCCGGGGACCAGTGCTCACACAGAAGCTGGGCCTGAGCCCTGTCCCCTCTTCCTCCAGGAATTGCATCGGACAGAGCTTCGCCATGGCCGAGTTGCGCGTGGTTGTGGCACTAACACTGCTACGTTTCCGCCTGAGCGTGGACCGAACGCGCAAGGTGCGGCGGAAGCCGGAGCTCATACTGCGCACGGAGAACGGGCTCTGGCTCAAGGTGGAGCCGCTGCCTCCGCGGGCCTGAGCGTGGGCGCGCCCCTGCGGCTCCCGAGGGTCCAGGCCCCGCCCCCAAAGGACCAGGACTCGCCCCAAAGATCCCGAGGGCATAGGCCACCCCCCTCGAAGTTCAGGTTCAGCTCCTGGATGACCAGGCACCGCTGTTGAGCAGCCTGGTGGTACTGGCCACGCCCCTCAAGGCAAGGCTCCTCCCCTTAGGGGGCCTGATCCCGCCCCTTGAGGCTTAGGTCCCGCCCCCTGACTTCTCGCACCTGTCCTGTTTGAGGGACCAGGGTCGACCCTGCCCCCTTGGGCTCAGGCCCCGCCCCCAGGATCCTACGGATTGAGGTCCTCAGGCCACGCCCCTGCAGATCCAGGTCTCCAGGCCTTGCCCACTGAGCCTTCAGAGGACCTAAGACCCACCTATGACTCAGGGCCCACCACACCCCACCCCCCCCCAACTGGCTGAACCCCTGGCAGGCTTCCAAACTGAGGAAAGCTGGAGCCTGACGTCAGAGCTTTTAACTCGGACATCACCCTCCTGAGGCCCTCAGCTCATACGGGCAGACTGCTCAGGCGTGAGGCTGGATCGTAGGGTTCGAGGCTGCTTGCTTTTGTTGTTGTTTTGTAAACTCAGACCCTTGTAAGCCCCTTCCTTCCTCCCTTGCCCAAAGATCCTTTGCTGAGTGTTCTGTTTTTGCAGAATAAAAGCAAAGGATGCAGACTTACCCCACCCTCCACCCCTAGCTCAGCCAGATCCTTACACGTGGAGCCCCCAGCATGGGAATGAGGGGCTCTGCAACTGAGCGAAGCTGCGGGCTAGGAGGCTGGAAAGCCATTTATCCTAGGACATAAACTCAGATTTTGGGGGTCAGTTTGTGTGTTCATTTATTTCATCAACAGATCACATATTGTTTGCTGGCACTGCTTCAGAACCACAGGCAGGCCCTGTTTTCTGCCTTCTTAGGGGGTGGGGGACAGATGTTGAACAAATAATTCCACGTGTAAAGGTTTATTTACAACCCAGGACAGGTGCTCCAAAGGAGAGGCCCCGGGTGCTGGATGAATATAGCAGAGGGATGGGGATGGGTCAGGGAGAGCTTCTCCGATGCTGGAATGGAAGTTGAGTGGGTGACAAGGGGAGGGAAGAGTATTCCAGGCAGAAGGAACAACATCTGAGAATACCCTGAGCTGAGGGAGAACAGAGTGTGTTTGAGGAACTCACCAGGGGCCAGGTGGTTGGATCTGGGAAGTGGGGGCAGAATGAAGGAAGGGGCCAAATGCACAGGCTTTATGCTGAGGGCAATAGGGAGCCATGGAGAGTGTGTGAGCGGGATCAGGACAGGACATGGCCAGATCTAGGGCTGGCAGGGAGGTGACTTGCGGGGTTGGGACCCTGGGAAAGAGGGAAGCTGAGGTCCAGACAACAGGAAGGGCCAGGATTGGGGTGACTATCTAGCAGTGGGGGCTGAGGGGAGGGAGGTGGTAAGGGTGATGCTCAGGTATTTGGCTGAGGGAACTTGATGGTAGAGTAGTCCCTGATATGGGAATATAAAAGATGGGGGCCAGGCGTGATGGCTTACACCTGTAATCCCAGCACTTTGGGAGGCTGAGGCTGGAGGATTGCTTGAGACCAGGAGTTAGAGACCAGCCAGGGCAACACAGTGAGACTCCATTTCTACAAAAAATAAAAAATTAGCCAGGTGTGATGGTGCACATCTGTAGTCCCAGCTACTTGGGAGGCTGAGGCAGGAGGATCACTTGAGCTGAGGAGTTTGAGGCTGCAGTGAGCTATGATCACACCACTGCACTCCAGCTGGGGCAACAGAGCAAGACCCTGTTCCAAAAACAAACAAACAAAAAAAGGTGGGCAATGACAATGTCAGCAATTTTATACATATAAAATGCTACACTAAAGGAAAATGATACTGCTATTATACCACATATATAATATATATATATGCACTATATATGCCATCATTATATATATAGTGGTGGTATAATAGTGGTATCATCTTCCTTTTAGGTAGCATTTGCCTGTAGACTATTTCCATCTAGGTCACTAGAGACAATAATATTAATTCAACAGGCCGGGTGCGGTGGCTCATGCCTGTAATCCCAGCACTTTGGGAGGCTGAGACAGGTGGATCACCTGAGGTTAGGAGTTTGAGACCAGCCTGGCCAACATGGTGAAACCCTGTCTCTACTAAAAAATACAAAAATTAGCCACGTTTGATGGCGGGTGCCTGTAATCCCAGCTACTCAGTAGGCTGAGGCAGGAGAATCGCTTGAACCTGGGAGGTGGAGGTTGCAGTGAGCCGAGATTGTGCCACTGCACTCCAGCCTGGGCGACAGAGTGAGATTCTGTCTAAAAAAAAAATTAATTTACCAAATATTTCTTGGGCAATCTGCCGTGAGACAGGCACTGTTTGAGCCCTAGGTTCCCAGAGTTTACCTCTAGGGAGGAGATATGATAAATGATAAATAAGTAAAGAAAGAAGTAAATTCACACAGGGCCTTTTCTGTGACTTTTTTTGTGACAGAAATGGGGAGTTCTGAGCAGAGGAGGGACAAGCTTTGTCATACGAACTTTTTTTTTTTTTTTTTTGAGACAGGGTCATGCTTTGTTGCTCAGGCTGGTGTGCAGGGGTGCAACCATAGCTCACTGCAGCCTTGGCCTCCTTGGGCTCAAACGATCCTCCTGCCTCAGCCTCCTGAGTAGCTGGGACCACAGGCACACACCACCATGCCCAGCTAAGCTTTGTATTTGTTATCGAGACGGGGGTCTTACCATGTTGCCCAGGCTGGTCTTGAACTCCTGGTCTCAAGCGATCCTCCCACCTCAGCCTCCCAAAGTGCTGGAATTACAGGTGTGAGCCACCATGCCAGGACTTCCACAGGACTTTGTGTGCTCTGTTAAACAGAGACAGTGTGAGCAAAGATGGGACTAGGCAGATCAGTTAGGGGTGACTGCATTCGTCCAGGTGAGACATGATGGTGGCTTCAACCAAGCCGGGGTCTTTAGATGTGATCAAGAGCAATTGGATTCCAAGGAGGAGTGACTGTTCACAAAGGCAGTGCTGTCAGGCTTGGTGGTGGATAAAACGTGAAGTTTGAAAGAAGTGGGGGACACTAGGTTTGGGCTTGAACATCTGGAAAAATGGAACTGCCATCAGCTGACGTGGGGAATGCTGAGTGGAGTAAGTTGTTTTGTGGGAGATGTCAGGATGTCAGTTTTGGTTCAGAGGAATTGGACATGTCAGTCGAATAAACGGTTCTCCAATTCAAGAGTTTTGGGTTGGGCATGTATATTTGGGAAGCCTTAGTATAAATATTTTATATATTTTTCCAAAAGCTAGTGAAGCGATTTCAAATGGGGGTGATTTTTCCTACCAGATGACATTCGTTGTTATTTGGAAACATTTTTGGTTGTCACAACCGGTGGTTACTATTTGCGTCTAGAGGGTAGGGACCCAGCACTCTGCTAAACATTCTACAAGACAAAGGATACCTAGCTCAATAAAACAAGTAATTATCCAGTCCCAAAGGCAACAGTTCTGCTAATTAAAAACCATGAACTGGAGAACCAAAACAAACAAAAAAAAAAAAACAAAAAAAAAAAAACAGAAAAGAAAGCAAAACTTTAAGACTGGGTGAGATCTCATGTGTGCGTGTGTGTGTGCGCGCACGCGCGCGCGCGCGTGTGTGTGTGTGTGTGTGTGTGTGTGTGTGTATGGAGTAAGGGCTTAAGGGAGCCCTGGGGGTGGTCTCCAAAGTTAACCTAACAATTATGAGGCCAGGCGTGGTAGCTCACACCTGTAATCCCAGCACTTTGGGACGCCGGGGTGGGCGGATCAGTTGAGGCGAGGAGTTCCAGACCAGCCTGGCCAACATGGTGAAACTCCATCTCTACTTAAAATACAAAAAATTAGGGCAGGGCGCGGTGGCTGACTCCTGTAATCCCAGCACTTTGGGAGGCCGAGGCGGGCGGATCACGAGGTCAGGAGATTGAGATCATCCTGGCTAACACGGTGAAACACTGTCTCTACTAAAAATAAAAAAAAAATCAGACGGGAGTGGTGGCACGCGCCTGTAGTCCCAGCTACTCGGTAGGGCGAGACAGGAGAATCGCTTGAACCCGGGAGACGGAGGTTGCAGTGAGCCAAGATAGTGCCGCTGCACTCCAGCCTGGGTGACAGAGCGAGACTCGGTCTGAAAAACAAAAACAAAACTTTTTTTTTTGATTGAGTGCTTCCTGTGTGCTCTTTCCATATATTCCCATTTAATCCTCATACTGACTTGTAAGATCACTTTTTATTATTCCGTTTAACAGAGGTAGAAACTGAGCCCCCGAATGAAGTGACTTACCCAAGATCATTCGGTGCGGCCTCAGCGCTGGCGCTGAGTCCTCTTCTGCCCCACCCCTCAGGCTCCCAGTCCTGGTCTAGATCCCTAGCCACGTAGCGTAGAAGGGGGCGTCGACGGGGGTTGGGCTAGAGTTGGAGCGGGGAGGAGATGAGCTAAAGCGGGGCTGGCTGTGCGAGAGGCAGTAGCAGCGGCGTGTGTCCTGGGGCGCCCCCCGGTGGCCTGTGCTGGGGTCGTCGGCCGGGATCCCCTGTTCGACGTACTCCGGGGCTGAATGGGAAACAGACAGTCCCAGACCCTACGTGAGCCACCCGGATCTTGCAGGTGCTGCCTCTCCTACACCCCCCTCCCAACCGAGGGTCTCCAAGAGCGCATCCTTTGCCAAACATCTCCTGGGCCCTTTTCGGCGCAACCTCGCCATCCACTAGCAAACGAAGTTAGCCTTGAGATCCGACATATGTGGGCTCAATCTAGGCTCTTCCTTCCTAGGGGCGGCCTTGGGCACGTGACTGTCCCTCTCTGCACCTCGGCTTTTTCTTGTCATGCGAATAGTCCGGTATCATCATGCTTGTAATGCACACTGAGTTTCCGCCAAGGGCCACGAGGGTGAATAAATGAGAATGAGAAGGGGAGGAGTAAGGTCCCTGGGTCCCCGGAGCCCTGTTACACGTACTGCAAGTGTAATTCTCAAAACACCGAAGTCTGGTCCTGTCGCTGGCGGCTGTGGGACCTCCTTCCTCCTGAGTGTGAAGAACGCTCCCTCTGCTGGACAATTTGGAGATCCATTCTCTATTCGTTCAATTTTGTGTCCGTGCACGTTTGAGCGTGCATGTGTGACCGCGTATGTGTTTGGGTGCATTTGGGTAACAGTGTGTGCATGTGTTGTAGTGTGCACACGAGTGTGTGTAAACGTGTATGTGTCGGTGTGACTGTGTGTGCGCATATGGATGGGTGTGTTGGAAGGAGAGGAGAGGAGAACTCCACTCACTGAGTCACTGTAACTATCCACACACACCAGGCTGTGTTCCTGCTCATGGCTGGAGCCACTGTCAGAGCCCTTGCCTCTGTCCCCAGGTCTGACCTGTGCGGTGCAGGCAGGACATTCTGGAGAAATCATGCCCTTGGAGGAAGCTGTCAGTAATGACTGGTGGGTATTGGTGGATAAATACCCCAGCTCCCTCTCTCTGGGGGTGAAGACTCCCTTGTTCTGGGAGGTGCATGTTCTATTCTGTCTCCCTGAGGTACTAGGCAGGGCTGAGCCCTAGCTACCCACAGTGGAAACTTCCTCAATAAAGGTCCCTTTAACTGCTGCTGCCTTCCCTTCCCCATCCCTCTTCTCCATTGCCCTAATTGTGTTTCCAGGGATCACCTCCCAAAGAAACAACAGGCAGTTGAACTCTTGTCTTATGGTCACCCTCCTGATAGAGGATTTGCACTCAACTCCTTGTATTAAGGTCTAGTTCCAGGGAACCCAAATTAAGACACACATGTGTGCTGGTTCCTCCAATCCCCAGAAGCCTGTCAGTGTGCGCTTTTATTTATTTTTTTTACCAACGATGAATGTGAGGCTCAGAGAGGGCAAATCACTTGCCCAAGGTCACACGGCAGTGAGGGAGTGGCAGAGCCTGGCTTTGACTATGGGCTGTCTGACCACAAGCTGGGTGCTCACTCCTCTCCTGACAGCCTCCTCCCTCCTCAAGGACATGGAAGGAGCAGGGAATAAGTTATAAGTGTAAAATTTGAAAGGGAAATTCTTCCGCTTTCTGCTTCTGCTTCTACCTCTGGCCCAGCAGTTTGGTGTGCTCTTTTTTCAGTTTTTAAAAATTAAAAAACGTTCATATATATATGAACGTTTTCCAATGTATATAAAAGCATTTATGCACACGTTACCGGGTTTTTTTTGTTTATTAAAAAAATTTTTTTTTTGGAGACAGGGTCTCACTCTGTCACCCAGGCTGGAGTGCAGTGGCATGATCTCGGCTCACTGCAACCTCTGCCTCCTGGGTTCAAGTGATTCTACTGCCTCAGCTTCCTGAGTAGCTGGGATTACAGGCACACCACCATGCCTGGCTAATTTTTTTTTTGTTATTTTTAGTAGATATGAGGTTTCACCATGCTGGCCAGGCTGGTCTTGAACTCCTGACCTCAAATGATCCACCCACCTTGGCCTCCCAGTGCTGGGATTACAGGGGTGAGCCACTGCACCCGGCCTTTTTTTTTTTTTCTTTTTTTGATACAGGGTATTGCTCTGTTGCCTAGGCTGGAGTGCAGTGGCTCAATCTCAACTCATTGCAACCTCTGTCTCCTGGGGTCAAGCAATCCTCCCACCACCACATCCAGATGCTTTTTTTTGTATTTTCTGTAGAGATGGGGTTTTACCATGTTGCCCAGGCTGAACTGGAACTCCTGGATTCAAGTGATCCGCCTATGTTGGCCCCCCGAACTGTTGTGATTACAGGCCTGAGTCACTGCACCCAGTCCATTATCAGTTTTTTGATGACTCCAAACTTGTTGGGAAATATATCTGTTTCAATTATCTATTATTGTATATTGAACTACCAGGAAACTTAGTAGGTTAAAACAATATACAGGCCAAGCTCGGTGGCTCATGCCTGTAATCCCAGCACTTTGGGAGGCCGAGGCTGGCGGATCACCTGAGGTCGGGAGTTCGAGACCAGCCTGACCAACACGGAGAAACCCTGTCTCTACTAAAAATACAAAGTTAGCCGGGCGCGGTGGTGTGAGCCTGTAATCCCAGCTACTTGGGAGGCTGAGGCAGGAGAATCGCTTGAACTAGGGAGGCAGAGGTTGCTGTGAGCCAAGATCATGCCATTGCACTCCAGTCTGGGAAACAAGAGCGAAACTCCATCTCAAAAAAATAAAAAAGATATACAAGTTTTTTTTTTTTTTTTGGTATGTGTGTATGAACTCCTATCTGTATCAGAATATATACAACTTTTAGTTTGCTCACAAGTTTACAATTTGGGCAGGGCTCAGCCAGGATGGCTTTCTCAGTCCTACACAGCATCAGTGTGGGCAGCTCATTTGAGGCTGGAAGAGATACTTTGAGGTGGCTCACTCTCATGGCTGGCAATTTGGTGCTTCCTATTTGCTGGTACCGACTTCCTGCCTCGGCCTCTCAAAGTGCTGGGATTACGGGCATGAGCCACAATGCCCTGACCATTTTATTTTTTCTTTTATTTTCTTTCTTCTTTCTTTTTTTTTTTTTTTTTGAGACAGGGTATTGCTCTGTTATCCAGGCTGGAGTGCAGTGATGCGATCTCACCTCACTGCAATCTTTGCCTCCTGGGTTCAAGTGATTCTTGTGCTTCAGCCTCCTGGATAGCCAGGATTGCAGGTGCATGCCACCACACCTGGCTAATGTTTGTTGTGTTTTTAGTAGAGACAGGGTTTCGCCATGTTGGCCAGGGTGGTCTCAAACTCCTGACCTCAAGTGATCCACCTGCCTTGGACTCTCAATGTGCTGGGATTGCAGGCGTGAGCCACTGCACCTGGCCAAAATATATAATACATTAAAAAAATAAAGTTTATTAAAAAGAAAAAGAAGAGAGGAAATCACTGAGTAACATCGAGTAACATGCTCTGGTGGTGGTTCCTAGCTCTTGTGTGACCTCTGAACTTTTCCAAAGTTCCCTTCTAGGATTTCTGTCTCCCAATCCAGTTCATCTGGTCTTCTGTCACCCGGGCTGCAAATGTGGCAGTTATAGCTATACCTGCTGGTCCTGCCCTCAATATGGACTAAGGGGCTTGTTGGGTTTGCAATTCTTCTTCTTCATCATCTTTTTAATTTTTATTTATTTATTTATTTTTTTGAGATAGGGTTTCACTCTGTCACCAGGCTGGAATGCAGAGGTGCAATCCTAGCTCATTGCAACCTCAACCTCCTGAGTTCAAGCGATCCTCCCACCCCAGCCTCCCAAGTAGCTGTGACCACAGGCATGTGCCACAACACCTGGCTAATTCTTTGTATTTATATATGTATATATATATATATATATATTTTTTTTTTTTTTTAAATTTACTTTTTCAGAGATAGGGTCTCGCTGTGTTGCTGGTCTCGAACTCCTGGGGTGAAACGATCCACCTGTCTTGGCCTCTCGAAGTGTTGGGACTGCAAGCATGAGCCACTGTGCCTGGCTGGGTTTTGAGTTCTTGAGAGTGTTAAATGAAACTTCAACACTGGCTTCTGGTGTGAGCGTTGGGTGAGATTTCATCGGTCACCACATGGGTCTCCAGTGCACCCTGCTTCTCCTGCATCTCTTGGTTGCAGGCACCCCTCTAGCTCTGATTATCTCAGTGCATTTGAGGATGGAAGTGAGAATGAACATGTGTGTCCCACCTGGTGCTGGGTCTTTATACAGTGGCCCTTATGCAGAGCCCCCTCCTTTATGTCATTCAGGTTCCTGCTCAAAGGTCTCCTCTTGGGACATTCCTGCCTGATCACTGAGTCCAGAACAGCCCCCTCAGTCGCTGTCTAGCTTGTCTCATTCTGTTAATTTCCCATAAGAGAAGTGGCATGTCACCATCACCATGCACTATTGGTTAAGCAACTTGAGTAGCTTGGGACCTCAGCCTCCCAAGTAGCTGGGACCACAGGCATGTGCCACCACACCTGGCTAATTTTTTTGTATTTTTGTATTTTTTTTGCAGAGATGAGGTCTCACTGTCACCCAGGCACTATAGGTTAAGCAACCAATAGTGTGTGGTGGAGGTGGTGACATGCCACTTCTGTTCTCAATCCCAGGCCAGTCCAGATTCAAGGGGAAAGAAATTAAGCTCTCCCTCTTGCTGAAGACAGTGACAAAGACTTTGTGGCTATCACCTTTAAGGGGTCTGGGTTAGAATCTGAGATTCTGCATTTCCAAGATGCTGCTGATCCAAGGATCACATCTTGAGTGTCCACTTCTTATAGCTCATGGCTAGAAAAGTCCCTTTCTTCCCTAAATATTTAATGAGCACCTACTACGTGCCAGGATTCATTTTCACCCATGCTAATGTTTAATTACTTCATTGTGTGGCTGGAGCAAGTTTCGGCACCTCTCTGTTTTTGATTTTCCCCCTCCCTCTTCTCCCCAGACCTAGCTGGGCACCTACCCTGTTGCCTCCCACCTACTCCAGGGGGCCCTGGCCTTGCCCCTGGCTCGTCTGTGGGGTGGACCAGGTGGAGCCACCCCAGTAGAGAAGAAGGAGAATCTGTACATCTCAGCTTGCTGGCAGCTCCAGGGCCCTCCAACGTGCTCTAGGACCTGAAGCTGGATCAGGCAGGGCTACATGGTATGTAGTTAGCTCTTAGTGGGGGAAGGAAATTTTGGACATCTCCCCAACATTCGATCAATTACAGGAGGAACACCTATCCTGATTTTCTCATTCAGCAGCTCCATCCTTCAAACTTACTCTCATCTTGGGGCTGGGCTTGAGGGCTCACGCCTGTAATCCCAGCACTGTGGGAGGCCGAGGCGGGCAGATCATGAGGTCAGGAGTTCAAGACCAGCCTGGTAAACATGGTGAAACCCTGTCTCTACTAAAAATACAAAAATTAGCCAGGCGTTATGGCGGGTGCCAGTAATCCCAGCTACTTGGGAGGCTGAGGCAGAAGAATAGCTTGAACCTGGAGGTGGAGCTTGCCATGAGCTGAGATCGCGCCACTGCACTCTAGCTTTGGCAACAGAGCAAGTCTCCACCTCAAAAACAAACAAACAAAAAACGAAAAAAAACCCAAACACCAAGAAAACAGAAAACCCCACTCACCCTCATCTTAGCGCCTGAGGGCTAAGAACACCCAATAGGGGATTTCAGGACAGTATCTGAACAAGATGTGCCCCTTTAAGGCCAACATCCCATTTCCCAGATAGGAAGACCCAGTCCCGGAGACCCAGCACTGCCCACAGTCAGAGCAAGGACGGGGCAGAATGAGGACTCCACTCAGAGTCACTCCGCTCTGCCCACCCACGCCTGCCCCCTGTCCGCCCACAGCCCCTCTCACTCTTGCCCCCTATGCCTCCCACCCCACCTTCTACACTGAATAAATCTTCCCATTATAGTGATCCCAGAGTCAGCTACTTAAGAGTCTTGGCCAGGCGTGGTGACTCACGCCTGTAATCCCAGCACTATGGGAGGCCGAGGCGAGTGGATTGCCTGAGGTCAGGAGTTCAAGACCAGCTGACCAAAATGGCGAAACCCCGTCTCTACTAAAAATACAAAAATTAGTTGGGTGTGGTGGTGGGCACCTGTAATCCTAGCTACCTGGGAGGCTGAGGCAGAAGAATAGCTTGAACCTGGAGGCGGAGCTTGCAGTGAGCTGAGTTCACGCCACCTCACTCCAGCCTGGGCAACAGAGCGACACTCTGTCTCAAAAACAAAACAAAATAAAACAAACATCAAAAAAATGAAAAAACCCCACTCACCCTCATCTTAGTGGCTGAGGGCTGAGAACACCCAACAGGGGATTTCAGGACAGTATCTGGACAAGATGTGCCCCTTTAAGGCCAACATCCCATTTCCCAGATAGGAAGACTGAGCCCAGGAGACCCAGCACTGCTCACAGTCAGAGCAAGGACGGGGCACAACGAGGACTCCACCCAGAGTCCCTTGGCTCTGCCCTCCTATGCCTGACCCTGTCCGCTCATGGCCCCTCTCACTCTTGCCCCCTGTGCCTCCCACCCCACCTTCTAGACTGAGTAAGTCTTCCCATTATAGAGATCCTAGAGTCAGCTACTTAAAGGTCTTGGCTGGGCACGGTGGCTCACGCCTGTAATCCTAAAACTTTGGGAGGCTGAGGCGGGTGGATCGCCTGAGGTCAGGAGTTCAAGACCATCCTGGCTAACAGGGTGAAATCCGTCTCTACTAAAAATACAAAAAAATTAGCCAGGCGTGGTGGTGGGCACCTGTAGTTCCAGCTACTTGGGAGGCTGAGGCAGGAGAATGGCATGAACCTGGGAGGCGGAGCTTGCAGTGAGCCGAGATCACGCCACTGCACTCCAGCCTGGGTGACAGAGCGAGAATCCGCCTCCAAAAAGAAAAGAAAAGAAAAGAAAAGAAAAAAAAAGAGTCTTGATGAGTTTCACTTGCTGCTGAAGGCTTCTTTCCTTTCTATCTAGTTTCCTAATCCTCACTGCTGTGCATGCAGATAAATCTGTTTTGCATTAATTAAAACAAACAAAACCGACCACAGCTGCCTGGTTTACTCTTCCAGTTCTCCTCTTAATCCCCAGAATCTGACCTGGGTAATCCTCAGCGGGGCTGGATTCTTTGTTCTTTGTTCCTGCTCCTGGCCATCATGTGTCACCTCAGCCCTGGGCTGGCTGGAGGCAGGACTTGAATTTCTGCCAGGTTGTGCAGTCAGAGGCCAGAGACTCCCTTCTCCAAGTCTCCTAATTCTGCACCGAGAAATGGTGCATGGTGTCCTCCCAGCCCACTTGTGGGAGATGTTTGGGTGCAAGGCTTGGCCTGCCTGGTTCTCCTTGCCTGACGCCTGAATTCCCAACCTCATGATTTACGTGGCCTTGGAAGGGCAGGGGCAGCTGTAAACTTGGGGTCCCAGAGTCACCTTGGCCCCAGGTTCAAGCAGGAGATACTGAAGGCTGAAGATCCAGTTTCCACTCTGAACTGTGACACTGACTTGGTTCCTCTCTGCACCCAGCTGATACTGCCTGCAGGTTTTGGCCAGCTGCCCAGGCAGGGAGGAGGCAGCCAGGCCTATGGCCTACGGGGATTGGCTGCCCCTGACTGCCCAGCCCAGCCCAGCCTTGCCTAGGTGAGGGGCCAGGGACAAAGAAGCCCCAGGAGGAGGGAAGAGGAAGTTGTGTGGGACAAGCTGCTCCTGACAGAAGGTGCCAGGCTGGAACTGTCGGGGCTGGAGGGTCCTGGTCTGGGAGAGGGAGGGGCACTGCCCAAGGCTGGGGTGGCTCCAGGGAGCTGGTCCTGGTGGGGCTGATGGGTTCCTGGTAACTGAAACCAAGCCACTGACAACCTGCAGTGATTCAGGCTGGGCCTTTCAGGACTCTAATCAGCCTTCCTCTCTCTCTTTCTCTCTTCCCTCTCTCTTCTTTACTCTCTTCTCTCTCCGCCTCTTCTCCTGGCTGTACCTGGGTTTCCCTCTCTGCTTTCAGCCCTTGTTTTCTCATCTCTGAGCTCTCCCTGCCTCCAGCACCTCCCATCCCTGCCCCTGTCCAATGTCCCCGAAGCTCCCCGGGCTCTTTTTCTGGGCCTCAGGACCTCACCCTCCATCCCGTGTGCCCTGCAGGATGTCGCTGCTGAGCCTGTCCTGGCTGGGCCTCGGGCCGGTGGCAGCATCCCCATGGCTGCTCCTGCTGCTGGTCGGGGCCTCCTGGCTCCTGGCCCGTGTCCTGGCCTGGACGTACGCCTTCTATGACAACTGCCACCGCCTCCAGTGTTTCCAGCAGCCTCCAAAACGGAACTGCTTTTGAGGTCACCTGAGCCTGGTGAGTATGGCAGCACGACGGGTCTGGGGTCTCAGGGTGGGTGGACTTCTAGAGGGGTGGGAATGGGGCTCAGGGAGCTGGATATTGAGGGTGGGTTGGGGTCTGGGACATCAGAGGAGTGAGGGAGGCCGAGGGGAGCCCCTATTTCCTCACTGCCCCAACCGGATTCATTCCTCCTCTCTGTCCACTCCATGGCCCCAGGCCTTTTTCTTTCTCTCTCTTCCCCACCCTAAGCCTGCTTTGGCTCAAGTTCCTACTTGTCTTCCCCACATTAATGCATCGTTGTATCCTTGTTCTACTGGGGGCTTCTAGGGTGGACTGCACAGAGCAGGTACTCCCTGGCTGCCCATGTTTTTTTTTTTTTTTTGAGACAGGGTCTCGCTCTATCACCCAGGCTGGAGTGCAGTGGTGCAATCATAGCTCACCGCAGCCTTGACCTCCTGGGCTCAACCAATCCTCCCATCTCAGCCTCCCCAGTAGCTGGGACTACAGGCGTGCACCACCAGACCTGCTAGTTTTTTTTTTTGTAGAGACAGGGTCTCACTATGTTGCCCAGAGTGGTCTCAAACTCCTGGCCTCAAGCAATCCTCCCATCTCTGCCTCCCAAAGTGTTGGGATTACAGGCATGAACCACTGCACTTAGCTTAGTCCACAATCCTTATCACTGGACTTGAGGTCTCCTCACGGGGAGAGTCCAGAGTCCACTCTCTGCCTGGCCCATCTCTGTGGGCCTCAGGCTGGTGTCTACTCCTCTCTGGGCTGCTGCCTCCCCATAAGATTTGCTATTTCTCCCTACCGCACCCACAGGGCACAGCTGGGCCAGAGGAAAGATGTGGCTGGTTTCTCCCTCCGTGTCTTTAATCAGGCACCTTTTTTTCTTATATTTCCCTCCACCCCTAAGATATGTCAATGGGCCCCATTGCTCAGTTTGGATAACAGTTGACTACTTTTCCTTTCAGAAGGGATCATTCTGGCCTCTGCCCTAACAGCCAAATTCCCTGGGAGGAGATTCCTCATCTCCCTCATCCTAGCCTCCCCCCTAGAGGACTTTTCTCCATGCTGTGTTGGCCCTCTACTGCCAGAATCATACCTTGGGTTGGTCATTATCTGTAAAGGCGCCACTCCAATGCCATTGATTCAAGTGTTGCCTTCTCTGACCACAATCCCTTCTCTCCTTCTAGCTTTTTCTGTTCACTATCTCTCAACCTTTTTTTTTTTTTTTTTTTTTTTTGAGATGTCGTCTCGTTCTCACTCGTGCACACCAAGGCTGGAGTGCAGTGGCGTGATCTCAGCTCACTGCAATCTCCGCCTCCCAGGTTCACGTGATTCTCTTGCCTCAGCCTCCCAAGTAGCTGGGATTATAGGCGCCCACCATCACGCCTGGCTAATTTTTATATTTTTAGTAGAGATGAGGTTTCATCATGTTGTCCAGGGTGGTCTCAAACTCTTGACCTCAAGTGGTCTGCCCACCTTGACCTCCCAAAGTGCTGGCATGAGCCACTGCACCTGGCCCACTGCTTCTCATCTTACACCCTGTTGGGACTTCCAGTTCTCTCTACACCCCAGTCTAGCAGCTTCTTCCAGTCCTTCCTAGGCATAGTTCCTATTATTTGCTCATGGGCTGGTTTCTGGCCAATGGGACTTTCTTTCCTGGCCATTTGGAAGACCTTTGCCTTAGATGAGCTCAATCGCCCATGTTCTGTCTTTATTTTTCATTTTTTATAGAGACAGGGTCTCACTATGTTGCCCAGGCTGGTCTTGAACTCCTGGGCTCAAGCAATCCACCTGCCTCAGCCTCCTAAAGTGCTGGGATTACAGGCATGAGCCATGGTGTCTGGCCACCCGTGTTCTCTTTATTTCTTCTCTACAACAATATTAGAGAAGGTCACAAAGCAGGTCAGATGGGTGATATGTAAATTCCCTCCCACCCACCTCCTGTGCACCACATTCTGCGCCCAGACCTTCAGCCTGCTTGCTCTGCTGTCCCCTCAAAGACAGAGTTGCCTTCACTCACTCCCTTTGTTTCTCTGATCGCCCCTCACCTGCTCTCCACCCCATCCTGCTGTCTTGAGGTGACCGTGACCCTCAAGCCCCCAAATCCCATGGACACCTCCCAGCCCCAACTCATCTACCTCCCAGCAGCTCTCTGAATTTGTGACTACTCAGTCATTCCCAGTACCTCCTTTTTTCTTGGTTCCAGGACGTTGCCATTCCCTGGTCTCCTCTGACCTTCGTGTGCTCCCGTGTCTCTGCTGTTGGCTCCTCACTATGGGGAGATCCCCCATGGTCCTAGTCATTCCTCCCTCTTGCCTCTCTCCTGAGGTCACCTCCTTACCCAGGGCTCCAGCTTCTAAATTGACCATCGGTTCCCTCTAGAAGTGAGCTCTGAGTTTACATCTCCTGAGCTGGAGGTCATTGCTTCTCTCCTCTCGGGGTGGGGGTGGTCTCAGAAACACTTCCATTCCGATCGGTTTGAATCTGAACTCATGGCCCCCCTCCCTACACTGTCCCCCATTTTGGTCTAGTCCTTCAGTTTCCCAGACCCCACGCTTTGGGGTCTCCTGATGTTCTCTTTCTCTCATCTGCACATCCTGTCCCTCAGCACGTCTGCTGGTGCTGCCTGGCACAGTCTCTCCTCCGTCAATTCCTTCTCTGAGTCCTCCTGCCTCCCCTGGCTCCATCCCTTGCCACCTCTCTCCTGGATGCCTCCCACGGGCGCCTCCCTGGTCTCCCTGTTGCCGTGCCCAATCCTTTCCTCCACTCTCTCCTCAGTCCCGGACAGGCTTTTTCCTTCCTTCCTTCCTTCCTTCCTTCCTTCCTTCCTCTTTCTTTCTTCCTTTCTTTCTTTCCTTTCTTCTTTTCTTTCTTTCTCTTTCTTTCTTTTTCTTTCTTCTTTCTTTTCTTTCTCTCTATCTCTTTCTTTCTCCCTTCCTTCCTTCTTTCTCTTTCTTTCTTTCTTTTTCTGTCTAAAAAAGGAAACCATTTATAAAAATTACAGACAAAAGCACACAAATTACACTACAAATCCATTAGAGATACTATCAATTGGCTAACAGGCAAAAGTTTTGCCTACACAGTTTGAATAAATAGAGACAGAGATTATCGACAAATTTAAGAAAATCGATGCAATCTCATAATCAATAAAGACAATTTCAGATGTGACCTTTTATTTTATTTTTTTATTTTTTTGAGACAGGGTTTCATTGTGCCGTCCAGGCTGGAGTGCAGTGGCATGATCTCGGCTCACTGCAACCTCCATCTCCTGGGTTCAAATGATCCTCCTGCCTCAGCCTCCCTAGTAGCTGGGACTACAGGCATGTACCACCATGCCCGGCTAATTTTTGTATGTATATATATGGTTTTTTTCGGAGACAGAGTCTTGCTCTGTCACCAAGACTGGAGTGCAGTGGCATGATCTCGGCTCACTGCAACCTCTGCCTCCTGGGTTTAAGTGATTCTCCTGCCTCAGCCTCTGGAGTAGCTGGGATTACAGGCGTGCACCACCATACCCAGCTAATTTTTTTTTTTTTTTTTTTTTGTATTTTTAGTAGAGACAGGGTTTCACCATGTTAGCCAGGCTGGTCTCAAACTCCTGACCTCAGGTGATCCGCCTGCCTCAGCCTCCCAAAGTGCTGGGATTAGAGGTGTGAGCCACCACACCCGGCCAAGATGTTACTTCTTGACTATTACATTGATAAAGGCTTTTTAAAAACATATAAGGCCTTCAGTGTGTAATGCTGTCCACCTTCATACGGAGCAGATATGCATGTGGATATTTATAAAATTCTTCTTCAAAGTAATTTTGCAGTATATATCAAAAACTTCAAACTATACCAATGACTTATTTTGAGGACACTATATTCAGTTGATAATCAGGTATATGTAACATAATTACATGAGACTTCCATTGCATTTGTTATGCTAGTAATAAATAGTAAACATGTTTTCAAAACTAGTGAATTAATTATGGTAAAGCCATATGGACCACTGCAAGTTCCCTGAGAGCAAAAGTGACTTCACCTGTCCTATCCCCTGCTCTATCACCTGAATGTAGAATGCACACAGTCTATCTTGAATAACTATTTGTTGAAGGAACTGTATGAAAACATTAATCATTATGCTTGTGAAGACTGATTGAAGAATAATTAAAACATCAAGCTACATGAAAACATGACACAGATCTTATAGAATGAGAGCTCAGGTTTTAAAGTTTGTTATTTGCAATGAAGTAAAGAGATGAGATGGCTGGTGCAGTGGCTCATGCCTGTAATCCCAGCACTTTGGGAGGCCGAGGCAGGTGGATCACCTGAGGTCAGGAGTTCGAAACCAGCCTGACCAACGTGGTGAAACCCCATCTCTACTAAAAATACAAAGATTAGTCGGGTGTGCTGATGGGCGCCTATAATCTCAGCTACTCTGGAGGCTGAGGCAGCAGTATCTCTTGAACCTGGGAGGCAGAAGTTGCAGTGAGCTGAGATCTATCCATTGCACTGTAGCCTGAGTGACAAGAGGAAAACTCTGTCTCAGAAAAAAAAAAAAAAAAAAGATGAGACCTGGACAGACTTTTTTGATAGACTGAGCCACTTATTGGGAGGCGGAGGTTGCAGTGAGCCAAGATGGCCCCATTGCACTCCAGCCTAGGCAACAAGAGTGAAATTCCATCTCAAAAAAAAAAAAAAAGTGGCTGGGTCTCATTTTCCTCTTTATTGGTTTGTGCCACCCAACATCATACGATCTGTCATCAGCACCACAGGTGCTCACTCAGAACACCTGGAAGTGGGTGCTATGGCAGTGTCCAAAGCCTGTGAGCCCCTTCTTGCCCAGCTTATGTGTTGATCCTGTAGGACCCAAGGTCCCCGTGGCTCTGGACGCCCTTGGTCATCTTTTATTTCTTTCATTTATTTGCCAATCTCCATCCTAGGGATCCTTGGAGAGACTCAGTTGAGGTTCTACCTTGGAGGCACCCCCAATCTTGGGGCCACAGAACTAGACTGAGACACTCCACATCCTGTGTGGTCAGGGCTGGCTTGAAGGAGAGATGGACTGTAGGACCCCTGAGGGGAATCAGGGTTTTTGCCAATGGGGCAGGCAGGCAGGCTTCCTGGAGGAGGGGTTTGTGGAAGTGGGTCTGGAATGATGAGTAGGAATTTTTTTAAGCAAAGAAGAGAAAGAGAAAGATAATTTCATGTGGAGGTTGGGCCAACTCGAAGACTTGGAGGTGAGAGCAAGCACCTGGCTTTTGAGCAGCAAGAAAGAGCTTGGTGCCACCAGAACAATTAGGATGAGAGGCAGAAGAAAGAGGGAGGGGAGGAGATTGATTCTGAGGACAATGGGGAGCCCTGGAGGGTGTGTGAACAGGAGAGGGGCAATATCAGCTGACTGGCTCCTTCCGTTGCCCCACCTGGTTTCTCTCCCTTTTTATCAAGCTCCTTTCTATAGCAACCCTTGCAGAAGTATCTGCAATTCAGGTTTTGCTTCTAGAGAGCCCACACTAAGACAGGGCCTTATGATTCTCCAGTCATTCCTCTCCCACTGACCTGCTACCTCTGCTCTTGTTCTCTGACTGGCTTCTACCCATTTTCTTCCACTTCCTTCTGGATCTCTTCTGGGCATCTCCTTCAGTCTTTCCCAGCTGGCTCCAGCCTGGGCACAGTTGTGGGAGTGATGGGAGTATGAGACAGAACATTCTCCCATGAACTCAAATTCAGGGCTATCCTTGGGGTGGGATGTGGAGCCTGGTCTGGGGGTGGTGCAGCCAGGCTTGGGAGAAGGGGCTGTGTCTACATCTTCCCCCTGCTAACTTGCTGCAAAGCTGGGGGTACCTGTCTAGAGCTAGGGGCAGGAGGCTGTGCTGGGACTAGGGGACAGGAGAGAAAGTTCAATGGACTGAGATTCATTATGAATTTGGGATAAACAGCAAGTGGGGTGAATGGTCAAGTGTTGGTGGGGAGAGACAGGGAGAGGGATGGAGAGTTGGACTTGGGAGAGACAGTGATAGGGAAAAAGATGCTCACACAGAGAAAGAGAGAGACAGTGAGAGACAGAGTGAGGGAGAGAGAGGGGAGAGGGAGAGAAAGACACAGAGAAAGTGACACATAAACAGAAAGTAAAAGAAACACATAGACACACATATCTAAATCTGTCATTGATCATATCTGTCATCTATGTAGCCATCACTCATACATCTCTCTCATCTATACCTGTCTCTCTTATCTCTCTATCCATCTATCCTATTTATCATCTATCGATCTGTCACCTACCTTTCTCTTTCTCTCATCTATCTGTCTATCGTATTATCTACCTACCTACCTACCTATCCATCCATCCATCCTGCCTGTGCATCCATTCATCCTTCTATCTATCCTATCTATCTATCTATCTATCTATCTAGCTATCTATCTATCTATCTATCTAATCTATCATCTATCCATCCATCCATCTTATCTGTGCATCCATACATCAATCCATCCATCTATCCTGTTATCTACCTACCTACCTACTTATATACCTACCTCCTACCTACCTACCTACATATCCGTCCATCCCTCCTATCTGTGCATCCATCCATGTATCCTATCTATCTATCTATCTATCTATCTATCTATCTATCTACTTTTTTTTTTTCAAGATGGGGTCTCGCTGTGTCACCCAGGCTGGAGTGCAGTGGCGTGATCTTGGCTCACTGCAACCTCCACGTCCTGAGTTCAAGTGATTCTCCTGCCTCAGCCTCCCGAGAAGCTGGGACTACAGGCATGCGCCACCAGACCCGGCTAATTTTTGTATTTTTAGTAGAGACAGGGGGGTTTCACCATATTGGTCAGGCTGGTCTTGAACTCATGACCTCGTGATCCACCCACCTCAGCCTCCCAAAGTGCTGGGAATACAGGCATGAACCACCGCACCTGGCCTATCTATCTATCTTCTATCTATCTGCTTGTATATCTACCGACTGACCAACCTACCTACCCATTTATCCATCCATCCATCCAGCGATCCATCCATCCATCCTATCTGTGTGTCCATCTGTCCATTTAATCTATCTATCTATCTATCTATCTATCTATCTATCTATCTATCTATCTAATCTATCTATCTATCATCTCCCTCCCTCCCTCCCCACCTACCTACCAATCCATCCATGCATCCACCCATCCTATCTACGGGTCCATCCAACCATCTATCTTATTATCTATCTGTCTGTCTATCTATCTATCTATCTATCTATCTATCCATCCATCCATCCATCATCTACATATCTATCTAGAGAAAGACACAGAGAGAGGAAGAGAGTGAGGGAACAGAGAAGCACATAGACACAGACACAGAAAGAGACAGGCAGAGACCAATATTTCAGGTGAAAGGGCTGAGAAGTTTGGGGGTGTGTGGTGGGTAGGGGGGTGCAATGGGCAGTGGTAGCATCTGAGGCCCCCTGCCAGCCTGGTGTCAGCCTTGTCTATCCCCAGATGCGGGGCAATGAGGAGGACATGAGGCTGATGGAGGATCTGGGCCACTACTTCCGTGATGTCCAACTCTGGTGGCTTGGGTCTTTCTACCCTGTCCTGCATCTCGTCCACCCTACGTTCACTGCCCCTGTGCTCCAGGCTTCAGGTATCTTTCTCAGGAGGCTATGCTGCAGCATCTTCCCTGCCTCTGCTCCCTGCCTTCCCAACCTTTGGACAGGCCATGCTGAGCAGAAAAATGGACATATCCAATAGAGACCATGGCTCTGCCACTAACCTGCTGGGTGACTCTGGGCAGGTCCCTGGTGCTCTCTGGCTCCTGAGGCCTCTTTTAGTTCTGAATGAAGAAAACTCAACCCTGTGTGGTCTAAGCAAAGAAACAGAATGCATTGACTGTAAAGTAAAAGTCAGGAAGTAAAAGTGAAGTCCAGGAAGGGTGGTCTTCAGGCATGGCTGGATCCAGGCCATCATAATGCCAGTCTTCATCTCTTAGCTTTGTATCCCTCTGTGATGGTTTCACTCTCATGCTGCTAAAGATAAATCCCAGAAGCTCAACCCCCATGGAAAATTCCCTGTAGTTCCAGGAAAATTTCCAGGATTCCCCTAAATTTGCCTGGCCTGGGTCACAGGACCAATTTCTTATCCAGTCACTGCAGCTTGATTGCATAGGTTTAAGGTCATATGCTTAGCTCTGGAGCAGGGGATGAGAACCCACTCAACTACTTGGATTGAGAGTGGGGAAGGCATGAGGAGGATGGATGCTGGACGGGCAGATACCACCATTCACCAGACATCCATTCACCAGCATCCCTGTGAGATAGGCATTTCCTGAGTCAGAAAACTGAGGTGCAGAGAGGTGCAATGACTTCTCAAGGTCACACAGCATATCGAGGCCTCCCTCTTAGTTCTTTTTGTAATTTTTTTGAGACAGGGTCTCACTCATTAATGCTTATTGTGGAGTGTGGCAGGATACTGAGGAAGCCTAAATCAAGCCTAGGTTACATGTGGGATGCTAATAGGACCAGATTTAAATCCTATCTGGGGCCCATCTATAGGGCATGTGGAAGTCATTTTAGACTCTCTCAGGTCCATGTCTGAGCATGCCACATCAGGACAGGTCATGTATATTGTGTCAATGTCAGAACATGTTAACGCATCTCAGGCTATGCCACATATCTCAGGTCCATGTCAGAAGATGTCAGAGAGTACTGGGCAGACAGGGTGTCCTAGGTCCTTTTTTTTTTTTTTTTTTGGAGACAGCGTCTCACTCTGTCATCCTGGCTGGGGTGCAGTAGAACGATCTTGGCTCACTGCAACCTCCGCCTCCCTGGTTCAAGCAATTCGCCTCCCGAGTAGTTGGGACTACAGGCGCCCGCCGCCACACCCAGCTAATGTTTTTGTATTTTTTAGTAGAGACGGGGTTTCACCATGTTGCCCAGGCTGGTTTTGAACTGCTGAGCTCAGGCAATCCGCCCACCTCAGCCTCCCAAAGTGCTAGAATTACAGGCGTGATCCACCGTGCCCGGCTAGGGTGTCCTAGGTCCTTGTAAAGGCATTTTGTAGAGCGTTGAGCTATGCTCAGGTGTTGCAGAACATGTTGGACCATGTAGGAGCCATGTCAAGGCGTACTGGGGTGTGCTGTGCCATGTTGGGCTGTGTCATTGTTCTACTGCACCGCTGCAGCCTGGTCTGGTCCCCAGTCTCCTCCCCTGTCCTCCCTCCTTCCTTTGCCCTTGACCCTCTTCCTGCTATGCTGGGCCTGGAGGGTGGAAGTGCAAATCCCTGGCTGGGAGCCTCCCCCTACACTCAAAGTCCCTCCCCTGCCCCTCTCCATAACCCCTGATGGTCCTTATTCATGTCAGCTGCTGTTGCACTCAAGGATATGAGTTTCTATGGCTTCCTGAAGCCCTGGCTGGGTGAGTAACTAGATGAATGGGGATGGGGACAACCTTCTGGGGCCAGGGGAAGGTGCTGTCCTTGCCCATGGCCCTTGGCTGCCTCTACTAGGGGATGGGCTCCTGATTAGTGCCGGTGACAAGTGGAGATGGCACCGCCACCTGCTCACACCTGCCTTCCACTTCAAAATCCTGAAGCCCTATGTGAAGATTTTCAATGAGAGCACGAACATCATGCACGTGAGTGCCACAAACTCGGATCCCAGCTGGGCCCTTGGAAAAGGAGAAGTGACCTCAGACAGATCTGGTCTGAAATGCTGGCTCTGCTGGGTGGCTTTGGTGCCATAGCTCTTCCTCCCTAGGCCTTGGTTTCTTCATCTGTAAAATGTGGATAATAATTTCTACTTAAAGGGTGGTCAAGATCTTGTACCGAAGTCATGTTCTTGGCACATAGTAGGTGTTCAGAAGGCATTAATTACTAGTCTCCCTCACAGAAACCTTGCAAACTAATAAAGACAGTTATGATGAAATTTGGATAATGGCAGGGCGCAGTGGCTCACTCCTGTAATCCCAGCACTTTTGAGGCCGAGGTGGATCACTTGAGGCCAGGAGATTGAGGCCAGCCTGGCCAACGTGGTGAAACCCCATCTCTACTAACAATACAAAAAAATAATTAGCTGGTATGGTGGCGCATGCCTGTAATCCCAGCTACTTGGGAGGCTGAGGCAGGAGAATTGCTTGAATCCAGGAGGCAAAGGTTGCAGTGAACTGAGATTGTGCCACTGCACTCCTGCCTGGGCGACAGTGAGACTACAAGTCCAAAAAAAAAAAAAAATTGCATATAGCTTTTTCTGCATAGCAAACCACTTTAAAACTCACTGGCCCTGGTGGGCCAACCAGACACTTCCATTTGTCCCTTATTTTCCAGGAGGCTAGCCTGGGTTCACTACCACCATGGAGCCTGAGTTTCAAGAGAGTGAGCAGAAACATTTTAGTACCTCCTGATGCTTAGTTCAGAACTAGCACACTAGCATTTTTACCACATTCTCCTGGTGAAAGCCAGTTTCAAGACCAGCTCAAATCCAGGAGATGGAGACTCAGGCTCTGCCTGCAAATGGAAGGAGGTGCCAAGTCTCATCGCCAAGGGTGAGGGGCAAAAAGTTGGGGACATTTCTGCAATCACTTGCCTCTGTGCTAATGATGAGGATGATAATGATAGCTAACATTTATTGAGCACTTAGTGTATACCAGAAACTATATGCCAATTCCATGATCTATGTTGTCTAATTTAATATTCACAATCCTTTGAGGTAGAGATGATCATAATTGCCACATTATGGATGAAGAAATTGTGGGTCAGAGAGATTAGGGAGCTTGCCTAAGTTTACACAGTTAGAAAGTGAGCTAAAAGTGGTGGAGAAGGGGTTCTAACCTGGTTATCTGGCACCAAAGCAGATCATCTTGTTTTGCTTTTTTTTTTGTTTTTTTTTTTTTTGAGATGGAGTCTCACTCTGTCACCAGGCTGGAGTGCAGTGGCATGATCTCAGCTCACTGCAACCTCCGCTTCCTGGGTTCAAGCGATTCTCCTGCCTCAGCCTCCTGAGTAGCTGGAATTACAGGCACCTGCCATCACATCCAGCCATTTTTTGTATTTTTTGGTAGAGACGGATTTCACCATGTTGGCCCAGATGGTCTCAATCTCCTGAACTCATGATCTGCCCATCTCACCTTCCAAAGTGTTGGGATTACACGTGTGAGCCACTGTGCCTGACCCAAAGCAGATCATCTTAACTATTACTGAAGATTTGACAGGGGGGACCTAAAGAGGGCAGTGGGCTGACCAAGGGTACATAGGGCACAGAAGCAGAGCTGGAACTTGAACCCAGGTCACCCGAACCCCAGCCTTGGGCCTTCATGTCCTAATAGTAACAGCTTCTGTCCCTCACAAGCTTGGTCCTCCTTGGGGATGGGTACCCGGGAAAGACGACTAGGAGTTGGTTCTGGGGGAGTCCATCCTGGAGGTTGGGGACGGGAAGGGACTCAGGGGAGCCAGGGCTCAGTTCCTGCTCTGTCCCCTTCTCTGGCCAGGCCAAATGGCAACGCCTGGCCTTGGAGGGCAGTGTCCGTCTGGAAATGTTTGAGCACATCAGCCTCATGACCTTGGACAGTCTGCAGAAATGCATCTTCAGCTTTGACAGCAATTGTCAGGAGTGAGTTCTTCCCCAGGACCTGGGATCTTGGCCATGGACCCACAGGAGTAGGTTATGGAGAGAGGACTGATCAGGGCATCTGAAGTGTCTTCTTGGAGAAAATGAGTCAGAATTGAGCATGGAAGTACAGGGAAGGGGAGAGAGAAAGATCAGTTCTCCAGGTAGGTAGAAGTGTTTGGGTAATGGCAAGGAGGCTAGGATGAGCAGAGCACGTGCAATGGCCATCAAGGGGACACCTTGGAAATGAGATTGGAGGGGTCAGCAGTAGCTACAACTTAATGACATTGAAAAGCCATGCAAAGGGGTATGAACTTCATCCAAGGCTCCCAGGGAATCATGGGAGGTATTTGAGAAGATGAGGGTCATGGTCAGTGCTGAGCTTGGACGTTTGACTCTGTGGAAGATTGACTGTTATGTAGACAGAGGAAGCAAGGAGACCATGGAGAGGAAGAGGCCTGAGCTTGGTGGAGAAAAAGGGGCAGATTTGAGAGAAACCAAGGAGAAATAGGCAGGAGCAGATGTTGTGTAAGATGCCCATGATGGCCAAGCTGTGCCCTGGGGCATCTGGGGCAGGAGGCAGCTCACAGAGAGTGGGAGGCAGAGAGTGAAGTGTGCTTGCAGGGCACCCTTTTCTGCACCGAACGTGGTCCTGGGATTCTGGCTAGAAGGTGCTCCCAGGCTTTCATGTGTGTTTAGAAGCTGCTTCCTCTTCCTGGCCTGACCCTGCGGGAAGCCCAGCGAATATATTGATGCCATCTTGGAGCTCAGTGCCCTCAGTCTGAAACGGCACCAGCACATCTTCCTGCTCACGGACTTCTTGTACTTCCTCACTCCCAATGGGCGACGCTTCTGCAGGGCCTGTGACATAGTGCACAACTTCACAGATGCTGTCATCCAGGAGCGGCGTCGCACCCTCACTAGCCAGGGTGTCGATGACTTCCTGCAGGCCAAGGCCAAGTCCAAGACTTTGGACTTCATTGACGTGCTCTTGCTGGCCAAGGTGGGCTACTCTGGGATCTGAATTTCAGAAGTAGAATGGACTTTGACGTGAAATGTCAGATCCATGAACTTGGACTTGATCCAGAGGGCACTGGGGAGCCATGGAAGGTGCTTGAGGAAAGGAGGGACAAGTAAGATATATTTTAGAGGTGACTCTGTAGAAGAGTTCCTAGAAGGAGCAAACAGGAGGCAAGAGACTGGGAAAGAGTCCTGCTAGGCAGGTCTAATGATGATAAGGGAGGAATCTTGCCTGGAATATGGATCTTCATGAACTGTTTTAGGTTAGACTCAGGTGCCTTCATGGCTGGTGTAATTTAGAGGTCTTGTCTTGTCTCCAGGATGAAAATGGAAAGAAGTTGTCAGATGAGAACATAAGAGCGGAGGCTGACACCTTCATGTCTGGGGGTGAGGGTCCCAGGGTGTGATGTCACTAGGGGTAGGAGTGTCTCCATTCCAGGGATGTGGTGAGTGGACCCTGGATCACCCCATCCCATCTTCCTTCCCCACTTCCTTCTGAGGGCCTCAATACATGGGTGCTGTCCACCCTTGGGTGCTGAAGCAGCCCAGAGACCCAAGCTTACCTGGCTGCCCCTCAGGCCATGACACCTCGGCCAGTGGTCTCTCCTGGGTCCTGTACAACCTCGCGAGGTACCCAGAATACCAGGAGCACTGCCGACAGGAGGTGCAAGAGCTCCTGAAGAACGGTGATCCTAAAGAGATTGAATGGTGAGTGTGCAGGTCCTCATGACCTGTTCCTGAGTCCCTCTCATTGGTTTAGCTCTTCAGGTGGGAAAGGGAGAAGGTCTTATTGGTGATTGTGCTATTACTGCCTAGTGGGAATTGGTGCAGAGCTCAGAAACAGGGCCTGGTACTCAGCCTGGAGCAAAGGAAATGTTGCAGGATTTTTGCCTTTACTATCTATTGCAATTAAACTCATTCAATTATTTTTTCTTTTTTGTTACTTCTTTCTTTTTTCTTTTCTTTTTTTTTTTTTTTGAGACAGTCTCACTGTGTCATCCAGGCTGGAGTGCAGTGGCATAATCTCTGCTCACTGCAACCTCTGCCTCCTGAGTTCAGGTGATTCTCCTGCCTCAGCTTCCTGAGGACCTGTGATTGCAGGCATCCGCCACTATGCCCAGCTAATTTTTGTATTTTTAATAGAGACGGGGTTTCACCATGTTGGCCAGGCTGGTCTCGAACTCCAGACCTCAGGGGATTCGCCTACCTCAGCCTACCAAAGTGCTGGGATTACAGGTGTGAGCCACAGCGCCTGGCCAAACCTATTCAGTTCTAATAGATATTGCCGAATTGCCTTTTAGAGTCTCTGCACTGATTAACTCTCCAGTGTGTTGTAGAACTAGTTCTCTTTGTTTCCTCCTTTTTGATAGCTGCATAGTGTTCTCTCATAAGGATGTACTGTAATTCATCAAAACATTTCTCCATTGATGGATATTTGTGTGCTTTCCAGGCTTTTGCTATAACTAACATGATGTAGTGGGCACCCATGTACACTGACCATTGCTTACATCTGTGAGCAGCTTTGCAGTACCAATTCTGAGAAGTGCAGTTGGTGAACTGAAGACCATTTGAGATTGACAATTCAATAGCTCCTACACACACATTTTGAGAATGCCTTCCTCACATTCTCCCCTAAAGTGTCTATTATGAAACTTTAAAACATTTGCCAATCTGATAGATGCAACATAATACTTCAATGAACATCACTTTAAGCCTGGGTAAAGTTGAGCATTGTTTTCACTTACTGACCATGGGTATTTCTTATTCTGTGAAGTGTTTGCACAATTTGTTCCTTCTAGTTTGGGTTTTGTAGTTTTTTTCTTATTGATTTATAAGCACTGCTCACAGATTAAGAAAACTAGTTCTTTTTTTCTGTTTTGCAAAGTTCTTTTTCAGATTGTCTTTGAATTAATTGTTGGTTTTCATTCATTTATTTTGGCTTGATTAATTTATTTGCAGTCAAATTCTTTCCTTTATACGTGCCGTTTTTTGTTTTTTTTATTATTTTTATTATTTTTTTTTTGAGACAGAGTCTTGCTCTGTCACCCAGGCTGGACAGCAGTGGCACCATCTCAGCTCACTGCAACCTCCGCCTCCCGAGTTCAAGTGATTCTCCTCCTCAGCCTCTCAAGTAGCTGGGATTACAAGTGTCCACCACTATGCCCAGCTAATTTTTGTATTTTTAGTAGAGATGGGGTTTCACCATGTTGGCCAGGCCTCAGGTGATCCACCTACCTTGGCCTCCCAGAGTGCTGGGATTACAGGCGTGAGCCACTGCGCCTGGCCATGTTTTTGTTTTTTTAAATCATGCATGGGACATTCTTTCATGCTCTAAAATTAAAATGTAAAACTCATGTTTGTTTTCCTCTGATGGGTTTATTTGTTTTTAAAATATTTTATTTATTATTTTAGTTTAAAAATATTTATTACTTTTTTCTCTATGAAGTCTATGATAGTATAAGAATTGTTGTAGGAATGTATTCATTTTCCTCCAAATGGCTAGTTGCCCCAACAGAATTTAATGAATATTTTGTATTTGTCTTACGATTTTAAATAACAGCAGATTCACAATAAGTGAAATTTATTTATATATTTGGGTCTGTTTCTTGGGCTTTATTCTGTTCCACTTAATTTTATTTATTTATTTATTTATTTATTTATTTTATTTTTTTTTTTTGAGACAGAATCTTGCTCTGTCGCCCAGGCTGGAGTGCAGTGGTGTGATCTTAGCTCATTGTAACTTCCATCTCCTGGGTTCAAGCGATTCTCCTGCCTCAGCCTCCCGACTAACTGGGACTAGAGGTGCACATCACCACACCCGGCTAATTTTTGTATTTTTAGTAGAGACAGGGTTTCACCATGTTGGCCAGGCTGGTCTCAAATTTCTGATCTCAAGTGATCCGCCCAACTCGGCTTCCCAAAATGCTGGGGTTCCAGGCGTGAGCCACCACGCCTGGCCCAGTTAATTATATAGTCATACATAAGCATCAAGATGTCTTCATCATTATACTTTAAATAACACTTTCATATTTGATAAAGGTGATCCTATTTTATTACTTTGCTTTTACAAGTTTTTCTTTTTTTCTTTTCTTTTCTTTTTTTTTTTTTTTTGAGATGGAACCTCGCTCTGTCACCCAGGCTGAAGTGCAGTGGTGCAATCTCTGCCTCCTGAGTTCGGCTCACTGCAACCTCTGCCTCCTGAGTTCAAACTATTCTCCTGCCTCAGCCTCCTGAGTAGTTGGGATTACAGGTGCCCACCACCACGCCCGGCTAATTTTTTTGTATTTTTAGTAGAGACAGGGTTTCACCATGTTGGCCAGGCTGGTCTCGATCTCCTGATCTCAGGTGATCTGCCTGCCTCGGCCTCCCAAAGTGCTGGAATTACAGGTGTGAGCCACTGCACCTGACCTGAGCACCTCTTCTTATTGTCCCACTTATGCCTAGTGTTCCATTATTGGAATGCTAAGCATGTGGGAGTTATTCATATTCTACTGCTCCAGGTCATTGCCAAGGTCTGATTTTCAAAATTCAAAAAATTGAAACCTCAGGCATAAATGGGTTAAATCTCTTATAGACCTCAGGGCATCCATGATTTCTTAGATCATATTCTTTTCTACTTTTCTCTTGGGTCACCTGTTCTTTCTCTTGTTATTTTGCAGGAATTCCTTGTATTCTAGATATTGTAGAAACCTTTGAATCTCTCATCTGAATGTTCATTTGGTCCATGGTATCCTGTGTTACACATAATTCCTTAATTTTCATGCATATTTATCCTTTTTCTTTTTGATCTTCTACTTTGTCCTTTCGAGGTTTTAAGAATTCCCACCCTTAAGTCACAAAAGTGTTTCTTCTGTTATCTTCTCTTAACTTTATAGCTTTATTCATCTCATATAGGAAGAGATTCCATCCTGTATATGAAGTAGACAAGGATCTGGTTTTTTTGTTCCCAAATTTCCAATTGTTTGAACATCTTCCTCCAAATCATCTATCAATTGCCCAGGGGTGTGTGGGCCCCTCTTTACCAGAAGTTGTTAAATTTTCACCTATTCCTGTGCCTGACTGCAAGCTCTCTTCTCTCTTCCTCTGGTCCGTTTTCCTGTTCTTGTAGCAGTACCAGTCTTTTCTTTTCGTTTCTTTTCTTTTCCTTTCTTTCCTTTTCCCTCCTTCCCTCCATCTTTCTTTCTTTCCTTCCTTCTTTCTTTCTTTCCTTCTTTCTTTCTTTCTTCCCTCCCTCCTTCTCTCTTTCTTCCCTCCCTCCTTCTCTCTTTCTTCCCTCCCTCCTTCTCTCTTTCTTCCCTCCCTCCTTCTCTCTTTCTTCCCTCCCTCCTTCTCTCTTTCTTCCCTCCCTCCTTCTCTCTTTCTTCCCTCCCTCCTTCTCTCTTTCTTCCCTCCCTCCTTCTCTCTTTCTTCCCTCCCTCCTTCTCTCTTTCTTCCCTCCCTCCTTCTCTCTTTCTTCCCTCCCTCCTTCTCTCTTTCTTCCCTCCCTCCTTCTCTCTTTCTCCTTCCTTCCTTCCTTCCTTCCTTCCTCTCTCTCTCTCTCTCTTGCTTTCTTGCTTTCTTTCTTGGTTTTGCTGTGTTCCCAAGCTGGAGTGCAGTGGTGTGATCATGGCTCACTGCAACCTCCACCTCCCAAGATCAAGGGGTCCTCCCACCTCAGCCTCCCGAGTAGCCAGGAGTAAAGGCACATGCCACCACACCCGGCTAATTTTTTGTATTTTTAGTAGAGACAAGGTCTCACTATGTTGCCCAGGCTCGTTGTGAACTCCTGGGCTCAAGCAGTCTGCCTGCTTTGGCCTTCCACTGTGTTCGGATTACAGATGTGAGCCACCTTGCCCAGCGCATTTATCACCTTTTTTTTTTTTTTTTTGACGGAGTCTCAGCTGGGCTGGTGAGCAGTGGCGTGATCTCGGCTCTCTGCAACCTCTGCCTTCCGGATTCAAGTGATTCTCCTGCCTCAGCCTCCGGAGTAGCTAGGATTACAGGCGCCTGCCACCACACCCAGCTATGTTTTTGTATTTTTAGTAGGGACGGGGTTTCACTATGTTGGCCAGGCTGATCTTAACTCCTGACCTCATGGCTCTCCCGTGGCGGCCTCCCAAAGTGCTGGGATTACAAGCTTGAGCCACCACCCCTGGCCACTTTATCTTTTAGAAAATATTTTATTTCATTTTTATGCTATACCTTTGTAATAGATCATAATATCTGGTAAATTGGATTTATCTTCTTCAATCTTTTATTTTAATTTTATCTTAACTTTTTTTTTAAGAGATGGGATCTCACTTTATAGCCCAGGCTGGAGTGCATTGGCATGATCATAGCTCACTGCAGCCTTGAACTCCTGGGCGCAAGGGATCCTCACACCTCAGCCTCCTGAGTAGCTGGGACCACAGACATGCACCACCAGGCCTGGTGGATCTTTTATTCTTAAATTGACCTAGCTTTTGATGAACTTTAATTCTTCCAATTAGAATAAGATGGTTAAGTTCCTACAAAATAAAATGCTAGATTTTTTATTGAATTGCTTTGAATATGTTGATTAATTTAGAAAGAAATGAGACCTTTATAATATTAAGTCATCTCATTCTAGAGTGTTGAGGGGATTTTATTGAAACAATTTTGTAATCTTTATAGAGATTTTCCCCTCGTCTTTGTTAGTATATTCTATTATTAATTTGAGACAGGGTCTTGCTCTGTCACCCAGGCTGGAGTGCAGTGGCATGATCTCCGCTCACTGCAAACTCCACCTCCCAGATTCAAGTGATTCTTGTGCCTCAGCCTCTTGAGTAGCTGGGATTACAGGTGCATGCCACCATACCCGGTTAATTTTTGTATTGTTAATAGAGACGGAGTTTTGCTATGTTGGCCAGGGTGGTCTTGAACTCTTGACCTCAAGTAATCAACCCGCCTCAGCTTTCCAAAGTGCTAGAATTACAGGCATAAGCCACAGCACCTGGCCTCATTATATATTTTAAAACATTTTTTAATGCAAATAGGTTAACACTTTTAAGGAGACCCTCTATATGTTGTGTTTTGCTTAGAAATGCTTCTAAAAATACCATATCAAGTTTTCTAATACTTTTGCGACTTTGGTTTTCTCATGCTTAAATCCTTGATTCTTCTGGAATTCATTTTGTTATTGGATTTAGGGTCAGAGGGAGGTTGGAATTGCCTTTGCAAAAATTATAACTGAGGACATCATGACAGTGAAAGAGAACAGACCTAATCGACTCCATCTTGCTTGTAACCTTCAAGCTGTCTTTGTTCATTCCTGGGCATAGGCTGAACTAACTTTGGGAAGGAATTCAGTTCTTGGTTTGAGTCTGAAACCAAATTGATAATAGCCCTTTCCTGAAAACACCCCCTGTCTTGATAAATCGGCTCTTTCTAGGCAGCAGGCAAGGTGAATTCACTGGGCGGTTACAAGTTGGTGCGAGGGTCTCTCTGGACTGCAGGAGGGCTGTGTTTGCCCCCTGGATAATTGTTGGGTGTTACCTTAGGGATGACCTGGCCCAGTTGCCCTTCCTGACCATGTGCCTGAAGGAGAGCCTGCGGCTGCATTCCCCAGTCTCCAGGATCCACCGCTGCTGCCCCCAGGACGGGGTGCTCCCGGATGGCCGGGTCATCCCCAAAGGTGCCCACAGTTGGGCAGGCGGGGAGGGCTTTGGGCAGGGTGGAGGTCCCATCGTGTAGTGGAGTCCTTGTCCTGACTGCACCTCCTCCCCGACAGGGAACACTTGCACCATCAGCATCTTTGGGATCCATCACAACCCTTCAGTCTGGCCGGACCCGGAGGTGCTACCCCTTCCGCCTTCTCCATCCCGGGGCCTGGTCAGGGGAGGGGTCTTTTCCCAGGGAAGCAGATACTCCCTCTCTACTCCACCCACATGTGTACTTTTTTTTTGTTTTGTTTTTTGAGACGAAGTTTTGCTCTTGTTGCCCAGGCTGGAGTGCAATGGAGCGATCTCGGCTCACTGCAACCTCTGCCTCCCGGGTTCAAGTGATTCTCCTGCCTCAGCCTCCCTAGTAGCTGGGATTACAGGCATGTGCCACCACGCCCGGCTAATTTTGTATTTTTAGCAGAGACGGGGTTTCTCCATGTTGGTCAGGTTGATCTCGAACTCCCAACCTCAGGAGTTTCGCCCCTCAGCCTCCCAAAGTGCTGGGATTACAGGCATGAGTCACCGTGCCCGGCTTCACATCTGTCTTATATGCGGGTGGCTGGGTGTCCTGAGAGACCCCCACCCAACAGCCCTAACTTGCCCACCCACCAGGTCTATGACCCCTTTCGCTTCGACCCAGAAAATCTCCAGAAGACATCACCTCTGGCTTTTATTCCCTTCTCAGCAGTGCCCAGGTGAGGCTAAGGGGCTTCTGAGGCGGGCATCGGGTGAGGGTGCCACAGGTGGAGGCAAGGTCTGACTTGTGGGGCCACGTGTTTCAGGGAGTCGAGGGTTTTAATAAGATCCCAGGAAAAGGGGGTGTGTGTTCTCAGACTTCCCCACTCCTACGTCTGCTGGTCTGGGGGCTGGAGTCTAAGCCAGGCTCGGAGGATATGCAAGCCCACATGGGGGTCCCAGGCACAGAGTCCCTCTCTCTGCCCCTCAATCGGATCTGGGTGGGGTTGGGAGTCCCAGACGAGGTTCCCGGCGCGATGGGGCCGGGATGGGGGTCCTGGGCACAGTCAGAGTCCCCACCCCCTCCCCCGGGAACTGCATCGGCCAGACGTTCGCCATGGCTGAGATGAAGGTGGTCCTGGCGCTCACGCTGCTGCGCTTCCGCGTCCTGCCGGACCACGCGGAGCCCCGCAGGAAGCTGGAGCTGATCGTGCGCGCGGAGGATGGACTTTGGCTACGGGTGGAGCCCCTGAGCGCGGATCTGCAGTGACCCACCACTGTCAGGTCTCAGAGCCACCCGCGCCCTCCTCAGGCACCTTTGCAGATTCCGGGGAATCAATCTGTGCCTGAGTCCCACAGACAGCCAGCAGGGGGCGTCGGAGAACTGCAGGGATCCAGGGCCTGGCGAGGGGAAGGCGGAGTATTTCTGAGCCAAGACCCTGACAGCCTCTCTGGTTGAGCACAGTGGCCCCGTGCTGAGGGCGGGTTGTCCCAGAGCGCAGGTGGGGACAGTATCCTGTGGGCGATAGGGAGCCATGGCGGGTGTTTGAGCAGGAGAGGGACCAGGGTTGAGGAGGCACCTATGGGGCAGGTTTGAGGCTCTGAGTCACTGAGGAAAACCAGAGCGGCACTACATCCCCGCCCCTCGATCTCAATTCTCATCTCCTAATACATCCAGTTGTTTTTTTTCCTCTCACCTCAGGGTTCTTCACCGTTTTCATTGTTCTTAAACGACTGCACTTATTAAACAATAATAAGCCTGGTTGTTTTACAGTGTGTCTGATCATTGAAAGTACCTGTATCTATTACAATGACTGTCATTTTTGTCATGGGGTCAGTGTTTCGGTTATCTTTGCCTGGTATTGGCTGCCATATTTGCATATTAGAAATAATATTCGTAGGATTTAAAGAAGGCAGAGTTCTCTCTCTCTTTTTTTTTTTTCTGAAACAGAGTCTTGCTCTGTCACCCAGGCTGGAGTGCAGTGGCAAGATCTCGGTTCACTGCAACCTCTGCTCCTGGGTTCAAGCGATTCTCCTGCCTCAGCCTCCCAAGTAGCTGGGACTACAGGTGACTGCCGCCACCCCCGGCTAATTTTTTTTTTCTTTTTTTTTGAGACGGAATCTCACTCTGTCGCCCTCGCTGGAGTGCAGTGGCGTGATCTCGGCTCACTGCAAGTTCTGCCTCCCGGGTTCACGCCATTTTCCTGCCTCAGCCTCCCGAGTAGCTGGGACTACAGGCGCCCGCCACCACGCCCGGCTAATTTTTTGCATTTTTAGTAGAGACGGGGTTTCACCATGTTGGCCAGGCTGGCCTCGAACTCCTGACCTCAAGTGATCCGCCTGCCTTGGCCTCTGAAAGTGCTGGGATTAACAGGCGTGAGCCACTGTGCTCAGCCAGAAGAAGGCAGCTTTGTCTAGGGAGCAGTCTTTGGAGGACTGCTGGTTGAGGTTTATGTTCATGACCCTCTAGGCTTGTGGTGACCAAGGTCACCCAGGAGGTTTAAATTTAAGCTGAAATCACACTTGCAAGCTGTTTTGCTTTATTTTTTTCTCACTCTGAGAGATGTAGCCCTTTGAGGTCTCCACATATGCAAGGAGGGGATTTTTACCATTTTCCCTCCTTGTATCACACCTAGGCTTAGAATTTTTTTTTTCCTGCAATCACAAAACCGTTAAAAGAGTTTCAAATTTTCCTGATTTGAGAAGTGCCTTCAGAGAGAAGGTATAGTTTATATTCACTTTATCTCTAGGTTTCTGTTATTATTTGAATCATGTTTTTGTGATTTTTCACTCTTCTTTTTTTAAAAAAATTATTTTATTTTAAGTTCTGGGATACATGTGCAGGACGTGCAGGTTTGTTACATAGGTAAATGTGTGCCATGGTGATTTGCTGCAATGTGACTGCAGCAATGTGATTTGCTGCATGGTGATACCTACCCATCACCTAGGTATTCAGCCCCACATCCATTAGCTGTTTGTCCTGATGCTCTCCCTCCTCCTGCCCCCACCACAGGCCCCAGTGTGTGTTGTACCCCTCCCTGTGTCCATGTGTTCTCATTGTTCAGCTCTCACTTATGAGTGAGAACATGCAGTGTTTGGTTTTCTGTTCCTGTGTTAGTTTGCTGAGGATAATGGCTTCCAGCTCCATCCATGTCCCTGCAAAGGACCTGGTCTTGTTCCTTTTTATGGCTGCATAATACTCCATGGTGTATATGTACCACATTTCCTTTAACCAGTCTATCACTGATGGGCATTTGGGTTGATTACATGTCTTCGCTATTGTTTCACTGTCTTTTCATGTCATTTATTTATATGAAGAATTGAAGAAGCATCTACCTTTTTTTTTTTTCTTTTTTTGAGACAGAGTCTCATTCCATTGCCCAGGCTGGAGTGCAGTGGCTTGATCTCGGCTCACTGCAACCTCCACCTCCCGGATTCAAGTGATTCTCCTGCCTCAGCCTCCTGAGTAGCTGGGATTCCAGGCTCCTGCCACCATGCCTGGCTAATTTTTGTATTTTTAGTAGAGATGGGGTTTCACCATGTTGGCCAGGCTGGTCTCGAACTCCTGACCTGAAGTGATCCGCCCACCCCAGCCTCCCAAAGTGCTGGGGCTACAGGCGTGAGCCACCACACCCAGCTGCATCCAGCTTTTTAAAAATGCTGGAATTTTGATCCAAATAACTTAGTTTGCTATTAATGGAAGCAACAAGTGTAAAACAGAATGTTAAATTGTCATGATCCAGTGATTGCTCCACTCTGGGATGCGTTAGAACTGATAATTGCTATTAAATTTATAGATTTCCACACCACACAAGCCCACATCAAAATGTGAAGCAGAGTACCGCACATCAAGGCCGAGTGCAGTGGCTCATTCCTGTAATCCCAGCACTTTGGGAGGCCGAGGTGGGTGGATCACTTCAGATCAGGAGTTGGAGACCAGCCCGACCAACATAGCGAAACCCCATCTCTACTAAAAATGCAAAAATTTGCTGGGCATGGTGGCACGTGCCTGTAGTTCCAGCTACTTGGGAGGCTGAGGCAGTAGAATTGCTTGAACCTGGGAGGTGGAGATTACAGCGAGCTGAGACTATACCACTGCACTCCAGCCTGGGCAACAGAGCGAGACTCTATCTCAAAAAAAAAAAAATTAAAAAAAGAACTGCACATCACCCAGAAATCCTGGACTTTGAGCTGGCAGGAGGGAGCAGATGGAATTTGGATTTGATTTGGCCTCTTGATTGATCTCTGTTTTCAGAACAGACCCCACGGTCACGTTCCAGCTCCTCTCACTCTGCTAATGTCTTTCATTACTGCCACCATCTGACTTGCACTTATGCAACCCAACTCTTCCCCTTCTGGAGCCACCTTCCTCTTGCTCCCTTTCACTAAGATGTCCCAACGGGCCATGTTGCCCAACCCGGATAAAAGGTGGCCGCTCACTTCCCCTTTCAGAAGCCGACTCTTGTCCGTTTCTCTCCACCATACCCTGCCCTCTGACTTAGGCCTGCTCTTACCTTTGGGGGATGCGGCCTCGGTGTGTTCATTTGTAAATGGCAAGATTGATGGGCCTGTTCACAAGGGCAGTGGGATGGTGCACAGGACACACTAGTACAGAGCCTGGTGCAGAAGCTGCTCCCAGGTGGGAGCCACCATCCTGATGGACAGTTAGGGTCACCTCTGCTCCTCTGCAGGCTGCTGAGAAGGGAAGGTTCCTATGTATAGACCCTTTTCCATGAGAGGAACTGAAGCCCGGGTGGACCAGCCAGAACATGAAAGGATTTGGGGACCAGCCCTAGCGCATATCCTGAGGCCACACTGCTGCCCACAAACTGCCCTTGTGGAGCCCACTCCATATGACTCTCCATGGGCTGGAACCACTCTCAGGAAAAGAATACATTTCCTCTCAAGCCAAAACAGACCTCTCTGTTGGCAGACAGTGTGTCTTCTCCCTCTGCCCTGGAATGCACCCTTGGGGCTTGGAGATGTCCCTGATACAGAAGGAACAGGAGGAAGCAGAGCTTCCCTTTATCCATGCAGAATCTAGACACTGTTTACTGCTGAGGCTGCACCACAGCCAGAGGCTGCAGGCAGACCTGCGATCTTAGGGTTCTCCTTAGAATCAGAATCAATAGAATATATCTCTATCTATGTTTGTATCTATCCATCTATCTGGAAAGGGAGGTAGAGTGAATAGGGAATTTATTACAGGAATCGTCTCTTGTGATTAGGGAGGCTGAGAAGTTCTACAAGATGCTCTCTGTAAGCTGGAGAACTAGGGATGCCTGGTGGGGTAGCTGCATCTGAGTCCAAAGGCCTGAGAACCTGGAGTTCTCATGTCCAAGGGCAGGAGAAGATGGATGTCCCAGCTCCAGAACAGAGAGCAAATTCACCCTCTGCCTTTAGATCTATCCATGGAGTTGCAGCAAACTCCTTCAAAGAGTGACTTATCTTTGCAGAGTCAAAGGTTGTTTTTTTTTTTTTTTTTTTTTTGAGACGGAGTCTTGCTCTGTCAACCAGGCTGGAGTGCAGCGGCGCGATCTCGGCTCACTGCAAGCTCCGCCTCCTGGGTTCACGCCATTCTCCTGCCTCAGCCTTCCGAGCAGCCGGGACTACAGGCGCCCGCCACCACGCCCGGCTAATTTTTTGTATTTTTTCGTAGAGATGGGGTTTCACCGTGTTAACCAGGATAGTCTCGATCTCCTAACCTCGTGATCTAGCAGCCTCGGCCTCCCAAAGTGCTGGGATTACAGGCGTGAGCCACCGCGGCCGGCCAGTCAAAGGTTTCTTTTCCCACTCCACCTAGGCTTTCAGCTTCCTCTAAGGGGAGTGATGGTTTATGAAAGAGAGAGTGAGTGGGGAGGCAGAGGGCCAGTGGGCCTCTAGGATTCTGCTACACCTGTGTATGTAATTCTAGAAACATTCTCAGGGCTGTGCGCAGTGGCTCACACCTGTAATCCAAGGACTTTGGGAGGCCAAGGCGGGTGGATCACGAGGTCAGGAGTTCGAGACCAGCTCATCCAACATGGTGAAACCCCGTCTCTACTAAAAAATACAAAAATTAGCCAGGCGTGGTGGTGCACGCCTGTAGTCCCAGCTACTCGGGAGGCTGAAGCAGGAGAATCGCTTGAACCTGGGTGGCGGAGGTTGCAGTGAGCCGAGATCCTGTTACTGCACTCCAGGCTGGCAACAGAGTGAAACTCCACCTAAAAAAAATAAAAATAAAAATAAATAACAACAACGACAACAACAACAACAGCAACAACAAAACGTACTCAGGCCTGCTCAGGCCTGGTCTTGTCATCGGTTGCTGTGGGGCCTCCTTCCTCTCTTGAATGTGAAGGAGGCACCACTGGACAGTTTGGGGAGAACAGACTCCCAGGTGTCTGGATTATTAGTTTGTCTCTGTGTTTGTTTGTGTGTGTGTGACAGAGAGAGAGAGAGAGAGAGGATGTGTGTGGGTGTGCGATTGTAGGTGTGTGTGTGACTGTATCTGTGGGACTGCATTCACAGCGTGTGCAAGTGTGTTTGTGAGTGTATGTAATTGTGTGCATGGGTGGCTGTGATCACATGTGCATATGTCTGTATTACACCGTGTTGGCGACTGAGTGTCTGAGTGTGGTATGCATGTGTGAGTGTGTGTATGTTGTTGTCACTGAGCCACTGTAGCTGTCTACACCAGGCTGTGTTCCTATTCATGACTGGAGCCACTATCACAGCCACTGTCCTTGACCCCAGGCCTGACCCTTGCAGTGCAGGCAGCACATTCTCATGCCCTTGACCCCACATCTGACCCTTGCAATACAGGCAACACATTCTCATGCCCTTGACCTTACATCTGGCCCTTGCAGTGCAGGCAGCACATTTTCATGCCCTTGATCCCATGTCTGACCCTTGCAGTGCAGGCAGCACATTCTCATGTCCTTGGAAGCAGCCCTCAACAATGGGTGGTGAGTATTGGTGGGTAAATGCCCCAGCTCCTTTTCCCTGAGTGGGATGACTCTGAGGTGCATGTTCTATGCTGTCTCCCAGAGGTGCCATGGAGGGCTGAGCCTTGGCTGCCCATGGTGGAAACTATTTTAAATAAGTTCCTTTTAATTGCTACATTTCCTTTCCTGTCTCAGTTTTCAGCTGTCCTACTGGTGTTTCCTGGACTTACCTCCCAAACAAACAACTGGCAGTTGAAATTTGGTCACCTCTAAATAAATTATTTGCACTTGAATCCTTGCATCAGGGTCTACTTCCAGGAAACCCAAACTAAGACAAGCATGTCTGCTGGCTTCTCCCATCTCAATAGGCTTATCACTGTGTCCTTTGTACTGAAGAGGAACATGAGATTCAGAGAAGACAAGTCACTTGCCCAAAGTCACACAGCTGATTAGTGGCAGGTCCAGGTTTGACCATGGGCCACCTAATCCCAAGCTTGGTGCTTGCTCCTCTCCTGAGAGACTCCACCCTACTAAAGGCCAGCGGAAACAACATAGGAAGTTCGAAGCCATCAAGGGCTTTGCTGCATGTGCCAGAGGGAACCAAGGCTCATAGCTGGTGTCTGTGTCCTTGTCCTGTCATTAGAGTAATAATGGCATGCACATGCTTGTGGCTGATTATGTGCCAGGGAATGTTGTTGTAAGCACTTTACTCTTTTAAACTCCCTTAATTTTCACAACAACCTTGCTATGACTCCTGGTTTTCAGGCAAGAAAACTGAGGCACAGAGAAATAAAGAGACTGGCCCAAATTCACACAGCTGGTTGAGAGTTGAACGAAGCAGCCTGCACCTGGAGTCCCTGTTCTTCACCACGACACTCTCTGGCTTCTCACAAGTCATATAGATGGAGTTCTACTAAATGTCAGGCACGATGCTAAGCAATTTCTTTTTTGTTTTTGTTTTTGAGACAGTGTCTCGCTCTGTCACCTAGGCTGGAGTGCAGTGGTGCAATCTTGGCTTACTGCATCCTCCGCTTCCTGTGTTCAAGTGATTCTCCTGCCTCTGCCTCCCAAGTAGTGGTGATTACGGGCATGCTCCACCACCCCTGGTGAAGTTTTGTATTTTTAGTAGAGATGGGGTTTCACCATGTTGGCCAGGCTGGTCTCGAACTCCTGACCTCAGGTCATCCATCTGCCTCGGCCTCCCAAAGTGCTGGGATTACAGGCGTGAGCCACCGTACCCGACCAGCAATTTCTTTTAAAATATAATTTGTAATTATATATATTAGTAATTATAATTAAACATGCTGTACAACCTCATATAATAAAAGGAAACAATTGCTAAGTGTAAGCATTGAGAACAAGAATTCTCCCTTCAACCCCCTGCTCCCATTCCGACAGCTGGGAGAATGCTTATGATGTGCTTATGTAAACTTCAGCACCCACATAACTGGTGTGTTGAGAGGTCCCATCTTTTTGGGGAACGTAACACTCGGGTCCTGGCAGGGAACCCACAGGGGCTAAAGGAGGGGGTTTAAGGAGGAGCCGTTTGCAAAGGTGTGGGCAGGGCCAAGGGGAACCATGAGGGATGGTGCAGCACCCTGGAGGTTACCATCCACCGAGAGCTGTCACCACTCCCAGGCTGGTGGTGCCAGGAAACAGCTGCTCCTGGAACCAAGATCTGTGGCTGAAAGAGGAGGGCAGAGGACAGACCTCATTCTGCTCTCCCCACTGATCATCAGTGGATCTCCCATTGACCAAACTGCCATCTGCTTATATGACTGGAGAGGCTGCAGGCAGGTGTCCAAAGCCTCCTGTTGTGGTTCATTCCTGACAACGGGTCAGTGCTGGTCCCCCCGATCCCACAGACTGAGATCCACTCAGCTTCTCTGCCTTGGGTGGCCCCCTTGTTCACTGACTAGGCAGGCACTTGAATGAGGAACAATATTCTGTCTCTCCCTGTACTCTCCTCTTTTCCCTGTCACAGGGAGGGTCTCTGTTGTTCATGTCCTGAGTCCCTCCATCTAGGGCTGGTGGCTGGTGTTACAGGACCACCAGGTTCATATCCCTGCTGTGCAATAACAGAAAATACACTGAGACAGAAGTGTTTGCAGCAGAGAAAAAGTTTAATGATCACAGGGTGGCCGAGCTGGGAGACGGAAGGAACTCTCAAATACATCTCCCCCAGGAGTTCTGGGCTGGAGTTTTTAAGGACTCCATGGAGGATGAGGGATTAGAAAATGGGGGTCACTGATTGGTTGAAGAAAGGAGGATGAAATCATCAAGATGTGGAAACTTCCTTCTTTGGTGAGTGAGCCCCTCATGGGGGGCTGGCTATGATTCATGACCTTTATTGTGGTAAATGGCACTCAGGAAGCACTTTGGCTTGACTATCAGGCCAAATTTTATCAGCACCACGGGCAAGTTTGCAGGACGACTCGTTCCTGTTTACCCCATGCACCCCAAGGGAAATTGCTGAAGTTTCTGTTTATCTTGGTACAACTAAAGAAGGATGCAAGAATGGACAAACTTTTTTGGCCACTCATTTACTCCTCCCGCTGCTGGGTCTTTACACACCTGGCATGATTTCATGGGCTGGTTCTTATCCACAGGTGACTCTTCCACATCACTCAGGTTTCTGCTCGAAGGTCACCTCCTGGGGGCCCCCTGCCTGATCACCGTGTCCAGAACAGCCCCCTTGGTCCCTTTCTATCTATTCCTGCAGATTAACTGATGTCAGTAGTTTCCCTGATATGCAAAACCTGAAAGAATATCTCAAATGGAGAACTCACATTTCACAATGCTTGAGACGCTGTCTCTAGGGCAGTTGAAGAAGTCTATAATTTTGTGACAGGGTCTATGTGATTCTAAGGCAAGAAGCAGCAAACAGCTATGAGGGAGCAGTCAGAGAACAAGCTGACGTAATGATTAATGCTGAATGTGCTGCAGACTTGGTTCATTTTTTTTCCTCCTCCCTTCTTCCATGATTAATTTTATAAAGTGTATAGGTGATATGGTTGGGCTGTGTCCCCACCCAAATCTCCTCTTGTAGTTCCCACAATCCGCATGTGTCGTGGAAGGTACCCGGGAGGTAATTTAATCATGGGGGTGGTTACTCTCATGCCGTTCTCATGATAGTGGGTAAGTTCTCACAAGATCTGATGGTTTTATAAGGGGCTTTTCCCCCTTTTGCTTGGCACTTCTCGTTGCTGCTGCCATGTGAAGAAGGACATGTTTGCTTCCCCTTCCACCATGATTGTACGTTTTCTGAGGCCTCCCCAGCCTTGTGGAACTGTGAGTCAATTAAAACTTTTTCCTTATTAAATTACCCTGTGTCTTTATTAGCAGCATGAAAACAGACTAATACAATAGGGATGGGTCACTGGTGAGGGTGCTGGGGTCAGCTGTTCAGGACCAGCACCACCCAATAGATCCCACCCATGAGGGGTTGATACCAACTCTTATGGGTCATCTGGACTTTTCTGAAACTTTCCTGGGGCTGTTTTTCTCCAGCTCATCTGATCTCCTGTTGCCTCTGGCAAGGTGCTAGCCAGTCAGTCTAGCTCTGGACATGCCTTGGGAGGCTGGCTATGATTCATGACCTTTATTGTGGTAAATGGCACTCAGGAAGCACTTTGGCTTGACTATCGGGCCAAATTTTATCAGCACCACGGGCAAGTTTGCAGGACGACTCGTTCCTGTTTACCCCATGCACCCCAAGGGAAATTGCTGAAGTTTCTGTTTATCTTGGTACAACTAAAGAAGGATGCAAGAATGGACAAACTTTTTGGCCACTCATTTACTCCTCCTGGTGCTGGGTCTTTACACACCTGGCATGATTTCATGGGCTGGTTCTTATCCACAGGTGACTCTTCCACGTCACTCAGGTTTCTGCTCAAAGGTCACCTCCTGGGGGTCCCCTGCCTGATCACCGTGTCCAGAACGGCCCCCTTGGTCCCTTTCTATCTCATCTCACTCTTGTAATTTCTTTCATCACCGTCACCATTGGATTTGGTCTTATGATCTGTTGGCTTCCTCCATCAGACAGGAACACCAGGTTGGCAGTGTTGACTGAAATTAAGGCTTTGAGGCAGAAATAATTCAATAAAGGTTTATTGGAAGTCAAATGTGAGGATTGATTGAGGAAGACACAGTAATGAAATTGAGCATGCTTTAAAGCCTTTTATAAATTGGAATGTTTTTGTGAGAAGGTTTAGGAGAAGGGAGGGGAACTCAAACAGGAGTTGTATGTTTTTCTTTCCCTTCCTTCTTTCCTTCCTTTCTTCCTTTCTCTCTCTCTTTTTCTTTCTTTCTTTCTTTCTTGTTTTGAGACAGGGTCTCACTCTGTCACCCAGGCTGGAGTGCAATGGCACAATCACAGCTCACTGAAGCCTCAACCTCCTGGGCTCAAGCGATCCTCTTGCCTCAGCCTCCCAAGTAGCTAGGACCACAGGTGTGCACCACCAAGCAAGGTTAATTATTTTTTTTTGTAGAGACAGGATCTCCTTTTGTTTCTCAGGCTGGTCTCAAACTCCTGGGCTCAAGCAATCCTCCCACCTCAGCCTCCCAAAATGCTGGGATTACAGGCATGAGCCACTGTGCCTAGCTGGAGTTGTCTTTTTCATTGCAGGGTATAATATAGAGATTATAATTATTGGCTACAAATGACAACATATAGGCTAGAACATTAATATATGTAAAACAATCTGTACAACTTTATGATTTAGAAACAAATTTGTGTCTTTTTCAATGTCAGTAGGTTACATATTAAGCATGTCGACAGTTTGAGGAACTCAGGATAAAATTTGAGGCTGGCTATGATTCATGACCTTTATTGTGGTAAATGGCACTGAGTAAGCACTTGGCTTGACTATCAGGCCAAATTTTATCAGCACCACGGGTAGGTGTGCAGGACGGCTGGTTCTGCCATGCATTATTTTTCATTCAGGGACAGGAGGTAAACGACGAATCATAAGATCTTCCTGGGACGGTTACTTTGGAAGCCTGCCAAAGGTGACTTGTAGATTATTAGTTCTTTGGATAGAGAATCTTTTCAAGGAAGCAGTGATGACCAATCTCTGTTCAGGTTAGAGTAACAGGGGTTATTTATCTTTCGCCATTGGGAAGGCTCATTTGTAAGAAGTCATGTCTTTCCAGGCTGAGGAGATAAATAATTTTGTTATTGCAGGCAGGTGAAATTGTTAGTGACATGGGGCAGGTCATGACTTGAGGCTCTGTGTTTTCTTTTGAATTGCGAGTCATATCTAGTTGTTGGGCAACCATTATTTTGGTGTTAGCTGTTGATGAATAGTTTTAAAATTCTAGAGAATTTAGGTAGAGAGAAAGGTAAATGTTTTAATTTTGTTTATAAAATTGTGTTTTATCCATTTGTTGTAAGACATACATAGTTTAAAAGAAAAAAATTTTTTTATTTTGGAAAACAATATAAAAATAATTAGCATTGTGTTAAATAGAAGCTCATATAAATCATAAGGAATGGTACCAGTTCCTCCTTGTACCTCTGGTAGAATTCAGCTGTGAATCCATCTGGTCCTGGACTCTTTTTGGTTGGTAAGCTATTGATTATTGCCACAATTTCAGAGCCTGTTATGGGTCTATTCAGAGATTCAACTTCTTACTGGTTTAGTCTTGGGAGGGTGTATGTGTCGAGGAATTTATCCATTTCTTCTAGATTTTCTAATTTATTTGCGTAGAGGTGTTTGTAGTATTCTCTGATGGTAGTTTGTATTTCTGTGGGATCGGTGGTGATATCCCCTTTATCATTTTTTATTGCGCCTATTTGATTCTTCTCTCTTTTTTTCTTTATTAGTCTTGCTAGCGGTCTATCAATTTTGTTGATCCTTTCAAAAAACCAGCGCCTGGATTCATTAATTTTTTGAAGGGTTTTTTGTGTCTCTATTTCCTTCAGTTCTGCTCTGATTTTAGTTACCTCTTGCCTTCTGCTAGCTTTTGAATGTGTTTGCTCTTGCTTTTCTAGTTCTTTTAATTGTGATGTTAAGGTGTCAATTTTGGATCTTTCCTGCTTTCTCTTGTGGGCATTTAGTGCTATAAATTTCCCTCTACACACTTCTTTGAATGTGTCCCAGAGATTCTGGTATGTTGTGTCTTTGTTCTCGTTGGTTTCAAAGAACATCTTTATTTCTGCCTTCATTTCGTTATGTACCCAGTAGTCATTCAGGAGCAGGTTGTTCAGTTTCCATGTAGTTGAGCGGTTTTGAGTGAGCTTCTTAACCCTGAGTTCTAGTTTGATTGCACTGTGGTCTGAGAGACAGTTTGTTATAATTTCTGTTCTTTTACATTTGCTGAGGAGAGCTTTACTTCCAACTATGTGGTCAATTTTGGAATAGGTGTGGTAAGGTGCTGAAAAAAACGTATATTCTGCTGATTTGGGGTGGAGAGTTCTGTAGATGTCTATTAGGTCCGCTTGGTGCAGAGCTGAGTTCAATTCCTGGGTATACTTGTTAACTTTCTGTCTCGTTGATCTGTCTCCAATCCATAGAAAAAGAGGGAATCCTCCCTAACTCATTTTATGAGGCCAGCATCATCCTGATACCAAAGCCGGGCAGAGACACAACAAAAAAAGAGAATTTTAGACCAATATCCTTGTTGAACATTGCTGCAAAAATCCTCAATAAAATACTGGCAAACCGAATCCAGCAGCATATCAAAAAGCTTATCCACCATGATCAAGTGGGCTTCATCCCTGGAATGCAAGGCTGGTTCAATATACTCAAATCAATAAATGTAATCCAGCATATAAACAGAACCAAAGACCAAAACCACATGATTATCTCAATAGATGCAGAAAAGGCCTTTGACAAAATTCAACAACCTTCATGCTAGAAACTCTCAATAAATTAGGCAATGATGGGACATATCTCAAAATAATAAGAGCTATCTATGACAAACCCACAGCCAATATCATACTGAATGGGCAAAAACTGGAAGCATTCCCTTTGAAAACTGGCACAAGACAGGGATGCCCTCTCTCACCACTCCTATTCAACATAGTGTTGGAAGTTCTGGCCAGGGCAATTAGGCAGAAGAAGGAAATAAAGGGTATTCAATTAGGAAAAGAGGAAGTCAAATTGTCCCTGTTTGCAGATGACATGATTGTATATCTAGAAAACCCCATCGTCTCAGCCCCAAATCTCCTTAAGCTGATAAGCAACTTCAGCAAAGTCTCAGGATACAAAATCAATGGACAAAAATCACAAGCATTCTTATACACCAATAACAGACCAACAGAGAGCCAAATCATGAGTGAACTCCCATTCACAACTGCTTCAAAGAGAATGAAATACCTAGGAATCCAACTTACAAGGGATGTGAAGGACCTCTTCAAGGAGAACTACAAACCACTGCTCAATGAAATAAAAGAGGATACAAACAAATGGAAGAACATTCCATGCTCATGGGTAGGAAGAATCAATATCATGAAAATGGCCATACTGCCCAAGGTAATTTATAGATTCAATGCCATCCCCATCAAGCTACCAATGACTTTCTTCACAGAATTGGAAAAAACTACTTTAAAGTTCATATGCAACCAAAAAAGAGCCCACATTGCCAAGTCAATCCTAAGCCAAAAGAACAAAGCTGGAGGCACCATGCTACCTGACTTCAAACTATACTACAAGGCTACAGTAACCAAAACAGCATGGTACTGGTACCAAAACAGAGATATAGATCAATGGAACAGAACAGAGCCCTCAGAAATAACGCCGCATATCTACAACTAGCTAATCTTTGACAAACCTGAGAAAAACAAGCAATGGGGAAAGGATTCCCTATTTAATAAATGGTGCTGGGAAAAGTGGCTAGCCATATGTAGAAAGCTGAAACTGGATCCCTTCCTTATACCTTATACAAAAATTAATTCAAGATGGATTAAACGTTAGACCTAAAAACCATAAAAACCCTAGAAGAAAACCTAGGCATTACCATTCAAGACATAGGCATGGGCAAGGACTTCATGTCTAAAACACCAAAAGCAATGGCAACAAAAGCCAGAATTGACAAATGGGATCTAATTAAACTAAAGAGCTTCTGCACAGCAAAAGAAACTACCATCAGAGTGAACAGGCAACCTACAAAATGGGAGAAAATTTTCGCAACCTACTAATCTGACAAAGGGCTAATATGCAGAATCTACAATGAACTGAAACAAATTTACAAGAAAAAAACAAACAACCCCATCAAAAAGTGGGTGAAGGACATGAACAGACACTTCTCAAAAGAAGACATTTATGCAGCCAAAAACACATGAAAAAAATGCTCACCATCACTGGCCATCAGAGAAATGCAAATCAAAACCACAATGAGATATCATCTCACACCAGTTAGAATGGCAATCATTAAAACAACAGTTGCTGGAGAGGATGTGGAGAAATAAGAACACTTTTACACTGTTGGTGGGACTGTAAACTAGTTCAACCATTGTGGAAGTCAGTGTGGTGATTCCTCAGGGATCTAGAACTAGAAATACCATTTGACCCAGCCATCCCATTACTGGGTATATACCCAAAGGACTATAAATCATCCTGCTATAAAGACACATGCACACATATGTTTATTGCGGCACTATTCACAATAGCAAAGACTTGGAACCAACCCAAATGTCCAACAATGATAGACTGGATTAAGAAAATGTGGCACATATACACCATGGAATACTATGCAGCCATAAAAAATGATGAGTTCATGTCCTTTGTAGGGACATGGATGAAATTGGAAATCATCATTCTCAGTAAACTATCGTAAGGACAAAAAACCAAACACCGCATGTTCTCACTCATAGGTGGGAATTGAACAATGAGAACACAGGGACACAGGAAGGGGAACATCACACTCTGGGGGCTGTTGTGGGGTGGGGGGAGGGGGAGGGATAGCTTTAGGAGATATACCTAATGCTAAATGACAAGTTAATGGGTGCAGCACACCAGCATGGCACATGTATACATATGTAACTAACCTGCACATTGTGCACATGTACCCTAAAACTTAAAGTATAATAATAATAAAATTTAAAAAAAGGTCAGGAAACAACAACAATAACAACAACAACAACAACAACAACAAAAAGAAGGTCATATAAATCATTTTAGTCTTTTATCATTTCGGTCTCCTATAATTTTTATTGTGTTTGATGTTGGATTAATAATCTTTATGCATAAGTTTTTATTGGAGTTTTGAACGTTTTTATTTAGTCTATAGATCATTAAATTATTGGAAATCTGTGTTGTAGAGTCTTTTATAAGAAAAGTAATTTTGGACTGGGTGCAGTGACTCATGCCTGTAATCCCAGCACTTTGGGAGGCCAAGGCGGATGGATCAATTCAGGCCAGGAGTTCCAGACCAGCCTGGCCAACATGGTGAAACCCCGTCTCTACTAAAAATACAAAAATTAGCCATGGGTGGTGGTGTGCATCTGTAGTCCGAGCTACTAGGGAGGCTGAGGCAGGAGAATCACTTGAACCTGGGAGGTGGAGGTTGCAGTGATCATGCCACTGTACTCCAGCCTGGGAAACAGAATGAGACTCTGTCTCAAAAAAAAAAAAAAAAAAAAAAAAGTAATTTTATACTAGAGTTGGTTGCAAATGTTTTTGGGCCAGGCATGGTGGCTCATGCCTGTAATCCCGGCATTTTGGGAGGCCAAGGCGGATGGATCACCTGAGGTCAGGAGTTTGAGACTAGCCTGGGCCACATGGCAAAACCCCATCTCTACGAAAAATACAAAAATTAGCTGGGCATGGTGGCGGGGACCTGTACTCCCAGCTACTTGGGAGGCTGAGGTAGGAGAATCGCTTGAACCTGGAAGGTGGAGGTTGCAGTGAGCTGAGATTTCGCCACTGCACTCCAGCCTGGGCGACAGAGTGAGTGAGACTCCTTCTCCAAAAAAAAAAAAAAAAAAAGATAATGACCAGAATTATCATGGGCAGCAGCATCACATCAGAATCATCAGACTTTTATAAATTTTATATAATCTTTAGGATATTTATATTTATAACATTTATATAAATCTAATTTTAGAAAGGATTAACATAATTAAAATTATGACTGCAAATATATTAGATATTTATAAATTTAAATAATTTTTGGAACATTTATATCAATAACATATTTATAAACATGACTGAAGGATCTAGTATTATTTATCATTTGACAACATTTTTAATATAATTTTTCAAATCTAATTATTTAATCTATAAAGACTTATTTTAGGATTTTGATCTTGGAGAAACCTGTAAAAGATATAAAAAGATCTAAACACCTTGTCAAATTAGAATCATAGGCCAGGCATGGGGGCTCACATCTGCAATACCAGCACTTTAGGAGGCCAAGGCGGGTGGGTCGTTTGAGCTGAGGAGTTTAAGACCAGCCTGGGCAACATGGTGAAACACCATCTTTACAAAAAATACAAAAATTAGCTGGGTGTGGTAGTGCACACCAGTAGTCCCAGCTACTCAGGAGGCTGAGGTGGGAGGATTGCTTGAGCCCAGGAGGTTGAGGTTGCAGGGAGCCAAGATTGTGCCACTGCACTCCCGCCTGGGCGACAGAACGAGACTCCGTCTCAAAAAAAAAAAACAAAACAAAAAAAACAAAACAAAACAAATTAAAATCACAGGTCTTTGTAAAATAATATTTATTTAACTAGAGTGATGATCAAAAGACTTTACAAGCAATAGAGAAAATTATATGGACGTGAAAATCTTAACTGTTTTATTTTATTAATTTATTTTTGAGACAGGGTTTTGTTCTGTCACCCAGGCTGGAGTGCAGTGGTGCGACCATAGCTCACTGTAGCCTTGACCTTCTGGGCTCAATCTATCCCACTGCTTCAGCTTCCTGAGTAGCTGGGACTACAGATTTACTTCCCCACACCCAGCTTTTTTTTGTTTGTTTTGGAGAGACGGGGTTTCCCTATGTTGCCCAGGCTAATCTTGAACTCTTGAGCTCAAGCAATCCACCTGCCTCGGCCTCCCAGGGTGCTAGGATTATAGGCGTGAGGCACCAGGCCTGTCCTAACTCTTTTGCAGCTTAGTCTTAGTAAGTAATTAAAAATCTGATAAAGATAACACAGAAATTATTTCAATAACATGTAAACTTTTTGTTTTTAAGGCCAATGACCAAAATGTAAAGACAAACCTCTTGTAGTGTGATTGTGGTTTTTTTTTTGAGACAGAATTTTGCTCTGTCACCCAGGCTGGAGTGCAGTGGCACCATCTTGGCTCACTGCAACCTCTGCCTCCCGGGTTCAAGTGATTCTCCCGCCTCAGCCTCCCTAGTAACTGAGATTACAGGCATGTGCTACCACATCAGGCTAATTTGTTTTTGTATTTTTAGTAGAGATGGGGTTTCACCAAGTTGGCCAGGCTAGTCTGGAACTCCCGACCTCAGATGATCCACCCACCTTGGCCTCCCAAAGTGCTGGAATTACAGGTGTGAGCCACTGCGCCTGGCCTGAATTTTTATTTTTAGTAACCTTAAATTTTAGTGGAAACTTAGAAAGTAAGATCTTGAGTTGTCTGTCACAAATTAGTATGTTAAAGAGATGAGCTACTTTATAATGTTTAGAAACATGTTTTTTTATAATATAATTTTTTCTTTTCTTTAACTTTTATTTTAGGTTCAGGCGTACATGTGCAGGTTTGTTACACAGGTAAATGGCACATTGCAGGAGTTTGGTGTACAGATTATTTGATCACTAAGGTAATACACATAGTACCCAGTTGGTAGTTTTTGGTCCTCACCTTGCTTCCCACCCTCCACCCTCAAGTAGGCCTTGGTGTCGTTGTTCCCTTCTTTGTGTTTATATGTCCTCAATGTTTAGCTTTTATTTATAAGTGAGAACACACAGTATTTGCTTTTCTGTTCCTGTGTTAGTTTGCTTAGGATAATGGCCTCCAGTTCCATCCTTGTTGTTGCAAAGGACATGGTCTCATTCTTTTTTTATGGCTGCATAGTATTCCATGGTGTATATGTACCACATGTTCTTGATCCAGTTGATGGACATTTAGGTTGATTCCATGTATTTGCTATTGTGACTAGTGCTGCAATGAACATACATGTGCATGTGTCTCTATGGTAGAACAATTTCTATTCCTTTGGGTATATACCCAATAATGGGATTGCTGGGTCAAATGGTAATTCTGTTTTAAGTCCTTTGAGAAATTGTCAAACTGCTTCCCACAATGCCTGAACTAATTTACATCCCCACAAGCAGTGTATAAGCATTTCCTTTTCTCCATAACCTCTCCAGCATGTTATTACTATATATATAATTTTTACTTTTTAATCATAGTCATTCTGACTGGTGTGAGATGGTATCTCATTGTGGTTTTGATTTGCATTTCTCTAATGATTAGTGATGTTGAGCATTTTGTTGTATGCTTTTTGGATACGTGTATGTCTTCTTTTGAAAACTGTCTGTTCTTATCTTTTGCCTACTTTTTTAATGAGGTTGCTTGGTTTTTCCTTGTAAATTTAAGTTTCTTATAGATTCTTGGTATTAGACCTTTGTCAGATGCATAGTTTGCAAATATTTTCTCCCATTCTGTAGGTTGTCTGTTTACTTTGTTGATGGCTTATTTTGCTGTGCAGAAGCTCTTTAGTTTAATTAGGTCTCATTTGTTGATTTTTGTTTTTGCTTTGTTACAATTGCTTTTGGCGTCTTCATCATGAAATCTTTGCAGTCCTATTTCCAGAATGGCATATCCTAGGTTATCTTTCAGAGTTTTTATAGTTTTTGGTTTTACAGTTAAGTCCTTAATCCATCTTGGGTTAATTTTTGTGTATGGTATAAGGAAGGGGTCCAGTTTCAGTCTTCTGCATATGGCTAGCCAGTTATCTCAACACCACTTATTGAATAGAGAGTCCTTTTTCCATTGCTTGTTTTGTCAGCTTTGTCAAAGATCAGATGGTTGTAGGTGTGTGAACTTGTTTCTTGGCTCTCTATTCTGTTCCATTGGTCTATAGGTTTGTATTTGTACCAGTACCATGCTGTTTTGGTTACTGTAGCCCTGTAGTATAGTTGGGTAATGTGATGCTTCCAGCTTTGTTCTTTTTGCTTAGGATTGCCTTGGCTGCTCAGGCTATATTTTGTTTCCATATGAATTTTAAAATAGTTTTTTCTAATTCTGTGAAAAATGTCATTGGTAGTTTGATAGGAATAGCATTGAATTTGTAAATTGCTTTGAGCAGTATGGCCATTTTAACAATATTGATTCTTCATATTCATGAACATGGCATGTTTTTCCATTTGCTTGTGTCATTTCTGATTTCTTTGAGCAGTGTTTTGTAACTCTAGTTGTAGAGGTCTTTCACCTCCTTGCTTAACAGTATTCTTAGTTATTGGGCCAGGCGCGGTGGCTCATGCCTGTAATCCCAGCACTTTGGGAGGCCGAGGCAGGCGGATCACGAGGTCAGGAAATCGAGACTATGCTGGCTAACACGGTGAAACCCTGTCTCTACTAAAAATACAAAAAATTAGCTGGGTGTGGTGGCGAGCGCCTATAGTCCCAGCTACTCGGGAGGCTGAGGCAGGAGAATGGTGTGAACCTGGGAGGCGGAGCTTGCAGTAAACCTAGATCGCACCACTACGCTCCAGCCTGGGTGACAGAGCGAGACTCTGTCTCAAAAACAAAAACAAAAAAACGGCATTCTTAGTTATTTTATTCTTTTGTGGCTATTGTGAATGGGGTTGCATTCTTGATCTGGCTCTCAGCTTGGACATAATTTTTTCTTAATTAGAAATGACCCAGATGTTTAATGAGTATCTATTATTTAATTTAACATAACTTTAAGATTTTGAATTACACAAAAAGTTTTTAATAAGCATTTATCTCATTTATGCTTACCCAATTTATTTATTTTTAATAGGTTGACTAGACTATTTATGAAAACTTAGATATTAGACAAAGTTAGTCATTATCAAAAGTTATGTATGGTTATGTTAAACATTTTTATAGCCTGTGATTATCAGGTGTTCACCCGAGTGAGAAACTTAAATTAAAATATGGGTATTTTGTCAACAACTCAGAAGATTTAGCTGTTTTTATTAAGCTAACAATATTAAATGTCTTATTTATTAAAATTGCACAAACAAAGATCATTTGGTTTTGACCAGATTTATAGTCTTATAACCTTTGTGTCAAACCCAGGCACCTTAAAATATCTAGTGGAGAGAAATACAAAACTTTCTGACCAGTAAACTCAGACAAAAATGTACGTTGACAATTTTAAAGACATTTAAATGTTTATCTTATCAATAATTTGAACATCAACTTATTTATTAAAGACTTCTTTAAGTCATATAAACTTGGAACATACTTGGGTTTAGTAATTTATGAGCACTCATCTATTTATAAGTCAGTTTTGTAGCATATAGATACAACATATAACAATATATGTACATATATTTAAACACATCTAAACAAACATATACACACACATAAAGACTTTATAGTATTTATTTTAGAATTTTAGTCATGAGAGAGTAGCATAAACTTACTAGTTTATAAAAGACAGTTGGATCCATATTACAGATGACAAAATTGGAACTTGTTTACATGGCTTAAACTTTGTCTCAACAGATAACTTAATGAAGGCTGTGGATCAAAATTTTGGGTAAAGCAATTCTTATGGCAGTTTGATTTTAAAAACATCTTCTGCCCCTTTTTTCTTTAGTTCTAAATGATCTTAGGGTTAACATTTTAATGTTTATATTTTAGTTAGAACTGTCTGAATTGTCAAAAACACACACACACACAAAATCTCTAAGTAATTTTGCATTAGCAATACCATAAACAGTGAGCTTTATCTCAATACCAGTAGAAAAGTTAGCAGATTTAAAGTGGGCAGAAAAAAAAACAGAGAACTTAGAAGGCTCTGTGTGCTAACTCTAAAGTTATAAGTTGACCATCTGAGCTCTGAATTCCTTTTCTTTTTCTTTTTTTCAGAAGGAGTCTTGCTCTGTCACCCAGGCTGGAGTGCAGTGGCACGATCTCGGCTTACTGCAACGTCCGCCTCCTGGGATCAAGTGATACTCCTGCCTCAGCTTCTCAAGTAGCTGGGACTACAGGTGTGTACCACCACACCCAGCTAATTTGTGTATTTTTATTAGAGATGGAGTTTCGCCAAGTTGGCCAGGCTGGTTTCAAACTCCTGACCTCAAGTGATCCGCCCGCCTCGTCCTCCCAAAGTCCTGTGATTACAGGCTTCAGCCACCTCGCCCGGCCCTGAATTGTTTTAGTGTAATCTGTCCATCAATTTAAAATGTACAGAAGAACCAGCCATGATACATAGCCAGCTGTAGTCTCAAAAAAACCTGGCATATATTAATGTTTGAGAATTTTATTTTGTTTCTTAATCTCCCAGTTTAGAAAAAAATTTTTGGATCTGCATTTTTTAATCTTAAGTTTCATTTTCTTTTTGTAGTTGTTCCATTTGCTCTTTTCGTTTTACATTTATATATATTTTCCCCTTTTGAGGGAAGGAAATGTGTGCATTGTGAACTCCTAAAAATCTCTGCCTAAGAGATATATGGGAGCTGAGTGAACAAGGAAAAAGGGATGAACTCATATTGTTTCCGGAACCAAACTGGGTCTGGCTGCGTTTTCTTGAGGCCCGATAAGGAGAAGCAGACAAACTAGGAAAGAAAGGAATTTATTACTGTAACCAGACACAGGGAGAAGGCCAGAGATAATTCAAACAGACCAACTCAAAGAGTTACAATTTTCTTAGTGCTTACATAGGTTGGGGTTATGTGCCTATGTGCCGTATATCATTCGCCTTAAGTCTACTGGTAACTAATTTTGTTTCAACTAGAAGGTCAGAGGCAAAAAATGCTGTCTAAGTCTGATTAAAAGGGTCCTAGTACCTTCAAGGCCTGTCTACTGTGGTACTGGAGTGACTATTTCTTTTTCTTTCTTTCTTTTCTTTTCTTTTTTTTTTTGAGACGGAGTCTCACTCTGTCGCCCAGGCTGGAGTGCAGTGGCACAATCTCGGCTCACTGCAACCTCTGCCTCCTGCGTTCTAGTGATTCTCCTGCCTCTGCCTCCTGGGTAGCTGGGATTACAGGCGTGTGCCACCATGCCTGGCTAATTTTGTATTTTTAGTAGAGATGGGGGTTTCACCATGTTGGCCAGGCTGGTTTTAAACTCCTGACCTCCGGTGATCTGCCTGCCTCAGCCTCCCAAAATGCTGGGATTACAGGTGTGAGTCATCGCGCCTGGCCTGGAGTGATTATTTCTATCTTATCTCCTTTACAGCTTGACCCAGAGAGCTGCCTTAGACTCTCCAATGAATCTATTCAAACAGCTGCCTCTGTTACCTTGACTTGTCTCAGATTTTGTTACCCGAGATGGGTCCTGGCACTAGGAATGTAAGACTGTCTCTATTATTTTGACTTGTTCCAGGTTAGGGAGAAGCCTGTGCAAGGCTCCTACTGACCATATGTTTCATTTCTAGCTTTTATGTCTGGGCACCTATTTCCCTAGTTTGGACTATTTGCTCAATTTTTAAGGCAGCTCTGTGGAAATCTGTTTGTGTAACACAAGTGCTATGCAGGCCTGTCTGTGTGACTGTCATGTAGGCCTGGTTGTGTGGTTGTCAGGGAGAACTCTACTGCCACAATAGCACACGGGGTAAGAGGAGGGGAAACAGTTGGAGGTTTAGAAGCTTCTAAGTCCCACTGAAAGTCTCTCATTTAATTTTTCCGGTTCTAAGACTAGCAACTTTTTTTTTTCTTTCCTGAGGGGTGTCTCGCTCTATCGCCCAGGCTGGAGTGCAGTGGCGCTACCTCGGCTTACTGCAAGCTCTGCCTCCTGGGTTCAGGTTTACGCCATTCTCCTGCCTCAGCCTCCGGAGCAGCTGGGACTACAGGCACCTGCCACCACGCGCGGCTAATTTTTTTTTGTATTTTTAGTAGAGACAGGGTTTCACAGTGTTAGCCAGGTTGGTCTCGATCTCCTGACCTCATAATCCTCCCGCCTCGGCCTCCCAAAGTGTGGGATTACAGGTGTGAGCCACCGCACCCAGCCAAGACTAGCATCTTTTTTAATTGCCCACACAAATAAATCACTTAAGGCATTTCAAAAAGATCTCCATTTCAGCTATTGTTGCTTATAACCATCGTGGGTTAGGCAGGACCACTTACCTCAGCACTTGTAAATATGAAGACTTTTAAAAATAACTTTTCATGGCTGGGTGCAGTTGTGTCTGGAATTGGTGGGTTCTTGGTCTCACTGACTTCAAGAATGAAGCCGCGGACCCTCGTGGTGAGTGCTACAGCTCTTAAGGGGGCGCGTCTGGAGTTTGTCCCTTCTGATGTTCAGCTGTGTTTGGAGTTTCTTCCTTCTGGTGGGTTCGTGGTCTCGCTGGCTCAGGAGTGAAGCTGCAGACCTTCGCAGTGAGTGTTACAGCTCTTAAGGCAGTGCGTCTGGAGTTGTTCCTTCCTCCCAGTGGGCTCGTGGTCTCGCTGGCTTCAGGAGTGAAGCTGCAGACCTTTGCGGTGAGTGTCACAGCTCATAAAAGCAGTGTGGACCCAAAGAGCCAGCAGTAGCAAGATTTATTGCAAAGAGCAAAAGAACAAAGCTTCCACAGTGTGGAAGGGGACCTGAGTGGGTTGCCACTGCTGGCTCCTGCAGCCTGCTTTTATTCTCTTATCTGGCCCCACCCACATCCTGCTGATTGGTAGAGCCCAGTGGTCTGTTTTGACAGGGCGCTGATTGGTGTGTTTACAATCCCTGAGATAGATACAAAGTTCTCCACGTCCCCATCAGATTAGTTAGATACAGAGTAAGGACACAAAGGTTCTCCAAGGCCCCACCAGAGCAGCTAGATACAAAGTGTCCATGGTGCATTCACAAACCCTGAGCTAGACACAGGGTGCTGACTGGTGTGTTTACAAACCTTGAGCTAGATACAGAGTGCCGATTGGTGTATTTACAATCCCTGAGCTAGACATAAAGGTTCCCCACAGCCCCACCAGAGCAGCTAGATACAGAGTGTCGATTGGTGGATTCACAAACCCTGAGCTAGACACAGGGTGCTGATTGGTGTTTACAAACCTTGAGCTAGATACAGAGTGCCGATTGGTGTATTTACAATCCCTGAGCTAGACATAAAGGTTCTCCAAGGCCCCACCAGCCTCAGAAGCCCAGCTGGCTTCACCCAGTGGATCCCGCAGCAGGGCTGCAGGTGGAGCTGCCTGCCAGTCCCGCGCCATGTGCTCGCACTCCTCAGCCCTTGGGTGGTCATGGGACTGGGCGCCCTGGAGCAGGGGGCGGCGCTCGTCGGGGAGGCTCGGGCTGCACAGGAACCCACGGAGACGGGGGAAGGCTCAGGCATGGCGTGCTGCAGTCCCGAGGCCTGCCCCGCGGGAAGGCAGCTAAGGCCTGGTGAGAAATTGAGCGCAGAACCGGTGGGCTGGCACTACTGGGGGACCTAGTACACCCTACGCAGCTGCTGGCCCGGGTGCTAAGTCCCTCATTGCCCGGGGCCAGCAGGGCCGGCTGGCTGCTCCCAGTGCGGGGCCCGCCAAGCCCACGCCCACCCGGAACTCCAGCTGGCCTGCAAGCGCCCCGCGCAGCCCCGGTTCCCGCTCGCGCCTCTCTCTCCACACCTCCCTGCAAGCTGAGGGAGTGGGCTCCGGCCTTGGCCAGCCCAGAAAGGGGCTCCCACAGTGCAGCGGTGGGCTGAAGGGCTCCTCAAGTGCCGCCAAAGTGGGAGCCCAGGCAGAGGAGGCGCCGAGAGCGAGTGAGGGCTGTTGGGACTGCCAGCACGCTGTCACCTCTCGCAGTGGCTCATGTCTGTAATCCCAGCACTTTGGGAAGCCGAGGGAGGCGGATCACCTGAGGTCAGGAGTTCGTGAGCAGCCTGGCCAACATGGTGAAACCCTGTCTCTACTAAAAATACAAACAACAACAACAACAACAAAAAACTAGCTGGGCGTGATGGTGGGCATCTGTAGTCCCAGGTACTCGGGAGGCTGGGATGCTGAGGCTGGAGAATCGCTTGAACCCTGGAGGTGGAGGTTGCAGTGAGCTGAGATTACGTCATTGCACTCCAGCCTGGCTGACAAGCGCGAAACTCCGTCTCAAAACAAACAAACAAACAAACAACTTTCTCCATAACTTTTATGTATAAACACTGGCTGATGTACAGTCAGTCTTAACAGGACCCATTTCCCATCCTGGTTGTTTTGAGTGAGACAAGCTATGTTGTGGAGCAAGAGTGCCCTAATGTGATCAAAAAATGATAAAACGAAGGAAAGTTTGTCTCTCCCCAACCCCCTAGAGAAACCATTCACAAAGATCCTATTTTACCCTGCCCTAGAATTCAACAAAAACCCTTACCTTAAATTTGTAGCAGTAGCTCTTATTCTGAGAACATCACTGCACCTCCTAGCCAAGGGGGAAAGCAGCTTCAATAAGGCAGAACTTTGCCTAAAACAGGAAGTTCGTTGATTTCAGGAGAAACTTATCTGTTGCATCCAGCAGGGGCATCCCAGTTGGGGGAACACGATGGATTCCGTGCATGAAGGTTGAAACCTGCTCAGGAAGGTCCAGGGTGACCAGGGAGGCCACTCTGAAACACTGATGACTACATCATTTTGTGGAGTGAAATTAAAGCTGCCGAGGCAGAAATACTTTGATAAGGGTTTATTTGAAGCCAAAGGTGAGGATCAACCCAGAAAGATGCACCAACACATTTGGATGTGTGCCAGAATCTTTTACAATTTGGAATGTTTTTATAAGAAAGTTTAGGAGAAGAGAAGGGAACTTCTTATATCAGAATTGTCTGTTTTTATTGGAGGGTATAATACAGAGGTCATAATGATTAGATACAGGTTATAACATACAGGCTAAAACATTTTGTATGTAAAACCATCAGTGAAACTTTATAAGAGAGGGCACAGTGGCTTATGCCTGTAATCCCAGCACTTTGGGAGGTTGAGACGGGCAGATCCCTTGAGGAGAAGCTCATCGCTCCTGAGGCCAGTAGTTCGAGACCAGCCTAGCCAATATGGTGAAACTCTGCTCTACTAAAAATACAAAAATTAGCTGGGCATGGTGGCACATGCCTGCAATCCCAACAACTCGAGAGGCTGAGGCAGGAAGGTTGCTTGAACCTAGGAGATGGAGGTTGCAGTAAGATGAGACTGCGCCACTGCACTCCAGCCTGGGTGACAAAGACCCTGTCTCAAAAAAAAAAAGAAAAGAAAAGAAAAACTTTATGATTTATAAATATAAAGCAAAACTTCATGGTTTAGAAACAAAGGATTGTGCTTTTCCATATCAGTGGAAAATCAGAACATCAACAGTTGGAAGAACTCATAAGATCTGAGTAATTAAAGATAAGATTTGAGGAACTCACAAGATTCTTTACTCAGGAACAGGATGTAACCCATGCATCAAGAGATCTTTTCCGGGGGCTAATTGGGACTAATGTGACTGGTAGGTTATCAGCAGAGACCACGTCTGTCTTGTTCAACCTGTGTCCCAGGTCCTAGCACCATGCCTGCTACCATTTAAGTGTTCATGTGAAGTTTGTTGTTGAGAAACTAATTACCTAAAAGTTAGAACTTGACCTTTGCATTTTATCGAGGAGGCTATGAGACTCAGAGGGTTACACAGCTAGTGAGTGGCAGAGCCTGGACTTGAACTCAGTTGTGCTGAAGCCAGAATGTGTTCCTTCCTGAGCATTCAAGGACAGGGAAGGTGAAACTCCAGCTAGTGGGCAGCCCGTGTGCTTGTTCTAGGGAGACTGCAGGCCGATTCCTGGGAGCTGGGTCTTCATGGTGACACAGTAAGAACAACTCACCTATTGGCTGGGCGCAGTGGCTCACGCCTGTAATCCCAGCACTTTGGGAGGCCGAGGTGGTTGGATCACTTGAGGTCAGGAGTTGGAGACCAGCCTGGCCAATATGGTGAAACCCTGTCTCTACTAAAAATACAAAAATTAGCTGGGTGTGGTGGCTCATGCCTGTAATCTCAGCTGCTCGGGAGGCTGAGGTAGGATAATCGCTTGAACCTGGTGGGGCGGAGGTTTCAGTGAGCCGAGATTGGCACCATTGCCCTCCAGCCTGGGTGACAAAGTGAGACTCTGTCTCAAAAAACAAAGCAAAGCAAAACAAAACAAAACGAAACAGAACTACTCACCTATGTTGTGGATCAACTGTGTCCCCACTGTACCAAATCCTTATTTATTTAAAAAAATTTGTTTTGGACCCTTTTCACAAGATGGTGCCGAAAGTGAAGAAGGAAGCTCCTGCCCCTCCTAAAGCCGAAGCCAAAGCGAAGGCTTTAAAGGCCAAGAAGGCAGTGTTGAAAGGTGTCCACAGCCACAAAAAGAAGATCCACACGTCACCCACCTTCCGGCGGCCGAAGACACTGCGACTCCGGAGACAGCCCAAATATCCTCGGAAGAGCGCTCCCAGGAGAAACAAGCTTGACCACTATGCTATCATCAAGTTTCCGCTGACCACTGAGTCTGCCATGAAGAAGATAGAAGACAACAACACACTTGTGTTCATTGTGGATGTTAAAGCCAACAAGCACCAGATCAAACAGGCTGTGAAGAAGCTCTATGACATTGATGTGGCCAAGGTCAACACCCTGATTCGGCCTGATGGAGAGAAGAAGGTATATGTTCGACTGACTCCTGATTACGATGCTTTGGATGTTGCCAACAAAATTGGGATTATCTAAACTGAGTGCAGCTGCCTAATTCTGAATATATATATATATATCTTTTCACCATATACATGCCTCTCTGTCAATTTCTGGTTGGGCTGGGAGGCCACACACAGACACTGACATGACAGGGCTTGGGCAAGACTCCTGTTCTACTTATCCTTTTGAAATATTCACCCTGCCACTCCACCATGTGTGATCACTCCAGAGATCTTTGTGACTAGAGTTAGTGTCCTAGGAAAACCAGAACTCAGAACTTGCCTCCATGGTTGAGGGTAACAAGAAGCTGTACAAGAACCCCTTTTATCCCTGGAAGAGGCTGTGTATGAAACCAATGCCCAGGGTTTGAAGGGCGTTAGCATCCATTTCAGGGGAGTGTGGATTGGCTGGCTTTCTGGTAGCATTTTGTCCTCACACACCCATCTACTGTGTCCAACCGGTCTGTCTGCTTCCCTCACCCCTTGCCCAATAAAGGACAAGGACTTCAGAGGAAAAAAAAAATTGTTTTAATTATTACATTTATAGCATCCCAGCTTGAAAAACGAAGCAACAGAGACGTGTAGAAAGTTAAAAGGTTTCTACTCCAATTGTAATTTCTCCAATTCCATCGTGGTATGTGCATTCTTCTGGATTTTTTTCAGTGTGCATACACATGTGTACATACAGACACATACACATACACTCGTACGTTTTTTATATTGATGGGACCATTACTCACATCTTTAATTTGGAACTTATTCTCTGCTCTCTCTCCCTGTGTCTGATAGAATGCTGGCAATGCTTTGTGATGCTTTAGGAGACACATTTGTCAGATGTGAAGACTTAGGCTTAGGAATTGATGGGTGGTGACTGAGGCTGGTCACTCTGTGGTCTGGTGCACTTTCCCACTGCCCCACTCTGGGTAGGGGTGGAAGGGCCCCTGCAGAGAAGCACCAGCTTCTGTTTTCCCATGAGTGACTCCCCTCCCTCCAATACTCACTAGGGGACTTTCCATAAGCCAGGCTGTGTGATTTGGCCCCTGAGATATTCCTGGTTGGATGAGAAATCTTGGGGAGACTCCAGCCTTCTCAGGCACAAAACTCCCAGAGTAGAGAGCTCCCTCTGGACTATCTCTCCTGCCCTTGGCCTCAATTTCCTGTTCTGCTACCTGGTCCAGGAATCAGGACCTCAGTGATGAAACTTGGCTTCTCCCAGGCTGCAGAGTCCTGCTGGGGTGTGAGTCCTTGCTCATGGCTCATGAAAGTTCAACATATGCTTATGGCTTCAATATTGGGCCAGATTTCACTTCCCACCTTGGCCTTCCCAAGGATGAATTGTGTGGTCCCATGTGTTGGTGATCTCAGCATGAACTGCAAAGGAAGAAGAACTCATGTGCATTTTTGCGCAGCTGGGTGCCGCATCCCATGGCTGCCCTTGGAGGGTCTCCCTCTTCATTCATGTCTCTGCTAAAAGGTCACCTCCTCCTGGAAGCCCTCCCTGATTCTCTGATTTATTGGATTGTCTGATTTATTGGATCATTGCCTGTCTCTTTACGTGATGTGATACCTTTGACAGCTGAGCACTCACTGTTGCATCCCCAGTGCCTGGCACATAGTAGGTGCTCAAGAAACATATAGTTGCATGAACAGCCCTGAGAGGCATAGATTTTTCTTTTTATTTTATAACTGAAAGAAGCCCTGAGAATCAGAAAGGTTAAGGGGTTAACTCCCAGCATCCCTGCAAAGCCTGGAGCCAGGAATCTTAAAACAAGTCTACTTAAACTTGAAGGATTGTATAGGGATTTCCTGGGGTTCTATTAAGATGCAATCCTGAGTTAGTATTTCTGGATTGGGGCATGGGATTCTGCATTTCCTGCCAGCTCTCAGGTAATGCTCATGGCGCAGGTCCCTGGACCACACTTTGAGTAACTGAGCCTTACAGTTAAAGTGCATGTTGCCAGCTCCTTCCCTTCACCTCCTCTTTTTGAGGCTCTTTCCTCTGAAGACTCCTCCTCTGTCCCCCTCTAAAGCCCCTCATTCCACATCCCATCTCCCAAATGCAAAATCTGAGCTCACAGCAATTTGGGAGGCCGAGGTGCGCAGATCACGAGGTCAGGAGTTCGAGATCAGCCTGGCCAACATGTGAAACCCTGTCTCTACTAAAGATACAAAAAATTAGCTGGGCGTGGTAGTGGGCGCCTGTAATCCCAGCTACTCGGGAGGCTGAGGCAGGAGAATCGCTTGAACCCAGGAAGCAGAGTTTGCAGTGAGCCGAGCTCACCCTCCATCCCGTCGCGCCAATGCACTCCAGCCTGGGTGACAGCGCAAGACTCCGTCTCAAGAAAAAAAAAAAAAAAAGCCTGAGCCCAGGAGGGGCAGTACTGCCCATCATCAAAGCAAGGACAGAGCAGAAGGAGACTCCACTCAGGGTCCCCTGGCTCTGCCTTCCACTGTCTCGACCTCGTCTGCTCTCAGCTTCCCTCAGCGTTACCCTTCACAGGCCCCCTCTGTCCTCCTATGCTGAGCCCAGCATCCAGGTTGCTTTCCCAGCTGGTCTCGTTATCTCCAGAATCTGACCCTGGGTAATCCCCAGTGGTGCTGCATTCTTTGTTCCTGCTCCTGTCAGTCAGGTCTCAGCCTAGGTCCTGGGCTGCTGGGAGGCAGGACTTGAATTCCTGCCAGGCTGGCAGTGGAGGGCAACAGGCTTCTGTCTCTGAATCTCCTAAATCTGCACTGAGAAATGGTGCACAGCATTCTCCTGGCCCACATTTGGAGGGGAACTTGGGGGATGTTTTGGGAGAAGGCTTGGCCTCACCCAGCTCACCTGGCATCTGAACACTTCATTCCTTTACCTACCTTCCCCTGGTCTTGGAAAGGCAGGGTGGCTGCACATTTTGGGGCTCAGATCACCATTGGCTGCCCTCCAACTTACCCTCTGCCTTACATGAGAGGTACCAAGGACTGAGTGGCCATGCTCGGTCACCCTGAATTGGTTCTTCTACAGTTATGGTCCCCACCAGTCCCCGGGTTTTGGTTGGCTGCCCTGGCACAAAGGAGGCATCCAGGCTGTGAGGATTGGCTAGTCCAGCCCCGCCCAGCCTCCTGAAGTGTTTCCTAGATCTGGGGCCAGGAGCAAAAACCTCCTGGCAAAGGAGGAGAGGAGGTTGTGCGGGACAACCTTCTCCTGACAGAAGGTGCCAGGCTGGGGGTGGCAGGGCTGGATAGGGAGGGGCACTGCCCAAGACTGGGATGGCTCCAGGGAGCTGGCCCTGGTGATGGGTGCTTGCAGGTAACCAGAGGTCAAGTTGGCTGGTGGTTCTAGATGAGGCTGTCTGGTTTCTGGTCTCTAGTTTCCTTGATCTCTAATTTTGTGTCACTTCTCCTCTCCCCTCTCCCTTGGCCTCTTCCCCTGAGATTCCCTGAATCTCCCTCCATGCTCTTAACCATGTTTACCCATCATTGGTCCTGGAGCTCCCCAGCCCCTTTCCTAGGCCTCAGGACCTCACCCTCCATCCCGTCTGCCCTGCAGGATGTCGCTGCTGAGCCTGTCTTGGCTGGGCCTCAGGCCGGTGGCAGCATCCCCGTGGCTGCTCCTGCTGGTGGTCGGGGCCTCCTGGCTCCTGGCCCGCATCCTGGCCTGGACCTATGCCTTCTATCACAACGGCCGCCGCCTCCGGTGTTTCCCGCAGCCCCGGAAACAGAACTGGTTCTTGGGTCACCTGGGCCTGGTGAGTGGCAGGAGGATGGATCTAGTGTCTCAGGGTGGAAGGGTGGAAATGGGGCTCAGGCTGAGGGGGTGGGCTCGGGTCTGGGACGGCAGAGAAACTCACTCATTCCTCTGATCACTCACTCATTCCTCTTCCCACTCATTCCTCTCCTCACTCACTCATTCCTCTCCTCACTCACTCATTCTCCTCACTCACTCATTCCTCTCCTCACTCACTCATTCCTCTGCGCACTCACTCATTCCTCTCCTCACTCACTCATTCCTCTCCTCATTCACTCATTCTCCTCACTCATTCCTCTCCTCACTCACTCATTCCTCTCCTCACTCACTCATTCTCCTCACTCACTCATTCCTCTTCCCACTCACTCATTCCTCTCCTCACTCACTCATTCCTCTCCTCACTCACTCATTCCTCTCCTCACCCACTCATTCCTCTCCTCGCTCACTCATTCCTCTCCTCGCTCACTCATTCCTCTCCTCGCTCACTCATTCCTCTCCTTGCTCACTCATTCCTCTGCTTTGCCATGCCAAGCCTTTCTCATCTCCTTGTCTAGGGGAAGTCACCCCTAGACTGTTTTGAATTCTTTTCCTGACTGTTTTCAGTACACTAGTGAACCTCTGATGGGTTCCTGTGGCAGAGTGGGGGTTACGCAGCAGGTATTCACCATTATTTCCACATTATCCACTGCTGTACTGGAGGCCTCTTGGGCTCACTGTCTAGAACCCACTTTCTGCCTGGCCCATTTGCTTGTGTCCATCCATCTCTGGGCTGGAGTTTTCCCATAGGAAGTAGCTATACACCCCCTACCCTCACATCATGACACAGCTGGGCCAGAAGAGAGATGTGTGCCATCTCCACCCTCCCCCGTGCAGGGGCATCTTCTTTATCCCCACTAAGCTGTCCCAATGAGTTGTGTTGCCCAACCTGGATAAAAATTGGCCAGTGACTTCCTCTTTAAAGTTACCTTTGACCCTTCAGACCCTGCCCTTTCACTTAGACCTGCTGTCCCCTTTGGGCGATTTGGCATCAGTCTGTTCTTTGGCAAATGGCAGGAATGATGGGTGTGTCCACAGGTGCAGGGTGAGGGAACACAGGACGGACTAGCTCTGAGCTTGATGTGCAAAAGGTGCTCCCTGGTGAGAGCCGCTGTTCTTCCTGACAGACAGTTAGAGCCACCTCTTCTCCCCTGGGGGCTGCTGAGAAAGGAAGTTCCACCGTGTACAGACCTTCTCCATGGGAGGGCCTGGGGCCCCTGAGGCCCAGCCAGGACATAAAAGGATGTGGGGACCAGCCCTGGGGACATGTCCTGAGGCCACATTGCTGCCCACACACCACACTTGTGGAGCCCACCCCACGTGACTTTCCGTGGGCTGGAGCCACTCCCAGGATGAGAAAATCCATCCTCTTTATTCAAGGTGGGCTTCTCCATGAACAGACAGTTTGTCTTCCCCCTGTTCCCTGGGATGTAGCCTTGGAAGTTAGATACTGCCCCCAAGAGAAGGGAGCAGGAGGGAGTGGAGATTACCCCTATGTGCGCAGAATCTGGACATGCTGTTCATTGCAGAGGCTGTGCCACCTCTAAAGCCTGCAGTGGGACCTGCTGTGGCTCCTCCTGGGAAATGTATTTATTTCTCCAGAGTAATAGAATTAATAGGATATCAATATCTACATCTATCTATCTATCTATCTATCTATCTATCTATCTATCTATCTATCTATCAGTCCGTCTGTCTGTCTATGATCTATCTAATCTATGGAGAGACAGAAGAGGGCATTTATTATAGGAATTGACTCATGTTTATGGAAGCTGAAAAGTCCCACTCTATGCCTTCTGCAAGCTGGAGAATCAGGGACACTGGTGGTGCAATTCCGTCTGGGTCCAAAGCCCTGGGAACCTGGAGTTCTAATGTTCAAGGGCAGGAGAAGATGGATGTCTCAGCTGCAGAGGAGAAAACAAATTCACCCTTCCTCCACTTTTACATTCTACGTGGACCCTCAACAGATTGGATGATGCCCACACAGACTGGGAAGGGGAGATCCTCCTTCCTCAGTTTTCCTTCAAATGCTAATCTCTCCTGAAACACTCTCACAGACATACCCAGAAATAATGTTTGACTGGATATCTGGGCATCCCTTAACCCAGTCAAGTGGACACAGGAGGTGATGGCCCTTGCCTTGCTTGCAGGTCACTCCCACAGAGGAGGGCTTGAGGGTCCTGACCCAGCTGGTGGCCACCTACCCCCAGGGCTTTGTGAGGTGGTTGGGCCCCATCACTCCCATCATCAACTTGTGCCACCCTGACATCGTCCGATCTGTCATCAATACCTCAGGTACTCCTGCAGAGCTTGTGGTGGTGGGCACAGGAGAACATTGGAGGGCTTCTAGATCTCATCCCCAAAGCTTCTGTGCAGCTCTTGTAGTACTCAGCCCCTTCCTTCCTGCTTCTCTCTCAGCCACCTTCCTCTTTCCTTCCTGTAGTCACCAACCCCAACCTCAGTGTCTTTTCTCTCTGCTGCCATCTTCCCCACCTCCGTGTTGTTCTGGGAACCACTGGGGCCCCGAGAAGCCTTAATCCAAGGCCCTGTCCTGGAGGAATCCCCAAACTTGAAGAGATGGAGCAGTACAGAGACATCCCCAACTTCATGGGGTTCAGAATGGGCCAGGAGGAGATAGGCTGTGACAGAGCATAGGAGAACAAGGTTTCTACTGGGGCAGGCTGGAAGGCTTCCTGGAGGAGGCGTAGCAGGAGCTGGGTGTGGAACGATGAGTGATAATTTTTTTTTTAAAGCAGGGGCAGGGTGATGCAGTGGGCATTGTTAGTATTCAAGGCTCCGGGCCAGGCTTGGCATTGGCCTTGTCCTTCTGCAGGCCCAGAGCAAGGACAAGAAGATGAGAAGGAGTTGTGGTTGGTGGAAGATCTAGGCTGCTATTTCCATGACATTCACCTCTTGTGGGTCGATTCCTTCTAATCCCATCCTGTGGCACTTCCACCATATGTTCATTGCCCTCTTGCTCCAGGCCCCAGGAATCTCCAATAGGAGACACCACCCCAGCCTGGAGCCGTACCCTTGCCCTCTGCCCTTCCCATCTTTGGACAGGCCAGGGAGAGCAGCAGAAGGGGTATCACGCCACAGAGACCATGGCTCAAGCCCCAAAATGCTGAGTGACTCTGGGCAGGTCCACGGCTCTCTATGGGTGCTGAGGTGTCTTTCCATTGTGAGTGGTAGAAACTCAACCCCACGCAGTCTAAGCCATTAAAGAGAAGCTATTGACTGCAACATCCAGGGAGGTTGGCCTTCAGGCACAACTGGATCCAGGTCTCACCTAATATCATCAGAATTCTGTCTTTAACTCTTATTCTGTAAATGTGTTTTGTAGAGTGTTGACTTATGCTTGGGTGTTGCAGAACATGTTGGACCATGTAGGAGCCATGTCAAGACATGCTGGGTGTGCTGTACCATGTCAGGGTGTATCATTGCTCTATAGTGTTGTTGCAGCCTAGTCCGGTCCCCTTTATGCCCCCCACCCTCCTTTCTTCTTCTGCCCATGGCCTCCTTCCTGCTATGCTGGGCTTGGAGAAAAGACGTCCAAACCTCTGGCTGGGAGCCACCCTCCATACCCAAAGTCCCTCCTCTATTCCTCTCCATGGACCCTGATGGTCCTCATTCATGTCAGATGCCATTACAGACAAGGACATAGTCTTCTACAAGACCCTGAAGCCCTGGCTGGGTAAGTAACTGTAGGTGGACGGGACGGGGACCAACTTTTGTGGCCAGGGGAAGATTCTGCCCTTGCCCACAGCCTTTGGCTGCCGTACTAGGGGATGGGCTCTTGTTAAGTGTTGGTGACAAGTGGAGACACCACCGTCGCTTGCTGACGCCTGCCTTCCATTTCAACATCCTGAAGCCCTATATAAAGATTTTCAGCAAGAGTGCAAACATCATGCATGTGAGTGCCTTGAACTCAGCATCCCAGCTGCAGCCTTGGGGTGGAGGGATCACATACAATTGGGTCTGGAATGTTGGCTCTCCTGGGTGGGTTTGGGGCCATTGCTCTTCCTCTCTGTGCCTTGATTTCCCCATGAGGCTAATAATCCTCACTAAAAGGTGGTAGGAGCATGTAATGGACTCATGTCTCTGACACTTAGTAGGTGGTCAGAAGGAGTCAATTTCCACATTTTTCTCACAGAAGCCCTGTAAACTCAAGAAAGGAATGATGACACGTGCATAGTAGTCATTGCTGAGTACAGATCACTTCAAAACTAATTGGTTTAGAGCAATAAGGGTTTATATTTGCTAACAAATCTGTGGGACTGTTGGCCAGCCCTTCTGCATGTGGATAGGATCCCTCATGGTATAAGAGCAGCTGTGGGTCAGGTAGGCAGCTTTGCTTGTGCCAGCTCAGTTCTCTCACATATTTGGAGCTTTGCTGGCTTCTGGCTGATTTAGGATGGCCTCAGCTGGGACACCTGGACTTTTCTCCATGTGATTCTCTGCCTCTAGATGACACCCCAGGATTGCTCACATGGCAGAGACAGGATTCCAAGGCAGTGAGAGGAGGATACAATGCTTCTCACTAGTTATTATTATTTATTTTATTTTTGAGATGAAGTCTCGCTTTGTCTCCCAGGCTGGAGTGCAGTGGTGCGATCTTGGCTCTCTGCAACCCCCGCCTCAAGCAATTCTCCTGTCTTAGCCTCGTGGGTAGATGGAATTACAGGCGCCCACCACCATGCCCAACTAATTTTTTGTATCTTCAGTAGAGACAGGGTTTCACCATGTTGGGCAGGCTGGTCTTGAACTCCTGACGTCAAGTGATCTGCCCTCCTCGGCCTCACAAAATGCTGGAATTACAGGCATGGGCTGCTGCACCCAGTCAACTTCTCACTAGTTATGGCCTTATCATTTTCACCACATTCTATTGGCCAAAAAAAGTAAAACGTCCACCATGAATCAATGTGGGGCAAAATAGGCTCCATCTCTTAATGGAAGTTGCTAAAAAATCACATTGCAAAAGATGTGGATGCAGGGAGAAGAGAAGAAATGGAGCCAAGCGTTTTGTGAAACGACTAGGATTTTTTTTTCTCCTGTGAGCTAATAAATTAGCTTGTTACTTTTGCATGGATTCTGCCAGAAGACACGAGACTTCTGGGTCAAAGACAAAAGTTTATTACTCATGTCTCAGCAAGTGGCATGTGCATCTTGTTGGTTTGGATCCTTTCTCTAAGCCACCCAAATTCCCTGGGGTGATAAGGTGGGCTTCTATAGATGCCTGCCATGTAGTATATTTGCATGATGGGGAGGAGCATTAGGCTTAGAGAATCAGCTTTTAGAGCAAGCAGAATAAGCCTAACGTGTGTCCCAGAGGAGCCATTACCTTATACCCCAAGGCTGTTCTCTGCAAACACAATGCTGAGAAATAGCCCAGATTAAGAACCTCAGGGTTGACCGGGTGTGGTGGCTCATGCTTGTAATCCCAGCACATTGGTATCACTTGAGGTCAGGAGTTCGAGACCAGCCTGGCCAACATGGCAAAACCCTGTCTCTACTAAAAATACAAAAATTAGCAGGGCGTGGTGGTGCGTGCCTGTAACCCCAGCTACTCAGGAGGCTGAGACAGGAGAATTGCTTGAACCCAGCAGGCAGAGGTTGCAGTGAGCCAAGACTGTGCCACTGCACTCCAGCCTGGGCAACAGAACGAGACTCCATCTCAAAAACTAGCAAACAAACAAAACAAACAAACAACAACAACAACAAAACTTCAGAGTTTTGCATTCTTGGCATGCTCAGAAAAAAATGTTCAGGGGGATCACAGGGACTTTTTGTAATCAATTTATAACAATGAAGATGAATCAAGATAATATTTATTGAGAACTCATCATATGACAGAAATGATGTAATATGCCTATTCCATGGTGTATGTGGTCTCATTTAATTTACACCGCCTTGTGAAGTAGAGGATATTTTCCACCCTCTCCCCCATGCCATGACAAATGGTGAAACTGAGGGCCAGAGAGGTTAGAGAGATTTCCCAAGTTCACCCAGCTTGTCAGTGAGTCTAAGAGTGGGGGAAAAGGGGTTCTAGCCTGGCTCCCTGGCATCAAAGCAGGTCATCTTGATTGCTATTGAGGATTTGACAGGTGAGACCTAGAGGAGGGCTGTGAGTTGACCAAGGGTACACACAGCTTAGGAATCACAGCTGGGGCTTGAACCCAGCCATGGGATCTTCATCTCCTAATAGTAACAGCTTCCACTCTCACCCAAGCGTAGTCCTCCCTGAGGATGGGGGTCTGGGACAGAAAACCAGGAGCATGCCTCTGGGGGAGTCCATCCTGGTGGTTGGGGTTGCAGGGGGACTCAGAGGAGCCAAGGCCTGGCCCCAGCCCTGCTCCCTTCTCTGGCCAGGCCAAGTGGCAACGCCTGGCCATGGAGGGCAGCACCTGTCTGGATGTGTTTGAGCACATCAGCCTTATGACCCTGGACAGTCTGCAGAAATGCATCTTCAGCTTTGACAGCAATTGTCAGGAGTGAGTTCTTGCCCAGGGCCTGGGAACATGGGATGGAGTGGGGGTGTGGGTGTGGGGAGAGCAAAGCCCAGGGAGACAAGAAGAGCCTTCCTGGAGAGATGATGAGAACTAGGCATTGAAGGACAAAGAAGGAGAGAAGGAGAGAGAGAGAGAGCGAGAGAAAGAGAAGTTTCCTCCAAACAAGTGGAACTGTTTGGGTCAAGGCAAGGAGGCTAAGATGAACAGAGCATGTGCAACAGGCAGTTGGGAGACACTTGGAAATGAAGGTGGAGGGGTTGGCAGTTAACTAGATCTTAAGGATCTTGAAAAGTCAGACAAAGGGAGATGCATTTTATCCAAGGTTCCTAAGGAGCCATGGAGGTGTTTGAGCAGATGAGAGACATGGTCAGTACTGAGCTTGGACACTGGACTCTATGGGACTCTATGGAAGATTGACTGTCATGTAGACACAGCATGCAAGGATGCCAGGGAGAGGAGGTCTGAGTTTGGTGGAGAAAATGGGGCAGATTTGGGAGAAACTGAGTAATAATAGGCAGGAGCAGATGTTTTATAAGACAGAGAGAGGAGATGCCCATGATGGCCAAGCTGTGCCCTGGGGACCTGGGGCAGGAGGCAGCTCACAGAGAGTGGGAGGCAGAGAGTGAAGTGCGCTTGCAGGACACCCCTTTCTGCATGGAATGTGGTCCTGGGATTCTGGCTGGAAGGTGCTCCCAGGCTTTCATGTGGGTAAGGAGCTGCTTCCTCTCTCTGGACTGGCCCTGCAGGAAGCCCAGTGAATATATTACTGCGATCATGGAGCTCAGTGCCCTTGTAGTGAAACGGAATAACCAGTTCTTCCGGTACAAGGACTTCCTGTACTTCCTCACTCCCTGTGGACGGCGCTTCCACAGGGCCTGCAGACTGGTGCACGACTTCACAGATGCCGTCATCCAGGAGCGGCGCCGCACCCTCACTAGCCAGGGTGTTGATGACTTCCTCCAAGCCAAGGCCAAGTCCAAGACTTTGGACTTTATTGATGTGCTCCTGCTGAGCGAGGTGGGCCTCTCTGGGATCTGAATTCAAGAGGTAAAATGGAGCTTCAGGTCAAATGTCAGATTGAAGGACCGGACTTGATACAGAGGGCACTAAGGAGCCATGGAAGGTGCTCGAAGAAGGGAGGGACAAGTCAGATAAATTTTAGAGGTGATTGCATAGAAAGCTTCCTGGGAAGAACAAACAGGAGGTCGGAAGGAAGCATGTGGGGGTAGATCTGGAGGTGACAAGGGAGGGATCCTTCTGGGATAATGGGTCTTCAGAGACTGTTTCAGTTTAGACTCCAGTGACCCCAGAACTAGTGTGATTGGGGTTCTTGTCTCCAGGATAAAAATGGTAAAGAGTTGTCAGATGAGGACATAAGAGCAGAAGCTGACACTTTCATGTTTGGAGGTGAGTGTCCCAGTCTGGGGCTACAGTGGGGACAGGGGTCTCTCCACTCCAGGGAAGTGGAGGGCCGGCCCTGAATCACTTCATTCTGCCCAACCTCCCCCTCCCCTCAACCTTCCTGAGAGCCTCAATGTATGGGCGCTGTCCACCCTCTGGGTGCTGAAGCAGCCCAGAGACTCAAGCCTGCCTGGCTGACCCTCAGGCCATGACACCACGGCCAGTGGCCTCTCCTGGGTCTTGTACAACCTCGCGAGGCACCCAGAATACCAAGAACGCTGCCGGCAGGAGGTGCAAGAGCTTCTGAAGGACCGTGAGCCTAAAGAGATTGAATGGTGAGTGCAGGTGCTGGTGGCTCTGCCTTTCTGCCTTTCTGAGTCCTTCTCGTTGGTTCTTCTCCCCAGGTGGGGGAAAAGGGGAGGATCTTTTTGATGATTCTGCCATTGTTGCCTAGTGGGAATAGGAGTAGAGCCCAGAAACAGGCTAGCAAGGGTAACATTGCATGCTTTGGGGACAGAATGGTCTGGGAGTCCATATTTATTTCCCCACTAACTTGCTATGCAAGCTTAGTAAAATCAATTCCCTTTTCTGAACAACTTTTCTCCTTTGTAAATTGGGGGTGTGGGGAATTGCTGTCCCACAGGGCTGCTTGGAGAATTAACGGCAAATACCGCAATGACTTTTGGACCAATCTAATATTATGATTTATCAAAACATTCTCTTATCAACGCGTGTTTTTATACTTTCCAGCCTTTTGGTATAAAAGACATGATGTGTTGAATATCGGTGTACGATGATCATTGCTGACATGTCATCTTTGTAGAGCAGATTCCTAGAAGTGCAACTGCTGAGCCAAAGACCATTTGAGTTTTACAATTCAATAGCTCTTGGGAAATCTACTGCTATACACAGATTTTGAGAATACCAAATTTCCTCATAACCTCCCCAGAAGTGCCTATTATGAAACTAAAACATTTGCCAATCTGATAGATGCAATATAATATTTTGTTATTTTAATGAACATAACTTTAAATGTGGGTAAAGTTGAGCACTGTTTTCACCTGCCGATGAGCCATCCATATCTATTTTTCTGTGAAGTCAGTTTTTGCGTAATTTGTTTTTTCTACTTTGGGTCGTACTAGTTTTCTTATTTACTTATAAAAACTCTTTACATATTAAGAAAATTATTTCTTTTTTCTGTTATGCAAAATGTTGCCTCGCATTGTCTTGGACTTTATTTTTATTTTTGGTTCATTTATTTGTCACCAAATTTATTAATTTTTTCTTTTATAATTCCTGTTTGTGTTTCTTAAAAAAATATTTAAAAACCATTTTATACTCTAATAGTAAAATGCAAAACTCTTGTTTGACTTATTTTAATAGGCTTATATATTTTTAAAAGTTTAACATTTTATCAATATTTTTCACATTTAGAAATTTTTCCCTTTGAAATCTATGTTGGAATCTATTTTTTCTCCAAATGTCTAATTGTCCCAACCAAGTTTAATGAATATTTTGTCCTTGTGTCATGATTCTAAATAACAACAAATTCACAAGAAACTATGTGTGTGTATATATATATATATAGTGTATATATATAGTGTATATATATATAGTGTTTGTGTATATATATATACACACACACATACTATATATAGTGTATACACTATATATATATGTATTTTAAGGCAACAAATAAAACCATATATATATATGCCTATCTTAGGCATGTATGTATATATATGGTTTTATTTGTTGCCTTCATTTTGTTCCATTTATTATGTAGTCCTACATGAGCAGCATGAAGTCTACTTTTAAAAACACTTTAATATTTGGTAGAGTTTGTTCTGTCTCATTACTTTGTGTTTACAGTTTTTTTTCCCTCGAGTTCCTATTTTTTTCCATTTGAACTCTGTGATCAGGTTAGCCAGTTTGACAAATACTTTTGAAAATGTTAATTAATAAATTTTTTGGACCTTAGGTGCTAATGTTTGAGTTAACGATGCTCTTCAATTCATGGCAAATTCTCGTCATTTTTCTATACAATACGTATTTCTTCCCATTTATCTCAAATCTCTCCTTCCAGCTCTCCATCAGTATGATTACAAAATGGTGGATACTTTTATCTGTAAAACTTGTTGTTGGGGTGGATACATTTTAAAATTCTATATATGTTTTTATTTCACAGATGTTGTGCTGGTTCTTACCTTTTCAGAAATATAGCACTATGATTTGTGCTACGTTTGCAGCACCGTGGTTGCATGCTATGATTTGTGCTATATAAATGTAGCACTATGATTTGCAGCACCGTGGTTCTAAGTACATTTATTCTCTTGCTTTTAGCTATGATCTAGTCCTTTTCTCTTCAGTTCTGTAGTGGATACCTGGACTGCTTCTATCTCTCCAGTGCAATGACCATCTTTGTGCATATCTCTTTATCTGCATGTCTGATAATTTCTCTGGGATCTACAGTTGGGAACCAGCTTGCTGGGCTGTAAAACACACATCTTTCCTTGGCCATGTCCTGGAGGTTGCCTTCCATATTGGCAGCTTCTGTGCACCCCACTGTCAGTGCATGTGACCCCTCTACCCACACCTCAGCCAACCCTTGGCAACACCTACCTTTGGCCATTCTAGCCTCGAATAGATGTGAAGTGGTACCTCGTTGTCAGCTAGCTTCCATTTCTATGACAGCTAGTGACTTTGCGCATCTCCTCTTACATTTCTCATGTTTGAGCATCCATGAATTCTTAGATCAAATCCTTTGTCTACTTTTCACTTGGGTTACCTGTTCGTTCTCTTGTAGATTTGCAGGAATTCCTAACATATTCAGATATTGTTCTGGATATCTATCTATCTATCTATCTATCTATCTATCTATCTATCTTAGGCATCTTCTCTGAATCTCTTATCTCTCATTGGAATGTTAATTGGGTCCACTGTATCTTTTACTGCACAGAAATCCTTAATTTGCATGCGTATTTATCCTTTATATTTTATCTTGTTTAAGCTTTTGGGGTTTTAAGAATTCCTACTCTTAAGTCACAAAAATTTCTCCTATGTTATCATCTTTTAACATTATAATTTTACCTTTCTCATAAAGGAAAAGACTCCACCTTGTATATGCAGTAGACAAGAACCTGTTTCTCTCTGTTCCCACATTTCCAGTGGTCTGAACAACTTCCACCACACTATCCATTCTCCAGGGGCGTGTGGACCTTCCTTTAGCAGATGTTAAGTTTCCCCCTATTCACAGGCCTGATTCTGAGCTCTCTACTCTGTTCTATGGATCTGTTTTTCTGTTCTTGCAGCAGTCCCACAGTTTTTTTAAAATTATTTTATTTTTATTAGTATGCATTTGTAATATCTCTTAATATCTGGAAGCTTGGGTTCTCCTTCTTCAATCTTTTATTTAAAAATTGACCTAGCTTGGATAGGGCATGGTGGCTTATGCCTGTAATCCCAGCACTTTGGGAGGCTGAGGCAGGCAGATCACTTGAGGTCAGGAGTTTGAGACCAGCCTGGCCAACATGGTGAAACCCCATCTATACTAAAAATACAAAAATTAGTTGGGTGTGGTGGTGCACACCTGTAATCCCAGCTACTTGGGAGGCTGAGGCACAAGAATCGCTTGAACGCAGGAAGTGGAGGTTGCAGTGAGCTGAGATCAGGCCACTGCACTCCAGCCTGGGTGACAGAGTGAGAATCCATCTCAAAAAAAAAAAAAAAATTGACCTAGCCCTTGATGAACTTTAAAATTCCTTCAATTAGAATAAGATTTCAAAGTTCCAAAAAGAATCCAGCTAGATTTTTATTAATTGCATGAAGTATATTGATTAGTTTAGAAATAATTGACACCTTTACAACATATGGTCATCCCACCCTACAGTGTGGAGTGGAGATTATTTATTCAAATAACTTTATAAGCCCTTTGTAGAGATGTTTTTTTCCTGCTTTTGTTACCTCTTTATATAATTTTAAATACTTTTTCACACAAACAAATGAACACTTTTGTTTTTGAGATGGAGTTGCTCTGCCTCCCAAACTGGAGTGCGGTGGAGTGATCTCGGCTCACTGCAACCTCTGCCTCTCAGGTTCGAGGGATTCTCCTGCCTCAGCCTCCTGAGTAGCTGGGACTACAGGTGCCCACCACCATGCGTGGCTAATTTTTGTGTTTTTAGTAGAGATGGGATTTCACCATGTTGGTCAGGCTGGTGTGGAACTCCTGACCTCAAGTGATCCTCCTGCCTCAGGCTTCCAAAGTGCTGGGATTACAGGAGTGAGCCACTGCACCCCGCCGGAATGAATACTTTTAAGAGACACCCTCTGAATATTGTTTTGCTCAGAAATACCTCTAAAAACACCAGGTCAACTTTTCTTCTAGTAGTTTTGTGACTTTGGTTTTCTAATGCTTACATCTTTGTTGCTTCTGGAATTAATTTTGTTATAGGACTGAGGGTCAGAGGGAGGTGGTGAGAGGGTCTCCAGGGGCAGCAGGAGGGCCGTGTATGCTCTCTGGATAATTGTTGGGTGTTTCCTTAGGGACGACCTGGCCCAGTTGCCCTTCCTGACCATGTGCCTGAAGGAGAGCCTGCGGTTGCATCCCCCAATCCCTACATTCGCCCGCGGCTGCACCCAGGACGTGGTGCTCCCAGACAGCCGAGTCATCCCCAAAGGTGCCCTCCATGGCAGGGGAGGAGGGTCCTGGGCAGGGCGGTGGTCCCAGCAGGCAGCTCGGACCTTGTTCTTACTGTCCTCTCCTGCACGACAGGGAATGTCTGTAACATCAACATCTTCGCAATCCATCACAACCCCTCAGTCTGGCCAGACCCTGAGGTGCTGCCCCTCCCTGTTTCTCCATCCCCCGGGCCTGGTCGGGGGAGGGGTCTTGTCCCGGAAAACCAGATACTCCCTCTCTACTCCACCCACATCTGTTTTATGTGGGGGTGGCTGGGTGTCCTGAGAGGCCCCATCAGCAGCCTTAACTTGCCTCCACCCCAGGTCTATGACCCCTTCCGCTTCGACCCAGAAAACGCCCAGAAGAGGTCACCTATGGCTTTTATTCCTTTCTCGGCGGGGCCCAGGTGAGGCCAGGGGGTGTCTGAGGTGGGCATGGGCTGAGGGTGGCACAGATGGCTGCCTTGTCAGATGCCTGACTTGTAGGACCACGTGTTTCTGTGATAGGGGTTTTAAAGAAGATCCTAGGAAAAAGGGTGTGCTCAGAGCCTCCTGCCCCGTCTGGTTTCAGTTGGGGCTGGGGTCTGGGCTAGGCTCTGGGAATATGCAAGCCCACATGGGGGTCCCAGACCCAGCTTCCCCCCTGTCTGCCCAAGGTGATCTGGGTGGGGTTGGGGGTTCCGGGCCTGGTTCCTGGCGCAGTGGGGCCGGGATCTGGGTCCTGGGTGCAGTCAGACCTTCCACCTTGGCCCCCAGGAACTGCATCGGGCAGAAGTTCGCGATGGCAGAGATGAAGGTGGTCCTGGCGCTCACGCTGCTGCGCTTCCGCATCCTGCCCGACCACAGGGAGCCACGCAGGACGCCGGAGATTGTTTTGCGTGCGGAGGACGGACTTTGGCTGCGAGTAGAACCCCTGGGCTGAGGCCTGCAGTGACCCACCCACCTACCTTTGCATCACCTACCTTTGCACCAACTACCTTTTCAGATTTCCGGTAATAAATCTGTGTTGGCCCCTGTGCCTCAGTCCCGCGGATGGCCAGTAGGGGGCGCTGGAGGACTGCGGGGATCTAGGGCCTGGCTGGGAAGAGGCGGGGAGATGTCTCTGTGCCCAAGATACTCACTGCCTCTCTGGGTGAGCACAGGAGCCCCGTGCTGAGGGTGGGATCTCCCAGAGTCTAAGTAAAGACTTTTTCCCCCCCAAAATAATTGTGTATTCTGATATAAATTTTTGCCAATTTAGAATCCCTGTTTTTTAGCTAGGTGCATAGCAGCCTGAAATACAGATCACATTTGAAAGCCTTTCTTGAAGCTCAATTGGTTAAGTGACTGTGGCTGTCCCATGTGTAGAAGCCAAAGATTATGTGGTAATTCTGGTAACCTTTCTTAAGAGAAAGCTGCTACAGTCTGTCTGCTCAGTCCTCCCCTCTTCCTTCCTGCTGCTTGGAAGATTTTTTTTTTTTTTTGAGACATGGTGTCTCTCGTCGCCCAGGCCGGAGTGCAGTGGCTCACTGCAACCTCCACCTCCTGGGTTCAAGTGATTCTCCTGACTCAGTCGCCTGAGTAGATAGGATAACAGGCGCCTACCACCACACCCGGCTAATTGTATTTTTAGTACAGATGGGGTTTTGCTATGTTGGCCAGGCTGGTCTCAAACTCCTGGCCTCAAGTGATCAGCCCACCTCAGCCTCCCAAAGTGCCAGAATTGCAGGTGTGAGAATAAAAATTCTTGAGTTTCAATGTTTATTTTAGAATCAGGTGCTAACATGCAAATTTATTACAAAGGTATATTGCATCATGCTGAGGTTTGGAGTATGAATGACTCCATCACCCATGTAGTGAGCATAGTATCTAATAGGCAGTTTTTCAGCTTTTCCCCCTCCCTGCTTCCCCTGTCTAGTAGTCCCCAGGATCTGTTGTTCCCATCTTTATTACCATGTGTATCCAATGCATACCTCCCACTTATAAGTGAGAACATGCAATATTTTGTTTTCTGTTCCTGCATTAGTTTGCTTAGGATAATGGCCCCCAGCTGCATCTATGTTGCTGCAAACGACATGATTTTGTACTTTTTAATGACTGCATAGTATTTCATGGTGTATTTCTACACATTTTCTTTATCCACTCCACCATTGATGGGCACCTGTGTTGATTCAGCATCTTCGCTATTGTGATTAGAGCTGCGATAAACATGTGGATGCTTGTGTCTTTTTGGCAGAATGATTTATTTTCTTTTGGGTGTATACCCAGTCGTGGGATTGCTAGGTCAAATGGTAGTTCAACTCTCAATTCTCTGAGAAATATCCTAACTGCTCTCCACACTCCATTAGTTTAGTGGCTGAACTAATTTATATTTCCACCAACAGTGTATAAATGTTCCTTTTTCTCCATAGCCTTGGCAACATCTGCTATTTTTTGACTTTTTAACAAATTGCTTGCAAGATTGATGTGGCCTCTGGAGCTCCATCTTGGCTCATGAGGACAGGGACTGCTATTTAGGGCAGATGGGGCAGATGGCTAGAAGCAGTCAGGGTCTATGACCCTAGATCCATGCTGTGACCTGAATGTTTATGTAGCCCCCAAATCCATACATTGAAGCCTAGTCTGCATATGGTGGTATTAAGAGGGGAGGCCTTTGGGAGGTGATTAAGTTGTGAGGGCTCTGCCTTCGTAAGTGAGATTACCCCTTATAACAGAGACCTGAGGGAGCTTGTTTGCCCCTTCCACCATGTAAAGACACGTGCAAGGTGCCATCTATGAGGAACAGGCCCTTAGTTGACACTGAACCTGCAGGCACCTTGATCTTGGACTTCCCAGCCTCCAAAATTGTAAGCAATAAATACCTGTTGTTTATAAACTACCTAGTGTAAGTTATGTTGTCATAGCAGCCTGAATGGGCTAAGATAATCCATATCCCCTTGGAATTGTACTAAACATCACCTTGAAGTTGTATTATAAATGTCAGAATCCCAGTCTGCTATTCACTAGCTGATTGGCTTGGGGAAAACTTGTTTATCTCTGTAGCCCTGGTTTTGTTTACCACTTAATAGTATTCACCTCATTGGGCTGCTGGAAGACTGAACAAGCCAGTATCTACAACATCCCTGAGCCACATCTGTTGGGTATTAGCGGTCCATGAGGGTTAATTGCCTCTCTTTCTCTTCTTTTTGCATCACATTTGAAGTTTTGACATTTTAAAAAATCGCAAGAGGTTGCTTCAAGCTTTGGGATGCATGGCAACCTTCTCTTGAGGAAAATTCATTCGAATGTTTTGTGTGCTCAAAATATCCGTTATTACATCCGAGAATCTACAGTGGACTTTGGTGAAAGGTTGGCCCAAAGCTTAGAACGGAAAAAATTAATTTTTCCAGAGAGGCACGACTCAGAATTTATTCCTGTCTAAAAAGTTCAGGTCATGAAGGTTTTCAAGTGAGAGGAAGGTAGAGGGTGTGGGCTGGGCGGGGGGCGGGCGGGGGGGGGGAGGGGCCGCCCCTTTCAGCACCAGGGACAGCGGCTGCACCTGGACTTTCCCCTGTCTGACTGTAGGGGGCTCCTGCGGGGCGCAGAGTCCAAGGACTGAGCGCTTTTCAGGGGCCCATAGATTGGGAACCTGGAAGGATTATTGGCTGCAAAATAAGAATGGAACATTGCAAAACGAAATAAATAACTATTTAATATATTCTATGCTGAAAGTCAATTTTTCTTCCCTTTAAAGTTTAAGTTTCATAAATAATGCATGCTTATAGAAGAAATTGCAAGAAATAAAAATCATCCATAATTTCAAAATGTCAGAATAATCACTGTTTATATTTTCTTGCATATGCTTCCAGTTTTTAATTCATATGTGATCTTTTTACATATGAAAATGTTTATTTACATCTATATAGCTGTGTCATATCACATTTGCATGTAATTTTGTTTACAAGTGCTATTTTCCTGCCAAATGAGCACATGAAAAGATGCTAAACATTATTCCCATTATGCAAACCAAAAGCACAACGTGATGTCACCTCAACACCTACAGGATGGCTAGCATCTAAAAAAGGGAATATAACAAATGTTGGAGAGGATATGGAGTAATCGAAGCCCTCATCCATTCCTGGTGTGACTGTAAAAATGGTGCAGCTGCTGTGGAAAACAGTCTGGAGATTCTGAAAAACTAAAACATAGAATTACTATATGATGCAATTCCACGATATCATATTAAGCTCCTAGCTATATACTCAAAAGAATAGAAAACAGTTGTTCAAACAAAAAAGCTTGTACATTCGTGCTTATAGCAGCCCTATTCACAATTGCCAAAAGGTAGAAAGAACTCAAATATCCATTAACAGATGGATGGATAAAGAAAATGTGATCTATTCGTATAATGAAATATTACTCAGCCATTAAAAGGAATGAAGTACTGATACATACTACCACCTGGATGAACCTTGAATACATTATAGTATGTGAAAGAAGTCAGACACAAAAGGTCACATAGTGTATGATTTATTTATAAGAAATGTCCATCTGGGTGTGGTGGCTCATGCCTGTAATCCCAGCACTTTGGGAGGCCCAGGCAGGCAGATCACTTGAGGTCAGGAGTTCAAGAGCAGCCTGGCCAACAGGGTGAAACCCCGTCGCTACTAAAAATACAAGAAAAATTAGCTGGGCGTCATGGGATATGCCTGTAATCCAAGTTACTTGGGAGGCTGAGGCAGGAGAATCACTTGAACCCAGGAAGTGGAGGTTGTGGTGAGCTGAGATCATGCCATCACGCCACTGCACTCCAGTCTGGGCAACAGAGTGAGACTCTGTCTCAAAAAAAAAAATGTCCAGAATAGGCAAATCTATAGAGACAGAAAGGAGATTGGTGGTGTCAGGAGCTGTGGGGAAGTGGGAAGAGGAAGTGCTAATGGGGTCAGGATTTCCTGCTGGGTGGTGAAGATGTTCTGGACCTAGATAGTGGTGAAGTTTCCACAACACTGTGCATATACCAAATGCTACTAAATTGTACCCTTTAAAATGGTGAATTTTATGTTTTGTGAATTTTACCCAAACAAAAAATGCTATTTTATCTCAAATTTTTGTTAATTTGGGCTACTCACACGATATGCTGTTAACATCTTTCCATGACATCAAATCATTTTATGAAACATTATTTTGTGGTTTTAACAAATATTTGGGTTATGTATTCAAACCACTCTATTTCTTAAAAATGGCGTGATGTTACAAAATGATATAAAAGTGCTTTGTCTCACGTTGCAAGAATTGTCTTCATACAAGTTGACAGTTTGAGGTATCATTGGTTACAAATTGAGTAACTTCATCAAATAAGTTTTGGGGTAAAGATTTCATTTTCAAAGCAATAGATAACAACTATTTTTTGTCTTTCTACTCAATATATGGGTAGTTTACATACCGCAGTTACAGTGTTATAGTATTGTGTTTGTCTATGTACTTACAGTGAGTTTTGTACCTTCAGATGATTTCTTATTGCTCATTAACATCTTCTTCTTTCAGTGAGGAACTCCCTTTAGCATTTCTTTTAAGACAGGTCTGCAGATCCCTTAGGTTTTGTGTGTCTGGGAAAATCTTTATTTCTCCTTCATGTTTGAAGAATATTTTTGCTGGATATACTATTCTAGGATAAAAGTTCTTCCCTTCAGCACTTTAAATATGTCATGCCACTCTCTCAGCATATGAGGTTTCCACTGAGAAGTCTTCTGCCAGACATATTGGAGCTCCTTTGTATGTTATTTGTTTCTTTTCTCCTGTTGCTTTTAGGATCCTTTATCCTTGGCCTTTGGGAGTTTAATTATTAATCTTTTTTTTTTTTTGACAGGATCTGGCTCTGTTACTCAGGCTGTAGTGCAGAGGCATGATCTCAGCTCACTGCAACCTCTGCCCCCTGGGCTTAAGCCGTCCTTCAACCTCAGTCTCCCAAGTAGCTGGGACTACAGATGCATACCACCATGCCCGGCTAATATATATATATGGTAGATACAGGGTTTTGCCATGTTGCCCAGGCTAGTCTCAAACTCCTGGGCTCAAGCAATCCACCTGCCTCGGCAACCTAAAGTGCTGAGATTACAGGTGTGAGCCGCCCTGCTCAGCCTAACTATTAAATGTTTTGAGTTAGTCTTATTTGGATTAAATCTGCCTGCTTTTCTGTAACCTTCTTGTACTTGAATGTTGATATCTTTCTCTAGGTTTGGGAAGTTCTGTTATTATCCTGATCTCTCTCCACCTCCTCTTTAAGGCCAAGAATTGTTAAATTTGCCCTTTTGAGGCTATTTTCTAGATCCTGTAGGCCTACTTCATTTTAAAATTCTTCTTTCTTTTATCTTCTCTAACTGTGAATTTTCAAATAGTCTGTCTTCAAGATCACTAATTCTTTGTTTTGCTTGATCAGTTCCGCTGTTGAGGGACTCTGATGCATTCTTCAGTATGTCAAATGGATTTTTCAGCTCCAGGATTTCTTTGGTTCTTTTAAATTATTTCAATCTTGGTTCTTCTTAATTATTTCGATCTCTTTGTTAAATTTACCTGATAGGATTCTGAATTCCTTCTTTGTGTTGTCTTGAATTTTACTGAGCATTCTCAAAACAGCTATTTTGAATTATCTGCCTGAAAGGTCACATATCTTTGTCACTCTGGAATTGATCACTGGTGTTGTATTTAGCTCATGTGGTGAAGTCATGTTTTCCTGGATGGTCTTGATGCTTGTGAATGTTTGTTGATGTCTGGGCATTGAAGAGTTAGGCATTTACTGTAGTCTTTGTGGTCTGGGCTTGTTCGTACCTGTCCTTCTTGGGAAAGCTTTCCAAATATTCAAAGGGAATTGAGTGCAGTAATCTAAGTCTTTGATAACCACAGCTGTATCTACACAGGGAGCACCTCAATCCCAGTAATGCTGGGACTCTTGCAGATTAGTAGAAGTACTGCCTTGGTTGTCTTGGGTAAGATCTGGGAAAATTCCCTGGATTCCCAGGCAGAGACTCTTCTCTTCCCTTACTTTCCCCCAAACAAATGTGTCTCTCTCTCGATCTGTGCTGATCTGTCTGGAGCTAGGGGAGGGTTGACACAAACACCCCTGTGGCATCTACCACTGGGACTGTGCTGAGTCAGACCTGAGGCCACCACAGCACTGGGTCTTGCCCAAGGCACACAGTGACCACTGCTTGGCTACCACCTGTGTTGACTCAAGGCCCAAGGGCTGCATAATCAGCATGTGGTAAATCTAGCCAGGCCTTGTGACCTTCCCTTCAGTGCAGTGAGTTCCCCACATATCTGGTGGGTCCAGAGATACTGTCCAGGAGCTGTGGCCTGGAATCAGGGACTCCAGGTGCTCCATCCCACTGTGGCTAAGCTGGTACCCAAGCTGCAAGACAAGGTCCCCTTTACTCTTACCTCTCCTTTCCTCAAGCAGAAGGAGCTTCTCCCCGTGGCCACTACGGCTGGGAATGTGCTGGGTCACACCTGAAGCCCGTATGGCACTGAGTCTCACCCAAGGCCTGCAACAAGTACAACCCAGCTACCACTGATGATTATTCAGGGCCTATGTCCTCTTTAATCTGCAGGTGGTAAATCCTGCCAGGACTGGGTCCTTCCCTTCAAGGCAGCATGTTTCCTTTGTCCAAGAGTGTGTTTAGAAATGTTGTCTGGGAGCTAGAGCGTGGAATGGGAGCCTCAGGATGCTGTCTGGTGCCCTATTCTTCTGTGGCTGAGCTGGTATCCAAGCTGCCTCTCCTCAAGCAGAAGGAAGAAGTCTCTCCTGGAGCAGCAAGCTGTGCTGCCTGGAGTTGTGGGAGGGATGATGCTTGCCAAGACTCCCTTGGCTGCCCTGGCTGGTGCCTCACTAGGTTGTGTGCACCCCAAGTTCTCTGGCTCTGAGCCCAGCGCAGCACCAGGACTTGCTCCAGAATTGCAGTCCTTGTAGCTGGATTTACCACATACTGATTGTAGAGCCCTTGGGCCTTTAACAAACATAGGTGGTAGCCTTTCAAGTTTATTTAGGACCCTGGAGCACTTTAGCCTGCAATGGTGGTACTAGCTGGAACTCAGGTTCTGACCACTGGGATGGACAATTCCCTTCTGACTAGGGCTGGCCTAAATGCTTCCTCTGTCGGCACTGGCTAAATTCTACCCCATGTTGCTTTCTGCTGTGACAGGGCAGCACTGAGTTTCAATGCAAAGTCCCATGATCACTGTGCTCTCTCCCCTCCACTCAAGCACCCAGATTCTCTCTCCAGCCATGAGGCCACTTCTGGGAGATGGGGAAGTGTTAGTGTAGGCAATTTAAGACTCTTTTGGCCAGGCACAGTGGGTTACTCCTGTAATCCCAGAACTTTGGGAGGCCGAGGCAGGCAGATCACCTGAGGTCAAGAGTTCAAGGTCAGCCTGGCCAACGTGGTGAAACCCTGTCTCTACTAAAAATACAAAAATTAGCTGGGCGTGGTGGCATGAGCCTGTAGTCCCAGCTACTTGCGAGGCTGAGGCTTGAGAATTGCTTGAACCCGGGAGGCAGAGGTTGCAGTGAGCTATCGTGCCATTGCACTCCAGCCTGGGTGACAGAGCAAGATTCTGTCTCAAAAAAAAAAAAAAAAAGAAAAAAAAGAAAAAGAAAAAAGAAAAAAGAAAAAAAACCTGTCTTTTGTACATTCTTTAGTGCCTCTTTAAATTTTTAATTTTTGTGGGTACATACTAGGTATATATGTTTATGAGGTACATGAGATATTTTGATACAGGCATGCAATGCACAGTAATCAAATCATGGAGAATAGATTATCCATCCCCTCAAGCATTTATCCTTTGTGTTACAAACAATCCAGTTACATTCTTTTCATTATTTTAAAATGTACGATTAAGTTATTATTGACTATAGTCACCCTGTTGTACTATCAAATAGTAGGTCTTATTATAGGTCTAATTAATTCTTTCTATCTTTATTTGTACCCATTAACCATCCCTAACTTCCCCTCACTCCTCCACTCCCCTTCCCAGCCTCTGGTAACCATCCTTCTACTCTCTATCTCCATGAGTTCAAAGTACCTCTTTTTTTGATATGATGTTAAAACCAGATACCATGATCACTCACCTAATTTTTGGTTCTTATGAAGGTATTTTCTTGTGTGGATATTTGTTGTATTTGGCGTTCCTGTGGAGGAGACGATCAATGACGCATTTTATTCTGCCATCTTGCTCTACCTCCTCCTTTTTGTGATTCAGATGAGACTCCTTGACAGCTGGTGGCTAAATTTTCAAATGCAATATTTTTGGCAGAAAATATATTCACTCATGTAAAAAATAAAATGCACAGTGAAAAATGTTTCTTGTACCTATGCCCTTCATTTATCCAGTCTCGCCGTCTTTACAAAGGTAAACACTTTTACTTTTTCTGTATCCTTTCATAGTATATTTAGGCAAATAATACATGTAATTAATCTCCTTTGTTCAGGATGATGAATTGCCCCCCCCCCCCACGATGGTCAGTTCACCTCCCTGGGGCACAACTGTAAAACCCTCACAGCTCTAGCTGTATTCAGGGTCAACTCCACCAGCCATTTCATCCACCATATGACTCCTACAGATGAGATACGTAAGGTGCAGACAGGTTGAGAGATTTGCCCAAGGTCACACAGCCAGGAAATAGCAGAACTGTATCCAAACCTAGGCCTGGTGAACATCCACAATACCGCATGCCTCCTGCATGGTCTCAAACTCCTTCTCCTTGTCCTTGCCTGTGGACAGCCCCACTCATCTTAAAATTACATTTACGGCCAGGCACAGTGGCTCATGCCTATAATCCAAGCACTTTGGGAGTCCGAGGCAGGAGGATAACCTGAGGTTGGGAGTTGGAGACCAGCCTGACCAAAATGGAGAAACCTTGTCTCTACTAAAAATACAAAATTATCTGGGCATGGTGCTGCATGCCTATAATCCCAGTTGCTTGGGAGGCTGAGGCAGGAGAATCGGAGGCGGAGGTTGCTGTGAGCCAAGATAGGGCCATTGCACTCCAGCCTGGGCAACAAGAGTGAGACTCCGTCTCAAAAAAAAAAAAAAAAAAACCAAAACCAAAAAAAAGCAAAAAACCAAAAAAACATTTACTCAGTAGGCACTCTTTTTTTTTTTTTGATGATGAGTATCGCTCTGTCTCCTAGGCTGAAGTGCAGTGGCATGATCTCAGCTCACTGCAACCTCTGCCTCCTGGGTTCAAGCAATTCTCCTGCCTCAGCCTCCTGAGTAGCTGGGATTGCAGGCACACACCACCATGCCCAGCTAATTTTTTGTAATTTTAGTAGAAGCAGGGTTTCACCATGTTGGTCAGGCTGGTCTCGAACTGCTGACCTCGTGATCTGCCCGCCTCGGCCTCCCAAAGTGCTGGGATTGCAGGTGTAAGCCACTGTGCCTGGCCCAGTAGGCACTCTTTAAGAGCAGGTGTCACACAGTAGAAACTCTATGTAGACCATATGTAGACCATGAGTCACAGAGTGGGCACACTATGAAGAGCAGGTGGCAGCAGTAGGCACTCTTTATGTAGAGCAGGCAGCAGTGAGTAGGCACTCTTTATCAGGAGCAGATGATACTCAGTAAACACTCTTTATATAGAGCAGGTGGCATCTGTAGGCACTCTTTATCTAGAGCAAGTGGCATTCAATGGGCTCTCTCTCTTTTTTATTTTTTTGTGAGACAGAGTCTCACTCTGTTGCCCAGGCTGGAGTGCAGTGGTATGAACTCAGCTCACTGCAAACTCTGCCTCCCGGGTTCATGAGATTCTCCTGCCTCAGCCTCCCGAGTAGCTGGGATCATAGGTGCCCGCCACCACGCCCGGCTAATTTTTGTATTTTTAGTAGAGATGGGGTTTCACCATGTTGGCCAGGCTGGTCTTGAACTCCCGACCTCAGATGATCTGCCTGCCTTGGCCTCCCAAAGTGCTTGGATTACAGGCATGAGCTACTGTGCCTGGCCAGTAGGCACTCTTTATGTATTGCAGGTGGTACTGAGTAGGCACTTTTTATGTAGCGCAGGCAAGAGTAGGAACTCTTCATGTAGAGCAAGCAGCACTCAGTAGGCACCCTTTATGTACAGAAGGCAGCCCACAGTAGGTACACTTTATGGAGCACAGGCAACACTCGAGCAGGCAGCACTCAATAGACCCTCTTTATGTAGATCAGGAAACACTCAGTAGGAAGTCACCATATAGAGCAGGTGGTATCAGTAGGCACTGTTTATGTAGAGCACTTGGCACTCAGTAGGCATGTGTTATGTAGACAGCAACTGGTGCTCAGTGGGCACTCTTCATATACAGGGGGTGGCACTCAATAGGCACTCACTATGTAGAGCAGGTGGCACACAGTAGGCACTCTATGAGGAATATCAGGAACTGAGTATACAGGGTTAATGTAGAGCACCTGGCACACAGTAGGCACACTTTATGGAAAGCACTTGGCACAGAGTAGACAGGATTTAGCACCTGGCACACAGTAGCTGCCCTTCATTTAGAGTATTGGCACACAGTAGAAGTACTTTCCATGCAGCCTTTGTGCAGAGTAGAGACTGGCACACAGCAGCTCAAGTGCTAGTTGCCACCCTTTCCCTTCACTCCTTTTTGGGGCTCCCTCCTCTTAGGAGCCCTCATTGTCCCCCGCTAAGGCCCTCATCGAACATCCCATTTCCCAGATGGGAAGACTGCACCCAGGAGGGGCAGTACTGACCAAAGTCAGAGCAAGGATGAGGCAGAATGAGGACTCCATTCATGGTTCCCTGGCTCTGCCCTTCCCCTGCCTGGACCCCATCCGTTCCCTCTCATCCTAACCCTCCACGTCCCCGCTCTGTCCTCCTATACTGAGTCCGGCCTCCAGATTTGCTTTTCCAGCTGAGCTCTTAATCTCCAGAATCTGACCCAGGTAATCCTCAGTGGGGCTGGATTCTTTGTTCCCGTTCCTAGCAGTCAGGTCTCCAACAGGGCCCTGGACTGCCTGGAGGCAAGACTTGAACTCCATCCAGCAGCAGGGGGATAGAGGCTTGTCTCTTCCAGGTTGCCTGATTCAGCATCCAGAAGTGGTACACGGTGTCCTACCGGCCCAGGGTTAGAGAGGAGCACAGGAGATGATCTGGAACAAGGCTTGGCCTGGCCTGGCTCGCTTGACACCTGAACTCTCAAGTTCATGCTTTTATCTGCCACACACTCAGTAGGTGCTCTTTAAGAGCAGGTGTCACACAGTGGAAACTCTATCTGACCCCTCTCGGCTTACTCTCCACCTTATGTGGGAGGTGCTGAGACCTGAGGATCCAGTGCCTGTGCTGTGTCACCCTGAGCTGGTTCCTCTGCATCCAGCTGGTCTCCCACACCCAGGTTTTGGCCAGCTGCCCAGACATGGGAGCGGCACCCAGGCTGTGGGGATTGGCTGGCCCAGCCCAGCCCAGCCTAGCCTCCCACAGCCTTCCCTACATCAGGGGCCAGGGGAAAAAACCTCCCAGAAGAAGGGGAGAGGAGGTTGTGTGGGACAAGGTGCTCCTGACAGAAGGTGCCAGGGTGGGGGTGGTGGGCCTGGGGCATCCTAGCCTGTGATGGAGATGGGCACTGGGCAAGGGATTGGGCGCACACATAGGGGAGCCCCAGCCTTCCCACATTCTCCATTGCTGCCCAAGGCCCAGGCAGCTCCTGGTTGCTGGCTTGGAGGATGAGTGGTTTTCTAACTGAAACCAAGCCCCTGGCAACGTCCTAATGATTCAGGCTGGGCCTTTCTGGACTTTAATCAGTTTCTCTGTCTTTCTCAATCTAAGTGCTTACCGGGTAACTGGAGGCCACTTGGTTGCTGGTTTTGGCTGGGCCTTTCTGGACTTTACCCCTCAGCCCCTGTTTATCCATCCCTGTTTACTCTTACTGTTCTATCTCCAGCACTGCCCGTCTCTGCCTCTCTCCACTGTCCCTGGAGCTCCCTGGGCCCTTCCCTGGGCCTCAGGACCTCACTCACCACCCCATCTGCCCTGCAGGATGCCACAGCTGAGCCTGTCCTCGCTGGGCCTTTGGCCAATGGCAGCATCCCCGTGGCTGCTCCTGCTGCTGGTTGGGGCCTCCTGGCTCCTGGCCCGCATCCTGGCCTGGACCTATACCTTCTATGACAACTGCTGCCGCCTCCGGTGTTTCCCGCAACCCCCGAAACGGAATTGGTTCTTGGGTCACCTGGGCCTGGTGAGTGTGGCAGCAGGACGGGTCTGGGGTCTCAGGGTGGATGGACTTCCTGAGGGGTAAGAATGAGGCTCAGGTGAGAGGGGGTGGGCTGGGGTCTGGGGTGGCAGAGAAGCAGGGGAGGCGTCTTACTCATTCCTCTGCTTACTCATTTCTGTGAGGTGCCAACCCAAGCCCTTCTCACCTCCCTGTTCTCCCACTCTTGGCCTGTGTTGAATCCTTTTCCTGCCTGTCTTTCCACATTAATGCACCTCTGCGGGGCTCTTGGGCAGGGGGTTGGGTGCACAGAAAGGTGAACCCCTGGCGTTCCCACATTCTCCATTGCTGGACTCGAGGCCTCCTGTACCCACTGTTCAGGGTCCTCTCCCTACCTGGCCTATTTCCTCTTATGAGGGTATAGGTGGGCCAGAGGAGAGGTGTGGGCTGTCTCTCACCTCCACCACATCCGGAGGCACCTTCCTCTTATCTTGTTCCTCCCCAGTAAGATGTCCCAATGGGGTCCTGTTGCCAAACCCACATAAAAGTTGGCCACTCACTTCCCCTTTCAGAAGCCTTCCCTGACCTTTCTCCTCCCCCAGACCTTGCCCTCTGACTTAGACCTGCTCTCCCCTTTGCGGAACGTGGTCTCAATCTGCTCATTGCAAATGGCAGGATTGATGGGTGTGTCCACAGGTGAAGTGGGAGGGTGCACAGGATGCACTAGCACAGAGCCTGGTGCAGAAGCTTCTCCCAGGTGGGAGCCACTGTCATGATGGACAGTTAGAGTCACCTCTGCTCCCCTAGTGACTGCTGAGAAGGGAAGGTCCCCTGTGTGCAGAACCTTCTCCATGGGAGGAACTGGAACCTGTGTGGCTGGTGGAGGAACCAGCCAGGGCATGAAGGGATGTGGGGACCAGCCTTAGGGACATGTCCTGAGTCCACACTGCTCCCCACAAACCTCCCCTGTGAGGACCTCCTCATATGCCCACCTCTGGGCTGAAATGACTCCCAGAACAAGGAAATTTTTCCTCTCAAGCTAAGTGGGCCTCTGTGAGTGGACAGTGTGTCTTTTCCTTCTGCCTTGGGATGCGCTCTTGGGACTTGGGGGTGGCCCCAAGAGAGATAGAGCAGGAGGAATGTAGACAGATAGATAGGTAATAGGATAGATGGATGGATGGATGCACAGATAGGGTGAATAGATGGCTGGCTGGCTGGATAAGTAGGTGGGTAGATAGACAGATAGATAGATAGATAACAGGATAGATGGATGGATGGACAGATGGATGCATGGATAAGATGGATGGATGGATGGATGGATGGATGGATGGATGGATAATACATACATAAAGTAGTAGATAAGATGGATACATTAGGTGGATAGATAGGTAGAGTGGATATGTAGGATGGATAGATTAGATGGATGGATAGATAGCTAGATGATTGATAGATAATAGGATAAATGGATGAGTGGATGAATGTACAGATAAGATGGATGGATGGATGGATGGATGGGCAGATAGATATATAGATAGAAAAGTTAGATAGGATGAATAGATTAGATAGATAAATGAATAGATAGATAGGTAGGTAGATAGATAATAGGCTAGATGGATGAATGGATGCACAGATAGGATAGATGAATGGATAGATAGACAGATATATAAGATAGAATGGATGGATTAGATAGATGGATAGATACATAGAAACATAGGTAGATAGATAGATTAGATAGATAGATAGATAGACAGATAGATACATACATACATACATATATAGATACATAGATAGGTAGATATGTAGAGATATATATAGGTAAATAGATAGATAGATAGATAGATAGATAGATAGATAGATAGATAGATAGATAGACAGACAGGCAGACAGACAGATAGATAGATAGAAGAGGGAGTTTATTTCGGGAATTGGCTCACAGGATTATAGAAGCTGAGATGCGTCATGGACTGCTGTCTGCAGGCTGGATAAACAGACACTGGTTGTGTAACTGAGTCCAAAGGCCTGAGACGGTGGAGTTCTGGTGTCCAAGGGCAGGAGAAGATGGATGTGCCAGCCCCACAACAGAGCAAATTAGCCTTTCCTCTGCATTTTTGTGCTACCTGGGCTCTCAACAGATTGAATGAGCTCTGCCCACACTGGGGAGGGTGATTCTTCCTTCCTCAGTTTACCAAATTGAATGCCAGTCTCTTCTGGAAACACCCTCACAGACGGATGATCAACTATCTGGGCATCCTTTAGCCCAGTCAAGTGGACACCTAGAATTAACCATGACAGGAGGTGACGGCCCCTGCCTTGCTTGCAGGTCACCCCCACGGAGCAGGGCATGAGGGTCCTGACTCAGCTGGTGGCCACCTACCCCCAGGGCTTTAAGGTCTGGATGGGCCCCATCTTCCCCGTCATCCGTTTTTGCCACCCCAACATCATCCGGTCTGTCATCAACGCCTCAGGTACCACCTGGAATACTTGGTGGTGGGTGCTATGGTGCATTTGAGGCCTGCAAGTCCCTCTATCCCCAAGCCGTGTGTGGCCCCTGCAGTACTCTGGTCTCTCCTTTCCTTCTCTCTCAGCCATCTTCATCTTTCTTTCATGTATTCACTAATTCCCATCTCAGCATCTCCTCTCTCCATTGCCATCTGACCCCCTGTCCTGGTGTTCTGGGCTGCCCTGGGGCCCCAAGAGACCTCAACCCAAGGCCCTGTCCTGGAGGAACCCCCAAGCTTAAGGAGGTGGATGTGGACAGAGACATCCCCAACTTCATGGGGTCAAGAAAGGGCCAGAGGGAGATGGATGACAGCCCAGAGAAGAGCAAGTTCTCTGCTGGGGCAGGCTGGAAGCCTTCCTGGAGGAAGAGTTACTGGAGCCATGTCTGGAACAATGAGTAGGGATGTTTGAAAGGAGAGTGCAGGGTGATGCAATTGGGCATCGTTAGTGTTCAAGGCCCCTTGCCAGGTCTAGCGTCACCTTGCCTGTCACAAAGGTTAGAACAATGAGGACTTGTGGCTGGTGGAGGATCTGGACTGTTATTTCTGTGATGTCCATCTCTGGTGTGGGTCAAGTCCTTTTACCCCATCCTGTAGTTTGTCTGCCCTAAGTTCATTGCTTTTCTGCTCTAGGCCCTGGGAATCTCCAAAAGGAGACTCCAGCCTAGTTTGGGGCCCTCTCCTTGACCCCTGTGCTTCCCTTCTTGGACAGGCCAGGCTGAGCAGGGAAACAGGCAGCATCCTACAGAGACCATGGCTCTGGCCTCAAAATGCTGAGTGACTCTGGGCTGGTTCCCAGCTGTCTCTGGTTACTGAGGTCTCTTTCAGTTGTGAGTGGTGGAAATCCAACCTGGTGTAGTCTAAGCAAAGAAAGAGAATCTATTGATTTTAAAGTCCAGGGAGGATGGCCTTCAGGCATGGCTGGATCCAGGTCTCACACAGTGTTACTTCCTCTCTTGGCTTTAGCTTTCTCCACGCCACTTTTGGCTTGTCTTCCTTTCTTGGCTTTAGCTTTTTCCACGCCACTTTTGCTTTCAAGACAGTCTTTCCCTCATGACGTCAACAATGAGTCCTAGAAGCTCAATTCTCATGGGAAAGCCCACATTTCCCCCAGAGTTCCCAGAAAAGGCCCATGATTTACTTCTCCTGGCCTGGATCACCAGATCAATTTTTCACCCAGTCCCTGTGTTTCTGATTGCCTAGTCTCGGCAGGCCTGGGCCTTCTAGAGCTACTGTTTTGGGGGCACAAAGAAGTTTGATGGTTAAGGAATCAGGCCATGGGTGCAGATAGACCCAGTCTCAGGCCTCAGGTTTGCCATGGTCTGGGACTATGGGCAAATTACTTTATCATTTAGAGCCTCAGTCTCTTCATCTGGAAAATGGGATGAATGAGAGCCCAGGGAACATGGTGTGTGGATCCACATGGGGAAAGAGCTTTTCTGTCTGTGTAACTGAAGGACTGGAGAGTCCTGCATGGAGGATGTGAGGAGGAAGCCCAGTGGGGGCTCAGCACTGAGAGGGAGATGAGATGCTGCTTGAAATTCTCAGGGAGAGGGCTTCCACCTCTTCCCTGCAGATCCTTCTCTCTCGCAGCCTAGGAGAGCATGAATTGGGTCCTGTGTCTTTCTCTCCAGATTCACAGCTCGGAGGAAGGTCTCCTATACACACAAAGCCTGGCATGCACCTTCGGTGATATGTGCTGCTGGTGGGTGGGGCCCTGGCACGCAATCGTCCGCATCTTCCACCCCACCTACATCAAGCCTGTGCTCTTTGCTCCAGGTAGACACTGCACTGGCCACTCCAGGTAGACACTGCACTGGCCACGCCTTGCCCACAGCTGGGGTCTCTGTGCTGCCTCCAGCGGGTCGCGTGCCCATGTGCAGACAGGAGGGGCTGTGGTGGAGATGCCACTGCTTCCATCTCCCCTGGACTTCCATCTGTCTGACCTCTGTTCCTGTTTGCTCATGTCTGGGAAGTGTCTCTATGGTGGCTGTTATATGGTCAAGTCTGCTGTACGGCTACGTCTTGTCACCTGTATATTTACACCTGGGTCCTGGTTACACCTGAAATATGTTATACCCGGTTACATCTGGTATATCATTCCAACTGAGGTCATGTAGAGCTGGTCATGTGTGGAGTTCATGTGTGGCCAAGGACATTTGGGGCATGTGAGGGGCTGTTTTGTTCTTGTCGCAGGTGCTGTTTGACACTGCCGTTTTCTCCTGCTGGTCACATCTGGGCCATGTTTGGGGGTTGTGTGAGGTCTGGGACCCAGGGTCCCTAAGTGAACTGTCTGAGACATTATTTGAGTCTTGTCTGAGGCATGTGTTGTAGTATGTTTGGGTCATACGTGAGGAACAGTCTGGGTCACGTGTTGGCTATGTCTGGGTCGTTAAAGGTACCATATTTATATTCAACCTGGAGCCTGTATGTGGAACACGCTTTTAAGGTCATGTTAGACCATCTCATGTGCATGTTAGAGCATACCATCTCATGTTAGGAATTGTCATGTATTTTGTGGCCATGTCAGGACTTGTGAACACATGTCAGTGTCATGTCTCATGTCTAGGTCCATGTCAGAAGATGCCATGTGAGAATATGTCAGAGAGTGCTGGGACAGACAGGGTGTCCTAAGTCCTTGTGAAGGCATTCTGTAGAGTGCTGAGCGTGTTCAGGGTTTGCAGAACATGTTGGATCATGTAGGAGGCATGTCAAGGCATGCTGGAGCCCTGACATAGCTCCTACGTGCCATGTTAGGCAGTGTCATTGCTGTGCTGTGCTGCCGTAGCCTGGTCTGGTCTTCCCTCCCCTCCCCCATCCTGCCTTCTTCCTCTCCCCTTGACCCTCTTCTTGCTATGTGGGGCTTGGAGGGAAGAAGTGCAAACCTCTTGCTGGGAGCCTCCCCCCACCCCCAAAGTTCCTCCTTCACCTGCCTCCATGGCCCCTGATTGTCCTCATTTATGTCAGCTGCCATTGTACCAAAGGACAAGGTCTTCTACAGCTTCCTGAAGCCCTGGCTGGGTGAGTATCTGTAGGTGAACAGGGTTGGGAACAACCTGGGGGGCCAGGGGAGGGAGATGCCCTTGCCCATGGCCCTTGGCTGCCCTGCCAGGGGATGGGCTCCTGCTGAGTGCTGGTGAAAAGTGGAGCCGCCACCGTCGGATGCTGACGCCTGCCTTCCATTTCAACATCCTGAAGCCCTATATGAAGATTTTCAATGAGAGTGTGAACATCATGCATGTGAGTTATTTGAAGCCAAGGTCCCAGCTGCAGCCTTTGGTTGGGGGGAACCACAGACAGATCTAGTCTGGAATTTTGGCTCTGCTGGGTGCCTCTGGGCCATTGTCTTCCTCTCTGAGCTTTGGTTTCCTCATCTGTAAAATCCCTACTTAAAAGAAGGTCAAGGTGATGTAGTGGAGTCATGTCTCTGGCGCATAGTAGGTGCCCAGAAGGTGTCTGTTTCTATGTTCGCGTCACCCGAACCCTGTAAACTCAAGAGGGTAATGACAACAATTGCATAATAGCTGTTGCTGATAAGAAACAACCTGAAAACTCATTGGTTTAAACCAATAAAGGTTTATGAATCCTGATAAGTCTGTGGGACAGTTCGTGGATTCTTCTGGATGTGGATGGAAGGGATCAGTCATGGTACATGAGCAGCCTGGGGTCAGGTAGGCAGCCTTGCTGGTGTTGGCTGAGTTCTCTCACATGTTTGGGTTTTGGCTGGCTTCAGACCGATACAGATGGCCTCAGCTTAGACCCCTGGATGTTCCTCCATCTGATTCTCTCCCTCCAGAAGGAGTCCCATGGTTTACAATACAGATAGGGTTCCAGGGAATAAGATGAGGCTTAGCTTCATTAGTTATCACCTCATCATTTTTACCACATTGTATTTTGACATCAAAAGCCAATAGTCCAACACGGAATCAATGGCAGGGGGTAAAATAGGCTCTGTCTATTATTGGGAGTTGCTGAAAAAGCACATTGCAAAGGGTGTGGATATGGGGAGAAGGGAAGAATTGGGGCGAAGGTTTTGTGAAGTGTTTAGAATTTTTTAACTTTAAAATTGATGTTAAGCTAGTTACTGTTTCATAAATTATTCTGGAAGAACAAGAAACTCCTGGGTCAGAGACAAAGGATAGTTTTACTACTCATGACACAGAGAGCAGCATGTGTTGCTTGTTAGATTGCACTTCTTCTCCAAGCCTCTCAAATCCCATGGGCTGACACAAGTGGGCTTCTATAAATGCCTGCTGACATCATATATTGCATTACAGGGAAGGGGCATTAGGCTTAGGAATCTGTTTTTATAGCAAGCAGAAGCAGCATATCCAGGGGGTGTCCCTTATCCTCAAAGTTATTTTCTGCAAACACAACTCTGAGAAATTTTTCAAGTTAAGAACATCAGCGTGTTGCATTTGTGACATGCCCAGAAAGGGTGCTCAGGACTCATGGAGGACTACCTCTACAAACCTAGGATATTTTTATAATCAATTTATAACTGCAGATGAGGAAACCCAACATTTATTGAGAACTCACAATATGCCAGAAAAAATGCCATGTGCCCATTCCATGATACGAGTATATATTGTCTAATTTGATTTTAACAACTCTGCAAAGGAGAGATTATGTATTTCTGCCCCATGGTAGATGATGAAACTGCAGGTCTGAGAGATTAGGGAGCTAACCCAAGTTCACCCAGCTAATGAGTGAGCTTGGCATGGTGGAGCAGAGTTTCTAACATGAATTATATGGCTCCAAAGCACATCATCTTAACTGTTCCTGAATATCTGACAGGTGGGATATAGGGGAGGGTAATGAGTTGACTAATGGCACACAGAGCACAGAGGACAGAGCTGGAACTTGAACCTAGGTCTCCTGACTCCCAATCTTGGGTCTTCATCTCTTAATAGTAACAGCTTTTGCTTGCACCATAACCTGGTGCTCCCGGGTAAAGGGTCCCTGGGGAGAAGATGAAGAGGCTTATTCTGGGGCGTGCATATTGATTGTTGGGGTTGGAGAGCTGCTCAAGGGAGCAAGGGACCTGCCCCAGCTCTGTCCCCTTCTCTGGCTAGGCCAAGTGGCAGCTCCTGGCCTCAGAGGGTAGTGCCCGTCTGGACATGTTTGAGCACATCAGCCTCATGACCTTGGACAGTCTGCAGAAATGTGTCTTCAGCTTTGACAGCCATTGCCAGGAGTAAGTTCTTGCCCAGGGTCTGGGATCCTGGGCCGTGGACACAAAGTTGGTAGGTGGGGGGCTGGGGAGGACTGAGCAGGGAAATCAGACAAACCTTCTTGGAGGAGTTGTTATACCTGATCGTTGAAGGACTGGTATGAATTTTATCTTGAGGTTTCCAGGGACTCATTAAAAGGGTTTGAACTGGTGGGTGTGGTCAAAGTGGGTCTCTCTCAGGGACTGACTGTAATGTAGCACTAAATGGAGTTAACACTGATGCAAAGAAGCTAGGGTGGAAGCTGGACCATGGACCAGTTGGAAGAGGATAAAGTCTGAGCTTTGTGGACAGCTTCAGGAAGGAGAAGGGGCAAGACTGTATACTGGGAGGGAGAGAGGGAATAGGAGCATAATGTGCAAACTATCCTCTGGGTGCCTAGCTGCATGGAGGCATCTCACAGAGATGGGATGCAGGGAGAGATAAGAGAGCCTGGAGAGTCGATTTCATGCTGATCCCCATCCTGCATCTGAGGGGCCATCTGTTCCTGGATACCCCGTTTACTGATAGGAGGTAGCTCCTAGCTGCTGGTGGGAGGTGATCCTGGGGCTTCAGGTGTATTAAATTGTTGCCTCCCTTTCTGCCCTTATCCTGCAGGAAGCCCAGTGAATATATTGCCGCCATCTTGGAGCTCAGTGCCCTTGTGACAAAAAGACACCAGCAGATCCTCCTGTACATAGACTTCCTGTATTATCTCACCCCTGATGGGCAGCGTTTCCGCAGGGCCTGCCGCCTGGTGCACGACTTCACAGATGCCGTCATCCAGGAGCGGCGCCGCACCCTCCCTAGCCAGGGTGTTGATGACTTCCTCCAAGCCAAGGCCAAATCCAAGACTTTGGACTTCATTGATGTACTCCTGCTGAGCAAGGTGGGCCTCTCTGGGATCTGAATTCAAGAAGTAGAAGGGAGCTTCATGTGAAATGTCAGATGAAAGAATTTGAACTTGACCCAGAGGGCACTGGGGAGCCATGGAAGGTGATTGAGGAAGGGAGGGACAGGTCAGAGATAGGTTTTGGAGATAGCTCTGTGGACTAGCACCTACCAGGGGACTGCTAAATGAAATTGTGATGAGTCTGAGATTTACTCTATTTATAAGTTAATAAGCTAATTGGCCACCTTTTAATCTATATATCTACATCTATACCTATGTCTGGGTCTATGTTTATGTTTTTGCCTATGTCTTTCTGTATCTTTGTCTCTGAGTTTGTGTCTCTCTCTATGACTATGACTATGTCTATGTCTTTGTCTTTTTCATTGGCCATATCTGTATGTCTTTGTCTGCATCTGTGTCTTCATCTTTGTTTATGTTTATGCCTTTGTGCTCTCCCTCCCTCCCTGCCTTCTTTTTCTTTCTTTCTTTCTTTCTTTCTTTCTTTCTTTCTTTCTTTCTTTCTTTCTTTCTTTCTTTCTTTCTTTCTTTCTTTTCCTTCCTTCCATCTTTCTTTCTTTCTTTTTCTTTCGTTCTTTCTTTCTTTCTTTCTTTCTCTCTCTTCTCTTTCTTTCTTTCTTTCTTTCTTTCTTTCTTTCTTTCTTTCTTTCTTTCTTTCTTTCTTTTTCTCTCTCTCTCTTTCCTTTTTTTGACGGAGTCTCGCTCTATCACCCAGGCTGCAGTGCAATGGCATGATTTTGGCTCACTGGTAACCCCTGCCTCCCGGGTTCAAGTGATTCTCCTACCTCAGCCTCCCGAGTAGCTAGGACTACAGGGGCACGCCACCATGCCTGGCTAACTTTTGCATTTTTAGTAGAGACGAGGTTTCACCATGTTGGCCAGGCTGGTCTTGAACTCCTGACTTCATGATCCATCCACCTTGGCCTCCCAAAGTACTGGGATTACAGGCGTGAGCCACTGTGCCCCACCTTGTCATGTCTTTTCTATGTCTGTGTTTATGTCTTTTTCTATATCTATATTTTCGTTCTTGTCTATGTCTATGTGTCTGTGTCTATGTCTTTTTCTTTTCTCTGTGTTTGTGTCTTTGTCTCAGTGTATGTCTATGTCCATGTTTTTTTGTCTGTGTCTATGATTATGTCTATGTCAATGCTATATCTATATCTTTGTCTTTTTTTTTTTTTGAGATGGAGTCTCGCTGTGTCACCCAGGCTGGAGTGCAGTGGTGCGATCTCGGCTTACTGCAACCTCCGCCTCCTGGGTTCAAATGATTCTCCTGCCTCAGCCTCCCAACTAGCTGGGATTAGAGGCACCTGGCTAATTTTTTGTATTTTTAGTACAGACGGAGCTTCACTATTTTTAGTCTCAAACTCCTGAGCTCGTGATCTGCCTGTCTCAGCCTCCCAAAGTGCTGGGATTACAGGTGTGAGCCACTGCACCCGGCCATATTTTTGTCTTTGAATTTGCCTGTGCCTGTGTCTGTTTTTGTCTGTCCATGTTTATGTCTATGAGTATTTGTGTCTGTGTCTATGTCCATGTCTATGTTTATGTGTATTTGTGTGTCTGTGTTTGTGTCTAAGTCTATGACTTTTTCCATGTGTTTCTGTGTCTATGTCTGTGTGTCTATGTCTTTGTCTATGTGTATGTCTGTTGTGACAGAGGCATTAAATCTCTGGATCAGAGCAGCTCATGTCTTGCTTACGGCAATACTATCAGCCAGAGTAGGATTGTGGCACTGACTCTCCATTCCCAAGTCAAATTCCTCCAAGGGCAATGCGATGTTTTCCCCTGTACGTGCAGCAGACTTTGTACCCTAGGAAAGGCACCCTATATTATGAGTCTCAGCACATTTTCTATAGAGAGAGAGAGAGAGGAAGAAAGAGAGAGGGCACCAGCTTTGTGAGAGATTATGTGCTTTGTTCTGGATGCCATATTCCATAGACTTACAACTCAAATGTCTCCAGGGAGATAAGATTCATTTACCACTGTAGAATGTGGGCAAATATCTTTGAAGCAATACTTAATCTCTAATTTCCAAGACAAATTGCCATTTAATTATCCTGTAACCCAGGTTGCCAGTGATTTTTTTCTCAGAAAGTTTTCATCAAGCAGAAACATGAAAGCATTCATGGGTCATTGAGTCTTCCCATTAGGGACCAAAGAAAAGGCAAGGAAGCCAGGGAGGAAGCCCATGGGGTTGGGGCTCTGGCCATGGTGACCAAGAAGGGTCTAGGAGAGCAAGATGGGCTTGGGTTTCTCGAAAGAGGATGAATCTTCAGAGACTGTCTCAGATTAGACTCAAGAGCCCTCAGAGGTACTGTGACTTTTTATGGGGGTGGGGGTGGGGGGTTATTGCCTTCTCTCCAGGATGAAGATGGGAAGAAGTTGTCCGATGAGGACATAAGAGCAGAAGCTGACACCTTTATGTTTGAGGGTGAGGGCCCCAGTGTGGGGCTAGAGTGGGGACTTGGATATCTCCATTCCAGGAACAGGGTGGGTGGACCCCTCGCACTTCCCATCCCCCTTCCCCCATCCTCCCTGAGGTCCTCAATGCAAGGTTGCTGTACACCCTCGGGTGCTGAAGCAGCCCAGAGACCCAAGCCTGCCTTGCTGCCCCCCAGGCCATGACACCACAGCCAGTGGTCTCTCCTGGGTCCTGTACCACCTTGCAAAGCACCCGGAATACCAGGAGCGCTGTCGGCAGGAGGTGCAAGAGCTTCTGAAGGACCGTGAGCCTAAAGAGATTGAATGGTGAGTGCAGGTGCTGGTGCCCTGTTCCTGAGCCTGTCTCATTGGCTCTGTTCCCCAGGTAGGGAGGGGAGAAGGGGTTGTTTTTGTTGATTCTGCCACTATTGCTTAGTGGGAATAGGAGCAGAGGACCACAGGCAGGACTTAGTACCCATCCTGACTGTCTGGGCAAAGGTTATAGGCCCTTAGGACAGAAAGACCTGGGCTTCTGAGAGAATTGTTGATGATATGTGAGGACAGATAACGCCACTTAGCATGTGTTCAGCAAATGAACTTCCCCTCCACTCTCTTCCTTTTCTCCAAGAAATATTTTTTTGAATGTCTTCACTTGTTGAATGTTTGCTCTTCTGTTCCCTAATTCCTACCCTTCCATCCAGTCCAGGGATTTATAAGGGAGACCTGGGGGTAAAATTCATCCATTCTTGTCCAGAACACCTGCATCATTCATCCATCCAGTCCTCGTTCAGCAAATACTCTCATACTGCATTCCAACCCCCACATCTGTGCACAGCATCTTTCTGTGCTCTGGAGACCTGGGAAGGACCCAACCAGGGATCTATTTTCCAGGTGCTCCCAGCCTGGTGGGGGAACTGTCCCTGGGCAGGACAGTCCCAGCCCACGTGGGCAGGGATGGGGTTTACAGTAAGGGAAGCAGGACTAGGGGGGTATAGAAAGTGTCTCAGTTGAAAGCCTGAATAATGATCAGTAGATAATTGGGTACAGTTGGGGAGCAGTGCTGTAGGTCAAGAAGACCACCTGGGGTCTTCGGGGGAGGAAGAGAGAGAGGAGAGAGAGAGAGAGAGAGAGAGAGAGAGAGAGAGAGAGAGAGAGAGAGAGCAGGGTCAGGACAGAAAGGAGGAGAAGGGGAGAAAGAGGGAGAGACTGACTTGTGGTGAGATGATAAAACTGGAGATGGTAGCAGGGGCTGGCTGTGGAAGCCTTGGGGAAAATGTTAATGGCTTCAGTTTTAGCCCAAGGGCAATAGGGAGCCATGAGAAGTGTTTGAACAGGGAGGGACAAGTCACATCTGGGTACCAGGAAGATCTTTCTAGGGCTAGTGTGGAGGGTGTACTGGAGAGGACCAGCTATAGAATGAGAGCGCAGTGGGGACATTCTGAGGCTCAAGCCAGGCCAGGGGCTGGAGGAAGGAGAGGAAGCATTGGAGTGGACGGGTGTCTTGGACTCAGTGTCCTCCCGTCCATGCCTTTGCCCAGCACAGCAGTCCTGGGAAGGGAAGAAACATTTTTATGCTTCTAAAATAAAGAATATTTTTGCAATTTTATTTTTTAAAACACATTTTTATTGATGCATAATAGATGCACATAGTTTTGAAATACATGTGATAATCTAATACATTCATATAATTGATAAAGATCAAATCAGTGTACTTGGGATATCCATTGCCTGAAATATTTGTCTTTTCTTTATGCTAGAAACATAACTAACATAAGCAAACTACTTTCTAATGTACAGTACATATTGTAAACTACAGTGAACCTACTGATCTATCAAGTGCTAGGTTTTATTTCTCCTATCAAAACTCAAATTCGTACCCATTAATCAACTTCTCCTTATCCTTCCCTCCCCTCTGCCAATCTATCTTCTTTTTTCATGAGATCCACTTTTTCAGCTCCCACACGTGAGTGAGAACATGCGATATTTGTCTTTCTGTTTTTGGCTTATTTACTTACCACAATGACCTCCAGTTCCATCCATGTTGCCACAAATGACAAAATTTCAGTCTTTTAAATGGCTGAATAGTATTCCATTGTGTATACACACTACATTTTCTTTATACATTCATCTATTGATAGACACTTAAGTTGATTCCATATTTTCGTTGTTGTGAATAGTGCTGCAATAAATACAGAAGTACAGATGTCTCTTCCATATATTTATTTTCTTTCTTTGGGATAGAAATTTCTTCTCTTTCTTTTCAGTAGTGGAATTTCTGGGTTATATGGCAGTTCTAGTTTTAGTTTCTTGAGGAACCTCTGTGCTGTTCTCTGCAGTGGCTGCACTAATTTATATTCCCACCAACAGTGTGTGTGAGTTCCCCTTTCTCCATATCCTCACCAGCATCTATCATTGCCTGTCTTTTTGATAAAAGCCATTTTAACTGGGATGAGATGATATCTCATTGTGGTTTTGATTTGCATTTCTCTGACTGTTAGTGACATTGAGCATTTTTCCATCTACCTATTGGCCATTTGTATGTTTTATTTTAAGAAATGTCTATTCAGATCTTTTGCCCATTTTAAAATCAGATATTTGGTTACTTTTCCTATTGAGTTGTTTGAGCTGCTTATGTATTCTGGTTATTAATCGCTTGTCAGATGAGTAGTTTGTGAGTATTTTCTGCCATTCTGTGGGTTGATTCTTCGCTTTGTTGATTGTTTCCTTTGCTGTGCAGAAGCTTTTTTGCTTGATATAATCTCATTTCTCTATTGGCTCTGCTTTTGAGGTCTTACATAGAAAGTCTTTGCCCAGACCCATGTCCCGGAGTATAAAACCAAGATTTCAAGCAAAATTATGCGTGTAGTTTAAAAAAAATGGTCGAAAGACTTTATGACAAAAATGAAGTTCCTTATTAAGCTCCACCTTAGCGGTGACTACAGTCAACAGTTCTCTGTGTATTCTTCTAGAAAATGGCTATCCCGATGCCCACATTTATATGAACTCACACTGTGACTTTTATTTATATGAACACTTACTGTGCTTTTCTTTGTAAGTGAAAGTCCATAAAATAGACACGGGTCTGCATATTATCTCTGAGATCTTTTGCTTTTCTCAAAATATACATTTTGGAAAATGAGTTTGTTTTTAAATTTGTTCTTTGTCTTTAATTGACAAGTTTTAATTATATATGTTTAGAGGCACAGTATGATGTTGTGATATATGTATACAACCTGAAATTATTAAATCAAGGTAATGAACAAATCCATCACTTCATGTGTTTATCATTTTTGTGTTGAGAACATTTGAAGTTTACTTTCTTAGCAATTTCAACTAATACAATACATTGTTCACTAAAGGCACCAGGCTGGGCAGCAGATCTCAAAAACTTATTCCTGTTGTCTAACTGAAGCTTCTACCCTTTGACCAACATTTCACCCTTCTCTGTCCCTCCCCCACCCCTGGCCTCTGGTAACCACCATTCTATTCCTATTTCTATGAGCTCAACTATTTTAGGTCCCAAGATAAGTAAGATCATGTGTGTTTGTCTCTTCTGCACCTGGCTTACTTCACTTAGCATGAGTTCCTCCAGGTTCTTCCATGTTGTGGCAAATGAGATAATTTTTTCTTTTTTAAAGGCTAAATGGGATTCCATTGTGTATATATATATATATATACACCACATGGAAAAACAACATTAAATTACAAAATGAATGATAAAAAAGAGTTCTTCTTGTACCAAATGAGACATTACAGATAAGACTAGGGTTTTCCTTGACAATCCTGCCACCTGACCTAATCCTTTCTCATTCTCCAAAGGTGTTTCTAGAGCCATAGATTTGTTTATCTATCTATCTATCTATCTATCTATCTATCTATCTATCTATCTATCTATCTATTTCTATCATCTATCAATGTATCTATCATTGATCTATCTATCATCTATCAATGTATCTATCATCTATCTCTATTATCTGTCTATCTATCTATCATCTATGTATCTCTGTATCTATCATCTATGTAACTATGTCTCCATCATCTATTATCTATCTCTCTACTTATTTATCTACCTATTATCTATGTATCTATCTATATCATCTATTTATCTATCTATCTATCTATCTATCTATCTATCTATCTATCATCCATCCATCCATGATCTATCTCTCCACCATCTATGAATCATTCATTTTTATAAATATATATCCATATGCTTCTTGCTGTTTTACATGTACATATGTATATATTTGTCACTTTTTTTCACTCAACAGGGTGCCTTAATGCTATCTTTTTCTGAGTGCTGTATATTTTATTCCATATTTTATTCAGCTCATTTCTATGTTGAAGAGGACATTAAACATTTTCAATTATAGTCAATATTTCCAATTTGCCTTCCAGAGTGTCTGTACTGATTTACCTTCTAGCCTGCAGTATGTGGTGAGACTAGTGATCCCTATTTCCTTCTTTTGTGTAACTGTATAGTATTCCATTGTGTGGCTGTTTATCTAAACATTTTCCCATTAATGTATATTTGGCTTGTCTCCAAACTTTTGCTAAACTGGACATGAAGCTGTCAGCACGTGTGCACAGTGACCATTCCTTACATGCATAGGCATCTCTGCAGGACAAATTCTCTGAAGTGCAATTGCTGAATCAAAGACCATTTGCACTGTATAATCATTATTTTTTTGAGACAGTTTCACTCTTGTTGCCCAGGCTGGAGTGCAATGGTGTGATCTCAGCTTACTGCAGTCTCTGCCTCCCAGATTCAAGCAATTCTGCCTCAGCCTCCTGAGTAGCTGGGATTACAGGTGCCCCCCCACCATGCCTGGGTAATTTTTTTTGTAGAGATGGGGTTTCACCATGTTGGCCAGGCTGGTCTCGAACTCCTAACCTCAGGTGATCTGCCTGCCTCGGTCTCCCAAAGTGCTGGGATTACAGGCATGAGCCACCATACAATATGACTGCAAATCCTTTACTATTAGCTGAGTTTTATGGCACAAACTTTCCCATAACTTTACCAATAGTACTATTGTATTATTGAATTTTAAATCTTGGCCAATTTTCATATTTCTTCTTTTGATGGACATTTAAAAAAAGTAAGAGTGAGGCTGAACATCTTTTGCACGTGTTGATGTTATTTGCTTTCTTTTTATGGAACTGGTATTCTTATTATTTTTCCTCTTTTTCTTTGGACCCTTTAAAAGTATTTACTTTTAAGAATGTGTATTAAGATTGATTTTTTTCTGCCTAGTGTTGCAAAATATTGCCTTTTAACTTTTGGAGGGTACTTTTGATTAATTTTTATGACGTTAAGTAGGTCCACATTTTTCTTTCACAGCTGTAAAATCCATCAACTTCCCAGGATTTTGTTTAGGGTGGGTGGGGGCCCCTTTACCAAATGTGAAGTTTTCTCTTATTCTCATGTCTTTTTCTGAGCTCTTTATGCTGTTCCATGGGTCTATTTTCTTGTTTCTGCAACAGTGTCACACTGTTTTTATTCCTGCGACTTTGTAACAATTCTTTTAAAAAGTTTATTTCGTTACAGGGAGAAAAGGTCTCACTTGCAAACAGAGAGAAGCTGGAGAGTTGTGTCTTTGCTCCCTTGATAAGGATTGGGGCTGGGGTGTTTCCTTAGGGACGACCTGGCCCAGCTGCCCTTCCTGACCATGTGCATTAAGGAGAGCCTGAGGCTGCATCCCCCAGTCCCTGCCGTCTCTCGCTGCTGCACCCAAGACATTGTGCTCCCAGACGGCCGGGTCATCCCCAAAGGTGCCACAGCCTCAGGGGGAGGAGCCTCCTGGGTAGGAAGAGGGGCCCCTCAGGCAGGGAGCATTGTCCTGACTGCCCCCTTCTCTCCCACAGGCATTATCTGCCTCATCAGTGTTTTTGGAACCCATCACAACCCAGCCGTGTGGCCGGACCCTGAGGTGCGGGCCCCCCGTCTCTGTTTTTGTCCATTCCAAGGCTCCTAGAGGAGGGGGCAGGGTTTTGATCAGGAGAATCCAACATCACCTCCCTCCAAGACACACACCACTGTCTCTCCAAGGCTGGCGGACTGGGAGACCCCACCCGGCAACCCTTCTTGGTCTCGCCTCCAGGTCTATGACCCCTTTCGCTTTGACCCAAAGAACATCAAGGAGAGGTCACCTCTGGCTTTTATTCCCTTCTCAGCAGGGCCCAGGTAAGAGCGGCCTGTGTTTGAGGCGGGGACGGGGAGATAGGTGCAGGGGTCTGGGCATGACAGTGGGGAAAAGGGGGACATTGTAGACGGTCCGAGTTCCAGCTCTCCTTCCCTCACCTCCTCTGGAGTTTATGGGAAAAGGCCCACAGAGTAGGATTGGGTTGGTCCTAGAAGGATCCCTAGTGAGCTCAGAGCTCCCTCCTACCCCACCTTGGTCTAGGCTGGGGGGTTGGAGCTCGGCTAGGCTCGCAGGATATGCAAGCCCACATGGGGATCCAGGCACGGATACCCCCTTCTCTGTTCCTCAAACTGCTCTAGGTGGGGTTGGGTGTCCCAGGCCAGGTTACCGGCTTGATGGGGCCAGGATGGGGCACCTGGGTGCAGTCAGAGTTTCCACCTCCCTCCCCAAGGAACTGCATCGGGCAGGCGTTCGCGATGGCGGAGATGAAGGTGGTCCTGGGGCTCACGCTGCTGCGCTTCCGCGTCCTGCCTGACCACACCGAGCCCCGCAGGAAGCCGGAGCTGGTCCTGCGCGCAGAGGGCGGACTTTGGCTGCGGGTGGAGCCCCTGAGCTGAGTTCTGCAGAGACCCACTCTGACCCCACTAAAATGACCCCTGATTCATCAAAAGTGAGGCCTAGAATTACCCTAAGACCCTGTTCCACAGTCCTGTATTCCATCCTAGATATCTACTCAAAATAATTGAGACAAGTGTTCAAACAGAAAGACGCTTGTGCGTGAATGTTCATGGCAGCCCTATTCACAGTAGCCAAACGATGAAAACAACCCCAAGCTATATATTACCAGATGAAAGGATAAACAAAATATGGTCCATCCATACAATGGAGTATTACACAGCCATAAAAAGGAATGAAGCAGTGATCCCCACTACACTGTGGATGAACCTTGAATGCATGATACTGAATGAAAGACATCAGATGCAAAAGGTCACATAGTGTACTGTCCTTTTATATGAAATTTCCAGAACAGGCCAATCTGAAGAGATGTATAGTGGATTGGTGGCTTTCAGCAGCTGTGGGGAGGTGGGACTGAGGAGCGACTGCTAATCAGGATGGGGTTTCCTCCTGGGATGGTGAAAATGTTCCGGACCTAGATAGTGATGAAGGTAGCACGACACTGTGAGTGCACTAAATGCTATTGAATTGGACACTTTAGAATGGTTGAAATAGTGATTTTTATGTGAATTCTACCTAAACATGCTATTACAGCTCATATATACTTTTTCCATCTGGATTCTTCACAAAAGAATATGTTGTGAGCATCTTTCCATGATATTAAATCATCTTAGGAAACATTATTTTGTGTTCTTCAAAATGTGCATGTTAAGTATTCAAATCAGTCTTAAATTTTTAAAAATATGTAATTTTAGAAAATAATTTAAAAGGTTTTGTTTCAGTTTGTAAGATTTCTTTTCTGGCACTTTAATGGCTTGAGGTATCATTATCAGTTACAAATTGAGTTATTCTTCATCAAATGACTTTTGGAGTAGAGATTTTATTTTTATAGCAATAGATGCACAGATATTCCTGTAAGATACAGGTGTGGTTAGACACTTTTCTAGAACAGGCATGCCCTGCAAACTCCACAGACACTGACTGTTTTTGTCCTATTAAGAAGTAGACCACTGAGAAGGGAGAAGGTGACATTTTAGCTTTCCCAGGTAAAAGTGGTTTTCATCCTCACACCAATTTTATGGACTGGACGTTAACTCTCTTGCTCAAGGTCACTCTGAGTGGAAGAGTGGGGATAAATCTGGTTCGTTTGGCATCAGAGGCCATGACTTTTCCTACCACAGAAGTAATTTTCAAAGTAAGTCTCTGCCCTAGGCACATCAGATCACCTGGGGACCACTCCAGAGTGAGTAGACAAGACTTTGACAGGGGTGCCTAATTTTTTTTTTTTTTTGAGATGGAGTCTCGCTCTGTTGCCCAGGCTGGAGTGCAGTGGCATGATCTCAGTTCACTGCAACCTCCGCCTCCTGCGTTCAAGTGATTGTCCTGTCTCAGCCTCCCAAGTAGCTGGGATTACAGGCACCCACCACCACATCCAGCTAATTGTTGTATTTTTAATAGAGGCGGGGTTTCGCCATGTTGCACTGGCTGGTGTTGAACTCCTAACCTCAGGTGATCCACCCGCCTCGGCCTCCCAAAGTGCTGGGATTACAGGCCCGGTCCAGTTTGATAGTTTGTTATCATGTTATACGTACACTTAGAATAATGATCCAGCCATCTCATTCTAACAGCAATGAGAACTTAGGCTCCCCTCTCTACTAAAATACAAAAGTTAGCTGGTCATGGTGGTGCGGGCCTGTAATCCCAGCTACTCGGGAGGCTGATGCGGGAGAATCACTTGAAACCCACAGGCGGAGGTTGCAGTGAGCTGAGGTGGTGCCACTACGCTCCAGCCTGGGGGAGGGGGACATAGCGAGACTCGGTCTCAAAAACAAAACAAAACAAAACAAAACAAAACAAAAACAAAACAAAACAAAACAAAACACTGCCAAACTGTTTCCAAAGCATCTGCATCGTGTTTAATTTCCATAAGTAACGTATGAGAATTCTAGGTCCTCCAAATAATTAGCAGTCCTTCGTAGTGTCAGTTTTTGTTTCAGCCTTCCTTATGGGTATGCTGTGGCATATCCCTGAGATTTTAATTCGCATTTTCCAGTGACTAAGGGTGTTGAACCACTCGTGCCTTCCTGTGCCTATTTGACACTCCTATATTTTCTTTGGTGAAGTGTCTGTTCAATCATCTGCTCATTAAATTTTCCTTCGGTTGTTTGCCTTCTTATTGTTGGATTTTGAGAGTTCTATGTACAAGTCCTTTGTCAGTCGTGTGATTTGCAAGTCTTCTTCCTAGTCTCTGAAGTTTCTTTCTTTCATAGAGCAAACGTTTTAAATTTTTATGAAGTAAGACTTCTCAGTTTTATTTTTGGTGAATTATGTTTATACTGCCATATATAGGAACTCTTTGCTTAACTGGAGGTCATGGAGATTTTCTCCTACATTTTCTTTTAAAAGTTTTATAGTTTCAGAGTTTACATGTAATTCCATAATCTCCATTTAGTTAAATTTTGTATGGGGTGTGAACTGTGGTTTGACTGTTTTCTTGTATATGGATATCCAATTGTTTCACACAATTTTTTTGAAAAGAATATCCTTGGCAGGGCACGGTAGCTCACACCTGTAATCCCAGCACTTTAGGAGGTCAAGGTGGGCAGATCATGAGGTCAGGAGTTTGAGACCAGCCTGGCCAATATGGTGAAACCACGTCTCTATTAAAAATAGAAAAATTAGCCAGGCGTGGTGGTGTGTGCCTGTATTCACAGCTGCTTGGATGGCTGAGGCAGGAGAATCGCTTGAACCCAGGAGTCAGAGGTTTCAGTGAGCCGAGATTGTGCCACTGCACTCCAGCCTGGGTGAAAGAGCTAGATTCTCTCTCTCAAAAAAAAAAAAAAAAAAAAGGAAAGAAAGAAAGAAAAGAAAAGAAAATCCTTTTTGCTTTAACTTGCCTTGCAGGTTTGTAGAAAACTCAATTGTTGAAATTTGGGTGGATATATTTCTGGATTTTCTATTCTATTCCATGTTGGACCAATACCACACTGCCCTAGTCACTGTTGCATTATAGTATATCTTTAAAGGAGTAATGGGAATCCTTCAACTACATTTTTTCCCCAATAATTTTTGGCTATTCTGCTTCCTTTGTGTTTCTATGTAAATTTTATCATCAGTGTGTCTATTTCTACAAATAGTCCTGATAGGGTTTGAATTGGGATTTCTGTGAATCTATAGATCAATCTGAGGAGACTTAATAATGATATTGATTCTCCCAATTCATGAATATAGTATACCCCTGTATTTATTTGTTTTCTTGAATTTCTTTTATCATTGTTTTGTAGTTTTCACCATGACAGTCTTGCACATATTTTGTTAAATGTACAGCTGAGAATTTAATTTTTTCTGGTGTACAATGCTAATAAAATGGTGCTTTAAAAGATGTGTTCTTCAGTTGTTTATTGTTAATACATGGTAGAAGTTTGTATCCTGTTTTTGTAAAAGGCCACATAGTCAATATTTTAGGTCTTGCATGCCCTATCTGGTTTCTTCTTCTCTTTCTCCTTCTTCTCCTTGTGCCACCTTTTAAAATATAAAAACCATTCTTGGCTCATAGGCCATACATATACAGTACACAGGCCATATTTGATCCATAGACCATGGTTTGCTGACCCTGGGATATAGGAATATGGTTGATTTTTGTATATTGTCTGTATATTGGATCATTCTTATTGGAATACAATAATGCTGTTATTTCCTCAGTCTTAAAACACTTCCCCTCTTGGCCTCATTTTCACACCAGTCGATGCTCCATTTCTTTGCCCCACTATGCAGCAAACTCCTTCAAAGAGTGACCCACATGTGGGTGTCAAATGTCTCCTCTCCCACTCCAAACAGGCTTTGAGAATCCTCTCAGGGGAGTGAGGGTTTATAAATGAGACATAAACCCACAGGACTCTGCTACATCTGTGTATGTAATTCTCAAAACACACTCAGGCCTGGTCTTGTTACTGGCTGCTATGAGACCTCCATCTTCTCCTGAGTGAGTGTGAAGGAGGCACTCTCTGCTGGACGGTTTGGGGACAACTGGCCCTATAGAGTCTTTATTAGTTTCATTGTATGTATGTGAGAGAGCAAGAGAAGACAGAGTGTGTGGGTATGTGACTCTATGTGTTTGTGTGACTGTGTGCAGTGTCGTAACAGCACATGTGTGTGCGTGCATACAGGCGCATATGTGAGGCATTCTGACTGGTGTTAGGTGGCGTTTCATTGTGGTTTTGATTTGCATTTTTATATGATCAGTGATGTTGAATGTCAGGACATGTTAAGATATATTGGAGCTATGTCACATGTTCCGGCTTTATGTCAGGAGATGGTAGAAAGTGCCAAGAAAGACGAAGTATACTAGGTCCCTGTAGAGGCATTTTGTAGTGTTGAGCTATGCTCAGGTTTTGCAGAACATGTTAGACTATTTTGGAGCCATGTCAAGTCGTACTGTAGCATGCTGTGCCATGTTAGGCTGTCATTGCTGCACTGTGCTGCTATAGCCTGGTCTAGTCTCCTCTCTCCTCCCACATCCTCTCTTCTTCCTCTCTCTTTGGCCCTCTTCCTGCTATGTGGGGCTTGGAGGGGAGAAGTGCAAACCTCTAGCTGGGAGCCTTCCCCCAACCCCAAAGTCCCTCCTTTACCCACCTCCATGGCCCCTGATTGTCCCCATTCATGTCAGCCACCATTGCACCAAAGGACAAGGTCTTCTACAGCTTCCTGAAGCCCTGGCTGGGGGAGTATCTGCAGGTGAACAGGGTTGGGAAATAAGTTGGGGGACCAGGGGAGGAAGATGACCTTGCCCATGGCCCTTGGCTGCCCTGCTAAGGGATGGGTTCCTGCTGAGTGCTGGTGACAAGTGGAGCTGCCACCGTGGGATGCTGATGCCTGCCTTCCATTTCAACATCCTGAAGCCCTATATGAAGATTTTCGATGAGAGTGTGAACATCATGCACGTGAGTTATTTGAAGCTAAGGTCCTAGCTGCAGACTTGGGGTGGAGGGACCACAGACAGATCTGGTGTAGAATTTTGGCTCTGCTGGGTGGCATTGGGCCATTGTTCTTCCTCTCTGATCCCTAGTTTTGTTTTGTTTTTTTTTAATCTGTAAAATGGGTATAATAATCCCTACTTAAAAGGTGGTCAAGGTGATGTAATGGAGTCATGTCCCTGGTGCATAGTAGGTGCCCAGAAGGTGTCTGTTTCTATGATTCTGTCACCCAAGCCCTATAAAATCAAGAGGGTCATGACGACAATTGCACAGTAGCTGTTGCTGATAAGAAACCACTTGAAAACTCATTGGTTTAAAACAATAAAGGTTTATGAATGTTAATAAGTCTATGGGACAGTTGGCAGGTCCTTCTCTATGTGGAAGGGATCAGTCATGGTACATGAGCAACCTGGAGTCAGGTAGGCAGCCTTGCAGGTGTTGGCTGAGTTCTCTCAATGTTTGGGTTTTGGCTGGCTTCAGACTGATACAGATGGCCTCAGCTGGGACCCCTGGATGTTCCTCCATGTGATTCTCTCCTTCCAGAAGGCACCCCGTGGTTCACAATGCAGGCAGGCAGGTTTCCACGGAGTGGCACGAGGCTTAGCTTCATTAGTTATTACCTCATCATTTTCACCACATTGCATTTCATCATTGAAAGCCATAATCCCAGCACACAATCAGAAAAGGAGAGGAGGAGTAAAATAGGCTCTGTCTCTTAAGGAAAGTCGCTAAAAAATCACATTGCAAAGCGTGTGGATATGGGGGTAAGTGAAGAATTGGGGCGAGGGTTTTGTGAAGTCTCCAGGTTTTATTAAACTTGCAAATTGATAAGTTAGCTTGTTACTATTTCATGGATTCTGCCAGAAGACAGGAGACTCCTGGGTCAGAGGCAAAGGGTGGTTTATTACTCATGGCACAGCAAGGAGTATGTGTTTCCTGTCAGATTGCATTGTTTCTCCAGGATACCCAAATCCCTTCGGGTGACATTGTTGGGCTTTTATAAATGCCTGCTCAGGTAGTATGTTGCATTACAGGGAAGGAGCATTAGGCTTAGGGAATAGCAAGCAAAGTAAGCCTGATACGGGTCCAAAGGGAGTCATTACCTTATTCTTGAACACTGTTCTCTGCACACACAACTCTCAGAAATGGCTGAAGTTAAGAACTCAGTGTTTTGCATTTTTAGCATACCCAAAAGGGATACTCAGGGCTCATGGAGGACTTCCTGTCCCAACATAGAGATATTTTTGTAATCAATTTATAACAAGGCAGATAAGGAAAGCCAACATTTATTGAACCCTCACTATATGCCATAAACAATGCCATGTGCCCATCCCATGGTATGAGTGTATATTGACTGATTTGATGTTCACTGTTCTTTGAAGGAGATATTTTTGCCTCACTGTAGAGGATGAAGCTGTGGGTCTGAGAGATTAGGGAGCTTGCCCAAGTTCACCCAGCTAATAAGTGAGCTTGGAGTAGTGAAACAGGGTTTCTAACCTTGTTTATGTGGCACCAAGGCAATCATCTCAACTGTTCCTCAAGATTTGACAGGTAGAACATAGGGAAGGATAAGGAGTTCGTTCACCAAGGACATTCAGAGCTGGAACTTGAACCCAGGTCTCCTGACTCCCAGTCTTGCATCTCCATCTCTTAATATTAACAACTTTTACTCTCACTGCAATTTGGTTACCCCTGGGGAGGGATTCTTGGGGAGAAAATGAAGAGGCTGGAATAGTGTGCCTTGGTGGTTGGGTTTGGGAGGGGCTCAAGGAAGCCAGGGACAAGCACCAGCTCTGTCCCCATCTCTGGCTAGGCCAAGTGGCACCTCTTGACCTTGGAGCACAATGCCTGTCTCGACATGTTTGAGCACATGAACCTCATGACCTTGGATAGTCTGCAGAAATGTGTCTTCAGCTTTGACAGCCAATGTCAGGAGTGAGTCTTTGCCCAGTGGCTGGGAATTTGAGCCATGGACCCAAAGGAGTAGGCTGGGGGAGAGAGAACTGATGAGGGCAAGCAGAAGTGCCTACCTGGAGGAGTTGTGTCACAGTCTTTGAATGACTGGTATAAACATTATCATGAGGTTTCCAGGGAGATATTGAAGGGGTTTGAGCTAATGGGCATGGTCAGAGCTGAGTTCTGTGAGGGACTGACTGTAGTGTGGACACTAAATGGAGTTGACATTGGATGCAGGGAGGCTAGGGTAGGGTAGAGACAGTTGGAAGAGGATGAGGTCTGATCTTTGTGAACAGTTTCAGGAAGGAGAAGGGGCAGGATTATATACCGGGGGCAGGGGAGAGAGAATAAATGCATGATGTTCAAGTTATGCTCTGGGTGCCTAGGGGCATGAAGGCATCTCACAGAGATGGGATGCAGGGAGATAAGGGCTTGGAGAATCAATCTCATAGCTGACCCCCTCTCTGTATGTGTGGGGTCATCTGTTTCTGTATACTCTGTTTCCTGATAGGAGGTAGCTCCTAGCTGCTGATGGGAGGTGCTTCTGGGGCTTCAGACATGTTAAGTTGTTGCCTCCCTTTCTGCCCTTATCCTTCAGGAAGCCCAGTGAATATATTGCCTCTGTCTTGGAGCTCAGTTCCCTTGTGGCAAAAAGAAACCAGCAGATCCTCCTGCACATGGACTTCCTGTATTATCTCACCCATGATGGGCGGCACTTCCACAGGGCCTGCCGCCTGGGGCATGACTTTGCAGACGCTGCCATCCAGGAGAAACGCCACACCCTCCCTAGCCAGGGTGTTGATGACTTCCTCCAAGCCAAAGCCAAGTCCAAGACCTTGGACTTCATTGATGTGCTCCTGATTAGCAAAGTGGGCTTCTCTGAGATTTGAATTCAAGAAGCAGAAGGGAGCTTAATGTCAAATATCAGATCAAAGAACTTAGACTTGATCCAGAGGGCACTGGGGAGTCATGGCAGGTGCTTGAGGAAGGGAGAGACAGGTCAGAGATAGGTTTTAGAGATGACTTTGCTGAATGCACCTAGCAGGGGACTGCTAGATGTGAAACTGACAAGTATAAGATTTTACTCTATTTATGCATTAATAAGCTAGTCTATATAAGTATTAATATATCTATATCTATATCTATATCTATATCTATATCTATATCTAATGTCTAGGTCATTGTCCATGCCTGAATTTGTGTCTGTGTCCATGACTATGTCTGTGTCTTTGTCTTTGTCATTGCGAGTGTCTGTCTTTGTATCTGCTTCTTTTTCTTTCGTTGTGTCTATATCTATGTCTTTGTGTCTTTTCTATGTCTGTGTCTGTCTTTTCTTTGTCTATATCTTTGTCAATGTCTATGTTTATGTCTTTGTGTATGTCTGTTTATATCTTTATGTATGTCTTCATCTCAGTCTTTATGTCTATGTTTAGTGTCTTTTCTGTGTCAATGTCTATATCTAGATCTATGTGTCTTTGTTCATGTCATATCTGTGTATCTATGTCTTTGTCTTTTTCTGTGCCTGTGTCTTTGTCTATGTCTATGTATATTTCTGTGTCTCTTTGTCTATGTGTATGTGTATGTGTATGTGTATGTCTATGTCTGTGTCTATCTCTTTCTCTTTGTCGATGTCTGTCTATGTATTTATCTACATCTTTGTCAATGTCTGTCTTTGTCTATGTCTGTGCCTATGTCTATGTCATGTTTATGCCTTTGTATATGCTCATGTCTATATCTTTCTCTATGTCTGTGTCTGTCTTTGTCTAATTCTTGGTCTTTGTCAATGTCTACATCTTTGTCTATGTCTGTGTCTTTGTCTGTTTCTTTTCTTTTTCTCTTTCTTTCTTTTTTTTTTTTTTTTGAGAAAGATTCTTGCTCTGTTGCCAGGCTGGAGTGCATGCAATGGCATGATCTCGGCTCACTGCAACCCCTGCCTCCTGGGTTCAAGTGATTCTGCTTCAGCCTCCTGAGTAGCTGGGACTACGAGTGCCCGCCACCACGCCCAGCTAATTTTTGTATTTTTAGTAGAGATGGGATTTCACCATGTTGGCCAGGGTGCGCTAGATCTTCTGACCTTGTGATCTGCCTGCCTTGACCTCCCAAAGTGCAGGGATTACAGGAGTGAGCCACGGTGCCCAGCGTCTTTGTCTGTTTCTATTTATGTCTACATCTACATCTTTCCCTACGTTTATGACTTTGCCTATGTCTATACCTTTGTCTATGTCTATATCTTTGTCTATATTTGTGTCTGTGTCTATGTCTATATCTATGTCTTTCTCTATGTTTATGTCTATGTCTTTTTCTGTCCATGACTTTTTCTATTGTGACAGATGTCTATTGTAACAAGTGCATTGAACACCTGGATCACAGCAGCCCATTTATTGCTCACAGTGACACTAGCAGCCGGAGTAGGATTGTAGCATTGGCTTTCATTCCCAAATCACATTTCTCCAAGAGCAATGCAATGTTTTTATCTGTATGTGGAACAGTGTTTGCGCCCTAGGAGAGGGGCTCCACATTACGAGTCTTGGCACATTTTCTATTTATTTTCTCGACAGAGAGAGAGAGAGAGAGAGAGAGAGAGCGAGAGCAAGAGAGAGTGCTTTATTCTGAAGCATAAACCAATTCTCTCCAGTGAGATGTAATAGTCTGTAGACTTACAACACAAATGTCTTCAGGGGAAATAAATAAGATTGTCTGCATTTACCACACTGGAATGTGAGTATACATCTTTGGAGCAATACTTAATCTCTAACTTCCAAGGCGAATTGTTATTTAATTATCCTGTAAGCTCATTTGCCAGTAACTTTTTCTCAGAAAGTTCTCAACATGTAGAAACATGAAAATATTCATGTGTCGTTGATTCTTCCCACCAGGGACAAAAGAAGAAGGAAGGAAGCCAGTGAGGAAGATTGCATGGTGTGGGCTCTGGTGATGGTGACCAAGAGACATCTAGGAGTGCAAGCTGGGCTTGGGTTTCTGGAAAGAGGATGGATCTTCAGAGTTTATTTCATGTTAGACTGAGGAGTCCTCAGAGCTTGTGTGGTTTTCAAGGGTGTTTTTCCTTCTCTCCAGGATGAAGATGGGAAGGAGTTGTCTGATGAGGACATAAGAGTGTAGGCTGACACCTTCATGTTTGAGGGAGAGGATCCCAGTGAGGACCAAGATGTCTCATCCCAGGGACGTGGTGGGTGGACCCTGGATGGCTTCACCCTTCCCATCCCCCTTCCCCCATCCTCTCTGAGGCCCTCAATCCATGGGTGCTGTCCACCCTGTTGTGCTGAAGCAGCCCAGAGACCCAAGACTGCCTGGCTGCCCCTCAGGCTATGACACCAGGACCAGTGGTCTCTCCTGGGTCCAGTACAACCTTGCAATGCACCCAGAATGCCAGGAGCGCTGCGGGCAGGAAAGGCAAGAGTTTCTGAAGGTCTGGGAGCCTAAAGAGATTGAATGGTGAGTGCAGGTGCTGGTGGCTGTTCCTGAGCTCCATGACTCATGTTGGCAATGCCGATGGCTCTGCTCCCCAGGTGGGGATGGGAGGAGGAGTTGTTTTTGTCTATTCTGCTACTATTGCTTAGTGGGAGTAGGAGTAGAGGATGACAGGCAAGGCTTAATACCCAGTCTGGCTATCAGGGGAGAAGTTGCAGGCTGTTTGGACAGCAAAGATCTGCTCTGCTGAGAGAATTGGTGACAACATGTGAGGGGAGATGATGCCACTTAACACATGTTTAGTAGATGAACTTCCCCTTTACTCCCTTCTTTTTATCCCTGAAATGTCATTTTGCATGCATAATCTGTTTTCGTTATTGCAACAACCTTGTGAGGTGCTGCTGCTGAAACGCCCATTTACGGACGTGAAGGAGCACAGCCTGGTGGTGAGGGGGGCACAATGTGAGGCTGGGTGGGTGGTCTGGGTGCACAGCCCAGATCCACCAGCTCTATGACTGTGGGTAGTCACTCAAATATTTTCCAGACTGGATTTCTCATTTGTAAAATGGAAAAACAAAATGGTTAATATAGTTAAAAGACTTAAAACAGGCTCCATGACTCATGTTGGCAATGTCGATGGCCGCCATTCCTGCTCTAACCTGCTTGCCCATCCCAGGCACACAGGAGGTCTGCAGTGAGCTGAGCCCCTCTAGCCACTGGGGGCACTTTCTTCTGTGTCCCTAGGACCCTGCCTGTTCATCAACCCCTGGCTTTGCTCCCTGAGCCTAAGAAGGATGGAACCACCAGCAGGTGAGGTCTGTCCTTGCAGAGGTAGTGGGGATTTTGGGGGATGCACCCTACGCGAATGAAGCTGTAGGACCAGGTGCCTGAATCCCCTGGCTGATTGAGCTGGCAGGGGTGGTGGGGTGGGGGTGGTCTAGGGGCTCCCCAGTACCCAGCCAGTGTCAGGAGTACTGTCTTCCCCACCCTCCTGCTCAGCAGTTCTGCTAGGAGCCCCCTCCTTCAAGCGCCCCCCTCACCTGAGTCCACCCCACAGGACAATTCAGGACAGGATCTAGGGAGGGCCAGGAGGGGAGCCCTGGATCTGTTGGGAGGAGAATCCTGCATGTGGGAGAAGGAGCCAGGTGCTGATCCAAGGGCCTCAAGATATTTCCCCTTTGGGGCTATCACACTGCCTGAGATTACTCCATTATAAATGTCCCTATATTAATATGGCATTGACACTAAAGAATGGGGGTGGAGCAGCATGGCAGAGGGAACGGATTTGGACTTGAGGGTCTCATAGTCTTGAGTTCCTATGAGCTCTGCAACTTGGACTAGAGGCCTGCCCTCTCTGAGCCTCAGTTTGCTTTTGTGTTAAATGGACACCTTCTCTCCTCTGGATGCCATCACTCAGGTCTCTTCAACAATGCCCAGGGTTCTGGCCTAGGGAGCTGTTGGGAGGGTGGTGGGACAGCTTTGGGCACTGTGATGCAGGTGAGCATCTGATACAAGCAGGTGCACGTTATATAGAGCACCTGGCACATAGTAGGTGCACCTTATGTAGAGCACCTGGCACACAGTAGGTGTACTTTATGTGGCGTACCTAGCACATAGTAGGTACACTTTATGCGGCATACCTGGCACACAGTAGGTGCTCTTTATGTAGCATATCTGGCACACAATAAGGCACACTTTATATAGTGTACCTGGCACACAGTATGTGTGCTTTATGTCAAGTATGTTGCACCGAGTAGTTTTACTTTATGTAGGGGACCTAACACACGGGAGAAGCATTTTATGTGGAACATCTGGCACACAGTAGGTGTGCTTTATTTAGAGCACCTGGCACACAGCAAGCATGGTTTATATAAAGGGCCAGGGACTCAAGATACAGGATTTGTGAAGGGCTCCCAGCATACAGTAGACAGTATTTATGTGGAGCTCCTGGCACACAGTAGGTGCACTATATGTAGAATAGCCAGCACACAGTAGACAAGATTTATGTAGATTACTTGATGCAGAGTAGGTGCGCTTTCTGTGGGTCACCAGGTACGTAGTACACATGCTCAATGTGGAGCACCTGACACACAGTAGGTATGCTTTATATACAGCACATGGCACAGAGTAGGCACGCTTTATATGAAGTACTCTGCATAAAGTAAGCTTACATTATGTACAGCATGCTGCACACAGTAGGTGAGCTTTATGTGGCATACCTGGCACATAGTAGACAGAATTTATGTACAGTATCTGATACACAGTAAGTGCACTTTATATAGTGAAACTGGCACACAGTAGGTGCACACAGTAGTGCTTTCCGTACAGTCTTTCGCATGGAGTAGAGACAGGCACACAGCAGCTCAAGTGCTAGTTGTCATCCCCTTCCCTTCAGTCCCTCTTTTTGGAGCTCCCTTTTCTTAGGAGCCTTCCTCCGTCGCCCTCTAAGGCCTCATCTGACATCCCATTTCCCAGATGGGAAGCCTGAGCCCAGGATGGCCACACTGCCCACAGTCAGAGAAAGGACAGGGCAGAACAAGGACTCCACTCGGGATCCCCTTGCTCTGCCCTCCCCTGCCTGGACCCCGTCAGCTCAAGGCCCCTCTCAGCCTCATCCCCTGTGCCTCCGCTCTGTCCTCCTAAGCTGAGCCCAGCTTCTAGGTTTGCTCCTCCAGCTGGGCTCTTTATCCCCAGAATCTGACGAAGGTAATCCTCAGCGGGGTTGGGGCTGGATTCTTTCTTCCTGCTTCAAGCAGTCAGGCCTCAACTCAGGCCCTGGGCTGCCAGGAGGCAGGACTTGAACTCTTGCCAGGCTGTGAAGCCAGAGATGAGAGGCTTCTGTCTCTGAATCTCCTAAGTCTGCACCAAGATGTAGTGCCTGACATCCTCCCCGCCCATGTTTGGAGAGGAGCCCAGATGATCTGGGACAAGGGTTGGCCTGGCCCAGCTCAGCTGGCTGCCAACTGTCATGATAAGTATATGCTTTTATCTGAACACCCTTGTCTTGGAAGGGCAGGGTGGAGGTAAACTTGGGGTTCAGAGTCCCCTCTAACCACCCTCCAACTTCCCCTGCAAACTCCCAAGAAGGTACTGAGACCTGAGAATTCAGTGCTCGTGCTGGGGCACCCTGAGCTGCACCCAGTGGGCCCAACCCCAGGTTTTGGCTGGCTGCCCAGGCACGGAAGACACACCCAGGCTGTGGGGATTGGCTGCCTCAGCCCAGCCCAGCCCAGCCCCGCCTCCTACGGCCTTCCCTAGATCAGGGGCCAGGGCCAAAGACCTCCCAGCAGAAGAGGAGAAGAGGTTGTGTGGGACAAGCTGCTCCCGACAGAAGGTACCAGGCTGGGGGTGGCAGGGCTGGAAGGTCCTGGCCTGGGATGAAGAGGGGACTGCCTAAGGCTGGGGTGGCTCCAAGATGCTGGCATGGGAAACTGGGGGTTTCCTGGTAACTGGACTCCTAGCAAACTCCCAAGGATTCAGGTGGGGCCCTTCTGGACTCTAATCGGCCCATCTCTTTCCCTTTCTGTGTGGTTACCAGGTTACTGGAGGCCACTTAGTTGTTGGTTTTGGTTGGGACTTTCTGGACTTCAGATCTCAGCCCTCGTTTACTCACCCCTGAGCCCTCCCTGCCCTGCCCCCAGCAGTTCCTGACTTCGCCCCTATACACTGTCCCCGGAGCTCTTCCCTGGGCCTCAGGTCCTCACCCTGCATCCCCTCTGCCCTGCAGGATGTCGCTGCTGAGCCTGCCCTGGCTGGGCCTCAGACCGGTGGCAACGTCCCCATGGCTACTCCTGCTGCTGGTTGTGGGCTCCTGGCTACTCGCCCGCATCCTGGCTTGGACCTATGCCTTCTATAACAACTGCCGCCGGCTCCAGTGTTTCCCACAGCCCCCAAAACGGAACTGGTTTTGGGGTCACCTGGGCCTGGTGAGTGTGACAGCAAAATGTGTCTGGGGTCTCAGGGTGGATGGACTTCCAGAGGAGCAGGAATGGGGCTCAGTGAGCTAGGTATTGATGGTGGCTGGGGTCTGCGACCCCAGAGAAGCAAGAGAGATGGCTCACTCATTCCTCTGCTAACTCACTCATTCCTCTACCCACTCACTCCTCTACCCACTCACTCACTCCTCTACCCACTCACTCACTCCTCTACCCACTCACTCATTCCTCTACCCACTCACTCATTCCTCTACCCACTCACTCCTCTACCCACTCACTCACTCCTCTACCCACTCACTCACTCCTCTCCTCACTCACTCATTCCTCTCCTCACTCACTCATTCCTCTACCCACTCACTCACTCCTTTCCTCACTCACTCACTCCTCTCCTCACTCACTCATTCCTCTCCTCACTCACTCATTCCTCTCCTCACTCACTCATTCCTCTACCCACTCACTCACTCCTCTACCCACTCACTCAATCCTCTACCCACTCACTCACTCCTCTACCCACTCACACATTGCCCTCCTCACTCACTCATTCCTCTCCTCACTCACTCATTCCCCTCCTCACTCATTCCTCTCCTCACTCACTCATTCCTCTACCCACTCACTCATTCCTCTCCTCACTCACTCATTCCTCTACCCACTCACTCATTCCTCTCCTCACTCACTCATTCCTCTCCTCACTCGCGCATTCCTCTCATTCGCGCATTCCTCTCATTCACTCATTCCTCTCCTCACTCACTCATTCCTCTCCTCACTCTTATTCGTCTGCTCACTCACTCATTCCTCTGCTCACTCATTCCTCTCCTCATTCACTCCTTCCCCTCATCACTCACTCATTCCTCTGCCCACTCACTCATTCCTCTACCCATTCACTTATTCCTCTATCCACTCACTTTTTGCTCTCCCCACTCACTCATTCCTCTCCTCACTCACTCATTCCTCTCCTCATTCACTGATTCCTCTACCCACCGACTCATTCCTTTCCTCATTCATTCATTCCTCTGCAGTTCCATGCCAAACCTTTCTCACCTCCCTGTCCTCCCACCTCAGCCTGCTTGGATCCTTTTCCTGCCTGTCTTCCCTACCGTAGTGCCCCTCCCAGAGGCTCCTGTATGGTTGTGGGGTGCACAGAGCAGGGCTCTCCTGGCATTCCCACCTTCTCCACTGCTGGACTTGAAGCCTTCTGAGCCCCGATAGACAGGCTGCTCCCTGCATGGCCCATTTGCTTGTATCTGCCCATCTCTGGGCTGCTGCTTTCCCGCAGGAATTATCTCTGACTTCCTTCCCCACGGAGGGACACAGCTGGACCAGAAGAGAAGTGCAGGCAGTCTCCCACACCCTCTCCTTCCAGGGACAATGTGCTCTTCCCCAGTAAGATGTCCCAGTGAGCCCTGTAGCCCAACCTGGATATAATTTGGCCACTCCCTTCCCCTTTCAGAAGCCGTCCTTGGTACTCCCAAACCTTTCCCTCCGACTGGGACCGGCCCTCCCCTTTGGGGGATGTGGCCTCTGTCTGCTCACTTACAAAAGGCAGGATTGATCGGTGTGTCCACAGGTGCACAGGAGGCACTAGCACAGAACCTGGCATAAGTGAGGCTCTCCTAGGTGGGAGCTGCCATCCTGATGGACATTAGAGTCACCTCTGCTCCCCTGGAGGCTGCTGAGAATGGAGGGCCCTCAGGACGCAGGCCCTTTGTCTGTGGGAGGAACCAGTGCCCATGTGGACCAACCAGGACACAAAAGGATATGGCAACCAGCTCTAGGGATATGTCCTGAGGCCACACTGCTGCCCACAAACCTCCTTCCATGGGGACCTTCCCATATAGCAATCCCCAGATTGAAATCAATCCAGGATGAGAAAACACATCCTCTTGAGCAGACAGCTTGTCTTCTCTCTCTGCTTTGGTATTTACCCTTGGATCTTGGGGACAGCTCCAAGAGAGAAGGAGCAGAAGTCAGCAGAAACCCACTGCAGCTGCTGAGAATCCAGACACGCTGCTCACTGCAGAGGCTGCACCACATCCGGTGGCTGTGGGGGGACTTGCTGTGGCTTCATCTAGGGAGGTGCATTAGTCAGGGTTCTCCCTAGAAACGGAATCTCCTTAGAAACAGATAGGGTGTTTCTTCTTATCTCTAATGCATGTATGTATGGAGACAGAAAGAGATAGAGAGATAAGAATTTATTATGGGAATTGGATAATGTGATGATGGAGGCCAAGAAGTCCCATGATATATCATCTGCAAGCCAGAAACCAGGGACACTGGTGGTGTAAATTCAGCCTGAGTCCAGAAAGGCCTGAGTCCCTGGAGTTCTGAGGGCAGGAGAAGACGGATATCCCAGCAGCAGAAGAGAGAGCAAGTTCTTCCTTTCCTCTGCCTTTTGTCCTGTTCATGCCCTCAATGGATTGGATGGGGTCTGGCGTCTCAGGGTGGGTGGACTTCCAGAGGGGTGGGACTTCCAGTAGGGGTTCAGGGAGCTGTGTATTGATGGTGGCTGGGGTCTGGGAACCCAGAGAACCAAGGGAGACGGCTCACTCATTCCTCTCCTCACTTACTCATTCCTGTGCCCATTCACTCATTCCTCTCCTCACTCACTCATTCTAATACCAACTCACTCATTCCTCTCCTCACTCACTCATTCCTCTCCTCACTCACTCATTCCTGTGCCCATTCACTCATTCCTCTCCTCACTCACTCATTCCTCTCCTCATTCAGTCATTCCTGTCCTCACTCACTCATTCCTTTTCTCACTCATTCATTCCTCTCCTCACCCACTCATTCCTCTGCCCACTCACTCATTCATATCCTCACTCACTCATTCCTCTACCCACACTCATTCCTCTCCTCACTAATTCCAATACCAACTCACTCATTCCTCTCCTCACTTACTCATTCCTCTATCCATTCACTCATTCCTCTCCTCACTCACTCATTCCTCTGCTCACTTAGTCATTCCTCTCCTCACTCAACTCATTCCTCACTCACTCATTCCTCTCCTCACTCACTCATTCCCCTCCTCACTCACTCATTTCTCTCCTCACTCATTCATTCCTTTACCCACTCACTCATTCCTCTACCCACTCACTCATTCCTCTCCTCACTCATTCCCTTCCTCCCATTCCTTTACCCACTCACTCATTCCTCTCCTCACTCACTCATTCCTCTCCTCACTTACTCATTCCTCTCCCCACTCACTCATTCCTCTCCTCACTCACTCATTCCTGTGCCCATTCACTCATTCCTCTCCTCACTCACTCATTCCAATACCAACTCACTCATTCCTCTCCTCACTCACTCATTCCTCCCCTCATTCAGTCATTCCTGTCCTCACTCACTCATTCCTCTCCTCACTCACTCATTCCTCTGCTCACTCACTCATTCATATCCTCACTCACTCATTCCTCTACCCACACTCATTCCTCTCCTCACTAATTCCAATACCAACTCACTCATTCCTCTCCTCACTTACTCATTCCTCTACCCATTCACTCATTCCTCTCCTCACTCACTCATTCCTCTGCTCACTTAGTCATTCCTCTCCTCACTCAACTCATTCCTCTGCTCACTTAGTCATTCCTCTCCTCACTCAACTCATTCCTCACTCACTCATTCCTGTCCTCACTCACTCATTCCTCTGCTCACTCTCTCATTCCCCTCCTCACTCACTCATTTCTCTCCTCACTCATTCATTCCTTTACCCACTCACTCATTCCTCTACCCACTCACTCATTCCTCTCCTCACTCATTCCCCTCCTCCCATTCCTTTACCCACTCACTCATTCCTCTCCTCACTCGCTCATTCCTCTCCTCACTCACTCGTTCCTCTCCTCACTCGCTCATTCCTCTCCTCACTCACTCGTTCCTCTCCTCACTCACTCATTCCTCTCCTCACTTACTCATTCCTCTCCTCACTCACTCATTCCTCTCCTCACTCACTCATTCCTCTCCTCCCTCACTTATTCCTCTACCCACACACTCATTCCTCTCCTCACTCACTCATTCCTCTACCCATGCACTCATTCTTCTCCTCACTCATTCCTTCCTCTCCTCACTCACTCATTCTTCTGCTCGCTCACTCACTCATTCCTCTGCTCACTCTTATTCTTCTCCTCACTCATTCCTCTCCTCACTCACTCATTCCTCTCCTCACTCACTCATTCCTCTACCCATGCACTCATTCCTCTCCTTACTCACTCATTCCTCTCCTCACTCACTCATTCCTCTCCTCACTCACTCATTCCTCTCCTCACTCACTCATTCCTCTCCTCACTCACTCCTTCCTCTCCACACTCACTCATTCCTCTCCTCACTCACTCATTCCTTTCCTCACTCACTCATTCCTCTGCACTACTATTTCCATCCTGTTTACCTTCAAATGCTAATCTCTTCTCAAACACCCTCACAGACACACACAGCAATAATGTTTGACTGGCTATCTGGGCATCCCTTAGCCCAGTCTAGTGGACACCTAAAATTAACCATCACAGGAAGTGACAGCCCTTGACTTGCTTTCAGATCACTCCTACAGAGGAGGGCTTGAAGAACTCGACCCAGATGTCGGCCACCTATTCCCAGGGCTTTACGGTATGGCTGGGTCCCATCATCCCCTTCATCGTTTTATGCCACCCTGACACCATCCGGTCTATCACCAATGCCTCAGGTACCCATGCAGAGCTTGTGGTGGTGGGTGCCAGACCAAGCTTCTGTGTGGTCTCTGCAGTACCCACGTCCCTCCTTGAGTACTCGTGCCCCTCATTGAGACTTCCTTCTCAATGTCTTCTCCCTCCATTGCCATCTGCTCCCTGTCTTGGTGTTCTGGGCACCACTGGGGCTCCAAGAGGCCTCAATTCAGGGCCCTTTCTGGAAGGAACCCCCATGCTTAAGGACACGGGTCTAGACAGAGACATTTCCAGCCTCATAGGGTCAGGAATGGGCAAGAGAGAGATGGGTATGACAACACAGAGAACTGGGTGTCTGCTGGGGCAGGCTGGAATGTTTCCTGGAGGAAGAGTTGTTGGAGCTATGTCTAGACCAATAAGTAGGATTTTTTAAGTGTGGGGCAGGATGATGCAGTGGGCATCATTGGTATTTGGGGTCCCAGCCAGTCCTTGCACCAGCCTTGCCCATCCCTCAGTCCAAAGCGGTAGGAGGATTTGTGGCTGGTGGAGAATCTGGGCTGCTATTTATGTGACATCCACCTATGATGGGTCAGTTCCTTCTACCTCATCCTATCACTCATCCACCCTAAGTTTCCTGCTCTCCTCCTATGGGCTTCAGGATTCTCCAATAGGAGAACCCACACCAGCTGCTTGACCTCCCCTTGCTCTCTGCTCTTCTCATCCTTGGACACACCAGGCTGAGCTAGGGAAGTGGCAGCATCCCACAAAATCTATGGCTCTGACCCCCAAATCCTTAGTGACTCTGTGCAGGTCACCAGCTCTCTGGCTGCTGAGGTCTCTTTCAGTTGTGAGTGATGGAAACTCAACTTCGTGTGCTCTAAGCAAATAAAGAGAGTCAAAGGAGTGTAAATTTCAGGGAGGGTGGTCTTCAGGCATGGCTGAATCCAGGTGTCAATGAACATTATCAGGGATCTGTCTCCTTTTCTTAATTTCACCATTTCTCTGCATCACTTTTTCTTTTAAGGCAGCCGTTCTCTTATCTGTCAACCATGGGTCCTAGCAGCTCAGTTCTTGTCCGAAAGCTCACCTTACCCCCAGGGGTCCCATAAATAGCCGCCTATAGTTTCAATATTATACCTGGTTATATCTTTTCTGTTTAACCTGGGATCATATGGAGAAGTCATCATGTGTGTGGCTCAGCTGTGGTCGAGGACACTTGGGGCATGTCAGAGACTTTCTGGTTCTTCTCTGACATGTGATTTGAAATTGTCTTTTCTCCTCCTTGTCATCTCTTGGCCATGTTTGTAGCTTGTCCAAGGTCTGGGAGCTAGGGTCTCTTTGGAATTGTCAGAGTTATTATTTTAGTCTCCCTGAGCCAGGTTTCGGAATCCATTCTAATCACGCTTGAAGAAAACTCTTGGTTCCACCTGGGACATGTCTGGGACATTTAAGAAATCACATTTAAACCCTATCTGGGGCCTGTCTGTGGGGTACACAGAGGTCATGTCAGACTATCTCAGGTCCATGTCAGGAGATGACAGAGAGTGCTATGGCAGACAGGGTGTCCGAGGTCCTTTAAAGGTATTTTGTAGAGTGTGGAGCTGTGTTCAGTTGTTGCAGAACATGTTGGGATATATAGGAGCCATGTCAAGGCGTGCTGGGGTGTGCTATGACCTGTTAGGTTGTGTCATAGCTTTACTGTGCTGTTGCAGCCTGGGCTGGTCCTTCTTCCTCTATCCTCCCTTCGTCCTTTGCCCTTGGCCCCCTTCCTGCTATGCTGGGCATGGAGTGGGGAAAGTGCTGGTAGGCAGCCTTGCCCTATACCTGAAGTTCCTCTCTTGCCCTCTACATGGCCCCTGATGGTCCTCGTTCATGTCAGCTGCCATTGCACCCAAGGATAATCTCTTCATCAGGTTCCTGAAGCCCTGGCTGGGTGAGTACCTGCAGGTGAAAGGGGTTGGGGACAACCTTGCGGGGAGGGTAGGGGAAGTGCTGCTCTTGCCCACTGTCCTTGGCTGCCCTACTAGGAGAAGGGATACTGCTGAGTGGCGGTGACAAGTGGAGCCGCCACCGTCGGATGCTGACGCCCGCCTTCCATTTCAACATCCTGAAGTCCTATATAACGATCTTCAACAAGAGTGCAAACATCATGCTTGTGAGTCCCTTGAAGTCTGGGTCCCAGATGGAGTCTTGGGGTGGAGGGACCATGGACACATCTGGTCTGGAATTTTGGCTCTTCTGGGTGGCACTGGGCCATTGCTCTTCCTCTCTGAGCCTTGGTTTCCTCATCTGTAAAATGGGGATGATAATCCCTACTTGAAAGGTCATTTACTTGGCACACAGTAGGTTCTCAGAAGGTGTCAGTTTCTGTGTTTTTCTCACAGAATCCCTGTAAACTCAAGAGAGTAAAAATGAAGATTGTGTAGTAGTCATTGCTGATTATAAACCACTTCAGAACTCATTGGCTTAGAGCCATAAGGGTTTACAATTGCTAACGAGTCTGTGAGACAGCTGGCCAGTTCTTCTGGATGTGGAAGGGATCACTCTTGGCACATGAGCAGCTGTGGGTCGGGGGGCAGCTTTGCTGATCCTGGCTCAGTTCATTCACGTTTGGGGCTTCAGTACCTTCAGACTCATCTGGGATGGGCTCAGCTGTGACACCTGGACTTTCCCCCATGTGATTCTCTGCCTCCAGAAGGCACCCTGTTGTTCACATGGCAGAGACTGGGCTCCGAGAAACTGAGAGGAGGCTGCAATGTCTGTGGACATTGTCTCTGCAATACTTCAAAGTTCAACCAGGTTTGAGTCTATTAGAGTTATTACATCATCATTTCACCACATTGTACTGGCCAAAGAAAGTCGAAAGTCAAAAGTCCAGTACAGACTCAAAGGGGTGTAAAATAGAACGCATCTCTTAATGGGAGTTGCTGAAAAATTACTGTGGAAAGGGTACGAATACAGGGAGAAGTGAAGAATTGGGGGTCAGGATTTTGTGAAGTGTCTAGGATTTGTTTTAAATATGCAAACTGATAAGTTAGCTTGTTACTGTCTCATGCATTCTAACAGATTCCTGGGTCAGAGACAAAGGGTAGTTGATTACTCATGGCACAATAAGCAACATGTACTTCTTGTTGGTTTGTATCCTTTTTCTGAGTCAACCTAAATTCCATGGGGGTGACACTGGTGGGCCTCTACATTAGCCTGCTCATGCAGTACATTGCATGACATACAATGGGCATTAGGCTTAGGGAATCTACTTTAATAGTGGCAGAAACAAGCCTGATATTGGTCCAGGAGGAGTCATTGCCTTATCTCTCCAGGTGGTTATCTGCAAATACAACTCTGAGAAATGGCTCAGGTAAGAACATCACAGTCTTGCATTGGTGGCATACGCAGCAAGGATGCTCAGGGCTGATGAAGAAGTGCCTCTTCCAACACAGGGATATTTTTGAAATGAATTTATTACAATGGAGATGAATAAAGCAAACATTTACTCATCATATGCCTGAGAAAATGTCATGTCCCAATGCCAGGATATAAGTTGTCTAAGTTAATTTTAATAATCCTGTGAGGTTATGGTTATTTTTGTCCTATTGCAGATGATGAACTGAGGGCCAGAGAGATTAGGGAGCTGGACAGAGTTCAACCAGCCAGGAAGTGAGCTAGGACTGGTGGAGCAGAGATTCTATCCTGGTTTATCTGGCCCCAAAGCAGATCACCTTGACCGTTATTGAATATTTGACAGGTGGGACCTAGAGGAGGGCAATATGTTGACCAAGGGCACATAGAGCATAGGAGACAGAGCTGAGACTTGAATGCAGGTCTCTTGACTCCAAGCCATGGGTCTTCATCTCCTATACTAACAGTTTCTGCTCGCATCCCAGTCTGGTCCTCGCTGGCAATGGGTTCCTGGGGCAGAGGACCAGGAGGCTGGTTGTGGGGGAGTCCATCCTGATGTTTGGGACTGGGGAGGGGCACAAAGGAGGCAGGGCCCAGCTCTAGCTCTCTTCCCTTCTCTGGCCAGGACAAGTGGCAGCACCTGGCCTCAGAGGGCAGCAGTCGTCTGGACATGTTTGAGCACATCAGCCTCATGACCTTGGACAGTCTACAGAAATGCATCTTCAGCTTTGACAGCCATTGTCAGGAGTGAGTTCCTTCCTAGGGCCTGGGATATGAATCCATGGACCAAAGGGAGAAAGTTGGGGAGGGAGGAATGAGCAAAGTAACCAGAAGTACCTTTCGGGAGGATTTGTATCATAGCTGTGCTTTGAAGGTCGAGGAAGAGGAGAAAGTGCTGTCTTTCCAGGTAGAAATATGTGTGTAAAAGCAAGAAGGTTAGGATGAGCCAAGCATGTGCAAGAGACAGTAGAAATGAGGTTGTGGAAGTAGGGGCTAGATATTAAGGGCACTGAAAATCAGGAAAAGTGGTATGAAGTTTATCAAGACATTTCCAGAGACCTTTTGTAGTTTCAGCTGATGATGGATGTGATAAGAGCTGAGCTGTGTGGGAAACTGATAGCCCACCACCACGCCCAGCTAATTTCTGTATTTTCAGTAGAGAGGGGGTTCACCATGTTGTCCAGGCTGGTCTCAAATTCCTGACCTCAGGTGATGTGCCCTCTTTGGCCTCAGAAAATGTTGGGATTACAGGCATGAGCCACTGTGCCCAGCTGCTTCTTCTTTCTTACAGGGTGAAAGAGAGAGGGAGAGAGAGAGAGACAGAGAGACAGAGAGAGAGAGAGAGAAAGAGAGAGAGAGTTGGTTATGCTGGGGGCTGGAGCAGGGCTGAACTGGAAGAGGATGAAGTCTGAGTTGTGTGGACAGTTTTGGTAAGGAAAATGATCAGTACTGCATACTGGATGGGAGACAGAGGAGAGAAGCATGGTGTCCAAGCTATACTCTAGGTGCCTAGGTGCATGGAGACAGCTCTCTCAGAGATAGGATGCAGGGAGAGAAGACAGTCTAGAGAGTCAGTCTCATGACTGATACCCACCATGTATCTCTAGGACCATCTATTTCTAGATACTCAGTTTCCTGATGGGAGGTAGCTCCTGGCTGCTGGTGGGAGGTGTTCCTGGGGCTTTGCATACGTTACATTGTTGCCTCCCTTTCTGCCCTTGCTCTGCAGGAGGCCCAGTGAATATATTGCCACCATCTTGGAGCTCAGTGCCCTTGTAGAGAAAAGAAGCCAGCATATCCTCCAGCACATGGACTTTCTGTATTACCTCTCCCATGACGGGCGGCGCTTCCACAGGGCCTGCCGCCTGGTGCATGACTTCACAGACGCTGTCATCCGGGAGCGGCGTCGCACCCTCCCCACTCAGGGTATTGATGATTTTTTCAAAGACAAAGCCAAGTCCAAGACTTTGGATTTCATTGATGTGCTTCTGCTGAGCAAGGTAGGTTTCTCTATGATCTGAATTTAGGTGAGAGAATAGAGCTTCATGTCAAATGTCAGGTGAAATAAATTGGTTTTGATCCAAAGGGCACTGGGAGCCATGGAAGATGCTTGAGAAAGGGAAGGTCACAGATAGGTTTTAGAGATGACTTTATTGCATGCAGCCCACAGGGCACTGCTAATTCTGAAACTGTGAGGAGCATGATATTTTATTCAACTTATAAGTTAGTGTGTTAGTCTTTCACATTTTTATGTGTATCTATATGTCTATGTCTTTGTCTATGTCTGTATCTATGATAAAAGATGCACCAAACCCCTGGATCACAGCAGCCCATTAATTATTTACAGCAGTAACAGCAGGTGGAGTAGGATGGTAGTGCTGGCTCCCCATTCCTAGGGCAACACAATGTTTTTACCTGTAAATGCACAAGAATTTGCACCAAGGAGAGGGGCCCCCACATTATGAGTATTATAGCTTATATAGGACAGCTAGCTCATATGCTCCTTCTTTATTACAGGGTGAAAGTTAGAGACAGAGAAAGAGAGAGAGAGAGAATGCTTTGTTCTGGCGTATAAACTACCCCTCTCCTGTGAGATGGCAATTTCTAGAGTTTTATAACCCAAATATCTTCTGGAAAGATAAGATTCTCTGGGTTTACCACTCTAGAATGTCAGCAAATATTTTTGGAGCAATACATAATTTCTAACCTCCAAGGCAAATTGCCATTCAAATATCCTGTACCCCAGGTTGCCAGTATCTTTTTCTCTGAAAGTCTGTATTATGCAGAAAAATGAAAATATTCGAGAACCATTGATTCCTGTCACCAGGGTCCAAAGAGGAGGCAAAGGATCTGGGGGAAGCCCTTGGAGTTGGGGCTTTGGTGATGGTGAACAAGAGAGATCTAGACGTGCAGAGTGCATTTGAGTTTCTGGAAGATCAGAGCTTCAGAGATTATCTCAGGTTAGACTCCGGAGTCTCAGAGATAGTATAATTTGTGTGTGTGTGTGTGTGTGTGTGTGTGTGTGTGTGTGTGTGTCTTGCTTTCTCTTCAGGATGAAGATGGGAAGGCATTGTCAGATGAGGATATAAGAGCAGAGGCTGACACCTTCATGTTTGGAGGTGAGGGTCCCAGTGTGGGACTACAGTGGAGACAGAGGTCCCTCCATCTCAGGATCCGGGTGGGTGGACCCTGGATCACTCCATTCTGCCCATCTTCCCCCTCCCTCCATCCTCCTGAGGGCCTCAATATCTGGGCGCTGTCCACCCTCCGGTGCTGAAGCCAAGCTTACCTGGCTGCTCCTCAGGCCATGACACCACGGCCAGTGGCCTCTCCTGGGTCCTGTACAACCTTGCGAGGCACCCAGAATACCAGGAGCGCTGCCGACAGGAGGTGCAAGAGCTTCTGAAGGACCGCGATCCTAAAGAGATTGAATGGTGAGTGCAAGTTCTTCTGGCCTGTTCCTGAGCCCATCATTGGTTCTGCTCCCCAAGTGAGGAGGGGTGGAGGAGTTGTTTTGTGGATTCTTCCACTATTGCTTAGTGGGTATAAAAGCAGAGGACCACAGGCAGGGCTTGATACCAAGCCTGGCTGTCAGGGGAAAAGTTGCAGGCCTTTAGGACCGAAAGACCCGGGCTGCTAAGAGAATTGGTGACAATGTGTGAGGACAGATAATGCTACTTTGCACATGTTCAGCAAATGAACTTCCCCTCCACTCTGTTTCTGTTCTCCCAGAAATATCAGTTTTTTCGAAAATCCTCACTTCTTGAATGTTTGCTCAGGTGGGGAGGGAGAAGTTGTTTTTGTCAATTCTTCCATTATTGCTTAGTAGTACTAGGAGCAGAGCACAGAGGCAGAACTTGGTATCCAACCTGGCTAGCAGGGGAAAGTTTTCAGACTTTTGGGACAGAGAGTCCTAGCCCGCTGAGAGAACTAAGGACAATATATGAAGGCAGACGATGACATCTAGACATGTTCAGTCAATGAATTTTCCCTTCACTCCTTTCTTGTTTACTCTGAATTATCATATTTTTTTCAAACATCTTTACTTCCTGAATGTTTACTCTTCTGTTCCCTAATTCCTACCCTCCGGTCCAGTCCAGGGAGTCCTAAGGGAGACCTGGGGGTAAAAGTCATCTATCTTTTGTCTAGAACACCTGCATCGTTCATCCATTCAGTCTTCATTCAGCAAACTCTTCCACATGCCTTTCCATTGCCAGTTCTGTTCCCACACCTTTCTGTGCTCTGGAGACCTGGAAAGAACCCTGCCTATGGATGTGTTTTCCAGGTACTCCCAGCCTAGTAGGAACAGTCCCCCACAAGACATTCCCAGTCCACATAGGCAAGGATGGAGTTGAGAGCAAGAGAAGCATGGCTGGGAGTACAGAAAGTGTGATAGAAAGTGTTTCAAGCCAGATCTGGTGGCTGTCGCTTGTGATACCAAGTACCGAGGAGGCTGAAGTGGGATAATCACTTGAGGTCAGGTTTAAGATCAACCTGGGCAATATAGAAAGAACCCATTTCTAAAAAAGTAAAAAACCAAAATAATAAAGTGCCTCAACTGAAACCCTGAATGGTGATCAGTAGGTGTTTGGATGCAGTAGTGCCCTAGGTCAAAAAGAAAGTCTGGGCAAAAATGCAAAAAGAGGGAGCAGGAGAGAGGGAGAAGAGGGAAAGAGAGGTTTGTGTGTCAGGGAAGGAGATGGTTATAAAGGGAGGGAGAAGTAAGAGGGAGGAAAAGTGAGGGAGAGCAAGATAAAGAGAGGAGGGAAGACAGAAGGAGACAGAGAGAGAATGAGAGAGAAAGGAACTGAGTTGTGATGAGATAATAACTATGGTAGTGAAAGCAGAGTCTGGCTGTGGAAAATATGGGAAAATGGTAATGGCTTCCATTTTAACCCAAAGGCAATGGGAAGCCATAACAAGTGGTTGAGCAGGGGAGGGGCAGGTCATATCTGGGCACCAGAAAGATCTTTTCAGAGCTACTGTGGAGAGAGGACCAGCTGTAGAATGAAGTCCCAGTGAAGACATTCTGGGACCTGAGCCAGGGCAGGGGCTGGGGATGGAGAGGAGGCAATGGACTGGACATGTGTTTTGGAGGCCGTGTCCTCCCGTCCAAGCCTTTGCTCAGCACAGCAGTCCTAAAAGGTGGCAACACTTTTTATGCTTTTAAAAACCAAGATATCAAGTAATACTGTGCACTTTGTAAACAAAAAAAAGTGTCTAAAACATTTATAAAAATGAGCTTTCCTCATGCCTGTAATCCCAGCACTTTGGAAGGCCGAGGCGGGCGGATCACGAGGTCAGGAGATCGAGACCATCCTGGCTAACACGGTGAAACCCCGTCTCTACTAAAAGTATAAAAAATTAGCCGGGCGTGATGGCAGGTGCCTGTAGTCCCAGCTACTCTGGAGGCTGAGGCAGGAGAATGGCGTGAACCCGGGTGGCGGAGCTTGCAGTGAGCTGAGATGGCACCATTGCACTCCAGCCTGGGCAACAGAGTGAGACTCTTTCTCAAAAAAAAAAAAAAAAGAGCTTCCTTCTTAACTGTCACCCTAGTAGTTTCTACCATCAATGGTTTTGTGTGTCCCTCCAGAAGATGGCTATCTTGATGCCCACTTTATAAGAACACAGACTTCTTCTATACAAATAAGAGTGTATAAAATAGACACAGTACTTTTTCCCAAGATGGTGGGTTGGAGGCAATGTCAGTGTGCCTCTCCCATGTGGAAGGACAGAATAGTGTGTAGAGATTCACAGTGTAAGCTTTCTTTTCCCAAGAAACAACACAGGGACTTAACAGGAAAACCAGAAGAATCCACAAACCCTTCAAAAGAAGCTACAGGCTGCATTCTACTCTGTGAGACAGGTGAAAAACTGTGAATCCTCAGAGTAAGAGGGGGAGAGACTGCTTCCTAGGTACACATCTTCACTGGGGAATCTGAAAATCCAGACCACAGGAGAAGGCCTTAACTCTATCCAGGGCTTGAACTGATTTAGGGAGTGGTAAGAAATATAAAAGTAGAAGCAGCAGCAGGAAGTCCCTTGCAGGCATTCACAATCTCCAGCATGGACTGAGGGAAGCCATTCCTTATTGTATCTCACAGGGGACCTTGGGGAAGTCAGACAACTAGCTCAGGTGAGGTCACAGGTTGAACGAAATGCCCAAATGAATTTCTTGATATAACCTCGAGTGGGGATGAACTCCCTTGACCAGAACCCGGGAGGCAAGCAGGAAGTGTGCTGCAGACAGGAGTTCAGAAGCTGGGTGCCTGGCCTTGGACAGGGACAAAAAAGGACATGGCCTGAAAGCATTGCTATTTCTGTGGGAAAAGCTTATGGCCTGGGGCAGGGCTGAGTTCTGTGCACAGACTGCCTGGATCTAAATCCAGTGCTATGAGTGGAACACTGCATGTGTGAGACCCACCTTGTGCCAACTGCATGGGAGCTAGATGAGGCTTACTGCCACCTGCTACTCTCCACTCCCTTGTCAAACTCTTCTGTGAGGCAGAGGCAGTTATACTCACCTCTGGATCATTACCCCAGTGACCTAAGAACCACCCTCTGACTCTCACAGGGCAAAACAAACAAACAAAAAAACAGTTGCAAAAAAAAAAAAATACCTAGGAATATACTTAACCAAGGAGGTTAAAGCTCTCTACAAGGAGAACTACAAAACAGTGCTGGACAAAACCATAGATGACACAAACCAATGAAAACACATCCCATGTTCATGGATTGGAAGAATCAATATTGTGAAAATGATCATAGTGCAAAGCAATCTACAGATTTAACGCAATGCCTATGAAAATACCTTCATCATTTTTCACACAACTGGGAAAAGCAATTCTAAAATTCATATGGAACCAAAACAGAGCCTGTGTAGTCAAAGCAATACCAAGCAAAAAGAAAAAATTTGGAGGCATCACATTACCGGACTTCAAATTACATTACAAGGCTACAATTACCAAAACAGCATGGTACTGGTATAAAAGTAGGCATTTAGATGAATGGAACAGAAAGGAGGACCCAGAAATAAAGCCAAATACTTACAGCCAACTGATCTTTGACAAAGCATACAAAAACATAAATTGGGGAAAGACACCCTATTCAATAAATGGTGCTGGGAAAACTGGACAGTCACATGTAGAAAAATGAAACTGCATCCCCATCTCTCACCTTGTACAAAAATCAAAGGCTTAAATCTAAGACAGAAACCATAACAATTTTATAAGATAACCTTGGAAAAACTCTTTTGGACATTGGCCTAGGCAAAGAATTCGTGACCAAGACCACAAAAGCAAATGCAACAAAACCAAAAATAAATCAGTGGAACTTAATTAAACTAAAAAGCTTCTGCACAACAAAATAATAATAATAATAATAGCCGACTTAACAGACAACCTACAGAGTGGGGGAAAATATTTGCAAACTATGCATCTGACAAAGGGCTAGTATCCAGAATCTACAAGGAACTCAAACAACTCAGCAAGGAAAAAAAACAAACAAACAATTAGTTCCATCAAAAAGTGGGCAAAGGGCATGAACAGATAATTCTCAAAAGAAGATACACAAACAGCCACGAAACATATGAAAAAATGCTCAACATCACTAATCATCAGGGATATGCAAATTAAAACCACAATGAGATACCATCTTGTTTCTACAAGAATGGCCATAATTAAAAAGTCAAAAAACAATAGATGTATGTTGTGGATGTATTGAAAAGTGAATGCTCATACACTGCTATGAAAATTAACATAACCTCTGTGGAAAACGATAAGGATATTCCTTAGCGAACTAAAAGTAAATCTACCATTCCATCCAGCAATCTCACTACTAGGTATCCACCCAAAGGAAAAGTGATTATATGAAAAAGACACATGCACATGCATGCTTATAGTAGCACAATTCACAATTGTAAAGGTACGGAACCAACCTAACTGCCCATTGACCAATGAGTGGATAAAGAAAATGTGGCATATATACACAATGGAATACTACTCAGTCATAAAAAGGAATGAAATAATGTCTTTTGCCGCAACTTGGATGGAGCTGGAGGCCATTATTCTAAGTGAAGTAACTCAAGAATAGAAAACCAAATACCATATATTTTCACCTATAAGTGGGAGCTAAGCTGTGAGGACACAAATACATACAGAGTGATATAATGAGCTTTGGAGACTCGGAGAGCAAGGTTGGGAGCCGGGTAAGGGAGAAAAGACTGCATATTGGGGACAGTATACACTGCATGGGTGATGGGTGCACTAAAACCTCAGAATTCACCACTATAGAAATCATCCATGTAACCAAACCACTTATATCCCAAATGCTATTGAAATAAAAGGAAGTAAAGAAGAGACAGATCTGCACATTAACAATATATCTTTGGGAGCTTTTCTTTTTCTAAAAATATGAGTTTTGGAAAATTAGTTCGTTTTTATTTTTAATTGGCAAATTTTAATTATATATGTTTATGGGGTGCAATGTGATATTATGATATATGTATACAACGTGGAATGATTAAGTCAATTTAATAAACATACCCGTCATCTCATATACTCATCATTTTTGTGGTGAGAATATTTGAAATTTGCTCTCTTAGCAATTTTGAGAAATTTATTATTATTAACTGTAGTCACCATGCATGCAATAGATCTCAAAACTTATTCCTTCTAACGGAAACTTGTACCCTTTGACCAATGTCTTTCCATTCTTTCTTCCTCCCTTCTCTGGTAACCACCATTCTCTTCTTGGTTTCTATGATTTCTGTGTTAATTATTTCAGATCTCACAGTTAATTAAGGTTATGTGCTGTTTGTCTCTTTGTGCCTGGCTCATTTCACTTAGCATAATGTCCTTTAGGTTCTTGCAGATTGCCACAAATGAAAGAATTTTCTTCTGTTTTAAGGCTGACTAGCATTCCATTTTGTATATATACACCACACGGAAAATGAGTTTTGAATTACAAAAGCAATGATGAGAACAGTTTCTTCTTGCACTCAATGAGGCATCACAGATAGACAAGGGTTATTCTTGACATTCCTGCTATCCCACCTAATATCCTCCCTTTCTCCAAGGGGGCCTGTAGAGATACTTATTTGTCATCTATCTGTCTGTCTGTTTACATCTATCTACATATCTTTCTATCATCGATCTCTTCTTATATTCCTTATATTTTTTGTCCTATGGTATTTACATATATGGACATTTGGGAACATGTTTTTTTCCACTCAATACTGTGTCTGACAGATATTTTTTCTGAGTGCTGAATAGCATTCCATGTTTTATTTGGCCCATCCCTTTGTTGAAGACACTTGCGTAAACATTTCCAATCATTGGAGGTATGGCCAATTTGCATTCCAGAGTCTCTGTACTGATTTAGCTTCTGGTCTGCATTGTGTGACAGGACTAGTGATCCTTTTTTTCTCCTTTTGTGTAGCTGTATACTATTCCATTGTGTGGATGTTTATCTAAACATCTCCCCATCCATGTATATTTGGCTTGTTTCATCCTTTTGCTAAATTAAACTTGTGCAATCGGCATGTGTGTACAGTGAGCATTGCTCATATGTATAAACATCACTGCAGGACAAATTCCCAAAAGTGCAATTGTTGAACCAAAGACCATTTGCATTCTACAGTTGTAATAATGATTGCAAATCCATCTCTATATTAGGTGAGTTTGATGGCACTAGCTTTCCCACAAATTTGCCAATAGTATTATTGTATTATTAAATTTAAATTTTTTGTCCATCTTCATATTTCATCTTTTAATGAGCATTTTCTTAAATAAGAGTGAGAAAGAACATCCTTTGCCCAAGTTGATAAGCCATTTATTTTCTTTCTATGGGAGTGGTCATCTGATATTTTCTGCTGTTTTTCTTTGGGTTCTTTTTTCTTATTTACTTATAAGAATGTGTATCACAATTAATGTTTTTTTTTTCTGTTTTTTTGTTGCAAAAGATTGCCTTTTGACTTTTTTGGGGGGTGCTTTTGGTTAATTTTTATGAAGTTACATTTGTTCGTATTTTCTTTTGTACCACACTACCCAGCTATTTCCCAGAGTTTTGTGGGGCTTCCTTTGGCAGATGGGAAGTTTCCACTTATTCACATGCCCGTCTCTGACCTTTTTAGTCTTTTGAATGCATCCGTTTTTATGGCATTGCCAGACTATTTTTTCTTACTGTGACTTTTCTTTTCTTTTTTCTTTTTTTGAGATGGAGTCTAGCTTTGTCGCCCAGGCTGGAGTGCAGTGGTGCGATCTCAGCTTACTGAAACCTCCTGCCTCTCTGGTTCAAGCTATTCTCCTGCCTCAGCCTCCCGAGTAACTGGGACTACAGGCACCCTCCACCACGCCTGGCTAATTCTTGTTTTAGGTAGAGATGAGGTTTCACCACATTGGTCAGGCTGGTCTCAAACTCTTGACCTCAAGTGATCCACCCACCTCGGCCTCCCAATACTCTGACTTTCTAATGGGTTTTAATATCTGGCAGAGTGGCTTTTTTTGTTGTTAAATCAACCCCTGCAAACATTTATTGTGTGATAAAGTGTATGTTTTATTTGGATTGAGGGAAATTTATAATGAAATACAGAGATTTCATGTTTCTTTTTAAGTTTAATCCAGGTATTTTATATTATTATGACTAGTATCTTTTCTTTTATTATCTTTTCATTTGATGGTTATTTCTATATGGTAAAACTAATGATTTATGCATATAAATTCTATGCCCAGTGAACATAGTATATGCTAAAGATGGTATCTGTATCAAGAGAAAAAATATAGATAATTAAGTAAAAGCTCTTGGGGCAACTGGAAAGCCTTCTGGAAAAAAGGCAACTGAACCTTGTTCTCATATCTTATGACAAGATAATGTTCAGATTAATCATTTTTTTCTAAAAGAGTCCTAAAAGCTCTAGAAGGAACCATGAGAAAATTATTTCATAGCGCCAGAGTAGGGATAACCTTATTTTGACGTAAGTCCCAGGGGCTATGAAAAAGTGATAAACTGTTAAATGAGAGAAAAGATACACGCCAGCCACGGTGGTTCATGACTGTAATCCCAGTACTTTGTGAGGCCAAGGTGGGCAGATCACTTGAGATCAGGAGTTCAAGACCAGCCTTGCCAAATTGGGGAAACTCCATCTCTACTAAAAATAAAAAAAAAAATTAGCTGGCTGTTGTGGTGAATGCCTGTAGTCCCAGCTACTTGGGAGGCTGAGGCAGTAGAATCACTTGAACCAGGGAGGTGGAGGTTGCAGTGAGACAAGATTGTGTCACTGCACTCCAGCCTGAGCAACAGAGACTCCATTCCCTCCCCCCATCAAAAAAGATACAGAATAGTGTCTACAGTAGATGGTGTGCTCCTATATAATTTTTTAAGATGCTTAAAATCAGCCCAGAAAGCATACATTAAAAAAAATAATAACCTGGCAACGTGTGGGGAGAAGTAAATGGCATTGGGCCATAGGAGTGAATTATGTTTTATAGTTTTCAAATTCTGAACCAGATAATTGTAGACGGTATGAAAATTTTAAATAGCCACTGCAAAAGAAGAAAGATTAAGCAGAGAATTCAGCTCCTTTGCTTGATCTTAAATGTTTATAAACGTTTTCCAGTGGGGCCTCTAGTGTTTTCTAAGTATAAAATCACTATCTGCCAAAATGATACATTTACTACCACATTTCAAATTGCCTGACTCTCGTGTTTTTTTGGCTGCATAAATGTCTTCTTTTGAGAAGTGTCTGTTCATGTCCTTCGCCCACTTTTTGATGGAGTTGTTTTTTTCTTGTAAATTTGTTTGACTTCATTGTAGATTCTGGATATTAGCCCTCTGTCAGATGAGTAGGTTGCGAAAATTTTCTCCCATTTTGTACGTTGCCTGTTCACTCTGATGGTAGTTTCTTTTGCTGTGCAGAAGCTCTTTAGTTTAATTAGATCCCATTTGTCAATTTTGGCTTTTGTTGCCATTGCTTTTGGTGTTTTAGACATGAAGTCCTTGCCCATGTCTATGTCTTGAATGGTAATGCCTCGGTTTTCTTCTAGGGTTTTTATGGTTTTAGGTCTAACGTTTAAGTCTTTATTCCATCTTGAATTAATTTTTGTATAAGGTGTAAGGAAGGGATCTAGTTTCAGCTTTCTACATATGGCTAGCCAGTTTTCCCAGCACCATTTATTAAACAGGGAATCCTTTCCCCATTGCTTGTTTTTCTCAGGTTTGTCAAAGATCAGATAGTTGTAGACATGTGGCATTAACTCTGAGGGCTCTGTTCTGTTCCATTGATCTAGATCTCTGTTTTGGTACCAGTACCATGCTGTTTTGGTTACTGTAGCCTTGTAGTATAGTTTGAAGTCAAGTAGCATGATGCCTCCAGCTTTGTTCTTTTGGCTTAGGATTGACTTGGCGATGCGGGCTCCTTTTTGGTGCCATATGAACTTTAAAGTAGTTTTTTCCAATTCTGTGAAGAAAGTCATTGGTAGCTTGATGGGGATGGCATTGAATCTATAAATTATCTTGGGCAGTATGGCCATTTTCATGATATTGATTCTTCCTACCCATGAGCATGGAATGTTCTTCCCTTTCTTTGCACCCTCTTTTATTTCATTGAGCAGTGGTTTGTAGTTCTCCTTGAAGAGGTCCTTCACGTCCCTTGTAAGTTGGATTCCTAGGTATTTTCTTCTCTTTGAAGCAGTTGTGAATGGGAGTTCACTCATGATTTGGCTCTCTGTTTGTCTGTTATTGGTGTATAAGAATGCTTGTGATTTTTGTCCATTGATTTTGTATCCTGAGACTTTGCTGAAGTTGCTTATCAGCTTAAGGAGATTTTGGGCTGAGACAATGGGGTTTTCTAGATATACAATCATGTCATCTGCAAACAGGGACAATTTGACGTCTTCTTTTCCTAATTGAATAACCTTTATTTCCTTCTCCTGCCTAATTGCCCTGGCCAGAACTTCCAACACTTTATGCAGCCAAAAAACACATGAAAAAATGCTCACCATCACTGGCCATCAAAGAAATGCAAATCAAAACCACAATGAGATACCATCTCACACCAGTTAGAATGGCAATCATTAAAAAGTCAGGAAACAACAGGTGCTGGACAGGATGTGGAGAAATAGGAACACTTTTACACTGTTGGTGGGACTGTAAACTAGTTCAACCATGGTGGAAGTCAGTGTGGCGATTCCTCAGGGATCTAGAACTAGAAATACCATTTGACCCAGCCATCCCATTACTGGGTATATACCCAAAGGACTATAAATCATGCGGCTATAAAGACACATGCACATGTATGTTTATTGCGGCACTATTCACAACAGCAAAGACTTGGAACCAACCCAAATGTCCAACAATGATAGACTGGATTAAGAAAATGTGGCACATATACACCATGGAATACTATGCAGCCATAAAAAATGATGAGTTCATGTCCCTTGTAGGGACATGGATGAAATTGGAAATCATCATTCTCAGTAAACTATCGCAAAGACAAAAAAACCAAACACCGCATGTTCTCACTCATAGGTGGGAATTGAACAATGAGAACACATGGACACAGGAAGGGGAACATCACACTCTGGGGACTGTTGTGGGGTGGGGGGAGGGGGAAGGGATAGCATTAGGAGATATAACTAATGCTAAATGATGAGTTAATGGGTGCAGCACACCAGCATGGCACATGTATACATATGTAACTAACCTGCACATTGTGCACATGTACCCTAAAAGTATAATAATAATAAAAAAAAAAAAACAAATTGCATGACTCTCCTTTTTTCCCTTGCCTAATTGCACTTGCTGGTATCTCTAGCATCACGCTAAATAAGAGCAAAACATTGGATCTGGGTATTTTGTTTGTTATTCATTTGCATTTGAGTTTGCTTTCTTGCCATAGACAATATTTATTTTTATGTGAGTTTGTTAATTTTTTACCGCTGGCTTCTGGGTGTTTTCCTCAGAGTATTTATTTTTATCTATTTGGCTAAATTTTCTCTGGTACTTTTCTAATTCTCTGCTTCTCTAATTGTTTTCTGCTTTTTAAAATTCTCAAATGTTTGATCCCCGTGGAGTTTATTTTGTGATAGGGAGAAAAGGTCTCATTTGCAAATAGAAAAGGTGGAGAGTTGTGTATTTGTTCCCTTGATAATGACTGGGGCTGGGGTGTTTCCTTAGGGACGACCTGGCCCAGCTGCCCTTCCTGACCATGTGCGTGAAGGAGAGCCTGAGGTTACATCCCCCAGCTCCCTTCATCTCCCGATGCTGCACCCAGGACATTGTTCTCCCAGATGGCCGAGTCATCCCCAAAGGTGCCCACAGCCTCAGGGGGAGAAGCCTCCCGGGTAGGAAGATGGTTCCCTCAGGGGATCCTTGTCCTGACTGCCCCTTTCTCTCCCACAGGCATTACCTGCCTCATCGATATTATAGGGGTCCATCACAACCCAACTGTGTGGCCGGATCCTGAGGTGCTGCCTTCCCCATTCACCACCACCACCCCCATCCTCTACTTTTGTGTGTGTGTGTGTGAATTCCAAGGTTCCTAGTGGAGGGGGCAGGGTTTTGATGAGGAAAATCCAACATCACCTCACCCCAAAACACACACAAGTGTCTCTCCAAGGCTGCTGGACATAGGAAATCCCACTGGCAAACCTTCTTTGTCTCACCTGCAGGTCTACGACCCCTTCCGCTTTGACCCAGAGAACAGCAAGGGGAGGTCACCTCTGGCTTTTATTCCTTTCTCCGCAGGGCCCAGGTAAGAGCGCCCTGTGTCTGAGGCAGGGATGGGATGATGGGTGCGGGAGTTAAAAAAAGGGGGACGTTGCAGATGGTCCCAGTTCCAGCTCTCCTTCCCTCCATTCCTTCACAGTTTATGGGAAAACGTCCATAGAATGGGGATGAGTAGGTCCTAGAGGGGTCCGCGGAGTGCTCAAAATCCCCTTCTCCATCTGCTGGTCTGAGCTGGGAGCTGGAGTCAGGCCCAGTCTCCGGGACATACAAGCCCACATGGGAGTCCCAGGCACGCTTAGTCTTTCTCTCTCTCTCTCAGGCTGAGCTGGGTGCAGTTGGGGGTCCCAGGCCAGGTTCCTGGGTTGATGGGACCCAAATGCGGGTCTTGGGCACAGTCACAGTCCCCACTCCCGCCTGCAGGAACTGCATCGGGCAGGCGTTCGCCATGGCGGAGATGAAAGTGGTCCTGGCGTTGATGCTGCTGCACTTCCGGTTCCTGCCAGACCACACTGAGCCCCGCAGGAAGCTGGAATTGATCATGCGCGCCGAGGGCGGGCTTTGGCTGCGGGTGGAGCCCCTGAATGTAAGCTTGCAGTGACTTTCTGACCCATCCACCTGTTTTTTTGCAGATTGTCATGAATAAAACGGTGCTGTCACCTCTGCCTGGGCCTCACTGACAGCCTGCAGGGGGCTCTTGGGGACTGGGAGGCTTCAGGGAAGGGGCCTAACCTGGGTGGGTTAGGCGGGATGTTTTCCCTGAAACCAAGAACCTGACTGCCTCTTTGGCTGAGCATAGGGCCTCCATGCTTATAGCAGGGTCTCTCAGAGCCCAAGTATGGACTTTATCCTGTGGACAATGTGGAGCCATGGGAGGTTTTTGAGCAGGAGAGGGACCAGGATTAAGAACGGATTTAAGAGGTACGACTGAGGCTAAGTGAGAAGCAACCATAGGGGCAGATCCTTTCTTTTGGTCTGGGAGTGTCCCAAGACCGAGGTCCCTGGCCAGTTCAGAACACAAGGATAGAAGGGTGCAGCTTATACCCTGGCAGGCTCTCAGGAGTTCTGTTTCCTTTCTTGCTAATGTCCCACCCTATGTCTCCCCCTTCCAGTTGATCGCTTTTGTGACCCCTTTCCCTAACTTCAGGCAGCTCCTATTTTTCCTCTTTTGAGCCCTCTGACTCTGCCCAGGCTGCTTGTCCATCAGCTGCTATCTGAATCCTCCCCCTACTCTCTTCTGCTATGTGCCAGGCACTCTCACAAGTGTCAGGGGTTGGGCACGTCTTCACCCTTTCACCTCTAGATTCCTCCTTCATTCCCATCACTGACCCATCTTGGGGTGGGGTGCAGTCAGGAACATCCTGTTTGACCCTTGAGATTCAAAGACAGATGACTGGAAACAGAACACCATCCCAAAGGTATGGGATCTGGAGCCAGACTGTTGGGCTGAAGTCTCATCTTTGCTGTGTGACTTGAGTAAGTTAATTCCCCTCTATGCACTTCAGTTTCCTCAAACATATAATGTGGGCAACAACACTACCTAACTCAGGGTTGTCCTGAGGACAAAATGTGGAGAACTCAGAACTTGTTGCCTGGTGCATATTGGATGCTTAATAAATGTGGCCATTATTACCTCCTCTCTGAGAAAGTCTGGCTAATAAACCATGTTGCCTTTCAAGATAGTTTTTTTCTACCACGACTTTAAAGACTGTCTTGGAACTTACAGGCAAAAATTGTAATATTTGTGCTCCTTGAATAATCTCTTGCCTTTTAGAGGGCTGTGCATTTAGGAGGCAATTTTTTCTAAGACTGGTTGCGGGCACCTGAAAGTGCAAGGTGGTAGGAGAAGGAAAGAAGCCTCAGTTAATGTTTTAAAATGATGTCCTGCCACAAACATTGACCTCTGTTCATAGCCTAAGGAATTCTGCACCGCTGCACCCTGCAGACTTGTCAAATCTTCTCTCCAGCTCATATTCCTCCCTTGTTACACTCAGTCACCTTGTCCTTGATTCTTATCTCCAAATACATTATATTTTCTTGTTTAGGGCCATTGTACTTCCTTGGAACTCTTGTGAAAGATCAGTTGCCTATACTTAACGTGGGTCTATTTTCTGGGATTTGTATTCTGGTCCATTGACCTATTTGTCTTTTACTAATACCACAACATCTTGATTACTGTAACTTTACAGTAAGTCTTGAAGTGGGATATTGTCATTCCTCAAACAATATTCCACTTCTTCAACAGTGTGTTGACTATTCTAGGTCTTTTGTCTCTCCATGTGCATTTTAGAGTTAGTTTGTTGATATCCATTAAAAAAGCCTTCTTAAATTTTTACTGGGACTGCATTGAATCTACATAATTACTTGGGAAGAACTGACATCCTGAGAATATTTTCTGCCTTATAAGAAATGCTCAAGGAAGTCCTGCATCTGGAAGTGAAAATAGGATAACTACCATCATGACAACATACAAAAGTATAAAATTATCTGGCAGAAACTGGAAAAAACTTCACAGTGTGAACCTTTACACACTATTTTGTCTTCCAAGTGGAAGAAGCATACTAACAATGCCACCAATCCACCATCTCAGGAAAAAAATTAATAAACTGTCTTTTCTGTAATCCCCTTTTCAATGGGGGTGAGGTGTTATCTCACTGTGGTTTTGATTTACGTTTTTTGAGAACCAAAAGCAAACAGGAGTAGCTATATTTATATCAGGTAAAATAGACTTTAAGTTAAAATCTGTAAAAAGAGACAAAGATGTTTATTATATAATAATAAAGGGATCAATTCAACTAGAGGAAATAATTGCAAATGTTGTAAATATTTACAATATTATTTACACCCAATAGTAGAGTACCCAGATATCGAAAGCACACATTATTAGATCTAAAGAGAGACATATACTGTGATACAATAATCACTGGGGACTTCAGCAACCCACTGTCAGCATTGGACAGTTCATCTAGACTAGCAGTCTCCATCTTTTTTGGCACCAGGGACGAGTTTCACGGAAGACGATTTTCCCATGGACGAAGGTAGGGGATGGTTTTGGGATGATTCAAGCACATTACACTTATCATTAGATCCTCATAAGGAGTGTGTAAACTAGACGCCTCATGTTTGGAGTTCACAGTAGGGTTCACATTCCTATGAGAATTGAATGCTGCTGCTGATCTGCATCCGATCAGCAGGGCAAGAGGCGGAGCTCACCTTTGCTTGCTTGCCCACCACTCACCTCCTGCTGTGCAGCCTGGTTCCTAACATGCATCGGATTGGTATTCTATACATACATATATTAATTAATATATATTATAATATGTCTTTCCTTTTTTTGGTGATCTTTTCAGTGTCTTTCATCAGTGTTTTATAGTTTTCCTTGCAGAGATCTTTTGCCTACTTATTTAAATTAATTTCTATGCAATATATATTACTAAGAAATAGTATAATACATATGTGTATATATATTATATATATATAACTTAGAAATAAATTTAACTTACTCAGTTAAATTTATTTCTAAGTGGCTGGGCGCTGTGTCTCATGCCTGTAATCCCAGCACTTTGGGAGGCTGAGCCAGTTGGATGACCTGAGGTCAGGAGTTCAAGACCAGCCTGACCAACATGGTGAAACCCTGTCTCTACTAAAAATACAAAAATTAGCTGGGCGTGGTGGTGTGTGCCTGTAATCTAAACTGCTTAGGAGGCTGAGGCAGGAGAATCGCTTGAACCCGGGAGGCGAAGATTTCAGTGAGCCGAGATCGCACCATTGTACTTCAGCCTGGGCTAGAAAAGTGAAATTCCATCTCAAAAAAAAATATTTCTAAGTAATACAGATTACTAAGAAATAGTATAGTGTATATACATGACTTAAAAATAAAAATAACTAAGCAGATGAAAGAGCTCTGCAAGGAAAACTATAAAATACTGACAAAAGAAACTGAAGAGGTCACAAAAAAAAATAGAAAGACATTCCATGTTGGAAGGAACATTATTCCAACATTAGTTGGAGGAACTAATATTGTGAAAATGACTCAGCTACCAAGAACATTCTACAGATTTAATGCAATCTCTGCCAAAATACCAGTGACATTCTCTAGAGAAATAGAAAAAAACAGATTCTAAAATTTATATGATATCATAGAACACTACACAGAGTTGAAGCAATCCTGAGTGAAAAGAAGAAATCTGGAAGAATCACACTATCTGACTTCAAATTATACTACAAAGCTATAGTAATCAGAACAGTATGATACTGGCATAAAGAGAGACCAATGGAAAAAGACCAATGGAACAGAACATAGAACCCAGAAATAAATCCATGAATTTACACCCAGCTGAATTTCAACAAAGTTGCCAAGAATATTCAATGGGGAAAGGACAATCTCTTCAATAAATGATGGTGAAAGAACTGAATGTGTACATGCAGAAAATGAAACCAGATGCTTATCTCTTACCATATTCAAAAATCAAACCAAAATGGATAAAAGACTTAAATGCAAGACCTGAAACTATGAATTACTCGAAGAAAACATTGGGGAAATGCTTAAGGAAACTGATACGGGCAAGAAGTTTTTTGATAAGAACTCAACAGCATAGGCAACAAAGGTAAAATGGTGAAATGGGATTAAATCCAACAAAAAAGCTTCTTCAGAGCAAAGAAATCAATCAACAAAGTGAAGAGACAACCTACAGAATGAGAAGAAAAATTTGCACGTTTTCAGTCTGACAAAGGATTGGTAATCAGACCATATGAGGAACTCAGACAACTAATAGCAAAGGAAACCCAAAAATAATTCGAGTAAAAATGGGCAAATGATCTGAATAGACATTCCTCAAAAGAAGACATACCAATAGGTATATGAAGAGTTGCTCAACATTACTAACCATCTGGGAAATGGGAATCAAAACCACAGTGAGATAACATCTCACCCCCATTGAAATGGGGATTATAGAAAAGACAGTTTATTTATTTTTTTCCTGAGATGGTGGATTGGAGGGATTGTTAGCATGCTTCTCCCACTTGGAAGACAACATAGTGTGTAAAGATTCACACTGTGAAGTTTTTTCCAAGAAGTGACACAGGAACTTAACAGGAAAACTGAAAGAAACCACCCTTTGAAAGAAGCATCAGGCTGCAGCCTACACCACGAGCCAGGTGGACAACTGTAAGTCCCCAGAGTGTGAGAGAGGGTAAAGTGCCTCCAGGATATACAGTCCCACCGGGGAACCTGGTAATCCAGGCCACAGGGAAGGTCTTAATCCTTCCTTGTGGCAGGCCAACTGGGTGGCTGGGTCTTAATCCTTCTGAGTACTGGAGCTGACTTAGTAAGTGGTGGGAGTATATGAGAAGTGGCATCAGGGCAGGCATTCCCAGTCTCTGGCATTCCCAGTCTCCAGCAGGACAAAGGGAAGCCATTCCTGATCCTACCTCACAGGGGACCTCATGGACGTCTGCCAGCTAACACAGGTGGTGGTCACAGGTTGAGAGAAACTCCCAACTGAGATTCACAATATAATCTCAAGTAGGGATAACTCCCCCGTGGTCAGACCAAGAGGCAAGTGGGAAGTGAGCTGCAGCAACCAGCACAGGAGCTTGGTGTTCCTGCTTAATGGGCAAACCTGGAGAGGTGTGGCCTGAAAGCTGCAGATACTGGCTCAGCATTGGACTTTTGTGTCCCTGCTTAATGGGCAAACCTGGAGAGGTGTGGCCTGAAAGCTGCAGATACTGGCTCCTCAGGGAAGGCGTATGGCCTGGGGCACATTTGAATTCTGAGCACAGACTGCCTGGAACCTAGCTAGCTGCTGCTAGTGGAACACTGTGGGTGCAAGACCTGTCTTGCCAAGAGTGTAGGAGCTGGGTGTGGCTTATTGCCACCTGCTACTCCCCATTCCCCATACAGACTCTTCTGTGAAGCAGAGGCAGCTGTGCTCCTCCCTGGACATTATTCCTGCAACCAGAGAACCACTCTCTGATCCCCAGTGGGGCTACTGCTTTTGTCCAGAGGTGGAGAGCCAGAGTGCGGACTTGCCTGATTGAGCTCTCACTTGGCTTTGCCCCTCCACCTGCCCTGATATATTAATACGTAGGGCAGAAATTTTTGGGAGCCCTATGGCCCCCCCGCCCGGCCCGCCACTGCCTGAGACGCGAGAGTACCTCCTCTGGGTAACATAAGACAGACACAAATTCCACTGCTACCACCACAGCTGGTGTTATTTTGCAAGCGCCACCTCCTGGCTGTGGGCCAATTGACAGAGTCCATTATAGTATCTGCTTGCAAGCACAATAACAGCCAGCAGGAAGGAGAAAACTTGTGCATGACCTCAGCTATCACTATTGCCTGCATCCATCTGGTTAATCAGGAAGTTCTGAGTCTGTCCACATGACCAGTTTGTTAGTACCACAGCTGGCATTTGAGAAAGCCAACACACTAAGGCTACTTATAACTGAGCAATCTCACAGAATCTACATCACTCCCCTTCTTCCCCCATCAGAGCTGGGGCTGGTACCACTGCTGGGGGTTTTGAGGATCCGTTACTTGATTGGCCCCTTGCAGATATTCTCCAGCACCAGCATAAATTGTGGCAGCCCCACTGGGTGGCTAGACCAAGAGGAGCCGCAGCCTTCATAGTAGTCTGGCTCTCTGAGACTCCTACTTCTAGGGGGAAGGGGAGTGCACCGTATCAATGGAGCACACCATGGGACAAAAGATTCCAGATGGTAGACCTTGAGTCCCACTTTCCGCATATGAGAAGTTGCTTTTCTTTTTCTTTTTTTTTTTTTTTGAGACAGACTTTCGCTCTGTCCCCCAGGCTGGAGTGCAGTGGCGCAATCTCGGCTCACTGCACCTGGGTTCAGGCAATTCTCCTGCCTCAGCTTGCTGAGTAGCTGGGGTTACAGGCGCCTGCCACCGTGCCCAGCTAACTTCTTGTATTTTTAGTAGAGATGAGGATTTGCCATCTTGGCCGGCTAGTTTTCAACTCGTGATCCACTCGCCTCAGCCTCCCAAAGTGTTGGGATTACAGGCTTGAGCCGCTGTGCCTGGCAAGAAGTTTCTTTCAGCAGAGGCATAGGTGCAGTGCTGGGTTCAGTGGCGGAAATGTCTGCAGATCTACTTCAACAGTCAGGCACTTCTGGGGATCAATGAAGGGTCTTAGAGAAGGGGACTTTTTCTTCCCCTTGTCCACTACTGCAGACACAGCTGCAGCTTCTCCCATGACAGCTTGGCATGGCTACACATGTAGACATTCATTCTCTCTGGAATAGTTCAGAGTGACTGCATTCTATAGGAGGAGCACTCTCCAGGTTCAGGCTTGCATGAGTGGCAGAGCCCCAGTCCCTCTCTACAGGGAATATCAGCATTCCTGCAAATGAAAAGAGGTGCCTATCTGATCTGACTAGTCAGATCACTGGGTCAGGAGTGTATCTGGGAGGTGGGTAGGTTTCCTGCTGTCCTGGCAGGGGAGCTGAGGAGGCTCCCTCCCTTCCCCTTGAAAAGACCTCCATGTGTTTCCCTGAGAGCTCCCCCAACCACATCTGTCAAGGATGGCACCTTTGCCCCCCACTGGGAACTGCATTGACCAAACTGCTTTAACCACAGCTGGTTTTTATTCATGGATACCTCCCTTGAGTGGCCTAAAGCCTGAACTGTTCATCCAGGTAAAAAAAAAAAAGGTTGGGGGGATATAAATAAATAAATAAATGCATACTACTGGGGAATGAGATAAGCTTCAAGAGACCTCTGCCCTTCCAACACCAACAGAAACAGTGAACCTGCCCTCACACTGAGCACATTGCTACTACAACTAGCATCTGAGAAAGCCACCATACAAAGACTCCGTATAACCAAGGAACTCATACAGAGTCTGCACCCACGAAAGCACCCAGAGCCATAGGTTACAATAAACTCTAAACATCAAAGTCACATCCTCAAAGGGAAAAAAGATCTAAGAAACATCACAATTAATCAAAAATAAGTTCAAAAATAATTAGAAGAAGCAGTCTAACCAGGTGAGTGGAAATCAGAAAAATAATTCTGGCAATATGACAAAACAGGGTTCTATAACAACCATTAGCTCTCCAGCAATAGATCCAAACCAAGAAGAAATCTTTGAAATACCAGATAAAGAATTCAAAAGATTAATTATTAAGTTACTCAAGGAGATACAAGGGAGAACTGAAAACCAGCATAAATAAATTTAAAAATTAATTCAGGATATAAATAAAACTTTTCTAAAGAAATAGCTATTTTAAAGAAAAATCAATCAGAAATTCTAGAAATGAAAGACACATTTAGAGACTTACAAAATGCAGGGGAAAGTTTTGAAAGTAGGCTTGACCAAGTCGAAGAAAGAATTTCAGAGCTCAAAGACAAGGCTTTGAGTTAAACCAATTAGACAAAAATAAAGAAAAAAGAACTAACTTTTTTCTTTCTTTTTTTTAAAAAAAGAAAAGAAATGGAAAGTGTACCCAAGAAATACAAGATTATCTATAATGGCCAAATATAAGTATCACTGATGTTCCTGAGGAAGAAGATAAACAGAAAGTTTGGAAAACTTAGTTTAGGGAATAACTGAGGAAAACTTTCCTGGTCTTGTTAGAGATTTAGATATCTAAATATAATAGGCTCAAAGAACTCCTGGGGAATTATTTGCAAAAAGGACATGACCAAGGCACATAGTCATTAGGATATCTAAAGACAACATCATAGGAAGAATGCTAAGAGCAGTGAGGAAAAGCATCAGGTACCTATAAAGGAAAACCTATCAGACTAACAAGACTTCTCAGCAGAGACTTTATGAGCCAGAAGGAATTAGGGTCCTATCATTAGCTACCTTGTACAGAAAAAACTGTCAGCCAGGAATTTTGTATCCAACAAAACTAAGTAAAAACAGAAGGAGAAATAACATCTTTTTCAGACAAGAAATGCTAAGGGAATTTGTCCTAATAGACCAGTCCTACACCAGCTAAAACCTGTTTTGCTAAACTACATTTATGCACAACGAGCACAGAGATAAACTAAACCAAAAAAAAGTATGAATGAAACCACTGGGATCCTTCTATCCCCACCACCAATGATTGCTAATTACTAATTGCTAAGAGGATTTCTTTTTTTTTTTCTATTACCAAAATATCCATTTGGGTTTATTCAAATTTTTTTTTTATTTTTTTATTTATTTTATTTTATTATTATTATAGTTTTAGGGTACATGTGCACAATGTGCAGGTTAGTTACATATGTATACATGTGCCATGCTGGTCTGCTGCACCCATTAATTCGTCATTTAGCATTAGGTATATCTCCTAAAGCTATCCCTCCCCACTCCCCCCACCCCACAACAGTCCCCAGAGTGTGATGTTCCCCTTCCTGTGTCCATGTGTTCTCATTGTTCAATTCCCACCTATGAGTGAGAATATGCGGTGTTTGGTTTTTTGTTCTTGCGATAGTTTACTGAGAATGATGATTTCCAATTTCATCCAAGTCCCTACAAAGGACATGAACTCATCATTTTTTATGGCTGCATAGTATTCCGTGGTGTATATGTGCCACATTTTCTTAATCCAGTCTATCATTGTTGGACATTTGGGTTGGTTCCAAGTCTTTGCTGTTGTGGATAGTGCCGCAATAAACATATGTGTGCATGTGTCTTTATAGCCGCATGATTTACAGTCCTTTGGGTATATACCCAGTAATGGGATGGCTGGGTCAAATGGTATTTCTAGTTCTAGATCCCTGAGGAATAGCCACACTGACTTCCACCATGGTTGAACTAGTTTACAGTCCCACCAACAGTGTAAAAGTGTCCTATTTCTCCACATCCTCTCCAGCACCTGTTGTTTCCTGACTTTTTAATGATTGCCATTCTAACTGGTGTGAGATGGTATCTCATTGTGGTTTTGATTTGCATTTCTCTGATGGCCAGTGATGATGAGCATTTTTTCATGTGTTTTTTGGCGCATAAATGTCTTCTTTTGAGAAGTGTCTGTTTATATCCTTTGCCCACTTTTTGATGGGGTTGTTTGTTTTTTTCTTGTAAATTTGTTTGAGTTCATTGTAGATTCTGGATATTAGCCCTCTGTCAGATGAGTAGGTTGCGAAAATTTTCTCCCATTTTGTAGGTTGCCTGTTCACTCTGATGGTAGTTTCCTTTGCTGTGCAGAAGCTCTTTAGTTTAATTAGATCCCATTTGTCAATTTTGGCTTTTGTTGCCATTGCTTTTGGTGTTTTAGACATGAAGTCCTTGCCCATGCCTATGTCCTGAATGATAATGCCTAAGTTTACTTCTAGGGCTTTTATGGTTTTAGGTCTAACGTTTAGGTCTTTAGTCCATCTTGAATTAATTTTTGTATAAGGTGTAAGGAAGGGATCCAGTTTCAGCTCTCTACATATGGCTAGCCAGTTTTCCCAGCACCATTTATTAAATAGGGAATCCTTTCCCCATTGCTTGTTTTTCTCAGGTTTGTCAAAGATCAGATAGTTGTAGATAAATGGCATTATTTCTGAGGGCTCTGTTCTGTTCTATTGATCTAGATCTCTCTTTTGGTAGCAGTACCATGCTGTTTTGGTTACTGTAGCCTTGTAGTATAGTTTGAAGTCAAGTAGCGTGATGCCTCCAGCTTTGTTCTTTTGGCTTAGGATTGACTTGGCGATGCGGGCTCTTTTTTGGTGCCATATGAACTTTAAAGTAGTTTTTTCCAATTCTGTGAAGGAAGTCATTGGTAGCTTGATGGGGATGGCACTGAATCTATAAATTACCTTGGGCAGTGTGGCCATTTTCACGATATTGATTCTTCCTACCTATGAGCATGGAATGTTCTTCCATTTCTTTGTATCTTCTTTTATTTCATTGAGCAGTGGTTTGTAGTTCTCCTTGAAGAGGTCCTTCTATCTGATCTTTGACAACATGACAAAAACAAGAAATGGGGAAAGGATTCCCTATTTAATAAATGGTGCTGGGAAAACTGGCTAGCCATATGTAGAAAGCTGAAACTGGATCCCTTCCTTACACCTTACACAAAAATTAATTCAAGATGGACTAAAGACTTAAATGTTAGACCTAAAACCATAAAAACCCTAGAAGAAAACCTAGGCAATACCATTCAGGACATAGGCATGGGCAAGGACTTCATGTCCAAAACACCAAAAGCAATGGCAACAAAAGACAAAATTGACAAATGGGATCTAATTAAACTAAAGAGCTTCTGCACAGCAAAAGAAACTACCATCAGAGTGAACAGGCAACCTACAACATGGGAGAAAACTTTCGCAACCTACTCATCTGACAAAGGGCTAATATCCAGAATCTACAATGAACTCAACCAAATTTACAAGAAAAAAACAAACAACCCCATCAAAAAGTGGGCGAAGGACATGAACAGACACTTCTCAAAAGAAGACATTTATGGAGCCAAAAAACACATGAAAAAATGCTCACCATCACTGGCCATCAGAGAAATGCAAATCAAAACCACAATGAGATACCATCTCACACCAGTTAGAATGGCAATCATTAAAAAGTCAGGAAACAACAGGTGCTGGACAGGATGTGGAGAAATAGGAACACTTTTACATTGTTGGTGGGACTGTAAACTAGTTCAACCATTGTGGAAGTCAGTGTGGCGATTCCTCAGGGATCTAGAACTAGAAATACCATTTGACCCAGCCATCCCATTACTGGGTATATACCCAAATGACTATAAATCATGCTGCTATAAAGACACATGCACACGTATGTTTATTGCGGCATTATTCACAATAGCAAAGACTTGGAACCAACCCAAATATCCAACAATGATAGACTGGATTAAGAAAATGTGGCACATATACACCATGGAATACTATGCAGCCATAAAAAATGATGAGTTCATGTCCTTTGTAGGGACATGGATGAAATTGGAAATCATCATTCTCAGTAAACTATCACAAGAACAAAAAACCAAACACCGCATATTCTCACTCATAGGTGGGAATTGAATAATGAGATCACATGGACACAGGAAAGGGAATATCACACTCTGGGGACTGTGGTGGGGTGGGGGGAGGGGGGAGGGATAGCATTGGGAGATATACCTAATGCTAGATGACGAGTTAGTGGGTGCAGCGCACTAGCATAAACAATAAGAGAAGAAGAGAGGAATAAAAGATATACAAAACAACTAGCAAACAATGAATAAAATGACAGAAGAAGGTTCTTACCTATAATAACTTTGAATGTAAACAGATTAAATCCCCCACTTCAAATATATAGACTGGCTGAATGGATTTTTTAAATGACCCAACTATGTACTTCCTACAAGAAATTCACTTTACCTATCCAGAAACATACAGACTGAAAGTGAAGGGATGGAAAAAGACATTTTACCCAAGTGGAAACCAAAAGCAAATAGGAGTGGCTATGTTTATATCAGATAAAAATAAAACAGACAAGGGATAAATTCAGCAAGAGCATATAACAATAGTAACTCTATATGCTCCCAACACTGGAACACCTAAATATAGAAAATAAATATTTTTAAATCTAAAAGGAGAGATAGACTCCAATACAATAATAATTGTGGACTTCAATAAGCCACTCTCAACATTGGACAGGTCATCTAGACAGAAAGTCAACAAAGATACATTGTATTTAAATTTAATTTCACTTTAGACCAAATAGACTTAATAGACATTGACAGAATGGTTTGTGCAACAGCTGCAGAATACACTTTTTTTCCATTAGCACATGTAGCCCACACATTGGGCTACAAAGGAAGTCTCAAGAAATTTAAATGTACTGATATCAGAGATCGAGACCATCCTGGCTAACACACAGTGAAACCCCGTCTCTACTAAAAATACAAAAAAATTAGCCAGGTGTGGTGGCAGGTGTCTGTAGTCCCAGCCACTTGGGAGGCTGAGGCAGGAGAATGGCCTGAACTGAGGAGTCAGAGCTTGCAGTGAGCCAAGATTGAGCCACTGTACTCCAGCCTGGGTGACAGAGAGAGACTCCGTCCCAAAAAAAAAAAAGTACTGATATCACGTTAAGTATACTTTCTGCTGGCAAGGAAATAAACCTAGAAATCTGTAACAAAAATAACTTTCAAAATTGTACAAATACATGAAAGTTAACAACATGCTCCCAAACAACTAATGAATAAATAAAATATTAGGAAGTACATTTAAAATTTGTTGGATTAAATTAAAGTATAAGCACAATATATCAAAAGCTATGAGATACAGCAAAAGCAGTATTAAGAAGGAAGTGTATAGTAATAAACACCTACATCAAAAAAGTAGAAAGATTTCAAATAAACAATCTAATAATGCACCTCAAAGAACTAGAAGAGCAAAAGCAAACCAAACTCAAAATTAGTAGAAAAAAATGAAGTAATAAAGATTAGAACAAAAATAAATGAAATTGAAAGTAAAAAATAAAATACAAAAGATCAATAAAACAAAGAGTTGGGTTTAGCTAGACCAAGTGAGAACAAAACATTTAGCTAGACCAAGTGAGAACAAAAAGACTCAAATAAATGAAATCAGGAATGAAAAAGGAGGAGACACAACAGAAAATCTAAACAGGCTAATTACAAGTAATGAAATATAATCAGTAATAAAAACTCTCTCATCAAAGAAAAGCCCAGGACCTGATGGCTTTAAAGATGAATTCTACCAAACATTAAAAAAAAAAAGACTCAATACCAATTCTTCTCAAACTATTCCAAACATCAAAGAAGAAGGAATTCTTCTTAACTCATTCTATGAAGCCGGCATTACCCTTATACCAAAACCAGAATGGGATGCAAGAAGAAAAGAAAACCACAGACCAGCATCTCTGGTCAATAGAGGTGCCAAAATTCTCAGTTACATACTAGCAAACTAAATCCATCAGCACGCTACAAAGATAATTTACTATGATCAATTGAGCTTTATCCCAGGGATGAAGGATGTTTTGATACATTCAAATAAAAAATGACATAACATCATATTTATTGAAGAGCAACAGAGTGAATAGCAAAAATCATATGATCATCTCAATAAATGTAGGTAAAGCATTTGATAACATTCAAAATTTCTTCATGATAAAAAGCACTCAACAAAGTAAGTATAGAAAAAGCATACATAACAAAATAAAGGATAGGCATGACAAATCCACAGCCACTATCACACAAAATGGGCACTGAAAGTTTTCCTCTAAGAACGGGAACAAGAGAAGTATGTCCAGTTCCACCACTTTTATTGAACATAGTGCTGGAAGTCTTAGCCACAGAGATCAGGCAAGAGAAAGAAAAGAGTGGGCAAGGATGTCAAATTTTCCCTGTTTGAAGATGACATAATATGTGCATAGAAAACCCTAAGTGCTCCACCAAAAGTCTCTTAGAACTAGTAAACCAATTCAGGAAAGCAGCAGGATTCCAAATCAACCTACAAAATCACTAGTGTTTCCATACACAAATGATGAGCTAGCAGAAAAAGAAAGAAACCAATGCCATTTACATTAGGTAGATATGTATATGTGTTTATATATATGTGTGTGTGTGTGTGTGTGTGTGTGTGTATATATAAAATTTCTTAATAAATTTAACCAAGTAGTTGAAAGATCTCTGCAAGAAATACTATAAAACACTGATGAACGAAATGGAAAAGGTCACCAAAAAATGGAACATCATCTCCTGTTCATGAATTGGAAGAAATAATATTGTGAAAATGACTCTACTACTAAAAGCAATATATAGAGAGAATGCAATTCCTATGAAAATACCAATGAGATTTTTCACAAAATTTCAAAAAATTCTAAAATTTATGTGGAATCACAGAAGACTCCAAATAGCAAAATCCGTCCTGAGGAAAAAGAACTTAGACGGAGATATTACACTACCAACTTCAAATTATACTACAATGCTGTAGTAACCAAAAACTTATAGTACTGGTATAAAAAGAGATGCATAGATCAATGGAACAGAACAGAGAATCCAGAAATACATTCATGAATTTAGAGCCAACTAATTTTTGACAAAGGTGCAAAGACCATTCAGTTAGAAAAAAACAGTTTCTTCAATAAGTCGTGCTGAAAAAACTGGATCTTCATATTTAGAAGAATGAAACTAGACCCCTAACTCTCACCCTATTCAAAAATCAAATCATGATGGATGTATTAGTCAGGGTTCTCTAGAGGGACAGAACTAATAGGATAGATGTGTGAACCCCATTTCTGGTGCCAAAATCTGTATTAGTCAGTGTTCTTTAGAGGGACAGTACTAGTAGGATAGATGTATGCATAAAGGGGAGTTTATTAAGGATTATTGACTCACACGATCTCAAGGTGAGGTCCCACAGTAGGCCATCTGAAAGCTGAGGAGCAAGGAAGCCAGCCCGAGTCCCAGAGCTGAAGAACTTGGAGTTTGATATTCAAGGGCAGGAAGGATCCAGCAATGGAGAAAGATGTAGGCTGGGAGGCTAAGCCAGTCTAGTCTGTTCACATTTTTCTGCCTGCTTTTATTCTGGCTGCACTGACAGCTGATTAGATTGTGCCCACCCAGATTGAGGGTGGGTCTGCCTTTCCCAGTCCACTGACTCAAATGTTAATCTCCTTTGACAACACCCTCACAGACACACCCAGGAACAATACTTTGCATCCTTCAATCCAGTCAAGTTGACACTCAATATTAACAATCACAATAGATTACAGACTTAAATGCAAGACATGACACTTTGAACTAGTAGAAGAAAATATTTGGGAAACACTTCAGAACATTGGTCTGGGCAAAGATTTTTTGGGTAAGACCTCAAAAGCACAGGCAACAAAAACAAATAGACAAATGTGATCATATGAATCTAAAAAGCTTCTGCACAAGAAAGAAACAAATCAACAAAGTGAAGAGACAACCTACAGAATGAGAAAAAATATTTGCAAATTATCCATCTGACAAGGGATTAGTAACTGGAATATATAAAGAACTTTACTCAATAGCAAAAAAAAAAAAAAAAAAAAAACAAAAAAAAAAAAACCAAAATCATTCTATTAAAAAAATTAGGCAAACTATCTGAATAGACATTTCTCAAAAGAGGAGATACAAATGGCAAATAGATACATTAAAAAATGCTCAACATCACTAATCATCCAGGAAATGCAAGTCAAAACCATGGTAAGATATCATCTCACTGCTGCTAACATGTGTAATTCTTTTTATACATTGTTGGATTCGATTTGATATTTTGTTGAGGATTTTGCATCTAGGTTTGTGAGCAATATTAATCTGTATAATTTTTTGTTTCTTAATTTCTTCTTTTTTTTCTTCTTTCTCTTTTCTTTGATTTCTTGTAATGTCTCTGTCTGTATGTGGCATTAGGGTACCGCTGGCCTCATAAAATGAGTTACGGAATATTCCCCCTGCTTCTGTCTTTCAAAAGACACAGAAGAAAATTGGTATAATTTCTTCCTTAAATGTTTGGTAGGATTCATCAGTGAGCCAACTGGGGTCTTGGCTTTCTGTTTTGGAAGGTTATTAATGATTGTTTAATAGATATAGGCCTATTTGGATTATCTACTAGCACTTTCCTTTTCTTCCTTTCTTTCCCCTTCTCATATCTTTTGGATAGATGGAAGGTGAATGATGGTATATAAATGTGATTCAAAATTATGTAGCTGATAAAAATTGTAACATTGATAGAGAAATATAGGCCCTATATGCATTATTTAAATACCTATATAATAAGCATAAAACATGTTTATGCAGTAAGTACAAAGATTAAAGGACAATATGAAAAGTGTAGTTAGGTGAATCTTACAAGTTATTTAGAGAATGTGGAAGGCTAGTTAAACAGAGTGACATACAGAAAAGAAGACTAGTATTAAATCAGTGGCAATATCCTTCTGTGTTCGGCCACTCTTGTGTTCCTATAAAGAAATACCTGGCTGGTGTATATGTGCCATATTTTCTTAATCCAGTCTATCATTGTTGGACATTTGGGTTGGTTCCAAGTCTTTGCTATTGTGAATAATGCCGCAATAAACATACGTGTGCATGTGTCTTTATAGCAGCATGATTTATAGTCATTTGGGTATATACCCAGTAATGGGATGGCTGGGTCAAATGGTATTTCTAGTTCTAGATCCCTGAGGAATCGCCACACTGACTTCCACAATGGTTGAACTAGTTTACAGTCCCACCAACAGTGTAAAAGTGTTCCTATTTCTCCACATCCTCTCCAGCACCTGTTGTTTCCTGACTTTTTAATGATTGCCATTCTAACTGGTGTGAGATGATATCTCATAGTGGTTTTGACTTGCATTTCTCTGATGGCCAGTGATGATGAGCATTTTTTCATGTGTTTTTTGGCTCCATAAATGTCTTCTTTTGAGAAGTGTCTGTTCATGTCCTTCGCCCACTTTTTGATGGGGTTGTTTGTTTTTTTCTTGTAAATTTGTTTGAGTTCATTGTAGATTCTGGATATTAGCCCTTTGTCAGATGTGTAGGTTGCGAAAATTTTCTCCCATGTTGTAGGTTGCCTGTTCACTCTGATGGTAGTTTCTTTTGCTGTGCAGAAGCTCTTTAGTTTAATTAGATCCCATTTGTCAATTTTGTCTTTTGTTGCCATTGCTTTTGGTGTTTTGGACATGAAGTCCTTGCCCACGCCTATGTCCTGAATGGTAATGCCTAGGTTTTCTTCGAAACCATCATTCTCAGTAAACTATCGCAAGAAGAAAAAACCAAACACCGCATATTCTCACTCATAGGTGGGAATTGAACAATGAGATCACATGGACACAGGAAGGGGAATATCACACTCTGGGGACTGTGGTGGGGTCGGGGGAGGGGGGAGGGATAGCATTGGGAGATATACCTAATGCTAGATGACACGTTAGTGGGTGCAGCGCACCAGCATGGCACATGTATACATATGTAACTAACCTGCACAATGTGCACATGTACCCTAAAACTTAAAGTATAATTTAAAAAAAAAAAAAGAGAATTGTCCAAGTGAGAAAGACAAGGAGAGAATATAAACATTAAACTAATGCTGAGGTTGGTGCACAAAAAAAAAAAAAAAAAAAAAAAAAAAAAAAAAAAAAAAAGAAATAACTGGCTGGGTATGGTGGCTCATGCCTGTAATCCCAGCATTTTGAGAGGCCAAGGCGGGAGAATAGGTTGAGGTCTGGAGTTTAAGACCAGCCTGGGCAACAAAGCAAGACTGTATCTTTAAAAAGAAAACAAACAAACAAACAAAAAGGAAATACCTGAGACAGGATAATTTATAAAGAAAAGAGGTTTAATTGAATCATGACTCTGTAGGCTGTACGGGAAACATAGTGGCATCTGGTTCTGAGGAGCCCTCGGGGAGCTTTGACTCATGTTAGAAGGCAAAGCAGGAGCAGGCACATCACATGGCATAAGCAGGAGCTAGAGAGCAGGGGCAGGTGCAACACACTTTTAAATGACCAGATCTTGTAAGAACTCACTAACACGAAGGCTGCACCAAGCCATGAGGGATCTGCCCCCATGATCCAAACACCTCCCACCAGGCACCACATGTAGCACTGGGGATTACAATTCAACATGAGATTTGGGCAGGGACACAGACCCAAACCATATCAACCTCTAATGCCAGTAGAACCACTGACTAGCTTCAGGATCTCAAGAAAGGATTTTAAAGCTCAAATAGTCCCAGCACTGTAATAATTACAGGAGAAAATGTAACTACAATGTTTGGAAGTAGCGTCTACTCAATAATTGTGATTCTCTGTTCTTGTCCAATCCTATGTTTAATATAAAAACTCAACTAAAGGTAAGTAAAAGCACTGGGGAATGACCTTGCCATGTGGTATTAAGGAGAAGATTCTCAAGCACAACTGCCTCAGTTGAAATTACCAAATCTGCATATAGAAGGAAGATGTGAGATTTTTTATTCAAAGTTAACTAGAAACCCAGCATGAGGCAGATGGCTGGGAGCAGTCCAGGGAGTGTCCAAGATCTGACACAGAAAATCATGTTCGGAGGGGAGGCTTGTTGCTCATTCCCTTTTGTGTCCAGCTGCCTGGGTTCCCTTCTCCACCGTTTTATTTGATAATAAGCTATCTGGAGAACTTGCTGAGCCCAGTGCTGAGCCAAGAAGAGAAATATGTGAGCTTTGAAGGTGCAGTTTCATTTCGAGGAATAGAGAATATCTATTCAAAGTTGGGGCAGTTCAGAGCAGAGTGAGCTGCAAACTGTTGTGCAGGTATGGGGCTGGAAGGCTTCATACAACCTCATAGTCCTGGGACCCAAACTTTTATTCAGACCATGGAAGCAGGTGTGACAAGAGTTGGGCAAGGCAGACCTTTAATTCACCCTGATAGGCTGGAGTGTGGGCTTATGGCATTTCTCCTTTGACCCAATTAACCTCCACTCCCAATGTATCTCTGTGCAGAAGGCTAAGCTAGGTGTGTCAGACATTGTAAATCCTCAACATAAATTATAATTTAACCTAGAATACAGAGACTATGTAGCAGGAGGAGAGGAAATGTGGAGATATTAATCTCTTCTCCCTTATCAGAAAGGAACCTAGCGTAAGAAATTTCATGCTTAATAGGCCAAAGAGTAAATCAGAAAACTCCATGGGTGATGGTATGCTCATGGTGGTGGTGGTGGTGGTGGGGAATTCTTTGCCCTGTGACCTCCCTTGGATTAATTTGTCCCCAGCACAATGGGAAAAAACATTTAATCCTCGGAGTTTTAAAAATTTATTTATTTATTTTTTGCCTGAGAGTGACTCTGATCCTGTTTCTGACGGTCATGTTCGTCAGCATTGTAGTGAGTAAGTCACTGGCCTTGTAGCTTCTGGAGTGATGGGAGTGATCCAAGATCCCCAGTTCCCATGTCACAAATGAGGATCCCACACATCTGGGGCAGCGATGGAAAAGGAGGCATGGCTGGAGGGTTAGGGTAGGCTAATTGCTGCTGGGATGGGAGAGGATGCAGAGGGAGCTGTGTCCCTCCTCTCTATCCCCAGCTTTGGAGGAACCACGTGTGCTTTGTCAGCTGAAGTTGGAGCAACATTCAATGGTGAGTGCCCTCTTACAAACAGCTCAATGTGAACATAATGAGAACACCAGGGTCTGCTGGAGGCAGAGTGGCCTGGTGGTAAGAACTCAGGCTCTGGGGTCAGGCAGAGCTGGTTCAAGTCCTGGCTCTGCATCTTCTAAGATGCACATCTCTTGGTTAGAGCCTTAACCTCACCAAACCTCAGTTGCACCATGTTCACAGTATCCCACCTCTGAGGCTGCTGTTGGCAGTAATGAGATGATGTGGACAGTCTCAAGAGGTGGCACATGGTCACCTCTAGGAGGAAGGGCATCAGGTGTGTGTAGAATGTAGTGTGGGCTTGGGGCAGGAAGTGAGGGAGTGGTGAGAGATGAAGAGAGGTGAGGAGAACTTCTAGAATTGAAGGTAGCTACTCTTGTTACAAAAGCAGCTGACGGGCTGTATTAGGGATCTCTAGAGGGACAGAACTAATAGGATAGATGTATGTATAAAGGAGAGTTTATTAAGGGATATTAACTCACACAATTATAAAGTCCCACAATAGGCCGTCTGCAAGCTTAGGACCAAAGAAGCCAGACCTAGTCCCAAAGCTGAAGAACTTGGAGTCCGATGTTCAAGGGCAGGAAGCATCCAGCATGGGAGAAAGATGTAGGCTGGGAGGCTAAGCCAGTCTAATCTCTCCACATTCTTCTGTCTGCGTTTTATTCTGGCCACTCTGACAGCTGGTTAGATGGTGCCCACCTGGATTGAGGGTGGGTCTTCCTCTCCCAGTCCACTGACTCAAATGTTAATCTCCTTTGGCAACACCCTCACAGACACAACCAGGACCAATACTTTGCATCCTTCAATCCAATCAAGTTGACACTCAGTATTAACTGTCACAAAGGCCCACAGAGCTGGACCCCATCCCAGACGCTGACTGCATGGCCCTCTCCTACCTCTGAGGTTGTCTTGACCACCTCACCCTCAAAACCCCTAGAGTCAGCCACCGCAGTGCAGCTGAGCTCACTGGGGGTGCTTCTGGCATTCTGAGTCAGGGGATAGCGGGCCTGATGTCAGGGGTGAGGAGAGCTGGTCCTGGGGGCAGTGTGCTGCAGTGGGAGCTGGACAAATCCCCTGATCCTTGGGGGCTGAAACAGGAGCTGGAAGGAGCCTGTGTCAAAACATGGACCTGGGAGGGTTTCCAAGTTTAGAGAAGCCTGGAGCCCGCTTGAGGACTGGGGATCAGGCATTTGACCTCCTCCACCACCCAGTAGCCTCTGAGACACTGACATAGCTGCGGGAAGAGCTAAGTAGCAATAATGAGCATAATTTGGAGACTCAGGAGACACCATCCTAGGGACCCAGGTCGTCCTCACCGGCCCCTGACAGCTCCTTGCTTGGGTCTCCCAGTGACCTAGGAACAGGCTGATGTGAAGTGCAACCCAGACTTCATCCTGTGCCAAGTATTCTGGGAAGTGAGAGGAGGGTGCAGGGGTCATAGAGGGTCTGCCTCATTCAGCACCAGGGACAGCGATCGACCCCGGACTCCTTGGCCTCTGTGGCTGCAGGGACACTGGCTCAGGTGCATCCCATACACTCCTGCAGTTCAGAGTCCAAGGCGTGAGCACCTTGCAGGGTCCCACAGAGTGGGGGCTTGGGAGGAAAGATGACACCATGGACTGGAGCAGAGCATGAGTTGATGAGGACAGGACCACAGCTAGGATATATAGCAAATGTCCAGTCCAGAAACCATGGAACCAGAGTTAAGGAAGAAGCATTGTGCTGAAGGAAGGCAAATGTACTCAAGAATCCCCCAGAAGGATGGAGTGAAGTTCTGGTAAAGGGAATGGAAATCAAGGAAAACTCAAAGACAGAAGGGAGCCAGAATATGGGTGCCATTGAATGTCCTGCTGAGGAATTAGGACTAAATCTTCTAGACAGTGTTTCTGCCAGTGTGCCCTTTGGGATGCTAGACACCTCAGATAATATATATTCAGAGGACTCTGGATATCACTAAGCTTGGCAAAATGACACATTGTCCATTATCCTCCTAAAAATTCACAATTATTATAACATATTAAAAGTACTATGACTCCCTGCAATAAAGAACTTCCTGTTTCATATTGCTTGATCCATAATTTAGACACACACACAGACACACACACTTGCAATTTAAAAAAAAACAGTAGGCATGACAATAGGAGAAATGACAGCCAGTTTGGTTTATGCCAAAATTAGACCCTTGAGGCAGTTGAGAAATTGTCTTGTTGGAAAACCTCTCCAAGCTCCAGAAAGGGGAATTTACAAGGTCTCAAGTATTCTCAAAGCCCAAAAAGAGTTTCATGTGAAAGTTGAAGCTGAGCCATCTTTCCACTTGTAAATGTCCTTCAGGTACCATCTCCTGAGGTCAGTGCAATAATAGTCACCATCTTTAGTTGGAGTGATGAAATTCTGCCTAAGAAAAAGATATAGTCAAGAGATATGTGGGACCATAGCTAAGACCAGGGGTTGGGTCGTCTTCTAAAAAGAACAAGACACAGTGGACCCCACAGACAGGGGCCATTGTCAATGTCACAGTTGAATGTACTGGCTGAATGCTCTGGCTTGACATCCATCAGAACCATTATTAAGGCGTATGTGATCATTCAACTCAGACACATATGACACTCAAGCACCTTGTCTGAAAATGGAGAAAACAATGACATTCGCCTCAAAGGCTCAGTGAAGAAATAAGGGCACAGTGTAGTGCCTAGCTGAGTGTGGGATAAGTGGTAATTAAGAATATTATTAAATGGTATTGATAAAAAGGTAAGGAGTTTGGCTCTACCCAGTATAAATGGTTAGGTGAATCAACTAGTCCACTGACATATATGGAGTCCTGCTGAGTGTCAACTCAAGTTCCAGGCACTATGGACTCAAAGGTGAGTCAGATCAAGCCCTTGCCCCTGGAAGATTGCTCATGTGTGGGGTGATGCACCTGTGATCTGACAGCACAGTCCAGAGTTGCATCCTGAAATGAAAGCAGGTGCTGTTAACATTAGCCTCCCAATTGGCAGATGGAGGTGCAGAGAGATCAATTCACTTTACCAAAGCCACACAGCCAGGAAGTGGATGAGCCAGGATTTGAACCTTAGTCTGTCTGAGATGAGTCAGTGCTGTGAAGCAAGGAGCTATCCAGGCTATGCTACAAGTCTCCCCTTAATCATTAATCTGTGTTTAAGAAACTGAAGAGAAACAAACAATTCGCAATGGTGATCAGCTGGTCTCTGTTTAAAGAAGAAAACAAGCCCCTGGAGCATTCAACCAAAGTGATGTCATGGGGTCTCCAAACCAGGCAATTAGTAAAATTTATCTGAACCTGCCACCTCCAGCCCTGCTCTAAAGCTCTCAGTGCACATCGTTCAAAGCCCCCAGGTATCTTTTCTGGAGGACACAGCAGAGAAGAACATGGTTAGAGCCTTGATTGGTATTAAAGATCCCAATGGGACAACTGTCTGCACAACTCGCCAAACTCCACTGCATAACAATCCCCAGGAAGCCAATTCTAAGTTTTGATAGTGAACAAGCCATGGGATTTTCACTAACACCTGGTGACTCATTAAAAGTTGACACACAATTTCCATCTCCACTTCATTTTTTTTCTTTTTTTTTTTTTTGCAAATGAAAGGGTCTCTAAGGATCAGCTACAGAGCTGCAGGGAGGTTAGGTTTGAATGCATAGCTCAGGGATTAAGTGGAGACAGAAACACGGCTCATCTTACTCTGGGGAAATGGTCCCAGAGAGTTTTCCATTTAGCCTCAGGTCCAAACTTAGGTGTCTGATTAGCAGCAAGAGACATAGGTAGGCATTGGAAGTGGCTCTTTCTTCCCCAAGACACTATAGTCCCAGAGCTCCACATAGCCAAATGTTACAGAAAGCACCACAGCATCTTGGACATCAGAACCAAAGTATGCAAAGTACTTGGTGCCAAGAGTGGCCCCTGTGAGCATTTTGTGCTGCCCGATGGGATGGAGGGTAAGGTCTCCAGAGCTCCGAGGTGGGCCAGGCTTCTGCTTCCTCCATCCTAATACTTACCACACTCTCCTTATTATATAAATGACTTGTTCAATACCTACTATCTTTCTCTACTCAACGTTCCCCCCAAGAAGATAAGGCCACACTGGATTTGCCCAACCTTGTGTTCTCACTGCTTGGCACCTAATAGATGCTCAATAAATAATCGCAGAGAAAACAAACAAATGACTCTCTCATTGCAACCCCATTCCATGTCTGTGAGTTGCAAAACCCTTCTAAAATGTGGATGGCTATTCTCCAGTTAATCTGAAATTCATTTTGTAGATGTAGTTGACATCATTTGAACCCACCTGCCCTTATGTGTGTATCCCCTGTGTCAACTCAGGTCTGATGGATTATGGGGAAAGGTCCTTTGGATGCAAACCTCTGCCTGTCTTTTAGGCTCCTTGAGCCACTCCTCACTCCTAGCTGCCCAAGGCCCCTTCCATATTGGCCTTCTTCGGTTCCTTGGATGAGCAGTCATTTTCCCACCCTAAGTCCTTTGCACATGCCCTTCCCTCTGCTTGGTGCACAACCTTTCCTCTCCCTCTGCAGAATGACTCAAATGAAGTGCTACCTCCTCCGTGAAGTTCTCTCCTATCAGCCTGTCCTGCTTTCTGAGGATTCATTTGCCTACTCCTGTAGCCACTACCATCCCTTCCTTATGCTCCTCCTGCTCTTGTCTGAAATTCAGTTATTCATCATCTACCTTCTCTCCTCCACTGTAAAGTCCACAAGAACAGGCACTAAGTCTGCACTGGCCATTGCAGTGTCCACAGCTCCTGGCTCAGTGATGAGCTCCAATGCTCTGGATACATCTGTTAAGTGTGTGGTAGCTGAGGCTGAACTTCCTCTGAGCTGGAGATAAGAGTTATCTCATGCACAGTCTTTAGGGGTTGAGGCTGATCACTCTCATCATCTTAAGCAGCCAGTGTGGCTCTTTCTATTTCTCCCTGTTACCAAAGAGCAGATCAAGCATGAGGTTACCTGTTTCTACTAATATTTATTGTCAGGCAGTGCTTATCTCAGATGGAGGAGACCTCTTGAGCAAGAAGTTGACCAAGACATTGAAGAGCCCTTCAACCCAACTCAGCCTTCCGATCTTTAGTGAAAATGTTATCCTATGAATATTTATGACACACCTAATATGTGCTAGAATGGTGACTGCGACCTGGATTCCACCTCTAAGAGCTTCTGGGCAAAGAAGGGAGACAGACCAGTGCATCAGTCATTCAGATACCGCAAGATAAATGCAATGAAAATGCTGCAGGCTCCTGCTTACAGCCCTTTTCCCTTCTCTGAAACTCATTGAGGTGAAAAGATCCAAAAAAGGAATTCATCTAGAATAAATTACCATTAATACTAAAGAGAACCTGCGTGGCTTGTTTCACTTGACACAATGTCTTCTAGGTTCATCCATGTTGTCGTGAATGAGAGGATTTCCTTCTTTTTCAAGGCTGAATAGTATTCCATGTGTATTTATTACCTCATCCATTTATCCGTTGATGTACACTTAGGTTGATTCCATCTCTTGACTTTTGTGAATAGTGCTGCAATGAATGTGGGAGTGAAGATATCTCTTTAATATACTGATTTCATATCCTTTGGGTATATACTATACCCAGATTATATGATATGCTGGATATTATATGCTGGATTATATGATAATTCCATTTTTAATTTTCTGAGGAACCTCTATACTGTTTTTTATAATGGCTGTACTCATCTACAATCCCACCTACAGTTTACAAGAGTTCCCTTTTCTTCACATTCTTGCCAACATTTTTTTTATCTTTCATCTTTTTGATGTTGGTCAAAGAACATAAAATTTCAGTTAGACAGGAAGACCAAGAGATCTAGTGCATCATGATGACTATAATTAATAACAATCTATTGTATATTTGAAAATTAACGAGAGTAGATTTTGAGTATTGCCATCACAGAAAAGAATGATAACTATGTGGGATAATGCACATGTTAACAGTCTTGAATGAACCATTCCGCAGTGTATACAGATATCCAAACGTCATGTTGTACAGCATAAATACATACACATTAAAAAAATGAGTATCTGCCAGATTTCATGTATTTGGGATCAGATGGAAGAAACAGAGGAATTTGTCGCACAGTCCCTGACTCAAGGGCAGAATGCAGTGAAAGGAAGTAGATGGAGAAGATGTTTCTTTTTCTTTTCTCTTTCTTTTCTTTCTCTTTTCTTTTTCTTTTCTTCCTCCTTTCTTTCTTTCTTTCTTTCTTTCTTTCTTTCTTTCTTTCTTTCTTTCTTTCTTTCTTTCTTTCTTTCTTTCTTTCTTTCTCTTTCTTTCTTTTCTTTCTTTCTTTCTTTTTTTGGAGATACAGTCTCACTCTGCCACCCAGGCTGGAGTGCAGTGATTTGATTGATCCCGGGTGAAAGTTGCGTGGGGGGAACACCGTCGTGTACCATCCTCGGCGCGTCTCCGTGAGTGGTGCTGCGAGTGCGCATGTCTGCACGCATCTCCAGGTGTGCATGGTGCCAGGACGCTCTGCAGGTGCGTGTCCACCTCCGCGTGCAGGGTCTCTGCCTCTGTGAGGGCTCAGGTCTGAACATTCTTGCTAGTGCGCGCGCGTGCCGGTTGGGTGCACGCTTGGTGTTGGCGACAGAGCCTGCAGCACGTGGGGAGAGGTGGCAGGCGGATGCAGGTACATGGACAGGTGTGTGAGGGACACAGTGGGCACCCGTGTCTCAGTCTGTGGAGGCGGAAGCCGCCCATCCCTGAGCTTTCCTGAGGAGCCTCCCCCTCTGCTTTCAGACACAGCTGGGGTGGGGCTCAGCGCTGTCCTGGGCGGGAGCAGGAAGGCTGAGCCGGGACAGCGCTGTGGGTTCTGCCTCCCTTAGCTCCGGACTGACCCTGGGCACCCCAGGACCCTCTCCCTTCCTGAGCACAGGCTAGGCTGTGAACACAGTGCAGAGACAGGGAGAGGTAGAACAAGGCTGAGGGTGGCCCACGGTCCATTTTTTTTTTTTTTTTTTGAGATGGAGTTTCGCTCTGTCACCCAGGCTGGTATGCAGTGGCGCAATCTCGGCTCACTGCAACCTCCTCCTCCCGGGTTCAAGCAATTCTCCTGTCTCAGTGATTCTCCTGTGATTCTCAGTGATTCTCCTGCCTCAGCCTCCTGAGTAGCTGGGATTACAGGCATGTGTCGCCACGCCCAGCTAATTTTTGTATTTTTAGTAGAGACAGGGTTTCACCAGGTCGGCCAGGCTGGTCTCGAACTCCTGACCTCAGGCGATTCACCTGCCTCAGCCTCGCAAAGTGCTGGGATTACAGGCGTGAGCCACCGTGCCCGGCCCCATGGTGTACTTTTTAAAAATTGAAATAAAATTCTCATAATATTGAATTAAATAGTATAAAGTGTACAATTTAGTGGTGTTTAGTACATTCACAAGGTTGTACAACCACCACCTCTATCTAGTTTCAGAATATTTTTGTCCCCACCCTTAAAAACCCGTACCCATGAGCAATCACTCCCCATTCCCCCCTCCCAGCCCCTGTCAACCAACACCTGCTTTCTGTCTCTATGGATTGGCCTGTTCTGGACATTTCATAGCAATGGGATCAGAATATATGTGACTCTTTTGTCTGGCTTCTTCCACTCAATATCGTGTTTTCAAGGCTCCTCATTTTGCATGGGTCATGATCCGTGTTGCATGGGTCAGTGCTTTATTCCTTTTTATTTTTTATAGGTATATAGTAGGTGTGTATACTTATGGGGTACATGAGCTGTTTGGACAAAGGCATACGATGAGTAATAATTACATCAGGGTAAATACAGGATCCATCACCTCAACCATCACCTCAAGCATTTGTTGTTTCTTTGTGTTACAAACATTCCAATTATATATATATATATATATATAATTTTTTTTTGACAGAGTCTTGCTCTGTCGCCCAGGCTGGAGTGCAGTGGCATGATCTTGGCTCACTGCAACCTCTACCTCCCAGGTTCAAGTGATTCTCCTGCCTCAGCCTCCCGAGTAGCTGGGACTACAGGCACATGCCACCACACCCAGCTAATTTTTGTATTTTTAGCAGAGACGGAGTTTCACTATGTTGGCCAGGATGGTCTCGATCTCTTGACCTTGTGATCTGCCCGCCTTGGCCTCCCAAAATGCTGAGATTACAGGCATGAGCCACCACACCCGGCCTCCAACTATACTTATTATATTAACTAATTATATTTAGCTCTTATAAAATATACATTAAATTATTGTTGATTGTAATCCCCCTGTTGTGATATCAAATACTAGATCTTATTCATTCTGTCTAACTATACTTTTTTACGCATTAATCATCCCCACTCCCCCCCAGCTATGTGCACTACCCTTCCCAGCCTCTAATAAACATCCTTCTGCTCTCTATGTCCCTGAAAGCAATTCTTTTAACTTTTGGCTACCACAAATGAATGAGAACATGCAAAGTCTGTCTTTCTGTGCCTGGCTTATTTCACTTGACATAATGACCTCCAGTTCCATTCATTTTGTTGCAAAGGACTGGATCTCATTCCTTTTTTGTGTCTGAGTAATACTCCATTGTGTATATGTACCACATTTTCTTTAACTAATTCTCTGTTGATGGACACTTAGGTTTCTTCCGAATCTGGGCTATTGTGAATAGTGCTGCAGTAAGCATGAGTGAAGAAATCTCTTCAATGTACTAATTTCCTGGCTCACATCTGTAATCCCAGCACTTTGGGAGGCTGAAGTGGGTGGATCACTTGAGGTCAGGAGTTTGAGACCAGCCTGGCCAAAATGGTGAAACCCCTCTCTACTAAAAATACAAAAATTAGCTGGGTGTGGTGGCAGGCACCTGTAATCCCAGCTAAGTGGGAGGGTGATGCAGGAGAATCTCTTGAACCTAGGAGGTGGAGGTTGTAGTGAGGTGAGAATATGCTATTGCACTCCAGCCTGGGCAATACAGTGAGACTGTCTCAAAAATAAAATTATGATTTTCTTTCTTTAGGGTATATGCCTAGCAGTGAGATTGCTGGATTGTAAGGTAGTTCTATTTTAGTTTTTGGGAAACTTCCATACTGTTCTCCATAGTGGCTGTACTAATTTACATCGCCACCAACAGTGTATGAGGATTCCCTTTTCTCTGTGTTCTCACCTGGATTCTCTATCTTTTGGACAAAGCTATTTATTGTCTTCTATCTTTTAGATAAAAGCTGTTTTAACTGGCATGAGCTTTCAAAAATTTAGATTAAATTTATTTAACCTGAAATTATCCTTTAAATATTTTAAAGTGGACAATCAGTGGCATTTAGTACATTAACATGTTGTGCAGCTACTACCTCTAGTTACAAGACATTGTCACCATTCCAAAAAGAACTTCATATCCATTCATCAGTCATTCCCCATCCCACGCTAGCCCCATTCCCTGACAACCACACATCTGCTTTCTTTCTCAGTGGATTTAACTATTCTGGACATTTCTTATAAATGGAATTATATACTATGTGGCCTTTTGTGTCTGGCTTCCTTCACTCAGCCTCATGTTCTCAAAGTGCATCCACGCTGTTGCATGTATCACTGATTCAATCTTTGCGTGGTTGCATAATATTTCATTGTGTGGTCGGACCACATTTTGTTTATCCATTCATTCATTGATCCAGTTTGCATTGTAACATAAACTTTTGTATTTTGCATCTAGCCTGTTTGCAGACTGGCAAGAAAGAGAGTGGGAGAGGAGTCACAGCCTCCTAGTTTAGTTTGTTGGGGAACTTCCATAAACTAAATAAAGTAGAAGGGCTCCTATTGGTGCAGGGAGGAGAGCTGCCCTGGCAGAGAAATTGGGCAGATCTGACTCTGTGGCCACTCAGGGAAGGTGATGAGAGAAGCCATGGCTGATAGCCTAGGTTTTTGCTGTTAGGTTTGGGATTGGAGGATTGGGGTTGGGGTCAAAAAGAGGAGGAGACCAGCAGAGTCACGTAGTGGAAGCATGCTGGGCCCATAGCCTAGAGGTCAGTGGACCATAACCATTTTCTGCTAAGAAGTTTTTGACTGGGCATGGTGGCTCACACCTATAAATCCCAGCACTTTGGGAAGCTGAGGCAGGCTGATCACTTGAACTCAGAAGTTCAAGACCAGCCCGAGCAACATGGTTAAACCCCATCTCTACTAAAAATACAAAAATTAGCCAGGTGTGGTGATGCGGGCCTGTAATCCCAGCTACTCAGGAGGCGGAGGCAGGAGAATTGCTTGAACCCAGGAGGCGGAGGTTGCAGTGAGCCGAGATCATGCCACTGCATTCCAGCAGGGACAGAGTGAGACTCTGTCTCAAAGAAAAAAAAAAAAAAAAGCGGAATTGTGATAGAGAAAGAGTAATTCACACAGAGCTGGCTCTGCAGGGGACTGGAGTTTTATTATTACTCAAATCAGTCTCCCTGAGCACTTGGGGAGCAGAGTTTTTAAGGACAACTTGGTGGGTGGAGGGGAAGCCAGTGAGCCAGCAGTGCTGATTGGTCAGAGATGAAATCAAAGCTGTCTTCTTGCGGAGAGTCAGTTCCTGGGTGGGGGCCACAAGATCAGTTGAGCCAGTTTATCGACCTGGGTGGTGCCAGCTGATCCATCAAGTGCAGGATCTGCAAAATATCTCAAGCACTGATCTTGGGAGCAATTTAGGGAGGGTCAGAATCTTGTAGCCTCCAGCTGCATGACTCCTAAACCATAATTTCTAATCTTGTGGCTAATGTTAGTTCTACAAAGGCAATCTAATCCCCAGACAAGAAGGAGGTCTGCTTTGGGAAAGGGCTGTTATCGTCCTTGTTCCAAACTATAAACTATAAACTATAAACTAAATTTCCCCCAAAGTTAGTTCACCCTATGTCCTGGAATGAACAAGGACAGCTTGGAGGTTAGAAGCAAGATGGAGTTGGTTAAGTTAGATCTCTTTCGCTGTCTCAGTCATAATTTTGCAAAGGTGGTTTCAATTTTCCAGGGGAGCAATGAGGCTCAGAGAGGGGAAGCAACCTGCCCTGCATCTCACAGCTAGAAAGCAGTGGTGCCGAGAATTAAACAGAGTCTGGACGTTTCCATGACATAGGGAAGAGATGACTTCCAGCTGAAGGTGGCAATCAGGGAGCAGCTTGCTCATAAAATTCAGGTAGGATTTGGACCCATAAAGATAGGGAAAAGCATGAAAAGACCAGCATGAACAAAGGCAGAAAAGCAAGGTGTAGGTGGTGGTGCATGGATCTAATAATCGTGATGGCAATAACAATAGCAGAATAATTATTACTATCAACATTTATAATTTATTAAATTCTTACTTTGTGTCAGGACCTGCACAAAGCACTTAAGGTGAGTGATCTTATTTAAACCTCAATACATTATTATTAATGCCTTTCTGCAGATGGAGTAACCATGGCTTGGACAGATGAAGGAGGCGCTCTCAGATGTCCTCCCAGGCAGGAATCACTAGACACCCCCATGCTCCTAACCACTGGGTCTTCTTTCCTCTCTTCCCCAACTAGGGGTGGCCGTCATGCTGGGGCTAAACCACACCTCCATGTCTGAATTCATCCTCGTCGGCTTCTCTGCCTTCCCCCACCTCCAACTGATGCTCTTCCTGCTGTTCCTGCTGATGTACCTGTTCACGCTGCTGGGCAACCTGCTCATCATGGCCACCGTCTGGAGCGAGCGCAGCCTCCACACGCCCATGTACCTCTTCCTGTGCGTCCTCTCAGTCTCCGAGATCCTCTACACCGTGGCCATCATCCCGCGCATGCTGGCCGACCTGCTGTCCACCCAGCGCTCCATCGCCTTCCTGGCCTGTGCCAGTCAGATGTTCTTCTCCTTCAGCTTCGGCTTCACCCACTCCTTCCTGCTCACCGTCATGGGCTACGACCGCTACGTGGCCATCTGCCACCCCCTGCGCTACAACGTGCTCATGAGCCCACGGGGCTGCGCCTGCCTGGTGGGCTGCTCCTGGGCTGGTGGCTCGGTCATGGGGATGGTGGTGACCTCGGCCATTTTCCAACTGACTTTCTGTGGATCCCATGAGATCCAGCATTTTTTATGTCATGTGCCACCTCTGTTGAAGTTGGCCTGTGGAAATAATGTACCAGCTGTGGCCCTGGGCGTGGGCTTGGTATGTATCATGGCACTGCTGGGCTGTTTTCTCCTCATCCTCCTCTCCTATGCCTTCATCGTGGCCGACATCTTGAAGATCCCTTCTGCTGAAGGTCGGAACAAGGCCTTCTCCACCTGTGCCTCTCACCTTATTGTGGTCATTGTGCACTATGGCTTTGCCTCTGTCATCTACCTCAAGCCCAAAGGTCCCCACTCTCAGGAGGGTGACACCCTGATGGCCACCACCTACGCAGTCCTCACGCCCTTCCTCAGCCCCATCATCTTCAGCCTCAGGAACAAAGAACTGAAGGTTGCCATGAAGAGGACCTTCCTCAGCACACTCTATTCCTCAGGCACCTGAGTAGCTGGTGTGGAAGTGCTGATAGAATATGATAGGAGGATGACCATCACCTTGTCTGCACAGTGTGGCTAGTAATGCTTACCTTGTAAGGCAGGTGTAAAGATTTCTGTATATGACAACACTCATCACATAGTAGGTGCTCAGTAAATGTTAAAAGCATGTTTACTTCCACAACTCTTGATCTGTATGTCTTTATCTGAGTTTTAATTTTTGAGTTATAGTAGCTTTATTAAGATGTAATTCACCTACCATACAATGTACCCATTAGAGCGCACATTTCTGTGGTTTTTGCGTATTCAGAGTTATGCAACCATCATGACAATCTGGCTTAGAGTATTTTAGTCATCCAAAAAAGAAACCCAAATCCTAGTGCTTTGGAAGGCTGAGTGGGAGAATTGTTTGATGTCAGGAATTCACGATCGGTCTGGACAACATAGTGAGATGCCATCTACACACACACACAAACACATACACACACACAAGTTCTTTTTTTTTTAATTTATTACACTTTAAGTTTTAGGGTACATATGCACTACGTACAGGTTAGTTACATACATATACATGTGCCATGTTGGTGTGCTGCACCCATTAACTTGTCATTTAACATTAGGTATATCTCCTAATGCTATCCCTCCCCACTCCCCCTACCCCACAACAGGCCCCAGTCTGTGATGTTCCCCTTCCTGACACACACAAAAATTCTGATAATTAGCTAAATGGGGTGGCACATTCCTGTAGCCCCAGCTACTCCAGAGGCTGATGTGGGAGGATTGCTTGCATCCAGGAGTTCGAGGCTGCAGTGAGCCATGATCACCACTGAACTCTGACTTGGGCAACAGAGCCAAACCTTGTCTCAAACAAACAAACAACCCATACTCATTATCAGTCACTCTCTGTTTCCTCCAAATCTCCATGCCCTCCAGCCCTAGGGAGCCACTAATCTTTCTGTCTGGTTAGAGTTGCTTTTTCTGGACGTTTCACATCAATGGACAACTGTAAATATAATTCTTTTATTTTCAGATGAATTGTTTCACTGAGCATAATGTTTTTGAAGTTCTCCTACATTGTAGCTTGTATCAGTACATCATCTTTTTTTTTTTTCAAGACAGAGTCTCACCCTGTCACCTAGGCTGGAGTGCAGTGGCATGATCTTGGCTCACTGCAACCTTCGCATCCCAGGTTCAAGTGATTCTCTTGCCTCAGCCTTCCAAATAGCTGGGATTACAGATGCCTGCCACCATGCCTGGCTAATTTTTGTATTTCAGTAGAGACGGGGTTTCACCATGTTGGCCAGGCTGGTCTTGAACACCTGACCTCAAACACTCCACCCACCTCGGCCTCCTAAAGTGCTGGGATTTCAGGCATGAACCACCGTGCCCAGCCAGTATATCATTTTGATTGCCAAATAATATTCCATTGTATGGAAACACTACATTTTATTTACCCATTTGTCATTGATGGACATTTCAGTGTTTCTAATTTTTGCTATTTTGAGTAATACTGCTATGAGTGATCAGTACAAGTGTTGCAATATATGCTTTCATTTCCTTGGGATATATACCTAGGAGTGAAATTGCTGGGTCAAGTGGTATTTCTATGTTTATTTTTTTAGGAACTTCCAAGCTGTTTCCTAAAGTCTATGCACCATTTTACATTCCCACCAGCAATGCTGCAGGGGTCTAGGTCTCTGCAACCTCACCAATACTTGTTACTGTCTTTTTGATCACAGCCATCTTCGTGGGTGTGAAGTGGTATCTCATTGTGGTTTTGATCTGCATTTCCCTAGTGAGTAAGGATGTTGAACATCTCATCATGTGCTTATTGGCTATTTAGATATGTTCTTGGAGAAATAGCTATTGAGATACTCCACCCATTTTCCAATTGGGTTGTTTGTATTTTTGTTGTTAAGTTGTAAGAATGCTTTATATTTTTAGTTAAGACTCTTTTATCTGATCTGTGATTTTCAGTTATTTCCTTATAGTTTGTGGGTTGTGTTTTCATGGTCTTTTTGGTGTCTTTCTGTAGCACAATAGATTTACATTTTGATAACATCAGTGTACCTATTTTTTTTTGTTGTTGCTTGTGCTTTTGGTGTCACATCTAAAAAAACATTGTATTGCTTTATCTAAGGTCATGAACATCTACGTTGCCTCATAAGAGTTTTGTAGTTTTAGCTCTTACATTTGGGTTTTTGATATATTTTGAGTGTCAAACTTTGTGTATGGTGTGAGGTAGGGGCCTAATCTTAGTTTTGGCTGGGTTCAGTGTGGTTGAATGAATCCTGTCTGTGAACTTCCATCAGTGACCTATGTCTGTGATTATATAAGTTTGTGAGGATGAGGAAATAATCATCACACACACACATGGCCCTAGGCAGACACATCATTCATACTGAATTAGTAAACACACTTCATTCCCAGCTACTAGGTTGCTTCCCATGCTGTTGCACAGCAATAGTAAAATAATAATGGTAGCCACTGTATGAGTGTCTACTGTATGTTGAGCTGTATACTATGTCCAGCACCCTTCATAGATCATCTCTTCATTTCTAAAACTGTGTAACAGGTAAAAAGACAAGTGTGCCAGCAAAAATTGCTTATTATTTTTAATTTCTCAAAGGTTTTGAGGGAGATTGAGTTCTAGAAAGAGATTTCTCTATACAAGCTGTGGAAAGTGGGCATGGTGGCTCATGCCTGCAATCTTAGCTACTTGGGAGGCTTAGGTGGAAGGTTAACTTAAGTCCAGGAGTTTGAGACCAGCCTTGGCAACACAGGGAAACCCCAATTTTACAAAAAAAAAAATACAAAATATTAGCTGGGCATGTTTGCACTAGCCTCTAGTCCCAGATACTCAGGAGGCTGAGGCAGGAGGATCACTTGAGCCCAGGAGATTGAGGCTGCAGTGAGCTGTGATCACATTACTGCAATCCAACCTGGGTGACAGAATGAGACCCTGTCTCAGAAAAAAAAAAAAAAAAAAAAGACTGCCTCGAGCCTAGTTTGCTATATACTACTTGTACTTGCTGACAAATTGGATTGTGCATCTAATTTTATGGCTTTGTGAACAGAACGTGCCTAGTCCAGGATAAGCATATTGGGTTGTGTCCTTAATGGGGCTCAGAAGTGAGTGAAGCCTTATTGTCCCAGGAAAGAATAGTGATTTCTTGCTCTAACATATTAAACATTTCCACTGTGGATCTCCTATTGAGCTCTGCAAGGTTTTACACAACATCCTCATTTTCCAGTTGCTCAGAGCACCATTAGGTCTGTTGGATTTTGAGAAATAAAAATAAAATCCTAAGGCCCCCAACCAACTGAACAGACACCCTCTTGAACATAAGAACCCCAGAGAAATCTTAAAAACCGTGTTCCCAGCTGTGATGGAAGGAGAGGTTGGCTATCCCTCAGTATGGCCCTTCCTTATCAATCTTTAACCAGAATTCTCCATCCCTGTCTCCTTTGAGACTGGAATCTTCCCATCCTTTGCATGAGCTAAAATCTCCCTGGGCAGAGAGGTAGCAGTGAGCCCTGTGTGCTGGAGGAAGAGGTGGAGGCTGCAGGTTCCTGAATGCTCCCTGAGGCTCTTCCTGGCCTCTCCAGACCCAGAGGACAGCCTTTCCAGCGTGGTTTCCTGTAGAGGCCCATGGGAATGACCTGCTGGGAAGGTCACTGCAGGAATAAAGCTCACAGCACCAGTTCAAGGAGGCCCTGGGTCTGGCTCCTACACTTGCCTGCAGGTGTCCTGTGAAAACACCTAAAAAGGGTGTTTTTTGTGCCTTTTCCTTAGAGCCACTTCATTGAAGGCAGCCCCAGGTGGAGGTGGACCAAGAGGAGGAGGGTATAAGGGCAGAGTCAGAGAGCTGTGGATGGAGCTGCCCAGCCTAGAGTTGGGGTGCAGAACTGGGGAGACGAGGAAAAGAGAGAGATCTCAACTTTAGTTGACTTCCTGGGGCCTTCTGTGTTTGCCCACTCAAGATGCCTGGTTGTTTAGTGAGCCCAGGCACTCATATCAGTTCTCAACTGGACGTGATTCTGGCCCTCAGGGGTCAATTGGTCGTGCCTGGAGACGGTTTGGTTGTCAGGACTTGTGTATGGGGGTTGGGGGGATTTTCCTACTAGCATCTAAGAGATTGAGGCCAAGCATGCCACTAAATGTCAGACAATGCATAGGACAGCTCCCAGCACAAAGAATGATCCGTCCCAAACCTCACTAGTGCTGAGACTGAGAAACGCTGTTCTAGGTATATTTTGTCTTCACTGTTGTGCCCCTGCTAACCTGGGGGCAAGGCTCTGTGGGAGGGCAGGATGCACTCCAGTGCTGTGAGATGTTTGCTCAGCCTGTATGTATGAGCCATCTGCAATGATACCAGAGTAGGCAGAATTCTGTCCACTTGTCAGAGGAGATGGGGAAGCCGGGCCTTGAGAGCTGTGGCTGCTCCAGTAAGCAGGAGGTGGGATGTTGGACTGTAGGGGTGAGACAGGGGCTTGAGGAGAGGGGGAAGGTTAGATGAGACTCTTGGTTGGATCAGACACTGTGTTGTGTCATTGCCAGAAATCCTAAGGACCCTGCTGGGGTCAGAGAATTAGCCTAGAATGGGGTCAGCAAGTGACATTTGTAACAGAACAACACAAACAAACCAGCTCAGAAGACCAAAATCATTATCAGTCAATGACAATGACTTTTGCAAGGTGGACTCTCACAGTGCTCTGGTTACTCCTGTTTTTCACTTGGGGAGAGTAGCCTCGAAGCTGCAAAGTCGTTTCTCCAAAGACACACAGTGATGGCTGGGGTTTCCACCCTGAGTCTGATGCCTCCACAACTTGTAAACATTTCAGGAAATTCTCTCTGGAAGCCAGAGTGGAGTGTGTGCAGAGGAGAGGAGATGAGGAGGATGGGGCAGTGGCCCAGGAGAGGGGATGGAGAGGAAGGGAGCAGATGGAGAAGTGCTTAGTAGGAGAGAGGGCGCCCAGCAATGGGAGGGATGGGGAAGGAAGATGGCTGATGCTGGAGTATGGTTTCTGGGTAGGGCAGCTTCGTGGTCAGAAGACTTTCCTTCCGTGTCATAAGTGTGGTCTTTTCATGTGGGATACGTCATCCTCACTCCAGTAAAGTTCCTCACTGTCCGGGTGATTCTGTGTTCTCCAAGCGCCTGACTGACTCCTGCTTTGGTCAGGGGATACTTCAGACAATATCCTAGTGAGACTGCTAGGGGGATGTAATGATGAATGGGCCCATCCAGAAAGAAAGATTTCAGAAACTCTTGTAGCAATGTGGCTCACATTATTCATAAAAATATTTGTTTCTTTTATGGTAGAATTCAGGTGCAAAGGTTTGAGTCCATGATATTTTCAGTTTGTGGCTTTTGATTAACATTGATTTGCGAAAGATCCTTCTCTTATTTCATTTGTTTCACTTTGTTTCCGTTCTTTGACAGGCATTTTCACACACTTAGTATGCACTTTTTGATTTGTATATGTTCTTGTAAGAAACACATTGCTTTCTGTCTGCACAAAATTTAATGTGACTATTTTAAAATGGTAAATTAATGGACTTAATTTTATTAGAGCAGTTTTAACTTTATAGAAATATTGATCAGAAAGTATAGAGAGTTCTCACATACGCTTCACCCCTGCATGTGGGATTGTCTCTCCTATTATTGACATCTTGCATTTCTGTATCACCTGTGTTACACTCGATGAACCAATATTGATGCATTGTTATTAACTAAATTTCATAGTTTGTATTAGGTTATGCTCTTTGCATTGTGTATATGGATTTTGACAAATGACATGGGTTCATTATTACTATATCATTCAGAATAGTTTTATGTACATATATTCTTAATGTGTCCACAAGAGTTCATTCTGTTTTTTTGTTTTTTTCACTCAATATTATTTTAAAAGTTCATTTATATTACTATGTGTGCATCTAACTCGTGACAAAAGCTCTATATCCTTTTGCCTCTATATCCGTTGTTTGCCTCTATATACTTTTACCTGCCTTCTCCCCAGTTAGGGACAAGCAGGCTTATCCATCACCCCCACTAAAATAACTGCTGCAGGAAACATTCTTTTACATGTCCCCCTATAAACAGGTTTCAGAAGTCAAGATAGATATACAGTAGCAAATTTGCTGGTACACAGAGCATGAATCCCATTAAAAATTTTAATTTCCAACATTCTACATGCCCACTAATAGTATGTAAGTATTTCCCCTTCCCCTTCCCCTCCTTCTCCTTCTCCTTCTGCTTCTTCTTCTTCCTCTTCCTCTTCCTCTGATGGAGTCTTACTCTGTGGCCCAGGCTGGAGTGCAGTGGCGGCATCTCAGCTCACTGAAACTTCCACCTCCAGGGGTTCAAGTGATTGTTATGCCTTAGCTTCCCAAGTAGCTGGGATTACAGATGTGTACCTCCAGCCTGGCTGATTTCTGTCTTTTTGGTAGAGACAGGGTTTTGCCATGTTGGCATAGCTGGTTTTAAACTCCTGGCCTCATGTGATCCTCCTCCCTCGGCCTCCCAAAGTGCTGGGGTTATAGGCGTGAGCCTCCGCGCCCAGCCTATAGTGCGTAAATATTTCTTTCTCCTCATAGCCCAACCAATACTGGACATTTTATAATTTTGGGAATTGCATAGGTATACAGTGAAATTCCACTCTCTCTTTCATTTTCCCCTTCCCTCCATTCTTTTCCTTTTTGTTTTCTTTTTCTTTTTTCTTTTTTTTCGAGCATCCTTTCATCTGCCTGAGTAATTCCTGTGCATTATCTTCTCACATCTTTTGCTCGTTTTTGCATTAAGATACCTACTTCTTCTTGATATAACTGGTTCCTTGTTTGTTCTAGATATAACTCTCTTGTCAGTTTTTAAGAAATTCCCCACACCACTGGATGTGCTCCTGTCGGTTTTAGACAATGCAAATAATTTTTCCCCATTTCCCATCTGCCTGTTAACTTCATCCTGGAAATCCTTTGTTGAATGGAAATCCTCAATGTTGATTTTTTTAATGTTTTAAAAATCATCTTAATGATTGTGCTTTGGAAATTTTGTTTAGGAAGTCTTTCCTCAAGCCTAGATCACAAAGTTATTCTCCTATACTTTCTTCTCTTAAATTTACACCTTGATATTTGGTATTTATTTCTTGAATGCATCTGGATCCTCCTTTGTATGTAGAGTTTGGCAGAAATTCGGATTGACTTGCTTCATAAAATGAGCAGTTTTCTCACTACAATGGGTGAACAACCTACCTTCTCCTCTTGATTTGTGCCAGTACATTTATCGTGTACTATATTAGGTTTTGAATAATGCAGGGTTATTTTCTGAGATTTCCAATCGACTTACCCAGACCTAGGTCTGTTCCACGTTTCATAATTTTAAAAATGACTATGACTCTATTGTGTGTCTCAGCGCGTGGGAGGGAACAGCTCTTCCCTTGATTCCATATTTATTTATTTATTTATTTATTTATTTTAGACAGAGTCTCACTCTGTCACCCAGGCAGCACACTGCAACCTCCGCCTCCCAGGTTCAAGCAATTCTTGTGCCTCAGCCTCCCAAGTGGCTGGGATTACAAGTGGGCCATCACACCTGGCTAATTTTTGTATATTTAGTAGAGACGGGCTTTCGCCATGTTGCTCCGGCTGGTCTTGAATTCCTGACCTCAAGTGTTCTGCCCAGCTCGGCCTCCCAAAGTTCTGAAATTACAGGTGTGAGCCACCGTGCCTGGCCTGATATTTATTTTTCTGAAGGAATTTTCAAATAGTTTTATCAAATTTACAGTTGATTCACTGGAATTGTAAATATAATACAATATTATATTATTGAGTATTATTAAGTATTGAGGTTATAATTTGAGGATGAATTGACACCATTAGCACATCAGGCCATCCCAGCCAAGACTCTATACTGCTCCCCATGTGTTCAGATCATCTTCTACATTTTTATTAGTATGTATTTAAAATTTTTTCTTTGGAGCTATGTCATGTTTTTGGTTAATTCCTAGATATTTTATAGCAGATTTTTTCAAAGTGTGACATGAGGACCTCTGCAGAGTGGTCCCTGAAATCCTTATTTTTCAAATTTACATGTGAGAATATATTTTCATCATATGCTTCAATATATTGCCACAGACTGAATGAAGAGGCAGATGAAACCATCAAGCTGTTTCCTGCCAAGCTAGGACATATGAGGTATTGGCTAAAATGTCAAACAAGGCCACTCTTCTCATGAAATGCTTTTTTCCTAATGTGATTATTTGCCTGAAAATGTTTCCCATATTAGCATTCAATAGACTTACTATTGCTCTTTAGAAATTTTTTTTTGAGACGAAGTCTCACTCTGTTGCCCAGGCTGGAGTGCGGTGGCATGATCTCGGCTCACTGCAATCTCCGCCTCCCGGGTTCAAGTGATTCTCTGGCTCAGCCTCCCAAGTGGATGGGATTACAGGCGCGTGCCCCCATGCCCAGCTAATTTTTGTATTTTTTGTAGAGACCTGGTTTCACCATGTTGGCCAGGCTGGTCTCAAACTCCTGACCTCAAGTGATCCACAAACTTCGGCCTCCCAAGGTGCTGGGATTACAGGCGTGAGCCACCGTGCCTGGGCATGCTTTTTTAAATATACTAATAACTAAATATTTTTAATAATTTTCAATTTTCATTTCCAATATGGTAAAAATGGATAGTTCTAAACCACATAAACAAAAGCCCTTTAGAGTGCTTAGTAACTTTGAGGTGTAAAGGGATCCTGAGCGATGTTTCTTTATATTAATAGTTTGTGTTGCTATTGGGACTGTTCTCTTTCTCTGTATTCAGATTATACTTCTTGAATGCTTGTTACTGGTGTGATACTAGGAGGATCACTGGGGTTTTTGCCAGCTGACCTTGCCTTCTGCATCACTGGGCTCTGTTGCTGTTCTAATACATGATGTCATCATTCTTTCATCTTTTCTAGGTAGATGATCACGTCTCTTCCCTTCCAGTCCTTAGATACCTTAGATAACTTGTTTCTTTCCCTTACCTTATACCATCACTCACGAATTTCAGCTCCATGTTAAAGAACAGCGGAATTAGTGAGTATCCTTGGCTTTTTCTTGACTCTAAAGTGATGCATGGAAAAGTTTCTTCTTCAGTGTTGTATTTGCTAATTTGTGCTATATATTCTATATCTAGTTAAGAAAGTCTCCTTGGATTTTGTGTTGTGAAGTGTTTTTTTTTAAATCATAATAGGAGTAGGGTTTTAGAGAATGTATTTATGCCTTGATTGAAATAATCATGATTTTTCTTTTTAAATCGATTCCTGTGATAAATTGTATGATAGGTTTTCTGATGTTAACCAATCTTGTCATTTATGGAATAAACCAATGCCACTTGATCATGGTAAACTATTTTTAATACACCATTAGATTTGAATAGGTTATGTTTTATTCTGGAATTTTAAATCTGCCTGGATAGGTGAAGTAGGCCTATAATTGTCTCTTTTTCTCGGTGAAGATTCTTGCCTGATTTTAGACAAAGATTGCATTAACTTGAGGAGATGTGTTTGTCAGATTTCCTAACTCTTTTCTATTTTTTTGAAGATCATGTGTAAGATTCTAACCAACTGTTTTTTTTTTTAACAGTTTAATAGTACTTACCGCACTTTAATAAAACCCACTGGGGCAAAGATTTTAGAGAGACGATCTTTGACTACCGTTTCAATTTCTTTAAAGCTTATTTGAGCATATAGCATCCCCTTTTTTCTTGCACCAGTTTTGGAATTTTATATTTTTCTAAGTACTTGTTCATTTCATCTACAATGTAAATTTGTTATTTCTTTTACTATTTTTATTAATTTAAAAATATCAATTATCTCTGTAATTATTTCCCATTTGTAATTTTGGGTTCTGTTATTGGTACCTTCTCCTTGTTTATCTTATTAATTTTTTCCAATAACTTGATTTTGATTTTATTATGCATGATTTTTTTCTTGAGGCAGTTTTTTGATAAAGGTATTTTGAGCTGTATATTTCCTTCAAAGTACTATTTTAGGTTAAAATGTTGACATTCAATATTTAAATTATCATTTAATTCTAAATATTCCTCCATTTTATGATTTACTGTTGAAACTGTAGATTATTTAATTATATAGTTATCTTCCAAACACATGAGATTTGTAAAGCTATTTCTTCCCTATTGATTTTTAATGTTAATTCATTATAATCTATATCATATTATTATGCTTTGGAATTAAATAAATTTTTATATTCTAATGAAATGTCCATTTTTGTAAAAGTCGCTGAGTGGTTGAAAGAGTGTTAATTTTCTTTTTGGTGAAGAGTCTAATATATATAATAGCTAATGTCTGGATATTATTAATTGCTTTGTAATTAATAATTAATAAATTGCATTTCTGAACTCTGTTAAAATTTCTAACTATAATAATCTATCTGCCAGGTGTGGTGGCTCACACCTGTAATCCCAGCACTTTGGGAGGCTGAGGTGGGCGGATCACCTGAGGTCAGAAGTTTGAGACCAGCCTGGCCAACATGGTGAAACCCTGCCTCTACTAAAAATACAAAAATTAGCCAGGCGTGGTGGCACGCGCCTGTAATCCCAGCTATTAGGGAGGCTGAGGCAGGAGAATCAGTTGAACCTGGGAAGGGGAGGTTGCAGTGAGCCGAGATTGAACCATTGCACTCCAGCCTGGGTGACAGAGCAAGACTCCGTCTCAAAAAAAAAATAATCAATCTGCCGTCGATTTGGCTATTTCTATCTATCTCACTGAAGTTGTATTGATTATTTGTTAATGAATATTCCAGGATATATAGTTACATGGATTTATAGTATTGATGCTGTTTGCTATGTTCTTTTAATGGGTATAAATGTTATTCTCTGTCCCTTAGTGTGTGTGCATGTGTGTGTGTGTGAGATGTAAAAATCTTGGTATGCATTGAAAAACTAAACATTTACCTTCATAGTCAAAATAACCAGATAACACTTACAAAAATAATTAGCTGAGCATGGTGGCTCATGTGTATAATCCCACCACTTTGGGAGGCTGAGACAGGAAGATTGCTTGAGGCCAGGAATTAGAGACCAGTTTGGGCAACAAAGCAAAGCCCTGTCTCTACAAAAAAAAAAAAAAAATGTTTAATTAGACAGGTGAGGTGGCACACATCTGTAGTCCAGCTATTTAGGAGACTGAGAAGAAGCATAACTTGAGCCCAGGAGTTCCAGGATGCAGTGAGTCATGATCCTACTACTGCACTGTAACCTAGGGGGCAGAGTGAGACCTTGTCTCTAAAAAATTCACAATTAGATCAATAATAATGCTTTAATATTACTCATACGTAATCATTCATTCATACTGTAATCAAAATGTTCTCTATTGCCTTAAAATACTTACAGCTGGTTATGTAGATCAAGATTCAACTAGTCCCCTATGTTGCATCCAGTTACTATGTCCTGGAATCTCTCTTATCCTTTCAATATACCTCTATCAGTGAAACCAGACCAATTGTTCTGTGGAATTATCCACCTTCTGGATTTTTCTGAAAGCTTTCTCATTATATAATTTAGCTTGTTCCTCCATCTTCTGTACAATGATTATTGTTTTTGACTAGTGGGCATCTTTTCAATCTGGTACCTGCAGGCTTTTAATATTATCCCATTACTTAGTGAAAATTTCATTTTACACTGGTAGAAGATGTCCAAGGCTTTCTTCCATGTCCAGACCACAGATCAGCCATGTGTTAAGGAACTCTACTTCCCTGTAGAGGTGTATTGTATTAGAGACCTTGCGATCATTGTTTCCTTAAATTCCACTTTTTTATTAAGGTTGCAGCCTCAGCTTTCATTTGGTGCATATTCTTCAGACATATATTTACCCATCCTTTTATTTTTGAATTTTCTATTCAGATTTATTAGAATAGTAAATGTGTAATTTGAAATAAGATGGCATAAATGAGTATCAATAAATGAGTATTAAAATAAATGTAAACGGGTTAAATAAGCAATTAAAAGACAAAGACTCTTGGGGAACAAAAATTTAAGGCTCAAGATCAAAATAAATGTTTTCTAGAACTGGCACATTTTCAGGGGAATCTGACCCTGATCATCCATGCCTGTCTCTAATGGCTCCAAGTATTGAAACTTTTCTTTATGTTAGTCAGTGTTAATGGAAACCCAATTAGTAGCCAACATCTGACTTGGTCATCTAATATATTGATCTCGTTTGATCTTTGTCACATTGCTGAATGTTAAGAACTATTATTATTTACTCCATTTAACAGATGAGGAAAGTGAGACCCAGAAAGTTCCACCAGTTGTTGAATAGCATAGAGCTGTTGGGTTTCCATTTGGTCTGTGCTAGAGTCTAAGTTTTAACCACTGTCACTTAATTTTGTTTCTGATCTCACCAGATACAGTATCCATGCCTGGTCAGAACTACAGAACCATATCTGAATTTATCCTCTCTGGCTTCTCAGCCTTCCCCCAGCAGCTCCTGCCTGTCTTGTTCCTGCTGTACCTCCTGATGTTCCTGTTCACATTGCTTGGCAACCTTCTTATCATGGCCACAGTTTGGATTGAACGCAGACTCCACACACCCATGTACCTCTTCTTGTGTGCCCTCTCCATCTCTGAGATTCTGTTCACTGTTGCCATCACCCCTCGCATGCTGGCTGATCTGCTCTTCACCCATCGTTCCATCACCTTTGTGGCTTGTGCCATTCAGATGTTCTTCTCCTTCATGTTTGGCTTCACTCACTCCTTCCTTCTCATGGTCATGGGCTATGATCACTACGTGACCATCTGCCACCCACTGCATTACAACATGCTAATGAGTCCCCGTGGCTGTGCCCATCTTGTGGCCTGGACCTGGGCTGGTGGCTCGGTCATGGGGATGATGGTGACAATGATGGTTTTTCACCTCACTTTCTGTGGGTCTAATGTGATCCACCATTTTCTCTGTCATGTGCTTTCCCTCTTGAAGTTGGCCTGTGGGAGCAAGACATCATCTGTCATCATGGGTGTGATGCTGGTGTGTGTCACAGCCCTGATAGGCTGTTTGTTCCTCATCATCCTCTCCTTTGTCTTCATTGTGGCTGCCATCTTGAGGATTCCTTCTGCTGAGGGCCGGCACAAGACTTTCTCCACTTGTGTATCCCACCTCACTGTGGTGGTCATGCACTATAGTTTTGCCTCCCTTATCTACCTCAAACCCAAGGGCCTCCATTCTATGTACAGTGATGCCTTGATGGCCACCACCTATACTGTCTTCACCCCCTTCCTCAGCCCAATCATTTTCAGTCTAAGGAACAAGGAGCTGAAGAATGCCATAAATAAAAACTTTTGCAGAAGGTTCTGCCCTCTAAGCTCCTAATGGCCAGTTTGGTGGTGATAAAATATAATAGAAGGGCTGGGGATAATAATGTGTATCTCCATAGGACTGTTGTAAGGGTTCAGGTATGTGAAAATACCTGAAAATATGTGTTTTGTACCTACTAGCTATTGTTTTCCCCTTCCTTTTTGCTTAGGCTCATGTGATCATTTATGAGCCATTGTAACGAACTTTATCCCATTATCTGTGCCTAGAAATGTGTTTTCTATCTGTGGATAGGTGGAGATCATCACGTGGATGTGTCTGGGCATTTATGCACATGGTTCTTCTTAAACAGACAGGCAAAAAAGATTTTATTTTCCCCTAGTGTAAGAAAAAGCAAGAATAACATCATAGTCATAAATGCCACCAAGCATTGAAGTTTTTCTATGTATCCTGTACTGTGTCCAGTGTTTTACAAATATTATCCTTTTAATTAGAAGAAATGAACAAAGGAAAATAAACTATTTGTCTCAGAGAAACTGGTTTCTGTTTTTGTTTTGATGGAGTCTTGCTCTGTCACCAGGCTGGAGTGCAATGGCACAATCTTGGCTCACTGCAACCTCCCCATCCCGGGTTCAAGTGATTCTCCTGCCTCAGCCTCGCGAGTAGCTGGGACCACAGGCGCGTGCCACCAGGCCCAGCTAATTTTTGTATTTTTAGTAGAGATGGGTTTTCACCATGTTGGCCAGGATGGCCTGGATCTCTTGACCTCTTTATCTGCTGGCCTTGGTCTCCCAGAGTGCTGGGATTACAGGCATGAACCATTGCACCCAGCCACTGAAACTGGTTTCTTATTTAAAGTTCCTCACTGTCTTTGGGAGACATATACCCTAAGTGTGTGTGTGGATATTATGTCGAATTGAGTGAAGGATATCAGAATGCAAAAGTGGAGAGAGAGCAAGAAGGAGAGAGAGAGAGAGAGATACAGAGATAGGAGAAAGAGAGAGAGAGAAAGAGAGAGAGAGAAAGCAGGTGTCAAGTAGTCAAGTAAAAATAGAGTTCTTTACATTTTTTGATCTGTACAAGAAATGTAATAACTAAGAATTTGGGGCAAAATCTGGGAAAGGGAAAAAGAGAGAAAAAAAGGAGGTTGGTAAAATAGGGCTTTAATATGTCCTAATAATAGGGCTGTAATATGTCCTAATAAGACAGGCACGTGTCTCATCCAAGCGTTTTTGACACAGTTGCTCTGCAGTCTCAATGGGTCATTCTAGGATATGTACTCCCTTGTCTCCAATGGATGCATCAGTTTTCTGGTTTTCTGGTTCTGGTCATTGGTTTCACCAGCTGAGGAATGAATATTATTTTCACAGTGCGGCTACTCTTCTAATGCTACTCAGAGAGTCCTCACCTGTGCTTCCTGCTGGTGCTGGAATGTGAAGGTCAACATTGAAAGAGATTTCATTCTAGAAAAGCAGAGATCATGGCCTTAAAAGGTCAAAAGGTGATATGGTTGGAAGAGGTTTTATTGTATGTTTATGCTATAAAATTCCAAACAAAGCAAGCTTTTCTTGGCATTATCCTGCATACTCTGGGCAAGACTTGCATATGTGGTTATCATCAGTGAAGCACCATAGCAACCAGTGAGAGAGCCTCTGGGAATATGGTCACAGATGATAAAGCGACATGAGTGATGATGGAAAGGGCATTAAGTAAACACTATGCACGTGCTACAGAGGTGGAACTTTCTATACAAATAAATCAGAAATTTTTCCAAGAGCCAAGGTATTGTGAGTATTAACCACTTTGCTACCTCTTTCTTCCGCTTTCTTTTGAATAGTTTTAGTATGGTATATATTTCTCCATTCATTTACTTTTTAATTTATATATGTCTTTATATTTACAGTGATTTTCTTGTTAGAAAACACTTTATCCGCAGTTTGGGAGGCCGAGGCAGAAGATCACGAGGTCAGGAGATTGAGACCATCCTGGCTAACATGGTGAAACCCCGTCTCTACTAAAAACACACACAAAAATGAGCTGGGCGTGGTGGCGGGCACCTGTAGTCCCAGCTACTAGGGAGGCTGAGGCAGGAGAATGGCATGAACCCGGGAGGTGGAGCTTGCAGTGAGCCGAGATTGCGCCACTGCACTCCAGCCTGGGCAACAGAGCGAGACTCTGTCTAAAAAAAAAAAAAAAAAGAAAAAAAAGAAAACACTTTATCCAGGTCTTATTTTTTAATCCTTTCTAATGATCTCTGTATTTTAATTCATGCATTAAAAATACTGATGTTCAAAGTAATTTATGATACACTGATATTAATATAAACCAAATTTGTTACGGTTTTTTGTTTGTTGCTTTTGTTCTTTATTTCTATTTTTGTCTTTCATTCTTTTTATGCCTTTGGTGCTTTTAAGTAAGCATTTTATATACTTCCATGTTCTCTTATTTCTTGGCATATCAATTCTACTTTAAAAATATTTTTAGTAGTTTTCTTAGAGTTTTGAAATATACATTTATAACTAATCCAAATCCATTTCAAATAACATTATATGATTTCACAGGTAGTGCAAGTATCTTCTAATAATAACACAATTCTGATGTCTTCTTTCTATCCCGTTTATTATTGTTGTCACTATATCATATATTCATAAAAATGTATATAACATATGTATAACATACACATGTGCACAGATGGTAAAATGCTTTGTTTATCTTATTATTTTAAACTGTAATCTGTTAGATCAATTAAGAATAAGAAAAATGAATGCTTTTATTTATCTCCATTTATTCCTTCCCTGATGCTCTTCCTTTCTTTAGGTAGACACAGATTTCTGACCTATATAATTTTCATTCTCTTTGAAGAACCTCCTTAAACAATTCTTGCAAAGCAAGTCTACTGATAACAAATGCTTTTAACTTTTATCTGAGTCAGTCTTTATTTCTCCTCCACTTTTGAAGGATACTTTCATAGGGTGCAGAATTCTAGGTTGGTGAATTTTTTTCTCTCAACACTTTAAATATTTCACTTCATTCTCCTCTTTCTTGTATGGGCTGAAGAGAAATTGGATGTAATTTTAATCTTTACTCCTCTATAGGTAAGGCTCTCCCTTCAGCTTTTATAAGGATTTTTTTCTTTATATATATATTTTTAAAATTTTTAAGTTCCAGGATGCATGTTCCGGGTGTGCAGTTTGTAACATAGGTCAACGTGTGTCATGGTGATTTTCCGCACCTATCAACGCAGCACCTAGGTATTAAGCCCAGCGTGCATTAACTATTTTTCCTAACGCTCCCTCACTCCCCAGCCCACCCCGTGACAGACCCCAGTGTGTATTTTTCTCCTGCCTTGTCCGTGTGTTCTCATTGTATATTTGATTTTCTGTAGTTTGAAAATAATATGCCTACGTGTACTTTTTCTGGCATTTATCATACTCGGAGTGGTCTGAGCTTCTAGGATCTGAGATTTAATTTCTGATATCAATTTGGAGAAATTCTCGGTAATTATTGTTTCAATTTTTTCATTTGTCTTTCTTCTCTTGCTGGTATTTCCATGACACCTATGTTAACATTTTGTAGTTGTCCCAGTTGGATATTCTCTTCTGCTTGTTTCCCTCCACTCTTTTTTCTCTTTGCTTTTCAATTTTGCAGGATCCTATGATATATCCTCAAGCTCAGAGATTCTTCCCTCAGCCATGTCCAGTCTACTAGTAAGCCCATGAAAAGTATTCTTCGTTTCATCTTCCTCCTACCCCTCTCCCTCCCCTCCCCTTCCTCCTCCACGTCCTCCTCTCTTTCTTCTCCTTCTCCCTTTCTTCTCCTCCTCCTCCTTTTCTTCTGATTATTTTTTAAAATAGGGACAGAGTCTCACTCTATCACCCAGCCTGGACTACAGTGGTGCAATCACAGCTCACTGCAGCCTTGAATTTCTGGGCTCGAGCGATCCACTGGCCTTAGCCTCCCAAGTTGTTGGGATTGCAGGTGTGCACCACCGCATCTGAACAATTTTTTTTTTTTTGGTACAGATGGGGTCCTGATATTTTGACCCAGTTGGTCTCAAACTCCTGGACTTAAGCAATCCTCCCACCTCAATCTCCCCAGGCACTGAGATGACAGGTGTGGGCCACCAGTCCATTCCTTATTTCTGTTACAATCGATTTGACTTTTAGCATTTCTTTTGTCTCTTTCCTAGAATTATCATCTCAGCTGACATTGCTTATCTGTGTTTCCTTGCTGTCTATTTTGTCTACTAGAACCCTTGGCACATTAATCATAGTTGTTTTAAATTCCCAGTCTGATTATTTTGACATGCCCACCTTATCTGGGTCTGTTTGTGATGCCTTCTCTCTCTCTTCAAACAGTCTTTTAGTATGCCTTGTAATTTTTTTCTTGATACCCAGACATGAAGTACTTGGGTAAAAGAACTGTTTTAAATAAGCCTTTAGCAATATGGCAGTAAGGTATGGGGAGGGGAATCATTCTATAGACCTATGCTTAGATATCAGCCCCCATCAGCAGATGTGCTAATCAGGATCCCCTGACACCACCTCCCTTAGGTGGAACAGGATGACTAGAGCTGGCAAGAGTTGGGTATTTTCTTTTTCCAGTGAAACTGTAATAAAACTCCAGTAGGTTAGGTTCTGGTTCAATTGTTTCTCCTCATTTGGAGTCTTTCATTGTTCTCTCCTGCCTGATTGCTCTGGCTAGGTCTTCTAGTACTATGTTCAATAGCAGTGGTGAGAGTGGGCATCCTTGTGTGGTTCCACTTCTTAAAGGGAATGCTTCTAGCTTTTGCCCATTCAGTATGATGTTGGCTGTGGGTTTGTCGTAGATGGTTACTATTTTGAAGTATGTTCCTTCAATGCCAAATTTGTTGAGGGTTTATGACATGAAGGGATGTTGAATTTTATTGAAAGCCCGTTCTGTGCCTATTGAGATGTGGTTTTTGTTTTAAATTCTGTTTATCAACTCATCATCTAGGTTTTAAGCCCCACATGCATTAGGTATTTGTCCTTATGCTCTCCCTCACCCTTTCCCCCACCCACCAACAGGCCCTGGTGTGTGATGTTCCCCTCCCTGTGTCAAGCCACCATGGCACATGTATACCTATGTAACAAATGTGCACGTTCAGCACATGTATCCCAGAACTTAAAGTAAGAAAAAAAGTTCTCATCTTTCTTTTCTTATATAAAAGATAGATACAATGATACTGGTGAGAATTAAATAAATTTATACATGTAAAACACCTCACCTAGAACATAACACCCAAACACAGGCTACATAAATTAATGTTTGTCCATAAAAAATGCATAAAAAATTCCGTTTATGTGCTGAATCACATGTACTGATTTGCATATGTTGAAAAGAATGAAGTCATGTCCTTTGCAGCAACATGGAGGCAGCTGGAGGCCATCGTCCTAAGCAAACTAATGCGGGAACAGAAAAACCAAATGCTACATGATCTTACTGGTAAGTGGGAGTTAGGCACTGACTACACATGGACACAAAGATAGCAACAACACACACTAGAAACTATTCGGTGGGGGAGGGAGGGAGAGGGGCGTGGGTGGAAAAACTACCTATCAGCTACTACGCTTACTACCTGTGTGATGGCACCATTTGTACACCAAACGTCAGCAACATGCAATTTACCCATGTAACAAGCCTGCACATGCACCTCCTGAATCTAAAATAAAAGTTGAAAAGAGGAAAATTGTTCCTCCTGAGGGTAGATCTTCATAGGAAGAACAGAATACTCTGGCGTATTTCAAAATGGGTCATTGTTCCTCCTCCCCTAACAGAAGTATGAGGGGTCTTTTCTCCTGCTTTTACAATGAGGACTTGACAGACCTCTTAGAGGTAAAACCAACAAAAGTGTGGGAACCCCCTCCAATAACTGGGTCCCCAGGAGTTTTGACCTCTCAGATTTGTCTATACCAAGCCTTCAGTAATTCTTCAATTACAGTAAACATTTCCCTTCTCTGATATTGGTTCCTCCAGAGGTTGCAATGGATGGATTTCTTTTACAATAAGTTGTGATTCCCTCTACTTGCCTGTTGGTCTTTCCAATTTGGGGAGCTGCAGTTTGCCCTGTGACATCTTTTACCAATCAAGACTGCTGAGTTTTCAGTTTATTCAGCTTTTTACTTATTGTCGGGATCCAGCAGCAACTTTCAGCTTCTTACATGCCAGATCAGAAACTGGAAGTCAAATATAAGTTCATTTTTTATATAACTACCATATCAACTTAAGTTTTGTTTATAACTTACTAAAAAGAACAAGTGCCTTAGTTTGTCCTGACATCCAATAAATGCTCTAATATCGGGATTACTTAAAGAGCATTTTTCTAATCAGAATGCAAACAAGAACTACATGTTAATTCAGTTATGTCTTTTAGGGACTTTTATTCTATAATCCTCATTCTCCTTCAATTTTTGACATTTGTTTTTGAGATAGTCTAGATTATTATTTTCTTATAGAAAGTCATACAAGCTATATTAGCACGTTGTTTCATGACAGCGTCATTTCACACGTTCGCAGTAGAATTTAAGAGTGGAAGGAGAAGACAGAGATGCTAACAAGAGAACTTGGACTTATCTCTTTCTGGAGAGAAGTCAGGGAATTGTCATGAGATCACAAATCAAGACAGATGGGCTGGGTGTGGTAGCTCATGCCTCTAGTCCTAGCATTTCAGGAGTCCAAGGAGGGAGGATCATTTGAGACCAGGAGTTCAAGACTAGCCTTTGCAATATAGCAAGATCTCATCTGTACAAAAATTTTTTGAAAATTTAATTGGAGGTAATGAATTCCCCTTCACCCCCACTATGAACATACCCTTACCCCTAGAGTTTTCTGATTTACTCTTTGGCCCATTGAGCATGAATTTTCTGATACTGCATCCCCTTCCGATAAGGGAGAAGAAATTATTACTCCCACCTCTCCTCTCCTCCTCCTGCCTGGACTCTGTATTCTGGGTTAAACTATGATTTATTTTAAGGATTTATAACGCCTGACACATGTAGCTGAGCCTTCTGCACAGAGAAATATTGGGAGTGGAGGCTAATTGGGTCAAAGGAAAGAGCCTTAAACCTACACTACAGCCTATCAGGGTGAATCAGAGGTCTACATTGCCCTACTCTTGTCTCACCTACTGCCACAATCTAGGTGAAGGTTTGGACCATAGAACGAGGAACTTGTGTGGAGACTTTTAGCCCCATAGATGCCCTCAGACCAGTCTGCAGGACACTCTGCCCTGACCTGCCCCAGCTTTGCACACATATTCTCCAGTCCTTGAAAGGAAACTGCCCCCTTCAAAGCTTACAAGTTTCTCCTCCTGGCTCAGCACGGGGAGCAAGTTCTCTAGATAGCTTCTTGTTAAATAAAATGGTAGGGAAGAAAACCCAGGCAGCTGAGCATAGAAGGGGATGAGCAACAAGCTTCCTCTCCAAACATGATTTTCCGTCCAAGGTCATGAGCACTCCCTGGTCTGCTTACATTTACCTTATGCTAGATTTCTGGTCAGCACAACAGCATGCAAAGCTTCAGCAGCTTCCTTCTAGATGGAGCTGTGGTGGTTCCTGTTTAGGCAGTTGTGCTCGAGAATCTTCTCCTCCAGGACTACTGGGCAAGGTCCAGTGCAAAGGAGTTCCCCAACACTTTTATCTACTTTCATTTGAATTTTTAAATTAAACATTGAACTCAGCACAAAGAGAGGCGAGGATCATGATTATTGGGTAGATTCTACTTCCAAATATTGTAATTGCAATTCCTTGTGTAATTATTATAGCACTAGGGCTACCAGAGCTTTAAAATCTGTTCTCAAGATTCTGAAGGTAGTAAGTGGTTTGGCTGGCATTTGACATATATTTTCAATGAGTTTAAAATTAGTTTTCTTGCCTGTATACCACTCTGCCTGACTAACCTTAAAATAATCTCTTTAAAATATCTGTGATATTTACCTAACTACATTTTTATAATGTCATTCAATACTATACTTATTGCATAAATATTTTACGTACTTATCATGTAAGTATACAAAATAGCACATATAGATCTTATGTTTCTCCATGAAGTTTTTAATTGTATCAGCTACATAATTTTTTAAATTTTTTTATTTTAAGTTCTGGGATACATGTGCAGGATGTGCAGGTTTGTTACATAGGTATACATGTGCCATGGTGATTTGCTGCACCTATCAATCCATCATCTAGGTTTTAAGCCCTGCATGCATTAGGTATTTATCCTAATGCTCTCCTTCCCCTTCCCCACCACCCCCCGGCAGGCCCTCGTGTGTGATGTTCCCCTCCCTGTATCCATGTGTTCTCATTGTTCAACTCCCACTTATGAGTGAGAACATGCGGTGTTTGGTTTTCTGTTCCTGTGTTAGTTTGTATCAGGTACATAATGTTTAATCATAGTTATATACTATCATTCATTCACCTTTGATCTACCCAAAACTATGAGAAGGGGAAAGAAAAGAATGAAAGGAAAGTGCGATCAATCTGAATAGGCCTGTATCGATTAGAGCAATTGAATTAATAATTAATATCATTTAAAAACAGAAAGCCTCAGACCCAGACTGGTTCACTGATGATTTCTACCAAATATTTAAGGAAGAAATTCTTACCAATTTTCTGCTTTATCTTTTAAAAGACAGAAGCAGGGGAAATATTTCCTAACTCATTTTATGAGACCATCATTACCCTAATAGCAAACCTAGACAAAGACATTACCAGCAAAAAAAAAAAAAAAAAAAAGAAAAGAGAAGAAGAAAATAAAAGAAAAAAATTAGGAAGAAAGGGAGAGGTAAAACTATACAGATTAAAATCTACCTTGGACATACATGCAAAATTCCCAGCAAAATATTAGCAAATTGAATCCAACAATATATAAAAATAATTATACATTATAACCAAATGGGATTCATTGCAGGTATGCAAGGCTGGTTCAATATTTGAAAATCAAATAATGTAAACCATCACATTAGCAAGCTAAAGAAGAAAAATCACATGATTATATCAATAGATGCAAAAAAGCATGTGACGAAATCCCACACCCATTCATAATTAAAAATTATCAGTAAGGTGGAAGTGGAGAGAATGCCTTCAACTTAGTAAAGAATATCTTCAAAAACCTACAGATAGCATCATACTTAATGGAAAGAAACGACAAGCTTTCCCACTAAGGTTAGAAACCAGACTAGAATTTCCCCTCTTGTCACTACTTTTCAATATTGCACTGGAAGTACTAAATGCAATAAGACAAGAGAAAGAAATAAAAAATACTTGGATTGGGCAGGAAGAGATAAAACTGTTTTTGTTTGCAAATGGGATGATGGTCTATGTAAAAAATCTAAAAGAACCAACAAAAACCCTCCTGGAACTAATAAGACATTATAGCAAGTTTGAAGGATACAATGTTAGTATATAAAAGTCAAACACTACATAGCAGCAGTAAACGTGAAATTGGAAATTAAAAATGCAATACTATTGACATTAGTATCCCCATAAAATGCTTACATATAAATTTTAAAAATGTACAAGATTTATATGTGGAAAATCGCAAATTTCTAATGAAAGAAATCAAAGAATTGAATGTAGACATATTCCATGTTCCTGGGTAGAAAAACTCAGTATCTATTTTTTATATCGTTTTTCTCTTTTTTATTGATACATAATAATTGTACGTATCTGTGGGTTACATGTGATATGGTGATATAAATATACAAAGTGTAATGGTTGAATCTGGGTAATGGGATATCCTTCCCCTCAAACATCTGTTATTTCTTTATGTTGGGAATATTTCATTATTGTCTTCTATCTATTTTGAAATATACAGTAAGTTATTGTTAACCATAGTCACCCTACTGCACTATTGAACACAGAACTGATTTCTTCTATCTAACTGTATTTTTGCAATCATTAACCAACTGATCTTCATTCAACTTCAACCTTTCCAAGCCTCTGGTAACCATTATTCTACTCTTTATCTCTTGAGATCAACTTTTTTGGTTCCCACATGAGTGAGAACATGTCATACTTGTTTTTCTGTGCCTGGCTTATTTCACTTTACATAATTATGTGCATTTCTATCCATTTTGCTGCAAAGGAGAGGATTTCATTCTTTGTAATGGCTATAGACTATTCTGCTGTGTATTTGTACATTTTCTTTGTCCATTCATCTCTTGATGGACACTTAGACTGATTCCATATCTTGGCTATTGTGAATAGTTTTGCTGTAAATGTGGGTGGGGAGGTGGAAATATCTCTTTGATATATTGATTTCCATTCTTTTTAATATATACCAAGCAATGGGATTGTTGAATCATATTGTAGATGCATTTTTAGGGTTTTTTTTTTTTTTTTGAGGAACCTCCATACTGTTCTGCATAGCGATTGTACTAATTTACACTCCCACTGGCAGGATATGAGTGTTCCCTTCTTTCTGCTTCTCTGACAGCATCCATTATTTTTTCTATTTTTAAATACATTTTTTTATTTCAATGGCTTTTGGGGTAAAAGTGGATTTTGGTTACAAGGATGAATTCTACAGCGATGAAGTCTGAGATTTTAGTGCACCCATCACCTGTATAGCATACACTGCATCCAATATATAGTTTTTTGTCCTTCACCACCATTCCCCTCTTCTGAGTCTCCAATGCCTGTTATACCACTGTGTATACCTTTGCATACCTATAGTTTAGCTCTCACTTATAAGTGAGGTCATACAGTATTGGGTTTTCCATTTCTGAGTTACTTCACTTAGAATAATGACCTCCAGCTCCATTCAAGTTTCATTCTTTTTTATGTTTGAGTAGTATTCTGTGGGAGTATCTATACCACATTTCCTTTATCCACTCATCAATTAATGAGCACTTAGGATGGTTCCACATCTTTGCAATTGTGAATTGTGTTATAATAAACATGTGCATGTGTCTTTTTGGTATAGTGACTTCTTTTCCTCTGGGTAGATACCCAGTAGTGGGATTGCTGAATCAAATGGTAGATCCACCTTCAGTTTTTAAAGAAATCGCCATACTGCTTTCCATAGAGGTTGTAATTTACAGTCCCACCAGCAGAGTAGGAGCATTCGCTTTTCGTGACATCCACACCAACATCTATTGTTTTCTGGCTTTTTAATTATGCCCATTCTGGCGGGGGTAAGGTGGTATTTTATTGTGGTTTTAATTTGCATTTCACTGATGATTAATGGTATTGAATATTTTTTCATGTGTTTGTTGCCATTTGTATACCTTCTTTTCAGTAATGTCTATTCATGTCCTTTGCCCCCTTTTGGATGGGATATTTTTTTCTTGCTGATTTGTTTGAGTTCCTTGTAGACTCTGGATATTAGTCCTTCATCAGATGCATGGTTTGCAAATATATTCTCTCCCATTCTGTGAGTTTTCTGTTTACCCTGCTGATTATTTCTTCTGCTGTGTAGCAGCTTTTTAGTTTAATTAGGACCTATTTATTTATTTTTGGTTTTGTTGCATTTGCCTTTGGAATGGTAGTCATAAATTATTTGCCTAGGCCAAAGTCCAGAAGTGTTTTCCTAGGTCTTCTTCTAGAATTTTTATGGTTTCAGGCCTTATAATTGTCTTTGATCCATTTTCAGTTGATTATTTTACATGGTTAGAGAAATGAATCCAGTTTCATTTTTCTACGTGTGGTTATCCAGTTTTCCCAGCACGATTTATTGAATAGGGTATCCTTTCCCCAGTTTAGGTTTTTGTATGCTTTGTCAAAGATCGGGTGGTTCTAAGTATATGGCTTTATTTCTGGAGTCTCCTTTTTGTTCCGTTGGTCTGTATATCCACTTTTATACCGGTACCATACTGTTTTGGTTACTATAGCCTTGCAATATAATGTAAAGTCAGGTAATATGATGCCTTCAGGTTTGTTCTTTTTCTCAGGACTTTTTTGGTTGTTTGGGCTCTTTTTTTCTTCTGTATAAATTTTAGGATTGCTTTTTCTAGTTCTGTGAAAAATAATGATGGCATTTTGATGGGCATTGGATTGATCTATAGATGGCTTTGGACAGTGTGGTCATTTTCACAATATTGATTCTTCCAATCCATGAGTGTGGAATCTATTTCCATTTGTTTGTGTCATCTGTGATGTTCTCCAGCAGTATTTTGTAGTACTCTGCTTCTAGAGCTCTTTCACCTTCTTGGTTAAGTATATTTCTCAACATTTTATTTTTTGCAGCTACTATAAAAGGGATTATGTCATTGATTTGATTATCAGTTTGGTTTTTGTTGGTGTATCCCAGTGCTACTGATTTGTGTACATTGATTTTGTAACCTGAGATTTTGCTAAAATAACTTATCAAATCTAGGAGTCTTTTGGTGGAGTTCTTAGAGTTTTCTAGGTATACGATCATATCATCAGCAAACAGTGATAGTTTGACTTTCTATTTTATAATTTGGATGTTCTTTATTTCTTTCTCTTGCCTGATTGCTGTAGCTGGGACTTCCAGTACTATGTTTTTGTTTTTCTGGTGGTTGTTTGTTTGTTTAGACAGAGTCTCGCTCTGTCACCCAGGCTGGAGTGCAGTGGTGCAATCTTGGCTCACTGCAACCTCCACCTGCCATGTTCAAGCCTCAGCCTCCTGAGCAGCTCGGACTACAGGAGCACACCACCAAGTCCGGCTAATTTTTGTATTTTCAGTAGAGATGAGCTTTCACCATGTTGGCCGGGCTGATCTCGAACTCCTGACCTCGAGTGATCTGCCTGCCTCAGCCTCCCAAAGTGCTGGAATTACAGGTGTGAGCCACTGCGCCTGGCCCCCAGTACTTTGTCAAATGGAAGTGGTGAAAGTGGGCATCCTTGTTTCAGTTCTTAGGAGGAATGCTTTCAAGTTTACCCCATTCAGGATGGTGTTGTCTGTGGGTTTGTCACATAAGGCTTTTATTATTTTGAGGTATACTCCTTCTATGCCTAGTTTGTTGAAGATTTTTATCATAAAGGGATGCTGGATTTTATAGAATGCTTTTTCTGTGTCTGTTGAGATGATTATATGGTTTTTGCTTTTAATTCTGTTTATGTGGTTAATGACATTTATTGACTTGCATATGTTGAACATCCCTGCATTTCAGGGATGAAACCCACGTGACAATGGTATATAATCCTTCTGATGTGCTGTTGGATTTGGTTAGCTAATATTTTGTTGAGGATCTTTGCATCTATGTTCATTAAGGATATTGGTCTGTAGTTTTCTTATTTTGTTATGTCCTTTCCTGGTTTTGTTATCAGAGTGACACTGAATTAATAAAATAAGTTAGAAAATATTCCCTCTTTATTAATCTTTTGGACTAGTTTCAGTAGGATTGGTACTAATTCTTTTTTGAGTGTCTGGTAGAATTTGACTGTGAATTCATCTGGCTTTGGGGTTTTTAGTTGTTTTTGGCAATTCGTTAGTTACTGACTCAATCTCACGGCTTGTTATTGGTTTGTTTGGGATTTCTATTTCTTCCTATTTCAAGCTAGGGGAGTTTTGTTTCCAGGAATTTACCCATTTCCTCTAACTTTTCTAGTTTGTATGCATAGAGGAGTTCATATTAGTTTTGAGTAATCTTATATTTCTGTGGTGTCAGTTGCAATGCCTCCATTTTTATTTCTAATCAAGCTAATTTGAATCTTCTCTCTTCTTTTCTTGGTTAATCTAGCTAATGATCTATCAATTTTATTTATCTTTTCAAAGAACAAACTTTTTGTTTCACTAATCTTTTGTGTATTTTAATTCAATTTCATTTAGTTCTGCTCTGCTTTTTGCCATTTCTTTTCTTCTGCTAGCTTTGGGTTTGGTTTGTTCTTGTTTCTCTAGTTTCTTCAGGTGTGACCTTTAATTGCCAACTTCTGATCTTTCAGACTTTTTGATATAGGCATTTAGCATGATAACCCTTCCTCTTAGCACTGTTTTGCAGTATCCCAGAGGTTTGGATAACCTGTGTCACTATTATCACTCATTTCAAAGAATTTTTAAAATTTTCATCTTGATTTCATTGTTAACTCAAACATCATTCAGGAGCAGATTGTTTAATTTTCGTGTATTTGTATAGCTTTGAGAGTTCCTTGTGGAGTTGATTTCTAGTTTCATTTCACTGTAGTCTGAGAAGATACTTGATATGACTTGGATTTTTAAAAACTTATTGTGGTTTATCATATGGTCTATCTTGGAGAATATTCCATGTGTTGATGAAAAAATGTATATTCTGCAGTTCTTGCATAGAATATTCTGTGAATATCTGTTAAGTCCTTTGTTATGGAGTGCAGTTTAAGTCCAGTGTTTCTTTGCTAACTTTCTGCCTTGATGATCTGTCCATGAGTGTTAAAATCCCCCAGTATTATTGTGCTGCTGTTTATCTCTTTTCGTAGTTCCAGTAGTAATTGTTATATGAATCTGGGAGTTCCATAGTCAGGTGCATATATATTTAGGGTTGTAATATCTCCTCTTTGAAGATCAATCTTGTTGATTCATCATTTTATCATTATATAGGGTCCTTATTTGTCTTTTTTTACATTGTTGCTTTAAAGTCTGTTTTATCTGATATAAGAACAATTACTCTTGCTTGCTTTTGGTTTCTATTTGAGTGGAATATCTTTTTCAATCCCCTTTACCATGAGTCTTTAAGAATATTTACATGTTAGGTAAGTCTCTTGAAGACAGCAGATGTTCGGTTTGTAATTTTTTTTATCCATTCTGACCATCTATATATTTTAACTGGAGTATTTAGATGATTTACATTCAACATTAATACTGAGATGTGAGGTACTGTTCCAGTCATCATGTTGTTACTTGGACACTTTGTTTTCTTTGTTGCATTATTATTTTACAGGCCCTGTGAGTTTCATGTTTTCAGGAGGTTCCATTCTGGTGCACATCAACCTTTTGTTGCAAGATTTAGAAATTGTTTTAGCATCTCTTGTAGGGCTGGTCTGTTAGAGACAAATTCTCTTAGCATTTTCTCATCAGAAAAATACTTTATTTCTCCTTCATTTTTGAAACTTAGTTTTGTTGGATACAAAATTCCTGGCTGACAGTTTTTTTCTGTAAAAGGTGGCTAAAGATAGGACCTCAATCCCTTTGGCTTGTAAGGTTTCTGCTGAGAAGTCTGCTGTTAGTCTGATAGGTTTTCCTTTATAGGTTACCGGATGCTTTTGTCTCACTGCCCTTAGCATTTTTTTCCTTCATGTTGACTTTAGATACCCTGATGACTATGTGCCTTGGCCATGTCCTTTTTGCAAAGAATTTCCCAGGAGTTCTTTGAGCTTCTTATATTTAGATGTCTAAATCTCTAGTGAGGTCAGGAAAGTTTTCCTCAATTATTCCCTCAAATAAGTTTTCCAAATTTTTGGCTTTCTCTTCTCCCTCAGGAACATCAATGATTCTTATACTTGGCCATTGTACATAATCTTATATTTCTTGGATACCCTGTCGATTTCTTATAGTTCTTTTTTCTTTATTTTTGTCCAGTTGGGTTAGCTCAAAAGCCTTGTCTTTAAGCTCTGAAATTCTTTCTTCTAATTGGTCTAGACTACTTTAAAACTTTCCACTGCATTTTGTAAGTCTCTAAATGTGTCTTTCATTTCCGGAAGTTCTGTTTGATTTTTCTTTAACACATCTCTCTCTTTAGAAAATTTTTATTTATATCTTGAACTAATTTTTAAATTTCTTTATGTTGATTTTCACTTCTCTCTTGTATCTTCCTGAATAACTTAATAATTAGCCTTTTGATTTCCTTATCTGGTATTTCAAAGATTTCACCTTGGTTTGGATCTATTGCTGGAGAGCTAATGGATGTTATAGAACCCTGTTTTGTCATATTGACAGAATTATTTTTCTGATTTCCTCTAATCTGGTTAAACTATTTCTTCTAATTATTTTTGAATTTATTTTTTATTCAACTGTGATTTTTCTTATTTCCTTTTTCTCCTTGAGGATGTGACTTTAATGTTTATAGTTTATTTTAACCTATGGCTCTGGGTGCTTTCAGGGGTCCAATGATGTGATCTATCCTCAAGACTCCCAGCAGTGGGTAACAGCACCAGCTCTGATGGGGGTGGCAGAGGGGTGACGTAGATTCTGTGATATTGTTTGGTTATAAATAGGCTTAATTTGGCTTTCTCAAATGCCAGTTGTAGTAGTAATGAACTGGTCATGTGGACAGACTGAGAACCTCCTGATTAACCAAGTTGATGCAGGCAATGGTGATAACCGAGGTCACACACAAGTTTTCTCCTTCCTGGTTGCTGTTATGTGCCTGCAGAGGTTATAATGGACTCTGTCAATTGGCCTACAGCCAGGATGTGAAGCTTGCAAAAGAGCACTAGCTGCAGTGGTAGCAGTGGGATTTGTGCTTGTCTTTTGTAATCTCGTTTGTCTATTTCACCTTTGTTGTCTGTGCTGTTGAGTTCTTATCAAAAAAGTTCTTGCCCATATCAATGGCCTGAAGAATTTCCCCAATGTTTTCTTCAAGTAATTCATAGCTTCAGGTCTTGCATTTAAGTCTTTAATCCATTTTGATTTGATTTTTGAATACAATAAGAGATAAGAGTTCAGTTTCATTATTCTGCATATGGACATCCAGTTTTCTCACCACCATTTACTGAAGAGATTGTCTTTTCCCCATTGAATATTCTTGGCACCACTGATCTTTGACAAAGGTACAAAGAAAATGCAATGGTCCTGTACAAGAAAATATAATGTATTTGGAGATCAGAATCAAGGACAAGGCGACTGAGTGTAACAAGGGAGGGATATCGGCTGGAGAGATTTGACAAGTCAGCAGGGTGCAGAGATGCAGAATTCCTTAAGCTATGAACAGAGGTCAGCTTTACTAGTGGGACATTATTTTAAGACATTAACTGAGGATTCTCTCCTTCTCCTACCACCCTGCCACATTTTAGGTGCTTTTACCACTCTTGGAAAAAATTGTCTCCTAAATGTACAGTCCTCTAAAAATGAAGAGATTATTCAAGAAGCACAGATATTGGAATTTTTGCCTATGAGTTCCAAAACAGTATTTAAAGTCATGGTAGAAAAAAACTATCTTGAAAGGCAACATGCTTTATTAACCAGACTTTCTCAGAGAGCAGGTAATAATGGCCGTATTTATTGAGCATTCAATGTGCACCAGGCACAGTTCTGAGTCTCTCATATTTTGTCCTCAGGAAAACCCTGACAAAGGTAGCATTGTTGTCCCCATTATATGCTTGAGAAAACTGAAGAAAAGAGAGGAGAATTAACTTGCCCAAGCCACACAGCAAAGCTGAGACTTGAGCCCAAGTAGTCTGGTTCCAGATGTCATGCCTTTGGGATGGTGTTTTGCTTCCAGTCATCTGGCTTTGGATCTCAAGGGTCAAACAGGATGGCCCTGACTGCACCCCACCCCAACATGGGCAGGTGATGGGAATGAAGGAGGAACCTAGAGGTGAAAGGGTGGGGATGTGCTGAACCCCTGACATGTGTGAGGGTGCCTGGCACATAGCAGAGGAGAGTAGGGGGAGGATTCAGGTAGTATCTGTTGGCCAGGCTGCCTGGGCAGAGTCAGAGGGTTCAAAAGAGGAAAAAAAATGGAGCTGTCTGAAGGTAGGGGAAGGGGGTTCACAAAAGCGATCAACTTGAAGGGGGAGACGTAGGGTGGGATGCTGGCAAGAAAGGGAGCTAAGAATTCCTAAAAGCCTACCAGGATAGAAGCTGCACCCTTCTATCCCTGTGTTCTGAGCTGGCTAAGGACCTCGGTCTTGGGACACTCCCAAAGCATGGAGGCCCTATGATCAGCCAAAGAGGCAGTCAGGTTCTTGGGTTCAGTGACAACACCCCACCTAACCCGCCCAGGTTATGCCCCTTCCCTGACGCCTCCCAGTCCTCAAGAGCCCCCTGCTGGCTGTCAGTAGAGGCCCAGGCACAGTTTTATTCCGGAGAATCTGGAAAGGCAGGTGGATGGGTCAGAGGGTCACTGCAAGCCCGCGTTCAGGGGCTCCACTCGCAGCCAAAGTCCTCCTTCAGCGCGCATGATCAGCTCCGGCTTCCTGCGGGGCTCCGTGTGGTCCAGCAGGAAGCGGAAGCGCAGCAGCGTCAGCGCCAGGACCACCTTCATCTTCGCCATGGCGAACGCCTGCCCGATGCAGTTCCTGCGGGTGGGAGTGGGGACTGTGACTGCGCCCAGGATCCGCATTTGGGCCCCATCACGCCGGAAACCTGGCCCGGGATCCTCAACCGCACCCAGATCAGCCTGAGAGATAGAGAGGGGCTGAGCATGCGTGGGACCCCCCTGTGGGTTTGCATGTCCCCCAGAGCCTGGGCCAGACTCCAGCTCCCAGCTCAGACCAGCAGATGGAGGAGGGGATTCTGAGCACTCTGCGGACCCTCTAGGACCTACTCACCCCCATTCTATGGACATTTTCCCATAAACTGTGAAGGAATGGAGGGAAAGAGAACTGGAACTGGGACCATCTGCAAACTTCCCCCTTTTTCGACCCTCGCACCTATCACCCCATCCCCATACCAGACACAGGTGGCCCTTACCTGGGTCCCGCAGAGAAGGGAATAAAAGCCAGAGGTGACCTCTCCTTGCTGTTCTCTGAGTTGAAGCGGAAGGGGTTGTAGACCTGGAGGTAAGACCAAGAGGGCTGCTGGGTGGGGTCTCCCAGGTCCAGCAGCCTTGGAAAGACAGTTGTGTGTGTGTTGGGGCGAGGTGATGTTGGATTTTCCTGATCAAAACCCTGCCTCCTCCTCTAGGAACCTTGGAATTGACAAAGAGGGCAGGGGGTCGGGGGTGGATGGGAAAGGCAGCACCTCAGGATCCGGTCACACAGTTGGGTTGTGATGGATTCCTATAATGTTGATGATGCAGATAATGCCTGTGGGAGAGAAGGTGGCAGTCAGGACAAGGATCCCCCTGAAGGACCCCTCTTCCTACCCGGGGGGCTCCTCCCCATGAGGCTGTGAGCATCTTTGGGGATGACCCTACCATCTGGGAGCACAATGTCCCAGATGCGGTGGCGGGAGGTGTACGGAACAGGGGGATGCAACCGCAGGCTCTCCTTCACGCACATGGTCAGGAAGGGCAGCTGGGCCAGGTCGTACCTAAGGCAACACCCCAGCCCCAATCATTATCAAGGGAGCAAAGACACACTTCTCCAGCTTCTCTATTTCCAAGTGAGACCTTTTCTCCCTGTAACAAAATAAACTCCACATGGATCAAAAGTTTGAGAATTAGAAAAACAGAAAAAATTAGAAAAACAGAGAATTAGAAGTACCAGAGAAAATTTAGCCAAGTAGTTAAAAATATATACTCTGAGGAAAACACACCCAGAAGCCAGCTGAAAAAAGTTAACAAATTTGCATAAAAATAAATATTGTCTATGGCAAGAAAGCAAACTCAAATGCAAATGAATAAGAAACAAAATACCCAGATCCAATGTTTTGCTCTTATTTCGCATGGAACTAGAGATACCAGCAAGTGCAATTAGGCAAGGGAAAAACAAGAGAGTCATGCAATTTGAAATGTGGGAGTAAATGTATCATTTTGGCAGATAGTGATGTTATACTTAGAAAACACAGGAAGCTCCACTGGAAAACGTTTATAAACGTTTAAGATCCAGTAAAGGAGCTGAATTATCTGCTTAATCTTTCTTCTTTTGCCTTGGCTATTTAAAATTTTAATACCATCTAAACCTATCTGATTCAGAATTTGAAAACTGTAAAATATAATCCACTCCTATGGCCCAATGCCATCTACTTCTCCCCACATGTTGCCCAGGTTATTATTTTTTTAATGTGTCCTTCCTGTGCTAATATTTAGTATATTAAAAAAATTATATAGGAGCACACCATCTACTATACACTAGTATTCTGCATCTTTTTTTTTTTTGAGACAGAATCTTACTCTGTTGCCCAGGCTGGAGTGCAGTGGTGCAATCTCCGCTCACTGTAATCTCCACCTCCCAGGTTCAGGTGATTCTCCTGCCTCAATCTCCTGAGTAGTTGGGGCTTCAGGCCTGCACCACCATGCCTGGCTAATTTTTTTGATTTTTAGTAGAGATGGGATTCCACCACGTTGGCCAGGCTGGTCTTGAACCCCTGACCTCAGATGATCTGCCCACCACAGCCCACCTCAGCCTTCCGAAGTTCTGGGATTATAGCCATGACCCACCGTGCCTGGCCTATATCTTTTTCTCATTTAACAGTTTATCACTTTTTCTTAGCCCCTGGAACTTACGTCAAAATAAGGTTATCCCTACTCTGGAGCTATGAAATAATTTTCTCATGGTTTCATCTAGGGCTTTTAAGACTCTTTTAAAAAAATTTTATTAATCTGGACATTATCTTGTCATAAGACATGAGAACCAGCTTGTTGCCTTTTTTCCAGAAGGCTTTCCAGTTGTCCCAAGAGCTTTTACTTATTTTTTCTCTTGATACACAGCATCATCTTTAGCATGTACTGTGTTCATTGGGCACAGAATTTATATGTATAAATCATTAGTTTTTCATGTAGAAATAACCACCAACTGAAAAGATGATAATAAAAGATGCTAGTCATAATAATATAAAATACCTGGATTAAACTTAAAAAGAAACATGAAATCTCTGTATTTTATTATAAATTTCTCTCAATCCAAATAAAAGATACACTTTACCATGGCAACAAATGTATGTAAGGGGTGATTTAAAAAAAAGTCACTCTACCAGCTATTAAAACCTATTAAGAAGTTGCAGTAATAGCAATAGTCTGGCAATGCTGTAAGAACAGAAAAACAGACCTATTCAAAAGACTAGAAAGCTCAGAGACAGACAAGTGAATAAATGAAAACTTCCCATCTGCTGAAGGAAGCTCTACGAAACTCTGGGAAATAGATGGGTACTATGGCTGCAAAAGAAAATGTAGACGAACGAAACTCTGGGAAATAGATGGGTACTATGGCTGCAAAAGAAAATGTAGACGAATTTGACTTCATAAAAATTAACCAAAAGTACCCTCAAACAAGTCAAAAGGCAATCTTTTGCAACAAAAGACAGAAAAAAAGATTATTGTAATACACATCCTTTTAAGTAAGTATGAAAAAACAACCCGAAGAAAAACAGCAAAAAAAAGAAAAAAAATGTAAGATGACCAATCCCATAGAAAGAAAACAAATGGCGTATCAACTTGGGCAAAAGATGTTCTTCTCCCTCTTATTTAAGAAAATGTTCATTAAAAGATGAAATATTAAAATTGACAAAAACTTAAAATTTAATAATACAGTAATGCTATTGGTGAATTTATGGGGAAGTTTAAGCTTATGCCATCAAACTCAGCTAATATAGGAATGGATTTGCACTCATTTTTACAATTGTAGAATGCAAATGGTCTTTGATTCAGCAATTCCACCTTTGGGAGTGTGTCCTACAGAGATGCCCACACATATAAACAGTGGTCACTGTACACACATGCCAATTGCAACAGGTTTAATTTAGCAAAAGGCTAAAATGAGCCAAATATACATGGATAGGAAGATATTTAGATAAACATCCACACAATGGAATAGTATACAGCTACACAAAAGGAGGAAATAAGGATCACTAGTCCTGTCACACAATGCAGGCTAGAAGGTGAATCAGTACAGAGACTCTGAAAGGCAGATTGACAATTCCACAATAATTGAAAATGTTTACACAAGTGACTTCAAGAAAGGGACAGGCCAAATAAAGTATGGAATGCTATTCAGCAGTCAAAAAAATAGCTATCAGACACACTGTTGAGTGGAAAAAAAAGTGTTCCAAAATGTCTATATATATATCTCATAGTGCAAAATATATATGGAATATATAAGGAGATAGATGATAGAAAGTTATGTAGATAGATGGATAAACAAACAGACAGACAGATGACAAATCAGTATCTCTACAGGCCCCTTTGGAGAAAGGGAGGATATTAGGTGGGGTAGCAGGAATGTCAAGGATAACCCTTGTCTTATCTGTAATGTCTCATTGAGTGCAAGAAGAACCTGTTCTTTTGTAATTCAAACTCATTTTTTTGTAATTCTCATTATAAACTCATTTTCCATGTGGTATATATACAAAATGGAGTGCTATTCAGCCTTAAAACAGAAGAAAATTATTTCATTTGTGATAGCATGGAAGAACCTGGAGGACATTATGCTAAGTGAAATAAGCCAGGCACAAGAAGACAAATAGCACGCGACCTTAATTACCTGTGAGATCTGAAATAGTTAACATAGAAATCAGAGAAACTGAGAAGAGAATGGTGGTTACCAGAGGAGGGAGGAAGAAAGAGTGGAAAGACGGTCAAAGGGTACAAGTTTCTGTTAGACAGGAGGAATAAGTTTTGAGACCTATTACATGCATGGTGACTACAGTTAATAATAATATATTTTTCAAAATTCCTAAGAGAGTAAATTTCAAATGTTCTCACCATAAATATGATGAGTATATGAAATGGTGGTTATGTTTATCAGATTGACTTAATCATTCCACATTGTATACATATATTATAACGTCACATTGTACCCCATAAATATATATAATATTAATAAACATAATAAATAAAAATAAACTTATTTTCCAAAACTCATATTTTGAGAAAAAGAAAAGAAAAGAAAACATCTTGCTGGGTACAGTGGCTCACGCTTATAATCCCAGCACTTTAGGACACCGAGGCAGGTGGATCACAAGGTCAGGAGTTCGAGACCAGCCTGGCCAACACAGTGAAACCCCGCCTCTACTAAAAATACAAAAATTAGCTAGACATGGCGGCGGGTGCCTGTAATACCAGCTACTCAGGAGGCTGAGGCAGGAGAATTGCTTGAACCTGGGAGGTGGAGGTTGCAGTGAGCCGAGATCGCGCCATTGCACTCACTCTAGCCTGGGCGACAGAGCAAAACTGTCTCAAAAAATTAAAAAAAAAAAAAGGAAAGATCTCAAAAGATATAGTGTTAATGTGCAGATCTGTGACACTTTATTTCTTTTTATTTCAACAGCATTTGGGGTACAAGTGGTTTGGTTACATGGATGAATTCTACAGCGGTGAATTCTGAGGTTTTAGTGCACCCATCACCTGAGCAGTGTATACTATTCCCAATATGTTGTCTTTTCTCCCTTATCCACCTCCCAACCTCGCTCCCTAAGTCTCCAAAGCTGATTATATCATTCTGTATGTATTTGTGTCCTCACAACTTAGCTCCCACTTAGAGGTGAAAACATACAGTGTTTGGTTTTCCATTCCTGAGTTACTTCACTTAGAATAATGGCCTCCAGCTCCATCCAAGTTGCAGCAAAAGACATTATTTCATTCCTTTTTACGGACGAGTAGTATTCCATGGTATATATATATATGTCACATTTTCTTTATCCACTCGTTGGTCGATGGACACTTAGGTTGGTTCCATATCTTTACAATTGTGAATTGTGCTACTATAAGCATACATGTGCCCGTATCTTTTTCATATAATGACTTATTTTCCTTTGGGTGGATACTTAGTAGTTGGATTACTGGATGGAATGGTAGATCTACTTTTAGTTCTCTAAGGAATCTCCTTACTGTTTTCCATAGAGGTTGTGCTAATTTACATTCCCACCAGCAGTGTAAAAGTGTTCCCTTTTCACCACACGCACACCAACATCTATTGTTTTTTGACTTTTTAATTATGGCCATTCTTGTAGAAATAAGGTGGTATCTCATTGTGGTTTTTTCATTTGCATATCCCTGATGATTAGTGATGTTGAGCATTTTTTATATGTTTCTTGGCTATTTGTGTATCTTCTTTTGAGAATTGTCTATTCATGTCCTCTGCCCACTTTTTGATGGAATTATTTGTCTTATTCTGGCTGATTTAAGTTTCTTGTAGATTCTGGATACTAGTCCTTTGTCAGATGCACAGTTTGCAAATACTTTCTTCCACTCTGTAAGTTATCTGTTTACTCTGATGATTGTTTCTTTTGCTGTGCAGAAGCTTTTTAATTCAGTTAGGTCCCACTGATTTGTTTCTGTTTTTGTTGCATTTACTTTTGGGGTCTTAGTTATGAATCCTTTGCCTAGGCCAATGTCCAGAAGAGTTTTTCCAAGGTTATCTTCTAGAATTTTTATGGTTTCAGGTTTTAGATTTAAGTCTTTGATCCATCCTGAGTTGATTTTTGTATAAGGTGAGAGATGGGGATCCAGTTTAATTTTTCTACATGTGGCTATCCAGTTTTCCCAGCATGACTTATTGAATAGGGTGTCCCTTTCCCAATTTATGTTTTTGTATGCTTTGTGAAAGATCTGTTGGCTGTAAGTATTTGGCTTTATTTCTGGGTCCTCTATTCTGTTCCGTTGGTCTAAGTACCTACTTTTATACCAGTGCCATGTTGTTTTGGTAACTATAGCCTTGTAGTATAATTTGAAGTCCAGTAATGTGATGCCTCCAGATTTATTCTTTTTGTTTGTTATTGCTTTGGCTGCACAGGCTCTTTTTTGGTTCCATATGAATTTTAGAATTGTTTATCCAGTTCTGTGAAAATGATGATGGTGGTTTAATGGGCATTGCATTAAAATATGTAGGTTGCTTTGCATGGTATGGTCATTTTCACAATATTGATTCTTCCAATTCATGAGCATAGGATGTGTTTCCATTTGTTTGTGTCATCTACGATTTCTTTCAACAGTGTTTTGTAGTACTCCTTGTAGAGATCTTTCACCACCTTAGTTAAATATATTCCTAGGTATTTTATCTTTGGAACTATTTTTTTGGCAGCTGTGTGAGTCAGAGGGCAGTTCTTAGGTCACTGGGGTAATGTTCCAGAGGTGAGTATAACTGCCTCTGCCTTGCAAAAGAGCTTGCAAAGGGAGTGGAGAGTAGCAGGTGGCAGTAAGCCTCATCCGGCTCCCATGCAGTTGGCAAGACTGATCTCACTCCTGCAGTGCTCCACCCATAGCACTGGATTTAGATCCAAGTAGTCTATGCACAGAACTCAGACCTGCCCCAGGCCATAAGCTTTTCCCCCAGAGATAGCAATACTTTTAGGCCATGCCCCTTTTTGTCCCTGTCCAAGGCCAGGCACCCAGCTCCTGCACTCCTGTCTGCAGTACACTTCCCGCTTGCCCCCTGGGTTCTGGTCAAGGGAGTTCATCCCCACTTGAGGTTATATCAAGAAATTCAGTTGGGCATTTCAACCTGTGACCCCTGCCTGAGCTAGTTGGCTGGCTTCTGCAAGGTCTCCTGTGAGATATAATAAGGAATGGCTTCCCTCAGTCCATGCTGGAGATTGGGAATGCCTGCAAGGCACTTTCTGCTGCTGCTTCTATTTTTATATTTCTTACCACTCCCTAAATCAGTTCCAGCTCTGGGTAGAGTTAAGGCCTCCCCCTGTGGTCTGGCTTTTCAGACTCCCCAGTGAAGATGTGTACCCTGGAGGCAGTCTCTCCCCCTCTCACACTCTGGGGATTCACAGTTTTTCACCTGTCTCACAGAGTAGGATGCAGCCTGCAGCTTCTTTTGAAGGGTCTATGGATTCTTTTGGGTTTCCTGTTAAGCCTCTGTGTTGTTTTTTGGGGAAAGAAAGTTCACAGTGTGAATCTCTACATACTTTTTTGTCCTTCCACAGGGGAGAGACACACTGACATTGCCTCCAATTCATCATCTTGGAAAAGAAATGTTGTGTCTATTTTATATACTCCTATTTGTATAGAAAAAGTCTGTGTTCATATAAAGTGGGCATCAAGATAACCATTTTACTGGAAGGACACACAGAAAACCATTGATGGTAGAAACCGCTAGTGTGAGACTTAAGAAGGAAGCTCATTTTTTATCATAAATTTATGGATTTTTTTTGACAGAGTGCACAATTTTGCTTGAAAGCTAGGTTTTTAAAAGCATAGAAATGTGTTGCCACTTCACAGGACTGCTGGGCTGAGCAAAGTCTTGGACGGGAGGACACTGCCTTCAAAACACCTGTCCAGTCCATTGCCTCCTCTCCATCCCCAGCCCCTGGCCTGGCTCAGGTCCCAGAATGTCCTCACTGGGACTTCATTCTACAGCTGATCCTCTCTAATATGCTCTCCACAGTAGTCCTGAAAGGATCTTCCTTCTGCCCAGATCTGGCCTACCCCTCCCCTGCTCACCCACTTCCTATGGCTCCTAATTGCCTTTGGGTTAAAATGGAAGTCATTAACATTTTTTCCATGTCTTCCACAGCCAGGCTCTGCTGCCACCTCCATTATTATTATCTCATCATGACTCAGTTTCTCCCTCTCTCATTCTCTGTCTCGTTTTCTCTTCCCTCCTCTCTTTATCTCTCTCTGTCCCTCACTTTCCCTCCCTCTTCCTTCTTTCTCCCTTTATAACCTTCTCCTTCCCCCTTACACAAACAACTCCTTCTCTTTTTCCCTCTTCTCCCTCTCTCCCACCCCTGCTTCTTTCTGCATCTTTGCCAAGGCTGTCTTTTTGACTTAGACCACTACTGCATGCAAACGTCTACTGATCATCATTCAGGATCTCAGTTAGAATACTTTTATTTATTTATTTTTACTGTTTTAGAGATGGATTCTTTCTGTATTGCCCAGGCTCATCTTAAACCTGACCTCAAGTGATCCTCCCACCTCAACCTCCTTAGTACTTGGTATCATGGGCGCCAGCCACCACATCTGGCGTGAAACACTTACTATATTCTCAGTCTGCTTCTCTTGTTCTCAATACCATCCTTGTCCATGTGGACAGAGAAGTCCTACCTGAGACTCTTCCCACTAGGCTGGGAGTACCTGAAAGACACATCCCTGGACAGTGTTCTTTCCAGGTATCCAGGGAACAGAAAGGTGCTGGGAACAGAACTGGCATTGGTAAGACATGTGGAAGAGTTTGCTGAATGAAGACTGAATGGATGAATGATGCAGGTATTCTAGAAAGAGATAGATGACTTTTACCCCCAGGTCTCCTTTACAACTCCCTGGACTGGACTGGAGGGTAGGAATTAGGGAACAGAAGAGCAAACATCCAGGAAGTGAAGATGTTTGAAAAAAATGATAATTCAGAGAAAATAAGAAGTGAGTGAAGGGAAAATTCATTGACTGAACATGTCTAGGTGTCATCATCTGCCTTCACATATTGTCACCAGCTCTCTCAGCAGGCTAGGACTCTCTGTCCTAAAAGCCTGAAAACTTTCCCCTGCTAGCCAGGCTGGATATCAAGTTCTGCCTCTGGGCTCTGCTCCTAATACTACTAAGCAATAATGGAAGAATTGACAAAAACAACTTTCTCCCTTCCCACTTGGGGAGCAGAGCCAATGACGGGCTCAGGAACAGGCCAGAAGAACCTGCACTCACCATTCAATCTCTTTAGGATCGCGGTCCTTCAGAAGCTCTTGCACCTCCTGCCGGCAGTGCTCCTGGTATTCTGGGTGCCTCGCGAGGTTGTACAGGACCCAGGAGAGACCACTGGCTGTGGTGTCATGGCCTGAAGGGGAAGCAGGCAGGCTTGGGTCTCTGGGCTGCTTCAGCACCAGAGGGTGGACAGCGTCCATGCATTGAGGCCCTCAGGGAGGATGGAGGGAGGGGGAAGATAGGCAGAATTGAGTGATCCAGGGCCCACCCACCATGTTCCTGAGATGAAAGGACCCCTGTCCTCACTGTAGTCCCACACTGGCAGCCTCACCTGCAAACATGAAGGTGTCAGCCTCTGCTCTTACATCCTCATCTGACAACACCTTCCCATCTTCATCCTGAAGGGAAAGCAAGACAAACCCTCCCCCAAATTTACTATCTCTGAGACTCCCGAGTCTCACCTGAGACAATCTCTGAAGGTCCGATCTTCTTCCAGAAACTCAAACCCACTCTGAATGTCTAGATCTCTCTTGTTCACCATCACCAGAGCCCCCATTCCAAGGTCTTCCCCCCAGCTCCTTTGCCTTGTCTTTGGTCCCTGGTGGGAGGAATCAATGACTCGAATATTTTCATATTTCTGTATAATGAAGACTTTAAGAGAAAAAGATACTGGCAACTTGGGGTACAGGAAGTTTAAATGGCAATTTGCCTTGGAGGTTAAAAATTACATATTGCTTTAAAGATATTTGCTCACATTCTAGAGTGGTAAACTCAGAGAATCTTATCTTTCCAGAAGATATTTGGATTATAAACCTATAGAAATTGCCATCTCACTGGAGAGTAGTAGTTTATACTCCTGAACAAAGCATTCTCTCTCTCTCTCTCTCTTTCACCCTGTAAAAAAGAAGGAGCATATGAACTAACTGTCCTATATAAGATATAAGACTCATAATGTGGGGGCCCCTCTCCTATGGTGCAAATTCTTGTACATTTACAGGTAAAAACATTGTGTTGCCCTAGAAATGGGGAGCCAGCACAACAATCCTACTCCTCCCACTGTTACTGCTGTAAATAATTAATGGGCTGCTGTAATCCAGGGGTTTGGTGCATCTGTCATCATAGATATAGACATAGACGAAGACATAGACATAAATAAAAATGTGAAAGACTAACTTACTAACTTGTAAGTTGAGTAAAATCGCACGTTCTTCACAGTTTCAGAATTAGCAGTCCCCTGCGGGCTGCATTCAACAGAATCATCTCTAAAACCTATCTGTGACCTTCCCTTTCTCAAGCATCTTCCATGGCTCCCAGTGCCCTCTGGATGAAGTCCAATTTATTTCATCTGACATTTGACATAAAGCTCCATTCTATCACTGTAATTCAGATCGTAGAGAAACCCACCTTGCTCAGCAGAAGCACATCAATGAAATCCAAAGTCTAGGACTTGGCTTTGTTCTTGAGGAAATCACAATACCCTGAGTGGGAAGGGTATGGCGCCGCTCCTGGATGACGGCATCTGTGAAGTCGTGCACCAGGCGGCAGGCCCTGCGGAAGCGCCACCCGTCATGGGAGAGGTAATACAGAAAGTCCATGTGCTGGAGGATATGCTGGTTTCTTTTTTCTACAAGGGCACTGAGCTCCAAGATGGTAGCAATATATTCACTGGGCCTCCTGCAGGCCAAGGGCAGAAAGGGAGGCAACAATGTAACATATGCAAAGCCCAGGAACACCTCCCACCAGCAGCCAGGAGCTACCTCCCATCAGGAAACTGAGTATCTAGAAACAGATGGTCCTAGAGATACATGATGGGTATCTGTCCTGAGATTGACTCTCTAGACTCTATTCCCTCCCTGCATCCTATCTCTGAGAGCTGTCTCCATGCACCTAGGTACCCGGAGTGTAGCTTGGACACCATGTTTCTCTCATCTCCCATCCAGTATCCAGTACTGATCATATTCCTTACCAAAACTGTCCACACAACTCAGACTTCATCCTCTTCCACTTCAGCCCGACTCCAGCCCCCACCATAACCAATTTGTACCCAATGTCAGCTCCATGTAGTGTCTACACTACTGTCAGATTCCCACACAGCTCAGCTCTTACCACAGCCATCATCAGCTGAAACTCCTTCAAAAGCTCCCTGGGACCATCTTGATAAACTTCATACCACTTTTCCTGATTTTCAGTGTCCCTAATATCTAATCCTATTTCCACAACCACATTTCTACTGTCTGTTGCATATGCTTGGCTCATCCTAACCTTATTACTGTTACTCAAATATTTCTACCTACCTGGAAAGACAACACTTTCTCCCCTTCCTTGACCTTAAAAGCCCAGCTATGATACAAATCCTCCCGAAAGGTACTTCTGGTTACTTTGCTCATTCCTCCCTCCCCAACTTTCTCCCTTTGGTCCATGGATTCACATCCCAGGCCCTGGGAAGGAACTCACTCCTGACAATGGCTGTCAAAGCTGAAGATGCATTTCTGCAGACTGTCCAAGGTCATGAGGCTGATGTGCTCAAACATGTCCAGACGACTGCTGCCCTCTGAGGCCAGGTGCTGCCACTTGTCCTGGCCAGAGAAATGAAGACGGCTAGAGCTGGGCCCTGCCTCCTTTGTGCCCCTCCCCAGTCCCAAACATCAGGATGGACTCCCCCACAACCAGCCTCCTGGTCCTCTGCCCCAGGAACCCATTGCCAGTGAGGACCAGACTTGGATGCGAGCAGAAGCTGTTAGTATAGGAGATGAAGACCCATGGCTTGGAGTCAAGAGACCTGCATTCAAGTCTCAGCCTTGTCTCCTATGTTCTGTGTGCCCTTGGTCAATCTATTGCCCTCCTCTAGGTCCCACATGTCAAATATTCAATAATGGTCAAGATGATCTGCTTTGGGCCAGATAAACCAGGACAGAATCTCTGCTCCACCACCCCTAGATCAGTCTCCTAGCTGGAGACTGGTTGAACTGTTTCCAGCTCGCTAACCTCTCTGGCCCTCAGTTTCATCATCTGCAATTGGGCAAAAATAACCATAACTCACAGGGTTATTAAAATTAAATTAGACACATATGTCATGGAACGGGGACATGACATTGTTTTAGGCCTATGGTGAGTGCTCAGTAAATGTTCTCTTCACTCTTCTCCATTGTTACAAAGTCATTTCAAAAATATCCCTGTGTTGGAAGAGGCACTTCTTCATCAGCCCTGAGCATCCTTGCTGGGCATGCCAAGAATGCAAGGCCATGATGTTCTTACTTCAGCCATTTTTCAGAGTTGTGTTTGCAGGGAACAACCTGGAGAGATAAGGCAATGAATCCCCCTGGACCAATATCAGGCTTGTTTCTGCTACTATTAAAGCAGATTCCTTAAGCCTAATGCCCATTGTCTGTCATGCAATGTACTGCATGAGCAGGCAACTAGCAAGGCCCACTGTGTCACCCCCATGGAATTTAGGTTGACTCCGAAAAAGGATACAAACCAACAAGACATACATGTTGCTTGCTGTGCCTGAGTAATCAACTACCCTTTGTCTCTGACCCAGGGGTCTTGTGTCTTCTATTAGAATGCATGAAACAGTAACAAGCTAACTTATCAGCTTGCAAGTAAAAGAAACATCCTAGGCATATCACAAAATCCTGACCCCCAGTTCTTCACTTCTCTTTGTATTTACACCCTTTGCGCAGTAATTTTTCAGCAGCTTCCATTAATAGATGGATTCTATTTTACATCCCTTTTAGTCTGTGCTGGACATTTGATTTTCTTTGGCCAATACAGTGTGGTGAACATGATGATGTAATAACTCGAATAGCCCCAAGGCTGGTTGAACTTTGAAGATTGCAGAGACAATGTCCAGAAATATTGCAGCCTCCTCTCAGTTTCTCGGAACCCAGTCTCTGCCATGTGAACAACAGGGTGCCTTCTGGAGGCAGAGAATCACATGGGGGAAAGTCCAGGTGTCACAGCTGAGGCCATCCCAGATCAGCCTGAAGCTAGTGAAGCCCTAAACATGTGAATGAACTGGACCAGGATCAGCAAAGCTGCCTACATGCCCCACAGCTGCTCATGTACCAAAGTTGATCGCATCTACATCCGGAAGAACCAGCTAAATGTCTCACAGACTCATTAGCAATCATAAACCTTTATTGATCTAAACCAATGGGTATTGAAGTGGTTTGTAATTGGTAATGGCTACTATGCAATCTTTGTCTTTACTTTTGCATTTACCTGGCTTCTGTGAAAGGAACATGGAATCTGACACCTTCTGAGTATCTACTATGTGCTAGGGACATGATTCGTTTGCATTATCTTACCACCTTTTAAGTAGGGATTATCATCCCCATTTTACAGATGAGGAACTCAAGGCTCAGAGAGGAACAGCAATGGCCTAATGCTACCCAGCAGAGCCAAAATTCCAGACCAGATCTGTCCATGGTCCCTCCACCCCAAGACTCCTGCTGGGACCCAGAGTTCAAGGAACTCACGTGCATGATGTTCACACTCCTGTTGAAGATCTTTATATAGGGTTTCAGGATGTTGAAATGGAAGGCGGGCGTCAGCATCCGACGGTGGCGGCTCCACTTGTCACCGCCACTCAGCAGTATCCCTTCTCCTAGTAGGGCAGCCAAGGACAGTGGGCAAGAGCAGCACCTTCCCCACCCCTGCTCAAGGTTGTCCCCAGCCCCTTTCACCTGCAGGTACTCACCCAGCCAGGGCTTCAGGAACCTGATGGAGAGATCATCCTTGGGCGCAATAGCAGCTGGCATGAATGAGGACCATCAGGGGCCATGTAGAGGGCAAGAGAGGAACTTCAGGTATAAGGCAAGGCTCCCTACCAGCACTTTCCCTACTCCATGCCCAGCATAGCAGGAAGGGGGCCAAGGGCAAAGGACGAAGGGAGGATAGAGGAAGAAGGACCAGCCCAGGCTGCAACAGCACAGTAGAGCAATGACACAACCTAACAGGGCACAGCACTCCCCAGCACGCCTTGACATGGCTCCTATATATCCCAACATGTTCTGCAACAACTGAGCACAGCTCCACACTCTACAAAATATCTTTAAAGGAGCCTAGGACACCCTGTCTGCCCCAGCACTCTCTGTCATCTCCTGAAATGGACCTGGGACCTGGGGCATGTCTCCAATGTTAACATGCCTGACATGGCCACAGCATACATGATGAGCCCTAAATGACACATCGTCTGACATGGACCTAAGATAGTCTTGCATGACTTCTGTGTACCTGACAGGCCCCAGATAGGATTTAAATATGATTTATTAAATGTCCTGGACATGTCCCAGGTGTAACCAAGACTTCTCTTCAAGCATGATTGGAATGGATTCTGAGACCTGGCTCAGGAAGACTAAAATAATAACTCTGACAATTCTCAAAGGGACCCTGGGTCCCAGATCTTGGACAAGCCACAAACATGGCCAAGAGATGACAAGAAGGAGAAAAGACAATTTCAAACCACATGTCAGAGAAGAACCAGAAAGGCTGGGACATGCCCCAAGTGTCCTTGGCCACAGCTGAGCCACACACATGATGACTTCTCCATATGATCCCAGGTAAAACATACGAGATATAATCAGGTATAATATAGAAATCGTAGGCTATTTATGGGACCCCTTGGGGAAAGGTGAGCTTTCTGACAAGAGCTGAGCTTCCAAGACCCATGGTTGACACCATAAGAGAAGGGCTGCCTTAAAAGAAAAAGTGACTTCCACAATGGTTGAAAGTATAATAATAAAAGAAAAGAAAAAAAAAAAGAAAAGGTGATGCAGAGAAATGGTGAAATTAAAAGGAGACAAATTCCTGATGCTGTACATTGACACCTGGATCCAGCCATGCCTGAAGACCACTTTCTCTGGACTTTACACTCCGTTGATTCCCTTTATTTGCTTATAGTGCACAAAGTTGAGCTTCCATCACTCACAGGTGAAAGAGACCTCAGCAGCCAGAGAGAGCAGGTGACCTGCACAGAGTCACTAAGCATTTTGGGGTCAGAGCCATAGTTTCTGTGGGACGTTGCTCCTTCCCTTCTCAGCCTGGTCTGTCCAAGGATGGGAAGAGCAGAGAATAAGGGAAGATCAACAAGCTGGTGTGGGATCTCTACTGGAGATTCTTGAGGCCTACAGGAGGACAGCAGTGAGCGTAGGGTGGATGAGTGACAGGATAAGGTAGAAGGAACTGACCCATCATAGATGGATGTCACATAAATAGCAGCCCAGAATCACCACCAGCGACAAGTCCTCCTACCGCTCTAGGCTGAAGGATGGACAAGGTTGGTGCCAGGACTGGCTGGGCCCCCAAATACCAATGATGCTCATTACATCATCCTACCCCACACTTAAAAAAATTCCTACTCATAGGTCCAGACCCAGCTCCAACAATTCCTCCTCCAGGAAGCCTTCCAGCCTGCCGCAGCAGAACCCTAGTTCTCCTGTGGGTTTTCACACCCATCTCTCTCTTGCCCATTCCTGACCCCATGAATTTGGGGTTGTCTCTGTCCAGATCCATCTCCTCAAGTGTGGAGGTTCCTTCAGGACAGGGTTCTGGATTGAGGCTTCCTGGGGCCCTGGTGGTTCCCAGAACACCAGAGCAGGGGGTCAGATGGCAAAGGAGTTGGAAGACATTGAGATGAAATTTGGCAAATACATGAAGGAAAGCAGAAGATGCCTCTTCTTCTTTCAATGGAGGGAGAAGAGAGAAAGAGGGGCCTGGGAACTGCAGGGGCTTCACAGAAGCCTAGGGGAGAAGGAGCTGGAAGCCCTTGGATGGAAGCCCCAGCACCCACCACCACAAGCTCTGCATGGGTACCTGAGGCATTGGTGATAGACCGGACGATGTCAGGGTGGCATAAAACGATGAAGGGGAAGATGGGACCCAGCCATATCCTAAAGCCCTGGGGATAGGTGGCTGACATCTGGGTCAAGTTCTTCAAGCCTTCCTCTGTAGCAATGATCTGAAAGCAAGTCAGGGGCCATCACCCCTTGTGATGGTTAATTCTAGGTGTCCACTTGACAGGGCTAAGGGATGCCCAGATATCTGGTCTAACATTATTTCTGTGTGCGTCTGTGTTTCAGGAGAGATTAGCATTTGAAGGTAAACTGAGGAAGGAAGACCTGCCCTTCCTTATGTGGGTGGGTGTCATCAAATCCATTGAGGGCATGAACAGGACAAAAAGGCAGAGGAAAGGGGGAATTTGCTCTCTCTTCTGCAGCTGGGACATCCGTCTTCTCCTGCCCTCAGAACTCCAGGTTCTCAGGCCGTTTTGGACTCAGGCTGAATTTACACCACCAGCGTCCCTGGTTTCTGGCTTGCAGATGGTATATCATGGGAATTCCTGGCCTCCATCATCACATTATCCAATTCCCATAATAAATTCTCTCTGTCTCTTTCTGTCTCCATACATACATGCATTAGAGGTAAGAAGAAATTCCCATCTAAGGAGATTCCATTTCTAGGGAGAACCCTGACTAATGCACCTCCCTAGAAGGAGCCACGGCAAGTCCCCCTGCAGCCACCAGATGTGGTGCAGCCTCTGCAGTGAGCAGCGTGTCTGGATTCTCAACAGCTGCAGGGGGTTTCTGCTGACCTCTGCTCCTTCTCTCTTGGGGCTGTCCCAGGATCCGAAGGTAAATACCAAAGCAGAGAGGGAAGACAAGCTGTCTGCTCAAGAGGATGTGTTTTCTCATCCTGGAATGATTTCAGTCTGGGGATTGCTTTATAGGGAAAGGTCCCCATGGGAGGTGGTTTGGGACGGCAGTGTGGCCTCAGGACATATCCCTAGGGCAGATTCCCACATCCTTTTGTGTCCTGGCTGGTCCACATGGGCTCTGGTTCCCCCCACAGATAAAGGGTCTGCACACTGAGGACCCCCCCATTCTCAGCAGCCCCCAGGGAAGCAGAGGTGACTCTAATGTCCCTCAGGATGGCAGCTCCCACCTGGGAGAACCCCCCCTTATGCCAGGCTCTGTGCTAGTGCCTCCTGTGCACCTGTGGACATGCCCATCAATCCTGCCATTTATGAGTGAGCAGACGGAGGCCACGTCCCCCAAAGGGGAGGGCAAGTCCAAGTAGGAGGGCAAGGTTTGGGAGTGTCAAGGACGGCTTCTGAAAGGGGAAGAGAGTGGCCAAATTATATCCCGGTTGAGCTACAGGGCTCATTGGGACATCTGAGTGGGGAAGAGCACGTCACCCCTGGAAGGGGAAGGTGTGGGAGACTGCCTGCACTTCTCTTCTGGCCCAGCAGTGTCCCTCCATAGGGGAAGGAAGTCAGAGCTAATTCCTGTGGGAAAGCAGCAGCCCAGAGATGAGCAGACACAAGGAAATGGGTCAGGCAGGGAGCAGCCCCTGGATAGTGGGCTCAGGAGGCCTCAAGTCCAGAGTGGAGAAGGTGGGGATGCCAGGAGAGCCCTGCTCTGTGCCCCACAGTACTGCAGGAGCCCCTTGGAGGTGCACTATTGTAGGAAAGACAGGCAGCAAAAGGATCCAGACAGGCTGGGGTGGGAGGACAGGTAGGTGAGAAAGGCTTGGGATGGAACTACAGAGGAATGAGTGAGTGAGGAGAGGAGTGAGTGAGTGAGGAGAGGAGTGAGTGAGTGAGGAGGGGAGTGAGTGAGTGAGGAGGGGAGTGAGTGAGTGAGGAGGGGAGTGAGTGAGTGAGGAGGGGAGTGAGTGAGTGAGGAGGGGAGTGAGTGAGTGAGGAGGGGAGTGAGTGAGTGAGGAGGGGAGTCAGTGAGTGAGGAGGGGAGTCAGTGAGTGAGGAGGGGAGTCAGTGAGTGAGGACGGGAGTGAGTGAGGAGGGGAGTGAGTGAGGAGGGGAGTGAGTGAGGAGGGGAGTGAGTGAGGAGGGGAGGGAGTGAGTGAGGAGGGGAGGGAGTGAGTGAGGAGGGGAGGGAGTGAGTGAGGAGGGGAGGGAGTGAGTGAGGAGGGGAGTGAGTGAGGAGGGGAGTGAGTGAGTGAGGAGGGGAGTGAGTGAGTGAGGAGGGGAGGGAGTGAGTGAGGAGGGGAGTGAGTGAGGAGGGGAGTGAGTGAGTGAGGAGGGGAGTGAGTGAGTGAGGAGGGGAGTGAGTGAGTGAGGAGGGGAGTACGTGAGTGAGGAGGGGAGTGCGTGAGTGAGGAGGGGAGTGAGTGAGTGCATGGGTAGAGGAGTGAGTGAGTGCATGGGTAGAGGAGTGAGTGAGTGAGGAGAGGAGTGAGTGAGTGCATGGGTAGAGGAGTGCGTGAGTGAGGAGAGGAGTGAGTGAGTGCATGGGTAGAGGAGTGAGTGAGTGCATGGGTAGAGGAGTGAGTGAGTGAGGAGAGGAGTGAGTGAGTGAGGAGAGGAGTGAGTGAGTGAGGAGAGGAGTGCGTGAGTGAGGAGGGGAGTGAGTGAGTGCATGGGTAGAGGAGTGAGTGAGTGCATGGGTAGAGGAGTGAGTGAGGAGAGGAGTGAGTGAGTGAGGAGGGGAGTGAGTGAGTGAGGAGGGGAGTGAGTGAGTGAGGAGGGGAGTGAGTGAGTGAGGAGGGGAGTGAGTGAGTGAGTGAGGAGGGGAGTGCGTGAGTGAGGAGAGGAGTGAGTGAGTGCATGGGTAGAGGAGTGAGTGAGTGAGGAGAGGAGTGAGTGAGTGAGGAGAGGAGTGAGTGAGTGAGGAGAGGAGTGAGTGAGTGAGGAGAGGAGTGAGTGAGTGAGGAGAGGAGTGCGTGAGTGAGGAGAGGAGTGAGTGAGTGCATGGGTAGAGGAGTGAGTGAGTGCATGGGTAGAGGAGTGAGTGAGTGCATGGGTAGAGGAGTGAGTGAGTGAGGAGAGGAGTGAGTGAGTGAGGAGAGGAGTGAGTGAGTGAGGAGGGGAGTGAGTGAGTGAGGAGGGGAGTGAGTGAGGAGGGGAGTGAGTGAGTGAGGAGGGGAGTGAGTGAGTGAGGAGGGGAGTGAGTGAGTGAGGAGGGGAGTGAGTGCATGGGTAGAGGAGTGAGTGAGTGAGGAGAGGAGTGAGTGCATGGGTAGAGGAGTGAGTGAATGAGCCGCCTCCCTCGCTTCTCTGCCGGCCCACACCTCAGCCACCCTCTAAACCCAGCTCCTTGATCCCCCTTCCTGCCCTTTGGGAATTCCATCCACCCTGAGATCCCAGAGTCATCCTGCTGCCACACTCACGAGGTCCTGGTTGACCCCAAAACCATTTCTGTTTTGGGGGTTGTGGAAAGTACTGAAGGCGGCGGCAGTTGTCATAGAAGGCATAGGTCCAGGCCAGGAAGCCGGCCAGGAGCCGGGAGGCCCCAGCCAGCAGCAGGAGCAGCCACGGGAATGCTGCCACCTGCCCGAGGCCCAGCCAGGACAGGCTCAGCTGCGGCATCCTGCAGGGCAGACAGGATGGAGGGTGAGATCCTGAGGCCCAGGGAAAGTCTCAGGGAGCTCCAGGGACAGTGGAGAGAAGCAGGGAAGGGGTGGGTGGAGGCAGGAAAGGGAGGGCTCTGGGATGAATAAACAAGGACTGAGAGCTAAATTCCAGAAAGCCCCAGCCAAATCCAATAGCCAAGTGGCCTCTAGTTGCCTAGTAACCACCCAGAAAGGAGAAGAGAGAGAGAGACTGATTAGAGTCCAGAAAGGCCCAGCCTGAATCACTGGGAGGTTGCCAGGGGTCCGGTTACCAGGAAACCACCAGTCTCCCAGGCCAGCAGCCTGGAGACACCCCAGCCTTGGGCAGTGCCCCTCCCCATCCCAGGCCAGGAGGCTCCAGTCTGACCACCCCCAGCCTGGCACCTTCTGTCAGGAGCAGCTTGTACCACACAACCTCCTCTCCTCTTCTGCTGGGAGTTCTTTGCCTCTGGCCCCTGATTTAGGGAAAGGTCGTGGGAGGCTGGGCTGCGCTGGGCTGGGCCAGTCAATCTCCACAGCCTGGGTGCATCTCCCTTGCCTGGGAGATGCCGGCCAAAACCTGGGGTTTGGCCAGCTGGGTGCAGAGGAACCAGCTCAGGGTGCCCCAGTATGGGGACTGGATCCTCAGGTCTCAGCATCTCCCTCACAGTTTAGAGGGGAAGTTGGGGAGTGGTTAAAGGGGACTCTGAGCCCCAAGTTTACAGCCACCCTGCCCTTTCAAGGCAAGGATGTGGCAGGTAAAAGCATGAACTTGAGAGTTCACAGCCACCTGAGCTGGGCCAGGCCAACCCTTGTCCCAGATCATCTGGGCTCCTCTCCAAACATGGGCGGGGAGGATGTCAGGTGCTGCATCTTGGTACAGACTTAGGAGATTCAGAGACAGAAGCCTCTCATCTCTGGCTTCACAGCCTGGCAAGAGTTCAAGTCCTGCCTCCAGGCAGCCCAGGGCCTGAGCTGAGACCTGACTGCTTGAAGCAGGAAGAAAGAATCCAGTCCCAACCCTGCTGAGGATTACCTGGGTCAGAGTCTGGGGATAAAGAGCCCAGCTGGAGGAGCAAATCTAGAGGCTGGGCTCAGCTTAGAGGACAGAGCAGAGGCATAGGGGATGAGGCTGAGAGGGGCTGTGAGCAGACGGGGTCCAGGCAGGGGAGGGCAGAGCGAGGGGACCCCGAGTGTAGTCCTTGTTCTGACCTGTCCTTTCTCTGACTGTGGGCAATGTGGCCATCCTGGGCTCAGGCTTCCCATCTGGGAAATGGGATGTCAGATGAGGCCTTAGAGGGCGACAGAGGAAGGCTCCTAAGAAGAGAGAGCTCCAAAAAGAGGGACTGAAGGGAAGGGGATGACAACTAGCACTTGAGCTGCTGTGTGCCTGTCTCTACTCCATGCGAAAGACTGTATGGAAAACACTACTGTGTGTACCTACTGCGTGCCAGTCTCACTATATAAAGTGCACCTACTGTGTATCAGGTACTCTACATAAATTCTGTCTACTATGTGCCAGGTACACCACATAAACCTCACCTACTGTGTGCAGCATGCTCTACATAATGTAAGCTTACTTTGTGCAGAGTACTTTATACAAAGCGTGCCTACTCTGTGCCACATGCCATATATAAAGCATACCTACTGTGTGCCAGGTGCTCCACATAAAGAGTGTCTACTGTATGCTGGGCGCCCTTCACAAATCCTGTATCTTGAGTCCCTGGTCCTTTATATAAACCATGCCTGCTGTGTGCCAGGTGTTCTAAATAAAGCACACCTATTGTGTGCCAGATGTCCTACATAAAATGTTCCTCCTGTATGTTGGGCCCCGTACATAAAATAAAACTGCTCTGTGCAACATACTTGACATAAAGCACACATACTATGTGCCAGGTACACTACATAAAGACCACCTACTGTGTGCCAGGTATGCCACATAAAGTGTGCCTACTATGTGTTAGGTACTCCACGTAAAGTACACCTACTGTGTGCCAGGTGCTCTACATAAAGTGCACCTACTGTGTGTCAGGTGCTCTACGTAAACCACACCTGCTTGTATCAGATGCCCAGCTGGATGACAACGCCCAAAGCTGTCCCACTACCCTCCCATCAGCTCTCTAGGCCAGAGTCCCGGGGATTGTTGGAGAGACCCAAATGATGGCATCCAGAGGAGGGAAGATGTCCATTTAACATAAAAGCAAACTGAGGCTCAGAGAGGCCAGGCCTCTAGCCCAAGTTGCAGAGCTCACAGGAACTCAGGTCTATGAGACCCTCAAGTCCAAATCCTTTCCTTCTGCCGTGCTGCTCCACCCCCATTCATTAGGGTCAATGCCATATTAATACAGGGACATTTATAATGGAGGAATTTCAGGCAGCGTGGTGGCCCAGAGGGGAGCTATCTGGAGGCTGTTGAATCAGCACCTGGCTCCTCCTCCCACACCCAGGATGCTCCACCCAACAGATCCAGGGCTCTCCTCCTGGCCCTCCCTGGATCCTGTCCAGAATTGCCCTATGGGGTAGACTCGGGAGAAGGGGGTCTTGAAGGATGGGGCTCCTAGCAGAGCTGCTGAGCAGGAGGGTGGGGAAGACAGTGCTCCTGACACTAGCTGGGTGTTGGGGAGCCCCTAGACCTCCCCCACCCCACCACCACTGCCAGCTCAATCAGCCAGGGGATTCAGGCTGAAGGGGGCCAGCCCCTCCACCCCTGTGGGTATTTCTCGTCAGGTGGTACGAGAGACTGAGAAAAGAAATAAGACACAGAGATAAAGTATAGAGAAAGAACAGTGGACCCAGGGGACTGGCACACTCAGCATGCGAGGACCTGTACCGGTGCCGGTCTCTGAGTTCCCTCAATATTTATTGATTACTATTTTCACTGTCTCAGCAAGGGGAGTGCGAGGGAGAAGAGGGTGAACAGGGTGATGATGGGGAGAAGGTCAGCAGGGAAACGTGTGAGTAACAGAATCTGTGTCATGAATAAGTTCAAGGGAAGGTACTGTGCCTGGATGTGCACATGGGCTACATTTATGTTTCTCTTTACCCAAACATCTCAGTGTAGCAAAGAGTAACAGAGCAGTATTGCCACCAGCATATCTCGCCTCCAGCCACAGGGCGGTTTTCTCCTATCTCAGAATAGAATGAACAGTCAGATTTATACTGAGACATTCCCTTCCCAGGGACATGTGGGAAACAGAGGCCTTCCTCTTATCTCAACCACAAAGAGGCTTTCCTCTTTCACTACTCCTCCTCAGCACAGACCCTTTACGGGTGTCGGGCTGGGGACAGTAAAGTCTTTCCCTTCCCACGAGGCCATATCTCAGGCTGTCTCGGTGCGGGGAAACCTTGGACAATACCCAGGCTTTCTTGGGCAGAGGTCCCTGTGGCTTTCCGTGTCCCTGGTTAATAGAGAATGGAGAATGGCGATGACTTTTATCAAGCATACTGTCTGCAAACATATTGTTAACAAGGCACATGCCGCACAGCCCTAAATACCTTAAAACTTGATTCAATACAGCACATGTTTCTGTGAGCACAGGGTTGGGGCTAAAGTTACAGATTAACAACAGTATCTCAAAGCAGAACAATTTTTCTTTGTACAGATCAAAATGGAGTTTCTTATGTCTTCCTTTTTCTACATAGACACAGTAACAGTCTGATCTCTCTTTCTTTTCCCCACATCAGGCAGCTGGACTTACAGCCCCCAGTAAGTGGGGTGCATCACCCAATATACCCACCCCCTCTGCAAGGACAGACCTCACCTGCTGGCAGTTCCATTCCTGTCAGACTCAGGGAGCAAGGCCAGAGTTTCATGAACAGGTGGGCAGATTGCTTTGAGCCCAGGAGTTGGAGACCAGCCTGATCCACAAGGCAAAACCGTGTCTCTATAAAAAATACAAAAACTGGTCTCAAACAAACAAACAAACAAACAAACAAAAAACAAAAACAAAAACTGGCCGGGCGCAGTGGCTCACACCTGTAATCCCAGCACTTTGGGAAGCCAAGGCAGGCGGATCACGAGGTCAGGAGATCGAGACCATCCTGGCTAACACTGTGAAACCCCATCTCTACTAAAAATACAAAAAAATTAGCTGGGCCTGGTGGCGGGTGCCTGTAGTCCCAGCTACTTGGGAGGCTGAGGCAGGAGAATGGCGTGAACCTGGGAGGCCGAGCTTGCACTGAGCCGAGATCGCACCACTGCACTCCAGCCTTGGGGACAAAGCAAGACTCCATCTCACAAAAAACAAAACTGAACTAAACAAAAACTAAACTAGCCAGGCATGGTGGCATGTGCCTGTGGTCCCAGCTACTCAGGAGGCTGAGGCTGGAGAATCGCTTGAACCCATAAGGCAGAGGTGCTGTGAGCCGAGATTTCACCACTGCATTCCAGCCTGGGTGACAGAGTGAGACACTGTCTCAAAAAAAAAAAAAAAAAAAAAATCTAGATTGCAATTACTTTCTTTAAGCACATGGAAAAGGACATCTATAGTCTTCCAGATTTTACTTTTGGCATTGAAAAGTTAGCTGTCCATCTCCTTAGAATTAATCTCTCTCTTTACTCCCCTCTTCTTAACTACTGTTATTTTTTTCTCTCTTTTTTTTTCTGAAGTTTTAACACAATGTGTTACGGTGTGGATTTCTCTTTATGGTTGCTTGGGGTTCATTGAGGTTCTCGAATCTAAACTGTTTTCAATCAGTTTTAGAAAAATCTTGGCCACAATTTCTTCAAACAATGCCTGTGCCCTATTTTTTATTTTACTTCTGAAATTCTAATTAAACAAAGGTTACACTTTCTCATTCTGACCCTAATGTTTTCTTCCCTCTCTTTTATTTTTATTTATTTGTTTGTTTGTTTGTTTGTTTTGAGACAGAGTCTCACCCTGTTGCCCAGGTTGGCGTGCAGTGGCACCATCCCGCTCACTGCAACCTTCACCTCTCGAGCTCACACGATTCTCCTGCCTCAGCCTCCCAAGTAGCTGGGATTACAGGTGTTCACCACCACATCTGACTAATTTTTTTTATTATACTTTAAGTTTTAGGGTACATATGCACAACATGCAGGTTTGTTACATATGTATACATGTGCCATGTTGGTGTGCTGCACCCATTAACTCGTCATTTAACATTAGATATATCTCCTAATGCTATCCCTCCACCCACCCCACAACAGTCCCTGGTGTGTGATGTTCTCCTTCCTGTGTCCATGTGTTCTCATTGTTCAGTTCTCACCTATGAGTAAGAACATGCGGTGTTTGGTTTTTTGTTCTTGCGATAGTTTGCTGAGAATGATGGTTTCCAGCTTCATCCATGTCCCTACAAAGGACATGAACTCGTCATTTTTTATGGCTGCATAGTATTCCATGGTGTATATGTGCCACATTTTCTTAATCCAGTCTATCATTGTTGGACATTTGGGTTGGTTCCAAGTCTTTGCTATTGTGAATAGTGCCGCAATAAACATACGTGTGCATGTGTCTTCATAGCAGCATGTTTTATAATCCTCTGGGTATATACCCAGTAATGGGATTGTTGGGTCAAATGATATTTCTAGTTCTAGATCCCTGAGGAATTGCCACACTGGCTTCCACAATGGTTGAACTAGTTTACAGTCCCACCAACAGTGTAAAAGTGTTCCTATTTCTCCACATCCTCTCTAGCACCTGTTGTTTCCTGACTTTTTAATAATCGCCATTCTAACTGGTGTGAGATGGTATCTCATTGTGGTTTTGATTTGCATTTCTCTGATGGCCAGTGATGACGAGCATTTTTTCATGTGTCTTTTGGCTGCATAAATGTCTTCTTTTGAGAAGTGTCTGTTCATATCCTTCACCCACTTTTTGATGGGGTTGTTTGTTTTTTCTTGTAAATATGTTGGAGTTCATTGTAGATTCTGAGCTTTGTTCTTTTGGCTTAGGATTGACTTGGCAATGTGGGCTCTTTTTTGGTTCCATATGAACTTTAAAGTAGTTTTTTCCAATTCTGTGAAGAAAGTCATTGGTAGCTTGATGGGGATGGCATTGAATCTATAAATTACCTTGGGCAGTATGGCCATTTTCACAATATTGATTCTTCCTACCCATGAGCATGGAATGTTCTTCCATTTGTTTGTATCCTCTTTTATTTCATCGAGCAGTGGTTTGTAGTTCTCCTTGAAGAGGTCCTTCTATCTGATCTTTGACAACATGACAAAAACAAGAAATGGGGAAAGGATTCCCTATTTAATAAATGGTGCTGGGAAAACTGGCTAGCCATATGTAGAAAGCTGAAACTGGATCCCTTCCTTACACCTTACACAAAAATTAATTCAAGATGGACTAAAGACTTAAATGTTAGACCTAAAACCATAAAAACCCTAGAAGAAAACCTAGGCAATACCTTTCAGTACATAGGCATGGGCAAGGACTTCATGTCTAAAACACCAAAAGCAACGGCAACAAAAGCCAAAATTGACAAATGGGATATAATTAAACTAAAGAGCTTCTGCACAGCAAAAGAAACTACCATCAGAGTGAACAGTCAACCTACAGAATGGGAGAAAATTTTTGCAATCTACTCATCTGACAAAGGGCTAATATCCAGAATCTACATCTGACTAATTTTTGTATTTTGAGTAGAGATGGGGTTTCGCCATGTTGGCCAGGCTGGTCTTGAGCTCCTGAACTCAAGTGATCCACCTGCCTCAGCCTCCCAGAGTGCTGGGATTACAGGCATGAGCCACCGCGCCCGGCCCCCAACTCACTAATTCTCTCTTCAATTGTGTCTGACATGCATTAAACTTCTCCTGGGATATTAATATTGTAGCTTTGGTTCTAAAAATTATATATCTTTTTTTTCAAATCAACCCTGCCGCTCTTTACAATGCTTTATCCTTGAAGATATTTCCAAAATTACATTTCGTTATTTAAACTTCGTAAGCAATATTGTTTCATAGTCCTTGCCTGATAATTCCAGTATCTGAAATCTTTGTTGGACTGTTTCTGGAGTTATGGGGAACTGGGAGATTCTGAAGGTGTTGATACCTGGGTCATGATGCACCCTGTCAAGTTTATGGGGAGGAAGAGGCAGAGCTGGAGCTCTTGGCCCCTCCACTCCATCTGGGCTTGCTGCAGGAACCTACCGTGTGACCTTGGCCTTGTTCCCTGCCCTCTGTGGGCTTTGTGTTCCCAGAGGCAACCATAGAGGATGCTTCTTCTGAGAATCACACCTCTGTGTCTCTCCAGATCCCTTTCCTGATATCTGTTGAGAAGAGACACCATCCTGGGAAACATCACCCAGAATCCAGTCCCATTTTTCCAAAATGCTTGGAATTGGGGCAGCCCAGCCCAGCCTCGCTAGCCGCAGGGGGTGGTGGTGGTGGTGGTGTCAGGGTTTGATGGTGGTGTCAGGGTTTGATGGTGAGATCTTTAGGGAGGAGGTGATGTAAAAACTGAAACCTCAAATGAGAACAGGACTGAGATAAGTGAGAGTGAGTAGTGGTGGAAGGGGTCCCAGGCAGGAGGAAGGGAGGAAAGATGGAAGAAGGGAAGAAGAGAGGAAGGAAGGAAGAGAAGGAAGAAAAGAGGGAGGGAAGCAGCAAAGGAAGGAGGGAGGCAGGAATGGAGAGGGCAATCCCAAGGTCCCCCGCCTCCCTCCTTGGACTTCGATTACCCTGCATCCTGCATCCCAGGCAGGCTCCTCAAGACACCTCTGGGAACGTGCCACTGGGGAAGACGCCTGCAGAGATGAAGCTCTCACCCTGGGTGCACTGTGCCCAGGGCCATTACAGGCCTGGCTGCAAGGCGTCCCTAAAGGTCTCTGATGAAGGTAAGTGGAGTCGTCTATTTCCAAACCTGCTTTCCAGGATGAAGTGGCAAGAGTACTGGGAGGTGGAAGGGAGAAGGCAAGAGAAGCAGGGAAAATTGGAACAGAGGGAGGCACAGGTTTGGGAAAAGAAACGAGAGGGAGCATGGGATGATATGGAGTAGGGGTTCTATAGCCTCAGCCACCTGACTCCAGGCTGGATCAGCCTGTCCTCACTCCAAGTCCCCCATAGAGTCCACCTACTGCCTAGAGCAGCCCCCTTTCCACAGCAGTCGTGGCCACCAGGGTCCATGCTGGGGTGGGGAGTGGTCTCTATACTAAGTTGTGGAGGAGGGTGGTTCTGAGCCAAGCGGGTGACATTGAGTGTGTCACCATGCATGTGGGTGTACTTAGGCATCACCCATGTGTACTCCTGCCTTCACTGTGTGTGTGTGTGTGCAGTTGTGTGCGCTTGTATGAGATTATTGTAGCTGCCATTTCAAAGTGCCGCAAACCTTGTGGCTTAAAACAAGATAAATGCATTCTTGCAGGGTTCTGGAGGCTAGACGTCTTAAAGCAAGACGTCTACAAAGCTACTCTCCCTCTGAAGATTCTAAGGGAGAAGATGCCTTGCCTCTTCCAGCTTCTGGGTGCTCTAGGCATTGATTGATTTGTAGCTGCATCGCTCCAATCTCTGCCTCTCTCTTCACGCGACCTTTTCCTCTGTGTGTCCTCCCCTCGTCTTTGAGGGGCACCAGTTGTTGGATTTAGTAAACAACCTAATTCAGAATAATCTCATTTTTATTTTTATTATTATTATTTTTTGGACAGGGTCTCGCTCTGTCACCCAGGCTGGAGTGCAGTGGCACGATCACAGCTCACTGCAGCCTCGACCTCCCAGGCTCAACTGATCCTCCCACTTGGCCTCCTAAGCAGCTGTTAGCGCAGGCACACAGCACCACGCCCAGCTAATTTTTGTAGAGATGGGGTTTTGCCATGTTGCTCAGGCTGGTCTCGAACTCCTGGATTCAAGCAATCCCCCGCCCCACCCACCTTGGTCTCCCACAGTGCTGGGATTATAGGTGTGAGCCACCACACCCAGCTGATCTCATTTTTGGATCCTTACCTTAATGACATCTGTAAAAGACTCTATTGCCACCTAAGGTCACATTATTTTATTTTAGTTTAGTTTAGTTTGGTTTCAGGGTACATGCTCAGGATGTGCAGGTTTGTCACACAGGCAAATGTGTGCCATGGTGCTTTGCTGCACCTATCAACCTATCACCTAGGTATTAAGCCTGGCATACATTAGCTATTTTTCTGAGGCTCTCCCCACCCCTGCCCTACCCCAACAGGCCCCAGTGTGTGTTGTTCCCCTCCCTGTGTCCAAAGGTCACATTCTGAGGTTCTGAATGAACATGAGTTTTGGAGGGACATGATTCAACACACACAGTGCCCTCACACATGGAATGGCTGTGTGTCTCCAGTTTATTCCAGCCCCAGATGAGCACCAGGCATTTGGCAAGGGCTCCATAGGTGTGTGCAGAATGAGTGGTGGTGTCTCTGGTTCTGGCTGGGGGTGTCACCGCCAGTGTGCATTTCAGAGCCAGTGCGACTGTGTGGCATTGCTCAGATCTGTCTGCCTTTGCATCTGTGTGTTCAGTTGTATGATAAAGTGCATAAGCAGAAAGAGCTGGATGAGTTGAATTGTGTCTCCTTTGAGGAGAGAGGGCACTGGAGCAGGGTCTGGGAGCCTGCGTGTGTGCCAGCCTGGGATTCTGCATTTGCACCAGCCTGGGATTCTGTGTGTGCACCAGCCTAGGGTTCTGCGTGTGCATCATTCTGGAGTTCTGTGTGTGCAGAAGCCTGAGGTTCTGCGTGTGCACCAGTCTGGGGTTCTGCCTGGGAGCCCTCAGCTGGGAGAAGGACCCTGACCTTTGTCCTTCCCTAGGTCTAGACTTGTGCAGGGGAGTTGGAGAGCCCCCTTGGAGATTTCTGCTAAGGTGCTGTTCTGGGAAAGAGTGGGACAGAATGTGCCAGAGAGCTGAGAGAGCCCTTTCTGTATTTCTCTTTTCTTTTTTTTCTTTTCTTTTCTTTTTTTTTTTTTGAGACAGGGTCTCGCTCTGTCACCCAGGCTGGAATGTAGTGGCATGAACATGGCTCACTGCAGCCTCGAATTCCTGTACTCAAGCAATCCTCTCACCTCAGCCTCCTGAGTAGCTGGAACTACAGGTGCACATCACCACGCCTGGCTAATTTAAAAACAATTTTTTTGGTAAAGATGGGATCTCACTATGTTGCCCAGGCTGGTCTCAAACTCCTGGCCTCAAGTGATCCTCCTGCCTCAGCCTCCAAAAGTGCTGGGATTATAGGTGTGAGCCACTGGGCATGGCCCCTTTCTGTAATTTTTAGTAACATTTGTGCATTTAGGAGCAGGGACCTTGGAGCCTGTTGGTAGCCAGGAGAGAGGAAGAGGTGAGCTGCACAAGGGAGGGAGTGCTGGAGGGTAGGAGGCATTTACAGTGACAGAAGAAGGTTCATCTGGAATGGGGTTGAAGTCCCTGACTGTCACAGTGCCAATGTGAGTCACCTGGCAGGCAAGGATGAGTGGCAACCAGCTCAGCAGACAGCAAACAGCAATGATGACAGAGATGATCACGACAACGTCAGCTGGCAGCCTTGAGAACTGTGTGCTAAGCACTTGGCATCCCGTCGCCCAGGGAACCCCCAGGGCAGGTCTCTGGTTATCCCAGCATACAGTGAGAACCTGGGATTTGAACCATGGGTCTGCGTGACTCCACGGCCTGGATATGTCTTAGAGAATTGTCTCTGGCTGTCAGAAGAGGGATGGGGCAGAGGAGGGGAGATTGGTAAGCACCGTGGGCTGAGAGAGAGGGCGTGAGGCCAGAGCTGGGGTTGTGTCCCTGCTATAGAGGGGGAGGGAGTGAGGCTCAGAGATGACAGATGAGGGAGAGGAGGGATGAAGAAGAGGAGGGAGTTGAGGCTATGCTGCAGTTGTTGGCTTGGCTGGCTGGGTCCCCTCCAGCCCACACATGCTACTTTTCTGTGTGGAATGATCATTCCTAACTTGAGCCAAACTGTCCATTTTCCAGGTGGTATTCTGAGTCCTCCAAGCATTGGGCTAACCTTGGCTCTGAGAGATAGTTAGTGACAATCTTCTAGGTAGGGCTAGGAGGAAGTGTAATATTGGGGTGAACCAGGTCCCAGGTAAGTATTCGAAAACGTGCTATCACAACAGTAGCTTTCTCATAGAAGTAAAAAGTAGGACAGAGGATACTAGAGGCTGGGAAGGGTAGGCAGAAGGGAGAGATAGGGAGAAATTGGCTAAAAGATACAAAATTACAAATAGAGGCCAGGGATGGTGACTCACGCCTGTAATCCCAACAATTCAGGTGGCCGAGGCAGGCAGATCACTTGAGGACAGGAGTTCGAGACCAGCCTGGCCAACATGGCAAAACCCTGTCTCTACTAAAAATACAAAAATTAGCCAGGTGTGGTGGCGGGCACCTGTAATCCGAGCTACTCGGGAGGCTGAGGCAGGAGAATCACTTGAACCCGGGAGGCAGAGGTTGCAGTGAGCCGAGATCATGCCACTGCACTCCAGCCTGGGCAATGAGAGCAAAACTCCATCTCAAAACAAACAAACAAAAATAAGTAAATACAAATAAAATTTAAAAACAGTAGTCTTCAGTTAATCAAAGATATCTATATAGTTATATAGATACCATACACACACACACACACACACACACACACACACACATTTTTGTTGGACTTAAACTACAGATGTACTCCGCAACTCCTCAGTGATATTTTATCATCCTTATTTGATCATCATTGATATGAACAACAGGGGTGATCTCATTTTATTTATTCCCATTTATCATCATGTCTCACTTCTACTTCCCTTCCCTGCCCCCACCACAGACAGCTGTTCCATTTTGTTCAAAGTGTATCCCTTTGTTTGCATGAATTATTATTATTTTTTTTTTTTTTTGAGACGGAGTCTCGCTCTGTGGCCCAGGCTGGAGTGCAGTGGCGCCATCTCGGCTCACTGCAAGCTCTGCCTCCTGGGTTCATGCCATTCTCCTGCCTCAGCCTCCCGAGTAGCTGGGACTACAGGCCCCCGCCACCACGCCCAGCTAATTTTTTTGTATTTTTAGTAGAAACGGGTTTTCACCATGTTAGCCAGGATGGTCTTGATCTCCTAACTTCATGATCTGCCCGTCTCAGCCTCCCAAAGTGCTGGGATTACAGGTGCATGAATTATTATTAAATTCTCCAGCCTAGGTGACAGAGTGACACTTGGTCTCAAAAAAAAAAAAATCCTCTCTTTTAGCTTTTTTGAAAATATGCAATAAGTTACAATTAGCCATATTCACCCACCAGTGCTGCAGATCTTACTGGAATTTTGCCAGTTTGTCAGCTAATTCCCTCTTTATGTTCTAGGGCACAATTCATTTCATTTAGTTGTTATTTCTATTTTTCATTATCATTTTTTTATTCGCATTTTTTAATTTTCCTTTTATTCTAAAGATTATTATGTGATATGTTACTGTGGCAATATCACGTAACTCAACCTGATATTTATGTTCTAAATATATAGGTAGTTTTAAGGGTCCTCATCTTAGTAATTTCCAATTTTATTTCAGAATGCTCAGAAAACCTGGGTCTTTCTTTTATTAGCACTTGCTACAAATTAAGAGAACTTTAGTCTGACCATCCATGCCGGCCCTCAATCTTAAATTCTTTGTTTGTTTGTTTATTTTTGAGACAGGGTCTCACTGTGTCGCCCAGGCTGGAGTGCAGTGGCGTGATCTCAGGTCACTGCAACCTCTCTCTCCTTGGCTCAAGCAATTCTCCCACCTCAGCCTCTCAGGTAGCTGGGATTACAGGTGCATGTCACCATGCCCAGGTAATTTTTGTGCTTTTAGTAGGGACGGGGTTTCACCATGTTGGCCAGGCTGGTTTTGAACTCCTGACCTCAAGTGATCCACCCACCTCGGCCTCCCAAAGTGCTGGGATTACAGGAGTGAGCTACTGTGCCCGGCCCTTAACCTTAAATTCTTAAGTGTTTATTCCAGGCCCTGTGGCAGGTACATTATGAGCATAATCTTATTAAATCCTCATAACAACCCTGTCAATTTGGGATTATTATCCATTTCTTTTAGGGATGAGAAAACTAAGGCTCACAACAATCAAGGGACCAACCCACGGTCCCCTAGCTCTGAAGTGGGGATCCAACCCAGGTGTGGCTGAATAGAGACCACCGAGATTTAAAAATAGGAATAATAATTATTATTTTTATCAGTATTACTATTTGTGAGGTTCTTACTACGGGCCAAGACTTGTGCAAAGCAAGTAAGATGCATGATCTTATTTAAACCTTTACACAGTTTGTTTTTGTTTTTGTTTTTGTTTTATGAGATAGCATCTCGCTCTATCACCCAGGCTGAAGTGCAGTGGCTCAGTCATAGCTCACTGCAGCCTTGACCTCCCAGGCTCAATCGATCCTCCCACCTCAGCCTCTCAACTAGCCAGGACCACAGACATGCACCACAATGTGTGGCACATTTTCTTATACTTCGTAGACATGGGGGTCTTGCTATTTTGCCCAGACTGGTCTCAAGCTCCTGGGCTCAAGTGATCCTTCTGCTTCAGCCTCTGACGTAGCTGGGACCACAGGCATGCACCACCATGCCTGGCTAATTTTTTTTTAAATTTTTATTTTGTAGAGATGGAGTTTCACTATGTTACTCAGGGTGGTCTCAAACTCCTGGCCTCAGGTGACCCCCCTCTGCCTCCGCCTCCCAAAGTGCTGAGATGACAGGTGTGAGCCATCATTCCCAGGCTAAACTTCAGCACATTATTATTAACATATTTTTGGCCAGGCGTGGTGGCTCAAGACTGTAATCCCAACACTTTGGAAGGCTGAGGAAGGTGGATCACCTGAGGTCAGGAGTTCGAGACCAGCCTGGCCAACATGCTGAAACCCATCTCTACTAAAAATACAAAAATCAGCTGGCGTGGTAGCACATGCCTGTAATCCCAGCTACTCTGGAGGCTGAGGCAGGAGAATCACTTGAACCCAGGAGGCAGAGGTTGCAGTGAGCTGAGATCACACCACTGCACTCCAGCCTGGGTGACAGAGCGAGACCCCATCTCAAAAACTAAAACTAAAAATAAATAACATATTTTTGCACATGGAGTAACCATGGCTTGGACAGATGAAGAAGGCGCTCTCAGATGTCCTCCCAGGTGGGAGTCACTAGACACCCCTGTGCTCCTAACCACTGGGTCTTCTTTCCTCTCTCCACCAACTAGGGGTGGCCGCCATGCAGGGGCTAAACCACACCTCCGTGTCTGAATTCATCCTCGTTGGCTTCTCTGCCTTCCCCCACCTCCAGCTGATGCTCTTCCTGCTGTTCCTGCTGATGTACCTGTTCACGCTGCTGGGCAACCTGCTCATCATGGCCACTGTCTGGAGCGAGCGCAGCCTCCACATGCCCATGTACCTCTTCCTGTGTGCCCTCTCCATCACCGAGATCCTCTACACCGTGGCCATCATCCCGCGCATGCTGGCCGACCTGCTGTCCACCCAGCGCTCCATCGCCTTCCTGGCCTGTGCCAGTCAGATGTTCTTCTCCTTCAGCTTCGGCTTCACCCACTCCTTCCTGCTCACTGTCATGGGCTACGACCGCTACGTGGCCATCTGCCACCCCCTGCGTTACAACGTGCTCATGAGCCTGCGGGGCTGCACCTGCCGGGTGGGCTGCTCCTGGGCTGGTGGCTTGGTCATGGGGATGGTGGTGACCTCGGCCATTTTCCACCTCGCCTTCTGTGGACACAAGGAGATCCACCATTTCTTCTGCCACGTGCCACCTCTGTTGAAGTTGGCCTGTGGAGATGATGTGCTGGTGGTGGCCAAAGGCGTGGGCTTGGTGTGTATCACGGCCCTGCTGGGCTGTTTTCTCCTCATCCTCCTCTCCTATGCCTTCATCGTGGCCGCCATCTTGAAGATCCCTTCTGCTGAAGGTCGGAACAAGGCCTTCTCCACCTGTGCCTCTCACCTCACTGTGGTGGTCGTGCACTATGGCTTTGCCTCCGTCATTTACCTGAAGCCCAAAGGTCCCCAGTCTCCGGAAGGAGACACCTTGATGGGCATCACCTACACGGTCCTCACACCCTTCCTCAGCCCCATCATCTTCAGCCTCAGGAACAAGGAGCTGAAGGTCGCCATGAAGAAGACTTGCTTCACCAAACTCTTTCCACAGAACTGCTGAAATGGCTGACTTTCTCTCAAGAGATGTAGCGAATGGGAACACTTTAGTCTTCCTCCTTTATTTCTTTTCCTTTCCTCCCTCCCTCCTTTCCTCCCTCCCTCCCTTCCTTCCTTCTTTCCTTCCTCCCTCCCTCCTTTCCTCCCTCCTTCTCTGACCTACAGTCCACCCTCCCTCCCCCCTCCTCCTTGCCTTCCTTCCATCCTTCCTCCCTCCCTCCCTCCCCCTTCCTTCTTCTCTGCCTACTTCCCTCTTTCCCTTCTCTCTGTCTCTTTCTGTTTCTATACCTCTCTGTCTCTGTCACTCTCTTTCTCCCTCCTTGTTCTTTTGTTTTTGTTTTTGTTTTTGTTTTGACTGAGTCTCGTTCTGTCACCCAGGTTGGAGTGCGTTGGCACAATCTCGGCTCACTGCAACCTCCACCTCCTGGGTTCAAGCGATTCTCCTGCCTCAGCCTCCCGACTAGCTGGGATTACAGGCACACACCACCATGCCTGGCTAATTTTTGTATTTGTAGTAGAGACGGGGTTTCACCATGTTGGCCAGGCTGGTCTCGAACTCCTGACCTCAGGCATTATGCCCACCTCAGCCTCCCAAAGTGCTGGGATCACAGGCGTGAGTCACCACACCCAGCCCTGACTTTTTTACTGTAGACATCCCAGTGGTTTCTTATTGGGGTTTTGATTTGCATTTCCCCAATGACTAATGACAGGCTTTAGGTGCTTAACACATGTGAGTTATTTTACTTCACAGGGAAGATAGGATTACTAACTCCATTTTGTTTGTTCGTTAGTTGGTTGGTTTTATACACGGTCTTGCTCTGTTGCCCAGGCTGGAGTGCAGTAGTCCAATCATGGCTAAGTGCAGCGTCAACTTCTGGGCTCAAGCAATTCTCCCACCTCAGCCTCCAGAGAAGCTAGCACTGCAGATGCATGCCACCACAAGGGTAACTTTGTATTTTTTGTAGCGACAGGATCTCACGATGTTGCCCAGGCTAGTCTTGAACTCCTGGCCTCAAGCAATCCTGCCATCTCGGCCTCCCCAAATGCTGGGATTACAGGCATGAGCCGTGACACCGGCCAAGTTCTATTCTGAAGATGAGGAAGCTAAGTTATGAAGAGATTAAGTTAATTAGCCAAAGGTCTTGTCACTGACATGGAAAAGCTAGAATTGAACCTATTCTTTAAATTAGAGCTGGGGATAAGAAGTACACATTTCTCAGGGCCTGTGAAGAGGGGAAGTCAGTCTGTTCCAGAAAGGGAGGAAGAGCTGGATTGAAAACAAGAGACACATTCTAGCTAGCACCAATGGAGTGAGCCCAGAACTAGAAATATGCTGTCTCTATGGGTTTAGGAGGAATCACCCAGTGTCAGAGAATTAGGGATACACCTTATGAGTTTGGCCAAACTGGCTGTAGTATTTCTGTGTTTTTTAGTAGACGTGTTAATACGAAAGAGTGTGTCACATTCAAATATTAAATTGGGCCAGGCACAGTGCCTCACACCTGTAATTCCAAAATTTGGGGAGGCCGTGACAGGAGGATCACTGGAGTCCAGGAGTTCAAGACCAGCCTGGGCAACAAAGTGAAACCTTATCTCTACAAAAAAATTAAAAAATTAGCTAGACATGGCTGCATGTGCCTGTAGTACCAGCTACTCAAGAGGCTGAGGTGGGAGGATCACTTGAGCCCAGGAGGTTGAGGCTGCAGTGAGCAGTAATTGTGCCACTGCCCTCCAGCCTGAGTGACAGAGTGAGACCTTGTCCCAAAAAATTAAATTAAATTAAATTAAACGCTTTGCAAAAAAAAAAAACTACCCATTAAATCCGGGTTCCTGGGTTATATTAGAAGTTCCGGCCGGGTGCAGTGGCTCATGCCTATAATCCCAGCACTTTGGGAGGCTGAGGTGGGTGGATCACGAGGTCAGGAGTTTGAGACCAGCCTGACCAACATAGTGAAACCCCGTCTCTACTAAAAATACAAAAAATTACCCGGGCGTGGTGGCACATGCCTGTAATCCCAGCTACTCAGGAGGCTGAGGCAGGAGAATTGCTTGAATCCAGGAGGCGAAGGTTGCAGTGAGCCGAGATTGGGCCATGGCACTCTAGCCTGGGTGACAGAGCGAGACTCTGTCTCAAAAAAACAATAAAAAAAAGAAGAAGAAGTTCTAGGGCACTTAACTACTAATATCTGGGGGGGCATTCTTTGCCTCCCCTATAAAATGTAAAGGGATCCCAAATGTTAAACTTCCACCCCCATCACCTCGAGTTGTCATGGAAAAGAGAATGTTATACCCTGTTTATACCCCACGTGTCCTGGGGTGTAGCTAGTGCTTTCTAGCTGATCATGATTCTGAAGATACCTTGGAATAGGCTGGGAAACAGGTAAAAATCAGACTGTGTGAGTTTGAAAGAGTGCAGGAAAGGTGGCTTCTGGGTTATATCCAAGATGTGTCATTGTGGTTCCCCGTGGTGATCAGAAAAGCGAGCCAGCTTGCTGTAGTTTGGTTGACCAATGTCCATGCATTCTGAAATTAAAATAAGCTTTGTGATTACTCCTTCACTTTATTTAGTAGTAGTCATTGTGTAAATTTGAAACAACCGGAGAAGTTGGGCTTAGTGTTGTTTTTATACATGGCATATTCTAGACCCTGAGGGCCAGGTCAGGGTGAGGTGAGGGAGACACCTCACCTCCTTTAAACATTATTTAAAATGTTGACATTTTGTTCACCGTGGATTTTTTTTGCATTCATTTTGGTTTTTTAAAATATTGCATTAGGCCGGGTGTGGTGGCTCACTCCTGTAATCCCAGCACTTTGGGAAGCCGAGGCAGGTGGATCATTTGAAGTCAGGAGTTCGACACCAGCCTGGCCAACATGGTGAAACCCTGTGTCTACTAAAAATACAAAAATTAGCTGGGTGTGGTGTGCGTGTGTGGTCCCAGCTACTCGAGAGGCTGAGGCAGGATAATTGCTTTAACCGGGGAGACAGATGTTGCAGTGAGTCAAGATCGTGCCACTGCACTCCAGCCTGGGCGACAAGAGTGACACTCCATCTAAAAAAAAAAAAAAAAAAAAAAAAGCATAAACGTAATTTATCTTGATTGCTGAATTTTTTGATGGCCCCTTACATTGGGTGCTCAAAGTGACTGCCTTATCTCCCCACAAAGGAAAAACAAAACGCTTGCATTTTTCCCTCAAAAGACTAAAAAATAGAAGCCATCATTAATTTAAAATAGGATTAAGTGCCAAAAGTTCAGTGAGAACACAGCAGGTCTGGGGGTGTCAACTCTCCATGCCCCAGGTGTGGAAACAGTCCCCCTCTGCCTGCTAGCTTTGGCCAGCCCCCTCCCCCGGGACCCTGTCCTCATCTCCCCCCATTAATCAGCCTTCACTTTCTGAAGTCTCACACCTCCTGCATTCCTCACTGTTTGCCAAGCCTTGATAATGGTCCCCTCTGTGATTGGTATCCCCAAGGCAGGACCAGAGCCCAGAGAGGTGATTAAGGGGCAGGAGATCCCAGGCTTCAGGGACCTGCTCCCTGAGTTCCTTGGAGCCCAGTGTTGTAGTCCTAATTGCTAGAGACCAAGGCCAGCTTGAAAGATGTGATCTGTGTCCTTCACTTCTTTTGTTCTTTTCTTCCCCGGTGCTGGCCTAACCTCCTTGCATGTGGATAAAAATTCAATCCCCTCCTCATGGAGGTTGTCCCTCTTGTTTCACCCCCAAAATCCTCCAGTTTCTGTCTGCCAAGCAGCTAGAAGGAGCTTTTTTTTTTTTTTTTTTTTTTTGAGATGGAATCTAGCTCTGTCTCCCAGCCTGGAGTGCAGTGGTGCTATCTCGGCTCACTGCAGCCTCTGCCTCCCGGGTTCAAGCGATTTTTCTGCCTCAGCTTCCCAAGTAGCTGGGATTGCAGGCACATGCCACCACACCCAACTATTTTTTGTATTTTTAGTAGAGACGGGGTTTCGCCATGTTAGCCAGACTGGTCTCGGACTCCTGATTTCAGGTGATACTACCACCTCGGCCTCCCAAGGTGCCGGGATTACAGGTGTGAGCCACCACATCCAGCCAGAAGGATCTTTCTAAAGGGAAACTCTGAAAAATCATCCCTCTACTTAAACCTTCTGTTTCTCTTAGGATACAGTATAGACTCTAGTGTGATCATCAGGGCTGCGTGGCCAGGTCTATACTTCATCCCCAAATTCATTCTTTGACCCTATAGCCCAATGGGCTCCCTGCTGTCCCGGCAGTAAACCAAGCACACCCGGACCCCAGGAACCTTGCATCTACTCTTTTTTTTTTCTTCAGAGATTGGGGCATGAAATCTTCCATTCCTCTTTGCATTGCTGGTTTGCATTATTGGGGGTATTAGAAGACACTGGCTTTTGGCAAGAGGAGTCTAGATTCCAGGTTTGGTGCTAACTGACAAAGTATCTTGCGGCAGGTAGAAATAATCAGTTTTCTTGCATTTTTTCCCTCGAAAGACTAAAAAATGGAAGCCATCATTAATTTAAAACAGGATTAAGTGCCAAAAGTTCAGTGAAAACACAGCCACATCTGTGTTTTCTCTGTGTTAGTATCTCACACACAATTCCACTCCAAATACATCCCTGATGCTGATGAAACGTTATGTATATAATTGTATGTTGTCTACAAGGTAAACCTTAAAAGTATGACAAATAGAGGTTACTATATGTTCATTGAATGTCTTTTTTTTTTTTTGAGAGAGAGAGAGAGAGAGAAATAAGATCTCACTCTGTCACCCATGCTGGAGTGCAGTGGCATGATCTCAGCTCACTGCAACCTTCACCTCCCAGGTTCAAACAATTCTCCTGTGTCAGACTCCCTGGAATTACAGGCGTGCCACCATGCCTGGCTAAATTTTTTTTGTGTTTTTAGTACAGACAGGGTTTCGCCATGTTGCCCAGGATGGTTTCAAACTCCTGGCCTCAAGTGACCTGCCCACCTTGGCCTCCCAAAGTTCTGGGGTTACAGGCATGAGCCACCACGCCTGGCCCCTTGCATCTACTCTTGCTTTTGCCTGTAATACCCTTCCCCCACCTGCTCGCACACTCCCTTCGGTCTTCCTGAGGGTCACCTCCTCAGAAAGCTCTTTCCTGACTTCTCCACACTCGGTCACCACCCCTATTACAAGCCCTCATAGCAACTCACTTAGGTCCCTCAGAGCTTTTATCACAAGTTCCCATATATATTAATTGGTGCAATTATTTGTTTATTTATGTCTTCCTCTTTCTAGGGCAGACATTGAGATCGGGATGTCTTATCTAATTGGTTCAACCCTGTCTTCCCAGTGGTGCCTAGAAAAATGCCTGGTACACAGTAGGTGCTCAATAAATGCTTTTTGAGTGAATACAGCAGGGTTTGTCATTCTGCGCCCGGCTGACATTTGGGGACAGTGGTGGGGGCTGTTCTGTGCATTGTAGGATGTTGAGCAGCGTCACTGACTTTGACATACTAGGTGCTGTAACATACATATCCTCTGCCTCGTTTCAAAGACCAAAAATTGTCTCTAGAAATTTCCAAATGTGCCCTGGGAAGGGGAGCAAAATCACCATTGGCAGAGAAGCATGGGAATGCAGAGACTGGGCTAATAGAGCTCCAGCTGCGTCTTACCCCTCTTGGCTCCCTTAGAACTTTGCTCATGGGATGGTTCGTTTTATGTGTCACCTTGACTGGGTCAAAGGGATGCTCAGAGATCTGATTGGATATTATTTCTGGGTATGTTTATGAAGGTGTTTCTGGAAGAGATGAACATTTGGATTGGTGAACTGAGTAAAACAGGTGGGCCTTCCCAGTGTGAGAGGGCATCCTCTAATCTGTGGAGGGTCCGAATAGAAGAAAACAGCAGAGGAGGTTGGACTCACATTCCCTTTGCCTGGCAATCTTCTTGCTCTTACTGCTCCTGGTTCTCAGGCCTTCAGACCCAGGTTGGACTCTACACCATTCGTTTTCAGCTATTGGCCGAGTCAACACTGTCTTTCCTGGTTCTCACCTTGCACATGGCATATCATGAGACTTTTCAGCCTCCATAATTATGTGAGCCAATACCATATATATACATATATATATAATTTTTTTTTTAGATGGAGTCTCACTCTGTCACCCAGGCTGCAGTGCAGTGGCATACTCTTGGCTCACTGCAACCTCCATCTCCCCGGTTCAAGTGATTCTCCTGCCTCAGCCTCCTGAGCAGCTGGGATTACAGGCACCCGCCACCACGCCCCGCTAATTTTTGTATTTTAAGTGGAGATGGGGTTTCGCCATGTTGGCCAGACTGGTCTGAAACTCCTGACCTCAAGTGATCCACCCACTTTGGCCTCCCAAAGTGCTGGGATTACAGGCGTGAGCCACTGCACCCGGCCCTTATAATATATATATATCCATCTACCTTATCTATCTACCTATTCGTTACCTATTTATCATCTATCTATCTGTCTATATCTTATTGGTTCTGTTTCTATGAAGAGCCCTGACTAATACAATCCGTATCTTGGTCACAGCCCTGATATTTCTCTGTGTATCACTGCACCAGGTAACATGCAAATGCCTCAAAAGCTGGGAACAGAAACAAACGCTTGTCTATATCCCCAAAATTAGCACAAGTCTGGAGACAAAGAAGGCCACAAATAATTATTAAACTAATCTTAGCCCAGGTATGGTGGCTTACGCCTGTCCTTTATTGGTTGGGCGTGGTGGCTCATGCCTGTAATCCCAGCACTTTTGGAGGTCAAGGCAGGCAGACTGCTTGAGCTGGGGATTTCAAGACCAACCTTGGCAACATGGTGAAACCCTGTCTCTACAAAAAATTTCAAAAATTAGCCAGCTGTGGTGGCACATGCCTGTGGTCCTAGATTCTCAAGAAGCTGAGGTGGGAGAATTGCTTGAGGTTGCAGTGAGCCATGATTGCACCACTGCACTCCAGCCTGGGCAACAGAGCAAGACCCTGTCTCAAAAAAAACGAAACAAAACAAAAACAAATGACAACAAAAAACCCACCAAGCCTGTCCTTTATTAATGGGTATATCTAATGACTTTCTGATATTCAAGCAGAAACCTTTAGGCAGTGAGAGAGAAGCCATGTGGACATCTTGTGGGGAGAAGGGAATTCCTGGTAGTGGGCACAGCATGTGCAAAGGTCCTGAGGTAGGAGCATATTTGGTGTGTTTGAGGGACAGTGGGGAGGCTAGAGCAGAGTGACTGAGGGAAGGAGAAAAGGGAGGTGAGGTCAGAGAAGCAGCAGCAGGGCCCAGATGTGTAGGGCTTTGTTGGCACTGTAAAAACTTCGGATTTCTGTAGTCCCAGCACTTTGGGAGGCCGAGGCGGGCGGATCACGAGGTCAGGAGATCGAGACCATCCTGGCTAAAACGGTGAAACCCCGTCTCTACTAAAAATACAAAAAATTAGCCGGGCGTAGTGGCGGGCGCCTGTAGTCCCAGCTACTTGGGAGGCTGAGGCAGGAGAATGGCGTGAACCCGGGAGGCGGAGCTTGCAGTGAGCCGAGATCCCGCCACTGCACTCCAGCCTGGGCAACAGAGCGAGACTCCGTCTCAAAAAAAAAAAAAACAAAACTTCGGATTTCCCTGTAAGTGAGACGGAGTCATTGGAAGGTTCTTAGTAGAGGAGATATAATACAATGTACACCTCCTAGGCTCAAGCAATTCTCAGGCCTCAGCCTCCGGAGTAGCTGGGATTACAGGCACACGCCACCACGCCTGGCTAACTTTTGTATTTTTAGTAGAAACAGGGTTTCACTATGGTGGCCAGGCTGGTCTTGAACTCCTGACCTCAAGTGATCCACCTGCCTCAGCCTCCCAAAGTGCTTTTTCAATCATAAATGTCACTGCTCTAAACATCCTTTTGTTTACACTGACATGGAATGTCTATAAGATGTCAATCAAATTGGTGGAAATTAGGAGGCAGGATTTCAACCCAGGTCCTTCTCACTCAAACACGACTCCCCACACACACTTACCCACTGCCCTGGGGGGTAATGAGGTTTCTTTCTCACAGGAAATACATAAGTCAACATTCTGGATTGTTCAGTGTTGTAGGATTAAATTAGTCCACTTTAGGAATATTTGTTAAGAATTGATATATCGTCCAAGTGCCATGCTGATGCTGGATGTGATAATGTACGAGATGATCAAACCTCATGACCACATGCAGCTGGCAGCTTAAAGGATCACAATAAGTTAGCATAAGACATCCAGTGCCCAACTCATAGTGGATATCCAGCCTCTTTCCAGGGTCTCTATCCATTTGGATACCAGCAGGATCAGAGGCCAGTGGGGTCTTTTATAAAGAAAAGAAAAGAAAAAAAGAAAAAAAAGAGAGAAAAGAAGGGAAGGGAAGGGAAGGGAGGGGAGGGAAGGGAACGGAAAGGAAAGGAGAAAAGAAAGGAATGGAAGGGAAGGGAAGGGGGAGGGAAGGAGAAGGGAAGGGAAAGAGGAGGGAAAGGAAAGGGGGAGGGAGGGAGAAGGGGGAGGGAAGGGGGAGGGAAGGAGAAGGGAAGGGGGAGGGAAGGGGGAGGGAAGGAGAGGCGAAGGAGAAAGGAAGGTGAAGGGAAGGGAAAAGAAAAGAAAAAAAAGAAAAGAAAAGAGAAAAGACCTGACTTATGTTCCCGCCCAGATGGCTCTGTTGTCAGGAGAGGGGAGCATCTTAGCTCAGTGCATAGAAGTTACTCAAGAATTTCTACAAGACTAAAACTTATTTTAAAATCATGAAGGACTGTTGAATTTGTAGAAATATTCCATCTGTGTTCCAAGGATGCACGCTTCAGGGTTTGCAGAGGGTTGCAACTGTCTTCCTGTGCCACAAAAGACTCTAAAGATGCTGAGATGTTTCATTTGAAGAAGGACCAGTCCTCCAGAAATTAGGATCCCACTGTAAAAAGGCAATGCTTGAAGTGTTGAATGGAGAAGACTTGGAATCAGAAAAGACTGACATTGAAGCTTGGCTCTTCCAAGTTGGTTGGTCTCTGATGAGCCATGCATGTTTTGTGCCTCAGTTTCCCCCTCTATCAAACAGAGGGACTGTGATTATATCTGCTCTCACTCCCACCTTGTGAGGCGCTAATGATACAACATGCCTGGTGGGTAACAAGATGCATGAACTGTAGCACATATTCTGCAAAGGGAGCTTCTCTGAGTTTCCAAGTTTTGATTGAAATCGTTTCCCACATCCTCACTTTTCATGCTAATGTGGGATTTTTTTTTAAATTTTATCATTATTATACTTTAAGTTTTAGGGTACATGTGCACAACGTGCAAGTTTGTTACATATGTATACATGTGCCATGTTGGTGTGCTGCACCCATTAAGTCATCATTTAGCATTAGGTATATCTCCTAAAGCTGTCCCTCCCCCCATTCCCCCACCCCACAACAGTCCCTGGTGTGTGATGTTCCCCTTCCTGTGTCCATGTGTTCTCATTGTTCAATTCCCACCTATGAGTGAGAACATGTGGTGTTTGGTTTTTTGTCCTTGCGATAGTTTGCTGAGAATGATGGTTTCCAGCTTCATCCATGTCCCTACAAAGGACATGAACTCATCATTTTTTATGGCTGCATAGTATTCCATGGTGTATATGTGCCACATTTTCTTAATCCAGTCTATCATTGTTGGACATTTGGGTTGGTTCCAAGTCTTTGCTACTGTGAATAGTGCTGCAGTAAACATGTGTGCATGTGTCTTTATAGCAGCATGATTTATAATCCTTTGGGTATATACCCAGTAATGGGATGGCTGGGTCAAATGATATTTCTAGTTCTAGATCCCTGAGGAATCGCCACACTGACTCCCACAATGGGGAACTAGTTTACAGTCCCACCAACAGTGTAAAAGTGTTCCTATTTCTCCACATCCTCTCCAGCACCTGTTGTTTCCTGACTTTTTAGTGATTGCCATTCTAACTGGTGTGAGATGATATCTCATTGTGGTTTCCATTTGCATTTCTCTGATGGCCAGTGATGACGAGCATTTTTTCATATGTTTTTTGGCTGCATAAATGTCTTCTTTTGAGAAGTGTCTGTTCATATCCTTTGCCCACTTTTTGATGGGATTGTTTGTTTTTTTCTTGTAAATTTGTTTGAGTTCATTGTAGATTCTGGATATTAGCCCTTTGTCAGATGAGTAGATTGCAAAAATTTTCTCCCATTCTGTAGGTTGCCTGTTCACTCTGATGGTAGTTTCTTTTGCTGTGCAGAAGCTCTTTAGTTTAATTAGATCCCATTTGTCAATTTTGGCTTTTGTAATATGGGATGTTTTGACTGTGGGTTGTTTTGACTGCTTGAATGATGGAGAATTCACACTTTAGAAAAAAATGATGCATAGCTCAAACACAGGAAGACCTATTGTCAATAAATATATAAATACTATACAGTAGGGTCAATCTTAAATCCCTGCCCATTGGGAAGAGACCATGAGGTAAACTTTCTTTTTTTTTTTTTTTTTTTTTTTTGAGATGGAGTCTCAGTCTGTCACCCAGGCTGGAGTGCAGTGGTGTGATCTCAGCTCACTGCAACCTCTGCCTCCATGGTTCAAGCTATTCTCCTGTCTCAGCCTCCTGAGTAGCTGGGATTACAGGCACCTGCCACCACGCCTGGCTAATTTTTATATTTTTAGTAGAGATGGGGTTTCAGCCATTTGCCCAGGCTGCTCTTGAACTCCTGACCTCAGGGGATCCACCCACCTTGGCCTCCCAAAGTGCTGGGATTACAGGCATGAGCCACTGCGCCTGGCCATGAGATAAACTCATCCTGGGGTCTACACTCAATGTCCAGATTCAACAGAGAGCTCCTGGCTGGCCCATGAGCCGTGTCAACTTCTAACACAGCATTCGGTATCTCACAGTGTGACTTTTTTCCTTGATCCAACCATGAAGACATCTCAGTCTCTCCACAACTATTCAAGACTCACACTTGAAATTCTAAGGTTTCCTTGATGTTTAAAGAGAGTCTGTTTATTGCTATTTCTAACTTCTATTGCATAGATCTGTGCAATGCTGAAATTTAGGGTACTTTTCTCTCCTCTGCTATAATCTGGAGTAGCCTTACAAAATCTGAGTTGTAGCTACCTGGTGCGGCACTCATAGAGAGTGGGGCATGAAATCTTCCCTCTCTCTTTGCATTGCTGGTTTGCATTATTGGGGGTATTAGATGACCCTGGCTTTTGGCAAGAGGAGTCTAGATGGAGGTTTGGTGCTAACTGACACAGTTTCTTGCAGCAGATAGAAATAATCAAACCTGGTTTTCTCTGTGTTAGTATCTCACACACACTTCCACTCCAAATACATCCCTGATGCTGATTAACCTTTGTGTTTATAATTGTATGTCGTCTACAAGGTCCCTTGTAAACCTTAAAGCATGACAAATAGAGGTTACTATATGTTCATGGATTGTCTTTCTTTTAGGGGGGAAGGGATAGGGTCTCACTCTGTCATCCATGCTAGACTGCAGTGGCACAGTCATAGTTCACTGTAAGCTCAAACTTCTGGACTTAGGCAGTAATCCCAGTTCAGTCTCCCAGGTAGCTGGGACTACAGGCATGTACCACCATGCCAAGCTATTTTTTTCTAAGTTTTTGTAGATATGCAGTCTTGCTATGTTGTCAAGTCTAGTCTTGAACTCCTGGCCTCAAGCAATCCTCCTGCCTTGGCATCCCAAGGTGCTGGAATTATAAGTGTGAGCCACAGTGCTTGGCTGGAACGTAATTTTCTTTTTTTCTTTCTTTCTTTCTTCTTTGAGACAGTCTCACTCTGTCGCCCAGGCTGGAGTGCAGTGGTGTGATCTCAGCTCACTGCAACCTCCACCTACCGGGTCAAGCGATTCTTATGCCTCAGCCTCCCAAGTAGCTAGGGTTACAGGCATGTGCCAACATGCCTGGCTAATTTTTGTATTTTTAGTAGAGATGGGGTTTCGCCATGTTAGCCATGCTGGTCTCAAACTCCTGACCTCAGGTGATCCGCCTGCCTCGGCCTCCCAAAGTGCTGGGATTACAGGCATGAGTCACCACGGAACGTAATTTTTAACAATAGCCTTCGGTAATCCAATTTAGTTGTTCCCAGTGAATTTCTCCTACATCATTACATTTTTTTCTGGGTAGAGTTTACTGAAGAAGGTCTTCTTCATGGCGACCTTCAGCTCCTTGTTCCTGAGGCTGAAGATGATGGGGCTGAGGAAGGGTGTGAGGACCGTGTAGGTGATGCCCATCAAGGTGTCTCCTTCCAGAGACTGGGGACTTTTGGGCTTCAGGTAAATGACGGAGGCAAAGCCATAGTGCACGACCACCACAGTGAGGTGAGAGGCACAGGTGGAGAAGGCCTTGTTCCGACCTTCAGCAGAAGGGATCTTCAAGATGGCGGCCACGATGAAGGCATAGGAGAGGAGGATGAGGAGAAAACAGCCCAGCAGGGCCGTGATACACACCAAGCCCACGCCTTTGGCCACCACCAGCACATCGTCTCCACAGGCCAACTTCAACAGAGGTGGCACATGGCAAGCAAAATGGTGGATCTCCTTGTGTCCACAGAAGGCGAGGTGGAAAATGGCCGAGGTCACCACCATCCCCATGACCAAGCCACCAGCCCAGGAGCAGCCCACCAGGCAGGCGCAGCCCCGCGGGCTCATGAGCACGTTGTAGCGCAGGGGGTGGCAGATGGCCACGTAGCGGTCGTAGCCCATGACGGTGAGCAGGAAGGAGTGGGTGAAGCCGAAGCTGAAGGAGAAGAACATCTGACTGGCACAGGCCAGGAAGGCGATGGAGCGCTGGGTGGACAGCAGGTCGGCCAGCATGCGCGGGATGATGGCCACGGTGTAGAGGATCTCGGAGACGGAGAGGGCGCACAGGAAGAGGTACATGGGCGTGTGGAGGCTGCGCTCGCTCCAGACGGTGGCCATGATGAGCAGGTTGCCCAGCAGCGTGAACAGGTACATCAGCAGGAACAGCAGGAAGAGCATCAGCTGGAGGTGGGGGAAGACAGAGAAGCCGACGAGGATGAATTGGGTCACTGTGGAGTGATTGGCTCTCTGCATGGAGGCTGTGCCTGGGGTGAGATGTGACAGGGAGATGTCAGTTACTGCATGAAGAAAAGTTCTCAGCCTTCCCCATACCTGGATTTGCCCAAGGGACTGCTCTTGATAAATGGTTTGGTTCCATTCCCACTCTGTACCTCCTATAATTTAATACTCTCGTCAACCTAGTGAGAACGGTACTATTTTTTCAACCCCCTTTTGAAGTACCTTGAGCATAGTCATTGAGAATATTGAAATGTAGAGCTTGCTCAAGGCCAAGCTGTTGAAACGGTAGATCAGAGACTGGAACCCATAGCTGGGCTGGCTCTAAAACCTGTACCCTTCACTATTTCTCTATGTTGCCCCCTGCCCCCAAACGAAAATGCTCCAGGCTGGCATGGTGGTTCACATCTGTAATCCCAGCACTTTGGAGGCTAAGGGGGAAGGACGGCTTGAGCCCAAGAGTTTGAGGTTGCAGCAAGCTATGATGGCACCACTGTACTCCAGCCTGGGTGACAGAGCTAGACTCTATCTCTTAAAGAAAGAAGAAAATGGCCGGGCACGGTGGCTCACGCCTATAATCCCAACACTTTGGGAGGCTGAGGCAGGCGGATCACGAGGTCAAGAGATGGAGGCCAGCCTGGCCAAAATGGTGAAACCCCATCTCTACTAAAAATATAAAAATTAGTCGGGCATGGTGGCACGCACCTGTAGTCCCAGCTCTTCGGGAGGCAGAGACAGGAGAATCTCTTGAACCTGGGAGGCGGAGGTTGCAGTAAGCCGAGATGGCGCCACTGGACTCCACCCTGGCGACAGAGCGAGTCTCTGTCTCAAAAAAAAAAAAAATAAATAAATAAAAAGAAGAAGAAGAAAAACATATTCCTTTGCTGGAACTTCCATTCATTCCTTCTCTGCCCTCCTACTCCCTTCTGATAAATCACGTTCATCCCCCAGCTCCAGGTATCATGAGACGTTCCCACCCATGGCTGCAACTCCTTGGAACAGGGCGCGTCTCTAAATCTGAACCAACCAGACTTCCTCTGGGGTTATCCATGTAGGAAAGCAGAGGCAGGAGACTGTGTTGCTCTAAGGAAGGAGCCAGAAATCATGCTTTGGTTGTTTTCCAGCTCCCATGAGGTATGCCTCTATGTTCTGAGGCAATGAAATGTAGCCATCAGACAGAAAGAAGGGCGTGGGAATCAGCAGGGCTCAGTTCAAATCCCTCCTCTGGCTGTTGTGTAATGATTATTTATTTATTTATTTATTTATGTATTTATTTATTTATTTTTGTAGAGACAGAGTTTCATTCTGTTCCCCAGACTGGAGTGCAATGGTGCAATCATAGTTCACTGCAACCTCAAACTCCTGGATTCAAGCAATCTTCCTACCTCAGCCTCCCAAGTAGCTGGGACTACAGGCACACACCACCTCACCCAGCTAATGTTTTATTTTTTATTATAGAGATGGCATCTTGCTATGTTGCCCAGGCTGGTCTGGAACTCCACCCCTCAAGTCATCCTCCTGCCTGGGATTCCCAAAGTGCTGGAATTACAGAAGTGAGCCACTGCATCTGGCCAATATTTTGTAAAGTTGAGCAGATTCCTTTATCTCTCTGTACCTCCCTACCTCAAAGGGTTGTTGTGGGAAGGAAATGAGCTTTTCTTAAGTGACCTGGCATGCAGTAGATGCTACATATGATAATTAATACAGTAAATGAGTGACTGTACATGGTCTTTGCTCAGTAACTTTAATTTCATGAGATTTCTATGTGTCTTTATGAAACAATTAAATATATTCAATTTTTTTTTTTTCAAAAGACAGGGTCTGGCTCTGTCACCCAGGCTGGAGTGCAGTGGCACAATTATCATAGCTCACTGCAGCCTTCGGCTCCTGGGCTTAAGCGATCTTCCCTTCTCAGCCCCCTTAAATAGCTGGGACTACAGGCATGCACCACCATGCTTAGTTAATCTCTTTTTTAAAAAATTTGGCAATGTGTGACCAGGTGCAGTGGCTCACGCCTATAATCCCAGCACTTTGGGAGGCCAAGGTGGGCAGATCACTTGAGATCAGGAGTTCGAGACCAGCCTGGGCAACATGGTGAAACCCTGCCTCTACTAAAAATACAAAAATTAGCCAGGCATGGTGGCACAGGCCTGTGGTCCCAGCTACTCAAGAGGCTGAGTTAGGAGAATCGCTTGATCTGGGAGATGGAGGTTGCAGTGAGCCAAGATCACACCACTGCACTCCAGGCTGGGTGACAGAGCAAGACTCCTTCTCAAAAAAAAAAAAAAAAAAAGGAGTAAACTACCACTCTGCTTTCTGTTTCTACGGATGTGTCTGTTCTGAACATTTTACATAAATGGAATCATACGAGATGGGGCCTTTTGTGTCTCATTTCTTTCACTGAACATAATGTTTTAGGGTTCATTTGCATTGTAGCATGCAATTGTAACAGTATTAAAACACCACAGCATGCGTCTGAGCTTTATTCCTGTTTATGGCTGAACGATTTTCCATTTTATGAATATGCGTCATCTTTTCATGGACATGAGGGTTGTGCCCCACCTGTTGGCCTTCGTGAACAATGCTGCAATGAAAATGCTTGTAGCATTTGGAACCTATCAGTGGTTTCCAGGGGCTGGGGTGAGGGGAGAATGGGGAGTGACTGCTAATAGATACGGTGTTTCCTTTTGGGCTAATAAAAAATTATTACCTTTGTCTGGAACTAGGCAAAGGTGGTGTTAGTGCAACAGCATAAATGTTCTTGATGCCACTGAATTGTATACTTTTAAGTGTTTATGTGGAAATCCAGTAATAAAAGGCAAATGCAGTGGGCTTTCTCAAAAATAAAATAAAATAAAAATAAAGAAATAAAATAAAATAAAAATAAAGAAAAGAAAATAAATAAATAAATAGGTAAATTTCAGGTTGTATGTATGTTATTACAATAAAAAGATCATTTTAGAAAGGGTAGTTCACTTCCCTTTAAGTGGGCTCAGGTCCTCAGTCAAGCCCTGGCAGATTTATAGTGAGAGATGAAGGAAGAACCAGCTCCTTTGGTGAGCAGAGGCTGCATTCTCCAAACATCGTTGGTCTCCAGAGTTTCTTGGTCTCTCTTCCTGGAATCACTCTCGTTTTGCCCCACTTCTGGGTCAGTACTTGCCCGTAGCTCCACAGAATAGTGGCCCCCACAGCACCACCATGTCCCGCCACTCTGAGATCTTAGAGGAGTAAATGACTTGGAAACAAGAACCTCCAAGAAGAGGCCAAATGGGCGAGATTGGTGCCCTGGGGTGGTGCTCACAAACCCTCTGTGGCTCCCCAGTGCCTAAGGCAGGGTTTCTCAACCTTGGGACTGTTGATATTTAGGGCCAGGTCATTCTTTCTGTGGGGAGCTGTTCTGTGTCTCATAACATGTTTAGTAGCATCCCTGGTCTCTGTCAACTCAATGCCAGCAGCCATTGCTCAGTCATGACAACCAAAAAATGTCTCCAGAAAACACCCATGTCTCCATGGGGCTCAAAGTCACCCCCAGTTGAGAACCGCTGATCCAGAGAGTGCAGCCGCAACTCCTTCACACCCTCCCTCTGCTGGGATCCCCATTCCTCCACTTCTTCACCTGGCAAACCCCTGTTTGTTGTTAAGATTCAGCTTAGATGTCACCTCTTCCATGCAGTCCTCCTGGATATTTCTTCCCAAGGCATATTAAGCCACCCATTCCTGGGTGCTTTCAAAATAATGATTCCCAGTTAATGGTAACAGCAGGCATTGGTTCAATTCTCGCTCTGTGCCTCCTACAAGTAACTTTAAAGCTCCTTGCTCATGACTTTGTTATGATGTTTGCCGTGATATGTCATGTTGGAGCTGTGTCTATCCCTGGAACCTGATTGTGAATCCCTGAAGCCAAGGACTGTTGTGTCTACAGCACCAGTGCTGTGTACTCAACAACAACACCGATGAGAGCAGCTGCCCTTTACTGGATATGTCCTACAGACCAGGCACTGCACTCACATCACTCATGCTATTCTTATTGAATATTTACCCCCACATTAGAAGTCATCTGCTCTGATCCCTATTTTACAGACAGGGAAACTGAAACCCACGACACATCACTTGCCTTAGGTGCCTTGAGTCTGAAGTGGGGGCCCAGGGTCTGAGCTTAGGTCTGATTGATCTCAAAGCCTGTCTTTTCCTAACCTCTTGTTATACTCACCAGTTGCTGGTGGCTGTTTCAAAGGCCACTAGGAGATGCTGCTTCCCCATGACTGACCGTCTACACACTCTTGTTCATATCAATTCAGATCACAAGAATCGACAGCGAGTGAGTGAACAAGGTGGGGGGAGAGAGAGAGAGAGAAAAGGAGGAGGAGGAGGAGGAGGAAAAGAAAGAAAAAAGGGAGGAAGAAAGAGAGGGAGGGAGGGAGGAAGGAAAGAAGGATAAAAGGAAGGAAGGATGGGGACTGCAGGAGGAAGGAAGGAGGGAGGGAGGGAAGGAGGAAGGAAGGAACGAAGGAAGGAAGGAAGGAGAGTGAGGGAGGAAAGGAGGAGAGTGAGGAAGGAAGAAAGGAGGGAGGGAGGCAGGAAGGAAGGAGAGTGAGGGAGGAAAGAAGGAGAGTGAGGAAGGAAGGAAGAAAGGGAGGGAGGGAGGCAGGAAGGAAGGAAGGAGAGTGAGGGAGGAAAGAAGGAGAGTGAGATAGGAAGAAACGAGGGAGGGAGGAATGGAGGGAGGAAGGAAGGGAGGGAGGGAGAAACCTTGAGAGGACAGGAGCCGATCACGTCTGTAGGAGGTAGCTGAGGGCTGCATGTAACACCGTCTGGAATGATGGGATGCAGAATGCAGCTAAAAGGGTAGTCCAGTCATTCTGGAAAAATCAAAACCATGGAGACAGCAAAAGATCAGTGGCTTCCAGGGGACCAGTGGGTGAGAGGGAGGGATGAATGGGTGGGGCACAGAGGGTTTTTAAGACAGTGTAACTATGTTGTGTGATACTGTCATGGTAGATACAGGACATTGTGCATTTGTCAAAACCCAGAGAATGTACAGCCCCAAGAGTGAACTCTAATGTAACTGTGGATTTCAGTCAATGACAATGTGTCAACACTGGTTCATCAGTTGTAACAGATTAATGGTAAAAAAAAAAAAAAATCCCAGTTGCTAATTATAGGGGAAATTGTGTGCAGGCGGAGAGAGGGTATATGGAGATTCTCTGCAGTATCTATCTGCTCTATGTTCTGTAAATCTGAAACTGCTCTTAAAATAAAGTCTATTAATTTTAAAAAGTAAAACAAAACCAAACCCATGGTGGATGTGGGACTAGGATAGCAGCGAGGAGGATTTAGAGCTTCTGGGCATTGATTCACCAGCAGAACATCCAGTGGGTTCCTCTGTAGGTAAAACAGAGAGAGAGAAAGGTAGGAAGAGAAAGAGAGAGATGGGGATAGAGAGAGAGGCAGGGGAAGAGAGAGAGAGAGAGAGAGAGAGAGGAGGCGAGGGAGAAACAGAGAGAGAGAGGTGGGGAGAGAAAGAAAGAGAGGTGGGGAGAGAGAAAGAGAGAGACAGAGAGGTGGAGACACAGAGAGATGTGGGGAAAGAGCACACACAGAGAGAGAGAGAGATGGAGGGAGAGAGAGAAGTGGGGAGATAGAGAGTGGGAGGTGGGGGGAGAGAGAGAGAGAAGGACAGGGAGAAAGACACAGAGAGAGGTGGGGAGAGAGAAGTGGGGAGAGAGACACAGAGAGTGTGGGAGGTGGGGAGAGAGAGGGTTGGGGAAAGAGAGAGAGAGACAGAGAGAAGGGTGGGGAGAGAGAGAGAAGTGGAGAGAGAGGGAGGTGGGAAGAGAAACAGAGAGAGGAAAGAGAGGTAGGGAGAAAGAGAGGACAGAGGGGAAAGAGAAGAAAAAGGTGAGAAGAAAGAGAGAGAGCAAGCAAGCCCACTGTCTAGCACTGACAGGAACACCCGGTGGGGCCAGTTCTCCACTCAGAGACTCTAGGGCTAAGCGTGGCTGTGGACAAGTCCTGCCACAGACATCCCTAGAGCAGGGTTTCCTGCCTTCAGCATTAGGGACGCTAGGGGCGAATCATTCTCTCTCAGAGGGGTGTCCTGTGCACTGCAGGAGACTGAGCAGCATTCTTGGTCTCCACCCACCAGATAGATACCAGCAGCACTCCCCAGTCACGACAATCAGAAATGTCCTTATACGTTGTCACGTGTCTCCTGGGTGACAGCATCACTCCATGGGCCAGGCCTGTCTTGTCTCTGAGACCCCATCTGGCCTTAACTCTCACCCATCCTGGCTCTCTCTTCTTAGTGAAGCTGTCTGGCCTCCCCTCTCTTCCACTTAAGCCACCACTTCCCTCTCTTTTCTCTCCATCTTCTCATCCCCAGCTCCTAACCATTCCCTCACCACCTGCTCCCATTGACGCCTCCCTTGTGTGTGTGTGTGTGTGTGTGTGTGTGTGTGTGTGAGAGAGAGAGAGAGAGAGAGAGAGAGAGAGAGAGAGAGAGAGAGAGAGAGAGACAGGGTATCCCTCTGTCACCCAGGCTGGAGTGCAGAGGCACAATCACAGCTCACTGCAGCCTTAACTTCCTGGGCTCAAGCAATCCTCCCACCTCAATCTCTGGAGTAGCTACAGGTGCCTGCCATTCCTGGCCAATTTTTGTATTTTTTTGTACAGACAGGGTCTCACTATGCTGCCCAGGCTGGCCTCAAACTCTTGGACTCAAGTGATCCTCCCACCTTGGCCTCCCAAAGTGCTGGGATTGCAGGCATGAGCCACTGCACCCGGCCCACCCTGATTCTTTACACCCTGGGGTGGTGGCTGGAGCTTCTGAACCCTGAATCCTCTTTCTCTCTTTTCTCCGCCTCTTCCCAATCCTTTTTCCGTAGACTTCTTGCCTGGACAGACCGAGAAGAGAGGTTAAAATCAAACCATCACCTTGGGTCACATTGAGCATTGGCTGTCTTCTCTCTGCACCTGTTACCTCCCCCATCCAAGGGACCTACCTCATGAGGCAGCAGGAGCTCTAAAGAAGGCAAGTCCTGGCTGGGCACGATGGCTCATGCCTGTAATCCCAGTACTTTGGGAAGCCGAGGCGGGTGGATCACGAGATCAGGAGTTCAAGACCAGCCTGTCCAGCATGGTGAAACCCCTGTCTCTACTAAAAATACAAAAAATTAGCCAGGCATGGTGGCACGCACCTGTAGTCCCAGCTACTCAGGAGGCTGAGGGAGAAGAATCGCTTGAACCTGGCAGGCGGAGGTTGCAGTGAGCCGAGATTGCGCCACTGCACTCCAGCCTGGGCTACAGAGCGAGATTCCGTCTCAAAAAAAAAAAAAAAAAAATAGAAGAAGGTAAGTCCTGCTAAGCAAACAGCACACTGACTAAGACGTGGTGAGTGGCCTCTGCCTGTCACCCACTGCCCTGTAGACTCACATTGCTAAAGGAGTAATATAAACAGGTGGTTTCTTGGAGTCCCTGGCAGGTGCTGGTTCCCCAGGTCTCTCCTGGTCAGGTGGCTGAGAGGGGAGGTGACTCACCTGGGACTCCAGGCATCTGCTTCTGCTTCATCCCAGTAGGAGGCTCTAGTTTGGAGTTTCTCCACAGGTGGGAGCTGACCAGGTGTGGGCTGCACCAAGCAGCCACACCAGCTGAGCCGGGGGCTTGACTGAGCCCAAATGCGATTATTTATCCCTCCCTGACTCCCTGCCCACCGGCTTCCCTCGCTGTGGTCCTACTGTCTCTGTCTCCGCTACAGGGATGCTGGGACCCCAGGGACCCTGCCAGAGAGGAGGCAACCTCAGGGAATCTGTATCCTCACTTTCCCATTCCCCCCGCCTGCCAGGGGTGAGTCAATTCCCTGAGCTTGTCAAGAGCTTGAGCAGAGTCTAGTGCTCTACAGATTTGGGGTTTGGGCCCATGACTGTTGAAATTGACAGGAGGGCAGCCCTGCCATTGCCCCCAGGGACTGCAGAGGCTGCCTTGATATGCCCCGTCACCTTCATTCTTCTCCAACTGGGTCATTTGCCCAACTAAATGTCCTTTAAAATAATTTTTTAAAACCAACACACACACACGTATTTGTTTTTATTTTTATTTTTTGAGACAGGGTCTAGCTCTGTTGCCCAGGCTGGAGTGCAGTGGTGTGATTATGGCTCACTGCAGCCTCAACCTCCCAGGCTCAAATGATTCTCCTGCCTCAGCCTCCTGAGCAGCTGGGAGTAAAGGTGCTTGCCACCACACCTGGGCTAAGTTTTAATTTTTCTGTAGAGATGGGGTCTCGCTTTGTTGCCCAGGCTGGTCTTGAGCTCCTTGGCTCAAGGGATCCTCCCACCTTGACCTCTCAAAGTGCTGGGATTACAGCTGTGAGCCACCATGCCTGGCCTGTTTCTTCTTATTATGTAATTGAAATGCTACATACAAAGCAGCAAACCATGCAATGGCCAGCCAGGCAATCGTGACGGTGAATTTAATGGGTATCCCTTCAGATCTTCATGAGCATGTAGGATGTGAAAACAATGCAAACCCATAAAATCAGAGTTCTGTTGTGCATTATTGTTGCTTTCGCTTCGTTCTGCTTTTGAGGTGAAATTCACATAAAATAATCAACCACTTTAAAGTATACAATTCCCTGGGATTGAATGCATTCACAATGTTGTGTGGCCGCCGCCTCTGTCTAGTTCCAAAATGTTTTCATCACCTAATACCCATTAGCAGCCACTCCCCTACCCCACCCAGTCCTTCAAAACCACCAATTTGTTTTCTGGCTCTGGCTCTATGGACTTACCTATTCTAGACATTTCATATAAATGGGACTATATACTACTATATATAACGATGCATTATGATTGCCCCTGTGAGTAGCCACGGCACTCCAGCCATTTTGTCAACACAAAAATGTCGACATTGCCAAGACTGAGAAACTTTGGTCTGCATAAACTCACACAGAGTTCACTCTAAGACGCTGAGTGAAAAACCAAGTTACGGAAAGATATCTACGGGAGAATCAGATCTGCATTTTAAAAACACACAAAATGGTTTGACAGTTTATCAAAAAGTTAACATAGAAATTATCAAAGGACTCAGCAATTTCACTCCTAGGTATACACCCAAAAGAATGGAAAAGGATTCAAACAAATCCTTGGACATCAAATGTGCATAGCAGCACTGTTCACAGTAGCCAAACGGTATTTTTTAATTTTTCTGTAGAGAGTAGGATTTCACTTTGTTTCTCAGGCTGCTCTTGGAACTCCTGGGCTTAAGCGATTCTCCTGCCTTGACCTCCCAAAGTGCTTGGATTGCAGGTGTGAGCCACTGGACATGGCCTGATCCAAACGTCTATCAATGGCAGATCCAAATGTCTATTAATAAATAAATGGATAAACAAAGTGTGGTATAATCATATAATGGCTATTATTCAGCCACAGAAAGGAATAACATCCCAGTCCAGGCCACAGTAGAGATGAACGTTGAAAACATGTGCTATGTGAAAGGAGCTAGGCTTTTAATTTTATGGATAATTCCATACAAATGATATCTCTTTGATACACTGATTTCTTTTCTTTGGAGTATATACTTAAGTAGTGGCATTTCTGGATCATATGATAGCTCTATGTTTAGTTTTCTGAGAAACCGCCATACTATTATCCATAGTGGTTGTATTAATTTACTTTCCCACCAAAAAATCATGAGGGTTCCCTTTTCTCAGCATCCTCCCAGGCATTCCTTATTGCCTGTCTTCTGGATAAATGCCATCTTAACTGGGTTGAGACATTATCTTGTAGTGTTGATTTGCATTTCTCTCATGATCAGTGAGGTTGAGCATCTTTTAATATGCCTGTTTGCCATGTGTATGTCTTCTTTTCAGAAATGTTTATTCAGATCTTTGGCCCATTTTAAAATCAGATCATTAATTTTTTTCCTATTGAGTTGTTTGAGCCCCTTATGTATCCTGGTTATTAATCCCCTATCAGATGGATAGTTTGCAAGTATTTTCTCCCATTCTGTGATTGTCTCTTCACTTTGTTTATTTTTTATTTACTTTTATTTTTTTTTATTTTTTATTTTTGAGATGGAGTCTCGCTCTGTCGACCAGGCTGGAGCACAGTGGCTCAATCTTGGCTCAATGCAACCTCCACCTCCCGGGTTCCAGCAATTCTCCTGCCTCAGCCTCCTGAGTAGCTGGGATTATGGGCACACGCCACCATGCCCAGCTAGTTTTCTGTATTTTTAGTAGAAATGGAGTTTCACCATGTTGGCCAGGCTGGTCTCGAACCCCTGACCTCAGGTGATCAGCCCACCTCGGCCTTCCAGAGTGCTGGGATTACAGGCGTGAGCCACCACGCCCAGCCCACTTTGTTTATTGTTTCCTTTGCTGTGCAGGTTGTAACGTGATGTGATCCCAGTTACCCATTTTTGCTCTCGTTGTCTATGCCCGTAGTCAAGAAATTTTTGCCCAGACCAATGTCCTGGAGAGTTTCCCTAATGTTTTATTTTAGTAGTTTCATAGTTTGGGGTCTTAGATTTAAGTCTTTAATCCATTTTGACTTTATTTTTTTATGTGGTGAGAGATAGGGGTCTAGTTTCATTCTTCTGTACATGGATATCTGGTTTTCCCAGGACCATTTACTGAAGACAGTGTCATTTCCCCAGTGTATGTTCTTGGCATCTTTGTCTTGGAGGAATTTAGATACACTGGAGGGACCCGCAGAAATAAGATATGGCAGCACGTATACAAATTAAAGCCTTAAAATTTTTGGAGAGATTTTTCAAAATTTGGAATGATATAAATATAATGAAGAACTTTGAACTTAGCCATTTCTAACTTATCTGTTCCAGGAGCACATAAACAGACTAATCGGGATTATAAAACATGCTCACACTAAGTAACTAATATGCAGACATTTATGGAGCGACAACTGTGTGCCTGGCACCAAGGTACAAAGATAAATGAAGCTGGAAACCTTCTCCTGTGGAGTACACAGTGGCAGGAAAGACACAAATATTAAAGTTAAAATTATGTCACGGTGGCAGGGCACGGTGGCTCACGCCTGTAATCCCAGCACTTTGGGAGGCCGAGGCGGATGGATCATGAGGTCCGGAGTTCGAGACCAGCCTGGCCAACATGGTGAAACCCCGTTTCTACTAAAAATACAAAAATTAGCTGGGCGCGGTGGCAGGCACCTGTAATCCCAGCTACCTGGGAGGCTGAGGCAGGAGAATCGCTTGAACCCAGGAGGCAGAGGTTGCAGTGAGCCAAGATCGCACCACTGCACTCTAGCCTGGGTGATAGAGTTAGACTTCATCTCAAAAAAAAAAAAAATATGTCATGGTGTGATCGATGTTGAGCTAGCAAGGAGGGGTGGCAGGACCAGGAAAAGTCCATCAAAATTGGTGATGGGAGTCATAAGGATGAGTAGACTTCAGCCAGTCAGAAGATCAGAGAAAAGGTGCTACAAGTAGACAGAACAGAGTCTTGAAGATGGCTTCAGAGGGATATGGTGGAACGAGCCTGAATGCAGTCTAGTAAGCCAGGGACATGAGGCAAGGAGAGGACAAAGATGGAAGAGGGTCTGGAGAGGTGGCCAAGGACAGCTTAAGGAGACTTGGAGGGTGGTCGAAGGAGCTGTGGCTTCCTCTTGATGTCTGGAGAGTCACCAGAGGGTTTAAATCCTTGTAATCCCAGCACTTTGGGAGGCCGAGGCAGGAGGATCACTTGAGGCCAGGAGTTCAAGACCAGTCTGGGAAACATAATGAGACCCCCCCATCTCTACCAACAATTATTTACAAATTAAAAATAAATAAATAAATCCTATGAGTGACATGTTCAGCCACCTGAGGGAGGATGGGATCGGGGGAGGTGATGACTGAACAGCTTCAACCAACTCAGAACAGCCAGTTGTCAACTTCTGAAAATTGTTGCAACCTGGTTGTTAAACACAGCTCTGATTAAAAGTAAACTGTATGAAATTACAGTGAAATAAATTAAGGGAATCTAGGAGTGAGCTCTGTCTTCTCACTTCTGTCATGATTGAAAGGTTCATCTATGACTCTTAGCGTTATTTTCAGCACCTACCAATTGATGGCAGGTCTTCTGTAAATACAGATTATAAGGAGATTGATTCTTCTATCTGAAAGTCTCAGAAGTTCTTAGAGACAAATAATTTTCTTAAAGATTAAGCAGGTGAGAAAGTAATGAACTCTAGAAGCTTAAAGCTGTAATAACTGCTTAAAATGTATCACTTCTTAATTATTTCATATATATTTTACCATTGTCTGTGCTTTTGAGTTTATGACTATTGCACGTGTACTGTGGAAATACTCCATATACTAGTAGCACATCAGCAGGCTTCAACCTTTTTGGCACCAGGGACCAGTTTCATGGAAGATAATTTTTCCACGGACTGGGGTTGGGGGATGGTTTTGGGATGATTCAGGCACATGACATTTATTGTTGTGCACTTTATTTCTATTATTATTACATTGTAATATATAATGAGGTAATTATACAACTCACCATCATGTAGAATCAGTGGAAGCCCTGAGCTTGTTTTCCTGCAACTGGACTGTCCCATCTGAGGGTGATGGGAGACAGTAATAGATCATCAGGCATGAGATTCCCATAAAGAGCACCCAACCCAGATTCCTCGTGTGCACAGTTCACAATAGGGTTCACGCTCCTATAGGAATCTAATACCAGCATGCCACCATTGACCCATCTGACAGGAGGCGGAGCTCAAGTGGTAATGCTCACCCCACCCCACCCCTTCCGCCACTCTCCTGCTGTGTGGCCCAGATCTAACAGCCACAGACCGCTACCAGCTGGGCGTTTTGGGGAACCCCTGTCTTATGGGACACAACAAAACCAGTGCTGAAGAAGAAAAATAACCTTGGCGTCTTCTTCAGTTGTGAGACTATTGTGACCGTGTCTGTGGGTGACTGAGCTCTTATGTAGCTGCAGGGATTGGAGTAACTGAGGTCACTCACACTCATGACCTGGGTTCTGCCACTGCTTCCTCCACCATCTCACATCACAGCCGCTTGGGATCTCTGTTGACTCTTCGAAAGCATGGGTGGATGTGGATTCACAAAGACATTTTCCAGCCAGAAGGCTCAGAGAGGGGACTTAAACTGGAAAACTTAGGCCTAGAAATGGCCACAAGACTGGCACTGAAACGGTATGCCAGTGCTCAAGGATTAGGATGCCCCCAAGGAGGTATCACTTGGGGAAAACCGTTGATGATTATCTCTATGGAATTACAGAAATGCCAAATATATAACCCAAGAAACTTGGTGTGCACTCAATGACACAGCATGGGAGGGAGACCTCTTACTTCTATCCAGATGTTTGTGATGTATGGGTATCTTTGGCCACCGGGTGCTCCTACCATCAAAAAGAGCTTCAAGACAGGCTTGTTGGGGCCTTGAGTCCTTTTACCCTAGTCTTTCAGCTCTTGCTAAGAAGAATCCCAGCTAAGTGTGGTGGCTCACATCTCTAAACCCAGCACTTTGGGAGGCCAAGGCAGGCGGATCACTTGAGGCCAGGAGTTTGAGACCAGCCTGGCCAACATGGTGAAACACCGTCTCTACCATAAATACAAAAAATAGCCGGCCGTGGTGACACGCGCTTGTAATCCCAGCTATTTGGGAGGCTGAGGAAGGAGAATCACTTGAACCTGGGAGGCAAAGGCTGCAGTGAGCTGAGATCGTGCCACTGCACTCCAGCCTGGATGACAAGAGTGAGACCTTGCCACACACACACACACACACACACACACACAAAACTGAAATGATTGTAGGTGCTCCCACAGTGCCTACACACATTGGGTTTCTCTCCAGAATGAGATCTTCCATGTATTCGAAATGAACTGGGAGAGTCAAAGGTTTTCCTACCCACCTTGCATTTGTAAGGTCCATCTCCACTATGCATTTTCACATCTTTGAAGGTTTGGGGGGGAAGTGAATGTTTTCTGAAATTCCTAACATTCATAGAGGTTTTCTCCACTGTGAGGCCTTTCGTGTATGTGAAAGGAGTGGTGAAAACGAAAGGCATTCCCACATGGCTTACATGTATATGCCTTCTGTCTACATTCCTGATATTCACAGGGTTTGCGTCCAAGGCGATCTCTGATGTGCCTTTCAGTGGATGGATAGCCCACGCCGACCTCTCCACACACATGGCTTTCAGGTGGCTTTACTCCAGGAGGCGTTTTCTTATTCAGATTATGACCTGGAATCTGGCTGAAGGCTTCTCCACATTGACTACCTTCTTTATTTTCACAGGGTCTCTCTACCATATGATTTCTGTACAAAATAAGTACATTATTAAGTATTTTTATAAATAATTTATTTGTTATTGATGGGTATTGGATTTATGTGGAGTTTTTTGGAGACAGGGTCTCACTCACTCTGTTGCCAGGCTGGAGTGCAGTGGTGCGATCTCAGCTCACTGCAACCTCCGCCTCCCAGGTTCAAGCGATTCTCCTGCCTCAGCCTCCTAAGTAGCTGGGATTACAGGCACCCGCCACCACACCTGGCTAATTTTTGTATTTTTAGTAGATTCGGGGTTTCACCATGTTGGCCAGGCTGGTCTCAAACTCCTGACCTCAAGTGATCCACCTGCCTCAACCTCCTGGATTTATGTTTTTAACATCATCAGTGGAAGCATAGGTAGGATTTCTAACCTGTTTCCACTGTTTGGCCATGAATGGATTGAATGGTCTGCAGGAGCGCCCAACTACAGCTGCTATGAAAATAGAAATATTAACATGGGGTTTCTTCTTCTTTTTTTTTTAAGACAGGGTCTAGCTCTGTCACCCAGGCTGGAGTGCAATGGCACAATCTTGGCTCACTGCAACCTCTACCTCCCAGGCTCAAGCAATCCTCCCACCTCAGCCTCCCAAGTAAGGGGGACTTATAGGTGTGTGCTGGCACACCTAGCTAATTTTTTTTTTTTTTTGGTAGAGAATAGATCTCCTTATGTTGCCCAGGCTGGTCTCAAGCTCCTGACCTCAAGCAATCCACCCTTCTTGGCTTCCCAAAGTGCTGGGATTATAGGTGTGAGCCACTGCACCTAGCCTATATGTGGTTTCATAATAGTGTTTCCATGTAAACTTTTTTTGCAAACATATATATGTCTCATTTAAGTATATATTTATAGAGAAAGTTTTCTAAGAATAAACAGATTGAAACTGGGCTTGTTTTTAGAATTTCCTGACAGTCTACGATTCTCTTGATGGACACTGCTTTCTCTTGAAAATTACCTTAAATTTCTCCCAGGATTTTGGTACAGATCTTCAATGTTCTTATCTCCCCATTTCTTTCCTAAAATGCAGGTAGAGAAAAATCATTATGAATTATTACAAAATTATTTTAAAATTATTGAATTCTAGGTTCATGGTACACCATGACCATGGTACACTGGACTGCAATGGCACAATCTTGGCTCACTGCCACTTCTACCTCCCAGGCTCAAGCAATCCTCCCACCTCAGCCTCCCAAGTTAGGGGGGGCTACAAGTGTGTGCCAGCACACCAGCTAATTTTTTTGCCTATATATTTATCAAAGTATTTCTTTTCTACATTCCAAATCATTGAGCAGCTCAATTGATGAGTAAGAAAGACTTGTTCTCTAAATGACTAAGAAAAGAAATGTTGTCACCCTTAACTACAGAGGCCAGCATCCTGATGGTTTCCCGCATCACATCTCTGTAGAGTTTCGTCTGGGAAGGACCCAGCAAAGCCCACTCCTGTAGGGTGAAGTTGAAAGCCACATCCTCAAAGGCTGGAGTCCTGAAGCATCCACATGTGTAGAAAAGGATGGTGAGACTGACAGCCCTGGGTATCTGTACTTACCACATAATAAGTTCACATGATTCCATGTTCTCCAAACATTTCTTCTATGACTTGGTTATCACACCTCTTACGCTGTGTATACTTACTTCCTCTCACATAGCAATTCCGATGCTAGAATTATTTGGTAAAGCAACCATGAAACACAAATACAGCTCTCCTTGGTGGGTCCAGGGAGTAGGATGTACTGCCTGGGTCACCCTAATTTCTCTTCACACAGTGGGTCTATAGCACCTGTCATAAAAGTCCTCCTACCACCTAGTGTGCAGAAGAGACTTAACATTAGGAGTCCTGAAACTCTGTATCCTTAGAAATGTTTGTTCACAAAGTTTGATCTTTGATAACATATGGGATATGAAATTTGGATGGGATACCATGAACCCAACTGATAAAAGAGTCGTATAATTTCCTAAAACTGAAACCAATAAGCAAAAACCTCTTTGGAAGCAGTAAAATTTAGGAAAACCTAAATTTTAATTGACGAATTGCTGGAGATAGTGTGGACAATTTGAGAGTTAAAAATGCCAGGAGGCCCAGACCTAAGGGGTCCCCACTAATTAGTGACATGCACCTCCAGAAATCCTACCAGCTCTTCCAGTGAAGATGAGAGAAAAACTGCTTCCTGCTTTTGGCAGAAGATGTGAAAGATTAGCCATTTTGAAATATGCCCAGAGAATGCTATTCTTCTTAACATCTCCTGCCTTCAAAAGAAACTATTTCCCAAAGCCTACCAACTGGGATGCTGGCAGAGCTGACCTCCTGAAGCAAGAGAAATACCCAATTCCACCCACTTCAATCTCCCTGCCACAACTAGGGAAGGGTGAGAATGAGAAGTACTTAAGAAAGCTACAACCCAGAAACACAGGATTCCAAAAAATGAGGCCAAAGCATAGGTCAATGGAATGCTTCCCCACACCCCACACCTTACTGCCACTTCAAGAGGGCTTCTGTATTACAACAGCAGAAAACAAGTGAGACAGCTGCATGCCTTATGCCACATTTACGAAGTCACTACGGGCACACATACAAGCTGAACAACATTGATGAAGTTGGCATATTTCTAGAAACACACAACATAGGACTAAGTCATAAAGAAAGAAAAAATTGGGCCAGGCGCAGTGGCTCATGCCTGTAATCCCAGCACTTCGGGAGGCTGAGGCAGGCGGATCACAAGTCAGGACATCGAGACTATCCTGGCTAACACGGTGAAACCCCGTCTCTACTAAAAATACAAAAAAATTAGCTGGGCGTGGTGTCGGGCGCCTGTAGTCCCAGCTACTCGGGAGGCTGAGGCAGGAGAATGGCATGAACCCTGGAGGCGGAGCTTGCAGTGAGCCAAGATCGCACCACTGCACTCCAGCCTGGGAGACAGAGCAAGACTCCGTCTCAAAAAAAAGAAAGAAAAAATTGGAGCAGATCTACAACTAATAAGGAGATTGATGCAGTAATCAAAACCCCTCAACTCACAAAAGCCCAGCACCATACAGTTTCAGCGATGAAACAGACCAAACACTTCAGGAAGATTAACACCAATTCTCCTCAAACTCTTCCAAAAACTTTAGGAGGTAGGAACATATCCTAGTTTATTCCTTGAGGCCCTGAAATTGTGCTGACAATAAAGACAATGATACAATATTTGATTTGCAAATATCCCTTATGATTATTGACGCAACAATCCTCAAATAAATACTCCAAGGTACAGGAATCAAAACAGTGTGGTACTGGCCTAAAGACAGAGATATACATCACTGGAATAGATACAGGGGCCAAGAAAGATACCCATATATATATGGTAAAGTGATTTTTGACAAGAATGCTTAGATAATGCAATGGAAAAAGGCTGCTCTATTTTAAAAAATGGTGCTGGGAAAACTGGATAGCCACATGTGAAAAAATAAAGTTGGACCCATAATTTATATAACATAGAAAAATGAAATAAAAATGGATTAAAGACTTAAAGGGACCAGCTCAAACCAAACAACTCTTAGAAGAAAGTGTTAAACAAAACTTATGAGAGGCCACTGTTTTGGACTGAGCTCCTGCACTAGGCCCCAGCAGACCAGAACAAACCAAAATGGAGTCACTCAGGCTAAGTACCACATAATCAAACTGAACCTTTAAGGAAGGAGGCAAATCCTCAAATGCACCAGTTTTTCCTGAGAGCAGGAGAGTCACAGCAACCAATAAAAAAAACAAAAATAAAACCCAGCCAACCTGAGCTGGCATAATATATAATAAGGCCGCTTACAAAAAAGGAACCTAATGATTTTTTAAATTGTTCTGTTTTGTTGTTCCTCTTACAAGAATCACCTATTCCATTATACAAAGCAGGAGTTCTTATTCTATTTTATAGAATGGGATGCTTCTTCGGTTCAGGAATTGCGAATAAAAGCTAAGTAGATCTTTAAATTTGTTTTAATTTTTTTTAAACCTAAGGCAAATGTTTAACCCACCCTTAGCCAAAATACAAGGCCTTCTTTATTTCCCTCCGAAGAAGAGGCAGACCTTAGGATAAAGCTTTCTTCTGGTCTCTGTCATCTCCCTGCCAACCACCACCACCACCACCATCACCTTCTCTCTAATCTTGTTTGCTCCTCCCTGTGAAAGAATCATTCCTAACCTTTGAGGTGTTTTTTCTTTTTCTTTCTTTTTTTTTTTTTTTTTTTTTTTTTTGAGACTGAGTCTTGCTCTATCGCCCAGGCTGGAGGCAGTGACGTCGTGATCTCAGGTCACTCCAACCTCTGCCCGCCCTGGGATTCAAGCAATTCTCCTGCCTCAGCCTCCTGAGTAGCTGGGATTACAGGTTTCTGCCACCACGCCCAGCTAATTTTTGTATTTTTAGTAGAGACAGAGTTTTGCCATGTTACTCAGGCTGGTCTTGAACTCCTGACTTCAAGTGATCTACCCGTCTTGGCCTCCCAAAGAGCTGGGATTACAGGCGTGAGCCACCACGCCCAGCTGAGATGCTTTTTCAAGAGTCGCCTTAACATGAAGTCACTGTGTGAGGGTTTCGGCTCTCGAGTCAAGATAATTCACTTACTTTTAAAAGAAAATACTCAGCGTTTGAAGAAACCAACAAAATCCCTCAAACTCAGTGTCCATATAGATAGGCAGGGAAGACAAATTGTAAGGCGCTTGTATTTTATATAGCTCAACAAGAGAAGCACAAGTATCTATCCCTTTCAGACAACAAAGATGTGCCATTTAATTATTATTTCCATGACAATACACAGTTGAATAAATCATTATATTTGAATGCTTCTTGGTGTTGCCAAGTCCTGACCCACAGGGTTTTGTATTAATCTCTGAAGTCCAGGTACCAGGAAAGAGAAGAGTTATTCACCGTCACAAGTTCTCACTCTGGAAAGGAGAAAAATGGATGTTTTAATGAATCTTTGTAATTTACCAATTTAACTATGACACTTTATTGTGGAAATGTATTCATTTCGCTGCAGCCATAATGGAAGAGTGATTTTCCTTACTTTGCTGAGATTCTCAGCCCCAGTAGCCTTCTCAAGGCTAAGCCCTGGAATTCCATTTGAAATCACCCAAAAGAAAAGAACAAATATGAGAAATGTATCACACGCCATCTGGGTAAGACAAAATGTAAATTAAAAGCTTTATCGGATGATGGGTGGCTCATGCCTGTAATCCGAGCACTTTGGGAGGCCAGCCGGTGGATCATTTGAGGTCAGAAGTTCGAGACCAGCCTGGCAAACATGGTGAAACACCATCTCTACTAAAAATACAAAAATTAGCCAGGTGTGGTGGCAGGTGCCTGTAATCCCAGCTACTCCGGAGGCTGAGGCAGGAGAATCACTTGAACCTGGGAGGCGGAGGTTGCAGTGAGCCGAGATGGCACCACTGTACTCCAGGCTGGGCAACAGATCAAGACTCTGTCTCAAAAAAAAAAAAAATTAATGGATGAAATATAAGGCTAGACATTTCTTTTCTTTTTTCTTTTTTTTCTGAAATACACCTCTTTCTTGCCTCCTTGGATATATTCTATCTTGTCTATCAAACTCTACTAATAAAATCCATTTGATATTTAATTTTTTAAAAACTGAGGTTCAGGCTGGGTGCAGTGGCTCACACCTGTAATCCCAGCACTTTGGGAGTTTGAGGCAGGAAGATCGCTTGAGCCCGGGAGTTTGAGGTCAGCCTAGGCAATGTAGTGAGACCCTGACTCTATTATAAGTAAGTAAGTGAAAAAAAAATTTTCAAGGTGACAAACCCAGGGAGGGGTAGGGCAAACTGGAATACCGGCAAGTCTGACTCAAGTGTCAGATCAGGTCATCCTATATAACCTCAGACATGCCCCAAACCCTGTGCTGCTCACATATATACTCAGTGACCACCCTCCCAGAAGACACTGCATTGTGTGCGTTTCAGCTTTTTGCGTCACCTCAGTGAAGGTGGTTTTCCTGTCCTTAGCCATAGTTTTCTCCCTTCACTAGGCTAAGAGGATTCAAAGGACAGGGATCATTCCAGTCTTTTCCCTTCAATAGCAGCATCTGAGTGGCTGACCAGAGAGGTATTTCCAAGAAGTGAAAACTGGGCTTGGGGTGAGAAAAGCTAAATGTCCTAAGGGGTTTCCTTTTAGATGACGGAGGGAGATACCAGGGGACTCCTCCCTCCCGGGAGGTAGGGGGAGGGGGTGCACCCGGCGGCTCCCCTGAGAGGCCCCACAGGCACATCTCAGGCTGTCCTCTGGGAAGAAATGACCCAGGAGCTGATATTCATGACCCTCCAAGAGACCCGGCAGCTTGTGGGCATCTCAGATGAGCCCCAGGCAGTTCTGAAACCCAGGACCAGGAAAAGATAAGAGGGTGGGCTGAGGTCACATCACCCTGTAACGTTTCCAAAAGGGAACTGTCAGGCCTCTGAGCCGAAGCTCAGCCATTGTAACCCCTGTGACCTGCACATATATGTCCAGGTGGCCTACAGGAGCCAAGAAGTCTGGAGCAGCTGAAAAACAAGGAAGTGAAACAGCCAATTCCTGCCTTAACTAATTAACCCACCTTACGACATTCCACCATTATGACGTGTTCCTGCCCTGCCCCAACTGATCAATCGACCCTGTGACATTCTTCTGGACAATGAGTCCCATCATCTCTCCACCATGCACCTTGTGACTCCCTCCTCTGCTGACAACAGATAACCACCTTTAACTGTAACTTTCCACAGCCTACCCCAGCCCTATAAAGCTGCCCCTCTCCTATCTCCCTTCGCTGACTCTCTTTTCAGACTCAGCCCACTTGCACCCAAGTGAATTAACAGCCTTGTTGCTCACACAAAGCCTGTTTAGGTGGTCTTCTATACGGACATGCTTGACACTTGGTGCCAAAATCTGGGCCAGGGGGACTCCTTCGTGAGACCGGCCCCCTGTCCTGGCCCTCATTCCGTGAAGAGATCCACCTGCGACCTCGGGTCCTCAGACCAGCCCAAGGAACATCTCACCAATTTCAAATCGGGTAAGTGGTCTCTTCACTCTTTTCTCCAGCCTCTGTCGCTACCCTCCAATCTCCCTGTCCAGTCTTTTTCTTCTCTAGTAGAGACAAAGGAGACACATTTTATCCGTGGACCCAAAACTCTGGCGCTGGTCACAGACTCAGGAAGACAGTCTTCCCTTGGTGTCTAATCACTGCGGGGACGCCTGCCTAATTATTCACCCACATTCCACTGGTGTCTGATCACCTTGGGGATGCCTGCCTTGGTCATTCACCCACATTCCCATGGTGGCAAGTCATTTGCGGGGACGCCTGCTTTGGCTGCTCACCCCCGCCCTTCTCCGTGTCTCTACTTCTCTCTTTAAACTTACCTCCTTCACTTTGGGCAATCTTCCGCCCTCCATTCCTCCCTCTTCCCCCTTAGCCTGTGTACTTAAAAACTTCTCTTAAACTAACACCTGATATAAAACTCAAACGTCTTATTTTCTTCTGCAATACTGCTTGGCCGCAATATAAACTTGACAATGGTTCCAAGTGGCCAGAAAACGGCACTTTTGATTTCTCCATCCTACAAGACCTAGATCATTTTTGTCAAAAAATGGGCACATGGTCTGAGGTGCCTTGCGTCCAGGCATTTTTTACACTTCGCTCCCTCCCAAGCCTCTGCTCCCAATGTGACTCATCCCAAATTTTTCTTCTTTCTCTCCCGTCCGTTCCTTCAGTCTCTACCCCAACCTCAGAGTCCCCTGAATCCCCCTTTTCTGCAGACCCCTCTGACCTCTCTCCCCCTCCCCAGGCCACTCCTTGGCAGGCTGAATCAAGTCCCAATTCTTCCTCAGCCTCCGCTCCCCCATCTTATAATTCTTCTATCACCTCCCCTCCTCAAACTTGGTCAGGCTTAGTTTCATTCCATGACTAGCTCTCCCCCACCTGCCCAACAATTTCCTCATAGAGAGGTGGCTGGAGCTGAGGGCACAGTAAAGGTTCATATACCTTTTTCTCTATCAGACCTTTCCCAATCAGTCAGCGTCTGGGCTCTTTCTCATCAGACCCCACTAAATATACACAGGAATTCCAATATTTGACTCAGTCCTACACTTTAACCTGCAGTGACCTAAATGTCATCCTGACCTCTACCCTCTCCCCAGATGAGCAGGAAAGAGTTTATACCCTAGCCCAATCTCACGCTAACACCCGCCGGCATCATGAGCCAGACCTCCAAGAAGGCATCAGGGCAGTTCCCTGAGAGGATCCTTGATGGGAATACCAGACAGGCTCCCCAGGTATAGCTAGGCGAGATTACATGGTCTCTTGCCTAGCTGAAGGGCTGAAAAAGGCAGCATACAAAGCTGTTAATTATGACAAGCTTTAAGAAGCCACCCAAGGTAAAGATGAAAATCCAGCCCAGTTCATGGCCCGTTTGGTGGCTACCCTTAGAAACTTTACAGCCCTAGACCCTGAAGGGCCAGAAGGCCATCTTATTCTCAATATGCATTTTATCACTCAGTCAGCTCCTGACATTACAAAAAAAGCTTCAAAAATTGGAATCTGGCCCTCAAACCCCACAACAGGAATTAATCAATCTCGCCTTCAAGGTGTTCAACAATAGAGAAGAGGCAGCCAAGCAGCAACGTCTTTCAGAGCTGCAATTGCTTGCCTCTGCTGTAAGACAAACCCCAGCCATGCCTTCAGCACACAAAAACTTCAGAGCAACCAAACCACAGCCTCTAGGCACTCCTTTAAAACCATCTCATGGACCTTGCTTCAAGTGCCGCAAAACTGGCCACTGGGCCAAGGAATGCCTGCAGCCCGGGATTCCTCCTAAGCCTGTCCCACCTGTGCGGGACCCCACTGGAAATCGGACTGTCCAACTAATATCACAGCCCCTTCTAGGGTCCCTGGAGCTCTGGCTCAAAGCTCTCTGGCTGACTCCTTCCCAGATCTCCTCGGCTTAGTGGCTGAAGACTGATGCTGCCCGATCGCCTCAGAAGCCCCTTGGACCATCACAGATGCCGAGCTTCGGGTAACTCTTACGGTGGAGGGTAAGTCCATCCCCTTTTTAATCAATACGGGGGCTACCCACCCCACATTACCTTCTTTTCAAGGGCCTGTTTCCTTTGCCCCCGTAACTGCCGTGGGTATTGACGGCCAAGCTTCTAAACCCCTTAAAACTCCCCAACTCTGGTGCCAACTTGGACAACATTCTTTTATGCACTCCTTTTTAGTTAACCCCACCTGCCCAGTTCCCTTATTAGGCTGAGATATTTTAACCACATTATCTGCTTCCCTGACTATTGCTGGGCTACAGCCACACCCCATTGCTGTCCTTTTCCCCAATTCAAGGCCTCTTTCGCATCCTCCCCTTGTATCTCCCCACCTTAATCCTCAAGTATAGGATACTTCTACTCTTTCTTTGGCAACTGACCATGCACTCCTTACCATTCCATTAAAACCTAATCACCCTTACCCTGCTCAATACCAGTATCCCAGCCCGCAGCAGGCTTTAAAGGGAACTGAAGCCTGTTATCACTTGCCTGTTACAACGTGGCCTTTTGAAGCCTACAAATTCTCCTTACAACTCCCCTATCCTACCCATCCAGAAACCGGACAAGTCCTAGAGGCTAGTTCAAGACCTTCACCTCATAAATCAGATTGTCCTTCCCATCCATCCTGTTGTGCCAAACCCTATACTCTCCTCTCCTCGACACCCCCTTCCACAACTCATTATTCTGTTATCCACCTCAAAGATGCCTTCTTTACCATCCCCTTGCATCCCTCCTCCCAACCTCTTTTCACCTTTACTTGGACTGACCCTGACACCCACCAGTCCCAGCAATTCACCTGGATTGTCCGACCCCAAAGTTTCAGGGACAGCCCACACTACTTTGGTCAGGCCCTCTCTCATGACTTTCTTTCTGCCCATCTGCCTCCCACCTTATTCAATATGTTGAAGACCTTCTTCTTTGCAGCCCTTCTTACCAATCTTCCCAGCAGGACACTATCCTATCCTACTTCTTCAATATCTCTACTCAAAGGGGTACTGAGTATCCCCCTCTAAAGCTCATATTTCCTCCCCTAGTGTTACATATCTCGACATAGTCCTCCATCAACATACACGCACTCTTCCTGCAGACTGTGTTCAGTTAATCTCCCAGACCCTATTCCCCACCACCAAACAACAACTCCTTTCCTTCTTAGGCGTTGTTGGATACTTCCGACTCTGGGTACCAAGGTTTTGCCATTCTAACCAAACTGCTTTACAAACTCACTAAAGGTAATTTAGCTGATCCCATAGACCATAAGTCCTTTCCCCATGCTTCCTTTCATTCTCTCAAAAAGGCCCTAGAAACAGCTCCCACACTAGCACTCCCTGACTTGTCCCAACCTTTTTCCTTACACACAGCTGAAACACAAGGCTGTGCTGCTGGAGTTCTCACACAGGAGCCAGGCCCACGACCTATAGCCTTTCTATCCAAACAACTTGACCTCACAATTCTAGGCTGGCCCTCATGTCTACATGTGGTGGCAGCTGCCGCTTTAACACTTCCAGAGTCTCTCAAAATCACAGGCTATGCTCCACTTACCCTCTACAGTTCTCACAACCTTCAAGCATTAATATCCTCCTCACACCTTTCACACTTGCTGTCTGCCCCTCGACATCTCCAGCTCTATTCACTCTTTATTGAAACCCCAACAATAACTACTGCCCATGGGCCCGATTTCAACCCAGCTTCTCACTTAGCACCCAACACAAGTCCTGGCCAACATGATTGTATCTCCCTAATACACATAGCATCTTCCCCCTTTCCTCATATTTCTATTTTTCCAATCCCAAATCCAGACCACACTTGGTTTATTCATGGCAGTTCCTCTAAACCCAGTCAAATCTCGCCAGCTAAAGCTGGTTATGCTGTCGTGTCCCATACCTCTATTATTGAGGCTGCTGCACTTCCTCCCTCCACTACTTCCCAACAAGCCAAACTGATTGCTTTAACTTGTGCACTCTCTGTCGCCAAAGGAATGCACATTAAAATTTATATTGACTCCTAATATGCTTTCCACATCCTCCACAACCATGCTACCCTTTGGACTGAAAGAGGTTTTCTCACCACACAAGGCTCTTCCATTATCAATACCTCTCTAATAAAGGCCCTCCTTAATGCTGCTCTCTTGCTGGCCAAAGCTGGGTTCATTCATTGTAAAGGACACCAGAAACCAACTGATCTTATTGCTAAAGGAAATGCCTACGCCAACAGGACAGCAAAAGAAACAGCAAATGCCTCCACGCCTGCAAATATTCTAGCCCTCACCCCAAAAGGCTAGTACTTTTCTTTCTTCTCTATCACCCCCACCTACTCCTCTTCTAAAAAACCTGCTCTACCAGTCTTTTCCAACTCAGGGCAAGTGGTTCTTAGATCATGGAAAATTCGTTCTTCCTGCCTCACAAGCCCAGTCTACTCTCTCTTCCCTTCATGACCATTTCCATATAGGATATAAGCCTCTGGCTGGCCTCCTACAGCCCCTCATTTCCATCCCATCATGGAAATCCATCCTTAAAACCATCACCTCTCAATGCTCTGTCTGCCATGCCACCAACCCCCGAGGTCTTCTCAGGCCTCCTCCTTTTCCTACGCATCAGGCTCATGGATTTCCTCCGACACAAGATTGGCAAATTGACTTTATTCATATGCCGCGTGTCTGTAAATTTAAATATCTCCTGGTTTGGGCCAATACCTTCACCGGATGGGTCGAGGCCTTTCCCACTAGCTCTGAAAGGCTACTACAGTCATTTCTTCCCTTCTGACAGATATAATCCCCCAATTTGGCCTCCCTACTTCCACAGTTTCTCAGGCTCTTGGTATTCAGTGGAAACTTCATACCCCCTACCGTCCTCAATCTTCAGGAAAGGTAGAACGGATGAATGGTCTTTTAAAAACACACCTCACCAAGCTCAGCCTCCAACTTAAAAAGGACTGGACAGTACTTTTACCACTTGCCCTCCTCAGAATTAGGGCCTGTCCTTGAGAAGCCACAGGGTACAACCCATTTCAATTTTATATGGATGCACCTTCTTACTCAGCCACAATCTTGTTCCAGACACCAGCCCCCTGGGCAACTATCTTCCAGTCCTCTAGCAGGCTAGACAGGAAATTTGCCAAGCTGCTAATCTTCTCTTGCCTACTCCAGATTCCCAGCCATATGAAGACACCCTAGCTGGACGATCAGTCCTTGTCAAAAGTCTGACCCCTCAAACTCTACAGCCTCAATGGACCAGACCCTACCCGGTCATTTATAGCACACCAACTGCCGTCCATCTGCAGGACCCTCTCCATTGGGTTCACCATTCCAGAATAAAGCCATGCCCATCAGACAGCCAGCTTGATCTCTCCTCTTCCTCCTGGAAGCCACAAGATTAGGCCGAGAGCCGATCAGACAAACAACCTACAACCCTTAAGCTCCTGGCAGCGCCCAGCCAAGGCCATGCTTCCTTGCAACACTCCTTCCAAATGGCCATCCCAGCATGCTTCCAAGCAGGCTTCATCCGTTCCTCTGGACCCTCATCTCTTAAGACCTGCCGCCTATAAAAAGGATTATATCTTGAGACCCTATCCTCTAAAATTTTTTCCACACCCAAAACAAAAAATCTCTGGGTCAAAAGTCTAAAACGCTTAGGCTGGCAACCATCAGATCCTTGCCCATGGTGTCCTCAAGCCTACTCTCATGAAATGGACAACAGTACACGCATATGGGGCCAGTTCCACATATTTGGCAACCAGACCAGCATCCAGGACAACACAAAGTATGTTGTTTGTTGTTAGAGGGCTTGGGACATTTCACTCTTTGCCAGCCTCAGCTTAATCCAGGAGACAAAGATTATTTTCCTTATTATCTCTTCTGCATAGGATCTGCAATCAGAACTATTGAACTTCTCCATTCAGACCGCCACTCACACCTATGGGAAAAGGGTAATGTATCATCGGCTTAGCAACAGGGAATACTATTCGTATGATGGAAAATGGGGACAAAAGGCTTTGGTACATAAAACATTATTCCTTCCTTGGCCTAAAAACTCATCGCCACCTACATTAAAGCTAATATGCCTGATTACTGTTTTTAGAGAACTTATTTTATTAGGGCAGTTCCAAGCTCAAAAATACGCTAACTGGCACCTTGTTAGCTACATAAAAATGCACCCTAGACCCGAAACTTACTAGACTCATTATAAAATTTTCTTTAAGGTGTCCACGCAGTCCCTGGTCACACTTGAAGCAGTCCGGAGAAATATCAGCCCTACCCCAGTAATCCCCAGAAGGAACTTACACTTTTTTTTAATCTTTTCCTACAACTTCATATTTTATAAATAAAAAGACAAAAATGTCAGGCCTGTGAGCTGAAGCTTAGCCATTGTAACCCCTGTGACCTGCACATATCCGTCCAGGTGGCCTGCAGGAGCCAAGAAGTCTGGAGCAGCCGAAAAACCACAAAGAAGTGAAACAGCCAGTTCCTGCCTTAACTAATTAACCCACCTTACGACATTCCACCATTATGACTTGTCCACCATTATGACTTGTTCCTGCCCTGCCCCAACTGATCAATCAACCCTGTGACATTCTTCTCCTGGACAATGAGTCCCATCATCTCTCCACCATGCACCTTGTGACCCCCTCCTCTGCTGAGGATAACCACCTTTAACTGTAACTTTCCACGCCTACCCAAGCCCTATAAAGCTGCCCCTCTCCTATCTCCCTTCACTGACTCTCTTTTCGGACTCAGCCCACTTGCACCCAAGTGAATTAACAGCCTTGTTGCTCACACAAAGCCTGATTGGGTGTCTTCTATACGGACACGCGTGACAGGAACCTCAACCCAAAGGCAGTCTGATGAGGTGTCTAAGATAAAAGTAGCGGCACAAAGGCTTTTGTAAACAGAGGCGTTTCATGTGGTTTTCCTTTCCTTTCCTTATATGTGAAAAGGTGACAGAAAAGAAATCTTCCTAAAAGAGTCAGCCACTGCTCTGTGGAACGATGATCATTTAAATGCCACGTCGATTTGAAACGTACAACAAAGGGACTAACAGTTGAGAACCATGTGGATTGCAGTGGAGACGCTGGCGTTAGAGAATGCGGGGAGGGAAACGTTCATTACAAGATTTACGGCCAGCCCAAGGGGGAGCGAGGCTGGGGGACCGGGTCGCGGAGACCCGGCTTCGCACACCTTTTGGAAGACTCAGGGAGAAGCGGGGGCCGCCTTCGGGGGGAAAGGCGGGACTGGGGAGCCCACAGGCCATGGCTCCTCCCACAGGATCCCCAGGCCGGAGGCGGGATCCCCCCATGATCCTCCCGTGGCCCCCGCACAATCTGGGGAGATGCGGAGCTGCCCAGAGAGGGCTCTGGGGCGACAGTCACTGCGCAGGGACAGGACAGGACTCCCGGAGTCCCAGCTGCCGGCCCAGCCCCACCCTGCGGCCGAGAGGACCGAGGGCCGAGCTGCTCCAGGGGAACTCGGGTCCCAGACCCCGGAGTCGCAGCGGACAGGCCCGGGTCCCGCCACAGCCAGATCCGGCTGGTTCCACCAGCTCCTCCTCCGGTCTCGGGACGTCCGGCCCCGCACACTCAGCATTTCCGGCTTCCGGGTGTCCCGGCGTCCTCCCCTGGGCCTGCTCACGTCGCAGAGGGGCGGCGACGGGGATTAGAGGGGAGGAGGGCCTGCGCGAGCAGCAAAGACCCCAAACCCCAAAAAACAAAGAAACCGCCAGAAACTGAAGCTTCCACAGCCCGCCACGTCCCCCGGCTACGGCTACGCTCCTGATTGGATAGTTAGTACGGCCCCTAGTGCCCCTGATTGGATACCGCTTCAGGTCCCGCCCCCTGGGGTTAGAAAGACAGGAGACCCGAGAAGACACTTGGCTGCGTGGAGCCCAAATGGGCGGTTCCTGGCAACTGGGCTTGTTGTCTTCCTCGTGTCAGGATGTAAAAAGAAAAGTAGAGGTTCTTCTTCAAAGACTTCCTTCTTCATCTAATTAAGAATAAATAGTGTTTGAAATGCTTGGTTTTTGGTGCCATAAAGAAATAGCACTTTAACATTAATTTATTTAGCAAGGCCATTTTTACTCCCTGCAGAAAGGGTACACTCGCCAGCAGTTTTGCCACGAGCGTACACCGAGCAAAGGAGACAGGGTCATTTATAACCTGAGGTGTCCACCCTACTGCTGTGTCCAGTTTCCATTGGCTGGAACGGGACCTCACATTCTGTGTTTGTCCTGATTGGCTAGCAACTTAGAACGTTTTAAAAGAGGCAAAGGTGGAGGAGAACAAAGGAAGAAGGAAGTAACTTGTGGAATGCTGAGAAAGGTAAAAACACCTTCAAATAAGGAAGAGGAAGAGGCTATGACTTAATGCTTGCTTGGACCAGTATAAGCATACCAGGGCAAATATTTGGGCTAAATTGTGGGAGCTAAGAACATAAAGTATATTGATTTCTTTATTATGGCTAGCAGATATTTAAGAATGTTAGCACAGGTCTTTGAATAAATTTTGCTTTTAAGAGAAGTTACTATTTATTCCTAATCGAATGGGAAGGAAAATTTTTGAAGAGGAACCTCTACTTTACTTTTTACAAACAATAACTTGTTTTAGAAGCAACATTTATTTAAAGACTTGTACTAATATTCTTAAATATTTGCTAGCTGTAATAAAGAAATCAATGTACTTTATGTTCCTAGCTTTTACATTTTAGCTTAAATATTTGCTTTGGCATGCTTATACTAGTCTAACCAAGTATTAGGTCGTAGCTTGTTCTTTATTTGAAGGTGTTTTTACTTTTCTTAGCGTTCTACAAGTTACTTCTTTCTTTTGTTTTCTTCTGCTTTTGCCTTTTTAAAAAAAGTTCTAAGTTGCTAGCTGATTGGGATAAATACAGAGTGTGAGGTCTTGTTCCAGCTAATGGTAACTGGACACAGCAGTAGGGTAGACGCGTCAAGTTGTAAATGACCTTGTCTCTTTTGTTCAGTGTACTCTCGTGGCAAAAACTGCTAGCAAGTGTATCTTTTCTGCGGAAAGTAAGAAACTGGCCTTGCTGAAGAAATTAAATTCATGTTCAAGTGCTATTCTTTACAGCGCCCGAGAACAAGCATTTCAAACAAGGACCTCTGGGGATTGGGGGTGGGGGTGGGGTGACATTTGCAAGTGGACACTGGCATTCATCAGTACTCACTGGGCCCTTCCTCTTTCTTCCTCCTGGACTAGGGGAAATTCCACACAGTGTTGTCCATCAAGAAAAATGCCCAGACAAGGCTCAATCATTTTAGGAGGTTTATTTGCCAAAGTTAAGGACATGCACCCCTGACACAGCCTCAGGAAGTTCTGACATGTGCCCAAGGTGGTCAGGGAACAGTTTGGTTTTATACATTTTAGGGAGACATGAGACATCAGTCAATATATATAAGGAGTATTTGGTTCTATCCAGAAAGATGGGGACAATTCGAAGCAGGGAGAGGGCTTCCAGGTCACGGAGAGACAAGTGGTTGCCTTCTCCTGAGTTTCCAATATGCCTTTCCAAAGGAGGCAATCAGAATATGCGTCTATCTCAGTGAGCTGGAGGGATGACTTCGAATAGAATGGAAGGCAGGTTTGTCCTGAGCAGTTCCCAGCTTGAATTTTCCCTTTAGCTCAGTGATTTTGGGGGCCCAGTGGAGCCAAGGATCCCGTGGCGTCAGAGCAGGAGGGGAGGCCAGGCCAGGCAAGACTGGAACAGGAGGGAGGACCTTTGGGGTGAGGCTGTTGGCAACGAAAGTAAGGGTTTCTCATACCTTATCATTCAATCTATTCCTTTTCATACAAGAAGATAAAGACACAGCAGCAAGAACAATTATTAAATGCATGAAAAAAACAGAGTTATATGACAGCAATATTCCATAAAGGAATCAAAACACAAAAAGGCAAAAAATGAGCTTGTTCAGATAAGCAGGGTGCCACACCCACAGTTCAAAAAGAAAATCGCCTTCAAGGGGTTAAACTTATTCCCAAGCTTGAGAGCCATGTTCTGCTGAAGTGGAGACCCAGGGTGGACCAGACCAGGGGTGACGAGGCAGGGAAACCTAAGGATTTAACTCTGTCAGCCTACCATGTTCTCTTGCCCCATTCTCACAGTGTGGAAATGCTTCCCTCCTTCAATGCCTTGGTTTTTGCCAACAGAAAATTCTCACAAGGAGTTGTTACAGGAGAGGGGTCCTGATCCAGACCCCAAGAGAGGGTTCTTGGATCTCACACAAGAAAAAATTCAGAGTGAGTCCCTAAGCTGAAAGCAAGTTCATTTAAAAAGTAGAGGAATAAGGGCTGGGCATGGTGGCTCATGCCTGTAATCCCAGCACTTAGGGAGGCCGAGGCAGACAGGTCACCTGAGGTCAGGAGTTCAAGACCAGCCTGACTAACATCTAGTGAAACTCTGTCTCTACTAAAAATACAAAAATTAGCTTGGCATAGGGGTGCACGCCTGCAATCCCAGCTACTTGGGAAGCTGAGGCAGGAGAATCGCTTGAATCCAGGAGGATGAAGTTGCAGTGAGCCGAGATAGCGCCACTGCACTCCAGTCTGGGTGACAGAGTGAGACTCTGTCTCTCAAAAAAAAAAAATAAAATAAAGGAATAAAAGAATGGCTACTCCATAGACAGAGCAGTCCCAAGGGCTGCTGGTGGCCCATTTTTATGGTTATTTCTTGATGATATGCTAAACAAGCGGTAGATTATTCATGCCTCCCCTTTTTAGACCATATATGGTAACTTCCTGACGTTGCTATGGCATTTGTAAACTGTCATGGGGCTGTTGGGAGTGTAGCAGTGGGGACCACCAGAGGCCACTCTCGTCACCATCTTGGTTTTGGTGGGTTTTGGCCAGCTTCTTTACTGCAACCTGTTTTATCAGCAAGCTCTTTATGACCTGTATCTTGTGCCAACGTCCTATCTCATCCAATGACTTAGAATGCCTTAACCACCTGGGAATGCAGCCCAGTAGGTCTCAGCCTCATTTTACCCAGCTCCTATTCAAGAAGGAGTTGCTCTGGTTCACATGCCTCTGACAGACTCATTTTAAGATTCAGACCTGAATAAACTGTCAAATTCAAAAACTGTTGTTACTGGAAAGGTGTCTCCATCCAAACCCCAAGAGAGGGTGCTTGGACCTTGTGCAAGAAAGAATTCAGAGCAAGTCCATAAAGTGAAAGCAAGTTTATTAAGAAAGCAAAAGGATGGGCCGGGCCCAGTGGCTCACGCCTGTAAATCCCAGCACTTTGGGAGGCAGAGGCGGGCAGATCACAAGGTCAAGAGATCGAGACCAGCCTGGCCAACATGGTGAAACCCCATCTGTACTAAAAATACAAAAATTAGCTGGGCATGGTGGTGCACGCCTGTAATCCCAGCTACTCGGGAGGCTGAGGCTGGAGATCGCTTGAACCCGGGAGGTAGAGGTTTCAGTGAGCCAAGATCGTGCCACTGCACTCCAGCCTAGAGACAGAGCGACACTCTGTCTCAAAAAAAAAAAAAAAAGAAAGCAAAAGGATGAAACAGTGGCTACTCCATAGGCAGAGCAGCCCGAGAGCTGCTAGTTGGCTATTTTTATAGTTATTTCTTGATTATATGCTAACCAAGGGGTGGATTATTCATGAGTTTTCTGGGGAAATGGGTGGGCAATTCCCAGAATAAGTGTTCCTCCCCTTTTTAGACCATATAGGGTATCTTCCTGACGTTGCCATGGCATTTGTAATCTGTCATGGTGCTGGTGGGAGTGTCTTTTAGCATGCTAATGCATTATAATTAATGCATAATGAGCAGTGAGGCCAACCAGAGGTCACTTTGGTCACCATCTTGGTTTTAGTGGGTTTTGGCTGGCAGCTTTTTTTTTTTTTTTTTTTTTGAGATGGAGTCTTGCTCTGTCGCCCAGGCTGGAGTGCAGTGGCACCATCTCAGTTCACTGCAACCTCCACCTCCCGGGTTCAAGCGATTCTCCTGCCTCAGCCTCCTCAGTAGCTGAGACTACAGGCACGCGCCACCACGCCTAGCTAACTTCTGTATTTTTAGTAGCGATAGGGTTTGGCCATTTTGGCCAGTCTGATCTCAAACTCCTGACCTCAGGGATCTTACTGCCTCAGCCTCCCAAAGTGCTGGGATTACAGGCATGAGCCACCGCACCCGGCCAAAACAAGTATAACTAATTTATACATTCTATTACTTGATGTGTTTTTTACCCTCTGGATGCTGCTATCATTTTTCTTTCTTTCTTTCTTTCTTTTTCTTTTTTTTTTGTTTTTGAGACATAGGCTCGCTCTGTCACCCAGGCTGGAGTGCAGTGATGTTATCGTGGCTCACTGCAACCTCCGCCTCCCAAGTTCAAGTGATTCTCATGCCTCAGCCTCCCGAGTAGCTGGGATTACAGGCGCCCGCCACCACGCCTAGCTGATTTTTGTATTTTTAGTAGAGACGGGGTTTCACCATATTGGACAGGCTGGTATTGAACTCCTGACCTCAAGTGATCCACCCGCCTGGGCCTCCCAAAATGCTGGGATTACAGGCGTGAGACACCGTGCCTGGCCAGAGAAAAGTATTTTGTTGCTGCTTCTGGGTGCCCAGAGAAATGAGACATGGGGCTGGGTTCACAGGAAACGAGGTGAGTTGTGAGACAGGGGCTGGGGTGGGGACACTAAGGTGGCAGTTCAGCTGCATCTTGCGGCCCTACCTGGTGGGGGCGCTGTGACCCTGGACCAGCAGCTTGGCCTCTCTGGACCTCATTTTCCATTTTGTAAAGTGGGCCTGGATTATTCCAGTAAGAGACACACTATGTGTGAGGATGCTGGCCCAGAGTAGGTGCTTGGTTGGGGTGAACGCCCCTTCGTCTTTCCCCATTTCATTTTTCTCTTGAACTGTGCACATTATTCCTTCATTTGTCCCACAAATATTTGTTGAGCGCCTGCTATGTACGCAGCAGTGGGTGGCAAATAAGCAAAAAGTCCCTTTGAACCTCAGCCTTGTGGCTCCACTCAGCTTTTCTCCCAGGCAGGACCCTTGCATTTCTGAATCTCTCCACTGGGCTTCACCCAGGGATGATCAAAAAATATGAGTTCCAGAAGATACATTCCCCACACGAGCATCAGCCCTTCCTTTGCACCAGAACCTGTGCTCACAGCTGCAAAGAGGCGTGGATGAGACCCATCCCTCCCTCAAGAAACATCTTCTCCATCTACTTCCCTTCACTGCACCCTGCCCTTGAGTCAGGGACTATGATACGATTTTCCTCATTTATTCAATCTGATCCCAAATACATTTATCCGATCCCAAACACATGAAATCTGGCAGATGCTCATTTTTAAATTGACAAAGAAAATATGCACATGGGCCAAGGGCAGTGGTTCACACCTGTAATCCCAGCACTTTGGGAGGCCCAGGCAGGCAGATCACTTGAGGCCAGGAGTTCGAGATCAGCCTGGGCAACATGGCGAAACCCCATCTCTACTAAAAATACAAAAATTAGCCAGGCATGGTGGTGCACGCCTCCTAGCTACTTGGGAGGCTGAGGCACGAGAATCACTTGAATCCAGGAGGCTGAGGTTGCAATGAGCCAAGATCACGCCACTACACTCCAGCCTGGGTGACAGAGCGACACTCTGTTTCTAAATGAATGAATGAATAAATAAATAAAATATCCATGTGGCTAGCCAGTTAACCCAGTGCCATTTATCGAATATGTCAACTTAAAAAAGAGTATCTGCCAGATTTCATGTGTTTGGGATCAGATACATGAAATAAGTGTATTTTATTGGAAATAAAAATATATTTATTTATTTGTATATATTTATGCTGCACAACACATTTGGATATATGTATACATAGTGGAATGGCTCCATCAAGCCAGTTAATATATGCATTACCTCACACATTTATCATTTCGTTTGGTGGTGAGAATGCTTAAAATCTACTCTCAATAATTTTCAAATATACAATAGGTTGTTATAACTATAGTCACCATCATGTACACTAGATCTCTTGGTCCTCCTGCCTAACTGAAATTGTGTGTGCTTTGATCAACATCAAAAAGATGAACGATAACAAGTGTTGGCAAGAAAGTGAAGAGATCATGTTAAAACCCTCAACAAATAAGGCATTAAAGGAACATACCTGAAAATAATAAGAGCCGTCTATGGTCAACCCACAGCCAACATCATACTGAATGAGCAAAAGCTGGAAGTATTCCCTTTGAGAACCAGAATAAGACAAGGATACCCACTCTTATCACTCCTATTCGACATAGTACTAAAAGTCCTAGCCAGAGCAATCAGGCAAGAGAAAGAAATAAAAGACATCCAAATAGGAAGAGAGGAAGTCAAACTATCTCTGTTTGCAGATGATACGATTTTATACTTAGAAAACTCCATAGTCTCTGCCCAAAAGCTCCTCAATCTGATAAACAACTGGTAAAGTTTCAGAATAAAAACCAATGTGCAAAAACTCAATAGGATTTCTATAAACCAACAATGTCCAAGCTGAGTGCCAAATCAAAAACACCATCTCATTCACAATAGCCACACAAAAAAATAAAATACTGAGGAATACAGCTAACAGGGAAGGTGAAATATCTGCCTGTGGTCCCAGCTGCTTAGGAGGCTGAGGCAGGAAGATCACTTGAGCCTGGAAAGTCAAGGCTGCAGTGAGCTGTGATTGCGCCACCGCACTCCAGGCTGGGAATGGACTGAGAGCTTGTCTTTTTTTTTTTTTTTTTTTTTTTGAGCTAGAGTTTCGCTCTTGTTGCCAAGGCTGGAGTGCAATGGCGTGATCTCGGCTCACTGCAACCTCCACCTACCGAGTTCAAGTGATTTTCCTGCCTCAGCCTCTCGAGTAGCTGGGGTTACAGGCGCACACAACCACGCCTGGCTAGTTTTTTGTATTTTTAGTAGAAACGGAGTCTCACCATGTTGGCCAGGCTGGTCTCGAACTCCTGACCTCAGGTGATCCACCTGCCTCAGCCTCCCAAAGTGCCAGGATTACGCGTGAGCCACCCCACCCAGCCTCTAAATTAAAAAAAAAAAAAAAAAACAAGTTATAAAAGCTCCAGGCACAGTGGTTCACACCCATAATCCCAGCACTTTGGGAGGCCAAGATGGGAGGATCACTTGAGTTCAGGAGTTCAAGACCAGCCTGGGCAACATGGTAAGACCCCAACTTTACAAAAAATTTTTTTTCAATTAAAGAAAAACATCTTGCTAAAGAGGTCTCCTCTTCCTGAGATAAACGGCTGCTTGACAGTAAATAGAGGCAGGAAACCTCATGTTTGATCTGCTGCTTGATAACAAGAAGACATCAAAACCACCACAGTAGCTGCTTAAGATGATAAAAATGACCATCCTCAGTACATAAAGACTGTGCATGAAATAACTTATCTCCAGCTTAGAGGAAGTTCCGCCCCAGCTACCACACATTTAACAGATCTTCCCAGAACATCTGAGCTCATCACTGAGCCAGGAGCTGGGATGACTGCAGTGGCCAGGGCAGACATGATACCTGCTCTTGTGGACTTTACACTGGACGGAGAAGGTGGAGGATGAATTATTGGCTGAGTTTTAGAAAAGAGCATGAGGAGTGTGAGGAAGAGATGGCAGTGGCTATGGGGGATGAACAACCTCATCCTCAGAAATCAGGACACCTGGTTGGGACTTCGGGGAGGAGATGGCATTTCAGCCAAGACATTCTGCTCCAGGAGCAGAGGGAGAGGAAAGGGTGCACCAGGCAGAGGGAAGAGCATGTTCCAACGACCCGAGGTGGGAAGATGATTGCCCATCCAAGGAAAAGAAGAAAGACAATATGGGCCGGGTGTGATGGCTCATGCCTGTAATCCCAGCACTTTGGGAGGCCGAGATGGGTGGATCACTTGAGGTCAGGAGTTCAAGACCAGCCTGGCCAACATGATGAAATTCTGTCTCTATTAAAAATAGGAAAATTAGCCAGGCATGTTAATGCACACCTGTAATCCCAGCTACTCAGGAGGCTGAGGCAGGAGAATTGCTTGAACCCAGGGGGCAGAGGTTGCAGTGAGCTGAGATTGTGCCACTGCACTCCAGCCTGGGCGACAGAGTGAGACTCCATCTCAAGAAGGAGAAGAAGAAGGAGAAGGAGAAGGAGAAGGAGAGGAAGGGGAAGGGGAAGGGGAAGGGGAAGGAGAAGGAGAAGGAGAAGGAGAAAGAGAAGGAGAAAGAGAAGGAGAAGGAGAAGAAGAAGGAGAAGCAGAAGGAGAAGAAGAGGAAGAAGAGGGAGAAGGAAGAAGGAGGAGGATGAGAAGAAGAAGGAGAAGAAAGCCAATATGGGCCGGGCACAGTTGCTCACACCCGTAATCCCAGCACTTTGGGAGGCTGAGGTGGGTGGAACACTTGAGCCCAGGGGTTCGAGACCAGCCTGGCCAACATGGTGTAACTCCGTCTCCACTGAAAGTAGGACAATTAGCCCGGTGTGGTGATGCATGCCTGTAATCCCAGCTACTCAGGAGGCTGAGGCAGGAGAATCTCTTGAACCCAGGAGGCGGAGGTTACAGTGATCTGAGATCATCCAACCTAGGCAATAGAGCAAGACTCCATCTCAAAAAAGAAAAAAAGAAGAAGGAGAAGAGGAAGAAAGAAAGACAGACAAACAATATGACAGGGGCCTTGGGCAGCAAGGAGTGGGGAGTGGCTCATGGAGCCAAAATAGACAGTCAGGGGTCTGATTTCAAAGGGTCCCAACAGCCCCAAGATTACACTCATCTACACGGGTGATACTGTCTGTCCATGATAAACACAGAAGGAACAGTGGGTTCAAATGAGGTCAATCACACCTGGAAAATGAATTTCAAATAAACTCAGGAATAGCCATTCACATTTCAAAAGGATTTTGCAACTCACAAATCTCCATAGCATTGGAATGAGAGAGTCATTTGCTTGTTTTCTCAGCAAGTATTTATTGAGCACCTATTAGATGCTGGGTGGTGGGACACAATGATGAGCGAGTCCAAAGTGGTCCTGCCTCCTCAGGTGGCCAGTCTAGTGGAAGGAACAAGGGATATGTCTATTAAGTAACTTATATGACATAATGCAGTTAGCATTACAGTAGAAGTAGAAGCCTCGGCCCCTCTCAGAGCTCTGGAAACCTTCCCCTCCATCTACTCCAGCAGCATGGGAAGTTCACGGGGGCCACAGCTGGCACCAAGTGTTTTCCACGCTTTGCTTCTGAGGGCCAAGATGCCATGGTGCTTTCTGTAGCATTTAACTGTGTGGAGCTCTGGGACTCTTGTGTCTTGGGGGAAGAAAGGACCACTTTTTTTTTTTTTTTTTTTTTGACAGAATCTTGCTCTGTCTTGCCCAGGCTGGAGTTCAGCGAATGATCTCGGCTCACTGCAGCCTCCGCCTCCTAGGTGCAAGTGATTCTCCTACCTCAGCCTCTTGAGTAGCTGGGATTACAGGCGCCTGCCACCACACCCGACTAATTTTTGTATTTTTAGTAGAGATGGGGTTTCACCATGTTGGCCAGGCTGGTCTTGAACTCCTGACTTCAGGTGATCCACCCGCCTCGGCCTCCCAATGTGCTAGGATTACAGGCATGAGCCACTGCGCCCAGCTGAAGGACCACTTCTAATTCCTACCTATGTCTCTTGCTGCTAATTAAACATCTAAGTTTAGAGGCTAAGGGGGATACTACCTGGGGACCATTCCTCCGGACTGGAGTGAGCCTGTGTTTCTGTCTTCATCTTAGCCCCGAGCTATGGATCAAACCTCGGCTGCCTGCAGCTCTGTGGTTGATCCTGAGGGACTCCTTCATTTACACAAATGAAGTGTAGATAAGAATTGTGTGTCAACTTTTAATGAGCCCTCAAGGGTCATTGAAAAATCCCATGGCTAGTTCACTGATGAAACTTAGAATTGGCTTCCCAGGGATTGTTATGACAATAGAGTTTGGTAGATCGTGCCGGCAGGTGTTCCACTGGGCTGTTTGATGCCACTCAAGGCTCTAGCCAAGCGCATCTCTGATGTGTCCTCCAGGAAGGGTGTCCAGGGGCTTTGACTGATGAGCACGGGGAGTTTTGGAGGAGGGCTGGAGGTGGCGGGTTCAGATGAATTCTACTAATTGCTTGGTATATGGACCCCATGACATCACTTCAACTGAATTCTCTGGGAGTTTGTTTTTGTTTGTTTGTTTTCTGTTTTTTTGTTTTTTTTTTTTTTTGAGATGGAGTCTCACTCTGTCACCCAGGTTGGAATGCAGTGGCACAATCTTGGTTCACTGCAACCACTGCCTCCAGGGTTCAAGTGATTCTTCGGCCTCAGCCTCCTGAGTAGCTGCGATTACGGGCACTTGCTACCACACCCAGCTAATTTTTGTATTTTTAGTAGAGATGGCATTTTGCCATGTTGGCCAGGCTGGTCTTGAACTCCTCAACTTAAGTGATCCTCCCACCTCGGCCTCCCAAAGTGCTGGGATTACAGGCATGAACCACTGCACCCAGCCATTGTTTTCTTTGTTTCAGCAGAGATCCACTGGACGTATGAATTGTGGATTTCTCTTTGGGTTCTTAAACACAGATTAACAGGCAGAGGGTGACTTGTATAATAGTCTAAGTGGCTTCATGCCTCAGGACCCTGGCTCACATCAGATAAACTTGACTCGAATCCTGGCCTACCTATTTCCTGGTTGTGTGACCTTAGTGAAGTGAATTGACCTCTCTGAACCTGTGTCTGCAAATGGGGAGGCCAATAATAATAGCACCTGCCCCACAGCATGATGCCTGTAAACGTATTGGCATTTCATAAATCCTCAATACGTGCTAGACAGTATGATTGTGTCACCCAGTAGAGTCTTGTAGGGATCTGGGTACAACTGATGGAGCCAGCTCATGGCTTTACTTACCTCACCCCCACGCCTTTAAAACTCATCTATTCATGCCTGTATTAAGGATTTATTCAACACTTTTTGTGTTCCAGGCTGTAGGAACCAAACCTTGTCTGCCTGCAGCTCAAACAAGAGAACAAGCAAGATGAGATCCTCTGCCCTCCTGGTGTTTTTTTTGTTCTCGTGGGGAGAAAATGTATTAAAATATGAGTTACTGCATCAGACATATAAAATAATAATTTCAAGAAAATGGATCTGTGATTGTAAATATTGGGTCAAATTTAGCATCAGAGTAAACAAATAAATGGATATTATGTCACAATCAGGGCGGACTGTAATTAAATGACTTTCTAGAGTGCGGCTGCATCCCCATGAAGCTCAGACCCCATTGTTGCCTTTTTATTTTATTTTATTTTATTTATTTATTTTTGAGACAGAGCCTGTTGCCCAGGCTGGAGTGCAATGGCGTGATCTCAGCTCACTGCAGCCTCTGCCTCCTGGGTTCAAGCGATTCTCCTGCTTCAGCCTCCCGAGTAGCTGGGATTACAGGCGCCTGCCATCACGCCTGGCTAATTTTTTATATTTTTAGTAGAGATGGGGTTTTACCATGTTGGCCAGGCTGGTCTCAAACTCTTGGCCTCAGCCTCCCAAAGAGCTGAGATTACAGGCGTGAGCTGCCACTCCCGATCTGGTCTTGATTTCTCTTTTTTTAAGGACACTAACCCCACTGGGCGACCCTACTTTCTTGGCTTAATCTTAACCTAATTACATTCCAAAGGCCCCATCTCCAAGTATTATCACATGGGGGGTTAGGGCTTCAACACATGAATTTTTGGGGATACACACATTCAGCTCATAACCCTGATCTGAAGCTAAGTTTCTGAACCAGGAGCAAGAAACTACTCTTAGTTTCTGATAGCTTGTCTCCATGACCCTGGAAGAAAAATCAAACATTATGTTTCTTTTCTCTGCAGCAAGGATGCAGGCATCTATCTCATTCCCACACAGTTCCAGGTTCAGTTCCCTTGCAGTCCTAAGGTTCAGGGCAGTGAGAGCAAGAACCAGACCAGGTTCCTATTTGACCTAATTCCTTTTTTTTTTTTTTTCCTTTTTTTGAGACAAGGTCTACTCCGTCACCCAGGCTGGGGTGCAGTGTTATGGTACGATCAAGGCTCACTGCAGCCTCAAAGTCCTGGCCTCAAGCAACCCTCCTGCCTCTGCCTCCTGAGTACCTGGGAGTACAGGTGAGTGCCACCATGCCTGGATAACTTTAGTATTTTATTTTATATTTTATTTTATTTATAGAGATGGGGTTTCACCATGTTTCCCAGGCTGGTTTTGAACTCCTGGGCTCAAGCGACCTGCCCGCCTCGGCTTTTCAAAGTCCTGGGATTACAGGCATGAGCCACTGACCATGGCCTAATCCAAAATGATATTTGTTGGGGAAGAAGTGTTCCTACGGATCGTGACCTTGTTATGCCATGACTGTTTGGCTGTGAGTGATATTCCTGTAAATATGTGAGTTTGAGCCAGGTTCAAGGAACGATCATGCCTAATTCTTTTTTATTCTTTCAATAAATATTTATTGAGCAAGTATTCTGATGGGTTTGAACTGGGCTTGGATGCAGCAACAGGACTGGGAGGATCACATCCCTTAGCCAGTTCCTCACATTGATCCACCATTGCCTCACAGACTTTGGTCTTTTACTGCCTTAATAATTTTCACTAAGAACCATCTGCACTATGACGTGTTTCTCTCGATGGACTCACTCTTTTTTTTTTTTTTTTTTTTTGAGACAAGGTGTTTGTTGCCCAGGCTGGAGTGCAATGGCACAATCTCAGTTCACTGCAACCTCTACCTCTGGGTTCAAGTGATCCTCCTGCCTCAGCCTCCTGAGTAGCTGGAATTACAGGCACGTGCCACCATGCCAAGCTAATTTTTGTATTTTTAGTAGAGACGGGGTTTCACCATGTTGGCTAGGCTGGTCTCAAACTCCTGGCCTCAAGCAATTCACCTGCTTTGGCCTCCCAAAGTGCTGGGATTACAGGCATGAGCCACTGCACCTGGCCAAAGCTGCCACTTTTAAACCATCAGATCTCATGAGAACTCATTCACTATCATGAGAACAGCGTGGGGGAAACCACCCCCATGATCCAATCACCTCCCACCAGGTCCCTCCCTCCACGAGTGGGGATTACAGTTCGAGATGAGATTTGGGTGGGGACAGACAGCCAAACTATATCAGGACCTGAGGGCCTCAGCTATCTTTTTCCTGAAAGCTTCAGGCTAATTGCATCAGAAGAAAGCCTCTGATCTGGGTGTTTAGTGAAATAGAAGTTGGTCCCCTGTATTGGTCAACCTAGGTTTGGAATGCTGCAGTAACAAGTAGTGACCTTGAAATTTTAGCAACCATAAACCAAAACTAAAATTCTAAGGCCTCCCAACCATCTGAATGGACTCCTCCTTTCTCGGCCAAGGGTATTCCAAAGTTAACCTGAAAAACCTGAACCTAGTTCAGGCCATGATGGGAAGAGAAGGTAGAAGTAGAAGGGGCCAGACATGCCTCATTACAGCCTCCTCCCTTTTGGTATTCAGGAAAAGCAGACCAGCATAAACGTCAATGCAGACCTTAAGTCTGATAAGAAACATTTACCATCTATTCTCTCTGAGGCCTGCTACCTGGAGACTTCATCTACATAATAAAACCTTGGTCTCCACAACCCTGTATCATAATCCAGACATTCCTTTCTATTGGTAATAACTCTTTCAACGAATTGCCAATCCAAAAAAATTTTTTTTTTTTTTGAGACACAGTCTTCCTCTGTCGCCCAGGCTAGAATGCAACGTTACAATCTTGGCCCACTGCAACCTCTGCTTCCCAGGTTCAAGTGATTCTTCTGCCTCAGCCTCTGAGTAGCTGGGATTACAGGTGCCCACCACCACGCCCAGTTAATTTTTTTGTATTTTTAGTAGAGATGGGGTTTCACCAGGTTTGCCAGGCTGGTTTCAAACTCCTGACCTCAGGTGATCCACCCAACTCAGCCTCCCAAAGTGCAGGGATTACAGGCATGAGCCACCGCACCTGGCCTGCCAATCAGAAAATTTTTAAATCTACTTATGACTGGGAAGCCCCCACTCTGCCAACCCTGCATCGCTGCCCAGCTTCAAGTCGTCCCACACGTCCAGATTCAACTAATGCAAATCTTACATGTATTGACTGGTGTATTATGTCTCCCTAAAATGTATAAAGCCAAGCTGTACCCCAACCACCTTGGGCACATGTTGTCAGTACCTCTTGAGGCTGTGTCAGGGTTACATCCTTAACCTGGGCAAAATAAATTTTCTAAATTGATTGAGACCTGTCTCAGATATTTTCGGATTCACACAACTGACAACCACAAAGCTTCATTTCTTGGCTACATTTATATCCATAGTGGGTCCACAGAAGCTCTGTTCTGCAGGGTCTTCTTCCTTGCAGGACCAAGTGTGAAAAAGTGGCCTCTCTCTGGGATGGGCTGTTCTTGTAGCAAGGGAAAAGCAAAAATAATATAACCACATAAGGCTCTTAAGGTTCCTGCTCAGTGGTGGTACATGCCAATTCCTGTTCCATCTCATTACCTCAAGCAGGAGCATGGCCAAGCCTGGCTTTAATGGGAGTGGGAACTACAATCCCCTTGCAGGGATAGACGGACCCAACATTGCTCCTGGGGCGTTTCTTCCACTCAGCAGAAATCAGAAAAGGACATGAAAAGTGAGTAAGCCTTGTGCCAAGAAAGACTCTAGGCTTTGGAGAAACGTCCTTTATTGTTGCCTCTGGGGATTCAGAGCCCAGAGAGGGCAGGGATGGAGGTTGAGGATGCACAACAAGAGGTTTACACCAATCTTATGGGGTAGGGGCCTAGGTCAGCAGCTCTGCCTCTTCTCACAGATGTAAACAGGAGACTCTGATTTGCAAGAGGAGTTGCTCCAGTGTCCCTGGTAGAGCATCATCACACAGGCTGGGGTGGTTCCATTATCATCCAATTTCCTGGAGTCCCAGTTTCTGTGAAGAGATGCCCACCACATCCCTTTCTGATGGGACCAGAGCCTGAAGCCCCAACTCCTGCCCTCTGTGAGTCAGGATCTGCCACCTGAAGCTCAAGAGGCCCCCAGTTATTGGGGCCTCTTATTGAGCCCATTGTATGGCCACTTATTGAGCCCATTGTATGGTAACCATCTGGTCAACCCCTTCCCTCTTTTTTTCCAAGTGGAGCTCAGATAGGAGTAGCAACAAGGCCACAGTCTTCAGAAAAGCTGAAAGTCTTCCAGCTCCTGGGCCACCATCCGACTGCCCCATCCCTCTGGGCTTCTCCCCTTCTCCAAGGTCCATTCCGCTTGAAACCAGACAGACCCCATTCAAATTCCAGCTCTGCCACTTGTATCTGTTTGACTACGGTCTTAATGTCTATGAGCTGCCGTTTCCTGTTTCACAAAATAGAAATTCATTCTGAGGATATGATGACCAGTGCACATAAGGTATACGGAAGGTGCTCAGATTGCAGATCAATCTGCCAATGAGACAACTTCTGCCCTAAGCTTGGCCCCATGCAGAGCAGCTTGCCAGTCAGGGAAGGTGATGCAGGAGGTAGGAAATGTCGCAGAAAAAGGCATACAGTGTGAGGATGCAAGACAATGCCAAGAGGTATAGTGAATTAAAGTGTCCTCTCCAAAAATATATGCCATGTCCAACCCCCTAACACCTGTGCATGTGACTTTACTTGGAAAGGGGGTCTTTACAGCTGTAATTAAATGAAAGCTCTCAAGATGAGATCATCCTGGGTTTGTCAGGTGGGCCCTAAATCCAATGTTGAGTGTCCTTATAACAGACAGAAAAAAGGAGACACAGAGGTGAGGAGAAGGCCGTGAGAAGACAGAGGCAGACAGTGGAGTGATGCCGCCGCAAGCCAAGGAATGCCTGGAGCCACCAGAAGCTGGAAAACACAGGGAAAGATTCTTCCTCAGACCCTTTGGAAGGGGCATGGCCCTACCGACATTTTGACTGGAAACCTCTGGCCTCCAGAACGGTGAAAGAACACATTTCTGTTGTTTTAAGCCACCCAGTTTGCAGTACTTTGCTATGGCAGCCATGGGAAAGTCATACAGTTGGCAAATGCTACATTGTTTCACTCCTTCTGAGTAGGCTTAGTGCTCATTAGCACATTCAGGGCTCTGAAAAGTCCTGCAACAAAGAAAGCAGTTTGACAACAGGTGCTGGCAAGGTTGCAGAGAAACGGGAATGCTTTTACGCTGTTGGTGGGAATGTAAATTAATTCAACCATTGTGGAATTCCTCAAAGATCTAGAACCAGAAATATCATTTGACCCAGCAATCCCATTACTGGGTATATGCCCAGAGGAGTATAAATCATTCTGTTACAAGGATACATGCACGCCTGTGTTCATTGAAGCACTATTTAAGACATGGAATTAACCCAAATGACCATCCATGATAGACTGGATAAAGAAAATGTGGTACGTATACACCATGGAACACTATGCAATCGTAAAAAGGAACGAGATCGTGTCCTTTACAGGGATATAGATGGAGCTGGAAGCCATTATTTTCAGTGAACTAATGCAGGAACAGAAAACCAAACACAGCGTGTTCTCACTTATAAGTGGGAGCCAAACAATGAGAACACATGGACACAGGGAGGGGAACAACACACAGTGAGGCCTGTCAGGAGGTGGGGTTGGGGGAGGGAGAGCATTAGGAAAAATAGCTAATGCATGCTGGGTTTAATATCTAGGTGATGAGTTGATAGGTGCAGCAAACAATCATCGCACACATTTACCTATGTAACCAACCTGCATATCCTGCACGTGTACCCCAGAAATTAAAATTCAAATAAAATTTAAAAAAGATTATGACTCTCTCTGAAGGCTCAGATGATTGTTAGCACTTTTTATCAATAAAGTATATTTAAATTTAAAAAAAAAGAGTTTGACATTGAACCCATAATTTCTCAAGCACCAAACTGGGAACACTCTTGTCAAGTAACAAAATAACTATAACTAGGATAATAGAAAAGATGTCGGCTGTGCGCGGTGGCTCACGCCTGTAATCCCAGCACTTTGGGAGGCCGAGGCCGGCGAATCCCCTGAGGTCAGGAGTTTGAGACCAGCCTGGCCAACATGATGAAACCCCGTCTCTACTAAAAATACAAAAAATTAGCTGGGTGTGGTGGCAGGTGCCTGTAATGCCAGCTACTCAGAAAGCTGAGGCAGGAGAATCGCTTGAACCCAGGAGGCAGAGGTGGCAGCGAGCCAAGATCGCACCACTGCACTCCAGCCTGGGCAACAAGAGTGAAACTCCATCTTAAAAAAAACAAAAAACAGAAAGGATATCAGGCAGTTTGGGAGCTACTACGGGTACTTCATTGTGAATGAATGAAAGAGAAACACCTACAGTGGTCATAACTTACTGCCTGAAAGCCATGCCTGCCTCTTAGGGGAGACTATCTTTGGTGTCAAAGGAGATACTCACATGTAGGTGGGGGCTGAGCCATCCATCCACCTGTGGGCACTTCCTTGGCCATCTTTGAAGAGGCCTATCCAGGATGTCGCCTGGTTAGTTGATGTCAGGAAGTCCTGGAAGGAAGAAGTTACATTTGGGAGGTGGAATTCCTTGGAAGCTGAAAGGATGGAGGCAGGGGTGTACAGAGGGCGAGAGGAGTAAGTTGCAGAGATCACAGTTAGATGGGCAGGCAGACAGAGGCAGGCAGGGAATTCACTGCCCTTGAATCTTGACTTTGAATCTCAGATCTACTATGTATTAGGTTGGTGCAAAAGTTATCGTGGTTTTACCACTATAGAAAACAGTGTGGAGATTCCTTAAAGAACTGAAAATAGGGCCGGACACGGTGGCTCACGCCTGTAATCCCAGCACTTTGAGAAGCCAAGGCGGGTGGATCACCGGAGGTCAGGAGTTCGAGACCAGCCTGACCAACATGGAGAAATCCCGTCTCTACTAAAAATACAAAATTAGCTGGGCATGGTGGCACATGCCTGTAATCTCAGCTACTCGGGAGGCTGCAGCAGGAGAATTGCTTGAAGCTGGGAGGCGAAGGTTGCGGTGAGCCGAGATCACACCATTGTACTCCAGCCCGGGCACCAAGAGCAAAACTCTGTCTCAAAAAGAAAAGAAAAGAAAAAAAAGAACTAAAAATAGAACTACCATCTGATCTACCAATCCCACTACTGGGTATCTACCCAGAGGAATAGAAGTCATTATACGAAAAAGATATTTGCACAAGCACTTTTATAGCAGCACAACTCACTATTGCAAAAATATGGAACCAGCCCAAACGCCCATCAATCAATGAGTGGATAAAGAAACTGTGAGATAGATATATACTGTGAGATATATATATACTGTGAGATATATATATACACATATATACACACATATATAATATATACACATATGTATACTGTGAGATATATATACACATACACATATGTGTGTATGTGTACATATATACATGTGTGTATATATACATATATACATATATAATATGTGTGTATATATATACACATATATACACGTGTGTATATATACACATATACATATATACACGTGTGTATATATACACATACATACATATGTATATATGTGTATATGTATGTATATATGCACACACAGTGGAATGCTACTCAGCCATAAAAAGGAATGTATTAATGGCATTTGCAGCAACCTGGATGGAATTGGAGACCATTATTCTAAGTGAAGTAACTCAGGAATGGAAAACCAAACATCGTATGTTCTCTCATAAGTGGGAGCTAAGCTATGAGGATGCAAAGACATAATAATGACACAATGGACTTTGGGAACTTGGGGGTAAAGGGTGGGAAGGGGTGAGGGATAAAATTAGGTTCAGTGTATACTGCTCAGGTGATGGGTGCACAAAATCTCACAAATCACCACTAAATAACCTACTCATGTAACCAAGTACCACCTGACCTCAGGTGATCCACCTGCCTCCACCTCCCAAAGTGCTGGGATTACAGGCGTGAGCCACCGTGTCCGGCCCTATTTTCAGTTCTTTAAGGAATCTCCACACTGTTTTCTATAGTGGTAAAACCACAATAACTTTTGCACCAACCTAATACATAGTAGATCTGGGATTCAAAGTCAGGATTCGAGGGCAGTGAATTCCCTGCCTGCCTCTGTCTGTCTTCCCATCTAACTGTGTCTCTGCATCTTACTCCTCTCGCCCTCTGGACACCCCCGCCTCCATCATTTCAGCTTCCAAGGAATTCCACCTGTTCCCCCAAAACCTATGGAAATAAAAAATAAAATAATCGCAGTTTTTGCCATTGAAAGTAATACACGTTGCAATGGCCTCCAACAATTCAGCCACCCCTCAGTTTCCCCATCAGCACAAACAAAAGAATGGAGATCCCCAGCTCTTAATATATTCTCACGGCCGGGCACGTTGGCTCACACCTGCAATCCCAGCACTTTGGGAGGCCGAGGTGGGTGGATCACGAGGTCAGGAAATCGAGACCATCCTGGCTAACACAGTGAAACCCCGTCTCTACTAAAAATACAAAAAAACATTTAGCCAGGTATGGTGGCGGGTGCCTGTAGTCCCAGCTACTCGGGAAGCTGAGGCAGGAGAATGGTGTGAACCCTGCAGGCGGAGGTTGCAGTGAGCCGAGATCGCGCCACTGCACTCCAGCCTGGGCAACAGAGCGAGACTCTGTCTCAAAAAAAAAAAAAAAAAAATATATATATATATATATATATATATATATATATATATTCTCACAAGTCAATTGTGAGAAGTGTGTGCACCTAGGAAGACCCCCTGGATAAATATTGGCTGTGAGTGTGCATGTCAGAGCAAGCAGTTTGATCTATAGGCCGTAGGAAGACTTCTGTCAGGAGACTCAATCCCAGGGACAATCTTGAGACCCTATCTTAGGTCAAGCCTTGTTTTTGGCCTAGGAGACCCAGACATGATTCAGATCTAGCCCCAGAGTCAGTGGATACCAGGCAACCCCAATGCAGCATGAAGTTCTGGGATAAAGATCTCTGATGGGCCGGGCACGGTGGCTCATGCCTGTAATCCCAATACTTTGGGAGGCAGAGGAGGGTGTATCACCTGAGGTCAGGAGATCGGGACCATTCTGGCCAATATAGTGAAACCCCATCTCTACTAAAAATACAAAAATTAGCTGGGCGTGGTGGCGGGCGCCTGTAGTCCCAGCTACTTGGGAGGCTGAGGCAGGAGAATCGCTTGAACCTGGGAGATGGAGGTTGCAGTGAGCTGAGATTGCGCCACTGCACTCCAGCCTGGCGACAGAGTGAGACTTCATCTTTAAAAAAAAAAAATCTCTGATGATGCTACAAGAGGATGTGGAGGAAGGGATGTTTGTGTTGGGCTTTTGAGGGATGAATAAGACTTCTCCATGCAGATGGCAAAGGAAAGGACTGTCCAGAGAGTGACCCACAGGAATCAGAGCTTCGAGACAAGACTACAGTGCACAGGGTCCGTTCCCTGAATGACGGAGCAGTGAGATTGGGCTGGGGCAAGGGAAGGCAGATCTTCAAGATCCTACTAAGAGTACTGTACATGATCCCAAAGGGGATAAGGATAGGAATCCCAAAATTCTTGTAGAATCCTTCCTCCACCTCCACTAGGGTCCTAACTTTCCGTTTCCCACCTATTCTGCTCAGCTGTTGATGACAACCAAGTGAGCTGCTTCTGGGCACAAGAATCAATGGCCTGGGGCCAGGTGAGGTTGTCTGAAAAGAAGCTGTAACAGGAGCCCTGGAAGGCCTTCCAGCTCTTGGGGCAGGGCAGGCAGGAGGATTCTGTGAGGATGGAGCCATTAGCAAATTTAGTGTATCCAGCTTTCCACCCAGTTGCCCACCCACTCGCTTCTGGCCACATTCCTAATGGCTTCCACTTGAATACACCCAACAATGGGGAACTCACTACCTAGACAGTTGGTGCTTGACATTACTGAAACATATCAGAAGGACATACTAAAATGCCATAAATATCCTACTGGGTGTGTTAGCTCACGCCTGTAATCCAAACGCTTTGGGAAGCCAAGGCAGGTGGATCACTTGGGGTCAGGAGTTTGAGACCAACCTGGCCAACATGGTGAAACCCCATCTCTACCAAAAAAAATACAAGAATTAGCTGGGCATGGTGGCACGCACCTAGTCCCAGCTACTTGGGAGGCTGAGGTGGGAGAATTGCTTGAATCCAGGAGCTGGAGATTGCAGTAAGCCAAGATGGCATCACTGCATTCCACCCTGGGTGACAGAGTGAAGCTCTGTCTCAAAAAAAAAAAAAAAATGCCATAAATATCCTATTAAGTGGAAAAGGCAACTGTAGGAATAATGTGCCAGGCGCGGTTGGCTCACGCCTGTAATCCCAGCACATTGGGAGGCCGGGGCGGGTGGATCACTTGAGGTCAGGAGTTCAAGACCAGCCTGTCCAACATGGTGAAACCCCATCTCTACTAAAAATACAAAAATTGGCTGGGTGTGGTGGCGGGTGCTCATAATACCAGCTACTAAGGACCCTGAGGCAGGAGATTGCTTGAACACAGGAGGCAGAGGTTGCAGTGAGCTGAGATCACACCATTGCACTCCAGCCTGAGAGAATGTGAATAATATACTACCTTTAAATAAAATAGAAAAGCATATGTTTGACATTCCTTGTTTTCTTAAAGAAACTCTACGGCTGGGCACAGTGGCTCACGCCTGTAATCCCAACACTTTGGGAGGTCGAGGCAGGTAGATCACGAGGTCAGGAGATCGAGACCATCCTGGCTAACATGGTGAAACCCCGTCTCTACTAAAAATACAAAAAAAAAAAAAAAATTACCCGGGCGTGGTCGTAGGCACCTGTAGTCCCAGGTACTTGGGAGGCTGAGGCAGAGAACTGCTTGAACCTGGGAGGCAGAGCTTGCAGTGAGCCGAGATTGCACCACTGCACCCCAGCCTGGGCAACAGAGCGAGTCTCCGTCTCAAAAAAAAAAAAAAAAGAAAGAAAGTGTAAAGCAGTGGTCCCCAGTCAGGGGCGATTTTGTCCCCAGTGGACATCTGGCAATGTCTGAAGGCATTTTTGTTCACCACAACTAGCGGAGAGGTACCACTGGCATGGAGAAGGTAGAGACCAAGGGTGTTGCTAAACACCCTGCAATGTACAGGACAGCCCCTTACTGCAAAGAATGATTCATCCCCACATGTCAATCGTATTGAGTTTGAGAAAGGCTGCCCTAAAGGAATAAAGCCCAGCTAATTCCAGTAGTTCTTGGGAGTTTGTGTTGGGGCTTAGGTGGGGAACATGGCAATGAGGTTTCAGGAGTGGGAGGGAAAATTCTCACTGATTTTATCTATATCCATCTACAGAACACATACACCATCAATCATTACTTGTGGGTTCCATATTTACAAATCCACCTACTCACTGAAATGTATTTGTAACCCCAGAGCAGATACTTATGTCATTTTGGGGGTCATTTGTGCGGATAAGCAGAGTAGTGAAAAGTTTGAGTCTGAGATAGAAGAAAAGAACTCTCTGCTGTCTTGTTTCAGCTTTCCTGCTGTAAACAAGTGTCCTTTTCATGGACTATTAAGTGCCATGTTTTTCACATTTTTGTGCTTTTCTTTCTTTCTTTCTTTTTTTTTTTTTTTTTGAGACGGAGTCTCATTCTGTCGCCCAGGCAGGAGTGCAGTGGTGCGACCTCGGCTCACTGCAACCTCTGCCTCCGGGGTTCAAGTGATTCTCCAGCCTCAGCCTCCCGAGTGGCTGGGACTACAGGCACACGCCACCGCATCCGGCTAATTTTTGTATTTTTAGTAGAGATGGGGTTTCACCATGTTGGCCAGGCTGGTCTCAAACTCCTGACCTTGTGCTTTTTGTCGATGACTTTGTTGTTGAAAATGGCCCTGGCATAATGCTGAAGCACTGTCTAGTGTTCCTAAATGCAAGAAGGCTGTGATGTGCCTCGTGGAGAAAATATGTGTATTAGAGCAGCTTCATTCAGGCTTGAGCTATAGTGCTGTTGACCATAATTCAAAGTGAATGAATTAACAATATATATAACACGTATTTAAACAGAGCCTGTAATCCAGCACTTTGAGAGGCCAAGTTGGGTGGATCACTTGAGGCCAGGAGTTCAAGACCAGCCTGGGCAATATGGCGAAACACCGTCTCTACTAAAAATACAAAAATTAGCTGGGCATGGTGGTGCATGCCTGTATTCCCAGCTGCTTGGGAGGCTGAGGCAGGAGAATCACTTGAACCTCGGAGGCAGAGGTTGCAGTGAGCCAAGATCATGCCAGTGCACTGCAGCCTGGGTGGCAGAGGGAGACTCTGTCTCAAAAAAAAATGTATTTAAACAGAAACACACACAAACAAGGCTACGTAATGATCAGTTGACAAAATGCTGTGATGAGAGTCTCGCTGGAACCTAACTGTATTTTCTCCTGGGACCTGTGGTTCAGGATTCATGAAATCAGTTCTCTCTGGACTTCATAGTGTGTAGCAATGGTGGATACTAAGACTCAACGGCATATACAGCATATCTCATCCTGTCATTCAAAAGTTCTATTTACATTCTGTTAAGTGAAATAAGCTAGGCACAGAAAGATAAATCCTGCATGATCTCACTTATCCGTGGAATCTAAAAAATCTAATTCGTAGAAGCAGAGAGTACAACCGTGGTTACCAGGGAATGGGGGAGGGGGGGTGGGGTAAGGAGATGTTGGTCAAAGGATGCAGAGTTTCCATCAGACAGGAGAAGTAAGTTTGGTCATGATCCACTGCACAGCATGGTGACCATAGTTAATAATAATGTCATCTCTATTCCAAAATTCCTCAAAGAGTAGATTTTATTTTTTCTTTTCTTTCTTTCTTTCTTTCTTTCTTTCTTTCCTTCTTTCTTTCTTGCTTTTTGTTTTGTTTGTTTGTTTGAGACGGAGTTTCACTCCTGTTGCCCAGGCTGGAATGCAACGGCACAATCTTGGCTCACTGCAACCTCTGCCTACGGGGTTCAAGGGATTCTCCTGCCTCAGCCTCCCAAGTACCTAGGATTAAAGGCTCCCATCACTACGCCCGGCTAATTTTTTGTATTTAGTAGAGAAGGGGTTTCACCATGTTGGCCAGGCTGGTCTCGAACTCCTGACCTCAGGTGATCCGCCCGTCTCAGCCTCCCAGAGTGCTGGGATTATAGGCATGAGGCACCACGCCCAGCCAAGAGTAGATTTTAACTGTTCTCACCACATACACACAAAAGAATATGTGGGTGAGGTGATAGTTTCATTAGCTTGATTTGCTGATAGATATGTTCATTAGCTTGTGGAATGATTATTCCACAATGTATGCATTTTAAATTTTTATTTTTATTTTTATTTTTTTGAGACAGAGTCTTTCTCTGTCACCCAGGCTGCAGTGCAGTTGCATGATCTCAGCTCACTGAAGCCTCTGCCTCCTGGGTTCAAGCAATTCTTGTACCTCGGCCTCCCAGGAAACTGGGATTACAGGCATAGGCCATCACGACTGGCTAATTTTTGTATTTTTAGTAGAGACAGGGTCTCACCATGGTGCCGAGGCTGGTCTCAAACTCCTGGCCTCAAGTGATCCACCTGCCTTCCTTGGCCTCCCAAAGTGCTGGGATTACAGGTGTGAGTCACTGTGCCTGGCCCACAATGTGTACCTTTATCAAAACCTCACATTATACCTCATGGATCTATACAATTATCCATTGAAATTTTATAAAACATTTCATTTAATTAAATGTTCATTTAAATTTAAATTAAACTTGCATTAAAGTCAATTAAATATTTTTCAAAGTTTTATTAACTTTTTGATATCGACTTAATTTTTTTTAGTTTTGGGAAGGAAAAGAGTTCTACTTAAAATATGTAGCACAAAGGTACCACCTACAACGGAATGTGATCCAATAGGGTTGTGTGGAACCCAGGCATCTGCATTTTAGCAAACTCGCTGCATTCATCTGACAGGCTGCAGAGGACCCACTGTATTTTGCAGCACACTGATGTGGTGATTTAAAGTGGAGGCTCCGGTCAGAGGTAGATTTACAGCAGACACCTGTAATCCCAGCACTTTTGGAGGCCAAAGTGGAAGGATCGCTTGAGCCCAGGAATGTGAGACAAGGCTGGGCAACATAGTCCAGGGAAAGAGGAGGGGAGGGAAGGGGAGGGGGAGGGGGAAGGGAGGAGGAGGGAGAGGGGAGGGGAGGGAGAGGGGGAGGGGGAGGGGAAGAAGAAGGGGAGGGGAAGGGGGAAGGGAGGGGAGGGAAAAAGAAAAGAGGAGGCTCTGAATCCTGACAATGACTCTTGAGAATGACACTGCTCATTTCCCCCCGATTCTGCAGCTGAGGGAACTGAGGCTGAGAGAGGTTAAAGGGGCTGTCCCCGCGGTTGCACACAGCCACACCTGCAGAGCAGGTCTCACTGTCCTCAAAGCCTTACTTTTCTGGTATCCCTTCACTATCCGTTGGTCTGACCATGTCACCTCAACTTTCTCCATGTTCCGCTAGCACTAAAAAGACCCAAGAATCCCCCGGGCATTGGGCTGCCTTTCCGAGATCCCTGCTACAGGAAGCCCCCGTCACCAGTGCCGAAAGGAGCAGAGTCCCCGCCCTTCCCCCACCTCCCTTTCCCCACTCCTCACCATTGCGTGCCTGGACAACCTTTATTTGCCTGAACATTTCACCCCGAATGAAGTCCCGGTCATGTCCGGTGTCTGCCAGCCCCGGTGTCACTGAGAGACCCAAAGAGAACGCGCTGGTAAAGGTCTTGGCAGAGTTGCGGGTTGGGAGATGTGATTAAGGGTCGGGGGGCGGGGCATCTCCTTGGACGCCCACTCACCTTTTTCATCCCGCACATCCTTCGTCATCCTCAAGACTGGGGAGAGACGCCAGCAGCATGTTCTAGACGCTCCCCTCACTCAAAGAACCTCCCTGGGGTTTCTCTGTGTTCCCCCAACTCCCAGAGTCCAAGACTTTCTTCCAGCCCCAGGGCAAGGCACTTTGGAGCTCTGAAATGTTCCACTCATTTTGCGGATGAGAAAACCCAGGCCCAGGGACATAAAGTTTCTTGTCTAAAAGCAACCAGCTAGTGAGTAGTAAGGAGGGAATTTCATTCCAGTGTGTCTGGACTGTTTAGGGAATGCAGGCAGCCTGGAGGTTCTAATCCCAGCTCAGGGCTGGGCTTAGGGGAGGTGCTCACCAATGACTCAAACCTGCTCGCTAATGATTCTGCTCCTTCAGTTCATACACACCCCCGCATGCCTCCCTCTGAGGCTGGTGAGGAGGTCAGCTCCCTCCTGTGTCACCATGGTCACCCCCAGGGACACGACCAGCAGCCCCTCCGGCTCCACCCCTATCCCAGCGTTTCCGAATCCGACCCACCCTACAGGTTGGGAGCCCTCATGGCTGCTGTCCCGGGGCCACCTGGTCCCCCTGATTCAGCCGCCTTACCTCTGGACAGAAGCACACTGAGGAGAACAACCAGGAGAAGCAGGATCAGAGACACCACCGGGCAGAGATACTTCCAGGTCTTTTTTTATTTTTTATTTTATTTTGTTTTTGTTTTTTTTTTTTTTTTCCGAGACGGAATCTTGCTCTGTCGCCCAGGTTGGAGTGCAGTGGCGCAATCTCCGCTCTCTGCAAGCTTTGCCTCCTGGGTTCACGCCATTCTCCTGCCTCAGCCTCCCGAGTAGCTGGGACTACAGGCGCCCGCCACCGCGCCCGGCTAATTTTTTGTATTTTTAGTAGAGATGGGGTTTCACCGTGTTAGCCAGGATGGTCTCGATCTCCTGACCTCGTGATCCACCCGTCTCAGCCTCCCAAAGTGCTGGGATTACAGGCGTGAGCCACCGCGCCCGGCATTTCCAGGTCTTGTCATGGGGCTTCTGTGCCCGTTGCCCTGGGTGGAAACCAGGTCAGCTTCCCCTCCCTTCAGGGATACCCACTCTCTTTTCCTTAGATGCCCGAGACTCCTCTCAGGCTGCAGGGAAATCGCTGAATCCCCCGTGCTCTTCTGGGACCCCTGCTGAATGCACCGGATGTTGAGGACTCAGAAAAGACTAGAAAAAGAAGCCTGTCCCTCTGGGATGTGGAGTAATGAGGAGGAAGCCTCAGAAAGATGGGAACTCCATGCCCTCTCTTTCTCCTGCCTATGGTTAGAGTGCAGGGGCAACCCAGCACCCAGCTCTTTTTTTTTTTTTTTTTTTTTTTGAGATGGTGTCTCGCACTACCACCCGGCCTGGAGTGCAGTGGCACGATCTCAGCTCACTGCAACCTCCGCCTCCAGGGTTCAAGAGATTCTCCTGCCTCAGCCTCCCAAGTAGCTGGGATTACAGGCGCCCGCCACCACACCCAGCTAAATTTTTTGTATTTTTTAGTAGAGACGGGTTTTCGCCTGTTGGCCAGGCTGGTCTTGAACTCCTTACCTTGTGATTCACCTACCTCGGCCTCCCAAAGTGCTGGGATTATAAGCGTGAGCCTCCGCGCCTGGCCCACCAAGCTCTTAATTGCACATAAAAGGGTTTCTGGTCCCAGCTTCTTGACTCACCAGTTTCCCCCAGCCTGGGGGGAAGTTTGGGCCCCAATGCTGATAATTCTTTGGGGTCCTTGCTGCTAGCATCCCTGCCTTCAATCATGACCGCAGCTCACTCTGCTCTGAGATGCTCCTACTCTACATGCTTATTTCTGGGAAACTCCACCCAGCCCTTGGAAGGAAACACTCCCCTTCAAGTCTCTTACACTGCTCCTCCTTCCTGGCTTAGAGTGTGGCCCGAGATCCTGAGATATCTGGTCATCTGTTAACACAGCCGGAAAGAGGACCTGGGTCTCTGAGCTCAGGAGGCAGTGGGCACCAAGTCTCCTCTGCAAAGCTGATTTCTGTCCAAGGTGACTGAAACACAAAGCAACAGAGAACGGAATCTCAGATCCCTGTACTGACACCCCCACCGCCACTCTCTGCTTCTCACAGCTTAGCATGAAAAGTGCTCTTGGCTTCTCACGATGAAGTGGTGGACATTTCAACCGAGGAAATGATTTGTGTGACTCTTTTCTTGGACACCGAGGACAATGACATTTCCCAACAGCTTTCATTCATCTCCCCAGCTAGGTAGCTACTTGTAGTTTTAATGTGGCCAACAAGCATATGAAAAAAAAATCTTTACATCACCGGTCACTAGAGAAATGCAAATCAAAACCATAATGAGATTCCATCTCACATCAGTCAGAATGGCTATTACTACAAAGCCAAAAAATAACAGATGCTGGGGGCAGGGGGTTGCAGAGAAAACGGAATCCTTATACACTGTTGGTGGGGGGTGTAAATTAGTTCAACCATGGTGAAAAGCAGTGTGGCGATTCCTTAAAGAGCTAAAAACAGAACTACCATTTGACCCAGCAACCTGATTATAGAGTATTCATCCAAAGGAATATAAATCATTCTACCATAAAGACACACACATGAGAATATTTATCGTAGCACTATTCACAATAGCAAAGACATGGAATCAACCTAAATGCCCATCAATGATAGACTGGATAAAGAAAATGTGGTACAGATACACCATGGAATACTGTGCAGCCATGCAAAAGAACAAGATCACGTCCTTTGTAGGAACATGGATGGAGCTGGGGTCCATTATCTTAAGCAAACTAACGTAGGAACAGAAAACCAAATACCACATGTTCTCACTTATAAGTGGGAGCTAAATGATTTGAACACACGGACACATAGAGGGGAACAACACACACTGGGGCCTATTGGAGGCTGGAGGGTAGGAGGAGTGAGCGGATCAGGAAAAATAACTAATGAGTACTAGGCCTAATACCTGGGTAACAAAAATAATCTGTAGAACAAACTCCCGTGACACAGGTTTACCTGTGTAACAAACCTGCACATGTACCCCTGAACGTAAAATGATATTTTAAAAAAATGAATACAGGCCAGGTGCGGTGGCTCCTACTTGTAATCCCAGCACTTTGGGAGGCCGAGGCAGACAGATCACCTGAGGTCAGGAGTTCAAGACCAGTCTGGCCAACATGGTGAAACCCTGTCTCTACTAAAAATACAAAAATTGGCTGGGCGTGAGGGTGGGTCTCTGTAGTCCCAGCTACTCGGGAGGCTGAGGCAGGAGAATCACTTGAACCCAGGAGACGGAGGTTGCAGTGAGCCAAGATCACACCATTGCACTCCAGCCTGGGCAACAGAGAGAGATTCCATCTCAAAAAAGGAAAAAAATATCCAATCCACTGTTGATGGGCACCTAGGCTGATTCCACATCTTTGCTATTGTGAGTAGTGCTGCAGTAAACACACAAGTGCATGTGTCTACCTAGTAGAATAACGTATTTTCTTTTGGGTAGATACCCACTGATAGGATTGCTGGGTCAAATGGTAGCTCTGTTTAAAGTTCTTTGAGAAATCTCCAAACTGCTTTCCACAGTGGCTAGACCAATTTACATTCTCACCAGCAGTGTTCCCTTTTCTCTGCAATTTTACCAGTATTTGGTTGTTTTTTTTTTTTTTCACTTTTTAGTAACAGCCATTCTGACGGGTGTGAGATGGAATCTTATTGTGGTTTTGACTTGCATTTGTCTGATGATTAACGAAGAGGAACATTTTTTCATTTGTTTGTTGGCTGCTTCCCTATTCAATAAATGTTCGTGGGATAACTGGCTAACCATGTGCAGAAGAATGAACCGGGACCCTGACCTTTCACCATGTACAAAAATTAACTCGAGATGAATTACAGATTTAAATGTAAGACCTCAAAGTATTAAAATCTTAGAAGAAAACCTAAGAAACATCCTTCTTGACATCAGCCTTGGCAAATAATTTTTGGCAAATCCCAAAAACCAATTACAACAAAAACAACAGAGTGAGACTCTTTCTCATATTTATATTGAGTATCACAGTCTTCTAAATAATTCCAATGTATTGAAATATAATGCCCTAATCCTGATATTTGTTGTTTTAGGTCACTATGTTTTGGTGGGGGGCTGACTTGTTACATAGTAATAGACAACTATTACACAGGCTTAAGCACTTAATAAATATCTTTTTTTTTTTTTTTTTTGAGACAGAGTCTCACTCTGTCACCCAGGCTGGAGTGCAGTGGTATGATCTCAGCTCACTGCAACCTCCACCTCCCGGGTTCAAGCAAAGCTCCTGCCTCAGCCTCCCTAGTAAAGTAGCTGGGACTACAGGCATGCACCATCATACCCGGCTAATTTTTGTATTTTTAGTAGAGACGAGGTTTCACCATGTTGGCCAGGCTGGTCTTGAACTCCCAACCTCAAGTGATCCTCCCGCTTCGGCCTCCCAAAGTGCTGGGATTACAGGTGTGAGTCCTTTTTTTTTTTTTTTTTCTTAAGATACAGGGTCTCACTCTGTTGCCCAAGATGGAGTGCAGTGTGCCTGGCCTTAATAAGTACCTTTTGAAAGCACAAATGAACTATACAATTGGAGTTTATCATACAGAAGCACAGTCCGACTGGGACCCAACTGTGTCAGCGTCACTCCCAGATACCTTGCCTATCAGCACTTCCTTATGACAACCACGTTAAAATCATATGTTACCTGTTCATGAAATAAATCGCAATTAAAGGACAACTGCTCAAGTTCTAGCCAACTTCTTGGGGGTGAGTCTGGGGAGAAGTTTAGAAGCAATATTTCTGACAAATAAATAGCGATATCGTGTGGTACTAGTGTTGATCGTGTTTGTCATTTATTCAGAAATGTTTACTGAACCGGCTGGGGGTGATGGCTCATACCTATAATCCCAGCAGTTTGGGAGGCTGAGACGGGCAGATCACTTGAGACCAAGAGTTTGAGACTAGCCTGGCCAACATGGCGAAACCCCGTCTCTACTAAAAATACAAAAACTAGCTAGGCGTGGTGGCACACACCTGTAATCCTAGGTACTCAGGAGGCTTAGGCACGAGAATCTCTTGAGCCCGGGAGACAGAGGTTGCAGAGAGCCAAGACTGCACCACTGTACTCCAGCCTGGGCGACAGAGTGAGATGAAAAGAAAGGAAGAGAGAGAGAGAGAGAGAAAGAGAGAGACAGAGAGAGAGAGAAAGAAGAAAGAAGGAAAGAAAGAGAGAGAAGAAAGAAAAAGAAAGGAAGGAAGGAAGAAAGAAAGAAAAAAGAAAGAAAAAGAGAGAAAGAAAGAAGAAAGAAAGGGAGGAGGGAGGAAGGAAGAAGGGAGAGATGGATGGAGGGAGGGAGGAAGGAAGGAAGGAGAGCTAGAGATAGAAGAAGAAAGAAAGAGGAAAAAAGAGAAAGAAAGAAAGGGAAAGGAAAGGAAAGGAAGGAAAAAAGAAAGAGCAAAAACAAAAGGAGGGGAGTGGAGGGGGATCACGCCACTGCACTCCAACCTGTTGACAGAGTGAGACTCCATCTAAAAAAAAAAAATGCTATTTTATATTTTATTTTTTGAGATAGTCTCACTCTGTTGCCCAGGCTGGAGTGCAGTGGCGCAATCTTGGCTCACTGCAACCTCCACCAACCAGGTTCAAGTGATTATCTTGCCTCAGCCTCCCATGGAGCTGAGACTACAGGCGTGTGCCACCATGCCTGGCTACATATTTTGTATTTTTAGTAGAGATGGGGTTTCGCCATGTTGGCCAGGCTGGCCTCAAACTCATGGCCTCAAGTGATCCACCCACCTCGGCTTCCCAAAGTGCTGGGATTACAGGTGTGAGCCACCGCGTCCAGGCTAAAAATGCTGTTTTAAACACTGGGAAGCACAGGAAAAGATGCTCAACATTATTGGTCATTAGAGAGGGGAAGGAAGGGGCGGGGGAGGGGAGAGAAGGAGAAATATTTACTGAATTATGTCTAGGCTCTCTTCAAGCAGGTGTCTTAGATGGGTCTCCAGAAGCAGATTGAGATAAAGAGCCTGGTGTTGGGCCTATTGTTAAGTGTGAGCCTTAATCGGAGAGGGGGTGCGGTTCACTGGGAACCTCTAGAGGACAGTGTAGGGAATGCACTGAGTTATTCCAGGAAAAGGGCTGGAGGGTGGGGGGTTGAAGGATTCATCTGCCAGCAACCATCAGTCCTTGGTTAAGAACCAATCAATGAGAGGTTAATTTCCCAACACTTCTGGGCTTGTCTGAGAGGCAGAGTGAGATCCAGCTACAGGAAGCTCTGCAGCAAAGAGACGTTGGCAGTTGGAAGACAGGATAGTAAATATTGCAACAGCAATATGCAAAGAGTTACAGGCAGAGCTCTAACAGAATCTACTATAATTGAATAAACAGAACAAGAACAGACAGGACAAAAGAGATCTCTCTGCCTTATGGAACTTGCAGCTCGATGAAGAAGACAAACGATAAAGGATTGCGTACCCTATCTGCTTTCAATAAACTAGGAAACAAACACTCTCTCAGAGCAATAAAATGCTATGACAAAAACTGATCATGGGATAAAAATTATCTGGGATGGGGGGCTGTTTAGATAGAGGAGGAAGAGCTTGGATGAAAAGGTGCCATTTCAGCCAATCCTGGAATCAGATGAGACTCAGTCACAAAAGAGCTGGGAGAAAAGCATTCCAAGCACAGGGAACCGCAAATCCAAAGGCTGTGAGAGAAGAACAGAGAGTCTATTAGGGAATCAGAATTGAGCCCAGGGCGGCCAAGTGCAGAGAGGGAGGGAGAGCAGCTGGGAAGGAGGTTTGAGGGGTCTGCAGGGATCAGTGGTGCCGAGTCCCTTATGCTAAGAGATAAATGTTTGTAGCAGGATCTTATTGGGAGACATTCACTGAGGTTTCCTTCAGCTCCCACCCCCTTGCACTTCCATGTGCCCCCATCGCTTTCAGAAAAAAAAGAAGCGCCTCCTATATGCACAGCAGAGAGGGCAGGCAGAGCTCATTCAATGAGCACACGTTAGAATTCTTGGCCAGGCGCAGTGGCTCACGCCTGTAATCCCCAACTCTTTGGGAGGCCGAGGCAGGCAGATCAGGAGGTCAGAAGTTCGAGACCAGCCTGACCAACATGGCAAAACCCCGTCTCTGCTAATAATACAAAAATCAGCCGGGCGTAGTGGCACGCGCTTGTAATCCCAGCTACTCCAGAGGCTGAGGCAGGAGAATGGCTTGAACCCAGGAGGCGGAGGTTGCAGTGAGCCGAGATTGTGCCACTGTACTCCAGCCTGGGTGACAGAGCAAGACTCTGTCTCAAAACAAAAAACAAAACAAAACAAAGAAACAAAAAGAATTCTTGCCGGACAGGCATGGTGGCTCACACCTGTAATCCCAGAACTTTGGGAGGCTAAGGCAGGCAGATCACTTGAAGCCAGGAGTTCGAGACCAGCCTGGACAACATGGTGAAACCCCATCTCTACTGAAAATACAAAAATCAGCCATGCGTGGTGGTGTGCACCTGTAATCTCAGCTACTCAGGAGGCTGAGGCAGGAGAATCATTTGAATCCGGGAGGCAGAGGTCACAGTGAACCGAGATCACACCACTGCACTCTAGCCTGGGTGACAGAGTGAGACTCTGTCTCAAAAAAAAAAAAAAAATTGTTGCCATTGATTTCCAAGATACACAAATAACAGTCTCAAAAGACCTTTTGAGATCTGCAAGAGCCAGGCTTTCTGAGGCAGGAAGTAATAATGGCCACGTTTATAGTGCATTTTCTATAAAGTGGCACAGCTCTGAGCCCCTTATATTTAGTCCCTGGGATGAGTCTGACGTAGGTGCTGTTGTCTCCATTATATGGTTGGGAAACCAAAGCACAGAGAAGGGAATTAACTTGCCCAAGTCACACAGCAGAGCTGAGGCTTGAGCCCAAGCAGTCCGGCTCCAGATCCCATGCCTTTGGGTGGTGTTTGCATCCAGTGGTCTGGCTTTGAATCTCTAGAGCCAAAAGGGATGACCCTGACCCTGACCCCCCCAAAAATGGGCCAGGGAGGCCTGTGCTGGGAATGGAGGAGGAACTTAGAGGTGAAAGGATGGGGATGCACCTTCCCCCCGACACTCTTATGAGAGCACCTGGCACACAGTTGGGAGGGAGGGGTGCTCAGGTAGCATCTGCTGGACAGGCTGCCTGTGCAGCATCAGGGACCCAGAAGAGAAAGGGACTCAGAGCCTCAATATTGCCCCTTAAATCCATCCTAAAACCTGGTCCCTCTCCTGCTCAAGCACCTCCCATAGCTCCTTATTGCCCACATGATAAAGTCCATTGTTGGGCTCTGAACCTGCGATCCATGTGGTCAGCCAGAGAGGCAGTCAGGGTCTTGGCTTCAGAGACCCTGCCCCACTTCCACCCACACACACCCTGGATCCTTGCAGTCCCCAAGCAGCCCCTGCTGGCTTTAGATGAGACTCAGGCAGAGGTGACAAACATTTTATTCCTGGGAATCTGCAAAGGTGGGTGGGTGGGGTTAGGGTGGATCCCTGCAGGCCTCAGCTCAGTGGCTCCACCAGCAGCTAAAGTCCGCCCTCCGCATGCATGATCAGCTCTGGCTTCCTGCCGGGCTCCATGTGGTGCCGCAGGAAGCGGAAGCCCAGCAGCGTGAGTGCCAGGACCACCTTCATCTCGGCCACGGCGAACACCTGCCCCATGCAGATCCTGCGGGCAGATGAGAGGACTCTGACTGTGCCCAAGACCCGCATCCTGGCCCCATCCTGGCACCATCCCCCAAACCAGGCACAGCTCTGAGAGGATTACTGTCTGCAAAATAGAAAAGCAATGCTGCAAAATGAAATAAATATACATTAGATATATAGCCTAAGTTATGTCACATTCATTTCTCTTTGCCTTTAGAGTTCATAGTTAAATTTTTCATTCCAAAATGATGAATATTCCCATAAAAAAGACAAGTAAGCAAAAGTAAGAAATAGAAGTTATCCACAATCCCATGTCAAAATAAGCACTGTAAATATTCTCTCACACGTCCAGGTTTTTTATTTATATGTAATCTTTTTATCTGGGAAAATGCTTATTAATATCTAAATTTATTACATTTACGTGCAATATTTTTGTTTAAAAATGCTATTTTAGGCTGGGTGTGGTGGCTCATGCCTGTAATCCCAGCACTTTGGGAGGCTGAGGCAGGTGGATCACGAGGTCAAGAGATGGAGACCATCCTGGCCAACATGGTGAAACCCCGTCTCTACAAAAAATACAAAAATTAGCTGGGTGTGGTGGCACACTCCTGTAGTCCCAGCTACTCGGAAGGCTGAGGCAGGAGAATCGCTTGAACCCAGGAGGCAGAGGTTGCAGTGAGCTGAGATCACACCACTGTACTCCAACCTGGCCACAGAGTGAGACTCTATCTAAAACAAAAAATGCTATTTTATATTTTATTTTATTTTATTTTATTTTATTTTATTTTATTTTATTTTATTTTATTTTATTTTATTTTATTTTTTGAGACAGTCTCACTCTGTTGCCCAGGCTGGAATGTGGTGGCGCAATCTTGGCTCACTGCAACCGCCACTACCCAGGTTCAAGTGATTCTCCTGCCTTAGCCTCCCAACCAGCTGAGACTACAGGCATGCACCACCACGCCTGGCTACATATTTTGTATTTTTAGTAGAGACAGGGTTTCGCCATGTTGGCCAGGCTGGTCTCAAACTCGTGGCCTCAAGTGATCCACCCACCTCGGCTTCCCAAAATGAATTACAGGTGTGAGCCACTGCGTTCAGCCTGAAAATGCTGTTTTAAACACTGGGAAGCACAGGAAAAGGTGCTCAACATTATTTGTCATTAGAGACAAGCAAATCAGAACCACAGTGTGATGCTTCTTCACAGCCCCTAGGATGGCTGGAATCTAAACATGGGAAAATAACAAACATCAGCTAGTATGAAAGTGAGGCTAAGAGAAGAACTGTTTTAAGATTGAGGAAATATAGCATTATATGTATTCCAACAGGAATGATCAAATAGAGTGTAGGATACACGGTCAATAAACAAAACTCAATTATATTTCTACATCCCACATATTTCACTGTTACAGGTAAGAACTCTTTGGCCGGGCATGGTGGCTCGCACCTGTAATCCCAGCACTTTGGGAAGCCGAGTCTGGCGGATCACTTGAGCCCAAGAGTTCAAGACCAGCCTGGCCAACATGGTGAAACCTCATCTCTACTAAAAATGCAAAAATTAGCCGGGCATGGTGGCATGCCCCTGTAATCCCGGCTACTCAGGAGGCTGAGGCATGGGAATTGCTTGAACCTGGGAGGTGGAGGTTGCAGTGAGCCAAGATTGCACCACTGCATTCTAGCCTGGGTGACAGAGCGAGAATCTGTCTTAAAAAAAAAAAAAACACCAAAACAACAACAACAAAAACAAACAAACAAAAAAACAAACAAACAAAAACCTGTTTGCCTAACCTGTATATCCCAGGGATACAGAAATATTTCAACCCCCGGGACATAGGGATTAGGCAAAGAGTTCTTAAATATAATGGCGTAAAAGTAATCCACAAAAAACAAAATTGATAAAGGGTACTTCATAAACATTAAAACCTTTCGCTCTATAAAAGAAACTTCAGGGCTGGGCTCGGTGGCTCACACCTGTAATCCCAGCACTGTGGGAGACTGAGGCAGGTGTGTTAGATATGAGTTCTAAATTTCTTTTCAAAGAATCAATATGTCAGGATGTTCAATTCTTTGCCTTCTACTTTTAAATTTAACTTCCTCATAAAGCAGCCTTTTCGGATTACCTGTTCCACCCTGACTCATTCCTATTACCTACTCCACCGTGACTCATTCTGATTACCTGCTCTGTCATAACCATTTTTCCCGCCAAACCACTCATCCCACCACTCTCTTTAAATTAGCCAATCGGAATTAGTTTAGCCTGTGTGGTCTAACCCTAGCCAATAGGGGAACGACACAGCAGCAGGGGCCACATGCATCAAGGATAAGAACCCCTTCCCCTCCCTTGTCCAAGTGTGAGCTCACCATTGCTCCATCTGTAAGGGCGCACCCTTCTATAGAAGTACCTTTCCTTGCTGAGAATTAAAAAGAAAATTTTATATTCGAGTGATATTTCTTTTGCGGCACCAAAACTTTACTTATAACAGGTGGATCACCTGAGGTCAGGAGTTCGAGACCAGCCTGGTCAACAACGTGAAACCTCGTCTATACTAAAAATACAAAAACTAGCGGGGCATGGTGGCAGGCACCTATAGTCCCAAGGCTGAGACAGGAGAATTGCTTGAACTCAGGAGATGGAGATTGCAGTGAGCCAAGATGGCGCCACTGCACTCCAGCTGGGGCGACAGAGTGAGACTCTGTCTTAAAAAGGAAAAAAAAAAAGAAAAGAAAAAAAACAGATAATGAAAAGGCTAGCCGCAGACTAGGGGAAAATACTTGCAAATCACACATCTGACAAAAGACTTGTCTGCAAAATATAATCTATAAAGAACTCTCAAAATCCAAAAATAAGAAAGCAAACAACCCAAGGAAAATTAATGGACAAAAGATTAGAACAGACACTTTACCAAAGAAAATACAAAGAAGGCACATGAAAAGATGGAGAAATGCAGACTAAAATCTCTGTGACATACCGCAGCATACCCACAAGGAAGACTGGAAAAAAAAACTGACACTATCAAGTACAGGTGAGTATTTGGAGGAACTAGAATTCTCATACCAATACAGGAGCTAGAAAGAAATTATTTTGGCAGATAGTGAGGATAAGACAGTTATCAGTAAGGTTTCCTTTTCATAAAAAGCAGCCCCCAAGTCATTTCTTTTCTAACAAAAAGCAGCCTGAAATATCAAGCTGCAAGCACAGATAAGCAAGCTGGAAGTTTACATGGGTAAATGCCGGCAGCTGTGCCAATAGAAAAGGGATATCTGGAAGCCAGGTGTATTCAACTTGGAGGTTTCCTCTTCCCTTTTCTTTGTCACCATGTGTGTAGTGAAAAGCAGGCAACAGGTAGAAAAAGCACCGGCCAGGTAGAGACCCCTATCTGCATAATAAAAGATCAGGGTGGGATAGCCAGCTTCCTCCCATGCTATGCAAACAGCACACCTGGTCTGACCAATCTTTCATGCCCTATGTAAATCAGGCACTGCCTCCTCAAGCTTGTCTATAAAACCCCATGCGTTTCACCACAAAACCACAAGACCCATTCAGGAGCCCCTCTTTCTCTGCAGAAGAGAGAGCTTTTCTCTTTTCTCTCGCCTATTAAACCTCCACTCTTTTTTTTATTTTTATTTTTTGAGATGGAGTTTTGCTCTTGTTGCCCAGGCTAGAGTGCAATGGTGCGATCTCAGCTTGCTGCAACCTCTGCCTCCTGGGTTCAAGTGATTCTCCTGCCTCAGCCTCCCGAGTAGCACACTACAGGTGTGCGCCACCACACCTGGCTAATTTTTTGTATTTTTAGTAGAGACAGGGTTTTGCCATGTTGGTCAGGCTGGTCTCGAACCCCTGACCTCAGGTAATCCACCTGCCCCAGCCTCCCAAAGTGCTGGATTACAGGCATGAGCCACTGCGCTCAGCCTAAACCTCAACTCTTAAGCTTACTTCTTGTGTGTCGGTGTCCTTGATTTCCTTGATGTGAGATGATGAACATTGGGTATTTACCCCAGACAACAACGCCACTTCAATACATTCCTGATAGGAATTAAAAATGACATGGACCTTTTGGAAACAGTTTGATAGTTTCTCATCATGGTAAACATACACTGATAATATGCCCCAGCCATCCCATTCTAACAGCAATGGGAATTTAGTTTCCCTGAAGAACCTGTGTACAAATATCCATAACAGTTTTATTCATAATATCCAAAAACCAGAAACAATCCACTTGCCCTTCAGCCACTGAACAAAGAGTGTCCTATCCATGCCCAGAAATTCTACCCAGCAATAAGAGGAAACAAGGTTTTGATACAGACAACATGGGAGACTCTCAGATGCTTTATACTAAGTGAAAGCAGCAAGACTCCTAGGCTCCCAATGGCATAACCCCATTCACACAACTATAGGAAGAAAGCAAATCTATGGGAAGACAGAAAACAGCAGTGGTTTTCAGGGGTCAGGAGTGGAAGGAGGTTTTTGACCACCAAGGGTGGCTGTGGCAGTAGTGGTTACATGACTCTAGCCATGTGTCAAAACTCTGAACTATCTCACGCCTGTAATCCCAGCACTTTGGGAGGCTGAGGGGGCAGATCACCTGAGGTCAGGAGTTTGAGACCAGCCTGGCCAACATGGCAAAACCCCATCTCTATTAAAAATACAAAAATTAGCCGGGTGTGGTGGTGTGCACCTGTAATTCCAGTTACTTGGGAGGCTGAGGCGGGAGAACCGCTTGAACCCAGGAGGTGGAGGTTGCAGTGAGCTGAGATTGCACCACTGTACTCCAGCCTGGGTGACAGAATGAGACTCTGTCTCAAAAAACAAACTGAACTAAGCACCAAAGAAAACAAATTCTGAAAATTTAATGTGATTTTAAGATGAGCCATGAAAATACAGGAGTGGCAAGTAAGCACACTCATTGTAATGTAGGCATGCTAATATGTAATTAGGGTGACTAATTACATATATTGTTTGGCTAAATATACTATGAAAGGATGCACTAGGTGTGAAAGTATTTACCTTTATACACATGAAGAAACTGGGCAGATGAAGGGCATATGTAGCACCATTACTTCTCACTGGGTATTTTATTTTTTACACGAGTGAATGTACTTCTGGTCAACAATATTATATTTAAAAACTTGGGGCTGGGTGCAGTGGCTCACGCCTGTAACCCCAGCACTTTGGGAGGCCAGGGCAGGTGGATCATCTGAGGTCAGGAGTTCAAGACCAGCCTGGCCAACATGGTGTAACCCCGTCTCTACTAAAAATACAAAAAATTAGCTGGGTGCGGTAGAGCGTACCTGCAATTTCAGCTACTCGGGAGGCTGAGGCAGGAGAATCGCTGGAACCCGGAAGGCAGAGGTTTCAGTGAGCCAAGATTGTGCCACTGCACTCCAGCCTGGGCGACATAGTGAGACTCCATCTCAAAAAAAAAAAATCGGGACTGGGAGGAGGGGCTCACACCTTTAATGCCATCACTTTGGCCAGGAGTTTGAGGTTGCAGTGAGCTATGATTGTGCCACTGCACTCTAGCCTGAGAGACTGAGGGAGACTCTGTCTCAAAAAGACAAAATGAATTAAAAAAGAAAAAGAAAAAGAAAAAGAAACAAAAAACAAAACAAAGCAAATGTAGGCACCACCTGTCAAAGAGTCTCATCTACTCAGTCTAGAGTCTGTAGGGGTTCCCAGGTAATCTGATGTGCCTAGGGCTGAGACTCGCTTTGAAAATCATGTCCTTGATACGATAAGGCATGACCTCTGATGCCAACTGCTCAGATTCACCCCTGACTCCACCCTTCACTGAGTGACCTTGAACAAGTGAGTTCATCTACAATCTGTAAGATCGATGTGAGGATGAAATCAGCATTTACCTGGGGGAGCTGAAAAGTCACCTTCTCCCTTCTCAGTGATCTACTTCTGTTAATACGACCAAAATATTCAGTGTCTGTGGAATTTCCAGATCATAACTGTTCTATGAAAGGTGTCTAACCACACCTGTATCTTACATGAATATTTGTGCATCTATTGCTGTGAAAATGAGATCTCTACCCCAAAAGTTACTTGATGAAGAATAACTCAATTTGTTACTAATAGTCAATGTATATGAAGCTAATTCTTACAAAGTGAGACAAAACACTTTTATTTTCTAATATGATGTCTTTTTTTAAATTAAGACTGATTTGAACACTTAACACACACATTTTGAGGACCACAAAATAATGTTTCCTAAGATGATTTAATGTCATGGAAAGATGCTCACAGCATATTATTATATGAACAACCTGGACAGAAAAAAAATGTATGTGAGATAAAATAGCAAATTTTTTTGATTGAGGTAGAATTCACATACCACGAAATTCACCATTTCAAAGTGTCCAATTCAATAGCATTTAGTGCACTCACAGTGTCGTGCTACCTTCGTCACTATCTAGGTCCGGAACATTTTCACCATCCCGGGAGGAAACCCCATACTGATTAGCAGTCGCTCCTCAGTCCCACCTCCCCACAGCTGCTGAAAGCCACCAATCCGCTATGCATCTCTTCAGATTGGCCTGTTCTGGAAATTTCGTATAAAAGGACAGTACACTATGTGACCTTTTGCATCTGACGTCTTTCATTCAGTATCATGCATTCAAGGTTCATCCACAGTGTAGTAGGGATCACTGCTTCATTCCTTTTTATGGCTGTGTAATACTCCATTGTATGGATGGACCACATTTTGTTTATCCTTTCATCTGGTAATATATAGCTTGGGGTTGTTTTCATCGTTTGGCTACTGTGAATAGGGCCGCCATGAACATTCACGCACAAGCGTCTTTCTGTTTGAACACTTGTCTCAATTATTTTGAGTAGATATCTAGGATGGAATACAGGACTGTGGAACAGGGTCTTAGGGTAATTCTAGGCTTCACTTTTGATGAATCAGGGGTCATTTTAGTGGGGTCAGAGTGGGTCTCTGCAGAACTCAGCTCAGGGGCTCCACCCGCAGCCAAAGTCCGCCCTCTGCGCGCAGGACCAGCTCCGGCTTCCTGCGGGGCTCGGTGTGGTCAGGCAGGACGCGGAAGCGCAGCAGCGTGAGCGCCAGGACCACCTTCATCTCCGCCATCGCGAACGTCTGCCCGATGCAGTTCCTAGGGGAGGGAGGTGGGAACTCTGACTGCACCCAGGAGCCCCATCCTGGCCCCATCAAGCCGGTAACCTGGCCTGGGACACCCAACCCCACCTAGAGCAGTTTGAGGAATAGAGAAGGGGGTATCCGTGCCTGGATCCCCATGCGGGCTTGCATATCCTGCAAGCCTAGCCGAGCTCCAACCCCCAGCCTAGACCAAGGTGGGGTAGGAGGGGGCTCTGAGCACACCACAGACCCTTCTAGGACCAACCCAACCGTACTCTATGGACCTTTTCCTATAAACTCCAGAGGAGGTGAGGGAAAGAGAGCTGGAACTTGGACCATCTACAATGTCCCCCTTTTCCCCACTGTCATGCCCAGACCCCTGCACCCATCAACCCGTTCCCACCTCAGACACAGGCCGCCCTTACCTGGGCCCTGCCGAGAAGGGAATAAAAGCCAGAGGTGACCTCTCCTTGATGTTCTCTGGGTCAAAGCGAAAGGGGTCGTAGACCTGGAGGTGAGACCAAGAAGGGTTGTTGGGTGGGGTCTCCCAGTCCGCCAGCCTTGGAGAGACAGACAGTTGTGTGTGTCTTTGAGGGAGGTGATGTTGGATACTCCTGATCAAAACCCTGCCCCCTCCTCTAGGAGCCTTGGAATGGACAAAAACAGAGAGAGGGGCCCCGCACCTCAGGGTCCGGCCACACAGCTGGGTTGTGATGGGTTCCGAAAACACTGATGAGGCAGATAATGCCTGTGGGAGAGAAGGGAGCAGTCAGGAGAAGGCCTCCTTCACTGAGGGGCCCCTCTTCCTACCCAGGAGACTCCTCCCCGTGAGGCTGTGAGCACCTTTGGGGATGACCCGGCCGTCTGGGAGCACAATGTCCTGGGTGACATGGCGGGAGATGACCGGGACTGGGGGATGCAGCCGCAGGCTCTCCTTCATGCACATGGTCAGGAAGGGCAAATGGGCCAGGTCGTCCCTAAGGAAACACCCCAGCCCCAATCCTTATCAAGGGAGCAAAGACACAATTCTCCAGCTTCTCTCTGTTTGCAAGTGAGACCTTTTCTCCCCGCAATAAAATAAACTTTTAACAAGAATTGTTACAAAGTCGCAAGAATAAAAATAGTGTGGCACTGTGGCAAAAATGAGAAAACAGACCCATGGAACATGAGGGAGAGCTCAGAAAAAGACATGAGAATAAGTGAAAACTTCACATTTGATAAAGACAGCCCCTGCTCAAACCAAAATCCTGGGAAACTGATGGATTTTACAGTTGTAAAAGAAAAAAGTGGATCAATTTAACTTCACAGAAGTTGAATATGCTCAAGATGGTAGTTTTTGCAGATAAAGGATAGTAATGAAAAGTACCCTCCAAAAGTTGAAAGGCAATATTTTGCAACCCAAGACAGAAAAAAAAAAATCAATTTTGGCTGGGCGTGGTGGCTCATGCCTGTAATCCCAGCACTTTGGGAGGCTAAGGCAGGTGGATCACAACATGAGGAGATCGAGACCATCCTAGCTAACACAGTGAAACCCCGTCTCTACTAAAAATACAAAAACTTAGCGGGGTATGGTGGAGGGCACCTGTAGTCCCAGCTACTCGGGAGGCTGAGGCAAGAGAATGGCTTGAACCTGGGAGGTGGAGGTTGCAGTGAGCTGAGATCACACCACTGCACTCCAACCTGGGCGATAGAGACTGCATCTCAAAAAAAAAAAATCAATTTTAATACACATTCTTAAAAGTAAATATTTTTAAAGAATCCAAAGAAAAAGAGCAAAAAAATAAAGGAACCACTTCCATAAAAAGAAACAAACATCAACACGTGAAAGAGATGTTCAACCTCACTCTTATTTAAAACAATGTCCATCAAAAGAAGAAATATGAAGATTGGCATAGATTTTAAAATTTAATAATACATTAGTAGTATTGGTAAAGTTATGGGAAAACTTGTGCCATCAAACTCAGCTAATAGGAAAGGATTTGCAATGATAATTAAAATTGTACAGTGCAAATGTTCTTTGATTCAGCAATTGCACTTCAGGGAATTTGTCCTGCAGAGATGCTTATACATGCAAGGAATGGTCACTGTGCACACATGCTGACTGCCTCATGTCCACTTTTAGCAAAAGGTTGGAAACAAGCCACATACACATTGATGGGAAGATGTTTAGATAAACAGCCACACGATGGAATACTATACAGCTACACAAAAGGAGGAAATAGGGATCACTAGTCTCATCACATTCTGCAGGCTGGAAGGTAAATCAGTACAGACACTGTGGAAGGCAAATTGGAAATATCTACTATAACTGAAAATGTTTATGTGCATTCAACATAGGAATGAGCTGAATAAATAAGGAATAAAATATTTAGCATTCAGAAAAAAATAGCATTAAGACACACTGTCGAGTGAAAACAAGTTACAAATATATACATTTGTGCACATAAAAAGGGCAAAAAGTATATGAATATATATTTATGAAATTAATGATTCAGAGATAGATGATAGATTGATAGATGACAGATAATAAATAAGAGATATAGAGAGATAGAGAATAGACAGATACATACATAGATGATAGAAACAGAGATACATAGATGATATATAGATAGTAGATAGGTATATAGATACATAGATAGATGATGGATAGATAGATAGATAGATAGATAGATAGATAGATAGATAACAAATCTATGGCTCTGGAGACACCTTTGGAGAATGAGAAAGGATTAGGTGGGGTGGCAGGATTGTCAAGGAAAAAGCTAGTCTTATCTGTAATATCTCATTTGGTGCAAGAAGAATCTGTTCTTATCACTGGTTTTATAATTTAATGCTCATTTTCCATGTGGTGTGTATATACAATGGAATACCATTCAGCCTTAAAAAAAAAAAAAGAAAGAAAACTTATTTTGTTTGCCACAACATGAAAGAACCTGGAGGAACTTATGCTAAGTGAAGTAAGCTAGGCTCAGAAACACAAACACACATGATCTTACTTATCTTGGGACCTAAAATAGTCAAGCTCATAGAAACAGGAGTGGAGGTCGGGCGCGGTGGCTCACGCCTGTAATCCCAGCACTTTGGGAGGCCAAGGGCGGCAGATCACAAGGTCAGGAGTTCAAGACCAGCCTGTCCAATATGGTGAAACCCCGTCTCTAATAAAAATACAAAAAAATTAGCCAAGCGTGGTTGCGGGAGCCTGTAATCCCAGCTACTCAGGAGGCTGAGGCAGGAGAATCACTTGAACCTGGGAGGCAGAGGTCGCAGTAAGCTGAGATCGTGCCACTGCACTCCAGCCTGGGTGACAGAGCGAGACTCCATCTCAAAAATGAAAAAAAAAAGAAAGAAAGAAAAGAAAAGAAATAGAAGCAGAATGATGGTTACCAGAGGCCAGGGCTGAGGGAGGGATAGAGAAGGGTGAGATGTTGGTCAAAGGATAGAAGCTTCAGTTAGACAAGAGGAATAGTTTTTGAGATCTACTGCACAGCATGGTGATTTAGTGAACAATGTATTAATTGAAATTGCTAAGAGAGTAAATTTCAAATGTTCTCAACATAAAAATGATAAATATATGAAGTGATGGATTTGTTCATTACCTTGATTTAATAATTTCAGGTTGTATACATACATCATAACATCACATTGTACCTCTAATATATATATGTTCTCAACATAAAAATGATAAATATATGAAGTGATGGATTTGTTCATTACCTTGATTTAATAATTTCAGGTTGTATACATACATCATAACATCACATTGTACCTCTAATATATATAATTAAAATTTATCAATGAAAGAACAATTTAAAAACAAACTCATTTTTGAAAACTCGTATTTTAAGAAAAATAGATCTCAGAGATAATGTCCAGAACTGCGTCTATTTTGTATAGTTTTCTTTACAAAGAAAAACACAGTATGTGTTCATATAAATAAAAATCACAGTGTGAATTCATATAAATGTGGGCATTGGGATAGCCATTTTCTGGAAGAATACACAGAAAACTGTTGACCATAGTCACTGCTAAGGTGGAGCTTAATAAGGAAGCTCATTTTTATCATAAAATTTTTTGGACCCTTTCTTTTAACCACATCCATAATTTTGCTTGAAATCTGGATTTTATACTCCAGGACATGGGTCCAGGCAAAGATTTTCTGTGTTAAGACCTCAAAAGCACAGGCAATAGACAAATGAGATTACATCAAGGTAAAAAGCTTCTGCACAGCAAAGGAAACAGTCAACAAAGTGAAGAATCAACTTACAGAATGGCAGAAAATATTCTCAAATTACTCATCTGACAAGCGATTAATAACCAGAATATATTATATAAGGAGCTCAAATAACTCAATAGGGGAAAAAGAACTCAAATCATCTTATTTAAAAATGGTCAAAAGATCTGAATAGACATTTCTTAAAATAAGACATACAAATGGCCAACAGATAGATGGAAAAATGCTCAATGTCACTAATCATCAGAGAAATGCAAATCAAAACCACAATGAGATATCATCTCATCCCAGTTAAAATGGCTTTTATCAAAAAGACAGGCAACGATAGACACTGGTGAGGATATGGAGAAAGGGGAACTCTCACACACTGTTGGCAGGAATATAAATTAGCGCAGCCACTGCAGAGAACAGCACAGAGGTTCCTCAAGAAACTAAAAGTAGAACTAACATATAACCCAGAAATTCCACTACTGAAAAGAAAGAGAAGAAATTTCTATCCCAAAGAAAGAAAATAAAACTGTTGAAGAGATATCTATACTTCCGTATTTATTGCAGCACTATTCAAAACAGCCAAAATATGGAATCAACCTAAGTGCCCATCAACTGAATGGATAAAGAAAATGTGGCGGCCGGGTGCGGTGGCTCATGCCTGTAATCCCAGCACTTTGGGAGGCCGAGGCAGGCAGATCATGAGGTCAGGAGTTCGAGACCAGCCTGGCCAATATGGTGAAACCCCAGCCCTATTAAAAATACAAAAATTAGCCAGGCATGGTGGTGTGCACCCATAGTCCCAGCTGCTTGGGAGGCTGAGGCAGAAGAATAGCTTGAACCCGGGAGGCAGAGGTTGCAGTGAGCCAAGATCGTGCCACCGCACTTCAGCCTGGGCGACAGAACAAGACTCTGTCTCAAAGAAAGAAAGAAAGGAAAGAAGAAAGAGAGAAAGAGAGAGAGGGAGGGAGGGAGGAAGGAAGGAAGGAAGAAAGGAAATGTGGCATGTATACACAATGGAATACTATGCACCATTAAAAACACTGGAATTTTGTCATTTGTGGCAACATGGATGGAACTGGAGGTCACTGTGGTAAGTAAATAAGCCAAAAAGAGAAAGACAAATATCGCATGTTCTCACTCACATGTGGGAGCTGAAAAAGTGGATCTCATGAAAGTAGAAGGTAGATTGGTAGAAGGGAGGGAGGGGTGAGGAGAAGTTGATTAACGGGCATAAATAAGAGGTTTGATAGGAGAAATAAAACCTAGCACTTGATAGATCAGTGGGTTCACTATAGTTTACGATATGTACTGTATATTCCTAAATAGTTAGCTTATGTTAGTTATGTTTCTAGCATAAAGAAAAGACTAAATATTTCAGGCGACAGATATCCCAAGTACACTGATTTGATCTTTACCAGTTATATGAATGTATTAGATTATCACATGTATTTCAAATCTATGTGCATCTATTTATGCAGCAATAAAAAATTGTTTGTTAAAAATGCAGAAAAATTATTGGTTTTAAAAGCAGAAAAATGTTTCTCCTCCTCACTGGACTGCTGTGCTGGGCAAAGGTGTGGACGAGAGGACACTGAATCCAAGACATCCGTCCATTCCAATGCTTCCTCTCCTTCCTCCAGCCCCTGGCCTGGCTCTGGTCTCAGAATGTCCCCACTGTGCCTTCATTCTACAGCTGGTCCTCTCCAGTACGCCCTCCACACTAGCCCTAGAAAGATCTTCCTGGTACCCAGATGTGACCTGTCCCTACACTGCTCAAACACTTCCCATGGCTCCCTATTGCCATTGGGCTAAAACTGAAGCCATTAACATTTTCCCCAAGGCTTCCACAGCCAGCCCCTGCTACCATCTCCGGTTTTATCATCTCATTACAACTCAGTCTCTCCCTCTCTCTCCCCTTCTCCTCCTTTCTGTCCTGACCCTGCTCTCTCTCTCTCTCCTTCTCTCTCTCTCCCTCGCTCTCCTCTCTCTCTTCCTCCCTCTCTCTTCCTCCCCCAAAGACCCCAGGCAGTCTTCTTGACCTAGAGCACTGCCCCCCAACTGTACCCAATTATCTACTGATCATTATTTAGGCTCTCAACTGAGACACTTTCTATACCCCCTAGTCCTGCTTCTCTTACTGTAAATCCCATCTCTGCCCATGTGGGCTGGGAGTGTCCTGCCCAGGGACAGCTCCACCACCAGGCTGGGAGCACCTGGAAAACAGATCCCTGGGTTGGTTCCTTCCCAGGTCTCCAGAGCACAGAAAGATGCTGTGCACAGATGTGGGGGTGAAAATGCAGTGTGGGAGTGTTTGCTGAATAAGGATGGGACGGATGAACAGTGCAAGTGTTCCGGACAAGAATGGATGAATTTTACCCCTAGGTCTCCCTTATAAAACCCTGGACTCGACTGGAGAGTAGGAATTAGGGAACAGAAGAGCAAACATTCAAGAAGTGAAGATGTTCAAAAAAAATGATATTTCTGGGAGGAAAGGAAGAGAGTGGAGGGGAAGTTCATTTGCTGAACACGTCTAAGTGGCGTTATCTGTCCTCACATATCATCACCAACTCTCTCAGAAGCCCAGGTCTTTCTGTCCTAAGGGCCTATAACCTTTCCCCAGACAGTCAGGATGGGTACTAAGTCCTGCCTGTGGTCCTCTGCTCCTATTCCCACTAGGCAATAGTGGCAGAATCAACAAAAACAGCTTTTCCTCCCCTCCCCACCTGGGGAGCAGAGCCAATGAGAAGGTCTCAGGAAGAGGCCACAAGCACCTGCACTCACCATTCAATCTCTTTAGGCTCACGGTCCTTCAGAAGTTCTTGCACCTCCTGCCGGCAGCGCTCCTGGTATTCTGGGTGCTTTGCAAGGTGGTACAGGACCCAGGAGAGACCACTGGCCGTGGTGTCATGGCCTGGGGGGCAGCAAGGCAGGCTTGGGTCTCTGGGCTGCTTCAGCACCCGAAGGTAGACAGCACCCATGCATTGAGGGCCTCAGGGAGGATGGGGGAAGGGGGATGGGAAGGTTGTGGGGGTCTACCCACCCTGTTCCTGGAAGGGAGAGATCCCGGTCCCCTCTCTAGCCCCACACTGGGGCCCTCACCCTCAAACATAAAGGTGTCAGCTTCTGCTCTTATGTCCTCATCAGATAACTTCTTCCCGTCTTCATCCTGGAGAGAAGGCAGTAACCCCCCCCAACCCCCACCCCCATAAAAAGTCACACTAGCTCTAAGGGCTCTTGAGTCTAATCTGAGACAGTCTCTGAAGATTCATCCTTTTTCCAGAAATCCAAGTCCATCTTGCACTCCTAGACCCCTCTTGGTCACCATGGCCAGAGCCCTCACCTCATGGCCTTCCTCTCTGGCTTCCTTGCCTCCTCTTGGGTTCCTACTGGGAAGACTCAATGACCCATGAATATTTTAATGAAAAGTTTCTGAGAAAAAGTTACTGGCAACCTGAGTTACAGGAGAATTAAATGGCAATTTCCCTTGGAAATTAGAGATTAAGTATTGCTTCAAAGATTTGCCCACATTCTAGAGTGATAAATCTAGAGAATCTTATCCCCCTGGAGACGTTTGGGTTGTAAGGCTAAGGACTATGGCATCTCACTGAAGAGGATTTGTTTATGCTCCAGAACAAAGCACACCATCTCTCACAAAGCTACCATTCTCACTCAATCTCTCTCTCTCTCTTTCTCTGTCTCTCTCATTCTCTTTCTTGGGAAGAAATAGAAAATGTGCCAAGACTCATAATGTAGGGCCCCTCTCTTAGGATGCAAACTCTGCTGCACATACAAGTGAAAACATTACCCTTGGAGAAATTTGACTTGAGGATGAAGAGCCAGTGCCACAATCCCACTCTGGCTAACAGTATTGCTGTGAGCAAGACATGGGCTGCTCTGATCTAGAGGTTTAATGCATCTGTCACAATAGACCTACACATAGACAAAGACATAGACACAGACACAAACACACATAGACAAAGTCATAGACTTAGAAACTGACACAGACACACAAATACACATAAACATAGACATAACACAGATATAGACACAGACACACACACATAAAGTCACAGACTTAGAAACACAAACACACAAATACAAATAAACATAGACATAGACACAGATATAGACACAGGCACACACATATAGACTAAGTCACAGACTTAGAAACACAGACACACAAATACACGTAAACATAGACATAGACACAGATATAGACACAGACATACGCACACATACACAAAAACACAGACTTAGAAACACAGACACACATAAACATAGACATAGACACACACACACATAGACAAAGTCACAGACTTAGAAACACAGACACATAAATACACATAAACATAGACATAGACACAGATATAGACACAGACACACACACATAGATAAAGTCACAGACTTAGAAACACAGACACACAAATACACGTAAACCTAGACATAGACACAGATATAGACACAGACACACACACACATAGACTAAGTCACAGACTTAGAAACATGGACACACAAATACACATAAACATAGACATAGACACAGATATAGACACAGGCACACACATATAGACTAAGTCACAGACTTAGAAACACAGACACACAAATACACGTAAACATAGACATAGACACAGATATAGACACAGACATACACACACATACACAAAATCACAGACTTAGAAACACAAACACACATAAACATAGACATAGACACAGACACACGCACACATAGACTAAGTCACAGACTTAGAAACACAGGCACACAAATACACATAAACCTAGACATAGACACAGATATAGACACAGACACACACACACATAGACAAAGTCACAGACTTAGAAACACAGACACACAAATACACGTAAACATAGACATAGACACAGATATAGATATAGACACAGACACACACACACATAGACTGTCACAGACTTAGAAACATGGACACACAAATACACATAAACACAGACATAGACACAGACACAAACACACATAGATGAAGTCACAGATTTAGAAACACAGACACACAAATACACATAAACAAACATAGACATAGACACACACACATAGACAAAGTCACAGACTTAGAAACACAGGCACACAAATACAAATACACATAAACATAGACACAGATAGACACAGACGCACACACATAGATGAAGTCACAGACTTAGAAACACAGACACACAAATACACATAAACATAGACATAGACACAGACACACACGCACATAGACAAAGTCACAAACTTAGAAACACAGACACACAAGTACACATAAACATAGACATAGACACAGATATAGATACAGACGCACACACATAGATGAAGTCACAGACTTAGAAACACAGACACACAAATACAAATACACATAGACATAGACACAGACACACACGCACATAGACAAAGTCACAGACTTAGAAACACAGACACACAAGTACACATAAACATAGACATAGACACAGATATAGACACAGACGCACACATACATAGACTAAGTCACAGACTTAGAAACACAGACACAAAAATACACATAAACATAGACATGACACACACTCAGACACAACTACTGATAGACATAAACATAGACATAGACAGAAACAGACACAAGCACAGGCACAGACAAAGATATAGACATAGCATTGACATAGACATAGCCATAGACGAAGACATAGTCATAGACACAGACAAAAAACATGGACATAGACATACACTGAGACAAAGACACAAACACAGAAAAAAGACAAAGGCATAGACGCAGACACAGATATACACATACACATAGACATGGATGAAAATATAGACAGAGACAAAGACATAAACAGAGACATAGAAAAGACAGGACAAAGGCGTAGACATAGACAAAGATGAAGACATAGATAAAAAGACATACAGATATGGCCAATTACAAAGACAAAGACATACACATAGTCACAGTCATAGAGACACAAACTCAAACAGAGACAAAGATATAGAAAGACATAGGCAAAAACATAAACATAGACCAGACATAGATATAGATGTAGATGTATGGAGTTAAATGTGGACAATTAACTCATTAGTTTGTAAATAGAGCAAACTCTCAGACTTGTCAGTTTCAAGCCTAGCAGCTCCCTGCTAGGTGCACTCCACAGTCATCTCTAAAACCTATCTCTGACCTGTCCCTCCCTTCCTCAATCACCTTCCATGGCTCCCTAGTGCCCTCTTAATCAAGTTCAAATCCTTTCATCTGACATTTCACATGAAGCTCCCTTCTACTTCTTGAATTCAGATCCCAGAGAGGCCCACCTTGCTCAGCAGGAGTACATCAATGAAGTCCAAAGTCTTGGATTTGGCCTTGGCTTGGAGGAAGTCATCAACACCCTGGCTAGGGAGAGTGCGGCGCCGCTCCTGGATGACGGCATCTGTGAAGTCGTGCACCAGGCGGCAGGCCCTGCGGAAACGCTGCCCATCAGGGGTGAGATAATACAGGAAGTCAATATGCAGGAGGATCTCATGGTGTCTTTTTGATACAAGGGCACTGAGCTCCAAGATGGCGGCAATATATTCACTGGGTTTCCTGCAGGATAAGGGCAGAAAGGGAGGCAACAATTTAATATACCTGAAGCCCCAGGATCACCTCCCACCAGCAGCCAGGATCTACCTCCTATCAGTAAACAGAGTATCCAGGAACAGATGACCCCACAGATACAGGGTGGGGATCAGCATGAGATTGATTCTCCAAGCTCTCTTCTCTCCCTGCATCCCATCTCTGTGAGATGCCTCCATGCCGCTAGGCACCCAGAGCATAGCTTGCACATTATTCTCCTATTCTCTCTTTCCCTCCCAGTATACAGTCCTGACCCGTCTCCTTGAAACTGTCCACAAAGCTCAGACTTTATCCTCCTGCAACTGGTCCATGGTCTAGCTTTCACCCTAGCCTCTTTGCATCAGTGTTAACTCCATTTAGTGCTACATTAGTCAGTCCCCTACAGAGCTCTGACCACACCCACCAGTTCAAACCCCTTCAATGGCTCCCTGGAAACCTCAAGATAAAGTTCATACCAGTCCTTCAATGATCAGGTATAACAAAACTCCTCCAGGAAGGTTTGTCTGGTTTCCCTGCTTAGTCCTCCCTCTCCCACCTACCCACTTTGGGTCCACAGCCCAAGATCCCAGATCCTGGGCAAGAACTTACTCCTGACAATGGCTGTCAAAGCTGAAGACACATTTCTGTAGACTGTCCAAGGTCATGAGGCTGATGTGCTCAAACATATCCAAACAGGCACTACCCTCTGAGGCCAGGAGCTGCCACTTGGCCTAGCCAGAGAAGGGGACAGAGCTGGGGCAGGCTCCTTGCTCCCTTGAGCACCTCTCCAACCCCAACTGCCAAGATGGGCTCCCCAGAATAAGCCTCTTCATCTTCTCCCCAGGGACCCCTCCCCAGGGAGCACCAGGTTATGGTGCAAACAAAAGCTGTTACTATTAAGAGATGAAGACCCAAGATTGGGAGTTAGGAGAACTAGGTTCAAGTTCCAGCTCTGTCCCCTGTGCTCTGTGTGCCATTAGTCAACTCATTACCCTCCCCTATATCCTGCCTGTCAAATCTTCAGAAACAGTTAAGATGATGTGCTTTGGAGCCATATAATTCACATTAGAAACTCTGCTCCACCTCGCCATGCTCACTTATTAGCTGGGTGAACTTGGGTTAGTTCCCTAATCTCTCAGACCTGCAGTTTCATCATCTACCATGGGGCAAAAATACATAATCTCTCCTTCGCAGAGCTGTTAAAATCAAATTAGACAATACATACTCGTATCATGGAATGGGCACATGGCATTGTTTCTGGCATATGGTATGTGATCAATAAATGTTGGATTTCCCCGTCTGCATTGTTATAAATTGATTTCAAAAATATCCCTGTTTTGGGGGAGGTAGTCCTTCGTTGAGTCCTGAGCATTCTTTCTGGGCATGTCATGAATGCAAGACACTGATGTCCTTAACATGGAAAATTTCTCAGAGTTGTGTTTGCGAAGAAAAACTTTGAGGGATAAGGTAAAGACTCCCTCTAGACATGTTGCTTTTGCTTTCTATAAAAGCAGATTCCCTAAGCTTAAAGCTCCTCTTCTGTAATGCAATATATGATGTCAGCAGGCACTTATAGAAGCCCACCTGTGTCAGCCCATGGGATTTGGGAAGCTTGGAGGGAAAAAAGGCAATCTAACAAGAAACACATGCTGCTGTCTGTGTCATGAGTAGTAAACTATCCTTTGTCTCTGACCCAGGAGTCTCTCGTCCTTCTGGAAGAATTTATGAAACAGTAACAAGCTAACTTATCAATTTGCAAGTTAAAAAAAAAATCCTAGATACTTCGCAAAACCTTTGCCACAATTCTTCCCTTCCTGCCATATCCACACCCTTTGCAATGTGATTTTTCAGCAACTCCCATTAATAGACAGAGCCTATTTTATCCCCCTGCCTTTGATTCTGTGTTGGACTTTTGGCTTTCGATGTCAAAATACAATGTGGTGAAAATGATGAGTTAATAACTAACGAAGCTAAGCCTTGTCTTACTCCTTGGAACCCTGCCTGCATTGTGAACCATGGCGCGCCTTCTGGAAGGAGACAATCATAGGGAGGAACATCCAGGGGTCCCAGATGAGGCCAAACCTAGACACGTGAGAGAACCCAAACATGTCCCAGCCAAAACCCAAACATGTGGCAGAATTCAGTCAACACCTGCAAGGCTGCCTACCTGACCCCCAGCTGCTCATGTACCATGAGTGGTCCCTTCCATATACAGAAGAACCTGCCAACTGTCCCAAAGACTTATTAGCAAACATAAACACTTATTGGTTTAAACCAATGAGTTTTCAGGTGGTTTCTTATCAGCAACAGCTACTATGAAATTGTTGTCATGACCCTCTTGTGTTTACAGGGCTTTGGTGATGGAAACATAGAAACAGACACCTTCTGGGCACCTGCTATGCACCAGAGACGTGACTCCATTACATTACTCTGACCATCTTTTAAGTAGGGATTATTATCCCCATTTTACAGATGAGGAAACCAAGGCTCAGTGAGAAAGAGCAATGGCCCAATGGCACCCAGCAGAGCCAAAACTCCAGACTAGATCTCTCTGTTGTCCTTTCACCCCAAGGCTGCAAGTGGGACCTTGGCTTCAAATAACTCACGTGCATGATGTTCACACTCTCATTGAAAATCTTCATATAGGGCTTCAGGATGTTGAAATGGAAGGCAGGCGTCAGCATCCGACGGTGGCGGCTCCACTTGTCACCAGCACTCAGCAGGAGCCCATCCCCTAGCAGGGCAGCCAAGGGCCATGGGCAAGGACCTCTCCCTCCCCTGGCCCCCCAACGTTTTTCCCAACCCTGTTCACCTGCAGATACTCACCCAGCCAGGGCTCCAGGAAGCTGTAGAAGAACTTGTCCTTTGGTGCAATGGCAGCTGACATAAATGAGGACAATCAGGGGCCATGGAGGCAGGTGAAAGAGGGACTTTGGGGGTGGGTGGAGGCTCCCAGCAAGAGGTTTGCACTTCTCCCACTCTGAGCCCCACATAGCAGGAAGAGGGCCAAGGGCAGAGGAAGAAGGGAGGATGGGGAGGGGAGGGAAGACCAGACCAGGCTACAGCAGCACAGTACAGCAATGACACTGCCTAACATGGCGTGTAGGAGCTATGTCAGGGTTCCAGCATGCCTTGACATGCCTCCTACACGATCCAACATGTTCCGCAACCCCTGAGCACAGCTCAGCATTCTACAGAATGCTTCACAAGGACCTAGGACACCCTGTCTGTCCCAGCACTCTCTGACATCTTCTGATATGGCATCTTCTGACATGGACCTGGACATGAGACATGACCCTGACATGTGTTCACATGTCCTGACATGGCCACAAAATACATGACAATTCCTAACATGAGATGGTGTGCTCTAACATGCACATGAGATGGTCTAACATGATCTTAAAAGCGTGTTCCACATACAGGCTCTGGGTTGAATATAAATATGGTACCTTTAATGTCACAGACATAGCCAACATGTGAACCAGACTGTTCCTCAGGCATGACCCAAATATACTATAACACATGCCTCAGACAAGACTCAAATAATGTCTCAGACAGTTCACATAGGGACCCTGGGTCCCAGACCTCACACAACCCCCAGACCTCACACAACGCCCAGATGTTTGGACCACCAGGAGAAAACGGCAGTGTCAAACAGCACCTGAGACAAGAACCAAACAGGCCCTCACATGCCCCAAATGTCCTTGGCCACAGATAAGCCCCAAACTTGACCAGCTCTACATGACCCCAGTTGGAATTATATACCAGATGTAACCAGGTATAACATATTTCAGGTGTAACCAGGACCCAGGTGTAAATATACAAGGCAGACCTGGCCATATAACAGCCATTGTAGAGACACGCCCCAGACATGAGCAAACAGCAACAGAGGTTAGACAGGTGGAAGTCCAGGGGCGATGGAGGCAATGGCATCTCCACCACAGCCCCTCCTGTCTGCACATCGGTCACGTGTTCAGCTGGAGGCAGCACAGCAACCCCAGCTGTGGGCAAAGCTTGGCCAGTGCGATGTCTACCTGGAGCAAAGAGCACAGGCTTGATGCACGTGGGGAGAAAGATGTGGATGACTGCCTGCCAGGGCCCCACCCACCAGCAGCCCATATCCCCAAAGGTGCACGCCAGGCTTTGTGTGTATAGGAGACCTTCTTCTGAGCTGTGAATCTGGAGAAAAACACACAGGACCCAATTCATGCTCTCCTAGGCTGTGAGAGAGAAGGATCTGCAGGGAAGAGGTCGAAGCCCTCTCCCTGAGAATTTCAAGCAGCATCTCATCCTCCTGTCAGTGCTGAGCACCCCCTGCCTCCTCACATCCTCCATGCAGGACTCTCCAGTCCTTCAGTTACACAGACAGAAAAGGTCTTTCCCCATGTGGATCCACACACCATGTTCCCTGGGCTCTCATTCATCCCATTTTCCAGATGAAGAGCCTGAGGCTCTGAACAATAAAGTCACTTGCCCACAGTCCCAGACCACGGCAAGCCTGAGGCCTAAGACTAGGTCTGTCTGCACCCATGGCCTGAATCCTTAACCAACAAACTTCTTTGTGCCCCCAAAACAGTAGCTCTGGAAGACCCAGGCCTACCAAGACTGGGCAATCAGAGACACAGGGATTGGGTGAAAAATTGGTCCTGTGATCCAGGCCAGGAGAAGTAAACCATGGGCCATTTCTGGGAACTCTAGGGGAAAGGTGGCCTTTCCCATAAGAACTGAGCTTCTGGGACTCATCGTTGACATCATGAGGAAAAGGCCACCTTGATAGGAAAAGCGACATGGAGAAAGCTAAAGCCAAGAGAGAAAGACAGATTTCCAGTGACCTTGTGTGAGACCTGGATCCAGCCATGCCTGAAGGCCACCCTCCCTGGACTTTAAAGTCAATAGATTATCTTTCTTTGCTTAGACCACACCAGGTTGGGTTTCCACCACTCACAACTGAAAGAGACTTCAATAACCAGAGACAGCTGGGTACCAGCCCAGAGTCACTCAGCATTTTGAGGTCAGAGCCATGGTCTCTGTAGGATGCTGCCCATTCCCCCTGCTCAGCCTCGCCCGTCCAACGATGGGAAGCACAGGGGTCAAGGAAAGGGACCCAAGCTGGGGTGGAGTCTCCTCTTGGAGATCCCCGGGACCTGCAGCAGGAGAGCAACGAACTTAGGGCAGACAAGCTATAGGATGGGGTAAAGGGAATTGACCCACCAGAGGTGGACATCATGGAAGTAGCAGCCCAGATCCCCCACCAGCCACAAGTCCTCCTCATTGTTCTAGGCTTTGGGACAGGCAAGGTGATGCTAGGCCTGGCAAGGGGCCTTGAATACTAACGATGTCCAATTGCCTCACCCTGCACTCTCCTTTCAAACATTCCTACTCATTGTTCCAGACACAGCTCCAGTAACTCCTCCTCTAGGAAGCCTTCCAGCCTGCCCCAGCAGAGACCTTGTTCTTCCCTGGGCTGTGATCCATCTCCCTCTGGCCCTTTCCTGATCCCATGAAGTTGGGGATATCTCTATCCAGGTCCATCTCCTTAAAGTTGGGGGTTCCTCCAGGACTGGGCCTTGGGTTGAGGTCTCTTAGGGTTCCAGGGCAGCCCAGAACACCAGAACAGGGGGTAGATGGCAATAGAGAGAGGAGACGCTGAGATGGAAATTGATGAATACATGAAAGAAAGATGAAGATAGCTGAGAGGGAAGGAAAGGAGAGGCCAGAGTACTGCAGGGCCCACACAGGAGCTTGGGGATAGCGGAAGTGCAGGCCTCAAATGCACTGCCCCACCAGCTGTTCCAGATGGTACCTGAGGCGTTGATGACAGACCGGATGATGTCGGGGTGGCACAAACTGAGGAGGGGGGAGATGGGTCCCATCCAGACCTTAAAGCCCTGGGGGTAGGTGGCCACCAGCTGAGTCAGAACTCTCATGCCCTCCTCTGTGGGGTTGACCTGCAAGCAAGGCAGGGGTCATTACCTTCTGTGATAGTTAATTCTAGGTGTCTACTTGACTGGGCTAAGGGATGCCCAGGTAGTTGGTCAAACATTATTTCTGGGTGTGTCTAATCTATTCATCCTATCTATCTAATTTTTCTATCTATATATCTATCTGCCTACCCATCTATCCATCAATCCATTTTATCTGTGCTTTCATCCATCCATATATTCATCTGTCTGTCTGCTTATCATCTATTAATAGCCATCTATCCGTCTAATCTATCCATCATATATATCTACTCCATCTGTCTACATAATCTATCCATCCTATCTACTCTATCTACCCATCCATCCATCATCCATCCATCCATCCATCCTATCTGTGCATCCGTGTGTCCATGCATCCATATGTCCTATTATTTGTCTATCTATCTATCCATCCATCCATCCATCCATCCATCCATCCATCCATGCTATCTGTGCATCCATGTGTCCATGCATCCATCTATTCTATTATCTATCTACCTACGTGCCTGTCCATCCATCCATCCATCCATCTATCCATCCTATCTGTGCATCTATCTATCTATCCTATTAGCTATCTATCTATCTATCTATCTATCTATCTATCTATCTATCTACATTCCTCCTGCTCTATCTATCTATCTATCCACATTCCTCCTGCTCTATCTCTCTTGGGTCCATCTCCAAGTCCCAAGGGTGCATCCCAGGGCAGAGGGAGAAGACGCACTGTCCACTCACAGAGGCCCAGTTATCTTGAGAGGAAGGATTTTCTTTTTCTGGGAGTCATTTCAGCCCAGAGGCAGCTATATGGGGAGGTCCTCACAGGGGAGATTTGTGGGGAGCAGTATCGCCTCAGGACATGTCCCTAAGGCTGGTCCCCACATGCCTTCATGTCCTGGCTGATCCACAGAGGCTCCAGTTCCTCCCATGGAGAAGGTTCTGCACATGGGAGACCTTCCCTTTTCAGCAGCCACTAGTGGAGCAGAGGTGACTCTAACTGTCCATCAGGACAATGGCTCCCACCTGGGAGCAGCTTCTGCAGCAGGCTCTGTGCTAGTGTGTCCTGTGCACCCTTCCACTTTATCTGTGGACACATCCATCAATCCTGCCATTTGCAAATGAGCAGACTAAGACCACATTCCCCAAAGAGGAGAGCGGTCTAAGTCAGAGGGCAAGGTCACGGGGAGGAGAAAGGCCAAGGAAAGCTTCTGAAAGGTGAAGTGAGTGGCCAACTTTTATCTGGGTTTGGCAACAGGTCTCATTGATAAGAGGGAGATAAGAAGAAGAATATAAGAGAAAGGTGCCTTCGGGTGTAGTGGAAGTGGGAGACGGCCCATGCCTCTCCTCTGGCCCAGCTGTACCCTCATAACAGGAAATAGTCCAGGCAAGGAGAGGACCCTGGACAGTGGGCATAAGAAGCCTCGAGTCCAGCAATGGAGAATGTGGGAATGCCAGGGACTCGCCTCTCTGTGCAGCCAACCCTCTGCCCAGGAGCCCCGCAGAGGTGCATTAATGTGGGAAGACAGGCAGGAAAAGGATTCAATGCAGGCCTGGAGTGGGAGGACAAGGAAGTGAGAAGGGCTTGCGTAGGCACCTCACAGAAATGAATAAGCAGAGGAATGAGTAAGATGCCTCCTCTGCTTCTCTGCCACCCCAGATCCCAGCCCACCCCTTCACCCCCACTCCCTAAGCCTCGTACCCCTCAGGAAGTCCATCCATCCTGAGACCTAGACCCATCCTGCTGCCACACTCACCATGCCCTGGTGTCCCCAAAACCAGTTCCGTCTTGGGGGTTGTGGGAAACACCGAAGGCGGCGGCAGTTGTCATAGAAGGCGTAGGTCCAGGCCAGGACATGGGCCAGGAGCCAGGAGGCCCCGACCAGCAGGAGGAGCAGCCAAGGGGATGCTGCCACTGGCCAGAGGCCCAGCCAGGACAGGCTCAGCTGGGACATCCTGCAGGGCAGACGGGATGGACGGTGAGATCCTGAGGCCCAGAGAACGGCCCAGGGACCTCCAGGGACAGTGGAGAGGCAGGGACGGGCAGTGCCGGAGGTAGAGCAGGGAGGGCTCAGGGATGGGTAAAAAGGGGCTGAGAGGTAAAGTCCAGAAAGGCCCAACCAAAACCAGCAGCCAAGTGGCCTCCAGTTCCCTAGTAAGCACTTAGAATGGGAAAGAGAGAGAGAGACTGATTAAAGTCCAGAAAGGCCCAGCCTGAATCACTGTGAGGTTGCCAGGGGCTTGGTTTCAGTTACTCGGAAACCACCCATCCTCCAGGCCAGCACCCAGGAGCTGCGTGGGCCTTGGGCAGTGCCCCTCTCCATCCCAGGCCAGGACCCCCCCCAGGCCTGCCACCCCCAGCCTGGCACCTTCTGTCAGGAGCAGTCTGTCCCAGACAACCTCCTCTCTCTGTCTGCTGGGAGGCCTTTGACCCTGGCCCTTGATATAGCAAAGGCTGTGGGAGGGCTGGCTGGGTTGGGCTGGGCCAACCAATCCCTGCAGCCTGGATGTGTCTCCTGAGCCTGGGCAGCCAATCAACACCTGGCGTCAGGCCAGCTGGGTGCAGAGGAATCAGCTCAGGGTCCAGATGGATGGGTAGATGCACAGATAGATAGAGTAGATAGGATGGATACATTAGGTAGATAGATAAAGTAGATATAGATAATGGATATATTAGACAGATGGATAGATAGCTATTAATAGATGATAGATAGATACATAGATAATAGGATAAATAGATGGAATGGATAAACGTACAGCTAAGATGGATTGATGGATGGATGGGTAGGCAAATATATATATAGATGAGAAATTAGATAGATAGGATGAATAGATTAGATAGACACACCCAGAAATAATGTTCCATCTCTGTCCCAGATATGTGGGATCCTCATTTGTGACATGGGAACTAGGGATCTTGGATCACTCCAATCACTCCAGATGCTACAAGGCCAGTGACTTACTCAGTATGATGCTGAGGAACATGACCATCAGAAACAGGATCAGAGTCACTCTCAAGCAAAAAAAAAAAAAAAAAAAAAAAAAAAAAAAAAAAAAACTCCAAGGATTAAATGATTTTTCCCATTGTCCTGGGGAGAAATTAATCCAAGGGAGGTCACAGGAGGGCAAATAATTCCCCATCACCACCACCACCACCATGAGCATACCATCACCCATGGAGTTTTCTGATTTACTCTTTGGCCCATTAAGCGTGAAATTTCTTATGCTAGGTTTCTTTCTGATAAGGGAGAAGAGATTAGTATCTCTACATTTCCTCTCCTCCTGCTACCTAGTCTCTGTATTCTAGGTTAAATTATAATTTATGTTGAGGATTTACAATGGCTGATACACCTAGCTGAGCCTTCTGCACAGAGATACATTGGGAGTGGAGGTTAATTGGGTCAAAGGAGAAATGCCATAAGCCCACACTCCAGCCTATCAGGGTGGATTAAAGGTCTGATTTGCCCAACTCTTGTCACACCTGCTCCCACTGAGAGGTGACAGCATGCTGGCAGTCCTCACAGCCCTCACTCGCTCTCGGCGCCTCCTCTGCCTGGGCTCCCACTTTGGCGGCACTTGAGGAGCCCTTCAGCCCACCGCTGCACTGTGGGAGCCCCTTTCTTTTCTCTTCTTTTCTTTTTTTTTGGATTTTTTTATTATTATTATTATACTTTAAGTTTTAGGGTACATGCGCACAATGTGCAGGTTAGTTACATATGTATACATGTGCCATGCTGGTGCGCTGCACCCACTAACTCGTCATCTAGCATTAGGTATATCTCCCAATGCTATCCCTCCCCCCTCCCCCCACCCCACAACAGTCCCCAGAGTGTGATGTTCCCCTTCCTGTGTCCATATGTTCTCATTGTGTAGGGACATGGATGAAATTGGAAATCATCATTCTCAGTAAACTATCGCAAGAACAAAAAACCAAACACCGCATATTCTCACTTATAGGTGTAGGAGCCCCTTTCTAGGCTGGCCAAGGCCAGAGCCGGCTCCCTCAGCTTGCAGGGAGGTATGGAGGGAGAGGCGCGAGTACGAACCGGGGCTGCGCGCGGCACTTGCGGGCCAGCTAGAGTTCCAGGTGGGCGTAGGCTTGGCAGGCCCCGCACTCGGAGCAGCCGGCCGGCCCTGCCAGCCCCGGGCAATGAGGGGCTTAGCACCCGGGCCAGCGGCTGCTCGGGAAGGTGTACTCGGTCCCCCAGCAGTGCCAGCCCACCGGCGCTGCGCTCGATTTCTCGCCGGGCCTTAGCTGCCTTCCCGCGGGGCAGGGCCCAGGACCTGCAGCCCGCCATGCCTGAGCCCCCGGCCTCCGTAGGTTCCTGTGCAGCCCGAGCCTCCCCGATGAGCGCCGCCCCCTGCTCCAGGGCGCCCAGTCCCATCGACCACCCAAGGGCTGAGGAGTGCGAGCGCACGGCGCGGGACTGGCAGGCAGCTCCACCTGCAGCCCCGGTGCGGGATCCACTGGGTGAAGCCAGCTGGGCTTCTGAGTCTGGTGGGGACGTGGAGAACCTTTGTGTCTAGCTCAAGGATTGTGAACGCACCAATCAGCGCCCTGTCAAAACAGACCACTTGGCTCTACCAATCAGCAGGACATAGGTAGGGCCAGATAAGAGAATAAAAGCAGGCTGCCCGAGCCAGCAGTGGCAACCCGCTCAGGCCCCCTTCCACATTGTGGAAGCTTTGTTCTTTCACTCTTTGCAATAAATCTTGCTGCTGCTCACTCTTTAGGTTCACACTGCTTTTATGAGCTGTAACACTCACCGCGAAAGTCTGCAGCTTCACTCCTGAGCCAGCGAGACCACGAACCCACCAGAAGGAAGAAACTCCGAACACATCTGAACATCAGAAAGAACAAACTCCAGACGCGCCACCTTAAGAGCTGTAACACTCACCGCGAGGGTCCGCGGCTTCATTCTTGAAGTCAGTGAGACCAAGAACCCACCAATTCCGGACACACCATTGTCTGAGTAAGTTTGGGTGCCAGGACTATGAGGTCGTGTGAAGACTTCCAGCCCCATACCTGCAGAACAGTCTGCAGCTCACTCTGCTCTGAACTGCCCCAACTTTGCACAGATATTCTCCATTCCTCGAAATGAAACTGTATCCTTCAAAGCTCACACATTTCGCTTATTGGCTCAGCGTAGGGAGCAAGTTCTCTAGATAGCTTACTACCAAATAAAATGGTGGAGAAGGGAACCCAGGCAGCTGGGCACAAAAAAGGAATGAGCAACAAGCTTCCTCTCTGAACATGATTTTCTGTGTAAGGTCTTGGACACTCCCTCGACTGCTTCCAGCCATCTGCCTCATGCTAGGTTTCTAGTTAATGTGGAATGAAAACTCTCACATCTTCCTTCTAGATGTAGCTGTGGTAATTGCAACTTAGGCAGTTGTGCTTGAGAATCTTCTTCTTAATACCACATGGCAAGGTCATTCCCCAATGCTTTTATTTACCTTCACTTGAATTTTTATATTAAACATTGGATTGAACAAGAACGGAGAAGAGAATCACAATTATTGTGTAGATGCTACATTGTAGTTACATTTTCTCTTGTAATTATTACAGTGCTGGGACTATTCGAGCTTTAAAATCCTTTCTGAAGATCCTAAAGCTACTCAGTGGTTCTGCTGGCATTAGGGGTTGATATGGTTTGGGTCTGTCTGTGTCCCTTCCCAAATCTCATGTTGAATTGTAATCCCCAATGCTGGATGTGGCGCCTGGTGGGAGGTGTTTGGATCATGGGGGCGGATCCCTCATGGCTTGATGTGGTCTTCGTGTTAGTGAGTTCTTGCAAGATATGGTTATTTAAAACTGTGTAGCACCTGACCCTCTCTCTCTTGCTCCTGCTTTTGCCAAGTGATGTGCCCGCTCCCACTTTGCCTTCTAACACGAGTAAAAGCTCCCTGAGGCCTCCCCAGAACCAGATGCCACTATGCTTCCTGTACAGCCTGCAGAACCGTGATCCAGTTAAACCTCTTTTGTTTACAAATTACCCAGTCTCAGGTATTTCCTTTTTTTTTTTTTTTTTTTTTGGTCTTAAACTCCAAGCCTCAAGCAATTCTCCCACCTTGGCATCCTAAAATGCTGGGATTACAGGCATGAGCCACCATACCCAGCCAGGTATTTCTTTATAGCAACACAAGAGTGGCCTAATACAGAGGGATATTGCCAATGATTTAATAGTAGTCTTCTTTTCTGTATGTCACTCTGCTTGACTAACCTTAAACAGTCTCTTTAAATAATTTGTAAGATTCACCTAACTACACTTTTCATATTGTCCTTCAATCCTTGCACTTATGGCATAAACATGTTTTATGATTATTATATAGGTATTTAAATAATGCATATGGGTCCTATATTTCTCTATCAATGTTATAATTTTTACCAGCTACATAATTTTGAATCACATGTATATACCATCATTTACCTTCCATCCATCCAAAAGATACGAGAAGGGGAAAGAAAAGAATAAAAGGTAAGTGCTAATAGATAATCCGAATAGGCCTATATCTATTAAATCGATTGAAACAATAATTAATAACCTTCCAAAACAGAAAGCCAAGACCCCAATTGGTTCACTGATTAATTCTACTAGACTTTTTTTTTTTTGAGGGGGTGGCAAAAGAGCTTTATTTACACACTGGCACAAGGCCCGCCGGGTGTCAGCTGAAGAAGTAGGTGGAACGCTTCACCAGCTCCAGGTCGAAGGCCCCTGGCTTGGGCACCACCTGCAGTGTCTCCTTCATCTGGCTGGCCTCCAAGATCTTCTGGGGCTCAGAGCAGAACCGCCTGACCAGGAACCTGGACAGGTCCTGCAGGATGGACTCGCTGTGCAAGCAAACTGCTCCCGGCACACCTGGTTCATGATGGAGACATCAGCTGCATGGGTCCGGTAACAGTCGTGCACAGAGACGAAGGTCAGGCCCTTCCTGTAGCAGTGCAGGGTGGTGAGCATCATGTGTGAGGAGTCCAGCGAGTGGATGAAGTTGGGCCGGAAGCCGTTCTTCTGCTTAGGTGTGTTGGGCTTCCGGCTGATGTCTCTGTTGTGGGTGTAAGTGATGCTCTGAATTCCACCTCCTGATTGCTTGACCTTGGACTCCAGGCGATACGGCTGGATGATGGGGACGCCCAGGGGGGTGACCCACTCCACCACAGAGCCCGTGTGGGAGACGAGGTGGGCGCTCTCGATCAGCCAGTGCTGGATGGCCCGGGTCCCCGAGAACATCTCCTGTAGACTCCTGAAGACCTGGCGTACGAGGTAGTGGGAGGCCTCCCACACGAACTCCTGGGGAAAGTCGTTCAGCTCCCGGAGGCGCTTCTCAATCTGCAGGCGCCCACCGTAGCGGGTGACCCCGTACACCACGGTCATCACTGTCTGCTTCACCACCTTGCGGGTGATGAAGGCTTCCAGCACCTGTGCCACCCGCATGCCCCGCTGGGCGTCCTGCCTACGGAACACCTCCACCTGCGCGGCCACGCCGCTGTACACGTCCTGCGGCACATCCGAGGGCTCCAGGTTGACTGAGGCGGCGCCCACGCTGTCGCGGCCCAGGGCAGCATAATGCTGTAGGCCGTTGCATCTACTAAACATTTAAGGAAGGAATTATACCAATTTTCTTCCATGTCTTTTGAAAGACAGAAGCAGAGGAAATATTGCCTAATTCATTTTATGAGGCCAGCATTATACCTAATGGCAAATACAGACAAAGACATGACAAGAAATGAAAAGAGAAAGAAGAAAAGAAGAAAGAAACAAAAAAACTATACAGATTAATATTGCTCACAAACCTAGATGCAAAATCCTCAAGAAAATATCAAATCAAATCCAACAATGTATAAAAATAATTACATATGTTAACAGGGGTGAGATGACATCTTATCATGGTTTTGACTTGCATTTCCTAGATGATTAGTGATGTTGACCATTTTTTAATGTATGTGTTTGCCATTTGTATCTCCTCTTTTGAGAAATGTCTATTCAGATAGTTTGCCTATTTTTTAAAAGGATTATTTTGAGGTGGTTTTTTTTTTTGCTATTCAGTTGTTTAAGTTCCTTATGTATTCTAATTACTAATCCCTTGTCAGATGGATGATTTGCAAATATTTTTTCTCATTCTGTAGGTTGTCTCTTCACTTTGTTGATTTGTTTCTTTGCTGTGCAGAAGCTTTTTGGTTTCGTATGACCCCGTTTGTCTATTTGCTTTTGTTGCCTGTGCTTTTGAGGTCTTACCAAAAAAAAAATCCTTGCCCAGACCAATGTCCTGAGGTGTCTCCCAGATGTTTTCTTCTACTGGTTCAAAGTGTCGTGTCTTGCATTTAAGTCTGTAATCTATTGTGATTGTTAATATTGAGTGTCAACTTGATTGGATTGAAGGATGCAAAGTATTTTTCCTGGGTGTGTCTGTGAGGGTGTTGTCAAAGGAGATTAACATTTGAGTCAGTGGACTGGGAAAGGCAGACCCACCCTCAATCTGGGTGGGCACAATCTAATCAGCTGCCAGTGCAGCCAGAAAAAAAGCAGGCAGAAAAACGTGAAGAGACTAGACTGGCTTATCGTCCCAGCCTACATCTTTCTCCCTCGCTGGTTGCTTTCTGCCCTTGAACATCAAACTCCAAATTCCTCATCTTTGAGACTTGGACTAGTTTCCTTGCTCCTCACCTTGCAGACAGCCTACTGTGGGACCTCACCTTGAGATTGTGTGAGTCAATATTCCTTAATAAACCCCCCTTTATATGTACATCTATCCTACTAGTCTGTTGCTCTAAAGACCACTGACTAATACAGATTTTGGCACCAGGAGTGGGGTTCATACATCTATCCTATTAGTTCTGTCCCTCTAGAGAACCCTGACTAATACAGATTTTGGTACCAGAAGTGGGATTCATACATCTATCCTACTAATTCTGTCCCTCTAGAGAACCCTAACTAATACATCTATCTTGATTTGATTTTTGAATAGGATGAAAGAGAGGGGTCTAGTTTCTTCTTCTAAATATGAAGATCCAGTTTTTTCAGCACCATTTATTGAAGAGACTGTTTTTTTCTAACTGAATGGTCTTTGCACTTTTGTCAAAAATTAGTTGGCTCTAAATTCATGGATTTATTTCTGGGTTCTCTGTTCTGTTCCATTGGTCTATGCATCTCTTTTTATACCAGTACTATATGGTTTTGGCTATAGCATTGTAGTATAATTTGAAGTTGGCAGTGTAATATCTCCATCTAAGTTCTTTTTTCTCAGGACAGCTTTGGCTATTTGGGGTCTTCTGTGATACCACACGAATTTTAGAATTTTTTTGTATTTTTATGAAGAATCTCATTGGTATTCTCATAGGAATTGCATTCTATCTCTATATTGCTTTTAGTAGTAGAGTCATTTTTGCAATATTATTTCTTCCAATCCATGAACATGGGAAGATGTTCCATTTTTGAGGGACCTTTTCCATTTCTTTCATCAGTGTTTTATAGCATTTCTTGCAGAGAACTTTCAACTACTTGGTTAAATTTATTCCTAAATATTATATATGCACCTATTGTAAATGGCATTGCTTTCTTTTTCTTTTTCTGCTAGCTCATCATTTGTGTATGGGAACACTAGTGATTTTTGTATGCTGATTTTGAATCCTGCTGCTTTATTGAATTTGTTTACCAGTTCTAAGACAGTTTTGGTGGAGCTTTTAGGGTTTTCTATGCACATATTATGTCATCTTCAAACAGGGAAAATTTGACATCCTTGCCCTTTATTTCTTTCTCTTGCCTGATTTCTCTGGCCAAGACTTCCAGCACTATGCTGAATAAAAGTGGTGAAGGTGGGCATACTTGTTTTGTTCCAGTTCTTAGAGGAAAAGCTTTCAGTGTTTCCCCATTTTGTATGATGGTGGCTGTGGATTTTTCATGCCTATCCTTTATTTTGTTAGGTATACTTGTTCTATATATTTATTTTGTTATGTATGCTTGTTCTATACCTACTTTGTTTAGTGTTTTTTATCATGAAGAAATGTTGAATTTTATCAAATGCTTTTCCTGCATTTATTGAGATGATTATATGGTTTTTGCTATTCACTCTGTTGCTCTTCAATAAATATGATGTGATGTCATTTTTTTTATTTGAATATGTCAAAACATCCTTGCATCCCTGGGATAAATCTCAATTGATCATAGTAAATTATCTTTGTAGTGTGCTGGTGGATTTGATTTCCTAGTATGTCATTGAGAATTATTGCACTTCTATTCATCAGCGATATTGGTCTGCTGTTTTCATTTCTTCTTGTGTCCCATTCTGGTTTTGGTATAAGGGTAATGCTGCCTTCATAGAATGAATTAAGAAGAACTCTCTTTTCTTTGATTTTTTGGAACAGTTTGAAAAGAATGGGTATTAAGTATTTTTTTTAATGTTTGGTAGAATTCAGCATTGAAGCCATCAGGTCCTGGGCTTTTCTTTGATGAGAGAGTTTTTATTACTGGTTATATTTCATTACTTGTAATTAGTCTGTTTAGACTCTCTATTTCTTTTTGGTTCAATCTTGATAGGTTGTATGTGCCTGAGAAATTATACATTTTTACTAGGCTTTCCAATTTGTTGACTCATGGTTGATTGTAATAGACTCCAATGATTCTTTGTATTTCTGTGGTATCAATTGTCATGTCTCCTTTTTCATGTCTGATTTCATTTATTTGAGTCTTTCTTTTTTCTTACTTTGTTTAGCTAAACATTTGTTAATTTTGTTTATTTTTTTACAAACAAAACTCTTTGTTTTATTGATCTTTTGTATTTTATTTTTACTTTCAATTTCATTTATTTTTGCTCTGATCTTCATTAGTTCATTTTTCCTACTAATTTTGAGTTTGGTTTGCTTTTGTTTTTCTTGTTCCTTGAGGTGCATCATTAGATTGTTTATTTGAAATATTTCTACTTTTTTCGATGTAGGTGTTTATTGCTATAAAATTCCTTCTTAATACTGCTTTTGCTGTATCCCATAGCTTTTGATACATTGTGTTTATACTTTCATGTGATTCAAGAAATTTTAAATGTACTTCCTAATTTTTTATTAATCCATTGGTTGTTCAAGAGCATGTTGTTAATTTTGATGTATTTGTACAGTTTTGAAAGTTATTTCTGTTATTGATTTCTAGCTTTATTTCCTTGCCGTCAGAAAGTATACTTGATGTGATTTCAGTACTTTTAAACTTGTTGAGACTTGCTTTGTAGCCCAATGTGTGGTCTCTCCAGGAGATTTTTCCATGTGCTAATGAAAAAAAATGTGTATTCTGCAGCTGTTGCATGAACTATTCTGTCAATGTCTGTTAAGTCTATTTGGTCTAAAGTGAAATTTAAATACAATGTATCTTTGTTGACTTCCTGTCTAGATGATCTGTCCAGTATTGAGATTGGGTTATTGAAGTCTGCAACTATTATTGTATGGGAGTCTATCTCTCCCTTTAGATCTAATAATAATTGTTTTCTGTAGCTAGGTGCTCCAGTTTTGGGTGCATATATATTTACTATTGTTATATGCTCTTGCTGAATTTATCCCTTGTCTGTTTTATTTTTATCTGATATAAACATAGCTACTCCTATTTGATTTTGGTTCCCACTTGGGTAGAATGTCTTTTTCCATCCCTTCACTTTCAGTCTATATGTTTTTTGATAGGTAAAGTGAGTTTCTTATGGGAAGCACATAGTTGGGTCATTTAAAAAATCCATTCAGCCAGTCTATATATTTTAAGTGGGGGATTTAATCTGTTTACATTCAAAGTTATTATAGGTAAGAACCTTCTTCTGTCATTTTATTCATTGTTTGCTAGTTGTTTTGTATATCTTTTATTCCTCTCTTCCTCTCTTATTGTTTACGATTGTGGTTTTGGTAGTTTTCTGTAGTAATAAGGTTTGATTCTTTTCTCTTATGTGTATCTGCTTTGCCAGTGGATTTTATACTTTTGCATGTTGTCATGATGGTAATGATCCTCTTTTCACTTCCAGATGCAGGACTCCCTTGAACATTTCTTGTAAGACAAAAAGCTCAATATTGTCAGGATGTCAGTTCTTCCCAACTAAATCTATAGATTCAGTGAAATCACAATGAAAATATCAGAAAGGTTTTGGGTTTTTTTTTTACAATTTAAATTTTTACTAGAGAAAGATATTATTCACATCCACAATTTCTTAAAGTCCTTTATAAATGAGTGTATTCCATAAGAAATACACTAAAATCATTACTTATGTTTCATAGAGGGAAAAAACTATGAGAATACTATTAACCCAAACTATATCCATATTATACTTATTTCTTAAGCATTTACATGTTCAAATACGCTTGTTGGATAGTGATCATTCATCCCCACAGTGGTAAATTTCAGCATAATATTAAGTGACTGAGAGAGACTAAAGTAGTCACATGTAGATTAGATAAACAGATACTTATTCTGTTATACCTAAGCTTACTTATAAAGCAACATAAAATGAGCATTGGATAACAATGAAAACAAATGTAAACAAACAGAATTAAATGTTACTCCCTTCCCTGAAAAACAACAGATAAAAGGGCTTCTTGCTTTATTGAATACAAAACATGATCTATTGTAATAAAAAGGTAAGACATTGATTTTACAAAATTATATTTCCAAATACAGATAAAAAAATCTTGAACAGTTAATTCAGATTTTATTGATCTAAAATGTGCAAAATATCTGATAATACTTAAGTTTATTAAATTCATTGTACATAGGCTGATATCATCCCATACAAAAAAATGCTCAGTATCTTGTTAAGATTCAAAATAGTGTTTAATTATCTGAGCTTAAGATTTATTGAACTACTATCCAAATAACAACAAAAGTCCATATTGTAAAAGAAAAAAGTAAAACTAAAAATTTTCTGATTATTAATTGACTTGAAATTCATTCCCATTAAAACATAAAACTATAGCCAATATCCATTTGCAAAGTGAAGAAAAACTGGAAGTCCCCATGATAAATACACCAATTCCAAATAAAAAATTAAAATCAAATTTTGCTATTACAAAACACACATGATCTTTTAAGTTATTCAGGTTTAATAGATTTACTAAGGATAGAGTTCATAGAGCATGTATTTGGTACTTCTGTTTAGACTCAGGTATTTGCAAAGTACCCCAAGAGAAGGTTGAGAAGGTAAAATAAACATAAAATTGTGATACTTCTCTCCACACCACAACAAAGGTGCTTGGATTTAAAAATTCAATTTGTAACTCTAGAAGAAAAAGAGAAACAATTTACAACTCCAAAATATTTTCCAGAAAAATGACAAAACTGGTAACTACCTAGAAATGTTATTAGTGAATCAAAGTGCAAGTAATGACAGCATTAACATCAAATGTATTTGAAGACTCAAAGTTTTAAATGTTTTCAATGACAACTAGTTGATTTTTCTAAGGTGGTAGGTGTGAAATAAAGATAATACAAATCTAATTTTTCCAGGAACTATAGCACTGCCCGTCCCCATGAAATTAAATTATAATTTCACTGTTCAACATAATATAAAACTGTTTTGAGTAACAGTGAAATAGAAGCATGAATTTAGATACACACCAGCCCTATATGATGGACTTATTCACACATAGTATTTTTGATAACAACCTAATTAGATACTGTCTTTCATTGCTTACTATAATTCTGAGAAACCACTTTTAACAGTATACATTTACACTACCACTTAACTAAATGGGGACATATAAATATATAAATTTTTAAAGAAAAAAATTCCAGTTATTTAGAGGAGAAATAAAACTTCAATTATTTACTTTTTTGAAACTGCATTTAGATAAAAAGGTATATGGTTTATGATACTTTTCACAATGTAATAAATTTATATTCCAATTTTCTCATAAACGAGAGGTTGTAAAGCAAAATATTTGTTCCTTGAAAATAACCTCTCTCTTCTAACCCTGGTAAGAACAATGAGTGTGCCCTTAATTTCAAGACTCTTGTTGTCATCCATGTCAATTGTCTTTTTCATGAAGTATAATATTTTGAGAGAGAGAGAGAGTTGTAAAAATTAAAGAGAAAACCTGCTTTTGGAATGCAGCAATTCTAAATCATTTCACTAAGAAGCATCCTTTGATATGCTGGTCTGAATTTTTAATATAAAACCTAAGCAGTACTTATTTCTGAAGTAGAACTTTCTCCAGTTTTAATAACTTCATACATAGCAAGACTAAGGACATCAACCTGTGCTTTTGAGATTTTGGTAGGTGTTCTAATAATGTATTATTTTAGATATGGCTCATTGTCAAATTGGGTGGACAGAGATTTCATGAATTGGTTACAGAAAGCTAACTAAACTCTTAATGACTGAATAATGGTTTGCATTTTGCTTGAGCCAAAAAAGATGTTTAAGCCATGTACCACTACATTCCCTGCTTAACATTCCTAAGTTTCTTTATTCTTCATAGTTTTCTAATGAACATATATTTTCCTGAGTAAGATTATAAAAAAGTTAACCTTTCTTCCAAAAGTATAAAGACAAATAAAATGTCGACTCACAATACATATTTTTTGCATAGCATTAAAGGTGCGGAGATATTGCCTGCTCCTCTTCATTATGATTGGCCCACCTCTTAAAAAGACTGCAACAGGCCGGGCGCGGTGGCTCACACCTGTAATCCCAGCACTTTGGGAGGCCGAGGCGGGCGGATCACGAGGTCAGGAGATCGAGACCATCCTGCGTAACACGGTGAAACCCCGTCTCTACTGAAAAATACAAAAAATTAGCCGGGCGCGGTGGCAGGCGCCTGTAGTCCCAGCTACTCGGGAGGCTGAGGCAGGAGAATGGCCTGAACCCGGGAGGCAGAGCTTGCAGGGAGCCGAGATCGCGCCACTGCACTCCAGCCTGGGCAACAGAGACTCCGTCTCAAAAAAAAAAAAAAAATACTGCAACAGATGATTCAATTGTCTAAAATACTTCGAAGTACAGAAATTAAATGCTTTAGCCCATAAACATATCCCTTATCTACTGTGTTGCTAAGGAACATATCAGCCATATCTATCATGCACACTTCAGCAGTCTCTTGGCAACCAGTGGGAAGATGGTAGACAACTTTTTCCAGTTGGGAAAGTACATTTCCATTTAAATGTTCCTGTGACATGCTTTTCCACCCATTGTCTTGCTCTAGATTTTCAACTTTCAATGAAGTCTGACTGTGATACTTTTTTGTATACATTTTCCTGTGATGGGCATACATCTTGGACAAGCTTTTGCCTACTGAAGCCTCTATTTTTCCATTCACTGTGGAAGTTAATACATGAAAGTTATTATTGCACTCTAGTACTTCTGTGTCTGACAGTTGTCCTTTGGACAAAAACTTTTCTGCCAAATTTCTGTCATTCAGTTTTGTAGTGATTGGCTGAGATGAACCTTCCTAAAGAAACAGTAATGAACTTGCGTAAAAGTTAAGCTGCTTCTGGTTTTCAAACCACTGCAGAATTTTCTCAGTCTTCTGAATAATGGCAGCAACAGCATCTTTTATTAAGCAGTACCCATTATGAAAAAATCCGAAGACTCCATCCTTTATAGCTTCTTTTGTTAAGCTTCTTCCATAATGTTGGTTTGTGTCTCATAGCTATGGGAATGAACAAGATAAACCCTCATGCCAAGCACCAAGAACCCAATCTCTTCCATTAATGGGTCCTTGCTGACCTATTGCTGAATTTTCTCAGATGAGGCAAAAAGGATCATAGCTTTTTTGCCCTGTCTTTACATCCATTATACAGGGCTTATTAAATTTATGGGTCACATTTTCCAGTTTTAGGTATAAATCGTTTGGGGCAGCGGGAGGTGGCCAGATGCCATAATATTTTGGCAAATATTGTCGTAGCTCTAGAAGAACACCATCGGTACAGTCAGCAGCATAAACCATATTATAGAATTCCAGCTCTCTTGGGCCCCTTGGAGGTGGTTGTAACTGTTTCAAAACTGTGCCATCTGGATGTTGCAGTATACCCATTTTGTCCTTCCCATACCTGTGCCCGGCCACCTGATGCAAGATGGGCACACAGCCACTGAGGAAGCGGAGTCTGCCGCCTGCCGGCTGCAGGGTGCCCTTAGGGGTGGCCTCGATCGCCGGTGGGGTCCGCATTTCTGGGGGACCCGGCGCCTCGACCCGGAGCGGGGATGGTGGCTCTCTTGCCATAACGGAGAACAGAAGCGGTAGGGTCAGCAAGAGCAGGAAAAGAAAAATAGGGGGAGGGAGGGGGCGCCGGAGAACCCAGGGGTCGCTCAGGCTCGGGCGCGAGGAGGCCCGGGGGTTCCCGCGGCTGGTGCCCGCTGAGGTGAGGGGAGGGGGCCCATGACGCCGCGGCGGCGCGGGCACTCCCTCTGCCCAACTCTCGGCTGAGCGCGGCTCCCGGCTCAGGCCCCTCTGCCGCCGCAGCCGCGGGCCCAGTAGACACAACCCAGCCGAGGAGCAGCAGCAGCAGCAGCGGCGCCCCGCGCTCCCTGGGGCCCTCCAGAAAGTTTTTTTATGGATATCAGCAATCTAATTCTACAATTTATATGGAGAGACAAAAGACTCAGAATAACCAACACAATATTGAAGGAGTAGAACATAGTTGGAGGACTGACAATATCCAAGTTTTAAGACTTACCGTGAAGCTACAGTAACCAAGATGTTGCGGTATTGGTAAAAGAAAAGAGAAATAGGTCAATGGAACAGAATATTAAAAGCCCAAAAAATAGATCCAAATAAATATAGGCAACTTATATTTGATAAAGGTGCAAAGGCAATACGATGGTCCCAAATAAAAAATATAATGTATTTGGAGATCAGAATCAAGGCCAGAGTAACCGAGTGTAGCAAGGGAAGGAGATCAGCTACAGAAGAGATTAGAGAAGTCAACAGGGTTTAGCGATGCAACATCCCTTAGGCTATGAAAAGAGATCAATGTTTGTAGCAGGATTTTATTTTGAGACACTGACTGAGGTTTCTCTCATTCTCCTACCACCTCACACAGTCAGGTACCTTCACCATCCTCAGGAAAAAAAAAAAAATATATATATATATATATGTGTGTGTGTGTGTGTGTGTGTGTGTGTGTGTGTGTATATGTATATATGTGTGTGTGTGTGTGTGTGTGTGTGTATATATATATATATATAATATATATATATATATACATATCTTATATGCACAGCCCTCTAGGAGAAGAGGTTGTTCAAGGAGCACAGATATTAGAATTTTTGCCTTTGAGTTCCAAAACACAGCCTTTAAAGTCGTGGTAGAAATAACGATCTTGAAAGACAACATTCTTTAACAGCCAGACTTTCTGAGACAGGAAATAATAATGGCTCCATATATTTAGCATTCATTGTGTGCCAGGCACAGCTCTGAGTCCCTTATATTGAGACCTCAGGAAAACCCTGATATAGGTAATGCTGTTGTCTCCATTATATGGTTGAGGGAACCGAGGCACAGAGAGAGGAATTAACTTGCTCAAGTCACGCAGCAGAGCCAGGACTTGAGCCCAAGCAGTCTGGCTCCAGATCCTATGCCTCTGAAAGTAAGGGAAGAGAGTCACAGAGAGAACGCACTGGGAGGGGGAGAAACAGGGGTGGGAAGTTGGTGGAAAAAGGAACTAAAAATTTCTGAGAGCCTGCCAGGGTGGAAGCTGCACCCCTTTCCCTTTGTTCTGAGCTGAGGACTCCAGTCTTGGGAGGACATTCCCAGGACAGATGAAGGGATCTGCCCCTATGGTTGTTTCTCGCTGAATCAGAGTCTCAGTCTTGCTCCTTAAACCCATTCTTAATCCTGTTCCCTCTCCTGCTCAAACACCTCCCAGGGCTCCCTACTGCCCACAGGATAAAGTTTTTACTTGGGCTCTGGGAGAACCCACTAAGGGCCTAGATGCCCTGTGCTCAGCCAGAGAGGCCGTCAGGGTTTTGGGTTCAGAGACGTCACCCTGCCTCCACCCACTCACCTCCCTTTCTTAGATCCCACCAGTCCCCAGGAGCCCCATGCTGGCTGTCAACGAGGCTCAAGCAGAGGTGTCAGCATAGTTTTGTTTCTGGGACTCTACAGAGGTGGGTGGGTGGGTAGGACAGTCACTGTGAGTTCGCACCCAGGGGCTCCACCCGCAGCCAAAGTCCACCCTCTGCGCGCAATATCAGCTCGGGTTTCCTGCGGGGTTCAGTGTGGGTCGGCAGGATGCGGAAGTGCAGCAGGGTGAGCGCCAGGACCACCTTCATCTCAGCCATGGCGAACGCCTGCCCGATGCAGTTTCTGGGGGCAAAAGTGAGGGAATCTGACTGTGCCCATGACCCCCATCCCGGCCCCATCATGCTTAGAACCTGGCCTGGGACCCCAAACGCACCCACATAGGCTTGAGGGGCAGAAAGAGGGGATAAGTGTCCACAGGACTCCCATGTGTGCTTGCATATCCCCCAAACCTGGCCCAGGCTCCTACCCCCAGTTCAGATAAACAGATGAAGGAGGGGACTCTGAGCACACCGCAGACCCCTCTAGGACCTTCCCAAACCCATTCTGTGAACAGTTGCCCATGAACTCCTGAGGAAGGGAGGGAAGGAGAGCTGGAACTGGGACCATCTGTAACTTCCCCCTTTTTGGACCCCTGCACCCATCATGCCATCTCTGCCTCAGACACAGGCCATCCTTACCTGGGCCCTGCCGAGAAGGGAATAAAAGCCAGAGGTGACCTCTCCTTGATGTTCTCTTGGTCGAAACGGAAGGGGTCGTAGACCTGCAGGTGAGACCAAGAAGGCTTGCTGGGTGGGGTCACCCAGTTGGGTGGGGTCTCCCAGTTGTCTCCAAGACCCCCGGCCTTGGAGAGACATTTTGGCAGATGTGTCTCCATTGAGGAGAGGTGATGTTGGATTTTCCTGGTCAAAACCCTGTCACCTCCTCTAGGAACCTTGGAATGGACTCCAAAAAGGGTGGGGTGAGGGAGGCACTACCTCAGGGTCTGGCCACACAGTTGGGTTGTAATGGATCCCGATAATATTGATGAGGCAGACAATGCCTGTGGGAGAGAAGAGGGCAGTCAGGACAAGGCCCCCCTGCCTGAGGGACCCCTCTTGCTACCCAGGAGGCTCCTCCCCCTGAGGCTGTGAGCACCTTTGGGGATGACGCGGCCGTCTGGGAGCACAAAGTCCTGCGTGCAACATCGGGAGATGACCGGGACTGGGGGATGCAACCGCAGGCTCTCCTTAATGCACATGGTCAGGAAGGGCAGCTGGGCCAGGTCGTCCCTAAGAAAACACCCCAGCCCCAATCATTATCAAGGGAACAAAGACACAATTCTCCAGCTTCTCTGTTTCCAAGCGAGACTTTTTCTCCCTATCACAAAATAAATTCCACATGGATGAAATACTGGAGAATTTAAAAAGCAGAAAAAAATTAGAAAAGCAGAAAATTAGAAAAGTACCAGAAAAAAATGGTGCCGATTTTTTAAAGATTATTCTGAGGAAAACACAACACTCTGAAGCCAGCTATTAAAAAGGTTAACATATTGGCCTAAAGGTAAATATCCTTTATGGTAAGAAAGCAAACACAAAATGCAAGTGAATAAGAAACAAAATACCCAGATCCACTGTTTTGCTCTTATTCATCATTGTATTAGCGATAGTAGCAAATGCAATTAGACAAGGGAATAAAAAAGAGAGGAATGCAATTTGAAATGTGGTGGTGGCAGACGGTGATTTTATACTTAGAAAAACAGAACACTTCACTGGAAAACATTTATAAACATTTAAGACCCAGTAAGGGAGCTGAATTGTTTGCTTAATCTTTCTTCTTTTTCTGTGGCTGTTTAAAATTTTAATACATTGTACACTTAAGTGGCTCTAAATTTAAAAACTATAAAACATCCTCTACCCCTATGGCCCAAAGTCACCTGCTTCTTCTCCTCACAGGTTGCCTAAGTTATTATTATTTTTATGTATCTTTCTAGAGATAATTTTTAGTATCTTAAAAATATGAGTACATCATATACTATACACATATTCCATATCTTTTCTCATTTAACAGTATGTCAGTCTTTTCTTGTGTAGCTCCTGGGACTTGTATCAAAATAGGGTTATCCCTACTCTGAAGCTATAAAATAATTTTCCCATGGTTTCTTCTAGAGCTTTTAACAGCCTTTAAAAAAAACTATATACTTGAGTAATCTAAACATTGTCCTATTATAAGACATGGCAACCAGATTGAGTTGATTTTTTTTCCAGGAAAATAAGAAGCATCTGGAAAAAGATAAAAGATAAGATATTAATAATAATGATAATAATATAAAATATCTGAATTAAATTTTAACAAGAGACGTAAAGTCTCTGTATTTCCAATGAATTTATACATTTCCCTCTATCTGAATAAAAGATACATTTCACCATAGCAACAAAATATCTAAGGATTGATTTAACAAAACATGCATATGATATCTAGGCAAATATTTTAAGCTCTATTAAAAGCTTAAATATTATTTGAATACATTAATAACCATTTTACTATGACAAACTATGTGTCAATATTATGATGTTACCTGTTTTCACACATATCAATCACATATTCAAGTCAAACAAGAGAATATATTCAGTGCAAATGATAATCTATCTAATTTTTAGGAACTTGATGAACTTACTCTAAACTTTTTTGGGAAGAAAAACATCATAAAGAGCTAGGTCAATCTGAAAATAAAATATTAGAGAAAAGCAAGTCGGCTTAGGCAAAGAATGCATGACTAAGACCTCAAAAGCAAATGCAACAAAAACAAAAATAAAGAAATCGGTCCTAATTAAACTAAAAAGCTTCTGCACAACCAAAGAAACAATCAGCAGAGTAAACAGGCAACCCACATAGTGGAAGAAAATATTTGCAAATTATGCATCTGACAAGGGACTAGTATCAAGAATCTACAAGGAACTCAAACAAATCAGCAAGCAAAAAATCAAATAACCCCATCAAAAAGTAGGCAAAGACATGAATAGGCATTTCTCAAAAGAAAATGTACAAACGGTGAACAAACATATTTAAAAATGCTCATCACTAATCATCAGGGAAATACAAATTAAAACCACAGTGAGATACCCCCTACTTCTGCAAGAATAACCATAACTAAAAAGTCAAAAAACAATAGATTTTGGTGTGGATATGGTGAAAAGGGAACACTTTTACATTGCTGCTGCAAATGTAAATTAGTACAACCTCTGTGGAAAGCAGTAAGGAGATTCCTTAGAGAACTAAACGTAGATCTACTATTCCATCCAACAATCTCACTACTAGGTATCTACCCAAAGGAAAAGAAGTCGTTATATGAAAAAGACACATGCACACGCATGCTTATAGTAGCACAATTCACAATTGCAGGGATATGGAACCAATCTAAGTGCCCACTGACAAATGAGTGGATAAAGAAAATGTGACATATATACACCATAGAATACTACTCAGCCATTAAAAGGAATGAAATAATGTCTTTTGCAACAACTTGGATGGAGCTGGGACCATTATTCTAAGTGAAGTAACTCAAGAATAAAAAACCAAATATCATATAGTCTCACTTATAAGTGGAAGCTATGCTATGAGGATGCAAAAATATACAGAGTGATATAATGGACTTTGGGGACTCAGGGAGGGACGTTGGGAGGGAGGCAAGGGATAAAAGGTTACATATTGAGTACAGTGTACACTGTTTAGGAGACAGGTGCACTCATCCATGTAACCAAAAACCACCTGTACCCCACCCCCAAATTACTGAAATAAAAACAGAAGAGAAAGTCATTCTACCAGACATTAAGACCTATTACTGAGTTACAGTAACAAATGTAGCATGGCAAAGCTGCAAGAACAGAAAAACAGACCAAAGAATGGAATAGGGAGCTCAGAGACAGATATGTGAATAAGTGAAAACCCACATCTGGTAAAGGAAGCCCCACAAAACCCTGGGAAATGGATGGATAGTACAGCTACAAAAGAAAATGTGGACAAAATTGGCTTCATATAAACTAACCAAAAGTGTCCCCAAGAAGTCAAAAGGCAACAAAAGACAGAAAAAAAGATTTATTTTAACACATAGTCTCATAAGTAAATATGGGAAAATAACCCAAAGGAAAACAGCAATGTAAGATGATCTCTTCCACAAAAAGAAAAAAAATGGCAAGAGATGTTCTATCCCACTCTTATTTAAGGAAACGTTCACTAAAAGAAGAAATATGCAGACTGACAAAAATTTAGTGTGGTGAGTCCTCAAAGATCTAGGGGCAGAAATACCATTTGACCCAGAAATCCCATTACTGGGTATAGATCCAAATGAATATAAATCATTCTGTTATAAAGATATATGCATGCATATGTTCATTGCAGCACTATTCAGAATAGTGAAGACAAGGAATCAACCCAAATGCCCATCAGTGATAATCCAGACAAAGAAAATGTGGTTCATATACACCATGGAATACTATGCAGCCATAAAAATGAACAAGATCATGTCCTTTGCAGGAACATGGATGGAGCTGGAAGCCGTTATTCTCAGCAAACTAATGCAGGAACAGAAAACCAAACACCACATGTCCTCACTTACAAGTGGGAGCCGAACAAGGGAAACTCATGGACACATGGTGGGGAACAACACACTCTGGGGCCTGTCACAGGGAGGGGTTGGGGAGGTGAGAGCATCGGGAAGAATAGCTAATGGATGCTGGGCTTAATACCAAGGCGATGGGTTGATAGGTGCAGCAAACCACTATGGCACACGTTTACCTATGTAACCAACCTGCATAGCCTGAAACTTAAAATAAAAGTTGAAAAAAATAATAATAATAATGTAATACTCTTGGCGAAGTTATGGGAAAGCTGTTGCCATCAAACTCAGCTAATAGGAATAGATTTTTTATTATTATTAAAATTGTGGAGTAAAATGGCCTTTTATTCTGCAATTGCACTTTTGGGAATTTGTCCTGCAGAGATATTCACACAAATAAGCAATGGTCACTGTACACACATGCTGACTGCAACAGGTTTAATTTAGCAAAAGTCTGAAACAAGCTAAATATACATTGATGGAAAGAGGTTTAGATAAACATCCACACAACAGAATGCTAGTACCATAGAATACAATGCAACTACAAAAAAGGAGGAAACAGGTCACTAGCTGTGTCACACAATGCAGGCTGGAAGGTAAATCAGTACAGAGATTCTGGAAGGCAAATTGGCCATATCTACAATAACTGGAAAGATACACAAGTGCTTTCAACAAAGGTGTGAAACAAATAAAATATGGAATGTTATGCCATGCTAAAAAAAAAAAAAACAGCTGTAAGACACACTGTCGAGTGGCAAAAATAAGCCACAAAATGCATACATGTAAATAGCAAAGGGCAAAATACATAGTATATATATATATGAAATACATATTTCTATGTATATGGAAATATACACATTTCATTGACTCCTAATTATTAAATTAAATAAACATATTAATAACATTATAATTTAATAATTAGGAATATATATAGTATATATGGAAATATATATTTCTATGTATATGAAATATATACATTTCATTGACTCCTAATTATTAAATTAAATAAATATGTTAATAAATTTAATATATATTAAAATATATAAATATGTATATATTTCATTGACTCCTATTTATATAAATAAAATACATAGTATATATATGGAAATAGATGATATAGATAGATCGATGGATGGATAGATAGATAGATAGATAGACAAGAAGGATGAATAGATAGGATAAAGGATGGATGGACGGATGGATGGATGGATGGATGGATGGATGGATGGATGGATGAACGGATGGACAGATGTATAGATAGATAGATAGATAGATAGATAGATAGATAGATAGATAGATAGATAGACAGATAGATAAGCAGACAGTTAGATGACAAATTGATGTCTCAAGAGACCCCTTTAGGGAAAGCGAGGATATTAGGTGGGGTGGTGGGAATGTCAAGGTTAAACCCTGTCTTATCTGTAGTGTCGCATTGAGTCCAAGAAGAATCTGTTCTCATCATTGCTTTTGGAAGTCAACACTCATTTTCCATGTATAAATGCAAAATAGAATGGTACTCAGTCTTTAAAATGAAAAGAATCCTGTCGTTGGTGACAATATGGATGATTCTGGAGGACATTATGCTAAGTGAAATAAGCCAGGCACAAGAAGACAAATAGCAAATGATCTCAATTACCTGTGAGAGCTAAAATAGGTTACATAGAAATCACAGAGACAGAAGAAAATGGTGGTTGCCAGAGGAGGGAGGAAGAAAGAACAGGAAGATGTTGGTCAAAGGGTACAAGTTTCCATTAGACGGGAGGAAAAAGTTTTGAGATCTATTATATGCATGGTGACTACAGTTAATAATAATAGATTATGTTTTCCAAAACGGCTAAAAGAGAAAATTTCAAATGTTCTCACTGCTAAAATAATAAGTATATGAGGTAATGGATATGACCATCAGGTGGATTTAATCATTCTGCATTGTGTACATCATAACATCACAGTGTACCCCATAAATATATATAATCAAAATTTGTCAATTAAAAATAAAGACAAATTAAAAAACAAACTCATTTTCTAAAACTCATATTTTGAGAAAAACAGAAGATGGTAAAGATACATTGTTAGTGGGCAGACCTGTGTCTATTTTATGTACTCCTACTCACACAGAAAAAGAGAGCATGTGTTCATATACAGTGGGCATCAGGATAGCCATTTTCTAGGACACACAGAAAACCATTGATGATGGAAACTGCCAGAGTGAGGAGTGTGAGGCTTAAGAAGGAAGCTCATTTTTTATCAAAATTTTTGGACACTTTTTTAAACAATGTGTAATTTTGCTTGAAATCTTGGTTTTAAAAGCATAAAAATGTTTCTCCACCTTACAGGACCCTGTGCTGAGCAAAGGCTTGGATGTAAGGGCACTACCTTCAAAAGGCCTGTCCAGCTCAATGTCTCCTCTCCATCCCCAGCTCCTGGCCTGGCTCAGACCTCAGAATGTCCTTCCCTGGGACTTCCTTCTACAACTGGTCCTCTCCAGTATGCCCTCTACACTAGCCCTAAAAAGATTCTCCTGCTACCTGTCTCTTCCCATTGCCCTTGAGTTAAAATTGAAGTTCTTGACTTTTTTTTCCATGTATTCCACACCCAGGCTCTGCTGCCATCTCCAGGTTCATCATCTCATCATGACTCAGTTTCTCCCTCTCTATTCATCTCTCTGTTTCTGTCTTCCCTCTCTCTTTCTTTCTCTCTTGCTTTCCTTCTCTCTCCATTCTCTTTTTATGACCTTCTCCCTCCCCCTGCACACAAGCCACTTCTCTCTTTCCCTCTTTTCTTTCTCTTCTCTCTCTCTGTTTCTCTCACTCTTGGTCTCTCTCTCTCTCTCTTTCTGTCTCTCTCTCTCTCTCTCTCTCTCTCTCTCTCTCTCTCTCTCTCTCTCTCCCTCTCTCTCTCACTCCCTCTCTCCTCCCTCGACCTTTGCCTAGGCTCTCTTCTTGACCTAGAGCCCTACTGCATCCAAATATCTACTGATCATTATTAAGGATCTCAACTGAGACACCTCACTTTTATTTTCATCTATTCATGTCTTTTAGAGAAAAATTCTCACTATGTTGTCCAGGCTCATCTTGAAGTACTGGCCTCAAGTGATCCTCCCACCTCAGCCTCCTGAGTGGCTGGGATTACAGGTGCCAGCCACTGTGGCCGGGTGAGACACTTTCTGTACCTCCAGTCATGCTTCTCTTGTTCTCAGCCTCATCCCTGCCCATGTGGGCTGGGAGTTTCCTGTCCTGGGACTGTTCCCCCACCAGGCTGGGAGCACCTGGAAAACAGATCGCAGGGCTGGATTCTTCCAAGCTCTCCAGAGCACCGAAAGGTGCTAGATACAAAACTGGGGATAGGAATACAGTGTAGGAGCATTTGCTGAATGAAGACTGGATGGATGAACAATGCAGGTGTTCTGGATAGGAATGAATGACTTTTACCCTCAGGTCTCTCTTATAAATCCCTGGACTGTACAACAGGATTGAAATTAGGGTAAGGAAGAGCAAACATTCAGAAAGTGAAGATGTTTGAAAAAACATGATAATTCAGTGAAAAGAGGAGGTGGAGGAGAAATTCATTTGCTGAACACATGCTAAGTGGCATCATCTGCCTTCACATGCTGTCACAAATTCTCCCAGCAGCCCAGGTCCCAAAAGCCTGCAAACCATCCCCTGCTGGCCTGGCTGTGTATTAAGCCCTGCCTCTGAGATTTGCACCGATTCCCACTAAGCGATAATGGAAGAATTGACCAAAAAAACTCCCTCCCTCTGCCCACCTGAGGAGCAGAACCAATGACAAAAGATCAGGAACAGGCCAGCACCTGCACTCACCATTCAATCTCTATAGGTTCACGGTCCTTCAGAAGCTCTTGCACTTCTTGCCGGCACTGTTCCTGGTATTCTGGGTGCTTTGCAAGGTGGTATAGGACCCAGGAGAGACCACTGGCTGTAGTGTCATGGCCTGAGGGGCAGCCAAGCAAAACTGGGTTTCTGGGCTGCTTCAGCACCAGAGGGAGGAGAGCACCCAAACTCTGAGGCCCTCAGGAGAATGTAGGGAGGAGGAGGATGGGCAGAATTAAGTGATCCAGGGTCCACCCACTACGTTCCTGGGATGGAGAGGCCCCTGTCCCCACCGTAGTCCCACACTGAGACCCTCACCCTCAAACATGAAGGTGTCAGCTTCTGCTCTTATGTCCTCATCAGACAATTCCTTCCCATCTTCATCCTGGAGAGAAGGCAAGACAATATCCCTGCCCCAAATCACACCAGCTCTGAAGGCTCTTGAGTCAAACCTAAGATAATTTCTGAAGATCCATCCTCCTTCCAGAAACCCAAGCCCATCATGCACTCCTAGATGTCTCTTGGTCACCACCATCAGAGCCCACCACCCACAGGCTTCCCGCTGGCTTCTTCACCTCCTATTTGGCCCTGCTGGGAAGAGTCAATGACCTATGGATATTTTCTTGTTTCGAATAATGAGGACTTTTGGAGTAAAGCATTAACTGGCAACCTGGGTTACAGCATATTTCAATGGCAATTTCACTTGGAGGTTAGAAATTAAGTATTGGCTGGGCGTAATGGCTCACGCCTATAATCCCAACACTTTGGAAGGCCGAGGCAGGTGGGTCACCTGAGGTCGGGAGTTCGCAACCAGCCTGACCAACATGGAGAAACCCCGTCCCTACTAAAAAAAAAATTAGCCTGGCATGGTGTTGCATGCCTGTAATCCCAGCTCTTCAGGAGGCTGAGGCAGGAGAATCACTTGAACCCGGGAGGCAGAGGTTGCAGTGAGCCAAGATCACACCATTGCACTCCAGCCTAGGCAACAAGAGTGAAACTCTGTCTCAAAAAAAATGAAAGAAAGAAAGAACTGAAGTATTACTCTGAATGTATTTGCTCACATTCTAGAGTGGTAAACTCAGAGAATACTTCTTATCTTTCCAGAAGGCATCTGGGTTATAAACCTATAAACCTACAGGCATGTCGATCTCACTGGAAAGGAGTAGTTTTTATTCCAGAACAAAGCAAACATCCTCTCTCTCTCTCTCTCTCTCTCTCTCTCTCTCTCTCTCTCTTTCTCATTCCCACTCTCGCCCTGGAAGGAAGAAGGGGCAGATGTGCTAGCTAGCTATCCTATATAAGCCCCAAGATGTATACTGTGGGGCCCCTCTCTGCAGTGCATTCTGGTGTATTTACAGGTAAAAACATTGCATTACCCTAGAAGGAATATGGGAATAGAGAGCCAGCTCTACAATCCTACTCTGGTTGCTGCTATTGCTGTGAATGATGAATAGGCTGCTGTGATCCAGGGATTTGGTGCATCTGTCATCATAGATATAGACATAGATAGATATGCATAAAAATATGTCAGCCTAACTTGCTAACATGTAAGTAGAGTAAAATCTCAGGCTCCTCACTATTTCAAACTTAGCAGTCCCCTGCCAGCTGAATTCCACAGAGTCATCTCTCAAACCTATCTCTGACCTGTCTTTTTCAAGCATGTTCCATGGCTCCCAGTGCCCTTTGGATCAAGTCCAAGTTCTTTCATTTGACAGAGGCATAAATCTCCACTCTATTACTTGAATTCACATCCCAGAGAAGCCTACCTTGCTCAGCAGAAGCACATCAATGAAGTCTAAAGTCTTGGACTTTGCCTTGTTCTTGAGGAAATCATCAATACCCTGAGTGGGGAGGGTGCAGCGCCGCTCCTGGATGACGGCATCTGTGAAGTCGTGCACCAGGTGGCAGGCCCTGCGGAAGCGCTGCCCATCAGGAGTGAGATAATACAGGAAGTCCGTGTGCAAGAGAATCTGCTGGTTTCTCTTTTCTACAAAGGCACTGAGCTCCAAGATGGCGGCAATATATTCACTGGGCTTCCTGCATGAAGGAGGTAACAACTTAACATATGCAAAGTCCCAGGAGCACCTCTCACCAGCAGCTAGAAGCTACTGCCCATCAGGAAATTGAGTATCCAGAAACAGCCAGGAGACTTGACTCTCCAAACTCTCTTCTCTGAGGCATTCCATCTCTGAGAGCTGCCTCCATGCACCAAGGTACCCAGAGCATAGCTTGGACACCATGCTTCTCTCCCGTCTCTCCCACCCAGTATCCAGCCTGCACTCTTTTCCTTCCAAAAACTGTTCACAAAACTCAGACCTCACTGTCTTCCAGCTCTTTCTGACCCAGCCCCCACCATAACAGACTTGCATTCAATGTCTGCTCCATGTAGCGTCTACATGACAGGCAGACCTCCACAGAGCTCAGCTGTGACCACATCTGTCATCGGCCCAACCCTCTTCAAAAGATTCCTGGGAACCTCCTGATAAAGTTCATGCCACTTTTCCTGATTTTCAATGTCCTGAAATCTATCCCCTGTCTACTTCCACAACCTCATGTCTACTGTCTCTTTCCCCCTCCCCATCCTTCAAAGCCCAGCTATGACACACAGAAAGTGCCTTCAGAAAGGCACTTCTGGTTACCCCGGTCAGCCATCCTTTTCCAGCCTACTCCCTTGGGTTCCAGGCCCAAGTTCTCAGGTCCTAGGAAAGGACTCACTCCTGACAATTGCTTTCAAAGCTGAAGACACATTTCTGCAGACTGTCCAAGGTCATGAGGCTGATGTGTTCAAACATGTCCAGTCTGGCGCTGCCCTCTGAGGCCAGGCGCTGCCACTTGTCCTGGCCAGAGAAAAAACAGAGCCAAAGCTGGGAACTGCCTCCTGGGAGCACCTTCCCAGACCCAAACATCAAGATGGACTCCCTGCAATCATCCTCCTGGTCCTCTGCCCCAGGTACCCATCCCCAGGAAGGACCAGCCTTGGATAGGAGCAGAAACTGTTACTATTAGGAGATAAAGACTCATGGCTGGGAGTCGAGAGATCTGGGTTCAAGTCCCAGTTCAGCCTCCTATGGTCTGTGTGCTCTTGGTCAACCTCCTGCACTCCCATAGGTCCCATCTATCAAATCTTCAGTAACAGTTAGGACAACATGCTTTGGGGCCAGATAAACCAGGACAGAATCACTGCTCCACCACTCGTAGCTCACTTACTATCTGGTTGAACTTTGGCAAACTCCCTAATCTCTCTGGACCTCAGTTTCATAGTCTGCAACAGGGCAAAACCAACCAAAGCCTCATGGGGTTATTAAAATTAAATTCCTAAATATGTATCATGGAGTTGGCAAATGGTACTGTTTCTGGGATATGGTGAGTGCTCAGTAAATGTTGGTTTTACTCATCTCCATTGCTATAAATTCATTTCAAAAATATCCCTATTACTTGGGAGGGGAACATTACACACTGGGTCCTGTCAGGGGTTTGGGGACAAGGGGAAGGAAAGCATAAGGACAAATACCTAGTGCATGTGGGGCTTAAAACCTGGATGACGGGTTGGTGGGTGCAGCAAACCACCATGGCACATTTATACCTACGTAACAAACCTGCACGTTCTGCACATGTATCCCAGAACTTAAAGCAAATGTGTGTGTGTATATATATATACACACACATATATATATACATATATGTACACACACACACACACACACACACACACACCCTGTAGTTGTTTGGGCCGTTTCTCAGAATTGTGTTTGCAGAGAACAACATTGAGAGATAAGGCAATGACTGCTCCTGGACACATATCAGGCTTGCTTCTGCTTGCTAAAAAAGCACATTCCCGGCCGGGTGCAGTGGCTCATGCCTGTAATTCCAACACTTTGGGAGGCCAAGGCAGGTGGATCGTGAGGTCAGGAGATCGAGACAATCCTGGCTAACATGGTGAAACCCCGTCTCTACTAAAAATACAAAAAATTAGACGGGCATGGTGATGGGCGCCTATAGTCCCAGCTACTCAGGAGGCTGATGCAGGACAATGGCGTGAACCCGGGAGGTGGAGCTTGCAGTGAGCAGAGATCATGCCACTGCACTCCAGCCTGAGTGACAGAGTGAGACTCCAGAAAAAAAAAAAAAAGAAAGCAGATTCCCTAAGCCTAGTGCTCCTTTCCTTCCATGCACCGTACTGCATAAGCAGGCAACTATTCAAACCTCTCTATGGCACCCCGTGGGATTTAAGTGGTTTGGAGAAATTATGCAAACCAAGAACATGCTGCTTGCTATGCCGTGAGTAATAAATTGCTGTTTGTCTCTGACCCAGGACTCTCGTATCTCCTTGCAGAATCCATGAAGTATTAACAAAACTAGCTTATCAGCTTGCAATTAAGAAAAACATCCTAAGCACTTCACAAAATCCCAACTCCCAATTCTTCACTTCTCCCTTTGCACTGTGATTTCCAGCAACTTCTATTAAGAGATGGAGACTGTTTTATGACCCTTTGAGTCTGTGCTAACCTAAGCCTGGTTGAACTTTGAAACATTGCAGAGAAAATGTCCAGAGACATTGCAGTCTCCTGGCAGTCTCTCAGAACCCAGTCTGTGCCATGTGAACAGCAGGGTGCCTCCGGGAGGCAGAGAAACACATGGAGAAAAGTCCAGGTGTCACAGCTGAGGCCATCCCAGGTCAGCCTAAAGCTAGCAAAGCCCCAAACAAACATGTGAATAAACTGAGCCAGGATCAGCAAAGCTGCCCACATGACCCACAGCTGTTCATGTACCAAGAGTGATCCCATCCACATGCAGAAGAACCAGCCAACTGTCTCACACACTTGTTAAGTATAATAAACCCTTATTGCTCTAAACCAATGAGTTTTCAGGCGGTTTGTACTCAGCAATTGCTACTATGCAATCTTGATCTTTACTCTCTTGAGTTTGAAGGATTTCTGTGAGAGAAGCATGGAAACTCACACCTTTTGAGACATACTATGTGCTGGGGACATGAATCCATTACCACCTTTTAAGTAGAGATTGTTATTCCCATTTTACAGATAGGGAAACCAAGGCTCAGAGAGGAAGAGCATTGTCCCCAAAGCACAACCAAAATTCCAGAGCAGATATGCCTGTGGTCCCTCTACCCCAAGGCTCCAGCTGGGACCCAGAGTTCAAGGGACTCACGTGCATGATGTTCACACTCTTGTTGAAAATCTTCATATAAGGCTTCAAGATGTTGAAATGGAAGGCAGGCGTCAACATCCGACGGTGGCGGCTCCACTTGTCACCACCACTCAGCAGGAGCCCATCCCCTGGCAGGGCAACCAAGGACAGTGGTCAAGGGCAGCACCCTCCCTTATCCCTAAAGGATATCCCCAACCCCATTCACCTCAATTACTCACCCAGCCAGGGCTTCAGGAAGCCATAGAAAATCATATCCTTGGGTGCGACAGCAGCTGACATGATTGAGGACCATCAGTGGCCATGGAGAGGGGTGAGAGAAGGACTTTGGGTATGGAGGAATGCTCCCAGCCAGGGGTGTGCACTTCCACGCATCCCACCCAGCATAGCAGGAAGAAGGCCAAGGGTAGAGGAAGAAGGGAGGATGGTGGAGGAAGGAGAGACCAGACCAGGCTGCAGCGACAGAGTAGAGCAATAACACAGCATGCCCCAGCACACAGTGACATATCTCCTACAAGGTCCAACATGTTCTGCAACACCTGAGCATAGCTCAACACTCTACAGAATGCCTTTACAGGGACCTAGGACACTCTGTCTACTCCCAGCACTCTCTGCTATCTTCTGACATGGATCTGGGACCTGGAATATTGCCCCGACAGTTGTTAACATTCCCTGACATGGCCAAAACACATATGACAAACCCTAAATGACACAACATGCTCTGCCATGGACCTGAGATGGTCTGATATGACTTCTGTGTATCCCAGTGAAGGGTCCTAGATAACATTTAAATATGATGTCACTAATGTCCTAAACATGGCCCGGGTATAACCAAGCCTATTCTTCGGCATAATTCAAATCTACCCTAAGACCTAACTATACTAAGACTCAAATAATATCTCAGACAGTTCTCAAAGATTCCCTGGGTCCTACACCTTGGACAAGCACCAAACATGGCCAAGACATTTGAAGTAGAATAAAAAGACAATCTCACACTACATCTCAGACAAGAACCAAAAAGACTCTGACATGCCCCAAATGTCCTCAGCCACAACTGAGCCCCACACATGATGACTTCTGTATATGATCCCAGGTGGAAGCATATACCAGATACAATCAAATATAATGTAGAAAACATAGGCTATATATGGGACCCTTGGAAGAAAGGTGGGCTTTCTGATTGGAACTGGGCTTCTGAGACTCATCGTTGACACCATATGAAAAGGCAAAGTGACACAGAGAATGGTAAAATCGAGAGAAGGAGACAGATTCCCAGTGATGTGGATTAATTGACACCTGGATCCAACCATGCCTGAAGACCACTCTCCCCAGACTTACAGCACATTGATTCTCTTTATTTGCTTAGACCACATGAGTCTGAGTTTCCATCACTCGCAACTGAAAGAGACTTCAGCAGCCAGAGAGAGCTGAGGACCTGCCCAGAGTCACTCAGCATCCTGAGGTTATAGCCATAGTTTCTGTGGGATGCTTCCCCTGCCCCTGCTTAGTCTGGCCTGTTCAAGCACAGGATGAGCAGAGGTAAAGAAAGGGCCCCAGACTGGGGTGGGATCTCCTACTGGAGATTGCTGGGGCCTGGAGCAGGAGAGCCATGAATAGGGTGGATGAGTGACAGGATGAGGTAAAAGGAATAAACTCACCAGACTTGAACATCACATAAATAGCAGCCCAGATTCTCCACCAGCCTCAAATCCCCCTAGTACCATAGGCTTAGGGACAGACAAGGCTGATGCCAGGCCTGGCAGCGGTACCTGTATACTAATGATGTCCACTGCATCACCCTTCCCCTTGCTTTAAAATCTTTTTACTCATTTTTCCAGCAACTCCTCCTCCAGGAAGCCTTCCAATCTGCCCCCAGGAAAGACCTTGTTCTCCCAGTTGTCACACCCATCTCCTTCTTGCCAATTCCTGACTCCACGAAGTTTGAGATGTCTCTGTCCAGATCCATTTCCTCAAGCACGGGGCTTTCTCGAGGACAGGGCCCTAAATTGAGGCTTTTTGGAGCCCCAGTGGTGCCCAGAACACAAAGGCAGAGAGAGATGGCAGTGGAGGGAGGAGACGCTGACATGGGGGGTTCGTGAATACATGAAGGAAAGAGGAACATGGCTGAGAGAGAAGCAGGAAGAGGGGCCTGGGCCCTGCAGGGGCCACACAGAAGCTTGGGGAGGGGAGAGGCTAGAAGGCCTTTGATGTTTCCCAGCCCCCACTACCACAAGCTCTGCACGGGTACCTGAGGCACTGGTGATAGGCCGGATAATGTCAGGGTGGCATAAAATGAGGAGGGGGAAGGTAGGACCCAGCCACAACTTAAAGCCCTGGGGATATGTGGTCACCAGCTGGGTCAATGTCTTCATGCCCTCTTCCGTGGGAGTGACCTGAAAACAAGGCAGAGGCCGTCAGCCCTTGTGATGGTTAATTCTAGGCATCCTGAATTAATCATGAATTCCACGTGACCGAGCCAAGAGATGCCCAGATAAAACATGCTGGTAAAACATTATTTCTGGATGTGTCCATCGGTGTATTTCCAGAAGAGATTCACATTTGAATAGGTAAACTGAGGAAGGATGATCCACCTCCCCAGTGGGGGTGGGTGTCATCCAATCCTTTGATGGTGCAGATACAACAAAGAGGCAGAGGAAAGGGTGGATGTGCTCATCCATCTGCTCCTGTCCTTGGACATGAGAACTCCAGGTTCTCAGGCCTTTTGGGACTCAGACTGAATTTACAACTCCAGTGTCCCTGGTTTCTGGCTTGCAGATGCTATATCATGGGACTTCTTGTCCTCCATCATCACATTTTCCAATTTCCGTAATAAACTCTCTCTCTCACGCTCTCTCTCTCTCTCTCTGTCTCATACATGCATGAGATATAAGCGGGAAGATATCCTGTCAATTCAGTTTCTAAAGAGAACCCTGAGTAATGCACCTCCCCACCAGGAGCCACATCAAGTTCCCCCTGCAGCCTCCAGATGTGGTGCAGCCTCTGCCCTGAGCATCGTGTCTGGATTCTGAACAGCTGCAGAGAATCTCAGCTGACCCCTGCTCCTTCTCTCTTGGGGCTGTCTCCAAGATCCAAAGATAATGGCCGGGCGTGGTGGCTCATGCCTGTAATCCCAGCACTTTGGGAGGCCATGGTGGGTGGATCACCTGAGGTCAGGTGTTCGGGACCAGCCTGACCAACACAGCGAAATCCCCGTGTCTACTAAAAATACAAAAATTAGCCAGGCATGGTGGCTCACACCTGTAGTCCCAGGTACTCAGGAGGCTGAGGCAGGAGAATCACTTGAACCTGGGAGGCGGAGGTTGCAGTGAGCTGAGATCGCACCACTGCACTCTAGCCTGGGCAACAGAGTGAGACTCTGTCTCAAAAATAAATAAATAAATAAAAGATCCAAGAGTAAATACCAAAGCAGAGGGAGAAGGCAAGCTGTCTGCTCAAGAGGATGTGTTTTCTCGTCTTGGAAATGGTTTCAACCTGGGGATGGCCACATGGAAAAGTCCGCATGGAAGGAGGTCTGTGGACAGCAGTGTGGCCTCAGGACATGTCCCTGAGGCTGGTTCCTACATCCCTTTCACGTCCTGGCTGGTCCCCACCAGCGGCTGTTCCTCCCACACTGGGGACATTCCATTCTCAGCAGCCCCCAGGCGTAGAGGAGTGACTCTTAACTGTCTACAGTAAGCACCTCCTGCAGGCCAGGCTCTGTGCTAGTGTGTCCTATTCACCCTCCACTGCACCGATGGACACGCCCATCAATTTTGCCATTTACAAGTGAGCAGACCAAGGCCATGTCCCCCAAATGGGAGAGCAGGTCTAAGTCGGAGGCCAAGGTCTGCGGAGTCAAGGACAGCTTCTGAAAAGAGAAGGGAGTGGCCAACTTTTATTCAGGCAGGTAACAAGGCCGACTGGGACATGTTAGTGAGGAAGAGCAAGATAGGAGGAAGGTGCCTCCAGAAAAGGAGGCAGCGGGAGACTGCCCACACTTCTCTTCTGGACCCTCTGTGTCCCTGCGTATGGAAAGGGGCTCAGAGCTAATTCCTGTGAGAAAGCAGCAGCACAGAGATGGGCAGACACAAGCAAATGGGCCAGGCAGGGAGTAGTCCCTGGACAGTAGACTCAGGAGGCCTCAAGTCCAGCAGTGGAGAAGGTGCAAATGCCAGGAGATCTTTGCTCTGTGCACCCATACCACTCCCACAGGAGACCCTCAGAGGTGCAGTAACACAGGGAAGACAGGCAGGAAAAAGATCCAAGCAGGCTGGAGTGGGAGGACAGGGAGGTGAGAAAGACTTGGGATGGCACATCAGAGGAATGAGTGAGCGGGGAGAGGAATGAGTGAGCGAGGAGAGGAATGAGTGAGCGAGGAGAGGAATGAGTGAGTGAGGAGAGGAATGAGTGAGCGAGGAGAGGAATGAGTGAGCGAGGAGAGGAATGAGTGAGCGAGGAGAGGAATGAGTGAGCGAGGAGAGGAATGAGTGAGCGAGGAGAGGAATGAGTGAGCGAGGAGAGGAATGAGTGAGTGAGGAGAGGAATGAGTGAGTGAGGAGAGGAATGAGTGAGTGAGGAGAGGAATGAGTGAGTGAGGAGAGGAATGAGTGAGTGAGGAGAGGAATGAGTGAGTGAGGAGAGGAATGAGTGAGTGAGGAGAGGAATGAGTGAGTGAGGAGAGGAATGAGTGAGTGAGGAGAGGAATGAGTGAGTGAGGAGAGGAATGAGTGAGTGAGGAGAGGAATGAGTGAGTGAGGAGAGGAATGAGTGAGTGAGGAGAGGAATGAGTGAGTGAGGAGAGGAATGAGTGAGTGAGGAGAAGAATGAGTGAGTGAGGAGAGGAATGAGTGAGTGAGGAGAAGAATGAGTGAGTGAGGAGAGGAATGAGTGAGTGAGGAGAAGAATGAGTGAGTGAGGAGAGGAATGAGTGAGTGAGGAGAAGAATGAGTGAGTGAGGAGAGGAATGAGTGAGTGAGGAGAGGAATGAGTGAGCGAGGAGAGGAATGAGTGAGCGAGGAGAGGAATGAGTGAGCGGGGAGAGGAATGAGTGAGTGGGGAGAGGAATGAGTGAGTGAGGAGAGGAATGAGTGAGCGAGGAGAGGAATGAGTGAGCGAGGAGAGGAATGAGTGAGCGAGGAGAGGAATGAGTGAGCGGGGAGAGGAATGAGTGAGCGGGGAGAGGAATGAGTGAGTGAGGAGAGGAATGAGTGAGCGAGGAGAGGAATGAGTGAGCGGGGAGAGGAATGAGTGAGCGGGGAGAGGAATGAGTGAGTGAGGAGAGGAATGAGTGAGTGAGGAGAGGAATGAGTGAGTGAGGAGAAGAATGAGTGAGTGAGGAGAAGAATGAGTGAGTGAGGAGAGGAATGAGTGAGTGAGGAGAGGAATGAGTGAGTGAGGAGAGGAATGAGTGAGTGAGGAGAGGAATGAGTGAGTGAGGAGAGGAATGAGTGAGTGAGGAGAGGAATGAGTGAGTGAGGAGAGGAATGAGTGAGTGAGGAGAGGAATGAGTGAGTGAGGAGAGGAATGAGTGAGTGAGGAGAGGAATGAGTGAGTGAGGAGAGGAATGAGTGAGTGAGGAGAGGAATGAGTGAGTGAGGAGAGGAATGAGTGAGTGAGGAGAGGAATGAGTGAGTGAGGAGAGGAATGAGTGAGTGAGGAGAGGAATGAGTGAGTGAGGAGAGGAATGAGTGAGTGAGGAGAGGAATGAGTGAGTGAGGAGAGGAATGAGTGAGTGAGGAGAAGAATGAGTGAGTGAGGAGAGGAATGAGTGAGTGAGGAGAGGAATGAGTGAGTGAGGAGAGGAATGAGTGAGTGAGGAGAGGAATGAGTGAGTGAGGAGAGGAATGAGTGAGTGAGGAGAGGAATGAGTGAGTGAGGAGAAGAATGAGTGAGTGAGGAGAGGAATGAGTGAGCGAGGAGAGGAATGAGTGAGCGGGGAGAGGAATGAGTGAGTGGGGAGAGGAATGAGTGAGTGAGGAGAGGAATGAGTGAGTGAGGAGAGGAATGAGTGAGTGAGGAGAGGAATGAGTGAGCGGGGAGAGGAATGAGTGAGCGAGGAGAGGAATGAGTGAGTGAGGAGAGGAATGAGTGAGTGAGGAGAGGAATGAGTGAGTGAGGAGAAGAATGAGTGAGTGAGGAGAAGAATGAGTGAGTGAGGAGAGGAATGAGTGAGTGAGGAGAGGAATGAGTGAGTGAGGAGAGGAATGAGTGAGTGAGGAGAAGAATGAGTGAGTGAGGAGAGGAATGAGTGAGTGAGGAGAAGAATGAGTGAGTGAGGAGAGGAATGAGTGAGTGAGGAGAAGAATGAGTGAGTGAGGAGAGGAATGAGTGAGTGAGGAGAAGAATGAGTGAGTGAGGAGAGGAATGAGTGAGTGAGGAGAAGAATGAGTGAGTGAGGAGAAGAATGAGTGAGTGAGGAGAGGAATGAGTGAGTGAGGAGAAGAATGAGTGAGTGAGGAGAGGAATGAGTGAGTGAGGAGAAGAATGAGTGAGTGAGGAGAAGAATGAGTGAGTGAGGAGAGGAATGAGTGAGTGAGGAGAAGAATGAGTGAGTGAGGAGAGGAATGAGTGAGTGAGCAGAGGAATGAGTGAGTGAGGAGAAGAATGAGTGAGTGAGGAGAAGAATGAGTGAGTGAGGAGAGGAATGAGTGAGTGAGCAGAGGAATGAGTGAGCGAGAAGAGGAATGAGTGAGTGGGCAGAGGAATGAGTGAGCGGGGAGAGGAATGAGTGAGCGGGGAGAGGAATGAGTGAGCGGGGAGAGGAATGAGTGAGCGGGGAGAGGAATGAGTGAGTGGGCAGAGGAATGAGTGAGTGGGCAGAGGAATGAGTGAGCGGGGAGAGGAATGAGTGAGTGGGCAGAGGAATGAGTGAGCTGCCTCCCTCTCTTCTCTGTGTTCCCACACCCCAGCCACCCTCAAAACCCAGCTCCCTGAGCCCCATTCCTGCCCCTCAGGAACTCCATGCATCCTGAGACCCCAGACCCGTCCTGCTGACAAACTCACCAGGCCCTGGTGTCCCCAAAACCAGTTCTGTTTCGGGGGTTGAGGAAAACACTGGAGGCGGCGGCAGTTGTCATAGAAGGTGTAGGTCCAGGCCAGGACGCGGGCCAGGAGCCAGGAGCCTCCAACCAGCAGCAGAAGCAGCCACGGGGATGCTGCCACGGGCCCGAGGCCCAGCCAGGACAGGCTCAGCTGCGGCATCCTGCAGGGCAGACGGGATGGAGGGTGGGATCCTGAGGCCCAGGGAAGGGCCCAGGAAGCTCCAAGGACAGTGGAAAGGGGCAAGGATGGGCAGTGCTGGAGGCAGATCAGGGAAGGCTCTGAGATGGGTAAACAAGAGCTGAGATCTAAAGTCCAGAAATGCCCAATGAAAACCAGCAGCCAAGTGGCCTCCAGTTACACAGAAAGGGAAAGAGAGAGAGAGGCTGATTAGAATCCAAAAAGGCCCAGCCTGAATCACTGGGAGGTTGCCAGGGGTCCAGTTACCAGGAAATCACCAGTCTCCCAGGCCAGCAGCCTTGACCCACCCCAACCTTGGGCAGTCCCCTCCCCATCCCAGGCCAGGACCCTCCAGCCCTGCCACTGCCAGCCTGGCTCCTATCAGAAGCAGCTTGTCCCACATACCCTCCTCTCCCCCTCTGCTAGGAGGTCTTTGCCTCTGGCCCCTGATTTCCGGAAGGCTGTGGGAGGCGAGGCTGGGCTGGGCTGGTCGAGCCAATCCCCATGGACTGGGTGTGTCTTCCAAGCCTGGGCAACCAACCAAAACCTGGCGTAGGGCCAGCTGGGTGCAGAGGAGCCAGCTCAGGGTGACACAGCATGGGCACAGGATCCGCAGGTCTCAACATCTCACACCTGAGTGGGAGGGGATCTTGAGGAAGAGTCAAAGGTGACTCTGAGCCCCAAAGTTTACAGCCACCTTGCCCTTCCAAGGCAAGAGTGTGGCAGATAAAGTCATGAACTTGAGAGTTCAGGTGGCAAGAGAGTGGGGCCAGGCCAACCATTGTGCCAGATCATGTTCTGAGCTCCTCTCCACATGTGGTCCAGGAGTTCATCATGCACCATTTCTCAGTGCAGACTTAGGAGATTCAGAGACAGAAGCTCCTGGCCTCTGGCTTCACAGTCTGGCAGGAGTTCAAGTCCTGCCTCCAGGCAACCCAGGGCCTGGGTCGAGACATGACTGACAGGAGTAGGAACAAACTATCTAACTGTGCTGGGGATTACCCGGTCAGATTTTAGAGATAAAGAGCCCCGCTGGAGGAGAATACCTGGAGGCTAGGTTCAGCATAGGAGGACAGAGAGGGGAGATGGGAGGTAAGGCTGAGAGGGGCCATGAGTGGATGGGGCCAGGGACAGGAGGGCAGAGATGGGGGACCCTGAGTGGAGTCCTTATTCTGCCCTCCCCTTGCCCTAACTGTGGGTAGTGAGCCCCTCCTGGACTCAGGCTTCCCATCTGGGAAATGGGATGTCAGATAAGGCCTTAGAGGGGGACAGAGGAGGGATCACAGGAAAATGGGCCTTAGATGGGGACAGATGAAAGATTCTGAGGAGGGAGTGAAGGGAAGGGGCTGGCAGCTAGCACTTTAGCTGCTGTGTGTCAGTCTCTGCTCTTTGCAAAAGACAATATGCAAAGTTCTTTTACTGTGTACTGGACTCTAAATAAAGCACACCTACCATGTGCCAGGTACTCTGTATACATGTTGTGTACTGTGTGCCAAGTGCTCTATGAAAAGTGTGTCCACTGTGTGCTGGGCGCTCTACAGAAAATCTTGCTTCTTTGTTCTCGGTCCTCTATATAAAGTGAAATTTGTGCGGAGTAACTTATGTAAAGTGTACCTACTCTGCACCTGCTGCTCTATATAAAACACACCTACTGTGTGTCAGATGTTCTATGTAGAGCATGTTTACTACGTGCCTGGTGATCTATGTCAAGTGCACCTACTGTGTGTCAAGTGCTCTACATAAAGCGTGCCTACTCTGGGTGCTGGGTACTCTTCATAAACTGTGACTCCATGTGTCCGGTACTCTACATAAAGCACACCTACTGTATGCCAGATGCTCTACATAAAGTGTTCTTTCTGTGTGTCAAGTGCTCTACATAAAGCGTGCCTACTCTGGATGCTGGGTACTCTTCATAAACTCTGACTCTGTGTGGCCGGTACTCTACATAATGCACACCTACTGTGTGCCAGATGCTCTATATAAAGTGTTTTTTCTGTGTGTCAAGTGCTCCACATAAAGTAAAACTACTCTATGTAAAGTTCTTGACATAAAGAATGCCTACTGTGTGCAAGGCACTCTCCACAAAGCACTCCTACTATGTGGCAGGGGCTCTAGGTAAAGCATGCCTACTGTGTTCCACCTACTCTAGGTCAAGTGCACCTGCTCATGTCAGATGCTCACCCGCGTCACCATGCCCAAAGCCTTCACACCAACCTCCCCTCGGTTCTCTGAGCCAGAGCCCTGGGATTGTTGGAGAGACCTGAGTGATGGCATCCAGAGAAGGGAATGCATCCATTTAACAAAAGAGCAAACTGAGTCTCAGAGAGGGCAGGCCTCTAGCCCAAGTTACAGAGCTCACAGGAAGCCAGGTTTGTGAGATCCTCAAGCCCAAACCTTTTTCCTCTGCCATGCTGTTCTGCACCCATTCATTAGGGTCAATGCCATATTAATACAGGGACATGTATAAATGGAGGAATCTCAGGCAATGTCATGGTCCCAGAGGGGAAATATCTTGAGGTCTTTGAATCAGCACCTGGCTCCTCCTCCCACACCCCGGATGCTCCACCCAGCAGACCCAGGGCTCCCCTCCTGGCCCTCCTTGTATCCTGTCCAGAATTGCCCTGCCGGGTGGACTTGGGTGAGGGGGTGCTTGAAGGATGGGGCTCCTAGCACAGCTGCTAAGCAGGAGGGCAGGGAAGACAGTGCTCCTGACACTGGCTGGGTGTTGGGGAGCCCCAAAGCCTCCCCCACCCCACCACCACTGCCAGCTCAATCAACCAGGGGATTCAGGCTCCTGGCCCTACAGCCTCAGTGGGGTAGGGTGCATCCCCCAAAATCCCTACTCCCTCTGCAAGGACAGACCTCACCTACTGGCAGTTCCATCCCTGTTAGGCTCAGGGAGCAAAGCCAGAGTTTGATGAACAGGCGGGGTTATAGGGACACAGAAGAAAGCGCTCCCAGTGGCTAGAGGGGTTTGGCACACTGTAGACCACCTGTGTGCCTGGGATGAGCAGGCAGCCTAGAGCAGGAATGGTGGCCACCACCATTTGCCGACATAACCTACACAGCCTGTTTTAAGTCCTTTAAGTATATTAGTCACCTTGTTTTTCATTTTACAAATGAAACATTAAGCCTGGAAGATACTTAAGTGACCACCCACAGTTGCACAGCTGGTGGAGCCGGGCTATACACCCAGACCTCCCACCCAGCCTCACATTGTGCTACCCTCACCACCGGGCCGTGCTCCTTCACGTCTGTAAATGGGCGTTTCAGCAGCACCCACCTCACATGGTTGTCATAATACTTAAAAAGACAATGCATGCAAAATGCACAAGGCAGACTAAAGGTTCAGCAAGTGCAACTCACTGTTCCTGCTGTTGTTGCAGTTGCTGTGTAAGCTGCATATGGGGTTTGACCTGGATCCCACAGGGGGCAGAGACATGGCCTTGCACTGTATTAGAGAAGGGACCTAAAGGTCCAGCCTGTCCTCACCACGTGTTCTCTTTGGCTGTAGATTATGGCTAGGGGAGCAACCTCCTAGACACAGGAGGCTTGGCCTGAATCCAGAAGAGTTATCTGTGGTGAAGTAGTAACAGAAAATTTGAACACCTGTTAGGTGTTAAGGCAGACTCACAGGTGGATTCTTGCAGGGGAGATGCCAGCTGTTCTGGTTCTGGGAACTGAACAATCCGTGGAGCCCAGCCTCCCATCTAGTGAAGAAGTGAGCTCTACACAGCCCAGCTACTGCATCCATGAGAGTCTCTGCTTGAATGTCCCCCAACATGGAGACCTCAGCACACACACACACACACACACACACACACACACACACTCTGCCTTTACAGCAGTGGTCCCCAACCCTTTTGGCACCAGGGACCAGTTTCGTGGAAGACAATTTTTCCACAAGTTGCAGCAGGGGGAGGAGAGGCAAAGATGGTTTCAGGATGATTCAGGTGCATCACATTTATTGTGCACTTTATTTCTATTATTATTACATTGTAATATATTATGAGGTAATTATACAACTCACCGTCATGTAGAATCAGGGAGCCCTGTGCTTGTTTTCCTGCAACTAGATGATCCCATGTGGCGGTGATGGGAGACAGTGACAGATCATCAGGCATTAGATTTTCATAAGGTGCACACAATCTAGATTCCCTGCATGTGCATTTCACAGTAGGGTTTGCACTCCTTTGAGAATCTAATGCTGCTACTGATCTGACTGAGCATTACTGAGCTCAGGCAGTAATGCGAGTGATGTAGAGCGACTCTAAATACCGAAGAAGTTTTGCTCATTTGCCCACCGCTCACCTTCTGCTGTGTGGTACAGTCCCTAACAGGCCACAGACCAGTACCAGTCTGCTGCCTGGAGGTTGGGGGTCCCTGCTTTACAGAATATTAGAGGGTAGATACTCTACGGAAATGAGCCTCAAACTCAACCAGTTCTAAATCAATGAGAAAGGGGATCATTTAAAATGCATCTTCCTCTATGTACACACATGTCAAGGGAGGCAAGATATGAGGCTAAGGGATTGAGGTACAGAACAGCAGGTATGTCTGCAAGATTTTCACAGAAATTAGGTGAACAGTGCACACATGCATACACTTCTATCTGTCATATTTGTATAAATAAACTCTAGCATGAATAATTTTTAAGCTTAGAGTATAGAAGTTTATGGGCCGAGCACGGTGGCTCATGCCTGTAATCCCAGCACTGTGAGAGGCCGAGGTGGGTGGATCACCTGAGGTCAGGAGTTTGAGAACAGCCTGGCCAACGTGATGAAACCCTGTCTCTACTAAAAATACAAAAATTACTAAAAATACAAAAAGTATCTAGGCATGGTGGTGGGCATCTGCAATCCCAGCTACTCAGGAGGCTGAGGCAGGAGTACCACTTGAACCCTCTTGAACATGGAAACCCAAAAGAAATCTTAAAAACTGAGTTCCCAGCTATGATGGGAGGGGATGTCGGCTATGCCTCAGTATGTCCCTTCCTTATTAATCTTTAACCAGAATTATCTCCAGTCCTATCTCCTTTGAGACTGGAATCTTCCCATCCTTTGCAGGAGCTAAAGCCTCCCTGGGCAGAGAGCCCTTGTGTGCTGGAGGAAGAGGTGGAGGCTGCAGGTTCCTGAACGCCCCCTGAGGCTCCTCCTGGCCCCTCCAGACCCAGAGGACAGCCCTTCCAGGGTGGTTTCCTGGGGAGGCCCATGGGAATGACCTGCTGGGAAGGCCACTGCAGGAATAAAGCTCACAGCACCAGTTTAAGGAGGCCTTTGTCTGGCTCCTACACTTGCCTACAGGTACCCCCTGAAAACACCTTAAAAGGCTGCTTTTTCTGCATTTGCCTTATGGCCACTTGATTGAAGGCAGCCCCAGGTGGAGGGGAACCAAGAGGATATGGGTACAAGGGCAGAGTCAGAGAGTTGTGGATGGAGCTGCCCAGCCGGCGGTTGGGGTGCAGAACTGAGGAGACAGGGAAGAGAGAGATCTCAGGCTTAGGTGGCTGCCTGGGGTCTGTTTTTCCCACACAGAGCACCTGGCTGTTCAGCCAGCCCAGGTACCCATTGCAGCTTATAGGTCAACGGTCCTCAAGTGAATGTGATTGTGGCCCCCAGGAGACATGTGGTCATGTCCAGAGATACTCTGGTTGTCAGGACTTGTGGGGAGGGGGTGATTTTCCTACTAGCATTTGAGGGATTGAGGTAAAGGATGCCGCTAAATGTCAGACAATTCACAGGACAGCTCCCACTATGAAGAATGATCCGGTCCCAAATGTCACGAGTGCTGAGATTGAGAAACCCTGTTCTAGGTATATTTTGTCTCCACTGTTGTGTCCTTGCTAACCTGGTTGCAAGAGGTAGGATGGAGCTGGATGCATTCCAGTGCTGTGAGATGTTTGCTCTGCACCTGTGTGTGAGCCATCCGCAGTGATACCAGAGTAGGCAGAATTCTGTCCACCTGTCAGAGGAGATGGGGGACTGCAGCCTCGAGAGCTGTGGCTGCTCCAGCAAGCAGGAGGCAGGATGGTGGAATGTAGGGGTGAAGCAGGAGCTTGAGGAGAGGGGGAAGGTTGGATCAGACTCTTGGTTGGATCAGACACTGTGTTGTGTCATTGCCAGGAATACTAAGGTCCCTGCTAGGGTTGGAGACCATGCATCTAGAATGGGGTCAGTGAGTGACATCTGGTACAGAATGATACAAACAAACCAGCTCAGAAGACCAAAATCATCATCAGTCAATGACAATGACTTTTACGAGGTGGACTCTCACAGTGCTCTGGTTACTCCTGTTTTTCACTTGGGGAGAGGAGCCTCAGAGCTGCAAAGTCCTTTCTCCAAAGACACACAGTGAGAGCTGGGGTTTCCACCCTGGGTCTGATGCCTCCACAACTTGTAAACATTTCAGAAAATTCTCTCTGGAAGCCAGAGTGGAGTGTGTGCAGAGGAGAGGAGATAAGGAGGAGGATGGGGCAGCAGTCCAGGAGAGAGGATGGAGAGGAGTGGAGCAGATGAAGTGCTTAATAGAAGAGAGGTTGCCCAGCAATGGGAGGGATGGGGGAGGAAGGTGGCTGACGCTGGAGTATGGTTTCTGGGTAGGGAGGCTGCATGGTCTGAAGACTTTCCTTCCATGTCATAAGCGTGGTCTTTTCATGTGGGATACGTTGTCCAGTAAAGTTCCTCATTGTCCAGGTGATTCTGTGTTCTCCAAGCGCCGGGCTGACTCCTCCTGCATGGTGGGGGTTGGGAGGGCAGATACTTGAGGACAATGTCCTATTGAGACTACTATGGGGTGTAATAATGGATGGGTCCATCGAGAACCAAGGATTTCAGAAACTCTTGTAGCAATATGGCTCACATTATTCATAAAAATATTTTTGTTTTCTTTTATGGTAGAATTCAGGTGCAGAGGATTCAGACTGTGATATTTCCTGTTTGAGGCTTTTGATTGACATTGGTTTGTGCAAGATCCTTTTCTTATTTCATTTGTTTATCCCCTTTCTTTCACTGTTTCCATTCTTTTCTGACAGGAGTTTTCACATACTTAATATGCACTTTTTGATTTGTATATGCTTTTGTAAGATACACATTGCATTCTATCTGCACATATTTTTTATGTGACTATTTTAAAATGGTAAATTAATGGGCTTAATTTTATTAGAGAAGTTTTAAGTTTATAGAAATATTGATCAGAAAGTATAGAGAGTTCTCACATACGCCTCACCCCTGCATGTGGGGCCTCACCCCTGCATGTGGGGTCATCTCTCCTATTCCTGACATCTTGCATTTCTGTAGCACCTGTGCTACAATCGATGAACCAATATGGACACATTATTAACCAAGTTCTAGAGTCGTCTTTCCTTTTGTTGACATCTTGCATTCCTGTGGTATGCATGTTCCAACTGATGAACCAATATTGATGAATTATTGTTAATTAAATTCCATAGTTTATATTAGGTTATACTCTTCGCATTGTGTATATGGATTTTGACAAATGACATGGATTCATTATTACTGTATCATTCAGAGTAGTTTCATGTACATATATTTTAATGTGACCACATGGAATTATGCTAGAGAGTTCATCCTGTTTTTTGTTTTTTTCACTCAATATTATTTTAAAGGTTGACTTATATTACTATGTGTGCATCTAACTCCTGCCAAAAGCTCTATATCCTTTTTCCTCTATATCCGTTGTTTGCCTCTATATAATTTTACCTGCCTTCTCTCCAATTAGGAACAAGCAGGCTTATCCAACACCTCCACTAAAATAACTGCTGCAGGGAACATTCTCTTACATGACCCCCTATAAACAGGTTTCAGAAGTCAAGATAGATACACAGTAGCAAGGTTGCTGGTACACAGAGCATGAATCCCATTAAAAATTTTAATTTCTACCATTCTACCTGCCCACTAATAGTGCAAAAGTATTTCTTTTATTATTATTATTTGAGACAGAGTCTCCCTCTGTCACCAGCGGGCTGGAGTGCTGTGGTGTGACCTCTACTTACTGCAGCCTCCACCTCCTGGGTTCAAGAATTTCTCGTGCCTCAGCCTCGGAGTAGCTGGGATTACTGGCACGCACCACCACACCTGGCTAATTTTTGTATTTTTAGTAGAAACACGGTTTTGCCATGTTGGCGAGGCTGGTCTCAAACTCCTGGCCTCAAGTGATCCTTCTGCCTCGGCCTCCCAAAGTGCTGGGATTATAGGCGTGAGCCACCATGCCCAGCCTAGAGTGTGTAAGTATTTCTTTCTCCTCATAGACCAATCAACCCTGGACATTTTATAATTTTGGGAATTGCAGGGGTATACAGTGAAATTCCACTACTGTTTTTTATTTTCCCCTTCCCTCCATTCTTTCCTTCCTTTCTTCTTTTCTTCCTTTTTGTTTTTCTTTTTCTTTCTTTTTTTTTAGCATTCTTTCATTTGCCTGAGTAACTCCTATGCATCATCTTCTCACATCTTTTGCTCATTTTTGCGTTAAGGTACCTCCTTCTTCTTGATATAACCGGTTTCTTGTTTGTTCTATGTTATTCCCTTGTCAGTTTTTAAGAAATTCCCCACACTACTTGGATGTGTTCCTGTCGGTTTTAGACAATGCAAATATCTTTTCCCCATTTCCCATCTGCCTGTTAACTTCATCCTGGAAACCCTTTGTTGAATGGAAATCCTTAATGCTGATTTTTTTCATGTTTTAAAAATCATCTTAATGTTTGTGCTTTTGAAATTTTGTTTAGGAAGTCTTTCCTCAAGCCTAGCTCACAAAGTTATTCTCCTATACTTTCTTCTACTAAATTTATACTTTGACATTTGGTATTTATTTTTTGAATCCAGCTGGATTCCTCCTTTGTATGTGCTGTTAGGCAGAAAATCAGATTTACTTTGCTTCATAAAATGAGCAGTTTTTTCACTACAATGAGTAAACAATCTACCTTTTCCTCTTGACTTGTGCCAGTACATTTATCATGTACTATATTAGGTTTTGAATAATGCAGGGATATTTTTTGAGATTTCCAATCAACTTATTCAGATCTATGTCTGTTCCATCTTTCATAATTTTAAAAATGACTATGACGCTATTGTGTGTCTCAGCATGTGGGAGAGAACAGCTCTTCTCTTGTTTCCATTTTTATAATATTAGTATGGTTCGTGCTAACATTTATGTATGTATGTATTTGAGACAGAGTCTTAGTCTGTCACCCAGGCTGGAGTGCAGTGGTGCCGTCTCCACTGATTGCAACCTCCACCTCTTGGTTTCAAGTGATTCTCCTGCCTTAGCCTCCTGAGTAGCTGGGATTACAGGTGCCCAACACCACGCCTGGCTAATTTTTGTATTTTCGGTAGAGACAGGGTTTTGTCTTGTTGGCCAGGCTGGTCTCAAACTCTTGGCCTCCTCAACCTCCCAAAGTGCTGGAATTACAGGTGTAAGCCACCACACTGGCCTGACATTTATTTTTCTGAAGGAATTTTCAAATAGTTTCATTAAATGTATGGTTGATTCACTGGAACTGTAAACACAATTGTATTGAGGTTATAATTTGAGTATGAATTGACATCATTCATACATCAAGCCATACCACCCAAGACTGTAAACTGCTCCCCGTATGTTCAGATAATCTTCTACATGTTTATTAGTATGGATTTAAAATTTTTCTCTTTGAAGGTATGGGATGCTTTGGGTTAATTCCTAGATATTTCATAGTAGAATTTTTCAAAGTATGATATGAGGACCTCTGCAGGGTGATCCCTGAAGTCTTTATTTTTTCTAATTATATATTAGAATATATTTTCATCATATGCCTCAACTAAGACATCATACAGGCTCCCACCACCACACCCGGCTAATTTTTTGTATTTTTTTTTTAGTAGAGACGAGGTTTCACCATGTTATCCAGGATGGTCTTGATCTCCTGACCTCGTGATCTGCCCACCTCAGCCTAGGATTACAGGTGTGAGCCACCGCGCCTGGCACATATTGCCACAGACTGAATAAAGAAAGAAATGTGAGCATCAAGCTGTTTCCTGCCAAGCCAGGACATACGATGTTTTTGCTAAAACGTCAAACAAGGCTACTCTTCTCACGGAATGTTTTTTCTTAATGTGGTTATTTGCCTGAAAATGTTACTTATATTTGTAAGAGTTAAAGAAAGAAGAAAGAAACACGAAACATGGCTTGGCAGTTAAAGACAGGTTTACTTTAGATAAAACCTGAGGGGGGCTTCTGGCCAATTTCAGTCAGGAGAAGTTTCTCTTACACACTAAGAGTACATATTAGTTTTAGGGTGAGGGGCTTATCACAAGCTTGGAATGTTTCTGTGTGGGGGAGAAGTTTTATGGCAGGGTTGGAATGTCTCTGGGAGGAGGGGAGGTTATCTTGGGGCTGACATCTTTCCGGCCGGGTGGGAGTGATCTTGAGGCTGGCATCTTCCCAGCCAGAGGAGGCAAATTTCGGGGCCAGCATGTCTCTCACTGGGGAGGAGTTTGGAATATTTCTGGCTGGAGATGTTATTTATGGTTTATGGTTGTGCTGACCTTAGCCATTAGCCTGACACCCTTTGGATTTAGGCGGTTTTTTATTAAGGGGAATTTTAGAATGAGGGGCTTGTCCAAGATAGTGATGCTCCTGCTCTGTCAATATTAGCATGCAATAGGTTCATTATTGCTCTTTTAAATGTACTAATAACTAATATTTTAAATGATTTTCAATTTTCATTTCCAATATGGTAAAAAACAATGATAGTTCTAAGCCACAATAAACAAAAGCCCTTTAGAGTGCTCAGTAATTTGGGTGTGTAAAGGAATCCTGAGACATGTTTCTTTATATTTTTCTTTATATTTTGTGCATTTGAAATTTTGCTTAGGAAGTCTTTCCTCGTGCCTAGATTACAAAGTTATTATCCTACACTTTCTCCTATTAAATGTAAAGATAATGGCAAAGAGTGCAACTACTTTTGCACCAACCTAATAGTTTGTGTTGCTGTTGGGAATCTTCCCCTTCTCTGTATTCAACTTCTATTTCTTGAATGCTTGTTACTGGTGTGACACTAGGAGGATCACTGGGATTTTTGCCAGCTGACCTTGCCTTCTGCATCACTGGGCTCTGTTATTGTTCCAATAGATTATACCATCATTCTTTTATCTTTTATATGTAGATGATCACGTCTCTTCGCTTCCAGTCCTCAGATACCTTAGATACTTTGTTTCTTTTTCTTGCCTTGTAACATCACTCACGACTTTCAGCTCCATGTTAAAGAACAGCAGAGTTAGTGAGTATCCTTGGCTTTTTCTTGATCCTAAAATAATGCATCAAAAAGTTTCTTCATTTAGTGTATGTAGTATTTGCTAATTTTGTGCTATATATTCTATATTTAGATAAGAAAATCTCCTTGAATTTTGTGTTGTGAAGTGTTCTTTAAAAATCATAAATAGGAGTAGAGTTTAAGAAAAACATATTTATGCCTTTATTGAAATAATCATGATTTTTCTTTTTTAATCAACTCCTGTGATAAATCATATGATAGGTTTTCTGATGTTAGCCATCCTTGTCATTTGTGAAATAAATCTATACCACTTTATTATGGTAAACCATTTTTAATATACCATTAAATTTGACTAGGTTATGGTTTTATTCTGGAATTTAAAATCTGCATGGATAGGTGAAGTAGGCCTATAGTTGTCTCTTTTTCTTTTTTTTTTCTTTCTTTTTATTTTTTGAGACAGAATTTTGCTCTTGTTGCCCAGGCTGGAGTGCAATGGTGCAATCTCAGCTCACCACAACCTCCACCTCCCGGGTTGAAGTGATTCTCCTGCTTCAGCCTCCCAAGTAGCTAGGATTACAGGCATGCACCACCACACCTGGCTAATTTTGTATTGTTAGTACAGATGGGGTTTCTCCATGTTTTTCAGGCTGGTCACGAACTCCCGTGATCCACCCGCCTCAGCCTCCCAAAGTGCTGGGATTACAGGCGTGAGCCACCACCCCTGGCCAATTTGTCTCTTTTTTCAGCAAATATTCTTACCTGATTTTAGACTGAGATTGCATTAACCTGCTGAGATGTGCTGGTCAGATTTCCTAACACTTTTCTATGTTTTTGAAGCTCATGTATAAGATACTAACTGTTTCTTAACATAATAATAATTGCTAAACTTTAATAAAACCCACTGGGGCAAAGATTTTAGAGAAAGACCATCTTTGACTACCATTTCAATTTATTTAAAGCTTATTTGAGCATACAAGGTCCCCATTTTTCTTGAACCAGTTTTAGAATTTTATATTTTTCTGAGTATTTGGTCATTTCATCTACAAAGTAAATTTATTATTTTTTAAAACTTATTAATTTAAACATATCCATTTTCTCTGTAATTATTTACCATTTTTAATTTGGAGTTTTGTTATTGGCACCTTCTCCTTGTTTCCCTCTATCTTCTCAATCTTTTCTCATGCGTGATTTTGGCTTTATTAAGCATGAACTTTTCTTGAGGCAGTTTCTTGATAAATCTATTTAGTGCCATGTATTTCCCTCAAAGTACTATTTTAGGTTAAAATGTTGACATTCAATATTTGAATAATCATTTAATTCTAAAGCTTTCTTAATTTTTATAATTTACTGTTGAACCTGAAGATTATTCAATTATATAGTTAGCTTCCAAGCATATGAGATTTGAAAAGCTATTTCTTCTCTATTAATTTTTAATGTTAATGCATTATCATTTAAATAACATTTATACTTTGGAATTAAAGAATTTTTTATATCTTAATGAAATGTCAGTTTTTGTAAAAGTATCCATGTGCTTGAAAAAATATTTATTCTCTGGTGAAGAGTCTAATATATAATAGCTAATATTTATTAATTGCATTGTAATTATTAATTGCATTGCAATTAATAATTAATAAATTACATTTCTGAACTCTGTTAAACTTTCTAACTATAATATCTATCTGTCATTGATTTAGTTATTATTCCAGGATTATTATCCTTAATATTCCAGGATATATAGTAATGTAGACATTATATTTATGCTGATTGCTATAATGTTCTTTTAAATGGTATGAATATTATTCTCTATCCTTTAGCGTGTGTGATTTCAAAATTTTAGCATGCATCAAGAAACAACATTTTTCTTCACAGCCGAAATAACCAGATTGCACTTTTAAAAAATAATTAGTTGGGCATGGTGGCTCATGCCTGTAATCCCAGCACTTTGGGAGGATGACATAGGAAGATCACTTGAGGCCAGGAGTTAGAGACTAGTTTGGGCAAGAATGTGAGGCCCAGTCTCTATGGAAAAAATTTTTTTTTAATTAGACAGGTGAGGTGGCACACAACTGTAGTCCCAGCTATTTAGGAGGCTGAGGCAGAGGATTGCTTGAGCCCAGGAGTTCCGGGATGCAGTGAATCACGATCCTACTCTAACCTGGGGGACAGAGCAAGACCTGTCTCTAAATAATTAGTAATTAGATCAATAATAATGCTTTAATATTACTCATACCTAATCATTCATTCATACTATAATCAAAATGTTCTCCATTGCCTTAAAAATACTTACAGCTGGTTATGGAAATGAAGATTCAACTGGTCCCCTATGTTGCATCCAGTTGCTATGTCCCCGAATCTCTCTTATCTTTTGGATGAGCCTTTATCAATGAGACCAGACCAATTGTTCTGTGGAATTATCCACCTTCTGAATTTTTCTGAAAGCTTCCTCACATTGTCATTTAGCTTATTCCTCCATCTTCTGTACAATGATTATTCTTTTTGACTAGTGGGCATCTTTTCAATCTAGTACTTGCAGTCTTTTAATATTATCCCATTACTTAGTGAAGGTTTCATTTCACACTGGTACAAGATATCCAAGGCTTTCTTCCATGTCCAGATCACAGATTTGCCATGTCTCAAGGAACTCTGGTTCCCTGCAGTGGCATATGGTATTAAAGACATTGTGATCACTGTTTCCTTAGATTCCACCTTTTATTATTATTAAGATTGCAACCTCAGCTTTTATTTGGTGCATATTTGTCTGACATGTATGTATCCAGCCATTTCTTTTCAAATTTTCTGTTCAATTTTTTTAGAATAGTAAATGCACCATTTGAAATTAGATGGCATAAATGAGTACCAATAAAACAGTATTAAAATAAATGTAAATGGGTTAAATAAGCAACTAAAAGACAAAGACTCCCAGGGAAAAAAGATTTAAACCCCAAGATCAAAATACATGTTTTCTAGAACTGGCACATTATCAAGAGAACCTGACCCTGATCATCTATGCTGGTCTCTAATGGCTCCAAGTATTGAACCTTTTCTTTATGTTAGTCAGTGTTAATAGAAACCCAATTAGTAGCCAAAATCTGACTTGATCATCTAATATAGTGATCTCATTTGATCTTTGTCACATTGCTGAATGTTAAGAACTATTATTATTTATTCCATTTTACAGATGAGGAAAGTGAGACCCAGAAAATTCTGCTGGTTGTTGAATAGCATAGAGCTGTTGAGTTGCCATTTGGTCTGTGATAGAGTCTATGTTTTAACCACTGTCACTTAATTTTGTTTCTGATCTCACCAGATACAGTATCCATGCCTAGTCAGAACTATAGCATCATATCTGAATTTAACCTCTTTGGCTTCTCAGCCTTCCCCCAGCACCTCCTGCCCATCTTGTTCCTGCTGTACCTCCTGATGTTCCTGTTCACATTGCTGGGCAACCTTCTCATCATGGCCACAATCTGGATTGAACACAGACTCCACACACCCATGTACCTCTTCTTGTGCACCCTCTCCGTCTCTGAGATTCTGTTCACTGTTGCCATCACCCCTCGCATGCTGGCTGATCTGCTTTCCACCCATCATTCCATCACCTTTGTGGCTTGTGCCAACCAGATGTTCTTCTCCTTCATGTTTGGCTTCACTCACTCCTTCCTTCTCCTGGTCATGGGCTATGATCGCTATGTGGCCATCTGCCACCCACTGCGTTACAATGTGCTCATGAGCCCCCGTGACTGTGCCCATCTTGTGGCCTGTACCTGGGCTGGTGGCTCAGTCATGGGGATGATGGTGACAACGATAGTTTTCCACCTCACTTTCTGTGGGTCTAATGTGATCCACCATTTTTTCTGTCATGTGCTTTCCCTCTTGAAGTTGGCCTGTGAAAACAAGACATCATCTGTCATCATGGGTGTGATGCTGGTGTGTGTCACAGCCCTGATAGGCTGTTTATTCCTCATCATCCTCTCCTATGTCTTCATTGTGGCTGCCATCTTGAGGATTCCCTCTGCCGAAGGCCGGCACAAGACATTTTCTACGTGTGTATCCCACCTCACTGTGGTGGTCACGCACTATAGTTTTGCCTCCTTTATCTACCTCAAGCCCAAGGGCCTCCATTCTATGTACAGTGACGCCTTGATGGCCACCACCTATACTGTCTTCACCCCCTTCCTTAGCCCAATCATTTTCAGCCTAAGGAACAAGGAGCTGAAGAATGCCATAAATAAAAACTTTTACAGAAAATTCTGTCCTCCAAGTTCCTGAGCGCCAGTTTGGTGGTGATGAAATATAATAATGTGTATCTCCATAGGGCTGTTGTAAGTGTTCAGGTATGTGAAAATATGTGTTTGATACATACTAGCTATTGTTTTCCCTTCCCTTTTTGCTTAAGCTCAAGTGATCATAATCTTTTCTTTATGAGCCATTATGATGACCTTTATCCCATTATCTGTGCCTAGAAATGTGTTTTCTGTCCACGGACAGGTGGGGATCATCACGTGGATGTGTCTGGGCACTTATGAACACAGTTCTTCTTGAATGGACAGGCAAAAAAGATTTTATTTTCCCCTAGTGTAAGAAAAAGCAAGAATAACATGATAGTCATAAATGCCACCCAGCACTGAGCTTTTTCTATGTATTGGCACTGTGTCCAGTGTTTTATAAATATTATCCTTTTAATTAGAAGAAATGTACAAAGGAAAATAAACTATTTGCCTCAGATAAACTGGTTTCTTATTTAAAGTTCCTCACTGTCTTTGGGAGAGATATACCCTAAGTTTGTGTGTGGATATTAATATGTTGAGTTGAATGAAAGATGTTAGAATGCAAACGTTGAGAGAGGGCAAGAAGGAGATATATATATATATACACATACATATATACACACACACATATATATATACATATATATGTATACATATATATATACATACATATGTATACATATATACATATATATATATACATACATATGTATACATATATACATATATATGTATACATATATATGTATACATATATACAGAGACAGAGACAGAAGAAAGAGAGAGAGATACAGAGACAGAAGAAAGAGCAAAAGACAGAGAGAGAGAGAGGGAGAGAGAGAAAGCAGGTGTCAAGTAAAAAGAGAGTTCTTTAAATTTTTTATCTGTACAGGAAATGTAATAACTAAGAATTTGGGGCAAAATAGAAAAAAGGAGGTTGGTAATAGGGCTTTAATATGTCCTAATAATAGGGCTAATAAGGTAGCCTAATAAGATAGCCACGTGTCTCATCCCAGCGTTTTTGACACAGTTGCTCTGCAGTCTCAATGTGTCATTCTAAGATATGTACTTCCTTGCCTCCAATGGATGTATCAATTTTCTGGTTTTCTGTTTCTGGCCATTGGTTCCACCAGCTGAGGAATGAATATTATTTTTACAGTGTGACTGCTCTTCTAATGCTACTCATAGTGCCATTCACCTGTGCTTCCTGCTGCTGCTGGAATGTGAAGGTCAACATGGAAAGAGATTTCATTCTAGGAAAGCAGAGATCATGGCCTTAAAAAGTCAAAAGGTGACATGGTTGGAAGAAGTTTTATTCTTTGTTTATGTTATAAAACTCCAAACAAAAACAAACTATCCTTTCCCTTATCCTGCATACTCTGGGCAAGACTCGCATGTGTGCTTCTCATCGTTGCATGTCTGCTATGGTTGCACCATAGCAACCAGTGAGAGACCCTCTGGGCATATGGTCACAGATGATGAAGTGACATAGTTAATGATGGAAATGGCATTAAATGTGTCCTATGAAAGTGCTACAGAAGCAGAACTTTCTATACAAATAAATCAAAAATTTTTCCAAGAGCCAAGCTGTTGTGAGTGTTAACCACTTTGTTACCTTTTTCTTCCACTTTCTTTTGACTCATGTTGCTATGGTATATCTTTCTCCATCTGTTTACTTTTCACTTATATATGCCTTTATATTTACAGGGTTTTCTTGTTAAAAAAAAAACTTATATCTGAGTCTTATTTTTTTGACCCCCTGTGACAATCTCTGTATTTTAATTGATGCGTTTTAATTAATAATTAACTAAATCGTTTCTTACTATAGTCACTCTGTTATGCTAGCAATTACTAGGTCTTAATCTTCATTCCTACTATTTTTTAGTACCCAATAACCATTCCCACTTCCCCCGGAAGCCCCAACTACCCTTAACAGCCTCTGTTACCCATTCTACTTTCTATCTTCATAAGTTCAATTGTTTTAATTCTTAGCTTCCACAAATAAGTGATACCATGCAAAGTTTGTCTTTCTGTGTCTGGCGTATTTTACTGAATATATTGTCCTCAAGTTCCATCCATGTGGTTACAAATGACAGAATCTCATTCTGAATAGTACTCCATCATGTATATGTACCACATTTTCTTTATCTATTCAACTGTTGATGGACACTTTGATTGCTTCCAAATCTTGGCTATTGTGAATAGTGCTGGAATAAATATAGGACAGCAGGTATCTCTTTGATACACTGATTTCTTTTCTTTGGGGAATATACCCAGCAGTGGGATTACTGGATGTTATGGTAGCTGTTTTTTTCATTTCTTGAGGGACTTCCAAACTGTTCTCCATAGTGGTGGTACTAACTTACATCCCCAACAACAGTGTACAAGGGTTCCCTTTTCTCCTCATCCTCACCAGCATTTGTTATTTCCTATCTTTTGGATAGAAGCCATTTTTACTGGGATAAGATGATTTCTTATTGTAGTTTTGATTTCCATTTCTCTGCTAAATCAATGATGTTCAGGATCTTTTAATATGCCTGTTTGCTTTTTCTATGTCTTCTTCTGAGTAATGTCTGTTCATATCTTTTGCCACTTTAAAAAACATATTTTGTGTCTGTGTGTATATAGTACGTGTATATATTTATGGGTCACTTGAGATGTTTTCATACAGGAATGCAATAAATAATAATCATACCATGCAAATGGGGTATCCACCCCCTCAAGCATGTATCTTTTGTGTTAAAAACAATCCTGCTATACTTTTAGTTATTTTAAAATGTACAATTACATTATTATTGAATATAGTCACCCTGTTGTGCTATCAAATATCAAATGTTATTCATTCTAACTACTTTTTGTACTCATTAACCATCTGCCCCTGCTCCCCCAATCACCCATCACTACCCTTCCCAGCCTCTGGCAACTTCATGAGTTCAACTGTTTTGATTTTTAGATCCCACAAATATTTGAGAACATGTGATGTTTGTATTTCTGTGCCTGGCTTACCAAAACCTATGGAATACAGTGAGAGCAGCAATAAGAGGAACGTTTATAGCTCTCACTGTATCCCATAGGTTTTGATATATTGGGGTTCCATTATCATTTGCTTAATAAAATTTTTCAATTTCCTTCTCAATTTCTTTGTGGACCAACTGGTCATTCTGGAGCATTTTGTTTAATTCCCATGTGTTTGTATAGTTTCCAAATTTTCTTGTATTATTTCTTTCCATTTTAGGCCACTGTGATCAGAGAAGATGCTTGATATTATTTCAGTTTTTTGAATGTTTTCAGACGTGTTTTGTAATCAAACATCTGGTGTTTCCTTGAGAATGATCTATGTGCTGAGGAAAAGAATGTATATTCTGCAGCCATTGGAGGAAATGTCCTGTAAATATCAATTAGGTCCAAGAGACAACAACCTTCTTGTCTCTTTTTATAGTTTTTGTCTTGACATCTATATTGTGTGATATAAATATAGGTACTCCCATGCTTTTTAAACTTCCATTGACATGATGTGTCTTTTTCTATCCCATCATTCTTGGACTAAGTATGTTTTTACAAGTGAAATGTGCTTCTTGAAGGCAACAAATCATTGGGTCTTTTTTATTTTTTAATCCACGGAGCCACTCTATGTCTTTTGATTGAAGAGTTTAGTTTATTTACATTCCATGTTATGATTGATAAGTAAGGACTGTCTTGGAAAGGCTTTATTTCTCTTTCATCTTTGAAGAACATTTTCACTGAATTTACTATTCTAGGGTAAAAGATTTTTCCTTCAGCACTTTAAATATGTCCTGTCACTCTCTCCTGGCCTGCAAGGTTTCTACTGAAAAGTCCACTGCCAGATGTGTTGGAGCTCTATTTTATGTTGTTTCTTTTCTCTTGCTGCTTTTAGGATCCTTTCTTTAACCTTAACCTTTTAGAGTTTGATTATTAAATGCCTTGTGGTAGTCTACTTTGGGTTAAATGTGCTGGGTGTTCTGTAACCTTCTTTTACTTGAATATTGATATCTTTCTTTAGGTCTGAGAAGTTCTTTGTTATTATCCCTTTGAATAAACACTCTACCCCAATCTCTCTCTACACCTTCTCTTTAAGACCAATAACTCTTAGATTTGCCCTTTTGAGGCTATTTTCTATATTCTGTAGGCATGCTTCATTTAAAATTTTTTTTTCTTTTGTCTCCTCTGACTGTGCATTTTCAAATAGCCTTTCTTCAAGCTCACTAATTCTTTCTTGTCCTTGATCAATTCTTCTATTAAAAGACTCGTGTATTCTTCAGTGCGTCAATTTCATTTTTTCAATGCCAGAATTTCTGTTTGATTCTTTTAAATTATTTCAGTCTCTTTGTTAAATTTATCTAATAGAAATCTGAATTTTTTTCTATGTTATCTTGAATTTCTGTGAGTTTTCTGAAAACGGCTATTTAGAATTCTCTGCTGAAAGGTCACGTCTCTGTATCTCCTGGATCGGTCTCTGGTGACTTATTTAGTTCCTTTGGTGAGGTCATGTTTTCCTGGATGGTCTTGATGCTTCTAGATATTCATCTGTGTCCGGTCATTGAAGAATTAGGTGTTTATTGTAATCTTCTCAGTCTGGGTTTGTTTGTACCCATCTTTCTTAGGAAGGCTTCCAGGTATTCAGACTTAGGTGGTATAAAATACGCTGTATCTGCATTAGGGGGCACCCCAAGCCCAATAACACTGTGGTTCTTGCAGACTCATAAAGGTACCACCTTGATGGTCTTAGATGACATTTAAGAGAATTCTCTGGATTACCAGGCAGAGACACTTATTTTTTCCCCCTTACTTTCTCAGAAACAAACATAGTTGCTCTCACTCTGTTCTAAGCCTCCAGGAGTTGGGGAAGCACTGACACAAGCACCTCTGTGGCCATCAGCACTGGAGCTGTGCTGGGTTAGACCTAAAACCAGCAGAGCACTGGATCCCACACAAAACCTCCTATGACCACTACCTGGCTACTGCCTAAGTTCACTCAAGGCCCTGGGACTCCGCAGTCAGCAGGTGGTGAAGCCAGCTGGACTTGTGTCCTTCCCTTCAGGGCAGCGAGTTGCCCCATGCCCTGCGTGGGTCCAGAGTTGCTAGCGACTGGTATTATTAGTACTGTGTGCCAGGGACTGGCATCAAAAACTTTAGAAATCTACCTGGTATTGTATTTATTGTGGCTGAGCTGGCACTCAACCCACGAGATGCAGTCCTTCCTACTAGGGCCATTGACATTTGCCAACATGAGTCACGGAACCTGTTTTAAGTCTTTTAAGTATATTAACCACCTTGTTTTGCATTTTACAAATGAGAAATTAAGTCCGGGAGATATTTAAGTGACCACCCACAGTCACACAGCTGGTGGAGCCAGGCTGTACACCCCCAGACTACCCACCCAGTCTCACATTGTGCCACCCTCACCACCGGGCTGTGCTCCTTCACGTCTATAAATGGGCGTTTCAGCAGCACCCGCCTCACAAGGTCATGGTAATAACTAAAACAGACAATGCATGCAAAATACACAAGGCAGACTAAGGGCTCAGCAAGTGCAACTCACTGTTCCTGCTGTTACTGCGATTGCTGTGTAAGCTGGATATGGGGTCTGATCTGGATCCCACAGGGGGCAGAAACATGGCCTTGCGCTGTCTGAGAGAAGGGCCCTAAAGGTCCAGCCTGTCCTCACCACCTGCTCTCTTTGGCTGTGGGTAATGGCTAGGAGAGCAACCTCCTGGACACAGGGAGCCTTGGCCTGAATCTAGAAGAGTTTTCCATGGAGAACAACAGGAAACCTTGAACTCCTGCCAGATGTTAAGGCAGACTCATAGGTGGATTTTGGGGAAGGACATCAGCTATTCTGGGGCTGGGAACTGGACAACCCATGGAGCCCAGCCTCCCATCCAATGAAGACGTAAGCTCTGCACAGCCCAGCTACGGCATCCCTGACAGTCTCTACTTAGATGCCTCCCAGCATGGAGAGCTCAGCACACACACACGCACAGACACCCTATTCGTTTACAGAATATTAGAAGGTAGATACTGAATGGCAATGGGCCTTATGTAACCAGTCATAAAATTGATGAGGAGGGGGGTTGTTTAAAATGTGTCTTCCTTTACGTGCACACATATCAAGGGAGGCAAATACGATGCTAAGAGAGTGAGGTACAGAACACCAGGTATGTCTGCAACATTTTCACAGAAATGAGGTGGAGAGTGCATAAATGCATATGCCTCTATTTGTCATATTTGCATAAATAAACTCTAGCATGAATAACTTTTCAGCTTAACATGTACTTGTTTATGTATGTATAACTATTTATATGTTTACATATTTCACTTGCAACATTTATTCCATCTGTGTGTATAACCAGTAATCCTCCCCGGTCTCCACTCTGTAGGACCCTGCAAGGTGCCTGGTCATTGGACTTTCTACTGCAGGAGTGTGTGGGATGCACCTGAGCCAGAGTTCCCTGCAGCCTAGGAGGCCAAGGAATCCCAGGGCAGTCAATGTCCCTGGTGCTGAAGGAGATGGATCCCCTTCCTTCCCCTGCACCCTCCTCTCACCCTCGCAGCATCCTCCAGACACCTGGACCTGCTGTCAGGATCCAAAAGCAGTGCTTTGGAAGCCTTAGGGAGGTAACCACTGATTCCCATGCTTCTACTCACATTGGCTGCTCAGCAAAAGTAGGAAAGTCCCTACTGCAAAAATGTCAATGTCCCCTCTGGTGCCTGGCAACTGCCAGGGCCAGCCCTACTTCTTGTATCTTCCATGTTTGAAATTTTAACATTTGAACTCACACCCGAGGTTGACCAGAAGACCCAGATAGCTCTGAGCTTTGCACCTGTGACCCACTGGTATGGCATTGCTTTCATGGGAGTAACTGGGATTTGGCAGCCTGATGGGGCTGATGCACTGATTTGGGGGTCACTCCACATGAACCCACACTGAATTCAGGGCTGTGGCATACAGACAGATCAACAGCAACCTTGGGTGTGGGTTTCTATGAACCTGTGTGTCTGACTTTGTATATTCATTTTCTGGTGTCATCTGTAGTCTGCAGTAACTAATAAGGGCAAGGATGGTTTTTATTGAAGAAGACACACCCTTTCTATAATAGAAAATGTCCACCCCCTGACCTGGTGCAGTGGTACACACCTGTAATCCCAGCATTTTGGGAACCTAAGGCTGGCAAGTTGCTTGACCTCAGTAGTTAGAGACTAGCCTGGCCAACATGGCAAAACCCCATCTCTACAAAAAGAAATACAAAAAAAAAAAAAAAAAAAAGCCCAGGCATGGTGGTACAGACATCTAGTCATAACTACTCAGGAAGCTGGGGTGGGTGGATTGCTTGAGCTCAGTAGTTAGAAACTAGCCTGGGCAACATGGTGAAACCCCATCTCTACTAAAAATACAAAAAATTAGCTGGGCATGGTGGCGGGTGCCTGTAATCCTAGCTGCTTGGGAGGCTGAGGCAGGAGAATCACTTGAACCCAGGAGGCAGAGGTTGCAGTGAGCCAAGATCAAGCCACTGCACTCCAGCCTGGGCATCAGAGCAAGACTCCGTCTAAAAAAAAAAGAAAGAAAAAGAAATACACACACACACACACACACACACACACACACACACACACAGCCCACGCATGGTGGTGCATGCCTGTAGTCCCAGCTACTTAGGAGGCTGAGGTGGGTGGATTGCTTGAGCCTGGGAGGTTGGGGCTGCAGAGAGCTGAGATCACACCACTGCACTCCAGCCTGGGTGACAGAGTGAGACTGTCTCAAAAAAAGAAAAGAAAAGGAAAGGTCCACCCCTGTGTAAACTGCCAAATGTTTCCCTTCTTGCTCAGCAATATCTCTGCTGTTATTATCAATGCATGTCATGGGGAGATGACACAGATATTGAGAAGGCACTTTGCCTCTCACAGGTTTTCTCCACAAATTTAGTTCCCCTCCATATTGCTGGGGAAAGTAGCTTCCCCAAGAATGTGCCTGGAGATACCTGTTGCATTCTCTCTCTCTCTTTCTTTCTTTTTTTGATAGGGTCTCACTCTGGCACCCAGGCTGGAGTGCAGTGGCACGATCATGGCTCGTTGCAGACTCAATCTCCCAGGCTCAAGCGATCTTCCCACCTAAGCCTCCCAGGTATTTGGGACTACAGGCACATGTCGCCATGCCTGGCTAATTTTTGTACTTTTGGTAGAAACGGGGTTTCGCCATGTTGCCCAGGCTGGTCTCGAACTCCTGAGCTCAAGTGATCTGCCAACCTCAGCCTCCGAAAGTGCTGGGATTACAGGCGTGAGCCACCACACCCAGCCTCTGGTGCATTTTCCCTTCCAGGTTTCTTGTTACATGAATTTGTAAAGATATTTGTCAGAGATAAAGGTGTGGTTATGACAACGTAGGAGTTGTTCTTACAACTCCTTTCTCAGAGAATGCAGTCAAAGTTGTTCATGTATAACTCATGTATAACTTCAAAATTTAAAGACAGAATATGATGCAGCAAGGAAAAGTGAGCTAATATTTGCAGAGAACCTTTCAGTGATCAAACGCATTGCTGGGAAAATTTCATAGATTGTATCATTTTTGTGTCTTTTAGCCTAGCTACAATCATAACTTTTCTTTTTTCTTTGGTTTTCAGCAGTTTTGACTACTGTGTGTCTAGGGCTTTGTGTGTGTGTATGTATATATTTGTGTTCATGTTTGTCTATATGCACTTTTTAGAAGTTATCCCTTTGGAGGCCAGGTGCGGTGGCTCATGCCTGTAATCCCAACACTTTGGGAGGCCGAGGTGGGTCGATCACTTTAGGTCAGGAGTTGAGATGAGCCTAGCCAACATGGCGAAACCCTGTCTCTAGTAAAAATACAAAAATCAGCCAAGCCTGGTGGCATGTGCCTGTAATTCCAGCTACTCAGGAGGTTGAGGCAGGAGAATCGCTTGAACCCGGGAGGCAGAGGTTGCAGTGAGCCAAGATCATGACATTGCCCTCCAGCCTGGGAGAGAGAGTGAGACTCCATCTCGAAAAAAAAAAAGAAAAAGGAAAAAGAAAGAAAAGAAGTTATCCTTTTGGAATTCTCTGAGCTTCTTGAATCTGTGGTTGATTATCTCTCATACTTCCTAGAGAATTCTCAGAATGTCTGAGTCCCATACCCACTCCTCATGTGATGTGTCCTCAGATAAGTGAACTAACCTCTGAAACTCAGTTTCCTCATCTGTAAAGTGAAAATAATAATATTAATGAGGACATGATGATTGGCAGTTCATAAGCACTGGATAATGTCAGCTATAGATATTGTTAAAGGGTGTGGTCCTTCCTTAGACCGAGCAAAATTGGCACTTAACTGGGCTCTGCACCTCTGGGACCCACACTCTTCAGTGTCTTCTTTGAAGGAGGTTCTCTGGGACCTGAAATCAGCCAGGATGTTCATTGACTCCAGGTGGGGCAGTCCAGGCCAACACTGATTCTCAGTCAGTCCAACCACAGGAAAATAGCTCCCCCCAAAAAAATGTCCAAAGTCCCCTTTGGTGCCTGGAACCTGGCAGAGCAAGTCCTGATCCCCAGTTCTTCCCTTTCAGGCAATCATTTATTTTATTTTATTTTTGAGATAGCATTTTGCTCTGTCACCCAGGTTAAAGGGCAGTGGTGCAATCACAGCTTACTGCAGCCTTCACCTCCCAGGCTCAAGCAAGCCTCCCGCCTCAGTCTCCTGAGTAGCTGAGACTATAGATAGGCTCATACCACCACACCCAGCTACTTTTTGTATTTTTTTTGCAGAGGTGGGGTTTTACCATGATGCCCAGACTGGTCTTGAATTCCTTGGCTCAAGTGATCCACCCACCTCAGCCTCCCGAAGTGCTGGGATTATAGGCATGAGCCACTGTGCCCAACCTTTGAGGCAATCTTGATCATTAACCCCAAATGTGGGGTTGACCATATGTCTTAAGTTGTTCTGGACTTCTACTTATGCTTCTTTGTCATGGCATTTTTTTTTATGAATTCACCTGGGATTTTGTTAATAGTGCAAAAGAGTTTATTTTGGGGTCCATTCATCTTGGACCCAGGAGGAGTTACAGGCTCTGGGTTTCAAATGGTTCAAGATCCACCACCTGAGGGCCTGAGGTATGTGGGGACCTGTGTTTCCAATCCTGTGTGTTTATTATCAGGCGCTGTCTCTGGTCCACAGCATCCAAAGAGGGCAGGTATGGTAGCAGGAGTCATTTCCCCTGTGCACCCTCAGCTGCTGACCCCTGATATAACCACCAGATTATTGTCAGACTCTGAGCCACATGCTCAGCCATGTCTCAAAGATGGCCTCTCCTCCAAAGGTTTTGACATCATTGCTCTGTAACACCAATGAGACCTTCCAGCCGATGTTTTCTTTAGAGCCCTTGGTTTGGTGTCTAGCCTTATCACCAACATGCCATTGACCTCAGGGAGCTATGAGTCTGTCTTGGTCTGTTTGAACAACTATCACAAAATACTGTAGACTGGGTGATTTGTAAACAACTGAATTTATTTCCCATAGTTCTGCAGGCTGAGAAGTCCAAGATCAGGACTGTGGCTGATCTGGTGCCTGGTGACAGCCCACTTCCTGGTTCCAGAAGGCTGTTTCATGCCTGTGTCCTCACATGGTGGAAGTGGGGAATCAGCTCTCTGGGCCTCCTTTATAAGTACACCAGTCCCATTCGTGAGAACTCTGCCCTCATAACCTTATCACCACTCTATGCCCCCCTCCTTCTAAAACCATCACATGGAATGTAAGGATTTCAACATATGGATTTTGGAGGTACAAAAATCTTCAGTTTATAGCAGACCCAAACCTCTGAATCTAGGTTTCCTCATTGACAAACTAGGGATAATAATGGCACTTTCCCTACTAGGGAGAGTTGGTTGTGTTCATATCAATACTGTATGTGCCACCTGCTATGTGCTTAAAACATCTGCACGGAGGAATGTTATTACAGGACGCCGAACACCAGGCTTGAGCATTTGGACTTTGGCAGTAGAAAAGGCTCTGTCATTCAACTCCATGCTGGAGGCATGTTTTGAGTTGTTACTGTATTCCCATCACTGTCCTAGACCCTAGGAACACCCAGATAGATCATATCCAGTCCCAGATACATGATCTGGCAACCACAGTGCAATGTGAAGAGTTGTGATGGAGACATCAGCTGGACATTATGAAAAGATGTGGAGGAAGGAATGTTTCCTCTGGGTTTTAAAGGGTCAATAGGAGTTCTCTTGGCTGACAAAGAAAATAGCATTCCAGGCAAAAGGACTGAACTCACTAAAAGTATGGAGTATGAAAATGCATGATTGGATATATCTATGTGCTAGGGCAGTGGGGAGGGGGAGATAATCCCTGACTGAAGGCTGCACTATGGAATTTGAACTGGATCCTGCAGGGGCCAGAGACATGACTTTGCACTGTCTTGGAGAAGGGCCTTAAAAGCTCAGCCTGGCTGGGTGCAGTGGCTCACACCTGTAATCCCAGCACTTTGGGAGGCTGAGACGGGCAGATCATGAGGTCAGGAGATCGAGACCATCCTGGCTAACACGGTGAAACCCCATCTCTACTAAAAATACAAAAAAAAATTAGCCAGACATGGTGGTGGGTGCCTGTAATCCCAGCTACTCAGGAGGCTGAGGCAGGAGAATGGCGTGAACCCAAGAGGCAGAGCTTGCAGTGAGCCGAGATCATGCCACTGCACTCCAGCCTGGGCAACAGAGTGAGACTCCATCTCAAAAAAACAAAACAAAACAAAACAAAAACAAAAGCTCAGCCTGTCCTCACCATTGGGCTGTAGACAGCAACTTTGTGACAACCCTCCTTGGCACAGGGAGACTTTCATCTAAATCCAAAAGATATGTGTATGGAGGAGTAGTAACAGGAGCTCTAGAACAACTGCTAAGCATTGAGCAGGACTCACAGGTGAATTCTTGGGGAAGAGGTCAGCTGCTCTGGGGTGCTGGGCACCACCCAGCTTCAGCATCCCCAAGAGCCAATAATCTCTGCTTGAATGCCCCTCAGCACAGAGAGTTCAGTGTGTGTGAGCCTGTGCATGCTTGTACACACACACGCTGCCTTAACAAAACACGTAAAGGTAAATACTCTAAAGCAGTAAGCATCAAACATAACCAGTTGGAAAATCAATAAGGAGGGGGATTGTTTAACATACATCTTAAAATGCTATGTGCACACATGTCAAGAGAGTTAAGATATGATACCAAGGATAAGAACCAAATGCACAACACCAGGTATAGTCTGCAATATTTTCTCTAAGACAGGGTGAAGTGTGAGTAAATATATATACTCATATTTATCATATTTGCATAGATGAACTCTGAAGTGAATAATTTTCAACTTAGGATATATTAAACCTTTATTTAATTTCAAGTGTGGAGGATTTTCTTTCTCTTTTGACAATCAGTGCTTCTCCCAAGCCCCCACTCTGTGGGACCCTGCAAAGCGCTCAGGCCTTGGACTCTTAACTGCAGGAATCTACAGGATGCACATGAGCAAGCAGGCGCTCCTGCAGCCACAGAGGCCAAGGAGTCTCAAGGCGGTCGCTGTCCCTGGTGCTGAAGAGGGAGGAGCCTCTACACCCCCTGCACCCTCCTCTCAATTCCCAGAACACCTGGCACAGGATGAAGTCCGGGTTGTGCTTCACATCAGCCTGTTCCTGGGTCACTGGGAGATTCAAAAGAAGAGCTATCAGGGACTGGCAGGGGTGGCCAGGAGTCCTCGGGAGGTGTCCACTGAGTCCCCAGCTTGTGCTCACTTTCGCCACTCAGCTCTTCCTGCAGCTATATCAGCTTCTTAGAGGATAGTGGGTGGAGGATGAGGTCAAATGTGCAATCCCCAGCCCCCAACCCCACTCCAGGGTTCTCAGAACCCAGAAACCCTCCAGGATCTGTGGTTCAACCCAGCTTTTTTCTAGCTCCTGTTTCAGTCCCCAAGGATCAGAGGATTTGTCCAGCTCCCACTGCACACTGCCCCCAGGACCAGCTCTACTCACCCCTGACAGCAGGCCCACTAGTATCCCCCAATTCAGAACTCCAGAAGCTCCCCCGGTGAGCTCAGCTACATGGTGGTGGCTGACTCCGGGGGTCTGGAGGGTGGTCAGGACAATCTCAGAGGGAGAGAAGGGCCATGCAGCCAGTGTCTGGGATGGGGCTTAGCTCTGTGGGCCTGTGGGCTACTCTTTTAAAAAAAAAAATTTTGAGACAGGGTCTTGTTCTGTCACCAGGCTGGAGTGCAGTGGTGCAATCGTGGCTCACTGCAGCCTTGACCTCCCAGGCTCAAGCAGTCCTCCCACCTTAGCCTCCTGAGTAGCTGGGACTACAGGAGGATGCCATCACTGTGGGCTGCTCTTGAAAAAGAGCTGCTTCCTCTATTTCTGGAAATTCTCCTCCCCTCCCTTTATCCTCTCTCGATACTCTCTCGACCCCCTCCCCAAGCCCACACTGCATCCTACACACACCTGATGCCCTTTCTCTTAGAAGTTACCATGTGCCACTTCTGCTAAATAACATCCTCTCGCCATCTCATTAATTGCTTACAGCAGCCTCTGAGGTGGATTCATGGTGAAAATGATGACACTGAGGCTGGATGAGGTTGTGGCTCTCACCCAGGGATGTACATCTTGGAAGATGCAGAGCTAGGACTTGAATCAGCTCTGCCTGACCCCAGAGCCTGAGTTCTTACCACAAAGCCACCCTGCCACCAGACCCTGATGTTCTCGTCATGTTCACCACTGGCTGTTTGTAAGGGGTCACTTGCCATTGAGTCTTGCTCCAAGTTCACCTGATGAAACACATGAGGTGTCTCCAAGGCTGGGGACAAAAAAGAGGACACAGCCCCCTCTGCATCCCTTGCCATCCCCACAGCAGTCGAGCTACTCCAAGGCCCTGGCTATCCCTTCTTTTTCATCTCTGCCCTGACTCTGTGGGGTCCTTCATTTGCGAGATGGGAACTGGGGATCTTGGGTCACTCCAATCACCCCAGACCACACCAGGCCAGCCCCGGCTCTTTTATCAGAACAATGCCGAGAAAAGTGACCACTACAAACAGAGTCAGGGTCACCGTCAGGCGATGAACTCCAGGGATTTAATGTTTGATCCCATCATTCTGGGGAGAAATTAATTCAAAGGAGGTCTGGTAGCAGAGAAGTACCCACCAACGGACACGCCCTGACCTCGGGGTTTTCTGGTTCACTCTCTGGCCCACTGGGGGTGAACTTTCTGATGTTGAGTTCTGTCCTGATAAGGGAGAAGATATCTACATGTTGACCTCTCCTCTCCCTGCCTGGACTCTGGATTCTAGGTTGAAGTATTATTTATGCTGAGGATTTACAATGTCTGATATATCTCGCTGAGCCTTCTGCACAGAGATACACTGGGAGTGGAGGCTAATCATGTCAAAGGAGAAGCACCATAAGCCCACACTCCAGCCTATCAGAGTGGATTAAAGGTCTACCCTGCCCAACTCTTACCTCACCTGCTCCCATGGCCTGGGTGGAGGGTTGGACCCCAGGACTATGAGGTTGTGTGGAGACTTCCAGCCCCATACCTGCCCTCAGACCAGTCTTCAGCTCACTCTGCTCTGGGCTGCCCAGATTTATTTATTTATTTATTTATTTATTTATTTTTGGAGCTGGAGTCTCGCTCTGTCACCCAGGCTGGCACAATCTTGGCTCACTGCAACCTCTGCCTCCTGGGTTCAAGCAATTCTCCTGCCTCAGCCTCCCGAGTAGCTGGGACTACAGGCGTACACCACCATGCCCAGCTAATTGTTTTGTATTTTTAGTAGAGACGGGGTTTCACCGTGTTGCCCAGGCTGGTTTCAAACTCCCGAGCTCACGCAATCCGCCCTCCTCAGCCTCCCAAAGTGCTGGGGTTACAGGCATGAGCCACCGTGCCCAGCCTGGGCTGCCCAGATTTACACAAATATTCTCCACTTTACACAACTCTACACAAATATTCTCCACTAGTTCTTAAAAGAAAACTGCCTCCATCAAATCTCACACATTTCCTTCCTGGCTCAGTCCAGGGAGAACATTATCTAGATAGCTTGTCATCAAATAAAATGGTGGGGGAGAGAACTCAGGCAGAGGGGCACAAAACGGATTGAGCAGCAAGCTTCCTCTCCAACCATGATTTTCTGTCCATGGTCATGGATACTCCCTGGACTGCTGCCAGCACATGTGGTTCATGCTAGGTTTCTGGTCAATGTAGCATCCAAAATCTCACATCTTCTTTCTAGATGGAGCTGTGGCTATTTCAACTTAGGCAAGTTGTGCTTGAGAATCTTCTCCTTTAACACTACAGGGTAAGGTAGTTCCCCAATGCTTTTATTTACTTTCATTTACATTTAGAAATTAGGAATTTAATTCAACAAGAAGAGAGGAGAGAATCGCTATTATTGAGTGGTTTCTACTTCCGAATCCTGTAATCAGAATTTTTTCTGTAATTATTACAGTGCTAGGACCCTCAGAGCTTTAAAGCCCTTTTTCGAGATTCCAAAGCTAGTAAGTGGTTCTGCTGGCATTTGAAATATAATGTCACTGGGTTTAAAATTACTTTTCTTGGGCCGAAGGTGGTAGCTCACTTCTGTAATCCAGCACCTTGGGAGGTCAAGGTGGGAAGATCGCTTGAGCCTAGGAGTTCTAGAATGGCCTGGGCAACACAGTGGGACTTCGACGCTACAAAAAATTAAAGAATTAGCCGAGGCTAGGCGCAGTGGCTCACGCCTGTAACCCCAACACTTTGGGAGGCTGAGGCGGGCAGATCACCTGAGCACAGGAGTTCCAGGCCATCCTGGGCGACATGGTGAAACCCCATCTCTACTAAAATACAAAAAATTAGCCAGGCGTGATGGTGCATGCCTGTAGTCCCAGCTACTCCGGAGGCTGAGGCACGACAATCGCTTGAGCCCAGGAGGCAGAGGTTGCAGTGAGCTGAGATCAAGCCACTGCACTCCAGCATGGGCTACAGAGTGAGACTCCGTCTCAAAAAAAAAAACAAGAATTAAGAATTAGCCTGGTGTGGTGGTGCATGCCTGTAGTCCCAGCTACTCGGGAGGCTGAGGTTGGGGGCTCACTTGAGCCCAGGAGTTTGAGGCCCTGATTGTGCCACAGAACTCCAGCCTGGAGTTCAGTGACAGAGTGAGGCCCTGTCTCAAAAAATAATAAAAATAAAATAAAATTAGTTTTCTTTCCTGTATGCCACTCTGCCTGACTAACCTTAAAAAAGTAATCTCTTTAAACACCTGTGCAATTTACCTAACTATATTTTTCATAATGTCCTTTGACCTTTATACTTATTACATAAATATTTTACATGCTTATCATTTAAATATGTAAACAACTGATATAGACCTTGTGTTTCTCATAATTTTTATCAGCTACATAATGTTGGATCATATTTATACACTATCATTCACCTTTGATCTATCCAAAATATTTGAGGAAGGAGAAAGAAAAGAATAAAGAAATAAAGTGTGATATACCATCTAAATGGGCCTACAATTGCTGAACATTGATCTGTTTCCATATCATAAAAATATTCCTAGGTTTGGTGCAGTGGCTCATGCCTGTAATCCCAGCACTTTGGGGGGCCTAGGCAGGTGGATCACATGAGGTCAGGAGTTATAGACCAGCCTAGCCGACATGATGAAACCCCGTCTCTACTGAAAATACAAAAATTAGCCAGGTATGGTGGTGTGCGCCTTTCATCCCAGGTACTCAGGAGGCTGAAGCAGGGGAATCACTTGAACCCCGGAGGTGGAGGTTGCAGTGAGCCGAGATTGTGCCACTGCACTCCAGCCTAGGGGAAAAAAGTGAGACCCTGTCTCAAAAGAAAAAAAAGAAAAAAAAGAAAAAAAATGTGACAGACAATCTGAATAGGCCTACAATTATTGAAAATTGTTTCCATGTCACAATCTGTTTCCATGTCACAAAAATATTTCTCTCTAGTATTTTGTTCTGACAGCTCAAATATAGTAGGAGAATACTAATTTTAAAAAGAGAAATGAATCAATAAGTAATTAATAAACAACCTTCCAGAACAGAAAGCCTCAAGCCCAGATTGATTTCACTGATAAATTCCACGAAACATACAAGAAAGAAAGTATGCTAATTTTCTACTATCTCTTTTGGAAGACGAAAGCAGAGAAAATATTTCTCAACTGTTTCTATGAGACCAGCACTGCGCTAACTACTAAAGCAGGCAAAAACATTACCAGAAAATAAAGAAAAAAAGGAAGGGAGGAAGAAAAGAGGTAAGGGGGAAATGGAGGGAGGGAAGAGGAAAGGAAGGGAGGGAGGGAGGGAGGGGCGGAGGAAGAAAGGAAATAAGAGGAAACGATACTGACCAATATTTCTGATGAACATAGATATCTCAATAAAATATTAGCAAATTGAATCCAACAGTGTATAAAAACAACTGCACACCACAACCAAATGGCATTTATCCCAGGGGCATAAGATTGTTTGAATATTTATAATCAGTTAATGTAAACCATCATATCAACAGGCTAAAGAAAAAATTATCTAATCATAACAATGGATGCGGAAAGAGCATTTGATAAAAAAATTAAACACCAATTCGTGGCTTTCTTAATGCTCAGTAAAATAGGATTGGAAGGGAGCTTCCTCAACTTGATAAAGAATATGCAAAAGTACCCTACAGCTAACATCATACTTAACGGTGAGAAGCTAGAAGCTTTTCCGCCAAGATCAGCAGTAAGGTAAGGATGTCCTCTCTTACCATTGCTGTTCAACATTGTACTGGAAGTCACAGTTAATGCAATAAGATAATAGGAGAAAATTAAAAGTACTCAGATTGTGGCTGGGGGTGGTGGCTCACGCTTGTGATCCCAGCGCTTTAGGAGGCTGAGGCAGGCAGATCATGTGAGGTCAGGAGTTCGAGACCAGCCTGTCCAATATGATGAAACCCAGCCTCAACTAAAAATACAAAAATTAGTCGGGCATGGTGGCATGCACCTGTAATCCCAGCTACTTGGGAGGCTGAGGCAAGAGAATCGCTTGAACCCGGGAGGCAGAGGTTGCGGTGAGCCAAGGTCACACCATTGCACTCCAGCCTGGGCAACAAGAGCAAACTCCATCTCAAAAAAAAAAAAAAAGTACGCAGATTGTAAAGGAAGAGACAAAACTGTCTTTGTTTGCAGAAGCCATGATTATCTATGCAGAAAAGTCAAAAGAATCAACAACAACAAAAAAAACTAGAATTTATAAGTCTTTATGAAAGTTTGCAGGATATAAGGTTAATACATAAAAGTCAATCACTTTTCTATATAGCAATGAACAAGTGGAATTTGAAATCAAAACCACAATACCATTGACACTGGTACCCTGAAAATTGAATTACAGATGTATGAATCTAACAAAATATGTACAATATCTATAGGAGAAAAAGGACAAAACTGATGAAAAAAATCAAAGAACTAAATGAATAGAGAGATATTCCACATTCATGATTAGGAAAACTCAATGTTTTCAAGATGTCAGTTCTTCCCAACTTGATCTATAGATTCAAAGCAATCTCAATAAAAATCCTAGACAGGTTTGTGAAATGGGGAAATGATTCCCTATTTAATAAATGGTGCTGGGAAAACTGGCTAGCCATATGTAGAAAGCTGAAACTGGATCCCTTCCTTACACCTTATACAAAAATTAATTCAAGATGGATTAAAGACTTAAACGTTAGACCTAAAACCATAAAAACCCTAGAAGAAAACCTAGGCAATACCATTCAGGACATAGGCATAGGCAAGGACTTCATGTCTAAAACACCAAAAGCAATGGCAACAAAAGCCAAAATTGACAAATGGGATCTAATTAAACTAAAGAGCTTCTGCACAGCAAAAGAAACTACCATCAGAGTGAACAGGCAACCTACAGAATGGGAGAAAATTTTTACAATCTACCCATCTGACAAAGGGCTAATATGCAGAATCTACAAAGAACTTAAACAAATTTACAAGAAAAAATCAAACAACTCCATCAACAAGTGGGCGAAGGATATGAACAGACATTTCTCAAAAGAAGACATTTATGCAGCCAACAGACACATGAAAAAATGCTCATCATCACTGGCCATCAGAGAAATGCAAATCAAAACCACAATGAGATACCATCTCACACCAGTTAGAATGGCGATCATTAAAAAGTCAGGAAACAACAGGTGCTGGAGAGGATGTGGAGAAACAGGAACACTTTTACACTGTTGGTGGGAGTATAAACTAGTTCAACCATTGTGGAAGTCAGTGTGGCGATTCCTTAGGGATCTAGAACTAGAAACACCATTTGACCCAGCCATCCCATTACTGGGTATATACCCAAAGGATTATAAATCATGCTGCTATAAAGACTCATGCACATCTATGTTTATTGCAGCACTATTCACAATAGCAAAGACTTGGAACCAAGCCAAATGTCCAACAATGATAGACTTGATTAAGAAAATGTGGCACATATACACCATGGAATACTATGCGGCCATAAAAAAATGATGAGTTCATGTCCTCTGTAGGAACATGGATGAAGCTGGAAACCATCATTCTCAGCAAACTATCGCAAGGACAAAAAACCAAACACCGCATGTTCTCACTCATAGGAGGGAATTGAACAATGAGAAGACATGGACACAGGAAGGGGAACATCACACATCGGGGCCTGTTGTGGGGTGGGTGGAGGGGGGAGGGATAGCATTAGGAGATATGCCTAATGTTAAATGACGAGTTAATGGGTGCAGCACACCAGCATGGCACATGTATACATATGTAACTGACCTGCACGTTGTGCACATGTACCCTAAAACTTAAAGTATAATAAAAAAAAATCCTAGACAGTTATTTTGTGAATATCAACAACTTGATCCTACAGTTTATGTGCAGGGGCAAAAGACCCAGAATAGCCAACACAATATTGAAAGATTAAAACAAAGTTGGAGGGCTGACACTATCCAACCTCGAGACTTACCATAAAGCTACAGTAATCAAGAAAATGTCATATCAGTGAAAGAAAAGACAAACAGGCCCATAGAACAGAATAGAGGGCCCAGAAATAGATCAACGTAAATACAGTCAACTGATGTTTGGCAAAGGTGAGAAGGCAACATGATGGAGAAAATTAGTCTTTTCTTTTCAAAAAAAAAGAAATGGTGCTAGAACAACTGGACATCCACACACAAAAGAAAATCTAGACAGAGATCTTACACCCTTCACAAATGTTTATTCAAAATGGACCATAGGGCTGGGCAAGGTGGCTCAAGCCTGAAATCCTAGCACTTTGGGAGGCCGAGGCGTGCGGATCGCTTGAGCCCAGGAGTTTGAGACCAGCCTGGGCAACCTGGCGAAACCCCGTCTCTACTAAAAATATGAAAAATTAGCCAGTCGTGGTGGTGCTTGCCTATAGTCCCTGCTACTCAGAAGGCTCACCTGAGCTCAGGAAGTTGAGCCTGTGGTGAGCCAAGATCGTGCCACTGCACTCCAGCCTGGGCGACATGAGTGAGACCATCTCTCAAAAATAAATAAATAAATGAATGAAAATAAAAACTAAATAAATATATAAATATATAAAATAATTTAAAAATTTAAATGGATCATAGATCTAAATGTAAAACATAAGATTATAAAACTCTTAGGAAATAACATAGAGAATCTAGATGATCTTGGGTTTGGCAATAAATTTTTAGATATGACACCAAAGGCATAATTTATAAAAGAAAAAATGATAAGCTAGACTTCATCAACGTCAAAAATTTCTGTTCTGAAGGCTGGGTGTGGTGGCTCATGCCTGTAATCCCAGGACTTTGGGAGGCTGAGGCAGGCAGATCACCTGAGATCAGGAGTTAGAGACTAGCCTGCCCAACATGGTGAAACCCCATCTCTACCAAAGATACAAAAAAATTAGCCAGGTATGGTGGCACACACCTGTAATCCCAGCTACTTGGGAGGCTGAGGCAGGAGAATCACTTGAACCCGGGAGGTGGAGGTTGCAGTGAGCAGAGATCGCATAGCTGCACTCCAGCCTGGGCAACAGAGTGAGACTCTGCCACAAGAAAAACAACTAAAACAAAACAAAACAAAAATTCTGCTCTGCAAAAGACACTGGTAAGAGGATAAAAAGAGAAGCCACAGACAGTGAAAAAAATATTTGCAAAAGACATGTCTGATAAAGTACTGTTATCCAAAACATACAAAGAACACTTAAAGCTCAACAATAAGAAAATGGGCAACCCAATTCAAAAATAGGCAAGAGGTCTGACCAGACACCTCCTCAAAGAAGGTATGTGGATGGCAGGTGAGCTTAGGAGAAGATGCTCCACATCCTATATCATCAGGGAAATGCAAATTAAAACAACAATGAAGTATCAGCACACGCATATTAAAGTGGTCAAAATTCAGAAAACTTACAGCACCAAATGCTGGTGAGAAGGTGGAACAGCAGCAACTTTCATCATTGCCGCCGAGAATGCAAAATGGCACAGTCACTTTGAAAGACAGTTTGGCAGTTTCTTACACAACTAAACATACTCTTGCCATACAATTCAGGATATGTGCCCCTTACTGTTTACCCAAAGGAGTTGAAAACATATGCCCACACACTGTTTATAGCAGCATACTGATGTTCACAGCAGCTTTATTTATAATTGACCAAACTTGGAGGCAATCAAGACGTCCTTCAGTAGCTGAATGGGTAATTAAACTGTGATATGTGCAAACAATGGAATATATTCAGCATGAATAGAAATCAACCACGAAGTCATGAAAAGACATGAAGGAGCTTAAATGCATATTACAAAGTGAAAGAAGCCAATCTGAAAATGCTACATATTGTATTATTCCAACTATACAATATTCTTGAAAGGGACCAGCCTGGGCAACATGGTGAGAACTGTCTCTACAAAAAAAAATATATATATATACAAAAATTAGCCAGGCAATGCGGTACATGCCTGTAGTCCCAGCTACTCAGGAGGCTGAGGTGGAAGGACTGCCTGAGTCCAGGAGGCAGAGGTTACAGTGAGCCATGATTGTGCCACTGCACTCCAGCCTGGATGACAGAGGGAGACCAAAGAAAGAAGGAAAGAAAGAAAGAAAAAGAGAGAGAGAGAGAAATAAAGAAAGAAAGAAAGAGAGAGAAAGAGAGAGAGAGAGAGAAAGAGAGAAAGAGAGAGAGAAAGGAAGAAGAAAGAAAGAAAAAAGAAAGAAAGAAAGGAAGAAAGAGAGAGAGAAAGAAAGAGAGAAAGAAAGAGAGAAGAAAGAAAGAAAGAAGAAAAGAAAGAAAGAAAGAGAGAGAAAGAAAGAAAGAAAGAGAGAGAGAAAGAAAGAAAGAGAAAGAGAGAAAGAAAGAAAAAGAAAGAAAGAGAAAGAAAGAAAGAAAGAAAGAAAAGAAAGAAAGAGAAAGGAAGGGCAGGGCAGGGCAGGGCAAGGCAAGGCAAGGCAAGGCCTATGGAGACAGTAAAAAATATCAGTGGTTTCCAGGAGATAGAGGGAAGGGAAGGATGAGTAGGTGGAGATTATAGAAGATTTATGGCAGTGAAGCTATTTTGTATGATACTATAATAGTAGACACATGTCATTATACATTTGTCCAAAGCCATAGAATGTACAACACCAAGAATGGACTCTAATATGAACTATGTACCGTGAGCGATAATAATGTGTCAATGCGGGTTCATTCATTTTAACAAATGTGCCACTCTGGTAAGGGATGTTGATACTCAAGAGGCTTGTGTGTTAGGAGGGCGGAGTAAGGGTGTACAGGAACTCTGTGTTCCCTGATCAATTTTGCTGTGACACTAAAACGGCTCTAAAAAATAAAGTCTATTGTCCAGGCACAGTGGTTCACGCCTGCAATCCCAACACTTTGGGAGGCTTAGGTGGGAGCATCGCTTGAGCCCAGGAACTCAAGACCAGCCTGGGCAACATAGCAAAACCCTGTCTCTAAAGAAAATTAAAAACATTATCCAAGCATGGTGGCGCACCTGTGGTCCCAGTTACTGGGGAGTCTGAGGCGAGACGATCTCTTGAGCCCCGGAGTTCGAGGCTGCAGTGAACCATGATCACACCACCACACTCCAGCCTGGGTAACAGAGCGAGACTCTATCTCTAAAAAATGTCTATTTTAAAGAAGTTTTAATACATGCAGTGGAAACACACAAAAAATAAGTCAGATGCTACAAAGTGATCTGTGAAAACTGAATTTCCCTTCCACCTGCAAAACTTAGTCTCCTAAGACCCACTAAATTTAATTGCCAGTTCATAAATGTATCTCTTCCAGATACACTTTAGAATCTTCTTGTTGAGTTCCACAAATATCCTGCTGGGATTTCATTTGGACTGCAATGATTTATTTAATTAAATTTTATTTTATTTTAAGTTCCAGGATACATGTGCAGGATGTGCAGGTTTGTTACACAGGTAAATGTGTGTCATGGTGGTTTGCTGCACCCACCAACCCATCACCTAGGTATTAAGCCCCGCATGCATTAGCTATTTATCCTGATGCTCTCCCTCCCCCTGACCCTCCCAACAGACTCCATTGTGTGTTGTTCCCCTCGCTGTGTCCATGTGTTCTCATTGTTCAGCTCCCACTTCTAAGGGAAAACATGCCATGTTTGGTTTTCTGTTCCTGTGTTAGTTTACTGAGGATGATGGCTTCCAGCTCCATTCATGTCCCTGCAAAGGACATAATCTTGCTCCTTTTATGGCTGCCTAGTATTCCACGGTGTATATGTGCCATATTTTCCTTATCCAGTCTATCACTGATGGGCATTTGGGTTGATTCCATGTCTTTGCTATTGTGAATAGTGCTACTGCAATGAATTTATAGGTTCGTTCAGGTATCTTCCCATTTAATTTTGTGTTTGTGCTTGAAATTTATGAGAACTGTTTCATGATCCCTCGTTTTAATAGCACCATTTTCTTCTCTGGGTGCACTGTCATGTGAAGAAGTCTCTGGAGAGAATAGTGAGGAGTCAAGCTCCTGGTTAAAAACCTACGTGAGGGCAGGCACAGTGGCTCACACCTGTAACCCTGGCACTTTAGGTGGCCAAGGTGGGTGGATCACTTGAGGTCAGGAGTTTGAGACCAGCCTGGCCAACATGGTGAAACTCCATCTCTACTAAAAATACAAAAATTAGCCGGGTGTGGTGGCAAGTGCCTGTAATCCCAGCTACTCAGGAGGCTGAGGCAGGAGAATCACTTGAACCCAGGAGGTGGAGGTTGCAGTGAGCCAAGATCACGCCACTGCACTCCAGCCTGGATGACAGAGCCAGACTCTGTCTCAGACAACAACAACAAAATCCCCTCCATGTGATCTTTCAAGCCTGACCGTAGGCAATTATAGAATTACAGAGGCTTTAACTGGCAGGGCTCATGGGGGAAATTGTCCTCCCCACACCAGACCCAGTGCATAATCAATGCGTCACAGTCTCCTAGGAGAGTTGCAGTCAAGGACTCGAGTCCCCTTGACCAGCCATGGTCTTACACGTATCTCCTTTCAAAGTTACCTTTATTAGTTACCTTCAGCGGAGGGCTTCCTTGGGCACCTCTGCCAAGACATCCTTGTCATAGAAAAACAGGGGAAACATGAAGACACACTTTCACCCACTATGACTCAGTACCCAGTACTTTTCCACACCTAGCCCTTCCTCCTCTTCCTCCCCTTAGCCTCCATTCCATAAAACTGCAGAAGCCTTTTGTTGTAGGATTGTGCAGCAGTGAGATGACCCCCACGTCTGTGCAATCTACCTTACCCTCAAATCACCATTTGGTGATGCGAGTGGGAAAAAATGGAATGGTAGAAGCTGGTGCTTTCTCTGATGGAGCCTCATTCCTGTGCTATCACAGCAAGTGATGAAAGTCTTGACTGTTGCTTTAGTGTGGGTGATATGGTTTGGATGTGTCCCCACCCAAATCTCATCTAGACTTGTAGTTCCTAAAATTCTCACGTCATGGGAGGGATCCAGTGGGAGGTAATCGAATCATGGGTGTGGTCACTCCCATGCTGCTGTTCTCATGATAGTGAGTAAGTTCTCATGAGATCTGATGGTTTTATAAGGGGCTTTTCCCACTTTTGCTCAGCACTTCTTGCTGCCACCACGTGAAGAAAGACGTGTCTGCTTCCCCTTCCACCACAACTGTTAAGATTCCTAAGGCTTCCCAAGCCACGCTGAACTGTGAGTCAATCAAACCTCTTTCCCTCATAAATTACCCAGTCTCAGTTATGTCTTCATTAGCAGTGTGAGACCTGACTAATGCAGTGGGCTTGCTATCTTCACTGGGTCCTTCAACACTGGGCAGCTCAGCTCTCTCTCCTTCTTAGCTGAGCCCATGACAAATGGAAATGAGCAAATTATTGGGCTGTCTTTTCTTCCTTCTGTTGGGTCTGTTGCTTGGAGATTAGTTCTGTTTCATCTGGTTCTTCCTCTTTTGAGGCAAGACAATAGCAGAGGGAATTGGAGAATTGGAGGCTGGATAAAGGATGGAATGAGTAGGAGTAGAAGCAGGATAAAGAGGTGGGTGAGCAAGAAGCAAGATAATAAGCAGAAGTTGAGCAGCCAAAACAAAGGTGAGATAAAATAAGTGAGTAAAGAGACCCCATGGCCAGCAAGATCTGGACCAAACCTGTCAGGGGCAGCTCCTCAGAGATGGGCATGTGCATTTGAGGAAAAGGTATCCTTAAAATGACCGCACATGATCATCAGCTACTTAAGGTTCATGCATATGGACTGCATATCGTGCATGTACTTAAAAGTATGGGATGGAGGCAACATGCAAGTGCACAAGGGTCAAAGTAACTAAGTAACCCACCTATCAATCAAAAGGCAGACACTGGCTAAAGATTAGGCAGCCTTGGGAAAAGAAGAGAAAAAAACATATCAAAGAAACCCAAATACACCTAACTGGTGCTGATCTCATTTCTCAAAGGTCAGTCCACTCTCCCTTTTCCAAGAGTGTAATACTGTGCTTAATAAACTTTTGCTGCTTTGCTATCTGTGTGCATCTCACACAATTCTTTGTTCAGGGCATGAAGAGCCTGGAACAGCGTGATACCATCTGGTAACACTTTAACGCCCTTAGGTAAATGCTGGGTAAACATGGATTGCCCTGCTGATGAGTGAGGGACCATGTTGATTATTATTGCTTTTGTTCTCTTTGGTTTTAGATTTACTTCCACATCAGGCCTTTTGGTAGATGGGTGGGTCAGACCCTATCAACAGGCATGGGTTGGGGGCTTGCAGGCAGCCTCAAGACTCCTTCCCCATAGCTAAATTTAGGAAGACTTGACTTGGGAAGGCTGAGGCTTTCCTGAATTTCTTTTAGTGTTCTATTCTTTGTTGCATTTTTTCTCTGTTCACTGTGGAGATCTGGAGCAAGCGCTCATTGGATGTACTTCTCCCCCAGACTCCAAAACCCATTGGGATGCACCACTCCCACACCTATAGAGAGAGGAAGAGAGGGAGAGGAGGAGGAGAGAGTGGCAGCATCTGTCCTTTCTGAGAATGTGAACTGAGACGCCAAAACAGATGCCCCTGTATCAACTAAGACGGGCCCTAACATTAAGGAGAGTGAAGCAGTGTCCTTGTCTGGGGTAAATGCTCAAGGTTCTTGTCTCATGCCAGGGAAATTGAGGATGCAGACACACAAGAAGTGAGTTTAAGAGTGGAAGTTTAATAGGTGAAAGAAAGAGAAAAGAGAATAGCTCTCTCTTCTGCAGAGAGAGAGGGGCTCCCAGGTGGGACTTCCAGTCCAGCAAAGTGCATGGGGTTTTATAGACTAGCTTGATGAGGCAGTGTCTGATTTACAAAAGGCCCAAAGATTGGTTGGACCAGGTGTACCATTTACATACTGCGAGAAGAAGCTGGCCACCCCACCCTAATATTTTATTATGCAAATGGGTAATCTACCTGACCTGCGCCACGTTACCTCTTTCTTTACTGTACATGTGGTTGACAAAGAAAAGGAAAGATGGAGCAGCCATGTTGAACATGTCTAGTGCCCAGGCAGCCTTTTCCTATTGGCACAGCTGCTATGCAAGCTTCCATCTTGCTTATCTATCTCTGCAGCTTGATTTTACAGGCTGCTGTTTATTAGAAAAGAAATGATTTGGGGTTGCTTTTCATTAAAAGGAAAACCTTACTGAGTGAGGCTAAGAGTGAAGGATTAATAGGCAACAGAAAGAGAAAAGAGAATAGTTCTCTCTCCCGCAGAGAGATAGGGGCGCCCAAGTGGGTCTTCTAGTCCCGTGGCAAAGTGCACAGGGTTTTGTAGACTGGCTTGAGGAGGCTGTGTCTGATTTACATAGGGCCCAAAGGTTGGTTGGACCAGGAGTGACGATTACATAGTGCTGCAAAGAAGCTGGCCATCCACCCTAATCTTTCATTATGCAAATCGATTTTCTACCTGGACAGCAGCATGTTGCCTGCTCCTTACTATACACGTGGTTGGCAAAGATAAGGGAAGAGGGAGCCCCCACGTTGAAAATGCCTGGCCCTCAGATAGCCTTTTCCTACTGGCACAGCTGCCAGCATTCTCCCTTGCAAGCTTCCAGCTTGCTTATCTATGTCTGCAGCCTGATTTTACAGGCTGCTTTTGTTAGAAAACAAATGATTTGGGGGCTGCTTTTCATTAAAAGGGAAACTTTACTGAGGACTCTCTTACCCTCACTACCTGCCTAAATAATTTCTTTTTAATGCCTGTATCATTTAGGATAGAAATTCCCAGGATCCGTGGTGCTTCCATAGCAAAGGAAGAACGTCTCCAGGGAGATGACTTTACAGTTGAGCCCTGGATGATGAGATTCGATCATGAAAGAATTGGAGAAGAGCATCCTGAGGGCAGGGACAGGCAAGTCAAAAGGTCCCAAGACAAGAAAAGATCATCCATGCGGGGGCCAAGGCCAGGGTGGCCACGAAGAAGGGAGAAGAGCTGGAGAGGAGATGTGAAGAGTTAGCAGGGCTCAGTGGTGCACAGTCCCTTAGGCTGTGAAAGGAGATCAGCATCTGTAGCCGAATTTTATTTTGAGACATTAACTGAAGCTCCTTCTATTCTCCTACCCCTTACCCTTCCAGGTGCTCCCACTGACAGAGCAGGAGCATCGCCATCTTGGACAAGCACCACCATTTTAAAGTTTGCCTTGATCAAAACTGCCTAAATCCAAAGGGCATCAGCCTAATGGCTAAGGTCAGCATGACCATAAACCACAAATGACATCTCCGACCAGAAACATTCCAACCCTAAGATAAACCCCTCCCCAACCAGAGACATGCCAGCCCTGAGATAACCTCCCCTCCAGCCGGAGAGATGTCTGCACCAAGACAATCTCCCCTTTGACCACAGACATTCCAACCCTGCCATAAACATTTCCCCCACAAAGAAACATTCCAAGCCTGTAATAAGCTCTCTCACCCTAAAACCAATAAATACCCTTAGTCTGTAAGAGAGAGTGCTCCTGACCGAAATCAGCCAGAAGCCCCTATCAGGTCTATTCTCCAAAATAAGCCTGTCTTTGTTGAGCTTCTTTTTGTGTTTCTTTCGTCTTTCTTTAACTCTTACACCACCACTCTTGGAAAACATTGCCGCCTATATGCACAGCCCTCTAGGGGTAACGCTGATCCAATGAGCACAAATATTTCAATTTTTGCTTTGGATCTCCAAGACACTGTCCTAAAAGTCATGGCAGAACCAACTGTCTTGAAAGGCAACATGCTTTAATAGCCAGGCTTTCTGAGAGAGGAAGTAATAATGGGCAGATTTTTTGAGCATTTACTGTGACCTGGCACTGCCCTGAGTCCTTTACACTTAGTCCTCTGGACAACTCTGAGGTAGGTAGTGTTGTCCCCATTATATGGTTAGGACGCTGAAGCTCAGAGAGGGAAATTAACTTGCCCAAGTCACACAGCAGAACCGAGATTTGAGCCCAAGCAGTCCAGTTCCAGATCCCGTGCCTTTGGGTGATGTCTGCTTCCAATGGTTTGGCTTTGAATCTCAAGGGTCAAAAGGGATGGCTCTGACTCCAATCCCACCCCAAGATGGGCCAGGGAGACCTGTGCTGGGAATGGAGGAGAAACCTAGAGATGAAAGGGTGGGGCCCGTCCTCCCACTGACACTCATGAGAGTGCCGGGCACACAGTGGAGGAGGGAATGGTGGGAGGGGGTTGTGGTAGCACCTGTTGACCAGGCTGCCTGGGCAGCATCAGGGAGCCCAGAAGAGAAAGGGAGGGGGCTCCCTGAAGGTAGGCAATGGGGGCTACAGAGGAAAGCAACTAGAAGGGCAGACATAGCAGGGGGACATTGGCAAGGAAAGGAACTAAAAATTCTGAAGCGCCAGCCAGGGCGGAAGATGCACCCCTCTTTCCCTGTGCTCTGGGCTGGCCAAGGGCCTCTGTCTTGGGGGCACCAGCAGCCCAGATGAATGGATCTACCTCTACAGGTTCTTCTTCCTTACTCAGAGCCTCAGTCTTTCTCCTTAAATGCCTTTATAACCCTGGTCCCTCTCCTGCTCAAATACCTCCCATAGCTCCCTATTGCCCACTGGATAAACTCCATAGTTGGCCTCCAAGAGAACCTGCTACCAGAGTGTAGGTCTCGTGTTCAGCCAGGGAGGCAGTCAGGGTGTTGCTCTCAGAGATGCCCCCCTGCCCTGATCCCCTGCCTCCCACTGACCCAGCCCACCTCTGAATCCTCACAGTCCCCAAGCACCCCGTGATGGCTCTGGGTGAGACTCAGGCAAAGAGGACAGCACAGTTTTATTCATGGGATTCTGCAAAGGTGTGGGTGGGTGGCTTGGGTGGGGTCCAAGGCCAAGCGGCTATGGGTCACTGTGGGTCTGCGCTCAGGGGCTTCACCCACAGCCAAAGTCCGCCCTCTGCATACATTATGACCTCCGGCTTCCTGCGGGGCTCCATGTGGTCTGGACAGACACGGAAGCACAGCAGCGTGAGCGCCAGGACCACCTTCATCTCAGCCATTGCAAACGCCTGCCCAATGCAGTTCCTGGTGCGGGGGAAGGGACTCTGACTGCACCCAGGACCCGCATCCCGGCCCCATCCCTGGCCCCAGACCCTGAATCAGGCCCACACAACTCTGAGTTTTTACACTTAGTCCTCTGGACAACCCTGAGGTAGGTAGTGTTGTCACCATTATATGGTTGGGAAAATAAAGCTCAGAGAGGGGAATTAACTTGCCCAAGTCACACAGCAGAGCTGAGGCTTGAGCCTAAGCAATCTGATCCAGATCCCATGCCTTTGGGGTGGTGTTTGCATCCAGCGGTCTGGCTTTGAATCTCAAGGGTCAAAAGGGATGGCCCTGACCCCGACCCCACCCCAAGATAGGCCAAGGTGGGCTGTGCTGGGAATGGAGGAGGAACCTGTAGGTGAAAGGGTGGGGATTCGCCCTCCCCGTGACACTCTTGGGAGAGCGCCTGGCACACAGTTGGGGAGCGAGAGGGTGGTCTCAGGAAGCATCTGTTGGCCAGGCTGCCTGGGTAGCATCAGGGGACCCAGAATAGAAAGGGAGGGGGTTCCCTGAAGGCAGGGGAAGTGGGTCACAGAGAACACCAACCAGGAGGGGCAGACAGAGCAGTGGGACATTTGCAAGGAAGGGAACTAAGGATTCCAAAAGCCAGCCAGGGAGGGGCAGAGAAGGGAGCTAACTGTGCCTGGGACCCCCATATGGGCTTGCATATCCCCGGAGCCTGGCCCAGACTCCAGCCCCAGCTGAGACCAGCAGAGGGGGTGGGGGCTCTGAGCATATCACAGACTATTCTTGGAACTACCCAAACCTGTTCTATGGACCTTTGCCCATAAACTCCAGAGGAGGAAAGGAAAGGAAATCTGGAACTGGGACCATCTGCAACATCCTCAGTTTTCAAGCCCCACACCCATCACCCCATCCCTGCCTCAGACACAGGCCACCCTTGTCTGGACCCTGCTGAGAAGGGAATAAAAGCCAGAGGTGATCTCTCTTTGCTATTCTCTGGGTCAAAGCGGAAGGGGTCATAGACCTGGAGGTGAGACCAAGAAGGGTTGCTGGGTGGGGTCTCCCAGGTATGCCAGCCTTGGAGAGACAGACAGTTGTGTGTGTCTTGGAGGGAGGTGATGTTGGATTCTCTTGGTCAAAACCCTGCCCCCTCCTCTAGGACCCCTAAAATGGACCTTAAAAAGGGGGGTATTGGGGAGGCAGCACCTCAGGGTCCAGCCACACAGTTGGGTTGTGGTGAGTCTCAAAATTACTGAAGAGACAGACAATGCCTGTAGGAGAGAAGGGGGCAGTCAGGACAAGGTCCCCCTGCCTGAGAGGCCCCTCTTCCTACCCAGGAGGCACCTCCCCATGAGGCTGTGGGCACCTTTGGGGATGACTCAGCCGCCTGGGAGCACAATGTCCTGGGTGCAGCATCGGGAGATGACAGGGACTGGGGGATGCAGCCACAGGCTGTCCTTAATGTACATGGTCAGGAAGGGCAGCTGGGCCAGGTCATCCCTAAAGAAACACCCAGCCCCAATCATTATCAAGGTAGCAAAGACACAACTCTCCAGTTCTCTGTTTGCAAGTGAGACCTTTTCTCCCTGTAACGAACTCCACATGGAACAAATGTTTGAGGATTAGAAAACCAGAAAAAAAAAATAGAAAGATTCCAAAGAAAATTTAACCAGGTAGTTTAAAAAGACATATTTTTTAAAAAATCAAAATGCCAACTGTAAAATAAAAAAAATGAATTTGCATAAAAATAAGTATTCTTTGTGACAAGAGAGCAAACTCATAATCCAAATGAATAAGAAACAAAATATACTTTCAATGTTTTGCTCATATTCATCACTGCACTAGAGATACTAGCAAATGCAATTAGACAAGGGAAAAAGAGAATATGTAATTTGAAATGTGGGGTAAATGTATCATTTTGGAACAGTGATTCTGAGTCTTTTAATAGAGTTTAAAATTTGCTTAGATATCTTAGGCATATTTTGTTAAATCCACTCCTAGATACTTTTGTTGCTATGGAAAAATGTGTCACCTTTTATTTGGGTTCAGGGAAATTTATGAATTCATTTGGAATATAGAGATTTTGTGTTTCTTGTTAAATTTAATCCAGGTATTTTATATTATTATTATTATTATTATTATTATTATTATTATTATTGGCATCTTTTCTTTCATGCTGTTTTCCAGCTGGTTGTTATTTCTACCAAGAAAGACTAATGAATACATATAAATTGTGTGCCCAATGAACACAGTACATGCTAAAAATGGTGTCTCATATCAATAGCAAAATTATTGATCATTTAATAAAAGCCCTTGGGATGACTGGGGAACAGCATGGAAAAAGAGTAAACTTAACCTGGTTCTCATGTCTTATAACAAGATAATGTCCAGATGAATCAAGTATTTAAAAAAAATTTTTTTAAAGAATCTTAAAAGCTATAGAAGAAACCATGGGAATATTATTTTATACTTCCAGATTAAGAAAACCTTATTTTCACACAGGTCCCAGGAGATATACAAGAAGAGAGCAATATGTACTTAAACGAGAAAAGGGCCAGGCGTAGTGGCTCAAGCCTGTAATCCCAGCACTTTGGGAGGCCAAAGCAGGTGGATCACAAGGTCAGGAGTTTGAGGCCAGGCTGGCCAATATGGTGAAACCCCATCTCTACTAAAAATGCAAAAATTAGCCAGGTGTGGTGGCCTGCACCTATAGTCCCAGCTGCTTGGGAGGCCGAGGCAGGAGAATTGCTTGAACCTGGGAGGTGGAGGTTGCAGTGAGCCAAGCCCATGCCACTGCACTTCAGCCTGGGCAACAGAGTAAGATTCTGTCTCAAAAAAAAAAGAGAGAGAGAGAGAGAAAAGATACAAAGCAGTCCATGCAGCGTATAGTATGTTACTGTGGAATTTTTTAAAGATGCTAAAAGTAGCTCTGGAAAAATACATAAAAATATAATAACTTAGACAATCTGTGTGCGTGTGGAATTTGGGTGGTTTTGGCCATTGGGGTGAGTAAACTTTATAGATTTTGAACCAGTTAAGTGCATTGGTATTAAAAATTTAAACAGCCACACAAAAGGAAGAAATGTCAAGAAAAAGAATTCAGCTCCCTTACTGGGTCATCAGTGTTTGTAAAAGTTTTCTGATGGATTCTCTTGTTTCTTTTAAGTACAGAATCAGAATCACTGTCTGCCAAAATGATACATTTACCCCCACATTTCAAATTACATACTCTTTTTTCCTTGTCTAATTGCATTTGCTAGTATCTCTAGTGCAATGATGAATACAAGCAAAACATTGAATGTATATTTTGTTTCTTATTCATTTGGATTATGCGTTTGCTCTCTTGCCACAAAGAATACTTATTTTTATGCAAATTCATTTTCTTTTTTCTTACAGTTGGCATTTTGATTTTTTAAAATATGTCTTTTTAAACTACCTGGTTAAATTTTCTTTGGAACCTTTCAATTTTTTTTTTGTGGTTTTCTAATCCCCAGACATTTGTTCCATGTGGAGTTCGTTACAGGGAGACTAGATGGATATCCAATCCACACACTAGGGTAGAATGTATCACTGCTATGTGAAGTAACCCATTTTCCACATATCAATCATATATCCAAGTCAACCAATAAAATATATTCAAATCAACTTTAAAAATCTATCTGATTTTTTGAGGAAGTTGATAAACATACTCTAATTTTTTTCTGAAAAATAAAAGATCACGAAGAACTAAGTCAATCTGAAAATAAAATTTAAAGAGAGGGAAGTCATTCCACCCAGTATTACAAACTATTACAGGCTGGGCATGGTAGCTCATGCCTGTAATCACAGCATTTGGGGAGGTCAAGGCAGGAGGATCACTTGAGACCAGGAGTTCAATACAAGCTTGGGAAGCAAAGTGAGATCCCAACTTGACAAAATAATTTTTAAAAAATTAGCCAGATGTGGTGGTGCAGGCCTATAGTCCGAGCTAGTCAGGAGGCTGAGATGGACTGCTTAAGCCCAGGTATTCGAGGCTACAGTGAGCTGTGATTGCTCACCACTGCACTCTAGCCTGGGCGGCAAAGAGAGACCCTGTCTCCAAAAAAGAAAAAATAATGTTAAAAAAACGACTGCAAAGTCACACGAATACAAATAGTGTGGCATCATTGCAAAAATAAGAAAATAGACTCATGAAACAGAATGGAGAACTCAGAGACAGACACATGAATAAGCTAAAATGTCACATCTGGTAAAGGGAGTCCCCTAAAACTCTTGGAGAAATGGATGGATTTTCTGGCTGTAGAAGAAAAAAAGTGGAGGAATTTAACTTCATAGAAATTCATCAAAAGTATCCTCCAAAAGTTAAAAGGCAATAGTTTGTAACAAAACAGAGAAAACAAGATTAATTTTAATACACATTTGTAAAAGTAAATATTTTTAAAGAATCCAAAAAAAACCAGCAAAAAATAAGAAAACCACTTCCATAAAAAGAAAACAAATAACTTATCAACATGTGCAAGAGATGTTCAATCTCACCCTTAATTAGGAAAATGTTCATTAAAAGTAGAAATATAAAGATTGACAAAGATTTAAAATTCAATAGTACAACACTACTTTTGGTAAAGTTACTGGAAAGCCTGTACCATCAAATCAGCTAATAGAAATGGACTTTCTATCATAATTGAAGTTGTACAGTGCAAATGGTCTTTGATTCTTCAATTCCACTTCACAGAATTTGTCCTGCAGAGGTGTCTACACTTGTAAGCAAAGGTCACTGTAAACACATGCCAACTGCCTATGGAAACCTTTACATAAGTGTCCAATATAGGAATGAGTTGAATAAAATGTGAAATAGAAAAAAAAAGCTGTAAGACACACTGTTGAGTGACAAAAACCAGTTATAAAATGTATAGATACGTATATGCAAAAGGGAAAAAGTATATAGATGTATATGAATATTGATGACATAGATAATTCATAGATAGAAGATACATTGTAGATGATGATGATTGATAGAGGAAACAGAGGAGAGAGAGAGATAAACAGACAATTCTATGGCTCTAGAGACCCATTTGGAGAAAGGGAGGGAATTAAGTGGGGTAGAAGGATTGTCAAGGATAACCCTTGTCTTATCTGTAATATCTCATTTGGTGCAAGAAGAACTTGTTCTCATCATTGTTTTTGTAAATTAATGCTCTTTTTCCATGTGGTATATATACACAATGAAATATCATTCAGCCTTAAAAACACAAAAAAATATATATCATTTGCCACAACATAGAAGAACCTGGAGGACCTTATGCTAAGTGAAGTAAGACAGGCACAGAAAGACAAACACGCATGATCTTACTTATCTGAAATAAGTAAAACTTGATCTAAAATAGTCAAGCTCATAGAAGCAGAGAGTAGAACAGTGGTTACTGGAGGCCAGGGCTGAGGGGAAGGGAGAGGAAATGGTGAGATGTTGGTTAAAGGGTACAAGTTTCAGTTAAAGAGGAATAAGTTCAGATCTATTGGACACAGCATGGTGACTTTAGTTAACAACGTATTGTATTACCTAAAAATGCTTTAAAAAAAATTTCAAATGTTCTTACCACAAATATGATAAGTAAATGGGGTGGTGGGTGAGTTCAGCACCTTGATTTAATTACCATAGATTGTATATATATATCATAATATCACACTCTATAAGTATATATAAATAAAATTTCTCAATTAAAAGTAAAAAACAAACTCATTTCCCAAAACTTGTTAATTGAGAAAATTTTTTTAAATCTCACATATATATACATATATATGTATATACACATATATACATGTACGTGTATATATGTATATATGTATATACATGTATATATATACACATATATATGTATATATACATATATATACACACATATATATACATATATATATGTGTGTGTATATATATATATATGTTGTTTTTTTTTCTTTTTTTTTTTTTTGAGACAGAGTCTCATTCTGTCACCCAGGCTGGAGTGCAGTGGCATCATCTCAACTCACTGAAATCTCCACCTCCCGAGTTCAAGCAATTCTCACGCCTCAACTTCCTGAAGAGCTGGGACTACAGGCATGTGCCAACATGCCTGGCTAATTTTTTCTATTTTTAGTAGAGACACGGTTTCACTGTGTTGGCCAGGCTGGTCTCGAACTCCTGGCCTAAAATGATCTGCCCACCTCAGCCTCCCAAAGCGCTGAGATTACAAGCAGGAGCCACCATGCCTGGCCTCAGAGATATATTGTTAATGCGCAGACCTGTGTGTATTTTATATATTTATACAGAAAAGGGGAGTGTGTGTTTATATAAATGTGGGCATCAGGATAGCCATTTTCTAGAAGAATGCACAGAAAACTATTGACCACAGTCAACGCTCGGGTGGAGCTTAATAAGGAAGTTCATTTTTATCATAAACTCTTTTGGACACTTTTTTTAACCATGTGCATAATTTTGCTTGAAATCTTGGTTTGATACTCCAGAATATTGATCTGGGCAAAGATTTTCTGTGTAACATCTCAAAAATACAGGCAAAAAAAAAGCAAAAATAGACAAATGGGATTATATCAAGCTAAAAAGCTTCTGTACAGCAAAGGAAACAATTAACAAAGTGAAGGAACAAGCTATAGAATGGCAGAAATTATTTCCAAACTATCCATCTAGCAAGAGATTAATAACTAGAATATATAAGGAGTTCAAACAACTCAATAGTAAAGAAAAAAAACAACAACAAATCATATAATTTAAAAACGGACAAAAGATCTGAGTAGACATTTCTCAAAAGATGACATACAAATGGCCAACAGGTAGATGGAAAAAATGCTCCATGTCACTAATCGTCATAAGACATGCAAATTAAAACCACAAGGAGATATCATCTAACCCAGTTAAAATGTCTTTTGTCAAAAAGACAGGCAATAATAGATGGTGGTGAGGATATGGAGAAAGGGGAACTCTCACACACTGTTGGTGGGAATATAAATTAGTACAGCCACTGCAGAGAACAGCATGGAGGTTCCTCAAAAAAACTAAAACTAGAACTACCATATAACCCAGAAATTTCACTACTGCCTATATATCCAAAAGAAAGAAAATCAATATATTGAAAAGGTGCCTGCACTCCCATGTTAATTGCAACACCATTCACAATAGCCAAAATATGGAATCAAGCTAAGTGCCCATCAGTGAATGAATGGGTAAAGAAAATGTGGCATATCTACACAATGGAATACTATTCAGCCATAAAAAGGCTGAAATTTTGTTCTTTGCAGCAACATGGATGGAACTGAAGGTCATTGTGGTAAGAAAAATAAGCCAAGCACAGAAAGACAAATATTGCATGGTGTCACTCATATGCAGGAGATGAAAAAAATGGATCTTATGAAAATAGAAAGTAGATTGGTAGAGGGAAAGGGGGGATAAGGAGAAGTTGATTAATAGGTGCAAATGTATGGTTTGATAGATGAAATAAAAACTGTTCAAGCTGGGCAAGGTGGCTCACGCCTGTAATCGTAGCACTTTGAGAGGCTTAGGTAGGCAGATCACCTGAGGTCAGGAGTTCGAGACCAGCCTGACCAACATAGTGAAACCCTGTCTCTACTAAAAATACAAAAATTAGCCGGGCATGGTGGTGGCACATGCCTGTAGTCCCAGCTACTCAGGAGGTTGAGGCATGAGAATCACTTGAACCTGGGAAGCAGAAGTTGCAGTGAGCTGAGATCGCGCCAATGGACGTCAGTCTGGGCAACAAGAGTAAAACTCCGTCTCAAAAAAAAACAAAAAACAAAACAGTACTCAATGGATCAGTGGGGTGACTATAGTTTGATAGTTTGCTGGTCCTCTCCAGTACACCCTCCACAGTAGCCCTAGAAAGATCTTCCTGGTACCAGATCTGACCTTTCCCTCCCCTCCTCAAACGCATCCCTTGGCTCCCCATTGCCCTTGGGTAAAAGCCAAAGTCATTAACATTTTCCCCAAGGCTTCCATAGCCAGCCCCTGCTGCCATCTCCAGTTTCATCATCTCATTATGACCGAATCTCTCCCTCTCTCTCTCCTTCGCCTTCTCTCTGCTCCTTTCTCTCAACCCAGGAGATCTTACTGAGCTAGAGCCACTGTTCCCCAACTGCACCCAAATATCTACTGACCATCATTCAGGGTCTCAACTGAGACACTTTCTATACCCCCGAGTCATGCTTCTCTTACTGTAAAACCCATCCCTGCCCATATGGGCTGGGAGTGTCCTGACCAGGGACTGCTCCCATGTGGGCGGGAAGCACCTGGAAAATAGGTCCCTGGGTTGTGTCCTTCCCAAAATCTCCAGAGCACAGACAGGTAATGTGAAAAGAACTGGGGGTGGGAATACAGTGTGGGAATGTTTGCTGAATGAGGACCGGGTGGATGAACAATCCAGGTGTTCTGGACAATAAATGAATGATTTTTACTCTGAGGTCTCCATCATGAATCCCTGGACTGGACATAAGTATGGGAATTAGAGAACAGAAGAGCAACCATTAAGGAAGTGAAAATGTTCGAAAAAATATTTCCTGGAGAAAAGGAAGGGTGTGGCATTCATTTGCAGAACGTGTGCTGAGTGGCCTCATCTCCTCTCACTTATTGTCACTAATTCTCTCAGCAGTCCAGTCTTTCCTTTTTAATTTTCTTTCCCTTATTCCTTCAAATATTTATTTCTCTCCTTTTATATTTTAATCTATATCTAATATACTTGTTATCTACATGTTGCATCTCTCTCTCTCTCTCTCTCTCTCTCTCTCTCTCTCTTATTTTATTTTATTTATTTATTTATTTATTTTGAGACGGAGTCTCACTCTGTCGCCCAGGCTGGAGTGCAGTGACGTGATCTCGGCTCACTGCAACCTCCACCCCCTGGGTTCGAGCGATTCTCCCGCCTCAGCCTCCTGAGTAGCTGGGATTACAGGCACCTGCCACCACGCCCGGCTAAATTTTTTGTAGTTTCAGTAGAGATGGGATTTCACTATCTTGGCCAGGCTGGTCTTGAACTCCCAACCTCATGACCCACCTGCCTCAGGCTCCCAAAGTGCTGGGATTACAGGCGTGAGCCACCGCGCCCAGCTGCATCTCTATTTCTATTTATTTCAATAGTTTGGGGGGTACAGGTGGTACATGGATAAGTTCTTTAGTGGTGATTTCTGAGGTTTTAGTGCACTCATTACCCAAGCAGCATACACTGTACCTAATATGTAATCATTTCTCCCTAACCCCCTCTCATCCTTGTCATTGAATCCCCTAAGTCCATTATATCATCCTTATGCCGGTCAGTAGCATAAATTGAACCCAATATGTAGTTTTTTGTCCCTCACCCCCTCCCACCTTCCCTCTTCTGAGTCTCCAGTGCCCATTAAACCACTCTGTATGCCTTTACATACCCATAGCTTAGCTCCCACTTATAAGTGAGAACATATGATATGTGGTTTTCCATCCCTGAGTTGCTTCACTTAGAATAATGGCCTCCAGCTCCAGCCAAGTTGCTGCAAAGCTGTATTTCATTCTGTTTGATGGCTGAGTGGTACTCCATGGTGTACATATACCACATTTTCTATATCCACTCATTGGTTGATGGGCACTTAGGTTGGTTTCATATTTTTGCAAATACAAATTGCGCTGCTAAAAACATGTATGTACATGTGTCTTTTTCATATATGACTTCTTTCTGGGGGGTAGATACCCAGTAGAGGGATTGCTGGATCAAGTGGTAGTTATACTTTTAGTTCTTTAAGGAATAGTAGCCCAGGTCTTTCTGTCCTAGCAGCCTGCAATCTTTCCCCTGTTAGCCAGGCTGGCCCTGCCTGTGGTCCTCTGCTTCTATTCCCAGTAAGCAAAAGTGGCAGAATTGACAAAACAACTTCCCCACTTCCCACTTGGGGAGCAGAGCCAATGAGAGGGCCTCAGGAACTGGCCAGAAGAACCTGCACTCATCATTCAATCTCTTTAGGCTCGTGATCCTTCAGAAGCTTTTGCACCTCCTGCCAGCAGTGCTCCTGGTATTCTGGGTGCCTTGCAAGGTAGTATAGGACCCAGGAGAGGCCACTGGCCGTGGTGTTATGACCTGAGGGGCAGCAAGACAGGCTTGAGTCTCTGGGCTGCTTCAGTACCAGAGGGTGGACAGCGTCCATGCATCTAGGTTCTCAGGAGGATGGTGGGGTTGGGGGGAGGATGGGCTGAATGGAGTGATGCAGGGTTCATCTCCCACATCCCTGGGATGGAGAGGCCTCTGTCCCTACTGTAGTCCCACACTGGGACACTCATCCTCAAACATGAAGGTGTCAGCTTCTGCTCTTATTTCCTCATCAGACAACTCCTTCCAATCTTCATCCTGGTGAGAAGGCAAGACACACACACACACACACACACACACATACAGATCACACTAGCTCTGAGGGATCCTCAGTTTAAAGTCAGACAATCTCTGAAGACCCCTCCTTCCAGAATCCCAAGCCCACCCTGCATGCCTAGATGTCTCTTGATCACCATCACGAGAGCCCCCAACTCACAGGCTTCCTCCCTGGCCTCCTTGTCTCTTCTTTTGTCCCTAGTGGGAGGACTCAATGACCTATGAATATTTTCATATTTCTGCATGATGAGAACTTTCTGAGAAAAAGTTCCTGGCAACCTGGGTTACAGGATAATTGGCAATTTGCTTTGCAAGTTAGAGATTAAGTATTGCTCCAAAAATATTTGCTCACATTCTAGAGTGCCAAATCCATAGACTCTTATCTTATGTCCCCTGGAGATATTTGGGTTGTAAGTCTACAGACTATGGCATCTCACTAAAGAGGATTTGTTTATGCTCCAGAACAAAATACTTTCTCCTCCCTGCATCCCCCACCTGTCTGTCTCTTTCTCTCTCCCTCTCTCTTTCTCTCTCACTAGAGCAAAGAAATAGAAGATATGCCAAGACTCATAATGTAGGGCACCTCTCCTAGGGTGCAAACTCCGTTGCACATAAAGGTAAAAACATTGCATTCTCCTTGGAGGAATTTGATTTGGGAATGGAGAGCCAGTGCCACAATCCTACTCTGGCTGCTAGTATTGCTGTGAGCAATAAATGGGCTGCTCTGATCCAGGTGTTTAATGCATCTGTCACAATAGACATATACATAGAAAGGCATAGGCATAGACACAGACACATAGACAAAGACAAGGGCATGGATATAGATATAGACAAAGACATAGGCATGGATATAGATACTGACAAAGACATCGGCATAGAGAAATATGTAGACATAGAAATAGACAAAGGCAGACATAGAGAATAACATAGACATAGACATAAAAAAGACATAGGCATAGAGAAAGACATAGACAGACAATGACGAATACACAGATGTAAACAAAGACATCAACATAGACATAGTCATAGACAGACATAGACAAAGAGAAAGACACAGATATAGAAACAGACACAGGCACACAAATACACATAGACATAGACAAAGACTCAGACACAGAAAAAGGCAAAAAGATAGAGATAGACACAGATATACACATAGATATTTGCATGAACAAAGCTATAAACATAGACAGAGATGTAAACAAAAGCATAGACACAGAAAAGACACAAAGACATAGACAAATACAGACCAAGACAAAGACATAGAAAAAGACACAATACAGACCAAGACAAAGACATAGAAAAGACACAAAGACATAGACATAGACATAAAAAAGACACAGGCAAAGATATAGACATAAACACACATAAAGATATAGACATAAACACACAAAAAGGCAAAGATGCAGACATGGGCAAAGACAAAGACATAGTCATACAGACACATAGTCATACTCAGACACAGACTCAGACATAGACAATGACATATACAGGACATAGACATAGATATAGATGTAGATGTATAGATAAAAATGTGACACACTGGCTTATTAATTTGTAAATAGAGTAAAATATCAGACTTGTCAGTTTCACACCTAGAGGTCCCCTGCTATTTGTGTCTCACTCAGTCATCTCTAAAAACTATCTCTGACCTGTCCCTCCCCTGCTCAAGCAATTTCCAATGCTCCCCAGTGCCCTCTGGATCACATCCAAGTTCTTTGATCTGACATTTGACATGAAGCTCCCTTCTACTTTTTGCATTCAGATCCCAGAGAACCCCACCTTGCTCAGCAGGAGTACATCAGTGAAGTCCAAAGTCTTGGACTTGGCCTTTACTTCGTGGAAATAATCAACACCCTGGCTAGTAAGGGTGTGGCGCTGCTCCTGGATGATAGCTTCTGTGAAGTCATGAACCAGGCAGCAGGCCCTGCGGAAGCGCCATCCGCTGGGGATGAGATAATACAGAAAGTCCATGCACAGATGAAGGTAAGGAAGTTGTTGAGAACTGGAATAAAGGTGATTCTTGCTATGCTTTAGCAAAGAGATTGACAGCACTTTGCTTCTGCCCTGCCCTGCCACCAGGGAACTGAGCTCCAAGATGGTGGCAATATATTGACTGGGCTTTCTGCAGGATAAGGGCAGAAAGGGAGGCAACAACTTAACACACCTGAAGCCACAGGAGCATCTCCCACCAGCATCCAGGAGCTACCTCCTATAGGAAGCACAGTATCCAAAAACAGATGCCCCCACAGTTACAGAGTGAGGATCACCCATGAGATTCACTCTCCAAACTCTCTTATCTCCCTGATTTCCATCTCTAGGAGCTTCCTCCATGCCCCTGGGCACTCAGACCACAACTTGAACATCATGCTCTTATTCGCTCTCCCCTGCCCCCATTATAGAGTTCTGTCCCTTCTCCTTCCTGAAACTATCCACAAAGCTCAGAATTCCTGCTCTTCCAGCTGGTCCGAAGTCCATGCCCCACCCTAGTATCCTTGCATCCAATGTCAACTCCATGCAACATCTACATTACAGTTATTCCCCCACAGAGCTCAGCTCTGACCATGCCCATCAGCTCAAACCCCTTCAAGGGCTCCCTAGAAACCTCATGATAACATTTATACCAGTCATTTAGACTATGACATAACTCCTCCAGGCACTTCTGGTTGTCCCGATGAGGTAGGCACTTCTGGTTGCCGGACCCCAACCTACTTCTTTGGATTCATGGCTCAAGTTCTCAGTCCCTGGGCAAAGACTCACTCCTGACAATGGCTGTCAAAGCTGAAGACACATTTCTGCACACTGTCCAAGGTCATGAGGCTGGTGTGCTCAAACATGTCCAGATGGGCACTGCCCCCTGAGGCCAGGAGCTGCCACTTGGCCTAGCCAGAGAAGGGGACACAGCTGGGGCTGGTCCCTAGCTCCTTTGAGTCCTTCCCCAAGCCCAACCATCAAGATGGACTTCCCCAAAGCCAACCTCTTTGTCTTCTCCCCAGGAACCCCTCCCCAAGGAGGACCAGGTTGTGCTGGGAACAACAACTGTTACTATTAAGAGACAAAGACCCAAGACGGGGGTTCAGGAGAACTTGGATTCATGTTCCACCCTTGCATGCCCTTGGTCAATGCATTAACCTCCCTTCCCCTGTCAAATCTTCAGGAACAGTTGAGATGATGTACCTTGGTGCCACATAAACAAGGTTAGAAATCCTGCTCCACTATTCCAACCTCGATTATTAGCTAGGTAAACTTGGGCAAGCTCCCTAATCTCTTAGACCCACTGTTTCATCATCTACACTGAGGCAGAAATAATCTCTCATTCACAGAGTTGTTAAAAGTAAATTAGTCAATATATACTTGTTATCAATGAGTGGGAACATGGCATTGTTTCTGGCCAATAGGGGGCATACTCAACAAATGTTGGATTTCCTCACCTGCATTGTTATAAATTGATTACAAGAATTTATTACACTATCCCTATGTTGGGAGAGGTAGTCCTCCATGTGCCCTGAGTATCCTTTCTGGGTATGCCAAGAATGTAAGACACTGATATTCTTAACTGGAGCCATTTCTGAGAGTTGTGTTTGCAGAGAACAGCCTTGAGGGATGAGGTAATGACTCCCTTTTGACACTTATCAGGCTTGCTATAAAAGCAGATCTCCTAAGCCTACTGCTCCATCCCTGTAATGCAATATACTATGTCAGCAAGCATCAGTAGAAGCCCACCTGTGTTGCCCCATGGGATTTGGGTGGCTTGGAGAAAAAAGCAAACCAACAAGAAACACATGCTCCTTGCTGTGCTATGAGTAATAAATCATGCTTTGTCTCTTACCCACAAATCTCTGTCTTCTGGCAGAATCCATGAAACCATAACAAGATAACTTATCAATTTGCAATTTTTAAAAAAATTCTAGAGATGTCACGAAGCCCTTGCCCAAATTCTTCATTTGCCCCCCATATCCATACCCTTTGAAATGTGATTTTTTCAGTGACTTCCATTAAGAGACCGAGCATTTTTTACTACCCACCACTTTTTGATTCTCTGTTGGACTTTTGGCTTTCTCTGACAAAACACAATGTGAAATTGATGAGGTAATAACTAATGAATCTAACCTGCCTCGTCTCACTCCCTGGAACCCTCTCTGCCATGTGAACCATGGGGTGCCTTCTGGAGGGATAGAATCCCTGGAGGAAAGTCCAGGAGTCCCAGCTGAGGACATCTGTGTCAATTTGAAACCAGACAAAACCCAAACGTTTGAGAGAACTGAGCCAAGACCAGCAAGGCTGCCTACCTGACCCACAGCTTCTCATGTGCCATGAATATCTCTTGCACATCCAGAAGAACCCACTGATATGGTTTGGCTGTGTCCCCACCCAAACTTGAATTATAGTTCCCATAATCCCTATTTGTCTTGGGAGACACCTGGTGGGAGGCAATTTAATCCTGGTGGTGATTACCTTCATGGTGTTCTCATGGTAGTGAGGGAGTTCTTACAAGATCTGATGGTTTTATAAAGGGCTTTTCCCCCTTTTGCTCAGCCCTTCCTCTTGCTGCTGCCATGTGAAGAAGGACGTGTTTGCTTCCCCTTCCACCATGATTGTAAGTTTCCTGAGGCCTTTCCAGCCCTGCAGAACTGTGAGTCAATTGAACCTCTTTCTTTTATAAATTACCTAGTCTTGGATATGTCTTTATTAGCAGCATGAGAATGGACTAATATAGTAAATTGGTAGAGTGAGGTGCTGCTGTTAACATACCCAAAAATGTGGAAGTGACTTTGAAACTGGGTAACAGGCAGAGGTTGGAACAGTTTGGAGGGCTCAGAAGACAGGAAAATGTGGAAAAGTTTGGAACTTCCTAGAGACTTGTTGAATGGCTTTGACCAAAATGCTGATAGTGATATGGACAATGAAGTCCAGGCTAAGGTGGTCTCAGATGGAGGTGAGGAAGTTGTTGAGAACTGGAATAAAGGTGATTCTTGCTATGCTTTAGCAAAGAGATTGACAGCACTTTGCTTCTGCCCTAGAGATCTGTGAAACTTTGAACTTGAGAAAGATGATTTAGGGTATCTGGCAGAAGAAATTTCTAAGCATCAAAGCATTCAAGAGGAAGCAGAGAAAAAAAGTTTGAAAAATTTTCAGCCTGATGATGCAATAGAAAAGAAAAACCCATTTTCTGGGGAGAAATTCGAGCCTGCTGCAGAAATTCACAGAAGTAACAAGGAGCCAAATGTTAATCACCAAGACAATGGGGAAAATTACTCCAGGGCATGTCAGAGACCTTAGTGGCAGCCCCTCCCATCACAGGCCCAGAGTCCTAGGAGGAAAAAATGGTTACTTGGGCCAGGCCCAGGGCCCCTTTGCTGTGTGCAACCTAAGGACTTGGTGTCCTGCATCCCAGCTGCTCCAGCCATGGCAAGTGGCCAAGGTACATGACTTCAGCGGATGCAAGTCCCAAGCTTTGGCAGCTTCCACGTGGCGTTGAGCCTGTGGGTGCACAGAAGTCAAGAATTGAGGTTTAGGAACCTCGGCCTAGATTTCAGAGGATGTACGGAAATGCCTGATATTCAGGCAGAAGTTTGCTGCAAGCGTGAGGCCCTCATGGAGAACCTCTGGTAGGGCTATATGGAAGGGAAACGTGGGGTGCAAGCCCCCACACGTAGTCCCTATTGGGGCACTGCCTAGTGGAGCTGTGAGAAGAGGGCCACTCAATATCCCAAAATGGTAGATCCACTGACAGCTTGCACTGTGCACCTGGAAAAGCAACTGACACTCAACACCAGCTTGTGAAAGCAGCTAGAAGGGGGCTTGTACCCTGCAAAGCCACAGGAGTGGAGCTGCCCAAGGTCATGGGAGCCCACCTCTTGTATCAGCATGAACTGAATGTGAGACATGGAGTCGAAGGAGTTCATTTTGGAACTTTAAGGTTTAATGACTCCCCTACTGCATTTTGGACTTACATGGGGCTAGTAGCCCTTTTGTTTTGGACAAGTTCTCCCATTTGGAATGGTGTATTTACCAAATGTCTGTACCCCCATTGTATCTAGGAAGTAACTAACTTGTTTTTGATTCTACAGGCTCATAGGAGGAAAGGAATTGCCTCATCTCAGATGAAACTTTACACTGTGGACTTTTGAGTTAATGCTGAGATGAATTAAGACTTTGAGGGACTGTTTGGAAGGTGTGATTGGTGTTGAAGTGTGAGGACATGAGATTTAGGAGGGGGCAGGGATAGAAGATGTGGTTTGGCTGTGTCCCCACCCAAATCTCATATTCATTTGTAGCTCCCATAATTCCCAAGTGTCATGGAAGGGACCAAGTGGAAGATAATTGAATCATGGGGGTGAGTATTTCCCATGATGTTCTCATGATAGTGAATAAGCCTCTCAAGATCTGATGGTTTTATAAAGGGGGAGTTCCCCTGCATACACTCTCTTGCCTGCCACCATGTAAGACATGACTTTGCTTCTCATTCACCTTCCACCATGATAGTGAGGCCTCCCCATCCATGTGGAACTGTGAGTCAATTAAACCTCTTTCCTTTTTAAAGTACTCAGTCTCAGGTATGTCTTTATCAGCAGCATGAGAACAGACTAATATACCAGCCACCTGTCTCATAGACTTGTTAGCAATCATAAAACCTTATTGTTTTAAACCAATGAGTTCTCAAGTTGTTTCTTACTCAGCAACAGCTACTATACAATTGTCATCATGACCCTCTTGAGTTTACAAGAGGAAATATAGAAACAGACACTTTCTGGGCACCTACTATGCACCAGGGATATGACTCCATTACATCACCTTGACCATCTTTTAAGTAGGGATTATTATACCCATTTTACAGCTGAGGAAACCAAAGCTCAGAGAGGAAAAGCAATGCTGAATGCCACCCAGCAGAGCCAAAATTCCAGACCAGATCTGTCTGTGGTGCCTCCACCCCAAGGCTTCAGCTGGAACTCTGGGTTCAAAGAATTCACGTGCATGATATTCACACTGTCAGTGAAAAACTTCATATAGGGCTTCAGCATGTTGAAATGGAAGGCGGGCATCAGCATCTGACGGTGGCAGCTCCACTTGTCACTGGCATTTACCAGGAGCCCATCCCCTAGTAGAGGCAGTCAAGGGCCATGGGCAAGGGTATCTCCCTCTTCTTACCCATCCCCCAAGGTTTTTCCCACCCTTGTTCACCTACAGGTACTCACCCAGCCAGGGCTTCAGGAACTTGTAGAAGGCCTCGTCTTTTGGTGCAATGGTGGCTGACATGAATGAGGACCATCAGAAACCATGGAAAGGGTGAGGGAGGGACTTTGGGTGTGGGGTGAGGCTCCAAGCCAGAGACCACACTTACTCCCTCAAAGCGCAGCATAGTAGAAACATGTGACATGGCCCCGATATGTGTTAACATGTCCTGACATGGTCACAAAATACACAACAAGCCCTAGCATGCTATGCTGTGCTCTAACAAGGATCTTAGACACTCTGAAATGACCTTAGCATGCCCTATAGGCAGGCCCCAGTTAGGATTCAGATTTAAATATGGTCCCTTTAATATCCCAGAAATAGCCCATGTCTGGTCCCAAATGTTCCATAGTCATGACTCAAATATACCCTGAAGCCTGTCTCAAACAATACTCAAACAATGTCTCAGAATGTTTACACACAGACCCTGGGTTCCAGACATGAGGCACATCCCTGGGATCATATGGAGATGGTTATGTCTAGGGCTCAGCTGTGGCCAAGAGTATTTGGGGTATGTGGGGTTTGTCTGCGATTCTGTTTGAGATAGTCTTTTTCTTCTGCTGGTGACGTCTGGGCCATGTTTGGGATGCGCCTCACGTTTGGGCAAGGGTAGGGCTCCAGGCTCGGGTGGCGTCTCCTACTGGAGATTCCTAGGGCCTGGAGCAGGAGGGCAATGAGCATATAGTGGAAGAACCACAGGATGGGGTAGAAGGAACCGACCCACAGAGGTGAATGTCATGAAAATAGCAGTCCAGATCCTCCACCAACTGCATGTCCTCCTCATTGTTCTGGGCTTGGGGACATGCAAGGTGATGCCAGGCCTGGCAGGAGGTCTTGAATTCTAATGTTGCCCATTGCATCGCTTCATCCCCCACTTTAAAACATTCCTACTCATTGTTAGAAACCCAGCTCCAGCAACTTCTCTTCCAGGAAGCCTTCCAGCCTGCCCCAGGAGAGACCAGGTTCTCCTCTGGGCTCTCCCAGCCCATCTCCTTCTGGACCACTCCTGACCCCATGACTTTGGGGATGTCTCTGCCCAGATCCATCTCCTCAAGCTTGGGAGATCCTTCCAGGACAGAGCCTTGGGTTGAGGCCTCATGGGGCTCCAGTAGTGCACAGAACGCCGGGGTGGTGGGGGGATGGCAGTAGTGGGAGGAGACGCTGAGATGGGGGTTGGTGAATACATGAAGGAAAGAGAAGATGGCTGAGGGTGAAGCAAGAAGGAAGGGCCTGGATACTGCAGCGGCCACACAGAAGCTTGGGGGAGGAGGGGCTTGCAGGCCTCAGATGCACCACGGCATTCACCACCAGGTGTTTCAGATGGTACCTGAGGCATTGATGACAGACCAGATGATGTTGGGGTGGCACAACCTGATGATGGGAGTAATGGGGTTCATCCAGATCTTAAAGCCCTGGGGGTAAGTGGCCACCAGCTGAGTCAGAACTCTCATGCCCTCCTTCATGTGGGGACCTGCAAGCAAGGCAGGGGCCTGTAATCCCAGCTACTCGGGATGCTGAGACACAAGAATCTCTTGAACCCAGGAGGCGGAGGTTGCAGTGAGCCGAGATCACGCTACTGCACTCCAGCCTGGGCAACACAGCAAGACTCCGTCTCAAAAAAAAAAAAAAAAGAAAAGAAAAGGAGGCCATCCTAGCACCATGCATGGAGTCCAGTTCTTTGGATAAGTATGCCACTGGGCAATGTTATGACCCTATAACTTGAGTCAGAACTCCTATAGCCATTTCTTTTTGTTCATGAACATATAGAAAGAAAGGCTTAGTTATGTCTGGTAGTCCTAAAGCTGGGGCCCAAGTTAAAGCTTCCTTGATCTGTTCAAATGCTATTTCTTGATTAGTCTTCGAAAGGAGGGGCTGTTTTTCTCCTATCTTTGTGGCTTCATATAATGGTTTAGCCATTAATGAAAAATTTGGAATCCAAATATGGCAAAATCCTGCTGCCTCTAAAAATTATCGTATTTGACACCGGGTGGTTGGGGTTGGGAGTGCACAAATGGCCTGCTTCTGTTTATAGCCAAGCTGGTGTTCTCTGTGGCTTACTATGAAACTTAGATATTTAACTTTTTCATGGCAAATTTGGGCTTTCTTTTTAGATACTTTGTAACTTGTTTTCCATAAAAGATGGAGGAGGTCCTGGGTTCCTTGGTAATAATCCTCTCGGGTTGGGGCTGCCAAAAGAAGGTCGTCCACGTACTGAAACAAGGCACAGTTATCATTTGGCAGGGTATAGGCCTTGAGGTTTGAGGCCAGTGCTTCCTCAAAGATTGTAAGAGAGTTTTTGAACCCTTGTGGGAGCTTAGTCCAGGTGAGCTGTGTAGCTTCCTTGTCCTATTGAAATGCAAAAATGGGCTGACTAACTGGTGCCAGTCAGATACAGAAGAAGGCATCTTTTAAGTCTAAGACCGTAAACCAAGTGGCAACTTGCTGGAATAAGTCCCATTAAAGTATATAGGTTTGGTACTACTAGGTGGATAGCCACTGTGGCCCTGTTTCTAGCCCGCAAGTCTTGCACTGGTCTATACACATTAGACCCTGGTCCTGGTGTCGGCTTTCATGCTGGCAAAAGTGGAGTATTCCGGGGAGACTGGCATCGGACTAAGATCCTGTGTTTATAGAGCCAGTCTAAATGCTTACAAATGCCTCAAATAGCCTCTCAGGGGACCGGGTACTGACGAACTCGAACCAGAGTTGCTCCTGGTTTCAGTTTAACTACTACTGGTGGATGATTTACAGCCAGCCTAGGTGGGTTATCTTCAGCCTATACCTTAGGAATTTTATTAACTAGTCCAAATAATAATTTTTCTTCTTTCCGTGTATGAAGCTGCACTGGCGCCTGCAGTTTCTTTCTATGAAGTCTCCATTCCTCAGCCTGTGGAATGGTAAGGGTTAACACTATGGCTTTTGGGTGAGTCAGATTGAAAGTCATATCTTTTTGAAGCCTAAAAGTAATCTGTGCCTGCAGTTTTTGAAGTAGGTCTCTTCTTAACAAGGGAACTGGACAAGTTGGGAGGTATAGGAATTCATGCTAGACTTCTCGTCTTCCTATAACACACCTCCTTGACTGACTAAATGGCCTCTTCTCTGAGACTCCAGCAGCTCCTGCAATAGTTGTATAGTTCTTGGATAGTGGCCCTATGGGTCAAGTTACTACAGAGTGTTCAGCCTCAGCATCTACAATAAAGTTCATCAATTGGCCTCCAACTTTTAATGTGACCACAGGCCCCTGGAGGCCTAATGAGAAGGAGCCTGGTCTGTCCTAATCCTCACATCCTTCAGCTCCTGTCAGCCCAATCAGGTCAGTATCTGGTTCCTCTAAGGCACCGCAGCCCTTGGCCGATGGCCTCTTTGTCTCACGGCCTTGGCCATTTCTTTCATTGCCTTCTGGACATTCATCCTTTTAGTGTCCTTTCTTTTTGCATCTCTCATATTGATCCCTCTCTAGCTTTCAAATTTGGTCGGCTTTCAAATCTTTGTCTAACTTAACCTCTTCCATGTCCACGTCCACGTCCGTGTCCTCTCACATTGCTAATCTCTTTTTCTATAAGGCCTGCTGCCAACAGATCTGCCTTTTTTTTAAGCCTTCAATCTGCTTCCTTGTTTTCCTCCTGGTCATAGTTAACATACACTTTGGTGGCTACTTCTATAAGCTGGGTGGCGTTCACGCCTGCAAAACCTTCTAACTGATGAAGCTTTCATTTGATGTTACCATGGGCCTGTCCTACAAATGATGTATTCACCATACGCTGATTTTCAGTGGCCTCAGGGTCAAACAGGGTGAAAAGTTGGTATGCCTCACAGAGTCTCTCATAAAACTGACTTGGGCTCTCATCAGCTCCCTGAAGCACTTCTGAAATCTTCCCTGTATTAATTGCTTTCTTTCCACCCTCCCTTAGCCCTTGCAGAAGTGCCTCTTGGTACCTCTGCAAACGCTGAAGCTGAGTTGCATCCTCTGGGTCCCAGTTGGGATCTTGGTCTGGGAGCTGGCCCTGAGCATATGCCTGAGCGTTCACTGCATCTGCTGGTGCAGGGGCTTCTAGTCAGTGGAGAGCTCCCTGTGTTACTCTTCTGTGCTCCTCAGTGTTAAACAGCGTGAGAAGAAGCTGCCTACAGTCTGGCCAGGTTGGATTGTGTGTCAGAAAGATGGATTGCATCAGATCTATGAGAGCTTGGGGCTTCTCTGTGTAGGGGGGGTATGGTGTTTCCAGTTTAAGAGATCAGTGGTTGAAAAGGGCTGGTAGATGCAAGTTCATTGCCCCCCGCCGGACTTGGACTTGGTCATTATAATAAATGGGTCCTCGCGTCTCCCTGAGAGGCATTTGCATAGCTCGAGCATGGCCAGATTTGAGTTGGTCTGCTTGACTATCTTGACTTCCTTCCCTGGCCCCCCGAGGCTCCGATCCTTCCCTTCAGGGTGAGACTTGGGGCATGCTGTCTTTTGAGTCTGGCTCCTGGGGAGCTGGAGCTATCAGCCCCTGTAAAGCGAGGTAGGCTGGGACATATGGAGGAAGAATCTCTGTTCCCTCTGGTGGCCCCTGCAAAACTGGCCTCTCTTGCTCTCTCTGGGACTTTCCCTTTAACTCTGTGTCTGCCAGTGAAGCTGCTCTTACTTTCACTTTTGGGTTGGCTCAGGCTACAAGTGTTTTGCAATAAGGTGCTAAACGGGGCTGGATCCAGGCTGGTCTTGTCTGTGCTATATTTAACCATGAATCAATACAAGGAAATTGGTCTGGATGCCCTGGCTGTCCTCCGACCCCTGTCACCACCCTAAATACACGACCAATTATTTCCTTGTCTATAGTTCCTTCAGTCGGCCATCTAACACCAAAAGAAGGCCATTCTAATTCTCAGAGAGTTCTCAACCTCTGGGGGGTTAACTTAATTCCATAATCCCCTGCAAAATCTTTCTTAAAGTTCTGTAACATGCATTCCAATGGAGTAAGTTTTGATGACTTTCCTCCCATTCCTCCCTTTACAGCGCAGCACACTCACTCTTGCACACTCACTCTTCCTCTTGTTTCGGCTGAATATACCATCTCCTATTACAGGAGTTTTCAGATGCTGCTTGGCTTCGGAGAGTTCCTTATTCCTGCTACAACTGCTGCAGTCGTAGGGCAGCTCCTATTAGCCATATGCAGATCACCGCTAGTCTTAGTCGGCCCCACACTTTGCTCAGAACACACAGTCCAGGCTAAGAGATCTGTGACTCCCCACTTTGCAACTGATGAACCTAATTAGGCCCCTCCATTCACACACTTTCACACACTTCCCCACTCCCAGTTCCCATGTTCTTAATTGGGGTGGTGAGCCACTCTCACTACCTCCAGTTTCCTTTTCCTAACCAACTTAGTGAGCCACTCTTGCATCCTATGTCAGTTGGGGTGTAAGTTTCATCTGAATTGGCGAGCCATTCTCACCACCCCCAGCCCTTCTGGGTTGGATTAATAGTCACATCCCAGGAGGTGATCAGGCTCCCCTTCCATCCTTATGGGGTGGGTCCTGCCTTGGGCCCCAAAACCTTACTGCAGTCCTGAAGGAAGCACGCTGCTCCTGGAATCATCCCATAGCCCCTCAGGTTCCACTGTGCTGCTGGGTAGGGGCACCAGGTCATGAGAGACCCGATCTCCCCTCCGGGCTGAAGTTCTCTGGGCAGTGCCTGGGGTCACAGGTCTCCCCTGGCCCAGGGCTCCTCCAGCCCCCACAGGCAAAGGAGACAGTAAGCCTGTTGTCTCCACTCCTGGCTGGCTCTTCAGAAATGTTGTGGGAAACTGAGGAACAGAGACCGATATGGGAGAACAGGAGGATATTTATTTTAAGGTATGCACCAGTTCAGTGGATTCACATCCAAAAAGCTGAGCGTTGGACAAAAACAAAAGTTAACTTATATAGGCTAGCATACAAGAGCAAAACAAAGACAATAAATTTTACAGTGACAAGCCACATAATCTATAGTGTAACTGCTAACTTGGCATAACTTGTGGCCTTGTATATGCAGCGCATCAGAAAAAAATTAAAACAGGAACTTTGCAAATCTTACTAAATACAAGCATTGGCAAACATAGTCATAACTAATAGTTCAGTACAGGAGAGACATTGAAGGAATTTGTTGTTCTTTTAACCTTTCTCAGGAGTGTCTGCAGCTCATTTCTGCAGGCCAGGTCGCCATGACCTGTCTATAGCCTTGCCTGCAGCAGAGGAAAACTTGTGTTTTTCAAATAACCCTTATTTCTTCTGGAGTGAATAAATGCAGTGTTTATTTTTCTTTAATTTCTGCCTTAACACTGCCCAAAGCAATTTATAGATTCAATGCTATTCCTATTAAACTACCAGTGAGATTATTTACAGAACTAGAAAAAAAACAGTTTTAAAATTCCTATAGAACCAAAAGTGAGCTTGAATAGCTAAGGCAGTCCTAAGCAAAAAAGGTAAAGCTAGAGACATCATGTTACCTGACTTCAAACTGTACTACAGGGCTACAGTAGCCAAAACAGCATGGTACTGGTACAAAAACAGACACATAGACCAATGGAACAGAATAGAGAGCCCAGAAATAAGGCTGCACACCTACAACCATCTGATCTTTGACAAATCTGACACACAAAAAAACTAACAATGGAAAAAGGATTCCCTATTCAGTAGATGGTGCTGGGATAACTGGCTAGCCATACGCAGAAGATTGAAACTGAATCCCTTCCTTATACCACATACAAAAGTTAACTCAAAATGGATTAAAGACTTAAATGAAAAACCCAAAACTATGAAAACTCTGGAAGACAACCTAGGCAATACCATTCAGGACATAGACATGGTCAAATATTTCATGACAAAGAAGCCAAAAGCAACTGCAACAAAAGCAAAAATTGACACATGGGATCTAATTAAACTAAAAAGCTTTTAAACAGCAAAGGAAACTATCAACAGAGTGAACAGACAACCTACAGAATGGGAAAAAATTTTGCTAACTGTGCATCTGACAAAGGTCTAATATCTAGAATCTATAAGAAACTTAAACAAATGTACAACAGAAAAATAAACAACTCCATTAAAAAGTGGGCAAAGGACATGAACAGACACTTTTCAAAAGCAGGCATACATGCAGCCAACAAGCATATAATAGAAAGCTCAACATCGCTGATCATTAGAGAAATGCTTATCAAAACCACAATGAGATACCGTCTAACACCAATCAGAATGGCTGTTAAAAACGTCAAAAAAAAAAAAAAACATGCTGATGAGGTTGCAGAGAAAAAGGTACACTGATACGTTGTTGTTGGGAGTGTAAATTAGCTCAATCAGTGTGGAAAGCAGTGTGGTTATCCCTCAAGGAGCTAAAAACAGAACCACCATTTGACCCAGCAATCCCATTACTGGGTATATACCCAAAGGAATAGAAATTGTTCTATTTTTAAAAGACACATGCACACCTCTGTTCACTGCAACACTATTCACAATAGCAAAGATATGGAATCAACCTAAATGCCCGTCAATGATACACTGGATAAAGAAACTGTAGTACATATACACCATGGAATACTATGCAGCCATAAAAAAGAACGAGATTATGTCCTTTACAGGTGTGAGCCACCGTGCCCAGCCTAACCAAAGGCTCTTTTCTGAGCCATCATTTTCCCTGGCAGGCAGTGGAACTGAGCAGATGGGCCAGTGGCCATAGTGCTGCTGCCTTGTGTGGGACCCACCAATTGGACTGGCAGACCAGTGGGTTACTGGTCCCCATGCAGGCCCCTCGCACCATGACAGCCGAGCCCACCCAAGCTGAGGGATGCTGGAGAGATATCCATTCACCCTGGCCAGGCACATTGGCTCACGCCTGTAATCCCAGCACTTTGGAAGGCCAAGGCAGGTGGATCACCAGAGGTCAGGAGTTTGAGACCAGCCTGGCCAACATGGTGAAACCCCGTCTCTACTGAAAATAGAAAAATTTGCTGGTTGTGGTGGTGGGTGCCTATAATCCCAGCTACTCAAGAGGCTGAGGCAGTAGAATTGCTTGAACCCGGGAGGCGGAGGTTGCAGTGAGCCGAGATTGCACCACTGCACTCCAGCCTGGGCAACAAGAGCGAAACTCCATCTTGAAAAAAAAAAAAAAAAGATATTCATTCACCCACCCAGGCAGAGCAGTCAATACCATTTCTCCTCTGGTGGATGAGGGATGTCCCTTCTGCCCTCACCCCCGCAGTCTTGGGAGAACTATAGGATAACATAAGAGCCTTTGGCCAGGTGATCCCCCAGTAGTAGCTCGTTATATGAGTGCCCCAAAGCACGTCCTTGTCACCCCTTCCTGCAGTCCTTTCCCTTCTGACTCCATTTTATGTCTCCGCCAGTCATTTTATTTTCAGCCCTAAAATATGTGCAGTGTTACATTTGCTTTTAACTTTCTGTTAACTCTCCATGGGCAATTGACTACTGTGGGACACTTGGTTGTGAGCGGTCTTCCGTTGTGTTGACTCTGGGACATCAGAACCAGAGTTGTTCTGTGTCCCCAACTTGGGTTCACTTTTGGCCACCCCTGGGGTGCCCCAGGGTTTTTGGCATTGGTGAGGGGACCCTCGTTGACTGAAACTTGGGCACTTCTGAGTCTTCAGCTTTGTTATGTTGGCCACCCCCTGGATGCTCTGGGGTTTTCAACATTGACATTCCCTGTAGGATTATGGATTATAGCCCTCCCTCTAAGGGAACATTGGTCATGTCTTTTTCTGCCCTAAAGTTAGTACCATCTTCCTGGCCAAGCACAGTGACTCTCTCCTGTAATCCCAGCACTTTGCGAGGCCAAGATGGGTAGATTGCTTGAGGTCAGGCGTTCAAGACCAGCCTGGCCAACATAGTGAAACCCCATCTCTACTAAAAATACAAAATTTAGCCAGGCGTGGTGGCAGGCGCCTGTAATCCCAGCTATTTGGGAGGCTAAGGCACGAGGATCGCTTAAACCCGGGAGGCAGAGGTTGCAATGAGTCAAGATTGTGCCACTGCACTCCAGCCTGGGGGACAGAGCGAGACTCTGCCTCAAAAAAAAAAAAAAAAAAAAAAAAAGAAGCACTATTTTCCTAATAGCCAGTTGCTAGCCCTTTCCTGTGTACTGTCTTACCAATTGCCTTGCTCGAGCCCCTCTTGGTCAAAGGAATTGGGAGTTCCCAGGCCCCTGGCCTGACAGACAGCCACCTACAGCAATAGACAAGTGGCCACATTAATTTTTTTTTTTTTTTTGGCGTCTTCACTACTACGTAAGTTCTCTGGCAAGTCAAGGACCGTAAGGTCTCCCTTTGTGCAATGTTTACCCTTCCCTTCCTCGCTTACACAGTCACTATTTGGTTGGCCCCCCTCTCTGGGTAATGCTCATTTTCTGTGGAATTTAGGCTTAACATCCAACTGCCCATTTGAAGCTCATAATCCACTTTTGTAACATTTTGCTATCTATATAAAGTGGGAAATTAAATGGGATAAGTGGGCTGGGTATGGTGGCTCACACCTGTAATCCCAACACTTGGGGAGGCCAAGGCAGGTGGATCACTTGAGCCCAGGAGTTCGAGACCAGCCTGGGCAACATAGTGAGACCCTGTCTCTACAAAAAGTACAAAAATGAGCCAGGTACGATGGCGCACGCCGGTAGTCCCAGCTACTTGGGAGGCTGAGGCAGGAGAATTGCTTGAGCCTGGGAGGCAGAGGTTGCAGTAAGCTAAGATCAAGCCACTGCACTCCAGCCTGGGGGACAGAGTAAGACCCTGTCTCAAAAAAAAAAAAAAAGGAAAAGAAGTAAAAGGGAAAAGTGAAAAGGCATTTGCTAAACTTAGGCTAACTGAAACCCCTTGTAGTGATCTTTACTAAACATAAGGACATCACCAAGCATCCCAAGGAACTTGCCACTAGGATGTCTTTCAGGCAATTGGAATAAGTTCAAATTATTGGGCAAGTTGAAAAAGAAAAAAATCATTTACTATTGCAATATGTTTGGGTTCAATTCAAGTTGGCAAACCAACAGATTTGGCCTAGGCATGGTTCTTTACATTATAATGGTTGTATAATTAGATTTGTTGTTTCGCTTTTTTGTTTTTGAGATGGAGTCTAGCTCTGTCGCCCAGGCTGGAGTGCAGGAGCGCGATCTCAGCTCACTGCAGCCTCTGCCTCCCGGGTTCAAGTGATTCTCCTGCCTCAGTCTCCCAAGTAGCTGGGATTACAGGCGTGCAGCACCACACCCAGCTAATTTTTGTATTTTTATTAGAGATGGGATTTCACCACGTTGGCCAGGCTGGTCTCCAACTCCTGACCTCAAGTGATCCGCCTGCTTTGGTCTCCCAAAGTGCTGGGATTACAGGCATGAGCCACCATGCCGGGCTAAATTCCCCTTTATATATACATCTATCCTATTAGTTCTGTCCCTCTAGAGAACCCTGATAATACACCAGGCCATACCATTTATCATGTGGGAGGGGATGTGGTTCCAGATCTAGACCCCAGTAGGATTATCAGAGAAAATCTCAAGATCTCAAACACAGAAACCATATGCTAATTTGTTTAATACATGGTAGGAAAAAGTGTGCAGTTAAGCCAGTTTTTTATGATAAGATGGGAGAAATAACTCAGGAGAAAGTTGAAAATCCCGTTCTATTTCAGGGCTGTTTCATTGAGGCACTCAGGAAATATACTATAAGATCTACTTCTGTTTGGATCTCTTATGTCTATATGTTAATATGTGTCATGTGGAAATACGATTTCACTATCAATCATATAAAAGAGCTCTCATTAGTTGGTTTAAAGAAAGGTTGGTTCAAGCCGGGTGCGGTGGCTCATGCCTGTAATCCCAGCACTTGGGAGGCCAAGCGGGTGGATCACGAGGTCAAGAAATCGAGAGCATCCTGGCCAACATGGTGAAACCCTGTCTCTACTAAAAATACAAAAATTAGCTGGGCATGGTGGTGCGTGCCTGTCATCCCAGCTACTCGGGAGGCTGAGGCAGGAGAGTCACTTGACCCCGGGAGGCAGAGGTTGCAGTGAGCCGAGATCGCACCACTGCACTCCAGCCTGGGTGACAGAGTGAGACTCCATCTCAAAAAAAAAAAAAAAGGTGGTTCTTTAAGCAAGGCTGGGTTAAGAATAAATAAATAATAAAAATTTTAAAGTAAACAAGAAAAAAAAAGTTGGCTGTACATGGTGGCTCACGCCTGTAATCCCAGCACTTTGAGAGGCTGAGGCAGAAGGATGGCTTGAGCCCAGGAGTTTGAGACGAGCCTGGGCAACATGGCAAGACTCTGTCTCTACAAAAAAAAAAAAAAAGAAGAAAAGCTGGCTGAGCATGGTGGCTCATACTTGTAATCTCAGCATTTTGGGAGACCAAAGTGGGAAGATGGCTTGAACTCAGATGGTCAAGGCTGCAGTAAGCCATGATCACACCATTGCACTCCAGCTTAGGTGACAGAGTGAGACCTTGTCTCAAAAAAAAAAAAAAATAGAAAAGTAAATGTTTATCAGACTAGTAAAAGCTAGCTCAGAGGCTTTCCAGTTCACACGACTTTAGTAATCTTTGGTAAGATTAACTTGGTAAATTTAGTCTCAAAATTATTTTGAGGAATTTAAAATCTTTAAATCATGTTATGTTAAGTAATCCTAGGGTTTTCGCTGGGAATTAGGGTTCTAAGAGTTAGAATAGTAGGAGAGTAAGATGTGTTTTTGGTGACGTTTATAAAAAACATGACGATGTCTTTTTTGCTTAAGAAAATACAATTTTTTCTAATTTAAAGGACCTTTCTACTGGCATTGAGATTAAAACCACTGTATCTAACCATTTGCGTGTGTGTGTGAAGTGGTAAGTTTCTATTTGATATTAATGGCTAGAGTTCTAAAGTAAAAGCTATATGATCTTTTTTTTTTTTTTGCGTCTCACTCCAGCCCAGGCTGGAGTGCAATGGCGCGATCTCGGCTCACTGCAACCTCTGCCTCCCAGGTTCAAGCGATTCTCTTGCCTCAGCCTCCTGGGTAGGTGGGATTACAGGCGCCCACCACCAAGCCCAGCTAATTTTTTTTTTTTGTATTTTTAGTAGAGATGGGGTTTCACCATGTTGGCCAGGCTCGTCGCAAACTCCTGACCTCAAGTGATCTGCCTCCCTCAGCCTCCCAGACTGTTGGGATTACAGGCATGAGCCGCTGCGTCCAGTCTATAATATCTTTATTTGTGTACGTGTGTGTGTGCACACACACGCACTCATGTTTAGATGTGTTTATGTGTATTTACACGTGTTTTGCTATTGTGGCCACAAGATACCAATTTGGCTTTAAAATAAAAGAATACCTATAAATTAAGTAAATAAACCCAAATACTTTTCCAGTTCATGTGACTTAAGTAAATCTTTAATAAATAAGCTGGATTTAAAATTACTGGTAAAATAAAATTAGAAATGTCTTCAGAATTGTCAACATAAGTTATTGTTTAGATGTATTGGTCAAGCAGTTTTATATTTATCTCTGCTAAATATCATAAGATGTCAAGATTTGGCGTGAGGGTTATCAAGCTATAAATGCAGCCCAGAAGAGAATTATCTTGGCCGAGTGCAGGGGCTCACGCCGCTAATCCCAACACTTTGGGAGGCCAAGGCAGGCAGATCATCTGAGGTCAGGAGTTCAAGACCAGTCTGGCTAACATGGCAAAACCCACCTCTACTAAAAATATAAAAAAAAATTAGCTGGGCATGGTAGTGGGCACCTGTAATCCCAGCTACTCTGGAGGCTGAAGCCGGAGAATCACTTGAACCTGGGAGACGGAGGTTTCAGTGAGCCAAGATCACACCCCTGCACTCCAATCTGGGCGACACAGCGAGACCCGTCTCAAAAATAAAAAAATAAATAAAATGCACTAACACACCAACCTGGGCAAAGTGGCAAAATCCTGTCTCTACAAAAAATACAAAACTTAGCCAAGCTTGGTGGTGCACACCTGTAGTCCCAGCTACTCAGGAGACTGAGGTAGGAGGATCACTTGAGCCCAGGAGTTAGAAGCTGCAGTGAGCTGAGTTGGCACCACTGCACTCTAGACTGGGGAACAGAGACTGTTTCTCAAAAAAAAAAAAAAAAAAACCCTAAAGAATTGGTTAGAACGAGTAAATTTTCTTACAGTATTGATTTACTCTTAATAAAATTATAAAAAGTTTTAATTTTTAACCCAAAAGTTCAACTTTTATTGCATCTCTTGCTGTATTCAGCTTTCTCTCCCCTTCAAGAAGTTCTGAGATAGTAACTGTCTCTTTCAACTTTTCATCGGCCTCTGTAACTGTTTTTCATCACATTCTAACTGATGTGGCCTGATGTCAGAAATGTTTTGTCTTAAAGTCTAAAGGAAATGTTTTCATCTAATATAACATTCTTGTGCTCTTGGCTTTAAATTCGTCTATGAAATTAAAAACTCACTTATGACTCGGGACACACTCTGTGTCTAAATCAGTACAATTTTCATTAGATTTGACTTGCAGCTTATCTAAATGGACTCCCCATGGAGAAAAGCAATCACACTGCAGACGGTCTTTTTTTTTTTTTTTTTTTTTTTTTTTTGAGATGGAGTCTTGCTCTGTCGCCCAGGCTGGAGTGCAGTGGCGTGATCTCAGCTCACTGCAAGCCCTGCCTCCCGGGTTCACGCCATTATCCTGTCTCAGCCTCTCGAGTAGCTGGGACTACAGGCGCCCGCCATCTCACCCCGCTAATTTTTTTGTATTTTTAGTAGAGACGGGGTTTCACCGTGTTAGTCAGGATGGTCTCGATCTCCTGACCTCGTGATCCACCTACCTCGGCCTCCCAAAGTGCTGGGATTACAGGCATGAGCCACTGCGCCCGGCCAAAAGGTCTTTTTTTTTTTTTTTTTGCCTTTTGGTAACTGATGTAACAAGCAAATGTTTCATCTTATCAAAATAATTCCTATGTTATTGTTATTATTGATTTTCCTAAGAAAACTGAGATTGTAAAAAATTAAGATTATGACATTAATGTAACTTTCGGCATTACTTTTAAAGTCCTTGTGCTCTTAAGTTACAGGACTTTGACTCCTGGGTCTAAAAAGGACACCAAGACCTGCAAAATTTTAAACACTGACAGCAGTTAAAGCCTCATTTTTGGACCCTAGAGAAGATTACAATCAAAATAAACTGTGTTCGTGAGACACAAGGCCAGAAATTAAAACTATTATTATTGAACCCCTCTAGACCCAGGGACTATCATGGAAAAGGTGAGCATGCAAGATTGTAAGGGCCAATTTTGAGAGATGAAATTAGTTCAGAGTTTCTCTATAACTTAAACATTAATGTTAAAGGCACACTGAAGCAAGACCAGCATCTGGCTTATATAAATTATATCTTATGGTCAAGATGATTGAAGCTTGTTTATAAGATTGAGAAACTGGCCCCATACCTTGTCCCTTATTAGGGCTTATTATTTAGGAAAGTAAGTCTCCTCTCTCAAAAAATAATAATTTAAGGTCTTTGCATTTTTTTGAAGTGTCTGAGTTACTACTTTGGCTAAATGAATGACTTTAGACAATCACCTATGATCCTATTTTGTGATATTAAGTGTCATAGACTTTCGATATTTGACTAACTTTCCAAAATCAACTTCTAAATTCAGTCTTTGTGACCTCATTATTTTTTATATTAGATCTCCTGAAGTCCATGAGAGACATATTTGACTAATTTAGTACAATAAAATCATACTACATGAAGTAGCGCTGTCAGTTTGGGAGTGAATGAAGGGGGACGGATGCAGAAATAAAGACAAAGACAAAAAGATCTGTTTTGAAAGAAGGATCAGGGGGCTCCTCGCTTCTAGTGAGCAAAGGCCCTGAGCTTCTACAGCCCTTCGTATTTAATAGATGGAAAGAGCAGGAAGGGAGAGGTAATGGTTGGTCAGCTGCTTGATTTATCACAGGGACACGTATATCTATAACAGCCACAGGTGCTTCTGTGACCCACATTTTCCCTGGCGGGTCCTCACACTGGCTCAATAAACTTGGATGATTTGAGACTTTGCCTTGGTCATTCACTTTTGTGGTCCATGGGGGCCTGGTCATCAAAAGCCCAGTCAATGGGACATAGTCATTGCGGGCCTTGTCTGTGGTGACCTGGTCAGCCAGAGTCTTGTCAGTGAGGGGGAAGCCCGGTCAGCAGGATCTAAGTCAGTGGGGTTTTGCTCGGTGAGGAATTGGTCACTGGGGTCTGCTCAGTATGGGCCTTATCTGTAAAAATCTAGTCAGTGGGCCAGGCACGGTGGCTCATGCCTGTAATTCCAACACTTTGGGAGGCCAAGGTGGATAGATCACCTGAGGTCAGGAGTTTGACACCAGTCTGGCCAACATGGTGAAACCCCACCTCTACTAAGAATGCAAAAATTAGCCAGTTATGGTGGAATATGCCTGTAATTCCAGCACTTTGGGAGGCCGAGGTGGGTAGATCACCTGAGGTCAGGAGTTTGACACCAGTCTGGCCAACATGGTGAAACCCCACCTCTACTAAGAATACAAAAAATAGCCAGGCGTGGTGGCATGTGCCTGTCGTCCCAGCTACTCGGGAGGCTGAGGCAGGAGAATCACTTGAACCTAATCAGGAAGTGGAGGTTGCAGTGAGCCAAGATCACACCACTGTACTCCAACATGGGTGACAGAGGCAGCCTCCATCTCAAAAACAAACAACAAAAAACCTAGTCAGTGGGGGTGTAGGGAGTGGTATTTTGTTCAGTAGGGGCCTGGTCACTGGGGGTCTGGTCAGCGGGATCTGAAAAGTAGAGCCTCGTTAGTAGGGGTTGGGCGGTTAGCACCTGGTCAGTGGAAACCTCGTCATTGTGGTCTAGTCAGCTGAGGCCTGGCGGTGTGGTCCTGCTCAGTCAGCGAAGGTCTCACCATTGGAAGCATGTCAGTGTGGCCTAGTCAGCAGATCCCGGTCCATGGGATTTGGTTATTTGGGACCTGGTCAATGGGGACGTGTTCTGTGGGGACCATGTCAGCAGAGACCTGGTTGTCAGGGGTGTGGTCAGCTAATGCGGTGCCACCGAAGGACTCCCCAGTGGGGCCTACTCAGTGGGGCCCTGGTCAGTGGAGGCCTGGTTGTAAGGGGCACTGTTGGCAGTGACCTTGTCATTGAGCTCCTGGCCAGTTGGGACCAGTCAGTGGTTTGGGTCAGTGGGGCCTGGTCTGTGGGGCCATGTCATGTGGTCTGGTCAGTGGGGCCCTGGCAGTGTGGGCCTGGTCATCAGAAGCCTAGTCAGTGGGGGGGCCTACTCACGGGGGTGTTGGTCAGTGAGGACATGGTCATTGTGGTCGGCTTAACGGGATCCATTCAATGAGGGTCAGGTCATGGAAAATCTGGTCAGTGGGGTTTGATCAGCAGGGGACTGCTCAGTGGGGATCGGACCAGTGGGGCCTGGTCAGCAGGCGGCCGGCAGTTCCTGGGGCCTGGTCAGTGGGGTCCAGCAGTTGGGACCTGGTTGATTGGAGGGTCCAGCCCTACGGGACTTAGCGGGTGTTCTCCCCGTGTGCAGAGACGAGAGAGCGTAAGAAATAAAGACACAAGACCAAGAGATAAAGAGAAAACAGCTGGGCCCGAGGGACCACTACCATCAAGACGCGGAGACCAGTAGTGGCCCTGAATGGCTGGGCACACTGATATTTATTGCATACAAGACAAGGGGCGTAGGGTCAGGAGGGTGAATCTTCTAAGTGATTGACAAGGTGAAGCAAGTCACGTGATCACAGCACAGGGGGCCCTTCCCTCTTAGGTAGCCGAAGCAGAGAGAGAGAAGGCAGCATACGTCAGCGTTTTCTTCTATGCACTTACAAGAAAGATCAAAGACTGTAAGACTTTCACTATTCCTTCTACCGCTATCTACTACAAATTTCAAAGAGGAACCAGGAGTACGGGAGGAACATGAAAGTGACCATTGGAGCACAGCACCACAAGGAGGGGTTTAGGCCTCCGGATGACTGCGGCAGGCCTAGATAATATCCAGCCTTCCACAAGAAGCTGGTGGAGCAGTGTTCCCTGACTCCTCCAAGGAAAGGAGACTCCCTTTCGCAGTCTGCTAAGTAACGGGCGCCTTCCCAGACACTGGCGTTACCGCTTGACCAAGGAGCCCTCAAGCTGCCCTTATGCACGCGTTGACAGAGGGCTCACCTCTTGCCTTCTAGGTCACTTCTAACAATGTCCCTTCAGCACCTGACCCTCTACCCGCCAGTTATTCCTAGGTTATGTTAGTAACGCAACAAAGAGTAATATTAAAAGCTAATGATTAATAATGTTTATAATAATGATTGATAATTGTCCATGATCATCTCTATATCTAATTTGTATTATGACTATTCTTATTCTAACTATTTTCTTTATTATACTGAAACAGTTTGTGTCTTCAGTCTCTCACCTCGGCACCTGGGTAATCCTCCGCCCACAGTCAATAGGGGTCTGCAGCTGGGGCAAGGTCAGCGGGGATCTGATCAGTGAGACCTAGTCAGGTCTCACTGACTGACTAGGCCCTGGGGGTTGGGGCCTGGCCAGCAAGAGTCCAGTAGTTGGGGCGTGTTTGGCGAGGGTCTCATGGTTGGGGTCTGGCCAGCGGGGGTCCCACAGTTGGGGCCTGGTGAGCAGAGATCTGGCAGTTGCAGCCTCGTCCATGGGGGTCTGGCAGTTGGGGCCTGGTCAGCGGGGTCTTATAGTTGGGGCCTGTTTGGAGGGGGTCCAGCAGTTGGGGCCTGGTCAGAGGGGATACGGCAGCTGGGGGTTATTTGGCAGGGATGCAGCAGCTGGGACCTGGTAGGTGGGGTCTGGCGGTTGGGGCCTGGTCAGTGAGGATCAGATCAGTGCGGTCTAGGCAGTGAGGTCTGGACGCTGGGCCTTCATCTGCATGGGTCTCGCAGTTGGGACCTGGTCAGCAGGGGTCTACCAGTTGGGGCCTGGTTGGCGGAATCAGGCAGTTGGGACCTGGTTGTCGGGGGTCCAACAGTTGGGGCCTGGTCAAAGGGGATCCAGCAGTTGGAACCTGGTCAGCAGGGCTCTGGCAGTTGGGGCCTGGTCATTGGGGTCTGGCAGTTGGGGCCTGGTCAACAGGGGTCCAGGAGCTGAGGCCTGGTTGGTGGGCCGTCTAGCAGTTGAGGCCTGGTCATCTGGGCCCGGCATTTGGGGCCTGATCGGCGGGGATCAGAGCAGTGAGGCCTAGTCAGTGAGGTGTGGATGTGGGGGCCTGGTAAGCAGGGGCCCAGCAGTTGGGGTCTGGTCAGCAGGGGTCTCATAAGAAGAGGCCTGGTTGGCAAGGGTCTGGCAGTTGGGGCTCAGTCAGGAGGGGTCTAGGAGTTGGGGCCCAGTCAGTGGGGTCTGGCAGTTTGGGCTTGATCAGTGCAGTCCAGCAGTTGTTGGGGCCTGGTCAGTGGGGGTCCAGTAGCTGGGACATGGTCAGTGGAGTCCAGCGTCCGGGGCCTGGTTGGCAGGGGTCTGACAGTTGGCGCCTGGTTGGTGGGGATCCCATAGTTGGGGCCTGTCAGCAGGGATCCAGCATTTGGGGCCCAGTCAGTGGGGTTCAGCTTTTGGGGCCTGGTGAGTGGGGTTCAGCATTTGGGGCCTGGCCAGCAGGGGTCCAGCAGTTGTTAGGGCCTGGTCAGCGGGGGTCTGATTAGTGAGATCTATTTGGTGGGGTCCATCAGTTGGGACCTAGTCAGTGAGGGCCGTGAGGGCCTTGTCAGTTGCAGCCTTGTTATTGTGGCCTTTGTCAGTGGTGTCTGATGAGCCAGGGCCTGGTCTGTGGGGCCCAGTCAGCAGGACCTGGTCAGTCCACATCTGGTCAGTGGGACCTGGTCATTGTGGGGGTGGTCAGCTAGGACCTGTTCAGTGGGAGCTTAACCATTGGAAGCCTGGCCAGTGGGATCCTGGGTGATCTCAGGCCACGGGTTAGTCCTCGAAGCCTCCGTGATTGCCTCCATCCATGGGGTGGGGGGTGAGTCACAGCACCCCAGTGGGCTTCTGGGAGGAGGAGGTGAGAGGGTGCATTGCATTGAATCCAGCCCTGCCACACAGACCTGGCACTTTACACACTACGCGAGTCACCCCAAGGGGGAAGCCTGGCTTCTGCCCTCTGCCCTCTGCCCTCTGCCCTTTGCCCTATGTCCCTGCCCCATCTGCATCCCCAGGACCACCCAGCATGGAAAGAGCAGAGGCTGAGGAGCACCTATGGGTGCTCTGATGCTGGCCACAGGCCCGGGGGTGACAGTGACAGGGATCCAGGTGCACACCTGAGTGGAGCAGCCAGGCCCAGCTGGAGGAGAGACGTGTTCACCCACACACATGCATCCTCACATACACAGACAAATTGCACGCATACATGTTGACCATTAAGCGGGCAGAGGACGCTGACCCTGGGCCCTGCTGAGCCAGGTAGGGCCCCGTCATGACAGAGGCTGTGAACCCATGCTGTCACTGTGCCAAGTGCCGCCAGCCTACCTCCGTGTCATGGAGCAGTTGGAGACACAGAGGTGCTGTAAGTGGTTGTGCAGAAAGGACCCTTTTCTGGGTGAGAAGCACATCTCAGCACCGCTGCCTGATCAGACTCAGGAAAGCGTGACCTGCTCTCTTCCCCCCTGCTGACTTGGGGACAGTCACAACCAGGTGGGTGGCAGCTACCCGAGGAGGGTCATCCATGAGCACTCACCGGGTGCCCGTTCTATGCTGACCATGCAAACAGTCGTCTCCTTCATCCTCACGGCGACTCCATGGCGGGGTGGAGGGGTGCTTTCCTCAAATGTACCCACTGAATAGGTGAGACGCCTGAGGTCAGAGGGGCAGTAACTGGCCCAGAGACCCAGACGTGGCCCTGGGCCATGCTCTCAGCCCTGGCCTGTGCCATGCTGAACTCAAGCCTTGACCTCTGTGACCTCCGTGTTCTGGATTGCACATCTGCCTGGGGTTTCTGACCCCAGTGGAGCTGAGCCTCGCCCTAGAAGAGCCCCCAGGATGGAGCCCCTGTGGGTGGGGTGGAGGGTGGTCCTCCGTCCAAGTCTGTGCTCTAAGATGGGTCCCCACAGGGGGAGATCTCATCAACCCAGACTTCGGGTGCAGTCAGTGGGGGTTGCTGTGGAACCCACTGGACATACTGGGTCCCTCGTCTGGGAGTGGGGTGGGGAGCCCTCTATCCTTGGGCAGTTGTGGAAAATGACGGAGGTCCAGAGGGCTGGCCAGAAGGTAATGATCATTCCTCCTTTTCGCCAGGTCTGGGGCTTTTCCCCACGTGGCCCTTTCTCTGCCTGGTCCCCTAGAGGCCTCGCCCTTTCTTTGCCCTGACTGTTCATGGGAGGGGTCCCTCTGGGGTTCTCCAGAACCAAGTCCCCAGAGTTCTCTCATTCTTTCTTGGTGATCCGGAAACACGAGGCCCCTTCCTGTATTGACAGCTCAGAACTGTGGGATCCACCATCCCGCCACCTGAGACATCTCCGTGAGCACAGAGGCTGCTTTGGCCCAAACCAAGCACCCTCCCATTTGGCTGGTATTATTCTTGACGCGGCTTCTCTGGCCAGAAGGAGTGGAGATGGGGGTGAAATGGAGGAGTCACAAGGTGTCTTGTTCCCTGTAGGAAAGTGGGCCTCTTGGTGGTCCCTGAGCGATCTGGGAGGCTGAGCATATGGAGCTCTCTGGTCCCTGACCCCAGTCTGCCTCCAGGTGCCCAGGATAGCGCATCAGGAGCCCCTCACCCTTGGCAGGTGGACGCAGTTCATCCTGTGTGTGCCTGTCTCTGGGCGTCTGGGGACAACAGGCCTCTGTGTCCAGGTCCCCCTGTCAGGTGCAGAGACTCCAGAGACCCCAGCAGGCATGGGGCCACTGGGTCTTCACCCAGGGCTGTGGTGGCATGGGGCTCACCCGGCCGGCGGTGTCTCAGAGCCCCCGGGAGCGGTTCAGATGTTCTCTGAAGCGCTCAGGTGCAGCGTTGCCTTTGGGCGATGTTGTCTCACAGGATGGACGTGGAGGAAGACGTGGCTACCCTACTTGCACAGGAGCAGGGGGCATCATTGCCCAGTGTGAGCAGGTACAGGTCGGGCTGCTCCCTCGAGAGAGGTGGGGCCTCGCCTCTCCCACTGTGCCCTGGTGGGAGGATCCTGGGCTCCCTTAGGAAGCAGGGTGGGAGCTGGTTGCCCATGCCTTTGTGCCCCCACAGCCCTTCACCTCAGCCCCCTCACTCTGGACCCCTCTGGGTCCCAGGGACGCTGTAGGGCCCAAGGATGTGGACAGCTTACAAAGTTACCGATCGCCTCGAGATTCTGCAGTGAGTCCTCTGTCCCTGCTGCCCGACCATCACCAAACTCACCTCAGAGGATGAGTTTTGTTTTTAGAAAAGCCTCTCTGAGGCAGGACACGTCTTCCCAGCTTGGGCCAGCCTCCTTTCCAGGGTAGGAATGCCAGCTGGCTACCCTGCAGGTGGTCTGCAGCAGGCCAGAGCTGCGAGGCTCATCTAGGGATCTTGGGGGAGCAGGTGGGGATGGAGAGGCTCTCAGCAGAGCAGTCTCAAAGGCAGCATGAGAGTAGGGAACAGCCTGAGGGTCTGGCCCTGTCACCCTGGGCCCTGCCCCAGTGAGACCCGCAGGCTGTGGCCACAGGGCAAGGGGGTGCCTGGCCCAGCCTGTGGGCAGTTGTCCAGCAGGTCTCTGAGGATTCAGGGGGCCCAGCTGAGCCACCCTACAGGGAGGGGCGTGGGGGGCAGTGAGGGCCATACCCCTGGGAGGGCGGAGGGGAAGACGGGCAGGGTGTCAGCCAGGGCATGTCAGGGTGAGGGCAGGGATGCAGCAGAACTTGCAGCTGAAGGCAACCTGCCTTGGTGCTGAGAGGGAGCCTGGGTCCTGGGAAGGGGAGCCCAGCCTGGAGCCTGCCCCTCAGGAGTCACAGGACAGAGAGAGGGAGGAGCCTGGGGGAGGTTGGTTGGGGACGATCCCACGGGAGGTGCCACTTCTGGGACGCACCTGAATGGAGCCAGCCTAGGGTGGAGCTGATGGCCTGGGGTGAACAACACATGAGGTGGGGCTTTAGCAGAGGGGCCTCAGTCAGTCCCCAGGGCTCTGCATGGCCCTCCGGAGACCCTGGCTCCCCGCTGGATCCGTCAGCACAAAGGCAGAGGGAGGAGCAGGAAGGCCGAGTAGGGGCAGGCAAGACAGTGGGGGAACAACCAGGGGCCCAGTGCATGGCTGCCACAGTGGCTCAGAGGAGGGCAAGGACTGATGGATGGACGACAGCCCCGAGAGCCAGCTGAGTTTGGAGACGGGGCTGTGTGGCCATCCCGGCTGCCCGCGGGGCTCTTGCTCACCCTCGTCACCTCTGGCATCTCCCCGGCAGCACTTAGCAGCCCAGTGAGAGAGCGGTCAAGGCAGGCGTGTGGATGGATCCAGGGCCCTCTCTCAAGGGTTCTGACAGATGAGGGTCGAAGAAGGGCCAGGCTGTCCAGTCTCTGGGCCAGAGAGGATGGGCAAAGTCAAGGAACAGGCAGGGTCAGCAGCCGGGGTGCAGGGAGAGGCAGGTGTATGCTGGAAGGTCAGGCCCCACGAGGGCCCTTGGGGGCATCAAGTGGGACAGGGCCCCGGCGCACCCTCAGTGCCCTGGGCAGGCCTCGGGCCAGTGATGTGGTCACTCCCTCGGGAAATGCTGTTGGGACCGGACCACCCACCCTGGGCCACACCCATCCCGCCTCAGGCCTGGATTTTCTGAGCTCCCGCAGAGTGTGCTGCCTAGCCCAGGAGGGGCACCCCCATTGTGCAATCCAAGCCTCGCCCTCCACAAGCCCCAGGCAGCCCCTGTTGGGTGGGCCCTAGTTCCCTCTTCTCCCAGGCCCCAGCCCCTCCCAGGCGCCAGCTGGCAGGGAAGCACCGGTCCTCCCTTCCCTGTGTGTCCCCTGGATGGAGACCTGGGGCGGGGGTGGGGGACAGGGCTGGTTCTTTCCTGGGGCCCACTAGGGGAGGAGGAGGACAGTTCCTGGCCCAGCACAGGTCCTCAGCTCTGCCTGGGTTGCCTTACAGTGAGACGTAGCTGCCACCCATCAGTGCCCTGGAAGTGAAGGTAAGAGCCTGACCCTGCTGTGTGAGTGGTTGGTCCAGGGACAGGGGGACCCAGTGGGTGGTCAGCAGGCTGTGGGCCTGGGTGGTGATGAGTGGGAGCGACAGGCTGTCCCTGGGCCTGCGGGACCTGACCTCAAGACTCTGTCCCCATGGTGGCTTGATCAAATCCTAAACCGAGAACCACAGTCGTGGCTCAGCAGTCACTGCCCACTTGTGCCAAGACCCCACCTGAATGTTGGGACTCCACCAACGCCCGGGGTGCCTGTGGCCTGAGGATGGCATGTCCCAAGTCATGAGGCCAGGACACCTGTGCTCATTCAGTCAGAGGGTCTCCATTCCCTGGGGCCGGCCCTTTCCTGGCTCCTTCCAGTTTGATCCTGTCAGGGCCCTGGAGCCCAGGACCCAGCATCCAAGGGGCATCCTGGCAGCTCCACTAACTTCATCTTATTTGACAGAGAAGACATCAGGAGATGAGGGACACAGAAAAATGGCTCCAGGTGCTTCTCGACTGCCAGCGACATAGGAGCGGCAAGGAGGTGACATGGGGAGGGAAGGGCCCCGTGACCACTTTCTACAGAGTCAGGGTGACGGGCTCCCACGGCTGTGTCCTGGCACCCCCAGCCTCTCAGAGGGTGGACACTACACTGGGACACCAGCTTTCCTGTTCTTCCCTGCAAACCTCATCTTGCCAGGAGAGAGTCTGATGCCAGGGCCAGGGCCAGCCCTAGCTCAGGGGTAGGGACACCCCCTGGTGACCCGAAGGAAGGAGTAGGTCAAGATCAGAGTTCATGACCGGGCGCGGTGGCTCACGCCTGAAATCCCAGCACTTTGGGAGGCCAAGACGCGTGGATCACCTGAGGTCAGGAGTTTGAGACCAGCCTGGCCAACATGGTGAAACCCCGTCTCTACTAAAAATACAAAAATGAACCGGGCGTGGTGGCACGCAGCTGTAATCCCAGCTACTCAGGAGGCTGAGGCAGGAGAATCGCTTGAACCCAGGAGGCGGAGGTTGCAGTGAGCCGAGATCATGCTACTGCACTCCAGCCTGGGTGACAGACCAAGACTCTGTCTCAAAAAAAAAAAAAAAAAAAAAAAATTTCAGCATTTGCGACCCACCAAGACGCAGTAGTTAGGACTCAAGCTCACTACTGGCTTGGGCATCCAAGCAGGAGGAGAAGGGTCTCAAAGGTGTCAAAGTAAGATGGAAAGAGGTCAAGGCCCAGACCCCTGGTCTAACCTGAGCTTGACCACCATTTCACAGAGCAAGTAATGACGCCCTCCTCCCAGACTTGCCCCAAAGCCCCCCAGAGCTTGGTGGTGTCCCAGGACGGTCCTCCCAGGAAACATTTTGAATAAGTTGCTGAAGTGCCTGATGGACGTGGCTCTCGTCACGAAATGAGTTTGGATCCGAGAAGCCCTCTTCTTCATCGGAAAACAGGCAGGGGTCCAATTTCCCCTCCACCTGAACCCTGTCAGAGCCCTTCCAGCTGACGGCTCCACATGTTGGGAGGGCCTCTCATTTCAAGATGGGTCAGGGGCTTCTCAGGATTCTTTAGCCCAAACTGTGCCAGCCCACGAGGAGCACGTGTTATGAACGTCATTCCCAAAGATCCTGCGGCACTTGGTGAACAGACGGTCCCCTTGGCTCCTTCCCAGAGGCCCTGGGTCCCATGGGCCAGGGGTAAAGGGGCGGCTGGAGCCCCTGGTGGGGCTGGCAAGAGGCTGAGTCCCAGCCAGGGACATGGAGTTCTCCATGGCTTCGGAGCTGGAGTTTCCTTTTCCCGCCCTGGAGCAGGCAGAGGCACTCAACCCGGGCCGAGCTTGGGCTGAGCAGGGCTAAGGGAAGTATGTCCCGGGGGTCCATGCAGGGGGCAGGTGTCAGGGGTGCCCCAGCCACCACCTGGTGTTCTGTCCCTCAGGGAAGGGTCTGCAGAGGGGCCTGGAATGGGGAGGTTTGGGGGCAGGCCTGGGAGCCCCAAGGACCTCTGCTGCTCCCATTAGGACAAAGATGAGCTGCGTGCCCATAATTCCACGTTTACGCTGACTCCTCCAGTGCCTCATCAATGAAGTAAGCAGGTACAGTCATACATCAGTGAAGTAAGCAGGGAGCCCCCAGCCCAGGGACCCTCCTGCCCCACAGTCCCTGCATCCCCTCCTGCCCACACTCCCTGCATCCCCCAGCCCTCCAGCCCAGGGACCCTCCTGCCCCATACTCCCCAGATCCCCCGGATCCCCCAGCCCTGAGATCTGGCTCCCGAGGAGGACCTGGCTCACCCCCACCTGGCAGGAGGCACAGGCGTGTCCCTGCAGGGCACATAAGCCAGGCAATGCCCCAGAGGGGACATCCCACAGCAGAGGCCGGGGCTCAGCCCAGCCTCATGGGCAGACAGGGCCAGGACTCAACCTGGGAGAGCCCAGGGAAGCCCCAAGCCCTTGGGGAGCCTCTCCTTCCAGGAGCCACATCCCCACTGAAATGAGTCTCCTCCATGAGGAACTACAGGACCTCTTCTGATCCAGCCTCACAGGGGAGTGGGGTGGGGGATCTCATCCCATGGGGAGGGGTCCCTGGTGCTCCAGGGCACTGAAACCCCAATGGGCCCTGCTCAAGCCACCAGCCCCCAGCTAAGAAGGGTCAGGTCCTCCCACTCCTGTTGTTCCGAAAGACTCTCTTTGGGCTTGCCAGGCAGCTACGTTCTGGATGGCTAGCATGTACCGAAGGCACAAAACCTCCAGAGTTGGCAGAGTTAAGTCCTGGCGTGCCCGAGGCTATCCAGGGGAACACGCGGGACAGACAGCACCCTCAGCCTGTCCCCATGACCCTCTGCTCCAGTCTGAGGGGCAGGACACCATGAGACCTCTCAGACACAGAGTCCACCCTCGACATGACCCGGATGAAAGGCAGGAGTGTGGTGAGCCCCTTCCTGCCCAGGCCTCCCCCTGGCCGTGGCCTCCTGTGCACAGCTGGACCCCAGGGGTGGCCCGAAAAGGACCCAGCACTGCCCAGTGGGAGGGGGCCATGGTGGAAACAGGGTGTGGACACCAACCTCTCCCAGGGACCCCTCCCAGCCTGATGCCCATCCTGCTCCTAGAGCATCTCATGAAGCTGTCCCAGTCCAGCCTGGGGGAGCTCATCCAGGACCAGTTCTTCCGGGCCTGGGCCCTGGAGGATGCCATGGCGCTCAGGCACCTTCATGTCTCCATGGGGTTACTGATGAGGAGGCGCTGAGTCCTGCTACCCCCAGGTGGGCCCCAGTACCAGGTCCCCTCCCAAGTCACCCTCTGGGGCAGTCGGCCAGGGCCCCTACAGCCTCACTACCTGGGCCTTCCTCCTGCACCTTTTTTCCCCCTCTAAGAAGCTTCTGGAGGCCGGGCGTGGTGGTTCACGCCTGTAATCCCAACACTTTGGGAGGCCAAGGTAGGTGGATCACTTGAGGTCAGGAGTTCGAGACCAGCCTGGCCAACATGGTGAAACCCTGTCTCTACTAAAAATACAAAACAATTAGCCGGGCGTGGTGGTGGGCGCCTGTTATCCCAGCTACTTGGGAGGCTGAGGCAGGAGAATCACTTGAACCCAGGAGGTGGAGGTTGCAGTGAGCCGAGATCACACCATTGCACCCCAGCCTGGGCAACAAGAGTGAAACTCCATCTCAAAAAACAAAAAACAAACAAAAAAGAAGCTTCTGGAAATAAGCCCGTGGGTCCTCAGGGCAGGTGCTGAGCACATGTGTGCTGGACATGCTGCAGATCAGGCAGGGGAACCAGGGGAAAGACTCTTCCAAGCCCCACCACTGCCACCTTCCACAGTGCCCTGCTTTTGCCCTCGAAGCTCGCTGAAGGGGACCCATCTCTGCAAGCCCACAGCCCTACCTGCAGCATCCACAGCCTCAGAGAGCAGCGGGGCCCCTTACCCCTGAACCCCCTCCAAGAGCATCAGGACAACAAGCCTTGAGCTGTGGAGACAAGAGAATCAGTATCCCTGGCCCAGGGAGGATTCCAGGAGAGGACACGGGCAGGAGCCCTGGCCCAGAGCCAGAACCAAGAGTCCAGCCAGGTATGGAAATGGTCCAGTCCTGGCATGGAGTGGATGGCCTGGGGCCATCCATCTCACCCACTGTGGAGACAGGCCCCCGAGTGAGGTGGCAAGGGGGCCAGGTGACAGCAAAGGCCTCTCCCATCTGAATTCTGAATCAGGGGCCGCATCCCAGCCGGCACAGCCCTGGGGTGAGAGAGAGAGGCAGGAAGCCTTGAGCCAGCCCAAACCCTCGGGGCTGTCTTAGGAGCAACCTGAGGTGCCCCAACAGCTCCCCCGCCCAAGCGCACACAAAACTGTCACTCCAGGATCAGCTACCTGCAGGAGAGTCCGCAGCATCGGACTCAGGGAGCCACACAGGGACCGCAGGGACTCCAAAGACCCGGGTCTGGGGGGCCCGGCCCTGTGAGGACCTAATGGGCTCAGTTGGAGAAGCGGACGCCACACATCTGCTTTCCTTTCAGCGAAACTGGAACTAGGGTCCCCGGCACCCAGGACTCTGCGAGCATCCCCCAACAGCAAGCCCTTCTGCAAGGGAGACGGGTTGGCCCACCCCAGGCTGTCCAGCTCCAGCAGCCTTGCAGGCAGCCTCTCCAGAAAAAGAGCCTGGTCCTCCCCACCCTGCTCCCCACAGGCTGTCCCTGACCCTGAGGCCCAGAGGCACAAGAGGACTTCTGTAGAGCCCAGGGGAGCAGGCTGTTCTCTTGGGGCCCCAGCGGGCTCAAGGTGTGGCCAGGCTGTCCCCAACTCAGGATAGATCATAGGCTGTCCTGCGTACCTCCTCTGGAACTCCCTGCCCAAGCTCTGCCATGGACCTGGACGTCAGGGGCCTGTGGTTTAACTTTGAATAGGGATTCTGGACCTTACACGTGTGCCCTGGACAGCCCCAGAACCATGGGGTGGGGACCGACCCAGCAAGCCCACCGGGGCCCTGAAACCCGGCCCTGCCGGACACTGTGATAATAACCAAGAGGCAAGTCCAGAGACATCCACTTTGCCCAATGGCACCTGCATCCAACTTCTCAGCAGGCAGTGACTGGCATGGTGTGGGGGCAGCCGGGGCAGCACCTGGCCAGCACCTGGCCAGCTGCCCTGTAGCCCCCGATGGCTCCAGTGCCTCTGGACCTCATTTTCTACTTTCTACGGGGAAACCTACTCCCTCAGAGGCCACCAGAGGGAAGAGTGAGCAAGGCGTTCCTGCAGTCCCGACCAGCCAGCGGCATGTCCTGTGGCCTCTGACTCAACCTATGAGACAGAGCTCTGATCCCAGGGCACACTTCCCAGGACACGGGGCCCAGCCTCAACCAGAGCCCTGTGAAGGGAGGGGCACCAGGATGACCACATGGGGGACCATGGCGCTGCACACCTGGGCACTGTACTTCTCATTGGAGAATCCAGGCAAGATCTTGAAGCAGGTGCATGAGGTCCTGAGCCTGTGCAGCAAACAGCACTCATCTGGGGTTGGCACGAAGGGGTCTACAGAGCCACGGCCACCGCAGCCTCTTCCCGGCCCCATCTGTGCAGTGCAAGTGATCCACGCCTGCTCCTAAACCCAGCCCAGCAAGCAGCAGCAGCCCGGGCCCCCAAGCCCGCCAGGCCAATGTGCTGCCCAGAGGCTTCGAGGCCCTGCCCGCTGTACCTCCCACCACCTGGAAGCTGCCTCCTGACGCCTTCCAGCCACTGCTGCAGCCGCAACAGGTGTCGCGGCCAGTGCAGGCTTTCCAGACGGTGGCAGCGCCCAGCAGCCGTTGCCTCAGCTCTTTGGTGGCAGCCAGGCCAACAAGGGCAGCAACGATGACTAGGATGATGAGTGAGCAAACAGCTCCACACTGGTGGACAGGCTGGGTGCGCACCCGGTGGTCCTCAAAGGCTCGCTGGGCCTGTACCACCGTTATAAATTTGAGATCATGAGATTATACCGTTTGCCTTCTTGCTTTTTGAAGTACGAGTATTTTTATGCACACTTTGTAGACTTCAAAATCCATGAAGAGTCTCAAAGAAGCCGGATGGATGGAGCCTGCTGCGGATGCCTTTTACTCTCGTAGATCAGGGTGATTTACATTCCACCTGTAGTCTGCTTGCAAACACACAGAGCAGCCTTGCAGCTTTGTGCCTTTAGACTCTTGGTTTTGCATTTCTCCCTGCTCCCTTCTTCCTTCCAGTAAGCTGCAACTTTTCTGATTGAAAGGGTGCAAGGCTAACACACGGAATGACTAACTCAGGATCACATACTGGCAGTGGGAGAGGCAGGAGGAGCAGCTGCCATCAATTGCCAGGGCCAAGTGGATGATAGGATGGATGCTGGTGCATGCGGAGGAGGCAGACGCAACGCTCATCTCTAATAATGATGTCTGTTCCCTCAGAGGCGGCTAGAGCATCACCTCTTCACGCAAGTGTCTTGAAACTCAGCTTGAAGATTTCAGCAAATGTGTCTTACAGAGAAGAGAAGAGGGAGTCAGCCCATCGGGATTAAAAATATAGAGGCAGTGACAACACACACTCGGCTTCAGTTCTTAGGAGAGTTTTGGTTTTGATTTTTTTTTTTTTTTTGGAGAAGATTTTTTTTTTAATGGATCTACACTGTTAACTGAGACTCTGTTGAGATTCACTGGTTTACTTAAAAACTTCTCAGGGATGTCTGTAAATTTCAGTGTTATATGTCATGAAAACTGGTGTGGGCAGATCTGTTGGTTGAAATAATTTCTACTGTTTCAAATACTGAAGGCAGGAATAATTGGTTTATACTGTGTTTTAAATAGAAGTATTACTGGTAAGTCCCCCAGGACATTAAACCTTAAAAATCAGTTTTAAGCTATTATTATTGTAAGAGAAATACAAATGGCTGGAAAATGCCACAGAGATTCAAAAGCTGCTTAATTGAAAGAGCAGGAAGGGATTCTGGCTTGCAATGCCAAAGTTTCAATGTTTTTGTAGTTACTGAGCTAAATCATATGGTAATTGACAGTTTCTAAATCTGTCACCTAAAGGTTAAATTATCTACTGTTGCCGTGAAGTCAAACTTACTGCTGCCTCAGAAATCCCTGGGTACCGCGATGGTCATACAGAAGTAAGGAAGTCAATTTGAAATGTCAGTGAGTCAAAATGATTAAAGAGGCCAGGTGCAGTGGCTCACGCTTGTAATCCCAGCACTTTGGGAGGCTGAGGCAGTGGATTGCTTGAGTCCAGGAGTTTGAGATCAACCTGTGCGACATGGCAAAACCCTGTCTCTACAAAAAATACAAAACAAATTTATCCAGACCTAGTGGTGCGCGCCTGTATAGTTCCAGCTAGGGGGCTGAGGTCGGGGGATGGCCTGAGCCTGGGAAGTCAGGGCTGCAGTGAGCCGAGATGGCACCACTGCACTCTGGCCTGGGTGACACAGCCAGACCCTGCCTTAAAAAAAAAAAAAAAAAAAAAAAAGATTTAAAAAACGGTCTGTTTATTTAAAAAGAAAAGTGAAATAATGCCCAACAGTACATTTACTCTCTTTTCAGGCTGGGTGCGCTGGCTCACGCCTGTAATCCCAGCACTTTGGGAGGCCAAGGCAGGCAGATCACCTGAGGTCAGGAGTTCGAGACCAGCCTGGTCAACATGGCAAAACCCCGTCTCTACTAAAAATATAAAAATTAGCCAGGCATGGTGGTGCAAGCCTATAATCACAGCTACTTGGGAGGCTGAACCAAGAGAATCACTTGAACCCAGGAGGTGGAGGTTGCAGTGAGTTGAGATCACGCCACTGCACTCCACCTGGGCAACAGAGTAAGACTCTGTCTCAAAAAAATAATAATAATAATTTCATATGGGTTAAATTTTAAGGTCAGATGATCACAATTTTGATATTTTGTCTAATTTTATACCTTAGGTGACTTAGAGCCTGATTTAACGTGACTTTGTCTTGACTACGGATACGTGGAACTGCAGCCAAATATATTGTTCTGTTTTTAAAAAACAACAAAAAAAAAACCTGCTTCAGTTACTAGGACTGAAGAAAACTGGGCAAAGGGGGGCCCAGGAGGCTAGGTCCCTACATCTGCCATTCTTGGCAGCTGCATTTCACGGTTAGAAAAACTCAGGAAATAGCCGGGCGTGGTGGCTCACGCCTGTAATCCCAGCACTTTGAGAGGCCGAGGCAGGTGGATCACCTGAGGTCAGGAGTTCGAGACCAGCCTGGCCAACATGGGGAAACCCTGTCTCTACTAAAAATGTAAAAATTAGCCAGGCGTGGTGGCAGGCGCCTGTAATCCCAGCTACTCGGGAGGCTGAGGGAGGAGAATTGCTTGAACCCAGGAGGCGGAGGTTGCAGTGAGCCGAGATTACGCCACTGCACTCCATCCTGGGTGACAGAGCAAGACTCCCTCTCAAAAAAAAAAAAGGAGGAGGAAGAAGGAAGAAGGAAGAAGAAGAAGAAGAAGAGGAAGAGGAAGAGGAAGAGGAAGAAGAAGAAGAAGAAGGGGAAGGGGAAGGGGAGGGGAGGGGGAGGGGGAGAGGAGGAGGAGGAGGAAGAACAACTCAGGAAAGGAGGTCTCACACACTGCAGGGAGGCTCCAAGCTACAAAGTTGGGGGCGATGGGGGGGACCAGGGCTGCCAGTACCAATGCCTTCATCCCTTTGAAGGCCTCCCTCTCAGAAGCAAGGACCCCCTCCTTGGCCTCAAGTCCCCGCCCTCGTTGGTTAAAACACAAATCACTTCTCTGTCGTTATGACCTGCCTGTTTTTGACTGAAATGGTCATACAGAAGGAAGTCAGTTTGAAATATTGGTGAGTCAAAATGATTAAATAGGCCGAGCGCAGTGTCTCACGCTTATAATCCCAGCACTTTGGGAGGCTAAGGCGGGTGGATCACTTAAGCCCAAAGCTCTCTGCAGGAAGCCCCGGACACCCTGGGGCAGGCGGGAGGAGAGGGCAGCACAACCCAGGCTCCACCCAGCTTCTCTCAGCTTCCACCTCCCAAAGGCCACAGAGGAGCCTGGGACAGGAGCAGAGGGCGGGGGTTCCAGTGACTTCTGGAACATTCATGATGGTCCGTGCAAAGCATTCCTGGGAGGGTCCGTGATCACCTCTGTCCCTGGGTGGCTGGGCTCCAGCAGCCCTTCCTTCCTTCTGTCCATTCTTCCTTCTGCCTGCACCTCCTCCCAGCATGTGGCACCCCCACATCCTAAGCCTGTGTCACTTTCTTTCCATGGATTCTTTGACCGCCTTCCTCTTCTCACTGACTTGGCATCTAGGGGCTTCTTGGTGGAGGAAGGTAACTGGTAAGAAATGACATACTGAGGCCAGGCGTGGTGGCGCACGCCTGTAATCCCAGCACTTTGGGAGATCAAGGCGGGTGGATCGCTTGAGTCCAGGAGTGCAAGACCAGCCTGGGCAATATAGTGAGGGGAAAAAGAAAAAAAAAAGGAAGGAAGGAAGGACTGAGAAACTAGCAGAGTCTTCTGGCTGTCTGGGTGTACGGTCCAGCCCTACGGGGCTTAGCGGGTGTTCTCCCTGTGTGCGGAGATGAGAGATTGTAAGAAATAAAGACACAAGACAAAGAGATGAAGAGAAAACAGCTGGGCCCAGGGGACCACTACTACCAAGACACGGAGACCGGTAGTGGTCCCGAATGACTGGGCGTGCTGAAATTTATTGCGTACAAGACAAGGAGGGCAGGGAAGGAGGGTGAATCTTCCAAGTGATTGACAAAGTCAAGCAAGTCACGTGATCATAGGACAGGGGGCCCTTCCCTTTTAGGTAGCGGAAGCAGAGAGAGAACGCAGCATATGTCAGCGTTTTCTTCTATGCACTTATAAGAAAGATCAAAGACTTTAAGACTCACTATTTCTTCTACCGCTGTCTACTACAAACTTCAAAGAGGAACCAGGAGTACGGGAGGAACATGAAAGTGGACAAGGAGCGTCATGACCATTGGAACACAGCACCACAGGGAGGGGTTTAGGCTGCGGGTAGGCCTAGATAATATCCAGCCTTCCACAAGAAGCTGGTGGAGCAGAGTGTTCCCTGAGTCCTCCGAGGAAAGGAGACTCCATTTCGCGGTCTGCTAAGTTACGGGCGCCTTCCCAGACACTGGCATTAACCGCTTGACCAAGGAGCCCTCATGCGGCCCTTATGCAGGCGTGACAGAGGGTTCACCTCTTGCCTTCTAGGTCACTTCTCACATTGTCCCTTCAGCACCTGACCCTCTCTACTCGTCGGTTATTCCTAGGTTATATTAGTAATGCAACAAAGAGTAATATTAAAAGCTAATGATTAATAATGTTTATATTAATGATTGATAATTGTCCATGATCATCTCTGTATCTAATTTGTATTATGACTATTCTTATTCTAACTATTTTCTTTATTATACTGAAACAGTTTGTGCCTTCAGTCTCTTGCCTCGGCACCTAGGTAATCCTTCGCCCACATCTGGGGACAGTCCTCATGTGTTCCTAAGCTCAGCCTCGAGGGTCCTGGGCTGGTCACCTCACCGCATCTGCACTGTGTCTCTAGATCCAGACTCCACGGGAAGGGCTTGGGATGCCTAGCACAAAGGATGCCTGGTGTGACAAACATCCCTCCATTCCCTGGACTGCAGCTCAGCAAAAGGTCCAGGTGGTGCCATGCCAATTTACTGTCCCTTTGAGATGAGCCCATAGGGCCTTGTGGGGGGCGAGTGTGAAGCTGGGCGCCTGGAGCCTAAGGCCAGCTGTCCCTCCCTGTGTCCTGGAGGAGGGGCCCTGTCCCAAAAAGACCCTCAGGGGCCTGGCCTGTGAGTGCAGATGTGGGGAGGGGAGAGTCTGTGGGCTGAGTGGGGGCCACAGGAACGGACTTTGAGCACCATGGCTGAGGGGCCTGGTCAGTGGGAACCTGGACATTGTGGCCTGGTCAGCCGAGGCCTGGTCTGGTCAGTGGGGACCTGGACCTTGTGGCTTGGTCAACAGGGGCCTTGTCAGTGGGACCTGGACATTGTGGCCTGGTCAGTGGGGGCCTTGTCAGTGGGACCTGGACATTGTGGCCTGGTCAGCGGGGGTCTGATCAGTGGGAACCTGGACATTGTGGCCTGGTCAGCTGAGGCCTGGTCAGTGGGTACCTCGACCTTATGGCTTGATCAACAGGGGCCTTGTCAGTGGGACCTGGACATTGTGGCCTGCTCAGCGGGGCCTGATCAGTAGGACCTGGACATTGTGGCCTGGTCAGCGGGGGCCTTGTCAGTGGGACCTGAACATTGTGGTCTGGTCAGTGGGGGCCTGATCTGTGGGACCTGGACATTGTGGCCTGCTCAGCGGGGCCTGATCAATGGGACCTAAACAATGTGTCCTAGTCAATGGGGGCCCGGTCAGCGGAGGCTTTGTGAATGGGGACACGGTCCTTGGGGACATAGTCAGAAAACACCTAGTAAATGGGGGTGTTGTCAGCAGGGACCTGCTCGGTGAGGATCTGGTCTGTGGGAGGCCTGGTCAGCTGTGGCCTGGTCAGAGGGGACTGATCATGGGTCCTCGAGTTAAGGACTTAGTCACTTGGCACCTCATCAGTGAGGACCTGGTCAGTGGGCGCCTGGTCAGCGGAAGCTGGGTCAGTGTGATCTGATTATTGGGGGTCTGGTCTATGGGGACCTAGTCATTGGAAACCTGGCCACTGGAGCCTGTTCAATAGAAAGGTGGTCAGTGGAAGCCTGGCAGTGAGGGCCTGGTCGTTGGGCTCCTGGGTAGTGGGGCCTAGTCAGTAAAGGTCTATTCAGTAAGGACATGGTCAGTTGGAATTTTCTTAGTTGGGGCCCAGTCAGTGGGGACCTGGTCAGCGAGGGCCTAGTCAGTGGGACTTGGTCAGTAGGGACCTGGGCACTGGAGTCCTGGGTAGTGGGGCCTAGTCAGTAAAGGTCTGGTCATTCAGGGCCTGGTCAGCCAGAACCTCATCTGTTGGGGCCGTGTCAGTGAGCTCTAGTCAGTGGGGACCTGGCAATGGAAGCCTCATCAGTGGGTCTTGGATAGTGAGGCCTAGTCACTGGAGGACTGGTCAGTGGGGACTTGGGTAAGGGGGCCTGGTCCCTAAAGGTCTGGTCATTAAGGACCTGGTCAGTTGGAACCTTGTCACTTTGGGCCCGGTCAGTGGGACCTGGTCTGAGGGGGTCTTGTCAGTTGGGCCCAAGTCAGTGGGAGTCTCATCAGTGGGGCCTGGCTAGTGGGGCCTGGTCAGTGGAGGTTTGGTCAGTGGGGTCCTGGTAAGTTGGAGCCTCATCAGTGGGGACCTAGTCAGTGGGGACTTGTCAATGGGACCTGGTCAGGGGACCCTTGTTAGAAGGAGCCTGGTCAGTGGGGCCTAGGTAGTGAAACCTGGCCACTGGGGGCCTGGAGAGCTGGGGCCTGCTCAGTGGGACCTGGTCAGTGTTGGATGTGGTTAGCGGGGCCTCATCAACTGGGGCCTGGCCAGTGGGACCTGGTCAATGGGAGCTTGGTCACTGAGGTCCTGGTTTGTGGGGTCTAGTCAGTAAGGGTCTATTCAGAGAGACTTGGTTAGTAGGGACCTGGTCTTTGAGGCCCTGGAGAGTGGGGCCTATTCAGTAAAGGCCTGGATCACTGGGGTCCTGGTTAGTGAGGCCTAGTCAGTAAAGGTCTGGTCACTGAGGACCTGGTCAGTCAGAACCTTGTCGGTTAAGGACCTGGTCAGTTGGAACCTTGTCAGTTGGGCCCAGTCACTGGGGGCCTGGTCAGTAGGGACATGGTTAGTGAGGACCTGGTCAGTGGGGGCCTTGTCAGTTGGGCCAAGTCAGTGGGAGTCCTGGGTAGTGGGGCCTAGTCAGTAAAGGTCTGGTCATTAAGGACCTGGCCAGTCAGAACCTCGTCAGTTAAGGACCTGGCCAGTCAGAACCTCGTCAGTTAAGGACCTGGCCAGTCAGAAGCTCGTCAGTTAAGGACCTGGCCAGTCAGAACCTCGTCAGTTAAGGACCTGGCCAGTCAGAACCTCGTCAGTTAAGGACCTGGCCAGTCAGAACCTCGTCAGTTAAGGACCTGGCCAGTCAGAATCTCGTCAGTTAAGGACCTGGCCAGTCAGAACCTCGTCAGTTAAGGACCTGGCCAGTCAGAATCTCGTCAGTTAAGGACCTGGTCAGTTGGGTCCAGTCAGTGGGGGCCTGGTCAGTGGAGACCTAGGCCATCAGTGGGTCCTGGATAGTGAGGCCTGGTCATTGGGGTCCTGGGTAAGTAGGGTCTGGTCAGTGAAAGTCTCATTGATGAGGCCTAGTTAGTGGGGTCCAGGCAGTGAGGGCCTCATCAGGGGGACCTAGTCAGTGAGTCAGTGAGGGCTTGGTGAGTGGGGGCCTCGTCAGTGGGGCCTTGTGCCTGGTGAGTGTGAACCTGGTCTTCAGGGGCCTGGTCAGCAGGTGACTGATCAGTAGGGGTCAGTGCAGCCCTGGCCAGTGGCTGCCTGATCATTGGACCTAATCCATCGGGGCCTGGCAGAGGTGGGGGAGGGGTGAGGGGGGGTGGCTGTCAGTGGGGCCTGGTCAGTGACATCCTGGTCAGCAGGCTCCTAGTCAGAGGGAGCCCAATCAATAAACCTGGTCATCGGGGGCCTGGTCAGTGAAAACTTGGTCGGCAGGGTTGGTCAGTGTGTCCTGGATATTGGGGATTGGTCAATGGGGGACCAGGTCGGTGGAGACCTGGTCATCGGGGCCCATTTAGTGAGGGCCAGGTCATGGAAGGCCCGGGTGATGGGGCCCTGGTTGCCTGGTCAGTTGGACCTGGTCATCCCAGGACTGATCCTCAGGGAACACTCTGACTTCACCAGGCTCCCCTGACCATGCCAGTCCCTGGCCTGCAGCCAATGGTGTCCTTTGTGTCTCTCCCAGCACAGACCCAGGCCCAGGGGATGCCCAATGCTGGGAGGAGGCTCAGACAGCAGGAAGGAGAGAAGGAAGGAAGGAACTTCCGTAGTACCGATGCCTACAAAATTACAACACGTGGTGCTGTTTCTACTCCATCACCATGTTCGCTCTTTATTTCCTATGTAATTCTCTATTCAACCGGCCTCAGTTGAGCACAAAACCATCCTTGTACCACCATGAATAGTTGGCCATGGCTCTTTGATAGCAATTTTTGTTCTGCCGTAGAAATTATCCTTGAACCAGAAAAAAAAATCCCCAATTCAACACTCCATTTTTGTGAAGAGCTGGTTCCGAATTCTGGGTCACTTTTTGGAAAAAATATCTGTTGTGGTAAACAGTGCTGCATCTGTGATCTCAAGTCTCTACTGGAATTGGATAGAGATGGTGAATTTCAGCCAGAGCGCCCAAAGAACTCGTGTCCCGCGCTCCTGAACGCCATCAGCCGCCGCACCTCCATCTTCCCTCCTCCCACGAGTCTCCTGCTCCCCGTGACTCTGGTAAGAGCTCCTCTGTGAACGTGGAGGTGGTCTGGGAAGTTGGCCCAGTGCTCCTGGGACCGCACTAACAGGTCCGAGACGGGGTCCAGGTCCTGCCTGGGCCAATCCGGGAAGAGCTTGCCAATGGCATCACAGGCACCTCGGGGAAGGGGATGGTTTGGTTCAGGACCACCCAGAGGCCTGCTGGGCCCACTCCAAGGCCTGGCTGAGGCCACAGAAGGGCTGGCCGCCTGCTGATGCTCCTTCTTGAAGCCCCTCACCTGCTGGCAGTGAGCTCCATGCCCTGTGGCTGAGCAGCAGCGCTGTTGTCCACCTTCCTGGGCAAGCATCTGCAGCTATCCATCTTGCTCTCCACCTCCTGCAGGTTGAGGGCAGTGGTGGGGGTAGTGCTCAGGGTCAGGAAGGAGCTGACCCCCACCATGCCACCCTTCTCACCCTTCCTCTTGCCCTGTTTCCAGGCCTCCTCGCAGTGTTGCTGGGCCACGTCAGGAAGTGCTGGAGGACGTGGCATTGCACCAACACCAGGCGGCCAGCCGTGTGGCTCATCCCGCAAATCAGGCTCTTCCTGTGCATGGAGATGGAGTCCCTCTGGAGGCAGCCCGTGGCCCTGTTCTCGGGCAGGTGGAGCATGGAGACGACTGGGAACTTCACTAGACACGCATCCAGCCGGTTCAAGGGCTTGTCGCGCCGTGCACCAGCTTGCAGGAGAAGTAGGTCTTTATGTCCTTGAACTTGTTCTACTGAGTGGTGTCGCCAGCGGTGCACTGGGTTCTCCTGCCACTTGGGGCCATGGGGTAGGGGTTTTCCTGCCACTTGGGGCCATGGGGCCAAGCACCAACAGCACCATGCACACAGCTTGTCCCTGTCTTTCACAGAGCCCAACGCCTCGCCAAGCACGAAGGCCTCCCTTCCCGACTTGATGAAGGCAGAGTAGCGGTTGAGGTTGCGGCTCACAGTGACCGAGCTCCTGCCCACGTGGGGACCCAGGGAGCCGTCGAGCTCCAGGTATGCACCTCTGCCCAGTGCACCTGGATCGTTCACCGTCATGGAGCTGCCATCCCACTTGTCGTCCCAGTCATCATCACTGCCCTAGCTGGCCTAGTTGCCACCAAGGAGCTGCTGAGGCCACGGCTTCAGGGCATCCCTACCGCCTGGAAATCCTGCGCTGGCTGCTGGAAGGCACTCTGTGGTGGCACCAGCTGCGGCTGCAGTAGCAGCTGGAAAGCACTGAGAGATGGCTTCAAGGAGGCAGGCAGTGCACCGGGCAGGGCCTTGAAACCTCTGGGTGGTACAATGGCCATGGCACAGTGGGTCAAGGCACAGGGGCAGCCATGGCGCGCTGGGCCAGTCCAGGGTTGCAGACCACTTGCACTGCAGATATAAGGCCAGGGTTGCTGAGGCCATGAGCCCCTGCGAGTCAGCCCTTGATGTCCTGCTCACTACACAGGCTCAGCACTTCATGTTCTCATAGATCACTCTCAAATTTTCTGCCATCAAGTGGTACAGCAACTGAATCCACAGTGCCATGGGTTCCCTGCGTGGTCATCCTGGCCACTGTGGAGGCACGTGACACCTCTAGTTCCCCTCCCCTCCCAGGGCTCAGGTTGAGGCCAGGCCCCTCTGGTCCTAGGAAGTGTGCCCTGAGGGTGGGGCTCTGTCCTGCAGGTTGAGTCAGAGGCCGCAAGGCACGCTACTGATGGCTAGGGCTGCAGGGGTGCCACACTCACCCCTCTCTGGGGAAGTCTTAGAGTGAACGGCGTTCTCATTAGAGATGACTTCCCAAGGCCCAAGAGCCATCTAGGGCTGTGGAGCAGCTAGCCGGGTGCTGCCCTAACTCCTTCCACACCGGGCTGGTCACTGCCCTCCAAGAGGAGTCGGATGCAGGTGCCATTGTGTAGAGAAATGTCTCTGGATCTGCCTCTTGGTTATCATGGGGCACAGTAGTTTCTGGTGTCTGGGCTCTGATGAAGCCGTTTAGCCGATCCAGGGCAGATGTGGAAGTGACAGGAGCTCAGCATCCCTGTTCAAGGTCATACCACAGGAAACACAAGCCCCCAACGCCAGCCTGCTCCATCGGAAGCTTTGGCATGGAATTCCACCAGAGGTACCGCCAGTTCACCCAAGGTCTGTCTTGAGCTAGGGACGGCCTGGCCACACCCTGAGCCCCGGAGGTTCCCAGAGAGCAACCTTCTGCCCTGGGCGCTGCAGAAACCCCCTTTTCATGCCACTGGGCCTTGGCCTCGGGGACAGCCTGGCCAGGCTAGGGTAAGGGAGGACCAGGCTCCCATTCCAGAGGAGTCGCCTGCATGTGCTGCTGGAGCTGGGCGGGTGGGCCGGGGAGGGCCAGCCCATCCCCCTTGCAGAGAGGCTCAATGCTGGGAAATACCCGAAGAGCCCTGGGTGCTGGGGTCCCTCCCTTAAGTTTGCCTGAAGAGAATGCAGATGAACCCAGCCTCTCCACCAAACCCATCAGATGTTGTCGCAGGGCCAGGTTCTGCACATCTGGGTCTCTGGAGTCCTTGGGGCCCCTCTGTCCTCCACCCTAGCCTGACACAGAGGACACCCCTGCAGGCTGCAGATCCCAGAGCAAGGGGTGTGTGCAGCTGCCTGGGTATCCCCCCTGGGACAGGTAACACAGGCTTTAGGCTGGCTTATGCCTCGTATCCTCATCCCAGGGCTGTGGGGCCGGGGATGCAGCCCTGATTAGGAGCTCAGGTGGGAAGAAGCTCTCACTGTCACCTGGCCCCCTTGCCACCTCACATGGGGGCCTGTCTCAACAGTGGGTGAGATGGCCCCAGGCACGGGGTCCTCTCCGCTCTCTGGGGCCATCCACTCCATGCCAGGACTGGACCATTCCCACGCCTGGCTGAACTCTTGTTTCTGGCCCTGGGCCAGAGCTCCTGCCCGTGTCCTCTCCCCGAATCCTCTGGGCCAGAAACACTGATTCTCCTGTTCACCTGGCATCCCTGAAGGCGCGCTGTGGAGTGAGGGGACCCTGCTCCTCCCGGCGTCTGTTGATGCTCACAGCGGGGGCAGGGAGCTCGCACAGACCAGAGAGAGTGTAAAAGGTGCAGGGGGCACCCCCGCCTGTCTTGAGCAGCATGTCCAGTACACGTGCACTCAGCACATCCCCTGAAAACCGGCAGGTCTATTTGTAGAAGTTTCTCTGTGTAGAGGAGGAAGAGGTGTGGGAGGAAGGTCCAGGTAGTAGGGCTGCAGGGACCCAGGCCCCCTCTACTATCAACTGCCCCAGAGGATGACTCAGGAGGGGACCTGATGCTGGAGCCTCCCTAGGGGTGGCAGGTCCCAGTGTCTCCTCGTCAGTTCCTTCATGCAGACCCAAAAGTGCGTGAGAACCACATCGTCCTCCAGGGCCCAGGCCTGGGAGAACGTCTCCTGAACCAATCCTTATAGTCCAGACTGGGACATATTCATGAGGCACTCTAGGGACAAGGGGGTAGCATGGAAGGGGTCGGTGCCCACACCCAGGTTTCCACCACAGCTACCTCCCACTGGGAGGTTCTGGGTCCTTTTGCAGCCACCCCTGGCTTCCAGCTGTGCACAGGAGGCCATGGCCAGGGGGAGGCCTGGGTGAGGAGGTGCCCACCACACTCCTGCCTTTGATCTGGGTCTTGTCAAGGTGGGCTCCTTGTCTGGGAGGACTCAGTGTCCTGCTCAGCACAACAGGCCCAGCCTGGCCCTCCAGACTGAAGCAAAGGGTCATGGGGACAGTGTGAGGGTGCTGTCCCTGGGCCAGTCCAGGTCTGTCCTGGGGAGTGGGGCTGGGGGTCTTCCTGGCATGTTCCTGGAACAGAGTCACTGTGAGGATGAACAGGATGACTGTCTGCCTGGTCAGCACAGAACGGGCACCCAGTGAGCACTCGAGGATGACCCTCCTCGGGCAGCTGCCGCCCACCCAGTAGCGACTGTCCCCAAGTCAGCAGGGAGGGAAGAGAGCAGGTCACGCTCTCCTAAGTCTGATCAAGCAGCCGTGCAGAGATGTGCCTCTCACCTAGAAAAGAGAAAAGCGTCCTTTGGGCAGAACCCACTCACACTGTGTCTCCAACTGCTCTACGACACAGAGCCGGGCAGGTACCTGGGTGTTGGGTAATGGTGACATTGTGGGCTCACGGCACCCATCACAACGGAGCCCTGCATGGGTCAGCAGGGCCCAGAGACGGCATCCTCTGCCCCTCCTGAACTGTCGACGTGTGCGTGCAATGCGTCTGTGCACTTGAGTGCAGGTGGATATGTGCGGGTGCGTGTGAGCGTGTGTCTCTCCTCCGGCCGGCCCTGGCTTCCCCAATCACGTGTGCCCCCATGTCCTCATCACTGTCACCCCAGGGCCTGTGGTCAGCATCAGAGCATCCACAGGTGCGCCCCAGCCTCTGCCTTCAGGCAGGGTGGTCCTGGGGATGCAGGCAGGGCAGGGCAGTGCCGTGGGTGAAACCCCCTCCCTCGGGAGGGACTCAGTGTATACGGTACTAAATCTGCATAGCAGGGCCATATTCAATGCACTTCTCCTCCTCCCAGTAGCTCTCTGGGGTGCAGTTGATTTCATCTCCCCTACAAATGGAAGAAAGGAGGCTTCTAGGACAAACCCCCTGCCTGAGGTCACCCAGCAGCCAGCTGACCTCGTCCTTACTAAGTCCCCACTAACCAGGCCCCCACTCACCAGGTCCCCACCCACCAGGTCCTGTTGACTAAGCCGGACTGATCGTGTTCTGTGCTGACCAAGCCCTGCAGACTGGGTCCCACTGATCAGTCCCCCCCAGTGACCAAGCCACCACTGACCCGGTCCCCCGTGACCATCTACCCACAGACAAGGGCCCATCTTCTTAAGTCAACCCATCTAAGAAAATGGGTTTGGCCCCAGACCAAAGCCATTTTCTTAAGTTCCATGGAGCTCACTAGGGTATAAAGCCAAGTGGGGAGAGGCTAAGCTTCAGAATCTGGACGTTTTCAACATTTCCAGGTATTTCCACATTCTTCACAGTGATTTCACCAATGTGCTCTCCCACCATTGAGGGTTTCTACCTGCCTCCAAAACTGCTGGTGTTGCCAGACTTTTCATTTATGTTGGGTGTTGGGTTTGAAATGCCTCATGGTGGCTTCTTGTTCCTCATGACTGGTGAGGTTGGGTGCCCTTGTATTTTAATCCTGTGCCAACTGGGCCCCCCCACCCCCACCCCCGCCACTTGCTGTCTCTGCTTCGTAAGGAGATCTTCTTGCCCGGTCAACTCCGAGGGATCACAGGTTCAGGGGTGCCCCCAAAATGAGACACTTAGTGTTTGATGAATGAATGATGATGTTGAGGCCAGGAGTGAGAGGAAGGTCAGCAGGCAGACAGGGCCCATGTGGACAGAAAGGGTTTATTCCAAGTCCAGACATGACCAATAGCGATAAAAAGGGGGAACAATTGGAGTAATCCATGGGAGAAGGAGTGAGCCTGAATTTGAAAGATGGAGAGAACTGGACGTGGAGGAGGGGAGGGAGGAAGGCAGAACAAAGGAAATAAGAAGCTGTTGACCAAAATACATATGTTGTGATTCCATGCATATGATCAAAACGTGATCGTGTAATCATGCACATTTCTCAAATTCAAATGGACAAGGTATACATAATTTTTCCCATTCCTCCCACGAAGCACAACTAAAACCCTGGGCCAGACATCATACATAAAAACATAAGACTCTGAATAAGATTCAGCCTTTAAAAACAAAGCTTGTGTTTACGTGGATGAACCCGGAAGACGTTCAGTGAAATAAGCCAGGCACAGAAAAACAAATACTTCCTGTCTCACTTGTGGAATCTAAAAAGCTGAACTCCCAAGTAGAATGGTGGCTCCAGGGACTGAGGGAGGGAGGAGGGACTGAACAGATATTGGCCAAAGGGCACAAGAGGAATTGTTCAACATGGTGACTCTAGTCAATGTATTTTATTCTTGAAAAATGCTGAGTAGTCTGGGCGCAGTGGCTCACACCTGTAATCCTAGCACGCTGGGAGACTGAGGGGGATCACTTGAGGCCAGGTGTTTGAGACCAGCCTGGGCGACATAGTGAGACCTCATCTCTTTTTTTTTTTTTTTTTTTTTCAATATAAAAAAACTGAATTGCTGAGCAAATTTTAAGTGTTCTTACCACAGAAAAAGAGATAAGCATGGAGGTATGGTCACGGGTATGTCAAGGAAATGTTAAATTAGCTTGATTTAGATATTTTACGCTGTACGCCTATGTCAAAACATGTTCTATGCATCATATTTACAACTTTGTCAAAATAAAAAGTGATTGGGAAATTGGATCAAACTAGAAAAATGTAAGACTCTGAATGATGGAGGGAAGGCAGACACAGTGGGAATTTCAGGACCCAAGGAATGACACGAAAGTCAATTCTTTGGTGTTTTGTTTTGTTTTTCGCCACATACAGCCCAGGCTTGGACCTGAAGAAGCTGGCAACCCGCGAACGCCAACAGGCACAGTCGAAAAAAGCAAAAGAAAAATCCCAAACAAAATCCTGTTCTCCCTAGCCAAAGGACCAGGAGAGGGGGCAGCCCAGCAAGACAAAACACATTTACACAATTCTGGCTAACCTCAGCCAGTCCTTGGCCGTGAGTTCGTTTTTCTGCCACCTCACTTTGGGGCTGGGCTGGTTCTCCACCCTCGCAGGGTGCGTTTCTCAATCCAGACGCTGGGGGGCGCTAGTACCTCGCGAGCTCCGCGAGGATCATTCCCGGGACGCCGCGGAGTCACCTCCCCTCCTAGGGACCCAGAGCTTCCCAGGGCCGCGCCTGTAGGTTTTCCAGAGGTCCCCGAAAACGTTAAAGACCTGGAAGGAAAAAAAAACTGTAAAACCACACACTTTGATATTTGACAACGTAAAAGCAAGGCTGCAAAATCAAAATCAATGAACGCTTGAAGGAAATGTCTACTTAGCTAGACATAGTGCCACCTGGATTCACTGTTGGCTCCAGAATCCCCCCCACGGTGTCATCACGTTGGAAAGTTTTTGTGGGTTAGATGTTCTCTGTTGGCAAGAATGCCTGTACATGCCCAAGAAGCATATGAGTTTAATGGGACCCCAATAACTTCAAAAGCAAAAAGATAACGATCCTTTCTACTTTTTTAACTTTGTGTGTGTGTGTATCAGGGTCTTGCTCTGTTGCCCAGGCTGGAGTGCAGTGGCGCAATCACAGCTCACTGCAGCCTCAAATTCCTGGACTCAAACCGTCTTCCCACTTCAGCCTCCCAAGTAGCTGCGAGGATGCACACCACCACGCCCGACTAATTTTTTTTATTTTTTTAGAGTCAGGGTCTCACTATGTTGCCAGGGCTGGTCTCAAACTCCTGGGCTCAAGTGATCCTCCTGCCTCGGCCTCCCAAAGTGCTGGGATTATAAGTGTTAGCCACCGCACCCAGCTTCTTCTTGTTTTAACAGGAAGAAATACATTCAATGTGAGTGCCTTTTAATGTTTGATATTAAACAAGTCCTCCACGAGTGCAGGTACCCAGGGATGTGCCATACAGCCCTCTGCCTTCACCTATGCTGTTCCCTTTGGCCTCCATCACCCTTCCCTTCCCACATCAGCCAATTCACCTCCCATTCATCCTTCATATTTTAGCTCAGTGTTACCACTTCAGGAAAACCTTCCCTGGTCCCAAGGGACAAGATACTGTTTGTCTTCACCTGGAACATCCTAAGGGCTCAATAACGAATGAATGAATGAATGAATGAATGAATGAATGAATGAATGAATGAACACAGGTGCATAAGCATGATAGGCTTGTCCTTGTAGGGCCTTCCCATGCCACTCAAAATACATATGACCTCATTGCAAAAATATGAATACTGGCTCACAAAGTCATCCTGCAAAATCAGGCACATTCAACAACAGCCCTGTGCTGAGCCGTGTCGGGGCAGTAGAGAAAGCTCAACCCAAAACCCTACTCTTGAGAGGCTCCTCTCTGGGGGTTGGAGCACAGAGCCAGACACAGACATCACTGGCCTGTGTGTTCAATGAAGGAAGGGAGGGAGGGAAGGAGAGAGGCCGGGATGAATGGTTGGATGGGTGGATGGATGAAGGGATGGAAGGATGAATGAGTGGATGGATGGATGGATGGATGGATGGATGGATGGATGGATGAATGGAGGAATGGAGGGATGGATGGATGAATGGGTAGATGGATGAATGGATGCAGGGAGGGATGGAGGGATGGATGGGTGGATGGATGAAGGGATGGAGGGATGAATGGGTGGAGGATAGATGAATAAACGAATGGATGGAGGGATGAAGGGATGAATGGGTAGATGGATGAATGGAGGGAGGGAGGAAAGGAGGGGTGGATGGGTGGGTGGATGGATGGATGGATGGATGGATGAATGGGTGGAGGATGGATGAATAAACGAATGGATGGAGGGATGAAGGGATGAATGGGTAGATGGATGGGTGGATGGATGGAGGAATGGAGGGAGGGATGGATGAATGGGTAGATGGATGAATGGATGGAGGGAGGGATGGAGGGATGGATGGGTGGATGGATGAAGGGATGGAGGGATGAATGGGCAGAGGATGGATGAATAAATGAGTGGATGGAGGGATGGATGATGAATGGGTAGATGGATGAATGGATGAAGGGATGAAGGGAGGGATAAAGGGATGAATGACTGGGTGGATGGATGGATGAATGAAGGAATGGAGGGATGGGTAGATGGATAAAGGGATGAAAGGAGGGATGGAGAGATGAATGGGTGAATGGATGTTTAGGGATGGGCCAGAGCAAGGGCCCGGAAATGGGGAGTAGTGACAGGAATATGTCCCATAGAAGGTGCTTGGGCTTGGTATGGAAAGCAGGGTATGAGGAATCGTCTGTAGGAACAGGGACATTCCAAGCAGAGGAAACTGCAGAGGCAAAGGCCCTGCAGCTCAAGAAAACCTGGTTTCAGGATACAGTAGGGAGTGGGAAATGACTACAGAGGAGACTGGCAAGGACAAGTGGAGCCAGGTTGTGAGGGACCCATCCACGACCCTTAACCATGAATTTTGCCCCAAGGCATGCATCAAAGTACTGGCTATTCTTAGTATCAGTATTAAGATGGTATGACACACCCAAGAGTTTATTATATGCTAATAGCTTCCCCTGTTAATTTCAGTTTGGAAAACATGTTTTATAGTGTTCACACTACTCTGGTGGTGCAATATTTAGTTTTTAAATCAATATGCCTGTACAAAACTGTTACACAATGGCCCACAACTGTAACCCCAGTGCCTTGGGAGGCCAAGGCAGGAGGATCCATTGAGACCAGGAGTTTGAGACCAGCCTGAGTAACACACATAGTGAGACCCTATCTCTACAAAAAAAAGAAAAAAAAATTTTTAATGTTGGAACATGAAAAGATGTTCAACATGATTAGCCATCAGATAAATGCAAATCAAAACCAAAATGAGGCCAGGCATGTAATCCCAGCACTTTGGGAGGTGAAGGCAGGAGGATCACTTGAGGTCAGGAGTTTGAGACCAGCCTGACCAACATGGCAAAACCCTGTCTCTACTAAAAATACAAAAATTAGTGGGGAGTGGTGGCTGATGCCTGTAATCCCAGCTACCCAGGAGGCTGAGGCAGGAGAATCCCTTGAACCCAGGAGGCGGAGGTAGTGAGCTGAGATCACGCCACTGCACTCCAGCCTGGATGACAGAGTGAGACTATCTCAAAAAAAAAAAAAAGAGAGAGAAAGACTTCACACTTCACACTCCCTGAGGTGGCTATAAGCAAAAATATAACTACAAATGTCAGCAAGTATGTGGAGAAATTGGAATCCTTGTGCATTGCTGGTGGGAATGCAAAATGGTGCAGCCACTATGGAAAATAATCTGGCAGTTTCTCAAAAAGCTAAATATAGAACTCCCACATGCCCCCGCAATTCCGCTCCTAGAGATATACCCAAAAGAACTGAAAACAGGACCGCAAATAGATATTTGTACACTGACATCATAGCAGCTCTATTCACGCTAGTCAAAAGGTAGTAACAATCCAAGTGTCCGTCCGGGACAATGGAATATTACTCAGCAATATACAGAAATAAAGTTCTGGCCAGACACAGTAGCTCATGCCCGTCATCCCAGCACTTTGAGAGGCCAAGGTGGGCAGATCGCTTGAGCCCAGGAGTTGGAGACCAGCCTGGGCAACATGGCGAAACCCTATCTCTACAAAACATACAAAAATTAGCCAGGCATGGAGGTGCACACCTCTAATCCCAGCTACTCAGGAGGATGAGGTGGGAGGATTGCTTGAGCCCAAAAGGCAGAGGTTGCAGTGAGCCAAGGTCAAGCCACTGCACTCCAGCCTGAGGGACAGAGCGAGAGACTCTGTCCAAAACAAACAAACAAACAAAACCTCAGACAGTATTATGAGAACTAGGACTTTGCTTTTAATTATAATTCTGTTAGTTCAATAGAACCTGAGAGAAGACTCAACACTTATAGAAATACTTAAATAGAAAAATAGAAGTCTCAGCCGGGTGCAGTGGCTCATGCCTAATCCCAGTACTTTGGGAGGCCGAGGCAAGCAGATCACGAGGTCAGGAGATCAAGACCATCCTGGCTAGCATGGTGAAACCCTGTCTCTACTAAAAATACAAAAAATTAGCCAGGCATGGTGGCAGGTGCCTGTAGTCCCAGCTACTCGGGAGGCTGAAAGGCAGGAGAATGGTATGAACCCGTGAGGCGGAGCTTGCAGTGAGCTGAGATGGCGCCACTCCAGCTGGACAACAGAGCGAGACTCCGTCTCAAAAAAAAAAAAAGAAAAGAAAAGAAAAGAAAAATATAAGTCTCAACAGGATTTGATGAAGGCTCAGGCGTGAGTGTGAGAGAAAGGTAGTCAAGGGTGACTTCAAGGTTTTGGATGAGAATGACCAGAAGGATGGAGCTGCTGTTTACTGAGATCATTACCAGGTCTCTTGCATCCTCAAAAAAAATAATAATAAAAAGGATATTTTCTTTTTCCTTTTTTTTTTTTTTTTGTTTGAGACAGGGTCTTATTCTGTCATGCAGGCTAGAGTTCAGTGGCCTGATCACAGTTCACTGCAGAGGTCAATGGTTTCAGCGACCTCTGGAGCACTTATGATGTCCCAGGTGAAGACAAACAGTATCTTGTTCTTTCAAAAAAAAAGAAAGTTCTAATCCATGCTGCAATGTGAAAGAACTTCAAAAACAAGCTGAGTGCTATGGGAGGCCGAGGCAGGCGGATCACGAAGTCAGGAGATCCAGACCACCCTGGCTAACCCAGTGAAACCCCATCTCTACTAAAAATACAAAAAAAAAAAAATTAGCCAGGCGTGGTGGCGGGCACCTGTGGTCCCAGCTACTGGGGAGGCTGAGGCAGGAGAATCGCTTGAACCCGGGAAGCAGAGGTTGCAGTAAGTGGAGATCACACCTCTGTACTCCAGCCGCCTGGGGGACAGAGCAAGATTCTGTCTCAAAAAAAAAAAAAAAAAAAAAGAACTGGGGATAGAGGCCGAACTGGGTTTGGCACACAGTCTGTGGGCTCAAAAGCAAGACCAGCCAGGAAACAAGGGCGCCCAGGAGGTGTCCGAACTCTCAGGATGGGAGCTCGAAGGACGCAGTGACCTTGACGGGAGAATGGTGATGGAATCTGCAATTTACTTACCCACCCACACAGCCCTCTCCTAGTAGTTCCTTGATGGTGGGAGCCACATTGAGTGTGTGTGTGTGTCTTTGTACGTGTGTGCACGTGCATGTAATATTTCAGGCATACAAAAGCATAGATAGGCTGGGCATGGTAGCACACACCTGTAATCCCAGCACTTTGGGAGGCCAAGGTGGGAGGATCACTTGAGCCTAGAAGTTTAAGAACTGCCTGGACAAGATGGTGAGACCTTGTCTCTATATATTAAAAAATAAAAGTAGGCCAGGCGCAGTGGCTCATGCCTGTAATCCCAGCGCTTTGGGAGGCCGAGGCAGGCAGATGGCGCCTGAGGCCAGGAGTTCCAGACCAGCCTGGCCAACATGGTGAAACCCCATCTCTACTAAAACTACAAATATTAGCCAGGTATGGTGTGCACACCTGTAATCCCAGCTACTTGGGAGGCTGAGGCAGGAGAATTGCTTGAACCCAGGAGATGCAGATTGCAGTGAGCCAATTGCGTCATTGCACTCCAGCCCGGGCAACAGAGCAAGACACTGTCTCAAAAATAAATAAATAAATAAACAGCATAGATAGGGGCCAGGTGTTGTGGTTCACGCCTGTAACCCCAGCACTTTGGGAGGCCAAGGCAAGAGGATCATTTGAGCCCAGGAGTTGGAGACCAGTCTGGGCAACATAGAGAGAACCTGTCTCTACAAAAATAAATAAATAAATAAAAATAAAATTAAAAATTAAAAAGCATAGATAATAATTCGTGCTGGAACACAGCTTGTATTCATCACCCAACTTAAGAAGAAAAAAATCACGGATAATACTGATGCTGTATATACACCACTTCACTTCCATTTACCTCTCTCTCTCTGTGTCTCCCTCTCATTTAGCATTTATCATTCCCATGCACATTTTTTTTTACCTTTACAACATGGGATGTATTCATGAACACTATATAGAATTGTGGCTGGATGTAGTGGCACGTGCATGTAATCCTAGCTATTTGGGAGGCTGAGGCAGGAGGATAGCTTGAGTCCAGGAGTTCAAGCCCAGCCTGAGCAACATGGTGAAACCCCATGATATGGCGTGGCTGTGTCCCCACCAAAATCTCATCTTGAATTGTAGTTCCCATAATCCCCACGTGTAATGAGAGGGACTCAGTGGGAGGTAGCTTAATCATGGGGGTGGTTACCCTCACGCTGTGCTTATGATGGTGAGTGAGTTCTCAGGAGAGCTGATGGTTTTATAAGGGGCTTTTGCCCCTTTCTGCTAGGTGCTTCTCCTTCCTGCCACCATGTGAATAGGGACGTGTTTGCTTCTGCTTCTGCCATGATTGTAAGTTTCCTGAGGCCTCCTCAGCCCTGTGGAACTGTGAGTCAATTAAACCTCTCCTTTATAAATTACCCAGTCTCAGCCTGGGTGCGGTGGCTCATGCCTGTAATCGCAGCACTTTGGGAGGCCAAGGCAGGTGGATCACAAGGTCAGGAGATTGAGACTATCCTGGCTAACACGATGAAACCCCATCTCTACTAAAAATTCACAAAATTAGCTGGGTGTGGTGGCACACGCCTGTAGTCCCAGCTACTAGGGAGACTGAGACAGGAGAATCACTTGAACCTGGAAGGCGGAGGTTGCAGTGAGCCAAGATCACACCACTGTACTCTAGCCTGGGAGACAGAGCAAGACTCCGTCTCAAAAAAAAAAAATTAAATTAAGAAAAAACATAAAATAAAATAAATTACCCAGTCTTGGGTCTGTCTTCTTTAGCAGCATAACAGACTAATATGCCCCATCTCTACCAAAAAACAATATATATATATATATACAAAAATTAGTTGGGCATGGTGTTGCATGCCTGTAGTCCTAGCTACTCCAGAGGCTGAGAGGGGAGGATCACTTGAGCCTGGGAGGCAGAGGTTGCAGTGCAGATCACGCTACTGCACTCTGGCCTGGGTGATAGGGTGAGACCCTGTCTCCGTAATAAATAAATAAATAAATAAATAAATAAATTTATTTTCCCCAGTTGTCACATGGAGACAAGCCCATCAGGGACAAGACTAGAAGTAGACAAACCAGTCAGGTAACAACTGCTAGAGCCAGGTGCTAAAGACAGGGGCTTGGAACAGGATGGGTGTAGAAAATGTAGTGAGGCCTGTTTGGATACATGGATATTTTTGGAAGGCGGGGTCAACAGGATTTGATGAAGGCTCAGGTGTGGGTGTGAGAGAAAGGCAGTCAAACATGACTTCAAGGTTTTGGATGAGAATGACCAGAAGGATGGAGCTGCTATTTACTGAGATAATCACCAGGTCTCTTGCATCCTTAAAAAAAAAAGGGATTTTTTTTTCCTTTTTTTTTTTTTTTTTTTGAGACAGGGTCTTATTCTGTCACCCAGGCTGGAGTTCAGTGGCTTGATCATAGCTCACTGCAGCCTTGAATTCCTGGGCTCAAGCAATCCTACTGCCTCAGCCTCCTGAGTAGCTGAGACCACAGGCACACCGCACCCAGCTAATTTTTGTAGAGAGAGATTTTCTATTAATATCAATAATCTTTTTCAAAGTGTTGAGTCTTCTCTTAGCTTCTATTGAACTAACAGAATTATAACTAAAAGCAAAGTCTTAGTTCTCATAATACTGTCTGAGGTTTGTTTATTTGTTTTAGACAGAGTCACACTCTGTCGCTCAGGCTGGAGTGCAGTGGTGCAATCTCGGCTCACTGCAAACTTTGTCTCTGGGATTCAAGTGATTCTCCTGCCTTAGCCTCCCAAGTAGCAGGGACTACAGGTGTGCACCACCACACCTGGCTAATTTTTGTATTTTTAGTAGAGACAGGGTTTCACCATGTTGGCCAGGCTAGTCTTGAACTCCTGACCTCAAGTGATCCATCCACCTTGGCCCCGCAAAGTGCTGGGATTACAGGCATAAACCACTGTGCCAGACCTGTCTGAGGTTTTATGTATTCAACACCTCACCCATTGATTAAGTCCCAGAAATTATTTAATCATCATATTTATTTGATCAGTTTGACTTTATTAATATTTGTTCCACAGAGCTTTACAGGCATCCTTTAACTGATTTCTAGGATTCAATAAATTTACATTTTTTACTTTCTTCACCAAACAACAAATTCATTTTTATAAAATTTAGTTGACCCTCTGAGAGTTTCTTTATACCACTGTTCTCTCAAGATTGATATTAATTCTGTTAGTTATCTTTTCTTTTCTTTCTTTTTTTTAATGTTTAGTTTTTTAGAGATAGGGTCTCACTCTTTTGCCTAGGCTGGAGTGCAGTGGTATGATCGTAGTTCACTGCAGCCTCAACCGCCCAGGCTCAGGCAATCCTCTCTCCTCAGACTCCAATGTAGCCGGGACTACAGGTGCACGCCACCATGCCTGGCTAATTTTTGTATTTTTTACAGAGACAGGGCTTTGCCATGTTGCCAAGGCTAGATCCTATTGGTTTTCAAATGGTATATCACATTTACTTCTATAATATCTTACAATTACACTTCTGTTTCATCATTCTCATAACTTACTATTACGTGTTCAACCACGTTTTAGGTATCATTTAATACACATTGCTAGGTACTAAATGATTGCTATGTACATTATTGTTAGTTTTAAGGACTGGAATATTTCCTTCTTATAAAGCCAAAAGAAAGTATTGACATGCAAGGACAGACAATGTTTTTGAGGAGCATTGAAAGCCAAGGAGCAGAGAAAAGGAGGTAGTTGGAAGAAAGAAGGGATTCTTTCAAAGCTGGAAGAAATTATAGAATCCTTACATCTGGAGCTGGATTCTCCCCAGAGCAGGTTTTGAGTCGAGGAATTGAGTGTAAATATTCAGGAGATAATCTCCAGAGACCCAGTGAGCACCTGGAGAAGAGAAATGGGAAGGAAGGGTGCGGTTAAACCTTCCCCTCTGGGCAGGAAGATCGCTTGAACCCAGGAGGTCAGGGCCGCAGTGAGCTATGATCACACCATTGCACTCCAGGCTGGGCAATCCAAAGGAGTAATCCCTGAGATATAATACTATAGAACACCCCAGAACTGCCCCACTCAGGAGTGAGGAAGCCAGGGACTCACCCAACAAGCCCTGTCCCTCAACAGCCAAGGGTCACTTCTAGGAGTGGGAACTCCCAGCACATCCACATTACCCCCATGTGCAGGCTGAGCCTGCTCCTGTGGTCAGATGAAGCCCTCGGGCATAGAGACACATGGTGGTAGAGGTAAAGGGTCAGTGTGTCTGGGAGCCATCCACCCAGATGACACCCTGCACATGGGCTGGGGGAAAATAAACAGTGTTGCTTCAGTGTGTTTGCTGATAAAAATGAAGGAGCAAGCCAGGTGCAGATTCACACCTGTAATCCCAGCACTTTGGGAGGCCGAGGAGAGAGGATTGCTTGAGCCCAGGAGTTCAAGACCAGCTTGGGCAACACAGCAAGACCCCATCTCTAAAAAATTTTCAAAATTAGCTGGGTGTGCTGGCATGCATCTGTTGTCCCAGCTCCTCCTGAGGCGGAAGGATCACTTGAGCCCAGGAGGTCAAGGCTGCTGCAGTGAGCTATGATCTCACCAATGCACTCCAGCCTGGGGAACACAGCAAGATCCTGTCTCTACAAATAAAAATTTTAAAAAAGGAATAATTGAGCCAATAGGAAGGAGGAAATTCTATTGCAGGAAAGAGTTGGGAGAATTGCTGAATGTCTGAACCCAAAAGAGGGGATGAGATCGGGATGCAATGGGGTCGGGGGCTGGCCTCAGCCAGAACCGTGGACAGCTCCTCCGTTTCCTTTCTAGTTGACCCAGGTTAGCTACGGAAGGGATGAACGTCTAAGGCAGAATAGCGAATTAGGATAACCACGGGTTAAGGCACAAGCATAAGAACAGCAGGGGCAGCCACTTCTAGGCAACATTAGGCAGTATCCAGGCCACATCCTCCCTCCTATAATAACAAGACAGAAGTTTCCACTTCAGCCTCTGATTGGTCATGGGCTGTCTCCACTTCAGCCTCTGATTGGTCCTGGGCTGTCTCCACTTCAGCCTCTGATTGGTCACAGGGCCACCCTTCATAGGGTGTAGCCAATTAGAGGCCTCTAAAGGGCACCTGAGGTGTTGCCAAATTATTCTAGCTTAATAAAAACCTCAGTTGGGGGTGCTCTTGAGCCACTTGCTCGAGCCCACTTCCACTCTATGGAATGTACTTTTGCTTCGATAAATCTGTGCTTTCATGACTCTGTTCTTCTGTTGCTTGTTTGTCTTTAGTTGCTTCTTTCTTTTATTGCTTTGCTTTGTTCAACACTCCAAGAACTTGGACAACTCACAGTCAAGACCTTCCGTCTGGTAATCTGGTAACATCTTGCCTGGGTCTCTGAGTTTCTACTCTTGGGCCTCTTGGAGGAACTCATGCTCATCCTCTTCCTGAGCATATTCCTGGTCACTGGGCTGAAGAACCTGCTCATCAACGAATTGCTTGAGCCCAGGAGGCAGAGGTTGCAGTGAGCCAAGATCACACCACTGCACTCCAGCCTGGGCGACAGAGAGAGACTCTGGCTCAAAAAAAAAAAAGAACCTGCTCATCATCCCAGCCATTGCCACTGACACCCGGCTCTCTGTGCTCGTGCGCTTTTTCCTTGCCAACCTGGCCTTCGTGGTCACTTGCTTCACCTCCACCACCATCCCCAAGATGCTGGACGTGCAAAGAGATCCCTTGTGTCATGTCAGGATGCAAAGGGATTCCTTATGCTGGTTGCCTGACCCAGATGCTCTTCTTCATCTGTTAGGCATCCACAGCTTCCTGCTGACTGCAATGGCCAATGAACACTGTGTGGCCATCTGTCACTCTCTGAACTCCATCAGGTCTGTGACACCATAGCTCTGTGGCCTCCTGGTGGTGGCCTCCTGGACCTTCGCATTCAGGAATGCCCTGACCCACCCAGTGTTACTGACCCGCCTCTCACTCTGCACCTACGAGTGGGTCAGCCATGTCTTCTGCAACCTCAGCCAGCTGCTGAAGTTGGCCTGCTCAGACGCCACTCTCAACAATGTGACGGTGCAACCGCTACACAAAACACAAGGACATGAATGCCATTCAGCCACACATTCTTTTGGCACTTCATAATAATAATCACTTTTCCTCCCATTTTTTGTGGTTGTTGTATTGTTTAAACAGGTCTCACTCTGTCACCCTGGCTGGACTGCAGTGGCATGATCATAGTTCACTGCAGCCTCAACCACCCAGGCTCAAACGATCTCCCACCTCAGCCTCCCGAGTAGCTGGGACCACAGGCGTGTGCCATCATGCCCAGCTAAATTTTTTGTATTTTTTGTGGAGATGAAGTCTCTCCATATTGCCCAGGCTGGTCTCAAACTCTGGGGCTCAAGTGTGCCTGCCTAAGACTTCCAAAATGCTGGGATTACAGGTGCGAGCCACCGCATCTGGCCTCTTCCAGTTTTCAACAACATGGTCCTCATTTCCATCTGGGACCTCCTCAGAATGGCCTTTGCCATTCATATTGCTACAACATTCTCATCACTGCCACCTAGGTAAACTTTGAAAAGATTGAGGCTTTCTCTCCTTTTCTTTTAAGACTTCACCAGAATCACTTTTAAGGCCTTGTTCACAATAACATAGTCTTTTTCTAGCATGCACCTGCACGCTCTTCCAGCCTCTACCCATTACCCAGTTCCAAAGCTGCTTCCACATTACTGGGTATTTTTTTTACAATAACACTCCACTTCTTGGTACCAATGTCTTAGTTTGTTTTAGCTGCTAGAACAACATACTTTAGACTGAATAATTTATAAACAACAGAGGTTTATTGCTAACAGTTCTGAAGGCTGGGAAGTCCAAGATCAAGGTGCCAGCAGATTCAGTGTCTGGTGAGAGCCCATAGATGATGCCTTCAAATGGTGGAAGGGGCAAACAAGCCCCTCCAGGGCTTTTTTTGTGGGGGGAGGGGGGAGGTGAAGTATTGCTCTTTCACCCAGTCTGGAGTGCAGTGGGGTGATCTCGGCTCACTGCAACCTTCGCCTCCTGTGTTCAAGTGATTCTCCGGCCTCGGCCTCCTGAGTAGCTGGGACTACAGGCACGCACCACTATGCCCCACTAATTTTTTTTGTATTTTTAGTACAGATGGGGTTTCACCATGTTGGCCAGGCTAGTCTCAGACTCCTGACCTCAAGTAATCAGCCCACCCTGGCCTCCCAAAGTGCTGGGATTACAGGCAGGAGCCACCACACCCAGCCTGTTGAAAAAATTATTTGAACTTTACAATTTATTGCTGGAAATGTAAAAAATAAATGTTCGGGGTGACTGTCAAATTGGGGGAAATTCTATCAAGTTTATGTAATTTTGAGCTGTAAGGTTTGGAAAACAAGCTTCTGTATATGACGTACATTAGAGCTGTGCACCATCGGACACTATAGTGTCCAGTTCAATGGGAGGAACCTGTTGCATTGCACCCTGACCTCTGACTTTGCACCTCTGTGTCACAATGTCTTTGCTATTGTGAATAGTGCTTCAGTGAACACATGCATGCATGTGCCTTTTTGGCAGACTGATTTTTGTTTTCTTTGGAGTATATACCCAGTAACAGGACTACTGGGTCGAATGGTAGCCCTGTTTTTGGGTTTTGTTTTTTGTTTTTTGTTTTTTGTTTTTTTGAGATGGAGTCTCACTCTTGTCACCCAGGCTAGAGTGCAATGGTGTGATCTTGGCTCACTGCAACCTCCGCCTCCTGGGTTCAAGCGATTCTCCTGCCTCAGCCTCCCAAGTAGCTGGGATTGTAGGCAGCCACCACCACGCCTGGCTGATTTTTGTATTTTTAGTAGAGGCGGGGTTTCACCATGTTGGCCCAGCTGGTCTCGAACTCCTGACCTCAGGCAATCCACCCACCTCAGCCTCCCAAAGTACTGGGATTACAGGTGCGAGCCACCGCACCCGGCCAGGTAGCTCTGTTTAATTTCTTTGAGTAATCTCCAAACTGCTTTCCACAGTGGCTGAACTAATTTACATTTTCATCAGTACAGGATAAACATTCCATTTTCTCTACAGTCTCTTTAATGTCTGGTGGTTTTTATTTTTGTTTTTTGTTTGTTTGTTCATTTTACTTTTTCAGAATAGCCATTCCGACTGGTGTGAGATGGTATCTCATTGTGGTTTTTATTTGCATTTCTCTGATGACTAGTGATGGTGATCATTCTTTCATATGTTTGCTAGCCACTTGTATGTCTTCTTTTGAGAAGTGTCTGTTAATGTCCTTTACCCACTTTTTAATGGGGTTATTTGGTTTTTGCCTGTTCAATTGTTTAAGTTCCTTGTAGATTCTGGATATTAGACCTTTGTCAGATGCACAGTTTGCAAATATTTTCTCCCATTCTGTAGGTTGTCTGCTTACTCTGTTGGTAGTTTCTTTTGCTGTGCAGAAACTCTTTAATTTGATTAGATCTCATTTGTCAATTTTTGTTTCCATTGCAACTGCTTTTGAGGACTTAGTCATAAATTCATGTTTCCTAGGTTTTCTTCTAGGATTCTTATGATTTGAGGTCTTACATTTAAATTTTTAATCTATCTTGAGTTAATGTTTGTATATGGTGAAAGGGAGGGGTCCAGTTACATTCTTCTGCATGTGACTTGCCAGCTATCCCAGCACCATTTATTGAATGGGAAGTCTTTTCCTCATTGCTTGTTATTGTCAACTTTGTTGAAGATCAGATGGTGGTAAGTGTGTGGCTTTATTTCTGGGCTCTCTATTCTATTCCATTGGTCTGTGTGTCTGTTTTTGTACCAGTACCATGCTGTTTTGGTTACTGTAGCCCTATAGTATAGTTTGAAGTCGGATAATGTGATGCCTCCAGTTTTGTTATTTTTTCTTAGGATTGCTTTGACTATTCAAGCTGTTTTGGTTCCATAAGAATTTTAATATAGTTTTTTCAATTTTGTGAAAAATGGTTTTGGTAGTTTGATAAGAATAGCATTGCATCTGTAGGTTGCTTTGGGCAGTATGGCCATTTGAATGATATTGATTCTTCTAATCCATGAGCATGGAATGTTTTTCCATTTGTTTGTGTCATCTATGATTTCTTTGAAGTGTTTTGTAGTTCTCCTTGTAAAGATCTTTCACCTCCTCCATTAGATGTATTCCTAGGTACTTTTTTGTGTGGTTACTATAAATGGGATTGTGTTTTTGGTTTGGCTCTCAGCTTGGATGTATTGGTGTATGGACATGCTACGGATATTTGTACATTTATTTTGTACCCTGAAACCTTGCTAAAATTGTTTATTAGTTCTAATAGCTTTTTGGTGGAGTCCTTAGGGTTTTCTAAGTATGGAATCATATTGTCAGTAAAGAGAGATAGTTTGACTTCTTCTTTTCCTATTTAGATGACTTTTATTTCTTTCTCTTGCCTAATTGCTATGGCTAGCACTTCCAGTATTATGTTGAACAGTTGTGGTGAGAGTGGCCATCTTTGTCTTGTTCCAGTTCTCAAGGAGAATGCTTCAAGTTTTTTCATGTTCAGTATGATGTTGTTCCCTAGCTTCTTGTGGTTTGCTGCCAATCTTTGATGTTCCTCGGCTCGTAGACCTCTGCATTCATCTTCACACGGCATTCTCCCTGTGTGCGTATCTGTCTTTAAATGTCACCTTTTTATAAGGACACCAGTTATACTGTATTAGGAGCCCACCATTCTCCAGTATGACTTCATCTTAGTTATTATACTTAATCCTATTTCTAAATAAGGTCACATTCTGAGATACTGGGGATTAGGACTTCAACATATGAACTGGGAGAAGAGACATAATCCAACTCATAAGATTTGCTAAAAATAAAAAGAAGAAAAGGCCGGGTGCAGTGGCTCACACCTGTAATCCCAGCACTTTGGGAGGCCAAGGCAGGTGGATCACTTGAGGTCAGGAGTTCAAGACTAGCCTGACCAACATGGTGAAACCCCATCTCTACTAAAAAAAAAAAAAAAAAAAAATACAAAATTAGCCAAGCATAGTGGCACATGCACATGCCTATAATCCCAGCTACTTGGGAGGCTGAGGCAGGAGAATCGCTTGAACCCAGGAGGTGGAGGATGCAGCAAGCTAAGATCATGCCATTGTACTCCAGCCTGGGCAACAAGAGCAAAACTCTGTTTCAAAAAAAAAAAGACTCTAGTGAGTGGATTCATAGCTGAAGCAACATAGTAGCTTATTTCTCACATAACAGAATCCTAGGTCAGTGCATGGCTCTACTCCTCTCAGTCACTCAGAGACCCAAGTTTCCTGAGTCTTGTTTCCCACCTATTTCCTAAACATTGTTCTTGTTTATAAGAGCAAAGCTGTGAACTCTGGATTACAAAAAATAATAATAATCAGAGTGCATAGAGGAGGCAAGCCTATTGTCTGGAAATGCCACCTACTTTTCACATTCCACACTGGATTACACCTAGCTGCAAGAGAGGCCAAGAAATATGACATTGGAACCTTGGTCCCTAAATAATTGCGTGAAGCAGAATCGCATACTGAACTGAAACTAGAGAGAAAAGTAAACTTTAAAATATTGAATTTTGGACCTCTCACTTCTTTTTACTGGAGCTTAGACTTTTGTCCTAACAAACGCAGTAACTGGTTCCAGAAGTGGGGTACACCATAAAAATAGATGGCATTTGCTTAATGACAGGGTTGTGAGGACGCAGATATTTCAGACTGGAAAGCTGAGTATCTTCCTTAGGCCAAGGCAAAACATTTGGTAAAACATGGTCAACCAAGTTGCTAGGCTGTGATTTCGTTATTATAGAAGGGGAGAATGGATTTTTGTAGAGAGCTAGCAGTCCACATTCCATCCTCTAGCCACCAAATATATAAAAGCATGCTTCTTCCCACCATGGAATACCTTTATACCCTTCCTGGAAGAAGGCAATATCCCATGTTATTGATGCATCCAGCTCAGAGTCCAAAATCTCTGGCTAAAACACAGTCTTCATCAGGCAGGTATAAGAAAGATGGGGACTTAGTGGTCAAGAACTTGACCAATATGCAAACAGAGATGGAAGAATCCACAGATAAAAGTCCACAAAGAGTTGGAGAAATCATCTGACCCTGATCTCTCCAACAGTGAGTGGTAAATAGGCTTTTCATTTGAAAGGCTGAGGTGGGTGGATCACCTGAAGTCAGGAGTTCAAGACCAGCCTGGGCAACATGATGAAATCCCGTCTCTACTAAAAATACAAAAATTAGACAGGTTGGCCAGGTGCAGTGGCTCACGCCTGTAATCCTAGCACTTTGGGAAGCCAAGGCAGGTAGATCATGGGGTCAGTAGTTCGAGATCAGCCTAACCAACATGGTGAAACCCCGTCTCTACTAAAAATATAAAAATTAACCAGCCAAGGTGGCATGCGCCTATAATCCCAGTTTCTTGGGAGGCTGAGGCAGGAGAATCACTTGAACCCAGGAGGTGGAGGTTGTGGTTATCTGCGATCACGCCACTGCACTCCAGCCTGGGCGACAGTGCAAGATGCTGTCTCAAAAAAGAAAAATTAGCCAGGCCATGGTGGCAGATGTCTGTATTCCTAGCTACTCAGGAAGCTGAGGCAGGAGAATTGCTTGAACTGGGGAGGCAGAGGTTGCAGTGAGCCAAGATCGCGCCACTGCACTCCAGACTGGGCAACAAAAGCAAAACTGCATCTCAAAAAAAATGAGGGAGACAGAGAAGGAAAGAAGGAAGGAAGGAGAGAGAGATAAAGAAAGAAAAAGGAAGGAAGGAAGGAAAGAAAGAACAAAGGAAGGAAGGAAGGAAGAAAAAGAAAGAAGAAAAAAAAGAGAAAGAAAGAAAGAGAAAAGAAAAAAGGAAAGAAAGAAAGAGCCAGCACTTTGGGAGGCCAAGGCAGGCAGATCATGAGGTCAGGAGTTCAAGACCAGCCTGGCCAATATGGTGAAACCCCGTCTCTACTAAAAATACAAAAATTAGCTGGGTATGGTGGCGTGCACCTGTAGTCCCAGCTACTCTGGAGGCTGAGGCAGAAGAATCGCTTGAACCCAGGAGGCGGAGGTTGCAGTGAGCCAAGATCATGCCACTGCACTCCAGCCTGGGCGACAGAGCAAGACCCTGTCTCAAAAAAAAAAAAAACAAAAAGGAAACTTGAGCATCCTGGGTTTTTTGTATTTTCAGAGGGTCTTGGAATCTATCCCCTGTGGATACCGAGGGTTGACTGTGATTTGGGAGTGTAGAGGGATTTCTTATTTTAAAAAGGACCCCCTAAGCCAAAGAAGGCAGCTTTGAAGGATGTCTTAAGATTGTGGTCCTTCCTTAAAGAAGTGATTGTCAACAAGGAGGATGATTTCACTCGCTCCCAGCCCCGGGGACATTTGGCCGTGTCCAGAAACAGTTTTGACTGTGGTGACGGGATGGGATACTACTGGCATGTAACAGGTAGAGGCCAGGAATGTGGCTCAACATCCTCCAATGCATAGGAAAGTCTTGTGCTATAAAGAACAATCCATGAGGCCGGGCGCAGTGGCTCATGCCTGTAATCCCAACACGTTGGGAGGTTGAGGCGGGAGGATTGCTTGAGCCCAGGAATTCAAGACCAGCCTGGGCAACATGGCAAGACCCCGACTCTGCTAAAAACCAAAAAACTTAGCTGGGCATGGTGGTGCATGCCTGTAATCCATGCCTGTAGCTACTCGGGAGGCTGAGGCAGGAGGATTGCTTGAGCCCAGGAGGTCAAGGCTGCAGTGAGCCATGATTGCAGTACTGCACTCCAGCCTGGGTGACAGAGCAAGACCCTGTCTCAAAAAAAAAAAAAAAAAAAAAATTATTCAGGCAGCAAAGAGTTAAGGTATGCCGTCCCACTCTGCACCTACTTTGAAAGGTAGCTACAAACCAGGCGCAGTGGCTCATGCCTGTAATCCCAGCACTTTGGGAGGCCAAGGCAGGTGGATCGTCTAAGGTCAGGAGTTCGAGAACAGCCTGGCCAACATGGTGAGACCCCATCTCTACTAAAAATACAAAAATTAGCCAAACGTGGTGGCGGGCCCCTGTAATCCTGACTACTCAGGAGGCTGAGGCAGGAGAATCACGTGAACTCAGGAGACAGAGGTTGCAATGAGCCGAGATCGTGCCATTGCACTCCAGCCTGGGTGACAAGAGCAAAACTCCATCTCCAAAAAATATTAAAAAATTAAAAATTAAAAATTAAAAAATTAAAAATAAATAAATAAATAAATAAAAAGTAGCTGCATTTAGCTGGGCATGGAGGATCTCACCTGGAATCCCAGCACTTGGGAGGCCAAGGTGGGAGGACAGCTTGAGGGGCCAGGAGTTCAAGACTAGCCTGGGCAACATAGCAAGATCCCACCTCTACCAAAAATGTAAAAATTAATTAAAAAAAAAGAGAAAGAAATAAAAATTAGCCAGGTGTGGTGGCACACACCTGCAGTCCTAGCTACTTGGGAGGCTGAGGCAGGAGGATCACTTGAGCCAGGAGTTGGAGGCTGCAATGAGCTATGATTGCATCACTGAACTCCACCCTGGGCAACAGAGTGAGACCCTGTCTCTTTAAGAAAAAAAGAAAAGAAAAGAAAAGAAAGGTAGCAGTAAAAGTGAGACCTAACCAGGCCAAATCTAGGATCCCAAGAGAAACACCTTGGTGACAGTTGTCATCCCAGAGACACAAGTAGTTGTCAAGAACTGTGAAGAGTCTGGGATCTTATCCTACTTGCAAGTGGACAATTGAACCTGCTACAGTTTTATGGATGTGGGCAGAAGACACGAGACTCCAGTATCAGAGACAAAGGACTTTATTACTCATGGCACAGCAGGCAGCATGAACTTTGTGTTTGCACTAGCCCACATTGGGTTAGTTCCACAGCCAAGGAACTCTGAGCTTAAAGATCTCGATTTTTATAGTTGATTGCAAACAAACCTGGTCTATTTTAATACCAGAGGGAGACATTATCTTTATTATATGGATAGCAAATGAAACTGCCCTCTGCTTCACAGGAAGAAACTCTGTCTTCCAAGGCTGTTTGCTATACAAACATCCTTGAAAAGATAGCTGGAATAAAAGCTGTCTGAGCCCCTGATTTTGGGGTGTACAGAAATGCAAGAGACCCGTGGAGAATTGTTCTCCAATGACACCATTGACACCTAATGGGCAGTGGCTGTCCATGAAGGTAACTCAGGTAGGAGGTTGAATAGGGGAGGCTGCTCAGGTTATAGTTTGTGGGTCAATGTGTAGAATCCGGAGTCAGCCACTCTTGGTTCAACTCCCAACACCACCACTTCTTAGCTGTGCTGGCTTGAGCAAGTTACTTCACCTCTCTGTGCCTCAATTTCTCCTTTTATAAAATGGAAATGACAGCAGCACTTATCTCACGAGGTTATTGTGAAAATTAAGTGAGCTGATGTGTGCAAGGCACGTAGAACAGCATGGACACATTAAAGACATGTCAGTGTTAACTATAATTATTATTAATTATCGTGACGATGCCACCAAGCTTGTGGTCATGCCTGTTTTACGGGATTAATGGCCAAGCTCTCTAACCCACACAGTTCCCTCGGAGTGTGGCTCAGAGACTTTGGGGAGGACTTAGAGCCCTTTTCTCCTTGCCCGCCCCACCAATGGTTTGCCCCTTCCCGGATAATTTTTTTTTTTTTTAAACAGGATCTTGCTCTGTAGCCCAGGCAGGAGTGCAGTGGTGCAATCTCAGCTCATTGCAACCTCTACCTCCCGGGTTCAAGCAATACTTGTCAGCTTCCCAAGTACCTGGGATTACAGGTGTGCATCACCTATGCCCGGCTAATTTTTTTGTATTTTTAGTAGGGACGGGATGTCACCATGTTGGCCAGGCTGGTCTCGAACTTCTAGCCTCAAGGGATCCAACCCCTTGGCCTCTCAAAGTACCAGGATTACAGGTGTGAGCCACTACACCTGGTCTAGAAACTCTTTTTTTATTAAGAGATAGAGTCTCACTCTGTTGCCCAGGCTGGAGTGCAGTGGTACCAGCATGGCTCACTGCAGACTCAAACTCCTGGGCTCAAGTGATCCTCCTGCCTCAGCCTCTGGAGTAGCTGGGACTACAGATGCATGCCACCACACCCAGCTAATTTTTAAATTTTTTGTAGAGATGGGGTATCGCTCTGTTGCTCAGGATGATCTTGAACTCCTGGGCTCAAGCAATTCTCCCACCTTTGCCTCCCAAAGTGCTGCGACTACAGGCGTGAGCCACTGCACCCAGCTTCAGGGTCATTTTTATTGTCATCCTTGTCATCTTATTACTCTATTGTACCCCATGAAATGAAACTCCATAGAGTGCAAGCTGAGAACATTTTTGCTCTTTTCTATTGGAACTCAGTAAACTCACCTGTTGCCTTGGTCTCTTTGCATGTCTCAAACTGCAGGAGACACATTTGGGGGCAGTCCCCATCCTCTCTTCTGTTGTTTGATCTCTGCAGCCTCACCACCCACCACACCACACCACACCACATCCTCACCTCTGCATTCAACGGCAGACACTCTCACCTGCCCTCAGTCCCTTCCTCCTATGACCTTCGCATAGACCCCATCACCACCGTTCAGGCCTCCCTCAATTGCCACTTCCTCAGGGAGGCTTTTTCCTGACTTCCACCCAAGACTAATCAGGTGCCTGCATTTTGCATGCATTAACATTTTTAGGCTGGGCGTGGTGACTCATGCCTGTAATCCCAGCACTCTGGGAGGCCGAGGTGGGCAGACCACCTGAGGTCAGGAGTTCGAGACCAGCCTGGCCAACATGGTGAAACCCTGTCTTTGCAAAAATACAAAAAGTAGCCAGGTGTGGTGGTGCATGCCTGTAATCCCAGCTACTTGGGAGGCTGAGGCACGAGAATTGCTTGAACCTGGGAGGCGGAGGTTGCAGTGAGCCGAGATCGTGCCACTGCACTCCAGCCTGGGAGTGCAGGACAGAGCAAGACTATCTCAAAAAAAAAAAAAAATTTAGCTCACACTCTGGGTGCCTGCCCAGATCCACTGGGTTCCTACTGTTTCTCTCCACACCAAGGGGTACTTCTAGCAGCTTCATCTCTCTGCTAGGGGGAGAGGCGGTCTTCCTCCAGCTGCTGAAGTGAGTGTGACCCATACAAGGGCAGATCAGCACAATCAACAGCCCCTAAGAGCAGCCTTCAATCAACAGCAGCATGGAATTGGTGGATAAATACCCCAGCTCCTTCGCCCCTCAGCTGGGACAACTCCAAAGAGCATGCTCTCTGCTGCCTCCAGAGGCCCTCAGTGGGACTGCACCCTATTTGTCCATGGCAGTAACTGGTTTCATAATGCATGCTTAATGGTTACTTTCTTTTCCCTATTTCACTTCCCATCCTCTACTTGTATCTCCTTGGGTCACTTCCCAAATAAACTATTTGTCCTTGCATTTTTTAAGAGATGGGGTATCTGATGCCCAGGCTGAAGTGCAGTGGTGCAATAATAGCTCACGGCAGGCCAGGCACAGGGGCTCATGCCTGTAATCCCAATAGTTTGGGAGGCCAAGGCAGGAAGATCACTTGAACCCAGGAGTTCAAGACCAGCCTGGGCAACATAGCAAGACGCCACCTCTACAAAAACAAAAAAGTATCCAGGCATAGTGGCACATGCCCGTAGTCCTAGCTACTCAGCGGGCTGAGGTGGGAGGATCAATTGAAGCTGGGGGATCTAGGCTGTAGTGAGCCACGATTGTGCCACTGCACTCCAGCCTGGGCAACAGAGTGAGACCTTGTCTCGAGAAAGAAAGAAAAGAAGGAAAGAAGGAAAGAAAGGAAAGAAGGAAAGAAGGAAAGAAGGAAAGAAAGAAAGAAAGAAGGAAGGAAGGAAGGAAGGAAGGAAGGAAGGAAAGAAAGAAAGAAAGAAAGAAAGAAAGAAAGAAAGAAAGAAAGAAAGAAAGAAAGAAAGAGAAAGAAAGAAAGAAAGAAAGAAAGAAAGAAAGAAAGAAAGAAAGAAAGAAAGAAGGAAGGAAGGAAAGGAAGAAAGGAAGAAAGAAAGAGAAAGAAAGAAAGAAAGAAAGAAAGAAAGAAAGAAAGAAAGAAAGAAAGAAAAGAAAAGAAAGAAAGAAAAAAAGAAGCTCACTGCAGCCTCAAACTCCAGGGCCCAAGTGATTCAACTACCTTATTCTCCTGAGTAGCTGGGACGACAGGCACAGACCACCATGCCCAGCTAGTTTTTGTATCTTTTGTAGAGATGGGGTCTTGCTATGCTGCCCAGGCTGGCCTCAAACTCCTGACCTCAAGTGATCCTTCCACCTCAGCCTCCCAAAGTGCTGGGATTACAGGCGTGAGCCATTTTGCCTGACCTCCTTGAACTTTTGTATCAAAAGACAGTCATTTGCCCTATTGTAATTCATTCCATAATTGCAGTTATTGGTTGTCTTGCCCCACTGGGATGAGTCATGTCCACCACAGTGTTCCAAAAACACGCACATGGTAGTAGATGCTTGATAAATGACTCTGGGTCTCATGACTGGGAGGTGGCTGGGATGCTGATGGGCTGTTCTCTTTCCCCCATCCTGTCCTTAGAAGCCCCCAGTTGGAGAGGTTGTAGTGCAGGAGGGAAGCTCACTCCTGAGCTATAAATGGCAGCCTCCACCTGCCTCATGCTCCAGAATACACAGCCTGAACAGCTGGGGCAGGGCCCCCAGCGTCCGGGAACCCCAAATGACCCTCCCGGCCCTGACCAGGGCTCCTGGGGTGTTCCCTGGAGCTCATGCCCAGAGGGGATGTAAGTCCATTACCAAGGCTGCAGACGACACACTAAAGATGCTGATGGGGTCATGCAGCTAGTCCTAGCGCCATTCCTAGCCTGTGTCTCCCCTCCTCCGCATCAGACTCCACCTCTGGGAGCTCCCTTTGCAAGAAACCGTACCAGGGACAAGGGTCTTCCCTACAAGGCCATGAAGCACGCAGATATCTCCTGCGGGAGGAATCTCTTTCCGAGGTCGGTGGTGTCAGGCCTGGAATTAGCCACACCACCTGCGGCGAGGCTGGTCCCAGGGTCTCTGGGGACACAGCGGGGGACAGCAGGGGTGGAGAGGACATCAGGACTGACCTCTGATGACTCAGCCTGAGATAGTGAAGAGAATGAGAAATGGTGGGCATGGAGGCCTGGTTGTGGCAGAGCGGGGTGGGTGAGGGAGTCTTAGGACTTCTTGCCAGCTCGGTCCTAGAGTCAGCTGGGCCACTCACAAGCTGGGTGACTGTGGGTGAGTCACTCTGGGCCTCAGTTTCCCTATTTGTAACACAGGGAGGGGCTTATAACCGCAGCTCATTCCTGGAGTTCATTGTAAAGGCAAAGGGGCCTACGTTGCAGCTGCCTCACCTGGCTGGATGGCCTCTGACATAGAGGGCCAGCCTCAATTTCCTCCTCTGTAAAAATGGGAATAAAAGGCCAGGCACAGTGGCTCATGCCTGTAAACCCAGCACTTTAGGAGGCAAAGGTGGGTGGATCACATGAGGTCAGGAGTTGGAGTCCAGCCTGACCAACATAGCAAAACCCCGTCTCTGCTAAAAATACAAAAATTTAGCCAGGGGTGGTGGCAGGCACCTGTAGTCCCAGCTACTCGGGAGGCTGAGACAGGAGAATCACTTGAACTTGGGAGGCAGAGGTTGCAGTGAGCCAAGATCATGCCACTGCACTCCAGCTTGGGTGACAGAGCAAGACTCTGTCTCAAAAAAAAAGAGGGGAATAAAAACAGTGCCCCCCCCTCCAGCTTATGGCTCAAAGTGGGATCTGTGAGTCATCTGCTAGGCTTAGTCCATGAACAGCATTTCTTCATTATCCACCCAGGGTCCTTTCATCATGACTGACGTCCCTCGAGATGCAATTATTCTGGTCTGCTTTTGTCACAGGACGAAACTGTCTGTGTAGCATGGGGGAGGGGTGGGATAAGGGAGGAGGATGAAGAACGGAGTTGGGGAGGGGTCTGGGCTTGGCCCCCTTAACTCCGGAACACAGGGAGAAGTCAATGTCTTTAGCGCATGAAAGAAGTTCTAGAATGTTCTATTTGCTACCTTTTCAGCCCCTGCACCAACAGGGGTGAAGTTTTCACCATGACAAAGAGAAGGAAGCTGGCTTAATGAACAGTGAGGCAGCTGGGAGGGGGCAGAGGGAAGCTGGACACTCTTGGCCCGAACCTACAGTCCCCAGTGGCACTGACCACTACCCATCTCTTCCACGATCCTGTTTCCTCTACAGCCTTGGGCAGAAAACAAGGAGGCCTCCCTACCTCCACTTCATCCCACACAGGAGTCTTGATGCTGGGTGGGAGTCCAGGAGTCTGTCTAGGAATCCAGGAAGGCTTCCTAGAGGAGGAGCCATTGCATCTGGGCCTTGAAGGATGAATAGAAGTTTCCTAGGCAGCGAAGTGTGTGTGTGTGTGTGTGTGTGTGTGTGTGTGTGTTTCATTTTAACAAACACTTTCCTATCTTCTAGGGGCCAGGTACTCAGAAGACCACAGACAAGACCCAGCCCCATGGCCTGCCCCAAAGAGTTCACATCTCATAAATGATGCTTGAATAATAACAATAATAGTAACAGCTCCCACATGCTGAGTGTGCGCTGCTAGGACACAGCATGTGACAGGAATTCAGTGCCTGAATGAATGAGCCAATAAATTAAACTTTCTCTTTAAAAAAAAAAATTCTTTTTGTTTTATTCTTTTAGCTCTACTATCTAAGGAAGGAAAAAGCTTTCTGGAGTCAGCAAATCCTGCCCTTGATTGCTGGAGGGGAGAACGGAGGCATAGTAGGGTCAAGGAGATGGACGGCACAAAGGCCTGGGGGTGGGAAAACTGGAGTACAGGGGTCCAGTGTGGAGAGAGTTGGGGGCAGAGTCTTAAGCGGGGAGCTAAGGCACTAAGGCCGTCTCCTGTTCTTTGGGAACTGGGGAGCCACACCTTGATTCCCAGCACAAGAGGGAGGAAAGGAAGACCTGAGATCTAGAGAGGACAGCAGGAGCCTGCCCTGGGCTCCAAGAGTTTCAGAGATGGCCCAGATCAGTTGATTGAGTGGCCTTCTCCCTGTCATGAGCCACAAGCAGTAGAAGCCACAGGGGGGCAGAAGAGATGGAGAGATGGAGAGAGACACAGCGACAGTCACCAGAAGAGAGACAGGGGCATGGCAGAAAGAGGTGGGAGAAATCCAGGAAGGCTCCCTGGGGGTGGTGGCCGGAAATAGGGTGGAGGCCTAATCCCTGATACTAGAGAGGCAGGACCTAGAGGGGAGGAGAAAGCTTGATGCTAGGCAGGAAGTCCAAAAGTCTGTCTAGGAATCCAGGACGGCTTCCTGAAGGAGGGGCCATTGGATCTGGGCCTTGAAAGATAAATAGACGTTTCCTACATTTCCTAGGCAGAGAAAAGTGTGTGTGTGGGCGGTGGGGGAGGGGGGAAACGGGGAATTGCTCATTTTACTTAACAAGTACTTTCCCATTTTTAGGGGACCAGGTACTCAGTGGGCCACAGACAAGACCAAGGCAGAAAAGACAGGCGCCTCCCCACATTGCAGCACCGGGACCCCGAGCCCACCCACAGCCCTCTTCATTCCTCCCAACGATGGATGGGGAAACTGAGGCAGCCCAGAGCAGCCCCCACCCTAGGTCCTGCCCGGGACACGCCCACGCGGGACCTGTGTCACCAGGTTAAAAATGGAAACAGCTAGGACCTTTTTTTTTTCTTCCTTTAAGAAAATCCTAGGTCCAAATAAGGCGAGGGCTGCCGGGAGCACGGTGAGCTGGCCAAGTCCTCCTGAGCAAGCGAGTGGCGGCTGGCCCGGCCGGCCTGGGCTTGGGCCTCCTCCAAGACTCGCCTGGCAGGAGGGCGGAGGCACCCCGGGAGGCTATAAGGCCCTCTCCTCCACCCTGCCAGGCTCACTCTGCCCCACAGCCACAGCCCCTGACTGCCGCAGCCCCCACAGAGCCCGCCGCGCACCCCACGTCCCCCACGCCAGCGCCCAGCCATGGAGGCCATCAAGAAGAAAATGCAGATGCTGAAGTTGGACAAGGAGAATGCCATCGACCGCGCGGAGCAGGCGGAGGCGGATAAGAAAGCCGCTGAGGACAAGTGCAAGCAGGTGAGGTGCCCTCCGCTGGGCCGCTCCGGGCTGCTGGGAGTCCTCTCTGTGCGGAAGGCCGGGGTCTGGAGCCCAGTTGGGGGTCGCAGACACCTGCGGGAGGATAGGAGGCTGATGCTTTGGCGGAGGAAGAGCGAGGGGACCATTGCCTTCCTTGGATGGGGTCCTGGGCTGGAAGAGGGGTGACGATCGGACCCACCCCCAGCAGGGCCAGTGCGAACAAAGTGAGTTTGACAGAGAGAGAGTTGGCGGGGGAGGGAGAGTGAGAACGTTCGTGAGCGAGGTGTCGTTTGCGCTGGGAGGTTGTGTACTAGATAGGGCGGTTGGGGACATGCTGTGTGTGTGTATTTGCGTGTGTTTGAGCGTATGTGTGTGTACGTGTGTGTGTACGTGTGTGCGTGTTTGCCTCTGGTGTGTGTGTGCATGTGTGCGTGTGTGTGTGTGTGTGTGTGTGTTTGAGACAGAGTCTCGCTCTGTGGCCCAGGCTGGAGTGCAGTGGCCCAATCTCGGATCACTGCAACCTCCGCCTCCTGCGTTCAGGCGATTCTCCTGCCTCAGCCTCCGAGTAGCTGGGATTACAGGCACCCACCATCACACCCGGCTAATTTTGTATTTTTAGTAGAGACCGGATTTCGCCATGTTGGCCGGACTGGTCTCAAACTCCTGACCTCAAGTGATCCGCCCGCGTCTGCCTCCCAAAGTGCTGGGATTACAGGCATGAGCCACTGCGCCCGGCCATTTGTGTGTGTTTGAGCAATTCTCTGTGTGTGTGCGTGAGCATTTCTGTGTGTGTCTGTGTGTGTATCTGCATGTTTGAGCATTTGTGTCTGTGTGTACATGTATTGTGTATGTTTGAGCGTGTGTCTGTGTGTATCTATGTGTTTAAGCATTTCTGCACATGTCTGTGTGTGTACACATATTTGTGTGTTTGAGCAATTCTCTGTGCGTGTATCTGTATGTGTTTAAGCATTTCTGCGTGTGTGTGTACACATATTTGTGTGTGTGAGAGCAGTTCTGTGTGTGTGTGAGTGTATCTGTGTGTGTTTGAGCCTTTCTGTGTGTGCACATGTGTTGTATGTGTCTGTTTTACGTGTCTATCTGTACATGCACATATGTTTCAGCTGAAAAGAGTGCGGAGGGGTAAAGGTGACTGTGAGAATGAGTGTGTACTAGGAGAGCTGTGTGTGGGACGCTGCGTGCGGCTGTTGGAAAGTAGGTGTGAAAGAGTGTGGGTGTGTTTGTGAGCCTGTGTGTAGATGGTGGGGGTCTGTGAGGGTAGCGGGACAGGCTGACTGTGTGTGTGCTTGAGCAAACGCTGGTATGACAGTGATTGAAAGTACATGTTGATGTGGCTATGTTTGTGTTGGCATCTGTGTATCAGGGTGATGGGTTTCTGATGGCGTGTGTGTGTGCACCCACGCACATGTTTGGATGTGTGTTTCTGTTGTGTGTATTGGTGACTGTGCTTCTGTTGGGGTGTGTGTGCATGTTTAGATGAGTGTGTGTTTCTGTTGGTGTGTTTATGTGTATGAGTGTGTTTCTGTTGGTGTGTGTGAATGTGTATGGATGAGTGTGTGTTTCTGATGGGGTGTGTGTATGGTTGTGTGTTTCTATTGGTGTGTATGTGTGTGGATGAGTGTGTGTTTCTATTGGTGTGTGTGTATGAGTGTGTGTTTCTGTTGGTGTGTATGTGTGTGAATGAGTGTGTGTTTCTATTGGTGTGTGAATGTGTATGGATGAGTGTGTGTTTCTGATGGGGTGTGTGTATGATTGTGTGTTTCTATTGGTGTGTATGTGTGTTGTGTGTGGATGAGTGTGTGTTTCTATTGGTGTGTGTGTTTCTATTGGTGTGTGTGGATGAATGTGTGTTTCTGTTGCTGTGTGTGTGTGGGTGAGTGTGTGTTTCTGTTGGTGTGTGTGTGGATGAGTGTGTGTTTCTGTTGGGGTGTGTGTGTGGATAAGTGTGTGTTTTTATGGGGTTGCGTGTATGAGTGTGTTTCTATTGGGGGGTGTGTGCATGTGTGGATGAGTGTGTGTTTCGATTGGTGTGTGTGTGAATGAGTGTGTGTTTCTGTCGGGGTGAGTGTGTGTGTCAGTGACTGTTTCTGCTGGCGTGTGCATATGGATGTGAGGGGGGCTGTGCGAACCTGTGTGTGCGTGTAGGTGACACTATGCCCCTGGATCAGGAAGCCTCCACTGTGACAGAAGCCCGCTGTCTCATGGGCACCTGCCCAGGAGAATGGCACGGCATGTGTGTGTGTGTGTGTGGTGGGGGCCCAGGGCTGTGACCTGCTGCAGGGGTGACTGGGTGGGGTCTGGGGACTGGGATGGGAGTAGAGTTGAGAGTGAGTCTGAGAATCTCATTGTGTATGTGGGGGTGTCCCTGCTAAAAGCCTGGAGGCCGGGGCAGGTGGGCTGCCCGTGGTGGACGGAGGAGAGGGAGGCCATTTCCCATCTCCTGGCAGCCAAGAGCCCACACAGACCCAGAACTTTGGAGACAAGAGTCCTGGGAACCCTGGCAATGAGAATGCATTGGAGTTCCAAGGCCGTGGCCATGGTTTGGGGCAGAGCAGACAGGAGCAGTGGGTGGGAGGAAGGAAGGGAGTCCCCTCCCACAGAGCCATGTTCCCCACAATGTTTATCCACACCCCGATGTCAACTGCCAAGCCCTGGGGAGCATCCAGGTCTCCGATAAACCCTGGGAGATGCCTAGGACCATGGCACCGAGTGCCCAGCCCCACCCAGGCCAGGAGCCAGGCCAGCCCGGCAGCTAAAGGCGAAAGCTCGGAGCTCAGACTGGCCATGTTTGAGTCATGGCTCAGTCGCTAGGTGTCCCGGACGCCTGCATGAGTGAGATACGGAAGTGACAGTAGGGCCTCCCTTGCCACCCCATGACAGGATTAGAGGTGACTGTACAGGTGGAACCCTTGGCCCGGAGCCTAGCTCAGAGTAAGCACTCAATAAATGTAGGTTGATTTCCTGCCCCGCCCTACTTCCCCTTTGGGCCTCCCCAGCCCCCCGTGCCCCAGGGCTGCCCTAAGAGTATGTGGCACATTCGTGCAGGCCAAGCCCCACCCCAGTGTTCCCTGCCACAAGCTCTCTCCGCCTTCTCTGTGCCCCTCCCTGGCAAACACAGACATTCATCCTGTGCTGGGCCAGCTTCTAGCCATCATTTAGCCCTCACCATGAGGGACTTAGCCAGAGATTCGGAGAGAAACAAGTTTATAGCACTAATTCTTACTAAGGTGTGAGTGGCTATCTCCCAGGACAGCCACAAGTTCAAAAAGGAAGAATCCTCAAAGCCTCCAGCCAGCTGCGTGGCCAAGGAGGTTATGCCTTTTTTGTCCCACAAAGATGCCCACTGGAGTAGACTTGGGCTCAAAGCAAGTCTACACAGACTAGCTTTCAGGCAAACCTCCATAGACTAGCACATACTTTGTGTATATCAGTCTTTAAATGTATTTTTATTTTTTAGAGATGGGGGTCTCACTCTGTTGCCCAGGCTGGAGTGCAGTGGTGCAATCACAGCTTACTGCAGCCTCAAACTCCTAGGGCTCAAGCGATCCTCCCACCTCAGCCTCCCCAGTGGAGGTGCACACCTCCACGCCCAGCTAGTTATTTTATTTTTAGTAGAGACAGGGTCTCACTATTGCCCAGGCTAGTCTTGAACTCCTGGGCTCAAGTGATCCTTCCACCTCAACCTCCCAAAGTGCTGGGATCACAGACTTGAGCCACGGAGCCTGGTCTTTGTGACTCTCCTAGCTTCATGACTGAGGACACGTTCCTGCACATTTCTGAGCCCTCAGTGTCCTCATCTGTGAAATGGGAACACGTGAGGCCTTCTGAAGTTCAGGTGTGGAACTCAAGATCCCAGAATTCCGAAGCAGAAGCCAGCGCCCCACAGGAGCTAACGGCCAGTCCTGCTGGGGAATAGAGGCACTTAGAGCGCCTGACGCTGCAGGAGGCCAGAGAGAGCAGCTCTCGGGCCAGCCTGATCCCAGCAGCCAAGCACTGATTTCTGGCCCTGCTTACCCAGTGTGGGAAAAGGACAAAGAGGCCCAGCCCGGCCGCTTCCTGCCCACTCCCCTCCCAGGGCAGCAACATCCTCCACCACTGGCCTTTGACCCCACATCCTGCCTCAGCCCTGCCCCAAGGCCCCATTTGCAGGGACTAAGGTAATCCTATGACAGATAGGGAAACTGAGGCTCACAGAGGGACAATGACGGGCACGCGCCACCAGGCCCGGCTAATTTTTGTATTTTTAGTAAAGACGGGGTTTCACCATGTTGGTCTGGCTGGTCTCAAACTCCTGACCTCGTGATCCGCCCGCCTCGGCCTCCCGTAGTGCTGGAATTACAGGCGTGAGCCACTGCGCCCAGCTCTCATTTATTTTTTATCCTCACTGCCTACCACTGAAGGGTTTGGGGTTGTGTCTTCGATTCATCCCAAACACTTCCTACAGTGTTCTAATGCTGGGGCCCATAGTGGCCTCAGTCCCAGAACTGACCCTCAAGAAACTCCAAGCTGAGGGAGACAGACCATGAATACCTCCAGCTCAGAGGTCAGGGCCGGACCAGAGGGAGGGACAGAGGCTGGGACAGCTGTAGGCGTGGCGAAAGCTCTGCTCAGGGCAGCAGAGCAGGCCACCAGGGTTGGGGAGCCTTGGGACTGAGCATGGAGGGACGGTAGATGCCCTCCCAGTGAAAAGTAGAAAGTCATTCTTAGCAGTGGGTCCAGCATGGTCTAGAAGTCAAGCAAACCAGCTTTGGAATCAGACTAACAAAGATTCAAATCCCCCATCTGTGTGGCATCAGGCAAGTCCCTTCCCCTTTCAGAGACTCAGTTTGCCCTTCTGTAGTATGGGGCTTCCCTGAGACAATATTTGTAACACGCCCTGGCCAGGCATAGTGGCTCACACCTGTAATCCCAGCACTTCAGGAGGCTGAGGTGGGGGATCACCTGAGGTCAGGAGTTCGAGACCAGCCTGGCAAAACCCTGTCTCTACAAAAAATACAAAAATTAACTGGGCTTGGTGGCATGAGCCTGTAATCCCAGCTACTAGGGAGGTTGAGGCAGGAGAAGCACTTGAGCCAGGGAGGTGGAAGTTGCAGTGAGCTGAGATCCAGCCACTACACTCCAGCCTAGGCAACAGAGCAAGACTCTGTCTCAAAAAATATATCAAAACAAATTGTAACACGCCCAACACATTCTAAATGCCAGATAGCCCCCTGTCGGCCTTATCCCTGTCCTCACATGTTCTTGCCCAAACATTTCCCCCAAAAAAGTAGTCAAAACCCCAAACCAAACAAAAAAACCCCAAACCAGCCAGGTGGGGTGGCTCATGCCTGTTGTCCCAGCTACTCGGGAGGCTGAAGTGGGAGGATCCCTTGAGCCCAGGAGTTCGAGACCAGCCTGGATAACACAGCGAGATCCTATCTCAAAAAAACAAAAACAAAAACAAAACAAAACACCCAAACCATCTTCATACCCTGATGAGTCCATGCTGTCAGATTTGCTCTCACTCTTCCTACATGTTAGGAGAGTCCTGTGTTGGGCACACAGTTGGCACCCAATAAATGCTGTGATCCACAGATCTGGAAGGAAGTCAGGTGGATGCTGTAGGTCAGGGTTGACCTATGAAACGTCTTTAAGGAAACTGGCTCATTTTCTCAGTCAAGGCAGAAGTTCAAAAGCAGCTGCCGGAATGCTCAGAGACCAGCATGTCAAGGTTTCTGTTCTGCAGATGGAGAATCTGAGGCCAGAAAAGGGGACGGGGGTCGCAGAGCTTGGATTTGGAGTCAGGCTTCCAGGCTCCCCACCCGGAGGTCAAGGTCAGGCCCTATAGACTCTGACCCTGCCCTGATCAGCTGGCCACCCTGGATTGGGCCCTGTCATCTCCCCATAGCTTGGGATGCTCCTGAGGACTTCAGACAGGATAGCCCTCCCTGCTCTCTGTCACATCTCAGCTAGAGACCCTTGCAGGTCACCTCAGTGACATCAGCTGAACCTCCAGCTGCCAGCCTCCACCCCATCCTCCAGCTGACACCCAGCAGGCCGCAAGATGGGAAGCCTGGAGTTCACACTTTCCAGCTACTCAGGAGGCTGAGGCGGGAGGATCGCTTGAGCCGAGGAGGTCAAGGCTGCAGTAAGCTATGATCACACCACTGCACTCCAGCCTGGGAGACACAGGAAGACCATGTAAAAAAAAAAAAAAAAAAAAAACGCAAAAAAAAAAAATAATGCACACACACACACAGCAAGATCAGGTTAAAAAAAAAAAAGGCAAAAAAAAAACATACACACACACACACATATGGGGCACCTGGTACATTTTGCACATCCACTCAGGGGTGAGCACGTAGCCCAGACAGGATTCAGAGCTCAGTCTAGAAGCCACGGGCACAGCAGCTTTTTTAACATACCCTCTTCAAGAAAAAAAAGAAGAGAAGCAAGTCAGAGAGGGAGGAAGGGAAGCTGGCCTAGTGTGAGGAACAGGGCCAAGGGCTTTGTCTTTGTCAGCTCAGGCAGTTATAACAAAACACCATAGACTGGGTAGCTTCAGTAATAGACATTTATTGTTTACAGTCTGGAGGCTAGATGTCCAAGATCAAGATGCTGGCAGATTAAATGTCTGGTGAGCGCTCTCTAGCTAGCTTGCAGACAGCCACCTTCTTGCTGTGTCCTCACATTGGAAGAGGATAACCAAGTTCTGGCCTCTTCTCATAAGGGCCTTAATCCCATCATGGTGGGTCAACCCTCATGACCTCACCCAAACCTCATCATCTTCCAAAGGCCCCATCACCAATTACCATCACATGGAGATGAGGGCTTCAACACATGAATTGGAGAGGGGGCAAAAGCAAGCATTCAGTTCATTATAGGCTTATATTCCAGAAGACCTGGGCTCAAACCCTGTGCTGTGTGACCTGGGGAAAGTCATCCCACCTCTCTGAGCCTCCTGCTGTGGGGAGGAAGCAGGAGAATGAAGCTGGGCTCAGTGGGGGCTGTCTGCCCACCCTGGGAGCAGGAACAAGATCAGTGTCAAACCATCTAAGGCAAAAGTCAGATCCAAGCCAGGTGTGGCGACTCACGCCTGCAATCCCAGCAATTTGGGAGGCCGAGGCGGGCAGATCACTTGAGGTCAGGAGTTTGAGACCTGCCTGGCCAATATTGCAAAACCCTGTCTCTACTGAAAATACAAAAATTAGTCAGTCGTGGTGGTGTGCACCTGTAGTACCAGCTACCGGGGAGGTTGAGGCAGGAGAATCACTTGAACCCAGGAGGCGGAGGTTGCAGTGAGCTGAGATCGTGCCACTGCACTCCAGCCTTGGTGACAGAGCGAGACTCTCAAAAAAAAAAGTCAGATCCAGGCATGAGCTGGATATGATCACCCTAATCCAGAGTTGGGGGCCCAGGGAGGGAGTTTCAGCCTGGAGGTGACAGAAAAGTCTTCTTGAGCCAACTCTAGACCGGTGTGGTGGGGGGTGACAAAGAGAGGTGATGGGGTCTGTGGTTTGTAATCCATAGGCCTGAGCTTCTCAAACTAGGAGTGATGGGAGGATAGGACTCTTGGGATAAACAGAGGACTGAAAATTTAGGGAAAGTAGGGGACATTTTTATTAAAATGAACATGGCCTATATGCAAAAATTTTAAAGATTTAACCCGAGCCTTCAAAGAAAGTGATCCTGTAGGGGCGAGTCTCTTCTAGCCAAGCTCCCCAAAGCCCAGAAATGAGGGACTAGGTCTGAGCCCTTCAGCCCTTCAGAGTATTTTGGTAAGACAGTCTAAGAACCACTGCCTTGGGCCATAGGGAGCCATAGCAGGTTCTAGGCAGAAAGAGGGCAGGCGTATTTGTTAGAAAGTTTCTCTGACCCCGTGTTGGGGTCAGAACCAGAGGGAGAAAGGCTGGGGACAGGGATGGGCGGAGGGATCCACGCGCAGAGAATGAGATTGCTTAACTCCAGATCATGGTGAGGCTGCACCTCTGAAACTGGAATGTGTGTATTTCTGGAAAACATTTGGAGTCTTCAGTTTCCCAAAAGCTGCCATTGATCTCCCTAGAGTACTGGGGACCCCAATAAGCCCAAAACAGCTGGTCCTCAGGACGAGGGAAAGATGTGAAAATCCCACTATCAGGTAGCATGGATGGCGTGGTGCATGCTATCGCAACCCCTGTTCTACAGATAAGGAAACTGATGCCCAGAGAGAGACGGAGGACTCTTGTGAATATTGGGGGGGACCGCCCCTGCACCTCGGGGACGTGACCCCCCCCCCAGGCTGACCCGTTCCTCGCTCTGTCGTCCCCAGGTGGAGGAGGAGCTGACGCACCTCCAGAAGAAACTAAAAGGGACAGAGGACGAGCTGGATAAATATTCCGAGGACCTGAAGGACGCGCAGGAGAAGCTGGAGCTCACGGAGAAGAAGGCCTCCGACGTACGTGTGCAGGGATGCGGGAGCCCGCGGCGGGGCCAGGCCGGAGCCCCGGGGCCGGGAAGGCGGGGAGAGCCGCAGGGGGAGGAGGAAGAGGAGGAGGAGAAGGCGGCGCCTCCCAGCGCTTTCTCCAAATAAGTCCCGAAAAGGGGCACTTTCCAGCAGCTGTGGCCAGCGGTGCCGACGTCAGGCCCTCCCCCAGCGGTGCTGACGTCGGCGGTCCGGCCGGGTGACCTCATCGCCCCGACGGCAGCCGGCCCGGGGGGCGGGGAGAGGCGGGGGCGGCCCCCGCGCAGGCAAAGGCTTGGGGGGCCGGGGCGCGGCTGTGCAGCTCTCGCCGGAGCCGAGCCCAGCCGAGCGTCCGCCGCTGCCCGTGCGCCTCTGCGCCTCCGCGCCATGGCCGGCCTCAACTCCCTGGAGGCGGTGAAACGCAAGATCCAGGCCCTGCAGCAGCAGGCGGACGAGGCGGAAGACCGCGCGCAGGGCCTGCAGCGGGAGCTGGACGGCGAGCGCGAGCGGCGCGAGAAAGTGAGCGCCCCGGCCTCGGGCCCCGCACCCGCAGCCTCCTCCCCCGCGCGCCCTCCTTTCTTCCCGGCTTCCCGCGCTGCCCGCCCGCGCGCAGTCCTCGGGCCGCCTTTTTACGCCCTCGGACGCCGATCGCCGACCCACATCCCTGCGCCCGCAGCCAGGACCCCCTACTTCCTCCGCCGTCCTCCTTCCTGGGCCTGGGACAGGGGAGGGGGCGCCGCCTCCGGGTCGGGCGGGGCCGGCCAAGCGGGAAATGGGGGGATGGGGCGGAGGGGGTGAGCGATCTCCGGGTGGAGAAGTGGAGCGGCGGGAGGGGGCGTATCGTGCAGGCTCCGACTCCGGGGCTGGCGCCGGGGTCCCGGGCCGAGGGGAACCCGCGACCGGACTTGTGGGGGAGAATGAGGATGAAAACGTGGAGCTTCCATTGTCTAGGGTTTGACCGGCCGACAGGGATTTCGACGGGGGACCGGGGATCTGGGGAGGGGGTCGCACTTTCTCGCCTCTTTCGCGGCTTCCCGGCTTCTGCTTGCTTCCCTGACCGTTCCCAGGGGCGCGGCGGCGACGTGTCTGCTCCAGGCGGCGGGGGGGATGGGGGGTGGAGGAAGTTCAGCCCCAAGCCGCCCGCCTTTCTCCAGCTGATTCCTGCGGGAACCGGGGCGGCGGGACCCTGCCTCTCTCCAGAAGGCCCCGGGAACGCTGGCGCGGGGCCCTGAACCCACGATCGTTTGAGCGCCTGCTGTGCGCCTCCGCCGCGAGTCGCAGGGCCCGAGATAAACAATGGGTCTGAAAAAGGAGGGAGTTTCACCATCCTCTCTGCATCATCCTCCTGGCTGTCCCTCGGGACAGATGGTGGCACCGCCAGGGTCTGGGGACAGATTTGGATTCTGGTCCCATATCATGCCACCCACAGGCTTCATGACTTGGTATTTGCTCTCTAGGAGCTTTTTTCCCATCTGCGAGTAGGACTGATAAGAATCCCGACCCCCCAGAGTAGCAGGGAGGGTCCCAGGAGTAAATCTCAGGCGTGGAGCCTGGCGCTTTGTAAATAATCAATTGTGTTGTTGTTTTTTGTTGTTTTGTTTTTGAGGCAGTCTCACTCTGTCGCCCAGGCTGGAGTGCAGTGGTGCGATCTCGGCTCGCTGCAACCTCCACCCCCCGAGTTCAAGAGATTCTCCTGCTTCAGCCTCCCGAGTAGCTGGGATTACAGGTGCCCGCCACCACGCCCAGCTAATTTTTTTTTTTTTATTTTGGATTTTTAGTAGAGACAGTGTCTCACCATGCTGGCCAGGCTGGTCTCGAACTCCTGACCTCGTGATCTGCCCACCTTGGCCTCCCAAAGTTCTGGGATTACAAGCGTGAGCCACGGCGCCCAGCCTCAATTGTGTTTTCTCTGCCCTGGGAAGAGCTCATAGACAAATGGAGGCAGGGGAGCTGACTCACTGATGGAGCGAGGTCTGCATTCCACGGGTTTTCTGTGCAGTTATGGGAGCATGACAGGGGAGGCTCCAAAATGGAGGTTGAGCTGGGTCTTATAGAATAAATAAGTTTGCTGGGACCAGAGACATGGGTGTGCACAGACTCAGAGGCAAGAAAGTTGTATGATGAGGGTGGGGGGGTGTGCGGATAGAGGTTGAAGCCCAAAAGCCCTGAAAGTTCAGTGTTGAGGCTCAGGGTGGGGACCCTAGAGAGGCAAAAGATGCCCAGCCAGATGGAATTGGTGGTGTGAATTGCCAGGACTGGAAAGAGCCCAGATGGGGGCTGCAGCATGGGCCTTGGTTGAAGCCTCTAATCCTGTAAGGGCTGCTTTGGCCCAAGAGGCCTTAGAAACCCGGTGTAAGCCTCAATCGGTAGCCGGTCTGGCCTCTTTCTCACACTTAACCGACACAGCTCTTGCTCTGATCTCATCCCAAGTCATCTCGCTGGAGGACAATTAACTCGGCTTCAAAATGGCCCTCAGCCTGGAGCCAAGATTTAGGAGCAAGACCGTCTAGTTGGGAGAGAAGATGTTTTTGGAGAGTTGAAGACTTCTTGAAAAAGTTCGAAAAGTTCTTGAAAAAGCAAAGGATGCTTCTTTCCGTCTGGGAGAGGGAAAACCTCTCCCAGGGCAAAAGGAACTAAGACCAGGGGTGGGTTAAAAAAAAAAAAAAAAAAACCTTTCACTCTTGTAGAATAAGCCAGGAGCCGGCGTGTGGTAGACTTCTGGGCCTGTTTCCCGACAGCTGGTTTCGTTTAGATTTTTGTGTGATTAACTGACATCTTCCTGTTCCTTTGCCACATGTATCTAGCAAGCCTCTTTTACCTTATAAGGGAAATCCTTTGTAGCGTGTGGAAGGCTTTGATTGCAGGAAGGGGTGGAACCCAAAATGACTCGGCCGTGACTAGCAGTTTTTCAAAAATACATATATATGTATGCATGTACAGATATGCGTGTATCTCCCAACTCCAGACAGCTGAAAATCTGCCAAAAGCGTTGTTTGCCAGGATTCAGAATTTCCCACATAAGGGCTACTCACTTCTTAAAAGACAACTCATGAATCAAGCACCTCTGTTTGATCTTTAAAATCAATTCCTCGACTGCTAATGGGTACACAGTTTTTTGTTTGTTTGTTTGTCTTTGGCGGGTTATGAAAATGTCCTGGAATTCGATAATGGTGTTGGTTGCAGAGTGTTTTTGCAACATCAGTTCCTGGCCCAGTTACTGAAGGTGGTAGGAGGAGTTAAGATCTAGGCAATTAAAAAGAATGAAAGGCACCCATTCATGGGAAGGCCTCAGTGACGTTTCTTAAGACAGTTTCATCAGTGGTTTTCACAATTCTCTGCATTTGGTGTTTCAGAGGACACTGCAATACGAAACACCTGTGGGAGTGCCCTCTTTCTGCTTCTAGGAATCTGAGGCTGAGAAACCTTCCTGACTCTATTTGTGTAGTTTTTCGGCCACGTTAGCCTCATTCTATTTTTTTTTCCCCCAGTATGAACTCAGGGCAGGAGAGGGAGTGGTTTCCTAATAATTTTTTTTTTTTGAGACGGAATCTTGCTCTGTTACCCAGGCTGGAGTGCAGTGGCGCGATCTCGGCTCATTGCAACCTTCACCTCCCGGGTTCAAGCGATTCTCCTGCCTCAGCCTCCCAAGTAGCTGGGATTACAGGCGCCTGCCCCCACACCCAACTGATTTTTTTGTATTTTTAGTAGAGATGCGGTTTCACCATGTTGGCCAGGCTGGTCTCGAACTCCTGACCTCATGTGATCCACCCACCTCCGCCTCCCAAAGTGTTAGGATTACGGATGTGAGCCACCGCGCCCGGCCTTCCTAATAATTTTGATAGCCTTCCCCAGTTCAGGGATTCTTCATTTGTTCTGATAGGAAAAAGCTAGCGTGGCTTCCCTTTTCCTCTCGGTTGAGGCCCGTTTGACCCGTTCTCAATATTCCTTCCAAAGAGCAGGCATCGCTGGAAAACTCGCCTTGCCTCGTAGCCCTGGCAGGACCTAGGGGACAGGTTCTGACAAGGAAGAGCCCTGGGTGGGTCTTAAGAGGCCATTCATTTCTTACCAATTCTGAGTCACTGAATAAAACCACTTCCCCCAGTGGGGCCCCTCGGTTTCTTCACCTGTAAAATGGGTGCGATGTGTGAGGATGAAATTGCAGTAAAATAAAACCGTGGCAGTAAGAGATGCCTTTCTCTGGCACATCCCACCTGCTGGGCATAAGCGGCGCCACCCTCTGGAGTTACAGCCTCAAGGCAGTCCGGTAACTAATCAGGCTTTGGGATGGAGAGGGCCAGGATGAGGAAGCAACCTTCCCAACACCACGTGGCTGTGAAAATGACAAAGCACGGTCGGGCGCAGTGGCTCACGCCTGTAATCCCAGTACTTTGGGAGACCAAGGCGGGTGGATCACGTGAGGCCAGGAGTTTGAGACCAGCCTGACCAACAAGACGAAACCCTGTCTCTACTAAAAATACAAAAAAATAGCAAGGCGTGGTGGTGTCCGTCTGTAATCCCAGCTACTCAGGAGGCTGAGGCAGAATTGCTTGAACCCGGGAGGTAGAAGTTGCAGCAAGCCGAGATCATGCCATTGCACTCCAGCCTTGGTGACGGCGCAAGACTCCATCTCAAAAAAAAAATTAAAAAGAAAATGACAAAGCGGGGATTCCAGCCCAGCACTTTTTGGCCCTGGAGTTCCTGGTTTAATGCTTCCCATTGTACTTCCTTTCTTGTAGGTAAAAACACCTTGAAAAGCCAATAACACTATTGGGGTATGTCTTCCATGCCTGCAACCAAGTTTTCTTTCCCTTTCCATATCTTTTTGTCCTGCCATCTCTCAGCCAGGCGGATTGAAGGATGGAATTCCAACGAGGCTCCCCCGCCTCGTCCCACCTTGGTAATTGCATGGCCAACATTTAACTGAGGGCTCCATAGTCTTGCATTTATCTTGCCATTCAGGTGAATGGGAGCGGAACTCACAGGACACAATGAGCCGGGTCACTGATGGCCTTGCTTTCTAAGAATCTCACAGTGAGCCCTAGAACTCTCTACGTGGTAACACTGTGTGCCTTTTTCAGAGAAGAGCCTATCTTAGATCTTAGCCTAACGTTGGGTCTATTGTGTTGCTGGAGAGACCAGCACTGACATTCATCTCAAAGCACATGGTATGTTTGACTCCTATGTTGACTCAACTACCCATCTTGTACTGGGACACTCGCTTTTTTTTTTTTTTTTTGAGACGGAGTCTTGCTCTGTCACCAGGCTGGAGTGCAGTGGCACGATCTCAGCTCACGGCAACCTCCGCCTCCCGGGTTCAAGTGATTCTTCTGCCTCAGCCTCCTGAGCATGTGGAACTACAGGCACGTGCCACCACACTCAGCTAATTTTTCTATTTTTAGTAGAGACAGGGTTTCACCACGTTGGCCAGGATGGTCTCGATCTCTTGACCTTGTGATACACCCACCTCAGCCTCCCAAAGTGCTGGGATTACAGGCATGAGCCACCACGCTTGGCGATGCTCATCTTTTGCTATGGAGTGGTAGATGTTTTTCCCAGACATTTTCCGGGAAGATCATACTGAAATTTTGGTATGAGTGTAAATTCCCTATGGCCTGGACTCCTGGGTGGGCTTTGACGGGGAAGATCAGGTTAACAGAGGGCAGGACATGGGGGAGGCTCCCACTGGTGGCTGGCCTGATACTTCTTAACATGGCTGCACCTCCGACCTCCCCAGGCTGAAGGTGATGTGGCCGCCCTCAACCGACGCATCCAGCTCGTTGAGGAGGAGTTGGACAGGGCTCAGGAACGACTGGCCACGGCCCTGCAGAAGCTGGAGGAGGCAGAAAAAGCTGCAGATGAGAGTGAGAGGTAAGGACGCTTTGAATCTGGTGGCATCCGTGTTTGCTTTTAGAAAATGGGGATCATGCTGCCGACCTCGCAGAGCTGGTGTGAAAGTAAACAAGGTCACAAGGACATGCATGTGTCCACAAAAAAGTGCATGACAGCACTTTGTAAACCATCACTCCATGGGTAGAGATGTTTATCCGTGGCCAGGCACGGTGGCTCATGCCTGTAATCCCAGCACTTTGGGAGGCCAAGGCGGACGGATCACCTGAGGTTGGGAGTTTGAGACCAGCCTGGCCAACATGGTGAAACCCCGTCTTTCCTAAAAGTACAAAAAAATTAGCCTGCCATGGTGGCGGGCACCTGTAATCCCAGCTACTCAGGAGGCTGAGGCAAGAGAATCTCTTGAACCCAGGAGGCAGAGGCTGCAGTGAGCCGAGATCGTGCCATTGCACTCCAGCCTGGGCAACAAGAGCAAAACTCCATCTCAAAATAAAGTGAGGGGTGTTTATCCTTACGGTAACCATGAAAAGAAACTTCCGACAGACAGAAAGGCAAACAGAACGGGCAGATGTGAGACTGCAAGTATGACTGTCCATGGTGGTCAGTTTGCAAAGCACTGCTTCTCGTATTTTCTCTGAAAGCCACAGTGCCTCTTAGTGTTCTCTAGACACCAAATTTCAGGTAGGCCGGATGCAGTGATTCCTGCCTGTGCTCCCAGCACTTTGGGAGGCAGAGGCGGGCAAATCGCCTGAGCTCAGGAGTTCAAGACCAACTGGGGCAATGTGGTGAGACCCTGTCTCTACAAAAAATACAAAAATTAGCCGGGTGTGGTGGTGCACGCCTGTACTCCTGGCTACTCAAGAGGCTGAGGTGGGAGGATCACTTGACCCCAAGAGTTTGAAGCTGCAGTGAGGCAAGATTGTGCCACTGCACTCCAGCCTCAGTGACAGATGAGATTCTGTCTCAAAAAAAAAAAAAAAAAAAAAAAAGCAGAGTACTGTGGAGAGGAGGAAAGGAAACTTGGGATGCACAGGTGATTGTTAGCAGAGCTGTCAGGCTTTAGGCTTTTGGACGGTGACAGCTATTTCAGGGACAGTTGCAAACCAGCATGGTTAATGTACTTGCAACTGACCATGCACCAGGTGCCGTGGCTCACGCCTATAATCCCAGCACTTTGCGATGACGAGGCGGGTGGATCAACTGAGGTCAGGTGTTTGAGACCAGACTGGCCAACATGGTGAAACCCCGTCTCTATTAAAAATACACAAATTAGCTGGGCGTGGTGGCGGGCACCTGTAATCCCACCTACTCAGGAGGCTAAGGCAAGATCCCCCAGCTTGAACCCAGGAGGCAGAGGGTGCAGTGAGCCAAGATCGCACCACTGCACTCCAGCCTGGGCAACAGAGTGAGACTCTGTCTCAAAAAGAAACTGACCACGTTCCTCACCCGCCCATGGTATCTGTGCTGCAACCCAGCCACCAGTAGGGTGCCTTCTCCTCGGTAGCCAGATCATTCTCTGGCACGCCTTGGCACAGGCTCTCTGGAAGACTGAGGGTAGATTGTGTAATTCACAGAAGCAGCAGTCTGTGTGTGGTGGAAAAGGAGTTCCTTGTGTGGCAATGGTGTGGGCCCGACCAGTGATCATCGCGTCTGCCCCTCATTCACACCGGAGTTCTCACTTGAGCCAGCCACCATGCTTTTGCAGTATAAACACCTCCCAAAGATTCATTTCTTTTTTTTTTTTTTTTTTTGAGACAGGGTCTTACTCTATCACCCAGGCTGGAATGTAGTGGTGCGATCACAGCTCACTGCAGCCTCGACCTCCTGGGCTCAAGCGATCCTCCCGCCACGGCCTCCAGAGTTCCAGAGTAAAGCTGGGACTACAGGCGCATGCCATCATGCCCAGCTAATTTTTTTTTGAGACAGAGTCTCGCTCTGTCGCCCAGGCTGGAGTGCACTGGCGTGATCTCAGCTCACTACAAGCTTCACCTCCTGGGTTCACGACATTCTCCTGCCTCAGCCTCCCAAGTAGCTGGGACTACAGGCACCCGCCACCACACCCGGCTAATTTTTTTGTATTTTTAGTAGAGACAGGGTTTCACCGTGTTAGCCACGATGTTCTCAAGCTCCTGACCTTGTAATCCACCTGCCTTGGCCTCCCAAAGTGCTGGCACGCCTAGCTAATTTAAGATGCATTTCTGGTTGTGCTGCTGTGACCACTAACCAGAGATTAGAAACCAGCTAAGGAATCTTGGAGATTGCATGTCACCCAAGCTGGAAATTTCTTCCCAAGTAGTGGAACAGCCAGGGCAGAGGGAACAGACGCTACTGCAGACTCTGCTTCAGCCACTGAATCAAGGGAGAGAGTGGCAGCTCCGGCAGCCACGGGGCAGTGGAAGGACCCAGTCACGAGAGTTCCTGGCTGTGCCTGTGGCCTGGGTTAGCTGCTGTTCACAGTCAGACCAGCCTGGCTGGATGCTGACGTTGAGGGCTCCCATATTGGCAAACCAAGGGAGGCTGCGAAGGCCAGTCTCTTGTTTGCACCATGTCCCCAGAGGCCTTTGGTGACACCCCTGTTAAAGACTGCTGTGTCTCAGTAGAAAGAATTATATACTTGAAGCTTGGGGATCTAGAGTCAGCTTCTACCACTGGCACTTTCTATGGAGCCTTAGGCAAGTCACTTTGATCTCTTGGGTACTACAAGGGGTTTTGGGGCAATAAATAACCCAGAGAGCTTGCTCACATGCTGAGGGTGAGACCTCGTACAGGTGGGGGAGGGTGTTTTGAGACTTAGCTGAGAACGGGTGACACCCCACGTGAACATATTTATTGGACAGCAAGAAGCATATGGTCTCTGTGCTGGGTGGGAATGATACATATCAATGACACATTATCCCAGGCTGGCCTCTTCTTTTCTTTTCTTTTCTTGTTTTAAATACACAAGGTCTTGGCAGGGTGCGGTGGCTCACACCTGTAATCCCAGCCCTTTGGGAGGCGGGCGGATCGCTTGAGCCCAGGAGTTTGAGACCAGCCTGCGCAACATAGTGAGACCCCATCTCTACAAAAAAATATTAAAAATTAGCCAGGCATGGTAGTGCATGCTGGTAGTCCCAGCCACTCAAGGGACTGAGGTGGGAGAATCACCTGATCCCAGGAAGGCAAGGTTGCAGTGAGCTATGATTACACCACTACACTCCAGCCTGGGCAACAGAGTGAGAACCTGTCTCAAGAAAAAAAATAAATAAATACACAACGTCTTGCTCTGTCACCCAGGCTGGAGAGCAGTGGTGCAATCACGACTCACCGCAGCCTTGAACTCCTGGGCTCAAGCGATCCTCCTACCTCAGCAACATTGCAAAACCCCCACCTCCACAAAAAATTTTTTTTTAGTTTAGCTGGGTGCAGTGGTGCACACCTATAGTCCCAGCTACTCAGGAGGCCGAGGCAACAGGATTGCTTGAGCCTGAGAGGACAAGGCTGCCGTGAGCTCTCAGGGCACCACTGCACTCCAACCTGGGCAACAGAGTGAGACACCATCTCTCAAAATAAAAGAAAAAGAAAGGGGGCACAGACTCTGGAGTCAGACTGCCAAGGGCTGAGCCTCAGCTCTACCACTTACCAGCTCTGTAACCTTAAGTTACTTACCCTCTCTCTATGCCTTAGTTTCTTCATTTGTAAAATGTGGATAATTTACCTGCTCCATAGGGCAGTTGTGAAAGTGAAGGCACTTAGAAAAGTGCCTGGTAGTAAAGATGAAGGGAGGCTGGGCGCGGTGGCTCACACCTGTAATCCCAGCACTCTGGGAGGTCAAGGCGGGCAGATCACTTGAGGTCAGGAGTTCCAGACCAGCCTGGCCAACATGGCGAAACCCCCTCTCTACTAAAAATATAAAAGTTAGCCGGTCACGGTGGTGCATGCCTATAGTCCCGGCTATGCTGGAGGCTGAGACAGGAGAATTGCTTGAACCCAGGAGATGGAGGCTGCAGTGAGCTGAGATCACACTACTGCACTCCAGCCTGGGTGACAGAGCGAGACTCCATCTCAAAAAAAAAAAAAAAAACCAAGATGAAGGAAATGTGTGCACAGAGTTCCATCTTTGCAGTGTGTTACAGTGCTCAGTAGATTCAGAGACTCATTTAGATGAGAGATGGGACTAGGGGTGGTGTCTCACGCAATTAGCCAGACATGGTGACGGGTGCCTGTAATTCCAGCTACTCAGGAGGCTGAGGCAGGAGAATCGCTTGAACCCGGGAGGTGGAGGTTGCAGTGAGCTGAGATCGTGCCACTGCACTCCAGCCTGGATGACAGAGCGAGACTCCATCTGAAAGAAAAGATAGATGAGAGGTGGGTGGAGGGGTGTGAGTGAACGGCCGTCCTGATGAGATTGCTCCTTGCAGAGGAATGAAGGTGATAGAAAACCGGGCCATGAAGGATGAGGAGAAGATGGAGATTCAGGAGATGCAGCTCAAAGAGGCCAAGCACATTGCGGAAGAGGCTGACCGCAAATACGAGGAGGTGAGTGGGGCTGGCAGATGGCGCAGCAGCAGGAAGTGGGAGGAAATGCATCTGCTGAGATAGGGAGGACACCGGGGCCAACGAAAGGAAGCTCTCGGTTAGGTCAGCTGTCCTCCTGCGTGAACATATGTTTGTCCAGAGACAACCACTTGGCTAGGAAACTATCTCCCACGATGCCAGAAAGTGCTGCGGACGCTTGTCTAACGTAATGGGAAAACCGAATGATCAGCTCACTTGTGTCGTTAGCTGGGAGTTTTGGCACAGTTGGGCAAAAATGGAGGATTGTGGTCCCAAGCCATGGAGTTTCAGACCATGCAAGCTCAGGCCCTCCTTTGCCTCCCTCGATGGCTCGGCTCTTCCCTCCCGCCTCTTGTCTGCCTCGCTCCTCAGGCTTGAGGAAGAGAATCAGGATTTCCTCCAGGCCCCAGGATGGCTCTTTCAGTTGAAGCGCCAGCAAAAGGCCAGGCGCGGTGGCTCGTACCTGTAACCCCAGCACTTCGACCGAGGCGGGAGGATCACCTGAGGCCAGGAGTTTGAGACCAGCCTGGGCAACATAGTGAGACCCCATTTCTAAAAATAATAATAATAATAATTAGCTGGGTGTGGTGGCATGCACCTGTAGTCCCAGCTACTTGGGAGGCTGAGGCAGGAGGATCGCTTGAACCTGGGAAGTCAAGGCTGCAGTGAGCTCTGACCACGCCACTGCACTCCAGCCTTGGAGACAGAGCAAGACCCTCTGTCAAAAACATAAAAGGGCTGGGCATGGTGGCTCACGCCGGTAATCCCAGCACTTTGGGAGGCCAAGGCAGGCAGATCACCTGAGGTCAGGAGTTCATGACCAGCCTGGCCAACGTGGTGAAACCCTGTCTCTACAAAAAATACAAAAATTAGCCGGGCATGGTCGTGCATGCCTGTAAGCCCAGCTATTTGGAAGGCTGAGACAGGAGATTCACTTGAACCCAGGAGGCAGAGGTTGCAGTGAGTCAAGGTTGAGCCACTGCATTTCAGCCTGGGTGATGGAGCGAGACTCTGTCTCAAAAGAATAAAAAAATAAAAAAGAGGCCAGGTGTGGTGGCTCATGCCTATAATCCCAGCACTCTGGGAGGCCGAGGTAGGTGGATCAGGAGGTCAGGAATTCGAGACCAGCCTGGCCACTACGGTGAAACCCCATCTCGACTGAAAATACAAAAATTAGCTGGGCGTGGTGGCACGCGCCTGTAGTCCCAGCTACTTGGAAGGCTGAGGCAGGAGAATCGCTTGAACCCAGGAGGTGGAGGTTGCAGTGAGCCGAGACTGTGCCACTGCACTCCAGCCTGGGCAACAGAGGGAGACTCCGTCCCCCTGCAAAAAAAAGAAACACCAGAAAAACCCATGTTGCAGCTGGTCTAGGGGTCTGGGTGGGGCATCATTGGGGGCTGTCTGCAGTGGATGGGAGAGGACACGGCTGGTGGGGATCGGGCTCAGCTGGGCCTTTCTGTCTCTGCAGGTAGCTCGTAAGCTGGTCATCCTGGAGGGTGAGCTGGAGAGGGCAGAGGAGCGTGCGGAGGTGTCTGAACTGTGAGTGGCAGAACAGGACTGAGCGAGGCTGGCTCGATTCCTGGGGCGGAGTGGGAAGGAGCTGGCTGTGTTGGGAATTGGCTCTGACCGGGGTCTCTGCTCAAGTGGACGGGCGTCAGGGGCTCATGGCTCATCTTTTCTCTTGGCTTCTGTGACAAAGAGGTGGTGACTTGTTCTTACTGCCATGGGAAGCACTGCCCACGTGTTGACCCTTTCTGCAAAGATATGAGGAAATAGGAGTGAGACAGGAGGCAGCAGGGAAGCCCAGAAGTCCCATTTTCCCAGAGAGGATATCTCAGGGGGCTGTGCCATCTTAACAGAACACTGACCTGCTCCAGAAGGCAGGCTCCCCCGGTCAGTATGTAAATGCTTTTGCTCCTGTCAGTGTTTGGCCGTGACACATTCCTGGCGGGAAGGTGAGAAGCTTAACCAGAATCCCACAAGCAAGCACCGAAAAACAAAACACCTGTCCTCTTGGCCCCGGGTGAGGAATTCAGCCCCACAGAGCATCCGGGAGTGCTGAGAGAGATCTGGTTTCACAAATCCACTCCGGGCTTCCTTCCCGGAGTGTCCCCTGCAAACTCCCATTGCTCTCTGCCCGCCTTCTGCCCTCAGTCCCATTCTTACACCTTCCGGAGTCGGCCTCATCAATCATAGATTTCACAAGTCCTTGCAGCCTTACCCTTGGCAAAAGACCAGGAGTGTTTTCCAAGCCCTCCAAATACTCTTCGGGCGCACCTCGCCTCTGCCTGGTATGATAAGCCTTTGATAAGCCCATAGTATCACACTGCAGAAAAATCCATTAACATTTTCTCCCCACATTCCTTCTGCCCCCCACCGGGGGAGCTGTGTAGGTTTCTCCTTTGGAAAATTTATTGTTGGGGCGATTGCTATTATTGCCGGCTGTAAGGGAAGATAAGACACAAAAATCCTTTGTCTTTGTGCAGAAAATGTGGTGACCTGGAAGAAGAACTCAAGAATGTTACTAACAATCTGAAATCTCTGGAGGCTGCATCTGAAAAGGTAGGTGGTTGGCTTGAGCTGGAGGGTGGCTTGCTGGACTTTGTTCTTTTCTTCTCCCGAGGGATGCAGGAGCCTGTCAGGTTATGGGGAATCTGCCCTTTATTTAACAGTAGCGTTGGTGCCTGGCAGCCAGGGTTTTTCCCCTACAGAAAGAGCTGGATTTCTCCTGCACACTCTTGAGTCCTCTTCCATGGGGTCTGAGCACCATCTTTGATCTCCATCTCAGGAGGATAGAGATAGAACATGAGGCTCTTCTTAGCGAGATCTGAGCATAGTTGTATAAATAAATACAGAGCCTGCCTCTCACCTGATTCCCCTGGTTCCTCCAGAAATACCATCTCAAAGGTATAGCAATGATCAGAGGTGGAATTGGGCTTTTTAGTTTGAAACAGCACCCAAAGCAGTTGCTACGTGGCAGCTACGTCGGGAACAAAGGACACACTTCCACGGCCGAACCCCACTGAATTTCCCAGCCTCTTCCTCATTCTTGCTCCTGCTTTTGCAGTTTCACAGACATTCTTTGTTCTCCCATCACCTCCACCCCCCACTTTTTTTTTTTTTTTTTTGAGACAGAGCTTCGCTCTGTTGCCCAGGCTGGAATTCAGTGGCATGATCATAGTTCATTGCAGCCTTGAACTCCCAGGCTCAAGCGATCCTCCCACCTCAGCCACCACCTGCTATTCACTCAACTGGGTGTGGCTTTCCTTTTGCTTGATAAACCCCTATTCAGCCTTTTTTTTTCTTTTCTTTTTTTTTGAGACAGGGTCTCACTCTGTCACCCAGGCTGGAGTGAAGTGGCGTGATCTCAGCTTACTGCAGCCTTCGACTCCCAAGTTCAAGCAATTCTCCCACCTCAGCCTCCCGATTACACGCTAATTTTTATAATTTTTGGTAGAGATGAGGTTTCACCACATTGGCCAGGCTGGTCTCGAACTCCTGATCTCAAGTGATCTGCCCGCCTCGCCCTCCCAAAGTGCTGGGATTACAGGCATGACCCACTGCACCTGGCCTAGAGATGAGATCTTGCTCTGTTGCTTAGGCTGGAAGTGTAGTGGCGTGATCATAGCTCACTGCAGGCCCCAAACTCCTGGGCTTAAATAATCCTATCACCTCAGCTTCCTGAGTAGCTAGGACTTGCAGGCATGTGCCACTACTCCAAAACTGTATTTTTTTTTTTTTTTTTATAGAGCACAGTCTATGTTGCCTAGGCTGGTCTTAAACTCCTGGCCTCAAGTGATCCTCCCACCTTAGCCTCCCAAAGTGCTGGGATTACAGGCGTGGGCCACCGTGCCTGGCTAATTTTTCTAGTTTTTGGTAGAGACAAGGTTTCATCATGTTGGCCAGGCTGGTCTTGAACTCCTGGCCTCAAGTGATCCTCCCACCTTGGCCTCCCAAAGTGCTGGGATTACTTTGGGAGGCCGCCGAGCCTGGCCTCCTGTTCATCCTTTGAGCTTCTGCTTAAACATCACTTCTGAGAGTCCTTCTCTGATTTCTCATCTAGGTTAGGTATTTCTCTGCTGTGTAGCCCTGTCTATACTTTTGCTGGCATTATGATTTCTTACATTTATTATAGTTACTCCATTAATTGCATGCCTTCCTTGCTAGATTGTAAGTTGTAAGGACAGGAACCATGTCATCTTGTTCAGAGTTGTGTCCCTAGTACTAGCATTGTGCCTGGCATATATCTGTAGTGTGTGTGTGTAATTTTTTTTTTTTTTTTTTTTTTAGTAGAGATGGTGTTTCACCATGTTGCCCAGGCTGATCTCAAACTCCTGGCCTCGAGTGATCCACCTGCCTCTGTCTCCCATATGTGCCAGCCCTGGCATATATCTGATACTAGGATGTGTAAGGAATGAATCCAGTTGGTGTGTGTATGCCAGACACTGCCCCGGGCCAGGGGGATAGATGTAACACCACTAATACCTCAGCTGCTTTGTTTTGTTTTGTTTTGAGATGGAGCCTTGCTCTGTCGCCCAGGCTGGAGTGCAGAGGCACGATCTCAGCTCACTGCAACCTCCACCTCCTAGGCTCAAGCAATTCTCCTGCCTCAGCCTCCTGAGTAACTGGGAATACAGGCGCACACACCACGCCCAGCTAATTTTTGTATTTTTAGTAGAGACGGAGTTTCACCATGTTGGCCAGGCTCGTCTCAAACTCCTGACCTCAAGTGATCCACCCACCTCGGCCTCCCAAAGGGCTGGGATTACAGGTGTGAGCCACTGTGCCCAGCCTGGCATCTGCTCTTGAAGAGCTCAGAGTCGAGTCTAGTGGAAGGGATTGACAAAGTCACAGAGTGCTTTGGGAATACAATAGAGGGACCTTGGTAGGTTGTGAACGGTGTCACCAAGGAGGCGACATTTAAAACAGCTGTAGGTCCAGCACGGTGGCTCATGCCTGTAATTCCAGCACTTTAGGAAGCCGAGGCGGGAGGATCGCTTGAGCTCAGAAGTTCGAGACCAGCCTGGGCAACATGGAGAGATCCCGTCTCTACCAAAAATACAAAAACTAGCTGGGCATGGTGGTGCATGCTTGTGATCCTAGCTACTTGGGAGGCTGAGGTGAGAGGATCACTTGAGCCTGGAGGGCGGAGGTTGCATTGAGCCAAGATTGCCCCACTGCACTCCAGAGTCAGGCTTCAGTCATGACTTGATCACTTAATAGCCATGTGACCCTAGGCAAAATAATAACTTCACCTTTCTGTGACCCTTTCCTCCCCTATAAAATGGGATTACAGATACCAGGCTGTGATGCCATTAACTATGTCTGGCCCATGGTAAGCAGCTAATAAGTGTTAGTTATTATTGGGAGGCCGAGGCAGGCGGATCACCTGAGGTCAGGAGTTCGAGAGCAGCCTGGCTGGCCATCGTAGCGAAACCCCATCTCTGCTAAAAATAACAAAAATTAGCTGGGCATGGTGGTGGGCGCCTGTAGGCCCAGCTACTTGGGAGGCTGAGTCAGGGGAATTGCTTCAGCCTGGGAGGCAGAAGTTGCAAGTCACAGTGAGCCGAGATCGTACCACTGCACTCCAGCCTGGGTGACAGAGCAAGATTCTGTCTGAAAAAAAAAAAAAAGAAAAGAAAAGTATAATTTCTGATGGGTCATCATGGGGAGGGGAACATTCCATGCTAAGGGGTGCATTCATGGACAGGGACTGGGACTCAGGAGTCCACAGATTATGATCAGGGAGTGCCTGTCACCCTGGGGAAGGTGGTGGAGAATGGGGTTGGAAATACAGAGGGGGCCTTGAGTAACAGATTCCCAGTTATCTCCCTTTCTTCGCCATACTTTTTATCTCAAGTTCTCAGTTTAGGCCTTCTGATCAATACCATCCTACAGGACTCTCCCCAACATCCTCCACATTTCACACATATTTCTTCTGCTGGGGAAAGGTGCCTGCCTCTACTCTGCCTACTTTTTTTTTTTTTTCTTTTTGAGATGGAGTCTCACTCCATCGCCCCAGGCTGGAGTGCGGTGGCGCCATCTGGCCTCACTACAGCCTCCACCTCCTGGGTTTAAGCAATTCTCATGCCTTAGCCTCCTGAGTAGCTGAGATTACAGGCACCCACCACCACACCTGGCTAATTTTTGTATTTTTAGTAAAGACAGCGTTTCGCCATGTTGGCCAGGCTGGTCTCGAACTCCTGACCTCAAGCGATCCACCCGCCTTGGCCTCCCAGAGTACTGGGATTACAGGCGTGAGCCACCGTGCCTGGCCTGCTTACTTCTTTTTATGCTTCTTCCTCCTTTTTTTTGAGATGGGGTCCTGCCCTGTTGCCCAGGCTAGAGTGTAGTGGTCCAATCAGAGCTCTCTGCAGCCTTGAATTCCAGGGTTCAAGCCATCTTCCCTCCTCAGCGTCCCCATTAGCTGGGACTACAGGTGCTCACCACCATGACTGGCTAATTTTTAAATTCTTTGTAGAGACGGGGTCTCACTATGTGACCCAGGTTGGTCTCAAATTCCTGGGCTCAAGTAATTCTCCCACCATGGTCCCCCAAAACACTGGAATCACAGGTGAGAGCCACCACACCCAGCCCTCCTTTTCTTTCTTTCTGTTTTTTTTTTGTTTTTGTTGTTGTTGTTGTTTGTTTTTTTGAGATGGAGTCTTACTCTGTCACCCAGGCTGGAGTGCAGTGGCGTGATCTCGGCTCACTGCAACCTCCACCTCCCAGGTTCGAGTGAGTCTTCTGCCTCATCCTCCCCAGTAGCTGGGACTACAGCTGCATGCCACCAAGCCTGGCTAATTTTTGTATTTTTAGTAGAGACGGGGTTTCACCATGTTGGCCAGGCTGGTCTCGAACTCCTGACCTTGTGATCCACCAGCCTCAGGCTCCCAAAGTGCCAGGATTCCAGGCATGAGCCACCATGCCTGGCTGGGCCTCCTTTTCTTAAAGCAGTGTTTTGGTTTCTCCCACAGTATTCTGAAAAGGAGGACAAATATGAAGAAGAAATTAAACTTCTGTCTGACAAACTGAAAGAGGTGAGTGTGGTGGCACCCAGCGAGCTCTGGTTTCTCCTGGGGCTGGTCTTGAAGCCATGATAGTAACTCCTTTCTTCTTATCTAGGCTGAGACCCGTGCTGAATTTGCAGAGAGAACGGTTGCAAAACTGGAAAAGACAATTGATGACCTGGAAGGTATGAGGTTACCATCTAAATGTTTGCCTTGCCCTGCCTTCCCCTCTGGGACACATCCACGGACAGTTGGGGAATGTTTGTGGAGGGGCTGGGTTGGGCTTTGTTTGCCTTAGGAAAGTAAAGCGCATAGTGATGTCATATCTGGATGTCCTGGAACACTGGAATAGGATAATGCAAAGCATTCAGGCTTGAATGGCCCTTTTTTTTTTTTTTTTTTTTTTCTATGAGACGGAGTCTGGCTCTGTCTCCCAGGCTGGATGGAGTGCAGTGGCGCCATCTCGGCTCACTGCAACCTGCGCCTCCCGGGTTCAAGTGATTCTCCTGCCTCAGCCTCCCAGGTAGCTGGGACTACAGGCGTGTGCCGCCACACCTGGCTAATTGAATTGCCACTTTCAGGAGGTAAAATATCTCTGCTTAGTTAGTCCCATGAGCAAGTATAGAGAAAAGAGTATGGCTCTCTCTGATTAAAAAAATATTAATAATAAATTAAAAATCTCAGGCCAGGCGCAGTGGCTCAAGCCTGTAATCCTAGCACTTTGGGAGGCCGAGGCGGGCGGATCACTTGAAATCAGGAGTTTGAGACTAACCTGGCCAACATGGTGAAACCCCGTCTCTACCAAAAATAGAAAAAATTAGCCAGGCGTGGTGGTGCACGCCTGTAATCCTAGCTACTGGGGAGGCTGAGGCAGGGAGAATCCCTTGAACCTGGGAGGCGGAGGTTGCAGTAAGCCAAGATCACGCCACAGCTCTCCAGCCTGGGTGACAGAGCCAGACTCCGTCTCAAAAAAAAAAAAACTTCACAATTTCCTTCTGTTTGCTCATTTCTGATAGATGCCTTGCATTTTTTTTTTACATGCCTTGCATTTTTGCAGAAGCTCTGTCCCAGGGAGCTCAAAGCTTATCATAGTATTTAAAAAAAAAAACAGAAATACAGAAAGTGTAGGGACTGCAATAAAGACTAGTCTGCAAGTCTGGGGCCCACTTCTCCCAGAATTTTTTCAAGAGTTCCAGTGTTTAACATTCGGCCTCAGAAATTCCAGAATCTTGGGGTTCAAATGGAATCTTCCAAACTGCCCATCCCACCCAGAAAGGACACATTCTTCAGACCATATCTTCCAATGTTTTTTTGGGGAAGTGAGGTTCCCATATAAGGGAAAATGCCCCATTCCAAAATACGACCTTTGGACAGGGTGACGTCATTGGAAATCCGAAATAAACTGAGGGGTGGGGACCAGTGGGGGGAAGCTCTGTCACTTCTGGTTACCACTGTTTTGAAGCTTCATTGTGGCTAATCCCCCTGCAGAACCTCAAACCACTTAGAGATCAACTCCATAGATCTTTGGTTTTCTTCATCTGTTTCACATGGAACACAGCTTTCTCCTAGTCTGTGCTTTGTTTGCTCACGTGTTTTTTTCTTCCTCTTGTGGTTCATCTGTGGCACTCCATTCCGACCCTTGCCTTCTGTCCCCTGTACTTCTGAACTGTCTCCCTGGGGACCTCCGCCCTCTAGATGAGTTATACGCTCAGAAGCTCAAGTACAAAGCTATCAGCGAGGAACTGGACCACGCTCTCAACGACATGACCTCTCTCTGAGAGGCAGCCAGGTCGCTGCCCTCTGTCCTTCTCACATGGTGCCTCCTACGCCCCTGTGGGCTTCTAGGAGCTCCGGTGGCCTGCCTTCTGGTTTGAACGTCAGAGCCTTCTTCTGATGTGTCTGTGACTCTACAACCGAAATAAAGACGGGCAGTCCTCCTCTTCATGCCCCCTCATTCTCATTTTCTCCACTTGCTGCCTTTGAGCTGTAGCTGTGTGCCCTTAACCATAGCCTGAAACACAAAGTGGGTGGTTAGCCTCTCTCACTCACAAATGAAAAGCTTATTACAAAAAGAAAATTATGCCTACAGGATGCTTTTCTGAAGACGTGAAAACAAAAGCAAACTGGGCATGTGCTCTCAGATACCGCTGTTAGCTAACGGCATCTGCATGCCAATAATTTTTTTTTGTTTTTTTGTTTTGAGACAGGGTCTTGCTTTGTCACCCAGGCTGGAGTGCAGTGACACCATCATAGTTCACTGCAACCTCCACCTACAAGGCTCAAGCTATCCTCCCACCTCGACCTCCCAAGTAGCTGGAACTACAGGTGTGCACCACCACACAAGGCTAATTTTTGTACTTTTTTTTTTTTTTTTTGAGGCGGAGTCTCACTATGTCGCCCAGGCTGGAGTGCAGTGGTGCAATCTCGGCTCACTGCAACCTCCGCCTCCCGGGTTCAAGCAATTCTCCTGCCTCAGCCTCCCAAGTAGCTGAGATTACAGGCATACACCACCACACCTGGCTAATTTTTCTTTTGGATTTTTAGTAGAGACAGGGTTTCACCATGTTGGTCAGGCTGGTCTCAAACTCCTGACCTTGTGATCCGCCTGCCTTGGCCTCCCAAAGTGCAGGGATTACAGGCTTGAGCCATCACGCCTGGCCATTTTTGTACTTTTTGTAGAAGCGGGAGGGTTTCACTATGTTGCCCAGGCTGGTCTTGAACTGCTGGGCTCAGGCAGTCTGCCCACCTCACCCTCCCAGGGTGCTGCAATTACAGGCATGAGCCACCGCGCCCATCCCCAATGGTTTTTCCTTAAATAGAAATTGTTGTGAATGGAGGCTCATCCTTGTAAACCGCTTAGGCAGCTTAAGAGTCAACAGGGATTTGGAAAAACCAGCAAGCCTGTGTCAAAAATGAGGCTCCCCTTGAATGGGGCTTGAGCTACAGATTCAAACAGCGGCAGTGACATTTTGATCTCCATTTCCTCCTTTTCTTGTGTCTTTTCTCTGTGTTACACTGTGAGTGTGGTGACTGGGGCTTCCCGTGGCTTTACTCTTCACTGTTCATCCAGCTCCCAGTCCTGGGAGGAAGTTCACCTCCACGCCCTGCCCTTAGAAAACTGACTGTACAAGGAGTGAACGGGCCTCCATGAACAGGGAAAGTGCTGTGACGTCAGAAGACGTGAATTTAGAATTCTTTTCCCGAATTCCAGAATTGCCTGAGACTGCTAACATCAATCTCCATTCATATTTCAGTTAGTTATAACAGGAACCTTGCTTTAGTTTAGAATAGCTCTTAAGGTTGACCTGTGGGTAATAAAAGGTCATGCTTTTTCCTACATGAGGAATATGGAGAAAACAAGGTCACTCTTTTTTTTTTTTTTTTTTTTTTTTTTTTTTTTTTCAAGACAGGGTCTCACTCTGTTGCCCGGGCTGGAGTGCAGTGGCGCCATCTTGGCTCACTGCAACCTCCGCCTCCTGGGTTCAAGTGATTCTCATGCCTCAGCCTCCCGAGTAGCTGGGATTACAGTCGCGGACCACCACACTCAGCTAATTTTTGTACTTTCAGTAGAGATGGGGTTTCACCATGTTAGCTAGGCTGGTCTGAAACTCCTGGCCTCAACTGATCCGCCCACCTCAGCTTCCAAAAATGCTGGGATTACAGGCGTGAGCCACTTTGCCCGGCCCAGGCTATGCTTTGCTTTTTTTTTTCTTCTTTCTTTTTGAGACGGAGTTTCGCTCTTGTTGCCCACGCTGGAGTGCAGTGGCGCCATCTCTGCTCACTGCAACCTCTGCCTCACGGGTTCAAGCAATTCTCCTGCCTCAGCCTCCCAAGTAGCTGGGACTACAGGCATGCGCCACCATGCCTGGCTAATTTTGTATTTTTAGTAGAGACAGGGTTTCACCATGTTGGCCAGGCTGGTTTTGAACCCCTGACCTCAGGTGATCCACCCGCCTCGGCCTCCCAAAGTGCTGGGATTACAGGTGTGAGCCACTGCACCTGGCCCAAGCTATGCTTTTCTAATGATCAAAAACATACCAATTTGTCCCAAAATTTCAAATAGTGCATCTGGTTCTCCCCTGCATCCTACCACCACTACCACCTCAAATTATCACAGATAATTGACATTTAGATGTTCAAGCCACATCTTCCAGACTACCCCTTGAACCTGGAAATGGCATGAAAATCTCCAACTAGATCCTGAATTTTCGGTATCCATTGTTATTCCTCATCCTATTTTTTTGTCCAGGTGGGAAGCTCTGTCCCCATTACTCTCTCTATTCATCCATTCCTCCAAAATGCACCTCCCCTAAACCACCTCCACCTTTCCACCCTCAGCCTCTCCCTGCTCCTAACTGCCGTCCATCCTGAACTTCTGCAAAAACCATTCCCCTCACACATTGCCATATATATGCCCTTGGAAAGATTACAGACTGTGTAGGGGGCTGGTTTTTGTTTGGAGTCTGTGTGTTTGTCCCTGGAATTTCTCCAGGCATTTCTGGACTCCACCCTTTGAAGTAACTATGCAGCCTGTCTATCCAGTTATTCTACCTAACTAAGCACATAAGTGGAATTTCAGAGATTAGTGCTATGGCCGGGCACGGTGGCTCACGCCTGTAATCCCAACACTTTGGGAGGCCAAGGCAGGCAGGTCACTTGAGGTCAGAAGTTCAGGACCAACCTGGTCAACATGGTGAAACTCTGTCTCTACTAAAAATGCAAAAATTAGCCGGGCATGGTCATGGGGGCCTGTAATCCCAGCTACTGGGGAGGCTGAGGTGGGAAAATCAATCACTTGAACCTGGGAGGCGGAGCTTGCTGTGAGCCAAGGTCGAACCTTTGTACTCCAGCCTGGGCGACAGAGTGAGACTCCGCCTCAAAAAAAAAGAAAAGAAAAGAAAAGAGATTAGCACTATGGAGGTCTACACTATCTGTTGATAGTCTGTGAGCCTTGTCGTGATTCTCAAGGGCAGTTAACACTTTCAGGGAAAGTCATTTTATCTCAGACCTAATAACAAAATAGATGCTAAAGCATCTGAGTGACAAGATGAAGCGAAGTCAGGATTTGTAGTCAAGAGACCAGGGTTTAAGGCCTGGCGCAGTGGCTCACACTTGTAATCCCAGCACTTTGGGAGGCCAAGGCAGGCGGATCACTTGAGCTCAGGAGTTTGAGACCAATCTGGGCAATATGGCAAGACCCCATCTCTAAAATTATTCATAATAATATTTTATTTTTAAAAAATTTTTTAATAAAATAATAAATAAAGAGACCAGGATTTAAAATCCTAGCTCTACTACTTTAACCATGCCAACGTGAACAAGCTGCTTAGGTTTTCTGCAAAATAAAGGTGATATCTCTGTTATGAGGATTAAATGAGATAATGGAGAAACTGGCTCGTCCAACATAGTCAGCATTCAGTTAACATCTATTCACCCAGACTGGATAGGCCCAGGTCACTGATCTGTCTGATAGAATCCTCCCAGGTCATAGTCACTTGACTCTGTGTGTGTGTGTGTGTGTGTGTGTGTGTGATGGAGTCCCACTCTGTCACCCAGGCTGGAGGGCAGTGACGCAATCTCGGCTCACTGCAGTGTCCGCCTCCCGGGTTCAAGTGATTCTCCTGCCTCAGCCTCCTGTGTAGCTGGGATTACAGGTGTGCGCCACCACACCCGGCTAATTTTTTGTATTTTTAAGTAGAGATGGGGTTTCGCCATGTTGGCCAGGCTGGTCTCGAACTCCTTACATCAAGGATCCATGGTGTCTCATGCCAGTAATCCCAGCACTTTGGGAGGCCGAGGTGGGTGGATTGCATGAGACCAGCTTGGGCAACATGGCGAAACCCCATCTCTACTAAAAATACAAGAATTGGCTGGGTGTAGTGGCACGCACTTGTAGTCCCAGCTACTTGGGAGGCTGAGGTAGAAGGATCACTTGAGCCCAGGAGGTCAAGGCTGCAGTGAGCTATGATCATGCCACTGCACTCCAGCCTGGGCAACAGAGCAAGACCCTGTTTAAAAATAAATAAATAAGAAAGGCTGCCATCTTCTGCAGTCATTTTTTTCTTTCTGTAAATTTCCAGGCTGATGATATCACATTTTATGAGGCATTTTGCTTTCCCCCAGCATTTTAATGAGTCTTGGCCTTGTCCCTTATCAGCCATCACTTACTGCAAACTAAGTTCTCTCTCGTGCTCTGTCACGCATAGCTCTAAATGGCGTCTTTTTTCTCTCTCTCTTTCTTTTTTAATTTAAATTGTTTCATCAGCTCAGTTACTTAATAACATGCCTGTAGAATGGCTTAAATTTCGCATTTACCTGGGGTTTGTCTCCGTTCTCCTGGATTCATAGACAGTTACACAATTATGTGTATAATTTAAACAGCCATTCCCAGAAGCTCCGAAGGAAAGATGGGTTACAGGATTTTAGATTTAACTATCAAAGGCTCAGGGGCTAATTAACTAGCACTTGGGTGGAAATTTATATTAAGTCACACATATCTAGGACTGAAATCTTCATGTAGCAGCACGTCATAGGTTCTGAAGTATTTCTCCTTTATTCCTCATCATAACCCCCACACCACGCATTGATATCGTTACCCCCATTTGACAGACGGGGAAAACAGACCTAGGAAGGTTAGATGCTTACTTAAGTGATACAACTGGAGCTTAAGTTCAGGTATTCTGACTCAAGGGTTACCAGAGTTCACAAGGAAAAATACAGGACACCAACTTAAATCTGAGTTTCAGATAAGCAATGAATAATTTTTTAATCATAAGTATATCTCTTGCATAAGTACATCTCATGCAACATTTGGGATATACTTACACTAAAATATTATTTGTGGTTTATCTGAAATTCAATTTAACTGGGCGCCCTGCATTTTATCTTACAACTGTGACTCCCAAATTTGGTGCTTGTTCCTTAGTATTCTGTGATGTTCTGCTGTAATTAAAAATACAAAGTACTGGACAGGCATGGTGGCTATAACCCACCTGTATTCCCAGCACTTTGGGAGGCTGAGCAGATGGGTTCCTTGAGCCCAGGAGCTCAAGACCAGCCTGGGTAACATGGTGAGACCCTGTCTCTAGAAAAAATGCAAAAATTGGCCAGGTGGTGGCATGCACCTGCAGTCCCAGCTATGCGGGAGGCTGAGGTGGGAGGATCACCTGAGCCCAGGGAGGTCAAGGCTACGGTGATTCGTGATTACGCCACTGCACTTCAGCCTGGACAACAGAGTGAGACCCTGTCTCAAAAAAAAAGTACTTTCTCTCTTGTGACTTTCACCCTGGCAGTTTCAGGTTTAGAAATCTTTGGGGGGGTGCTGGGCATGGTGGCTCACACCTGTAATCCCAGCACTTTAGGAGGCCAAGGTGGGTGGATCACTTGAGGTCAAGAGCTCGAGACCAGCCTGGCTAACATGGTGAAACCCCATCTCTACTAAAAATACAAAAATTAGCCGGGTGGTGGTGGCACGCGTCTGTAATCCCAGCTACTCGGGAGGCTGAGGCAGGAGAATTGCTTGAGCCTGGCAGGTGAAGGTTGCAGTGAGCCAAGATCGCGCCACTGCACTCCAGCCTGGGTGACAGAATGAGACCCTGTCTCAAGAAGAAGAAAAAAAAACAAATCTTTTTTTTTCTTTCATTTAACAAAGACGCTTATTAATTTATCTTTCCCCATACTCTTAATCCTCACCAGAGAAACTTGCCCAGGCCAAAGAAGAGAACGTGGGCTTACATCAGACACTGGATCAGACACTAAACGAACTTAACTGTATATAAGCAAAACAGAAGAGTCTTGTTCCAACAGAAACTCTGGAGCTCCGTGGGTCTTTCTCTTCTCTTGTAAGAAGTTCCTTTTGTTATTGCCATCTTCGCTTTGCTGGAAATGTCAAGCAAATTATGAATACATGACCAAATATTTTGTATCGGAGAAGCTTTGAGCACCAGTTAAATCTCATTCCTTCCCTTTTTTTTTCAAATGGCACCAGCTTTTTCAGCTCTCTTATTTTTTCCTTAAGTAGCATTTATTCCTAAGGTAGGCAGGGTATTTCCTAGTAAGCATACTTTCTTAAGACGGAGGCCATTTGGTTCCTGGGAGAATAGGCAGCCCCACACTTTGAAGAATACAGACCCCAGTATCTAGTCGTGGATATAATTAAAACGCTGAAGACCATAACCTTTTGGGTCAACTGTTGGTCAAACTATAGGAGAGACCAGGGACCATCACATGGGTAGGGATTTTCCATCCAGAGCCAATAAAAGGACTGGTGGGGGCCGGGGGTGGCTATTGTGGGAAGTCATAACCCACAGATAGATCAACCTAAGAATCCTGGCCCTTCTCCACTCTCCACCATGCAGGACAAACATCTTCTCAAGCAGTCAACGTAGAATGCTTGGGAAATAGTCATAATTACCCACATATAGTAATTAATAGATGGTAATTAATTGATCCTTGATGTGATGTTCTTTTGCATATTTCCTTCATTCTAAAGTTGTTCCCTGGCCGGGAGCGTTGGCTTTCGCCTGTAATCCCAACACTTTGGGAGGCCAGGACAGATCACTTGAGGTCAGGAGTTCGAGACCAGCCCAGCCAACATGGCGAAACCATGTCTCTACTAAAAATACAAAAATTATGGTGACGCCTGCCTGTAGTCCCAGCTACTCGGGAGGCTGAGGCAGGAGGATCGCTTGAACCCAGGAAGTGGAGACTGCAGTGAGCCGATATCGCACCACAGCGCTCCAGCCTGGTCGACAGAGTGAGACTCCATCTCAAGAAAAAATAAAAATAAAGTTGTTCTCTGAAGAGCAAATGTCTCATTCCAGTAATGACCCACTCAGCAGGAATATGGTGGAGTTCAGTCCAATTCAGGTCAGCCATATCCAAAAGACCACAAGTCATTACTAAGTTGAGCAAAAGAGTTTTTATCTATTAGCAGAAAGGGCCTCTCTGGCAGCAGAGATTAAAAACTGGCCCAACTTCATTTCCATACTTCAGGGAACAGCAAATTGAGGATTTACTTATCTAGGACTTGAATTCCTTCTTTGGGACCAAGTTAATAAAAGACCAAGAAACTCCTGATTAAACTGGATAATGAAGGATTCTGTAGACAGGGCTGCACGTATCGGCTTTGTTTGACTTCTCTTTTCTCAGTTAACATCTCAGAGCTAGAACATTCCACATTCCCCAGCAGCGTGTGGGGGCTGACTAAAGTTTACAATTCCAACTAAAAATCACCCTGCTTCTGGCTTATCTGAATCCCTTACCCACCCCACCCCACCACCCTACTCCTATTTATTCAGCACCACACTACCCAGGAAATACACTAGCAAATTGTGCAATGGAATAAAATCCACACTTTAGATTCTTGCAACTGTATCATATGTAATAGTATCACTTTTTCTACATTTTGGTCAAATAAATTTTTACATAAACTACAATTTGCGTGAATTTTAGAATGTGTGGGGGTACACAGAGCATTTTGGTTCAACAAATGTTAAAGGGATGGAAAGGGAAAATAACCAGAGCCAAGAATGTAGACAAGGTTATCTATTTGCTTTATACTGTGACTTCATGATACAAGGATATTACAGTCTCATTGCAGGCGAGAGCACTCAGCCTCGGTCACTCGAAAACTCCTGGCCTTCCTTATCCCCTACGCTGCCTAAGCCAGGCTGTGAAGAATGAGTAGGATTTTAAGAGATAAAAGCAGGGAAAATCATCTCTGTTGCCTGAGTTAGGAAGATCTGCCTAGCTAAGGCTGAGTTACACATACAAAGGAAAGCAGACCAGCATGGGCACCATAGTGAGACCCCGTCTACAAACAATAACAAAAATTTGGCCAGGTACAGTGGCCAAATTACACCTGTAATCCCAGCACTTTGGGAGGCCGAGGCTGGCGGACCGCTTAGGGCCAGGAGTTCAGGACCAGCCTGGCCAACATTGTGAAACCCCATCTCTACTAAAAACACAAAAATGAGCTGGGCATGGTGGTGCACACCTATAATCCCAGCTACCCGGGAGGCGGAGGTTGCAGTGAGCCGAGATCACGCCACTGCACTCCAGCCCCGGTGACAGAGCGGGACTCTGTCTCAAACACACACACACAAACTAGTGGGGTGTGGTGGCACATGCCTATAAGTCCCAGCTACTCGAGAGGCTGAGGAAGAAGGATCGCTTGAGCCCAGGAGGCAGAGGATGCAGTGAGCTATGATTGGCCTGTGCACTCCAGCCTGGGGGACCGTCTCTGAGCAAGACCCTGTCTCAAAATAAGTAAATAAATAAAGCAAAGCAGAAGCAGAAAAGCTGGAAGGTAGGCTGAGCCCACACTGATGACAGCCTGAACTTAATTTAGTCAGGAGTGGAGAGCCACTAAAGACTAGAGGAGGCCAGGTGCGGTGGCTCACACCTGTAATCCCAGCACTTTGGGAGGCTGAGGCAGGTGGATCATTTGAGCTCAGGAGTTCAAGACTGGCCTGGGCAACATGGTGAAACCCCGTTTCTACTAAAAATACAAAAATTAGCTGGGTGCACACCTGTAATCCCAGCACTTTGGGAGGCTGAGGCAGGTGGATCATTTGAGCTCAGGAGTTCAAGACTGGCCTGGGCAACATGGTGAAACCCCGTCTCTACTAAAAATACAAAAATTAGCGGGTGCACACCTGTAATCCCAGCTACTCAGGAGGCTGAGGCAGGAGAATCACTTGAACCCAGGAGGTAGAGGTTGCAGTGAGCTGAGATCATGCCACTGCCCTTCAGCCTAGGCAACAGAGCAAGACTCTTGTCTCCAAAAATAAAAAATAAAGACTAAAAAGACTGGAAGAGGCCAGGTGCAGTGGCTCCCACCTGTAATCCCAGCACTTTGAGAGGCCGAGATGGGCAGATCACGAGGTCAGGAGATTGAGACCATCCTGGCTAACAGGGTGAAACCCCATCTCTACTAAAAATACAAAAAATTAACCGGGCATGGTGGCACGCACCTGTAATCCCAGCTACTCGGGAGGCTGAGGCAGGAGAATCGCTTGAACCCAGGAGGCGGAGGTTGCAGTGAGCCAAGATCACACCACTGCACTCCAGACTGGGCCACAGAGCAAGACTCCACCTAAAAAAAAAAAAAAAGACTGGAGGAAACAAGTCAAGCAATACATTAGGAAAATCCACTTAGCATTCATCTTCAAGAAGGTCTAGCATTGGGGTGGACTAAGGCAGGAAGCCCAGTTAGGAAAAGGTTTCAATAATCCAGTACAGGTTGCCATGGAATACGAGGGAAGAAGTGATTCGAAGGAAGTAATCTTAAAATTTAGCTCGCTGGATGGCAGAGAACTTAGAACAGAATGTCAAAGACCACTACAGTTTCACTACCTGAATTTTGATATTTTGCCTCAAGATCTTCTTTTGAGGAGGGGAGGCAGTGAATCAGAAAGAGAAATGAAAGCCTTTAAAACATTAATGGAGTCTGCAGACAACTTTCTGTTATCGAAAAAATAACAAGCCGGGCGCTGTGGCTCACACTTGTAATCCCAGCACTTTGGGAAGCCAAGGTGGGCAGATCATCTGAGGTCACAGACAGGCAGATCACCTGAGGTCAGGAGTTGGAGACCACCCTGGCCGACATGGTGAAACCCTGTCTCTACTAAAAATACAAAAATTAGCCAGGCGTGGTGGCACACGTCTGTAATCCCAGCTACTTGGGAGGCTGAGACAGGAGAATTGCTTGAACCCAAGAGGCAGAGGTGGCAGTGAACCAAGATTGCGCCACTGCACTCCAGCTTGGGCAACAGATCAAGACTCTGTCTCAAAAATAAAATAACAGGCCGGGCACGGTGGCTCACGCTTGTAATCCCAGCCCTTTGGGAGGCCAAGGCGGGCGGATCATCTGAGGTTGGGAGTTCGAGACCAGCCTGACCAATATGGAGAAACCCCATCTCTACCAAAAATACAAAATTAGCCAGGTGTGGTGGCGCATGCCTGTGATCCCAGCTACTCGGGAGGCTGAGGCAGGAGAATCGCTTGAACCTGGGAGGCGGAGGTTGCCGTGAGCTGAGATCCTGCCACTGCACTCCAGCCTTGGCAACAAGAGCAAAACTCTGTCTCAAAAAAAACAGCAGGCAGAGACAGGGGAGGATAACGAGCCCAGCCAGGGGTTCAAGACCTGCTTGGGCAATATAGCGAGATCCCATTCTCCAAAAATAAATTAATAAAAAATAAATAACTGGCTGAGCACGGTGGCTGACATCTGTAATCCCAACATTTTGGGAGGCCGAGGTGGGCAGATCACTTGAATTCAGGAGTTTGAGACCAGCCTGGCCAACATGGTGAAACCCCGTCTCCACTAAAAATATAAAAATTAGCTGAGTGTGGTAGTGGGTGCCTATAATCAGCTACTCAGGAGGCTGAGGCAGGAGAATCATTTGAACCTGGGAGGTGGAAGCTGCAGTGAGCTGAGATCGCGCCACTGCAATCCAGCCTGAGTGACAGACTCTGTCTTTAAATAAATAAATAAAATAAATAACCGAAAATGTAGTTATAATAAAAGTATACAATTAAAGCATTTCCTTTAGGCCAATCCAACCTTTAATGGGCACTGGGCTGATTCAGATGGTTGGTGCAGAGAATGTGAATGAATAAAGTCACACCCTCCAATAAAGGCCCTGCCATGATTTGACCACAGTTCCTCCTTTGTGTGTCTGTTTCTCCCTCCTCCCTCCCCACTTGGGTTGTAATCTCATCTCGGGATGCTGTTTTAGTCATGCTTATGGCCTCAGCACTTCACACTTCACTGTGTTCAACGGACCTGTCCCAACTTTTGGGGAGTTCCCAATGCCATGAAGTATGGCTGGAACACAGCATGAGGTCAGAACCAGACTGTGAGGGATTTCAAACGCTAAGAGGAAGATTTTGGACTTTATCCTGCCCAGAGACCACAGATGGCTATTAAAGGAAGTGGTTTTTTTGTTTGTTTGTTTGTTTGTTTTGCTTTTTGAGACAGGATTCCACTCTTGTCACCCAGGCTGGAGGGCAGTGGCGTGATCATGGCTCACAGCAGCCTCGACCTCCTGGGCTCAAGCAATCCTCCCATCTCCACCTCCCGAGTAGCTGGGACGACAGATGTGTACCCAGCTAATTTTTGTATTTTTAATAGAGACAGGGTTTCGCCATGTTGCCCAGGCTGGTCTGAAATGCCAGACCTCAAGTAACCTGGTTGCCTCAGCCTCCCCAAGTGCTGGGATTACAGGCATGAGCCACCGTGCCCAGCCTAAAGTATTTTAGAATAAGCACACTGCAGGGTGGAATCTGGGTTAGAGAAAATGGTCAGGGAGACCAGTGGAGAAATGTAATGATTCCACTGTGGCAATGGAAATGGAAGAATGCAATTCAAGAGCTATTTGTTTTTTTATTTTTTATTTTTGAGACAGAGTCTTGCTCTGTCACCCAGGCTGGAGTGCAGTGGTGCAATCTTGGCTCATTGCAACCTCCGCCTCCCGGATTCAAGCCATTCTCCTGCATCAGCCTCCTGAGTAGCTGGAATTACAGATGCCCACCACACCCGGCTAATTTTTTTAATTTTTAGGAAAAACGGGGTTTTACCATGTTACCCAGGCTGGTCTCAAATTTCTAACTCAGGTGATCCACCCACCTCGGCCTCCCAAAGTGCTGGGATTACAGGCATGAGCCACCGCGCCCGGCCCTCAAGAGCTATTTAGAACCTCCTTAAAAACCAGAATGTGACGGATGAGAGATGAAAGGCAGATGTCAAAGACAGCTTAAGTTTCACTCCTAAGGAAAATCAGGACAAGCCAGTCTGGGTATTGGCTGATGGGTTCAGTTGTGAACATGCTGAGCTAGGAGTATCTGACAAATCCAAAGGGAGATGTCCTGAACGCAGGTGGATGTGAAGAGATGGCTGGGCTAAGGATAAAACACTGAGAATGGTCAGCATGGATTAGGAGCCCCCAGAAAGTGAGAACAGAGACAGAACAACGAGGACCACAAACACTAAGGGACAGGCAGAACCCACCCCTCCCCCACCTCAAAAAGACTTCAATGGGGTCTGAGGAAAAAACAAACAAACAAAGAAGGGGAGGCAGAGGCAGAGGTGGTAGGGAGAAGAAACCAGCAAATAAAATAGGGACAGGGCCGGGCACAGTGGCTTATGCCTGTGATCCCAGCACTTTGAGGGGATCACTTGATGTCAGGAGTTCAAGACCAGCCTGGCCAACATGGTGAAACCCTGTCTCTACTAAAAATAACAAAAATTAGCCGAGCGTGGTGGCACGTGCCTGTAATCCCAGATACTCGGGAGGCTGAGGCAGAAGAATCGCTTGAACCCGGCGGGCAGAGGTTGCAGTGAGCCGAGATCATGCCACTTTACTCCGGCCTGGGTGAAAGAGCGAGACTCCATCTCAAAAAAAAAAAAAAGGGGGATAGGGGCCAAGCGTGGTGGCTCACACCTGTAATCCCAGCACTTTGGGAGGCCGAAGTGGGCAGATCACCTGAGCTCAGGAGTTCGAGACCAGCCTGGCCAATGTGGTGAAATCCCATCTCTACTAAAAATACAAAAATTAGCCAGATGTGGTGGTGGGCCCCTGTAATCCCAGCTACTTAGGAGGCTGAGACAGGAGAATCACTGGAACCCGGGAGGCAGAGGTTGCAGTGAGCTGAGATCGTGCCACTGCACTCCGGCCTAGGCAACAAAGAGTGAAACTCCATCTCAAAAAAAAAAATAATAATGGTATAGGGCCAGGCATGGTGGCTCATACCTGTGATCCCAGCTTTTTGGGAGGTGGAGGCTGGAGGATCTCTTGAGCCCAGGAGTTTGAGACCAGCCTGGGCAACATAGGGAGACCCCATTTCTACAAAAAATAAAAAAATTAGCCTGCCATAGTAGCGTGCAGATGTAGTCCCAGCTACTTGGGAGGCTGAGGTGGGAGGATGGCTTGAGCCCAGGAATTCCAGACCAGCCTGGGTAACATAGCAAGACCCCATCTCTACAAAAAATAAAAATTAGCCATGCGTGGTGGTGCATGCCAGTAGTTCCAGCTACTCTGGAGGCTGAGGTGGGAGAATCACTGGAGCCTGGGAGGCGGAGGTTGCAGTGAGTGAAATCACACCATTGCTCTCCAGCCTGGGCCACAGAACAAGACCCTGTCTCAAAAATAAGTAAATAAATGAGGATAATACCAAGAAAAAAGAATATTCAGAGGTGATCAAGACTATCAAATACCACAGAGGCTGAGGCCTGTAGGTGGTCAATGCCTCTGGTTGAAGCTTTTTTAACCAGAGCTAGATTAGCAGAAGAATGAGCTGAAGTGGAAGGGAGGAGGAAAGGCTGGGCCCTCCTTCCACAGATCCTTAAGTAAGCCTCAAGGCCCCGGAGGCCCCAGAGTGACCTAGAACAGACTGGACCATCTCTAAGAAGCAGGGAGCCCTAGTGATCAAACTGCGGCCTGGGAAGCTTGGCACTCTGAGTTCAGATACCAAATTCCCACTTTTAAGCAGGAAGGGGGAAAAGTCACTTAACCTCCTCTGGCTTCAGTTTTCTCACCATTAAACAGGAAAAAAACAATAACATCGTTTTGCTGGGCTGGTACTGGGATTAAAATTTTAAGAGTCAGGGGCCGGGTGCAGGGGCTCACGCCTGTAATCCCAGTACTTTGGGAGGTGGAGGCAGGCGGATCACGAGGTCAGGAGTTCGAGACCAGCCTGGCCAACACAGTGAAACCCCATCTCTACTAAAAATACAAAAAAATACACCACACCAGGCGTGGTGGTGGGTGCCTGGAATCCAAGCTACTTGGGAGGCTGAGGCAGGAGAATCGCCTGAACCCGGGAGGCAGAGGTTGCAGTGAGCCAAGATCGCGCCATTGCACTCCAGCCCTGGTGACCGTGAGAGACTCCATCTCAGAAAAAAAAAAAAGTCAGGGTCTTGCTCCGTCGCCCAGGCTGGAGTGCAATGGTGCGATCACAGCTCACTGCTGCCTTGACCTCCTGGGCTCAAGGGATCCTCCCACCTTAGCCTCCTGAGTAGCTGGGACTACAAGCATACACCACCATACCTGGCTAATTTTTTAAAAAAATTTTTTGTTTTTTGAGATGGAGCCTTGCTCTGTCACCCAGGCTGGAATGCAGTGACACAATCTCGGCTCACTGCAACCTCCGCCTCCCAGATTCAAGCAATTCTGGTGCCTCAGCCGCCTGAGTAGCTGGGACTACAGGCGCACATGACCACACCTGCCTAGTTTCTGTATTTTTAGCAGAGATGGTGTTTTACCATGTTGGCCAGGCTGGTCTGGAACTCCTGACCTCAGGTGATCCACCTGCCTTGGCCTCCCAAAGTGCTGGGATTACAGGTGTGAACCACCTCGCCTGGCCAAAAAACTTTTTTTTTTTTGCAGAGATGGAGGTCTTGCTATGTTGCCCAGGCTGGTCTCCACCTCCTGGCCTCCAATGAACCTCCACCTCAGCCTCCCAAAGTGCTGGGATTACAAGCGTGCACCATGACGCCCAGCTAATTTTATTTGTTGTAGAGATGGGGATCTCCCTATCTTGTCCGGGCTGGTCTTGACCTCCTAAGCTCAAGCAATCCTCCTGCCTCCCAAAGTGCTGACTCCCAAAGTGCTGGGATTACAGGCCTGAGCCACCACACCCAGCTGCAAGCCCGATTTTCCAAATGTATCTCTCCTCTGTTTTTCTCTTTCTTTTTTTTTTTTTTTTTTTTTTTGAGACGTAGTCTCATTCTGTCGCCCAGACTGGAGTGCAGTGGCGCGATCTCGGTTCACTGCAGGCTCCGCCTCCCGGGTTCACACCATTCTCCTGCCTCAGCCTCCCGAGTAGCTGGGACTACAGGCGCCCGCCACTACTCCCGGGTAATTTTTTGTGTTTTTAGTAGAGACGGGGTTTCACCGCGTTAGCCAGGATGGTCTCGATCTCCTGACCTCCTGATCCGCCCGCCTCGGCCTCCCAAAGTGCGGGATTACAGGCCTGAGCCACCGCGCCCAGCCTTTTTTTCTTTTGATAGGGTCTTGCTCTGTCGCCCAGGCCGAATTGCAGTGGGGCGATCACGGCTTACTGCACCCTCAACCTCCTGGCTTCCCAAAGCACTGGGATCACAGACGGGAGCCAACGCCCCGGCCAGTTTTTTCAACGTTGAGAGCCCTGGCCCCTAGATAGGACCCAGCATCCTCACTGCTCTAACCCCTCCCCCCCCACCATCCCCGGGCTGGCCCGGACAACCCCTAAGGTGGCCGAGGGCGGGCCCTGAGGAGGCCGGCGCGCGCTTCCGGGCACAGCTTGTGGCGGTGAAGCCGCTCAGATGGCGGAGGCCTTGGGTATCTCTAAGCAGATCGCTAGGCCGCAGACCTCGGAGCTCGTCTTGGGTCACTTTTATTTATTTTTTTTGAGACGGAGTCTCTCTCTGTCGCCCACGCTGCAGTGCAATGGCGCGATCTCGGCTCACTGCAAGCTCCGCCTCCCAGATTCAAGCAATTCTCTGCCTCAGCCTCCCGAGTGGCTGGGATTACAGGCGCCCGCCACCACGCCCGGCTAATTTTTGTATTTTTAGTAGAAACGGGGTTTCACCATCTTGGCCAGGCTGGTCTTGAACTCCTGACCTCGTGATCCACGCGCCTCGGCTTCCCAAAGTGTGGGAATTAAAGGCGTGAACCACCGCGTCCGGCTTGGGTCACTTTTCGAGTATACAGCTCCTCCTCTCTCCTTCCTCCCTAGGCCCCCACTGCCCCGACTCGCAGGCCGCAGACAAGGCTGAGAGCGCTACCTTGCTTTCCCGCGCTCGCCTCGGTGCCTACTGCGCCTGCGCGAGCTGTGAGGGCGGGACCCAGAGACACCCGCCCCAACTACTGGCGTGCGCCCTCTGCTGTCGCCTAACGGAACTCCGGGCGCGCGTGCGCACGCACCCCAAGCCACGCCCCGCCAGGCTGCCGGCGCGCGAGCGGTTGGCGCCGCTCCCTGCCTTCCCTCTCCTACAGTGGGGCGGGGCCGGGCCGCCCGAGTCGGGGGTGGAAGGCGGGGGCCACATAATGCCACGCCCCCGCCTCGTCCCCATTTGAAGCCCCGCGACTCTTCACTGCTGGTCAATCAGAGCCCGTGCTCTCCCTAGTGCCGGCCAATGGGAGGTGCGCTCGGGCTGCTTCCGGCTCCGCGCTCCGCTCGCCCCCTCCCAAGGTCTCCCCGCGACTGGCGGGACGCAGGGGCGGGCGTCGGCCGCGGTGACGCGCAGCGGGCCTGGAGCCAATAAGGGGCGGGCTCGGTGCTGATGGACGGTGCTGGTGGCCAGTGGAGAGGCGCTGGCCGCACTTCCCGTCGGGGAGAGAGTGTAATATGGCGAAGACCTACGATTACCTGTTCAAGCTGCTGCTGATCGGGGACTCGGGGGTGGGGAAGACCTGTGTCCTGTTCCGCTTCTCCGAGGACGCCTTCAACTCCACTTTTATCTCCACCATAGGTAACGGGACCGGGGAATGGCTGGGGGCGCCGGAGGCCCGGGCTGGGCGCGCCCCTGAGGGGCTGGGGCTGAGGGATCTACAGGGCTGGACGGGCCGAGGGCGCTGAGAGGGTCGAGGGGGCCTAAAGGGAGAAGAGCAGTCGCCTGCACCGCCGTTCGGGGGTTCCTGGGCCGTGGTGGGGGAGACCAGGTGCCCATTTTGCAGATAGGGAGACTGAGGCTCCGACCCTCAGCCCGCTCGTTAGGGCGTGTTATGTCTTGGGCTGGGGTCTTCGCGCCCGTCCTCTCGATCTGTCCTAGCAGCAGCCCTCGAAGCGGTTCTTTTGAGGCTCTTGCCTTACAGAAGTGGAAACTGAGTCATGGGGAATTGGCCATGGGAAAAAGACAGTGGCATCTCACCTTAATGAGCATTTACTATGTGCCAAGTGCTTCACGTGCATTTTCACACTCTTCAGTTCTTGGTGTTAAGTGCTGTTATGAGCCCGTCTGACAAGATGAGGAATCTGAGGCTCAGGGAGGGCATGGAACTTGCCCAAGGCCACACAGTCTGCACGTGGTGAGAATGGGATTTGATGGAATTTGAACCTGGCTGTGTCTCAACCCAAAACTCGAGGCTTAGCTCTCCTAGAGAGATGCCACTGCACACTCCCAGCTGATGACAAGCTCAGCTAATGCACCTTGGAGCCGGGACTCTAACCCACACCATTCCTGCTCTTTTCTCTGGAGCGTTCAGAGGTTGAGCCCCTCTCCCTGACCATGCTTCCCCTCATAAGCGTATTTTCCTCTAGAAGGAATGATAAGAAGAGTCAGGACCTTTTCCCTGCCCACCTTTCATCCTGCTCCAGGAATGACAGCAATGGCAAGTGACAGCACTGCCTGCCCTGGGACCTGTCATCCCCAAGAAGATGCAAGATAAAAGCCTCAGCGAGAAACTAAATCAGCCACTGCCACAGACAGCCTTGACTTCCCTATCAAAGGGCCCAAGACTCCAGCTGTCACTTTAGAACAGCTTTTCCTGTAGGGCCAGCCCACATTGTGGTTGAACAGAATTGGCTTGGTGCATCTCAGTTGTGATGTCCACAGAAGTGGAGCTGACCTCTCTCAGTGCCACAAAAGCAGTCCTGGCCCACAATGAAAAGGTTTGACCCAGGAGTAACACCTATTTGAGTGGCTTGTGAGCTCTGTAGCCCTGCTAGGGATGGGGAAAGTGGGGGAACGGTCACTAAGTCCAGGAGTTTATTCCGACTCAAGAAAACCTAGGGAATGGCCTTTGCTTTACTGTGTCACTTTGACAGAATCGTGTTATCTCCCTGAACCCCAAGATAATGTGCTAATTCCATTCTTGCCCTCCTCCAGGAGCTATGCTTTATTTATTTTATTTTATTTTATTTTTTGAGACGGAGTCTAGCTCTTTTGCCCAGGCTGGAATCCAGCGGCAGGATCTCGGGTCACTACAACCTCTGCCTCCCGGGTTCAAGCAATTCTCCTGCCTCAGCCTCCCTAGTAGCTGGGATTATAGGCACCCGCCACCACGTCCAGCTAATTTTTGTATTTTTAGTAAATACAGGGTTTCACTGTGTTGGTCAGGCTGGTCTCGAACTCCTGACCTTGTGATCTGCCTGCCTTGGCATCCCAAAGTGCTGGGATTACAAGCATGAGCCACCGCACCCAGCGGAGCTGTGCTTTATAAAACAGTTATATGCCAGATGTAAAATAGAGAGAATTGACTGGAAATCATTACGTCTGGTTTCCAGTTGCTGTTTGCCCTTGAATGTGCACTACCCCTCTCTGAGCCCTGCTGTCTTTAGAGCAGGAGTGACACTGTCTGCCCAGCCTAGTGCCCTGGTGGTTGAGGATTAGAATTAGACAATAAGGGGTTGTCACCACAACCAGAGGCTATCTAGAGGAAGCAAATGAATGGCTCCTGCAGTGACAGCATCCAGCCTCTGAAGACAGATGTTTCTGAATTCTTCCCCCTCCCCCACTCCAAGGCTAAACTTTAGGGTAATTCTTGTGCTCCAACCAATCAAGAAGTGGCGTTAATTCAGCCTGGGCAACATGGCAAACCCCATCTCTACAAAAAATAAAATAAAATCAGCCGGGCACAGTGGCTCACCCATGTAGACCCAGCCACTTGGGAGGCCAAGGTGGGAGGATCGATTGAGCCCAGGAGGTCAAGGTGCAGTGAGCTGTGATGGTGTCACTGCACTCCAGCCTGGGCAACAGAGCGAGACCCTGTCTTAAAAAATAATAATAAAAATAAAAGAAAGAAAGAAATGATGTTAACTGTGAGCAGACTGGCTTGCATTCACTCAGATCCCAGTTTCCCAGCCTTCCCCACAAACCCCCCTCTTTTTTTTTTTTTTTTTTTGAGACAGTCTCTCTTTGTCACCCAGTCTGGAGTGCAGTGGCGCGATCTCGGCTCACTGCAACTTCCACCTCCCAGGTTCCAGCGATTCTCCTGTCTCAGCCTCCCAAGTAGCTGGGATTACAAGCACCTGCCACCATGCCCAGCTAATTTTTGTATTTTTTTTTTTTTTTTTTTAGTAGAGATGGGGTTTCACCATGTTGGCCAGGCTGGTCTCGAACTCCTGACCTCGTGACCGCCCACCTTGGCCTCCCAAAGTGCTGGGATTACAAGCATGAGCCACCGCGCCCAGCCCAACCCCCCTCTTTAGAGTTACTTTGAGCTTTAAAGAGGCTTTCTTCCATTTGCAGATGAGGATGTGACTTGGTGAAAGTTACCTAGCAAGGTGGAGGTGGCACCTGACCCTAAGATCCCTCCCTCCCACCCCTTCATTCCCCTCCTTCCATTTGTAGCCTTCTGTCTTCTAGGAAAGTCTAATTCACCATGACCTTGAAGGTCAGACCTCATAATTCTTAGGCCTCATAAAGTTTACACTTCCTAATTAAATTTGGCATGTTAATAAAACCCAGAGGAGTGTAGGGCGGAGTGCTGCTGTGGAGCTTGGCCAACCTAACAGTGCTCCTCGATTTTTTGTGTCCCTGTACACGTGTGACAGGAAATGGGGAATGTTTTAGGAAGCCCAGGCACACTGGGCTGTCTAGTCCTGAAGCAGTATCACCTTAATGCTTAAAGGTGATTCCATAAATTAGCCATACGTGGTGGCGCTTGCCTGTATTCCCAGCTACTCAGGAGGCTGAGGCAGGAGAATCGCTTGAATCCAGGAGGCAGAGGTTGCAGTGAGCCAAGATTGTGCCAGTGCACTCCAGCCTGGGCAACAGAGCAAAACTCTGTCTCCAAAAAAAAAAAGAAGCAATTCTATATTGGCTGAGTGTACCTCTGGGTTTTCTTTATAGACAAGGATTGAGTGGCTATTCATTTTCTGCCACTCAATCCTTAACATTTTGCCAAAAGTTACATTTCATCAAAGCCTATTCTCAGAAGCCCCATAGATCATTTGTGGTGTGAACTTGGCCCTGTAGCTCCCTGGAATGGGTTCTCACCAGCCTGGCTCGGCGCCACTGCCTCCTCAGGGGCCCATTGATTCCTCCAGTGAAAGGGTTGGCATTTGAGAAAGTGCTTTGTGAACCGCTCAACACCGCGTAGACCCTGTTGCGCTTTAATACTTTGATCCAGCCATATTTTGCCAGTGTCTTCTGTGGGCCAGGCAGCCATTTTGGCAAGAGGGCTGCAGAAAGGACACAGGTGAGTCAAGGTGCGTGCAGGACTGGGGTACCAGCTTCTAGCAAATGTGTATTCAACCCCTGTGTGTTCAGTCACTGGAGGTAATAGCAGTGGATGAGACTTGTCAGTTCCCTGCCCCAGGGAGCTTACGTTTGAGAGGGCGAAAGTCCAGTGCTGGGGCTGGATGGATGGAATTAGCATCCCCACCCTGGGTTCAGAGAGGCCCAGCCAGGCCTGGGCCTCAAGTCTTCCCCAGCAGGCACTTGAACAAACTCCTGGTGGCAAAGGCTGGGTCTGGCTGTTTCTCATCTACATGGGCCATTATGATCTGCAAGCATTATGCCCAGGTCCATGCAGCAGATACATACATGTATGTCAGTTATGTTAATAAATAGGTAAAGGGAGAACTGATGAGGATGGTCAGAAAGGTTCCCCTGAGGAGGGAACTTGAATGGGAACCTGAACAAAGGGATAGCCAGGTAGCTACAGAAGAAAGAACTTTCCAGGGCAGGGAAGAGCAAACATCAAAGCCCCGAGTCAGGAGCATGCTTGGAATGTTGAGGAAATCGCTGTGTGGATGGTGTGGCCAGAGAGAGCAGGTCATGAGCCAGAGTGCTGAGAGGTGACCAGGTTAGGCAGGACCTTGACACACATGAGCAGCTGTTTCCACTTTATTCGAGGGAAGTGGGGCAGGGAAGCCACTGAAAGAGGCTTTAAAAAAAAATAGCTTTATGAGATAGAATTCGCATACAGTTCACCCATTTGCAGTGTACAATTCAGTGGCTTTGGGTACATTCACAGAGTTCCACAACCATCACCACAGGCAATTTGGGAACATTTTTATTATGCCAAAAAGACACCAACCCAAGGCCAGGCACGCACGGTGGCACAGTGGCTCACGCCTGTAATCCCAGTACTTTGGGAGGCTGAGGTGGGCAGATCACGAGGTCAAGAGATCGAGAACAGCCTGGCCAACATGGTGAAACCCTGTCTCTACTAAAAATAGAAAAATTAGCTGGGCATGGTGGCGCGTGCCGGCAGTCCCAGCTACTTGGGAGGCTGTGGCAGGAGAATCACTTGAACCCGGGAGGCAGAGGTTGCAGTGAGCCAAGATTGCACCACTGCACTCCAGGCTAGCCAAGATCGCACCACTGCACTCCAGGCTAGCCAAGATCGCACCACTGCACTCCAGCCTGGTGACAGAGAAACTCCATCTCAAAAAAAAAAAAAAAAAGGATACCAACCCTTCCAGTTTCCCCATGTGCCCCCCCAGCCCCAGACAACTGCTAATCAGCTTTCTGTTTCTATGAATGAGCCTATGCTGGACATGTCTGTTAATGGAATCTCACACTAAGTGACCTTTAGTGTCTGGCTTCTCTCAGCATCCTGTCTTCAAGGTTCATCCACATTGTATAGCATGGATGAGTACTCCGTTCCTTTTTATGACTGGGTCATATTCTGTTGTATGGTTGGACCACATTTTGTTCATCCATTCATCTGTTGGTGGACATACTAGAAAGTTTGGAGCAGAGGGCCGGGTGCGGTGGCTGATGCCTATAATCCCAGCACTTTGGGAGGCTGAGGCAGGCAGATCATTTGAGGTCAGGAGTTTGAGACCAGCCTGGCCAACACGGTGAAACCCCATCTCTACTAAAAACTCAAAAATTGGCCGGGCATTGTGGCAGGCACCTGTGGTCCCAGCTACTCGGGAGGCTGAGGCAGGAGAATCACTTGAACCTGGGAGACAGAGGCTGCAGTGAGCCAAGATTGTGCCACTGCACTCCAGCCTGGGCGACAGAGCGAGACTCCATCTCAAAAAAAAAAAAAGAAAGTAAGTTTGGAGCAGAGGTTAGCTGTGTAACATGGTTAGGGTTATATTTTTGAAGGCTGGGGAGGGGACTGCGGGTGAACAGTGGGAGCCTGGGGAACATCAAGGTGGCTGCGAGGTCACCGTGGGGAAAGGGGATGAAAGCGGGAGGTGAGAGACAAGGAAGATGGGGTCAGGAAGGCTTGTTAGGAGGTGATCTTCAAGGGGGCCTTAAAGGAGGAGAAGTGTGCCTAGCTGACGGGCCAGTGGGACACAGACCACCCGCAGAAAATGAATAGCATGTACAAAAGCTGGGGGCAGGAGAGAACGTGACCATGTGCATTGACGCATGGTGGGGCCTAAGGCCCTGTGTGCCTGGGGGTTGGTCAGCTGCAGGGTGTTGGGGAGCAAGGGACTCAGGCCTGCAGAGGGCTCTGTTGAGACCCACTCCGTACAACTGCCTGGGGTGGGGAGGCGGGTTCAGCTGGCAGCAAGGGACAAGAGCAGGGCTTTGCCACCCGCGCCCCCTGGGTTTGCTCTGCACTGCTCCCATCAGCTCTTGGAGAGGGAAAATATCTCCAAGTGTTTCCAGATCTGGATATTCCGACATCCTGCATGCCCAGCACCAGGCAGGGTCTCCGTAAGCCACAACAGCTGTCACCTGCACAGGTTGGTGGCGCCCAGCTCAGACACAACTTGGGAAATGGGCTGACAGTGACGTGCCTTTTTTCTTTTTTCTTTCAGGAATTGACTTTAAAATTAGGACCATAGAGCTCGATGGCAAGAGAATTAAACTGCAGATATGGTAAGAGTCATTGTTCTCTGTCATTCTCTCCACCTGGCAATGGCTTCAAGCCAGAAGCCCTTGGCCTTCTCCCTCCACCGTCCCTGTGACCTTGGCCTCCATTTCTTGGTGCCCAGTCCTGGCACATGGGGCTTTCTCCAGAAGCTCCTGGAGGTTTATACCCAGCCCAGAGAGCTGTCCTCTGCTGGCTGCAGGGCACCAGGGCCTACAGCATCATAGGCACAAAGCTGCCCAGCCCTGGCTAGCTCAGTGTTCCACAGTGGGCACCATCTGGGTCTGGCCTTCAGAGTGGGCTGCTTCTGTTGAACGGGAAGAGAGCCCTCTCAGTGCCAGGTGCTGGTGACGCCTGCAGGGACTGTGAGATGCCCCAGCCGAGAGTTTCCTTTTGAGCCTCTCAACCCACTCAGAAGCATAAAGGTCCAACTTCACTTCCTCTTTTCTCCCCTGGGGCAGGCCTGGCCTCCCTTCCTAGCGTACAGACCGAAACCCCAAACCGAAATTAAGCGGAGGGCCGGGCCCCATGTTGAGACCTGTTTCCATTCCTGAGAACTAAGGGTGACTTCCCATGCACATACAATTAGGGAAGTGGGGAGACTCCAAGTCGCCATCGCTGGCCTGATTCTAGTTTGCTGAGACTGAGTTCAGGTGGCGGGTATAGTGGGGTCCTGCCCTGCACACATGCCACTCGCACAGAGTCACTGGCCCTGAGCAAAACAAAGAGAAGTCACATTTAAGAGCATGGTGCAATTTCCCTGTCACCCAAACCAGGCAAGTGCCTTTGAGTGGGAGCAGTGTGCCAGGAGATGGGCCACGAAGTCATCCTCCCTCAAGTCTCAAAGTTTGACCGGTCACCCCCACTTGCCAGTTTCAGGGAGCCCCACAGCTACCCTTGACTCCAGGTGCTATTCACCTCTTCTTTTTTTTTCTTCTTTTTTTGAGACGGAGTTTCGCTCTTGTCGCCTAGGCTGGAGTGCAATGGCGCGATCTTGTCTCACCGCAACCTCTGCCCCCCGGGTTCAAGTGATTCTCCTGCCTCAGCCTCCCAAGTAGCTGGTATTACAGGCATGCACCACCACGCCCAACTAATTTTGTATTTTTAGTAGAGACGGGGTTTCTCCATGTTGGTCAGGCTGGTCTCCAACTCCCGACCTCAGGTGACCCACCCACCTCGGCCTCCCAAAGTGCTGGGATTATAGGCGTGAGCCACCACGCCCGGCCCTACTGTTCACCTCTTAATCTGACTTTGGGAGTCGGGTAGGTTTAACTTGCAGTTCATCCTGCAGACATTGGTAGTAAGTCAAGCTCTGGCTGCCTTGTAAGTTCCAAGCCATGGAAGTTTCTCCACTTCCAGCACGTTGGTGCCATGTCACCCTTTGTTCCCAAGTCCAAAGTGACACTGCATCAGCAAGCAGAAGTTTCACTTTCCTCCTGCCTTCCTGCTTCTGCTCTTAGCAATCGTGGTGAGGTTAGTGACTCAAAACTCTTCTAAGGACTGTAGTTGAAAAAAAAATGACTGGTTTTTTTTTTTGTTTCTTTGTTTTTTTGAGACAGAGTTTTGCTCTTGTTGCCCAGGCTGGAGTGCAGTGGCACGATTTTGGCTCACTGCAACCTCCGCCTCCTGGGTTCAGGCAATTCTTCTGCCTCGGCCTCCCAAGTAGCTGGGATTACAGGTGCCTGCCACCACGCTCGGCTAATTTTGTATTTTTAGTAGAGACGGGGTTTCGCCATGTTGGCCAGGTTGGCTTCGAACCCCTGAATTCAGGTGATCCACCCGCCTCGGCCTCCCAAAGTGCTGGAATTACAGGCGTGAGCCACCGCACCTGGCAAAAATGACTGTTTTTAACCACTCATGTCTCCTGCTGCTGGTGTCAGAAAGTCAGCTTAGCTCCAAGCAAGGTGTTTCTGCACAATCCAGACGTATAGAGCCCTCCGGGTCCCAGCAGGGCCGTGGGAGGAACCCTGGGCTTGGAGACAAAAGACCTGAGTCTTGCCCTGGCTCTGTCACCAATCAGTTAGGTCACCTTTAATTTTTTTTTTTTTTTTTTTGACAAAGTCTCACTCTGTCACCCAGGCTGGAGTGCAGTGGCATGATCTCAGCTCACTGCAACCTCCACTTCCTTGGTTCAAGCAATTCTCGTGCTTCAGCTTCCCGAGTAGCTGGGATTACAGGCACCTGCCACCATGCCTGGCTAACTTTTGTATTTTTAGTAGACAGGGTTTCACCATGTTGGTCAGGCTGATCTCAAACTCCTGACCTCAGGTGATCTGCTGGCCTCAGCCTCCCAAAGTGCTGAGATTACGGGAGTGAGCCAACACGCCTGGCTTTTTTTTTTTTTTTTCCTGAGACAGAGTCTTACTCTGTCACCCATGCTGGAATATAGCGGCACGATCTCAGGTCACTGCAACCTCCACCTCCCAGGTTCAAGCGATTGTTGTGTCTCGGCCTCCTAAGTAGCTGGGACTACAGATCCACGCCATCATGCCCGCCTAATTTTTGTATTTTTAGTAGAGATGAGGTTTCATTGTGTTGGTCAGGCCGGTCTCGAACTCCTGGCCTCAGGTGATCCACCCGCCTCGGCCTCTTAAAGTGCTGGGATTACAGATGTAAGCCACTGCACCAGGCCAGTTAGGTTACCTTTTTTTTTTTTGAGACGGAGTCTTGCTCTGTCACCCAGGCTGGAGTACAGTGGTGCAATCTCGGCTCACTGCAGCCTCCACCTCCTGGGTTCCAGCAGTTCTCCTGCCTCAGCCTCCCAGGTAGCTGGGATTACAGGCACGTGCCACCATGCCTGGCTAATTTTTGTATTTTTTGTAGGGACGGGGTTTCACCAAGTTGGCCAGGCTGGTCTCAACCTCCTGACCTCAGGTGGTCCACCTGCCTCGGCCTCCCAAAGTGCTAGGATTACAGATGTGAGCCACTGCGCCCGGCCAGTTAGGTTACCTACCTTTAAACCAAACACTAAGTACCCTTCAAGCCAGGAGCTGGACTGGGCATGGGTATGTCTTACCCAGGCATCACCTCCCGGGCAATAGGCCCTGTGTTCCTTGTCATGCAGATGAGGAGGGACTTTCCCCATCATTCAAACCAAGATGGCAGGCCTGAAAGCTTTTCCTGAGTCCCAGCCACCCTCAACAGCAAGAGCTATGTTCCTGAGCCACATGACTGGCTCTTCTGTGAACCAGAAACTCCAGGGAGAATTCCCTGGAAGCAAAGGTGCAGAAGAGGAGAAGGCGCATGGGTCAGGGATCCCATCATGGCTCTGCCACATCAAATGACCCCTCCAGGCCACAGTGTCCTTCCCTGTAATAATAGGGAGATTAGAAGGTGCTGCCTTAGCAGAAGAAGGTATCACAGTGGCTGAACGGTGAGAAAGCCAGGCATCCCGGGTAGATGCTCCTTGTCTCCTACTGAGGACAGTTATTTTCCTTTAATGTTGCTAATATCCCTTCTCTTCATGTTTAGGGACACAGCCGGTCAGGAACGGTTTCGGACGATCACAACGGCCTACTACAGGGGTGCAATGGTAGGGACTTTTTGTTTGGTTGTTTTTATCTGCTTTTTAAGTCAACATGGGAGCGTCACTGTGCATTGGTTACCGAAGCCTAGATGTTTCTGTGGAGCCCGTGCCCCAACTCCTCAGGGCTCCTTGGTCCCAAGTTAGTCTTAGGAACAGGCTTTGTGCCCCGGCCTACCCCCATGTACATACCTCCCCTTCTGGCTGCAGAGACAATGCAAGGTTTAAATAAAGTGGAAACATAATTCTTTGGGAATGAAGAAAGACACAGGAAGCCGGTTCTTCCAGGTGAGCTCAGTGCAGTTAAAGCCGGCATGCCCCGACTTTTAGGAGCTGTCACATGACCTGCATCTGTCTCTGAAATTTGCTACCAAAAGCTTGAAGATCTTCCAGGAGCTGACCTGCCCTGGGCTGTCGGCCGTTATATCCGTCACCCAGGCCTGAGGCGGGATGACGTGATGGGAAGACTCAGTCATCATCCCTCAAAACATTTCTCAAGCACCTTCTCTGGGCCAGGCCTTAACTAGATGCAGAAGGCGGCCAGGGATGGGACGAGGTCCTGTGTCAGGGGCCCTGTGTGTACATGGCAGGGCATTCAGGGGTAGAGGGAGCAGGAGGTGGAGCCCCTGGACCTGACCTGAGACCCTGGCTTGCCCACTGAGCTCCATCTCCTGACTTGGAAAAGGGAACGGAGCACAGCACTGTGTCTCGGGCTGTGCTGAGGATAAACGGCTGCCTCTCCCCATTCCCAGGTCCCTCTGCTCCCCACTCTTTCCTCCGCATACCCCATCATTTAATTGCTCAGGCAGCTGCCTGTTTCCTCGATGAGGGCAGCGCCACATCCTGGTCCCTGCCATCTGCCTGGCCCCGGGGAACCTGCTGGGTCTGCAGTAGTTGCTCAGGAAAGACTTGTGGAGGGTGGAGATGGAAGGAGGCATTATGTGTTTAGAGCATCCCACACGGCATCCGAAACCTCATGGCAACCCACTCGTGTGGGCTGCAGCCTTAGTGTGCCTCAGTAAAATTAATGTATTTCTTTCCCCCCACCTCACAGTTCTCTGGTGGAGGGTGGGCAGGCGGCCTGAGGGCACTGGGGTCTTGGGGAGCTTCAGCCTCTGGAGAAAACTGTGACCTGGGGCCTGTCCCGATCTTCTCTGGGCCCAAATAGCCACCTTCCACCCTGCCCTGACCACCAAGCCCTCCCCTGCACCAGGCAGTGGGCCCAGGTCTTAGCTCAGATTATCTCATTGCATTTTGGCTGTGAACCTCTTTGTGCAGGCGCCATTGTCATCCCTGTTTTATAACAAAGAACCTGAGGTTTGGCCCGGTGGCCTGCCCCGCTGAAGTTCACTCAGCAGGTAAATGGCTAGGCTGGGCTGGGCTGTTTGTCTCTAGCACCCACATCCTCAACCAGCACCAAGATGATCGTGGCTTTCCATCCTCCTAGACCCAGGCCAACCTGAACAGATGCCACCACTGGCTGCATGTGGCTATTTGAATTTACCCAATTAACATTGAAAATCCAGCCAGGCGCAGTGGCTGATGCCTGTAATCCCAGCACTTTGGGAGGCCGAGGTGGGTAGATCTCTTGAGGTCAGGAGTTGGAGACCAGCCTGGCCACATGGTAAAATTCCATCTCTACTAAAAATACAAAAATTAGCTGGGCGTGGTGGCGGATGCCTGTAATCCCAGCTACTCAGGAGGGTGAGGCAGGAGAATCGCTTAAACCTGGGAGCCGGAGGTTGCGGTGAGCCGAGGTTGCACCACTGCACTCCAGTCTGGGCAGCAGAGCAAGTATCCGTCGCTTAACTACTTAATTAATTAATTAATTTTAAAAAACATTGAAAATCCAGCTCCTTGGGTCAAAGCAGCTATGTTTCTGATGCCCTAGAGCCTTGTGTAGCCAGTATCAGTCATATGGGACAGCACCACCATTGCAGCTGTGTCCTCATCTCTGTCAGCATGCTCATAGACCCTTGGGCCTCAAAATCCCAAGTTTGGGAAGCATTGGATGCCTAGAGACCCATGGTGAGGTTTGCCCAGACGGGGCCCTGGAAAATAGTCACTTGGAGCCCTGAGGGGTGTTTCCAGGAAAACCTGGAATAGGATGGCTGGCTCAGTGTTTTCCAGGTGCTTCTGCTTGATTCTAAGAGAGAGCTCTACCCACTGCCCCACTAACGTCCAGGTTCTCCCCTCAGCTCCCTGAAATAGGTATAATCCAGGAATTTGAGTCTTAGGCACATGTCACCAACTTAGTGGTGAAGGCAGGAATCCTGGGCTTTCAGAGGGTCCAGTCCCCGGATAAAGGGCCCCACGCCCCCTGTCCCTGACCATGTCACAGTCACAGGGTGTGCCCACCGTGGATGGGGCATGGCAGACATCATGGGCCACTGCAGCCTTGAGGTTCTTCGCCATGGTTGCGGCTGACTGTGAGGCCATTATTCATGTCCCTGAATTCCCAGGAGGATTTGGGGTTGCAGTGACTTTCTTGCCCCATCTGTGTCGTTTTTGTCCCACACTCTTGCACCCACATCTGTCTCACCATTACCACATGGCCCGTGTCCTTATTCTGCAAACTTGGATGGCCCCAGACAACTTGGCCAGCAGCAGAAGTCATCAGTGCCCTCAGGTGCCACAGATGCAGGGCTGGGCCTGGGGAGCAGGTAGCGAGGAGGAAGGAAGAAATCCAGGCCTGGCCATGAGCAGGCCACGTGCCTTGGAGCCCAGGATGCCCGGCAACAAAGGGGGACTTGTGATGGCACTGCAGGCTGGCCCGCTGTGGGCACTCCACAAGGACATCGAGAACCACACAGACCGTCAGAGGGTGGCCCCCACATGTGGGTTCTGGGGCTGAAAAAGGCCCAGGGATATTGCTGAGAGGATAGGTGTCATCAGTGCTTTTGGAGTTAGCCCCCCCCCGCCCCCCGTGCTTGAATCTTAAAGGTCACGTCTCTGTGCCTCAGTTTCCCCTTGCATCGCATGGGCATGTTTGCGCTTGTCCACAGCAGTAGCGAGGCTGTGGACCCAGGCTGAGGCGGGGCTGCCCCGAAGCTCTTCCAGGACCCACGAGCCGTCTCCCAGTTGCTCACGTCTAGGTTAGGGAACTGGAAGGGCCTTGGCACTCTCGGCTCCATCTTCACACAGCCGGTTCCCTCTGTGGTGGGGTCACTGGAAGTTGTGTGGATGTCGGGTCAGGACTTCCTGGGCTCAGTTGTGCCTGGTAGGTGGCTCAGGCAGAGCGTGGGGTGAGCAAGGGGTGAAGAGGAGGCCGATTGCAGGGGAGGGTCAGCGTGAGGGGAGTGCTGCTGGCAGTGGGCCTGTGGACCGGCTCCCACCGTCAGGCTGCACCACCCCGTGGGCCATGAGGGGAGCCAGCCGGGCTTGTCAGCGAGTGCGTGGCAGGGGCTGGCCTGTGAGGCAGAAGGGTCACCTCAGCGGCCCGGGGGGCAGGACAAGGCTGGTGCCAGAACCCAGCAGAAAGAAGGGCCACAGGGATGGAGAGGAGGGGGCTGGCTTCCGGGGCTCCACAGAGGTGGGGAGGGCGGCAGCTAATGGGCCTGGCTGTGCAGTGGGTGCTGGGCTCCCCACCACTGTTCTCTGGTGCCGCTGAGGCCTCCCTTCCAGAGCCTGCAGCCGATCAGGCACCTGTGTCTTCTCTCCCCGCGCAGGGCATCATGCTGGTCTACGACATCACCAACGAGAAGTCCTTCGACAACATCCGGAACTGGATTCGCAACATTGAGGAGGTGAGGCCCTCCGGCTCCTCCCACTGTCCCTGCTTCAGTCCTTGTCCCAGAGCCCTCTGGTTTACTCATGAGAAGGCCAAGGTGCAGAGACACATACAGGCCACTTGCCCACAGCCTCCTAGTCAGGGACATGGTGGGAGCAGGGACTGAGATGCAAGCAGCCGGCCCCAGGGACCACACACTGGCCTGGCCCCACCCCGGAGCCCCTCGGAGCCCATCCCTCCAGCTAGGCTGTTGGATCTGGCCAGTGTCATGGTTATAAGAGAAAGGATATCCAAGCTTGTGGTCACCATGAGTGTTGGGTGCTTTCTAGAGAAGGAAGGGTCTAGCACAGGTGTGACCCTTGTAGTTGGAGGGTGTGGTGAGCAGGCGTCAGTTGTACTTTGAGCTATATCGGAGCAGGGTGTGACCTGGTACAAACGACCTGTGTTCAGACCTTGAACCATAGAGCAGTGAGAAGTAGGCCAACCCCTCCTCCCCTCCCAAAGCCAGCATCTTCATCTTCTGCTCCCCAAAGAGCTGACCTCACCCCCAAAGCCTTCCTGGCTGCCGGCACCTGCAGCTTTCTATAACTAACCATGTGGGGCTTCAGGTCTGAGGCACAGCCAGAGAACTTTTCCCATCTATAAAACCACAGCAAAAGGGCATATCACTGTCCACCCAGGACTCATGGACCTCCCAGGCCAGGCCGAGAGGCCACCCCATCATTTGTGAGTCATTGCACTGGGCTCACCTCCCCAGTGACCCTGAGAGGGCTGTGCTGCCAAATTTGCCAGTGCAGGGCTGCACCCCAGCTGGGAAAGCTGTCTTCATCCGTGGAGAGGAGGAGAGCCTGGTCTTTGTGAAAGGTCTCTGTTTCTGGCCAGCGGGCAGGAGCCACCTTCTGGTTCATGGGAAGTGAGGCAGGGAGTGGCGCAGTAGGTTCCAGAGACCAAGTCTGAGCTGGTGGAAGAAGACAGCAGTTTCCAGTGTCCCCGTCCTCCAGGAAGCGTGGTCCGCTCCATGGGGACCCAGGGAGACTTGACGAAGGAGCTGCCTTTGGGTATGAGGGCAGAGTTTGGGCAACATCAGACAGGGTGGTGAAGTGCCTGCAGCTGGTGACGGCCTCGAGTTGCGACCACCTCAGGCACGGCCTGTTTCTGGAGCCCAAAAATAGTTGAAATGTCAGGGCCAGGCGAGGTGGCTTATGCCTGTAATCCCAGCAGTTTGGGAGGCTGAGGCGGGCAGATCACCTGAGGTCAGAAGTTTGAGACCAGCCTAGCCAACATGGCGAAACTCTGTCTCTACTAAAAATACAAAAAATTAGCCTGGTATGGTGGCAGATGCCTGTAATCTCAGCTATTCGGGAGGTTGAGGATCGCTTGAACCTGAAGGCAGAGGTTGCAGTGAGCCGAGATCATGCCACTACACTCCAGCCTGGGAGACAGAACGAGACTCCATCTCAAAAAAAAACAAAAAAAAAAGTGTCAAAGCAGAAGGTCCCAGGACAACAGCTGGGGCCTCTTGCAGAGGAGCCAGGGAGGGAAGGAGGAAAGCCAAGGTCGGGGGGTAAATATCTCAGCCTCACTCACCTCCCATAGGCTAGACCCGCCCAGCATCCCAGGTGCGGGGGCTTGATTGATACAGCCATAGAAGCTGCCAGAAAGCATTTCAGAAAATGTGCATTTGCTCAGAGTAGCAGCTAGAACCCTGGCCCCAGCCCTGGCATTGGCTGTGTGACATGGGGCCGGCTGCTTGGCCTCTCTGAGCTTCAGCTTGTCCCTTAGACCAGGCTGTACCTAGCAGTCCTGACCCCACCGCTCTGATTTCTGGGGACAGACTGTGTGTTGGCAGAGGCACCTGGCCTGTGTCATCCGGTCTGATCCCCCGTCTGTCCCCCTCCCTCTCAGCACGCCTCTGCAGACGTCGAAAAGATGATACTCGGGAACAAGTGTGATGTGAATGACAAGAGACAAGTTTCCAAGGAACGGGGAGAAAAGGTGGGCATGGTGGCACAAGGGGCAGAGGGCCTCGGGGTCTTGGGGTTCTTGTGCAGAGGCCTTCCCCTGTCCCTCCTCTGCCCCAGGGGCCTGAGACGAGTTGGTCACCCCAGTGGGGCACGTGCCATGGGATGACAGAAGCACACACCCAGCCGGGGCTTCTTGGGTGCACTCTGCGGGCATCTCATCAAAACCTACCATGGCCCCGCTCCAGACTTTCAAGACCACAGGAGCGGGGAACAGAGCCATAGTTTGATCCCAGCAGGTCCCCGCCACCCTCCCATCTCAGCTGCCATCCCCAGCAACTCCATGCCCTGTGAGGCCCTGTGGAGGGGCATTCACTATAGAATTGAGGGAGTGATCCAGGAAGTCACGCCCACAGCCCCAGCCCTGTTGCTGCTCCCTCTTGGCGCCGGCCCTGCCTTCAGCTCCTGTTTTAGGCAAGCTCAGATGCGCCCGGCGGCTGGTGTGCTCATGCGTGTGCCTCCCTCTCTCACAGCTGGCCCTCGACTATGGAATCAAGTTCATGGAGACCAGCGCGAAGGCCAACATCAATGTGGAAAATGTGAGTCCCGGGCCCTGCTGGGAGACATGGGGCCTGCAGGATCGGCCCCTTCAGGCTAAAGGGGGAGCTGGCGTCCTCCGAGGAGGTCCTGCCAGACGGACCAGCCTCGGGCTCAGGGCTGCCAGTCAGTCCTCTGAGGGACATTTCCTGGGCAGTGCCACGTGCCAAGCACAGGCAGCCCCTGGGAATGTGCCATCAGCAGGGACAGGCACCACAAAGGGCACCTAGGACGCATCTCACGGGCTCTTGGGCAGCCCTGGGGAATAGGCACGGTTTTACAGGTGAGGAAACTAAGGCTCAGAAAGACCCAGCTCTGTGTTTACCCTCTCAGCCACACCACTCACCCTGGAGAGGCCCCTGTCAAAAAAGCCCAGACATAGCAGGGAGCCCTGATGGGACCTGGGCCCATGCCACCCTCCCCTCTCCACGGGGCGACCCCAGCCCTGCGGCCGATCCTGTGATGTTTCCCCATCCTAGTCATGTTTCCAAGGCGGATCTTCCATATCACTCCCGACCTAAAGTCTCTATGCTGACGTGAAGACAAAGGCTAGACTCCTTGCCTGGCGTGGAAGGCCCTCCCTCACCGGCTACAGCTGGTGTTTGCCACCCAGGGCTCAGGCCTTGCCCTCCCCAGGCCACCTGGGCTGCTCCCTTCTCCAATACGTCACTGCATTTCCCTCCTGTGTGCCCCTTTTTCTGCCTGCCAGGTTCCCTTTTCTAGTCAGGGCCTGGCCCTGGGGGCCTCTCCCCAAGAACACCTTCAGTCTCCCCTGGGCCTTCCTCCGCACCCCAAGCCACTCTCCTCTCCAGAACCTCCCACATCATGGGGATGTATGTTGGGATCACGCCTCCCGCCATCTCTGTATGTCCCCTCCTCAAGGCTGTGACAGCAGCTCAACCCTTGGCTGTGCTGGGAGATGAACCTGCTCCCGCTCCCAGCCCTGCCAGGCAAGGACTCCGAGTGAAGCTTGTTTGGCCACAGAGCTGCTTGCCTTTTTCCCTGACCATCAGAAGGGAGGCCAGAGCTGACAGAACCTAGGAGTCAGAGACAAAGAACTGGGCACTCCTAGATCCTTCTGGATTGGTCGGTTAACTGCTGGGTTCCTTTGGACAAGTCACTTGGCCTCTCTGAGCCTCAGTTTCCTCTCTGGCCAACTGAGTGTCGCCCCATCTCACAGGGCTTAGGGGAGGTGGCACATGCGTAAAGTCCCGTCAATGCTAAGGTGCTCTGCGGAAGTGAGAGTTGATGTCAGAGAGTAAGGGTGGGTGGGAGGCAGAGGGAGCCGGGGAAGGATGAGCTGGGGCCGGACAGGCCAGATGAACCCACTGCCAGAGGCGGGCATCAAAGGGCCAAATGGGAGGCCCACGCCTGGGAAGCTGTCTCACCACACCCGCTGTACACGGGCGGCTGAGGACTCAGGGTCCTGCCATCCCAAGGACTCACAATGTGCTTATTCCACAGGCATTTTTCACTCTCGCCAGAGATATCAAAGCAAAAATGGACAAAAAATTGGTGAGTGTGTGTCCTTCCGAGATCCCCGGGTGGATCTCTGGGATCCAGCCATCGTCGTTAGCAGCAGTGATATGACGTGCCCTAGATCCTGCTTTTTAGGGCCCAGCCAGACCCCATGGGACATTGCTGGGAAAGGGGGAAGAGTTTGCAGGTGTGGCTGGGGCATCAGCATCAGGCAGTGCCAGCCTGGGGACGCTGCCCAAGCAGACAAGGCCGTGCCCGGTGAATCCCCAGGCTAGCAGGGAGCACACGGCCTTTTCCATTCCACTCAAGGGCCAGAAAGACAACATGGTGTGCAAGGACAGAGAGCCATGGCTCGGAGAAAAGCTTCCTAGGTCGCTTGGGCAGGGCCAGGGCTGGTGTCTGATAACTGCTGGCTCATCGTCTTGACAAGCATGGCAGATCAAGAACCTGCCCCCGCTCCACCCCAGCCCCAGATGCTACAAGTTGTGACAGCTCTGCAACCTTCATTGTGTCCCAGGGTTCTCTGAGGCCTCCAGGGAAGTCTGCATGAATCCCTACCCATCTACCCTCTCATTCGTTTCTTGCTTTTTTTTTTTTACCACGTTAGCGATTTCCTAGTCCGCTGCGCTCAGTATCAATGGTGCTTTCTTGATGGAATCAAACACTTCCCTGTACTTTGGGGGCATTTAGTGCCTAAACACCGTAGTGACCCTTCCTCCCTCGCCCTGGTTCCAGCAACTGCCCTTTCCCGGCCATGTTACATTGGTTGTCCAATCGAGGAGCACACGGCGCTCTATTTGTGGGTTAAGTCTGGTCACTTGAGAATGCACATAAAATACAAAATGCCGTTCAAGTTTTACATCTGATGTAAGCAAATCTGTTTTGTAATTCTAAGATGCGGTGTGTTGAACAGTGAGGCATGTGATTGATTTAATAGCAGCTCTTTGGCCATTAAATTAAAATGGGAAACAGTTCATGGAAACCAGTGCACTGACCAACAATAATTTGGGATTTTCTTGCAATTTTTTTTCTTCAGTATAATGGTCAAGGTCTGATTCTTTTTTCTTTTAGTTTTCTTATTAGTTAAAAAAGAGATTTTTTTTTTAGAGTCTCACTTTGCCACCTAGGCTGGAGTGCAGTGGCACCATCACAGCTCACTGCAGCCTTCAACTCCTGGGCTCAAGCAATCCTCCCACCTCCGCCTCCCAAGTAGCTGGGGCTATAAGCACACACCACCATGCCTGGCTAATTTTTTTTCTTTTTCTTTTTTTTTGAGAAGGAGTCTCGCTCTGTTGCCCAGGCTAGAGTGCAATGGTGCAATCCCTGCTCACTGCAACCTCTGCCTCCCAGGTTCAAGCGGTTCTTCTGACTCAACCTCCCGAGTACTTGGGATTACAGGCACATGTCACCACGCCCAGCTAATTTTTGTATTTTTAGTAGAGACGAGGCTTCACCATGTTGGTCAGGCTGGTCTTGAACTCCTGACCTCAGGTGATCCACCTGCCTCGGCCTCCCAAAGTGTTGGGATTACAGGTGTGGGCCACCCCGCCTGGCCATTTTTTCTTTTTTAAGAGGCAGGATCTCACTTGTTACCCAGGCTGGACTCAAACTCCTGGGCTCAAGCAGTTCTTCTGCCTCAGCCTCCCAAAGTGCTGGGAAGGGTATGATGGGGTGGGCAGATAAGTGAGAGAGTGGTTGGAAGGGGTGGTATATAGCAGATGGAAAATAGATCTGTTTCTGAAAAACGAATTATCAGTTGTAAGAGAATTGGATGGATGGGTAGAAGATAATGGATGGATGGTTGGTTGAAAGGGAATAAATCGATGGTTGATTTGTTGGAAGGAGATGGTTGGATAGATAGATGATTGGTTTGTTGGTTGGTTGGAAGGGGATGGATGAATGGTTGGTTGGAAGGAGGTGGTTGCTTGGAAGGGGATGGATGGATGGTTGATTGGTCAGAAGGGGTGGTTAGAAGGAGATGGTTAGTTGGAAGAGGGTGGATGGGGGGAAGGAGATGGATGGGTGGATGGATGGTTGGAAAGGGATGGATGGATGGTTGGTTGGATGAGGTGGTTAGAAGGGGATGGATGGTTGGTTGGTTGGTTGGAAGGGGATGGATGGTTGGAAGAAGATGGATGGTTGGAAAGGGATGGATGAGTGGATGGTTCTTGGTTGGAAGGGATGGATGGTTGGTTGATTGGTTTGTTGGTTGGAAGCAGGTGGATAGACGGATGGAAGGGAATGGGTGAGTGGATGGATGGATGGTTGAAAGGGTATAGATGGATGGTTGGTTGGTTGGTTGGTTGGTTGGTTGGTTGGTTGGTTGGTTGGATGGTTGGAAGGGGACAGCTGGACGGACTGGCAGATGATGGATGGATGGTTTGATGGCTGATTGGTTGGTTGGATGGCTGGAATGGTAATGGATGGATGACCTGGCAGATGATGGATGGATGGTTGGATGGCTCGTTGGTTAGTTGGTTGGTTTGGCTGGTTTGATTGGTTTGGTTGTTTGGTTGGTTGGTTGGTTGGTTGGTTGGATGGTTGGATGGATGGTTAGGTGGATGGTTAGGTGGATGGCTGGTTGATTGTGAGACGTAGTGCTGATTCTCAGTGATAACCTCAGAAAACCTCTTGTGATTTCAGGAAGGCAACAGCCCCCAGGGGAGCAACCAGGGAGTCAAAATCACACCGGACCAGCAGAAGAGGAGCAGCTTTTTCCGATGTGTTCTTCTGTGAGGAACACCGCCTTACTCTGAGCCTCGCTCAGCCCAGCTGACTGTGCCTGTTCTGAGTGAGCCCCTCACTCAGCCGGGGCCCTCCCACCTCCAACGCCCCGCCCACGCCGCGGCCACCGGGCCCACGGCCACCAGAATGCAATTGAGAAATCGTTTATTTTAGTAACTGTCTGATCTTTTTCAACTTTGGAGATGGAATAAGTTAAAAATTTGCTATTTTTCCTGTAACATCTGCTGAACGGGCCCACCCACACGTTGTATATTCAGAGAGAGAGAGGGAGTCAAGGTGTGACCGTCGACCACAGCCAGTGTCAGGCCTCTGCCTCTGGGCCTTTGCTTTGTGGCCTCACTGCAACACAAAGCTCCACCAGGAGGCTGGTTCACGTCCCCTACCACGGAAGCGAGGTCCCAGAAGGCCAGCGGTGGTTCCAGGAGCAACAGCTCCCAAACCCTGAGCAAGGCAACCGATCGCCAGGACCAGGAAGCATCACCCAGGAGATTTGGCGCCCACTTCCACCTCTTCTCTCAGTTTTGGACAAGTGACAAACCATTTTGCCCCCTCACTCTTCTTTTTTAACTGTTAAACCAAAGGAAAGCACAAATGAAGGAAATCCTGTGTAAAGCATTGAGAAGGAAAGAAGCCTGGAGCAGCCTCTCCTGTCCACAGCCAGGGGTTAGGTCTGCAGGCCCGTCTGCGGTCCCCATCGAGCATCAAGGGGACGCTGTGTGTGCTGCAAGTGACCCCGAAAACAACCACAGCCGTCACATGGTCCTCCTGAAGTTGGGGCACCCTCCTCTCAGCACCAAAATGGCCCCCACTCCTTCGTGTCCTCCCGCTATCTCCAAATCGGACGTTCTTTCTAGCTGAGATTTTTATTTTTCCACATCTGTAGTGCCATGAAGCGATTCTGTCTTTGACTTCCAATGGCAAACCTGGGTGATCGGGAACAAGCACGTTGTACCCTTGGCTGGACATGGCCAAGACACAAGGCATTCCACGGCGGCAAGCTGACCGCACAGCAGTCTGGCTTGATTTTCAGCCGTCATCATTGGGTTCTGTTTTGACAGCTCTGCTGTCCCATAGGGACTGCGACTGGGACCAGGTCAACCACGCCAGGGGGGTGTCACCAGCCTTTTCTTTTTTTCTTTCTTTTTTTTTTTTTCCTCCTTAAGCTGCTGTCAATCCAAACCATTGGCATCATCGTTTCTTTTGAATTAAAACCAACATATCAGCAATAGTCTGCTCTCCCCGGGAATCTCTAACATGCTCTGTTTACATCGATAAATGCACTTAAGGAAAACAAACAAATTAAAGCTCATCTTAAAGTCCAAGGATTTTTATGTCCACATTTTCCCTGTAGGCCACACGGACATGGCCAGGTGCTGGGGGTGGGTCTGGACAAGATGGTAGAGCCCATGGATTACCCCATCGAGCGGCCACCTCAGAGGAGATGCCACCCATCATCAAAAGACTAAATTGGGAAAAGAAGCCTCCTGGCTTGGTGCAGTGGCTCACACCTGTAATCCCAGCACTCTGGGAGGCCAAGGCGGGCTGATCACTTGAGCTCAGGTGTTCGAGACCAGCCTGGCCAACATGGTGAGCCTGCGTCACCTGGCTTCTGGCACACAGCTCGGCCACTGTGTCCCTCCTGCCTCCCTGGCAGGTCCTTCTAGGGGCCCTCTCCTGGCTGGCTTTCCAGGGCATTCCTTCCACTCTATCCAGGGTCCTTCCCAAGACCACACCCAGGTCCAGTCATTCCCTAGGACTTGGCAGAGAGCTGTACTCACAGCCAAGATCACAGCAAAATCAGCAAAGGGAAAAGGCATGCAGAGTGAAGTCCAGAGGCAACCAGACAGAAGCATCCAGAATCCTCTCACAGTGGGGTCACACACCCCATGCTTAACTCCCCCAACAATGAGTTGTAACAACAGGTGTGTAATGTGTCTTTTGTGAAAGCTAGTTGGCAGTTCTGTACCCAGGTGTTTATGGAGCCAGTCACATAGGAACCCTCTACCTGGCACTTATCAGGATTCCAGACTCCTACAAAGAAAGCAGGGGTTTAGCATAAACCGCATCACTTGTACAGAAAGTGTATGAGCCACGCATGTAGGGAAGTTTTAATATCCGTAGGGAACTTTACCAACTGCAGGCCCACCTTGCCAGCAGGCCTTTCTCAGGAAGCAGCCTCAGATCTATTCATTCTTTTCTGCACACACTATGCTTTTAGATAGGCCAGTGGCTTTCAAGCTGCAAATCCAGGCCAGACCCAGGTCGGTTTCACCTGCCACTCTCTATTCCAATTTGAATGTCTCATCGGCACCGTAAGCATAACACAGCCCTGACCCTGGACTCCATCCCTGCCTTCCCCATCGTGCCCACAGCTGACCCCTCCCGAGTTGTAGCCACGACCACCTGGACCTCTGTGACCACTTCCTCATGGGTTTCAGGTCCTCACCTCTGTGTTTCAAACTATTTTCAGAGTGTCCTTACGAAACTGAAATCAGTGTCACCTCCTTGCTTAAAGCTCTCCCCAGGGGCTGGGGTGTGTGGCTTATGCCTATAATCCCAGTGCCTTGAGAGGCAGAGGCAGGGGAATAGCTTGAGGCCAGTTCAAGTTAAAGACCATCCTGGACAACATAGTGAGACCCCATCTCTAAAAAAAAAAAAAAAAAAGTACAAAAATTGGCCGGGTGCAGTGGCGCATGCCTCATCCCAGCACTTTGGGAGGCCGAGGTGGGTGGTTCACCTGAGGTCAGGAGTTCAGAGTTCAAGACCAGCCTGGCCAATATGGCAAAACCCCATCTTTACTAAAAATACAAAAATTAGGCATGGTTGCACGCGCCTGTAGTCCCAACTACTCAGGAGGCTGAGGCAGGAGAATCGCTTGAACCTGGGAGGCAGAGGTTGCAGTAAGCCGAGATTGCGCCACTGCACTCTAGCCTGGGTGACAGAGCAAGACTCCGTCTCAAAAAAATAAAAAATAGTATGGTGGCATGCACCTGTAGTCCCAGCTACTCAGGAGGCTGAGGAGGGAGGATCACTTGAGCCCAGGAGTTGGAGGCTGCAGTGAGCTGTGACCACACCACTACATTCCAGCCTGGGTGACAGAGCAAGACCCTTTCTCAAAAAAAAAACAAAAAACCTCCCCAGGTCTTCCTTGGGCTTAGGGATACAACTTACGCCCCTCACCGTGGGGCACAAGCCTCTACACGCTGCAGCCATAGCCCTGCCTACTCCTTCCTCTTTCTCTGGCTGCCCTTCCTGGCTCACTCCACTCCAATCCTCTCCTTCCTTACTCCTTCACTCCACACTCATCACTGAGAAGGCCCCAGGGCCTTTGCACTTGCCACACCCTAGTCTTGTAGTCTCCTGAAATGTGCAAAGCCCACTGTCCATCACATCATGGTTATCCAGGGCTACCTCTGCAGAGGCCTCTCCCAGTCATGCCCTTCTCTCTTCCTAGCTCATCTTCATAGCATTTATGAGAAGTTACCTGTTTTCATTGCCAACCCTGTCCCCACTCAGCCCAAAACCTCCATGAGGACAGGGACTTCTGTAGTGTGCTTGTGTGTGGCCTGAACCCATTGAATTAATGAAGGACACGCAAATGGCCTCTAGGGTGAGCACAAGGGAGGAGACATCCTCTTCCCTCAAAGAAACCAGCTTCCAGGGTTGATCCTGCAGCCTCTGCAGCCTAGGGGGCAGCTCCCCAGGCATTGCAAACTCAGTGGGTTTGGGAACCCCCAGCCACAAACTCCCTTCCCACCTGACCATGCTAGAGGCCTGCCCTGGTGGTCCCTGGCTTAGCTCCCATCAAAATCTCTGTCATCTCTATCCTTGAGCCTCCGAGCACGCACTCAGGAGGACCCTGAATCCTGATACTAAAACTCAAAAGTCACCCCCTGCCACGGATGCCTGATAAATGGCCACTTTGGGAAACTTGCTTTCTTTCCACGAAACTTTGCAGTTTCTGTCCAAAACTGCAAAATTCGGAGACAGTGACAGCCAATGGCAATGAATAGCAGATCCTGACTGGGAACCCATCCTGTGCCTGGCTTTCTTCTGAGCCCTTAATGGGTCACGGATAAGAGGGAGCTGCCTGGGCCCGAATCCCAGCACCACTCAAGACCCACGGTGATAGAGGAGCTAGAAAGAAATTATTTAGGCAGATAGTGAGGGCACCAGAGTCCTTGGCGGAATTTCTTTTCTAACAAAAAGCAGCCCAAGAAATTATTTTTTCTAACAAAAAGCAGTCTGAGAAATCGAGCTGCAGACATAGATAAGCGAGCTAGAAGCTTGCACGGGGAAATGCCAGCAGCTGCGTCAATAGAAAACAGTTGCCTGGGTGCCAGGCAAGACCAACGTGGAGACTCCATCTTCCCTGTTTTTATTACCACGTGTACAGTAAAGGGATGGGCAACATGGCACAGCTCAGGCAGAGGACCCGCTTGCATGATAAAAGATTAGGGGTGGCCAGAAATTCACACCCGATGCAAATGGCACACCTAGTCCTAACCAGTTTTTCACACCCTATGCAAATATAACACCTAGTCCAACCAATCTTTCACGCCTTATGTAAATCAAACACTGCCTCCTCACCAGGCATCTATAAAATCCCCTGCATTTCACTGTGCATCTGTCAATGCATTTTTTCAGGACCTCTCTCTGCAGGAGGGAACTCTTCTCTTTCTTTTGCCTATTAAGCTTCTCTTAACCTCACTCTTGTGTGTCCACGTCCTTGTTCTCCATGGCCATGAGATGACAAATCTCGGGTATCTACCCCAGATGAGGCCGTTTCAATGGCACAGCCTTGGACACATGCCCTCAACAACTGAACTTAGTTTCCTCTCTTGCAAAATAGGGGGGATCATAGTTTCCACCTCATAGGATGGCTATGAAGAGCCAGGGAGATGATGGATCCCAGAGGAGGCACAGGTACATACATAATGAGCACAGAGACAGAATAGGCTGATATCAGCATCATCACTGTCCTCATCACTGTCATCATCATCATTATCATTATTTTAAAGCAGGGTCATCCGGCCGGGCGCGGTAGCTCACACCTATAATCCCAGCACTTTGGGAGGCCGACGTGGGTGGATCACTTGAGGTCAGGAGTTCGAGACCAGCCTGGCCAATATGGTGAAACCCCGTCTCTACTAAAAATACAAAAATTAGCCAGAAATCACTTGAACCAGGGAGGCGGAGGTTGCAATGAACCTAGATCATGCCACTGCACTCCAGCCTGGGCAACAGAGCGAGACTCCGTCTCAAAAAAAAAAAAAAAGAAAAAAAGAAGCAGGGTCTTGCTCTGTTGCCCAGGCTGGAGTGCAGTGGTGGGATCATGGCTCACTGCAGCCTCAACCTCCCAGGCTCAAGTGATCCTCCTGCCTTAGCCTCCCAAGTAGCTGGTACTACAGGTGCATACCACCACACCCAACTAATTGTTTTACTTTTTTGTAGAGATGGTGTCTCACTGCCCAGGCTGGTCTTGAACTGGCCTCAAGTGATCCTCCCACCTCAGCCTCCCAAAGTGTTGGGATTACAGGTGTGAGCCACCACACCCACCCTGTTATTACTATGACCACCATTGTTCATCTTGTTCCCCAAGAAAAGTGCAGTGGTGCAATCTTGGCTCACTGCAACTTCTGCCTCCTGGGTTCAAGCAATTCTCATGCCTCAGCCTCCCGAGTAGCTGGGATTACAGGTCCCGCCACCACGCCTGGCTAATTTTTGTATTTTTAGTAGAGATGGAGTTTCACCATGTTGGCCAGGCTAGTCTCAAACTCTTGACCTCAGGTGATCCACCCACCTTGGCCTCCCAAAGTGCTAGAATTACAGGTGTGAGCCACCGTGTCCAGCCAGTTCTGGACATTTCATATCAATGGAATCATGCACTAGGTGGCCTTTGTGTCTGGCTTCTCTCAGCATCATGTTTTTGGGGCTCATCCACATTGTAGCATGGAGCAGTGCTTCCTTCCTTTCTGTGGCTGAATCATATTTCATGGTGTGGATGATGGAACCACGTTTTGTTTACCCATTCATTCATTCATGGACATTTGGGTTGTTTCCACCGTTTGGACACCTTAGCTGTCATCATCTGTGCCTCAGACATACCAAGTTCTTTCCTACCACAGGGCCTTTGCCCGTGCTGATTTTGTTTGTTTGTTTGAGATGGAGTCTCGCTCTGTTGCCCAGGCTGGAGTGCAGTGGCAAGATCTCAGCTCACTGCACCCTCCGCCTCCCGGGTTCAAGCGATTCTTCTGCCTCAGCCTCCCGAGTAGCTGGGACTACAGGCGTGCGCCACCATGCCCAGCTAATTTTTGTATTTTTGGTAGAGACAGGGTTTCACCATGTTGGCCAGGCTGGTCTCGATCCCTTGACTTCATGATCTGCCTGCCTCAGTCTCCCAAAGTGCTGGGATTACAGGTTTGAGCCACCGCACCCAGCCTGCCCTTGCTATTTTCTTTTCTGCCTGACTGTCCTGCATGTGAACTCATTCAGCATCTGTCTCCTCATAGACTGTGGGCCCTAGAAGGGTGGGGACCATGCCAATCTTGCCTTTTTTTTTTGAGACACAGTCTCACTCTGTGACCCAGGCTGGAGTGCAGTGGCATGATCTCAGCTCACTGCAACCTCCATCTCCCAGTTCAAGCAATTCTTCTGCCTCAGCCTCCTGAGTATCTGGGATTACAGGCATGAGCCACTACGCCCAACTAATTTTTGTGTTTTTAGTATAGACAGGGTTTCCCCATGTTGGCCAGGCTGGTCTTGAACTCCTGACCTCAGGTGATCTGCCCACCTCGGCCTCCCGAAGAGCTGGGATTACAGGCATAAGCCACAGCACCCGGCCCGATCTTGCCTTCTGCTTCATCTGCAGCATCTAGCATGGTGCCCATCCAGAGCTGGGGCTCAGCCAGTGTTTGTGAAATCAATGAATGAATAGAATGAAGGCATTGTAGGAAGCTAAAATCATAAAATTACATCAAGTCCAGGGTTGGGCACAGTGGCTCATGCCTATAATCCCAACACTGGGAGGCTGGGGTGTGAGGATTGCTTGAGCTCAGGCGTTCTAGACCATCCTGGGCAACACAGCAAGACCCTGTCTACAAAATAAAAATTGAAAAATTAACCGGGCATGGTGGTGTGAGCTTGTGATTGCAGCTACTTGGGAGGCTGAGGCGGGAGGATCACTTGAGCCCGGGAGTTTGAGGTTGCAGGGAGCTATGATGGCACAGTGCACTTCAGCCTGGGCAACAGAGTGAGACCTTGTCTCTAAAAAGAATCGCATCAAACCCAGTGTTGGCAGAGCCTAAGGGCTTCCCCACTCCCTGACATGTATGGGCCCAGCATTTTCCCAGCACTAAGATGGCATTGTGGCCACCTCCCCCAAGAGCCACCCCACGTGAATCTGTGAATGGCCCACTTACCAGCTGCGGCCTCTGCTGAGAAGCCCAGATCTGTCTCCCTGGAGAACCTGGTATCAGAGAGAGGGGGCCTTGGAATTCTAGCCCCGTTATCTCCCCATCAGGGCACCTTCGTTTTCCCCTCCACACCCTTCCTTCCTCTGGGGGACGCATGTCCGTTTGCGGGCCGAGGCCTGCGGACACTGAGGGGTGTGGGGGTGATTCTGTTGCGACATCTGAAAGGAAGACGTTAGTTTGTGGGAGACCACATCACCCAAGCAGGTCAGGGGAAGCGAGGTTGGGCCGTTTGTGGTGAGGTCTTAGGGGACTGTGCTAGAGCTGGGCCAGCGTACCCCCATGTTCCTGGAAACTCTAAACCCCATGCAAATAAGAGCCCCGATGGTCAGACTTTCCCAGGAGGATCAGAGAAGTGAAGTGAAGTGAAGGCCAGGCCCGGTGGCTCATGCCTGTAATGCCAGCACTTTGGGAAGTCCAGGCAGGTAGATCGCTTGAGGCCAGGAGTTTGAGGCTGCAGTGAGTTGTACTTGCACCACTGCACTCCAGCCTGGGCAACAGAACAAGATCCTGTCTCAAAAAAATAAAAAATAAAAATAAATAAATAAATACTTCAGGCCTATAATCCCAGCACTTTGGGAGGCCAAGGTGGGCAGACCACTTGAGGTCAGGAGTTCAAGACCAACCTGGCCAACATGGTGAAACCCTGTCTCTACTAAAAATATAAAAATTAGCCAGGAGTGGTGGTGCACACTTATAATCTCAGCTACTGGGGAGACTGAGGCAGGAGAATCGCTTGAACCCGGGAGGTGGAGGTTGCAGTGAGCCAAGATCGCACCACTGTACTCCAGCCGGGGCGATAGAACAAGACATCATCTCAAAAATAAAAAGGCCAGATGCAGCAGCTGACACCTGTAATCCTAACACTTTGGGAGGCTGAGGCGGGAGGATCACTTGAACGAGACCAACCTGGCAACATGACAAAACCCCATCTCTTCAAAAATCCAAAAATTAGCCAGGCGTGGTGGTGGTGCTCCTGTAGTCCCAGCTACTCAGGAGGCTGAGATGGGAGGATCACTTGAGCCCAGGAAGTAGAGGCTGTGGTGAGCTGAGACTGCACCACTGCACTCCAGCCTGGGCAACAGAGTGAGGGGACCCTACTCAAAAAAAAAAGAAGAAGAAAAAGAGATTAGCCACAGAGAGGTGAAGTGAGTTGCCCAAGGCAGCTCAGCCCATGAGGTCTGAGGCCCAAGCCAGAGTCTCCCCCAGGCAAACACAAAGGCCTTGCTTGAATTAAGTCACAACAAAGAGTCCTGATTCTCTCACTCCCAACTCATCTCCATGTGCTGTGCTGGAGAGTTGCCTCTCCTAGCATCTTCACATGATTAAGGAGGGCTATTATGCCCATTGCACAGATGCAGAACTGAGGCTCAGAGAGGCTGAGCAACTCACCTTAGGACACACAGCAGGTGAGTGAGAAGCAGGGCTCCACGTGTCTCCTGCTTAGACCTTGTTGACCACAGAGGGCAGACGAGGTGCTGCTGTTGCCGAGGAGGAGCAGGGGGGTGAGAGAGGCACCCAGGGTGAGCCTGGGGTTATCTAGCCCAGCTGGGCCAGGGCAATAGGCCCTTGGGGAGGCCCCCAGTAGGATCTGGGCCCTTTCTGCCTGAAAGGAGAGGAGGAAGTAGTTTTGTTTGTCTGCCTGGGGTACGAGCACACGGCCAGAGCTGGCCAATCTGTTAGGCACACAGGGCCTGCACCCAGGACCCAAGTGCTGTGTGGGACTTCCCAAAGGGCTTCAGCTTATTTAAAATCAGAAGAAAAAAAACTGAACATCCTAATAATAAATATACAATAAGGAATCCAGCCTGGACCACATCGGTCTTAATGCCAACACAGTTGTAAAATAGAATTTTAAGCTGGCACGGCGGCCCACACCTGTAATCCCAGCACTTTGGGAGGCTGAGGCGGGTGGATCACCTGAGGTCAGGAGTTTGAGACCAGCCTGGCCAACATAGTGAAACCTTGTCTCTACTAAAAATACAAACATTAGCCAGGCGTGTTGGTGGGCACCTCTAATCCCAGCTACTCAGGAGGCTGAGGCAGGAGAGTCACTTGAACCAAGGTGGGCGGATCGCTTGAGCCCCAGGAGTTTGAGACCAGCCTGGGCAACACAGCAAGATCCCATCTCCAAAAAAAATATTTTTTTAATTAGTCAGGTGTGGTGGTGTGTGCCTGTAGTCCCAGCTACTTGGGAGCCTGAGGCAGGAGGATCACTTGAGTCCAGCAGTTCAAGACTGCAGTGAGCTATGATCATACCACTGCACTCCAGCCTGAGTGACAGAGTGAAACTCTGTCTCTAAAATAGGTTAGTCAATTAATAAAAATATTTTAAAATATTTTATAATGGAGGAAGTCCTGGTGTGGACCTATGCGTGCCATGAGACCCCAGCCTGTCCAGGCTCAATTCAGTTTCAAGGCCTTTGTGCCTGCTCTTCCCTCCCCCAGCCTGGGCAATATAGCAAGACCCCATCTCTACAAAAAAATATACTCTTTCTGCACTACGCACTCCCCAAATCAAGATGATTCCTTCTCACCCTCAAATGCCCCTTCCTTCACGTCAGTTAGGTCACCTCTGTGGGTTTGTGCAACTGCTGTTCCCACTTCCTGTTTCCCCTTTGGATTTTTTTGTTTGTTTGGGGTTTTTTGTTTTTTTGTTTTGTTTTGTTTGGTTTTCGTTGGTTTTGTTTTGTTTGAGACGGAGTTACACTCTCGCTGCCCAGGCTGGAGTGCAGTGGTGAGATCTCAGCAAACCGCAACCTCCACCTCCCGGGTTCAAGCGATTCTCCTGCCTCAGCCTCCCAAATAGCTGGGATTACAGGCATGTGTCACCACGCCGGGCTAATTTTGCAGTTTTAGTAGAGACGGGATTTCTCCATGTTGGTCAGGCTGGTCGCGAACTCCTGACCTCAAATGATCTGCCCACCTTGGCCTCCCAAAGTGCTGGGATTACAGGCATGAGCCACCGCACCCAGCTGGTGTTTTTTTGTTTGTTTGTTTTGCGGGGGACAGAATTTCCCTCTGTCATCCAGGCTAAAGTGCAGTGGCGTGATCTCGGCTCACTGCAGCCTCTGCGTCCCTGGTCCAAGCGATTCTCTTGCATCAGCCTCCTGAGTAGCTGGGATTACAGGCACCCGCCACCACGCCTAATTTTTGTATTTTTAGTAGAGACAGGGTTTTACCATGTTGGCCAGCCTGGTCTCAAACTCCTGGCCTCAAATGATCCACCCGCCTCGGCCTCCCAAAGTGCTGGGATTACAGGCGTGAGCCACCGCGCCCAGTTTCTGTTCCCCCTTTGTTGCTTTTGTTTTTGTTTTGAGAAGGAGTCTCACTCCGTTGCCCAGGCTGGAGTGCAATGGTGCGATCTCTGCTCACTGCAACCTCCGCCTCCCGGGTTCAAGCAATTCTTGTGCCTCAGCCTCCTGAGTAGCTGGGATTACAGGCGTGCGCCGCCACACCCGGCTGATTTTCGTATTTTAATAGAGACGGGGTTTTGCCATGTTTGCCAGGCTGGTCTCAAACTCCTGACCTCAAGTGATCCGCCTGCCTCAGCCTGTCAAAGTGCTGGGATTGCAGGTGTGAGCCACCGCACCCGTTCCCCGTTCTCCCTTTGTAATGATGTCTCACTCCTCTTCACTGCTTGATAGATTATAGATGCCAGGAGTCAGGGGGCCTGCACCTGTCTCCGTGTCACCCCTGTGTCCTCCAAACAGCAGGCACACAGTAGGTGCTCAATAACAACTTGCTGGGGGCAAGACAGGAGCAAGCTGTCTCTGCACCTGTGGCACCAGATGCTTTGTTGGACTGCAGACAGGGTGACTTGAGCTGTCCTTGTTCCGCCCCCAGGGCTCACCTGCTTGAGGAAACAGGAACTGCCTCGGGGCAGCCAGCCCCGCCCCATTGACGTGCAGACCTTGAATCGAAACCCAGGCTCCTGCAGGCACTGGCACAGCTACAGCGAGGGCCTCGGCCATCCAAGGGTCTCCCAGGTATGTGACCCAAGAGCCTCAGCCCTCGAGGAGACAGAACGTGGGGGCTGGGCTAGGCCAGAAGGAGGGACAGGGCTAGTGGGGCCTGGGGTGGCAGGAGGGATTTTCTAGGGGCATGGGGGAGAGCTTCGTGGAGGAGGGGGTATTTGTGGTGACCACAAATGGAAAATGGAGCTGGAGTTAGGGAAAAGGGGGTCTTGGCAAGACAACAGCATGAGCAAAGGTATGGAGAGGCAAGAGAGAGAGAGCAAGGATGTCTTTAGGTCTAGAATGTGGGTAGCGGGGAAGTAGAGGAGGCTCCCAGGCCAGGGTCAGGAGCTTGAATTTGAGCATGCGGTCTTTCATCACTAGATAGCTGTTCACCAGCAAAGACCCTTGCACCCTCCTCTGTGCCAGGCCAGCACCAGGACACAGAAAAAAACAACAACACAGGAACCTAGCCCTAAGCCCTGATCCCTAGGAGGCCCTCAGGCTGGTGGAGACAGAGCAAGATAAAGACACTCTAGCTCCATGGAGTCATGGCTGGACCAGAGAGAGGAACAGGGGGGAACGTTGGGGACAGAGAGGGGTGCCAGGGTGTTGTCTGGGGGGAGATGCAGGAAAGCTGCCTGGAGGAGGGGACATTTTTACTGGGTTTTGAAGGATAAATAGGAGCTCTTCCAAGTAAAAAAAAAGAATAAGCCTGTAAACATTACCCCATGATAGGTCACAACTGGATTCATGAATATTGTATATATATCTCTATATATACACAGTGCTAGCTAAACTTTCCTAGGTAAATATCATTATTCCCAAATTAAAGACAGAAATACAGGGACAGAGAGCCATTAAGTGACTTATCTGAGGTCACACAGCGGCTAAGTGGGCGAGCTAGGGTTTGAACCCAGGCCATCTGGGTCGAATTCTAGGCTCTTTTTTTTTTTTTTTTTTTTTTTTGAGACGGAGTCTTGCTCTGTCGCCCAGGCTGGAGTGCAGTGGCTCGATCTCAGCTCACTGCAAGCTCTGCCTCCCGAGTTCACGCCATTCTCCTGCCTCAGCCTCCCAAGTAGCTGAGACTACAGGCGCCCGCCACCACACCCAGCTAATTTTTCGTATTTTTAGTAGAGACGGGGTTTCACCATGTTAGCCAGGATGGTCTCAATCTCCTGACCTCGTGATCTGCCTGCCTCAGCCTCCCAAAGTGCTGAGATTACAGGCATGAGCCACCGCACCTGTCCCAGGCTCTTTTTTTGTTGTTGGTGGTGATGGGTTTTTTTTTTGGGGTTTTTTTTTTTTTTTTTGTGAGACAGAGTTTCGCTCTGTTGCTCAGGCTGGAGTGCAGTGGTGCGATCTTGGCTCACTGCAAACTCTGCCTCCCGAGTTCAGATGATTCTCCTGCCTCAGCCTCCTGAGTAGCTGAGACTACAGGCACATGCCACTGTAAGTTTTGTATTTTTATTTCATATTTATTTATTTTGAGATGGAGTCTTGCTCTGTTGCCCAGGCTGGAGTGCAGTGGCTCGATCTCAGCTCACTGCAACCTCCGCCTCCCAGATTCACGCAATTCTCCTGCCTCAGCCTCCTGAGTAGCTGGGATTACAGGGGTGAGCCACCTTGCCCAGATAATGATTGTCTTTTTATTAGAGATGGGGTTTCACCATGTTGGCCAGGCTGGTCTCAAACTCCCAGCCTCAGGCAATCCGCCTGCCTCAGGCTCTGACAGTGCTGGGATTACAGGTGTGAGCTACTGCACCCAGCCTCCAATTCCAGGCTCTTAATCATTTTGTCACCCTGCTTTATTAAACATTTCTTAATACAGTTATTTAATTTTGGTTGCCCCAGAATTCCCTCAGGCCATACCCCAGAGGGTATGCTTGACATCTGGTTGGAGAAAGTCAATATTGACTGCCATTGGTCAACAGACCCCGCCTCCTCATAGAGACAGCCCAGTAAAAAGATCTTTTGAGATATTGAAACATTAGATGGGGCCAATGGGTGGAGGGAGTGAGCTCCAGTTTAAGGACAGAATTTATGGTGAGTGGCCGGGCGCAGTGGCTCACGCCTGTAATCCCAGCACTTTGGGAGGCCAAGGTGGGTGGATCACTTGAGGTCAGGATTTGGAGACCAGCCTGGCCAACATGGTGAAACCCCATCCCTGCTAAAAATACAAAAATGATCCAGGCGTGGTGGCACATGCCTGTAATCCCAGCTATTCAAGAGGCTAAGGCAGGAGAATCACTTGAACCTGGGAGGCGGAAGTTGCAGTGAGCTGAGATCGCGCCACTGCACTCCAGCCTGGGCAACAGAGCGAGATTCCATCTCAAAAAAAAAAAAAAAAAAGAATTAAGGGTGAGCAAGAGGGGTCCTGAAGGAACTATCTAGCAAGATACAATCCTTTGGCTTGTCTTACACTCACTTAATAATGTTTTGCAAAACGGTGCTGCTTTCTCTCTCCAGCTCTGTCATTGGTACACAAAGTCCCATGGTACCGCTTGCTTAAAATTGTCAAGAAAGTGTGTGAATTAATGATGCATCTGACATATCGTAGGTGTGCCATGAGTGGCTACAACGTGTAGTGACGTTGGTGGCAGAAGTGACTGTCTGAAGCCACATTTCTCTGGTGTTTAATGAAACCAAGGCAGCCAGGCACTGTGGCTCATGCCTGTGATCCCAGTATGTTGGGAGGCTGAGGTGTTAGGATTGCTTGAGCCCAGGAGTTCAAAGCCAGACTGGACAACAGAGCAAGACCCTGTTTCTACAAAAAAATTTTCAAAATTAGCCAGGCATGGTACTGCATGCCTGTAGTCCCAACTACTCAGGAGGTTGAAGTGGGAGGATTGCTTGAGCCTAGGAGGTTGAGGCTGCAGTGAGCATGAGCTGTGATTGCACCATTGCACACTCCAGCCTCAGGAACAGAGGGAAACCCTGTCTCAAAAAAAAAGAAAGAAAGAAATCAGGGCAACCCTTTTTGACCACCACCGTTGGGTCAGCTGTTTATTTCGTTCACTTGCCATTTTGTCATTTCCTTATTCCTCCAGGGGCCTTGATATTTACTTAATATTTAAATACTCTACTCTTTTTTTTTTTTTTGAGATGGAGTCTCACTCTGCCCCCCAGGCTGGAGTGCAATGGCGCGATCTTGGCTCACTGCAACCTCTGCCTCCTGAGTTCTAGCAATTCTCCTGCCTCAGCCTCCTGAGTAGCTGGGATTACAGGCACCCACCACCTCATCTGGCTAATTTTTGTATTTTTAGTAGAGATGGGGTTTCACCATGTTGGCCAGGCTGGCCTCGAACTCCTGACCTCAGGTGATCCACCTGCCTCAGCCTCCCAAAGTGCTGGGATTACAGGCGTGAACCACCATGCCCAGCTCTAAATACTCTATTCTTAAATTTCAAAACATTTATTTATAAAATGAACTTTCTAGTCCTTGCAATAATGGCATAAAAGGCTGGGCACAATGGCTCACACCTGTAATGCTAGCACTTTGGGAGGCTGACACAGGTGGATTTCTTGAGTCCAGGAGTTTGAGACCAATGTGGGCAGCAAGGTGAAACCCCATCTCTACAAAAATACAAAAATTAGCCAGGCGTGGTGGCACATGCCTGTGGTCCCAGCTACTTGGGGGACTGAGGTGGGAGAATCACTTGAGGGAAGAAGGTCGAGGCTGCAGTGAGCCAAGATGGGGCCACTGCACTCCAGCCTGGGTGACAGAGTGAGACCCTGTCTCAAAAAAAAAAAAAAAGAAAAAAAACACAATGGCATAAGAAGAATAAAAGGAAAAGTCCTTGAAGGCCTTTGGGGATGAGCCAATGAATGAATGTGTAAAAACTATCAGGCACATAGTAGGTGCCCAAAAAATCACAAGCCAGTGGTTTTTTTTTTGTTTTGTTTTGTTTTGTTTTGTTTTGAGACGGAGTCTCACTCTGTTGCCCAGGCTGGAGTGCAGTGGTGCAATCTCGGCTCACTGCAGCCTCCGCCTCCTGGGGTCAAGTGATTCTCGTGCCTCAGCCTCCCAAGTAGCTGTGATTATAGGCACAGGCCGCTGTGCCCAGCTCATTTTTGTATTTTTGTAGTGACAGGGTTTCACCACGTGGCCCAGGCTGGTCTTGAACTCCTGATCTCAGGTAATCCACCTGCCTTGGCCTCCCAAAGTGCTAGGATTACAGGCGTGAGCCACCACGCCCAGCCACACAAGCCAGTTTTTTGTTGTTGTTGTTTTTGAAACATGGTCTTGCTCTGTTCCCCAGGCTGGAGTGCAGTGGCACAACCACAGCTCACTGCAGCCATATCCTCCTGAGCTCAAGGGATCCTCCCACCTCAGCCTCCTGAGTAGCTGGGACTACAGGCATGCACCACCACACCCAGCTAATTTTTAAATTTTATTTTATTGATTTATTTGCTTATTTATTTTTTGAGGAGTCTCACTCTGTCGCCCAGGCTGGAGCACAGTGGCATGATCTTGGCTCACTGCAACCTCTGCCCCCCGGGTTCAAGTGATTCTCCTGCCTCAGCCTCCGGAGTAGCTGGGATTACAAGTGCCCACCACCACACCCAGCTAATTTTTGTATTTTTAGTAGAGACAGGGTTTCATGATGTTGGCCGGGCTGGTCTCAAACTCCTGACCTCAGGTGATCTACCCACCTTGGCTTCCCAAAGTGCTGAGATTACAGGCGTGAGCCACCGCACCTGGCCAAATTTTTTAATTTTTTGTAGAGATGGGGGTCTCACTATGTTGCCCAGGCTGGTCTGGAACTCCTGGGCTCAAGCAATCCTCCCACCTTGGCCTCCCAAAGTGCTGGGATTACACATGTGAGCCGTCACACCCAGCCACAAGCCAGTTTTAAGTCCATTGCTCTGTCCACCCTGGAGGACTTCTCAAAGGAGGAGGCACCACAAGCTTCAAGAATAGAGCAAAGATAAGAGGTGCATCAAGCTTGATTCTTGTCTTCCCTCCCTTCTCTACCCAGGTGACCTTCCCTCCACCCCAGGAAGCTATGACAGAGGCCGGGAAGCTGCCCCTACCGCTACCCCCACGGCTGGACTGGTTTGTGCACACCCAGATGGGCCAGCTGGCCCAAGACGGGGTCCCCGAGTGGTTCCATGGTGCAATCTCAAGAGAGTGAGGACACACCCACACCCTCCACCCTGCCCTCCCCACCCTGTCCTTGTCTGTCCCTACCCTGGGCAGCTTTTAACTGCAGAATTCTGGACTTGGCTCAGCTCAGTGTGGCAAGAGGCTAAAATGAGCTCCAGGCTCCCAGGCTTGAATCCTGCCACCTCTTTGGGCTCACTGTGTGACCTGGGGCAAGTTACTTGCTCTCTCTGAGCCTCAGCTTTCTCTATACAAGTGGCCAACAGACCAGCACTGCCAGGGACCTGGCAGCACCCCACACCTCGCCCAGGCCAAGCATTACCAATCAACGATGGCAGCATGCAGCCTCAGAATCTTTCTCTCTTTCTTTTTGAGACAGGGTCTCACTCTGTCACCCAGGCTGGAGTGCAGTGGTGCAATCTTGGCTCACTGCAACCTCTGCCTCCCGGACTCAAGTGATTCTTCCGCCTCAACTTGCTAAGTAGCTGGGATTACAGGCACATGCCACCAAGCCTGACTAATTTTTGTGTTTATAGTAGAGATAGGGTTTCACCATGTTGGCCAGGCTGGTCTCAAACTCCTGGCCTCAAGTGATTCACCCGCCTCGGCCTCCCGAAGTGCTGGGATTACAGGCGTGAGCCACCGCACCCGGCCAGAATCTTTCTGAACACAGTACTCCAAGCAGCTGCTCTCAACCCATCAGGATACAACCAATGTGCCCTTTCTTTTTTTTTCTTTTTCTATTTTTTTTTTTTGAGACAGAGTTCCGCTCCTGTTGCCCAGGCTGGTGTGTAGTGGCGCGATCTCGGCTCACTGCAGCCTCTATCTCCTGGGTTCAAGCAATCCTCCTGCCTCATGAGTAGCTGGGACTACAGGCATGCACCACCGCACCCGGCTAATATTTGTATTTTTAGTAGAGACGAGGTTTCACCATGTTGGCCAGGCTAGTCTCAAACTCCTGACCTCAAGTGATCTGCCGGCCTCGGCCTCCCAAAGTGCTGGGATTACAGGCATGAGCCACCGTGCCTGGCCCCAATGTGCCCTTTCTACCTCAGACTGTGAGCTCTGAGGATGTGGGCCCGGCTCTAACTAAATGGAGGAAAAAATATTTATGGCCACTCTCTGCATGCAGGAAATTGAGAAAATTCTGTGAAGGCCACAGAGAGGAAGTAGTATTGGTCATGGTTTCTGAGCTCTGGGGCCTTGCTGAATAACAGAAATATAACATGAGTTGCACATTGCAATTTAAAAAAATTTTAGTAGTTATATTAAAAGAAGCAGCTGGCTGCACTGGCACTTACCTTTAATCCCAGCTACTTGGAATGCTGAGGCGGGAGGATCGCTTGAGCCCAGGAGTTCAAGGCTGGCCTGGACAACATAGTGAGACTCCATCTCTAAAAGGAATTTTAGGCTGGGTGCAGTGGCTCATGCTTGTAATCCCAGCACTTTGGGAGGCCGAGGCTGGCAGACCACCTGAGGTCAGGAGTTTGAGACCAGCCTGGACAACATGGTGAAACCTTGTGTCTACTGAAAATACAAAATTAGCCAGGCGTGGTGGCGCATGCCTGTAATCCCAGCTACTCGAGAGGCTGAGGCAGCAGAATCACTTGAACCCAGGAGGCGGAGATTGCAGTGAGCTGAGGTCGTGCCACTGCACTCCAGGCTGAGCAACAAGAGTAAAACTCCGTCTCAAAAAAAAAAAAATTAACTGGGCACGGTGGCACGTGCCTGTAATCCCAGCTACTCGGGTGGCTGAGGCAGGAGACTTGCTGGAACCCTGCAGGCAGAGATCATGCCACTGCACTCCAGCCTGGGTGACAGAGCAAGATTCCAGCTCAAAAAAAAAAAAAAATTAAAAAAATTAGCCAGGCGTGTGGAACATGCCTGTGGTTCTGGCTACTCAGGAGGCTGAGGTGGGAGGATCTCTTGAGCCCAGGAATTCAAGGTTTCAGTGAGTTATGATTGCATCTCTGCACTCCAGCCTGAGTGATAGAGTAAGACCCTGTCTCAAAAACAAAAAACAATTCATGAAACAGCATATGTTCCTTTTTTGTGTTGTTTTGGAAATCAGTACAAAAGGCCAGTGGCCTCTGTATTGAACAGTGCAGGACCAAAGTCTCCCCAGCTTGTCCCACAGAAGGCGGCCTTCCTCTCTGTGAACTCCAGATAATAATGGTAATAATATAGAAAATAGACTGATTTCGGTGGCTCACGCCTGTAATCCCAGCACTTTGGGAGGCCGAGGCGGGCGGATCACCAGAGGTCAGGAGCTCGAGACCAGCCTGGCAAACATGGTGAAACCCCGTCTCTACTAAAAATACAAAAAATTAGCTGGGCGTGGTTGCGGGTACCTGTAATCCCAGTTACTTGGGAGGCTGAGGCAGGAGAATAGCTTGAACCTGGGAGGCAGAGGTTGCAGTGAGCCAAGATTGCATCATTGCACTCCAGCCTGGGCAACAAAAGCAAAACTCCAACTCAAAAAAAAAAAAAAAAAGAGAGAGAGAGAGAATAATAGTAATAATAACAGCAAACATTTTGGGAGCACTTACCAGGTAGCAGCTGTCATGCTTATGTTGCAAGTTCTTTCTGTTCTCACAGCAGCCTTGGAAGTGGAGTTTACTCTCCCCTTGAGGAAGCTGAAGGTCAGAAAGGGAGAGACGATTGCCTGAGGTCACACAGCTGATGGACAGTAGAGCTGGGTTATGAACTCGAATGCATCTGAGCATACAGGTCCTTCTTTGTTACTTGTGACACCTTGATCCACCCAAAGGTGCCTTAATCGGGGGATTCCAGGCATTGGGAAGGGGCTGTGGGAGATGGGAGGAGGTCTGGCCTGAGATCAAGGTCATCAGACGCCTCCTAGCTCCTCGGGGGGAACATCCCTAATCCCTGAATAGCCCAAGGTCTGCCACAGCTGAAAAAAAAAAAAAAAAAAAAAAAAGATGGGTTTGGGGTGTTTGTTCATTTAGAAAACAGGCCGGGCACAGTGGCTCACACCTGTAATCCCAGCACTTTGGGAGGCTGAGGCAGGCGGATCACTTGAGGACAGGGGTTTGAGACCAGCCTGGCCAACATGGTGAAACCCTGTCTCTACTAAAAAAAAAAAAAAAAAGTTGGGCATGGTGGCGGGCGCCTGTAATCCCCGCTACTCAGGAGGCTGAGGCAAGAGAATCACCTGAACCCAGGAGGTTGAGGCTGCAGTAAGCCAAGGTCACGCCATTGCACTCAGCCTGGGAGACAGAGCGAGACTCTGTCTCAACAAAAAAAAAAAAAAAAAGGAAAAAAGAGGCCGGGCACGGTGGCTCACACCTATAATCCCAGCACTTTGGGAGGCCGAGGTGGGCGGATCACGAGGTCAGGAGATCGAGACCATCCTGGCTAACACAGTGAAACCCCATCTCTACTAAAATATACAAAAAATTAGCCGGGCGTGGTGGCTGGCGCCTGTGGTCCCAGCTACTTGGGAGGCTGAGGCAGGAGAATGGCGTGAATCCGGGAGGCGGAGCTTGCAGTAAGTTGAGATCGCGCCACTGCACTCCAGCCGGGGGGACAGAGCGAGACTCTGTCTCAAAAAAAAAAAAAAGGAAAAAAGAAAAATGAAAACTACCAGCCTTCTCCATGAATGATCCCATGGCCCCAGGAGTCTAACTGGTACGTGGGGCGGCTGGACTGTTTCATTTCCTTTCTGTGTGTGCCCTTCCAGGGATGCTGAGAACTTGCTGGAGTCACAGCCACTGGGATCCTTTCTCATCAGGGTCAGTCACAGCCATGTGGGCTACACACTCTCCTACAAGTAAGGCCTGGGCCGGGATCCAGGGCAGGGGCAGGTGGGCTCTTGGGTTTCCTTGGAGGGGGCAAGGGGTGCTTCATGTCATAGCTTCTCAGAAAGCAGCAGTAACTGAGGCTGTGGATCTGAGAACGGGAGCTGCTAGCCAAGCAATGAGTGAAGCTTTTGTCCGTAGTGGCATGTTTTATCTGAGGCCAGCCTTTGTACTCCTGTGTTATAAATGGGGGAAACTGAGGCACAGCGAGGTTAGTAACCTGCTGGGTGTTGCATGGCCAGTGAGTGAAGAAGCCTGCATGGGAACCTGGGGTAGTCTGGCTGTAGCAGTGACGCTGCCGGCCCAAGGGCTGGGGACTTGGGGCAGGGATGAGGGGGAGTAGGATGTCCCAGCCCCCGCAGTGTCTCCGCAGAGCCCAAAGCAGCTGCTGCCATTTCATGGTGAAGCTCTTGGATGATGGGACTTTCATGATCCCCGGGGAGAAGGTGGCCCACACCTCGCTGGACGCCCTGGTCACCTTCCACCAGCAGAAGCCAATTGAGCCGCGCAGGGAGCTGCTGACACAGCCCTGCAGGCAGGTGAGGGCGGGGACCCACAAGGTTCACAGCCATTTCCTTGGGGCCAAGCCCCCCAGACCCCTTTGTTTCCCACGCCCCCATCAGCTCCTCTTGATTCTGTCACTCTCATGGTCCTTGGCCCCTCCGGCCCCACCCCAGTAGTCCCTCTGCCCCCCACAGCGGTCTCCGTTGTGGTTCCTGCTTCCCCATGGCTCCGCCCTCCAGGCCCATGTCAACAGGCTGATTTTTTATAAGGGTTCATGTGCCAGGTATAATCTTGGCTCATCTGAAGGAATGACATCTTTCCTTAGAAGGCTCGGTGGGCGTGGCCTGGCTCCCAATACGCTTTCCTTAGAAGGCTCAGTGGGTGTGGCCTGGCTCCCAATAAACTGCTGTGGGTGGAGCATCTTTCCTTAGAAGGCTCAGTGGGTGTGGCCTGGCTCCCAATAAACTGCTGTGGGTGGAGCATCTTTCCTTAGAAGCTCGGTGGGCGTGGCCTGGCTCCCAATACGCTTTCCTTAGAAGGCTCAGTGGGTGGCCTGGCTCCCAATAAACTGCTGTGGGCAGGGCATGTTTCCTTAGAAGGCCCAGTGGGCGTGGCCTAGCCCCTAAGAAACTGCTGAGGGGGGTTATCTCTCCTTAGAAGGCTCAGTGGGTGTGGCCTAGCTCCCAATAAACTGCTGTGGGCGGGGCATCTTTCCTTAGAAGGCTCAGTGGGTGTTGCCTAGTCCCCAAGAAACTGCTGTGGGCAGGGCATCTTTCCTTATAGGGCTTGGTGTGCCTGGCCTAGCTCCCAAGAAATTGTGGTAGGTGGGGCATCTTTCCTTAGAAGGCTCAGTGGGTGTGGCCTAGCTCCCAAGAAACTGCTGTGGGTGGGGCATCTTTCCTTATAGGACTCAGTGGGCCTGACCTAGCGCCCAAGAAACTGTTGTGGGCGGGGCATCTTTCCTTAGAAGGCTCAGTGGGTGTGGCCTAGCTCCCAAGAACGTGCTATGGGCGGGGCATCTTTCTTTAGAAGGCTCAGTGGGTGTGTCCCAATCCCTAAGAAATGGCTGTGGGTGGGGCATATTTTCTTATAACGCTTAGTGGGCGTGGCCTAGGTACTAAGAAACTGCTATTCAAGGGATGGTCCCTGAGACCTGCCTTCCAGGGTCCGTGCAGGACCTTTCCCCCTCCCTAGTGCTGAGCTACAGGCCCCTTCCGCCCTGCAGAAGGATCCCGCAAACGTGGATTACGAGGATCTCTTCCTCTACTCCAACGCAGTGGCCGAGGAAGCTGCCTGCCCGGTGTCTGCCCCTGAGGAGGTATGTATATGACAGGAGGCTGGCACCTCCCACCTGGCTGAGGGGCAGGAGTGGAGGTGGTCAACAGCTTCCAGAGGAGGCTCCTTCTAGAATGAGAATGCGATCCTACAGCTTGGTGCTTTAAACCTTTCCAGTGCTTTTGCAACACCGAGATTAAAATTCAAACTACAATCTGAGGTCCTCTTTCTGCCTGTCACCTACCCAGCGCCAGCCCTGCTGCCATACCGTCTGTTGTTCAGACACACCAAGCTAGCCTCGGGGTCTCTGCGTGTGCCGGCCCCACCTCAGGTCCTTTGCACAAACTGTGTGCCCTGCCCCTAGATTTCCCATGTCTTCATTCATTTCTCCTTCAAGTGCCTCCTTCCCCAGGCCCCAGACCTAAAGCAACACCTTCTGGATTCTCCTTCACATTACCCTGTTTATTCACTGCAGCGGACTTCCCAAAAGTGTTCCTCAAAATCCTATTTACTTATGGGTTTACATGCTCCCTGGCTGCCTTTCCAGTCAGACTGTGAGCTCTGAGAGACTGGAGACTCCATCTGGCTTGTTTGCCTTTGCTTCTCCCACCCCTCTGAAAGGACCTGCCATATTGAAGGTGCTTAACTAATGAATCTGTGGAGTAGATGAATGAATGTATCACAGCATCTTGGGGTTTGGGAGACCTTTAGGCACCCCTAGGTTGAAGTCTAAGTGCTCTCCAAGCCCCCTGCCCAGCAGGGGAAGTTATGACAGTGGTACAAATGAAACAGGCTGGTGTGATGGACATCAGTGGAGGTGGGGGGTGCAAGTGGGGGAAGGCAGTCAGGGAAGGCTTCCTAGAGGAGGTGGCTTATAGCTGAGATCTGCAAGGTGAGGAGGAGCCAGTCATACACACAGACACAGGGAGGACATTCCAGGCAGCGGGAATGGCACTTGCAAAAGTCCTGGGGCTTGGTGTGTTTGGAAAACAGAACAAAAAAAGCCAGCATATAGATGGATTGGGGTTAGTGAGAGAGAGATTGTCAGAAGTTGAAGCCCCAGGGTCAGGAAGGGCCAATAGTGCAGGGCCTTGGAGCCAAGGTGAGGAGCTGGGATTCTAGTCCAGTTGCACCAGGGAGGAGCCAAAGGAGAGTGTATGCATGGGAGGACTTTTTTTTTTTTTTTTTTTGAGACGGAGTCTTGCTTTGTCGACCAAGCTGGAGTGGAATGGCACAGTCTAGGCTCGCTGCAACCTCCGCCTCCCAGGTTCAAGCGATTCTCCTGCCTCAGCCTCCTGAGTAGCTGGGACTACAGGTGCGTGCTAATTTTTGTATTTTTAGTAGAGACGGGGTTTCACCATGTTGGCCAGACTGGTCTCAAACCCCTGACCTCATGATCCGCTCACCTCGGCCTCCCAAAGTGCTGGGATTATAGGCGTGAGCTACCACACCTGGCCGGAACTGGTGGTTTTAAATGTTTCCTGTGGCTACTGGCTGCAGAAGGGGCTTTCCTGGGCACTGGTGGAGATGGAAAGAAGGAGGAAGTGAGGTGGGGGTGGAGGACAGTGTCAAGGTGGGAGGGACAAAAATGAGAGCCCAGGTGTGGAAAGAAACATGGATATTTGGTCTGCGTAGTGGCTCACACCTGTATTCCCAGTGCTTTGGGAGGCTGAGAGGAGAGGATTGCTTGAGGCCAGGACTTTGAGACCAGCCTGGGCAACACAGCAAGCCCGTCTCCACAAAAAATAAAAAAATTAGCCAGGCATGGTGGCGCACGCCTGTAGTCAGCTACTCTGGGGGCTGAGGTGGGAGGATTGCTTGAGCCTGGGAGGTCGAGGCTGCAGTGAGCCATGATTGCACCACTGCACTCCAGCCTGGGTGACAAAGCAAGACCCTCTCAAAAAAAAAAAAGATTTGTAGAGATGGGGTCTCACTACATTGCCCAGGCAGGTCTCAAACTCCTGGCCTCAAAAAATCCTCCTGCCTCAGCCTTCCAAAGCACTGGGATTACAGGCATGAGCTATCACACCTGGCCCCACATTTTTGTAAAGATAGTATTTTGTAACCTGTGAAAATCAGATAAAATTCATATTTCCATGTTTATCAATAAAGCTATATTAGAACCCAGGCACGCTCATTGGTTCACGTGTGACCTCTGGCATCCGCTACAACAGCAGAGCTACATAATTGAGACGGATGGTACAGCCTGCAAAGTTGAAATATTTACTCTCTGACTCTTTGTAAAAGAAGTTTGCCAGGCCAGGTGCGGTGGCTCTCATCTGTAATCCCAGCACTCTGGGAGGCCGAGGTGGGTGGATCACCTGAGGTAAGGAGTTCAAGACCACCAGGGCCAACATGGTGAAACCATGTCTCTACTGAAAATACAAAAATTAGCCAGGCGTGGTGGTGTGCTTTTGGTTCTAGCTACTTGGGAGGCTGAGGCAGGAGAATCGCTTGAACCCAGGAGGTGGAGGTTGCAGTGAGCCGAGATTGTGCCACTGCACTCCAGACTGGGCGACAGAGTGAAACTCCATCTCAAAAAAAAAAAAAGGAAGAAGAACAAGTTTGCCAACCCCTGGGGGAGACAGTGAAGCCATTTACTGAGACGAGAAAGATGGGGCATGGGATCAGGTTTGGGGGTTCACACGGGGACGTTTCTCAGCCACAGGGTGTCTGGGTGGAACCCAGGCTCCAATTTCTGGGACAGACATGGTGCTCTGGTGGGCAAGCTGCCCCAGGCCTCCCCTACTCTCATTTTCAGGCCTCCCCAAAGCCAGTCCTGTGTCACCAATCAAAGGAAAGGAAGCCGTCAGCAGAGATGAACAGAATAACCACCAAGGAAGCCACTTCCTCCTGCCCCCCAAAATCCCCTCTTGGAGAGACCCGCCAGAAACTCTGGAGGAGCCTCAAAATGCTCCCCGAGAGAGGCCAGAGGGTCCGGCAGCAGCTAAAAAGCCACCTCGCCACTGTGAACTTGTCGTCACTCTTGGATGTCCGGAGATCCACGGTGATCTCAGGCCCTGGGACCGGAAAAGGCAGCCAAGATCACTCAGGGGATCCCACCTCGGGGGACAGAGGCTACACGGATCCCTGTGTGGCCACATCTCTCAAAAGCCCCTCACAGCCCCAGGCACCAAAAGACAGAAAGGTCCCCACCAGGAAGGCCGAGAGGTCGGTCAGCTGCATTGAGGTGACCCCAGGGGACAGGAGTTGGCACCAAATGGTAGTGAGAGCCCTATCCTCCCAGGAGTCCAAGCCAGAGCACCAGGGCTTGGCAGAGCCTGAGAACGACCAGCTCCCGGAGGAGTACCAACAACCGCCACCCTTTGCCCCTGGGTACTGCTAGAGAACAGGTCCACCCTGGCTCTGGGACTCGCTGCCAGGGGCTGCCACACTCCTGAATGCCTTAACATTTCTTCCATGGCCCCACACCATGGCATCCGGGGGTCTTCGGGAACCCGGGAAATGGAATAAAGATGTTTTTGGGGTCTGTTCCTGCACTCACCCATGGGGTGAGCTGGTTATTTTAGCAACAATCATCAGAGTGACGCTGATGGTTTGGGGCACCAGCTATACATCAGCCCCAGTGCCAGACCTTCTATTCATTATTTTACGCCTCAGAGCAAGGCCCTCAGGGAGGGTCATCCTCCATGTTTTGAAGAAGAGACTGAGGTTCAGAGAGGATAAGAGGCGTGACCAAGGCCACAGAGCTATGGGTGTCAGCACCAGGATTTGAAGCCAGGTGAATCCGAGCCCTTTTCCCATATCATCTGTTTGTTCTGTTGTCTAAAAGCACACTGCAAGCCGGGCTCAGTGGCTCATGCCTGTAGTCCCAGCACTCTGTGGGGCCGAGGCAGGCAGATCGCTTGAGGTCAGGAGTTCGAGACCAGCCTGGCCAACATGGTGAAACCCCGTCTATACTAAAAAATTCAAAAATTACCCGGACGTGGTGGCGCATGCCTGTAATCCCAGCTACTTGGGAGCCTGAGGCGGGAGAATTGCTTGAACCCGGGAGGCAGAGGTTGCAGTGAGCCGAGATCGCATCACTGCAGTCCAGCCTGGATGACAGAGTGAGACTCCATCTCAAAAAATAAATAAATAAATAAAAATGAAATTAAAAAATAAAAGCACGCTGCAGGGTCTCTCTCCAACCGGAGCTTCGTCCAGGCTCAACTCCGAGTGTGTCCCCAGCGGCACCATTGGCTGTTCATGCCTTCCTCCTGGGGTTTTCATGCAGATGAAGGAGACGAGTTGTGTTGAGGGCCTGGTGTGCAGTAGGCACTTGGACATCATCAGTGTTGGCTTCAGGAGAAGCACATGAGCGTCTTTCCTTTAAAAAGGGAAGAGGCAGCCGGGCGTGGTGGCTCACACCTGTAATCCCAGCACTTTGGGAGGTCGAGGCAGGTGGATCATGAGGTCAGGAGATTGAGACCATCCTGGCTAACACGGTGAAACCCCGTCTCTACTAAAAATACAAAAAATTAGCCAGGTGTGGTGGCGGGCACCTTTAGTCCCAGCTACTCGGGAGGCTGAGGCAGGAGAATGGCGTGAACCCAGGAGGCGGAGCTTGCAGTGAGCCAAGATCATACCACTGCACTCCAGCTTGAGTGACAGAGTGAAGAGTCTGTCTCAAAAAAAAAAAAGGGAAGAGGCAGCCGTGTGTGGTGGCTCATGCCTGTAATCCCAGCACTTGAGGAGGGTGGGAGGTGGGAGGATTGCTCAAGCCCAGGATTTCAAGACCAGCCTGGGCAACATGGCAAGGCCTCGTATCTACAAAAATTCAAAAAATTAGCCAGGTGTAGTGGCACACACCTGTAGTCCCAGCTATTTGGGAGGCTGAGACGGGAGGATCATCTGACCCCAGGAGTTCAAGGCTGCAGTGAGTCATGATCACCCCACTTCAGCCTGAGCAACAGAGAGAGACCTTGTCTCAGAAAAGAAAAAAAAAAAAAAGAAAGAAAAAGCTGGCCGGACGCAGTGGCTCACACCTCTAATCCCAGCACTTTGGGAGGCCAAGGCAGGTGGATCACCTGAGGTCAGGAGTTCAAAACCAGCCTGGCCAACATGGTGAAACCCCGTCTCTACTAAAAACTACAAAAATTAGCCAGGCATGGTGGCTTGCGCCTGTAATCCCAGCTACTCAGGAGACTGAGGCAGGAGAATCGCTTGAACCTGGGAGGCGGAGGTTGCAGTGAGCCAAGACCAAGCCACTGCACTCCAGCCTGGGTGACAGAGCAAGACTCCAGACTGGGTGACAGAGCAAGACTCCATCTCAAAAAAAAAAAAGGCTGGGGACGGAGGAGGCATCACAGGGCCATGATGGTGGAGGGCTCTGGAGGGAATCCTAGGTTGTGGGGCTGTGTGACCTTTGGCAAGTCTAGACATCTCTGGGCCTACTTTCTTACCTGGAAAATGAGAAGAGCAGTCCCTCTTCAGGATGAACTGGCAGAATGCATGTAAAACCTGGGACTTTGGTGCACAGTAGGTGTTTTTCTTTTTTTTTCTTTTTCTTTGAGACGGAGGAGTTTTGGTCTGTCGCCCAGGCTGGAGTGCAGTGGTTCGACCTCGGTCCACTGCAACCTCTGCCTCCTGGTTCAATTGATTCTCCTGCCTCAGCCTCCTGAGTAGCTGGGACTACAGGAATGCACCACCACATCCAGTTACTTTTTGTATTTTTGGTAGAGACAGGGTTTCACCATGCTGCCCAGGCTGGTCTCGAATTGCTGGGCTCAGGCGATCTACCCGCCTCAGCCTCCCAAAGTGTTGGGATTACAGGCGTGAGCCACTGTGCCTGGCTCCTTTTTTTTTTTTTTTTTGGACAGAGTCTCGCTCTATTGCCCAGGCTGGAGTGCAGTAGCACGATCTCTGGTCACTACAACTTCCCTTTCCTGGGCTCAAGCGATCCTCCCACCTCAGCCTCCCAAGTAGCTGGGACTACAGGCATGCACCACCACACCCAGCTAATTTTTGTATTTTTGGTAGAGACAGGGTTTCACCACGTTGCTGAGGCTGGTCTCAAATTCTTGGGCTCAGACAATCTGCCCACCTTGGCCTCCCAAATGCTGGGGTTACAGGCTTGAGCCACCGTGCCCAGCCCAGTAGCTGCTTAATTTATTAGCGGGTTAAGATGGGAGTGAGCTCTCTAGACATGACATACTGTACAATGGAGGTGTCTGGGAAGGTCCCTAGGGGCTGGTCTTGGTTGCAGGAGTGACTACTCCTTGGACTGACTGGGGCATAGATGGGGGCCCTGGGGCAACCCCAGGTGGAGGGGGTGTGGGGTTCCCCAAATGTACAAGGTTCAGACATCTGGGATCTGGTATGAGGTGCACCTGGGTTCAAGCCCGCCCCTGCAAATGACTTGTGGGGTGGCCTTAGGCAAGTCACTCTGCTCCCTCCAAATGAGGGCATGATCCTCGGCCAACTCTGCAGGGATGTTATAGGGGGTCAGTGTCACGTTAGGGGGCAGATGCATCATAAACTGTAAAGTGCAGCAGCCACCTCAGTGAATGACATTTCCACCCCTCCCAATCAGTGGTCTCCTCTTGGCAGCTCTAATGAGTCAGCCCGGGAGGAAAAGTTTCAATCCCTTTGATGACTCAGGGTTTGAGGGATAAAAAGAAACTTGAGTAGTGAAGGGTGAGGTTTGGCCTTCAGAGTGGGAACCCTGGGGTAGGACAGCACGGGCCCGATCTCCCCACCACCTCACCTCCGCCACGGACACCCACAACAAGGCATTTCCAGCCTTCACAGTGAAGACGATCTAGGAGTCACCCCTTCCTTGTACAAACAGGGAGATCGTGGCCCAGAGAGGGTGTGGCCACACTCAGGGTCACACAGCAAAGTCAAAGATAAAATTCTACGCCGCCTCCCTCCCATCTTCCAGTTTTAAGGTGGAAAAATGTGTCCTCCCAGCAGGTGTGACTCAGTGACTTGTGTTTATTCTCAGAAACCAGAGTCCACAGCGGGTGAGGGGTCACCCCGCCCTCCTATAGCTCGGCTCCTCTGTGGTGCCATCAGATTCGGATGTGGAAGGTGCTGTGTGCAGAGAGAAAAGGAGTCAAGGCCTTCAAGGAGTGGACAACCCCTTTTCCTCCTCCCCCTCAACACGCTCACGGCAAGTCCCTGGGACAGGCAGGAAGGATGCCACATGGACCCCTCAAACAACCCTAGGCCGGGAGACCCCTACAGGGGCTGAGAGCACATGCCTTTAATTTTTTAATTCTTTTTTTTTTTTTTTTTTTTTTGAGATGGGGTCTTGCTCTGTCTCCCAGGCTGTAGTGCAGTGGTGTGATCTTGGCTCACTGCAACCTCTGCCTCCTGGGTTCAAGTGATTCTCATGCCTCAGCCTCCCGAGTAGCTAGGATTACAGGTGCATGATACCACGCCCAGTTAATTTTTCTATTTTCAGTAGAAACGGAGTTTCTCAACTTGCTTTGTTGCCCAGGCTGGTCTGGAACTCCTGTGCTCAAGCGATCCACCCACCTTAGCTTCCCAAAGTGCTAGGATTACAGGCATGAATCACCACATCCTGCCATATGATATAAAGTTTCAAATAGCTAGAAGAAGGATACTGAATGTTCTCAACACAAATAAATGATACATGTTTGAGATGATGGATATGCTAATGACCCTGATCTGCTCATCATACATTATATGTATCGAAACCATTATGTGGCCTGGTGCAGTGACTCACCCCTGTAATCTCAGGACTTTGGGAGGCCAAGGCAGGAGGATCAGTTGAGGCCAGGAGTTTGAGAACAGCCTGGGCAACAAGGCAAGACCTTGTCTCCACAAAAAAAAAAAAAAAAAAAAAAAGTTTTTAGTTAGCTAGGCGTGGTGGTGTGTGCCCGTACTCCCAGCTACTCAGGAGGCTGAGGTGGGAGGATTGCTCTTGAGCCCAGGAGGTAGAGGCTGCAGTGAGCTATGATTGTGCCACTGCACTCCAGCCTGGGCAACAAAGTGAGACCCTGTCTCAACATTTTCAGCACTGCCTCAGCTTATAGATAAAAACAAAAACAGGCCGGGCATGACGGCTCACGCCTGTAATCCCAGCACTTTGGGAGGCCAAGATGGACAGATCACCTGAGGTCAGGAGTTCAAGACCAGCCTGGCCAACATGGCGAAACCTTATCTCTACTAAAAAAATACAAAAATTAACCGGGCGTGGTGGCGGGCGCCTGTAATTCCAGATACTCGGGAGGCTGAGGCAGGGAGAAGTGCTTGAACCTGCGAGGTGGAGGTTGCTGTGAGCCGAGATCGTGCCACTGCACTCCATCCTGGGTGACAGAGCGAGACTCCATCTCAAAAAAATAAAATAAAATAAATTAATTAATTAATAAAATAAAACAAACAAAATTAGCCAGGCACAGTGGCACGTACCTGTAGTCCCAGCTACTTGGTTTATTCTTATTTTATTTCTTTTTTCTTTTCTTTTCTTTTTTTTTTTTTTTTTTTTTTGAGACAGAGTCTCGCTCAAGCTGGAGTACAGTGGCGCAATCGTGGCTCACTGCAAACCTCCACCTCCCAGGTTCGGGTTCAAGTTACTCTCCTGCCTCAGCCTCCCGAGTAGCTGGGACTAGAGGTGTGCCCCACCATGCCCAGGCTAATTTTTGTATTTTTAGTAGAGACTACTGCCTCAGCCTCCTAAAATGCTGGGATTACAGGTGTGAGCCACTGCGCTCGGCCCCGTAGTCCCAGCTACTTAGGAAGCTGAGGTGGGAGGATCTCTTGAGCCGAGGAGTTAGAGGCTGCAGTGAGCCGATTGCACCATGCACTGCAGTCTGGGTCACTGAGTGAGACCCTGTCTCAAAACAAACAAACGGGCTGGGCGTGGTGGCTCACGCTTGTACTCCCAGCAGTCTGGGAGGCCACAGTAGGTGAATCACTTGAGGTCAGGAGTTCAAGACCAGCCTGGCCAACATGACAAAACCCTGTCTCTACTAAAAATACAAAAATTAGCTGGGCATGGTGGCACGTGCCTGTAATCCCAGCTACTCGGGAGGCTGAGGCAGGAGAATCACTTGAACCCAGGAGGTGGAAGTTGCAGTGAGCTGAGATTGCACCACTGCACTCCAGCCTGGGCAACAGAGCAAGACTCCGTCTCAAAACAAACAAACAAACAAAAAGAAACATCACTGTGTACCCCATGAATATGTACAATCATTATTTGTCAATTCAAAAAATAAAAAATAAAGTGAAATTTAAAAATTATAAGATAATAATAGCAACAGCAATTTATTAAACACCTATTGTGTGCCAGGAGCTGTGCTGAATTTTCTCCATATATTAATTTGGGGTTCAGCAAACCTTTTTCTGTAAATGGCCAAATAGTTGATGTTTTCAACTTTATACCATGACGCAACTCTGTTGTTGAAGCACACAAGCAGCCATAGACAAAATGTACACAAATGGGTGTGGCTGTGAGCCAATACAACTTTACTGATGGACACAGAAAAGTGAATTTCGTATCACTGTCACGTGTCATGGAATAATCTTTTTTTAAATTAAAAAAAAATTTTTAATGTGTTTATTTATTTTTGAGACAGAATCTCACTCTGTGACCCAGGCTGGAGTGCATGGCACAATCTGAGCTCACTGCGGCCTTGACCTCCTGGGCTCAAGCAATCCTCCCGCCTCAGCCTCCCAAGTAGCTGGGACTACAGGCATGCACCACCATACCTGGCTATTTATTTATTTATTTATTTGTAGATATGGACTCTCCTTATGTTCCCCAGTTTGGTCTCAAGCTCCTGGGGTCAAGAGATCCTCCCCACTTAGCCTCCCAAAGTGCTGGGATTAAAGGCATGAACCACCCCACCTGGTTGGAATATTATTATTCTTTGATTGTTTTTTGATCTTTTGAAAATATAAAAGCCATTCTTAGCTCACAGGAGGTACAAAACCAGGCTTTGGGTCAGACTGGCCTATTGGCCGTACTTTGCCCTGCAGTGGCGGCTGATTTTCCCCAAAGGCTGCCAAGTACAGTTACACAGTCTGTTCACTGCAAACTGTTCAGGCAACAAGGGCTGAAGTCCAGCCACATTCTGCTTGCTGAAAGAGGTGTATCCACTCGCAAGAGGTGCCCAGGGGGTCCCTAATTATCCCCATTTTACAGATGCAGGGACTGAGACTAGGGAAATTGAGAAAGTTTCCCAAGGTCATGAAAGAATGAATAGAGGAATTTTCAGAAACAGAGTCTGTGAACTGTCTGCGTAAGAGCCCCTTCAGATGTGCAAATGGACTGTGGGCGGTGACGGAGAGCATCACCTGAGGAAGTCTGGTGCCCGGAGGATCATGTTCTGGAAATCTTCCAGGGACAGCCGCCCATCATGGTCTCCATCAGCCTCATCCAGCACCTTCTCACATACCAGGCTCACCTCCTCGGCACTCAGCCCCCCCCGCGTCAGTTTGGTCACCGTCTGCTCCAGGTCCCACGCACAAATGTAGTCGTCGTTGTTAAAATCTGCAGAGCAGGATGGATGGGGAGTGACAGCAGGTGGCAGGAGGGCTAGGCCGGCTGTGGGCACATACTGTGCCCATGTTACAAGAAGGGGAAACTAAGGTCGGGCACGGTGGCTCACGCCTGTAATCCCAACACTTTGGGAGGCTGAGGAGGGTGGAACACCTGAGGTCAGGAGTTCGAGACCAGCCTGGCCAACATGGTGAAATCCCATCTCTACTAAAAATACAAAAATACCCAGGTGTGGTGGCATGCACCTGTAATCCCAGCTATTCAGGAGGCTGAGGCAGGAGAATCACTTGAGCCCGGGAGGTGGAGGTTGCAGTGAGCCAAGATCTCACCACTGCACTCCAGCCTGGGCAGCAAGACAGAAACTCCGTCCAAAAAAAAAAAAAAAAAAAAGGAACTGAGGCCCTGGGAGGGCACCCGAGACCCTGGTGTAAAATCTGGAACTTGCCTTAAAATTGGGCAGGGACCTGCTGGGAGTTCATTCATTCATTCAACAAGTATTTATGCAATGAATTTTTCATTCGTTCTTTTTTTTTTTCTTTGAGACGGAGTCTCGCTCTGTCGCCCAGGCTGGAGTGCAGTGGCACGATCTCGGCTCACTGCAACCTCCACCTCCTGGGTTCAAGTGATTCTCCTGCCTCAGCCTCCCAAGTAGCTGGGATTACAGGTGCCTGCCACCATGCCCGGCTAATTTTTGTGTTTTTAGTAGAGATGGGATTCCCCATGTTGGCCAGGCTGGTCTCAAATTCCTGACCTCAGGTGATCCACCCACCTCGGTCTCCCAAAGTGCTAGGATTACAGGTGGAAGCCACCACACCCAACCTCATTCATTCATTTTTACAAGCATTGAGTGCCTGCTGTGTGCTAGGCACTGTAATAACTTTTTTATTCACTCATACAAGTATTTATTGAGCATCTACTATGTGTCAGGCATCACAGTAACTGATTTTCATTCACTCACTCACTCAACAAGTATTTATTGAGTGCAATTTTCATTCATTCACTCACTTAACAAGTATTTATTGAGTGCCTACTGTGTCCTGGCACTGTGATAATAATTTTTCATTTACTCATTCAAAAAACAGTTATGGGCCCGGCGCAGTGGCTCATGCCTGTAATCCCAGCACTTTGGGAGGTGGAGATGGGTAGATCACCTAAGGTCAGGAGTTCCAGGCCAGCCTGGCCAACATGGTGAAACCCCATCTCTACTAAAATTACAAAAATTAGCGGGGCGTGGTGCGGGTGCCTGTAATCCCAGCTACTAGGTAGGCTGAGGCAGGAGAATCGCTTGAACCCAGGGAGTGGAAGTTGCAGTGATCTGAGATCGCGCCATTGCACTCCAGCCTGGGCGACAAGAGTGAGACGCTGTCTCAGTAAAAAAATAAATAAATAAAAATAGTTATTGAGTGCCTACTATGTGCCAAACACTGTGACAGCTCTTTCATTCATTTATTCAAGTATTTCTTGAACACGTACTACGTATCAAGCACCATGATATCTGTTTTTCATTTATTCACTCACTCAACAAGTATTTATTGAGTGCCTACTGTGTAGTGGGCACTGTGATAACTTTTTTCATCTATTCACTCAAAAAGTACTTTTTAACTGCTTACTGTGCACCAGGCACTGTAATAACTTTTTCATTTATTCATTCATTCATTCATCCATTCAGGAAGTATTTATTGAGCACCTACTACATGTTGGGCACCATAACTCTTTTATTCACTCACTCAACAAGTATTAGTGTCTACTGTGTGCCAGGTACTCTGATAACTTTTTCATTCATTCATTCATGCAACAAGTATTTATTGAGCACCTACTATGTGTTGGGCACCATGATAACTATTTTTCATGTACTCACTCAAAAAGTATTATGGTGGCAGGGCACGGTGGCTCATGCCTGTAATCCTGCCACTTTGGGAAGCCGAGGTGGGTGGATCACTTGAGGTTAGGAGTTCAAGACCAGCCTGGCCAACATGGTGAAACCCCATCTTTACTAAAAATACAAAAATTTGGCTGGGCGTGGTGGTTCATGCCTGTAATCCCAGCACTTTGGGAGGCTGAGGCGGGTGGATCACCTGAGGTCAGGAGTTCGAGACCAGTCTGGCCAACATGGTGAAACTCCGTCTCTACTAAAAATACAAAAAATTAGTCAGGCGTTGTGGCAGGCACCTGTAATCAATCTCAGCTACTCAGCAGGCTGAGGCAGGAGAACTGCTTGAACCCGGAAGACGGAGGTTGCAGTGAGCTGAGATCGCGTCACTGCACTCCAGTCTGGGGGACAGAGCAAGACTTTGTCTCACAAAAAAAAAACACACACACAAAAAAAACAAGTATTTATTGAGTGCACACAAGGTGCCAGGCACTAAGATAACTGTTTTTCTTTCATTCAGTCATTCAACAAATATTTACTGAGCCAGGCTCAGATGACAGGTGGTGAGCAAAATAGATACTGTTGGTACCTTTGAGTCTTCTCAGGGACAAAGTCAATAAGAAGTGAACAGGTCAAGGAACAAGAAATTAAGCAGCATTGCCTGGTGCTAGAAGAGAAATAGGATGGTGGGATGGGGGGATGAATGGGGAGAGGCCTACTTTTGACCTAGACTTCAAGGGTAAGAAGGAGCCAGGGGAGCTGGGTGCGGTGGCTCACGTCTGTAATCCCAGCACTTTGGGAGGCCGAGGCGGGCGGATCACCCGAGGTCAAGAGTTCGAGACAAGCCTGGCCAACATGGTGAAACCCCGTTTCTACTAAAAATACAAAAATTAGCCAGGCGTGATGGCACCTGCCTGTAATCCCAGCTACTCGGAAGGCTGAGGCAGAAGAATCACTTGAACCTGGGAGGCGGAGACTGCAGTAAGCCAAGATTGAGCCACTGCACTCTAGCCTGGGCAAAAAGAGCGAAACTCCATCTCAAAAAAATAAAAAATAAAAATCAATAAATAAATAAGGAGCAAGGCGAAAGGTGTTCTAGGCAGAGGGTTCAGCAGAGGCAAAGGCCCAGAGGCCGAAGACTGTGTTTGAGGAACAGCAAGGCCCATGTGGCTGGAATAGAGTTAGCAAATAAATGAGGTGGGGAGGCATTGGAGTGGGGTGGAGGACAGGGCCACATAGGGCCTCAAAACCCCTGGGGAGATATTTGTGATGTGGGTGCCACCCACCCAGTTCCCACTCCCCACCCCATCCCCATGCTTCCCAACCCCAGGGCCACGCACGCACCATAAATTTTAAAAGCATAGTAAGCCTTGAGGTCGCGGGGAGCCATTTCACTCATCACGGAAAACATGTCCAAAAAGTTGTCCAGGGTCATGTGGCCATCCCCATCCTCAGAGAATACCTGGGCAATCCTCTGGCGGAAGGGGTTGTCCTGGGGACAGAAAGGAAGCTGGGAGGCCATCCTCTGACCCCCAAGGTCTCTGGGGTCCATGTGGTCTCACTATCAGCACCCACCTTCTGGGAACCTCCAAGTACCCTCCATCAAGACCCACTCCCTCCCATGGTCCCTGGACAGGACTTTGGACAACTCCACCCTCCACCCCTGTGATCTGAGCAACCTTGCCCCAACTTCCAGCTCTTGGAGCAGCCATGTGACCCAGGCAAGGCCAATCAGAGAGTTCCATTCACCTGGCAATAGTGATTGGCTCTGTGATGGGCATGTGACTCAAGCTAGCCAATCAGAGGCTGACCTGGGATATTTTTCTGAAAAATTGGGAGGGAGGGGACCTGATTACTGCTGCTTGCAAAGCTCACAGAAGCTAAAGCTGAGTGGCTGAGAGGTCCCTTCACAGCCTCAAGAGGTGAGGCTGCCTTAGACTGAAACCTCTTCCTGGGAGGAGCCGAGATATGGGGGGAGATTCCTGAGCACATCATCAGAGGCCCTGGTTCCAGCTGTACCTGACACTGTCCCTGCCTCTGGATTTTTTTGTTGTTGTTCAGGGGCAATCCATTTTGATCCAAACCATTCTGTCCCTCTCAAATAAGGTTTTTGTCACTTGCAATAAAATCAACCCTACTCACAGTCAGTTACTCAACCCACAAGTTCCCCTTGGAGGCACAAACCATGTGTCAAACATCCTGCTGATAAAAACCTGCATTTAGCAGCTCCTGTTACAAGAAGAACTAACGTTCTCTGAGTACTTGACACACAACACACCCTGTACTGAATTTGTTGCCTGTATTATCTCGTTTCATCCTCCCAATTCTGGGTGTTTTTTGTTTGTTGTTTGTTTGTTTGTTTGTTTTTTGAGACAGAGTCTCACTCTGTCGCCCAGGCTGGAGTACTGTGGCTAGATCTCTGCTCACTGCAACCTCCACCTCCTGAGTTCAAGCAATTCTCCTGCCTCAGTCTCCCTAGTAGCTGGGATTACAGGTGTGCACTACCACGCCCAGCTAATTTTTGTATTTTTAGTAGAGACGGGGTTTCACCATGTTGGCCAGGCTGGTCTCGAACTCCTGACCTCAGGTGATCCACCCGCCTCGGCCTCCCAAAGTGCTGGGATTACAGGCTTGAGCCACCACACCAGCCAACTCTGGGTTTTAACCCTGTCTCTGTCACATTGTAGCTGTGTGACCATGAACAAGTGTCTTAACCTCTCTGAGTCTCAGTTTTCTTATCTTTAAAATGGGGATAACTGCAGCACTGACCTCAGAGGAATGCAACGAGAGACATCTCTACTATTTTTTACCCTGTTTGTCCCATGGCCTGGGCATACCTTCAGCTCGGGCATGCTGCCAATGAGCTCGTAGGGCACCTTCACATCGGGGCAGGTGGTATAGTCGAGGGGCACGAGCTGTGGGGCCAGGTCCTGGTAGCGATAGAAGAGCCTGATGTGGGGAGGAAAAAGCTGGGAAAGACTGGGAGCAGGGAGCAGGCAAGACGCTTGTCCCTTCTTTGTTTTTTGAGACAGAGTCTCGGTCTGTCACCCAGGCTGGAGTGCAGTGGCACAATCTCGGCTCACTGTAACCTCTGCCTCCCGGGTTCAAGCAATTCTCCTGCCTCAGCCTCCCAAGTAGCTGGGATTACAGGCACACCCTGCCACGCCCGGCTAATTCTTTTGTATTTTTAGTAGCGACGGGGTTTCATGTTGGTCAGGCTGGTCTCAAACTCCTGACCTCAGATGATCCACCTGACTTAGCCTCCCAAAGTGTTGGGATTACAGGCGTGAGCCACCGCACCTGGCCAAGTCCCTTCTCTTTCACATTCACAGCTGCTCACTGCACACTGAGGTATACTGGGTCCCCAAGAACACTCAGCCCTGGGCCTGGACCTCAAGCATACAGAGCCTGACACAGGCACCCCTAACCTCCCTGGGGGCAGGGTCAAGGTGCAGAGAGGGCCACAGGACAAAGGGAGACTGGACTGGGGGAAGCAAGCTAGCGAGGAGAAGGGGGTTCCTGGAAGAGGGGACATTGGTTCTGGGCTTTGAAGCATGAGTAGGAGCTTCTAAAGCAGATGGAGTTGGGAGAAGGGAGGGTGCTTATGGCCAGATCACAGCAAGCATTCAGAGAATCCTATATAATCCACACATCTCTGGATATTGTCATGTTATCAGCAAGACCCTGCCTCCAAAGATACCTTCACTTTCATACCTTCCCTTCCTCTCCTTATAATGGGAGGAAGAGGCCGGATGCAGCGGCTCATGCCTGTAATCCCAGTACTTTGGGAGGCCGAGGCGGGTGGATCACCAGAGGTCAGGAGTTCGAGACTAGCCTGGCCAACATGGTGAAACCCCATCTCTACTGAAAATACAAAAAATTAGCTGGGCGTGGTGACGGGCACCTGTAATCCCAACTACTCGGGAGGCCGAGGCAGGAGAATCACTTGAACCTGGGAGCTGGAGGTTGCAGTGAGCTGAGATCGTGTCACTGCACTCCAGCCTGGGCAACAAGAACGAGACTCTGTCTCAAAAAAAAAAAAGAAAAGAAAAAAGAAAGAAAGAGGCCGGGCGCGGTGGCTCACGCCTGTAATTCCAGCACTTTGAGAGGCCGAGGCAGGTGGATCACGAGGACAGGAGATCAAGACCATCCTGGCTAACATGGTGAAACCCCGTCTCCACTAAAAATATAAAAATTTAGCCAGGCGTGGTGGTGGGCGCCTGTAGTCCCAGCTACTCCGGAGGCTGAGGCAGGACAATGGTGTGAACCCGGGAGGCGCAGCATGCAGTGAACCGAGATCAAGCCAGTGCACTCCAGCCTGGGCAACAGAATGAGACTCGGTCTCAATAAAAAAAATAAATAAATAAAAAATAAAAAAGAAAGAAAGAAAAGAAGAAAGAAAGAAAAAAAAGGAGGGATTCCTCAATGGGGCAGAGCAGAGACAAACAGCTAATAGTCACATTTTTTCTAAAGGGCAGACAAAAGATATTTTGCAAATAACTGAATACCACACACACTATCCAGATTATAAGGCCAGTTCTCCACTCAGAAGCCCTCACCTGTGACACCATACCTTCATTAGGGCATGCTGAGCAGCAGCCTTGCAGAGACCATCCTTGGTGGGTCTGAGGTCCCCAAGCTGCTAGGGACTGTCTCTGAGAGAGACATGAGTCCCTAGGTCATATGATGACTAGGAACTCAATGAAGGTGGGGTGGGGAGACCTAGAACTTTCATCCTGACCACTCAGTTCCCTGTCGGGGTCCCATCAGGGAATACCCTGGGTTTAGGTTTCTGTGTGGCTCTGAGCATGTTCCTCTCCTCTCCCTCTCTGTGCCTTGGTTATTCTATCTGATAAGCAAGAAGCTTGGGACAGACAAAATGTCTGTCCTTGGGGCCTTGGGGCTCTGTGCATTTACCCTTCAGCCTGGGATCAGCCCCGCCCTGTCTGAGCCTCAGTTTCCCCATCAGTAATTTGATCGTGATGGCCGAGGTGACCCTGCAAGCTGTCCTCACCCAAACAATGGGGCTCACTAGTAAAAGGTGTGGCCATCAATAATGGATGTCCTGTTACTACACAACTGGGGCCTTGGCCCCGATCACACTGCAGCTGAACCCTGGCCAGCTTGGGTTTCATAGCTCCAAGTTCATGGGTCGGGGCCCCTGGGCAATGGCCCCACAGGCCGAGTGATGATGTGGGATACTCATCTGTGCCCATCGTGCTGGGTCACGCCAGGGACCTGCAGCAGCCTTGGGCCACCTCCTCACACCCTCATCTTAATGCCAAGCCCACAACCCAGACTGGGCTCTGGACTTTGCACCTGGGCTCCCAGCCTCAAGTCCCAGTCTCAGGAGAATCTTTATCTTTCATTTTGTTTTTCTGAGGCAGAGTCTAGCTCTGTCACCCAGGCTGGAGCACAGTGGCGTGATCTCGGCTCACTGCAACCTCCACCTCCCAGGTTCAAGCAATTCTCCTGCCTCAGCCTCTTGAGTAGCTGGGATTACAGGCACCCACCACCTCGCCCAGCTGATTTTTGTATTATTAGCAGAGATGGGGTTTCACCATGTTGGCCAGGCTGATCTTAAACTCCTGACCTCAGGTGATCCACCCACCTTGTCCTCCCAAAGTGCTGGGATTACAGGCATGAGCCACCGCGCCCAGCCTCAGGAGAATCTTTCTAACGTGCTGATGGTCTCTCCCCTGCTCATGCATGCTCCATAGCTCCCTGCCACCCTTGGGAGAAAGCCCAAGCTCATCAGCCTAGAGACTGGGACAGTATGACAAGATGTGACTTGTCAGCTTCTCCATCTCTGCCTCTGTCCACTGACCACACCTGCCCCCCTTCCCCATTTGAGTCCCAACAAATTGGAAATACCAGTTGGGCATGGTGGCTCACACCTGTAATCCCAGCACTTTGGGAGGCTGAGGCAGGGGGATCGCTTGAGCCCAAGGGTTTAAGACCAGCCTGGGCAACATAGTGAGAGCCCCATCTCTATAAAAAAATACAAAAATGAGGTACATGTGGTGGCTCGCACCAGTGGTCCTAGCTACTCGAGAGGCTGAGGTGGGAGGATCACCTGACCTTGGGAGATCGAGCCTGCAATGAGCCATGATTGCACCACTGCACTCCAGCCCAGGCAATAGAGACAGACCCTGTCTCAAAAAAAAAGAAAAGAAGGAAGGAAGGAAGGAAGGGAGGGAGGGAGGGAGAGAGAGAGAGAAAAGAGAAAGAAAGAAAGAAAGACTACTTACACACACACACACACACACACACACACACACACACACACACACCAAATTGCAAATATCCTCCAGCAATGAATAGAAAGTTGTTTTTCCAGATCTTCTCTCCCTTCCTCCCTGGACTGACCTCATGATCTCCTTCCTTGTGAAAAATGTGCAGTCCTGTGGAGAGAGGTGTTGTCTTAACCCGAACCCTGCCTCTGGGGCCTCCTCCCACGGCCTCCTCCCTCCACCCCACACTCACACAGATGGCCTGATGCTGCCACACACAGAGCAGAACCAGGAACCCAGGCGGACGGTACACCCAGATGAAGGCATTCTGTTCCCATTTCCCAGACCACGGAACCAAAGTTGTCAAACCCACTGAGGACCCATCCTGCCCCCCTCTACCTGATACGCTTCCAGCTGCTCGTGTGTGAAGACTGTCTGCTTGTTGCCCATGGTGTGAACCACAGCCCAGACTTGGGGATGCACCCCAAAGGCTCCCAGCTTCCTCGGGGCCACACGGGTTGCCAGGCTGTTGTGTACCAGTGTCTGGGCAAATCTCCCTGCCCTGGCTGTCACCCACCCACCTACGCCATCACCCCCTGCTTGATGAGACTCAAATTACAGCCAGGCTCTCTGGACAACAGCCTGAATGTGTCCATGGGTAAGGATAAGGGCTGTGGGATGTCACAGAGAAGACCTCAGTGGGGAGGCCACATCTGCCACCACAAGGTGAGGCTGGGGTTATGGGGCACACTCAAGAGACAGGCAGGGTATACAGAAGGGCTATGGGCACACTGCAGCTCAAATCCCAGCTCTCTGCCCACTAGCTGTGTGGCCCTGGGCAAGTCACCTGACTTCTCTGAACCTCATTCATGAGATGAAAATTACATTATACCTACCTCATAGGGTCATTCTCAGGATCTGAGATTTAAAAAAAAAAAAAAAAGGTTTTGACTGGGCAAGGTGGCTCACACCTGTAATCCCAGCACTTTGGGAGGGCCAGGCAGGCGGATCACCTGAGGTCAGGAGTTCAAGACCAGCCTGGCCAACACGGCAAAACCCCATCTCTACTAAAAATACAAAAATTAGCTTGGCATTGTGACACATGCCTGTAATCCCAGCTACTCCAGAGACTGAGGCAGGAGAATTGCTTGAACCCAGGAGGTGGAGGTTGCAGTGAGCCGAGATCCCGCCATTGCACTCCAGACTGGGTGACAGAGTAAGACTCCATCTCCAAAAAAAAAAAAAAGGTTTTGGCTGGGCGAGGTGGCTCATACCTGTAATCCCAGCACTTTAGGAGGACAAAGCATGAGATTCACTTGAGGCCAGGAGTTCAAGATCAGCTTGGGCAGCATGGCAAGGCCCTATCTCTACTAAAAATACAAAAATTAGCTGGATGTGGTGGTGCATGCCTGTGGTCCCAGCTACTCAGGAGGCTGAGGTGGGAGGATTGCTTGAGCCCAGGAGTTTGAGGCTGCAGTGAGCCATGATTGCATCACTGCATTGGGAACATAATGGTGAACAAGCTAGATGAAGTTCTGGGGTGTGCATTGACATTATTATTTTATTACATTTTATTTTTTTGAGACAGTCTCACTCTGTTGCCCAGGCTGGAGTGCAGTGGTGTGATCTCGGTTCACTGCAATCTCTGCCTCCCAGGTTCAAGTGATTCTCCTGCCTCAGCATCCCAGGTAGCTGGGACCACAGGTGTCCACCATGCCAAGCTAATTTTTTTTGTATTTTTTTTTTTTGAGACGGAGTCTCGCTCTGTCACCCAGTCTAGGGTGCAGTGGCGTGATCTCGGCTCACTGCAAGCTCCACCTCCCGAGTTCAGGCCATTCTCCTGCCTCAGCCTCCCGAGTAGCTGGGATTATTACAGGCGCCCACCACCACGCCTGGCTAAGTTTTGTATTTTTAGTAGAGACAGAGTTTCACTATGTTGGCCAGGCTGGTCTCGAACTCCTGACCTCAGGTGATCCACCCGCCTCGGCCTCCCAAAGTGCTGGAATTACATGTGTGAGCCACCTCGCCCGGCCCAAAGGGCAGATCTAATGTAGCAGCTACCAACTTTATTAAGGCCCAGAATCCTCTTGGGTGGAGAATCTGAGAGTCTAAATTTCTTAGCCTGGCCCTCCATGCCCTTCTCACTTTGGGTCTCACCTGTGTTTTCTCTACCTGGCCTGGACTATTGCAATGTTTCCCAGCAGGCTTTCCTGCCTCGGCCTCATCAAGCATCCTCTGCCAAATCTGTGCAGTCATCTTGTAAAATGTGACCCTGATCAGGCTTGAAAGATGCCTCAAGGATGACTTTTTTTTTTTTTTGAGACAGGGTCTCACTCTGTCACCCAGGCTGGAGAGCAGTGATACAATCATGGCTCACTGCAGCGACCCTCCTTCCTCAGCCTCCCAGGTAGCTGGCACTAGAGGCACATGCTGCCACATCCGGCTAATTTTTTTTTTTTTGTATTTTTTGTGGAGACAGGGTCTGTCTATGTTGCCCAGGCTGGTCTTGAACACCTGGCCTCAAGTGATCTACCCACCTTAGCCTCCCAAAGTGCTGGGATTACAGGCATGAACCACCATGCCCAGCCATCCAAGAATAACTTTCAAAAAATAAACAATATCAAGTGTTGGTGAGGGTATGGAGCAACTGGAATGCTCATACATTGCTGGTGTTGATGCAAAATGGTATAGACACTCTGGAAAATAGGTTGGCTGGGTTTTTTTTAAATAGAATTAAACTTAACCTTACCACAAGATTCAGGGCCTGGTATGGTGGCTCATGCCTGTAATCCCAGCACTTTGGGAGGCCAAGGCAAGAGGACCACTTTAGCCCAGGAGTTGGAGACCAGCCTAGGCAACATGGTGAAGCCCCATCTCTACAAAAATACAAAAATTAGCCAGGTTTGGTGGTATCCAGCTACTTGGGAGGTTTGCTTGAGGTAGGGAGGTCGAGGATGAAGTGAGCTATGATCACTCCACTGTACTGCACTCCAGCCTGGGAGACAGAGTGAGATCCTGTCTCAAAAAAAAAAAAAAAAAAAGACTCCTGGGTGTTTACCCAAGGGAAATAAAAACCTATGTTCAACTGAGAGTGACCCCTAATGTAAACTATCCACTAACCACTGTGGGTGATAATGATGTATCAGTGTCAGTTCATCAATTGTAACAGACTAGCTACTGTCATGCACTTGCATGTGGAGGATGTTGATTGTAGGGGAAGCTATACAAGTATGAAAGCAGCAGGTGTACGGGAAATCTCTGTACCTTCTGATCAATTTTGCTGTGAAACTAAGACTGCTCTAAAAAAATAAAGTATAGTGTAAAAAAAAAATTTAAACTAGGTTCACACAAAAACCTGTCATGCCCACAGAATGGGACAAATGCTCAGTGCTCAAGTCATTTATATAAAATGGCATAATATTTGCATATAGCCTGTGCACATCTTCCATACACTTTATTTATTTATTTATTTATTTTTATTTTACTTTTTCGAGTTGGAGTCTGGCTCTGTCACCCAGGCTGGAGTGCAGTGGCGTAATCTCAGCCCACTGCAACCTCTGCCTCCTAGGTTCAAGCAATTCTCCTGCCTCAGCCTCCCTAGTAGCTGGGATTACAGGTGCACACCACTGTGTCCAGCTAATTTTTATATTTTTAGTAGAGACGGGGTTTTGCCATGTTGGCCAGGCTGGTCACAAACTCCTGACCTCAAGTGATCCGGCCCACCTTGGCCTCTCAAAATGCTGGGATTACATGGGCCACCATGCCCGGCCCTCCATAGACTTTAAATTATCTCTAAATTATGTATAATATCTAATGAAATATAAATGCTACATAAATAATTGTTACACATTTTTATTTGTATTCTTTTTATTGTTGTATTATTTTTATTTTATTGGTTCCAGGTATTTTCACTCCGTGGTTTATTGAATCCATGGATAAGGAAACTGGATATGAAGGGCTAACTGTATTTGTGAATCATATATCTCATAAGGAACTACTATTCAGAATATATAAAGAACTCTCAGGGCCGGGCGCACGCCTGTAATCCCAGCACTTTGGGAGAATGAGGTGGGTGGATCACCTGAGGTCAGGAGTTAGAGACCAGCCTGGCCAACATAGTGAAACCCTGTCTCTACTAAAAATACAAAAAATTAGCCAGGTGTGGTGGTGGGCGCCTGTAATCCCAGCTACTCGGGAGGCTGAGACAGGAAAATCGCTTGAACCTGGGAGGGGGAGGTTGCAGTGAGCTGAGATCGTGCCACTGCACTCCAGCCTGGGCAACAAGAGCGAGACTCTATCTCGAAAAAAACCAAAAAACAAAACCCACGATAAAAACTAAGAACTCTTACATCTCAAAACTAGAAAGACAACCCAAATAAAAACATTATGCTGATCAAGGTAACTTTTGCAAAAAAGAGAAAAGAAGAAAACAAAAACATTATGTTGAGTGAAAGAAGCTAGAGATGAACAGTCCCATATAGTGTGATTCTATTTACATGAAATGTGCACACCACCACACCTGGCTAATTTTTTAAATTTTTGTAGAGATGGGATCTCACCATGTCGTTCAGACTCGTCTCTACCTTCTGAGCTCAACTGATCCTCCCACCTCACCCTCCTAAGTAGCTGGGACCACAGGCAGGTGCCACCGCACTCGCTAATTTTTTGTATTTTTTTTTTATTCCACTTGGGTAAATATCGAGGGGTAGGATTAATGGCTCATATTCAGTATATAAGAAACTTGCCAAACTTCTTCCTAAAGAGGCTGCACTAGTTTGCTTTCTCACCATCAGTGTTTGTAGGTTCTAGTTATTTCACATCTTCTCCAGCAGTTACTATTTTCAGTTTTTTATTTACTTTTATATTTTAATTAATTAATTAATTAATTTATTTATTTATTTATTTATTTATTTCTTGAGACAGAGTCTCGCTCTGTCGCCCAGGCTGGAGTGCAGTGGCGCAATCTCTGCTCACTGCAAGCTCCGCCTCCCAGGTTCCCACCATTCTCCTGCCTCAGCCTCCCGAGTAGCTAGGACTACAGGCGCCCACCACCACACCCGGCTAATTTTTTATATTTTTAGCAGAGATGGGGTTTCACCGTGTTAGCCAGGATGGTCTCGATCTCCTGACCTCGTGATCTGCATTTTTTGTATTTTTTGTAGAGATGAGGTCTCAATATGTTGCTCAAGCTGTTCTCAAACTTTTGGGCTCAAGTGATCCTCTTGCCTCAGCCTCCCAAAGTGTTTGGATTGCACACCAGGCCAGGTGTGAGTCAGCCTGGCATAGAAAATTTACACCCAGCCTGACATAGAAAAATTAATTTTGGCCAGGCGAGGTGGCTCACACCTGTAATCCCAGCATTTTGGGAGGCCAAGGTGGGTGGATCACCTGAGGTCAGGAGTTCGAGACCAACCTGGCCAACACGGAGAAACCCTGTCTCTACTAAAAATATATAAACGAGCCAGGCGTAGTGGCACATGCCTGTAATCCTAGCTACTCTGGAGGCTGAAGCAGGAGAATCACTTGAACCCAGGAGGCGGAGGTTATGGTGAGCTGAGATCGCGCCACGGCACTCCAGCCTGGGTGACAGAGTGAGACTCCGTCTCAAAAAAACCAAACCAAACCAAAACAACAACAACAACAACAAAAGACAACAAGTGTTGTCAGGGGTGTGGAGAAATTGGAACACTTACATAGTTGGTGGGAATGCAAAATGGTGTAGCTGCTATGGAAAACAGTATGAAGGTTCAAAAAAAATTAAAACTATCAGCCGGGCACAGCAGCTCACACCTGTATTCCTAGCACTTTGGGAAGCCAAGGCGGGTGGATCACTTGATCTCAGGAGTTCAAGACCAGCCTGGGAAACATGATGAAACTTTGTCTTTACAAAAAATACAAAATCTAGACAGATGTGGTGGCATGCTCTATGGTACCAGCTATTGGGAGGCTGAGGTGGGAGTATTGCTTGAGCCCAGGAGGTTGAGGCTGCAGTGAGTCATGATTGTGCCACTGTACTCCAACCTGGGCAACAGACCCTGTCTCTAAAAACAGAAGAGGAAGAAGAAGAAGGCAAATCACACATTGTGTTCTTACCACAATGTCTTAGGGGGTTTTTTGTTTGTTTTTTGAGATGAAGTTTCGCTCTTGTCGCCCAGGCTGGAGTGCAATAGCGTGATCTCAGCTCATTGCAACCTCCACCTACCGGGTTCAAGTGATTCTCCCGCCTCAGCCTCCTGAGTAGCTGAGATTACAGGCGCCCGCCACCACACTCGGCTAATTTTTATATTTTTAGTAGAGACGGGGTTTCACCATGTTGATCAGGCTGGTCTTGAACTCCTGACCTCAGGTGATCCACCCGCCTCGGCTTCCCAAAGTGCTGGGATTACAGGTGTGAGCCACCTCGCCCAGACTTTACCATTATTTTTTTGTTCCGCTTCCCAAAGTGTTGGGATTACAGGCATGAGCCACCACACCCAGCCTTTATCACAATTTTTTGTTAATGTAGTTTAAATATGCAGCTACCGTAATTACACTTTTGGGCAATTTCAAAGGAATGGAAACTTATGTTCACATAAAAATCTGTAACAGATGTTTTATCTTAATAACCCCAAACTGGAAACAACCCACATGTGAATGTTTAAGCAAATGGATACGTCCATACCATAGAAAATTACTGGAGAATAGAAAAGGTAAATATTACGACTTGGATGAACTTCTAGGGCATTATGCTGAGTGGAAAACAAACCAATCCTAGCAGGTTACATATTGTATGATTCCATTTATATCACATTCTTTTTTTTTTTTTGAGACGGAGTCTCGCTCTGTCGCCCAGGCTGGAGTGCAGTGGCGTGATCTCCGCTCACTGCAAGCTCCGCCTTCCAGGTTCACGCCATTCTCTTTCCTCAGCCTCCCGAGTAGCTGGGACTACAGGTGCCCGCCACCACGCCCGGCTAATTTTTTTGTATTTTTCTTAGTAGAGACGGGGTTTCAGCGTGTTAGCCAAGATGGTCTCGATCTCCTAACCTCGTGTTCCACCCACCTCGGCCTCCCAAAGTTCTGGGATTACAGGCGTGAGCCACCGTGCCTGGCTATATCACATTCTTAAAATGAATGACAACATCAGAGAAATAGAGAACAGATCCCTGTTTGCCAGCTGTGCAGGAATGGAGGTGAGGGGATAAGTGTGTATGGCTACAAAAGAGCAACAAGAGGAATTTTTTTTTTTAAAGACAGGGTCTCACTCTGTCGCCTAGGCTCGAGTGCAGTGGTGCCATCATAGCTCACTGCAGCCCCAAACTCCCTGGCTGAAGCAATCCTCCTGCCTCAGCCTCTTGAGTAGCTAGGACTACAAGCACCTGCCACCAAACCCAGCTAACTTTTGTATTTTGGGAGGAGACAGGGTTTCACCATGTTGCCCAGGCTGGTGTTGAACTCCTTGGCTCAAGGGATCTGCCCGCTTCAGACTCCCAAAGTGCTGGGATTACAGACGTGAACCACCATGCCTCGCCTCTGTTTATTTCTTAAAACTGCATGTGAGCCTTCAATTATTTCAAATTAAAAGTTTAATTAAAAAAATTACTTCCCCTCCATTTAAACACATTTTGTTTCACATTTTAATACCTCCAAAATCAAGATGCATCTCGAAAGTACTGTTGGAGCATTCTCATTGCCTATACATGCACACCCATTAAAAGCATCCGCTTCAAAACTCACAGAATGGAGGCAGAGGCTAGGAAGAAAATCCCCTAGGATGTGAGGAATGGGGGTGTGGAATCCCATGCGCTTAGCTACATTCCTGAAGTGGGAGCTCACTCAGCAAGCCTGACATTATTGCAAAGCTGGCTAGAAAGTCAAGCCCCACCCTCACTTAATTCCTTTACAGATTCTTTCTTTTCCCTTTTTTTTTTTTTGGAGATGGAGTCTTGCAGTCTTGCTCTGTCACTCAGGCTAGAGTACAGTAGTGTGACCTCGGCTCACTGCAACTTCCGCCTCCCAAGTTCAGGTGATTCTCCTGCCTCAGCCTCCCGAGTAGCTGGGATTACAGGCGCCTGCCACCACGCCTGGCTAATTTTTGTATTTTCAGTAGACACAGAGTTTCGCCATGTTGGCCAAGCTGTTCTTGAACTCCTGACCTCAGGGGAACCACCCGCCTCAGCATCCCAAGGTGCTGGGATTACAGGCATGAGCCACCATGCCCAGCCTCTTTCTTTTCCTAATAAACTTTTAGTTTTGAAATAATTTTAAATTTACATTAAAATTGCAAGGATGGGCTGGGCGCAGTGGCTCACACCTGTAATCCCTGAACTTTGGGAGGCAAAGGCAGGCAGATCACTTGAGGTCAGGAGTTCGAGACCAGCCTGGCCAACATGGAGAAACCCCATTTCTACTAAAAATACAAAAAATTAGCCATACGTGGTGGTATGTGCCTGTAGTCCCAGCTACTCGGGAGGCTGAGGCAGGAGAATCGCTTGAACCTGGGAGGCAGAGGTTGTAGTAAGCGAGATCGCGCTGCTGCACTCCGGCCTGGATGACAGAGCAAGACTCTGTCTCAAAAAAAAAAAAAAAAAATAGCCGGATGTGGTGGCACATGTGTGTAATCCCACCTACTGCAGGGGCTGAGGCAGGAGAATTGCCTGAACCTGGGAGGTCGAGGTTGCAGTGAGCCAAGATCGTGCCACTGCACTCCAGCCTGGGTGACAGAGTGAGACTCCATTTCAATAAACAAATTAACTAATTTAATTTAAGTGCAAGGATGATACAGACAGCTCCCATAACCCTTTTGACCTGCTTCCTCTAATGGTTTTTTTTTTTTGTTATTTATTTATTTATTTATTTTTGAGATGTAGTCTCACCGTGTCACCCACGCTGGAGTGAAATAGCAAATGGCAAAATCTCGGCTCACTGCAACCTCTGCCTCCTGGGTTCAAGCGATTCTCCTGCCTCAGCCTACCCAGTAGCTGGGGCTACAGGTGTGCGTCACTACGCCTGGCTAATTTTTGTATTTTCAGTAGAGGCGCAGTTTCATCATGTTGGCCAGGCTAGTCTCAAACTCCTGACTTCAAATGATCCACCCGCCTCGGCTCCCAAAGTGCTGGGATTACAGGTGTGAGCCACTGAGCCCGGCTCTAATGTTAACATCTTACACAACCACAGCATATTTAGCACTACTAAGAATTTAACATTGGCACGTTACTATTTCTTTTTCTTTTTTTGTAGTTTTTTTTTAATTTGTATTCAAGACTCAACATAATCATTTTCTTTTCCTTTTTTTTTTTTTTTTTTTTTTTGAGATAGGGTCTTGCTCTAGTGCCCAAGCTAGAGTGCATCAATCAAGATCCTAAATCACTGCACCCTCGAACACCTACACCCAGGCTCAAGTGATCCTCCTGCCTTAGCCTCCCGAGGAGCTGAGACCGCAGGTGTGCCCCGCCACATCCGGCTAATTTTTTTCTTTTCTTTTTTTTTTTTTTTTTTTTTTTTGAGACGGAGTCTTGCTCTGTCGCCAGGGCGGAGTGCAGTGGCACGATCTCCGCTCACTGCAACCTCCGCCTCCCGGGTTCAAGTGATTCTCCGCCTCAAGCCTCCTGAGCAGCTGGGATTACAGGCTCGCGCCACCACGCCCGGCTAATTTTTTTTATTTTTAGTAGAGACGGGGTTTCACCATGTTGGCCAAGATGGTCTCCATCTCCTGACCTCGTGAGCCGCCCGCCTCGGCCTCCCAAAGTGCTGGGATTACAGGTGTGAGCCACCGCGCCCGGCAAAAAGATCGCCTTGCTTTTGACACAAAAGTGCTGGCAGCCCCCATCCCCTGGTACCAGAAGCCCCTCTGCACAGTCTTTTCCAGGTGTGGACGGATAATTAGGCAGTGACTTGCTGCCCCCTGCAGGTAAGACTGAGAAAGGCAGCCCCTGTGCCCTCCTTTTTCTTGTGTCCGGTAGATTTGGGGACGTTTGCTTCTCTCTTCTCCACCTCCTTTGCCTTCTCCCCACTACCCCACCCCCCGCCAGCAATTAAAAAAAAAAAGCCACCCTGGCACAATTTGGACAAAATCTATGAGAAATAAAACGTGCAAACGTGCATAACCTTGGACCTAGTAATTCCATTGGTTGCAAAAGTCAGCCAAGATTTGTGGGCACGGATTGTGTTCATTCATTTATCTAGGGCAGTATTAGGGCTGTTTCTAATTTGTTGGCTATTACAAATAAATCTGCAGTGAACATTCATTTACACAATTTTATATGGGTCTATACTTTCATTTCACTTGGGTTAAAACGTAGGAATCTAATTCTTTTGTCATAGTATAAGTGAATGCTTAATCTTTTAAAGAACTGTCAGACTGATTTCTAAACTGTTTATGCCATTTTACATTCACAACAGCAGCACGTTTGAGTTCCAGTTTCAACACATCTTCACAGATACTTGGTAGGCACAGCCTTTTTAAATTTTTCCCATAATAGTTTTTTTTTTTACTAGGTTTTTGATACAGAGGGAAATAGAGAAGAAACCAAAAATTCCGATAGTCCTCTGCTGACATTAAAAAGATATATTCAAGGGCCGGGCACGGTGGCTCACGCCTGTAATCCCAGCACTTTGGGAGGCTGAGGCAGGCGGATCACCTGAGTTCAGGAGTTCGAAACCAGCCTGGACAACATGGCAAAACCCTATCTCTACTAAAAATACAAAAATTAGCGGGGCATGGTGGTGGGCGCCTGTAATCCCAGCTACTCAGGAGGCTGAAGCAGGAGAATCTCTTGAACCTGGGAGGTGGAAGTTGCAGTGAGCCAAAATCGTGCCACTGCATTCCAGCCTGGGCAACAGAGCGAGACTCTGTCTCAAAAAAAAAAAAAAAGATATATGCATGTACACATCGTATGTAAGAAAACCGCACAGTACTGAAAGGATGAAAAGAAAGAAAGAAAGGGCCAGGGGTGGTGGCTCACGCCTGTAATTCTAATGCTTCAGGAGGACTGCTTGAGGACAGGAGTTTGAGACCAACCTGGACAACACAGCAATACCCTATCTCTATTGATTTTTTTTTTTTTTTTTTTTTTTTGAGACGGAGTCTTTGTCTGTTGACCAGGCTGGAGTGCAGTGGTGCGATTTTGGCTCACTGCAACCTCCGACTCCCGGGTTCAAGCGCTTCTCCTGCCTCAGCCTACCAAGTAGCTGAGACTACAAGCGCAGGCTACTATGCCCAGCTAATTTTTGCTTTTTGTGTTTTGTTTTGTTTTGTTTTAGTAGATACAGGGTTTCGCCATGTTGGCCACGCTGGTTTCCAACACCTGACCTCACGTGAACCGCCTACCTTGGTCTCCCAAAGTGCTGATTTAAATATATATGTACTTTTTTTTTGAGATGGAGTCTCTCTCTGTCGCCCAGGCTGGAGTGCAGTGGTGTGATTTCAGCTCACTGCAACCTCCGCCTCCCGGGTTCAAGCGATTCTCCTGCCTCAGCCTCCCGAGTAGCTGAGACTACAGGCGCCCGCCACCACGCCCAGGTAATTTTTTGTATTTTTAGTAGAGACGGGGTTTCACCGTGTTAGCCAGAATGGTCTCCATCTCCTGACCTCGTGATCCGCCCACCTCGTTTTCCCAAAGTGCTGGGATTACAGGCGTGAGCCACCGCGCCCGGCATAAAATAGATTTTTAATTGTTTTAACATACCACCAACCTTGTCACATGATATTGTCATTTACCTAAAGCTGAAAAATTAATGAATACTGATTAGGTTTACAAAATTAGGTTCAGCTATCCAGTGAACGCTCAAAATATGGCAATAAAAGAGAACGGGGGTGGTGGGGCGTGGCTCAGGCCTGTGATCCCTGCGCTTTGGAAGGCCGAAGCAGGAGGATCACTTGAACCCACGAGTTCGAGACCAGCCTGGACAACACAGCGAGACCCCATCTCGACAAAAAAATTTAAATGAAAATATTAGCCGCGCTCAGTGGCGCCCGTCTGCAGTCTGCTACTGGGGAGGCTGAGGCGGGAGGATCTCTTGAGCCCAAGGGTTCAAGGCTGCAGTGAGCCACGATCGCGCCACTCCACTCCAGCCTAGGTGACAGACCAAGATCGTGTCTCTAAAAAAGAAAAAAAAATCAAGGAGAGAGAACAGGTCACCCAAAAGTGCGCAAAACGCTCAAAAAGGGGTTGGGTTTCCAGCACCCTGTGTGAAGAATGGGAGACCGGAAGTGGGCGCCAAATTCGGAAGTGTGGCAGCAGATAGGAATCGAAGGGCACTCATTCGCTTGGCTCTCTGTCCCGCCCACTACCCGGAAGTGTGGCCCGGGTCCAGAACCAAGAGCGCATGCTCACCTTGTAGCTCAGCCAATCAAAGAGAAGCGAGGCGGCCATTCGGGCGGAAATAGTGTTTGCAAACAGGAAGTGTGGCACTCCAGCTACCGAAGCACTGGAGAGTGTCATGGAGGCCTACGAGCAGGTCCAAAAGGGACCCCTGAAGCTGAAAGGCGTCGCAGAGCTGGGAGTGACCAAGCGGTGAGGCCCGAGGGCCCGCGGGATTCCGTCTTCATCCCCCTTAGACCTTTTCTCGGGACCCCTGGCCCTGATCCTCCGACCCGCCGCCTCCTCATGTCTTTTTCCAGGAAGAAGAAAAAGAAGGACAAAGACAAAGCGAAACTCCTGGAAGCAATGGGAACGAGCAAAAAGAACGAGGAGGAGAAGCGGCGCGGCCTGGACAAGCGGACCCCGGCCCAGGCGGCCTTCGAGAAAATGCAGGAGAAGCGGGTGAGCAGAAGCAGAAGGCGGCGGGGAGGCGGGAACACCCGGCGCCGGGAGACTGGAAATTGGGGTCAGGGCTGGGACGCTCCGAGGGCAGGGGAGCGGTCAGAGGAGACCTTAATTACGGGGAGAGGATGCTGTACGTGAGTGAGAGAAGAGTCGCCCTCTGCCGGGGGAGCTCCAAGGATGAGAAGACCCCGCTGGCCCGAGTGGGCAGCAGAGGGGAGAGCTAGAACTGGCGTTGAAAGGAGGCCAGAGCTGGAGACCCGGGTTTGGATTCCAGTGCTGTGGCTTATTTGCCCTGCGACACTAGGCCAGTGACTTTCTTATTTCCGTGCCTCAAGTTTCCTCTTCTGTACGAGTCAGGGTAGTAACTTATTCTAAGAGGGTTGGGAACTTGAGAGGAAGTCATGAAAGTAAAAAGCAGTGCATACATGTTCAGTGGATGCCAGCTCTTGATATTAAATGGCCATGCTCGCCGCTCGAAGTCACCACAAAGTTTGTTTCCAAGACAACTTTGTTTGGCAGATTCAAACATGCTGTATTTTTTAAAAAATTAGTTATTTTTGGCGGGGTCAGAGCACTGCAGCCTCTGCCTCCGGGGTTCAAGCAATTCTCCTGCCTCAGCCTCCCGAGTAGCTGGGATTGCAGGCGCCCGCCACCACACCTGGCTAATTTTGGTATTTTTCGTAGAGATGCGGTTTCACCATGTTGGCCAGGCTGATCTCGAACTTCTGATCTCAAGTGATCCGCCCGCCTCAGCTTCCCAAAGTGCTGGGATTACAGGCGTGAGCCACCGCACCCAGTCTCAGCTGTTGATATTGAATGGCCATGCCCATGACGACTTTGTTTGTATTGTATTATAAGGCTCCGATAAATTATTTTTTCTTAACACCATAAATGTGTGCAGTGGAGAACAGAAGAGTTCACAGTAAGACAGAAACTGGGTCCATTATGCTGGGGAGAGGGAATAATCAGTGTAGGTCAGTGATTCTCACCTGGGGGTAGTCTCCACCCCCCTAAACTCCCACCCCGAAGCACATGTGGCAATGTCTGGAAACATTTTTGGTTCTCAACTGGGTTGGGGTGGGGACTACTGGCAACTAGTGGCTAGAGGCCAGGGATGACACCACACACCCTGCGATACACAGGACAGCCTGCCGCAGCAAAGAGTGATCCGGCTCCAAATGTCAGTAGCACTGAGGCTGAGAAACCCTAACCCTGGTCTAGGTGATTCTGTACGGTGACACTGGGGAAAATGGACCTTGGGGACAATTAACTCCTTACTCCCAGATCTAATTCAGGCATACAGAAAACACATGGATGCACTACCTCTGGCATGACAGACCTGAGTTTGACTCTGCCTCTACCACAAATTAGTGGTGTGACCCTGGGCAAGCCGGCTACCTATTACTTAAAGTAGCACTAAAGTCTGCCTCACAGGGTTGTGGTAAGGATTTAACAAGTCAGGCGGGCGGATCACGAAGTCAGGAGTTCAAGACCAGCCTGGCCAACATGGTGAAACCCTGTCTCTACTAAAAATACAAAAATTAGCCGGGCATGGTGGCACACACCTGTAATCCCAGCTACTTGGGAGGCTGAGGCAGGAGGATTGCTTGAACCAGTACCCGGGAGGCAGAGGTTGCAGCGAGCCGAGATCACGTCACTGCACTCCAGGCTGGCAACAGAGTGAGACTCCGTCTCAGTGAGACTCAGTCTGGCTCTGTCACCGAGGCTGGAATGCAGTGGCTCGATCTCGGCTCACTGCAACCTCCGCCTCCGGGGTTCAAGCGATTCTCCTGCCTCAGCCTCCTGAGTAGCTGGGATTACAGGCGCCTGCCACGACGCCCATCTAATTTTTTTGTATTTTTAGTAGAGATGGAGTTCCACCACGTTAGCCAGGCTGTTCTTGAACCCCTGACCTCAGGTGATCCGCCTGCTTCAGCCTCCCAAATTGCTGGGATTACAGGCGTGAGCCACCACGCCCGGCCTTTTTTTAATTTTTTGAAAAAGCCTCGCTCTGTTGTCCAGGCTGGAGTGCATTGGTATGATCTCAGCTCACTGCAACCTCTGCCTCCTGGGTTCAAGCGATTCTCCTGCCTTAGCCTCCTGAGTAGCTGGGACTACAGGCGCCCACCACCATGCCCAGCTAATTTTTGTATTTTTAGTAGAGACGGGGTTTCACCATGTTGGCCAGGCTGGTCTCGCTCTCCTGACCTCAAGTGATTCACCCGCCTCAGCCTCCCAAAGTGCTGGGATTACAGGCGTGAACCACCATGCCTGGCCAAGTAAATGCATTTCTTTCCCTTCTAACCCTGAGGTTGTAGTCAGAGGCAGGGCTGAGATTTTATTGCTGGAAGCCAGAATGAGACTTATGCGAGACTTAGGCAGCTATTAAGAGACTAATAATGGGAGCTCAGAGTAGAGCAGTCGTGATGGAGCCAGTGGAAGGTAACAGGTTTGGAATAGGTTTTCAAGGATGAATTCAGGGTTAGCTGTTGGGTTGGATGTAAGCTGGGAAAGAAAGAAGAGTCAAGGATGACCAAGACTTTGGGCTGGGCAGTTTGATGAATGAAGGTGCTGTTTACTGGGGTGGGAAGGATTGCAGGTAAAGCAGGTTTTCTGGAGTGGGAGTTGAGGGAGGGGGAACCAAAGCTATAGTTTTAAAGAAGGTAAATGCAGTGCCCCAGTAGAAATCCAAGTGGAGTCAGCCAGGCACAGTGGCTCATGCCTGTAATCCCAACATTTTGGGAGGCCGATGTGGGAAGATCAGTTGAGCCCAGGAGTTCAGGACTAGCCTGGGCAACATAGCGATACCCTGTCTCTTCAAAAACTAAAATAGTAGCTGGGTGTCACGCCTGTGGGCAGAGCCCAGCCAGGTGCCTGGCATTGTGTGGCAGCTGGACAAGTCAGTGTGGCTTCTCACAGGGAGACACAGGCTTTGGCTGGGCTCACAGCAGCAGGAAGAGGGACAGAGATGGGCAGGGCACTCGCCTTAGAGGGAGAATCAGCCAGGTGAGGGCTGACTGGACACAGGAGGTGAGGGAATGAAGGAGAAGGGGGGGACAGAGAGGAGCAGCCAGGTGGCCCCTACCAATAATATCTCATGATGCTCTGGGTTGACTGGGCTTAGCAGGGTCTGACCTCACTTGGAGTCTGGTGTGGTCAGATGGCAGCTGGGCCTGGAGTCTCTGAAGGTGCAGCTGGGCTGCAGCATCTAAGATGGCTTTGTCGCCATATAGCTGGTGCCTCAGTGCTTCTTTTTTTTTTTTTTTTTTTTTTTGAGACAGTCTCGTTCTGTTGCCCAGGCTGGAGTGCAATGGCAAGATCTCAGCTCACTGTAACCTCCACCTCCCGGGTTCAAGCTATTCTCCTGCCTCAGCCTCCCAAGTAGCCGGGACTACAGGCGCATGCCACCACACCTGGCTAATTTTTGTATTTTTAGTAGAGACGGGGTTTCACCATGTTGGCCAGGCTGGTCTCAAACTCCTGGCCTCAAGTGATCCTCCCACCTTGGCCTCCCAAAGTGCTGAGATTACAGACATGAGCCGCCATGCCCCACCTCTCAGTGCTTCTTTCGTGGCCTCTTCCTTCATGTCATCTCATCTTCCAGGTCCTTTCTTTCCAGCAGGGCCATCAGACTTCCTGCACAGCAACTGGCTTCCAAGGGCACAAAGCTAATGCTGCCAGGTCTTATGCATGGACCCAGAACTGGTACTGTGTTCCTTCGAGTTAACTGAGTCCACGGCCAGGTCAGAGTCAGTGTGGCATGGGGACTGCACAAGGGATGAATCATAGGCAGCACAGTTATAGGGGCCACCAAAGAGTGGGCCACAGTCACCCAGCCAGGAAGTGTGGAGCCAGGTGTGGCCTCAGATCTGTCTGGCTTTATATCCCACACTCCAACTCTTTTTTTTTTTTTTTTTTTTTTTTTTGACAGGGTCTCTCTCTCTGTCACCCAGGCTGGAGTGCATTGGTGTGATCATAGCTCACTGCAGCCTCAACCTCCTGGGTCAAGCAGTCCTCTCACCCCAGCCTCTTGAGTAGCTGGGACCACAGGTGTGCACCACCAAAATCAGCTGATTTTCTTGTAGAGTTGGGGTCTCCTTATGTTGCCCAGGCTAGTCTTGAACTCCTGGGCTCAAGCTATCCTCCTGCCTTAGCCTCCCAAAGTGCTGGGATTACAGGCATGAGCCACCGCGCCCAGCCCACACTCCCAGCTGCTACCAGATACTGACCTTTCCAGGTGTCATTGAGTGTTTGAAGTGAGGATCAGAGCAGGTCATGGTGCAGGAGGCATATTTCAGAATAACCCTGGGGATGGTGATCCTGGTCTTGTAGCCCTAACATCAGGATGGGAAGTGTCACTTGAGCACCTGCTCTATGTCAGACCCTTTACCTCTCTCTTTCTCATCATTCCTGAAACCCGCTCTGGGACTTTGTTTTCCTCCAAACTGGGAGTGCTAACAGCCTCCTCAGGATGCAGGAAGCATGCCGACAGCTCCCAGCAGAGTCTGCTCATGGGTACGCGCTCAGGCATTGCTGGTTCATTTCCTGCCACTCACGAAGCTGGCAAGTGACCTGGGTTCCCTGTTGGACCAGCCTGGGTGGAGTTGAGGGAGGGGGACAAGGCACAGAGCCTGAAACCTCCAGCTGTTCTAAATGTGAGAGCCAGTCTGGCCAGGCTCCATCTTCCACCCCATGCCAGCCTGGGCTGTGTTGAGCCTGTAAACTCACCTCCATGTCTCTTCTCTCTCCAGCAAATGGAAAGGATCCTAAAGAAGGCATCCAAAACCCACAAGCAGAGAGTGGAGGTGAGTCGCCGTGTCCAGTGGGGGAGACTGAGCCATTCAGGGTCCCAGCTGGGCCCAGAGGCTATCAGCTGGCAGAGGGAGCTGTTGGCATGTTGACGAGAAGGGAAGTTTACCTAATAGAAGTGACACTTCCCCAGGGTTATTCAAAGGGGAGCCCAGGGTTCAGGAGTCTGTAAGACCTGGCAGGGTGAGTTTGAGAGGAGGGGGCTCAGGAGAGATAGGATGTGGGAGAGGTGGGGCTGGGCAGTGCCACTTCTCCCCAGTACCCCACTTGGGTCTGCGCTGACACCGGCCTTCTACTCCACCTCCCCAGGACTTCAACAGACACCTGGACACACTCACGGAGCATTACGACATTCCCAAAGTCAGCTGGACGAAGTAGCCGCCTGCCCCCAGTATGGAGCAGCATCGAGGGTTCGCAAAAGGCCACACTGGGGTTGTGTGTGTTTCCTTTGGTATATTCTGGAAACATGGCTACACACACCCTTGCATCTTCTGCTACAGACTGCTTTTCGAAGCTGTGTACCCTCATTCTGGAACTTGATTAAAGTAAGATCGTCCTTGTACTCAGTTTAGGCTTCTTGGCAACATACAGAAGATACACCCTTTTCGTTTGGATGGAAAGTTTCTAAGTTTATCCAGAGGTAAAGCCCATTGTGTGTCTGTGTCATGTAAAAATGTTTTCACCCGAGTTGCATGTAACGCTCTGAGGCCAGCCAGCTGTCTTCTCCTGGATGAGACAGACTCCAGAGGGTAAGGAGCTAGCGCCATGGTGGCCTGCAGTATGCAGAGCCCCGCAGGACCCAGCGTGGGCGCCCTTCCAAGCTTCCTCTAGCTTTGGGCCTATGCTGTCCCCTGCAGGCCCTAGGGAAGCCACTTGCAACTATGCGGCCTTCAGACTTCCTCCTCAGCCACCTGGCCACTGAGACAGCATAGCCTGGGTAACGGAACAGCCACCTAAGGCAAGAATGGAACGGACACACCTTGCTCCTTTCTGAGCCCGTTTCCCAAAACCCCCCTTCCAGGTGCTTCTAATGGGTGTTGCCATAGCAGACGCTGCTAATGCATCACAGCATTCTTTGAAATGGAACCAGACACAGCCTGCCTCTCAATCCTCAGCTGGGGGCTCCTAGCAGCCTCTTGTATTTACTCAGAGTTGACACATCACACAGATCCTGTTTGGCATTCCTACCTTACGGACGTCTCAGGGGTGACAGGACCAGGGCAGAGCCCCGGTACAAACAGACAAGGCTGCAGTCAAATGGGAGGGTCCAGGTGTCCGTGTTGGAGGGCTGGGATCTTGTAGGGCCTGTGCGTCCTGGCTGAGGATCAAACCACATATGTTATTGGGAGAAACGATTTCTGTTGACGTAGATATTGAAAGAATAATGAAGGCAGAAGAGAAAAACGAAGTGTGGAATTTGGGGTTGTCCTGTGTAAATTACACAATAAAGCAAAAGTCAGTTATTGTAAGTCTGAGTGTCTTCTTTTTTTTTTTCCCAGACAGAGTTTCACTCTCTTGCCCAGGCTGGAGTGCAGTGGCATAATCTTGGCTCACTGCAACCTCCACTTCCCAGGTTCAAGTGATTCTCCTGCCTCAGCCTCCCAAGTAGCTGGGACTACAGGCAACCGCGACTACGCCTGGCTAATTTTTGTATTTTTAGTTAGAAACGGGATTTTTCCATATTGGCCAGGCTGATCTCGAACTCCTGACCTCAAGTGATCTGCCGCCTCAGCCTCCCAAAGTGCTGAGTGTCCTCTTATAGGCTGTTTGTCACCAAAATGTCTTTTGGATTTGTGGCACAGAAAAATATTCATACTGGAAAACGGCAACTCAGGTGGAAAAATTTCGATGGCACATCTGTTCCCGCCTATGGTTCACACCTAAGAGAGATGACACACACTCTCATTAGCAGTGGCTTTTGCCAGTGATTCTCCCATGGCCTGGTGGAAAGACAGTTTCAGACCTTTTCCTTCCACAAGCTAGCAGCAGGAGTCTGCATTATGTACTACTGTGGAAACCCTTTATTAGTATAGTGGAAAGGTAGTTATTTCAGCTCTTTCCCTGCATAACAAACGGCTCCAAAAGGCAGTGGCTTAAAACAACAAAAATGTATTTTTATTTTATTTTATTTTATTTTATTTTATTTTTTTGAGATGGAGTCTTGCTCTGTTGCCCAGGCTGCAGTGCAATGACGCGATCTCGGCTCCCTGCAACCTCCACCTCCCGGGTTCAAGCAATTCTCCTGCCTCAGCCTCCCAAGTAGCTGGGATTATAGGTGCGTGCCACCACGCCCAGCTAATTTTTGTATTTTTAGTAGCAACAGGGTTTCACCGTTTTGGCCGGGATGGTTTCGATCTCTTGACCTCTTGATCCACCTGCCTCAGCCTCCCAAAGTGCTAGGATTATAGGTGTGAGCCACCACACCCGGCCAAAACTTTATTTATTATCACAACTCTGGCTTGACTGTGCTAGGCTGGAGGATTCTGTTCCATGGAGTGTGGTTCAGTTCACTCATTTAGTTGTGTTGGCTTTCCCGGGGCCAGAAAGTCCAGGGTGGCATCTCACCCTCCAGGATCTCCCTCCACAAAGCCTATTTCTTTATTATTGTTGTTATTATTATTATTATATTTATTTATTTATTTTGAGACAGAGTCTCGCTGTGTCGCTCAGGCTGGAGTGCAGTGGTGCGATCTCAGCTCACTGCAACCTCCGCCTCCCTGGTTCAAGTGACTCTCCTGCCTCAGCCTCCTGAGTAGCTGGAATTGCAGGCACCCACCACCACGCCCGGCTAATTTTTGTATGTTAGTAAAGACAGGGTTTTACCATGTTGGCCAGGCTGCTCTCGAACTCCTGACCTCAAGTGAGTCGCCTGCCTCAGCCTCCCAAAGTGCTGGGATTACAGACATCAGCCACCACGCCCGGCCTACATAGCCTATTTCAGCGGCCAAAACAAGCCACCTAGCCAAACCCGGAGTCTGGCAGGGAACTCCACAAGGGCATGAACACTAGGAGGTGTGGTTTACTGGGATCCAATACCCTTACAGTCCACCACCGCTGTCCTCAAATTTACATTAGAATCACCTGGGGAGCATTAAAAACCGCCAAGTTCTGGTGCCAGGCACAGTGCGACGTATGCAAATGTAATCCCAGCTGCTCAGGAGGCTGAGGCTGGAGGGTTGCCTGAGCCCAGGAGTTCAAAGCGAGCCTGGAGAACAGAGATTCTTATTGTGTGTAGGGAGTGTTGTGGCAGGCCAGGTCTCACTAATGCAGGCCTCCGGCCTTCATAATGACTGTTTAAGTACTGACTAAGTGGTTAATTTTTTTTTTTTTTTTGGAGATGGCATTTCGCTCATTGCCCAGGCTGGAGTGCATTGGTGCGATCTCGGCTCACTGCAACTCTGCCTCCCGGGTTCAAGCAATTCTCCTGCCTCTCAGCCTCTGGAGTAGCTGGGATTCCAGGCATGCACCACCGTGCCCGGCTAATTTTTGTATTTCTAGTAGAGACAGGGTTTCGGTATGTTGGCCAGGCTGGTCTCAAACTCTCCTGACCTCAGGTGATCCACCTGCCTCGGCCTCCCAAAGTGCTGCGATTACAGGCGTGAACCACCATGCCCAGCCAAGAGAGGCTTTTGATACTAATTGCCCAGTGATTAAGCTCTAGAAGGAATCCGATGAGATGTCAGGACTATTATTATTACCATTATTATTATTTTGAGATGGGGTCTCATTCTCTTGCCCAGGCTGGAGTGCAGTGGTGTGATCACGGCTCACTGCAGCTTTGACCTCCCAGGCTGAAGTGATCCTCCCACCTCGACCTCCTGAGTAGCTGGGATCACAAGTGTACATCACCATACCCAGCTGATTTATTTATCTCTTTGTAGAGATAGGGTCTCCCTATGTTGCCCAGGTCTCAAACTACTGGCCTCAACCTCAAGTGATCCTCCTGCCTCGGCCTCCCAAAGTGTTGGGATTGTGGGTGTCAGCCACCAAGCCCGGCCACAGCTGTGACTTCCCACTGCTCAGGAAGAACATCAGGGTCTGTTCACCAAGAGTTAACAGAAATAGACGCGATATGTAACAAACCCTGTTGGACCTAGTCTCATATTTTGCCCCATTTATTGTAATGTTTTAGAGATCTTACTCTGTTGCCCAGGCTGGAGTACAGTGATGCCACTATAGCTCACTGCAGCCTTGTCAACCTCCCAGGTTCAAGTGATTCTTCTGTTTCAGCCTCCCAAGTAGCTGGGACTACAAGTGTGTGCCACCACACTCAGCTAATTTTTGTATTTTTTGTAGAGATGGGGTTTCATCATGTTCCCCAGGCTAGTCTGAAACTCCTGGGCTCAAGTGATCCTCCTGTCTCTGTCTCCCAAAGTGCTGGGATTACAGGCATGAGCCATAGAACCAAGCAACTTTTTTTTTTTTTTTATTTGAGACTCAGTCTCAAAAAGATAAAATAAAAAAAGAAAGAAAGATCATACCTATTATGATACACCAGGGTTTCTCAAATTTTGTTTCCTATTAGCATCATCTGGGGAGCTTGGAAAAAAATCCCAATAACCAGGCTGGGCGCAGTGGCTCATGCCTTTAATCCCAGCACTTTGGGAGGCCAAGGCGAGCAGATCACTTGAGCCGAGGTGTTTGAGACCAGCCTGGGCAACATGGGGAAACCCCATCTGTACAAAAATCGCAAAATTAAGCCTGGCCAACATAGTGAAACCCCATCTTTACTAAAAATACAAAAACTGATCTGGGCCTGGTGGCACACATCTGTAGTCCCAGCTACTCAGGAGGCTAAGGTTGGAGGATCGCTTGAACCCAGGAGGCAGAAGTTGCAATGAGCTGCTGAGATTGCACCACTGCACTCCGGCCTGGGTGACAGAGCGAGACCCTGTTTCAAAAAAAAAAACAAAAAACCAGAATTAGCTGGCCTTGATGGTGTGCATCTGTAGTCCCAGCTGAGCCAAGGAGGTGAAGGTTGCAGTGAGCCGAGATTGCACCAGTGCACTCCAGCCTGGTGACAGGATAAGACCGTGCCTCAAAAAAAAAAAAAAAGAAAGGAAAAGAAGGCCAGGCGCGGTGACTCACACCTGTAATCCCAGCACTTTGGGAGGTGGGGCGGGCGGATCACAAGGTCAAGAGATCAAGACCATCCTAGCCAACATGGTGAAACCCCGTCTCTACTAAAAATACAAAAATTAGCTGGGCATGGTGGCAGGCACCTATAGTTCCAGCTACTTGGGAGGCTGAGGCAGGAGAATCACTTGAACCTGGAAGGCAGAGGTTGCAGTGAGCCGAGATCGTGTCACTGCATGCCAGCCTGGTGACAGAGTGAGACTCTGTCTCAAAAAAAAAATTAAAAAAAAGAAAAATCCCAATAACCAAACCCTGGCCCAGACCAATTAAAACAAAATCTCTATACATGGCTTTCAGGCCTCAGTGGTTCTTATTGTGTGTGTTGTATTGGGGGGGCTTTTGAGACCCCCACTCCTAACCTATTCCCAGACCAAACTGAGGGTTGGGCTTCTATATCTCACAGCCCAATAATGAGACACAGATGAACTAGGGAGGAAGAGAGTTTTTATTTCTGTAACTGGTTACAGGGAGAAGGCCTGGAAAATATCACCAGACCAACCCAAAATTACAAAGTCTTCCAGAGCTCATATACCTTCTAAGCTATATGTCTACGTGTAGGTGTGCATTCATCTAAAGACGTAAGTAAGTTATAGTCTTTTAACCCATAACTAAGATCTGAGTCCTGAAGACCTTCCTCTGGAGCCTCAGTAAATTTACTTAATCTAAGTGGGTCCAGGTGCTGGGGTGATTACCCTTATCTTATCTCCTGCTAAATCATGGAGGTTTGGGGGAGTTCCTTCAAACCCCAATAAACTTGTTTGTGGAGGCCTGAGGAGTTTCTTCAGACCGCCAATAAAGCTTGTTTAATCCTAAAAGGGTCCTGTTAAGAATTCCTTCATTATCTTGTCATGCTTCAAGGCCCAGGAAAGGCCTAGGCACAACTCTGGGTGGGCTTTTGTTACATCCCAGCCTTTGTATAAGGGCACTGGCTCTCTTATCTTTTAATATTTAACTTAACCCTTGTAATCCCAGCACTTTGGGAGGCCGAGGTGGGTGGATCACGTGAGGTCAGGAGTTTGAGACAAGCCTGGCCAACATGGTGAAACCACGTCTCTACTAAAAATACAAAAATTAGCTAGGTGTGGTGGCACATGCCTGTAATCCCAGCCACTTGAGAGGCTGACACACAAGAGAATCACTTGAACCCAGGAGGCAGAGGTTGCAGTGAGCCGAGATCATGCCATTGCACTCCAGCCTGGGTGACAGAGTGAGACTCCATCTCAAAAAAAAAAAAAAAAAAAAAAGCAAACAACAAAAACCCTCTCTTGGCTGCTTGCTCTGTGCCTTGAGCAAGAATCCTTCCAGCCCAGGAGTCACTTAGCAGTCTTCAAACATTCTAGTTTGCTTCTCTAGAGTTTCGGTCACATTTCTTTCCTAAGCAAAACACTATATAATTACCGAGTTGCAAAAATCATCTTTCCAAACGCCAAAACGGAGATAAGACAGAAAATAAAAGATGTGAGAGGCAGGCATCCTGGGTAAATCACTCTGGTATTGCAGGGTTGGGATCCCCAGGGTACTATGATGGCTAACTGGAACAGAATGCAGGCATTTCTCCAAAGCCCAAGAGTTCATAAAAGCAAATTAAATATGACTCAATGGATTAATCAAGGGCCACCAGTTGCATTACTGATTACTAACTTTGCAGAAATGAAACACGGTATGTTGGGTCAAGGTTCAGTGAGGCTGGTTTTCATAACATTCCAGGCAATAAACAGGCACACTCATTCATTGATAAATGTTGACAATGACAGGTGGTGACTGTTGATAAGGTTTGATTGCCATTCAGAAAGTTTGTTTGACCTCTTTCCAAGTAACCACGACCTTACCTCTCTCTTTTGAGCTTATCACAATTGGTGACTGTACACTTGTTTCATAGACTTCCCCACCAGACTGTGAGCTCCATAGGGCTGGGCCCCAGGTCGGTTTCACCACCAGGCTCTCTCGCCTAACTCGGCCCACGGGAGGCCGTTTCCAGCTGCTCTGGCTCCATAGCTCAGCCTGGCAGCGGCCACTGGGTGCCCTGATTTGGTCGGCCCCGCCCCACCGGGCCTTACTTCCGGGATGCTTCTGGCGGGAGCAAGAAACATGGTTACATACGACGTAATGCGCCTGCGCACAGTCCGTCCTGCGCCTGCGCATTCCTGACAGCACCTCCCGGACCGGACATAACGGTCCCCGCGCGGCTCCCCGAACCGGAAGTGGAGGTGAGCTGTCGCGGGCGGCGCCCGGCCTTGCTCAACGCCCAGCAGTCCCCACCGTCGCTGCCGCCGCCACCGCCCTCGGCCGCTGCCGAGGCCTCCTGCAGCCATCATGTCCGCCAGCGCCGTCTACGTGCTGGACCTGAAGGGCAAGGTACTGAGGGCTCCCCACCCTCCCTGTTGCCAGGCAACCGGCAGGGGCCTCCGCCCGCGGGGACCCACCCTGTTGCTAGGTAACCGGCTTATGAGCCCCATCCTGGTGTGAGGCAGAGAGGCCGGTAGACCTCACCTGAGAGCCCCATCCTGTTTCTGGGTAACCGGGCGGGGGTCTTAAGTGGGTAATCCCCGCCCTGTTGCTACGTAACGCGGTGGGCTGCAGCCACCGCGTTGCCAGGTAACTGACTGCACCGCCCTCTGCTCCCCGGCGCCGGGGCCGGGGGCTCGGGCCTCGGTGGAGGACCCAGAAGCGGGGCCGCAGCCGGCCTCGGAGCCAGGCAGGGCGTCCAGGGGCTGCGCGACCCTTGGCCGGGGGTGGCGAGGCGTGGCGGGGACTGGGTGCTCTCGAGCCAGTCCCGCCTTCTCAGGGCGTTACAGCTTCTGTTTATCGTGCACTTTCTCTCAGTAGGAATTTCTCCACGTTCATTGTGATAGTGAGTTACAAGGATTAGGTGAGGTGAGTGGTGATCACGAGTGCCGTTTTATAGAGGGAGAAACTGAGGCATGGAGAGGTGAAGCAACCTGACCAAGGTCACAATGGTCACAGAGAAGTAGCAAGTCTAGGAGTCCGATCCAGAATCATTCGTTTATTCAGCTGATATCTGGGGAGCACCTACTAATGCCGGGCAGGGTACTAAGCCTGGGGTCGATTTGTGTTTAGCAAAAAACAGTCCCTTTTTTTTTGTTTTGTTTTTGAGATAGTGTCATGCTCAGTCGTCCAGTCTGGAGTGTAGTGGTGCAATCTCCACTCACTGCAACCTCCGCCTCCCGGGTTCAAGCAATTTTCCTGCCTCAGCCTCCCAAGTAGCTGGGATTACAGGCACCTGCCACTACGCCGAGCTAAATTTTGTATTTTTAGTAGAGGCAGGGTTTCACCATGTTGACCAGGCTGGTCTCGAACTCTTGACCTCGAGTGATCCACCTGTCTTAGCCTCCCAAAGTGCTGGGATTACAGGTGTGAGTCATGTGCCAGGGCTCAACAATCTGTGTTCTTACGGTGTTCACAGGCTGGTAGGGGAGATGGATACCCATCTCCAAAAACACAAATAAATGTCAATTGCAGTGGTGTTGAGGGGCGAGTGTGTTATACAGACAGTCAGCCTCAGCCCGAGGATGAGAGAGGGTTTCCCTGAGGAGGGGTGACAAATGGACCAGAGACACCAGGGAGCTGGACATAAACTAGAACCCAGGCATCTTCCCCAGAGGATCTGAGAAAACTTTAAGAAGGGATTGTCCCCACCTTTTAGAAATGGTCCTCTGCCTTCTCCTAAGTCCATCCCAGGTGCAAGGCAGGTGGCTGCCTGGCCTGTTGCATGTGGAAGCAACAAGAACCGGTCCAACAATGTGAAGCCCAACATTGATCAGTGAGAGAAACAAACATGGGTGTCAGGTCCTAGGTGAGGCGGGCAGGGGTGAGCCCTAAAGCAGCTGAGAGTGAAGAGGTGAAATGGCTGCCCCTTCCCGCCCCACCCCACCCCCAGCACTTTCCTGAAGTCCCTTGAGTGGGTGCCTGCTCTGGAAGCCACCCAAAGTCAACAACTGGTGAGACCCAGTGCTGGGCTTCCCTCCCCCGCCTTCTTGGAAGGAGGGAAGACACCCGTCTTAGAGCACGCCAGGGGCTGGGTGGTGCGGTGGAATGAGTCCTGGTGGAATGAGTCTTGCTTCCACCCTGGCCACTGCCTCCCCAGAGGTGCCAGTGGGCTGCCTGTCTTGGCTTGCTTATTCCTTCAGCAAACATTTCATGAGCACCTAGCATGCACCCTGCCCTATGCCGGGCATAGGGTGTCCATTGGCGCCATGGCTGTGGTGTTAGGGGTGAGCTCAAAACCCATCCCTGCTGCTCAGCTGTGTGACCTGGGACAGGCACCTTCTCCTGTCTGAGCCTCACTTTCCTCACTGGTCAAAAGAGGCTTTTATGGAGTTATTGTGCAGATTTGCTGAGCAGATGCATGAGACAGGCTCAGCACCACCCATGGTCCATGTTAGCTCTCCCAGGCCTCTCGGTCTAGCAGGGGAGTCACCTAGAAGCAGAGACATTACCACACAGTTGGATCCAGGCAGCCACAGGGGCAGGAACAAGGTCCCAAGTCCTGCAGTTGCTCAACCTCATCTTTAGCCAGTGGAAGGGGGAGGTGGTTATGAAAGGCTCCCTGAAGAGGGCGACGCTGGAAGTAGGTTTGGAAGGCACGATCATGTGGAAAAGAGGTGTTGCAAGGGGCAGCCTGCTGGGGCTGCCAAGCCAGAAGTCCTGGCTAATGCTGAGATGGGAGAGAGGGACCAAGGGGACCACTTCAGTTCCAACCAGGAGCCACCGTGAGGAGACCGTAGCCCAGAGAGGCATGATCAGACCTGCCTTTCAGAAAGCTCCCCAAGGCAGCCGTGGGCTTCCTTCCCTTCCTCTGCAACCATGATGCCCTTTCTTATTCCACGACCCACGGACCTCCTGTTTCCAAAGTCAGCCTCGTGAGCCGACTGCATTTAATCAACAATAAAGCACACTGAGAAATTCATGGCCACGTGTCTGGTCACCGAGGACACCAGCGTGGCCACACTGGGCTGGGAGGAAGCTGTCCTAGTAGGAAGCTTCTCCGCTTTATCTAACTGGCTTCTCAGCAGCTTCTGACACCACTAACCACCTCCTCTTCAGTGCTCCCTTCCGCTTCCAGGAGGCTGCGCTCTGGGGGGTTTCCTCCTGTTTCTTGCACTGCCTACTTTCCTCCTTTTCTGCCCTCCCCAGGGCTGTGGAGCGGCTCAGGCCTACGCGTGCCTCCCCATGCTGTCACTCTTCCCAGGTGGGCTTTGACTCATGTCCATGGGCCAGTGACTCTCAATTTTGTTCACAGCATTTCTCTGGAGATCTAGTGGCCTCTGAGACACCAGAGAGGTCCCGCCGCCACCATAAATTCAGCATTCTTCTAAATGCACTCCCTGTACCTGCTCTCTTTCCATTTCAGTGATGCCATCACCCATTCAGCCATCTGCACAAGAGACCTGGACGTTATCCTCGCCTCCTTTGTCTCCTCACCCCTGTTTTCACTCCACAAATGTTTACTGAGCACCTACTATGGTCCAGGCCCCTTTCTGGGTGCTGGAAAACAGCTGTGAATGAGACAGGAGTAGTTGCTGTTCTCAGGGGATGTCAGACAGTAAAGGAGGATAGAAATAAATGTTTAATGCACCAGGTGATAGGGATAAAGCAGGGGTCAGGGTTCAGAGGGATGGGACATGATCTCAGCCAGAGCAAGCAGGGAGGATTTCTTTTTTTTTTTTTTTTTTTTTTTTTTTTGAGATGGAGTTACGTTCTGTCAGCCAAGCTGGAGTGCAATGGCACAATCTCGGCTCACTGCAACCTCTGCCTCCCAGGTTCAAGTGATTCTCCTGCCTCAGCCTCCCAAGTAGCTGGGACTACAGGCATGCACCACCACGCCTGGCTAATTTTGTATTTTTAGTAGAGACAGGGTTTCACCATATTGGTCAGGCTGGTCTCAAACTCCTGACTTCAGATGATCCGCCTGCCTCAGCCTCCCAAAGTGCTGGGATTACAGGCGTGAGCCACCGCGCCCAGCTGGGAGGACTTCCTAGAGGAGGTGTTATTTGAGCTGAGGCTTGAGAAATGAGAAGAGCCAGGTCAGGGCAAAGGCCCGAGGTGGGAACAGATGTGGATCACTCAGAGACCAGCTAAGGGGCCAGGCTGGAGCAGAGTGAACCAGGGCAGCGCAGGCAGAGAGGCGTCAGAGGGGCTGTGAGGAGCCAGACCACGCTGGTCCTTGGGAGCCATGGGGACGGGCTTGGGCTTTGTTCTCAGTGCCGGGGAGGCTGGGGTAAGTGGCAGTTCAGCAGTGGGGGAGAGACCCCGTCTGGCTTCTGTGTAGGAAGAGCCCTGTCACCCTTTGTGAGGAAGGACCTGGGGGGTCAAGAGTGACAGCAGGGGGAGGGGCTGTTCCCTCAACACGTCATCACCTGCCTCCCTCCAATCAGTTCCACAGGCCACGAAGCAGACACTAGGAAAGGAAGGTGCCACCCCGCACCACCCCCAGTCTCGCCTTGAGAGAATAAAGGCAGCGTGTGATGAAATGCCAAGTTCTGAGGCAGGTGGTTCCCAGGATGGTCAGCGCCGCAATGGCCTTCTCAGCATGTTGCTGAGTCCTGCAGCTGGCTGTCCTGCAGGCCCCAAGAGCTGCAGCTGCTCCAGGCAGCATCTCCAACCGCAGCCATGCCCAGGCTAGCAAAACTTCCGACCTCCTTTTTATTCTTTAATGAGGTATAATTTACATTAATAACCTGCACTTATCTAAAGTGTACAATTTGATGAGCTCAGTCATGTGGGAAGCCATAACCACACATTCCATCGCCCCCGAAAGCTTCTTCACACCCCTTTGCTGTCTAGCCCCATCCCTAGGCACCCACCGATGTGTTTTTCATCACCATTTTCTAGGATTTTATACACGTGCAGTCATGCAGGATGAGCTCTCGTTTGTCTGGTTTCTCTCAGCCAGCACAGTGATTCTGATGCGCCTGTGTATCGGGAGTCCGATCCCTTCCGTTGCTGAGGCATGCTTCTCATGGTGTGCACGGATACAGTTTGTTTCTAGTTCACCTGCTGAAGGACATTGGCATTGTTTCTAGTCTGGGTCTGTTTCAATTAAAGCTGCTGTTAAGATTCTCGTGCTAGTGTTTGTGCAGACATGTGGTTTCATTTCTCTTGGGTAAATACCAGAGAGAGGAATGACTGGATCGTATGGTAACTCTGGGTTTCACTTTTTGAGAAACTGCCAGACTACACCAAAGTAGTTGTCCCATTTTCCATTCCTATCAGCAGTGGACAGGGGTTCTGGATGCTGTATATCCTGACCCACAGGCTATGAAAGAGAGAGACCAGGAAGAGGGCTTCTCCCTTCAGGCCACCTGTGGACTTCAGTAAATACGAACCTTCAGCGGGAGTGGGCGCCCTGACACAGGCGGGAGAGCAAGGTGCGTTGGCCCGGCAAAGGCTCTGAGAAGGTCTGCATTGAGAGCTTGTGAGGCATTGCTTAACCTGATGTCTCTGGGTGATTCAGTCCTGGACCTTTGCTGCAGAGTTCGCCTCTACCCTCACCCTGCGAAGAACTGCAGTGGCCCCTGTGGGCATTCACACTGGGAGATGCTCTTCTCCAGGAATTCCCTGGGGGATGGAGATCAGAACGGCCTCAAGTCCTGCTCTTTTGCGGATAGTGGCCATGACCGGAGTCCCCAGAGCGAAGCAGGGTGGTGCATCTCACCCCCTGCCCCAAGCCCCCAGATTGTAGAACTGAAAATGCAAGCATCTTTTCTCTTCCTTCCCCACCCCAGGTGCTCATCTGCCGGAACTACCGTGGCGACGTGGACATGTCAGAGGTGGAGCACTTCATGCCCATCCTGATGGAGAAGGAGGAGGAGGGGATGCTGTCGCCCATCCTGGCCCACGGGGGGGTCCGTTTCATGTGGATCAAACACAACAACCTGTATCGTATCCCTTTGCTGGGGGTGCTCCCAGGGGACTCCTGTGTGGGTGTTGGTGTGTGTGCATATCCACACGCCTGCAAGCAGGGCTGGTTTGTGCACAGCGCAAGCATTGGACACAGCCATGCCCTCCTGGAGCTCCCTGCTGCCTGCGGAGACAGGCAGACAATGCACGATGACATGTGTGATGGGTGTGGGGAGAGGAGCAGGTGTGACTTGAACCTCTTCAGCCCAGGGGCCCAGGAAGGGAAATGACACCCTGGAGGAAGCCTGCAGGGAGGCCTGGCTTCTGCCAGCTGGAGGGGTGGGCAGGCACTAGGCGTGGGTGAAGGCTCTGCAGGGAAGAGCCTCATTCCAACAGCTGCACTCGGGGTGGCTGGAGAGGGGGCGTGTAGGGCAGCGAGGCTGGAGTGGTCAGCGGGGTCTGGGGTCTCAAAGAACATCATCTGAAATGTGACAGGAAGTCTCTGGAGGCTTTTAGATGTGTGTCTTCTGGAGGTTTCTGGCTGCTGAGTGGGGCAAGACTGTGGGGACAGGAGAGGACATGGGTAGGTGGGGAGTAGGCTGGGGCCATCGTGCAGGTGGGAGGGGAAGTGGCCTGGACCACGGAGGGGTGGTGGGGTACAGCCCCGCCCAGATCTCAGAGCCCCCCACCCTTCCTGTCCTTGGGCCCATGGGGAGACTTGGCCAAGCCAGTTTCTATCCAGGAGGTCTAACTGGCCACCCCACAGCTTTGGGCAGACCCGCAAGCCCATCTCAGTACCCACACTACTGCGGAAGGGCCTGCTTTGCCACTCACAGCCCGTTTGAGCCCCAGCTCCAGCAGCCATGGGGGATCCCTCACCTTCCCACAGTTCAGTGGGAACAACGACCCCTCACTGCAGGACCATTCGGGTCAGTTGAACTGACTTGTGCATATTGCTCCCAGCAGGCATGGGCTCTGTGCCCTTTCCTGTGTTCTTGGAGACACTTGGGGCCTTGCCAGTACAGTGTGGCCAACGGGCCAGAATATCCGCTGGGAGCCCTTTGGAAATGCAGAATCCCAGGCTCCACCCAGCCCTGCCCCGTCAGAATCTGCATTGTAGGAAGATTTGTTCCTGGTGGCCGGTGTGCACATTCCCATGTGGGCCGTGCTGGCCCAGGGCTCCCTGTGGTGTGCCTCTGTGTAGATTTCACCTGGCTCTGGAAGGCCCTGAGAATAGCTCTGAAGATGATCTTAGGTGGCTTTTTTTTTTTTTTTGAGACAGAGTCTCGCTCTGTCGCCCAGGCTGGAGTGCAGTGGCGCCATCTGGGCTCACTGCAAGCTCCGCCTCCCGGGTTCGCGCTATTCTCCTGCCTCAGCCTCCCGAGTAGCTGGGACTACAGGCGCCCGCCACCACGCCCAGCTAATTTTTTTGTATTTTTTTAGTAGAGACAGGGTTTCACCATGTTAGCCAGGATGGTCTCGATCTCCTGACCTCGTGATCCGCCCGCCTCAGCCTCCCAAAATGCTGGGATTACAGTCGTGAGCCACCGTGCCCGGCCTAGGTGGCTTTTAACCCAGGGAACTGACAGTCCTCTGAAGCCGCCCAGGTATTGGGAGAGGGAGAGGTGGCTGTGGTCTGAGCTCAGCAGGAGCCATCAGATCAGTTTCTGGTTGGGCCCCCACATTTCACACCTGGGCATCTAGGGAAGAGACAGGGAGGGCTCACCCCTCTGGCTTAGTGGACATCGTTTCACCCCCAGCCGGGACAGTGCTCAGCAAGGCCGTGGCTGAGAGGCACCCATGAGAAGGTGAGAGGCCCCCACTGCCCCTGCTTATAAAGCATCTGGGGAGGGCACATTGCCAGGCAGCAGGAGGGAGGCCAGCACTCGTTTGACTGGGCCAGCGTCCCTTTCCTGGGCCCCTGTGCTGTGCTGGGGTGAGGCGGGAAGGGAGAGGATACAGCCCCCACCCTCCCTCCTAGAGCTCACTCCTGGGCAGACGAGCCAGGCAGCACAGATGTGCCATGAACAGGGATGTCCAGGGTGCAGTGCATGGGCCTACAGAGGAAGAACCAGCCTTCTCTGGCGGCCCGGGGACCCATTAGGGAAAAAGGAATAGGAAGCGCCCAGCACACACTGACCCTGGGAGGCAGGGGCTGGCTCCTGTGGCAGAAGGGAACATCTGTGCCAGACATCTCACCTACATTGCCTTGGTGAGTTCATTCACAGGCCTCCATTACACAGGAGAGAAATATCAAGGTTTCTCTAGAAAGGTTTATTTCATGGGCCAAGGCTTGTGTTTCCAAAGCCAGGAAGGGCTGAAGCCAGAATTGGCCCTGGCTGCTTGCCACAGAGTCTGGCCGGGGGACCCTGGACCTCAGCAGGGTCATGATGAGGTCAGCTTTGGAGGAGCAGGGCCAGTGTGTCCTGCTTTCTGCTCCTGGAATGAGCCTCACTCCCTCCCTGCTCAAGGCAGCCCTTCACCCAGCCGCCGGGACAGGTGCCCTGTGCCACCTGCCATCCCTGTGATTCTCCATCTCAGTGAGTGCTCCCTGGGGCCTGGGAGCGCATCTGGCTGGTGACTCCTGTGTCCCAGGTCTAGCTTGGACCAGGAGCTTTGTAGCCCACCATGGGCCAAGTAAACGGCTGGGAGTGGGGATAGGGAAGGCTCTGAGGGTTGTGAGGGTTAGGGGGTCCCTCCATGAACCAGGATCTTCCAGGCAGCAGCCCCAGCCTCTGAATGCTCCTTAACTGTGGCCGCCATGCAGTGGTTGCCACATCCAAGAAGAACGCGTGCGTGTCGCTGGTCTTTTCTTTCCTCTATAAGGTGGTGCAGGTGAGTCTCGCTCGGAGGGGCCGTGGGCTTGGGTGGAGGTTGTCTTGGCTCTGCTTGTGGACCTCCCCATACCTGGCCACCCTACAGAGAGCTGTGGCATCCCCAGGGAGCACTGGGGCTGGAAGCCCAGGAAGTGGGAAAGGGGAGTCCCAACTCCCCACGCCTGTGGAATTCTATAGCTCACGTTGCTCCCCTACCGTGGGGAAGAAAGGAAAGTGAACAGGAAAAGGTAGGGCTCAGAGCAGGGGTGCCCTGACCCTGGAAGGGACAAGCAGGGGTCAGCGAGCTTTGGAAGGATGTGGGGTGACCAGCTGGATGGGGCTGGAATAACCAGCAGAGCTGCAGAGCTGAGCCCACCTCAGAATCTCCCAGGGGGCTCTCAAGGCACAGATGCCTGACGCCCACCTTGGAGAGAGCTGACACGCCAGGCCCAGGCTGCCAGTGAGACACAGATAGCAGCCAGGGTGAAGGCGCCAGGACAGGTGTATGTGTGGTGCAGCTAGGGAGGCCAGCGTGCGTGTGGCAGAGTATGAGGCTGAGGTCAGCTGGGAAGAGGGCGGATTATACAGGAGTGTGGATTTCATTCCACTTCTGATGAAAGGTAGTGGAGGGCTTTAAGCAGGAGACTGACAAGACGTGGTTTGATCTAAAGCAGCCTCTCTGGCTGCTGAGCAGAAGGAGGACTTGAGGCCAGTGAGGAGGCTGCTGCTGGCTTCCCGGAGAGGATGGGCCTGGCCGAGGTGGGCTGTGGGGCTCACGAAAGTGGGGAACAGGACCCAGGAGGCCTGTGCTGGGCCTGGGAAAGCTTTCATCCCTCACTGATGCTGCCTGTGCAGAATGTTGGGGAACAGGGGCAAGCCTGGGCGGTGAGGGCTTGGGGAAGGAGCCGAGGGTCACCTGGGAAGGCCCCACGTGCAGGCCAAGGGCTGCCTTCACTGGACCGGTGATGCTGTCACAGGCAGGGCTGGGCCTGGCTGTGCTGCCTGTGGTTTCCAAGCAGAGGCCGGGTGATCACAGTCCTGAAGCGCGCAGGGGTCAGCAGATCAGAGAATGGGGGATGCGGGAAGGGGAAGGTCCTCACCCAAGGGTTGGGCTGTGCCTTTCTGTTTTAGTGACGCTCCTTCCTTCAGCATTTGTGCCTGCAAAAGTGCTTCTAACAGCCCCTCTTCTTTGGCGTCCCTTCCTTAACCTTCTGAGCTTTCCATTGAAATGGGGAAGATGCATCAAGCTTTCCACTGAAATGGGGAAGATGGCAGCTCATCAGGTCCTTGCCTGAGTCACTCCAGACTCAGAAAGGGATGACAGTTACAGTCGCTCAGGAGGGGCTGCCTGTCTGCGGGTGTCTGGGCAGGGAAGAGAATGGGAACGCAGAGCTTCTGAAGGCCTCGGGACATCTGCAGTGGCTCCAGCCTGGCCCCACCCCACAGCCAGCCACTGCTGTCCTGCCCCATAACCTGGGTCCAGGGCCCTGTAGCACACCACCGAGCCTGGGAAGTAGGCTGTTGGTAGGACTTAGCGGGCAAATGAATGTGTGCAAGCGTTCATTCATTCCTCATCCGTCCGCTCAATGATCTGCCTCCCATTCCTCCCTCCCTCCCCAACCGCCACAGGTGTTTTCCGAGTACTTCAAGGAGCTGGAGGAGGAGAGCATCCGGGACAACTTTGTTATCATCTACGAGCTGCTGGACGAGCTCATGGACTTCGGCTACCCCCAGACCACCGACAGCAAGATCCTGCAGGAGTGAGTGGGCAGGGGTGGGGCCTGGGGCCAGGCCTGGGCGGTGTCATGACATCGACGTCATCAGGTGTGGAAACAGAAGGGGCAAATTTGTGTTCATGTTGTCCCCCACCTGCCTCCCACCTCCAGCAGTATTCGGGTTTTTACTAAGTTGCTCTTAGTGGTTTTAATTCGTTTCCTCCTCTACGCCCCCACATAACCGTGCTTTTCCTGCTCCTCATCTTTACTCTCCATCCACACAGATGCCTTCAGTACCTTGCTACTAAGGAGTCACCTCCCTTGTTTTTACTGTCATAAAATGAGACTGTGATCGAAATCTCCCCTCTTTGGAATCCTGCCCTTCAGATAAGAAGCAATGTGAATTAAGTGCTTCCTGGGGGCCGGGCCCCAGCACTTCACATTCACTCGATTCACAGCCTCCCCGTATACCGTCTCCCCATTTTACAGGGGACAAGCAAGCAGACTCCCAGAGAAGCCTGTGTTCCTAACCGCTGCACCTCCTGCTCCTTCAGCAGGATGGGGTCACCAGGTTACACTCCGAGGCGTCAGTTCCATCCACGTGCTCAGCAGGGACGGGAAGCAGCTCACACCCACTTCTTGTTTTCCTTCCCAACATGGTCTTCTTGGTCCCCCAAAATGAGCACTTCAGCCTCTATAACTTGAGTGTATTGGCTTTTGGAAATTGTGAAGATTTTTCTGTATGAAGCAGCCCCAGGTGAACCAGAGGCTGCCTTTTCTGGAGCTGCTGAAATCCAAGGGCTATTTTCAAGTCGGTCAGAACCTGCCCTGTACCCCCCACCCAACCCTGCCGAAATGTCAAGGCCAGAAGCTGTGGCGTTGGTGCGGGTACCACCTCCTTCACTCTGAGCGTGTGGCCCCACAGGTACATCACTCAGGAAGGCCACAAGCTGGAAACAGGGGCCCCGCGGCCACCAGCCACCGTCACCAACGCGGTGTCCTGGCGGTCCGAAGGCATCAAGTATCGGAAGAATGAGGTGTTCTTGGACGTCATCGAGTCTGTCAACCTCTTGGTAGGCCTCTTTTCTTTCCTTCTTCTGTAGGGTTTTATCTCTTCCACGATAGAAATAAACACAGCATTTTAAAACTGGCAAAGCCCCGAGAGCCGTTCTGTGTGGTAACAGATAGCAGGATTCAGTTTGGGCCACTCATTGAAATGTGAGTTTGTCTTATCTTTTTTTTTTGAGACGGAATCTCATTCTGTCGCCCAGGCTAGAGTGTGGTGACACGATCTCGGCTCACTGCAACCTCCGCCTCCCAGGTTCAGGCGATTCTCCTGCCTCAGCCTCCCGTGTAGCCGGGATTATAGGCACCCGCCACCACGCTCGGCTAAAGCTTGTTTTCTTTATTAGCATTTATGCTGACTGAGAATCCATACATGCACATTATTTTTAAAAATTAGAAGCAGGGTATGAGGTTAGAAAGTGAAGGGCTCTTATCAGTCACCATGCACAGAAAAAAAAAAAAGAAACTAAAGGGCTCCTATAATCAGAAAGATTAGGATTTATTCACCGTCACCCTCTCGGGCCTCATTCTGTAGACAGACAGAAACAAGTATATTGATTTTTCTATAAACCTGAGATCATAAGATGTGGTTCTCCTGCAGCTTGTTTTTTTGGTGGTGGTTGTTGTTTGGGTTTTGATTTTGCGTTCAGTGTTACTGTTTTGTATATTTTTTTCTTTTGGTTTTTTAATTATGAGGAAAGTTGACGTTTTGAAAATGAATTTTAGCGCTTGTACAGATTTGTGTACCCATCACCACACCCAGGACACAGAACCTCAAAACCTCCTCATGTTGCCCCTTTGTAGCTCCATGCTCCCCTCTTCCCCATTTCCTGGCCACCATTGAACTGTTCTCCATCACTGGAGTCTTCATCGTGTTGTGATTGTCACACGAGTGGCATCATATGTCACCGCAGCTGTCTTTCTGAGATTGTCGTATGAATGGCGTCATACAGTCATGAGCTCTCGAGTCTGGCTGCTTTAACTCATTCTAATTCTTTGCGATTCATCCAAATCCAATTGTTTTGCATATCAAAAGTCTGTTCCCTTTTATATTTATTTATATTTATTTTCTGTTCTGAACCACAGAAGGACATTTGGGTGGTTTTCCAATCTTTGGCAATTGTCAATAGAGTTGCTAGAAACATGTCGTGTCCAGGTTTATGTGTGGACATAAGTTTTCATCTCTCTAGGGTAAATACCCAGGAGTGGGATGGCTGGGTCACACGGTAAGTGTATGTTTACCTTTATAAGAAACTGCCAAACCATTGCTGTTTTGCATTCTCGCCAGCAACAGATGAGGGTTGTGATGACCCCACATCCTTTGTCAGTAGTTTTATTTTTGTCATCCTAATAGGTATGTAGTAGTATGTCAGCACAGTTTTGTGTTTTGTTTTTGTTTTTGTTTTTGAGACACAGTCTCGCTCTTGTCGCCCAGGCTGGAGTGCAATGGCACTATCTCCATTCACTGCAACCTCTGCCTCCCAGGCTTAAGCGATTCTCCTGCCTCAGCCTCCCGAGTAGCTGGGATTACAGGCACCCACCACCAGGCCTGGCTCATTTTTGTATTTTTACTAGAGACGGGGTTTCACCATGTTGGCCAGGCTGGTCTCGAACTCCTGACCTCAGATGATCCACCCGCCTCTGCCTCCCAAAGTGCTGGGATTACAGGTGTGAGCTACCACGCCTGGCCTATTCCATTTTCTTAATGGCTAATAATGTTGAGCATTGCTTTACATGTTTCTTTGTCATCTGTATATCCTCTTTGGAGAAATGTCTCTGTGCATCTTTTTAGCATTTTTAAATTGGGTTATTTTCATATAGTTGAGCCTTGATAGTTCTTTGTGTGTTCCAGATAGAAGTCCTCTGTCAGATAGGTGATTTGCAAGTATTTTCCCCCAGTCTGTAGCTTATCTTTTTATTCTCTTAGCAGTGTTTTTTTTTTTTCGACAGAGTCTCACTTTGTAGCCCAGGCTGTAGTACAAGTGGCATGCTTGGCTCAGTGCAACCTCCACCTCCGGGCTTCAAGTGCTTCTCCAGCCTCAGCCTCCCAAGTAGCTGGGATTACAGACGCATGCCACCATGCCCGGCTAATTTTTGTATTTTTAGTCGAGACAGGGTTTCACTATGTTGGTCAGGGTGGTATCGAACTCCTGACCTCAGGTGATCTGCCTTCCTCGGCCTCCCTAAGTGTTGGGATTACAGGCGTCGGCCACCATGCCCAGCCCCCAATACTATATTGAATAGGAGTGGTGAGAGAGGGCATCTTTGTCTTGTGCCAGTTTTCAGGGGGAACGCTTTCAGCTTTTGCCCATTCAGTATGATGTTGGCTATGGATTTGTCATAGATGGCTCTTATTATTTTAGGTATGTTCCTTCAAAACCTAGTTAGTTGGCTGGGCATGGTAGCTCCCGCTCTACTAAAAATAGGAAAATTAGCCGGGCGTGGTGATGCGCGCCTGTAATCCCAGCTACTCGGGTGGCTGAGGTGGGAGGATCACTTGAGCCCCAGAGGTAGAGGTTGCAGTGAGTCCAGATTGTGCCACCGCACTCCAGCCTGGGCGACAGAGCAAGACCCTGTTTCAAAAAAAAACAAAAAACAAAACCAAAAAACTCCAGTTTGTTGAGAGTTTTTAACATGAAGAGATGTTGAATTTTATCAAAAGCCTTTTCTGCACCTATTGAGATGATCATGTAGTTTCTGTCTTTAGTTCTATTTATGTGATGAATCATGTTTATTGATTTGCATGTATTGAACCAACCTTGCATCCCAGGGATAAAAGCCTTCTTGATTGTGGCGGATTAGCTTTTTGATGTACTGCTGGATTCAGTTTACTAGTATTTTGTTGAGGATTTTTGCATCAATGTTCATCAAGGATATTGGCCTGAAGTTTTCTTTTTTTGTTGTATCTCTGCCAGGTTTTGGTATCAGGATGATGCTGGCCTCATAGAATGAGTAGGGGAGGAGTCCCTCCTCCTCCGTTTTTTTGGAATCATTTCAGTAGGAATGGTACCAGCTCTTCTTTGTACGTCTGATAGAATTCAGCTGTGAGTCCGTCTGGTCCAGGTTTTTTTTGGTTGTTAGGCTATTTATTACTGATGCAATTTTGGAGCTCATTATTGGTCTGTTCAGGGATTCAGTTTCTCCCTGGTTCCATCTTGGAAGGGTATATGTGTCCGGGAGATTATCCATTTCTTCTAGATTTTCTAGTTAGTGTGCATAGAAGTGTTAATAATAGTCTCTAAGGGTTATTTGTAGTTCTGTGGGGTCAATGGTAATATCCCCTTTGTCATTTCTAATTGTGTTTATTTGGGTTTTCTCTCTTTTCTTAATAGTCTAGCTAGCAGCCTATCTATCTTATTCATTCTTTTAAAACACCAGCTCCTGGCTTACTTGATGTTTTGAATGGTGTTTTTGTGTCTCAGTCTTCTAGAGTTCAGCTGTGACTTTGGTTATTTCTTGTCTTCTGCTAGCTTTGGAGTTGGAGGCTTTTGCTTCGTGAGTTCTTTTAGTTGTGATGTTAGGTTGTTAATTTGAGATCTTTCTAACTTTTTGATGTGGGCATGTAGTGCTGTAAATTTCTCTTAACACTGCCCTAGCCGTGTCCCAGAGATTCTGGTCTGTTGTATCTTTGTTCTTATTTGTTTCAAATAATTTCTTGACTTCTGCCTTAATTTCATTATTTACCCAAAAGTAATTTGGGAGCAGGTTGTTTAATTTCCATGTAATTGTATGGGTTTGAGTGATTTTCTTAGTTTTGAATTCTATTTTTATTGATTTGTGGTCTGAGAGAGTGGCTGGTATGCTTTTGGTTCTTTTGCATCTGCTGAGGATTATTTTATGTCCAATTGTGTGGTGGTTTTTAGAGTATGTACCATGTACAGATGAGATATATTCTCTCGTTTTTGGGTGGAGAGTTCTGTAGATATCTATCAGGTCCAGTTGATCCAGTGCTGAGTTAAGGTCCTGGATATCTTTGATAATTTTCTGCCCCAGTGATCTGTCTAATACTGTCAGTGGGGTGTTGAAATCTCCCACTGTTATTGTGTGGGAGTCTAAGTCTCTTTGTAGGTCTCTAAGAACTTGCTTTATGAATCTGAGTGCTGCTGTTGGCTGCATATTTATTTAGGTTAGTTAGATCTTGTTGAATTGAATACCTTACCATTATGCAATGCACTTCTTTGTCTTTTTTTGATCTTTGTTGGCTTAAAGTCTGTTTTGTCTGAAATTAAGATTGCAACTCTGCTTTTGTCTGTTTTCTATTTGCTTGGTAGATTTTTCTCCATTTCTTCATTTTGAGTCTGTGGGTGTTATTGCATCTGAGATGGGTCTTTTTTTTTTCTTTTGAGACAGAGTCTTGCTGTGTTGCCCAGGCTGGAGTGCAGTGGCGCAATCTCGGCTCACTGCAACCTCTGTCCCCCAGGTTCAAGCAATTCTCCTGCCTCAGCCTCCCAAATAGTTGGGATTACAGGCACGCGCCACCACGCCTGGCGGTTTTCTATTTTTAGTAGAGACGAGGTTTCACCATGTTGGCCAGGCTGGTCTCGAACTCCTGACCTCAAGTGATCCACTCGCCTCGGCCTCCCAAAGTGCTGGGATATTACAGGCATGAGCCACTGCACCCAGCCAAGAATGGTGTCTTAAAGGGAGCATATCATTTGGTCTTATTTCTTTATCCAGCTCTTGCCACTCTATGCCTTTTAATTGGGGCATTTAGCCCATTTACATTCAAGGTTAGTATTGATATGCATGTATTTGATCCTGTCATTGTGTTGTTAGCTGTTTATTATGCTGACTTGTTTGTGTGGTTGCTTTATAGTGTTACTTGTCTGTGTACTTAAATGTGTTTTTGTAGTGGCTAGTAATGGCCTTTTCTTTCCTTTTTCTTTTTTTTTTTTTTGAGACAAAGTCTCACTGGGTAGCCCAGGCTGGAGTGCCATGGCGTGATCTTGGCTCACTGCAACCTCTGCCTCCCAGGTTCAAGTGATTCTCCTGCCTCAGCCTCCCGAGTAGCTGGGACTACAGGCGTATGCCACCATGCCCAGCTAATTTTTTTTTGGTATTTTTAGTAGAGACAGAGTTTCACCATGTTAGCCAGGATGGTCTCGATCTCCTGACCTGACCTCGTGATCCACCTGCCTTGGCCTCCCAAAGTGCTGGGATTACAGGCGTGAGCCACTGCACCCGGCCTTTTTTTTTTTTTGAGATGGAGTCTTGCCCTGTCACCCAGGCTGGAGTGCAATGGCATGATCTCTGCTCACTGCAACCTCTGCCTCCCTGGCTCAAGCAATTCTCCTGCCTTAGCCTCCCGAGTAGCTGGGATTACAGGTACCCACCACCATGACCGGCTAATTTTTGTATTTTTAGTAGATATGGAGTTACACCATGTTGGCCAGACTGGTGTCGAACTCCACACCTCAGGTGATTCGCCTGCCTCAGCCTCCCAAAGTGCTGGGATTACAGGCATGAGCCACCACACCCGGCCTTCTTTTCATATTTAGTACTTCTTTCAGGAGCTCTTGTACAGCAGGTCTGCTGGTAAACAAATTCCCTCAGCATTTGCTTGTCTGAAAGGATCTTTTTTATTCTTCTTTTTTTTTGAGACAGGGTCTCATTCTGTTGCTCAGGCTGGAGTGCAGTGGCATGATCATGGCTCACTGCAACCTCTACCTCCCTGGCACAAGCTATTCTCTGGCCTCAGCCTACCAATTGGCTGGGACTATAGGCAGGTACCACCACACCCGGCTAATGTATATGTTTTTGGTAGAGATGGGGTTTTGCCATGTTTCCCAGGCTAGTCTCAGACTCCTGGATTCAGGCACTCCACCCACCTCGGCCTCCTAAAGTGCTGGGATTACAGGTTGAGCCACCACACCCAAGTTGAAAACGATCTCATTTCTCCTTTGCTGATGAAGCTTAGGTTGGCCAGATGTGAAATTCTGGATTGGAATTTCTTTAAAAATGTTTAATATATTGGCCAGGAGTGGTGGCTTACACCTGTAATCCCAGCACTTTGGGAGGCTAAGGCGGGGGCGGGGGGGGGGGAGAGGGGGGAGGGGGGAGGGGAGGGGATCACCTGAGGTCAGGAATTCAAGACCAGCCTGGCCAACATGGTGAAACCTGGTCTCTACTGAAAATATAAAAATTAGCAGCACGTGGTGGTGCATGCCTGTAGTCCCAGCTGCTTGGGAGGCTGAGGCAGGAGAATTGCTTGAACCTGGGAGGCGGAGGTTGCAGTGACCTGCTGAGATCCCACCACTGCACTCCAGCCTGGGCCACAGAATGAGATTCCATCTCAAAAAAAAAAAAAAAAAAAAAAAAAAAAAGAATGTTTAATATAGGCCTCCAATCTCTTCTGGCTTGTAGGGTTTCTGCTGAGAGGCCCACTGCTAGTCTGATGGGCTTCCCTTTGTAGGTGACCTGCTATGTCTCTCTAGCTTCTTTCATTTTGACCCTGGACAATCTGATGATTATGTGTTTTGGGGATGATCTTGTGAAGTATTTTGCAGGGGTTCTCTGCATTCCCTGATTTTGAATATTGGCCTCTCTAGCTAGACTGGGGAAGTTCTCATGGATAGTATCCTGAAATACGTTTTCCAAGTTGCTTCCATTTTCCCCATCTCTTTCAGGGACACCAATGAGTTGTAGATTTGCTCTCTTTTTTAATCCCATATTTCTTGGAGGCTTTGTTCATTCCTTTTCGTTATTTTTTCTCTATTCTCATCTGACTGTCTTATTTCAGAAAGCCAGTCTTCAAGCTCTGAGATTCTTTCCTCAGCTTGGTCTGTACTACTGTTAATACTTGTGATTACATTATTAAATTCTTATACTGTGTTTTTCAGCTGTATCAGGTCAGTTACATCATTTTCTATCCTGGCTGTTTTGTCTGCCAGCTCATATATTGTTTTATTATAATTCTTAGCCTCCTTAGATTGGGTTTCAATGTTCCTAATCTCAATGATCTTTGTTCCTATCCATATTCTGAAGTCTATTTCTGTCATTTCAGCCATCTCAGCCTAGTTAAGAACTCTTGCTTTGGGAGGCCAAGGTGGGCGGATCACAAGGTCAGGAGATTGAGACCATCCTGGTGAACACAGTGAAACCCCATCTCTACTAAAAATACAAAAAATTAGCCGGGTGTGGTGGCGGGCGCCTGTAGTCCCAGCTACTTGGGAGGCTGAGGCAGGAGAATGGCGTGAACCCAGGAGGCGGAGCTTGCAGTGAGCCGAGATTGCACCACTGCCCTCCAGCCTGGGCGACAGAGCGAAACTCCGTCTCAAAAAAAAAAAAAAGAACTCTTGCTGGAGAACTACTGCAGTTTGGAGGAAAGAGGACACTCTGGTTATTTGAGTTGTCAAGAGTCCTTGTGCTCGTTCTTTCTCATTTTTGTGGGCTGATATTCCTTTAGTCTTTGAAGTTGCTGTCCTTTGAATGGGTTTCTTTTTCCTTTATCCTATTTGATGACCCTGGGGGTTTGATTGTGTATAAGGTGGGTTCAGTTGGATGGCTTCATTATTGGAAGATTTTAGGGGACCAAGGCTCAGCTTAGGACTCCTGAACTGCATGCTCTAACTCTGGAGGACTGGTATCCAGCCCTGGCTTTGATCTCTGGCTCCTTCAGGTTAAGAACCTGCTCTGCTAGAGGGGCCAAGCTGCTCCCAGACAGCTGGTCACAACACTCCAATGGGTGGTGCCAGGCAAAGCACTTCATAGGGTAGTGGCAGCAGGATCTGTTCTTGTTTGCATGTGCCAGCGGCAGCACAGCGGGGTGCACGCTTATCGGCTGTGACAGAGTGCTAGTGGATGTCAGGGAGCCAGCCTCTGGGAGGGCATTTGTAGCAGCAGCAGTAGTGGCAGTATGGCTGGGGTGGGGGCAGGGGCCACGCTGGCAACTGTGCACCTGTTCATTGGTGCCGATGATGGGGTTAGCATGGGGGCACTGGTGGGTGCAGGACTGTGTGTGCCCTTTGTGCATGTTCACACTGGCAGCAGTGGCTGCTCAGGGCTAGGGGTAGGTCCTCTGTTTTCTCTGCCTAGTTTCCTGTGGGAGGCCCAGCATAGGTGGGGAACTGGGAGGGGTGGGGCTGGCGGGCTCTATGCTGCCAACACTCTGACAACAACGGTGGTGGGAGAGGAGAATGAGGGGCTGGGGTGCACTTATGCTGGCAACAGTGGCACAGCAGGGTGCACACACAGGCATGCTGTTGGGGAAGGGTGGGCTAGGTCCACCCACGCACACACCACCAGCAAAACAATATTGAGGGTGCCTGTGGGCAAGAACCTGCAGGCAAAACTGCACAGGGGAGGCTGCAGTGGGAGCGGGGCTCAGGTGGGCTAGTGTGTCCATGGGGCCGCTGTGCAGGAGTATTCCCCGTTCAGGTACAGTCTGCCAGTGCAGGAGCTCTGATGCCGCCCCCAAGAGGTACCTGGGGATTGCACTGCAAGCAGGCTTGGCCAGGCTGGGGCCCCAGGAGAGGCCAGCAGACTGAGGGTTGCTCAGGTCAGACCAGCCCCATCTGATGGGCAAGACTACCCTGGAGAGTTCAGGTCTGACAGTTCCCCTACGGCTAAAGTCTCCTATGAGAGCAAGTCAAGCCTAGGGGATGGGTGTCCTGGCTGTGCTCCACCACATATGCTTCTGCATCAAACCCCCTGGCCTGGCTTAGGCTGGAGTTCTGCCCCGCCTGAGGTAGGAGGCAGAACTCGACTTAGGAGGTGAGGCTTGGACACCAGACCAAATTGAGGCTAGCTAAAAGAGGTCAGGGCAGAAGCGCCTCCCCATAAGACCCACCCCACAGTGTGCTATGTCAGTTTGCCATTGCCGTGGCAACACTTGGAAGTTACTACCCTTTTTCATGGCAATGACCCAACAACCTAGAAGCTACCACCCACATTCTAGAAATTTCTTTATAAACTGCCCCTTAATTTGCATATAATTAAAAGTCAGTATAAATGTGACTGCAGAGCTGCCTCTGAGCTGCCGCTCTGGGCGCACTGCCCATGGGGTAGCCCCGCTCCATAGGGAGCAGTGCCTCTGCTGCCGTGCACATGGCTGCTTTAGTAAAAGTTCTGTTTATCACCACCAGCTCGCCCTTGAGTTCTTTCCTGGCTGAAACCAAGAACCCTCCCGGGCTGTCTCAGTTTTGGGGCTCGCCTGCCCTGCATCACTACCACTTCTTTAAGCAGCTTCCCCTGCCAACGCAGCTGGCCGTGGCAGTCGAGGGGTCCTTCCTGCCGGGATTCCAGAGGCCATGGCAAGAGTGGGTTGCCCCTTGCTAGTTCAATTCACCCCCTCCACAGGAGTCACTGGGAGCCAGGAATGATTCCTGGTGCACAGTAGCCCTGTGCAGGGTTCCCAGCCTCCTCCTCTGCCTTCCATCCAGCCTCTATGTCTTCCCTCCGTTCACTCTCAGGGCCTTCCCACTGAAGATCTAGGAGTCTAGGAGTGCACCTGTCTGCACAGTGTCCCTGTCTCTTAGTGGGAGATGTTTCTCCTGGCTGCGTCTAGTTGGCCATCTTGGAGCAGGAGCAAAATCTAGGCAGTCTTTAAACAGCTTCAAATTAGGGTTCTCACAAACCCCTCTTTGGGTAAGCAAGGTATAGAGGGAAGGGACCCAGAGCTTCCTTGCCCTCTCTGGACACACCACCCTCCAGGAACCTCCACGTGTTCAGCTCTCTGGAAGCTTCTTTTATCTCTTTTGCTTTACGTCTTCCCTCACTGAGACTTCCAGCACAGTGTTGAATATGAGTGGTGAGAGCTGACATTCTTGCTTTGTTCCTGATCTTAGAGGGAGACCATTAAGTCTTTTGCCACCAACTAGGATGTTAGCTGTAGGTTTATTATAGGTGTTCTTTTTCACCTTGAGGAAGTTCCCTTTTATTGCTAGTTTGCTAACAGTTTTTTTTTTTTTTTAATCATGCGTGGGTGTTGTATTTTCTTCAGTTCTTTTTCTGCATCAATTGATGTAATCACATGAGTTTTCTTCTTTTGGTTGTTAATATGGTGTATTCCACTGACTGCTTTCTGATTATTGAACCAGTGTTGCATTCCTGGAATAAAATCCCATTGGTCATAGTGTATTATAGGTTGAGTATCCCTTATACAAATGCTTGGGAGCAGAAGTGTTTTGGATTTCAGATTTCTTTGGATTTTGGAATATTTGCATATGCATCATGAGATATCTTAGGGCTGGGACCCAGGTCCAAACGTGAAATTCATTTTTGTTTTTTTGTTTTTTTTTTTTTTTTGAGATGGAATTTCGCTCTTGTTGCCCAGGCTGGAGTGCAATGGCACAATCTCAGCTCACTGCAACCTCTCCCTCCTGGGTTCAAGCGATTCTCCTGCCTCAGTCTCCCAAGTAGCTGGGATTACAGGCACCTGCCACCATGCCCGGCTAATTTTTGTATTTTTAGTAGAAACGGGGTTTCACCATGTTGGCCAGGCTGGTCTCGAACTCCTGACCTCAGGTGATCCACCTGCCTCAGCCTTCCAAAGTGCTGGGGGAATTCAGGTGTGAGCCACTGCACCTGGCTTCATTTATGTTTTATATACACCTTATGCACGTAGTCTGAAGGTAATTTTACTTTTCCCTTGGAGATGCTGAATAAACTGCATTGTGCACCTGCATTTTGACTGCAACCTGTCACATGAAGTTGGGTATGGAATCTTCTACTTTTGACATCATGTCAGGGCTCAAAAAGTTTTGGATTTTGGAGCATTTTGGATTTGGGATTTTTGAATTAGGAATGCTTAACCTGTATTCTTTTTATGTATTGCTGGATTTCCTTTGCTGGTATTTTGTTGGAGATTTTTGGATCTACACTCATAAGAGATACTGGTTTGTAATTTTCTCTTTTTTGTAATGTTTTTGTCTGGTTTTGGTATCAAGGTAATGGAGGAAGTGTTTTTTCCTCTTCCGTTTTCTGGAAGACATTTTATAGAATCCATGTTAATTCTTTAAACATTTGTTAGAATTCACCACTGAAACTATCCGAGCCTGGAGATTTATTTTACAAAATGCTTTTAACTATTAATTTCAAAAAAAAGTGTTTTCTTGAGTCAGGGCTTCGATCTGTTGCCCAGGCTGGAGGGCAGTAGCGTGAACACAGCTCACTACACTTTGACTCCAGTGATCATCTTGCTCAAGTGATCATCCCGCCTCAGCCTCCCAAGTAGCTGGGACTGCAGCCGTGTGCCACCATGCCCGGCTTTTGGGGTTTTTTTGTTTTTTGTGTTTTTTTTGAGACAGAGTCTTGCTCTGTCACCCAGGCTGGAGTGCAGTGGCGCGATTACAGCTCACCGCAACCTCTGCCTCCCAGGTTCAAGCGATTCTCCAGCCTCAGCCTCCCATGTAGTTGAGATTACAGGCATGTACCACCACACCTGGGTAATTTTTGTATTTTTGGTAGAGACAGGATTTCACCTTGTTGGCTGGGCTGGTCACAAATTCCTGACCTCAAGTGATCTGCTCACCCCGGCCTCCCAAAATGCTGGGATTACAGGCATGAGCCACTGCGCCCAGCCCTAAAAAGGTTTTTTTAAAAGCCATTCTTGTAGAGGAGGTCTACTGGCTACACATTCCCTTGGCTTTCCTTTAAGAATGTCTCTATATTTTACCTTTATCCCTAAAGGCTATTTTCACTGGATATGGACTTCTGAATTGACGGTTTTTGTTTAGCACTTTAATATGTTATACCACTTCCTTCTGGCATCCATCATTTCTGGTGAGAAATCCACAGTCCCCCAAATCTTTATTCCCCTATAGGTGATGTATTATTGTCCTCTGGCTGCTTTCCAGATTTTTCTTTGCCTTTAGTTTCAGCAGTTAGATGAGGTGTGCACATCTTTGTGTTTCTACTGTTTGGGATTTGTTCAGCTTCTTGGATCTGTAAGTTTATGTCTTTCATCAAATTGGGAAGTTATCAATCATTGTTTCCTAAAATATGGTTTTTTGTTTTTTTGTTTTGTTTTGTTTTTTGAGACAGAGTTTCATTCTTGTTGCCCAGTCTGGAGTGCAATGGCACAATCTTGGCTCACTGCAACCTCTGCCTCCCAGGTTCAAGCTGTTATAAGTAAAATGTTTATTCAGAAACAGAATGCTTGTTCCTCGGTACCACAAGGAAAAATCAGCATTCAAACAAAAAGTTTTCTCAGCAAGGCAAATTTACTTTCTGCAGAAAGGGTGCTCCTCGCAGATGGAACAATGGCGAGAGCACACCCGAACAAAGGAGGAAAGCCGTTTTTATCCCTTATGCAGCTTGTCCCTGCTGCTGTGTCCTATCTCCATTGGCTGGAGCCAGACCTCACAATCTAAGCTAAACCTGACTGGCTAATAACTTAAAACTTTCCTAAATAGATAAAGGCAAGGGAGAACAAAGGAAAAAGAGGAAGTTGACTCATTCCCTTATATCTAACATCCCTTACATCTAAAAACAAATATCTTGGTTAAAGTACAAGGACACAGAATGTACTCATTCCCTTATATCTAACATCCTTTATGTCTAAAACAAATATTTCGGTTAAAGTACAAGGACATAGAATGTACATTATTTCTAACACTTATGATTTATTCTTTAGTGAGAAGGGAAACTTTGAAGAGGAACTTTTTTACTTTCTACAAAGCAATTCTCCTGTCTCAGCCTCCCGAGTAGCTGGGATTACAGGCATTCACCACCACACTTGGCTAATTTTGTATTTTTAGTAGAGACAGGGTTTCTCCATGTCGATCAGGCTGGTCTCAAGCTCCCAACCTCAGGTGATCCACCTGCCTCAGCCTCCCAAAGTGCTGGGATTACAGGCATGAGCCACCGCACCCAGCCCTCAGATATGTTTTTGTCATTTTACTCTTCCTTCAGGACTCCAGTGACATGAAAGACCTTTGGTTATTATATCATGTGTCCCTGAGGCTGCTTATTTTATTCTATCTTTTCTTCTCTCTGTTAGATTGGATAATTTACATTGAACTGCCTTTAAGTTCACAGGTCCTTTGGCCCTTTCCTGTTTATCTCCATTCTGTTATTATTATTATTACTATTATTATTATTATTTTTTTTTTTTTTGAGATAGGTTCCCACTCTGTCATCCAGGCTGGAGAGCCATGGAGCAAGCATGGCTCACTGTAGCCCCAACCTCCTGGGCTCAAGCGATCCTTCTGCTTCAGCCTCCTGAGTAGCTGGGACTACAGGTGTGCACCACCAAGCCTGGCTAATTTTTAAAAAAAAATTTTTGTAGAGATGAGGGTCTCTCTGTGTTGCCCTGGCTGATCTAGAACTCCTGGGGCAAGTGATCTTCCCACCTCAGCCTCCCAAAGTGCTGGGATTACAGGCATGAGCCACTGTACCTGGCCTCCATTCTGCTATTAAGTCCATTGAGCAAGTTGTTTATTTCAGTTACTATATTTTTAAAAATTTTCCATTTGATTCTTCTCTTTTTGTTTGTTTTTGTTTTTGTTTTTGTTTTGAGACAGGGTCTTACTCTGTTGCCCAGGCTGGAGTATAGTGGTGCAGTTATAGCTCACTGCAGCCTCAACCTCGTGTGTTCAAGTGATCTTCCCATCTGAGTGTGCTGAGTAGCTGAGACCACAGGCACGCACCACCATGCCTGGCTAATTTTTTTTTATTTTTTATTTTGTAGAGACCAGGACTTGCTGTGTTGCCCAGGCTAGTCTCGAACTCCTGGTTGATTCTTCTTTATCATCTGTTTCTTTGCTGAGACTTTCTATTTTAACATTTGTTGCAAGCATTTGCAATTTTAAAAATAGCTGTTTAAAGTCTTCATCAGATAATCCCAACATCTGTGAAGTGTTGACAGTGGTTGATTGGGTTTTCCAGGCAAGTTGACATTTTCGTGGTTGTTTGTATGCTGAGTAATTTTGGATTGCATCCTGGACTTTTTGAGCATTATGTGGTGATACTCTAGGTCTTATTTAAGCTATATGGGAAATATTGATATTTTTGTTTTAGCCAACAGCCAATCTTACTTTCAGGCCACAAGTTCCAATCCCCAACCTGTAGGCCATGAGCATCACGTCAGTTTTTAAAGCCCCCGTGCCATTTCCTGGTCAGATCTCCTGGGCGTGCACTGCCCAGTGGTCATTCTGGGACCCGAGTGGTTAGTTCAGTTCTCAAACTCTTTCGTAAGTCAAACTATGGTATATGCACAGGATTCACAGATGCTCGATTCTAGAGAGTTCTGGAGACATAAACCACTTCATGGGGTGACTTTCCTGAGCTTCTGGCTCTGTGCTGTCTACCTGGTACTTTTCTGATTCCTTGCGGTTTACTGTTGTACACGTCTGCCATTGGGCCCACTTCCCAGCCCACATGGAGAGAGGACAGAGAGAGAAAAGGACAACGGTTGCCCCACCCCCTCGGAACAGTAGCTGGCACCACAGGGCCTGGGGCATGAGGAACAGGGGAGATGGGGGGCTTCTGTGTTTTCCAGGAGAGTCAGGAGTTCCTCTTCTGGCCCCAGAGCCAGGCCTGGAGGCTCTGCTGAGCTCTCGTGTGCTCTGTGGTGCACACTTCTGCTTCCAGATTGCTGCTGCACTTTCTCGTGGGGGGCGGTGGGAACACTCTGCATTCGTGGCTCTTCCCTGGTCCACCTGCTGCTGTCTTCAGTCTTCCGGCAGCTGCCAAGCCTCCTGCCCAGGTTTCAGAGCTGTAGTCAGTGGCAGGGGAAGGGGCGCCAGCCGACCTGCCTCACCAGCCGCTTGCTTTCTTTTGTGTTCACGCTGGCCTCATCCCTGCGGTGTGGGTGGACTGTATGGGCTCAGCCAATCCAGTCATGCAGGTCACTCAGGTCCCGTTTCTGACGGCCACTGGCAGTGCAGCATTGAGCACGCTTGCTCAGCCCCAGACGTGTGCACTTGGGTGTCTCCGTGACCTGGGCCAGGATTTCTGGAGGACTGAGGCTGCAGACATGGAATTGCCAAGGAGAGTGCTGCCCAGAAAGACTGTCTCGCGCACTCCGTGCAGACCTCTTCGCTTTCTTACTTTCCGGGACGGGACAGTGGCCTCGCTAACCACATTCCCCTCTCCCCTGGGGACTCTTGTCTGATTGTTTATTGAGCCGAAAACAGGGTCCATCTGGGTGCTGTGGGGTGCAAAGGCAAGTCCCAGGGGGCAGCTTAGAGAGAGTCGAGCAGGAAAGCGCTAGGGCTGCGGGGGTCCCCGCCACAGTGCGCTGCTGCATGTGGCTCCGCCCGGAAGGATCCCACTCCTCCAAACAGGTCAGCACAAGGGCAGCTGTCAGGATGCCACCTTCCTAAGTGGCTTGCAGAGCTGGTGGCTGGGTCAACATTTGCCTCCAGATGCGATCATCTGAGTGCAGCCTGGTACTTACACAGCCGGGCCCTGAGCAAGCATCCCTTCAGCACCCGCCCTGGGAAGGGCACCGGCTCTGCGTGGCTGGTCACACCTCAGCTGAGAAGGTTCTGATTGCTGCCCGCAGGGCCGAGATCAGCCTCGTGGGCTGGGCAGCTTTTCAGCTCCACTCCCTGGGCCTGCTCTCGCGGCATTCACGACCTCATGTGTTCAGTTACAGCTGGCTGCCAGGGCCAGTCCCAACTCCCTGAGGGGGAGGCAGCACCCAAGGGGAATTAGGGGCCGTCACAGTGGAGTGGAGGGCCCTCCGAGAAAGAGGCAGGCAAAATCCCAATGCTCGGGCTCCTGGAGCCCCGGCCAGTGAGGGTCCCGAGCTCCTGAGCCTCCGCTTGCCCACTGAGCACCTCCTGCCACACACGCTGTTTCTGGTGCTGGACACGGCAGCGCGCAGCCCCACGTGGCTTCCCCCAGCAGGGAGAGAGAGAGAGAGACAAGCAGGCAGACGCAGGGAAGCTGTTGTGCACCATGGGATCAGGGAGCCGCTTGCGAGATGAGGACAGGACAGCACGAGGAGGTGAGGCTGGGGAAGGTGACAGAACCGGAGCCCTTGGGGCCATGTCCGGTTCCCTGCCCCTCCCAGGGCTGTCATTTGCTTGGCACCTCAGTTTTCCCAATTCCCTCAGAGGCGGCAAGCTGGTGAGGGGCTTTTGTTTGTCTACCCAGTGCTTTTTGGACATCATGCATAAGACTGCACAGACTCTCCTGCCACTCTGCAGACAGGAAATGCAGGCCCTGCACATGTTAGCCTGGCTGGAGCCAGCATCTGGGCCCAGGTATCCAAGTCGGTGGCCTTTGGCCCACTTGCTGGTGTGAGCATGGCCTCGTGCAGCATAGCAGTGTGCAGTGGTGGCCAGGGCTGCAGCCCCAGCGATTCTTCTGCCAGTCACTCTGTGCCCTCAGCACGGGGCCTCTGATCTGTGCCTGTTTCCTCACCTCTAAAATGGATGCAAGAAGAGATGCTCCAGCATCTTGGCTCACGCAGGACAGGCTAGGGGGTGCAGGACCGTCGCCCCGGTGTGGATTTTCAGTTGCACTTTCAGATGCATCTCGGCATGCGCAGTGGGTTACAGCCCCTCAGGTCATCTCCCCACAGTCCCTGCCCCAGAGGTTGTCGAGGCGTGTGTGGAGCAATGCCTGGCGCAGTGGAAATGCTGTCAGTGTTAGCCACTGTGACTGGATTTAAGTTGATTATTTTGGATCAAGTGTTATCACACTTCAGGGTGGCCCTGAGAAGCAAGAAGGGGTCAGGACTCAGGAAGCACCATCTCTCATAAGCCCTGGGGGGTGAGGGGCCAGTGGCCTCCCTGGGAGGCCAAGAGGAGAAACAGCTTTCAAGAAAAGCAAGTCTGGCCTGGTTCAAGAGACCCCAGCCCAGCCCAGCCCATCGGCTGAGCAGGGACCACAGGGTCCTGGCCCAGGTCCAGCCGAGCTCATGGACTCTCAAAGCTGACTCAGCGTGGGGACCAGCTGCCGGGCCGGCCCGGAGCATTCAGGGGGCTCCTGGGAGGGAGGGACTGGTACCTGATAGAGAACCCTCAGAGGGGGCTCCAGGCACGCATCATCAGGTCCCAGTGTGGCCTGAGGCCTAGAGGGCAGGACCCACAGTGTCCACCTCATGTCCACAGGGCCTCGGCATGAAGGCTGGAGGGGTGAGCCTGGGGACCCTCAGCCAGGCGTGGGTTGGTGTGGGTTAGGGGTAGACCTTAGCCACAGCTGGGACTCTCCCAGCTCAGGGGATGCCCAGGAGAGGGATGGGCTTGGAGGTGAGAAGGGCGTTGAGAGTGGGGTGGCCAGAGGGTCACATGATGTGGTAGGAGGCAGTGGCTGGTGAGTTGGGGACCTCCCCTCACGCCCACACCGCCACCCCCAGGTCAGCGCCAACGGCAATGTCCTGCGCAGCGAGATCGTGGGCTCCATCAAGATGCGAGTCTTCCTCTCGGGCATGCCCGAGCTGCGCCTGGGCCTCAACGACAAGGTCCTCTTTGACAACACGGGCCGTGAGTACCCTTGCCAAGGGCCCTGCCCATGAGGATGGCCTCACCAGGCACACACATTACAGCCTAGGGCAGGGTTGGGCCAGGCGGAGGAACGAGCTGGTTTCAAGCACTTGGTTGAGCAGCACTTCACACTGCTTGAGACAGCTGTGTAGAGTATTCATCCTTCCCTGGACATAGAAGGTGCAGGGGAGTGAAGATCCTCCAGTCCAGCTGGGAGGCCCCCGTCACCCGGCCTCACACGCCAGGTCCTGCACCCTGCCCTGCTCTGCCTGGGGCACTGGGGCCTAGGCTAAGGCCTTGCTCTCTCCCTCCCAGGCCAGGTTTCTCCCCTCACCTTGGGCCCTAGGTGTGGGCCGTGTGAAGGCCACGCATGGTGATTCTCGCTCCCGCCGCCTGGCCTCTAACACTTCCCACAGCAGGGCGGGGGCAGAGGGGCCCAGGGCCTGGTTTTGTGAACTGTGCCTCCCACTCAGCTGTCACAGGCCACTGGAAGAGGGTGCAGTGGCTGGGCATGCCCCCGTTCCTAGCCCGGTGAGGGCTTCTCGGGCATCAGTCTATCAGGGCAGCTCCCCGCCTGGGGCTGGGCAGGGCCCCACCCACATAGCCCTCAGTGAGGTGGCAAACCAAGGTAGGACCCAGGACCCCGTGGATGCCAGGGCCTGAGCCCTTGGGGAGCCCCGAGCCATCCCCCAGCCAAGTCCACTGATCAATCATTCAGTGAACGTGTCCTGAGCAGGTCCCCTGGCTGGGCCCTGGGATGGCCGCTGGGGACTCAGCATGAACCAGACCCACCAGCCCTGCCCCTGGGGACCCCAGGGGTGTGAGGAGTGATGGGGCAGTTGTCTTGGGACCCAGCCCCCTTGGTGTTTGTGGCCCAGGCTGCTCTCAGTGCGTGGACTGGGGGCCCTGCTCTGCCGGGGTGGGTTGCAGGTGGTAGGAGTACTGCTGAGATAGTGACCCGGAGGGCCCAGATCTGTCCTACCCTCACCCCTGACCCCAGGCGGCAAAAGCAAATCCGTGGAGCTGGAGGATGTGAAGTTCCACCAGTGTGTGCGGCTATCACGCTTCGAGAATGACCGCACCATCTCCTTCATCCCACCCGACGGCGAGTTCGAGCTCATGTCCTACCGTCTCAACACCCACGTGAGTGCGCCACCCTGGGGCTGGGCTGTCGGCAGACTCCTCCTCCCCTTCACCTCCAGGAGGTGAAGCCCAGGCAGGCGCCAGGGCCAGCCCCACCCCACGCTCCATGAGCTGCCTGGCTCTGCAGAGATGGAGTCTGAGGACTTGGGACTCCGAGCTTTCTGAGGGGCACAGACCCCTTTGGCCACCACCACCCCTTTCCCAGGCAGCCCCCAGAGCAGGCCCTGGTCATGTTTTCTGCATTTGCCCCAAGGCCTCCCCGGTAGCTCCCGGCTACCTCGGCCTGTCTGCCCTGGCCCTCCCTGACGCTGGCTGTACGCTCCCTGCAGGGCTCTGGGCCCACACCTGGGCAGATGGTCCCTTGCCCTGGGCCTTGGTTTCCCCTCTGAAATGGGCCTTTGTCAAACAAGGCCAGGTGTGAGCACCCTCTTTGCCCTCCTTGGCAGGTCAAGCCTTTGATATGGATCGAGTCGGTGATCGAGAAGCACTCCCACAGCCGCATCGAGTACATGATCAAGGTGCGTGGGCCGAGGCCACCCACTGAGGGCCTTCTGGTGTCTCTGGCCCGTCCCAGGAGCCTAACCGAGGGCTGGGGGTGCCGTAGGGCTGCCATCCGTGCACCCTCACTGTGGCCTCAGATGCAGGAGTGACCTGACACTGAGGGGACACCGCCTGGGGCCTGCTCCTAGATGGTGCCACTTGTGGGGAGGGGCCTGTAGCCAGGCATCCAGGACACTCCCAGAGGTGTTGCCCCCAGGTGGAGCACCTCTGCCCCTCAGCGACCCTGTCCAGCGCAGCCTGGCCCTGGGACATAGACATTGTCCTAGGAGGGCAGGGCAGAGGGAGGGATGAGGAGCCTTGGAAGCTGAGCAGACAGGAGGATGAAGATGAAACTCCTGAAATTAGGTCTTGGGAGAGTCTCGAGGGCAGGAGAAGGGGTGGGTAGTGCCTGGAGAAGTGGGGCCAGGGGCGGGGCTAGGGAGGATCCCCCGGGCCAGGCTGAGGGGCATGTGTCCTGGAGAGGCTGGCCAGCTCACCTTGGCCTCCATAACCCCGGGCCGCATTGGCCTGGCCTGCAGGCCAAAAGCCAGTTCAAGCGGCGGTCAACAGCCAACAACGTGGAGATCCACATTCCCGTGCCCAATGATGCCGACTCACCCAAGTTCAAGACGACGGTGGGGAGCGTTAAGTGGGTCCCCGAGAACAGCGAGATCGTGTGGTCCATCAAGTCCTTCCCGGTGAGCACTCTGTCCAGACATCCACGTGCCCCCTGCGCCTGTCTCTGCAAGGCAGCCTGGGTGCCTCAGGACCCCCTGCACCTCAAGATGGGGTGACAGTGGCCACTGTGTCTTCCACACCTGGGGCTTCTGAAAGGGTGGACGGAGAGCTGAGGACTGGAGTGGGAGGAAGCAGAGGCTGACTCGGCCCCTGGGCCCCTTTCTGCCTTCCTCTTGTTTGTGAACCAGCCTCTGTCTTCACCTCAGGGCAGTGCCCTCTCCCTCCCTCTCTGTGATGCCCCTGAGTACTGATGTGAGATGGGGCTCCTGTCCATGCAGGCCCTGAAGGAGCCCCGTCCACACTGGCAGGTCCAAGGCCCTTTCTGTGCAGGCTCAGCCTTGCCTGCCATCAAGGGGAACGGCTGCCTGTAGGCCGGAGCAGCACAGCCTCCAGAGCTCCGCACCAGCCGCCCATGTCCTGGGCCAGCTCTGCATCGGCGTGGCTTCCCTGACAACATGTTAAGGATTCTGAGGAGCTGAGTCTGGGCTTGCCGGGTGTACACAGTGCACAGAGAGGCTAGGCCCAGGCATGGCTCTGGAGCTGAGCCGGGTGGCACTGACCTGCTCCACCAGGGGGGCTCAGGGCAGGCGCTGCTTTCCATGTTCTCCCCTCTCTCTCCATCTGCATCCCAGGGGGACTTGGGGACAGCCCCAGCTGAGTTAAGCTGGAAATGCTGCAATTCAAGTGCCTTGAATTTCATGATGGTACTTTCCCTCCCAGCCTCAGTCTAATCACATGACATAAAATACAGAAAGTAGAGGAAGGAGAGAGAAAAGCCAGTTACCCCACCACCTAATACTCCCGTCAGCCTTTCCGCGTGTCTCCTCACCTTTCTTTCTGCGTATTTTGCTTTTCCTCATTATGTGCAAGTAGAGCCAGCTCAGTGCCTGCCCTTCCACGTGGCGCTGCGGCAGAGCGTTTTCCTTCTGGTATTGACTGTCTTCTTGGCGGTCACCTTTGGGAGCTGTGGATATTCCATGGAGGGGTGGTGACCATCCCGGATAGTTGGATTAGCTCCTCTTTTCCTGCAATTCCACTGTTGAAAATAGTGTTTATCATTTAAAACACACTGGGAGAATACTTCATCAAATAAACAGCATGGTGAGCTGTAGACGGGGGAGGAAGGGACAGGGCTAAGGGCCGAGACACAGGCTGGCGTGGACTGTGCTTGTGTAGATTTTACTTCGAAGCCATGCACAGGCACACCTCATTTTATTGTGCTTCCCAGATACTGCATTTTTATTTTTGTTTTAGTTTTTAAACAAATGGAAGGTTTGTGGCAACCCTGCGTTGAGCAAGTCTGTTGATGTCATTATTCCAACAGCATGTGGTCTCTGTGTTGTCACTTTTTAGCAATAAAGTATGTTTTAACTAAGGTATGTACATTCTCCTAGACATAATACTGTTGCACATTCAGACTACAGTATACGGTAACCTTTTTTTTTTTTTTGAGACGGAGTCTCGCTCTGTCGCCTAGGCTGGAGTGCAGTGGCACAATCTCGGCTCACTGCAACCTGTGCCTCCCAGGTTCAAGTGATTCTCCTGCCTCAGCGTCCTGAGCAGCTGGGATTACAGGCATGTGTCACCACGCCTGGCTAATTTTTGTATTTTTAATAGAGACGGGGTTTCACCATGTTGGCCAAGCTGGTGACGAACTCCTGACCTTGTGATCCGCCTGACTCAGCCTCCCAAAGTGCTGAGATTACAGGTGTGGGCCACCGTGCCCGGCTGGTAAACGTAACTTTTACATGCACTGGGAAACCAAAAAATGTGTGTGACTTGCCTAACTGTGCTATGTGCTTTATGGCAGTGGTCTGGAACCAAACCTGCACTGTGTGAAGGTACACCTGTCAGTGCTTCCCATGCATAGAAAACAAAATTAAATCACAATGGAAAAAAGGTAATTCCTAAAAACCAAAAGCAAAATTAATTCATCAGCGTATCAAGTTGATGACAACCACAGAGACACGTCACTTCAAATAACACACCCTAAGGACAAAAGGAACTGCAAAAAATAAATTTTAAGAAATACAGAGAGGGCCAGGCGCTGTGGCTCACGCCTGTAATCCCAGCACTTTCGGAGGCTGAGGCGGGCGGATCACAAGGTCAGGAGATCAAGACCATCCTGGCTAACATGGTGAAACCCCGTCTCTACTAAAAATACAAAAAATTAGCCGGGTGTGGTGGTGGGTGCCTGTAGTCCCAGCTACTCGGGAGGCTGAGGTGGGAGAATGGTGTGAACTCGGGAGGCGGAGCTTGCAGTGAGCCAAGATTGCACCACTGCACTCCAGCCTGGGCAACAGAGCAAGACTCTGTCTCAAAAAAAAAAAAAAAAAAAAAAACACAGAGAGAGATTAGAAATACAGATTAGATAGATAGATAGATATCCTTCCCCCTTTCTTAGATTGCTCCATACTAAAAGTTTTTTTTTTTTTAGGTTAGTTTTTTTTGTTTCTGAGATGAAGTCTCACTCTGTTGCCCAGGCTGGAGTGCAGAGGCACGATCTCGGCTTACTGCAGAGGCATGATCTCGGCTTGCTGCAACTCCACCTCCCGGGTTCAAGCGATTCTCCTGCCTCAGCCTCCCAAGTAGCTAAGATTACAGGCACATGCCACCACACCCAGCTAATTTGTGTATTTTTAGTAGAAACAGGGTTTCGCTATTGTTGCTCAGGCTGGTCTCAGGTGATCTGCCTGCTTCGGCCTCCCAAAGCACTGGGATGACAGGCGTGAGCCACCATGCCTGGCCTATTGTGAATAATGCTGCTGTGAACGAGTGCACAAATACCTCTTCAAGATCCAGCTTCCATTTGTTTTGGGTGTATCCCCAGAAGTGGAATTGCTGGATCATATGGTGATTCTATTTTCAACTTTTTGTGGAAGTGCCATAGTGTAGGCTATTTGCTTTTAAACCTAGAGTGTTTCTCAGTCCTGTCCCTACTGCTGTCTGTTACCAGGTTAGGGAATTTGATATGTGCCCATGGGTGGCCATGGCACATGACACTGTCCACCTGGATGGAGATCTGGGCCGGGCCTTGCGTCCAGGCCTTCTCCTGGCTCTCTCTGCATCTCCTATAGCACCTGCTTCACAGAAGTTGCTGCCATGTTACTTCATGCGTGGGTACCTGTGACTATTGTGTTGTCCCTGTGGCTTATGGGACGGCAGCCTCTAGGATTGTGGCCTGTCCTCCTGTGCACCTTTCTCCCTTGTGATGATGGCAGCCCTGTCCTCTTTTGTCTGCCTTTGGCAGCACGCCTGTCAATGCCTGTTCTTCCTACCCGGGGAGCCCTTCTCACTGTGCCTTTGTGGCGTCGAGTGGGTTTTGGTGTGTGAGCCGGCGCCAGCCTACAGCTCTCATCGAGAGCAGAATTAAACCCACTCGGCTCAACGTGACGACACAGGCTGGGTGTGCAGGCCTCCATCGCCCCTGGCGTCTGCTTCCCTGCATTTTCTTTGTTTGTGTTTTCCATTTGGTCTTTGCTAAGGTTCAGATTTGGGGTCTGGCTGAGTGTTTGGGGCACAGGCTAGTCACCGAGCGGGTTTGTTCCCTCGCTGCCTGCTTTACCAGTTGCTGATGTCGCATCTTCCCCCCGTCATCCTCCTGGAGTCTGTACTCAGCACATGTCACCAAGTCAGGCAGAGTCCTCACTCTCACGCTGCCCTGGTGGCAGTAGGCAGAGATGAACCACTCGGCCCTGCCCCAGGTGCACGGGGACCGCCCCTGCTGTGAGGCAGAAACAGCCCTAGGCGGCAGTAGCTCCCACGGAACCTCGGCCTGAGCCCTGGGGAGCAGAGACTGTGGGGTCCCAGGCACAGCCAGAGCTGAGATCGTGCCCCCGACTGCTCAGGGCGAGACCAGGCGCTGGGGGTGACCAGGCTGCAACCTGTTGCTCCTCAAGGCAGAGAGAGGGTGAAGGTCACAGCCAGGACTCGGGTTCCAGTCAGAGCCACAGCCACCCCCTGCTCACCCTCAGGAGCAGGACCCAGGGCTGAATCGTCACTCAGTGCATGCTCCTTGGTTTCTTCCTTTTGTCGCCTCTCCCTGGTCATGGTTCTCACCTGGACACTCTCTTTTCTTTCACATGCTGTTCTGAGACTGGGCGTGTGGCCCCTGTCCCCAGCAGCCCTCCCCTGCCACGGTCATTACACACTCTTCCTTCCCATGGCCGGTCTGTCTAGTTCACCAGCCTTGGAGGAAAGTGCATTAGGGGAGCTGGGCGGGGGGTGCTGGGCCACTGCAGACCACACTGGCAGGGGCTTGGTGACTGGGGCTGGCAGCTTGGTGAGCTCAGCTCTGGGCGCCTGGGTATCCTCATGGGGCAGCTGGGCACCCCAGAGCAGGGGCTGTCCTTACCAGCCTGGGGCAGCACAGGGCCGAGCTTTGGCTCCCCAGCACAGGGGCTCATGCTCCCCTCCCTGGACTGGGGTGAGTGGTCAGTCTCTGCCCATCGCCACTAGGGCCAGAGCTGTTGGCTAAGCTGGGGCAGGGCCTAGGCCTGAGCGCCTCCCCCGTCTGCTCCCCAGGGCGGCAAGGAGTACCTGATGCGGGCCCACTTCGGCCTGCCTAGTGTGGAGGCCGAAGACAAGGAGGGCAAGCCCCCGATCAGTGTCAAGTTCGAGATCCCTTACTTCACTACCTCCGGCATCCAGGTACGTAAGGCCCAGGCGGCCGGGGCCCAGAACAGGGACAGAGGCCGCAGGTGACAGATATCAATGCAGCCAGCTTGGGAAAGGGTGTCAGTCAGCTGCAATCAGGACCCTGCTGTGCTGTGGGCCTCTGCCTCCCCACAGACAGGGTGAGGCCAGGCTGCCTCTGCTCAGCCCTGACCCCTGAGCTCAAAGCTCACTCATTCTGCCCCAAACTAGCATTTGAGGCTCTGCCGTCCACTCATGCCCCATGGGACCTCTTTTCCCTGGCACCCCCTCAAAAGCCCACAGAGGGAGGAGAGGCTCCCAGAGAGCCAGGGGCCTTCTGGCCGGGCCCCCCAAGCAGGCTGCTGAGGCCGTGTCTGCAAGCCACATCCTGGCTGCTCACCACTTCCAGAGGCGGCTCTGCCCTCCCACACATTTGCATGGTCCAGACAAATCCCTTTCACCCCCCTGAGGCCTGTGCTCATCCTGTCGTCATGGCCTCCCCTGCCAGCCCCAGGCTGCCCCAGCAGGAAAGATTAAGGGGGGACCAACAGGGCGGGAGCCTGCGGTGCTCAGGGCCCTGCTACCTGTGCCCCAGGTGCGCTACCTGAAGATCATTGAGAAGAGTGGGTACCAGGCCCTGCCCTGGGTGCGTTATATCACGCAGAATGGAGGTGAGTGAGGCCCTACCCGTGGGGTGGGGTTGTACTGAGGGGTCCTCTGTGGCTGCCCCCAGGGTGGAGCCATCGGGTCGGGTCCCGAAAGCAGGGAGGGTGCAGAGCCCAGCATGACGCCTCCCTCCTGTCTCCTAGATTACCAGCTCCGGACCCAGTGAGGGGCTGTCGCAGCCAACACCCCGGCCTCGGGGCTCCTGGTGGCAGCACCAGGGGACACACCTGCCAAACCCACCAGATGGAGGGGCCCTCCCTGGTCTCTGGCCACCCTCCCAGCCTCTGCCCAGGGACCCCTGCCTTCCCCAGGCCATCTGCTCTGCCGTCGACACTCGTCTCAGAAGCCCCTTTCCCAGAAGAGGCTGGTCTTCAAGAAGTCTCGTTTCTTTGCCCCTGAAGTCAGTTTCAGGGGAAGGATGTGAAATTTTTCCGTGTAGAGGTTACAGCCTTTTATGCTGTTGAGCTCCCAGGTACCAAAAAGCTTGGCCAACGCTTGCCAGCCAGCCAGCTGCAGGTGGCATCTGCCACGAAGGAAGCGCCAGCCTCGCCAGGCCAGCAGGGGCGTCGTTTTGTTGCCATTTTGTTGAACGTTATGGGTTTATGGGTGTTCCTGGAACTTGTCTTTGTGCATTCGTTGCTGTTTGTGTTACCCTCACTGTCCCCATGTCCCACCCACGTCCTACGGCACTCAGGAAGCACTTGGTGAGGACGAGCCCTCACCCTTCTTGTCTTCCTTCCCGGCAGCGCCCGCAGCGGGCCATTTACACGTCGAGGCTGGCACCTGGCGCGCTCGGGGGCCACTGTAGCGTCTGCCTGCTCCCTGGACTCGCAGGCCTCGCCTGTGGCGCCTTCCCAGGGCCAGCCTGGGTCACGAGATGCTGTCACTCAGCCAGATCAGTATTGACCCACCAGGGGAGGTGGGGTTTGGTGAGAGACGCCAGCCTCAGACTTTTTCCCACTGAGGGTCCAGAGAGCGGGGCCACGTGTCACCCACGTCTGCGCTTGGTCACCCGTCCTCCCCACCCTGTGTGTGTTTATGTCATAGTTACATTAAATTCCATTCATTGAATACTCCACAGCCTTCCTCTGATGCAGCGTGGTCCCAACTCCTCCTGCGTGACCACAGGGCTTGCCTGGTTTTGTCGCCGACCTTCCCTGTGGCCCCACGAGGTGTCACCAGCTCCCTCTGCTTCCCCAGCTGAAACACAGGAAAAGCAGCTGCGGGAAGAGGCAGCTGCAGTGCTGGACCATGGGCCACCACTCCTGGGCCACACAGAGGAGGCCACAGAGGCAGAGTCTTCTCTCATCCAATCTGCTGCACCCTCAGATGGCCAACAGCTTGTCCCCACCTCTCCCCAAACTGATGGCCCACTCAGAGCATGGTCCTTGTGTCCACAGCAGCATCCCCTGTGTCCTAGCTAGAAATGCAGGTTCGTGGGCCAGCCCTGACCTGCCAAAGTGGAGGCTCTGGGGCCAGGGTCCCGGAAAACATTAACAAGGCCCCCAGATGCTTCTTCTGTGAACTGCTACTTGGTCCATGGGGGAAATAGCACATATGCAGGAAGTGCTGCCTGCTCTTGGCCCCCTCCCCGACCAGTGCTGATGGCCCTGCCTGGCCAGCACCCTCTTGCCTTCATTCTCCCCCTCCCTCTCCTGTCTTGCCGAGCTCGTCCTCAGGTGTCTAGTGGGCATCCGACCTAACAGCCTGAGTAGAACCTTCCGCCCACGTAGGTCTTCCCCATCTCAGTCAATGACGCTGCCCCAGCCCAGGCCTCAGACCAAAGCCCTGAAGGCATCCCTGGGGCCCCTCCCCTCACTGTCCACACCCATATCAGCAGCCAGCCCTCATGGCCCCTCCAGAAAACCCTGGGGCTGACCCCATTTGCCATCCTCGCTGCCACCCCCGGGGCCTAGCTCCAGTGTGGGCTGTCACTGTCCCCACCCTGTGGAGCCCCCATGCTGGGACACCGCAGGGACAGGAGAGGGCTGGTCCACAGGACAGAAGAGAGACTTCAGTTTCCAGCAACTTATCAGATAAGACCTGCAAACCCTCCACTACAGACTGTAGAAATGCAGGAAATGAAGCAGACGCACCTAGCCGTGCCCATAAAAAAGCAAGGAGACCCACAGGAGCCCAAGACGAAGGAAGTAGACGCGGAAGACACCGTGGGGGCTCACACCGGAGTTGCTCTTGGAAACCACCGGGTTTAGGTTTGGGGGCCAGGTGGCAGATAGGACTTTGGGCATCGGGAAGATGGTGAAATGCAGTGGAGATGACTCCTGCGTGAAGCTGGGATCCTCGAGGGTCATGATACTTAACAGTAAAAAGATGGACTAGAAAAAACATTTGCCCTCCACCCCTGAGAATAAGCACTGTGTCCTCTCTCTGCCTGAGATCCACAGGAGAAAAAGTCACCACTCATTTAGACCCCACGCTTGTAATATCAATCTGGTTTGCAGACAACCAGGCCAAGATGTTTATGACAGAAAACCTCCCTGGAGGGACCTAACTTCATGCCTTGTTACCTAAGATCCTCGCACACAATAGACCCTCAACATGAGGGCACATCCTGAAAATTACAAAACACGTGCATGAAAGCAAACTTGAAACAGCAGGATCAGATCCTCACGAACTTCAAAGATTATCGGCATGTAAACAAATACACTATGCAGTCAATCTGTTGCAAGTGCCTAAAGGCACAGAGACTCTGAATAGAAAAGAGCAAAATGCTGTTAAGACAGAGCTGTTACAACATCCAACAAGGCAAATAATTTGCATGCGGGTTATAACGTCTACAAATCAGAAAAAGAGAACCTAACAAAATGGGCTGTGTGTGAACAGACAGTATGAAGAAGATGAAATACAAATGGCGACCGTTCGGCCAGGCGTGGTGGCTCACGCCCGTGAGCCCAATACTTTGGGAAGCCGAGGCAGACCGATCACTGGAGGTCAGGAGTTCGAGACCAGCATGGCCAGCATGGTGAAGCCCCATCTATACTAAAAATACAAGAATTAGCCGGGTGTGGTGGTGCGTGCCTGTAATCCCAGCTACTCAGTATGCTGAGGCAGGAGAATGGCTTGAACCCAGGAGGTGGAGGTTGCAGTGAGCCAAGATAGTGTTACTGCACTCCAGCCTGGGCAACAGAGCGAGACTCCGTCTCAAAACACAACAAAAACCGGCCTAGCGCAGTGGCTTATGCCTGTAATCCCAGCACTTTGGGAGGCTGAGACGGGTGGATCACCTGAGGTCAGGAGTCCGAGACCAACCTGGCCAACATGGCGAGACCCCATCTCTACTAAAAATACCAAAATTAGCCAGGCATGGTGGCGGGCGCCTGTAATCCCAGCTACTTGGGAGGCTGAGGCATCAGAATCATTTGAACCCCAGGAGGCAGAGGTTGCAGTGAGCCGAGATCATACCACCTGCACTCCAGCCTGGGCAACAGAGCAAGACTTCATCTCAAAAGAAAAAAAAAAGGCAAACGTTCAACCATGTAGCTATTCAGGAAATATGTACACATAAACCAAGACCACAGTTAGATGCTATTTGCATCATGTCGGCCCCCCCCAAAAAAATTTTTTTTTTTGAGACAGGGTCTTGCTATGTTACCCAGGCTGGAGTGCAGTGGCGTGATCACGGCTCACTGCAGCCTCGAGCTGCCAGGCTCAGCCAATCCTGCCTCAGCCTCTTGAGGAGCTGGGACTACAAGCACATGCCACCATGCTGGGCCAATTTTTCATATTTTTTATAGAGATGGGGTCTCGTCATTTTGTCCACACTGGTCTCCAACTCCTGGGCTTGAGCCATCATCCTGCCTTGGCCTCCCAAAGTGCTGGGATTACAGGCGTGAGCCACCTCGCCACGCCTCCTGAACATCTAGAACGTGCTAGCTATGTACTGACTGTGGGAAAGTTGAGAACATCCTCCCTGAAGTCATCTTTATGCCAGAATTCTCTTGCAGAACTCTAGTTGAGAAAAGCCCTGAGAAGTCCATGCACCAATATATAGAGAAATATCAGGTGTACAGTTACACTTACAGCAGCATAGTTCATGATAGCAGGAAATTGGAAAGCAACCAAAAGTCCTTCAATAGGAAAAGGGACCACTGTAGTCCATTCATGCAAGAGATTACAGCAGTGAAAATGAATTCAACTAGAGCAGTGATATGGCTCAGAATACAACTTAAACAACATTGAGCGGGAAAAATGTTTACAAAAGAAAATGCAGTAATCTAGTATAAAATACGGAAATAATATTTTGCGTGCTTAGGGATCTATATATATCCAGCAAAAGTCTAACGAGATGCTTGAGAATTTGAAAAAATTCACATCCCTGGTTATCTCTGAAAGGCAAAAACAGGAAGGGGGTATGACTGGGGCCTCTGCTGTGTTGGCAATTTCCTTAAGCTTGGTATTGCTTAGTGGCTTGTTCTGTATTCTTTCTTTATGCTTTTTTTTTTTTTTTTTGACAGGGTGTCACTCTGTTGCCCAGGCCAAAGTGCAGTGGCATGGTCACGGCTCACTGCAGCTTCAAACTCCTGGGCTCAAGTGATCCTCCCACCTTGGCCTCCCAAAGTGCTGGGATTACAGGCATGAGCCACAGTGCCCAGCCCTTTTTGTAGTTCTTAATATACTTTTTGTAGTTTTTTTGTTTTTTGTTTTTGTTTTTGTTTTTTTTGAGACAGAGTTTTGCTCTTGTTGCCCAGGCTGGAGTGCAATGGTGTGATCTCGGCTCACTGCAACCTCCGCCTTCTGGGTTCAAGCAATTCTCCTGCCTCATCCTCCTGAGTAGCTGAGATTACAGGCATGCGCCACCATGCCTGGCTAATTTTGTATTTTTGGTAGAGACGGGATTTCTCCATGTTGGTCAGGCTGGTCTCGAACTCCCGGCTTCAGGTGATCCGCCCCCCTCACCTTCCCAAAGTGCTGGGATTACAGGCATGAGCCACCGCGCCCGGCCAGTTCTCTTTTTTTTTTTTTTTTTTTTTTTTTTTTTTTTTTTTTTTTAAGACTGCAAAGCTGGGCATGGTAGTATGCACCTGTAGTCCCAACTACTTGGGAGGCTGAGGCTAGAGGATTACTTGAGCCCAGGAGTTTAAGGACAGCCTGGGCAACATAGTGAGACCCTGTCTCTAAAACAAACCAACAAAACACCCCCCAAAAATGACAATGCAGATTTGGAAGAAAAAAATAGATTAAAAATGTAGTCATAGGAATTAACAACTTGGGGCCGGGCATGGTGGCTCACGCCTATAATCCCAGCACTTTGGGAGGCTGAGGCGGCCAGATCATTTTAGGTCAGGAGTTTGAGACCAGCCTGGCCAACATGGTAAAACCTGATTGCTACTAAAAATACAAAAGAATTAGCTGGGCGTAGTGGCTCATACCTGTAATCCCAGCTACTCAGGTGGCTGGGGCAGGAGATTCGCTTGAACCCGGGAGATGGCGCTCGCAGTGAGTCAAGATGGCACCGTTGTACTCTTGCCTGAGCGACACAGTGAGACACTGTCTCAAAAAAAAAAATTAACAACTTGGTTGGAGGGTGTTAAAATACAAGTGAGACATAGATGAAGAGAATTAGTGCACTAGAAGAGAGCTGTCTGAGGCAGTTACCCGGGACATAGCACAGCTAATGAGACATATATATATTTACAGTCAACCCTCCACATCCATGGGTTCTGCATCCATGGATTCAACCAAGAGTGAGTTGAAAATATTTGAAAAACAATTGTGTCTGTGCTGGACATGTACAGGTTTTCTTTTTTATTGTCATTATTCCTTAAATAATACAGTATAATGATTATGTAGCATCTACATTGTATTAGGTAATCTAGAGATGATTTAAAGATGATGTGCATAGGATATATGCAAATATTGTGCCATTTTATATAAAAGACTTGAGCATCCTCAGATTTTGGTATCCAAGGGGAGTCCTGGAAGCAATCCCTTGAGGATATGGAGGGACGACTCTGTGTGTGTGTGTGTGTGTGTGTGTGTGTGTATGTGTGTGTGTGTGTGTGTGTGTGTGTGATGTGCGTGTGTGGTTAGCACAAGACAATAAGAAGGCCCAACATGCCAGCAAGTATCTAACACAAACCAAAAAATGAGAACTGGGGAGCAGCCACATGCAAAGAGATCGTGGCCAGAATTTTCCAAAATTAATGAAAATCTTGAAGTGTTTTTTGTTTTTCATTTTGACGGAGTTTCGCGTTTGTTGCCCAGGCTGGAGTGCAATGGCGAAATCTCGGCTCATTACAACCTCTGCCTCCCAGGTTCAAGCAATTCTCATATCTCAGCCTCCCAAGCAGCTGGGATTACAGGTGCACACCACCACGCCCGGCTAATTTTTGTATTTTTTGTAGAGATGGGGTTTCACTATGTTGGTCAAGATGGTCTCGAACTCCTGACCTCAGGTGATCTGCCTGCTTCGGCCTCCCAAAGTGCTGGGATTACAGGCATGAGCCACTGCGCCCAGCCTGAAAATCTTGAAATTTTAAGATCCAGGAAACCGTTGAGTCCAAAGCATGATACACAAACCTAAATTCGTAACTAAAATAATCATAGTCGAACCACAGAACATATCAGACTCAGGGAAGATCCTAACAGCAACACTAAGAGATTAAAATGTCTCTCCAAAGAGCAATTGGACAGAGAACTGGTTTCACAACTGGAACAACAAAAGTCCGAAGATAGAGCATGGCTTCAAATTACTGAGAGAAGTGCAGTCTAGAATTCTGAGCCCACCTCATCTGTAAAAGGTAGGACAAGCCGGGCATGGTGGCTCCCGCCTGTAATCCCAGCACTCTGGGAGGCCGAGGCGGGCAGAGGTCAGGAGTTTGAGACCAGCCGGACCAACAAGGAGAAACCCCATCTCTACTAGAAATACAAAATTAGCCAGGTGTGGTGGCGGGCACCTGTGTTCCCAGCTACTTGGGAGACTGAGGCAGACAGAATTGCTTGAACCAGGGAGACAGAGGTTGCAGTGAGCCGAGATCGCGCCACTGTACTCCAGCTTGGGCAAAGTGAGATTCTGTCTCAAAAAAAAAAAAAGACAAGATAAAAACAATTTATCAATAACAGATTCCCCGAAAAAAGGAACTTGTGTACATAAGGAAAGGAAGAAAGATGTGAGAAGGAATGCCGGAAAACCTTAGAAACCATTGGATCTGTCTAAACTGTCATTGACTGTGTAAAGCAATAATAACAGTGACTAACGTATAGAGTAGCGACAAAAGGCGCAACTGAAGTACTAGACAACATCCTGGTGTTCATGCCTTTCAAGGTCACTATGCTATTTGGGAGGAGATTCGGCTAAAGTCCACGAGGGCCACGTATTTATATATAATTTCTAGACCAGTGGTTGGAAAAGGGTTGAAAGAAAACTTTTAACAGATTAATAGGAAGAAGGAAAAGAGAAGGAGGCGTAGAAAAATCAGGAGGCACTGGGCGCGGTGGCTCACGCCTGTAATCCCAGCACTTTGGGAGGCTGAGGCAGGCGGATCACCTGAGGTTGGGAGTTCGAGATCAGCCTGACTAACATGAGAAACCCCGTCTCTACTAAAAATATAAAATTAGCCGGGTGTGGTGGTGCATGCCTATAATCCCAGCTACTCGGGAGGGTGAGGCAGGAGAATCGCTTGAACCTGGGAGGCAGAGGTTGTGGTGAGCTGAGATCGCGCCATTGCACTCCAGCCTGGGCAATGAGCGAAACTCCATCTCAAAAAAAAAAAGAAAGAAAAAGAAAAAGAACAATCAGGAGGCCAGGTTCAGTGGCTCATGCCTGTAATCCCAGTGCTTTGGGAGGCTGAGGCTGAGACAGGTGAATTGCTTGAGCCTAGGAGTTTGAGACCAGCCTGGGCAACATGGAGAAACTCTGTCTCTACAAAAATTAGCCAGGCATGGTGGCGCACACCTGTAGTCCAAACTACTCAGGAGGCTGAGTTGGGAGGATCACCTGAGTTCAGGAAGCTGAGGCTGCAGTGAGCTGTGATTGCACCACTGCACTCCAGGTTGGGTGACAGAGTGACACCCTGCCTCAAAAAAAAAAAATAAAATAAAGGAAAAATCAGGATAAATGCAGGGATGTTCTAAACTTTTTAAAATAATAAATAATAGTACTTAAAACTGCACTGGGACTTTTGGGACACCCCTAGCATCTCTGGCTGCAGAAAGCATAAAATAAGATTGTAGAAATAAATCCAGATATTAGGAACCACAACAGGTGTAAATGAAGCAAAGCTGCTAGTTGAAGATGTTGTCGGATTGAACTGAAATACAAAATCCTGTGATATCCTGTTTATACGCGATACATCTAAAATGTAAGTACACAACACAATTGAAAGTAAAAAAACATTAAAAGATGTGACACTTAAAATATAAGCACACAACACAGTTAAAAGTAAAAAGACATTAAAAGATGCCAAAAGAAATCTCATATGGTTATATTAATTCCAGACAGAATAGATGTATTTATTTATTTATTCATTCATTTAATTTTTTGAGATGGAGTCTCGCTCTGTCGCCCAGGCTGGAGTGCAGTGGCGCGATCTTTGCTTACTGCAACCTCCGCCTCCCGGGTTCAAGTGATTCTCCTGCCTCAGTCTCCTCAGTAGCTGGGATTACAGGCATGCACCACCATGCTTGGCTAAATTTTTTTATTTTTGTATTTTTTTTATTTTTAGTAGAGACAGGGTTTTGCCATGTTGGCCAGGCTGGTCTTGAACCCTGACCTCAGGTGATCCACCCCCACTGGCCTCCCAAAGTGCTAGTGGCAGGTGTGAGCCACCACACACGGCCAGAATAGACTTTAAAGCAAGAAAGCAAAAGAAAAAATGTATTAGATCCCCGAGAAGTTTCCACACAACTCCAAGAATTATTATTAGAGTTCCCACTCTCTGAGGAATTTTCAAGAGAAATTAGTTAGAATTCAACAAGAAATAAATTACTTTAAAATATTTCCAAATATGAGAGGTTTTTTTTGTTTTTGTTTTTGTTTTTGTTTTTGTTTTTGTTTTGAGAAAGGGTCTCTGTTGCCCAGGCTGGAGTGCAGTCAGTGGCACGATGTCAGCTCACTGCAACCTTGGCCTCCTAGGCTGAAATAGTCCTCCCATCTCAGTCTCACAAGTAGCTGGGATTACAGGTGAGCACCACCAAGCTCAGCTATTTTTTTTTTTTTTTTGTATTTTTAGTAGAGATGGAGTTTTGCCATGTTGCCCAGGCTGGTCTTGCACTTGGGCTCAAGTGATCCACCTGCCTCAGCCTCCACAGTGCTGGAATTACAGGTGTGAGTCACCATGCCCAGCCAATATGAGAGATTTTAAAGCACATTTTTCAATCACCATGTGTCAAAGAAGAAAATATAATGGAAGTTAGAAAATATTAGAGAATGGCCAGGTGCAGTGGCTCATGTCTATAATCCCAGCACTTTAGGAGGCTGAAGCAGGTGAATCACTTGAGCTCAGGAGTTCGAGACCAGCCTGGCCAACATGGCGAAAATCCATCTCTACTAAAAATACAAAAATTAACCAGGTGTAGTGGCACACGCCTGTAAATCCCAGCTACTCAGGAGGCTGAGGCCCAAGAATGGCTTGAACCCTGGAGGCAGAGGTTGCAGTGAGCTGAGATTGTGCCACTGCACTCCAGCCTGGGCAACGAAACGAGAGTCTGTCTCCAAATAAATAATTAGAGAATATTTTTCAATCTGGATGCAGGTGACATGGGTGTGCTCTCGAGAATCCATCAAGCATTGATGATTTGCACACTCTTTTGTGTATATGTTACACTTCAGCAAAAACATTCACAAAGGGGAAAAAGGCAAAAGATACTTAAAGCAGCCAGAGGTAAAGACACATCACCTTCAGACATGACAACCAGACAGACAGACAGCTGGCTTTTCAAAGGAACCCAGAAAACAGTTGGGTGACATTTTCAACATGCTAAAAGAAAACCACTAACCCAAATCAGAGACCCAGCAAAAGTATTTCAAGAATGAGGTTACAGTAAAAACATTTTGCAGACAAATAACGAAAGAGTTTGCCAGCAGCAGGCTAACACTAAAGAAAATTGTAAACAGTGTACTCACATCAGGCACAAGGAAAGTGATCTCAGACGGAAGGGCATGATGCAAGAAGAAATAAAAGCAAAGAAGTAGAAAATACATGAGAAAATCTAGACAAAGATTGCATAAACAGTTTCTGGAGTTTTTTTAAGTGATAGAATTATACAACAGGAAAAAAAGTCTGCAGGGAGTAAACTGAGTTAAAATGTTCCAAGTTAATGACTGTCTGGGAGGAGAATAAATAACATGGATACACTTTGGGAGGCCGAGGCGGGCGGATCACGAGGTCAGGAGATCGAGACCATCCTGGCTAACACGGTGAAACCCCGTCTCTACTAAAAATACAAAAAATTAGCCGGGCGCGGTGGCGGGCGCCTGTAGTCCCAGCTACTCCGGAGGCTGAGGCAGGAGAATGGCGTGAACCCGGGAAGCGGAGCTTGCAGTGAGCCGAGATTGCGCCACTGCAGTCCGCAGTCCGGCCTGGGCGACAGAGCGAGACTCCGTCTCAAAATAAATAAATAAATAAATAAATAACATGGATAAAATTTGTTGTTTGTTGTTGTTGTTGTTGTTGTTGTTGTTGTTGAGACGGAGTTTCGCTCTTGTTGCCCAGGCTGGAGTGCAATGGCGCGGTCTTTGCTCACTGCAACCTCTGCATCCCGGGTTCAAGCTATTCTCCTGCCTCAGCCTCCTGAGTAGCTGGGATTACACGATGCGCCACCAGGCCTGCCTAACTTTGTATTTTTGGTAGAGGCGGGGTTTCTCCATGTTGGTCAGGCTGGTCTCAAACTCCCGACCTCAGGTGATCCGCCCGCCTCGGCCTCCCAAAGTGCTGGGATTACAGGCATGAGCCACTGCGCCCAGCCAAATCTGCATTTTGATAAGTATGCATTTTACTATCTAAGGGAGCTAAAACATTTTTATTATTTTAGCACTGTAACTTTGCTTTTCTTCTTTGTTTTGTTTTTTTGAGACAGAGTCTCACTCTGTCGCCCAGGCTGGAGTGCAGTGGCGTGATCTCAGCTCACTGCAACCTCCACCTCCTGGGTTCAAGCAATTCTCCTGCCTCAGCCTCCTGAGTAGCCAGGATTACAGGTGCACGCCACCACACCCAGCTAATTTATGTAATTTTATAGAGTTGTGGTTTCACCATATTGGCCAAGCTGGTCTAGAACTCCTGGCCTCAAGTGATCCACCTGCCTCGGCCTCCCAAAGTGCGGGGAGACCAGAATTCCACCCAGAATGACCTCTCTGTTCCTAGGAGTGTGACAGCATTTGGGGGGGAAAATAGCGTAGAGTTGGAATTTTTAAAATTCAGTTTGACAAAATGACTTTTAGCTGGAGCATTAAGTCCCTTTACATTTAATGTAATAACTGATATTACATTTAAGTATAAATTTAAATCTACCGTCTTACTTTGTTTTCTATTTTTGTCCTTTCTATGTTCTCTTTTATGTCCTCTCTGGATTTATTACAGATTGTTTGTGGCTTTTAAAAAAAGTCATTGCTTGAATGATGAGAGCTTATATTTAAAAAGGCAGGGGGCTAAAATAAATAAATAATTTAAAAAATAAAAATAAAGTCATTGTTTTCCTTTGAATGTTTGAGAGTTACAATTCTAGGCTGGGCGAGGTGGCTCAAGCCTGTAATCCCAGCGCTTTGGGAGGCCAGCCCAGGTGGATCACCTGAAGTCAGCATCGTGAAACCCCATCTCTACTAAAAATACAAAAATTAGCCGGGCACAGCGGCATGTGCCTGTAATCCCAGCTACTCGGGAGGCTGAGGCAGGAGAATCACTCGAACCTGGGAGGCGGAGGTTTCAGTGAACCAAGATCTCACCATTTCACTCTAGCCTGGGCAACAAGAGCAAAACTCCATCTCAAAAAGAAAGAAATATATATGAGTAGATATTAAATGTGTACACATATATACATATATAAAGGCTAAAATAATGATCTAAGCCTCCATCTCAAGAAGTTAGAAAAAGAACAACAAAATAAATGTAAGAGCACAGAAAGAAGGAAATAATAGGGAGTAGATACAAAGAAAATGGAAAAGAAACACTCAATAAAGAAAATCAACAAAGTGAGTTTATTTAAAAAAAAATGAATGAAATTGAAAAACCGCTAGGGAAATTGATCAACATGAAAAGAAAGCACACATAGCTGTTACTGGAATTGGGTTGGGGGAGACATTACTATAGATTTAAAGACATTAAAACGATTAGAACAGGACACATGTCTAGGGTTGTGTGAGGTATTCACTTCCCAAGGGTAGAGAGCTTCTGCTCACCAAGCTGTGATCCCTGGCCTAGAGTTCCAGCCACATAGCGAGAAAGGGGTTTCTTTTTCTAATTCACAAAACACGATACAGGCTAGTGGACCCCCAAATAAAAGAATATTTAGAATAAAACCCTATCAAAAAAAAAAAACAATAGCTAGAACAGTATGAACAATGCTAGGGGCTGGGTGTAGGTGGCTCACGCCGGTAATCCCAACACTTTGGGAGGCTGAGGCAGCTGGATCACCTGAGGTCAGGAGTTTGAGACCAGCGTGGCCAACATGATGAAACCCCGTCTCTACTAAAAATACAAAAAATTAGTTGGGCATGGTGGCAGGCACGTGTAATCCCAGCTACTCGGGAGGCTAAGGCAGGAGAATCGCTTGAACCTGGGAGGCGGAGGTTGCAGTGAGCCGAGATCACGCCACTGCACTCCAGCCTGGGCAACAGAGTGACTCTGTCTCAAAAAAAAAAAACTACACTTGATCTTAGCCAAAAGGCCAAGACACGATAAAATAATAATAATAATAAATGATGCTAAGGAAAAGAGTGACTTGCTGAAGGACGTTGTCCCCATTATGTGTGCAAAGTTTAAAATTACATGAAACAAAATGATGTATTATTTATGGCCAAATAATAAAAGATAGAGCCATCATCAGCATGTCTGTGATGGCCTAAGACCATCTTTTAATAAAGATTGTAATTCAGGTCATTCCCCTCCCCTGCTCAAAATCCTCCCATGGCTCTCCAGTGCCCTCAGAGTAAAGTCCCCGCTCCCTTGTCCTCCGGGTCCAGCTGGTCCTCCTCTGGCTTCCACTCTCGCCTTTCCTCCCTCTTCACCTGCCACTCGCGCCTCTTTGCCCCAAGCTTGTTCTCACCTCAGAACCTTTGCAGTTGCCAGTGCCTTCTGTCTGGTGCACCCTTGCCTCCGCTGCCTCCTTGAAATTCATTGCTCAACTCAAGTGTCCCCTCCCCTCCAGCCACTCCAGCTTGTCGAAACATGCAGCTGTGATTTGTTCCACTTTTGCTGGCACACCCCTGGTCTGCCTAGAAGTTCCACAAGGACACCCCCGCCCCATCTGATTTGTCACTGCTGTGTCTCTAGGGTCCAGAGCAGTACTGCTCTGGGACTGGGATCTGGGGATGCAAGGCTCTGCCAGCCGTGACCACCAGGGGGCATCCACGGGTCAGAAACCACGGCTTGGAGACCCACCCGGCCAGGCCACAGAGAGAGGTGTGCGGGACAGGCCTGGGAAGAGGGAGACTCCAGCCCTCTCTGAACACAGCGACCCCAACACCACTGCTATCCTTCCTGAGGGTCCTCCCTGCAGCCTGATGGTGAAGATGAGGAAACTGAGGCTCAGAAAGGCCACAGGGGACGGGCGCGGTGGCTCATGCCTGTAATCCCAGCACTTTATCACTTGAGGTCAGGAGTTCAAGACCAGCCTGGCCAACATGGTGAAACCCTGTCTTTACTAAAAATGTCAAAAAAAAAAAAAAAAAAAAAGCTGGGCATGGTGGTGGGTGCCTGTAATCCCAGCTACTCAGGAAGCTGAGACAGGAGAATCGCTTGAACCCAGGAGGCAGAGGTTACAGTGAGCCGAGACCATGCCACTGCACTCCAGCCTGGGCAACAGAGTGAGACTCTATCTCAAAAAAAAAAAGCCACAGAAATGTCAAACACTCCTTCCCCCTCCTCACAGGACATTGACAGGGAAGCTACAGATGGAGGGTGGGTGGGGACGCTGGGGTCCCTGGCCTGGCTGGGAGGACCAAGTCAGGGCAGCCAGGCTCAGACTGACCCTGCTGTCCATGAGGAGCCTCAGCTCACACAGGCAGCCCAATCCCTGCCTGGGTTCAGCAGCTCCCATTGCACACATGGGGAAACTGAGGCTCAGAGACAGGCTGGAGCTGGACTCTGTACACCAGAACCCGGCAGGTCCTGCCACACCATTGCTGCCCAACGAATCCTCCCCAGCTGCCATCTGTGCTGGGGCTTGGGGACTCAGTGTGGACGACAGCAGGCGGGTGCCCCTCACCCACTTCCCACCAGTTCCCTATTCAATAGATGGAGAACTGAGTCTGAGCCCACCCAGCTTCATCCAGGGGCTACAAACTCAGACTACCCCCCACAAGAGGAAACGCCCAGTGGCCTGCCCCTGGAGTGGGTAGGGAAGCCCCGTGTTCAAAGCTGTGCCCCACAAACCTGGCTCCCCGTGCTGTGTGACCTTGAACAGGCTCCTTGCCCTCTCTGGGCCTGTTTCTCTGTCCACTGGGGGCCTCTTCATGCCATTTTGTTAGAAGAGTCTCTAAAAGAAGAAAAAGATCACTTGTCAACCAATTAAGAACTGCTCAGATGCTCTTTCTAAGCACTGAGGTTCTTTTACATGACACAAAGACCCTGATATGGCCAGTGCGCTGTTGTTTATTGAAATTGAGGTGAAATTCACATAACACATGGTTAACCATTTTATTTTATTTTATTTTTTATTTGAGACAGGGTCTCACTGTGTCACCCAGGCTGGAGTGCAGTGGTGCGATCACAGCTCACTGCAGCCTCGGCCTCCTGGGCTCAAGCGATCCTCCCACCTCTGAGTAGCTGGGACAACAGGCGCATGCCACCATGCCTGGCTAATTTTTGTAGTTTTGGGTAGAGACAGGGTGTCACTAGGTTGCCAGGGCTGGTCTTGAACTCTTGGGTTCAAGCGATCCTCCCGCCTCGGCCTCCCAAAGTGCTGGGCTTACAGGTGTGAGCCACCGTGCCCGGCTACAGTTAACCATTTGAAAGTGAACAATTCAGTGGCATTTAGGACATTTGCAATGTCGTGCAACCTCTGTCTGATTCCAGAACATTTCCATCACCCCAAAAGGAAACCCCGTCCCCATCAGCAATCACTCCTCATTCCTCTTCCCCAGCCCCAGGTAACACCAATCTACCTTATGTCTCTATGGATTTGCCTGTTCTAGGCATTTCATATCAATGGAATCTCACACTACGTGGCCTTTTGTGTCTGGCTTCTCTCACTCAGCATTGTGGGGATTTATTTGTTTGTTTGTTTGTTTTTTGAGACGGAGTCTCGCTCTGTCGCCCAGGCTGGAGAGCAGTGGCACGATCTCAGCTCACTGCAACCTCTGCCTCCCGGGTTCAAGCGATTCTCCTGCCTCAGCCTCCCAGGTAGCTGGGATTACAGGCTCCCGCCACCACACCCGACTAATTTTTCGTATATTTAGTAGAGAAGGGGTTTCACCACATTGGCCAGGCTGGTCTTGAACTCCTGACCTCAACTGATCCGCCCGCCTCAGCCTCCCAAACTGCTGGGATTACAGGTGTGAGCCACCATGCCCGGCCAACATCAGGTTTTTGAGGTTCACCCTTGTCACGGCATGGATCAGCGCTGCATTCCTTTTTACGGGTGCATAATATCCCACTGCATGGATAACTCACATTCTGTGTATCAGTTCATCTGCCAACAAAAATGAAGGCTGTTACCACCTTTCAGACATCATGAGCCATGTTATGAACTTTCACACACAAGTGTCTGTTTAAACACCTGCTTTCAATTATTCCCGGTATATACCCAGGAATAGACTCCCTGGATCATATGGTAATGTTAGGCTTAACTTTCTGAGGAATTTCACAATTTCACCGTGTGTGTGTGAGTATGTGTGTGTGTGTGTGTGTATGTGTGTGTGTGTGTGTGTGTGTGTGTGTGTGTTTTATAAGGCCCCTGGCCAAACTGGGAATATAGTGCCTAGAAATTTCTGGCAAGTTCTTTTCTCTGAGCGCTTTCCTCTGCATCAACCCGTCCCTCCCACCAGAGCCTGCTCGACCCTGGCTGACCATAGTCCCCTTCCAAAGCGACCCCAGCCCGCCCAGCCTCAGGGCAGTATCTGCACCTGTGTTATGTCCCCATCATCCATGCTTTGAATGCTACTGATATTTTGTATACTTAAAGTGCTACCCAGGCTGGGCGCGGTGGCTCACACCTGTAATCCCAGCTCTTTAGGAGCCGAGGCAGGCCGATCACCTGAGGTCAGGAGTTCAAGACCAGCTGGGCCAACATAGTGAAACCCTATCTCTATTAAAAATACAAAAAATTGGTCGGACATAGTGGCTCAAACCTGTAATCCCAGAACTTTGGGTGGCCAAGGCGCATGGATCACCTGAGATCAGGAGCTCGAGATCAGCTTGGCCAACATGGTGAAACCCCGTCTCTACTAAAAATACAAAAATTAGTCAGACGTGGTGGTGAGTGCCTGTAATCCCAGCTACTCAGGAGGCTGAGGCAGGAGAATTGCTCAAACCTGGGAGGCAGAGGTTGCAGTGAGCCAAGATCACGCCACTGCACTCCAGCTTGGGCGATAGAGGGAGACTCAGTCTTAAAAAAAAAAAATTAGCCAGGTGTGGGGGTGCGTGCCTGTAATCCCAGCTACTCAGGAGGCTGAGGCAAGAGAATCACTTGAACCTGGGAGGCAGAGGTTGCAGTGAGCCGAGATCAGACCACTGCACTCCAGCCTGGGTGACAGAGCGAGACTCCATCTCAAAAAAATAAAAATAATAAATAAAATAATAAATAAATATATAAATAATAAAGTGCTGCCCAAATTGTTTTGTTTTAGAGATTATAAAAACAGAAAAAGGGGGTGGGCACAGTGGCTCATGCCTGTAATCCCAGAACTTTGGGAGGCCGAGGCGGGCGGATCACGAGGTCAGGTGATCAAGACCATCCTGGCTAACAGTGCGAAACCTCGTCTCTACTAAAAATACAAAAAATTAGCTGGGCATGGTGGTGGGCGCCTGTAGTCCCAGCTACTCGGGAGGCTGAGGCAGGAGAATGGCGTGAACCCAGGAGGCGGAGCTTGCAGTGAGCCAAGATTGCGCCACTGCACTCCAGCCTGGGCGACAGAGCAAGACTCCGTCTAAAAAAAAAAAAAAGAAAAAGAGAGATGACCCATGACCCATCTCTCTTCTTGGAGCTCCTGTGGGCTCAGGCTGGAGAAAGTTAGTGGGTGTGTCCTTCTGATTAGAGGACCCCTCACCACCCAGACTCTTCTGGCAATCTCCAGCTTATTTTACAAAGCCCAGCTCTGATGACCCCTCCTTCAGGCAGCCCTCCTGGATCTCCCAGGAAGGTCCTGGCTCTGGCTTATCCCTGACTATTCAGAGCTGGGCTGTGTCGTGAAAGGCCTCAGTGCTCTCTTCCTTTGCTTTGCCTTTTTTTTTTTTTTTTTTTTTTTTTGAGCTGGAGTCTTGCTCTGTCGCCCAGGCTGGAGTGCAGTGGAGCGATCTTGGCTCACTGCAACCTCCGCCTCCCAGGTTCAAGCGATTCTTCTGCCTCAGCCTCCTGAGTAGCTGGGACTACAGGCGTGCACCACCACGCCCAGGTATTTTTATTTATTTATTTGTATTTTTAGTAGAGATGGGGTTTCTCCATGTTGGTCAGGCTGGTCTCGAACTCCTGACCTCAAGTGATCCGCCCGCCTCAGCCTCCCAAAGTGCTGGGATTACAGGCGTTAGCCATCATGCCTGACCAGTTCTCTTTCTTTGGTGCTCACCCTTTTGTCCAACACCCCAGAGACGCTTCTGAGACCCATGGTGCTTGCTGAAAGCATCTGGGCACCTTCTCAGTGCTCAGCCCTTGTCCAGGCCCACAGGCAGCTCTCTGCCCAGTCTGAGTGTCCCCTGAACTCTCCAGCCCCACTCCTGACCCTCATTCATTCATTCGTTTGAGTATTTATGGAGCACCTGCTGTGTATGTACAGAGACTCAACTGACACAGACAGACAAAACCCCAGTCCCGGGGAGTCATGGGATGGGAGACAGATGACCTTGACTGTCACCACATGGCACATGGGTTGTCGGGCGGGCAGGCGCAGGAGGGGAGGCGAGGACACAGCAGGATGGAGACCCCAAGTCCCTGGAGACGGGGCCCTGTACTGGGGGCTGGGGCTGTGAGGAGGGCACGGGGGAGCCACAGCGGGTTCTGGGCGTCAAGGCCACCTCTGGCCGCCGATGGGAGAGGGAGGAACCCGGGCAGGAGGGAGGTCAGGGCGCCAGGGCGGGAGCAGGGAGCGATGGTGGGGCCCCACTGGAGAGCGGGTGGGGAGGGAATTGTGGGATTTGGGTGCAGCCAGAGAGAGTGGAAGAGGCTGAGGCCAGCAGGGTTGTGGGGGTGGGGAGGTCATGGGGTGAGGGTGGCGTGGAGGGGCCCCCACACCCTTTGGGCAGCATACACATCTGACCAAAGATTCAGTTCCTCAAAAATGCCACATTGGCGCGTGTGTGCACATGGGCAGAGCATGCACACGGACACGCACGACACACACAGGCACACACACCTGCACACAGAGACACACGATATACAGAGAGGTATACAGACAACACACACAACACAGACACACACACACAACACATGGATGCACACACACACAGACACACAACACACAGAGACAGAGACACAGAGACACCACACACCACACACATACAACACAGAGACACACACATAACATATGCACATCAAACACAACTACGCTCAACATAGAGACAGACACACACAGAGACATGCAACACACAGAGACACACACAGAGACACACATACAACACACACAGACACATACGCAGAGACACACAACACACAGACACACAGAAACTGACAACAGACACACATACAACACACACGTACAACACAGAGACAAACGCATAACACAGATGCACACATACAACACTCACACACATCAAATACAACTACACACAACACAGAGAGACATACAGCATACAGACACACATATAACACACACAACACATGTGCAACACAGATATAACACATAGATGCACACCAAGCACACACAACACACACAGACACACAAAACAAAACTACACACACAACACACAGACACACAACATGCACAGAGACACAAGCATACAACAGCCACAGAGACACACAGACACCATGCATACAACACAGACATACACATACATCGCTTGAACCCGGAAGGCGGAGGTTGCAGTGAGCCAAGATCGTGCCACTGCACTCCAGCCTGGGTGACAGAGCGAGACACCGTCTCAAAAAAAAAAAGCCCATTTTGCAGAAGAAAACTGAGGTCAGAGAGCAGAGGCAATGTCCCCAAGCTCTGAATAGTCAGGAGTGAGCTGGAGCCAGGACCTTCACGTGGCAGGGACACAGGGCAAGGACTGGCACGTGCCAGCTCCCAAGACAGCAGGCTGGGAGCCTCCCTGCAGCCCAGAACATTCCCATCCCCACGGCAGTTCCTGCAGGGCCCCTCCCCCGCCCCGCCTGCCCTGACGCTGAGCTGAGCACATTTCCCATCCCACCCCTGGCTCTGTTCCATTCCAAGAGAAACAGGTTGCACCTGCACAGTTCCCAGAAGGCCCTGGGCAGCAGGAGGCCAGCCACGTGAGTGGGTGTGTGTGGAGACGTGCAGTCACATTGCAGCCCCCACCATGCCACTGCGCAGGAGGAGCAGGGCCACGGGTAACAGAGCCACTAAGAGGGGCGTGTGGGGCACTGAGCACTCAAGCACTGGAGCCAGCCAGACCTGAGTACCACCCAGGCTCAGCCACTTGCCAGCCTTTACCTCAAAGGAGGGAGGAGGGTTTTTTTTTTTTTTTTTTTTTTGAGAGTCTCACTCTGTCACCCAGGCTGGAGTGCAGTGGTGTGATCTCGGCTCACTGCAACCTCTACCTCCTGAGTTCAAGCAATTCTGTCTCAGCCTCCCTAGTAGCTGGGATTATAGGCATGTGCTACCACACCTGGCTAATTTTTGTATTTTTAGTAGAGACAGGGTTTCACCATGTTGGCCAGGCTGGTCTCGAACCCCTAACCTCAAGTGATCTGCCCGCCTCGGCCTCCCGAAGTGCTGGGATTACAGGCATGAGCCACTGCGCCTGGCCTTCTTCTTTTTTTTTTTTTTTTTTTTTTTTTGAGATGGAGTCTTGCTCTGTCACCCAGGCTGGAGTGCAATGGCACAATCTCAGCTCACTGAAACCTCTGCCTCCCGGGTTCAAGCGATTCTCCTACCTCACAGGAGGGTTCTATGAGGGGGCTTGGGAGATGTGTGCAGGAGGGGCCCCAGCAGGCCGGGAGAGCTACATAATATAACATAAAGTTCACCATTTTTAAAGTGAACAATTTGGTGGCATTCAGTACATTGACAATGTCATCCAACCATGACCTCCACTTCCAAAGGAGACCTCATCCCCATCAGTAGCCATTCCCCATTCCCCTCCCCCAACCCCTGGCAGCCACTCCTCTGCTTCCTGTCCCTATGGATTTGCCTGTTCTGGGCATTTTATATCAGTGGAATCCTACACCGTGTGTCCTTTTGTGTCTGGCTTCTCTCACTCAGCACCGTGTTTTTGGGGGCTCATCACGCTGTAGCATGGGGCAGTGCTTCCTTCCTTTTCATGGCTGCATTGTATTCCATTGTGTGGATGAAACATGTTGTGTTGACCTGTTCACTTGTTAATGGGCACTTGAGTTGCTTCCACTTTGGGGCTATTGTGAATAGCGCTGCTGTGAGTGCATGTGTCTGTGTATGTGTGTGTCTGTCTGTGTGTCTATGTGAGTGTGTGTGTCTGTGTGTCTATGTTGTGTGTCTGTGTGAGTGTGTCTGTGTGTCTGTGTATGTGTGTGTGTCTGTGAATGTGTGTGTCTGTGTGGGTCCATGTGTCTGTGTGTGTACGTGTGTCTGTGTGTGTGTGTACGTGTGTCTGTGAGTGTGTGTGTCTGTGTGTGTGTGTATGTGTGTACAAGGATTTGTTTGGTTCTTCCAACACACTTTTTGTGTTCTATGACCAGGAGATCCAAGTAACTCAGGCCCTTGGAGGGAGGTTCTGATTTACTGAAAAAAAAAAAAAATTCCACATTATACTCATGACTTGAAAAACATTAAAAGAGAACCAAACTGGCTGGTTGCGGTGGCTCACACCTGTAATCCCAGCACTTTGGGAGGCAGAGGTGGGCAGATCACTTGAGGTCAGGAGTTCGAGACCAGCCTCACAAAACCCCATCTCTACTAAAAATACAAAAATTAGCCGGTCGTGGTGTTGGGCACCTGTAATCCCAGCTACTCGGGAGGCTGAGACAGGAGAATCACTTGAACCTGGGAGGTGGAGATTGCAGTGAGGCAATATCGCGCCACTGCACTCCAGCCTGGGTGACAGAGCAAGAATCTATCAAAAAAAGAGAGAGAAAGAGAGGGAGACCCAAACCAACAGTTTTCCCTCACCCCTCGCCCCTCAGCCCCTCCCTATGTTGCGGCTCAAAAGCCCCAAACCCAAGCCAGGGAGTGGGGGACCAGTGCGTGGGCAGACACTGCATCCTCAAGGGTGAACCATCCCGGGAAACTGTAGCCCCTCTGATGGGAGGGAAGGAGAGGACAACCTCAGAACGTCTCAAAGCCAGGCTGCTTCGGGTCACAGGCCTGAGTCCCAAAGCAGGACTGAGCTGGAGGACACAAGGACCTCCCTGAAGCCACGGGGCAGGCAGGGGCAGGAGACCCAGTTTCAGACCCACCTGGAACCTTGGGAGTGGCCTTTAGCTTCCCCTCTCTGTGTGGCTGCTGCCAGGCTCCCAGCACCAGACACTGGCTCCCAAGTATCCTTCTGGTCCCTGAAGTTGGGCTGATGAGAGAAAAAGGTGAACCCTCTCCCCTGCCTTTTTTTTTTTTGAGACGGAGCCTCGCTCTGTCGCCCAGGCTGGAGTGCAATGGCTCCATCTTGGCTCACTGCAACCTCAGCCTCCCAGGTTCAAGCAATTCTCTGCCTCAGCCTCCTGAGTAGCTGGGATTACAGGCACCCACCACCACGCCCTGCTAATTTTTTACTTTTTGTAGAGATGGGTTCTCACTTTGTTGTCCAGGCCAGGCTGGTCTCAAACTCCTGTCTTCCAGTGATCCTCCTGCCTCAGCCTCTGAAAGTGCTGGCATTACAGGCAGGAAGCCACTGCACCCGGCTGAAAAACCCTTTTAGTATCAGAGCACAGGGGCTGGGTGCAGTGACATCACACCTGTAATCTCAGCACTTCGGGAGGCTGAGGCAGGAGTATCGCTTGAGTAGGAGTTTGAGAACAGCCTGGGCAACATAGTGAGACCCCCATCTCTTAAAAAAATAAATAAATAAGTTAATTAACCAGACATAGTGGTGCATGCCTGTAGTCCCAGCTACTAGGGGGGTTGAGGTGGGAGGATCGCTTGAGCTGGGAGTTGGAAACTGCAGTGAGCTATGGTAGCACCTCTGCACTCCAGCCTGGGCGACAGAGTGAGACCGACCCTGTTTTTTTAAAAAGAGAGAGAGAGAATCACAATGTAAGTGAATAGTGTAATATTAAATTTCAGCGTATCCGTTAGATAAAGAAGTGTGGGTATGATGATTTCGCAGAACATAGTGACAAGAAATGTGTCACACTTATACCACATTAAGGATGTTGAGGCCAGGCGTGGTGGCTCACATCTGTAATCCCAGCACTTTGGGAGGCTGAGGCGGGTGGATCACCTGAGGTCAGGAGTTCGAGACCAGCCTGGCCGACATGGTGAAACCCCGTATCTACTAAAAATACAAAAATTAGCCAGGCATGGTGGCAGATGCCTGTGGTCCCAGCTACTTGGGAGGCTGAGGCAGAAGAATAGCTTGAACCTGAGAGGCAGAGGTTGCAGTGAGCTGAGATCACGCCACTGCACTCCAGCCTGGGCAACAAGAGCAAGACTCCATCTCAAAAAAAAAAAAAAAAGGAAGTTGAGTTATGTTACTCTTTCATGCTACTTTAATTTTGTTTCACACTATCTGCCAAAATAAACTCTTTCCTATAACTTAAGATGTGGGTGTATATGTATATGTATACAGATGTAGATGCGTGTAATTTATTATATACTGTTAATTTCACTATTTGGGTTGTAATAACATTATTTTGAAATAAAAATATAATTGTTCAGATTGTGGGGTACATCTGAAGCCCTTAGTCCTTATCGTGTCCTCTTCCGGAAGCTGAGATCTTGGTCAGCAGGTGCAGAGGAAAGAGCCAGGTTTCAGAGCCACAGAATCAGTTTCTCTTGGAATCTCAGGTTCCTTCTCTGTGAAATGGGGATAGTGACACTCTGACTCCAAGCATTCACACATGCTGTTCCCTCAGCGTGGTCATCCCTTCCGTGTCATTTGCCTGGAGAGCTCCTACATATCATTAAACCCCAACTGTGATGTCCCTCCTCCAGGCAGCTGCCGCAGACAGATGCTCCAAATTCTCTCATCCCCACCCGCCTTCCAACCGAGCCCTGATCCTGCAGGCTGTGGCCATCTGTGTCCAGCTCTGTCTCCCTGAGACTGGGGGCTCCTTGAGGACTGGGCTAGGGGACACAAGGGGATGGCGAGTGTTTTATAAAAATGGAGATGCCAGGCTGGGTGCAGTGGCTCACGCCTATAATCCTAGCAGTTTGGGAGGCCGAGGTGGGTGGATCACCTGAGGTCAGGAGTTCGAGACCAGCCTGGCCATCATCGTGAAACCCCGTCTCTACTAAAAATACAAAATTAACCAGGTGTGATGGCACATGCCTGTAATCCCAGCTACTCGGGAGGCTGAGACAGAAGAATCGCTTGAACCCGGGAGGCAGAGGTTGCGGTGAGCCGAGATCGCAACATTGCACTCCAGCCTGGGCAAGAAGAGCAAAACTCCATCTCGAAATAAAAATAAAAATAAAAAATAAATGAAATGGAGACCCCAGTACCCCCCGTTGATAGATAAGAGACTGAGATTTCTAGAGGGGCTCAGCTTCCCTGGGGGACAGCTGTTTAGACCCAGAGCCAATTTTCAACTCTTGGGCAGCCAGACTGCAAGTCCAGTGCTCCTTCCAAAACTTGTGTGTATGGAGAACCCACCACCTGTGCCCTGACCCCCTCCTGGTTCCCCACAGCCCCTGCCCAGGCCAGGACACCCTGTCCCCTGGGTGTCCCTGAGGTCACAGATAAGGCCGCTGGGCCCGGCTATCGGCAGGAAACATCTTGGCAGGACAGGAAGCGCGGCATGGGTCAGCCGCGCCTGCACCCGGCTCAGCCTATCAGCGGCCAGATATTTTGGGAGCCACTATATAAACCCCAACTCGGCTCCAAGCTGTTCCCCGGGGAAGCCTCAGGCTTCATGTTCTGCGGCAGCCCTGAGGCTGCTGGAACACGGGGCCCGGGAGGAGCTCAGGAGCTGAGCGGGACAGAGTGACAGGGGTGGACTCCGTCCGGGCATCACTGCAGGCCAGAGGGTGCTGGCTCTGAATCGAGCTAGCCCCTATTCAGTCCTGGTGCAGACACTCTCACTTGCTGGGCAAGTGGCTTCACCGCCCTGTGCCTCAGTTTCCCCCTCCCCACATCCCTCCTTTGATCCTGTCCCAGGGAAAAACACACCTCCAGGTCCTGGAGCCTTTTCTGAAGTTTCTGGGCCGACATCTGAGGGCCAACCCACTTTCTCCCAATGCAAAGCAGGGCCCAGGAATCTGCATCTTAAAACCTGCCTTGGCCGGGCACAGTGGCTCACACCTGTAATCCCAGCACTTTGGGAGGCTGAGGCGGGTGGATCATGAGGTCAGGCATTCGAGACTAGCCTTGCCAGGATGTTGAAACCCCATCTCTACTAAAATTACAAAGATTAGCCGGGCATGGTGGCTGGTGCCTGTAATCCCAGCTACTCCGGAGGCTGAGGCTGGAGAATCGCTTGAACCTAGGCAGCAGAGGTTGCAGTGAGCTGAGATTGCACCACTGCACTCCAGCCTGGGCAATAAGAGCAAGACTCCGTCTAAACACACACACACACACACACACACACATACACACACACACACACACACACACAACAGGGATCCATACGCAAGCCCAAGCTTCTCAAGTTCAAGAACATACGGTGGGTCCAGCTCCTCCACCCAAAAAGTTCAGTGGACAGGCACCCAGCGTGACACCGCATAACTGCTGAATTTGAGCCACATTATAAGAATGGGCTGTAGTTATTCCCATTTTACAGAAGAGGGGTTGAGGCCCAGAGAGGGGCAGGAAGTTGCCTGAAGCCACACAGCAGCCCAGAGGCCACGCCCTATCAGAATCTCCACCCCGTGCACCTCTCAGGAGATGCTCCAGGGGTGATGTGGCCAGCCAACAAGCAGTGGGGTTAGGATTTGAACCCGGGTCTGCCTGCTCCACGACCCCTTGTTGGCACAGAACAGTGCCATCTTGGGCCCAGTGATGACTGCTCTGGTCCTGAATAACATGCATATTTCTCCCAGGACCAGTAAAAGTGAAACGAAGAAGTGAAATAAAAATACTCAAGAACTCACTGGGGCCCGCAGCCGGCTCCTGACCTCAGAGCCTCGGCCTTTCCTGGGGAGAGGCAAGGGGGCAGGACGGCAGCGCGGGCAGAGGAACCCAAGCGTGGCTATGTAAAGTGGCCGGCCCAGCACCTGCGACTGCCTGCCAGGGCAGGTGATGAAGCGTGCCCGGCCGGCCCCCACCCCAGGCAGCTGCAGCTGGCAAAAGGGAACAGCCACACCACATATAACCTGGCCTGAACTCCACCCAAAACCAGAGCTCGAGGCCTGGCCCGTGCCTGGAAAGCCAGTTTTGGCCCAATGACTCTGGGCAGGTCACTGTCCTTCTCTGGATCTCAGTCTCCCCACTGGCCACAGAAAAGTCTCAGCAGTGGCAGAGGCTCCTGCCTGACCATTCTGACCATCCCAGAATGGAAAGGGAAATCACCTCCCTCATTCTGGAGCCTATACCTCTAATAATATAACCCATGGGCCTAGCAGCTTGCTGGGCAGCTATGTCACAGGCAATGGGCCCCTTCAGGTGTCCCTGAAGTCCTCATCCCTGCCCACCTTTCTTTAAGATCTGGTGGGGACTGGGGGTCAAGATGTCTTCTAGTTCATGCCACACAACCACTTGGCTCAGTTTGCTGCCAGGGAGGCACTGGACTGGCATCTCTTTCCTGACGACATGCTCACTGCCAGCCGGGGCAGCCTAGTGTGTGGCTTAGTGAAAGTGGGTGCCTCCTTCAGAGTGGCTCAGTCCCCACCCTGCCCTGCTCTGCCATCCAGCCACCTGGGACTGCTGACAGAGACCTAAGTCAGTCCTTCTCTAGGTTAAATGCCCTAAAGCCTCCAGGGCCTTCTCCCAGGACACCACTTAGAAGTGTGTATACACATACACACACACACACCATGGTGGTCTTCCCCAAACCTGCCACTATCCATCTATCCCCATTTTGAAGTGGCAGGGCCCCCTGCCTGACAGCATTGACCAGCCCAGAATGGAGAGGGAAATCACCTTCCCCATTCTGGAGTCTATACCTCCAGTAATGCAACCCATGGGCTCAGCGGCTTGCTGGACACCTATGTCATAGGCAATGGGCCCGTTCACGTAACCATTCGTCAATTCCAAATATTGAGCCCCACAAGGGAGCTTTGATGAAGGTGGTGGGGATGGGGATGTCTTGTTTCTTTTTCTCTCTCTTTTCTTTTTTGGTAGAGATGGGATCTTGCTATGTACCCAGGCTGGACTTGAACTCCCCCTGGCCTCAAGCAATCCTCCTGCCTCGACCTCCCAAAATGCTAGGATTACAGGCATGAGCCACCAAGCCCAGCCGGAGTGTCCTGTTTCTTGAGCTGGCTGCTGGTTACCTGGGCATAGTCCCTTTATGAGAAGTTACAGAACTGTGTACCTAGGATTTGGGTACTTTAATGTCTGTATGTTTTCCTTGAATAAAATATTTTAAAAGAAGAAAAGGAAAGAAAGCAGTTTGATGTCTCGGACTGAGAATGAAAGCTAAGTAGATAATAACTAGGTGAGGTTTGAGGGCATGGATGGATTCGGGAAGGGCACTGCAGGCAAGAGGCACGGCGCGGCTAAGGCCTGGTGTCCTGAGGCAGCCTTGGTGTTTGAGGGACCTGGCAGAGGCCCGTGTGGCTGGGTGGGGGCAGGGACCAGCCATGCAGACCCTCAAAAGCCACAGCAGGGTGCATGGATGTTACCCCGAGACAGGTGCCAAGCCGAGAAGTTTAAGTGGAGGCTGATGATTAAGTGGAATGGACATGTGGAAGGGCGGTTGAAGCCATGAGCAAGGGCATTTATGATTGAGTGGTAAAGGGTTGCTCAGCCCATCTGCCAGAGGGGAATACTGAGGCCCGGTGAATCCAGGCTGCTTGGCTACAAGTAGGAGGTGGAGGGGCAATGTGAGCCTGGCCCAGCTCGCCCAAGGGCCACTTTCTCCCAGCTGCACCCACTTGGAGAGTGGTCACAACCTCTGTGCCCAAGAATCAGCCAGATCTCCCAAGTTTGAGTCTCACTCTGAGCTCACTGGCCTCAGTGTCCTCACCTGTCAAACGGGGGCCTGGGAGGGTGAGTCTCATCTTCGACCCCTCTGCAGGCAGCCCAGCGACTCTTTACCACGGATTTCACTGCGATTCCAGCCAAGAGTGCCTGGGCAGTGGAGGGGGCATTTCATAACCCGAGCACTGCAGAGGTGGCTTTTCTGAGAAGCCCGGCCCCAAGGAGGAAACTCTCTGATCTTCGAATGCCGTGGGGGTGGGGGTGGCACCCTCAGCTTGCACCAGGAAAAACTCTGGGGGAAGGGGAGAAGGTAGGAGTTCTAAAAAGAAATAACTCAGTAATGCAAATTCAGCCGCATTGGGGGAAATGGAAGAAGTAAAAAGGCACTGATGAGAAGGGACTCGTGCCACACGCAGGGCAGGGGGTTCGGGGACACCATCTGGGCAGATCACCACCCAGGCACCCTTGCCACAGCTCCTGGCCTTACCTCGAGCCTTTATCCGGGCTGCACCTTGACCTGGGGTCTCCTTCCCCTAAACCTCCCCATAGGGAATCTTTCTCTTCTCTGACCCCTAAAGGCGACCTCATACCCTTTCACCAGTCACACCCAGTTACACTGTGTCCCCCAGCTCCTGGCCATCACTAAGCCACCTTCTGTCTCTACAGATTTGCCTGTTCCAGACACTTCAGGCCCCTCAGTATCACCCCCACTGTGGTCTTGTCTTCAACTGTGGTCTCTCCAGAGTCACCTTGGTTTTCTGCCTTTTGCTCGTCCATCCCCACCGCTACCCGTGGGAGGGCAGGACCCAGCTGGCTTTCTCCCTGCTTCTCCATCCATCCTACTTCTGACTCCCCAGCCTGGAGCCTGGCACCGAAAGGCGCTCAGTAAATATTTGCTGGCTGAATACACGGGGTCAGGCCCACCTTATCTTTAGCAGGGAGTGTTATCAGCTTGGCTCGGGACCAAACTCCAGCTCAGCTTGGGCCATCCCTCCTACAAGCCCCAGTTCTTCTCAGCTAAACAACAGGTCTGGGGGGTGACACTTCTCGCCAGGGGTCCCCAAAGATAACCCACAGCACATAGAAAGCCAGGCACACCTGGCATGGCGCAGTGGCTCACGCCTGTAATCCCAGCACTTTGGGAGGACGGGGCAGGAAGATCACTTGAGCTCAGGAGTTTGAGACCAGCCTGACCAACATGGTGAAACCCTATCTCTACTAAAAATACAGAAATTAGCTAGGCGTGGTGAAAGGTGCCTGTAATTCCAGCTACTCAGGAGGCTGAGGCAGGAAGATCGCTTGAACCCGGGAGGCAGAGTTTGCAGTGAGCTGAGATTGCGCCACTGCACCCCAGCCTGAGTGACAGAGCGAGACTGTCTCAAAAAAAAAAAAAAAAAAAAAAAAGGCCAGGCACACCGGAGATACCCAGCCACTGTCATTTCCCCCAGGGGTGTCCCCTTGCTGATCCCTGGATGGGGCTCTGTCTTCCTCCCCCACCAGGCAAAGAGAGGATAAAAGTGACCAGTGAGGCTCTGAAGGTGCTGGGTTCTCTCCCCCACCTCCAGCTCTTTCTAAGAAGCCAATGGTGATAACATTCCCCCAAAACAGGAACCAGCGAGGGGCACCCTGTGTTGCAGAAACCTCCCGCAGAAGCTGCCCACCCAGCCCCCGACCCCACGGCCGGCTTCAGGGCCCGCTGGGCACAGCCTGGAAAGATTTTTATGTAAAAGTGGTCGATGCAAATCCAGAAACCTGGGGACCATGAAAAGATCCACTTCCCCTTTAACCCACTCTGGCCTGAGTTGCTGCCACCTGGGCACGGCTGCTGGACATAGGCCTCCCTGACCCCCGCTCCCGTTTGCCAAGCCGGCTTCCAGCACCCACAGCGCTTAGGACTTGCTCTGCGCACCGGAGGCCCCAAATCCTGGTTGCTGGGCTAGAGGAACAGGGAGCAGGAACGGCTCATGTAGACCCCCAAACCCCCTGCCCTGAAGCAGGAATGATCCCAGCAGCTAGATCTGACTTTTTTTTTTTTTTTTTAAGACGGAGTCTTGCTCTGTCGCCAGACTGGAGTGCAGTGGCATGATCTCGGCTCACTGCAACCTCCGCCTCCCAGGCTCAAGAGACTCTCCTGCCTCAGCCTTCCAAGTAGCTGGCATTATAGGTGCCCCCCCACTTCGCCCGGCTAATTTTTATATTTTTAGTAGGGATGGGATTTCACCACATTGGCCAGGCTGGTCTTGAACTCCTGGCCTCAAGTGATCTGCCTGCCTCAGACTCCCAAAGTGCTGGGATTACAGGTGTGAGCCACCGTGCCTGGCTGCTAGCTCTGACTTTTAAAAAAAAATTGAGATAAAATTCACACAACATAAATTCACCATTTTATTTTGATTTTTTTCAGACAGGATTTTACTCTGTCACCCAGGCTGGAGTGCAGCAGGTTCATCATGGCTCAGTACAGACTTGACCTCCTGTGCTCCAGTGATCCTCCCACCTCAGCCTCCCGAGTAGCTAGCTGGGACTACAGGCATGCACCACCACACCCAGCTAACTTTTACATTTTTTGTAGAGACGGGGTCACACTGTTGCCCAGGCTGGTCTTGAACTCCTGGGCTCAAGCGATCCTCCTGCCTCGGCTTCCCAAAGTGTTGGGAATACAGACGTGAGCCACTGCACCTGGGTTGAATTTTTAAATTTTTATTTTATTTATTTATTTATTTTGAGACGGAATTTCACTCTCCTTACCCAGGCTGGAGTGCAATGGTGTGATCTCGGCTCAGGGCAGCCTCTGCCTCCCAGGTTTAGGTGATTCTCCTGTCTTAGCCTCCTGAGTAGCTGGGATTACAGGCGCCTGCCACCACGCCCAGATAATTTTCTTATTTTTAGTAGAGATGGGGTTTCACCATGTTGGCCAGGCTGGTCTCGAACTCCTCACCTCAGGCAATGCACTATCTTTGGCCTCCCAAAGTGCTGGGATTACAGGCATGAGCCACCACGCCCGGCCAACTTTTTAAAAAATTGAAATAAAATTCACACAACACAAAATTCACCATTTGCTTTAAAGTATATGATTCAGTGGGTTTGGGGCACACTCATGAGGTTGTACAACCATCACCTATACCTAATTTCAGAACATTTTATCCCCTCAAAGGGAAACCCCGTCTCCAACTGAGTTGGCCACCTCAGAAGTGACTGAGAAGCAGTCACTTATCCCCCTCCCCAGAACCCTGACAACCACAAATCTGCTTTCTGTCTTTGGATTCGCCTGTTTTGGACAGCCATGAAGTGGGCAAAATAACATTGAGTGAAATCTTTGTGATGGAGAAAAATAGGTCATGACATGGTAGGTGGGACCCGGAGGGTCATTTTAGCCGAGAAGGTCAAGGAGGTTCTCTCTGAGGAGGTGACATTTAAGCTGAGACCAGCAGGAGATAAAGGAGTGGCTGAAGGGAACAGCATTTGCAGCAGAGGGAACAGACAGTGCCAAGACCCTGAGGCAGGACCATGCCTGGTGTGATCATGGAACTGTGGGGAGGCTGGTGTGTTGGGGAGGCTGGTGTGCAGGAGGAGATGGGGTCACAGGGTGGCCGGGGCCAGACCACAGAGCCTTGAGGGCCTCAGTGAGAGGTTTGTGTTTTGTCTTGTTTTGTTGTTTGTCTGTCTCTGAGATGGAGTCTGGCTCTGTCACCCAGGCTGGAGTGCAGTGGTGCAATCTCAGCTCACTGTAACCTCCACCTCCCGGGTTCAAGCAATTCTCCTGCCTCAGCCTCCTGAATAGCTGGGATTACAGGTGCGAGCCACCATGCCTGGCTAATTTTTGTATTTTTAGTAAAGATAAGGCTTCACCATGTTGGCCAGGCTAGTCTCGAACTCCCAGCCTCAAGTCATCCGCCCACCTCGTCCTCCCAAAGTGCTGGGATTACAGGTGTGAGCCACTGTGCCCGGCCAGGTTTGGGTTTTATTTCAAACCTGGGACAGGGCTCCGTTCTCCACCACTGCTCTAAAAATATTTATTGAAAGAAGAGGGACATACCACAGAGTCAGCCCTACCTTTGGTGCTTCAGGCCTTCAAATGGAGACCCCAGGGTGCAAGGAATTCAGGTCTTTGCAGACCTTCCTGTGGAAGATGGAACAGTGTGAAACTGCATGGAACAGCATGGATGCATTTGGGAACTGCGTGGAGGCTCTGTCTCCTGTAAGGCAGAACTGAGTTGGCCGCCCCAGGGACTGAGTCCCTGGCCACCTCCTGCCAGCCACAAAGACCGTGCTGCCCACGACGTGCTGTTGCTTCATGGTGACTTGACTGTGATACAAAGAGGCCACCAACCTGGACAGGGAAACCTGAGCTTTCTGCAAGCTCCCCAGTAACTCCAGGCCTGACAGGGGCTCACTTCAATACCCCCAGCCCCCGTCTATGAAATAAAGGGTGTTTAGGATCCATCTGGCAACGGACACCCACTCGCCCAGGCCAGACCTAGGGAGGGGCACAGGGACCAACGAGGCCTCAGTTTCCCTATCTGTGAAATGGACAGAAAAAGCCCCGCGGCGCATCATAACAACCCACCAGGTCTATTGTCCAGCCCTGGGGGCCCCCACATCCCTCTGAGCAGCTTTGGGGTCCCCAATTTCCTTCCCCCAAGCACACACGCACTGTCCTCTGCCCCTGACCGCAGCCGGGTCCTGATACTGTTTTGTTCTCACCCTGCTCTCCTGACCTGGTGCCACCAGTTTGGTGTCTTAAAAAACCACAACTTAGGGTGCTGTTATCTGCTATCAGTGGCGGGACGCGGTGGTTTCGGGGCCCCTCCGTGCACTTCTCAGAAGAGCCAGCCATGTCATCGCAGGGTGCTTGGCACAAAGCAGCTTGTTTATCAGGCCCCCTCATCGCGATCCCTGCTGATAAGGGCCTTCAAGGCGCCCGACAACTTGTTTACGGGCCTTGTTTTCAGAGATTCTCCATTTGATGTATCCCGGTCTTGCAGCCCAGGGGTCAGGGCATTGGGGAGGGGGGAAGCAGGGCTGGGTCGAGGGGCTTCTGGGAAGACTTCCTGGAGGAAGGGATGCTGGAAGGGAGCGAGGGAGGGTTAGTTGCAGAAGATGGGGTAGGCATTGCAGGTGGAAGAACCTGCATGGGCAGAGGTTTGGAGATAAGAACCTTGTGACAGGCTGGGGGCAGGGGCTCATGCCTATAATCCCAGCACTTTGGGAGGCTGAGGTGGGAGGATCGCTTGAGTCCAGAAGTTCAAGACCAGCCTGGCCAACATGGCGAAACCCCATCTCTACAAAGAAAAAAAAAAAATTAGCCAGGCAGGGTGCGTGCCTATAGTCTCAGCTACTTGGGAGGCTGAGGTGGGAGAATTGTTTGCACTTGACCTTGAGAGGTGGAGGTTACAGTGAGCCAGGATCACACCACTGCACTCCAGCCTGGGTGACAGAGCCAGACCCTGTCTCAAAAAAGTAAAAAAAAAAAAAAAAAAAAAAGAGCTTCTGGCAAAGTCAGGTTAATTAATGAGCTGGGGCTTATCTGAAGAGCAATAGGGATTTGGCAGGGTTTAAGCTGGGGAGTGGGGAGGTTAAGAGCCAGGGTGAAGTTTGAATCCTGGTTCTACTCCCAGCTTCAGTTTTCTCATCTGTGAAATGGGGATGGTGTGAGGATTCAGTGACACCATTCAGGAGGGGACGCTGGGGAGAAGCCACAAGCAGGTTGGATGGGAGGAGGAGGGCCTGGCAATGCCAGGGAATGCGTAGAGCCAGAAAGCTGATTAGTAGTTGCTTAAGGCTGGGGGCTGGGATGGGAACAGGATGGAGGTTGATAGCTAAAGGGGAAGGGGTTTCCTTTTGAGGTGATTAAAATGTTCTCAAACAGGCCGGGCACGGTGGCTCACACCTGTAATCCCAGCACTTTGGGAGGCCGAGGCAGGTGGATCACTTGAGGCCAGGAGTTCGAGACCAGCCTGGCCAACATGGCTAAACCATGTCTCTACTAAAATTACAAAAATTAGCTGGACATGGTGGCACATGCCTGTAATCCCAGCTACTTGGGAGGCTGAGGCAGGAGGATTGCTTGAACCTGGGAGGCAGAGGCTGCAGTGGGCCAAGATTGCACCAATGCACTCCAGCCTGGGCGACAGAGAGAGACACCATGCCAAAAATAAATAAATAAATAAATAATAAAATAAAATGTTCCCAAATGGAGTGGTGATGGTTGCAGAACTCTGTGAATACCCTAAAACCCATTGAATTGGAATCTTTGTTATTATTATTATTATTATTATTTTGAGACAGGGTCTCACTTTGTCACCCAGGCTGTAGTGCAGTGGTGCAATCTCAGTTCACCGCAGTCTCAACCTTCCAGGCTCAAGCAATCCTCCCACCTCAGCCTCCTGAGTAGCTGGGACTACAGGGGTGCACCACCATGTCTGGCTAATTTTCTTGCTTGCTTGCTTGCTTGCTTTTTTTTTTTTTTTTTTATAGAGATGGGGTCTCACTGTGTTGCCCAGGCTGGTCTTGAACTCCTGGCCTCAAGGGATCCTCCCGCCTCAACCTCCCAAAGTGCTGGGATTACAGGCATGAGCCACCACGCCCGGCTGAGCTGGACACTTTAAATGAGTGAATTGTGTGGTCGATGCATTATATCTCAACAAAACTGTTAAAAAACAAAACAGACAAAAGAAGATCAAGAAGGCCTTTTTCACTTTAGCACCGGGAAACCCAGGAGGCAGCTCTGAACCTCTGGATAGAAGGCATTTTGGGCAGCGGCTGAAGGAGGTAGGTACTGAGCTCCTTGTCACCTAAGCCATGACCAGGTGAGCTCCTGCTGGGAGCCGCAACCACCCAGCTGCTCCTCCGCTTCTCCCAGCAGGAAAGGTGCCAGGGGCTGCCCCTCAGATGTGGCAACAGGAGCTGGGCCCCCCACCCGCCCACACTGGGGTTTCTGCGCCTTTGCTACCTGTCTACCTGCTAAGCCACTTCCTCCGCCCACCCACCAGCCCGTCTGCCTGGCGCCTGGCTTCCCCGGCTCCCTCGTCCGCCTTGCCTGCATCCCCCTACCCACCTGGCTTCCTCGTGAGCTGCCCATGTAGGCAGGACTGGGAGAGGACCCTCCTCCAAAAGCCAGGATCGGAGCCCAGCTTAGCCATTGACTCTCTGGAGCTCCTTCAAGAAGTGAGCCTTAGTTTATCCGCCTGAGCAATGGGACTAAAAATATCAACCTCGCAGGATGGCTGCGAGGCTCAGGGCCTTTGCACTGTCCATCCCCCCCCCCTGCTGGGGGCACCTTCTAGAATCTTCCTGGAGGTTGCCACTGGCCTCTCTCTCCTCCTGGGAAAAACCCTCCCTGACTCCCCCAGCTAAATGCACCAATGGGCCCTCTTTTCCCCTCGCCTCAATTCATTTTTTGCCCTGGAACCTCAGTACCTAGAGCTTTATTTATTTGTTTATTATTTTTATTTTTATTATTATTTTTTGAGACAGTCTTACTCTGTTGCCCAGGCTGAAATGCAGTGGCGTGATCTCGGCTCACTGCAATCTCTGCCTCCCGGGTTCAAGTGATTCTCCTGCCTCAGGAGAATCCCAAGTGGCTGGGATTACAGGCGCCCGCCACCACGCCCAGCTAATTCTTGTATTTTTAGTAGAGACGAGGTTTCACCATGTTGGCTAGCCTGGTCTTGAACTCCTGACCTCAGGTGATCCACATGCCTCGGCCTCCCAAAGTCCTGGGATTACAGGCGTGAGCCACCATGTCCAGCCAATAAGCAGTCCCAGAGCTCTATTGATGACTGTTTGCCAGTCTACTGCTTGCATCTAACCTGAGAGCTACATGAGGACAGAGACTGTGCCTGTCTCAGGGGCACAGGAGTGGCTCAGGGACTGTTTTGTTTTGTTTTGTTTTGTTTTGAGACAGAGTTTCGCTCTTATTGCCCAGGCTGGAGTGCAATGGCGTAACTCGGCTCACTGCCACCTCCCTGTCTAAGGTTCAAGCGATTCTGCTGCCTCAGCCTCCCGAGTAGCTGGGATTATAGGCACCCACCACCACGCCCAGCTAATTTTGTATATTTAGTAGAGACGGGGTTTCTCCATGTTGGTCAGGCTGTTCTCGAACTCCCGACCTCAGGTGATCTGCCCGCCTTGGCCTCCCAAAGTGCTGGGATTACAGGCGTGAGCCACTGCACCCAGCTGGGACAATTTGTTCAATAGTGAGCAAAGTGTGTCTGGGGAATTGTGTGCCAGGTTCAGAGGGAGAGCTGGGAGCAGCAGCACACACCTGTAGTCCCAGCTACTCGGGAGGCCAAGGCAAGAAGATCGCTTGAGGCTGAGAGTTTGAATCCAGCCTGGGCAGCATAGGGAGACCTCATCTCTTTTTTTTTTTTTTTTTTTTTTTTTTTTTGAGACAGAGTCCTGCTCTGTCCCCCAAGCTGGAGTGCACAATCTCAGCTCACTGCAACCTCCACCTCTCAGGTTCAAGCGATTCTCCTGCCTCAGCCTCCCAAGTAGCTGGGATTGCAGGCATACGCTACCATGCCTGGGCAATTTTTGTATTTTTAGTAGAGACGGGGTTTCACCATGTTGGTCAGGCTGGTCTCGAACTCCTGACCTCAAATTATCCACCCACCTCAGCCTCCCAAAGTGCTGGGATTACAGGAGTGAGCCACCGCGCCCAGCCAAGACCACATCTCTTAAAAAACAAAGGCCTAGGCCAGGTGCAGTGGTGCATGCCTGCAATCCCAGCACTTTGGGAGGCCCAGGCAGGAGGATCGCTTGAGTTCTGGAGTTCCAGACCAGCCTGTGCAACATGGCAAAAACCCCTCTCTACAAAAAATACAAAAATTAGCTGGACGTGGTGGTGTGTGCCTATAGTCCCAGCTACTCAGTAGGCTGAGGCAGGAGGATCACTTGAGCCTGAGAGCTTGAATCTGGCCTGGGCAGCAGAGTGAGACCCCATCTCTTAAAAAAAGAAAAAAAAGGCCTGGTGCAGTGGTACAAGATCACATCTGTAATCTCACCACTTTAGAAGGCCAGGAGCTTGAGACCAGCTTGGGCAACATAGAAAGACCTCGTCTCTACAAAACATAAAAAGAAATTAGCCAGGCGTGGTGGCGCGTGCCTGTAGTCCCAGCTACTTGGGAGGCTGAGATGTGAGGATCGTTTGAGCCTAGGAAGTTGAGGCTGCAGTGAGCCGTGATTGGGCTGCTGCACTCCAACCCAGGCAGTGTAGAGATCCTATCTCAAAACAAAACAAAAACAAAAAAGGAAAGATTGCATGTGGTCTTATAGCAAAGCTGACAAGAAAACGTTCAGGAAGAGAAGGAAAATTTCTTGTGAGCTTTCAAAATACACCCTGAAACCTCAAATAAATTCTCTGCTTGGGGAGAGATCTAGACACCTCCCACTTTCCTTTCTTTTTTTTTTTTTTTTTTTTTGAGATGGAGTCTCACCCAGTCTCACTCCAGTCGTGCCCAGTCTCACTCCAGTCTCACCCAGGCTGGAGTACTGGAGACTGGAGTGTAGTGGTGCGATCTCGGCTCACCACAACCTCCACCTCACTGGTTCAAGCGATTCTCCTGCCTCAGCCTCCCCAGTAGCTAGGACTACAGGCGCATACCGCCATGCTGGGCTAATTTTTGTATTTTTAGTAGAGACAGGGTTTCACTATGTTGGTCAGGCTTGTCTCGAACTCCTGACCTTGTGATCTGCCCGCCTTGGCCTCCCAAAGTGCTGGGATTACAGGTGTGAGCCACCGTGCCCGGCTATTTTTTTTTTTTTTTTGAGACAACGTCTCGCTCTGTCACCCGGGCTGGATTGCAGTGGCACGATCTCGGCTCACTGCAACTTCCACCTCCGGGTTCAAGCGATTCTTGTGTCTCAGCCTCCTGAGTAGCTGGGATTATAGGTAGCTGCCACCACGTCTGGCTGATTTTTTTATTTTTAGTAGAGACAGGGTTTCGTCATGCTGGCCAGGCTGGTCTCGAACTCCTGACCTCAGGTGATCTGCCCACCTCAGCCTCTCAAACTGCTGGGATGACAGGCGTGAACCACCATGCTGGCCCTTCATTCCTTTTTAAGGCTGAATAATATTCCCTTGCACGGATGGGCCATGTTTTGCTGGTCCATTCACCCTTTAATAGACATCTGCATTGCTCCCACTTTTTGGCTATTGTGAATAATGCTGCTATGAATATTCATGTCCAGGGATTTATTTGAACACCTGTTTCCACTCTTCTGGGGATATACCTAGGAGTGGAATTGCTGGGCCATATTTATGGCAATTCTGTGTTTAACTTTTTTTTTTTTTTGAGACAAGGTCTCACTCTATTGCCCAGGCTGAAGTGCAGTGGCTCAATCACAGCTCACCATGGCCTCAACCTCCTGGGTTCAGCTGATCCTACTCCCTCAGCCTCCCAAGTAGCTGGGAATACAGGTGCATCACCTCGCCTGGCTAATTTTTTTATGCTTTTCATAGAGACAGGGTTTCACCATGTTGCCCATGCTGGTCTCGAACTCCTAAGCTCAAGCAATCCTCCTGCCTCAACCTCCTGAAGTGCTAGGATTACAGGTGTGAGCCACTGCACCCAGCCTGTGTTTAACTTTTTGAGGACCTACCAGGCTTCAACGACAGCATCATTTGACATTCCCACCAGCAATGGCTCAGTAGTTTTGAACCCTTATGGCTTTCAACTAACTAGGACCCAAGTTCAAATCTTGGCTTAACCACTGTGACCACTGGATCCTTTTCTTTCCCATCATGCATCTTGCTTTTCCTGGTAGCAACACCCAATTCTGCCTCTAGGAACCCACCTGTCTCAGCATGGCCAGCGGGGCTATCAATCCTAGAGGTTCACACTCAATGGGCTGGGGGCAAATTTGGGGAACCAAGAGGTGACTCCCCTACCTAGGAAAATTCACAAGAACAAGGCAGGTCTAATTGAGATTCACATAGGGGGAGGAGAGAGAAGGCGGCCTTGGCAGCTGCTAGGGCCTCCTGAGCCAGCAAGATTTTAAATATGTTTTTGCACAAAAATAGACGGATAGACCTTCAAACAAGAAGAAAAAAGAACCTGTGTTTAGAGCTGCGAGCTGAGTGTTTAGGCAGCTGACAGCATTTAGCCTGGAACGAACTATCCAATGCAAGTGTGTGGTTAGGGTCGTGTTCAAAAATACGGCTTCGAAGCAGCAAACCCGGGGCTGGGCCACTCGCCCTGTAATTCTTTTTCCAAATAAAAGGCAGAACTATTCCTGGCTCGGCTTGGGGACTTCTGCGGCTGCCGGGGCTCCAAGGAGGCCAGCCTGGAATGTCAAGCATGGCTCTCGCCCCGCCAGGCTCAGGCCTATGCTGCTTGGGAGCCTGTCATTGTATGACTTTTTAATTAAAACGTGATTCCCACAGGGCCCTGTCCGAGCCCAGGACTCCTTCACAGGAGGCCCCTGGGCTTGTGGCAAAGCGCTGGGACTTGTGATGTTTGGTAGCATGAGCCAATTTGGAGCTATTTGTGGAGTGGATTTAAAAAAAACAACAACAAACCAAACAAACATCACTTGATGTTTGCCAAATATAGCATTTTGCATTTCTATAAGCAAAGCCCTAATTTTTTTTTTTTTTTTGAGACGGAGTCTCTCTATTGTCACCCAGGCTGGAGTGCAACGGCGCAATCTCAGCTCACTGCAACCTCCGCCTCCCAAGTTCAAGCGATTCTCCTGCCCCAGCCTCCCAAGTAGCTGGGATTACAGGCGCCCACCACCACTCCTGGCTAATTTTTTGTATTTTTAGTAGAGACAGGGTTTCACCATGTTGGTCGGGCTGGTCTCGAACTCCTGACCTCAGGTGATCCACCCGCCTCGGCCTTCCAAAGTGCTGAGATTACAGGCACTGTGGGCCACCATGCCCAGCCTGATTTTTTTTTTTTTTTAAGAGACAGAGGGAGAGCTCTGTTGCTTAGGCTGGAGTACAGTGGCACGATCATGGCTCACCACAGCCTCCAACTCCTGGGCTTGAGTGATCCTCCTACCTCAGCCTCCTAAGTAGCTGGGACTACAGGCATGCACCACCACATTTGGCTAATTTTATTTTTTATTTTTTGTCGAGATGGGGGTCTTGCTGTGTTTGCCCAGGCTGGTCTCCAACTCCTGACCTCAAGGCATCCTCCTGCCTCAGCCTCCCAAAGTGCTAGGATTACAGGCGTGAGCCACCGCACCCAGCCTAAAGCCTTGATTTTTAAAAAGTAATGTACTTGGCCAGGCGCGGTGGCTCACGCCTGTAATCCCAGCAGTTTGTGAGGCAGAGGTGGGTGGATCACGAGGTCAAGAAGTCAAGACCATCCTTGCCAACAGGGTGAAACCCCACCTCTACTAAAAATACAAAAATCAGCCGGGCGTGGTGGCGCTCGCCTGTAGTCCCAGCTACTCAGGAGGCTGAGGCAGGAGAATCGCTTGAACCTGGGAGGCAGAGGTTGCAGTGAGCCAAGATTTTGCCACTGCACTCCAGCCTGGAGACAGAGTGAGACTCTGTCCCAAAAACAAACAAAAAAAGTAATGTACTTAATCAGATATAGAAAGGAAAGAAGCACTGATCCATTCTACAAGGAGGATGAGCTCGAAAACATAACGCCAAATGAGAGAAGCCAGACACCAAGGCCGCGTAGTGTGAGATTCCATTGATATGAAATGCCCAGAACAGGCAAATCCACAGAGACAGAAAGAGGAAGAAGAGGAAGCATGGTTGCCACCGGCTGTGGGGGAGTGGGGAGTGATTGCTGATGGGGACAAGGCCTGCTTTTGGCAGGGATGAAAGTATTTTGGAATTAGATAGAGGTGGTGGTTACACAATATTCTGAGTGTACTAAATACCTCTGAATTACTCACTTTATTTATTTTTGTTTTTATTTTTATTTTATTTTTTGGGACAGAGTCTTGCTCTTGTCGCCTAGGCTGGAGTGCAATGATGCAGTCTCGGCTCACTGCAACCTCTGCCTCCCAGGTTCAAGTGATTCTCCTGCCTCAGCCTCCCGAGTAGCTGAGATTACAGGCACCCGCCACCACACCCGGCTAATTTTTTGTATTTTTAGTAGAGACAGGGTTTCACCACATTGGCCAGGCTGGTCTCGAACTCCTGACCTCAGGTGATCTGCCTGCCTCGGGGCAGATTCTAAAGTGCTGGGATTACAGGCGTGAGCCACTGTGCACAGCCTGCTGACTTTAAAATGGGTAATTTTATATTGTATGAATTTCTTAAAAAAAAAAAAAGCCAGGCACGGTGGCTCATGACTGTCATCCCAGCACTTTGGGAGGCCGAGGTGGGAGGATCACAAGGTCAGGAGTTTGAGACCAGCCTGGCCAACATGATGAAACCCCGTCTCTACTAAAAATGCAAAAATTAGCCGGGCATCGTGGCAGGTGCCTGTAGTCCCAGCTACTCGGGAGGCTGAGGCAGAAGAATCGCTTGAACCTGGGAGGCAGAGGTTGCAGTAAGCCGAGATTGTACCACTGCACTCCAGCCTGGGCAACAGAGCGATACTCCATCTCAAAAAAAAAGAAAAGAAAACAAAACAAAACAAAAACGGCATGTAACTTGGGGAGTGGTAAGAACAGAGGCTCTGGGTCTAAATCCTCCCTGGCCTGCCAGTGACCAGCTGGTGGGCTTAAAGCAACAATTTAGCATTCTCAGATCTGAATCTGCCATCTGTAGGCAGAATGGGGATACTGAGGCTGGGCCTCAGGAAGACCACCGCCATCTGCCACCCAGCTCACTATAGTCAAATTTCCCCAGCTTCCCCAGTAACAACCTTTATGGCCACTTTTTCCTTTTTCACTTAGGATCCGATCCAGACTCACACATTGCCCCTGGGGCTTCTGTTTCGTTCACTACCTTTCATCAGGAACCATGCTGCAGTCTTTCCCAGCCTTTCACGACATGGACATTTTGGTGGAGTTGAAGTCAGTTGTTTTGTGGAACATATCCCAGGGTGCTGGCCTGATGGTTCCCTGTGACCAGGTAGAGGGTGTGAATTTGGGGCAGGATCCACAGAAGCAATAGTGGATCTTCCCTGGTGCGTCGTATCGGGAGGCACCTGACATTGGCTTGTCCAGTTACTGGGGATGTTAACTGTAGTCTTATTTTTTTCTTTTTCTTTTTCTTTCTTTCTTTCTTTCTTTCTTTCTTTTTTTTTTTTTTTTTTTTTTTTTGAGATGGAGTCTCATTCTGTCACCCAGGCTGGAGTGCAGTGGCACAATCTGGGCTCACTGCAAACTCCACCTCCTGGGTTCAAGTGATTCTCCTGCCTCAGTCTCCCGAGTAGCTGGGATTACAGCTGCCTGCCACCACGCCTGGCTAATTTTTTTATTTTTAGTAGAGACGGGGTTTCACCATGTTGGCCAGGCTGGTCTTAAGCTCCTGACCACCCACCTCAGCCTCCCAAAGTGCTGGGATTACAGGCAGGAGCCACCATGCCCAGTCTCTCTCTCTCTCTCTCTCTTTTTTTTTTTAGAGACAGTCTTGCTGTGTCACCCAGGATGGAGTGCAGTGACACAAACATAGCTCACCTTAGTCTCCAGGTCCTGGGCTCAAGTGATCCTTCTGCCTCAGCCTCCCAAGTAGCTGAACTACAGGTGTGCACCACCATGCCCTGCTAATTTAAAAAATATGTATTTCTTTGTAAAGAAAGGGGGTCTCACTGTGTTGCCCAGTTTGGTCTCAAACTCCTAGCCTCAAGAAATCCTCCTGCCTCGGCCCCTCAAAGTGCTGGGATTACGGGTGTGAGCCACTGCGCCCGGCCAAATGTGCTCTTATGATTCAGGCGATGGGATTATATGTCTTAAAATCTTCCCAGAGCAGGGACCCCAATGTGCAGGAGGAGCTAGAAATGACTCCCTTAAATCTCTTATCTGCAGAGCCCCGCTGGCCCCAGCCTCCATTCTGTCTCAGGGCTCCCTCACTGCCATGTCTTTTCCTTTTTTCTTTCAAAAAAACATCTGCAAGTAAGCCCAATGTCTGATCGGGCCAGGTGACACGGAGCCAGCAGGGCCAGGGATGGCTTAGACCCTTTTCTGAGCCAGAAGAGGGGACCATGTGAGGGCAGATGAGATGCATTCCCAGAGACTTCCTGGAGGAGATGGCCTCTGAGCCACATCCTAGAAATGAGCTGCACCTTAGTGCCATTTCAAGGGTTCTGGGGCTCCCGGAGAAGTCTCCAGGGGCCTTTTTCTGTCTCACCCAGTAGGACAGCCCAGGGGTTCACTGGTCCCCTGTCAGGGGCTCATCTGGACTTTCGCCATCAGATGTTAGTGGCAGTTTCCCCATGCGGTGGGGAAGCACATTCATGCCCCCATCATCAGGGAACAGACCACTCTGCCTTCTTTGAAGTTTACGATCTACAGGCAACTGGATTTGAATCTCTGATTTTATCCCTGCCTCTCTGGAGGCTGAACCACAGGCCTCTGTGTTCAGTCCCTGCCTGGGAGCTATTTTGGGATCTCAGGTCTGTAATTTTTGCTGCTCGGGGAAAGCCTTGGCAGGAATATGGGGGGCAGAGAACGGAGGGACAGATGGCTGGCTTCCCTCACCAAGCCTCAGTTTACCCATCTGCTAACGGGGGTGAGTAATTCACACCTCACGGGAGGGCGGTGAAAAATCTGTTCAATGCTGGGTATGAAATGACATCCTGGAGACAGCCTCCATCAGGGTTTCTTTGTTTCTCTGTTTTGAAACAGGGTCTCACTTTGTCACCCAGGCTGGAGTGCAGTGGTGCTGATTCATGGCTCACTGAAGCCTCCATCTCCCGGGCTCAAGTGATCCTCCCACCTCAGCGTCCCAAGTAGCTGGGAACACAGGTTCATGCTGCCACACCTGGCTAATTTGTTTTTTATTTCATTTCATTTCATTTTATTTTTTTGAGACAGAGTCTTTGCTCTGTCGCCCAGGCTGGAGTGCAGTGGCATGATCTCTGCTCACTGCAACCTCCGCCTCCCGGGCTCAAGCAATTATCCTGCCTCAGCCTCCCTAGTGGCTGGGATTACAGGCGCCTGCCACCACGCCTGGCTAATTTTTGTATTCTTAGTAGAGACGGGGTTTCACCGTGTTGGCCAGGCTGGTCTCAAACTCTTGACCTCGTGATCTGCCCACCTCGGCCTCCCAAAGTGCTGGGATTACAGGCGTGAGCCATCATGCCCAGCCCACCTGGCTAATTTATTTTTAATATTTTCATAGAGACAGGGTCTCAATATGTTGCCCAGGCTGGTCTCCAACTCCTTGGTTAAAGCAGTCCTCCCAACTCGGCCTGCCAAAGTGGTGAGATGGCAGGAGTGAGCTTCTGCACCTGGGCACACTCAGGGTTTTGTCTATTCTTGTGTGGAGGGGGATGTCTGCTCCTTTTTTTTTTTTTTTATGGAGGCTCGCTCTGTCGCCCAGGCTGGAGTGCAGTGGCACAATCTTGGCTCACTGCAAGCTCTGCCTCCCGGGTTCATGCCACTCTCCTGCCTCAGCCTCTCGAGTAGCTGGGACTACAGGCGCCCGCCACTATGCATGGCTAATTTTTTGTATTCTTTAGTAGAGTCGAGGTTTCACCATGTTAGCCAGGATGGTCTTGATCTCCTGACCTCGTGATCCACCCGCCTCGGCCTCCCAAAGTGCTGGGATTACAGGCGTGAGCCACCGCGCCCAGCCTTTATTTTTTACTTTTTTTAATTACTATTTTTTTTGAGATGGAGTTTCACTCTATCACTCAGGCTGGAGTGCAACGGCGCAATCTTGGCTCACTGCAACCTCTACCTACTTCCCGGGTTCAAGTGATTCTCCTGCCTCAGCCTCCTGAGTAGCTGGGACTACATGTGCGCACCACTATGCCCAGCTAATTTTGTTTGTGTGTGTGTGTGTGTGTGTGTGTGTGTGTTTAGTAGACACGGGGTTTCACCATGTTAGCCAGGATGGTCTTGATCTCCTGACCTCATGATTGCCTGCCTCGGCCTCCCAAAGTGCTGGGATTACAGGCGTGAACCACCACATCCAGGTAATTTTTGTATTTTCAGTAGAGACAGGGTTTCACCATGTTGGCCAGGTTGGCCTTGAACTCCTAACCTCAGGTGATCCGCCCACCTTGGCCTCCCAAAGTACTGGGATTACAGGCACCCAAAGTGCTGCACCCGGCCTCTGCTCCCTCCTCTACCTCCCATCAAAAATAGGCAAGTGAGATTGGTCAACTGGGGGGTAATTTTAACTGCTGACACCAGGCAATGTCTGGAGACATTTTTGGTTGTTGTAGAAAATCTGGGGAGGGGATGTTACTGGCATCTGGTGGGTGGAGGCCAGGGATGCTGCTCTGCAGCCTACTGGGCGCAGGATGGCCCCACAAAGAGAATAATCCAGCCCCGAATGTCAGTGGTGCTGAGGATAGGAAGTTACAGCACCCAATACTGTATTTCCCATGTATCCAGATGACTCATGGTTGGTGACTTTGTAATTTGATTTGATGTGATTTGTATATGAGTCAATGTTACACGCTGCTACTGTTTGAATGTTTGTCCACTCCAAAAGTCAAGGAGGGCTGGGCACGGTGACTCATGCCTGTAATCCCAGCACTTTGGGAGGCCGAGGCAGGCAAATCATCTGAGCTCAGGAGTTTGAGATCAGCCTGGGCAACATGGTGAGATCCCCATCTCTACTAAAAAACACAAAAAATTAGCCGGGCATGGTAGCGTGTGCCTATAATCCCAGCTACTCAGGAGGCTGAGGCAGGAGAATCACTTGAACCCGGGAGGCAGAAATTGCAGTGAGCCAGGCTCATGCCACGGCACTCGAGCCTGGGGAACGGAGAGAGACTCTGCCTCAAAAAAAAAAGAAAAAAAAATGCTGGGCACGATGGCTCATGCCTGTAATCCCAGCACTTTGGGAGGCCAAGGTGGACAGAACACCAGGTCAGGAGATCGAGACCAGCCTGGCCAATGTGGTGAAATCCCGTCTCTACTAAAAATACAAAAATTAGCTGGGTGTGGTGGCAGGTGCCTGTAATCCTAGCTACTCAGAGGATGAGGCAGGAAAATCGCTTGAACCCAGGAGACGGAGGTTGTAGTGAGCCGAGATCGCGCCACTGCACTCCAGCCTGGCGACAGAGCGAGACTCCATCAGAAAGAAAGAAAGAGAGAAAGAAAGAGAAAGAAAGAGAGAAAGAAAGAAAGAGAAAGACAGAGAGAAAGAAAGAAAAAGAAAGAGAAAGAAAGAAAGAGAAAGAAGGGAAGGAAGAAAGAAAAGAGAGACTTAATCCTCAATGTGGCAGCATTGAGAAGTGAGACCTTTAAAATCATGATTAGATTAGATTATGATTAGATTATGTTATGACTGGGGCCAGGCTCGGTGGCTCATGCCTGTAATCCCAGCACTTTGGGAAGCCAAAGCGAGTGGATCCCTTGAGCCCAGGAGTTCAAGACCAGCCTGGGCAACATAGTGAGACTCTGTCTCTGAAAAAAAAAAATTAAGAAAGAAAGAGTTGAAAGAAGAAGAAAGATCTGAGATAGCAAGTTAGCATGCCCAGACTCCTCTCCAGAAAGTCCCCACCAGGAGGAAGACTCTCACCAGAACTGTCCCTTGACCTTGGACTTCCCTGCTTCCAGAAATTAACAAATACATTTTGTTTCTTTACAAATCACCCATCTTCAAGGCCAGGCACTGTGGCTCATGCCTGTAATCCCAGCACTTTGGGAAGTGGAGACGGATGGATCACTTGAGGTCAGGAGATCGAAACCAGCCTGACCAACGTAGTGAAACCCTGTCTCTACTAAAAATACAAAATTAGCTGGACGTGGTGGCGCATGCCTGTAATCCCAGCTACTCTGGAGGCTGAGGCAAGAGAATGGCTTGAACCGGGGAGACGGAGGTTGCAGTAAGCTGAGATTGCACTATTGCACTCCAGCCTGGGCAACAAGAGCAAAACTCCGTCTCAAAAAATAAAATTATTAATATTAATTAAATTAATTAATTTATTAAATATTAAGCTGCTTTTATAAAAACAAGGTGAGTACTGCCCTGGTTCTCACAATGTCTGGGATATTTTTGGTTGTCATGGATGGGTGCAGTGGGGAGGGAGGCATGTATCCCTACTGACATGTGGCTCAGAAATCTTGAACTAAGAGAAGCATCTTCCAAGGGTGGCCTCTCTGCAGTTGTGACATCTGAGCTGGGATCTGAACGTGCCACCCCGAGTAAAGTTTGCAGGCCCAGCGTGGGGGTTCAGTGGACACACACATGTGAGTCCAGAAAGACCCAGTGGGTCTGAGGAACAGTGACAATAGGCCCCTGGGCTGGGGCCGAGGGAAAGGAGTGACAGAAGGTGATGTCCCAGAGGCCATATCCTGAGGCCTCTCCCTCGATCCCGTGATGTTTCAGAAGGTCCCTCTGGCTGACGGGTGGAGAATGAGCTGTTGGGCCAGGGGAGAAAGTAGATGGCTCGGGTTGATTCCCCGGGCAAGATGAAGGTGGCTCGGCAGAGTTGGAGGGGGCTGGTGAAACGAGGAGGAATTGCAGGCTGGGCAAAGTGTTCCTGCAAAGAGCGGGCTTTGCAAGCCATAAGGTCTGTGTTGCAACCACTGAACTCTGCCTTTGTGTCCCCAAAGCAGCCTTAAGATGAGATGTGACAAATGGGCACAGGCATGTGCCATTAACTTTATTTATGGACACCAAAATTTGAATTTCCTAGAGCTTTCACATGTCACAAAATATTTTTCTTTTAATATTCTCCCAAATTTTATAAAATGTAAAAAGGCCAGCCCAGGCAACATAGGGAGACCCCATCTCTATGAAAAGAAAAAGAATTAGGCAGTCATGGTGGTGCACACCTGTGGTCCCAGCTACTCGGGAGGCTGAGGCAGGAGGGTGGCTTGGGCCCAGGAGGTTGAGGCTGTAGTGAACTATGATTGTGCCACTGCACTCCAGCCTAGATGACAAAGAGAGACGCCATCTATTTTTTTAAATGGTTAAAATGGTCAATTTTCTGTTATGTGTATACATATATATATGTGTGTGTGTGTTTGTGTGTGTATCTGTGTATATATGTGTGTGTGTATGTGTGTGTGTATGTGTGTGTGTGTGTGTGTATGTGTGTGTGTGTATATATATACTTTTTTTTTTGAGTCTGAGTCTTTGTCACCCAGGCTGGAGTGCAGTGGCGCAATCTCAGCTCACTGCAACTCTGCCTCCCGGCTTCAAGTGATACTACTGCCTCAACCTCCCGAGTAGCTGGGATTACAGACACCTGCCACCACACCCAGCTAATTTTTGTATTTTTAGTAGAAACAGAGTTTCATCGTGTTGTCCAGGCTGGTCTTGAACTCCTGGCCTCAAATGATCCGCTCGTCTCAGCCTCCCAAAGTGCTGGAATTGCAGGTGTGAGCCACTGTGCCCTGTCTGTTATGTATATTTTATCACAGTTTTAAAAGATAAATAAAACATTCCGAGCTTGAAAGCCGAAACACAGGTGGTGGGCTAGATGGGACCTTGGGGTCATCATCTGCTAATCACAGAGCAACCCAAACAGGTTGGCACTTGGACCAAAAGTGTGTGAGACCCAGACCGAGGGCCGGGTGGAACCCAGAATCACAGGGGATTTGCTAATAAGGCAAATCTGGGTGAGGACGCACCTGCTCCAGGAAGGGAGGTGGGGTTGCTCTAGCGACGATGAGCCTGGGGTCTAGGTGGCAGCAGCAGGCCAAGTGCCAGGCGCCCCAGGGATGGGGAAGGATTGATTGAATAAATGTTTAAAGGAACGAATGAGTGGATGCACAGGTGGATGGGGAGGGGTTGTGCTGTAACCACCATGAAACAAACTCCACACTTTGATGAGCCACGTGGAGAGGGAGTGGGCAGAAAGAAGAAACTGGAAGTTGGGCCGGGTGCGGTGGCTTATGCCTGTAATCCCAGCACTTTGGGAGGCCGAGGCAGGTGGATCACCTGAGGTCAGGAGTTCCAGATCAGCCTGGCCAACATGGTGAAACCCTGTCTGTACTAAAAATAGGAAAATTAGTTGGGCATGGTGGCACATGGTGCAGGGCTGAGGCAGGAGGATCGCTTGAACCCCAGAGGTCAAGGCTGCAGTGAGCCGAGATCGTGCCATTGCACTGCAGCCTAGGCAAGAAGAGTGAAACTCTGTCTCAAAAAAAAAAAAAAAGAAAGAAAAGAAAAAAGAAATTAAAAAAAAAAAGAAAATATTACCTAGAGTAAAAGAAACCAGACATAAAAGGCCACATATTGTACAATCCTATCTATGTGAGATGCCCACAGAGGCAAATCCATAGGGCCAGAAAACAGATTGGTGTTTGCCAGGGACTGGGGGTGGAGAAATGGGAAGTGACTGGTAATGGGGACAGGGTATCCCTTTAAGGTGATGAAAATATTCTGGAACTAAGTAGAGGTGGCGGTTGCACAACACTGCATGTATAAAATGCCACTACTTTAAAAATGGTTAATTTCATGTGAATTGCACTTTAATAAAAATAAACAAGTATTTAAAAATCCACCAATGCAAACACTTCTCTGTTCCTCTGTGGTGGAGGAAGGGACACGCGCTTTTTTTTCCGACCTTAGGAAGGAACAAGGGAGCCGGGGTCCCCTCCCAGCCTGGGAGCCCTGGGCACAGTCCCGGCTCATTTGTCAGAGCTATCGGAGCCGTCCTCGGGCTGGTGGGAGTTCAGGGCTCTGAAAGGTTTTCTGTCAAGGCTTGAAAGGGGGCCAGGTTTTTTTCCCCCCGGAGCCGCGCAGTCTCGGGGCTGTTGTTCTCAGCAATCGCAGGGCCTCGTGTTAGCAGGAAGCACAGCCAAGTAGGGTTTCCTGCGTGTTGGAGAGAGGAAGCTCCGTAATGTTCTGGGAGGCGATGGTTAAAAATAACTCCGGTATATAAAGACAGCGGAGGGTCCCCTTGTTCGCTCACTCGGGCGCCGGCCGGCTGGACGCAGGGCCGAGCAGGTGGTTTGGGGCCTCGGGAAGGCCAAACCCCCGCCTCTGGGCCCCTGGCTGGGGAAGACACCAGCCAAGTTCAGAGCCCCAAGTCGGCCTCACTTCCACAACTCAGCGTCAGGGACACCGTGGGCGTTTCTGTTTCAAAACGCTTTTCTCCAGCAAAGAACGTAACCTCAAGCTGCTGTCAGGGTAGAGGAATCCCTGCCCCCCGCCGCCACCCAGATAGGTTGGGCCGTGATTTTGGCTGTGCCTGGCAGTGACGATGTAGCGCACCCAGGCTGGGGGGCGCTGGCAGCCAGGGTTCAAATCCCGGCTCTGCCACCTAACGCTGGGACTCAGTTTCTCCATCTGTAGAATGGAACTAACAATAGCTCCTATGCTGTTGTAAGCACTAAACACAGAAGTTAAGCTTTGGGAGTTAGGAGGGTGTGACCTGGGAAATGGATGTCTGCCCTTTCATAAGCAGATTTTGTTTTGTTTTGTTTTGTTTTGTTTTGAGACAGGGTCTCACTCTGTCACCCAGGCTGGAGTGCAGTGGCAAGATCACGGCTCTCTGCAGCCTCAACCTCCCAGGCTCAAGTGATCCTCCCTCCTCAGCCTCCCAAGTATCTGGGACCACAGATGCACGCCACCACGCCTGGCTAGTTTTCTTTTGAATTTCAGTTAAGACAAGGTATCACTATATTGCCCTGGCTGGTCTCGAACTCCTGGGCTCAAGAGATCCCCCCATCTCGGCCTCCCAAAGTCCTGGGATTACAGACATGAGCCACTGCGCCTGGCCACAAGCAGATTTTTAGAGTTGTCATTGCCATCGGAACAGCTGCCCAGACAGCAAGAAGAGCAAAAGCCTGTGTCTGGGGTCAATGCCAGGGTTTGAGGCTTCCAAGCCTAGGTGACCCCACAACAGATTCAACACATACAAAAAGGATCACAAGGACATGTTATAAACATCTCGATGCCAAAATATTCAGTGACAGGGATGAAATGGACACATTCCTTGAAAGACACAAATTACCAAAGCTTACTTAAGAACAAATAGATCGGCCGGGCGCGATGGCTCGTGCTGTAATCCCAGCACTTTGGGAGGCCGAGGCAGGCGGATCACCTGAGGTCAGGAGTTTGAGACCAGGCTGGCCAACATGGTGAAACCCCGTCTTTACTAAACAACAAAAATTAGCTGGCCATGGTGGCGGCCACTGTAATCCCAGCTACTCAGGAGGCTGCGGCAGGAGAATTGCTTGAACCCCGGAGGTGGAGGTTGCAGTGAGCTGAGATCGTGCCATTGTACTCCAGCCTGGACAACAGAGTGAGACTCTGTCTCAAAAAAACAGAAAAGAAAGAAGAAGAAAGAGAAGGGGAAGGGGAAGAAGAGGAGGAATAAGAGGAAGAAGAAAGAGAAGGGGAAGGGGAGGAAGAGGAGGAATAAGAGGAAGAAGAAAGTAGAAAGAAGAAGAGGAGGAGGAAGAAGGAGGAGGAGGAGGAGGAAGAAGGAGGAGAAGGAGGAGGAGGAGAAATAGATCACCCGAATATCCCTGTGTCTATGGGATAAATCAACATTGTTGTAAAAAGAACTTCCTACAGGCCAGGCATTGTGGTGGGTGCCTGTAATCCCAGCACTTTGAGAGCCCAAGGCAGGAGGATCACATGAGGCCAGGAGTTCAAGACTAGCCTAGGCAACATAGCAAGATCCCATCTCTACAAAAAATATAAAAATTAGCTGGGCTTGGTGGCTTGTGCCTATAATCTCAGCACTTTGGGAGACTGAGGTAGGAGACTCACTTAACCTCGGGAGTTTGAGACCAGCCTGGGCAACACAGTGAGACCCCATCTCTACAAAAACATTTTAAAATTAGCCAGACATGGTGGGTTTCAATGGTGGCTTTCACTTCATAGGGGGCTTTTGTTCCAAAGTCGCAGGAGGTGGAATTCCATCAACCAGTCCCAGCTACTTGGGAGGCTGAGGTGGGAGGATTACTTGAGCCTAGGAGGTCAAGGCTGCAGTGAGCTATGATTGTGCCACTGCACTCCAGCCTGGGCGACAGAGTGAAACCCTGTCTCTAAACAAACAAAAGCCTTTCTACAAAGAAAACTCCAGGTCTGGATGGCGTCCCTGGTAAATTTCCCCTAAACATCTAAGGAAGAGAGAGCATCACTTTGATAGGTTGGTGCAAACGTAATTGCGGTTTTTGCCATGACTTTTAAGCAATTACGTTTGCACCAACCTTACACAAGGGCTTTCACCAAACTGAACAGGAAAGAAAGCTTCCCGACTGGCTTTATACCAGGGGCTGCTCCAGGCATGCTGGGGACTGTCCTAGGTGCCGATGGCTGGCTTCCTGCTGTTCACAGGGGCGCTGGGGCTCCCTGCCCCCCAAAACAAGATCCTGTTCCCTTCCAGGGAGGCGTGTTCTTCTGCCGTTAGGGCAGAGCCCCGGTGGGGCTCAGGGAAATGAAAGACATATTTGCTCTCCAGAAATCTGAGCCCGCAGTGCCAGCTCCCCTGAAGGGCGCCTTTGTACGCTGCTTGTTGCCACAATTAGCGCCGTCCCAGACTGCGGCCTGCAGATCGAGGCCGCCTTGGCTCCGAAGCCCCTTTCAGGAGTCATCAGCGTCCTCCATGGGCTCTGACGTGGGCTATTTTTAACTGGCCAAAGGGGAGTTGTTATGGGCCAGCAGCAGCGGGGGACTTGAGGGGAGAGAGGATGGCGGGTGTTGGAGAGGCCAAGGGCTGTGGCCGGTGGTTAGGGTCTCTGCGGGGAGCAGTGTCTGCAGCCCTGGGCCATGGGGTGTGGAGGCAGGGACCTCGGGCCTCGGTTTCCTCATCTGTCCAATGGTGGCTTTCACTTCATAGGGGGCTTTTGTTCCAAAGTCGCAGGAGCTGGAATTCCATCAACCAGTCCCAGGGTCCTGCCCTGCCTGCCTCTCTCCATCCTGTTCTCTGTCCCTCCCTCTCTCTGTGTGTCTCTCTGTGTGGGGGGGTCTCACTCTCTCTCTCTGGGTCTCTCTCTCTCTCTCTGAGTCTCTCTCTCCCTCTCTCTCTGTCTCTCTGGGTCTGTGACTCTTTTCTGTCTCTCTGTCTCTCTATGTGTTTCTCTCTCTGTCTCTGACTTTCTTCTTCTCTGTCTCTCTGGGTCTGTGACTCTTTTCTGTCTCTCTGTCTCTCTCTGTGTGTGTTTCTCTCTCTGTCTCTGACTTTCTTCTTCTCTGTCTCTCTGTGTGTCTCTGTATCTGTCTCTCTCATGTGAGTCTCTCCGGCATGAGTCTCTCCCCCTTCTCTCTCTGTGTCTGACTCTCTTCCCTCGTCTCTCTGTCTCTACCCCTCTTTCTCCATCTCTTGCTCTTTCTCTCTGTGTCTCCGTTTCTCTCTATATATCTCTCTCCCTCTCTTTCCTTGTCTCTGTCTCTCCCTCTCTGTCTCTCTTTATCTCCTCTATCTCTGACTCTCTCTCTGACCCTCCACGTCTCTCCCAGGGTATACATTGTGTTTCCGCAGCTGTGCCTGGGCAGGGCGAGCACCCCATACCCCAAGAACAAGAAGGGTGGCCCTACGGCCTCCATTCCTTTCATGGGGAAAAGACTGCGGACTGAGTGGCTGCCCGTCCCACAGTCGACCCTCCAACTCCAAGGCACGCTGTGTGTTCAGAGCCGCCCCTCGGTCTCCATGTCCCAGCAGGGAGACCCTGACTTCTGGTCTCATTCAAAGCTTTTAGAAGAAGGCTGTGCACTCTTTGCAACTAGATTTTCTTAATTAAATAAATAGATGTCCGGACCTCTCTGGGAAGGGACTTGGAGCTCCTGCCAAGCTGTCCTGGGTGACCATGAACTCCCAGGGGGTTGGTCTCAATAAAGAGCAGCCCACGGCCAATAGCACACCTGCTGATGCTCTGGGGACATCCCTGTGCTAAGGGAAGGCACTGCCCCTACCCCACCTTACGGAGGAACGCAGGCTTAGAGAGGGGCAGTCTTGCAACCAGGCCAACAGGGGAGGCTGCCTGAACCTGGCCTTTTTTTTTTTTTTTTTTTGGAGACAGAGCCTCACTCTGTCACCCAGGCTGGAGTCCAGTGGTGCAATCTCGGCTCACTGCAACCTCTCCCTCCCAGGTTCAAGCAATTCTGCTGCCTCAGCCTCCCGAGGAGCTGGGACTACAGGCACATGCCACCATGCCCAGCTAATTTTTATATTTTTAGTAGAGACGAGATTTCACCATGTTGGCCAAGCTAGTCTCAAACTCCTGACCTCAAGTGATCCACCTGCCTTGGCCTCCCAAAGTGCTGGGATTACAGGTGTGAGCCACCATGCCTGACCTTTTTTAAATTGTGGTAAAATACATGTAACATAAAGTTTATCCATCGTAAGGTGTGCAATATGGTGGCATTCAGCACGTTCACAAGGTTGTTCAACCACCACTAGTATCTACTTCAGAACATTCCATCAGTCCAAAAAGAAACCCTGTCCCAGCGGGGCACGGTGGCTCACGCCTGTAATCCTAGCACTTTGAGAGGCCGAGGCGGGTGGATCACGAGGTCAGGAGTTTGAGACCAGCCTGACCAACATGGTGAAACCCTGTCTCTCCTAAAAATACAAAAAAATTAGCCGGGTTTGGTGACAGGTGCCTGTAATCCCAGCTGCTCAGGAAGCTGAGGCAGGAGAATCTCTTGAACTCAGGAGACGAAGGCTGCAGTGAGCCGAGATCGCGCCACTGCATTCCAGCCTGGGCAACAGAGGGAGACTCTGTCTCAAAAAAAAGAAAAAAGAAAAGCCCTGTCCCCGTCAGCAGTCACTCCCCATTTCCCTTCCCCCACCCCAGGCAGCCACTAATCTGCTTCCTGTCTCTACGGATTTGCCTGTTCAGGGCATTTCATATCAATGAAATCATACACCATGTGGCCTTTTGTGTCTGGCTTCTCTCACTCAGCATATTTTTGGAGTTCATCCACGTTGTAGCATGGAGCAGTGCTTCATTCCTTTTCACAGCTGCGTAATATTCCATTGCTGGATGGACCACGTTTTGTTTATCTGTTCATTCGTTGACAGACACCCAAGTTGCTTCCACCTTTTGGCCGTTGTGAACAGTGCTGCTGTGAACATGCATGCACACATCTTTGTGTGAACACCCACCTTCAATTCTTTTGGGGATATTCCCCAAGAATACACCAACGAATACCAAAATCCTTTTGAGTATATGAGTTACCACTTCAGGGTGGAGCTGCTATGGTATATGGTAATTTTTTTATTTTATTTATTTATTTTTGAGATGGAGTCTTACTCTGTTGCCCAGGCTGGAGTGCAGTAGTGCAATCTTGGCTCACTGCAACCTCTGCCTCCCGGGTTCAAGCAATTCTCCTGCCTCAGCCTCCCGAGTAGCTGGGACTTACAGGTGCACACTATCACATCCAGCTAGTTTTCTTGTATTTTTAGGAGAGATGGAATTTCATTGTGTTGTCCAGGCTGGTCTTGAACTCTTTACCTCAAGCGATCCGACTGCCTCAGCCTCCCAAAGTGCTGAGATTACAGGCGCGAGCCACCGCACCCGGCCATGATATGTTATAAGGTAATTCTATGTTGCACTTTTTTCTTTTTTATTGAGACAGGGTCTTGCTCTGTCACCCATGCTGGAGCGCAGTGGTGCAATCATGGCTCACTGCAGCTTCAACCTCCTGGGTTCAAGCCATCTTCCCGCCTCAGCCTCCCAAGTAGCTGGGACAACAGGTGCATGCCACCACTCCTGGCTAATTTTTTTATTCTATGTTTCACTTTTTGAGGAACCCTCCTGATTTTGGCCCTGGCAGAATTAAGGCTGAATTATCCACACTCCCTCGGACGCACCTGCTGTCCACAGCTCCCCCAACTCCCTGATGGCGGCCCCCAGGAACAATCCTCAAACTGCACCAGCTCTTTCAGCTCTCACCTTCCTTATCTGTACATCAGCCGTGGTGACAATGTAAGGAGATGATGTCAGAAAAGGCCCCAGCTGTGGCCTGGCAGCTCAAATGAAAATCATTGTTCCCCTACCCCACCCCCAACCCAGGTAGGGTTGACAGATTAAACACAGGACGCCCTACTCAAATGCGAACATCAGATAAACAATGAATTCTTTTTTTTAGTATAAGTATATCCCATTCCATGCACTATTCGAGATATACTTCTACTAAAAAAAAAACTTGTTGTTTATCTGAAATTCCAATTTAATGGAGTGTCCTGCGTTTTACTTGCAAAACCTGGTAAGCAGCCTTTGTAACAGTTGGTTCTCACAGACAGGCAGAAATTGAAGGGGATGCTAGGTTTTCTGTTTGTTTGTTTGTTTCTTTTGACACAGAGTCTTGCTCTGTCGCCCAGGCTGGAGTGCAGTGGTGCGATCTTGGCTCACTGCAACCTCCGCCTCCTGGGTTCAAGCGATTCTCCTGCCTCAGCCTCCCAAGTAGCTGGAACTCCAGGCATGTGTCACCATGCCTGGCTAATTTTTTGTATTTTTAGTAGAGACGGGGTTTCACCATGTTAGCCAGGAAGGTCTTGATCTCCTGACCTCGTGATCCCCCCACCTCAGCCTCCTAAAATGCTGGCATTACAGGTGTGAGCCACCACGCCCGGCTGATGCTAGGTATTTCAGACCCCAAGTCACCCATCCACCCATCCAGCCTGTCACCCAGGCTGGAGTGCAATGGTGGTGATCTGGACTCACTGCAGCCTCGACCTCCTGGGTTCAAGCCATCCTCCCACCTCAGCCTCCCAGGTAGCTGGAACCACAGGTGCATGCTCTTATGCCTGGCTAATTTTTGTATTTTTTTGTAGAGATGAGCTCTTGCTATGTTGCCCACCTGCTGGGACTCAATCCACCAAGTAGATGTCTCCAATTCTCCACCATTCCCCAAGACAAGTCTGGTGACAAAGAATTGGTTCAGAACCTGGGAAGTCTTTGAAGGTCCACTTTTGTCAGATGACACATGATCTAAATTGGTCCCCAACCCCAGGCCGCCGGAAAGGCTAGTGAGCATGGGGTGAGCATAGAATCACCGCTCTATGAAAACATGCCTCCCTCAGCCCTGCCTCCTGGGCCACCGAGGTCTGATTCACGCTTCCTCGTATTCAAACAGAGTCGGTGCAGCTGGAAGCAACCCTGCCAGGGGTAAGTCAGCCAGTGCAGGTAACATTTCTCCCCCTCGATTTTTCCCAGAACCCGGCTCCGGGCCCAACACAGGATGCCTGGGGGATGTCAGAGGATTCTAAGTGAGGAAACCCCTGCCGTCCATTGCTGTTCTGTTCCCCCAGGGACGCTTTGTCCAGGGCCCACCGATCCATCACACATACAAGGCCCAGGGCCCTGGAATGTTTAAGAGCCCACAAAAAAATAGCCTTTTTTTTTTTTTTTGAGACAGAGTCTCACTCTGTCGCCCAGGCTGGAGGGTAGTGGTGCAATCTTGGCTCACTGCAACCTCCACCTCCCGGGTTCAGGCGATTCTCCTACCTCAGCCTCCCAAGTAGCTGTGATTACAGGCACGTGCCACCACACCCAGCTAATTTTTATATTTTTAGTAAAGATAGGGTTTCACCATGTTGGCCAGGCTGGTCTCGAACATCTGAGCTCAGGTGATCTGCCCGCCTTGGCCTCCCAAAGTGCTGGGATTACAGGCATAAGCCACCACGTCCGGCCACACTGTATGTTTTTGAATGTTAGGAGGGACAGAGGATCCCATATCCAGCATGTACCGGGAGATACAACCCATTTCTCAGATGACAAAACTGAGGCTGAGAAAAGAGAAACAACTTGACCGAGCTCTAGGCTATTGTTCTCTAAAAAACTTTTGTGGGGACAGTGATTTTTTTTTTTAAGAGACAGGGTCTCATTCTGTTGCCCAGGCTGGAGTACAATGATGCAATTGTAGCTCACTGCAGCCTCGAACTTCTGGGCTCACGTGATCTTCCGCCTTCAGCCTCCTGAGTAGCTGGGATTACAGGTGCATGCCACCATACTTAGCCACTTAGCTTTTTTTTTTTAATTTTATTTTTATTTTTTATTTTTGTAGAGATGGGATCCTGCTATGTTGCCCAGGCTGACCTTGAACTCCTGGTCTCAAGTAATCCTCTCATCTCAGCCTCCCAAAGTGCTGGGAGTGCAGACATGAGCCCCCGTTCCCAGCTTGATTTTGTATCTTTTTGATGCTCTGGGCTCTGTGGGGTGTAAGCTATAGATACTTTTCTTTGTAGATAAAGTGCCTGCAACTTACATTTAGTTTCAGGGGGTCCATGAACCCCTCTGAAGCTCACACAGGGGAACAATCCTGGGTCCAGATCAAAGCCTGTGAAATCAGTTTAAATCGTGGCTCAGCCAAGGATCAACCGTGCCTCAGTTTTCCTCCTCCAGCACATCACTATAGAGTGGTGGAAATATTACTGGCTCTCCGAGTCCCAAAAACTAAGGAGGATCCATGCAGGGCCTGGCATATACTGGGTTTTCAATAAACAGTTTTCTTCTCCCCTGTCAGCCTGATGCTCCACAAACTCTCAAACACACACACACACACACACACACACGTGTGAGCATGAGCCTGAAAAAACACAGCTGGCCATTTCATTGATAGATTGACTTTTGTTATTATTATCTTTAGTAGAGACAAATTCTCACTATGTTGCCCAGGCTGGTCTTGAACCCCTGGGCTCAAGCAATCCTCCTGCCTCGGCCTCCCAAAGTGCTGGGATTACAGGTGTGAGCCACCGCGCCTGGCCAAGCTGGCCATTTTATTTATTTATTTATTTATTTGTTGTTATTATTATTATTATTATTATTATTATTATTATTATTTGAGACAGAGTGTTGCTCTGTTGCCCAGGCTGGAGTACAGTGGCGCAATCTTGGCTCACTGTAACCTCTGCCTCCCGGGTTCAAGCAATTCTCCTGCCTCAGCCTCCCGAGTAGCTGGGGTTATAGGCACCCGCCACCACGTCCAGCTAATTTTTGTATTTTTAGTAGAGACAGAATTTTACCATGTTTGTCAAGCTGGTCTCAAACTCTTGAGCTCAAGCGATCCTCCTGCTTCGGCCTCCCAAAGTGCTGGGATGATGGGCATGAGTCACCGCGCCTAGCCAAGCTGGCCATTTTGGACTCAAGACCTTCACATTTATTCCTGAGGAAAGGGAAAAAAAAAAAAAAAAGAAGGAAAACTCCCTCTCACTACACATAGTTTCAAAAACTGCCCTTTCAGTGGAAAAGTTTTTTACGTCTTAAGAAAAACCTGATTGTTTAAAGTCAGGTCTGCAGTAAACGGGCGGCTATTTTTAAGTGCTTGGGGACATATGTCTGCAACCCATGGAAAGAAGAGAAGCCGTTTGTCTTGGGAGCTTGTCCAGAATGACTGGAGTGACGTGGAGTGCGGGGTTGGAGGTGGGAGTGGGGGGGACACGAGCTGTCAGCCTGCCAGAAGCACAAAAAAACTCCCAAAATATTCCAGAACATTCCTTCTCGAGTCGTCAGAAATCATACTATCCGGGCCGCGCCTCAAAGTTCCCACTCAGCAAGCAGTTGTTTTCCGTTTCATTTTCCCTCTTCTTTTTTTTTTCCCCTCAAATCACATTTGTTTTTCCACAATCGAAGGCGCTCACACACATCTCGCCCTGAAATTCAGACACACTGTTCTCACCTAGAATTGTAAACAGCAACCTCTCCACCCCCTCCCGTGGCCGGGTGTTTGGGTGATGCTGGAAAAATCTTCTAAAGGCAGGGAGAAAAAAAGGGAGTTTTCCAAAAATCGACACAGGGCTTACGTTACACAGAGTTTATGCAATCAGCCCCTGGAAACAACTAGACGGGCCTCCCCAGCTGCAGAGGCTCTGAGTAGCAATAAAGTCGTGAGAAGGGAAAGTCAGCCTTTGGCAAGAATCCCCGACTCCCCCATGAAAGTGATAAGGGCGGTGTGGACCGCAGCTGGGAGGCCAACTGCGTATTTGAAATATGTTGGCAAGGCCAGGTTCTCGTAAAGCATCACAGAGGTCCTGTGGAATAGATTCCTCCAGCCTGAGACCCTGGCGCACCCTTGGGTCACTGGTGGTGTGCCAGGATTTTATTTACTTATTTGCTTGCTCGTGTGTTAATTTTTTTAGAGACAAGGTCTTGCTGTGTCACCCAGGCTGGAGTGCAGTGGTGCAATCATAACTCACTGCAGCTTCAACCCCCCAGGCTCAAGGGATCCTCCCACCCTCAGCCTCCTAAGTAGGCACATGCCACCCGGCTCAGCTAAGTTTTGTTGTTTTTGTTTTTGTTTTAAGTTTTTGTAGAGATGGGGGGAGGGGTTTTGCTATGTTGCCCAGGCTGGTCTAGAACGCCTGGCCTTACGTGATCCTCCCACCTCGGCCTTCCGAAGTACTGAGATGACAGGTGTGAGCCACCACACCAAGCCTCAACAGGAGGGTGTAGACACTTTCTAGCAGCATCTCCTCCACCCTCCTAGGGCCCTTGGGGGCTCTATTTGGTTCCTAATGTCTTCTCCCATTTTGCAGAAAACAAAACCCAAAGTGCAGAGAGAGGAGGTGGAATGTGATTCAGGGATAAACCACACAGAGAAAGCCTAAAGTGAAATCTGTCTGCTGCCACGGGATTTCCCTTAAAGATCCCTGTCCCTCGGCCGGGCGCAGTGGTTCATGCCTGTAATCCCAGCACTTTGGGAGGCCGAGGCGGGCGGATTACTGGAAGTCAAAAGTTCGAGACCAGCCTGGCCAACATGGCGAAACCCCGTCTCTACTAAAAATACAAGAATTAGCCGGGCATGGTGGCGAGTGCCTGTAATCCCAGCTACTCAGGAGGCTGAGGCCGAAGAATCGCTTGAACCCGGGAGGCAGACGTTGCAATGAGCCAAGATCGCACCACTGCACTCCAGCCTGGGCAAAGAGGGAAACTCTGTCTCAAAAAAAAAAAAAAAAGGAAAAAGAAAAAGAACAAGAACAAGCACCGACTACATGCAGAACATGAAGGAACTGAGTGGACGTGATGCTGAACAATGAAAACGGGCCAGCCATGGTGGCTCACACCTATAATCCCAGCATTTTGGGAGGCTGAGGCAGGAGGATCTCCTGGGCCCAGGAGTTCAAGACTAGCCTAGGCAACACAGTGAGACCTCGTCTCTACAAAAAATTTAAAAGTAGGGCAGGAGGATCACTTGAGCCCGGGAGGTCGAGGCTGCAATGAGCTGTGATTGCACCAACTGCACTCCTGCTTGGGCGAGAGGAGTGAGACCCCAACTCGAAAAAAAAAAAAAAAAAAGAGGAGGGGGAGGGGGAGGGGGAGGAGGAGGAGCATCACTGTGATTCCACTTTAGGGAAATTAGGCAAAACTCCTCTCCAGCGACAGAGCTTGGAGTTGCGCGGAGAGGGAGGCTTTGCAGGCACTAGACATTCCTGTGTCTGGATCCAGGGAACTGATCCTGCCAGCAGAATCCAGCGTGTACACTCGAGATGATCGCGCTGTGCGGCATGCAGTTCTGTCTTCATTGGAAAAGATCAAGGCTGGGTGTGGTGGCTCACGCCTGTAATCCCACCACTTTGGGAGGCCAAGGCCAGTGGATCACTTGAACCCAGGAGTTAGAGACCAGCCTGGACAACATAGTGAAACCCCGTCTCTACCAAAAATACAAAAAATTAGCCGGGCGTGGTGGCGAATGCCTGTAGTCCAAGCTACTTGAGGGGGTGAGGTGGGAGACTTCTTTTTTTTTTTGAGACGGAGTCTTGCTCTGTTGCCCAGGCTGGAGTGCAATGGCGCAATCTCGGCTCACTGCAACCTCCTCCTCCTGGGTTCAAGTGATTCTCCTACCTAAGCCTTCCGTGTAGCTGGGACTACAGGTGCCCACCACCACGCCTGGCTAATTTTTTGTATTTTTAGTAGAGACAGGGTTTCACTGTGTTGGCCAGGATGGTCTTGATCTCCTGACCTCGTGATCCGCCTGCCTCAGCCTCCCAAAATGCTGGGATTACAGGTGTGAACCATCGCGCCTGGCCGAGAATTTCTTGAACCTGGGAGGTGGAGGTTGCAGTGAGCTGAGATCACGCCACTGCACTCCAGCGTGGGCGACAGAGTGAGACTCTGTCTTAAATTTAAAAAAGAAAAGATCAAACAGGCATTTATTGAGCACCTGTTGCATGCCAGACCCTAAAAAGGCAACGAGGACAGAGACCCCCGCCACTCTGGACCAGGAGGCCAAGTGGAGGAGACGCAAACCAAGTAAGATGCTGCTGCAGAAACTTCCAGCCACGGTCGATCCATGCAGGTGGTTGGAATCCCAGAAGCCCCATGCCCCAGAGAACCCCTGCTGTGTCTGGAAAGAAAAACCAATCAGTTCTGACTCTGGCTGTGCAGCAGGGTAAGCAGAGGGAGTCCACAGACGAGGGATAAGGCTCTGTCCTGGTCTCAAAGATCAAGGAGGAGTGGATGGTGGTAGAAAGAGGTCCCAGCGCGTGATTTGATTGGACCAGTGTTCACAGGGCCACTTCCCAGTCCAGGATGAGCAGGTGTGAAAATGCAGCCTCCAGCCTGTGCAGTGGCTCATGCCTGTAATCCCAACACTTTGGGAGGCTGAGGCTGGCTGATCACCTGAGGTCAGGAGTTCGAGACCAGCCTGACCAACATGGAGAAACGCCATCTCTACTAAAATTACAAAATTAGCCGGGCGTGGTGGCACATGCCTGTAATCCCAGCTCCTTGGGAGGCTGAAGCAGGAGAATCGCTTGAACCCGGGAGGCAGAGGTTGCGGTGAGCCGAGATGGCACCATTGCACACCAGCCTGGGCAATAAGAGCGAAACTTCTTCTCAAAAAAAAAGAAAAAGAATAGAAAATGCAGCCTCCGTGACTTGCCCGAGGTCCCCAAGCTGGGACAAAATGGGATACATCTCAGCAGCCAGGTTTGTCCCCAAAGGGGGCTGTAAAACCTCGTGGGAACCCACAGGGACCCGCCCCTTGAAGGTGGTGATGGTCCCCACTGCCTGCTGGCTTCGCTGGTGACTCAGTACCCACCAGGCCAAGGTGTGTCTGGGAGCTGCCTCTCTGGACGGCCACCCCACCTTTTGTACATGGCCTCTTGGTGCCTGGGACACAGTGAGTCACAAGACAAAGCCGTCAGATTGTCTGGGGCAAAACCCTTTGTGGCAACAGATGGACAAGCCTGGTAAATGGCCCGGGCAGCTGGGCAGCCAGCGCTTTGTAAAACCTTTCCAAGTGGTCCTCTTTGAACCTGATGAGGACAAAAGCCAATGGCCAATCATCTCTGAAAGTCCTCAAAAGTGCACAGACATACCCTTCTTTGTGCATGGGGACAGAAGACTTTCAACGTGAATGCGATTCCTTCATTCTGTCCCGGTGAGCCTCACTTATTTGGGGCATCAAGTATCCCAGCCTGGAAGACAAATTGTTTCACCTTCACCATGAATGGTGTGTGTGTGTGTGTGTGTGTGTGTGTGTGTGTGTGTGTGTGTGTGTGTGTGTGTTTGAGATGGAGTCTCATTCTGTCACCCAGGCTGGAGTGCAGTGGTGCGATCTCAGTTCTCTGCAACCTCTGCCTCCCCAGTTCAGGCGATTCTTGTTCCTTAGACTCCCAAGTAGCTGGGACTACAGGTGCCCACCACCACGGCCGACTAATTTTTGTATTTTTAGTAGATACAGGGTTTCACTATGTTGGCTGGGCTGGTCTCGAACTCCTGACCTTGTGATCCACCCGCCCCAGCCTCCCAAAGTGCTGGGATTACAGGTGTGAGCCACCACGCCCAGCCCATTGTCTCTATTTGGAAGGAATGAGCAGCATGTTGCCCCTGACGAGGAGAAAGGGAGAGACAGGCCCACAGCCTCCTCACCCCCACCCAGTTCCACCCACCGGTCACCTGAGCAATCCTCTCATCTTGGCCCAAAACCAACCAGGGGCAGGGAATGAGGCTGCGTTCAGTGCAGGCAGAACTCTAAGAGGCTCCCAAGATTCCAGGCAGTCTGCGTACACACCTGCTATAATCCCGTAAGTCTGGGTGTGACTAGTGAGTCAGTGAGGGTGTCACTTCCTTGATAAGGTGACATTTTAAGGCAAAGGTGAGAAAACCTTACCAATATAATTAAGGTCCAAAATAATTTGATTTTGAGTTCATCAAATGGGAGCTTACCTTGGGTGGGCCTGACCTAATCAGGAGAGTGCTTTGAAAGAGGATCTAATGGTAATTTTTTTTTCAACCATCAATTTTGCTCCTGAGTCTAATGGCAAATTTTATGTTATGTATATTTAACCACAATTTAATTTTTTTTTGAGACGGAGTTTCATTCGTGTTGCCCAGACTAGAGTGCAATGGCGTGTGCAGTCTTGGCTCACTGCAACCTCCATCTCCCAGGTTCAAGCAATTCACCTGCCTCAGCCTCCCAAGTAGCTGGGATTACAGGCATGCACCACCATGCCCAGCTAATTTTGTATTTTTAGTAGAGACGGGGTTTCTCCATGTTGGGCAGGCTGGTCTCAAACTCCCGATCTCAGGTGATCTGCCCACCTTGGCCTTCCAAAGTTCTGGGATTACAGGTGTGAGCCACCATGCCCAGTCCTTAAAATTTTTAATTTAAAAAAAAAAACCGTGATGGCAAGTGAAAACAACCAAAGCGTCCACCAACAGATGAATGGATACACAAAATATAGTGTAGCCATAGAGTGGAATATTATTCAGCCAGGAAAAAGGAATAAAATTCTGATTCATGCTACACTGTGGTTGAAGCTTGAGGACATTATGCTAAGTGAAATGAGCCCATCACAAAAAGACAACTACTGTCTGATTTCACTTATAGGAGGTCTCTAGAGTGGTCACACTTATAGAGACAGGAAGTAGAATGGTGGGTACGAGGGGCTAGAGGAGAAGGAATGGGGAGTTTGGGTCTAATAGGGACAGAGTTTCAGTTTGGGATGATAAAGAAGTTCTGGAAATAGAAAGTGACAATGGTGGCCAGGCACGGTGGCTCATGCCTGGAATCTCAGCGCTTTGGGAGGCTGAGAGGGGCAGATCGCTTGAGCCCACGAGTTCAAGACCAGCCTGGGCAGCATGGTGAAACCCCATCTCTACAAGAAATTTAAAAATTAGGCAGGTGGTGGTACATGCTTGTAGTCCCTGCTACTCAAGAGGCTGAGGTGGGAGGATCACTGGAGCCTGGGAGGGTCGAGGCTGCAGTGAGCCAAGATTGCACCACTGCACTCCAGCCTGGGTGACAGAGTGAGATCCTGTCTCAAAAAATAAAAAGTGGCAATCGTTACACAACATCATGAATAAACTTAATGCCACTGAATTGTACACTTAAAAAGAGTTAAGATGAGGCCAGGTGCTCACGCCTGTAATCCCAACACTTTGGGAGGCCAAGTAGGGGTGTGGATTGCTTGAGGCCAGGAGTTTGAGACCAGCCTGGGCAACATGGCAAAACCCCGTCTCTACAAAAAAATACAAAAATTAGCCAGGCATGGTGGTGCACACCTGTAATCCCAGCTACTCGGGAGGCTGAGGGATGAGAATCACTTGAACCCAAGAGGTGGAGGTTACAGTGAGCCGAGATCACTCCATTGCACTCCAGCCTGGGCGACAGAGTGAGACTCTGACTCAAAAAAAAAAAAAAATGGTTAAGATGAATTTTAATAAATGTTATGTATGTTATTTTACCATTCAGGGGGTTGTCTTTGTTTTGTTTTAGAGACAGGGTCTCACTATGTTGCCTGGGCTGGAGCACAGTGGCACTGTACCGTACAGGACACCCTGTGATATGGTTCGTAGTCTCCAGGGGGGGAGAGAAGAATGACATTACTCCCAATATCGTGGGGAGTGTCCACCCCCCTGTGATATTGTTCATAATATCCAGTCCCCCCTCAATATTACACACGGTATCACGGGGAAGTGTACACACCCTACACACCCCCTGCGATATTGAGGGTACTATCATCTTGTCACTTCCTGGGCTCAGTGGCTCACACCTGTAATCCCAGTATTTTGAGAGGTGGAGGCAAGGGAATCACTTGAAGTCCAGGAGTTCAGGACCAACCAGGGCAACATGGAGTGCCCTCTGCCCTCCCCACCAAAAAATAAAAATAAATTAGCTAGGTGTGGTTGCTAATTATTAATATTATGTGTGATATCACAGGGGGGTGTACACACTCCCTGTAACATTGGGGGTACCATCATTCTGTCCCCCCTTTGATATGACGCACAATATCACTTGAGGGTGTACACACCCCCTACAATATTGGGAATACTATCATCCTGTCCTCCCCTGGATATTATGACCAGTATCACAGAGGGGTGTACATGCCCCCTGCGATATTGGGGGTACTATCATCCTGTCCCCCCCTGTATATTATGACTGGTATTATGGGGGGTGTACACGCCCCCTGCGATATTGGGGGTACTATCATCCTGTCCCCCCCGTATGACTGGTATTACAGGGGGGTGTACACGCCCCCTGCGATATTGGAAGTACTATCATCCTGTCCCCCCATCTATATTATGACTGGTATTACAGGGGGGTGTACACGCCCCCCGCGATATTGGGGATACTATCATCCTGTCCCCCCTGTATATTATGACTGGTATTACAGGGGGGTGTACACGCCCTCTGCGATATTGGGGGTACCATCATCCTGTCACGCCCTGTATATTATGACTGCTATTACAGGGGGTGTACACGCCCCCTGCGATATTGGGGGTACTATCATCCTGTCATGCCCTGTATATTATGACTGGTATTACAGGGGGTGTACACGCCCCCTGCGATATTGGGGATACTATCATCCTGTCCCACCCTGTATATTATTACAGGGGCGTGTACACACCCCAGTGACATTGGAGGTGTGATCATCCTGTCCCCCTTTGTATATTACACGTGCCATCACAGGGGGTGTACACAGTGGCATCACAGCTCACTGCAGCCTGGATCTCCCGCCTCAGCCCCCCAAGTAGCTGGGACTACAGGCGTGAGCAACCACACCTAGCTAATTTATTTTTATTTTTTGGTGGGGTGGGCAGAGGGCACTCTATGTTGCCCAGGCTGGTCCCAAACTCCTGGTCTTCAAGTGATTCCCCTGCCTCCCTCTCCCAAAATACTGGGATAACAGGCGCGAGCCACTGAGCCCAGCTCACCTTAATTTTTTTGTTGTTGTTTAAAACAAAAATCAATGCATACAGGCTGGGTACTAGTTATTTGGACAACTAGTCTCAAACTCCTGGGCTTTAGCCTGTAATCCCAAAACCCCATCTCTACAAAAAATACCAATAAAATTGGCCAGGTGTGGTGGTGCACAAATGTATTCCCAACTACTCGGGAGGCTGAGGTGGGAGGATCGCTTGAGCCTAGGAGGCCGACGTTGCATTGAACCAGATCACGCCATTGCCCTTCAGCCTGGGCAACAGAGAGAGAGGAGACTCCGTCTTAAAAAAAAAAAACAACAACAACAACAAAAAAAACGGCTGAGCACGGCCGCTCACGCCTGTAATCCCAGCACTTTGCGAGGCTGAGGCGAGCGGATCGCCTGAGGTCAGGAGTTAGAAATCAGCCTGGCCAACATAGTGAAACCCTGTCTCCACTAAAAATACAAAAAAATTAGCTGGATGTGGTGGCAGGCACTCCCAGCTACTCGGGAGGCTGAGGCAGGAGAATCGCTTGAACCCAGGAGGCGGAGGTTGCAGTGAGCCGAGATCGCACCACTGCACTCCAGCCTGGGCAACAAGAATGAAACTCCATCTCAAAAAATAAAAAAATAAAGCCAGGCTCAGTGGCTCACAACACCTCTAAGCCCAGCACTTTGGGAGGCCGAGGCGGGTGGATCACCTGAAGTCAGGAGTTCGAGACCAACCTGGCCAACATGGTGAAACTCCATCTCTACTAAAAATATAAAAATTAGCCAGGCATGGTGGCCTATGCTGTAATCCCAGCTACTCAGGAGGCTGAGACAAGAGAATCCCTTGAACCCGGGAGGCAGAGGTTGCAGTAAGCCGAGATGGTGCCACTATACTCCAGCCTGGGCGACAGACCAAGAAGACTCTGCCTCAAAAAAAAAAAAAAAAAAAAAAACAACAACAATGGGAAGCCTCTGAAACTCCCCTTCCCCAGGGGTCTCCGGGGGTCTCCACACTCCTCGGCTGAGTCAGCCTTCCTCCTGCAAACAGCCCAGGGTTCACCAAGTGTACAAGGCTGTCGTGGGCCCCATGCCCCTTCTCGCCACAGGCTTGTGCAGGCACGGGGCCGTCCCCGCTTGATTGCTAGGGGTTTAGCCAATATTTTCTTACGGGGCGCCCTTGCTGGGACACAGGTGCAAGTGTGACATCGTGGGCTGTGAGTCAGGCCTTGGCACTCCTTGCACGGCCGGCCGGCATGAGTCAGGCTGCATTTGCCCACTGTTCCTGTCTTTTCTCTTGTTCTGAACACCGCATGTGCCAGGCCTTCTGTGGGTCATCAGTCATTATTTTGGGTATGCAGCGCAGATCACTCAGGGACAGACTTCTCTGGGTCAGGGGAGCTGGGACTTTACTTATCAAATTGCAAATGTCCAACATACCCCATGCAGAACCAGTGACACGGAGAGAGGTTTCCATCCCAGGGCTGGGGTCGGGGAGGGTGTCGAACACCCAGTACAGCCCCCAGGGTTTCCTAGAAATGCAAATCACAGCTCTGAAGTGCAGCCTGGCCTCTTATGGTTAGACACAGGTTCACACCTGAGAAAGCTTGGCAACGTCTAGAGACATTTTTGGTCCTCACGACTCGGGGAGGCGCGTCGGGGGAATGCTATTAATTGTGGGTTTTGCCATTAAAAAAAAAGTAATGGCAAGGGCCAGGCGCGGTAGCTCACGCCTGTAACCCAGCACTTTGGGAGGCCGAGGCGGGTGGATCACCTGAGGTCAGGAGTTCTAGACCAGCCTGGCCAGTATGGTGAAACCCTGTCCCTACTAAAAATACAAAAATCATGGCCGGGCGCGGTGGCTCACGCCTGTAATCCCAGCACTTTGGGAAGCTGAGGCAGGTCGATCACGAGGTCAGGAGATCGAGACCATCCTGGCGAACACTGTGAAACCCCGTCTCTACTAAAAATACAAAAAAAATTAGCCAGGTGTGGTGGCGGGCGCCTATAGTCCCAGCTACTCCGGAGGCTGAGGCAGGAGAATGGCATGAACCCAGGGGGCGGAGCTTGCAGTGAGCGGAGATCACGCCACTGCACTCCAGCCTGGGCAACAGAGCGAGACACCATCTCAAAAAAAAAAAAAAAAAGTACGAAAATCAGCCAAGCATGATGCCGCGCACCTGTCATCCCAGCCACTGGGGAGGCTGAGGCAGGAGAATCGCTTGAACCCAGGAGGCGGAGGTTGCAGTGAGCCGAGACTGCAGCACTGCACTCCAGCCTGGGCGACGGCATAAGATTCCATCTCAAAAAATAATAATAATAATAATGGCAAGAACGGCAATGACTTTTGCACCAACCTAATAGTATCTGGTGGGTGCAGGCCAGGGATGCTACAATGCACGGGATGGCCTCTGCCACACAGATAATCCGGCCTCAAGTGCTGAAGTTGGGAAATCCTGCTTACCAGCCCCTGAAGAGTCCATTTCTCATCTCATGCCGGCTTACCCCCTACCACCTTTTTTTTTTTTTTTTTTGAGACAGTCTGGCTCTGTCCCCCAGGCTGGAGTGCAGTGGCACAGTCTTGGCTCACTGCAACCTCCGCCTCCCTGGTTCAAGTGATTCTCCTGCCTCAGCCTCCTGAGTAGCTGGGATTACAGGCGCGCACCACCACGCCCAGCTAATTTTTGTATTTTTAGTAGAGACGGGGTTTCGCCATGTTGGCCAGGCTGGTCTCGAACTCCTGACCTCAGGTGATCTGCCTGCCTAGAGCTCCCAAAGTGCTGGTATTACAGGTGTGAGCCACCGCGCCTGGCCTAAATAATTTTAAAATAGGTCAGTTGACAGTCTTCAGGCGGCAAGTTAGAGAAACACATGCAGGCAGATGCATGCTTGTTTGAGGCTGTAAAGTGTCCACATTGGGAAACTGGGGAGAAGATAGGAGAACTATGTAGGGGCTCTAGGTTCTGCAGCTGGCAATATTCTTCTATGTCCACTTCCTCCCATTAAAATTCGGCCTCCAGCCAAGTGGCCAGTGTCTGGGATATGTTATTGTGTCTGGCTCTGAGGAACTGGAACTCCTTCCAGTTCTTGAAGATACTTGGGGAGGGAAGATGCTTGGGGAGCATTTGTTTGGCTCCCCAGCCATAATGCACAGTATTGGCATGACTGGGGGTATGGATGGGGACACTGGGCATCCCCGATATGATGTGATGAGGAGGGCATGCTCCCGTCTTCTTCCCCAAACCCCACAATTCCTGTCTAACCACAAGAAAATGTCAAACACAGATTGGGGTACACTTGGATGCCCTGGGGGGGGACCGGCCAGCACTCTTTAAGACTGCCAAAGTCAGCCAGGCACGGTGGCTCATGCCTATAATCCCAGAATTTTGGGAGGCTAAGGCAGGTTGATCACCTGAGGGCAGGAGTTCAAGACCAGCCTGACCAACAGATGAATCCCCCTCCCTACTAAAACACACAAAAAAGTAGGTGGGTATGGTGGGTGGGCGCCTGTAATCCCAGCTACTCGGGAGGCTGAGGCATGAGAATCACTTGAGCCCAAGAGGCAGAGGCAGAGGTTGCAGTGAGCTGAGATGGTGCCACTGCATTCCAGCCTGGGCAAGAAGAGCGAAACTCCATCTCAGAAAAAAAAAAAAAAAAAGACTGACAAAGTCTCTCACACCTGTAATCCCAGCACTTCAGGAGGCCAAGGCAGGAGGATCACTTGAGTCCAGGAATTCAAGACCAGCCTGGACAACATAGCAAGACCCCATCTGCACAAAAAGTTTAAAAAAATACCCAAGCATATGGCACACACCTATGGTCCCTGCTACTCAGGAGGCTGAGGTGGAAAAATCACTTGAGCCCAGGAGCTTGAGGCTGCAGTGAGCTGCGATCAAGTTACTGCACTTCAGCCTGAGCAACAGAGTGAGAGCCTGTCTAAAAAAAAAAAAAAAAAAAAAAAAAAAAAAAAACGGGCCAAGCACAATGGCTCAGGTCTGTAATCCCAGTACTTTTCAAGGCTGAGGCGGGCAGATCACTGGAGGTCAGGAATTTGAGACCAGCCTGGCCAACACGGTGAAACCCCATCTCTACTAAAAATACAAAAATTAGCCGAGTGTGGTTGTGGATGCCTGTAATCCCAGCTACTCGGGAGGCTGAGGTGGGAGAATCGGTTGAACCCAGGAGGCGGAGGTTGCAGTGAGCTGAGATTGCGCCACTGCACTGCAGCCTGGGCAACAAGAGTGAAACTCCGTCTAAAAAAAAAAAAAAAGAAAAAAAAAAACAACAAGAGATTGAACACTGCTGAGGTCATGAAAAACAAGGAAAGACTAAGAAACCATCACAGACCAGAGGAGATCAGGGAGGAACGGGGGCTAAATAAGGTGAAGGATCCTGGAAGAGAGGGAGGACATTTGTGGGAACATTGGTGACATCCACATAGAATGTCTGGAGTTTAGTTGATAGCATCATTGTCCCAGCATTAATTTCTTAGTTTCACCAAATGTACTGAGGTAGGGAAAGATGTCAACATCAGAGGAAGCTGGTGGAAGGGGACATGGGAGTGCTGCATAGCCTCTTTGCAACTTTCCTGCCATTAAACTGATTCCAAAATAAAACACTTATAAGACGTTTATTTTACAACTCATGCCAGGTGCAGTGGCTCACACCTGTAATCCCAATGCTTTGGGAGGCCAAGGCAAGAGGACTCCTTGAGTTCAGGAGTTTGAGTCCAGCCTGGGCCACACAGCAAAATCACATCTCTACAAAAATTACAAAAATTAGCCGGGAGTGATGGCATGTACCCGTAGTCCCAGCTACTTGAGGGGTCGCGATGGGAGGATCGTTTGAGCCCGGAAGGTCAAGGTTACAGCCTGGGCAACAGAGTGAGACCCTGTCTCAAAAAAAAAAAATAAAAAAAAGTAAGCTAAGAAGGGAGACATAAGCAGCAATATTGGAACTTACCCATACTTAAATAAAAAAATCCTTCCCTATCTGAAATGTATTTATTTATGATTATTTTTTAGACAGGGCCTCACTCTGTTGCCTAGGCTGGAGTGCAGTGGTGTGACCATGGCTCATTGCAGCCTTGACCTCCTGGGCTCAAGCAATCCGGCTGAGTAGCTGGGACCACAGGCACGAGCCACCATGCCCGGATAATTTTTTTTTTCTTTTTTTGAGATGGAGTTTTGCTTTTGTTGCCCAGGCTGCAGTGCAATGGCACGATCTTGGCTCACCGCAACCTCCACCTCCCGGGTTCAAACGATTGTCCTGCCTCAGTCTCCCTAGTAGCTGGGATTACAGGCAGATGCCACGACGCCCAGCTAATTTTTATATTTTTAGTAGAGATAGGGTTTCACCATGTTGGTCAGGCTGGTTTCGAACTCCTGACCTCAGGCAATCCACCTGCCTCGGCCTCCCAAAGTGCTGGGATTACAGTCATGAGCCACCATGCCCGGCCTCCCGGATAATTTTTAAAAAATTTTTTGTGGCTAGGCGCAGGGCTCACGCCTGTAGTTTTAACACTTTAGGAGGCCGAGGTAGATGGATCACCTGAGGTCAGGAGTTCGAGAACAGCCCGGCCAGCATGGTGAAACCCCGCCCCGCCTCTACTAAAAATACAAAAATTAGCAAGGCGTGGTGGTGGGCGCCTATACTCCCAGCTACTCGGGAGGCTGAGGCAGCAGAATCGCTTGAACCCGGGAGGTGGAGGTTGCAGTGAGTCGAGATTGCACCACTTCACTCCAACCTCGGCGACAGAGACTGTATCAAAAAAAAAAAAATTTTGTTGAGATAAGGTCTTGCTGTGCTTCCCAGACCGGTCTCAAACTCCTGGGCTCAAGCGATCCACTCGCCTTGGCCTCCCAGAGTGCTGGGATTCCAGGCACGAGCCACTGCACCTGGCCTCTATCTGAAATTTACATTTAAGTGGGGGGTCCTGTGTTTCAGCCCAAAACTCTAGTCTAGGCGGTAGAAAGGACCCAGTGGGCTGGGGGTGGGGCCCAGAGTCAGCACCCGGCTCTGGATCTGGCACCTGGGTGGCAGGGGTTCCATTAACTGAGGTGGGAAACAGAGGCCGGAGTGGAGGGGGGATAATGAGCTCATTTTACAGCAGCTGCTAATGGCTCTTAATAATGATGGTGATGACGATAATTGCACCTCCCCCACAGCATAAATCTTGCTCCACCCGGGCTGGTTTTGGACTCCTCTGGCTCCTTACCCGGCCTGGGAACCTGAGGGGCATCGAGCCAGACTCACGCCCGCGTCCCCCGCCACGCCTAGCCCTGGTGTGGAACTGCACAGATGCCCCCACTGTCCCCTCCCGCCGTCCCGAGTTCCCTGGGGTTGCTATTAAGAAACCTGTGACCTGGAAGCTCCCTCCTGGCTTCAAGTCTTCCTGCCTTTGCTTCGAGTCGTCCTGCCTTTCAACACTGAACCAATGTAGTTCTTACATATATTGACTGATGTCTCCTGTCTCCCTAAATGTCCAAGACTAAGCTGTGCCCCGACCACCTTGGACACATGTCATCAGGACCTCCTGAGTCTGTGTCATGGACGGGCATCCCCAACCTTGGCAAAATAAACTTTTTCTTTTTTTTTTTTTTGAGACAGAGTCTCTGTCTGTCACCCAGGCTAGAGTGCAGTGGCACGATCTCGGCTCACTGCAACCTCTGGCTCCTGGGTTCAAGTGATTCTTCTGCCTCAGCTTCCCGAGTAGCTGGGATGACAGGCACCCAGCTAATTTTTGTATTTTTAGTAGAAACGGGGTTTCACCATGTTGGTCAGGCTGGTCTCGAACTCCTGACCTCAGGTGATCCGCCCGCCTCGGCCTCTCCAAGTGCTGGGATTACAGGCATGAGCCACCATGCCCGGCCGCAAAATAAACTTGCTAAATTAACTAAGAACTGTCTCAAATTTTCGGGGTTCACAGTGGCTTCCAACAACGGAAACGTGTTCTCTCACAGTCCTGGAGGTCCCAAGTCGAAGGCTGACAGGTGAGTTTCTTCTGGGGACCTTGAAGGAGGGGAGGGACAGGGGGCTAAGGTGACTCCCAAGGTGGCAGGTGGATCGTAGTCCCAGCTACTCAGGAGGCTGAGACAGGAGAATCACTTGAACCTGGCAGGCGGAGGTTGAAATGAGCCGAGGTCACGCCACTGCACTCCAGCCTGGGCAACAGAGCAAGACTCCATCAAAAAAAAAAAAAAGTGTCAGAGGAATGCAAACAAATCCTTACACACACACACACACACACACACACACACACTCACAATAGCCCCAAGGTGGAAGCAAATCAAGTGTCCATCAACAGGCAAATGGACCGAAACAATGTGGTCCATCCACAATATGGAATATTATTCAGCCATGAAAAGGAAGCACTGACCCATGCTTCAGCATGGATGAACCCCGAAAACACGATGCTGAGAGAAGCCAGACACAAAGGCCACATAGCGTGAGATTCCATCTGAGTGAAATGCCCAGAATAGGCAACTCCATACAGCCAGGAAGCAGATGGGTGGTTGCCAGGGACTGGGGAAGGGGAATGGGGAGTGACTGCTGATGGGGACAGGGTCTCCTTTTGTGGGGATGAAGATGTCCTGGGACTAGTCAGAGGTAGTGGCTGCACAACACTGGGAATGCGCTAAATGCCACCAAATTGTACATTTAAAAATGGCTACCTTTGGCCGGGCCTGGTGGCTCACCTCTGTAATCCCAGCACTTTGGGAGGCAAAGGTGGGAGGATCACTTGAGCCCAGGAGTTTGAGACCAGCCTGGGCAACATGGTGAGACCCATCTCTACAAAACATTTAAAAATTAGCCAGGCATAGTGGCACGCGCCTGTAGTCCCAACTACTTAGAAGGTTGAGGTGGGACGATTGCTTGAGCCTGGGAGGTCGAGGCGAGCTATGATCACACCACTGCATTCCAGTCTGGGCAAGAGGCGAGACCCCCCATCTCTAAAAATATAAAATAAAATTGGCCGGGCAAAGTGGCTCATGCCTATAATTGCCAACACTTTGGGAGGCTGAGGCGGGTGAATCACCTGAGGTCAGGAGTTTGAAACCAGCCTGGCCAACATGGTGAAACCCCGTCTCTACTAAAAATCCAAAAGTTAGCCAGGCGTGGTGGCAGGCGCCTGTAATTCCAGCTACTCAGGAGGCTGAGGCAGGAGAATCACTTGAACCCGGGAGATGGAGGTTGCAGTGAGCCAAGATCATGCCACTGCACTCGGGCCTGGGTGACAGAGTGAGATTCCGCCTCAAAAAATAAAATAAAATTTAAAAATGGCTAACTTTATGTTATGTGAATTCCACCTCAATTTTTTAAAAAATGAAAATGCGAAACAAATGGAAAGAGAAGATATTTACACTCCATTTTCCAAGGAAATTGTTACAGGCACCCAGAAACACCCAGTCACCTAAAAGATGTGGAATTTTACAAATACACTTCAAGCATGTTAAATGGAGTCCTTCGGTGACTTACCCCTTCCGTGTAAGATTTACCTCTTACATGAAGAGTTTCTCTTCATGATAGCTGTCATTATTAATAATATATAATGACATAATTGCTTAACAACATCATTATGATTTTCCACCCCAATTATGAGGCTGAAGGGCATCAGGCTGAAGCACTGAAATTACAAGGCAAGTCAGAAGTCTGCTCCCACAAAAAGAGCTCCCCAGGATCCCAAAATGTGGGGCTCAAACTCAACCACTGTCCCCCTGGCCCTGGGCCTCCCCACTCTCCCCATCAAAATGGACCCATTCCTGCTCCAGGCACCAATTCTGCTGAACACAGAAGACACAGGAAGCCATCTGCTTCCTGGCTGTATGGAGTTGCCTGTTCTGGGCATTTCACACAGATGGAATCTCACACTACGTGGCCTTTGTGTCTGGCTTCTCTCAACATCATGTTTTTGGGGTTCATCCATGCTGTAGCATGGGTCAGTGCTTCCTTCCTTTTCATGGCTGAATAATATTCTATACTGTGCATGGACCACATTGTGTTGATCCGTTTGCCTGTGGATGGACACTTGATTTGCTTCCACTTTGGGGCTATTGTGAGTGTGTGCGTGTGTGTGTGTGTGTATAAGGATTTGTTTGCATTCCTCTGACACTTTTTTTTTTTTTTGATGGAGTCTCGCTCTGTTGCCCAGGCTGGAGTGCAGTGGCGTGACCTCGGCTCATTTCAACCTCCGCCTCCCAGGTTCAAGTGATTCGCCTGTCTCAGCCTCCTGAGTAGCTGGGACTACAGGCGCCCACCACTACACCTGGCTAATTTTTGTATTTTTAGTAGAGATGGGCTTTCACCATATTGGCCAGGCTGGTCTTGAACTCCTGACCTCAGGTGATCCACCTGCCTCAGCCTCCCAAAGTGCTGGGATTACAGGCATGACCCACTGTGACCGGCCATTTTTTTTTTTTTTAAATAGGGTCTCACTCTGTCACCCAGGCTGGAGTGCAATGGCGTTATGAGAAGGGAAGTGTGCCAGCCACCTCTGGTGGGCAGAGCATGTCAGGGAGTCCAAAAGGGCTGATCAAAGAGATGGCTTTGCCAGACACAATGGCTCATGCCTGCAGTCCCAGCACTTTGGGAGCCTGGGGTGAGATAACTTGCTTGAGGCCAGGAGATCAAGGCTGCAGTAAGTTGTGATCATGCCACTGTACTCCAGGATGCTGTCTCTACATAAATAAATAATAAATTATACTGTCCTCCAGCCTGGGTGACAAGAGCAAGACGCTGTCTATAAATACATAAATAAATAAATTACACGTGGTGGCTCATGCCTGTAATCCCAGCACTTCGGGAGGCCGAGGCAGGCAAATCATCTGAGGTCAGGAGTTCGAGACCAACCTGGCCAAACCCAGTCTCTACTAAAAATACAAAAAAAATCAGACGGGCGTGGTGGCAGGCACCTGTAATCCCAGCTACTCAGGAGGCTGAGGCAGGAGAATCGCTTGAACCCGGGAGGCGGAGGTTGCAGTGAGCCAAGGTCGTGCCATTGCACTCCAGCCTGGCGGCAGAGAGAGACTCTGCCTCAAAAAAAAAAAAAAACTAATAAATTTTATGATGTGTAAATGATATCTCAATAAATCTGTAAGAACTAAATGAAACAAAAGAGAAAAAGGAGTCCCTAGCCCAGATATATGGCAAAGAAAGAAAGAAAAAAAAAGGCCGGGTGAGGTGGCTCTTGCCTGTAATCTCAGCACTTTTGGGAGGTGGAGGCGGGTAGATCACTTGAGCCCAGGAGTTCCAGACCAGCCTGGGCAACATGGAGAAACCCTGTCTCTACTAATAAGACAAAAAAAAAAAAATAGCCAGGCGTGGTGGCTGCCACCTGTAGTCCCAGCTACTCGGGAGGCTGAAGTGGGAGGATGGCTTGAGCCTGGAAAATCAAGGCTGCAGTGAGCTGAGATCGCACCACTACACTCCAGCCAGGGCAACAGAGCAAGACCTTGTCTCAAAAGAAAAGAAAAAAGAAATCACTCTGAAGTTAGCACTCGTAAATCAGACATTTACAACCACGTACTTAAAATGTCCCAGATGCTAGTGATGTTCATACCGCTGACATTAACAGTCCAGATTCGCCACTCTCCTGGACGTGACCCCTCGGCCTTCAAGTTTCTGCTTAAAAGGTTGATTGTTCGTTTGTTTGTTTGTTTGAGACAGAATCTCACTCTGTCACCAGGCTGGAGTGCAGTGGCGTGATCTCGGCTCACTGCAACCTCTACCTCTCAGGTTCAAGCGATTCTCCTGCCTCAGACTCCTGAGTAGCTGGGACTACAGGCGCATGCCACCACGCCCAGCTGATTTTTGTATTTTTAGTAGAGACAGGGTTTCACCATGTTGGCCAGGATGGTGTCGATCTCCTGACCTCATGATTTGCCCGCCTCAGCCTCCCAAAGTGCTGGGATTACAGCCGTAAGCCACTGCACCCAGCCTTAAAAGGTTTCTTCCGGGCCGGGCGCAGTGGCTCATGCCTGTAATCCGAGCACTTTGGGAGGCCAAGACGGGCAGATCACGAGGTCAGGAGATCGAGACCATCCTGGCTAACACGGTGAAACCCCCTCTCTACTAAAAATACAAAAAATTAGCCGGGCGTGGTGGCGGGCGCCTGTAGTCCCAGCTACTCGGGAGGCTGAAGCAGGAGAATGGTGTGAACCCGGGAGGCGGAGCTTGCAGTGAGCCGAGATTGTGCCACCGCACTCCAGCCTGGGCGACAGAGCGAGACTCTGTCTCAAAAAAAAAAAAAAAAGTTTTTTTCTGCCTGCCTCCCCTCCAATCCAAGCCAGAGCCCTGTTATCCTGCCCTGAGCACTCCCCACTTTTCCCTCAGCCTTCCCATCCGCCTGTGACTCTGTGTTGCTTGGATAGAGCTTCAGTTAACCCTCAGGCTCCTCCCTGTCTGGAAGCTCCATGAGGGCAAAGACTGGCCCATTCTGGTAGACAGCTCACACTCCAGCACCTGCCCAATAAGAAGTATTCCTTAGCCAGGCATGGTGGCTCACACCCAGCACTTTGGGAGGCCAAGGCAGGAGGATCATTTGAGACCAGGAGTTGGAGACCAGCCTGGGCAGCATAGGGAGACCCTGTCTCTACAAACAAAATAAAAAATTAGCAGGGTTTGGTGGCATGCACCTGTAGTCCCAGCTACTCAGGAGGCTGAAGCAGGAGGATCACTTAAGCCCGGGAGTTTGAGGCTGCAGTGAGTTATGACTGCACCACTGCACTCTAGCCTGGGCAATAGAACAAGATCCTGTCTCAACAACAACAACAAAAGAGTGTTCATCAGTGTCTATTAAACGCATACTGAGGCCAGGCACGGTGTTTCACACCTGTAATCCCAGTACTTTGGGAGCCTGAGGTGGGCAGATCACCTGAGGTCAGGAGTTCGAGACCAGCCTGGTCAACATGGTGAAACCTTGTCTCTACTAAAAATACAAAAATTAGCCAGGCATGGTGGCACACTCCTGTAGTCCCAGCTACTCGGGAGGCTAAGGCACAAGAATTGCTTGAACCGGGAGGTGGAGGTTGCCGTGAGCCAAGATTGCGCCACTGCACTCCAGCCTGGGCAACAGAGAAAGACTCCATCTCAAAAAAAAAAAAAAAAAAAAAAAAAAAGCATACTGAGAGGCAGCGATAGTCTGGGAATTCAGTCCAGACTCTGGAGTTGAACATAGCTCTGCTGGCTTCTCCCTGTGCTTGAAGCTAACGTCTCTAAGCTTTGGCCAGAGTCAAGATTTTCTGCCTTGTGGGCCACGTGGTCCCTTTCAAAATGACTCAACTCTGTCGTCATCCCAGGAAAGTAGCCATTGCCAGGCGCAGTGGCTCATGCCTGTAATCCCGACACTTTAGAAGGCCAAGGCAGGATAGGATCTCTTCAGGCAAGGAGTTCGAAACCAGTATGGACAACACAGACCCTGTCTCTACAAAAAATCAGCCGAGCGTGGTAGCCCACGCCTGTAGTTCCAAGCTACTTGGGAGGCTGAGGTGGGAGGATCAACTGAGCTCAGGAGGTCAAGGCTGCAGTGAGCTGTGATCGTGCCACTGCACTCCAGCCTGGAAGACAGAGCCAGACCCTGTCTCAAAAAGAAAAAAAGTAGCTATAGATGATGGATCTATGAATGGGTATCACTGACAGTAAGATGTATTTATGCACACTGAAATTTGATTTTCATATAATGTTTGTGTTTCACGAAGTACTATTCTTTTTTTTCCAACCATTCATAAATGTAAATCCATGCTTAGCTCATGGGCCAAATGAAAGCTGCAGTGCCCACATATTATATGATTCCATTCATATAAAAATGTTGGCTGGTGCAGTGGCTCACGCTTGTAATCCCACCACTCTGGGAGGCCGAGGCGGGCAGATCACCTGAGGTCAGGAGTTGGAGACCAGCCTGACCAACACAGTGAAACCCTGTCTCTACAAAAAATACAAAAGTTAGCCAACATGGAGAAACCCTGTCTCTAGTAAAAATACAAAATTAGCCGGGTGTGGTGGCAGGTGCCTGTAATCCCAGCTACTCAGGAGGTTGAGACAAGAGAATCGCTTGAACCCGGAGGCAGAGGTTGCAGTAAGCCGAGATCGCGCCATTGCACTCCAGCCTGGGCAACAGAGCCAGACTCCGTCTCAAGGAAAAAAAAAAAAAAAAAAGCCTAGAACAGGCAAATCCATAGAGACAGGAAGCAGATTGGTGGTTGCCAGGGGCTGGGGGAGGGGAGTGGGGAGTGACTGCTGATGGGGACAGGGTTTTCTTTGGCGGCGACAGAAATGTTCTGCAGCCAGACAGAGGTGACATTCGCAGAGCACTGAATGTAGCAAATGCCACTGAATTGTGCACTTTAAAATAGTGAATTTCAGCTGGGCGCAGTGGCTCACGCCTGTAATCCCAGCACTTTGGGAGGCCGAGGCTGGTGGATCACCTGAGGTTGAGAGTTCGAGACCACCCTGACTAACACGGTGAAACCCCATCTCTACAAAAAATACAAAAGTTAGCCAGGTGGAGTGGCGCACGTCTGTAATCCCAGCTACTTGGGAGGCTGAGACAGAAGAATCACTTGAACCTGGGAGATGGAGGCTGCAGTGAGCCGAGGTCGCGCCACTGTACTCCAGCCTGGGAGACAGAGTGACTGTCTCAAAAATAAATAAATAAATGAAATAAAATAAAATGGTTAATTTCAGGTTATGTGAGCTTCACCTCGATAAGAACATATATACATATGGATATAATTTACATAGGAATATGCATAGAATGTAAAGAATTACACTATTGATATTTTGATTTTTTTTTAAGCTGCAAGCCACCATTTGCCAGCCTCCAATTAAGATAAATAAAAATAGCTCCCAGAGATGGAAGGGTTCTTCTAGGAAAAATCTTTTTTTTTTTTTTTTTTTTTTTTTGAGAGAGAGAGAGTTTCGCTCTTGTTGCCCAGGCTGGAGTGCAATGGCGCCATCTCGGCTCACTGCAACCTCCGCCTCCAGGGTTCAAGCGATTCTCCTGTCTGCTACCTTCATAAACACATGATGGGCAGGCATTCTCATGCCCCTTTGACGAATGAGGGACTGAAGTTCAAAAAGAAAACATCAGGCCAGCGCAGTGGCCCACGCCTGTGATCCCAACACTTTGGGAGGCTGAGGCAGGCGGATCATCACTGGGATCAGGAGTTTGAGACCAGCCTACCCAATATGGTGAAACCCCGTCTCTATTGAAAATATAAAAATTAGCTGGGCGTGGTGGCACATGTCTGTAATCCCAGCTATTCAGGAGACTGAGGCGGGAAAATTGCTTGAACCTGGGAGGCAGAGGGTTGCAGTGAGCTGAGATTGCGCCACTGCACTCCAGCCTGGGCAACAGGGCGAGACTCCATCTCAAAAAAAAAAAAAAAAAGAATATCATTCACTCAAGGTCAACAAGTACAAGTGCCAGAATCTAAACTCAGGGCTCCAGCTGTCCATCGCTTACCTCACTGAACAGACCAACTGGGAGGATTAAATGAGAAAATACATCCAGACAAGCCTGGCCAACATGGTGAGACTCCCGTCTCTACTTAAAATACAAAAATTAGCCAGGTGTAGTGGCGTGTGCCTGTAATCCCAGCTACTTGGGAGGCTGAGGCAGGAGAATCACTTGAACCTGGGTGGTGGAGGTTGCAGTGAGCCGAGATCGTGCCACTTCACTCCAGCCTGGGTGACAGAGTGAGACCTGGTCTCAAAAAAAAAAAAAAAGAAAATACATCCAGATCCTCAGCATAGGGCCTGGTATACATTAGGTGCTCAGTAAGTATTGCTCTCTCCCCCTCTTCTGTCCTGTGTGTCAATAAGAGCGAGGCAGTAATGGCCTGGCTGGCAAGAAGATGATGAGAGGTTCTGATGGGAACCCATCAGTCATCAGCCCAGTGCAATCCCGCATCTTCCCCAAGCACTCGCGACCTATTTATGTAGTAGTAAGAAAACTCCAGAGGCAGGGCCAGGCGTGGCGGCTCAGGTCTGTAATCCCAGTGCTTTGATAGGCAAGGGCAGAAGGATCGCTTGAGCCCAGGGGTTTGAGGCTGCAGTGACCTATGATCACACCACTATACTCCAGCCTGGGAGACAGAGCGAGACCCTGTCAAAACACACACACACACACACACACACACACACAAACTCCAGAGACAACCAGGCAAATCACAAAGTGACCTTTCCTATCAGACCTCAGCTCCAAGCATTGCAGCGACAAGGTGGTGACCCGAGATAAGAAGCGCACTTGCAGAGGGTGCCTCTGCCCGTATCTCTCCGCATCCTCAAGAAACACAGAACTATCAAACATTTTTGCAACATGAGGAGCCAAGTTTTGCAACATACTGAAAAAGGGTTGTGCAAACTTCAGCAGAAACACCCCAATTGCCCCAGCTGGGAGTCATCATCCAGTTGCTGCTGTAATGTGATTGTAATTCCTCCAGTGTTCATAATTTGTCTTGGAAGCTCAGCTGTATTTTACATGACGTGTTTTCTGTAGAATTCCTGAGTACTTGCTCTTGGGATCTGAGCCAAGTGCACACAATAGCTATTTGGGGCAAAACAGCTGGTAAAGAGAAAGGCAGCTTAGACCCTGAAGAAAAGTGGAAAGAATTCAAGGTTACTAGAAATGTCCAGGGCCCAGTAAAAGAAGATTGTAATCTCTCTATGTGCAGAAACAGGCCATATACTTCATCAGTTTCCTCTCCATGCTCAGCTCAGCATGGAGCGGAAGCTCAGTATTTATTTGTGGCTCAGACGAAAAACTTCTTGTTTGCAAGTTTCCTGAGCCCTTGAAGACAGCCTGGCAGGAGACAACAAATGCAAAGCTGCACACGTACCACTTATCCAATCCCCTGTTAGTGACAGACATCACCAGTCAATCAGTCAATCACAGACATGACCAATCCATCACAGCACTGGGCCTGGCTACAACCTCAGAATCTGCACCAGCACAGTGCTAAAAGCAACTATTATCAACAGATTTGAGGAAAATATTCTGCCTCCTTGGTCTACATTTATAATGTTGAGTTGTTAGGAGAAGATAAGGGGCAGCAAGAAAGAGATGACAATAAGATAATCACCATCGAGGCTGGGCACTGTGGCTCATGCCTGTAATCCCAGCACTTTGGGAGGCTTAGGCAGGAAGATCACTTGAGCCCAGGGGTTCGAGACCAGCCTGGGCAACAAAGTGAGACCCTGTCTCTACAAAGATTAAAAATTAGCCAGCCAGGCCAGGCACGGTGGCTCACGCCTGTAATCCCAGCACTTTGGGAGGCCAAGGCGGGCAGATCACCTGAGGTTGGGGGCTCAAGACCAGCCTGACCAACATGGAGAAACCCAGTCTGTACTAAAAATACAAAATTAGCCGGGCATAGTGGCGCATGCCTGTAATCCCAGCTACTCGGGAGGCTGAGGCAGGAGAACTGCTTGAACCCAGGAGGCAGAGGTTGTGGTGAGCAGAGGTCGCACCATTGCACTCCAGCCTGGGCAACAAGAGCAAAACTCCATCTCAAAAATTAATTAATTAATTAATTAAATAAAAATTAGCCAGTCGAGGTAGTGCACACCTGTAATCCCAGCTACTCAGGAGGCTGAGGCGGGAGTATTGCTTGAGCCTGGAAGTTGAAGGCTGCAGTGAACTATGATCGCATCTCTGCATTCCAGCCTGGGTGACCCTGTCTCCAAAAAACAAATCATCATCAGGAAACATAAAGTTCCCAACAGTGGCCAGGTGTGGTGGCTCACGCCTGTAATCCCAACACTTTGGGAGGCCTAGGTGAGTGGATCACCTGAGGTCAGGAGTTTTAGACCGAGTCTCCCTCTGTCACCCAGGCTGGAGTGCAGTGGCATGATCTTGGCTCCCTGCAACCCTGCCTCCCAGATTCAAGTGATTCTCCTGCCTCAGCCTCCCAAGTAGCTGGGACTACAGATGTGTGCCACCATGCCTGGCTAATTTTGCTTTGTTTTTGAGATGAAGTCTCGCTCTGCTGCCCAGGACGGAGTACAATCAGCTCACTGCAACCTCCACCTTCCAGGTTCAAGGGATTCTCCTGCCTCAGCCTCCCAAGTTCCCAAGTAGTTGGGATTACAGGCACCTGCCACCATCCCTGGCTAATTTTTCTATTTTTAGCAGAGATGGAGTTTCACTATGTTGGTCAGGCTGGTCTTGAACCTCAGGTGATCCACCCACCTCAGCCTCCCAAAGTGCTGGGATTACAGGCATGAGCCACCACACCCAGCTAATTTTTGTATTTTTAGTAGAGACGAGGTTTCACCGTGTTGGCCAGGCTGGTTTCAAACTCCTGACCTCAAATGATCCACCCGCCTCGGCCTCCCAAAGTGCTGGGATTACAGGCGTGAGCCACCGCACCCAGCCAAGGCTTGCAGAGCTCTGAGGGTAAAGTCACCTAACTAGTTCCAGGCAGGGCTGAGAATGTGACTTCATGCCCGGTGCTCTTTCTCCAACATCATCATTGGCTGGGACTTCACGAGGACAGATACCTGTGCAGGCAGATGCCAACCAGATAGCAGGTTCATAGGACAACAGCAGGAGCGGGTCTGTGCTCCAGGCCCCCTCCCAGTGCCAAGCCTCTCCTGCACAGAGAGATTCCACAGTGCCTGAGATCCCCTAAAAGGCTCATTCACTCATCTTCACAATCAGCCAGCAAGTACTGTTGAACACTGACAAATGCCATCTCATATTCTCAAAAGGAAACTGAGGCTCCGAGAGGTTAAGTGGCTTGCCTAAGGTCACACAGCTAATGTGGCAATTAAAATTCTTCTAGGTCGGGCACGGTGGCTCATGCCTGTAATACCAGCACTTTGGGAAGCCAAGGCAGGAGGATCACTTGAGGCCAGCCAGGAGTTAAAGACCAATCTGGGCAACACACTGAAACCTCATTTCTCTTTTTTTTTTTTTTTTTTTTTTGAGACAGAGTCTCGCTCTATCGTCCAGGCTGGAGCACAGTGGTGCGATCTCGGCTCACTGCAACCTCCACCTCCCGGGTTCAAGCAATTCTCTGCCTCAGCCTCCTGAGTAGCTGGGACTATAGGCGCTCACCACAACGCCTGGCTAATTTTTGTATTTTTAGTAGAGACAAGGTTTCACCATGTTGGCCAGGCTGGTCTTGAACTCCTGACCTCGAGATCCACCCGCCTCAGCCTCCCAAAGTGCTGGGATTACAGGCGTGAGCCAACATTCCCGCTTTTTTCTTTTCTTTTTTTTTTTTGAGACAGGTTCTCACTCTGTCGCCTGGGCTGGAGAACAGTGGCACGAACTCAGCTCACTGCAGCCTCTGCCTCCCGGGTTCAAGCGATTCTCATGCCTCAGCCTCCCGAGTAGCTGGGATTACAGGCACGTGCCACCACGACCAGCTGATTTTTGTAGTTTTTGTAGAGACGGGGTTTCACCACGGTCTCTTTTCACGCTGGTCTTGAACTCCCGACCTCAGGTGATCTGCCCACCTCAGCCTCCCAAAGTGCTGACATTACAGGTGTGAGCCACTACACCTGGCCCACAAGACCAGCCCACGAGACCTCATTTCTGTAAAATAAAATGAAAAGTTCGTGTTCTTTCCATGCACTGGCAGCTCTCTGCATTGGTTCTGCTGGCCAGGCACTCTGCTGAAATGTTTCACGCTGCCCTGGGAGGTCCTCAGTGGGTGGCCACTGTCTTTACATCACTTTTGTTTCAACAAATCGGGTCCACAGCTGGGCCCAGGGGGACACAGAGATGAGTCAAGGGAGGCCCCTGTCTTGAGGGGTTCACCGTCTGGGGAGGAAGCCAGGCGGGAGAACAGCTGGTTACCACGATGTATGAGTTTCCTGTGGTGGCCGCAACAAAAGACATAGACTGGGTGGCTTCCAACAATGGAAATGTATTCCCCACAGTTTTGGAGGCCAAAAGCCCAAAATCAAGGCATCAGCAGGGTTGGTTCCCTCTGGAGGCTCCGAGGGAGAATCTTTTTTTTTTTTTTTTTTAGATGGAGTCTCACTCTGTTGCCCAGGCTGGAGTGCAGTGAGTGCAATCTCGGCTCACTGCAGCCTCTGCCTTCCAGGCTCAAGCGATCCTCCCACCTCAACCTCCCGAGTAACTGGGACCACAGGTATGCGCCACCATGCCCAGCCAATTTTTGTATTTTTTGTAGCGAGGGGGTCTCACTTTGTTACCCAGGCTGGTCTCAAACTCCTGGGCTCCAGTAATACTCCTGCCTCGGCCTCCCAAAATGTTGGAATTACAGACGTGAGCCACCACACCCAGCCATCTGAGAAAGAATCTGTTCCCTTGGCTAGGTGCAGTGGCTCAAGCCTGTAATCCCAGCACTTTGGGAGGCTGAGGCAGGCAGATCACTTGAGGTCAGAAGCTCAAAACCAGCCTGGCCAACAGGATGAAGCCCCATCTCTACTAAAAATACAAAAATTAACCGGGCATGGTGGCATGCACCTGTAATCCCAGCTACTTGGGAGGCTGAGGCACAAGAATTGTTTGAACCCAAGGGGTGGAGGCTGCAGTGAGCCAAGATCACGCCACTGCACTCCAGCCTGGGCTACAGAGGGAGACTCTATCTAAAAAAAAAAAAAAAGAAACAAAAAGAATCTTTTCCCAGTTTTGCTGCTGGTGGCTCCGGAGATATCCCTGGGCCTGTGGCTGCCTCACTCCAATCTCTGGCCATCTTCACATGCCCTTCTTCTCTGTGTTTGTGTTCCTGCGTCCTTTCTCTCCTAAGGACTCTTGTCGCTGGATCAGGGCACACCTTAATCCAGGATGGTCTCACCTCAAGACGCTTCATGATGTCTGCAGAGAAACTCTTTTTGTTTTTGAGACAGTCTCACTCTGTCGCCCAGGCTGGAGTGCAAGGGTGCGATCTCGGCTCACTGCAACCTCCACCTCTCGGATTCAAGTGATTCTCCTGCCTCAGCCTCCCAAGTAGCTGGGACTACAGGCGCAAGCCACCGTGCCTGGCTAATTTTATATTTTTAGTAGAGACGGGGTTTCCATGTTAGCCAGGCTGGTCTTGAACACCTGACCTCAGGTGATCCACCTGCCTCGGCCTCCCAAAGTGCTTGGATTACAGGCGTGAGCCACTGTGCCCAGCCAAAGAAACTCTTTCTAAATAAGGTCATAGTCACAGGTGCCAGGGATTGAGACTCAGACATTTCTTTGTGGGGCCACTATTTAACCCATTACTCATGGATTGAATTACTCATGGCAAGACCCTGTCTCTACAAACAAAAATCAGCCAGGCATAATGGTGCACATCTGTAGTCCCAGCTGCTTGGGAGGCTGAGCTGGGAGGATGGCTTGAGCCTAGGAGTTTGAGGCTACAGTGAGCCATGACCGCGTCACTGCACTCCAGCCTGGATGACAGAGCAAGACCCTGTGTCAAGATAAATAAATAAATAAACTATGGATTATTATTATTATTAGTTAATAACAATATATTCCTCTCTGCTCAGTAATTGTCACAAATGCACCACACTAATGCAAGATGATAATAGGAGAAAGGTTGGGGTGGTGCGAGGGGTGCTACCTGGGAACGCCGTGTACTTCGTGCTCAATTTTTCTGTAAACCTAAAACTGCTGTAGAAAATAAAAGTCCAGACCAGGCGCTGTGAGTCACGCCTCCCAAATCCCAGCACTTTGGGAGGCCAAGGCGGGCGGATCACTTGAGGTCAGGAGTTTGAGACCAGCCTGGCCAACATGGTGAAACTCTGTCTCTACTAAAACAAAACAAACAAACAAACAAAAATTAGCTGGGCATGGTGGCGGGTGCCTGTAATCCCAGCTACCTAGGAGGCTGAGGCAGGAGAATCCCTGGAACCCGGGAGGCGGAAGCTGCAGTGAGCCAAGATTGAGCCACTGCATTCCAGCCTGGGCAACAGAGCAAGACTCTGTCTCAAAAATAAACAAATAAATAAAGTACGTTAGTTAAGGGAGGTTGAAAAAAAAGAGAGAGAGAGAGACAGGCAGAGACGACGGAGCTTCACAATTGGAAATGGAAAGAAAGGAACGCTGGTCGGGGGCGCAGTGAGCGCAGAGGGGAATGTGCTTGGTGTGTTTCAGGACCCAAACAGAGACAGTGAGAGAGGAGGAAGGCAGAGAGGTACCTCAGACAAGCTGCAGGTGCCAGTGAGCAAGGCTCAGAGGCCCAGGGGACCAAGGTGCTCTCTGACAAACTAGAGGGATGCTGTGGTCAGAGGTCTTTTTTTTTTTTTTTTTCTTTTAATTAGACAGAGTCTTACTCTGTCACCCTGTCACCCAGGCTGGAGTGCAGTGGCACGGTCTCGGCTCACTGCAACCTCCACCTCCCAAGTTCAAGCGATTCTAGCCTCTTCAGTAGCTGGGATTATAGGCACACGCCACCACGCCCGGCTAATTTTTGTATTTTTAGTAGAGACAGGGTTTCACCGTGTTGACCAGGCTAGTCTCCAACTTCTAACCGCAAGTGATCTGCCCGCCTCAGCCTTCCAAAGTGCTGGGATTACAGGTGTGAGCCACTGCGCCCAGCCGACGGTCTTGGCCAAAGCAAAGGAACAAACAAACAAAAACCCTTCCCGGCAGCTGCCCAGGCATCCCATATCCTTGAGGAGAAATTCCTGATTCCCTTAATCTTTCCATCATTATCATACGGGGAAACTGAGGCCCAGAGAAAGGCAATTCAATTCCCAAAGCACACAAGCAGGCCCATCTCCCAAGCGCTGGTAGAGAATTCAGTGTCACACAAGATGTCACCTACTTCCACAACAAAGAAAAGAGCCTGTGTGAACTCACAATAGCCATTTGGGGTAAGGTACTATTCTTATCTGCATTTCGAAGATTGAGGAGGCAAGCCCAAACAGCCAAAGCCACTGGTTCAAGGTCACACAGCGCGTGCTCAGTGGCTGAGGCTGACTCGCAGCCATTTCAGTGGCAACTGCAGAAAGCAAGTTTGTATTCAACTTGAAGTCTCCGGTGACTGGGTTTGGTGGGGGCTGCAGAGGGGACCCTGCAGAGTGCATTTCTGCAGAGGCTGAGAGTCCAAGCTTCCAGGGCAGGAGCTGCCTGCATCCCTCACCACCTGGCTCCAAGTTCCTCCTTGGGATGCTCTTCCTCCCATACCCACATGGTCCCCAATGACTTTTTCACATTAGCTCACATTTCACCCCCTGGGTGAGATTCAGAATTTCCCCATTTTCTCCTTCCCACTCCCTCATCTCACACTCACTTTCTAGTCCCTTCTACTGCTCCATTTTTCTTTTTAAACCCCTATCAGTAAGGCCAGGCGCAATGGCTCACACCTGTAATCCCAGCACTTTGGGAGGCCGAGGCGGGTGGATCGCCTGAGCCCAGGACTTCAAGACCAGCCTGGGCAACATAGTGAGACCCCGTCTCTACAAAAAAATACAAAAAAAAAAATTTAGCCAGGCATGGTGGTGTGCACCTTGTAATCCCAGCTACTTGGGAGGCTAAGGCAGGAGGATCTCTTGAGCGCAGGAGTTCGAGGCTGCAGTGAGCTGTGATTGCACTACTACACTCCAGACTGGGCAACAGAGGGAGACCCTGTCTCAAAAAAACTCAAATGAATAAACCTCTATCCTTCCCTCCTTCACTAAAGTGGAGGTCCCCTAGGGCAGGGATCTTGTCTATCTCTTGGTTACTGTGTCCCCAGTGCCTACCCAGGGCTGGCAGACAGTTGTAACAGGAGTGACAGTCCCTGGCCAGCAGGGATATGGTGTGGGGGACAGAGGTGGAGCATTGAAGGGACCCATTGGGCAGCATTGTCCTCTGATGCCCCCGATGCTGGAGCTGTATTGGGGGAATGACTGTCATCACCGTCCTCTGAGTTACTTAATTCATTTATGGAAGTCAGTAAAGGAACCCAGCCTGCCTGTGCCTGCCGCAACTCCAACTTCTCCCAGCCACCTCTGCCTCAGTTTCCCTGCACTTGACGGGCTTATTGAGGTTGGGGAGGAGGGGGTGGGTGTCTCAAATGTCAAAGATTTAATGTGTCTTGATGTTACCACACAAAAGTTTTGTTTTGTTTGTTTTTTTGAGACAGTCTCCTCTGTCACCCAGGCTGGAGTGTAGTGGTGTGATTGTATCTCACTGCAGCCTCGACCTCCTGGGCTCAAGCGATCCTCCCACCTCAGCCTCCCACTACACCCAGCTAATTTTTTTTATTTTTTAAGAGATGGGGGCCACTGTGTTGCCCAGGCTGGTCTTGAACTCCTGGCCTCGAGTGATCCTCCTGTCTCAGCCTCCCAAAGCGGTGGGATTACAGATGTGACCCACTGCACCAGGTCTACACAAGGTGTTTTTTTTTACAGGGTGATGTGCACACGGTGGGTCCCTCTGGGTGGTCCCACAACAGATGAGGGGCCCAGCCTCACCCATCCATGAATCCTGGAGACTCCAGACTTCCCATCCATCCAGGGTTCTGCAGCCCTCTCTGAGGCTGGAGCCAATCTCCCCTTCCGTCAAGGGATCCGGGGAGACCGCCAAGCCCGGTGCTCCCCTGAGAGTCTCTGAGAGGCCCCGACACCGCCCCCGCTCCAGGTCCCCGGGATGCTCGCGCAGGCGGGAGCCCGGGGCGCCCGGGGGATCCCTGAGCGTCACGCCGCTGTTGTGGAGCGCGTGTTGACAACGTCGCCGGGGAGACGGGCGGGGGCGGGGCCCGGGAGAGGGGGAGGCGCGGCCCTGGCGGCGCGCGAGGGGCCGGGCTGTCAGCGCAAGGCCCAGGCCGCCGCAGTGGCCACGGCCGCTGCCGCCCGCCGGCTTATATACCGCGGCTAAATTTAGGCTGCGCCCGGAGCTCGTCCCCATCCGGGACGCGTTTCCGCCGCCGCCGCTTTGGCCCGGCCCCCGCGCGCGCCGCGCCTATAAGGCTTGGGCGGGCCCGGCCGCGGCCCACAGAGCCGTCCCCGCCCGCCCGCGCCCCGACCAGCCCGGCCTCGGGCAGCCACTCACCGGTGTCCCCGTCCGCGTCCTTTCTCCCCGGGTCCCGGCCATGGCGCTGAGTGAACCCATCCTGCCGTCCTTCTCCACTTTCGCCAGCCCGTGCCGCGAGCGCGGCCTGCAGGAGGTGAGGGCGGCGGGGACGGCGGGGCGGCCGGGACCGTGGGCGGCGGGCTCGGGGTAGTAGAACGTGGGCTGCGGGGTGACAGGACGCGAAGGCGGGGACTGCAGACTCAGGAGAGGAGGATGCGGGCCACGGGGATCGCGGACTTAGGGTGGTAAAAGGCAAGCAGCGCCCCCCGAGCCCCGCCGCCCGCTCACGCCCATTGCCCTGTCGCCCGCAGCGCTGGCCGCGCGCCGAACCCGAGTCCGGCGGCACCGACGACGACCTCAACAGCGTGCTGGACTTCATCCTGTCCATGGGGCTGGATGGCCTGGGCGCCGAGGCCGCCCCGGAGCCGCCGCCGCCGCCCCCGCCGCCTGCGTTCTATTACCCCGAACCCGGCGCGCCCCCGCCCTACAGCGCCCCCGCGGGTGGCCTGGTGTCTGAGCTGCTGCGACCCGAGCTGGATGCGCCGCTGGGGCCCGCACTGCACGGCCGCTTTCTGCTGGCGCCGCCCGGCCGCCTGGTCAAGGCCGAGCCCCCTGAAGCGGACGGCGGCGGCGGCTACGGCTGCGCCCCCGGGCTGACCCGTGGACCGCGCGGCCTCAAGCGCGAGGGCGCCCCGGGCCCGGCGGCTTCGTGCATGCGAGGTCCCGGGGGCCGCCCCCCGCCGCCGCCCGACACACCGCCGCTCAGCCCCGACGGCCCCGCGCGCCTGCCCGCGCCCGGTCCGCGCGCCTCCTTCCCGCCGCCTTTCGGTGGCCCTGGTTTCGGCGCGCCCGGGCCCGGCCTGCATTACGCGCCGCCTGCGCCCCCAGCCTTCGGTCTCTTCGACGACGCGGCCGCCGCCGCGGCAGCCCTGGGCCTGGCGCCCCCCGCCGCCCGCGGTCTCCTCACGCCGCCTGCGTCCCCGCTGGAGCTGCTGGAGGCCAAGCCAAAGCGCGGCCGCCGCTCTTGGCCCCGCAAACGCACCGCCACTCACACCTGCAGCTACGCGGGCTGCGGCAAGACCTACACCAAGAGTTCGCATCTGAAGGCGCATCTGCGCACGCACACAGGTGGGCGGCACGCACGAGCCAGGAGCGCAGGCGGGGGGACGCGGGAGGAGAGGTCGGATTCCCAGCGCGCGCCAGAAAATGAATTTAGGACCTCCCTTGGGGCGTGGCTCAGGGGGATCTGGCAGGTGGTGCACGCTTAGGACTCCCCAGGAGGCGTGGCTCGGGAGGTTGGTTGGGGGGGCACACAGGAACACTCCCTAAGGAAGTGTGATCCGAGAGGTTGGGGTGGGGGCTTGCACGCTTAGGACGAGGGGGGCCTCCGGAGGTTGGGAAGAGCACTTAGAAAACCTCCTGGAGGCGTGGCTAGGGAGACAGTCTCAGAAAGTTGGGGAGGGGGAGCAGGTTTAGGAGCCGCTGGGCACTTGGCTCAGAATCCCCGGGGCTGAGGCTCAGGTAGTTGGGGAGTAGGTGCGCGTTTAGGAACCCCGGGGAGATGCTGCGTCTCAGGAAGTTGGGGAGGGCGCTCAGGCTTGGGACTCCTCTGGGGACAAGGCTCAGGACCTTGGGGAGGGAGTGTTCGCTGGGAAACCTTGAGAGATTCCGTGTCTTAGAATGCTGGAGAGAGGGTGCATGCTTAGGACCCGTCGGGGAGCGTGGCTGACAACAGTGGGGAGTGGACCTTGCGCTCCTCCGACCCCCTGGGGGTGAGGATCCGGATTGTGGGGGGAGTTGGGGATGTAGGGCAAGGATCCCTCAGGGGCGCAACACTACCGCGGGGAGCGCGTCAAGGCCCTGGTTAGGGATAGGTTGCGCTCGCCGGGGTAGCCATACGTGCCCTGTCCTGGGAGGGGAACTGACGCTTACTCTCGCCCCCTCCCTGCAGGTGAGAAGCCCTACCACTGCAACTGGGACGGCTGCGGCTGGAAGTTTGCGCGCTCAGACGAGCTCACGCGCCACTACCGAAAGCACACGGGCCACCGGCCATTCCAGTGCCATCTGTGCGATCGTGCCTTCTCGCGCTCCGATCACCTGGCGCTGCACATGAAACGGCACATGTAGCCGGGACGCCCCCGCCCACCTGCGCGCGGCCGTGGCGGGTCCCACGCGCCGGGCGCGGCCCCCTCCCAAACTGTGACTGGTATTTATTGGACCCAGAGAACCGGGCCGGGCACAGCGTGGCTACAGAGGGTCTCCCTCGATGACGACGACGACGACGCCACCACCCCAGCCCCCGTCTGTGACTGAAGGCCCGGTGGGAAAAGACCACGATCCTCCTTGACGAGTTTTGTTTTTCAAAATGGTGCAATAATTTAAGTGGCATCTTCTCTCCCACCGGGTCTACACTAGAGGATCGAGGCTTGTGATGCCTTGTGAGAAATAAGGGCCTTAATTTGTACTGTCTGCGGCATTTTTTATAATATTGTATATAGTGACTGACAAATATTGTATTACTGTACATAGAGAGACAGGTGGGCATTTTTGGGCTACCTGGTTCGTTTTTATAAGATTTTGCTGGGTTGGTTTTTTTTTTAATTAAAAAGTTTTGCATCTTTTAAAAAAAATCACAGCACTGGTCTGGTTGCTTGGAACTGGGGCCTTGGGGCACTTGGGAGGAGGGGGGAGCGGAGAGTTTGATGGAGGGCAGCCCCACTAAAGCATCGTGTGCAGTGGGTCCTGCGTCTGCCAGCACCGGGACTGCCAGCTGCTGTGCCTGCCTGCCAGGAACCTGTGGGTTTTTCTGTAAATTTAGACACTGCATTTTAGGACTGAGGGAGGGTTATTTTAAGGTTGTTCTTTGAGCCATAAATTGCCTCTTTGCCCCACAGCTGGGGAAAGTGCTGGTCCCACTGACGTGGCCTCCTCTACGTTGAAAAAAATAAAACTACTTACCTCTTCCTGGAAGCCTCTGAGGTTTTAGCCAAATTTCTGGAGTGCCAGCTCTATATTTTTATTTTTATTTTTAAAGGGGGTTAACCTGCTGAGTTTCTGGCATGTTCTGCCCTTTACTCGTCTCGACATTTAGCAAGTCTTTTCTTAAGGGGTGAGTTCCCCATTCTGCTAGCGGAAAACAGTGAAACCTGCATTCGAGGGCCATGCATGAAGCTCTTTTCCAGATGAGGAAACGGAGGCCCGGAGAGGTAGCGGCAGGGTGGTGGAGTTGGGTTGTTAGCCTGCTCTGTCTGCCTCCAAGGGTCCCTGAACCCCACTGGAAGGGAGTGGTAGCTTTCTACAATGACCCACCTGTTGTGTGCATTGGAAGGCTAGGAGAGCCTCCTCCCCTGTAGGTCTCCTGGTGCAAAAAATTCACTGCCTCAATGGTAGGAGGTGACCAGTCTGGAAACCCACCTGGAGAGCAGAGGAGACCCCTAAATCCCACCACCCCAAGTGTCTCAGGCAAGGAGGTATCTCTCCCCCCAGATTTCACCTGCCACCCCTCACCTTCCCCATTCTCAGGGGCCCCGGGTAACCATGACCACCAACCATTGCACAAGTTTCCAGAAAGTGAAAATAGCTCGTAAGCAGCGCCTGCTTTAAAACACTCTCACCCCGTTGCGACAGAGGCTGGGATTTCCTCCCTCCCTGCATCCTTCCTCCTCCCCAACTACGGCAGCCCTGGAAACAGCTGAGAGGTGTTTGGTAATCCACGAAAAGCAGAAATACGATTTGACAATCTGATTCATTTTCCGAGAGTAAATAGCCTGGCCTCACTTCCGCTGCTGATGAAGGGTGTGAATGTTTTTGAGCCTCCTGTACCCTCTGCGTGCAGCTTCTGCAAAAACCGTCCCAAGACAGAATGTTGGCCCCTCGACCTGGGGAGATGATCCCCCTTTTTAAAAGCTGGCCTCTGCAGTGCAGGGGCAGAAGAAGGACTCGCGGGTGGTTTAAAACAATATTAAGGGTCTCCAGGTTTCCCTGTTCAGCTTAAACTTAGTGATCAAGCTATTTTTCTTGCTTATTTGAAAATGTCTTCCAGGTTTCTCCTGGAAGCTTCTGAGTCCAGTGAAAGGCAAATCGTTCACGGGGCTGAAGCTGTTTCTGTTTCTTGCGTGTATGTTCTGTTGGAGAACAGACAGAATAGAAAGTGTGATAGTTGTACGTTTCAGTAAGAGACACCAACTCAGGCAGCGCTAGGTCATACCGACTAATCCAGAAATATCCCATCATCATTTTTTTCTGCCCCTTTCTGACACTCAAATGCCAATTTCCATGATCTTCTGCATCTGTGATGCTCAGTGGAGAGTGACCCAGTCTGGGAACATTTTTGGTTGTCAACTCGGGGGTGCTGCTGGCATCTGGTGGACAGAGGTGGGTGATGTTGCTAAGCATTCTGCAGTGTACAGACAGCCCCCACCACAGAGAATAGCCCAGCTCTGAATGTCAGCAGTGCTGAGGTTGAGACATCGCCTCTGGTTCCTAAAAGATCATTGCTCTTATCAGCAAGAAGGTGACTCTGTGCCACGAAGCAAGCTTTGGTGGCAAATGCCACCCAGAAAAAGGTACAAAGAAAACCTCACCCTGGGGCCATCTTCACCTAGGATTCTACAACCCAATCCCAATGCAAGTTTTTCTTTCTTTCTTTCTTTCTTTCTTTCTTTCTTTCTTTTTTTTTGGAGACAGTCTCGCTCTGTTGCCCAGGCTAGAGTACAGTGGCACAATCTCAGCTCACTGCAACTTCTGCCTCCTGGGTTCAAGTAATTCTCCTACCTCAGCACCTCCTAGTAGCTGGTATTACAGGCGCGCGCCACCAAGCCCAACTAATTTTTGGATTTTTAGTAAAGATGGGGTTTCGCCATGTTGGCCAGGCTGGTCTCGAACTCCTGACCTCAGGTGATCCACCCACCTCAGCCTCCCAAAGTGCTGGGATTACAGGAGTGAGCCACCGCACCCAAACTCTCTCTCTCTCTCTCTCTTTTTAGAGCAGGAGATTTGTGGTCACTGGCTGAATTACTTTTCATGGCTGTGATTTTCGCTATATTCTTTCTTTTCCCCAGGCAAAGTTATAATCATTTGTCGATGCTGTTTTTTCCCCCAGTTATACATTTGTATTGTCATTTTCATGGCTGCATAATATTCCTTTTAGATATGGCAGGAGTTATTTATGGAAACAAGCACTGTGGGTAAAAGGGTTGAAAAGGGTGAAGGTTTTATTTTGTTTGGTTTGAGATAGGGTCTCATCTGTCACCCAGGCTGGAGTGCAGTGGCACAATCACTACAATCTTGACCTCCTGGGTTCAAGCAATCCTCCTGCCTCAGCCTCCCGAGTAGCTGGGATTACAGGCATGCATCACCATGCCCAGCTAATTTTTACATTTTTTTGTACAGAGGGGATCTCACTATATTGCCCCTCCTGGGCTCAAGCAATCCTCCCGCCTCAGCCTCTCAAAATGCTGGGATTAAAGATGCAGACCACCAAGCCCAGCTATGGCAGGGGGTGGGGGAGAGGTGACAGTTTTGAGGGGCTTATTGGCATGGTGCTGGGGAGAGATGTAGGAGCTATTTTTCTGCTAGGCACTTCCTGTAGTTCTGGGGGCCCCAGCACCCAGGCAGGCTGCAGAATGATGTGGTGTGAAGTGGGAGGAGGAAGGGGGCGTTGTCAGAGGGCAAGATGTCTATAGGCTCACCCCTGACTCAGCACCCAGCCCTGTCAACACGGTTGAGTCAGCACCCACGCCCGGCAGCCCCAGGTGGAGTCCCAGGACCATAGGCTCAAGCTGATTTGTCAGGTGCCAGGGCTGGGTGGCTCCGATTGCCCCGGCCTGAGCTGTGTCAGCTGTGCCAGACCAGCGAGCATCAGCCTTGGAGCTGGGCACAGCGGTGGCTCATGCCTGTAATCCCAGCACTTTGGGAGGCCGAGGTGTGGGGATCTCTTGAGCCAAGGAGTTTGAGACCAGCCTGGGCAACATAGAGAGACCCTGTTTCTGGGTGGGTGGGGGGCGGGGGAAGAGAGAGAGAAGAGAGAAAAAACAAAAGACATTTGGAGCTGAATCATTCTCCAGTGCGGGGCCACCCTGTGCACTGCAGTGTTCAACAGCATCTCTGGCCTTCACCGACTCAATGCCAATTAACACCCGTCCCCTGGCCAGACCCGGGGGCTCACACCTGTAATTCCAGCACTTTGGGAGGGCAAGGCGGGTGGATCACTTGAGCTCAGGAGTTCGAGGCCAGCCTGGCCAATATGGTGAAACCCTGTCTCTACTTAAAAAAAAAAAAAATTAGCTGGGTGTGGTGGCAGGCGCCTATAATCTCTGTCATCTCAGCTACTTGGGAGGCTGAGTCAGGAGAATCACTGGAACCTGGGAGGCGGAGGTTGCACTGAGCTGAGATGGCGCCTGGGTGACATAGGGAGAGTCCATCTCAAAAAAAAAAAGAAAGAAACCCTCAGATCAGCCGTGCGACTTTGCCTGCCTGTGCCTCAGTTTCCTTGGGTGGAAAATGAGTTTGCTGCTGTGAAAATGAAATGAGACACTAAAGCTCAGAGCCCACCCCTGGGGTGTGGCCAGCACAGTGAGTGTCCTCTGATAAAGCTGGTGTGCCTGAATTTTAAGGCCCCTTCCTCCCTCTCTCTCCCTCTCCCCACAACCCTCTTCGCTCATTCATTCATTCATTCACCTGTTCATTCAGCAGATGCTCTGTATGGCAAGCAGATATGACTCAGAATCTCAGGAGTGACTCTGGCCGGGCGCAATGGTTCACACCTGTAATCCCAGCACTTTGGGAGGCCGAGGCAGGTGGATCACCTGAGGTCAGGAGTTCGAGACCAGCCTGGCCAACATGGTGAGACCCCGTCTCTACTAAAAACACAAAAATTAGCTGGGTATGGTGGCAGGCGCCTATAATCCCAGCTACTCGGGAAGCTGAGGGACGAGAATTGCTTGAACCCGGGAGGCAGAGGTTTCAGTGAGCTGAGATCACACCACTGCACTCCAGCCTGAGAGACAGAGCGAGACTCTGTCTCAAAAAAAAAAAAAAAAAAAGTGACGTAGCCTCTGGGCCTTGCCCAGAGTCAGTGCCAAAATGTTTGTCGCATGACCTAACTTTGTGCTAACGGTGGACCCTGTGACTCGAGCTTGGGTGCTTTCATTCTGGGCACCTTCAACAAATTATCTCTTTCAACCTCCCCACAAGCCTGAGGGTTGCCTAAGCACCCCCATTTTCTAGAGGTGGAAAGTGGGGTTCAGAGAGGGGAAGGTTAGCTGGGGGACCTGGTGCAGGTGGCAGAGCTGAGGCTTCAACCCAGGTCTGCCTGGCCTGGCCACCGCAACTCCTCCTGTGCCTAGAAACATCTGAATGCACCAATGCATCAGGTTTGCCCTGTTTCCCTCCACACACAGGTTCTAGGGGTTCCTGGAAGCCCTGCTGAGTTCCTTCTAGGCTTTTGTCTAAAAGGAACTGAGAAGCCCATTTGCCAGGAATATCCCAGACAGGGAGGGACAAGGGGTCGGGAAGAGGCTGGGTGAATAGGGTTCCCTGAGGTGCCCTATAAGAAGTTAGGAGGAGGCCGGGCACAGTGGCTCACGCCTGTAATCCCAGCACTTTGGGAGGTCAAGGCAGGTGGATCATTTGAGGTCAGGAGTTCGAGACCAGCCTGGCCAACATGGTGAAACCTCGTCTCTACTAAAAATACAAAAATTAGCTTGGAGTAGTGGTGGGCACCTGTGATCCCAGCTACTTGGGAGGCTGAGGCAGGAGAATTGCATGAACCCGGGAGGCGGAGGTTGCAGTGAGCCGAGATCACACCATTGCACACTAGCCTGGGCGACAGAGGAAGACTCCATCTCAAAAAAAAAATAATAATAAGTTAAGACGAGCCTGGGGGCCAGACACCATGGCTCACGCATGTAATCCCAGCACTTTGGGAGGCCAAGGCAGGTGGATTACTGGAGGTCAGAAGTTCAAGATCAGCCTGGCCAACATGGTGAAACCCCATCTCTACTAAAAAAAAAAAAAAAATACAGAAATTAGCCGGGCGTGGTGGTGCACACCTGTAATCCCAGGTACTCGGGAGGCTAAGGCAGGAGAATCACCTGAACCCAGGAGGCAGAGGTTACAGTGAGCCGAGATTGCACCACTGCACTCCGGCCTGGGCAACAGAGCAAGACTCTGTTTCAAAAAAAAAAAAAAAATGCTAAACATGGAATTGCCATAGGTCCCAGTGATTCCATTCCTAGGTATAGTCCCAAGAGAAATAAAAACCGGGACACAAACAGATACTTGCACACACGTGTTCGAGGCAGCACCATTTACATGCGCCAGACGGTGGAAACAGCCCAAATACCCATCAACTCATGAATCAATAAAAGTGTGGTATATCCATATGACCCAGTGGTTTTTGTGTTTGTTTTTTGGGATAAGGTCTCGCTCTGTTGCCCAGGCTGGAGTGCAGTGGTGCGATCACAGCTAACTGCAGCCTCGAACCCCTGGGTTCAAGCAATCCTCCTGCATCAGCCTCTCGGGCTGGTTCTTACTGGGGGCTCCCCTGAGTGCAGAGAACAGGCCCAAGCTGATGCCAGTTAGGGAAGTCATCTCTATAGTTCTAGAAGGGATACTGAGCCCAGGAGGCTGGAGACAGGGGCCTCACCAACCCTCTGCTCGTAGCCTGAGCTCTTTCTCCAGCGTGATTTGATCTGCCCCATCACCGTGTTCTTTTCTCTCTCATCCCATATTTTCTTTCTTTCATTCTTTCTCTTTATTGTGATTAAATATACATAACATAAAATTGACTGTTTTTGTTTTGTTTTGTTTGAGACAGGGTCTCACTCTGTTGCCCAGGCTGGAGTGCAGTGGTGCGATCACAGCTCACTGCAGCCTCGACCTCCTCAGGCTCACGTGATCCTCCCGCCTCAGCCTCCAGAGCAGCTGGGACTATAGGAGTGTGCTACTACGCCTGGCTAATTTTTCTATTTTTTGTAGAGCCTGAGTCTCACTGTGTTACCCAGGCTGGTCGCAAACTCCTGGGCTCAAATGAACCATCCACCTTGGCCTCCCAAAATGCTGGGATTACAAGAGTGAGACATTGTGCCTGGCTAAAATTCACTTTTTTTTTTTTTGTGACAGAGTCTTGCTCTGTCACCCAGGCTGGAGTGCAGTGGCACGATCTCGGTTCACTGCAACCTCCCACCTCAAGTGATTCTCCTGCCTCAGCCTCCCGAGTAGCTGGGATTACAGGCGCACGCCAGCACAGCCGGCTAATTTTTATATTTTCAGTAGAGACGGGGTTTCACCATGTTGGCCAATGGTCTCAAACTCCTGACCTCAGGTGATCCGCCCCCCTTGGCCTCCCAAAGTGCTAGGAATACAGGCGTGAGCCACCACACCCAGCACAAAATTGGTTATTTTTAAGTGTTCAGTTCAGCAGCATTCACAGCATTGTGCCACCTTCACCACCACCCATCTCCAGAGCTTTTCCCTTCTTCCCAAACTGAAACTTTGATCCCATTAAACACTCACTTCCCATTCTCCCTCCCCAGCCACTGGCCCCCACCCTTCTTCCTTCTGTCTCTACAAATTTGAGCACTCTGAGGACCTCCTAGGAGTGGAATCATACAGTATCTGTCCTTTCCTGTAGTTTATTTCACTCAGCATAATGTCTTCAAGATTCATCCACGTGGTAGTGTGTGTCAGAATTTCCTTCCTTTTTATGACTCAGTAATATTCCATTGTGTGGAAGGACCACATTTTGTATGTCCATTCATTCCTTGATGAACACTTGGTCATTTCCACCCCTTGGCTGCTATGAACATGAGTGTGCAAATACCCATTCCAGCCCCTGCTATCAGTTTTTTGGGGCTGTGTCCCTAACAGTGGAATGGCTGGATACCCTTTTTTACTTTTTACTGTTAGTATTTTTTGAGACAGAGTCTCACTCTCTCGCCCAGCCTGCAGTGCAGTGGTGCAGTCTCAGCTCACTGCACCCTCTGCCTCCCGGGTTCAAGTGATTCTCCTGCCTCAGCCTCCCAAGTAACTGGGATTACAGGCGTGCACCACCTCACCCAGCTAATTTTTGTATTTTTAGTAGAGACGACGTTTCACCATGTTGGCCAGGCTGGTCTCGAACTCCTGACCTCAAGCGATCCTCCTGCCTCGGCCTCCCAAAGTGCTGAGATTACAGGCGTCAGCCAACGCGCCTGGCCTGGGTATCCTTTTTTAAACTTTATTCGTGGCTGCTGATAACGCTCAAAAGAGTTTTTCTTTCCTTAGCAGCTCGCCTAAGAGCCATTGACCCAGGCTGAGCATCGTCTGCGAGCCTCCCTGAGAGCTCAGATTCACACCAGCCGGCATCTGTCGCCTCAGCCTGCAACATTCTGGGCCTCGATTTCCTCTTCTTTGAAATGGGGGTAACAGCGCAGAGCAGTGGGAGCACGGCCGGTGCCCTGGCCTTGGGGGCCGCCCGGAAATCGGGGTTTTGCAGCAGCTTGGGTTGTGCAGAGAGGCAGAGGCTGTCAGGGAGATGGACGGGCCTGAGGTGGAGGTGCCGCTCACACCCGGCACACCCGCCGCCTGCTCAGCCCACAGCCTGCTCTGCGCAGCCAGCTCTGCGCAGCCAGCTCCCCTCCCCACCTAGGCCCCGGCCATCTCAAGACAGCCTCCTCCGGAGGGGACACAGACTCCTGCACACCAGACCCAGAGACTCTTAGGCCGGCGACTAAACTGAAAAGCCCTCACTCTGCAGGGTGGGGAAACTGAGGCCCGGGTATCCAAATCCTCCGGCAGACAGACGCCAACCGACCTACATGGGTCTTGGGGTCTTCCTGAGCCACAAACGCAAATCCCACAGGAGGAGCTGGTCCCTCAGGTGGGGTTCCTACCAGGGACATGGCTTGCCAGGATTTGACCCCGTTTTAACCTAGAACAGCCAGGTGTGCTGGCTCATACCTGTAATCCCAGCACTTTGGGAGGCTGAGGTGGGAGGACCACTTGAGGCTGGGAGTTTGAGACCAGCCTGGGGAACATAGCAAGACCCCATCTCTTAAAAAAAGAGCGTGGTAGCAGGCATGGTAGCATGCATCTATAGTCCCAACTACTCAGGAGGCTGAGGTGGGAAGATCACTTGGGCCCAGGAGTTTGAGGCTGCAGTGAGCTATGATTGTGCCACTGCACTCTGATATGGGTGATAGAGCAAGACCCTGCCTCTAATAAATAAATAATTATTTTTATAATTTATTATAAAATTATAAATGTTATAAAAATTAATTTAATTTAATTAAATAAAAAAAGCAAGGTAGCTCATGCCTGTAATTCTAGCACTTTGGGAGACCAAGGTGAGCAGATCACTTGAGGCCAGGAGTTCGAGACCAGCCTGGCCAACATGGTGAAACCCTGTCTCTACTAAAAATACAAAAAAAAAAAATTAAGCCGGGCGCGGTGGTGTGCAGGTATAGTCCCAGCTACTCGGGTGGCTGAGGTATGAGAATCACTTGAACCCAGGAGATGGAGGTTGCAATGAGCCACGATCACGCCACTGCACTCCAGCCTGGGTGACAGAGTGAGTCCCTGTCTCAAAATAAGTAAATAAATAATATCATCTAGAACGATGTAAACAGAACATTGCATTGACATTTTGTCAATTGCCACAAAATTGACATTTTGTCAATGGTTTGTCATTGCAAGCCATTTTGTTTTTTCTCTCCCCGCCATCCCCCCTCCTTTTTCTTTAAACATGGGGAGTTTATAAATCCATGAGACCTAACAAGCAGCTATAGGACACTCCACACAACAGCAGGACACACTTTCTTCTTGAGGGTGCAAGGAACATTCCCTGGGAGAGGCCAAAGAATAAATCCAGTGCATTGAAAAGGATCGCAATTCTATAAAGTATGTCCTCTGACCACAATGGAATGAAGTGAGAAATAAGAAACAGAGAGGAATTTGGCAAACTTAAGAAATATGTAGAAATTCAAGAACGCACTTGTAAAGACAAGGAGGACCTACTCTAAGATTCATCAGAAAATCCCAGCATTTGAGACCAGCCTGCGCCACATGGTGAGACCCCATCCACAGAAAAAATACAAAAAATCGCCGGGCCTGGTGGCGTGCACCTGTAATCCTAGATACTCGGGAGGCTGAGGTGGGAGGATCACTTGAAACAGGGAGGTAGAGGCTGCAGTGAGCCGCGATCGCATCACTGCACTCCAGCCTGGGCAACAGAGTGAGGCCCTGTCTCAAAAAAAACGAAAAGAAAAGAAAAAAAGAAAAAGGCCATGTGTAGTGGCTTACACCTGTAATCCCAGCACTTTGGGAGGCTGAGGCAGGTGAATCACCTGAGGTCTGGAGTTCGAGACCAGCCTGGCCAACATGGTGAAACCCCATCTCTACTAAAAATACAAAAAAAAAAAAGACAACACACACACACACACACACACACACACACACACACACACACACAAAACAAACTAGCTGGGCATGGTGGCAGGCACCTATAATCCCAGCTACTCAGGAGGCTGAGGTAGGAGAATCGCTTGAACCCGGGAGGCGGAGGTTGCAGTGAGCTGAGATCGCATCATTGCACTCCAGCCTGGGCAAAAAAGCAACACTCCACCTCAAAAAAAAAAAAGACAAAAAAACATTCTAGCAGTGGGAAGGTCCTTTAGGGGCCTAAGCTCCTGAGTGGGGACCAGTCCGGCTTTGTGCAGGGACTCAGTGCACCTGGGGCTCTCTCTGCAGATATGAGATGTGCATGGGCTCTTCTGGATGTTGCCCTAGTGAGTTCTGAGGGCTCCTGTGGGCTCGTAGCTTCTAGAGTGGATGATTCCCCCAAGATCACTGTGGGGAACACCAAGAGTGGCTGCTCCCCACAGCTTCAAGGCTGCCAGTGGGGACTCCACTGGAGGTCCGCTTCTGGGGGGCTGCCACGTGTCCCCAGCTTTAGTCAGGACCCCTCCCACAACAGCATCCCCTGCTCCCATCCACATCTCCAGGTCCTCCAACTCCTGTGACCCTTCCCCAATCCCACATCTTTGCACAGGCTGTTCCTCATGGCAAAAAGCCCTTCCTGTGTGTCCGTGGGGCAGATGCCAGTCCGCCCCCCAAGGCCTGGCTCCGGCATCACCTCCACTGGGAAGCCTGCCCTGATTCCCATAGAAGCACCCCAGCCTGCCCCGTGCCAGCTTGGACCTCACAGGGTGGGAGCGCCAGATCTGTGGCTGGCTCCTCCTTCCCACTAGACTGGGCAGCAGCAGAGAGGGGTGCTGAATGACTCGGGGGACCTGGTTGACAAGGGGTCAGGACCGTGAAGGGGACAGTGGTTTTACTCCCCTGTCATAGTCACAGAGAGCAACACACAAAATCCAAGGATTCCTGGGATGACAGAATTTCTGACCTCAAGGCCAAGATGATGCTGGGTAGAGTGTGCAGCGTGTAGTGTAGACGGGGACTTGGATCCGCTGGCCCTGGCTGCCTGGAGATGCTGGGTAGAGCACGTAGTATGCAGCGTAGACAGCATTCAGAGTCCCTCAGCCCTGGCTGCCCCTACCTCTGCCCCTTGCCCCTGGCCATGGCCCTGGGCGCACGCCTGGCCCTCTCTGAGCCACAGCTCCCTCCCACCAGGGCTGGTGAGAAAAGTAAACCGAGAGTGCTGTTTCCTGCCACCCTGCTGGGTGCTCAGCCTCCCTCCACCCGCATCCTCTCGAGTGGGTAGAATCCCAACTGGGGGCCCTCTGGCAGGGTCCGGGAGCTGGCACACGAGCAGGCACTCTGGCTCGGCCATGCATCCGTCCATGGGCCACTCGCCGAGACACGTGGCTCTAAATGGACACAGTCATTCAGGAAATAGCGCCTCGCCCACCGAATGCCAGGCGCCACTCAGCAGGCTGCTGTAACTCCGCAGGCTGCCTCCTGAATTGCCCTCCACTTTCAACCTTGACCCCAGGTTGGCCTTTCTGGGGACTGTCCCAAGATCGAGAGACACACTTCACAGCCAAGCCCTCGTCTGCAGCCTCGGAGCTATGAGATGTTCCAGCTCCAGGGAAAAAACTCAGGAATCAGAAGTCTGGCCAGCCCCATCCCACTCCTCTTGGCTTTAATGTAACTCAGAGGCACCGATCCTGGCTCTTGGGGCAGAATTCTCCACATTCCTGGTGTGTTTCCGTTGAACCCCAAACCGCAAACACATCCTGACATCTCATTTCCTCAATGTGCCCTGGTGGTGACTCGGGCCACCTTGCCGGGAGCTCGTTTTGAGTCATACAGAGATTTGTCGAAGGAAGGGTTTCTCATCTCAGAAGTTGGAGGCCGTTCCCACCAACCTCCCTCCCTGCATCTGTACAAGAATTGCTGGCGGGGCTGCTATTCCCTGATGCTTGGATCTGAGCTCTCAGTGACTCGGGAGGCACTGGCCAGGGGCCCTGGACAAATCTAAGCTCAGTTCCTTATGTCACCACTGTCAACCTCAGGCACGGGAAGGCGGCTCTCAGTCTCTTTCCTCCTCTGTAGAGCTGGGCTCTTAGCAGCTATCTTGGCCGGGCTCTATCTCAAATGGATGGAATCTGGGCTATGCCTGACACATAGTAGGTGCTCAGTGAAGGAATGGTGCCCATTAGTGAGAGAGGGAGACAGGGCTGGGCATGGTGATGTGCACCCGTGGTCCCAGCTACTTAGGAGGCTGAGGCAGAAGGATCCCTAGAGGCCAGGAGGTCGAGACAGCAATGAGCTATGATTGCACCGTTGCACTCCAGCCTGGGCAACAGAGCAAGACCCTGTCCTTAAAATAATAATAGTAATAATAATTTATTGAACTCCTGACCTCAGGTGATCCACCCGCCTCGGCCTTCCAAAGTGCTGAGATTACAAGCATGAGCCACTGTGCCTGGCTGAATAATAATCACTAAAAAATTAATCTAAACATAATTTCTAGGCTGGGTGCGGTGGCTCATGCCTGTAATCCCAGCACTTTGGGAGGCCAAGGCGGGCAGATCACCTGAGGTCAGGATTTTGAAACCAGCCTGGCCAACATGGCGAAACCCTGTCTCTAATTTAAAAAAAAAAGAAAAAAAAAATTAGCCCGGTGTGGTGGTGCATGCCTGTAGTCCCAGCTGCTGGGGAGGCTGAGAATTGTTTGAACCCAGGAGGTGGACGTTGCAGTGAGTTAAGATCATGCCACTACACTTCAGCCTAGGCAACAGAGAGAGACCCTGTCTCTAAATAAATAAATGAGAGAGAGAGAGAAAAAAAATCCAAGGAAACAAGCCCATTCATTCTACTTAATTCCGCTGGTCTCTGGGAGGCAGGTTGGGGGTGGAGAAATTCCATGTTTTTACAGAATCCTGACGTCACCAGCAACTGCCCCACCAGGAGCTAACTTCAGCACGGGCGGAGGGAGGGTGTCTGCCCACGACCTGACCTTGAACTGGGCCTTTCTTAAATGTAAATGTGCATCTCCTTTGGTGCTTTTTTAAGTGGGAGAGGTCCCTGAAAGGTTGTTGCCTGGAGGAAAAGTTTTGGCAATTAACTTTTATTATTGTTTGCTTGCTTAAAGAAACTGGGGGCCCAGAGCAGTGAGTGGCTTATGCCTGTAATCCCAGCACTCTGGGAAGCCGAGGCGGGCAGATCACTTGAGCCCAGGACTTCCAGACCAGCCTGGCCAACAAAAATTAGCCAGGCATGGTGGAGTGCACCTGTAATCCCAGCTACTCGGGAGGCTGAGGCAGGGGGATCACTTGAACCCGGGAGGCAGAGGCTGCAGTGAGCTAATATTGCTCCACTGCACTCCAACCTGCTGGGCGACAGAGTGAGACTGTCTCAAAAAACAATTGGGATGTTCATCAAAGCACTATTCATAACAGCCAAAAAGTAGAAACAACCCAAGTGTCCATTAGAGAATGAATAAGAAAACTGTGATCCATACATACAATGGAATATTATTCAGCCATGAAAAGGAATGAAGCACTGATCCATGCTACAATGTGGATGAGCCCCCAAAACATTCTGAGTGAGAGAAGCCAGACGCGAAAGCCCACATAGTGTGAGATTCCACTGATACAAAATGCCCAGAACAGGCAAATCCAGAGAGACAGGAAGCAGATGAGTGGCTGCCAGGGGCTGGGGGAGGGGAATGGGGAGTGGCTGCTGATGGGGACAGGGTCTCCTCTTGGGGGATGCAAATGTTCTGGAATTAGACAGAGGTGATGGTTGCACAACATTGTGAATGCACGAAATGCCACTACCGTGTACACTTCATGGTTAGTTTTATGTTATGTGAATTTCAGCTCAATTTTAAGGTGTAAAAAAAGCAATTGAGAATAAGTTGCTTCTGTTGTAAAACGTTACTTTTTTTTTCAGACGGAGTCTTGCTCTGTCGCCCACGCTGGAGTGCAGTGGTGCAATCTCGGCTAACTGCAACCTCCGCCTCCCAGGTTCAGGTGATTCTCCTGCCTCGGCCTCCCCAGCAGCTGGAATTACCGGCGCCCGCCACCACTCCCAGCTAATTTTTGTATTTTTAGTAGAGACGGGTTTCACTGTGTTGGCCAGAAGGGTCTCAAATGCCTGACCTCAAGTGATCCACCCACCTTGGCCTCTTAAAATGCTGGGATTACAGGCATGAGCCACCATGCGCAGCCACATTACTATTTTTAATACAGTTATTTTGTCAATATAACATAAAGTTTGGACCGAGTATCCACTGATGAATGAATGGATAAACAAAATGTGGTCTATCCATCTATCCAGACAATGGAATAGTATTCAGTTTTTAAAAAGAAAGAGATTATAGGGCCGGGCGCGGTGGCTCACGCTTGTAATCCCAACACTTTGGGAGGCCGAGGCGGGCGGATCATGAGGTCAGGAGTTCGAAACTAGCCTGGCCAACATGGTGAAACCCAGTCTATACTAAAAATACAAAAATTAGCTGGGCGTGGCGGTGCGTGCCTGTAATCCCAGCTACTCGGGAGGCTGAGGCAGGAGAATTGTTTGAACCCAGGAGGCGGAGGTTGCAGTGAGCCGAGATCACGCCATTACACTCCAGCCTGGGCAGCAGTGCAAGACTACAATTCAAAAAAAAAAGAAAAGAAAAGAAAAGAAAAAGAGAAAGATTCTGACACATACATGCTCCAACAGGAACTATCCTAAGTGAAATACGCCAGACACAAAAAGAGAAATACTGTATGAGTCCATGCATCAGATTCATAGAGACAGGAAGTAGAATGGTGGGTGCGAGGGGCTGGGGGAGGAGGAAATGGGGAATGAGTATTTAGTGGGGGCAGAGTTTCAGTTTTACAAGCTGACAAGAGCTCTGCTGCGTAACATGAATGGACTGGGGTGAGCCGTGAGGGCTGGAGGGCCCTCAGACAAGAGAAAGGATGACAGTTCCAAGGCTTCAAACAGATGCTCTGAGAGAACCAGTCCTCAGAAAGGCTGAGAATCCCTGGAATTTTTCCTGGGCTGGAAGGGATCTGCTCTATGGCTTAAAGGTCTTGGCCAAGGGCCTGAAGAACCACCCATCTTCCAGGGCCCAGGCACTCCGACTCCTCAAATTTAAATACAGGCGCTTTCTACGCATGAGTGCCAAACCATTTCCAGTAAGTCTCATTGTCAGCTATAAAAATAACCACTGTTGAAGCAGAGACAAGCTCGTGATGCAGCCAGGCAGTGCCACAGAGAGGCAATGGCATCTGTCCCTGTCAAATGGAAAGTCCCCTGGCCAAGCCTCTGAATTCAAGTGAACATCTTGGTCTTGGATGTGACCATCTGAATGGTGGTCGAGAAAGTGCTTGGTCCATAGAAGGCACCCAGGACACTCGAGCCCCCTTCTCTCCCATGACCTTCGTACAATGGCACGGAATGGAGACGCAGGGCTGGGACTTCCCCTCCACCACACCGGTTTCCTTTACAATGAGATTCCATTCCTATAATGAGGAATAATGTAGTAGCTTAGTTAATACAGACAGAACTGCCCCTCAGTCGGTTCTTGGGTAGTGGAGCTAGAATATACAGGCCCTGCTCTAAAAGCTCAAAGCAATCCCTGGACAGTAACCATAGCTTTAATAATACTCATCTGGGCCGGGTGCGGTGGCTGAAGCCTGGAATCCCAGCACTTTGGGAGGCCGAAGCGGGCAAATCACAAGGTCAGGAGTTCGAGACCAGCCTGGCCAACATAGTGAAAGCCCATCTCTACTAAAAATACAAAAAAATTAGCTGGGCTTAGTGGCGGGCACCTGTAATCCCAGCTGCTCGGGAGGCTGAGGCAGGAGAATTGCTTGAACCCGGGAGGCGGAGGTTACATGAGCTGAGATCGTGCCACTGCACTACAGCCCAGGTGACACAGTGAGACTCCATCTAAAATAATAAGAATAATACCCATCTGAATGAATAATAACAAAAACCAGTACCACTGGCTAGGAGGCGGAAGTGGGGTTATGGGGAATTGCTCAATGGGTACAGAGTGTCAATTTCACAAAATGAGAAAGTTCTAGAGATCTGTTGCAGAATGGTGTGAATATATTTAACACTGCTGAACCACGCACTTGAAAGTGGTTTTTTTAAAAAAAAAGTGGTTAAAGTGGAGCTGGATGCAGTGGCATGCACCTGTAGGCCCAGTTACTCCAGAGGCCGAGGCGGGAGGATTGCTTGAGCCTAGGAGTTTGAATCCAGCCCGGGCAACATAGTGACAACCTGTCTCTAAAAAAATAAAAAAAGAATAAAAATTTCTATAAATTAAAAATAAATTTAGGCCAGGAATGGTGGCTCACACCTGTAACCCCAACACTTTGGGAGGATCCCTTGAGCTCAGGAGTTTGTGACCAGCCTGCACAAAGTAGTGAGACTCTATCTCTAGAAAACATACAAAAATTAGCCAGGCGTGGTGCTGCATGCCTATAGCCCCGGCTATTCAGAAGGCTGAAATGGGAGGATCACTTGAGCCCGGGGTGCGAAGGCTGCAGTGAGCCGAGATCGCACCACTGCACTCCAGCCTGGGCAACAGAGTGAGACCCTGTCTCAATAAATAAACACATACATAAAATAAAATAAATGAATAATTTTTTTTTTCCTGAGACAGAGTTTTGCTTTTTCAGCCAGCTGGAGTGCAGTGGTGCGATCTCGGCTCACTGCAAGCTCCGCCTCCTGGGTTCACACCATTCTCCTCAGCCTCCCAAGTAGCTGGGACTACAGGTGCCCGCCACCACACCCGGCTAATTTTTTGTATTTTTAGTAGAGATGGGGTTTCACCGTGTTAGCCAGGATGGTCTTGATCTCCTGACCTCATGATCCACCTGCCTCGGCCTCCCAAAGTGCTGGGATTACAGGTGTGAGCCACCACACCCGGCTGAATAAATTTTTAAATGGTTAAAATGGTAAGTTTCATGTTTTTTATCATAATTAATATTTTTTTTTTTTGAGACAGAGTCTTGCTCTGTCACCCAGGCTGGAGTGCAGTGGCACAATCTTTGCTCACTGCAACCTGCACCTCCCAGGTTCAAGCGATTTTCGTTCCTCAGCTCCCAAGCAGTTGGGATTACAGGTGTGTGCCACCACACCCCACTAATTCTTGTATTTTTAGTAGAGACGGGGTTTCTCCAGATTGGCCAGGCTGGTCTCAAACTTCTGGCCTCAAGTGATTCTCCTGCCTAGGCCACCCAAAGTGCTAGGATTACAGGTGTGAGCCACTGAGCTTGGCCATAATTAAAAATTTTTAATTAAAAAAAAAAAAATCCAGCCGGGCGCGGTGGCTCACGCCTGTAATACCAGCACTTTGGGAGGCCAAGGCGGGTGGATCATGAGGTCAGGAGATCGAGACCATCCTGGCTAACATGGTGAAACCCCGTCTCTACTAAAAATACAAAAAATTAGCCAGGCATGGTGGCGGGCACCTGTAGTCCCAGCTACTCAGGAGGCTGAGGCAGGAGAATGGCGTGAACCTGGGAGGCGGAGGGAGCTTGCAGTAAGCCGAGATCACGCCACTGCACTCCAGCCTGGGCAACAGAGTGAGACTCCATCTCAAACAAAACAAAACAAAACAAAAAAACCACTACTACTGTTTCTACTACTTTACTTGAACATCTAGAATATGCCCTGAGGGATAGCTGTTATACCTCCATTTTTTTTTTTCTAGACGGAGTCTCAGTCTGTCTTGACCAGGCTGGAGTGCAGTGGTGTGATCTCAGCTCACTGTAGCCTCCGCCTCCCAGGTTCAGCAATTCTCCCACCTCAGCCTCCTGAGTAATTGGGATTACAGTCACCCGCCACCACATCCAGCTAATTTTTGTATTTTTAGTAGAGACAGGGTTTCACCATGTTGGCCAGCCTGGTCTTGAACTCCTGACCTCAGGTGATCCACCTGCCTCGGCCTCCCACGGTACTGGGATTACAGGCATGAGCCACTGTGCCCGGCCAATGACCTCTATTTTATAGATGAAGAAAAATGGGGACTCCAAGTAGTGATTTGAGCAACCCAAGGTCACACTCTCCAGGGGTGAAGCTGTCTTCACACCAACTCTGACTTAAGGCTGTGCCTTTTCCAAGATGTTTGTTGCCCCTCCATGGCTTCAACATCTTCTCTGGTCTACCTCAGGGGAAGAGAAGCCACAGGTATCTTGCTCCAGGATCTAGAACCGGAAAATAAACCAGGGTTCTGGTCCACCATATTGTTCTCTTAGAACTAGGATCCTCATTTCCTTTAAAAAGTGTGTTTACAGTTGAACAATTGCTACATCTTGTCTTGAGTCTTTTTTTGGCTCTCGTAGTGGAAATTCTGCCCTTTGTCCTTAGTACAAAGAAATAATGTTCATCACAGACCAGGATCTCAAAGTCCTTGTTTCTGGCCTCAGAAAGCGTTCTCTCTCCCAAGTGAAGGTTAATATAGGAATAACAATGGAAAGTCACAGAATTGCTCGTTTATTAAACTAGTGTTTCTTGCAATGGTGTTTTAAAAGTTTATAAGAGATATATTATTGATATATAACATATTGATATAATTACACATTGTTGATATATTTTTGAGACATTATATTAGGGGAGTTTTTTGTTGTTTTTAGAGTTGGGGTCTTGCTCTGTCGCCCAGGCTGGAGAGCAGTGGTGCCATCGTAGCTCACCTCAGCCTCGAACTCCTGGCCTCAAGTGATCCTTCTGCCTCAGCCTCCCAAAGTGCTGGGATTACAGGCATGAACCATTGTGCCCGGCCTGTACATTAGTGTTATTTGAACTAGGATTTCCCCCTTAACTATGAAATTAAGGTTATCAAGAGTGAGCAAAATATTTTAAATAAAGATGAGGCTCATAAGATAATGTTTATTCAATTTTTCTTTTTTTATTATCTGAGATCCTAAAATATGTGTCTTTTTGGAGACTTGAATAATCATCTTAAGGGCTTTTAGAGCTAGAAAGGTCTTCACTGGGCCGGGCGCAGCGGCTCACACCTGTAATCCCAGCACTTTGGGAGGCCAAGGCAGGCAGATCACTTGAGACCAGCCTGAGACCAGCCTGAGAGCAGTTTGAGACCAGCCTGGCCAACATGGTGAAACCCCGTCTCTACCAAAAATACAAAAATTAGCCGGGCATGGTGGTGGGTGCTTGTAATCCCAGCTACTCAGGAGGCTGAGGCAGGAGAATCACTTGAACCCGGGAGGCAGAGGTTGCAGTGAGCCAAGACTGTGCCACTGGGTGACAGAGTGACACTCTGTCTCAAAAAAAAAAAAAGGAAAAAAGAAAGGTCTTCACTGGTTGTCTGGTCCAACCTCCTTGGCCAAATAAGAAAACTGAGGTGCACTGAGGTTAGGTCCAAGGTCATGAATAGAGAGCACCCCTGCACGTCAGTCAGAAAGGAAATCAGGCTGGGCACAGAGGCCACGCCTGTAATCCCAGCACTTTGGGAGGCTGAGTCAGGAGGATTGCTTGAGGTCAGGAGTTCCAGACCAGCATGGGCAACATAGAGAGACCTCATCTCTATGAATAATTTTTTTTTTTTTGAGGCAGTCTCACCCTGTTGCCCAGGCTGGAGTGCAGTGGTGCGATATCGGCTCACTGCAACCTTTGCCTCCTGATTCAAGCGATTCTCCTGCCTCAGCCTCCCAAGTAGCTGGGACTACAGGCACCCGCCACCATGCCCAGCTCATTTTTTTGTATTTTCAGTAGAGACCGGGTTTCACCGTGTTGGTCAGGCTGGTCTTGAACTCCTGACCTCACATGATTCACCCGCCTCGGCTTCCCAAAATGCTGGGATTACAGGTGTAAGCCACCATGCCTGGCCAATTTTTAAAAAGTAGCTGGGCATGGTGGCACATGCCTGTGGTTCCAGTTACTCAGGAGGCTGAGGTAGGAGGATGGCCTGAGCCCAGGAGGTCGAGGCTGCAGTGAGCTATGATCACACCACTGCACTCCAGCCTGGGCAACAGAGCAAGATCCTATCCCCAAAACAAAACAAAACCAGGAAGCAAATCAAGGAGTGATATTTAAAGACCCACTCGGCTGGGCGCAGTGGCTCTTGCCTGCAATCCCAGCACTTTGTGAGGCTGAGGTGGGCAGATCACCTGAGGTCAGGTGTTCGAGACCAGCCTGGCCAACATGGTGAAACCCCATCTTCACTAAAAATAAACAAAATTAGCCCGGCGTGGTGGTGGGTGCCTATAATTTCAGCTACTCGGGGAGCTGAGGCAGAATTGCTTGAACCTGGGAGGTGGAGGTTGCAGGGAGCTGAGATCACACCATTGCACCCCAGCCTAGGCACCAAGAGCATAACTGTCTCAAAATAATAATAATAATAATAATAATAATGATAATAATAATAATATAATAAAAATAAAGACCACTCAACGTAAACACGACTCTACCCAGGCAAGCCCACATCACGTCATCTCTTTGGAATAAGCTTGCGATAACCATCATATTTCCATTTCCTTTTATATTTTTCCAAAAACAGCTCATGATACAATTTGTACAGGTCCTAGTAACTTTGGGGAAAATTTTGGAAAAAAAAAAGTAGCATGTTTCAAAGGAACTTGATCTGATAAGAGGCAGAAATATTGACTCCATTATTTCAAGAGGCAGTTTCTTTGTTTCCCAGACGCTTCCTGACAGTTTTAAAAATAGCCTTCCACAACTGTTCCAGGATGAGAATGTCCTTTTACATAAAATGGGCTTTGAAGATGTGATTTCATTTACTCAGAGGAGGCTGTAGATCATTCGTCATCCTTTTCCAAAACATGGCTTGGACCGGGCAATGTGGGCCCTTGAATTCCAGTTGAACACCAGTCCAAACTGGGTTGTTGGATGCGGAGAAGATAAAGGGTACCCACAAAGAGGACACGGCTCGTTACAATCTGGGAGACAAAACGCAATGGGGTTGCAGTCAAAAGTTGCCTCTTGCGACCAGGTGTGGTGGCTCACGCCTGTAATCCCAGCACTTCGGGAGGCTGAGGCAGGTGGATCACCTGAGGTCAGGAGTTCGAGACCAGCCTGGGCAATATGGCAAAACTCCATCTCTACCAAAAAATACAGAAATTACCCGGGCATGGTGGTATGTGCCTGTAGTTCCAGCTCAAGAGGCTAAGGCAGGAGAATCGCTTGTACCCAGGATGTGAAGGCTGCAGTGAGCTGAGATCATGCCACTGCACTCCAGGCTGGCTGACAGAGCGAGACTCTGCCTCTAAAAGAAAAAAAAAAAAAGTTGCCTCTTTCGGATGGGTGTGTCGGCTCACCCCTGTCATCCCAGCACTTTGGGAGGCTGAGGCTGGAGGATTGCTTTAGGCCAGGAGTTTGAGACCAGCCTGGGCAACATAGCGAGACCCCATCTCTACAAAAAAAAAATTTAATTACCTGGGCATGGTGGTGCACACCTGTAGTCCCAGCTACTTGGGAGGCTGAGGTGGGAGGATCACTTGAGCCCAGGAGGTTGAGGATGCAGTGAACTATGATCGCAACCACCGCACTTCAGCCTGGGTGACAGAGTAAGGCCCTTTCTCTAAAAATAAAGAAACAAAAATAAAATGAAAGTTGCCTCTTGTCTGCTGTATTGGAGGTTTCTGTATCTGCTGATTCAACCAACCCTAGATCGAAACTACTTGAAAAGGGGCCGGGGGCGGTGGCTCACGCTTGTAATCCCAGCACTTTGGGAGGCCAAGGCGGGTGGATCACCTGAGGTTGGGAGTTCGAGACCAGCCTGGCCAACACAGTGAAACCCCGTCTCTACTAAAAGTATAAAAATTAGCCAGGCATGGTGGCGGGTGCCTGTAATCCCAGCTACTTGGGAGGCCAAGGCAGGAGAATCACTTGAACCCAGGAGGCAGAGGTTACAGTGAGCGGAGATTGCGCCACTGCACTCCAGCCTGGGTGACAAGAGAGAGACTCTGTCTCAAAAAAAAAAAAAAGAGGCAGGGCGCGGTGGCTCACGCCTCTAATCCCAGCACTTTGGGAGGCCAAGGCAGGCAGATCACGAGGTCAGGAGATCGAGACCATCTTGGCCAACATGGTGAAACCCCATCTCTACTAAAATACAAAAAATTAGCCGGGCATGGTGGCAGGTGCCTGTAATCCCAGCTATTTGGGAGGCTGAGGCAGGGGAATCGCTTGAACCCAGGAGGTGGAGGTTGCAGTGAGCTGAGATCGCGCCACTGCACTCCAGCCTGGAGACAGAGCAAGGCTCCATCTCAAAAAAAAAAAAAAAAAAAAAGAGAGAGAGAGAGAGAAAGAAACCATTTGAAAAAAAACAATCAAAAGTTGCCTCTTATGTGAAAGATCTGATGGCTAGGAGGGGTCATTGTTCATTTTCTCAGACGTGACCTTGGCATCGAGTATACGTTAGCATGTCAGTCGCCACACGTCTCAGTGACGTGCGCTTCAGGGCACGTGGGCGAAATGGCATCCTGACTCCAACTTGCTCTAAAGTGCTTCTCCAGAGCAAAGGAAGACAGCCATGCGGCAAAGGTGGAAAATCTGGATGACAGTTGACGCTGGGTGGGGGTGTTTACTGTCCTTTTCTCTTCAACTATTATGTTTGGAAATTTTCATCATACATTTGTTCCAATTGGATACTCTATTCTTCAGGAAAGGGCGTGAGTGTCCTTTGCCGTGGAAGAGACTGCCAATGGGAGAGGGGATGGATTTGTGGATTTGATGTTGATTATTTACACAGCAGGGGAGTGTGTGTGTGTGTGTGTGTGTGTGTAGCAGGGAAGGAAGGAAACAGGATTTGAGACTGGCTTCTAACTTTTTAAAGGGTCTGAGGACCTCTTTAAAAATCAGATGGAGGCTGGGCACAGTGGCTCACACCTGTCATCAGCAGCACTTTGGGAGGCCGAAGCGGGAGGGTCACTTGGGGCCAGGAGTTGGAGATCAGCCTGGCCAACATAGTGAGACCCTGTTTCTATAAAAATAAAAATAAAATAAAAATTAAAAAAAATTAGCCAGGGCCGGGCACGGTGGCTCATGCCTGTAATCCCAGCACTTTGGGAGGCTGAGGTGGGCAGATCAAGAGGTCAGTAGATCGAGACCATCCTGGCTAACACGGTGAAACCCCGTCTCTACTAAAAATACAAAAAAATTTGCTGGGCGTGGTGGCGGGCGCCTGTAGTCCCAGCTACTCAGGAGGCTGAGGCAGGAGAATGGCGTGAACCCGGGAGGCGGAGCTTGCAGTGAGCCGAGATCGTGCCACTGCCCTCCAGACTGGGTGACAGAGCGAGACTCCGTCTCAAAAAAAAAAAAAAAAAAAAAAAAAAAAAAAATTAGCCGGATGTGGTCAGCTACTCAGGAGGCTGAGGCAGGAGGATCACTTGAGCCCAGGAGTTCAAGGCTGCAGTGGGCTATGATTGCGCCATGCACTCCAGCCTGGGTGAGAGAGCGAGACCCCCATCTCTTAAAAAAGGGGAAAAAAAAAGATAAAAAGTTATGAACACTGCAAACCCACATACAATAAAAAACAAACCAGGGCTGGGTGCGGTGGCTCATGCCTGTAATCCCAGCACTTTGGGAGTCTGAAGCAGGCGAATCACGAGGTCAAGAGATCGAGACCATCCTAGCCAACATGGTGAAACCTCATCTCTAATAAAAATACAAAAATTAGCCAGGCATGGCGGCGTGTGCCTGTAGTCCCAGCTACTTGGGAGGCTGAGGCAGGAGAATCACTTGAACCCAGGAGGTAGAGGTTGCAGTGAGCTGAGATCACGCCACTGCACTCCAGCCTGGTGACAAAGCAAGACTCCGATTCAAAAAAAAAAAAAAAAAAAAAAGAACAAAAACAAAAAACCAGCAAATGTGCATTCAGGGGTTCACTGCTTTCCCTAAAAACGTCCCCTCCCCTGGGTAAGAGCTCCTAATTCAATACATGGTTTTCCATTTCTAAGATATCAAGAGCCATCACCTGCCTCTTCTGGGTACGGTGAATATGCAAATAAGCAGAAGACAACAAGAAACTAGAAACCCTGAAGTTTTCTAAGAAACCCTCAATTCTTTTCTCAAATCAGCAAAACGAGCCTCCGCCCCTGGCTGGCTTCGGAGCTCTGGGCAAATGACTGCAGGGAATGAGTCTCAGTTTTCCCTCAGGAAAATGGGCTAACATCCACCCTCTTCATTTACAAGGTTGCTTTGAGTTTCCAACAAGATAATGGAAGCTGAATCGCTGTGAAAATTGTGAAGTCCCAAACCAAATGGTGCCAAAGCTGTGACTACCCTGGAGAGAGGTGACTCAGCGCCTTCTCCAAAGGGATCTATCACGGCAGAAGCACATGGCTTGGGACCTTCAGATTCACTCTGGGGTTTTCCTGCAGGAGGAAGGAAGTATTGGGAATTGCCTCCGGCCATGACCACTTTCAGGAAGCTGCTCGTTTTTGCAGAGAAGATTAGGGGCATCTCAGAGGTTACAAAGCCCACGAGGCCCCACCAGGCCCCAATCCACAAAGCAGGCCCATTCCATGGGCACCAAGAAGACGTCCCCTCCCAACACCCTCATCTCCAGGACTGCAGGGACCCCTCGAGGGTCTGTAACCTGGAAAAGGGGGATTACCAAAGGTTTGGAATCTTTACATTCGCCCAAATCCACCATAAACTTCAGTTTATGGTTTATAGATGACCCTTGAACAACACAGGTTTGAACTGGGTGGGTTCAGTCATATGTGGATTTTCTTTGTTTTGAGCCCGAGTCTCACTCTTGTTGCCCAGGCTGGAGTGCAGTGGTGCGATCTCAGCCCACTGCAACCTCCGCCTCCCGGGTTCAAGTGACTCTCCTGCCTCAGCCTCCCTAATAGCTAGGATTACAGGCATCTGCCACGACACCCAGCTAATTTTTGTATTTTTAGTAGAGACGGGGTTTTACCATGTTGGCCAGGCTGGTCTCGAACTCCTGACCTCAGGTGATCCACTCGCCTCAGCCTCCTGAAGTGCTGGAATTACAGGCATGAGCCACTGTGCCCTGCCTGTATGTGGATTTTCTTCCACCTCTGCCACCCCAAGACCAACCCTTCCTCCTCCTCCTCCTCGGGTTACTCAATGGGAAGATGATGAGGAAGAAGACCTTTATGATGATCCACTTCCACTTAATGGATGGCCAATATTTTTTCTCTTCCTTTTCCTGAGGATTTTCTTTTTTTGTTTTTGGAGATGGAGTCTCGCTCTGTTGCCCAGGCTAGACTGCAGTGGCACGATCTTGGCTCACTGCAACCTCTGCCTCCCAGGTTCAAGCGATCCTCCTTGTCTCAGCCTCCTGAGTAGCTGGGATTACAGGTGCCTGTCACCACGCCTGGCTAATTTTTTGTATTTTTAGTAGAGATGGGGTTTCACCACATTGGCCAGGCTGGTCTCGAATTCCTGGCCTCAAGTTATCCTCCCACCTCGGCCTCCCAAAGTGCTGGGATTACAGGCATGAGCCACTGCTCCTGGCCTTTTTTTTTTTTTTTTTTTTTTTTTTGAGACAGAGTCTTGCTCTGTCACCAGGTTGGAGTGCAGTGGCACGATCTCGGCTCATTGCAACTTCTGCCTCCCGGGTTCAAGCCACTCTCCTGCCTCAGCCTCCCGAGTAGCTGGGATTACAGGTGCCCACTACCATGCCCAGCTAATTTTTGTATTTTTAGTAGAGACGGGGTTTCACTGTGTTGGCCAGGATGGTCTCAATCTCCTGACCTCTTGATCCACCTGCCTTGGCCTCCCAAAGTGCTGGGATTACAGGCGTTAGCCACCACGCCCGGCCCTGTATTTTCAATCTCATGAATTACTGCCCTGAGACGAGTCTATGTAACAAAATATCTGAGGCTGAAAAACTGCTTTTTAAAAATAAATCTACCTGAGGCCAGGAGTTTGAGACTAGCCTGGCCAACATGGCAAAACCCCATCTCTACTAAAAATACAAAAAATTAGCCAGGCATGTTGCCTAATGCCTGTAATTCCAGCTACTTGGGAGGCTGAGACAGGAGAATTGCTTGAACTTGGGAGGTGGAGGCTGCAGCGAGCTGAGATCACACCATTGTACTCCAGCTTGGGTGACAAGAGTGAAACTCTGTCCCAAAATAAAATAAAATAATAAATAAAAATAAATCTATGTCCAGTGGATCCAGGTCAACACCAGCCTTCTAAGTCATGTTGATGACATGGATCTTTGATGTGATTTGATGTCAATACACTTCATCTCTGTGGTCTTCCTCCCCCAAGTCCAGCTCCACATCTAGTCACGGGAAAAACATCAGACAAATCCCAGTGGAGGGACATTCTACAAAGCACCTGACCAGTTCTCCTTGTAACTGTCATCAAAAACACACAACGTTTGAGAAACTCACACAGCCCAGAGAATTCTTTTTTTTTTCCTTGAGACAAGAGTCTCACTCTGTCGCCCAGGCTGGAGTGCAGCGGTGTGATCTCGGCTCACTGCAACCTCTGCCCCCCGGGTTCCAGCGATTCTCCTGCCTCAGCCTCCTGAGTAGCTGGGATTACAAGCGCCTGCCACTGCGCCCGGCTAATTTTTCTATTTTTAGTAGAGACGGGGTTCCACCCAGCCCAGAGAATTCTAACGAGATGTAAGGTCTGAATGTCATGGGGGATCCTGGGACAGAAAAAGGACATTAGGGGGAAAAACGAATTTTTTTTTTTTGACAGGGTCTTACTCTGTGGCCCAGACTGGAGTGCAGAGGTGCGATCTTGGCCCACCACAACCTCCACCTCCCAGGTTCAAGCGATTCTCCTGCGTCAGTCTCCCGAGTAGCTGGGATTACAGGCATGCTCCACTACCACCCGGCTATTTTTTGTGTATTTTTAGTAGAGACGGGGTTTCACCATGTTGGCCAGGCTGGTCTTGAACTCCTGACCTCAAATGATCCACCTGCCTCGGCCTCCCAAATGGCTGGGATTACAGGTGTGAGCCACCGTGCCCTACCTGCATTTTTTTTTTTAGACGGTGTCTTTCTTGTCGCCTGGGCCAGAGTGCAATGGCATGATATTGGCTCACTGCAACTCCACCTCCTGAGTTTCAAGTGATTCTCCTGCCTCAGCCTCTCGAGTAGCTGGGATTACAAGTGCGCACCACCACGCGCGGCTAATTTTTGTGTTGTTTTTTTTTAGTAGAGACAGGGTTTCACTATGTTGGCCAGGCTGGTCCCCAACTCCTGACCTCAAGTGATCCCCCCCACCTCGGCCTCCCAAAGTGCTGGAATTACAGGCATGAGCCACCGCACTCAGCCAAAAAAACAGAGCAATTCTGAATAAAGTAAGGACTCTAGTTAATAATAATGAATCCGTATTGGTTCATTAATTGGGATGTAAGTAATGTGTAATGTAAGATGTTAAAAATAAGGTAAACTCTCTAAGGGGCTTATGGGAACCCTTCGTATTTTCTTTGCGATCTTTCTGCAAATTTAAAACTGGCCAGGCACAGTGGCACATGTCTGTAATCCCAGCCCTTTGGGAGGCTGAAGTGGGAGGATCACTTGAGCCCGGGGAAGTGGAGGTTGCAGTGAGCTGAGATCACACCACTGCACTCCACCCTGGGTGACAGAGCTCAGACCCTGTTTCAAAAAAAAATTTTTTTTAAGGATAAATTGTCTAAGGGGCTTATGGGAACTCTTTGTATCTTTGTGATTTTTCTGCAGGTTTAAAACTGTCCTAAAAAATAAAGTTGGTTAAAACATAAAAATGGGCAGGGCTTGGTGGCTCACGCCTGTAATCCCAGCACTTTGGGATGCTGAGACAGGAGAATTGTGTGAGTCAAGGAGTTTGAGACCAGCCTGGGCAACATGGCAAGATCTCATCTCTTAAAAAAAAATTTTTTTTAAAAGTAAAAACTTAAGATTTAAAGAGCAATGTTCCACCTGGTTGATCTGCTTCCTGATACCCATGCAGGGAAAACAATGTTTACAGAGATTAAAGAAGCTTCTCTTGTTTTGTATTAAAATATTTTATATTAATCATTCAAACTTCATTTTATACAACGAGTGCATACACCACTGGGGGAGTGTCTGACTGATGCGTGGGAGGGCGGGTGGGGATGTCTGCAGCTATGAGTAGGGAGGAGGCGGGGAAGCCCTGGGTGCTTCCTCTCCTCGACTGACCGCTGTGTGTTCGTCCCCAGAGGAAGAGCGGGAGGCAGTCAGCCCCGGGGGGGATGGCACAGTGGAGAGACGGACCTGCAGAAGTGGTGGCCAAGGCCTCTGTAAGGGCTTCCCCAGGAGATGTGACCTTTCCAGGTCTTGCAGCCGAGTCTGCTCACCCTGAACAAGCCCCCGAGTCCCGGTCCTTGGAGTACGGTGGCGACGGTGTGTGTGTGTATATATAGACATCTGCACTGCCCCCTCTCTGGAACCCGCCCGTGCCCTGTCCCGCCTACACACGGCCCTCGCCTAGGCGGCAGGCATGTCAGCCTTGCTGAGCGCGATGGCCAGTTCCAGGTCCTCCTGCTCCTGCCGCCGCAGCCGCGCCAGCCTCTCCTGTTCCGCCTTCTCGCTCTCCCGCTTGGCCCACGCCAGCTGCTGCTCCTCATTGCCAAACTGCAAAGGAAAAACGGAGAGTGGGTGATGTGGCCCTGGGGCTGGGACCTGCAAGCTGGAGGGAGGCAGGGAATGCGTGGGAGGGGTCAGGGTCCTGCCCACCGCCCAGCGGAGGGTCCGATGTGCAGGGGATAAGCATGTCTTGGCTGGGCCCAGTGGGCGTGCGAGCCTGTCTCAGGCCCCCCATCTGGAAAGCAGAGTGGACGGGATGCATGTGATTGAGTGTGACCTTAACCATGACCTCTGGGCCTCAAAGAAACCAGCCACCCCGCCCCACGCAGAGAAGTGAGGATGGGCCCTTGACGCTGGTGGCCAAGAGGTGCAAAGATGGGGAACTTCCAGCGTGCATGGCTCTAAAGCCCCACGGCGCAGACAATTCTGCACTCTGGGAATGTGGTATTTCTACCTCCAGCCATGCTCCAGAGAGCTCTGAGACCCTCTGAGGGTCATTTTCTTTTTCTTTTTCTTTTTTTTTTTTTGAGATGGAGTCTCGCTCTGTCGCCAGGCTGGAGTGCAATGGCGCGATCTCGGCTCATTGCAACATTCACCTCCCAGGTTCAAGGGATTCTCTTGCCTCAGCCCCCTGAGTAGCTGGGATTACAGGCATGCGCTACCATGCCCAGCTAATTTTTGTATGTTTCGTAGAGACGGGGTTTCACCATGTTGGTCAGGCTGGTCTTGAACTCCTGACCTTGTGATCCACCCGCCTCAGCCTCCCAAAGTGCTGGGATTACAGGCGTGAGCCACCGCACCCGGCTCTGAGGGTCAATTTCTCCCAGAACACTGACAAAAGGTGTGGCACTTACACTGCCATTTAGTCAAGTTTTTATCCGTGGGGTGTTTTTCTAAAATGTTCAGTTAAAATAAAAACTTAAAAAAGGGAGAAAACCATCTTGATGCTGAGATAGGTGATTTCAAACAACTCAAAGTACTTTAGTCATGAAAAGAAAAGCCACATCCCACAAGCTCCTCCCCCAGGGTGGGTCCCAATGTCCCAGACTTCCCTGAGAGGTCACTGGCATCATCGGCCCCCTCAGGAAAGCTGCTGCTGCTTAGGGATTCAAAGGATTCCCTTATTAATGTCTCTCTGCGATGCACTGCCTCTGACCAGCTCTCTGCTCAACACTGGAGTAACACCAAAGATAACATGCGCAGTGGCTCTTCCCCAGGCACCCTTGGGAGCAGAAATATACAAACAATCCCAGAACGATCCAGGACCCAAGGACCCAGGCTCTCGAGGAGGGCCCTGCAGACTAACCCAGGAAGGTGGGGGAAAGAAGCACACAGGAACACTCACGGCCTCTCCACCACACGCAGCACTAGGTCTGCGTGACAACCTGGGGGTGGGCCCGCTGTCATCTCATCCCTCTGACAGCTGGGGACACTGAGGCCAGGGAAGGGGTGGCTCACACTCTAGACTTTTTCCCCCCCAGGCCTGTGGGGAGCAGGATACTAGGTGAAACTGACAGGGAGGATGCGTCCCTGCGAGGTTCTGGGTGTGAGGCTCAGTGCCCGACCTTGGGGTAGCCAGGATGAAGCGTGGGGTGGGATAAGCCAGACTGAGGAGGGGCTCGTGGGCCCCAGGAAGGAGCTGGGATTTCCCCGTGGAGGCTCCTTGGGCGAGCGAGTTGGGTGATCAGATTGGCAGCGTCTGGATATTTCACGGCTTGATGGTGGCATGAGCGGGAAGCAGGAGAGAGGAGGGCCAGATGGCAGGGCTGGGGGGACTGGGCAAGGTGCAGGAGCAGATAAATGCAAGGAACCTGGTTGGGAGGCAGATGTGGCAGTGAGGGGGATGCGGGGCCCTGGAGGCCTCCCTCTAGCTGGCCTCAGGACCCAGATGGGGGACAGGCGGAGTGTCAGTATCAAGAAAAGATGTCCCTGGGAGGAAGGGCTGAGTCTTGACTTCTTAAAGAGGCACTGCCCAGCTAAACACTTGGGGGTCTGATGAGTCTCCAGGTCGGACTCCCTCCCCGCCATTGTGTCACTGCCAGGGGCACAGATAAGCATCCCCCCCGCCCCAGTTTGGGGAATTTTCCAACACCTCATGGGGAGAAAAACAAGGAAAAACCAACAAGTGCAGGTGGAAATTATTCCATGGTGCTGCTGACAACAGTGGGAGGGAGACAGTGCAGCTGACGGGGACCTCACCCTCCACCAGCCTTGAGGACAGGGTGGGTGGGAGCTGACAGTAATGTTCGCCTGGATCCAAATCAAAGCCTGGAACGACCAAGTAACCGGCCTGCTGGGTCTGAACCACAGCCCTCTGGCCGCCTTTGGCCCCACTGAGCCCCCGTGTCACAGTGTCACTGAAGCGCCTTCCCTTGACGGGTCTGTGTTTCCAAATGAAAGGTGTCAGCAGGAAAGTTCCTGGTGCCTTCAGAGTCGACCGGTTCAAGGCCAGCTCACGAATCCACTGTGGAGACTTGCATTGGTGAGGTCTGTATGCACTTAGGAGGCACGCTGGGCTGTGAGGCCTGGGAGAGCTCTCCTGAAAGGGGACTCCGCAGCTCCCTCTGTGTCTGCTGTCTTAGCCCTGGACGGGGCCACCTTCTAGTTCTCGTATCTGGGTGGGTCACACGGGCCAGAATCTGGATGTCTGTGGCCGATGCAAAACCAATAGTGGCTGGGAAACACACTGGCTCTGATTTCTGCTTCCCTCTGGCATTACCATGGAACCGAGACACCGTAGGGGCATGACACCACCCTAGCCGAGGCCTGCCCACTCAGGATGGGGTTCATTTTCAGAAGCAAATAAGTGGTTCATTTCAGCAGCCTCTTGGAAATCCGCAGTTTAGACAGCTCGGCACGCTGGGCGATGGGATGGCCCCGGGAGGCGCCCGGCACCTGTCCTCACTGGCGCTCCAAGGTGTCTGATGGCACTTCCACCCCACCATGTGCAGGACATGCCTAGCCACTTCCCATTCATTCATTTACCGACAATGAAATTGTATCCAACTCCTTCAATAATTCGAAGCACGGCCTAGCTGATCTGGTATTTGCACTACTCTTAATGCGAACTTCCAAAAGAACCGTTCCGCTAACCTAGAAATGCCACTTCCTAATACACACATTTGCCTGAGACAGAAAGGCCTGCTTTTAAAGAAATACCAGAGAGGGAAGAGGTTTCCCGGGAACAGCCACACACGCAAATAACCCATTGATGGAAATTTGGGGTTTGTAAATTAGAGGGTTCTGGAGAGGCACCGCCGGGGCACCACCTCCACAAGTGAGGTGCGGGTGACCTGGGCCCCCCTGACTGCCAGCATGGACTGGGCTGCTCCTGCACAGGTAAAAACATGCCCTGAACAGCAGTCTCAGAACGTCCACGCTGAAAGAGTCACGCTGCCAATCTGCCGGGCAGTCAGACAGCCCTCTTGGCATTTGCTCAGGGAAGTGGAATCATTCAAACCAGAGGAAGCAGCTGTGCCCTCTTCTAAGTTAGCACAAATAGTCAAGATCCAGTGAACCCAGAAACCACCAGCTGATCGGCTGAGCCCCCGAATGCCGTGAACATGGAGAGACGTCATCTTGAGTCCCCAGAGGAGAGCTGGTTATGGATGATTTTAGACAATGATACGACCCAAGGGGACAAACAAAAACAATTAAGGGTCCTGTCTTCACTCAACCCATCCCTTCAGAGTGGCTGAAGTACACTATCTGATCATTTCCTCTGGAAAAAAACTGGGGTATTTGCAGTGGGAAAAGTGATTTTAAACAGAAAACAGGCCGGGCACAGGGGCTCATGCCTGTAATCCCAACACTTTGGGAGCCTGAGGCAGAAGGATCATTTGAGCCCAGAGTTCAAAGACCAGACTGGGTAGTAAAGTGAGACCTTGTCTCTATCAGAACATTTTAAAATTAGCCAGATGTGGTGGTGCGCGCCTGAGGTCCCAGCTACGTGGGAGGCTGAGGTGGGACGATTGCTTGAGCCCAGGAGGTCAAGGCTGCAGTGAAGCTGTGACTGCACCACTGCATTCTAGCCTGGGCAACAGAGCGAGACTCATCTCCAAATATGTAAAAACCAAAAACTTAGGGAAAAAAAAAAAAAAAACAGAAAACAACAGGGCTGCATCCAGGCCTGGGTGGAATTTGCTTTCCCACCAGGAGATGAGGGTGATAAAATGGCTGGCGCTATTTTAAAACTGAAGTTAACAATTGTTCTGGAACTACCAGAAATGCTAAGCCAAATGATACCTTGAAACCTTGGGTGTTTTTTTTTTTTTTATGCTTTTCGAAAAAACGAGCCCTTTGCGGGTTGGGGTCACAGGAAATAGAATTATGAATTTCAGAAAGAGAACAGTCATTTCTTCAAGCTGCCGTTCACCCCACTTACCTAACTCTTCCCTACCCAAGACAGAGTACCTGAGTCATGTGTGAAGAGTTCTGTTTTTTTTAAATCAGCGTTTAATATTTTTCCACCAGAAAATAAATGAAGGGCTATTCAAGAAACTCTAGATAAAGCAGGTTTTGTTTCTGGCTTTTATTAACAATGTCACCATTTTGTATAGACCCCCAGTGCGCATCTAGGGTCAACAAAATCAAACTCACTGCCGTTGTAAAATATTTATAGGTCACCAAGAGCCAGAAACAGGTCAGGGTCTTGGGCGATTTAAATAAGCCACATGGGCCAGTCACGTGTAACCCCAGTACTTCAAGGTGGGAGGATCGCTTGAGGCCAGGAGTTCCAGACCAGCCCAGGCAACACAGCAAGACCCTACCTCTACAAAAAAAAAAAATTAAACATTAGCCTTGCGTGGTGTTGCACGCCTGTCGTCCCAGCTACTCAGGAGGCCAAGACAGGAGGATCGCTTGAGCCCAGGAATTCGAGGTTACAAGTGAGCTCTGATCGCGCCAATGCAGACCAGGCTGGGCAACACAGCGAGACCCTGTCACTAAAATAAATAAATTGACAAATAAGCCATAGGATAGCTGTGCACGGTAGAGATTATCAAGACGGCTCAGAAACAAATCGGGTGCTTTCTGTGCATTGACATGGCAGGGCTGTGTTCAAAGAGCCATCCCAGGAGTCGAAGCATCTATAAATAACACATCTCACACCTAATGATGAAGGAACTAACAAGCCCAAAGGAAGAAAGCGAGGGCATCACACATAGTGAAACCAATTCTGGGAAGACAACACCTGAAGCTTTCAGAGAACAAGATTTTCATGTATCAAGGAAGCTGCTAAAAACTCCTTGAAGCGACGGCATGTTACAATCTGGAATATTTTTTCACACAGAGAAAAACAAAGCCAGGCTTTCGAAATCCCGAGATTTGCTTCCGAAAAGGCACTTAACTTTGCTCAACAGTTTTTTGGAGCTCTTTTTGTTTTGGCTTTCAGAGTGGCTGTTCTAGACTGGATTTCTTTTTTCATTGGAGCTGGTAACTGAAATTTAAAAGCTTTAAAAAAAAAAAACTTCAAATTGCTCTTCCCTGGCGCGATCTGCCTGAAGTCCTTCAATTTGCACTTGTGGCACAAAATGCATGGGGCGGGACTGTGAGAACTTGTGCACAAAGGGCTTTTTGGGGACAGCAGAACCCTAATGTAACTTTCGCAATCTTCTTTTCATACTTCGGAAGTGTTTGACATCTTGGCTTCCAAAAACCAGTGAACACAACAGCCTCGGTGCGTCAGAAATAATACAATGAATCTACCGTGAAGGACAGATAGGTCCCGCCTCCCTGCTGGAAGAAAACGTGCCCTTATGATAGAGCATCCAAACTGCGGCTCTTTTTTTTTTTATTGAGAAACTGTTTTTCTTACAGAAGTGGCAGTGTAGAATAAATAACGCGAGGGACAGAGAGTGTGAGGTACCAAGAGGCTAAAGAAGCTGGGAGGTTTGCCTTTAAAAGGAGACAAAAATCCCAGGGAAGCTGCAAGCGGAAGGGAGTGGGGTGGCCCGGAGGCGGAGGACTCAACTTACAGAGGTGAAGTCTGCAAAGCCCGAGGCAGAGGCCTTAGAAGGTTTAGCTGCAGAGGAGGGGACAAATGGGTCTTTTCCACTAAACGGGTCCCCAAACCCCTTTTTACTTTGGAACGGGTCGCCGCTGTCAGCCCCGAGTGGCTGGAATGGATCGGGGGCCTCGGGAAAGTCTGCGGAACCAAGCTGGCTTACAGGTGTACTTTTACCTGGAAAGTTTAGGAGAAAAAAAAAAGGAGAAAGAAAGAAATATGAGTTACTCACCCGGACAGAGCAGAATGCTGGTGGGCACAAGCCCGGGGCGCTTCTCTGAGAAAAGCTTGTAACTTGGCTAACAGGCTGGACGGGGGTACCCTGGGGAATCCCAGTTTTAATCAGCTTTATCCCAGGGGCTTAACGGGTTGTGAACAACACAGGAAAAACACTTCAGATGACTCCCATACACAACGCACACAGAGCAGCTAAAACTTGAGTTGTCCTAGAATAGTTTGCATGCAGGTACGTTTCAAACAGATTCATTTTAGCATGGCAACACATTTATTAACATACTAATTTAAAAAATCATGGCTGAGCAGAAAAATACACTGCAAGCTTCTAACAGTAAAAAAAAAAAAAGGCAGAGGGGAGAGTTACTTGCAAATGAAAAGGAGGAATTAGTTTCACAACGTGGTATGGTTATTCGGTGTGTTAGTTATAAGGGTCTGCACACAGCTCTGCCATGCTGAGGTTTAAGTTCTTTTTTTTTTTTTTTTTTTTTTTTTTTTCAGAGACAGAGTCTTGCTCTGTCACCTGGGCTGAAATGCAGTGGTGCAATCATGGCTTATTGCGGCCTTGGCCTCCAGGGCTCAAGCGATCCTCCCACCTCAGCCTCCTACAGGCATGAGCCACCATGCGTGGCTAATTTTTGTATTTTTAGTAGAGATGGGATTTTGCCATGTTGCCCAGGCTAGCCTCAAACTCCTGCCCTCAAGTCATCTGCCCGCCTCAGCCTCCCAAAGTGCTGGGATTACAGGCATGAGCCACTGCACCTGGCCTTAAGTTCTTTTTTAGCCCCCACTTCTGTCCCTCTGGTGTTGGTGGCTCCAAGGGGCAGCGTTTATCTGGGCCTTTCTGGGCTTCTGCCAAGCAGGGAACTCCAGGATGCCCGGTCCCAGCAAGGTATATCTTGACAGGGAGGTGAGAGAGAAGTGTTCAGAAATGGAGGAAAATGACACTGTGTGGGGGACATGGCCTGAGGATGGTAGCTTTTCCCAGTGCATCCTGCCAATGTACCAGAACATTCCACCAAGAAGCAGAGGCCTGTTAAGATCTGCTTGGTGACGGGAGGTCCCACCTGACGGGCCTTCCAGCATCTGCAGTTTGCAGGCCAGCCGGGCTGACTCCATGCTCCTGACACCCCTCTATCTGCCCAACGGAGTCCCTGGGCATTCAACGTGGTCCACGCAGCACCCCAGACTGGAAGCTCAATAATATGCAACACGATTCCGGCGTGTTAACTCTGGAAGTTTCGAAGCTAATGTTTAGAAAAAACCAGGAACTGCCTGTCCCTCCAGGGTTGACCTTGGATCTCTGGCTGCACCTCCAGAGAGCACCCTGGCTCCCAGCCACACCTGCCCCGCCCACCACCTGAGCCTGGGACACCTGCCTTCCTCATCCGGTAGAACGAGCCCACACAGGCCAGCCTCGGTCCCTCTCCATGCCCAGATCTAAAGCCTTTCCCTCTGTTCCCCCAGCAGATCAGCCATCCCAGGCCTCATTTTTGAGGCCCCAGGTGTCCTTGTGGGCTCCGGGGCTACAGCCCCCATCTGCCACCTTTAGCTCTGGGCCTCGGCAAGGGAAAGTGCCTCCTCCCAGCTGGCCTCCGTTTCCTTATCTGTGAAGTGGAAATGAGAAGGAGGGCGCCAAACAAGGTGACATTCCTGGGGTCCAGGAGTCTCCTCCCACTCAGTGTCCTGCACCGCCGTGCCCAGCATAGGCCAGTGAGAACCTGGCCCGTAGCCCCCCCTTGCCTGTAGCCCTACTTCTGGAAATGGAAATTCACTTTTCTCTCAACCGGCAGTTCTGGGCCAGCATAAGGACTGCTGCTTTCTTTTTGCATATTCAAGGAAAAACAGTCTTCCTTCCCACGGTTTGCACAGAAGGACTCGGAGACAAACTCCCCTGCAGCCCACCCTTGCGGCCTGCCTGTCCGCCTCTGCCCGTCCCACAGGGTTCCACCGGGGTCGCCGTTGCATCCTTAGCTGACCTCTGGCCACCAGCTGCGGGAGATCCTTCCAGACTCCTTGTCTGTGTGAGTCCATCTAAGAGGCTCCTCCTCAGGGTTGGAGGGCGAGCTGTCCTGGGCTCTATTAGGACTCACATGGATGAGAAAGAGGGGAGGTCGAGGCCTGGTATCAGTCTCCTCCTGTGGCCTCAAATCAATTCACTGTCAGACCCAAGGCCCAGTTAGCAGAGGGGGCCCTGCAATCTGGAAGGGGCCTATCTTTGCCAAAACTTGTGGGCAAGCCATGCTGGAGACCCTTCCCTAGAGGGGCAGTGCCCAGCCCACGCGGGCAGGACAGGAATGTGGCCCCTCTCCTTCCGACAGCGCCTGCCCTCTCAGGGCAGTCCCCACACCCGAGCTTTCTAGGTGTCTCCCTTTTTCTATCCCCAGATGTCCCTCCCACCTTCAGCTCTACTGCGGCCTCCTCCTACCCCGACCTCCCCGGGGCTGCAGAGAGCAGGGTGATCTGGCCCAGCCCGCAGACCCCGGGCTGGTTCCGCTGGCCTTGAGGAACTGCCTCACACCCCCACCTTGAGACGGCCTCCCATGCAGGGCCACTCCTGGTCCCAGGCATGAGCCAATGGTAAGCCAAGGCCTCGCTGCCAGGTCTCCCGGAGTTGCCCCGTTCCCTCTCCTAAGGGACGGGCAGGCAGCTCTGGCGGGCGGGGGTCAAGTGAGGCCTGCCCAGCCTCCTGTGAGCCCCAGGCTGTCCACTGGAGCAGAAGGGGCTCCCTAGGGCTCCTGAGCAGGATGGAGGGTGGGCGAGGGCCCCTCACCTCCACCCTCCCGTCCCTAGAAGCCTCATCTCCCTATCGGCCGCCCACCAGCTCGGCTCCCTTCCCTGTGAGCCAAACCCACCCAGCAAAGTGGCCTCAACACAGGTGGGCCCCAGCACCCTGCCCAGACTGCTTGAGGGCTTCTCCCGCTTGGGGATGACACCCCAGTCTTGTCCAGGTGGCACCTCCTTCCCCAGGAACCCCCAAACCCAGGGCTTCTTTCCTGGCTATGCCTTGTCCCTCTGCCTGGAAGGCACTCCCAACTGGAATGCCATCACAGGCAGTGGCCTTCTCAGGGAAGAAATGGCAGCCCCTTCCCCATCATGCCTGTGTTCAGCTCTGCAGCCAAGCCCTGGGGCTGGGAGTGGCCCTGGAAGACGGTGTGGGGCATGGCGGCCACCCCCCTCAGCCTGTTTCTTAATCCAAACAAAGGGCTGTGTCCCCCCAACAATTGTTCATACGTTCAAGTCCTAACCCCTGTGCCTTAGAATATAACCATACTTGAAGATAGCATATTTAAAGGGGTAACTGAGTTAAAACGAAGTCAAAGGATCAATGACTGTCTTCACTGAAAGAACTTAGGACACAGATCTACACACAGAACAGCAATGTGAAGATGCACCAGGCCAAGGAGAGGTCTCAGAAGAAACCAACCCCACTGGCGCCTTGATCTTGGACTTTGAGCCTCTAGAACTGCGGGACAATCCATGTCTGCTGTTTAGGCTGAGATAGAGCAAGTGTGAGCAGGGAGCCACCAAAGCCACCGGCAGGGGCACCCTGGGGGACAGTGTGACAGTGTCCTGCACCCCAGCCTGTGGGTTTGCAGGGGATAGGGACAGTGACCTCAGCCAGTCCCTCGAGCCCCTGCCTGCTTCTGCCCAGCTTCTCCCTCCACGGGAAAGCCCCCCCTCCCCCAGGGTCCCTCACCACTCTGCTTCCCGTGGCACTGGCCTCTGGCACGGCTGAGGGTCAGCTCTGTGAAAAGCGGGCCCAGCATACCACAAATGCCAGCCAATACTGCCCCATGTCCCTGGTGCCCTCCAGCCCAGGGCTCGGCACACAGTGGGCTTCAGGAGGTCCTGGTGAACCAGGTGCCACCTGTTACAGATTCCACGGGTCTCCAGGGACCTGGGGCCCTTTGGAGCAACACCCTGGGGAGCGAGAAGGGAATAAAGGCATCTGCCCTTCCTGGTTTGCAGGAAACAGCAATGTTACTGTGCATGCTTGGGTATTTGATTTTTCCTCGAATACCTATGTGATATGGATCAAATAGCAAGATTCTAGCAGAGGAAACAGTTAAGTGTTTCCAGGGGAGAAGCTCAAAGTCCCAGGACACGGTGTAGCCCCCTGGGACGGGCAGCAAGTCCAGGGTGGACACTGCTTGATTTCTCGAAGCCGTTCCTGCAGGGAGTGATCACCTGAGGCAGATTTGCAAGAATGTGGAGGGAGGTGTAAAGGGAGGACGCCCCAGCCAGGCCCCCAAGAGCGACTGCCACGGTACAGAAGGTTCAAATAAATCAGTCATTTTTGAGCTGCTTTTCTTCTTCTTTTCAATGAAGATCTTCCTCCCTTGGTTTGGGGGGTTTAAAAAAAAGAAATTGGTTTTTGGGAGGAGCGGTTAAGAATTCTGCCTGCTACCATTTCAAGCTGAGGTTTCTGATGCGCAAAGAGATGTTCAGAGAGATGAAAAGCTTCGTTCACACCAAGAACTGCCTGTGCCTGGTTTTGCTCTGTTGCCGAAACCGTTGTTATTTAGAAATCATGACTATGGTAATATGAAACCAGGGCACATCAACTGCTGGCCTCTTGTTTTCAGAAGGAACATCAACAACAACAACGGTTTTTTTCTCAGTTGTTAGTGTTTGTGCTTTGGTAAGAGAGGAGATTTTGGACCTGACACGTGTGAGGTCAGCCGAGTGCCCGGTCCAGCTCTCGACCTTGCTAATGACCAGACGCTTTGAGCAAAGAAAGCCCCCGGCATCACTGTAGGGCCACGGCCCTCAGCCCAAACTTCCCACTTTTGCTCAGCGATTTATTTTTAGCGGCTGTATTTTTCAAACCTTCTAGGTCTAGTTCCTGCTTTTATGTAACCACTTCTGCTAACTCCTTAATCGTTTTTTCCGATTTTGTGAGGTATAGCTTATCTCAAACGTGACAAAGTAACTTTAATCTGCCTCCAGGCCCTGAAGCAAAAGCTGCCACGCGCACCCACGCCAGGGTTTTATACTTTTTTATGGCTCCAGAAAACATGAGTAAGGAGAGAGCTTTACTGACGCGCATTTCAGAAAAGGGGATGGAAATCATGAAAACAAAACCCAAAAAAGTGGGTATAGAAACATCTGGGAATGATGGCATCAAACCAGGTGCCAGGCATCATCCTGGCACCTGGTTCGATGCCATCAATCCTAGATATTTGCAGCGGGAACTACCGGGGACCACAGCAGACGGCAGTGAATAAAGACAAATGAAATTAAAGACCCTCTTGGGTGTGCTGACTGCCTACCGCAGGGAGACTTCATTAACAGGGGGCAAGGGATACAAGACTGAAGAAAACACAAAATAGAACTTATTTTCAAACCACAGCAGTTTCAACAGTTACCCAAGCGGTGTACCGAAACCACACACAGGACTGACTTTAGCAAAAACAATATGAACCAAATGGTTTACCACAGTATGTGCTGTTAAAAAAAAAAAAAAAAAAAAAAAAAAAAACTTGGTGGCCGGCTCCACCCTGATAGAAATTTCTTTAATTCTCCTATTTCTCAAGCTTCTTCTCGAGGCTGCGCACGCCCCTAGCACCCGGGATCGGGGCTGTGATGGGGCTGGCTCTGCTGCACTAGCGTTCTTGGTCAGCAAAGTTTTTCAAGGTTCTGACTTTTCTATCTTGCTTTGCAGGAAGCCCTCCGCTTAAAAGCATCCTCAAGAGCTGGGTGCAAAGCAAAAAAAAAAAAAAAAAAACCCAAAAAACAACAAACAAACAAAAAATTGAATAGAAATATACAATTGCAAACCATAAAAACGGTGAATGCTATAAAAACCTTGGAAAGGAAACTCTCTTGGTTTAAATTTTTTGCTTAGGAGGAGCATAAAAGGTTCAGGTGAGGTATGGTCTCAATCAATCCGATTAATAAAAATATTAGTAATAAACATGAGAGTGAGAGAGAGAGAGAGTGTGTGTGTGTGTGTGTGTGTTTGATCCTGGCTAGGTTCTGTTTATACAGTTCAGTTCAGTGCTGTACTTGGAAAATGCAGTTCTGCAGATGAGAGATACATACAAAAACAAAAAGAAAACAAAAAAATACAAAACAAGGGTTTGTGGTCAGGGAAGCTGCCCACCTTCGCTATTATCCTATACAACACAGAACGATCACACAACTCTCACTCATCCTACACAACTGTGGACACACATACACAACCATCATTGATCCTACACAATGGGACACACACACACAAGCATCACTGATCCTACACAACAGTGGACGCACACATACAACCATCATTGATCCTACACAACAGGGGACACACATGCACAAGCATCATTGATCCTACACAACAGGAGATGGCTACACAACTGTCATTCATCCTGCACAATATGGACACTCACACAACTCCCATTCATCCTACACAACAGAGGATGCCCACACAATTGTCATTCATCCTGCAGAACACAGACACCCACACAACTGTCATTCACCCTACACAACAGGTGATCCCACACATCTCTCGTTCATCCTGCACAACATGCACACCCACACAACTGTTATTCATTCCACACAACAGGTGGTGCCCACACAACCATCATTCACCCTACACAACACAGGCACCCACCTGTCATTCACCCTACACAACAGGCGATCTCACAAAACCATCATTCACCCTACATAACACAGACACCCACCTAACTGTCATTCACCCTACACAACAGGTGATCCCACAAAACCATCATTCACCCTACACAACACAGACACCTATGCAACTGTCATTCACCCTACACAACAGGTGATCCCACACAACCACAACTGTCATTCATCCTACACAACACAGATGCCCATACAACTGCCAGGTTTCTGAGAGTCACGCTGCCTAGGAGAGCAGTGGCCCGGGCGGGGCACCACTCCAGCAGAGCTCATCCAAGGCCACTGACATGTCTTATTCCACCCTCCCCATCCTGCCAGAAAAAAAGCTTAGCTGCGGGGAGAGGGGAGAAAGAAAACAGTATAGGTTCTAAAATTCATCACTGCTCGGGGACTTGTCTTGAAAGAGTGCTTTTCCCCAACACACGTCAACGTCTTCCTCTGGCTCCCATCTAAGACACATGAGGGGAGTTTGTTTTTTACAATGTGACACACGGGACCACGTAAGGGACCTGCAGGCTGGGAGTCCTGCAGGCACCAGCCCCGCGCGCACTCTGCCTTAGATCAAAGCTGTGTCAAGCAGCACAGCCCCGGGAGATAAGAATCTGAGGTCCCTGCGATCGCAGCGTTGAGATTTTCCACTAAAAATATTTACCGAATTTTGAGAAAATCTGCTTCATGCATTGAAGGGAACAGGATGAGGTTTGGTTCTGAACTGTTGAGAAAAGCTGAACAAATATTTACTACGAGCCACTGCTGGCCGCTGTGTTTTCCTGCCCTGTGAGGTGTGTGAGGTGGGCAGGGGGCTGTTGAACCCAATGGCTGTGGCCTCATCTTGCCATTAAAAGAAGAAAGTGGGGAAAAGGTGCTGTGCCTTGGGGTCCTCAAAAGGCAAATATCATTTGAAGTGAGAAATAACAATTTTCTAGAGGTCACCACAAAAGGCTCCCATGACATTTACATAAAACCTGCCAGGCAAGGGCTGCACCAGCCCTGGAAGAAAAAAAAGTGTGTGTGTGTGTGTGTGTGTGTGTGTGTGTAGGGTGGGGTATGTGATTTGGAAATGAATTTACAAATCACAAGCCAGTCTTCATGACAAAAATAATACAGACTGGCAGGTGTCACAATTCTGGCTTCTTTGAAAATTCGCATTTGTTCTCTGGCGGGCACCTTTGACATACCCTGCGTGAACACCCCTGGGTGTCAGCCCCATCCTCTGGGGGGATTTCCAGGGAGAGATGCTATCTATGCATGAGCCAGGCACGGGGAGCCCTGACAGGGCAAGGGGGCCCAGCTTTGTTCCTCCCTACGGAGTGTGCCAATGTCGCAGACGCCACCTCTGCAAAGGGTAGGAAGGCGCCTTGCCCACATGTAACAAGATCCCTGAGAACGCCGTGCAGCGAGTCTGAAAGCTGGTTAGGGGTCGTGCATGAAAGGACCCAAAAGAGCCCCTGGGAGGGGAGCAAGTGAGGCGCAGAGCCCACCAGGAGCTCCCATGGTGGGGGACACTTTTGCTCTCTTTATGGCCAGATTCCCCATTGCCCGAGTGCATGTGATATTTTGCAGTTAGCAGTGGCAGGCAAGGGGCGCGCTGACTCAGGGCTTTGAATAGGAGAGATGAAAGATGAGGGGCCATGTTCACCCCGCCAGAAAAGCAGGGAGGCGGTGCCCAGAGCTGCACCCAGAGCCCCCTTCTGAGGCGTCTGCCCCAGCCCTCACCTCCCTCAGGTGCCAAGCAAGGGGTTGAGGTGTCCTGGAGGCAGGTACACCCGATGTCCCCAGGGCGATGGCTCCCGTCTGTTCACACCTATACTCAGATGCTGGGGTGGGAGCCCAGCCACTCTAGGCCTGCACCCCACCCTGCAGCCCCCCAGGCCTCAGCATTTGCACCCCACTGAACACCAGATGATAATCGAGTCACACGACACTCCCTGGATCCGCCTCTGGGTACAGTGTGCCCAGGAAGGCAAATGCTTCTATTTTCAAACTCAGTGGTCTTTACAGAACAGAAAGTGCTCCAAACGGCAATCTGCCTGCAGTCAGTTTAAACATACAAGGCTGACATTCCTCCCTCTCAGAGTGGGACCGTTCCTTGGCACCGTCAGCAGGTCCCACCCAGCCCTAAGACAGACCTTCCAGAGGGCTCAGACGGAAGCTCTGAAGCTTCCTTGAACACAGCAGTGCTGGGGGATGGGGGGCGTGGGCAGGAAAGAGGGACTCCACCTGGTTGGCCGTTTTAGGCTCCTTGGGACCCCCTCCCCATCCTGGCTGGCAGGCAAGTGCCAGAATTTTCCAGGCCCCTTGAGATGGTGGAACCACTTGTCCCATTGTAGAATTTCACATGTACCCACCGGATTATCTCTCTGAGATCATCGTGGGAACGAAATTGAAGTAGTTAAGTTCAAGGCTGAGGTGCTAACCGCAGGGTTCAAATGGAGATGCCATTTTTAAAGTGGATCTTGTGCAATCAACAAAAGGTTTTGGGACCCACATGGGCACATGATGGGGAGAGGTCACTGAGCCCTGGTTTCGATGTTGGCCTGGCATTTCAGAGAAGTGGGAGAGCTGGCAGCACTTAGGACCTCAGGGCTTCCTCGGTGGCTGCATCCTGTGTGGCACCCCCGGCAGGGAGGTCAAGAACTCACGGCCACCCTGGGTGGATGCCACACACAGGTACGGGAGGGGCTTGTTTGCAAGGGGAAGAATGACTTTTGTCTTCTTCTTTTGTTGAGAGAGCTGCTCAAATCAAACAGGACAGCCGCTGGTTAAACTTAGGTAAAAGCTGTTCGTTAGTGCAACTGTGGGGAGGGGGCGAAAAGACATGCTCATCACCATCACCTATGCGGCTTTGTTTAGGAGGTGAAAAGGTCATTAGCAGTAATAAAATAATCATTAAATTGGGGAGAGGTTAAAGGTGACTGGCTGGTTAGCGGTAGAACTGCGCTGGCTGGTGTCACCGGGCGCTGCAGGCAGGAACCGCAACGCAGGGCCGCGCTGGCAGGAAGTGGCAAGGGTGGGGCCGGTCGCAGGATCCCACTATCGCAGCAGGGCTGAGGCCCAATCACTGACACCCACACAGCCGTTTCCTGCACTTAAAAAAAAAATCTGTTTCTCTCTTTGCAAATCAACAACTTTTACCTAGAAACTCTTCAGCGGTGAGCTCTGACTGATCTTGATCTCCGGTCCGTTGCAGAAAATATACCATTGTTTACCTGGGGGAGGTGTGTGCCACGGCTAACTTTAACCTAACTCTAACTGACAGGTTTCGGCAGCCTGCCGGGTCTGTGCTGCATCTGCCTGAAAGAAACCAGTTTCTTCTGCCCAAAACAGACACCTGCTGGTTATTTAATACCTTGATACACCTTTCTTGAAAAGACCTCCAGGCAAGAAGAACTTAGTGCCCACACCAAAGCTCCATGCATGCCCCAGGAGATGGCCCTTGGTGGTCCCCAGAGTGCACTTTCTGGCTTAGATGGAGACAGAACTGAGTATGTGGCCTTGAGGGCAGATGGCCAACTGTGGGCTACTCAGCTGTACGCTGTGACCGGAACTCTCCCTCGAGGAACCTCTGCAGGTTCCCAGGTGGAGGGGTCCACCTGTGACTGTCCAGGTCAACACCTGTCTGCCCGTGCACCCACACTGCATGCCAGCCACACCAAATGTCAATTTCACCTCAATTGACCTTTAAACAAAATAAGACAAGCAGCTCCCACGGAATTTGAAAACTGCAGCCTCTAGAACACAAGAGATGGCACCAAAGCCACACGTGACTCAGACCCAAACTCACATTTGGTCCTGTATGAGCGATGACCCACAGAGGACGCTGGAGCCCTCTTTGAAGTTCAACTCCCTGCACGCTTTTTTTAACGGAAAAGATTTCCACTAAACTGTGACCTCACAGGGAGAAAAGGGCCCAATTAATGACTCCCAGAATGTGTGCAGCCACCTCAGCTGCCCAGCCTGTCTTTCCTGGAAAAGGTGCCCATATGGCAGAAGCCTGCGTCCCGGTCCCTGTGCCGCAGGGTGGGGATGGGGGCTACAGACCACATACAGCACGTCACCGTGCAAGGCGCTTCACCCACACACCCACCTGCTAGGCCTGAGTGGGTCCCATGGTCAGGCAGGAAAACTGAGGCTCAGGGAGGTTAAGTGACCCACCCGGGGCCTCCCTTTCCTCCAATGTCCAGAAACCAGCCTGATCAAGCAGTCCCCTGGATTCTAGCAGAATTGGCTGCCCAGAGGACAGAAGGAAGCGGCCTCAGTTCTCCTGTCCTGGCCTCACACATCAGCCATTTCCTGGCACAGAGGCCTAGCAGGGTTCTAGAAACCTCTGGGTGCCCTGGGATGGACAAACCCTGGATGGGAGCATGGGACATCAGACATGTTCCATGTGCCAGGCGGAGAGATGACAGAAAAGCTTGTTCCTTCATTGTGATTTCCATGAGTGCAGGTGTCAACGCTGTGTGCATGTTTAAGACTGCCCACTGGACAGCCTATGGGTCCTTCAGACTTTTTGTCAGTCTGTCTATCTCCACCAGCTCAAGGCTCGACCGCCAGGCTCACAGGGGGTCGCATTTCACCTTCCTCCTCACTCAGCCACGCTGGGACCCACGCATCTCGCGCAAAGCCCCAGCATCTGGGAAGCCCTGGGGTGGCCAGGGGAAGGCGGCCGTCACTGTGTGCTGGCCGTGTGGTCTCCCTGAGCAGAAAAAGCCTGGGGTAGCAAGAAAGGCAGAAAGGCTTTTTTTGGTTTGTTTGTTTGTTTTAAGAAAACATAAAGTCCAGCAGTTTGAAAACGTTGGACTTTATGCTTAAAAAAAAAAAAAAAAATTCACAGATTAGCTTCACTATCTTCTGTCTTAAAGAAGCCAAGAAAACAAGAGATCTGCCTTGTGTCTTCCTGGCGAACTTTCTGAGCACGACTTCACCCGACACTCATCTGCTGACCGCTCTTGCCCATAACCAGAGGCCTCCTGGGCTGCACGTGGGTCTGTGCCGTGTGGCCAGGAACCGGGAAGGGAATTGTACAGAGCCCGGCTCTGATTCCCTTGACCAGAGAGCAAGGGTAGGGCAAGCATCTTCCTTTGCAATTCCCCAAAGAGCCAAACACTTCTCCCCAACATGTGACTCACCAAAGGTCAACCACTGGGTCAACTCAGTGTTTGGACTGTTAGAGGTTAGTACGGAATCACAGCACAAATAATGCTGCAAGCTCAAACGGCAACCACCACACGGTCTGTACCTACCACCCAGCAGCGAGTACAATGCAGAATTTTTCTGTTCAGCCATTGCTTCTGGGTAAAAGAATCAAATGAGAAATATTTAGGCCTCCACACAGATCTGCAGTTGCTCCGGACTTAAAATGCTGCGCGTGCATTGGCTGTTTTAGAGAATGTTCTGAAGCTCATGGCTTGGTTCTCGTTACTCCTGTCTTGGGGCAGGAGGCAGGTCACTGGGTGTAGACCTGGCCCTGCTGCCACCTTGCTGTGTGACCTTGGGGAGCCCCCATGACCTCCCTCCCCGCCTTTCCTCTTCCAGGAAATGGGCATGGCCTGGCCTGTCTCCCTCACGGGTCTTGCTGGGACCTAGTGAGATAAGAACTGTTCAAGCACTTCCTAAGGGCCCATCAATGTTAATATATTTCTGCAGAGCACCGAGTGGCACAGCAACCATCAACCACAGCAGAACAAAGATGCAGTGGCCTGTGCCACGAGTAAAGGAGCCCAGGACCCCCTGGGTCTCAAATTGTGCAACAGCTCCCTAAAAAGCCTGAACCCTGAAGCCAGGCCCAAGGAAGTCACCCAAACTCCCGTTATCAAACGTTCTACTTTTAACAAGCATTCTTTTCTGCTTTCGAAGCCCACAGTACACTAACAGCAGAAGCCAAGGTGGGGTGGGTAGGCTTGCAGAGGGAGACACGATGGGAGGTGATAACTGAGGGAAAGTTCAAAAGCAGACCCAGCGCCGGGTTTAGGTACGTGGGGAGGCGGGGGTGGCGGTTTCCATGAAACACTGAAAATGAAGCTTTGCACCTGTGAGCTGTTGAGTGGGATGGCTCCTCCTCAGGGCCCAGCAAATACGGCACTGCTCGGCAAGTGTGTGCACCCATATGAGAATACGTGCACATGTGTGTAAATGTGTGTACACGTATGTAAGCACAGAGTGTGCATGCCCGGGTGTGTATGAGCACACACGCACGCATATGTGTGTGCACGTTTGCATGCATGCATTATGCAATATCTGTGTAATGCTCACCTGTATTCATGTATATGTTCACATGTGAATATGTGCATGTCTCAATGAATGCATGCACATATATAAGCATGGAGGGTGTGCATGCCCAGCTGTTATCTATGAGAGCATGTGTGTGTGCAGGCATGCACAATGCAGTATGTGAGTGCATGCTGCTCATCTCTATGCATGCATGTGTGTACTGACAAGAGAATATGCACACATGTCCACAGATGCATATAAGCATGGAGAGTGTGCACGGAGGGGTGCATGGGAGAGTGCGTGTGTGCCTGCATATGCGTACATGCAGGCACATGCGAGAATACTCATGTGATGCAGTATGTATGTGAATGCATGCTCACCTGTATGCATGTGTGTTCATGTGCAAACAGGTGCATGCATGCATGTGTCTGCAGGCGTGGAGGATGTGTGTACACAGGGTACACATGTGCATGCAAGAGCATACACGTGTACGTGCACATACATGCATAAAAATACATGGCCGCACGTGGGAATGTGCACATGCATGTGTGCCAGCTGTGTGCATGCATTGTGATTATGCATATATGTGTGTGTGTGTGTGTGTGTGTGTGTGCTTCTGCTCCCATCTTTTAGGCAGAGTGAAGAGGCCCACTGCCGTTCCATCAGGAAGCCAACAAGGATCCCTGAAGAGCCACTGCCTCTGTGTAAGGCACAGGTGGCCTCTTGCAGATGGAAGGGAGTCCCTTTGTTGTTTTGTTTTTCCTCCTGATGGTAAATGTCTTTGATGTGTGGCTTACAGAAATGATCTCTTTACGCATCTGTATCTGCTCAACAGTTCACAGAAAATCTGCTCTAAATCCACACAGCCCATACTTGGTCATACTTTTTCTCCTGACTCATCCACAAGAAAGCCAACCTGGGCACTGCGGGCTGGGTCCCCATCCTCCTGAGAGAAGGCCATGGCCAGCCCAGGGGACAGGAGGAGAGAGGCGGTGTTCTAAAAATAACTTCCCCTATGTTCACCTCTACTGACAGGTGGCCGAGGTGCAGGACCGAGGGTCACTCGTAACTAGTGAGCTGGGGGCATGCGGAGCCTGCTAGGTCCATTCCAGGACCTGCGATGACACAGGGGCTGCAAAGTGAGGCCAGTGGCAGATTCCAGGGGAGGGGCACGTGTAGGCAGGAGGGTGAGCACCACTTCCCTCGCTGGAGCTGATGGAAAGGGCTCGGGGGCATGCCCTATCTAGGGAAGACAGGTAACAGAAGGCATGATCCTGGGAGTGCGTGGGTCTCCTGTGGCTGCCCACAATTCAGGGACAGTGTGGGGAACAGTCTGCCTGGAGGTTAGAGAATAGGAGGCGTCCCAGACCGGGGCACAGATGGAACAGGCAATGACCGGGTAGATAAATGGATCAGGGAGCTGCAGTGACTCCTTCTGCCACTTGAAGCAATAGCTTTCTGTTTGAGAGTCTGGCCAACTGGCCGCCGGCCTAACTCTGTCATACGAGAGAAATCCCACGTGTGAGTTAAAGGGCTTCAGAATCCTCAGGGGACCCTCGAGGGCCAAGGCTAGGAGACATTGGCAGCACTGGCCATGGGGAAGAGGGGCAGGGCCTGTAGGAAGTCCCCTCCTCAGAGCTGTGCGTTGAGATGCCTGGGCAAGCTGGGGCAGAGGGGAGCCCCGAGCCATCCTGCCTCCTCACATCAGATGCCACCAAGGACAATCTCCCGCTCCCTCCACTCTCAGTCCTGAAGCAGCTGGGAAGGGACTGGACCAAGCAGCGACTCCTGCCACCCTCACCCCCAACAGGCCCTCCCTGAGCACGGACAGGGAGAAGGACGGAAGAGAAGGGGCCAGAGTGGCCACAGGGCTGCCGGCCATGAGTGGCTCCTGAAGTATAGCCAGGGCGTCGGGGTGGCACTGACATGCTCAGGCGGAGGCCGCACGAAGCGCCCCCAGCCACAAGGGGAGCTCTAAGGCCAAGGCTTTGTGCACTCCAATACAGAGCCAGAAGCCCAGGGGCCCACAGGACGGGGCGAGGGCGGGCAGGCAGGAGGCACACACCACGCACATACGGCACTTGCGTGGACCTGGGCAGCTGGGCCGGGGGGACCCTCTTGCTCCCCACACAGGGTCCCACGGCATCTGCTGCTACTCTGGGCTGGTGAGCAGGGAGGCCCTGGTCCCCCGCCATCCGGCACCGGTAGGCGGTGGCTGCGAGAGAAGAAAGCTTACTGACCGCTGGGCGGTTTAGGCCGTGGAGGAGCAGGTTTCTTCGGAGGCAGAGCAGGAGTGTCCTGTTTACTTTTAAAGGGGTCATCTGAGAATCCTGCCCCTCCCAAGGAGGAGGTGAAAGGGCCAGAAGGTGGGGGCTGTAAGAGAGGACATGAAAGAGAGGCAAAAATAGTTGTTAAAACAAAGGTGACGGATGTCCACTGAACAGACGCTCATGCTCCAAGGGCCCTGGCAAGGCCTCCTACCCTCTGGACTGCACAACATGGCCCTGCTTGGACGTGGGGTCTCTTTCAAGCCCCATGCTTTCCTCCACCCTCAACAGCAGGGGCCCTCTGGCCTGTGGGTGATGAGCTGCCCAACATAGGGTGGCAGAGAGCAGTCCCATACCTCCACGGGCTTCTAGCACCAAGGGCATCCCCAGTCACACGAGGCACACTGGGTCTTTCCTGACTCCAGGACTTGGCACATAGGGTCCCTTGGGCCTCCTGCTTACACTTCAGAGACACGCCCCACCCTCACCTGTATGCTGGCTGTGGTGCTTGGCACATGCCCTGGTGTGCCGCCTCCCCACTGAGCTGGCCGGTGTGGTCACTGCCTTCAGTTAGTGATGGACAGCTCCAGGTGCTGGGTCAGCTGGCACCAGACTTTCTTCCTCCATGCCTCTGGGCTGCACATGCAGCACCTCAGGTGGAAGTGCATCCTCACATGCCCGGCCACCCGCACTGGTCAGCATGCCCACGCCACCTCCACTGGGCTCTGACCACCTCTGGCCCGGACCCTCGGTCAGCCTCCATCACACCCATCCACATCCTCCACCCCACACCTGCTGTCTCAAACCCAAATCGGACCATATCCTCCAGCTTAAAGAGAGAGACAGTCAGAGATAGTTATAACAATTGGATAGATGAATGGATGGTGGGTGGGCAGATGGATGGAATGGTAGTTGGATGAATGGATAGACATATATGTGGATTAATGGACGAATGAATGGCGGGTGGGTGGATGGATGGATGGATGGGCAGGTAGAGACAGGGAGGCGGGTGGGTGGTAGACAGGGAGGCAGATATGTGGCGACGTCTTGCAGGTAGGTAGGTAGGTAGGCACTTCCTATAGGGAAGCTCCAAGCTCTCATTAAGGCATGCAGGGACTTCATCGCTGCCCCAGCTGCCTGATTTTTCAGGCTCACCTCTGAAGTCACCCCTCCCCTCACAATGCCTCCTTAGTCCCCAGAACCCACTGACCCCCCAGCCGCTGACTCAGCCTCCTGTTTCCAAGTCCTGCAACACTCAGGTCTCCTGCTGGGGAACTCGGCCCACCTCGTCCACCAGGAACCCCTCTCCTTGCTCAGAGCCTGGCTGGACCCCACTGCCGTCCCCCAGAGCTCTCCCAGGGCTCTCCCTGGGGCTGCTTCCTGCCACCCACGCCTGCACTGCTCACTGAGCCACAGAGACACGCTTCCAGGCCTCTCCCACCTGGAGGGCAAGCACAGTCCTCTCCCCGGCACCTGCTGCCTCCAGGCCTGTGATGAGCAGATACTAAGCGCCGCCACCTGGGGGGATGCTTGTCCCTCACTTGGAGCGCCGGTGAGGCACAGGGGAGCCAGGGTCTCCATCAGCCACAGAAGGGCCAGCATATCTCAGGCGTCTGAGGGAAGGGGCTGGGGTGTCCCAGGAGGGAGAAAATCACTTTCTATGGGCAGAAGAAGGATGAGTAACCACTCTTACTAAAACAGAAAATAATTAAGTCTGTAATAAAATAGAAAATAACTACATTTTTACTAACAGAGGAAACACATTGTTACAAAAATGCAAAATAACTAGGAAATTATAGGACAAAGAGATAACACTGCGACAGGAAACAAAAGGAATGGGCAGAAATAGGGGTAAAAATGATCATGTGTTCCTGGCCGGGCGCACTGGCTCACGCCTGTAATCCCAGCACTTTGGGAGGCCGAGGCGGGCAGATCACGAGGTTAGGAGATCAAGACCAGCCCAGCTAATACGGTGAAAAACCCCATCTCTACTAAAAATACAAAAAATTAGCCGGTCGTGGTGGCGGGCGCCTGTAGTCCCAACTACTCGGGAGGCTGAGGCAGGAGAATGGCGTGAACCTGGGAGGCGGAGCTTGCAGTGAGCTGAGATCCCGCCACAGCAGCACTCCTGGGCAACAGAGCGAGACTCCATCTCAAAAAATAAAAAAAATTAAAAAAGATCATGTGTTCCTCCAAGAGCATAGAAGAGAAAGATCAGAGTGGGGCAGAGGTGGAGGGAGGGGCCGGGGGTCTTTAACTTTCTCCCCAGCAGGGAAGGCCTAGAGACAGAGAACAGGTCAAGAGTACAAAGGCACACTCCCAGGGTTTCCCTCGAGAATCTGAATGCAACAGATTGCAGATGTGGGGGAAAAGGTCTACCACCACGTCCAGCAGACAGTCTTAGAGGTATGGCTGCCTCTGCCTCCAGCATCTAGTCACACCGATGCAGCTGACTAAGGCTCCAGCGTCTAGTCACACTGACACGGCCATCTAGGCCTTCAGTGTCTAGTCACACAGACAAGGCCATCTAAGGCTCCAGCGTTTAGTCACACCAATGCAACCATCTAAGGCTCCAGCGTCTAGTCACACAGACGTGGCCGTCTAAGGCTACAGTGTCCAGTCACACCAGTGCAGAGGTCTAAGGCTCCAGTATCTAGTCACACAGATGTGGCCATCTGAGGCTCCAGCATCTAGTCACACAAAAGTGGCTGTCTAAGACTGTAGACTAGCCACACCAATGCAGCCATCTAAGGCTCCAGCACCTAGTCACACAGACACGGCCATCTAAGACTCCAGTGTCTAGTCACATAGACGCGGCTGTCTGAGGCTCTAGCTTCCAGTCACACCAATGCAGCTGTCTAAAGCTCCAGCATCTAGTCACACTGATGCAGCCAGCTAAAGCTCCAGTGTCTAGTCACACAGATGCGGCTGCCAAAGGCTCTGGCATCTGGTTACACAGATGCGGCCGTCTAAGGCTCCGGCATCTAGTCGCACAGACGCAGCCATCTAAGGCTCCAGCATCTAGTCACACAGACGTGGCCGTGTAAGGCTCCAGCATCTAGTCACACCAAAGCGGCCATCTAAGGCTCCAGTGTCTAGTTACAGCAATGCAGCCATCTAAGGCTCCAGCATCTAGCCACACAGACACGGCCACCTAAGGCTCTGGCGTCTAATCACACAGACGTGGTCATTTAAGGCTCTAGCGTCTAGTCACACAGACACAGCCGTCTAAGATTTTAGTGTCCAGTCATGCAGATGCAGCCGTCTAGGCTTCTAGCGTTTACTCATACCAATGCAGCCGTCTAAGGCTCTAGTGTCTAGTCACACAGACATGGCCCTCTAAGGTTCCAGGGTCTACTCACACACACGCAGCCATCTAAGGCTCTAGCGTCCAGTCACACCGACGTGGCCATCTAAGGCTCCAGGGTCTAGTCACACAGACGCAGCCATCTAAGGCTCTAGTCACACTGACACAGTCACACTGACACATCCAGTCACACTGACACAGCTATTTGAGGCTCTAGCTTCCAGTCACACCGATGCGGTCGTCTGAGGCTCTGGCATCTAGTCACACAGATGCGACTCTCTAGGTCTCTACAATTTAGTTGCACAGACATGGCCGTTTAGGCCTCTGGAGTCTAGTCAGAGACGTGGCCACCTGTGTCTCTGGCAGCTAGTTATAGAGATGCAGTCATCTAGGCCTCTAGCATCTAGTTACAGAGATGCATCGATCTGGGCTATTTGCGTCCCGTCACAGAGATATGGCTGCCTCGGACCTTGTGTAGTCCTAGAGTCGAGGTTGCTCGGCCCAGTCAGAGCCACATCAGAGACAGAACAGGGAGGTGGCCCCTCTAAGAGGCAGCCTACCCATTCCAGGTCCCCCCGATAAGGGCAGTGGCAGGTGCCCCCAGGGAGGGGAAGGGGCCCCAAAGGCTCCTGCACAGATGACCCCACCAGATCCCTTCCCTGGGCTTCACGCCGCCCTCTGAAGCTGCCCAGGCAGGAGACACTCGCTCTGTGCTGATCTTCTCACCTAATAATAGGCCCAGTGACCTGGCAGGGGGTCCCACTGTCAGCACCTCTGCCTTACACACAAGGAAACTGAGGCACACAAAGGAGGCGCAGCCTGCCCACATCACACAGCAGGTCCACGGCGGATCCAGGGCTGCCACATCGTCTGCCTCCCAGGCTGGGGCCACCAGACGCTGCCCTCAGCTGCCGAGGGCCACCCCAGTGGTGGGTCCAGGGCCTCGTCCTGGGCAGACTGTCCTGCCCAGGCTGGAACCCCAACCCTGCCACCTACTCAACACCCTGTGCCTTGGTTTCTTCATCTGTAAAATGGCAAGAGTGACAGAGCTCGGAAGGCTCCGGCAAGAAGGAAATGAGGTGCCATGTGACAGGCATCAGTCCACTCACTGGCACTAGATAAAGTTGGCACATGGACCACACGACAATGATCACACCAAGTACGAAGCTGCGATTGGAATCTGGGAGTGCCCCCATCTGCTGCCCCAGTTGTCCCCAGGCCTGTCCGAGACATGAGGGGCAGTGTCGGCCTGCAGCTTAGCTTTAAAATGGGCCGTTTAGGGTCGGCTGTTTGGGAAAGAATGGGGGAAAAACACTGGCCCGTCTGTGGGTGCTTCTGCGATTCATGGAACATGTCCCTGGGCCTAGGGCCCGTGCGAGTCCCCCGCGGCCTGGGATGGGGAGCCAAGCAGGTCTAGATGGGAAGTGGTGTGACCGGCTGGGCCTTGTCCTCCCTGGGCATGTGCTGGCTTCTGGGCCACATCTCCAGACTCGGAGTGGGGCCTCGGTTCCAGTGGCTGCAGTGAGCCTTTCTACCCTCTGTGTCGCGCAATAGGACCCGGGCAATAAAACCACACTCAGCCTGGACGTCCAAAGTTGTAAGACCTGGTGACACACTCAAATCAGAGCCGCCTAACCCTCCAGGCTGACCGGGGACACCTCGGGCCAAGCCGGCTTGGCGCCTCCCATGTGTGTTTAAACCCACGAGGCCAATTGGCAACTCGCGAGGCGACAGGCTTTCAATAAACGCCTGGCACTGCCTCCGCAGTGAATCAGATCACTCCTAGCTCCAGAATGCCCGCGTCATTTCCGAATCCCAATTTTCATGACTTCAAGTTTCCCAAGAAGCCTCCTTGGGGACTCAACTCTTTCCTACTCGGGCAGCGGCTTCAAGGAAAATCTCTATTTTTAGAAAGGTTTCAGTAAAGCTGTCAGGGGCTCTCTGGGCTCGGCAAGAGTGAAGTGTGCTTAAAATAAAAGGAAGACAGAAAAAGCTACTATGAAAACCAGCTCTAAGAGAAACACGTTTGAGTTCACCAGTTGAAGAACTGGTTCAAAACAGAAGACTGAATTTGTAAACAGCAGCCCTAAATATCAATGCACAGCTTTAAACAATTGAGAAGTTGCTAAAAATGGGCTGACGACTAACCCAGTATTTCACAGATGGCTTTTTTTTTTTTTCAGGGCAGAAGAGGGTGAAATAAGTTGGACTCTTGTTTTTATTCTCAAATGCTCCCTGGAAACATACTTTGGGGAATCTGTTTTTAAAGTGAGCTTATGTCACATAGGCTTGATACTGTCTAGAAAAATCTCTTCAGGTGAGGGTGGGGCCTCAACTAAGAGTGCAGGCCCGAAGAGCCTCCCAAAGGAAACTTCTAGAATCAGGCTGTGGGCTGTGACTCTCCTCAGCAAAGCCACGCAGAGGTAAGGTGCTTCAATTCAGGGACTTACAAAAGGGCCTCCCTGCTCTGCTCAGATGGGGAAAAGTTGATGATGGTTTTTTTTTGTTTTTTAAAAAAACACCTTCTTGCCACTTTCATTTCCCTTAGCATTTTATTTATATCCACAATGTTGTTCTTGAAAAACAGATAGGTAACCAAAAAGGAAAAACAGAGCTGCAAGGTCAGGGTTGAGCTCAGAATGCGGCTGTACAAGTGTCATGAAGGCAGCTGATGGAACGCTGGAATCAAAACAAGATAGTATTGGAGACCCATTTTCCACAGCTCTGTCCAACTCTGTCCTGGCCCGGCACCGCCAATAGGAAGTGAGACCGGCTCTGAAATCACAGCTGCATGTGTGTGAAGAGCCCCTGGTTTCAGGGCCCAAGGACAGGCAGAGGGCGGTCATTAGATCCCGGCCCTAGCTCAGGCTCTGCTAGCTCTCCCTCCCTCTGCTCACAGTGAGAGGAGGAAGACAGATCCAGCCTCCCAAAGGAAGAGGAGTCCACTTGCGACAACCAGAAACGACCAGGACGCCTGAGGGACTGCTGCCACCGTGTGGCCAACGTTTTCTGCTTTCGGGAGATGGTTTCCCGCCTGCCCAGGAGCCTGTGCACTGGGCCCTAAATCTTCTGCCAGTCCCAAACCGTGTCACAGCGTGGCATATGAGGGATGGAGGCCTTCTCCGTGTGCTGGAAGGAGGGGGGCGCCATGCCAGGGCCTCTGGGCTCCCTCTGCCCAGGCTCATCTGTGTAAACACACACCCTGCCTCGGTCAGAAGTGGGATCTGCTGCGCCGCCAGGGCACGCACACACGCGTCTTTGAAAACCTGAACAGAATCTCAAGTGCTTCTCGGAATCTGTGTTCTGTGATCACAAGTTGCGACCGCTGCCAACCCCAAGATGCTCAGAGACTCATCTGCTCCACCAGCTGAGTGAACACGGGGCAGCCAAGGGAGACTGCCCAGTCACACTGGCACCTGGGGCACCTGGGCATGGGGCCGGTGGGGCCCCGAGGGGGCCTCATGCCTGGGGCACGCGTCTTCCAGGTACTCCCGGGGCTCCCTCCCCTCACCACCTTCAGGCTGACAGCAGCGCTCACAGGGACTGGGCCCAGCTGCTCCAGGGGACCCCCCACACCGGCCACCCCTTACCACCTGGGCCATGGGCTCCAGGAGGGGGGCTGTGTTCTGCTTGTGGCTACTGCCTCTTCCCGCAGCGTGGATAATGCCTGGGCCTCTGCAGGTGGAACTCGTGAGGAAAGCAGGCCCCTGCAGCCCCCCGAAGACAGAGCCCATCTGCCCCTGCCTGGGGGCTGCCGAGAAGGGACAGAGTGGACGCAGGTGTCAGGGACGGGACACACCTCATCTGCTTTCCTTCATTCCTGCCAAAGAAAAATGCTCCTCACTCAAACAGGGAAACATACAACTCACAAGGAAGCACAATGGTGCCGCAGCCCTGTCCTTCCCACTCACCACAGCCCCCATTTCCAACTTTCCAGCAGTTTCTTCCGGAAGGCACCTCAGTCGTAAGGGGCTTCTATTGTTGTTTTTTGACTTGTCCATTCTGGATGTTCCCTGTTGAATTCTCTATGCTACCTTAAAGATGAGCTCCAACCACACTGCCAGCGTCTGGAGAAGCCCTACAGCTGTCTGGGACCAGAGCCACAGTGAGTTCAGGTCACCGTGTGGTGAGGGCCGGACACCAACGGGTCCAGTCTGGTAACCAGCCTCGCTGCTGTCCTCCTTCAACAGTTCACTCCTCACCTGTGGATCTGTCTGCATTTATTCAAGGAGGCCGGCCCTCACTTTTCAACACCCCTTGAGAGTTCTGTCACATGGGCGACTCTGAACACTCGCTGGCCCACTTTCCCTGGACGCCTCGCACCTGCAGGCCTGCTGCCCATGGCCCTCTCGAGACGCCTGTGCCCAACGCCTTCTCAAGTTTCTACTCGGCCATGGCAATGACTTCACCGTCTGAGACCTGATGGTCGTCAGACACCAGTGGGAGCCAGGGGAGCCCAGGGCACCTATGCCACTGGGAAGGGTCAGGGCTCACCCCACGGGACTGCAGTGCATTGGATCACAGCCATGGATGCTTTCCAGACCTGACCTTGTGTTGGAAAGGTGCCGGGGAGATACATACGTGACATGAACAATTACGCCTGGCAGCCCACACCATGACAAGAGGCACAAAGACACTAGCAGAGGCGCGGGGGCTCCGTGGAGGGGCTTTACCTTGGACATCTGGCTGAAGTCGGCAAAGCCTTCAGCACTATTGAAGGACCCACTTCCGAAGGGATCTAAGGTTCCAAAGGGATCTGCAATCGGCACCAACAAAGTCAGAGTTACAGGTCTTTAAGAGAACATGCCTTCTGGGGTGGAGGGGAAATGCTAGATGGCCCCTGAACCAGGAGACTCAGGAAGGCTGCATTTATTCATTAGACACGTGTGTCTGCATGAAGGCCTCTCAGCAAGGCCCCCCTGCCCACTCTGGCATGGCAAGACGGTTTCTCACTGTGACGACCACTCTGGGAGGGCCAGCATCATTCACGGTCATCAGAAGAGTGACAAGTTGCCACAGAGGCGTGGCCCCTGGGTCCCACTGGGTCTCAATGGGTCAGGAGGCGAGGAGCAACTCCAGGGCGACCTGCCACCCACATGATTTATACAGGGTGGTGTCTTTGGATAGAGGTTTTTGCTGTGTTTTCTCCTCTAACCTGGAAGGGATTTGCCTAGAGTACTGGATACACTCGCCTATGATACCAAACACTGCTACCCGCCCCACGCAAGCTGCAGGACCAAGCGGGGCCTGTTCCCAAAAGAAAGGGGGTGTCCACAGATGCTCCCATTGCATAAAGGCTCGAGCGTGCATCTGCGAGTTCTACACTGTGAGATGAGGTTCCTTCAAACACAGAACCCACAACATAGGCCAGTACCTGGGGTCAAATTCTGGATTTCTTTTAGGGAAAAAACCCAAAGATACAAACCAAAGATTTATAAGGAGGAGTGAGTAAACAGTAGTTAATATCACTGGTGCTATTACTGAATTCCTACTGCCAAAATTCCTTTCTGGAAAGATGCCAGCGCGTGCCCAGGAAGGGGAGCAGCAGCGGGTGCTTGTTTTGGCCTAATGGGCTCAGGCCAGGATCTGGGTGCCACTGACTGATGACACAAACACAGAGGCCACGCTGGCTTTGGGAGTGAAAGTGTTAACTGCGGGGGAGCTCTGCTACTGCCCAAGGAATAGTCAGGAAGAAAAATAAGTCATGGGTCTCACCTGATCCTTTTGAGGAGACACTGGAGGATGAAAAGGGATCACTGGATTCAAAGGGGTCGAGCTAAATGAAAGGAGAGAGGAAAGAGTAAAAAGCAGTTCGTTGGTTCCATCACCCATTCATTCAACCAGACCTTCCTGACGTCGATGTACAACATCCAGTGCTGAGCCAGAGGGAAAGTGGAATGATTAAAACTCAACCCAGGCAGAGTAAAATCCCAACAGATCAACCCTCCTGCAGATAGCACCTATCAACCTGGACGGAATATCCCCAAAATTACAAATACAAAAAGCAGTGGCCTGAAGGCTGGGAAGTGAACAAGACAGGAAGAAGACTTTGGAGGAGAATTTGAATGTGGCAGAAGAACATAGCAGGAGGTTGAGTTTCCATTCCGCCAGCTACAGCAGGAAGGCACAGTGAGGGTGCCTAAGATTCTGGTAGAATCTGACCACCAGAGGATGGAGCCCAGAGACAACCACTCCCAGGGGAAAGGAAGGGGAATCGGGATGGAGGGGCAGAGATGCAAAGATGCAAGCCCTGAACTTCATGATCCACTCTCCCCCAAGTCTCAGGCTGGCCTCTGCACACGCAAGCCTGGGGGGACTCGAGGCAGCCTGTAGCTGAGGCCACAAGAACTGAGCTGGGATTGGAGCTTCTGCCATCTGCTGGTGAGTGTCTGCAGTGTGAGTGGCACCAAGTTAACTGCCTGCTGAAACAAATCCATTCCTGCTCTTTGGAGAAAACAGACTACAGTCTCTACACAGAACGCTCACCATGTATCAGATACATTTCTAAACATATAAAGAACTGGAAAAATGTGACCACCTCTCACCGGAAAAGACAATCAGTGTAGCCAATCTCAAAATAACCCAGATGGTGGAACTCTGAGACAGGGACAACGTAAAACGGTGATTATAACTGTGCTGAATGAGGAAAAGGAAAATACACTTAAAATGAGTGAAAACACAGGTGACCTTAGAAGAGAAATAGAAAATATACGAAAGAAACAAATGAAAGTTCCGGAACTGAAAAAGTGTATCTACAATAAAAACTTCATCACCGGGGTCAGTGGATCACCCAAGATCAGGAGTTCAAGACCAGCCTGGACAACATGGCAAAACCCTGTCTCTACTAAAAATACAAAAATTGGCCAGGCGGGCAAGGCACAGTAGCTCATGCCTGTAATCCCAGCACTGTGGGGGCCAAGGCAAGTGGATCACCTGAGGTCAGGAGTTTGAGACCAGCCTGGTCAATATGGTAAAACCCATTTCTACTAAAAATACAAAAAATTAGATGGGCGTGGTGGTGGATGCCTGTAATCCCAGCTACTTGGGAGGCCGAGGCAGAAGAATCACTTGAACCCAGGAGGCAGAGGTTGCAGTGAGCCGAGATTATGCCATTGCACTGCAGCCTGGGCAACAAGAGTGAAACTCCGTTTGAAAAATAAATAAGCCAGGCTTGGTGGTGCATGCCTGTAATCCCAGCTACTCAGGAGGCTAAGGCAGAAGAATGGCTTGAACCCAGGAGGTGGAGGTTGCAGTGAGCTGAGATCATGCCACTGCACTCCAGCCTGGGCGAAAGAGCGAGACTCTGTCTCAAACAAACAAAAAAAAACCCCACTTCATTAGGTTAGCTAAATAACCAAGAATAAAAGAAAGAGTAAGTGAAGTTGAAAACAGAGCAGTAGAAATTACTCAATCTGAAGAAAAAGGAGAAAAAAGAATGAAAAATAAATAAATAAATAGAGCCTCAGGAACCTGTGGGACAATAACAAAGGGTCTCATATCCATGTAACTGGAATCCCAGAAAGAGAGGGGAGAGAAAATTGGGCAGAAAAAACAAATTAGGAGAACTGACAGCTGAAAGCTTACCAAATTTGTTTTGTTGTTTTGAGATGGGAGTCTCACTCTGTCACCCAGGCTGGAGCGCAGTGGTGCAATCTCAGCTCACTGCAACCTCTGACTCCCAGGTTCAAGCGATTCTCCTGCCTCAGCCTCCCAAGTAGCTGGGATTACAAGTGTGCACCACCACGCCTGGCTAATTTTTGTATTAGTAGAGACGGGGTTTCACCATGTTGGCCAGGCTGGTCTCGAACTCCTGGCCTCAAGTGATCCGCCCACCTCAGCCTCCCAAAGTCCTGGGATTATAGGAATGAGCCACTGAACCGGCAATGAAAACTTATCAAATTTGTTGAAAAGCATAATTTACAGATTCAAGAAGCTGAGCAAAGCCTAAACAGTATAAACACCAAGAAAACTACACCCAGAAACTTCAAAAACTACTGAAAACCAAAGATAAAGAGAGAATCTTGAAAGTAGCCAGAGAAAAACCACCTATTACATACAGGATAACAATGACCTGAAGAAATACTCCTCTCCACCGGGCACGGTGGCTCACGCCTGTAATCCCAGCACTTTGGGAGGCCAAGGCAGGCAGATCACGAGGTCAGAAGATCGAGACCATCCTGGCTAACATGGTCAAACCCCGTCTCTACTAAAAATACAAGAAATTAGCTGGGCATAGTGGCGGGCGCCTGTAGTCCCAACTACTCGAGAGGCTGAGGCAGGAGAATGGCGTGAACCCGGGAGGCGGAGCTTGCAGTGAGCTGAGATCACGCCACTGCACTCCAGCCTGGGCAACAGAGCAAACTCTGTCTCAAAAAAACAAACAAACAAACAAACAAAAACTCTTCTCATTAAGGACAATGGAGGCTGGAAGGCAGTGGAAAAACACACTAAACAAACAAACAAAACCCCAACAACCTACATCAAACACAATGTCCTTCAAGAATGACAACAGGCCTGGCACAGTGGCTCATGCCTGTAATTCTATCACTTTGGGAGGACGAGGCGGGCAGATCACTTGAGTTCAGTTCAGGAGGTCAAGACCAGCCTGGCCAACATGGTGAAACTCCATCTGCATTAAAAATACAAAAATTAACCAGAAATCGCTTGAACTTGGGAGGCGGAGGTTGGAAAAAAAAAAAGAAAAGAAAAGAATAATAGCTGGGTGAAGTGACTCAAGCCTGTGATCCCAGCACTTTGGAGGGGCTGAGGCAGGAGGATTGCTTGAGCCTAGGAGTTTGAGACCAGCCTGGCCAACATATGGAAATCCCATCTCTACAAAAAATAAAACAATAGCTGGGTGTGGAGGTACATGCCTGTGGTCCCAGCAACTTGGGAGGATGAGGTGGGAGAACTGCTTGAGCCCAGGAGGTTGAGGTTGCAGTAAGCCAAGATCACACCACTGCACTTCAGCCTGGGCAACAGAGTGAGACTCTGTTTCAAAACTAAAAATAAAAAAATGACAACACAGTCGACCTGAGCTATAAGAAGTGCTAAAGAAAGTTCTTTAGGCTGAAGGAAAATGATAATGGAGGGAAAACCAATCTTCAGTAACAAATGAAGAGTATCAGAAATGGTACATATTTGGGTAAAACTAAATGACTACTTTTTTCCTCTTTCTTTACAATACCCACAATGGATTAATACAAAAATTGTAACAGTCTTATGGAGTTTCTAATGTATTTAGATGTATGAAATTCACATGACGGCTATAACATAAGACATGCTGGCTGCAAGGGTGGGTGGACAAATGGACCTACATGGTTGCAAGTTTTCTATATTTTACATGAGATAATACAATACTAACCTCAAGTAGACTATGAAAAGTTAAAGCTGTACATGATATTTCCTAAAGCAACCTCTAAACAATCATTAAAAGAGGTATGATTAAAATAATAAAAGGCCAATAGACAGAATTCAAAAAAACATTCAAACAATTCAAAAGAAAGCAGGAAACAAAACATGGGATAAAAAGCAAGCAAATAATAAAATAGTAGACTTAAACCATATCAATAATTACATTAAATGTTAATGGACTAAACATTACACTTACAAGGCAGGGACTTCTGACTGGATTTTAAAAAAAAAAGCAAGCCCCAACACTATGCTACTTACAAAAGACACCTATCAGTTTTAAAGATCCAGGTAAGTTGAAAGTAAATGGTTGAAAAATGATGTATCATGTAGTGAATAACATGAGGAGAATGAAGTGATTAAACAGACTTCAAGACAAAGAACATCACCAGAGATCAAATGGGAATCTTTTATAATGATAAAAAGGTTGTTGTGTCAGAAAGACACAACAATCATAAACACCTATGCACCTGACAAAGCTTCAAAATACACAAAGCAAAACTTGATCAAATTAAAGTGCAGTATGAACAATTCCACAATCATAGGAGAATGTTTAACGCCTCTCTCTCAGACACTGGTAGGACTAAAAAACAAACAAACAAGACACAGATAATCTGAACACTATGAGGAACCTCAACCTCACTGCCATTTGTAGAGCATTACACCCAACAACTAGATACACATTCTTCTCAAGTGTACATGGTTTGTTCACCAACATAGGCCACAAACAACAACCCTTGATTAATGTGAAGGTATTGAAAACATACAGAATATGTTCTCAAATAACAAATTTAATTAAAAATCAATAATAATAGTATTATAATATACCTAGGAGAAAAAGCCAAGTATCTGGAAATGAAACAACATACTTTTAAGTAATCCATAAGTGAACAGAATTCACAAGGGAAACTGGAAAATATCTCAAAACTGAATGGCAATGAAGAGATAAAGTATTCAAATATATGAAATACATGTAAAGCAGTGCTTAAGGGAAATATGTTGCTTTAAATTTATACAGATGCTCCTTGACTTACCATGGGGTTACATCCTGATAAACCCATTGTAAGTTGAAAATATTTTAAGTTGAAAATGTACGTAATATCCCAATAAACCCATCACAAAGCAAAAAATCAGAAGTCAAACCAATGTTAAGTCCAGACACTCCTTGACTTATGATGGGACTGCATCTCGATAAAACTATTGTAAAGTCAAAAAACTGTAAATTGAACCATCGTAAGTCAGGGACCGCCAGTACTAGAAAATGAAGTCTAAAATTAATGAATGAAGCTTGGATCTTAAGATGTTAGAAGAGCAAAGTAACCCCAAATAAATAGGAGTAAGGAAATGGAAAAAAATAGAAATAGAAAAGAGAAAATCAATGAAATAGAAAACAAGCAGTAGAGAAAAATGAAGCCAAAAGCTGGTTATGGGAAAGGTCAATGAAATTGGTAAACAGATCACCAATACCAGGAATGCTAGGGAAATTCTCACTACAGGTCTTAAGGACATTAAAAAGGGGCCAATAAGAAAATACTGCAAATGAGTCTTTGCCTTCAAGGAGCTTCAAGCGCTAAAGACCAAAAGGTCCACAGGGAGTGAGCGAGGTGGGCGCCAGGGTAGCAGGAGCCCTGAGAAGGAGGGTGAGTGCCCGTCTCTGAGCAGGCCCCGGGCCTGGGTTGCAGCCTAGAAAACGGAAGAAGGCTATGAAGCACGCTCACTCCATCATGAACATCCTCTGCTCCATCACCGAGGCTGCTTTTTTTTTTTTTTTTGGTTTTGAAATCCAAGTTGACACCTATTTAACCCAATCTCTTGGGCATAATATGCAAAATACCCGGTGTCTGCCACGCCCGGGGATGGGAGTACAGGTATGCTGGAGTTGGAAACTGGAGGGTCAGAGTTGGCTGATGCTCTCAGGAGACACCAGGCAAGGCAGCCGGGCTGAGACGCCTGCACTTACTCCTGCCGTGACGGGAGCACCTACCAAACGTGACTCTAAGGTCCCCACCAGTGCTGTGTGTTACAAGGACCGTGCAGGGTGGCCGGGTCCATGCGAGCATGTGGTGCTTGTGTGATTTAGTCTTTTTTGGGAGATGAAGGGGCAGTGGGGGCAGATGACTAGAGTTGAGGGGTAGGAATGGGGATAGAGAAATAAGAACTATGGGTGACATCCTCCTTGCCCTGATGTGGGGCCACTGGACTGCTAACTGCACCTTGGGGCTCACAGGATGTCACTGCAGTGACTAGGCCAGTGAGCTCCCTCACTCAGCAGGAATGAAATCAGCCTGGGATACCAGCTCCCGGAGAACAGACACCATGGCCCACACTCGCAGGCACCATGTACGCTCCACGAAGGGAAGGGGGCCTTCGGGAAGCGCCACCCTTACCACACAGAGCAGGCACGCAGCTCTCCCGGGCAACGTCCCACCCCACTCACCTTCGAAGGTAAGGAAGGGTTTTTCGTGAATGGATCCGAGGTAAATGGGTCATTCTTTGTCTGTTTCTTGAAGAAGTCGTCAGTGGCAGAGCCACGGAATGGGTCACTTTCTTTGAAAGGGTCCCCTCCAAATGGATCTAGAAGGAAAAATGCCCCATAAGTAAACATTATACCAAGTGAAAGAACCCAGACATAAAAGAACACATCACAGAATGATGCCGTTTACATGAAATTCTAGAAAGGTAAGAACGCTAGTGACGGAAAACAGGATAATGGTGGCCAGGGGACCCTGAGGAGAGGGTGGAGGGTGACAACAAAGGGGCCTCAGGAATGACAGAAGTGTTCTCAAATTGCACACAACCGTGCATATTTAATGAAACTCATCTTATTACATAGTAAAATGGGTGAATTTTGTTCTGTGTAAATTATGCCACTCAATAAAATTGACTTTAAAAATAATAATATCCTGGCCAGGCACAATGGCTCATGCCTGTAATCCCATCACTTTAGGAGGCTGAGATAGGAGGATCACTTGAGGCCAGGAGTTCAAGACCAGCATGGGCAACACAGAGAAAAATAAAATAAAAAATTAGCCAGGTGTGGTGGCACACGCCTGTAGTATCAGCTACTAAGGAGGCTGAGGCAGAAAGGCTGCTTGAGCCCAGGAGGTCAAGGCTGCAGTGAGCTATAATTGCGCCACTGCACTCCAGCCTAGGCAATAGAGTAAAACCCCATCTCTAAATAAATAAATAAAATATCCTGCAGGAGCTGGATATAATAATAATAATAATAATAATAATAATAATAATAATAATAATAATAAACAACGCAGGTAAATCCATAGAGACAGAAAATAGGTTGGTGGGTGCCAGGGGTTGCGGGAGGGAATGGGGAGTGACTGCTGATTGGGATGGGGTCTCCTTTTGGGGGGATGAGAATGTTGTGGAACTAGATGAAGGTGATCATTGCACAACACTGTGAGTGTGCTCAATACCACTGAATTGGATGCTTTAAAACAGTGACTTTTATGTTACATAAATTTCACCTGAAAAAAAATAAATCGGTCGGGCATGGTGGCTCACGCCTGTCATCCCAGCACTTTGGGAGACCAAGGTGGGCAGATCACCTGAGGTCAAGAGTGTGAGACGAGCCTGGCTAACACGGTGAAACCCCGTCTCTACTAAAAATACAAAAAATTAGCCGGGCGTGGTAGCGGGCGCCTGTAGTCCCAGCTACTTGGGAGGCTGAGGCAGGAGAATGGCGTGAACCCGGGAGGCGGAGCTTGCAGTGAGCCGAGATCGCGCCACTGCACTCCAGCCTGGGCGACAGAGCGAGACTCCGTCTCAAAAAAAAAAAAAATAAAAAATAAATAAATAAATAAATAAATAAAATAAATAAATAAATTAGCAAGCAATGTGATCCCACCACACTCCAGGGTGGGGTGCGGGCAGTGACTGGACCTGGGGAGGGGAGCCACCTCCAGAAGGGAACGGGACCGAGAATGGGTACAACATGGATGGACGGCCGTCCTTCCCAGTTACATGGCTGCCATCCCCGGTGTATGTGGACACAAGTCCCACCACATGCGACTTCTGAGCCAGGACTGGACACAGTCTAAAGACCGGTCCGGGAAACACTGAATTTTACCTGTTGAAGTTGTCTGCTGTTCTGCAAAGGGGTCATTCTGGAACGGGTCGCCTGGTTGGAAGAGGAGAGAAATGCTTATTAGCTCTAGGGCACAGGATGCGGGCCGGGCCCTTGGACACAGCCACCCACCTCCCAAGCCTTTCATTGCCTTCTACTCCTCCAGTGTAGGGAGAGAATGTTAGTTCCTTCTCTACTATCCACCTGCCCTCAAAACCTTGGCAAATCAAAGAGGGGGACCTGGAGGAGGCAGCTGTTTCTGGCTAGGATGTTTAAGATGAGAAGGAAGGTACTGCTGGCTGTCCCACACAGACTGGAGTTGGGGAAGACACAGAGTGGGCTAGAATTCACTCCTCTCTTCCCATGCTGGGTTTCCTTTATCCCATCTGCCTGCCAGCTCCCTGGGTAAGAGGACACAGGACCCTGGGCTGTCCCTCACTTTATCACCGGCCCTGCAGCAATGAGGCGGCGGCACCCCTGGGCTTCAGGGGCTGCCAGATTCGCCTCTCAGACCCGGCAGGCTTCAAACCCAAGCTGAAGCTCAAGCTCCCGCTGCCCTCTCCCCACCTCAGTGTTTTTCTCAAAAATGTAGAGAGCCTTCCTCCTGGAAATACTGTTTTGCTCTGAAACATGGACAGAAACTTGGAAATCTTGTTTCTGGAATTCTTAGTTATTCTTGACTCAGGTGTGGCTCTGGACAGACTCCTAAAATTATCCAGACCTTAGGTTTATGTAGGAATCCATGGTTTTCCAGGTACTTTCATGATCATTACTAGCTCTGATTATTTTATCAACCCTGTGAGGTGAGCAAGGAGGAAATTTATTAACCTGCTGAGGGATTAGGAAACTGAAGTACTGAAGGGTTCAAGGGGGCTGGCCAAGCTGCCTTCAAATGTGGGTCTTGTGGTGAGCTTGGAACACTTCCCACTGTATCTTGATGCCTTGGCTCTCTGGTTAACAGGGTGAGATAAGAAGCTTAAAAGGCGTTCCTGCTGGGTGCGGTGCCTCACACCTGTAATCCCAGCACTTTGTGGGGCTGAGGCGGGTGGATTACCTGAGGTCAAGAGTTCGAGACCAGACTGGGCAACACAGTGAAACCCCAACTCTACTAAATATACAAAAATTAGCCGGGTGCGGTGATGGGCGCTGAGGCAGGAGAATTGCTTGAACCCAGGAGGCGGAGGTTGCAGTGAGCCGAGATTGCGCCACTGCATTCCAGCCTGGCTGACAGCAAGAGAGCGAGAGTTCGTCTCCAAAAAAAAAAAAAAAAAAGGCATTCCTTTCCCCCTCCATTTCAGATTGTGGCATGTCCTTACTTTTCTAGTTGAAGAACCACTCTAAATTCGACATAAAACACACAGTCTTTCAATGAGAAAGTGGGTAGCAAGTGAGATACCTTTGAAGGGGTCAGCTCCTTTAAATGGGTCAGATTTGAAGGGGTCTTCTGTCTGGAAAGGATCCGGATGCAACTCTTGCGTGTTGTTGCTAAATAACAAGGCTTTATTTTTGAAAGGATCATCCTACAATTTTGTGAAGAAACAGGACAGGGATTTTATTATTTCTGAGTTAAAGCAAAGTACGGAATTCCATACTTAACTCACATTTCCACTTTGAGTAGCATGACCCTAAAAAGAATGATTTAGCCAGGAGTTCGAGGCTGGCCTGGGCAACATAGCAAAATCCCATCTCTATAAAAACAAAAATTTAAAAATGAGGCCAGGCATGGTGGCTCACGCCTGTAATCCCAGCACTTTGGGAGGCCAAAGCAGGTGGATCACCTGAGGTCAGGAGTTCAAGACCAGCCTGGCCAACATGGTGAAAACCTGTCTCTACTAAAAATACAAAAAATTAGCTGGGTGTTGTGCCGGGCACCTGTAATCCCAGCTACTTGGGAGGCTGAGGCAGGAGAACTGCTTGAACCCAGGAGGTGGAGGTTGCAGTGAGCTGAGATTACGCCATTGCGCTCCAGCCTGGGCGATAGAGTGAGTCTATCTCAAAAAAAAAAAAAAAAAAATCAAGGTGTGGTGGCGTGTACCTATAATCCCAGCTACTTGGGAGGTTGACTCAGGAGATTGCCTGAACCCAGGAGGTGGAGGTTACAGTGAGCTATGATTGTGCCACTGCACTCCAGCCACAACAGTGCAAGACCCTGTATCTTTAAAAAAAAAAATTAATTAAAGATCATTGAAGAAGTATGAACTTGAGTGAATAATAATGTTTAATACTGGTTCATTAGTTGTGACAAATGTACTATATATGATGTGACTAACAGGAGGAACTGGGTGTGGGATATAGAGGAACTATGCACTATCTTTGCAGTTTTTCTTTTTCTGAAACAGGGTCTCACTCTGTTGTCCAGGTTGGAGTGCAGTTGCACACTCATGGGTTACTCCAGCCTTGACCATCTGGGCTCAAGTGATCCTCCCACGTCGGTCTCCCGAGTAGCCAGGACTATAGGCGCGCACCACCAAGCCTGGCTAATTTTTATATTTTTTGTAGAAATGAAGTCTCTCACTATGTTGCCAGGGCTGGTTTTGAACTCCTGAGCTCAACTGATCCTCCCACCTCAGCCTCCCAACGTACTGGGATTATAGGCATGAGCTACCGCACCTGGCCTATCTTTGCAATTTTTTCATAAATCTAAAAACTATTCTAAAATAAAAGTTCATTAAAAAATCATTGAGTGGAAGCAACTCAAATGTCCATCGATGAATGAATGGATAAACGGAAAAACAAAATTTTTTTCTAAGTCAGAAAAAAATAATGAATTTGAAATGTCATCAAGAAAATTGTAACGAGCCACACAACAGAATCTGATTCAGCCTTCAAAAGGAAGCAAATTCTGACACATGCTCCAACATGGAAGAACCTTGAGGAGAGGCTGCTGAGTGAAATCACAGTCACAAAACAACACACAAGGTATGATTCCACTTCTATGAGAACCCTAGAGTCATCACATTCACAGTGACGAAGTAGAACAGTGGCTGCCAGGGGCTGTGGGTGGGGGGATGGGGAGTGGGTATTTCATGGGGATGAAAACGTTCTAGAGCTGGGTTCCACAACAATGTGAATATACCTAACACTACTGAACTGTACACTTAAAGACAGTGAAGATGGTCAAGTTTATGTCTATTTTTCTTTCTTTCTTTTTTTTTTTCTGAGACAGAGTTTCACTCTTGTCATCCAGGCTGGAGTGCAGTGGCGTGATCTCGGCTCACTGCAACCTCCACCTCCCGGGTTCAAGTGATTCTCCTGCCTCAGCCTCCTGAGTAGCTGGGATTACAGGCGTGCACCACCATGCCCAGCTAATTTTTGTATTTTTAGTAGAGATGGGGTTTCACCATGTTGGGCAGGCCAGTCTTGATCTCCTGACCTCAAGTAATCCACCCCCCTCGGCCTCCCAAAGTGCTGGGATTACAGGCGTGAGCCACCGCGCCCGGCTGTTTGTCTATTTTACCTGAAAGTTAAACAATTTTTTTTTAATCAATGAGTCAGAAAAAAATAATAAACTTGGAAATGCCATGAAGAAAACTGTAAAGAGCCACTCAACAACAGCAGCACAGGCCTCATTTCAGAGGTGTGACCTTCCTCAATCATCCTTTTCTCGGTGAGTATGTACCTAGGTGGGCATTTGGGAAAATGGAGTTTTCATACCAAGAAACATGCTGGTTGTTTCTGTCCTATGAGGAAATGAGTACTTATGCAGTTAGAATTACTAGAGCATACACAATGCTTTGCATTTTTTTTTTAAAGTGTGTATTTCTAGAAACAAACAGGTTCATTTAAACGAGAAGAAAAAATATTTACTTTTGAAGAGCACATTTTTGTAATGGGAAGTAGTCTGAAAAGGGTGGGTTTGTCATATACATGGGAACAATACAGTTGGTTTAAATAAGGACTCTGTTTTAGTTAATAAAGACACACCCTCAGTGAAAACATGAATGTTTCACTGTGATATTAAAAAAACAGCACAACACCCTCATTGAATTTGGCAGACACACTGGCATTCCTGCGTAGGACTCACAAACCAGTCCAGTATTCCAACCGACCAAAACAAAATCATTAAAAAGCCGGGGCGTCCACAAAAATAGGGACAATGGTGTGGGGAAATGACATCAAAGGTCCAAAAGAAAGTTTCCTAGCAAGGCTGCCACCACCCTGGGGCAGCCAACTTAGGGGTGCAGGACAGTTATGAGAGGTACAGAGTTAAGACAAGCCACCGGTCTGGGCTGTGAATGAGTGTGAATCAGCATGAGTGCCGCTTCCTCGGCCCCCACTTCAGGAGAATGCACCCACATCCCTGCCATCTGATGAACATGGAATGGTTTTTCTTACCTGGGAAAGAATAGCTGGAGCCTCCGACCACAGGGTTTTCCCAAGGTGGGGAAACCAAGCCGGGTTCTTAGACAAGTTAAGTACAGATGTCCACAAGCACTGCAGCTGGAGACAGTGCTGAGTGGACGTCAGGTGCTGACGACCACAAGACACACACGCCCAGCAAGCGTCTGATGGGGGTCTCGGATGCAGATAAAGATGGAGAAGTCCTACTCTAAAGAAGCCAGGAGGCCCACGTGGAAAATCTGCCTTTCACACTGCCCCATGGAAGGAGGAATGTATTTGTTCCAGAAGAAAGAGAGGAATCATGACCTGGATAAAGCAGCGAGTTAAGAATGCCAGCTTGACCTCAGAATGAAAGCTTCTATTTAGTTTGTTTTTAAAGGTAGGATCTCACTACGTTGCCCAGGCTGGAGGGCAATGGCTATTCACAGGTGCAATCCCACTACTGAGCAGCGTGGGAGTTTTGACCTGCTCCGCTTCTGACCAGGGCAGGTTTACCTCTCCTTAGGCGACTGGTGGTCCCCTGCTCCCAGAAGGTACCATACTGATGACTAACTTAGTGTAGACACCCAATCAGCATAGCACACTACAGCCCAGAACTCCCGGGCTCAAGGATCCTCCTGCTTCAGCCTCCCAAGTAGCTGGGACTACAGGCACTCGCCACCATGCCTGGCTCTATTTAGTTTTTAATTGGCATTTATTTATAAGGTTTTTTTTTTTCAGTGTTTTCAGTCGTCACTTGGAAGACTGCCAAGTAACAGTGAACAATGGCAGAGAAGAGACTGAGGTTCTGGGAATGCTGGCTGCAAGCCCCCTGCACTGACAGTCAGGCCTGCAATCACTTTCTCAGGAGTCATTGGCCTGAAGCCACAATCACTCCTTCCCCTTCCAAGGGGAAGCCTGAGACCCCAGCAGGATTCAGGAGGTCAGGGTAACTAATAGTGGTTTTGATTCCATTGCACAGAATCAGAGTGGGAAACGAGATTTCCCTGTTACAAAGATACCATCAACTCTACCCCTTGCAGACCACCTACTAAGGAGAACAGACCCATCTGCCAACTTGGGGGACACGAGTACAGCAGACAAGGGCCAGGATGAATGACACGGCCCTTGGCAGAGATGTAATATCTTGAACAAGTTCAGCAACCAGTGTGAAGTTGTACCCTTCTTAGGAAATACACACGGCAACTCTGAAAGGGGGCTGAAGAAGCTTCTGTGACATTCCCGCCCTTTAGAGGAGTGCTGGGCAGCAGGGGTGTGCTGGGAATCAGTTCTCTCAGAAAAAAGCCCTGGTTTAGAGCTTCTGCCAATTCCTGTGGTGTAAACAGTCTCATCATGGTTGATTTCAAGTTTCCAAGCAACTAGCTCACAAGTTCCTGTTTTTTGCTTTTTGGGGTTTTTTTTTTTTTTTTAGAGATTGAGTCTCGCTGTGTCACCCAGGCTGGAGTGCAGTGGCACGCAGCTGGCCTCAAGCAATCCTCCCACCTCAGCCTCCCAAAGGACTGGGATTACAGGTGTGAGCCATTGTGCCCGGCCAGTTCCTATTTAATAATCGGTTCTGGAAAGTCAATAAAAACTGGCTCCAGCATGCCACTGGGTCTGGATGTGACAGATCAATCAACCTTTCTTAATCTGTCCTCAGTAAGGCCTAAGTCTGGGATGATTTATTAGCTTCTCTCCATAAGTTGATTGGATGGTGAGCAAGAGGTCAATATTCTCATAATCAGATGATAGACAAGAAATAAATATGGCTTTAAGAACCCTGACTTTGGCGGGTGAGGTGGCTCACGCCTGTAATCCCAGCATTTGGGGAGGTCGAGGCGGGCAGATTGCCTGAGGTCAGGAGTTCAAGACCAGCCTGGGCAACACTGTGAAACCTCGTCTCTACTAAAAATACAAAAATTAGCTGGGCATGGTGGCACGTGCCTGTAATCTCTGCTACTCGGGAGGCTGAGGCAGGAGAATCACTTGGACCCGGGAGGCAGAGGTTGCAGTGAGCTGAGATTGTGCCACTGCACTCCAGTCTGGGAGACAGAGCGAGACTCCGTCTCAAAAAAAAAAAAACAAAAACAAAAAAAAAAAAAAACCCCTGACTTTTGAGATAAAGTCACACTGCGTGAGCTTCACATGGAATTTAGTAACCTGAGTAGAACTGTCCAAACATAGGAAGTTCCAGATGTACCACTGTGGATACACTATTCTCAGGGACCTAAAACCCCCAACTTCGACCCACAAGGGAGAACTAAGACACCTCTCTCTCGGCTCTGAAGCAGTCTTGAAGTGTTCAGGAGTAAACAAAAATCTCTCTTCCAAGTATTTATTAAGAAATAGAAACAAGCCAGAAAAATGCTTTAAAAACTGTATTTGTACAACAGGATAAAAACAGTTTTTCTTTCGGATGCCAGTTGCAAGTTTCCATGTAACGTATCTTAATCTACATTCCCAAAGTAATTGTGTCTCAGGTAACCTTTGCCCTGCCCAAAAGATGAACAAAAATAACCAGAAAGGTAAAAATCTGTCTTTGGAGTTGGGGGAATCACTGGCCACTTGCAAACTGCCACTTCACTGCCAACTTTTATCCAAGAAAACCGGTTTCTAAAAACCTGCAAAAGGGACATTTAAGAGGAAGCTGTTCCCTGAACGAAGACTGAGCAGGACAAGCCAAAAGCGGTGCCAGGGGACAATGCCAGATGGGGAAAGTAGGAGCCGGGTTGTGAGACGGAAACACACACGCCAAGAACAGCCAGGGAGCAAAGCGAGGAGTTCTGGCTTCTCGTAACTCATGAAGGATGAATGCTCATCGTTTAAATTTAGACGATAAAGCTGATGATGACGGGCCCGGGGGCGGCTATGGAAACCACCTCATTACGAGTCCACGAGAAAAGAGAGTATGGGAGGAAAGAGGGAGGCGGTGCACCCAGCGGGGGCCAGACACAAGAGACAGATGAGCTCGCCAGCAGTGCCTTCCCAGCAGCCCAGGGGACGCGTGTGCTTCCCCATAAATCCTTGGGACTGAGGACTTGGCTGCTGAGAAAAGAAACACATCAAGCATTGAACATAAAGAGGCAAGTGTGGTGTTTAGAGAGCACGAGCGCTCACTCTTATTCCAGGGAGGAAGAGGAATCCATGACGTACAGAGGCCCAGGAGCAGAAGGGCTCCAGGGAGGAGCCCTGGGAGAGAGGGTGGCAGCACGGAGAGAGCTGCTGGAGGCAGCAGAGCACCAAGGAAACATCCAGACATGCGCGGCCCGGCCCATCCGCTCCCGGAACAGCACCAAGACGAAATGGGAAACTACATGTCCCCAGGTTCGAGGCTGCAGGGGCAGACTCTGGTGTGAACAGGGGGGATGTGACCACCTAAGGAAAAGGTCACACCTGTCTTGGTATCAGGGGCTCAAGAGCTCTCAAAAATGTAAGGGGCCGACAGTCCCCTGCCCCAGGCCTGATCACAACTCCAGGGTCATGAGGTCAGAGTAAAGTGCAGAGGTTTTTAAACATAACCAAAATTTCAGGAGAGGCCAATTCTTACTTGAAAGAGCAACACCCTGGGGCGCTGCTTGCCATTACTTCCTCATCTTTAGCAACACATTTGCTTTTCAAGGTGTTCCTTGTGGAAACACACATACACATAGACACATGCCCCTCAGATGTCCCCTGCCCCCTGATTAGTAGAATGTGGGGTTTCCACAATGAGCAGAAACTGATCCAATTTTGGTTAAGTTTGAGAAGCCCTCTGAACTTGGGTGGTTGGCCCAATGTAAATACTTCCGCAGAGATGGAGGGCATTCAAAACAGGTTCTGAAAGGATCCAGGCCTATCTTGGACTTTGTTCTGGAAGCCAGGATTCAGCATGGCCACCTGTGCCAGGCTGCAAGGCCTGGTGTGAACGCGCAAAGTGGCAGCAAAAACAACAGACAGCCGCCTGCACTTGGCTGGAACCAACGTTGGCCATGAACAGATCTGGCGGGTGGGATGTTCTGCTGTCACACCAGGGGACCAGAGCCCCATACTGTAATACGTTTATTCAACCTTTACCATGGCTCCAAAACTGCCCCTCTCTGCCAGGGAGACGCCTTCGCTCAGGTTGGCCAGGTCGGTCAGGCTGGCACCATGGGCTCCATCGAGCACCTGGTCATACTGCTCCAGGCTCCTGTGGGCCTCCTGGCGGCTTTCATGCAGCTGGGAAAGTTTGCTCCTTGCCTGTGCAACAAAGACATCATCAGCATTAAGCAGGGTCAGGAAAACATGTCAGAAAAGACGCTTTTTTTTTTTAAAACACAGGGTCTCACTCTGTCACCCAGACTGGAATGTAGTGGAGTGATCATAGCTCACTGTAGCCTTGAGCTCCTGACCTCAGGAGCTCCTCCTGCCTCAGCCTCCTGAGTAGCTGGGACTACAGGTGCGTGTCACCACCTATATTTTTGGGCAACAAACCAAGACCCATCTCTGCAAAAAATACAAAAAAAATTCTGTATTTTTTGTAGAGATGGGGTCTCGCTATGTTGTCCAGTCTGGTCTTGAACTCCTGGCCTCAAGTGATCCTCTTGCCTCAGCCTCCTAAAGTGCTGGGATGACAGGTGTAAGGCACTGCACTGCGCAAAGCAACATATCTTTGCTCCTGACACCCAACTACAAACTCTAAGGGTTAGAAGAGAAAACACTGAAAGTAATCCTACAGATATTAACCATAAAGCACAAGAAAGGGTGGTAAATCTCTGAGCGGTCCATGCTTGCGATCAACTGTGGCCTATAAACTGGCTAATGGAGCACAGACAGAGACCAGTTCAATTGGTAAAAGAAGTGTGCCTGGCCACTCCGACACAGGCGAGGGCCAGTGTCACAACCACTGTGTAGACTGGATGCCCAGGGCCAGGACAGAGGCCTTCATCTACTGCCCACAGGAGAGCAGGGAAGGGCAACGGCTGCAGGCCACGAGAAGCCAGCGCCCCCCCCTGGACTGGGAAGAGGGTGGGGGCGTCCCAGGCAGCTTAGAGAATGGGGGTCCTGCATGGCGTGATGCTCCAGGGTGGCGCCTCCTGAACACACCAGTGGCTGTGGAGGATGACGTCTGTTCTCTTGCCCAAGGACAAAGAAGTCATCTCTCTGACTTTGTCCCTCTTGTTTGTGTGAGGACCAGGCTGGAAAGAACCCCAAGTTCTCTCCAAATGAGCCATTAATTAAGTGTTCCCACCCCACCCCGCCTACTCCTTGAAGATGCTGTGTGCTCAGGAAAGGAAAGTGAACTCCTCCAGGCCAATGCCAACAAACTCTGGAACATGCCCTGGGGAGTCCTTGGCCCTGCGCCTCCAGGCCAGCACCACAGCCTCCCAAAAGAGACCCTCACGTAAGTAACAAGGGTGAGAGCAAAGGAGTTCAGCAGTGGCAGCCTCGGCTCTTGGGGCTCGCTGGTCCCTGGCATGTGGCAGGGACCCGACTCCGTGAAGTACCTGGTTGATTTCGTCTTGCGTTGACTTCAGGGACTTGATGATGGTTTCCAGCTGGACTCGCCCAGCCTGAATGCTCTGCTCCAGCTGGGTTTCCTCCTGCTGCAATCGGTTCAGCTCCGACTTGGCTCGGTTCAGATCGTCTTCCTGGGACTTTAAGTCAGATTCCTGAGATTGGATTTGCGTTTTCAGTGATGAGATCTGAAATGAGATGTTAAAAGATGTTAAAGAGATTCACAGTGCAGGATGAAATGGGACTCCGAGAAAGAACTCTTAGCCCCCATCCCCGAAACAAGCTAAGCCAGGGACGCAGACACCTAACCCAGGCCCGACACCTGGCTTCCTTACAGGCCTCTTTCTACACCCAAAATAGAGACACAAATGAAAAGGCAGATGGGCTCATCCCACTGTGGCTAACGGAAGATCACTTTGGAATAATGAGGGGCATGACCAAGCACGAACAATCTGTCCATCCCCCCAGAGGCTGAACGTCATAGAGTTTTCTGAGGTTGCAGCCTCCGGGATCTGTGAGGAGCCTCAGAGACACCTGAGGAGGGGACACAGGCACCCTGGAACTCCCTGTGTTGTGGGGCACAGCCAGGTGGGGTGTGTTCAGGGCACAAGTTCGCAGGGACCAAGGCCATTCACTTATACAACCTGACTTCTAGGAGTACAGGGGGGTGGCCAGGAAGTCAAGCCACAGGTGCTTGGACACTTTTCCACGTGGTGTTTGGAGGAACTCTATTGACCCAGTAGGATGTCTAAGTGTTGTGTTCCCAGGTAACACGAGCTCAGGGGAGTCCTTGGGAAGCCCCTGCCTGTGCATAGGGCGCTGCCCCGGAGGTGGCCGGGACCCACCATCTGAGTCTCATCCTGGCACTTCTGCCGGACGTCGCTCAGCATGTCTCGGAGCTTGGCCTTCTGCTGGTCCATCTCGTCCAGGCGGTCTTGAGCATCCTGTTTCTGAGCCTCGAGCTCCTGCAAACTGCTTGTTTCCCGGTCTAGGTCATTTTGTAATTCCTAGGGAGGAGTTGCAGGGGTTTACGTGAGGATGGGAAAAATGAAGCATGTCCAAGATAACGGGGGGCAGCCTGGGCCAGAAGTCCAGGGGAAGCCTCCGAAACCACCCACTGTGACCGTGCTCAGGGCCAGCATTCCGTGCACACCCACGGCCAATGTGTGCCTCTTGGGCTGGAGGCCCAGGGCCACTGTCTCACCAGCTCCCTCAGCAGGTATTTCCCGATGGCCTAACAGAGGCCAGGTGCGAGAGAAGGGGCTGGGTCCCTGTGAGAAAAAGGCCCCAGCTCCCGGATGACATGCAGCTGTGGCTGCGGAGGGGAACATCACCCAAACGCAAATAAACGTGGACAAGTGGCACCAAGGGGGTCACAGGGAAACTACAGTCACACCTTGTGGGCAGGGAAGATGCCCACAAAAGCAGCATTTAGGATGGGGCCAACAGGTGAGCAGGTGCCAGGCAGGTGAAGAGCCAGGGACAGAGCCTGGCGGAGGGAACCACAGGGACCCCAGGGTCGGGGGGTGTCGCACTCCAGCTAGAGCAAAAGGGAATGGGTGGAGGCATCAGAGGCTGCACCCCACAGGCCACGCCAAGGAGACTGCGCTGGGCTCTGTGGTGGGGAGCCCGGTGGGATGTGTGAGTGTGGGAGGCGGGACATCATGATTCTGTTTCTGAAGCTCTCTCTGACCCCGTGGGATGGATCCAGATGGTCAGCCCGAGGCTCCAATGCCCCATGATTCCACTTCCAAGAAAAGCATCCTGGAAGCATACAGCGTGTGCAGAGGTATACAACGTCTATGACAGCAAAATCCGTAAACAATGCAGATGTCCATGAGGTGCTGGCTGGAAGGTTCCAGCACAGCCCACACTGTGGGACGCTCCTTGGCCATGGAACGGGATGGCGCCGTGTGCTTTGCCTTACAGTGGGACATGAGCACACTGCATTTGTGCGAACGGGAAGGGGAGGGTATGTGTGGTATGCATCAACCTTTCTGGAAGGCCCCCTCCAGGAGCTCATGAACAGCACCTCCGGGGATGGGGACACCCAAGAAGAGGGCAGAGGCTTCTCACCTCCTGATTTTCAACCACGCAAATGCATTATCTGTCTTTAAGATAAATAACCAAAGCTGAAATAGCACAACGGGCATTGTGACAAGCCTCCTCCCTCCAGCTGCCATGTGGAGCGTGGTGCAAGGGGCCATCAGGACGCAGGAACTGCAGGGGCCTCGGGTGGGGTCCAGGGAGAGGCAGCAGCAGCTGGGGCCTGAGTGAGGTGGTGGTCGTGAGAATGGAGAGGAGGGGTGGGTTTGCGGGGAGCCATGGCTGGGTGGTGGGGCTGAGTCCGAGAGCCAGCCTGGGCTGCTGGGGTGGCTGGTGCCCTGAGATAACAAAACCAGAGGTGGCCCAGGGTCTCCCCTCTCCTCACTATGGGGACAAAAACATCCTGGTGCTTCCCTGCCTCGATAGGCAAATCATGCCTCAGGAAGCTGGGGTCTCCGTTCCCCAGTCTCCCTGCCCCTGGCCTTTCACTTGAGGGCTGGATCTGGAGGGGACAATCAGGGTCACTTATGGACATGTTCGACAGGAAACTCAGGAGAAAGACTCCAGTGAGTGTGCCAGGAAGGGAAGATGCTGGAAACATAAAGTCAGGCGTGTCAGCATCAAGGTGGTATTTAAACACGTGGGAATGGGTGAGGTGTCCAGTGGGGGGCACAGAGAGAGCCTGAGGTAGCCCAATGCTCCGAGCGATGCTCCCACCAGGGACGGAAGCCTCTAGAGCCTCCTAAGTCTAACCCTGGCCCCATCACCGGGTAACGCTGGCAGCAACTCCCTGGTGTCCTGGGCCTCAGGGTTCTAGTTAGCGCCACACTGGCTCCTTCCAGGCCACGGCCCATGGATCCAGGACACTAGGGGCTCCAACACCTTTGGCCTGCCCAGAGAAGTTCCCTCCTTTACCTCCTCCTCAAACCAAAGATGCCAAAATGTGTACATCACATCCTTCATGCACAGAGCAGAGAATATTTGCCCAGAAGAGGCATGACAGGAGGACAAGAGGGAACTCACTGGCCACATGCCGTGTACTGAATGTCTGTTGTTGAAATTCTCACCCCCAAGATGATGGTATTAGGTGTGGGGCCTCTAGGAGGTGATTAGGTACAGCCCTTGTGAGTGGGATTAGTGGCCTTATAAAAGAGGCCCCTGAGAGCTGCCTCGATCTTTCCACTGAGGGAGGACACAGCAAGAAGGTGCTGCCTATGAACCAGGAAGTGGGTCCTCACCAGACGCTGAATCTGCAGGCCCCTTGATCTTGGACTTCCCAGCCTCCTGAACTGTGAGCAGTAAACTTCTGTTGTTTATAAGCCTCCCAGTGCATGGTGTGCTGTTATGGCAAGCCAAATGGACTAAGACACACATGCCATGTCAGCGTCTGCAGTGACAAAGGTGCTCAGGGTACCTCACCACTTCTCTAAGAGGGTTCTCACAGTCTCAACCCCTCCTCAGAAGCTCCTGCCCTACTCACTCTTGGCTCTCCCTTCCCTTTCTTCTCCCCACTCCCCAGCATTTTTTTTTCTTTTGAGACAGAATCTCACTCTAACACCCAGGCTGGAGTGCAGCGGTGCAGTCTCAGCTCACTGCAACCTCTGCCTCCTGGGTTCAAGGGATTCTCGTGCCTCAGTCTCCCGAGTAGCTGGGACTACAGGTGCACGCCACCACGCCCAGTTGCGTGATTTTTTTGTTTCTGTGTTTTTGTATTTTTAGTATAGACTGGGTTTCACCATGTTGGCCAGGCTGGTCTTGAACTCCTGGCCTCAAGTGATCCGCCAGACTCAGTCTCCCAAAGTGCTGGGATTATAGGTGTGAGCCACCATGCCTGGCCTTCTTTTCCCCTTCTTGATTCTTGCTTTCTCCCTTCTTGATATATAAAATCAATAAAGCTGAAATACACAATTGTTTAAACCTTGCTGGGTAATTTTTTGCACATAGTTTCTCCCCCATTTAGGAACCTGAGCTGCAGTTTCCTTCAGGGCAGTCTCCGTCTTCCCCCTTCATTGAAAAATGTCATTGCTCCGTCAGGCCACAGCGCAGCCAACCCCTGTGACGTGACAACTCCTGGATTCCCCTAGACACTAGTGGAGACCCTGGGCCAGAAGGGGTGGCTGCTGATGGGACAGAGACTGTGTCTCCAAACCCCTGAACTGAGGCATTAAGTCTAAGAAGTTTGGGGGTGATAACACAGAATAACTGAAACAGAGTTAGTTGTGGGAGCTGGGGATGTGGGTGGCCACATCTAAGGGGAGTGATGGATAAGGGAAGGGAAGATGGGAAGAGCGTTAGGCCGGATGGGGTAGCTCTGGACACCAGGTAACAACAGTGTGGAACTGAAGGAACCTGGACCTCATTCCGTAATGGAGAAGGAGCCATCAGAAAGTCCCAGAGGGACAAAGACCCACCAGCTCGAGGTTAGGAAGGGGAGCTCAGAGCAAAAAGAAGACAAAAATAACCCCAACAGTCCACGGAGTCCACACAATCCCTGTCAGAATCCCAGCTGGCTTCTTTGCAGAAACAGACAAGCTGATTCCAAAATTCATATGGGGCCAGGCACGGTAGCTCACGCCTGTAATGCCAGCACTTTTGGAGGCCAAGGCAAGCAGATCATCTGAGGTCAGGAGTTTGAGACCAGCCTGGCTAACATGGTGAAACCCAGTAAAATACAAATTTGTAAAAATACAAATTTTTACAAAATTTTGTAAAAATACAAAAATTAGCTGGGTGTGGGGGCACGCATCTGCATTCTCAGCTACTCGGGAGGCTGAGGCAGGACAATCACTTGAACCCAGGAGGTAGTGGTTGCAGTGAGCCGAGATTGCGCCACTGCACTCCAGCCTGAGTGACAGTGAGACTCCGTCTCAAAAAAAAAAAAAAATCACATGGAAACACATGGGACCCAGAATAGCCATGACAACCCTGACAGAGAAGAAAAAGATGGAGGATGCCCATTTCCTGATTTCAAAACTTTTACAGGGCTGCAGTAATCAAGTCAGTGATGTAGTGGCATGAGGAGAGGCAGATAGGTCAATGGGATAGAGCTGAGGGTCCAAAAATAAATGCACAGCTATAGTCAACTCATCCTTGACAAGGATGCTAGGGCCATTCAACGGGGGAAAGAAGAGGCTCTTCAACAAATGGCACTGGCCCAGCATGGTGGCTCACACCTGTAATCCCAACACTTTGAGAGGCCAGAGTGGGAAGATCCCTAGAGGCCAGGTGTTTGAGATGAGCCTGAGCAATACAGCGAGACCCTGTCTCTTAACAAAAAAAAATTGTTTTTGAATTAGCTAGGTGTGGCAGTGCACACCCTGTAGTCCTAGCTACTCAGGAAGCTGATGCAGGAGGATCCCTTGAGCCCAGGATTTTGAGGCTGCAGTGAACTAGAATCATACCACTGCACTCCAGCCTCGGCAACAGAGCGAGACTGTCTCTAAAAACAAATTTTTTAAAGTAAAATAATAAAAACAATGGTGCCATGACAACTAGATGTCCACATGCAAAACAATGACATTGCATCCCTGCCTTATGCTATATACAAAAATTAACTAGAAATGGATCAAAGACCTACATGGAAAAGCGAAAACTATAAAACTCTTAGAAGAAAACACAGGGATACATCATGTGACCTGAGATTTGGTAATGGGTTCTCAGCTATGACACCAAAAGCAACAGCAGCAAAAAAAGGATAAACCAGACTTCACCAACATTAACAACTTGTGCTTCAAAAGACACCATCAAGAATGTGGAAAGACAATCCAGAGTGGACTCTCAGTGGATGCTGAGAAGGTATTTGCAAGTCACATATCTGACAAGGACTTCTACCTAGAAATGATAAAGAATTCTTCAAATTCAGCTATAGGCCAGGCGCAGTGGCTCCCGCCTGTAATCCCAGCACTTTGGGAGGCCAAGGTGGGAGGATCACCTGAGGTCAGGAGTTTGAGACCAGCCTGGCCAACATGGTGAAACCCTGTCTCTACTAAAAACACAAAAATTAGCTGTGTGTGGTGGTGCACACCTATAATCCCAGCTACTTGGGAGGCTAAGGCAGGAGAATCACTTGAACCTGGGAGGCGGAGGTTGCAGTGAGCTGAGATCGCACCACTGCACTCCAGCCTGGGCCACAGAGTGAGACTCTGTCTCAAAAAAAAAAAAAAAAAAAAAAAAAATCAGCTATAAAAAGAACCCAATTAACCAGGTGTAGTGGCACATGCCTGTAATCCCAGCTACTCGGGAAGCCGAGGCACGAAAATCATTTGAACCCAGGAGGCGGAGGCTGCAGTGAGCTGAGATTGCACCCTTGTGCTCCAGCCTAGGCAACAGAGTGAGACTCCGTCTCAAAAAAAAAAAAAAATGCAATTTAAAAATCGGCAAGAAAAAAATTTTTTCAATATAAAAGGGCAAGGAATCGGAATGATTTTTCTCCAATGACTACATACAAATGGCTAATAAGCACATGGAAAGATACTTGACGTCGCTAGGGAAGCATGAGGGACATGCCAATGAAATCCACAATGAGGCAGTGCTCCACACCCACCACGACGGCTAGAAGGAAAAACGGGAAATGGGTAAGTGTTGGTGAGGCTGTGCAGAGCTGGCACCCTAGTACACTGCTTATGGGAATGTAAAATGGTACAGCCACTTTGAAAAACAGTCTGGCAGCTCCTCAACAGTTACCATGTGGCCCAGCAAATTCACTCCCAGGTATACACTTGAGATAAAGGCAAACAGGTGTTCACACAAAAACTTGCAGACAAATGTTCCTAGCAACAATATTTGCAAAGCCAAAACATCTATCAATGAGGGATGGATGAGTAAAATGTGGCCCATCGTGGCTTGGCATGGTGGCTCATGCCTGTAATCCCAGCACTCTGGGAGGCCGAGGCAGGCAGATTGCTTTGAGTCCAGGAGTTTGAGACCAACCTGGACAACACAGTGAGACCTTGTCGCTGCAAAAAAAAATTAAAAATTAGCCAAGCATGGTGGTGCATGCCTGTAGTCCCAGCTACTCGAGAAGCTGAGGTGGGAGGATCACCTGAGTCTGGGAGGCAGAAGTTGCAGTGAACCAAGGTTGTGTCACTGTACTCCAGCCTGGGCAATGGAGTGAGACACTGCCTCTTAAAACAAAAAATGTGCTCCATCCACACAATGGAATATTATTCTGCCATAAAAAGGAATTCAACGCTAATATATGCTACAATATGGATGACCCTCAAAAACATGATGCTGAGTGGAAGAAGCCAGGCACAAAAGGTCATGTGTTGTATGATTCCACTGACAGGAAATGTCCGGAACTCCAGGTACCTGAGATAAATGCAAACAGGTGTTCGCACGAAAACCTGCAGACAAATGTTCCTAGCAACATTATTCACAACAGCCAAAAAGTGGGAAAACCCAAATATTCCCCGATGGGAGGAACAGATGAAGGAAATGTGCCCCATTGTGGCTGGGTACAAATCCATACACACAGAAAAAAGATGAGTAGTTGCCAGGGGCTGGAGAAAGGGGAGAATGGGAAGTAACTGCTTAATGGGGATGAGGTTTCCTTTTGGGTTAATGGAAAGTTAGTGTCAAACTCTTCCACTCACTGAAAGAGAACAGTTAACGATGAATCTTTCAGAAAGTAACCTTCCATTTACTGTTCAGGGCTAGATGTTTTTATGGGCCTACTGGCGCCTACGGGAGAAACAATCAGGTTCTAACTCGATAGAGTGATGGTTAATCAACACGGTGATTATGCGAAACACCACTGAAATGTACACTTTAATACAGCACATTTGACATTAATTACATAGCCATCCTTCAGATTGGTATTAAAATTTGCAGATGCTCAAGTGTGACATAAAACGGTTCAGTGTTTGCATATAACCTACACATGTCCCCTACCCTAGCACCACCCCATATTACTTATTCATTTATTTTTGAGGCAGGGTCTCACTCTGTTGCCCAGGGTGGAGTGCAGTAGTGCAATCACAGCTCACTACTGCCTTAAACTCCTGGGCTCAAGTGATTCTCCCACCTCAGCCTCCTGAGTAACTGGGACTACAGACACATGCCACTACACCCGGCTTTTGCAAATATTTTTGTAGAAACAGGGTCCCACTGTGTTGCCCAGGCTGGTCTCAAACTCCTGGGCTCAAGCGATCCTCCGGCCTCGGCCTCCCAAAGTGCTGGGATTACAGGTGTGAGCCACTACAGCCAGCCTCGTATACTTTAAATCATCTCTAGGTTATTTATAATACCTAATATAATGTAAATGCTATGTAAATAGTTATCATATTGTATTGTTTCATCAATTTGGATTATTTTTTATTTTTTTATTTTTTTAATCTGTGGTTGGTTAGATCCAAAGATGCAGAACCCTTGGATACAGAGGGCCAACTTGTCTCAATTTTAGAAAAAGAGAAGCCACCGTCTATGGTTATAAGCAACTTTAAAAACTTTAGCCTGTAATTCCAGCACTTTGGGAGGCTGAGGCAGGCAGATCACGAGGTCAGGAGATTAAGACCATCCTAGCCAACATGGTGAAACCCCATCTCTACTAAAATACAAAAAATTAGCCAGGCATGGTGGTGCGTGCCTGTAATCCCAACTACTTGGGAGGCTGAGACAGGGGAATCGCTTGAACCCAGGAGGCGGAAATTGCAGTGAGCTGAGATCGTGCCACTGCACTCCAGCCTGGCAACAGAGCAAGACTCCATTTTTAAAAAAAAAGAAAAAAAAATCTTCACTCTCGCCAGGCTTGGTGGCTTACACCTATAATCCTAACACTTTGAGAAGCCAAGACAGGAGAATCATTTGAGCTCAAGAGTCTGAGACCCCATCTCTATTTGGAAAAATATATATATATATATTTTTAAAAACTTCTTCTTCTCCGAGAAAACACCGAATGGCGGATGACACCGGTGCAGCGGGGGGTGGGGGGGGGGGGGGTGTCAGAGGCCCTGGGATGGGCAACCACAGTAACTTCCACGGAGGTTTCAGCAGTGGCATCTGGGGCTGGGGTCGCGGCCGTGGACAGCACCGGAGCCGGGACCAAGGCCACGGAGCTTGCAGAGGCAAGGCCGAGGATAAGGAGTGGATGCCCATCACCAAGCTGGGCCGCCTGGTCAAGGACATGAAGATCAAGTCCCTGGAGGAGAGCTATCTCTTCTCCCGCCCATCAAGGAATCTGAGATCATTGACTTTTGCCTGGGGGGCTCTCTCAAGGATGAGGTTTTGAAGATTATGCCAGTGCAGAAACAGACCCGCGCCGGCCAGTGCACCAGGTTCAAGGCGTTTGTTGCTATCGGGGACTACAATGGCCACATCGGTCTGGGTATTAAGTGCTCCAAGGAGGCGGCCACTGCCATCCGCAGGGCCATCATACTGGCCAAGCTCTCCATTGTCCCCGTGTGCAGAGGCTACTGGGGGAACAAGATCAGCAAACCCCACATTGTCCCTTGCAAGGTGACAGGCCACTGCAACTCTGTGCTGGTGTAACTCATCCCCACGCCCAGGGGCACTGGCATTGTCTCAGCACCTGTGTCCAAGAAGCTGCTCATGATGGCTAGTATCAATGACTGCTACACCTCAGCCAGGGGCTGCACTGCCATCCTGGGCAACTTCGACAAGGCCACCTTTGATGCCATCTCTAAGACCTACAGCTACCTGACTCCCAACCTCTGGAAGGAGACTGTATTCACCAAGTCTCCCTATCAGGAGTTCACTGACCACCTTGTCAAGACCTACACCAGAGTCTCCATGCAGAGCACCCAGGCTCCAGCTGTGGCTACAACATAGGGTTTTTATACAAGAAAAATAAAGTGAATTCAGCCTGAAAAAAAAAAAAACAAAAACTTCATTCTGCAGCCCCCAAGAGCTCATGTTTCCATCCAGGGCAGACCCCTGCCCTTCCCCACCACCAGCCAGGGAGGGAAGTTTTCCTGAACTACATTTAGCACAAAGTAGATGTAACCAAAACGAACGAGACCCTTACCTGCACCTCGCTGGTTTTCTGTCTGATTGCCTCTTCCTTTTCTCGAATGTCTTGTTCCAGTGAATATTTCTCTCTGAATGTTTAAAAATATTTCATGAAAACAAGAGTGAATAATAAGCCTCCACCCCTTCCCAAGGCCTGATTCTGTTCACCCCCACAAAAGCCCCTCTGTGTGCTGGCAGAAGTCTAAGAATGAGACCCAGCGACTGCTCGCCCTGTACAGTCCCTTCCCCGTCAACTGTAGGTAGGACCTGTGACCATGGGAGGGATCGCTCCCAATGTAACCACCCTCTAAAAGCAGCGCGCTTTCTCCACCTGGTTGCCCAAGTGGAAGTTAGAGATGTCCCAAGTGTGATAAGGACCCAGAGCGCCCTTGCTGACTTTGAAGGTGGAGGGGCCACGTGAGGGGGAACAGGGGCAGTGTCCAGGAGCATGGAGTGGCCCTGGCTGACCTCAGAAAGGAAAAAGAGACCTCGGACCCCCAGCCGCAGGGAAATGGATTCTGCCAACACCTGAATGAGCCTAGAAACAGATTCTTCCCCTAGAGCCTCCAACAAGAGCCCAGCCCAGCCGACGCCTTGACCTCAGCCTGTGACACCCTGGACAGCCCAGGACAGCCTGTCTGAACTACTACTTTTTTTTTTTTGAGACAGAGTCTCGCTCTGTCACCCAGGCTGGAGTGCAGTGGCGCAATCTCAGCTCACTGCATCCTCCGCCTCCCCAGTTCAAGCGATTCTCCTGCCTCAGCCTCCCTAGTAGCTGGGACTACAGGCACGTGCCACCACGCCCAGCTAATTTTTGTATTTTCAGTAGAGACGGGGTTTCGCTGTGTTGGCCAGGATAGTCTTGATCTCCTGACCTAGTGATCCGCCCGCCTCAGCCTCCCAAAGTACTGGAATTATAGGCGTGAGCCAACACGCCTGGCCTTTTTTTGGTTTTGTTTTTTTTTTTTTTTGAGACAGGCTCTTGCTCTGTCACCCAGGCTGGACTGCAGTGGCACGATCATAGCTCACTGCATCCTTGACTTCCTGGGCTCAAGCAATCCTCCCACCTTAGCCTCCTGAGTAGCTAGGACCACAGGTGTGCCCCACCAGGCCTGGCTAATTTTTTATTTTTTGTAGCCGAGGTCTCAATATATGGCCCAGGCTGGTCTGGACCTCCTGGGCTCAACCGATCCTCTTGCCTTGGCCTCCCAAAGCACTTGGATTACAGTCATGAGCCACAGCACCCAGCCTTCTTTTATTTTTAAACTGAGATAGAATTCGTGCATGTATTTCCTAGCACTGCTGTAACAAATCACCAACTGGGTGGCTTGGAACAGGAAAAATTGATTATAGGTGTGAGCCACAAGGCCCAGGGTTTAGTGCCCTTATAAGAAGGACCCCAGAGAGCTTCCTTTGCTCCTTTTGCCCTGTGAGGACACGGCAAGAAGGTGACTCTCCAGGAATCAGCAAATGGGTCCTCAGCAGACCCGATCTGCCGGTATCTGGAGGTTGGACTTTGCAGCCTCCAGAACTGTGCGAAATGTCTGATGTTTCAGTCACCCATTCAGAGTGGTTTGTTATAGCAGTATGAATGGACTAAGACCCTCCTCTTGTGCCCAAAGAGGCTGCCTCAGGGACAGGAACACCATGTGTCTAACAGACCCTGCCTCCTGCCCAGGGACCCAGGACTTGTGCAACAATAAGGCCCTCTCAGGGACATGTCGCCAGACACACAGTAAGTGATCATTGGAATATTCATTTCCACAAGCCCAGAAACTTACAATACAAAGTGCTCTTTAAACTGAAGGACCTGACATGCCCTTGCTGGCTTATGGCAGTGTGAAATCATAAGAGGAAAGCTCAGCCCACACTCCCCGAATCAAGGGCCACTCTCAGAGCCACCTGCTCAAGGGGCCACTGCAGGCCCCAGCCTCCTACAGATGGGCACTCTGCACACACCAGCCTGTCACCTCCACATTGGGGAAACAAGGCTTCTGGCTGTCTGAGGCCACACTGGGGTGATTCACGCCCCAGCGTCCCTTCCTAGACCCTGACCCTTGCACGACAGGGGCTCCCTCCATCCTTGGCCTGCCCGGTCCTGATTCTCAGGCCTGCCCAGGCTCTAGGATGCTGGCCCTGCATCCTCAAGACACCCTCAGCCTTGTCAGGCTGCACATCCTTGCTGATCGCCAGTTTGGATAACACGGCCCCCAGGAGCTGAGACAGAACAGGAACCATCTGCTGCACTGAACATGAAGTGGGATGCCTGACTCAGGCCGTGGCTCAGGTTTTCTAACCAGCCACCCACCTTGATCCCCTCCAAGACCTAACCTGCCTTTGCTCATCAGGGCTCTGCTAACAGCACAAAACCAAGGCCAGAGGAGCTGATAGAATACTGCACCTGTTAATATGACCCCCGGGGATCCCCCAGCTAGGACCAGGATCCATCCTCCCTGGGAAAGTCAAAGCCCTTTCCATTTTCAGCCAAGTAAACAATCTCTTTCCCACAGAGGGCAAAGCACCTTTGGGCCCTTCTGCATGGTGCCCCGTCATCACAAGAGTCCACCCTGTCCTAGAATCGACTGGAAAAAAGATGCTGGCTGGCACAGTGGCTCACGCCTGTAATCCCAGCACTTTGGGAGGCCAAGGCCAGAGGATCACTTGAGCTCAGGAGTTCGAGACCAGCCTGGGCAACATGGCGAAACCCCATCTCTACAAAAAATATAAAAAAATTAGCCAGGCATGGTGGCATGCACCTGTACTCTCAGCTTCCTGGGAGGGTGAGTGGGAAGATCACTTGAGCCCAGGAGGCAGAGGCTGCAGTGAGCTGAGATCACACCACTGCACTCCAGCCTAGGTGACAGAATGAGACTCTGTCTCAAATTAAAAAAAAAAAAAAAAAATCTAGCCAGCATGGTGGTGCGTCCTAGCTACTCGGGAGGCTGAGGTGGGAGGATTGCTTAAGCCTAGGAAACAGATGCTACAGTGAGCCATGATCACACCACTACGCTCCAGCTTGGGTGACAGAGCGAGACCCTGTCTGAAAAACAAACAACAAAAAAGGATGTCATTCTTGAAGAGGATCCAGAGGGGAATACAGGAAGTGACTGCATTTCTTTATACCAGACTCTAAAAGTACAGACAGCCCATCCAAAGCCCTCGTTTACACATGAGGAAACTAAGGCACTAGGCAAGAAGGGGAGCCACAGACCTGGAGGCCCCTTCACACCTTCAGCTGCTGGGTCCTAAGCCCGCTCCTCGCCATCTGAGACCCAATTGCCCTAGCTGTCAAGGATAACAAGGCCTTCCTAGCACTGGGGAGGGGCTGATGCCTGGGGCTACTGAGCTGCGACCTGCCTGAGACCACAAAGCTGCCACAGGCTCTGCCCATGACCTGCCTGGGACAACACAGCTGCCACAGGCTGTGCCCATGACCTGCCTGGGACCACACAGCTGCCACGGGCTCTGCCCACGACCTGCCTGGGACCACACAGCTGCCACAGGCTCTGCCCACGACCTGCCTGGGACCACACAGCTGCCACCCACAGGCTCTGGTCAAGACCTGCCTGAGACCACACAGATGCTACGGGCTCTGGCTGAGGCTGATTCAAATGGAAGATGTCATTCTTCAAGCCCCTTGAGCCAGTTTAGGACCTCAGAAGCTGTATCTTTTCCTTCCTTCTGAATAAACCTGTGATGAGCAAACTTCCAGGTGAGCCTCTGATATTTCCGATAACAACCTGGGAGAGTTCGTGTAACATCTGGATGTGGAGGGAAGGGCCGTTTCCAACATACCTTTGTAACTGGGCAATCTCTTGACTGATGTCATCAAGCTCCTTCACGCCAGTAAACTCCCCGGAGCCGAGAGAGCCTGAACTGTCCTAGAATTGAATTCAGAGGCGAGATCTCTAATTAGCAACCTGACATCACCTGACAGGAGGCACCAGCAGTTCTCGGGCCCAGGGATAAAATTGTCCCTTTAGTACACAGGGTGAGGTAGCAAAAGTGTCAGCCCCCTGCCTGGGGAAATACCTGGGCAGCCAAGCCACCCTCCCGGGGGCCCCTGTTGAGGAAGGCAGGGACCACAGGCAGCACCCGCCACCGTGGGCTCATGTGTGCCACCAGTGCCACCTGGTGGCAGGCGGTGGGAAGGGATGTCAATACCCCCAGGGCATGACCAGCACCACTCACCGGGCCGGGCGTGCCTCTCTCCGAAGGCGGGACCATGTCCGGCGAGAGGACTTGAGGAGGGTCGATGCCTTTACTGACCTTCTGCTGAATGAAATACATAGCTAACGCGAATTGGTCTTTGCTTAACTTCCCCGTTTGCCTCGTATCGGCCAGGGCCCTGGGAGAAACGTGGGGATGCTAATTACACATCACAGGCGCCGACTCAGCCTGAACCCAAGTCACCGATCCCTTGCTTTTCAAAAACGACAGCGACGAAAACAACGGCAGGGCGTGGTGGCAAGCCCCAGCTCCTTCCCTACTTCACATCTCCTTCCCAGGAAGTGGCCCAGGGGTTCCCCGCTCCCAGTGTCCCCCACCCTAGGAGGGCTGTCAGGGCTGAAGAACCCCAAGCCCCTGACCTGGGCTGAGGAGCCGACCCCCTGGGAAAACCTCACTAGGGCTGAGATGCAGCTGCCTCTTCCTTTGGCTTATCTCGTGCGTGGGGCAGGCTCTGATGCTGCAGGCATGGAGTAGACCAGCCCTTCCGTGGAAATGGGTGCTGAGACCAAGCATTGTCCCTGTAGCTCTGGGTCATCTGAATGGCCCCGGCTACTGGCCTTCAATGGGGATGACAGCAGCACTTTGGGGTGTCATCATGATGAAGAAAGAATCAGCAACGACTCTCTTTCCTTGTTATGAACGGAACGTTTATGTCCCCCCAGATTCCTATGTCCAAATCCTATCCCTCAATGGGATGGTGTTGGGAGGTGGGGCCTCTGGGAGGTGATGAGGTCATGAGGGTGGAGCCTCAGGAGTGGGATTAGTGCCCTTATAAAAGAGGCCCCAGAAGGCTCTCTCTGCTCCTTTTGCCATGTGAGGACACGGCAAGCAGGTGGCCGTCTACAAACTAGGCAGTGAGCCCTCACCAGACACTGGATCTGCTGGTGCCTGGATCACAGACTTCCACCCCCCAGAGCCGTGAGAAATGTCTGTTTCTAAGCCACTCTGTCTATGGCACTTTGTCACAGCAGCCCAATGGTCTAAAACACTCCTCTTGTGCCCAAATGAGGCTGCCACAGGGGCATGGCCACAATGCACAGGACAGTCCCCCACAACTAAGCGTCCCCTGCCCACATAGCTCTTGGATGTCCTGAAAGATGGGCCAAGGCAGCATCTGAATAGCAGCACACAGTGGTCCTGTGGAGCTGAGGTGAGAGGCTCCGCGACACTCACAATCAAGGAGCCAGCCAGGGCCGGGTGCAATGGCTCATGCCTGTGTTCTCAACACTTTGGGAGCTGAGGCGGGCAGATCACCTGAGGTCAGGAGTTCGAGACCAGCTTGGCCAACATGGGGAAATCCCGCCTCTACTAAAAATACAAAAATTAGCCGGGCATGGTGGCGCGCGCCTGTAATCCCAGCTGCTCAGGAGGCTGAGGCACGAGAATCACTTGAACCCAGGAGGCAGAGGTTTCAGTGAGCCAAGATTGCGCCAATGCGCTCCAGCCTGGGCAACAGTGAGTCTCTGTCTCAAAAAAAAAAAATAAAAAAATGAGGAGCCAACCAGGAAGGGAAGGGACCCTTGTGGAGTAAGGACAAGGCCTTTGGCATCTATGAAAAATGTCTTCCTTCACCCATGCTGCCCTCTCAACGAGGGACCTCGTTTCCCACCTCCCGTGTAGCTGCGGCAGAAGCCATTACAACAGAAGTTTCCCCTTTTACCAAAAGAGAGCTGGGACCGTTCTAACAGACTTATTTATACCCAAATGCAGTCCGTGAACAGAGCTGCGGAGAATGAGCAGATCTCAAAGAACATTGCTGATAAATGCCTAGTTATCCCCACAGTTCGAGGCCCTGACGATTTCATACTGCCACTGTCTCTCCCCAGTCTGCCCCTGCGGGCCCCAGCCTGCTCGTGGGCTGCAGCTGCCTCTCCACTCCCGCCCCTTCTCTGCTCCTGCCATCTCTCAAGGAGTGTGGGCTCCAAGGCCCACCTGTGGAAGGTTCTGAGAGAAAGAAGGAGAAGCAAGCTTAGGGGTGGCTCAGTCAGCGGCCATCCGGCTCTGACACCACATCCTGCTCTGCTGACCCGTACGGTGGCAGCCATCGCAGGGAAAAAGCCTCTGTCTTCATGCTCCCCCTCCTCCCAGTCCCTCCTGGTGTGTCATCTACATTGGGCCATGCCCCGCCCCAGCCACTCGCAGACACATCTAGACTTCTTTTCTCATGGTTATTCAAGAGCCTGATCATCCTTTCCTTCCCCTTTGCTGCCCGCATGGAATGACCTCTGAGTTCCTTCTTTTGATCCAGGTGGATTAGTGATTTCCTGTGTCATTTCCATGTCATTACATCATGTGTCAATTGCAGCATGCATTATAAATTACTTTCCCTCTACTGACCCCTAGACATGACAGTCAGGGTGTCAGGGCGCTAACCAGGAACTGTATGTGTGTTGGTTTCAGAGTCATAAAGGGGACACTGTGTTTTGTTGGTTTCTAAAAGGGACACTGGATCTGAGGCAGCTGAGACCCACTGTCCCTAGCCAGTTGGAGGCGGCTTGGCCATTTGGGTGATGACTCTGCGACAGCTAGTTCTCAGGCTCCCACCTCACAGTGTGGTCATCTGTGAATTACCACTAAGGACAGTCATTTCCCCCAAGCCACTAAGTAACATCCTGAATTTCACTGCTCTACTTGGAGGTATTTGCCTCTCGAGAATTATCCAGCAATTCTTTCCTTTTGATAGCTCCCAAGTGAAGCCTTCTCTAAGGCCACAAGGCTCTGAGCAACAAGCTCAAAAGTGACTTCAGCCCTGGCCAGTGGCAAGAGGAGTGCCCCAGCCCTATGAAGTCGGCTGTGTCCAGCCCTGGGGGAAAGAGGGGTTGAGGCCGACTCCTCGACTGGGCTCTGAGGCACTGACAGGGTCTCCTTGTGCTCACCCTCCCGCCAGGAGCCAAAGCACTGGCCTTTCCAGAGCAGGGCCTCCTGCCCCCGCCCTCACCCTGCCAGGCCACTCTGCTAGAGGCTCCAAGGCCCTGCTGCCCGCACCTCCCGGAGGCGGCTGTGACAAAGTCCAGGCCTCCTGTTAGAGCCAGCATCACAGCCAGCAAGAATAGGGCCCAGCTGTGTAAGCAAATGGCCTGGGAGCACTTAAGACGGACCAGAGGCCCTTCCTACTGAAAGACAGTGAACTGACCGTCACGGAGCGCGGGCTTCGAGCCTTGGCACGTGCACCTTGCTCAGCCTCTGTCAGGCCAGGGAGAATAAAGGACGCCAGACACAGCGGAAGCCTGTGACAGGCTGGAGGGGGCCCCCTGACCACCACCCTCCACAGTCTTCACCCACAGGCCCCCTGGAGCCACCCACAGCCACAACTGCCACCTGTCCGGCCTTACCATATGTGTGCTAGAAGGTTCTGGGTGAGGCCCGAGTGCATGAAGATCTCCTTCACCTCCTGGCCACTCACGTAGCCATCCAGGTCCAGGTCGGTCTTCAGGAATATCTCATCAAATCGCATCTTGTCTGCCACGGGCACCACCCAGTTCACTGTTGGCTGAAACAGTTTTTGGCAAAACAGTTAATCTGGAAGCTTTTTATGACCCCCAGACACATGCTTTTTGATGATGGGGCGATTAAAGCACTTCCATGCACATTTGGCATCAAACTCTCCTCACTTCCATGAGCCAAGAGGGCAGATGTGATCCTTGTTCTGTAACTGGCAAAACTGAGGCTGAGACAGGTTGAGGCTGGCTCTGTGAAGCTCACCCAGATGCCAGTCTGCACCTCTCTCCACCCCATCACCCGCTCTCCTTGTCCATCCACCCTGCCACCCAGGGTGTGAGGGAGGCTGTGATCTTCAGGGGATGGGTTCAAGCATGCCAGGAAAGACCCTCCCGAGCACCCACTTGGAAGGACCGTCCCTGGAGAACCGGCCCGGCCACATGCCAGCCTCCCTGGTCCTCCCACTCCTCAGCCCGCAAAGGCTGCCCTACAGGCAGCCAAAGTGTCCTGTCCCAGGACTCTGAAGACCACCCTTCTATGTCCCTGCCCCACTCCTGAGACAACAAAGATACCCCCAAGGTGTGAGTACACACACGTCACTGACAGGTAACAAATGAGACACCACCATCCAAGAGGGCCACCACCCACGAGGCCCCACCAACATTCATGCAGCCCCAACCCCACCAGGGCAGATGGAGCCACGAGCCCAGTGCAGCTCAAAGTTCACAGCCCTGGGGCTGGGTCACCCGCTGCACGTGCGACCCCTCTCGCCACCAGCTCACAGTTAACTTGAGAGAGGCAAACGCCATCATGGGTCAACCAGGGCCCGGTCACCTCCTGGTTCAGAGGCATTGAGGCCCCTCAGGCACTCAGGGGCAGGCCCCTTCCGTGGCCTACTCCACCTGCATTACCGCGGGCCTTCAATACACCCACCACGCCACAGTTCACGGCATCTGTGTCCTGAACTCTAGACGTGCTTTTCCTCTTCCCTTTTTTTTTAAATATTTACACAAATCACTCCTTTTAAACAATCTCATAATAGCAATGAGAATAAACACCTGATTGAATTATCTAGATGATGAGGGAGTGGAGAGAAAAAGGACAGGCAAATGTGGCTGGAGGGATCGATTGTTCCTTCTCCACGCAGCAACTGTACAGAAAAGCCACTCCACTCCTCACCTTCAATGAACGCCATGATGCCTGAAACTGCCACTCAAAGTCATTCCTCTCAGTTATGAAAGGATTTCTTAGGCTGGGTGCAGTGGCTCACACCTATAATCCCAGCACTTTGGGAGGCTGAGGTGGGTGGATCACCTGAGGCCAGGAGTTTGAGACCAGATTGGCCAACATGGTGAAACCCCCTCTCTACTAAAAACACGAAAAATTAGCCAGGTGTGGTGGTAGGCACCTGTGATCCCAGCTACTCAGGAGGCTGAGGCAGGAGAATTGCTTGAACCTGGGAGGCAGAAGTTGCAGGGAGCTGAGATTGTGCCACTGCACTCCAGCCTGGGCGACAGAGCAAGACTCCGTCTCGGGGAAAAAAAAAGGGGGGGGGGATTTCTCAAAGAGTTCTCACAGTGTTGACAACCCGAAGATGTCCATAGGATTGAGGAGAAGGGACTCATGGTCAAGACTGGGAAACAATGGTTAAACTCGTTTACTCTTCATGAACGAGTCTCCTGTGATGTCCAAATCTAACAGGCTCCTGATACCAACTCAGGGAAATCAGAAAGCAAGCTTGGGAAACAAGGGATACCATGTGACCCAGATCAGCTTAGTTCAGGGGTTTCACGTAGCAAGTATGTGTGATGAAGTACAGCAAGGACTTGATCAAACAATTTATCAAAATCCATGGAGCTAGGCCAGGCACAGTGCTCATGCCTGTAATCTCAGCACTTTGGGAGGCCAAGGCAGGAGGATCCCTCAAGCCCAGGAGTTCAAGACCAGCCAGCATAACACAGCAAGACCCCATCTCTACAAAATAAATAAATAAATAAAATTAGCTAGGTGTGGTGGCATCCACCTATTCCAGCTACTAGGGAGGCTGAGGTGGAAGGATCACTTGAGCCCAGGAGGTTGAGATAGCAATGAGCCGTGATTGCACCACTGCACTCCAGCCAGGGCAGCAGAGCAAGATCCTGTCTCTTATATATTTAAAAAAAAAAAATCTATGGATCTAATTCAAATGATGAGAGTTCAGATGGCAAGAGCAACCTGATTTTTACTTGTGGCATTGTACTGTGTAAATTTTGTGAGCCTTCTCAAGTCTGGTGGACGTAAAGATGCCAATAAAGGAATTCTAATGAGAAATGGGCTTGCTGCCTTTTAAGTCACGGAGCTACAGCAAGCTAACCTCAGAAGCCAGGGATCACAAAGAGGTAACAGGAGTCAGACAAGCTGAGCTGTGGCGGGACACAGAAACAAGGGGGGTTCTGTGTCCCACGGGTCCCAAGAAGAAATTACGTATGAAATTATAGCTCTGGGATGACAAGAGTCCTAATAATACTTGCTGGGCAAACAAAAGGAACTCACTGCCTGATTTCTGGAGCCTCAGAGTATGTTAGCAGCAAGATTCTGATGCCAAATTGACTATAAACCCAACACGGGGCAGCCTTGCCGTGGAGCTGGCTCTCCCAGTGACAGCTGGGCTTTAAGGCCGGCTCAGCAGCCACAGGTCCCAAAGGAAGGATATCAGACCCTGGTGGCTGGAAGTGGCTTCACTCAAACCTGGCATGAGGGCAAAATCGGGTGGCCCTTGGGAGGCCCAGACAAGAGCATTGCTGGCCTGGAGATGAGGAAGTTGGAGTAGGGGGAGCATGTGGACTGTAGGCCCCCAGAAATGCTCGTTTTCATGACTGTGATCCTACCAATGCCGTCGTGGGGGCAGGAGCTATACCCTCCCACCCCACCCCACCAGGGGCCACTGGTAAAATCGGTCTAGTCAGAGGGTCTTGAGAGAACCACCAGAAGATCACTAGAGAGGTGGGTTATGACGCTGGGTGACCTGTGCCTACCAGTGAGTTTGGCCCCACTAGCTTCGTTGCCAGTAAAGTACCTCCCCTAACCTGACTTTCAAAACTCTTGGCAAGAGCTCTGCAGACACAGGCTGGGCACGGTGGCTCACACCTGTAATCCCAGCACTTTGGGAGGCCGAGGCAGGAGGATCACTTGAGCCAAGGAGTTCAAGACCAGCCTGAGTAACATAGGGGAGACCATGTTGAAATAATGAGATAAATGAATACTTTTTTTTTTTGAGATAGAGTTTCGCTCTTGTTGCCCAGGCTGGAGTGCAGTGGCGCGCTCTCAGCTCACTGCAACCTCCGTCTCCCAGGTTCAAGCAATTCTCCTGCCTCAGCCTCCCGAGTGGCTGGGATTACAGGTGCGCACCACCACACCCAGCTAATTTTTTTGTATTTTTAGTAGAGACGGGGTTTCACCATGTTGGCCAGGATGGTCTTGATCTCCTAACCTTGAGATCTGCCCACCTCGGCCTCCCAAAGTGCTGGGATTACAGGCGTGAGCCACCGCACCTGGCCACAAGCATTTTTTAAAGACATTTCATCACAAGCTTGACCGTTCTGGGGTTGCATGTTAAGAACTCCCGAGAAACATCCTACTGTGCTCTGAGAGGGGGCTGTGCCCGCTGAGGGCTCCGTACCTGTGTTTGCTTGAGGCTGTGCTTGGGGGACAGGCTCCCTGTGCTGTTGAGGCTGCTGACGCTGCCGTGGGACGGCGTGGAGCGGAGGCTGTCTTTTGGTGGGGGGCTGGCAGGCAGGACGGGGACGGCGCCAGGGAACACAGTCTTCTTTCTCTTGGAGGGTGGGATGAGGGACGGGGGCAGGGCGGAGGGCACGGGCTCCTTCTCCAGGGCTCGGTACACCAAGTGCATGGCCTGCAGGTGCAAACAACAATGGCACTGAAGGGGCAAGGCTGGGGCCGGGACCATCAGGAGAAGGCAGAGGGCAGCCCTTTGGGGGCTGCAGTGACAGGACACTCTGTCAGGACGCTCCCAAGCTGACCAGAGTGAAAAGAAATCATTCCTCATGAGTTATCTTTTATGTGTAACTTTCCAAGACATGTGTTGAATTATTCCTCGAGACTGAAATGCACACAGAAAGAATCCAATCAAGCCAGACTCCATATGCATCCCTTCACCACTCAGGGAGGCCACCAGCTCCAGGGCTGGCACCTTCCCAGTACTGGATTTGGAAGTCTAAAGACACCAGAAGAGAGACCTGTACTTCAAGACGTTCAGGAGTAGTCCCAGCTACTTGGGAGGCTGAGGTGGGAGGATTGCCTGAGCCCAGGAGATGGAGGCTGCAGTGAGCTGTGATCGCGCCACTGCACTCCAGCCTGGGTGACAGAGCGAGACTCTGTCTCTATAAAACAAAACAAAACAAAACAAAAAACAGTGGAACTGAGGATGCATCCATGAGGCAGGCCACAGCCATAGAAATAAATTCCTTGTGGAAGGCCAACTAATAAAAGTGCAAGGAATGATGGTTTTGATTAGCACATCACCATTTGGCAGCCACCATCATCATAATTAATCTTGCCAGATTAAGGCGAGACTCATCAGCGATGGTGGAACTCTCATGGAAGAGTCTGAGAGTCATGGGTGTTGACCGTATCAAGGCGTGCCCCACATGAGATGAACTGAGCACAGAGGGAAAAAGAGCAACTGCCCACAGGAACCCACAACCTTGACCCACCTTGACCCAGTGATGAATGTCAACATGGCAGTAAGAAGACATGTTGACATCACGTTCCCCCAGGTGGGAGGCCCATGTGGGGCGGGTGTGACCTCCGTGGGATTCCTGTCTCACAAGAGTGCATGACCTGGGTCATCAAGAGGACCTGGCAGCCAGGCCCAGGCCTAGGAACACTCCATAACTGCTGGCCTGTGCTCTTCAAAATGTCCACGTTGAAACCAGGCATGGTGGCTCATGCCTGTAATCTCAGCACTTTGGAGGCCGAGACGGGCAGATCACCTGAGGTCAGGAGTTCAAGACCAGCCTGGCCAACAGGGAGAAACCGCATCTCTACTAAAAATTCAAAAAAAAAATTAGCTGGCTGTGGTGGTGGGCACCTATAATCCCAGTTACTTGGAAGACTGAGGCAGGAGAATCGCTTGAATCCAGGAGGTGGAGGATGCAGTGAGCTGAGATCATGCCACTGCACACCAGCCTAGATGACAGAGTGAGACTCCCTCTCAAAAACAGAACAACGACAACAAAAAAACAAAAAGTCCACGTCAAGAGACACGAAGAGCGATGGAGGAACTGTTCTAGATCCCAGGAAACGAAAGACAAAAGACAACAGGATGTAACACACAGGACTGGGTTCTCTTTAGACACAAGGAACATTTTTGGGACAACTGATAAAATCTGAGTAATATCCTGGGATTAGATAATAATAGACACGCTCATACAGAATATAAGGGGTATATACAGGATATAATGAAAACATCATAAATGCAATGCTATGATGTGAATTTCCTGATTTTGAAGTGGATAATGGTTATGTGTGAGAGAAGTCCTTGTTTTTAGGAAATACGCACTGAAGTGTTTGTGGATGAAGAGGCATCATGTCTGCAACTTAACCCTAAAATGGTTCACAGGAAAACTTCGTGCAGCAGTGGGAAGGGCGAGAGAGTGATGGAGGGAGGGAGGAAGAAGGGAGGAGAAAGATAAAACAAATGTAGGAAATTAGTGACACTGGGAAATTTGACTGAAGAGTTTTCAAAAGAATTTTCTGTCGGAGGCCAAGGGGGGAGGTCGCTTGAGTTGAGTTCGAGGCTGCAGCAAGGGTGTTCACGTCACTGCACTGGAGCTGGGGTGACAGAACAAGACTCTGTCTCAAAAACAAAAAATAATTCTCTGTATTACAGGTTGCGTATCCCTTATCCAAAATGCCTGGGACCACAGGGTTTCAGTTCTGGAGTTTTCTGAATTTCTGAATGTGTGTATTACACTTACTGGTTCAGCATTACTAATCCAAAAATCCAAAATCTGAAATTCTTCAATGAGCATTTCCTTTGAGTGTCATGTTGATGCTCAAAAAATGTCAGATCTTGAAGCATTCTGGTTTCAGACTTTCAGATTAAGGATACTCAACCTATACTGAAACTTTCCTACATACAAAGAACTATGTCAAGACAAACACTTAAAAAATGAAAGAAGGAAGGCTGGGTGTGGTGTCTCATGCCTGTAATCCCAGCACTTTAGGAGGCAGAGGCGGGCAGATCACTTGAGGCCAGGAACTCAAGACCAGCCTGGCCAATATGGTAAAACCCCATCTCTATCAAAAATACAAAAAAATTATCTGGCTGTGATGGAGTGCACCTGTAATTCCAGCTACTTGGGAGACTGAGGCATGGGAATTGCTTGAACCCAGGAGGTGGAGGCTGCAGTGAACCAAGATTGCACCACTGCACTCCAGCCTGGGTGACAGAGCAAGACTCCGTGTCAAAAAAAAAGAAAGAAAGAAAGAAAGAAGGCTAGGTGCAGTGGCTCACGCCTGTAATCCCAGCACTTTGGGAGGCCAAGGCGGGTGGATCACTAGGCAGGAGATCGAGACCATCCTGACCAACATGGTGAAACCCTGTCTCTACTAAAAATACAAAAATGAGGTGGGCATAGTGGCAGGTGCCTGTAATCCCAGCTACTTGGGAGGCTGAGGCAAGAGAACTGCTTGAACCTGGGAGGCGGAGGCTGCAGTGAACCAAGATTACACCACTGCACTCCAGCCTGTGTGACAGAGCAAGACTCCGTATCAAAAAAAAAAAGAAAGAAAGAAAGAAAGAAGGCCAGGCACAGTGGCTCACGCCTGTAATCCCAGCACTTTGGGAGGCCGAGGCGGGTGGATCACAAGGCAGGAGATGGAGACCATCCTGGCCAAGATCGGGCCACTGAATGCCAGCCTGGCGATAGAGTGAGACTCCATCTAAAAACAAAAAAAAAAAGAAAGAAAGAAAGAAAAGGGAGGGAGGGAAGGAAGGAAGGAAGGAAGGAAGGAAGGAGGGAGGGAGGGAGACAGAGAGAGGAGAGAGGGAGAGAGGGAGGGAGGGAGGGAGGGAGAGAGAGAGAGAAAGAAAGTGAAAGAAAGAAAGGAAGAAAGACAGAAAAGAAAGGAAAAGAAAGGAAAAGGAAAGGAAAAGAAAAGAAAAGAAAAGAAAAAAGAAAAGAAAAAAGAGAGAAAGACAAACGAATCCAGCAACCCCTGCGCACTGCACATTTCCTTCCTGGGCTGGGTGGGGAGGAAACAGCAGGACTTACCACAGCGAACTCATCTCGATCCAAGTGCCCATCCTTGTCAATGTCACTGAGGTCCCAGACCTGCAAGGGAGAGACCAGCATGGGTAACTGTGGGAGGAAGGACTGGGTGAGAGTGAGACCACCTGCCGGAACTCAGACTCTCAGCCGTGGCACTCACTGGGCTCAGGAGACGGCAGTCAATATACATTTCAGGACCAGTCCGCGAGTTCTCAGAAAAACCATCACCTGTGAAGTACTGTCAACTACCAGATCTGTGGTCTGACAATCATCATGATTATAATCATATTGATTATAAGATTATAAGTTTAAAGGCTATACTTTAAACTTACCCTGAGTTTCTTCTTTATTGTCTTACAGAGACATCTTAGAAAAGACAGCTTTGATTGAGTACAGGTGTTGCCCTAAACACCCACACTCCCTATGCTCACTCCTGCAAACCCCACCCCTCCCTTGCATTCTCAGCTGGGCAGGGCTGCGAGCTCATGTCTGAGCAGGTCTGTGGGTCTCGTCTCCACTCCCCAGCAGTGGATGGTGAGACAGGTGTCAGGCCACTCAGTGCGCTGAAGAGAAGGCAGGCAGGCGTGGGTTCTGGAGCGTGCCTAAGACACGTGCAGATCTCAAGCACCATCACGCTGCCAGCTTCCTGACCCATGCCAGCCTTCCTGGATGGGCACACTGCCTGCCAGGCCAACGCTGGGCAGGCTGCCAGTCCCCGGATCTAAGCAGATGCCCGTGGCTCTATCCATGATGCTTCATGTGTCAGCATCACCTCTCTCCAGCCAATCACCAGGGCTTCAGTCCATGCAGGTTTCTCACATCTGGTCCTCCTCTCCACCTCTGCTGCTGCGCCCGAGGCTCAGGCCTCACCAGCCCACACAGCCAAGAGCCTCCAGCTGGCCTCCCTATCCCAGTCTTGTCCCTATGGCTACCACAGGAACTGCTCCAGAACACACACCTGACCCTGCCCCACCCTGCTCCTCAGCCTGGCAGATGGGGCCCTGTCACCTGGCTGCTGCTGAGCCCCTGACGGTAGCAGGTCCCTGCACCCCAACCCAGCCTCCACAGACTCCACGGGGACCTCCACCTACTTTACCAGGGATCCAGGACTCCAACAGGCCTTTCTGGCTCCACAGTCCTCCCTCAGCCCAGGGCTTCCCCACCTCAGCACTACTGCCTGTTAGGGCTGGATCATGCTCTGGGGTGTGGGCCATGCCGTGCACTGCAGGGTGGTGAGCAGCATTCCTGGCCTTGACCCACCAGATGCCAGCAGCACTCGACCCAGGTGTGACAACCAAAAATGTCCCCAGACATTGCCCAATGTCCCCTGGGGGGTGGAAGTGTCCAGGGGGAGCTGTGGCCCTAACTGGCATGCCAGACTGCCTGAGGCCTCTGTGCCTTCACTCAAGTTGCCCACATGCCCAGACTTCTACCAGAGTCCCCCTCACCCTGGAGGATGTGACCAGGGGCACCTCTTCTAGAAAGTCTTCCCCAGCTGCCCTGCTCCCCGTGCTCGAGTGGGTCAGGGGCCCTCCCCTCCACCACTGCCCTCACTGGGCCAAACTGTGATTATCAGGGATGCTGTGGGGGTGTCTAATGGACAGGGCAGGTGAAGAGGGCAGGCTCTAGGGACAGCTGCTCCAGAATGCACACTGGACCCTGCCCCGCCCTGTCCACAGTAGGACCTCATCCCTTCTCCACCCTTCCACAACTGTGCAACCAAGGTGACTTCCCAACCACCCTGAAGATCTGCTTCGCCATCTGAAAAATGGGTGGTGGAGGGGTGTGAGACACAGTCCTTAACAGGAGGGCTGCAAGTGCTGGATGTGTGTCTTCACGCAGAGCACTAGGGCCCGGCCTGCCCATACTAAGCCCTCAGTAAATAAGTCTCAGCCTCTTAGCTATTACTTATTTGACTTCTTTGACGGTATCTAATTATCCCCACCTTCCCACTGCCCAGCACAAGGCATGGTCCACTGCAGGCTCTGAAAAATGCTTACTGAATGACTGACCAGATGCACGATGTGTGAGTGCCTGGATGCACAGATGGATGACAGCACGGATGCAAGTGCGCACGGATGAATGTATAAATATGGACACACGGGGACATGGCAGCATAGACATATGGGCACAAAGACGCATGCACAGATGTGGATAAATACATTGCATGGGCATGTGCACACACAGATGAATGGATCATAGGGATGCGGAGGGACATGGGTGCATAGATGCATGGATACAAAGATGTATGCATGGCCGGGCACAGTGGCTCACGACTGTCATCCATCCCAGCACTTTGGGAGTCCAAGGCAGGCGGATCACCTGAGGCCAGGAGTTCGAGACCAGCCTGGCCAACATGGTGAAACCCTATCTCTACTAAAAATATAAAAATTAGCTGGGCGTGATGGGGTGCACCCGTGTTCCCAGCTACTTGGGAGGCTGAGACAGGAGAATTGCTCGAACCAGGGAGGCGGAGGTTGCAGTGAGCCAAGATGGTGCCAGTGCACTCCAGCCTCGGTGACAGCGAGACTTCATCTCAAAAAAAAAAAACTTTTTTTTAATAAATAAATAAATAATACTTATATTTATGGTTAGATAGAAGGTATACATTCTTTTTTTTTTTGAGACAGAGTCTCACTCTGTCACCCAGGCTGGAGTGCAGTGGTATGATCTTGGCTCACTGCAACCTCTGCCTCCCAGATTCAAGCGATTCTCCTGCCTCAGCTTCCCGAGTCGCTGGGACTACATGAGTGTGCCACCATGCCCAGCTAATTTTTGTATTTTTAGTAGAGATGGGGCTTCACCATGTTGGCCAGGATGGTCTTGATCTTTTGATCTCGTGATCTGCCCGCCTCGGCCTCCCAAAGTGCTGGGATTACATGCGTGAGCCACCGTACCGGGCCAGAAGGAATAAGTTCTAAAGTTCAACAGCACAACAGGGGAACTATAGCTAACAATAATTTATCATATCTTTCAGAGTCTTCCAGAAGAGAAGATTTGAATGTTCCCAACACAAAGAAAGGATCAGTGTTTGAGGTGATGGATATGCTAATTACCCTGCTGGGATGATTACACATTGTGTGCATGTATCAAACCACCACGTGGACCCCACACTACAACTATTATGTATCATCAAAAATAAAAATAATGAAACGCAAAATAAAGCAAAACACGGTTGACTCTTGAACAACATGGTTTGTTGAACTGTGCAAGCTCACTTATGCTTGTATTTTTCTAACCAAACGTGGATACAAAATACAGTAGTCGTGGGACGTGAAACCCGAATATACAGAGGGCCGACTTTTGTATGTGCAGGACTGATTGCAGGACTTGAGTATGCGTACATTTCGGTGTATGATAGGGGCCCTGGAACCAATCCCCCTAAGTATACCAAGGGACAACTGTACTTTTAGTTAACAGAAACAAATTGAGGCTTTTAAAATTAATTAATTTGGCCAGGCACGGTGGCTCACGCTTGTAATCCTTGCACTTTGGGAGGCCGAGGCAGGTGGATCACCTGAGGTCAGGAGTTCAAGACTAGCCTGACCAACATGGTGAAACCCCATCTCTATTAAAAATACAAAAATTGGCTGGGCATGGTGGCTCACACCTGCAATCCCAGCACTTTGGGAGGCCAAGGCAGGCGGATAATGAGGTCAGGAGATCGAGACCATCCTGGCTGACATGGTGAAACCCCATCTCTACTAAAAATATGAAAAATTAGCCAGGCGTGGTGGCGGGCGCCTGTAGTCCCAGCTACTTGGGAGGCTGAGGCAGGAGAACGGCGTGAACCCAGGAGGCGGAGCTTGCAGTGAGCAGAGATTGCGCCACTGTACTCCAGCCTGGGCAACAGAGCGAGACTCTGTCTCAAATAAATAAATAAATAAATAAATACAAATACAAATACAAATACAAATACAAAAATTAGCCGGCTGTTGTGGTGCATGCCTGTAATCCCAGCTACTCGGGAGGCTGAGGCAGGAGAATTGCTTGAACCTGGGAGGAAAGGTTGCAGTGAGCTGAGATCATGCCACTGCACTCCAGCCTGGGTGACAGAGCGAGACTCTGTCTCACAAACAAAACAAAACAAAACAAAAAATTAATTATTATTATTATTTTTTTAAACAGAGTCTCAATCCGGTTGCCCTGGCTGGAGTGCCATGGCACGATCTCAGCTTATTGCAGCCTCGACTTCCCAGGCTCAGGTGTGATTCTCCCACCTCAACCTCTAGAGTAGCTGGGACTACAGTCACGCACCACCACACCTGGCTAGTTTTTTGTATTTTTTTTTCAGTAGGGATGGGGTTTCACCATATTGCCCAAGCTGGACTCAAACTCCTGGACTCAAGTAATCTGCCCGCCCCAGCCTCCCAAAGTGCTGGGATTACAGGCATGAGCCGCCACACCAGCCTAAATTGAGGGTTTTTTTTGTTTTTGTTTTTGTTTTGAGACAGAGTCTCGCTCTGTTGCCCTGGCTGGAGTGCAGTGGTGCAATCTCAGCTCACTGCAATCTCCACCTCCTGGGTTCAAACGATTCTCCTGTCTCAGCCTCCCAAGTGTCTGGGATTACAGGCGAACACCACCACACCTGGCTAATTTTTGTATTTTTTTTTAGTAGAGACAGGGTTTCACCATGTTGGCCAGGCTGTTCTCGAACTCCTGACCTCAAGTTATCCACCCACCTCGGCCTCCCAAAGTGCTGGGATTACGGGCGTGAGCCACCGCACCAGGCTAAGACTTTCTTTAAAGAGAATGCATAAAATTTTTCCTAAATTTGCAGCAGAGTTGAAAATACTTTTACCTTGAGCTTTATCAGAAGAAAAAGAGTAATTAATAGTAGAAAAGAGCCAGGAGTGGTGGTGCTCTTGCAGTCCCAGTTACTCCAGAGGCTGAGGTGGGAGGATGGCTTCAGCCTGGCAGTTCGAGACCAGCCTGGGCAACACAGTGAGACCCCATCTCTAAAAACTCAAAAAAAGAAATAAAAAAGCCCGGGTGTGGTGGCTCACGCCTGTAATCCCAGCACTTTGGGAGGCCGAGGCGGGTGAATCTGAGATAGGAGTTTGGGACCAGCCTGGCCAACATGGTAAAACACCATCTCTACTATAAATACAAAAATTAGCTGGGCGTGGTGGCATGCACCTGTAATCCCAGCTACTTGGGAGGTTGAGGCATGAGAATTGCTTGAACCGGGGAGGCAGAGGTTGCAGTGAGCCGAGATCGTGCCACTGCACTCCAGCCTAGGCAACAGAGCAAGACTCCATCTCATAAATAAATAAATAAATAAATAAATAAATAAATAGACACAGACACACATTCCCACATTCAGCACAATGGAAAGGGGGAAAGCCCAAGTTGGGGAGCTTAAGACTGAGCTCTACTGGTCCCAAAGCCCCAGGCAGCAATTTCACTTCTGAGTCCACCTCCTCATCTGTGAAGTGGAAGGATTCTGGCACCTTCCCCAGGGACTGGGTGAACACTGTAAGCCACACCCTAGGAAGCCCTGAGCCAGCTGGGGCTGGACCCACAGGAGCGCTGATGAAAGCCCCTGATGGCACAGGGAGAAAACAGAGCAAGAGCCTTGTAAGCACCATGGGGAAAGAGAACAGTGGCGCCCACACACAGCAGGGACACTGAGTGCAGAAGAACCAAGCCCGTGGCCCACTTACCCTGCCCAGGACATCAAGAGGCAGCTTTGAGTTCATGAGGACTGGCTTGACTTTGTCTCCAGAGAGCAAACCATTGATGGGCAAGAGGCTTTCAAAAATCCCATCAAATTTGGCCTTTTCTTCCACCTAGTTGGAAAGAAATAGCCCGAGTAAGTAGGAGAGCACACCTGTGTGAATGTCCAGACCGAGCTCTGACCGAAAGCCAAGTGAAAATGGCCACGGACCCATCATCACCCTTGGCTAAAAGCACAAAATGATCTTAGAACAGTCTTGGCCCCTTGGTTTCCAAAGTGAACATATACCCTGAAGGAAATAACGTTATGGCAACCTCGGATCTGGGAGCCAAGGTCCTCAGGAGGGAGGCCCTGGCCCCGGGTCTTGTCCTTCGTCCTAGCTGCTGCCTGAGTGTGGCAGGAGTCTCCCATGGTGGGGCAGTGTCTTTGCAGGGAGACAAAGATCAGTCTCACCTGCCTCCAAGGAGCCCACTTGTACCAGAAAGACAAAAGTGTGAGCAGATGTTAGTGCTTGAGCAAATAATTATCAAAATCAACTTAAAGTACAGGAAGTCCTCTTTTTTTTTTTTTTTTTCTTTTTTTGAGACAAAAATCTTGCTCTGTTGCCCAGGCTGGAGTGTAGTGGCACAATCTCAGCTCACTGCAACTTCCGACTCCCAGGTTCAAGCAATTCTCGTGCCTCAGCACTCGTACCTCCCGAGTAGCTGGGATCACAGGCATGCGCCACCAGGCCCGGCTAATTTTTGTATTTTTTGTAGAGATGGTGTTTCAACATGATGGCCGGGTTGGTCTTGAACTCCTGGCCTCAAGTGATCCGCCTGCCTCGGCCTCCCAAAGTGCTGGGATTACAGGTGTGAGCCACCAAGCCCAGCCACATACAGGAAGCCCTCCATTTCTAATGGTAAATAAATTAATACGTAAATAGGAATAGCTCTTCATGAACAGAGGGAAGGTACAGCATTAGGATGGGGAGTCACAGTTCCTGCTGTTCTGAAAGACATAGGGCAGGCAGCCCGTAAAAGGGGCCATGAGTGAGGCAGTGGCTTCCAGTCTGTTCCACCCTCCAAAGGAAACTTAACATTCCTGAACTGTACACTTAGAAATGGTTAAGATGGTAAATGTTACATGATGTGTCTTTCAACCACAATAAAAATTTTTTAATTTTTAAAAGACAAAAACCAAGACAGAGCCCTCAGTCACAGAGATGAGATCACCGGCAGACACCGCATGCTTTCACAGCTGTTGGTGCTAAGAAGCTGAGCGCTGCAGGTCTTTCTCGGGGGCCTGGGATCCTCTCCTGGCCATCGGACTTGCTGACTCAGTGCCTTCAGAAGCCCAGAAATGTTCACAACGGAAACAAACACTTGGCACTTCGGGCTTGTTCTTTCTGACTGTGGCTGTGAATGGAATGCAGAATCTCTCTCGACCACAGTACACCCCAATTACAGCATCTGGTCCTGTGCTCCCTGACTCCTCTCTGCGAGGTCCCCAGGCCCCTCAGTCCCAGCTCTTCCAGTGAGGCCTGGACATAACCCCTGGTGGAAAAGAGCCATCACATTTTAAAGTATAAGATCTCTTGGCACTGTTTCCCATGACAAAGTAGCTCTTTTTCAAAGTCCACACAATGCGCTGGGTGACAGGGAGAAACCCTTCACCACAGTGATTGCCACTGGCAAAGTGCTTGATGACAGAGGTGACTGCATGACTCCTCAGTCACATGACATATCTTCATGTCCTCTCCCTGCACAGATACCCCCACCCAGCCCATGACCTCTCCAAGAAGGGAGCAAACCAACCGTGTAAACATGGGACGAAAGTGCTTGGGACCTTTATTTGAGAGCAAGAGTGTTATTCATGTCAGGATTTAAGCCACATAAACGTGAGGAAATGTGACAGTCTGAAAGTGAAGGGAAGGTGAGGAGGCCTGATGTTACTTGGAGGGACCATGCTCACTTCCTTTAGAAGGAATTCTGTACTTAGAAGACAGCCCTCGTTTTTTTTCTTCTTTCTGGACGCAGTAGCTTATCTTTCCAGCCACAACATCCTCTGTTTTAAAAATAACACTTCAAGTGCTGAGAGAGGCTTTTCACAAAGCAATCAGAACATCAGGGAGGAAAGAATGGTAACATGCAAAGTGGCTGGAAAGAAGCGAGAAAGCAAGGGACACATTTGGGGGTCCACGTGCTTGCAAGCTCTCACCGTTTCCTCTTCTATTCTGAATAACCAACACAAGCAGCAAAAACCACAGAATGTGACCTAAAGATGCAAGATTTAAACTGCAGCCCTTTAATAATCCAACTCCTGACACTTAGTTGTCCAGGTAGGCAACTCCCAATTCCAGTGAAGGGCCACAGCCTTTGTAAAAGGTGTTCATTAGAAGAGGCGTTTCATCCAAGTGCTGTGGCCACTCACACTGAGACAGAAGAGCTGACACAATCATCCTATAAAATGTTCTGAACAACATCAAACTAGAACAATTCCAGAACAATTCTAGAACAACTGCTGGAACAATTCTATCTGAAGGAGAGCCAAGGAGGGAGCTATTCCCGTTCACTTACCCTCACAGCCCAGTGGGCCTCTGCAGAGGGCGGTGTGACCATCAGAGGGCTGCTGGTGTCGTGCTGAGAAGAGAGAGAAACATTCCTTTGTGGCTGGCACAGAATTAAATCATAGGTGGGTGGGTTTGCTGAAAAGGATACACGTTTCAAAGTGCTTTCAAAAAAGGGAAGACTTCACAAAGTTAAACACAGAATCACCACATGACCCAGCAATTCCACTCCTACGTATTGACCCAAATGAATTAAAAACGGATGTCCAAACAAATCCTTGTACATGAATGCTGGTAGCAGCACTATTCACAACAGTCAAAAGGGTGGAAATAACCCACATGTCCAGAGAGATGAATGGATAAAGATGTGGTCCATCCAGTAAATGGAATATGGAAACACTGATCCATTCTACAACATGGATGAACCCTGAAAACACGATGCTGAGAGAGAGGCCAGACACAAAAGACCATGTTAGAGAATTCCATTGATAGGAAATGTCCAGAACAGGCAAATCCATTGACAGAAATAAAATTAGTGGTTGCCAGCGACTGGGAGGGGGAGACAAGGAGTGATTACTTAATGTGGATGGGGTCTCCTTGCGGAGGGATGAAAAAGTTCTGGAGCTAGACAGAGGTAATGAAGACACAACACTGTAAATGCACTAAATACCACTAAATAGTTCACTTTAAAATTATTAATTTTCTATTATGTGAATTTCACCACAATAAAAGGGGAAGGCTAGAGAAAACATGGAAATATACATGCACATACACACATGCACATACACACACACACACATCTGGTATTAGAAGAATGTGAACTTGAAGGACTTGGACACTCACAAATTTAGGCGGTGGCATGCTCAAATTCAGATTGCTCAAGGTAACTTCATGGCCACTCTGTGCACAGGCCACCAGTCTCAGTGCAACATAGAAACCCTGCAAGTCCAAAGAAAGGGAAGGAGTAAACAGCATATCGCCAGTGAGGGTAGGGGGAGCTGTCTCTAACAGCAGGCTTCAGGGAAAGAGGATGTGCACTTCAACAATGAAGGCCGTCCGTGCAAAAACCCCTTGGAGCGTTGGGCTGAACTGGACTCACCTTGGGGACATCGCTTAAATGAATACACTAAAATGGACTTATCCTGGCCAGGTGTGGTGGCTCATGTCTGTAATCCTAGCACTTTGGGAGACCGAGGCAGGTGGATCACCTGAGGTCAGGAGTTCGAGACCAGCCTGGCCAACATGGCGAAACCTCATTTCTACTAAAAACATAAAAATCAGCCAGGCGTGGTGGCAGGTGCCTGAAATCCCAGCTACTTGGGAGGCTGAGGCAGGAGAATCACTTGAACCCAGAGGGTGGAGGCTGCAGTGAGCCAAGATCATGCCACTTCACTCCAGGCTGGGCAAAAAGAGCAAAACTCCGTCTCAAAATAAATAAATAAAATAAAATAAAATGGACTTATTCCACTGCATCTGGAAATCTGTAAAATTTCAGATGCATATATTTTCCAAAAACTATGAGCTCCCAACATTTAGGAAATGTTAGGTTGTATAAAGCAACAAAATTAAACATGGTTAAGGTTACGAATGATGGACCAAATATGTGCCGAATTTTTGTTTGTTTTAGAGATAGGGTCTCACTCTGTCACCCAGAGTGCAGTGGCGCAATCACAGCTCACTGCAACCTCAAACTCATGGGCTCAAGCGATCCTCCTGCCTCAGCCTCCTGAGTAGCTGGGACCACAGGTGTGCACCACTATGCCCAGCTAAGTTTTTATTTATTTTTTTAGAGGTGGGATCTCACTATGTTGCCCAGGCTGGTCTCAAATTCCTGTCCTCCTGCCTTAGCTTCCTGAGTAGCTAGGATTACAGGTATGAGCCACTGCACCTGGCTATGTGTTGAATTTTTTTTAAAGCAGTCGTAAATACACACGGTTGGTCAGAAACTCATATCTGTGGTTCACCACGATCCCCTCGGCCTCGTTGAATGGAACATCCCCTGCCCACCCCCAGTGGCCTGACGTGGACCCCACCTAGACACGGGAAGGAAGTTGAACTAGGCTGTCAGGTGCCTCCCTCCTAACCCAGGACCCACCACACAAAGGCTCAGTGGACTTGTGAGGGATCACTTAGCTTGTTTTTTTTCTGTTTTTTTTTTTTTTTATTAACTGGCCTAAGAACATGGATACTTTTAAAGCTATAAATACTGTTAACAGTTTTAAAAGTGTCTTCAAAGAGGTAAGTGCTAGGATCGGCCTTTCTCAGCCTGCTGTCCTCAGAAGCCCTTGCAGAGTGTAGAGGATCATAAGAGGGTTTTGAGAAAAGGGGACCTTTCATCCCTGCAAGGTCTGAGAAAAGAGAAAAATTAATAAATAGTAAAGAAAAAAAGAAAAAGGAATTAAGTAAGTTTAGAGGAACTGCATTAAGCAAAGTCAAATTTATTTTCCATAGGAATTCTCAGAACTTTTAACATGCAGACATGAGGCCGGGCACGGTGGCTCATGCCTATAATCCCAGCACTTAGGGAGGCCAAGATGGGAGGATTGCTTGAGCACAGGAGTTTGAGACCAACCTGGGCATAGTGAGACCTCGTCTCTACAAAAAAAATAATAAAAATTAGCCAGGTGTGGCAGTGTGTGCCTGTGGCCTCAGGTACACGAGAGGCTGAGGCAGAAGATCACTTGAACCCAGAAGATCGAGGCTGCAGTAAGCAGTGATCGCACCACTGCACTCCAGCCTGGGCAACAGAGCGAGGCTCAAAAAATAAAAAATAAAAAAACAAAACAACAAACATGCAGACATGCACCATGAACCTCAAAGAAGGGAGGTACAAGTGAAGGGGGCTTCCTGGACAGACTGGATCACAAGTCATGGCACAGCACAAACAAGGTCCCTTCTAACAAAATGGCCATCTACGACCACTTAAAATCACTTATAAGTACAGGCTGAGTATTCCTCATCCCAAATGCTTGGTATCAGAAGAGTTTCAGATTTCAGATTTTTTTTTTTTTTTTTTCAGATGGGGTTTTCACTGTGGAGGCTAAGGCATGAGAATCTTGTGAATCCAGAGGGCAGAGGCTGCAGTGAGCCAAGATCATGTCACTGCACTCCAGCCTGGGCAAGAGTTAGACTCTGTCTCCAAAAAAAAAAAAAAAAAACTCTGATTAAGGCCTTTAGTCAAAGTTACACCAATGTCTACTTTGTTACATTAATAACACCAATGTGGCTGGGCGTGGTGGCTCATGCCCATAATCCCAGCAGTTTGGGAGGCCGAGGTGGGCAGATCACCTGAGGTCAGGAGTTCGAGACCAGCCTGGCCAAGATAGTGAAACACTATCTCTACTAAAAATACAAAAATTAGCCAGGCATGATGGTTCTCGCCTGTAATCCCAGCTACTCCAGAGGCTGAGGCAGGGGAATCACTTGATCCTGGGAGGTGGAGGTTGCAGTGAGCCGAGATTGCACCACTGCACTCCAGCCTGGGCAACAGAGTGAGACTCCATGTCAAAAAAATAAAAAATAACACCAATGTTATTTTCTGGCTCTGATCACTGTGCTGTGGTTATGTAAGACACCATCACTGGGGAGAGCTGGCAAAAGATACACAGGAACCCTCCAAGCTATTTGTGCAACTTCCACGAGAGACTGGTCCAAAATAAAAAGTCTGGACAACACTTTAATCACATGTAAGGTTACAAAACATTAAAAGAAAAATAAATAAATAAATAAATAAAAGATACACTAGCCATGAAAGATGGCTCCAAGTGTTTAAAAGACCTTTATTTCAAAATGAAAACTTCCCGTGTTAAGTTTGACAGCCGTGCTCATGCCTAGTAATACTTGACAGTGGAGGAATGTGGAAGGAGCCGTGGAGGTCACCCAGCCTGGGGGCTCTGCCCAGCCCCTCCATTTGCTCTGTGTACATGTGTATATACCTGTTTGTCCAAGAACCCTTTACCTTCTGGATCGGCCAAGTCCCATATCTGCGGAAACACAAAAATGCTCATAAGCATGACTGCCGATCACTGTCCACGTGTTAACAAAAACCAGAGCCGCCACCACCCCATCACTGGCCTTGCGGGGCAGGAGTGACTGTCCCCAGGTTGTCCTGCAGATGAAGAAGCCAATTCAGAGCAGGTGAATGATCTGCCCAGGGGCGCACAGCCAGTCAGCGGCAGGGCCCAGAGGACATCCAGGTGCACTCAGCTCCCAAGCCAATGGTGTTTATGACACCCTTCTTCCCCCAACTAAAGTCCGCAAGTGGCCAAGCGCGGTGGTTCACGCCTGTAATCCCAGCACTTTGGGAGGCCAAGGTGGGCGATTCACCTGAGGTCAGGAGTGCGAGACCAGTCTGGCTAACACAGTGAAACCCCGTCCCTACTAAAAATACAAAAAATTAGCCGGGCGTGGTGGCAGGTGCCTGTAGCCCCAGCTACTCGGGAGGCTGAGGCAGGAGAATGGCGTGAACCCAGAAGGTGGAGCTTGCAGTGAGCTGAGATCACGCTACTGCACTCCAGCCTGGGCGACAGAGCGAGACTGTCTCAAAAAAAAAATTAGCCGGGTGTGGTAGCATGTGCCTGTAATCCCAGCTATTCAAGAGGCTGAGGCAGGAGAATCACTTGAACCCGGGAGGAGGAGGTTGCAGTGAGCCGAGATCGCGCCGCTGCATTCCAGCCTAGGCAACAAGAGCGAAACTCTGTCTCAAAAAAAAAAAAAAAAAAAAAAGTCCACAAGCTATCAAGACCCCAAAAGTACTCGGGTTTCTTATCTGCTACCAAAGTAGTGGTGGGGGCTGCCACCTGGGCATTTGGATCCACCAGCTGCAGCCTGAGAGGTCTGCAGCGACCAGGCCACTACCCAGGAGGCCGGGCCCCATGGAAGGAGGCCTGCACAGGCTGGCCCTGACCTGCGGGGGGAGCTGTGAGGGCAGCCACAGAAGAGAAATCACTATTCATCTTCACATACCTTCCCAAGGATAATGTCCGAGAGGCCAGACTTCTTTAGAAAAAGCGCAGCTTCACTCGCCCCCACCCTCCCTGTGTATGCCGGATCGACCTGAAATGGGAGACCAAGAGGCAAAATAACTTTTCAGCAAATGCAGCAGCAGGTGAAGTGGCACCCGCCACGCTAACTATCCGCTGACAGTGAACAGAAAAGGACAAAAGGCCGCTCAGCCGGGCTTCTATTCTGTACTGTGCTTTCAGCTCAGGCATGCTCTAGTTCCATCTGAAGAGACATCAGCTAAACTTACCTGCTTGTAATAAGATTCATACAACGAATTTCCAGTGGGAATCTGTAAATGAAACCACAGATATTGGTCAAAAGTGAACACAACCCCTTGGGGAAAAAAAGGGTTGCCCCCTCAATTTTGTCATGACCAAAATATATGATGATAGTTAGAGTCAAAATGCATGCACTTTAAACATCCTCTGAACACAGAATTCAGTTTATCTTCAGACACAGATATTATTATGCTTACCTGATTTAGAAAAAGTAAGCTTAATGTTCTTTAATAAATCCTGATTCTAGGGCAAACAATATAGTCACTCAGGAAACAGCAGCAGCAGCCCAGTGTCAATTTCCATTCACTGAGCAAAGGGATTTCAGCTCCTGGAGAGCTCAGAGGGAAAGGACACTCTATCCTCTGAGATTGTTCTCTGGCTCCGGAATCAGAAAAGAAGTTTCCACGCATTATCATAAATCACCAGGCCTGCAAGCTTTCGACCAGTTTCCCTGGCCTGGGTCTGGTTCTCAACCATCCCATCCATCCTCCTCCAGCTACCTGAGTGCTCAGAGACGCACACTGACCAGCCCGCGCCCGGAGAGCGCTGGCCAGTAACTGTTCCCACCAGGGAAGGAAGGAAGTGCAGTGTCCTCAGCTTGGCACTGAAGATATTCCATTTCCCGACACCTCAGAGCCCCAAGACATCGCTGTTTGGAGGTCACTTCCCCATCTAGGGTCACGCAGCTAATCGGGGCCACCAGAGGCCACACCTGGATCCAGCCTGGCTGGCGGCCAAGTCCAGACACTTCCCGCTGTGTCCTGAGCTCTGCCAGACGTCTCCCAGGGAAGGGGAGGGACACCCAGGGGAGTGTGCCAACCTGGTGGGGAATTATGCAGTCCCTGAAATGCTGGCTGTAAAAGTTTACGTGCGTTGGTGTTTTAGTAAGTGAGGTGAAAAAAGAGCACACAAACCTGCCGCTGATGTAATAAGCGATAAAAGTGAAGAATGCACAATGACACCTAATTATACAGAATGGATGTGTAAACAGCTAAAGAGAATAGAACTGGGCAGGGAAAAGAGGACTATCTTGGGGGCAGGATTACAGTGTTTATCCAACAAATTCTGGGACTGCTGTTGTACGATTTCTCACAATGAATAAAACCAGGGGGACGTAGACTCCTTCCAGTTATAGTCATTGGATTTGAACCAATACGCACCCACCACTTGCATATTGTTGTGCTACAAAGGGTCATTTGAAGCTAAAAATAATGCCCAGGCCGGGCGCAGTGGCTCACGCCTATAATCCCAGTACTTTGTGAGGCCAAGGCAGGCAGATCACCTGAGGTCAGGAGTTCGAGACCTGGCCAACATGACAAAGCGAGACACCATCTCTACAACAAATACAAAAATTAGCCAGGCGTGGTGGCATGCACCTGTAATCCCAGCTACTTGGGAGGCTGAGGCAGGAGAATCGCTTGAACCCAGGAGGCGGAGGTTGCAGTGAGCCGAGATCGTACCACTGCACTCCAGCCTGGGTGACAAGAGTGAAACTCTGTCTCAAAAATAAAAAGAAAAAAATAATAATGCCCGGATTATGGTCAGCGTCTCTGGGGGACGCCAACACCTGTGAATGTATAAAGAAGTGAAAGTTGTAATCCCAAACAGCACTTTGGGAGGCCGAGGCAGGCAGATCACGAGGTCAGGAGCTCAAGATCAGTCTGGCCAACATAGTGAAACCCCGTCTCTACTAAAAATACAGAAAATTAGTCAGGTGTGGTGGTGTGCGCCTGTAATCCCAGCTACTCAGGAGGCTGAGACAGGAGAATTGCATTAATCCGGGAGGCAGAGATTGCAGTGAGCCGAGATCGCGCCACTGCACTCCAGCCCAGGCGACGGTGCGAGACTCCGTCTCAAAAAAAAAAAAAAAAAAAAGAAGTGAAAGTACAGAGAAAACTACCATGACAAAATGAAAATAGAAGGAAAATAGCATAAAGATCTGAAAGGGGAGAGGGAAAAAGTCAAAAAAAAAAAAAAGAGGAAAAGAAAGGGGGAAACACTGAAAAGGCAGAAAAAACTAGAATAACATGAAAAAGCAAGAAAAGCCAGAGATTTAGGAGCCATCATTTTAAAACAGACAAAGACATCATGGAAAAGACATAGGAGGTAAGTGTGTATAGCAACAGCAGCCCCAAGATGGCTGCCCCCCTCGTGCTTGGAGGCAGTGACACCATTCCTGGGTGAGGGGTACAGGAAGGAGTGGCTATCACCCTTAGCATCTTACAACCTCGTTAGATGACAGTGTCCAGCCATCACACCTGTGTCAACTTCTGGGCTCAAACTCCAGCTTATTTCCAAAATATGTCTCCCCAGAGGAAGAAGACCCACAGAAAGGAGGCCAAGGCAGGCAGGCTGTTTGTCATCTGTCAGTAAAGGTGACAGTGGTCAGGTCTAGGCAGCAAACAGCACATCGCCTGCCATGGGTTCACAGACTCCAGAGGCCCTCACTTCAGATGACAAAGGTGCCCTTCCTGCCAATGATCAGAGAGGTCTGGATCTGAAGCACATTTCCAGACAAGTTTTTTTTTTTTTTTTTGAGACAGGGTCTTGTTCTGTCACCCAAGCTGGAGAGCAGTGGCGCAATCTCAGCTCATTGCAATCTCTGACTCCTGGATTCAAGCCATTCTCCTACCTCAGCCTCCCGAGTAGCTGGGACTACAGGTGCGTGCCACCATGCCCACTTAATTTCTGTATTTTCAGTAGAAGCGAGGTTTCACCATATTGGCCAGGCTGGTCCTGACCTCAGGTGATCCGCCTGCTTTGGCCTCCCAAAGTGCTGGGATTACAGGCATGAGCCACCACGCCCAGCCCCAGGCGAGTTTTTTAACAATCTCATGGGAAGCAAGGGAAAGAGGTTTCCAAGCTACTGTGATTCCAGTGGAAAAAAAAGAGTTTCAGTCTTTGAGGCATGCAGGGTTATTAAATATCTGCTCTACTTCCCAGGCGCTAATGAGCAACAAGATCCGCAACCAAGAGAAACAAGGCCTGGACTAATCCAGAAGAGTCGCTGAAGGACACAGCCCAGAGCTCCAACCTCTGCCCATCCATGCTAAAGGCTCATCCGGCTCGAACACTTGATGACCACCGGATGTCACTCTCAAAAGACCTACAGCTGAGGGAAAGCCCAGGGAGTATGGCTCAACCATTGCTCATCACCACGGGAGTCCATCTGGGTAACCTGGAACAATGACAGTGGTCAGAGGTTTTGATCTAATTACACATATGTCAGGTTTTGCATATGCAAAAGCAGAAGGGGGAAGAAAGAAGGTACAGCACCAGGCCCCAACTGCCACTTCCTCTTATGCCAGGCTTCTTCCCAGGAACAATGGACTCACACCTGCACGCTGCCCTGATATGTCATTGCGACAGAACTGAAGACACATGTTGCTAATGACATAAATCCCCAGCCCCAGGCAGTCTGTCACTGGCCCCTGTGCAGAGACCTCTTGGCCCCCAAAAGGAAGATTCACAGCTACTGGGAAAGAGCCCTCTGTATGCTGAGAGCAGCCTCTGGAGCTGCCCACCCATGTCTGACCCCAAAGTGAGCCTGGGGCCAAGCCCGAGGCAACAGCAGAGAGGGGACGCACCAGGGGATGAGGCCTGCACCGTAAGAGGCTGCAGGTGGCACCAGGATGGCCGTAGGAATGGAAGGAAGTGCAGCAGAGCTGACCCGATGTGTTCTCCTGACCCAGCCCACTGTGCTGAGAAGACGCCATCTTCGCCTCTGCAGTGTGTGAATTGTTGATGAGGTTCAGTGTAGCTTTCAGCTCGGTCTTTCAGTTGCTCTTCCTAACTCAAAATGCTAAGAGACAACATGCAAAGTTCCTGTGGCCTCCTCACTTATCCTCCAGCCCAGAAACAATTTACAAGTGGGATGACAGAGAGAGGGGCACAAGGAGAAGGACAAGTTCACATCCTTCTGCTCTGAAGGCTTTAAAACACCGCAATTCACACAAGCGCCTGTAACTGTAACCCAGGACAACAGCAGTTGAGATGGAGAAACCCAGCAGAACCACCTCGGAGGAGAAACTGTCTCAGGATTGTGTTCTAACGACTCCTAAGCAGGGTTCACCCAACTCTGATCCCCGCACGTGGCCGAGGGCAGGACGCCTCCTACATCTTCATGCCTGGCTGCCTCCTGCCCAAACTCTCACTCTCACTCTGCTAGCAAAGTACGCGCTCTTGTGCAAAACAAACCAATGATCATCAGCCTTGGTTCAAAATGACTTTTGGAAAGCAATCCATTTTCACTGTAAAATGTTCAGAGAAGTACCTATAATCCCTTGTTTCCTATCCAGTACCTCTCATCCTCCCGACAACGCTAAAGGGCAGGTAATATTACTAGTCCAGTTGACAGGTGGGGAAACTGAGTTTGCCCTACTCAGGACCACAACAGCCAATGAGCAACAGTCAGTGAAGCACCCAGGATAGGTGGTCCTGGAGTCAGACCCTCACCTACTGTGCACCCTGTAATGACAGCCCAGGTGTCACAGGGCTGTGCACCGGACCACAGGACAGCCTCATGCATATGCTGGCCTGGGAAAATGCACGTCCGTGATGACGTGCTGGAGCATTTTATTAAACAGAAGAGGTCAAAAGGCAACACTCAATTTGAGCATATAAATGGACTTGAAAGCCAGTGTTTTCGATGACCTGCCATTTCCCCAGGAAAGCTGAGACCCCATAATGGCTATGTTTTTCAATGCCACTGCCAAGTTTTGCAGGAAGTTAGGCATATAACACTGAAACACATCTCAGTCTGAGTTCCTACTTAGAAAAACATATGGATGCAAAAACATAGCCCGGAGTAGAGCTTGCTTGATAATCCTTCCATTTCTGCCTTCCCCTTAGAGGCCCCCACAGGCCTTGCACAACCATCACCCAATGTGAGCCCAGCCCTCCCAGCAGGCCGGCCCACATTCTGCGGGTGAGATAACCTGGCTCAGTCATGTGGCAAGCACGGGGCAGAACTGGGACTTGACTCAAAACATTCAAAAGGCATCAGGGAAACGCTGGGGTATGTCTAACCTTCCTGGACTGGATGGGCAGCTCTCTCCAACTGCTCCATCAGAGGTTTCTACAGCAGAGCTAAGGTAAATGTTACCAAGAGAAGGAGAAGACTTGGCAAGTGAAAAGAGAGCTTTTCCAAATCACAAGGAAAAAGACATCTCAATTAAAAATGAGCAAAGAGAGAGGCAATTCAGAAAGAAGAGATGCAGCAAAGTTAGAAAGAAAATGTTCCATCTCACTAGTAATTTAAGTATTACAGGGCCAGGCACTCTGGCTCACACCTGTAATCCCAGCACTTAGGGAGGCCAAGGTGGGTGAATCACCTGAGGTCAGGAGTTCAAGACCAGCCTGGCCAACATGATGAAACCCCATCACTACTAAAAATACAAAAATTAGCCAGGCATGGTGGCAGGTGCCTGTAATCCCAGTTACTCAGGAGGCTGAGGCAGGAGAATCACTTGAACCTGGGAGGCGGAGGCTGCAGTGAGCCGAGATCATACCACTGCACTCCAGCCTGAGCGACAGAGCAAGACTTCATCTTCGGAAAAAAAAAAAAAGGCAGAGAAGCTAAAACAATTCTGAAAAAGAATAATAAAGTGGAAAGAGTCAGTCTACCTGATTTCAAGACTGACTCTATAGCTAGAGTAGTTAAGACAGTGGAGTATTGGCAGGGGGCGGGCACAGACAGTAATGCACAGAACAGAATGTAGAATCTGAGAAACAGACACACACAGATCTGCCCAGTGGATTTCTTGACAAAGGTGCAAAAGTATTTCAGGAGGAAGGAAAGCCTTTCCACAAAGGGCACTGGAGCAATCGGCATCCATAGGAAAAACATGGGCCTCGAACTAAAAGTCTTATGCCTCGTACAAAATGTAACTCAAAGTGGATCATGAATTCAAATGTAAAACATAATCCTCAGGATCTAGGGCAAAGCAAAGAGTTCTTAGACTTGACACCAAAAGCCCGATTCACAAAAGGAAAGATTGGCAGACAAACTTTATGTTTGCACTGTGAAAGAGCCATGTAAGGCCTGGCGTGGTGGTTCATGCCTGTAATCCCAGCACTTTGGGAGGCCGAGGCAGGAGGATCACCAGAGTTTGGGAGTTCAAGACCAGTCTGACCTACATGGAGAAACCCCATCTCTACTAAAAATGTAAAATTAGCCAGGCATGGTGGCGCATGCCTGTAATCCCAGCTACTCGGGAGGCTGAGGCAGGAGAATCGCTTGAACCCGGGAGATGGAGGTTGAGGTGAGCCGAGATCACACCATTGCACCATTGCACTCCAGCCTGGGCAATAAGAGCAAAATTCCGTATTAAAAAAAAAGGGGGGGGGAGAAAGGCCGGGCGCGGTGGCTCACACCTGTAATCCCAGCACATTGGGAGGCCAAGGTAGGCGGATCACCTGGGGTCAGGAGTTCAAGACCAGCCTGGCTAACATGGCTAAAAATACAAAAAAATTAGCTGGGTGTAGTGGTGTGCACCTGTAATCCCAGCTACCCAGGAGGCTAAGCCAGGAGAACTGCTTGAACCCAGCGGGCAGAGGCTGCAGTGAGCCGAGATTGTGCCACTGCACTCTAGCCTGGGTGACAGAGCAAGACTCCGTCTCAAAAAAAAAAGCCAGATAAAAAGGTGAAAAGGCAAGCTACAGACTAGAAAGAAAGGTTTGCAAAGCACATATCCAACAAATGACTACTATCTAAAATATATACTAGAGAGCTCTCAAATTCAACAGCATAAAAAAGAAAACAATCAAATTAGAACATGGGCAAGCCAGGCATGGTGGTGCGTACCTGTAGTCCCAGCACTTTGGGAGGCCAAAGCAGGAGGACTGCTTGAGCCCAGGAGTTCCAGACCAGCCTGGGCAACATAGTGAGACCCCATCTCTACATGAAATTAAAAAACTAGCCAGGCGTCGTGGTGCACACCTGTAGTCCCAGCTACTCAGGAAGCCAAAGCAGGAGGATTGCTTGATCCCAGGAGTTCAAGACCAGCCTGGGCAACATAACAAGATCTGATTTCTTAAAAAACAAACAAACAAACAAACAAACAAACAAAAAAACACGAAGAAGAAAAGAACATGGGCAAAAGATCTGAAGGCAAAAAGACATTTTACCAAAGAGGAAATATAGCAGATGGCAAATAAACGTATGAAAATATGTTTAACATCATTAGCAAAAAGAAGAATGCAAATTAAAACCACAGTGAGATGCCACTGCACGCTATCAGAGTGGCTAAAATAACAAATAGTGACAACATCAAATGCTGGTGAGGATGCAGGCAAACTGGGCCACTCATACACTGCTGATGGGAAAGTTAAAAGGTACGGTGACTCTGGAAACAGACTGGCAGTTTCTTAAAACAACAACAACAAAAAAAAACTAAACACAACATGAAACTACCGCATGAACCAGCAACTGTCCTGGGCATTTACCCGGGAGAAATGAAGAGTCATGTTCATACCACATCCTGTATGCAGTGTTGGCCACAGCTTTATATGTCACTGCTCCAAACTGGTAACACCCCGGATGTCCTCCAATAAGTGAGTGGTTCAGCAAACTGTGGTCCAAGCACACCATGGAATACTACTCAGCAATGAAAAGGAATGAACAGCTGACACATATGCAATAATCTGGATGACTCTCCAGAGAATTATGCTGAATGACAAAGGCCAAACCTCAAAGGTTACATACTGAATAATTCCATCACATAACATCATTAAAATGATAAAATTGTAGAAATGAACAGAGTGGTGGTTGCCGGGGATAAGGAAGAGATGGGCTGGGAGGGAAGTGGGTGTGGCTATAAAAGGGCAACAGGAGGGACGTGTTCTGTACCTGGCTATCAACAAGACCCTATCTCTACAAAAAAAAAAAAATAGCCACGCATGGTGGCACATGCCTGTGGTCCCAGCTACTCAGGAGGCTGAGGCAGAAGGATTACCTGAGCCCAGGAGTTCAAGGCTGCAGTGAGCTATGATCGTGCTACTGCACTCCAGCCTGGGCAACAGAGCTGTCTCTTAAAAAAGAAAAAAAAAGCTTTCAAACCTTGATTCCGTGCTCTGATGCCCTCCCCAGTCCATGTCATTCACCTTGCTGCTTTGCTGAATGTCTAAACTCTCAGGGGTGGTTCTATTGCTTCTCGGTTCCTCTCCAGGGCAGGGAACGCATGCCTTACCCCTGTGTCATGCCCCACTGCAGGCCCTGAGTTCTGTCTGGGCTGGACGGAGGCCGTGAGCCCCAGGCATGTCCATCTTCTTTTTTTTTTTTTTTTTTTTTGAGACGGAGTCTCACTTTGTTGCCCAGGCTGGAGTGCAATGGTGCGATCTCGGCTCACTGCAACCTCCGCCTCCCAGGTTCAAGTGATTCTCCTGCCTCAGCCTCCCAAGTAGCTGGGATTACAGATGCATGCCAACACACCTGGCTAAATTTTTGTATTTTTTAGTAGAGACAGGGTTTCACCATGTTGGCCAGGATGGTCTCGCCCTCCTGACCTCAGGTGATCCACCCGCCTCAGCCTCCCAAAGTGCTGGGATTACAGGCGTGAGCCACCACGCCTGGCCAGGGCATGTCCAACTTCTGCTGGTCTCGCAAGGTGGTCATTTGGGTCCCCAGAGAATCCAGGACTCTTCCTTCAGAACCTGAACATAGCCATCATCATCAATATCCCAGATGCAATACTGTACCACCATTATGCAAATGTTGCTTCAGAGGAAACTGGATAAATGGTACAGGCTCTTTTTTTTTTGAGACAAGAGTCTCGCTCTGTTGCCCAGGCTGGATGGCAGTGGTGCAATCTTGGCTCACTACAACCTCCGCCTCCCAGGTTCAAGCAATTCTCCTGCCTCAGCCTCCCGAGTAGCTGGGATTACAGGCACCCACCACCGTGCCCGGCTAGTTTTTATACTTTTAGTAGAGACCGGGTCTCACCACGTTGGCCAGGCTGGTCTTGAACTCCTGACCTCAGGTGATCTGCCTGCCTCGGCCTCCCAAAGTGCTGGGATTACAGGCGTGAGCCACCGCGCCCGCCCAGACTCTCCAACAACTGCAAGTGAGTCTACCATCATCTCAAAATGAGAAGTTTTGTTTTTTCTTTAAAGACTTAGGAAACCTAATGACCAAATGCAAGGTGACATTTGCAGACAATCAGGGAAATGTGAATATGGTCTTGTTATCAGATAATACCAATACCAAAGGCGTTATTATTAGTTGTGTAAGGTGTGATAAGGCATTGTGGTTATGTAAAGGAAAACGGTCTTAACTGTTAGAGGTGCATGTTGAAATACAATTTCTTTTATTTATTTATTTTATTTTTTTTATTTTTTTTGAGATGGAGTTTTGCTCTGTCGCCCAGGCTGGAGTGCAGTGGTGAGATCTCCACTCACTGCAAGCTCCACCTCCCGGGTTCACGCCATTCTCCTGCCTCAGCCTCCCAAGTAGCTGAGACTACAGGTGCCCGCCACCTCACTCGTCTAATTTTTTGTATTTTTTAGTAGAGACAGGGTTTCACCATGTTAGCCAGGATGGTCTCGATCTCCTGACCTCGTGATCCACCCGCCTCGGCCTGCCAGAGTGCTGGGATTACAGGCGTGAGCCACCGCGCCTGGCCTACAATTTCTAAGATTAAAAAAAAACAGGCCAGGCACGGTGGCTCACACCTGTAATCCTAGCACTTTGGGAGGTCGAGGCAGGCAGTTACCTGAGGCTGGGAGTTCAAGACCAGCCTGGCCAACATGGTGAAACCCTGTCTCTACTAAAAATACAAAAAAATTAGCTGGGTGCGGTGGCGTGCACCTGTAATCCCAGTTACTCTGGAGGCTGAGGCAGGAGAAATGCTTAAACCCAGGAGGCGTAGGTTGCAGTGAGCCAAGATCACGCCACTGCACTCCAGCCTGGGCTACAGAGTGAGACTTCGTCTCAAAAAAAAAAAACCACACAACAGGAGGCTGGGTGCAGTGGCTCACGCCTGTCATCCCAGCACTTTGGGAGGCTGAGGTGGGTAGATCACCTGAGGTCAGGAGTTCTAAACCAGCCTGGCCAACATGGTGAAACCCCATCTCTACTAAAAATATAAAAATTAGCCAAGCGTGGTGGCAGGCACCTGGAATCCCAGCTACTCAGGAGGCTGCGGCAGGAGAATCACTTGAACCCGGGAGGCAGAGTTTGCAGCGAGCTGAGATTATGCTACTGCACTCCAGCCTGGGCAACAGGAGTGAAATTCCATCTCGAAAAAAAAAAAAAAACACAAGCCAGAGCCAGGTGTAGTGGCACTCGCCTGTAGTCCCAGCTACTCGAGAAGCTAAGGCAGGAGGATTGCCTGAGGCCAGGAATTCCAGGCTGCAGTGAGCTATGATCACTGGGCCTCTGAATGGCTACTGCACTCCGGCCTGCACAACATAGCAAAATGTCATCTGAAAAAAAAAAAAAAAAAACCTAAGAACTAAAAATATACGTAGGTGGGGGAAAAGATCAAAGGGTGGTACAAAGAAATCTGCAAAATATTGATAACTGTTGTAAATGGGCAGTGGGTACATGGGAATTCATTAAACCCTTCCCTCTACATCTATTTTATTTTTTTATTTTTTTATTTTTTTTGAGATGGAGTCTCGCTCTGTCCCCCAAGCTGGAGCGCAGTGGCACGATCTTGGCTCACTGCAAGCTCCGCCTCCCCGGTTCATGCCATTCTCCTGCCTCAGCCTCCCGAATAGCTAGGACTACAGGTGCCCACCACCATGCCCAGCTAATTTTTTTGTATTTTTCTTAGTAGAGACGGGGTTTCACCGTGTTAGTCAGGATGGCCTCGATCTCCTGACCTCATGATCTGCCCGCCTCGGTCTCCCAAAGTGCTGGGATTACAGGTGTGAGCCACCGCGCCCGGGCTTTATTTTATTTTTCATAGAGACAGAGACTTGCTCTGTCACCCAGGCTAGAGTACAGTGGTGCCATCATAGCTCACTGCAGCCTCAACCTCCTGGACTTAAGGGATCCTCCTTCCTTAGCCTTCCAAGTAGCTGGGTCTATAAGTGCATGCCACCACACCCAGCTAATTACTATTTTTTATTTTTTGTAGAGACGGGGTCTTGCTTTGTTGCCCAGGCCAGTCTCTAACTCCTGGGTTCAAAAGATCTTCCCACCGGGGCCTCCCACGGTGCTGGGATTATAGGTGTGAGCATGCCCAGCCATCAACTTTTAATGTGTTTAAAGGCCATTTGGGCTGGGCACAGTGGCTCATGCCTGTAATCCCAACACTTTGGGAGGCCGAGGTGGGCGGATCATGAGGTCAGGAGATCGAGACCATCCTGGCTAACACGGTGAAACCCCGTCTCCACTAAAAATACAAAAAATTAGCCCAGCGTGGTGGCAGGCGCCTGCAGTCCCAGCTACTCGGGAGGCTGAAGCAGGAGAATGGCGTGAACCCGGGAGGCGGATCTTGCAGTGAGCCGACATCGAGCCACTGCACTCCAGCCTGGGCGACAGAGCGAGACTCCATCTCAAAAAAAAGAAAAAAAAAATGACTTATCGGGTACTATGTTCACTACCAGGGTGACAGGATCCGTATTCCAAACCTCAGCATCATGCAATACTCTCATGTAACAAATATGCACATGTACTCTCTGTATCTACAATAAAAAAAGCTGAAATCCAAGAAAGAAAAAAGAATTCCTATAAAAAAAAAAAAAAGGCCATTTGATGTGCTTCTGCCTTGGCAAGGACCCTAATGGCACAAGCTGCGTCAGGTTTAAGTGTGACAAATGAGGAGAGCTTGGTGACAGGATCGTGCTTCTGTGAAACAATACAAACTGGCATTCCTTTAGAACACACACAAGTGTGCCCTACCATGGCTACAAGGTCTGCTCCTGGGAGACTGAGAAGTGATGCAGGAGTGGGGGAAGGGTAAGAGGGTTCGCTGTTTTCCCCCCTTGAGGGCACAGATGCAGACTGCAAGGCACTGGAAACAGCAGAGGACTGGTTAAGCTGCTAATAAATTGCTGAGTCTCCATGGGACAGAATAAATACCTTACAGCCATCAAAACAGCAGAATGTTTACAAATGGGGTCCAATCTTCATCAGCTTGCTAAATGAGAAGGGGGCAATCTAGCAGGTGCAGTGTGTGACCTGGCTTATAAGCACACGGTATCCTATCGCCCCGCTACTGGAACCTGGCGGGACAGGGCCATGCTTACCAGGATTTCTACGGGCCAGCTAGTTTGCTTCCTCATGGCTTCCTATGTTCCCTGGTGTACTATGTCAGCATGAGCTGCTTTTGTAAATTAGACAGAAATAGAAAGATGTGCAAGGAAAAGCAGGATCTGAAGGAATTTTCATGGATTCTCCCCAGGGACCCAAATGAGTGCCTTGTGAGACCAGCAGAAGACGAACATGCTCGGGGCTCAAGGCCTCCATCCAAACCAGACAGAACTCAGGGCCTACAGTGGGGCATGGCACAGGGGTAAGGCCTACAGTCGCTGCCCTGGAGAGGAACCAACAAGCAAGAGAACTGCCCCGAGCATTTAGACATGCAGCAAAGCAGCAAGGTCAATGACATGGACCAGGAAGGTCGTCAGAACACAGAATCAAGGTTTGAAAGCTTTCTTTTTTCTTTTTTTTTTTTTTAAGAGACAGCTCTGGGCCAGGCATGGTGGCTCACACCTGTAACCCCAGCACTTTTGGGGGCTAAGGTGGGTGGATCACCTGAGGTCAGCAGTTTGAGACCAGCCTGGCCAACATGGTAAAAGCCTGTCTCTACTAAAAATATAAAATTAGCCAGGTGTGGTGGCGCACACCTGTAATCCCAGCTACTTGGGAGGCTGAGGCAGGAGAATTGCTTGAACTAGGGAGGCAGAGGCTGCAGTGAGCCAGGATCACATCATTGCACTCCAGCCTGGGCAACAAGAGCGAAACTCCATCTCAAAAAAAAAAAGAGAGACAGCTCTGTTGTCCAGGCTGGAGTGCAGTGGCACGACCATAGCTCACTGTAGCCTCAAATTCCTGGGCTTAAGTGATCCTCCTGCCTTAGCCTCCTGAGTAATTGGGACCATAGCCATGCACCACCATGTGTGGCTAATTTTTTTTTTCTTTTTTTTGTAAAGATTGGGGGGGTCTCATTATTTTGCCAGGCTGGTCTTGAACTCCTGGCCTCAAGCAATCCTCCTGCCTTGGCCTCCCAAAGTGCTGGGATTACAGGCATGAGCACCAAACTCAGCATTCCAGAAACAGAACTGCTGGAGAAAAAACATTGCCTGCAGCAGGCTTCCTGCCTCGATGCACTGCCCTGTGGAGGATGCAGGACTATGCTGAGCCCTAAACGTCTTCAGGAGAGACTGCCCAGCTCCATCTACACCTATGGGCTGTGTTCTCCCATCTTGCTTCACTAAGAGAAGCTGTCTCATGTGGAGGTCAACAGTGCTGCCAGACAAATGTGGATTTGAGTCCTGTCCTGCTGCTGGAATGCTGTGCAACCCTGGGGCAGGACGAGCAGCCTCTCTGTGCCTCAGCTTCTGCATCTGGAGATGAGGGTGAGCACTCCCACCCCCGGGGACTTGTCAATCACCGGCTGTTGTGATTCCTGGTATCCTCCTCATCGCCCTCCTTCCACTGGCTCCAGGTAAAAATGTACCCTCTCCCCAGAAACATCCCTCCATCTCTCTTCCACCTCCAGCTACTGACCTCCCCCCACCCTTCGCATAAAACCTCCTGAAAGCCAGGCGCAGTGGATCACACCTATAATTCCAGCAATATGGGAGACCAAGACGGGTGGATCACCTGAGGTCAGGAGTTCGAGACCAGCCTGACCAACATGGAGAAATCTTGTCTCTACTAAAAATATAAAATTAGCTAGGCATGGTGGCACAGGCCTGTAATCCCAGCTACTCAGGAGGCTGAGGCAGAAGAATCATTTGAACCCAGGAGGCAGAGGTTGCAGCGAGCCGAGGTTGTGCCATTGCACTCCAGCCTGGGCAACAAGAGGAAAACCCTGTCTCAAACAAACAAACAAAAAACCCTCCTGAAAAAGGGTCCACCCTTGGATTCCCCAGCTCTCCCTTCTTTGGACCTGGAAATTTATTTGTTTGCTCACTCAATCAACACATGCTGAACTCGTGCTAAGAGGCAGCACTGAGGATACAAAAGTGTGTAGGACAGAGTCCTGGGCTTCAGGCCAGGCGTGGTGGCTCACGCCTGTAATCTCAGCACTTTGGGAAGCCAAGGTGGGTGGATCACATGAGGTCAGGAGTTCGAGACCAGCCTGGCCAACATGGTGAAACTCTATCTCTACTAAACATATAAAAATTAGCTGGGCGTGGTGGCGGGTACCTGTAATCTCAGCTACTTGGGAGGCTGAGGCGGGAGAACCGCTTGAACCCAGGAGGCTAGAGGTTGCAGTGAGCCAAGATGATGCCATTGCACTCCAGCCTGGGTGACAAGAGTGAAACTCCATCTCAAAACAAAAACAAAAACAAAACAAACAAAAAATAGAGTCCTGGGCTTCAGGAAGGGCAGGCGGGACAAAGTCAGCCCAGGACTATGGCACAGGGGACCGCATGATATGACTGCAGCAGTAGGCACAGTGAGGGGAACTCAGGGCTTGGGGCCAGGTGTGCACCGGGACAGAGAAGACAGGTGAGCTGTGGGTGATTCAGCACGGCCCCAGTCAGGTGGAAGGGCATGTGCATAGGATGCCAGGGTCTGTGCACGCTGTGCTGAAAAGACAGGATGTCATCCCCAGGGCAAGCAGAACATGGGGAGGGGGTGCCTGCAGGCCAGCAAGGTGGGCGCATATGCATATGAGATGGTAAACGGCAGAAATCCGCTGCAAGGAGCAGGGCTGGAAGGAAGTGATCAGAGAGAGACTGCCATGGCCCTCCAGCAGCAGAACTCCAGCAGCCTGGGGACTGCAGCGACTCACAATGCAGACACCCGGAGAAGGAGGACATGCCAGTTCCCTAAAAACGAATGTGTTTCCTTGGGATGTCCCCAGGGGCATTGAGGTGGAAATCTAATTGCCATTCTAGACACCTTGGTGCAGGTGTGGAGGTGAACAACGGGACATTCCCCACCCACAGCCTCATGGAGCTGTGACAAAGCACAGAGACGGCTGCCAAGAGCTAGATGGAAGAGACAGGATGGAGGGCCAGTCCGCAGCCAGCAGCAGACATACACCCAGGGCACCAGGAGACCTGGAAGGCCCCCCCTCCATGGCTGAGCCTGTCCAGGGAGACTCAGTCAAGCGAGGCTGTGGAGCACCCGCACCAAAGCAGTGCCAGAGACAGGCTTGCCACGGGGAGGGAGGGAGGAGGCTCCACCACAGGAAATACCAGGGCAGCTGGGTCCTGGAGGGATGGAGGGGCGGGCGTGTAGGGAAGGGCTCAAGGGTCTTGTGCAGCCATGCAGAGGGCAGAAGGGATGGAACTGGAATGGCGCCCGGGCAGGAGGGGAACAGATTCCAGCCCTCCCTCCTGAAAACGCTGCTTAAGAGCAAAAGCAGATGAAGCCTCTGAGCAGCCCTCCCAGCTGCTGACCTGTGTCCCCTGGACATCACCCCTCCCGGGCATCTCAGAGAACAGACCTATTCAGTTCCATCTGTTTCCTTCCTCTGACCCATGAGCGGTCTCCCTGGAGAGACATGGGAGAGCAGTCACCCAAGACTGGGGGGGAGGGGGGAACACCGAGAGGGGCTCAATGACTCAGCAGTGTGTCCTCCGCAGCAGGAACACCCACCGCCTCCCACAAGGGCCCACTTCCCAGAGTCTCCCAACTTTCCAAAGTGTACCCCGGGCCTTCCCAACATTCCTTTCCTGCATCAGCTACTCCTGGGCTCCAATGTCCCTGCCATCTACTACTCCCTAACAGAGCACACTGCCCAGGACTCGGTTGGGATGGGTCTGGCCTCCTGTCGGGGTGTTCCTGACAGTGGGGGGTGGCTCCCTGCCAAGGACGCCAAGATCCCCTGCACTGGCCAGGTCAGTGCCATGCCACCTTCCTCCTCATCGCTGTGGGTGACAGCGTCAGCCTCCTAGTGCACTGTTCTTTTTCTGGCCCCTCTAAACATCAGGCACCCCTCGAGGCTCCCGGACCCCACAGTGAGCAGAAAGATGGTTGCTGCCACCATGGAGCATCATAGTCAGGGCATCAAAGCCAGTGAGCTGACACACACACCAACACAGAAGAGCAAATGCACAGCAGGGGTGACAAGGACAAGGACAGGGGCTCTGTCCTGATGGGAGGGCCGCCCCGCCCCCACCCCGCTTGCCCCATACATGCCTCTACAGAGCCTGGCCCAGCCTCCTCACCCACGGCCCTGCCTTCACCCGCTTCCCCACTGCACCTCGCACACAGCCACTCCTCTGCTCAGAAAGGCTCTTCAGGGTGTGTAACGGAGGCTAAGGTCCAAGCCCTGAGCCCAGTCCTGAAAGTGCTCCCTGGCCATCTCCTACCTTGCCGGGCTGATTTCACTCCACACACACACTCACTCACACACACTCAGCCACACACACATACACACAATCACACATGTACACTCAGGCTCACCCACATACACTCACACTCACATATATCACACTCAAGTCTCACCTCCTTCCCCCGGCTGGCAGAGCTCTACTGAACATATCGGGCACCTTTCACTCCTTGTCTTGGCACAAGATGCAGTCATGCATCGTTTAACTACAGGGATGCGTCCTGAGAGTTGCATCGTCAGGTTAATTTCATCGTCGTGAGGACATCCTGGAGTGAACTTACACAAACCTAGAAGGCAGCGCCTGCTCCACGCCTGGGCTGTGGTCTAGCCTATTACTCCCAGGCTACAAACCTGGGCAGCGTGGCCCGGTACAGAAAACTGCAGGCAACTGTAACACAATGCTAAGTAGCTGCGTATCTAAACATATCTAAACATAGCAAAGGCACAGGAAAAATACAGCAGTATAATCTTACGGGAGCACTGTCACATATGCAGTCCATCATGGTTATGCGGTGCGTGACTGCATTCCCTATGCTTGGGGCCGCTGCCTGCTGCAGGCCAACGCCCTGCTCTAAGATGACCCTAGGTTCCCCCAAATGAAATAAGTCCCTCCTGCCTCCACACTCCCATAGCCCCAAACTTTGACAAGGGACACTTCCTGAAGTTGATTTGATGGAAAAGCTGCTGTAATGACCGGCCCCTCTCACTACATTCTTAATGCCTGGAGGGTGGAGGGATCACGCTGTGCCCTCCTAGAAGCAGGCCTTCAGTAAATGTCTGTTGAGGGCATGGGTGAGATTAAAGTGTTGAGGGAGGCAGGTGGTGGGCTGAGTGCAGGAAGGTGCAGTTGGTAGTGGGGAGCGGGCAGACATAGCTCTGTGGCTCAGTAGCAGTGAGGACAAGCCACCAAGCCACCCTGGGCCTCAGTGTCCCCATCTGTAAAATGAGAATAGACAGCACCTGGCCTGAGGATGCTGGTAAGTCCCAAATGAGAATATGCAAGTGAAATACACTCTGCAATGGGAAGCCATTATTACATCCCCTATTATGGTTACTCTTGTATTATTATTCCTGAGACAGGGGAGCAGGCCGTATTTACAAAGAATGGTGGGCGGGGAGGGAGGTCAGGCAAGGCTGTGAATCAGCACGTGAGTTGCAGGTGTAAAATCACAGTCCTTATAGCCTGCCCTGCCAATTGATCTTTGCCAAGCAATAAAGTATTTCAACAAATGTTGGCTACACTATGGTACATATGGTAGCCATTTGCTCTCTCAACTCAACAGCTAAGCAGCTCCCAACATCTAGGATAGAACAATATTTCAGTTTGGGAATGGTGGCTCAGGCCTGTAATCCCAACACTTTGGAGATTAAGGCAGGAGGATCCCTTAAGGTCAGGAATTCAAGACCAGCCTGGGCAAAACAGTGAGACCCTAGCCCTACAAAAATTAAAAATCAGAAAATTAGCTGGGCGTGGTGGTGTGCTGAGGAGCACCTGCAGTCCCAGCTACTAAGGAGGCTGAGACAGGAGGATGAACCCAGGAGTCTGAGGCTGCAGTGAGCCGTGATGGCACCACTGCACTCCAACCTGGGCGACAGAGCCTGTCTCTAAAAATAAAAAAAGAACAGTGTTTCACCAATTCTCTTAGTCTCAGCTGTCATTTTCTTAAAAAAAATACAATTTTACACACAGCAGATAAGTACACACCTGTAAAAACCCACTTAGTGTGAATTAAAGGACATTTTAAATGTGCATTAAATGTGAATTAAAGGACATTTTCTAGTGGCTAAGAGTCAACAACAACAAATTAAATCAATAAAGTCAACTGACTATAAATGCCAACTCAGAGGCTGGCCTAAAAGAAAATGCCAACTCCATGGCCTGGTGTGAGCAAGCAAAATAACAGCAACAATTTGCACCCTGGTGATGGACAACCTTGCCCAGCCCATCAGCAATTGTGGAGCCTGCTCCTCCACTCCAGAAGCCTCGACCCACAGAGAAAGTTTCCAAAGCCAGCACGGGGGTGCCGCGGGCACAGAGCGTTCTAGTTCTCAGCAAAGAAAAAACTCAAAGGGAAGAACGTTTGCAAGAACATGCGCCTAGGCCAATCGTGTCTGGGACCCCCCAACCACAAACAGTGCCATTTGTAGGGTGTGGGGGGAATTGAGGGGGACAGTCCATCCCCATAACCGTACAGTCCTGGTTAAACACGCTCAGTGTGAGGGCCTCATCATCAAGTTTTTTCGTGTTTCATCTTTCCCCTTTGGAGAGTGTGAAATGAGATAGTTTTCTCTTCCACTGGAAAATATAAAATTGAAAAGCACGTCCTCTTCAGATTAAGAAAAGCCAGCTGGGGCCAGGCGCGGTGGCTCACGCCTGTAATCCCAGCACTTTGGGAGGCCGAGGCGGGCGGATCATGAGGTCAGGAGATCGAGACCATCCTGGCTAACACGGTGAAACCCCGTCTCTACTAAAAATACAAAAATTAGCCGGGCGTGGTGGCAGGCGCCTGTAGTCCCAGCTACTCAGGAGGCTGAGGCAGGAGAATGGCATGAACCCGGGAGACGGAGCTTGCAGTGAGCCGAGATTGCGCCACTGCACTCCAGCCTGGGCGACAGAGCAAGACTCCGTCTCTTAAAAAAAAAAAAAAAAAGAAAGAAAGAAAAGCCAGCTGGGCATAGTGGCTGACACATGCAATCCCAGCACTTTCGGAGGCCGAGGCAGGTGGATCGCTTTGAGCTCAGGAGTTCGAAACTGGCCTAGGCAACATGGAGAAACCCCATCTCTACAAAAAATACAAAAATTGGCAGGGTGTGGTGGCATACACGTGTGGTCCCAGCTACTCGGAGGGCTGAGGCTGGAAAATCACTTGAACCCAAGAGGCAAAGGTTGCGGTGAGCTGAGATCGCGCCACTGCACTCCAGCCTGGGTCACAGAGTGAGACTCTGTCTCAAAAAAAAGAAAGAAAGAAAGAAAGAAAAGCCAGTTTTCTACAGATTGGCGTAATGACAGAGGCACACTTGTTGATGTCACTTACACAAGAGGAAAGCCCTTTCCTCACCCTCTGATGAGCGGAGGTGAGGAGGTAGCAGGGCCCCAGCCCTGGTGGTGCCCTGACTGCTGTCACCGGCCAGTGGGCTCGAGCAGGCGGCTCTGGGCCCTGTGCCTGTTTCTTCACCCAAGAGACAAAACGTTCCCTTCTGTCAACTACCCTCAAAGACAGCTGGAGAGACAGACTGCGCTCCTGGCTGCTGTTCCAAGTACCCAGCCTCCAATCAACAGATATCACCAGCCTACTATGTGCCAGGAGCCCAGATTTCAGGGGCTGGGAACCCAGCAGGGAGCAGGAAAGACAGAGCTCCTCGACCCTCCCGGAGCCCATGGTGTGGCAATCATAGGACAAAATGGTGGCTTTGGAGCCCATGGTCTGATTCAGACGCCTGTTCTCCATGGGGGTCTGACCAGTTGTTTTACCTCTCTCCCTCTCAGTTTCCTCATCTAGAAACAAGCACAGGGACAATGGCACCATTGTTGGTCCCACAACATTCCCTCACTCCTGCATCAGACCTGTGCCCCAAATCTCTCCCCAGGGCCCAGAGCTGCCTGCCTGGGCCCACTCACTGGTGAGGGCAGTCAGGGTACCACCAGGGCTGGGGTCCCGTTGCCACCTGTTCTGGGAGACCAGGTTACCAGAATCAGGGAAGTGGGGGGGAGGGCATGGTGGCTCACACCTGTAATCCCAGCACTTTGGGGGGCCAAGGTGGGTGGATCACTAGAGGCCAGGAGTTCGAGACCAGCCTGGCCAACATGGTGAAACCCTGTCTCTACTAAAAATACAAAAATACAAAAAAATTAGCCAGGCTTGGTGGTGTGCACCTGTAATCCCAGCTACTTGGGAGGCTGAGGCAGAATTGCTTGAGCCCAGATGGCGGAAGCTGCAGTGAGCCAAGATCATGCCATTACACTCCAGCCTGGGTGACAAAGCGGGACTCCACCTCAAGAAAAAATAAAGTAAAACAAAGAATCAGGGAAGTGGGACTCTGAGAAGGCAGAGAGGGGGCCAGGAAGCTGTGAAGATGGTGGTGGGAGACAGGGCCTGTGCAAAGGGTGGGGGCAGGACACTGGTCCACGCAGTGTACAGCCAGTCAGAGAGGCTGCACCCAGCTGCTTCCTCCAGGCCTGTTGGAACAGAGGAGGGAAAAGACAAAAGGAGGCACAGGCGCCCTCTTCCTCCTGTCCTTTATTCCCAGCCCAGTGGAGGTGATTCATCCCACCGCTGTGGGTGCCACCTGACTTCCACGAGTGTGTCACACTATGTCCTAATTTTCTGTGTGCCTGGGTGCCCAGCTGCAGTTGAGCTGACCTGGAGGGTGGGGCTCGGTTTTATTTATCTTGGTCCCAAGACAGCACACAGTAGCTCAGCAGACAGAATCTCATGGTGCCCCAGCCCCAGAGCTGGTCTTCTTTTTGACTGTACCTAAATGTGGGGTCTCACGTGGCTTGGAGGGTTTCCTGCAAAGTGATGGGTTTTGACTCAACTGACACAGCCACAGCCCACCAGGCTCTGCCCACCAGGCACTCCCACTGCTGCTGTCCTGGCTCCCTGAAGGTGGCCTCAACCTGACGGTTGCAGACACTATGCCTGCTTCTTCCCCCTGCTTCCTCTCCCACCTAGACCCTCACCTGTCCAAACAGCTACCCCACATATTCCTTTCACCCCCAGCCCTTTCTACTCTTCCTGAAACAACCTCAGGCCAGGTTCCTCTTGATCACTTCATGCCCATATCACAGAGACTGTCTCGGAGCTAGAACCCAGCTCCAAGCACTCCCTGTGTAAGCAGCCAGATCATCTAAAGGTGTCACTCCTCAAGAACCTGCCATAGCTCCCTACTGCCTCTCATAATGTGGCCCATGCTACTCTTCCCTCAACAGATGATTGTTGAGCACCTGAGTGCCAGCTGCAGCCTGGCAAACAAGGATGAATAAAACAGGCACAGTCTCTGCCCTTGTGGACCTAGTCTAGGTGGTTGGGGAAGACAGACCATCAATCAACCCCGCAAAGAGAAAATTATAAACGGCTAAATGGAAAAGGTGTCCATCTCCACCAGTGGTAACAGAGATGCTGGGCCAGTTTGTCAGGAAAGGCTTCCCTGAGGAAGTGATGCCCCAGCTGATATGAAAAGGTGTAGGGATTCACCAGAGGATGAAGGGTTTGGAAAGAGCATTCCAGAGAGAGGGAATAGCAGATGCAAACGCCTTGAGGCAAGATGAAGGATCGCCTGCGCAGATGACAGAAAGAGGGGCCAGGGGGCCACAGAGCAGAGGGAATGAGGACTGCAGGCCTGGGAAACACGGGGAGCAGGTGTGCTGTCAGCTGCCGGTAGCAGCGCCTGATCCAGCCTGGCTGGTGTGCCCAAGAGGAGGAGAAGTGACTTTATGTCAGCCTGACCTGCAGGCAGTCAGTAAACAGATTCTGTTATCAGGTCTACATTCCACACCACAGGCAGTGCAGATGGAAATCCGAGACAAATGTCTGTGGTCATCTGTGACCTTTACTTTCACCCCAAAGCTTGTAGTATCAAGAGCTGGGACTCCTATGAAGGGAAAAGCCCAAAGAAGCTTTAAGAGCTAATGGTCTGCACTCCATGCAGGAGCAAACTTCAGGGCCACCACTCTGACCAGCGGTAAAACCCAGTCCAGCGCGAAGGACAGTGGGCAGGTCTCAGCTCCTCAGCCCCCACCAGCCACTGGCCACTCTCTCGGCAAGCAGACATCCTGTCAGTTCGGCCGATTTGTAGCCCAGACACAAACTCTCACGTCTTATTTACCAAAAGACCTTCCTCCTCTCATCCCTGAGCTGCCTAAATTAAAGGAAGGACATGAACCCCAAAGTCCCAGCCGCATGTTTTGGCCCTTTGACCTAGACCTGCAGCCTCTCAGCTCTGGCTCAGTCCTCTTTGCCTCCGTGTGAAAGGCTATTCCCCATGGCCTAGACCAGGGGTGTCCAATCTTTTGGCTTCCCTGGGCCACACTAGAATTGTCTTGGGCCACACATAAAATACACTAACACTAACACTAACACTAACACTAACACTAACACTAATGATAGCTGATGAGCTTTAAAAAATTCACGGGTGGGCATGGTGGCTCACGCCTGTAATCCCAGCACTTTGGGAGGCCAAGGCGGGCAGATCACAAGGTCAGATCGAGACCATCCTGCCTAACCAGTGAAACCCCGTCTCTACTAAAAATACAAAAAATTAGCCAGGTGTGGTGGCGGGTGCCTGTAGTCCCAGCTACGCAGGAGGCTGAGGCAGTAGAATGGCATGAACCCAGGAGGCGGAGCTTGCAGTGAGCCGAAATTGCACCACTGCACTCCAGCCTGGGCAACAGAGCGAGACTTAGTCTCAAAAAAAAAAAAAAAATTCACAAGAAAACCTCATAATGTTTTAGGAAAGTTTACAAATTTGTGTTGGGCTGCATTCAAAGCCATCCTGGGCCACATGCAGCCATGGGTTGGACAAGCTTGGCCTACACCAAACACGCCCTCTCCTCCATACAACCATGTCCAACACCCAAATGGAAGCCAGTCATCTGCCCCTCCTGCAGCTTGGACCACCCGTGACCTGAGCCTCTGCTGTGGGCCGGGCCTGGACAACTCAATTCTGCATGGGCCAGGAGCACTGATTACCACTCTGGCAGGGAAACCTTTGGATTCTCCTAAAGACAACTGGCTGGGAGTGGTGGCTCACACCTGTAATCTCAGCGCTTTGGAGGCAGAGGCAGGAGGATCACTTGAGGTCAGGAGTTCGAAACCAGCCTGGGCAACATAGCAAGATCCTGTCTCTACAAAAAAATTAAAAATTAGCCAGGTGTGGTGTTGCATGCCTGTAGTCTCAGTTCCTTGAGAGGCTGAGGTGGGAGGCTCACTTGAGGCCAAGAGTCGAGGCTGCAATGAGCTTTGATTGCACCACTGTACTCCAGCGTAGGCAATAGAGCAAGAGCCTGTCTCTAAAGGAAAAAGGAAGACAATAAGCAGGCCTTTCCATGTCCCTCTCTACCTTTTAATGAGATGAGATTAAAGTAATAAAATAAAAACTCAGACTACATGATATCTAATAACTAGGTATAAAAACAAATGAGGTTAGGAGATGTCATAAACTTAAAAACAAACAAACAAAAAAATAACTTTCCAAGACAAGAAACTATGGTGCAATGAAGAGGCCTGAACCTGTGTCAGAAAAGCCATGTCTGCCTGAGCTCACTGGGTACAAACTTGGGCAAGGGACGTAACAATCTCTGGCCTCACTTTATCTATTTTTTTTTTTTTTTTTTTTGAGACAGAGTCTTGCTCTGTCACCCAGGCTGGAGTACAGTGGTGCAATCTCGGCTCACTGCAACCTCCACCTCTCAGGTCCAAGCAATTCTCCTGCCTCAGCCTCCTGAGGAGCTGGGACTACAGGCATGTGCCACCACGCCTGGCTAATTTTTGTATTTTAGTAGAGACAGGGTTTCAGCATGTTGGCCAGGCTGGTCTTGAACTCTCGACCTCCAGTGATCTGCCCTTCCTGGCCTCCAGTGATCTGCCCCTCTTGCCCCTATACACTGAAGATAATACTGGCCAGAGTGACCGGGAGGATGAACCAGGCAATCTATGATGTTTTCTTTACTCAGTCCTTCCAGCCTGGTGGTGAGACCTTTCCTGACCTCCATCATCAGATCGGAACCTGCCCTGCTCTACTCATCTCACAGCATCAATCCCCACCGAATGCACTACACATTGGGCTCATTTCTTTATATCTGGGCCCCTCCCAACGATGTCAGCCCCGTGAGGCGGCACTGCCTTCAGATTCACTGTTCCATCCACTGCCCAGAAAGTGTCCAGCAAAAAGAAGATGCCAAATAAATACTCACTGAACGAACAGTGTGATCTACAAAAGGCAGGCATGAGGGCCAGGCGCGGTGCCTCCTGCCTGTAATCCCAGCACTTTGGGAGGCTGAGGCAGACAGATCACTTGAGGTCAGGAGTTCGAGACCAGCCTAGGCAACATAGTGAAACTCCATCTCTACTAAAAATACAAAAATTAGCTGGGTGTGGTAGTGGGCGCCTGTAATCCCAGCTACTCAGGAGGCTGAGACAGGAGAATCGCTTGAATCCAGGAGGCAGAGGTTGCAGTGAGCCAAGACAGCGCCATTGCACTCCATCCTGGGTGACAAGAGTGAAACTCTGTCTCAAAAAAAAAAAAAAAAGGAAAGCACTGAGAGCACATGCGTCACACGGCAGGGTCCTGACACTCTACTGTGACAAAGCAGGTCAAGCGAGTCCACAGTACCATTCTGCAGATGAGAAAACTAAGGTACAGAAAGTATTTGCAGGACTGAGGGCAGTGAAGGAATATCTGGGAATCCAAACAAACATCTAAGGACCTAAACATTGAAAAGCAGGCACCACTGCACCTGATGGTGCCTGCTTTTCTTTTCTTTTTTTTTTTTTTGAGACGTAGTGTCACTTTGTTGCCCAGGCTGGAGTGTGCAGTGGAGTGATCTTGGCTCACTGCAACCTCCGCCTCCTGGGTTCAAGTGATTCTCCTGCCTCAGGGTCCCGAGTGGCCGGGATTACAGGCGTCCGCCAGGACGCCAGGCTAATGTTTTGTATTTTTAGTAGAGATGAGGTTTCACCATGTTGGCCAGGCTGGTCTCAAACTCCTGACCTCAGGTGATCCACCTGCCTCAGCCTCCCAAAGTGCTAGGATTACAGGCGTCAGCCACTGCACCCGGCCTGGAAAGTTGTTTTAAAGTTCAGAATGGAGGTGGAGGGGTCTTGCCCAGGGAGAATCTATTTAGTCGAAAAAACAACAACAACAACAAAAACAAAAAAAAAACAGGCCAGTGCAGGTCAATAAGTGACAGTCAGGGAATTCTGGATCTTTCAGGAGTGGATTTTACTCTAAAACTTCGTTCTCATCAATTTAGACTGCATTGCCATTAGCATTCTACTAAGATAGACTAGCACTTATTTCAGAGGAAGAAAAGAAACAAGGGACAAGAGGACAAGTAAGTGTCCGAGCCACTCAGCATTCATTCCAGACACACTGGCCGGGTGCTGCTCTGGGAGAGGTGCCCAGCAGGCCATCTGGAACAGCAGGGCTCTGCGGCAGGAGGACGCAGGTGTGACCTCAGCTCTGCGCCCACCAACTATGAGACTTCAGCAAGTTACTCTATTTCTGTGGGTCTTGGTTTCCTCACTTGTAAAAGGGGAATAAAAGCCTCCTAGAATGGAGGCACCTACTGAAATACAGCAAAAGCTCCTGGATGAAGAACACATAACAAGGGGGAAAGGAGGAAGGTGTAGCTCTTTGGGCCCAGGGCAGTCTCTCCTCATCACTGAGCCCAGTTACCACGCGCTTCCTAGGTACAGCGGTCACAAAAGGGACCCACGGAAGGTACAAGGGAGAGAACTCTCATTCGGGTGGGGCTAAGGGAGGACAACACAGGGGAGGCCTCAAAGACCGTCCTTCAGGGCAGGCAGCATACGGCAGGAGCTCACAGTGATGTTCTAGCAACCGGAGCAACACAGCTAAGGATGCTGAGGCTAGAAAGTGTTGCCAAGAGCCAGAAGTGCAGGAAAGGGACCCAGCAAGGTTAGGTGGAGTCGATTCAGGGCTTACTAAGGTCATCAAAGCTGACTTTTTTTGAGACTGAGTCTCACCCTGTTGCCCAGGCTGGGGTGCAGTGGCGCGATCTCAGCTCACTGCAACCTCCGCCGCCTGGTTTCAAGCGATTCTTGTGCCTCAGCCTCCCAAGTTGCTGGGATTATAGGCGTTTGCCACTATGCCTGGCTAACTTTTGTATTTTTAGTACAGACAGGGTTTTGCTATGTTGGCCAGGCTGGTCTCGAGCTCCTGGCCTCAAGCAATCCATCCACCTCAGCCTCCTAAAGTGCTGGGATTATAGGCATGAGCCACAGCGCCCAGCCATAAACTGAGTTCTTTTGGAGGAAGGGGAATGGGAGCTGTGAAAGGTTTTTGGAACAGGGGAATATGTTTTAGAAGATGAATCCTAGCCAGATGCAGTGGCTGACACCGTAATTCCAATACTTTAGGAGGCTGAGATAGAAGGATTGCTTGAGGCTAGGGGTTTAAGACCTGCCTAGGCAGCATAGCAAGACTTCATCTCTTCAAAAAAAAAATTGTTTAATTAGCTGGGTATGATTGGTGCTGCGCTCCTGTAGTCCCAGCTACTTGAGAGGCCAAGGTGGGAGAATTGCTTGAGCCCAGGAGTTTGAGGTTGCAGTGAGCTATGATCCTACCACTGCACTCCAGCCTGGGGGACAGAGCGAGACCCTGTCTCAAAAATCAAAAAGATGACTTCCACAGTGGCGTGGGATTAAGTGGGAGGGAGTGGGCAAGTAGGAAGTAGAATGGCCCAGACCACTTTGGGGCATGGCAAGGAAATGGCCCATTCCAGAGTCCAGCAGGCTGGCAGAGGTGCAGGAGAGAGACACCTTCTGGACTCTAGAAGGCAGGTTTGAAGTCCTCTGCACAGAAGCTCCAGGGGAGGGAGCGCACAGAGAGATAAGATGCAGGTAGGGAGGCTGAAATTAGGGGACAAGAAGGAGAGACTGAAAGGAGAGAGGATGAAGAGTGAAGACCGACGGGCTCCAGTGTTGCGGAGTTCGAGGAGGATCGGCTGCAGCCACAGGGCACCGGGGTTAAGGACGGAGGGGCCACCGGTAACCTCGGGGAGTACAAGGAGGAAAGAGATCTGGATGCATTTCCACGGAAGGCTTTTTGGAAAGCAGAAGAGAGCTGAGCAGGGGGACAGGGAGACACACAAATCACTGAGATGCTGTTGGGAAAAAAAAATCACTCCTAAAGAGGCAGAGGTGCAGACCTTTCGAATTTACGTTGATATTCAGGGTCAGAAAAGAGTATATAAGGAAGGAGATTCTGAGATGATGTCATGGAGTACAGAACAGACTGAAAAAGATGCTGATGGGAAAAGTGCAGACAGGAGTGGGGGTGGAGAAAACACACCCCTCCTCCCCTAGGCTAGCCCGCTGGGTTATCCACTTTGCTCACCTTCACCTGGCCATCTGCTTGCCAAGTGTGCTCTGTCACCTAAATCCAACCAGATCACAGCCACCTGCTGCAGGGTGCTTCCCTTTTGCCCCCAACCAAAAATTTTGGAATTATACCCTTGGTTCCCCCAGAGTTATCTGTGAACCCAAGTGATCTCCTGAGCTAGACAGTAAGGGCCTGGGAGGGCCATGCCTCACACCTGGGCCAACAGTAACCCATGGTGTAGATTTTCACTCGAGAGCAAGTGTAAAGAAGTGCTGACATTTCCAAACGAAGAAAACCAGGCCACGCCTTCATTCAACAAATGTATAGGGAAAGGAACAGGAAGAGGCTAAGAAGTCAGTGACCTGGCCAGGCGCAGTGGCTAACGCCTGTAATCCCAGCACTTTGGGAGGCCAAGGCGGGTGGATCACTCGAGTTCAGGAGTTTGACACGAGCCTCGCCAAAATGGTGAAACCCCGTCTCCACTAAAAAAAAAATACAAAAATTAGCCGGGTGTGGTAGCACGTGCCTGTAGTCCCAGCTACTCAGGAGGCTGAGGCAGGAGAATCACTTGAACTCGGGAGGCGGAGGTTACAGTGAGCTGAGATCATGCCACTGCACTCCACCCTGGGTGACAGAGCAATACTCCATCTCAAAAAAAAAAAAATTGGACAGGAAGTTTTAGAAAGATCCACGCCTCCCAAACTGGGAGTGCTTAGTGCTTTCTCATGAAATGATCTTAGGTGATTTTCCCCCGACTCCCGCCTTCCCCGCCCCCCACCCCCTGACTACATACTCTAAACTGTAGCACTTAGCTATTAACACCTATTATCGGTAGGACACTTAACAGTTTACAGAGCACTTTCATGTCAGTAACAAGAACTTGCTAATTAATAATCACCGGGTTTTAGCACTGTTAACTTAGTGACAGTGTTGCAAATTGGCTAGCTGTGCACTTCTCTCTCCTTGGATCAGCTAACCAGTCATGCAAGCATGCAACCGGCCTATCAACTCTCTTTGGGTTTGGAATTCTTAATTGCTGCGGTCTCTACTCCCAAACGTCCAAATCTGGCAGAGATTAAATGATGACAGTAATTATAGGATCACTGAGTGCCTCTCATATGCTAGGCACTGTTCTAAGCGCTTTTTCACGTGCTTAATTTTCACATAATCCCAACACATTTTTATATCTCCATTTTCCAAAGGAAGCAACTGATGGGTGGAATGGCTAAGAGCTTCAACCAAAGGCACAGAGAAATCGGGGCTGGAGCCAAGATTTGAACACATGATCTGACCCTGTGTCCTCACTCTTAATCACCATGCTGTGCTAGATCATTCTAGCAAAATGCTTATATGGTGCTTTGCACAACACAGGTATTCAGCAAATAAAGGCAGCTGTGATTAGCATAACACAGGTAGTTTCTAGTTCCCACGAGTGTCACCTCCAGGAAAGCAGCGACCTTGTCTGTCTGGAAGAATGCAGCGCTCCCAGCACCTGACCCAACGCACATTTGAGGGATGGATAGAAAATGAATGAATGAAAGTCTCTCCCAAATAACAGAGCTGCCTACGCATGGCTCTTTTTCGCATGTCTGTGTCGCGCTATCGATACTGCCCCTTCATAAGCGCATCAGGCGAATTTGAGGACACAGAGAGGCGCCCGGAGACGTACGATCTGCGCCCGGTGCAGGGGTGGCGGAAGCAGCTTCCAAGGAGGCAGGGGATCAGTCTGAGATCGCACTGCTGCTGACGGGTCCGGGCTCCGGCGGGACCCTGCCCGCCCGGGCGCCGGGACCGGAGGGAGACAAAGACTCGCTGGGCCGCCGCGCCGACAGAAACGCTCGCACCCCTCGCCCACCCCTCCGGGATGCAGCCCAGCGCCTCCGCGGGTCCCCGGCCTGGGAGCTTCAGCGGCGGCAGGGTCCGGGCCCTGGGCGGAGAGGACACGCGCTGCGCACCTCCTCGCCTCGCCGGTGCCCGCGAGGGTCGCTCGGGCACGGGAGGCCGCGGGTCCCGGCCTGTCACCTTCAGGGCCGCCTGCCCACCCGCCCGCCGCAAGCCCTTCAGCACGCGCCGCCCCCGCCGCCGCCTGGCTGAGTCTCCCAGCGCCTCAGCCTCGCCGCACCGCTCGCCTCGCGCCCCGCACCCCGGCGCCGCCCCCAGGCCCGCCCGGCCCGTACCTGCTGGGAGAGGGGGATGAGCGGCGCCGCCATCTTCCCGCGGACTCGGGCTCCGAGCGCCGGGGGAACGGGGGCGGGGCTGCAGCCACGCGTGCGCACTGGGACGACGGGAGGGCGGTGCGCAGGCCGCCTGTCCCGGGAGAGGGCGGGGCCGTAGACAGGGCCACGCATGTGCAGTCAGGCCGGGAGGGGCGGGGGCAGGGGCGGGGCCGCCCACACGCAGCCTGGAGGGGCTGGGCCTGAGGCATCTGCGTCTTCCGTGCTCTCTTGCCCGTTCCCCTACTCCTCCTTCCAACGTTGTTCGGACTCTCATGCCGCTGGCCGCTGTCCGAGTCGACCATGCTGTGTCATCCCTCCAGCCCATGCCGAGGCCTGGTTCTCTGTTAGGGATGCCGTCCCCCTGCCAGTGCGCCTGGGGAGGCGGTCGCCCACCCCGCGGAGGGTCGGGACCCTCACCCTGCCCCGCAAAGCGCCCTGTTCCTAGGATCGCAGTGTGTGTGTGTGTGTGTGTGTGTGTGTGTGCGCGCTAATTTGGGGGACCCGCACCCTGCCCCCCTCACCCTGCCCCGCAAGGCGTCCTCCTGGCTGTGGTGGCGGGCACCTGAAATCCAAGCTACTCAGGAGACTGAGGCAGGAGAATTGCTTGAGCCCAGGAAGCAGAGGTTTCAGTGAGCCAAGATCACACCATTGCAATCCAGCCTGGGCAACAGAAGCGAAACTCTGTCTCAAAAATAAATAAATAAATAAGACAAGAACCCACTTGTTGCCAGGTACAGTGGCTTACACCTGTAATCCCAGCACTTTGGGAGGCCGAGGTGGGAGGGTCATGAGGTCAGGAGTTGGAGACCAGCCTGGCCAGTATGGTGAAACATCAATATGGTGAAACCCCATCTCTACTAAAAAAAATACAAAAATTAGCAGGTGTGGTGGTGCATGCCTGTAGTCCCAGCTACTCAGGAGGCTGAGGCCAGAGAATCACTTGAACCCGGGAGGTGGAGGTTGCGGTGAGCCAAGATTGCACCACTGCACTCCAGCCTGGGTGACAGAGTGAGACTCTGTCTCAAAACAAAGTCAAAAACAAAAAGAACCCACTTGTAACTGTTGCTAATCAAAGCATACATTCAGGGCAACTTGAATCTGTGTCTCCTGGACTGCGGTCCTCAACCTTGGCCCAAACTCTCTACTTATATTAACTTTGCCTCAGCTTCTTTTGTTACATCAATAGAGTAATGAAGGTTTTTAACAGTCTTGAGTGCTTTATCAGTACGTATTCCATAAGGAAAAGAGAAGTCCTTCTAGGTACTTCAAACAGAGGATATTGAATACAGGGGATTGAGCCAGGCTCTGTGGCTCACACTTGTAATCCCAGCAATCCAGTTGAGACAGGTAGATTGATACCAGCCTGGCCAACATGGAGAAACCCCATCTTTACTAAAAATACAAAAATTAACCCAGTGCAGTGGCAGGTGCCTGTAATCCCAGCTACTCAGGAGGCTGAGGCAGGAGAATTGCTTGAACCTGGGAGGGGAAGGTTGCAATAAGCTGAGAACTCACCATTGCACTCCAACCTAGGTGACAGAGCGAGACTCTGTCTAAAAAATAAATAAATAAAAATAAATGAATACATAAACGACTACAGGGGACTGAGTATAAAAGTGTTGGAAGTACTGGAAGAACAAAAGAGGAAGGTAAGTTTACCTAAAGATTCATAACTATATGAGGCTGCTAGCCTCTCTAGAGCTGAAAGATTAAAGCAGGGGAGGTGGCTGGGCATAGTGGCTCACGCCTGTAATCCCAGCACTTTGGGAGGCCGAGGTGGATGGATCACCTGAGGTCAGAAGTTTGAGACCAGCCTGGCCAACATGATGAAATCCCGTGTCTACTAAAAATACAAAAATTAGCCGGTTGTGGTGGTGGGCACCTGTAATCCCAGCTACTCGGGAGGCTGAGGCAGGAGAATCACTTGAACCTGGGAGGCGGAGGTTGCAGTGAGCTGAGATCACGCCACTGCACTCCAGTTTGGGCAACAAGAGCGAAACTCCGTCTCAAAATAAATAAATAAATAAAGCACAGGAGGACCCATAACCCACAATCACTGTGCCTACAGAAGGATCCCAGATGTGTTCACCCTTGCTAGCCACAGTTGCCTCCACCATGATTGCGAAAGTCACAGTTGTTGTTGTCACCACCACCTAAGCCACTGGCAGAAGTCTGAAAAAATGGTTTCTCCCCTCTTTCTGCCTCCCAACTTTGTTCTAATAAAGCATGACAGGAACGTTGCCAATTGGCAACGGCGTCCAGGAAATGTAGCATGCAGGCTTTAAGTGCCAGTATCAGAGTCTAGAATGGTGGTGGCCATAGAAACTCTCCAGCATCATCTTGTAAAAATAATCCAAACTTGGCTGGGCGCGGTGGCCCACACCTGTAATTCCAGCCCTTTGGAGGGCCGAGGCAGGCAGTTCACGAGGTCAGGAATTCGAGACCAGCCTGGCCAACACAGTGAAACCCCATCTCTACTAAAAATACAAGAATTAGCCAGGCGTGGTGGCGGGTGCCTGTAATCCCAGCTACTCGGGAGGCTGAGGCAGGAGAATTGCTTGAACCTGGGATGGGGAGGTTGCAGTGAGCCAAGATCGCACCATTGCACTCCAGCCTGGGCAACAAGAGCAAAACTCCGTCTCAGAAGAAAAAAAAGAAAAAAAAAAAGGCCGGGCATGGTGGCTCACGCCTGAAATCCCAACACTTTGGAAGGCCGAGGCAGGCAGATCATGAGGTCAGGAGATCGAGACCATCCTGGCCAACATGGTGAAACCCCATCTCTACTAAAAATACGAAAATTTAGCCGGGCATGGTGGGGGGTGCCTGTAGTCCCAGCTACTTGTGAGGCTGAGGCAGGAGAATGGCATGAACTCAGGAGGCGGGTCTTGCAGTGAGCCGAGATCGCGCCACTGCACTCCAGCCTGGGCAACACAGAAACTTCGTCTCAAAAAAAAAAAAAAAAATCCAAACTTAATCATACACTTTTGAACCCTAAGAATTATGTTGAGCCTTGAAGAAAACGGGACTGTGTGATCTGAGCCAGACAGCATGTAACTACAACTTCTGCTTATAGATTATAGATTAACTCTCCTGTTCTTGCTCTGTAGATTCATTTCAAGACTAAATGGCATCAGCGTTAAGATCGCCCTTCTTCATTGCTGACCTTTCCTCTATTATCTTGCACCTAAATCAGACCAGATAGTGCAAAAGGTCCTGTGACTGTTATGTCCTCTATGTGAATGTTAAATATACCCTTCCCAAAAAGACCACTGCCTTGACTAATCAGATTACTGTTAACTATGTACTTGCCTTGTGTGAAATATGTAGAAACGCTGTCAAGCTTCCCAAACCTTACCTATATAAATGACCCCCAAACTTCCTCAGTTTGGAATGCTGATTTCCATTCTTTGGAATCTGTGTTCCAGGGTGGCCGTCCTCAAACTTTTGTGCTAAACTAAACTCTATATTTAACCATATTTCCTGAATTTATTTATTTAGGGTTGATGTTTTGATGATCCAGATGGGATCTGAAGTGGAGTTCCAGTGATCCCTGCCACTTCTCACAATCAGACCCTTTGTACTGTTACCGCAAAGGGGTCTTGATCCAGACCCCGAGAGGGTTCTTGGATCTCACCCAAGAAAGAATTAGTGCGAGTCCATACAGTAAAGTGAAAGCAAGTTTATTAGGAAAGTAAAGGAATAAAGGAATGGCTACTTCATAGAGCAGCCCCAAGGGCTGCTGGTTGCTTTTTTTTTTTGGGAGAAGTTTCACTGTTGTTGCCAGGGCTGGAGTGCAATGACGGGATCTCAGCTCACCACAACCTCCACCTCCTGGGTTCAAGTGGTTCTCCTGCCTCAGCCTCCTGAATAGCTGGGATTAGAGACATGCACCACCACGCCCAGCTAATTTTGTATTTTTAGTAGATGTGGGGTTTCTCCATGTTGGTTAGGCTGGTCTTGAACTCCCAACCTCAAGTGATCCGCCTGCCTCGGCCTCTCAAAGTGCTGGAATTACAGGCTTGAGCCACTGTGCCTGGCCAGGTTGCTCATTTTTATGGTTATTTCTTGATGATATGCTAGACAAGGGGTGGATTATTCATGCCTTCCCTTTTTACTTATTTATGTATTTATTTATTTATTTTTTGAGACGGAGTCTCGCTCTGTCACCCAGGCTGGAGTGCAGTGGCGCGATCTCGGCTCACTGCAAGCTCCGCCTCCCGGGTTCACGCCATTCTCCTGCCTCAGCCTCCCGAGTAGTTGAGACTACAGGCACCCACCACCACGCCCGGCTAATTTTTTTGTATTTTTAGTAGAGACAGGGTTTCACTGTGTTAGCCAGGATGGTCTCGATCTCCTGACCTCGTGATCCACCCATCTCAGCCTTCCAAAGTGCTGGGATTACAGGCGTGAGCCACCGCGCCCGGCCCCCTTTTCAGGCTGCCATATACAGTAACTTCCTGATGTTGCCATGACCTTTGTAAACTGCCATGGCGCTGGTGGGAGTGTAGCAGTGAGGACCACCAGAGGTCACTCCCATCACTATCTTGGTTTTGGTGGGTTTTAGCCGGCTTCTTTACTGCAACCTGTTTTATCAGCAAGGTCTTTAGTGCTGACCTCCTATCTCATCATGTGGCTAAGAATGCCTTAACCGCCTGGGAATGCAGCCCAGTAGGTCTCAGCCTTATTTTACTAAGCCCCTATTCAAGATGGAGTTGCTCTGGCAGCTACCTGATTTATGAATTGTTCTTTGCTCAGTTACACTCCATGAAATTTAATATGTCCAGAGTTTTTCCTCTAACAAAGTTTAAAGTGAAGTTAACTAGAATGAAATAAGATTAAAAAGTCATTTCTTGGTCCCACTAGCCACATTTCAAGAGCTCAATAGCAACACGTGACCCGGCATGGTAGCTCACGCCTGTGATCCCAGCACTTTGGGAGGCTGAGGCACGCAGATCACTTGAGGTCAGGAGTTCCAGACCAGCCTGGCCAACATGGCGAAACCCCATCTCTACTAAAAATACAAAATTCAGATGGGCATGGCGCATGCCTGTAATCCCAGCTACTTGGGAGGCTAAGGCATGAGAATCGCTTGAACCCAGGAGGCAGAGGTTGCAGTGAGCCATACTTGCGCCACTGAACTCCAGCCTGGGCAACAGAGCAAGATTCTGTCTCAAAAACAAACAAACAAAAAAAGCAACATGTGACAAATTCTCTCGGACAACGCTGCTCCCAACGAATCTTCAGAGCCTGAGCCAGTCTCACTCACCGTTTTTTGTCTTGTTAGCTCCACTTTATTTTATTTTTAGAGAGGGGGTCTCGCTCTGTCACTCAGGCTGGAGTGCAGTGGCACGATCATAGCCCACTGCAGCCTTGACCTCTTGGACTCAAGCGATCCTCCCATCTCAGCCTCCCAAGTAGCTGGGACCACAGTCATGTACCTCCATGCCCAGCTAATTACAAAAAAAATTTTTTTTAGAGACAAGGTCTCTATGTTGCCCAAGCTGGTCTCAAACTCCTGGTCTTAAGTGACCCTCCCTCCTTGACCCCCCAGATAGCTGGGATTACAGGCACAAGCCACTACACCTGGCCTGACTCACCTTTGTACACTAATTGGTACCAGCACTTTCTCTCCAGGTCTGCCTCTGATTCTTTTCACACTACTCACCCTGTTCAGAGGTGAAAGAGGTAGGCAATGTTTGCCACCCTTGCATTAGGAGGAAGGGAGTCTTTAGTTTCTCAGAGTAATAATCAATCCCTAATAATTGGTGAAGGTTGATGTAGCCACCATCAGAAAAAATCCAGGTGCAAAGGTCTGCCAACATTGACCAGAGTGAGAGCAAAATTCTGCAGAACTTCACTTCCCAGCCAGGCTTTTGAAACTGATCAACTTTCTTTTTTTTCTTTTCTTCTTTCTTTCTCTTTTTTTTTTTTTTTTTTCTGAGGTAGGGTCTCATTCTGTCACACAGGCTGGAGTGCAGTGGCACAATCTCAGCTCACTGCAATCTCCACCTCCCAAGCTCAGGTGATCCTCCCATCTCAGCCTCCCGAATAGCTGGGACCACGGGTGTGCACCGCCAAACCCAGCTAATTTTTAGTATTTTTTGTAGAGGCAGAGTTTCGCCACATTGCCCAGGCTGGTCTTGAACTCCTGGACTCAAGCAATTTACACACCTCAGTCTCCCAAAGTGCTGGGATTACAGGTGTGAGCTACTGCACCCGGCCCACACTGGTCAACTCTCAATATTCTGTATATAAATTCCAATTTATTTGGCTTATTCATAACATCACTAGATTCCAAATTTCTGGTGTCACAAATTTGATTATTTTCATCATGAGTTTCAGTATGATTATGGGCCTCTTCCAGAAGAAGACTGGGCCAGGAGCAGTGGCTCACACCTGTAAGCCCAGAGCTTTGAGAGGCCAAGGTGGGAGGATGGCTTGAGTCCAGGAGTTCAGGACCAGCCTGGGCAACATGTGAGACTCCCATCCCTATAAAAATTAAATTAAAAAACAAAAAATATGGCTGGCTGCAGTGGTTCATGCCTATAATCCCAGCACTTTGGGAGACCAAGGCAGGCGGATCACGAGGTCAAGAGATCAAGACCATCCTGGCTAACACAGTGAAACCCCATCTCTACTTAAAATACAAAAAGTTAACCGGGTGTGGTGGCGGGCGCCTGTAGTCCCAGCTACTCAGGAGGTTGAGGCTGCCTCCAGCCTCAGCCTGAAGTACCTGGGACTACAGGTGCGCACCACCACATCCAGCTCCTTTTTGTATTTTTAGTAGAGACGGGTTTTCACTGTGTTGGCCAGGCTGGTCTTGAACTCTGGGCTCAAGTGATCCGCCCACCTCAGCCTCCCAAAGTGATGGGATTATAGGCGTGAGGCACACTGCCTGGTCAACTTTTATTTTATAAAAAGACTTTTGGGAGTTAAGAAAAGGGGATCATGGTTTTGGCCAGACCCTTGCTGGCCTCTGGCTTCCAGTGTGTAAAATTGTCAAGAGGGAACTTCTCAGTGCAAGGGGGTCACCAGGGGAGATACAACCTACCCCACCCAGAAGCATGAAACACTGTTCAAAGAAAATTGGACAAAGTGCCATGTAGACATTTGAGTTTGAAACATAGATTAAAGTAGCAATGAGATTTTACCAGTCATCCTTATATCCAATGGGGATCACTAAAGTTCATTCCTTCTGTGAAATTGATTGAAGTAATGTTCGTGCCTGTTAATTTTTCCCGACAGCAGCTCTTCCTCCTCTTCCTCGCGGGCCTTCTTCATTTCCTCCTTGGCCTGTATGGCATCCATCTCCCTTTCTGGACCCTGGAGAAAGAAAGAAAAAACATAAGCCCCACCGGGTGCGATGGCTCGTGCCTGTAATCCCAGCACTTTGGGAGGCCGAGGCAGATGGATCACGAAGTCAGGAGATCGAGACCATCCCGGCTAACACGGTGAAACACAGTCTCTACCAAAAATACAAAAAAAAAAAAGCCAGGCGTGGTGGTGGGCGCCTGTAGTCCCAGCTACTCGGGAGGCTGAGGCAGGAGAATGGCCTAAACCTGGGAGGCAGAGCTTGCAGTGAGCTGAGATCACTCTACTGCACTCCATCCTGGGCGACAGAGCAAGACTCTGTCTCAAAAAAAAAAAAAAAGCAAAAATTAGCTGGGCGTGGTGGTGTGTGGCTGTAGTCCCAGCTGCTCGGGAGGCTGAGGTGAGAGGATCATTTGAACCTAGGAGGCGGAGGTTGCAGTGAGTCGAGATGGCACCACTGCACTCCAGCCTGGGTGACAGAGCAAAACCCGTCTCAAAACAAAACAAAACAAAACAAAACAAAAAAAGCCCCAGAGGCCAGGGGTTATGCTTCCATGTGGCCAAATGCATGTCAGTACTCAGGCAGACCCTGCCTTCTAGAAGCCTCCTCACCACCTAGGATAGGCTGAATAAGAAGAACCTGTAAAGATTGCATGTCCTGGCTGGGCGCGGTGGCTCACACCTGTAATCCCAGCACTTTGGGAGGCCGAGGCAGGCAGATCATGAGGTCAAGAGAGCGAGACCATCCTGGCCAATATGGTGAAACCCCGTCTCTACTAAAAATACAAAAATTAGTTGGGTGTGGTGGCAGGTGCCTGTAGTCCCAGCTACTCGGGAGGCTGAGGCAGGAGAATCGCTTGAACCGGGAGGTGGAGGTTGCAGTGCGCCGAGATCACGCCACTGTACTTCAGCCTGGCGACAGAGCGAGACTCCGTCTCAAAAAAAAAAAAAAAAAAAAAAAATTCATGTCCTAATCCCTGGAACCTGCCAATATTAACCTTACATGGGGCCAGGCACAGTGGCTCACTCCTGTAATCCCAGCACTTTGGGAGGCCAAGGCAGGTGGATCACCTGAGGTCAGGACTTCGAGACCAGCCTGAACAATATGGTGAAACCCCCTCTCTACTAAAAATACACAAATTAGCCGGACGTGGTGGCATGCGCCTGTAGTCCCAGCTACTTGGGAGTCTGAGGCAGGAGAATCGCTTGAACCCGGGAGGTGGAGGTTGCAGTGAGCCGAGACTATGCCACTACATTACAGCCTGGGTGACAGAGCTAGACTCCATCTAAAAAAAAAAAATTTACACAAATGAAATAGTGATGTAGGAAGAGTTAATCACGTGCTTCATACCTTGGTTTCGCCCCAGGTGGCCTTGCCAAAATTATCTGCGTACTCTTCATCATCTGTGATCAGAAAGTTATCAAAAATGGTTCCAGATCTCACCTGCAGATGAAAATAAGGCCTTCATTATTATGCTTTTATTCTTTATTATTTGTTTATTTTTCATTTCTTTTTTCCTTTGGAAATACATGAAGCTCAGGTGACATTTTTTATTTTTTAGAGATGGGGTCTTGCTATGTTGCCTAGGCTGGATTTGAACTTCTGGGCTTGGCCAGGCGTGGTGGTTCACACCTATAATCCCAGCACTTTGGGAGGCTGGGGCAGGTGAATCACTTGAGGTCAGGAGTTCAAGACTAGCCTGGCCAACACGGTGAACCCCATCTCTATTAAAAATACAAAAATTACCAGGTGTGGTCGTGCATGCCTGTAGTCCCAGCTACTTGGGAGGCTGAGGTGGGAGGATCGCTTGAACCCGGGAAGCAGAAGCTGCAGTGAGTTGAGATCGTGCCACTGCACTCCCGCCTGGGTGACAGAGTGAGACTCAGTCTCAAAGAAAAAAAAAAAAGAACTGGGCTCATGTGATGGTCCCACTTCAGCCTCCCCAGTAGCTGGGACTATTACAGGCGTGAGCCATACTGTCCCTGGCTACTAGGCCTTCATTATTGATGTGACATATGTAACAACTTTTCAAAAAGAAACAGTTGTATTTTGCTCAGTAGTGTATACTATAACAGCAATTAGAATAGTAGGTGGTGCTTAAACCCATTTCTAGAATATCCTTTCCCTCTAAGGCACTGGTTCCTTAAACGTGGCTGCACATCGGGATCACCAAAACTTTTTTTTTTTTTGAGACTTAGTCTCGCTCTGTTTTTTTTTTTTTTTTTTTTGAGATGAAGTGAAGTCTCACTCTGTTGCGGAGGCTGGAGTGCCGTGGCGCGATCTTGGCTCACTGCAACCTCCACTTCCTGGGTTCAAGTGATTCCTCCCAGGATTAAGTTATTCTCATGCCTCACCCTCCTGAGTAGCTGGGACTACAAGCACGCACCACCACACCCAGCTAATTTTTGTATTTTTAGTAGAGACGAAGTTTCACTATGTTGCCCAGGCTGCTCTCAAACGCCTGAGCTCAGGCAATCTGCCCCCCTCAGCCTCCCAAAGTGCTGGGATTACAGGCATGAGCCACTGAGCCCAGCTGGGATCACCAAAGCATTAAAACAAAAAAACAAACAAAACTCTCAGCACTTTGGAAGGCTGAGGTGGAAGGACTGCTTGAGCCTAGAAGTTCTGAGACTCCCATCTCTTTTTTTTTTTTTTTTTTTTGAGACGGAGTCTTGCTCTGTCACCCAGACTGGAGTGCAGTGGCCCGATCTCAGCTCACTGCAAGCTCTGCCTCCCGGGTTCACGCCATTCTCCTGCCTCAGCGTCCCGAGTAGCTGGGACTACAGGCGCCCGCCACCACGCCCGGCTAATTTTTTTTGTATTTTTAGTAGAGACGGGGTTTCACCATGTTAGCCAGGATGGTCTCGATCTCCTGACCTTGTGATCCACCCGCCTCAGCCTCCCAAAGTGCTGGGATTACAGGAGTGAGCCACCGCGCACAGCCTAGACTCCCATTTCTTAAAAAAAAAAAATCTGGATGTGGTGGCTTGTGCCTGTAGTCCTAGCTACTTGGGAGGCTGAGGTGGGAGGATCGCTTGGGCCTAGTTTGAGGCTACAGTGAGCTAGGATGGTGCCACTGCACTCCAGCCTAGGTGACAGAATGAGACCCTGTCTCAACAAAACAAAACAAAACAAAACAAAACACACACACGCAAAAAATCTAAAGTAAAGTTAAAACCAAATGACCTGCCAAAGCTCCAGGCCAATGGCACCAATGTTCTCAAATTCTGAGAGGTCATACTGCGTCAAATAGTCGGTATTCTTCATCTTACGGTGGAGCCAGACGTCTTTATGAATACCTTCTGGTTTCAGGCCATCCTGTATCAAAAAAACCATATGGGGTGGTCTCAATGACATGGGCAGCGGAGGGGCAGCCCTGGGGCATCCCTGGCATCATACAAAGAGGCCACACACCTGGTACGGGGGCTTCTGGAGCATCGGCGCTGGCCAGTCCCCATCCAGGTCACCGTTCCAGTCGCTCTGCTTGCTGGTGCTGGCGTCCAGAAAATGCTTCTCCCAGTCCTTCAAAGACATGTAAGGAAAAAGTAAAATCAGTCAGATGCTCATATATTTGTTGTTGTTGCTTCTGTTTTTGTTTCTTGAGACTAGGTTTTGCTCTCACCCAGGCTGGAGTGCGGTTGTGCAATCATGGCTCACTGCAGCCTCAACCTCTTGGGCTCCAGTGATCCTCCTGCCTCAGCCTCCCAAGTAGCTCGGACTACAGGCGCCCGCCATCATACCTGGCTACTATTTTTATGTTTTGTACAGTCAGGGTCTCCCTCTGTTGCCCAGGCTGGTCTCGAACTCCTGGGTTCAAGCGATCCTCCTGCCTTGACCTCTGGAAGTGCTGGTATTACAGGCATTAGCCACCACACCCAGCCAGATGCTCAGATTTGAGAAAGGAAATTATTAGATGCCAAGTGGCAGGCACAGGCTGGTGACCCCTGTCCCAGTGTCCCTCTCCCTTCTTCAGTTTGGTGGTCAGGAGGCCAAGTGCTTGGTGCTTCCAATCCCACTGAGGACTTCAGGGCAACACCACACTGCCTAGATTTTTCTCCCTAACCTGCCATATGACTTTAGCCCTTTCCTGCATGCTATGGAGAGGAGCAGCGGTGTGGAAACCTCAAGTAGTGGCTAGAGTGAAAAATGATGGTGCAAAAAGTGATGGTGATGGCCAGATGTGGTGGCTCACACCTGTAATCCCAGCACTTTGGGAGGCCAAGGCAGGCAAATCACTTGAGGTCGGGAGTTCGAGACTAGCCTGGCCAACATGGTGAAACCCCATCTCTACTAAAAATACAAAAATTAGCCAGGGATGGTGGCGGGTGCCTGTAATCCCAGGTATTCGGGAGGCTGAGGCAGGAGAATCACTTGAACCTGGGAGGCGGAGGTTGCCGTGAGCTGAGATCACGCCACTGCACTCCAGCCTGGGCAAGAAGAACGAAACTCTGTCTCAAAAAATAAATAAATAAGTAAATAAATAAATGTTTTACGATACCTTCAGATGTGTAGAGATGTGGCTGGTCTGCAGTGTGTGCTCTGGGGAGGGCATTTGGTTCTATAATATTGCCATCGTGGCTACCAGCCATGCAGCAATTGTCCAGTAACTGGGTACTTACAAACTACATTTGTGCACTTTTTAGAGTTGCCCAGGAAAAATTCACACCTGGGCTTTGTTGTCTTTAGTCTGTTCCCAATCCTTCGATTCTGCCGGGGACGTTTCCTTCTTGAGTGATGTTAAGTTCCAGTCGTACTCTATGCTGCCGGATTCAATTGACTGACCATCAATTTTCACATCATAAGAAAGATCTGGTCTTAAAATTAGAGTGTACAGGTGTGTGAAGCCATCAACCTGCATATTTTAGGGGGAAAAGCGTAACAATTAAATCCTCAATTTCTTTTTTCTTTTCTTTTCTTTTTTTTTTTTTTTTTGAGATGGAGTCTCACTCTGTCGCCCAGGTTGGAGCGCTGTGGCACAATCTCGGCTCACTACAACCTCCACCTCCTGAGTTCAAGCGATTCTACTGCCTCAGCCTCCTGAGAAGCTGGGATTACAGGCACCTGCCACCATGCCTGGGTAATTTTTTGTGTCTAGTAGAGACAGAGTTTCACCATGTTGACCAGGCTGGTCTCGAACTCCTGACCTCAGGTGATCCACCTGCCTCAGCCTCCCAAAGTGCTGGGATTACAGGCATGAGCCACCACGCCCGGCCAACTCTCGATGTTTTAATGCAAGTCTAAATATGCAGTTTATTTTTATTTTTATTTTTTTGAGACAGGGTCTTGCTCTGTCACCCAGGCTGGAGTGCAGTGGTGCAATCAGAGCTCACTACAACCTTGACCTCCCAGGCTCAAGTGACCCTCCCACCTCAGCCTCCCCAGTAGCTGGGACCACAGGTTCCTGGCACTACACCTGGCTAATTTTTGTATTTTTTGTCATGACAAGATTTCGCCATGTTGCCCAGGCTGGTCTTGAACTCCTTGGCTCAAGCAGTCCTCCTGCCTCAGCTTCCCAAACTGCTGGGATTACAGGTGTGAGCCACTGCACCCAGACATTTCTCCAGAATGTTTTTTTCATCCTGAATATTTCATTCATTAATGAGGATGGATGTGGCTGAAATGTGACTGTACTATTGTAACCCTCATAGGGCAAATGATGACATGTCATAGCTCACAGTAAAAAATGAGAGTGCCCTCCTGATGGGGTAAAAACTTCAGGAAACCAGTTAAAGGAGAGAAGTATCTCCAATGGGCCCCCTAAACTGGAAACTGGAAACAGGAGGTATGTCTACAAAGACCCATCCCTGGCTCAGTTAAGTATTTTATTATCAAAACTATTTTTTCTAAACTTAGTCTGGCAGGAGTTAACACTCATTTATTTGAATACAAGAGCAGTTACCTTACACCTGATCAGTTTCTTGTTTTCGTGATACTTATTCTTGAAATGTAAAATAACATGAACTTTCTTGATATCAAATCCACAAATATCGGGTCCTACAAAAAAGATTAGCTGCTCTCAATTTCTTTCCATAATGCATCACCGTAGAATAACCAACCCACAACCATTCTTTTTTTTTTTTTGAGACGGAGTCTTGCTGTCACCCAGGCTGGAGTGCAGTGATCTTGGCTCACGGAAACTTCTGCCTCTTGGGTTCAAGCAATTCTCCTGCCTCAGCCTCCTGAGTAGCTGGGACTACAGGCGCATGCCACGATGCCCAGCTAATTTTTGTATTTTTAGTAGAGATGGGGTTTCACCATGCTGGCCAGGCTGGTCTCAAACTCCTGACCTTGTGATCCACCTGCCTCGGCCTCCCAAAGTCCTAGGATTACAGGCTTGAAACACCACGTGCAGTCCATTCTTCTTACATATAATCAGATATTCACACTAAGATATTTATTTATTTATTTGAGACAGAGTCTCACTCTGTCGCCCAGGCTGGAGTGCAGTGGTGGGATCTTGGCTCACTGCAGTCTCCGCCTCCCGGGTTTAAGTGATTCTCCTGCATCAACCTCCCGAGTAGAATAGCTGTGATTACAGGCATGTACCACCAGGCCCAGCTAATTTTTGTGTTTTTAGTAGAGACAGGTTTTGCCATGTTGGCTAGGCTGGTCTCAAACTCCTGACCTCAAGTGATTTGCCTGCCTTGGCCTCCCAAAGTGCTGAGATTATAGGTGTGAGCCACTGCATCTGGTCACATGTGTGAATATCTTATTATTGTTGTTAAAGGACAATGTCCTGGCTTTCCACTCACTTTTGAGTGTGTTCTGAAGCTTATTTAAATATTCAAAGTGGCCTGCTAATCCCAGCACTTTAGGAGGCCAAGGTGGGGAGATGACTTGAGGCCAGTTTGAGACCAGCCTGGCCAACATGGTAAAACCCCGTGTGTACTAAAAATACAAAAATTAGCTGGGAGTGGTGGCGTGTCCCTGTAGTCCCAGGGACCTGTGAGGCTGAGGTGAGGGGATCACTTGAACCCAGGAAGTGGAGGTTGCAGTGAGCTGAGATCGGGCCACTGTACTCCAGCCTGGGTGACCAAGCGAGACTCCGTCTCAATTAAAAAAAAAAAAAAAGTGTGGGCTGGGCATGGTGGCTCACGGCTGTAATCCCAGAACTTTGGGGGGCTGAGGCGGGTGAATCACGAGGTCAGGAGTTCGAGACCAGCCTGACTAACATGGTGAAACCCCACCTCTACTAAAAATACAAAAATTAGCCAGCCATGGTGGCACACGCCTGTAATCCCAGCTATTGGGGAGGCTGAGGCAGGAGAATGGCTTGAACCTGGGAGGCGGAGGTTGCAATGAGCCGAGATTGCACCATTGCACTCCAGCCTGGGTGACAGAGCAAGATTCTATCTCAAAAAAAAAAAAAAAAAAAGGTATTTACACATGTAATGGATGTTCATGAGGAAATGTAGACAGATGGGCTCTGTGTTGCCTGTCTGAGGTTTTATGCATAACTTATGCATAGGAATTCATGCAAATGTCAAGACTGACAATAACTGTGCTTCCCTTGTCCTCCTCCTTAACCCCTCACCCTCAGCAAGCTCCCCTCACACTAATGGCTGGCGCTGACTCATTGCAACAAAGTGTCCCAATAGTAACAGAGTGGGTTTGAGTAAAATGGAACTGTTGAATTAAAAACTGAAATACTAAGAAAAATTTATTTTAATCTTTTTTTGACCCCAAATTATGCTGCTTGGCAATTCAGATGTAGTAGACACATGCTATATAGGGGTCTTTATTTATTTATTTATTTATTTCGGACAGGGTCTTATTCTGTCATCCAGGCTGGAGTGCAGTTGTGTGATCATAGCTTACTGCATCCTCAAACTCCTCGGCTCGGGGGATTCCCCTGCTTCAGCCTCCTGAGTAGCTAGAACCACAGGGGTGCGCCACCTCACTGGGTTAATTTTTAAAATTGTTGTAGAGATGGGGCCAGGCGTGGTGGCTCACGCCTGTAATTCCAGCACTTTGGGAGGCCAAAGTGGGTGGATCACCTGAGGTCAGTAGGTCGAGACCAGCCTGTCCAACATGGTGAAACCCCGTCTCTACAAAAATACAAAAAAATTAGCTGGGCATGGTGGTGGGCACCTGTAACCCCAGCTACTTGGGAGGCTGAGGTAGGAGAATCGCTTGAACCTGGGAGGCAGAGGTTGCAGTGAGCCGGGATCGTGCCGTTGCACTCCAGCCTGGGCGACGAGCGAAGCTGTGTCTCCACAAAAAAAAAAAAAAAAACATTTTGTAGAGATGGGGTCTTGCTATATTGCCCAAGCTGGTCTCAAACTCCGGGGCTCAAGTGATCCTCCCTTGATGTTTCAGATATCTGGGTGTTTTTTAGTTCTATTTTTATTTTTATTTTGTATTTTGTATCATTTATTTATTTATTTATTTGAGACGGATTTTTGCTCTCATTGCCCAGGCTGGAGTGCAATGGTGCAATCTCGGCTAACCATAACCTCTGCCTCCCAGGTTCAGGTGATTCTCCTGCCTCAGCCTCCTGAGTAGCTGGGATTATTACAGGCATGCGCCACCACGCCCAGCTAATTTTCAATTTTTTTTTTTTTTTTTGAGACGGAGTCTCACTCTGTTGCCCAGGCTGGAGTGCAGTGGCGTGATCTCAGCTCACTGCAAGCTCCGCCTCCCAGGTTCAGGCCATTCTCCTGCCTCAGCCTCCCGAGTAGATGGGACTACAGGTGCCCACCACCACACCTGGCTAATTTTTTGTATTTTTAGTAGAGACGGGGTTTCACTGTGTTAGCCAAGATGGTCTCAATCTCCTGACCTCGTGATCTGCCCACCTCGGCCTCCCAAAGTGCTGGGATTACAGGTGTGAGCCACCGCGCCCGGCTCTAATTTTGTATTTTTAATAGAAACGGGGTTTCTCCATGTTGGTCAAGCTGGTCTCGAACTCCCGACCTAAGGTGATGCGCCCGCCTCTGGCTCCCAGAGTGCTGGGATAACAGGCGTGAGCCACCGCACAGAGCCCTAATTTTTATTTTTTGTAGTGACAGGGTCTCACTATGTTGGCCAAGCTGGTCTCGAACTCCTGGACTCAAGTAATCCTCCTGCCTGGCCTCCCAAAAGTGCTGGGATTACAGGCATAAGCCACTGTGCCCAGCTGAGGATGAATATTTTGGAAGTACATTCATTCTTTTTTTGGAGATGGAGTCTCGTTCTGTTACCCAGGCTGGAGTGCAGTGGTGAGATCTCGGCTCACTGCAACCTCCACCTCCCAGGTTCAAGCAATTCTCCTGCCTCAGCCTCCTGAGTACCTGGGACTACAGGCATGTGCCACTATGCCCGGCTAATTTTTTTTGTATTTTTAGTAGAGATAGGGTTTTACCATGTTAGCCAGGCTGGTCTTGAACTCCTGAACTCCAGTGATCTGCCCACCTTGGCCTCCCAAAATGCTGAGATTACAGGTGTGAGCCGCGACACCCGGCCTGAGGTACATTTATTATTAAAGTTTTAAGTTACACTATACTTAGGTCTATTTCCTGTGGCCCAGTGTGGTCCCTTCCCAGTTCTAGCACAAATTTTAATCAAGTACCCCTGTTGTCAGGAGACATTTAATATTTTCTAGAGGTTTGCAGGCTTTTTCTATAAAGGCCAGATGGTAAAATATTTTTGGCTTTGTAAGCCTAATGATCTCTGTCATGACAACTTAACTCTGCCACTGGTACTGGCGAGCAGCCACAGACAACATATAAATGAACAGAGTGAGGCTGCATTCCAGTAAGACTTCATTTATGCACACTGAAATCTAAATTTCATATAATTTTCATGTATCACAAAATATCATCTTGTATTGATTTTTTCCAACCAGTTAAAAACGTAAAAAACATTTTTAGTTCACAGGTTATATAAACACAGGCAGTGGGCCAATTTGGCCCACGGCCAAGGTTTACTGAGTACTGAAGGATTCAAAACACAGGTTGAGGCCAGGCGTGGTGGCTCACGCCTGTAATCCCAGCACTTTGGAAGGCCAAGGTGGGTGGATCACCTGAGGTCAGGAGTTCGATACCTGCCAGGAGTTCGAGACCAGCCTGACCACCATGGTGAAACCCCATCTTGGCCGGGTGCAGTGGCTCACGCCTGTAATCCCAGCACTTTGGGAGGCTGAGGTGGGCGGATCACCTGAGATCGGGAGTTCAAGACCAGCCTGACCAACATGGAGAAACCCCGTCTCTACTAAAAATACAAAAATTAGCTGGGCATGGTGGTGCATGCCGGTAATCCCAGCTACTTGGGAGGCTGAAGCAGGTGAATCCCTTGAACCTGGGAGGAGGAGGTTGCAGTGAGCCGAGATCATGCCATTCCACTCCAGCCTGGGCAACAAGAGCGAAACTCTGTCTCAAAAAAAAAAAAAACCCATCTCTACTAAAATACAAAAAAATTAGCCAGGTATGGTGGCACATGCCTGTAATCCCAGCTACTCAAGAGGCTGAGATAGGAGAATCACTTGAACCCAGGAGGCGGAGATTGCAGTGAGGCGAGATCAAGCCATTGCCATTGCACTCCAGCCTGGTTCACAAGAGTGAAAACTCGGGCTCGAAACAAAAACAAAAACAAAAACAAAAACAAAAACAAAAACAAACAAACAAAAAAACTACACAGGTTGAGCATCCCAAATCAAAAAATCGCAAATCTGAAGTGTTCCAAAACCCAAAACTTTTAGAATCAACATGATGCTCAAAGGAAATGCTCATCAGAGCATTGTGGATTTCAGATTTTTCAGATTAGCGTTGTTCAACCAGTAAGGATAATGCAAATAATCCAAAATCCAAAAAAAATTTCCAAAATCCAAAACACTCTGGTCCCAAACATTTCAGATAAGGTATCCTTACCCTGCATGAGGGCAACATTAATGGTGAATAAATAACTTCTTCAGGAACACAACAGACTGGTACAGTTGCCTTTTTATATTAATTAGGCTTAATAGTGCTTGGATCCGATACACTCAATACTACTACAAACCTTGGATCCGATATACTCAATACTACTACCTTCACTACATTAGCAAAGTCTTAGTCTAAAGATCCTGTGAAGTGGGAGGGTTTTCAAAGTCACTAGAAGTGGTTGTGTTGCACCACGTAAACTCACCAAACATAATATAGTACTGCGATTTTCCATTCAGGTTCTTCTGGTCAATGTCTGCAGGAAAGACCTTAATGTAGCCCCCTCCACAGTCCATCTTCTGCTCATGTTTTACTGTGTACTGAATAACCAGAGTTTTCCCTTTATTGCTGAACGGTTTGAAGCGTGCAGAGATGGCATAGAATCGGCCATTCTGAGTGGTTTGCAGACCTTTGAACAAAATATACTCATGAAGGATCAGGAATGACGCTGCGCTAAGTAACGCAGGAAGTTAAATCGATGTCCTTCCCTTACTCCCAAACATAAATGTCCTAACCATTTACAGTGATCTACAGTGCCAACAGAGCATTATACAATAATGCATAATGGGTAGACCACTAGCAGGCACTCTGCTTCTATATAATTTTTTTTTTTTGACATGGAGTCTCACTCTGTCGCCCAGGCTGGAGTGCAATGGCGTGATCTCGGCTCACTGCAACCTCCACCTCCCGGGTTCAAGTGATTCTCCTGCCTCAGCCTCCTGAGTAGTTGGGATTACAACTACAATTAGCCACCACGCCAGGCTAATTTTTGTATTTCTAGTAGAGATAGGGTTTCTCCATGTTGGTCAGGCTGGTCTTGAACTCCTGACCTCAGGTGACTGCCCGTCTCAGCCTCCCAAAGTGCTGGAATTACAGGTGTGAGCCAGCGTGCCTGGCCCATACAACTTTTATTTCACACACCTGGAAGTTTTTGTTCTTAATATACCACTGTTCTTAATTAGTTAATTAATTATTTTTTGAGATGGAGTCTCGCTCTGTCGCCCAGGCTGGAGTGCAGTGGCACGATCTCTGCCCACTGCAAGCTCCACCTCCTGGGTTCACGCCATTCTCCTGCCTCAGCCTCCCGAGTAGCTGGGACTACAGGCGCTGGCCACAACACCCAGCTAATTTTTTGTATTTTTAGTAGAGACAGGGTTTCACCATGTTAGCCAGGATGTTCTCGATCCCCTGACCTCATGATCCGCCTGCCTCGGCCTCCCAAAGTGCTGGGATTACAGGCGTGAGCCACCGTGCCCGACTGGTCCCTTTCCTAAACATTCTACTCTGCCTTTTCAGCATAAAAGGCAGCCATAGACAATATATAAATGAATGGACTGCCAGGCATGCTGGCTCACGCCTGTAATCCCAGCACTTTGGGAGGCTGAGGCAGGCGGATCACGGGGTCAGGAGTTTGAGACCAGCCTGGCCAACATGGTGAAACCCTATCTCTACTAAAAATACAAAAATTAGCGGGGTGTGGTGGCATGTGCCTGTAGTCCCAGCTACTCAGGAGAGTGAGGCAGAAGAATCGCTTAAACCCAGGAGGCGGAGGTTGCAGTGAGCCGAGATTGCACCGCTGCACTCCAGCCTGGGTGACAGAGTGAGACTCCGTCTCCAAAAAAAAAAGAATGGATGTGGCTGTGTTCCAGTGAAACTTAATGGACACTAAACTTTCTTTCTTTCTTTTCTTTTTTCTTTTGAGACAGAGGCTCGCTCTATTGCCCAGACTGAATCTCTGCTCACTGCAACCTCCGCCTCCCAGGTTCAAGCGATTCTCCTGCCTCAGCCTCCTGAGTAGCTGCGACTACAGGCGTGCGACACCATGCCTGGCTAATTTTCATATTTTTAGTAGAGATGGGGTTTCACCACGTTGCCCAGGCTGGTCTTGAACTCCTGGCCTCAAGTGATCCACTCACCTTGGCCTCCCAGAGTGCTAAGATTACAGGTGTGAACCACTGTGCCTGGCCTAAACTTTCACATATGTGAAAGCAAATACAATTTAAAGCCTTGAGAGGCCAGGCATGGTGGCTCACATCTGTAATCTCAACACTTTGGGAGGCTGAGCCGGGTGGATCACTTGAAGTCAGAAGTTCGAGACCAGCCTGGCCAACGTGGGGAAACTCCATTTCTACTAAAAATACAAAATTAGCCGAGCGTAGTGGCGCGTGCCTGTGGTCCCAGCTACTCGGGAAGCTCAGGCAGCTGAACTGTTTGAACCTGGGAGATGGAGGAGCCATTGCACCCCAGCCTGGGTGGCAGGGCGAAACTCCGTTTAAAAAAATAAATAAGCCAGACGCAGTGGCTCACGCCTGTAATTCCAACACTTTGGGAGGCCGAGGCGGGCGGATCACCTGAGGTTGGGAGTTGGAGACCAGCCTGACCAACATGGAGAAACCCTGTCTCTACTAAAAATACAAAATTAGGCCGGGCGCGGTGGCTCATGCCTGTAATCCCAGCACTTTGGGAGGCCGAGGCGGGAGGATCACGAGGTCAGGAGATCGAGATCATCCTGGCTAACACGTGAAACCCTGTCTCTACTAAAAAAAAAAAAATACAAAAAATTAGCCGGGCGTGGTGGCAGGCGCCTGTAGTTCCGGCTACTCGGCAGAAGAATGGCGTGAACCCAGGAGGCAGAGCTTGCAGTGAGCCGAGATCGCGCCACTGCACTCCATCCTGGGCTACAGAGCGAGACTCCGTCTCAAAAAAAAAAAAAAAAAAATTAGCCAGGTGTGGTGGCACATGCCTGTAATCTTAGCTACTTGGGAGGCTGGAAGCAGGAGAATCATTTGAACCTGGGAGGCGGAGGTTGTGGTGAGCAGAGATCACGCCATTGCACTCCAGCCTGGGTAACAAGGGTGAAACTCTCTCTCAAATAAATACATAAAATAAATAAAAACCTTGAGCAAGTTGTGTGATCTGAGTCATGCAGCATGCAGGTGTAACCTCTGCTTCTTAAATCATAGATAAACCTTCTTCCTCATTGTTCTTGTTTGGCAAATGACTAGGACAAACCAGAGACCAGGCCTCCTCTATTTGTGACCACTGACCTTAGTTACAGATTAACTGCCTCCAGGACTGACCTGTACCTAACTCAGACCAGATGGCACAAAAGATGCCGTGACTGTTACATCTTCAGGGTGAAATGTTAAATATACCTTCTCAAAAGAAAAAGACCACCTTGACTAATGGGATCATGGTCATTATCTATCAAGCCTTGCCTAGAAAGATGCTGAAATTCTGTTAAGCTTCTCTAAACTTTGTCTATACAAATGATCCCAAACTTCTACACTTCAGAACACTGACTTCTATTCTTTGGGATCTGTGTTTTCCACACAGTTGTCCTTAAACTTTGAGCTTGAATTAGCTCTCTTGAAGCTAGAATTTTTTTTTTTTTTTTTTTTTTTTTGAGACAGAGTCTTGCTCTGTTGCCCAGGCTGGAGTGTAGTGGCACGATCTCGACTCACTGCAACCTCCGCCTCTCGGGTTCATGTGATTCTCCTGCCTCAATCTCTCAAGTAGCTGGGACTACAGGCCTATGCCACCATGCTCGGCTAATATTTGTATATATATATATTTTTTTTCTTGAGACAGAGTCTTGCTCGGTTATCCAGGCTGGAGTGCAGTGGCATGATCTTGGCTCCCTGCAACCTCCGCCTCCTGGGTTCAAGTGATTCTCCTGCCTCAGCCTCTGAAGTAGGTGAGATTATAGATGTGTGCCACCATGCCCAGCTAATTTTTGTATTTTTAATAGAGACGGAGTTTCGCCATGTTGGCCGGGCTGGTCTCAACCTCAAGTGATTCGCTTGCCTTATCTTGACCTGCCTGTACAAAAGTAAAAGCTCATTGTGTTGTACCCTGAAGAATGTGCAGGCGACAAGATGTAATGTTTATCTCTGTATTTTTTTCTTTTATTTTTTGAAATGGAGTCTCATTCTGTCACCCAGGCTGGAGTGCAGTGGTACAATCTCAGTTCACTGCAACCTCTGCCTCCTGGGTACAAACGATTCTTCTGCCTCAGCCTCCCAATTAGCTGGGATTATAGTTGTGCGCCACCACACTTGGCTAACTTTTTTGTATTTTTGTGGAGACAGGGTTTCACCATGGTGACCAGGCTGGTCTCAAACTCCTGACTTCAAGTAATCCGCCTGCCTTGGCCTCCCAACATGCTGGGATTACAGGCGTGAGCCACCGTGCCTGACCATATTTTTCTTTTTTTTTGAGATGGAGTCTCACTCTGTCACTGAGGCTGGAGTGCAGGGGCATGATCTCTGCTCACTGCAACCTCTGCCTCCCGGGTTCAAGTGATTCTTCTGCCTCAGCCTCCCGAGTAGCTGGGACTACAGGCATGAGCCACCACACCCAGCTAATTTTTGTATTTTTAGTAGAGACAGGGTGTCACCGTATTGGCCAGACTGGTTTTGAACTCCTGACCTCATGATCCGCTCGCCTAAGGCCTCCCAAAGTGCTGGGATTACAGGCATGAGCCACCGCGCCTGGCCTATTTTTCTTTTTAATACGAAAATTAAAATGAGAAAAAGTACCCACTAACCTTTTCCTTCTGAGGGGCATGGCCCTTGATCCTCAAATGCACTTGACTAGTGTCTATTAAGAGGGGCAATTTTGGTAATGCCTACTAATAACACATTCATATAAATATAATCCAAAGAAGGTTAAATACCATTGCATATTTGACAGTGCTTCAAGTATGATTTTATTATACCAAATAAGCTGAATATGTCTCCTTGGACTTCAGGGGACCTAATACCAATAAAAGTAATAATAATGATAATAGGCCAAGCACCATGGCTCACGCCTATAATCCCAGCACTTTAGGAGGCCGAGGCAGGTGGATTACTTAAGGCCAGGAGTTTGAGTCCAGCCTGGGCAATGTGGTGAAACTCTGTCTCTAAAAAAATTAGCAGGGCATGGTGGCGCACGCTTGTAATCGCAGCTCCTCAGAAGCCTGAAGCAAGAGAATCACTTGAACCCGGGAGACGGAGGTTTGAGTGAGCCAAGATCGTGCCACTGCACTCTAGCCTAGGCGACAGAGCGAGACTCCTACTACCAAAAAAAAAAAAAAAAAAAAAAAGGAATCTTTGGCAATAAAGAAAGGAGAGAGGAGGCTGGATGTTGTGGCTCATGCCTGTAATCCCAGCACTTTGGGAGGCCAAGGTGGGTGGATCATGAGGTCAGGAGTTCGAGACCAGCCTGGCCAACGTGGACCCTGTCTCTACTAAAAGTACAAAAATTAGCCGGTCATGGTGGCGCGCGCCTGTAGTCTCAGCTACTCGGGAGGCTGAGGCAGGAGAATTGCTTGAACCCGGGAGGTGGAAGTTGCAGTGAGCCGAAATCGCGCCACTGCACTCCAGCCTGGGCAACAGAGCAAGGCTCCGTCTCAAAAAAAAAAAAAAAAAAAAAGGAGAGAAGAAACAAAAAAACAAGGAAAGGAGCCCCTTAAGTTCTACCTTTGCCTTAATGTCTTCATCTGTAAAACGGGAATAAAAGCGTTTTGGCTGTGCCACAACTACCTAGAGAGGTTGCTATGGAAATGTAACATTAGGCTCAATTTGGTCCTGATTCTACACTAACCTTTATCTTTCTCTTTATGACCATAAAACTTGCCCGACGAAAGTCTAAAATGCCCAAATCGGGAGTCATTGGTGGACTGCAACCATCGGTTTCTCCAATGCTCTGTGGGGAAGGGGAAATAACACCGGTTAGAGGTGATAATGGTTAATTTGGGCTAAGGGAAGGGTGAAGGGGACCCTCGAGGATTCGAGGGTTCGCTGCCGTGGACCCCGTGGCGACTCTGGCCAGCCTTAGGGGGCGGAGATGGGGGAGCTTACACCTCCGCCACCACGGGCGTGGCCCCTTCACCTCCGTCTAGAAATTCCTCTTGGAAATAGACGGTAGCCAGCGCCACTCGCAGCATGCATATGGCCCAGAGCTGGACCAAAGCCCGGGCCATGGGGGTGTGCACTGCGCTTCCGGTCGCCGCCACCCCTTAGCTCCCAGCTCTCTCTGCGGCTCTTCAGGCGCGTCCCGAAACTACAACTCCCGTCACAACTCGCGATTATGACCTGAGGGTCCCATTGGTCGCTGCGGCGCGGGGCACGTTGGGCCCGCCCCGGAACTACCGCTCCCATGACACCCCGCGATTGTGATTCGGGGCGCCATTGGTCTGCGGGGCGCGGTGCTTCCCGGGAGATGTAGTCTCTTCTGCTCTGGCTCTGTTGCCCAGGGCAACCGCTCCTTCAGGCGTGAATGTGGCGGCTGCCTCTGCGAATGGACGGCGTGGGAAGAGGTCGGCAGGGCTGGTGGGGAGGTGACCTAGCTGGGCGTCCGGGCTCGCGAGGGGGATACGGGGAAATGGGGCCTTCTCCGGGGCTGAGCTGGTTGGGCCGCTGCAGGATGGTCCCGCGCCTCAGTTTCCCTGTCTGGGGTCTATTGGAGCATGGTCCTGCGCGGGTCGCTTCATAGCTGGGGAGAAGAGCAGGATGGTCTCAGGGGCGCCAGGGTTTTCAAGTTTTGGTTTGTTGATTTGTAACAACTTTATTGAGCCTTCATTTACATACCATAGTGTTCGCCACTTTTAAGCTGACGACTCCGTTATTTTTAGTAAATCTACAAAGTTGTGAAGCCGTCGCCACCATCCAGCTCATCCAGCTTTAGAACTTTGCGTCAGGCCGGGCGCGGTGATTCACGCCTGGAATCCCAGCACTTTGGGAGGCAGAGGCGGGAGGATCACTTGAGGCCAGGAGATCCAGACCAGCCTGGGCAACCTGGCGAGACCCCATCTCTAAAAAAGATAAAAATAAAAAATTAGCCAGGTGTAGTGGCACGCGCCTGTAGTCCCAGCTACTCAGGATGTTGAGGCAGGAGGGAGGATTGCTTGTGTCCAGGAGGTCAAGGGCTGCTGTGAGCTGTGATCATGCCACTGCACTCCGGCTAATTTTTTGTATTTTTAGTAGAGATGGGGTTTCACCATGTTTGCCACGCTGGTCTCGAACTCCTGACCTCACGTAATCTGCCAGCCTTGGCCTCCCAAAGTGCTGGGATTATAGGCGTGAGTCACAGCACCGGCCCGATCTGCTTTCTGAGTTTATTGGTTTGCCTTTTCTTGACAGTTCTTACAAATGAAATGATAGGGTGTGTGGAGTTTAGTGTCTGGCTACTTTCTTTTTTCTTTCCTTTTTTTTTTTTTTTTGAGACAGATTCTCGCTCTGTTACTTAGGCTGAAGTGCAATGGTGCGATCTCGGCTCACTGCGAACTCCGCCTCCCAGGTTCAAGCAATTCTCCTGTCTCAGCGTCCTGAGTATTTGGGATTACAGGCGCATGACACCACGCCCCGCTAATTTTTGTATTGTTAGTAGAGACGGGGTTTTACCATGTGTGTCAGGCTGGTCTCGATCTCCTGACCTCGTGATCCGCCCGCCTTAGCCTCCCAAAGTGCTGGGATTACAGGCGTGAGCCACTGCGCCCGGCTTGGCTACTTTCCCTTAGCGTGATGTATTTGAGATTCCTGCGTGCTGTTATATTAGTATTTGTTTTTTAAATTGCTGAACTGTATTACACTGTATGGATGGACCATAGTTTGTAATCCATTCACTAATTAATGGATAGTTACATTGTTTTCCGTTTTAGTCTACTAGGAGTAATAAATATTATGGGGCCAGGTATGATGATGTGGGATTGTAATCTCAGCATTTTGGGAGGCTGAGGCTGCGGATCTCTAGAACCCCAGGAATCTGAGAACAGCCTGGGCAACACAGTGAGACCTTGTTTCTACAAAAAGTTAGCTAGGCATGGCAATGTGTGTCTGTAGTCCCAGCTACCCAGGAAGCTGAGGTGGGAGGATCGCGTGACCCCGGGAGGTCGAGGCTGTAGTGAGCCATGATAACACCACTGCACTCAGCCTGGGCAACAGAGTGAGAGCCTGTCTCAAAACAAAACAAAACTATTACGAACATTTGCATACATTTGCATTTCTCTTGGGCCACATGGGAGTGGAATCCCTGGATCACATGGTAACTCTATGTCTAACCTTTTGAGGAACCAACTGTTTTCCACATTGAGGACTACATAATTTTACAATTCCCCCAACAACATATGAGGGTTCCAATTTCTTTATTTTTTTTAGAGATAGGGTCTTGCCCTATCATCCGGGCTGGAGTCCAGTGGCACGATCATAGCTCACTGCAGCCTCAAACTCCTGGGCTCAAGCAATCCTCCCACCTCAGCCTCCCGAGTAACTGGGACTACAGGTGTGTGCCATCAGACCCAGCTAATTTTTTCATTTTTTGTAGAGATGGAGTCTCCCTATGTTGCCCAGGCTGGTCTCGAACTCATGGGTTCAAACAGTCCTCCCATCCTGGCCTCCCACAGTGCTGGGATTACAGGTGTGAGCCACTGTGGGCTTCAATCTGTTCACTTCCTCACTGACACTTGTTACGTGTATTTTTGATTATAGCCATGCTAGGGGATGTGAAGTAGTAGCTCCTCATGGTTTTTTTCTTTTTTTTTTTTGAGACGGAGTCTCTCTCTTTTGCCCAGGCTGGAGTGCAATGGCGCGATCTCGGTTCACTGCAAGCTCTGCCTCCTGGGTTCATGCCATTCTCCTGCCTCGGCCTCCTGAGTAGCTGGGACTACAGGCGCCCACCACCGCGCCCGGCTAATTTTTTGTGTTTTTAGTAGAGACGGGGTTTCACTGTGTTAGCCAGGATGGTCTCTATCTCCTGACCTCATGATCCGCCCACCTCGGCCTCCCAAAGTGCTGGGATTACAGGCGTGAGCCACCACGCCTAGTCTGTTACTGGCATTTAAATGTTACTGAGCACTTTTTCATGTCCCACACAGAATATATAGGAATCCTATGAGGGTAGTAATTGTTATTTTTACAGATGAGCAGGCTGACACAGAGCGATTAAGTAACTTGCCCGGGGTCACACAGACCAGGAAGTCTGCATTATTTCTGCCAGGCATATTTTTCTGTTCTCTGACCCCTGTGGTCAGTCCTGTGCTGGGCACTCCTAGTACAGGGTAGTTAAGATAGGAACAAGCAAACAAGTTTATTCGGGAAACAGATTGTTAATAGGAATCATAATTCATTCTTGTATAGAATCTTTTTTTTTTCTTTTTTTTTGAGACGGAGTTTTACTCTGTCACCCAGGCTGGAGTGCAGTGGCGCAGTCTCGGCTCACTGCAAGCTCCGCCTCCCGGGTTCATGCCATTCTCCTGCCTCAGCCTCCGGAGTAGCTGGGACTACAGGCGCCCGCCACCACGCCCGGCTAATTTTTTTGTATTTTTAGTAGAGACGGGGTTTCACCGTGGTCTCGATCTCCTGACCTCGTGATCCACCCGCCTTGGCCTCCCAAAGTGCTGGGATTACGGGCATGAGCCACCGCACCCGGCCTGTAGTTTTTCATCTTTTAAAGTCTTTGTAATCTTCGGAAGCCTTTGTAAGTCTTGCAGTGGGTTGTTCATACTCTTTCAGGGGTATATGGGAACTCTGAGAATATGATGAAAGCTCTGATATTTCTACCTAGAAAAATATACACATACGGTAAAGATTTGCTGGCCTGCTGGGGAGCTGTGCCTGTCCATAGCCCCCCTCTTTCCCAGGGTAGCGGTTCTTCTTTTTTTTTTGAGACAGAGTCTCGCTCTGTCGTCCAGGCTGGAGTGCAGTGGTGTGATCTCGGCTCACTGCAACCTCCACCTCCCGGGTTCAAGCGATTCTCCTGCCTCAGCTTCCTAAGTAGCTGGGACTACAGGTGGTGCCACCAGGCCCGGCTAATTTTTGTATTTTTAGTAGAGACGGGGTTTCACCATGTTGATCAGACTGGTCTTGAACTTATGACCTCGTGATCCACCCACCACGGCCTACCAAAGTGCTGGGATTATAGGCATGAGCCACCACGCCTGGCGCTTGACTAATTTTTGTATTTTTAGTAGAGATGGGGCTTTGCCATGTTGGCCAGGCTGGTCTCGAACCCCTGGGCTCAGGTGATCTGCTTGCCTTGGCCTCCTAAACTGCTGGCATTATAGGTGTGAGCCACTGAGCCCAGCCATTGGTAATGGTTCTTACACTAAGTGAAATCTGATTTTCTGGGGGCTTGTTAAATACAGGGATACCTCGATTTTCACACGTCACCTTATTGCTCTTTCAGGTAATTTGTCTTTTCTTTTTTCTTTTTCTTTTTTTTTTTTTTTAGACAGGGTTTCACTCTGTAGCCCAGGCTAGAGTGCAGTGGCAGGCATGGTGGTGTGCACCTGTAGTCCCAGCTACACAGGAGGCTGAGGCAGGAGGATCACTTGAGCCTGAGAGGTTGTGCACCACCACGTCCAGCTAATTTTTGTATTTTTAGTAGAGACGGGGTTTCACCATGTTTGCCAGGATGGTCTCAATCTCTTGACATCGTGATCCACCTGCCTCGGCCTCCCAAAGTGCTGGGATTACAGGTGTGAGCCACTGCACCCAGCCTGGTCATTTTCATTGTCATCCTTGGGCTTGAAGGGAAGACTGTGGCTGGGTTGCAAAAGACAGTGTGAGCTTTTGCCAAGTAGGAGCCATTGAATGCTCAATACAAACAGCAGGTACTCTTATGCAAAATTGCTCCTCTTCCTCCACAGAATGGCTTCTGCAAGGAAAGCCAGCCGTCCCATGCGTGATGTTTTTGGTGACTTCAGTGATGTTTCCTTGGAAGATTCAACAATGGAAGAAATCAGAAACTTCCAGATCAGTAGAAATCTTACCAAAATAGCACCTGGTCATAGCAGATTTCTAAAAAGAAACCAAACTCTAGATGAGAAACACTTACTCCTGAAAGAGAACCCTGTGCTCGGGAGTGGACCCAGGCTTGCCTCATGTAGACCGCCCACCACTGCCTCCAGGATCCGAGCCAATGCCGCACTCATGAAGCTGGCCCAGCTGGAAACCCGGATCATGAATCGGAAGCTGCAGAGGAATTTGTCTGACACGGAATCTGACTCAATGACCGCCGATGCTGGTCTTCCAAAGAGAGCTGACAGAATCCTCTCTGGGGGTGCACTCGAACTCGCGTCCCAGAACACAGACAAAACTTCCCAGAATCAAGCCCGTGAACTTCCTGTCACCGAAAATAATGCACAGAACGCGAAGGTCAGTAGGTTTCTAAAGAAGAAACAAGCACCTGTTGAAAACATATCCCCTGAAGCACCTGCTGGGAAAGAGAGGACTTTGCAAACCCCCAAACAGAAAGAACCTGCTAGAACATTTGATTCTCCAGACAGTGACGAAGAAGAAATGAAAGTATTGCTAGGAAGCTTGATGGACTCTTCTAGAGAAAAAAACACGAATCAAGGCTTCAGCAGCGCTAACGTCAGCGAGGAAGAAGAAAGAAAACTATTTTCGGTGAGATTTTTTTTTTTTGGTAAATTTATTTTAATTTATTTAATTTAATTTTTTTTTTGAGATGGAGTTTTGCTCTTGTTGCCCAGGCTGGAGTGCAATGGCACGATCTCTGCTCACCGCAACCTCCACTCCTAGATTCAAGTGATTCTCCTGCCTCAGCCTCCCGAGTAGCTGGAATTACAGGCATGCACCACCACGCCCAGCTAATTTTATGTGTTTAGTAGAGATGGGGTTTCTCCATGTTGGTCAGGCTGGTGTTGAACTTCCGATCTCAGGTGATCTGCCCGCCTCAGCCTCCCAAAGTGCTGGGATTACAGGCATGAGCCACCATGCCCGGCCGGTGACTGGCTACTTTTTTGTATTTTTTTTTTTTTTGAGACCAAGTTTCGTTCTTGTTGCCCAGGCTAGAGTGCAGTGGCGTGATCTCAGCTCACCGCAACCTCCACCTCCCAGGTTCAAGTGATTCTCCTGCCTCAGCCTTCCTGAGTATCTGGGATTACAAGCATGCACCACCATGCCCGGCTGATTTTGTATTTTTAGTAGAGACAGGGTTTCTCCATGTTGATCAGGCTGGTCTCCAACTCCTGACCTCAGGTGATTTGCCTACCTCAGCCTCCCAAAGTGCTGGGATTACAGGTGTGAGCCAGTGTGCGTGGCCTATTTGTGGAATATTTTCTTTCTTTCCTTTTTTTTTTTTTTTTTTTTGAGATGGAGTCTCATTCTGTCACCAGGCTGGAGTGCAGTGGCCTGATCTCGGCTCACTGCAACTTCTGCCTCCTGGGTTCAAGCAATTCTTTTGCCTCAGCCTCCCGAGTAGCTGGGATTACAGGAGCATACCACCACGCCCAGCTAATTTTTGTATTTTTAGTAGAGATGGGGTTTCATCCTGTTGGCCGTGATGGTCTCGATCGCTTGACCTCATGATCTGCCCGCCTCGGCCTCCCAAAGTGCCGGGATTTACAGGCGTGAGCCACCACGCCCAGCCTTGTGGAATTATTTTCTACTCCCAACATTATCTTACCTAAATATTGTACTGTGACTTTCAGAAATGAAGAGAGAAAGGGGATGCAGTAAGAGAAAAATGTGATACCTGTGGTCTTGGTCTCATGCTCCCCGCTAATTGCACTGTCTGTTTAACCATAAGAACTTTTAGGTATCAGCCAGGTATGGTGGCTCACACCTGTAATCCCAGGGTTTTGGAAAGCTTAGGTGGGTAGATTGCTTCAGCTGTGGTCAAGGCCAGTCTGGGCAACATGGCAAAACCCATTCCTACAAAAAAAAAAAAAAAATTAGCCAGGTGTGGTGGCACATACTTGTAGTCCTAGCTGCTTGGGAGGCTGAGGTGAGAGGATTGCTTGAGCCCAGGATGTCGAGGCTACAGTGAGCTATTGAGCCACTGCCCTCCAGCCTAGGCAACAGAGTGAGACCCTTTCTCAAAAAAAAAAAACAAAAAACAAAAAAACAAAAAACCTTAGTTGTCATAAGTTTGTTAATTTCAAGTGTTTTATATCAGGTCCCATCTCAACTGAGAGCATTTACTGTACCCAGCGTGGAACTCTCCAGCGCAAAGCCTTCTCAGACATCACACCTGCCAACCTCCCTGGCAGCAGACAGAACCCTTCACAGCACTCGCTCAAGAGCAGACTACCCACAGAGTCACGTTTCCAGTGACACCGCCTCCCACACGCCGTCAGTTTCCATCACAGGCGCCTTTTCAAACTCAGTGTCTTTAAAGATGGGGCATGTCAAGCTTGTGTCCTCCCCGGGAAGGAGTGAGGCTGAGACTGTGGACGAGCCAGTCTCAGAAGGTGCTGATGACAGCCTCGACGGTAATCCCAGTCCCGGTGCAAAGCCAGTACCTTGGGCAGGAAGGGTGGGGCCACCTTTAGAGTCCCTGACGCAGTGGTCATGGGGCATTGCCACAGGCAGGGAGTTTTGAGTCGCATCTCACACTCAGCTTTCTAACTTTCTTGTCTGGTTGAGGGGCCAAGTCCGATTTTTGTGCTATCTTTATTTATTTATTTAATTCTGAGACAGGGTCTTGCTCTGTCGCTCAGGCTGGAGTGTAGTGGGCATGATCAGGGTTCACTACAGCCTCAACCTCCCAGGCTCAAGCAATCCGCCTGCCTCAGCCTCCTGACCAGCTGGGACCACAAGCGTGTGCCACCACACCGGGCTAATTTTTGTACTCTTTGTGGAGACCAGGTTTCACCATGTTGTCCAGGCTGATCTTGAGTTCCTGGCCTTAGGTGATCTGCCTGCCTTGGCCTCCCAAAGTGCTGGGATTACAAGTGTGAGCCACTACACCTGGCTTACCAACTCATCTCTTGAGTCAATTTAAACCTGTTGGAAGCTGTTGGAGGCTAGGCCTGGTGGCTCACGCCTGCAATCCCAGTGCTTTGGAAAGCCTAGGCAGGAGGAGTTTGAGACCAGCCTGGCAACATGGTGAAACCCTGTTTTTACAAAAAATACAAAAATTAACTGGGTGTGGTTGTGCGCACCTGTAGTCCCAGCTGCTGGGGAGGCTGAGGCAGGAGGATCGTTTGAGCCTGAGAATTGGAGCCTGCCTGGGAATTGGAGGCTGCGGTGAGCTATGAACACACCACTGCACTCCAGCCTGGGTGACAGAGCAAGACTCCATCTCTAAAAAAAAATTTTTTTAAACCCAAAAACCTGTTGGGGCACCAGAATCTCCACAGAGAACCCCACACTCCTGGGTCCCGGCACACACTTGGTTCAGGCACTGGCCTCCACCCTAAGGTTCTGTGGTGCCTTTGACTTGCTGTACTATTTTTTTGTTTTTTAGAACTCTTTTTTTCAGAACTCACAGTCTATTAACTTGCTGTAAATGACAACATAGGATGCTTTGGGGCCATGTCTCAGGTCTGCCCCTGCTCCACAGTCTTCCCACTCTTTCCCCCCAGCTGGCTGGCTGCCCTGCCACCTCCCACCCCTTACACCACACACGTACTTCTCAGCAACTTCCAACAGTACACTCTGATCAGCTGCTAATCTGTCTAGACCAGGGGCTAGCAGGCCTGTCTTCTGTCTGTTTTTTTTTTTGTTTGTTTGTTTTTTTGAGATGTTGCCCAGGCTGGGGTGCAGTGGCGTGATCTCAGCTCACTGTAATCTCTGCCTCCCAGGTTCAAGTGATGCTCCTGTCTCAGCTTCCCAAGTAGCTGGGACTATAGGCGCACGCCACCATGCCTGGCTAATTTTTTGTATTTTTAGTGGAGACGGGACGGGGTTTCACCATGTTGGTGAGGCTGGTCTTTTTTTTTTTTTGAGATGACATCTCGCTCTGTCACCCAGGCTGGAGTGCAATGGCGTGATCTCGGCTCACTGTAACCTCCGCCTCCTGGGTTCAAGCGATTCTCCTGCCTCAGCCTCCCAAGTAGCTGGGACTACAGGTGCCCACCACCACGCCCAGCTAATTTTTATACTTTTAATAGAGACAGGGTTTCACCATGTTGGCCAGGATGGTCTCGATCTCTTGACCTTGTGATCCGCCTGCCTCCGCCTCCCAAAGTGCTAGGATTACAGGCGTGAGCCACCGTACCTGGTGGTCAGGCTGGTCTTGAACTCCTGACCTTGTGATCTGTTCTCCTCAGCCTCCCAAAGTGCTGGGATTACAGGCATGAGCCACTGTGCCCGGCCCTGTCTTCTGTCTGTTTTTTTTTTGACAGAGTTTTGCCCTTGTTGCCCAGGCTGGAGTGCAATGGCGTGATCTTGGCTCACTGCAACTTCCGCCTCCGAGATTCAAGCAATTCTTCTGCCTCAGCCTCTCGAGTAGCTGGGATTACAGGCTCTTGCCACCACGCCCAGCTAATTTTTCTATTTTTAGTAGAGACGGGATTTCAACATGTTGGCCAGGCTGGTCTTCGACTCCTGACCTGAGGTGATCCACCTGCCTCGGCCTCCCAAAGTGCTGGGATTACAGGCATGAGCCACTGCACCAAGCCTGTCTTCTGTCTTTATAAAGCTTTCTCAGAAGGCAGCCACGCTCCTTCCTTTACACATTGTCTATGGCTGCTTTCACACTATGACATTGGAGCTGAGTCAGTCTGTCCCCAAAAGCTGGAAATTTCCCAGCTAGCCTTTTATTTTTTATCATTATTATTATCATTATTTGTTATGATAATTATTTTTGAGACGGAGCCTTGCTCTGTCACCCGGGCTGGAGTGCAGTGGCATGATCTTGGCTCACTGCAACCTCCAACTCCGGGTTCAAGCGATTTTCCTGCCTCAGCCTCCTGAGTGGCTGGGACTACAGGCACGTGCCATCACACTTGGCTAATTTTTGTATTTTTAATAGAGATCGGGTTTCACCATGTTGACCAGGCTGGTGTTGAACTCCTGGCCTCAGTTGATCTGCCCATCTCGGCCTCCCAAAGTGCTGGGATTACAGGCGTGAGCCACCATGCCCGATGATTATTATTATTTTTTAGAGACAGGGTCTCTCTATGCTCCAGGCTGGAGTGCAGTGGTGTGATCATAGTTCACTGCAGCTTTGAACTGGTCTCAAGAGATTCTCCGGCCTCAGCCTCCTGAGTAGCTGGGACTACAGGCACCCGCCACCACGCCTGGCTAATTTTTTGTATTTTTAGTAGAGACAGGGTTTCATTGTGTTAGCCAGGATGGTCTCGATCTCCTGACCTTGTGATCTGCCCGCCTCGGCCTCCCAAAGTGTTGGGATTACAGGCGTGAGTCACCGCGCCTGGCCATGTCTTCATATCTTTCTAAACATTTGTGGGAGATTAGGCTGGCTGCGGTGGCTCACACCTGTAAACCCAGCACTTTGGGAGGCCGAGGCAGGTGAATCACTTGAGGCCAGGAATTCAAGACCAGCCTGGCCAAATGGTGAAATCTTGTCTGTACTAAAAATAGAAAAATTAGCCGGGCGAGGTGTCAGGCACCTGTAATCCCAGCTACTCAGGAGGCTGAGGTGAGAGAATCACTTGAACTTGGGAGGCAGAAGTTGTGGTGAGCCAAGATCGTGCCACTGCACTCCAGCCTGGGTGACAGAGTGAGACTCTATCTCAAAAAAAAAAAGAAAAGAAAAGAAAAAAGAAATTTGGAAGGTTTGTAAAAATTTATGGAGTAAATAAGAGAGTAAATGTAAACGCTTATACTCATTTTTTAATTACAGAGTTTAGAATAAATATTTTATCGCTTGACGGTCTGGCTCCAGCTGTCAGTGAGAACTCCGATTTGGAACAGGAAGTAAGTACAACAAAGTCATTTTTCATGGTCGATTGTTTTTGGCTTCAACATTTTTTTTTTTAAATTTTTAAAAAATTTAAAAATTGAGGCAGGGTCTCACTATGTTGCCCAGGCCGTCCTCAAACTGGGCTCAAGCAATCCTCCCGATTCAGCCTCCCAAAGTGCTGGGATTACAGGTGTGAGCGACCATGCCTGGCCCAATGTCGATTCTTATGTGGAAAAGCAAGTAATGTTTCATTTAGGCCTATAGTTTTCAAATCTGCCCCCCAGGGGACATTGGCAATGTCTGGTGACATTTTGGCTGTCATGACTAGGGGGTGGGTGACAGATGCCACTGGCATTGTGAGTGGGTGGAGGCCAGGAACACTGCTCCATATTGTGTAATGCACCGGGTGGCCCCCAGCTGCCAAGAATGTTGTGGCCTCTGATGTCAAGAGTGCAGTAGGTGAGAGACCCTGATTTAGGTGCTAACAGGATGAAGCTACCTTGGTTAGCTGGTGATTAAAGCACATCCCACGTAAAGCCGCCCATGACAACATCTGCACGGAGGCAACACTTCACCAGCCGTATCCAGTCACACTCCCTGTTGTGATTTTTGTCCTGGTGGCCACCGGCACTGTCAGATACACGTGTTGGTTATACACAGTGATGACATTTTATTTTTATTTTAAAATATTTATTGTTTTTATTTTATTATTATTATTATTTTTTATTTTAAACTTTTTTTTTTTTTTTGAGAGAAGTCTTGTTCTTATCCCCCAGGTTTGAGTGCAATGGCTCGATCTCGGCTCACTGCAACCTCCACCTCCCGGGTTCAAACGATTCTCCTGCCTCTGCCTCCCAAGTAGCTGGGATTAAGTCCCCTGCCACCATGCCCAGCTAATTTTTGTATATTTTAGTAGAGACGGGGTTTCACCATGTTGGCCAGGCTGGTTTCGAACTCCTGACTGCAAGTGATCCACCTGCCTTGGCCCCCCAAAGTGCTGGGATTACAGGCATGAGCCACTGCGCCTGGCCTATTATTATTATTATTATTATTATTATTTTGAGACAGAGTCTCGCTCTGCTGCCCAGGCTGGAGTGCAGTGGTGTGATCTCAGCTCACTGCAAGCTCCGCCTCCTGGGTTCACACCATTCTCCTGCCTCAGCCTCCCGAGCAGCTGGGACTATAGGCGCCCACCACCAGGCCCGGATAATTTTTTTTGTATTTTTAGTAGAGATGGGGTTTCACCGTGTTAGCCAGGATAGTCTCGATCTCCTGACCTCGTGATCCGCCCGCCTCGGCCTCCCAGAGTGCTGGGATTACAGGCGTGAGCCACCACGCCCGGCCTTAATTATTATTTTTTTGAGACACAGTCTCGCTCTGTCGCCCAGGCTGGGACTACAGTGGCACAATCTCAGCTCACTGCAACCTCCACCTCCTGGTTTCAAGCAATTCTTGTGCCTCAGCCTCCTGAGTAGCTGGGATTACAGGCACCCGCCACCCTACCCCACTAATTTTTGTATTTTTAGTAGAGATAGTTTCACCATGTTGGCCAGGCTGGTCTCCAACTCCTGACCTCAGGTGATTCACCCACCTTGGCCTCTCAAAGTGCTGGGATTACAGGCATGCGCCACCATGCCTGGCCCAATTTATTTATTTTTGAGACAGGTCTCACTCAGGCTGGAATGCAGTTGGGGGATCATGGCTCACTTCATCCTCGATGTCCTAGGCTCAAGCAATCCTGCCCAGCCTCCTGAGTAGCTGAGACTACAAGCGTGCACCCATGCCTGGCTAATTTTTTATTTTTTTGTAGAGATATGGACCGGCTGGGTTGTCCAGGCTGGTCTTGAACTCCCAGCTTCAAGCAATCCTCCTGCCTCGGCCTTTCAAAGTGCCGAGATTACAGGTGTGAGCCATTGCCCCCAGGCATGATGAAACTTAATTTTTAAAATATTTTTTTTCTTACAGAGGTAGGGTCTTGCTATGTCTCCCAGGCAGGTCTTGAACTCCTGAGCTCAAAGGATCCTGCCGCCTCAGCCACCTAACATTTCATCAGTCCATGATGAAATGTTTTTTTTTTGAGACAGAGTTTTGCTCTTGTTGCCCAGGCCGGAGTGCAATGGTGTGATCTCAGCTCACCATAACCTCTGCCTCCTGGGTTCAAGTGATTCTCCTGCCTTAGCCTGCTGAGTAGCTGGGATTACAGATACGTGCCACCATGTCTGGCTAATTTTGTATTTTTGGTAGAGACGGGGTTTCTCCATGTTGGTCAGGCTGGTTTCAAACTCCCAACCTCAGGTGATCTGCCCGCCTTGGCCTCCCAAAGTGCTGGGATTATAGGCATGAGCCACTGTGCCCGGCTGAAAATTTTTTAATTTTTTTTTTCTTATAGAGGTAGGGTCTTGCTGTGTTGCCCAGGCAGGTCTTGAACTCCTGAGCTCAAAGGATCCTACCGCCTCAACCACCTAAAGTCCTTAAGTCCATGATGAAATGTTAAATGCCATCCACGTGCCACCTAAGCATGCGTCACACCATCAGGATTCCTGCAGCCCCGTGGACATGCCGTACTGAAGACGCCACAGTTCTGTTTAGAATACTCCGTGCCCACATCTAATGAGGACCTGGTGTGTCCCCTTGTCTGCGGGAGTGCTGCAGGTCCCCAGCTCCTAGGAGTGCAGTGTTCCTAGCATGTTGATATTTCCAAAACACTTCCCAGCCACCTCTGCCATTCTTCATTTTAGGAGGAAAGTGCTCAGAGACAAAAAACAGCTGGCAAAATCTTCAGAGCCGAGGCGTCCACTGGGCAGGATGCCCCGAGGCAGGCCCAGGCGAGGAGCTGGGCATCACAGGGAAAGGCCGCCTCTGCAGAGGGGGATGAGAGCGAGGTCTCGGAGCATCTCAGTGCCAGCTCGGCTTCTGCCATCCAGCAGGACAGCACTTCCAGCATGCAGCCACCATCTGAAGCCCCCATGGTGAACACAGTCAGCTCAGCTTATTCGGAGGATTTTGAAAACTCTCCAAGTCTGACAGCATCTGAGCCAACCGCCCATTCCAAGGAGTCTCTTGACAGAACACTGGACGCTTTGTCTGAATCCTCTTCAAGTGTGAAGACAGACCTTCCACAAACAGCCGAGTCTAGGAAAAAGTCGGGCAGGCACGTGACAAGAGTGCTTGTGAAGGACACAGCTGTGCAGACGCCAGATCCTGCCTTCACCTACGAGTGGACCAAGGGTAAGCCTTGGGGCCCGTGGGGGCCGGGGCAGCCGGGACAGGAGCTCAGCGTGTGGTTTACAGCATCCTGGGAGACACGTGGGAGAGCTCAGGTTCCTGAGATTTGGGCTCTTGTTATTAATCACCTGGAGGGGTTGGCCAAGCAAGGTGGCTCACGCCTGTAATCCCAGCACTTTGGGAGGCCGAGGCGGGAGGATCACTTGAGGTCAGGAGTTCAAGACCAGTCTGGCCAACACAGGGAACCCTCATCTCTACTAAAAATACAAAAATTAGCTGGCTGTGGTGGTGTGTTCCTGTAATCCCAGCTACTCAGGAAGCTGAGGCTTGAGAAGAACCCGGGAGGTGGAGGTTGCAGTGAGCTGAGATGATGCCCCTGCACTCCAGCCTGGGTGACAGAATGAGACTCTGTCTCAAAAAAAATAAAAGTCACCTAGGGACCTTGGCTCACCATTTCCTCTTCCATGGACGAGGGACAGCCGCCCTCGTGTGTCCCGATGTCTTCCTAGCCCTGAAGCATTCAGAAGGATCAGAACCAAGGACTAGGGTAGCACCTCCCACAGGATGATTCACGGGGGGACTCCAGCAAGGTCTGGAGACATTATTAGTTGTCACAACTCAGGGTGGGGAATGCTATCGGCATCTGCTGGGTGGAGGCCAGGGGTGCTATTCCACACCCCGCAGTGCACAGGATGCCTTTGTCCTGGAGAATGAACACCCTGGGTGACTTTCCAGATATTTCTCTCTCTCTCTCTCACTCTGTTTTTAGAGATGGGGTCTTGCTATGTTGCCCAAGCTGGAGTACAGTGACCCAATCATAGCTCACTGCAGCCTCAACCTCCCTAGGCTCAGGTGATCCTCCTACCTCAGCCTCCTGAGTAGTAGGATTACAAGCATGCGCCCCCATGCCTGGCTAATTTTTATATTTTTTGTAGAGACAGGGTCTTGCCATATTGCCCAGCCTGGTCTCAAACTCGTGGGCTCAAGCAATCTGTCAGCCTTAGCCTCCCAAAGTGTTGGGATTACAGGCGTGAGCCACTGCACCCGGCCCTGTATCTTTTTTTTTTTTGAGATGGAGTCTCACTCTCTTGCCCAGGCTGGAGTGTAGTGGTGCGATCTTGGCTTACTGCAACCTCCACCTCCTGGGTTCAAGCGATTCTCCTGCCTCAGCCTCCTGAATAGCTGGGATTACAGGTATGTGCCACCACGCCCAGATAATTTTTGTATTTTTAGTAGAGATGGGGTTTCACCATGCTGGCCAGGCTGGTCTCAAATTCCTGACCTCGTGATCTGCCTGCCTCGGCCTCTCAAAGTGCTGGGATTATAGGTGTGAGCCACCGCACCTGGCCCCCTGTATAATTTTAAAATGTTCTTTGTAGAGACAGGGTCTCCCTATGTTCCCCAGCCTGGTCTTGAACTCCTGGGCTCAAGTGATCCTTCCACCTGCTCATGTTGGCCCCCCAAGGTGCTGGGACTACAGGCATGAGCCACCATGCCTGGCCTTCGGGCATTTCTCTCATTCCCAGCTTCAGTCTCGGCTCTTGCTGGTGGAAAGGCCCCATTCTTTTAAACATTCCCATGTTATTATTTTATTTTATATAATTTTATTTTATGAGATGGGGTCTCGCTCTGTTGCCCAGGCTGGAGTGCGGTGGCACAATCTCGGCCCACTGCCTCCTCCACCTCCTGGGTTTCAGCGATTCTCCCACCTCAGCCTCCCCAATAGCTGGGACTAGAGGCGCCTGGCTAATAAACATTCCCTTTTAATATCTCTTTTCTCATCCATATGGCTCTTGACAAGGTAGACTGGATGTGAAAAATGATGTAGTTCCCAGCCTGGCCAATATGGTGAAACCCCGTCTCTACTAAAAATACAAAAATTAGCCTGGTGTGGTGGCACGCATCTGTAGTCCTAGCTACTCGGGAGGCCGAGGCACAAGAATCGCTTGAAACCAGAAGGTGGAGGTTGCAGTGAGCTGAGATCGTGCCATAGCACCCCAGCCTGGGCGACAGAGTGAGACTCTGTCTCAAAAAAAAAAAAAAAAAAAAAAAAAGGCAATGTAATTCTCACTGGATCTATTTGTTTTGATTTGGGGGCTTAACCTAACATCAGCCTGACGGGCCCCCCAGGAGAGGGTGAGTGGTGTCTGTTTCTCAGGAGGGAAAGTCAATCACATGGACTGAGTCAAATCACCTTGGAGGTGTTAAATGGTATTTTCAACCTGGGATCTGGGCTCAGAATTGTTTGTGTCTCTCTGCACTTCTGTCCATATTTTTGGCAATTTAGGGATGCTTTCATGAAACACTGGCGAGGCTGTTTTCCTAGACTAGGACTGACAGGGAAAGGAGAAAGAAAAAACAGCAGCCATAAACACGCTGGCCTCAGAGCCCAGAGAACACGCAACATCCTGAGGTCAACAGTGACCCTTAGAAGAAGGGCTGGGAAAGCACATCCTCCACTGCTCTCGACTGCAGCCACCGTGAGCCGGAGCCACCGCTGCACCCAGCTAGGATACCCGTGCCTTGAGCCAAGAAAACCTAGCAGAAAAATGGAGGCAGCCTTGGGAAATACTTGAAAGGGGAAGAGGGTAAAAAAAAGTAAAGAAGGGCCGGGTGCGGTGGCTTACACCTCAGCACTTTCAGAGGCTGAGGCAGGAGGATTGCTTGAGCCTAGGAGTTCAAGACCAGCCTGGGCAACATAGGGAGACCCTGTCTCTACAAAAAATTTTAAAAATTAGCCAGGCGTGGTGGCGCACCTGTAGTCCCAGCTACTTGGGAGACAGATGGGAGGATTACGTGAGCCCAGGAGGCTGTAGTGAGCTGTGATCATGCCGTGCACTCCAGACTGGGCAATAGAGCAAGACCCTGTCTCAAACCAAAAAAAAAAAAAAAAAATGCAAGAGTGGCGATCACCTTCAGAAAGAGGGAAGAACAAGGTCACGTAGTTTATTCCAGGGTCGTATCTGTGGACCCGAAAGTCATTTCTCTGCGTCCTGCCTGCTTACCCCTCTCTTTGTCCCCGAGATAGTGGCCAGCATGGCAGCCATGGGGCCTGCCCTGGGAGGCGCCTACGTGGACCCGACACCCATCGCCAATCATGTTATCAGTGCAGATGCAATAGAAGGTAACAGCCCGGCTCGGGGGATCCTTCCTGTCACATTTTACAGGACTCATTTCACCTGCAGATTCACACCCACTCTGGAGGTGTGGCACCCCTTGCATGCTGGCTTCCAGGGGTCCATTGGGCAGGGATTATTGCAGCCACAGGCACCTGCCATGAGGAGAGAAAAGGTGTGGATGCCCTTGAACCTTCTGTCTCTTGCAAAGAGACACCAATGTCACACAAAACAAGAGGGTGAAGAGTGATGCTTCTGTGCCCTGCACCCCAACAAGGCCACTTTTTTTGTTTGTTCGTTTTGAGACAGTCTCGCTCTGTTGCCCGGGCTGGAGTGCAGTGGCGCGATCTCCACTCACTGGGACCTCTGCCTCCTGGGTTCAAGCGATTCTCCTGCCTCAGCCTCCCGAGTAGCTGGGATTACAGGCACCTGCCACCACGCCCGGCTAATTTTTGTATTTTTAGTACAGACAGGGTTTCTCCATGTTGGCCAGGCTGGTCTCGAACTCCTGACCTCAAATGATCTGCCCACCTCGGTCTCCCAAAGTTCTGGGATCACAGGCCTGAGCCGCCCTGCCTGGCACAAGACCACTTTTGTTTTGTATGTTCCCCTTGGTGGCATTACATCAATAAGCCATAGTTTATTTCCCCTGAAGACATGTATTTGACTGATGCTGAGTTGCACAGCCTGGGTAGACATTCCCTTGCCTCCTGGGCTGAGTCTGTGTGGCCCTCACAAAGGCTCCAGTCCAGCCTGAGGCATGAGGGAGGGGCCCCAGCAGCCATCTTAGAGAGTTTAGTCTTTGTCGAGTCCAGTGGAGCCAATAAAGGCTTGTGATACACGTAGGGGTCCATCTGGTACCTACTATTTTTTTCCCTTTTCAATTTTTTAATTTTTTTTTTTTGAGACGGAGTCTTGCCCTGTCACCCAGGCTGGAGTGCAGTGGTGTGATCTTGGCTCACTGCAACATCTGCCTCCCAGGTTCAAGCGATTCTCCTGCCTCAGCCTCCCAAGTAGCTGGGACTACAGGTGTCTGCCACTACACCTGGCTAATTTTTTTTTTTGTTTTTTTAGTAGAGATGGGGTTTCACTATGTTGGCCAGGCTGGTCTCAAACTCCTGATCTCGAACTCCTGATCTTGTGATCCGCCTGCCTCAGCCTTCCAAAGTGCTAGGATTACAGGTGTGAGCCACTGTTGCTTAAACCCAGGAGTTCGAGGCTGCAGTGCGCTGTGATGGCACCGCTGTACTCCAGCCTGGGTGGCAGAGCGAGACCCTGTCTCCAGAAAAAAAAAAAAAGATTTCAGAGAGCAGCCTGGCACCTGAGCGGTGGGGGGGGGGCTGCAGAATTTGTGGGGCCCCAGCGAAGCCACCGAGTAACGCGGAGCTGGGTCAGCCCTGACCGCTTACAGCCCGGCCGTGCTGGCACTCCATGATGTGCTGAAGCAGCAGCTGAGCCTGACGCAGCAGTTCATCCAGGCCAGCCGGCACCTGCACGCCTCCCTCCTGCGCTCCCTGGACGCGGACTCCTTCCACTACCACACCCTGGAGGAAGCCAAAGAGGTGAGCGCAGCTCCCCATGGGCAGGGGCAGGGCAGTAGGGGAGCGGCAGCTCCCAGAGGCCGGGCCGAAGGGATATGGGCCGGGGCCTGGGCTCCAGCGCTCAGCCCAGGGCTGCAGGGATGCAGTGGGGCCATCACCTGTCCCTGTGGAGGGAGCCTCATTTCCTGCCACCCTGTGGCAAAAGCTGGTACAGGGTGGGGTGCTGAGCTCCTGCACCTTGCAGCCAGCCCCGCCTGGGCTGTGTGACCTCAGACTAAAGGGACCTACTGTTCGTGGCACTGTTTTCTCCCATGGGAGGGGTCCTGTCCCTTTCCCTGAGCCTCCTGAGACATCCCCGAGATGGGGCCAGAGGCGGCCCAGCTGTTCTCCTCAGCAATCACCCTCACCTCTTTTTTTACCCTCTAAGAATTTTTATCTGATTACCAGCCAGGTGCCGTGGCTCACACCTGGTGCTTTGGGAGGCTGTGATGGGTGGATCACTTGAGGTCAGGCGTTTGAGACCAGCCCGGCCAACGTGGTGAAGCCCCATCTCTACTAAAAATACAAAAATTAGCCAGGATGGTGACGGGCGCCTGTAGTCCCAGCTACTCAGGAGGCTGAGGCAGGAGAGTCGCTTGAACCTGGGAGGTGGAGGTTGTAGTGAGCTGAGATCGTGCCACTGCACTCCAGCTCGGGTGACGAGCAAGACTCCGTCTCAAAAAAACTTTTTAAAATCTGATTACCAAAAATTACGTGGCTGTTTTCTGAAAATCTTGTTGCAGAGATGTGTAACCTGCAAGTTCTCCTTAATTTCAGAGGTAACTATTACCAAGCTGATATATATACTCCTTCAGACTCTTGTATGAACCATAGTATGCGTATTTCTTTTTTTTAAAATTTTTTTTTGACGGAGTTTTGCTCTTGTTGCCCAGGCTGGAATGCAGTGGTGTGATCTCAGCTCACTGCAGCCTTCGCTTCCTGGGATCAAGCGATTCTTCTACCTCAGCCTCTCAAGTAGCTGGGATTACAGGTGCCTGCCACCATGCCCAGCTAATTTTTGGGATTACAGGTGCGAGCCACCATGCCTGGCCACGTATTTCTTTATAGAAATGGCATTATACTATATGCAGTCCTTTATGGTGATCTATTCATAAACTTTTTTTTTTCTTTTGAGACTGAGTTTCACTCTTGTTGCCCAGGCTGGGGTGCAATGGTGCAATCTCAGCTCACTGCAACCTCCGCCTCCTGGGTTCAAGTGATTCTCTTACCTCACCTTCCTGAGTAGCTGTGATTACAGGTGCGAACCACCATGCCCAGCTAATTTTTCATATCTTTAGTAGAGACAGGGTTTCTCCATGTTGGTCAGGCTGGTCTTGAACTCCCGACCACAGGTGATCCACCTGCCTCGGCCTCCCAAAGTGCTGGGATTATAGGCGTGAGCCACCGCCCCCTGCTTTAAACATTTTACATAACAAATTTTTCAGTGTTTATTTCTAAAAAGTGATGTTAAAGCCAGGTGTGGTGGTTCATTCCTGTAATCCCAGCACTTTGGGAAGCTGAGGCAGGGTGGGTCGCTTGAGCCCAGGAGTTCATGACCAGCCTGGGCAACATAGCAAGACTCCATCTCTATTAAAAAATACAAGAAAACTAGTTTAAGTTTAGCATAGTGGTGTGTGCCCGTAGTCCCAGCTCTCTGGGAGGCTGAGGTGGGAGGATCACTTGAGCTGGGGAGGTTGAGGCTGTAGTGAGGGAGAAAGCGGGACTCTGTCTCAAACAAACAACCATAATGCAATAATACACAAACCAAATTTACTAAGTATCAAGGAATATCCAGTGTTGAGATTTCTGCTTGTCTGATTTAAAGTTGTGTGTTTTGTTCCGATTTGGTAATTCGGATCCAAAGTCCATACTATCCGATATGTCCTTTGAGCCTCTTAATCTAGAGCAGCGACCGGTTCTCAATGCTGAGCGGTTGGGGATCCCCTGGAAGCCCTGTGAAAGCGATGCTGGGCCCGCAAGCAGGCGGGGTGGGCCTGGAGCTAGGCGTTTCTCCCACATGCCCCGGGACGCTGCTTTGGAACTGTGCCGAGTCCCCTGCATGCCAGGCCTCTCGTTTCCTTGTGGTTTATCTGCTGAAGAGGGCAGGTTGTGAGTCCCACGGGTCTCTACAATGTCAACTTTGCTCATTGCAGCCCTCTGGGGGCTTTGAACTCATGCCTCTGTTGGGCGTCCATCAGCCCATCCGATGCAGGCAGAAGCCATCTGACTGTGCCACCTGGCTGCAGCCCACCATAGCTCCCAGCTGCTTGCTCCAGGCGCTTCTCCCTGATCTCAGCCACTCCAAGGGCACTCACAGGCACCCCTCCCTTTCTCTGTCAGGGCTCACCCCTCGCAGGGCTGACCCTCTACCCTGTGTTCCCACAGCCCCGTGCGCCAACCTGTCACACACATCCTGTGGTTTTACACTTCTGTCACTGACAGGAGCCTGCTGGGGACAGGTGCTGGCTCCACTCCCTCCTCCAGCACCCTGTCTCAGAGTGTACTGAGGTGACGATGGTGATGGCGTGGTCTGTTCTCTGCCTGACAGTACATTAGGTGCCACAGACCTGCCCCACTGACCATGGAGGATGCCCTGGAGGAGGTGAACAAGGAGCTGTGAGCGCCAGCAGGTGGAGCTTGACGTGACGTCTTAACAAAAGGTATCCCGTCCTGTGTACTCAGTGCACACACACGCACACAAACATAGAGCTCATCAGTGTCCAAGTGTGACGTTCCGTGGTGGGGGCAGGTGGTACTGGGGTGATGGACACACACACACACAGTCAGCATCCAGGTGTGACATTCCATGGTGGGGCAGGTGGTGCTGCGGTGAGGGCCCCAGACTCCTCTGAGCCAAATCCCAGCTCAGTGACAGCTCTCCCAGCAGCATGCCCAGCTCTATGACACCACAGGCCAGTGGAAATAGAATTTCAGTGGAGCTGTCCCCACTCACAGCAGGACAGGGGCCACCAGCCTCTGCAGAGCAGCTCCACCCAGGCAGGTCCTGGCATCCCAGTGAGCCAGAGGGAGACAGGGTGGATGGGAGAAGCCCTGCTCGAGGGTAAGGACATGGGACCAGGTCAGCACGCTGGGGACGCCATGTGAGCCCCTGGACACGGCCTCTGACCCCAGGCTGCACAGCTCAAACCAGGACATGTGTCTCCTCACTCAGCCCGTGCACACTTCTGACTTACACATGTGCGGGAGAAAGGTCTTTAAAAAAAGGCTTTATTTGAAGGCAAAACAATGAAATCCACAAGAAATTACTAACAGCACGTGTTTACGTTTTATCCTGAATCATACATTTTAACAATTCACAGCTACAGGAAATCTAGAACAAAATCAAATATTCATCACGTTGGGTTGAAAAGTTGGAAGATTTTGCATCTTATTGAAAAGAATTTTTCAAAAATGTTTCTGTACAAATGAATGGAATTGCACCAGGCTGCCCATGGACACCAGGTGTGGCCGATTCCCAACGGTCACCCACCAGCTTCTGGCAGGAGCAGCTCCCCTCCTGGCCTCCCCTCCCTTCGGGGGTGTGAAATGAAATGATGGAGTGGAAGGCGCTGGCTGGGGTCGGGCTCCATGCTCTGGATGGGACTGGGCCGTCGCACACGCCAGCCGGTGCAGGGTTCTTCCAAGTGCAAAACTCAAGCAGGGGACGCGACGGGCACAGACTCCGAGGCAGCGCTCAACCTGAAGTGTCTTAGGCTGGTTTCCTGTTAGAATCTTGTTTCCCAGATAACAGCAAATGGCTACATTCCAGAAAAAAAATATCAACTTATACAACTAAAATAACTGAACTAAGGGCCAGTACGCCTTCGAAGAATTAGGTTTCAGAATCTCACTGGGCCTCCTCTCAGGTCAGTATTCTTCTTTCTAGACCTAAACCAAGGAGAGTAAAAATGAAAACCCTGCTTCACTTCGCAAGTCAAGTCAAAGTTTTGTGTTTCTGTTTTTCAATCCGCGGGCAGTCATGGCACTGGGCTTCGGCTTTGTCCCTACACAGCCGAGGGGAAGCCAGGTCAGGGCCGGTGGGTGCGGGGAGCTGGAGGAAGGAGCTGGGGTGCCGGCTCTGGCTCAGGCCAACCCTTCCTGCACATGCTCCTCCTGGAGCCTAGGAGGAGGCTTCAATCTGACTTAGGGCAGATGCACATCCATCCCTTCGTGGCTGAAGAATTTACTCGGGCGGAGGGTCTTGTGTTTTTTGCTTCGCTATAAAGGAAAACGAGCCTGGGGCCCTGGTGGCTGCAGCGCCTCCTGGTGTGGTTTGTGGGTGGCACCCGTGCCCTCCACGCCATGGAGCACGGCGTTCCCACTGGGCATGCGCTGGTCTTCCTTCTCTTCCTGTGGCTCTCCACAAGTGGAGACGGTGTAAGAACTGAGCTGTCACTGCAATCTTCCTCTGCCAGTCAGCCAGGAAGGTCCCACAGCCGGCACCGCTGGCCACCGGCGCGGCTCCCGGCATGGGCGCCTACTTACACTCGTCCCTGGCCTTCATGCGGGCGATGAAGGAGTAGCTCTTGTTCCTGCGGTAGTTCTCATAGGGGTCATCCAGAGCCACGCCCACGCCTTTATACTGGTCCCACTTATCCCGGACGTCCCCGCCCTTGATGGGGTCCTGGATCCCTTGCTCCTTCGCACCGAGGCCGCCTGAGCCGCTCCAGCCTGGAAACAGAGACGCAGTCACAACCACAACAAGGCGGAGGCAGATGGGGGTGCACGTGGGGGGCTGAATGTCCAGACAGGCAGTGTAGACATGGGAAATGGGTAGAGAGAACCCGCAGGCCGGCCCTGTCTAGAGGGTCTGGGTGGAGTCAGAACCGGCCTGACTCCATCCATCCCCACATGCACTGAGGAAGAGAAAGCGCTGGTGACTCCCGGGCCCAGCACGCGTGAGGACCCATCCCGCGCCCTCCCCATTCCCTCGCCTTACCCATCTTCACCAGCATCTGATGGCCTTTGTTCTCTTCTCCGAGCCTTGAGTCAGGGATGGGAGGCGCCGAATTAGAACCCAGACCAGCAGAGGAACTAAAATCGAGACAGGTTATTCTTTTTAAGAAGTAACTGAGACATTTATTGGAATGACAGTGATGAGGACCTCACAGCCGCAGCTTGCGTGCATGCTCACTGTCACCAGGTGACACCGTATGCAGATTTTGCGTCTCTACCCGTTTATCCTGTCTCAGCTAGATAAGGGGGCTCCAGACGCTGGCCCCCACCCCACGCTCAGCATTGAGAGCAGGACACCTCCAACCCAGATGGTGGTTAGAAAGCAGACCCCAGTTACTGCCTCAGGCTTCGCCAAGTGGCTACTGTGGTGAAGGGTGAGGGGTGCCACTGTCCCCGGGCTAATGCTGGCGGCCTCCTAACACAGTCTCCTAACCACCAATGTTTCCACATTCACAGCAAAGCACCGCAGCTTCCCAGAGTTACCAGCGCAGCACTTAAGACAGGATCTTACGGCGGGGTGGGGCTCCTGGACCGTGACCGGCGTCTTCTTCCTGGGGAGTACGACTTGGACCGGGACCGCGACTGGGACCGGGAGCGGCTTCTGGAGGAGCGCGACCTGCTCCGACTTCTGCAGGGAAGGGTGCCCAAGGGTCAGCAGCAGCCAGGCGTCGTGGGGAGGCCACAGGAAGAGGCCTCAGGCACTGCCCTGAGGCAGCCTCTGCCTACCTAGATCTGGAGCGGGAGTAGGAACGGGAGCAGGAGCGCGACCTTGACCTTGAGTACGAGCCTGAAGACTTGGAGGATCTTGAGTTGGAGCGGGAGGAAGAACGCCCTCGACTCTTGGATCTGCTCCGAGACCTCGAGGGTCCGCTGTGGGGAGAGGCCTGATGATCAGGTGCCCCAGTGGATGGGCTGCACCCAGCCCACCCTGGCCCTCAGGTTCCTAGACCACCCCAGATGCAGGGGCTCTGGCTGTGGATGTGGCGCCATAGCCACAGCAACGGTACCAAGTTCCTAAATAGTGTGGCCGAGCCTGCTGCTGTGTGAATTCAGGCCTTGTGGAAAACACCGCCCCATAGGCACAGGCTGTGTGAGGGTGGACGTGATGAGTGTATCTGGGGTCTGCTCCCACCCATCACAAGCTGTGGACCCTGGCCCCCCGGCCACTGCAGACATCTGCGCTTTTACCTGTTCCTCTTCTCCTGGCCTTTCCTCCGCCGGGCCCGCATTTTTGCTCGGAAGAACTCATAGAGGCCGTTCTGCTCCCAGCCTTCACTGTAAGACACGGCATTCCGTGTGTGACCACGTGACACCCACCCACAAGGAAGTCGTGAAAAAGTCATCAGGAGTTAATCCACAGAACCTTGGAGAGTACATGGCCCTGTGGCTGTGGGCTCCGAGCATGGGCGCAGTAGAGCTTGGTTCAGTGTTCCCACAGGGCTGTCCTCCTGCAGCCCAGTGGCTCCTCTGGTGCCCACGCCCTTGCCACCCTGCTGTTCCGCTGAGGTGGTGGGGACCCATGGTCTGTGGAACTGGGAAACAGGAACACTGACTCATGGGTGGACAGGCCTGCAGCCCAGCACAGGAAGGAGGGGTGACCACTGGGAAGGGTGGGCTGAGGGCCCTGTGGCAGCCGGCTGCTTGAGACGTGCCGCCGTGCCACACCTTCCCTAACTTCTTCTGATGTGTCTCCATTAAAACGCCCTTCATTGAGGGCCACGTGTGTGCTGTGCCTGTGACACACACTTGTCACTCAGGCGGGGGGAGGGCAGTTTCTCCTGAGGGACAGCCACATTTTCTAGCCTGGACAGAAGGTGTGGTTGCAGGGAGCCGGGAGAGGGGACAGAGGCCTCCCGCCCACCCCACTGACCTGGGCCCCTTACCTGTTCCTGGGCCTGTCGTGGGACGGGGGGCTGTAGAAGGCCTCCACTGCAGCCAGCAGCCTCTCGCTGGGCGGCATGGGGGGTGGGAGGCGGATGTCTTTAGGGTCCAAAGGCTTGTACTCGTGATCTTCCAGCTGCAGCAGAGAACCCCAGCTGTCACCATGCCTGGGCAGAGCCCTCTCAGGCCCACCCAGGGTCTGCAAGGAGTGGGGTCAGGGCAGGGCCCAGGTTCAGTGTCAAGGGTACCCTGGGCACCAGAGCTCCTCATGCTTCCCTCTTGGGGATCCCACTCTCTTGTAGGACCTCAGCCACACCAACCATGGTGGGTCATAGCTGCTCTGAGGCTGATGACAGTCACAGGGTTCTCTCTTCAGAAAATCACCCACAGGGGACATGGTCTCCAAACTCAGGTGACCTGAACACCCTCTGGTTTATTCAGACATGCAGCGGGCCCCTCACGTCACCCTTTGCTTGCAATGCCTACCCTGGGCCCCCGCTCAGAACAGCCTCAGCCCCGGCCCTGGAGCCCCCTGGCCTGTATCCTTCTTCTGCTCCGTCTCTGTCCTCCTGTTGAGGCCCTGCCCTGCCTGGCTTGCCTGGGCCCCCGCCCGCAGCTCTCCCTGCTGCCCATGGCTCCGTGAAGTCTGCCTGGACTTCAGGTGGATGTGTCTGAGGGGGTGGGAAGTGGCAGTGGCCAGCATGCCCTTGGAGGCCCCAAGCCCCGGCCCTGGCCTCCCCAACCCCCCCTTTTTTTTTTTGAGACGGAGTCCTGCTCTCGCCCAGGCTGGAGTGTAGTGGCGTGATCTCGGCTCAGTGCAAGCTCCGCCTCCCGGGTTCATGCCATTCTCCTGCCTCAGCCTCCCGAGCAGCTGGGACTACAGGCGTCTGCCACCACGCCTGGCTAATTTTTTGTATTTTTTAATAGAGACGGGGTTTCACCGTGTTAGCCAGGATGGTCTCGATCTCCTGACCTCGTGATCCGCCCGCCTCGGCCTCCCAAAGTGCTGGGATTACAGGTGTGAGCCACTACGCCTGGCCAGACCTGGCCCCTTCTTGCCTCACCTCTTGCCCTATGCTCCGGCCATCCCACAGTGGTACCAGCTGCTGCCAGCCCTGCCCGGCTTCTCCAGGGCCACCCCCCTCCCTGTGTGCTTGGTAGGCACAGCTCACAGGTGGCTCCTTCTAAGACATTCCCTCCATCAGCAGCCCTGGGACAAGGTGCTTCTGAGGCCCTGGACCAAGAAGGACGAAGAGAGGACTCGAGCCTCATAGCCTAGCTAGCCCCACATGGCTGAAGCTCCCTGTGGTGGGAGGGATAGGAGGGGCAGGGCAGGGCAGACATGGTGTCGCTCACAGCCACACCGTGCTACTCCGGTTCGGCACCTCCCACTGACGGATCAGGGTCCCTAGGGAGTGGGAGATGAAGGGGAGCCCCGGAAGGCACCCGGTCCCGTGCATTCACTTTTCACAAGGAGAAACGGGGACCAGTATGGTAAGCGTGCTCAGCTTGGAGCCCACTGTGGGGCATTACCTTCACGAGGGGGGCCATCAGCCCAGCAGGGAGATCGAAGTAGGGCACATTGGGGACCAGGCTGGGGTCATCGTGGTTGATGTGGGGTGGGCCCTGTCGCCGCATGTGTGGGGGCTGCCCGTTGAAGCCATGGGGGGGAGGGCCGAAGTCAGGGTGCTGGGGTCCAGCCCAAGGCGGGTGCTCGTTGATGCCAGGATGAGGCATGCGGTGGCCAGGGTGGTGGTGAGGGGGCCCCATTTCTGCAAAACAGAGACTTGCCTCAGGACCACAGGCCAGTCAGGATCTCCCAGGCGACAAGTGCTGGAGGGGAGGGGCTCAGTGAAGGGCCAGGAGACGAACCCCTCCTGGGAGCCTGTCCAGCATCTTCTCTCACTGCTTAAGACCAGGCAGCAAGGCACCGAGGAGCCAGGCTCCGAGGGGCCTGTCCCGCACCCATAGGCACAGCCGAGGGAGCTTGAGGCTGAGAGAAGAGAACCCCAAAACCCCAAAACTGCACGGTGAGGGCTAAGTTGTGACCCTCCGAATCCATACGCTGAGGTCCCAGCCCCCAGTAGCTCAGGACGGAACTGTATTTGGAGACAGAGCCTTCAAAGACACAAATGAGTTAAAATGAAGCCATAGTGGCCCGAATCCAACGTGACTGTTGCCGTTATAATAAGAGATTAGGACACAGACATGTAGAGAGAAGACGGTCACCTATGAGCCAAGGAGACAGGCCTCCAAGACACTAACCTGAACCCGCCACACCTCCACCTTGGACCTCCAGCCCCCAGATCCTTAAGACAATACATTCCAGCTGTTGAAGCCGTCCAGGCTGTGGGACTTATCATGTCAGCCCAAGCCAAAAAGTAAAAGCAATAAATGTGCCAAGCGGTCTTCAAGCTGCATTTATAATCAGAAATGTATTTAAAGAGAGAAGGCTGGGCATGGTGGCTCACGCCTGTAATCTCAGCACTTTGGGAGGCCAAGGCGGGTAGATCACTTGAGGCCCAGAGTTTGAGACCAGCCTGGCCAACATGGCGAAACCCCATCTACTAAAAATACAAAAATTAGCTGGGCATAGTGACTGATGCCTGTAATCCCAGCTACTGAGGAGGCCAAGGTGGAAGAATCACTTGAACCCAAGAGGAGGCTGCAGTGAGCCGAGACTGTGCCACTGCACTCCAGCCTGCGTGACAGTGAGGCTCAGTCTCAAAAAAACAACAAACAACAACAACAAAAGGCCAAGCGAGGTGGCTCACACCTTTCATCCCGGCACTTTGGGAGGCCGAGGCGGGCGGATCACCTGAGGTCAGGAGTTCGAGACCAGCCTGGGCAACATGGTGAAACCCTGTCTCTACTAAAGACACAAAAAATTAGCCAGGCATGGTGGCGCACACCTGTAATCCCAGCTACTCGGGAGGCTGAGGCAGGAGAATCATCTGAATCTGGGAGGCGGAGGTTGCAGTGAGCTGAGATTGTGCCATTGCACTCCAGCCTGGGCAACAGGGTGAGACTCTGTCTCAAAAAAAAAAAAAAGTACTAAAAGATTAGAAATAAAATCAATAACAAAGATACTAGGCATGGTGGCTCACATCTGTAGACCCAGCTACTCTAGAGGCTGAGGTGGGATGACTGCTTGAGCTCAGGAGTTTGAAAGTAGCCTGGCCAACATAGCAAGACCCCATCTCTATTTAAAATAAAATAAAATTTTTTTAAAAAAGAAAAGTAGTTTTTTGTTTTTTTTTTTTGAGACAGCGGTCTGTCGCCCAGGGTGGAGTACAGTGGTGCGATCACAGCTCACCGCAACCTCAGCCTTCTGAGCAGCTAGGACCATAGGCGCCCGACACCACGCCAAGTATTGATTTTTTAAACGAACTAATACAACGGGAAAACTGATGCAAAAAACAAGCAGCAGCAGTAAAAAGAACGAGGCCCCGCCCTGCCCTCGCCACGCCCACCCACGGCAGGAACCTTTTCCTACTGGCTCTGCCTCATCTGCAGCCAGCCGGGCCTCATCAGGGCGGCAAAACTGAGTCTGTGCCCCCACTTCCTGAGAACCCAGGCCGGGCTCCTCGGACGTCCCATGACCCTGTGTCTGTCACTGTGCACTCAGGAGCATGGCAGGGCCACAAGCAGCGCCACCAGCCTGCTCGGCAGGCGAGCCGTGGATGCCTCCGCCAGGCCCTACCCAGGCGCCCGTACACTCACCGGCAGGGAAGTCCCCCTGGGGGTAGTCGAAGCGGTGGGGATAGGGCGGCCGCTCGAAGGGGTGCCGTGGCGGGAAGTCGTCCTGCATGAAGCGGGGCGGGAAGCGGTTGAAGTTGTGGGGGTGCGGAGGCTGGTTGAACTGCGGGTGCTGCTGGTGGGGCGGGAAGGGCCCCCGGAAGTGTGGGGGCCGCTGCATGCGGAAGGGTGGCTCGCGCTGGCCCCCGCCCCAGGGCGGCTGCTCGTGCTGGCTGTTCCAGGGGCCCTCGAACTGGCTGTTCCAGGCGGCGTCGGGCTGGTTGTTCCAGGGCGCGTCGCGCTGGCCGTTCCAGCCGGGGTCACCGCGCTGCTCGCCCCACATGCCCTCATGGCTGTTGTTCCAGGGGGGGCAGTGGGGTGGGCCGCCCTGGTGGTGCGGGTAGGGTGGCTGCTCTGGCGGCTGCAAGGGAAGGGACAGGCTTGAGCCCTGCGTGGTCTAGGCCCTAGTGCTCGGCAGCATCACAGCGCTCGGCAGCATCACAGCGCTGGCTCAGACCATGGAGGCGCTGCCCTGGCCACGTTGAGGCGCCTCCTACGCTGACGCCTGCGAGGATGCTGGGCACCTGCTCTCAGCCCGCACCACATGCTGCTGCAAAATGACCAGACACCCAACCGCTGCACCCGCATCTCAGTCCCGGGGCTGTTTCTGCCGCTGGGGCGCGCTGCACCCGCACACAGGCCGCCCGCGCCACAAGGTGCTCCCCGCTACCACTGCCAGACAAACGCCAGCTCCCTCGCCCCTCAGGGGCAGGTGCAGAGGCACAGACGGTATCGCTTCTCAGGGCACCCCAGGCACCCATGGGGCGGGGCTCACTCTGACACCCCCTGCCCTGCCTCACTCCCCCTCTCCCCAAAAGCCGTCTGCTGGGCAGATACACTGCGGCACACACATCCTTGTCCTGGGGTCTGCTTCTGGGGACTTTCAAACCAAGCCAGCATCTTCCTGTAGACTGAAGACGGGAGGCTCTTCCCTCATCAGCTTCTGCTCTGGAGACTTAAAGCCAGGAGGGCAAACTCCAGCTTGGGCAGGGGAGGGGAGGAGCACAGAGGCCAATGAGAAGGCCGGTGTCTAGGGTCACAGCTGGGTAACTGCGCTGACCCCTACTAAGGGGAGGCTGGCCCAGGCTGCCACATTCACCAGGCTTCCAAGAGAAGCCAGAGAGCCAGATATTAAATATCAGGAACTACTTGTTTTTCTTTTTCTTAATTTGAGACAGTCTCGCTCTGTTGCCCAGGCTGGAGTGCAGTGGCGCGATCTTGGCTCACTGCAACTTCCACCTCCCGGGTTCAGGTGATTCTCCTGCCTCAGCTTCTCGAGTAGCTGGGATTATAGGCGCCTGGCACCATGCCCGGCTATTTTTTTATCTTTAGTAGAGGCGAGGTTTCACCACGTTGGCCAGGCTGGTCTCAAACTCCTGACCTCAAATGATCTGCCCACCTCAGCCTCCCAAAGTGTGGGATTACAGGCGTTAGCCACCACGCCCAGCCTTGCTTTTCTTTTTTAGAGACAAGGTCTCACTCTGTCACCCAGGCTGGAATGCAGTGGCATGACCATAGCTCAATGAAGCCTGAAGTCCTGGCTGAACCAATCTTCCTGCCTCAGACCACTGTGTAGCTGGGACGACAGGTGTGCACCACCATGCCAGCTTATTTTTATTCTTTGTAGAGATGGAGTCTTGCCTTGTTGCCCAGGCTGGTCCCAAACTCCTGGCCTCAAGCAATCTTCCTGCCTTGAGAAATTACTTTTAAACGTGTTAAGACCCCACATGGCCAAGTCAAGCAGGCCAGGCTGCTGTTTCTCAGTGTGGACTGCAGGATGCACTGCTGGCCTAGCGGGCACCCTCAGTGAGGGGCGTGCCCATTGTCCTGAGCCCAACCCTCTGGTCTGCAAAAAGACTGAGCCTGGAGACACTAAGGGCCTGTTTCCACACCTACAAAACAGGGACAAGAACTGCCCCCCCCAGCAGAGGGTACCTGCAAAACAGCCACCACCATCTGGCTCCTGGCCAGCACTTGGAGGTGGGAGCTGTCTTTATGGGGGTGTCCAATCTTTTGTGAGGTTCAATTTCGTGTCCTGAAGCTGGGGATGGGAGGCTCAAAGCCACAACCACCAAGTCTCAGTCCAGAGCCAGTCTCCTTGCCATCCTTACACCTGTCCCTGCAGACAGGGAGTCACCTGGAAAGGCCACGCTGCGAAGCCAACCAGGCCCCACGGGCAAGGGGGAAAGTCACGCCCTGGAAGACCCGGGGCTGTGCCTCAGTGCTGAAAGTGGACCCAGCACGCTGCAGGGCATTTCACAGCCATGCTGTGCCACATAAGGTGGCCCCTGCCTTGGCCCAGGGGTATGTGACCCATAGCAAAGCTGCATCTGAGGCCTCCCAGGGGCAACACGGCTGACATTTCTGACATTCCCCCTTTCCTTACAAAAGCACCTTGTTCTTTCCAGGATGACAAAACACTGACACTCAACTAGCTTAACCTGTTTAAGGAGGACAGGAAACAGAACACCCTGCCGTGCCTTGCAGCGTTAAACTCCCCTGCACTCGCAGGACAATGGTGATCTATACTACAGAGAAGCCCAAACCATCAAAGCTCGGGGAAGGGACGTGAAGACCTGTCACTTGACCTGTCCCGGAGCCACAGGAAGACAGGGCTGTCACTAACCCAGCATAAGCTCTGCCACAGAATATCCCTCATTGTTCCCCAGTAAGCCACTCAACGCCCACCAACTGGCATAGGGGAGGCTACCCCATCAGGCCAAGTGTGCCCCATCTGCTCCCACCCCAGGTTCCAATCAATACCTGCTGCTGGCCCCAAGGAGCCACGGGGTGAGGCTGGTCAAACCAAGGGGGCTTGTTTGGTGGGATCTGGTCGTGTGGCCCGGGGCCCCGGGGGCCGGCAGCTGCAGGATCCTGGACCCCTCCTGGAGCTTCGTACTCTGAAGAGCCAGGCATCTGGATGGGAGGCTTGCTGTCATCTAAATCCAAGTGACAGGCAGTTAGAGCAGGCCTGGCAGCAGGAGGCGCTGTCTCCTCTCCACACTACCCCAGAGCAAACCAGGCTACCGCTTTTAGTGCCCAGTGGATGATCGCTTCAGGACCCACTAAAACCATGACTATCACTGGCTTCCAGGAAGGGGACAGGGCGAGGGGAGGTTTCGACCTTGAACATGACACACATCTGTCCTTTTCAAAGCTTTACAAGAAACAGGCCTCACTTCTGCCTTCTTGGTTTGCTGAAGAATTTCTATCCACACTGAATTTGATTAGACATCTTTACTGTATCTAATTAAAAGGTCATTTCCCCACATCTGTTATTTTCTATTCTATACAATCCTCATATTCCTACAACAAATCTTCTTTGATCAGAATGTAATTTTAAAATCCTTTGCTAGGCCGGGTGCGGTGGCTCACGCCTGTAATCCCAGCACTTTGGGAGGCTGAGGTGGGTGGATCCCAAGGTCAGGAGATCGAGACCATCCTGGCTAACACGGTGAAACCCCGTCTCTACTAAAAATACAAAAAAGTAGCTGGGCATGGTTGCGTGCGCCTGTAGTCCTAGCTACTCAGGAGGCTGAGGTAGGAGAATGGCGTGAACCCAGGAAGCGGAGCTTGCAGTGAGCTGAGATCACGCCACTGCACTCCAGCCTGGGCGACAGAGCAAGACTCCATCTCAAAAAAAAATCAAAAACAAAATCCTTTGCTAGATTCTGCTAAGATTTCCTTCAGTATTTCCGTGTCTTTTTCAGAAGTGACACTAGATTGTATTTTCTGAGACAGGGTCTCGCTTTGTTACCCAGGCTGGAGTGCAGTGGTGTAAATGCAGCTCACTGCAGCCTCAATCTCATGGGCTCAAGTGATCCTCCCACCTCAGCCCCCAAGTAGCTGGGACGACAGGTGAGCACCATTTTTCTATTTTTAGTAGAGACGGGGTTTCACCATGTTGCCCAGGCTAATCTCAAACTCCTGGGCTCAAGCGATCTGCCCATCTTGGCCTCCCAAAGTGCTGGGATTACAAGCGTAAGCCACCATGCCTAGCCAATTATATTTTCAGTCTGTGCATTGTCCTTCCTGCCTGATGTAATAGTTACCCTAGTCTTGGGGAATGATCTGGGTACCTTTCCTCTATTTCTTTTCTCTGGGAACAGGAAACAGATCTTCTGCTGTTCAGGAATGGGATGGTTGTAGTTTTACTCTAGGATCACCTGGCTCGTGCTTGTAAATGGATGAAAACCTGGGCCTAGGAGCAGGCCTGGGACGAGGGAACAAGAACTGAGTCTGAGGGTGGCAGACTGCTTTCTGACTACACTCGGTGCCCAGCCTCTGGGGGCTGTTTCCTGGGGGCAGGCTGAGCTGAGGGAGCCCCGTACCAGGCTGGGTGGTGGGCGGGATGGCAGGGGCAGGTGCTGGGGCCGGGGGTGGAGCAGGCGGTGGAGGCGTGGCCTTGACTTCAGCCTCCATCTGCGGCATCTGGAGCTGCTGCTGCTGCTGTTGCTGCTGCTGCTGCTGCTGGGCCAGGCTGGTGACAAACTCCTCGTGCTGCGTCTTGAGGGTCTGGATCTGCTGCTGGAAGGCCAGCTGCACCGGCTGGACCACTGAGGAGTACTCGTTGATGAGGGTGGCCTGAGAGAGAGAAGAGCACCCGCTGCTCAGTATGCGGCCTTGGGGCTCGCTGCCTGGCGCCAGAGGACAAACGCCTGGAAAGCAGCAGAGCCTGGGGGACCTGGGGCAGGTGGACAGGGAACCGTCACGTGAAACAGCCAACACAGTCTGGGCAATCAGTGTGCGCTGGGATCTGGCCAGAGATTTGGGGATGAGGATGTTCGCTGCAGCGTGTTTTACGACTCCCTGATAACAGAACGAGCAACGACAGCCGTGTCCTGGCCGCTTCGTGGCTGCTCAGCGAACACTGCCCACCAACATTCTGGGACACGCTCATGGGCTCTGCCTCCCACTCGCCATGTGGCTCTCAGCAAGAGGGGCTGCCACAGCCTAAGCCACGTCTGGGCTTCCTCATGCTTCCACCACACCGGAACATGCCTGACCACCAGAGCAAATGGGCCATGTGCAATGACTCCGAAAGGCCGCCTGGTTCTAGTGTTCCAGGAAAGTCAGGGAGACACACCTAAGGCCTGGGAAATGTCACCTGGGACTCTCTGGTCAACACACACTGGCTACTCCTAGCACAGGCAGGGGACATGGGCTCTCTGGCTGCTGGGGTGGCAGCTGCTGTCCCCACACTCCCAAACCCTCCTGGGGAACCCGCCCCAGCTCTAGGGTGAGGTGTGGGTGGGCAGGGACACTCACCTGGTACTGACCAAGCCCCAGGGCTGGGCTCTGTAGCTGCTGAATGATGGAGTCATCGAAGTAGCCGTTTTTCTCCCAGAGCTGCAGGAGCTGGCGGTGGGAGGAGAGAGAGGCCGGGTCAGTGGGGAGGGGAAAGGCCTGTGTGTCCCGGTCTTGCCCAACCCCCGGCCCGGGGCCCACGCACCCGGGCGATCTTCTGCTGCTTGTCTTCCTCCACGGCCAAGAAGCTGGTGCAGTAGATGGGCACCACGACCTTCTGCAGGGCGGCCAGCAGCTCCCGGGCCTGCTTGCGCTGGCTGTGAGGGAGAGACTTTCCGCGCGTCAGGGCCCTGGGGCGGGACCCGGCCACGCGCCCGTTACCATCGCGGCTCCAGCCTCAGCGCCCTCTGCCTTCTCGGGAATCGGGTCCCCAACCCGGTCAGGGCGATGGCTGGGCTCCCACGAGACCTGTGCTGGTGCCTGGGCTCGAGGAAGGGACAGATGGAAAAACAGCAAGCAGGGGAGGGAGAGAACGTGGCCTGGGGCCGTTCTGAGCAAGGCCTTTTGGTCCAGTCCCCTTGATAGGAAATAACCTTCCCTCCTTCCCTCTTGGGTGGCGCTGCGGGTGAAGGGATATGGGCCGGCGGGAGCCCCTGCCTGTGTATGATGGGCGGGATGGGACTGCTGCGGAGTGGGGGTCTTGTCCTTGTCACTCACTATGCACAAGGAAACCTCGGCCCAGGCCAGGCCTCTTGGGAGAAGGAGGGAGGGTGCCCAGTCCCTCAGGAACCTAGAACACTTTAGAAGAGTGACCGGATGCCCAGCGGGGGGAGGCGCCGGGCCCATGTCCTCTCAGGGCTGCTGTGCAGTGCTGCACAGGACACTGTGCATACCTGGCCTGGGAGGCCCCTGCCGCTGCGCAGGGAGATGGCTGCCCCTGGGGAGGGACGCAAGACAGGAGGGGAGCAGCTGGAAGCCCCTCAGCCCTCAGCTTGCCGCAGGGGGCTCAGGGGAGCAAGGGCCTGGGCTGGGCGAGCAGCACTTGGCTTCGGACAGAGTAGAGCTAGAGAGGCGCGTGGCTGGAGAATGCGGGAAACTGTGCATCCGTGCAAGGCACCCGACTCAGAGGCAGGGAGAAATGGAGGCATGAGGAGGAGCAGAAGGGCAGAGCTGGTGCCGAGCCGCAACTCACTTCCCAGCAGGAGAGAAACAGGGACTGAGGTGGGGAGGCAAGAGGGACTCAGGCAGTGCTGCATGTGATAGATGGGGCGAGATGGGTGCTGGCAGCCTGGCCCACTGTAGAGGCACACGAGGCGCCAGGCCAGGACTGCTGCCCGCTAGGCTCAGTAGCAATGCTTGTCTCCTCCCGCACGTGCGGGCCTTTGGCCTGGGGTTCTATTGTTTTTTTTTTCTTTTTTGCTAATTTTTGTGAGAAGGGCCCCAGTGACCCTGTAGAAGGAAATACCCACCCAACCTTGGGGAGGGTGGAGACAGCAACAGTGGGAAGGGTGAGGGCTGGGTGGGGACAGAGGGTCGGCAGATGTGGCTCTGTTGAAGCCTGAGAGATGGGTCAGGGCTGGAGAAGGGGATCCCAAAGGAGGGTCCTGATGGCTGAGCAAAGTCAGGTGACCGCGTGTGTGTGCGTGCAAATCAGTGACGAGGGCAGGAGACAGACACAGAGGCCAAGGAGGCCGTGGCTGAGAAGGCAACAAGGAGACGCCAAGAAGCTGCCCCATGAGAGGAAGGAGTGCAGGGGACAGTGGCCCCCAGGAGACAGCAATGTGACAGGTGAGGCCGGGGTCTAGGGGAGAGGACAGGGCATGCAGCGAAGGTGCACAGGACACCTAGACCTCGCAGTCCTGGAGACAGAAGCCTGGTGGCTCACAGAGACCCCCCACCCGGGGTCCCCGGACAAGTGCCCCCTAGTCTCGGGACAGGCCAAGCCAAGCTACCGACCGGAGCAAGCGGCCACCCAGGAGGGTTGAGGAGGAGCGCGAGGAAGTGGCGCTCTGGGCACGGGGTGGCGGCGCTCACCAGTGGTGCAGCACGTCATTGATCAGGTAGATGAGGTGCAGCCGCAGCTCGAAGTGTGCCCCATCAGCCGTGATGCGGTTCCGGAGGTGGCCGGCCATCAGCTCACAGTGCGGCGGGGACTTGGCATTGCTGAACATCCAGTTCTTCCCGGCCTGCAACAACCGAGCCAATGACGAGTGAGCAGGGCCGCGGCTCCCCCAGGCACCCACTGCATCCCTGAGAGCGCGTCACCATCAGCTCAGGGAAGGACACACCATGAGCGTGGGGGGCACAGGGTCCCACAGCCTCAGGAGCTCCAGGCGGGAGGGAAGGGCACCCATTGTAACAGCCCTTAGCCCAGATTGGCTACGACAGGCCCTGCCTCAGGGAGGGACCAAGGGAAAGCTGGGCTCTGGGAAGTGCTGGCCCCTCACCGAGATGGCGTCCTTGGTGCACGTGTCGATGATGGGCTGCAGGAGGTTGTCAAACTCGTTCATGTCTAGCTGGGTCTCCTCCAGAAGCTTCTGCATCTGCTGCTCCACCGCGTGGGCCACGGCCGCTGTCACTTGCTCCTGCGGGCGGGGGTCGGTGGGGTCGAGAACACATGAGGAGGGACCCGCAGCCTGAGCCCTCCGGCCTGGCTCAGCAGGGGCGGGGTGGGGACATGGTGGCGATGCCCGGACTCTGGGCTGCTCTGGCCATCAGCTCCCTTGCTTGTCCCCAGCAGGAGGAGATTCTGTCTCTCATGCCTGCCGTGAATCTGTGACAGTCCCTCCTGGAGTGGGCAGGGCACTGACAGGACATACCAGGAGACAACACCTGCCCTCCAGGTAACCAAGGAAAACACTGCAGCCCAGAGGAACAAACAACCTCTGCAAACCAACTCAACAAAAAACAAAGGCGGGGCGCGGTGGCTCATGCCTGTAATCCCAGCACTTTGGGAGGCTGAGGCGGGAGGATCGCTTGAGCCCAGGAGCTCCAGACCACCTGGGCAACGTAGCGAAACCTCATCTCTACAAAAAATAAAATACAAATTAGTTGAGCATGGTAGTGTGTGCCTGTGTTCCCAACTACTTGGGAGGCTGAGGCGGAAGGATTGCTGGAACCCAGGAGTTCAAAGTTAAACAGTGAGCTGTGACTGTACCACTGCACTCCAGCCTGAGTGACACAGCAAGACCTTGTCTCTAACAACAACAAAACAACAACAACAACAACAACAAAAAGAAAAGAAAAGAAAAAAAAAGACAAATGAGGCATGGTGTGAACGACAGGCAATAGAAGAAGAGGATACACCCATGGCCTCTAGTGAAGCAAGAAGGGGGCAATCTCATTCCTCAAGAGGAAACACCGGTTAAAGTGCGACTGGTAAAAACAGAGCTGCCATGCGGACCAGCGGTCAGTTACGGCTGGTCAAGGCAGGCCTCCCACTCCATGATGAACAGAAGCTGAGGGTGAGCATTCTGGAACTTTCTTTTCTTTTCTTTTTTTTTTTTTTGAGATGGAATCTCGCTCTGTCGCCCAGGCTGAAGTGCAATGGCATAATCTCAGCTCACTGCAACCGCCACTTCCCGGGTTCAAGCAATTCTGCCTCAGTCTCCCGCGTAGCTGGGACTACAGACACCTGTCACTGCACCCAGCTAATTTTTGTATTTTTTACTAGAGACAGGGTTTCACCATATTGGCCATGCTGGTCTCAAACTCCTGACCCTGTGATCCGCCTGCCTTGGCCTCCCAGAGTGCTGGGATTATAGGCTGAGCCACTGTGCCCAGCTGGAATTTTCTGAGAGCAATATGACAGTGTGATTTTATGCCCTGAACCTAGTACTGAGCGTGGGGTTGGTGTTTTGGAGGTTTGGTATTCTATTCCTCTCATTTTTCTGGCAATGCACTTGTAGTATTTTATTTATTTATTTTTTCTGAGACTGAGTCTTGCTCAGTCACCCAGGCTGGAGTGCAGTGGTGCAATCTCAGCTCATGCAACCTTTTCCTCCCAGGTTGAAGCAATTCTCCTGCCTCAGCCTCCCAAGTAGCTGGGATTACAGGCGTGCACCACCACGCCCAGCTAATTTTTGTATTTTTCATAGAGACAGGGTTTCATCATGTTGACCAGGCTAGCCTCGAACTCCTGACCTCATGATCTGCCCATCTCAGCCTCCCAAAGTGCTGGGATTACAGGTGTGAGCCACCACACCCAGCCAATGCACCTGTATTCTATTTGGCGAAAGTTATCAAACTGTTGGACCAGGAAGGACAAAAGGGTCCTTCTGGCCAGGTGGATCACCTGAGGTCAGGAATTTGAGACCAGCCTGGCCAACCTGGTGAAACTCCATCTCTACTACAAATAGAAAAATTAGCCGGGTGTGGTGGTGCATGCCTGTAATCTCAGCTACTCCAGAGGCTGAGGCAGGAGAATCGTTTGAACTCGGGAGGTAGGGGCTGCAGTGAGCTGAGATCACGCCTCTGCACTCCAGCCTGGGCGACAGAACAAGACTTAAAAAAAAAAAAGGGTCCTTCCCCAACCAACAGCTCCAGGTGACCTAGCTACTGTGTGGTGGGGCCAATGGTAGGCACCAGAGGCTGCCTGGCCACAGCCATTAGGGAGCTTCAAGGTGCATACGTGCCCCACAGTCCCACTCAGGGGGGTCCACCCCAGGGTGATGGGTGCACGCACGTCCAGTGGCTTCACTGAGATGAGAAGCAGCCTCTGTGTCTGGCATCAGGGCTGGGGGTGACAGTGGCTGACATGCACCGAGCCCTGGGTGGCAGGGGGGGCCCTGTCCTCACTGACACCTGTTATTCATTCTGATGAGCAGACGCAAAAACAGAGGCACAGGGGAGCTGCTGGTGTCTGGCCGAGGAGGCGGCGGGCCCATACCTGTCTGAGCGCCAGCAAGTGCTGCTCCTGCTGCTGGAGGTTCCACTGGCTCTGCTGGATGAGCTCGTCCATGGATGGCGCGCCCTGGGCCGGCGGGATGGGCGCGGCGGGGGCCAGCGGGGGCTGTGGCAGGGGTGGCATGGTGGCGGCTGGCTCCAGCTCCGGGGTCTGCTGCTTGCAGATGACTGGAGGGAGAGGAGGAGGGGTGCCCCATGAGAATGCAGATGGGGGTCTAGGTGTCCCCTTGGCCACCTCTCAGCCACAGGGGCCTCCCCCTCCCCAGGGACTCACCATCCACGAGGGCCTGTTCATAGCCTCATGCCCACGCAAACCAGCTCCTCCTAGTCTCGGGTCCTGCCCTCCCTCTCACAGGATCCCAGCCTCAGCATTCCATCTTCGGGCCGTCCCCTCCTCGGAGAACCTAGGAAGTCCCCTGGCCGCTCTCTCGCCAGCACCATCCAGTCCTTGCGCAGTGTCCTTCCGGTGCAAGCTAAGCTTGCCTGCCCACCTCCTCACCCACCTAGGCCCCACCTGATGCAGAACCCAGGCCTCAGTACCTCTCATCCTCCGACCTCCTCGGCCACTCCCTGACCTCTGCCACTTAAGCTACCCATTGACTGTTAAGATGTCACAGCCACCGGGCCTCTGCACATCTGGCCAGAAAGGCACGAAGCCGCACCCCCGAGCGCACACTGCGGCCTCCCCCACACCTGCCTTGTCCTTCTACTGACTCTCCTTGCTTCTCCAGCCCTTGGGGACAGAGACCCCTCTGCATTCAGGGGTGCATCCAGTTTGAGGCAGCAGTGAGACACCCATTCTGCCGGCAGAAGCCTGGGTCAGGGTGGGCGCAGGTCCCAACTCTGGCCAGATGGGGCAGGTGGTGAGGTCTCTGAGGAAGGGACCCGGCTCATAAGGAGGCCCTGGACAAGATGACCTGCCTCTCTCTCCGTCTTGGGGCCGCCTGGTCTAAATGTGACCAGGTACCCCTGGAGCCCTCCAGAGCCCCACTCCAAGGGGACCAGGACAAAGCCAAAGATAAGGGAGGTGGGGTGTCAGGTGGAAGGTGTCGCCCCTCACTGGGCGCTCAAGTCAAGTCTCGGGGCTGACTGTGCCCTCCAGTTTGTGCACCCAAAGCCACCCTACAGGATGACCCCCAACTTCTGCACTGAATCCCACCCCTCCCACTGTCTGAGGGACACTGCTTATTGATATTTCTTCTATCTCTTATTTCTCCAACTCCTCCCTCTTTACCCGTCCCTCCCCAGCAGCATCTAAACACATTGGGCTGGGCATGATGGCTCACGCCTATAATCCCAGCACTTTGGGAGGACAAGGCGGGTGATCACCTGAGGTCAGGAGTTCGAGACCAGCCTGGCCAACATGGCCCTGTCTCTACTGAAAATGCAAAAAATTAGTCGGGCGTGGTGGCGGGCACCTGTAATCCCAGCTACCTGAGAGGCTGAGGCAGGAGAATTGCTTGAGCTTGCAAGGTGGAGGTTGCAGTGAGCCGAGATGGCGCCACTGCACTCCAGTGTGGGTGACAGAGTGAGACTCCATCTCAAAAAATAAAAAAGGAAATAAATAAACACATCAGAATATTCTGGGTTGGAAACTTCTCCCTTTACCCCATGATCCCTCTCTAAACGATTTCTCAGACAAGACTCACTCCAGATCTTCACCTCCCCTTTATCTCAGCCTGGTGCCTGCTTGCCACTCCCCGCACCCCCCTCCTTCCCCCAGGCAGCTGAGGACACCCTCACTCAACTCAGCCCCCCGGGCCTGTCGCAGGTGCTTGCCTCCCTTGGCCTCCATGTGTTCGCCCCCTCAGTCCCTTTCTCCCCCTTTACCAACCCCTCTCCCGTTGGACCCTCACATGCTGGGGTGCGCGGCCTGTGTTCTGAGCCCTGTCCTCCGCTCTACGCAACCGCCGGGCAACATGAGCTACTCATTCCTGTGGCTGCGATTGTGCATGGTGTGATTCCTAAATCCATCATCTCCATTCTGGATTCCTGAGCTTTGGCCCTAACCACCAACTGCACGGCCCACTGTGTTTCCAAGGGGCCTGTGTTTCCTCTCACCCCCTACACCTATGTCCCCTCCTGTGCTCCCCGCACCATGGTTGGCACCACCATCTGCCCAGAAACCCAGGCCAGAAGTAGCATGTGCCTCCCAGTGACGAGCCACATAGTGTCAAGGCGGCCTCCGAGACATCACTCCAATCAGTCTATGTCCCCGCTGTCACCACCATGGATCTGCTGTCACCTGCGTCACCCCAGAACCGGTCTTCCTGCATCAGGTCCCATCCCTCTACCTCTTTTTGACATGGCAGTCATGGTATTGCCACTTATGGAGTGGTCCCTGGGCTACCCAGCGGTGACAGACGGTTATGGAACCAGAAAGGGAGCATTTCAAAACCTTTCTAGCAGCGTGATGGTTCACGGTCCACATTGTTACTGTGCTTTGCAGAAGTTTTGGTCCACACACAACAGGTTAGAAACTTAAAACACAACACCAGAAATGGTCCTTCACCACAGAGTTCGTGAAGCTCCATTCTACAACAGTTGAGGCCCAGGCTTTAAGGCGTGGGGTGCAGAACTGGCTGTACTGTGGCTAACCCAGCTTCACAACACAGACCTAAACCTTCCACGAGTCTCTCCCACGCTTCCAGGATACACTCCTCACTCCTCTCCAAGCCAGGTCCCCGACTCCTCCCCAAGCCAGGCCTCCAACTCCTCCCCAAGCCAGGCTCCCAATTCTGCACCCCCACCTCTGGCCACTCCAAGAACCCCTCCTACTCTGGGCTTCAGCCACCCTAAGCTCTGGGTTCCCCATTCCCTCCAAGGGCTCCTTCCTCTGCCCGGAACACTTTTCTCCCCTTGTTTTCACCTGGCCAACTCCAACACACCCTTTACATCTAGCCAAGATATCATCACCCACAGAAAGCACTTCTTGGCTGGGTACGATGGCTCACGCCTGTAATCCCAGCACTTTGGGAAGCCAAGGTGGGCGGATCATGAGTTCAAGAGATCAAGACCATCCTGGCCAACATGGTGAAACCACATCTCTACTAAAAATACAAAAATTAGCTGGGTGTGGTGGCGCACGCCTGTAGTCCCAGCTACTTGGGAGGCTGAGGCAGGAGAATCGCTTGAATCTGGGAGGCAGAGGTTGCAGTGAGCCAAGATCTTGCCACTGTACTCCAGCCTGGGCAACAAGAGCAAGACTCCATCTCCAAAAAAAAAAGAAAGCACTTCTTGGCTTCAATCTTCCTGGGCTATAAGCATAAGCACCCTCTCCTTCCTCATAATGGCACCAGCTTCCAAGTGGCCACCCCCCCGCCCCAGAAAGGGAAAGCAGCCCTTAGCTCAGTCACCCAAGCCAAAGCACCGTCTGAGGTGTCTTCCTCCCCTGCTCATTACACCATCAGGTCGTCAATATGCAACTGGCGCCCAAGTTCATGGATTCTACCCCTTCACCCCACCTGCCCCCCATGCTCCCTCCCTCAGGCTCAACCTACTGACTTAATTCAGACCCCACCATCTCTCACCTAAACAACTGCCCTGTTTGCTCCCCTGCAGGCCTCACTGCTCCCCAGGCTGGTCCCTGTAGCTTGTCCTACACCACCGGCCACACAACCCAAGCCACCCTCTCCCTTGTTTAAAACTCTTGTGGCTTCCCGCTGCCTTTAGAAACGGTTTTTTTTTTTTTTTTTTTGAGACGGAGTCTCGCTCTGTCGCCCAGGCTGGAGTGCAGTGGTGCGATCTCGGCTCACTGCAAGCTCTGCCTCCCAGGTTCACGCCATTCTCCTGCCTCAGCCTCCCAAGTAGCTGGGACTACAGGCGCCCGCTACCACGCCTGGCTAATTTTTTGTATTTTTAGTAGAGACGGGGTTTCACCGTGTTAGCCAGGATGGTCTCGATCTCCTGACCTCGTGATCCGCCCGCCTCGGCCTCCCAAAGTGCTGGGATTACAGGCGTGAGCCACCGCGCCCGGCCTAGCAACGGTTTTAAACTTGGTGTGCTGGGGCTAAGGAAGGATCGCTCTAGAAACACATAAGCACATACAATATTTTGCTTACGATTTCAGGCAGCTGATCTCTCTCCACCCCACCCCCGCATCTCAAACCTAAATAGGCATCAGAAAAACCCCTGGATTGAGTGAAAAAACCCAAACTTTTCCCCTGGCAGTTAACACTCCAGGTCAAACTCTTCCCTCATACAAGCACATTCTTTTATTAAATAGATTCTCTACTATGTCACCCAGGCTGGAGTGCAGTGGCTATTTACAGGCGTGAGGCCACTACTGATCGGCACAGGAGTTTCGACCTGCTCCATTTCTGACCTGGGCCAGTTCACCACCCCTTAGACAGTCGAGTGGTCCCCAGCTCCCAGGGGGTCACCATACTGACACTGAACTTACTGCACACACTCAATCGACACAGCGCACTACAGCCCTGAACTCCCGGGCTCAAGCAACCCTCCAGCCTCAGCCTCTTGAGTAGCTGGGGGTACGGTGTGTGCCACTGTGCCTGGCAATACACACATAAACTCTCTCTCTGTTTCTTGTTCAAGAAACTGCCCCTTTGCAATGTTCTACTCTCTCAGCCTTTCAAGTTTTTGTTGTTGTTGTTGTTAGATGGAGTTTCGCTGTCTCCCAGGCTAGAGTGCAGTGGCACGATCTTGGCTCACTGCAACCTCCACCTCCCAGGTTCAAGCGATTCTCCTGCCTCAGCCTCCCGGGTAGCTGGGACTACAGGTGCCCACCACCATGCCTGGCTAATTTTTTTTGTATTTTTAGTAGAGATGGGGTTTCACCATGTTGGCCAGGCTGGTCTCGAACTCCTGACCTCAAGTGATCCGCCTGACTCAGCCTCCTAAAGTGCTGGGATTACAGGCACAAGCCACTGGGCCTGGCCTCCTTTCAAGCTGCTTTTTTTTTTTAGATGGAGTCTCATTCTGTCACCCAGGCTGGAGCGCAATGGTGTGGTCTCGGCTCAATGCAACCTCCAGCTCCCAGGTTCAAGCGATTCTTCTGCCTCAGCCTCTCCAGTAGCTGGGACTACAGGTGTGTGCCACCACACCTGACTAAGTTTTGTAATTTTAGTAGAGATAGGGTTTCACTATGTTAGCCAGGCTGTTCTCAGACTCCTAACCTCAAGTGATCTGCCCGCTTCAGCCTCCCAAAGTGCTGGGATTACAGGCGTCAGCCACTACGCCTGGCCTCCTTTCAAGCCTTTTCTTTTTCTTTCTTTCTTTTTTTTTTTTGAGATGGAGTCTTACTCTGTCACTCAGACTGCAGTGCAATGGCGTGGTCTTGGCTTACCGCAACCTCCACCTCCCGGGTTCAAGCGATTCTCCCGCCTCAGCCTCCCAAGTAGCTGGGACTACAGGCGCGGGCCACCACACCCGGCTAATTTTTGTATTTTTCGTAGAAACAGGGTTTCACTATGTTGGCCAGGCTGGTCTCAGACTCCTAACCTCAAGTGATCTGCCCGCCTTGGACTCCCAAAGTGCTGTGATTACAGTATGAGCCACTGCAACAGGCCTCCTTTCAAGCTGTTTAATCGAACACCAACTGTGTGTTATGTATTAAGGGACAATGACCTTGTACCTTAATACAAGACGAGCGTGTAGTCCCCTGAACTACACGCTCGCCGAAGCCAAACAGACCTTGTTTGGGTCATTGTACCTTAATACATAACACACAATTGGCGTTCGATCAAACAGCGGACAACCACCTCTCAATGTCCATCTACCTGGCAAACTCCTAGTTATTCATTTAAACAATCTAGAGACGGGGTTGGGTACTGAACGTGACAGATGTGATACCTGCCCTGAGCAGCCGCACCACCTGGTGACTATCCATTATTCAAAGGCCAGCTCTGCTTCCTAACTTTAAACTTCTTTAGAGCAGGACTGGAATCCTGTTGCCTAAATGAACGAACATTGATAAACACTTGCCAATAACTAAAACTCAGAGGGATAATTCTTTTTGATTTCTGCTGCAGGCATCTGAAATGCACAAAACCTTGCTGGACCCACAGGGAGACGGCAAAGGGGGCTGGACAGTGCCTGTCCCATGGACTCCCATCCGGCCTCTATCACTTCCTCCCTAGAAAACACTAAAACAATCACGCTACTCCTGCTAATCTCCGTCATCAGTCTGCAAAACAACAGCAAAATCCCTGATCCAGAGCCCAGGGGGGAGGATCGAAAACCTCGTTGTTCTCCATTACAGTGGCACCCAGCAGCCGCTCTGTGCAGGGCCGTGGGAACAGCGGAACAGGGATCGTGTGGACCGAGCTGCTCCACTTCAAAGAATAAACGACCCGAAAGAAAGAGGTTTGTGGCAGAGCCCGGACTGGAATCCGAGAAAGGAAGCGCTCGATGGGACGGCCTGAGTGCCGGAGGGGACTCACGCTGCTGCTGCTCCAGCGCCAGCTTGCACTTGTAGTAACTGTAGAATTCGCCTCCGAAAAGAAACGAGAATTTGGGGTTGTCCTTCTGCTTCTCCATAGTCATCTTCTCAAACTCGGGCCCATTGCGAGCCACGAACTGGGCGAGCTTGTCGATGACATTTCGAAGCTCCTGGTCTGGAGGACGGAGAAAAGGCCACGCGGGGCGTCAGCGAGGACCGCCCAAAGCCGGGGGACTCGGCGCCCCAGCCCCCGTCCGCCTTGCCGGGGACCCCAAGGGGGTGGGCCCCGAAGAGGCCGCCCTTGTACGGGTCCCGATAGGGGCCACACGCTCGCCGGGAATGCGGGGACCCACGGGAGAGGCCGCAGGCGAAGCCGCGAGGCCGAGCCCCGCCCCCTCCCAGACCCGGGGACTCCGGGAGGCGGGGCCGGCCAATAGGAGGTTCCGGGGAGAGAGAAACGGTCTCTCGGCCGGTTTGGGTCTCACCATCGGGGGGCAGCGGCATCTCCATGGCTCCGGCCGCGGGGAACGTCCTCCGGCGCCACACGATCGACCACCAGCGCCGTCTGCGGAAGCCGGCCGGAAGTGGCGCGAGGGAGCCGTTTACGGCGGGCTTCTAGGGCCGCTTCCGCCCGCCACTTACGGCCGTCGCTGGGAAACTCCGGAAGTGAGAGCGGGAGGCAGGCGGGAAGAAGCCGCGCGATGCCTGGCGCGCGGGAGGGGCTAGCGACGCGCACGCGCAGAAGTTTCCTGACACTTTCGCAGAGTGGGTCCCCGTCGCGCGGCGCCGCGGAAAGGCTGGAACGGCGCGGGTGGGTGTTAGTCGAGACCGGGGGGCGCGGGGCGTGCCCCTTGGTCGGCGTCGCAGCCCGATGGGCTGGCTGGTTGCTACCTCCGGGCGACCAGGGGCCTGGGGACTTCGTGCCTGGGCCAGGGTCTCTTTCCTTTCGCGGGCACAGTGAGGAGACTGCGAGGTGAGGTGCGTCCGGGTGGATCCCGGGCTGCGGCGACTGTCACATTCTCCCCGGCCAGACCGGAGGTGGAGCAGAACTGGGGGCGACGAGCTTGACTGGGATTGCAGCTGGACGTATTTAGGTTCAAAACATCCTCCTCCTGGCTTTCTTCCGCTCCACTCTTTGGTCAGGAAGACTGGGGCGGGGTACCCCCCAACCCATGCCCTCAAATTGCTGGCCTAGAGGGCACAGCGCCTTTCTAAAAGCTGCAGTTGGGTTGCCTCTAAAATAATGAAGCTAACCCTTGCTAATTGTGGGGAAAAGATAGCCAGAAGCAGCAAATTTCTGCTGTGGACGTCCGATATAAACTGATCCTCTTGAGATGGTTAATGCTTAGTTGGCTATACCTGCCCCCCGCCCCCGCCGCTTTTTTTTCCTTTATCCGTTTTTTTTTTTCTTTTTTCTTGAGACAAGGTCTTGCTCTGTGGCCCACGCTGGAGTGCAGTGTCATGATCATAGCTCACTAGCCCTGAACTCCTGTGCTCAAGTAATCCTCCCGCCTCGGCCTCCCAAAGTGCTAGGATTATAGGCATGAGCTACTTTACCCAGCCTGTTTTTTTCTGTGCAAATAAATGCACATGTATTTTAGATTAGTTTCATTTTTATTGTTAACAGCATTTTTCCACCAGATGCTTATGGATTGACAACTCTACATCAAGTGTTGCTGTAGGCTAGGAATCAACAAAACTTTTTGTATAAAAGGGACAGAAAGCAAATATTTTAGACTCTGCAGGTCAGGAGGCAAGATCAAGGATTTTTTTTTTTCTAAATGTCCTCTAGTTCATATTTTCTCATGAAGATCGAGGATCTTAATTGTTTGGTTTTTTTTTTTTTTTGAGACACAGTCTTGCTCTCTCTCGCCCAAGCTGGAGTGCAGTGGTGTGATCTCGGTTCACTGCAACCTCTGCCTCCCGTGCTCAAGCAATTCTCCTGCCTCAGCCTCCAGGGGAGCTGGGACTACAGGTGCGCACCACCACGCCCGGCTAATTTTTGCATTTTTAGTAGAGATGGGGTTTCACCAGGTTGGCCATGCTGGTCTTGAACTCCTGACCTCACATGATCTGCCTGCCTTGGCCTCCCAGACTGCTGGGATTACAGGTGTGAGCCACCCTACCCAGCCTTATTTAGGTATTTCTATAACCAGAAAGAAAAGTTCATAAAATTTTTGTTGGTGAAAATCAAAATATGATAACTGAGTAGTTTCTTAAATACAAGTTGCTACAGTTTGAATGTTTGTTCCTAATCCCCAGTGAAACAGTATTAAGAGGTGGAGCCTTTAAGAGGTGATTGGGTTATGAGGTCGTGCCATTCATGTGTTAATGGATAAATAGGTTATCATGGGAGTGGGACTGGTTTGGAGCTTGCAGTGAGCTGAGATTGCACCACTGCACTCCAGCCTGGGCGACAGAGTGAGACTCCATCTCAAAAAAAAAAAATAAATAAAATAAATAAAATAAAATAAAAAGAGGAAGAAAGGCCAGGCTCAGTGGCTCATGCCTGTAATTCCAGCACCTTGGGAGGCCAAGGCACGCAGATCACCTGAGGTCAGGAGTTCGAGACCAGCCTGGCCAACATGGAGAAATCCCATCTCTACTAAAAATACAAAAATTAGCCGGGCATGGTGGCGGATGCCTGTAATCCCATCTACTTGGGAGGCTGAGGCACGAGAATCACTTGGACCCAGAAGGCAAAGGTTGAGGTGGAGGTTACAGTGAGCCAAAGTCGTGCCACTGCACTCCAGCCTGGGCAACAGAGCAGGACTCCGTTTCAAAAAAAAAAGGAAGAGAGACCTGAGCTTGCACACAGCCTGCTAGCCATGTGATGCCCTGTGCTACCTCAAGACTCTGCAGAGTCCCCACCAGCAAGAAGGCCCTTGATTTTGGATATCTCAGCCTCCAGAACTGTAAGAAATAAATTTCTCTTCTTTAAAAATTGCCCAGTCTCAGGTGTTCTTTTATAGCGATGCAAAATGGACTAAGACCCAAGTCTATTCATAAGAGTGGAATTCTTTTGGGGGATAACATTTCACTTAATTGGGGCTCCCAGTTGTATTTCCTGTCGTCAATTGATGGTACATGTTCACCTTTGAAAAACCTTCCTGGCTCACAAAAACAGGCGGCCAGTTGGATGTGGTTTATAGATACGGTCATGCACAACTCAGATCTCAGCTCTGCTCTCAGGGGACTCAGTCTATGGCGGGGAAGAGTCCCAAAATCAGTAAACAAATATATCATCTCAAAGGTGTTATTAAGAAGAGGATGCTGAGACTATGATACAAGGGAGGGTGAGGCCCAGGCTGATAGGGTTGTCAGGAAAGGCTCTCGAGGTGAGGTCTGCACTATGATCTGAACAAGGGGCCAGCTCTAAACACCCTAAACAGGCAGAGAGAACAGTGTGGGATCATACTGTTTATTTAAAAAATATTTTTTATTTTTTATTTTTTTTGAGATGGAGTTTCACTCTTGTTGCCCAGGCTGGAGTGCAATGGCGTGATCGCGGCTCACCACAGCCTCCGCCTCCCGGGTTCAAGCAATTCTCCTGCTTCAGCCTCTCGAGTAGCTGGGATTACAGGCATGCGACACCACACCCGGCTAGTTTTTTATTTTTAGTAGAGATGGGGTTTCTGCCTGTTGGTCAGACTGGCCTCAAACTCCCAACCTCAGGTGATCCACCCGCCTCAGCTTCCCAAAGTGCTGGGATTACAGGCATGAGCCACCGTGCCTGGCCCTAAATTTTTTATATATTTTTTTGAGACGGAGTCCTGTCTGTTGCCCAGCCTAGAGTGCTGTGGTTCAATCTCGGCTCACTGCACCTTCCGCCTCCCACACTCAAGTGATTCTCCTGCCTCAGCCTCCTAAGTAGATGGGATTACAGGCGCCTGCCATCACACCCAGCTAATCTTTGTATTTTTAGTAAAAACGGGGTTTCACCATGTTGGCCAGGCTGGTCTTGAACTCCTGACCTCAACTGATTTGCCTGCCCTGGCTTCCTAAAGTGCAGGGATTACAGGCATGAGCCACCGTGCCCAGCCCATACTATTTGAAGAACAGTCAGTAATCCAGAGTGTGGGCACTTTTCATGCCAGGTAAAATCTACATGAAGAAGTTTTTTTTGTTTTTTTTGTTTTTTTTTTTTTTGAGACAGAGTCTTGCTCTGTCACCCAGGCTGGAGTGCAGTGGTGTGATCTCTGCTCACTGCAACTTCTGCCTCTGGGGTTCAAGCAATTCTGCCTCAGCCTCCCGAGTAGCTGGGACTACAGGTGCACACCACACCCAGCTAATTTTTTTTTTTTTCTGAGGAGTCTCACTCTGTTGCCCAGACCGGAGTCCAGTGGTGCAGTCTCTGCTCACTGCAAGCTCCACCTCCCGGGTTCACACCATTCTCCTGCCTCAGCCTCCCGAGTAGCTGGGACTACAGGCACCCGCCACCGCGCCCGGCTAATTTTTTGTATTTTTAGTAGAGACGGGGTTTCACCGTGTTAGCCAGGATGGTCTCAATCTCCTGACCTCGTGATCCGCCCACCTCGGCCTCCCAAAGTGCTGGGATTACAGGCGTGAGCCACTGCGCCCGGCCTACCCCCAGCTAATTTTTGTATTTTTAGTAGAGATGGTTTCACCATGTTGGCCAGGCTGGTCTAAAACTCCTGACCTCAGGTGATCCACCTGCCTCGGCCTCCCAAAGTGCTGGGATTACAGGTGTGAGCCACCGTGCCCGGCTACATCAAGGAGTTTTAACTTGGGATCTCCAATGGATAGATTTCAGAGAACCATGAACAAAATTGGTAGCAAAATAAATGCCTTTTTGAGGGTTGAAGATACACAGCGTTTACAGGATTCTTAATAGGCTCCTCAATCAGAACAGGTTAATGAATCTGTATTGTCATTTTTTTTTTTTTTTAGACAGAGTCTCACTCTGTTGCCTAGGCTGGAGTGCAGTAGCATGATCTCGGCTCACTGCAACCTCCGCCTCCCAAGTTCAAGAGATTCTCCTGCCTCAGCCTCCTGAGTAGCTGGGATTATAGGCATGTGCCATGACACCCAGCTAATTTTTGTATTTTTAGTAGAGACAGGGTTTCACCATGCTGGCCAGGCTGGTCTTGAACTCCTGACCTCGTGATCCACCCGCCTCGGCCTCCTAAAGTGTTGGCATGACAGACGTGAGCTGCTGCGCCCGGGCGATGTTGTGATTTTTGAGGCTGCATAGGATGCCATGGTGTGGACTCACCACAATTTACTGAAGTGAGACTCTAGTCTCCTGGCTTGGTTCCATTTTTAGGCCACTGTTAAAAGTGTCTTAAGTGTATATAGGGTTGGGCGTGGAGGTTCACGCCTGTAATCCCAGGACTTTTGGAGGCCAAGGCGGGCAGATCACTTGAGGCCAGGAGTTCGAGACCAGCCTGGCCAACATGGAGAAATCCCGTTTCTACTAAAAAATAAATAATTAGCCGGGCGTGGTGGCACGTGCCTGTAATCCCAGCTACTCGGGAGGCTGAGGCAGGAGACTCACTTGAGTCTGGAGGTGGAGGTTGTAGTAAGCCGAGACTGCACCACTGTACTCTAGCCTGGGCAACAGAGTGACTCTGTCTCAAAAAAAAAGTGTCTTAGTAGATACAAACCTTGTGTAGAGTCAAAGGGTGTGCAAATTCAATACTGAGATTGCTCAGCTACCTTCTAGAAAGTTAGTACACCCACGGTCACTACTTTCATACATTTGTTTCAGATTGTTTAAAATGCTGCTGGGTATGGTGGCTCATGCCTGTAATCCCAGCACTTTGGGAGGCTGAGGCAGGCGGCTCACTTAAGTCAGGATTTCGAGACCAGCCTGGCCAACATGGTGAAACCCCATCTCTACTAAAAATACAAAAATTAGCCGGGCGTGGGGGCAGGCACCTTTAATTCCAGCTAATCAGGAGGCTGAGGCAGGATAATCACTTGAACCTGGGAGGGGAAGGTTGCAGCAAACCGAGATTGCGCCACTGCCCTCTAGCCTGGGTGACAGAGCGAGACTCTGTCTCAAAACAAAAACAGAAACAAAAAAGCCATGTATCTGAGATTGAAAATATAAGCCTCAGAGGGACCTCTACCAAGCTCATTTCAAAGGGTCAAATCAGAATCTACTGGTCAGAAGAAAGCAGTAGAAAGAGCTGGTAGACTGGCTGCTGCAGATACTCTCCAGCAAGTAAAGTGGACACCTCGAGTGAGATGAGCCTTGTGAAGGGACTCACCTAAGCAGCAACATGGAGGGCCAGGTGCACTGAGGGGGTTCTGTGGCCCATATGTCTGCTAGTTGTGATTTCTTGAGTCTGGACCCCTTAATCGGAATGGTCTCATTGTGGTCAGGGTCAGATGGTAACTAAAGTTTTGTGGGGTTTTATTGAAGACAGGGTCTCGCTCTGTCACCCAGGCTGGAGTGTAGCAGTGCGATCTCGGCTCACTGCAACCTCTGCCTCCCACGTTCAAGCGATTCTCCTGCCTCAGCCTCCCAAGTAGCTGGGATTACAGGAGCGTGCCACCACGCCTGGCTAGTTTTTTGTATTTTTAGTCGAGATGGGCTTTCACTATGTTGGCCAGGCTGGTTTTGCACTCCTGACCTCAGGTGATCTGCCCACCTTGGCTTCCCAAAATATTAGGATTACAGGCGTAAGCCCTGCCACCTCCCCCTAGTCCCCCATCCCCCGGGTCTTAGCATTTCTAAGTAGCTCCCATGTGCTACTTAGTTACATACCTGTCATTTAGGCTGAGTGCTTTGAAGGTAGGAGGCTTACATATCTGTTTCCTGCTGCTTGACACAGCCAGTGCTTAGTAAATCACTAAACAAAAAGATTATGAATGAAAAGGACATGGGCAACAGTTTCAGCAGAAACTCAAACCCTTTCTGTCTGAAAGAAATCCTTTGCTGGGGATGGCTTAAGTAATGGGGAAAAATGGGTTCTGGAGCCAGATTTAAGCAGTTATGTAATCCCAGATGAGTGACTTGACCCCGTTGGGCCTCATTTTCACCTGAAAAACAAGGCTAATAAAACTCACAAAGGTATCGTGTGTGAAAAGCTCACCACTGAGCTGGGCATGTAGCAGGTACACAGTCTTGGCTGTCAATACTCAAAAATGGCTTCAGGCTGGGCACGGTGGCTCACACCTGTAATCCCAACACTATGGGAGCCAAGGCAGGTGGATCACTTGAGCCCAGGAGTTCCGGACCAGCCTGGGTAACACAGAGCCCCATCTCTAAAAATATTTTAAAAATTAGCTGGGTGTGGTAGTGTACACCTGGACCAGCTACTTGGGAGGCTGAGGCAGGGGACTGGAATGTAGGGTTTGGTGCTGCAGGAAGCTGTGGTCGTGCCACCGCAGTCCAGCTTGGGTAATAAGGTGAGACCCTGTCTCTTAAACCAAAAACATAACAGGCCAGATAGCTTGAGCCCCAGAGTTTGAGACTAGCCTGGGCAACAAGGTGAAACTCCATCTTTACAAAAAATACAAAAATTAGCCAGGTTTGGTGGCACATGCCTGTATCCCAGCTACTTGGGAGGCTGAGGCGGAAGGATCCCTTGAGTCTGGGAGGTTGTGGCTGCTGAGAGCCGGGATTGCGCCACTGTACTCCAGCCTGGGCGACAGAATGAGATCCTGTCTCAAAAAACATGAAACATACCAAAAAAAAAAAAAAAAGTTTCATAAGCACAGCTGCCACAATGTTCCTGGACTTCCCATGTTATTCCGTTCAATAAAGTCACGTCATTAATTTAGCTGTGATCCTATTTTCATTGTATCATCTAATCAATTCACAAATTGCACGTCCTTATTTTTGGCTCAGAAGAAAAAACAAAGGTTGCAGTAAATCCAGACGTGACAGCCAAGTTGGCTTGCTCTTTCTCCTCCTTCCACATTTTGTTGCTGGGCACACTGAAGACAGGGCCACTCAAAAAGAGACCCTCGCTGACAAATCGGGACCAATTTTGATTCCCTGGAAACCATCATTTATTTTTGGTAAATGCCAGTGAGGAATATACACGTCATTCCTGCAGAAAAGTCTATAGCATTTAAGTCTTGAAAACAGGTGACAATTGAAAAACATTATAATATTTTCAGGTCTTTTAATAATTCAATGCTCTGTGTCCTTCAGGCTGTGAGACCCTAAGGTATTGGGGTCTGGTAATGTCCCAGCTATAGCAAAGGGCCTGTTGGGTGACATAGGACAAATATACAGCAAAATTCAGAAACTGCAAGTGCTTCCTCACTTGAACGGATCTGGCCCCTTTGTGGTAGGGGCTTGACTGTTCCTAGAATGAATGACTTAAAATAAGGTGGTTAAAAATTCTGCAGTGAGTCTCGCCATGGTGAACAAACATGATTCAGAAATGCCTCCTTCTATAAAATGAAGGAGCTGGGTTGGAGTCAGTATTACCAGCCAGACCATACCCTGATGGGTAAAGGAAATTCTCTACCACAGAGCTCAGCAGTGAGGTGGCTGAGAGGAAGGCAGGCCTGCAGATGAAAGCGTGGGAGTGGAGCATGTGGGGCGGGCACTGTCCGGCTGGGAAAACCCAGCCTTCAAGAGGCCATTGTCAATCAGGCTGGGCACGGTGGCTCATGCCTGTCATCCTAGCACTTTGGGAGGCCAAGGTGGGCGGATCATTTGAGGCCAGGAGTTCGAGACCAGCCTGGCCAACATGGTGAAACCCTGTCTCTACTAAAAACACAAAAAATTAGCCAGCCGTGGTGGTGCATGCCTGTAATCCCAGCTACTCGGGAGGCTGAGGCACGAGAATCACCTGAACCCGGGGGATGGAGGTTGTAGTGAGCTGAGACTGCGCCACTGCACTCCAGCCTGAGCAACAAAGCAAGACTCCATCTTGGCAGGGGGCGGGGGGATGTGGACCTTCAAGTCTCAGAAATATGTGTTTGTCTTTTGATCTGCTGATTTGGTGTAACGTGATTGCCTCATTCATTCCAGTGTACGTACTTGCTGTAAATTTATATACAGAATTAAATAGCCCATTTATTAATTTATAAACCATAATAAAACCAGACAGTCATTTCCCGTCACCAGCAGATCTTGCATTGGAAAAGGAAAATAATATACAAATTTCAGCAACTTCAGAGATTTCAGGAAGCCTGAATGGAGGTCGAATTCATTTTGGAGTTCAATAATATGTTCAAAGAATCAGGTACTATATATAATCATATAGACAACTCCCGTAATATCTCCGCAGTGCAAAATTATCCCTGTTTCTTGTCATTCACCAGTGAGAAAAATCCAACTGCAGACTTGACTGCCTTCGGTGAAGGCACACGGCAAGTTCTTCTGACAAATAACACCCTTTGGGATTGACTCTTCACGTTTTACACAGCAATTGTCTCAGCTTGGGACCAAAGTATTTACAAAGCAAGCGAACAAGAGACGAAGCAAGAGGGACACTTCTGAGGCCGGTGGTGCGGAAACTCACCGCCAAACAGGGTGGGGGGCCAGTCACCTCTTCAGGAGTGTCCCATGTGTCAGCTGACATAACATCTTAAATACAGAATTCCAATTGAAAGAAAAACAAACAACAACAAAAGAAACACCAGTCAAGCATAAGTGATGTTACTTCCTCTCTGAACAGGGAAACATCTCGCTCGCTGGGAGATAAAAGGTAAATCTCTCATTTGCTGCTCTCTTCCCCTAAGTGCCAGCAAGAAGCTGGGTGTGGTGATGAAGAAAGAAGGCAGCCATCACCTAAGACCCCACAAGCCAAGCCGTGGTCCCCTCCGTGAGGGCACGGTCCTTTCATGAAGCCGTAAAAGAGACCACAGCTCGGACCTGAGCACTCAGGGTTACCTACTGGGGTCTTGTCATATTCCTTATGTTGATTTCTGCCAAGACCCAAACTGATTCCTTTTTTTTTTTTTTTTTTTTGAGACAGAGTCTCACTCTGTCACCAAGGCTGGAGTGCAGTGGTGTGATCTCAGCTCGCTGAAACCTCCACCTCCTGGGCTCAAGTGATTCTCCTGCCTCAGCCTCCCAAGTAGCTGGGATTACAGGCAGGTGCCACCATGCCTGGCTAATTTTTGTTTTAGTAGAGATGGGGTTTCACCATGTTGGCCAGGGTGGTCTCAAACTCCAGTGATCCACCCACCTCAGCCTCCCAAAGTGCTGAGATTACAGGCATGAGCCACCACGCCTGGCCCCAAACTGACTCTTGACCAAAGAATCTGATTTGGCAAACCAAATCTTAGTGCAGTGTTCGCTCCTCGTCCCCTTACCCAGAACATGATTCAGATCCTAACATAAACACAAAAACAGGTCAGGGAACCAAAACACTGTGGTCTTGTCTATTATACAAAATATTGAGATAATGTTCACGATTCATTCTGTTTTCAGCAATTGTGACAATTTTGAAGCTTCTCTCGAAGCTTCGAAACACTTCATTTCCTACTAAATACCAAAACGTGTCAGACAGGCATCACCAGTGGGAACTTGGTTTTGTTTTGTTTTTTTTTTTGAGATGGAGTCTCGCTCTGTTACCCAGGCTGGAGTGCACAATCTCGGCTCACCACAACTTCTGCCTCCCAGGTTCAAGCAATTCGCCTGCCTCAGCAGCCTGAGGAGCTGGGACTACAGGCACGCGACACCATGCCCGGCTAATTTCTGTATTTTTAGTAGAGATGGGGTTTCACTATGTTGGCCAGGCTGGTCTCGAACTCCTGACCTCGTGATCCGCCCATCTTGGCCTCCCAAAGTGCTGGGATTACAGGTGTGAGCCACTGTGCCTGGCCGGGGAACTTTGTTTTTAAACGTTTACAAACAAAAAGATTTTCGATGCATAGGCCAGTCCTAATGCATCCCATAATGGGGACCAAGGCAAAAACACACACACACAACTACAAAATATTCCCTAGAAAAATGCAAGATCCTCCGAAAATCAAGATCTCTCTACCAAACAACATACCAAGTCATCACAGAAGAGGTGAAGATGCCTCTCAAAAGACATGTGCCACAGAAATAGAGCTTGAAATACTGAACACGATTTCTCGAAGATCCTTCTCACCACCCCAAGAGAAGCGCCCTGCTCTGGTGAGGGAAGAGGAGGCAAAGGAGAAGAGAGAAGTTTCCCTTCCATCTGGATCTGGGTGGATGCCAACCCTGACGTGCAGGGCAGAGCACCAGGCTGCAGGAACTGGATGCTAATTGCAATCGCTTTTTGCTTTGGAACATTTGCCAGGAACTTGTGAACTGCTAAGGGGATGACCAGGAAACTGGATCCATCTCTGTGGCTGGGGATGTTTTGAATGATTCTCGCGGGCTCCCTGTCTGCTTGGTGACCCTGTTGGTCCTATGCGTATCTGCGCCAGGGAATTAAACTAGCCAGTCTGACGTTCTCAAGCACCGCCCTGGACACCCCCACTGCCAGTTCATGGTCTACAGCCACAGTGACCCCAGCTTTTCACACAGGTCCTGAATGTTATCTGGAATGCAGACACAAGTGCTCTGAGCTACACTGCTTGGGGAATAATTCCACATGGAAAGGTACAACGTGGCCAAGATCTCCGCAGGGACACGGCCCTCAGATGACAGACTCCAGGAAGAAAGAGCATGAGACACTGGTCTCTGTTTAGGTTTGCCCAGAGCTCACGGCCGTCTGCACTGCAGGCAACGCATCCTCCTGCGGCTCACGGGGGGCCAGGAACCCCAGGGCTTCTGATGGAGAGTTATGCACCGTCCCCTCGGCTGGGTTGTACATTCACTGATTGTCAGAAGTTTCTGATACTGCTGTGGGGGCCGGGGAAGGAGTCACCAACAGTCTGGTCCTGTCCTTTGGACTCTACACATCATAGCGGTTCAAACTGTACGAGTTTGGGTAGCTCTGCCGGCTGTATTGGAAGTGGTCTGTTAAGATGTTGTTGCGGCCGTACTGATAGTCCCCGTGCTGGGGGAAGAGGAGGCCGTTGTGGGGCTTCTCCAGTGGGCTCCGGTGACGCTCCTTGCTGCTCAGGTCTGCTGTGGTGACGGGGAGGAGGTGCTTCCTGGCTTGCTGGTTTGCATCGTACTTGGTCTGTGCCAGAAAGAGAGCAATGAGACAGGACATGCCCGGGGCATAAGAGCTCGTAATTCAAAGTCAATCAACTGGCTGGCTGCGGTGGCTCACACCTGTAATCCCAGCACTTTGGGAGGTCGAGGCGGGAGGATCACCTGAGCTCAGGAGTTTGAGACCAGCCTGGGCAACATGGCAAAACCCCGTCTCTACTAAAAATACAAAAAATTAACCGGGTGTGGTGGCGCATGCTGTAGTTCCAGCTACTCAGGCGTTCTGAGGCACAAGAATCACTTGAACCCAGGAGGCGGAGGTTGCAGTGAGCTGGGACCATACCACTGCACTCCAGCCTGGGAGACAGAGCAAGACGCTGTCTCAGAAAAAAAAAAAAAAAAAAAAAAAGTCAGTTAACCTCCGGGGCCGGCATAAGTCATAGGGCTTGAGCAAGGAAAGCAGACTTGAATGGACCAGACCACAGTGCATGGACAGACTCAGAAGACAAGTCCTTGGCCAGGCGCAGTGGCTTATGCCTGTAGTTCAAGTGCTTTGGGAGGCCTAGGCGGGAGGATCACTTGAGGCTAGGAGTTGGAGACCAGACTGGACAAAATAGAGAGACCCCATATCTACATGTGTTAAGAAACAAATGAAGAGGCCAGGTGTGGTGGCTCATGCCTGTAATCCCTACACTTTGGGAGGCCAAGGCAGGTGGATCAACTGAGGTCAGGAGTTGGAGGCTGGCCTGGCCAAGATGGTGAAACCCCATCTCTACTAAAAATACAAAAATTAGCCAGGTGTGGTAGGCGCCTGTAGTCCCAGCTACTCGGGAGGCTGAGGCAGGAGAATCGCTTGACCCCGGGAGGCGGAGGTTGCAGTAAGCTGGGATGGAGCGCCACTGCAATCCAGCCTGGGTGACAGAGCCAGACTCCATCTCGAAAAAAAAAAAAAAAAAAAAGAAAAGGAAAAGAAGGCAAGCCCTCCCTGTTGGCCATCCCATGTCCTTACACCGCACTAAACAGAGCCTTTGAGAGGAGGGAGGGAAAACCCCAGCTGAGACACAGCCGGAATGATTTGAGGACCTGAGGTTGCCTATGCAGGAAAAAGGAAGCCAGAGTGGGATGGGGCTACGCCAAGATCATAAACCAGTCAGTGGCAAAGCTCTGACATACAACCCCAGCCTTGAGCGCCCGGGAGGCCCTTCCTTTTCTGACTTCCTGGGTGTTGGGGGGCCGGCTTCCTTCCCTGCCCAGCCTCTCAGACTCTCACCTTGTTATAGAGGAAGACCCCCAGGATGGCGGTCATCATGCCCAGGACGTTGGTGCTGGTGACTGGGTTGCGCAGCATGATCAGGGACACCGTGATGACCATGATTCTTTTGGTGGCATTGGCGACCGAGTAGCTCAGGGGGCTAACGAGGTTGAGGATGCTGAAGGCGATAACATTCTGGGCAAAGTTACAGAAGCCGCTGACAGCCAGGAGCAGGAGCGTCCAGGGCCACTGGTAGACGTAGGTCTGCAGAGACCGGAAGGTAAAGACAGCACTTCAGTGGGCAGCGGTGACCCTGCCTCCCTGTATCCACCTGGCAGGGTTAGGGGAAGGGATGTGGAGGGGCTCATCTGGAGCCTCATGGTCCACAGGCAGCCAGTCCAGATGTGTCACCAAGAGACACTAGGTGCTTTAGGTCCATGACCTCAGAACCTCATGACACCACACAGCATGGGAATCACCCGCCGTCTCCTGCCAAGGAAACAGGTGAAGCCAGGTCCCCAAAGGGCACCAAGCAAGACGTAAGCCAAAGCCTTCCCTGGCAGTGAACAGCCAGGAACCCTGGGTTTGGCAAAGCAGGGATCTGCTTGTTGGACGCAATGCATTCTACAGGGTTGGAGGTCCTGGGAAGGTGGCTCTGAGCCTGCGAAGTACCTGGTAATACGAAAGCCACGGGTCTGCACCTATTGCTGCGAGGATGAACAGAATCATGGCTTTTGAAGTGCTTTACAACAATCTCAAGCCAAACAAACACAAGAGGTGACGTTACCATCAACAGCTGAGGCCAGGTGCAGTGGCTCACACCTGTAATCCCAGCACTTTGGGAGGCCGATGCAGCTGGATCATCTGAGGTCAGGAGTTCAAGACCAGCCTGACCAACATGGTAAAACTGTGTCTCTATTAAAAATACAAAATTGGTCGGGTGTGGTGTGGTGTGGTGGCGCATGCCTGTAATCCCAGCTGAGGCAGGACAATCTCTTGAACCTGGGAGGTGGAGGTTGCAGTGAGCTGAGATTGCACCACTGCACTCCAGCCAGGGCAACAGAGCGAGACTCTGTCTCAAAAAAACAAACAAAAAAACCAGTTTAGGTTGGGCGTGGTGGCTCATGCCTGTAATCCCAGCACTCTGGGAGGCTAAGGAAAAAAAATCATTCGAGGGCAGCCTGGGCAACACAGTGAGACCCTGTCTCTACAAAAAAAAAAAAAAATTAGCCAGGCATGGTGGTGCACACCTGTGGTCCCAGCTACCTGGGAGGCTGAGGTGGGAGGATCGCTTGAGCCTAGGAGTTCAAGGCTACAGTGAGCTACGATGGCGCCATAGCACCCCAGCCTGGGCGACAGTGTAAGACACTGTTTCAAAAAAACCCCACAAAACTTTACCATCTGACCCTGACCAGAATGAGGCCATTCTGACTAAGGGATCCAGAAATTAAGAAATCACAACTAGCAGACATCGGGACCATGGAATCCCCCAAAGAGCCTAGGCTGGTCCCAGGACAGGCAGACAGGTGAGAACCAGGTAGACACTGCCCTGTAGGCCAATTTCCAGGCCACGCTGACCTTGGCCACAGGAGGACAGAGCTGGCTCAGCCCAGGGTGACCGTGATTGGCGGCCCTGCTGGAGCTGCAGGATGTCTACCTGACTCCATCTCCACTGCACTCCAAGAGAGAAGGATCACACGGTCCTCTCAAATGCAAGAAGACACGCTTAGGCGACCAGCTCAATGTCAACCAACTCAAGACTGGAACTCCCAAATGCAAATCCATTTACCTGTGCCATACACCCTGCAGCTTCTGCGGGGAACCTCACTGGAGGAATAGCCCCTGTAATATATATGAGCCCACCAGGATGCCTTCATGTTGGGCCAGCCTGTTCTCCCAGGGGTCGCTCCCTAAGGTGATCGGTTAGGATTTCCATGCTATTTTCTTCCTGCTTGCATAGATATCTATCTTCTGGGAAGGGAACCCAACCAATCTGGTTTAAAACAAAAAAAAAGATACATAATAAAATGGACTGATTTGGCAGCACGGTGCACAATTCCAGGCATTTTTTTTTTTTTGAGACAGAGTTTTGCTCTGTCGCCCAGGCTGGAGTGCAGTGGCGCGATCTCTGCTCACTGCAAGCTCCGCCTCCTGGGTTCACGCCATTCTCCTGCCTCAGCCTCCCGAGTAGCCGGGACTACAGGCGCCCGCCACCGCGCCCGGCTAATTTTTTGTATTTTTAGTAGAGACGGGGTTTCACCGTGTTAGCCAGGATGGTCTCGATCTCCTGACCTCGTGATCCACCTGCCTCGGCCTCCCAAAGTGCTGGGATTACTGGCATGAGCCACCACGCCTGGCCAATTCCAGGCATTTTAACAAATGCATCAATTCATGGAACCACCATGACCATCAGGGATTAGGACACTCCTGGGGGGCTTCTCTTTTGTCCTAACCCCCTCCTCCTAAACCTGGCAACCATCCATGTTTTCTGTCATGATCCGTGTGTCCTTGGGAGACTGTCATGGAGCTGGAATCACATGGCTGGGAACCTTTGGAGACAGGCTGCTTTCACTCAGTGTGGCAACTCTGCCATTCATCCATGTTGTGAGGGACAAGAGTTGGTACCTTTTCATTGCTGAGTAATGCTCCACTGTGTGTAACATTCCATGTACTGAAGTTTTTTGTTTTGTTTTGTTTTGAGACGGAGTCTTGCTCTGTCACCTAGGCTGCAGTGCAGTGGTGGGATCTCTGCTTACAGTAAGCTCCGCCTCCTGGGTTCACGCCATTCTCCTGCCTCAGCCTCCCGCATAGCTGGGACTACAGGCGCCCGCCACCATGCCCGGCTAATTGTTGTATTTTTAGTAGAGACAGGGTTTCATCGTGTTAGCCAGGATGGTGAAGTTTTTTTTTTGTTTTTGTTTTTTTTTGAGATAGAGTTTTGCTCTTGTCACCCTGGCTGGAGTGCAATGGTGCGATCTCAGCTCACTGCAACCTCTGCCTCCCGGGTTCAAGTGATTCTCCTGTTTCAGCCTCCCGAGTAGCTGGGATTACAGGCAACCACCACCATGCCCAGCTAATTTTTGTATTTTTAGTAGAGATGGGGTTTCACCATGTTGGCCAGGCTGGTCTCGAACTCCTGACCTCAGGTGATCCGCCCACCTTGGCCTCCCAAAGTGCTGGGACTACAGGTGTGAGCCACCACACCCGGCCTATTTTTTCTTGAGACGGAGTCTCACTCTGTCACCCAGGTTGGAGTGCAGTGGCACGATCTTGGCTCACTGCAACCTCTGCCTCCCAGGTTCAAGCAATTCACCTGCCTCAGCCTGCCAAGTAGCTGGGACTACAGGTGTGCCGCACCACACCTGGCTAATTTTTCTATTTTTAGTAGAGGAGGAGTTTCACTATATTGGGCAGGCTGGTCTCGAACTCCTGACCTCAAGTGATCCACCTGGCTCGGCCTTCCAAAGTGCTGGGATTGGATTATATGCATGAACCACTGCACCCAGCCATCTGTCCATTGTCTTCTGATCTAATTTCTCTCTGTTGTTTAAACTGGATAATGTAGACTGATTTATCTTCAAGTTATTGGCTCCTTCCTCTGTTACCTCCATTCCGCTTTTCAGTCCATCCCTTGAGTTTTTTTTTTTTTTTTTTGAGATGGACTCTCGCTCTGTCGCCCAGGCTGGAGTGCAACAGCATGGTCTTGGCTCACTGCAACCTCCGCCTCCCACGTTCAAGCAGTTCTCCTGCCTCAGCCTTCTGAGTAGCTGGGATTACAGGCACGTGCCACCACGCCCAGCTAATTTTTGTATTTTTAGTAGAGACGGGGTTTCTCCATGTTGGTCAGGCTGGTCTTGAACTCCTGACCTTGTGATCCATCTGCCTTGGCCTCCCAAAGTTCTGGGATTACAGGCATGAGCCACCACGCCCAGCCAATCCCGTGAGTTTTTAAGTTACTATCTTCCATTTAAAAATTTCTGGCCTCCAGCCTGGCCAACATGGTGAAACCCCATCTCTACTAAAAATATAAAAATTAGCCAGGCATGGTGGCAGGCGCCTGTAATCCCAGTTGCTCGGGAGGCTGAGGTAGGAGAATCACTTGAGCCTGGGAGGCAGAGGTTGCAGTGAGCCGAGATCCCGCCACTGCACTCCAGCCTGGGTGACAGAGCAAGACTCCGTCTAAGGGAAAAAAAAGAAAATTTCTAGCCAAGTTTGGTGGCTCATGTCTATAGTCCCAGCACTTTGGGAGGCTGAGGCGGGTGGATCACTTAAGCCCAGAAGTTTGAGACCAGACTGGGCAATATGGCAAAACCTTCTTTCTACAAAAAATACACACACACACACACACACACACACACACACACACAGAGTTAACCAGATATGCTGGTGTGAACGTGTAGTCCCAGCTACTCAAGAGGTTGAGGTGGGAGGATCACTGAGCCCAGAGAGGTTGAGGTGGCAGTGAGCTGTGATTGTACCACTGCACTCCAGCCTGAGCACAGAATGAGACCCTCTCTCAAAGGAATTTAAAAAATTTCCATTTGGTTCTTCACTCTATCTTCTATCTGTTCACATTTGTCTCCAGAGTCTTTACTTTGCTCCTTGGAGCACGATGGTAATCACTGCTTTAAAGTCTGTCTGATAATCCCAACATCTGTATCATTGCACTGTTGGCCCTTGTTGATTGTCTTTTCCCAACCACCTGGAATTTCCTGGGTCTTCGTAAACTACGTAATTTTGGCTGGAATCCCGGGCATTTCGCATATTATAAAAGTCTGGGTCTTATTTAAATCCTATGAAGAATGTTGATGTTTTGTTTTAGCAGGCAATTGATGATGCTGGGTTCAGGCTGCAGGCTTGACCAGCCTTCTGTGGGTTGTGGTTCCAATGTCAGTTATGTTTTCAAAGCCTTTCCAGTGGTATTTGGCTCTGTCCTGAGTCTGTGCCGCCTGTGGTCAGTCTGAAAGCCAAGCGGTGGTCTCTCCCACAGTTCTGTTCTTAGTCTTTGGTATGCTGTTTAAGATCTCATCCTCACATGTGTGACGCTCAGGGGCGAGCCTGGGATTCCATGGGCGACTTTATGAGGTCGCTGTCCTCAGCTCCTCCCTCCACACAATCTCCTGAGTACTTTCTAGTTTCCTAGTCCCTCCCTTTCATGGCCCTCCAGTCAGAAAGCTGAGGTTTAATCACCGTACTCTGCTGTTCACTTCCTGTGATTACACCCCCATTTGAGGGTCAAGCAGTGACAGTACAGAGAACAAGCTGCAAAAGGGCTCATCCCATCCTCTGAGGACTATATGTCCTCAAACAGCAGAGGAAGAGTCGCCCTTCTCAGGGTTTTAGGTGGCTGTGGAACCTGCTGCTGCTGCCACCAACGTAGGATTGTCAGGAGCCTGGGAAGCAAGAGATGAAGGCAAAAAAGAAAATAGAAAAAAACCTAACAGACAGCCGGGCGTGCCGGCTGGCGCCTGTAATCCCGGCACTTTGGGAGGCTGAGGCAGGGAGATGATCTGAGGTCAGGAGTTCGAGACCAGCCTGGCCAACATGGTGAAACCCCGTCTCTACTAAAAACACAAAAATTAGCCAGGAGTGGTGGTGCGCGCCTACAATTCCAGCTACTCAGGAAGCTGAGGTGGGAGAATCACTTGAACCTGGGAGGTGGAGGTTAGAGTAAGCTAAGATCGTGCCACTGCACTCCAGTCTGGGTGACAGAGTGAGACTCCATCTCAAAAACAAAAAAAAAAAACCAAAAAAAAAAAAAAAAAAAGAGAAAAAGCCTAACAGGCATCCAGGTGTGGTGGCTCACGCCTGTAATCCTATCTCTTTGGGAGGTCGAGGCAGGCAGATCACCTGAGGTCGGGAGTTCAAGACCAGCCTGGCCAACATGGTGAAACCCATCTCTACTAAAAAAAAAAAAAGAATACATAAAAATTAGCTGGGCATGATGGCATGTGCCTGTAATCCCAGCTATATGGGAGGCTGGGGCAGGACAATCTCTTGAACCCTGGAGGCAGAGGTTGCAGCGAGCTGAGATCACGCCACTGCGCTCCAGCCTGGGCAACAGATCAAGACTCCATCTCAAAAAAAAAAAAAAAAAAAAAAAAAAAAAAGAAAGAAAAGAAAAGAGAAAGCCTAACAGGGGATTTCCTCCATTCTCTCTGAGGGTTAGGAGTCTCCTTTCCCATTCTCCAGACTCCAAGCAGAGAACATCTCTGTTCTCATTCAGTGCCCACATCTACCTTCTGAGCTGCCTCATGTCCAGGCTGAAGACACAGGAGGAAGAAGAATGACGAACTCACTGGTGGCTCCAAGGCACTCTGAATTCTGGTCTTTCCTCCGCCCATCTGCCTGCTACCATTTATTTCTCGGTTCTCAAGTAGCTGCTTCATGCATTCTGTCCAAGTTTTGAAACCAGGCCACCTGCTCCAGAGTCTAGGAATCCCCGCCTGTCTTTTGCCAAGCCATTTGGCAACTGGGCCAGGCGTCTCTGGGAACTGCCCACTGCAGCCTTTGATTCTTGGTAGACTGGAGAGCAGCAGACACCAGCTGACATTCTCCCATCTCATCCTCTTCCCGCCTGTTCTGGAGAACAGGACTGCGACGGTGCTAACTAACCTGCTGTCTGTGTAGTCTATGTGGGAGACACAAGACAAAGAGGGGGAACCCAGACATGTGGGAACCCCATCTTCAGACTGCAACATTAGTGAATATGGTGTATGCCTAGGGCTGCTATTAAAATACACAAAGTCATGCTCATGTTAAAAAACATATGGGCCAAGTGTGGTGGCTCACAGCTGTAATCCCAGCACTTTGAGAGGCCAAGGCGGGAGGATGGCTTAAGGCCAGGAGTTCAAGACCAACCTAGGCAACAGTGGGAGACAGTCTCTACGAAAAAAAAGAACCAACCAAACAAAACACCACCAAACATAACATACATAGCCTCAACTAAAAAAAAAAGGTTACTTAAGGTATTACAACAACAAAAAAGATAATGACTAGAACAACAATAACAACACAAAATGTCCTAAGTGCAAGAAAAGCAAAGACAAAAAAACACAGCAAAAGCCTGTATGTTTCTGTCCATGTGTGGACACATACATACTCTAATGAGCTGTAACACAGAACAGCAGAGGAACTGACAGGAAACCCACTGACACTATTACACAGCCGTACAAGAAATGAGAAAGGCCTTCTATGTCGTTATGAAGAGCTCTCTGGGACGATGAGATGAAATGAACAAGGTGCAGAATAGTTCAGCTCCCCTTCAGTATCCACGGAGGACTGGTTCTAGGGACCCCTGCGGATGCCAAAATCTACAGATATTCAAGTCCCTTTTATAAAATGGTTTAGTATTTGCATGTAATCCATGCACATCCTCCCATATACTTGAAATCATCGCTAGATTACTTGTAATCCCTAATACAATAAAACTGCTATACAAATAATTGTTATACTGTATTATTTTAAAATGTCTTATTCTTTATTATAGTATTTTGTTTTTCTACCATATATTTTCAATTCGCAGTTGGCTGAATCCACTAGTGTGGAACCCACAGATATGGAAGGATGACTGTATGTTTATATTTATTTTTGAGATAGGGTCTTGCTCTGTCATGCTGGCTGGGGTGCAGTGGCTCAAACATGGCTCACTGCAGCTTTGACCTTCCCGGGCTCAAGTGATCTTCCCACCTCAGGCTCCCAAGTAGCTCGGACTACAGGCATGTGCCACCATGCCGGGTTAATTTTTGGTTTTGTTTTACGTAGAGACGGGGTTTCACCATGTTGACCAGGCTGGTCTCAAACTCCTGAGGCTAAAGCAGTCTGCCTGCCTCTGCCTTCCAAAATACTGGGATTACATGTGTGAGGCACTGTGCCTGACCTGTAAATTTAAAAAGCTACTTTTTGGGCTGGGCGTGGTCGCTTACGCCTATAATTCCAGCACTTTGGGAGGCCGAAGTGGGTGGATCACCTAATGTCAGGAGTTTGAGACTAGCCTGGCCAAAATGGAGAAACCCCACCTCTAGTAAAAACACACAAAAAATTAGCTGGGCGCGGTGGTGGGTGTCTGTAGTCCCAGCTACTCGGGAGGCTGAGGCAGGAGAACTGCTTGAATCCGGGAGGCGGAGGCTGCAGTGAGCCGAGAACATGCCATTGCATTCTAGCCTAGGAGACAGAAAAACTCCGTCTCAAAAAATAAAATAAAATAAAATAAAATAATAAAATAAAAAGCTACTCTGTGTGTAATAAGGACAGAGGGTGATTATACATGCAAATTTGCTTATATTTGCAAAAATATGGAACAGGTGAACTAGGAGCCTAAGAAATGTTATCCATGGTCAGGGAGGGGACAGGGAGAGTACAGGAATCATGACCAGACTTCTTCTTTTTTTTTATTTTTATGAGACAGTCTCACTTTGTCACCCAGGTTGGAGTGCAGTGTCGTGATCTCAGCTCACTGCAACCTCCACCTACCTAGTAGCTAGGATTATAGGCGTACGCCACCACACCAGATAATTTTTATATTTTTTCTAGAGATGGGGTTTCCCCACGTTGGCCAGGCTGGTTTCGAACTCCTGGCCTCAAGGGATCCACCTACCTCGGTCTCCTAAAGTGCTGGGATTCCAGGTGTGAGCCACCACACCCAGCCTGCAAAGAAATACTAACCTTTTCTCAGCACTCCAGTTGCAATTGTGCTGTGAGAATGCTCATTCTGAAGCAATTATATGAGTGAGTGTACAGTAGAATAACATCAGTGAATAACGGGTAGAATAAGCAACTAAGAAACGAGGAGCGGAACCAAGCATACCAGCGACGAGATCTAAATATGAAATTCAAAACAGCAAAGATCTGGACTGTTCAACTGAAAGTGACGCTAATTGCTAGGAACTCTTTGCTGCTGCCCCAAGTGTGTACTTCCTAATTTTTCACAGTAAAGGCCTAACAACAATGACCACCCAGCAGCAAAAAGCACCCATGGCACCTGGATTGTGTCTCTAAATACCGCTCCCCACTAACGGCACCTGGAGTCCTGAAGGAGGGGCTGACTGCAGCTCTGGGATGGGAAGTACACAAGGTGAAGGCGGGCATCCCGCTGGGAGAAACGCTGACCCACAGTGCTAGAAGGGCAAGGAGCCAATCAGAAGGGCTCCAATGGCTAAGACAGGACAATTTTTTTTTCTTCTTTTTTTTTAAGATGGAGTCTCGCTCTGTCGCCCAGGCTGGAGTGCAGTGGTACGATCTCAGCTCACCGCAACCTCCGCCTTCCAGGTTCAAGCAATTCTCCTGCCTCAGCCTCCTGAGTAGCTGGGATTACAGGCGTGCACCACCATGCCTGGCAAATTTTTGTATTTTCTGTAGAGATGGGGTTTCACCACGTTGGCCAGGCTGGTCTTGAACTCCTGACCTCAAGTGATCTGCCCACCTCGGCCTCCCAAAGTGCTGGGATTACAGGCTGGAGCCACTGCGCCTGGCCAAGACAGGACAATTTGACTAGGAAAACGAATAATTCATGCAACTGACAAACACATAAAAGTTCACAATGATGCTGGAGAAAAAAAGAGAACCCCTTCCCTACCCCCAAACAAACCCTCAACTCTGGTCAACATTTGGAGTAAGCTCCAACTCTCTATCCTGAAAATTAGTCATCAAAAGGAACAGTTAAGCATTAAACTGCCTTTCTCGTACCATACTTCAAGGTAACAAACTAGTCCTGGAAGATGGAAAGTTCTTCACAGAAGAATTACAGCTCATCAATGTGAAACGAAAGTTAGAAAAGTGAGCCATGGTTTACTGATTGGGAAAATAGAGGTAATATCCACTACTTCAGCAGGTGGAGCCAAGGATTAAAGATAAGAAATGTCACAAATCCAGCTAGACCACATTAAGACCTCAATAAATATTTACTTTTCCTTTCTAACTCGAGTCTGGAAGAATCGCACTGGCCTCCTCCTCACCGCAGGCACTTGCATTCATTTATAACACATTCTCTGAAGGCAGACCCTGCAGGTGGCAAAAAGATTCGACGTGGAGTAAATGGAAACAGAGACCAGGGAGGAACTGAGCTGCACAGTTTTCTTTCTTTCTTTTTTTTTTTTGAGACGGAGCTTCACACTTGTTGCCCAGGCTGGAGTGCAGTGGTGCGATCTCGGCTCACTGCAAACTCTGCCTCCTGGGTTCAAGCGATTCTCCCACCTCAGCCTCCCAAGTGGCTGGGATTACAGGCGTGCACCACCACGCCTGGCTAATTTTGTATTTTTAGTAGAGACAGGATTTCACCATATTGGTCAGGCTGGTCTCGAACTCCTGACCTCAAATGATTCACACACCTTGGCCTCCCAAAGTGCTGGGATTATAGGCGTAAGCCACCACACCCAGGCAGCGCATGTTTTTTTCTTTTTTTTTTGACACGGAGTCTCCCTCTGTCACCCAGGCTGGAGTGCAGTGGCACCATCTCGGCTCACTGCAACCGCCACATCCTGGGTTCAAGCAATTCTTCTGCCTCAGCCTCCCAAGTAGCTGGGACTACAGGTGCGAGCCACCATGCCTGGCTAATTTTTGTATTTTTGGGAGAAACAGGGTGTCACCATATTGGCCAGGCTGGTCTCAAACTCCTGACCTCGTGATCCGCCCGCCTTGGCCTCCCAGAGTGCTGGGATTACAGGCGTGAGCCACTGCGCCCGGCTTTTTTTTTTTTTTTTTTTTTTTTTGGCCAGTGCATAGTTTTCAAAGTTCCAGGGCTGGCAAGGCACAGTGGCTCACATCTGTAATCCCAGCACTTTGGGAGGCCAAGGCAGATCTCTTAACGCCAGGAGTTCAGGACCAGCCTGGGCAACATAGTGAGACCCTGTCTCTCCAAAAACAGTAAAAAAACAAAAATCAAACAAAAAAAAATTAGCCAGGCATGGTGGTATTCGCCTGCAGTCCCAGTTACTCGGGAGGCTGTGGGAGGATCGCTTGAGCCCCGGATTGAGGTCAAGGCTGCAGTGAGCCATGATTGTGCCACTGCACTCCAGCCCTGGCAACAGAGCGAGGTTCTGTCTCTAAAAAATAAACATTTAAAATAAAAAATGAGTAAAAATAAAAAGTCAATGTGCTATCTGGACTATACTGTCAGGAGGTGAAAGAGTCACCTTCTCTTCCTTGACGCTACTGGCGCACACACAGCAGCTATCAGCACCTGGGATCAAGCACACCAGAGAAGGAAATACACAGGAAACCCACTTCCTCGATGGCGTGCATCGTCACCGTGAGGCATTACAGAGGACTGACTGCTGAAAGCGCTGGCTGTCAGGTGCCCAAAAGATACCACAATGTTAACATGCAGCTACAGCTCCTCAACAAAGCACCTATTCTGGAACTAGCCAAGAAAATGGCGTGTTCTTGGTGCTGTACAACTCACCAAGTCGCTGCTGACCAGGAAAGCCGAGAGGTCCACCAGAACCCAGGTGGGGATCATAAAGAAGACGGCGTGGCAGCCCAGGATGTTGAGCAGCCGGAGATGGTGGATCCGTGAATCTCGCAAGACCTGGAAAGGGAAAGCCTCTTTAGAGGGTGATTAAAACTATATGTGGCAAAAAGGGCTCCAGTGACTCAGGCCCCAAACACAGTGACTGGACATTAACCCTGACATCTGAGCTTGGACACCAAACCTGCAAGTGCATTTGTGAGGACATACACAGCACAGGCCTGAAACAAGCACCATGCTCCACGCATAAACGACTGAGAAAAGAAAACAAAAATAAAACAGTAACACTCAGTGCTGGTGAGGATGAAGTGAAGTAGGCACTCTGAAATTCCACTGGTTTGAGGCTGAATTGGTATAACCTTTCTAAAATACGACCAGACAAACCATATTAAGAGTGATTAACGTTTCATACCCTCTAACCTGAGAACTGTAAGCCTATCATAATGAAATAACTGAGACAGGAAAACATCACACACGTGATTGTTTCTACATTACAATGAAAAGTTGGAAATAAGTGGTATTTCCAATAGAGAGACTGCATTAACTGTGGTACCTGAAAAGTGTGTGATTATCACAGGAGTTAAGAGCAATTTTTTTTTTTGAGACGGGGTCTCACTCTATTCCTATTGCCTAGGCTGGTCTCGAACTCCTAGCCTCAAGTGATCCTCCTGCCTTGGCCTCCCAAAGTGCTGGGATTATAGATGTGAGCCACTGCACTAGGCTTCAACAAGTTTTAAAATCTTGTTTTAAATTGAAGTTTTTAGCTAGGCCTGGTGGCTAATGCCTGTAATCCCAGTGCTTTATGAGGCTGAGGTGTGAGGATCACTTGAGCTTCGAAGACTGAGGCTGCAGTAAGCTATGATTGTGCCACTGCACTCCAGCCTGGGCGACAGTGAGCCTTGGTCTCAATAAAAGAGCTTTTCTTTATTTTTTTCTTATTGAGCACATTAACTTTATAATAGAAAAACTTTTTTTTGTTTTTGAGATGGAGACTCACTCTTGCCCAGGTTGGAGTGCAGTGATGCAAAATCTCAGCTCACTGCAAGCCCCGCTTCCTGGGTTCAAGCAATTCTTGTGCCTCAGTGTCTGGAGTAGCTGGGATTACAGATGCGTGCCTGGCTAATTTTTATGTTTTTAGTAGAGATGGGGTTTTGCCATATTGGTCAGGCTGGTGTTGAACTCCTGGCCTCAAGTGAACCGCCCGCCTTGGCCTCCCAAAGTGCTGGGATTATAGGCATGAGCCACTGCGCCCGGCCAGAAAAACAAACTATTTAAAAAGCAAAATGACAAACAGAAAATCAGCAGAATGGCAATCAAGATTTTTCTGCTCTAATAGCAAAGAAATTTCTACTCCGCCTGTTTTCCCAATGCCACCAGTTTGCTGCCCGCACACCCCTGAAACCCCATGCATGTCCGCTGATGGTGACCAAATACCTTTTTGGAGAAAATGTTCTGAAGCGAGAAGCACAGCGTGGCGGCGAGGGCGCTGACGAGTCCCCACATGTCAAAAGACAACTCGGTGACGGTGGCCAGCAGGACACCGCTGATGATGGGGATGAGTGACAAGTATACCTGCAGGAAGAGGTCATCAAGAAGGGCTCACAGGCCAGACTAGAGCTGGGCCACATGCCACAGATGCCCAGGGAAGAGCCCCTCTCCTCCCTCAGCAAAGGGATACCACCTAACACTTTGAAAGTGGTGTTTGCTGTGCCAGTGACGCTCTGGTGGGTGGCTGGGGGCAGGTGGTTATCAGAGCGCCAGGGGCAGGGCTTATTTGTGGGTAGCCCCATCCCCATACCGTCACCCCCATTAAGAGCCTCTGCTCAGGGCCACAGCCCGGGGCTGGTCCTAACTCCACAGATCTGTTCAGCTGCCACTGACGCACCAGGGTTTGAAGCCCTGATCCTCTATAAGGCTCCCCCATTCCCTCTTTTTAAAAAATAGTTTTTTTGAGACAAAGTCTCGCTCTGTCGCCCAGGCTGGAGTGTAGTGGCACAATCGTGGCTCACTGCAACCTCTGCTTCCCGGGTTCAAGCGATTCTCCTGCCTCAGACTCCCCAGTAGCTGGGATTACAGGGATGTGCCACCACGCCCGGCCAATTTTTTTGTACTTTTAGTAGAGACAGGATTTCGCCATGTTAGCCAGGCTAGTCTTGAACGCCTGATCCACGTCATCCATCCACCTTGGCCTCCCAAAGTACTGGGATTACAGGTGTGAGCCACTGTGCCCAGCCCCCATTCCCTCTTACTTCAGGCTCTTCCAGTATGGTTACTCCTGGCTGGCACACTCCACTGATGCCTTCTCCTCCCAGTGACCTCCTGCCTCCACAAGGAGTGCTTTCTCCAACCCACCTCCACCTTGGGAGGCTCCTGTGCTGTGCTCCCAGGGCCACTGCCTGGACTTCCCCAGCAGAGAGCTCTCCACTCACTCTTTTTTTTTTTTTTTGAGACGGAGTCTCGCTCTGTCACCAGGATGGAATGCAGTGGCATGATCTCGGCTCACTGCAACCTCTGCCTCCCAGGTTCAACCGATTCTTCTGCCTCAGCTTTCTGAGTAGCTGGGACTACAGGTGCCTACCACCACGCCCAACTAATTTTTGTATTTTTAGTAAAGATGGGGTTTTGCCATGTTGGCCAGGATGGTCTCGATCTCTTGACCTCGTGATCTGCCCACCTTGGCCTCCCAAAGTGCTGGGATTACAAGCGTGGGCCACCGTGCCCAGCCTCTCCACCCACTCTGTCTGTTACATCATCCGGTCCCGTTAGTGTACCTTAGAGCAGGTCCTTGTTCACTGCTTTATCCTGGTGCCTAGCACTCAGTAGGCACTCAATAGCTGCTAGCTGAATGAACGAGTAGCAAACATAGTGACAGAGAGCCTTCTAGAAGGTCTGGCATGCAGGGCTAAACAACTCCCAACTTCCAGGATCCACCAGGATCCATTCCCGCGTGTCCAGCTCTTCTGACTCTCGGCTCAATCCTGTCCTACAAAGAACACTCTTCACTTTGGGAGGCTGAGGAGGGCAGATCACTTGAAGTCAGGAGTTTGAGACCAGCCTGGCCAACATGGTAAAACCCTGTCTGTATTGAAAATACAAAAATTAGCCAGGAGTGATGGAACGCGCCTGCAATCCCGGCTACTCGGGAGGCTGAGGCAAGAATCGCTTGAACCCAGGAGGCGGAGCTTGCAGTAAGCTGAGATCGCACCACGGCACTCCAATCTGGGCAACAGAGGGAGACTCCGTCTCAGAAAAACAAACACTCTTAAGGAGAGATAGGAGAGGTGGAGATTTTAGGAGGGAGTGGTCATGCCACAAGGAGGGCAGACCGAGGGCTGTGGACCTGAATTCCAGCTTCCCGAATATCAGGCTGTGGCCCTCAGGCACATGATTCTCCCCTCTCAGTCCATCTCAGGAAAACCTGAGATCAGGAATGATGACTACTGGCCTTATCTGCCTTGCAGGGCAGGTTCCTAGAAGTTATGATGTCATTATAATTAGTCTGGCTGCCTAACCGGGCCAATTCCCAGTCTTTCCTCACTGTGTGAAGTTCCGGCTCCTTGCCCAAGCTGGGTACAATGTCCCGTACAACGGGGAAACCTGATACACACGATGATATCCGGTGATGCAGCTACACACCTCAGGGACAACTCTGACTTCTCAGGAGCCAAGTCACAGCCTGACATCACCCTGGGGGAGCAGGGCTACAGAGCACACACAGGTCTTGCTGAGACAAAGACAGGCAGGAATAAAAAAAAATCAGCCATAGGTGGCCCAATTTCTATAAGCCGATCCAGGGCACTACCTCTCTGAGTTACATAAAATACAACATGCCAGAAACCAACCACTTGGAAAAGAGGCACGGTGTCCAGCATCAGCATGAAATGGATTCCGGCTGAGACAACAAGCGCCCAACTTCCACTTAAGAATACGGGATAAAGCTGTCTCCGGCTAAAGCCATGGCTATTCTTGCCCCAAGCCAGGAAATACCCTGGCTTGGCATCTTGAACAGAATTTGGACTGTGCCCAAAGCATCCTCCTTATGCAGCCCTGAGTCCTGTGTGCCACTTTCGCTTCCGTTCCCAGACCATCACAACTTCTGGCTGTTTTAATTTCTAAGACTTTGCTGGATTTTGCCAAGATCGAACTCCTTGGATCGCGTCTGGCTTCTGATCCCAGAGGTCCCCTGACAGAAATCTCTTGTCAAGAAGTGAAAACCTAGCCAAGTGCAGTGGCTGACGCCTGTAATACCAGCACTTTGGGAGGCTGAGGCGGACGGATCACTTGAGGTCAGGAGTTTGAGACCAGCCTGGCAACATGGTGAAACCCTGTCTCTATTAAAAATACAAAAAAATTAGCCAGGTGTGGTAGTGCACGTCTGTAGTCCCAACTACTTGAGAGGCTGAGGCAGGAGAACTGCTTGAACCTGGGAGGCGGAGGTTGCAGTGAGCTGAGATTGTGTCACTGGACTTCAGGCTGGGCAAGAGTAAAACTCCGTCTCAAAAAAAAAAAAAAAAAAGTGAACACCTAACCGACAGCGTTCTGATCCATCCATCCCTAGTCCCACTGGAAAGGCCACACATGGGGTGTATGGCCAAGATGTGACCAACCCATCACCTACCAGCAAACCCAGGTAGGGAATCAAAACGGGGAGGAAAATTGGATCTGAAAGGGACAACAGTGTTCCTAAGACCACACAGCAGAGATCACAGAGGGACACATACTCCACACACCACTGCTCACAGGGTGATTCTAGAACTTGAGTAGTAAAAGGCCACTGGAGACCTCTACACTGACTTCCCTATTTGACGGGAAGCCAGGCAGCCTGCAGACCAGGATCCTGACCACGTCACCAGTTGGCAACAGGGAGGAACCCCCTGGAGCTCCCATCTGCCCAGAGTCCCTGCCCGGGGTTACCTTGGTGCTCTGCTTCTCCTTCATAATGATCCGGGACAGGAGGACCACCCAGATGGGCATGGTGGCCTTGACTGCAAAGAGAGGGATGGGCACTCAGGGGGCTGCCTGAATTTCAGGGCCCAACCTGTTCCACCTCCACGGCGGGATGGGAGGGCCTGGCAGCCCCTCACACCTCTTCGCCCCTTCTCTTTCGGTAGGGCTTCCTCCTGCCACGGCTGTTGTGGTCTGTCCTGCTTACCTCTCAGCTCTCTTCTCAGCTCCTCTTCTCCCTGAGAACCCCGTGCGTGTCCCTCCCCTACCAAACCCTTGGCAGCCCCTCTGCTGACTTCTCAGTCCGGCGGGACGCGCCCCGGGCGGCGCACTCCTATCCATGCGCCCAAACCCGAAGCGGCGGGCCCGGCCGCCGCCCCCGAGGCCGGGCGCGGAACCTACCGGTGTGTGCATAGGACACGGGCACCTTCCAGATGCTGACGTGCGCTGACACGGACGCGAAGTACTTGCCGAAGGCGAGCGGTAGCACGTAGCGCGGGTAGAAGCGCGGCGGCAGCAGCGGGCCGGACGACGGATGCGGACTGGGTCCGGGGCCCGAGACGGGCGGCGCGGGGGGCACGCGCCAGGCGCGCAGCAGCGGCGGGAGCCCAGCGCACAGAGCCAGGATGTGGCACAGCGACACGGTCACCGGGAACGGGAAGGCGCTCAGGATCACCTTGTTGACCACGTTGCCGCCCGCGCTCAGCGCGTACCACAGCAGGCACAGCGCCGCCACCCGCGCGCCCTCGCGCGCCCCACCACTGCTGCTCGCTGCGCCCGGGCCCCCCGCGCCGTGGCCCGCGCCCACCGCGGCCGCCGCCATCCTGCCCGAGCGGCCGCCCCTTCCAGCCCGTCCGACGGCCCGACGCCGGGCGGGGGCGGGGCTGGGCGGGGGGGCAGGCGCCCCGGTCTACGCCGTTTCCCATTGGTCGCTGCCTCCTCGCGTCATCCCTCCGCGCCGGCCGACGCGCCAGCCACCACGTCTCGAGTGCAGGCCCAGTCCACTGTAGATGCGCTTCCGGCGGAGCCGAGGCCGGAAGCGGAAGAAGGGGACACAGACCTGCGTCCAAGCTGTGCCACCTGAGACGTGGGCGGTCCCAGTGACCGGGAGCCGGAGCTCGAACGGGACGGGCGAACAGAAGCGCGGAGGGCTTCGCAGCGTCGGCGTCTGTGCGTGGGCCAAACATCAGGGCCTCGACCAGGGATACAAGGGCAACCGCTAACTAGATTCCTGATTCCTGATGGCTGGCGGCGGCTGACACCAAAGGTAAAAGGCCTTTTAGGGAAAGAAACCATTTGTGAAAAGCTCTTGGGCTAAACTCGCTCTGCAAACTGGGGGCGCACGCTCGTGGCCAAACTCTGGCAGTGGGACTATCCCGGAGCACCCGATCCCTGGAATCATGTTCTGGAAACCACCGCGACGTGCGCAGTTCTCGGGCGTGGCCCTGGTATCATCCCACTGAATCCTAGGAACGCGGTGCGGTAGGTATCACTGTCCGCATTTCACAGACCGAAGTCCAGAATGGGGAAGCGACTTGTCTTAGGCTTCCTGGCCACACTGGGGACCGTGGTCATGGTAGCGTCCTTGGACACCTGTCTCCAAGGCTCTGCAGAAGGGGGAGGTGCCGGGCCCTGACGGCTGATGTCCAAGGACCAGCCGGGATGGACCAGCCCCAGGAGGCCCCAGTGGAGGAAAACAGGACGAGGTTTTCAGTAAGATGATCTTATACTAATTCAAGGGCTATAATTTGTTCTCCACATCGTGTGCCTCCAACTTTTTCGGGGAAAGGGTGTTAAAATTCCGTTACAGTGTTTTTACTTGTCAAATTAGAAGCAGCAACCGGCTGGGTGCAGTGAGTCAAGCTTGGAATCCCAGCACTTTGGGAGGCCAAGGTGGGCGGATTGCTTGAGCTCAGGAGTTGGAGATCGTGGCATCGATAACATGGCAGAACCTCATCTTTGCAAAAAATACAAAAATTAGCCAGGCGTGGTGGCGCACGCCTGTGGTACCCACTACTAGGGAGACTGAGGTGGGTGGATCGGCTTGAGCCCAGGTCAAGGTTCCAGTGAGCTATGATGGCGCCACTGCACTGCAGCCTGGGTGACAGAGCGAGACCCAGTCTCAAAGAAAAGTAGAAAGCAGCAACCCAACTTGGCTCCCCAAATGTTGGAAGGTATCTTAGCTTATCCTTGCATTCTCAAAGGCCCTAGGCCCTTCTGGATACATGGACACAGGCATGGTAGTCCCTGCAGGCAGGGGTAGTGGGGAGCTGCAACCTATCCCAAAACTCTAGAGATGCTGATAGGAGGCCAAGCTCTGCACCCTAATATCCTCCAGCTGTACCCTCTGTGGATCAGAGTAAAGTCACATCCTTGGGACACCATGTCTCAGCAGAGCTGTTAAACATAGGCACAGTGAAATTAGGAAAGTATAACTATAGGCACCCTACAGCACAGCTGAGTGTCAGATACTTCCACTGACACACTGACATGCTTTGTGTTTTAGTTCTCACAACTCTGGGGTATTCTCACCCCCCAAATGGGGACATGTGCACAGGAGTGAAGAGATGAGCTCAGAGCCACACAGCTGGTGGGTGGTAGGCCTGGGTTCAACCTCATCCTGCCTTCAAAGCCACTTTGCCCATGGCCTTTTGTTGGGGAGGGGAGTGTGTTCTGCACCAAGCTTTTGCCAGGAATCCCTGCTAGCTCTCAAACTGGCTCTGGACTGACTGTAGTCTTACAGGCTGGAAGGAACCTTTGGTTTGCCCTGTGAGACTGCATGTCTTAAGGTGTAGCTGTTTCTTCATTTGTGAAATTAAGCAGATATGGGTAAGATGACCTATTCCAAAGTGAAAAACTGGAAAACCAAAGTCTTAGCCTACAGTTTCAGGGACGAGGGGGAACTAAAAGATGAGCACTTTATAGTCAAGGGAGAAAAATTTTTTTGGAGTCAGCACCAACCAGCTAATAAGGCAGCTGGGGGCCAGGGCCATGGGGTGGCCTTTCAGACACACACACACAGCTCTGAGCCTCTGGGCCATACCTTGTAAGAACTAGGTATTTTGTTGAGGTGGGGGTAGTCACTGAGACCTGTGCTATGGGAGCCTCCTACAGAGGGCTGCTCTCTAGGCCAGGTAAAGTCTGGGTGAGACAAGAAAACATTCCTTAATGTGGCCCTGAATGAATAAAATGTGGAGGTCCTCCCAAATGCAGCAGCAGGCTAACAGGTGGACTGCAAGGCTGTGCCCTGCCCTGTCTCCCTGCATTGCAGCTGTTGGGGTCTGGGTGTTCCTGGCTAATAATCCACAATCCAGGAAAGGGCTGATTTGGTTGTGAAGGTCCAAATGAGAAAAGATTCTCAGACTGGTTTGTGCAAATGGTTTTTTTTTTTTTTTTATTTCCACATTTATATCACAAGGTGTCCACTTACTGGACCAAATAGCAAAGTTGCTCCCTTCTGCGTCCTGAGAACACAGAAGTCTAGGTACTGTACATTCACTAAGGCTCCTTGTTTTTGCAAATCGCGTTTATGACAAATAACCATAAGGCAAACGAATCTAAAGGAATGGTTATGAGTGTTTCCAGCGTACAGACAGGTCTTCCCCCTCGCCCCACAGTACAGCATAAAACCAGTAGCACCCACAATAACTTTTGTGTTGTTTTGGGGGGACTCTAGAAAGGTGAAGTTTTCTAGATGTGTACAGGAAGGGAAAAAAGAAAAGGGAGGAAGAAAGGAAAGGTTTTTTTGTCTGGTGGTCTGATGGAAGAGGAATTGTTTAAAATAAACATGAGAAAACTTAAATTTTTGCAGCATTTCTTTAAAAACTGGGTTATAACTGAAACCAGATATAAACAGGTGGCTGCCCATGGAGTGTGGGTCACACTGGCTGGCCAGCTGGCCCGCCTGCCCAATGCCAGTGGCTCACCACAGCTGAGAAGCTTCTGGCACATGACAGACAACACTGGCCTGACAGTGGCTGGGTAGGGAGCAAACAGAGGCAGTGGCATGGCCCACTGTCTCAAGACACTCAGGGCCAAATTAAAGAACAGAAAATGCAAGAGAGATGAGATGCGTGCTTCTGTTGCTGTGTTAAAGGTGACCTCTCCCACAGGTTTTCTGTGCCTGCCTGCAACTGAGGCCCCAGCTTTCAGGTGCTGGAAAGTGTCCGCACCTCTTTGGGGGTGAGGGACTAACGCTTTTTATAGCTGGTTTGCTATAGAGTTCTGAACTCACTTTGCCGTCCTTCCTTCCACGCGGTCCTTCTTCGCAATTTTGTTAGTAAACTGGTAGCAGCATTTCACAAAAAGAGTTTTGAGGGAAGAGCGCAGAGAGACCGCGTGACTCCCGCCCCCTCCCTCCCGCCTGGGCCGGACTCCCCGAGTTCCCAGCGCAGGAGGCAGCTGGGCCCCGGCCACCTGCCCACCTGCCTGCCCGCCCACCCGGCTTCTGCAAGATGGGAATGCACTTTGTGGCTGACAGGCCGGTCAGTCCAAGCAGACATAAGGCAGAATGTTCAAGCGCCCGTCGTCGCCGTGCGGATCGAGCGATATGCACTGCGTCCAGTCATACCAGTTACCCTGTGTGTCCTGACACCCGTTCACCCCCGGCCACTGGCTGGCCTGGATTCTGTCGAGATCGTCCTGTGTGACCTCCCGGGTCAGACCAGGGAGGTCCGTGGGCGGGCTTTGAGGCACCAGCACATGCAGCTGCCTGGCCCCTTGCCGGGTGCTCTCCTCCTGCTTCAGGTACTCAGACATGAAGTGGTGAGCCCCTGGGGTCTGCGCGCCCGATGATGAGAGCAGGCTGCTCTGCCGGCTCAGGTAGGACTGGATGATCTCGTTGCGTGACAGCTCCTTCCAGTTCGTCTGTTCGAAGGGGCTCTGGAGGCTGGCCTTGGCCTCCTGCTTGTCCAGCTCTGTCCTGGACTGCTGCTCCATGTGCACAGGGCTGTCTGCCCGCACTGGCTCTTTCTGGGTCAGAGGTTTGATCTGTCTCGTCATGGGGTCAAAGGTGAGCTTCCGCTCTTTTAACCGGACAGGCTTGACGCCCGCCTCAGCCACCTGCCCGTCCAAGTTAACCGTATAGTCTCGAGGTCGGTACCTCTTCTTCTTTTTACTGTCCGAGCCCCCTGAGGAGGCAGCATCACTGTCCGCCTTGGAGGAGTCTGGGGAAAAGCCTGCCCGGGACAGGAGGGGCTCGGCTGGGGACAGCCCTGCCTTGCAGCCCGGCCCCGCCAGCCGCTGGTGGCTCTCAGGCTGCTCAAGCCAGCACACTGGGCTTTCCGCACTGGGCAGCAGCTCGAGCCGCCGTACGGGGGGTGTGGACGGCTGTGCCAGTGGAAGCGGTGACGGCACCTGTGTGGCATCGAGTGCCTGGGGCCGCGGTGAGGGGCTGGGCACGGAGCCCTTGGGTGCATACAAGCTCTGCTGCCGGGCAAAGGAGCCCTCATGCCGTGAGTTCCGAGGACTGAAAGAGCAGCGAGGGGGTCCCTTGGGATGGGGAGGCCCCGGAGTCTCGTCCACCCTGTCCAGCTGCTGCAGCACCGAAGCCTTTGGCTGCAAGCAGGGTCCAGGGGGCTTGCCCAGGCCCGGGGAGCTGGTGTGCGGTCGCACGGCGTTGACGGGGATCTTGCCACTGTGCTTGTCATTCTCGTCACGCTCCAGGCGGCTGCCCTCTGGGCCTGCATGCCCACTGCCATCCAGGGAGCTGGCGAAGCTCTCTGGACTCCCACTGATCCCGTTGGTGGGGAGGGGGGATGAGTTGGGGACCAGGGGGTCGTGGCTAGCTTTGGAGACCTTGGGTGGCGGCCCTGGGTGGCCGAGGTCACGCTGGTCACCCCGGCGCTTGCGGCTGCCCAGCCTGTCCAGCCGCTGCCCGGGCAGCCTCTGGAGGTCATTGCGGCTCTTCAGGTCATGGATGCTCCTGGGTGGGCCAGCCGCCCCCACCTCCGGCCGGCAGTTGTGTGCGCCCCCGTTGGCAGAGCCGGTGGCCCCCGCCAGCCCCCGCAGCGCCGCCTCATGCTGGTGTGCCGGCTCGATGAGCTTCTGCCAGCTCCGCAGCAGCTTCTTGGCCCGCTTGGCGAGCTCCTCGTTCTTGGTTTTCTTGCGGACGTCGTTGATGAGCTTCCCAAGTCGTGTTTCCTACAACCAGAGGGAGATGATGACATACTTTCGGGACAGGAACTTCTCCATGAGCTGAGCCAGAAATGGTGGGAAGTGGCCCTGACAGTGAAATGACCCGGTTCCCACTGAGCCCTAAACTGCCAGCTTCCCTGACACAAAACTTCTGGGGATTTCCGGTCCTTTGTGACAATATAAATTCTCAAACCTAGTTCCCAGACCTTCAGGGTCCCAGGTGGCTTCTCAGCAGTGCTGTCACCCAGGCTCCTGGTGTCAGGGGGCTGTGGACCATCAAGGCCACTGTAAGGACACTGCCAGAGAGGCTTCCTGGGTGAGAGGGTGCTGTGGCCGAGGCGACAGCACAGAGGGTCCGCTTCAAGTGGAGGGTTGGGGATGGTGCCTCTCACTGGAGCCTCCTCCAAGCACACCTCTCCTGATGTCCCCACGTGCCCACGAAGTGTGCTGGGCATGTAGGATGGGAGTAACACCACTTGGTCTCTGCAGTGCCCGTGGGAGAGCAAGATCGCGAGGCACGAGCTGTGAGGGCACACCGCCTCTCTTGGTCCTCCGAAGCAAAGACACTGATGCTCCCAGAAGCTGCGGAAGGACCTGGTTGGTACCATCCCCTGCCCCCCGTTCTGCCCTCCCAAATGCTGGGGTCTGGGATACTCACCTCAAGTGCCTCTTTGGTAATAGGGTATTTCTCCAGGCTGGAGATGACTTCCAGCACCGCCACCATGTTCCGGATCTGTGGAAATAAAAAGCCATTTGTCAGGTCCCTGTCCTTCTCCACTGGGAGGCTGGAACACCCTGCCCCAGCCTGCTCCAGTCTCTCCCCAACCCCAGAGCAAGAGGAGCCAGCAGCACTGAAGCCCCCACTCCATGTCGTCTCCTACCTGCTCCCTGGGCCAACCTGGCACCCAGTGCTCATCCTCACCTGCCGTCTGACCTCCTCCAGTGTGTGGTGTGCGGGCTGCCCCAAGCCCTCCAGTGTACATGGTACATACCCACCCACCTGCTGAAACCCAGGATGCCTGTGGAACAAGAGCTGCTCCTGATACTTAAGATGACCTCTACTCTGCCATCTGATGGGAGTGGGAGAGGAGACACGGAAGAATTCATCGAATAAAATCCACAAAGCTTAAAAGATCAATACACAGGCCAGGCGCGGTGGCTGACACCTGTAATCCCAGCACTTTGGGAGGCTGACGAAGGCGGATCAGAAGGTCAGGAGTTTGAGACCAGCCTGGCCAACACAGTGAAACCCCATCTCTATTAAAAATACAAAAATTAGTTGGGTGTGCTGGCATGCGCCTGTAGTTCCAGCTACTTGGGAGGCTGAGGCACGAGAACCACTTGAACCCGGGAGGCGGAGGGTGTAGTGAGCTGAGACCACACCACTGCACTCCAGCCTGGGTGACAGAGCAAGACTCCGTGTAAAAAATAATAATAATAATAATAATGATAAACCAGTCAATCTGAATCCAAAGACACCATAAAGAGAGCAGAAAGTCACAAAGTGGGAGAAGGCATAGGCCACAGGCCCCCAAGGAGCTGTATCTGGAACACAGAATGCCTGTACAGCAGTACAGCTGACCAGGAGCCCGGCGTAGACTGGCCACAAGACAGGAACAGGCACACGGCAATGAAATGTCAGTGCTGATGCTCAGCCTCTCAGCTTTATCGATAATCAGGAAAACTCAAACTGAACCCACAAATGGATACATGATACACGTGCCCCACTGACAACACTAGGTACTTCGGGGGATACAGCTGACTTTGGGGACTGCTGGGCTTTGTCTGGCAGAGTGAAGCATGAACACATCCCATGACCAAGTAATCCCTCCCTTTTAGGATCTTGCTAGGAGCCACACCTTGTTCTAAGCACTTCCCACACATTACTGACTCCCTTAATTGTTACAACAAGAATTCCTACCACTCAACCACCACCTCCAGCAACTACAGGTTTCTGGTGGGCTGGCTAGCGGGTGGGAGCCCAGGGGCCCTGAGGAAACCACAGTGAGTAGATTACTCAACTCCCCCCCACCCCAACATGATAAAGGAGTTAAGCGGGCACATGATACAAATTAAAACAGCATAAAAGGGCACACAAGGAAATGGGCATCTCTGACCCAGCCACTGTAGCATTTCCTTGCATTTTTTTCCAAAAATATCCCTTGTGTATATAGGCGTATACATCCACACTTATCACATATTTCAAAACCAAACTGACAGTGGTTCTTGCCTTTTCTGACTTAATGTCAGCAATGTCCAGCCTCAAACAGAGCCCCTCATTTGGCTCACCATCCCTTCCAGAGTGGGGAAGGCCCGACTTGAATGCTGTGGGACACTTAGGCACTTTCCGTCCGCCATTACAAAATAAGGCTGCAACCGACGGCAGTGACAGACCTGACTCTGAGCTAGTGCACAGACAGCCATGGAGGAGCTGGGGCTCCACATCCATGCAGGGTGGTCACCTCACCCCCAGGGAGGCTGCTCTATTCCATTCCCACCAGGCCACATCCTTGCCAAGACTGCGTGGCAAGAGTTTCCGTAACACATGATTGTAAACTTAGCATCTTACACAGCACACATTTATCATCTTAGGCTCTAGGGCTCAGAAATCAGGTCTGAGTCTCACTGGGCTGGGATCCTCTCTAGAGGATCCATTTCCTGCTCCTTCAGGTGTTAGCAGAGTTCAGCTCTTATTTTGTTTTTTTTTTTGAGATGAAGTTTCACTCTTGTCGCCCAGGCTGGAGTGCAATGGCACGATCTCGGCTCACTGCAACCTCCGTCTCCTGGGTTCAAGCAATTCTCCTGCCTCAGCCTCCCGAGTAGCTGAGATTATAGGCACCCGCCACCACGCCCAGCTAATTTTTGTATTTTTTTTTAGTAGGGACAGGGTTTCACCATGTTGAAGGCTGGTCTTGAACTCCTGACCTCAGGTGATCTGCCCTCCTCGGCCTCCCAAAGTGCTGGGATTACAAGCGTGAGCCACTGCACCCGGCCCAGAGTTCAGCTCTTTACACTACAGGAATGAGGCCCATTTTCTTGCTGGTTGTCATCCGAAGCCATTCCCAGCTTCTGGAGGGCACTGCATCCAGCTCACACCCCCTCCCCTTATGCTCAAAGCCAGCTACAGGCTGAGTCCTCACCCGGCATCTCTCTGACCCAGCCAGGATAGGTGCCATCTCTAAGGACTCCCTGACTAGGCAGGGCCTGCCCAGATGATCTCGGATCACCTCCCCATCTCCAGGCTGTTCCCTTAGTCACATCTGTCATGTACGGTACCATGTGCCCAGGCTCCAGGACTAGAATGTGGACGTCCTTGAGGGCTGTTAATTCTGCTGGCCTCATGGATTCTGGCTTTTCTACTCTTCTGCCCCACTTCCAGTGGGAGGCAGCCACTGCCACTCCCTCCCTTCCCGTGTTGTCTCCTCTGGGTGTAAAGTTGCAGAGCCACGACAGCAGTCCCCGCAGAACTCCCACAAAGCTGCCCTGCCAATGGGCCCATTTGCTCTTTGGCAACAACGGCCTTGCCTTGCAATGTTCTCCATTCAGGGCTCCAAATGACCCTGAAAACCCTGCTTCAAGCTGTGTCATGGTGGGGGTGGACGGGTGATATGAGGGGAGATACAGTCCTGTCCGCACTCCTCGTGCAATGGGCAGGGATCAGTGCAGGGGAAGACTGTGCGATGAGGAGGCCAGTCCCAGACAGACAGCAAGGCCAACCACTCCCTGCCCCAGGCACTCCAGCACCGACTCAGTCCCTGGGCTTGCCACATGGCTTCACCTCCACCCTGCTGACCTCACCCTGGTATATTTGGAGCCCTGGTTCCCCACATACTCCTGAAGCAGCAGTCCTTGCAGAGCAGAACACTGCCCAGACCCAGCTAGCCTGGTGGCACAAAGTGTCCTTGTCCTTGGGCAGACACCATCCTGCTGCCAGACAAGAGGGAGGAGACAGAACACCTGGGCAACCCCAGGGTCTGGTACTGAGCTGGTGCCCCAGAAATCACCGCTGAACTAACAGCCAGTCCCAAGAGTCTCCTGGAAACTGTGTGGGAGCTGGGGACACCAGGCGAAGGTGTGAGGGCCCTGTGACTGTGTATCCTTACCCTTGGCCCCTCCCCTGCCTTATGAGCCACGCTTAAGCGTGTGCAGAGAGGCCTTCAGCCTCTAGGAGCCCCAAGGGAAATGCTACAGCCTTGGCAGTCCCCTTTCTGTCCCCACCGTGTGAGCTGCTCACCTGAGGAGTAGAGGAGCCCGCCTGCTCTACCTGTAAGGTGCTAGAAACCCACAGTCCTACGCCGTAAACAGATGAACTCTGCCAACACCTGAAGGGGCAGAAAATGGATCCTCCAGAGAGGAGCGCAGCTCGCTGCTTCCTGGATCCCAGCCCGGTGAGACTGGAGCTGACTTCTGAGCCCTAGAGCCTGAGATGATAAATGTGTGTTGTGTAAGACACAGAGAGAGGGTGAGTGTCCAGTGCGGCCACTCCCTGGAGCCAGCAGAAGGCAGTCAGTGATGTCAGCAGAGCTAAGGATGGGGGCAAGGTGAGACTGCCCTGCCCTGCGACCTCTGGGGCATTGATGTCAAGCAGTCTGAACACTGTGTGGGGAGCACCACCTGGGCATCCAGACACAGGCCTCCCAGGCCCAGGAGGCAGACACTGAGCAATGCAGCGAGGAATCCCTGCAAAGGGCCTGGCCCCGACCCCAGGCACACTGAGCCAGAAGGCTCCACAGAGCCTCTTTATAGATGGCCACAGTCTGTCCCAAAGAACACTTAGCACCCAATTGGTGCTGGTCCCATAGGAGCAAAATAGGAGCTGGCTTCTGACCCTGGCCCTGGGGACCCTGCCTTAACAACCAACTGACCCCCCACCCAGGAGTGGCAGGTCTCCCACTCTCATGGAGGTGGCCCTCTGTGAGTGACAGAGACACCAGGACTCGTATGTGGCTGAGGGGAGGCTCCCGCTCTGACTCCAGGCCTGCTAAGTCCAGCATGAACCCTCAGGGCAGGGAGGCAGGCCACAGGGGGAGGGCAGCACCTAAGGTGGCCTCCCAGGGAGGTCAAAAAAGGATGTGGCAGAACGAGCTGTGTCCACCTGGGCTGGAGACCGACTTCCATGCTGGAAAGCAGAAAAGAGCTGGAGAAGGATGGGCAGGGAGCTGGCCAGACAGCACCAAAGCCCTGCGGCAGGGGAGAGGCCATGGGTAAGGACACCGGGAGGAAAAACAGACCCAAAAGACCCAAGGTGGCTCCTTCACAACCTGTCTTCTATCCCCCTTAGCGACTGCCCCCACAGACCACCTGCCCTTGCCCTGTTTCTGGGATGCCCTTGGCACCTGTCCATCTATCTGGGGAAGTACACTAGATCCTAATCTCAGCACAGACACAGTTTGACTCCACATGGGGAGCCGCTCCAGGCGATGGCCTCAAAAGATGGCTTTAAGGCAGCTCTTCAGGCTTGCCAGGGCCATGTCTGTGGCCCGATGGCCAATTGCAGCCTCTTGCTGTCAGGAATAGCCTGGCACATCTGAGGCCCCCTCCTCCTTTGGATTCTCCCTTGGGATTTGTTCCCAGTCCAAAAAAACCTCTCAAAACACCTGCCAAGTTGCTTTCCCAAAGGGGCAGGAATCCCGTCAGGAACTGTAGCCTCTCACTTCTCCACTAGGGACCCCTCAATAGATGCAGATGGGTCTGAACTTCCTTAACCATCAACGAAGACAGGCGTTGCCTCCCCTTTCTACCAACACTGACCGCCCCTGCCCACTTAATTTGCTTCAGTTTGGCCTCTTCATTGCTGCGGGAAGTGCCTGTGAAGGGCAAGGGTGTTGGGTGGGGGTGGGGGGTGTCGACAGCAGAACCTCCATGCAGCTACTAGGAGAAGCAGGGGTAAATGCAGCAAGGAGCACTCTGGAAGCAGGTGGGACCTCCCTGGGGTGCCTGCTCCAAAGGCAGGCAGGGCAGGAAGTTAGCAGGTGGGACCAGGTGTGGCACAGGTATACATGCAGGTCCAGCCCAGCCGCCTGGTACATGAATGTTGATGGAACTGACTCCACTGTCACACCGAACACTTTCAGGTCTTAGAATGGAAATCCATGAGGCATGATCAGGTACACATGGGCCAATAGGAATGTGAACATTAATCTCGTCCTTCTGGAATCTCAGAAAAACCAAGCAGGGAGGCCTGGTCTCAGGTCATAGGCATCACAGCTAGCATAGATACTGAGGAAGAACAGTTTGCATCCAGGCAGAGGGTGAACTGGGGCCACCAGCACAACCCTCAGCACACAGGTGCCCCACACTTCAGGGATGCCCCAGGAACACACGCATGGGGGCATGGAGGGGACAACTTCTCGCCCAAGACCACAAGAGGTCTGGCTGTCCCAGGGCTCTTTTGTGGTCATCCTTCCACATGAGAACTTAAAAAGGCTTCCACGGGCGCGGTGGTGTGCACCTGTAATCCCAGCTACTCGGGAGGCTGAGGCAGGAGAATCGCTCAAACCTGGGAGGCGGAGGTTGCAATGAGCTGAGATCACGCCACTGCACTCCAGCCTCGGTGACAGAGCAAGACTCCGTCTCAAAAAAAAGAAAAAGAAAAAAAAAACCGAAACCCAAACACTGCCCCCCCCCGCCCCGCCAAAAAAAAACAAAAAACAAAACAAAAAAAAGAAAGGCTTCCGGAAAGGCTGGCACCTTTGTCCCCAGAGAGCCCCATAGCCTGTGCTAAGCCACAATTCCAGCCAGCCTAACTGGTGACATGTGCTGTTCAGCTCACAGGAAATGTGAGGAAGGAGGCGGGGCTGGACACGCACAGAGACAGCCTGAGGGAGGGGCCAGCACCCCTCAGAAGCAGCCTGGGTCAGGCGCCTGGAGCTGCGTGAGACACCTCATTCTCCCACACCCTGGGAGCAGTGGGGAACCCTGTATGCGACTTCACAGCACACCACGCTCCGTGTGAGCTATTAAAGACCCACCACGCATCCTCGTCTTTCAGTGACACTTTCCTGAAGAAATAATACAATCTGGAATTTGCTACAGAATCATCCCCTAGGGTGAGTGACAGGAGGGGGATGGGTGAAACAAAGTCACATGGCTGTAAGCAGCTATCTACTGAAGCAGGATGGTTACCTTTCTCTACTTTTATGCTTGAAATTTCTCACAAATAAAGATGAGAAAATACATCTATTTCCTAGCATTTGTTTGGGAGAGTTCACTGATCTAGAAGGACTGGCAGCCATCTAAAGGGGAAGTGAGCAAATAGCTGTTTCCAACTCCTCATAGTGGCTTCACTGTCCACCATCTGGCCCCTGAGTGGGGCAGCAAGGGCCGAGGGCTGGGTAGGATGCCACCTCCCTCCACGTGAGCCTGTCTCAAGTCTCAGGCCTCCTAACTGATTTGAACTGCACAACACCATCTATCTGGTGAGACCCCAGGAGCCCCTCACCAAGCTCCCCTACTCTGGTACTGGGCTGCTGCTTAACAGACCTGGTGCAGAAACAGCAGGCACCCCTGGGGCTGGAGAGGGGAGCTCTGAGTACCCATGCCAGCTGTCCATCCCGGTCCGACTCTCAGGTGTCCTCACGCCTCTCTTCTAAAGGAAACCACAGAGAGCCCGAACCAGGGGCACACGCTAGGTCGACAGTTCCTTCCTGCAGGGAGAGGCCTGACCTGTACCAGGAAGGAGCCCAGGACAGCCACCACCACAGAGAGGACAGGCCCTCAAGTGGCCCAGACCAGGAGGGAGGACTTGGCAAGAAGGGGTGGGGGCTAGGTCACTCTCTTCCAGAAGGGGAGAAACATAACAATGAGCCAGCAGTAACCCAGGGAAGGGACAGCCGTCACTCCAGGACCTGCCCAGCCCCAGTCAGCACCACCTCCCTCCCATCTGCGATCCACATCCTATGGCTCTGGGCACAGCTGAGCCACAGGACACAGCCACTCAGAACTTTCTTTCCAGGTTTCCCTCAAAGGCCAGCCAGCAGCACTCCTCTGTGGCCCTGTGAAACCCAGTGACACCTCTGACCCCTCCGGAGTCCGGAAGACTAGACTCTTCTGAAAACCCACCTACGACAGGGTGCGTGGAATCACCTTTCAAACCAAACTCCTGTCGGCAAATATTTTAATTGGGCCACGGCATGTGTCCGAGTTTTTCTTCTGTGAAGAGGATCACTGGGTCTGAGTGCAAAGCTGGGGCCTGTTCAGTGGAGTGGACCCGCTACTGGCCAACCTCTTCCTCGCTTTATTACAGGGGTGTGTAAGTAAAACCCTCAGGCCCTGAGTAATTACTGCTGGGGATTTCCAGCCCTGGTCTGAAACAAGGAACTGAGACTGAGTTTTGAGTCCCAGCAGCCCCTTGGCTTGCCTCTCCATTTTCTCCACATCTGAACTGTTCCCACCCCGCCTGAGATCCCCAGCCTCTTGGGAATGCAGCTGTGGTAGCAAAGGGGAAACCCTGTGCTGCCCAAGGTCTGACCAACCAATAGTCCCAAGGGTGCTGAGCCTGGGCAGGCCCAACCGGGCACAACTCGCACAGGACCATCACTGGTGGGTTGCCCTTGTGCCAAGTTCTTTCACGTCATCCTCACAAGCGCACTCTACAGATAAGGTAACTGAGGGCCAGGAAGGTAATGGAGGTCCCGGGTAGACCACACAGCTAGAAGATGGTGAGGCCTGGCCTTCCACTAGCCTGACATGGCTACCAAACACACAGGGCCCATCTGGTGCTTTGAGTAGGTGGGGTGAAGGGTACCAGGTGCCACCAGCCTGTGGTGATGTCGGCACTCTGTAAAGACTCTCCTGACGTGCTCCTGCAGTGAAATGCACAGGTTACAAACAGTTCCTTGAACCCACACAGGGCCACCTCCACGGTCTCCGTGTTGTCTATGCCTTGTCCCCAGGATGCCTGAGAGGCAGGACCAGGGTGACCCAGGCATGCACGGGCCACCACAGCAGGGCTTCAGATGGCACTGGAGCCCACTCCCCACCGGGCTGGCCCTGGGAACAGTGCACATGGAGCACAGACTGCAGTTCTGCACTCCCCCACCTCGGTGTCCGGCCAGCCTTCCTGACCACCCTGGACGGTGGGCGGCACTGCCCTGGCAGCCTGTGGGCCCGCACCTGTGCCCCACAGCCCACATAACCTGCTCCTTGGGCTCAAAACAGCCCCTGCTGAGGCCTCAGTGGCAAAGCACCTGTAAAAACCGGTTCACTTTAAAAACAACAATGGGGATGTTGTCGGGTTTTTTTTTTTTTTTTAATGCAGAATGGTCTAGACAGTAATTTACAAAAACTACTTAGCTCAAAAGACTGTGGAAGTGTTCATCAGCAAGCAAGCTGTCCTTCCAAACCCAAACATGCCACAGATGGCACCCAGAAACAGACAGTCTGCCTTCAATGTGCTAAGCATTCTAATGCCGTCCGCGGCTGAGTCACCTCGCCCACCCCCCAACCCCCAACACACAGTCGTGTCTGCTGAGGACACACGGGTGAATCAAACAGGGCTTTGCTGGGAGAGTGTGTGTCTGTGATTTGGTTCCCGCCACACCAAGTCTTCCTGCTTCTGACAAACTCCGCACGTGTTCCCAGGCAGCTGGGAGCCAAACTGCCTCTGGTGCAAGTCAGTACAAGAGGCGGCACCTGCATCCCCACCCCACCTCCACCCCAAGACCCCAGCTCTGCCCTCCCTCTCAGCTCTGGAAAGCGCAGCCCTGAGGGGTGCTGCTGTGCTTACCCTCAGGCGGGCCCCACCCTGCACTCTCCGCTCAGCCTCATGGGGCTGGTGCAGGTCCACCAGGCTCTGCCCAGTGAAGGCACCTTCCTCTGAGGGGACCTCATGGGAGCCTCAAACCCCAGGGGCAAAGCCTCAAGTTCACAGCTTCTCAGAGGAAGAATGACACTGGGAGGAACAATGACGGGAAGGTGCATGTCTCGGCCACAGCCACCAAGCTCACCACTTGAAAAGCACTTCCTGCTGGGGCCCTCCTGCTACTCCCAGGAGCAGCCGGCCACCTGAGTGGTCTGTCATGTCCATGTGGCCCTCCCTGTCCTGCAGCCACAGCTCCTGTAATGCTTGGGCAAGTATGCAATTGCATGCTACAACTCAGCCCGGGGGACGGGAAATGCCACCTGAGTACAGGCAGCACGCGGAGCCCTGACTGAACCCCATGAGCAACTCAGAAAGAGGAAGCCCAGGGCTTGGGGCAGAAGTAGGAGCTCCATCAGTAGGCATGCCTGACTTCTGCAGCGAGGGAAACTTGCAGATGAAGCCAGGAGGCAGGCAGCGCTGCTCTCCACAGCCACTGCCCCCACAGCGTCCTTCCCTCCCACTTTCTGTTTTTAGCAGCTCTTCCCAACCAAACTACCAACCTAGACTCTCCTGACCTCTGCTTCAGGTCTGCAGAACTTACGATTCTTACTGCCATTTGGCCCTTTGTGAAGGCACAAGAGCTCTCAAAGCTCATCTGTAAATTGACTCGTTGCTACGCGGATAGAACTGGAGCAGTGGGAAGCCAAGCGGAGTCCTGGTGATAGCACGCTGGGTGGGGGCTTCTCCCTCTCAGCCTCTCTCTTCTAGGAGCAGCTGATAAGAATGCCAGCTGCAGAAGACTGGAAATGACCCAACATCCTCGGGGGAAACACACACACAGTGCTCGGCCCATATATGTTCCGCCAAAGACAGAGCCCAAATAAGAACGAGCCAGCTTTTCAGGAATCAACAGGGAACAACCTTCAAGAGACTGCCAAGCACAGAGATGCACACAACAGCGCACCCTGTGCCGCCGCCTGGAAGATCCTAGCTGAGGCTGGGCAGACAAGGACCTGATGGTTGAGCCGCGCATAGCTGTAGCAGGGGACCGCACCTGGCCTCCAGCACTGACGCAAGCAAGACCTATCACTGACTGGAGCCCAGTTCCTCCTCTGAGAGCATGAGAAAACCACAAGATGGTGTCTGTAGAGCATGAATGGTGTGCTGGAGACCACGCCCCCAGGGGCCAGGCCACGAGGACCCGCACACTGCACTTTCTGCTGGGCTGCTCTGTGGTCTGTAAGATCCATTCAGGCAGGGCAGTGCCCAGCACGGTGCCTGGAGGCAGCCTCAGAGGCCCATTGAGAGAGGAAGCCGAAGGAGAGCAGCCCCCCGCCTGCCTGTCCAATTGGGCTGCTGTAAGATCCTGAGAACTAGTGACCTTCTAGAATTCCCCGAGACAAGTCATCAAATGCTCTCTGAGCACCGACTGCACACAGGTGCTCTACCAAACTCTGGGCCCGCTGGATGCTGGGAGGGGGCGTTAGGATCCCTGTGTACTGACCCGGAGGAGTAGACAGAGACAGCCAAGGTCAAGAACAGAAGCAACAGATAAAATGCCACCACTGAGGCTCTCACCCAGGCTGCCAGGAAACCCCAGGGGAGGACTACACTTGGCTCAGGTCCAGGGCCACCCCTTCCCCCACAGCTCCTGGGCTCTGTGTGGAGCTGGAGGGACAGGAGTGGGCACAGGGGCCTTCTCATTGGGCATTCCTGCAACGAGGGCCACGGTGCAGAGAACCAAGGACACTGTCACCCAAGAAAGAGTCTGGTGACTCTGTGGATCCCATGGTAACCACCATTTAAGGATGGACACTCACGCTATGATCCAGCAATTCCACTCCAAGCAGCACCTACAGAAATGCACTCAGAGCAGCTGTATCAGAACAGCCCCAACTGAAAACAGCCCACGCAGCCACCAACAGAACACCGAATAAATAAATCATGGTCTGTCCATTCAATGTTGGATGAACAAACTGCTGCTACACATAACCTCAAAGACAAATCTCAAAACAACGTTGAGTCAAAGAGCCAAACACAAAAAAACACATTTTTTTTTTGTCCTGGATTAAAAGGTCAAAAGCAGGCAAGACTTCTAGATGGTGAGAGCAGTCAGGGTAGTGGCAGGCAGAGAATGACTAGGAGAGGACGTTGAAGATGGCTTCAGGGGAAAGGCTCTGTTCCTTAACCTGGGTGGACTGGGGTTCTCAGATGTGTTCATAAATGTTCATTCAGCTGTAAAACTTGGGACTTGTACACTTTTCTAGATGTATATTTTCTAGACTATATTTACAAAGGTTGTTAAAAATAACCTACTGTGTGTGAATTCCATGATCTTAGAGGCCACCTCATCCTACAGAAACAGATGGTGAAGCTGTCAGGGTTGTGGAGGAGGGGGAGGTGTTGGCAAAGCAGCCCCTCGTTCCCCACGGCCCAGACCCTCTGAGAGCCCCACAGAACAAGGTCTGAAAACAGCTTCAACACAAGCCCTGGCCACCTCTACAACACACAGTGATGCAATGTGCACTGCACTTCACTGCTCACTGAGAAACGTGTCTGCACTCTCCTGCCCTGGATGGGACTGAGGAGGACAAGGGCACTCTGAAGCTTCCCCGGCAGGAGTACTCAACAGATGAGTGTCCCCAGGAAGAAGTGAGCACTAATGCTACTGGAAAGAGGCAGGCAGGCAGCACCCACTGGGCATGGTGCCAGCACCCTGCAGGGCACTGGGGTCTTGCCACACCATGGTCTCCCCTGAGACCACAGATACGCCCCCTCCACCCCCAACAGGTATTAAGCCACTTTCCCATCCAAGAAGCCAGGGTGCCAGCTGGCCACAGATTCGTTACTAACCTAACCTGCTACCCCATGCAGCCAGCACACACCTGCCTCCCTGCTCCACTGTGACACAGGACACTTTAGGATGAGGCAAATCTGCACATCTATACAGCGGAAAAGGACAGTGAAGAAATGCCTCTTCTACTCCTAGTTTGCTGAGAGGTTTTATCAGGAATAGATGTCTGATTTTGTCACATGCTTTTCCTGCATGTACTGGGATGATTATAAGGCTTTTCATTTCTGGCCTTGTAATATGGTTGATTACACACATTTTCAAATGTTATCTGCCTCCCTTGCTTTAATTTCAGCTCCCTTTCTTTGCTACCTTGATTGTGGTGTTGGTGTTACTGATGTACTTACAAGTTAAAATTTATCAAATTATATACTTCTGCTATGCGCAGTTTATTGTATGTCAATTATATCTCAATAAAGCTATTAATGTCAGGCACAGCGGCTCACACCTGTAATCCAAGCACTTTGGGAGGTGGAGGCAGGTGGATCACCTGAGGCCAGGAGTTTGAGACCAGCCTGGGCAACATGGCGAAACCCTGTCTCTACTAAAAATACAAAAAAATTAGCCAGGCGTGGTGGCAGGCACCTGTAATCCCAGCTACTTGGGAGGCTGACGCATGAGAATCACTTGAACCCGGGAGGTGGAGGTTGCAGTGAGCTGAGATTGCACCACTGCACTCCAGCCTGGGCCACAGAGAGAGACTTTCTCAAAATAAAATAAAATAAATAAATAAATAAATAAATAAATAAATAAATAAATAAATAAAGCTATTAAAAAAACACCCATGGAGGCAGACAGATGCAGCAGGTCCTAGGAAAAGTAGGAGGGATGGCAGGCAGAGAGAAGGACTGCTTCTTTGTTAGAGAGGGGAACCAGATGCCACCTGGGTTTGTCCTCCCTGGGGAAGGAGGGTGGGCCCTTTGGGGAGGCTCCTTCTCTCCTCAGTAGAAGGAGAATGACTGTCACGCCTAGGATCTCAGAGGGACTGTAAGGACTGAAAGATACACTTGAGAATGCACACAATGCACTCCCCATCTCAGACCAGACTCCTGCAGGCATCAGTAGGCACCTGCTTTTTCCTTCTGGGACATTCTGTATGCACCCACAAACACTTGTGCACTGCACTGATTAGGCATCCTAATTGTAGCTTTGGAAAAAAGCTGTAGCTGAAGCTGGGTCACAGTGTCCTATGAGCTGTGAAATAAAATGCCAAGCAGCCACCAAGCCACTTCCCAAGGCTGAACTTACACACACACCCCCTTGTATGCCTACCTATAGGGTTTGGTCATACTTCACTGGAGACCCAGGTGAAGGAACCAACTTCCTACACTCGAGAAAAGGCCAGCGGCTGCAGACATCTGCAAAGTCTTGGGCAAACGACAGTCTGCTCTCCCCAAAACATGGTGCAAGCAATGATGCTGGATCCATCCTCCTGACCTGAAAGTAGCCACGGTGCGTCTGACAGAGTCTTTTCCCTCCTAATTCCGCATGGTTTTCTCCTATGGGAATTAAGCTCCTAGAGTGAGAAATCTGTCTGAAATCCTGACTTTCCCCGCTAGAGAGCTGATCTAGATCCTTCCTATTCAAGTGTGGCCTAGGGGTCAACAGCACGGGCATCACCAGGGAGCTGCTTTGAAACGCACAATCCCCATCCCCATCCCCCCTAGACCTCCTGCATCAGAAGCTGCATTCCAACAAGCCCTCAAGGAGGCCCAGCCCCACAGGGATGATGGGCAGAGGCACCCAAGGCTGTGGGCTCTGCTTGGCACCATGTGCCCAGCTGCAGCCCTGACCCCTACTTCTGTGGCCAGCCAATCAGAGGCTCCCTGGTAACACTCCTGGCACCACCTGCACCCTGCTTTCCAGAGTCCCTCCCAGGTGTGACTCATCCAATCCCTCTGACAACTGTAAACCCTGAGGGGGTGTGATGTGCCCAAGTTCCATCTGCAGGAGGGGACTGCAGAGTCCATACCACGACCCCACAGAGCCCACCAGGCACAGCTGTGGGGCCCTGTCCCGTCCCATGCCAATCTCAGAGAAAGCCTCTCCCGATGGTGGTGTGACAGGGTCCAGACAAACCACAACAGGATGAAAGGACAGGAAATATCCAGGCTGGTGGGGGACGTACCGCCACCAACCAGCAATGGCCACTGTCAGGGACAATGGCATCTGGCAGAGGCTGGGGAGCTCCCAGAGGATGTTAGCAAATCACGCCACACATGTCCCTTCCAAACAAAGTTCAGCAGCAGCAGGTCTCACCCGCTCGCCTAGGCATGACATGTGGAGCCTGTCACCAGCTTCATAACCAGTGTCCCCACCTTCATCCACTTGGCTCCCAGAGCTCCTGGTCAAAACGGCACCCCCTTCTTCTAAACCTCAAAGCCGGTGTTTCTAAGATAATTCCACTTCAGCTCCAATAAGGACCTGAGTAGCTTCTGCGGGCTGGACCGATGACCAGTTATTGCAACTGGGGACATTTTCTAAGGGCAGATGATGGCTGTCTTGGTTCCAATCAACTGCCTTACAAACCACTGCCCTGGAATGCAACTGTTCCAAAGGCGGCATCACTCAACCCTCTGTTTTAAAAACACAAGTCAACGAAAATAACAAGTTGCACCACCACCCCCAACTCACAGCCAAACCTCCCACAGGACTGGCCGAATTCTGCCCTGCTTGGCTGGCGCCGACTCTGTAGGTGGGCCAAGCAGGCAACTGATGCCCACCAATCCAGACACCAGCACCTGGTCCCCAGGAGGGCCACCAGCCCACAGCCTGCAAGGAGAAAAGAAGAAATCCTCCTACGGCCCTCAGTGACATCTCATAGACCCAACAACCTGATGCCGAGGTGCCTATCCGAAGTCACTGCATATTTCATCGGCACCCTCTGGCCCAGGCTGTGCAGAGGACAGGGCCAAATCACCACCTCACCATTCACTGGGTCTGGAAAGCAAGCCCTTTCCAGCAAGGGAGAGGCAGGGAGGCATGAGGGAGCTCCTCCCCTGGTCATCTGGCTCACAGAGCTCTTCCTCCCACCTGCCCACACATCTGCTCAGACTTTCTTTAGCCCTCACTGCCTGCAACACACCCGCTTTCTCACATGTGGTCCAGCCTCCACCTGCAGGTCTGCTCCTCAGGTGCAGGGACCTTGGTTTTGTTCACTGTTGCCTCCTAAGTGCCTAGAACAGTGCCTGGCAACTAGCAGGGACTTGATACATGCCAAATGATGGGTGGATGAAGTCCCTCATCCACGGTTGCTGGCCACCATGTTCACTCCAATATCACAAACATCTCAGGGGTCTCCCTCTGTGGCAAGTCAACACCTAGAGAGCAAACACGCTTTGTCCCGTTGTCAGCTGTCACCTGCACTGGCCATCCCAGAGGATCATGAGAACACAGTGACTCTTGGTGGTCCTCACAAAGCTTCATCAAAGTCCAGGTCAAGGGTGCCATCTCTGAGTGGGTCCTGGAGATGCTGCTAGACAGAAGGCCACCTCTCCTGTCCCTCCAAAGCTGTGGTCAATGGTGGCACTGGCTCTGCTGCTCTCTCTCAGGCAAACATGTTTGCTCAGCAAGGCTCAACGTGTTTTGAGAGAGCCTTCGTTTTCAATGCAGAGGTCCTGGAAGTTACTATGACCACACAAATTTTCTCCAGTTTACCTTCTTGGCAATCCTAAAGCTATTCCAAATTGTTATATAAGGAGGGAGAAGGGAAGCCACATGAGATTTTTGCAAAGCCACGAATTAAAGCAATGTGGAAATTAAACCTAACAATCCACTGTGGTTAACTCAGTGACAGGATTATCCATATAGTGGCGGCACAGTGTGGCAAGGCAGGGAGAGTGGAAGCTTGCTGGTAGAAGCCTGTGTTATCTGCTGGCTACAGTGAGGGCACACTCAAGGGCCACCAGGGCTCCTGAGGCCACTTGCCGCCGAGAGCCAAATCAACCACTTCCTTCCTTTCCCACTAAAGGCTAGGCAGCCCCTGGTGGCTCTGGGGAAAGCCCAGCCACACAGCAGTGGCCCCAGTCAAGCCCCAAGTGGGGTGGAGCGGATCTCACCGGTACTTCCTGCTGTGGACCTGAACCACGCGCATCTCACAAGTGGGGAAGGGGCAGCGAAACCAACCTGAGAGGCCATGATTTGGCCTGGGCTAAATGCCAGAGGACACCCTGCAGCGAGACTCGTGCTCCCTTGTCATGACATGTCCAAGGCAAGGTGGGGTCTGAGCTGGGTTCTAGGAGAGGCACTGAAGTGGCCTGCAGAGGTGGCAGACCACTGGACATGGAGAAGGTTCATTTTTCACCACGGTGAAGATGAAGAAGGGGGAAAAAACCAGAACTTTCTTCATTTGCTAACAGCACCTCTTCAATATTTTAAACCTTTTTTAACTTAAAAAAAAAATCTGGTTTCCCCCACCTTCATCTTCACCACACAAGTGCTGACAGTCAACCACAGCCACAGAAAATGCAACAGTGCAATTAAGGGCAGGAACGCATGTTTTTACTACACCCTAAGGCAGCATTAAAAAGTGCTGGCTCTGGACCCTACCTGTCACCACACCAAAACGGCTCTACCCAGGGAACCTGTCACCAAAGCCAGGGACCCATCAGCCTGCCTCGGCCTCACCTCTCAGAGCAGTTCCTCGAATCCAGGGCTGCTCCTTCCTCCTGAACTCTGCTCCTGCCGGTGGCCCCTCTACAGTCTCAACTTCCTCCACTTGGGGCTCCTCAGGCCCCAACCCCAGATCCTTCCTCCCTCACTGCGGATTCACACTCCAGGAGCAGTGGCAGCACCCCCCATGTAGGAAAGCCCACAGTCCAGGAGTCACCTCCAGTAGGTGCCTCTGCGTTGGACCCCTGTTTCAAAGCCCTGAGATGGTTGACCCCAGCCCTCCTCAAACCCAACTCGTGACACGTGCGCACCTCTTTCCAGCTCTGTGACTGTCTAGACACTCTGACCACATTGGGCCTAATGCTGTGCTGACCGAGCACACCGAGGGAAGCAAGAAGGGACCTGGTGACTTGATTGTGCACGTGCTCTCACCCTGCCCCTGTGGTCTTCCTCTCCTCTGAGAGCATCTACTGAGCCACTGCTGTTGTCAGATGTGCGCTGTCTTGAACCCCAGCAGCCTCAGGAGGTGAGATGAACATTGTCATTGCACAAATGGACACCTGGAAACTCAGGAAGGGATGACATCCTGTGGTGGCTTCAGGCTGAGAGTGCCCAGCAGACCCAAGAATGGAGACCAGTGCTCAGGTCTGACCTCAGAGGCCAAGCTCTGCACAGAACAAAGTGTGGAGCCAACTCACACCCTTCACTCCCCCAACAGCAATGCTTTCCTGGGTGACTTTCCCGTCCTAGTCCAGTGCCAGTAACAATTATATCACTGCATCACAGATACTGCATTCTTTTTTCATTTAACACTTCTTGTTGCTACATAATCTTCAAGATCATGTCTAACAGCTAAATGTTCTATTAATGTATCATAATTCCCTTAACCTTCTCCGATTGCTGGGCAGTTCACTTCTTTCTAGGTTCTCCTGCTGCAACCAGTACTGGAATGAACATCTTCAAACATGCTTCCTTCTCTCATTTTTTCCTTAGGAATCAATTCCCAGGTGTTAAACTTTACTCCAAGAGAGTTCAAATACTGTCATGGCAACTGGTACTGCCTCAACTTTTTTCTTTTTGTTTTTCTTGAGACAGGGTCTCGCCCTGTTGCCCAGATTGGAGTGCAGTGGCACCATCGTGGCTCACTGCAGCTTCGACCTCACTTGAGCTCAAGTGATCCTCCTGCCTCAGCCTCCCCAAGTGCTAAGATTACAGGCAAGCCACTGTGCCCAGCCATGCTTCAACTGTTTTTGGCTCTTGGCTTCCACAGTGCAATGACCCCATCACAAAAGGGAGGGAGAAAGCAGTTAAATCTGCTGTGCCCTGCCAAGGGTCCCAGAAAGCAACCCCATGCTGCGTCAGAGCTGTTATCCTGCCCTCCTTATGTTTCCCTTGACTCTGCACAGGTATGGCAGTGTGTCTCCAAACGTGAAGGCCAGTCAGGCAAGAGAGAGGATCTGGCACAGACATTCATAAATAATTTCCTAGGACTGGCACTGAAGCCATACTGCCCACAATTGCTGACCACAGCCTCAGCCATCGAGTGCATACGTGGGACACCTCCTTGCGTGGAGAGATGCAGACAACTCGGCTGCACGCTGCCACACCCAGCTCTAACTCAGACAGGCATGTGTCAATGCCATTGTTGCTCTACCTGGAGCAGGTTACATTCCTTCAGGAACATGCTGGCACAGGGTGGGGATGTTCCTGGGATGCTGGGCAGGATGCGGGGTTGAAGTGGAAGAGGCAAGAGCAGATCTAGCCCCTCTTCCACGCCACTCCCTTCGCCCTTCACAAAGGAACGGGGTGACAGGACCTGGGGTAAGGTCTTCCAAGACTCCTCCAGGTGTCTTGGGCAAAGTGAGGCCCTGGACGGGGTTCCACAGCCTAGCCACTTCCCATCTGCTGGCTTCCCAGCCTGTAGCCCTTGCACGGCACACTGTGCCACAGCCCCAAAGTTGCAAACAAATGGCCAAGAATGAGGTGGGCCAACTTGCAGCAGTTCATATTCCAACCTCACAAGAAGACCACCACTCCATCACGAAGTCCTATATCTCACAGACCACGCCCACATGGTCAGAGGGTGACAGATGCCAGAGGGGAACAGTGCCCCCAGGTTCATGAGAACACCAAGCCTGAGCCCGAGCATGTCTACCAGACAGGGCCAAGATGGTGGCAGAGCCTAGATCCTTCTCTAGGAACTCTGGGTTCTTCTGGGACACGGGTACAGTACAAAAGCTGTAGCCTGAGATGACAACCTCAGCTATCAATCCCACGTCCCTGTGCCCAGCACTGCCAGCTGACAATAATCTCAATTCAGAACAGCCTCAAAAGCAAGTTAAGTTTCCCCCACTTCACAGGCAGTGCAGGACCCATTCAGGGCTCTCCTGCTACTGTTATATACCAGATCCCAGTATGACACATTCTCCGACATTCCCACTTTCCTAGTTTATTTCAGCAGCACCTCTTGAGGCAAGAAGTCAACTTACCACTGTTGTTTCACACCGCACTTCCTAAACAGGTAACATTTAAGGTTAGACAACAGAAACAACACACCAAGACAATCATGCCTGGGTGAGCATCAGGTTAAGTTTGTTTGCAAAGTTTGCCATCGGAAAATATGAAAGGAGGCACACACCAACACGGTCCTGAGTTCACCCTCTCTCTCCTGGTTCCCAGCAGCACACAGAGGTGCGTCCGGCTCTGTGGGCTGCTTGGTGCAGCCTTCGTTTACCCTTTGTTCTTGCCACATCAGAGCCAGCCACTTTCTAAGGCTGGTTTTTTGTTTGTTTGTTTTTGAGACAGGGTCTTACTCTGTCACCCAGTATGGAGCGCAGTGGCATGTGATCTCAGCTCACCGCAACCTCTGCGTCCCAGGCTCAAGCCATCTTCCCACCTCAGCCTCACAAGCAGCTGGGATTACAGGTGTGCACCACCTTGCCCGGCTAATTTTTTTGTATTTTTAGTAGAGACAGGGTTTCATCATGTTGGCCAGGCTGGCCTTGAACTCCTGACCTCAGATGATTCGCTCAACTTGCCCTCCCAAAGTGCTGGGATTACAGGCGCAAGCCATTGTGCCCAGCCTCTAAGGCTGTTTTCAAATTACCTCCCTGGCCAGGTGCAGTGGCTCACGCCTGTAATCCCAGCACTTTGGGAGGCCAAGGCAGGTGGATCACCTGAGGTCAGGAATTCAAGAGCAGCCTGGCCAAGATGGTGAAACCCTGTGTCTACTAAAAATAAAAAAAAATTAGCCGGGCGAGGTGGTGCACATCTGTAATTCCAGCTACTCGGGAAGCTGACGCAGGAGAATGGCTTGAATCCGGGAGGCGCAGGCTGCAGTGAGCTGAGATCACGCCATTGCACTCCAGCCTGGGCGACAGAGTAAGATTCCATCTCAAAAAAAAAAAAAAAAAAAAAAAATTACCTCCCTGGAGCTTCCAGAGCCCAGGCTCACCCCACCCCCAGAAGGTCGGAACACAAGACTGCCCCTTGACTCAGGTCCCACTTGGGTTCTGGCGACATGATGGTGATGCCCTGGCCTGCCTCCCAGATGCACCCCATCATTCTCCTTAACCCAGCAGCACTTGCTGGTGGCATGAACTGCCCCACTTGGCATCCAGTACTGTTCCCTCCCAGCAACACAGCAAAAAAATCCACTGCTTTTGCTACAGTTGAGAAGTCGCGTCAACAACTGCTGTTCCCCTGCACACCCTCTGACAAGTTCCACCACCAGCACTGACAGTTCCAGTCCTGCCACCCCAGAGGTCCACAGACCCTGGGCCACTGAAGACCTCACTTCTGACACTGGCGCATCAGGCCTACTGTGCCGGACCCATCATCTGTAATAACCTTTAGGACAAACTGTAAGGGAGAAAATGTGCTATGATGACATCAAATAATAATGAGTTCACTGGCTGCTGAAAACCAGGAGAATGTTGCTGAAAAATTTAATGGCTACAATAAATAAAACAAAAGTAATAAAAAAAACACAGTACACATACTGGGGAAACAACTGAAATCAAGTACCAAGTCCCACCAGTCAAACTTCTTGAGCTTCCCTGCCCCTCCCCGCTTGGGGACACATGTCCTCCACTGGACAGCTCCTGGAGGGCCTCATGTGTCCTGGCGCTGGTGCAGTAGGAAGCCTGGGGGAAGAGACTGCTGTCAGGCAGGGCTCCAGATGCCATCGAATCATTTTGATTGCCCTTTCCATTTTTTTTCTACTTCACTCTTGTCTTAAACAATTAATACCTGGACTTGGGTGATATTTCGTGGGTTATACTTTTCCCTAGTACCCATGAAAATAAATGCATAGCTATCAAAATAAAACATGCTCACCTACAAGCCCATAAAGTCCTTTTTCACGGCAGGAAACATGGATCCTCTAACCCATAGGCTTTGCTTTATTTATCAGCAGCCCCTTCAAATCACAGATAAGCTGCAGACTCTGGCCATCCTAAACAAATGTCACGCCTCTCACAAACACAGAGTAAATGTGATGTGTGGTGTCTCCAGACCTGCAGGTAGCAGATGTGCAGGACCCAGGAACAGCTGCAGGGAAGAGCCCATCCAAGCTCCCTTAAATACTAGCTTTTGTCACCCAGAATCCCATATTAAAAGGGGGTGATATTTGGTGGGAGAGGCCAGGGAAGAAGCCCTAAGGCTCTGATGCATTCCGGCCCTCTGACTCCTGATCACCCTCACTGTTGCGCCCCCTCCCTCCAGGAGCAGCCCAGGCTTAACGGATTCCCTCAGGAACCCCAGTTCCAGCCCCTGCCAAACCGCTCCCCTACCCTGCTGGCCTGGGGCTGGAACTGGGGTTCCTCTGTAGCACCCTGCAGCGCAGCTGGGCAAGCCACTTCTCTGTGCACCACAGGACACACCTGTACAGGGGACTGTGCCATTGAGCCCACAGGTGCTCTGAGGACAGGAGAGAGGCTATGTGCAAAGCATCTGCCCTGGGGCCTGACGTAGAGGTCTCACCACCAAAGGGCACTAACCACTTGCCACAGAAGCCTCAAAAGTTAGACCTAGATGGATGCAAATTCTACCCTCTGCCCTCTTGGTGCCTGAGATGGGGTGAGGACACACTCTCCAAGCACCCACCTGTGAGAGGGGGGACAGGCAGTCAACAGGCAGCCAGCCCAGGCCCAGGCCCAGGCCCACCAGGAGCCCAGGAGCACCTCCCTGGCTGTGGTGCACCCTCCCTAGGTCCCCCCTCATCCCCCCGGGCCCTCCTGCCACAGGTCCCTGCAGCAGCCCCCTCCTGCTCCGCACAGCCTTGCATGGGCTCTACTTCCACCTCCTCTTGGCACAGCCCTGGAATTGTGCCAGGCTGAGGAAAGGAGAGCAGATACCACCCCCTCTAGTGATGCATTAACACTGATCAATGACTGGGACCCCTGGCCCTGAAGCTGGATCTGGCCTCAAAATCCACTTTTACCTGGAGCTTCACTGATCGTTGGGGTGCAGGGGGGCCTGCCCTCTCCTTTTCAGGTATGCCCAGCAATCCCCCTATCCAACTGCACATCTGCTAATACTGCCAGAATTTGACAACCCTGCCTCTCCCCACAGACCCCAGAGGCCCTGTGAGGAAGCCTCAACCTCACTTTCTAAGCCCCTATCAGCTCCCTGGGTTCTCAGCCTCCTGCCAGTGGCCTCCAAGACTGCCTTGAACTGCACCACCCCCACTGACCCCAAGTGTAAGATGAGGCCTCTGGGATTCTCCTCCCCAACCTGCTCCTCCCAAAGAGAATCCCACAGGCCCTCCTGCTTGCTGTAGGAGCTCTGCTGAAGATGGACTAGGAAGAGCTGGTTCTTCACAGCCTCAGTGAGGCCGATCAGGCACTATTTTATTTATTAAGAAATTCTTGGCCGGGAGCAGTGGCTGACACCTGTAATCCCAACACTTTGGGAGGCCAGGCGGGTGGATCACTTGGGGCCAGGAGTTCAAGGCCAGCCTGGCCCACATGGCAAAACCCTGCCTCTACAAAAAACACAAAAATTAGCCAGGTGTGGTGGCGCACGCCTGTAGACACAGCTACTGGGGAGGCTGAGGCACGAAAATTGAACCCAGGAGGTTGAGGCAGCAGTGAGCTGAGACTGTGCTACTGCACTCCAGCCCTTTTACAAGCAGCTAAGGCACAGAGAGGTCAGCTAATCTACCTGAGGTCACACAGCTGGGTCTGGGGCCCAGGCAGCCTGGTTACAAACACTGACTTTTTTTTTTTTTTTGAGACAGAGTTTCACTCGTTTCCCAGGCTGGAATGCAATGGCATGAACTCGGCTCACCACAACCTCTGCTTCCTGGATTCAAGCGATTCTCCTGCCTCAGCCTCCCGAGTAGCTGGGATTACAGGCATGCGCCACCACGCCCAGCTAATTTTGTATTTTTAGTAGAGACAGGGTTTCTCCATGTTGGTCAGGCTGGTCTCAAACTCCCAACCTCACGTTATCTGTCCACCTCGGCCTCCCAAAGTGTTGGGATTACAGGTGTGTGCCACCGCGCCCGGCCTAAGTACTGGCTCTTTTACCACACTCTCAGCTGCCACTCACAGCAACACACAGATAAAGCACGCCTGTGGCCTTGAAGGTGCTCCTGGCCTGGCAGGCGAGCAGACATGTGATGAGAGAGCTTCTAAGTGTGTAGCAGGCAGGGCTGTGACACTCAGGATGCTCTGGGGCCCCTAGGAGGGTGACAGAGGGAGTCTGCGAGGACACCTGGAGAGTAAGCAGGAGTCCTCTGGACAAGCTGGGGAGGCAAGGACCCGGGAGCAGCACAAGTAAAGGGCTGGGCACACAGCAGCGCAGCATGCGCAGAGTGCCAGACAAGGTGGGGACACCTCCCGGCAGGCCACCCCGGGCCATGCTCAGCTCAGGGAGTGACAGGGTCAGACTGTCGTTTTAAATAGCTCATTCTGCTATGCAGAAGCAAACACACAGCTGAAGCAGGGAGACAGTTCTGTGGGCGCTGGCCAGCCTCAGGGAGCGACATGGTGAGGGGCAGGAAGGGACGTGGCTGTGGGAAGCAGCGGGGCTGAGAGAGGGAGGACTCAAGGCAGGCCGGGAAGCCCACCACTCGGCTGTGTGCCTGCAGGGGTGTCAGGGGATGGATGGCGGGATACCTGTAGCCAGACACCAGGGAGCCGCCGTCAGCCTGTCCTACTGACGTGCACCTGCTGGTTCATTCATTCCCTATGGAAAGTTCTGAGCACAGACTTTTGGCAGATCACGCTGTACCCATTCTGGGACACCAGTACATCACTGACCATGAGGGAAAAAATGGTGCCGACTGGAACACACAGCTTCTCCTCAAAGACACAGAAATGCGACTGAAATGGGCATTTCATTCCTTCTCACAGCAACCCTGAGCACTTGGAGGTAGGTCCAGGTGGAAGGTCTTCCTCACACCCTGCACACAGCCTGGAACCATAAGCCATCCCCACTACCCTCTCCCCTCAACTGTCATGAATGGGACCCTGAATGCCACACCCCTACCACCTTTCTAAACTTAACTCAGAAACAACCGCTACAGGCAATTCCACTTCTGGGTATGTACCCAAAAGAACCGAAAGCAGGGACGTGGACAGACATTTACACACCCATGTCCACAGCAGCATTATTTGCCATGGCTAAAACATGGTGGATACAACTCAAGTGTTCAGGAACAGATGAATGAATAAGCCAAGTGTGATATATCTGAACAACAGGACAGTATTTCAGCCTTAAAAAGGAAGGGAATCCTGACACATGCAACAACACAGATGAAGACTGAAGACATTATGCTGAGGGAAAGAAGCCAGTCGCATGAACACTGCACAATTCCACTCATACTCAGTAGACAAAATCAGAGAGGTGGAAAGTCGAACAGTACGTGCGCCCAGGGCTCGGGAAGGGGAGGGACGTGAGTGTTGAATGGGAACAGAGCTCGGTTTTGCAAGATGAAGAGTCCTGGAGACAGATGGTGATCATGACCACACAACCATGTGAGTGTGTAAGACCACTGAACTGTACAGTTAAAAACAGCTAAGATGGTTAAGTTTTATGGGATGTATATTTTACAATTAAAACAAAAACAAAAACAAAAACACCAGCGGGACCCTGGCAGAGCCCCTGCTGCCTAAGTTCCTAAGAGGTCCTCCTGCCAGGACCACTCTCCCTCAGGCATCTTTTAGGTGGCTCCTGGGCCCTCTGCTCCTCCTGCACAGGCCACTGAGGCAAACGGGAGTCTCATGTGCAAATAAATGGACAGGGCAGCCAAAGAAGAGAGGGGCTGGGCTTGGAACTGAGACCAGGAAAACCTCCTGAGGCTGTGGAGCAAGTTGTATTTCCAAGATAAGCATGAACATCGCTCCCTTGTGGGACTGTGGGAGGGATCAGATGGCCATGTGGGAGAACTTGCAAGGCCCATAGTCAAGTGCCAGCCAGCTGGAGGTGGGTCTCGATCTGTGCAATGGGAAGCATGGAAACCATCACCTCTAGGGCCACTGTTAAGCCATGAGTGCTCATGAGTGCTTGAGGGCTTTTTTTAAAAAAAAAATTCTTCCCTTCTTTTCTTCTTAACTTCCCACACTATGCTGATGTATCAAGGGCCTTTCTGAATGCTAATACCACATCTGCAGGAGCTATGGGAAGATCCTGGGGAAGGGACCTCAGCCCCTGAGCCGCAGTCTCCCCATCGGTCAATAGCAGGGCCCCAACACTGCCTATCTCGGTATGTGGGGGCCAGATGTAAACAGGTACTCTCCCCCAGGCTCACTCTGGCAGGCCTCTTGGAGCCCACACACCCAACCTCGGCTGTTCAAGTAAAGCAGTGGGGGACCAGGGGAGCTAGGGCATTAGGGAAGGGTCTCTGGCTCCGTAAGGCTCCAGGCAGTGGTGAGAGGACCCCGAGGTTGGAATGCACATCCTGTGAGTACAGGCTCTGGGCAGAGCCATGGAAGAGGTACCCATGGAAAGGTGCCTCTGCCTGCAAGGGGCACCCACAGAAGACTCCCCTCCATTATCTGCCACTGTGAAAACTACCACCCAGCACTTTCACTGCCTGGCAGACCTAAGCACAAGTAGAGGCTCCCCTGGGTGCACAGGGAGACATTCACATGAATATCTGCAAAACACCTTTTCATTAGCAAAACTCTGGAAGCCAGTTCCATGATCATGAAGCGGCTTCTAGCAGGGAATGCTATGCTGCAGTTAAAGGAGTGAGCTAGACCCATGTGTAACCAAGCACAGAAAGCTGGGACACACTGTGGAGGGAGGTGAGCTAGGTGTAGAGTGATTGCCCTGTGTGCCAGAACTGACTGAAAAGCCACATGCACAGTATGGCCCAGTGCTCTGGGCTGTGCCTGCACAGCACAGGAAAATGGACTCTACACTAGTGACATGGGTCCTCTCCAGAGGGATAGAAGAACTGCATCAGGGACAGGGGTCAAAGGAGGCCTTTAGCTGTAACTCAAACATTTTACTTTTTTAAAGGAAGACGTATTTATTGCTTGTGTACTGAAAAGTCAGTGAGAAAAAAGGGAAAAGAAACATATTAAGGAGAACGACTAAGCTCAGGAACGCCCAGGAGTGCAGGGCCATGCCTGGATGTGCAGGCTGAGGCTGGGTCCCAGGACGCTTCAAAGACCATGAGCCACCTAGATTCCATTCTGCATGGGGAAGGCTGGTTCTAAGGACTGTACACAAGGATATCAGAGACAATGGGTTGCAGAAGGCCACCTTAGGCCAGGTTTGCTGGGTGACACCTGTTACTCACTGTCATTCTTAATAGCACCTCATTCATCTGAAAAGTGTCCTGGTCTTGATAAGATGCACAGTCACCCTAGCTACAGGGGGCAGGGAATGGCTCACAGCGATTGCGCCACCCCTACCCCTGGGAGCCGGCTCATGGTGACACAAGCCCACACAACTAGGTTGGGGACCACAAAAATATGTGTCCGTCCCAAGCCTCTGTGAGCCTCATCTGTTCATATGGGTGCTGTTACCCCATTTTCCCACCACAGGTAAGAAAATCAGTACCTACCTGCAGTACTCGACAGCACCCACCAGCAGTGCCAATGTGGTGCCGGTGGCGGGGTGAACTGGGGATTGGTGGTAGCCCCTCAGTGGGGGGAGGGAGAACTTTTTAAGTTACGGAAATATTCTACACCTCAACTGGAGTAGTTACACAGGTATACGAATTTGTCAAAAATGCATCAAAATGTAGCGTAGAGCTAAATAAAAAGACAAATGTGAAAGCAAGACAGACATAACTGTTTAATGAGGGACTTCCACTGCCAAATGTACACCTGAAATAGGCACATTGTACTGTATGTAAATTAGACCTCACTAAAGGCAGTTTTTAAATTGTTGGAGGTAGAATCAGAAAGACAGCTGAGAGGAAAGTCCCTAAGTATGGTTTTTAATGCCTGGAGTTTGAGACACCAGTGTGGGCAGGACACACTGATGAGGCCAAAGGGGGTCCTCAGACTGAGATGAGAACTGAAGGCCATGAGTGACCAGGTGAATGAACAACGCCCATGGAAAGGGGAAATGGATAGAACACAGAGACAGTGGCAGCAGCACCTGGGGCCACCATCCACCTGAGGCAGGTAGGATTGGCCAGGCTGCCCCACTCACTGCACACACACAGTCAGAGAGAGCAGCAGGAAAGGGGACAGGCACAGGGCGCCCTGCCAGGAGCAGTGTTTCTGCACTGTCCCAGCCAGGCGGCACTAGAGGAAAGGAGAGGAGAGGCTCGGGTGAACAGGGTGGGAGACATGGCTTGGTGAAGGCATAGGGGAACAAGGAGGCAGGCGGGAGATGCTGGGCAAGGAGGGGACTGACAGGCAGACTCCATGGCACCGGGAGGAAGAGGCTTGAGCATTCATCCTGTAAATGGATGACCCTTGGAAATGAACAGCTGAGGCTGCATGGCACCCTGCCAGTCACAAAGTGCTTTTTCAAAGTTGTCTTCCTATCGAACTCCTGGTTACAAAGAGCCAAAGCTCTACATCACTGTGTGCGGATATTCGTGCATGGCAAATCTGTCATCCAGACAGGCCAGTTTTCCCCTTCTTCCTTCACTCAAAACTGAGGCCTGGCAAGGGATAGAGCATCGGATCACTACCACACCAGACAGCCAGACAGAGCCAAGCTGTAGCTCTACCTCGCCCTTAGCGGGTCATCTGGAATCCACACGCCTGGGCCCACGGCAGCAGGTGAGGTCAGGAGACAGGCCCTGTGGCCAGCAGGAGAGGCTGCGGTGACTCTTGAATCTCAGGAGACTGTATGGCCCCATAAATGAGGCCAGCACAGTCAGCACAAAGCAGCCTGAAGACACAATGGGGCCGGGTGCAGTGACTCACGCCTGTAATCCCAGCACTTTGGGAGGCTGAGGTGGGCGGATCACCTGAGGTCGGGAGTTCAAGACCAGCCTGGCCAACATAGTGAAACCCCCATCTCTACTAAAAATACAAAAATAAGCTGGGTGTGGTGGCGCATGCCTGTAATCCCAGCTACTCAAGAGGATGAGGCAGAATTGCTTGAACCCGGGAGGCAGAGGTTGCAGTGAGCCAAGATCATGCCAATGCACTCCAGCTTGGGTGACAGAGCGAGACTCCGTCTCAAAAAAAATAAAAATAAAATAAAAATAAAAACAAAAACAAAAGACACAATGAGGGAGGGTTTCCATTTTTTGGAGGGGAGCGGGGGATAAGCAAATGTGGCATTAGCCACGATGAAACCTAGAGAGATTTTTGATGGCTCAGTGATGAAGTCAGCAACAGTGACTGCCACCATCTGGGAGGGGAGTAGGCTGAGACAGGGCTGCTCGTTTCCCAGGGGAGGGGTGCCTGGCACACACCAAGAAGCAATGTTGGTGTCTGGCATCAGGAGCACTTTTGCAGGTTTGGTGGGAACCCAAACCCACCTGGGATGCACAATGCAACTGCTGCAGACACGAGAATTCATTCAGTCACCTTTTCACAGAAGGCTCTCCCTGTGTTGGTCAGTCTGGTCTCAAACTTCTGGGCTCAAATGATCCTCTTGTCTCAGACTCCCAAAGTGTCGGGATTACAAGTGTGAACCACTGTATCTGGTCTCAGCTGCTATTTATCTCCTGGAAAAATAAGAACGTTGGCCAGGCACGATGGCATACACCTGTAATCCCAGCTAAGCAGGCAACTGAGGTGGGAGGATCGCTTGATGCCAGGAGTTTAAGACCAGCCTGGGCAACATAGTGAGACCCTGTCTCTAAAAAATAAATAGATAATAAAAATAAAAATTTAAAAATTAAAAAGTTAGCCGGGTGTGGTGGCATATACCTGTAGTCCCAGCTACTCAGGATGCTGAAGTGGGAGGATCACTTGAGCCCAGAAATCCGAGGCTACAATGATCTATGGCTATGCCATTGCACTCATGCCTGGGTGACAGAGACTATCTCCTTTTGTGGGGAAAAAAAAAAAAAAAAAAAAGGAGCATGTCCATATTGTGTGCCTCGTGCCTTCTGAAGAGGAACTCAGGGAGCAGACAGAGGGCTCACACTCATGTTGGGGAAGGCAGGCAACAGACAAGACCATAGCCACACTAAAAGCCATGAAGAAAATAAACAGTGTGATTAATGTGAGTTGAAGGCTTCCCTCACAACCACTGGGCCAGATGAGGTGGTCACTTCAACCCCGGAGCCCTGAGAGAACCCGGGGAGGTAATACATCTGGAGCAAGAAGCAGTGCAAGCTTGTCCAACCCATGGCCCTCGGGCCACATGCAACCCAACACAAATTCGTAAACTTTCTTAAAACATTATGAGATTTTTTTTTAAGCTCATTGGCTATCATCAGTGTTAGTGTATTTTATGTGCAGCCCAAGACAATCCTTCTTCCAATGTGGCTCAGAGAAGCCAAAAGATTGGACACCCCGATCTAGAGCAAGTTGCATGATACCCTGCCTCCCCTTCAGGGCAGCTGGCTCCTCGTGAGCCAATGAGGGGTGCTAGACAGGGCCAATGGGAAACTACGATCACGAGAACTGTCCCAGCAGCCAGCTGCAAAGGCGCAGACACCATCTGGACAAGGAACCTGTCTGTGGCCTGAAGCCCGGCAAGCAGGCCAAGGGGCACCAGGGCCCTGGTGGGCAAGGCTCCAGGCCCAGGCCAGATCTCCGTCTGCACACGTTCCAATACATCTCCTCTTCTGGGGCCGCGAGCCTTCAGCATCCAAGCCAGGTAAGGGGCAGGGACTCTACCCAGGTGTGTGCTGGAGCCTGCTCACGCCAGCTTTACTGAGAGAGCAAGCCCGTGGTGACACTTTCAGGAATCAAAGGAGCCATTACTAACAATTACATTATATAAGCTTACAATAAGTTGTGATAAGAACAAAGGAGGAAGTTTTCAGTACTGTGTACTCAAAACTCATCACTTCCTACTTATTTTACCAAACTTAGTACTATCTAGGTTTCTGAGGTTATTCATGACTACTGTATGGGCATGGAGGACATGGTGTGCTACTGAGTCTCTTTCCCAACCTCACATTCAGTGATCTCATGTTAGTGGCTTGAAGCCAGCCATGGTGAGAGTATTTCCACCACAGAAATCAGTAAACACTATAAATCAGGGCTTGATTTTATGGGCTCCAAACTAGAAATCTGCAAACTCCTGGGCCATTCCATAACACTGTCTGTTTTTGTAAATGAAGATTTTACTTTTTTCATTTTACATGCTGTTTATTGAGGTAAAATTCACATTGACATAAATTAACCACATCAAGTTTTACTGGAACACAGTCACGCTCATTCACTCACATACTGTCTCTGGCTGCTTTTGTGCTACAAAGATAGCAGTACAACAGAAGCTCTACGGCCATATGGCCTGCAAAGATGAAAATATTTACTATCTGGCCCTTTACAAAAAGTTAGCCAACTCCTGGGGTTTAGACTTAAGAAAGTGATGGAGAAAATGTTAATAATGCAATTAAACTTAAAAAGCGTGTCATGCCTGAAGTCATTACATTGGGAACAGGACAATTGAGAAAATATTCTTATAGTACAGGTATTTGAAAACTATTATCTAATTCAGCAAAGACATCACTTGACTCATTAATACAAAGATATCGACCAGGCTGGTGCAGCGGCTCACACATGTGATCCCAGCACTTTGGGAGGCTGAGGCAGGTGGGTCACTTGAGGCCAGGAGTTCAAGACCAGCCTGGCCAAAATGCAGAAACCCTGTCTCTACTAAAAATACAAAAATTAGCCGGGTATGGTGGTGCACACCTATAGTCGCAGCTGCTTAGGGGGCAGCATGAGAATCACTTGAATCCGGGAGGTGGAGGTTGCAGCGAGCGGAGATTGCACCACCGGACTCCAGTCTGGGTGACAGAGCGAGACTCCGTCTCAAAAAAAAAAAAAAAAAAAAAAAAAAGAGAGAGAATAAGATATTAACCAAAGTCATGTCAAAACCAATCAGAAGCTGATACAAAAGCTCAGCAAAAATCAACGGAAGCAGCTGGTGAGAAGCAATTGGCTATATGGAACTGACAACAGTGTTGTATATTTCATTATTATTTGCAAATTATATGCCACCCATCCTTTATACTAGTAAAACTCATAAACTTACATGCATATTTACATATGTATATGTATGGATTTCTTTTCTTTTTCCTGAGAGCTGGTTGTCAAATTTTCACCAGCACACCACTGTCTATACCTTAGTATATGCCTTATGTAAATTAGAGCTTCATTATTTTGAAGTGCTTGAAATAGAGTCTGAATGAAACTAAAGTCCATTTGCATTATTGTATTTCAACATTACATATAAATGAAAAGATTAAAGAATCTGGATTTTTTAGAAATGCCAACTCATAAATTTTTCAATGTTTACTAAAAAAAATGCTTCCAAGTTTTATCACCTTCTTGTGCAAACAAAATTTCTCCACAACAATTATCAAAGTCAAGCAAAACAGAAACAAAAACAAAACCCACACCCTAACATATAAAAGTTATGTTCTTGGACACAAGCACTCTTTAAAAAAAAAAAAAAAAAAAAAAAAAGGCAATGTTATTTCAGTAATGTTATTCAAGCCGGGTGTGGTCGCTCACACATGTAACCCCAACCCTTTGGGATGCCAAGGCGGCCAGGAGTTCAAGACCAGCCTGGGCAACACAGCGAGACCGTCTCTATAAAAAATACAAAAATTAGTGAGGTGTGGTGGCTAGCACTTGTAGTTCCAGCTACTTGGGAGGCTGAGGCAGGAGGATCCCTTGAGCCCAGTAGCTCAAGGCTGTAGTGAGCTATGATTGCGCTATTGCACTCCAGCCTGGACAAGTAAAGTTTTTAGAGCAAGACTCTGTCTCTAAAAAATAATAATAATAAGCAAAACCTTGCCTCTAAAAATAATAATAATCATAATGTTATTCAACACAAGTTCAGTATTAACTATGCTCCCTAACACCCTGTATTTTATTTTCCTTATAATTTCTTTTTTTTTTTTTTCAAGACTGAGTTTTGCTCTTGTTGCCCAGGCTGGAGTGCAATGGTGTGATCTCGGCTCACCACAACCTCCGCCTCCCAGGTTCAAGCAATTCTCCTGCCTCAGCCTCCTGGTAGCTGGGATTACAAGCATTAGCCACCACGCCCAGCTCATTTTGTATTTTTAGTAGAGATGGGGTTTCCCCATGTTGGTCAGGCTGGTCTCAAACTCCCGAACTCAGGTGATCCGCCCGCCTCAGCCTCCCAAAGTGCTGGGATTACAGGTTACAGGCGTGAGCCACCATCCTTATAATTTCTATGGTAGAAACAGCACATGCACTTTCCCCTAGTCTCGCCTCCAAATTACCCATTGCACCCTGTGGATGCCACTGTTTCCTATGTGTGCCATGACATGGAAGGCTGAAAGCAGTGTGACAGCAGGAGGGCATGGGCTCTGTATAATGGGTGGCCAGGAGAGGCCTGAAGAAGTCCGACTGTCACAAGAACTGGATGAGGGAGAAGGTTCTCCCACAAGAATGAGGGCAAGGGTTCAAGTTAAGCTGAGAAAGGAAAGAAGGGCCCAAGGCCTGTAGCATGTGTAGATCATGACAATAAGGAATGTGGGCGTCTATTCTAAGGGTGATGGAAAACCACTGAAGGATGTGAAGTGACAGTGGTGTCATCTGCTTATCGGTATGGAAGGGACAGGACCAAGAGGGAAATGGCCAGGGTTGGACTCGAGATGGAGGGCAGAGGAGGGCTGGAGAACATGCATCCTGGCAGTAGCCCCCGGGCCTCACAGGTGGAGTAGGTGACTAAGGTGAGAGGAAGGCAGAGGCATGGACCACTCCAGGGTGTTTAGCAGAGCCATGGGGTGTGGCTTCACTGACTGTGTGGAGAAAACCAGGTGTTGTCCAGTCATTTTTGGTGGGATGGACCTCTGGGAACATGAAGAACATGACTGGTGGCCTTGACTGGAGTGTTATGTTGCACACTAGTGTTCTGAACCTTCCGGAAACGTATGAGAGGGGAACTAATCCTCTCCACTGATTGCAGTACATAGAGGCCCGCAATCCACTCCACAGCCGATTGCTCTCTATAGTGCTCAAGTGCTCTTCAGGCTAGAGCAGCCTACTTTTATTTTCATTTTTTTACAGTTTAATTGAAAAGACAATGGAGCATAGGGGAAAACAAACCAACCCATTCCCCCTGCCCCAACCAACACAAGTGCTTCCATTTTACCCCAAGTTCTAGTTCTTTAGGCATCCAGCCTATCCAGATGCCTGAGTCACAAAACCACTCCTTTCCCCCTCATGGTAAGGCCTGCCCATTTTTCTATAGAGCCTTCAGAATCACGCTTTCGGCTATAGGCTATTTGACTCTGTGGATGCACCATGATTCTGAAGCTTCTCCCATGCTGTTTAAAAATAAACTTCATTAAAAAAAAAAGAAGTAAATGGAGACAAGGTCTTGTTATGTTGGTCAGTCTGGTCTTGAACTCCTTGCCTCAAGCGATCCTGCCACCTTGGCCTCCCAAAGTGTTGGGATTACAGGCGTGAGCCACCAAGCTCAGCCTGTAAATAAACTTCCAAGAGTAAAATTACTGGGTCACAGGACATGAGCATGTCTATGCCTCTTGCTACATAAATAGTTTCCAAGAGGGTGACAGTGGCTCTGAGCTCCTGCCAACAGGGTGATGCAGGTTGTTGGGGGTGGGGTAGGAGATAGGCCGGGAGAGATAAAACAGCAACCCGCTGGCTTAACATCCAGTCTTGATTACCCACCAAGGCCATTCTGCCCACATGTTTTTGTGCAAGGTATATGTTCCAGGTATCAATTACGTCAACATTTTTCTGTCCAGTAAAATCTTGGAGATCTTATGATTATGATTACTTTTTGTGTGTTTGGTTTTTTTCTTGAGACAGGGTCTCGCTCTATCACCCAAGCTGGAGTGCAGTAGCGTGATCTTGGCTCACCCTAGCCTCAGCCTACACAGCTCAAGCGATCCTCCCACCTCAGCCTCCCGAGTAGCTGGGACTACAGGCACATGCCACCAGCCCCACCTAATGTTTGTGATTTCTACTACAGACAAGGTGTCACTATGTTGCCAAGGTTGGTCTCAAACTCCTTGCCTCAAGCGATCCTCCCACCTCGGTCTCCCAAAGTGCTGGGATTACAGGCTGGAGCCACCATGCCTAGCCACAATTGTTGATTCTAAAGTATGTCTCTACACAGGAAGAATATTGGCTATTGCTTCTGAAAGGCAGCTTCATGTGCACAAAGTTGTATTTTGATCATCCCCACCTGCAACTGCAGCACAGAGAGATTTGGAAAAGTACAGGCAGCTTTTAAACCTGCTTGTGAATTTCAGCCTAAGCACCTCTTCCAAGGAAGAGGCTCTGGACCCTGACGTCTGGGATTTTGTTCTACAACCAATTTCTTCCTGTTTTCCCCCGAGGGAGCATTTAGAAATGTGTAAATTATGCAATGTTGTCTTGTAACTGCTCCTTGCTGACACTAAAGGAAAGACTACCCTTGAAAAAGAACAGCATTTGTGAAAATCAAAGTTCAGTATCTACAAACTCATCTAGGGGTGTAATACCCCCTAGCTCCTGAAAAGTCGAGAAGGGGCTTATACATGTTTAGTACCTACTAGGTACTAAATTTCCTTTCAGGCACTGTTTACCTTTAGTAGGATAGGGACGTCCTCACTTTATAGAGAGTATTAATAGCACTGATAAATATTTGATGTGATTTGTCCAAGGACATATAACTTGGAGACGGAGCTGTAGAGATTCGAATCCAGGTCTAATTCCCAAACTCTTACATATTAAATACTTTTCTTTCTTTCCATCTTTCTTTCTTTGGGAGGAGGGGAGAGGAGGCTTAGAGGATTTCTAGTTGATTGTTAAACCTATTCATCAACCTACTCATAAGAAATGAAAAGCCTCCCTTCTCCACAAGAAAAGACCTCATCAACTGGAGCTGACATGGCTCAAAGGCTCTAGAGATGTCAGAGGCCGTGTCTGGCTGGGGAAGGGACACGGGATCCTCTGCACTCCACAGCAGCTCAGGCACAAACTCCCCCACTTCCGAGGTGGAAAAAGACAGCAGAGTCCCCAGCTCTCTACCCAAGGCGCTTGACGGGCACTGTCTAGGTGGCACTGGCTTCACATGCATCCCCCTTCCCTCTACAGTGGGCAGCAGTGTTATCTCCGGATGAAAGCAAAGGCTCTGAGGGCAGAAGGAGTCGGGCTCACAGCTGTGCAGTGCCAGCGACCTAACCTCACTATGCTTCAGTTTCCTGAATCAGCCCATCTATAAAATGGGATAATTCTTAGCACAGAGTGAGCACACAGTAAGAGTTGATGCTGCTGTCCTTGCAACCATTTCTGTTATGGCCCCAGGATAAAGTCCTTATAGTCCCTTATAGATTTACACCAAAGGATGTCGAGCCCTTGGTTTGTGAAGTGGGACTGGTAACTAGATTCAATGAGATCCATGCCCTGGGCTTGGTGACAGAATCAATGATGGAGTTAAAATCCTCACTTCCCCCCTTCCAACCGCATGGCCTCAGGAAGACAACATCCCAAACTCATCTGTCACAGGAAGACAGTACCAGCATCTTCATGATCAGGGTGACTAAATGGAGGCTAGGCATTGTGCCAGGCTCTCAACATACCTCAAGCCCCACAGGATGGTATCACCAGGTGATGGCAACACCAGCTCCATGTCACAAGTAAAAAGACTGAGGCTCGGAGACATTAAGTGATCTGCTCCAAGGTCACCAAAGTAGAAGCAGCTGAGAAGGACCTGAAGCCTTCCAGCTAAGGTCCAGAAGCTGTGCTAAGGGTAGTGTCTGGCCCGGCGCACGGTCTCACACCTGTAATTCCAGCACTCTGGGAGGCCGAAGCAGGCAGATCGCTTGAGCTCAGGAATTTGAGACCAGCCTGGGCAACATGGTGAAACCCCAACTCTACAAAAATTACAAAAAATTAGCTGGGTGTGGTAGCGTGTGTCTGTAGTCTTAGCTACTCAGAAGGCTGAGGTAGGAGGATCACTTGAGCCGGGGACGTAGAGGTTGCAGTGAGCCGATTGTGCCACTGCACTCCAGCCTGGGTGACAGAGTAAGACCCCATTTCAAAATAAAATAAAATAAAATAAAAAGGTGGGGGGTGGGTGGGGAGTGTCTGCCCAGGCCTGGAGGGAGGAGGCACGTGCAGGCTCATGTGGGCCTGAGGGGTTCACCAGGCCACTGGGTCCTGTCGACGGCTTCTGGAATCCCCAAACCTAACGGAACTGAGCGATACACACAGGACAGGCTCAGCGCCTGGGTGCAGACCATGCCAGTATGGCTCCAACAGACCCCTCGAACCATGGGAGGAATCCAAAGGGCTGAAGGTTGGAGAGAGCCAAGTAACCATCACAGGAAGGGGGCTTCCTCCAGGGGTCTGGCCAAATCCAGCCGCAGCCACCTCAACCCCAATACTAATCAGCTAAATGACTAAGCCCCACTAAGCCTGAATTCTTACCCCCAAGCCCAACTGGGTCCTCCCAGGTTAGGCAATGCTACTTCTGTAATCTGAAGTCAGAAATGGACCCACATCCATTTGTAAACTGGTCACTGGCCCTAACAGAATGAATGGCTCTCTAAATACCAGCAAGAAAACAACCAACCAGTCTTTGCTTCAAGGGGAATGGGGGTGGGGGAAATGACAGGCAAGTCAGACCGGTTACAGGAAGCACTGCGGGAAAGATCAGACCAGGATGCCTGCAATAGTCAGAAGACAGGGATGCTTATGGAGGCTCTGGACCCTGAGACCAGAGAGGCAAGGAGGGAGAGAGGGCAGGTGATCAGGTGGGGTGCACAAAAAGGTCAGGAGCTGACTGATGAGCAGCTGAGCATGGCTGGAGCAGGAGAGGAATAAGAAGGGCTACCTGACCCAGAGCCTGGGGCACAATGTGCTCAGATGATTCTTTACTGACTCTCTCAGTTGCAAGTGAGGGAAAAGTCAGCTCAAATGGGTTTTATCAAGAAAGGAAACCACAGGCTCACTTAGCTTAAAAATTTGGGGCAGCCAGGCGTGGGGACTCACGCCTGTCATTCATCCCAGCACTTTGGGAGGCCAAGGTGGGTGGATCACCTGAGGTCAGGAGTTCGAGACCAGCCTGGCCAACATGACAAAACCCTGTTTCTACTAAAAATACAAAATTAGCTGGGTGTGGTGGCAGGCGCCTGTAATCCCAGCAACTTGGGAGGCTGAGGCAGGAGAACTGCTTGAAACCAGGAGGCAGAGGTTGCAATGAACTGAGATTGCACCATTGCACTCCAGCCTGGGAGGCAGAGCAAGACTCCATCTCTGGGGGAGAAAAAAAAAAAAAAAGTTTAGGACAGGCTTCACCTCAGACCAGCCAAGCCACAAGGTCTTAGTCCTCTCCACTCCTCTGACCAGGTCTTAATCCTGGACAGGCTGCCTCCAGGCAGCAAACCCCAGCAGAAAACAGCTCACATCCTCTTCCATTCAAGTCTCCCCAACCTACTCCAGCAAAGTGCTACAACTTTCACAGGCTCTGATTGGGTCACAGGTCTGTCTCTGAACCAATCACTGCCCAGGAAGATGCAGCCCCATTACTGGCCAGTCCTACCTACATTACTAACCATCCAATGGGCATGGACTGGAGAGAGGAAGGGGCAGCTCTCAGGAAAACGAGGATGCAGAGACCAGGAGGAAGGCCATGGGAGCTAGATGGGCTCTCTACCACCAAGCCTGTGTATTATTAGGTAGCATGCATGTGAGCACCCAGGATGCTTCAGGCACAGGGCCATGTTCCATTCTTAAAAGCCTTCCTATGCAGCATTTTTTACATCTTTCTGGAAAAACAAAGGCTGCAAACCTAACCTTGTCGAAGGTTGCAAGGTGAATGGCAGAGTCAATGGTTCCAACTCCATTCTGCTTAAGTCCTCCACCCAGGAGAAAGACTGTCTTCTCCACTATATGCCACCTAAAGAGCTGAGACTCTATCCAGCCAGCAACACGACACCACCAGAAAAGTCAAACATCCCTATCTGTTTTCAGACACACAGAGGCAGGAGACTGACTAGGACACTGCTGCACTAGACCCCCTGGAGGTCCAGCTTGCAGGAAGAAGGACTCCAGGATGGCCCTAAGGTGGTCTACAGAGCAGTAGATCATGGCACCACCAACAGACACAGCACAGCATGACAAAGGCAGAGATGAAGAAGGTGTATCCACTTTGGAGTGGGCTGTCTAGACATCCAGGCACAGGAGAGAGCAAGTGTCCAGGTGCCAACGAAGCTGTGGCTCTGAGACTACCTGGGGAAAGTCTTAAGGGCCGAAGACCGTGAGCAGTGCTACACAAAGCCAAAACGCTTAGGGGGAGCAGGCACCACTGGAAAGGGTTGTGTAGAGAAAAAAGAGACCAATGCAGCAAGGGGCAAGGGAACCAGGTAGGCAGACACCCCCCCACTGCTAGGCCTTGTCATTCATTCCAAGTGCCCATGGTGAGCACAGAGAACAGCGCCCTAAAGAGAAGACAACCTGGCGTGACAAACACAACAGGCATCCTTGTGCCCAAGGACAGCTCATCTTCCTAAACAGATGATGCCACTTCCTACTTCCCAACTTGAGGGAGCCCACCACCCGACCAGATAGGAAACCGTGTTCACAGTGCTCTCAACACAGAAGAATCATCACCAGGGTGATGAGGAGGTGCCCACTCGGTCACACCCCTAACTCCTTGTTGGGCTGACAGCGTGTCCAGAGAGGCAATGCACAAGTCTTCCACATACCATCCAGCACAAATACCACCTGCCAACTACACCAGAACACCTAACGTGCCCCCTCCCCATTCCAGGCCAGGGTTTTCACCATTTTCCTTCAGGTACACAGGGCTGCAGCAGCCTGGGGGCACATGCTGTTTCTGTCTGCACAAAAGGTCCTGCTCCTTCGGAAACACCTCCCTGACTTACTGTGGGCACTGCCACTTTCTTACAAGACCCTCCCATGGCACCCCAAACCAAGCCAGAGTGTGTCTCCTGAAGTTTCCGGAACTGGAAACTAGAAAGTAACTCCTGTCTACAACAGGTCAAACTCAGGAGCTGCTGCCTTTCCCAACACATGAAGCAGCCCATCCACAAGACAGGCGGACACACAGACACACACACATAGTGTGGAGGACCAGAAACAGAAAAGATTCCCTCTCCCTTCTCTCCACCCCAATTTCAATCCCAAACAGCACTTATTTAAGCTCAGCTCAGTGTTTAGAGGAAGGAAAAAGCTGGGGAGCAAATGCGGAGGAGCTCACAGGAGAGCAGTGCTGAAGCTTTCCTGGGAGAAGACAGGCTCCTCATTCAGAGGCCCACAAGTTCAGGCACTTGCTTGCCCACCAACCATCAAGGTGAGAAAATGAAATGCTTGAGAAGCTCCCTTAAGGCAGAAGTGAAGGTGGAATACCCATTCACAAAACTTTCCCTCACAGACGAGCTGAGACTTAACATGTGGCCCGTTTCCGTCACGGCCAGGCAAAAGGGGGAGCAGACACCAACATCAGGTGCTTACTGAGAGCCCCCCCAGAAACACAAGGTGGGGTTGGGGAAATGGAGGCTGCAAAAGAAAGATCACTTGACTCTACCCCTCTCCATTAACCGAAGGGGAAGAAGCCAGGCCAGGAAACACAGGTACGAGTTTCCGGTTACCCAGAGGGGAGGCACAGATGAGAGGAAACAGGCAGGACAATCAGACCCAACAGATCTCCCAGCCTCTGCCCAGGGTCCACAAATTCAGAGAAGCTACAGGAGGGGCCACAGCTCTTGCCTGGGTCACAGCGCAGTCTCCTCATGACCACAGGAGGCCTGGTGGGGTTCAGGCCACCTGGACCGCACCACCTCCCCCAGCAATGAGCTCCATTCCAGGCAGTGACTGAAGCACCAGGAGAGACTGTCAAGACAGGGAGGAAAAAACAGCACCATTCAAGACTGTCTCCAGCCCAGGACAGGATCTGAAGCTGCAGCTGGCCAGCACCTGCACTCGGACAGCGTGACAGCGAGGTCCCCAAGGGTGACTACAGGCAAATGGAGTCTGTGGTTTAACCAGAACAAGAAGGTACTCACAACTCCACGCGGTGACCTCACACCAGCCAAACCACCCTGTTGCTACTCTGGACCTTACATTTCCCATTTTTTTCCCCAAAAACTCCCATTTTGCCTTCTGGAGCCAAGGCCCAACTATTTGGCGGTCACATCAGGAGAGGTGATGACATCAGTGCACATCCATGGACACTGGATCCACTATTCTTCTCCCGTTAACAGGACCTTGATGTCTCCTGGGAACATCCCCTCTATTGTGGGACTGTTTGGGTGGAACCCACAGCAGATTCAGGGGTAAGCCAATCAACTAATTCAATCAAACTGCTAATCCAATCAAAGCTCAGAGAAGGCATAAGGAAACGTTTGGTGGGGCTTCCAGCAAAGAGTCGGGAGTTCGGTGAGGGAAAATCCTGAAACTGCTGGGATGGAGAGGAAGACACCCTACTGTGTGAAGGCAACACTGCAAAAGAGGGAGACAGAAAAACCAGGTCCTCACCTGACCGCAGACTTGCCTTTGGGCCTGCATGACCATCAGCCCCTTTGTGTCTAAGCTCCTGCCACCAGCACAGTGCTAACCTCCCTTTAGGGCTGGACAGGCCACAGAATTAGTATAGGAAGTAAAGACAAGTGCTGTGCAGGCAACCAATTAACACGGAAGGAAACAATGTGAACCAATGACCACCCAAAAGGATAAAACTGTTCTTATTTTATATCCCTTCACATCAGTATCACGGGTCTCCCACTGACAGCACTGAAAAGCCAGCTTGCTGACTGCTTGCCTAGGCACCATGCAAGATGCACCTGGGAGGTGAATGGAGTTGGGCAGCATCTATAAAGGGTTCTGGAGGGCTGGCCTGCAGAACAGGAGAGCCGTTAGCTACCATGGTAACTACTACATCACCCTGGGGGGAACGAGGATGTGGCCACCTCTCCATGCCTAACTCAAGCTGGGCCAGGAACCTGATGACTAGAACGGGGGACATCAAAACAAGTCATCAAGGGGATAAGAACTTAAACCCAGTGTGTGCAGGGGGCTGCCCAGAGAGCCAATGTGACCAGGAGTGTGGGTGGGAAACAGAAGAGTGCACTACCGTGCTGAAGGCACAAGCAGGCAGTGGGGCTGCCAGGGCCTGGGAGTGCTGCCAGCCCACTGGGCTCTCGGTGTGGGCCATGGGTCACACCCACCTGAGTCCTCCCAGTAACTCACCCACTGCTGATGCCTGCACCACAGAACCCCCACCAGAGTCAAGGCCAGCCACAGCCAACGCCCTATAAAACCATGCTGTGCACCCAGCACACGAATACCCGAGTCTCCACAGCAGCCACGAGGCTGACCCACCACCAGGGTGTGGCCTGGACAAAGCAGCACCCTACTTTCTCACCATAGCAAATGAAAATCTGGGGGGATGTGTGTCCAGGAATGCCATGTTTTGTCACATGACCAAAAAAGGCCGAAGGATCGCTGGGGACCCAGGCTTCACAGATGAAGTGACATTTGAACAGTGTCTAGGGACCATGGACAGGCAGAAATCTAAGATCAAGCGCCGCCTTCTCTATTAGGGTGAAAAATACCTGACGAGAAAGAGAGGAAAACACACCTCACACCCCTTCTTCAGCCAGTTCCAGAGAAAGCACAGAGCATTTTAGTGACCACTGTCCTCCCAGTCTGGCATAAGAGCAGTGCACAGATGAATCCAGCATAAACAGCTGGACCCAGGCAAGAAAGGGGAGTGCCTGCGCAGCAAGTGCCCACTGGCCTCTCACATGACAAGGGAGGCAGCCAGCAGGTGGCTGTGTTCCAACCCCAGCCTCATCCCATCTAGCCTCCTTCCAGCTGTGTCCGCTGAGCCTCAGTTTCCTCACTAGTACCTGCCTCCTGTTTAATCTACACCTGCTATGAAGATTAAATGTGTTTTGAATGCAGGTGAAGTGCTGAAAACCGCTGGCACCTAGGACCTGCTCAGTAACGCTGACAGCCATTCCCAAAACTGGCCCTGTTTACAGTGAGAGCACCAAGCATTTGGGCACCCACGTGCTGTGGCAGTTCTAGACACTAAGGGAGCAACACCTGCTCTCCTACTTGGGCACTTCACAATCACATGGAAAATGTAACCAACAAGACCTGTTATCAGCAGGAATATAAGGTGTTAAAATGATGAATGGTTCCTGAGGGAGACGGTCTTGGATTAAGCCAGGTAAGGTTTCAGAAAAGGGAGGCAGTAGGGATGACAGGAGGCTCCCAACTGGAGGCAGCACAAAGGTCAAATTCCAGGTGTCACACACATACAGGTAAGGCCTGCTCTCAGAGTTACACTGATGCTGTTTTGATGACAAGACAGAACTTCATTTCGAAGCATGACTGGATTAGGAGTAGGTTCTGTCCTCGAATTTTCTTTAAAACAGTTACTCAAAGCACACCTGTTGTTATGTGAAGCTTCCAGAAGGTTTCTGATGATAAAAATGAACCCTCATACTCAAAAAGGTTTGGAGCCACTAGGCTAGAGGAATTTAAAGGGGGAAAAGTTGTAGGAACTGGGAAGGAATGGAATTCAAAATGTAACATGTGAAAACACTTCATGTTTGCAAGGGTACACCTTGGAAGACGCAATGGAGTTCAGCTTCCATGCTGGGCACCACCGATGTGGGAAGCGGAAGACTGTCGTAGTTAAGCCCTCTGACATCAGAACCACCCAGTGATGGATTCAGACCCAAGGCTTCTGGTTCCCTTGTCTGCAATACCAGACAAATCGGTGAATCTCTCCTAGCCCCTAAAATGAAGATGAAGCACCTACCCTAGAAGTAATTCAAAGAAGCAATGAGACACTCCACACAGTAGTGTCTGGCACTGTGTAAGTGCTCAGTAAACAGCGGCTGTTCGTCTTGCAGCCTCTGCTGCCCAACAGAGACTGCTGCTGGCACACAGGAGACCGAGCCTAACTCTGCATGCAGGGGAAACCTGATGAGCCCCCTGACGTTTTCCAAGATTCATTTTCCTGCAGTGGATGAACCCAGGAAACTTTGCTGCAGTCACAGTAACATCCAAAGGCCTTTAACCCCAATTGCCTGGCAATCCTTGGGATGTGAGTTCCCAGAGGGCTGCTGGTACTTCACCTGACATGACCCCTCTCCTTTTGAATAGGCTCCACAGAGAATCGCAGAACCTCCCGGTACTTGGATGGTCACAGAATCCAAAGGCCTATACACAGAATCCAAGGGCCTGGGTATGTCCACATAGCCATCTCACAGTGCCCCCAGACTGTGTTAAGTCAGCTCTGACAATAATCCACCACTTCCCTAAGCACATCACAGAACTCTCACCTTCCCCACCCTAGGCTTGCCTCCAAAAGCCACACAGAGCAAATCTAATCCAGAGGGTACAACAACACCCCAAATACTGAAAACCAGTGCCATGTAATGCTACCCCAAGGCCCTTCCCATTTTCTCAAGCCCAGACACCCCAACCATACCCACAGACACAGCTCGACATCTGCCTGTGCCCCATCCCACAGCAGAGAGGGAAAACTGTGCAATAATTTGCCGACTGTTCCTTCCAGCTCTGTTCCCCTCATGCCAGAGACAACGCAAGAAGAGCCTGCCTGCCTGACTACAGAACTTATTCTGAAAACCTGGATGATAGAATATACTTAAGAAAGCCATCTCATATTCTTAAGAATTCTCAACTGTTTTCAAATAAGGCACGGGGAGAACTGTTCCATTTGGACTTGAGACCTGCGGCACCATCAGGCCATCCCTGACTGCCGAGCCCACATGCCACGGCACCCCACCCAAGCTCGTTCATGACCATGCTCTATCTGCCCTCCTCCCTATGAGGCGCCAAGCCCCTTGGGCACAGGGGCTGAGCATCTTCAGGTCTGTACCCTCTACACCCAGCACACGAGCACTTGCTAATCAGTTAGTGACTGAAATGTAACTGCAGTGCCTCCCAAGGCATGGAATGTATTCAGAGAAGGCCTTTAAATACAGCATGTAGAATTATCGGTATGTCTTTCTTACTCAGGAAATGCTTCCCGGTTCAGGGAATCCCGATGGCAAATCCACACCCTGCTCTAAGAGTGAAAAGCGGCTGTTTTGGAAGGTGCTCCAAGCATGGGTGCTAGCGAGACCACACTGGAATGAAATGTGCTGCCTCTCCTTTACTCACTGTGCCACAAACTTGGCCACCCATTCTGACAACCAGCTCCTGGTCCCCAAAGGAACCAGGCAGACGTGGGACAGCCTACCACTAGGAATACAAAGGAAAAGCACAACGTGCAGTAACAAAGCACCCAGTTTCCAGAAGGAGATGATAGTGGGGAAGTGGCCAGGGGACCCCTCCCGCTGGACTGGAGTCACCTGGAGTCAGCCTGGTTAAACTAGAGCTCCATCTGAGAAGATGCTCGCAGACCCCAAAACCAAGAAAAGGAAAGCCAAGTGTCCTCCTTCACCTAAGAGACCTTGGCGCCCTTAAGCTACATGTCCTATCTTACACAGCTGCCCAGGGGCTGACGTGACCATGGTGCCTTTTTACATCTGTATCCAGAACAAAGCCCCTGACCACATGCTGGTCTTGGACAGTCCTCCAGGGCTCTGGGACCTCCAACCAGGACAACATATTCTGAGGACCACCCAGAAACCTCAGTGAGGAGAGACTGTAAAGTCCACTTTCTCCTGAGGGACAGAATGAGTCAAAGACAAGGACATACACCTGTGTCACAGGTGATACTTGCTACCTTTCCATTTCCCGAAGTCAGAGAACACCACGCTGCTCCTCTCCTGTGTCCTGGCCACAATATACAGAGTAAAGACAGGAGAGTCCCTGAATCTGGGCAATTGTGGATCAGGTGGCATTTACATGTTTGGGTTTAGGGTCCTCTACTATTTTGGATAGGGTCAGAATCAAGAGTCCTTCATTTTGCAATTTACACCATTCTGCTTTTCTGCAGAATAAATGGCATTTTAAGTTAATATCAAAAGTGCTGTAATGTTGAAGTAGAGAGCAAACTGGTCACACAGATTCATGAAAAGTTCCACATCGGTTGCTAGTTGCCACACCGTGGTCTGGCCCAGGTTTCTGTCTGTGACAGAGACCTTAAGATGTTCACGGGACAGGCTATGTCATATCACCACCCTGTTAGATGTAACATAGGTAAATCCAGCCCCAATCTGTAATCTCACATACACTTGTAGGGGACGTTACAGGATCCTCACACGTTTTCTTACCAGCTCAAAAATGCTGCCCCCTCGTGCCTCTTCCGGAGCCATCTCTCCAACTTTCAAGGCAGCGTGGTGGTGTTCAGAGTTGAAAGGACTCTAAGGACTGTCACTTAATGACTCTGGGTAAGTCCCTAACTTTGGTTCCACCACCTCCCATTAAGTCAGTAAGAAACAAAAGCATTTTATCCTCTGCTTGCCCCTGGAGACACCCACTGAGCAGCACCTATTACCTGATGCTGCTGGCTTCTGCACCTGCAAAAGGGGAGACTGGCTCCCCCACTCACAAGGCTGTTGGGGAGAAGCAGAACTCTCTGACAGGGTGCCACACAAACTAACAAAGCATACACCTTGGTTTAGAATTTTGTTAGTTGAGAAACTTCACACAATGTACCTTGCAAAGATATATTAAAAAAAAAAAACCCCTTCTAGAACAATTGACATTAGTCTCTGCTGTCCCTTCTAGGATCTGAACTTAGATCTGGAAGGAGCTTTATGGGGTGCATACACCAGTTCCCAATCCCACCCTGTGGACAAGAAATCTGCAGGCAAACCAAGGTAAGCAACATCCAACCTTCCAATTCTTAGGTGGGAAAATGATCTTTCTTGCTGTGTCTCTCTGCAGAGTGCCTCGGTCACCTCTCCCTTGGTCTCTGTTGCCTGAAGAGCTGTGAAAAAGAAAGCAGCTCCCAAGGACGTTTCCCGCTCAGAGCCTGGCAGCTGGAGGCACTGACACACGCGGCCAGGGCTAGTTCAAGTCCCTCTTTGCTGCGGGACCTTCTCAGGCCTCTCCCTGGTCTGAACACAGGGCATTCACCTGCAGCTAGCAAGCCCTGCCCTGTGCGGTTATTTTACTTGCCATGAGGATGCAGTACACCGTCTACTATTCGTCGGACCTTTCCTCTAAAAGCTAAGTTTGTTAATCATCACTTAACATCTGTGTTCCTCACAGTTCTACTGAGTAGCATCTCAAGCCACCTGTGATTCTTCCACTCTCCAAAGTTCTGCATTAGAATATTCCACGACTGAACTCTTGGGCATAAAGTGGTCACAAAGGCTTCTTGGTAAAATGGGGCTCAAATGTAGCTCCTCAGGCACAGGTCCAAGATGGATGCTAGGGTTCAGTCAGTTTAAGCAGCAGGTAGAAAGTGTGCCTAATGCTTCTGCTCTAGAGGGAGAAGACAAGACAGGAAACATCCCCAAGAAGCTTGCGTGCTGCACAGGAAGATAAAGCTCATACCTCCACAGAACGAGTGTCCCAGGCAGATGGGAACCGAATCACCTGCTGAGGAGACTGCTCACTATGACTGCTGTGCGAGAGTAAGACACAGTCCTTCACTTTACCCACAATGCAGTGAGAGTAAGCTGGAACAATCATGCACACACTGCGCTTCGGAGAGATTTTCAACACCCTGGGCTGAAAGGGTGCACGACGAAAAGAAAAGCTCCAACTGCTCTGAAAAACTGTTAGTAGCCTTTTCAAAAGGAGAGTAGAGGATTTACTTTATTACTGAATTGGCAGAAATTATTAACTCTGAGCCTGCTGCTATAGGAATTCAAATGCATACTCCAGGGGCTAAAAGTGAGAGCACAGAAACTACTTTCCTCCTAAGAATTCCTTTGTCAAGGAGATGGTTGGTAAACACGACTTCGTCACTTCCCTAACTTTCCAGATACTTGTGGATATTAGGTCAGTTCCTGACACCGATTTTGCAAGCAATAGCTAAGTTTGTTAACCATAATTGCATGCCCATAAAGGTAAGCATTACATGACACAATTCTCTGCCGCTTCTCTCAGAAGAGGTTTAATTTTAGTGTTGGCTCTTCAACACTGTCCCCGTTTTTTTTTTTTTCATGAGCATCTTAAATATGTGTCAACTAAATATCCAGTAGTGGAGTTCATCATTGGGCAGGGCAGAGAGGAGAGAGCGGCACGCCGGCAGCACCTGTGCTGGAGCCACCTGCTCTCACCTGAGCCCACATTGATCCAAGAGAAACTGCAGACGCACTGACATGCCCGGCTCTCACCATCACCTCCGCCAGCAATCCTGTCCACCGCGGCTCTGTGTTTCTGCATGGTGTTTGCTCAAAGCAAACGGTCCTGTCAAATGGCCCATAACAGCGCTCAGAGGGTCAATCACAAAGGAGGCACTTTCCTCATTGTTCATAGTCAAGAAGATAACTTCCCAAATCCATCCACCCCATGTTAGTAGGACTCTGCCCAAGATCATCACTAAAGTCCCTGAAAATAAGCGGTATGAAATGCAAATTCCATGCCAGCTAACATAACCAGGGACCTATATAGCATTTCTGCATGTGCTAAGACACACAAAACTAAGATTTGTTCCATCCTCCTTTCTTCTGCCTCAAGGAACCCTTTAGATTAGAACCCTATACAATACTGGAAACTGTGAGGTCACTGGAGTGACCTAATCTACAACACTGTGATCGCCTGTCAAAGTGCCGCCTGATCCCAAAGCTCTCTGAGGTGGCATTAAGGATCAGTGCTAATATCTCAGCAACCTCTCAGACTCTCCAGAAGGAAAGCGAGTGCGTGAAATTAAAAAAATTACCTTCCGGCTCCACAAAAGATGCACAAGTCACCAAGGCTATTTTTTTCATGTCACTAGTTTTATCCTCTAATATTTCAGTCTTAAAATTGCAGTGACACCAGTTACTGCAAAAAGGACATTCTAGAAGGTTTTATATAGCTTGTGCCCACTCCACCCCCAAAGTCATAACAAAAATGTACAATATAACATTTGTTAAAGACAATTACCATCAAGTCAATGTTAATGGGACCTGAATACCAGGGATAAGAGAAGTACTTATATCACAGCAACCAGAGCCTTCGAAAAAACTCATAACCCTTCAGTCTTAACCAAAAATTGTATAAGCCAATGTGAATTATTCCCAAAACATCATCAGAGTGAAGCATATTGCTAAGAGTAATCAGCCAAGCTCATGTAAAAATGAAAGCAAAAACCCCTACGGTGAGAGAAACCTGAGTTACCTGGCCAAGCCAAAGATGATATTTTTCTTCCATTCACAGCACATTAAAAAGTGATCTCAATGGCCACTTCCTGGGAAGCAGGGCCTCCCCTCATACCTGGATGCTACTGCATCTTCCTACCGCCCTGCTCCTGCCGCGGGAAGAATGACCCCTACTGCCAAGAAACTCTTGGAGAAAATATGAGAATAGATCAGTCTTCCCCCCCACCCCCCCACCCCCGCAACAACACACACACACACACGGAAGGGGAGGGGGCGGTCCCTCCGCAAACAGTAGCCTCAGCAAAGGGGCACCCGAGGAAGCGACACTCTGGAGTTAACCCCGACAGTCTGGGTCAAAAACCACCAGGCTGAGACCCCCAGGTGAGGGAAAGAGCCTACTGAAACAGAGCTCTTGGGTAAACGGGAGAGAAAAGTCCTCTTTAATTCACTACCTAAAAAATGGAGCTCTGGCTTGGTCAGAGACGCAATGGGTACTGAGGCCCAGAAAGGCAACAGGAAGGATCCCACCCTCCCCGAGATCATCTATCGTCGGCAGCGACCCCAAGAGGGTTTTGGCAAAGGCGTGTCTAGTCACAGAAGGGAGACAGACTCTCCACGTACCCTAGGTACCCGGCCAGGGGCAAAACAGACTGGGGGTTCTCTCCGAAGCCAGGAAGGTGCTGCCAGCCGAGAGGAGGGGGAAGAAGGACTTCCCTGATCACCCAGGAGGCCAAGACATGGGAGACATAGGTTCCCCGAGTCATACCCCGGACACCAGTTGCTTCACAGCCCTTCTCCCTCCCCTTCCCGCTCCGGGAGGGCTTCCCGGGGGTCTCGGGTCCCGGAGGGAGGGCGAGGCAGAGAAGCTTCGTCCAGAGCAGTGAGGGTCGTAGAGCTGGAGCAGAAAGGGAGGAAAAACTCTAGCCTCAGCTCCCCCGTCTGCTTCCTCCGCCCAGGCCGCACGGAAGCCTCGGCCTCACGTACCGAGCGCTGCCGGGCTGCCCGACCTGCCCCCGGCCCGGGCCCGAGAAGCGAGAGGCAGGGATGGCAGCGGCCCTCGAGGGGAGGTGGGCGCCAGACGGGTCCCCCGAAGCCCGGTGGGCGAGGGGTACAGGAGAGGGGGAGGGTCCCGGGCCCATGCGGCCTCCGTCCCAGCTCGCGCGGCGGGTACTTACGTTGCTCTGGGGGTCGATGGCCTGCAGCAGCCGGTCCCTGATCTGCTGCGGAGACGCCGGAGCCGCTGTCATTGCCTGGGCGAGGCGGGGGGTTGCGGCCGGGCCAGCGGGCGGGCGGGCTGAGGCGGGGGACGGGGGTCACTCACTCGCCGGCCTCCGGGAGCCGGAGCCGCATGTTCCCCGCGGCGCCGGGGGGTTGGGGGCGCGCGGGGTGGCGGAGAGGGGAGCCGGGGCCGGGTCTCGGTCCCGGGCCGCCGCCGCCACCAAAGGAGGAGGAGGAGCCGCCGGAGCCGCCGCCGCTCGCTGCCGCCGCCTCGAGAACCAAACTCCAGTGAGCTGCCCCCGCGCGGAGTACTCTGGGTAGTCCGCGCCGCACGCAGCGTCGGCGCCACGCTGAGGAGGTTGGGAGATGGGGCGGGCGGAGACGCCAGGCCTGGGCGGGGCTGCCCGTGTGCCACGCCCCGCGCCTCCGCGCAAGCGCGCGCAGGCGCACTCGTCCGCCCGTGACGCCCCGCCCAGCCGCCCGGCCTAGGCAGCCGTTGGGAGGAGGTTGGGCGGGGCAACGGCCCCCGTCCAGGTCACGGGGCGGGGCTTTCTGACGGAAGCGCGCGCGCAAAGAGTCCTTGAACCCGGACGCTCGCAGCGGCTACCTCGGGGCGGGGAGGGCGGCGGGAAAATCCTTCCTCTGGGAGAGCCTTCCCGGCGCGTGACTGGGGGACGGGAGTCGCAGGCTGAGCAGCTGCCGAGTTTTTTGTGAGGGCGAGGGAACCAGACGTCCACGTTGTGATTCTGCGCGCAGAAGGGTCATCGGAGTCCGGGGGTGTCGCCGCGGCCCCCCCGCCCCTCAGAGGGTGTGGGAATGGGTGTGGTGGCAGGGCGGGGGTCTGCACCGCCACGCGCGACCCCGATCGCGAAAACGTGAGGCGGCAAAGCGCCTCTGGCAGAAGCCGCCCGCCGTAGCTGGGAAAGCCGGAGGTTGCAAATCTGCGTCTACGCGGCGGCTTCTCCACCTCGGCACCACTGGCATTTGGGCGGGATCGCTCTGTCTTCGGGGCGGGTCCCCCGATCTGTCGGAAGTTGAGCGGCATCTCTGGCCTCCGAAGCGCCCCCTCCCCCAATCTGCAGTCATTGCCGCCGTCCCTTGTGGGGGCACAGTCCCCCCGCCCCCCCACCGGCAGAGAACCCCGTGATTGAAAGACCCTTCTACCCGCCTCTGCCTTGAGATTCTGTAAAACTGAGATGCTCATTCTCTTAACCAAACACGTCACAGAGGAGGAAACGGAGGCCCAAGGTCACCTAGACTTCGGGGTTAAGCCCAGAACCGCAGATGTCAAGTTTAAGGGCGCCCCTCCTCCCTCCACCCTGTTTATTGCCTTGGTAATTGCTCCCCTCTCTCTGGGAGCTCTGTTGGAAATGCTCTTGTGAGACGGGATGGAAAGGCAAGCTCGGCGGCCTCGGGAGAAATCTTTTTTTTCCCACTGTTACAGGAAGACCTAGATTTAAAACAGGAGGAAGACAGCTGATGAGAACCACATGTGTGCCTTGGAGCTGCCCGACACCTGTTAGTCTTGTATTTGTTGTGCTTCTGGGAAATATTTTCATTTGCAAAAACGGCTGCTTCTGCACGTGGCTATGGTTGCGTGCTTCTGCACATGTGAAAAGTTTTACATCACACTTGGAGGAGAAAAGAAACACGGGCAAAACACTTGTCATTTACTGCTCCCAACCTCGCCCCTCCCAGAATGCGGTGCATTGTGTACATGGTGTACATGGTCCAAGTTGGAAACTGGCCCATTCGGAGATAATTCTCTCATTTCTGATAAGCAAAATAAGCAAAGCCTTCCTCAGGCATATTCTGGTCTTGCCTCTCTCTTAATTTCTAACTCGGATGTACAGTATCTTTTTTTTTTTTTAATAAAGTATTACATAGGAGGCAATTTATTTTGCATGGGTCAGGTTATTTTAAGAAACATTTGGGCCGGACGTGGTGGCTCAAGCCTGTAATCCCAGCACTTCAGCAGGCGGAGGTGGGCGATCACTTGAGCTCAGGAGTTCGAGACTAGCCTGGCCAACATGGTGAAACCCCATCTCTACTAAAAATACAAAAATTAGCCGGGCATGCTGGCGCGCACTTGTAATCCTGGCTACTAGAGGGGGCTGAGGCAGAAGAATTGCTTGAACCCGGGAGGCGGAGGTTGCAGTGAGCCAAGATCACACCACTGCACTCCAGCCTGGGCAACAGACTCTGTCTCAAACAAAATGTGGGGCCAGCCACGGTGGCTCATGCCTGGTAGCTCATGCCTGTAATCCCAGCACTTTGGGAAGCCGAGGTGGGCAGATCACTTGCGGTCAGGAGTTCGAGACCTGCGTGGCCAAAATAGTGAAACCCCTTCTCTACTGAAAAAACAAAAATTAGCCGGGCATGGTGGCACACACCTGTAATCCCAGCTACTCAGAAGGCTGAGGCACGAGAATTGTTTGAACCCAGAAGGCAGAGGCTGCAGTGAGCTGAGATCACGCCACTGTACTCCAACCTGGGTGACAGAGCAAGACTGTCTTGAAAAATAAACAAACATCTGGAAAGTACTCAACTTACCCACTTTTTAAAAACTAAGAAGCACTGACATGACTTGGTTCCTCAAGGGCACTGGCTCTTTTTGGTATCCCCAGTAGATAGAAAAATAGTATCTGTGGAGTAAGTCAATGAAAAGTTTCATCAAATACACGGTAGCGTTACACACACCCCCAGACATATGAATGCATTTCAGTTTCTACAGATCTGGTACACCATGGGTCTGGAGAGCTATTTCTGGAATGAATGAAATACTTCATAAAATATAATACTATATACACCAGGATACACAACACACACACGGATATTTAGTTTTATTCCACATTTAATGTACGTAAAAGGGTGTTTTTGTAAATGCAAAGATTAAATCAGACAGCCTCTGAATTGTAGTCTTGAAAACATTAGCAAGTTCTTTTAGGTCCAGGGTAGATACTGCAGTTCACTTAGCCAACTTTCTGCATTGAGACATCCTTGCCAGGGATCCTGTCAGTTATGCGAAGATGCGGCACGAGATAATTCCTCTTGCTGTGATGGTTCGTCCTCAATGACAGGTCCCTTATAGTATTTAGGTACAACAAGGTCTTTTGTGCTTGGAATGCCCTTGAAAAAGCTGCCTCACCTGTTTGTGAAGGGAACCCCAAAGAGAAAGGGAGAGGAAGGGCTGGGTGCAGTGGCTCACATCTATAATCCCAGCACTTTGGGAGGCCGAGGTGGGTGGATCATTTGAGGTAAGGAGTTAAGAGACCAGCCTGGCCAACATGGTGAAACCCCACCTCTACTAAGAATACAAAAATTAGCCGGGCATGGTGGTGGGCACCTGTATTCCCAGCTACTTGGGAGGTAGAGGCAGGAGAATTGCATGAACCTGGGAGGCAGAGGTTGCAGTGAGCCAAGATCACACCACCACACTCCAGCCTGGGTGACAGAGCGAGACTCCATCACAAATATAAAATAAAATAAAATAAATAGAAAAAAGGGAGAGGAAGTAGTTCAGAGTCCATGACTTGCTCTTGCCATGGGAAAAGGCAAGGAAGTTAGTGTCAGGAGGTCAAGTGCAGAGCATCTTCAGCCAACCTGGACAGTGAGGGAGTAGAAGGATGCTTCTCCCTGGACTCACTGCTGTGGCCTAAGCAGGAACCGGGATATTCAAGAGCACTGCAGAGGAAGCCGTGACGAGGCAGGTTCACACAGCTGTACAGGAATAGTCTTCCACAGCGACACCTTGTAATAGCCAGGAGCAACAGCAGGAATGCGCTCATCAGACATGTCAGAAGCAAGCCCCTGAGAGACAGGCCATTTAAAGCACAGGGTTACTAAACTTACCCTAATAAGGGATGTGAGGGCTCCAGGGATTAACAGAAAAAGCCAGTGTGACAAAAACAACCACCCTCCTTTGACCCCTATGTTTGCTTTAACAGGCGGGTGGAATTTTTTTTTTTTTTTTTTCGAGAGAGTCTCACTCTGTTGCCAGTCTGGAGTGCAGTGGCGTGATCTTGGCTCACTGCAATCTCCGCCTTTCAGGTTCAAGCGATTCTCCTGCCTCAGCCTCCCGAGTAGCTGGGACTACAGGCGGGTGCCACCACACCCAGCTAATTTTTGTATTTTTAGTAGAGACAGGGTTTCACCATGTTGGCCAGGATGGTCTCAAACTCCTGACTTCATGATCCGCCTGCCTTGGCCTCCCAAAGTGCTGGGATTACAGGCATGAGCCACCACACCCGGCCGCTGGCAGAAATTTTTAAAACCCTTTCTCATATATGAACTCATTCAACCCTATCAGTTATCTCAGAAGTACCTAGAGATGAGTTTCATAGTTCTGCTTGGCTTTGCACTAAGTCTTGTTTACTCTAAAAGTGAAACCAATTTAAATTGGTTTTGACTAACCTTGACATGTCAAAGATAGGTAGAAGACCTCAATTTTTTAATCCCATCTTCAAGTAGGGATGGGGATACAGAAAGGTTCCAGTTCTGAACGCAAGCCCCGGAACCTGGTTGGGGGGTGGGAATTCATGAATACAATACTTTAATTGCACTGTACAAACACAACACGGCTGGGACACCAACGAATGAAAAAAGTCATTAACTGTGAACATTTTTTTTTTTTTTTTTTTTGAGGCAGAGTCTCGCTTTGTTGCCCAGGCTGGAGTGAAATGGTGCCATCTGGGCTCACCTCTACCTCTTGGGTTCAAGTGATTCTCGTGCCTCAGCCTCCTGAGTAGCTGGAATTACAGTTGCATGCCACCATGCCCAGCTAATTTTTGTATTTTTAGTAGAGATGCGGTTTCGTCATGTTGGTCAGGCTGCTCTGGAACTCCTGACTTCAGGTGATCCACCCGCCTCAGCCTCCCAAAGTGCTGGGATTACAGGCGTGAGCCACCATGCCCGGCCAACTGGGAGCATTTCAATAAGCTCATACCCTCTGACCCTGTGGATATGAGCGTACTGAAATTCACAACTTCTAAAAGTTTATCTGAAGGAGGCAATCAGATGTAGACAAATGTGTATGTACAAGGAAGTTCACTGAAGCACTATTTGTAAGAGTGAAAGATTGGAAGCAATGTAAGTGCCTAGCAATAGGGGAGTACGTAAATAAACTGTGATTAGTTCCCCACAATGGGAAGGTTATGAATTAGAAGGCGCCACAGGGAGCCTTGTGGGTGCTACAATAATCTAAGCCTCAATGTGAGCGGTGACCTCACTGGTGTTTGTACATGTAGAAATTCACCAAGCTGGCCAGGCGCGGTGGCTCACGCCTGTAATCCCAGCACTTTGGGAGGCAGAAGTGGATGGATCACCTGAGGTCAGGAGTTCGAGACCAGCCTGGCTAACATGATGAAACCCTGTCTCTACTAAAAATACAAAAATTAGCTAGGCAGGTGGTGCGCGCCTGTAATCCCAGCTGCTCGGGAGGCTGAGGCAGAAGAATCACTTGAACCCAGGAGACAGAGGTTGCAGTGAGCTGAGATGGTGCCATTACACTCCAGCCTAGACAACAGAGTGAGAATCTGTCTCAAAAAAAAAGAAAAAAAAAAAAAAAAAAGGAAGAAATTCACCAAGTTGTACACTGCTGTAAATTAAACTTCCAAAGTAAATTAAGTGTGTGCGTGTGTGTGTGATGTTGTCACTAAGAAAACCTGTATTGAGCTGGGCACAGTGGCTCACGCCTGCAGTCCTAACTACTGGGAGGCTGAGACGGTTGAACCCAGGAGTTTGAAGCTGCAGTGAGCTACAACTGTGCCACTACACTCTGGCCTGGGTGACAGAGCAAGATCCCGTCTCTTACAACAAAAATAAAGCCACTATTGATGGAGAAACGCTCCCAATAAATAATAAAATGCAGCATATAAACTATATACATTGTGATCTTAATTATACTTTTATTAAAATATACATACTTATGCACAGAGTGAATAGAAAAAATATTGGAAGGAAACCAAAATATTGACAGCAGTTATCTCTGATAGATAGAATGACAGATGATGTTTATTTTCTTCTTACACTTTTTCCTAGATTAGTTCTGCATTTTCCGGCATTCATATGTATTGTTTCCCAGCCATCCTGTCAAGCGCTGGGATTGTTCTGATCTCTGGGAGCCTCCAGGGCTGACTCCAGTATGGCTAATCTAAAGTGAGCTTGTAATCTCCAAAATCCTGATGGTGGCTTTTCTATTAGGCAGACTAATAGATTCAGATATAGGTCCCAACAGTTTGTGTTTTCCTTACTGTCCCAGTTTTATATCATTATTCTTAGTACTAAACAGAGTGACAACAGGGAGTGACATTTGTTGAGGACCTACGATGTGTCAGGGTCCATGCTGGGGACTTCACATGAGGGCTCCATGAAGCCCCCTTGGACACTCAGGTCCTTGTGTCATCCCCACTTCCCGCCCGCCACTGACGCTGGGGTGAACCTGCAACTCACTGTGACTAAGAGAATGCAGTGGAAACCATGCTCTACCCAGTCCAGGCTAAAGCTTTAAGGAGGCCTGGAAGTTACCACACAGCCCAGCAATTCTACTCCTAGGAATCTCCCTCAAGAAAACTGAAAACATGGCTGCGTGCAGTGGCTCACACCTGTAATCCCAGCACTTTGAAAGGCTGAGGTAGGCGGGTCACTTGAGCTCAGGAGTTTGAGACCAGCGTAGCCAACATGGCAAAACCCTGTCTGTACTAAAAATACAAAAAATTAGGGAGGTGTGGTGGTGGATGCCTGGAGTCTCAGCTATTTGGGAGGCTGAGGTAGGAGAACCACTTGAATCCAGGAGGTGGAGGTTGCAGTAAGCCAAGATCGTGCCACTGCACTCCAGCCTGGGCAACAGACTGAGACTCTGTCTTAAAAAAAAAAAAAAAAAAAAAAAAAAGGCAAGAAAACTGAAAACATATACTCACAGAAAGACGTGCGTACATGTAAATGTCCATAGCAGCACTGCTCATAATAGCCATAACGTGCAGACAACCTGCCCCACCTGGGTTCCTAGCCAGCCTTCTTTCTCACCACTCTTGAGTGGGTCTTCTCATACCTGTCCCACTGGGCACCCAAGCATGCAACCAAGTGACGTGGTCTTCGTGCCTCAAAGGAGTGACCCAGCCAAAGTCATGTGGCTGGGATTTGGGGCTGGCTAAAGAGTCCAGCCCGTGGCCGGGCACAGTGGCTCATGCCTATAATCCTAGCACTCTGGGAGGCTGAGGCAGGTGGATCACTTGAGGCCAGGAGTTTGAGACCAGCCTGGCCAAGATGGCAAAACCCCATCCCTCCTAAAAAAAAAAAAAAAAAATTAGGCATGGTGGTACATGCCTGTAATCCCAGCTACTCAGGAGGCTGAGGCAGGAGAATCACGCGAACCTGGGAGGCGGAGGTTGCAGTGAGCTGACAAGACAGTACAGCACTCTAGCCTGGGTGACAGAGTGAGACACCATCTCAAAAAAAAAAAAAAAAAAGTCCAGCCCAGAGCTCAGGGTTCCCAGACTCTGAACCAAATCAAGTATAAGCCATTTCCCCAAAGAGCAGACAGGAGAGGACCAAGGTGCTGATGTCCAAAACCAACTAGGAGGGTGGATCTGAAGGAAAAAAACAACAAACTCACCCTAGCCAATGGAGCTTCCCAGAAACAAAGGTGCAGAGTTGTGCCCCAACACAGAAGGCAACATCAAGAGAGTAGCCAGGTGCAGTGGCTCACGCCAGTAATCTCAGCACTTTGAGAGGCCGAGGCGGGCGGATCACTTGAGGTCAGGAGTTTGAGACCAGCCTGGCCAACATGGTGAAATCCCATCTCTAAGAGAACGACAAAAAATTTAGCTGGGCCTGGTGGCAGGCGCCTGTAATCCCAGCTACTTGGGAAGCTGAGGCAGGAGAGTCGCTTAAACCTGGGAGGGAGAGGTTGCAATGGGCCCAGATTGTACCACTGCAATCCAGCCTGGGCAACAGAGCAAGACCCTGTCTCAAAAAAAAAAAAAAAAATATATATATATATATATATATATGTATGTATACACAATTTGACCCTGTGTTAGCAGAGTACTTGCCCCTACTCCCCTAAATGTCCCCATCCCAATCCCCAGAACCTGTAAATATGTCATGGCAAGGGATAATTAAGGGTACAGGTGAAATTAACATAACTCATCAACTGACTGCTGGATTCTCCTGGTGGCCCCAATGGAGTCACAAGCGTCCTTAAATGGGGAAGAAAGAGGTAGAGGAGTCAGAATTAGGAGACAGGGTGTCATGAGGAAGACTTGACAGGCTATTGGTTGCCTGGAAGATGGAGGAAGAGGCCGTGAACCAAGGATGTGGGCAGCCTCTAAAAGCTGGAGAAGGCGAGGAAAATTTCTCCCTGAGAGCCTCCAGAAGGAACCAGCTATGCGGACACATTGATGCTAGCCTACAGAGACCCATTCTGTACTTTTGACTTCCAGAATTGTAAAGAATAAATTTGTGGAATTTTTTTTTTTGAGAGTCTCACTCTGTCACCCAGGCTGGAGTACAGTGGTATGACCTCGACTCACTGCAACCTCTGCCTCCCGGGTTCAAGCGATTCTCCTGCCTCAGCTTCCCATGTAGCTGGAATTACAGGCATGCGCCACCACACCCAGCTAAGTTTTTGTATTTTTAGTAGAGACAAGGTCTCACCATGTTAGCCAGACTAAATTTGTTTTGTTTGACACCACGAAGTTTGTGGTTATTTTTTACAGTGGCAAGAGGACACGAATACGGCTTTAAAGAAAAAGCTAGCCAGGCACAATGGCCCATGCCTATAATCCTGGCACTTTGGGAGGCTGAGGTGGGAGGACTGCTTGAGCCTGGGAGTTCAAGACCAGCCTGGGCAACATAGTGAGACCCCATCTCTACAAAAAAAATAAAAAAATAGCTGGGTGTGGTAGCATGTGCCTGTAGTCCCAGCTACTCAGGAGGCTGATGTGGGAGGACAGCTTGAGCTCAGGAGGTTTAGGCTGCAGTGAGCTAAGATAGTGCCACTGCACTCCAGCTTCAGCTACAGAGCAAGACCCTGTCTCTAAAAATATAAAGAAAGAAAATTTAAAAGTAAAGAAAAAGTGGATCATTCGGTCCTTTAAGATGTGGCACTGCCCAATTAGAACTTTCCTCCATGCAATGCAATTACAGTCACTGAGGCACTGGATTTTCTAGTTTTATTTAACTAAGACGGAGACTGAAACAGCCACACGTGGCTCCTGGCTACTGTGCTGCTGAACACAGGCCCTCACTACTCAAAAGTGTGGTCCGTGGACCAGCAGTATTAGCATTACCAGGGAGCTCCTTAGGAACATAGGTCCTTGATCAGGTGTGGTGGCTCACACCTATAACCCCAGCACTTTGGGAGGCCAAGGCAGGAGGATCACTTGAGCCCAGGAGTTCAAGACCAGCCTGGGCAACATAGTGAAACCTCGTCTCTACAAAAAAATACATTAGCCAGCTGTGGTGGTATGTGCCTGTAGTCCCAGGAGGCTGAGGTGGGAGGATCGCTTGAGCCTGGGGGAGGTTGAGGCTACATTGAGCCATGATCGCCTCACCTGGGTGACAAAGTGAGACTGTGTCTCAAAAAAGAAAAAGAAAAGAAATGTAGGCCCTTAGCCTGTACCTCCCCAGCCTGTTAGGCAGAATCTGAATTCCACAAAAACACCCCCAAGGGATTTAGGAGGATGTTGAAATCTGAGACCCTCCCATGGTTGAGGCCACCAGTCACTTACACACAAATGCCTTCCTCTGCAGCACCAGGAGACAGAGCCCATCACAGAACTTCTCAGGGTGCCTCCTACACCACACTAGCTTTGTGTGTTTGTTCTTTAATGCCTCAAGGCATACTACTAGCCAAGGAGAGTAACTAACAGCAGCTGTTGAACACTATGGGTCAGACTTTGACCATCTGTTATGGACTGAATTGTGTCACCTACCCATGACTAAATTCATATGCTGAAGCTCTGACCTCCAACAGGGACTGTATTTGGAGACAGGGCCTTTGGGAGGTAATTAAGGTTAAATAAGGTCATAAGGGTGGGGTGATAAGCTGACAAAAGGGAGGCTGGTTGTGGTGGCTCACGCCTGTAATCCCAGCACTTTGGGAGGCAGAGGTGGGTGGATCACTTGAGGTTAGCAGTTCAAAACCAACCTGGCCAACGTGGTGAAACCCCACCTCTACTAAAAAAAAAAAAATTACAAAAATTAGCCAGGCGTGGTGGTACGCACCTGTAATCTCAGCTACTCAGGAGGCTGAGGCAGGAAGAATCACTTAAAGCCGGAGGCGGAGGTTGCAGTAAGCTGGGATCACGCCACTGCACTCCAGCCTGGATGACAGAGATTCTGTCTCAAAAGAACCGTGAGGCAATTAAACCTCTTTTCTTTTTTCTTTTTTTTTTTTTTTTTTTGAGACAGAGCTTCACTCTTGCTGCACAGGCTGGAGTGCAATGGCACGATCTCGGCTCACTGCAACCCCTGCCTCCCGGGTTCAGGTGATTTTCCTGCCTCAGACTCCTGAGTAGCTGGATTTACAGGTGCCCGCCACCATGCCCGGCTAATTTTTGTAATTTTTTTTAGTAGAGACAGGGTTTCACCACATTGGCCAGGCTGGCCTTGAACTCCTGACCTCAGGTGATCCACCCACCTCAGCCTCCCTAAGTGTTGGGATTACAGGCATGAGCCACCGTGCCTGGCCATTAACCTCTTTTCTTATAAATTACCCATTTCTTTATAGCAATGCAAGATGGCCTAATACACAGCTCTAGCTGACTAATATACCACCATCTCACTGAAGGCTTGCAAAACCCAGCTGAGAAAGTCTTTTAATAAAAGCAACAACATTAATAAAAACAGTGACAACTACTGAGTGGCTGCCCAGCATCAGGCATGTTATAGGCCCATATCAAGACTGTCTCCTTCACTGTACCCATATCACAGATGAGGACGTGGAGGTGCAGAAGGGCCAAGACACAGAACCCAGGTCTGAGCTACACCTCCAACTTGCTTTCTGCTGCAACCACCTTTTCCACCTTCTTTCTCATGCACACAATGTACTCTAATTAGATGTAAAGCTTTATTTCCCCTAACATTTCCACAGTTCCCTTGGCACAGTCCACACTCTTTTGCCTAGGTTTACCACCAACTGCCAAGATAATAATGTAAACTAGACACCAATGAACAGGAAACAGGATCCACTAGTAAGATGTCATTTTTTTTTTTTTTTTTTTGAGACGGAGTCTTGCTCTGTCGCCCAGGCTGGAGTGCAGTGGCGTGATCTCGGCTCACTGCAAGCTCCGCCCCCCCAGGTTCACGCCATTCTCCTGCCTCAGCCTCCCGAGTAGCTGGGATTATAGGCGCCCACCACCTCGCCCGGCTAATTTTTTGTATTTTTAGTAGAGACGGGGTTTCACCGTGTTAGCCAGGATGGTCTCGATCTCCTGACCTCATGATCTGCCCGCCTCCGCCTCCCAAAGTGCTGGGATTACAGGCGTGAGCCACTGCGCCCGGTCATAAGATGTCATTTTTAAAAAACTGTCTAGTCCAGAGATCAGTAAACTTTTCCATAAAGGGTCAGAAAGTAAATAGGTTCAGCTTTGCAGGCTGAATGGTTTCTGTTGCAAGGACTCAATCCTGCCCTTATAGTGCTAAAGGAGCCAAGGATGATATACAAACTAATGAGCACAACAGCTGATATAATTTGCCTGTGTCCCCACCCAAATCTCATCTTGAGTTGTAGTTCCCATAATCCCCATGTGTGGTGGCAGAGACCTGGGGGCAGGTAACTGAATCATGGGGTGGTTCCCCCATGCTATTCTAGTGATAGTAAGTTCTCACGAGATCTGATGTTTTTATAAGGGGCATCCACTTCACTCAGCTCTCATTCTTCTCCTACCTGCCACCATGGGTAGAAGGATATGTTTGTTTCCCCATCCGCCATGACTGTAAGTTTCCTGGGGTCTCCCCAGCCGTGCATAACTGTGAGTCAATTAAACCTCTTTTGTTTATAAATTACCCAGTCTCAGGCAATCTTTCGGTTTTTTGTTTTTTTTTTTTTGAGATGGAGTTTTGCTCTTGTTGCCCAGGCTGGAGTGCAATGGCTCAATCTCAGCTCAATGCAACCTCCACTTTCCGGGTTCAAGCGATTCTCCTGCCTCAGCCTCCTGAGTATCTGGGATTACAGGCACCCGTCACCACGCCCAGCTAATTTTTGTGTTTTTTAGCAGCAGCACGATCTCTGCTCACTGCAACCTCTGCCTCCCAGGTTCAAGCGATTCTCCTGTCAGCCTTCCAAGTAGCTGGGATTACAGGTACGTGCCACCACGCCTGGCTAATTTTTGTATTTTTAGTAGAGATGGGGTTTCACCATGTTGGCCAGGCTGGTCTCGAACTTCTGGGATTACAGGCATGAGCCTCCCTGCCCGGCCCTTTTTATCCTTCTTTTTCTTTTTATAGCATGCCTTTTCCTTTTACACAAACAGCATCCGTCTTTCATCAACATAGGAAAACATCAGGAGGCCTGTCAAATATTTCATAAACTCAAATTTGGTAAAGGATATAATGAAATGGTTGAAATGAAAAGAAAATGCCTTGCTAATGACAGCTTCGCTGGCTTTTCAAATCTAACCACTTCAGAAGAGAGCAGATCTCATTATCCAACATCGCACTGCTGCTGTTCTGCTGTTCTGAGGAGTCTCAGGGAGCCTGAGAGGGGTCTTTCGTCTAACTATCAAGAGAAAGAGGCCAGTTGCAGCAGCTCACGCCTGTAATCCCAAAACTTCAGGAGGCTGAGGTGGGCGGATCACCTGAGGTCAGGAGTTCGAGACCAGCCTGGCCAACATGGAGAAACCCCATCTCTACTAAAAATACCAACATTATCCAGGCGTGGTGGTGGGTGCCTGTAGTCCCAGCTACTTGGGAGGCTGAGGCAAGAAAATCGCTTGAACCCGGGAGGCGGAGGCTGCAGTGAGCTGAGATTGCGCCACTGCACTCCAGCCTGGGTGACAGAGTCTCAAAAAAAGAAAGAAAGAAAGAAAGAAAACTGGGTTTTGGTCAATTGATTAACCACACTTGAAAATGGGAGGGAAGATTTCTAGCAAATTTAAAAAATGTGTTTGTGTATATGTTTGTTAAAATGCAGGCCACAAGGGTACAGATGATTCCCTGAGTGGCTTTGGGAGGGAAGGGACACCTTGGGATTCTCCATCACACCCTAGTTGAGCGGTTGGCAAATTTTTCTGGTAAGAGGCCAAACAGGTGACATTTTCCATTCTGCAGGCCATATGGTCTCTGTGCCACTACTCCACTTTGAAGTTATAGTATGGAGGTTGCTAAAGCAATTCTAAGTAATACACACACAAAGGGGTGTGGCCAGATTCTAATACAACTTTTTTTTTTTTTTTTTTTGAGATGGAGTTTCACTCTTGTGGCCCAGGCTGGAGTGCAATGGTGCAATCTCGGTTCATCACAACCTCTGCTTCCCAGGTTCAAGTGATTCTCCTGCCTCAGCCTCCCTAGTAACTGGGATTACAGGCCTGTACCACCACACTCGGCTAATTTTGCATTTTTAGTAGAGACAGCATTTCTCCATGTTGGCCAGGCTGGTCTCGAACTCCCAACCTCAGGTGATCCGCCCACCTTGGCCTCCCAAAGTGCTAGGATTACAGGCGTGAGCCACTGTGCCCGGTCCCAGTACAACTTTTTCTTTTGGAGACAGTCTAGCTCTGTCGTCCAGGCTGGAGTGCAGTGGAAAAATCTCGGCTCACTGCAACCTCCACCTCCTGGGTTCAAGCAATTCTCCTGCCTCAGCCTCCTGAGTAGCTTGGACTATAAGCGTGCAGCACGACACCCGGCTAGTTTTTGTATTTTTAGTAGAGAAAGGATTTTGCCACAGCGGTCAGGCTAATAAGGGATCGCCTGGCTCAGCTTCCCAAAGTGTGGGGATTACAGTTGTGAGCCACCGCACCCGGCTCCAATAAAACTTTATTTACAAAAACAAGCCGTGGGCCAGACATGCCCTCTGGGCTGTAGTTTGCTGACTCCTGCCCTAGAGCAGATGTACATGAAGGGCAATGAGAAGCGCGTGCAAAAATACATTCTCCTTCAATGTGCAATGGTGGAGGAAGCAAAATGGGTTCCAACATGAACCCCAAGTGAACACTCCCAGGGTAGGTGCTGTACATTGTGGCCTTCTCTGCATTCACCACCCACAGCTTATCACTTCGGCAGTGACTCCCAGCCTGTAGCCTTGTTTTCTAATACACAAAATCTGAACACAAACCAAGTGCCCATCAACTGGGGACTGGTTAAATTAATCATGGTATGTCTTTACAATGGCGTATTTGCAGTTATTAAGAATCATATTGTGATTGAGCACGGTGGCTCATGCCTGTAATCCCAGCACTTTGGGAAGCCAAGGTGGGTGGGTCACTTGAGGGCAGAAGTTTGAGACCAGCCTGGCCAACATGGTGAAACCCTGTCTCCAGTAAAAATACAAAAATTAGCTGGGCAGGCACCTGTAATCCCAGCTATTCAGGAGGCTGAGGCATGAGAATTGCTTGAACCTGGGAGGTGGAGGTTGCAGTGAACCAAGATCACACCACCGCACTCCAGCCTGGGCGAGAGTGAGACTGTCTCAAACAAACAAAAAAGAATGATATTGTGGTTCATGCCTGTAATCCCAGAAATACTGGAGGCCAAGGTGGGAGGTTCGTTGAGCCCAGGAGTTTGAGAGCAGTTTGAGCAACACAGGGAGACCCTGTCTCTCCCAAAAAATAAAAATAAAAAAATAATTAGCCTGTGGTACATGCCTGTGGTCCTAGGTACTTGGGAGACTGAGGTGGGAGGATCGTGGCTACAGTGAGCTCTCATCACGCCACCACACTCCAGCCTTGGCAACAGAGTGAGACCTTATCTTTTTTTTTTTTTTTTTTGAGACAGAGTCTCACTCTGTCACCCAGGCTGCAGTGCAGCGGCGCGATCATGGCTCACTGCGACCTCCACCTCCCAAGTTCAAGAGATTCTCCTGCGTCAGCCTCCTGAGTAGCTGGGATTACAGGCGTGCGCCACCACACCTGGCTAATTTTTGTATTTTTAGTAGAGACGGGGTTTCATCGAACTCCTGACCTCGTGATCCACCCGCCTCGGCCTCCCAAAGTGCTGGGATTACAGGCGTGAACCACCGCACCTGGCCAAGTGAGACTCTGTCTCTAAAAAAAGAAAAAAAAAGTTATTTTAGAAAACAACACATTTGAGGATATGGAAGTATGGTTACAGTATCAGGTGAGAAAACCATGCTGGAAGATACTAAGATAACACTGCCAAAAGAAAATGTAAGCACCACACCTAGATGATTATGCACAGAAGAAAGGTTGGAAGAATATGTACCTAGGGTGATGGTCTCCGGAGAATGTGACTATGGGTGATTTATTTTTCCTCTTCTAGCAAGTATGCATTTGATAAGTTTCTTCAATGAATATGCATTAGTAGTTTAAAAAAAATTTTTCTTTTTTGAGACAGGGGTCTCACTGTGTCACTCAGGCTGAAGTGCACCACTCGGCTCACTGTAACCTCCGCCTCCCGAGTTCAAGTGATTCCTCTACCTCAGTCTCCTGAGTAGCTGGGACTACAGGCATGTGCCACTATGCCCAGCTAATATATGTATGTTTAGTAGAGATAGGGTTTCACCATATTGGCCAGGCTGGTATTGAACTCCTGGCCTCAAGTGATCTACCCACCTCAGCCTCCTAAAGTGCTGGGATTACAGGCATGAGCCACCGTACCAGGCCTAAAAAATTTTTTCAAGCAAAGTAAAACAAACAAAAGCCACTTAAAGCCACACCAATGGTATTTAAGGATATTATGGACCCCTCCATGGTTATCTGCCCAAGGAAGCTAATGCCACAATAGAAGCCAATGAAGATCACAACACTGGTGCCAGGGGCAGCCCTGATCACAGTGGACAAAATATAATCCAAGTCCAGCAACAAGGTGGCTAAGGACCTATTTACTGACACTGCACCGTAAGTAAAAATGAGAACTGTAACACCTCCTAGCAACAAAGCAAGTGTAAAGAAAATGATGCTGAAATGAACACAGCAGAACTCATCCTTCCTTATCCACTCTCAAAACATACATACAGGAATATGGAAAATGCTGCATGGGGATGGTGAAGACAGGAAAAGGTTTACCAGGCTGGAAATTGTTTGCGTTTTTTTTTTTTTTTTTTTTTTTTGAGATGTTTTGCTCGTCGCCTAGGCTGGAGTGCAATGGCGCGATCTCGGCTCGCTGCAACCTCCGCCTCCCTGGTTCAAGTGATTATCCTGCCTCAGCCTCCTGAGTAGCTGGGATTACAGGCGCACGCCACCACACCTGGCTAATTTTTGTATTTTTTAGTAGAGACGGGGTTTTGTCATGTTGGCCAGGTTGGTCTCGAACTCCTGACCACAGGTGACCTGCCCACTTTGGCCTCCCAAAATGCTGGGATTGCAGGGTGTGAGCCTCTCACTGCACTCAGTCTGTTTGTAACTTTTTTTTTTTTTTCCGAGACAGAAGATCTTGCTCTGTCACCCAGGCTGGAGTGCACTGGCACGATCTCAGCTCACTGCAACCTCCACCTCCTGGGTTTTTAAGCAATTCTCTGCCTCAGCCTCCTGAGTAGCTGGGATTACAGGGGGCATGCCACCACACCCAGCTAATTTTTGCATTTTTAGTAGAGACGGGGTTTCACCATCTTGGCCAGGCTGTTCTTGAACTCCTGACCTCGTGATCCACCTGCCTCGGCCTCCCAAAGTGCTGGGAGCCACCGCGCTGGCCTCTGTTTGCAATTCGTAAAAATGCTGTCATCAGCCTTTAATGGTGTGTGTGCAGACTGCACAAAGAAAAGTGGATGAGAAGACAGAAAACACACACGGTGATGATACCCACAGCAACAGGTGCTCTCAGGCACTCAGCCGCATTCGAGTTCATTGAAACTTACAACAACCTTAGGCACACACTACTTGCAGGCCGATTTTAGAGATGTGGAAACTGAGGCTTGGAGAGGAGAAAGCAATTAGCCAAGGTCCCTCTCAGAATGAGCTGAGATGGGATTTGTACTCACACCTAACTGACCCAGAACATTAGTGCTTAAACACTGTGAGACACTAGGCACCCAAACTTCAAACTCTGATAACCTCTGGTGCCAGTAAAGTTCTTGAAAAGCTTCCTTAAGAGACACAACCATGAGATTCCATTTTTAAAATGTACAGCAGCCACCAACCAGCATCTGAAAAAGCCACGCTGCTATTATTAACAATGAGACAACAGTTCTCTGGAGAAAAAGAGGACTATTGAAACAAAACCTCAATGACAGGATTCTCTTCTGAGAGCACGATTCATCCCCATAATGGACAAATGCCTCGCCTCATTGAGACCTCCGCGCCAGTCTGAATAAGGCAGGAAGGTTTCTTCACACCATTCATCTGGCCTGTGAGGGACCCAGCCAAGATCTTGGCGTGCCTGTTCTGACAGCGACACCGGCCTCAGCAAAGCCAGACCCAGCAGCTCCGATCTCTGCTACTTACAGACCTTGGGGTGATGCTTGGCTGAGATTTGGCAAGGAAATGAATTGCAGAAGTGATCAAGGAGAATTCCACAACCTGAGAGGCAGCAAAAGTGGACTTGACCCTGGTCTAGCAAGAGCCCACCATTAGCAATGACTCTTTCAATACTTTCAGGAGCAGCTCCAGTCAAAATTCCACTTACTCAATTCTTTTTTTTTTTTTTTTTTTGAGACAGAATCTCATTGTCTCACCCAGGCTGAAGTGCAGTGGCTCAATCTCAGCTCACTGCAACCTCCGCCTCCCAGATTTAAGCAATTCTTGTGCCTCAGCCACCCGAGTAGCTGGGATTATAGGCGTGTGCCACCATATCTGGCTAATTTTTCTATTTTTAGTAGAGATGCGATTTCACCATGTTGGCCAGGCTAGTTTCGAACTCCTGACCTCAAGTGATCCGCCTACCTCGGCCTCCCAAAGTGCTGGGATTACAGGTATGAGCCACTGCGCGCAGCCCCACTTGCCCAATTCTTGACCATCATTTATTGAGCTAAATCCAAAAAGGAAACTCTACCACTGACTCTTTTCTTTCTCATGGCCTCCAAAATGAATCCTAGGTTTTTCCAGCAGGGTAAATTCAAAAGGACTCAGGTTGGAAATTGACTTCTTGGTTAAAAAAAAAAAAAAAGTATAAACAAAAGGTCCTTTTTAGAAATGAGGTTTATTTTCAAGGCTACTCAGTCCTAAAAGCCTGCATATTTACTTTTTTTCCTTCCTCCAGGTTTACCTCCAAGTCAGGATTTCAAAAACCACCAACATTCAGGCTCATTCTTATTGGTATAAACAAACAAACAAAAAAACCAGACAACAAAAAACTCAACAAGCAAATCACACAGTTGTGGGATTCAGCGCCAACCCCGGGCGTTTCATTTTGGCAACAAAACCAGGATTCCCTTTCAAAGAAGCTTCTGGAAAATGCTGTATTTCCTAGATGAAGGCCCCTGGTTTTTCAACCTCAAAATCACCTACTCAAAAAGCAGACTCAGAAACCCAAGGTTTTAGAACATGGTCCCAATGTACCACATCATAAAATCACTCTCATTCCTGCAACTGTACAATGAATGGCTCCCAAAGTCATTTTATTTAACAAAGGGGTCAAGGCAGAGGAAAGTTTCCCTTAATATCCCCACAACTGCTCCACATGTCTTCTGTGGAAACACTTCACCAGGAACTAGCTCAACACTCTTGCTAACAATTTAGTGTCTATACAGGAAGGCTGGTGTCTCTGTTACAGGTGGCCCGTTCCTTAAAGCCTTTAGGGTTAATCGCAGCTGCACTGAGTGGCCAAGCAGACCCTGTTGGGATGTGAAAGCAGTTTGTTAACAGGGCCCCTGGCCGGGCCCAGAGGCTGTCAGACTCAGCAAGTAACACTGAATGTCCAAAAATACGGCTGTGTTAAACTAACAAGCCAATCCTTCTGCTCAGATCTCTGGATAGAAATGATTTTTCTTTTATCTATGGGGAATGCAATTTCATCACAGCCCCTTACATAAACGCTCCTGAAACCCTTTCAGTAGACAGCATTTCAATTCAGAGACCAAAGTGAAACTATCTTTGAAAACAGGGACGTGGCTGGGAAACCATGCACACCTCGGCGAACACTTTTCCACCCACCACGAGCTTGGACTTTCTGGGAAGGTTGTCGGTTTTCTGGTCAAAAACATTCTTGAAGTCATCAGGAATGGAGGAATGGAGACTCGGCATCCCGGGAAAGTGAGTTCCTGGTTTCATCGCTGGGATTCAAGAGCCGAACAGCCTGGAGAAGTCAGAGGGCAGAAATGTCTGTGAGGATAGGAGGTGACTGTTCTAAAAATATTGTCAGCGATTATTTTACATGACTATTACCTATTACTTAGATGATTTTACATGATTGTCTGATTTTTTAAAGTAACCTGTGATCCACCTGTGAATATAATTAACAATACTGAACTACACAGTTAAAAGAAGAATATACTCTTTTTTTTTTTTTAGACAGAGTCTGGCTCTGCCGCCCAGGCTGGAGTACAGTGGTGCGATCTCAGCTCGCTGCAACCTCTGCATCCGAGATTCAAGCGATTCTCCTGCCTCAACCTGCTGAGTAGCTGCAATTACAGGCGCCTGCCACCAAGCCAGATTAATTTTTGTATTTTTAGTAGAAATGGGGTTTCACCATGTTGGCTGGGCTGGTTTCGAACTCCTGACCTCAAGTGATCCACCCGCCTCAGCCTCCCAAAGTGCTGGGATTACAGGCGTGAGCCACTCCGCACAGCCAACACCACCACCCTATAAGGGAAAGCGGTACAGCTGTTAAACAAAAGATATATACAGGAACTTTCGGTATTATCTTTGCAACATTTCCACAAATCTAAACTCATTCCAAAATAAAAAGGTTATCTGAAAAAAATAAGAGTGCAGAAACAGCTGGATTTCCACATGCAAAAGAATAAAGTTGGACCCCTGCTTTATGTCATATAAAAAAATTCACTCAAAATAGGTCACAGACCTAACTATCCTCCAGAATCCAAACTACAAAACTCTTGGAAGAAAACTTACGTGTACATCTTTGTAACCTTGGGTTACACAATGATTTCTTACTATAATACCCAAAGCACAAGTGACAAAAAGACAAAAACATAAACTCAACTTCATCACAGTTAAAAACTTTTTTTTTTTTGAGATGGACTCTCACTCTGTTGCTCAGGGTGGAGTGCCGTGGGGCGATCTCGGCTCACTACAACCTCTGACTCCTGGGTTCAAGCGATTCTCATGCCTCAGCCTCCCGAGTAGCTGGGATTACAGGCACCCGCCACCATGCCTGGCTAATTTTTGTACTTCTAGTAGAGACGGTGTTTCACCATGTTGGTCAGGCCGGTCTCAAACTCCTGACCTCAAGTGATCCAACCGCCTCAGCCTCCCAAAGTGCTGGGTTTACAGGCATGAGCCACCATGCCTGGCCATTCACAATAAAAAACTTTTGTGCTTAAAATGACACCATCAAGAAAGTGAAAAGACAACATACAAAATGGGAGAAAATGCTTGCAAAATACGCACGTGATAATGGACTGATAACGAGAATACACAAAGAACCCTTATGGATCAGCAATAACCCAATTTTTAAAAAGGGCAGAGAATCTTAAGAAGACATTTCCTCAAAGGAGGTGGACAAATGGCCAATAGGTACATGAAAATATGTTCAATATCATTAACCATCAGGGAAATGTGAATCAAAACCTTCGAACTGGCTGTGCACAGTGGCTCATGCCTGTAATCCCAGCACTTTAGGAGGCTGAGGTGGGTGGATCACTTGAGCCCAGGAGTTCTGGACCAGCCTGGGCAACATAGCGAAACCCAGTACTTCTTGTAGAGACAAGAAGTACAAAAATTAGCCAGGTGTGGTAGTGCACACCCATAGTCCCACTACTTAGGACGCTGAGGCCAGAGGATCACTTGAGCCCAGGAGGCAAAAGTTGCAGTGAGCTGAGATTGTGCCACTGTACTCCAGCTCCAGCCTGCGCAACAGAGTGAGACTCTGTTTCAAAAACAAACAAAAAACTTTCATACCTACTAGGATGACCACAGTCAAAAGATTAACGGTAACAGAGTTGGCAAGGATACGGAGAAAGTGTAACCCTCGTAGGCTGCAGGTAGGAATGTAAAATGTCGTAGCTACTTTGGAAAACACTCTGGTGTTTTCTCAAAAGGATAAACACAGGTCGGCTTTAATCTCAGCACTTTGGGAGGTTGAGGTGGGTGGATCACTTGAGGTCTGGAGTTCGAGACCAGCCTGGCCAACGTGGTAAAACCCTGTTTCAGCCAGGCGCAGTGGTTCACGCCTATAATCCCAGCACTTTGGGAGGCCGATGTGGGTGGATCATGAGGTCAGGAATTCAAGACCAGCTTGGACAACATGGTGAAACCCCGTCTCTACTAAAAATACAAAAAATTAGGCATGGTGGTGCACACCTGTAACCCCAGTTACTCAGGAGGCTGAGGCAGGAGAATCACTTGAACCCGGGAGGTGGAGGTTGCAGTGAGCTGAGAACGTGCCACTGCACTCCAGCCTTGGCAACAGAGCGAGACTCTGTCTCCAAAAAAAAGAAAATTATAAACGTAGTGTGATCATATAACCCAGCAATTTCACTCCTATATAGCTCATAACTAAAAACATAAATCTGTACAAAAACTTGTACATGAATGTTCTTGTCACCACTTTCATAATAGCTAAAAAATACAAACATTTCAACTGTCCACCAACTGACAGATGGAAAACTGGGGAATAGTCATACAAGAGAATGATTCTGCCATGAAAAGGAATGAAGCACTGCTCCAGGCTACAACGTGGATGAACCTCAAAAACATGATGCTGAGTGAGAGGAGCTAGACACAAAAGGCCATGCAGTGTATGACTCCATTTATATAAACTGTCCACATGAGGCAAATCCACAGAGACAGGAAGCCGACGAGTGGTTGCCAGGGACTAAGGGAGGGGAAATGGGGCGTGACTGCCAATGGGGACGCGGTTTCTTTCTGTGTTGATGAAAATGTTCTGAAATTGGATAGAGATAGCGGCTGCATAATCCTGTGAATATTCTATAAAATACCGGATTGTGAAGACAGACTTCCGCCTTTTACTTGTAAAACCTCTCCATGGTTCATTTTCTCCCTAACTTTTCCTCTTGTTATTTTATGAAAATTTCAACACACAGAAGAGTTGTGTTGAAACACACTGCCACCACCTACATTCTGCAATTAACACTTTGCTGTACCACATACCTATCCATCTATCTAACCATTTATCCGTATTTTTGATGTGTTTCAATGTAAGTTATAGATGACAGTGCTACTGATCCCTAAATACTCAGGGACGTTTCTCCCCTATTTCAGACTTTTCATAACTTCTTAAACTTTCCAAAGCTCAAACAACACAAGAGTGGGCACAGGGAGATTGGGCACGGTGGCTCACGCCTATAATCCCAGCACTTTGGGAGGCCGAGGCAGGTGAATCATTTGAGGTCAGGAGTTCGAGACCAGCCTGGTCAACAGGATGAAATCTCATCTCTACCAAAAATAGAAAAATTAGCCAAGTGTGGTGGTGCGTGCCTGTAGTCTCAGCTCCTTGGGAGGCTGAGGCAGGAGAATCACTTGAACCTGGGAGATGCAGGATGCAGTGAGCTGAGACTGTGCCACTGCACTCCAGTCTGGGTGACAGAGCAAGACTCCACCTCAAAAAAAAAAAAAAAAAGAAGAAATAGGCACACGGAATATTGAACCATGCCCAGGCTCTGCCAATTTCCTCAGCAACTGCCACAGGGTCACCTCTCTACCCCATCTGGAGTGGATCCTTCCAACTCCCTGGCTAAACAGTGTTTCACTCCCATACTTAAGGCACTCATTTAAGGTTTATCCATGGTTACTGCATGCACATTACACAGCTGAAGTTAGGCTGCACAGACATAGTACCCTCCGGCCTTCTTCACTTTCAGAACGTTTCATTTCCCCATGCAGACAGAACCTTCTGGCACATCATCAGTGATGGTATTGTGACAGCCAGTCACATGGGCATCCTTCAAGTTACCTGATCCTTCCCCTGTTCTTGGACACTTAGGTGATTTCCAGTTTTTAAATATCCTGGGAAAGCCAGTCACTACCTCCCTGAGAGGGCCCTTTCTTGAGAGAATCTTCTCTCACCCATGGCCCCCAGTGAAAGAGTTGGCCTGGGTCAGAGGTTGGCACATTTTCTCTGTAATGGGTGACTGTTTACTAACAGTTCTGGCTCTGCAAGCCATGTCATCTCTGTCACACAACTCAACTCCACCGCTGTGACACAGAAGCAGCCACACACATGAACTTTTGCGAAGTTCATTCACAAAAACAGGCAGTGGGGAGATTTGGCCTGTGGTCTGATGACCCTTGACCTAAGTGGTTATGGCAGAATCAAGAACCCCCACCCCAAATGGACCAGAGTGACACCAAGGTGGGTCAATCAGACTCTGCCCCAGGAAACAAAATCAGGACCCTGGGCTACTGACTATGCAGGTCTTGGAAAGTTGAGCTGGGAGGATGCCCGAGGCTGCTGTTCTGGTCACAGACTAGCAGATGAGGGAGTGAAGATGCTGGTCAAACAGGAGAGGATGATGAAGCAGGTGCACAGGAAAGACGAGAATGAGAGAAGCACACTGACTTCTTCCCTGCCCCAGGACCTTTGCAAAGATGAGAATGAGAACCATGCTGACTTCTTCCCTGCCCCAGGACCTTTGCAAAGACGAGAATGAGAGAAGCATGCTGACTTCTTCCCTGCCCCAGGACCTTTGCAAAGATGAGAATGAGAAGCATGCTGACTTCTTCCCTGCCCCAGGACCTTTGCAAAGATGAGAATGAGAAGCATGCTGACTTCTTCCCTGCCCCAGGACCTTTGCAAAGACGAGAATGAGAGAAGCATAGAAGCATAGTGACTTCTTCCCTGCCCCAGGACCTTTGCAAAGACGAGAATGAGGGAAGCATGCTGACTTCTTCCCTTCCCCAGGACCTTTGCAAAGACGAGAATGAGGGAAGCATGCTGATTTCTTCCCTGTCCCAGGACCTTTGCAAAGACGAGAATGAGGGAAGAATGCTGACTTCTTCCCTGCCCCAGGACCTTTGCACATGCCACTTCCTGTGCCACCATGCTTTTCTCCAGCTCTGCAAATGGCAAACGTCTTCTTGTCCTTTAGGTCTTGATTTATTATTATTTGTTTGGAGACAGGGTCTTCTTCTGTTGCCCAGGCTGGAGTGCAGTGGCAGGATCTCAGCTCACTGCAACCTCTGCCTCCAGGGCTCAAGTGATTCTCCCACCTCAGCCTCCCGAGGAGCTGGAACTATAGGCAGGCGCCACTACACTCGGCTAATTTTTTTATTTTTGGTAAAGACAGGGTTTCACCATGCTGCCCAGGCTGGTCTTGAACTCCTGGGCTCAAGCAATTCTCCCACCTTGGCCTCCCAAAGTACTGGGATTACAGGCCTGAGCCACTGCCCCTGGCCGTTCCTACAATTTCATGTAAGTTCCTTGATCTCCTCACAAGCCTTCTTTGTTCCTAGGCAAGTCTCATACATGCTCTCAGATCCTCTCTGCCAGGTAGGATACCTTGGCAACAGTCTTCCTGGGAATACATCACGGTCCTTGTGATGAGGGTGAAATGCCATCCTCCCCAGATCTCCTATGTCCTGGAAGCATCTTCGCAAACAGCCACTGGGGTGGCACGCAGACTGGACAGCAACCCCACATTCGGAGTCTCAATCACTCAGGACAGACAACTTTTTGTCCTCTCTCTTTCTGGGGGAAGCATACAGGGATGGACCCACAGAGGCCAAGAACACCAGATTCTCCCGTCGTGTCTTTTCCTAAATCCATTTACAGCAAATCTCACAATTCGTTAACAGTAGTATCAGAGTTATGGCCCCAGTGCTAGATGGAAAGGCAATCTGCTTGAGTTTTCTCAGCCTAATGAGAAAATGAAAAGCCAGAATTTAAAACAATAAAGTCTGAATACATTTCTACTGGCTTCCAGCCCAGGTGGAGCAGGATCTGGCAGTGTGCTGGACATTTAAACCATATTTTCCACCTCGGCAGATGCAGAAGAACTGGTGAGACGTGACAGGGCCATGGGCTCAGGGACGGCATCTCCTGGCAGCCCCTGCAGAGGTGCCGGGCATAGCCGGGGGCTGGAGAACTCCATGTTCCAATAAAAGTTCCAGCCCGGTTTGGTGGGGACACAGGGACAGAGTTTAACCCCTTCAGATACTGGTTCCCTCACTTACTTATTTTGAAAACAGAAAGCAGGGCCGGGTGTGGTAGCTCACATCTGTAATCTCAGCACTTTGGGAGGCCGAGGCAGGTGGATCACATGAGGTCAGGAGTTCAAGACCAGCCTGACCAACATGATGAAACCCTGTCTCTTGTAAAAATACAAAAATTAGCCAGGTGTGGTGGTGGGCACCTGTAATCCCAGCTACTCGGGAGGCTGAGGCAGGAGAATCGCTTGAAGCAGGGAGGCAGAGGTTGCAGTGAGCCGAGATCACGCCACTGCACTCCAGCCTGGGCAACAGAGCAAGACTCGATCTCAAAAACAAAAACAAACAAACAAAAAAAACAGGGCCGTGCACAGTGGCTCACTCCTGTAATCCCAGCACTTTGGGAGCCCAAGGTGGACGAATCACAAGGTCAGGAGATCAAGACCATCCTGGATAACACGATGGAACCCCGTCTCTACTAAAAATACAAAAAATCAGCCGTGTGTGGTGGCACGCACCTGTAGTCCCAGTTACTCGGGAGGCTGAGGCAGGAGAATCGCTTAGACCTAAGAGGCCGAGGTTGCAGTGAGCCCAGATCGCACCACTGCACTCCAGTTTAGGCGACAGAGCAAGATTCCATCTCAAACAAAACAAAAAATAAAGAAAACAGAAACCAGGATACAAGAGTGATGACTGAAAAGACAGAGAATGACCATCAGGTGGGTCACCCTGGAGAAGGAGACTAAGAGACGACAGTGAAAGGAAAGGGCAGGCTGGACTCACACAATCATGCAGAACATCATGAAGATGTTCCACAGGGCGATGAAGATTCGAAAGTATCTGAGGCTCAGCAAGAATTCCCGGATGTTGTCACCTGGAAGAATCAGAAAGCACTTTTATGGCACAGCTAACATCCCATCCCTACTGCCACCTCAGCAGTGGATTTTTGTGACTTCCACCCACCCGGCGCTTGCTGCCTCCAACTTCGGCAACAGTGTGGCTTTTCCTTTTGGTTTCTCCCTCTTCCCTACCCTCATCAGGCTGTGTCTACCACTGACCAATCCCCTGAAAGCACCAAGCCCCTCTGCCTCTGATTGGCTCAAGAAGGGGCATGTGACCCAAGTCTGTCCAATGAGAGTCCACCCTGGGACTTTTCCCCCAACTACTGGGAAAGAGATACCTTCTGCCAGGCTTACTGAGCTGGGAAGATGTAAGCTCAGTAAGCTCAGTGCCCACAGGCCAAATCCAGCAGCCTCTTCCACCTGTTTTTGGATGGCCTATGAGCTAATAGTTTTTACTTTTTTTTAAAATATAAAGATGGGGTTTTGCTATGTTCCCCAGGTGGGTCTTGAACTCCTGGCTTCAAGTGATCCTCCCGCCTAAGCCTCTCAAAGTGTTGAGATTACAGGCATGAGTCTCCATACCCGGCTGGTTTTTACATTAAAAAAAAAAGAAAGAAGACTATTTTGTGAGACACAAAAATTACAAGAAATTCAAATCTCAGTGTCAATGAATAAAGTTTTATGGCACACAGCCATACCCATTCATTTACATATCATGTCCTGCTGCTTTTGTACTACAACAGCAGAGCTGAGTCACATTGTTGTGCCAGACAGACACCATATGGCCCGCAAAGCCCTCAGATATTTACTATGTGGCCCTCTACAGAAAAACATGCCAACCCCTGCTCTGGGGTCATCTTTGCCAACCCTAACCAGTCTCACAGTAAAACCAACATAAAAGAAAGGGGAATTGAGAGCTGCAGAGAGTCAGATACTGACTCTAACCCTAACCCTAACCCCAACTCCAACCCCAACCCTAATCTTGAAGGACTGGTTTGACACCTAAACCCAGGGTGCCTGAAAACAATTCTGTTGGATGTTTCAATTTGCTTTAACCACTTTGAGCTGGGTTTGCAGTGTTTGTAACTGAAAGCATCCTAATTCAGGCAAGTGAAAGGGAAGGTGTTTCTTGGTGATGACTTACTCTGGTCCCCTTGAATGCCAAGGAACAGAAACCCCTCCGAGGGAAGGCAATTTAGTACGTGAAGACTCCAGAGACCTGGGTTCTAGACCCTTCTTCCAGGGTTTCCAGTCAATCACTCTCCCTCTCAAGCCCTCCAGAATGAAAAGAATGGGTCCAGATTAGGCCAGGCATGGTGGCTCACACTTGTAATCCCAGCACTTCAGGAGGCCGAGGCAGGCAGATTACCTGAGGTCGGGAGTTCGAGACCAGCCTGGCCAACATGGTGAAACCACGTCTCTACTAAAAATACAAAAGTTAGCCGGGTGTGGTGGTGCATGACTGTAATCCCAGCTACTCAGGAGGCTGAGGCAGGAGAATCACTTGAACCTGGGAGGCAGAGATTGCAGTGAGCTGAGATGGTGTCACTGCACTCCAGCCTGGGTGACACAGCAAGACTCCATCTCAAAAAAAAAAAAAAAAAAAAAAAAAGAATGGCTCCAGATTAGGTGATCTACAAGGGTGCTACCCGAAGTATCTGCAGACTGGGGCTGCATGGTAAGTACAGCATACACAACACAAGCCCAGAAATTTCTACTTTTTCAGGGATGACAACCTGACATCCCTGCTCCATCCGAGCTTGTGCTGAACACACCATCTTGCTGAAAACGGTTTAGACGAGCCTAGTATTATCTAGCCGACAGGATTAGTCACGTGCAGCACAACCTGTATACAGGGCTGATCCAGCACAGACTAGAAACATTAAATGCTTGGTCTGTTTCCAGGAAGTTTTGAGAGGCGCTGCTCAGCAAGACCCTTCCCCTAGCGAAGGATCGTGAAAACAGGACCTCCCACCATCAACAGATGCCAATCAAACGTTACTCATTCCAGGCCGGGTGCAGTGGCTCACAACTGTAATCCCAGCACTTTGGGAGGCCGAGGCAGGTGGATCACCTGAGGTCGCGAGTTTGAGATCAGCCTGGCTAACATCGTGAAACCACGTTTCTATTAAAACTACAAAACAATTAGCAGGGCGTGGTGGCGCGTGCCTGTAATCCCAAATCCTCGGGAGGCTGAGGCACGAAAATCACTTGAACCCAGGAGGTGGAGGCTGCAGTGAGCTGAGATCACGCCACTGCACGCCTGGGCAACAGAGTGAGACTCTGTCTCAAAAAATAAAAAAAGGTTACTCATTCCAGGCAACAGCAGTATACAGGGGATACAGAAAGAAACAAAGACCGGTGGCTCTGCCCCAACAAGCATATGGGGAGGAGAAATACTAAACAAATATTCACATGTGACTGCTCTGGTGGGAAAGTTTGGGTGTCCTGGGAATACACACTGCAGAGACCCAACATGGCATGTGCATGGGGAAGGGTGGGAGGTAAAAAAAAAGCCTTTCCAGCCGGGTGCCGTCGCTCAAGTCTGTAATCCCAGCACTTTGGGAGGCCAAGGAGGGCAGATCACCTGATGTCAGGAGTTCGAGACCAGCCTGGCCAACATGGCGAAACCCCATCTCTACTAAAAATACAAAAATTAGCTGGGCATGGTGGTGGGTGCCTGTAATCCCAGCTAATAGGGAAGCTGAGGCAGGAGAATTGCTTGAACCCAGGAAGCGGAGATTGCAGGGAGCTGAGATGGTGCCACTGCACTCCAGCCTGGGCAACAGAGAGAGGCTCCATCTCAAAAAAAAAAACAACAAAAAAACAAAAAACAGGCTTTCTGAGGAAGTGCCAGAGCTCCAAGTTCTGACCTCAAACATGGGCAGTTTAACAAATGTGAGCTCAAATCCTGCCTCTGTCCTTCTGCACAGGTGACCTGGTGACCTGGGACCATCCCTGCACTATCTATGTGCATTCCCTCTTGTGTCAATAGGGGTGTCAGGCAGCTAGGAAGACCTTAGCACACTGCCTGGCACGCATGACGCTCTCAACAAATGCAGCCACTATGGTATTACAGTTAAGCCAGGCAAAGAGGATGGAGGGCAAAGAGCAGCTCCCACAGGGGAAGCAGCAGGTGCAGCACCTGGGCTGGAAGGAGACTGGACACAGCAAAGCAGGAAGCTCCTGACAGAGCACTGGTGCCCTGCCTGGCATCCCTGTCACTGATGCTCCTGCCACTTTGTGCCAAATCTCCCGCCCACTGGAGCTCTGATTCGGATCTGTACAGTGCAACTCTAGGGCCTGGTAGTGCCTTCCACGTGGGGGTTAAGTAACACATGGCTGCTGAGTCAATGTATGAATGGATGGATCAATGGATAGACGGACAGATGGTCTAGTGATTGAGTGCACAACCGCTAGAGTCAGAAAAACCCAGGTTCTAATCCTGATTCTCATTGATTCCCTATGTGGCCACAAAAAAGTTGAGCCACATCTCTGACCCTCAGTTTCCTGATCTGTAAAATGGGAAAGTGACCATTATCTTTTAAGAATGGAGGGAGAATGCAACACTAACAGGAAGCACCTAACTGGGTCAGCACCCAAGGGCAGGCCCCCAAAAAGGGGAGCTGCTGGAGTGTCTTCAAAATCTCAGCTCGGCCAGGCGTGGTAGCTCATGCCTGTGATCCCAGCACTTTGGGAGGCTGAGGTGGGAGGATCGTTTGAGACCAAGAGTTGGACACCAGCCTGGTTAACACAGCGAGATACCTATCTCTACAAAAAACATTTAGAAAATTAGCCAGGCGTGGTAGTAAGTGCCTGTAGTCCCAGCTACTTGGGAGCCTGAGGCAAGAGGATCTCTTGAACCCAGGAGCTCAAGGCTGCAGTGAGCTATGACTGTGCCGCTGCACTCCAGCCTGGGCAACAGAGCAAGACCCTGTCTCTAAAAGAAGAAAACCTCTGTTCCTCAGGGTTCCCCCATCCTTGGGCAGTGCTCCATCATGGCATCCACCGCCTTGACTGTGACGCCGCCTCCTCAAATGGCCTTCCCTTCCACACCCCAGCAGGAGGGCAACCCCATCACCATCCTGTGACTCCCTGCCTCTGTCACCTAACGTCACCTCTGTCACTATCTATTCCCTGCTTAGAAACCATGTGTCCCACCCCATGGTAAGTTCCACTCTATCTGTCTTACCCCTGCTGTACCCCAGCACCTAGCACAGTAGCCAGCATGCGTTAGGTACTCAAATATCTGGTGAATGAAAGAATTAATGAATGGATACAATAGTCATGTACAGATCCCCTTAAGACTCCAAATAGTTACACAATCAAATTCAGCAGGAAGTGTAAATTCTGGGGCCTCCAGGGCCCAGGCAGATGATAGACATATGAAGGGGTTAGGGCTGGGATGAGGCAGAGTCTACAGGCCCCACCTCCTCAGAGTCCTTCTCAACTACACTCAATAGATGCAAACAGCTCTCCTGAATCTTGAGTTGCAGAATGTTCCAATTTTTCAAGAAAAATCAGACATCTTAATTTTTATATAAAATCTCCTGATTAAAAATCTAATGTTGGCATCTAATTTTAAAAGTGGCAGGTCTGCAGCACTCTGAAAGCAACAGCTATGTGTGAGGTTGTTCATTCATTCATTCACAGGCATCGGAGGACGGGTACGGCAAGAACAAAGGATGGGACAAGCCAAGCTAGGGCCTCTTCTCTGAAGTTTACAGTCATATGTGAGGGGCAGACATTAGCCAGATGACAGCAAACATAACAGAACATTATAACGGTAGGAAGTGATGTGAGTGCTCACATCAGGGAGGTCTGGTAGGAGAAAGAAATAGATGACAGAGGTAGGCAGAAAGGCTAGCACATTCTCAGTCATCTCCCACTCACACACACGCTCAATTAAAGAGAAAACTTGTGGCTCACGCCTGTAATCCCAGCTCTTCGGGAGGCCAAGGCAGGGATCACTTGAACCCAGGAGTTCGAGACCGGCCTGGGCAACGTGGAGAAACCCCATCTCTACAAAAAATACAAAATTTAGCCTGGCATGGTGGCACACACCTGTAATCCCAGCTACTAAGGGGGCTGAGGTGGAAGGATCACTTTAGCTCAGGAGGTCGAGTCTGCAGTGAGCCATGATCGCACCACTGCACTCCAACCTGGACAACAGAGCAAGACCTTGTGTCAAAAAAAAAAAAAAAAAAAAAAGAGAAAGAAAGAAAACGAAGGTAGGGCTTGGCGAAACAGAACTGTCCTCTGAAGTGGACCATGCAATTCCAGGATCCAATTAGACCTTACCTGTGCTGGGCTCCCTGGACTCCTCCCCAAAGCCCTGCGTGTCCTTCTTTTTCCTACAAAGAGGAGCAGACAGTGTCCACTTTCAATGGGACATAGAGTCCTCAGCCCCCTGACCCCCAGCTCAGAAGGCCACAAACACTAAGTTTCAGCCCTGGCCCTGCCGCAAACTTGCTGTGTGACCTCTGACGTTCAATACCCTTCTCTGGGCCCCCACTGCCCGGACAATCACAGCCAGGTCAGCAGCCACCGACCGTTTACAAAGTGGCCCGACAGTGCGGGTGCAGGGCGGAAGGTCCGCGGTGGGGCTATTTCTTGGGGGATGGGGCTTAAGCTCTCCAGGAAGGTGAACAGAGGGACAACCAAGGAACGGAGAGTATGGGTTTAAGGTCTCTCGGGGGGTGGGGGGCGAGGAAGATAAACCAGGCTGGAGGCGTGCCCAGAGGGCGGATAGGGCGGGGCCTGCGGCTTGGGGGCGGGGCCTGAGAAGTGCGCCGAGATCACGCTTATGAGGGCGGGGCTACGGGTTCCCCGGATGGAGCCGCAGTCCGGCCGCGACCTACTCACAGCTTAAAGTTCAGCACCGCCCCGGCATTCATCAGCAACGTCCTGCAGAGGGAGAATTACAGTTACTAGGGGCGCCCCCGCGTCCTGCCTGGCTCTCTCTTCCCAGCCTCTGGTCCCCCTAATTACCCGAACAGCAGGATGTCTCCGATCATCGTTACGGCCGAAGCGTCCGTCAGAACCGGAAGCGGAAGCCCCAGGGAGGGAGGGGAGAGGAGCACAAGCCGACCAATCCTAAAGCAACAGTGGCGAGGGCTGGGCCAATCGAAGGTCAAGGCTGGGAGGGTCCCGCCCTCTGCAGGCCAGACCCCCTTAGGGGAGCGCGAGCGCCCCACCTCGCTGGGGAGGCCCCGAGAGCCAGAATGGGAGGAGCGGGGTCTCCTGGGGGCGGGATTGGGTCACGCGTTCGAAGCGTGCCGCGCATGCGTGAGGTCTCGATGCCGTAGGGTTAGCTGGGCAGCAATTCCTACTCACTTTCTGGGGTCCCAAATTGGGCTTCTGGACAAAAGGAATCCTTTGACTCCTGAGCTGCACAGGGTGCGGGGTCCTGACGCAGTGGGGTCCCTAGAAACGGGTGCCCCAACCAACTGGGCTCTAAAATGAGATCCTCCTGGGCCCCATGGGGAACGGGGGTTCCCACTGAGCTGCCCCCCACAAGACGTCCTGATTTGCAGAGCCCCACCGGAGACGGGGTTCCTGATCGAACGGACCCTATGGGGCAGAAAAGTCTTGACGGGGCTCCACAGAGGACCGAGGTCCTAACCTATCTCCACGGGGAACAGGGGTTCTGATTCATGGGGTCCCACCATGGCGTAGGGGTCCTCACTGGGCTCCACCGAAGATCGGGGTCCTAATTGAGCCCACGGGGACAAAGTCCTGGCCGATCCGGCCCCCTGGGAACGGGCGTCCCGCGTGGGTGGGCTCCGTGAGGGACGGGCCCCCAGAACAGGCAGCTCCCCAGCCTCCCTCGCCTTGCACGGGTGCCCCGCACCCCGCCTCGCTGGGCGGAACGGGGTAGCGATGGCAGGAGGGTCAACGCCTGGGACGCCCGACCGTCCAGCTGCGTCCGTGGTGCTGGGCGTCCCCACCACCTGTCCCGGGGTGGGCCGTCGCCCCTCCTCTCCCGCGGGGGCCGGGCCTGGGGTGGCGCCTGGCGGGCGGGGGCGGGCCCAGCTGCGGGGGCGCAGTCGCCGGGCCGCGGGCGGCGGGACGGACGAGGCCGGGGCCCCGGGTGGCACCCGGCAGGCGGGCAGGCGGGCGCCATGGAGCTGCTCTCGGCGCTGAGCCTGGGCGAACTGGCGCTCAGCTTCTCGCGGGTGCCGCTCTTCCCCGTCTTCGACCTCAGTTACTTCATCGTCTCCATCCTCTACCTCAAGTATGAGCCAGGTGAGCCGGGGCGGGGGGCTGGAGGGGACCGGCAGCGGGTGGCGCGGGCCGGGGCAGCTCGGGGGTCGCAGAGAGGGGAAGCCCGTGCGTGGTGGAGGGAGCGAGGGACAGGTTCAAGGATTGCATCGTGGGAGTAGGCAGGCGCTAGAATCGTGGGGTTCTCTCACGCCGGGGTGAGCCCGGGGGAGAAGCCCCCAGGACGATGAAGCTGGGGGAGGGGAAGGAGAGGCGTGCGCGGGTTTAGAGGAGGGGGAACAGGTGCTTGGGGTCGGGGCTCCTGGTTGGGTCAGAGCTGCAGGAACTTGGGCAAGGGGCGCCGGCTGTGGCGAGGGTGCAGGTGGGGGTCGGTGCATCTGTTCTGGCCGCGCGCAGGTGTGACCTCCCTCCTTGACCTTGGCACGCGGATTGAGAGCGCCAGCGGAGTGTCTATAAGGGCCACTGCGCTGGGGGCTGCGGTCAGGTTCAGCGAAAGTGACACCGGTTCTCCTCCCCACTGCAACTGCCCAGCACCCTCCACTCCCCTCCCTTCCCCCACGGTGCTGAATCTCCGAGCCCCCACGGGAATTCTTCCAGCCCTGGCTCCAGATCCTTTCCACTTACGGAGCAGAACCGGCCCCAAGGCTGGGTGACTTGGGGTCAGTGTCCTCCATCTCAGCTCCAGACTCCACGCTGGGGAGGTCACAGGAGGGTACAGCCTGCTTCTTAATTTTTAAAATGAGGATGAATGGCTTCCTTAGAACGTGTTCTATTTTTATAAAAGGTTCACCGTGAACAAATGTTTAAATGTTTCTTGTTCACCGTTATTCTAGAACACCAGCAACTTACTAGATAATAGATTTTAGGCTTAGAAAAATAAAGGAACCCCAAACTTCATAAGCCTTTCTCCCACTTAGATGTAAATTACCACTATAGCTCAGAAAGGAAATAGCTTTATTCTCAGAGGATAAAAATAAGCGCCCCTGTTTACTAAAAACTCAAACTGAAAAGGGCAAAGGAAAAAAAGAGAATTACTGTCAACATACTGGTGGCCAGCCACCTTTCTTGATGTCTCTTCTATTCATTTACGGCTATATAGTTATAAACGTAAATGCACGCTTTTTTTTTTTTTTTTTTTTTTGCGGTTTTTTTTTTAGATGGAGTTTCGCTCTGTCGCCCAGGCTGGAGTGCAGTGGCGTGATCTCGGCTCACTGCAACCTCCACCTTCCAGGTTCAAGCGATTCTCCTGCCTCAGCCTTCTGAGTAGCTGGGACTACAGGCACCCGCCACTACACTTGGCTAATTTTTGTATTTTTAGTAGAGACAAGCCTTCACCATGTTGGCCAGGATAGTCTCGATCTCCTGACCTTGTGATCCACCCACCTAGGCCTCCCAAAGTGCTGGGATTACAGACGTGAGCCACTGCACCCAGCCAATGCACGCTCTTATGCTAACAGGATTACACTCTATTTGCTAGGAATTTTTATTCTATTTTTGCCTATCCACATGCCAGAGCCTATTTTCTTAAAAGCTATCCTGGAGAACATTACTTTGCAAAACAAAATAGGCTTTTGTGTTGTCCTAGCATGAACATGGGGCTATCTTTCCTTTCTGGGGAAGAATTCTTGGTGGTTCAGGCCAGTTCCTTGGGCAGTTGCAGAACCTTAGAAAATCTGAAACTGGCTGGGCACAGTGGCTCACGCCTGTAATCCCAGCACTTTGGGAGGCCAAGACGGGCAGATCGCCTGAGGTCAGGAGTTCGAGACCAGCCTGGCCAACATGGAGAAACCCCGTCTCTACTGAAAATAAAAAAATTAGCCAGGCATGGTGGCACATGCTTGTAATCCTAGCTGCTTGGGAGGCTGAGGCAGGAGAATCACTTGAACCTGGGAGGCGGAGGTTGCAGTGAGCCGAGATCACGCCATTGCACTCCAGCCTGGGCGACAGAGCAAGACTCTGTCTCGAAAAAAAAAAAAATCTGAAACTGAGGAGGGTTGGAGCCCTGTGGGAATGTAGGACACAAATGTCTTGAGAAAAGAGGTCTCCAAGCTGCCTGGGAACTTGCAGGAAGGTTCAAGATATTTCTGCAGAAGTCCTAGAATAAGCCATCCAGGCTCTAAGTGCCAGAGCCTGAAGGTTCCTGAAGGCTGAGAAGTGGTTCCAAACCCTGGCTATTCATGAATTCATGAGACGCTCCTGGGAGCTTTTTTTCTTTTCTTTTTTTTTTTTGAAACGGAGTCTCGCTCTGTCGCCCAGGCTGGAGTGCGGTGGCGCCGCCTCTGCTCACTGCAAGCTCCGCCTCCTGGGTTCACACCATTCTCCTGCCTCAGCCTCCCAAGTAGCTGGGACTACAGGCGCCCACCACCATGCCCGGCTAATTTTTTTTTTTTTTGTATTTTTAGTAGAGACAGGGTTTCACCGTATTAGCCAGGATGGTCTCGATTTCCTGACCTTGTGATCCGCCTGCCTCGGCCTCCCAAAGTGCTGGGATTACAGGTGTGAGCCACTGCGCCCGGCCTCCTAGGAGCTTTTAAACCCCCTATCTCCACCCCCCACCAATTGAATCAGAATATTAATCTCCCCTCCCTCAGTGACTGATGTCTGTTATCAGGGCTGAGGATACTCCACCCAGTTCAACCTCCTCCTTTCATAACTGGGGAAACAGGAAATAGTGGCTAAGCTATCTTAAATACACAATGAGCCTGTGGTCCCATGGCTGGTCAGTTGCAGCCTCGGGACTCAGCCCAGGTCTGCTTGACTCTAAGAATCAGTACAATTGATGTGAGATTGGTTTCCTTAGAAAAGAAAGGTGTTGGAGGCCAGATGTGATGGCTTATGCCTGTAATCCCAGCACTTTGGGAGGCGAGGCGGGTGGATCACTTGAGCCCAGGACTTTGAAACCAGCCTGGGCAACATGACAAAACCCCGTCTCCACTACAAATGCAAAAAAATAGCCAGGTGTGGTGGCGCACGCCTGTAATCCCAGGTACTTGGGAGGCTGAGACATGAGAATAGCTTGAATCCAGGAGACGGAGGTTGCAGTGAGCCGAAATCTCGCTGCTGCACTCCAGCCTGGGTGACAGAGCCTGGCTGAGACTCTGTCTTGGAAAAAAGAAAGAAAGAAAAGAAAAGTGAGGTGTCGGATTGAACTGTTAGTCCCAGTTTGGTGTGCGTGCTGGGTATCTGTAAATTTTCTTCTCAGAATTTGTGTGCTGGACCAGCTACAGAATTTGCCAGGCCGATACAAAGTATCAGTGTGGGGCCTTTTGTTCAGAAATTAAGAATTTCATAGCCAGGCATGGTGGTGTGTGTCTGTGGTCCCAGCTACTTGGGAAGCTGAGGCTGGAGGATCACTTGAGCCCAGGAGTTGGAGCTCAACTGCGCCTGGCTGGGTCAGGCTTTCTTGAGAATCCTGAGAATGGATGAAGCTCAGAGTGTGGTCCTCAACAGAGCAGCATCAATGTTGCCTGGGAGCTGCAGCGAGCTATGATCACCCCACCGCCCTCCAGCCTGGGCAACAGAGCAAGACCGTGTCTCCTAAAAAAATAATAATAATAATAAAAAAAGAATGTCAGCATAGGTCAGATAATCTCAGCATTTGGGGAGGTCAAGGTTGGAAGATTGCTTGAGGCCAGGAGTTCATGGCCAGCCTGGGCAACATTGTGAAACCCCTTCTCTATAAAAAATACAAAAATGGCTAGGCGCGGTGTCTCATGCCTGTAATCCGAGCACTTTGGGAGGCTGAGGTGGGCAGATCACCTGAGGTCGGGAGTTCAAGACCAGCCTGACCTACATGGAGAAACCCTGTCTCTACTAAAAATACAAAATTAGCCGGACGTGGTGGCACATGCCTGTAATCCCAGCTACTAGGGAGGCTGAGGCAGGAGAATCGCTTGAACCTGGGAGGCAGAGGTTGCGGTGAGCCAAGATTGTGCCATTCCACTCCAGCCTGGGCAACAAGAATGAAACTCCGTCTCAATAAACAAATAAATAAAAATTAAAAAATGCAAAATACAAAAATATTAGCCAGGTGTGGTGGCATGTGCCTGTAGTCCTAGCTACTAGGGAAGCTGAGGTCGGAGGATTACCTGAACCCTGCAAGGTGGAGGCTGCAGTGAGCCATGATCGTGCCACTGCACTCCAGCCTGGGCAACAGAGTGAGACCCTGTCTCAAAAAAAAAAGAAAAAAGAAACTAAACGTCTCTGAATCATGGGAGTCAGTTCTACCACTAGCACTGAGTAAACACCACAATGGTTATTTCACCACCATGAGCTTCAGTTTATTTGTCTGTGAAATGGGATCATTGGTAAGAGAACCCCAGACTCCCTTTCCTAGCGATTGTAAAGATCTATTGAGAATTTTGTCAGGGATAAGGTCTAAGGCATTTGTGAGGGGTGGTGATGTTTATTTGGAAGTCTAGGGAGGAATATATTACTTGGGATACTGGCATTTTCTGGGTCAGGCTTGCTTACTTTTCTGTTTCTTTTCTTTTCCTTTTTTTTTTTTTTGAGATGCAGTCTTGTTTTGCTGCCCAGGCTGGAGTGCAGTGGCACGATCTCAGCTCACTGCAACCTTCACCTCCCAGATTCAAGTGATTCTCCTGCCTTAGCCTCCTAAGTACCTGGGATTACAAGCATCCACCACCACACCCAGCTAATTTTTTTGTTTTGTTTTGTTTTTGGAGACGGAGTCTTGCCGTGTCTCTAGGCTGGAGTGCAGTGGCTCGATCCCGGCTCACTGCAACCTCCACCTGCCGGGTTCAAGCGATTCTCCTGCCTCAGCCTCCCGAGAAGCTGGGATTACAGACACGCGCCACCATGCCCAGCTAATTTTTGTATTTTTAGTAGAAACGGGGTTTCACCACGTTGGCCAGGATGGTTTCAATCTCTTGACCTCGTGATCCGCCCACCTTGGCCTCCCAAAGTGCTGGGATTACAGACATCAGCCATTGCGCCTGGCCCATTTTTTTTGTATTTTTAGTAGAGATGAGTTTTCACCATGTTGGTCAGGGTGGTCTCAAATTCCTGAACTCAAGTAATCCACCCGCCTCAGCCTCCCAAAGTGCTGAAATTACAGGTGTGAGCCACTGCTCTTGGCCAATTTAACTTTAAAAAAATTTTTTTTTTTCGAGACAGGGTCTTGCTCTGTCTCCCAGGCTGGAGTGCAGTAGTACAGTCATAGCTCACTGTGGCCTCCAACTCCTGGGCTCAAGCAATCCTCCCACCTCAGCTTCCCATGAGCAACTGTGCCTGGCTGGGTGAGGCTTTCTTGAGAATCCTGAGAAAGAATGAAGCTCAGAGTGTGGTCCTCAACTGAGCAGTGTCAATGTCACCTGGAAGCTGATTAGAAATGCAGAGCCCCTGCGGTGGCTCATGCCTATAGTCCCAGCACTTTGGGAAGCCAAGGTGGCTGGATCACAAAGTCAGGAGTTTGAGATCAGCCAGGCCAACATGGTGAAACCCCGTCTCTACTAAAAATACAAAAACTAGCCAGGCATGGTGGCGGGCTCCTGTAATCCCAGCTACTTGGGTGGCTGAGGAAGGAGAATCGCTTGAAACCAGAAGATGGAGGTTGCAGTGAGCTGAGATCGCACCACTGCACTCCAGCCTGGGCAAAAGAGCGAAACTCCATCTCAAAAAAAAAAAAAAGAAAAGAAATGCAGAGTTCTGGCCAAGCTCAGTGGCTCACACTTGTAATCCTAACACTTTGGGAGGCCGAGGCGGGCGGATCACCCGAGGTCAGAAGTTCGAGACCAGCCTGGCCAACATGGCGAAACCCTGTCTCTTCTAAAAATACAAAAATTAGCCAGTCATGGTGGCACACGCCTGTAATCCCAGCTGCTCAGGAGGCTGAGGCAGGAGAATCACTTGAACCAGGGAGGTGGAGGTTGCAGTGAGCCGAGATTGCGCCATTGCACTCCAGCCTGGGCAACAAGAGCCAAGAGTGAAACTCCATTTCAGGAAAAAAAAAAAGAGAAAGAAATGCAGAACCCAGGCCCCACCCAGCTCTGCCCAATGAGAGTCTGTATTTGAGCAAAATCTGCGGGTGATTTGGCTCATTTCTGGGGCCTCCAAGCTCCATGTGAGGAAAGAGAAGGAAGCAGTTGAGTGCTGGCTGCAAAACTGAAGAAATGAGTGAATCAATGACAATCCTGGTTGCCTTGAGCCTTGACCCATCCAAAGAATCTCTCAGACCAGTACTTCTCAAACTCACCTACACACCAGACTCACCTAGGGAGATTTTAAAAATCCTTTTGGGCCAGACGTGGTGGCTCATGCCTGTAATCCCAGCACTTTGGGAGGCCAAGGCGGGTGGATCACTTGAGGTCAGGATCGAGACCAGCCCGGCCAACATGGTGAAAGCCCGTCTCTACTAAGAAAAAATACAAAAATTAGCCACGCATGGTGGTGTGCACCTGTAATCCCAGCTACTTGGGAGGCTGAGGCACAAGTATTGCTTGAACGCGGGAGGTGGAGGTTTGCATTGAGCCAAGATCTTGCCACTGCACTCCAGTCTGGGTGACAGAGCAAGACTCCGTCTCAGAAAAAAAAAAAAAAAAATCCTTTTGTCCTGATTGTCACCCCTCTTTCATTTAAATCAGAATTGTGGGTCAGGCATGGTGGCTCACGCCTGTAATCCCAGCACTTTGGGAGGCTGAGGCTGGTGGATCACCTGAAGTCAGAAGTTTGAGACCAGCCTGACCAACATGGTGAAACCCTGTCTCTACTAAAAATACAAAAATTAGCCAGGCGTGATGGCGGGCGCCTGTAGTCCTGGCTACTTGGTAGGTCGAGGTGGGAGAATCACTTAAACCTGCGAGGCGGAGGTTGCAGTGAGCAGAGATCATGCCATTGCACTCCAACCTGGGCAACAGAGCAAGACTCTGTCTCAGAAAAATAAATAATAAATAATAAATTAATTAAATAAATAACTCAGAATCATGGGGCTGAAGGAGGTGGCTCACATCTGTAATCCCAGCAAGTTGGGACACCAAGGCAGGCAGATCACTTGAAGCCAGGCGTTGGAGACCAGCCTGGCCAACACAGTGAAACCCTGTCTCTACTAAAAATATAAAAATTAGTCAGGCATGGTGGCGCAAGCCTGTAATGCCAGCTACTCCGGAGGCTGAGGCACGAGAATTGCTTGAACCTGGGGGGAGGCGGAGGTTGCAGTGACTCTGTCTCAAAAAAAAAAAAAAAAAAAAGAGATGGGGGTTCTGTTGTGTTGCCCAGGGTGGTCTTGAACTCCTGGGCTCAGGAGATCCACCTGCCTTGGCTTCCCAAAGTGTTGGGATTACAGACATGAGCCACTGCACCCGGCCAACCACTGATCTTTCTTTCTACTACCTCCAGAGTTTTGCCTTTTCCAGAATGTCCTTTAGTTGGAATCATGCAGTATGTACCCCTTTCAGACTGGCTTCTTTCACTTAGGAATATGCATTTAAGGTTCCTCCATGTCTTTTCATGTCTTGATAGCTCACTGGATAATATTTCTTTCTTTTTTCTTTTTCTTTCTTTTTTTTTTTTTTGAAATGGACTTTGCTCTTGTTACCCAGGCTGGAGTGCAATGGTTTGATCTTGGCTCACTGCAACCTCTGCCTCCCAGGTTCAAGTGATTCTCCTGTGTCAGCCTCCTAAGCAGCTAGGATTACAAGCATGTGCCACCACGCCTGGCTAATTTTTTGTATTTTTAGTAGAGATGGGGTTTCTCCATGTTGGCCAGGCTGGTCTCGAACTCCCGACCTCAGGTGATCTGCCCGCCTTGGCCTCCCAAAGTGTTGGGATTACAGGCGTGAGCCACTGCACCCGGCCAAATAGTATTTCATAGTAAGGATGTTTCATGGTTTGTTTATCCACTCACTCCCTGCAGGACATCTTGGTTGCAGTTTTAACTTTTTTTTTTTTTTTTTGAGACGGAGTCACTCTGTTGCCAGGCTGGAGTGCAGTGGTGTGATCTCGGCTCACTGCAACCTCCGGCTCACTGGTTCAAGCAATTCTCCTGCCTCAGCCTCCTGAGTAGCTAGGATTACAGGTGCCCGCCACCATGCCCAGCTAATTTTTGTGTTTTTAGTAGAGACAGGGTTTCACCATGTTGGCCAGGCTAGTCTTGAACTCCTGACCTCAAGTGATCCACCCGCCTCAGCCTCCCAAAGTGCTGGGATTACAGGTGTGAGCCACCACACCCAGACAAGTTTTAACATTTTTCATATGCTGTTAGGACCAAAGAAAACCATTCTTTGATCCCTGATTTGAGATCTCTGGTTTGAACTACAAGCTTTTTGAGGGCAGGAGGCTGTTGACTCCTGCTCCACCTTGTGAGGGAGAGGCTGCTATCTCCATTTAACAGGGGAGGAAACTGAGGCAGAATGCTGAGCTCAAAAGCTCAGGAGGAGAAGACTGGTCCTAGAGTCACTGAGAGACTCGGTCAGTACCCCATGCTTCATACACCTCTGACTGAATAGCACAGTGCTAGAGTGCCCTGGGGACCCTTCTAGTACCACCCAGTCATCTGCAAATGAGGCATTGACCCCTGAAAAGGGAAAGTCACAGAGTCCATTGCAGACCAGGACTTAGGGACCCAAAGCTTTTTCCTCTCTTCTGAGGCAGAGCTGATTTTTTTCTGTTTGTTTATTTATTTATTTATTTTTATTTTATTATTTTATTTTTTTGAGACAGAGTTTCGCTATTATCGCCCAGGTTGGAGTGCAGTGGCGCGATCTCAGCTCACCGCAACCTCCGCCTCATGGGTTCAAGCGATTCTCCTGCCTCAGCCTCCCGAGTAGCTGGGACTACAGGTGCCTGTCACCACGCCCAGCTGATTTTTGTATTTTTAATAGAGATGGGGTTTCATTCTATTGGCCAGGCTGATCTCGAATTCCTGACCTTGTGATCCACCCGCCTCGGTCTCCCAAAGTGCTGGGATTACAGGCATCAGCCACTGCGCCCGGCCTGTTTTTTGTTTTTTTTTTTTTTTGAGACAGAGTTTTGCTCCTATTTCCCAGGTTGGAGTGCAGTGGCATGATCTCGACTCACTGCAACCTCCGCCTCCCAGGTTCAAGCGATTCTCCTGCCTCAGCTGCCGGAGTAGCTGGGATTACAGGCATGAGCTACCGTGCCCAGCCGAGGCAGAGCTGATTTTTAAAAAATCCATCTACTGAAATTTCCACCCACAGGTACTTTCCATTTCCGCACTGTTCCAGAAATACCTCTTGCGTCGTTGCTAGGCGCTAAGCAATCTCTTTTTCACCCTCACAGGCATCTTTGGAAATGACTGATATAGATCTGGTGTGGTCACCTTGTCCAGGCTTTCCCAAGATGAGCATCGAAAGTCCCATGTCCAGCCGGGTGCGGGGGCTCATGCCTGTAATCCCAGCACTCTGGGAGGCCGAGGAAGGTGGATCACCTGAGGTCAGGAGTTTGAGACCAGCCTGGCCAACATGGAGAAATCCCATCTCTACTAAAAATACAAAAGTTAGCCGGGCCTGGTGGCGGGTGCCTGTAATCCCAGGTACTCGGGAGGCTGAGGCAGGAGAATCACTTGAACCCGGGAGGTGGAGGTTGCATCAAGCCAAGATCGCACCACTACACTCCAGCCTGGGCGACAGAGCAAGACCCCATCTCAAAAAAAGAATAAAAGAAAGTCCCATGTCCCAGGAAACCCCTGGGACCCAGGCAAAGGGGGATAGTTGGTCACCCTAGACCGCCTCCCCCTCCTACATATGGGCAAACTGAGGCCCAGGGAAGGGAGGGACTAGCCTAAGCTCACCCAGTCAGAGGGGAATGTGTTCATGGCATGCGGCAGTTGAAAACCTATTGGCTTCATGGGGCTGTCCCAAACCCATCAAGAGAAACCAAGGAGTATGGAAAGGGGAAAGGACCTGGGCTTTTTTTTTTTTTTTTTTTTTTGAGGCGGAGTCTCACTCTGTCACTCAGGCTGGAGTGCAGTGGCACGATCTTGGCTCACTGCAATTTCCGCCTCCTGGGTTCAAGCAATTCTGCCTCAGCCTCCTGAGTAGCTGGGATTATAGCCATCCGCCACCATACCCAGCTAATTTTTGTATTTTTAGTGGAGACGGGGTTTCACCATGTTGGCCAGGCTGGTCTCAAACTCAAACTCCTGACCTCAAGTGATCCACCTGCCTCGGCCTCCCAGAATGCTGGGATTACAGGTGTGAGCCACTGCGCCTGGCCGTCATCTTGGTCTTTTGACAGTGAAGCAAACTAAGGCTTGGGGGGGCAGGCAGTCACTTGCCCAAGGCCATGCTAGAGTGAGTAGCAGAGCCAGAAGCTAGGCATGTGATGAGGTTTTGCCATGTTGCCCAGGCTGGTCTTGAACTCCTGAGCTCAAGTGATCTGCCTGCCTTGGCCTCCGAAAGTGCTGGGATTACGGGTGTGAGCCACCGCGCCCAGCCGGCATGTGACTTTTATAGCAGGGCACACACATACTGCAAACATGGGCATCTGCCCGTCAGAGCGTAACTCATGCAAACGCTAGGTCCCTACCCCCACTCCCCAACCTCGGTCCCTGGGATGATCCCAGAGGGCACAAGAAAGATCCTGGAAAGAATTCAGTCCCTGGGAGTTATTTTTAGATGCAGAGGTATCCATTTCTGCAAAACATGGGTGCCTCACCCGACCTGGCCTCTGCACAGGCCACCAGCTGCTCTGAGGGATTAACTCTCAGCCAGTTGTGTTTTAAATAGACCCTAGGAGAGGAGCTGAAGCATTTTACCTCATACCCTAGGACCTTGGTCAATGGTAAGACGTAGGACAACCTTGAGAGCAGGGAGAAGCTGCATTTTGGGCTCATAACTCCAGGGTGAGGTTAGAGGAGGGAAAAGCTCATTCCAGTCCTCATCAGGAGTTAGACAAAGAAGCAACGTTCTACTTTGTTTTTTAAAAAAAGAGATGTGGAGAGAAAAAAGTGGCTTGTTCAAGATCACATTGTTAGTTGGTGGGGATAGCGAGGAGAGGGGCAAGTGTATTGATTACTTACTCTAAAACAGGGATGTCCAATCTTTTGGCTTCCCTGGGCCATGTTTGATGAAGAATTATCTTGGGCCTCACATAAAATACACTCACACTAACGATAGCTGATGAGCTTAAAAAAAAATCACAAAAAAACCTCATTTTTTTTTTTTTTTTTTTTGAGGCAGAGTCTTGCTCTGTGGCCCAGGCTGGAGTGCAGTGGTGTGACCTTGGCTCACTGCAACCTCCACCTCCTGAATTCAAGTGATTCTCATGTCTCAGCTTCCCAAGTAGCTGAGATTACAGGCGCATGCCACCACGCCCGGCTACTTTTTGTATTTTTAGTAGAGATGGGGGTTTCACCATGTTGGCTAGGCTGGTCTCGAACTCCTGACCTCAAGTGATCCACCTGCCTTGGCCTCCCAAAGTGTTGAGATTACAGGTGTGAGCCACTGAGCCCGGCCATAAGTGTATCATTTTGCAGCCCAACCTTTTCACTCAGCAGTAAGCTTATGGGACTTGTCTTTGTTGATACATCTAAAACAGAGATTCTCAACCAGAAGGGATTCTGTTCCCAAAGGATAAATTTGGCAATATCTGGAGACATTCTTGGTTGTCACAGCTGTGTGGTGCCACTGTCATCTAGTGGGTGGAAGCCAGGGATGCTGCTTAACATGCTATAATGCACAGAATGCCCCCATAGCAAAAAATGATCTGATCCCAAATGTCAACAGAGCTGAGGTTGAAAAACCCTGATCAAGGTCTAGTTCACTTTTCTTTTTCTTTTTGTTTGTTTGTTTGTTTGTTTGTTTCTGAGATGGAGCCTCCCTCTGTCGCCCAGGCTGGAGTGCAGTGGCGCAATCTTGGCTCACTGCAACCTCCACCTCCCGGGTTCAAGCGATTCTCCTACCTCAGCCCCCTGAGTAGCTGGGATTACAGGCACCTGCCACCATGCCTGGCTAATTTTTGTATTTTTAGTAAAGACAGCGTTTCACCATGTCGGCCAGGCTGGTCTCAAACTCCTGACCTCAAGTGATCCGCCTGCCTTGGCCTCCCAAAGTGCTGGGTGAGCCACTGCACCCAGCCTGGTTCACTTTTAAATAGCTACTCTATGGCACTCCACATTTTGTGGCTTCCCACAGCTTTACTAAGAGACTGTTGATTTCACTTTTCTCCTGTTGCAACATTGTATCAGTGAAACATCTTCCTTCTCTAAGTCTTTGTTTATGGTGCTTGTTTCTTTGGGGTTAATAGCAAGGAGTGGAATTGCTGGGGTCCAGGGGATGCACAGCTTCATATTTCCCTGGTATTGCCAAGTTGCCTCTAACATGGTAATGCCCACTGATGCGCTCACCTGGATTTGTAGGAGAAACTCTGGCATTGATGATTATTTCCCCCTGTGAGGTTGACCAAGCTAAGAAGAACGTAATTCCTTTTACAGAGTAGAGTGCACTACACCTTTCTCAATTAATAAATGGAACAGAGAAGGTCATTGTTGTTACAATGTCACCAGAAATGCGCAGGCCTGCTGGTGGCTCACACCTGAAATCCCAGCACTTTGGGAGGCCAAGGCAGGAGGATCATTTGAAGCCAGGAGTTCAAGAGCAGCCTGGGCCACACAGTGAGATCCTATCTTTACAAAAAAAGAAAAAAAAAAAAGTATAAAAATTGGCCAGGCATGGTGGCACACGTCTGTACTCCTAGCTACTTGGAAGGCTCAAGCCCAGGAGTTTGAGGCTGCAGTGAGCTATGATTGCATCACTGCACTCCAGCCTGGGTGACAGAGCGAGATGCTGTCTCTTAAAAAAAGTGTCCAGGGCCAGGCGCTGTGGTTCATGCCTGTAATCCCAGCACTTTGGGAGGCCAAGGTGGGTGGATCACCTGAGGTCAGGAGTTCGAGACCAGTTTGGCCAACTTGGAGAAACCCCCTGTCTACTAAAACTACAAAACTTAGCTAGGCGTGGTGGCAGGTGCCTGTAATCCCAGCTACTTGGGAGGCTGAGGCAGGAGAATCACTTGAACCTAGGAGGAGGCGGAGATTGCAGTGAGCCGAGATCACACCACTGCACTCCAGCCTGGGCGACAGAGCAAAACTCTTGTCTCCAAAAAAAAAAAAAAAAAAAGTTGGGGGGATCCAACACAACCATGATGACTTTATGTTTGCTAGAATGTAAATTCCATGAGGGCAGGGACCTCACCTGTCTTGTTCATTATTGTAATACCAGGACCCAAGGCCGGGCGCCGTGGCTCACACCTATAATCCCAGCACTTTGGGAGGCTGAGGTGGGCAGATCACCTGAGGTCGGGAGTTTGAGACCAGCCTGACCAACATGGAGAAAACTTGTCTCTACTAAAAATACAAAATTAGCCGGGCGTGGTGGTCCATGCCTGTAATCCTAGCTAGTCGGGAGGCTGAGGCAGGAGGATTGCTTAAACCCAGGAGGCAGAGGTTGCAGTGAGCCAAGATCGCGCCATTGAACTCCAGCCTGCGCAACAAGAGCGAAACACCGTCTCAAACAAACAACAACAACAAAAAAAAACCAGGACCCAGAGGGATGCACATTTCCCATAAATTCATTCACAGTTATTTCTTGAACCCATACAATGTGTCCAACACAGCCCCCATTCAGTGGCAGAGAAGGCCTCCGTGGTTGCTGAACTCACGGAGGGATGAAGATCAAATCCACCCGTTGAATGTATCATTAGTATATACAGATTTCTTAATCTGTTGCAGATGCTATAATCTGTTGCAGTGGCAATAAACCAGTAGACCAGGTGGCTGATAAACAACAAATTTATTTCTCAGAGTTCTGGAGGCTGGAAGTCTGAGATCAGGGCACTAACATGGTCAAGTTCTAATGAGGGCCCTCTTCTGGCTTGCAGATGATCAACCTCTCCTTGTGTCCTCATATGGTAGACAGCAGAGAGCAGCAGGCTTTCTCATGACTCTTATTTGTTTATTTATTGAGATAGAGTCTTGCTCTGTCACCCAGGCTGGAGTGCAGTGCCTTGATCACGGCTCACTGCAGCCTCAACCTTCCAGGCTCAAGTGGTCCTCCCACCTCAGAAGTAGCTGGGAATACAGACACCTGCCATCACGCCCAGCTAATTTTTATTGTTGTTGTTGTTTTAGAGATGAGATTTCACTATGTTCCCAGGGCTGGTCTGGAACTCCTAGGCTCAAGAGATCCTCTGGCCTCAGCCTCCCAAAGTGCTGGGATTACAGGTGTGAGTCACCACGCCTGGCCTCTCTTGACTATTTTTTTTTTTTTTTTTTTTTAGAGACAGAGTCTCACTCTGTCGCCCAGGCTGGAGTGCAATGGTGCAATCTCAGCTCACTGCAACCTCTGCCTCCCGGGTTGAAGCGATTCTCCTACCTCTGCCTCCCTAGTAGCTGGGACTACAGGCGCCTCCCGCAACGCCCAGCTAATTTTTGTATTTCTAGTAGAGACAGGGTTTCACCATATTGGCCAGGCTGGTCTCGAACTCCTGACCTTGTCATCTGCCCGCCTCAGCCTCCCAAAGTGCTGGGATGACAGGCGTGAGCCACCATTTATAAAGGCTCTAACCCCGTTCGTGAGGGGTCTACCCTGGTGACATAATCACCTCCCAAAGGCCCGACCTCCTAATGCTATCACAAGCGGGGAGGGGTAGGATTTCAACATACGAATTTTGGAGAGACAGAAACATTCTGTCCACAACAGACACTCTTTCTCTTCCCTGCTAAAAATAGACAAAACTGATTATTTCTTTTGCTTAGTCTTTTGATTTGACTAATAAGAGATCACATTTTGGCCGGGCGCGGTGGCTCACACCTGTAATCCCAGCACTTTGTGAGGCCGAGGCAGGCGGATCACGAGGTCAGGAGATTGAGACCATCTTGGCTAACACAGTGAAACCCCGTCTCTACTAAAATTACAAAAAATTGGGCGTGCTGGCGGGTGCCTGTAGTCCCAGCTACTAGGGAGGCTGAGGCAGGAGAATGGCATGAACCTGTGAGGCGGAGCTTGCAGTGATCTGAGATTGCGCCACTGCACTCCAGCCTGCGGGACAGAGCGAGACTCCATCTCAAACAAAAAAAGAGAGAGATTACATTTTGTGACCTTGTTATCTCATGTCAATACTGACTGTAGTTTTCATTTCATTAGAATAAGTTGTATTAGGGGAATCGTTGGTTTTGGCTCTGGTCATGTAATGTACAGAGTAGCTGTACCTTACAACTTGATCATAAAGTTGTTCTCTGCAAAACGAAACTAGTTGGGAAAGACAGAATCAATATGATGAAAGAAGTGGTCATACCAGGAGACACAAGTTCTAACTCCAAGGTGTGGCCTTAGAAGATTACGAAGATACAACATAAGGATAGAACTATTTATAAAGATTATAAAGGCTTTACATGAGTAATACAAGATGCAAGGATTTAGTGAATAGACATTAATACTGTACCCCGAGTGTTGCATTTTCATGACCTTTTTTTTTTTTTTTTTTTTTGAGAGGTAGTCTCGCTGTTGTTGGCCTGGGCTGGAGGGCAATGGCACGATCTCAGCTCACTGCAACCTCTGCCTCCTAGGTTCCAGCAATTCTCTTGACTCAGCCTCCCGAGTAGCTGAGATTAAAGGCGCCCACCACCACGCCTGGCTAATTTTTGTATTTTTAGTAGAGATGAGGTTTCACCATGTTGGCCAGGCTGGTCTTGAACTCCTGACCTCAGGTGATCCACCCACCTCGCCCTCCCAAAGTGCTGGGATTACAGGCATGAGCCACCGTGCCCAGCCCTTTTTTTAAAAAGAAAAAAAAAAAAAAAGCCCAGCTATAGGACCTAAGGACTCAGCAATGGGGTTTTCAAGCCCCCTTCTTTTTAATATGGAATTTTAAAATACTTCTTATCTTGGAAGAGTTTATGACTCACAAGAAGTTGCAAAAATGGTACAGAGAATTTGCAAATACCCTTTACCCAGCTTCCTCCAATGACATCTTATGTAATGATAGTGCATTATTAAAACCAGGAAATTGGCATGGGTACACTATCATTAACTCAACTACAGACTTTATATATTTATTATTTTTGAGACAGAGTCTCATTCTGTCACCCAGGCTGGAGTGCAGTGGTGCACTCATGGCTTACTGCAGCCTCAAACTCTTGGGTTCAAGTGATCCTCCCAACTCAACCTCTTGAGTAGCTGGGACTACAGGTGCATGCCACCATGCCCAGCTAATTAGAAAAAATTTTTTGTAGAGATGGGGTCTCACTGTGTTGCCCAGGCTGGCCTCCCCTCCCCTTCCCTCCCTTCCCCTCCCCTCTCAACAGGGTCTTGCTCTGGAGTGCAGTGGCATGCTCATGACTCACTGCAGCCTCCACCTCACCAGCTCAAGTGATCTTCCTACCTCAGCTTCCCGAGTAGCTGGGACTACAGAAGCATGCCACCACGCCCAGCTAATTTTTAAAATTTTTTGCAGAGGTGGGGTCTCACTATGTTGCCCATGTTGGTCTCGAACACCCAGGCTCAAGTGATCTACGTGGCTCAGCCTCCCAGAGTGTTGGGATTACAAGTGTGAGCCACCGTGCCCAGCCCGGAAATAAAAGCTTAATACATGCTACAATGGGGATGAAGCTTGAGGACATTATGCTCAATAAGCCACACAAAACAACAAAGTTTGTATGGTTTCGCTTACATGAGATTCCTAAAGTCATCAATTTCATAGAGACAGAAAGTAGAATGGTGCCAGGGGCTAGGCGATGGGGGATGAGGAGTGAGTGTTTAATAGGTTTCAGTTTGGGAAGATGAAAGAGTTTTGGAGATGGTTGGTGGTGATTATGGCAAAACAATGTGAATATAATGCCATAGAACCACACACTTGGCCAGCCACTTGGCAGTGGCTCATGCCTGTAATCCCAGCACTTTGGGAGGCCAAGGTGGGCAGATCACAAGGTCAAGAGATTGAGACTATCCTGGCCAACATGGTGAACCCCCATCTCCACTAAAAATACAAAAATTAGTTGGGCGTGGTGGCGCATGCCTGTAATCCCAGCTACTCGGGTGGCTGAGGCAGGAGAATCACTTGAACCCGGGAGGAGGAGGTTGCAGTGAGCCGAGATCGCGCCACCGCGCTCCAGCCTGGTGACAGAGTGAGACTCTGTCTCAAAAAAAAAAAAAAAAAAAAAGAGCTATACACTTAAAAATGTTTAAAATGGGCTGGGCATGGTGTCTCACGTCTATAATCCCAACTCTTTGGGAAGCTGAGCCAGGTGGATGGCTTGAGCCCAGGAGTTTGAGACCAGCCTGGGCAACATGGCGAAACCCCGTGCCTACTTTAAATATACAAAAAATTAGCCTGGCATGGTGGCGCGCGTGCCTGTAGTCCCAAATACTTTCGAGGCTGAGGTGGGAGGAGTGTTTGAGCCCAGGAAGTCAAGGCTGCAGTGAGTCGTGATTGCACCACTGCGCTCCAGGCTGGGTGATGGGAGTGAAACCCTGTGTCCAAAAAAAAAAAAAAAAAAAAAAAGTAAAGTGATAAATTTAATGTATATTTTACAAAAAAAAATTCTTTTTAAGACAGCAGGTGTAAGAATACCAGCATAAGGCTGGGCACGGTGACTCATGCCTGTAATCCCAGCACTTTGGGAGGCTGAGGTGGGAGGTTCACTTGAGTCCAAGAGTTGGAGACCAGCTTGGCCAACATGGTGAAACCCCTTCTCTACTGAAAATACAAAAATTAGCCAGGCATGGTGGTGGCTGCCTGTGATCCCAGCTACTCGGGAGTCTGAGGCAGGAGGATCGCTTGAACCTGGGAGGCAGAATTTGCAATGAGCTGAGATTGCACCATTGCACTCCAGCCTGGGTGACAGAGTGACACTCTGTTTGAAACAAACAAAAAAAGTTAAAAAAAAAAAAAAAAAAGAATACCAGCATAAGCTCATAGGGATCTTGGGATCAGCTGAGGTCAGAATAGCAATTTCTTTTGTTTCGTGTGTGTGTGTGTGTGTGTGTGTGTGTGTGTGTGTGTGTGTGTGTATGTGTGTGTTTTAGATGGAGTCTTGCTCTGTTGCCCAGGCTGGAGTGCAGTGCAGTGGTGCAATCTCAGCTCACTGCAGCCTCCACCTCCTGAGTTCAAGTGATTCTCCTGTCAGCCTCCTGAGTAGCTGGGATTACAGGCATGCACTACCGTTCCCGGCTAATTTTTGTATTTTTAGGGACGGGGTTTCACCATGTTAGCCAGGCTGGTCTTGAACTCCTGACCTCAAGTGATTTGTCCACCTTGGACTCCCAAAGTGCTGGGATTACAGGTGTGAGCCACCATGCCCGGCCCAGAGTAGCAATTTCAAAGTACTCCCAGGTACAAGCTGGCCCGTCTCACCAAGCCTCAGTCTCCTCTTGACAATGAGACTCCTGATAATAAAAGCCATCACTTGGCTGGGACACTGATGAGGATTTATTAAGTCCTAAATGTGAACTAGTGTCATCATCATTGCCACCTCTCTGGGCATGAAGGAAAGGACTCCCACTCGGCTCTCTATTTTCTCTGTGCAACCTCAGGCATGCGTACAGCCTCTCTGAACCTTGGTTCCTCCTCTGAAACTTACAAACTGCACAGTGTTGGGTGGGCGCTCTGGATTAGGATAGGCTGACCAGAGCATATGGGAGTGAAGCCTGCCCTTGGCATGCTGGTGATGATGGGGGACACTCCTGTGCCTCCCAGGAGCAGTCGAACTGTCCCGGCGCCACCCCATCGCGTCCTGGCTGTGCGCCATGCTGCATTGCTTCGGGAGCTACATCCTGGCTGATCTGCTCCTTGGGGAGCCACTGATCGATTACTTCAGCAACAACTCCAGCATCCTGCTGGCCTCAGCTGTCTGGTAAGCCATGCTGGGCATGGGAGAGCAGAGCCGGGTGGGGGAAACAACAACCTGGGCACCAGGGAGGAGAGAGGTTGGAGGAATTAGAATGCACCAGCAACAGCCCTCATGATGGCCCTGAATATGCTGCCCTCCATGCCCATCTCTGGTCTAGGCACAGCACGTTGGGGAGGGTGGTCTGATATAACCACAGCTCCCTACCCCCATCCTTCACAGTCTGCCCATCCCCTGGCACTCACTGTTCTCTCCCCAAAAGGTACTTGATTTTCTTCTGCCCCCTGGACCTCTTCTACAAGTGTGTCTGCTTCCTGCCTGTGAAACTCATCTTCGTGGCCATGAAGGAGGTGGTGCGAGTCCGCAAGATCGCGGTGGGCATCCATCACGCCCATCACCACTACCACCACGGGTGGTTCGTCATGATTGCAACTGGGTGGGTCAAAGGTAAATAGGATGATGACAATGAAAAATCATCCCAGTGGAGAACTTTTGGTTCAGTGGTACTACCAGGCACCCCAGCTAGGAAAGCCATTGCTCCAGGCACAGGGGCATAAAGACTGCAGTAGGTGTTCAAACCTCCCTACAGGTATCAGCCGATACCTTTAGGGTAAATGGGAAGATTCTTCTAGAAATGTTACTGTCAGGGGTACCTAAGACAGTGATGATGATGACAAAAGCCAGCATTGCCAGAGCAGGTTTTCTCACTTGCAGCACTACTGACATGTGGGGCTGGATCATTCTTTGTGGTGGGGGCTGCCTTGTGCACTATAGGATGTTGAACAGCACCCCTGGCCTCCACCCACGAGATGCCAGTAGCACACTTGTCCCCAGCTGTGACAAAGAAATTGTCTCCAGACATTGCTAAACGCCTCCTAGAGGGCAAAATGGCTGCAGGTGAGAACCCCTTCTTCTCTAGAGCTCTAGCTATAGGAGTTCTTAACTTTTGTGGACCATGGCCCTTTTGCCAGTGAAGCCTACAGACCCTTTCGTGTGCAGAAAATAGAGCTAGACATGGTGGCTCATGCCTGTAGTTCTAGCTACTCAGGAGGCTGAGGTGGGAGGATCACTTCAGCCTAGGAGTTCAACATTACAGTGAGCTATGATTGTGCCACTGCACTCCAGCTGGGCAACAGAGCAAGAGTCTGTCTCTAAAAAATTAAAATTAAAAAATAAAGTAATAATGAAAATGTTATTAGAAATAAAGAACGTTTTATAATGATAAAAGGGTCAATCCACCAGGAAGATATAACAACTATAAACATATATGCACCTAGAAACAGAGCACCAAAATACATAAAGCAAAAATGGACAGAAGTTAGGGGAGAAAGAGATAATTCAACATTAAAAGTTGGAGAAGTGGGCCAAGGAGTAACAGGAAAGCAGGGAAAGAAGGCCTGAGCAAGTGCCAAAAACCATTGGGCACTTTATCCTCGCTTCCTGCCCACCAGATATGGGTACCCACAAAGTGCCAAGACCTAGAATCACCCTCCATTGAGCCATGGTGTCCTCAGTTATTCCTTGCTATGGGGAGCCAACCTGTGCATTATACAATGGTGAGCCACCTCCCTGGCCTCGACTCACTAAATACCAGTAGCGCTCCCTCCCCAGCTGTGACAACTCAAAGTGTTTCTCAACATTGCCAGATGCTTCCTTGGGGGCAAAATGGCCCCAGATGCGATTCCCTGGTCCAGTAGTACATCTCAGGCACCCAGTTGGTGCAGCAGTTCCTGGAGTGGATGTCCAAGTCTATTTAACCAGTACATTTAGGGTAAATGGGAAGATTCTTCCAGAAATTTAATCATTCTATCTCCATTTGAGTCTTCTTATTGTCTCTCCAGGAAGCTTTTAGTACTGAGCAGATTCCCCAGGGGTATAGCATCTCCTCCAGAGGATGGGTGGCTTGAGAAAGATTAAGAACTTGGAGCCTTGAGGAGGAGAGAGACTGCGGGTGGGGGCTGCCTTGGAAGCCTCATACACAGCTTGGGGTCCTGGATTAGGGGCATCAGGACAGACAACCCCAGGTTGAAGACCTGCCTTGCAGGTGGGGACATGACTGATTCCTTTAGGTGGCTTTTGCTCTGAATTTGCCATATGATCCTCAGCAAGGCTCTGTCCTCTCTGAGCCTCAGTTTCCCCACCTGCAGCTGATGATCATACACCCCCAGGCTCAGTGTCCTTCTAGAGAAGATTCTGGGAGTGGAGAGACTGCTTCCTTGGGAATTCAAACAAGAGGAAAGGAGACCTGGGGGTGGTGGGCTTGTTCAGAAGCACCCTGTCCTGTAGGTTCTGGTGTCGCCCTCATGTCCAACTTTGAGCAGCTGCTCCGAGGGGTCTGGAAGCCAGAGACCAACGAGATCCTGCACATGTCTTTGTGAGTATCCCACTCCACCTCTCCCTCCATGCCTCCTGTATGTCCGGGTGCCTGACCCTGAGTTGGATGCTGCTGATAACTTAGAGAGGCCTCAACCCTTGACTCTGCCTTTCAGGAGCTTTCAGAGGCTATGACTGGGGAAGCTCAAAGCAGAGCCATAGCTCTGCTCAGTGTGGAGGTTGGGGAGGGCAGAGCTGCAGGAAGGAGGCAATACCTGATTGGGGTTTTGAAGGGTGAGCAGGAGTTCACTGGCCAAGAAGGAGCCTCCCAACAGAGGCCAGCATCTCTGCCAACTGTGAAATCACAGAAGAGCAGCAGTGCTGCTGGGTGTGCGGGGTCAGGGTACAGGGTATGCATGGGATATGGAGTGTGCATTGGGAGCATATCTGGAGCTAAGTGGACAAGGCCAGGTGACAGCATCCAAGACCCAATGCAGGATCCCACACTGCATTTAGCTTAATGTTTTTTATTTTTTTATTTTTTGAGACAGAGTCTTGCTCTGTCGCCCAGGCTTGAGTATGCTGGCATGATCTCGGCTCACTGCAACCTCCACCTCCCAGGTTCAAGAGATTCTCGTGCCTCAGCCTCCTGAGTACCTGGGATTACAGGCATGTGCCACCATGCCCGGCTAATTTTTGTATTTTGAGTAGAGATGGGGTTTCACCATGTTGGTCAGGCTGGTCTGGAACTCCTGACCTCAAGTGATCTGCCGACCTCAGCCTCCCAAAATACCGGGATTACAGGCATGAGCCACCCTGCCCTGGACAGTTTAGTGCATTTTTAAAAGACCTTGTTGGGGGCTGGGTGTGGTGGCTCACACCTGTAATCTCTGCACTTTGGGAGGCCAAGCCTGGAGGTTTGCTTGAGTCCAGGAGTTCAAGACAAGACTGGGCAACATAGTGAGACCTATTCTATATTAAAAAAAAAAAGTTAAATTAGCTAGGCATGGTGGGATGCACTTGTGGTCCCAGCTACTCAGGAGGCTGAGGCAAGAGGATTACTTGAGCCCAGGAATTCGAGGCTTCAGTAAGCTAGGATCATGCCACTGTACTCCAGCTTGGGTGGCAGAGCAAGACCTTGTCTCAAAAAAAAAAAAAAAAAAAGGGATCATGCATTTAAATCACCTGGCCCTGGAACCTGGTGAGTGCTTTGGAAATATTAGAGAGAATTATCATCATTAGGCTGGGCACGGTGGCTCACGCCTGTAATCCCAGCACTTTGGGAGGCTGAGGTGGGCAGATCACCTGAGGTCGGCAGTTTGAGACCAGCCTGACCAACATAGAGAAACCCCATTTCTGCTAAAAATACAAAATTAGCTGGGTGTGGTGGTGCATGCCTGTAATCCCAGCTACTTGGGAGGCTGAGGCAGGAGAACCACTTGAATCTGGGAGGCGGAGGTTGCAGTGAGCCGAGATCACGCTATTGCACTCCAGCCTGGGCAGCAAGAGCGAAATTCCATCTCAAAAAAAAAAAATTAACTAGGGGTGGTGGCATGCCTGTAGTCCCAGCTACATGGGAGGCTGAGGCAGGAGAACCGGTTGAACCCGGGAGGCAGAGGTTGCTGTGATCCGAGATCCTGCCACTGCACTTCAGCCTGGGCAATAGAGCAAGACTCTGTCTCAAAGAAAGAAACAGAGAGAGAGAGAGAGAGAGGAAGGAAGGATTATTAAATACATGCAGTGAAGCTGGGCATGGTGGCCCACCCCTGTAATCCCAGCTATTCAGGAAGCTGAGGTAGGGGGATTGCTTGAAACCAGGAATTCAAGACCAGCCTGGGCAACATTACAACATCCCATCTCTAAAAAAAAAAAGAAAAAAAAAATTAGCCAGGTGTGGTGGTGTGTGCCTGTAGTCCCAGCTACTCAGGACGCTGAGGCAGGAAGATCGCTTGGTCTCAGAAGGTTGAAGCTGGAGTGAGCTGTGATCACACAAGTGTACTCCAGCCTGGGCAACAGAGCGAGACCTTGTCTCAAAAAAAAAAAAGCAATGAGAGACAGACATCAGGAATAGAAGTCACAGGTCTGTCTTTTGCAACAAATAAAAATATCTTAAACCTATTTTGCAAGGAAAAAAATAAAAGTTAAGGAAAACTCTGCATGTTGTAATCACATTTTCTGGGGGAAATAAGCTGATGGGGGATCCCCAAGATCATCCTGATGTTCCATGATTTGCTAGAAGGACTCAGAGAACTTAGCAAAGCCATTATATTCAGGGTTATGATTTATTACAGTGACAAGATATAGAATAAAATCAGCAGAGGCAGCTCACACCTGTAATCCCAGCACTGTGGGAGGCCGAGATAGGAGGATTGCTCAAGGCCAGGAGTTCAAGACCAGCCTATGCAATAGAACAAGACTCCATCTCTACAAAAAAAAAAAAAAAACTTAAAAATTAAGCAGGCACAGTGGCACATAACTCTAGCCCTAGCTACTTGGGGGGCTGAGGTGGGAGAATCACTTGAGCCTCAGAGTTTGAAGTTACAGTGAGCCATGATCAGACCACTGCACTCCAGCCTGGGTGATAGAGAGAGACCCTGTCTCTGTAAATAAATAAATAAATAAATAAATAAATAAATAAAACGAAATCAGCAGGGGTTGGCTGGGCGTGGTAGCTCATGCCTGTAATCCCAGCACTTTGGGAGGCTGAGGCGGGTGGATTATTTGAGGTCAGGAGTTCAAAACCAGCCCGGCCGACATGGCGAAACCCCATCTCTAGTAAAAATACAAAAATCAGCTGGCGTGGTGGCGGGCATCTGTAATCCCAGCTACTCGGGAGGCTGAGGCAGGAAAATCACTTGAACCCAGGAGGTGGAGGTTGCAGGGAGCTGAGATCATGCCACTGCATTCCAGCCTGGGTGACAGAATGAGACTCTGACTCATACACAAACAAGAAATCAGCAGGGGCAAAATGTGCATGAGGCAGAGTACAGGAAAGAAAAGGTGAAAATATCCAGTTTTCCTCTCCCAGTGGAATCATGTGGACAGGGCTTCATTCTCCCAGCAGCAATGTGTGACAACATGCATGGTGTACTGCCAACCAGGGAAGCTCTTCTGAGCCTGGGTATCCAGGATTTTTATTGTGGCTCAGAACTAGCTAACCACCTGTGTGGCTGACCTCAGTCTTCAGCCCCTCTAGAGGTCCACCTGATGCTGCATGGCCCAAGACCCCCACCATAAATTACGTTGTTACTACCTGGTGTGGCCCAAGGCCGTCCTCAGGCAAACAAAGACAGTCTTATCAAGGCAGGACACTCCAAGGGCTTAGAGGGCATATTCCAGGAGCTGGACAAAGGCCAGATCTTTCCTTGGACCAGGTTAACCCATCATGCATAGGATGACACCATCTCAACCTGCCACCTTACAATCAGGAGAAGCTGTGGCTGGGCGCAGTGGCTCATGCCTATAATCCCAGCACTTTGGGAGGCCGAGCAGATCACTTGAGGCCAGGAGTTCGAGACCAACCTGGCCAACATGGTGAAACACTGTCTCTCCTAAAAATACAAAAATTAGCCAGGCATGGTGGCATATGCCTGTAATCCCAGCTACTTGGGAGGCTGAGGTGGGAGAAACACTTGAAACAAGGAGGTGGAGGTTGCAGTGAGCCGAGGTTGTGCCACTGCACTCCAGCCTGGGCAACAGAGTGAGATTCCATCTCAAAAGGAAAAGAAAAGAGAGAAGCTGGGATGGGAGCTGGTGCCAGGGCAGGGGGGTGTCTGGGCCAGAGTTATGAAGACTTGAGCCATGCAGGCACCTCCCGGTAATGACAGCTGCTCCCTCCAGCCCCACCAAGGCCAGCCTGTATGGAGCCATCCTCTTCACCCTCCAGCAGACCCGCTGGCTCCCAGTGTCCAAAGCCAGCCTCATCTTCATCTTCACCTTGTTCATGGTGTCCTGTAAGGTAAGCCTTTCTCTTCTTGCAGCATTCTTGCCTTGACCAATGCCACCCTGCCACCTCCAGGTTGGGAGTGGGGAAATTGGACACTCCCAGCCTTATGTGGCTGGGACAGGCAGCCCAGAGAGGGGAGATGCTTGCCAGTAGGTCACTGGGAAGAGAGTTTAAAAGGCAGTGTCCAGCAGCCAGGACACAGATGAGAGGAACAGGCCTTCTGTGTAAAGGACCCAGCCTGAGCCAGGGTCAAGGTGGGCCCACTCTCTTGGGTACAGAGACCAGAGGGACAAGAAGCTGAAATGGCAGCATCAGGTACCCAGGAACTCAGTTGGACCAGGAATACTTCTAGTCTGACAGTCATGCCTTGAGTTGACATCACCCCACCCAGGAGGGGTCTTCAGGGGCTGGGCTCTCTCCCTCTGCATGAAGATCTTAGCTCAGGGCTGTGTCTTCCCTGGGTGAGGACTCCAGGGCTGTCAAAAGGGAGTGAGCATGTCTTCCTGCATTAGGCGAGAAGGGAGAGGCAAGCAGATGGCTGGGATCCTGTCCTGCTATGTTTGTAGCTCTACCCCAGGCCAAATGTCTTAGTCCATTCAGGCTGCTGTATAACAGAATGCAGTACCATAGACTGGGTGGCTTAGAAACAACAGAAATTTATTCCTGGGCAGGCACGGGGGCTCATGCCAACACTTCAGGGGGCCAAGGCAGGCAGATCACTTGAGGCCAGGAGTTCAAGACCAGCCTGGGCAACATGGCGAAACCCCATCTCTCCTAAAAATACAAAAATTAGCCAGGCGTGGGGTCACATGCCTGTAATCCCAGCTACTCGGGAGGCTGAGGCAGGAGAATCGCTTGAACCCGGGAGGTGGAGGTTGCAGTGAGCTAAGATCGCACCACCGCACTCCAGCCTGGGCAACAAATTGAGACTCTGTCTCAAAAACAAACAAACAGGCAAACAAAATACAAATACAAAAATTAACCAGGCGTGGTGGCGCATGCCTGTAATCCCAGCTACTTGGATGGCTGAGGCATGAGAATTGCTTGAACCCAGGAGGTGGAGGCTGCAGTGACCTGAGATCATGCCATTGCACTCCAGTTTGGGCAACAGAGTGAGACCCTGTCTCCAAAAAAAGGAAAAGGAAGAAATGTATTTCTTACAGTTCTGGAGGCTGGGAAGTCCAAGATCAGGGTACTAGCCTGGTCGGGTTCTGGTGAGGGCCCTCTTTACTGGTTGCAGATAGGCAGCATCTCACTGTGTCCTCGCATGGTGGAAGGGACTGGTTAGCTCTCCTGGGCCTCTTTATAAGGGCACTAATGTCTTTCCTGAGGGCTCCACCCTTATGATCTAATTACCCCTCCAAAGGCCTTACCTCCTAATACCATCACCTTTGTGATAGGTTTCAACATATGAATTTGGGAGGACACAGACCTTCAGACCTGCACTTAGCACAGCTTTTCTCTGAGCCCAGGTGTCGTGGGGAATTCTGGGGGATGGGTGACCAGCAGTCTCAGTGTGCTTGGAACTTTCCAGGGGTCAACACTTGAAATCTGGCATCCTGGGAAACCTGAGATGGTCGCCCATCATCCTGGGGGTGCATGCAGCCAGAGGGCTGGGTCTGGGCTACCTCCAACCTTGACTTTGATGACATTCTCTCCCCTCTTCTCCCCACCCTGCCCTCCACTCCTTTGCTTTCTACCTTGGTCTCCCTCTGTCTCTCTTGCTGTCTCCCTGGCCACCCCACCTCAGGTGTTTCTGACAGCCACCCACTCACACAGCTCCCCCTTTGATGCCCTGGAGGGCTACATCTGCCCCGTGCTGTTTGGTTCGGCCTGCGGGGGTGACCATCACCACGACAACCATGGTGGGTCCCACAGCGGTGGTGGGCCAGGAGCTCAGCATTCGGCCATGCCCGCCAAGTCCAAGGAGGAGTTGAGCGAGGGCTCCAGGAAGAAGAAGGCCAAGAAGGCGGATTAGGGGGTGGCCCAAGGGGCACCGGGGAGAGGACCCGGACCCAGGACCCTCTGAGCTGGGAGGCTTCCTGCGCTCAGATCTATCCTTTCCTGGCCTTGACTTCCCCATCTGCAAATCAGGGTCATTGGCTCACCCTCCAGGGCTGATGTGGGGGTTGAGATATGGGGATGAGGATGAAGAACTTTTGTAGAAATCGGGGTTCCCTCTTTCTCTCTGCCAGGACCCCATAGAGTCACAGCTTTTGGAGGGGTTCACAGAATCCTGGCAGCAGCTCCAGTCAAGAATGTCACTGGTTGGCATGATATTCTTAGTTGTATTTTTCCTTCTTTAAAATTGCATCTTGACCAGGCACAGTGGCTCATGCCTATAATCCTAGCACTTTGGGAGGCCGAGGCGGGCAGATCACCTGAGGTCAGGAGTTCAAGACCAGCTTGGCCAACATGGTGAAACCCCATCTCTACCAAAAATACAAAAATTAGCCAGACGTGGTGGTGCACGCCTTTAATCCCAGCTACTCGGGAGGCTGAGGCAGGAGAATCACATGAATCCAGGAGGTGGAGGTTGCAGTGAGCTGAGATCTTCCCACTGCACTCCAGCCTGGCCAATAAGACCTGTCTCCAGCAAGACCCTGTCTCAAAAAAAAAAAAAAAAATTGCATATTGACTCCTGAAGAACTTCAAGCCATGTTGAGATCCATTCATTTGATGGACATTTTCTAAGTACCTGTGAGCCAGGTGCTGCCATTTCAAAGTCTCTTCTTACCACGCTCCTCAGTGGCTAGACATTTTCACGTGGCCAGAAAGTCCCGACTCTTGCTGGGCGTCCCTGGACAAGTTGCCTTCCTCCTCTGAGCTTGGCGCTCCCCATCTGTATAGTGGAGACCCTTGGCCCCCCTCTGTACGGAAGGGCCGATGCGAAGCTGCAGTTAAAAAAGGCTCACATGCTCCTAGCCTCGTGCAGTCAGGAGGGGAGACCAGGACAGTTGGAAATTATGATTGCAAATGGCTTTGCATTTTAGATCATTCGTGTGTGTGGATCAGAGAAACGCACAAGTTCCCTGGCACAAAGGAAGCCCTCAGTAGACACGTCTAGGGCAGGCTTGAGAGATCAGATGGCGTGAAAGGCTTGTGATCTGTTCGTCTCAGGCTCCCCCTAAACCAAAGAAATGGAAACAGCTGGTTGGGGTTCCACGATCCAGCTCTATCAAGGGGCTCTGAGTGTGCACAGTTGGGACCTGGATGTATCAGGTCTCCCTCAGGCTGGAGTCCACTGTCACTCATTCAGCCATTGAACAAACATACAGATGCTTACCTGCTCTGTGGTCAGCCTTGTGCTGCTGCTGGGCGGGCCAGGAGCCTGCTTCAGTGTGAGCGAGGTGGATGATATTATAGCTGAAGGGTCCCTCCTGGTCACCCTCATCTCAGCCTAGGTCACCAGGATGTCTGAGAGGGGTGGGTGCATGGGACGGGCGTGGCCAGTCTCAGGTGAGGTTTGGGCCCAGACCTCGTTGGAGTCCCAGACGTTGCCAGGCTGTTGGAAAATTGCCTTGTTCCTGTGATGCCTGGGAGTTAGGTGGGTCCTGGGGAGGTTTCATCCTCTTGCTTGTCCACCTCAGCTCGGTGTGGAGGGGCAGCCAATAAATCATTGTGAATGAACCCTCATGGCTTGTCTGATTTATGCCTGGGATTTTGTTTTTTGTTTTTGTTTTTGTTTGAGACCGAGTCTCACTCTTGCCCAGGCTGGAGTGCAGTGGCCCGATCTTGGCTCCCTGCAACCTCCACCTCCCGGGTTCAAGCAATTCTCCTGCCTCAGCCTCCCGAGTAGCTGGGATAATAGGTGCCCGCCATCACACCTGGCTAATTTTTGTATTTTTAGTAAAAGCGGGGTTTCACCATGTTGCCATGCTGGTCTTGAACTCCTGACCTCAAATGATCCACCCACCTTGGCCTCCCAAAGTGCTGGGATTACAGGTGTGAGCCACTGAGCCCAGCCACATGCCTGGGATTTTGGCCTCAAGATGTGGGGATGGCTGGGCATGGTGGCTCATCCCTGTAATCTCAGCACTTTGGAGGGCTGAAGCGGGCAGATCACCTGAGGTCAGGAGTTCAAGACCAGCCTGGCCAACATGGTGAAACCCTGCCTCTACTAAAACTACAAAAATTAGTCAGGTGTGGTGGCAGGTGCCTGTAATCCCAGCTACTCGGGAGGCTGAAGCAGGAGAATCGCTTGAACCTGGGAGGTGGAGGTTGCGGTGAGCTGAGGTGGAGACATTGCACTCCAGCCTGGACAACAAGAGCAAAACTCATTCTTTAAAAAAAAAAAAAAAAAAAAAAGGCTGGGCATGGTGGCTCACACCTGTAATCCCAGCACTTTGGGAGGCCAAGGCAGGTGGATCACGAGGTCGGTGGATCACGAGTTCAGTAGATCAAGACCATCCTGGCTAACATGGTGAAACCCCATCTCTACTAAAAATACAAAAAATCAGCTGGATGTGGTGGCGGGCGCCTGTAGTCCCAGCTACTTGGGAGGCTGAGGCAGGAGAATGGCGTGAACCTGGGAGGCAGAGCTTGCAGTGAGCGGAGATCGCGCCACAGCACTCCAGCCTGGCAGACAGAGCGAGACTCCATCTCAAAAAAAAAAAAAATGTATACTGTGTACAGTATACATTACATACATTATATGAAATCCTAGAAAAAGCAAACTAATGTATAATTACAGAAAGCTGATCAGTGGGTGCTTGGGGAAAGGCAGGTAGGGTGGGGTGGGCAGGAGGGATTTTGAAGGGGCAAGGGGACATGAGTGATGAGTCTGTTAACTTCTTTGATTGTGTTAGTTTCTCGGGTCTATACACATGTCAGAACCTATTACATTGTACATTGCAAATACACACAGTACCTCATTTGTCAGTGATGCCTCAATAAAGCTGTAAAAAAGAACCCTTCAATTATAAGGGAAAAAAGTGCGAGCTTGGTGGCTCACGCCTGTAATCCCAGCACTTTGGGAGGCTGAGGCAGGAGGATCACTGGAGCCCAGGAGTTGGTGATCAGCCTGCACAACATAGTGAGACTCTGTCTCTACAAAAAAAAATTTAAAAATTAGCCGGGGGTGGTGACTCGTGCCTGTAGGCCCAGGCACTCTGGAGGTTGAGTGGGGAAAATCACTTCAGCCCAGGAGGTTGAGGCTGCAGTGAGCTAAGATTGGGCCACTGCACTTCAGCCTGGGCGGAACAGTGAGACCCTGTCTCAAATAAATAAATAAAATAAGAATAAAGTAGAAAAAAACTCCACACCAAATTGGGCAAAAGAAGCTGGGCATGGTGACTCACACCTGTAGTCCTAGCTACTCTGGAGACCAAGGCAGGAGGATCACTTGAGCCCGTTAGGTGGTGTCCAACCTGGGCAACATAGCAAGACCCTGTCTCAAAAAAAAACTGGGCAAAAGATTTGAATAGACACCACCAAAGAAATTATATGGTTGGCAGATATCATATAAATTGCACATTAAAACCACAAGCATATGCCACTGCATACCTGTTATGAATTGAATTGGGTTCCTCTCAAATTCATTTGTTGAAGTCTTAACCCCTAAGGTATTAGGGGGTGGGACCCTTGGGAGATGATTAGGTCATGAGGGTGGGGCTCTCATAATGGGATTAGTGCCCTTACAGAAGAGGCCCCAAAGAAACACTTTGCTCTTCCTACCATGTGAGGACACAGAGAGAAGACACGTATGAACCAGGAAGCCGGCCCTTACCACACAGTGAATCTGCCAGTATCTTGATCATGAACTTCCCAGCCTCCAGAACTGTGAGAAATAAATTTCCGTTGTTTATAAGCCACCATTTTCTAGTATTTTCTTGTAGCACCCTAAATGGACTAAGACAGGAGATAAGGCCTTTTTTTTTTTTTCTTTTGGAGATGGAGTTTCCCTCTTGTTGCCCAGGCTGGAGTGCAGTGGCGCCATCTCAGCTCACTGCAATCCCTGCCTCCCAGGTTCGATCGATTCTCCTGCCTCAGCCTCTGGGATTACAGGCATGTGCCACCACGCCCAGCTAATTTTTTGTATTTTTAGTAGAGACAGGGTTTCACCATGTTGGCCAGGCTGGTCTGGAACTCCTGACCTCAGGTAATCCACCTGCCTCGGCCTCCCAAAGTGCTGGGATTACAGGGGTGAGCCACCGCACCCGGCCTAATTTTTTTGTAGAGTTGGGGTCTCCCTATGTTACCCAGGCTGGTCTCCAGCTTCTGGCTCAAGTGATCCTCTTGCCTTGGCCTCCCAAAGTGCTGGGATTACAAGCATGAGCCACTGCTCCCCGCCACCTTTTAGAATGGATAAAATAAAAATAACCGACAATATCCAGTGTAGGTAAGGATTTGGGGGCAGCTGGAACTCACACACTGCTGGTGGGAGACAATTGGACAGTTTCTTTTAAGGTTTTTTATGTTTTTAAAATTTTTAATTTTTTACATTTTTTTTTGAGACAGGGTATTGCTCTGTCGCCCAAGCTGGAATGCAGTGGCTCAATCTTGGCTCACTGTAACCTCCGCCTCCTGGGTTCAAGCGATCCTTCCACATCAGCCCCCTGAGTAGCTGGGACTACAGGTGCATGCCACCATGCCTGGCAAAGTTTTGTATTTTTTGTAGAGTCGGAGTCGTGCTCTGTTGCCCACACTGGCCTTGAACTCTTGGGCTCAAGCAATCCTCCTGCCTCAGCCTCCCAAAATGCTGGGATTACAGGCGTGAGCCACCATGCCCAGTCAGATACACATCTTCAGCCATGAGAAGAATGCAAATCAAAACCACAGTGAGTTGTCACTTCACATCCAACAAAATGGCTAAAATTAAAATGACAATATGGTCATTTTAGTGCTGGTGAGGATGTGGAGCAATAGGAACTCTCATATGCTTTGGTAGGAAGGTAAAAAGGTGCAACCACTTTGGAAGACAATTTGGCAGGTTTTTTTATAAGTTAAACATAGAAGCCAGGTGCAATCGCTTACGTCTGTAATCCCAGCACTTTGGGAGGCCAAGGTGGGCAGATCACTTGAGTTCAGGAGTTCGAGACCAGCCTGGTCAACGTTGTGAAACCCTGTCTCTGCTACAAATACAAAAAATTAGCCAGGCGTGGTGGTGTGCACCTATAATCCCAGCTACTTGAAGGCTGAGGCGGGAGGAGCCCTTGAACCTGGGATGGGGAGGTTGCAGTGAGCTGAGATTGCACCGCTGCACTCCAGCCTGGGTGACAGAGCAAGATTCTATCTCCAAAAAAAAAAAAAAAAAAAAAAAAAAAACCAAAACAAAACAAAACAAAAAACAAAATGTTAGCCTGGCACAGTGGCTCACCCCTGTAATCCCAGCACTTTGGGAGGCCGAGGTGGGCAGATCACTTGAGATCAGGAGTTTGAGATCAGCCTGACCAACATGGTGAAACCCCAACAAGGTGTAATTTTGTAAAAATACAAAAATTAGCCAGGCATGGTGGCACCTGCCTGTAATCCCAGCTACTCAGGAGGCTAAGACGGGAGAATCACTTGAACCCAGGAGGCAGAGGTTGCAGTGAGCTGAGATTGCGCCACTGCACTCCAGCCTGGGTGACAGAGCAAGACTCCGTCTCAAAAAAAAAAAACCAACAAAACAAAAACACTATAAGTTAAACATAGGGTGGTCATGGGTGACTCACACCTATAATCCCAGGGCTTTGGGAGGTGCAGGACGGAGGACTGTTTTAGCCCAGGAGGTTGAGGCTGCAGTGAGCTGTGATGGTGCCACTGTACTGAAGCATGGGTGACAGAGCAAGACTCTGTCTTTAAAAAAACAAAAATGTGAATAAATGAACAGCTGTGCTCCGCCCATAGTATTGCCTACTGTTCAGCGAAAAAAAAAAAAAGGCGGTGGAGGTGGTGAACATGCAAAAACATGAATGAGTCTCGAATGTATCCAGATTGGTGGGAAAAAGCCATACAAAAAAGAATGTGTAATATAGGCATCCATTTATCTGAAATCCTAGAAAAAGCAAACTATTGTAACAGAAAGCTGATCAGCATGTGGTTGGGGAAAGAAGGACAGGGTAGGGCAGGTGAGAGGAATTTTGCAGTGGCACCAGGAAACTCGGGTGATGGATCTGCTGATGGCTTTGATTGTGCTGGTTTCTTGGGTCTATACCCATGTCTGAATCTATTAAATTTTACTTTTGGGTTTTTGTTTTGTTTTGTTTTTTGAGATGGAGTCTTGCTCTGTCACCCAGGCTGGAGTGCAGTGGCACGATCTTGGCTCACTGCAACCTCTGCCTCCTGGGTTCAAGTGATTCTCCTGCCTCAGCCTCCTGAGTAGCTGGGATTACAGGTGCCCACCGCCATACCTGGCTAATTTTTGTATTTTTAGCAGAGACAGGGTTTCACCATGTTGGCCAAGCTTGTCTCAAACTCCTAACCTCAGGTGATCTGCCCGCCTCGGCTTCCCAAAGTGCTGGGATTACAGGCGTGGGCCACCGTGCCTGTGCCTGGTCTAAATTTTGCTTTGATTACTTAAGATTTAAAAAAAAATTAACTTTTTTCTTATTTATTTATTTAGAGAGACAGAGTCTCGCTCTGTCGCCCAGGCTGGAGGGCAGTGGTGCAATCTTGGCTCACTGTAACCTCTGCCTCCTGGGTTCAAGCAATTCTCCTGCCTCAACCTCCAGAGTAGCTGGGATTACAGGTGCCCACCACCACGCCTGGCTAATTTTTGTATTTTTAGTAGAGACGGTTTTGCCATATTGGCCCGGCTGGTCTCGAACTCCTTGCCTCAAATGACCCACCTGCCTCAGCCTCCCAAAGTGCTGGGATTACAGGCTTGAGCCACCACGCCGGCCTCTTTTTTATTTATTTTTAATTAATTATTTTTTACTTCTTTTTTTCCCACTCATTCAACCTAAGTACTTAAAAGTTTTCATTTTATATATGCATAGTTCATCTATCAGTTATGCCTCAGTAAAGCTATAAAAAAAGAAGCTTTCAATTATAAGGAAAAAAAGTCTGGGCATGGTGGCTCATGCCTGTAATCCCCGCACTTTGGGAGGCCGAGGCCAAAGGATCACTTGAGCTGAGGAGTTCATGACCAGCCTGGCCAACACAGTGAGACCCAGTCTCTGCAGAAAAAAAAAAAAAAAAAAATTAGCCAGTTGTGGTGATGTGAGCCTGTAATCCCAGCTACTCAGGAGGCAGAGGTGGGAGGATCGCTTGAGCCCAGGAGTTCGAGGCTGCAATGAGCTGAGATTGCACCACTGCACTCCAGCGTGGATGACAGAGTGAGACCCTGTCTCATAAATAAATGAATAGGCTGCAGTAACATACTCCAGACAGAGTCGCTTAAGCCACAGACATTTATTTTTCCCTAATTCTTGAGGGTGGAAGTTTGACATCAAGGTGTCAGTTGGTTTTGTTTCTCAAGGCCTCTCTGCTTGGGTGGCAGACGGCCGCCTTCTCTGTCCTCGTATAGTCTTCCCTCTTCGTATGTCTGTATCCTAGTCTCCTCTGCCTACGAGGACACCAGTGAATTAGATCAGGGCCCACCTATAGACTTTTTTTAAAACTTAATTATCTTTTTTTTTTTTTTTGAGATGGAGTCTGGCTTTGTGGCCTAGGCTGGCGTGCAGTGGCGCCATCTCGGCTCACTGCAACCTCCACTTCCCGGGTTCAAGTGATTCTCATGCCTCAGCCTCCCGAGTAGCTGGGATTACAGGCACGTGCCACCATGCCTGGCTAATTTTTGTATTTTTAGTAGAGATGGAGTTTCACCACGTTGGCCAGGCTGGTCTTAAACTCTTGATCTCAAGTGATCCACCCACCTCAGCCTCCCAAAGTGCTGGGATTACAGGCATGTGAGCCACCCTGCTTGACTGACTATTTTAACTTAATTGTCTCTTTAAAGACCTTATCTCAATCAGTTTGGTGCTAAAAAAATTTAAAAAAAAAAGACCTTATCTCCTGTTTTAGTCCTTTCAGTGTGCTACAACAAAATACTATAAACTGGTGGCTTGTAAACAACAGAAATTTATTTTTCATGGTTCTGGAGGCTGGGAAGTTCAAGATCAAAATGCTGGCAGATTCACTGTCTGGTAAGGGCTGGCTATCTGGTTCACAGATGGTGTCTTCTTTTGGTGTCCCCACATGGTAGAAAGATCAAGGAGTTTCTTGGGGGCCTCTTGTGGAAGGGCACTAATCCCATTATGAGGGCCACATCCTCATGACCTAATCACCTCCCAAGGGCCGCACCTCCTAATACCATCACCTTGGGGCTAATTTTGGACTCAGGTGATCTTCCTACCTTGGTCTCCCAAAACAAAGGGATGTGAGTCTCTGTGTCCAGCGTCCTTTAAGGATGGATTAAATTAAAGTAACTGACAATGCCTGGTGCAGGTAAAGATTTGGGGGCAGCTGGAGCTCGCACACTGCTGGTGGGAGACAATTGGACAGTTTCTTTTAAATTTATTTATTTATGTATTTATTTGAGATAGGGTATCACTCTGTCATCCAGGCTGGAGTCCAGTGGTGCAGTCATAGGTCACTTCAGCCTCGACCTCCTGGGCTCATGTGATCCTCCCGCCTCAGCCGCTTGAGTAGCTGGGACTACAGGCACACATCACCACATCCAGATAATTTTTGTATTTTTTATATAGATGATGTCTCGCCCTGTTGCCCAGGCTGGTCTGAAACTCCTGGGCTCAAGTGATCCTCCTGCCTCAGCCTCCCAAAGTGCTGAGATTACAGGTGTGAGCCACCTTGCCCAGACTGATAGTTTCTTATTAAATTAAACATCACTTACCCTATAAACACAACAATCCCTGATAGTTTCTTATTAAATTAAACATCACTTACCCTATAAACACAACAGTCCCATTGTGGTGAAACAAAAATTCACCTATTTTTTTTTTTTTTGGTAATCACCAAAAACTGGGAACATCCCAAATGTCCATCAGTTGGTAAGCGGATGAGCCACCTGGTTTATGCATGTGATGGAACATTACACAGCAATGAAAAGGAGTGACCTTCTACAGCAGTGTGGTTGAATCTCAAATGCATTTGCTAAATGAAAGAATCCAGACCCAAGAGACTGTGTGCTCCCATTGGCGGGACATTTTATCTTTAGAGATGGGGTATTGCTTTGTCACCCAGGCTGGAGTGCAGTGGCAGGAACATGGATCATTACAGCCTCAAATTCCCAGGCTCAAGGGATCCTCCCGCCTCACCCTCCTGAGTGGCAGGGATTGCAGGTGCGTGCCACATACTCGGCTGTAGGTCATTTTAGAAATACAAAATTTTGGGCTAGGTGCAGTGGCTCACACCTGTAATCCCAGCACTTTGGGAGGCCGAGGTGGGTGGATCATTTGAGGTCAGGAGTTTGAGACCAGCCTGAAACCCTGCCTCTACTAAAAATACAAAAATTAGCTGGGGGTGGCAGGTGCCTGTAGTCCCAGCTACTCAGGAGGCTGAGGCAGGAGAATTGCTTGAACCCAGGAGGCAGAGGTTGCAGTGAGCTGAGATCGTGCACCACTGCACTCCAGCCTGGGTGACAGAGCGAGACTCCGTCTCAAAAAAAAAAAAAAGAAAAGAAAAGGAAAGACAAAATTTTAAGTATAGAAAACAGATCAGTGGCTGCCAGGAGTTGAGATGGAAGGAGAGATTATCCACAAGAGAGACAGAGGAATTTTGGGAGGGAAGGGACTGTTCTGCATTTTTAACGTGGCAGTAGTTACACAACTGTATATGTTTGTATAAACTTGCAGAATTCGCCCGGCAGCGTAGCCCTTTTGGGAGGCTGAGGTGGGAGGATCACCTGAGGCCAGGACTTTGAGACTAGCCTGGGTATCATGGTGAAACCCCATTTCTGCAAAAAATACAAAAATTAGCCGGGCATGGTGGCATGTGCCTGTAGTCCTAGCTACTCAGGAGGCTGATGTGGGAGAATCACTTGAGCCTGGGAGGCAGAGGTTGCAGTGAGCCGAAATTGCACCACTGCACTGCAGCCTGGGCAACAGAGCCAGACCTGTCTCAAAACAACAAACAAAAAAACAAACAACAAACAAAACAAAAAACCCACAAAGAAACACTACAAAAAAAACCTTGCAGAATTTTGTGGCTAAATTCTACCTTAATCTAAAAAGAAAAGGAAAAAGAGAGCAGCCTTTGGGGTTTCCCAAATCTGTTCAAATCCTGTCTTTGTTTTTTTTTTTTTTTTTTTTTTTGACAGATTCTCACTCTGTTGCCCAAGCTGGAGTGCAGTGGTGCCATCTTGGCTCACTGCAACCTCCGCCTCTCGGGTTCAAGTGATTCTCCTGCCACAGCATCCCGTGTAGCTGGGATTGCAGGCAAGAGCCACCATGCCTGGCTAATTTTTGTATTTTTAGTAGAGTCAGGGTTTCAACATGTTGGCCAGGGTGGTCTTGAACTTCTGACCTCAAGTGATCCTACCCGCCTCGGTCTCCCAAAGTGCTGGGATTACAGGTGTTAGCCACCATGCCTGGCCAAACCCTGGCTTTTAATCTCCGAGATACGTAGCTTGGGCAAGTAACTCCCCTTCTCTGAGCCTCAATTTCCTCTTAGGATGGCTAGGAGGAGTGACTGGAAAGTCCTTGGCACAAAGTGAGGTCTGGAGTTGGGACAAAAGCTGCCTCTGTCAAAGTGCTCACAGAACCCCTGGTCGGGTTCATTTAGCATCTGGTGGGTGTTGGAGATAAGTCGGCTCCCTGCCTTCTGGCACTAATGTTCTGAGATCTCATTTTCCAAGAGAACAGATTGTACCAAAATAGCCTCCCAGCCTAGTCTGCGAAGGGGGTGTGCAAGCCACTGGCCAGGTGGAGAATGATTGGCGGGGCAGGCTGGGGCTGTTGTCCCAGTGTGGGTGTGAGAACTTGGAGGATCGGCTCTCAAAGTCCAGGCTAATTTGGCTGCAAGTTACACTCAGTAACTTCCTTGGTCTTGGAATGAGAGAAAGTTTCTTTTTATCCTTTTTAAAAAAAATTGTGGTAAAATACACAACATAAAACTTATCATCTTTTTTTTGTTTGTTTGAGACAGGGTCTTGCTCTATTGCCCAGGCTGAAGTGCAGTGGCACAATCACAGCTCACTGCAGCCTTGACCTCCTGGGCTCAATCCATCCTCCCACCTCAGCCTCCCAAGTAGCTGGGACTACAGGTGTGCACCACCATGCCTGGCTAATTTTTTTGTATTTTTAGTAGACACCGGGTTTCACCATGTTGCCCAGGCTGGTCTCAAGCTCCTGAGCTCAAGCAATCCACCCACCTTGGCTTCTCAAAGTGCTGGGATTACAGGCATGAGCCACCACACATGTCCTAAATTTCTTAGCCACATTTGAGTGTATACTTCAGGGGCATTAAGTATATTCACATTGGCTAGGCATGGTGGCCCATGCCTGTAATCCCAGCACTTTGGGAGGCCAAGGCGGGTGGATCACTTGAGGTCAGGAGTTCAAGACCAGCCTGGCCAATATGGTGAAACCCCATCTCTACTAAAAATACAAAAATTAGCTGGGCGCAGTGGCACGCACTTGTAATCTCAGCTACTCAGGAGGCTGAGGCAGGAGAATCACTTAAACCCAGGAGGCGGAGTTTGCAGTGAGCCCAGACTGTGCCATTGTACTCCAGCCTGGGCAACAGAGCGAGACTCCATCTAAAAAAAAAAAAGTATATTCACATTGTTGTGCAACCACCACCATTACCCAGCTCCAGAAATCTTTTCATCCTGCAAAGGTACCCATTAAACACTCACTCCCCACTTCCCTCTTCCAGCCCTTGGCAGCACCATTGTACTTTGTCTCTCTGAATTTGATGACTCTAGGAACCTCATATAGGTACAATCATACAATACAGGTGCTCTCCGATTTACAAATTACAATTTTCTTGAGTTTACAATGTTTCAAAAGAGGCCAGGTGCAGTGGCTCACGCCTGTAATCCCAGCACTTCGGGAGGCCGAGGCGGGTGGATCACCTGAGGTCAGGAGTTTGAGACCAGCCTGGCCAACATGGTGAAACCCTGTCTCTGCTAAAAATACAAAAAAAATTAGCCAGGCATGGTGGTGGGCGCCTGTAATCCCAGGACTTTGGGAGGCCGAGGTGGGCGGATCACCTGAGGTCAGGAGTTTGAGACCAGCCTGGCCAACATGGTGAAACCTGGTCTCTACTAAAAATACAAAAAAATTTGCCAGACGTGGTGGGCACCTGTAATCCCAGCTACTTGGAAGGCTGAGGCAGGAGAATCACTTGAACTGGGGAGGTGGAGGTTGCAGTGAGCCGAGACTGTGCCATTGCACTCTAGCCTGGACGACAGAGCAAGACTCTGAGACTCTGTCTCAAAATAAATAAATAAATAAAATAAAAATAAAAATAAACAAAAAATAAATGTTTCGAAAGAGATTCACATTCAGTAGAAACCATGCTTCAAGTACCCACACCACCATTCTATTTTACTTTCAGGACAGTATTTAATAAATTACATGAGCTATTCAACACTTTATTACAAAATGGGCTTTGCGTTAGTTGATTTTGCCCAAGTGTAGGTTAATGTAAGTTTTCTGACCATGTTTAAGGACAACTAGGTGAAGCTATGATGTTCAGTAGGTTAGGTGTATGGAAATGCCTTTTTTTTTTTTTTTTTTTTTGGAGACAGGTTCTTGCTCTGTCGCCCACGCTGGAGTGGTGCAGTGGTGCGATCTTGGATCACTGCAACCTCTGTCTCCTGGGCTCAGGTGATCCTTCCACTCAGACTCCTGAGTAGCTGGGATTACAGGTGAGCACCACCACGCTGGCTAATTTTTTGTATTTTTAGTAGAGATGGGGTTTCATCATGTTGCCCAGGCTGACCTCGAATTTCTGGATTCAAGTGATCCTCCTGCCTCGGCCTCCCAAACTGTTGGGATTACAGGTGTGAGCCACTGTGGTGCAATTATCCCACACTACAGCTTCAAACTCCTAAGTTCAATTGATCCTCCTGCCTCAGCCTCCCAAGTAGCTGGGACTACAGGTGTACACCACCACACCTGGCTAATTTTTAAATGTTTTGTAGAGATGAGGTCTTGCTATGTTGCCCAGGCTGGTCTTGAACTCCTGGCCTCAAGTGATGCTCCCACTTTGGCCTCCTAAAATGCTGGGATTACAGGTGTGAGCCACCATGCCCAGCCATAAGCAGGTATTTTACATATAATAGATCGTCAAGGTGGTTTGTTACCCTCATTTTGTGGAAAATAAATGAGGCTGGGTGCTAAGGTGAGTGGAGGTCAGTCACCTCTTACTGACAGTGGGTCAGAATTGAAATCCAGTCTTGGTGCAGTAGCTCACGCCTGTAATCCCAGCACTGTGGGAGGCCAAGGCAGGCAGATCACCTAAGTTCAGGAGTTCGAGACCAGCCTGGCCAACATGGCGAAACCCCGTCTCTACTAAAATACAAAAAATCACCCAGACAAGGTGGCACATGCCTGTAATCCCAGCTCCTCGGGAGGCTGAAGCAGGAGAATTGCTTGAGCCTGGGAGGCAGAGGTTGCAATGAGCCGAGATCACGCCACAGCACTCCAGCTTGGGTGACAGAATGAGTGAAACTCCATCTCAAAAAAAAAAAAAAAAAAAAAAAAGAATTGAAATCCAGGCCCATCTCATTCTAAAGCTATGCTTTTTCTTGCACATTTCACTTCTCTGATTCTCTTTAGGAATATGTAAGATACATGCATGGAACAATTCAGCATTATCCTTGACACTGAGCAGGCATCAGCAAATAATACCTAGAGCAGGCATTAGCAAAGGCAAGTTCTTATCCTGCTCTCCTGGTTCCTAGATCATCATCCCTGGTGACCACAGACGTGGGTGGTTATGACTGCGTTTACACTGTGCTTTCCTGTTAGCGCCTGCCTGAAGGCATGTAGGAAAACTCCCAGCTCAATTAGTGGAGGAAATTGAGGCCATTGAAGCCAGCTGAGAGGTGAAAGTGACTGCACAAAGACAGATGTTGGCAGGCCTGAGTGTGAGCTCTGGTTTTGCAACTAACTTGCGTGTGACCTTTGGTGAACCCTTCTTGGCTGATTGAAAATGTTGAACTAGGCCGGCCCGGTGGCTCCCAAAGTCCTGTAATTCCAGCACTTTGGGAGGCCTAGGTGGGCAGATCACTTGAGGTCAGGAGTTCAAGACCAGCCTGGCCAACATGGCAAAACCTCATCTCTACTAAGTACAAAAATTAGCCAGGTGTGGTGGTGGGCACCTGTAATCCCAGCTACTCGGGAGGCTGAGGCAGGAGAATTGCTTGAACCCAGGAGGCGGAGGTTGCAGTGAGCCGAGATCACACCACTGCACTTCAGCCTGGGCAACACAGCGAGACTCTGCCTCAGTTGAAAAAAAAAAAAAGAAAGAAAAATGTTGAACCAGGCAGGTCAAGAGTGTGTAAACCATGGCCCAAGGGCCAAATCTGGCCCCTACTTGTGTTTGTAAATAAAATTTTCTTGGCACGCAGCCATGCTCATTTGTTTACTTATCGCCTATAGAGATTTATTATTATTATTATTATTTTCTTTTTTGAGACGGAGTTTCGCTCTTGTTGCCCAGGCTGGAGTACAGTGGTGTGATCTAGGCTCACTATAACCTCCGCCTCCCAGGTTCAAGTGGTTCTTTTGCCTCAGCCTCCCAAGTAGCTGGGGTTACGGGCACCTGCCACCACGCCCGGCTAATTTTTGTAGTTTTAGTAGAGACGGGGTTTCACCATGTTGACCAGGCTGGTCTCAAACTCCTGACCTCAGGTGATCTGCCCGCCTCGGCATCCCAAAGTGCTGGGATTACAGGCCTGAGCCACTGTGCCTGGTACCTATAGTGGATCTTGTGCTACAACAGCAGAGTTGAGTGATTTCAACAGACCACCTTACCTGCACAGCTGAAAATATTCACTCTCTGGCCCTTTGCAGAAAATGTTGGCCAACCCCTGGACTGGATGATGCTGAAGATCCCTTCTAACTCTAAATATCTGAATTCATAGAGGAAGTGAACATTGCAATTAACTAGGCAAAAACCAAGAGAAATTTATCAAACTCTGAGCTGCACAAATGAGTATCTCACCATCCCGCAAATGTCCATGTTTCCTCAACAGAAACTGACCATGGGGCTGGGTGTGGTAGCTCATGCCTGTAATCCCAGCACTTTGTGAGGCAGAGGAAGGAGGATCACTTGAGGCCAGGAGTTCGGACCAGCCTGGCCAACATGGCGAAACCCCATCTCTATTAAAAATACAAAAATTAGCCAGGCATGGTGGCACGTGCCTGTAATCCCAGCTACTCGAGAGGCAGAGGCACAAGAATTGCTTGAACCTGGGAGGCAGAGGTCACAGTGAGCTGAGATCGTGCCACTGCACTCCAGCCTGAGTGAGACAGTGAGACTCTGTCTCAAAACAAACAAAAACAAAACAAAACAAAAACAACAACAACATTGGTCTGAGGCCAGGCATGGTGGCTCACGCCTATAATCCCAACATTTAGGGAGGATAAGGTGGGTGGATTGCTTGAGCCCCGGAGTTTTTGAGACCAACCTGGGCAATGTAGCAAGACCCCATCTTTACAAATATGAACAAAAATTAGTCTGGCATGCTGGCGTGTGTCTGTGGTCCCAGCTAACTTGGGAGGCTGAGGTGGGAGGGTCTCTTGAGCCTGGGAGGCAGAGGTTGCAGTGACCTGAGATTATGCCACTGCACTCCAGCTTTGGTGTCAACGTGAGACCTTGTTTCAAAAGAAAAAAAAAAGTCTTTGGTCTGTCTTACACTGGGAATGGTTCTACTCATTCATGCCTATAACATGCATTGATCATTTGGAAAATATTAGTTCAATGAGTGATGCAGATGTTGTCCCATTACATTATTTTGTATCAAAAAAGTCCTCTTCATTAATATCACTATTCATCTCATCAGAAAAGTGTGCAGCCGTGCAATCATAGCTCACTGCAGCCTTGACCTCCTGGGCTCAAATGATCCTCCCACCTCAGCCTCCTTGGTAGCTGGGACTGTAGGCGCACATGCCAGCACGCCGGGATAATTTTTTTAAAAAACTTTTTATAGAGACAGGGTTTCACTTTGTTGCCCAGGCTGGTCTCAAACTCCTGACCTCAAGTGATCTTCTCGCCTCAGCTTCCCAAGTAGCTGGGGTTACAGGCTTAGAAAAGTCTTTAAATGTCAAGAAGCTGCCAAACTCACAGTGGTGGCTACACATTTTCCAAAATTCTGATTTCTCCTTAAAAGCTTGAATTTTATTGTGGGCAACAAAACCTGAAATTGTTTTCCTTGAAGTGACAGCCTCATTTTGTTCATTTTTGAGAAAATGTCTGCCAAGCAGCCACATCTGAATCACAGTTTGTCAGACATTTCCAGTAAAAATGGTGTTACCCGAGAAAGGCCACTAGCTTGGCTGTGGAGGCAGCAAACCATCATTCAATCACGTTTTCTAGAGATGACCAAGGACTGAATCCTCAGCAGGGGAATTTTATGTGGACCTCCCGTATTGCTAGTCAGAATATGAAAAAGACATGCCCTCTCCTGTTATGGGGCAAATTGTGTCCCCCCCAAAAGATATGTTGAAGCCAGGCTGGGCACAGTGGCTCACGCCTGTAATCCCAGAACTTTGGGAGGCTTGGAGTGGGGGGGGGGGGGTGGATCACAAGGTCAGGAGTTCGAGACCACACTGGCCAACATGACAAAACCCCGTCTCTACTAAAAAAAATACAAAACTTAGCCAGGCATGGTGGCAGGCACCTGTTATTCAGCTACTTGGGAGGCTGAGGCAGGAGAATTGCTTGAACCTGGGAGGTGGAAGTTGCAGTGAGCCGAGATCGCCCCACTACACTCCAACCTGGGCGACAGAGTAAGACTCTGTCACAAAAACAAAAACAAAACAAAACAAAAACAAAAAACAACTTCCTATTGGGTACTGTGTTCACTATCTGGGTGACGGGATCAATGGAAGCCTAAACCTCAGCATCATGCAATATATTCTTATGACAAACCTGCACATGTACCCCCTGAATCTAAAATAAAAATGGAGGCCGGGCGTGGTGGCTCACGCCTGTAATCCCAGCACTCTGGGAGGCTGAGGCAGGTGAATCACCTGAGATCAGGAGTTCGAGACCAGCCTGGCCAACATGGTGAAACCCCGTCTCTACTAAAAATACAAAAACTAGCTGGGCATGGTGGCAGGCGCCTGTAGTCCCAGCTACTGGGAAGGGAGGCTGAGGCAGGATTATCGCTTGAATCTGGGAGGCAGAGGTTGCAGCAAGCCAAGATCATGGCATTGCACTCCAGCCTGGGCGACAAAAGCAAAACTCCGTCTCGAAAATAAATAAATAAATAAGTAAAATAAAAATGGAAATTTAAAGGAAGAAAGAAATGGTGCTTACTGTCTGTGTCCTCACATGGCGGAATGAGAGAAAGCAGCTCTCTGGGACACTCTCTCTTGTTTTTTGCTGTTTTTGAGAGAGTCTCACTCTGTCCCCTAGGCTGGAGTGCATGAGTGAGATTGTAACTCACAGAAGCCTTGACTTCCTGGGCTCAAGTAATCCTCCCACTTCAGCCTCCCAAGTAGCTGGGACTACAGGCGCGCACCACCTCGCCCAGCTAATTTTTGTGTTTTTTGGTAGAGACAGGGTTCTGCTACATTGCCCATGTTGGTCTTGACCTCCTGGGCTCAAGTGATACTTCCACTTTGGCCTCCCAAAGTGCTGGGATTACAGGCATGAGCCACCGTGCCCGGCCTGAACCTGTCTATTTTCACCTGATGTGTTATCCTAGGATATTTTCTGCAGTGTTACACGGTGTCTGTGAACAATTTGATAGGTAGTGGCCAGCCACATGTGCCCATTTACATTAACACGAATGACAATTACATAAAATGGAAAGCCCTCCTTCTTGGTGGAATTAGCATCCTTTCAAGTACTTGGTCACCACACGTGGCTGGCGGCTGCTGGACAGCTCCCATAGGGAATATTCCCATCATTACAGAAAGTTCTGTCAGACAGCGCCTCCCTAGAAAATTCCTAATCAACACCTAAAAATAAAAATGAGGTCACAGGCAAGTCGCAGTGGCTCACGCCTGTAATCCCAGCACTTTGGGAGGCTGAGGCAGGCAGGTCACTTGAGGTCAGGAGTTTGAGACCAGCCTGGCCAACATGGCGAAACCCCCTCTCTAGTAAAAATACAAAAATTAGCCAGGCGTGGTGGTAGGCATCTGTAATCCCAGCTGCTCGGGAGGCTGAGGTGGAAGGATCGCTTGAACCCAGGAAGAGGAGGTTACAGTGAGCCAAGATTGTGCCACTGTACTCCATCCAGCCTGGGTAACAGAGTGAGACCCCCATCTCAAAAAAAAAAAAAAATAGGTCCCTATAATACATTCATGTGGGAAAAAATTCAGAGCTATGAAGGCGGGAGGAGTGCAAGGCAAGTTGGCCCCCAGTACCCCTCCGCAGACATCCCTTTTTCCCCTTACTCAAATATCCTTTTAGAAATATTCTTTCCAGTTGGGCGGGCATGGTGGCTCATGCCTGTAATCCCAGCACTTTGGGAGGCTGAGGCAGGAGGATCACTTGAGCCCAGGAGATCAAGGCTGCAAGGTAAAAACGAGGTAGGTGTGGGAGCTCATGCCTGTAATCCCAACACTTTGGGAGGCCAAGGCGGGAGGATTGGTTGACCCTAGGAATTAGAAACCAGCCTGGAACTGAGCTGTGATCACGTCACCGCACTCCAGCATGGGTGACAGAATGAGACCCTGTCTCAAAAAAAAAAAAAAAAAAAAAAAGAAACTATTTTCATATGTAACCATGCACCTCTTTTGCATCTTGTTTTTTCTTTCTTTTTCTTCTTCTTCTCCTTCTCCTCCTTCTTCTTTTTTTGTTTTTGAGACGGAGTCTCGTTCTGTCGCCCAGGCTGAAGTGCAGTATCGGGATCTTGGCCCACTGCAAGCTCCGCCTCCCAGATTCAAGCAATTTCTCCTGCCTCAGCTTCCCGAGTTGGGACTACAGGCACCCGCCACCATGCCTGGCTAATTTTTGCATTTTTAATAGAGGCGGGTTTCACCATATTGGCCAGGCTGGTCTTGAACTCCTGCCCTTGTGATCCCCCCGCCTCAGCCTCCCAAAGTGCTGTGATTACAGGCATGAGCCACTGTGCCTGCCTTTCTTTTTCTTCTGCTTCTTTTTTTTTTTTTTTGTGTGTGTGATAGACTGGAATGCAGTGGTGTGATCACAGTTTACTGCAGCCTTGAACTCCTGGGTTCAAGCAGTCCTTCTGCCTCAGCCTCCAAAAGTCCTGGGATTACAGGTGTGAGCCATTGTGCCCGGCCTTTTTTCTTTTCTTTCTTTCTTCTTTTCACTATCTATTTTGGAAATTTTTCCTTATTAGTACCACAGTGGTACCTCTGAAGGATCTAGGGCAAGATTCTTTTTTTTTTTTGAGATGAAGTCTCGCTCTGTCGCCCAGGCTGGAGTGCAGTGGCACGATCTCGGCTCACTGCAAGCTCCACCTCCCAGGTTCACGCCATTCTCCTGGCTCAGCCTCCTGAGTAGCTGGGACTATAGGCGCCCGCTACCACGCCCGGCTAATTTTTTGTATTTTTAGTAGAGACGGGGTTTCACTGTGTTAGCCAGGATGGTCTCGATCTCCTGACCTCGTGATCCACCCGCCTCGGCCTCCCAAAGTGCGGGGATTACAGGCGTGAGCCACCGCACCCGGCCGATTCTTTTTTTTGTTTTTTGATACAGAGTCTCACTCTGTCACCCAGGCTGGAGTGCAGTGGCACTATCTTGGGTTCCACTCCACCTCCCGGGTTCAAGTGATTCTCCTGCCTCAGCCTCCTGAGTAGCTGGGATTACAGGCATAGGTCCCTACCACCTGGCTAATTTTTGTATCTTTAATAGAGGAGGGGTTTTACCCTGTTGGCCAGGTTGGTCTCAAACTCCTGATCTCAGGTGATCCGCCCACCTCGGCCTCCCAAAGTGCTAGGATTACAGGCGTAAACCACCCTGCCCAGCCAAGACCCCATCTCTATTTTAAAAAATACAAAAATTAGCCGAGTGTGGTGGCACATACCTGTAGTCCCAACTACTCAGGAGGCTGCGGCAGGAGGATTGCTTGAGCCCAGGACGTCAAGGGTGCAGTGAGCCATGATCACGCCGCTGCACTGTGAATGTGCCCTTATTTAGAGATAGGATCTTTGCAGATTTAACTAAATTAAGGAATTTGAGATGAGATCATTATAGATTGTCTAGATGGGCCCTAAATCCAATGAAAATGTGGAATTTTGAGAGAGCAAGACCATGTCTCAAAAAAAAAAAAAAAAAAAGGGCCAGGCAGGGTGGTATAATCTCAGCACTTTGGGAGGCCGAGGCGGGCGGATAATCTGAGGTTGGAGGTTCAAGACCAGCATGACCAACAGGGAGAAACCCTGTCTCTACTAAAAATACAACAGTAGCCGGGTGTGGTAGCGCATGCCTGTAATCCCAGCTCCTTGGGAGGCTGAGGCAGGAGAATCGCTTGAACCCGGGAGGCGGAGGTTGCAGTGAGCCAAGATCGCACCATTGCACTCCAGCCTGGGCAACAAGAGCAAAACTCCGTCTCAAAAAAAAAAAAAAAAAAAGGAAATAGGATCTTTGCAGATGCAAAGATGTAATTAAGATAAGGTTATATTGGTTTAGGGTGGGCCCTCCTCTCACCCACAACCCTCCAAAAGTAAACTATGAACAGTCCTTTTTGTTATGCACATATAAACACATATACAGAGGCCAGGCTCGGTGGCTCATGCCTGTAATCCCAGCACTTTTGGAGGCCGAGGCAGGCGGATCACTTGAGATCAGGAGTTTGAGACCAACCTGACCAACATGGTGAAACCCTGTCTCTACTGAAAATACAACAATTAGCTGGGCGTTGGGGAAAGAGTTCGTTTGTTTGGACAACACGCTTCCTTTGGCACTTTGCTCTTATATTGATGGGACATAAACATTTTTTTGTGGCAATGCTCTGAAGATCTAATTCATTTATTTCAATGCCTGCAGGTAATTCCATTGATGGGGCATAATTTATTTATCCAATCTCCTATTGATGTCATTTATTTATATTATTACTAAATTTCTGAAATTTACATTTCAGAAATTTACAAAATTTCTTTTCTTTTCTTTTTTAGATGGAGTCTAGCTCTGTCACCCAGGCGGAAGTGCAGTGGTGTGATCTCAGTTCACTGCAACCTCCACCTCCCAGGCTTAAGGGATTCTCCTGCCTCAGCGTTCTAAGTAGCTGGGATCACAGGTGTCCACCACCACGCCTGGCTAAATTTTTTGTATTTTTAGTAGCGATGGGGTTGCACCACGTTGGCCAGGCTGGTCTGGAACTCCTGACCTCAGGTGATCCACCCACCTTGGCCTCCCAAAGTGCTGGGATTACAGGTGTGAGCTACTGTGCCCAGTAACATTTACAAACTTTCTTTCTTTCTTTCTTTTGTTTTTTGAGATGGAGTTTCACTCTTGTTGCCCAGGCTGGAGTGCAGTGGCGTGATCTCGGCTCACTGCAACCTCTGCCTCCCAGGTTCAAGCAATTCTCCTGCCTCAACCTCCTGAGTAGCTGGGATTACAGGCACGTGCCACCACACCCAGCTAATTTTTTGTATTTTTTTAGTAGAGACGGGGTTTCACCATGTTGGCCAGGCTGGTCTCGAACTCCTGGCCTTAGATGATCCTCCTGCCTGCTTCCCCGCTCACAGGCGTGAGCCACCACGCCAAGCCCCAAAATTTCTAATTTTTGATATTATGATTGATGCTGGGATGTTGGGTTCTGGAACCAGACTACCTGAGTCCAAATCACACCTCAGCCATTTACAAGTTATCTATTGCTGTGTAACAGGTGTTCACCAAAACTTAGCCACTTAACAAATATTTATTATCTCATGGTTTTCGTGTGAGAGAAATTCAGGAGCTTAGCTGGGTGGTTTAGGCTCGGGATCTCTCCTGAGGTTACCATCAGATGTCAGCCAGAGCCAGGCGCAGTGGCTCATGCCTGTAATCCCAGCACTTTGGGAGGCTAAGGCAGGCGGGTCACCTGAAGTTAGGAGTTCAAGACTAGCCTGGCCAACATGGTGAAACCTCATCTCTACTAAAAATATATAAATTAGCCGGGTGTGGTGGTGTGCATCTGTAATCCCAGGTACTTGGGAGGCCAAGGCAGGGGAATCACTTGAACCTGGGAGGCGGAGATTGCAGTGAGCCGAGATTGCACCATTGCACTCCAGCCTGGATGATACAGAGAAACTGTCTCAAAAAAAAAAAAAAAAAAAAAAATGTCAGCCAGGGCTGCAACTATCTGAAGACTTGACTGGGGCTGGAGGATCCACTTCCAAAACGTCACCCTTAGCTGGCGTTTGGCTGGAGGTCTCAGTTCCTTACCACATGGGCTTTTGCACAAGCTGCTTGAATTTTATCATGACATGACACCTAACTTCCCCAGAGCAAGCAATCCAAGAAAGCAAAGAAGACCTAGTACCATTTCTGATCTGGTCTGAGTCAAACACCATCACATTGCTTTATTCAAGTCACTAAGTCCAGCCCAGAGTCAAGGAGAAGCCAATTAGGTGTTATTCTCTTTTCTTTCTTTCTTTCTTTCTTTCTTTTTTCTTTCTTTCCTTCTTTCTTCCTTTCTTTTTCTTTCTTTCTTTCTTTTTTCTTTCTTTCTTTCCTTCTTTCTTTCTTTCTTTTTCTTTCTTTCTCTCTCTCTTTCTTTCTCTATTTTTCTTTTTCCTTCCTTCCTTCTCTTTCTCCCTTTCCCTCCCCTCCCCTCCCTTCCCCTCCCCTTCTCTTCCCTTCCTTTCCTTTTTTTGAGACAGAGTCTTGTTCTGTTGCCCAGGCTGGAGTGCAGTGGCGTGATCTTGGCTCACTGCAACCTCTGCCTCCAGGTTTCAAGTGATTCTCCTGCCTCAGCCTCCCAAGTATCTGTGATTACAGGCAAATCTTGGCTCACTGCAACCTCTGCCTCACAGATTCAAGCAATTCCCCTGTCTCAGCCTCCTGAGTAGCTGGGACTACAGGTGTGCACCACCACGCCCAGCTAAGTTTTGTATTTTTAGTAGAGACAGGGTTTCACCATGTTGGCCAGGATGGTCTCAATCTCTCGACCTCGTGATCCGCCTACCTTGGCCTACCAAAGTGCTGGGATTACAGGCGTGAGCCACTGCACCCGGCTAGTTTTTTGTATTTTTAGTAGAGACAGGGTTTCATCATGTTGGCCAGGCTGGTCTCGAACTCCTGACCTCAGGTGATCTGCCTGCTGCAGCCTCTCAAAGTGCTGGGATTACAGACGTGAGCCACCGCGCCCAGCTGATACTTAGTTTCTTACATGGTTGAATCTCAGAGTATTTGGCTGACTTGAGGCCTCTTAGCTTGGGCATCATTGGCTGCTAGAAAATCCAAGGACCGGAATTAGAGGTTCCGTGCATCCTGTAAGAGTGTAGGCAAAATTGTGTGCACGTGTTATTTGGTAGGAGGAGGTCCAAAGCTTTTATTGAGGGTCTCATGTAGTCTGTGATCCCAAGAAGAATATGGCTCACTGTGCAAAAGTGAGACCTCCTGTTGTATTTGTTCCCAATGTTTTCTTTCTTTCTTTTTTCTTTTCTTTTTTTTTTTTTTGAGACAGAGTCTTGCACTGTCGCCCAGGCAGGTGTGCAGTGGCACGATCTCGGCTCGCTGCAACCTCCACCTCCCAGGTTCAAGCAATTCTCCTGTCTCAGCCTCCTGAGTAGCTAGGATTATAGGCGCCCGCCACTGCGCCCAGCTAATTTTTTGTATTTTTAGTAGAGACGGGGTTTCACTATGTTGGCCAGGCTGGTCTTGAACTCCTGACCTCATGATCCACTCGCCTCAGCCTCCCAAAGTGCTGGGATTACAAGCGTGAGCCACCACACCCGGCCTGTACCTGATATTTTCTGATGACAATCTTCTTCCACTGGAGCATTGGATCTTCAATACTGAGGCACATCTTCTCCCTATACAACATACAGATAAAAAGGAAGTTGAAATCAGAGAGAAATAAAAAGACATTTTATATTTTATTCCGCTTCATTTTCATTTCCTTTTTTTTTTTTTTTTTTTAAGCTGGAGTCTCGGTCTGTCACCCAGGCTGGAGTGCAGTGGTGTGATCTCGACTCACTGAAACCTCTGCCTCCCAGGCTCAAGCGATTCTCGTGCCTCAGCCTCCTGAGTAGCTGAGATTACAGGTGCATGCCAATACACCCGGCTAATTTTTGTAGTTTTAGTAGAGACAGGGTTTCACCGTGTTGGTCAGGCTGTTCTCGAACTCCTGACCTCAGGTGATCCACCCACCTCTGCCTCCCAAAGTGCTGGGATTTCAGGCATGAGCCACCGCGCCCAGCCCTGCTCCATTCCCTTCACTGCATACCTTAATAATTCCTTTTCGGTAATCAGGCACATTTTGAACTTTTATGAATAGATCTGTGATTATTCTAAGTTCTTAAATTGTTCTGCAGTCTTTTATGTTTATTATCATAGGCATAGATGGACCTATATTCCTTACCATGTCCTTTATTATTCAACCAGTGTATCCTCTGGTTTTTTGCCTATGTTATTAAGTAACCTATTATCTCTGGAGTTCATGAAGTTATAATATCATTTTTATTAAACTGAATAGAATGGTATAGCAATGACCTCTTAATTACAATTTGATTTGACTGCAAAACTTTTTCCTCCTCTATAAGGAGATGATGTCTGCTTTAAGCTGTAATGTTTTGCCATGTTGCAAAAAGCCACAATAATAAATTAAGTATAAAAAAATACCTGTCTTAGGGCTGAGTGTAGTGGCTCGTGCCTATCCTGGCTACTTGAGAGGCTGAGGTAGGAGGATCACTTGAGCCAAGAAGTTCGAGGCTGCAGTGAACTGTAATTGTGCCATTAAACTGCAGCCTGGTGATGGAGGGAGACCTGGTCTCTAAATAAGTAAATTAACAAATAGACCAGACTGAGTGGCTCATGCCCGTAATCCCAGAACTTTGGGAAGCTGAGGTGGGAGGATCCCTTCAGGCCAGGAGTTCCAGACCAGCGTGGACAACATAGTGAGATCCCACCTCCTCAAAAAATTTAAAAATTAGTCAGGTGTGGTGGTGTGCACCTGTAGTGCCAGCTAGTATGGAGGCTGAGGCAGGAGGATCACTTGACCCCAGGAAGCAGTGAGCTGTGTTCACGCTGCTGCAGTCAAGCATGGGTGACAGAAGGAGAGCCTGTGTCAAAAAAATTAAAATAAATAAATAAATCTTGATATTTTATTCATTGTGTAGTTTCTGCATTAATTTTAATTTTTTTTTCTTTGAGACGCAGTCTCGCTCTGTCGCCCAGGCTGGAGTCCAGTGACATGATCTTGGCTCACTGCAAGCTCTGCCTTCCAGGTTCACGTCATTCTCCTGCCTCAGCCTCCTGAGTAGCTGGAACTACAGGTGCCTGCCACCACACCTGGCTAATTTTTTTTTTTTTTTGTATTTTTAGTACAGATGGGGTTTCGCCTTGTTAGCCAGGATGGTCTCAATCTGCTGGCCTCATGATCTCCCCGCCTTGGCCTCCCAAAGTGCTGGGATTACAGGCGTGAGCCACCGTGCCCGGCCCAGTAATTTTAATTTTTTAAAATAATCACTAGGTGCAGTGGCTCACGCCTGTAGTCCCAGCACTTTGGGAGGCCGGGGTAGGAAGATCGCTTAAGGCCAGGAGTTCAAGACCAGCCTGGACAACATATCGAGATCCCCATCTCTACGAAAAAAAAAAATAAAAATAAAAAAAATAAAAAAATTAGCCAGGCAGGTGGCGTGCACCTGCAGTCCTAACTACTCTGGAGGCTGAGGTGGGAAGGTTGCTTGAGCCCAAGAGTTCAAGGTTGCAGTGAACAAGGCTATGCTACTGCACTCCAGCCTGGGTGACAGAGTGAGACCCTGTCTCTAAAAATAGTAATAATTTAAAAAAATGTATTTAAGGCCGAGTGTGGTGGATCATGCCTGTAATCCCAGCACTTTGGGAGGCTGAGGCGGGTGGATCACTTCAAGTCAGGAGTTCGAGACCAGCCTGAGCAACATGGTGAAACCCCGTCTCTACTATAAAAAAAAACAAAAAACAAACAAACAACAACAAAAAAAAACAAAATTAGCCAGGTGTGGTGGCGGGTGCCCATAATACCAGCTACTCGGGAAGCTGACGCAGGAGCATCGCTTGAACCCGGGAGGCGGAGTTTGCAGTGAGCCCAGATTGCGCCATTGCACTCCAGCCTGGGCAACAAGAGCCAAACTCCGTCTCAAAAAAAAAAAAAAAAGTATTTAAATATTATGTATTATTTGGACACAATAAAAAAATTGGAAAAAATATTCTTTATCTTTGTTGCTTTTTTCTCTTTTTACCGCTCTCCCCCAATGTTGCTCCCTGTCCAGCGCCTCTCCGCAGCCTCTCCTCTGACTCTGCCCTGGGTTCAAGCTGCTTCTGGTCATTCGCGTGATGGCCTCGAGGGGGCGCTGCTTCCCCACTCATGCTCAGCCAGGACTCCTTAGTCAGTTTAATTGGGTTTGTTAACATCTTCCAGCTTAGATTCCTCTTCTGCAAAGTGGGTATTATAATGTTAGCCACGCAGGGATGACGAAGGAAGTGCAGTTGACCCTTGAACAACACGAGTTTGAACTGTACGGATGTACTCAGGCGTGGATTTTTTTCCACCCCTGCCACCCCTGAGACAGCAAGACCAAGCCCTCCTTCTGTTCTTCCTCCTTCTCCTTCTCCTTAGCCTGCTCAAGGTGAAGACGACAAGGATGAACACTTTTGTGATGATCCACTTCCACTTCATCCATAGTAAATATGTTTTCTCTTCCTTTGAAGTTTGGACGGGCACAGTGGCTCACTCCTGTAATCCCAGCACTTTAGAGGCCAAGACGGGTGGATCACCTGAGGCCAGGAGTTCAAGACCAGCCTAGCCAACATGGCAAAACCCTGCCTCTACTAAAAATACAAAAATTAGCCAGGCGTGGTGGTGGGCGCCTGTAATCCCAGCTACTCAGAGGCTGAGGCAGGAGAATCGCTTGAACCCAGGAGGCAGAGGTTGCAGTGAGTTGAGGTCATGCCACTGCACTCCAGCCTGGGCAACAGAGTGAGACTCCATCTCAAATAATGAAACAAACAAACAAAAAACAAAACAAAAACAAAACACCAGAATTTTTTTAGTGACATTTGCTTTTCTCTAGCTTACTTATTGCAAGAATACAGTATATAATACATAGAATGTAGAAAATCAGTGTTCATCGACCATTTATGTCATCAATAAGGCTTTTGGTCAATAGTAGGTGTTACATGCAGTCAAAAGTTACATGCAGATTTTTGACTGTAGGGGTGAGCTTGGCACTCCTAACCCCTGTGTTGGTTCTAAGGTTGACTACACAGAAATCCCCTAGCCCTGGGCTCGTGGTTACTCAATGCATAAGGATAATCACGATTTTTTTTTTTTTTTTTAAAACAGGGTCTTGCTCTGTCACCCAGGCTGGAGTGCAGTGGTGCAGTCATAGCTCACTGCAGCCTCAACCTCTTGGGCTCAAGTGATCCTCCCACCTCAGCCTGCCCAGTAGCTGGGACTACAGGCATGCACCACCAAGTCTGGTGAATTTTTATTTTTTGTAGATATGGGATCTCACTATATTGTCCAGGCTGGTCTCGAACTCCTGGGCTCAAGCAATCCACCTGCCTCAGCCTCCCAAAATGCTGGGATTACAGGCGTCAGCCAACATTCCCAGCCACTATTTTTTTTTTTTTTTGAGACAGTCTTGCTCTGTCCCCCAGGCTGGAGTGCAGTGGTGTGATCTCAGCTCACTGCAACTTCCGCCTCCTGGGTTCGAGCAATTCTCCTGCTTCTGCCTCCCAAGTAGCTGGGATTACAGGCATGCACCACCACGCCTGGCTAATTTTTTTTTTTTTTTGTATTTTTAGTAGAGATGGGATTTCACCATGTTGGCCAGGCTGGTCTCAAACTCTGGGCCTCAAGTGATCATCCCGCCTGGGCCTCCCAAAGTGCTGGGAGTGTGCCCGGCCCCAGCCACTATTTTTTAAGAGTACAAAATTGAAGCATATTCTGATAGGGAATTTAAAACACTCACTAAAGTAGGCAGAATAGTATAATGAACCGCAGCCCACCCTAACCACCATCACCCCCTACTCAACCTCGCCAACCCCGCCCCCATCCCATTTGCCTTCCTGTCAGGTATTATTTTGAAGCAAATCTCAGCTATCTTATCATTCCATAAATATTTTGTTATATGTCTCTAAAACATACACACTCTTTTTTTTTTTTTTTTGAGACAGGGTCTCACTCTGTTGCCCAAGCTGGAGCACAGTGGCGTGATCACGACTCATTGCAGCCTCAACTTCCCAGGTTCAAGTGATCCTTCCACCTCAGAGTAGCAGGGACCACTGGCACATGCACCATGTCTAGTTAATTTTTTAATTTTTTGTAAAAATGGAGTCTCAATATGTTGGCCAGTCTGGTCTTGAACTCCTGAGCTTAAGTGATCCTCCTGCCTTGGCCTCCCAAACTGCTGGGATAACAGGCATGAGGCACTGCACCTGGCCCAGACTCTTTAAAAGCCTAACCAGTCTGGGCATGGTGGCTCATGCCTGTAATCCCAGCACTTTGGGAGGCCGAGGCGGGTGCATCACCTGAGGTCAGGAGTTCCAGACCAGCCTGGACAACATGGTGAAACCCCGTCTCTACTAAAAATACAAAATATTAGCCAGGTGTGGTGGCAGGTGCCTCTAATCCCAGCTACTCGGGAGGGTGAGACAGGAGAATTGCTTGAACGTGGGAGGCGGAGGTTGCAGTAAGCCAAGATCATGCCATTGCACTCCAGCCTGGATGACAAGAGCAAAACTGTCTCGAAAACAAAAACAAAAATAAAAACAAAAACCTCACCGCAATACCATTGTCACACTGCAAAAACTTTGCCAATAATTTTTTAATATCTGTAGATTCCAGTTTAGCCAATAACTGTGGAGTTTTGGAATCATATCCGAATTTGGCTGTTAGCTCACTTCCTTGCCAAGGAAACTTGGGAAATTGTTTAACTTCTTTGAAGCCTATTTTCTTTCTTCTTCTTTTTTTTTTTAAACGCAGTCTCACTTTGTCACCCAGGCTGGAGTGCAATGGCGTGATCTCGGCTCACTGCAACCTCCGCCTTCCGGGTTCATGCGATTCTCCTGCCTCAGCCTCTCGAGTAGCTGGGATTACAGGTGCTCACCACCACGCCCAGCTAATTTTTGTATTTTTAGTAGAGACAGGGTTTCATCACGTTGGTCTGGAAGCCTGTTTTCATCATCAATGAACTGGGATAGTAAATTGAAGCCCCCAGATTGCTTGGAGTATTGGAGACAGTATGTTTCCTAAAATTTCAGCCCCTAAAACTTCTTTTCTTTTCTTTTTCTTTTTTTGTTTTAAAGAGACAGGGTTTTGCTCTGTTGCCCAGGCTAGAGTGCAGTGAGGCAATCATATCTCACTGCAGCCTTGACTTTCTGGGCTCAAGTAATCCTCCCACCTCAACCTCCCGAGTAGTTGGGACTACAGGCACACACCACCACGCCCAGCTAATTTTTTGTTATTGTTGTTGTTGTAGAGATGAGGGTCTCACTATGTTGCCCAGGCTGGTCTTGAACTCCTGGCCTTGAGTGATCCTCCCACCTTGGCTTCCCCAGTAGCTGGGACTACAGGAGCATGCCACTGTGCCTGGCAGCACCTGAAACTTCTTTTTTTTTTTTTTTTGTGAGATGGAGTGTAGTGTGGCTCTGTCGTCCAGGCTGGAGTGCAATGGCGTAATCTCTGCTCACTGCAACCTCTGCCTCCCAGGTTTAAGTGATCCTCCTGCCTCAGCCTCCCAAGTAGCTGGGATTACAGGCACCTGCCACCATGCCTGGCTAATTTTTGTTTTTAGTAGAGATGGGGTCTCACCATATTGGCCAAGCTGGTCTCAAATTCCTGACCTCAGGTGATTTGCCCACCTCGGCCTCCCAAAGTGCTGGGATTACAGGCATGAGCCACCGCGCCTGACCAAGTATCTGAAACTTCTATCCCTGAAAATATAGTAACACTATTATTATTACTTTTTCTTTGAGATGGAGGCTTGCTCTGTCGCCCAGGCTGGAGTGCAGTGGCGCAATCTCGGCTCACTGCAAGCTCCACCTCCCAGGTTCATGCCATTCTCCTGCCTCAGCTTCCTGAGTAGCTGGGACTACAGGTGCAAACCACCACGCCCAGCTAATTTTTTGTTTTTTGTTTTTTGTTTTTTATGTAGAGACAGGGTTTCACCATGTTAGCCAGGATGGTCTTGATCTCCTGACCTCGTGATCTGCCTGCCTTGGCCTCCCAAAGTGCTGGGATTACTGGCGTGAGCCACCATGCCTGGGTGACTTGTGAGTTTTTGAGACAAAGTCTCGCTCTGTCACCCAGGCTGGAGTGCAGTGGTGCGATCTCGGCTCACTGCAAGCTCCACCTCCCGGGTTCATGCCATTCTCCTGCCTCAGCTTCCTGAGTAGCTGGGACTACAGGTGCAAACCACCACGCCCAGCTAATTTTTTGTTTTGTTTTGTTTTGTTTTTTTTGTAGAGACGGGGTTTCACCGTGTTAGCCAGGATGGTCTTGATCTCCTGACCTCGTGATCTGCCTGCCTTGGCCTCCCAAAGTGCTGGGATTACTAGCGTGAGCCACCATGCCCGGGTGATTTGTGAGTTTTTGAGACAAAGTCTTGCTCTGTCGCCCAGGCTGCAGTGCAGTGGCAGGATCTCGGCTCATTGCAACCTCCAACTCCCAGGTTCAAACAATTCTTGTGCCTCAGCCTCCCAAGTAGCTGGGATTACAGGCATGCGTCACCACGCCCAGCTAATTTTTCTATTTTTAGTAGAGATAGGGGTCTCACCATATTGGCCAGTCTGGTCTTGAATGCCTGACCTCAGGTGATCCGCCTGCCTCGGCCTCCCAAAGTGCTGGGATTACAGGCATGAGCCACCGTGCCCGGTCTTGGAGTTTTAATGGTAATTAATCATGGCTAACATCTCACGGGCCCTTCCTGTGATGTAGGTGTAGTGTTAGTCTCACTCTCTATATAAATGCTTTTCATTGTCTCACCAACACAGGAAGTTAGTGAGAAAATTCAAGTGCAGAGTAGTGAAGCGTCACAGGCAAGGGACTTCACCTTTCTGCATCTTGTTTTCTTCATCTGTGAAACAGGATCATAATGTCTGTCTCTTGGGGTAATAATGTGGACTGCTAATGCCAAATGCCAACCAACTGCACCTCCTAGACTGTCAGCAAATGGCATCTTTTACGAGGAGCCGTATCAGCCTGGCACACAATAGTTAACCACTAAGTCTGGGCTGAATGCCCGGCTAAGCTGGTGCCCTAGTGCAAACAATCGCTTTCATTATCCCAGTTGCTGGGAGAATTGGGCAAGGAGAGACCCATAAAATACCTAAGACGAAAGTTACTAGGATAGCCAGGGGCTTGTCTTCCGGGTGGCGCCGAGGCCAGGAAACTGTCCTCTCTAACCTATTTCCCCAGAGGAGTCTAAATTGGTCGTTCAACTACCAGCAAAGGCTAAAGAGAGGCTGGAGCCCCCAGGACAGCCAGAACGCTGACACTGCAAAGGGCCTCTGTCCTTACTGGGGAAGCCCAGTCCTGCTCAGCTGTCTTCTTCAGCAACAAACAGAAGTCCAGAAAGAGAAACAGTTGTGGAGGAAGCTGTTGTGATGATAATTTACTGAGCACCTACTATGTGCCAGGCACGCCAGCCTTACCAGACAAGATCCTTGGGCTCATGGAATTCACTTTCTCGTGGGACAGACAAACAATAACATGTAGAAACATATCAGCTGTTGGTGAGTACCATGCAGAAAATTAAAATAAGGCGATGGCATTGGGAGTGACTTAAGGGGTCACTACGCAATGGGATGGTCAGAGACAGCCTCTCAGGAGGAGGTAGCATTGAAGCTAAAATGTGAACAACATGAACAGATGCAGCATAGAGCACTAAAGTACAGGACGTGCAAAGGCCCTGAGGTTGAAATAAGCTAAATGCATTAGACTAGGGGGTTCTCGAGTAAGGGGAATTCTGCCCCCTAGGGGACATTGCAATGTCTAGGGAGACTTTTTTTTTTTTGAGACGGAGTCTCGCTCTGTCACTAGGCTGGAGTGCAGTGGCGTGATCTCAGTTACTGCAAGCTCTGCCTCCCAGGTTCACACCATTCTCCTGCCTCAGCCTCCTGAGTAGCTGGGACTACAGGTGTCCGCCACATGCCCGGCTAATTTTTTGTATTTTTAGTAGAGACGGGGTTTCACCGTGTTAGCCAGGATGGTCTCGATCTCCTGACCTCATGATCTGCCCTCCTCGGCTTCCCAAAGTGCTGGGATTACAGGCGTGAGCCACCGCACCTGGCCGAGACTTTTTCTTTTTGAGATGGAGCCTTGCTCTGTTGCCCAGGCTGGAGCGCAGTGGCACGATCTCGGCTCACTGCAACCTCTGCTTCCCGGGTTCAAGCGATTCTCCTGCCTCAGGCTTCCGAGTAGCTGGGATTACAGGTACATGCCACCGCGCCAGCTAATTTTTGTATTTTTAGTAGAGATGGGGTTTCGCCATGTTGGCCAGGCTGGTCTCGAACTCCTGGCCTCAAGTAATCTGCCTGTTTTGGCCTCTCAAAGTGCTGGGATTAGAGGTGTGAGCCACTGCACCCAGCCTAGGGATACTTTTTAATTGTGACGACTTTGGTGGTGGTGGTGGGGGTGTGCTGTTGAAATCTAGTGGGTGGGGGCCGGAAATGCTTTGCAACATCCTAAAATGCATGGGACAATTGCCACCACAGAGGATGATCTGGCCTCAAATGTTTGTCATACTGAGATGGAGGAAGTCTGGGAGAGAGACTAGGAAAAAGCCTAGAGGTGAAAGGCAAGGTCAAAGACTCTTATCCTCCTGCGATCATCAGCAGGCAGTAACCAAGGGAGCGTGGCCAGGCGCTGAAGTGAATTCGGGTCCAAGGAGCCTGCTGGGACCCAGGAAAACGAGAGAAGGAACAGAAATTGTGGTGGAGGCAAATTCAAGATCAGAAGATTGGGGAGGAGGTGCTAAGAGAGGTCTGGAGAGATGCTGGGACCCAGAACTGGGGCCTCAGTGAGATCAGCAGGCTGCAGCTAAACTGTGGTATCCAGGTGAGTTGTGGGAAGGTGGCTGGGGGGCCGGGCTGGGTTTATGGGGGCGGGGTCCGTGGAGGAGAGGGGGTCTGACCCGCACTCGCTCCCTGACTCTGCCCTTCTAGCTGGTGAGAAAGTTCTCACTCTAAGCTGCAGTTTTCTCATCTGTTGAATGGTGACGCTCAACTCTATTTACTGGGCCTTTACTGCTGAGAAAATAATTAACTCTGGCTGCCCGTGGTGGCTCATGCCTCTAATCCCAGCACTTTGGGAGGCTGAGGCAGGAGGATGGCTTGAGGCCAAGAGTTCAAGAACAGCCTGAGCAACACAGTGAGACTCCCGTCCCTACAAAAAATAAAAAACTTAAGCCTAGCATGGTGGCACATGCCTATAGTTCCAGCTACTTGAGACGCCGAGGCAGGAGGATGGTTTGAGTCCAGGAGTTCAAGGCTGCAGTGAGCTATGATCATGTCACTGCACTCTAATCTGGGCAATGGAGTGAGACCCTGTCTCTTGAAAAAAACAACAACAACAACAACAACTAAAAAACTAGCTAGGCATGGTGGTGTGTGCCTGTTAATCCCAGCTACTCAGGAGGCTGAGGTGGGAGGATCACTTGAGGACAGGAGATGGAGGCTGCAGTGAGCCACAATAGTGCCACTGCACTCCAGCCTGGGCGACAGAGCAAGACTTGACTTTTTTTTTTTTTGAGACGGTCTTGCTCTGTCACCCAGGATGGAGTGCAATGGTGCGATCTCAGCTCACTGCAATGTCCGTTTCCTGGGTTCAAACAATTCTCCTGCCTCAGCCTCCCTGAGTAGCTGGGATTACAGGCATGAACCATCACGCCCAGCTAATTTTGTATTTTTAGTAGAGGCGGGGTTTCTCCATGTTGGCCAGGCTGGTCTCAAACTCCTGACCTCAGGCGATCCGCCCACCTTGGCCTCCCAAAGTGCTGGGATTACAGATGTGAGCCACTGTGCCTGGCCGACCCTCACTCTTAAAAAAGAATTAACTCAGCAGGCCTGAGTTGTCCATACCCCACACATTAAAGCTGTAGCTCTTGACCTGCTCCTGGGAAGTGACCTCTAAGCCCTTGGAATGGGATAAGGGTGTCTTTGTTTACCTGGAGAGCCTTGGCTCACACTAGATACTAACAACATGACTTAGAGAGGGAGCTTTAAGTCACGTGATATTGGTTGACCTCTGGAGGGGCTGGGGATTAAGGTCAGCTATGCTGGTGGTCAATCATGTCTACGTGACCAACTCCCAATAAAAACCCCGGACACCAAGGCTCAGGAGAGCTTTCCTAGTTGGTGGCAAACTGTTCATGTTGTCACACATCACTGCTGGGAGATTTAAGTGCTGGCCATACAACTTCACTGGGAGGGGACGACTGAAATCTCACACCTGGTCTCTTCTGGACCCTGCCTTGGATGCCTCTTCCTGTGCCTGATCTTATTTTATTTTTTGAGGCAGAGTCTCTCTCTGTTGCCCAGTGGTGGCTCACTGCAGCCTCAACCTCCTGCGCTCAAGTGATTCTCCCATCTCAGCCTCCCAAGTAGCTAGGACCGCAGACACGAATCACCATGTCCAGCTGATTTTTTTGCTGTTGTTGAGATAGGGTCTCGCTCTGTTGTCCAGGCTGGGGTACAGTGTTGCGATCTTGGCTCACTGCAACTTCTGCCTCCCAGGCTCAAGTGGTCCTCTCACCTCAGCCTTGTGAATAGCTGGGACTACAGGTGTGCACCACCACATCTGGCTAATTTTTAAATTTTTTGTAGAAATGGGGTTTCACCATGTTGCCCAGGCTGGTCTTGAACCCTTGGACTCCCAAAGTGCTGGGATTACAGGCGTGAGCCACCAAGTCTGGCCCTGGATAATTTTTTTATTTTGTAGAGACACTGTCTCCCTGTGTTGCCCAGGCTGGTCTTGAACTCCTGGGCTCAAGCAATCCCCACCTCAGCCTCTCAAAGTGCCGAGATTACAGGCATGAGCCACTGTGCCTGGCCCCTTGGCTGATTTTAATTTATATCCATTCATCATAACCTATGAGTACCTATTTTACAGCTTTTTCTGTTTTGTTTTGTTTTGTTTTGTTTTGTTTTGTTTTGTTTTGAGATGGACTGTCCCTCTGTTGCCAAGGCTGGGTGTGGTGTGATCTCAGCTCACTGCAACCTCTACCTCCTTGGTTCAAGCGATTCTCGTGTCTGAGCCCCCCACGTAGCTGGGATTACAGACGTGCACCGTCATGCCCGGCTAATTTTTGTATTTTTAGTAGAGACGGGGTTTCACCATGTTGGCCGCGCTGGTCTCCGACTCCTAACCTCAAGTGATCGGCCCGCCTTGGCCTCCCAAAGTCCTGGGATTACAGGCGTGAGCCATCTCGCCTGGGCTATGACACCATTTTTAAATTCTCTGAGTCCTAAGGAATCATGGAGCTTGAGGGTGCTCTTGGGGAATCCCTCAATGGCAGAGTCTGTCCTGGGTGGACAAGGCAGGGAAGGGAAGTCAAGGCAGAGAGGATAGTAAGAGCAAAGACACAAAGGTTTGAAAATACAGTTGACCCAGTAGAATCAATATCACTGTTTTGTTGAGAGCTCACTAATGCTGGGCATTTTATAGACCTATCTCCCAACCGCCTTGTTGATGTTTTGTTCAAGGTGGATATTTTCGGCATTAATTTTGATCTGCTAACACATTGCACTACCTCATATATTGCTGCAGAGACAAGCGCCCTGAATGGCTCTTACTTTCATTTCACAGACCATGCGGCCGATGCCCTGGGAGGGAGACCACTTGCTTAAGTCCTCCAGGAGGGCGATGGAGGAGCCGGCATTCCAACCAGGCTCACGGATGCCAAGGTATACGCGTGTTCTCTCTGCCTCCAGCGGTGGTTTGCTACTGTTGTGAAGAGGTTGGGCAGGATTCAGGTCGCCAGGGCATTTTCAATAATGTCAGATCATGGCTGGACGTGGGGCCTCACACCTGTAATATCAGCACTTTGGGAGGCTCAGGTGGGAGGATCGTTTGTTGGCAGGAGCCTGCCAAGTTCCAGCCTTGAACTCAACCCAGTGAGACCCCATTTCTACAAAAAAAATATTTTTTTTTGAGACGAAGTTTCGCTCCTATTGCCCAGGCTGGAGTGTAATGGCGCCATCTTGGCTCATGCAACCTCTGCCTCCCAGGTTCGAGTAATTCTCCTGCCTCAGCCTCCCAAGTAGCTGGGACTACAGGCATGTGACACCATACCCAGCTAATTTTTTGTATTTTTAGTAGAGATGGGGTTTCACCATGTTGGCCAGGCTGGTCTGGAACTCCTGACCTCAGGTGGTCCACCCACCTCGACCTCCCAAAGTGCTGGGATTACAGGCGTGAGCCACTATGCCTAGCCAAAAATTTTTATTTATTTTTTATTTTTTTATTTTTTGAGACGGGGTCTCACTCTGTCGCCCAGGCTGGAGTGCAGTGGTATGATCTTGGCTCACTGCAACCTCTCTGCCTCCCAGGTTCACGCAATTCCCATGCCTCAGCCTCTCGAATAGCTGGGACTACAGGCGTGCACCACCATGGCCAGCTAATTTTTGTATTTTTAGTAGAAGCAAGGTTGGCCAGGCTGATCCTAGACTCCTAGGCTCAAATGATTCGCCTGTCTTGGACTCCCAAAGTGCTGGGATTATAGGCATGATCCACTGGGCCCAGACTCTACACAAATTTTTTTTTTTTTAATTAACCAGACGTGATGGTGCACACCTGTAGTCCCAGCTACTTGGGAGGCTGAGATGGGAGGATCACTTGAGCCCAGGAGATCGAGGCTACAGTGAGCTATGATCACACCACTGCACTCCAGCCTGGGTGGCAGAGCAAGACTCTGTATCACCTAACAACAAACCTCCTGCAGGCAAAGATAACTAGCTAGAGTTTATTTATTTATTTAATTTTATTGTTCATTTATTTATTTATTTATTTTTGAGATGGAGTCTCCCTCTGTCACTCAGGCTGGAATGCAGTGGCATGATTTTGGCTCACTTCAACCTCCGCCTCCCAGGTTCAAGCGATGCTTCCGCCTCAGCCTCCCAAGTAGCTGGGACTACAGGGGCTCAGGACCATGCCTGGCTTATTTCTGTATTTTTAGTAGAGATGGGGTTTCACCATGTTGGCCAGGCTGGTCTTGAACTCATGACCTCAAGTGATCCATCTACCTTGGCCTCCCAAAGCGGTGGGATTACAGGCACGTGATTGTAGCTCACAGCAGCCTTGAACTCTTGGGCTCATGCAATCCTCCCATCTCAGCCTCCCAAGTAGCTGGGACAACAGGCAGGCACCATCATGCCATAGCTACATTGTTTTTTTTTTGTTTGTTTTTTTTTGCTTTTTTTTTAGACAGAGTTTCATTCTTGTTGCCCAGGCTGGAGTGCAGTGGCACGATCTTGGCTCACTGCAACCTCTGCCTCCCAGGTTCAAGTGATTCTCCTGCCTCAGCCTCCGGAGTAGCTAGGATTACAGGCATGCACCACCAAACCCGGCTAATTTTGTATTTTTAGAAGAGACAGGGTTTCTCCACATTGGTCAGGCTGGTCTCGAACTCTTGACCTCAGGTGATCTGCCCACCTCGGCCTCCCAAAGTGCTGGGATTACAGGCGTGAGCCACAGCTCCTGGCCCATGGCTCTATTTTTAAAAAACTTTTTTTTGCAGAGATGAGGGCTCACTGTGTTGCCCTGGCTGGCCTTGAACTGCTGGCTCAAGAGATCCTCCTGCCCTGGCCTCTGGAATAGCTGGGATTACTGGAACAAGCCATTGTGCTCAGCTACTAGAATTGATTTTAAACTGTTTTCTTTCTTTTTTTCTTTTTTCTTTTGAGATGGTGTCTTGCTGTGTCACCAGGCTGGAGTGCAGTGGTGTGATCTTAGTTCACTGCAACCTCCACCTCCTGAGTTCAAGCGATTCTCCTGCCTCAGCCTCCCAAGTAGCTGGGATTACAGGCCTGCGCCACCACACCTGGCTAATTTTTGTATTTTTCATAGAGACAGGGTTTCACCATGTTGGCCAGGCTGGTTTGAACTCCTAACCTCAAGTGATCCACCCACCTCGGCCTCCCAAAGTGCTGGGATTATAGGTGTGAGCCACTGCACCTGGCCTAAAACTGGTTTCTCAGTTTTTCAACACTGCTGACAACTGGGAACAGATCATTCTTTGTGGGGGCTTCCTGGGCATTGTTAGATGTTGAGCAGCATCCCTGGTCTCCACCCACGTGATGCCAGTAGCATCCTCCAGTCGTGGCAACTGGAAAGGTCTCCAGACATTGCAAGTGTCCCCTGGGGGCTGAATGGTCCCCAAGTGAGAACTGCTGGTTGAAATAGTATGTGCGGTGCCTGGACGTGGAAGGACTTTGCCTCGTGGGAGGGGGTGGGAAGGGCAGAATGGGGTGGGACTTTCGTCAAGCGGTTGTCTTTCTTGTCTGGGCTGTGGGGCTGGGCATGGCTCCCAGCCTCTCCTCTGCACACCTGGGCTCAGGCTCAACTTACACGGGTAGGCCCCAGGGGACCCAGGTGTTCAAGAGGTTGGCTGGTCCCCGGGCCCCAATGCCCAGCACTGGGAAACCATAGTTGCTATGGTGACTACTGCGCTCTGAGGACGAGGAGCTGGGAAGAGGACTCCCGTGCCTAGAGGAGCCAACATCCAGAGGTCTTGGCGGGGAGGCCACTGTCTAATATCCCTCCATGAGTGCTTGCAGACCAAGGAAAGCAGTGGAGAGGAGCTGGTTCAGCTCCCCAGAGGCACTGGAGGTGGTGGGGGCTGCAGGTCACTGGGGGAGCCTCGGAAGGTGAAACTGGCTCCCCGTTCCTGATGGCCCTGCCCGGCTGGCCTACCAGGAAGGCTGCCTGGCTGCTGGCGTGAGGTCTCTGAGCCCCACGCCCTTTCCAGGGGAAGGGTCATCTTGGTGGGTGGGCGGCAATGAGCGTGGGCCCTCTCAGCCCGAGTACCCGCCGGCGGCTTCTGCGGGGTGAAGCCGGCCCCCTCCCAGCACCTCCACCCAGCGGTGTGACCATCTTCATCAGTTCCACAGTCTCAGGTAAGGTGCAGGGTATGGATGGGGGCTCAGAGGCAGGTTGGCACGCTCAGGCGGTGTCAGGGCAATGGGCACAGCTCATGGAGTCCTTTAAGAGACCTAGACGTGAACCAAGTACTGTGTTTCACGCCTGTAATCCCAGCACTTTGGGAGGCTGAGGCGGGTGGATCACTTGAGGTCAAGAGTTGAAGACCAACCTGGGCAACATGGCGAAACCCTGTCTCTACTAAAAATACAAAAAATTAGCTGGGCGTAGTGGTGGGTGCCTGTAATCCCAGCTACTTGAGAGGCTGAGGCAGGAGAATCCCTGAACCTGGGAGGCAGAGGTTGCAGTGAGCCAAGATCGCGCCATAGCACTCCAGCCTGAGCAACAGAGCAAGACTCTGTCTCAAGAAACAAAATAAACCAAAAACTCAAAAAGGAGATATTAGATAATAGCATGCAGCTACACAGCACTGCCTAACTCCACATTCAGTGAAGTCAGTTGGCAACTTGATATTAACCAGGGTGGAGCATTTAAACCACGGAAATTGGCAGAAAATACAAATCGGATTTAAAAAAATTTGTTTTGGAGAACAGAGTATTATGGAACATTTGCTGGGTCACTGCTCTTTTTTTTTTTTTTTTTTTCTGAGATGGAGTCTCACTCTGTCGCCCAGGCTGGAGTGCAGTGGTGCGATCTGGACTCACTATTACCTCTGTCTCCCAGGTTCAAGGGATTCTCCTGCCTCAGCCTCCTGAGCAGCTGAGATTACAGCCACCTGCCACCATGTCTGACTAATTTTTGTATTTTTAGTAGAGATGGGGTTTCACCATGCTGACCAGGCTGGTGTCAAACTCCTGACCTCAGGTCATCTGCCCCACTCAGCCTCCCAAAGTGCTGGGATTACAGGCGTGAGCCACCATGCCTGGCCACACCACTCCATGTATATGTGCTCTCATAGAAATTACATCCTGGTTCGGGGAATGGACACATAAATTAAGTAATTGCAGGCCGGGTGCAGTGGCTCACACCTGTAATCCCAGCACTTTGGGAGGCCGAGGCGGGCGAATCACGAGGTCAGGAGATTGAGACCATCCTGGCTAACACAGTGAAACCCTGTCTCTACTAAAAATACAAAAAATTAGCTAGGCGTGGTGGCGGGCGCCTGTAGCCCCAGCTGCTCGGGAGGCTGAGGCAAGAGAATGGCGTGAACCCAGGAGGCGGAGCTTGCAGCGAGCCGAGATCATGCCACTGCACTCCAGCCTGGGCAACAGAGCATGACTCCATCTCAAAAAAAAAAAAAAAAAAAAATAAGTAATTGCAGCTTGTGGGCCAGGTGTGGTGGTTCACACCTGCAATCCCAGCACATTGGGAGGCCGAGGTGGGAGAATTGGGAAACCTCTATGATGTGAATGCAGCTCAGGTAGTGACTCATGTGGGAGCCTCCTGGACCCTCTGTTTCCTCCTCGAGAAGCCAGACTGAGAACCCAACTTGATAGAGTTGCTGTGAGTGGCATACGATGTTACAACTAATATTTATGACCAATGTACTGTGTGTCAGGCTTAAAAACTGCCAGAACCTTGCCACAGCTGCATGGCCCTGTGTGACCGGACCCTGCTCACCTCCCCAACCTTATCTCATGTGGTCACTCCCTTGTCTACCTGTCATATCCACACCAGAATCCATAGATCCGGGAACCCACAAGGCCCTGGGGCCCATATCAGGACTATCACTCTCACGGTTCCCTCTTCTCCTTCTTATTCTGATCCTTTGGGTCTCAGTGCAAACACCCCGTCTTCAGGGAGCCCTTCTCTGCCCCTCGATGTAAAGTAGATTTGTCCCTCTGAAGTGGGCAGATTGCTTGAGCTCAGGAGTTCAAGACCAGCCTGAGCAACATGGCGAGGCCCCATCTTTACAAAAAGTAAAAAAAAAAAAAAAATAGGCTGGGTGCAGTGGCTCACACCTGTAATCCCGGTACTTTAGGGGGCCGAGGCACCTGAGGTGAGGAGTTTGAGACCAGCGTGGCCAACATGGTGAAACCCCGTCTCTACTAAAAATACAAAAATTAGCCCAGTGTGGTGGTGTGCGCCTGTAATCCCAGCTACTCAGGAGGCTGAGGCAGGAGAATCCCTTGAATCTGGTAGGCGGAGGTTGCAGTGAGCCGAGATTGTGCCACTGCATTCAAGCCTGGGCACAGAGCGAGACTCTGTCTCAAAAAATAAAAAAAGAGAAAAGAAAAGAAAGAGAGAGAGAAGGAAGGAAGGAAGGAAGGAAGGAAAGAAGGAAAAGAAAGAAAGATTTGTCCCTGTTATTCTCTAGCCCAGCCCACCCGTGTGTTTTCAATAGCACTCTTCACAAACTGCAAGTACTTTTTAAAACTATTTATGGGCCGGGCGCAGTGGCTCACGCCTGTGATCCCAGCACTTTGGGAGGCCGAGGTGGGCAGATCACAAGGTCAGGAGATTGAAACCATCCTGGCCAACATGATGAAACCCCATCTCTACTAAAACACAAAAAATTAGCCAGGTGTGGTGGTGCACGCCTGTAATCCCAGCTACTTGGGAGGCTGAGGCAGGGGAATTGCTTGAACCCAGGAGGCAGAGGTTGCAGTGAGCTGAGATCACGCCACTGCACTCCAGCCTGGTGACAGAGTAAGACTTCGTCTCAAAAAACAAACTAACAAAAAAACAAAAAAAAAACCCAAAATCTATTTATGTATTTATTTATTGTGCCCCTTGGTTAAGCATAAGGGGTACAATGGCAAACAAGATATAATCCACTGGTCACAGTGGCTCACTCCTGTAATCCCAGTGCTTTGAGAGGCCAAAGCAATTGGATTGCTTGAGCCTAGGAGTCTGAGGCCAGCCTAGAAAACATAGTGAGACTCCTTCTCTACAAAAAATTTAAAAAAATATATATGGCTGTGGTGGTGCCCCTCTATAATCCCAGCTACTCAGGAGGCTGAGGTGGGAGGATTGACTGATGCTAGGAGTTTGAGGTTACAGTGAGCTATGATTGCACCACTGCCCTCCAGCCTGGGTGATGGAGTGAGACCTGTCCCTTAAAAAACATTTTTTTAAAAATATATACAGGGCTGGGTATGGTGGCTCATGTCTGTAATCCCAACACTTTGGGAGGCTGAGGTGGGAAGATGGCTTGAGTCCAGGAGTTCAAGACCAGCCTAGGAAACATAAGGAGACTCCACAAAATAAATAAAATAACTGCCTATTGCGATTTTTTTTATTTTTCTTTCTTTCTTTTTTTTTTTTTTTTTGAGATGGTGGCAGCAGATGAGGCTTTAGCCGCAGGCCAGGCGCAGTGGCTCACGCCTGTAATCCCAACACTTTGGGAGGCAGAGGAGAGAGAATCTCTTGAGGCCAGGAACTCGAGACCAGCCTGGGCAACATAGCGAGATCCCATTCTCCACAAAAAAGGGGAAAAAAGACAAAAGTAAATCAATAAAATAAAAGCAGAGCTATGAGGCTGGGAAGAGTTCTGAGTCCTTTCCACTAATACCCTCCATGCCCTTCCTTGCAGATATGGATGCAGAGAGGGAAGCCCTGCAGAGCACTGCCTACCCTGAAGTGCCAGACCTTCTGCCAGAGGCACGGCTTGATGTTTGAGGTAACTGGAAGTCACTCCGGGCTCCATGCTTTTTTTATTTTTTTTTGACACGTAGTTCTTGCTCTGTCGCCAGGCTGGAGTGCAGTGGTGCGATCTCGGCTCACTGCAACCTCTGCCTCCCGGGTTCAAGCGATTCTCCTGCCTCAGCCTCCTGAGTAGCTGGGACTACAGGCGTGCGCCACCACGCCCAGCTAATTTTTGTATTTTTAGTAGAGACGGGGTTTCACCATGTTGGCCAGGATGGTCTTGATCTCTTGACCTTGTGATCTGCCCGCCTCGGCCTCCCAAAATGCTGGGATTACAGGCGTGAGCCACTGAGCCCAGCCCCATGCTTTTTTTTTTTTGAGACAGAGTCTCGCTCTGCCACCCAGGCTGGAGTGCAATGGTGCAATCTCAGCTCACTGCAACCTTGGCCTCCAGGGTTCAAGCGATTCTCTCGCCTCAGCCTCCTGAGTAGCTGGGATTACAGGTGCCCGCCACCACGCCCCTCTATCCATACTCTTTTAATGCTTTACTGTTGAGTTTTAAAATTCACAGTGATTTTTAAACAAAGGTCCCACATGTTCTTTTTGCACCGAGCCCCGTAGATTCTGTAGTTGGTCCTGGAGATCTGGCCCTGGAGATAAAAATCCTTGGGACTATAAAAAGGCAGGTGGGACTGGGCGCGGTGGCTGACACCTGTAATCCCAGCACTTTGGGAGGCAAAGGCGGGCAGATCGCTTGAGGTCAGAAACTCGAGACTAGCCTAGGCAACATGATGAAACTCTGTCTCTACTAAAAATATAAAAATTAGCCGGGCGTGGTGGCTCATGCCTGTAGTCCCAGCTACTCAGGAGGCTGAGGCAGGAGAATCGCCAGAACTTGGGAAGCAGAGATTGCAGTGAGCTGAGATCAAGCCACTGTACTCCAGCCTGGGTGACAGAGTGAGACTCCGTCTCAAAAAAAAAAAAAAAAAAGGCAGATGGAGGGGTTACAGCCATGTGCACCGTGCTTGGTTAGCATGGCAGGTGGTGTAGAAAAGTGAGTAGGAGTGAATGCTTTTGAACACAGATTCATCGCTGTGTCCCTTGCAGTGTGACCTTGGACATGTCATTTAACTGTCTGTTGTTGTTGCTGCTGTTTTTGTCTTGCCTTCAGAGCTTCCTGGCCCTCTTCGTACTGGGCTTCAGGAGGAGTATAAGAGGGCTTTGCGATATGGGGGATGGGCATGGAGGTTGGACATGCCTTTTTCTAGAACGCTGATGGTGTACCTGTTTGGCACAGTCCCAAAACAGTAGGAGCCCCTAATGCTGTCTCCTTGTACCAATCCCTGGCTAGGGAATTTTTTTTTTTTTTTCAGATGAGGTCCAGTGGATGACAGAGCAAGACTTCATCTCAAAAAAAAAAAAAAAGAAAAAGTGAAAAAGTGCAGTGGTGTGATCTCACAGCTCACTGCAACCTTGAGCTTCTGGGCTCAAGGGATCCTCCTGTCTCAGCCTTCTGAGGAGCTGAAACTACAGACATGCAGCGCTATCCCTGGCTAACCGGGGATGTTTCTGCCTGCACATTTCCCTGTGGAAACTGATGAACATCTTTGGAGTCTCAGCTTAACTTGAGGGCTGCCTCCTTGCTGCTTATGAGAATGATTCATTGCACCAAAGTCCCATTTGGTTAAAAGATGAGGCCGGGCACAGTGGCTAACACCTGTATTCCCAGTGCTTTGGGAGGCCAAGGCAGGAGGATTGCTGGAGGCCAGGAGTTTGATACCGGTCTGGGTAATATAACAAGATCCCGTCTCTATAAAATTAAAAAAATGAGCTGGGTGTGGTGACGCCCACCTGTAGTCCCAGCTACTGGGGAGGCTGAGGTGGGAGGATCACTTGAACCCAGGAGTTTGAGGCTGCAGTGAGCTGTGATGGAGCCACTGCACTCTAGCCTGGGTGCCAGATTGGGATGCTGTCTTTAAAAAAAAAAAAATCTGGGCCGGGCGAAGTGGCTCATGCCTGTAATCCCAGCACTTTGGGAGGCCAAGGCGGGTAGATCACCTGAGGCCAGGAGTTCGAGACCAGCCTGGCCAACATGGTGAAACCCCCTCTCTACTAAAAATACAAAAATTACCCAGATGTGGTGACACGCACCTGTAATCCCAGCTACTCGGGAGGCTGGGGCAGGAGAATTGCTTGAACCTGGGAGGTGGTGGTTGCAGTGAGCCGAGATAACGCCACTGCACTCCAGCCTAGGCAACAGAATGAGATTCTGTCTCAAAAAAAAAAAAAAAATCAAGTGGCTCTTTGGGTAAAAAAGAAAAGAAAAGGAAAAAGATGCATGATCGTTATGGTTTGTATATTTATTACTAAGAAAGAAGCAGTGCTGGAAATTCCACTCTGCCCACCATTGATCATGAGACATAGTTCAATGTCAAAGGCACTATGGAAGCATCAGCACTGAGAGCTGATGAAATGGTCAAGCTTTTCTGTTTAATGCCCATGCCCGTCCTCTGACGCGGATGCTGTCAACATCCTCCACACGCACATCGGGAGACGGCGGTCCCTCCAGAAGCACAAGCTCCTTCCAGAGGCTGGCTCCTGACCCCTTTTCCTTTCCTGCTCCTCTAACTCATTGTTCCTCCCCCTTTCTTCCTCCAGTCACATTGAGTACTGCTGGCCTCTCACCACTTGTCTTAAGAATCTATGTGTCTTTCTCTCGGTGCTAAAGAATTCAGGGAGGCAGGGACTGTTCCGAGTTGTCTTTGTCTCCCTGTCACCCCAGCCTTCCACAGGGTCAGCTTTGCCTACCTGAACTGAGCTGTTCTGCCCAGCCTCCCCATGGCGAGCAGGCACAAATGAACTGCAAGCGTGCGGTTGCCAAGGAGACCTTGGTACGTCCAGTGCTGGCCAAACTAAACACCCTCCTTTGCAAGGAAAGCTTTGTGAACAAGTGTGGACACGTCCTTGCTTTCAAAGCAACAGTTTGAAAATGGCCAAGTTCCTTTTTTAAAAAAGCTTTTCTGTCAGGGCGAGGTGGCTCATGCCTGTAATCCCAGCACTCTGGGAGGCCGAGACAGGCAGATCACGAGGTCAGGAGATTGAGACCATCCTGGCTAACACGGTGAAACCCCATCTCTACTAAAAAATGCAAAAAATTAGCCGGGCATGTAGTCCCAGCTACTCCGGAGGCTGAGGCAGGAGAATGGCGTGAACCCGGGAGGCGGAGCTTGCAGTGAGCCAAGATTGCGCCACTGCACTCCAGCCTGGGTGATAGAGCAAGACTCCATCTCAAAAAAAAAAAAAAGATTTTCTTTCTTTTTTTTTTTCTTTTTTCTTTTTCTGTTTTTCTTGCAACAGGGTGTCGCTCTGTCACCCAGGCTGGAGTGCAGGCATGCAATCACAGCTCACTGCAGCTTTCTGGGCTCAGGTGATCCTCCTGTCTCAGCCTCTCAAGTATCTGAGACTACAGGCACACACCACTACACCTGGCTATTTATTTATTTATTTATTTATTTATTTATTGTAGACACAATGTCTCCCTATATTGTTCAGGCTGGTCTCAAACTCCCGGCCTCAAGAGATCCTCCTCCCTCAGCCTCCCATAGTGCTGGGATTATAGGGGTAAGCCACTTTGCCCTGCCTCTGTTCTAATTTTTTTATTTTAATTAACTTGCTTTTTTATTTCTTAATTTTTATTTTTTTAGAGATGAGGTCTTGCTACATTGCCCAACCTGGTCTTGAACTCCTGGGTTCAAGCAATCCTCATGCTTCAGCCTCCAGAGTAGCTGGGATTATAGGCACATGCCACCGTGCCCGACTAAATGTTTATAAATAAACTTCTGAATTTGGAATTTAGGCTTACAGGAAACGCATGGACAGTACGGAGTTCCCATACACCCCACACTCTGTGTCTCCTAACGTTTTACCTAACCACAGCACAACCAACTATGTTGTTACAACTATGAAATGAACTTTGAGGACAGGTGCAGTAGCTCGTGCCTGTAATCCTAACATTTTGGGAGGCTGAGGCAGACAGTTCACTTGAGATCAGGAGTTTGAGACCAGCCTGGCCAACATAGCAAAACTTTATCTCTAATAAAGATACAAAAAAATTAGCCAGGCGTGGTGGTGCACGCCTGTAATCCCAGCTACTCGGGAGGCTGAGGCAGGAGAATTGCTTGAACTCGGGAGGCGGAGGTTGTGGTGAGCTGAGAGTGCACCACTAAGCTCCAGCCTGGGTGACAGAGCAAGACTCTGTCCCCCTGACCAAAAAAAAAAAGAAAGAAAGAAAGAAAGAAATCAGTCTGGGGGCAGTGGCTCATGCCTGTAATCCCAGCATTTTGGGAAGCCGAGGTGGGTGGATCACCTGAGGTCAAGAGTTCGAGACCAGCCTGGCCAATATGGTGAAACCTTATCTCTACTAAAAATACAAAAAATTAGCCAGGCATGGTGGTGTGCGCCTGTAGTTCCAGCTACTCAGGAGACTGAGGCATAAGAATCGCTTGAACCCATTAGGCAAAATTTACAATGAGCCAAGATCATGCCACTGGAAGGAAGGAAGGAAGGAAGGAAGGAAGGAAGGAAAGAAGGAAGGAAGGAAGGAAGGAAGGAAGGAAGGAAGGAGGAAGGAAGGAAGGAAGGAAGGAAGGAAGGATTTTCCAGTGAGACAAGATTGCGCCACTGCACTCTAGCCTGGGTGACATAGCAGGACTCCAACTCAAAAAAAAAAAAAAAGATAAATCAACATTGGTACATGACTGTTAACCTCCTGACTTTATTCAAATGTTGCCAGCTCTTCTATCTAAGTCTTTTCTGGTGAAGAACCCCATCCAGGGTACCCCATTGCATTTCGTTGTCTTATTGCCCTAGTCTCCTCTGGTCTGTGTCAATTTCTCAGTCACCTTATTTCTCATGACCTTGGCAGTCTTTTTCTTTCCTTCTTTCCTTCTTTCCTTCCTTCCTTCTTTCCTTCCTTCCTTCCTACCTTCCTCTCTCTCTTTCTTTTGACAGAGCCTGGCTCTGCTGTCCAGGCTGGCATGCAGTAGTACAATAAGAGCTCACTGCAACCTCTGCCTTGTGGGCTCAATTGATCCTCCTACCTCAGCCTCCCGAGTAGCTGGGACTACAGGTGCCCACCACCATGCTTGGCTTTGACTGGCAGGGCATCTTGAAGAACGCCCTTCCCTCTAGTCTGGGTCTGTCTGTTATTTTTCTCATGATTATACTGAGGTTATGAATTTGGTTCAAGTTCTTTTAATCCAGACATCCCCCTACAGGAAGAGGCTGTCAAAAATTTTTGAAAGAAACTTTCTGCTTTGTCAAAAGGGATTGAAAAAACAAATCACCTGTCATGCCACCTCTCTGACAAACTTGTGTTTCTATTTCCCAGGTCGTTGATCTGAGGTGGGGTATTCGGAACATTGAAGCCACTGACCACTTGACCACAGAACTCTGCTTGGAGGAGGTTGACCGGTGTTGGAAAACATCCATAGGGCCAGCTTTTGTTGTGAGTGTCTTGGGAGGAATGGGTTAGCTCTTACTCCTCCAGGATATGCCCCCTGCTTTCTAGACAAACTGATCAGCAGAGGGAAGTAGGTACCGTTTCTGCTTTCGTACCTTATCCCTATGGCCTGCCTGTGGCAGACATTACTAATCAATCACAGAACTCTTTCTGCAGAGCTGAATGGGATCCAGACATTAGCAGTCAAATGGAAGCAGCAGGTGGCTTGGAGAGTAGAATGTTGAAGCCAGAAGGAATCTTGGAATTTGATCTGGACTTTCTCCCACCTTCCCCACCCCCTCCACTTTATGTCTATAGAACTTTGGGATCCTGGAAAGCCATGGAAAAGGTGGAAACCCACAGGGTCTTGGGATATTTTTTTTCCTCCATGTGCCCACTGGTTTCAGGTCGTGGGGACTTCTCCCCTCTCTCTTCCAATTGCACCCCTTCTATCAAAAAATCAATCTCCAGTCCACAATTAATGGTTTTGGCTATTAAAATTGAATGATATTCCTGAGTCTTTTTTCTTTTTCTTTTTTGAGACAGAGTCTCAAAAAAGCCCAGGCTAGAGTGCAGTGGCAAGATCATGGCTCACTACAGCCTTGAACTCCTGGGCTTCTGATCTCCCTGCCTTGTTCTCCCAAGTAGCTGGGACTACAGGTGTGTGCCGCCACAGTTGGCTAGTATTTTTTTGGAAATATGGGGTCTCACTATGTTGCCCAGGCTGGTCTTGAACTCCTAGGCACAAGTGATCCTCCCACCTTGGCCTCCCAAAGTTCTGGGATTACAGGCATAAGCCAATGCACCTGGTCTAGTTTTAAGTTTTTTTTTTTTTTTGAGATGGGTCTTGCTATGTTGCCCAGGCTGGCCTGAGTCCTAATTTATTACATCGAGTTCCAGATACATCCAAGAACGATCACATTTTCCTTAGAAATTCTAGAGCAGGGGGCCGGGCGTGGTGGCTCACACCTGTAATCCCAGCACTTTGGGAGGCCAAGGTGGGTGGATCATGAAGTCAGGAGATTGAGACCAGCCTGGGCAACATAGTGAAGTCCCATATCTACTAAAAAATTAGCTGGGCATGGTGGCACGTGCCTGTAATCCCAGCTACTTGGGAGGCTGAGGCAGGAGAATTGCTTGAACCTGGGAGGCAGAGGTTGCAGTGAGCCGAGATCATGCCACTGTACTCCAGCCTGGGCGACAGAGCAAGACTCTATCTCGAAAAGAAAAGAAAAGAAAAGAAAAGAAAAGAAAAGAAAAGAAAAGAAATTCTAGAGCAGAGGCCAACAAGCTATAGCCTGAAAGGCAAGTGTGGCCTGCTGCCTGTCTTTGTAAGTAAAGCTTTATTGGCACACAGCCATGTCCACTTGTTTACACATTGTTTAGCCCTGCTTTCAAGCTATAATGGCAGAGTTTAGTCGTTCTGACAGAGACCATCTGGCCTGTAAAGCCAAAAGTATTGACTGTCTGACTTTTTCCAGGAGAAATGTGCTGATCCCTGTCCTGGACAGTAAAGAGGGAAAAAGTAAAGAAAAGTACCATGGCCAGGTATGGTGGCTCACTCCTGTAATCTCTGCATTTTGGGAGGCTGAGGCAGGTGGACAATTTGAGGTCAGGAGTTTGAGAGCAGCCTGGGCAACATGGTGAAACCCCATCTCTACTAAAAATACACAAATTAGCCAGACGTGGTGGCACATGCCTGTGATCCCAGCTACTTGGGAAGCTGAGGCAGGATAATCATTTGAAACTGGGAGGCAGAGGTTGGAGTGAGCCGAGATTGTGCCACTGCATTCCAGACTGCGCAACAGACGGAGACTCTGTCAAAAAAAAAAAAAAAAAAGGAGAAGGTGAGGGCCAGAGAGATATTCTATTTTCTGAGATCTATTTTCTGAGACCTAAAGTGTCCCAACATTATAACGAAAGACTGTAACAAGGGCTTTGGGAATTATGAGCCAGGAATAATGGGCAAAACATATATATATAATCTATATATAATATATATATTATATATATATAATATAATGATATATAATATATAATATATAATAACATATAACATACTATTATATGTATAATATATAATGTATACATTATATATTATATATAATACATTATCTATAATATATAATACATTATATATTATATATATATATATTTCACTCCTTTTTCTTTGAGACAAGGTCTTGCTATGTTGCCCAGGCTGGTTTTGAACTCCCGGACTGAAGCAATCCTCCAGCCTTAGCCTCCTGGGTAGCTGGGATTACAGTTATTCTTTTGATCTACACTTCTATTGTAATTTGGTGCCACTCTGTTTTATTTATTACTGCTTTAAAATATATCCTAATGTTTGGAAAACTCTACATTCTGTTGTAAATCTCCTAAATTTCCAGTCTCCTAAGTTTAATTTTTCAAAGGAGCCCAATGATCATTTTAATGAGTTTCCAAGAAAAAAAAAAAGGAGAGAGAGGCTGACCATGGTGGCTCATGCCTGTAATCCCGCACTTCAGGAGGCTGAGATGAGAGGATCACTTGAGCCCAGGAGTTCAAGACCAGCTTGAGTAACATAGTGAGACCCTATCTCTACCAAAAAAAAAAAAAAAAAAAAAAAAAATTATTTTTTTAAGGAAGAAAGGGAAAAGAAGGGAGACAAAGAACTCCAGGAGGAATCTGATTTTGCAACCCAAATTGCAGGCAGCCAAAAGCACAGTGCAGCTTTCTGATTGCACAGAGAACCTAGGGGTGATCTCTGAGCTTCTCTGGGGCCTGACCAACCGGCCCTGGGACCTTCCAGAAAGGCCCTATGGCCAGCTGAGCTGGACTTCCTTCCTGCTTCCATCTTGAACCAGGCATCACCCCTCTACTGCCCAAGAGCCACAGCATCATTCTGCTCCATGACTCTGATTTGTGGGGGCGCCTTCCACAAAAATCAGAGATGTGCTGGAGGCCCTTGGAGAGGTGTCTCTCTGGTAAATAAGTCATTAGGCAGCACCGAGGCCGGGGACAGCTCCCCATGGCACTTCCTTTTAGAGAGGCTCCTGTCTCTTGGGCTATCAGCAGCCCCAGTGTCTCCAGAGCTCTGAGAGTTGTTCCTGGTGGGAACTGTTCCTATTTCCCTTGCTCTGATCCCACAGATTGGAGCAGTTTGTTTTGTTTTGTTTTTTACCACCTGTTTCCTTCATATAACCTCTGGTCTGTGGTTGGCTTGTGTCTTAGTCTATTTTCTGTTGCTTATAACAGAATCCCTGAAACTGACTAGTTATAAAGAGATGAGGCTGGCCACCTTGGATCACACTTGTAATCCCAGCGCTTTGAGAGGCTAAAGCCGGAGGATCGTGTGATCCCAGGAGTTCAAGACCAGCCTGGGCAACGTAACAAGGCCCCATCTCTAAAAAAAAAAAAAGAACAGTTAGCTGGGGTGGTGGCTCATGCTTGTAGTCCTAGCTGCTCCGGAGGCTGAGATGGGAAAATCCCTTGAGCCCAGAAGTCTGAGGTGGCAGTGAACTATGATTGTACCGTGGCACTCTGGCCTGGGTGCCAGAGGAAGAGTCTGTCTCTTAAGAAAAAAAGAAGAAAAAAGAATAGAAAAGAAATTATTATTATTATTATTTTGAGATGGAGTCTCACTCTGTCACCCAGGCTGGGGTGCAGTGGGAACATGTTGGCTCACTGCAACCTCCATCTCCTGGGTTCAAGCAATTCTCCTGCCTCAGCCTCCTGAGTAGCTGGGATTACAGGTGCCCACTACCACACCTGGCTAATTTTTTTATATTTTTAGTAGAGACAGGGTTTCGCCATGTTGGCCAGGCTGCTCTTGAACTCCTGACCTCAGGTGATCCACCCACCTCGGCCTCCAAAAGTGCTGGGATTACAGGCGTGAGCCACTGCGCCCAGACTTCTATTTTTTTTTTTTTTTTTTTTTTGAGATGGAGTTGCTCCGTTACCCAGGCTAACTCCTAAGCTCAAGTGATCTGCCCACCCTATTCTCCCAAAGTGCTGGGATTACAGGTGTGAGCCACCGCACTGGCCCAGGTTAACTCTTTTGGATTCCGGTTTGCACCTACTCCAAGTGTGGTTCTGGCATTAAGACCAAAATTTTATGGCCTCCCATGCCCTACAGAATCTTGTGCAGGGGGGCCGGGTGCAGTGGCTTACGCCTGTAATCCAAGCACTTTGAGAGGCCGAGGCAGGCGGATCACTTGAGGTCAGGAATTCAAGACCAGCCTGGCCAACATGGCGAAACCCTGTCTCTACTAAAAATACAAAAAATTAGCCAGCTGTGGTCGTGGGTGCCTATAATCCCAGCTACTTGGGAGGCTGAGGCAGGAGAATCACTTGAATCTGGGAGGCAGAGGTTGCAGTGAGCCAAGATTGCACTATTACACTCCAGCCTGGGTAACAAGAGTGAAACTCTGACTCAAGAAAAGAAAAGGGGGAGGGGACAGCCTTATCCCCCTTCGCTGTCCCTCTTCTTGCCAGTGCCTTAGTCGCTGTGCCCTTCCTACAGCAGCCATGCTTCTTCCTGCCACAGGGCCTTTGCACATGCTGCTCCCCCTGCCTGCAAGATACTCTGCCTAATAAACTCCTTTTCATGTTTTTGGTTTTTTTGTTTTGTTTTGTTTTTGTGTTTTTTTTTTTTTTTTTGAGACAGTCTTACTCTGTCGCCCAGGCTGGAGTGCAGTGGCACCATGTCGGTTCACTGAAACCTCCCTCTCCTGGGTTCAAGCAATTCTCCTTCCTCAGCCTCCCAAGTAGCTGGGATTACAGGCACCTACCACCATGCCCGGCTAATTATTTTTATATTTTTAATAGATATGGGGTTTCGCTATGTTGGCCAGGCTGGTCTCGAACTCCTGACCTCAGGTGATCCACCTGCCTCGGCCTCCCAAAGTGCTGGGATTACAGGCATGAGCTACCATGCCTGGCTCTTTTCATGTCTTATTCTGCAGCTCAGGTGAATTTCCCTGACTCCCCAGGCTACGTACGACCCATGTTTTACCCTTTCTTCCTAGCACTCTAACAGCTGCCATTTGACCTTGGTCTGATTCTAGATTGATGCCTGCCTCTTTGGCTAAGACTCCAAGGTTGGCTGGGCCCGGTGGCTCCTGCCTGTAATCCCAGAACGTTGGGAGGCTGAGGTGGGCAGATTATTTGAGGTCAGGAGTTTGAGACCAGTCTGGCCAACATGGTGAAACCCAGTCTCTACTAAAAATACAAAAATTAGCCGGGTGTGGTGGTGGGCGCCTGTAGTCCCAGCTACTGGGGAGGTAGAGGTTGCAGTGAGCTGAGATTGTACCACTGCACGCCAGCCTGGGTGACAGAGTGAAACTGTGTCTCAAAAAAAGTAAATAGGCCAGGCGCAGTGGCTCATGCCTGTAATCCCAACACTTTGGGAGGCTGAAGCAGGCGGATCACCTGAGATCAAGAATTCGAGACCAGCCTGGCCAACATGGCGAAACCCTGTCTCTACTAAAAATATAAAAATTAGCCAGGCGTGGTGGCTCACGCCTGTAATCCCAGCTACTCAGGAGGCTGAGGCCGGAGAATCACTTGAACTCAGGAGGCAGAGGTTGCAGTGATCTGAGATTGTGCCACTGCACTCCAGCCTGGGCGACAGAGGGAGATTCCATCTCAAAAAAATAAAATAAATAATAAATAAATAAATATCTGTGGGCTGACTGTACTCAGAATGTGGCGCTTTCATACTGAGCTCTGATCTCTCCCTTTCTCCGTGGTCAGCCCTTAAGCCATCCTGTGACCTTGGACTAACTCTGTTCCATCCCCAGGCCCCTGTTTCCATGATAATAAAAGGGGAGAGCTGGACTTAGGGTCCTCTTAGCCCTGCTTCACCTCTGATTCTCCCTGGAAGGACCAGAACTAGAATGGAGAACCACCACAAGATTTAATTTAAATCTTAATTATCGAGATAAATTGTATATATATTTTGAGACGGAGTTTCGCTCTTGTTGCCCAGGCTGGAGTGCAATGGCGCAATCTCGGCTCACCACAACCTCCGCCTCCAGGGTTCAAGCGATTCTCTTGCCTCAGGCTCCCGAGCAGCTGGGACTACAGGCATGTGCCACCATGCCTGGCTATTTTTAAAAAAATTTTTTGTAGAGACAGGGTCTCACTATGTTGCCTATTATTATTATTATTATTATTATTATTATTATTATTATTATTTTATTTGAGACAGAGTCTTGCTCTGTCGCCCAGGCTGGAGTGTAGTGGTGCCATCTTGGCTCACTGCAACCTTCGCCTCCCGGCTTCAAGCAAGTCTCCTGCCTCAGCCTCCCTAGTAGCTGGGATTACACCTGCACGCCACCATGCCTGGCTAATTTTTGTATTTTTAGTAGGGGTTTCACCATGTTGGCCAGACTGGTCTCGAACTCCTCTTGACCTCAAATGATCTGCCCACCTCAGCCTTCCAAAGTGTTGAGATTACAGGCGTGAGCCACCTTGCCTGGCCCCATTATTTGTTTCTTTAGAGACAGGGTCTCACTCTGTCCCCCAGGCTGGAGTGCAGTGGTGCGATCACAGCTCACTGCAGCCTCGAACTCCTGAGCTCAAGCGGTCCTCCAGCCTCAGCCTCCTGAGTACCTGAGACTACAGATGCACACCCCCACACCCTGATAATTTTTAATTTTTATAGATATGGGGTCTCACTATGTTGCCCAGCTAGTCTCTAACTCCTGGGCTCAAGAGATCCTCCTGCCTTGGCCTCCCAAAGTGTTGGGATTACAGGCGTGAGCCACCATGCCTAGCCTAGGGGACAATTCTTTATTGACCCTCGTGACTTCTGGTGGCTCCAGGCTATAAGGGCGGTCAACTTCACCTCCATCTTCTCAGAGTGCTGGTTGGATTGAAGAATTGAATTGACATAAAATTGATTAACAGGAAAAGAAACCATACATATTTATTTATTTATTTATTAGTTTGTTTATTTATTTATTTATTTTGAGACAGAGTCTTACTCTGTTGCCCAGGCTGGACTGCGGTGGCACCATGTCGGTTCACTGAAACCTCCCTCTCCCGGGTTCAAGCAATTCTCCTGCCTCAGCCTCCCAAGTAGCTGGGATTACAGGCACCTACCACTACGCCCAGCTAATTTTTATATTTTTAGTAGATATGGGATTTCACTATGTTGGCCAGGCCAGTCTTGAACTCCTGACCTCAGGTAATCCACCCGCCTTGGCCTCCCAAAGTGCTGGGATTACAGGTGTGAGCCACCGCGCCTGGCCGATATACATTTATTAATACAAGTGTTTTACATGGCATAAGAACCCTCATAAGGAAATAAGGACCCACAAAAGCAGCTAGAGTCATTTACTTATATATTGAATTGGAGAAAGAATAGTAAATTGTGGCTGGGGACAGTGGCTCACGACAGTAATCCCAGCACTTTGTGAGGCTGAGATGAGAGGATCCCTTGAGTACAGGAGTTCAATACCAGCCCGGGTAATGTAGTGAGACCCTATCTGTACCGAAAATAAAAACTTAAAAATTAGCTGGGTATGGTGGCATGTGATTGTGGTCCAAGTGGGAGGATCACTTAAACCCAGGAGGTTGAGGCTGCAGTGAGCCATGGTTGTACCACCGCACTCCAGCCTGGGCGACAGAGCAAGACCTTGTCTGAAGAAAAAAAGTGAGATTTGAATCTGTGACTTCCTCTCTGCCAGGCCCTCATCGGTGATCAGTACGGCCCCTGTCTGATTCCCTCGCGGATCGATGAGAAGGAGTGGGAGGTATTGAGGGACCATCTGACTGCCAGGCCAAGTGACCTGGAGCTGGTGGCACGATACTTCCAGAGGGACGAGAATGCGTTTCCTCCCACCTACGTCCTGCAGGCACCAGGTACTGGGGAGGCCTGTGAACCAGAGGAGGCCACCTTAACTTCTGTCCTACGCTCTGGAGCCCAGGAGGCCCGGAGGCTGGGGCTCATCACCCAGGAGCAGTGGCAGCACTACCACCGGTCAGGTGAGGCCGCAGGGACTCCCCTCTGGAGACCCACAAGAAACTGACCACGTGTTCAGAATATCCATCCCCTGTTGGCAAAAATGCAACAGTCTGCATTTCTTGCAAATGCCAAACCAGTCAACCTCTGGTCCCTCGGCTCTGAGAAAGGCTGTTTTACTGATCCAAGATAGTTCAGCCATGTTCCTGATCAATCTTGGTCTCAGGATCTTCCTCTCCTCGCTGGCTCTTTCTTCTTGTCTCCCAGGGAGGTTCCTGGCACAGGGGCCGTATTAGTCTGTTCTCATGCCACTAATAAAGGCATACTTGAGGCTGGGTAATTTACAAAGGAAAGAGGTTTAATGGACTCACAATTCCACATGGCTGGGGAGGCCTCACAATCATGGCTGAAGGCAAAGGAGAAGCAAAGAGGCACATCTTACATGGTGGCAGGTAAGACAGAGTGAGAGCCAAGCGAAAGGGGAAATTCCTTATAAAACCATCAGATCTTGTGAGACTTATTCACTACCACGAGAACAGTATGGGGGAAACTATCCCCCATGATTCAATTATCTCCCACCAGGTCCCTCCCACAGCACGTGTGAATTATGGGAGCTACAATTCAAGATGAGATTTGGGTGAAGACACAGCCAAACCATATCAGGGGGAGCAATGCAGGGCGACTACCATCCCAGTTTGCCTGGGACGGAGGGGTTCCTAGGATGCAGGATTTGTATTACTAAAATCTGACAGGCTGAGCCCAGTAGTGCCTACCTGTAATCCCAGAATTTTGGAAGGCCGAGGCAGGAGAATCACTTGAGTTCAGGAGTTCGAGACCAGCCTGGGCAATATAGTGACACCTCATCTCTACAAAAAAAAAAAAAAACTTTTAAAAATTTGCCAAATGTGGTAGTGCATGCCTGTAGTCCCAGCCACTCAGGAGGCTGAGGCAGGAGGATTGCTTGAGCCCAGGAGGCAGAGGCTGTGGTAAGCCAAGATCATGCCACTGCACTCCAGCCGGGGTTACAGAGAGAGACCTGTCTCAAAAAACAAAAACAAAAACAAAAACAAAATTAGCTAGGTATAGTGGTGCATGCCTGTAGCCCCAGCTACTCAGGAGGCTGAGATGAGAGGATCGCTGGAGCCCGGGAGTTGGAGGCTGCATTGAGCTATGATCTTGCCACTGCACTCCAGCATGGGTGACAGAGTGAGACCCTGTCTCTAAATAAATAAATTAATTAATTAAATAAAATACAGTCTACCCTTGAACAACATAGTGTTTAGGGACTCTAACTCCTTGCACAGTCGAAAATCTGTGTATAACTTTTGACTCCCCCAAAACGTAACTACTAATAGCCCACCAATCACATAAATTGTTGACCAGGTGTGGTGGCTCATGCCTGTAATCCCAGCACTTTGGGAGTCTGAGGTGGGTGGATTACTTGAGCCCCGAGTTGGAGACCAGTCTGGGCAACATGGCAAAACCTCACCTTTATTTAAAAAAAAAAAATTAAAATTAGTTGGGTGTGGTGGTGCACACCTGTAGTCTCAGCTACTCAGGAGAGTGACGTGGGAGGATTGCGTCAGCCTAGGAGGCGGAGATTGCAGTGAACCAAGATTGTACCACTGTACTTCAGTCTGGGTGACAGAGTGAGACCCCGTATCAAACAAACAAACAAAGAAACAACATAAACAGTTGGCCGGGTGCGGTGGCTCATGCCTGTAATCCCAGCACTTTGGAAGGCTGAGGCAGACGGATCACGAGGTCAGGAGTTCAAGACCAGCCTGGCCAAAATAGTGAAACTCTGTCTCTACTAAAATTACAAAAATTAGCTGGGCATGGTGGTGCACACCTGTAGTCCCAGCTACTCGGGAGGCTGAGGCAGGAGAATCACTTGAACCCGGGAGGCAGCGGTTGTAGTGAGCTGAGATCGCACCACTGCACTCCAGCCTGGCAGCAGAGCAAGACTCTGTCTAAAAACAAAAAACAAAAAACAACAAAAAAAAACAGTCGATGAACACATATTTTGCATGTTCTATCTATCATATCCTGTTTTCTTACAATCAAGTAAGCTAGAGAAAAGAAAATGTTATTACAAAAATCACAAGGAAGAGAAAATATGTTTGCTGTTGATTAAACATAAGTGGATCATCAGTCACAAAGGTCTTCATCCTCATCATCTTCACCTTGAGTAGGAAGAGGAGGGGTTGGTCTTGCTGTCTCAGGGGTGGCAGAGGCAGAAGAAACTTGACCTGTGTAGTTCAAGCCCATGTTCTTCAATGGCCAACACTGTGTCATGTAACTTCCACCTCTGTCTAGTTCCAAGATATTTTCTTTTTCTTTCTTTTTTTTTTTTTTTGAGATGGAGTCTTGCTCTATTGTCCAGGCTGGAGTGTAGTGGTGCGATCTCAGCTCACTCCAACCTCTGCTTCCCAGGTTCAAGCAATTCTCCTGCCTCAGCCTCCTAAGTTGCTGGGATTACAGGCATGCGCCACCTCGCCTGGCTAATTTTTGTATTTTTAGTAGAGACGGGGTTTCCCCATGTTGCTCAGGCTGGTCTCGAACTCCTGACCTCTTGATCGGCCCGCCTTGGCCTCCCAAAGTGCTGGGATTACAGGTATGAGCACCCGCGCCTGGCTGACATTTTCTTTTTATTTATTTATTTATTTATTTATTTATTTATTTATTTAATTTTTTTTGAGACAAGGTCTTACTCTGTTGCCCAGGCTGGAGTGCAGTGGCACGATCACGGCTCAGTGTGGCCTCCAGCTCCTGGGGTCAAGCAATCCTCCCACCTCAGCCTTCCCAGTAGCTGGGACCGCAGTCACACGCCATCACAGGTGGCTAACTTATTTTTTGTAGAGACGGGGTTTTGCCGTTTTGCACAGGCTGGTCTCGAACTCCTGAGCTCAAGTGATCGTCCAGCCTCTGCCTCCCAAAGTGCTGAGATTACAGGCATGAACTACACCTGGCCCTCCAAGACATTTTCATCACCTCAAAAGAAGCTCTACCCATTAAACACTCCCCATCTCCCCTCTCCCAGCGCAGGCAACCATCAATCTGCTTTCTGTCTCTATTAATTTGCCTGTTCTGGACATTTCATGTCAATGGAATCTCACACTACATGGCCTTTTGTGTCTGGCTTCTCTCACTTGGCATCATATTTTTGAGGTTCATCCACATTTTAACACCTGTGAGTACTTCATCCATTTCAATGGCCGAATAGTATCCCATTGTGTGGAAGGACCATATTTTGTTTATCCATTCATCTGTTGATGGATGTTTGTTTTGATTTGTTTTGTTTTTGAGATGGAGTCTCGCTCTGTTGCACAGGCTGAAGTGCAGTGACATGATCTTGGCTCACTGCAACCTTTGCCTCCCGGGTTCAAGTGATTCTCCTGTCTTAGCCTCTTGAGTAGTTGGGATTACAGGCGTGCGGCATCACGCTGGGCTAATTTTTGTATTTTTAGTAGTGACAAGGTTTCACCATGTTGGCCAGGCTGGTCTCAAACTCCTGACTTCAGGTGATCTGCCCACCTTGGCCTCCCAAAGTGCTGGGATTACAGGCATGAGACCCCATGTCCAGCCCGTTGATGGATGTTTGGATTGTTTCTGTCTTTTGGCTATTGTGAATGGTGCTGTTACAAGCTAGGGTGTATTAATATTTGTTGGAGTCTCTGTTTTCAGGTATTTTCAGCAGATACCTGGGAGTGGAATTGCTGGGCGTGATAGTAACTCCATGTTTCACTTTTTGAGGATGACAGCATTGTTTTACAGTGTGACTGCTCCTCACATGGGACCTCTGTGTTGCCTACCCTGAGGGGTCTTTGATTAATAATGGCTAAATCAGGCCGGGCGCAGTGGCTCACGCCTGTAATCCCAGCACTTTGGGAGGCCGAGGTTGAATTGCTTGAGCTCAGTAGTTGGAGACCAGCTTGGGCAACATAGTAAGACCCCATCTCTACAAAAAATACAAAAATTAGCCAGGCGTGCTAGTGCATGCCTGTAATCCCAGCTACTCGGGAGGCTGAGGTGGAAGGATCGCTTGAGCCTAGGAGGCGGAGGTTGCAGTGAGCTAAGATCGCGCCACTCCACTCCAGCCTGGGTGACAGAGTGAGACCCTGTCTCAATAATAATAATAATAAGAAGAAGAATAAGAGTAATGGCTTAACTAGTGTAACTCTGGGTGCAGTCCCTGGACCAGCAAGCCTTGGCTTGTTGCAAATGCAAACTCCGGGGCCCCACTCAGATCTGCTGAATCACTTCTGGAGGTGGGGTCCAGCCATGTGGGTCTTTTCGAGACCCCCAGGTCAGACTCTGGTGCACGTTAATCTTGAGAACCAATGCACATCCCCCAACAACAGGTCTCCCAGCAACCCCATTTAGGTCAGCTGCTGACCCAATAATGACCACACTTCCTTCCCACCTTCCCCACTTTGGCAGTCATTGAGTGGGAGATAGAGCGGAGCCTGCTGAGCTCAGAGGACCGGGAACAGGGAGCCACCGTCTTCCTTAGAGAGATCCAAGACCTCCACAAACACATCCTTGAAGACTGCGCCCTTAGGATGGTGGACCGGCTCGCGGATGGCTGCCTGGACGCTGATGCCCAGAACCTTCTCAGCAGCCTCAAAAGTCACATCACTGACATGCACCCAGGGGTCCTCAAGACCCACCGCCTGCCGTGGAGCCGCGACTTGGTGAACCCCAAGAACAAGACTCACGCCTGCTACCTGAAGGAGCTGGGTGAGCAGTTTGTGGTGAGGGCCAATCACCAGGTCCTCACACGCCTCCGTGAGCTGGATACGGCCGGACAGGAGTTGGCGTGGCTCTACCAAGAGATCCGCCACCACCTTTGGCAGAGCTCGGAGGTCATTCAGACCTTCTGCGGACGCCAGGAACTCCTGGCCCGGCTTGGGCAGCAGCTCAGGCACGATGACAGCAAGCAGCACACCCCCCTGGTACTCTTTGGGCCCCCAGGCATTGGAAAGACAGCCCTGATGTGCAAGCTGGCTGAGCAGATGCCAAGGCTGCTGGGGCACAAGACAGTGACCGTCCTGCGGCTGCTGGGGACGTCACAAATGAGCTCAGATGCCCGTGGCCTGCTGAAGAGCATCTGCTTCCAGGTGTGCCTGGCCTATGGGCTGCCCTTGCCCCCTGCCCAGGTTCTGGACGCCCACACCAGGGTGGTCCAGTTTTTCCATACCCTCCTCCACACTGTCTCTTGCAGAAACTTCGAGTCTCTCGTGCTCCTGCTGGATGCTATGGATGACCTGGACTCTGTCCGCCATGCTCGGAGGGTTCCCTGGCTGCCTCTCAACTGCCCCCCGAGGGTGCACCTCATCCTCTCAGCTTGCTCGGGGGCACTGGGGGTTTTGGACACCTTGCAGCGGGTGCTCCTGGACCCGGAGGCCTACTGGGAGGTGAAGCCCCTTTCCGGAAACCAAGGCCAGCAGATGATCCAACTCCTGCTGGCAGCTGCAAGGAGGACGCTGAGCCCGGTGCACACAGATTTGCTCTGGGCCAGCCTCCCAGAGTGTGGGAACCCAGGGCGGCTGAGGCTGGCGTTTGAGGAAGCCCGGAAATGGGCCTCTTTCACCGTGCCTGTCCCGCTGGCCACCACCGCAGAGGAAGCCACGCACCAACTCTGCACCCGCCTGGAGCAGACACACGGGCAGCTCCTCGTGGCCCACGTGCTGGGCTACATTGTGTCTTCCCGGTAAGTCTCTGTGTTTTGAAACTCTTATTTATTTATTTATGTTTTCTTTTTTTATTTTTAGAGATGGAGGTCTGGCTATGTCACCCAGGCTGGAGTGCAGTGGTGTGATCATAGCTCACTGCAGTCTCCAACTCCCAGGCTCAAGTGATCCTCACGCCTCACCTGCTGAGTAGCTGGGACTACGGGCATGCACCACTGTGCCCAGCAAAATATAATTTTTTTATTTTTATTTTTATTTTTAGAGATAGGGGTCTGGCTCTGTCACCCAGGCTGGAGTGCAGTGGCATGATCATAGCTCACTGCAGTCTCCAACTCCCAGGCTCAAGTGATCCTCCCATCTCAGCCTGCCGAGTAGGGTAGCTGGGACTACAGGCATGCACCACTGTGCCCAGCTAAATACAGTTTTTGTTTGTCAACTATACCTCAAAAGCTGGGAAAATAAATACACACATGTAAAAGAAAGAAAGGACTGCCTACATGGTTGCTTAGCCTAGTAAAAGTCTCGGAGCTATAAATTGCAATAAACTAGGCCAGGCGTGGTGGCTCACACCTGTAATTCCAGCACTTTGGGAGGCCGAGGCGGGCGGATCACCCAAGGTTGGGAGTTGGAGACCAGCCTGACAAAACATGGAGAAACTCTGTCTCCACTAAAAATACAAAAAATTAGCCAGGCGTGGTGGTGCATGCCTGTAATCCCAGCTACTTGGGAGGCTGAGGTAGGAGAATCACTTGAATCCGGGAGGTGGAGGTTGCCGTGAGCCGAGATCACGCCATTGCACTCCAGCCTGGGCAACAAGAGCAAAACTCGATCTCAAAAAAAAAAAAAAAAATGCAATAAACTTGGGTCATGATAGTCTGGGGCCATTGCTCAGAGATGCCAGCCAGGTATGGATGAGGAGTCAAAAGTAACAAGCATATATTGCTTTTTGGATATAGCAAGAAAAAGAAAGAAAGAGAGAGAGAAAGAGGGAAGAAAGGCAGACAGGAAGGAAGGAGACAGAAAGGAAGAGTGAAAGAAGGAAAGGAAGGAAGGAAGGAGAGAGAAAGAAAGGAAGAGAGAAAGAAAGAGAAAGGAAGGAAGGAAGGAAGGGAGGAAGGAAGGAAAGAGGCCTGGCATGGTGGCTTACGCTTTTAATCGCAGCACTTTGGGAGGCCAAGGCAGGTGGATCACTTGAAGTCAGGAATTTGAGACCAGTCTGGTCAACATGGTGAAACCTCATCTCAACTAAGAATACAAAAATTAGCCCGGCATGGTGGCGGTCACCTGTAATCCCAGCTGCTTGGGAGGCTGAGGCAGGAGAATCACTTGAACCCGGGAGGCAGAGGTTGCAGTGAGCTGAGATAGTGCCACTGTGCTCCAGCCTGGGCGACAAAGGAAGACTCCATCTCAAAAAGAAAGAGAAAGAGAAGGAAGGAAGGAAGGAAGGAAGATAGTAAGAAAGAAAAAAAAAGAAGGAAAGAAGAGATAAAGGAAAGAAAGAAAGAGAAAGAGAGAAAAAGGGAAAGAAGGAAAGAGGAAAGAAGAAAGGAAGGAAAGAAAAGAAGAAGGGAAGAAGAAGAAGAAAAAGTGAAAGGAAGGAAGGAAGGAAGGAAGCAAAAGCAAAAATAACAAGCAGCAGAGAGGAAGGGGTTAATCAGAAGCACCCAAGCAGCCACACTCCCTCCTCTGAGTTTGTCCTCTGCCAATTGGCAGAGACGCCAAGGAACAAAACTTTGCCTTTACTGCAACTGGCCAACAGCAAACACTCAAAACCATCATCCAAAATGCTGGACGACATAGTTTTGCCTCTTCTCAGTTTTAGGGTTGTTTTTTTTTTTTCTCAGCCTGTGCCATTTCAGACCTTTGTCGGTTACCACAAATTCATCTAGAGGGTGGTGGTCAACCCAACGAGGAGGTCTTTCTGCCTGTTTCTTTGCCAGAAATAGAAACACATTCATGCTAGTGTAGGAAATAAGAGAATATGCTGGGTGCAGTAGCTCACTCCTGTAATGCCAGCGTTTTGGGAGGCTGAGGTGGGAGGATCACTTGAATCCAGGAGTTTGAGACCAGCCTAGACAACAGAGTGAGGCCCCTGTCTATACAACAATTTTTTTTAATTAGCTGAGCATGGTGGTGCTACTCCGGAGGCTGAGATGGGAGGATCACTTGAGCACAGGAGTTGAAGACTGCAGTAAGCCATAATTGTGCCACTGGGCTTCCTTCCAATGAAGAGTTAGGGAAATTCAAGTCTGTCTTATAGCTGACTCCAGGGGACATATCCCAGATTTCCCGACTGGCTTACACTCTATAAGAGTACAAATACGGCGTGGTGTGGTGGCTCACACCCGTAATCCCAGCACTTTGGGAGGCCAAGGTGGGAGAATTACTTGAGCCCAGGAGTTCAAGACCAGCCTGGGCAACAAAGTGAGAGCCCCTGCCTCAGTGAAAAGTAAAAATATTAGCTGGGCGTGGTGGCTCACACCTGTAGTCCCAGCTACTCGGGAGGCTGAGGCAGGAGGATTTGTTGAGCCAGGAGGTCATGGCTGCAGTGAGCTGTGATCATGCCACTGCACTCCAGTCTGGGCAACAGAGCAAGACCCTGTCTCCAAAAACAGTGCAAATAACAACTGGGGCATGTTCCAGAATAGAGGGGTGGCCCATTGGGCCATTCTGTTGAAGTTGACTTGGAGGAAGTGAGTTGTCATGGAAACTGTCATAAAAATCAGAGCAGCTTCTCCTTCCTTCTCCCTCTGGGGTCCTCTCTGCACATCAACTCCTCTTGTAGACTCTTCCTTCGGCCCCTCTGGAACTTCAGCTTGCCTTGAGCCACAGTTGGCATCAGGAGCCCATATTTCTGTGACCAGGTGCCATCTTACTGACTTTTTCTTTGGGTCCTAATTCCAAAGTACAGGGAGACAGAAATCAAATGGCCTACTTGGTCCCATATCTGGTCCAATTAGTAAAGCCAGATCTCTCACAGGGGTGGCGGGGGAGGTGGTTTATAAAGCATGATGATAAGGTGGATGATTTTGGTTGCTCCAGTTCCATGAAAATATGTTATGCTTACACATCAGATCCATGTGGCAGGATGGTGAGAGCTTTGCTCTTGGAGCAGACCTGAGATCCTTCTAGGCTAGAGGTCGTCACCTCAGGATAGTTCTCCACGCCCCCCATCCCCCCACAGGGGACACTAGACAGTGTGTCTGGAAGCATTTTTGGTTGTCATGACTGAGCAGGGTGGTGCTCCTGGTGTCTTTACTGAGTGGAGTCCAGGGATGCTGTTTAACACCCTACAGTGCAAAGGATTGTCCTACTTTAGAGAATGATCCAGCCCCAGATGTTGATAGTGCAGAGAGTAAGAAACCTTGCCTTAGCCTGAGAGACCCTATCCATTCATCCATCCATCAATCCCTCCCTCCCTCCCTCCATCATCTCTATCATCCATCCATCCATCCATCCATCCATCCATCCATCCATTCATCAATTCGACCTTTCATCCATCCATTGTCTCTATCTTCCATCCATCTATCCATCATCTCAATCCTCCATCCTTCCATCCATTCTCTCTAAATTCCATCTATCCTTCCATCCATCATCTCTATCTTCCTTTTATCCATCATCTCTATCTTCCATCTATCCATCCATCCATCCATCCATCCATCCACCCATCATCTCGATCTTCCTTCCATCCATCATCTCTATCATCCATCCATCTATTCATCTATCTATCCATCATCTTGACCTTTCATCCATCCGTCCATCATCTCTATCTTCCATCCATCTATCCATCATCTCGATCTTCCATCCTTCCGTCCATTCTCTCTAAATCCATCTATCCATCCATCCATCATCTCCATCTTCCATCCATCTATCCATCATCTCTATATTCCATCCATCCATCCACCCATCATGTCTATCTTCCATCCATCCATCCATCCACCCATTGTTTCTATCTTCTTTCCATCCATCATCTCTATCATCCATCCACCCATCATCTCTATCTTCCATCCATCTATCCATCCGTCTATCCGCCCATCATTTCTATCTTCCTCCCATCCATCATCTCTATTTTCCATCCATCCATCCATCCATCCATCCATCCATCCATCCATCCATCATCTCTATCTTCCATTCATCTATCCATCATCTCGATCTTCCATCCTTCCACCCATTCTCTCTAAAGTCCATCTATCCTTCCATCCATCATCTGTCTTCCTTTTATCCATCATCTCTATCTTCCATCCATCCATCCATCCACTCTATTCTTCCTTGCATCCATCATCTCTATCTTCCATCCATCCATCATCTCTAGCATCCATCCATCCATCCATCATCTCTATCTTCCTTCCATCCATCATCTCTATAGCCATCCATCCATCCACCCACCTATCATCTCTATCATCCATCCATCCATCCATCCATCCATCCACACATCATCTCTATCTTCCCTGCATCCATCATCTCTATCTTCCATCCATCCATCCATTCATCCACCCATCCGTCATATCTATCTATCTATGTCTATCTCTATATATCTATATATTTCTCTATGTCCCATCGATAAATATGTATAGTCTCAATCTATCTCTATCACTTCTAGTAATCTATCATTGTATCTCTCTACCATCTGTCTATACCTATCTAACTCTATATCTATCCCACATCTACAAATACATCATTTTAATCTATCCACCTATTTAAATGATCTATTTATCTATCATCTCTATTTCTATCCATCTAGTCATTTATAATCAATCAATAAATCTCTATATCTATCTCTCTATTTCTCATCTATATCGATCCTGTCTATCATTAATATCTCTCTCTCTCTTTTTTGGGGGGGGACAGGGTCTCACTCTCTTGACCCAGACTGGAGTGCACTGAAGCGATCACAGCTCGCCGCAGTCTTGACTTCTTGGGCTCAAGCGATCCTCCCATCTCAGCCCCCTCTGAGTAGCTGAGACTACAGGTGCATGCCACCACACCCAGTTATTTATTTCTTCTTTTTTTTCTTTGAGACAGAGTCTCACTCTGTTGCTTAGCCTGGAATGCAGTGGTGCAATCTCAGCTCACTGCAACCTCCGCCTCCTAGGTTCAAATGATTCTCATGTCTCAGCCTCTCAAGTAGCTGGGATTACAGGCGTGCACCACCATGCCTGGCTAATTTTTGTATCTTTAGTAGAGACAGGGTTTTGCCATATTGGCCAGGCTGGTCTCGAACTCCTGGCCTCAAATAATCTGCCACCTTGGCCTCCCAAAGTGCTAGGATTACAGGAATGAGCCACCACATCCAGCCTTATTTATTTATTTATTTATTTATTTATTTAGTAGAGATGGGGTCTCACTATGTTGCCCAGGCTGCTCTCAAACTCCTGGGCTCAAGCGATCCTCCCACCTTGGCCTCCCAAAGTGCTGGGATTACAGGCGTGAGCCACCGTACCTGGCCTATAATCTATCTCTGTATATACAGTTGGCTCTTGAACAAACTGGGAGTTAGGGGAACCAGCTGTCTCCCAACGTACCTCAAAATTGATGTATAACTTTTGACTCCCCTAAAACTTAAATACTAATAGCCTACTGTTGACCAGAAGCCTTACCAGTAACATAAATGGTCGACGAACATGTATTTCATATGTTCTATGTATTACAGACTGTATTCCTACAACAAAACAAGGTAGAGAAAAGAAAATGATAGTAAGAAAATCATAAAGGGGGGCTGGGCATGGTGGCTCATGCTTTTAATTCCAGCTACTTGGGAGGCTGAGTACGAGAATTGCTTGAACCTGGGAGGCGGAGGTTGCAGTGAGCCTAGATCACGCCATTGCACTTGAGCCTGGGTGACAGAGCAAGACTCTGCCTCAAAAAAATAGAAAATAATAAGGAAGAAAAATACATGTACTATTCATGAAGTGGAAGTGGATATCACAAAGGTCTTCATCCTTGTCATCTTCACATTGAGTAGGCAGAGGAAGAGGAGGAAGAGGGGAGGAGGAGAAGGGGACTTGGTCTTGCTGTCTCAGAGACAGCACAGGCGGAAGAAAATCCACATATAAGTGGACTCATGCAGTTCAAACCTGTGTTCTTCAAGGGTCAACTATATGTCTATCTGCCTATTTATATCTATTTATCTATCATCTGTCTATTTATCTTTATGTTTATCTATCTCTGTATCTATTGCTCTATCTCTTATTTATCTCTCCATATAATCTGTCTATCTATAATCTATATGCCTATCTATACATCTGCCTGTCTATCATGCTACCAGCATCTAGTGGGTGGAGGCTTGGGTGGAGACTGCTACACATCCTACAATAGGGGTCCCCATCCCCCAGTACCGGTACTGCTCCGTGGCCTGTTAGGAACCAGGCTGCACAGCAGGAGGTGAGCAGTGGGCGAACAAGTGAAGCTTCATCTGTATCTACAGCCACTTCTTGCTGCTCCTCATCACTCCCATTACCACCCGAGCTCCCCCTCTTGTCAGGTCAGCAGCATCATTAGATTCTCATAAGAGCACAAACCTTGTTGGGAACTGCGCATATGAGGGATCTAGGTTGCTTGAACCTTATGAGAATCTAATGCCTGATGACCTGTCACTGTCTCCCATCACCCCCAGATGGGACTGTCTACTTTCAGGAAAACAAGCTCAGGGCTCCCACTGATTCTACATGATGGGGAGTTGTAGAATTATTTCGTTATATATTGCAATGTAATAATAATAGAAATAAAGTGTGCAAGTGTGATGCACTTGATCATCCCAAAACCATCACCCCTACCCTGGTCCGCGGGAAAAAAATTGTCTTCCAAGAAACCGGTCCCTGGTGCCAAAAAGACTGGGGACTGCTGCCCTACAACACACAGGACGGTCCCCACCCTAAAAAATGATCTGACCCCAAACATCAACCATGCGAGCCCAAGAAACGCTGCACTCAGCATGCCCTGTGCCCTCTGGGAGCCTCACTTCCTCCTCCGCATGGAGGGGCTGGTTGGGAGAGCATCCATCCTCCAAGGCTACTGGAAGGACCAATGAGATCATACTCGCCAGAATAAGAGTTCAGAAAAAGAGGAACTAGTGCATTTTCTTCTTAGCCCTCAACAGTTTTGCTTTTGGCAGATGAGGAAACTGAGGCAAAGAGAAGGTACATTCCTCACCAAGGTCTCCCAGCTAGGCTCAAACGCAAGCCTGATGACCATGCACAGCCCTGTTTTGCAATTCAGGCTAGGCGGGTCCTCTGGGAGTGCCAAGTGAGGTGCCCGCTCTGAGGTTCGCATTGCTTAGGGGATGTCTTCAGGGATGAAGATAGGCTCTCAACCTAGCGGTTCACCCATGACCAGGGGCACATCTCCTAGGCTCTGTCTGATACCATATCATAGAATTTTGCAGGCCAGGTGCAGTGGCTCACGCCTAATCCCAACACTTTGGGAGGCTGAGGCAGGCAGATCACCTGAGATCAGGAGTTGAACAGCAGCCTGGCCAACATAGTGAAACCCCATCTCTACTAAAAATACAAAAATTAGCCGGGCGTGGTGGTGCACACCTGTAGTCCCAGCTACATGGGAGGCTGAGGCAGGAGAATCGCTTGAAGCCAGGAGGCAGAGATTGCAGTGAGCTGAGATGGCGCCACTGAACTCCAACCTAGGCAACAGAGTGAGACTCTGTCTCAAAAAAAAAAAAAGAATTTTGGAAAGAGTACAGTGTTGGGTATGACATTATTACCAATATGGTAACTACAAGCCACAAAAACTATGGAACACTTGAAAGGTGCTTCACACAACTCAGAAACTGAATTTAAAACTTTGAAAGATGGTTCATGCAACCAAGAAACCGCATTTTGAATTTTATTAATTTTTAACCAGTTTAACTTTATTTGTATTTATTTGTTCATGTATTTATGTATTTATTTTAGAGACAGGGCCTCACTCTTTTGCCCAGTCTGGAGTGCAGTGATGTAATCACAGCTCACTGCAGCCTCAACCTCCTGGGCTCAAGTGATCCTCCCACCTCAGCCTCTAGAGTAGCAGGGACTACAGGTGTGTGCCCCTATGCCCAGCTAATTTTTAAATTTTTTTGTAGAGATGGGGTCTCCCTTTGTTGCCTAGGCTGGTCTTGAGCTCTGGCCTCGAGCAGTCCTCCTGCCTCAGCCTCCCAAAGTGCAGGGATTACAGGTGTGAGCCACCACGCCCAGCCCAATTATCCTAATTTAAAGACAAGCCTTGGTGGGCCAGGGTGGAGTGGGGTAGGTGCAGTTGGTTTCTGCATTATTTTCCTTGAGTTACCACTTCCCTCCCTATAGTGTCTGTCTCAGACCCCTTCGAGGTTGAGGAGCGGGCCATTTATGGTTCTGTAGGTGTGCATGCAGAGGAAAAGATTGGCACTTTGGGAGACCGAGGCAGGTGGATCACGAGGTCAGGAGTTGGAGACCAGCTTGACTAACATGGTGAAACCCCGTCTCTACTAAAAATGCAAAAATTAGCCAGGCGTGGTGGCGCCTGTAGTCCCAGCTACTCAGGAGACTGAGGCAGGAGAATCGCTTGAACCCGCGAGGCGGAGGTTGCAGTGAGCCGAGATTGCACCACTGCACTCCAACCTGGGCGACAGAGTGAAACTCTGTCTCAAAAAAAAAAAAAAAAAAAAAAAAAAAATCGGAAAAGGTCTTCCTTGGTGGGTATTGCCCTAACCGTGCTTGGTACCTTGTGGGCGCTGTCCAAATGCTGATCCCAGGTGATGTGCTGGACACCGCGCGGGTGGCTGTATCCCTCCCTCTCTTGGATTCTGCATCCTCCAAATGCAGAAGACATGAGATGTGCCTCAAAGCCCCACTGGTCCTCCCTTCAGACACGGTCTCTCGGAGGCGGAGCTGAAGGATGTTTTGTCCCTGGACGACGAGGTCCTGCAGGATGTGTACCGAGATTGGACCCCGCCCAGCAAGGAGCTGCTGCGCTTCCCGCCCCTGCTGTGGGTGCGGCTTCGTCGGGATCTGGGATACTACTTGGCCCGGCGGCCCGTGGATGGCTTCACCCTCCTGGCCATTGCCCACAGGTAGGTCCAGGCAGCAGTGGCAGCGACACTGTCTGGGTGGGACCCCAAGAATGAGGACTCACTGGCCGGGGGTCTTCTCAGTATCAGATCCTTCACTTACCATTCCCAGGGAATCAAGTCCAGTTAGAACTCTGACACAATTCACTTATTTTTAAAATTGAGTTGAGGCTGGAAGCAGTGGCTCATGCCTATAATCCCAGCACTTTGTGGGGCCAGGGCAGGAGGATTGCTGGAGGCCAGGAGTTGGAGATCAGCCTGGGCAACGTAGCGAGGCCCCATCTCTACAAAAAAAATAAGAAAATTAGCTAGGTGTGTTAGCACTTTGGGAGGCTGAGGTGGCGGATCACCTGAGGTCAGGAGTTTGAGACCAGTCTGACCAACATGGTGAAACCCTGTCTCTATTAAAAATACAAAAATTAGCCAGACGCGGTGGCACGTGCCTGTAATCCCAGCTGCTCGGGAGGCTGAGGCTGGAGAATCACTTGAACCTGGGAGGCAGAGGTGGCAGTGAGCCAAGATCGCACCACTGTACTCCAGCCTGGCAACAGAGCGAGACTCCATTTCAAAAAAAAGAAAATTAGCTGGGTGTGATGGTACACACTTGTGGTCCCAGCTACTTGGGAGGCTGAGGTGGGAGGATCACTTGAGCCCAGGAGTTTGAGGCCACACTGAGCCGTGACTGTACCACTGCACTCCAGTCTGGGTGACAGAGTGAGATCCTGTTTCAAACTAAACTAAACTAGACTAAACTAAACTAAACTAAACTAAACTAGGTGAAGTTCATGAAACATAAAATTCACCATTTTATTTTATTTTATTTTATTTTATTTTATTTTATTTTATTTTATGTATTTTGAGACAGGGTCTCGCCCAGGCTGCAGTACAGTGGTTGTCATCATGGCTCACTGCAGCCTCAAACTCCTGGACTCAAGCAACCCTCCCACCTCAGCCTCCGGAGTAGCTGGAACTACAGGCATGCACCACCATGCCTGGCTAATTTTTAAATTTTTTTGTGGAGATGGGGTCTCACCACATTGCCCAGGCTGGTCTCGAGCTCCTGGGCTCAAGAGACACACCCACATCGGCCTCCCAAAGTGCTGGGATTACAGGTGTGAGCTACCATGCCTGGCCAATTCACCACATTTTATTTTATTTATTTAATTTTATTTTATTATTTTTTGAGACAGAGTCTTGCTCTGTTGCCCAGGCTAGAGTGCAGCGGCACAATCTTGGCTCACTGCAACCTCTGCCTCCCAGGTTTCAGCGATTCTCCTGCCTTAGCTTCCTGAGTAGCTAGGTTTACAAGCATGAGCCACCACACCCAGCTAATTTTTGTATTTTTAGTAGAGACGGGTTTCACCATGTTGGCCACGCTGGTCTCAAACTCCTGACCTCAGGTGATCTGCCCGCCTTGGCCTCCCAAAGTGCTGGGGTTACAGGCGTGAGCCACTGTGCCCAGTCAGAATTTTAAAGTTGACAATTGAGTGGTATTTTAGTACACTCATAATGTTGCACCCCTCACCTCTGTCTAGTTCCAGAACGTTTTCATCTCCCCAAAAGGAGACCCTGTCCCCATCAGCCGTCACTCCTCATTCCCCTTCCCTAACCCCTGGCAGCCACTCATCTGCTTCCTGTCTCTGTGGATTTGCCTGTTCTGGGCATTTCAGATCAACGAAATCTCACACTATGTGGCCTTTTGTGTCTGGCTTCTTTCACTCAGCATTATGTTCTCAGGGCTCATCCACATTGTAGCAGGGATCAGTGCTTCCTTCCTTTTCATGGCTACATAATATTTCATTGTATGGATGGACCAGGTTTTGTTTATCTTCGTCTATGGATGGACACTTGCATTGTTTCCACGTTTTTGCTGTTGTGAACATGCATGTGTAAGGTTTTGTTTGAACACCTGTTCCCTTTCTTTCTCTTTCTTTCTTTCTTTCCTTCTTTCTCTTTTTTTCCTTTTTTCTTTTTGGAGTCTCTCTCTGTTGCCCAGGCTGGAGTGCAGTGGCACCACCTCAGCTCACTGCAACCTCCACCTGGGAGGAGTGATTCTCCTGCCTCAGCCTCCCAAGAGCACACCACCACGCCCAGCTAATTTTTGTATTCTTTTTTTTAGTACAGACAGGGTTTCACCACGTTGGCCAGGCTGGTCTTGAACTCCTGACCTCAGGTGATGCACCCGCCTCAGCCTCCCAAAGTGCTGGGATCACAGGCATGAGCCACTGCACCCAGCCTGAACACCTGTTTCTTAATTCTCGGTATATACCCAGGAGTGGATTTGCTGGGTCAGGTGGTAAGTTATTTTATGTGTAAATTTTGGAGGAGCTCAAATGTTCCTCTTTGAAATGTATGTAAGGAAAGTAAATTGATGTAAGGAAAAAAAAAACACGGACCAATTTAGAGATAGATGTGATGTATCAAATAGCACAGGTGGTCAACAGAGTGGTTTAGGATGGCTTGGGATTTGGGAACTGCCTCCAGGAAGACAAGCAGCCACCTTTGAGCTTGATGGGTCACCCAGGTCTATCAGTCTGTATACCCTCTCTGTAGACAGCTGGTCGAGGTGGTCCGTGAGCGCTACCTGTCAGGATCCGAGAGAGCCAAGAGGCATGGCGTCCTGGCCGACTTCTTCTCAGGGACCTGGAGCCAGGGTACCAAGAAGCTCATCACTCTGCCACTTGTGGGGAAACCACTGAACTTGGACCGAAAGGTGAGGTACCTGGGACCCCCATTCCCCACCTGCAACCTCCACCCTGCCTGGCATTGCTCACCTCCTTCCTTCCCCTTTTTGCACTCGAAATGTCCTCCCGACCTACTTCTCCTTTCCGCACAGAGGGCAAGATGTCCCTTCTACTGTCCCCCCCACTCCTTTTTTTTTTTTTTTTTGAGACAGAGTCTTACTCTGTCGCCCAGGCTGGAGTGCAATGGCGTGATCTCAGCTCACTGCAACCTCTGCCTCCCAGGTTCAAGCCATTTTCCTGCCTCAGCCTCCCAAGTAGCTGGGATTACAGGCACCCGCCACCATGCCTGGCTAATTTTTGTATTTTTAGTAGAGACGGGGTTTCACCACGTTGGCCATACTGGTCTCGAACTCCTGCCTGGGCAACAGAGAGAAACTCTGTCTCAAAAACAAACAAACAAACAAAGTACAGAGTTATTGTGGACTCTTCTCCCTGATGTTAAAATCTTATATAACTGTTGTATAATGATTGCAACTAGGAAATTACACTTTTAATTCTTTGGTTATAGCTTGATGTTTCTTTTTCTCTGTCTTCCCTGCTGGACTGGGGAGGCTGGAGGCAGGACCAGGCTCTATTCTTTTTTTGGTGCTGCCTTTTCTTTTTCCCTCCCTCGCTTCCTTCCTTCCTTCCTTCCTGACAGAGTCTTGCTCTGTCACCCAGGCTGGAGTTCACTGGCATGATCTCAGGTCACTACAGCCTCTGCCTCCCAGGTTCAAGCGATTCTCCCACTCAGCCTCCCTAGTACCTGGGACTACAGGTGTGTGCCACTGCACCTGGCTAATTTTTGTATTTTTAGTAGAGACGGGGTTTTGCCATGTTGGCCAGGCTGGTCTCGAACTCCTGATCTCAAGTGATCTGCCTTGGCCTCCCAAAGCACTGAGATTACAGGCGTGTAATTACAGGTGGGATTACCACACCTAGCCTGGTGCTGACCCTTCTCTTCTCCCCCCGAGACCCATTCACAAATCCTTTCCTGTGTGCCCAGAGTCCCTGCAGACTCAGCTTCATCCTGCCTCTCCAGGACATGGTCTGAGCCCCTTTCATTCACCTAGCCTCTCAGTCTCTTGCCCTAGTGCATCCTCCCAAGGATGCTTCTGACCATCCAATCTGATTATGATTATGCCTCTTGTCTAAAACCTTCCATAGCTCCCCAGTGCCCTCAGTCTTGAGCCTGACCTACCCAGCCTGATATTCAGTGCCTTCGTGATCTGCTGCTTACAAGCTCCCTACTCTCATTTCCCACCCGCATCCCCTAACCTGACTTGTATAATTCAGTCCTCCCAAACTCAGCCTGCTCTTTCACACCTCCAGACCTTTGCCCATGCTGTTCCCTTGCCCTGGAATGCCATTGTTTTCTGACACATTTTGCCACATAGATGCCCACTTAATTCTGAGGCTCAGTTCCGATGCCTCTGCCTTCAGGAAACATTCCCTATTCCTCCCAGAAAGTCCCATGACCTCTGGCTTTGATTCTCTGAGTCCCAGATGTCGTCCTCTGCTCCAGCCCTGACCAATGGGCACATGGGGGTATGTCTGTCTTCCATTGCATTCTCGTCCACTCCAGCACTGTCTGGAGCATGAGGTGAATGAATGGGCTTGTGCGTGGAGTGAATGAATGGGTTTGTGTCCAAGCTGCAGTCTCCCTTCTCCTCTGCCAGGTGGCCCCGCAGCCTCTGTGGTTCTCACATACGGTTGCAAACCTGCGGAAGCTGAAGGAGTTGCCCTATCACCTGCTTCACTCGGGCCGCCTGGAGGAGCTGAAACAGGAGGTTCTGGGTAAGGGCTGCCCCCCATCTCAGAGGACCGAGCCTGGTGACTGCACCACGCTCCAGTCTTCTAGAGCCTGGGGAGGGTGAAGGGCAAACATGGAAATCCTTCGTTCCTCCTAAGGCAGAGGTTCTCACAAGGGGCAATTCTACACCCAGGGGATGCCTTACAGTGTCCGCAGATAGTTTTGGTTGTCACAGCTAGGGGAGAAGGCACTACTTGAATCTGGTGGGTGGAGGCCAGGAATGCTGCTTAATACCCTACAGTGCACAGGACACCCTACCACAGAAAATAATCTAGCTCCAAATGTTGGTGCATAGAGTGAAAACCCCTGCCTTATCATGAGAGACCCTATCTGTCTGTCTGTCTATTTGTCAGTCTGTTCATCCACCTATCCATCCATCCATCCATCCACCCATCTTCTGTCCATCCATCCATCCATCCATCCATCCATCCATCCATCCATCTAACTATCCATTTATCCACCCATCCATCTATGATCTCCTTATTGAGCCATGAGCTGGTTATAACCATCCATCCATCCATCCATCCATCCACTCATCCTTCTGTCTGTCCATCCATCCATCCATCATTCTATCTATCTATCCATGCACCCATTATATGTCCATTATCTATTCATTCATCTACCTTTCTGGTCATCCATCCATCCATCCACCCATCATTCTATCCATCCACCCACCTATCTTTCTGTTTGTCCATCCATGCACCAATCCACCCAACATTCTTTCTATCTCCCTCTCTCTCTCTCTCTATCCATCCATTCACCAATCCCCGTGATTCTTAACCAGAAGAGATTCTGCCCCCCCAGGGGACACTTGACAATGTCTGCAGACATGTTTGATTGTCACACTTGGGGTGGGAGTGCTACTGGTATCTGGTGGGTGGAGGCCAGGGTTGCTGCTTTACATCCCACAATGCATAGTTCAGCCCCTTACCACAGAGAATGATCCTGCCCCAGTGTCACTACTGCTGAGCCTGAGATGCCCTGGAGGAAATGGAGAGATGATTCTCCACCTCCCAGGATGAACTGGAGGGAGGTAGGCACTTCCCACATCCTCCCCCCTTCTCTCCCTCAGGCAGCATGAGCTGGATTTCCTGCCGGGGCATCTCTGGGGGCATTGAAGACCTGCTGGATGACTTTGACCTGTGTGCCCCTCACCTGGACTCCCCTGAGGTTGGCCTGGTCCGTGAAGCCCTCCAGCTCTGCCGCCCTGCTGTGGAGCTCCGAGGCATGGGTGAGTCCAGATGGCCTGGATAGGAGTGACCAGGACGGGCACTGACTTCTAGAAACATGCTCTCCTCATTGAGTCATGAGCTGGATTTTCATCAATTCTCATACCTTTCCTGTCTAAACATGTGAATTTTCCCCCAGCAGTGCTTCTAGAATTTTTTTTGACATGTGGTATCGCTGTGTCACCCAGGCTGGAGTTCAGTGGTGCAATCGTAGCTCACTGTAGCCTCAGACTCCTGGGTTCAAATGCTCCTCCCACCTCAGCCTCCTGAGTAGCTAGGACCACAGGTATGCACCACTGTGCCTTGCTAATTTTTCTATTTTTCGTAGAGACAGGGTCTCACTGTGTTGCCCAGGCTAGTCTCAAACTCCTGGGCTCAAGGGATCTTCTTGCCTCAGCCTCCCAGAGTGCTAGGATTATAGATAGACATGAGCCATGGCGCCTGGCCTAGAATTTTAAATTGAGCCTGGGAGAGCTTTGGACTGAATACTACCAAAGCAGGGCCCATCCTGTTGCCCTGGACTTTTCTTTAGAAAGTGCCAGGTAGGGCTGGGCGCAGTGGCTCACACCTGTAATCCCAGCACTCTGGGAAGCCGAGGCAGGCAGATCACAAGGTCAGAAGTTTGAGACCAGCCTGGTCAATATGGTGAAACCCTGTCTCTACTAAAAATACAAAAATTAGCAGGGTGTGGTGGTGGGCACCTGTAGTCCCAGCTACTCGGGAGGCTGAGGCAGGAGAATTGCTGGAACCTGGGAGGCGGAGGTTACAGTGAGCCGAGATCGCACCACTGCACTCCAGCCTGGGCAACAGAGTGAGACTCCGTCTCAAAAAAAAAAAAAAAAAAAGAAAGAAAGAAAAGAAAGCACCAGATAGGAACTATTTCGAGAAAACTCGAGGAAATTATGTAGGTACATATATGATAAGAGAGAAAACAAAGTTCCCACATATTTTTTATTGATGAAATTCAAAATATAATAATAACTGAGTACAAAACTTCAGGTTCAGAGTTGGTTTTCACTATTATCTGGTCCATTGCAAACACATGGCTGTAAAAATTATTCTCAGGCTGAGCATGATGGCTTACACCTGTAGTCCCAGCTACTTGGGAAGGTGAGGTGGGAGGATCAATTGAGCCTGGGAGGTCGAGGCTGCAGTAAACTGTGATTGCTCCGCTGCATTCCAGCCTGGGTGACAGAGCGAGACCCTGTCTCAAAACGAACAAACCAAAAAAAAACTTATTTCTAGCTCCCAGATGACTTGGGCTGGGTCTGGCCCTCAGACTGCAATTTGCTACTCCCTGCCCTAGAGCTTGAAGAATCTCTCCAAGTCTTTAGACGCTCTGGCCATGAGGATGTTCTGTTTGGTTTTGTTTTAATTATAGCAAAATACATGTCTTAACCATTTTTTTTTTTTGAGACAGGATCTCGCTTCATTACCCAGGCTAGAGTACAGTGGCATGATCTCAGCTCACTGCAACCTCCGCCTATCAGGCTCAAGAGATCCTCCTACCTCAGCCTTCTGAGTAGCTGAGACTACTGACATGTATCATCATGCCTGGCTAATTTTTGTATATTTTGTAGAGACGGGATTTTGCCATGTTTCACAGGCAGGTCTTGAACTCCTGGACTCAAGCAATCCTCCTGCCTCAGACTCCCAAAGTGCTGGGATGACAGGCATGAACCACTGTGCCTGACCCCCATCTTAACCATTTTTATGTGTGCAGTTCAGTGATTAAATATATTAATAATGTGCAGCTATCACCACCATTCATCTCCAGAACTTGTTAATCTTCCTAAAGTGAAACTCTGTTTTCATTAAACATTCACTCCCTGTACTAGTCTGTTTTCACACTGCTATAAAGAAACACCCAAGACTGGGTAATTTACAAAGGAAAGAGGTTTAATTGACTCATAGTTCTGCATGGCTGGGAAGGCCTCAGGAAACTTACAATCATGGCAGAAGGGAAAGAGGTGCGTCTTTTTTTTTTTTTTTTTTTTTTTTTTTGGTGAGACAGAGTCTCGCTCTGTCGCCCAGGCTGGAGTGCAGTGGTGCGATCTCGGCTCACTGCAAGCTCCGCCTCCTGGGTTCATGCATGGCAGCAGGCGAGAGAGAGGGAGCAACTGCCTTATAAAACCATCGGACGGCCAGGTGTGGTGGCTCACGCCTATAATCCCAGCACTTTGGGAGGCCGAGGCAGGCAGATCACTTGAGGTCAGGAGTTTGAGACCAGCCTGGCCAACATGGTGAAACCCCAGCTCTACTAAAAATACAAAAATTTGTCAGGCGTGGTGGCACATGCCTGTAGTTCCAGCTACTTGAGAGGCTGAGGTGGGAAAATTGCTTGAACACGGGCGGCAGAGGTTGCAGTGACCAGAAATCCCACCATGCACTCCAGCCTGGGTGACAGAGTGAGACTGTGTCTCCAATAAAACCCAAAAAACCATCAGATCTCGTGAAAACTCACTGTCATGAGAACAGCATGGGGGAACCACCCCCATGATCCAATCACCTCCCACCTGGTCCCTCCCTCAACATGTGGGGATTATGGGGATTACAATTCAAGATGAGATTTGGGTAGGGACACAGAGCCAACCCATATCTCTCCCCATTCTCCCTTCACCCCAGTCCCTGGCAACCACCATGCTATTTTCTGTCTCTATAAATTTGACTGCTTTAGGTATTTCATATAAGTGGTATTTTACAGTATTTGTCCTTTATTCTCTGACTTCTCTTACTGAGCAGAATGTCCTCAAGTTTCATCCACATTGTAGCATATGTCAGAATTTCCTTCCTTTTTTTTTTTTTTTTTTTTTTTTTGCACGACAGAGTCTCGCTCTGTCACCCAGGCTGGAGTGCAGTGGCACGATCTCAGCTCACCGCAACCTCCACCTCCTGGGTTGCTCAAGCAATTGTCCTGCCTCAGCCTCCAGAGTAGCTGGGATTACAGGTGTGTGCCACCACATGCAGCTAATTTTTGTATTTTTTAGTAGAGATGGGGTTTTGCTATGTTAGCCAGGCTGGTCTCGAACTCCTGACCTCATGTGATCTGCCCACCTTGGCCTCCCAAAGTGCTGGGATTACAGGCTTGAGCTACCATGCCTGGCTAAGAATTTCCTTCCTTTTCAAGGCTAAGAATTTCCTTCCTTTTAAAGGCTTAATAATATTGCATTGTATGAATATGCCACATTTTGTTTATCCGTTCATCTGTCTGTGGACATTTGTGTGTTTCTACCTTTTGGATATTGTGAAAAGGAATCACTAGATCACATGGAAATTTTGTGTTTAACTTTTTGAGGAACGACCACTTCATTTTCCACAAAAGCTACACCATTTTATAATCAAACTATGGGAGACAATAAATAATATCTTTTTCTCTACCCTTTTATGTTCAGTGATAGGGGCCTGTGAATTAAGACAGCTTAACAGGAGAAAGGGCTCACACATTTTAATTTTACATGCACAGAAGTTTCACAGAAAAGTGAAAACTCAAAGGAGTGTTTAGACCTGGGGCCTTAAATACCATGTTAACAAAGAGCAATAAATTGTGAGCTGAATTCACAAAGGAAGGGGGAGTATTCAAGATGCTTAAGTCTCTGTATCCAAAGTGCTTCCCCATGGATGTGAATAGGATGTTAAAAAGGATGACCAGTGGCCTGTGATTCCTATGCAGAGCTTCTAATCCTGGCCCTGCAAACCATCCTTGAACTATCTGCTTCTCTTTATTCTCCTGGCCATCAGCCCAGGGCCAGTGCTGCTGTCTCTCCTCCAGACAGCATCCTCGGAGGTCTGCCTACTTTGGATTCATTCTTACCCTTTGGTTTATTTTCCATACAGCACTCAGAAGAATCTTGAAAGCCCAAAACGGCCGGGGTGGCTCAAGCCTGTTATCTCGGCACTTTGGGAGGCTGAGGCAGGTGGATCACTTGATGCCAGGTGTTCAAGAGACAGGGAACAAAAGCTGGGAAAATTGCCTTATAAAACCATCAGATGGCCAGGTGTGGTGGCTCATGCCTATAATCCCAGCACTTCGGGAGGCTGAGGCAGGCAGATCACTTGAGGTCAGGAGTTTGAGACCAGCCTGGCCAACAGGGTGAAACCCCATCTCTACTAAAAATGCAAAAATTAGCCAGGCACGGTAGCACGCACCTGTAATCCCAGTTACTCGGGAGGCTGAGGCAGGAGAATTGCTTGAACCCAGCAGGCAGAGGTTGCAGTGAGCCGGGATCACACCACTGCACTCCAGCCTTGGCGACAGAGCAAAATTCCATTAAAAAAAAAAAAGAGCCCAAATCTCACTAAGTATCTCTATTGAATCTTCTAGATGGTTCTCCCATTGTCCTTGGGATAATGACCTTTCCAGTACTGTAGCCTACATGGCTGTGTATGACTCACTCTCCTGGGAGATGCTTGTCTCCATCCTTACTGCCCCAGACAGTGATGGAAACATCCAAGCTTGCGTGCCGGGGGCCCTGGGCTGGGACTCGCCTCCCCCAGCCCTTCTGTGGCAACTTTGGAGCTCAGCTAAATGCGATTCCTCAGAGAAGCCTTGTCTGGCCACCACTGAAGCTTAACTTCTCTATGTCTCCCCGATCCTTGCCTCTGAATTTTCTATCACTGCACCCTGTTTTCCATCTGTCTTGGCTCTTTTTCTTTTTTCTTTTTTTAGAGACAAAGTCTTGCCCTGTTGTCCAGGCTGGAGTGCAATGGCATGATCATAGCGCACAGCACCTTCAAACTCCTGGGCTCCAGTGGTCCTCTCACCTCAGCCTCCCAAGTAGCTGGGACCACAGGTGCACACCACCACCCCTGGCTTGTCTTTGCCTTTAATTATGATTTCTCTTGGTTTTCTTTTGCATCATCTGTCTGCCACATCAGACTCTGAGCTCCATAAGGCCAATGGCATCATCTGTTTTCTCCCTGCCAAATTTTTACCTTTAACACATTGATATGGTTTGGCTGTGTCCCCACCCAGCTATCATCTTGAATTGTATTTCCCATAATCCCCACACATTGAGGGAGGGACCAGGTGGAGATAATCGAATCATGGAGGTGTTTTCCTCCATGCTGTTCTCCTGATACTGAGTAAGCTCTCAAGAGATCTGATGGGGCTTTTTAAAATAAGGGGCTTCCCCCTTTGCTCAGCTCTCATTCTTCTCTCTCCTCCCGCCTTGTGAAGAAGGGCGTGTTTGCTTCCCCTTCCACCGTGATTGTAAGTTTCCTGAGGCCTCCCCAGCCCTGCAGAACTGTAGGTCAATTAAACCTCTTTCCTTTATAAATTACCCAGTTTCAGGTATGTCTTTATTAGCAGCATGAGAACAGACAAATACACACAGAGACCACAAATTTTGAGCCCCACCGTGTCCATTGAAATCTTGGCGCTGCCACTTCTTGGCAGTGTGACCTTGCAAACCCTTTACCATCCCTCCCCCTGCCCCACAGCCCTCAGTTTTCCCATCTGCAGAATAGGGATGCTGAGTGACCATCCCACCTAGGGCTGCTGGGAAGAGTACGCGCATCAGTTCACACAGAACCTCCACCCGTGTTGCCATCGAGGGTCCTGTTACTGTCATATGATAGCATTGTTGACATGAATAGCCTAGGATGAGCTATTTCTGCCCTGAAACCCTATTTTTGTCATCTGCAAAATGTGCAATTGAACTAAAATGTGTCCAGAACTCCACCCAATGTGAAGATGCTGGTGCCTGCAATCATTTATGCCTTTCTTATGCATTCACACAACCCCTACTGATTATCTGCCATAGCCCCAGCTCCCACAGGGACCTAAATATAGTTAATGTTTGTCTCAGCCTTTAAGAGAGGGAGATGGGGCCGAGTGCGGGGGTTCACGCTTCTAATCCCAGCACTTTGGGAGGCCCAGACAGAAGGATTGCTAGAGGGCAGGAGTTCAAGACCATCCTGGGCAACATAGCGAGACCCTATCTCTGTAAAAAAAAATTAATTAGTTAAAAATAGATAGATGGCTGGGCACAGTGGCTCACGCCTGTAACCCCAATACTTTGAGAAGCCGAGGCAGGCAGATTGCTTGAGGCCAGGAGTTTGAGACCAGCCTTGGTGACAGTGAAACCCCATCTCTACTAAAAATACAAAAATTAGCCGGGTGTGGTGGTGCATGCCTGTAATCCCAGCTTCTTGGGAGGCTGAGGCACGAAAATTGCTTGAACCCGGGAGGCAGATGTTGCGGTGAGCCGAGATCACGCCACCGCACTCCAACTTGCACGACAGAGCAAGACTCTGTCTCAAAATACACAAATAAATAAAGAGAAGGAGATGGAACAGCATACCAAACAACTGGAATTTAAGGCAACTGGAAAGAAAAATAACGCGAGAGGCGCTCGCCAGGAGTTGTAAACCTTGATGGAGCAACTTCCCAGGAAAACAGCCTTGGGCATGACTTCCCATTTTAAGGAAGATTTAAAAGCCCAGATCTCTCAGCAAGTTCCCTGCAAAGCCCCTTGATTGACAACCTGTGGCTCCCCCAGCACAAGGAGGAGGTGTAGGAACAAATGTTATCACCAGAGGGCGCTGCTGGACAACCATGTGCTCTCCGTACATCCAAGCACGCTGGCGAATGGGGACCATTCAACATAACATCCTAAATGATCCAACGCGATCACGAGTCCTTTTTTTTTTTTTTTTTTGAGAAGGAGCCTCGCTCTGTCACCCAACTTCTGCCTCCTGGGTTCCAGCGATTCTCCTGTCTCAGCCTCCCGAGTAGCTGGGATTACAGGCCTGCGCGCCACCATGCTCGGCTAATTTTTCTTAATAGCCCATTTTTTAATAGAACGGTTTTAGGTTCACAGCAAAATTGAGTGAAAGGTACAAAGATTTCCAATATATCCCTCCTCTGATCCTACTTTTATTGAAAAGGTTGAGTCTGAGCACAGTGGCTCACGCCTATAATTCCAGAGCTTTGAGGGGTCGAGGAAGGAGGATATCTTGAGCCCAGAAGTTTGAGACCAGCCTGGGCAACATAACGAGACCCCGTCTCTACAAAAAATAAAAAACTAACGAGGCGTGGTGACGTGCATCTGCAGTCCCAGCTAATATAGAGGCTGTGGCCGGAAGATCGCTTGAGCCCAGGAGTTTGAGGCTGCAGTGAGCTGCGATCGTGCCACTGCACTCCAGCCTGGGTGACAGAGTAAGACCCTGTCTCTAAAAAAATAAATAGCCAGGCGCGGTGGCTCATGCCTGTAATCCCAGCACTTTAGGAGGCCGAGGCAGGTGGATCACTTGAGGTCAGCCCAGCCAACATGGTGAAACCCCGTTTCCACTAGACACACAAAAATTAGTTGGGCCTGGTGGCGGGCACCTGTAGTCCCAGCTATTAGGGAGGCTGAGGCAGGAGAATCGCTTGAACCTGGGAGGTGCAGGTTGCAGTGAGCCAAGATCGCACCATTGCACTCCAACCTAGGTGACAGGCTAAAATTCCATCTCAAAAATAAATAAATAAAATAAAATAAAACAAACAAATAAATTAGCTGAGTGTGGTGGCGCATGCCTGTAGTCCCTAGTATTTGGGAGGCTGAGATGGGAGGATTGCTTGAGCCCAGAAGTTTGAGGCTGCAGTTAGCTTTGATCATGCCACTGCACTCCAGCCGGGACAACAGAGTGTGATAAAAGAGGAAGGAAGAAAGGAAGGGAGAGAGGGAGAGAAGAAGGGAGGGAGGAAGGAAAGGGAAGCATTCTAGGCAACCTGGGCAAAGGCTGGAGACTGGAAACAGCTGGGTGCCTCTGAAGCAAGGGTAAGTGTGTCTGGAGAGCAGAGAAGGAGACAGGAGCGGACAGCAGAGGCCAGTAGCTGAGGTATTGTGTCTTCTTTTGTTCTGGAGCCCCTGCAGGGAGCAGAGACTCAATTGGCAGGGAGGGTAGAGGGGGCTCAATCCAGGCAACTTAGTCTACATCCCTTTGTTGCAGAGAGGAGCCTCCTGTACACAGAACTGCTGGCCAGACTCCATTTCTTCGCCACCTCACATCCAGCACTGGTGGGACAGCTATGCCAACAGGCCCAGAGCTGGTTCCAGTTGTGCGCACACCCTGTGCTGGTGCCCCTCGGAGGATTCCTCCAGCCCCCGGGAGGACCCCTCCGGGCAACTCTCAGCGGCTGTCACAAAGGTGAGTCTCCCCAGCATAGCAAAAATCCCAGCAGGCACCTGCTTGCCTGGGGGCAGTGAAGGCCAGGTGTTTGAGGTTGTCCTCTGGGACTCCCCTGTGCTAGTTGGGAGGCCCCAAGCTTGCCATCAGAGCCTGCCCCTGCTGTCTCATGCTGAATCAGCTCTCTCTGCCCCACCTCAAGGGACTGTAGATGTCTCATATAAATTCTTCTAATGAGCCCGATGCTAGGGGGTGCCTCCAAGCTTCCCATCTCCAAGGGATTGGTGCCCATCTGACAGTTTCAGCTATTTACAAGCTCATGCTAGTAATTCTGAAAGCTAGGAACTGATGCCTGACAGTCCTCTGAGAAGCTGAAGGAACTGTAAGCAGCCCTTGGAATCCCAGAATGTAAGGGAGAGGAGAGGATTTAGGTTTTGCCATCCATTTGTCATTCATTTTTTTCTTCCTTCCATTCATCCAACCATCTATGCATCCATCCTTTCATTCACCTTCCTACTCTTCCATCCAATTACCCTCCCATCCATTCATTCATCTCTCTATCTACCTCCCACCCTTCCATTCATCTATCCATCCATCCACCAGCCTCCCACCCACCCATCCATTCATCCATCCATCTATCCATCCATCCATCCATCCATCCATCCATCCATCCATTAATTCACCTTCCTACTCTTCCATCCAATTACCCTCCCATCCATTCATCCATCTATCTACACTCCCACCCTTCCATTCATCTATCCATCCATCCATCCACCGTCCTCCCACCCACCCATCCATTCATCCACCCATCTTCTCTGCCACCCTTCCATCCATCTACTGCCCCATCCATCCATCCATCCATCCACCTTCCCACTCTCCCATCCATCTATCCTCCCACCCTTCCATCCATCTATCCATCCATTCACTCATCCACCCACCCATTCATACATCAGTTGTCCATTCATCCAATCATCTACCCACCCTTCCATTTATCCATCAATTCATCTATCAAACCACTTTCCTCTCCATCCATCCATCCATCCATCCTCCCACCCATCCACCCATCCATCTACCCACCCTGCTACCTTTCCATCCATCTATCCCCCATCTCTAAATCCATCTACCCTCCCACTCTTTCATTCATCTACTGTTCCACTGTTCCATCCATCCACCCATCCACCCATCCATCCATCTATCCATCTACCCTACCACTGTTTCATTTATCTAGCCCCATTCATCCATCCACCCATCCGTTATTCATCGATTCATCAAATCATTTACTCACCTTTTCATTAATCTATCCATCCATCCATTCATCAAATCACCTTCCCATCCTTTCATCCGTCCATCCACCCACCCTTCCATCCACTCACCCACCTACACACCTTTCCTTCCATCCATCCACTCACCCATCCATTCATCCATTCATTCATCCTTCAACCCTTTCTTTCTTCCTTCCTTCCTCTCTTCTATCCACCCATCAGTCATCCACCCCTCTACCCACTTATCCTTCCATTTTCTTCATCTGATCATCTTCCATTCATTCACTTACGCCTCCACCCATCCACACACTTAGCCATTCATCAACTTTCTCACTTCAATTTCATCGAGAAACTGATTCCTCCATCTACCCATCTACCTGCCCATCCATTCACCCACTCACTCATCCAACTAGCCACCTGTCTACCCACTCATTTACCTCCATTCACCCATCTATTTATCTGCCCACCCACAATCTCTCACACTGATTGTGAGACCACTGAGTTCACTTGTGGTTCAAATGTCAGAGCTCCTTACTGTGCCACATGACCTGGCAGTGAGAGCTGCACTCCCCAGGCACATTATTTTCAAAATAGAAATGCTAAGAGACACTAAGTACAATGCATGGAGGAGTTGATTTAGGGGCAGCCACTAGAATGCTGTGTTGAGGATTCTAAGACTGAAGCTAGCTTAGTGGGAAAGAGTGTGTATTTGTTAGAATATAGGCTCAGATGTTGTAAAAAAAAATGGCCAAAATATCAGTGGCTTAAATAAGATAGGAGTTTAATTCTCTCTTTTGAAATAGTTCAAGCAAAAGCAGAGGCAAGAGGGAGTCTTTAGGGTGTCTGGGACCCATACTCTTTCAGTCTGGCGCTCTGCCATTTTCAGTGTAGGGCTGTCCTCGTTGGCCCAATATAGCTGCTCCAACTCCTACCATCAAGATGGCATTCCAGCCAGTGGGGAATAGGAGAAGCAGATGGCAGGCCTCTTCATTTTAAGGGCACGACCTGGAAGCAGAACTAAATATTTCCACTCCTGTCTCATTGGCAAGAACTTGGATATCTCCAACTGTAAGGAAGCCTGGGAAATATGTTTTTATATTTTTATTTTTATTTTTACTTTTTATATGGAGTTTTGTTCTTGTCGCCCAGGCTGGAGTGCAGTGGCGCAATCTCGGCTCACTGCACCTCTGCTTCCCAGATTCAAGCCATTTTCCTGCCTCAGCCTCCCAAGTAGCTGGGATTACAGGCACATGCCACCATGCCTGGCTAATTTTTGTATTCTTGGTAGAGACAGGGTTTCACCATGTTGGCCAGGCTGGTCTCAAACTCCTGACCTCAGGTGATCGCCTACCTTGGCCTCCCAAAGTGCTGGGATTACAGGGTTGAGCCACTGTGCTCAGCCAGGGAAATGTGGTCTTTGTGCGGATAACTATGTACTCAGCTAAAACCTGTAGGCTTTTGGGTTTTATTACTAAAGGTGAGATGATAGAATGACTATGGGGGCACAAATCGCACATAGTGCTGTGATTGATTAATGATGTCTGTCATGGCACAGGCATAGGAAGTTACAGCTTAGCGTGACATTTTTCTCATCTCTGGGGCAGGGAAATGTTCTGTGTTTCAGATCCACTGTGCCCCGCTGTACATCCTCTAGTTCTGTTAAAGTTGAGAAAGTTCTTACCTGTGTGGACTTCAGTTTGTTCATTTTTAATATGAAAAGTATGGCCAGGCATGGTGGCTCACGCCTGTAATCCCAGCGCTTTGGGAGGTTGAGGCAGGTGGATCATGAGATCAGGAGTTCAAGACCAGCCTGGCCTACATGGTGAAACCCTGTCTCTACTAAAAATACAAAAATTAGCCGGGCGTTGTAGCGGACACCTGTAATCCCAGCTACTCTGGAGGCTGAGGCAGGAGAATTGCTTGAAACTGGAAGGCGGAGGTTGCAGTGAGCGGAGATCGTTCCACTGCACTCCAGCCTGGGCGAAAGAGTAAAACTCCGTCTCACAAAAAAAAAAAAAATGAAAAGTATGAGTTAATATTTCCAAGGTCACACAATGAGTGCATAAGAAAAAAAGTAAAAGGGGCTGAGCACAGTGATTTATGCCTATAATCCCAGCTCTTTGGGAGGCCAAGGCAAGAAGATCTCTTGGGCCGAGATGTTCAAGACCAGCCTGGGCAACATAAGGAGACCTTGCCTCTACAAAAAGTTAAAAAAAAAAAAAAAAAAAAAAGCTGGTCATGGTGGTATGTGCCTATAGTCTCAGCTACTCAGGAGGCTAAGATGGGAGAATGGCTTGAGCCCAAGAGTTCGAGGCTGCAGTGAGCTGTGATTGTGGCACTGCACTCCAGCCTGGGTGATAGAGTGAGACCCTATCTGAAAAAAAAAAAGAAGAAGAAAAGGAAGGGAAGGAGAGTGGGGAGGGGAAGGGAGGGAAAGGAGAGGGAAGAGGGAAGGAACTGGAGGGAAGGGAAAGGGAACTGGAGGGAAGAGGGAAGGGAAGGGGAAAGGGGAAGAAAGGGAAGGGGAGGGAAGGGGAAAGGGGAAGAAAGGGAAGGGGAGGGAAGGGGAGGGGAAAGGGGAGGGAAGGGAAGGGGAAGGGAAAGGGGAGGGAAGGGAAGGGGAGGGGAAAGGGGAGGGAAGGGAAGGGGAGGGGAAAGGGAAGGGGAGGGGAGGGAAGGGGAGGGAAGGGGAAGGGAAAGGGGAGGGAAGGGGAGGGGAGGGAAAGGGAGGGAAGAGAAGAGGAGGAAAGGGGAGGGGAAAGAGGAGGGAAGGGAAGGGGAGGGGAAAGAGGAGAGAAGGGGAGGGGAGGGGAAGGGAGGGGAGGGAAGGAGAGGGAAAGGGAGGGAAGGGGAAGGGAAAGGGGAAGGAAGGGAAGGAAAGGGGAGGGAATGGGAGGGGAGGGAAGAGGAGGGAAGGGGAAGGGAAAGGGGAGGAAAGGGAAGGGGAGGGGAGAGGTGAGAAAGGGATGGGAGTGAAGAGGGAGAGAAGGGGAGGGGAAGGAGAGGAGGGGATAGGGGAGGGGAGGGGAAAGTGGAGGGGAGGGGAAAGGGGAGGGAAGTGGAGGGGAAGGGGGAGGGAAGGGGAAGGGAAAGGGGAGAGCAGGGGAAAAAGGAGGGAAGGAGAAAGGGGAGGGAAGGGAAGGGAAGGGGAGGGAAGGGGATGGGAGGGAAAGGAAGGAGAGGGGAGGGAATGAGAGGGTAGGGAAGAGGAGGGAAGGGGAAGGGAAAGGGGAGGGAAGGGAAGGGAAGGGGAGGGAAGGGAAGAGGGAGAGAAGGGGAGGGGAAAGGGAAGGGAAGAGGGGGGAAGGGGAGGGGAGAGGAAAGGGGAAGGAAAGAGAAAGGGGAGGGGAAGGAAAGGAAAGGGAGGGAAGGGAAAGGGAAGGAAAGGAAAGGGAGGGAAGGGAAAGGGAAGGAAATGGAGGAAGGGGGAGGGAAGGGAAAGGGAAGGAAGGGGAGGGAAGGGAAAGGGAGGGAAGGGGAGGAGAAGAAAGGAAAAGAAAACAAATCCCATCTCCTCACTCTCTGTCCCGATGAGGTGGAAACAAAATTCTGTATTCTCAGAGCTTGACGGGCTCTGATTCAGCACCACCCATTTTACACATGTGGAAGAGGCACACAGAAGGAAAAGGACTTCCTTTCTTTACTCCAGGACATTCAGAAAGTTCAGTTTCTTAGTGTCTAGGCCCACGTTTTCTCCAATATATCTTGGCCCTTCTCTCTCTGCAGTGATATTTTAATCAAACTCCACCAGGCAGAGATCCTTGGGGTGTGTTTGCCCAATTCATTGGCAAATATATATTTTTTTTCTTTAGGACATCAGCCCTTGTTTTTCTACACCAGTTGAACTCAGAGATGTCAAAAACATAATCCTCATTCTCAGCCAATATAATTTCTTTCTTTCTTTTCTTTTCTTTCTTCTTCTTCTTCTTCTTTTTTTTTTTTTTGTTGTTGTTGTTGTTGTTGAGACAGAGTCTCCCTCTCTCACCCAGGTTGGAGTGCAGTGGTGTGATCTCAGCTCACTGCAACCTCCACCTCCTGGGCTCAAGTCATTCTCTGGCCTCAGCCTCCCGAGTAGCTGGGATTACAGGTGTGCTTCACTATGCCTGGCTAATTTTTATATTTTTAGTAGAGACTGGGTTTCTCCATGTTGGACAGGCTGGTCTTGAACTCCTGACCTCAAGTGATCCGCCCACCTCGGCCTCCCAAAGTTTGGCCTCCCAAAGTATTGGCCTCCCACAGTGCTGGGTGGCATGAGCCACCGTGCCCGGCCATGGCCAATGTGATTTTGTTTCTGAGTTTTCTTCAACTAAGGCAGGGTTTCTCAGCCATGGCATTGCTGACTTCTGGGGCTGAATCTTTCTCTGGGATGGGGTTGTCATGCGTTGCTGGGTGTTGAACAGCATCCCTGGCCTGCACCCACCAGATGGCAGTACTGTCCTTGAGCATCCTTGTCCCCATTGTGGCACCTCAAGATGTCTCCAGAAACCGATATGTGTCCGCTGGGTGAGCACTGCTAGACTAGACAGACACTTATGACCACACTGTGATGCAGTCCCCTTCCCTACCTAAGAGCGAAGTGAATGTCACAGGCCAGAGTGTGAATCTGTGCATCTGAGTCTGCGAATCTAATCCTTGCTGTGCAGCTTTGGGCAAGGGACCAAATCTCTCTGTGCCTCAGTTGTCTTATCTGTGAAGTGGGGGGCTCATTAGAGGACCCCATAGCTGAATACTTGGACACAGGAACTGAGATCATTGCTGTTGCCTCTGTGTGGCTGCAGGCATCACCGCCATGGCATGGGGTGTGGAGGAGAAGCTGCTGGTGATTGGCACCCAGGATGGCATCATGGCTGTGTGGGACATGGAAGAGCAGCATGTGATCCACATGCTAACTGGACACACAGGTGAGACTTGGGAAGTGGGCTTTGTGGTCAGCTTCCATAGTGAAAAGTTGGTTCTCAGAGCCCCTTCCCCACAGATTCACTTCTCTGTATTGAAACCCTGGCCTTTGTTCCTGCATCACTTAGCTATAGTTGCATAATGAACCATCCCCAAACACAGTAGTTTCAAACAAGCCATTTCTTTTTCTTTTTAAATATGGGATCTCACTGTATTGCCCAGGCTGGAGTGCAGTGGTGTGTTTATAACTCACTGCAGCCTCAAACTCCTGGGCCAAGTGATCCTCCTGCCTCAGCCTCCTGAGTAGCTGGGACTACAAGCACATACCACTATACCCAGCTAATTTTTTAATGTTTTTAGAAATGGGGTCTTGCTATGTTGCCCAGGCTGGTCTGAAACTCTTGGGCTCAAGTGATCCTCCCTCCTTAGCCTACCAAGTAGCTGGGATTACAAATTTGAGCCACAAACAAGCTATTTCTTTAGCTCACTTCCTGTGCATTGGCAATGCAGGCTGGACGCAGCTGGGCAGTTTTCTGCTCTCAGCTGGGCTTGCTCATGTATCTGCAGTCAGTCAGTGGATTATCTAGGAGCTGGCTGAATCTGAATATTTTCAAATGAGGCAACTCAACTTTGCTCCACGTGGTCTGTCATCATTCAGCGTCCTTCAGGTCTCTCATCCCCAGCAAAGGCAAGGTTTCTTTTTTTTTTTTTTTGAGACGGAGTCTTGCTCTGTCGCCCAAGCTAGAGTGCAGTGGTGCAATCTCGGCTCACTGTAAGCTCTGCCTCCCAGGTTCACGCCATTCTCCTGCCTCAGCCTCCCGAGTAGCTGGGACTACAGGCGCCCGCCACCATGCCTGGCTAATTTTTTATATTTTTTAGTAGAGACGGGGTTTCACCGTGTTAGCCAGGATGGTCTCAATCTCCTGACCTTGTGATCCACCCACCTCGTCCTCCCAAAGTGCTGGGATTACAGGCGTGAGCCACCGTGCCCAGCCAAAGGCAGGGTTTCAAGAAAACAAGTAGGCACTCACAGAATCTCTTAAGCCTGGACTTGGAGTTGGCACCTGGTCACATTCACATTCTCTTGACCAAAGGAATTCACAAGAGCAGTCCAGTAGGGAAATAGGCTAAATAGGCTTTCTGCCTTCTTTTCTTTTCTCTTTCCTTTCCTTTCCTTTCTCTTCTCTTTCCTTTTCTTTTTCTCATTCTTTTTTTCTGACAGGGTGTTGCTCTGTTGCCCAAGCTGGAGTGCAGTGGCACAATCTCAGCTCACTGCACTCTCAGCCTCCTGGGCTCAAGCAATCCTCCCATCTCAGCCTCTTGAGTAGCTGGGACTGCAGGCACACACCACCACACCTGGCTGATTTTTGTATTTTTTGGTAGAGACAGGGTCTCACTATGTTGCTGAGGCTGGTCTCAAGCTCCTGAGCTCAAGCAATCCTCTCGCCTTGTCCTTCCAAAGTGCTGAGATTACAGGTGTGAGCCACTACACCCAGCCTAGGCTTCATTTTTTGATGGGAGGAGCTGCAAAGTCACATTGCCAAGGATGTGGATCAGTAAGGGTAAAGAATTGTGGTCCTTTTTGCATTTGTCGACCTCAGATCCTAAGTAAGGTTGTTTATTTCTACATAGTCCCTTAACAGATATGGCTTATTTCTGTAATCAATTGTTGAGTGCCTGCTGAGTACCAGGTCCTGTTCTAGATGCTGAAGAGAGATAGACGAGGGTCGGGACTAGGATGGAAAACTATTCATTCTTGAAGACTAATCTCAAGGGTCCTCCCTTTGGGAGAGATGATTCCCACAGTAGAGTTCATAACTAGCTACCTTGTGCTCTCCTGCAGCTTGATATACATAGGACCACATTGGCTAAGACTACAGTTGGCTGGGCGTGGTGGCTTATCCCAGCACTTTAGGAGGCTGAGGCAGGCAGATCATTTAAGCTCAGGATTTTGAGACCAGCTTGGGCAACATGGTGAACCCACATCTCTACAAAAAATGCAAAAATTAGCCAGGCATGGTGGTGCACACCTTTAGTCCCAGCTACTTGGGAGGCTGGGGCATGAGAATCGCTTGAGCTCAGGAGATTGGGGCTACAGTGAGCTGTGATTACACCACTGTACTCTAGCCTGTGCAACACAGCGAGACCCTATCTCAAAAAAAAAAGCAAGACTACATTTATTTGTTGACCTGAGATCTTATTACTATTGTTTGAGGGCAAGGGTTATGTTTTATTCAACATACTCCATGCTTATTTGTTGAATAAATAAGTTAAAATATCCCATGTGTTTAAAAAATACATTTAACAGAATCAAGTCATCGAAAATTAGCTTTAGAAAGAATCTAATCTAGGCCAGGTGCAGTGGCTCACGCTTGTAATCTCAGCACTTTGGGAGGCCTAGGCGGGTGGATCACAAGGTCAGGAGATCGAGACCATCCTGGCTAACACGGTGAAACCCTGTCTCTACTAAAAATACAAAAAAAATTAGCTGGGCGTGATGGTGGGTGCCTGTAGTCCCAGCTACTCGGGAGGCTGAGGCAGGAGAATGGCATCAACCCAGGAGGTGGTGCTTGCAGTGAGCCGAGATTGCACCACTGCACTCCAGCCTGGGCGACAGAGTGAGACTCTGTCTCAAAAAAAAAAAAAAGAAAAAAAAAAAGAATCTAATCTAACCCTTTTATGTAATTAAGAAAACAGGTTGGGCATTTTATTTAATTAATAAAACAGGACTCACACCTGTAATCCCAGCACTTTGAAGATGGGAGGATCACTTGAGGCCCAGAATTCAAGACCAGCCTGTGCAACATAGCAAGACGTCACCTCTAAAAAAAAAAAAAAAAAAAAAAGTGTTTTAAATTAGCCAGGCATGGTGGTGTGCACCTGAAGTCCCAGCTACGTGAGAGGCTGAGCCAAGAGGATTGCTTGAGTCCAGGAGTTGGAGGCTGCAGTGAGCCATGTTTGCACCACTGTATTCCATCCTGGGCGACAGAGTGAGACCTTGTTTCCAAAAAACCAAACAAACAGAAAAATGGGTGGGGGTGGAGAAGGTCTAAAGAGCTGAATCAAATTTCTATTAGAGATGACATATTCAAATTTTTAAAAAATTTAAAGGGGTGCCCTAAAAGGCTCAATTGACAAGATACATAATATTATGACACAATCTTTTGAAAAATCAAAAGTTTAATTGGCCCTCCATATCTGTGGGTTTTGCATCTATAGATTCAACCGACTGTGGATTGAAAATATTTGGAAAAGCTGGATGCAGTGGTGTGTGCCTGTAGTCCCAGCTACAAGGAGGAGGATGCCTTGAGCCCGGGTGTTTGAGTTCAGCCTGGGCAACAGAGTGAGATCCTGTCTTTTGGTTGTTGTTGGCTGTGTTTCTTTTTCTTTCTTCCTTTTCCTTCTTTCTTTCTTTCTTTCTTTCTCTTTCTTTTTCCATCCTTCCTTCCTTCTTTCCTTCCTTTCCTTCCTTCCTTCCCTTCCTTCCCCCCTTCCCCTTCCTCCCTTCTTTCCTTCCTCCCTCCCTCCCTCCTTTCTCTCTCTCTTTCTTTCTTTCCTTCTTTCTTTCTTTTCTTTCTTTCTTTTTTTTTTTTCAGGATCTCACTCTGTCATCCATGCTGGAGCACAATGGTGCAATCATAGTACACTACAATCTTGACATCCCAGGTTCAAGCAATCCTCCCACCTCAGCCTCCTGAAGAGCTAGGAGCACAGGTGCATGCCACCATGCCCAACTACTTTTTAAAACAGTTTTTGTAGAGACTGGGTCTCACCGTGTTTCCCAGGCTGGTCTTGAATTCCTGGTATCAAGCCATCCTCCCACCTCAGCCTCCTGAAGTGCTGGAATTACAGGCATAAGCCACTGTACCTGTCTCTTAAAAATAAATTTAAAGGTGGGGAACGGTGGCTCATGCCTGTAATCCCAGCACTTTGGGAGGCCGAGGTGGGTGGATCACCTGAGATCAGGAGTTTGAGACCAGCCTGGCTAACATGATGAAACTCTGTCTCTACTAAAAATACAAAATTAGCCGGGCGTGGTGATATATACCTGTAATCCCAGCTACTCGGGAGGCTGAGGCAGGAGAATCACTTGAACCCAGGAGGTGGAGGTTGCAGTGAGCCGAGATCGCGCCACTGCACTCCAGCCTGGGCAAAAAGAGCAAAACTCCATCTCAAAAAATAAAAATAATAAAATAATAAATAAATAAAATAAAAATAAAATAATAAAATAAAAAATAAATAAAAATAAAATTTAAGACCCTGTCTCTTAAAACAAATAAACAAATAAATACAATTTTTACAAAGGAAAATATTTGGGAAAAAAATAGTTAACTGCATCTGGACTAAACATGGACAGACCTTTATTGTCATTGTCCCCCAAACAATGCAGTATAACAACTATTTACATAGCACGTATGCCATATTAGGTATTGTAAGTAACCTAGAGATGATTTAAAATATACAGGAGTGGCCGGGCACAGTGGATCACGTCTGTAATCCCAACACTTCGGGAGGCCGCGGATCACCTGAGGTCAGGAGTTCGAAACCAGCCTGGCCAATATGGCGAAACCCCATCTCTACTAAAAGTATAAAAATTAGCTGGGCGTGGTGGTGCACACCTGTAGTCCTAGCTACTTGGGAGACCGAAGCAGGAAGATCACTTGAACCTGGGAGGTGGAGGTTGCTGTGAGCCGAGATCATGCCACTGCACTCCAGCCTTGGTGACAGTGAGACTCAGTCTTAAAAAGAAAAAAAAAAAAAGAAAAATTAAGTATACAGGAGCACCTGTAGTCCCAGGCTGCGGCTGAGGCAGAAGGATCGCTTGAGCCTGGGAGATCGAGGCTGCAGTGGGCTGTGATTGCATTACTATGCTCCAGCCGGGGTAACACAGCCAGACCCGTATCTCTAAAAATAATAATAATGGTAACAATAGTAATAAAGTATACAGGAGGATATATATAGGCTATATGCAAATACGACACTATTTCGTATAAGGCACTGGAGCATCTGTGGATTTTGGTATCCGCAGGGGTGAAGGAAGGGCAGGGGAGAGGAAAGAGCCTCCCAGGCACAGGGAGCAGCAAGTGCAAAGGCCCTGAGAGGGGAATGAGGTTGGCGGGTCTACAGAACAGCAAGGAAATCATGAGGCTGGAGCTCCAGAGATTATGTCAAATAAAAAGGAGCAGTCGGCTGGGCGCGGTGGCTCACGCCTGTAATCCCAGCACTTTGGGAGGCCAAGGTGGGCAGATCACGAGGTCAAGAGATCGAGACCATCCTGGCCAACATGGTGAACCCCTGTCTCTACTAAAAATACAAAAATTAGCCAGGTGTGATGGCACACACCTGTAGTCCCAGCTACTCAGGAGGCTGAGGCAAGAGAATCACTTGAACCCGGGGGGCGGAGGTTGCAGTGAGCCGAGATCGCGCCACTGCACTCCAGCCTGGGCGATGACAGAGTGAGACTCCGTCTCCAAAAAAAAAAACAACAAAACAACAACAAAAACAGCAGTCACCAGGGGCCACATGGTGTGCGACTCCCATGGATATGAAATGTCCAGAACAGACTAATCCACAGAGACAGGAGAGACAAGAGGCAGATTAGTGGTGGCCAGGGGTTAGGGGAGGGGAGTGGGGAGTGACTGCTGATGGGGACAGGGTCTCCTTCTGGGGGGTTGCGAATGTTCTGGAACTAGATAGAGTGATGGTTGCACAACACTGTGAATGGCTAAATGCCACTGGATTGTTTGCTTTAAAATTATTAATGTGATAGGCCAGGCGCGGTGGCTCACGCATGTAATCCTAGCAGTTTGGGAGGTTGAGGCGGGCACATCATTTGAGGTCAGAAGTTCGAGACCAGCCTGGACAACATGGTGAAACCCCATCTCTACTAAACATACAAAATTAGTTGGGCATGGTGGCGCATGTCTGTAATCCCAGCTACTCAGGAGGCTGAGGCAGGAGAATCGCTTGAATCCTGGAGTGGGAGGTTGCAGTGAGCCGAGATTGCGTCACTGCACTCCAGCCTGGGAGACAGAGTGAGACTCTGTCTCAAAAAAATAAAATAAAATAAAATAAAATAAACAAACAAAATTTAAAAAATTAACGTGATAAAGAAAAAAGAGGATGACTGTTTTCTGAGATTATGAAAATGTTCTGAACTTATATATATATACACTTATATATACATATTTTAATCTATATTTTTGTGTATGTATATATTTATGCTTTATGTATGTAAAACATAATATATATGTGTGAATAAAACATAAATATATACATACATGAAAGTATATATACATATATACAAAAACAAATATATACATAAATATATAAATATATACTATATATATATTTTTATCAATGTTTTGCCATAAACATTCTTTTGTGTCCATTGACTCTTTTTTTTAAATTTTTTTGTTTTTGAGATAGAGTCCCACTCTGTCGCCCAGGCTGGAGTGCAATGACATGATCTTGGCTCCCTGCAACCTCCGCCTCCCAGGTTCAAGCAATCTTCCTGCCTCAGCCTCCCAAGTAGCTGAGATTACAGGCGCCTGCCACCACACCCAGCTAATTTTTGTATTTTTAGTAGAAACAAGGTTTTGCCATGTTGGCCAGGCTAGTCTCGAACCCCTGACCTCAACTGATTCACCCACCTTGGCCTTCCAAAGTGTTGGGTTTACAGGCGTGAGCCACTGTGCCAGCCTATTTTTATTATTTTTACTTTTTTTTTTAGAGACAGGGACTCACTATGTTGCCCGGCTTGTCTCGGACTCCTGGGCTCAAGTGACCCTCCCACTTCGGCCCCTGAAAGTGCTGGGATTACAGGTGTGAGCCACCTGGCCCAGTCATATCCTTGTTCTGTTATTGTATTTTATTTCATTTATAATTTCCACCATCAATTTCACAGGGTACATGTGCATGTCTGCTACATGGGTATATTGAGTGATGCTGAGATTTGGGGTACGAATGATCCCATCACTGAGGTAGTGAGCATGGTACCCAAGAGGAATTTTGTTAGCCCTTGACCCTCTTCCTCCTTCCCCATTCCAGTAGTCCCCAGTATCTGTTGTTCCCATCTTTATGTTGGGGACACTTTTTTTTTTTGAGACAGAGTCTCACTCTGTTGCCCAGGCTGGAGTGTAGTGGTCCAGTCTTGGCTCACTGCAACCTCTGCTTCCCAGGTTCAAGCGAGTTTCCTGCCTCAGCTTCCCGAGGAGCTGGGATTACAGGCGCACACCACCACACCCAGCTAACTTTCGTATTTTTAGTAGAGACGGGGTTTTGCCTTGTTGGCCAGGCTGGTCTCGATTCGAACTCCTGAGCTCAGGCGATCTGCCCGCCTCAGCCTCCCAACGTGCTGGGATTACAGGCATGAGCCACCCTGCCCAGCCTGGGATTACTTTTATAAGGACAGTAATCCCATTCCCCAGAGCGCCATCCTCATAACCTAATCACAGCCTGATGAACTTTTTGTTTATTAAGCAGAATCTCCATTTGTCTGTTATATGTTGCAAATATTTCCTCCACATCTCTCATGATGTGCCTTCCAACTGCAGTTTATCCTCCTGAAGTTTTACATTTCTACATAATCCAGTTGGTCAGTTTTTCCCCTTTATGCCTTCCAAATTGTACGTTTTGCTTAGCAAATAGCTCTCTAAGATTATTATATTTATTTATTTATTTTGAGACAAGGTCTTGCTGTGTTGCTGAGGCTGGAGTGCAGAGGAGTGATCATAGCTCACTCCAGCCTCAACCTCCTGCGCTCAAATGATCCTCCCACCTCAGCTTCCCGAGTAGCTAGGACCACAGGTGCATGCCACCCCACCTGGCTAATTATTTTTTTGCAAGATTATAAAAATGATGAGAGAAATCCTATAATTTTTCTAGAAGTTGCCCCTTTTTTACGTGGTTATTAATTTTAGACACTCTTAGATGCTGAATCTTTATAAAACTCAATTATCTGTTTAGTATTCAACATCTGGGGCAACTGATTGACTCCCAACCAGTTGTGGCCCTCTGAATTTTGCTTTGCCACATTTCATTATTTTCCATTTGGACAGGTTCTATCAATTTAACCAACAGAGAGAGGCTCTCAAAACAAAACAAAAGTAAAAAGAGGCTGGGCACAGTGGCTCACGCCTGTAATCCCAGCACTTTGGAAGGCCGAGGCGGGTGGATCACCTGAGGTCAGGAGCTTGAGACCAGCCTGGCCAATGTGGTGAAACCCCATCTCTACTAAAAATACAAAAATTAGCCAGGCGCGGTGGCACATGCCTGTAATCCCAGCTACTCAGGAAGCTGAGGCATGAGAATTGCTTGAACCCATGAGACACAGGTTGCAGTGAGCCAAGATTATGCCACTGAACTCCAGCCTGGGTGACAGAGCAAGACTCCATCTCAAAATAGTAATAATAACAATAATAATAATAATAATAATAATAATAATCATCATCATCATCATCATCATCATCATCATCATCATCATAGGCCAGGCGCGGCGGCTCATGCCTGTAATCCCAGCACTGTGGGAGGCCGAGGTGGGTAGATCACCTGAGGTCAGGAGTTCGAGACCAGCCTGGCCAACATGATGAAACTGTGTCTCTACTAAAAATACAAAAAATTTGCCAAGTGTGGTGGTGGGCACCTGTAATCCCAGCTACTCGAGAGGCTGAAACAGGAGAATTGCTTGAACCCGGGAAGTGAAGGTTGCAATAAGCCAGGGCCACGCCACTGCACTCCAGCCTGGGCAACAAGAGCAAAACTTCATCTCAAAATAATAATAATAATAATAATAATAATAATAATAATAATAATAATAATAATAAAAGGCCAGGCATGGTGGCTCATGCCTGTAATCCCAGCACTTGGGAGGCTCAGGTGGGTGGATCGCTTGAGGCCAGGAGTTCAAGGCCAGCCTCGCCAACATAGTCAAACCCGTCTCCACTAAAAATAGAAAAAATTAGCCAGGCATGGCGGCAGGTGCCTGTAATCCCAGCTACATGGGAGGCTGAGGCACGAGAATCACTTGAACCCAGGAGGCAGAGGTTGCAGTGAACCAAGATTGAGCCACTGCATTCCAGCCTGGGTGACAGAGAGAGTCCGTCAAAAAAAAAAAAAAAAAAAGAGGGTTACATAATTGTTTTGAAATAATTATCCTTGATTACAAAAATCAATAATGAGGGTGTGGCTGGACAGGAAGTTGCTGGGCAGATTGCCTTGCAGATGTATTTTTTCTGTAAGGTTGCAGTAGCCTTTGTGCAAGGTTGTGATTTTTGTAGTTTTTTCTGTTATTAGGCATACAAGCGTGAGAACTCTTTCTCCATAGCCTTCCTTTATAGCCTGTTTGCCAGGGTTTTCTTAATGTTATTGACTCCATTTTTATTCTGATGACTTTCACAATTCAATTCCATCCATCTTTTCTTTGGTAAATGAGGGTATTTCCAAGCTGACAAGCATTTTAATAGTTGCAAGGCCAAAATGTTCCCAGCTAATATACTCTCCCCTACCCTGGCCTGCTGCAGGAGAGGTGAGGTGTGTGAAAATATTTGCCAAAGGGACCCTCGCCAACTCTGCTTCAAAGGATTACACGCTGCACTTGTGGAACTTACTCTCTGGCCAGGAGAAATTTACCATTTGGGATGGAGGCTCAAAAAATCCCGCTGAACCTCAGATCTGGAACCTTCATGTGGATGAGGCACACAAAGTTGTGTATTCAGCATCTGGCTCAAAGGTAACAAACATATGCCCTGTTTGTAAAGGAAAGCTGAGACCAGAGCATTCAAAGACAGAATAGGCCATTTCTATAAGGAGGGCTCCCTGATACAGTGATGGGGTGGGGGTGTAAATGGAGTACACAACCACTTGAGAGGGTGCTATAAGAGGTTTCAGACTTCATAGTTGGATTAGACAATCCTGATAATTCTTTCTGACCCCAAGATTTGAAACCTTTCATCTTTTTTGAATATCAGCATTTTAGGGCTATAAATTTCCCTCAAAGTACTGCTTTACCTACATCCTGTAAATTTTGACGTGTGTTTTCATTTACATTCAGTTTAAAATACTTTCAGATTTCACTTTTGATTTCTTCTTTGATCCATGGGCTATTTAAAAGTATACTATTAGTTTCCAGATATTTGAGGAATTTCTGGATAGGGTCCTGTTCTGTATTTTTTTTCTAATTAAATTCCATTTTGATGATGTAAAACCTTTCAAATTCATTGAGACTTCTTTTATAGTCTCTCTCTCTCCTCTCTCTCTTTTTTTTTTTTTTTTTTTGAGATGGAGTCCTGCTCTGTCGCCCAGGCTGGAGTACAGTGGTACAATCTCAGCTCACTGCAACCTCCACCTCCCAGGTTGAAGTGATTCTCCTGCCTCAGGCTCCTGAATAGCTGGGACTACAGGCGCACGCCACCACGCCCAGCTAATTTTTGTATTTTTAGTAGAGACAGGGTTTCACCATGTTGGCCAGGCTGGTCTCAAACTCTTGACCTCAGGTGATCCACCTGCCTTGGCCTCCCAAAGTGCTGGGATTACAGGCCTGAGCCATCATGCCTAGCTTGTTTTATAGTCTCTCTAAATGATCTGTGGGCTTCTGAAAACAATGTCTGTTCCACTGTGTTATTCCATTACATCAATCATAACCCTGTGATTTCATAGTTTTATAAATGGAGACACACAATAACTTCGTGGGTGATAGCTTACTAATTGATGCCAGGAGGAAAAAAAATCTTTATTTAACTACCAGTTGAGTTTCTTGGGAACTCAGTGACCTTGGTTGTGTCATTCACCATTCTGAGTCTTATTGCTGCCTCTTCCTCATAAGATCATGAGACATATCCTGGCATAGTGCTTAGCACACTGTAAGCACCAAATAATTGATATCTATTTATTATTATGTTACATAAGTAATTGGTGGTTGTTGACAGTAATATCAGTGCATATAAATCATGCTGCCCAAAATAGGAGTCACCAACCAGATGTACCTATTAAACACTTGAAATTCGGGGGGTAGGGGGTAAGGGGAGGGAGAGCATTAGGACAAATACCTAATGCATGTGGGGCTTAAAACCTAGATGACGGGTTGATAGTTGCAGCAAACCACCATGGCACATGTATACCTATGTAACAAACCTGCACGTTCGGCACATGTATCCCAAAACTGAAAGTAACATTAAAAAAAAATAAATAAATAAATAAATAAATAAATAAATAAAAACACTTGAAATGTGACTGTCCCAACATGCTGAAATTCAAAGACCTAGTATAGTAAAAATAATATAAACCATCTCAATAATAATTTTTGTATTGATTACATGTTGAAGTGATACCACTTGGACATATTAGGTTGAATAAAATATAATACTAAAATTGATTTCACTTGTTTCTTTGTACCTTTTGTAAGGTAGCTAATGAGTTTAAAATCACATGTGAGGCCTGGCCCACCTCTCCTTTTTTTCTCTGAATTGGGAGTGTTAAAAATAAAATGCATAGGCCGGGTGCAGTGGCTCACACTCATAATCCCAGCACTTTGAGAGGCTGAGCAGGGAGGATAGTTTGAGCCCAGGAGCTCAGGAGCAGCCTGGGCAACATAGTCAGACCCTGCCTCTACAAAAACAAATTTAAAAATAGCCAGGCATGGTGGTGCGTGTCTGTGGTCCCAGCTTCTTGGGAGGCTGAGGCAGGAGGATTGCTTGAGCCCAGGAGGTCGATGCTGCAGTGAGCCATGATTGCACCACTGCACTCCAGCCTGGGTGAAAAAGAGAGGCTCTGTCTCCAAAAGAAAAGAAAATGCATAAAGTATACAAGAGAAGGCATCTTGCATTTGACTCCGGGAAACTTGTAGTCTAGGTCTCCTGCCAAGATGCTGCTTCCTCTTCATTATTCTATTAGATCAATGCTTGGAATCTGGAAACTGCAGAGCCGGTATTCCATATCCTGGGAGATGCCTCTGATCCTTGGATGTGCATGGCCGTGCTGGCCTCCCAGGCCACACTGCTGACAGTGTCCAGGGATGGTGTGGTCAGTCTGTGGAGCTCAGCTACGGGAAAACTTCAGGGGAAGCAACATATGTCCAGCATCAAAGAAGAAACACCTACCTGTGCCGTCTCAGTCCAGAAGCAAGGAAAGCTTGTTACCGGGTTTAGCAATGGCTCCATCTCTTTGGTAAGCACCTTTACTGACTATGATGTGAACATTAACTCAGCTTGAAAGTGCTCAGATGTGCTAGAAGTTGGGAAAAATAATCTTGCCTTGTATCTTTGTTTTGTTTTGGAGATGAAGTTTCACTTTTGTTGCCCAGGCTGGAGTGCAATGGTGTAATCTCAGCTCACTGCAACCTCCGCCTCTCGGGTTCAAGCGATTCTCACTGCCTCAGCCTTCCGAGTAGCTGGGATTACAGGCAAGTGCCACCACGCCTGGCTAATTTTGTGTTTTTAGTAGAGACAGGGTTTCTCCATGTTGGTCAGGCTGGTCTCAAACTCCCAACCTCAGATGATCTGCCCACCTCGGCCTCCCAGAGTACTGGGATTACAGGCATGAGCCACCGTGCCCGGCCACACGCTTGGCTTCTTAATCGTAGGGATTTGCAGTTCAGCACAGTTCAGGAAACATCTGTTGGCGTCTCTTGGGGACTGACCAATGTGGGCAATTGTTGAAGCTCAGTCCTTCAGGGGATCTCTAAGACATGGTGTGGAATGAGGTTGAGAGTTGCGCCACAGAGGGACTAGGAGTTGGGCTCTATCCACCTGCCCTGTTGGTGGTTGGTGGACGGCTGCTTTCATGGACATTAACATATAGACTGGCTGGGCGCTGTGTCTCACTCCTGTAATCCCAGCACTTTGGGAGGCTGAGGGGGGGTGGATCATTTGAGGTCAGGAGTTCGAGACCAGCCTGGCCAACATGGCAAAACCCTGTCTTTACTAAAAGTACAAAAATTGACCAGGCACGGTGGCTCACACCTGTAATGCCAGCACTTTGGGAGGCCGGGGCAGGTGGATCACCTGAGGTTGGGAGTTCGAGACCAGCCTGGCCAACATGAAGAAACCTCATCTCTACTAAAAAAGCATACAAAAAATTAGCCGGGCGTGGTGGTGAGCACCTGTAATCCCAACTACTTGGGAGGCTGAGGCAGGAGAATTGCTTGAACCTAGGAGGTGGAGGATGCAGTGAGCCAAGATTGCACCACTGCACTCCAGCCTGGACATTAAGAGCAAAACTCCATCTCAGAACAAAACAAAAAACAACAGCAACAAAAACAAAAGCCCAAAAATTAGCCGGGTGTGGTGGTGGGTGCCTGTGATCCCTGCTACTAGGGAGGCTGAGGCAGGAGAATCACTTGAACCCGGGAGGTGGAGGTTGCAGTGAGCCGAGATCATGCCATTGCACTCCAGCCTGGGTGACAGATCAAAACTCCATCTCAAAAAAAAAAAAAAAAAAAGAAAGGAATCATGGTGGTGCATACTTGTACTCCCAGCTACTTGAGAGGCTGATGTGGGAGGATCATTTGAGCTTAGGAGGTGGAGGCTGCAGTGAGCCAAGATTGCACCACTGCACTCCAGCCTGAGTGACAGAGCCAGGCCCTGTCTCAAAAAAATTAAAAAATAAAAAAAAAAAGAAAAGAAAAGAAGAAGAAGAATCATCCCAAATCCCAAAGCTCCACATTTCTGAACCTCATGACCTGTGGTCTTCATGAGTTCTCAAGGTACCAAATACAACAACGAAAGATACTCCCAAATCCTTGGGGTTGTTTTTCTTTTTCTCAAGCCTCTTTGCAGATATTTTGTTTTGTTTTTTGAGACAGGGTCTTACTTTATCTCTCAGGCGGGAGTGCAGTGGCACGATCATGGCTCCCTGCAGCCTCGACCTCCCGGGCTCAAGACGTCCTCTCGCCTCAGCCTCCTGAGTAGCTGGGACTACAGGCGCATGCCCCCATGCCTGGCTAATTATTATTATTATTATTTTGTAGAGGTGGGGGTCTCACTATGTTGCCTAGGCTGGTTTCAAACTTATGGGCTCATTCAGCCTTCCAAAGTGCTGGGATTACAGGCGTGACCCACTGTACCTGGCCAGAATTTGTTTTTTACCTTTTTTTTTTAACTGTTTTTTTGTTTTTTGGTTTTTGGTTGTTTTTTTTTTTGAGACTGAGTCTTGCTCTGTCGCCCAGACTGGAATGCAGTGGCGCAATCTCGGCTCACTGAAACCTCCACCTCCCAGCTTCAAGCGATTCTCCTGCCTCCGCCTCCCCAGTAGCTGGGACTACGGGCATGTGCCACCACGCCCGGCTAATTTTTGTATTTTTAGTAGAGATGGGGTTTCACCATGTTGGCCAGGATAGTCTCAAACTCCTGACCTCGAGTGATCCACCCACTTCGGTCTCCCAAAGTGCTGGGATTACAAGCATGAGCCGCCACACCTGGCCAACTTTTATGTTTTTAATTTAAAAAATTTTTTAGAGACAGAGTCTCAGTCTGTCACCCTGGCTGCAATGCAGTGGCACAATCATAGCTCACTGCAGCCTCCAACTCCTAGGGGCACAAGTGATCCTCCTGCTTGAGCCTCCTGAGTAGCTGGGACCACAGGGGTGTACCACCATGCCCAGCTAAAATTTTTATTAAGAGATGGAGTCAGCTAGGCATGGTGGCTCACGCCTGTAATCCCAGCACTTTGGGAGGCCAAGGTGGGCGGATCACCTGAGATCAAGAGTTTGAGACCAGCTTGGCCCACATGGTGAAACCCCATCTCTACTAAAAATACAAAAATTAGCCGGGCATGGTGGCAGGTGCCTGTAATCCCAGCTACTTGGGAGGCTGAGGCAGGGGAATTGCTTGAACCCGGGAGGCGGAGGTTGCAGTGAGCCAAGATCATACCACCGCACTCCTGCCTGGGAGACAGAGTGAGACTCCATCTCAAAAACAAAAAAAATAAAAATTAAAAAATTAAAAAATTCCAGACTTGTAACCCTTAACCCGTGGAAGTGCCTGACAGGCATCCCTGGTTCTGCACAGGTTTCCTCCAAAGGGGACAGATTGCTGGAGAAGCTTCCAGATGCTGTGAGGTTCCTGGTGGTCTCTGAAGATGAGTCCCTCCTCGCCGCAGGTAGCGTTTAGCTCTCATTTGGAGTAGTGAGGAAGCTAATCAGGATCAGGTTGGAGAAGGGGGTGGGGCTTGGGAACAGAGAGAAGTCCTAGGGCCAGAGGTTAGCAACGTTTTCTGCCAAATGGCCTCATAGTAAACATTTTTTGCAGTCCAGACGAGACAACCTCAGTTGCAAAGACTCAACTCTGCAGTTGTGGTACATAAACTAGCATAGACACTATTTTTCTATTATTTTTCTTTTTTTTTTAAATAGGGTCTTGCTGTGTCACCCAGACTGGAGTGGAGTGGCTCAATCATAATTCATTGCAGCCTTGAATTTCTGGGCTCAAACGATCCTCCCACGTCAGCTTCCTGAATAGCTGGGATTACAGGCACACACCACCACACCCAGCTAATTTTTGTATTTTTAGTACAGACGGAGTTTCACCATGTTGGCCAGGCTGGTCTCGAATTCCTGACCTCAGGTGATTCGCCCACCTTAGCCTCCCAAAGTGCTGGGATTACACAGGCGTGAGCCATTGCGCCCAGCCCTTTCTTTCCTTTTGATGCAGGATTTTTCTTGGCCTCTTTGCCAAGCTGGGAGCAGGGGGCACCCCATTTATTCAGCCTGTGGGGTCACATCTGGCTTTTGGCCCAGCCCGCGGCTCCCATGGCCACTGCCACGACTGAGCACTCAGCCCCTAGCAGGAGGGAGCATGTGAGCAAGTGAATGTAGGGTCCAGCTGGCTGCTTCAAGCACTGACACAGGGCCAGGCTCCATGCAGGGCCCATGGGCAGACCAGGCCATGTGTCACCCCAAAGGAAACACAAGGGGTCCACGACCCTGAAGCCCCAGAGGGGGTGTTACAGTGTGCTAATTACCTTTTTTTTTTTTTTTTTTTGAGACCGAGTCTCGCTCTATTGCGTAGGCTGTAGTGCAGTGGTATGATCTCAGCTCACTGCAACCTCCACCTCCCGGGTTCAAGCGATTCTCCTGCCTCAGTCTCCCAAGTATCTGGGATTACAGGCACCTGCTACCACGTCCCGCTAATTTTTGTATTTTTAGTAGAGATGGGGTTTCATCATGTTGGCCAGGCTGGTCTTGAACTCCTGACTTCAGGTTATCTGCCTGCGTCTGCCTCCCAAAGTGCTGGAATTACAAATATGAGCCACCACACCTGGCCTAATTTGCTCTTTTAGTTCCACCATCTGCAACCCAATGGATGGTGGCATGTTAGCAGTTCAGTCAGCCCCTTTCCCCATTCTGGCCTGCAGTTCTGGGACTGGCTTGGCCCCACCACTGCTTCTATTGCGTGGAGCAGCTTCCCTCTGCCATCAAGGACAGAGGGCCACAGTGTCACAGCCTTCCTGGGTACCTGCATCCAGTGAGTCCTAAGCTCTTGTCCCGTGTCCAAGAAGAATGAGGTCATGCTGACAATTGAAAAGTGATAAGGACAGAGAATTTTATTGAGCAACAAAACAGCTCTCAGGGGAGAGGGGATGTGAAGGTTGGGTCATCTCTCTCAGTGTGGCTGAGTCTGGGCGTTTTTATAGGCACAGGATGGGGGAGGGGCAGGTGGTAGGTAGTATTGGAAAACGTAACATTCAATTGGTTAAAAAGCATTATTCAGGCCAGGTGCAGTGGCTCACGCCTGTAATTCCAGCACTTTGGGAGGCCAAGGTGGGCCATCACCTGAGATCAGAAGTTCAGATCAGTGAACTTCTGATCTGAACTTCTGATGATCATGGTGAAACCCTGTCTCTACTAAAAATACAAAAATTAACTGGGCATGGTGGCAGGCGCCTGTAATCCCAGCTACTCGGGAGGATGAGGTGGGAGAATTGCTTAAACCCAGGAGGTGAAGATTGCAGTGAGCCAAGATCATGCCACTGCCACAAAAGTCTTATTCAGAAAGAATCAATCAGGAAAGGGTGGGCAAACAGGAACAGGAGTTCTCACTCTGGGTTGTGGATTTCATTTGGAAACAGCAGCCCAGGCTGTTTTTGGTTCAAAGGTACAGTTTCACTGGGGACCCATTCCTATCTGCCTAGGCATTTGCCTGCCTCCTGCCGCTATCCCTTCCTTTCTCCCTTCTTACTTTCTTTCCTCTTCTTCCTTCCTTCTTCCCCTTCTCATTTCTCTCCTTCCTCCCTTCCTCTTTACTTTTCTTCCTCTCTACCTCCTTGACTCTCCTCTCTCCTTCCTCCCTTCCTTCCATCATAGTTATCAAAGGCCTGCTGTGTGCCCAGCTTTGTGCTAGTTTCTGAGATACCATGATGAGCCAAATAGGCAGTCCCTGCCCTCCAGGAACTTACAGTTTCATTATAATAACTTTACAAGTTTCCTTAAGATGAGTGATTACTGGCTGGGTACGGTGGCTCAGGCCTGTAATCCCAGCACATTGGAAGTCCGAGGTGGGCGGATCACTTGAGATCAGGAGTTTGAGACCAGCTTGGCCAGCATGGTGAAACCTGGTATCTACTAAAAAATACAAAATTTAGCCAGGCATGGTGGTCAGCACCTACAAGCCCAGCTACTCAGGAAGCTGAGGCAGGAGAATCGCTTGAACCCAGGAGGCAGAGGTTGCAGTGAGCCAAGATCATGCCACTGCACTCCAGCCTCAGTGACAGAGCGAGACTCCATCTCAAAAAAAAAAAAAAATTGATGAGTGATTACAGAAGTCAGGCCCTCCCCCAACCAGCTGTGGGCTATGTGCAGATGGGGACAGGACTGAATCCACCTTCCCCGTCCTGGATCCCTTCTCCTGGCACCTAGCAGGGGTTCCAAAACATCTCTTTTTTTTTTTTTTTTTTTTGAGACAGAGTCTGGCTCTGTTGCCCAGGCTGGAGTGTAGTGGTGCAATCTCAGCTTACTGCAGCCTCTGCCTCCTGGGCTCAAGCAATTCTCCTGCCTCGGCCTCCTGAGTAGCTGGGATTACATGCATGTGCCACCACACCTGGCTAATTTTTGTATTTTTAGTAGAGAATAAAATACATGAAACATCGGGGTTCACCATGTTGGCCAGGCTGATCTCGAACTCCTGACCTCGAGTGATCTGCCCGCCTTGGCGTCCCAAAGTGCTGGGATTACAGGCATGAACCACCACATCCGGCCTCCAAAACACCTCTGTTGATGGAAGGAATGACCCTCAATCTCCTCTGGACATGAGAGGTGTAACCCCAGTTCCTGCCGTTTCAGGCTTTGGAAGATCGGTGCGGATATTCTTGGCGGACTCGAGGGGCTTTCGCCGATTCATGGCCATGGATCTGGAACATGAAGACATGGTGGAGACGGCTGTTTTTGGTACTGAGAACAACCTGATCATCACGGGGTCCCTTGATGCGCTCATTCAGGTGAGGGGAGATCTGGGACCCTTCATCCTCACCTCCACCTCGGGAACAGACACTGATTCTTTAGGGATTTTTGGCTGCAAAATACAGACACCCACAAAAATGAGTGCAGGCAAAATAGGTGAGTTCATTGGGAGGATATGGGGGTGTATCCTCCGCCCCAGTGGCAGACCTGGGTGAGAATTACTGAAATGTTCAACAAAGGAGGTAGCATTCCCAAACTGATCCTCAAACCTTGGGGGCAGATTTGTGCCTTCAGAGTGGAGCAGGGTTGTGGGGGAGGAAAATTCTCAATTTAAGTTCAAAGTTGTCCAAGCTGGAGAGAAAAGTAGATGGTGAAATAGCAGATCTTCAGTGTTTTAGTCTCAGGCCTCTTGAAGTTCTCTTTTTTTCCCCCTCCTTCTTATGAGCTATTTTTTCCAGTTTTAAAGAAATTGATAAATAGACTGTGCACAGTGGCTCATGCCTGTAATCCCAGCACTTTGGAAGGCCAAGGCAGGTGGATCACTTGGGCCCAGGAGTTCGAGACCAGCCTGGGCAACATAGCAAGACCCAATCTCTACAAAAAAACACAAAAATTAGCCGGGCGTCATGGCATGTGCCTGTAGTCCTAGCTACTCAGGAATCTGAGGTGGGAGGATCACATGAGCCTGGGAGGTAGAGGCTGCAGTGAGCTGTGATTACGCCACTGCACTTCAGCCTGGGTGACAAAACAAGAACCTGTCTCCAAAAAAATAAGAATAATTTTCTTTATTTTTTGAGACCAAGTCTCACTCAGTCGCCCAGGCTGGAGGGCAGTGTGGCATGATCTCAGCTCACTGCAACCTCGACCTCCTGGGTTCAAGCAATTCTCCTGCCTCAGCCTCGCAAGTAGCTGGGATTTCAGGCACCCACCACCATGCCTGGTTAATTTTTGTATTTTTAGTAGAGACGGGGTTCCGCCATGTTGGCCAGGCTGGTCTCAAACTCCTGACCTCAGGTGATCAGCTGCCTTGGCCTCCCAAAGTGCTGGGATTACAGGCGTGAGCCACCATGTCTGGCTAGAATAAAATAATTAAAAAAAAAAAAACATTAAAAGTTTTGAGCTTCCAGACCCTCTAAAAAAGGTTTACAGGGCACCCTCTAAAAAAGGTTTACAGGGCACCCTCCAGGAGTTCCCTGGAACACACTTTGGGAACTGCTCTGGAAGCTGATGGGTTCAAGCCTGAGTAAGTTAAAGGAATGGGAAGATGTGAAGGCCCTTGAACTTACAGCCTGAAAATTCACCTTAGGTTTATGAATGGGCTGAAGTGTATTTCTTATTTTCTTATTTATTTATTTTTATTTTTATTTTGACGGAGTCTCACTCTGTTGCCAGCCTGAAGTGCAGTGGCGCAATCTCAGCTCACTGCAATCTCTGCCTCCCAGGTTCAAGTGAGTCTCCTGCCTCAGCCTCCCGAGTAACTGCGATTACAGGTGTGCACCACCACGCTTGGCTGATTTTTGTATTTTTAGTAGAGATGGGGTTTCACCATGTTGGCCAGGATGGTCTTGATCTCCTGACCTCATGATCCACCCGCCTCAGCCTTCCAAAGTGCTGGGATTACAGGTGTGAGCCACTGCACCTGGCCTATTTATTTATTTTTATTTTTATTTTTTTTGAGACGGAGTTTCATTCTTGTTGCCCAGGCTTGCGTGCAATGGCACGATCTTGGCTCATTGCAAACTCCACCTCCCGGGTTCAAGCGATTCTCCTGCCTCAGCCTCCTGAGTAGCTGGGATTACAGGCATGCACCACCAAGCCTGGCTAATTTTTTGTATTTTTATTAGAGATGGGGTTTCTCCATGTTGGTCAGGCTGGTCTCGAACTCCTGACCTCAGGTGATCCACCTGCCTCAGCCTCCCAAAGTGTTGGGATTACAGGCGTGAGCCACCGCGCCTGGCCCAATGGGCTGAAGCGTATTTCTGAACTATAGTTGTCCACAGAAGATGTCAGATCTGCCCTCCTGTTCTGCTTCCTCAGGTGTGGAGTCTGTCAGAACAGGGGACCCTTCTGGACATCCTGGAAGGCGTCGGGGCCCCCGTGAGCCTGCTGGCCCGCGGCGGGGCTTTGGTGGCATCTGCTTCCCCACAGTCCTCATCTTTCAAGGTCTGGGATCTCAGCGATGCTCATAGGTCCCGGGTGCCTGCACCATTTCTGGACCGCACCGGCCTCACCGCAGTGTCCCACAATGGAAGCTACGTCTACTTCCCCAAAATTGGGGACAAAAACAAAGTCACTATTTGGGACTTGGCAGAAGGTTGGTAAGGTATAAGTATGGTCATTTTTGTGGGTAAGGCTTGGAGCCATCTGTCTTAGTTTAGGCTACTGTAACAAATCATCCCCACAGGCTGGGCCCCATGGCTCACGCCTGTAATCCCAGGACTTTGGGAGGCCTTGGCGGGTGGATCACCTGAGGTCAGGAGTTCAAGACCAGCCTGGCCAACATGGCAAAACCCTGTCTCTACTAAAAATACAAAAGTTAGCCGGGCATGGTGGCACATGCCTGTATCCCCAGCTACTTGCGAGGCTGAGGCAGAATTGTTTGAACCTGGGAGGCGAAGACTGCAGTGAGCCGGGATCCTGACTCTGCACTCCGGCCTGGGCGACAGAGTGAGACTCTGTCCCAGAAAAATAAAATAAAATAAATTATCCCCATAGACTGGGTGGCATAAGCAAGAAACATTATTCCTCAACATTCTGGAGGCTGGGAAGTTCCAGATCAAAGTGCAAGCAGATCTCGTGTCTGGTGAGGACCCGTTTCCTGGTTCACAGATGGCCATCTTCTTGATGTGTCCCCAGAGAGAGAGAGAAATCTCTTGTGTCTCTTCTTATAAGGGCACTAATCCTATTCAGGAACGCCCCACATTCATGATCTAATCACTTCCCTGTCACTCTGCTACAGTTCGGAGGTTTGGCCCTACAAACCAGATGTTGGCATTTAATATCCGGCTGGCCATGGTGGCTTAAACCTATAATCACAGCACTCTGGGAGGCCGAGGCAGTAGGATTGTTTGAGCTTAGGGTTCAAGAACACCTGGGCAAGATGAGAGGATGCCATTTCTACTAAAAATTTAAAAAATAGCTGGATGTGGCCAGTCATGGTGGGTCACACCTCTAATACCAGCACTTTGGGAGGCCAAGGCAGGCAGATCACTTGAGGTCGGGAGTTCGAGACCAGCCTGACCAACATGGAAAAACCCCACCTCCACTAAAGCAATACAAAATTAGCTGGGCGTGGTGGTGCATGCCTGTAATCCCAGCTACTCAGGAGGCTGAGGCAGAAGAATAGCTTGAACCTGGGAGGCAGAGGTTGCAGTGAGCCGAGATCACGCCATTGCACTCCAGCCTGGGCAACAAGAGCAAAACTCTGTCTCAAAAAAAAAATTAGCTGGATATGGTGGCATGTGCTTGTTGTTCTAGCTATTTTGGGGGCTAAGGTGGGAGGATCGCTTGAGCCTGGGAAGTTGAGGCTACAGTGAGTCATGATCGCACTACTGCACTCCAGCCTGGGTGACAGAGTGAGACCCTGTCTCTAAAAACAAACAAAAAAGCCAGGCGTGATGGCTCACACCTGTGATCCCAGCACTTTGGGTGGCTGAGGTGGGCGGATCACTTGAGCTCAGGAGTTTGAGACCAGACGTCTCTACATAAAAGACAAAAATTAGCTCGGTGTAGTGGCTCACATCTGTAGTCCAAGCTACTTGGGAGGCTGTGGTGGTAGGATCACTTGAGCCCAGGAGGCAGAAGTTGCAGTGAGCTGAGATTGTGCCACTGCACTCCAGCCTGGACGACAGAACAAGACCCTGTTTGAAAACAAAACAACAATAAAAAAAGAAATTTAATCCCCAGTGTTGGAGGGAGGCCTCACGGGAGGTGTTTGAGTCATAAGGACACATCCCTCGTGGATAGATTAATGCCCTCTCCTGGCAAGGCAGTGGTGGTGGTGAGTAAGTTCTAACTCTGTTAGTTCTCGCGAGGTTGTTAAAAAGAACCTGACCCCAGCTACTCAGGAGGCAGAAACAGGAAGATTGCTTGAGGCCGGGAGTTCAAGACCAGCCTGGGCAACATGGACCTTGTCGCAATAAAAATAAAAATAATGGCCGGGCATGGTGGCTCACGCCTGTAGTCCCAGCACTTTGGGAGGCTGAGTTGGGTGGATCACGAGGTCAGGAGCTCAAGACTAGCCTGGCCAACATGGTGAAACCCCATCTCTACTAAAAATACAAAAATTAGCCGGACGTGGTGGCGGGCACCTGTAATCCCAGCTGTTCAGGAGGGAGGCAGGAGAATCGCTTGAGCCCGGCAGGCAGAGGTTGCATTGAGCACCATTGCACTCCAGCCTGGGTGACAGAGCAAGACTCTGTCTCAAAAATAAATAAATAAATAAAAATAAAAATAAAAATAATGAGCTGGGCATGGTGATATTCACCTGTAGTCTCAGCTACTTGAGAGATGGAGGCAGGATGATCGCTTGAGCCCAGGAATTTGAGGCTGCAGTGAACTGTGATTGCACCACTGCACTCCAGCCTAGGTGACAGAGCAAGACCCTATCTCAATTAAAAAAAAAAAAAAAAAAAAAAGGAAGCTAGCACTTCCCTCTCTCTTGCTTCCTCTGGCCGTATGACCTCTGCACACCCCAACCCCCTTCACCTTTTGTATTAAGAAGAAGCAGCCTGGGGCCCTCACCAGAAGCAGAAGCTGGCACCATGCTTCCTGTACAGCCTGCAGAACAATGAGCCACATAAACCTCTTATTCATAATTATGCATTACTGTATTAGTCTGTTCTCACACTGCTAATAAAGACATACCTGAGGCCGGGCCTGCTGGCTCACACCTGTAATCCCAGCACTTTGGGAGGCCAAGGCAGGCGCATCATTTGAGGTCAGGTGTTCGAGACTAGCCTGGCCAACATGGTAAAACCCTGTCTCTACTAAAATTCCAAAACTTAGCCAGAAATCGCTTGAACCCAGGAGGTGGCAATTGCAGTGAGCCAAGATCTTGCTACTGCACTCCAGCCTGGGCAAGAGTCAGACTCTGTCTCAAAAAAAAAAAAAAAAAAGACATACCTGAGACTGGGTAATTTGTAAAGGAAAGAGGTTTAATGGACTCACATTTGCACATGGCTGGGAAGGCCTCACAATCATGGCAGAAGGCAAATGAGGAGCAAAGTCACGTCTTACATGGTGGCAGGCAAGAGAGTGTGTGCAGGGGAATTGCCCTTTACAAAACCATCAGATCTCATGAGACTTATTCGCTACCACAAGAACAGTATGGGGGAGACTGCCTCCATGATTCAATTATCTCCAGCTGGCCTCGGCCTTGACCTGTGGGAATTATTGCAATTCAAAATGAGATTTGGGTGGGGACACAGCCAAACCATCTCAGTTACCCAGCCTCAGGTAGTCCTTCATAGCAACACCAACAGACTTAGACAGGCCCCAGCTCCTAATACCATCCTATGGGGAGTGAGGATTTTGACATAGGAATTTGGTGGGGGGGTGGGGACACAAATCTTCAGTCCATAACATTCCTATAACTTCAATCAGGTAGAAAGTAGCTAGTCAAAAACAGGTTTTCATTAGCAACACCAATGAACTAAGACAGGCCCAAGCTCCTGATACCATTCCACAGAGGGTGATGATTTTAACATAGGAATTTGTCAGGGGGACACAAATCTTCAGTCCATAACACGCCTATAACTTCAATCAGGTGGAAACTAGCTAGTCATGGCCAGGTGTGGTGGCTCACACCTGTAATCCCAGAACTTTGGGAGGCTGAGGTGGGCGGATCATTTGAGGTCAGGAGTTGGAGACCAGCCTGGCCAACATGGCGAAACCCCAACTCTACTTAAAAAAAAAAAAAAAAAAAATTATCTGGGCGTGGTGGTGTGTGCCTGTAATCCCAGCTACTGGGGAGGCTGAGGCAGGATAATTGCTTGAACCTGGGAGGTGGAGGCTGCAGTGAGCCAAGACCATGCCACTGCACTCCAGCTTTGGCAACAGAGTGAGACTCCACCACCCGAAAAAAAAAAGAAAAAGAAAGTAGCTGGTCAAAAACAGGATTTCATTTTATACATTTTCTGCATGAGGTAGTTGGCAATCTGGTTGTTTCCGTTTGGCCTGTTTTAATTCAGGTTACCTAGAAGCTGAATCTGTGATGAGGATATTTGCACAAGTGATGTATTGAGGGGTGTTTCCAGGAGAACCCCAGAGGGAGATGAGAAAATGGGGCTGGCGGGGGAAAGGGTTGAGCAAGAATGCAGGCTCAGCTAAAGTCCCTCTCAGCATCATTCCATGGGGAGCCCTGGAAGAGGTAGAGCACCAGTCTTAGTCAATTCCGGCCACTATAACAGAATGCCATGGATTGGGTGGCTTAGAAAGAATAGCAAATGGGGCCAGGTGTGGTGGCTCATGCCTGTAATCCCAGCACTTTAGGAGGCTGAGGAGAGAGGATCACTTGAGGCCAGAAGTTCGAGACCAGAAGTTTGAGACCAGCCTGGGCAACATAGTGAGACCCCACCTCTACAAAAAAATTTAAAAGGTATCGGGCTTGGTGGTACATGCCTGTAGTCCTAGTTACTCCAGAGTCTGAGGCAGGAGGATTGCTTGAGCCGTGGAGTTCAAGGCTGCAGTGAGCTATGATAATGCCACTGCACTCCAGCCTGGGCAACAGAGACCCTGTCTCTCTGTTTTTTTTTTTAATTTAAAGAAAGAATAGAAATTTGTTTATCATATTTCTGGAGGAGGCTGGGGAGTCCAAGATCAAGGTGCCAGCAACTTTGTTGTCTTGGGTTAAATTAATTTTTTTTTAAATTTGGTATCTGGTGAGTGTCCTCTTTCTGGGTCATGGATGGCCAGATTTTCTTTGTCCTCACATGGTAGAAAGGGGCAAAGAAGCTCCCTGGGGCCTCTTTTTTTTGTTGTTCTGTCTTATTTAAGAGTCAGGGCTCACTCTACTGTCTAGGCTGGAGTGAAGAGGTACAATGACGGCTCAGTGCAGCCTCGAACTCCTGGGCTCAAGCGATCTTCCTGCCTCAGCCTCCTGAGTAGCTGGAACCACAGGTGCACCACCATGCCTGACTCCTGGAGACTTTAAAATTTTTAAAAATATTTATTTATTTATTTATTTTTATTTTTATTTTATTTTATTTTTGTTGTTGTTCTTTTGTTTGAGATGGAGTCTCGCTCTGTCACCCAGGCTGGAGTGCAGTGGCGTGATCTCAGTTCACTGCAACCTCCGCCTCCCGGGTTCAAGCAATTCTCCTGCCTCAGCCTCCCGAGTAGCTGAGATTACAGGTGTGCAGCACAATGCCTGGCTTATTTTTGTATTTTTAGTAGAGATGGGGTTTCACCGTGTTGGCCAGGCTAGTCTCGAACTCCTGACCTCAAGTGATCCACCTGCCTCGGCCTCCCAAAGTGCTAGGATTACAGGTGTGCACCACTGTGCCCAGCCAAATTTTGTGTGTTTTGTAGAGATAAGGTCTCTCTATCTTGCCCAGGGTGGTCTTGACCTCCTGGGCTCAAGCAATCTGCCTGCCTCAGCCTCCCAAAGTGCTGGGATTAGAGGCGCACACCACCATACCTGGTTAATTTTTTTAATGTTTTTGCAGAGGCAGGGGTCTCACTCTTTTGCCCAGACTGGTCTTGAACTCCTGGTCTCAAGCCATCCTCTCACTTCAGCCTCCTGAATAGATGGGATTACAGGCATGAGCCACTGCACCTGGCATCTCTCCATTTCCTTGGGCCCTGGTTCACCCTGCAACCAGCAAACAAGCACCTCGAGAATTGTAACCTCACTTGATTTGCTCCCTGCCAACCCCCAGAGCTTTGCCTAGTGGGCTGTTACTCTAAAAATGTTTGCCAAATTAACGACTGAATGAAGTTGAGAATCAGCTTGAAAATCAGGATTCCTTTCTCCTATTATTTCATCATTAACAAGGAGTTTCTTTTTTCTTTTTCTTTCTTTTCTTCTTTTTTTTTTGAGAGGGAGTTTCCATCTGTTGCCCGGGCTGGAGTGCAGTGGCGTAATCTTGACACACTGCAACCTCCACCTCCTGGGTTCAAGCGATTCTCCTGCCTCAGCCTCCCTTCCAAGTAGCTGGGATTACAGGTGCCTGCCACCACGCCTGGTTAATTTTTGTATTTTTGGTAGAGACAGGGTTTTGCCATGTTGGCCAGACTGGTCTCAAACTCCTGACCTCAGGTGATCCATCCACCTCGGCCTCCCAAAGTGCTTGGATTACAGACGTGAGTCACCACGCCCTGCCATTAACAGGAGTTTCTATACCTCTATCCTCCCAGCAGGACTGTGCCAAGTACTGTTGGTGAGAAACTCAGAAATCCCTCACTGTCCAATTCTCGCAGACCCAGCAGTGCCCCCACCTTCATTTTACTCCTGGGAATTGCCCACTGATGAAAGAAGCCTCTCAACTGGAAATGGCAGGGGGATGTGGCCACCGCCCCTGAAATGGCCCCAGTCAATGACTGCCTGATGTGGGAATACAAAAGTCTGGCCCCCTTGCTTCAAGATGGGACAATTCATGGTGGCTCATGCCTGTAATCCCAGTACTTTGGGAGGCAAAGGTGGGAGGATCGTTTGAGCCCTGGAGTTCAAGAATAGCCTGGGCAACATGGTAAAATCCCATCTCTACAAAAATTAGCTGGGCGTGGTGGCCCGAGCCTGTAGTCCCAGTTACTTGGGGGGCTGAGGTGGGAAAATCACTAGAGCCTGAGAGGTTGAGGCTGCAGTGAGCCATGTTCGTGCCACTGCACTCCAGCCCGGGCAACAGAGTGAGACTCCGTCTCTTAATAAATAAATACATAAATAGGCTGGGCGCGATGGCTCATGCCTGTAATCCCAGCATTTTGGGAGGCCGAGGCGGGCGGATCACTTGAGGTCAGGAGTTCAAGACCAGCCTGGCCAATATAGCGAAACCCCGTCTCTACTAAAAATACAAACAAATTAGCTGGGCGTGGTGGTGCGCACCTCTAGTCCCAGCTACCCGGGAGACTGAGGTGGGAGAATTGCTGGAATCTGGGAGGCAGAGGTTACAGTGAGCCGAGATTGTGCCACTGCGCTCCAGCCTGGACAACGAAGCCAGACTCTGTCTAAAAAAAACAAAAAATAAAAAAATTAGTAGGGCACAGTGGCAGGCGCCTGTAGTCTCAGCTACTCAGGAGGCTGAGGCAGGAGAATCACTTGAGTCCAAAAGTTGGAGGCTGCAGTGAGCTTCAGTCTCGCCACTGCACTCCAGAATACTGTCTCAAAAAAAAAAAAAAAAAGAAAGAAAGAAAATATGAACACCAGGCCGGGTGTGGTGGCTCACGCCTGTAATCCCAGCACTTTGGGAGGCCAAGGTGGGTGGATCACCTGAGGTTGGGAGTTAGAGACCAGCCTGGCCAACATGGAGAAACCCCACCTTTACTAAAAATACAAAATTAGCTGGGCGTGGTGGCACACACTTGTAATCCCAGCTACTCGGGAGGCTGCGGCAGGAGGATTGCTTGAATCCAGGAGGTGGAGGTTACGGTGACCTGAGATCGTGCTATTGCACTACAGCCTGGGCAACAGAGTGAGACTCCATCTCAAAAACAAAACAAAACAAAAAAAACCACCAGGGAAGCAGGGCTGCTGTGATTCACTCTCAGTGTAAGTCATTCTCATTTTTCTTCCCTGGCAGGCGAGGAACAAGATTCCCTGGACACCTCCAGTGAGATCAGGTGTCTGGAGGTTGCTGAGCAGCGCAAGCTCCTATTTACGGGCCTCGTGTCGGGGGTCGTCCTTGTGTTCCCCCTGAATTCCAGGCAGGACGTGATATGCATTCCCCCTCCCGAGGCCCGGAAAGCAATCAACTGCATGTCCCTGAGCAAGTGCGAGGACCGCCTGGCCATCGCCTATGACAACATCGTCCTGGTGCTGGACATCACCTCCGGGGACCCCTGCCCGGTCATCGATGGGCCAAGATACACCTTTTACACTCAGCTGCCCGAGACCCTCTCCAGCGTGGCCATTCTGACGGACTACCGCGTGGTCTACAGCATGACCAATGGGGACCTCTTTCTTTACGAGTGTGCAACTTCCAAAGCGTTTCCCTTGGAGACCCACAGGAGCCGAGTTGCCTGTGTGGAGGTCAGCCACAAGGAGCAGCTGGTGGTCAGCGGGTCTGAGGATGCCCTGCTGTGTCTCTGGGACCTGCAGGCACGCAAGTGGAAATTCGAGATGAGCTACACGGTGGGTGGCCCGCCTCCCCATGTTCATGCTAGACCCAGGCATTGGAAAACTGATAGATAGCCATCATTTACTAAGCACACACCATGGGCCATCGACCAGGATGGGACTGGGGTGATGAAAATGAGGCACTTGGTCAGGCGCAGTGGCTCACGCCTGTAATCCCAGTACTTTTGGAGGCTGAGGCAGGCGGATCACCTGAGATCGGGAGTTCAAGACCAGCCTGGCCAACATGGTGAAACCCCGTCTCTACTAAAAATACAAAAATTAGCCAGGTGTGGTGTTGCATGCTTGTAATCTCAGCTACTTGGGGGGCTGAGGCAGGAGAATCGCTTGAAATTGGGAGGCAGAGGTTGCAGTGAGCCAAGATCACGCCACTGCACTCCAGCCTGACTACAGACACTCCGTTTAAAAAAAAAAGAAAAGAAAAGAAAAGAAAAGTGAGGCATTTGTCTCAGAAGCAAAGTTTTTTTTGTTTTCATTTTTTTTTTAAAGAGACAGGGACCCCACTGTCACGAGGCTGTAGTACAGTGGCACAATCATAGCTCATTGCAGCCTCAATCTCCTGGGCTCCAGTGATCCTCCCGCCTCAGCCTCCCAAAGCACTGGGATTTCAGGCATGACCCACCGGACCTGGCTACAAAGTTCAAAGGAGTACCAAAAAGCTCAGCAATGGTAGGCCAGGTGCAGTGGCTCACCCGGCACTTTGGGAGGCCCAGGAAGGAGGATCACTTGAGGCCAGGAGCTGGAGACCAGCCTGGGCAACATAGGGAGACCTTATCTCTACAAACAAATGCAAAAATTAGCTGGGCATGGTGATGTGCACCTGTGATCCAGCTACTTGGAGGGCTGAGGCGGAAGGATTGATTGAGCCCGGATGCCACTGCTCTCTAGCCTGGGTGATAGAGCAAGGCCTGTCTCAAGAAAACAAAAAACAAAAACTCAGCAATGAAGATAAATAATTTTTTTTTTTTGAGATGGAGTCTTGCTCTGTCACCCAGGCTGGAATGCAGTGGCGCCATCTCAGCTCACTGCAGCCTCCCGGGTTCAAGCAACTCTCCCGCCTCGGCCTCCCAAGTAGCTGGGATTACAGATAAGCACCACCATGCCCAGCTAATTTTTGTGTTTTTAGTAGAGAAGGGGTTTTGCCATGTTGTCCAGGCTGAACTCCTGGCCTCAAGTGACCTGCCTTGGCCTCCCAAAGTGCTGGGATTACAGGTTTGAGCCACTGCACCTGGCCAAGAAGTAATATTTTAATGCAATATTTTTAAAAATCTAAAATGAATACCAAAATTCCATGAAGAACAAAATCTCAACATTATAGGTAAAAACTGGATCAAATCCTGCACTGGCTTAGTGCTGCTTCACTCTCTTCACCCTAATCCTGGCTCTGTGCTATTTCTTTTTTTTTTTCTTTTTCTTTTTCTTTTTTTTTTTTTGAGATGGAGTCTTGCTCTGTCACCCAGGCTGGAGTGCAGTGGTGCGATCTCGGCTCACTACAAGCTCTGCCTCCCGGGTTTATGCCATTCTCCTGCCTCAGCCTCCCGAGTAGCTGGGACTACAGGTGCCCGCCACCACGCCTGGCTAATTTTTTTGTATTTTTTTGGTAGAGATGGGGTTTCACCGTGTTAGCCAGGATGGTCTCAATCTCCTGACCTCGTGATCCGCCCACCTTGGCCTCACAAAGTGCTGGGATTACAGTCATGAGCCACCGTGCCTGGCTGCTCCGTGCTATTTCTTTATCCAACTGATACTTATTGAAAAACCTCTGCCAGGACCCCTTTCTATCACAAGGGTTGCTTTTCTATCACCCCTTTCTATCTGCCTGGTCACAGGGAGACTCTATCCCATGTCTTGGAGCCACTTTGTAGTTGGGAAGACACAGTGAGCTCTGTCTGGGCAAAAGGATTTTTTTGTGTGTGTGTTTTGCTCACTGAAGTTTCCCTTGTTCCTAGGAGAACTCCTGACATTTCCTTGATGCTCAATAAATGGCAAGGGCTGCTGCTTAAGAAAGCCATGTAAGGCTGGGCACCATGGCTCACACCTGTAATCCCAGCACTTTGGGAGGCTGAGGCGGGTGGATCACCTGAGGTTAGGGGTTCGAGACCAGCCTAGCCAACATGGTGAAACCCTGTCTCTACTAAAAATACAAAAATTAGCCCTGCATGGTGGTATGTGCCTGTAATCCCGGCTACCCGGGAGGCCGAGGCAGGAGAATCACTGGAACCTGGAAGGCAGAGGCTGCAGTGAGCCGAGAACACGCCACTACACTCCAGCCTGGGCGACAGAGTGAGACTCCATCTCAAAAAAAAAAAAAAAAAAAAGAAAGAAAAAGAAGGCCTTGTAAGTCTAGATTAGGCACAGCAACTCATGCCTGTAATCCCAGCACTTTGGGAGGCCGAGGCAGGGGGATTGCTTGAGCTCAGGATTTCAAGACCAGCCTCAGCAACACAGCAAGATCCCATCTCTAGAAAAAAAAATTAGCCAGGTGTGGAGGTGTGTGCCTGTAGTCCCAGCTAGTTAGGAGGCTGAGGTGGGAGGATCGATTGAGCCCTGGAGTTCGAGGCTGTAGTGAGCTATGATCTCGCCACTGCACTCCACCCTGGATGACGATACAAGATTCTGTCTCTCGAGCAAAACTAACTAATAAACAAAAATGAAGAAATTAACATGTGAACAGTACTATTAATTAAACTGTCAACCTTATGGGAATTTTTTATTTTTTGTTATTTATTCATTTATTTATTTTTGAGGCAGGGTCTTACTCTGTGAGCCAGGCTGTAGTGCAGTGGTGCAATCATAGTTCACTGTAGCCTCCGCCTCCTGGGTTCAGGTGATTCTTCCACCTCAGCCTCCTAAGTAGCTGGGACTACAGGCATGTGCCACTGCACCTGGCTAATTTTTTAATTTTTTGTAGAGACAGGGTTTCACCCACCCACCTTGGCTTCCCAAAGTGCTGGGATTACAGGTGTGAGCTATCACATCCAGCCTTTATTGGAATCTTACCAGCTTTTCAATTCATTCCTTTTTTCCATTCTAGAATCCAATCCAGGATTCCATGTGAGATTAGCACATAGCTTTTAATTAAATACAATCATAGCTAACATCCGTATAACCAAAGTAATTTAAGAAATTGAATCCCCATCGAAAAAAGAAATTGAATCCTATGGCCAGGCACAGTGGCTCATGCCTGTAATCCTAGCACTTTGGGAGGCTGAGGCGGGTGGATCACTTGAGGTCAGGAGTTCGAGACCAGCCTGACCAACATGGTGAAACCTCATCTCTCATAAAAATACAAAAATTAGCCGGGCATGGTGGTGCATGCCTGTAATCCCAGCTACTTGGGAGGTTGAGGCAAGAGAATCGCTTGAACCCAGGAGATGGAGGTTGCAGTGAGCCAAGATCGTGATATTGCACTTCAGCCAGGGCAACAAGAGCGAGACTCTGTCTCAGAAAAAAAAAAAAAAGAAAGAAAGAAAGAAAAAAGAAAAGAAAAGAAAAAAGAAATTGAGTCCTACAATTGTTCCTTTCAGTGCAAAATGTATCTAAACCTTTCTATCCAATCTCTATGGAGGTGTGCCTGGGTTGGGGTAGTATCTGTGCTGCTCATCTCTCCAGGTTTTCATTGGATCCATCCCCCTGTGGGGCGCTTCAAAGCCTGGTTCTGAGGTCAGGAGTTTGGGACCAGCCTGGCCAACATGATGAAACCCCTTCTCTACTAAAAACACAAAAATTAGTTGGGCATGGTGGCAGGAGCTTGTAGTCCCAGCTACCTGGAAGGCTGAGGCAGAGGAATCGCTTAAACCCAGGAGACGGAGGTTGCAGTGAGCCGAGATCAGGCTACTGCACCTCAGCCTCAGGAACAGAGCGAGATTCCATCAAAAACAAAAACAAAAAACAGGCATAGTGGCTCATGCCTGTAATCTCAGCACTTCGGGAAGCCGAGGCAGGCAGATCACTTGAGGTCAGTTCACCACCAGCCTGGGCAACATGGTGAAACCCTGTCTCTACTAAAAATACAAAAATTAGCCAGGTGTGGTGGCACACACTTGTAATCCCTGCTACTTGAGAGGTTGAGGCAGGAGGATAGCTTGAAACCAGGAGGTGGAGGTTGCAGTCAAGCCGAGATGGCATCACTGCACTCCAGCCTGGGTCAGACCTGTTAAAAAAAAACAAAAACAAAAAAAAGGCCTGGTTCCTTGGGGCTGGTTTCCTGGGTGTCTTTCAGTTTGGAATCAAGATCATATTGTCTGGGTCAGGCACGTTGGCTCACACCTGTAATCCCAGCACTTTGCGAGACCAAGGCTAGTGGATCACCTGAGGTGAGGAGTTGGAGACCAGCCTGGCCAACATGGTGAAACCCCATTTCTACTCAAAATACAAAAATTAGCCAGGCATGGTGGCTCATGCCTGTAATCCTAGCTACTTGGGAGGCTGAGGCAGGAGAATCGCTTGAACCTGGGAGGTGGAGGTTGCAGTGAGCTGAGATCACACCACTGCACTCCAGCCTGGGCAACAAGAGTGAAACTCCATCTCAAAAACAAACAAACAAACAAACAAACAAACAAAAAACCCAAGAAAAAGAGAGATCATATTGTCTGTTTTCAACAGAGTTCTTACTGCAGAGGGGTCCAATGTGCTTGCTTCTCCAAGGATGACAAGTATGTGTACGTGGGCTTAAAGGATCGCTCTATACTTGTTTGGAGTGTGCTGGATGGTGAGTCATTTTGCTTTTAGGGCAGGATTGAGCTTCGATCTGGAGAGAAAAGGCTCTGACCTGGGTCCTGGGCATTAGAGGGCCCTGCTCTGGCCACCTCTAGCTGCATCCCTTAGCTTTTAGGAAGGTGTCTGCAGGCAAAGGCAAAGGGCCCACAATCCCTCTTCTAGACCCATGCTCTGGAGTTCGAGAACTCCCTCCCTTGAGTTTTCATTAGGGCATGCACAGGCTTCCTGCATACAGCCATCCTTCCGAGGATAGACTGGGCTCCTGGTGTGTGCACTTCTGGGCTCAGGAGTAGCCATGGGGTGGTATGGATGGAGTTTGGGTGTCTGAGTTGGTTGTGAGATGGAGCTGAGAAGAGTGAGAAGAGGGTCAAGTCACTAGTAGTGGGGGGCTGGTTACATCACTACATTCCAGCATAGAACCCTGAGGAGCCCAAGAATTCTCAATCTGTTTCCAGGTGTTTGTGAAGGTTCCTTCATCAATATAAGAGGACACAGCATATTCTATTTAATAGTTTATTCCCTAGAATTGCAATGTTTATATATGGTGTCTTCTTGGATGTGGGTCTTATTTCATTCTTTGCCCCCGCCTTATAGATGTTAGAAGCAGCCTGTTTTTGTTTTTTGTTTTTTGTTTTTGAGATGGAGTCTAGCTCTGTCACCCAGGCTGGAGTGCAGTGGTGCAATCTCAGCTCACTGCAGTCTCTGCCTCCCAGGTTCAAGTGATTCTCCTGCCTCAGCCTCCTGAGTAGCTGGGATTACGGGCGCCCACCACCACACTCAGCTAATTTTTGTATTTTGAGTAGAGGTAGGGTTTCACCATGTTGGCCAGGCTGGTCTTGAACTCCTGACCTTGGGTGATCCACCCACCTCGGCCTCCCAAAGTGCTGGGATTAGAGATGTGAGCCACCATTCCTGGCCAGAAGCAGCCTGTTTTAAGACCAACCACTTTGGAAACACCGTGTCTCTTGGTCTGTTCAGTATTATGCTAAGGTCTTAGCAAGAGTTAACACTGGCTGGGTGCAGTGGCTCAAGCCTGCAATCCCAGCACTTTGGGAGGCCGATGTAGGAGGACTGCTTGAGGCCAGGAGTTCAAGACTAGTCTGGACAACATAGCGAGACTCTGTCTCTACAAAAAAAAAAAAATTAAAAATTATCCAGGCATGGTGGTACATGCTTGTAGTCCCAGCTACTCAGGAGGATAAAGTGATCATGGGAGGTCGAGGTGTGGGAGATTGAGGCTGCAGTGAGCCATGATAGCACCATTGCACTCCAGCCTGGGCAACAGAGTGAGACCCTGTCAAAAAAAATGAGTTAACATTTTTTGTATACTGGGTACTGTCCTTAAGTCATTTAACTCTCTCAACACTCACTCCCATTTACAGAGCAAAAACTGAGGCTCTGAGAGGCTGGCAGACTTGCCTAAGGTCACACAGTGAGTAACTAGTAGGCTTAGGTTTGAGGCTGACCTTCCTGATTTCAGTACGCCTTTGTCACTTTCTTACACTGTCTCCTATAGAAAAGGCGCTCATTGTGTATTATCTCTTTGAACCCTTATGACACTAGTAGGAGATAAGTATCATTGCTATCCTTGTTTGACAATGAAGAAGCTGAGGATCAGAGAGGTTAGGAGACTTGCCCAAGGTCACAAAACAAGTAAGTGGCTGAATAAATATCAGGTGGAGCCTACTACATTGTAGTTGAATACACTGTAATCTGATACATAGTAAACTATAACACTATTATACATTGTAGTATAATATGCTGTAGCAAAGATATATACAACTGGTATAAAGTTACAGATGGCTCAGAAGATGAAGGTTGAGGACTGTGGCCTTAAAAGCCCATCCTGGGCCAGTTCACAACCTCTCTTCCTTCTCCTCCTTCAACAATAATATTTACTGAGCTCACTCTGGGCCAAAAACCTACACTAAGCACATGACCTGCATGATGCCTTTCAATCTTAAAAATCGCCCTGAGCAGGTGTAGGTTCTGTTATCATTCCCATTGTGCAGATAAAGGAAGAGGGACTCTTTGGCATAATAAATGTCATGCCAAAATTAGTAGAGGGCATAGCAGGAATTTTATTCCATGCAGCCAACTCTGGAATGTGTAGGATTGGACCTCTACACCCCATTTTTCTCATTTGTGTCCTTCTCTTCACCCTTACAGGCACCCTGCTGACAGTCCAGTTTGTCCATGCTGTGGTAAACAGAATCATCCCAACCACCAGTGGCTTCATTGCCCCCACCAGGCATGGTTATCTGATCCGAGAGAATTTCCAGTGCCTTTCAGCAAAAGCCTCACCGCAGGACCCTCTTAAGAACTTCAAGAAGGCAATGTGGATGGTCAAATCCAGGCAGAGAGAGGAGCTAGTTGCAGCTGCAGGAGCTCCCCAGGACTTGGAGTCAGAAAGTGCCCAGGGAAATGAAACCAAATCAAACAAATGCTCACAAGTGTGCCTGATAGTGTAAAAAAATAAAAATAAAAAAACCCTGTGGGGGTATGGGGCTCCAGTGAGTTAGCCCCATTTAATCTAGTTAAAGCAAAAAGAATACGTTTGCTGGTGTATATCTGGACCCATGGCTTCAGATTATGGCTTCAGACCTTGTCTCTTCTCATCTTTCCATTATTCTTTCCTCTTTTTCATTTTCATTCTCAGACTTGCCACCCCCAGGTTAGCAACATGGTGGCCAATATGCTGCTGTCTCCAATTTCAATAGAAAAGAGAGCTTCTCTTTCCCAACAGTCCTAGCCTCAACTCTACTGGTCCCAATTGGCCCATACGCCTAGCCCTAAACCAATTATTATATCTGGGAGAATGCAGAGCTCTAATCGGCTAGACTGATCCAATGTCCACCACTGGGACTGAGAATAGAAGAGATTACTCCTGAGATGCAAACTGGAGTTCTGGTACCAGATGAAGGGGGAACGGATGAATGTGAGATACAGCAAATCACTGATGTGGACCACAGAACCTCACAGTTTATAAAGCTGTAGGTGCTGTCATCTGATCCTCATCACAACTCATACTTTAGGGAGGGCAGGAGTTTCTGTATCTATTTTACAGATGAGGAAACTGAGCCTTGCGGAAGTAGTTATAATTTGATTCAGGTCACAAGTCCAAGGTGCAAGAGCTCTGAGAGTGAGCCTTCTGTCCCATTCCTGTTAGACCTCACTCCAATTTCAGTCTGCAGAGCACAACCATCTCTTCCACAGGCACCACACTCAAATGCTCACAGGAGCTAGTGACTAATCTAGACACTTCCATGCACCTGGGTGAGCAGCAGGGAGAGACAGAGACTGGACATGTGGAAGGCAGAGATTGTGTCTAGGGTGGGTATGAGCAGCCTGACTGTAGCCCAGAATCACCATGGCCAAACAAGCCCACTGCTGTCAGTGCTTCCAGTTGTAATAAGCAAAGCCAGAAATCCAGACTTTTATGCAAAAATGTTCTGACTTTTAAAGTTGGCGATTGGTTGAATTTATATCTATAGTGCATTTGGCATGTGCGTCTTTGGTTAATGAGCTGACTTCAGGACTCACGCTGGCAGTAAAACAATCAACATGTTATAGTTCATCCCTCTCTATTCCTTGGCTCCCAAACTTTTGGGATAAAGATGTGGGTTTTTAATCTTAAAAACTGGAGGCTCTTGGAAGTAGAAAGAGCTGCTGATCTCTCCCTGCTTTGCTTTTGAACTGTCTGCCTTGTGCAAGTTCAACAGTCAAACTGTTTTCATTCCACTTAAGTGGATCTTTCTTCTTTGCCCACAGCCTTCTAAAAGCCCTTCTCAGTCTTCTCAGGCTTTTACTTTAATGCTAGGATAGTCTAAATCTTCAAGGTGGCTATCCCTTCTCCCCTCCGTGGAATTCCTGATAGAGTCTCAATAAAAGCAACCTTAGAAACAGAGGCTTTTGAGCTGAACAAGACCCTACTGCTGTCTTATTCATCCATTTTCCAAACCAGTTTTCCAAGGCAGGTTTTGGTAGTTCTGCAAATGTTAGTGTCAAATTTCATTTAAAAATATTTTAAACTGTAATTTTAAGATGTATGCTTGGATGTATTGGGCAGCAGCTTCTAAGGTGTTGAAGATTACTAAGGTTGGTGCAAAAAGTAACTGTGGTTTTCGCCATTAAAAATATTAAAAATAATGGCAAAAACTGGCTGGGCACAGTGGCTCACACCTGTGGTCCCAGCTCTTTGGAAGGCCGAGGCAGGTGGATCACCTGAGGTCAGGAGTTTGAGACCAGCCTGGACAACATGGTGAAACCCTTCTCTACTAAAAATACAAAAATCAGCCAGGCATGGTGGTGAGTGCCTGTAATCTCAGTTACTCAGGAGGCTGAGTCAGGAGAATCACTTGAACCCGGGAGGCGGAGGTTGCAGTGAGCTGAGATTGTGCCACTGCACTCCAGCCTGGGTGACAGAGCAAGACTCCATCTCATAATAATAATAATAATGGCAAAAGCCTCGGTGGCTCACGCCTGTAATCCCAGCACTTTGGGAGGCTGAGGCGGGTGGATCACTTGAGGCCAGGTGTTCAAGAGCAGCCTGGTCAACATGGTGAAACTCTGTCTCTACTCAAAAATACAAAAATTAGCCTGGTGTGGTGACGTACACCTGTAATTCCAGCTACTTGGGAGGCTGAGGCAGGAGAATGGCTTGAACCCGGGAGGCGGAGGTTGCAGTGAGCCGAGATCGCACCACTGCACTCCAGCATGAGTGACAGAGACTCTGTCTCCAAAAAAAAAAAAAAAAAAAAGTAATGGCAAAAACCACAATTAATTTTGCATCAACCTAATAATTTAGGATTCTTCTGCCATTTTCATTTAACTGATTTAACTGAAGAGCCCAATTAAATTGTGAAGGGAGCCCTGAAAAAATTAGCTACTCTTTGCCACTGCTTCTCTGTGAATCAAGGGCTTACCCAATGCAGAAATAAAGTAGATGTTGAGACCAATTAAGATTTCACCTACAAATTCTGATTTTAAATGCCTGTGTCCATCTCCACAGCCTCAGTGAGAATTGATTGTTTTGTAGATAAATCCTAATTTAAACATTGGAAATGCCTTTTTACTAATAAAATGCTACAACAAATTATTGCTTATATTGGGAGTTTTTGCAGTGTTTATTCATTTGAAAAAGAGTTTGGTTGCTAAGAAAGTTTGACAGTTGGCTGGTCAATGCTTGTAATCCCAGCACTTTGAAAGGCCAAGGTAGAAGGATCACTTGAGCCCAGGAGTTTGAGACCCTGTCTCTCCAAAAAAAAAAAAAAAAATTTTTTTTTAATTAGCTGGGCATGGTGGTGCACACCTGCAGTCCTAGCTACTCAGGGGGCCAAGGTGGGAGGATCACTTGAGCCCAGGAGATCAAGGCTGTAGTTAGCTATGATCGCACCACTGCACTCTAGCCTGGGCAAGAGAGTGAGACCATGTCTCAGAAAAAAAATAAAATAAAATTAAGGGATGCCGAAAAGCTCAGCAATCATGACAAATAATGTTTTCTCTCTCTTTTTTTTCTTGTTTTCTTTTCTTTTGGAAGACAAATAATATTTTGTTATCTTTTTTTTTTTTTTTTGTCAAGGCCTTGCTCTGCTGCCAGACTAGAGTGCAATGGTGCGACCTCGGCTCATTGCACCTCTGACTCCTGGATTCAAGCGATTCTCCTGACTCAGCCTCCTGAGTAGCTGGGACTACAGGCCACCACGCCCAGCTAATTTTTGTATTTTTTGTAGAGACGAGGTTTTGCCATGTTGGCCAAGCTGGCCCTGAACTCCTGACCTCAAGTGATCTGTGCTCCCTTGGCCTCCCAAAGTGCTGGGATTACAGGCATGAGCCACCGTGTGTGGCCTATTATCATATTTTTAAAAATCAAAATGAATTTAAAAATGAATGATGAACAAAACATCAACATTCTATATAAAATTGGTATCTGACCCTGCATTTGCAGGAACTGACCTCACCCTCTTCCTGGCCCTGGGGACATCAAGACACCTCACCCCTACATACATCAGACAAGTGTCTTAGGAAGGTCATATTCCTATATAAGCACACACACCTGTGAGAATTACTAATTGTTAGTTAATATCTTTTTTATTTTTCAGAGAGGGTCTCTCTCTGTCGCCCAGGCTGGAGTGCAGTGGTATGATCATGGGTCACTGCAGCCTTGAACTTATGAGCTCAAGTGATCCTCCTGCCTCAGCCTCCCAAGTAGCTGAAACTACAGATGTGCACAACCATACCTGGTTAATTTTTAAATTTATTGTAGAGAGGGTGTCTCACTATATTGCCCAGGCTGGTCTCCAACTCTTGGGCTCAAGCGATCCCCCCAGTGTGCTGGGATTACATGGCGCCTGGCCATCAGAAATATTTCTAATCTGGCCCTTTACCAAAATATATATATATATTTACCAAATATATACGTGTCTATATATATACATGCACATATATACACATATATACACACACATATATACACATATATATACACATATACATATATACGTATATATGTGTGTATATACACACATACATATGTATATATGTATATATACACATACATATGTATATATGTATATATACACACACATATGTATATACATATGTGTATATGCACATATATACATACACACACACACACATATACTTATGTATATATGCCTACCCTTGGTCTTAAAGCTTGGCTAAATTTAGGGTAAACATCTTTTATATAGGCTTTCTTTTTTTAGAGTAGTTTTAGGTTCACAGCAAAATTAAGTGGAAGGTGCAGAGATTTCCCATCTACCCTATGCACCCCTCATGCACAGCCTCCTCCATCAACATCCCTCACTCTAACAAACGCAGAGCGGTGCATTTGTTACAATGGATGAACTCGCATTGACACTTCCTTATCAGAGGAGAGACAATTTTTTTTTTTTGAGACGGAGTTTTGCTCTTGTTGCCCAGGCTGGAGTGCAATGGTGCGATCTCGGCTCACTGCAACCTCCGCCTCCCGGGTTCAAGCCGTTCTCCTGCCTCAGCCTCCCAAGTAGCTGGAATTACAGGTGTACGCCACCACACCAGGCTAATTTTTGTATTTTTAGTAGAGACAGGGTTTTGCCATTTTGGCCAGGCTGGTCTGAAACTCCTGGCCTCAAGTGATCCACCCGACTTGGCCTCCCAAAGTGCTGGGATGACAGGCATGAGCCACTGCAACTGGCCCAGGATAGACATTTTTGACAAGTATACTTCATAGGTGTGTCCATTCTCCATCACTACTTAGTAAATTATTGCAAAGTTAGAAGCTTAAAATAACATCCACTTCTTATCTTACAATTTCTGCAAGTCAGGAGTCTGGGCATGGCATGACTGGATTCTTTGTTCAGGATCTCACAAGGTGTCAGCCGGACTGGGCTCTCATTGAGAGCCTCAGGGTCTTCATCCAAGCTCCTTCAGATTCTTGGCAGAATTAAGCCCTTCAAAGCTATAGGAGTGGAGACCTCAGCTGCCCCTCTCCATAGGCAGTTTGCAAAACAGCTGCTTCCTTCTTCAAGGCCAGCAGCATTGTATTTCTCTGATGCTTCATCTCTGACCTCAAACTCAGACTCAGACTCAGACTCAGATTGTCTTTTAAAAAAATTTTTTTTTGGCCAGGTGCAGTGGTTCACACCTGTAATCCCAGCACTTTGGAAGGCCCAGGCTGGCAGATCATGAGGTCAAGAGATACAGACCATCCTGGCCAACATGGTGAAACCCTGTCTCTACTAAAAATGCAAAAAATTAGCTGGGCATGGTGGTGCGCGCCTGTAGTCTCAGCTACTCAGGAGGCTGAGGCAGGAGAATCAGTTGAACCCAGGAGATGGAGGTTGCTGTGAGCCAACATCATGCCACTGCACTCTAGCCTGGTGACAGAGTGAGACTCTGTCTCAAAAAACAAAAAAAATTTTTTTAGAGATGAGGTCTTGCTGTGTTGCCCAGGCTGGTCTCAAACTCCTGGCCTCAAGTGATCCGCCTGCCTCTCAAAGTGCTGGGATTACAGGTTTGAGCCACTGCACCTGGCCCAGTAGCACCTTTTTATGTTTGATAAAAATAAGAATATCCAGCCTAGGCAACTTAGTGAGACCCTGTCTGTAAAAAAAATAAAAATAAAAAATTAGCCAGGCATGGTGGCACGTACCTGTAGTCCTGGCTACTCAGGAGGTCAAGGCTGCAGTGAGCTGTGATTGCACCATTGCACTCCAGCCTGGGCAACAGAGCGAGTACCTGTTTCAGAAAATAAATAAATGGAAATAAAATTAAAAGATGTCTTTGTACTATTGTCCTCATGATAAATATACACATGTGTGCACATACATACATGTACACACATGCCCCAGATGGAACTGGCTTGTGGTTTTGTCAGAGGCGTTTGAAACAAGCTTACTCCATCTAGAATAGGGGCTGGGTAAAATGAGGCTGAGACCTGCAGGGCTGCATTCCCGGGAGGTTAGGCATTCTAAGCCACAGGGTGAGGTAGGAGGTGGACGGAAGACCCAGGTCACAAAGACCCTGCTGATAAAACAGGATTCTGGGGCGGGGTGGGGGTCGGGGGGCATTGTTTGTTTGTTTGTTTTTGTTTTTGTTTGAGACAGAGTTTCGCTCTTGTTGCCCAGGCTAGAGTGCAATGAATGGCGCGATCTTGGCTCACTGCAAACTCTGCCTCCTGGGTTCAAGAGATTCCCCTGTCTCAGCCTCCTGAGTAGCTGGTATTATAGGCACATGCTACCATGCCTGGCTAATTTTTGTATTTTTAGTAGAGACGGAGTTTCATCATATTTATCAGGCTGGTCTCGAACTCCTGACCTCGGGTGATCCACCTGCCTCGGCCTCCCAAAGTGCTGGGATTACAGGCGTGAGCCACTGCGCCCGGCCCATGCAGGGTTTTTGTTGTTGTTGTTGTTGTTGTTGTTTTTGAGACAGAGTCTTGCTCTGTCACCCAGGCTGGAGTGCAGTGGCATGGTCTTGGCTCACTGAAACCTCCACCTCCTGGGTTCAAGCGATTCTCCTGCCTCAGCCTCCTGAGTAGCTGGGATTACAGGCGCCCGCCACCACGCCTGGCTAATTTTTTTTTTTTTTTTTGAGTAAAGATGGGGGTTTCACCATGTTGGCCAGGCTGGCCTCGAACTCCTGACCTCAGGTGATTCGCCCACCTTGGCCTCCCAAAGGGCTGGGATTACAGGCGTGAGCCACCGTGCCGGGCCAGGATGCAGGGTTTTATCAGCATGGTGTGAAAGTGACCTCTGGTTGTCCTCACTGCTCATTATACACTAATTATAATACATTAGCATGCTAAGAGACACTCCCACCAGCGCCATGACAGTTACAAATGCCATGGCAACTTCCAGAAGTTACCCTATAGGTTCTAAAAGGGTAGGGACCCCTAAGTTCTGGGAAATCTTCGCCCCTTTTCTCAGAAAACTCATGAGTAATCCATCCCTTGTTTAACCTATAATCAAGAAATAACTGTAAGTATATGCAATCGAGCAGCCCATATCACTGCTCTGCCTGTGGAGTAGCCATTCTTTTATTCCTTTACTTTCTTTTTCTTCATTTTTAAAATTTATTTTTATTTTTTGAGATGCAGTTTTGCTCTGGTCACCCAGGCTAGAGCGCAATGGTGCGATCTCGGCTCACTGCAACCTCCGCCTCCCAGGTTCAAGTGATTCTCCTGCCTCAGCCTCCCGAGTAGCTGGGATTACAGGCGTCCACCACCATGCCCAGCTAATTTTTGTATTTTTAGTTGAGACAGGGTTTCACCATCTTGACCAGGCTGGTCTCGAACTCCTGAACTCAGGTGATCTGCCTTCCTCGGTCTCCCAAAGTGTTGGAATTACAGGCATGAGCCACTGCACCTAGCCTTTTTTCTTTTTTTTTGAGACAGGATCTTGCTCTGTTTCCCAGGCTGGAGAGCAGTGACACGACCATGGCTCACTGCAGCCTTGACTTCTTGGACTCAAGCAATTCTCCTGCCTCAGCCTCCCAAATAGCTGGGACTGCAGACGTGCACCACCACGCCAGGCTAATTTTTTGTTTTGTTTTGTTTGTTTGTTTGTTTTTTGTAGAGAAAAAGCGATCTGTCTGCCTTCGTCTCCCAAAGTGCTGGGATTACAGGCGTGAGCCACCTGGCCTCCTTTACTTTCTTAAACTTACTTTATGGACTTGTCCAGAATTCTTTCTTGCATGAGATCCAAGAACTCTCTCTTGGGGTCTGGATGAAGACCCCTTTTCGGTAACAGTTTCCTCTTCCCCAAATGAAAGAGGGCCTTTGCTGATCATTTGAGAGAAAACAAATTTGAGTAGAAGCCACACTCCCTGTGGGGAGGGGCACACTGTGGGACAACTCTGTTGGCCCTCAAGGACGATGACTAATAGGTTGCTGATGTCAGAGGCATTTGAACCAGAGCAACAACATCTTGAATAGGGGCTGGGTAAAATAAGGCTGAGACCTACTGGGCTGCATTCCCAGATGGTTAGGTCATTCTAAGTCACAGGATGAGTTAGGAGGTCAGCACAAGATACGGGTCATAAAGACCTTACTGGCCTGGCGCGGTGGCTCATGCCTGTAATCCCAGCACTTTGGGAGGCTGAGGTGGGTGGATCACCTGAGGTCGGGAGTTTGAAACCAGCCTGACCAACATGGAGAAACCTCGTCTCTACTAAAAATGCAAAATTAGCCGGGCCTGGTGGTGCGCACCTGTAATCTCAGCTATTCGGGAGGCTGAGGCAGGAGAATCACTTGAACTGGGAGGTGGAGGTTACAGTGAGCCAAGATTGCGCCATTGCACTCCAGCCTGAATAACAAGAGTGAAACTTCGTCTAAAACAAACAAAAACAAACAAACAAAAAAAACCTAGCTGATAAAATAGCCTGCAGTAAAGAAGCCAGCCAAAACCAAGATGGAGACAAGAGTGGCCTCTGGTTGTCCTCACTGCTGTACTCCTACCGGTGCCATGACAGTTTACAAATGCCATGGCAACATCAGGAAGTTACCCTATATGGTCTAAAAAGGGGAGGCATAAATAATCCACCCCTTGATTAGCGTATCATCAAGAAATAACTGGCCAGGCGCGGTGGCTCATGCCTGTAATCCCAATACTTTGGGAGGCTTTGGTGGATAGATCATTTGAGGTCAGGAGTTTGAGACCAGCCTGGCCAACATGATAAGACCCCCGTCTCTAATACTAAAAATACAAAAATTAGCCAGGCGTGGTGGCACGCACCTGTAATCCCAGCTACTTGGGAGGCTGAGGTAGGAGAATCGCTTGAACCTGGAAGGCAGAGGTTGCAGTGAGCTGCAATCGCGCCACTGCACTCTAGCCTGGGCGACAGAGTAAGACTTCGTCTCAAAAGGAAATAACCATTAAAATGGGCGGCCAGGCGCTGTGGCTCACACCTGTAATCCCAGCATTTTGGGAGGCCAAGGTGGGCGGATCACGAGGTCAGGAGATCAAGACCATCCTGGCTAACATGGTGAAACCCCATCTCTACTAAAAATACAAAAAAAATTAGCCAGGTGTGGTGGCAGGCGCCTGTAGTCCCAGCTACTCGGGAGGCTGAGGCAGGAGAATGGCATGAACCTGGGAGGCGGAGCTTGCAGTGAGCCACGATGGCGCCACTGCACTCCAGCCTGGGCGACAGAACGAGACTCTGTCTAAGAAAAAGGGCAACCAGCAGCCCTGGGGGCTGCTCTGTCTATGGAGTAGCCATTCTTTAGTCCTTTACTTTCCTAATAAACTTACTTTCAGTTTACTGTATGGACTGGCCCTGAATTCTTTCTTGCGTGAGATCCAAGAACCCTCTCTTGGGGTCTGGATTGGGACCCCTTTCCCGTAACAGTGTCAGAGGTGTTTGAACCAGAGGAACCCCGACTTGAATAGGGGCTGGGTAAAATAAGACTAAGACCTACTGCACTGCATTCCCAGATGGTTAAAGCATTCTTAGTCACAGGATGAGATAGGAGGTCAGCACAACATACGGGTCATAAAGACCTTGCTGATAAAACAGGTTGCAGTAAAGAAGCCGGCCAAAATCTACCCAAATCAAAATGACCTCTGGTGGTCCTCACTGCTACACTCCCACCAGCGCCAAGACAGTTTAGAAATGCCATGGCAACGTCAGGAAGTTACCCTCTATGGTCTAAAAAGAGGAGGCATGAATAATCCACCCCTTGTTTAGCATATCATCAAGAAATAAATCATAAAAATGGGGAATAAGCGGCCCTCGGGGCTGCTCTGTCTGTGGAGTAGCCATTCTTTGTTCCTTTATTTTCCTTATAAACTTGCTTTCACTTTACAGACTCTCCCTGAATTCTTTCTTGCGTGAAATCCAAAAACCCTCTCTGGGGGGTCTGGATCGGGACCCATTTCCTGTAACACTGGGAGGCTTTGGTAAGAAACGGACTGTCCAGACATCTGGTGGCCACAGAGTGTTCAGTCTGCCTTCGCTGCTCTTCCTGGCTGGGAGCCACAAATCTTCCATGCTTTACTTTCTAAATACCACTCCCTTCCACCCACCGCTCTCTACTTCCACTGCTCCCATCCTGGTCTAAGCCACCATCGTCCTTTGCCTAAATGATGAAACAGCCTCCCTCCACCCTCCCTGGCTCCGCTCCAATCACTTTCCTGCAGAGCAGCCAGAGTGATCACTTTCAAATGCAAACCTGAACTTGCAGCTCCTCCGCTCAAAGCCCTTGGATGGTTTCCACCAGCGTGAATGCTAAAGCCTGAACTCAGTGCATAAGGTGCTGTGTGTTCCGCTCCTCTGGCTGCTCCGGGATTATCTTGTACTCTCTTTCTTCCCCTCCCTCTCTGCAGCCTGGGAAACTCGTCTTAAAAAAAAAAAAACTCTTGAAATGTACCATGCTGTCTCCCACCTCAAAAATCACAGCTGTTCGTGATTTTTCTCATGATGAATGCCTACGCATTCTTCAGATCTCAGCTAGAATGCCACCTCCTCTGGGAAGCCTCCCTCATCTCCTGCAAGACTGGGTTAGGTTTCCCTAGGTAACAGGTGGTATTTTCCAAAAATAGCCACAACATATTTCCTGTCCCACATGATACTCTTGGCCATTTGCCCTCCTCTTGAATTTAGGAAAAACTTTGTAACAGCCTGTATGGAAAGAATGCAATGGAAATGATTCTGCGTGACTTCCGAGTCTGGGTGAGAAAAGGTAATATGGGAGCTGGGTGCAGTGATGCATGCCTGTAGTCCCAGCTACTCAACAGATTGACGTGGGAGGATCCTTTGAGTCCAGGAGTTTGAGGCCAGCCTGGGCCAGCCTGAGACCCTGAGTCCCACCCCAACCCCTGCCATCTCCGGAAGAAGAAGAAGGAGAAGGAGAAGAGGAAGAAGAAGAGGAAGAGGAAGAAGAAAAAGAAAAGATGATATGATTCCCACCTGGCTCACACGCTCACTTGTTCTTAGAACGGTAGTTGTGAAGAAGCTCAGGCTGCAAGGAGACCACATGTAGGTATTCCAAGCAACGGCCCCAGCGAGGGTCTCGGCCTGTAGCCTGTAGCAACTGACATACATATGTGTGAGCAAACATTCAGGTGATTCCAGCCCCCAGACTTTGAGCCACCCAGCTGATGCCAAGGTTGAGTTATTCCTCCCAAGCCTGCCCAAATTGCAGATTGAAGAGTAAAATGAATGTCTCTTTTCTTTCTTTTTTTTTTTTTTTCAAGACAGGGTCTTGCTCTTGCTCTGTTCCCCAGGCTGGAGTGCAGTGGCGCAATCTCAGCTCATTGCAACCTCCACCTTCTGGGTTCAAGCGATACTCATGCCTCAACCTCCCAAGTAGCTGGGATTACAGGTGTGTGCCACCACACCTGGCTAATTATTGTATTTTTAGTAGAGATGGGATTTCACCATCTTGTCCAGGCTGGTCTTGAACTCCTGGCCTCATGTGATCCACCCACCTCTGCCTCCCAAAGTGCTGGGATTACAGCCATGAGCCACTTGCCCCGTGAATGTTGTTGTCATTTGAAGCTTCTAAGTCTTGAGCTGCTTTTTATTTTCTTTTACAGAAAGCCCAGACCTTACAATGTTTTTATTTTTTCTCTCCATTTTTCTTTCTTTTTAATGTTTTTGTACAGATGGGATCTTGCTATGTTGCCTGGGCTGGTCTCAAACTCCTGGCCTCAATGCATGCCCCCACCTTGGCCTCCCAAAGTGCTGGGATTGTCAAGGGCTCATTTGTTACACAGTCATAGCAACAGAAATTTAGGAACTGTTACATGTATACCTTCTCTTTAAAGTATTTGTTACATGTGAAACTTTACATTTGTGTGATTACTAGATTCCTGTCTATCCTGAGAGACTAAAAGCTCTTAACGGCCAAATTTGCGTTCCTTTTTACCATTCTATTCCTGACACTTAGCAAGGTGCCTGGTAAATGATGCACTCGATGCCAATTTACTCTCAACTTTCCTGCACCTCTTCACTTATAAAAAGAGAAAGCACTTGGTCATTAATTGAACGTTCACTTATTTGATGAATGCTGACTGAGAGACTGTGTCAGGGATTTGTATTAGAGACGGACACAAAACAAATATGAAATACAAGGGACTGAGGGGAGACATAGAAGGGGACTGGGAACACTTCCTGAGGGAAAGGGATATTTGGGCTGCGTTTAGAAGGATGTATAGGTGTTTTCTGAATAACAAAGAGGCATGACAGTACTTCTGGCAAAGGAAATGGTGAGTGCCAATGCTTGGGACCAGGAAGCAGCCAGGTTGGTCAGGCAATTGTGTGAAGTTCTGCACAGAGGCAGGCAGTTTGCTTGGAAAATCCTGCAGGAAAAGGTTCCTAAGGACCAATTCTGACAGCCTGCAATGTAGGTGCTTAGATTTCATCTCATTAGAAATAGGAAGACCTTGGAGGTTTGGAAGGAGTGGTGGAAAAAGTGGAGTTTTTTGTTTTTCTGTTTTTTTTTTTTTAAGAGATGAGATGCTCTTTAAAAAAAAAAAAAAAAAAAAGCACTGCTATGCTTCCCAGGCTGGGGTGTGCAGTGGCAAGATCATGGCTCACTGCAGCCTTGAACTCTTGGGCATGAGCAATCCTGCCTCAGCCTCCCGAGTAGCTGGGACTAAACGTGTGCACCACCACGCCCAGCTAATTTTTTCATTTTATTTTATTATTTAATTAATTAATTAATTAATTTTTTGAGACAGAGTTTTTGCTCTTGTTGCCCAGGCTGGAGTGCAATGGCGTGATCTTGGCTCACTGCAACCTCCGCCTCCCGGGTTCAAGCAATTCTCTTGCCTCAGCCTCCCGAGTAGCTGGGATTACAGGCATGCGCCACAAAGCCCGGCTAATTTTGTATTTTTAGTAGAGACGGGGTTTCTCCATGTTGGTCAGGCTAATCTCCAACTCCAGACCTCAGGTGATCTGCCCGCCTCGGCGTCCCAAAGTGCTGGGATTACAGGCGTGAGCCACGGCGCCCAGCCAATTTTTTCATTTTCTTTTTCTTTTTTTCAAGGCCCGGCTAATTTTTTGTATTTTTAGTAGAGACGGGGTTGCACCGTGTTAGCCAGGATGGTCTCTATCTCCTGACCTCGTGATCCGTCCGCCTCGGCCTCCCAAAGTGCTGGGATTACAGGCGTGAGCCACCATCCCCAGCCTAGAGTTCTTGATAGTATCAGGGCTGAGAAAGTACCAGAGTTAGAGCCAGGTGGGGTGGCACTAAAAGTACAAAAAATTAGCAGGGCGCAGTGGCGGGCGCCTGTAGTCCCAGCTACTCAGGAGGCTGAGGCAGGAGAATGGTGTGAACTCGGGAGGCGGAGCTTGCAGTGAGCGGAAATCGCGCCACTGCACTCCAGCCTGGGCGACAGAGCGAGACTCTGTCTCAAAAAAAAAAAAAAAAAAAAAAAAAAAAAAAGAAAGTACCAGAGTTAGGAGGCTCCTAAACTGGTCCAGATGGGAAGTGACGGGGCCAAGGATAGGGAAGTGAAGATGGGAGGAGTAGGACTAACTTAAAGGCCATTTAGCAAAAATTCACCACGCAAGGCCCTATATTAGGGCGCTGGGGGCTCATACCTCATCGTCCCGTCAACTCTATAAAGCAGGGGCCAACAAACTTTTTCCATAAAAGGCCAGATCGTAAATACTTCAGGGTCTGCAGATCTGTAGGATCTTTAGCAACTACCTACTCTGTTGTAAGGCGAAAGCAGGCAGAGAAGCCAGGTAAACGCGTGGGCGTGTCTGTGTGCTAATAAAACTTTATTCAGGGACCCTCAAATGTGAATTTCACAAACTTTTCACAGGTCATAGACTATTCTTCTTTGGATTTTTCCCCCGGCTATGTAAACATGTAAAAATAATTCTGAGCTTGCGGGGCCGGACAAAGTAGGCGGCGGGTCTTGGCTCGCCTACCCCTGCTATATAAATCATTAATTATGATACCAATCTTAAGGAGAAGGTCTTCAGAAGAGTCCCTCAAAGAGCACCGCCCCTCAACGTCATCAAACCCCGCCTCCAAAGGCGGAGGCTGCGCATGCGCGGCAGGACCTCGGGCGGGGGCGGGGCGGGGCGCAGCTCCGACTTCGGACATGGCGCACGCTGGCGGTGGCAGCGGTGGCAGCGGTGCCGGCGGCCCCGCGGGCCGGGGGCTGAGCGGCGCCCGCTGGGGTCGCTCGGGCTCCGCAGGCCACGAGAAGCTGCCGGTGCACGTGAGTGGCGTCCCCGCCCTCCCTCGGGGAACCCATCTTCTGGACCCCGCGGGCGGGCGCCCCTCACCCAGGCCCCGCCCGGCCCCAGCCCCACCTCGGCCTCCCCTCTGCACTGCCCCGGACCCCTCACCCCTCACCTCTCACCTCGGCCCTCCGAAAGCCCAGCCCATCCCCTTCCCCTCAGGGACCCCGGCCCCTCGTCCCCTCGTTCCGCGGCCAGGGCCCACCGGGACCCTCCCCCTCTCTGCAGGTAGAAGACGCCCTCACCTATCTGGACCAGGTGAAGATCCGCTTTGGCAGCGACCCTGCCACCTACAACGGCTTCCTGGAGATCATGAAGGAGTTCAAAAGCCAGAGGTACCAGCGGGGCCCCTCTCCACCTCAGGGGACCCCCCTGGGCCGGAATCGGGCCTAGCGGGGTGAGACCTCCCCTCTCCAGCCTGCCCCCTTAGCCGGGTGACCTTGCGCAGGTTGTCCAATCTCTCAGAGCCCTAGCTCCTTCTCGTAACAAAAATGGAAATGGGTAGTACCCACCTTGTGGAGCTTTGTGGGGATTCCTGGAAGCAGGACAGGGATCTGGGGGGAGGCAGGGAGGGCGAGGCCGTGCACACTCATAGAGTCAAATCCTGCCTTGATTTAATATGTTGATTTTTATATTAGTTTTGTTCATGAAAGATTTGGTGGGACCCATTTTGATTTTTATTTTCAAGCGCTGTAAAATGTTATTGTCTTGATGATTGAAATTTTTGGCACCCTCTTCCCCTTTAATCTTGTCCTCAAGATGCTTCTCTGGGCTCACTGTGGTCCCAGGCCTGCTTGGAAGTAAGACGCATAAAATGCTTAGTAAGGGAGCTGGCACACAGAAAACGTTTAAAACACATGAGATGATTTTGCAGGCCCAGAATCAAGGAAGATTACAGATAGATGGGAAACCCTGGGATCATGCCCTTGTTTTTATAGGAGACTCACTGAGGTTTGGAGTGGGTAAGGGACCCACCTAAGTGGCAGAGGTGTCACTAGAACTCAGACCCTCTGACTCAGATTCTTGGAAGTCACATGCTTACCATACTGCTGCCCCCTCTTAGGAAACATGGTGGGGCTGGCCTGGTTTCCTTCCGGGAGCCCAGTGCTAAGGGCTGGGCTGCAATGCAGCCAGAAGGGAGACCCCATCTCTCCCCTCCTATTTTTCTTACACCTTTCCCATTCTTGGCAGTACCATTGGTATTTATGCATTGCAATTGTTTGCTCAGATGGAAACCTGTGTCATAGTCATCTCTATCTGATACAAAATGAGGGAAGTTTTCACATTGCTTAGAGGACTTTGGCCTCCTGCCATTTCTTGGAGTCCAGGCCTTGCGGTTGGCTCTCCTGACATTTTCAGAACCGAGTACCCATTCTTGGAGTGTTTTAGGGGAGCTGAGCGATGTCAGTATTCTCTGGTTCTCACCAGGAGGGAACAGGGAGCTCAGGCCTAGCCAGTCAGGAGATAGGTCATGGTGTACAGATGCTATCACATGGGGGCACTTTTTTTTTTTTTTTTGAGATGGATTCTCGTGCTGTCGCCCAGGCTGGAGTGCAGTGGTGTGATCTGGGCTCACTGCAGCCTCCGCCTCCCGGGTGCAAGTGATTCTTGTGCCTCTGCCTCCTGAGTAGCTGGGACTGCAGGCACGCACCACCACTCCAAGTTCGTTTTTGTATTTTTAGTACAGACAGGGTTTCACCATGTTGACCAGTCTGGTCTCGAACTCTTGACCTCAGGTGATCTGCCTGCCTCGGCCTCCTAAAGTGCTGGGATTACAGGCATGAGCCACTGCGCCTGGTGGGTCACATTTTAGGTTCCTTTGTTGTCTGTTGAGAAGGTTTTTATGTGGCAGTATCAAGGGAGTGGGGAATAGATTATATTTTTCATTTATTTCCCAAGACCCTTTTGCCCACTTCCGTTGTTTCTTCTAGCATCGATACTCCTGGAGTCATCAGACGTGTCTCGCAGCTCTTCCACGAGCACCCTGACCTCATTGTTGGATTCAACGCTTTTCTTCCCCTCGGATATAGAATAGACATTCCCAAGAATGGCAAGTTAAACATACAGTCGCCTCTGACAAGCCAGGTATGCCACTACAGTGGTTCGGGTGATCTCAGCCTTCACCGAGTATGTCTTGCTACTCAGGTTGGGCCACGTGTCTCTCCTGTATCATTGCTAGAAAGCCACTTAAGATCTGTTCTTTTTCTAGACGTGCTCATTGCTTCTAGCACAAATCAAAATAGATATGGAAACACCTACACAAGCAGCCTCTGCCTCCCAAATTGATCTGTTTGGAAGATTTAAATCAAGAGTGGATGTCAGGGAGGTATCCTCCTAACGCAGAATTTTGTGTGAAGTCTAAATAACCACCTCAGCAGTTGCTGAGGTCTTGGCTTGAGGCTTTCCCAGCGAGCATACCAGGCAGGCTTGCCCTTGTATTTAAGCATGTCCTCGTCTGCCTCTGATCACTCTCAGTACCACCTACAAAATAAAGTGGTCGAGATGGTGTGTGAGTAGCCACGTTTATGTTGGCTGTGTTTCATTTAATTGTTGATAGGATCATTAGCTCAGCTGGGACTCCTGGCTTTGCTTTGGTCCCTTTTTTCTTGGGTGATAGGTGCTGGCCCTCTTTTTTTTTTTTTTTTTTTTTTTGGAGACGGAGTCTGGCTCTGTCACCCAGGCTGGAGTGCAGTGGCGCAATCTCAGCTCAGTGCAACCTCCGCCTCCCAGGTTCAAGCAATTCTCCTGCCTCAGCCTCCCGAGTAGCTGGGATTACAGGTGTGCACCACCATGCTTAGCTAATTTTTGTATTTTTAGTAGAGATGGGGTTTCTTCATGTTGGCCAGGCTGTTCTTGAGCTCCTGACCTCAAGTGATCTGCCTGCTTCAGCTTCCCAAAGTGCTAGGATTACAGGCGTGAGCCACCGTGCCCAGCCTCCTTTTTTTTTTTTTTTTTTAAGACAGGTTCTCACTCTGTTGCCCAGGCTGGAGTGCAGTGGTGCCATCATATCTCACTGCAGCCTCAACCTCCTGGGCTCAAGTGATCCTCCCGTCTCAGCCTCCTAAGTAGCTAGGACTACAGGCGTGCACCACCACGGCCAGCTAATTTATTTATTTTTTTTGTAGCGACAGGGTCTCACTATGTTGCCCAGGGTTGGTCTCGATCTCCTGGCCTCAAGCGATGTGCCCACCTTGGCCTCCCACAGTGCTGGGATTACAGGAGTGAGCCACTGTGCCTGGCTCACTGCCCCTTCTATCTCTGCAGTCTCTTCATGCTTGAGCTTACTAGCGCCTCTGAGAAAAAGAAAGCCTACTTAAGATTTCCTTTTATAAGATGACCATTGTCATTTTTTCCACCTCAACACTATTTCCCATTTAAGGCATAATTCTTTGCTGTTGGGGGCTTCCCAGTGCATTGTGGGGTGTTTAGCAGGATCTGTAGCGTGTACCTACCAGACCTTCACTCAGTTCTGACAGCCAGAAATGTCTCCAGACATTGCCAGGTGTCTCCCTGGGGGGCAAAAGTGCCCCTGTTGAGAACCACCGGTGTAAGTGGACCAGCTCTCCCAACCTCCTCCAGTCCTTGCCTCGAGAGTTTTAGCAGGGAGTGTCAGAATCTACTGCTGGAAGCACTTGGTAGGTCTTCTTTGATGGAAGAGATGATAGAGCGTCCAATCAATTAGGGATCTGACACTCCGCAGTCAGTTGGAAAGAGAACAGCGAAGGGTAATGTGGCAGTGCTTTTGTATTAATTCCATGTGCAAGGTGTGTGTCAATTCTGCTGCTTCTCGGCCAGGCGCAGTGGCTCACGCCTGTAATCCCAGCACTTTGGGGGGCCGAGATGGGTAGATTACAAGGTCAGGAGTTCAAGACCAGCCTGGCCATCATGGTGAAACCCTGTCTCTACTAAAAGTACAAAAATCAGCCAGGCGCAGTGGAGCATGCCTGTAATCCCAGCTACTTGGGAGGCTGAGGCATGAGAATTGCTTGAACCTGGGAGGCGGAGGTTGCAGTGAGCAGAGATTGTGCCACTGCACTGTAGCCTGGGTGACAGAGCAAGACTCCGTCTCAAAAAAAAAAAAAATTCTGCTGCTTCTCTGTGCAAGACCCTCTCTGCCATCAGCCTGTTGTCTCCTGAAAGCCAAGGAGCGAGTCTCAGGGTTTTTTTTTTGCCTTTTTTGAGAAGGAGTCTCGCTCTGTCACCCAGGCTGGAGTTCAGTGGCGCAATCTCGGCTCCCTGCAACCTCCACCTCCTGGGTTCAAGAGATTCTCCTGCCTCAGCGTGCTGAGTAGCTGGGATTACAGGCACGCTTCATCATGCCCGGCTAATTTTTTTGTATTTTTAGTGGAGATGGGGGTTTCGCCATGTTGGTCAGGCTGGTCTCGAACTCCTGACCCCGTGATTCGCCCACCTCTGCCTCCCAAAGTGCTGGGATTACAGGTGTGAGCCACCGCACCCAGCTGAATCTCAGCTTTAAAGGGGAACTTGGAAGCGTGTGGCCACTGAACTCTGAAGAGCCTTCCATTTCCTGTTTGCAAATGAAGCCCCAGGATCCAGATGTACTGCTTGTGTCTTAGACCATGAAAGCCTTAGCAAGACTGATCTCCAGAACAGTCACGACTGCGGGAGAAAGCCAAGCTCATTTGCAATAGCAGCGTCCACCAGAGCACTTTGCAGAGCCTGAATGCTGTGGAAACTCTGGGTCTCGTTCCTGTCACTCACTCAGAAAGAGCCAGAGTGAAAAGATGTGAACTGTGCGTCCTGCATGTGGAAATTGCCTTTCAGCAGAGTCCCTGCCCGTGGAGTAACTCGGCTTTCAGGGCTAGATCTTGACAGGCGCCACACTGGTTGTATTTGGAGTTGGCTCTTCCTTTAAGTAGCTGCGGGTCCCCAACCGTGGAGGGCTGGCAGTCTTGTCTCCCCGTAGGTGGCTTAGGTGACAATGATGACGGTGCAGACCCATCGACTTGGGGAAAGGCTTGAAAAGAACTTTCACTTAGTAGCTACTCAGCAGGGCCTTGGTCATCGTGCTGCAGCCTGGGAACAGTCATTTCCAGGCTTAGGTGTAGAAGTTTGTTCTCTTCGGGGGCCCCTGGGAGCCCACTGGCTTCCAGTTGATATTGACACAGGTGCTGTCAGGTTTCCAGCCCTGTTTCCCAGCAGTCTGGGCTGTTGTTTGTGTGGCTTCAGGACAGAAACATGAGAGATATCCCAGGTCCAGGCCATGACTCGCGTGGCTTCAGGAGTCCTTTGAGCTTTCGGCTCCCTGGAGTCCTTTGAGAGGCCATCGTCTGAAAGCCTCACAGGGTTTCCCACACACAGAGGCCCTGGTGATATTCTTTCTTTCTTTCTTTTCTTTCTTTTTTTTTTTTTTTGTGACAGAGTTTCAGAGTTTCGCTCTTTACCCACGCTGGAGTGCAATGACACAATCTCGACTCACCGCATCCTCTGCCTCCCCAGTTCAAGCGATTCTCCTCCCTCAGCCTCCTGAGTAACTGGGATTACAGGCATGCACCAGCGCGCCCGACTAATTTTGTATTTTTAGTAGAGACGGGGTTTCTCCATATTGGTCAGGCTGGTCTTGAACTCCCGACCTCACGTGATCTGCCTGCCTCGGCCTCCCAAAGTACTGGGATTACAGGCATGAGCCACTGCACCTGGCCATCTTTTTTTTTTTTTTTTTTGAGACAGAGTCTCGCTGTGTTGCCCAGGCTGGAGTGCAATGGCACGATCTTGGCTCGCTGCATCCTCTGCCTCCCGGGTTCAAGTGATTCTCCTGCCTCAGCCTCCTGAGTAGCTGGGATTACAGGTGCCTGCCACCACTATCAGCTAATTTTTGTATTTTTAGTAGAGATGGGATTTCACCATGTTGGTCAGGCTGGTTTCGAAATCCCCTGACCTCATGATCTGCCCACCTCGGCCTCCCAAAGTTCTTTTTTTTTTTTTTTTTACTTTAATTGAATTATTTTTTAATTTTGAGACACCATTTCACTGTCACCCAGGCTAGAGTACAATGGCGTGATCTCAGCTCACTGCAGCCTCCGCCTCTGAGGTTCAAGTCATTCTCCTGCCTCAGCCTCCCAAGTAGCTGCTATTACAGGCATGTGCCACCACACCCAGCTAATTTTTGTATTTTTAGTAGAGACAGGTTTTCACCATGTTGGCCAGGCTGGTCTCGAACCCCTGACCTCAAGTGATCCCCCACCTCAGCCTCCCAAAGTGTTGAGATTACAGGCGTTAGCCACTGTGCCTGGCCTTTTTTACATTTTTAAAACAGAGACAGGGTTTCACCATGTTGTCCAGGCTGGACTCAAGTGATCCTCCTGCCTTGGCCTCCCAAAGTTTTGGGATTACAGGTGTGACCCACCACGCCTGGCCAGTATTCTCTGTTGCTTAGTTTTTCTAGTTTGACTGTTTTGAAGTATCTTTTTCCCCCCCCAATTTTATCACAAAGCCTGCCAGCTACTGACAAGTAGGGAGTGGCCCATAGGTGGTAAGGAAGGTGAATAAGAGAGTCCCAGCCTCGGGCAGCCTTTGGCGCAGGGTGTCTTCAGCTTTGGGGGCCAGACTGTTCTTTATGGCGAGGTGCCGTCCTGCACACTGAAGGGTATTTGAGCAGCCTCCCTGGCCTCCACCCACCAGATGCTTCTAGATGTGATAACCTAAAGTGTCTCCCGTGTTGCCGAGTGTCCCCTGGGTGGCAGAGTTGCTCAGGTTGAGAACACGAGTCTAAAGGGGAAGACAGACACAGGCCGTGGTGTGTGGCCAGTGACGACCTGGGGAATTTGGAGGAAGGAACAGCTTCTTACTGGAGCCTTGCCTTGGCCTCCTGAGTCAGCATCATTTACTGTCTGGTAATTCAGGCCTTGGTTGTAATGTCAGCTCCACAGAGAGCCCCCTAGTCCCTACCCTGTGTCATTCTTACACCACCCTGGGTTATGTATTTCAAAACGGCTAGGAAAAGAAGTTCAGAATGCATTGTTTCTTATTGGTTTTCCTTCCTTGGTTGACGGTGAGTCCTTAAGATGAGGTGGGCCCTGCACTGTCTTGTTCATGACTGTATCCACCTTCTGGAACGTCGCCAGGGAGCAGTGCATGGTGCAGGAATGAGAAACTGGATGCTGGTGGGAACATGGCCGCTCTCAGCTAGCGGGTCCTCTTCAGGGCAGACCCTGCCTCGTGGAAGATGACAGCTGGCTTGGACAGAGACAGAGATAACCCCTTAACGTGCAGCTCCTAACTTAAGCAGCCCCTCGACATTCAAAGGGAGCCCCCTGGCTGTTCTCTGGGGGAAGTCCCGCTAGTTGTCAACAAGTCGATTCTTGTGTTTGTATCTTCTTGGCTCATGGAGCAGGCGGTGACCCCTTCTCCGAGCCAGGCCCTGGGGTTTATTCAGAGGCCCTGCTTTCAGGGTTCCTGCACAGTCAAGGTGGGGGGTCCGATGAGAAACAGATGGGCAGATGCGGGTGGCGCATGGGAGAGGGCAGAGAGAGGATGGAGCAGGCCAGGGAAGGGTGGGAGGAGGTTGCTGTGGGCAGGACCTGTTTCATGAGGGACTGTTCCTGGTGGGGAGTGATGGCCTGAGGTGAGAGTGAGTGGGTGTGCTTGAGGAACAGCCAAGGAGAACGGCAGGGTCAGGAGCTGAAGGAGAGAAGGGGGAGAGGGAGCCAGGAGCGTGAGAACCACTGGATGGTTCTGGGAGGCGGTTCTGCTGCTGTGCTGAGAATGAGGGGTCAGGAGGCCCCTGGGAGACCAGGGAGGGGCCCCAAGTGATGGAGGCGGGGTAGACAGTGATGGAAACAGAGTGGATGGTGACAAGGACCAGAGAGGGTCCCAAGTGATGGGAACAGAGAGGATGGTGACAAGGACCAGAGACAATTCCCAAGTGATGAGGACAGAATGGATGGTAACAAGGAGTAGGGAAGGCCTCCCGAGTGATGGGGACAGAGGTGGACAGCAATGGCGACAGAGTGGATGGTGACAAGGACCAGAGACAGTCCCCAAGTGATGGGGACTGAGTAGACAGTGATGAGGACAGAGTGGATGGTAACAAGGACTGGAGAGGGATCCCCCGAGTGATGGGGACGGAGTGGACAGTGATAAGGACCAGAGAAGTGCCCTGAGTGATGGGGACAGAGTGACTGGTGACAAGGACCAGAGGGGGTTCCCATGTGATGGGGGCAGAGTGGATGATGATGTAGATCAGGAGCGGGGGTGTCAGTGAGAGTGAGAAGTCTGGGCTGATCTCAGGATGCCTGATTCTCTGGGTAAAAGTGTGGGCCCCTGCTGAGGTGCATAAGGCCAGGGCAGTTGGGGGGCTGCTATGTGTCTGTGCGGTGCCTGCCATTTGAGGCTCTGTTAATCAGTACCCAGGCGGGGCTGTGTGTGGATGCTCAGATGGACGTGTCGGCCACGCAGGATGGTTGTCATGGTGTGGGAGGCAGTTCGAACTCTGCCTGATGAGGCCACCCAGGGCACGGGGAGAGAGGAGGTGCCGGAAGAAAAAGAAAACTGGGCTTGTGCTGGGTGGTTTAGAGCAGCACAGTCGGCAAATGGTAGCTTGGAGACCAAAGCCAGCCTGGCTCGGTGTGATTGGTTGTGATTTTTACATTTTCAAAGGATTAAATTTTTAAAAATGTTTCATATTGTGATACTGTTCACATAACATAAAATCATCATCATTTTAAAGTGTTAGTATATTCACAATACTGTACAACCATCACCACTAATTCCAGAACATTAACATCACCCCAGGATCAAACCCTGAACCTCCTAATTCTCCTCTCCCCAAGCCCCTGGCAACCATGAGTCTGCTTCCTGTCTTTATGGATTTGCCCGTATGGACATTTCATATCAGTGGGGTCATACACCGTGTGGCTGTTGGTGTCTGGCTTCTCACTCAGCATCGTGTTTTCCGGGGTCATTCACATCGGAGCCGGTATCAGTGCTTCCTTCCTTAAGACTGAATCATTCTCCACTGTATGGCAGGACCACATTTCGCATGCCCACTCTTCTGTTGATGGATGTTTGGCCTGTTTCCACCTTTTGGCTGTTGTGCATAGTGCTGCAACGAACATTCATGTGTGAGGATGTGTTGGAACACGTGTTTTCTTTTTCTTTTTTTTTCGAGACAGAGTCTCGCTCTGTCGCCCAGGCTGGAGTGCAGTGGCGGGGTCTCAGCTCACTAAAACTTCTGCTTCTCAGGTTCAAGCAATTCTCCTGCTTCAGCCTTCCAAGTAGCCGGGATTACAAGTTCCCACCACCACGCCTGGCTAATTTTTTTGCATTTTTAGTAGAGATAGGGTTTCACCATGTTGGCCAGGCTAGTCTTGAACTCCTGACCTCGTGATCCGCCATCCTTGGCCTCCCAAAGTGCTGGGATTACAGGTTCCAGCCACCGCGCCTGGCTTTTTTTTTTTTTTTTTTTTGAGATGGGGTTTTGCTTTTGTTTCCCAGGCTGGAGTGCGGTGGTGCATTGTCGGCTCACCACAACCCCCTGGGTTCAAGCAATTCTTCCTCCTCAGCCTCCCAAGTAGCTGGGTCTATAGGTGCACACCACCACACCTGGCTAATTTTTGTATTTTTAGTGGAGACGGGGTTTTGCAATGTTGGCCAGGCTCGTCTCAAACTCCTGACTTCAAGGGATCTGTCCACCTCAACCTCCCAAAGTGCTAGAATTACAGGTGTGAGCCACTGCGCCTGGCCTGAGCCACTGTCCCTGGCCTGAGCACCTTTTTTCAGTTCTCTTGGTTATAGACCTGGGAGTGGGATTACCAGGTCATATGGTAGCAATAATTCCATGGTCAACCTGTTGAGGTAACTGCCACACTGTCCCTCGTGGTGGCTGTACCGTCCCATCTGGCTCTTTTTGCCAAGCCCTGGTCTAGAGCGTGGTTCCCCATTTTGTCGCAGTGGCACACTTTAGGGGATCAGAGGGTGCATGCGGAGCTTGGAAATGCCTCCTTGGAATGGTGGGGGGCTCGCAGTGAGCCTACAGCTGCCTCTGAAACAGACCTTGGCTCCATGCTGCTTCCCTACATACCCACACCCTGCTCGTTCCGACCCCTTCTGCCATCAAACCTGTGCACCATGGAGAAACAGACGCAGCCCCCTGTGAGCCTGAGCAGAGAATCATTCCGGACATCCCCAGAGAATCTTACAACAAACCCCGCCACTGACTGGGCGCAGTGGTTTACGCCTGTAATCTCAGCACTTTGGGAGGCCAAGGTGGGCAGATCACTTGAGGTCAAGCGAGACCAGCCTGGCCAATATGGTGAAACCCCATCTCTACTAAAAATAGAAAAATTAGCCAGCGTGGTCGCACGGCACCTGTGATCCCAGCTACTCAGGAGAATCACTTGAACCCGGGAGGCAAAGGTTGCAGTGAGCCGGGATCATACCACTGCACTCCAGCCTGGGAGACAGAGCAAGACTCCATCTCAAAACAAAAAGAACAAATCCCGCCACCAAGGAGAAATTGTTTTAGAATCGTGGCTGCTCTGCGTCTTGTATTTCTGCTTTTCTCAGCTGAGACTTTCTAGAATTGTCTCTGTACCCATTGTTCTGGGCAGAATTGTGTCATCCCCCCACCCCACATTCCACCCCAAATTCATGTATTTTAGCCCTAGCCCCAGCGCCTCAGAACGTGACTGTATTTGGAGATGGAGCCTTTGAAGAGGTGATTTAACTGAGGCCGTTAGGGTAGGCCCTAATCCAGTCTGATTGGTGTCCTTATAAGAGAGGAGATTGGGACACACATCAGGGACATGCGTGCACAGAGAGAAGACCACATGAGGACACAGACAGTGGCCACCCACAAGCCAAGGAGAGAGTCCTTAGAGAAAACCAAACCTCCTGGCACCTTGACCTTGGCCTCCTGGCCTCCAGGCCTCCAGAACTGAGAACTACTAACTTCTGTTGTTTCAGCCAGTCTGGGGTACCTCGTTGTGGCAGCCTGAGCTGATGGATGCACTCACCCCACTGACGGTGCCTGTGCCCAGCAGAGGTACCTGTTTCAGTACAAGACGGTAGTGGTGTGCCTGGCCTTGCCTGTTGCAGTAGATTTTCAGGGTCAGCGTTTGGGTCACCTGCAGTGTTGGGCACTGCAGGGCAGCGGAAACAGTGAAGTCTGTGTGTCCCTTCATCCGTTCACCTGATCATCCCCAACAGTGGGTGAAGCTCACTCTGTTTCTCACACTGTTCTGGGCACTGGGGATACAGCCCTGATCAAAACCCCCACCCTCGTGGAGTTCGCCATCTAGTCAGGGACTGGCAGACAGTGCAATGAGTAAAATACATGATCCATAAGGTGGTGACGGGCCGCGGAGAAAAATGCAGGAGTGCTAGGAGGTGGCGTCATTTTACTTTGGTGAAAGAGCGTTCTCTAGGACTCACCAAGCAGGGCTTATCCAAGCAAAAACCTCAGCCAGGCTGGAGGAATCCTGACTGGCTGGAGACCCAGCCCTTGTGTGCTGGGGATGGTGCAGCATAATTCTGGTTTAGAAACAACAGCTCCTCCTCTGGGGGAGTGGTCCTGTCCCACCACAACATGGGAGGGAGGCAAGCTTCTTTCTATTTTTGCTCATATCGGCTGAAAAGTACACGCATAGAGGGCATTCTTGGTGGGTGTTCAGGGCCTGTCTTTTCTCCCAAGCGACCGATGCACCTTATTGCGATTGGCCTGGGTCTTAGCACCAAAAATGTCATGTCCCTTGAAGTCCCCAACAACCTGGACAGTGGGTCGCCTCTAACCTCCAGGGTCCCCATCTTATATATCCTACCTTGGCATCACTGCTGGCAGCAGTTGCCTTTCCACGTGAAAGCAATCTTGCTGAAACAGATTGCAGGAGGCGTGGGAGACTTCTCTATTATATGCAGCCCAGCACTTGGCACCACAGAGGCTTAAACATCCACTTTGTACATTTCTCCTGAATGTGAAGTTTTCCAAATGCAAGGTGCTCGTTGAACTTGTTGTGTTCCTTGAGTAGATTGGTAAGGATCGGGTGGAGGTGAGCTGGGAAGACTCACCTGTGCACCCCGCCCTGCTTGCCTCCAGGCTCTCAGAAGTAACCTTTCCCTGTCTCTAATACAGCTTGGCTCCGTGCTGAGTTTTTTCTGTTCCTGTGCAGACAGTGGCTGGGCCTGGTGTTTTTCACAATCTGTTTCCAGTGTCGGGCCTGGCAGTAACTCATTGTCGCCTTGTCAGGAGAATTCGCACAACCACGGGGACGGTGCAGAGGACTTCAAGCAGCAGGTGCCGTATAAAGAGGACAAACCCCAGGTGCCCCTGGAGTCCGATTCCGTGGAATTCAACAACGCCATCAGCTATGTGAATAAGATTAAAACCCGCTTCCTAGACCACCCAGAAATCTACAGGTCATTCCTGGAGATCCTGCACACGTACCAGGTAAGAACTCAGATTACAATTCCTTGTGGGTTTTGGATTTCATCCAGTTTGGGGCCCTGCAGATATTCAGATTTTCTTGTCGGAATTCATAAAATCCTGTAAAATTCTAATTAGTTGTGGGGTTTTTTGTTTGTTTTTTCTTAGAGTCTGGCTCTGTTACCCAGGCTGGAGTGCAGTGGCACGGACTCGGCTCATTGCAACCTCCACCTCCTGGGCTCAAGCCATCCTCCAACTTCAGCCTCCCAAGTAGCGGAGGCTACTTGGGGCTAGAACATGGGCGCACATCACCACACCTAGCTAATTTTTGTAATTTTTGTAGAGACAGGGTTTTGCCATGTTGCTCAGGCTGGTCTTGAACTCCTGAACTCAAACGACCCATCCACCTCAGCCTCCCAAAGTGCTGGGATTACAGGTGTGAGCCACCGTGCCCAGCCACCTTTTTTTTTTTTTTTTTTTGAGACAGGGTCTTGCTCTGTCACCTAGGCTGGAGTGCAGTGGTGTAATAATAGCTCACTGCAGCCTTGACCTCCTGGGCTCAAGCGATCCTCCTGCCTCAGCCCTCCAAGTAGCTGGGAGTACAGGTGTGTGTCACCACACCTGGCCAAGACAGTCTTTTTATCAGATGACTTTGTTATTGCTTAGGCAATACGGCCATCCTTTACTTTGCTGATTACAACTGGGCCCAGCACCAGGAGCTGGGGCTACAGAGACAAATGGCTGCTCCTGCTTAGCTGTTCATTGCAGTGGTGGGAAGAAACTCAGAGGTGGATTGGGGTGGAAAAGAAAGGATGTGGGCAGGAGAGGTGAGTCAGGGTTAATATGATTCCCAGCCCGGTTCCCAACCCGTCCGGGGCCAGGGAGGGGACAGTCAGGTTGAATCTTGACATATCAGTCGGAACCAGTAGGCAGGTTAGCCTGGAGGAAGGGTGGACATTCTTGGTGCCAGGAATGGCCTGTGCAAAGGTCCAGAGACCAGAGCAGACAGCGGCATCAGGGCGTCTGCAGGGGACTTGGGCAATGCAGGTGGGCTGGTGGCGAGGGACATCTGTGTCGTGAGTGGGGCTTAGACGTCCTCTTCACCCAGACGTGGAGTCTCTAACGCTTGGAATTTTTTTTAGCAGCAGAACCCATTTTTTTTCTTTTTTTTGAAACAGAATCTTGCGCTGTCACCCAGGCTGGAGTGCAGTGGCTCAATCTCAGCTCACTGCAACCTCAGCCTCCCGGCTTCAAACAATTCTCCTGCCTCAGCCTCCTGAGCAGCTGGGACTACAGGCATGGGCCACCACGCCCAGCTAATTAGCAGAACCCATTTTTTAAAATGAAATCCCTGCAGCCTTGACATGTCGAGTCAAGAAGCGGGATTCTTTTCAGCATAAGCGTTTCAGATCAAATGGATAGAATTTGTGTTCTGGGAACTCCACAGCATTTGTTGTCCACCGTGCTGGCATCATCATGGGCCTTAGCATCTGTGAGAGGCTGGTACAGCCCTAAGAACGCTTGTTTGTCATGGATGAGTGGTTGCCAGTGGCTGCTGTGAGCATCTGGTCTGTGTGGAGGGATGTGCTTGTGATCGTAGAATCTGTGGGCCCCTCCCAGGCTTTGTGGGGTCATCACATTTAGGAAGGCGCATCAGAGCAGTCTGTGCAGTGGCTCTGTTCTGTGGCAAAGGAAGGGGCAGGTTAAAGACACTAGAGATGAATTTAGACAAGGTCACAATGAGGGGTTGCCACAGACTCCTTCAGAGAGAGTGCCATGGGAAGGGACAACGCAGTATCCCCCAACCCAAACCGGGCTGCTGAGAGTTGGTTGAGAATGCAGACACCTGGCCACCATGCAGGATTCCCATTCATCAGGGCCCGCCCGGCATCGGCACAGTTTCTTTTTTTGTTTTTATTTTTTTGAGACTGGGTCTCACTGTTGCCCAGGCTGGAGTGCAGCGGCATCATCACAGCTCACTGCAGCCTCTACTTCTCTGGGCTCAAGCAATCCTCCCACCTCAGCCTCCTGAGTGACTGGGACTACAGGCGCTCACTCCGACGCCCAGCTAAGGGCTAAGAGGAGACGGGGTTTCACCATGTTGCCCAGGTGGGTCTTGGAACTCCTGGCCTCAAGTGATCCACCCACCTCAGCCCCCCAAAGTACTGGGATTACAGGCGTGGGCCACCATACCCAGCTGGATGGCATCTGCATTTTAAACAAGGCCCCTGGTGACTCCAGCCTCAGGTTGTCTAGTTTTTTCAAATGTAAGTTTGAACTGTTGTGTAAATTATCCTGGTTTTAGAATGTTGGTTCAGATATTTCAGGGATACTGTTAGAGCCAAACCAGGCAGCTCCAGGGTCCATCTGGCCGTGTGTTACTGTTTCTCCATCTTTGTGGGGCTTTCCTTCAGACTTTCTCTCTGCCACCTTCTCCCTCGGGGTTCTTATCCGTAAAATGGCCACAAAACTGGTGGTGCCAATGAGCCTGGGTTCAGTGAGGTTAACTGAGCAACCAGTTCAGGCACAAGCCTGCCTCAGGTCACCCCTGGGTAACTGTCACCCATTACACAGCCACGTATGCATGTCCTGTGTGTGCTGGGATGAACAGTTAGTCCTGCCCTAACATAAGTGGGACCCTAAAAACGAGCTCCCTCTGCAGAGTTGCAAAGTGTGATGGGAACTGCAGGTTCATGGGAAACAGACTCAGGGTATGACATTCAAAAACTTCCTCAGGGACACCTAGAAAAAGATAGGCACCGACTCTAAACAGCAGCGCCGTTACGCGCATATTAAGTGGCCGAGAATTACATGAATGCCACAGCAAATCGGGTACTGACCTTGGAAGAGACCTGAGGCTGGTTTGTGGATCTGGTGGCAGCCTGTGAATTATGTGAAGGCCGGGAGGAGGTCATCTGAAATCAGACAGGTCATTGTGGCCTCAGATGGGGACAGGGCTGGCCCCTAGCACAGGGGAACGCTGAGAGAGTGCATGGACATGGGAGGGGGTGCTGGCGTGGTTTTGCATACTCCCACGGGGTTCTGGTCAGCCGGGAGCAGTTTCTGCATTCACCTGGTGTTTCTCCTGCACAAAATAGAAGAGAAGCAAACAGAAAATTCACCTCATGCTCAAATTATTCCCAGTACTTGTATCTCATTTAGACAGACATCTTGTTCAAAATAAGCATTCTAGCAGAACTGACTGTCTCTGCAGCATGAATTTCCAGAAACTACTTCCCTAAGTTGAGGGCGTACTATGCATTCATAGAGATCACTCAATTTCCTTCTAAAAGGTGGTACCAATTTGTCTTTCTGCCTTCCGTGTTTGATTGTTTGTTTGTTTGTTTTTTGAGACGGAGTCTCTTTCACCCAGGCTGGAGTGCAGTGGCGCAATCTCGTCTCACTGCAGCCTCCGCCTCCTGGGCTCAAGCAATTCTCCTGCTTCAACCTCCCGAGTAGCTGGGACTACAGGCACGCGCCCCCACACCCGGGTAATTTTTGTATTTTTAGTAGAGATAGGGTTTCACCATCTTGGCTAGGCTGGTCTTGAACTCCTGACCTCAGGTGATCCGCCTACCTTGGCCTCCCAAAGTGCTGGGATTACAGGCCTGAGCTACCGCACCTGGCCTTGCCTTCTGTGTTTGAGAGCACCTGCTCCCCACACCCTCATCGGAAATCCTAGCCTCTTCTGTCTGTGTAGTCAGATGAGCAGAGATGGCTGTGGCACTGTTTTAAATTGTTTCTTTAAACATCAGTCAATTTGGTCATTGTTTCTTTTCTTCTTTATTTATTTTAGATAGGATCTTGCTCTGTTGCCTAGGCTGGAGTATGCACTATCATGATGGTAGCTCACTGCAGCCTTGAGCTCCTGGGCTCAAGCAATCCTCTTGCCTCAGCCTTCCAAGTAACTAGGACCACAGGAGTGTGTCACCATGCCTACATAATGTTTAAAACAAATTTTTTTAATCATTTCTCAGCATTTTGGCTAAGATCAAGTGTAAAATTTTTTGTAGCGATAGGGTCTCACTGTATTGCCCAGGCTGGTCTTGAACTCTTGGACTGAAGCCAGTCTCCTGCCTCGGCCTCCCAAAGTGCTGGGATTACAGGCATGAGCCATCATGCCCAGCCTAAATTGTTTCTTTAAACTTCACTCAGTGTGGTCGTTGTTCTGTCCGTATGCAGATAGATCATTTCTATTTATTATCTGAACTGAGTGGCCTTTGCTTGTTTTTAAGTTTTGCTTTTTAGTGTCTTTTGATGACTTTTTGGAAGGGTGGTGTTTTTTTTCCCCTGCAGTGTAGGTGCTGCCGGTGCCAAGATTTAAAACTTGCTTCCCTTCCCACAGGCTGCAGCGGGTGCAGAGGGGCAGGAGGCGCCAGCACAGGGATTCCTCCTGCTTTGCAGCCGTGCAGTGGGACTCTGGAAGCCACGCCATATTATCCGGGAGGCTCCGGTGCTATTGCCTCTTGTTCTGTGACACTCTTGGGTGTAAAATTGATACGGACGTATTTCTAACAGCCACGGCGGTTTTGCTGGCCCGTTCCTGCCTTCCAACCTGGGTTCCCTTTGGTCCTCTTGTTGCTTTAAGGTCTGGATCAGGCCATTTTCCTTGGGTCTCAGTGACTCCGGGCCAGTAGGTGCCTCGGCCTGGAAGTCCCTTCCCTTCATGGCCCAGCGCTCCCCAGTTCTACACTCCCCATTTCCCTTGGGAAGGCCTGGGGTTCGCCCCTGACCTTGTACTTCCCCGGCCCACCCCTGATTACAGCCAGCCTGTCACCTCCCTGCCCCCTCTGTTCGTGGACACTGCTGGGTCCCCACCATACTCCTGGACGGGACCTGCCCATGGCCGGGGCTCAGGCCATGCTGGGCAGCAAGATCCACAAGTGTGCAGACAGGACCCTGCGGGCAGGTGCTCTTTCCTGAGAGTCATCCTGTCCCCTTCACGGAGGGCTGCCTGAGTGTCCCGGCCCAGGGCACAGCACTCCTTGACTAACGACTTATTTTCCCTTTCCTGAAAACTGGCAGAAGGAGCAGCTGAACACGAGGGGCCGGCCATTCCGAGGCATGTCTGAAGAGGAGGTGTTCACCGAGGTGGCCAACCTCTTCCGGGGCCAGGAGGACCTGCTCTCAGAGTTTGGACAGTTCCTGCCCGAAGCCAAGCGGTCTCTGGTGAGTGCCGAGAGCCCCTGCCCAGCCTCGGGGGCCTCAGCGAGGACGGAGGGCCCCAGCCAGCTTGACCCATGTCCGGGCCAAGCCTATGTACCCTCCAGGCCACACTAGGGTCCCCCAGAAGCTACGCAGGTTGCAGATACCCAGGGGTTCCTCACTGTAGGCTCCACCTGCACAGCAAGCTCGTAAACGATTTGCCAAGGTGCTTCTCTGTACAGACAGTACCTGGATCTTGGGGTGGTTTGGGAGGCAGAGAGCATCTTCCAGTGGAGACTATGGGCCCAGGGGTTCCACCTCCTGTGTCTGCCCTGCAGAGCCCCACCCTGCCTGGGACCCCAGCCCTGTGGGAAGGTGCAGGAGGGCTGGGTCCACAATCATCGCTTCCCCTGTTGGATGAGACTGATCTGGGGCTCCAGCAGGTTGGATCTGGAGGAGCCAGTAGCGGGGGTGGCCTGTGGCCTGGCCCTGACCATGGTGGTAGAGAGCAGAGATGGGCGAGGAGGGGCCTTAGACAGGGCTCAGGGCTCACCCTGCACAGTCAGCCTTTCTCCCCTGCCTGTGGCCTGAAGCTGCCAGGGCCGCCTGTTCCGATTCCTCTTTTTTCCCCCACTATGATCATAAGACTTTTTTAAAAATTGAAGTGAAATTTATGTAACATCGAATTCACCATTGAAAGTGAACAATTCCATGGCATGTGGTACATCCTCAGTGTTGTACAACCTTCACCACTACCTAGTTCCAGAACATTTTCATCCCCCTGAAAGGAGACCCAGTCCCCATCAGCAGCCACCCCATTCACCTCCCCCAGCTCCTGGCAACGCCCATGTGCTTCCTGTTTCTGTGGATTTGATTCGCCCATTCTGGACATTTCAGATGGGTGGAATGTCACCATATGTGGCCTTTGTGTCTGGCTCCTCTCACTCAGCATCATGTTTTCAAGGTTTATCCATGTCGTACCGTGGATCAGTGCTCATTCCTTTTCCTGGCTGAATCATATTCTGTTAGATGGATGAGCCACATTCTGTTTATCCGTATTCTGTTGATGGACATTTGGGTTGTTTCTGCCTTTTGGCTGTTGTGAACAGTGCCGCCATCAACATTTATTGCACGGATTTGTTTGAACACCTGTTTTCAGTTCTTTTGGGTAGACACCTAGGAGTGGAATTCCTGGGTCACATGTTAATTCTGTTTTTGACTTTTTGAAGAGCCTCTAAACTGTTTTCTACAGTGACCGCACCATTTTACATTCCTATCAGCAATGGACTGCGGTTTCTGTCTCTCCACATGTTGGCCAACATTTGTTCTTTTCCAGGTTTTTTTTTTTTTTTTTTTGCCTTTTGTTTTTAGTAGCCATCAGTGTGTGAAGTTTTATTGCATTAAGGTTTGTTTGTTTTTATTTTTTGAGACAGGCTCTCTGTCTGTCACCTAGGCTGGAGTGCAGTGGCGTAATTGATCACTGTTCACTGCAACCTCCATCTCCCAGGCTCAGGTGATCCTCCCACCTCAGCCTCCTGAGTAGCTGGGACTACAGACACCACCACGATGCCAGGCCAATTTTTGTATTTTTTGTAGAGACAGGGCTTCGCCATGTTGCCCAGGCTGGTCTCGAGCTCCTGGCCTCAAGCGATCCACCTGCCTCAGTCTCCCAAAGTGCTGGGATTACAGGTGTGAGCCACTGCGCCCGGCCTACTTTTATTTTTTAATTGTAGAGACAGGGTCTCACAATGTTGTCCAGGTTGGTCTCAGACTCCTGGCCTCAAGCGATCCTCCCACCTTGGCCTCCCAAAGTGTTAGGATTACAAGCATATGCCATTGTGCCCAGTCCATGGTTTCTTTAAGTGGCATTTATGCAGGGCACCCGGCTAGCTCAGTCAGTAGAGCATGAGACTCTCAAATAACATTTATTACCAATTTAGCTAAGATTTTTAGTGTGTATTGGTTTATTAGAGCTATCTTGTATATTTAGAAAGATTGGATCAACTTTTTAAAATTATTAAAAGCACTGCATCTGTTGTGTGAAGTATAATCTTTATGTTAACTTTTGGACATATATTAAAACTGTAGGAAAAAGAAACCAAGATGAAATTTGGCATTGCTCTAATTAAATTTGACTGGCCTGGATCAGAGGTTGGCAAACCTTCTCTACAAAGGGCCAGATAGTAAGTATCACAGGCTTTGCAGGCCAGTTGATCTTTGTGTAAAGATTCACCTCTGCCCTAGTAGCTTGAAAGCAGTCATGGAATATGTATGTCAATGACTGGACAGGGCTGTGTGCCAATAACACTTTATTTACAAAATGAATGGGTGTGGCCGGGTACCAACAAAACTTTATTTACAAAATGAATGGGCATGACTGGGTACCAATAACTTTACAAAAGGAATGGGTGTGGCTAGGTGCTGATAAAAAATTTTATTTATGAGAACAACAGGCCCTGTGTTAATTTGCCATTCCCTAGCCTAGGTGGTCTTTGGGGGTCCATCTAGCTCAGATGTTCACATAATTGGGAGATTAACTGAAAAGCAAGAACCATGTGAACTGTTGGGGAAGATCTGCTATACCTGCTTGGTGAGCTTGGCTGGACGCATGGCGGGTTTCCCCTCCAGGTCCCCTGTTCTTGTTCAGCATTTGTCATATGGTCGCCCAGCTGCATCTTTTGGGAATCAGTTTACACCTGTTCCAGCATATACAAAAAATAGCCAAGCGTGGTGGCTCGTGCCTGTAATCCCAGCTACATAGAAGGCTGAAGCAAGAGAATCACTTGAACCCAGGAGACGGAGGTTGCACTGAGCTGAGATCGCACCATTGCGCTCCAGCCTGGGTGACAGAGTGAGACCTCCGTCTCAAAAAAAAAAAAAAAAAGATGTACCAGTGGAGAATTGTGTAGATGCCAATTTCTCCACTTACAGCTCTCGAAATAGCCTTGAATTTTGGGTAATTATTCCCCCCAAATAATTCCCCCCAAAACTCAAATAGCCTTGAGTTTTGGTAATTATTCCCCCCAAATTATTCTTCTAAGTCTTAACTGTGGCTAAATAATAAGTCTTTTTTAGTAGTAGTAGTAGTATTGTGGCTAAATAATGTCTTTATTATTATTATGGTAAAAATAGTATACACTAATGAAAAAATAAGTATTAGCAAGAGTATCAAATTTTTAATGCAAACTTCCTCTCCCTTGACTCAGTTCTTAGTCATTCTTCTCAGAGGTTAGCACTTCTAAGTGTCTTGTATATCTTTCCAGAAATTTCCTCTGCATGTGTAACAAATACTTTTTACAAAGCGACACACGGCATCCTATTTGTTCTGCCCCTTGGGTTTTTGGGGTTTTTCCTTGTTTTTTTTTGTTTGTTTGTTTTATTTCAGGTATGCCTGTCCCTAACAGCAGCCCAGAGCCAGCCCATAGTATCTGATCGCTGCGGGCTGATTTGTTCAGATGCACCATGACTTGTCCATCTCACCCACACTTTAGGTCTTTGGGGGTGTCTTTGCATCCAGGTCCTGTGGTGGCAGGGGAAGGCGGAGTACGATGGAGGTGACCGCAGTGGCACAGAACGTTGTAGGGCCTCTCCAGCTCTGCCCACGTCCTGCAGAAAAGCTGCGGTCTGTCCATCGTCCCCTGCCTGTCCAGCCTTCCAGTATGTTCATAGTAGACTGTTGCAGAACAGTTCTTTGTAAATGTCATTGGCACCCTGTAGGCACCCTGCTCGGGACAAGCATCCTCGACCTGTTAGCCGATGGCTGGAGCCTGGGAGGCAGGCCCCGAACCAGCCACGAGCCCCACTCTGCTCCCAGCAAGTGACGACATCATCCCCCAGAAACGTTTTGTCATTCATAGAAAAGACTTCAAAACCTGGCCCCAAGGCCCCCACCAGTGCCCTGGCAAACATCAGCCACTTCCCCTTGCTGCCTGTTTCTCTGTCCACTGCACCTTGTGTTTCTGTGGTGCCGGCATGCACACGGCGAGATGCCCCACCAGTGGCCGCCACATGAGCCCCCGCACGGGAAGACCCAACTCAGCTGTCTCCCTCCTGAAACCCCCAGCCCTTCTCCCTCCCTTATCCATAAAGGCCTCACAGGAGCTTTCTCCCAGCCTGGCAGTGTTAGTCTGTGATGATTCGGTTACCTTGGAATGTGAGCATCTTGCTGGAGTCACCTCACGCATGGACGGAGCATCTGGCCTGGTGCCCGTGGCCACCATTGCCCACCGGGCTGTGGGCTGAGCTGGAAGCAGCTCTGCATGCTCAGGTGCATGGGTCCAGCCACGTCTCCGGTGCTGACCACCTCCCACATGTGTCCTTAGTTCACAGGAAACGGGCCGTGCGAGATGCACAGCGTGCAGAAGAACGAGCACGACAAGACCCCGGAGCACAGCAGGAAGCGCTCCCGGCCCTCGCTCCTCCGCCCCGTGTCTGCACCCGCCAAGGTACCTGTGAGCCACATGCAGCCATGCCTGCACGCGGGGCCCCCAGCAAATCGGGCCTTCCCAGCATGTGACCAGGGAACAGAGGCCCCAGCAGGGGTTCGGGGCTGGACCGGGGGCTGTGTGAGGTTCACCGGCAGTGGGACCGTTGGAAGTCAGCTCTCCTCTAAGGTGGCTGTTCTTCCGTTCTCCCTGTCCTGTGAGATTGTTTTGAAAAGGAGGAGGAGGAAGGAGTGTTAACCCTGCCCTAGGTCCCAAGAAACAGGGTGTACCACCCAGTCTCCTTTTCACCCTCAGGACTCTCTCACAGGCAAGGCCGCCATGTACGTTTGTTCAGGTTGGTCACTGCACAGCTGAGGGCAGAGAGGGGCTGGGATCCAGCTCCTGTCACGCCTTTCACCTGCAATGGTGGTTTTCCGATTCCATTATTCCTTGTGCAGTTACTACTTGGCTTTCTACTATTGGTGGGAACTTTGTCGTCCTCCCATTTATTTAGTTATGTATATTAGATATGGACTCTGGGTTATAATCCATTCTAGTGTTGATGTCCATACTGTTCCAGATTGGGCCAGCGGGGTCCCTTTGGCTCTTGTGTCCTTTTTTTCTTTCCTTTGAGACAGAGTCTCGCTCTGTCACCCAGGCTGGAGTGCAGTGGCGCGATCTCGGCTCACTGCAAGCTCCGCCTCCCGGGTTCACGCCATTGTCCTGCCTCAGCCTTCCTGTGTCCTTTTGGCATGTCCTCATCATTCTTTCTCCTGTGGGGGGATGGGGTTTCACTCTGCCACCTAGGCTGGAGTGCAGTGGCACAGTCAGCCTTGACCTCTGGGCTCTAGCTGTCCTCTCACCTCAGCCTTCCAAGTAGCTGGGACCACAGGTGTGCACCACCACACCTTTTTGTAGAGATGAGGTTTCATCGTGTTGCCCAGGCTGGTCTCGAACTCCTGGGCTCAAACAATCCTCCCGCCTCAGCCTCCCAAAGTGTTGGGATTACAGGCGTGAGTCCCTGCACCCAGCTCATCCTCATTCTTCAGGCACTTTGGAGATAGTTCTGGATGGACAGTGTTGTCCTTCTTGCCATGATCGTGCATCCAAGTTCAGGTCCAAGTCCAGCTTAGAGACAAAAGCCTGCAGAGACTCAACATTTGGCTTCTCCAGGGTCTTCCCAGTGCCACCCTCTTCCTGTCCGCTTCTTGTTGCTGTCTTGGCTCTCAGGACAAAACAGGGAAAGGATTCTGAGATTGTCGTAGCCAGGGGCACATCCCCCTTGCCTTTCTGATGCTGTGGCACTCTTGCCTGTTACCCAAAGCCCTACCCTGCTGAGATGGAGATCCCAGATTTGGCAGTGGCAGGTATCCCCAGAGGTGTCATCTCAGGGGTCCTGGGTAACTGAGCGGCTCCTGCCTGTCCCTCACTGAGCATCTCATGGCAGTTCCCAAAGGAGAGCACGGTCTTAGCCTTCTTGAGACTCTGTGACAGCGATGGACAGAGGCCACCGGTGGGAGGCACAGTGTTAACTGCATAGAATTTCTCCCCACAGAAAAAAATGAAACTTCGTGGTACCAAAGACCTGTCCATCGCTGCAGTGGGGAAGTACGGGACTCTGCAGGAATTTTCTTTCTTTGACAAGGTGAGGGTGGGCCCTGGCTTCCATCTTGGGGATGCCATGTCCAGCTGGCTGGGCCAATGCTCCCTGGGCCTGCCCCAGGATTGGGGCGGGGAGCAGGTAGGGTGGGTGCAGTCTGAGGATGGATCCGGCGGGGCTGGCCCCCAGCTTTCACTGCGGAAGGGAATGTGGGCCTCCTTGGAGCCCAGGCATATACTGTGGGCAGGAGTCCCAGTGGGTGCTGAGACTCCAAGCAGAGTATGAAGACATACATGTCTGCCACCCTGCAGCTGTGTGGCTTTTTCTTATATCAGGGATGATTGTAGGGTTCCCGCCCAGGGTCTGTGGGCAGAGCAGACAAGGTGGCCGTGTGCATGGGCTGTGAATTGCTGCATGGATTGCATGCACAGACTGTGAATTGCTGCATGGATCACGTGCACGGGCTGTGTGAATTGCTGCATGGACACATGCATGGACTGTGTGAATTGCTGCACAGATGGCATGCATGGGCTGTGAATTGCTGCATGGATTGCGTGCATGGGCTGTGTGAATTGCTGCACGGATCGCGTGCACGGGCTGCGTGAATTGCACGGATCACATGCACGAACTGAATTGCTGCATGGACGCGTGCAGGGGCTGTGTGAATTGCACGGATCGCATGCACAAACTGTGAATTGCTGCATGGACGCGTGCAGGGACTGTGTGAATTGCTGCACAGATGGCGTGCATGGGCTGTGAATTGCTGCATGGATCACGTGCCTGTGCTGTGTGAATTGCTACACAGATTATGTGCACGGGCTGTGAATTGCTGCATGGATCACCTGCACAGGCCGTGAATTGGTGCATGGATTGCGTGCATGGGCTGTGTGAATTGCAGCACAGATATCATTTACTTATAGACACAGTTGGTTCCCATATCGCACACCCATGTGGCTGACCTACAAGTGAGCCAGGCCCAGAGGCTGAGGAGCAGGGGTTCACAGTGGTCCCTGACTGCTCTCTCTGCAGGTCCGCCGGGTGCTGAAGAGCCAGGAGGTGTATGAAAACTTCCTCCGCTGCATCGCACTCTTCAACCAGGAGCTGGTGTCTGGCTCTGAGCTCCTGCAGCTCGTCAGCCCATTTCTGGGGTGAGCAGCTGACTTCCCAGGGCTCCCTAGGGGGGTTCTGTTCCTGTCAACTCCATCTACTTGGTTTTTAGTTACTGTTTTTGAGCAATGATTGTGCTTTTCTAAAATCCTGTTTATTAATTGACGTGATTGATATAATTATTGATTCCCATGCATTTGTAAGGAGCAATACACCACCTGGGTACCCTCCAGCTGGTTCCTTTACCAGTAACATCTGTAGTCAGTATCCTCACCAGAATACAGTGGGTCCTCGAGTAATGCCTTTTCATTTAACACTGTTTTAACACCGATGAGAAAAGAAGACATTCATTTCTGGTCTGAGTGGAGTTTGCACGTTCTCCCCATGTCTGCGTGGATTTTCTCCCACATCCCAAAGATGTGCATGTTAGGTTAAGTCTAGGTTAAGCGGTGAGTCTCCGTGGTCCCAGCCTGAGTGAGTGTGGCGGGGTGAGCGCCCTGCAGTGGGGTGGCGTCCTGTCCAGGGTGGGTGCCCCACTGGTGCTCTGAGCTGCTGGGATAGGGTCCGGCCACCCAAGATCCTGAACTGGAATAATTGGGTAAATTGTTATTTTACTTGTTTTTACTCATCTTTCTTATCTGTATGTGTGGCTTGCATTTATTTCAGTGTTTAATATTAGAAGTGTTTTGGTCTCTCTTTAGAAATTTGGTGATTGTTTTGTGACCAAAAATACGCCGTAGGAACGTCATTCTTGTTTATGTGTCAATTAGCTTGTGGCAAAATTGGTTTTGTTACACATCTTTTCAACTTAAAGACACAGCTTTCTAACACCTGTTGATGATGTTGAGTGAGGACTTACTGTACTGACTCTCACACAACCCCCGTTCTTTCCAGACTCTCCGTGTTCCTCATACACGTCTGGTGTGTGTGTTTTTATACAGCTTTCTCACTGTGGAGGGTTGTGCGTCCGCCACAGTGAAGATACTGAACGGCTCCAGGACTGTCAAGTTCTGGCCTTGACCTTTTATCTCCATCCCAAAACCCTGCCTCAGCCGGAGTCTGTTCCAAACCCCTGGCAACTACTTATCTGTTCTCTAGACAATGTTACAGTAATGGAACTGTACAGGAGGAACCCTCTGGGAGAAACCTTCCCCCCCCCCCCCCCAGCAAAATTCCCTGGAGATTCACCTGATAAATACTTTTAAAAATTCTAACACTTGGGCCGGGTGCGGTGGCTCGTGTGTAATCCCAGCACTTTGGGAGGCCGAGGTGAGCAGATTGCCTGAGGTCAGGAGTTGGAGACAAGCCTGGCCAACATGGTGGAACTCCATCTCTACTAAAAATACAAAAATTAGCCGGGCGTGGTGGCAGGCGCCTGTAATCCCAGCTACTTGGGAGGCTGAGGCAGGAGAATCGCTTGAACCCAGGAGGCGGAGGTTGCAGTGAGCTGAGATCACGCCATTGTACTCCAGCCTGGGTGGCGACAAGAGCAAGACTTTGTCTCAAAAACAAAACAAAACAAAAAAATAATTCTAACCCTTGGGTCGGGCTTGGGTTAGGTGCGGTGGCTCACACCTGTAATCCCAACACTTTGGGAGGCCGAGGTGGGTGGATCACTTGATGTCAGGAATTAGAGACCAGTCTGGGCAACATGGCCAAACCCTGTCTCTACCAAAAAATATAAAAATTCGCCGGGGGTGGTGGCACACGCCTGTTGTCCCAGCTACTTAGGAGGCTGAGCTAGAAGGATAGCTTGAGCCAGGGAGGTCAAGGCTGCAGTGAGCTGTGATCACGCCACTGTCCTCTAGCCTGGGTGACAGAGTGAGACCCTGTATCCAAAAAATATATGTATATATATTATACCTCTGCTGCACAAAGAGAAGCCTCATTAGCAGGTCAGGTCTAAGAGTAGCTTCTAACCTCTGGTGGCCAGGTCAGCCTCAGGAAGGGGCTGGGACTGAGTGGAGGGGCCTGGAAACAACTGCGCACACTCGTATCCATTCTCGGGCTCACAGGAGTGTGCGCGGTAGGAGTAGGCGGGCCTGTGAGTGCTGAGACCTGGGAGCCAGCTGGGGCCAGTGTTGCTTCCTGCACATCAGCCCTGTGACTAGGGTGAGTCACTTGGGCAGTCTGAGCCTCTGTTTCCTTGCTGTAAAATGGGGATAGTAAATGTACCGACCTATGTGGGGTTCCTGAGAGCTGCAGGTGGGCGCTACCTGCAGGGCCCTTCAAATACAATAGAATCTCACAAATAAAAGGAAAAGACGATTTTTTCGGCAGAAGGAAATGATGTAAGTCACAAACTTGGATCTTTCCTAAAGAATCGAAGAGCATGGAGAAAAATACACGTGAAGATTTTTTTTTTTTTCAAGACAGAGTCTTGCTCTGTTGCCCAGGCTGGAGTGCAGTGGCGCGATCTTGGCTCACTGCAACCTCCACCTCCCAGGTTCAAGTGACTCTCCTGCCTCATCCTCCTGAGTAGCTGGGATTACAGATGTGTGCCACCATACTTGGCTAATTTTTGTATTTTTAGTAGAGATGGGGTTTTGCCATGTTGGCCAGGCTGGTCTCGAACTCCTGACCTCAAGCAGTCTGCCTGCCTCAGTCTCCCAACGTGCTGAGATTATGGGCGTGAGCCACCATGCCTGGCCATGATTCTTTTTTTTAATGGTTCTTGCACATGGTGGGTGCACATATTAACATGATCAGTCCATTCAGTCCTTAGCCCTTTTCCCATTTACCCCAGGGATAGTAGTTGACAGCACTTGTGGCTGTAGCGTTCACCCCAAGATAACTTTGCCATGAAGCATCTCATTTTTATTATTATTTTTGCATTGCTGTCATATATCAACTTTGGAAATAAAAGACATCATTTTATGTATAGCATCCTGTTTTTAGTAGTGATATTTCCAGTTACAAAATATAGTAATTCTTGATCACTGAAAATGTCAAATCTTGGAAAATGTAGCATTCCTACACTTGATGTTAACATTGTTCTCAAACAGTTGTTGGCCAAAGATTCATTTGATGAATCTGACTGTTCCAAAATAGACGATTCTGGTGATTCAGACGATTCTGATGTTCTGTTTAGAAATAACTCCAAGAACAGTTTTTATATTTTACTTTCACATTGAAAATCAGTCAGATTTGCTTCAGCCTCAAAGAGTGTGTTTATGTAAAATTAAATGAGCGCTGGCAGCAAGCTGGACTTTTTTTTTTGTTCTAAATGGGAAAAAGTTGAATCAACCCTGGGGACAGGTGCTGTGTGAGCCCTTTTGCATTAACTTAAAAAAAATATGTGTGTGTGTGTGTGTGTGTGTGTGTGTGTGTGTGTATATATACACATAAACATTTTTCTAATGTAAAATAAAGCACAGATCCAAGAAACCACATGGCCAACAAATGGCTTGAATCTTTATTAAGCAGTCACCCATGTGCCCACCACCCACATCAAAAATAGACTCCAGGAGCACCCCCGCATACCATTCCAGTCCCTGCCCCTCACTGTGAGAGTGTCCTGACTTCAGGAGTGACCGCCACCTGCACTAATGACGGCACAGCCACCCAGGTGGGCATCGCCAAATACATGACTCAGTCTCACCCCCATCTGGGTTGGGTTTGCTTTGCTTTGCTTCTTTTCTCTTCTCTTTTCTTTTCTTTTCTTTTCTTTTTTTGAGACGGAGTCTAACTCTGTCACCCAGGCTGGAGTGCAATGGTGCGATCTCAGCTCACTGCAACCTCTGTCTCCCAGGTTCAAGTGATTATCCTGCCTCAGCCTCTCGAGTAGCTGGGACTACAGGTGCCTGTGACCACACCCAGCTACTTTTTGTATTTTGAGTAGAGACAGAGTTTCGCCATGTTGGTCAGGCTGGTCTCAAACTCCTGGCCTCAAGTGATCCGCCTGCCTCAGCCTCTCAAAATGCTGGGATTGCAAGTGTGAGCCACGGCGCCCAGGCCCTGGGTTTTGTTTTCTAATACATCTCGTAAGTCTCCTTTCACCTCTGATTCCCTCCGATTCTAGTCCTTACTATTTTTGTCCTGATGCCCCTCTGCCTATCCCTGTCCCTGTTATTTCTGTGATATTAGCCTCCCAGGTTTGCTCATTCATTTGGGGTTACACAGGAGGATCACCACAGCATTTCTCACCTTTTATAAGAAGTGGCCCAGGATAGCTGCTTGATTACAGCCTTGATTCCTCCCTAGTCACGGCCTCAGAGTGATGAACTGCTTTCATATCATCTTCCCAAGGGGACCAATTAGGTTGTTTCCTTTGTTTTTTTTTAGCATCTTAATGAATTCATGGACTTAAAATATATTTGATGCGTTTCAATACCGTTTCTAGTCCTTTTAAAGGTGAGGGGCCAGGCGTGGTGGCTCATGCCTATAATCCCAGTACTTTGGGAGGCCGAGGGGGAAGGATCACTTGCATCCAGGAGTTTAAGACCAAGGCCGGGCCTGGTGGCTCACGCCTGTAATCCTAGCACTATGGGAGGCTGAGGCGGGTGGATCACCTGAGGTCAGGAGTTCAAGACCAGCGTAACCAATATGGTGAAACCCCTTCTCTACTAAAAATAAAAAAATTAGCCAGACATGGTGACCTGTGCCTGTAGTCCCAGCTACTTGGGAGGCTGAGACAGGAGAATTGATTGAACCCAGGAAGCAGAGGTTGCAATGAGCAAAGATTGTACCACTGCACTCTAGCCTGGGCAACAGAGCAAGCTGTCTCAAAAAAACGAAAACAAAAAAAAATGACCAGCCTGGGCAACATAGTGAGACCTCGTCAGAAACTAGCCAGAAGTGGTGGCGTGTACCTGTACCTACTTTGGAGGTTGAGGTGGCTGGATCGCTTGAGTTTTCGAGGCAGAGGTTGCAGTGAGCCCTGATCTCACCACTGCACTCAGCCTGGGTAACAGAGTGAGAACCTGTCTCAAAAAAAAATAAGGAAGCTGAGGCTCAGGTCGAACCCCTCTAACTTACTCTAGGACAAGCACTCATAGGTGAGCTTAGCGTGCTGTTAGGCGGCAGCCAGGGTGCTCCAGCCCCAAAGCCAGCCCTTTGCATGTTCTCTGCCTTCTGGGCACAGTGGCTGCTGGGCTTCGGTGTGTATTTTTTTTTTTAACTCAGCATTTCTTGGAAGTGTTTCAGCATCAGATGTGAACCCATGTCCTCATTTTTAAGCAACTGCACCGCTTTTCCTTCCCTTACCAGGGTCTCTAACAATGGACATTTGTCTCTAGTCCTCCCTGTAAGTGGTGTTGACAGCAAATGCTCCTGAGTCTGCGACCCTCATGGGTCAAGCTGAGCCCATCAGAAGGCCTTTCCCTGGTGGTCTCAGGCATGCACGTGTTGGGGTGATCTTTTCAGTGGGTTTTCTTTCTTGGGCTGCTGAAGGTCTGTAAACGCCCTGAAGAACAGCCCAGAGCAGGATGGTGTTACTCTAGTCTCAGCCAAAACGGGGACTCCTGGGGTCTGTTTGTGACGTGGGTGGTGGGCACACGGCTGGGCTTTTTCTGTGGATGTGGAATGCACATTCACCTTGAGTTGCCTCCACTGGGCTTAGAATCCAGCACTCTCTGAGCCTGGGTCCCACCTGGGAAAAGGGGCCCCCAGGGGCTGTGTGTGGAGCTGGTGTTGGCACCTGGGTCCAGCGGGCACGTGACCACCCCGGGTTGGAATTGGGACTCTGCTTCCTACTAGCCAAGCGAGCCTCAGTGTCTTTGTAAAATGGCCATACCTCCCTCCTGGGTTTATCAGGAGGTTAGAGGGGAAGACAGAAGGAACATGAAAGGTGAGAATCTGAAAGGCAAGGTGCTGAACAGATGGGCAGTGCCGGAGCACAGTCAGCTGTTCTTGTTTCCATGTTTCAGCAGTAGAGACTCGTATGGGGAAGGGCGTTTGGGGAAGGGTCTGTATGGAGCAAGGTCCAGAATTGAAGCGGGCCTCTGCGTGTGCTTGACACGAGGCCTGGTTGGGTTAGGAGCGTTCACCACCATGTGGCGTTCCTCCGCGTGTTCAACCTGCGGTCAAGTGCTCAGCTGGGCTGGGCAGCTGAACACGGCCCAGGGAACTGCCCCTCGCAGCTGGCAGCCGCGTGGCAGCCAGGGTGGATCGGGTTGAGCATTCCCTTCAGAGCAGTCACGATTTGCGTTTATCCCAGCAGTAGCCTCAGGCATCTCTGCAGCTTTTTTGTTGGTCTCTTTCCTTCCTACGTTTCCATCGGCTTGTGGGTTTTCCTTGTGAGCAGGGTTGGCATAGGGTTCTTAAATACGGGGAACGACGGAGCCCACATCAATGAGGGGGACGTCGTTATGCGAGGGTGGGCTGGGTGGCTAGGTCACAGCAGGATTGTGGCACCAGCAGTCAAAGTAACTGCAACTTTTTTTTTTTTTTTTTTTTTTGAGACGGAGTCTCGCTCTGTCGCCCAGGCTGGAGTGCAGTGGCGTGATCTCGGCTCACTGCAACCTCTGCCTCCTGGGTTCACGCCATTCTCCTGCCTCAGCCTCTCCCAGTAGCTGGGACTACAGGCGCCCGCCACCACGCCCAGCTAATTTTTTTTTTGTATTTTTAGTAGAGACGGGGTTTCACCGTGGTCTCGATCTCCTGACCTCGTGATCCGCCCGCCTCGGCCTCCCAAAGTTCTGGGATTACAAGCATGAGCCACTGCGCCTGGCCATAACTGCAACTTTTTTGGTAGGATCTGATGTTACTGCTTAGAGACGGGGTCCTGCTCTGTTGCCCAGGCTGGTCTCAAACTCTTGAGCTGAAGTGATCTTCCCGCCTTGGCCTCCTGAGTAGCTGGGATTCCAGGTACACACCACCAGGTCTGATACTATTTTAAACAGAAATCCAGGTGGCATTGTAGGGTCATTTGCATTAAAGCCTTCCTGTTGTCGACCACAGCCATGACATTATGACTTTCAAGCTTGTGTCCAGAGAGGGGTTCACAGAGAGAAGTCTCCCTCATGAGAGGAAGACTGTGGATCAGAGATAGGCAAACTTGATCTCTGAGGGGCCAGATGGGCTTTGTGGAAATGACTCAAACCCCTCTTGTGCAGGCAGCCACAGGCAGTGCGTACACAAGTGGATGTGACTGCAGGCCAGTGAAACTTTATTTACAATGGGATGGCTAGGCATGGTGGCTCACGCCTGTCACCCCAGTACTTTGGGAGGTTGAGGTGAAAGGATCACTTGAGGCCAGGAGTTCAAGACCAGCTTGGGCAACATAGCAAGACCCCATCTCTACAAAAAAATTTTTAAATTGGCCCTGCATGGTGGCTCACACTTGTAATCCCAGCACTTTGGGAGGCCGAGGCGGGTGAATCACCGGAGGTCAGGAGTTTGAGACCAGCCTGGCCAACATGGGGAAACCCCGTCTCTACTAAACATACAAAAATTAGCCGGGCATGGTGGTGCATGCCTGTAGTCCCAGCTACTCAGAAAGCTGAGACAGGAGAATTGCTTGAACCCGGGAGGTGGAGGTTGAAGTGAGCCGAGATTGTGCCATTGCACCCCAGCCTGGGCGACAAGAGTGAAACTCTGTCTCAAAAAAAAAAAAAAAAAAAAATTTAGCCGGGTGTGGTGGCACATGCCTGTGGTCCCAGCTACTGAGGAGGCTGCGGTGGGAGGATCTCTTGAGCCCACGAGTTTGAGGTTGCAGTAAGCTGAGATCATGCCACTGCCCTTGAGCCTGGGCAACAGAGTAAGACACTATCTCTAAAAAGAAAATACCAAACCAAACAAAACACAGGCAGTGTGCAGACTGGCTGTGGCTTGCCACTCCCTGGCCTGAAGCCTGGCCTCTTCCAGTCAGGGAACATCAGGGGTTCCAGCTTCTGCCAGTTTAAGTCATCTTTTCTGGTGTATTTCAAAGCCTTACTGTGAGTATGGGATTAATAGGCACAGGAAGGGACCTGGTGTGTGACAGATGGGTGGGAGGCCCATTCATTCACACACCCCGGGACTTGCAGTGACTTCCTGTGTATTGGATTCTTCCGCCTCTCATTCGCATCCATGATGTTGAATTCTGACTCTGTTTAACTTGTAATGTCCACATGAAGCCATTCTAAAATCTCCAGATCCCTCTCAGAAGGCCCTGGGGATGACCAGTTACCATGTGTCTTTATCTTTGAAGGAAATTTCCAGAACTCTTTGCACAGTTCAAGTCCTTCCTGGGGGTAAAAGAGCTGTCCTTCGCGCCACCCATGAGCGACAGATCCGGGGACGGGATAAGCCGGGAAATTGATTATGCATCCTGCAAGCGCATAGGATCCAGCTACCGGGCACTCCCCAAAACCTACCAGCAGCCCAAGTGCAGTGGGAGGACAGCCATCTGCAAGGAGGTAGCGCTCCCTGGGGCTCAAATGTTCGTTGACATGGTGCATCCCCCACCCCTCCCCAGCAAACACCCGATACCCCCGTTATGAATGAAATGCTGTGTGCTCAGCCCTCCTGAATGTTGGGTTATGGGTGGTGCTGGGATGTGGCCCGGCAAAACCACCTGAGCAGAGACAACAGTGTTGTACCCTGCTGGTAGTTTTGGCAAAACACAGAGTGCCAGGGATAACGTGGAGTTCGGCTTATTCATCTGTTATTTGACTTAGGTTTATTGCTGCCATGATTCTGCTCTGTCCCGGGCTCACTGACCTCAGTGTGTTTCTGTTTAGCTTGACCATTGGACACTTCTCCAGGGTTCGTGGACAGACGATTACTGCATGTCCAAGTTCAAGAATACCTGCTGGATTCCAGGATATAGTGCAGGGGTCAGCAAACTCTGGCCCACGGGCCCTGGCCCGCTGCCCGTGTTTGTAAATAAAGTTTTACTGTCACACAGACACAACCATTCCTTTACATATTGCCTGTGGCTGCTTTTCTCACCACAAAGGCAGAGTTGAGTATTCATCTGGGATGGCCTGCAAAATCTGAGATGGTTGCTGTCTGACCCTTTGCAGAGAGAATTTACCAATGTCTGAAATGAAATCGGCCCTCCGGATCTGCAAGTTCCTCATCTGTGGTTTCAACTAACCATGGATTGAAAATACGTGGGGAAAGAGAAACCAAAAAATGACAATACAGCAATAAAGCGTAATCCACATTTTAAGAATGCAGTGTAACAATGATCTACACAGCATTTACATTGCATTAGGTATAAGTATTCTAGAGATGATTTTGCATAGGATATATGCAAATAGGATTCCATTGGACATCAGGGACTTGAGTATCTGTGGATTTGGGTCTTCAGGGGTGGTTCTGGAACCAATCTCCCAGGATACCAAGGGAGTGTCCACTTGACCAAAGTCATGTTTTTCCTTAAAAACTTTATGCACCTTCCCATTTGTATAAGGCAGTTGGTATTATGTATCAGGATGGTATTATGTATCTTGGTACTTTCTACACTGGCTAACAGTAAATCTTGGCTCCTGGGGCATGCAGCGTCATTCACGGCATTTCCTCTTGGTGCAGGTACTGAACGACACCTGGGTCTCCTTCCCTTCCTGGTCTGAGGACTCCACGTTCGTCAGCTCCAAGAAGACACCGTACGAGGAGCAGCTTCACCGCTGTGAGGACGAGCGCTTCGAGGTGTGTGTGCTGCTGTGGCCGGGTCCCCCGGCATGTGCCTGTTCCCCTTCTCCATGGGACATGCATCCTGATCCTCCTCCACTGCCCCAGTCTCGTTTGGAGGAGCAGGAATTGCAGCACATTCCAACAGCTCCTGGAAGCTTCCTGCCGGGTCTTGCTGGCCTTTGGGCTGGCTACCAGATGGCACTTTTCTTTCTGTTTAAAAATTTTGTTTGGGCTGGGCGTAGTGGCAGACACCTGTAATCCCAACACTTTGGGAGGCCAAGACAGGTGGATCATTTAAGCTCAGGAGTTTGAGACCAGCCTGGGCAACATGGCGAAACCCCATCTCTACCAAAAATACAAAAATTAGCCGGGCGTGGTGGCGGGCGCCTGTAATCCCAGCTACTCGAGAGGCAGAAGCAGTAGAATTGCTTGAGCCAGAGAGGCCGAGGCTGCAGTGAGCCGAGATCACACCACTGCACTCCACCCTGGACAACAGAATGAGACCCTGTCTCCTAAAAAGTTTCTTTAATGTAAAAATTAAATTTATTTTTATTTTATTTATTTATTTATTTTGCTTGCTCTGTTTCCCAGGCTGGAAGTGCAGTGGCGTAATCATGGATCGCTGCAGCCTTGACCTCCCAGGCTCAAATGATCCTCCCACCTCAGCCTCCTGAGTAACTGGAACCACAAGTCCATACTACCATGCCCAAGTTGTTTTTTTTACTTTTTTTGTAGACATGAAGTCTCACTGTGTTCCCGAGGCTGGTCTCACACTCCTGGCCTCAAGCGATCCTCCCACCTTGGCCTTCCAAAGTGCTGAGATTAAAGGAATGAGCCACCACACCTGGCTAATTTTTTTTTCCTTTTTTTAGAGACAGGGTCTGTATTGCCCAGGCTACATTAATTTTTGTAATTAAAAGTTTTATTGGCTGGGCACGATGGCTCACGCCTGTAATCCCTGCACTTTGGGAGGCTGAGGTGGGAGGACTGCTTGAGGCCAGGAGTTCAAGACCAACCTGGGCAACAAAGCAAGAGCCCATCTATACAAAAAAAAAATTTTTTTTTTTTTTTGAGACAGAGTTTCACTCTGTCGCCCAGGCTGGAGTCCAGTGGCATGATCTTGGCTCACTGCAACCTCCACCTCCTGGGTTCAAGCGATTCTCCTGCCTTAGCCTCCTGAATAGCTGGGATTACAGGCACACCACCATTCCTGGCTAATTTTTTTATTTTTAGTAGAGACGGGGTTTCACTATGTTGGTCGGGCTGGTCTCGAACTCGTGACCTTGTGATCCGCCCATCTCAGCCTCCCAAAGTGCCAGGATTACAGGCGTGAGCCACCGTGCCCGGCCATAAATTTTTTTAATTAGCCAGGCATGGTGGTGCACACCTATATTCCTAGCTACGTGGGAGGCTAAGGTGGGAGGATTGTTTGAGCCCAGGAGGTTGAGGCTGCAGTGAGCTTTGATTGTGCCACAGCACTCAAGTCTGGGTGACAGAGCAAGACCCTATCTCTTAAATACACACACCCCCCCCCCAAAAAAATCCTCTGGTCTCTGAGGTCCCAGGCTCCTCTCTGAGGCCTCTTGAGTTCCCCAGTGGCTGACCCCGTCCTGCCTTCCTTTCCATAGTTAGACGTTGTCCTGGAGACGAACCTGGCCACAATCCGTGTGTTGGAAAGTGTGCAGAAGAAGCTGTCTCGGATGGCGCCGGAAGACCAGGAGAAGTTCCGGCTGGACGACTCCCTGGGAGGCACGTCGGAGGTGATCCAGCGCCGTGCCATTTATCGCATCTATGGCGACAAGGCCCCGGAGATCATCGAGAGCCTCAAGAAGAACCCTGTCACCGCTGTCCCCGTTGTCCTGAAAAGGTGCCCTGTGGCGTCCCGACTTCCCTTCCCCTTCCCCTTCCCCCTTCCCTCCCCTCCCCTCCCCTCCCCTCCCCACTGCAGGGAGCCCTTGGAGAGCTCATTAGTGCTGTTTGTCAACAGGTGTCATCTCCAGGGGTGGTCTCTGAGGCCTAAGGGTGCCTTCCTGTATTTCCCAGTCTCCCACTCCTGAGAGGAGAGCACTGTGACCTTCTAGGACTTTCCACCTTGCACATAATACATCTAGACATCTAAATAACTGCTTTAAGAGTCAGATGCGACCACTACACTGTGGCTTGCATTTTATTTAATGCTGCATTTCGGATGCCGTCCGGCGCTAGTTAACAGGCATTTATCAAGTGGTCACTTTCAGGCAGGTGCAGTGCTTGGCCCTGGGATTATGCAGCTGAGTGAGGCAGACCCAGTCCCTCTCTTGGGACTCACAGCTGAGCAGGGGACCTGAGTGGTTGAGCCAACAGCCATGCGGAGAGTGCTGGGTGCCAGGGAGGAGGTGGAGGAACCGGGAAGCCGGCCACATTGGCTCTGTAAGGCCATCACGCCCTCCCTCTGACGTGCACAGAGCCCACTGCACAGACTAGGCTGGGAGCTGGCTGGGCCTGGGTCCTGGACCCCCAGTCAAGTCCCAGAGGAAGACAGGCCAGCCCTGGGATGCTTCAGGGAGGATGCCCTGGCTTGTCCCTGGTGCTGACCTCTCTTCCCCCCGCAGACTGAAGGCCAAGGAAGAGGAGTGGCGGGAGGCCCAGCAGGGCTTCAACAAGATCTGGCGGGAGCAGTATGAGAAGGCGTACCTCAAGTCCCTTGACCACCAGGCTGTGAACTTCAAGCAGAACGACACCAAGGCCCTGCGCTCCAAGAGCTTGCTCAACGAGATCGAGAGCGTCTACGACGAGGTAAAGCCTTCCCTAGCCCTGCCGGCCGGTGGGGGTGGGGTCCTGGCTCTCCCGACCGCCGGGTCTGTGCCTCTGTTTCCCTGGTGGTTAGGCAGGGTAGTGGCATTGCCCTTTCAGGGCTGTGTTGAGGCGAGGGTTCATGTCTCTGTGATGCCCAGCCTGTGGCCTGCCCTAGGAGAACCAGCAACTCTGCCATTGTCTATCTGTTTGTTTGTTTGGAGACAGAGTCTCGCTGTGTTACACAGGCTGGAGTGCAGTGGTGTGATCTCAGCTCACTGTAACCTCAGCCTCCTGGGTTCAAGTGATTCTTCTGCCTCAGCCTCCTGAGTGGCTGGGACTACAGGCGCACACCACCACACCCAGCTAATTTTTATATTTTTAGTAGAGATGGGTTTTCACCATGTTGGCCAGGCTGGTCTTGAACTCCTGACCTCGTGATCCACCCACCTCAGCCTCCCAAAGTGCTGGGATTACATGCGTAAGCCACCGCTCCTGGCCGACTCTGCCATTGTCTAGCGAAGTCTCCGTCCCTCCCGTGGGGCAGTGATGGACTTTGGCTTAGGTAGTGGGTGGCAGCAGCCTTCATTTCTTTCTTGCCGACTGTGCCAGGCACCGGTGTTAGCAACACAGAAAGAGTAATGCATCATCTGACCTCACTCCTGAACCTGACTCTGCTGCGGCATTATTCTGATTTTACCAGTGGGGAAACTGAGGCACAAGAGGTTGCATTTGCCTGGGCTGGTCGCAGGGGGCCAGGGCTCTGAGTCATTGGGTTCGAGGCTTTCGGCTGCATGTCCTCACTGCAGGCTCACAAGGCCTGAGTCATAGAACCAAGGCCAGCGGGGCCCTCAGGTTGCCAGGAGCTGGGCCTGTTAGTAGCTGTGTGTAGGGAGTGCCTGCTTGCAGGATCCTGAGGTGGGAAGCTTGGCAGGGTGCCGGGCGTGGTGATAGCCAGCTGTCGGGAAGGTCCTTGGACACTCTGAGGAGGTGGCTTAGGAGGGCACACTACTCCCCAGGCAGTGCCCAGATCATGGCACGGGCTGCGTTATCAGCCTGGTGCCCACCTGGGCAGGGGGTGTTGCCTCACCTGATTTGGTTTCTTGCTCCTGTCACTGCACAGTGAGCGGTCGCTCCTTCTTTTACAACACAGAAACGGAATCCACAGGAGCCGGGCTGCTGGCCCAAGGCCTCTCCCAGAGCCTGTGGGACTGTGGGGACCCCCTTCCCTCCCACCTCCCTTCCCGTGGGCCACCCTCGCCCCAGGCCCACCCACAACCACTCTGGCTTCCTCACTCTAGTCCTCGGCGATCCTCAAGCCCAAGACCCCGTATAGGTTCTGTGGGTCTGTGGTGTCTGCAAAGTGCAGATGATGAAGTAGCCCTGGAAATCCACCAATGCGACCCTGAGTTCCTGGATCCCTCCCTGGGGCTGGGGCTGACAAAGGGAGGGGCACCAAGGTTCATATGCAGATCTCTGCACATGCAGGTCCTTGATGAATTCCAAAGTCAGAACCCCATTCCATCACGTGATTTACAAAGCATGGTTACAGATCATGGACATGGGGACCCTGCTTCAGAGGGGACTGTAAAGGAATTTTCAGAGTGTTTATGGCATAAATGAGACCTGGGGGACTTAGGAAGCAGTCAGAGGGCGATGGTCACACTGAAGAGCCCAGAGCAGGGCTGAGCGTGCAGACTCCTAGGAACCAGGTCAGTGTGCTTGGCCCTACCAGCCTCTAAGCCGCCTTGCAGGGGAGGAGGAAGGGAAACCTCAGGCTGCTAGGAGACCCGGTCCTTCCCTCGGGAGCCTGCAGAGATGGCATCCACGCTCATTTTCCCCAAGAGCCCTGCTGCGTCTGCCTCCCTGCCTTGGACTGAGGGGGTTGGGGCTGCCCAGCAGAGGCCCTGGGTGCCAGGACAGTGGTGTGGGAGGCTGGAGGAAGGGGTGATTGTCTAATGGTGTGAGGGAATGAAAGTCATGATCTAGATAAAGACCAAGGGGAGGGGTGAGCCTGGGACAGGGTTTTCCAGGGAGTGAGAGCAGATGGGCATGTGCAAAGGCCCTGCACACGCAGGAGGGAGCTTGGCGCGGTGAGGCTGGAGGAGCTGTGGAGGGGCACATCAGGGGCCGGCGTCTTCTGAGCAGCCTGGGAAAGCCTGAAGGGCATTAGTTGGGGTGACCATGCTCCTGTGGGCCAAGTCACCCTGGACCCAGTGAGGAGAGTGGTTGGAGCAGGCTGGTGGGAGCTGGTGGGAGGGCTGGTGACATGATGGTGGTAGCAAGCACGTGCAGGGGCTGGCGGGGACAGCAGCGGAGGCGGGGGCTTGGTGACGATGGGCGTGCAGGTCTTCAGATGTGAGCAGTTGCAGGCCTTCCGGGTAGTAGATGGAGGGCAGAGGCAGAGAGGTCACGGCTCACCCTTTGCCTCCTTGACTTCATCGATAGCATGGTGTGGGCAGCCCCGGTCGAGCTGGAATCAGGCGCCACCGTTGCTTTCAGTAGGAGGAGGTCAGCCTCAGAGGCTTCTCCATGCTGAGCCACGGGGCCCCGTTCTGTCCTGGAGCTGGGCTGAGCGACAGACCCAGGCTTGACGCTGTCAGACCCCCTGTGAACCCCGCCCCACATCTCAGAATCCTCTTGGCTCCTTTGTCTGGGGTCCCGGGATGACTTGGGTCTGCCTCACTTTCGGAGAGGGGACCAGGAGCACATGGGGCTGCACAAGAGGTTGAGGCAAGCGACCTACCCCCCAGGCCCTGCTGCCTCACCGATGTTCGCCACCCATCCTGCTCTGGGCAGCGCTCATCCACCTTGGTGGCCCAGTTAACAGCGAGTCGTGAATGGGCACTGGGGGTCCTCTGGGTGCTGGGTGGCTTTCCACCTAATGGCCGCCCTTCCCCCCACAGCACCAGGAGCAGCACTCGGAGGGCCGCAGTGCCCCCTCTAGCGAGCCGCACCTCATCTTTGTGTACGAGGACCGGCAGATCCTGGAGGACGCAGCAGCGCTCATCAGCTACTACGTGAAGCGGCAGCCGGCCATCCAGAAGGAGGACCAGGGCACCATCCACCAGCTGCTGCACCAGTTCGTGCCCAGCCTCTTCTTCTCTCAGCAGCTGGACCTGGGCGCCTCCGAGGAGTCAGCTGATGAGGACCGGGACAGCCCCCAGGGGCAGACCACAGACCCCAGTGAGCGGAAGAAGCCGGCGCCAGGACCCCACAGTAGCCCCCCAGAGGAGAAGGGGGCCTTCGGGGATGCCCCGGCCACTGAGCAGCCACCCCTGCCGCCCCCAGCCCCGCACAAGCCCCTGGACGATGTCTACAGCCTATTTTTTGCCAACAACAACTGGTACTTCTTCCTGCGCCTGCACCAGACCCTGTGCTCCAGGCTGCTGAAGATCTACCGCCAGGCGCAGAAGCAGCTTCTGGAGTATCGGACCGAGAAGGAGCGGGAGAAGCTGCTGTGTGAGGGCCGCAGGGAGAAGGGCAGCGACCCCGCCATGGAGCTGCGGCTGAAGCAGCCCAGTAAGGCTCCAAAGCCTGCCGGGAGGCCCCGGGGGGTGCCTGGGGTTAGGGGTCACAGCTCATGATCTGACATGTCCTGTTACTTTTCTTTCTGGCTTTTCATTTTAAGAGAATTCTGTGATTTCAAATGGGAAATTGCAAACAGGAAGTTGCCAGCATAAGACAGAGGTCTCACGTACCCCTCGCCCAGGCTCCCCTGGCCGTGGCACCTGTCCTGGGTGTAGCACCCTCTCCTGACTGGGGAACATTTGTTTCTCATGGGCTTTCTCGTGGAGCCGTCATGGCCCAGCTCCACAGTACCCTTTTTCTTTCTTTTTTTTTTTTTTTGAGATGGAGTCTTGCGCTGTTGCGCAGGCTGGAGTATAGTGGCAGGATCTCGGCCCACTGCAACCTCCACTTCCCAGGTTCAAGTGATTCTCCTGCCTTAGCCTCCCAAGTAGCTGGGATTACAGGCGCTCACCACCATGCCTGGCTCATTTTTTGTATTTCTTTTTTGAAATGGAGTCTTGCTCTATTGCCCAGCCTGGAGCACAGTGGCATGATCTCGGCTCACTGCAGCCTCCGCCTCCCAGGTTCAAGCAATTCTCTGCCTCAGCCTCTGAGTAGCTGGGATTACAGGCACCCACCACCATGTCCGGTTATTTTTTTTTTGTATTTTTAGTGGAGACGAGGTTTCACCATCTTGACCAGGCTGGTCTTAAAACTCCTGACCTTGTGATCCACCTGCCTCGGGCTTCCAAAGTGATGGGATTACAGGCATGAGCCACCGCGCCCAGCCCAATTTTTTGTATTTTTAATAGAGACAGGATTTCACCATGTTGGCCAACCTGGTCTCAAACTCCTGAACTCAGGTGATCCGCCTGCCTCAGCCTCCCCAAGTGCTGGGATTACAGGCATGGGCCACCATGCCTGGCCTCCACAGCATTCTCGCTGCCATCCCTGGGTTGCCGGCCAGATTAGGCAGCCTCGGAGGGTGGCAGTGAACACCAGCTACTCGGGTTTCCTGGTGATTCCCACATTTGCCCCAGGGGTGGCAGGTGAGGGCTGTTGGGCCCCATGGGGGCATTTGTTGGGGCTCTGTCATGCCAGAGTTTGGCCTGCGTGACTTTGCGCTCTCCAGGAGGCATATGGATGAGGCGGTGTGTCTCCGCAGGTGAAGTGGAGCTGGAGGAGTACTACCCGGCCTTCCTGGACATGGTGCGGAGCCTGCTGGAGGGCAGCATCGACCCCACGCAGTACGAGGACACCCTACGCGAGATGTTCACCATCCATGCCTACGTGGGCTTCACCATGGACAAGCTGGTGCAGAACATTGCGCGGCAGGTGAGCCGGGCCGGGGTGGGGCCGGCCCTGAGGACGGCGGAAATGGCTCTACCATCATTTCACTCCCCGCTCGGGAGGGGGCCCGTGGTCAGCACAGCAAACCTATCCTGTTTTTTCTTAATTGAGACAAAATTCGCATAACGTAAAATTAACCATTTTGAAGTGTACAGTTTGGTAACATTTGGTACATTCACAATATTGTGCAACCACCACCTCTGTCTAGTTCCAGAACATTTCATCTTTCCAAAAGGAGACCCCATCCCCATCAGCAGCCACTGCCCATTCCCCTGCCCCGAGCCCCTGACATCCAGTCAACTGCTTTCTGCCTCTGTATTTCCCTCGTGCTTCATTCCTTTTTATGGCTCTGTAATACTCCATTGCGTGGGTAGCTACGTTTTGTTTCTATCTCTTGGTGGACATCTGGGCTGTGGCTGCCTTATAGAGATTGTGAGCAATGCTGCTCTGAACATTTGTGTACAAGTTTTTGTTCCGTGTCCCTGTTGACAAACCTTTCTTGAGGTTAAATTGACAACATGGAAAAAACCTTAACCCACTTATCCTGAGGGAGGGTGGGAATAGTGATTTCATCTGCGTTGGTTTTAGTAGTAGCAAAAACCCAGGCCCCACTGAATGTCAACACAAGGAAACTGGTCACGTAAATATAAACAGCAGACGTCCCAGACGAGCTGGGTGTGGTTCCAGGACATGGGTCCTGCCTGGTTTCTGCCAGAATCATTGTTCATGGTGACCTCCATTTCCTGGTCACCAAGTAAGGCTGTTCATCATAAAGTGGAAAAAAAGCTGGAAAAAAAATAATGCCATTACTCTCCCACCCAGACACAGCCACGAGAAGCATTTCAGACAGGACGTTTCCTTCCAGGTTTTAAAGACTGCTTAATGGAGCTAAAATACCCAAGCAGAAAAGTCCCCAAATTTGAAGGGGGCAGATGGATGGGCTTTTCATCAACAGAACCCCTGCCCCTGTGTCCCCACCCAGCCACCTGCCACCCATGGACACCCACAACCCTGATTTCTTTTTCTTCTTCTTCTTTTTTTTTTTTTGAGACAGAGTTTTGCTCTTGTCTCCCAGGCTGGAGTACAATGGCACAATCTCTGCTCACAGCAACCTCTGCCTCCTGGTTTCAAGCAATTCTCCTGCCTCAGCCTCCTGAGTAGCTGAGATTACAGGTGCGCACCACCACGCCTGGCTAATTTTTGTATTTTTAGTAGAGAGGGGGTTTCACCATGTTGGGCAGGCTGGTCTCGAACTCCTGACCTCAGGTGATCCGCCTCCCTTGGCCTCCTAAAGTGCTGGGATTACAGGCGTGAGCCACCGCACCGGCATCACAACCCTGATTTCTACAGAGAGGTAGATCCCTGGCCTCGAGCTGTGTGTTAACAGCAGCACACAGCGCCCAGCCGCATCCTGGGAGCGTCATTCTGTGAGATTCCTGTGTTGAGATGAACCGGCCAAGGATTCCGAGGAACGACCCCCGATTCCGTCCACCTGTCTCCTGAGGACAGGCATGGGCGGTGCCCCGTGGGTGTGTCTGCGGTGGCCGTCTATGTACATTTCTGCTGCTGCCCTTGGGGTAAGGCACAGAGAGGTGTGTCCCGCTGATGGCAACTTTCCGTTTCCTGGGTCACTCGTACCAGTGCTGTGCGAGGCCGCACTCTGTGTCCTCCCTGGGGCTCAGGGGCGTCTCTCCATCAGCTGGGAGTTCAAATCTCGGTGGGCTCACGTTGCATTTCCCTGATGGCAAATGTGGCTGGGGCCCTGTCCTTTCATGGCCGTTGGGACATCTTTTCTCATGGAAAGCTATCCACGGTGTTTGCGCCTGTTTCCGTTGCGTCTGCCTTGTTGGTGACTGGGAGGATTTCTGTGTCTGGCCATGAGGACTTAGTGAAACCCATAGCTGCGTTCTGACACCTTCGCTTCAGCCCCCTCCACTTTCCCTCCGTGTGCCCGAAATGGGTCCCTGCCCATCACCATCCACAGCAGTGGCCACTCCCCAGGTGAGGGAAACACGCACGGGGCAGCCTGGAGAGAGGACACCCAGGGCCCAGCACATGGTGTTGGGGAAGTGACGCAGGGGACGCCAGGGGGCTGGCAGTCTGTCCCCTCCCCCCCCCCCCAGGCTGGGCACCCCTCATGGGCCATGGCTTCGGGGACAGCAACCTTGCTTGTGACACCAGGAGATTGGACCAGATGGTTTATGGAAAGCATTGATTAATGCTTTAAAAAAATCCCCCCCTTCCATAAACAACTCCTCTAGAACCTGTTAAAAACAAAGCAATGAAAATGGGGCTGTCTGGCTGGAGCTGTAGTGAGAGCCACATGCTGCCCTGCTGTCCCAGCTGTGGCTGCACCACACCCCAGCTGCATCTCCCTGGGCCAGGTGCTCACTGCGGGCCCCTCCACACTGTTTGTAACCTGCCTCGAGGCCATGTCTGGACTCTGCCTCCCTTTTTCTTAAAAATTAGCATTGCTGTTTTTTAGCAGTAGCAGTTGGCATTCAGTGGGCACTTGCTGTGTGCCAGGTACTGTCTGAAACCTATGCGTGTCCAGGTGTTATTGTATCCATTCAACAAAGCTGCACATGGAACCCCCAAGGAGTGTGGTCCCCTGACCAGGGCCTGGGCTGTGCAGGCGGGTGATTCACACAGCCCTGTCTGCCCCACGATCCCTGCTGTTTCCATTCCTTCCTTCTTCAGTGCAAAGGTAAAAGGAGTAGCAGTGTATTTACAGCCAAGCATTTAGGGGAAAGGAACAGCCTGCACTCAGGCCACCTTCAGCTCATTCCTGGGTTTGCTTTGGAACATATTTTTCCGTGTCTTTTCTGTGTGTTTCTCACACCCGGGCAGGGTTTGCTGGTCTGGCCTGGTCTGTTTTGTTCAGGTCTGGTCTGGTCTAGTTTTGGTCTGGTCTGGTCTGGTCTAGTTTTGGTCTGGCCTGGTCTGGTCTGGTTTGGTTTTGGTTTGGTCTGGTTTGGTCTGGTCTGGTCTGGCTTTGGTCTGATTTGGTTTGGTTTTGGTTTGGTCTGATTTGGTCTGGTCTGGTTTTGGTCTGGTCTCATCTGGTCTGGTGTGGTTTGGTTTTGATTTGGTCTGATTTGGTCTGCTCTGATCTGGTCTGGTCTGGTCTGGTTTGGTTTGGTTTTGATTTGGTCTGATTTGGTCTGGTCTGGTTTGGTGTGGTTTTGGTTTGGTCTGGTCTGGTCTGGTTTTGGTCTGGTCTGGTCTGATCTGATCTGGCCTGGTTTGGTTTGGTTTTGGTTTGGTCTGATCTGGTCTGTTTGGTCTGGTTTGGTTTGGTTTTAGTCTGGTCTGGTCTGGTTTTGGTATGGTCTAATCTGGTCTAGTTTGGTTGGTTTTGGTTTGGTCTGGTTTGGTGTGGTTTGGTCTGATCTGATCTGGTCTGGTTTTGGTCTGGTCTGATTTGATTTGGTCTGGTTTGGTTTGGTTTTAGTCTGGTCTAGTCTGGTCTGGTCTGGTTTTGGTCTGGTCTAATCTGGTCTAGTTTGGTTGGTTTTGGTTTGGTCTGATCTGATCTGGTCTGGTTTTGGTCTGGTCTGATTTGATTTGGTCTGGTTTGGTTTGGTTTGGTTAGGTTTTGGTTTGGTCTGGTTTGGTCTGGTCTGGTCTGGTTTTGGTCTGGTTTGGTTTGGTTTTGGTTTGGTCTGGTCTGGTTTAGTTTGGTCTGATCTGGTCTGGTCTGGTTTGGTTTTGGTTTGGTCTGGTCTGGTTTTGGTCTGGTTTGGGTCTGGTCTGGTCTGGTCTGTTTGGTCTGGTCTGGTCTGGTCTGGTCTGTCTGGTCTGGTTTGGTCTGGTCTGGTCTGGTCTGTTTGGTCTGGTCTGGTCTGGTTTTGGTCTGGTTTGGGTCTGGTCTGGTCTGGTTTTGGTCTGGTTTGGGTCTGGTCTGGTTTGGGTCTGGTCTGGTTTGGTCTGGTCTGGTCTGTTTGGTCTGGTCTGGTTTGGTCTGGTCTGGTCTGTTTGGTCTGGTCTGGTTTGGTCTGGTCTGGTCTGTTTGGTCTGGTCTGGTTTTGGTCTGGTTTGGGTCTGGTCTGGTCTGGTTTTGGTCTGGTTTGGGTCTGGTCTGGTTTGGTCTGGTCTGGTCTGTTTGGTCTGGTCTGGTCTGTTTGGTCTGGTCTGTTTGGTCTGGTCTGGTCTGGTCTGGTCTGGTTTGGTTTTGGTTTGGTCTGGTCTGGTTTTGGTCTGGTTTGGGTCTGGTCTGGTCTGGTCTGTTTGGTCTGGTCTGGTCTGGTCTGTTTGGTCTGGTCTGGTCTGGTCTGGTCTGGTCGGTTCGGTCTGGTCTGGTCTGGTTTGGTCTGGTCTGGTCGGTTTGGTCTGGTCTGGTCTGTTTGGTCTGGTCTGTTTGGTCTGGTCTGGTCTGGTCTGGTCTGGTCTGTTTGGTCTGGTCTGGTCTGTTTGGTTTGGTCTGGTCTGGTCTGGTCTGTTTGGTCTGGTCTGGTCTGGTCTGGTCTGGTCTGTTTGGTCTGGTCTGCCCACAGCCTGTCAGGATTCTGGTCTCTTCATCCCTGTGTCATGCACTCTCCATCCTGATGTGTTTCTGGCCTTTGTCGACTTCCTCTGTGGGTGAGGTGGGGACTCCCGCAGGAGGCGGGGTGGCCGCACCACCTGCTTTCCTCCCGCCAGCTGCACCACCTCGTGAGCGATGACGTCTGCCTGAAGGTGGTGGAGCTCTACCTGAACGAGAAGAAGCGGGGTGCCGCTGGTGGGAACCTGTCCTCCCGCTGCGTCCGCGCTGCTAGGGAGACCAGCTACCAGTGGAAGGCTGAGCGCTGCATGGCCGACGAGAACTGCTTCAAGGTGAGAGGAGGCCTGGGGCTGGGAACACGCCGGGAGGCCCGGCCGCTCACTCCGCTCTGGACTCAGTCCTGGGTGGACCCTGGTTCAGCGGCTGGGACACCGGCCCTGCTGCAGAGCCCATGAGGTACCTTTGACCTGCAGGAAGCATCAGGGCTTTGGGAGGGTGGCAAAGGCGGGAGGCGGGTGGCCTTGCGAGCCTGCGCTGTGCCGGCTGGGCTGTGCCGGCAGTGGAGGCTGTCAGCGTTCCTGCTCCGCAGGTGATGTTCCTGCAGCGCAAAGGGCAGGTGATCATGACCATCGAGCTCCTGGACACCGAGGAGGCCCAGACGGAGGACCCTGTGGAGGTCCAGGTGAGGCCCTGGCCCCAGTCTGTGCCACGCATACCAGGGAGCGCCTGAGGGCAGCAGCATGGGGCTCCCACCAGCCAAGCGCAGGCCGCGCAGCATCCAGAGACCCTCCCTCTGCAGGCCACAGGCTCTCCTTGAGGCCTGGTGGGTGGGGTTGCCTCCCTCCCTGCTCCCCCACCAGGCTCTCTTCTGTGCCCCCTCTCCAAAGAGCAGACCACTCCTCCTGAGCAAGCGGTTGTGTCCCAGGGCAGGAGGGGAACCAAGCCACCTCTCCCTGGCCCCCGACTCCCACTCAGGGCATCCCGTGGCTGTGACCTCTGCACCTCTTGTGTCAGGGCTGCATCCTGTTCCTAATCCCCAGCAGAGGAGCCACCTGGGCCCAGCTCCCAGTCACAATTTTTGCGGGGACAGATGTTTCCTGCTCACCTCCCGCATCCTGGTGACAGTGAGGCATTGACCCGTGTGTGTCCCCAGGGTGGTCATTGGGGCCTGCAGCTCCCGGCACCTGCCAACAGGTCCAGTGTGTGTGCACATTACTCAGCTAGGCCAACCCCATTCATTTCCTGGGGCTACCACCACAATGACCACAAACCACGTGGCTTCAAACAACAGAAGTCTATTCCCTCAACGTCCTGGAGGTCAGCAGTCCACAACCACAGTGTGGGCCGGGCGGTGCTCCTGCCAAAGGCTCTGGGGCGGATCCTTCCTGCTCTTCCAGCTTCCGGGGGCTTCTGGCGCTCCTCAGCTGTGGCCTGGTTGTGTGAGTCCCGCTGTCACTGGGTCCTCTGTCAAGAGCTATAGTCTGTTGGGGTCTCCGTCAGGGATCAGAGTCCTCTGCAGCGGCTCTCCTCATGCTCTGGCAGTGGGGGGCACAGAACCCCTGTGAGCTCCTGAACTCAGAGTCCAGAGTAAGAGTGGCCATAGCCCTGCTGTAGGGGCATCACGGGCTGTGTCTCTCCCTGTCCCCAGCACCTGGCTCGGTACGTGGAGCAGTATGTGGGGACCGAGGGCGCGTCCAGCTCGCCCACTGAGGGCTTCCTCCTGAAACCTGTGTTCCTGCAGAGGTAAGAGGCCCTGAGATGCATGCTCTGTTCCTTCCTTCCTGGGCCCAGGGAGTGTCCCCTTTGTCCTGACGGGGGCTGGACCATGGCACACTGTCTGGGAGCACTTAGTAGGTGCCTGCTGTGTGCTGAGGCAGGCCCTGCCCTTTTGAGGCTTGTGGTTTGCAGTGGAGGGATTAGTAACCCCAGGACGGTGAGGTGTAGGAGGGGCAAGGCCAACCCCACGATGCGTCAGTGGGTGAAGAGTGAATGCCCGGACTGGAGGGAGACGCTGCCAGAGCTGGTGGGGCCAGGCCAGAGGCGGGTGGCTGTGGCAGGACCCTGGACCACCTCAGGTCGGGCTAGGATGGCACCTATGGGACCAGTGGGGGCTGCTGGTGGGTGTTCAGATCTGGGGGCATTTCTTGTTGCTTCCATTTGCTTTCTGTGGACCCCTGGGAGGTAGCACATCTTCTGATGGTCCCAGGCCTGGGGGTTTCCCAGCCTGCAAATCCTCCTCCCACAATGCCGAGAGCCAGAGTCCATTCCACCTCCTTTCGCCCCCAGGAACCTCAAGAAGTTCCGCCGCCGGTGGCAGAGCGAGCAGGCGCGGGCCCTGCGCGGTGAGGCCAGGAGCTCCTGGAAGCGGCTGGTGGGCGTGGAGAGCGCCTGCGACGTGGACTGCCGCTTCAAGCTCAGCACTCACAAGATGGTGTTCATCGTGAACTCCGAGGACTACATGTACCGTCGCGGGACCCTCTGCCGGGCCAAGCAGGTGCCAGGGGAGGCCTGGGCTGCCCCGACATGCCCCTCCTCACCCCAAGTCCTGGGGCCCTGGGGGTCCAGCCCTCAGCTGCCCTGACACCCGGCCTCTTCAACAGGTGCAGCCCCTGGTCCTGCTCCGCCACCACCAGCACTTTGAGGAGTGGCACAGCCGCTGGCTGGAGGACAATGTGACGGTGGAGGCGGCTAGCCTGGTGCAGGACTGGCTGATGGGTGAGGAGGACGAGGACATGGTACCCTGCAAGACGCTGTGTGAGACAGTGCACGTGCACGGCCTGCCCGTGACCCGCTACCGCGTGCAGTACAGCCGCCGCCCGGCCTCGCCCTGACCCGCCCTCATGGGCACCGGGCAGGCGCCTCACAGAGCACAGACGTGCCCTCGGCCTTGGTCGTGTCGGGGCCGTTTTCTTGAACGACGTGAGAGGCATCTCCCAGCCCCTCTGCTGCCGGACAGCGCACTCCAGGGCAGGACGCCGCCCCCGTGGCTCCCGGTCTCCTGTGGGCCTGCTGTGTGCCAAACCTGAGCTACCTGCACCCGAGCCCTGGGGCTCAGCCCCACCACAGGGGCGGGTGGACGTGCTGGCCGAGGAACAAGCAATCATGTTTGCGTCCCCGTCCGTCACATGTGCCAAATCCCTGGCAGGCAGATGGCTCCTGCCCCATATTCTTGCCGTGTCTTGGAAAAGTCACAGGTGACAGCCCTCCTGAGGCCCACACTTTGGAGGGGGTCCATGTCCAAGAGACCCTGACAAGGAAGGAGTTGAGCCCTGGGTAGGCTTGCTTGAAAAGTGAGTCCTTCCAGAATATTCTCAGAGCTGCCAGAAACATCATCTGAGGGTTTGGGCATCAGCTCTGCCTGGCTGGTGTTCAGGCCCTCAGTCACTTTGGAAGTGAGAAGAACCCTTCAGCCAAACCTTTGGGATCCCATTTTGAAGTCCAGAGCTGGAGCAGGCGGGCAGTGCCCTGGGAGACCCCGCTCTGGATAAGACACCCAACCCCAACTCCAGCAGCTGGACTCTGGGCCCACAAGGGGAGGGACCCCAGCCAGTATTCCCTCAGAGCCGGCACGACCCTGCTGTGGGGCGGCGGGCCCAGTCGTGTTCCTGCAGTGGGCACCCTAGGCGTATGTGTATACACGCACAGATATTTATTCCTTTCGCTTTTAGTGGTTGTTATTTCTGTAGCAGCCAAGTCCTGCGGCTCCCTGGGGCTGAGATCTCCCTTTGTGGAACTCCGAGAGCCGCCCTGACAGTCCCAGCCGCCACCCAAGGAGCCCCATCCGCCCACCCACCCTGGGACCCACGCGGCCACTCCAGGGATCATTGTTGTCCTTTTGTGAGGGGCTGAGGCGACTGTCCCATGGAGGCATCCAAGGCTTTCTGTGCCAAGAATCCCAAGTGACTGGGGCTGGGGACCACTTCTCCAGGCCTCTCTCCCCGACCATGAGAGCCCCTGGCCCTGGCCCCTGCACACCAGTAGGCCCAGAATAACCGCCACCCTTGCCATCCTGCAACAGCTGGACTCAAGTTTCCAGGAAGTGGAGATGTGTTTCTAGAAGTTTCCTGTGGAACCTGGAGGCTCCTGATGCCTTTGACTCCAGGCTGGGCGATTCCGATGCTGACCCGTCCTCCTGGGCTCCCCACCCCCGCTCCCCAAGTGTCACACAGGCACTTTGTACACATCCTGGTTTTCTAAGAAGGGAACTTGCCATCAAGATTCCTGTACCAGGCCCACGGCCGTCTCGGGCAGAGCCACCTGGGCCCCGGGTGCAGCCGGAGACCCCGCCGAGCCCCTCCTCCCAGTATTCCCATCCCCGCATGCTTCTAGGGAGCGCCTCTTTTCCGTTCTTGAGGAATTTCTGTTCTGGGGCTTGTCCTTCCTTTGCAGCTGTTTTGAATGTAGTTTTCCTTTTCTATTTATTTGCACATTAAAGTTAATAATTGAATATTGACATCAAGCCGTGAGGGTGTGTTGGTCTTCCTGTGAGAGCCTTGCTGACTTCCTGCCACCAGGTCAGTGGGCTGGACCCATGAGAGCAAGGGGTGGCTGGGTGTGCCTACCTGGGACCAGGGGAGTCGAAGCCCCTCCTTGAACCAAGATCATCTCACACCCTGCACCTGCCCCGCCACGACATGGGAGTGTCTTCTAGAATATTCTTTCCCCATTCCATTTGCACATTTAGTGGGAATTAGAAGCGTCTCCTTCGCCCGAGTGTCTCTCATGCAGAACCCAATTTAAAGATCATGGTGTTTGCTCTAAGGTGTTTGTTCTAAGCTTCCCATGCCCAACCTATCCGTCCAGGCCCATGCCTGCCCACCCACCCCACACGACCACCCTCTGTACTCCTTGGGGCCCCACCCACTTCCTGGCTTTCACCATCATTTTCTCCTCATCTCCTGCCCCCTGTCTGCATCCCAAGCTCCACACCTGCTTCCGGGTAGCAGAAGCCCCAGCTCTGCTGTGTCCCCTGGCTGACATACCTGGAGGGTTCCAAGGCAGAAGTGGCCAGCCCCTCCCCCTCAGTATGGGCTCCTCCATCCTCTGTAGGGGAGGGGCCATAGCTTCCTCCCAGTGACCCATGTGCTCCCTGTACACCCAAGCGTCTCTGGCAGTTCTGACCACACCCCCACCGGAGGGTCAGGGCTCCCAGGGAGCGTGGCAAGCCAGACCGGAGGCCGCCCTGTTTCCTTCTGCCTTGATCCCATGGCTGGGGATGCCCAGGGTCCTCTGTGGGCCCCCAGACTGGCTTTCCTTGGTCAGAAGTGCTGCAGGGGCTGGGAAAGGCTGTGCTGGTCCCAGGAGAGCAGACAAAGAGCAGATCTCCGAGGTGGCCCTGCCCTGAGGGGTCCCCTGCCCTCAAGTAGGGCCCATGGCCTTGATGAGGTGATATGACATGAGTTGAGAGAGGTTCCTCACTGGCCCTGAAGATGTCTCCGCTGTGCTGGGGAGGGGACCCTGTGGCAAGGGACAGAGAGTGGCCTCCAAGAGCCAAGGGGGACCTCAGAGCCACCACTACCACCAGGACCCAAATTCTGCCCAAGTCCACTTGGGCCCAGAAAAGGCCCCCGAGCAGCAGATAAGGACACAGCCCAGCTGACACCTTGATCTCAGCCTCATTTGACCCTGAACCAAAGACCCAGCCTCCCAGGCTGGACCCCTGACCCACGGAAACAAAAGGTCATAGAGGCGTGTGGCTGTGAGCCACATTCATTATCCAGAGATAGATACAGCAGCATTAATAAAGCCGCTGCATGTCCAGCACCTCCCCTTCCACCTCCGTCAAGTACGGGGAGGTGGCTGAGGGTCTCAGGAACCCCTACTGAGGGGGGAAATGAAAGAAAAAAGAAAAAATTAAAAAGAGAATTAAGCTTTTCCTGTATTAGGCTGACTTGTCTCAGAGGCAGCAACAGGCACAGCCCAGACCCAGGAAAAGTCTTAATAATACTAAGAAGCCAAGACACAAAGGAATGTGCTCTGGAGCCTCTCCCAGCACTCCCTCAACATAGGGAGAAGAAAAACAAATTTTCCTTTGTTTCATGGTATGAGTTTATAGATTCCTGCTCTCTACACCTAGTGACTTCAAATATTCTGTTTTATCAGCAGTGGAGTGAAGGTCATAAACTGTCTGAGCAGCCTGAGATAGAGCCACCTGGGTGCCATAGTGATGGCCATGGAATAAGCCATGCTAAGCACTAGGGCAAACCTACATAATGGCCATCTGAGTTGCACAGCAACGGTCATGTCTAATCCTGAGTTATGAGCCTGTTATAATTTGATTAACTGTCTTTGTCCTGCCTCTGTATCCCTGCTTTCACGCCACTGTAAGCCTGCTTCAAGCTAACCCACCCCTTTTTAAAAGTGTGTTTAAGTCAAGTGCTGTCTTTATTCTAGGCCCAGTTTTTAGACGTTGAGTCCAGTGGGTCTGAGTGCACTCAATAAAGATCCTCCTGTATACACCCCAAGGTCTCTCTTTTCCTCCTGTTTCCACAACACTACATGTGATGCTGACAGAGGGTGCTGGGACAGGGGCTTCCAGTGGGGCCCCATGAACATTTATTCTGTTGCTAGTGAGGTGTTTGTCTCACTGGCTTTTGCAACATATAACCAGTGCTTCCCGCCTGATGTCCTCACTTGCTGAGAATGAGGCTAACTACTCCAAACAGCAAACTGAATACCATCCAGCAATCACGTTCCTTTGTATTTGCCCAAAGGAACTGAAAACTTGGGTCCACACAAAAACCTGCACAAGAGATATACGCAGCCTTATTCACCAGTGCCCAAACTCAGACACAACCAAGGCGTCCTTCAGCGGGCAAACGGATAAACCATGTCACCTCCAGACAACAGGATATAAAACGAAATGAGCCATGAAGCTGTGAAGACATGAAGGGGCCAGGCGTGGTGGCTCACACCTATAATTCCAGCACCTTGGGAGGCTGAGGCAGGAGGATCACCTGAGGTCAGGAGTTTGAGACCAGCCTGGCCAACATGGTGAAACCCTGTCTGTCCTGAAAATACAAAAATTGGTCAGGCGTGGTGGCACGCGCCTGTAATCCCAGCTATTCCAGAGGCTGAGGCAGGAGAATTGCTTGAACCTGGGAGGCAGAGGTTGCAGTGAGCCGAGATCACGCTACTGCACTCCGGCCTGGGTGACAGAGCGAGAGTCTGTCTCAAAAAATAAAAGACACAAAGGGGCCTCAAATGCATCTAACTAAGTGAAAGAAGCCAGCCTGGAAAGGCTGCACACTGCATGATTCCAACTATAGAACACTCTGGAAAAGGCAAAAGTATAGAGGCAGTGAAAAGATCTGTGGTTGCCAGGGGGCAGATGGGAGGAAGTAATCCATAGGTGGAGGTGGGAGGATTTTTAGGGCAGTGACGCAACTGTGCGACACTATGGTCAATGGTGGACATATCATGACACATATGTCCAAACCCATGGAAGGTACAGTGCCAAAAGTGAACCCCCATGGAAACGCGGGGTTCCAGAAGACAGAGCCGTGTCCATGCAGCTTTGTCCGTTGCAACAAAGGCACCGCTTTTGGTAAAGGACATAGATAGCGGGGGAGGCTTGCATGTGTGGGGTGGGGTTACATGGGGACTCTGTACCTTCTGCTGAATTTCACTGTGAACCTAAAACTGCTCTAAAAAATAAAGTTTTTTTTAAAAAAGCAATTTGACCCAAAGTCAGTCTCAGGAGGCCAGGGGGTGGGGGACAGAACAGGCCAGGGCAGGAACTTGCAGGGACGGGTGCAGGCAGGCTGAGGTCTCAGGAATGTGTCTGCACCTCTGTGGTTTCCCTTCTCTTCTTCCCTTCTGGGGACCTTTGCAATCTGGGCTGGCTGCTGGGTCCCGCCTAGGTTTCAGATTCTGCCCCACCCTGAGGTTGGCCAGTCCCTTCTCTCTGTGGCTCTGGGAGTGGAGCCTCAGCCCTTGGTACAGTGGAGCAAACAAACTCTGATTTGGGGCCCCAGAGAGGAAGCGCTGGGAATCCAGGGGTTGGACAGGCTGGACCCCAAGCCCTGCTTCCACCATGGCTGTCCGTGCGACCCTGGGAGTGACTGTCAGTCCTGGTGAGACAGGGTCACAGCACCTGCCTCTCATGGCCATTCAACTGGGTTAATGTCCCTGCCCAGCCAGGGAATGAGAGGAGGTGGCACCATGTTTGCTGCTGGAGTGTAATGGCGCGATCTTGGCTCACTGCAATCTCCACCTCCCGGGTTCAAGCGATTCTCCTGTCTCAGCCTCCTGAGTAACTGGGATTACTGGCACGCACCACCACGCCCAGCTAATTTTTGTATTTTTAGTAGAGACAGGGTTTCATCAAATTGGTCAAGCTGGTCTTGAACTCCCAACCTCAGGCGATCCGCCTGCCTCGGCCTCCCAAACTGCTGGGATTACAGGCATGAGCCACCGCACCCAGCCTGCCCATGTGGCTTCTAACTTGTTCCCTGACCCTGACCTTTTGCTGGAGGCAGTGAAGGCAGGAGAGAGTGGAGGCCACATCCAGGAGCTTCCAGGGACCTGAGGGGTTGGAGGACAATGAAATCCAGGACACGCCACTGACTTGCGCCTGTCTGCCAATTTTTCCCCATTTAAAAAAGTTATTTAAAGGGCCAGGTGCAGTGGCTTACACCTGTAATCCCAGCACTTTGGGAGGCTGAGGCAGGCGGCTCGCCTGAGGCCAGAAGTTCGAGGTGGTGAAACTCCACCTCTACTAAAAATACAAAAATTAGCCGGGTGTGGTGGCATGCACCTGTAATCCTAGCTACTCGGGAGGCTGAGGCAGGAGAATCACTTGCACCCTGGAGGTGGAGGTTGCAGTGAGCAGAGACTGTGTCACTGCACTCCAGCCTGAGCAACAGAGTGAGACTCTGTCTCCAAAAAAAAAAAAAAAAAAAAAAAAAGTTATTTGAATTGTGGTCAAGTTTATCTTAATGATTTTTAAGTGTTCAGCTCAGTGGCAGTAAGTACATTCATATTGTCACCATCCATCTCCAGAACTTTTTTTTTTTGGAGACAGAGTCTCGCTCTGTCACCAAGGCTAGAGGGCAGTGGCACAGTCTCTGCTCACTGCAACCTCTGCCTCCCAGGCGCAAGTGATCCTCCCACCTCAGCCTCTCGAGTAGCAGGGACCACAGGTGTATACTACCACACTCGGCTAATTTTTGTATTTTTTTGTAGAGATGGTTGGGGGGGTGTCTCACTTTGTGGCCCAGGCTGGCCTCGAACCCCTGACCTCAAGTGATCCACCTGCCTTGGCCTCCCAAAGTGCAGGGATTACAGGCGTGAACCACCTCACCCAGCCCAGAACTCTTCCATCTTGCAAAACTGAAACACTGTGGCCTTAAGCACTCACTCCCCAATCCCCCTCCCCCAGCCTCTGGCACCCCCCAACCCATTCTACTTCCTGTCTCTATGGAGGTGACCACTCCAGGGACCTCCCATGAGTGGAATGACTCAGGATTTGTCTTTCCGTGACCGGCTTATTTCCCTCAGCATAATGTCCTCAAGATTCATCCACAATGTAGCATATGTCAGAATTCCCTTACTTTTTAAGGCTGCCTTTTTTTTTTTTTTTTTTTTTTTTTTTGGCAGAGTTTCACTCTGTCACCCGGGTGGGAGTGCAGTGGTGCAATCACAGCTCACTGCAGCCTCGACCTCCTGGGCTCAAGCAATCTTCCCACCTCATTTTTTGATTTTTTGTAGAGACAAGATTTCACTATGTTGCCCAGGCTGGTCTTGAACTCCTGAGCCCAAGCGATCCCTCTACCTCGGCCTCCCAAAGCACTGGGATTACAGGCATGAGCCACCACTCTGAAACAGCCCGGCCTGGCTGTCTGCCCTTTTTAAGAAAATAAGATTTTGGCCGGGCGTGGTGGCTCACGCCTGTAATCCCAGCACTTCGGGAGGCTGAGGCGGGTGGATCACCTGAGGTCAGGAGTTTGAGACCTGCCTGGCCAACATGATGAAACCTCGTTTCTACCAAAAATACAAAAATTAGCCAGGCATGGTGGCGGGTGCCTATAATCCCAGCTGCTCGGGAGGCTGAAGCAGGAGAATCGCTTGAATCCAGGAAGCAGAGGTTGCAGTGAGCCGAAATGGCACCATTGCACCTTCAGCCTGGGCAACAAGAGCGAACCTCCATCTCTAAATAAAAAATATTTTGGCCAGGTGCAGTGGCTCATGCCTATAATCCTAGTGCTTTGGGAGGCTGAGGCAGGTGGGTCACCTGAGGTCAGGAGTTTGAGACCAGCCTGGCCAACACGACGAAACTCCGCCTCTACTAAAAATACACAAAATTAGCCGGGCATAGTGGCAGGCGCCTGTAATCCCTGCTGCTGGGGAGGCTGAGGCAGGAGAATTGCTTGAATCCAGGAAGCAGAGGTTGCAGTGAGCTGAGATTGCGCCATTGCACTCCAGCCTGGGCGACTGATCGAGACTCCATCTTAAAAAAAAAAAAAGTTTTTATGGAAAGTAACACAGTGCACAGAAAACTCCAACAGTACAAAACAGACACATGGTTTCCTCTCCTCCAAAGCTGTCGCGCCCAGCGTCCTCCGGGAAGTACCTGGGCAGTGTCGCCTGGGTACAGCTTGTGCCTGACAGGGGCAATGTCATCGTCACCTCTGCTTGCTGGGGTTCCCCCGACAGCCTGTGCTGCCGTGTTGTTCCCGGGGAGGGGCTGTTGGCGGGCACCTCCCTGCTTTGTGCTGCTGTGTGGATATCCTCCCAAGGACATCTTCCTGTGCGTGTGTCTGGCAGAAATTCCTAGACATGGAACCCTTGAGTATAAGGGCATGTGCGTCACTATGTTTTTTTTTTTTTTTTGAGACGCGTTTCACTCTTGTTGCCCAGGCTGGAGTGAGGCTGGAGTGCAATGATGCAATCTCGGCTCACTGCAACCTTTGCCTCCCATGTTCAAGTGATTCTCCTGCCTCGCCTCCCGAGCAGCTGGGATTACAGGCATATGTCACCATGCCTAGCTAATTTTGTATTTTTACTAGAGATGGGGTTTCTCCATGTTAGTCAGGCTGGTCTCGAACTCCCAACCTCAGGTGATCCACCCGCCTCTGCCTCCCAAAGTGCTGGGATTACAGGTGTGAGCCACTGTGCCTGGCTTTTTTTTTTTTTTTTTTTTTTTTTTGAGTCGGAGTCTCGCTCCGTTGCCCAGGCTGGAGTGCAGTGGTGTGATCTCAGCTCACTGTAACCCCTGCGTCCTGGGTTCAAGAGATTTTCCTGCCTCAGCCTCCTGAGGAGCTAGGACTACAGACGTGCGCCACCATGTCTGGCTAATTTTTGTATTTTTAGTAGAGACGGGTTTTCACCATGTTGGCCAGGACGGTCTCGATCTCTTGACCTCGTGATCCACCCACCTGGCCTCCCAAAGTGCTGGGATTACAGGCGTGAGCCATTGCGCCCGGTCGTGCATCACTATTTTGATGCATCATCTTCAAACCACCCTGCCCCAGCATCACTGGACTGCCGGTGTGCCCAGCCTCCCCTGCACAGCTTCCCACTCTGCTCACAGAGAAGACGGTGGAGGGGGGAGCCCAGGCGTGGGTTTTCCGTGTGCTGAGGGTGTCCTCAGCCACCTTTTTCCCCAAGTCATTGACGTGAAGCTGATTTTCTCATTGGTGGCCATGGAAACTGCCCAGAAATGGGAGCAGGGCCTCTGAGACCCTGCCCCAGCTAGACTCTCTCTCCAGGCTTCAGTGTCTCCTCCTGGAGCTGGGTGTTGACTCTGTCCAAGACTCTGCTCAGTCACTTCCTGGCTGATCCCCGAGTGCTCAAGTGTGTGATGAGATTAGGGCTCCCCCAGGCAGGAAACGGCCACATTGGACCCCTCCCTCCCCCATCCCTAGTTCATTTTATTTTCCCCAATCCTCATGGCTCCCAACTAGGCCCTCCTGCTCCCAGACCCCCCCAAGCCCTGTCCCCCATCCCCTGTAGCCCAGCGCTGAGCACACTGGGGCCAGAACCACCCATACCAGACTCCCCCAGGGCACGACGGGTTGAGGCCTCTCTGAGGCAGGGAGGGACAACACTGAGGGGCCTTGTGCAGAAGAGGGAAGGGGTACCCCCCCGAGCTTCAGTTTCTTCATCTGCCCGATGAGCCCCCATCCAATGGTACCCAGGAGTGGGGATGTGCTGGGGCTAGAGGAGGGAGGCCCCCTGGAGGCTGGCTTGGGGACCCTTCAACCTGGCCACCTCACTCAGGGTCAGAGGTCAGAGCAGGCGAGCCACACACCCCGAAGTCCCCCCGGTCCTCGGCAGGTGCTGTCCCCAGCATCACTGTCTCCCCTACAGATGCCCGTGTGTCCCCTGGGCAAGAGTGAAGTGAGGCACTCATACAGGGGTGCCTTGTGAGTATGGGGTCAGCCGAGGATGCTGAGGGGCTCTCGAGGTTCAGCCAGAGTCCCTGACGCTGGGCTCGTGCTGCTCTGGGGGTCTGAAGGGACCCTCGCTATTACCCTCTGGGAGGCGCCCATCCTTGGTTTTTTTTTTTTTTTTTGCCGAGTCTCGCTCTGTTGCCCAGGCTGGAGTGCAGTGGCAAGATCTCGGCTCACTGCAACCTCCACCTCCTGGGTTCAAGCAATTCTCCCACCTCAGCCTCCTGAGTAGCTGGGACCACAGGCATCTGCCACCAAGCCCAGCTAATTTTTGTATTTTTATGAGAGATGGGGTTTCTCCATGTTGGTCAGGCCGGTCTCAAACTCCCAACCTCAGGTGATTTGCCTGCCTTGGCCTCCCAAAATGTTGGGATTACAGCCGTGAGCCACCGTGCCTGGCCTAGCAGGGCTCTTCTTATCCTGCTCACCAGAGATAGGAAGTCGGGGGGTGACTTCAGGAAAGGCCCAGAGCCCGTGATGGGCGTGGGGATTGGGGTGAGGACAGGGCTGTCGTGAGAACAGTGGCTGCAGATGTGAGCGGCTGGCAGGAAGTGGCCACTTGAACCGCAGATGCTTCCTGGGCTGGTCAGGGACCGGGGGTGCTGGCTGCAGCTGGGACCCCCCCCCCTGCATCTTGCTGGCCTGGCACCTGGGTCCCTGGGAGGCGCCACACTGGATATAGCCACGTGGGGCAGCCCGGTCTCCATAACCCACACTCCAGTCCTCCCACGGGCTGGCTGGCAAGCGGCCCTGGTGGGTCTGCGGGGGCAGGGGCAGCCTTCCTGGTTTATCTCTACCGGCGCGATCTGCTCGTCCGCCTCGGCTCCAGAAGCTGGGGCTCAGGGTCCGGCGAGGCAGGAAGCCTGAGGCCACAGCCCAGAGCAGCCTGAGTGCAGTCATGTGGGGGCGACTGCTCCTGTGGCCCCTGGTGCTGGGGTTCAGCCTGTCTGGCGGCACCCAGACCCCCAGCGTCTACGACGAGAGCGGGAGCACCGGAGGTGGTGATGGTGAGTGGTCCTGGCTTTGGGGTGCAGAGATGGGGTTACATCAGAGATGGAGCTGGGGGCCCGGAGCTGGGGAGGGGGAGGCCGGGAAGTTGCGGGCTTCAGCCCAGCCCACTCTGTATCCCGTCTCTGACCCCATAGGGCTGGGCTATTCCCTTGAGTGTCATGTCCAGCTGTTTCCCACCAGGGCAGACCCCAGGCTCTGAGCACCTCCCTCCCTGCTGCTTCTCGTCACCTGCCGAGGCAGGGGCTGACTGAGGTCCCCTCTCTCTCCCAGACAGCACGCCCTCAATCCTGCCTGCCCCCCGCGGCTACCCAGGCCAAGTCTGTGCCAATGACAGTGACACCCTGGAGCTCCCGGACAGCTCACGGGCACTGCTTCTGGGCTGGGTGCCCACCAGGCTGGTGCCCGCCCTCTATGGGCTGGTCCTGGTGGTGGGGCTGCCGGCCAATGGGCTGGCGCTGTGGGTGCTGGCCACGCAGGCACCTCGGCTGCCCTCCACCATGCTGCTGATGAACCTCGCGGCTGCTGACCTCCTGCTGGCCCTGGCGCTGCCCCCGCGGATCGCCTACCACCTGCGTGGCCAGCGCTGGCCCTTCGGGGAGGCCGCCTGCCGCCTGGCCACGGCCGCACTCTATGGTCACATGTATGGCTCAGTGCTGCTGCTGGCCGCCGTCAGCCTGGATCGCTACCTGGCCCTGGTGCACCCGCTGCGGGCCCGCGCCCTGCGTGGCCGGCGCCTGGCCCTTGGACTCTGCATGGCTGCTTGGCTCATGGCGGCCGCCCTGGCACTGCCCCTGACACTGCAGCGGCAGACCTTCCGGCTGGCGCGCTCCGATCGCGTGCTCTGCCATGACGCGCTGCCCCTGGACGCACAGGCCTCCCACTGGCAACCGGCCTTCACCTGCCTGGCGCTGTTGGGCTGTTTCCTGCCCCTGCTGGCCATGCTGCTGTGCTACGGGGCCACCCTGCACACGCTGGCGGCCAGCGGCCGGCGCTACGGCCACGCGCTGAGGCTGACCGCAGTGGTGCTGGCCTCCGCCGTGGCCTTCTTCGTGCCCAGCAACCTGCTGCTGCTGCTGCATTACTCGGACCCGAGCCCCAGCGCCTGGGGCAACCTCTATGGTGCCTACGTGCCCAGCCTGGCGCTGAGCACCCTCAACAGCTGCGTGGATCCCTTCATCTACTACTACGTGTCGGCCGAGTTCAGGGACAAGGTGCGGGCAGGGCTCTTCCAACGGTCGCCGGGGGACACCGTGGCCTCCAAGGCCTCTGCGGAAGGGGGCAGCCGGGGCATGGGCACCCACTCCTCTTTGCTCCAGTGACACAAAGTGGGGAAGGCTGTACTGGGTCGAACAGGGTCCCTTCCCCCACTTCACGTCCTTCCTGGGACCTCAGAATGTGACCTTATTTGGAAATAGGGTTGTTACAACTGTCACTAGCGGAGGTCACTTTGGAGAAGGGTGGGCCTTACATCCAGTGTGGGTGGTGTCCTCATAAGATAAGGAGAGGCCAGGCCTGGTGGCTCACGCCTGTAATCCCAGCACTTTAAGAGGCCAAGGCGGATGGATCACTTGAGCCCAGGAGTTCAACACCAGCCTGAGCAACATGGTAAAACCCCATCTCTACCAAAAATACAAAAATTAGCTGGGCTTGGTGGCTGGCGCCTGTAATCCCAGCTACTCAGGAGACTGAGGCAGAAGGATCGCTTGAACCTGGGAGGCAGAGGTTGCAGTGAGCCGAGATTGCGCCACTGGACTCCAGCCTGCGTGACAGAGAGCCTGTCTCTAAATTAATTAATTAATTAATTTAATTCAATTTTAAAAAGACGAAAAGTGACGGCCAGGTGCAGTGGCTCACGCCTATAATCTCAGCACTCTGGGAGGCCAAGATGGAGGATTGCTTGAAGCCAGGAGTTTGGGACCAGCCTGGGCAACATAGGGGGATCCCATCTCTACACACAAAAAAATTTTTTAATGAACCAGGCATTGTGGCATGCGCCTATAGTCCCAGCCACTCAAGAGGCACAGGCGGGAGGATCACTTGAGCCTGGGAGGTTGTGGTTGCAGTGAGCTATGATTGTACCACTGCACTCCAGCCTGGGCAACAGAGCAAGACCTTGTCTCAAAAATAAACAAACTAAAATTAAAAAAAGAAGACGAGAGATAGTGGGTGTGGTGGCTCACACCTGCAATCCCAGCACTTTGGAAGGCCGAGGTGGGCAGATCATCTGAGGCCAGGAGTTCAAGACCAGCCTGGCTAACATGGTGAAATCCTATCTCTACCAAAAATACAAAAATTAGCCAGGCGTGGTGGTGGGCACCTGTACTGGGGAGGTGCCCACCCAGCTACTGGGGAGGCTGAGTCAGGAGAATCGCTTGAACCTGGGAGGCGGAGGTTGCGGTCAGCTGAGATGGTGCCACTGCACTCCAGCCTGGGCGAAAGAGCGACTCTGTCTCCAAAAAAAAGAGAAGAGGAGAGGACACAGAGACACACAGAGAAGAAAGCCATGTGGCGGCAGAGGCAGAGATGGGAGTGATGCGGACGGACACAAACTAAGGGATGCCACGATGCCAAGCACAGCCAACAGCCACCAGCAGCCAGGAGACAGGCCTGGGACGGGCTCTCCCTCACAGCCTCCAGAGGGAACCAGCCCTGCCACCACCTTGACCCTGGACTTCTGGCCTGCAGAACTGTGAGACAATAAACTCTCATTGTTTTAAGCTGCCTGGCATGTGGCACTTTGTCAGGGCAGCCCAGGAATCTGAAACAGGATCAAACTCTGCTTCCTGGGCCCTGCCAGCATCTCTGGCTCGGCTTTCTGGGCTGGATGCAGCCCACGACGCACTGGTGTCTGAGATGGGGCTGGAGCTGGGGCTGGGGCTGCATTCCCTGGAGACTCACTGCAAGTTCCTGCCCAGGAGGCTGAGGGCACCCCATCCTCAGTGCCCAATGCTGTGGCCCCACCAGGCCCAGAGCCTGGTTGGCCATTCTCATGCCCACCAGCTTCTGGCTTTGGGATGTCTCTTGAGCAACCAGAATAGCACCCCCAACTCTGCTCCCCAAAACCCATCACTAGCACGGCTCAGCCTCCTGCTATCCCCTGACTGCTGGGGACCCTCGCCTTCCCTCCTCTCACCTGCAGGCTGATCCTTCTTTTCACTTTCTGTCAATGTCACCAGGGATAAGGTGGGACAATGGGGGGTGGGGGTGGACAGTGTGTGCTGGGGGGTTCGGGTGCTGCAGACCTGGAACTCCCTTCTGCCAGGATGTTGGCAGCCGGTTGTAAGCCTTGCACGGGACAGACCACAAGGGGCCATGCCAGTGGCTGTGGAGGACACAGCTGGTGTGTGGGGAAGGGGAGAAGCCTCAGCACCTGGTGCACAAACACACACACAGACACAGACACACACACACACAGAGACACCGCTGCTCACTCCAGGGAGTGGCACAGGGCAGTTTCAAAGACCACTGGGGCATGAACTATGGGGGCAAGGCAGAGGGTTGGAGGGCCACTGTTGGGCTCCTCATTGGGTCTATGTCTCTGATCAGCCCAACTTTGGGCAGCCCTGGGCTGGGGGTGTCAGGTGCCCGGGACACACACATGCACACACACACACATGCACACACAAAGTTCATGTGCACCCCAGAACATGTGAGTAAGATCAGTAACGTGTATTCTTGTCAATATCCTGGAGTGATCATTTACCAGAGTTTTCTGAGATGTTAACCACAGGCACAAGCTGGGTGTGTGGGTATGAATGGTCCCCAGGACCAAACTGCGGTCCCACAACTGCATGTGGTTGTAGGATTATCTCAAGGTGCAGGTGTTTGACATCCATAAACCCTCCTCCCCACCACTCTGAAAGGCTGGGCTGTAGACGAAGACAGGGCTCAGAAGCCCTGGCCTGTGGGCCCCCACCACCCGGCCACTATGTCTCTGAGGGGCCGGAGTCTGGCCCCATCTGTGGAACGGGCTGGCGCTCTGGGTGCTGCTTTCCAGGTTCCCGCTGCTCACAGGAGGCCGAGGCCCGGCTGTGACCCTGGAGATGAGGTTTTATCTTACAACATCCTCTACAGCAAGTGGGCACGGGGCCTCGGGCTGAGGAAGGAGCCACAGGGCCTGTCGCTTGTAGGGTGCCAGGGGTGGGGAACCCACCGGCCAGGGCAGCCTCAGACCTTGATCTCACAGGCAGCGAGGGGCCTCCGTGCTGGCAGAGATCAGGGCTGAGCGGTGTTGGCTGAAATAAATACCACCCCGGAGAAGATGGGCAAATGCAGACATAAGCAGGTGCCAGGGGTCACAAAGGGGAATCAAAGTCTGCTGGTACTGGTGGCAGGCAGCTGGTAGGGCCCCCCAAGGCAGGCAGGTTCTGGGCCTGGGGGCCCTGGGAGTGGGCTGGTCCTCTGGGCACGAGGACATCAGGAACTCACGGTGAGGAAGCACCGGGGTCACCCAGCCCCGGCAGCCGGAAGCTGAAAGTGCATTTGCTGAGAGCCATCTGCTTCCCCGCAGGGCCTTGTGATGTGAGCCCGAGGTCCCCGGGGGGCGAAGGCAGAGGGTGCGAGAGCTGGGACAGTCTTAGGGCAATTTGGGGTCCTGGGTGCCCCAAAGGGAGGCCGGGGCTTTGTGTTTCAGAGAAACGCAGCCTGTTCCGTTTTGAAGTTGCCCACCGGCTGGATGTTTTGCTAATTTAGTCCACATCGTGTTTGCTCAGAAAGAGGCTTTTGGCCACACGAGTGCTTTCTGGGAATGTTTCTTCTCCCGGGAACAGAATGTCAGGCTGTGGGAGCTGCCGTGGCCCCAGGAAAATGATGCCCAGCTCCAAGGCTGGGGGGTTGGGGTGCTTGGAGCTCCAGCTGTAGCTAGGAAGGTGGGGGATCTCCCAAGGGACCTCCAGCTGTCCCCCCTGCACCACACCGGTGACTGCTGAGCCCACACCTGGGTCCCAAGAGTCTCATCCTAGGGACGGGCAGATCTCTGTCATTCTGTTCCTTGGGTTCATTTAGAGGCAGGTGTCACCTGGGCTGAGGTCTGCCCACCCACCATACAGAGTCACAGGCTGATAGGGACAGGATGCAGCCAGATGGTGTCGTCCTGCTCTCAGCAGGGCAGCCGTTAGGAAGAGAAGCCGCTCTGACTGGCCAGGAGAGGAGAAAGATTCCTATGGGGCCGCCAGGACTTCGGGATGGGACCCCACACCCCTTTCCTGAACCCAACTCCACGGGGCTCAGGCCAGCTGCCACCTCCTCATTTAGATGGCAGAACCCCAACTGGATGGGGGACACATGGCCCAGGCCTGGCACTGTACAACTCTGCCTCCTTTCCCCTTCCAGTGGACCACAGTGATGGGCTCTGGGTGTCCATGTGCGGTAAGAGGGGAGTAGCTTGTGTCAGACCACCAACCAAATCGAAAAGCTACCCATAGCACACTACCCAGCAATACAAAAGAACAAACTCCAGGCCGGGCACAGTGGCTCACGCCTGTAATCCCAAAGCTTTGGGAGACTGAGATGGGAGGATCACTTGAGCCCAGGAATTTGAGGCTGCAGTGCACAATGATCATGTCTATGAACAGCCATGGCACTCCAGCTTGGGCAACATACAGAGACCCCATCTCTACAACACACACACACACACACACACACACACACACACACACACTAGCTGGGCGTGGTGGTAGTGTGTGCCTGTGGTCCCAGCTACTCAGGAGGCTGAGGCAAGAGGATCACTTGAGCTCAGGAGGTCAAGGCTGCAGTGAGCCATGACCACGCCACTACACTCCAGCCTGGGCAACACAGTGAGACCTCGTTTGAAAAATAAAAGAATAGGCCTGGCATGGTGGCTCATGCCTGCAATACCAGCGCTTTGGGAGGCCAACGCGGGTGGATCACCTGAGGTCAAGAGTTCAAGACCAGCCTGGCCAACATGGTGAAACCCCACCTCTACTAAAAATACAAAAAAAATTAGCCGGGCATGGTGGCGGGCCCCTGTAATCCCAGCTTCTGGGGAGGCTGAGACAGGAGAATCGCTTGAACCCAGGAGGCGGAGATTGCAGTGAGCCCAGATTAAAAAAAGAATAAACTATGGATACACGAAACAACACAGGTGAATGCAAGGGAATCATGCTCCAAAGATTATCCGCTCTGATTCCATTTACCTGGCATTCTCAAAATAACAAAATTACAGACGGGTAGGGGGAAAATGGCTTAGTGGTTGCAGGTGTTGAGGGGAGAGATGAAGTTATGGAAGAGCAGCTGGAAGGATCCTGTGCAGATGGGCTGTTTGTTGACTATGGTTGAGATTACACAAATCTGCCCATGAGGAAACCGCACACTGTTAACTACAGGCAAAACTTCCCTAGTCCAAAAATCCTAAATCTGAAATGTTCCAAAATCCAAGTCTTTTTGAGCAGCGACTTGACGTGCTCAAAGGCAATGCTCATTGGGGCATTTCAGATTTTTAGATTAGGGATGCTGAACCTTAGCTAACTATATAATGCAAGCATTCTGAAATGTGAAAAAATCTGAAATCCGAAACACTGCTGGTCCCCCCAGCATTTCGGATAAGGGATCCTTGACCCGTATGCGCGCGCGCGCGCGCACGCACACACACACACACACACACACACGCGCGCGTGCGCCCGCGCACAGCTGTTCGCTGGTGGGTGTTGCGTGGGCCAGGGTGGAGGGAGGATGAATGTCCCACTTTGTCCCCAGGAACTCTGAGCCTCTGACCCTGAGTCACTCCCACTGCCAGTGGGGGGTCGGGGCGGGGCGGAGGAGTCGGGGCAGGTCGTCGGGGGAGGTTGGTAGGGGAGGGAGGTGGGGAGATATTGAGCCTATGTCTCTTATCTCTGGGGTGGGCCCAGCTGTTACCTGTCCTCCGCCTCCCCTTCAGGCTCAGGGTCTGAGTCCTCCACCTCAAGGCCGGCTCCATTCAGCTTCACGTCCTGCTGTAAAGGCCCCGGGGCCACAGAAGCCAGGTCATCCCCGTAGGTGGAGGACGACGAGGCCGGCAGCCGCTGCTCTGGAAGGAAGGGGGCCTCGGTCGGGAGGGCGTGGCGGGGAGGGGACCCAAGGGCCGAGGGGAGGAGATCCGTGGCCCAGAGCAGCAGCGATGGTGTCCCCGAGGCTAGGCGGGGGGTAGGGTCCTCACCGAGGGCGCAGCAGCTGGGAGGCGCGGGCTCCAGGGGCGCGGCCTGGCGGCAGGCGGCCTCCCGCAGGCGGCAGGCGCTGGCGTAGACCACCCCGTCGGAGCCGCACACCGGGTTCCCCTGGGCGCCGCAGTCGTGGTCGCAGCCGCATCGCGCGATCGCCGCCCCCTCCTCAGGGGCCACGGCAGGGCCCGACTCGCCGGGGAACCAGCCTGGGGGACGAGGCAGGCTCGACAGACCCCCCACCCTGAACCTTGCCCGCGCCCCCACAGAACCTGGGGGTGGGGAAGATGTCCCTGGGTCCCGGGCCCACTACCCCCTCGGTGGGTCTTGGGGCGCGACAGTTAATGGGAGGTCCTGAGCCCTGGCCTTATGGAATTTCACGCAGGTATTTGCCTAATACTTACAAAAACAGAAACAGACTTTTAAAAAGCGGTTGTAGGAGAGAAAGGAGACAGGGCGTCCTGTCTGGGCCGCCCTGCAACAACAGCCCCGTCCCCTGCCGCGCCTCCTCCGCACTGACCACACCCACCCCAACCCCACCCCCACCGCACTGACCGCTCCTATCCTCAACCCCGCCCCCTCCGCGGTGACCACACCTACCCTCAACCCCGCCCCCTCCGTCCTGACCACTCTTAACCCCGCCCCCTCCGCACTGACCACACCCACCACAAATCCCGCCCCTCAGCGCTGACCGCACCCACCCTCGACCCCGCCCCCCGCACTGACCACACCCACCGCAACCTCATCCCCTCAGCACTAACCACATCCACTCTCAACCCCGTCCCCTTCGCACTGACCACACCCACCCCGTTCGGCCCCGCCCCCCGCACTGAACACACCCGCCCTCAACCCCGCACCCTCCGCACTCACCTCCCCCTCGCCGCTCGACCCCGCCCTCACCACACTGACCACCCTCAACCCATTGCGCCCAGTCCCCACCACAGTGACCACACCCTCACTGGCTCGGCCCTGCCCCCAGTATACTGACCATTCCCCAGCCACTTCCCTTCCGCACTTACCACTCCCCCAGCCACGCCCCTCCCCGCTGACCGCTCCTCCAGCCCCGCCTCCCCCGTACAGGCAGAGCGCCCGCCCACCTCTATGCTGCGTTCTCCTGACTTTACGTTGGCCCCTCCTCTGCCAAGCCCCCAGGGGAGCCCTCCCTGGCGTCCGAGGGTGGGAGTCGGGGTGTGGCAGGCCGCGGTGGGGGGCGGCAGTGGCTCCGCGCACTCACCCGGGCCCCGGGCAGGGGCGCGCTCCACTTCGTTGCACGCGGGTCCGGCGCACAGTTCCCGGGCGAGTGGGCTGTGGGTGCTGACGTTGTAGAAGCGAGTGGCCTCGAAGGCTACGGGACGAGGGTGGCGGGTGACCAAGTGCAGGCGCGACGGGTCAGGGACCGGGCCGGGCCGGGGGTGCGGGCGCGCGGGCCTACCGGGTTCGTAGTAGTCGTACACGGAGACTGGCAGCGCCGACGTCCTGCCCACCACGCACTCCCGGAGAGCACGGAACCGCACGCACGTCAGGCACCGGCTGGGGATCTGTGGGGCAGCGGCGGGCGCAGGCTCGACCCGGGCCAGGAGGCCCGGGGCGCTGAGCTCAGGCCCAGAACTGGCTGATTTCAGGGATACCCAGGACGCGTGAAACACAGAAGAAACGTGATCCCATTTTCTTTTTTTCTTTTACTTTTCTTTTTTTTTTTTTTTCCTGAGACAGAGTCTCGCGCTGTTGCCCAGGCTGGAGTGCAGTGGCGTGATCTCGGCTCACTGCAAGCTCGGCCTCCTGGGTTCAAATGATTCTCCTGCCTCAGCCTCCCAAGTAGCTGGGATAACAGGCGCCCACCACCGCACCCTGCTAATTTTTTGTATTTTTGATCAAGACGGAGTTTCACCATGTTGGCCAGGCTGGTCTCCAACTCCTGCCCTCAAGTGATCCGCCTCGGTCCCATTTTTTATTCTTTGGGTCCTTCCATCCCACTGGGAAAACGTCTCAGGTGGCCTCTGAAACACCACTCCTTTTTGTGTGTGTGCACGCATGGCTGAGCATGTGTGGGTGGGAGTCAGCACATTCACGATACTGTGCAATCATCACCTCTGTCTAGTTACAGAACGGTTTCTTTCTCCCCCAAAGAAACCCCATCGCCATCAGCACTCACTCCCCACTCCCCCAGCCCCTGGCAACCACAAATCTTTCCAACTCTACGGATTTGCCTGTTCTGGGCATTTCATGTCAATGGAATCATGTACTCTGTGGCCTTTTGTGTCTGGCTTCTTTCACTCAGCATCATGTTTCTGAGGTTCATCCATGCTGTAGCATGGATCAATGCTTCGCTCCTTCCTACAGATGGATAATATCCACTGCGGCCCCTCCCTGCTTTTTCTACCAACTGCCATCAGCCGAGGGCACAGAGCTGTCAGCATGGCCAACTCTGCCTGGAATTTATTCTCCCAGTGTCTTATTTTTTTTTGTTTTTTTTTAGACAAGGTCTTGCAGGTCTTGCTCTGTCACCCAAGCTGGAGTGCAGTGGCACAATCTCAGGTCACCACAACCTCCGCCTCCCAGGTTCAAACGACTCTCCTGCCTCAGCCTCCCAAATAGCTGGGATTACAGTAGCGTGCCATCACACCTGGCTAATTTTTGTGTTTTTTGTAGAGACAGGGTTCTGTCATGTTGGCCAGGCTGGTCTTGAACTCCTGATCTCAGGTGATCCACCTGCCTCAGTCTCCCAAAGTGATGGGATTGCAGGCGTAAGCCAAAGGGCCTGGGCACTTTTTTATATTTTTTGTAAAGATGGGGTCTCGCCATGTTGCCCAGGCTGGTCTCGAACCCCTGAGCTCAAGTGATCCTCCCACCTCGGCTTCCCAAAGTGCTGGGATTACAGGCATGAGCCACCATGCCCGGCCCCAGTGTCTTTTTTATGGTACAAGATACTTGCAGGGAGCCACACCAGGCAGTGACCGGTGCACCCTCACCAACATGCACACCAGGGAAGCCTCCTCCACCAACCCCGGCTGGTGGTACCTCATCAAAGTAGAAGAGCACTCGGCGTCCAGCCACTTCATACCTCTTCATCCCCATGTGCTTGTCAAGGAGCAGCTGCAGAGGAAGCCAGAAGTCAGGGTCCTCAGACTCTCTACTTGCTTCCTCTCCCATCCCCTGGGGGCAGTGGTCAGTGGGATGCTTGGACTTGCCCACAAGTTACCATGGGCTGGGGTCTGGGTGCTGGTCAGTGCTCCCCAGGCCCTGCCAGCCTCTCAGCACCCAGGAGAGGACGCTCAAGGATGGCTATCCCCGCTGGGAGCACCTGCCTCGCCTCCCTATACACTCCCTCAACCCAGCCCCAAGCCCAGGTCAGGCTTCTCCGTGGCCAAAGAGGTGCCCGGCTGAGCCCTGCCGCCTGCTGGTGTCTCAGCTGCACTGTTCAAGTTCCCCTCCCAGCCTGGGATTTTTTTTTTTTTTTCAGTTTTTGATTTAAAAAAATCCACACCCACTCCAAGGCCTCTGAATTGACCACATCCTCATCCCCTGGTGCTCCGTGCAGCCTCCTTGGAGGGGAGGTGACAATAGGCCCAGCTTTCCTGTTCCACCCTCCCCACACTGCAGACCTCCTTTGGTCCCTGAAACCCTCGCTTCTTGGTCCTCTTTCTCCCCCAGCCAGAGCCGGGCAGCAATCCCCACCCCCATGTCCCTCTTCCTTCCTGTACAAAATGGGGACATGGCACTGGTCTGTCTTAGGGTTGTGAGGGTGACAGCTGGTCTCGGCAGAATGTGGATTGAGAATACCCCATGGCTCCCCACCCAGGGCCAAAGCACATGGAACTTTGCTGAAGTTCTAGGTGGCATTTATAATAGTGTGACAGTGGGCCCGGTGCTGTGGCTCACATCTGTAATCCCAGCACTTTGGAAGGCTGAGGTGGGCTGATCACCCGAGGTCAGGAGTTTGAGACCAGCCTGACCAACATGGAGAAACTCCATCTCTACTCAATACAAAAAAATTAGCTGGGCGTGGTGGTGCATGCCTGTAATCCCAGCTACTTAGGAGACTGAGGCAGGAGAATTGCTTGAACCGGGGAGGTGGAGGTTGCAGTGAGCTGAGATTGTGCCATTGCACAGCCTGGGCAACAAGAGCAAAACTCCATCTCAAATAATAATAATAATAATAATAGTGACAGTGGCCGCATGGGAGATCCACCTGTTGGAGCAGCCCCCACCTCACCCCATCTACTCCTCAGTAGACAGATGGGCCATTTTTGCCCAGAAAGGGGAGGAAAAAAGGGGCTGGGCATAGTGGCTCATGTCTGTAACCCCAGCACTTTGTGAGGCTGAGGCGGGAGGATTGCTTGAGCCCAGGAGTTTGAGACCAGCCTGGGCAACATGGCGAAACCCTGTCTCTGCCACAAATACAAAAATTAGCAGGGCATGGTAGTGCATGCTTGTAGTCCCAGCTACTCGGGAGGCTGAGGTGGGAGGATTACTTGAGCCTGGAAGTTCAAGGCTCCACTGGGAATTTGAGCCAAGATCAGATCATTACACTGTAGCCTGGGCAACAGAGCAAGACTATGTCAAAAAAAAGAAAGAGAAACAGGGTAAAAGGGGAGGGGGAGGGGAAGGGGGAGGGGGAGAGGGAGAGGGAAGAAAAGAATACCCATAGCATTTTACAAAGGTCTGGACTGCCAGCCAGCCTGACCCTGGGTGCCTAAGCCCTACCTATTGTTCAGAGATCCCTGCCCACCGCTGCTCACCGGCGCTGCCTCACCTGCTCCAGGCTCTCGATGTCTGCCCGGAAGCCTGACAGCAGGGGCACCTCCAGGACAGCCATATTGGAAGACCCTGCATGCAGCCACCTTCCAACAACAGGGGAGAGAGAGAGGCCCTAGAGCTCAAGCCCAGAGGTGGAATTCAAGGTCCCCTCTCCCCCTGGAGCCCACACAGCTGATGTCCCAGGAAGCCTGCCCTGGGGCCTGGCCGGCAGGCCAACAGCACACACATCCTTGGCTCGGTCAACTCAGTCAACCTATTTTACAGCAGGGACACTGAGACCAGAGGGAAAGGGCCTTGCCAAGGGCTCTAGGCCTGACCAGGTCTCTTGACTAAGCATTGTGTTCTGTCCTGGACTTCACTCTGTGTCCCCAGCCTGGGAAGCAGCTGGCGACCCCACTCTGGACATGGTTGCACAGAGCAGCCACAGCTCAGGTGCTTCAACACTGCCACCCTGCAGGAGACTCTGGGAAATCAACCCCCTAGCTCCGGCCTCAGTTTCTCCTTCTGTAACATGGTGGGGCGGGGAGGGAGGTAACTGGGCACTCTCTGGAGCCTGCAATATGCCAGGCGCTTCCTATAGGGCGTTGGGGACAAGGAAGAGGAAGCCAACATTCAGAGTGGAGCTTGCAGCTGCGGGGAGTGCACCAAGCTGGACTCTGATTTCCAGAACTTTCTGAGATGGGGAACTTGGACACATTCGGGCTGAGAGTCAAGGTCAGGGCAGCCGTTACCGGGGTAGCGGCTCTGATGGGCTGCGAGTGTCATGGCAACCACTCACCCACCAATCGTCGCCATGGTGACAAGCATCCATCACCATGGCAACAAACATCTTCTTAGGGTGAGGGCCCGCTGCGGCCGGGTCCCAGGCTCACTCTTGGAAACCAAGGGGTCTGGTGCTGGTGTTATCGGGCAGGGACCAGTGTCCCAGCCACACATCGCTGTCCCCATCCAGCCCACCCGCCCCGACCATACTGGAGTCTTCTGTGTCCATTTGCTTTTCTTTCATTCATTTCAAAAACTGGCTGGGCGAGGTGGCTCACACCTGTAATCCCAGCACTTTGGGGGGCTGAGGCGGGCAGATCACGAGGTCAGGAGTTCGAGACCAGCCTGGCCAACATGGTGAAACCCTGTATCTACTAAAAAGACAAAAAAGTTAGTTGGGCATGATGGCGGGCACCTGTAGTCCCAGCTACTCGGGAGGCTGAGACAGGAGAACCATTTGAACCCAGGAGGCAGAGGTTGCAGTGAGCCGAGATCGCACCATTGCACTCCAGCCTGGGCGACAGGGTGAGACTCTGTCTCAAAAAAACAAAACAAAACAAAAACCACCACTGAGTGCCTGGAGCCGGAAGCTCCTCCTGGTCCCAGGAGGCCATCCTCTCCGCACATTGCACCCTCCTGGGATGCCCACGCCAGCAGGGCAGGTGGCCTTACCTGGTGCACACCTCCAGCATCACCTTGTATTCCTGGTGATGCTGATCGGCCGCTGGGTCATCATCGTCAGCTGGGGGCCAGTCTCCTCGGGAACCCTCAGCTGCGGAGGCAGGCATGGGGGGCGGGCGTCCCTGGGCCTCAGGCTCCTGGAGGCTTACGAGCAGCTGGAAAGCTGGCTTGGCCACCGGGTCAGGCACATTGTAGGTGACATCAATCTGGGGGGTGTTGGAGGATGGAGGCTTAGGGACCTGGGCCCTCCATAACAGGTGCAGGGTAGGGGAGGAGAAGGGCAGTGGGGAGGTGGGAACAGCCAGAATTATGAGGACAATGACATCCATGACAGTTTTAGAGACTACCGTTATTCGTTTTAGCCTTGAAATCACTGAAGCGGGTGTAGGTACAATCATCAGACCAGTTTTATGGATCTGGGGTGCAGAGCTGTGCTCAGCTATGTCTGAGTCTAGGGGTCTCCCTCTCATCCACAGTGTTATCTGAGCTCCCATTTTAGAGATCAGAAAACGGAGGCTAGCGAGAGTCATCGCGGGAAACTTGCCCTCTGACTGCCAGTCAGAACCCGTGACATGCACCTGCCCCAGCCTGGTCTGGGGCTAAATCCAGGCCACAGCAGGGGGAATGACCTCGAGCCCTTAGGCAAATCTGCTTGAGTCAATGGGTCAGAGATCCCTGGACTGAGGGTCAAATGGACCCTCTCAGGTGTGGGGGTGGCACACCTGAGAGGACCCATGGCCACCTGCCTTGGGCAGTATTAGAAGGCTGAAAACCTGTCCTGCAGTCTGGCATGCTGCTGAGTTCAGAACCCTCTGGGGGTCCCTGGGGTTCCACTGTGTGATTGGAGGGAATGGGGCACAGGAGGACAAGCCCAAGATCACCTCGTGCTCCCCAAAACCTCACCTGCATCAGGCAGCAGCCGTCCCCCTTGGCACTCACAAACAGCCCCGTGGGGAGGCTGGGGATCTGGAGACAGAAGTCACCGTGAGGCCCTGCTGACCCCTCCTCCAACAACCCCCAAACCCTCATCCCAGGAACACGCACCGCTGCTGTCTGCAGAACCTTCTGGTTGGTCCTGTGCAGCTCGAAGGTTTCCTGGTAGTCCAGGTTGGTGGAGGCCAGGGAGACAGTGAGGTTGATGCCTCCAGCATAGGACAAGATGGCATATTCAGCCAAGGCCTGCAGAGCCACGCAGGTGTCCTGGGGATGGAGGAGGAGACGGCCATCAACCCTGAGACTGAGTTGGCCAGTGGTCCCCTGAACCCCGTCTTGGAAGCCTAGCCTAAAACAGGCACCAACGGGGCTGGAATAGAGACTGGACCCAGTGCAGACACCCATGGCACTGGGGGCCTCAGGACAGCCAGGTTGGTGTGTCCCCAGAGGCAGAGGCTGGGCTCCCATGGGGGATCCAGGGGCATCTGTCCCTCACCCCCAACCCCTGCCCTCTTTGGGGCTCCATAAGGTGAGAAGGGGCCAGACTGCCTGGCCACCTCAGAGCTCAAAACAAGGACTGCAGGGACCCCACCCACCCAGCCCTGAGCCCCTCCCTCTGGCCCTGCCCGGCTCGCCTGAGTGGAGGAGAAGCCCCCAAGTGCATTTCGCTGCTGGGACAGCCACTTCACCACAGGCAGGGCGGCAGCCACGTCACCCAGCAGAGTGTAGGTCAGAAGGGCGTAGGCTGTCATTTCCACCTCGGCCGAGACCACTGCAATGGAAGAGGCCCACTGGGGACTTTTGACACAGGGACATGGACCCAGTGCATGGAGGTATGGCCAAGGCAGGCACCCGGGAGCTGGGGTGGCCAGTACCTGACTGAGAGACCCTGTCACTGAAGCTCAAGAATGTGCCCTTGTCCACGTCCCAGGAATTTGACAGGCTCCAGTGGGTGACCCCATCTGCAAGGAAAGGAGTGGTCAAGAGCTATAACCCACCCAGTGTGTAGCCTGGCATCCCATGGAGCGCATCCAAGCATGGGGTCTAAAGAAAAGGTATTGTGGGACCCCAGTGGGAGAAGAGTATCAGGGGAAGACAGCTGGAACAGGAAGGGCCTTGGGGCTCCATCTCAGATCTGCAAACCTATGGCAGCCCCAGCCCTTCCTGTGCCCCTGGCAGACATCGTGAATCAATGGCTACCCAACCTTACCCCTGGCAGACATCACTAATCAAAGGCCACCTTCCCCTTCCTGGACACAGACATCACTAGTCAATAGCCTCCCTCCTGACCAGGTACTGATCCAGCCCCTGATGTTCCTACTTAGTGCCCAAGCAGCCACACTCGACTTGCAAAGGCTCAAAGATTCTGGCCAGGCACAGTGGCTCACGCCTGTAATCCGAGCACTTTGGGAGGCTGAGGTGAGTGGCTCATTTGAGGTCAGGAGTTCAAGACCAGCCTGGCCAACATGGTGAAATCCCATCTCTACTAAAAATACAAAAATTAGCTGTGTGTGGTGGTGCACACCTGTAATCCTAGCTACTCAGGAGGCTGAGGCAGGAGAATTGCTTGAACCCAGAAGGCAGAGGTTGCAGTGAGCCAATACCGAGCCACTGCACTCCACACTCCAGCCTGGGTGACAGAGTGAGACTGTCTCAATAAATAAATAAATACATAAATAAAAATAATAATAATAATTTAAAAAGAATGGCAAGGCACGGTGGCTCATGCCTGTAATCCCAGCACTTTGGGAGGCTGAGGCAGGCGGATCACCTGAGGTCAGGAGTTCGAGACCAGCCTGACTAACATGGAGAAACTCATCTCTACTAAAAAATACAAAAAATTAGCTGGGCATGGTGGTGCATGCCTGTAATCCTGGCTACTTGGGAGGCTGAGTTAGGAGATCACGCCATTGCACTCCAGCCTGGGCAACAAGAGCGAAACTCCGTTTCAAAAAAAAAAAAAAAAAAAGGAAGAAAAGAAAAAAAAAAAAAAAAAGAAAAAGGCTCCAAGGATTCTGAGCTCGCATGAGGTGTAAAGACTCTCAAATCCAGAGAGAAACCAGCCCACCACCACCACCTCCCACTCCATCCCTGGATCCTCTTTAAACTTTTTTCTTTCGGAAGCAATGAAAACAATTCTTCAGGTGGCATCTTAATGCTTAAGCAGAGAAACCTGTCTGAGCCCCAGTGCAGCTGCTGGGGGTAGGGGTGGAGTGGGGAGGTCTGGGTGAAGTAGGAGGAGACTAAGTTTGGGGGCATTCTGAGAAAGTCAAAGCTCAGGGATTGGAGTCCCAGTGGGGTGATGATTTTGTAGGTGGGGAGACTGACAGCTCAAAAAAGCTTTCCAGGGCTCACTCAGCAAGTGGAGGGAAGGGTGGAAGCGAGACCCAACCCTCCCCTGTCTCCCAGCACCCCTGTCCTGGGATGATTTCCAGGAAGCCTGGCCGGAGGCGGGGGATGCGTTCTCTGCTGGGGATCCCTCTCTGAGAACTCCCCTTCCAGAGGGGTTGGCATCCCAGATTTCACAGGCAAGGAAAGTGATGCTTGGGGCTGGTGTGACTTGGACAAGCCACTTCCTCAAATAAAGTCACTAGCAGATGCGATAATGAATGAATACTATAATCAACAAAGCAATTGACAAGCAAAAGGCATCTCGTCAGTTTCCCTTTCTCCTTCCTTCCTTCCTTTCTTCCTCTCCCTCCCTCCCTCCCTCTCTCTCTTCTCTCCCTCCTTCCTTCCTTCTTTCCCTTTCTTTCTTTCTTTCTTTCTTTCTTTCTTTCTTTCTTTCTTTCTTTCTTTCTTTCTTTCTTTCTTTCTTTCCTTCCTTCCTTCCTTCCTTCCTTCCTTCTTTTCTTTCTCTTTCTTTCTAATGGCATTATCTCAGCTCACTGCAACCTCTGCCTCCTGGGTTCAAGTGATTCTTGTGCCTCAGCCTCCCGAGTAGCTGGGGTTATAGGCACCTGCCACCACACCCAGCTAATTTTTGTATTTTTAGGAGAGACGGGGTTTCACCATATTGGCCCGGCTGGTCTCGAACTCCTGGCCTCAAGTGATCTGCCCAAAGTGCTGGAATTACAGGCGTGAGCCACCGCGCCTGGTCGACTCATCAGTTTTTTGTTTTGTTTTGTTTTGTTTTTGAGACGGAGTCTTGCTCTGTTACCCAGGCTGGAGTGCAATGGCGCGATCTCTGCTCACTGCAATCTCCGCCTCCCGGGTTCAAGCGATTCTCCTGCCTCAGCCTCCTGAGTAGCTGGGACTACATGACTCGTCAGTTGTGATAAATATGTTCATGAGTTGTTTACCAGACTCCACAGTGGGCTTCCCGACGCTGTGGCCTCTGGGGAGGGCCAGGGACACCTACCTCGCATGATGGCCAGGCTACGGAGCTTGCGCAGTGCCTCAGGGGCTGCCGGGCTGCGGAGCAGGGTCAGCGCGTAGGTAGTCAGGGCACAGCTATAAGGGTCCATGGCCAGGGGCGCAGCAGACTCCAGGAAGTGCCTCGCTTTGTCAGTGGAGCCTCTCTCCTCCTGCAGGGTGGGGTGGGAAGGTGAAACCTGGGAGGCTGCTCTGCCCCCATCCCACCCACCCACTGGCTTCTGAGGCATCCCCGAGGAGAGCTCTGGGTGACTCCTAGCCCCTTGCTTTGCATCCTTCTGTGGCTCTCACTGCCTGCAGACCCAATTTTCAAACCCCATCTCCTTTCTTTTCTTTCTTGCCTTTTTTTTTTTTTTTTTTTTTTGGTAATAGGCTGGGCGCAATGTAATCCCAGCACTTTGGGAGGCCAAGGTGGGTGGATCACCTGAGGTCAGGAGTTTGAGACCACCCTGGCCAACATGGTGAAACCCCATCTCTACTAAAAATACAAAAATTAGCTGGGCATGGTGGCACATGCCTTTAATCCCAGCTACTTGGGAGGCTGAGGTAGGAGAACTGCTTGAACCAGGGAGTTGGAGGTTGCAGTGAGCCAATATCGCGCCACTGCACTCCAGCCTGGCAACAGAGTGAGGCTCCGTCTCAAAAAAAAAAAAAAAAATACAGACAGCATCTTACTCTGTTGCCCAGGCTGGAGTGCAGTGGCACGATCATAGCTCACTGAAACCTTCACTTCCTGGGCTTAAGCGATCCTCCCGCCTTGACCTCCCCAGTAACTGGGACTACAGGTGCACACCAGCACGCCCAGCTAACATTTTATTTTTTGTAGAGATGGAGTCTCACTATGTTGCCCAGGCTGGTCACACATTCTTGGGCTCAAGCGAGCCTCCCACCTTGGCTTCCCAAAGAGCTGGGATTACAGGAGTGAGCCACTGCCCCTGGCTCCCATTACCATTCTTGTAAGTTGGCACTCCTTTTTCCAAATGAGGTCTGGCCAGGATGCCCAAGTGCATGGCAAATGAGCACAGTGATACTCTAGGGGAAGCAGGCAGAGTCCTGGCCACCCTGTCCCACCCAGCCCCATGGCCAGGTCTTTGTTAAGACAGCTAGCTAAGGCCAGGTACAGTGGCTCATGCCTGTAATCCCAGCACTTTGGGAGGCCGAGGTGGGCAGATCACTTGAGGTCAGGAGTTCAAGACCAGCCTGGCCAACATGGTGAAATTCCATCTCTATTAAAAATACAAAAATTAGCCAGGCGTGGTGGTGGGCGCCTATAATCCAAGCTATTCAGAAGGCTGAGGCAGGCACAAGAATCCCTTGAACCCGAGAGGCAGAGGTTGCAGTGAGCCGAGATTGCACCACCGCACTCCAGCCTGGGCAACAGAGTGAGACCTCATCTTAAAAAAAAAAAAAATAATAGAAATAAAAAGCTGGCTCCTAAGACCTCCACAGCCCAGGCCCTCCCCAGCCTCCAGGCCTGGTCACCTCCTTAGAGAAGCCCACCAGCCCTGCTCATGCCCTCCCTAGAATGTGATCTGTTGGAAGACAGGGACCAAGTCCAGAATCTACTGATGGTTTTGGTTCAGAGAAGCTGCCCAATAATATTATGTGGAAGAAATGAGTGACCAGAAGCATTAACAAATTTAGCAATGGAACCAGAGTCTTCTGGTGGCCCAATAGAGGTATGGAGTTGAGCTAACTCTGCTTTCGGAACTGTCCTGGTCATAGAAAGAATGTTTCCAAAGCTTTCCATCCTTAGACCAGGACAAACGTGGGAACTGTCCCTAAGGTGTGACATTGAGATGCCCTTTGGGAGGCATGTGCCAGGGATGAACCCGGCTGACTAGCCAGACCCTAGGACTGGCCCTCACAAGTCCATTGCCTGGGGGTGGGGGAAGGTTGGACATCCCCATCCCAGGGGCAGGAACAGTGACATGGGAGTTACCCCAGGTCACGCGGGCCAGGACGGGTCTCAAGGACGCTGCGGAGACCACACCAAGCAGGGATGGACCCAGCCCGGCCCCAGCTGTGCAGATCCTCCCGTTTACAGACAAGCGGATGCAACGGAACTCCAAGGGGTCAAGGTCATTTGCTGGTTGCCCCCCAGCTCATCTGATTCCAGCACAGGTGTAGCGGGTTGAACGGTGGCCCACCAAAAAGATATATTCCCTGGGACCTGTAAATGCTGACTTATTTAGGAAATGGGTCTTTGCAGATGTAATTAAGAGTCTTGAGATGAGATCACCTTGGATTAAGGTGGCCTCAAATCCAATGACAAATATCTTTAAAAAATTTTTTTTGGCTGGGCACGGTGGCTCACGCCTGTAATCCCAGCACTTTGTGAGGCCGAGGCAGGTGGATCATGAGATCAGGAGATCGAGACCATCCTGGCTAACATGGTGAAACCCCATCTCTACTAAAAATACAAAAAATTAGCTGGGCGTGGTGGCGAGCGCCTGTAGATCCAGCTACTCAGGAGGCTGAGGTGGAAGAATGGCATGAACCTGGGAGGCGGAGCTTGCAATGAGCCGAGATCGCGCCACTGTACTCCAGCCTGGGCAACAGAGCGAGACTCCATCTCAAAAAGGGAAAACAAACAAACAAACAAACCCATCTCTACTAAAAATACAAAAATAGCCAGGCATGGTGGCCCATGCCTGTAATCCCAGCTACTTGGGAGGCTGAGGCAGGAGAATCCTTGAACCCGGGAGGCAGAGGTTGCAGTGAACTGAGATCGCTCCATTGCACTCCAGCCTAGGCAATAAGAGCGAAACTTCGTCTCAAAAAAAAAAAATTTGTATTAGAGACAGAGGTTTCACTGTTACTCAGTGTTACTCAGGCTGGAGTGTAGTGGCTATTCATAGGCACAATCCCACTGCTGATCGGCACGGGAGTTTTTGTTTGTTTTTAAAACAATCTCATACTGTCACCCAGGCTGGAGTGCAGTGGTGCAATCTTAACTCACTGCAACCTCCACCTTCCAGGTTCAAGCGATTCTCCTGCCTCAGCCTCCCGAGTAGCTGGGATTACAGGCACGTGCCATGGTGCCTGGCTGATTTTTGTACTTTTAGTAGAGATAAGCTTTTGCCATATTGGCCAGGCTGGTCTCGGACTCCTGGACCCATGTGATCCACCTGCCTCAGCCTCCCAAAGTGCTGAGATTATAGGCATGAGCCACTGTGCTTGGCGTCCAATGACAAGAACCTTTAACTTTTTTTTTTTTTGAGATGGAGTTTCACTCTTGTTGCCCATGCTGGAGTGCAATGGCGTGATCTCAGCTCACCGCAATCTCCGCCTCCCAGGTTCAAGCGATTCTTCTGCCTCAGCCTCCCGAGTAGCTGGGATTACAGGCATGCGCCATCACACCCAGCTAATTTTTGTATTTTCAGTAGAGACGGGGATTCTCCATGTTGGTCAGGCTGGTCTCGAACTCCCAACCTCAGGTGATCTGCCCGCCTCAGCCTCCCAAAGAGCTGGGATTACAGGCAGGAGCCACTGGGCCCGCCTTTTTTTTTTTTTTTTAAATTAGTGACAGGTCTCACTATGTTGCCCAGGCTGGAGTGCAGTGGCTATTCATACGCACGATCTCCCTACTGATCAGCACAGGAGTTTTGACCTGCTCCATTTCTGACCTGGGCCAGTTCATCCCTCTTTGGACAACTTGGTCATCCTGCTCTCAAGAGGTCACCATATTGATGCTGAACTTAGTGCAGACACTTGATTGGTGCAGTGCACTACAGCCCAGAACTCCTGGGTCAAGCAATCCTCCTGCCTCAGCCTCCCGAGTAGCTGGGACTACAGGAATGCCCTGCTGCACATGGCAACAAGTGTTGTTTAAGAGACGAGAAGGGGAGAAGACAGAGGAGAAGGTCACACGCAGACAAAGGCAGGGGCTAGAGTGATGCAGCCACAAGCCAAAGAATGCCTGGGGTCCCTGGAAGCTGGAGGCAGCAAAGAAAGCTCTTCCCTTAGAGCCTGCAGAGGGAGCAAGGGCCTGCCAATGCCTTGATTTTGCACTTCTGGTCTCCAAAGCAATGAGAATGTATTTCTGTTGTTTTAAGCCACCCAGTTTGTGGCAATTTGTTATGGCAGCCACAGGAAATGAAGACAGCAGGTTTTGCCTCCTTTGGGGAACGATCTAAGACAGGGGTCCCCAACCTCCGGGTCACAGACTGGTACCGGTTGGTGGCCTGTTAGGAAGGGGCTGCACAGCAGGAGGTGAGTGACAGGTGAGCCAGCAAAGCTTCATCTGTATTTACAGCCACTCCCTATCGCTTGTATTACCACCTGAGCTCCACCTCCCATCGGACCATCAGCAGCATTAGATTCTCGTGGGAGCATGAACCCTATTGTGAACTGTGAGCATGTGAGGCATTTGCTGGCAGACTCCTTTTTTTTTTGTTCTTTTTTTTTTTTTGAGACAGAGTCTGGCTTGGTTGCCCAGGCTGGAGTGCAGTGGCACGAGCTTGGCTCACTGCAACCTCTGCCTCCCAGGTTCAAGCGATTCTCCTGCCTCAGCCTCCCAAGTAGCTGGGACTTCAGGCATGCGCCACCACACAAGCTAATTTTTGTATTTTTATTTTTATTTTATTTTATTTTTTGAGACAGAGTCTGGCACTCTTGCCCGGGCTGGAGTGCAGTGGCACCATCTCGGCTCACGGCAAGCTCTGCCTCCCAGGTTCACGCCATTCTCCTGCCTCAGCCTCCCGAGTAGCTGGGACTACAGGCGCCTGCCACCATGCCCGGCTAATTTTTTGTATTTTTAGTAGAGACGGGGTTTCACCAGATTAGCCAGGATGGTCTCGATCTCCTGACCTTGTGATCCACCGCCTCAGCCTCCCAAAGTGCTGGGATTACAGGCGTGAGCCACCACACCCAGACAGTTTTTGTATTTTTAGTAGAGACAGGGTTTCATCATGTTGGCCAGGCTGGTCTCAAACTCCTGACTTCAAGTGATCTGCCTGCCTTGGCCTCCCAAAGTGCTGAGATTACAGGTGTGAACCACTGCACCCAGCTGGTTGCACACTCCTTATGAGAATCTAAAGCCTAATGATCTGTCACTGTCTCCCATCACTCCCAGAAAGGACAGTCTAGTTGCAGGAAAACAAGCTCAGGCTCCCACTGATTCTATATTATGGTGAGTTGTATAATTATTTCATTATATATTATAATGTAATAATAATAGAAATAAAGTGCACAATAAATGTAATGCTCTTGAATCTCCCAAAACTACCCCCTCTTCCCCAGTCCATGGAACAATTGTCTTCCACAAAACTGGTCCCTTGTGCCAAAAAGGTTGGATACTGCTGATCTAAGAGACCAGAACTCAGAAGACCAGGGAGAAACAACTGCTGCCCTGCAGGGCAGGCCTTCAGGTTCAGAAGAGAAATAGGTTGGAAGGCTATGGAGAAGGCAGAAAAAGATTCTTGGGAGAAGTGAAGTGACCTCAAGGGATAGGAAGGAGGTAGAGGGCCTGTTGAGTGTTCACTGAAGACATAAGGGAGGGCCAGGCATGGTGGCTTATGCCTGTAATCCCAGTACTTTGGGAGGCCAAGGCAGGAGGATCACCTGAGGTCAGGAGTTTGAGACCAGCCTGGCCAACATGGTGGAACCTGGTCTCTACTAAAAATACGAAAATTAGCCGGATGCAGTGGCACATGCCTGTAGTCCCAGCTACTCGGGAGTCTGAAGCTGCCATGCCATGGATCCCACCCTGCAAGGGGACTCACAGCCCTCACCCCAAGCCAAAGAGAATCACTTGAACCCAGGAGGCGGAGGTTGCAGTGAGCTGAAAAAAAAAAGTCTCACCTCAAGATATGTGTCATAAAAGTGTACATATCTTGTTGTCCATAGTGATATGGACAATGAGAAGATTGGAAAGCTTCCAGAGGAGAGAACAAACGAGATACAAAGGATAGTACTCAGAATGACATCCGACTTCTCAGTGGAACACAGGAAACTAGAAGATGATAGAACATCATCAATTATTCTACAGGAAAACAATTTCCAACCTGGAATTCTATACCCAGCCCAGCTATCATACAGGGCCAGAATAAGAATATTTGCAGACATGCAACGTCTCAAAAAATGTGCCTCCCAAAACCCTTTCTCAGTAAAGGAGGGTAGCAATTGTGCAGCATCCTGGGTGCTGTCCATTCCAACTCGAGTGGGGGCCAAGGGCTCTGGCAGGGAAGTTTCCAGAAAAATGCATTTGGGAGGTGACATATTTGACCACTTCCATGGGAGATGTGGAGGAGGACTTCTGAGGTATGAGGGGGTGTCATGGAATACGTGTGATCTTCCTCAGAATCCATATGTTGAAGCTCTAACTCCTAATATGATGGTATTAGGAGTTGGGGACCTTTGAGAGATAATTAGGTTTAGACTGAGGTCACGAGGATGGGGCCTCCAAAATAATAGGATTAGTGTCCTTATATGAAGAGGAAGAGCACTAGAGCTCTCTCTCCACATGCACACACTAGGGAAACGCCATGTGAACATACAGTGAGAAGGTGGCAGTCAACAAATCAGGAAGAGAGCCCTCACCAAGAACCAAATCTGCCTGTGCCTTGGTCTTGGACTTCCCATCCTCTAGAACTGTGCAAAATAAATGCCTATTGTTGAAGCCACTTACTCCATGGTATTTTGTTTCTGCAGCCCAAGCTAAGACAGGGCATTAGGAATTCAGCATAAGAATTTGGTCAGGGGAGAACCAATTCAGCCCATAACACAAGGCAAGGGGCCCTCTGGACATTGTGCATGGTGGGGGCGGTCTTAGGTCACAGCAAACTGTAGACCCACTAGTTGTCTGGATTGTGAGACCAAGAATCCTGAGAAGTGCCCAAACTCATAATTTATCATGAGAGATTGTAGAATTGATGTAGGTATTAGGGAGGGCAGATTCTTCTCACCCAGGGCTGAGATCCATCGTGGAAGCCTTCTCTGCAGAGACTGTGCCATCCCCCACCCCAGGAAAGCCTCATAGAAGAGACTATGGCCCTCAAGTCTCTTGGGCCATCTAAGCCCCATCCAGTACCAACTGTCTCTGAATATCCTAACCCCTTTCCCTGCAAAAACATGCATGAGCCCAACATTTTGTAGGGTTCCCTGAAGCCAACCCTTGGGTCACTGGCCAGGAACCTGAACTAGCCTGAAATGATTCTCTGAAGGAGGTCTAGGGGCTGTGGACAGTCATGGGAGGCTCTGTACTCAGGGCACCTCCCCAGCCCCCAACATGTGCCCAATTTCCCCCTAGTAGCATGGGAATCTCTCTCTCCTCTGCTCAGATTACAAGAAACTGGATGTAATGTGACCATTGTTGATGAAAAGCATGAAAAAGCCTCGATAATGAGCAGAAGGAGGGCAGGGAGGAAGAAATCACCCCTGGCATAAAGGAGGGAACCTTCCATTTGCTCCTCCAGTGCCCAGCCCCGAGTCTCCCCAAACCCCTTCTGTACTCACCTCTGAGGCTGTGCCTGTTTCCAGGAGAGCAACCACCACGTAGGCTGTCAGCGGGACAGTGCCGTGGATCCCACCCTGCAAGGGGACTCACAGGCCTCACCCTAAGCCAAAGGAGACAGTCCACTTCCCCCCACTTCCCCCAGGCAGCTCCAGGGAGTAGGAACAGGCAGGTCAGGGCTGGGGCTCTGGGAGGAGGTGAGGGGCCCGGGAAGGAGGCTCAAGGGGCCACTCACCTGGATGTCCTTGTTCAGGACCCTGCCCACGGCCAGGAAGGAGCCATCGGCCTGCTGCTGCTGGATGATCCAGCTCTTGGCGGCAGCCAGCTCCCGGGGGTCCACGAAGATAAAGCTGCGAGCCTGTGCGAAGGACTTCAGGACAAAGGCTGTGAGCCTGAAAGAGGACAGGGTGTCAGCTGAGGGGTTGCAGAATGGTCAGCCCCCACATGCTGGCTGAGGGATTGCAGCAAGCTCCTGGCACCACCCCCGGCCTCCATTTCCTCATCTATAAGATGGGAGGGGTCCCATCTGTCCCCACAGGGCTGTCAGAGTGGAGGAGGGGGCACATTGCCCAGCACCCAGTGGGGCTTGAAGACGGAGCTCTCTCCTTCCTACCTGGACCTCTACCCTAGTGGCATTCAGGTCTGCTCCTTGCTCGGCACTCAAGGCCCTTCTGTGAGCTGGTCTAGCCCTGCCTGTCCTGCCATGTGAGGAAGACCCTTCTGGTTGCCGACCTCACAGCCATTTCTTGCTTGGTCCTTGCCAAAAGGCCCCTGATCTCATTCAGGGGCCAGCAGCCATGTGCCCTGGAGATCTGTGCTTCTCTGTGGTCCCAGCCAGCCAGTCATGGGCATTCCAGTTTCTGAGCCTGGGAATGGCTTTGGAATGGGCATGTGATGCAATGCTGGGAGCAGCTGCAGCCATTTTGCCACCATGAGGGGTGCAGCCATGTGCCAAGGGAGGGAATACCCAGGGATGGAAGGAAAAAAACGAGCCCCAGTGCACTATGGGGCTGCTGAATTAGCCAACCATAGCACCTCCCCAGCCCTGCAGTGTGAGCTGATGTTCAGAATTGCTCTCCAGCCCGTTTTCTGTTGTTTTCAGCCAAAAACATCTCTGTTATGTGGCCTGTCCCTCATCCACCCCATCTCCCTTGCCCTGCTTTTGCAGGTGCCACCCTGAGTAAGAGCTGGCAAGGCCAGGGAATGAATGCATGAACAAATGAAGGAGAGAAGCACAGGATGGAAGCCAGGAGGCCATGAGGGATGAAAACCAAAATTGTCAGGAGAGGAAACTTCGCAAATTCAGGATCAATGAATAAGCTGTCTTCAAAATCAAGTGGCTCTAGGCTCTTTATATGAACCACAAAAATGGGATGCATTAGCCTGCCCGCCTGCCCGCCTGCCTGCCTTCCTTCCTTCCTTCCTTCCCTCCCTCCCTCTTCCTTTCTTCTTTCTCTCTTTTCTTTCTTTTTCTTTCTTTCTTTCTCTTTCTCTCTCTCCTTCCTTTTTCTCTCTCTCTTTTCTTTCCTACTTTTCTTTCTTGATTTTCTTTCTTCTCTCTCTCTCCCTCCCTCCCTTCCTCTCTCTCTCTCTCTTGCTTTCTTGCTTTTCAAGACAGGGTCTTGCTCTGTCACCCAGGCTGGAGTGCAGTGGTGCAGTCCTAACTCACTGTAGCCTACAACTCCCAGCTCAAGCGATTCTCCCACTTCAGCCTCCCAAGTAGCTGGGACTACAGGGACGTGCCACGACATCCAGCGAATTTTTAAATTCTTTATAGAGATGAGGTCTTACTATGTTGCCCAGGCAGGTCTCGAACTCCTGGGCTCCAGTGATCCTCCCACAATGGCCTCCCAAAGTGGTGGGATTATAGGCATAAGCCACCATGCTCACTGCAGCCTCTGCCTCTCAGGGTCAAGCAATTCTCGTGCCTCAGCCTCCTGAGTAGCTGGGATTACAGCCTCCCGAGTAGCTGGGATTGCCACCATGCCCAGCTAATATTTTTGTATTTTTAGTAGAGACGGGGTTTCACCATGCTGGCCAGACTGATCTCAAACTCCTGACCTCAAGTGATCCTCCCACCTTGGCTTCCCAAAGTGCTGGGATTCAGGAGTTCAAGACCAGCCTGACTGACATGGCGAAACCCCATCTCCACTAAAAATAAAAAAAAATTAGCCAGGCGTGGTGGCGGGCACCTGTAATCCCAGCTACTCGGGAGGCTGAGGCAAGAGAATTGCTTGACCTCAGGAGGCGGAGGTTGCAGTGACCTGAGATCGCACCACTGCACTCTAGCCTGGGTGTCAAAATGAGACCCTGTCTCAGACAAAAAAGAATAAATAAATAAATAGATAAAATAAAATAAAATATACCCAAAGCTCATCCAGGCCGTTCTCCCTCTCAGGTACCTCAAATGCATCCTCTTCTTTCTATTCCCATGTTCCCTGGATTAGCCAGGAGACCCCATGGCTCCCAGGCTCATCCCCACCCCATTACCAGCTATGCACACTGCAACCAGGGGGAAACTCCATGCATTTTGGGCACGGCAGGGAAAGGAGGCAAGGACAGAACCAAGCCAGCTGTGTGCTGGGAATTGTGGAATTCCCATGGTCTAGCATACTGTGCTCTCTACTTTCCCACTGTAAAACGCAAACAGGATAAATGTTATCAAGTGATAAAAAGAAATGAGCTCTCAGCCGGATTCAGTGGCCCATACTTGTAATCCTAACACCTTGGGAGGCTGAGGCAGGAGGATCAGTTGAGGCCAGGAGTTTGAAACCAGCCTGGGCAACATAGTGAGACCCTGTTATTCATAAACAAACACACAAATAAATAAAAAATGAGTGTGTGAGTGAACTCTAATGTAGATTATGAACCTTAGTTCATAACGTTTTGATGCCGGTCCATCAATTGTAACAAATACAGCACACTAATACAAGATGCCTATCACATGGGAAGCTGTGTATGGGGGTGTAGAGGTGTATGGGAACTCTGTTCTATTTACTCAATTTTTCTGGAAACCTAGAACTCTTCTAAAAAGTAAGATCTATGGCCGGGCGAGGTGGCTCATGCCAGCAGTGTTTGGGAGGCAGAGGTGGAGGATCGGCTGAGGCCAGGAGCTTGAGACCAGCCTGGGCAACACAGCAACACCTGGTCTCTACTGAAATTCAAAAAAATTAGCTGGGCATGGTAGTGCATGCCTGTGGTCCCAGCTGCTTGCGGGGCTGAGGCGGAAAAATTGCTTGAGCCCAGAAAATCAAGGCTGCTGTGAGCCCTGATTGTGCCACCGCACTCTAGCCTGGGAAACAGAGCGAGATCTTGTCTCAAAAAAAATTAGTTAAAATAAATAATAAAAAGTAAAGTCTAATGACTATCTGTTATCTGAAATGCTTGGAACCAGAAGTGTTTCAGATTTTGAATTTGGATTTTGGAATATTTGCATTTACGGGAATCTCTTGGTATCTGTAGGGGACTGGTTCCAGGACCCCCAAGGATACCGAAATCCACTGATGCTCAAGTCCCCGATATACGAGTGTGTAGTAGTTGCATATAACCGACACATATCCTCCCGTGAACTTTATTTTTTATTTTTATTTTTGAGACACAGTCTCACCCTGTTGCCCAGGCTGGAGTGCAGTGGCACAATCTCGGCTCACTGCAATCTCTGCCTCCAGGTTCAAGCAATTCTCCTGCCTCAGCCTCCCGAGTAGCTGGGACTACAGACGCCCACCACCATGCCCAGCTAATTTTAGTATTTTGAGTAGAGACGGGGTTTCGCCATGTTGGCCAGGCTGGTCTCGAACTCCTGACCTCAGGTGATCCGCCTACCTTGGCCTCCCAAAGTGCTGGGATTCCAAGCGTGAGCCACAGCGCCCGGCCCCTCCTGTGTACTTTAAAGCATGTCTTGATTACTTAGAACACCTAATACAATGCCCACATGTCACTTCATTTGCATGAATTCAATATTGTACTCAGCATGCAGCAAATTCAACTTTTCGTTTTTGGAACTTTGTGGAATTTTTAAAACTTTTTTTTTTTTTTTTTTTTTAAGAGATGGAGTTTTGCTCTGTCACCCAGGCTGGAGTGCAGTGGCACAATCATAGCTCACTGCAGCCTTGAACTTCTGGGCTCAAGGGATCCTCCCACCTCAGCCTCCCCAGTAGTTGGGACTAAGGCATGTACCACCACGCCCAGCTTATTTTTAACATTTTTGCCGAGATGAGGTCTTGCCATGTTTCTCAGGCTGGTCTCCGACTCCTGGCCTCAAACAATCTTCCCGATTCAGCTTCCCCAAAGTGCAGGGATGACAGGCACGTGCCATCACACCCAGACTTTTTTTTTTTTTTTTTTTTCTGAATAGTTTCGATCTGTAGTTGATTGAATCCTGTGGAACTCACAGATACGGAGGGCTACCTGTATACTTGGGCATCCCAAATGCAAAAAATCTGAAATGCTCCAATGAACATTTCCCTTGAGCATGAGGTTGGCACTAAAAGCATCTTGGAGCCCAGGCACGGTGGCTCACACCTGTAATCTCAGCACTTTGGGAGGCTGAGGTGGGCAGATCACCTGAGGTCAGGAATTCGAGACCAGCCTGGGCAACATGGTGAAATCCTGTCTCTATTAAAAATACAAAAATTAGCCAGGCATGGTGGCAGGTGCCTATAGTCCCAGCTACTCAGGAGGCTGAGGCAGGAGAATTGCTTGAACCCAGGAGGTGGAGGTTGCAGTGAGCCGAGATTATACCACTGAACTCCAGCTTGGGTGATAGGGTGAGACCCCATCTCAAAAAAAGAAAAAAAAAAAGGAATAGAATAGAATGAGGCAGAAGTAACAGCCTGACTTGTAAGACCAAGTAACAAAAGGCGCTATGGCATCCTTCCCGCTTTCTCTCTTGAATTGCTCACTGTGAGAGGAAGCCAGCCGCCATGTTGTAAGAACACTCAAGTAGTCCCTATGGAGAAGTCCATGTGGTGAGCAACTGAGGCCTCCTGCCAACAGCCATGTGAGGGAGCCAATTTGGAAACAAATCTTCCAGCCCCAGTAGAGCCTTCAGATGAAGACAGCAACAGCCAACACCTTGACTGCAACCTCAGCAAAGATCCCCAGGCAGAAACACCCAGCTAAGCTGCTCCTGAATTCCTGATCCATAAGAATTAATACATAATAAATAGAGATAATACGTTTGTTGTTTTAAATGGCTACATTTGGGGTCACTTGTTACACAGCAGTGGATAACTATTGCATCTCTCACAGGGTCTTTCTCCTGCACTGGGCAGCGAGGACCTGGAGGTAGGAACCATGTGTTCCTTTTTCCCCCAGGATGAAGACCAGAGCCTAGCTCACTCAATGAATAAATGAATGAATGTGCGTTGAGTATAAGGGAACCCATCTAGAACAGATCCCAAGTTTTCAGGCTCCCTGGCAGGATCTTGGAGCCTTATGGTAAGTAGTTAGGGGAGGTGCTAACAGGACGGCACTGCACTGAGTGTACCACATGCTTATCCCATGGATCCAGGTTCTTAGAGGGATGTGTGGTAAGGAAACAGGCTCAGAGAGGTTGATCATCGGGTCTAAGGCCACACAGCTCACATGAGACAGAGCTGAGGTTTGTCCAGCTTCGGGGTGGGTGCTGCTGCCACTGCCCTGCGCTCACTGCCTCCTTGTCCTACAGGGTCCCCAGGAAGACGTCCATGTTTGGAGACCAACAGGAATGTTTCAGGAGGTGAGAGGGGACCTGGAAGCTGCTGACTTCCATGCACACAGTGAAATTTGATTTTTCAGCCATGCGCGGTGGCTCACGCCTGTAATCCCAGCACTTTGGGAGGCCGAGGCGGGCGGATCACAAGGTCAGAAGATCGAGACCATCCTGGCTAACACGGTGAAACCCCGTCTCTATTAAAAATACAAAAAAAGTAGCCAGGCGTGGTGGCGGGCGCCTGTATTCCCAGCTACTCGGGAGGCTGAGGCAGGAGAATGGCGTGAACCCAGGGGGCGGAGCTTGCAGTGTGCCGAGATGGCGCCACTGCACTCCAGCCTGGGTGACAGAGCGAGACTCCGTCTCAAAAAAAACAAAAAGGAAATTTGATTTTTCTTGCTCATGCTGAGAGTTTAATCCCCGGAAGATGCTGAGGAGGTGTGTGCACACTGAGTGTCTAGGCCGGGCACGGTGGCTCACGCCTGTAATCCCAGCACTTTAGGAGGCCAAGGCAGGCGGATCATCTGAGGTCAGGAGTTTGAGACCAGCCTGGCCAACATGGTGAAACCCCGTCCCTACTAAAAATACAAAAATTAGCTGGGCATGATGGTGCACACCTGTAATCCTAGCTACTCAGGAGGCTGAGGCAGGAGAATTGCTTGAACCTAGGAGATGGAGGTTGCAGTGACCCAAGATTGCACCACTGCACTCCAGCCTGGGGAACAGAGTTAGACTCTATCTCAAAAAAAAAAAAAAAAAAAAAAAAGGTCCAATGCGTCACAACTTGCTAATCCTGGCTGGTGGAGGCCTCCTAGGGGCTGCTGGGGCTCAGCCAGCTTTTGGAGAGTGACTCAGTGGCTTTAGCTGTCCCTGGGGTGGGCGGGGCCTCTGCTTGCTAAGACGTGATTGGGGCCTTGCGTTATCAGCTGTCGGCAAGGCAGGGCCCTGGGACTAGAGCTGGGACAGTGTGGATGAGCTCCTGGGGCTGGGGGAGGCTGGGTGAGTCGCCAACCCTGGGCCCCTCTGGAGCTAGGTAAGTGATGCTGCCCATGGCAGGAAGTACTCAGCCACATGTCCCCACTCCCTGGGATCCTGGCACTGTGACTGTGCAGTGGACACTCTGTTGGACTAAAGACAGGGCAGTTTCCACGCTCACAGCTGCTGTCGGCACTACCAGGGTGGCAATCTCCGAGAAGGAGTCCGGCGATGGGTACAGGAGTTGGAAAGTGACTCACAGTCTCAGGTGAACCCCATGATGATGCCAAGAACTGCAATAGCCTGAGGATATCAGGAAAACAAGACCCAGGTGTGCCCGGCCTCCCAGGGGCCCTCCCTGCCCTGGTCTCCTCCCTGCAGTTACCACAGAAACAAGATCCCAGGCTGCTCCTGCACACAGCACACCCCAGCCTCAAGGTGCTGGTCTGGCCTCTGACCCCTCTGCCCTGCCATCTCCTCCTGCTCCAGTCACCGCTATTCCTGAGTCCTGGGAGCTTGAGGAAGCCCAGGGCATCCAGGGCTCACTCCCAAGGGGCCAGAGAGCAGGGCATGGAGTCTTGCTCACTGTGGTAACAGCAGCAGAAACAGGAATGGTTACGATCACCAGCTCTGCACTGGCCCCAAGCCCCAACCTCCATCTCTGGAGCTGGGACCACCACAGTCTTTACTTCCCAGCTGTGTTCCCTGTCATCCGGGGATCAGGCGCCAAGTGATCTGGTCACACTGCATTGGATGTGAGGCCATGGCGTCGGGCGGGGAGCCTCAGAGGCAATGCCCAGGGCGGTGGGGACTCACCACATGCTCCCCGATGCGTCCCGCTCCCCAAACGCGCTGTAGGAGCCATCCTGGCGCTTGTAGGTCAGCTGGCGCTGGTAGCCTGTGGGGCAAGCAGAGAGGACCCTGTCCTGTTGAGTGGCCTGGCCCAGGCCCGCCCCCAGGGACCTACACCACTCTGCCGTCCCCTACCCCGGATCTCCGAAGCCACACCACATGTGGGGTCCCTGGAATTGCCTCGAATCACATCTGGAGTCCTTGAAACTGCCATACACTCACATCTGGGGTCCCTGAAACTGCCCCATACCACATGTGGGGTTCTTGAAACTGCTTTATACCACATTTGGAGTCCCTAAAACTGCTCCACACCACATCTGGGCTCACTGAAACTGCCCTGTGTCACATCTGGGGTCCCTGAAACTGCCCCACACCACATCTGGGGTTCTTGAAACTGCCTCATACTACATCTGGAGTCCCTGGAACCGCAGCGCACCACATCTGGGGTCCCTGAAACTGCCCCACATCACATCTAGGGTTCTTGAAACTGTCTCATTCCACATCTGGAGTCCCTGGAACTGCTCCACACCACACCTGGGGTCCCTGAAACTGCCCCACACTACATCTGGGGTCCCTGAAACTGCTCCACACCACATCTGGGGTTCTTGAAACTGCCCCATACCCACAGCACATCTGGGGTCCCCGAAACTGCTCCACATCACATCTAGAGTTCTTGAAACTGCCTCATACCACATGTGGAGTCCCTGGAACTGCTCCACACTACATCTGAGGTCCCTGGAACTGCCCCACACCACATCTGGGGTCTCTGAAACTGCTCCACACATCTGGGGTTCCTGAAACTGCTCCACACCACATCTGGGGTCCTTGAAACTACCCTATACCACATTGGGGGTCCCTGAAACTGCTCCACATCACATCGGGGATCCCTGGAACTACCTCACACCACATCTGAGGTCCTTGAAACTGCCCCACACTACATCTAGGGTGGCTGTAACCTCCAACTCATTCATCTTGTTTACTGACATTGCCCCTTCGTGACTACTGGTCACACACTGGCCTTCGGTCACTCCCAGGAGGTCAGCAAAACCACCATCTTGGGGCAGCGCCCTCTGTCCCCCACAGCCCTCTGTCCCCAGGCGTGGGGGCTGCTCCAACTGCTGGGGCGAGAGCTTGGGAAGCTCAGAGAACTGGTGGTGCCGGGGACAGGGAACGGAGCAGGGAACGAGGGGGTGAGGTGAGAGGCCGGTGGGCCACAGGGCCTCCAAGGCTGGGCTGGGAGTGTGGTTTTCCTGCAAGGGCATAGGGAGCCATGGGTGGCGTGTGAGTAGGAGAAGAGTGTGAGGAGACATATAGAGCCAGTGGACCGTAGGGTCTGGACAGAAAGCTGGGGACGGGGAACCCTCCCAGTGTGCAATGATGAGTTTGGACCCAGTGGCGGCGACAGAGGTGGGGAGCCTTCCTGGGGTGAAGGCAGAGCTACTCAGCCAGACACAGCCTGTGAGGGAAAGAAGGACGAATCTGAGGGCACCACTGTGTGTGGTCTGAGCCTCAGGAAGGACAGGGCTGTGTCCACAGAGACAGGACCGGTGACCAAAGAAATTCTGTACTGGGTGGGTCCTCCCAAATTCACATCCACTTGGAACCCAAAAATGGGACCTTACTGGAAATAAAAGATCTTTACAGATGTCATTAAGGTTAGGATCTCCAGATGAGAGCATCTTGGATTTATTTAGGATGGGCCCTAAATCCAATGACAGGCATCCTTGTAAGAGAAAAGAGAGGCCGGGCATCGTGGCTTGCACCTGGAATCCCAGCACTTTGGGAGGCCAAGGTGAGAGGATCACTTGAGGCCGGGAGTTCAAGACCAGCCTGGACAACATAGCGGAACCCCATCTTTACAAAGAATTGGCTGGGCATGGTGGTGCACACCTGTAGTCCCAGCTACTCAGGAGGCTGAGGTGGGAGGCTCACTTGAGCCCAGGAGTTCAAGTCTGCAGTGAGCTATGATCGCACCATTGCACTCCGGCCTGGGTGACAGAGCGAGACCCTAGCTCTTACAAAAAAAAAAAAGAAAAGAAAGGGAATTAGTCACAGAGGTGACAGCCATGTGATTGTGAAGGCACAGAGCAGGCTGATCAGTCTATAAGCCAAGGAACTCCTGGAGCCAGCAGACGCCAGGAGAGAGGCCTGGGACAGTCTCCCTCAGAGCCACCAGTAGGAACCAGCTCTGCGGACACCTTTATTTTTGACTTTTGGCCTCCAGAACTATGAGGAGATGACACATTTCTGTCGTTCTAAGCCACCCGGTTTGTGGCATTTTGTTGTGGCAGTTTTAGGAAATGAACACAAGTGGGTTTGGGGGGAAGATGGCGGGGGTTGATTTGGGGTTTGTTGAGTCTGAACTGCGAGTTGGCTGGATGCACACAGGGTCCGGCTGTCCCCTGGAGGTACAGGCTGTTATTCACGAGGAGGGCTCATTCAACTCTGGGTGGTGTTTAAGGACCTGAGCCTGGATGGATCCACCAGCTGGTGTCCACCCATCTCCCAGACCCTCACAAGTGCTAATCTGAGCCCCCAGGACCTGGCCTCAGTGGACTTGGCCTTCCTAGCTGTCCATGATCAGCCTTCAAGATGCCAGACTTTCAGCCTAGAGCAACCCCTGACTGTTTCTTCTTCTTTATTCTTTTTTATTTTTTACAGTTGGGGTCTCACTCTGTCACCCTGGCTGGAGTGCAGTGGCACAATCACAGTTCACTGCAGCCTCCAACTCCTGGGCCCAAGTGATCCTCCTGCCTCAGCCTCCTGAGCAGCTGGGACTACAGGGGTGTGCCACCATGTCTGGCTAACATTTTTTTTATTTTTTGTAGAGACCGGGGTCTTGCTTTGTTGCCCAGGCTTGTCTCAAACTCCTGGGCTCAAGTAATCCTCCTGCCTCGGCCTCCCAAAGTGTTGGGATTACAGGCATCAGCCACTGTGCCTGGCCTTCTCTTTTATTTTCTAAATGTTATTTTTAATAATGCTGTTATATTATTATTGTTGTAAAAAAATCCACACTTTAAAAAGATGCTTTTCCTCTCCCTGTATCTGAACAGCACCATCTCATCCTAACAGCCACAGACATCAGGCTCCTGCTGACAGTGACAAGATCAGGGCCACCCTGAATGGCCTCTTTTGCCCACTTCCTCCCCTTTGCTGCACCTGGTGTGTGGGCCACCTCCAGCGTGGTCTTCTCCACTGAAGGCTGAACCTGCCTCCCTTGCTCCCACCTCAACCCAGGCACTTCTTCCCCAATACCTTGTACTAGGTAGTCGGTGGTCTCTCTCTCCACCTCAGGGCTGAGCTGCTGGGTTTTCTGAAGATACTTCAAGACAAAGACGTTGGGTGCAAAGTGGATCATGTTCTGCTCTCCACAGCCAAACGGCAGCCGCAGGAGGTTGTTGAGGTGGTTCAGGGTTGGCCCCATGACGTCCCCTGGTGGGAAGGAGAAGAGAGTTGAGTTGGGGGCTGTCCCAGTTCAGTAGAGAACAGGGACAGCTTTACCCAGGGATGGGAGACAGTGAGTGTCATGCAGTCAGCCACCCAACTGCCCTTTGGGACTGGCACCCTCTGCCTGCTCAGACCAGCTGGTGTCCTGGCTTTGGTGACAGTTTTACACACCTCCTTCTGTGTTCTTTAGTTTTAACTCAGGCTTTCTTTCTCTAGCTTTTCATTCTGTTCAATGCTTTTTCCCTCCCTGGCTTTTAAAATAGGTGCATTGAAAGCTATACATTGGCCTCTAAGTACAACTTTGGTTGCATCCTACAAATATTGGTATGTCTATACAATCATTCTCATTCTATTCTAGTCTTTCTAAAATATTTTTTTTTTTTTGAGATGGAGTCTCACTCCATCACCCAGGCTGGAGTATAGTGGCACAATCTCGGTTCACTGCAACCTCCGCTTCCCAGGTTCAAGCAACTCTCCTGCCTCAGCCTCCTGAGTAGCTGGGACTACAGGCGTGTGCCACCACACCCAACTAATTTTTTATTTTTATTTTTTTAGTAGAGACAGGGTTTCATCATGTTGGCCAGGCTGGTCTTGAACTCCTGACCTCAGGTGATCCACCTGCCTCTGCCTCCCAAAGTGCCGGAATTACAGGCGTGATCCACTGCACCTGGTCCTAAAATATTCTTTCTAAAATATTCAGATTTTCTCTTTAACCAAGAGCACTTCAATTTTTAAAAAAAGTTTCTATATGTATGGAGTTGGAGGTGCATTTTTCAGTTTTCTCTCTTTAAAAAAAAATTATGGTTCTCCCATCCCCTTGACATTCCGTATTCCTCTTCTTGGCTTCCTTGTCTCAAATATTTCTGATGGACCCCCCTGGGACCCCCAATGTCCCCTGAACACACCTTCTTTCCTTCTTTATTTTATTTTATTTTATTTTATTTATTTTTAGATGGAATCTCACTCTGTCACCAGGCTGGACTGCAGTGGCATGATCTTGGCTCACTGCAACCTCTGCCTCCCAGGTTCAAGTGATTCTCCTGCCTCAGCCTCCCAAGTAGCTGGGATTACAGGCTTGTGCCACCACGCCCAGCTAATTTTTGTATTTTTAGAAGAGACGAGCTTTCTCCATGTTGGCCAGGATGATCTCCATCTCTTGATCTCGTTATCCACCTGCCTCGGCCTCCCAAAGTGCTGGGATTACAGGCGTGAGCCACCACGCCTGGCCCCTTCTTTCTTTCTTTAGCCTCTCTGCATGTCTCACTGAGGCTGCCATTGCCCCTACAGCTCTTGTTGCACAAATAGCCTGGCTACTTTCTAGGCTCTAGGCTCCCCAGCTTTTTCTCCATCTGCTGTGTCACTGAAGGCACTGGCACACAGATCCCAGACGTCGCCTCCTCTCCATTCCTGCCTCTCTGCTTCTTCTCCTATCTCATTCAGTTCCATCTTAGTCACTCAGCCCCACATCCACTCTGACTTGCTCTCGTGCCTCAGGAATTGTAAACTTGAAATTCCTCTGATCTGGCCACAACCACCTACCTGCCTGAGTCCCAGGGCCTCCACCCTCTGATGTCAGAGAGAGCCTCGACACCCTCATTTGGGTCTGTCCATCTCCTTCCGGCCTCTCACCCTCTCCTCCCTGACTCAGGCCCATCCCAAACTCTCACCACCCTTCTGCCCAACTCCTAGCCCTGGATCAATCACAGCCCCTCCAGCACCTGGGCTACTAGAGGCATCCTGATATGGATTGGCTGTGTCCCCAACCAAATCTTGTCTTGAATTGTAGCTCCCATAATTCCCACATGTTGTGGGAAGGACTCGGTGGGAGATAACTGAATTATGGGGGCGGCTTCCCCATACTGTTCTCGCAGTAGTGAATAAGTCTTACGAGATCTGATGGTTTTATAAGGCGAAAACCCCTTTCACTTGGCTCTCATTCTCTCATTCTCCCTGGGACCATGTAAGACGTACCTGTCGCCTTCCACCATGATTGTGAGGCCTCCCCAGCCACGTGAAACTGTGAGTCAATTAAACCTCTTTTTCTTTATAAATTACCCAGTCTTGGGTATGTCTTTATCAGCAGCATGAAAACAGACTAATACACATCCCAACCCTACAGACCCCCTAAGGCTGCTTCCAATGTCCCTAGTCAGAGCCTCTCACCCCTACTCAGCAACTGCTCCGGACGCCTGCCCCATCACCAAGACCCCCCAGGCCTCCATCCTGCACCGCATATCTGGCTGACTTATTCAGGTATTTGTGTTTTCTTGGATCTTGTCCTTGGCCCACTGCCCTCACAGGGTTCACTGCAGGTTCTTAGGGGTCACCCTACCCTGACCTCTGCATAAGGTTTAGACTTGGGGGGCTCTAGATCTGCCATCTCACCTGGACTAGGAGTCCCTCAAGGGTGGGGTTGGGATCAGCTCTTGGGCTTCCTCAATGCCCAGCACATGGATGGGCATAGAGAAGGCACTGGAAGCTGCTTGTCAGGTGAGTGGGTGTATGGGTGGACACCCCAAGACACAGGTCCCCAGCAAAGCCCAGCTTGAGACTAAGCCTGGAGTCTCAACTTCGGCTCTTGCCCCCTGACCTCTCCAAGCCAGGCTGTGGGACAGACGCACCGATGATGGAGGCGGTGGCTCGCTCAGACCCAGGGATGGCGCCGTGTGGGACCCCCAGGGTGAAGGCCTCGCTGTAGCTCTCGTCCACCTCCATCTTCCTCCAGATTCGGAATTCACCCATGGAGCCCCAGCCGGTGGAAAAGCCAATGAACTGGACCTCTGGTGGCCTCGGGAGGGTCCAGGCCACAATGACAGACTCATTGGATGGCTCTGGACCATGGCCAACCTGGAAAAAGAAACCAAGGCTGCTGGACGCTGGCAGGAAGCAGGCAGTAGGCACTCAGGTGGCAGTGACACCAGCTTTGTGGCCAGGGTCAGAGGCCTCAGCCATGCTCACAGTGCAAGGAAGGGTCTTCGGGGAGTCAGAGGTGAGAGAAATCAGGTTACCCCATCCATTAAACAGCCAACAGAAACATAAGGCATGGCATCTACAGGTTCCAAAGTCATTGGGCTCCTTGGAACCTCTGGACCTTTGCACATGCTATTGCTCTGCCTAGAGAACCTACTCTGCTTCCATTTTGCCTAGCGAACTCCTATTCATACTTCAAAACCTACTTTGGTTATGTTCTTCCTCTAGGAAGCAGTATTAGCTTCCTGTGTTGGGAAGCTGTGTTAGCTTCTATATCTTCTTTTTCCTTGGCCCAGAAAACACCCCCCAACCCCCATTTCACTTGCTCATGTCCATTCTTCTTTTCTCCCCTACCTCCTCTCTCTGCTCCCTGATCCTTGGGTGCTTCCTCTGCCACAGCTCTTGCTACATGTTTTTTTTTTTTTTTCGGTAAGCGACTCTAGACTAAGAACAACTTGAGGTGGTGCTCCATGTTTCCCTTGCTCCTCCTGACCCTGGATCAAAGCCTGGCACCAAACAGGAAGCAGCTAGTATTGGAGGAACATGAGGCTTCTGCACAAGCCCCAGGCAGTTCTGCTGTATACCTGGATAAGGCCACCACGCCAGCTGATCCAGAATGTTCTGAATTCATCCCAGGAGAGGATCTTGGCCGTGTGTGCACTGGCCACGGGCTCTCCCATCTTGCTGGTGGAGATCCATGACCTGGTGTTCTGATGCCCCCCCAGGACGATCTCGATCATGCCTGCTGTGTCCTGGGGCCCAGAAGACAAGGCCACACGGGCATCATTGTGAGCTCGCACAGCCACATCAAAGCGGGTGAGGCGCAGTGGCCGCTGCACATACTGGAACTCATACTTGTTGGGGGTGGAGATGTGGACTCTCTCTGGATGGAGGAAAGGAGATGGGGAGTTGAGAGGGCACCTGGAGGCATCCCACTTTCCCTGATGGTACCTGGAGGTGAGCACCAGGACCACAAGGAGTGGGTCTCACTGTGACTCGGCACACATGGTGGAATGGTGTTGGCCTAACAATGGCATTGGCAATGGCACACAAAAGATAAAATGGGACTGGGCAGAGTAGCTGACACCTGTAATCCCAGCACTTTAGGAGGCTGAGGCAGGAAGACTACTTGAGGCCAGGAGTTCAAGACCAGCCTGGGCAACATAGCAAGACTCTTATCTCTACAAAAATGTTTTTAAGTTAACAGTGGCATGCATCTGTTGCCCCAGCTACTTGGGAGGCCAAGGCAGGAGGATCGCTTGAGCCCAGGAGTTCAAGGCTGCAGTGAGCCATGATTGCACCATTGCATTCCAGCCTGGGTGACTCTCTCTCTAAAAAACAAGCAAGATTCTCTCTCTAAAAACAAAAAGATAAGATGCTCAGGGATAAATCTGACCAAAGATGAGCAAGGTGTTGAAAATTGCAAAAGGCTGAAGAGAGAAACAAAAGAAAACCCAAATCAACAAAAGCTAGACCATGTTCATGGACTATCATGAACATTAGAGTTCTTCCCCAGATGGTTCTACAGATTCAAAGCAATCCCAGTCAAAATCCCAGGAGGCTCTTTTGGAGAAATTGCTAACTGGATTCCAAAATTTATACAGACACGCAAAGGACCTAGGAGAGCTCAACTTTGGTAAAGAACCCAGCACTCTGGGAGGCTGAGGCAGGTGGACCACCTGAGATCAGGAGTTTGAGACCAACCTGACCCACATGGTGAAACTCCGTCTCTACTAAAAAGACAAAAATTAGTCGGGCGTGGGGGTAGGTGCCTGTAATCCCGGCTACTCAGGAGGCTGAGGTGGGAGAATCACTTGAACCCAGGAGGTGGAGGTTTCAGTGAGCTGAGATCGTGCCACTGCACTCCAGCATCGGCGACAAGAGTGAAACTCCATCTCAAAAAAAAAAGAAAAAAAAAAGAACACAACTGGAAAACTCACACTCTCTGACACTGAGACTTACCATAAAGTGACAGGAATCACCACAATGTGATATGAGTATCAGGAAACATAAATGCACCAATTATTATGTGGGGAGAGGGGCTACTTAGAGGCATCTGGTACTTGCCTCCTTGACGAACAAAAATAACAAGTAGATCATCACACTTTGACTAGTTCATCTAAGAACACTGGAATTCAACAGAGAAGTGACAAGAAACACCTAAAGCGAAGAAGGAAATGGAAATAATACATGGTGCTTGGCGGGAATCAGCTGGGGGCCGGGAGTAGCTCCCCAGTGTGAGGAAAGGGTGAGTGAACCCCCGTGGTCCCCATTCCCACCGTGGACTCTAGCAGCTCTAGCCATGGGAGAGCCCCTAGATCCTCGTGGGCCACAGACTAGCCTAGGGAGATACCCAGAGATTGTGCAAAGATACTGTTCCAGAGAGGGGGCTAAGGCTGGGTCTCACACACCCTTGAGCCCTAAGCAGCTACAGCAGGGCACCGTATCGAGATCCTAGCCACTGCCAGGCTGCATTCTGCCTGGGGGCCAAACAGCTCCTGCATCTTCACATCTCTGGAGCCCCACTTACATTCCCTGCTCACAGCCACCACCAAGGCTGGCTGCTGCCACCAGGAATGAAGCCCAAGCCATTGGCAATGACCTCACTGCCCCCAGCAGTGAAGCTGCTGCACACTTTCACGTGCCCCGAGGGCTAACTCCCCAACCTGCAGCAACTGCCGCTATGGGATGCTGCAGCCAGGGGCCAAAGCATGAGCAAAGCTCATGCTCCCCAGCCACTGCATATGGCTGCTGTCACTGGAAGCAACTGCACCCTCCCCAGTAGCAAGGCTGAACCCGAGCATTCCACCAGAGACCTAAGAATCACCCCACCCCTGCCTACCATAGCCAGCAACTGCACACACCACCAGGGAGCCTGAGATAGGTCGGCCCAGCCCAGCTCTGTCCCCGCAAGTGCCTGAGGGTGCCATCCAAGGGCCTTGAGACTCCCAGCCTAGTTCACCACAGCCGGCACCTGAGCGCTCCTCCTAGGCATCTGAGGTCAGGCTCACCCAACCTAATGTGTGCCACTAACACCACAGCTGGCACACACCTGCCTATGCCACCTGTGGGCAAGGAGGTTGGCCTACCCAGCCTGTCACAGCCACCACCAACACCAGAGCAGATTGCTTGGGAGCCGGAGGGTCATCTCACCACTGCTACTGCCAGTGCCCATGCCAAGCCCACTGCCCAGGGGCTCAAGAACCTATCCATGTTCCTGGTCCACCGCTGCCACTACTGGCATTCAAGCTAGCTTCCTGGAAGTCCAAGAGTTGGCCCACCTGGACCCACTAACACTGGTACCAGTGTAGAATGCCCTGGTGCTCAAGGAAGTCATGCTTTGCCCACTGCTGCCAACACTGGGACCTGAGGACAGGTCCATCTGGCTTCCCCATCCCCAGCAAAACTTCATCACAGCCTCCACTAATAACTGCACCCTAAGCCACTCAGGAAATCACAGACACCACTGATGCTGTTTATAGCTAAAGAAATCATATGGAGACTACACTACTATACACATTCAGAATCAATCTAAATGCTGTACCCAACCAACACCACAGATAGATCTTCAGGAAAAAGTCTTCCTCTATGAAAGCAAATTCAAAAGATTGGAAGAAGCGACTGTTACACCAAACACCAAACGTATAGACATCACTGTAAGAACACAAGAAACGTGAAAAAGCAAGGAAACGTGACATCACCAAAGAAACACAATAATTCTTGAGCAACAGATTCCAGTAAAAAAAAAAATGTATGTAATTTTGGAAAAATAATTCAAAATAATGACATTAGCTGAGTGTGGTGGCTCACACCTCTAATTCCAATACTTTGAGGGTCAAGGCAGGTGAGGCCAGGCATTCAAGACCAGCCTGGGCAACATGGCGAAACCCCATCTCTAACAAAAATGCAAAAAATTAGCCAGGCGTGGTGGCATGTGCTTGTAGTCCTAGCTTCTTGGGGGTCTGAGGTGGGAGGATCACCTGGGCCCAAGAGGTCAAGGCTGCAGTGAGCCATGATTGTGCCACTGCACTCCAGCCTGGGCAACAGAGTGAGATCCTGTCTCAAGAAATAGTAATGGTAATGATATAAAAGAAGCTCAGTGAGACAAAAGAGAACACGTAAGAACCATACAAAGAAGTCAGAAAAACAATTCAAAAAGGAACCAAACAAATTCTGAAACTGAAGAATTCATTAAATGAAATACAAAATAGGAAGCTTCAATAATAAACTAGATGAAGTAGAAGAAAGAATTTCAGAACTTGAAGACAGATCTTTTAAAATAACCCAATCAGACAAAAATAAAGATAAAAGAAAGAACAAAGCCAACATGACAAATGGGACACTATAAAGTAACCAAATACTCAAAATTTTGGTGTCCCAGAAAGTGAAGAAAAAACAAAAGGGGTAGAAAACCTATTTAACAAAATAATAGCTGAAAACTTCCCAAGTCTAATAAGAGATTTAGGCATCCAGATACAGGAAGCTCAGACACCTCCAAATGGGTATAATTCAAAAAGGTCTTCTCCACAGCACATTATGGTCAAACTGTCAAAAGACAAAAATATCATTTTTTTCTTTTACTTTTTCTTTTCCCTTTTTTCCAGTGTGGTTGGACAAAAAGATAGTTCTAAAGACAGCAAGAGAGGGCTTGGCACAGTGGCTCACACCTGTAATCCCAGCATTTTGGGAGGCTGAGGCAGGAAGATCACTTGAGGCCAGGAGTTCAAGACCAGCCTGGGCAACATAATCTTTTCAATAAATGGTGCTGGCACAGTTGGCTATCCAAATGCAGAAACATAAACTTTGATGCATATCTTGCATGGTAATCCAAAATTAACTCAAAATGAATCATGGCCACTTTGTAGTGTAAAACTTAAAACTACAAAATTTTGAGAAAAAAAAAACAGGGTTTAGCAAAGATTTCTTAAATATAGCAAATGCATTAATGAATAAAAAGAAAAAATAATAAATTGCACTTAATTAATATAAAAAAACTTCTGCTTCTCAAAAGATATAATTAAGAGAATGAATGAAAAGGTAAGCCACGGTCTGGGAGAAATATTTTTGCAAAGCATTTATCTGATAAAGAACTTGTATCCAGAATATATTTTCAAATCTCAAAATGCAATAAAAAAAGTACAACTCAATTTTGAACAGGTTAAAAGATTGGAACAGACGTTTTTCCACAAAAAAAAAGACATACTCATAGCAAACAGGCAAATGAAAATATGCTTAAGATCATCAGTCATGATGGAAATGCAAGCTGAAACCACAGGGAGATGTCACTGGGTATCTATTAGAATGGCTAAAAGTAAAAAGACTAACAATACTAAATGTTGGTGAGGATGGGGAGGAAATGGAACTCTCACATACTGCAGGTGGGAATACAAAATGGCCTGAGCACTTTAGAAAACAGGTTGGCAGTTTCTTAAAAAGTTAAACATACACGAACCATATGATTCTGTTCTTTCATTCCTAGCTATTGACCCAAGAGAAAGGAAAGCATGTTACCCAGAAAAGACACAAATGATAATAGTAGCTTTATTTGAGATACTCCCAAACTGGAAACAGCTTGAAAGTTCATCAACAGATGAATGGATGAATACATTGTGATATATCCATTCAATGGAATCCTACTCAGCCTTAAAATGATTGAATTATTGACACATGCACCATGGATGAATCTCAAAATTATTATCCTGAAAGAAACCAGACAAAAAGAATACATACGACATGATTCCATTTATATAACATTCTGGAAAATACAAACTAATCTACAGAGACAGAAAGCAGCTCAGTGGTCCCTAGTGATGGAGTAAACAGGAGTGAGAGATTACAAACGGGCATGACTCTTGGGAGGTGAAGGAAATGTTTGTTATCTTAGTTGTGACAATGGTTTCACAGACGTACATATATGTTAAAACTCACCAAATTGCACATTTAAAATGTGTGTAATTTATTGTATGTCAATTATGCCTCAATAAACATATTTAAAATATTATTGCCTTTACTATTCATATAAATATGTTCATAAAAGTGTTAATTACAATATTAAAAAGTAGAAGTACTATAAGAAAGTCCAGTAATATGTTCCAAAATGTTCCATAACATGTTCTAAAATGCTCCATAATGGTTAAATTATGGAACAGTTATTATGAAACATTCTGAGGCTGTCTTGAAATGCTGTTCATAAAGACTTTATACTAACCAGAAAAAGTGCTCAGAATGTGTTAAGTGAAAAATGCAGCATATATAATTACATAGTGCGTGAAGTAACAACTATGTTAAAACAAACAATAATCAACCCTATGAAAGCAAATACAACAAAATGTCAAAGGAAGTCTTCTTTGGGTGTGAACCAGAGGAGATGCTTTTCCTTCTACCTTCCCAAATTTCTGCAATACACATGTATTGCTTTTCATTTTACAATGTTTTAATTGTGGTAAAATATATATAACATAAAATGTACCATCTTAACCATTTTTCAGGGTAGAGTTCAATGGCATTAAGTACACTCAATGTTGTGCAACCACCACCACCATCACCCATTTCAAGAACTCTTTTCATCCTGTAAAACTGTAACTCTGCACCCATTATTACATTAAGCACTCGCTCCCTATTCCCTCCTCCCCCAGCCTCTTGTAAACACCATTCTACTTTCTTTCTCTATGATTTTGACTACTCTAAGTGCCTCATATAAGTGGAATCATATGGTATTTGTACATATGTATTGCTTTTAAAAATGTTTTTAACTTAAAGTTTTGCTAAGATAATCACATGCAATTGTTATAAATAATTCAGAGAGCTCTCTGTACCCGTTTCCCCCTCTCCCCATGGTAACATCTTGCAAAATCACAATCAGGAATATTGACATTGATAAAATCCATCAATCTTATTCAGCTTTCTCCAATTCTATTTGTACTTTTTATGTGAGTGCCATGTAATTTTATCACATATGTAGGTACACGAATCCACTACCACAGTCAAGGTACTAAACATTCCCAACACCACAGAGATTCTCACCGTTGCCCATTTATAACCATATCCATCCCCTACTTCCTTCTCCCTCTCCCTAACCCCTGGCAACCACTAATATGACCTCCATTTATAAAATTTTGTCATTTCAAAAATATAAATGGAATAATTCATGTATCTTTTGGGATTTTCTTCCCACTCAATTCCCTTCATTCAAGATTCATCCAAGTTGTTTTATGTATCAATAGTTTGTCCTTTTTATTAATGAGTAGTATTCCAAGGCTTGAATGCACAGTTTGTTAAGTCATTCACCTGCTGAAGGACATCCGGGCTGTTTCCAGTTTGGGGCTACTACAAATAAAGCTAATATGAACATCTATGTACAAGTTTTTGTGTGAACATAAGTCTTTGTTTCTCTGAGATCAATACTCAGGAGTACAACTACTGAGTGGTGGGGTAGTTGCATGCTCAGTTTTTTAAGAAACCACCAAACTGTTTTTAAAAACTACCAAAGGTGGCTGTACCATTTTACATTTCCACCAGCAAAGTTTGAGTGGTCCACTTTCTCCACATCTTTGCCATCATTTAGTGTTCACTATTTTTTTTTTTTTTTGAGATAGCAACTCACTCTGTCGCCTAGGCTGGAGTGTGGTGGTGCCATCACAGTTCACTGCCACCTCAGCCTCTCAGGGTCAAGCAATCCTCCCTCCTCAGCCTCCCAAGTAGCTAGGACTACAGGCACAAGCCACCATGCCCAGCTAATATTTTGTATTTTTGTAGAGACAGGGTCTCATCATGTTGGCCAGGCTGGTCTTGAACTCCTGGACTCAAGTTCTCCACCCACCTTGGCCTCTCAAAGTGCTGGGATTATAGGCATGAGCCACTGCGCCCAGCTCTATTTTTAATCTTAGCCATTCTTATAGGTGGTGTGTAGGGGTATGTCATTATGCTGTAATTTGCATTTCCCTAATGATAAATGATGTTGAGCATCTTTTTATGTGCAATTTGCCATCTGTATGTCTCCTCTGGTGAAATGTCTGGTTATTTCTTTTGCCCACTTTTTTGTTTGTTTGTTTGTTGTTGTTGTTGAGATGGAGTCTCATTCTGTCACCCAGGCTGGAGTGCAGTGGCGCAATCTTGGCTCACTGCAACCTCTGCCTCCCAGGTTCAAGCTATTCTCATGCCTCAGCCTCCTAAGTAGCTGGGACCACAGGCACCTGCCACCATGCCTGGCTAATTTTTTTTTGTATTTTTTGTAGAGATGGAGTTTCACCGTGCTGGTCAGGCTGGTCTCGAACTCTTGACCTCAAGTGATCCACCTGCCTCGGCCTCCCAAAGTGCTGGGATTACAGGTGTGAGCCACCACAGTCGGCCTTGCCCACTTTTAATTAGATGGTTTGTTTTATTCACTACTGAATTGGAGACTTCATTATATATTCTAAAAACCAGTAATTTGATAAGGTTTGCAAATGTATTTTCTCCCAGTCTGTAGACTGTAGTTCCTCCCTTAACAGGGTTTATTGTGGAGAAAAAAACTTTTAAAGTTTGAAGAGGTTTATTTATTAATGTTTCCTTTTATAGATTGTACTTTTCAAGTCTAAAAACTATATGCTTGGCTCTAGGTGGCAGATCTTTTTTTCCCTCTTTTCTTTCTCCTTCCTTCCTTCCTTCCTTTTTTCCTTCCTTTCCTTCCCTTCCTCTTTCCTTTCTCCCTTCCTTCCTTCCCTCCTGCCTTCCTTCCTTCCTTCCTTCCTTCCTCCTTCCTTCCTTTCTTCCTTCCCTCCCTCCATCCCTCCCTCCCTTCCTTACTTCATTTTTTTGAGACAGGGTTTCTCTCTGTCAACCAGGCTGGAGTGTAGTGGTACAATAAAGGCTCACTACAACCTCCACCTCCTGGGCTCAAGCAATCCTCCCACCTCCACCTCCCAAGTAGCTGGGACTACAGGCGTGCACCACCACGTCTGGCTAAGTTTTTGTTTGCTTGTTTGCTTGTTTGTTTAATTTTTTGTAGAGATGGGATTTCACCATGTTGCCCAGGCTGTCCTGTGTTTTTTTCTAAAAGCACTATGGTTTTACGTTTAAGTCCATGATCCATTTAGGGTTCATTCTCGTGTAAGGTGTGATCTTTAGGTCCAGCCTCATGTGTTGTTGTTGTTGTTTTGAGACGGAGTCTCACTCTGTCACCCAGGCTGGAGTGCTGTGATGCAAACTTGGCTCACTGCAACCTCCACCTCTTGGGTTCAAGAGATTCTGCTGTCTCAACCTCCCAAGTAGCTGGGATTACAGGCACACACAACCACACCTGGCTAACTTCATACTTTTTTTTTTTTTTTTTTTTGAGTTGGAGTCTCGCTCTGTCACCCAGGCTGGAGTGCAATGGCGTGATCTCGGCTCACTGCAACCTCCGCCTCCCCGGTTCAAGTGATTCTCCTGCCTCAGCCTCCTGAGCAGCTGGGATTACAGGTGCGTGCCACCACGACCAGCTAATTTTTTGTATTTTTAGTAGAGATGGGGTTTCACCATGTTGGTCAGGCTTGGTCTCAAACTCCTAACCTTGTGATCCACCCGCCTCGGCCTCCCAGAGTGCTGGGATTATAGGCGTGAGCCTACCGCGCCCGGCCAACTTTGTACTTTTAGTATTGATAAGTTTCACCACGTTGGCCAGGCTGGTCTCAAACTCCTGACTTCAAATGATCCACCTTCCTCAGGATCCCAAAGTGCTGGGATTACAGGTGTGAGCCACCGTGCCCGGGCAGCCTAACCTTCTTGCTTGGTGCCTGCAGTGCACATTCCTGTGTATTCATTCCCTGCGTATTCCCTGTGTATTCATTCCCTGAGTATTCATTCCCTGTGTATTCATTCATTCATGCCCCACCCTCACTGGCTCTGCCTGTCCCCAGCTGGGACATCGTTCTTCCTAAACCACAGTGCCCCCTTCCCAGGGGAAGGGCAGGTGCTCACTTTGCAGCGGGACAGCCCCCACAGTGTGGGAAAGGGGGAAGGCCAAAGTCCTGACCCAGCCAGGTGGCCACACCTTAGCAGAATGGGCACGGGGGACTCACCACTGGGACAGAAGAATGCGCTGTAGGTGTACGCCCGGGGGACTCCTTCCGCCTGAAACAAAGAAACAAGGAGAACTGAGTGCTGGGGCGGTGAGGGGGATGGTCAGCTCAGCGGAGCAGCTGGCTCTCCCACAGCAATGACTTCAAGTCCAGACCACATAATTGTGCTTCCAGGTTTTACGTGGTATCAGCACGGTCACACCAAGATCACAGGTGCGTGGAGCAGGACAGGGCCACCCACTTCCCAGGCTCCAATGGGGAAACTGAGGCTGCTCCCCCTTGCTGGCCAAAAGGAACTCACCAACTGCTTCTAAACTTGTCATGGGGCCCACATCCCTACCCTACCCTCCCAGCCACCCTCTTCCTCCCATCTCCCTCTGGGCAGAGGACATCATGAGGACAAATAAGCCAGGTTCTGAGGCCTCATTTGACATCCGTGAGCACTGTGAGAGGGGCTCCTGCATCTGCCAAGGACGAGTCTCCGTCCCACTGTCTGTCTACCACATCTCTTGTCTCCTGTCTCTTCCATCTGGGTTCTCATTTCTGCTTCTTCTATGGATGACCCCAAATACCAGAAGGCAGCTGTCTCAGTCTCTTAAAAAGGGATGCCCAGAATTTAACCCCCTATACCTTGCGGAGCTTGGTCTGACCAACACGGCCCCTGTGGGGGCCCTTGGATCAGACCTCAAAGGGTTAACATGGGGCAGCTGCAACCAGAAGGCCTGGCAGCCCCTTTCCCCATTAGGATGGTCAATTTTATTTATTTATTTATTTATTTATTTATTTATTTATTTATCTATCTATCTATGTATCTATCTATCTATCTATGGACAGAGTCTCACTCTGTCGCCCAGGCTGGAGTGCAGTGGTGTGAGTGATCTCAGCTCATTGAAACTTCTGCCTCCTGGGTTTAAGCAAGTCTCATGCCTCAGCCTCCCAAGTAGCTGGGACTACAGGCACATGCCACCACGCCAAGCTAATTTTTTATATTTTTAGTGGAGATGGGATTTTGCCATGTTGGCCAGGCTAGTCTCAAGCTCCTGACCTCAAGCGATCCGCCTGCCTCGGCCTCCGAAAGTGCTGGGATTACAGGCATGAGACACCGTGCCCAGCCTAGGATGGTCAATTTTAGGTGTCAACTGGACTGGGCTCCAGGATGCCCAGGTAGCTGGTTAAACACTCTATCTGGGCGCGTCCAGGAAGTGCTTCTGCAAGAGATCAGCATTGGTGTTGGAGGACTGAGTAGGGCACACGGCCCTCTCCAATGTGAGTGGGCACCATCCAAGCTGTTAAACGTCTCCTGATAGAACAAGACAGAGGAAGATTGGTTCCACTCTCTGCCCAACTGCTTGAGCTGGGACATTGATCTTCTCCTGCTCCTGGTTCCCAGGCCTTCAGACCTGGGCTGGAATCTACACCATTGGTTCTCCAGCTCTCAGGCCTTCCAGCTACACCACTGGCTTTACTGGGTCTTTAGCTTTTTTGTTGTTGTTGTTGTTGTTTTGGGTTTTTTTTGTTTTTGTTTTTGTTTTTTTTTAGATGGAGTCTCACTCTGTTGCCCAGGCTGGAGTGCAATGGCGCGATCTCGGTTCACTACAACCTCCGCCTCCTGAGTTCAAATGATCTTCCTGCCTCAGCCTCCTGAGTAGCAGGGATTACAGGCACCACCACCAGGCCCAGCTAATTTTTGTACTTTTAGTAGAGACAGGGTTTCACTATGTTGGCCAGGCTAGTCTCGAACTCCTGACCTCAGGTGATCTGCCTGCCTCAGCCTCCCAAAGTGCTAGGATTACAGGCGTGAGCCACCACGCCCGGCCTCCTGGGTCTCTATCTTGCAGAGGGCAGCTTGTAAACTTCTCGGCTTCCATAAGCGCATGAGCCAGTACCTTATGATAAACCTATCCTACAGATGTATGTGTGGGAGTGTGTTTATATAACAAATCTCATTCTATGTATGTAGGGGGTGCGGATTTCTGTTTCTCTGGTGAATCCTAATACAACCATTCCTGCTGACTGGCTTAGGGCCACTCACTCAACCTCTCTGGGCCCCCATTTCTTCATCTCTAAGATGGGGGTTAAAGACCCCCAACTTCACCTTGTGACGGGGTTATCATGCTTCAGAAAGGGTCTGGAGTCTTCTCAGTGCTACTGACAGTCAGTTCTTGTTATATTTTCTCATCCTTACCTACTTTCATTACAAAGCTCTCCTTGAAATTGTCATGTGTCTATACTGATGAGTCCAGGAGATGCTTGTCCCCACTCACATCCACTTCCTAGTAAAGTTCCCAGGGTTGGTGCTGAGAGGCTGAGGACACCATCTCAGGCTACATCGAGCCGTCCACCTGCCAGGATTTCATCTCACACCTGCTAGGCCCGATGTGGCACCCACGGGTCATTTGCTAAGCTAGGGGGCACCAGGGAAGGCCCCAGAAGCATTGCTTAGGCCTCAGTAACCCCCCATCTACCTGCCTGGCCCCTTGTCGGGAAAGGGATTTGGAGCAATGGGCAGGGCTAGGCCATTGTAACCCACGGTAGTTTTTTGTTTTTTGTTTTTGAGATGGAATCTCGCTCTGTCGCCCAGGCTGGAGTCCAGTGGCGCAGTCTCAGCTCACTGCAACCTCTGCCTCCCAGGTTCAAGCAATTCTCCTGTCTCAGCCTCCCAAGTAGCTGGGATTACAGGTGCCTGCCACCACACCTGGCTAATTTTTTGTATAGTTTAGTAGAGACGGGGTTTCACCATGTTGGCCAGGCTGGTCTCGAACTCCTGGCCTCAGGTGATCCACCTGCCTTGGCCTCCCAAAGTGCTGGGATTACAGGCATGAGCCACTGTGCCTGGCCTCATGGTAGCTTTTTAACAGCTACATAATCCTAAAAATTGTGCATAACCTAAATGTCCACCATAGGTGAACAGATAAAGAAAATGTGGTTCATCCATCCAGTGGAATATGATTGAGCCATAGAAGCAAGCACGTATCTATGCTGCACCGTGGATGAACCCTGAACACATTGTGCTGAGTGAGAGAAGCCAGACTCAAAAGGCCACATGTTGTATGATTCCATTGATACAAAATGTCCCGTGGGCAAATCCATAGAGACAGAACCAGATCCATTCTGTTGGTGGTGAGTGATATGGTTTGGATTTGTGTTCCCACCCAAATCTCATGTTGAATTGTAATCCTCAATGTTGGAAGAGGGGCCTGGTGGAAGGTGATTGGATCATGGGGGCGGATTTCCCCCTTGCTGTTCTCGTGATAATGGGTGAGTTCTCATGAGATCTGGTTGTTTGAAACTGTGAAGCGGCTGGGCACGGTGGCTCACGCCTGTAATCCCAGCACTTTGGGAGGCCGAGGTGAGTGGATCACGAGGTCAAGAGATTGAGACCAGCCTGGCCAACATGGTGAAACCCTGCCTCTACTAAAAATATAAAAATTATCCGGGCATGGTGGCAGGTGCCTGCAATCCCAGCTATTCGGGAGGCTGAGGCAGGAGACTCGCTTGAACAAGGAGGCTGGAGGTTGCAATGAGCTGAGATCATGCCATTGCACTCCAGCGTGGCGACAGAGCGAGACTCCATCTCAAAACAACAACAAGAACAACAACAACAAAACTGTGAAGCACCTCCCCTTCCCTCCTCCTCCTGCTCCAGCCATGTAAGACACGCCTGCTTCTCCTTCACCTCCTGCCATGATTGTAAGTTTCCTGAGGCCTCCCCAGCCATGCTTCCTGTACAGCCTACAGAGCTGTGAGCCAATTAAACCTCTTTTCTTTACTAATTATCCAGTCATGGTCGGGCACAGTGGCTCATGCCTGTAATCCCAGCACTTTGGGAGACCGAGGCGGGCGGGTCACCTGAGGTCAGGCGTTCAAGACCAACCTGGCCAACATGGTGAAACCCCGTCTCTACTAAAAATACAAAAATTAGCCAGGTGTGGTGGTGCATGCCTGTAGTCCCCGCTACTCAGGAGGCTGAGAAAGAAGAATCACTGGAACCTGGGAGGTGGAGGTTGCAGTGAGCTGAGATTGCACCACTGCACTCCAGCCTGGGCGACAGAGTGAGACTCCATCCCCAAAACTAGTAATAATATAAATAAACTAATAAATAAATAACCCAGTCTCAGGTATTTCTTTATAGCAATGTAAGAACGAACTAATACAACAAGGATGCACTGTGCCTCTGGCTGACCATTGGCTGGGGCCCTGGGCACAAATCCAGGGGCCCCTCATGGTTTCTGGGTCCCAAGAAACCTCTGCTGACTCAGCTCACAGAGGACCCCACAGCTGGCTTCCTCAATGATGCCCATCTCTTCCACTCTGCCCCTCTGCCGTGGCTTGGGTTTGCTCCTTGAGTGTTAGCCCATCTCGGGCTGCACTTGTCCATCCTGGTTCCAACCTCCTTTGTCTCTGTGCTCTTTCTGGCTTGGGGCCAGATCTCAGAACACGGAGCCTGCATGATGCACGAATAGTAGCTCCGGCTGGGCATTTCTAAAGCCTTGTAGTACAGATCTGTGCTTCACTCCTTTCGGCCTCTCTGGATTTGCCTGTTCTGGGCATTTCATATAAATTGAATCATACACCATGTGGCCTTTTGTGTTTGACTTTTTTCTTTTTTCTTTTTTCTTTTTTTTTTTTTTGAGACAGGGTCTGGCTCTCTCACCCAGGCTAGAGTGCAGTGTTGCAAGAGTCCCTCTGTTGCTTACTGTAACTCTCACCTCCTGGACTCAAGCAATCCTCCCTCCTCAGCCTCCTGAGGAGCTGGGACTACAGGTGTGTGCCACCACGCCCAGCTAATTTTTGTATTTTTAGTAGGGACAGGGTTTTGCCATGTTGCCCAGGCTGGTCTCAAACTCTTGACTTCAGGTGGTCTGCCCACCTTGGCCTCCCAAAGTGCTGGGACTATAGGCGTGAGCCACCGTGCCCGGCCTGTGTCTGTCTTCTTTCACTCGGTATCACGTTTTCTAGGTTTATCCACGTTGTAGCATGGATCAGTGCTTTATTTATTTATTTATTTATTCATTCATTCATTCATTTAGACAGGGTCTGGCTCTGTTTTCCAGGCTGAGTATAGTGGCATAATCATAGCTCACTGCAGCCTCCAACTTCTGGCCTCAAGCCATCCTCCTGCCTCAGCCTCCCAAAGCACAAGGATTACAGGTGTGAGCCACCACACCCAGCCCTTCACTCCATTTCACAGCTGAATAATATTCCATTGCATTGAGGAATTGCATTTCATTGACCCACATTCATTTCTCTAATTCATCAGCTGATGGACATTTCCTAAAATAGAAAGTGTATCCCTGACTTTGGTTTGGGATTCCCCAGTTGACTGTTATAAATGCCTGTGTGACAACAGCACGTGGGTCTTTAGTAGACAGGCCAGATACCATGAGAGGCTTTCCACCAACACTCTCATTTAACCATCCAACGCTTCCATCCGAATCTGGGGCTCTCACTCCAGAGCCCACTCCCTGGCTGGCCAGCCCTCCTATCACTCCAGTGAGGCCCGAATTATTTCTGCCTCCTCTTTGCTCCTTGGAATTTCACTGAAGTGAAATTCACGTGGAGATGATTGAACACTCTCAGCCTCCCAGCAGATATAGAGGATCTTAGTCCCCTTGCAGGCCAGCAGGGGAGCAAGGCAGAGCGGTGTCCGTACTCCCTGCACCTGCCAAGCCATCCCCACCCTGGTACAGTGCCCATGATGGGCCGTGCACAGATGATGATTCCCCACCGGCCCATGCATCGTATTCAGCTTCCTGCTCCTAAGTCCATCTCAGCTGGTGGCGCCCACAGTCCTCCGGTGGGAAGAGGTAGGAGGAGCATTTTGCTGCTTTATCAAGCCACACATCCTGGTGCCTCTTGTTTCATAAATTGCTTTTCTAATTGTAGCTTCATCTTTTGCATCAACATTTCAAGTCTTCTGATGCCTGTATCTTTCCCCAGAGCTGCCTCCAGGAAGCCGGACAAGTGGATACTGCAGGTGCAGAGACAGTTCTGCGGCATGGATGGGAGGAAAGGCTCCAGGGAAGGAGACCCTCAAGAGTCCCCCTGTGTGCATTGAGAAATCCCTTCTGTAAGGGGAGGAGGCAAGAACGCCAGGCCTCCAGGTTCTGCAGCTCGGAGGGGCTCGCTGCCTCCTTCTTGGGCCTTAGGAGGGCAGGCTGTGGCCCAGGGAGGATGCCCTGGCTGGGCAAAGGGTGACTGGGGGTCTCTGCATTTCCCCATCTGGACCCTCCCACCCTGCTGGCTCACAGAGATCTCGGTCCCCACCTGACAGCACTCTTGTCCCCAAGGAATCCATCACATCACATCAACGACACTACAGCGGTGACCTGTCCACTGTCACCGCTCCGGAGTTCTGCCCAGTGGGCACATGACTCCTGGTGCTGACAGAAGCCACTTGTGTTCAGGGCCAGCAGGATCCCAGCAGGGAGGGAGAGCAGCTGTTTGCAGCTGGGCCTCTGGGGAATGTGAGTCCCTTCGGGCTGCTGTTAGGGGCTGTTGGTGCGGCACCAAATGGAGCCTCAGTAGGGCTCTGATGTGTCCAAGCAGCCAAGAAAAGATGAGGCATGGTGGCTGCTGCATGCTCAGCCCTGAGACATCTGTGTGTCATCTCTGGCTTCCCACCCCATCTTATGAAGGTGAGCCCCTCGTCTTACAGAGCGGGGCTGGAAAGCCAGGATGCTTCCCGAGATCATGGGTAAGTGGCCAATCCTGGATTCATAGCTGGGGGTCTGCAAGATCCTGGCGCCTGCCTCTGCCCCCTGCAGCTCTGTGTCCTTCCTACACAGGCCATCCAATGACAATGCCCCAAATGCTGAGTCATGGTCCCCATAAATGCCTATGACAAGCACGAGATGAGGGACATGGTCTTCCTAAATAGTTCACCCAGGGGTCAGGGAGCACTTGCTGCAGCCCCTGAAGAGTCCCAAGCTGCTTTACCGAAGCCCACTCTGCGCTTTAGGGAGGGAACGGACTACCATGATCCTCTAACAAGGAAGTACCCGAAAGTCCAGGCACCTGAGCTCTCAAGCACAACCCGTGAAGGCTGCCCAGGCCCTGGCTCAGCCTCAGACCACACACTCCAGCTGGGCCCAGCTTCATGGCTGAAGGAATGAGGCCCTGGCTAAGCACCAGAGATGAGGACACGGCCTTACCTCAACCATCACACTGCGCCTGACGTGATCCACCCCGATGGGGACCCTCCTGTCGGCGTGATTCTCCTCAGGGTGTTTGCTGGACCTCCCATCCCGGCAGCAATTTGTGTCTCCGTAAGCAAGGGCTTTGGCTGCAGAAATTTGATGTCTTGGTCTCAGAACAGGTCTCCACCCAAGATGGGGGCTGTCCCATCCCTATCCTTATCCCAGATGTGTGTGCATGCATGCATGTGTGTGTGTGTGCATGTGTGTGTGTATATGCAGATGTGTGCATGCATGCAAGTGTGTATGTCTGCACATGTATGCATGTGTTTGAATGTACAGGCTCATGTGTGCATATGCATGCACTTGTACATGTGTTTGTGTGTACGAGTTTGTGCATATGCACGTGTGTGCATTTGTGTGCACGAGTTTGTGTGTGCATTTGTGTGTGTACAAATATGTGTGTGCATATGCATGTGTGTATCTGTACGTGTGTTTGTGTGTATATGCATGTGTGTGCATTTTTCCATGTTTGTGTGTACAAGTTTGTATGTGTATATGCATGTGTGTATGTGTGTGCATGTGTTTGTACAGGTTCGTGTGTGCAATGCATATCTGCACATGTGGGCATGTGTGTGTGTATGATTTGTGTGTGTGTGTGCATGTCTGCATGTGCAGGCATGTGTCTGTGTGTGTGGATTTGTGTGTGATGCATGTCTACACATGTGGGCATGTGTGTGTGTGGATTCGTGTGTGTGATGCATGTCTACACATGCAGGCATGTGCGTGTGTGGATTTGTTTGTATATGTATGTATGTCTACACGTGGGGGTGTGTGTGTGTGGATTTGTGTGTGTGTATATGCATGTCTACACATGTGGGCATGTGTGTGGATTTGTGTGTGTGAATGCATGTCTACACATGTGGGCATGTGTGTGGATCTGTGTGTATGCATGTCTACACATGTGGGCATGTGTGTGTGGATTTGTGTGTGTGTGTGAATGCATGTCTACACATGTGGGCGTGTGTGTGGATTTGTGTGTGTGTATATGCACGTCTACACGTGGGCGTGTGTGTGTGGATTTGTGGTGTGTGTATGCATGTCTACACATGGGGACATGTGTGTGGATTTGTGTGTGTGTATATGCATGTCTACACGTGGGTGTGTGTGTGGATTTGTGGTGTGTGTATGCATGTCTACACATGTGGACGTGTGTGTGTGGATTTGTGTGTGTGCATGTCTACACATGTGGGCGTGTGTGTGGATTTGTGTGTGTATGCATGTCTGCATGTGTGTGTGCTACACTGGGTTGGCACCTTAAGAGCCCAGCTCCCCCAACAGGTGAGACCCCAGGGCTTGCCTCCCCACTCCTCCTGGGCCCATTCCTTCTGTCCTGCTTGCCCCAGTTGCTGTCCCATTTTCCTTGGGACAGTCCTGACCTTACCTGCTGCCCCATCCACCCCTCATCCCCAACTCGGGTCAATGCCAGGACACTTTTGTGGCCTGGAGAGGGGGGACACCCCAAGAACTGTGGGGTCCTCACCCGTGATGTTGTTGAGTCCCAGGTCGCTGAAGGACAGAACGACCCAGATGGGCTCAGCCTCCCCGGGGGCCACACACATCTTCTTGGTCACATGGCGTTTGCCAGGATGCCCAACAAACTGGATGCCCTTGGGAACCGAGAGCTTCATGTACACCTGCAGAGGGTGGCATTGGCTCATGGCGCCTGGAATCCAGACCCCCTCCCAGTGCCTGGAGGCCCAACACACATCCCACCACTCACTGCACACACCAGACTTGTCAGCCTCCCAAAGAGCCATGCTCCCCCCGGGAAGGTCCCCTTTCCATTTCCGATCAGAACAAACTACCCTCTGCTGTCTGGTGCCCCACTTGGCCTTCTCATGCCCATCTGTCTTGCTGTGAGACCTCTCCTCCCCACAGCCCTCCGTATCCTCACAGGTCCAGATCTCCCATGGACTGAAGCTGCCAGTTCCAGCCAGGGCTGCCTCTCCTGCATGTCCATCCACTCCGGGACTCCAGATGGATGTAACCTCTCCCACAGCAGGTCCACAGAGTGCCTCTCCTGACCCTCTTTCCAACCGTGCAGCTCCATGATGTCAGAGTACAGCTCTGTGTGTGCACGTGTGTGTTTATTCATGTGCATGTGTGTGCTGTGAATGCATGTGTCCCCTGGGTGCACACTTGTGTGCATGGATGCAAGCACAGACTGCATACACATGTGCATGCATGCATGTACACACATGTGCATCTACCGGGTGAAGGCATGTGGATATGCATTCGTGTGTGTGTGTATGGGCATGCTAGTTTCTGCATGCATGTGTGTGCCTATATGGGTACAGAGGTGCTATGGATGCACCCATGGGACTCCATGTGCATGTCTGTGCATGGATGTGCAAGTATGGCATGTGTATACATGTATCATGCATGTACATGTGCATATGTATACCATGATGACTTGTGTGGGTGCATCATGTGCATGCTCACACATACTGGTCTCTGTGTGCATGTGTGTGCATTTTGCAGGGTGTGTGCATGTGCATTGTGGGTGCATATGCAAGCACGTTTGCAACCCCTCCATCTAAGAGGAAATCTTTGCTCCACATCCATTTGTCCAACCAGCATATATGGAGCACCTACTGGGTGCCCCGCTAGGAATTAAAGAAATGGCTGATCAAGACATGAGTGATTGCTGAGCCTCAGAATGTTGTCCCACCCAAGGACTGGCACAGAGGCTGCAGGTGTGATGTGGAGAGAAGCATGCGGGGAAAATGTGAAGTGGCATACATGATAGAGTCCTGAATCCTGACAAAGGAAAGGCCCAGCTAGATCTGAGAGCCAATGGCTGCTGCAGGGTGCACATCAGGAATCCCCACATCCCCCTCAAGGTAGCATTTTCCCAGGAAGAAAGAAAGAGGCTGGGTGCGGTGGCTCACACCTGTAATCCCAGCACTTTGGGAGGCTGAGGCAGGCAGATCACCTGAGGTCAGGAGTTTGACACCAGCTTGGCCAACATGAGGAAACCCCATCTCTACTAAAGACCAGGCGTAGTGCTGGGCACCTGTAATCCCAGCTACTCAGGAGGCTGAGGCAGAGGAATCCTTGAACCTAGGAGGTGGAGGTTGCAGTAAGCCAAGATCACACCACTGCACTCCAGCCTGGGCAACAGAGCGAGACTCCATCAAAAGAAGAAGAAAAGGAAAGAAGGGGTAAGGAGGAGAAAAGACGGGAAAGGAGGGGAAGGGAGGGGAAGAGAGGGGAAGAGAGGGGAAGGGAAGGGAAGGGAGGAGAAGGGAAGAGAAGGGAAGGGAGGGAAAGGAAAGGGAAGGGAAGGGAAGGGAAGGGAAGGGAAGGGAAGGGAAGGGAAAGGAAGGGGAGTGGAGGGGAGAGGAGCAGAGGGGGGAGGGGAGGGGGAGGGGAAGGGAAGGGAGAAAGAAAAGAAAGAAAGAGAGAGAAAAGAAAAGAAAGAAAGAAAAGAAAGAAAGAAGGAAGGAAGGACGGGAGGGGGGGAGGGAGGGAGGAAGGAAGGGAGGAAGGAAGGAGAAAGAAAGAAACTCAACAGTGTCAATGAGCCATTTTCCAGGTCCTGAGTGAAATGACCAGCGCTCCCCACTGGAGGGTCTGAATGGGTATGTTTTCTCTGTCTTGGGGATGGTCATACAAGCTGGGGTGGTCCTTAAGCACATACACTGCCCAGCAGGACTTCCTTCTTCCTGCTGGAAAAGCTAGACACCAGCATGCGCTCAGAGCCAAGCCGGACATCTGGGGATTCTGCTCACAGGTTTCAGAGGGAAACCTCCCTTTAGGGGCCAACCTACAGGTCAGGGCATAGTCTGTGTGTATGCTTTCTTTTGGAAACCGAGATCCTATTCCTCCCAACCATAATCCATATAAAAAGAACGGTAAAGGATGGATTGTAAAGGTTGGGACTGAAGCTAGGATTCTGGGCACCACTACCTGGCCATTCTGAGTCTAACATCTCCCATTTACTCCTCACCGAAGCCACCCTGTGACCGCTGCCTTGGTTGCTTCCTGCCTCCTTGCCTCTTGCCTAGACAATGGCAGGAGCCTCTGACCTCCTCGTCCTCTTGCTCCTCACCTGCTTTTCCATCTTCCCTGACCAGACCCCAAAGCCAAGCCAAACTATGTCTGAGGCAGGACCCAGGAAAGGTCAAGCTGCCTCCTGCTTCTGTTGCTTGTACATGCTGTTCCCTCTTTGCGAATGCCCTTCCCGCCCCGATGCCTGACTCAAACATCACCTGCAGACTCTCAGGTTCAGGGGGACTTCCCCTTTTCTGGGCTGTCCCGGCACCCGTAGACATTGATTCTAACACACAGCTCCACCACTCACTCCCTGGAGGCCCCTGAACCCATGACAATGCTTCTTTGAGCTTCCTAATGGTGAATGATTCCATCACAGACCCTTCTTCCTTGGCCCACACAGGAGCTTGATAAAATGATGAAGGTGGCCAGGCGTGGTGGCTCATGCCTGTAATCCCAGCATTTTGGGAGGCCACGGCAGGCAGATGGCTTAAGGTCAGGAGTTCGAGACCAGCCTGGCCAACATAGTGAAACCCCGTCTCTACTAAAAATACAAAAATTAGCTAGGCGTGGTGGCGGGCGCCTGTAATCCCAGCTACTCAGGAGGCTGAGGCAGGAGAATCGCTTGAACCCGGGAGGCGGAGGTTGCAGTGAGCCAAGATCACGCCACTGCACTCCAGCCTGGGTGACAGAGCGAGATCCTATCTCAAATAAATAAATAAATAAATAAATAATAATGCAGGTAAAATTGTCAGTCCAGCACCAGCTGCAGAAGTACATGCCCCACCAAAACTGAGTGAGTGGGATCTAAACACAAACCACTTCGCTCCAAGGTTGAGCTTGGATCTCACATCCTGCATGACGGGATCTTCTGATACTGGCACAAGCCACCAGAAGCCAAGAGACAGGGAGAGAGGGGCCAAATGCAGTGGCTCATGCCTGTAATCCCAGCACTCTGGCAGGCCGAAGTGGGAGGGTCACTTGAGGCCAGGAGTTCAAGACCAGCCTGAGCAACATATGGAGATGCCATCTCTACGAAAATAAAATAAAATAATTAGCCAGGCATGGTGGTGCACACCTGTAGTCCCATCTACTTGAGAGGCTGAGGAGGGGGGATTGCTTGAGCCCAGGAGGTCAAGGCTGCAGTGAGCTGTGATTGTACCAGTGCGCTCCAGCCTGGGTGATAGAGTAAGACCCTGTCTCGAAAAAAAAAAAAAAAAAAAAAAGAGAAAGAGAGAGAAAGAAAGGCATAGACAGATTCTCCCTCAGGGCCTCCAAAAGGGACCAGCCCTGATGACACCTTGCCTTCACACTTCTTCTCGTGAACTGTGGGACAATACATTTCTGTTGTTTTAAGCCACCTGGTTTGGGCTACCTTACTAGCCCAAGGAGACTAGGACAGCAGCCTTTCCTGCCGCCTCCAAGAGAGAGCTTTGGCCTTCACTGCACACCTCTGGCAGACACTGGAACCCCAATAATATCATCGAAAAACAGCCCTGCTTAATGTTCTCAGTGTCTACTGAGACTAACTCATTTAACCCTTTAACGCCCAGCGAGGCTCCGACACACCAACAGATTGAATAACGTGCCCAAGATCAGCAGCTCTATGAGTATAAACCGGGATCCCAAGCACCCTCTCTGTTCACCACCAGGATTTCCTGGTACTTTGTGGGGAGCCTGTGAATTAAGACCCATAGGCCAAACCGGATCCACCACCTGTCTTTTGGGCCCACAAGCTAAAGATGGTTTTCATCTTTTTCAAATGGTTAGGAGGAAAAAAAATTAAAAGAAGAATGATTATTTTGTGACAGGTGAAAATTCTATGGAGTTCGGATTTCAGTGTCTAGAAATCAAGTTTTATTGGAACACAGCCATATCTATTCAGGTAAGAGATCATCTAGGTTGCTTTTATGCTATAAGGGCTGAGTTGAGTCGCTGCCACAGGGATTGTGTGGCTGGCAAAGACAGAAATATTTCCTATCTGGCCCTTTACAGAGAAAGCTCCATGCTATCATATATGATACCAGTCCAGGCACGCCCTTGCTAGGCCAGGGAGTCAGGGACAACAGCTCCACTTACACCAAGTCCCTCTCACTCACACACATGCGTCCCCACCTCCTCCTCACCCGGCTTTGACGGTTGGTGAATCAGAGGCTGATCTCATCCCACTCCTGCCTCCCTGACAGCACAGATGACGCATCCTCCCCAAAGCCCCCCAGGCTGAGCCCACCCATCCCTGCCTCCTCAACATCATAGAGGCTCTCGCCCTCCTAAATCCCCCAAGCTGACACTGTCCCACCCCTGCCTACCTTATAGCACCAATGCAGTCCCAACTCCCCACTGAATGGAGGAAGGCTATGTATTTGGGGGGCTGAGTACCTCAGCGCAGGTGCCCATGTAGTTGTAGACACTGAGCGGGATCTTGACCTGCTCCCCACGGATGATGAGAGCGGGGAGCATGAAGTCCACGAAGAAGGGCTTGAAGGTCTTCAGCAGGGAGGGCTCGGCGATGCCTAAGCCCTGAGAGGTGGACAGGGCCACGGCCTCACCCACCCAGCTGGTGATGGAGTCCGGGACCTTCACACTGAGTGTCCCCTCACCAGATGGGTCACTGCGGAGAGACAGACAGCCATGATGGGGGGCCCTTCTCCAGGGCCATGCCTCAGGGGGGCCAGTGGGCATGGATGACCCAGGCTGCATGGCTCAGAGAGGCACCCTAGGAGCTTAGAAACAAGCATTGAAGGCATCACAAAAGCGGCAACAGGAAAAAAACTGTCCCTCAGCCCTGACTCTAATAGAAAACATGGGCTGGGCGCAGTGGCTCATGCCTGTAATACCAGCACTCTGAGAGGCCGAGGTGGGAGACTGCCCGAGCCCAGGAGTTCCGGACCACCCTAGGCAAGATGATGAGACCGTGTTGCTACAAAAAATTTAAAAATTAGGTGGGTATAGTGACACATGCCTGTAGGCCCAGCTACTCAGGAGGCTGAAGTGGGGGATTCACTTGAGCCCAGGTGGTCGAGGGTGCAGTGAGCTGTGATCCCGCCACTGCAGTCCAGCCTCAGCAACAGAGTGAGATCCCTGTCACACACACACAAAAATATTATTGAAAGAAACTAAAAAAGACAAAAAAAGACATAAATAAATGAAAACATTTCCCATGTTCATGGATCGGAAAGACTTGTTAAAATGTCAAAACTACCCAAAGTGATCTATAGATTCAATGGAACCCCTATCATAAACCCCAATGACTTTTTATTTTATTTTATTTTGCAGAAATAGAAAACTCCACCTTGAGATTTTACATGGATCTCAAGGGATCCTGGTGGCCAAACAAAGAAACCAGAAGAATAAAGCTGGAGAGCTCACACTTCAAAACTTACCACAAAGCTACCATATTCAAATCAATGTGTTACTGGCATAAAGACAGACATACAGACCAATGGAATCAAATAGAGAGCCCAGGAATAAACCTTGACGACACAGATAAATGATTTTTGACAAGGGCATCAAGATACTTTAGGGAAAAGACAATCTTTTTAACAAATACTGCTAGAAAAAGCAAACATCCATATGCAAAAGAATGAATTTGGACCTTACCTAACACCATATACAAAAGTTAACTCAAAATGAATCCATGACTTGAAAGTAAAAACTAAAACTATAAAACTCTTAGAAGAAAACAGGGCAAAAGCTTCATGACATTGGGTTTGACAATGATTTCATGGATATGAAAACAAAGGTACAAGCAAAAAAAAAAAAAAAAGAGTAGACAAGTTGGACTTTATGAAAACTGCAAAATTTTGAGCATCAAAAGACACTATTCAAGGGCTGGCATGGTAGCTTACTCCTGTAATCCCAGCACTTTGGGAGGCCAAGGAAGGAGGATCACTTGAGCCCAGGAGTTTGAGACCAGCCTGAGCAACACAGCAAGACCCTATCTTTACAAAAAATTAAAAAATTTAGCCAGGAGTGGTGGTGTGTACCTGTAGACCCAGCTACTTGGGAGGCTGAGGTTGGGGGATCACTTGAACACCTGGGTGACAGAGTGAGACCTTGTCTCAAAAAAAAAAAAAAAAAAGGCACTATCAACAGAGTAAAAAGTCAACCCAGTGGGAGAAAATATTTGCAAGTCATATATCTGATAAGGAAATAATATCCAGAATATATAGAGAACTCCTGAAACTCAATAACAAAAACAGCAACATGATTCAAAAATGGGCAAATTACTTGAATAGACATTTCACCAAAGAAGATAGACAAATGACTGATAAATACATGAAAGATGCTCAACATCACTAATCATTAGGGAAATGCAAATAAAAACCACAATGAGATGCCACTTCATGTACTTAATTAGGATATTAAAAAAGAAAAGGCAAGAAAAAAGGCTGGGCATGGTGGCTCACACCTATAATCCCAGCACTTTGGGAGGCCGAGGTGGGTGGATCACTTGAGGTCAGGAGTCTGGCCATTGTGAATAACGCTGTGAACATGGGTATACAAATATCCCTTTGAGACCCTGCTTCCCATTCTTTTGGGTATACACCCAGAAGTAGTGGGTGAAACCCCGTCTCTACTAAAAATACGAAAATTAGCCAGGTGTGGTGGTGCGTGTCTGTAGTTCCAGCTATTTGGGAGGCTGAGGCAGGAGAATTGTGTGAACCTGGGAGGCGGAGGGTGCAGTGAGCTGAGATTGCACCACTGCACTCCTGCCTGGGTGACAGAGCGAGACTCTATCTCAAAAAAAAAAAAAAAGAAAAGAAAGAAAAAGAGAACAGCAAGTGTTTCTGAGGATGTGGTAAGATTGGAACCCTGGTACACTGTTAGTAGAAATGTAAAACGCTGCAGCTGCTGTGGAAATTAGTCTGGAGGTTCCTTAAAAAATTAAACATAAAATTACCACATGATTCAGCAATTCTACTTCTGGGTATACACCCAAAAGAATGGGAAGCAGGGTCTCAAAGGGATATTTGTATACCCCTGTTCACAGCATTATTCACAATAGCCAAAAGGTGGAAGCAACTCAAGGGTCCATCGACAGAAAATAAATGGATAAACAAAATGAGGGAATCCATGCAATAGGATATTATTCAACCTTAAAAGGGAAGGAGGCTGGGTACAGTGGCTCACGCCTGTAATCCCAGCACTTTGGGAGGCCGAGGGGGGTGGATCACGAGGTCAGGAAATCGAGATCATCCTGGTCAACATGGTGAAACCCCATCTCTACTAAAATACAAAAAATTAGCTAGGCATTGGCTGGGCACGGTGGCTCATGCCTGCAATCCCAGCACTTTGGGAGGCCGAGGCGGGCGGATCACGAGGTCAGGAGATCGATACCATCCTGGGTAACACGGTGAAACCCCGTCTCTACTAAAAATACAAAAAATTAGCAGGGCATGGTGGTGGGCGGCTGTGGTCCCAGCTACTCAGGAGGCTGAGGCAGGAGAATGGCGTGAACCCAGGAGGCAGAGTTTGCAGTGAGCCGAGATCGCACCACTGCACTCCAGCCTGGGCAACAGAGCAAGATGCTGTCTCACACACAAACACACAAAAATAGCTGGGCATGGTGGCGCATGCCTATAGTCCCAGCTATTTGGAAGGTTAAGGCAGAGGAATCACTTGAACCCTGGAGGCAGAGGTTGCAGTGAGCCGAGATTGTGCCACTGCACTCCAGCCTGGTGACAGAGCAAGACTCCATCTCAAGAAAAAAAAAAAAAAGAGAGAAGGAAATTCTGACATGGATTCTCCAACAAAGATGAACCTTGGGGACATGTTGAAATAAGCCAGTCACAAAACGACAAATACTACATGATTCCACTTACAGGCGGTCCCTAGAATAGTCAAACTCAGAGACAGAAAGGGTTGTTACCAAAGGCTGGGGGAAGGGAAGAGAGGGGAGTGAGTGTTTAATGGGACAGAGTGTCAGTTTTGTAAGATGAAAGGAGTCACAGAAATGGGTGATGGTGATGTTGGCACAATAACGTGAGTGTCCTTAATACCACTGAACTATACACTTAAAAATGGTTAAGATCGTAAATTTTATGTGGAGTATTTCACCATAATTTTTTAAACCAATTCATTTTTGAATCATTTTCCCTTTTTGAGACAGGGTCTCACTCTGTAGCCCAGGCTGGAGTGCAGTGGTGTAATTTCGTGTCACTGCAGCCTCAACCTCCTGGGCTCAAGCGATCCTCCCACTTCAGCTTCCCAAGTAGCTAGGACCACAAGCATGTGCCACCACACCTGGCTAATTTAAAAATTTTTTTTAGAGATGGGGCCTTGCTATGTTGCCCAGGCTGGTCTTGAACTCCTGGGCTCAAGCAATCCTCCTGCCTCAGCCTCTCAAAGTGCTGGGATTACAGGCATAAGCCACCACACCCCGCCTTTAAACGGGTGTGGTTTAAAAGAGAGTTGACCAGTCCTCTTTTGGGTCCAGCAGGAACCTCCTCCCTGGTCTCAGATCTGTCCCCTCTGATTCATCCTTGCTCCAGCCAACAAGAGAGGAGAGAGAACATCCCGAATCCTAAATCCCAAATCCCTGGCTCTCCACACCTGCACCCCTAACCCCACCCCCACAGCCCACATGGTCTCATACTCCCTGCATCCTCCTCAGCTCCTTCCATCTCATTTCAACCATGTGGAAATCCACCAGCCTCTCCTACTTTGCAGCACTTGCTCATGCTGGTCCTTCCTGGACACCCTTCCCTTTCTTGCTTATTCATATGGTGGGACTCAGCTTGGGCCCTACATTGAGGACCCTCTCTGGCTTTTCCAAAGGATTCCACCATCTTTCTCTGCCTCCCAAGCTCCATGCCCAGCCTTCCAGAAGACTAACCCCACTGCACCATGATGGCTCTTTAGGCACCTGTCTACTCTAGCTACAATGAAAATGTTATGAGTGCTGGGACTCTGTCTACCTTATTCAAGGGACCATCCTTAACATCAAAAACATCCGGGCCAGGAGCAGTAGCTCACACCTGTAATTCTAACACGTTGAGAGGCCAAGACAGGAAGATCACTTGAGGCCAGGAGTTTCAGACCAGCCTGGGCAACATACAGAGACCCCATCTCTATGAAATATTTTTTTTTTTTTGAGACGGAGTCTTGCTCTGTCACCCAGGCTGGAGAGCAGTGGCGCCATCTTGGCTCACTGCAACCTCCGTCTCCCAGGTTCATGCCACTCTCTTACCTCAGCCTCCCGAGTAGCTGGGACTACAGGCGCCCGCCACCATGCCCAGCTATTTTTTGCGTTTTTAGTAGAGACAGGGTTTCACCATGTTAGAGAGGGTGGTCTCGATCTCCTGATCTCGTGATCCACCTGCCTCAGCCTCCCAAAGTGCTGGGATTACAGGCATGAGCTACCATGCCCAGCCCTAATAAAAGTTAATTGAAAAAATTTTTTAACAATAAAAAAAGCTCACCAGACATCCAGAAAGTAGATACATTTGAATGATGATGGACAGATAGCCTGTCTTACAGCTGGGCCCCCAGAACAAAACACAGTGAACTGGATGTGTTCTGATCAGCAGTCAAACCTTCCCACGATGAGGACATACACATCCCCCAAAGCAGTCTGAGGGGCCCCCAGCTGCGTGCCTGGCTCTGCCAAGCACTTGCCACAGCACCTTGTGCCTGGAGGAAGGGCACAGCTCCAGCAGTCAGCCCACCTGCTGGCCCGGGCTGGACCAAGAGTCAGTTTTCATGCCAAACTGGTTTGCCGGGGCACGCCAGTGCCACTTTTTACTAGTGTCATTGGTGCTCTAACGCTGAGCATTGCAAGAAAAAAAGTCAATTGCATCCAGCAGAAAAGGGTTGCCTACACTCCTGCTTCAAAGAGAACTAAACGGGGAAAAATGCAGAAAGGAAATGTGTTGAGAAAGGCATCCTGTTTTTTGAGCAAGAGCTGTAGTCCCCTGAGGAGCAAGGAGTGGGGGTAGGTGGAGTCAAGTTCATGTTCCAGGGAACTGTAATCATTTTAATGAGCTCGTTATACAAACAGAGCAGATAGAGTAACCCCAAGAGGGAGTTATAAGAGGCACAAAGCCCTTGCATTTCATATTTCACAGGCAAACGTCCAAATGTGCAGCGGGACTCAAGGCTGGCTTCATGGCTTGAAGTTTTGTGTGTTAGAAAAAGATGCACAGTGTCTTGCTCAGATGTTGGTATCAGGCCTGCCCATCTCACCGGAGGCTCTCTGGACCCGCATGAGTGTCTTTCACTCAACCGGCAAAGTCAGCGCAGAAAAGAAATCTTAATGTACCTGATGTTGAGACAATGCCAAATCCATGTTTCGGGGAAGAAAGTCCTTTTTCTCTTCTCTGTTCTATGAAAAGAAAAAAAGAAACGATTAAGGTTTCATGAACATAACAAATCTTATGTGAACCTAGCAGCTTTGCATTCTATTTGATCAGATATAACGCGTTAATTTCTTTTACCTGGAAGGGTTAACATTGTACTTCACTGGGATATAACATGTTAATTCTCTTACCTGGCAGGGTTAACAGTCTACTTGATTAGGACATAACTTGTTTTTTTAAAAACTTTATTTTAGGTTCAGAAGTACATGTGCAGGTCTGTTACATAGGTAAATGTGTGTCATGGGGGTTTGTTGTACAGATTATTTCATCACCCAGATACTAAGCCTATGCCCAATAGTTATTATTTCTGATCCTCTCTGTCTTCCCATCCCCCATCCTCAAGTAGACCTGTGTCTGTTCCCCCTTTTGTTTCCATGTGTTCTCATCATTTAGCTTCCACTTATAAGTGAGAACATGCAGTATTTGGTTTTCTGTTCCTGCATTAGTTTGCTAAGGATAATGGGCTCCAGCTCCATCCATGTTTCCACAAAAGACATGATTTTGTTCTTTTTTATGGCTGCATAGTATTCCATGGTATTTCTGTACCACATTTTATTTATCCAATCTGTCATTGATGAGCATTTAGGTTGATTCCAGGTCTTTGCTATTGTAAATAGTGCTGCAGTGAACATTTGTGTGCATGGGTCTTTATGGTAGAATGATTTATATTCCTTTGAGTATATACTCAGTAATGGGATTGCTGGCTCAAATGGTAGTACTGTTTTTAGTTCTTTGAGCAATCACCACACTGCTTTCCACAATGGTTGAACTAATTTACACTCCCATCAACTATGCATAGCATCCCCTTTTCTCCACTACCTCACCAACATCTGTTATTTTTTTACTTTTTTTTTCTTTTTTTTTTTTGAGATGGAGTTTCCTTCTTGTCACCCAGGCTGGAGTGCAATGGCACAATCTCAGCTCACTGCAACATCTGCCTCCCAGGTTCAAACGATTCTCCAGCCTCAGCCTCCCGAGTAGCTAGGATTACAGGCGCCTGCCACTACACCCAGCTAATTTTGTATTTTTAGTAGAGACGCAGTTTCACCATGTTGGTCAGGCTGGTCTCAAAATCCTGACCTCAGGTGATCCACCTGCCTCGGCCTCCCAAAGTTCTGGAATTACAGGCATGAGCCACCACACTCAGCTTATTTGTTGACTCTTTAATAATGGCCATTCTGACTGGCATGAGATGGCATCTCATTGTGGTTTTGATTTGCATTTCCCTTTTTTTTTTTTTTTGAGATGGAGTCTTGCTCTGTCACCCAGGCTGGAGTGCAGTGGTGCAATCTCTGCTCACTGCAACCTCCACCTCCCAGGTTCAAGTGATTCTCATGCCTCAGCCTCCTGAATTACACCTGGAATTGCAGGTGTGCCACCACGCCCGGCTAATTTTTGTATTTTTAGTAGAGATGGGGTTTTGTCATGTTGACCACGCTGGTCTCAAACTCCCGACATCAAGTGATCCACCCGCCTCGGCCTCCCAAAGTGCTGGGATTACAGGTGTGGGCCACTGTGCCTGGCCTGATTTGCATTTCTCTAGTTCAGTGACATTGAGGTTTTTTTCATATGCTTGTTGGCTGCACGTATATTTTCTTTTTTTTTTTTCGAGATGGAGTCTCTCTCTGTTGCCCAGACTGGAGTGCAATGGCACAATCTCGGTTCACTGCAGCCTCCGCCTCCCAGGTTCGAGCAATTCTCCTGCCTCAGCCTCCTGAGTAGCTGGGATTACAGGCGTCCACCACCATGTCCGGCTAATTTTTGTATTTTTAGTAGAGATGGGGTTTCACCATATTGGCCAGGCTGGTCTCGAACTCCTGACCTTGTGATCCACCCACCTCAGCCTCTCAAAGTGGTGGTATTACAGGCATAAGCCACCACGCCCGGCCTGCATGTGTATCTTCTTTGAAAAGTGTCTGCTCAAGGATGTAACTTGTTAACTCTTTTACCTGGCAGCGTTAACATTCTACTTAAGAATAGAAGAAGCAAGGTATCAAAGGCTTGGCAGAGTCCATCTTTAAACAGTCGTGCCTCCTCTCCTGGATGCAGAAGGGATAAAGGCCTGCAGGGGCCACCCTATATCCCTCCCTTTGCTAATTTCCCTCCCTGGGTTTTACCACGTTCATCTTCATCATCACACTGAACTCTCCACCTCCTGCTCACCCATCCTCTGTTTCCTAAGGAGTGCCTTCATGCATTCTTGTTTGAGCCTCAGAAGCCTCACAGTTCACCCTCCTCAAAGGCTGCTCCTTCTCCTTTCTCAAAAAAAAAAAAAAGGCTTTCTCAAAATTTGGCAAAAATAAAAATGCTCCTATCCTTTCAACCATCAACACCTCTCCTAGGAGCAGACCCCGGAAACACCCGCAGACGTGTGTGCAAACACAGAGAGATGGAGTGGTTCATCGTGGCACTAGGAAAATTAGCAAATAGCCCAAATCTCCATCATTAGGAGGACTGGAAAATCAAATGATAGTATATTCATTGGTGGACTATTATATATTTGTAAAAAAAAAAAAGAGTGAGGTAAACATGCATTTACTGATATGGAATGATTTCCAAGACTTGTTGTTAACTTTCAAAAGAAATGTACAAAATGACATTATGGTATTCTTCTATTCTTTTTTTTTTTAATCCTACATATGCACAGAAGAATATCTAAGAAATTATTCAGACTGGGCACAGTGGCTCACACCTGTAATCCCAGCACTTCGGGAGACTGAGGTGGGTGGATCACTGGAGGTCAGGAGTTCAAGACCAGCCTGGCCAACATGGTGAAACCCCCTCTCTACTAAAAATACAAAAGTTAGCCGGGTTTGGTGGTGCAGGCCTGTAATCCCAGCTACTCAGGAGGCTGAGACAGGAGTATCACTTGAACATGGAAGGCAGTGAGCTGAGATCCCATCACTGCACTCCAGCATGGGCAACAGAGTGAGACTCCTCCTCAAAAAAAAAAAATTATTCAGCTTTCCCTTCTGAAGAAGGGAATGGAGGGTCTGAGGGTGGGAAGGAGACTTAAATTTCATTATATATCCTCTTCTACTGCTTGAAAAAAATGTTAACCACATTTACATGGTTAAAAAAATATGTTGGGGCTATTCCAAGATGGCCAAATAGGAACAGCTCCAGTCTGTAGCTCCCAGTGTGATTGACACGGAAGATGGGTGATTTCTGCATTTCCAACTGAGGTACCTGGTTCATCTCATTGGGACTGGTTGGACAGTGGGTACAGCCCATGAAGGATGAGCCGCAGTAGGGCGGGGTGTCGCCTTACCCGGGAAGCACAAGGGGTCAGGGGATTTCCCTTTCCTAGCCAAGGGAAGCCGGGATAGACTGTACCTGGAAAAACAGGACACTCTCGCCCAAATACTGAGCTTTTCCCATGGTCTTAGCAACCAGCAGACCAGGAGATTCTCTCCCATGCCTGGCTGGGCGGGTCCCACGCCCGCAGAGCCTTGCTCACTGCTAGCACAGCAGTCTGAGATCGAACTGCGACGTGGCAGCCTGGTTGGGGGAGGGGTGCCCACCATTGCTGAGGCTGGAGTAAGTAAACAAAGTGGCTGGGAAGCTTAAACTGGGCGGAGCCCACTGCAGCTCAGCAAGGCCTACTGCCTCTATAGACTCCACCTCTGTGAGCAGGGCATGGCTGAACAAAAGGCAGCAGACAGTTTCTGCAGACTTAAACGTCCCTGTCTGACAGCTCTGAAGACAGCAGTCATTCTCCCAGCATGGCGTTTCAGCTCTGAGAACGGACAGACTGCCTCCTCAAGTGGGTCCCTGACCCCCATGTAGCCTAACTGGGAGACACCTCCCAGGAGGGGCCGACAAACACCTCATATAGGCGGGTACCCCTCTGAGACGAAGCTTCCAGAGGAAGGATCAGGCAGCAATATTTGCTGTTCTGCAATATTTGCTGTTCTGCAGCCTCCACTGGTGATACGCAGGCAGACAGGGTCTAGAGTGGACCTCCACCAAACTCCAACAGACCTGCAGCTGAGAGACCTGACGTTAGAAGGAAAATTAACAAACAGAAAGGAATAGCATCAACATCAACAAAAAGGACATCTACACCAAAGCCCCATCTGTAGGTTACCAGCATCAAAGACCAAAGGTAGATAAAACCACAAAGATGGGGAGATACAAGAGCAGAAAAGCTGATAATTCTAAAAACCTGCGCGCCTCTTCTCCTCCAAAGGATAGTAGCTCCTTGCCAGCAATGGAACAAAGCTGGACGGAGAATGACTTTGACAAATTGACAGAAGTAGGCTTCAGAAGGTTGGTAATAACAAACTTCTCTGAGCTAAAGGAGCACGTTCAAACCCATCGCAAGGAAGCTAAAAACCTTGAATAAAGGTTAGACGAATGGCTAACTAGAATAAACAGCATAGAGAAGAACTTAAATGACCTGATGGAGCTGAAAACCATGGCACGAGAACTTTGTGACGCAGGCACAAGTTTCAATAGCCGATTCGATCAAGTGGAAGAAAGGGTATCAGTGATTGAAGATTAAATTAATGAAATAAAGCAAAAAGACAAGGTTAGAGAAAAAAGAGTAAAAAGAAATGAACAAAGTCTCCAAGAAATATGGGACTATGTGAAAAGACCAAATCTACGTCTGATTGGTGTACCTGAAAGTGATGGGGAGAATGGAACCAAGTTGGAAAACACTCTGCAGGATATTATCCAGGAGAACTTCCCCAACCTAGCAAGGCAGGCCAACATTCAAATTCAGGAAATAAAGAGAACACCACAAAGATATTCCTCAGGAAGAGCAACCCCAAGACACATAATTGTCAGATTCACCAAAGTTGAAATGAAGGAAAAAATGTTAAGAGCAGCCAGAGAGAAAGGTCGGGTTAACCACAAAGGGAAGCCCATCAGACTAACAGCAGATCTCTTGGCAGAAACCCTACAAGCCAGAAGAGAGTGGGGGCCAATATTCAACATTCTTAAAGAAAAGAATTCTCAATCCAGAATTTCATATCCGGCCAAACTAAGCTTCATAAGTGAAGGAGAAATAAAATCCTTTACAGACAAGCAAATGCTGAGAGATTTTGTCACCACCAGGCCTGCCTTTCAAGAGCTCCTGAAGGAAGCACTAAACATAGAAAGGAACAACCAGTACCAGCCACTGCAAAAATATGCCAGATTGTAAAGACCGTTGATGCTATGAAGAAACTGCATCAATTAATGGGCAAAATAACCAGCTAATATCATAATGACAGGATCAAATTCACACATAACAATATTAACCTTAAATGTAAATGGGCTAAATGCCCCAATTAAAAGACACAGACTGGCAAATTGGATAAAGAGTCAAGACCCATTATTGTGCTGTATTCAGGAGACCCATCTCATGTGCAGAGACACACATAGTCTCAAAATAAATGGATGGAGGAAGATCTACCAAGCAAATGGAAAGCAAAAAAAGGCAGGGGTTGCAATCCTAGTCTCTGATAAAACAGACTTTAAACCAACAAAGATCAAAAGAGACAAAGAAGGCCATTACATAATGGTAAAGGAATCAATTCAACAAGAAGAGCTAACTATCCTAAATGTATATGCATGCAATACAGGAGCACCCAGATTCATAAAGCAAGTCCTTAGAGACCTACAAAGAGACTTAGACTCCCACACAATACTAATGGGAGACTTTAACACCCCTCTATCAATATTAGACAGATCAGTGAGACAGAAGGTTAACAAGGATATCCAGGAATTGAACTCAGCTCTGCACCAAGCAGACCTAATAGACATCTACAGAACTCTCCATCCTAAATCAACAGAATATACATTCTTCTCAGCATCACATCACACTTATTCTGAAATTGACCACATAATTGGAAGTAAAGCACTCCTCAGCAAATGTAAAAGAACAGAAATCACAACAAACTGTCAGACCACAGCACAATCAAATTAGAACTCAGGATTAAGAAACTCACTCAAAACCACACAACCACATGGAAACTGAACAACCTGCTCCTGAATGACTGCTGGGTAAATAACGGAATGAAGGCAGAAATAAAGATGTTCTTTGAAACCAATGAGAACAAAGACACAACACACCAGAATCTCTGGGACACATTTAAAGCAGTGTGTAGAGGGAAATTTATAGCACTAAATGCCCACAAGAGAAAGCAGGAAAGATCTAAAATCGACACCCTAACATCACAATTAAAAGAACTAGAGAAGCAAGAGCAAACAAATTCAAAAGCTAGCAGAAGGCAAGAAATAACTAAGGTCAGAGCAGAACTGAAAGAGACAGAGACACAAAAACCCTTCAAAAAAATCAATGAATCCAGGAGCTGGTTTTTTGAAAAGATCAACAAAATTGATAGACCACTAGCAAGACTAATAAAGAAGAAAAGAGAGAAGAATCAAATAGACGCAATAAAAAATGATAAAGGGGATATCACCACCGATCCCACAGAAATACAAACTACCATCAGAGAATACTGTAAACACCTCTACGCAAATAAACCAGAAAATCTAGAAGAAATGGATAAATTCCTGGACACATACACCCTCCCAAGACTAAACCAGGAAGAACGTGAATCTCTGAATAGACCAATAACAGGCTCTGAAATCGAGGCAATAATTAATAGCCTACCAACCAAAAAAAGTCCAGGACCAGAAGGATTCACAGCTGAATTCCACCAGAAGTACAAAGAGGAGCTGATACCATTCCTTCTGAAACTATTCTAATCAAGAAAAAGAAGGAATCCTCCCTAACTCATTTTATGAGGCCAGCATCATCCTGATACCAAAGCCTGGCAGAGACACAACAAAAAAAAGAGAATTTTAGACCAATATCCTTGATGAACATCGATGCAAAAATCCTCAATAAAATACTGGCAAACAAAATCCAGCAGCACATCAAAAAGCTTCTTATCCACCACGATCAAGTCAGCTTCATCTCTGGGATGCAAGCCTGGTTCAACGTACACAAATCAATAAACGAAATCCATCACATAGACAGAACCATTGACAAAAACCACATGATCATCTCAATAGATGCAAAAAAGGTCTTCGGGCTGGGCACGGTGGCTCACGCCTGTAATCCTAGCACTTTGGGAGGCTGAGGCAGGCAGATCACAAGGTGAGGAGATCGAGACCATCCTGGCTAACACGGTGATACCCTGTCTCTACTAAAAATACAAAAAATTAGCCGGGCATAGTGGCGGGCGCCTGTAGTCCCAGCTACTCAGGAGGCTGAGGCAGGAGAATGGTGTGAACCTGGGAGGCAGAGCTTGCAGTGAGCCGATATCGCACCACTGCACTCCAGCCTGGGTGACAGAGTGAGACTCCATCTCAAAAAAAAAAGGTCTTCGACAAAATTCAACAGCCCTTCATGCTAAAAACTCTCAATAAACTAGGTATTGATGGAATATATCTCAAAATAATAAGGGCTATTTATGACAAACCCACAGCCAATATCATACTGAATGGACAAAAACTGGAAGCATTCCCTTTGAAAACTGGCACAAGACAAGGATGCCCTCTCTCACCACTCCTATTCAACGTAGTGTTGGAAGTTCTGGCCAGGGCAATCAGGTAAGAGAAGGAAATAAAGGGTATTCAATCAGGAAAAGAGGAAGTCAAATTGTCCCTGTTTGCAGATGACATGATTGTATATTTAGAAAACCCCATCATCTCAGCCCAAAACCTCCTTCAGCTGATATGCAACTTCAGCAAAGTCTCAGGATACAAAATCAATGTGCAAAAATCACAAAAATCCTATACACCAATTAACAGACAAACAGAGAGCCAAATCATGAGTGAAATCCCATTCACAATTGCTACAAAGATAATAAAATACCTAGGAATCCAACTTACAAGGGATGTGAAGGACCTCTTCAAGGAGAACTACAAACCACTGCTCAATGAAATAAAAGAGGACACAAACAAATGGAAGAACATTCCATGCTAACGGATAGGAAGAATCAATATAGTTAAAATGGCCATACTGCCCAAGGTAATTTATAGATTCAATGCCATCCCCATCAAGCTACCAATGACTTTCTTCACAGAATTGGAAAAAACTACTTTAAAGTTCATATGGAACCAAAAAGAGCCCACATTGCCAAGACAATCCTAAGCAAAAAGAACAAAGCGGGAGGCATCACGCTACCTGAGTTCAAACTATACTACAAGGCTACAGTAACCAAAACAGCATGGTACTGGTACCAAAACAGATATATAGACCAATGGAACAGAACAGAGGCCTCAGAAATAACACCACGCATCTACAACCATCTGATCTTTGACAAACCTGACAAAAACAAGAAATGGGGAATGGATTCGCTATTTAATAAATGGTGCTGGGAAAACTGGGTAGCCATATGTAGAAAGCTGAAACTGGATCCCTTCCTTACATCTTATACAAAAATTAATTCAAGATGGATTAAAGACTTAAATGTTAGACCTAAAACCATAAAAACTGTAGAAGAAAACCTAGGCAATACCATTCAAGACATAGGCATGGGCAAAGACTTCACGACTAAAACACCAAAAGCAATGGCAACAAAAGCCAAAATAGACAAATGGGATCTAATTAAACTAAAGAGCTTCTGCATGGCAAAAGAAACTACCATCAGAGTGAACAGGCAACCTACAGATTGGGAGAAAATTTTTGCAATCTACCCATCGGACAAAGCGCTAATATCCAAAATCTACAAAGAACTCAAACAAATTTACAAGAAAAAAACAAACAACCCCATCAAAAAGTGGGCAAAGGATATGAACAGACATTTCTCAAAAGAAGACATTTATGCATCCAACACATGAAAAAATGCTCATCATCACTGGCCATCAGAGAAATGCAAATCAAAACCACAATGAGATACCATCTCATGCCAATTAGAATGGCGATCATTAAAAAGTCAGGAAACAACAAATGCTGGAGAGGATGTGGAGAAATAGGAATGCTTTTACACTGTTGGTGGGAGTGTAAATTAGTTCAACCATTGTGGAAGACAGTGTGGCGATTCCTCAAGGATCTAGAACTAGAAATACCATTTCACCCAGCAATCCCGTTACTGGATATATACCCAAAGGATTATAAATTATGCTACTATAAAGACACATGCACACGTATGTTTATTGTGGCACTATTCACAATAGCAAAGACTTGGAACCAACCCAAATGTCCATCAATGATAGACTGGATTAAGAAAATGTGGCACATATACACCATGGAATACTATGCAGCCATAAAAAAGGATGCGTTCATGTCCTTTGCAGGGACATGGATGAAGCCAGAAACCATCATTCTCAGCAAACTATCACAAAGACAGAAAACCAAATACTGCATGTTCTCACTCATAGGTGGGAACTGAACAATGAGAACACCTGGACACAGGGCGGGGAACATCACACTCTGGGGCCTGTCGGGGGGTGGGGGGCCGGGGGAGGGATAGCATTAGGAGTAATACCTAATGTAAATGATGAGTTGATGGGTGCAGCAAACCAACATGGGACATGTATACCTATCAAACTTGCACATTGTGCACATGTACCCTAGAACTTAAAGTATAATTTTTTAAAAAAAGAAAATACATATATAATTAAAAATATATGGCCAGGTGCAGTGGCTCATGCCTGTAATCCCAGCACTTTGGGAGGCCAAGGCTGGCGGATCATGAGGTCAGGAGATGGAGACCATCCTGGCTAACATGGTGAAACCCCGTCTCTACTAAAAAATACAACAAAAATTAGCCAGGCATGGTGGTGGGTGCCTGTAGTCCCAGGTACTTGGGAGGCTGAGGCAGGAGAATGGCATGAAACCGGTAGGCAGAGCTTGTAGTAAGCCAAGATGGCGCCACTACACTCCAGCCTGGGCAACAGAGTGAGACTCTGTCTCACCAAAATATATATATATATGTATATATATACACACATATGTGCGTGTATATACTTGTATATATGTGCATATATACACACACATGTGTGTGTATATATGTGCATATATACACACACATGTGTGTATATATATACATGTTGCTCTCAGAATAAGGATGTGTTTGTTCCAATTACAAAAAAGCATGGGCACTTGATTTTGAAGGCATTTCTTATGCCTTTCTCCATTGTGATTTACAATTGCCTTCATGGTTTTGAGTTTTACAAAGCTGCTGCTTCTATACCAGCCCCAGGACAAGCTCTCAGGGGTTATGCATGTGAGTGGGTCAGGGCCTCTGGGGTGGCTGCCAGCTGACAGAGGCCCTGGGGCCAGCATTCCAATCTTCCTCATCCAATCACATCTTGAAATGCTTCCATGTGTATCCAAACTACAGTATGAAGCCTAATCTGCCAATTCCCCGATTAGGAGTTGGGAAACTAGGAACCCTGTAGGCCTGCTAAACGTGTGGCCCCAGCAGGAAGAGCCTGGGGGACTGAAGCATCCAGGAGCCACTGGGGAGCAGACGGAGGGGCACAAGAAGGTTCCTGTTTTATATAGAGAGGGCTTGAAAGATGGAGAACACTTCCATGGACAGGCTCATCAGGGCTGGCCACCAAATCAAGAGGTTTCCTGGACAGGTCATACATCAAAATGGGCATCATTCCAAAAGTTAGAACCTATTTGGCAGTGAGCAATACTGGAAATACTTCATAGCACAATGTGACTGCAGCCAAAGCAGTACTCAGAGGAAAATTCATAATCCTCTAATGGCTTAAGTGTTTTTATTTATTTATTTATTTATTTTTAAATTAGAGACAGAGTCTCACTCTGTCACTCAGGCTGGAGTGCAGTGGCACAATCACAGCTCACTGCAGCCTCAACCTTCCCAGGCTCAAGCAATCCTCCAGTCTCAGCCTCCCAAGTAGCTGGGACTACAGGCATGAGCCACCACACATGGTTAATTTTTGTATTTGTGTAGAGACAAGGTTTTGCCATGTGCCCAGGCTGGTCTCAAACTCCTAGGCTCAAGTGATCTGCCTGCCTTGGCCTTCCAAAGTGCTGGGGTTACAGGCATGAGCCACTGTGCCCAGCCAAGTGTTTATATTTAAGATGAGAAAGACTGAAAAGTAATTACTTTGTGTCAACTCATGAAGGTAGAGTTGGAGAAGAAGGAGAAACAGAGTAAAAGGAAGAGGAGGGAAGGATGAGAGGAAGGAGAAAGGACAAAATAAAGAACTCTCTAAACAGAGTCTCTGAGAGTTGGGAGATCAAGCCCCAGGTTCTCACCCTGCCCAGATCCCTCTGTCCTCAGACAGGTCAGCTCTCCTGATTCATTTTCTTCTCTCTTCCATATCCCTAATCTTGTGCACTGGGGTAGGGCTAAGAATTGGGTAGGGAGGAGGTATATGAAGCAATCAGTGTCCTAGCCTGCTATGCCAATGGCCCCCAGGGAACATTGGGCAATGTCTGGAGATATTGTTGGTTGTTACAACTGGGAAGGAGTGTGACTGACATCTAGTGGGTGGAGGTCAGGGATGCTGCTCAACACTCTACAGTGCAGAGGACACCCCTCACAGTGCACAGAATAATCCTACCCTGCAATGGACTCAATGTTTGCATCCCCCTGAAAATTCATATGTTCAAATCTTAACCTCCGAGGTGATGGTGTTGAGGTGAAGCTTCTAGGAGATGATCAGGTTATGAAAGTGGATTGCTCATGAATGGGATTAGGGCCCTTATAAAAGGGACTCTAGGCCGGGTGCAGAGGCTCACGCCTGTAATCCCAGCACTTTGAGAGGCCACAGCAGGCAAATCACTTGAGGCCAGGAGTTTGAGACCAGTGTGCCTAACATGGTGAAATCCTGTCTCTACTAAAAATACAAAAATTAGCTGGGCATGGTGGCATGTAATCCCAGCTACTCAGGAGGCTGAGGCAGGAGAATCACTTGAATCTGGGAGGTGGAGGTTGCAGTGAGCCAAGCTCGTACCACTGCACTCCAGCCTGGGCAACAGAGCCAGGCTCCATCTCAAAAAAAAAAAAAAAACAAAAACAACGAAAAACTTACTAATAGCAGTTGTTAATATTATACTTTAAAAACACCTATTATTGCCAGGCGCAGTGGCTCATGCCTGTAATCCCAGCACTTTGGGAAGCCAAGGTGGGCGAATCACAAGGTCAGGAGATCGAGACCATCCTGGCTAACACAGTGAAACCCCGTCTCTACTAAAAATACAAAAAAAAAAAAAATTAGCGGGGTGTGGCGGGCGCCTATAGTCTCAGCTACTCAGGAGGCTGAGGCAGGAGAATGGCGTGAACCTGGGAGGCGGAGCTTGCAGTGAGCTGAGATCGCACTACTGCACTCCAGCCTGGGAGACAGAGCAAGACTCTGTCTCAAAAAAAAAAAAAAAAAAGAAAGAAAGAGAGAAAGACACCTGTTATTTAGTTAAAATTTTCTTCCAGGCCAGGTACAGTGACTCACACCTGTAATCCCAGCACTTTGAGAGGCTGCGGCAGGCAAATCACTTGAGGCCAGGAGTTCATGACCAGCCTGGCCAACATGGTGAAACCCTGTCTCTACTAAAAATACGAAAATTAGACAGGCATGGTGGCATGCCTGTAATCCCAGCTACTCAGGAGGCTGAGGCAGGAGAATCACTTGAACCTGGGAGGTGGAGGTTGCAGGGAGCCAAGATCACACCACTGGGGGTGTGGTCACACAGCCTGGGGGACAGATTGAGTGAGACTCCATCTCAAAAAAAAAAAGGCTCCAGAGAGCTCCCTCACTCCTTCTGCCATATGAGGATACAGCAAGAAGCCAGAGGGCACCATCAATGAAGCAGGAAGTGAGCCCTCACCAGACACCCAATCAGCTGGTGCCCTGTTCTTGGACTTCCAAGCCCCAAGAACCATGTGAAATAAATTTCAGTTGTTTATAAGCCACTCGGTCTATGGTCTTCTGTTATAGCAGCCAGGAAGGACAAAGACAAGCCCCAGATGTTAATAGGACCAGGGTTAGAAAACCTTGCTCAATGTATAAGCCGTTACCTGGGGGGGTGCCTGGAAGGAGCCACTGCCACCAGGCTCCCTGTGTGGGGCTGGAAAGCGGGGACAGCCTCATCGGTGTAGAGGCCACCGTCCTGCCGGTGGTTCAGGCTCACTCGGTCGGTCATCACCACCAGTCCCGTTTCCTAGGCAACAGACAACACCCAAACCATTGGTGGGGAAGTGGATGCTGACAGCCCCCAGAAGCATAAGGGAATGAATCACCCTGTGGCCACTGTCCCAATATCAGCTTGTGGCAACCTTGGGGGCATCATTCTTTTTTTGCTTTTTTGGGTTTGTTTTGTTTTGTTTTGTTTGTTTGTTGTTTTTTGAGACGGAGTCTCGCTCTGTCGCCCAGGCTGGAGTGCAGTGGCGCAATCTTGGCTCACTGGAAGCTCCACCTCCCAGGTTCACGCCTATCTCCTGCCTCAGCCTCCCTAGTAGCTGGGACTACAGGTGCCCGTCACCATGGGGCATCATTCTTTTACTCTGGGTTTGGTGGCACAGGCTGGGGAGAACGTGGGACCCAGTGACCATCCAGGGTGGAGAAGAGAGAACAGCACATTTGAACTGTGCAACCAAATCAGATGGTCCAAACACAAAAGGCCATATGTTGTATGATTCCGTTGAGATGAAACGCCCAGAACAGGCAAATCCATAGAGACAGAAAGCAGATCAACTGGTGACTGCCAGGGGCTGAGGGAGGGGAAATGGGGAGTAATTGCTACTGGGGATGGGGTTTCCTTTTGGGGGATGAAAATGGTCTGGAATTAAGTAGGGGTGGTGGTTGCACAGCACTGTGAATATAATAAATGCCACTGAATTTTAAACGGTGAGTTTTATGTTATATGAATTTCATCTCGATTAGAAAAATCATGGCCAGGCATAGTGGCACATGCCTGTAATCCCAGCATTTTGGGAGGCCGAGGTGGGCGGATCACTTGAGATCAGGAGTTCAACACCAGCCTGGCCAACACGGTGAAACCCCATCTCTACTAAAAATACAAGAATTAGCCAGGCATGGTGGTGGGCACCTGTAATCCCAGCTACTTGGGAGGCTGAGGCAGGAGAATCACTGGAACCCAGGAGGCGGAGGTTGCAGTGAGCCAAGATCACACCACTGCACTCCAGCCTGGGCAATAGAGCAAGACTCCATCTCAAAAGAAAAAGAAAAGAAAAGAAGGAAGGGGAAGTGAGGGGAGAGCAGGGGAGGAAATCAGTTGGCGCAGTACCTGACCCCAACCAAGGACCAACGGTGGGATGCAATGATCTCTTTTATTAGTATTAGTATTATTAGAGACGGCCTCCATCTGTGGTTCAGGCTGGGGTGCAGTGCTGCAATCATAGCTCACTGCAGCCTCAAACTCCCAGGCTCAAGTGATCCTCCCACCTCAGCCTCTTGAGTAGCTGGGACTAGAGGAGTGCACCACCATGCCCGGCTATGCAATTAGTCTTTTTATTCTGTCCTCATCATTGTACTAATTACTGGGAGCAACTGGATTTGAAAGAAGACTCACTGTAGCCTGGGCTGACTTGGATTTGTGAACAAGAATTTTTTTTTTTTAGACGGAGTCTCACTCTGTCGCCCAGGCTGGAGTGCAGTGGCGCGATCTCGGCTCACTGTAAGCTCCGCCTCCCAGGTTCATGCCATTCTCTCCTGCCTCATTCTCCTGAGTAGCTGGGACTACTGGCGCCCGCCACCACGCCCGGCTAATTTTTTGTATTTTTAGTAGAGACGGGGTTTCACTGTGTTAGCCAAGATGGTCTCGATCTCCTGACCTCGTGATCCGCCCGTCTCAGCCTCCCAAAGTGCTGGGATTACAGGCGTGAGCCACCGCGCCCAGCCTTTGAATAAGAAATTCAAACCCAGTTCCTTTGACTCAAAGGCGTCACCTCTGACTTCCAGAAGGGACCTGGAGTTCAAACTGCCAGGCAGTTCACATACTCATAAATGAAATGTTATTTTTCAAAACAAAAAACAAAACACAAAGGTTTATTTTGCCAGGTACAGTGGTGTATGTCTGTAATCCCAGCACTTCGGGAGGCTAACGCGGGTGGATCCATTAAGCCCAGGAGTTCAAGACTAGCCTGGGTGACATGGTGAAACCCCATCTCTATAAATACGAAAAAAATTAGCGAGGCATGATGGCGTGTGTCTGTGGTCCCAGCTACTCAGGAGGCTGAGGCAGGAGGATCGCTTGAGCCCAGGAGGTCGAGACTGAAGTGAGCTGAGATCACGCCACTGCATACCAGCCTGGGTGACAAAGTGAGATCTTGTCTCAAAAAAAGAAAAATAAGAGATTTTTTTGTTTGTTTGTTTTGTTTTTAGCAAATAGAACTGTGGGAACTAGGTGGCAGGCATGTGGGTATTTGTCTAATTCGCTCAACTTTTCTGCATGTTTGGAAATTTTCATCATAAAAGCAACACAGGTTGGGGAGGGAAGGATGCCTTTGAAATTTTATTTATTTATTTAATTTCATTTTTTTGAGACAGAGTCTCGCTCTACCACCCAGGCTGGAGTGCAGTGGCGTGATCACTGTAACCTCCGCCTCCCAGTTCCAGAGCTTCTCCTGCCTTAGCCTCCCGAGTAGCTGGGATTACAGGCGCCCACCACCACACCCAGATAATTTTTGTATTTTTAGTAGAGACGGGGTTTCACCATGTTGGCCAGGCTGGTCTCGAACTCCTGACTTCAGGTGATCCACGTGTCTTGGCCTCCCAAAGTGCTGGGATTACAGGCGTGAGACACCACACCTGGCCAGAAATATTTTTTAAAGCTGAAATGAAAGGCACCCTCCAATGGGACACGCATTTGAGTGGAGACCACCAGCACCCTAAGGTGTGACCCTGAAGGGCGAAGCATGCTCCCATCCCAATCCCTTTCTATCTATATCACATCATGAAAACGTCCAGAGATGGGCACCTGATAGCATTAGCCCTTTTTTTTTTTTTTTTTTTTTGAGACGGAGTCTGGCTCTGTCACCAGGCTGGAGTGAAGTGATGTGATCTCTGCTCACTGCAACCTCCACCTCCCGGGCTCAAGTGATTCTCCTGACTCAGCCTCCCAAGTAGCTGGGACTACAGGCATGCACCACCACGCCCAGCTAATTATTGTGTTTTTAGTAGAGAGGGGGTTTCACCGTGTTGGCCAGGATGGTCTCGATCTCTTGACCTTGTGATCCGCCCACCTCAGCCTCCCAAAGTGCTGGGATTACAGGCATGAGCCACCGCGCTCAGCCAGCATTAGCCCTTTTTTTTTTTGAGACGGAGTCTCGCTCTGTCGCCCAGGCTGGAGTGCAGTGGCGCAATCTTGGCTCACTGCAAGCTCCGCCTCCCAGGTTCACGCCATTCTCCTGCCTCAGCCTCCCGAGTAGCTGGGACTACAGGCGCCCCCTTAGCCCTTTTTAAGATGGGTAAACTGGAGCTGGGCACAGTGGCTCATGCCTCTAATCCCAGCGACTAGGGAGGCTGGGGCACGAGGATCACCTATGCAGTTCAGACCCCCTGCCACCTGGGATCACAGCCACCTCCTTCTGCTTGAAAGCTGCCAGACACACAACCAAGTTAACCAAAGCCGAGGCAGAGCTAAGAGCTACTGGCACCCACAGCTCCCAATGAGAAGGTTTTCCTCGCAGCAAAGCACGTCAATGTCATAACACGTCCCATCACAAGTTCAAGTTACCCATTTGAACCTGACCATTGACATGCATAACATTCTGCTCTCCACGGCTTTGCAAATTGGAAGAATCTACTTGTGAGCTTTCACTGGGGAGAAATGAAAAAGAAAAGTTTGGAAGGCTGGGTGCAATGGCTCATGCTTGTAATCCTAACACTTTGGGAAGTTGAAGCAGGAGGATTGCTTGAGGCCAGGAGTTTGACACTAGCCAGGGCCACGTAGCAAGACCCCATCTCTACAAAGAAATAAAGCAAAATAAAATTAGCCAGGTGTGGTGGCATGCACCTGTAGTGCCAGCTACTTGGGAGACTGAGGTGGGAGGATCACTTGAGCACAGGTGTTTGAGGCTGCAGTGAGCTATGATCACACCACTGCACTCCAGCCTGGGCCACAGAGCGAGACCCCATCTCGAAAAAAAGAAAGAAAAGCTTCCAATTCTGTTTCCAACCCATTTCTGAATCTCCAAGACTCTTATTTCTAGGCAAGAGGAACTTAGAAGGGGGCAGAGGGATCTGAGACCACCTCTCCTTACGGTGAAGGCAAACCCAGAGTCCTTGGTGATGCCCCAAGGCCACGGGAAGACAGAGGAGCGCCGGCGTCGTTGTGCCGTCAGCCCAGCCCACCAAAAAGGACCATCCTCCCTGGACACGCCAAAGGAATCAGAAACATCATAATCTTCCAGTTCCTGGAAAACCTGCAGGCAAAGGGGGACAGAGACTTGTCAGCTGAAGTTTTCTTTACAACCCAAACTGGCTCCCGTGGGTGTGGCATGCTCCCATCCCAACCTCTTTATCACGTCATGACAACCTCCAGGAGATGGGCACTGGTAGCATCAGCCCATTTTAAGATGGGCAAACAGGAGCCAGGCACAGTGGCCCATGCCTCTAATCCCAGTTACTGGGGAGGCTGAAACAGGAGGCTGGCTTGTGCAAAGGAGTTCGAGACCAGCCTGGGCAACATAGCAAGACCCCGCCCCTACAAAAGATAGAAAAAATTAGCCAGGCGTGGTGGTGCATGCCTGTAGCCCCAGCTACTCTGGAGGCTGAGGTGGGAGGATCGTTTAAGCCCAGGAGGTGTTCGCTACAGTGAGCTATGATCACGCCACTGCACTCCAGCCCAGGCAACAGAGCAACATCCCAACTCTAAAAATAATATAAAATAAGATGGGCAAATTGGAGCCAGAGAGGTGAGACCTGGCCCAATGTCATGTTGCAAAAATCTGATGACCTTGACTCCCTGATCTTGCAACTGTGCTGAAGCAGCAGGAAGGATTTATCAGACACCCATTAGGTTCCCTGAAAAATGAACCCGACGGAGAAAGCGAATCTGGATTCAAATGCCACTCTTCATTTATTGGAATGAGAGATGGGAAAGGGAGAGCAAGAGAAGGTAAAGCCCCGTGGAGGTCTAGAACCCAAGCCCGAGGGGTCTGCTCACCTGGGCAGGAGTCAGCCGGAACCCAGACCTGAGCAGGTAGACACTCTTATCAACTGCGGCGACGCACACACAGCTGCCCCTTGCAGCCCTGATCCGCAGGTCGACAACCTCCCCAGGTTGGGTCTCATTTGCTGAATACGTCACTGAAACCTTGGCGCAAATGCAGCAAGGGATAAGAAACTTGGTTCAGTTGGCTGTGAGTGGTGGCTCACGCCTGTAATCCCAACACTTTGGGAGGCCGAGGCGGGTGGATCACCTGAGGTCAAGAGTTCGAGACCAGCCTGGCCAACATGGTGAAACCCCATCTCTACTAAAAATACAAAATTTAGCTGGGCATGGTGGCAGGTGCCTGTAATCCCAGCTACTTAGGAGGCTGAGGCAGGAGAATCGCTTGAAGCCCAGAGACAGAGGTTGCAGGGAGCTGAGAGAGTGTGGTTGCACCCCAGCCAGGGCAACAAGAATGAAACTCCATTTCAAACAATGAAAAAAAGAAACTTGGTTCAATCCAGGTTTGGTCTAGTCCAGAGGCATCTCTTCTGCCCCACCCATGCACCCCCTGCCCACCAAGGAGAGTGGGTCTTTGCCAGCTCAGCTGGGAACCTGGCCTCGCTACCTGGGTGAAACTGGTCCCACACTGTGAAGGGCAGCTGGTCATTGTGCAGCGGGCACAAAGAAGGGAACACAGAGGGACAGGCAGAGATGGGAAGGCAGGTGCTGGCGGAGAGCCTGTGGCAGTTTGTTTACAAGTTGCAGGGAGGAGCCAGGCGCAGTGGCTCACACCTGTAATCCCAGCACTTCGGGAGGCTGAAGCATGTGGATCACTTGAGGCCAGGAGTTCAAGACCAGCCTGGCCAACATGGTGAAACCCCATCTCTACTAAAAATACAAAAATTAGCCAGACATGGTGGCACATGCCTGTAGTCTCAGCTACTCGGGAGGCTGAGGCCGGAGAATTGCTTGAACCCGGGAGGCAGAGGTTGCAGTGAGCCGAGATCGTGCCACTGCACTCCAGCCTGGGTGACAGAGCTTGACTCCGTCTCAAAATAATAATAATAATAATAAAGTTGTTGCAGGGAGGGGGAGAGGAGGCTGAGGGTGCCAATGGAAACAAGTGCTGTCCCTTAAATCCTGAATTCAACAAAGGCAGAGAATAATTGATGGCTTTCCCCATGTGTTTTGAATGCAATCTCCTTTTGTGTGACTTTTGGAGATGCTTCAGTAAAGATGCAACTCATGTTCCCATAATTCCTTACATCATGCTGCGACACAACATGAGTCTCAGGTGTGCACAGACCCCCTGGCCAGCACCTTGGAGAAGCCCCGATGGCCCCTGGCTGTGTCCCAGGTTCAGTGCACGATGCTCTACCTGGTTTTCGAAGAAGGTCTCGACTGCAAACTGAAGGCTGTCGGCGACCCCTTCTCCATTCTCCCTGACGTAGAAGACCAGCAGGCGACCAAGGGGGACCATGCTGGGGGTCACGGCCAGATGAAGAGAGGTCACACACACGTCGACCTCAGCTTCTGGGGCTGGTGGGGGCTCTGAGGTGAGCAAAAGTAGAGAGAGGTGGTGAATTCTCCGCATCCGACATGCAACCTCAGCCATTCAGGCTCTGCCCCAATTTGCCCTGCGCTATGCTCCTGTCTACGCATTGAGACAGTCTGCATCTTTGGTTTTGAGATGCCCTTCCCAGGCTACATCCTCAGTCAATGCTGACTCTTTCTATTGACTCAGCTCTAGGGTCACCATGGGCTCCTACAGAGCAGGCTGGAATTTGCCTAGAATCATCCTCTCTGCCGGGGAACATGGTCCCTGCTCCCTGACCAGCCCTCTGCTTCCTCCGCGGACACCAAAACCACCTTGGCTTGTCCAGGCAGCACCACTGCAGCTCCCCAATATGCCCCTGACCTCCAGTCCCTCCCTCTGATTGGCTCTGTCTTGCTGGGGCCTGGGGCCAGCAGACCTGGGCAGCCATTATTTGCTGACTTGAACCGAGTTCATACTGCCTTCCCTGTGGGTAAATGATCCTTAAAGGATAGAGGATCTTAGAAGCCTGTCCAGGCACTCCCAAATACTCTACGGCAAGAGAATGAGGGTAGAAAGGCTCCCAGTTCCAGAATGGGCCATCTGTCAGCTGGTTCTGTGCAGAGCTCAGAGCAGCCAGTGGACAGGGATGGTAGGGGAAAGCGGGGACACAAGGAAACTCATGGGCAACAGGAGGAAGTGGGTACCCAATCGGCCTTGGGGTTCAAATCTTGGCTCTGGCCCCTACTAGGCAATGGGAAAGTCCCTGAAACCCCCACCCCCAAGTCACAGCCCATTCATCTGCAGATGGACACAGTGGAACCACCACCATCCCAGGCTGCAGTGGGGTTAAATGGGGACAGATTGTGGGGAGTTCCAAGCCCAGGGCTGGCCCTGGACAAGGATTCCAGGGAGACATAAAGTCCCTGTTATTTCACCCAGAAGAGAAGAGAAGACCAAGAGGGTGAAGGTGCACCATGCCCAAAGCAGGACTCTGGCCAGCAGTTCTCAGCCAAGGCAATTCTGCTACCCAGGGGATGCTGGCAATATCTGCGGATGTTTTTTGGTCATCACTGCTGGAGGGGATGCTACTGGCTTCCGGTGAATAGAAGCCAGAGATGCTATTCAGCATCCTACAGTGCATGGGATGGTCCCAAATGTTGACAGTGCAGAGGGTGAGAAAGCCTGCCTAAGAAGGAGGGATCTTCTCTGTCTGTCTATCTATCCATCCATCCATCTATCCACTCATCTTTCTATCTATCCATCCATCCATCTCTTCATCCATCCACCATCTACCCATCCATCCACTCACCCACCATCCACCCTTCCCTCTATTCATCAACCATCCATCATCCACCCATCCAACCATCCACCCATCCCTCTATTCATCATCCATCATCCACCCACCCACCATCCATCCATTTATCCATCCATCATCCACCCACCCATCCACCATCCAATCATCTATCCATCTGTTCATCCATCCATCTGTTCATCCATCCATCATCCACTCATCCACCCACCCCACTATCCATCCATCTATTCTTCCATCCATCATCCCCCATTCATCCACCCACTATCCATCCATCTATCCATCCAACCATCCATCTATTCATCCATCCATCATCCACCCATCCACCCACTATCCATCCATCCATTCATCTATTCATCCAGTCATCATCCGCCCACCCACTATCCATCCATCCATCCATCTATTCATCTAATCCTCATCCACCCACCCATTAGCCATCCATCCATCCATCCTTCTGTACCTCCATCCATCTATTCATCCATCCATCTATTCATCCAGCCATCCATCTGTCCATTCATCCATCCATCTGTCCATCCATCCATCTGTCCATTCATCCATCCATCCATCCATCCATCCATCTTTTGGTCCATCCATCCATCCATCCATCTATCAATCCACCCATCCATCTGTCCATTCATCCATCCATCCATCCTTCTGTCCATCCATCTTTTGGTCCATCCATCCATCCATCCATCTCTCTGTCCATTCATCCATCTATCCACCTATCCATCCATCCATCCATCCTTCCATCTATCCACTGTTCTATCAGTCCATCCATCCATCCATCCATTCATCCATCTTTCTATCTGTCCATCCATCCATTGATCCATCCCTCTATCATCTATAGGGCTATTGGCATCTATGGGGTGGAGGCCAGGGATGCTGCTCAATATCCTACAGTGCCTCCACCACAGAGAATGATCTTGCCCAAATGTTGATAGTGCCAAGGTTGAGAAACCTTGCCTTCGCCTGAGAGATCCTGCCTATCTATCTATCCACCCATCATTCTGTCTATCTACCTACCTATCTCAGTGTCCTCACCTGGAAGTGACTCTGCCCCCTGGGGATAGTGGCAATATCTGGAGACTCTTTAGGTCATCATACTGTGGAAAGTTGGTACTACTGGCATCTGGTGGGGAGAGACCAGGGATGCTGCTCAGCACCCTACAGTGCACAGGACGCCCCCACTCTGGAGTGATCCACCCCCTTATATATGTCTATAGTGCTCAAGTTGGGGACCCTGTATTGAGAAGAAGAGCTTTGAAGAGGAGGGGACTAAGGAAGTCCCCTGGGAGGAGGGCCTTATGAGGAGCACATGGTGTCAAAAAGAGAAGAGGAAGAGGACTCATAGGCAGAACCGCCTGGGCAAAGAGGCAACAGCACAATGTGGGCCAGTGCAAGAGCCTAGTCTGTGGCTGGCTTTCCCTGTCCCCTGCACACACAGAGTGAGAAGAGTCTGGGGCCTGAACCTCTCCACTTCCAGCAGCTGATCACTGTCTTCCTGGACCCAGTCTGGTATTGTTAAGGATGTGTCCCCTCTGACCCAAGGCATGCTCCCCTCTCTGCTGGGTCTTGCCTTGTCCCTCCTTGCAGGAGCACCCATCTCAGTCTCAATTGTTCAGAAGGAAGAACAGGAACCTTCTCCCTGCTGCCCGGCTCACCTGTCTCAGAAAGGTGTGTTAAACGAATCGGTTTCTCCAGGGCAGGGGCCGCCCGCTTGCTTCGCTGCTGGGTGGTGTGGGCAGGCTGCTGGCCCGATAGCACAATATTGCCCCGTGCAGCCACCTCGTAGTACAGGGTAAAGTTGCAGGGACATGTGGACTTCACAGAAAAATAGGCTTCTTCCCCAACCTATGGAAGACACGCAGCATGGGGGGCTCTGCCTCGCACCAATGTTGCAACCCACCACAGGAAGACGGCCATTCTGGGGCCAGAGGGAGGTTGGGATGGCTGAGGGAGCGGAGTGCCCAGCATCCAGTCCTGGCCCCTAGCTTTTTTGTTTTTTGTTTTCTTTTTTAAGATAGTGTTTCACTCTTGTCACCCAGGCTGGCATGCGATGGTGAGATCTCAGCTCGCTGCAACCTCTGCCTCCTGGGTTCAAGTGATTCTCCTGCCTCAGCCTCCTGGGTAGCTATTACAGGCGCCCGCCACCATGCCGGTATAATTTTTGTATTTTTAGTAGAAACGGAGTTTCACCATGTTGGCCAGGCTGGTCTCGAACTCCTGACCTCGTGATCCCAGTATTTTGGGCTCACGCCTGTAATCCCAGCACTTTGGGGGGCTGAAGCGGACAGATCGCTCAAGTCCAGAAGTTAGAGAGCAGCCTGAGCAACATAGTGAGACCCCCATCTCTACAAAAAGCACACACACATAAAATTGGCCAGGCGTGGTGGCACATGCCTGTAGTCCCCGCTACTCAGGGGGCTGAAGTGGGAGGGTCACTTGAGCCTAGGAAGTCAAGGCTGCAGTGAGCCATGATCGCACCACTGCACTCCAGCCTGGGTAACAGAGTGAGACCCTGTCTCCAAAAAAAAATAAAAATAAAATACTGTTTCCTAACTTTGAACGTGCTAATGCCACAAGTGGGCTGGGCCTTCTCTTAGGATATGAACTCAATGAGTTGGGTCCTATCATAGTCCCCAAGTTCCTAGAGGGGAAAACTGGAAACTGAGGCCTTGGTTCTTTGCCCAATGTCAATGAGTGTAGGGCAGGATTCAAACTCAGGGGAACTGATGCTAAGGCCCCACATTGAACCCTGAAGCTGCCATTATTCTGATATCAGGAAAGCTAAGGCCTCCCAGGTCCTAAGATCTCCCTAGGGGGTTGGCGTGTGGCCATGTCCAACACTTTGCCCTAGGAATCCCGCCTCTGTTCCATGTTTTGCAATCTGTGACTGTCCCCAAATGTTGGGATCACCCTGAAAGCCCAGAAGAGGGATATCTGGAGTAGGGGAAGAGTGACATTCTTGCCGTGGAAGCTTGGGCAAATCATTTCACCTCTCTGAGCCTCAGTTTCCCCACCTGTAAAATAAGGCTGTTATCTCCTGGACAGAGGGTCCTGAGGCTCCAATGAGATGATGTGTGTGTCATGCTCAACATCACACAATGCACACTGTAGGTGGCTAATAAGTGTCATTCTGGCCAGGGGCCATGGCTCACACCTGTAATCCCAGTATTTTGTTAGGCTGAGGTGGGTGGATCACTTGAGCCCAGAAGCTTGAGACCAGCCTGGGCAACAAAGTGAGATCCCGTCTCTACAAAAAATCAAAAAACTTTGGCCAGGCGCAGTGGCTCATGCTTTGTAATCTCAGCACATTGAGAGGCCGAGGCGAGAGGATTGCTTGAGTCTAGGAGTTCAAGACCCGCCACAGCAACATGGTGAAACCCCATCTCTACAAAAATACAAAAATTAGGTGGATGTGGTGGTGGGTGCCTGTGGTCTCAGCTACTCGGGAAGCTAAGGCGGAAGGATCACTTGAGCCAGGGAGGTCGATGTGCGGTGAGTCATGATCATGCCACTGCACCCTAGCCTGGGCAACAGAGTGAGACCCTGTCTCAATCAATCAATCAATATTTTTTAATTAAAAAAATATATAGTAAGAAAAATAAATGTCATTCTACCTCCCCCTAAAGGAAGAATCTGCCTGTTTAAGAAGCTGGGCCTAAGGGACTCCCACAGCCAAATTTGGAAAATTTGAGCAGCAAAAAGAAGAATGTCAGCTGAGTGTGGTGGCTCATGCCTATAATCCTAACACTTTGGGAGGCTGAGGCAGGCAGATTGCTTGAGTTCAGGAGTTCAAGACCAGCCTGAACAACATGGCAAAACTCCATCTCCACAAAAAATAATAAAAAAAATAGCTGGGTGTGGTGGCACAAGCCCATAGTCCCAGCTATCTAGGGGGGCTGAGGCAGGAGGATCACTTGAGCACAGGAGGTCAAGGCTGCAGTAAGCCATGACTGTGCCACCACCCTCCAGCCTCGGGTGCTATGGTTTGGCTGTGTCCCCACTCAAATCTCATCTTGAATTGTAGCTCCCATAATTCCCATGTGTTCTGGGAGGGACCCAGTGGGAGATAACTGAATCATGGGGACAGTTTCCCCAATACAGTTCTCATGGTAGAGAATGAGTCTCGTGAGATCTGATAATTTTATAAGGGGTTTTCCTTTTCACTTGGTTCCCATTCTCTCTTGTCTGCCACCATGTAAGATGTACCTTTCACCTTCTGCCATGATTGTAAGGCCTCCCCAGCCACGTGGAACTGTGAATCCATTAAACCTCTTTTTCTGGCTGGGCATGGTGGCTCACGTCTGTAATCCCAGTACTTTGGGAGGCCAAGGCAAGCGGATCACCTAAGGTCAGGAGTTCAACACCAGCCTCCCCAACATGGGGAAAGCCCATCTCTACAAAAATACAAAAATTAGCAAGGCACGGTGGCAGGTGCTTGTAATCCCAGCCCAGGAGGCTGAGGCAGCAAAATTGCTTGAACCTGAGAGGCAGAGGTTCCAGTGAGCTGAGATTGTGCCATTGCACTCCAGCCTGGGTGACAGAGTGAGACTCCATCTCAAAATAAATAAATAAATAAATAAATAAATAACAATAAACCTATTTTTCTTTATAAATTACCCAGTCGTGGGTATGTCTTTATCAGCAGCATGAAAACGGACTAATATACTGAGTGACAGAGCAAGACCCTGTCTCAAAAATAAATTAATTAAAAACAAAGAAAGGAAAAAGAAGAATGTCAAGGTCGTGAAAGACAAGGAAAGAATAAAATTTTCAGATTGGAGGAGACCAAGGAGACGTGATGACTAAATGTGACGTGGGACCCTAAAGGTGATCCCGGACCAGAAAACAAGGCCATGAGTGGGATAACTTGGGGAAATCCAAATAAAATCTGGAGTCTGGTTAACACTGATGTCCAGTGTTGATTCTTAGTTATGACAAATGGATCATAGTCTTGTAAGATGTTAGCATTAGGGGAAGCCTATCAAAATCTCAATGGCCTTTTTTGCAGAAATGGAACTGATCTTAAAATTTATATGAAAACACAAAGGACTCAGGAATCTTGAAAAAGAAGAATAACATTGGAGGACTCACACTTCCTAATTTCAAAACTTACTACAAAGCTACAGTAATCAAGACAGTGTAGTACCAGCATAAGGAGAGACATAGAAACCAGTGGGATAGAAGTGAGAGCCCTGAAATGAATCCAGACAGCTAAGGGCAACTGATTTGAAATAAGGGTGCCAAGACCATTCAATGGGGAAAGCATAGTCTTTTTAACAAACAGTGCTGAGACAACTGAATAGGTACATGCAAAAGAGTGAAGTTGGTCTGTGGGTGGTGGCTCACACCTGCAATCTCAACACTTTAGGAAGCTGAGGTGGGAGGATCACTTGAGCCCAGGAGGTTGAGCTGCAGTGAGCTATGATCACACTACTGCACCTCAGCCTGGGTGACAGAGCAAGGTCCTATCTCAAAAAAAAAAAAAAAAAAGAGAGAGAGAGAGAGAGAGAGAATGAATTTGGATCCCTACCTCACACCATATAAAAAAATTAACTCAAAACAGATGAAAGACCTAAATGTAAGAGCTGAAACTATAAAACTCTTAAAAGAAAACACAGAGATAAATCATGACCTTAGATTTGGCAATGGTTTCTTTGAGATGTGGCATCGGAAGTACAAGCAGCAAAAGAAAAAGAGAAATTGGATTTCATCAAAATTAAAATTTTTTGTTGCACTAATGGACACTGTCAGGAAAGTGAAAAGATAACCCATAGTATAGGAGAAAATGTCTGCAAATTACACATCTGATGAGGGCTAGTATCCAGAATTTAGAAAGAACTTTCACGACTCAACAAAGATAAACAACCCAATTATTAACAGTAGTGGGGCTGGGTGTGGTGGTTACATCTGTCATCTCAACACCTTGGGAGGCTGAGGCAGAGAGGATCACTTGAGGCCAGGAGTTCAAGACCAGCCTGGGCAACATAGTGAAACCCCTAAAAACCAAGTACATACACATGGGTGAGCATGCACACACACTCACACAAATGCACATGCACACTCATGTGTAGTCACACATGTGTGATACAATCATGCAGTCACATATGCATGCAAACAAACACTAAATGTAAATTACATTTTTAGGGTACCCATTGAAAATCTGAATATTGCCTATGAATTAGACAATATAATTTGGTGAATGTAATTTTCTTAGGTGTGACCTAAGAAAATGGCCTTGAGGTCAGGTAAAATAATGCCTTTTTTTAAGTATACATTATGGTCAAGTATTTAAGAGTGAAGCACTATCATGTTTGTAACTTGCTTTCAAATGCTGCAGCCAAAAAATGTGTAGAGAAATAGATGGATGCGTGAATTGGCAGATGGATGGATGGATGAAGGGAGGGATAGAGGGAGAATGGATGAAGGGAGAGTGGATGAATGGATGGATGAAGGGTGCATGTATGGATGGATGGATGAAGGGTGGATGAATGGATGAAGGGCGGATGGATGGATGGATGGATGGAGGGTAGATAAATAGGTAAGTGTAGTGGGTGGATGGATGGGTGGAGGAAAGAAAGAAAGGAGGAAAAGAAGGAGGGAGAGAGGGTAGATGGATGGATGGATGGATGGATGAAGGGTGGATGAAGGGCAGACGGAAGGATGGATGGATGGATGATAAATGGATAGGGGTAGTGGGTGGATAGATGGGTGGAGAAAGGAAGGAAGGGAAGGAAGAAAGGAGGGAGGGAGAGTAAATGGATGGATGGATGATGGATGGATGAAGGGAGGCGCAGAGGGAGGGTGGATGGATGGATGAATAGATAGATGGAGGATGGATGGATGGATGAAGGGTGGATGGATGGAGGGAAGATGAGTGGATAAAGGGTAGTAGGTGGATGGATGGGTGGAGGGAGGGAGGAAGGGTGAATGAATGGAGGGAGAGAGGATAGATGGATGGAGGGATGAAGAGAGGGACAGATGGAGGGATGGAGAGAGAGATGGAGGGTGGATGGAGGGATGAATGAAAGGATATAGGCAAAGCATTAATTTATAAATCTAGGTGAAAGTCTCATGGTTGTTTATTATATTAACATTTTTCAATTTCACTCTAAATTTATTAATGTCCCCCTTATAAAAAGACACCCAAACAGAAGTCCCCTTCTGCTTGAGATCTTGGGGGGAAAAGGAGAGCACAAACCTTTCTCCTCTTCTTTACTAAATTTATGGCATCAAAACAACCTTAAAAGATTGGAGTGAGCGCCCCCATTCACCAAGCAAAACAGGTTCAGAAGGATGGGTGCCAAGATGTGGGGAGTGGAGCCCCCCAGTTCCCCCCTGCCGGGGCCCTGGCGCTAGAAGAAGAGGAAGAGGTCCCTGCACCATGCCCAGCCTGGCCCCAGCATGAACCCATCTTCCCTCCATGCCCTGAGGTTGTGCCCGGGCCCCTCATGGCAGTTTGGTGGGTAGGACGCGCTGGGGTTTCTGAGCCACCTCAAACAGGATTGAGATTCACCCGGGGAGCAAAATCTGAGTGACAGAGCCAGGTCTCCCCCTAATCAGAACAACAGTCTGGCCAGCTGAGAACACAAGGTTCCTTCCTGTCCCCTGAGGAGGAGGCCAGCACCAGCGTCCCCACCCTGCACCACTGGTTTAATGGAATTACAAGAAGAACAGTGTGTTCAGCCAAGCTGGGCATGATCCTGTCTGACTTCTCATTCTTACAACCTCTGCAAAGGGCTGTTAATCCCAGGAAACAGGCAGCCTTGGCGCCACGATTCCTCCAAGCTGAACCCCAGGGGCCTCGATATGATCAGAAAAGGAGTGTGAGAGGTTTATGGGCTGGTAGGGCCCTGGGCGCTGTGATGGCAACTGGTTTCCATTAGGGGTGACATTTCTGCCAAGGCTGGGGCTATAGCTTGAGCCAGAGGCTCTGCTGGGATTGCGGCCAGGATGCAAACAGCCCAGCCAGTGAGCCTGCCACCAGTCCACAAAGTTAACAGAGGGGTGATGTATCTTAAATATAGATGTGTATGGCCAGGCGCGGTGGCTCACGCCTGTAATCCCAACACTTTGGGAGGCCGAAGAGGGTGGATCACCTGAGGCCAGGAGTTCGAGACCACCCTGGTCAACATGGTGAAACCCTGTCTCTACTAAAAATACAAAAATAATTAGCCAGGCATGGTGGCAGGTGCCTGTAATCCCAGCTACTCGGGAGGCTGAGGCAGGAGAAGTGCTTGAACCCAGGAGATGGAGGTTGCAGTGAGCCGAGATTGTGCCACTGCACTCCAGCCTGGGAGACAGAGACTCTGTCAAAAAAAAAAAAAAAAAAAAAAAAAAAATATATATATATATATATATATATATATATGTATATGTGGGTATCTAGATGTCTATGAACACACATGTACACAGCATATCCATATATATGCACATATATACAGTTGACCCTTGAGAAATACAGGTTTGAACTGCCCACAACACTGATGTGTGGATTTTCTTCCACCTCTGCCCAAGCAAGACAGCAGGACCCCCTCTCCTCTTCCTCCTCCTCCTCAGCCTACTGAACGTGAAGATGACAAGGAAGAAGACCTTTACAATGATCCATTCCCACTTCACGAACAGTCAAGATATTTTCTCTTCTTTATGATTTTTTTTACCTGCGCCTGCCAGCGTAAGAAAATCTTATGATTTTCTTAATAATATTTTCCTTCCTGTAGCTTACATTATTGTAAGAATACAGTATATCATGCATAGAAAGTACAAAATCTGTGTTGATTGACTCTGGCCAATAGTAAGCTATAGATAAAGTTTAGTTAAGTTTAGTTTTGAGACAGGGTCTCGCTCTGTCACCCAGGCTGGAGTACAGTGGCACGATCATGTTTCACTGCGGTCCCAATCTCCCGGGCTCAAGTGATCCTCCTGCCTCAGCCTCTTGAGTAATTGGGACTACAGGCATGCACCACCACATCCGGCTGGGGTTTTTTTGTTTTTGTTTTTGTTTTGATAGAGATGTGATTTCACCATGTTGCCCAGGCTGGTCTCAAACTCCTGGGCTCAAGCAATCCTCCCGCCTCAGCCTCCCAAAGTGCCAAGGTTACAGGTGTGAGCCACCACGCCCGGTCGGGAACTCTACTTTTTGTTCAAGGTTTTTATAAAGTTACAACTGCTCTTAAAAAATTAAGTCTATTAATTAAAAGAAAAATACACACACACACCTTATGTAATCAGAATTGCAAAATAATAGACCCAGGAAAAATGAATGGCAGACACGGCTCTAAATTTACCTTGTCTTTGCACTCAGAGTGTCTGTGTGGAGAAACTCCCAGGGCCTCTGCACTAAGGGAAGGCTCAAGGCAGTGGGGAATCTGGCCCCATAGCAGCAGCTCTATGTCAGGTCTGGGTGCAGTGGTGCCCTGGGGCAGAGTGGTGATCATCATTGTCAGCCCTGGGCCACAGCCTAAATGTCCATAACAAATAAATAGCAACGAGCCGGGCGTGGTGGCTCACGCCTGTAATCCCAGCATTTTGGGAGGCCAAGGTGGGCAGATCACTTGAGGTCAGAAGTTCAAGACCAGCCTGGCCAACATGGTGAAACCCCGTCTCTACTAGAATACAAAGATTAGCCAGGCATTGTGGTGGGCACCTGTAATCCCAGCTACTCCAGAGGCTGAGGCAGGAGAATCACTTGAACCCTGGAGACGGAAGTTGCAGTGAGCTGAGATCGTGCCACTGCACTCCAGCCTGGCTGACAGAGTGAGACTCCACCTCAAAAACAAAACAAAAAAAAAAAGAAAGAAAAGAAACAAATAGTAATGCATGCATGCATTCTGCAGAATTCTCCCCTTGCTGGGGAGATAAGGGATCCCTGTGTCAGCTGTAGTATTAGGTCCCTTAGAGCAGGGGTCCCCAACCCCCAGGGCCATGGACCAGTACTGATTCATGGCCTGTTAGGAACCAGGTCACACAGCAGGAGGTGAGTAGTAGGCTGACAATCAAAACTTCATCTGTATTTACAGCCGCTCGCATCACTCATATTACCATGTGAGCTCCACCTCCTGTCACATCAGCAGTGGCAGCATTAGATTCTCTCAGGAGTGTGAACCCTATTGTGAACTGTGCTTGCACGGGATCTAGGTTGCATGCCCCTAATGAGAATCTCATGCCTGATGATCTGTCACTGTCTCCCACCACCCCCAGACGGGACTGTCTAGTTGCAGGAAAACAAGCTCAGGGCTCCCACTGATTCTACATGATGGTGAGTTGTATCATTGTTTCATTATATATTGCAATGTCATAATAATAGAAATGAAGTGCAAAATAAACATAATGTCCTTGAATCATCCTGAAACCATCCCCCGTGCCCGTGCCCCCGTCTGTGGAAAAATTGTCTTCCACAAAACCAATCCTTGGTGCCAAAAAGGCTGGCTACTGCTGCCTTAGGGGCTCACTCATGCTGTGTCTTTTTTGAGGAGTCTGGCTTTGTCGCCCAGGCTGGAGTGCAGTGGTGTGATCTCAGCTCACTGCAACCTCTGCCTCCCGGGTTCAAGCAATTCTCCTGCCTCAGCCTCCCGAGTAGCTGGGATTACAGGCACGCACCACCACACTCAGCTAATTTTTGTATTTTTAGTAGAGATGGGGTTTCACCATGCTGGCCAGGCTGGTCTCGAAATCCTAACCTCCAGTGATCCGCCTGCCTCGGCCTCCCAAAATGCTGGGATTACAGGCATGAGCCACAGCACCTGGCTCATGCTGCTTTTTGGATCCCGCATGGCCCAGGAAGGGTAGCTCCTGAAAATCTTACCTGCAGTGGGTGGGAGGGTGGCTGCAGCTGCAGGTAGCACTGGCTGGGGGAGTACCAGCTGCCGAGGGAGAGGTAGCTGGGCAGGTACTGAGCCCCCACAGGCTTCCCGTTCAGTGCCATCACCTTGGTCTGAGAAGAGAAGATGCTTAGATCAACACCCGAGTGCCAAGAGCAGAAAGGGGGTCTTGGGGATGCTTCTGCTTGCTCTGCCCAGAAGAAACACCCTCTCATGCTCCAATATCCCTTTGGGGAACCCCCTCCCCAATCCTCAGGGAGTAATAGCCAGTTGTCCAGCCCATTCTTCCTAGCATCAAGAAGCAAGTGTCCAGCTGGGCACAGTGACTCACACCTGTAATCACAGCACTTCGGGAGGCCGAGGCAGGTGGATCACCTGAGGCCAGGAGTTCGAGACCAGCCTGGCCAACATGGAGAAACCCCGTCTCTACTGAAAAAATACAAAAATTAGCCAGGAGTAGTGGCGCATGCCTGTAATCCCAGCTACTCAGGAGGCTGAGGCACAAGAATTGCTTGAACCCAGGAGGCAGAGGCTGCAGTGAGCTGAGATCATACCACTGCACTCCAGGCTGGCAACAGAGCAAGACTCTGACTCAAAAAAAAAAGAAGCAAGCATCCAAGATTGGTCAAAGGGTATTGGGGGTCAGGCAGAGTGGGTGCATACCTATAATCTCAGCATTTTGGGAGGCAGAGGTGTGAGGATCACTTGGGCCCAGGAGTTCAAGACCAGCCTGGGCAATATAGCAAGATCCAGTCTCTACAAAAAATTTGTGCCTGGAGACTCAGCTACTAGGGGAGGCTGAAGCAGGAGGATCACTTGAGTCCAGGAGTTCAAAGCTGCAATTTAGCTATGATCACACCATTGCACTCCAGCCTGGACAACAGAGCTAGACCGTATCTCTGAAATAATTTTAAAAAGAAGTTGGGCCAGGCGCGATGGCTCACGCCTGTAATCCCACCACTTTGGGAGGCCAAGGTGGGCAGATCACGAGGTCAGGAGATCGAGACCATCCTGGCCAACATGGTGAAACCCTGTCTCTACTAAAATACAAAAAATTAGCCGGGCATGGTGGCCGGCAACTGTAGTCCCAGCTACTTGGGAGGCTGAGGCAGGGGAATCACTTGAACCTGGGAGGCAGAGGTTGCAGTGAGCTGGAATCACGCCATTGCATTCCAGCCTGGGCAATAAGAGCAAAACTCTGTCTCAAAAAAAAAAAAAAAAAAAAAAAAAAAAAGTTGGCCTGCCTCTGTCTCTGGCTCCTGGGAAGTAGGTAGACTCTAAATAGGGTATAAACGGGCCACACCAGAAAGGCCAGTTGTGTGATTAGATGGCTGGGCTTTGAGCCACAGGTTATCAGCCCATCTCCAGGGAAGGGAGAGGGCAGGAGATTGAGATTAGTCCCATGGCCAATGATTTAATCAATCATGCAGACGAAATGAGGCCCCCACAAAAAACTTTGGACACCAAAGCTCAGGTGAGCTTTCCTGCTTAGCAATGCTCAGCTTGTGGGGATTACATATCCTGGTTCTGTGCAGAGAACACACAAAGCTTCCAATCTGGGAATTGCCCAGACCTCACCCTATGCATCTCTCTCTTTGGTTGGTTCTAATTTATGTCATTTTGCTATGGTAAAGCTGTAATTAAAAGGTGGTAGGGTAGTGGAATTTGCAGCCAGTAGGTGGGAAGCACAGGTGGCCCGGGGACCCCTGGACTTGCAGCTGGTGTCAGAATTTAGGGTAGTCTTGTGGAGAGGGCTGTGCCTACCACCTGTGAAGTGTGGCCCAGCTCCAGGTAGCTGGTGTCAGAAGTTACTGCAATCTCCCACCTGGTAGGGGATGGGCAGGGCAGATCTCTGGTTCCTCAAGGAGTCTGAGAGATGCCAGGCTGTGGTCACTCTCTTAAAACAGGACAGTGGGCCGGGTACGGTGGCTCACACCTGTAATCCTGGCACTTTGGGAGGCCGAGGCAGGTGGATTGCCTGAGGTCAGGAGTTCAAGACCAGCTTGACCAATATAGTGAAACCCCATCTCTACTAGAAATACAAAAATTAGCTGGGCGTGGTGGGGGGCGCCTGTAATCCCAGCTACTCGGGAGGCTGAGGCAGGATAATCGCTTGAACCTGGGAGGCCGAGGTTGCAGTGAGCCAAGATTGCACCACTGCACTCCAGCTTGGGCGACAGAGCAAGACTCTGTATCAAAAAAAAAAAACAACAGAACAGTGGCCCAGGTGACCAAACAGCTGTGCTGTGTGTTGAGCAGCAGGTCCAACACAAGAAAGCGTGAACCCATCTGGCTGTGAATGTCAAGTGGCAAGGCAGTGGCTTCAGTGGTTAAAACCTTTAGGACATGGTGCCCACAGAGGACAAAGTGACCACAGTGTCCTCAGTTCCCATCTACGTATTTACTCTCTGCAGGGCCGCCAGGTCCACTGCCAGTTCCCAAAGCCAAGGGCTGGGACATCCTCTCCAGTCCCTCCTGTTCTTGCCTCCCCTGATGATGGGACACTAAGGCCTTCTGGATCTACTTCCTCAAGAGCTCCAGTTTGGAGACCTCTCTGTCCTCACCTCCTGTCTGCCTGCCTGGGCCCGCCCTGAACCACCCCCAACTAAAGACTCTGGAGTGATCACTGGGTATCGAAAATCAGATCAGGCCAGACATGGCAGCTCATGGCCTATAATCCCTATGCTTTGGGAGGCTGAGGTGGAAGGATGGCTTGAGTCCAGGAGTTTGAGACCAGCCTGGGCAACATAGCAAGACCCCATCTCTACAGAAAAATTTATTATTTATTTATTTGCTTGTTTGTTTGTTTTTGAGATGGAGTCTCACTCTGTTGCCTAGGCTGGGGTGCAGTGGCGCAATCTTGGCTCGCTGCGACTTCCACCTCCCGGGTTCAAGCAATTCTCCTGCCTCAGTCTCCAGAGTGGCTGAGATTACAGGCACCTGCCACAACACCTGGCTAATTTTTGTATTTTTAGTAGAGATGGGGTTTTGCCATGTTGGCCAGGCTGGTCTCAAACTCCTGACCTCAGGTGATCCATCTGCCTTGGCCTCCCAACGTGCTGGGATTACAAGCATGAGCCACTGTGCCCAGCCTCTACAGAAAAATTTAAAAATTAGCTGGGTGAGGTGCTAATTACGGGCATGCACGTGTAATCTCAGGTACTTGGGAGGCTGACTCAGGAGGATCCCTTTAGCCCAGCAGTTAGAGGCTGCAGTGAGCTATGATGATGCCACTGCACTGCAGCCTGGGCAACAGAGCGAGACCCTGTCTCTTAAAAAAAAAAAAAAATCAGATCACTCTTTCGCCTGACACTGCCTTCCACTGAGCACCCGTGAGGTGGCGGAAACCACCATTGGCTCTCTCCCCAATCTCTTTCCAAAATGGCTCAATGTAGTTGAGCACTTGTGAGACTCTGATTACAGTATAATCACGGTCTGCCTCTGAACCTGCACCCAGGCTGTTCCACCCGCCCAGAAGCAGCCTGGCTGACTTCCCCATGGTCAGGAGTCCATTTGGAGAGATCTCCTTGGACAAGACTCCTTTGGCATAACTGGTCCAGGCACCCTTATCTCTCTTTGACCTTCCACCTGATCCCAGGATGGCTGTGTTGTCCATCCCACTGTCTAGTGGAATGTGTACTCCTGCAGGGCTGGGACGGGCTCCAGGCCCACTGATCAGGTGCCTGCACCCAGCCTGGGGGAGGCCCCAAGTCCATACCTGCTGGCTGAATAACAAGGGTCCACGGGACTCACCCACCTCCAGCCACACGTGCTGGGCTGACGTGGGGATGGAGGGGATTTCAAACCCCACTAGTCCACGCTGGGACACAACTTCACTGGTGTAGATGTTATCCTTTGGTGTCAGCTCTGCCTTAATCTGGACCGTCACCCCCTCAGCTGGGCTGCCATCGGGGTAGGATAGCTCCACCTAGAAAAGGTCACCCAAGACACAACAGAGTTAAGACGGCCATGCTCCCCAAACTGATCTGCAGAATCAACGCAATCCCCACTGGAATCCCAGCAGGCTTCTTTGTAGAAATTGACAAACTGCTCCTGAAATTCACAGGGCATCGCAACGAGTTCCAAATCGCAAAAACAATCCTTAAAGGGAACAAAAAAGAAGGACTCACAGGTCCAGGAGTGGTGGCGTGTGCCTGTGGTCCCAGCTACTCAAGAGGCTTCCAAGGCAGACATGGAAGCCGGATGCAGTGGCTCACACCTATAATCCCATGTGAGGCCAGGAGTTCCAGACCAGCCTGGGTAACATAGTGAGACCTCACTACAAAAAACTTTAAAATTTCAGGTGTGGTGGCATGCACCTATAGCCCCAACTATTCAGGAGGCTGAGGTGGGAGGATCACTTGAGTCTGGGACTTCAAGGCTGCAGAGAGCTATGATGGTGCCACTGCACTCCAGCCTGAGTGACTGAATGAGACCCTGTCTCTTAAGAGAAAAAAAGTTTTAAATGAAGTTGCATCCCTACCTCACACCATATACAAAAATAAACTCAAATGGATCACAGACCTAAATGTAACAGCTAAAGCTATAACATTCTTAGAAGAAACATAAGGGTAGACCTTCATGCCCTTGGATTTGGCAAAGAGGTCATGAAGTACAAATTACATGTGCTAGTCATTAGTCTGATGCCATACCAGGGTATGGACAGTTCAGTGTGACACTTAAACCTCACCCATTCAGACTGGTTGGAGAGCCAGCTAGAATGAGGCAGACATAGATGTTTTAAAAGGAGCACAGATTGTAGCCTCTGAAGAACCCTAAAACAGCCCTCAGCTGTGCAGGTATCTGGTGACGGAGTGAACCAGGATTCAGCCCACATGATCTTCATTAACCACTCCCTTTTTTTTTTTTTTTTTTTTTGAGAGACAGAGTCTTGCTCTGTTGCCCAGGCTGGAGTGAAGTGGCCCGATCATAGCTCACTGCTGCCTCTACCTCCTGGGCTCGCAATCCTCCTGCCTCATCCTCCTGATAGCTGGGACCACAGGTGTACAATACCATGCCTGGCTAATTTTAAAAAAAAATCTGTAGAGCTGGGGTCTTGCTCTATTGCCCAGGCTGGTCTCAAACTCCCAGTCTCAAGCAATCCTCCCACCTTGGTCTCCCAAAGTGTGAGCCACAAACGTCTGGCCTATTTCTTTTTATTTTTTGTAGAGACTGGATCTCACTATGTTGCCCAGGCTGGTCTCACACTTTTGGCCTCAAGTGGTCCTCTTGCCTTGGCCTCAAGTGGTCCTCTTGCCTCGGCCTCCCAAAGCACTGGGACTACAGGCATGAGCCACCATGCCCAGCCTAACCACTCCTTTCTTGAATGCAGATGGTAGGTATTTTCTGTCATATGTGAAACGCTCTTTACCAAATTTGTAGCCTTAAACCTCTTCTTCATACACATTCTGACCCCGCACGAGGTACTTTAGTTTCTACTCAAGCTGGGGCCCTCAAAGCCAGGGACACAGGAGATGTGTCTGTGCATGGGATAGAGGTGGCTCCAACACTGGCATGGAGAAGAGAAAGGAGGTTCCAAAGCAGAACAAGAGGGTCAGAACTCAGTGTTAGGACAGCCAGCCAGCATCACTCATGGACGGCAAAAGGGAACTGGGTGCAGACAGATGCAGGGCCAGGGATGTGGCCCACTTTCCCCTTGCATGACACTGGGCTCTGTTGGCCTTGCCCCACTCCTGCTGCTGCAATTGGGGTGAAGATGCCCCAGGTTTGTTTTTGTTTTTTGTTTTTTGTTTTTTTATTTGAGACGAAGTCTCACTCTGTCTCCCAGGCTGGAGTGCAGTGGTGTGATCTTGGCTCACTGCAACCTCCGCCTCCAGGTTCAAGCAATTATCGTGCCTCAGCCTCCTGAGTCACTGGCATTACAGGTGTCCACCATCATGTCTGGCTAATTTTTGTATTTTCAGTAGAGACAGTATTTCACCATGTTGGCCAGGTTGGTCTTGAAGTCCTGACCTCAGGTCATCCGCCCACCTGGGCCTCCCAAAGTGCTGGGATTATAGTCATGAGCCACCGTGCCCAGCCTACCCCAGTTTAACAGTTAAAATAAGAATAATGACTGGGTGTAGTGGCTCACATCTGCAATCCCAGCACTTTGGGGGTCTGAGGTAGGAGATCTGCTTGAGCCCAGGAGTTCAAGACCAGTCTGGCCAACACAGCAAGATCCCATCTCTACAAAAAATTAAAAAATTGACTAGGTGCGGTGGCTCCTGTTTGCAATCTCAGCACTCTGGGAGGCTGAGGCAGGTGGATCACCTGAGGTCAGGTGTTCAAGACCAGCCTGGCCAATGTGGTGAAACCCCGTCTCTACTAAAAATACAAAAATTAGTGGGGTATGGTGGGGCATGCCTGTAATCCCAGCTACTCTGGAGGCTGAGGCAGGAGAATCACTTGAACCCAGGAGGCAGAGGTTGCAATTAGTCGAGATCATGCCACTGCACTCCAGCCTGGGCGACAGAGCGAGACTCTTGTCTCAAAATAAATAAATAAATAAAAATTTAAAAATAAAAAAATTTGCTGGGCGTGGTGGCTCATGCCTGCAGTCCCAGCTACCCAGGATGCTGAGGCAGGCGGATTGCTTGAATCCAGGATGTCGAGGCTGTGGTGAGCTATGATCTCACCACTGCACTCCAGCCTGGGCGACAGAACAAAACCCTGTCTCTAAGAAGAAAACATATATAAGGATCATGACATCTGGACACCTCAAAATTTACCGTGCATAAGACTTGAGTGGTGGGTGGGAGGCAGAGGCTCGTTCAAAATGTCACATGGGTCTGCACCTGTCAGTCTCAGGAACAGAAGGTCTACCTTTGCAGGGCTCTCAACTTAGGTCCTCAGGGGATAAAATCAACCCAGTGAAGGGCCAGGAGTGATGGCTCACGCCTGTAACCCCAGCACTTTGGGAGGCCAAGGCGGGAAGTTCACTTGAGGCCAGGAGTTCGAGACCAGCCTGGCCAACATGGCGAAACCCCGTCTCTACTAAAAATACAAAAATTAACTGGGCTTGGTAGTATGTTCCTGTAATCCCAGCTACTTGGGAGGCTGAGGCAGGAGAATCACTTGAACCTGGGAGACGGAGGTTGCAGTGAGCCGAGATGGAGCCACTGCACTCCAGCCTGGGCGATGGAGTGTGACTATCTCTAAAAAAAAAAAAAAAAAAAAAGAACCCATTGAAGAAACAGGACTGCCTTAGAGCAGTTGCTTTAATAAATGGCTACTCAGATGTCTGTCCAAGTGGAATAGAGTAGATTGTCCTTTCCCGTGGAGGAAAATGTCCCCTGCCCCTCACCTGGAACACCAGCCCTCTCCACTCTCCGCAAAGGTTATGTCAGGGGATCCGTTTTCAGCTGAGTCACCACTGCAGAGCTAGTGGCTAGTGGTGGTGGTTTCACGGTGGTCCTTGGGCGGGAGGCAGCACAGTCACCCCCAAGTTACCTTCCCCACGTAGGCCAGGCCCGGCTTGAACTGCTTCCTCGTGTCCTTGGAGTACCGGATGTCCACCAGCTGCCTCTGCACGGGGGTGGAGTCATCGAACGCGACCTGCTGGCTCCCGTCCACACTGGTCACCATGGCCCAGATGCTGACCCTGCCCCGGAAGTGCTCAGGGACGTCCGCTGGGATCATGTCCCTCACGCAGATGTCGAAGTCCCGGGAGCCGAGGATCTGGAGGGAGGAAAAACACAGCCCGTGCTCACTCAGGGTTGGAGTGTCTTTGAGGGATGTCCCTGAAACACACACCTGAGGTGCAAGACTCTTCAGCTGCTTGGAGGGCCAGGGGTCACTTGGTGGCATACCCAATCTATGCCACGGGACCATGCAGAGGGTCCCTCACTGGATCTGGACAACATCCCAGGGAAGATGGATGTTGGCTCCATTGGGCAGAAGAGGAAAGAGGCTGGGTGCGGTGGCTCACGCCTGTAATCCCAGCACTTTGGGAGGCTGTGGCGGGCGGGTCACTTGAGGTCAGGAGTTCGATATCAGTCTAGCCAACATGGCGAAACCCCGCCTCTAGTAAAAATGTAAAAAAATAGCTGGGCGTGGTGACAGGCACCTGTAATCCCAGATACTTGGGAGGCTGAGGCATGAGAATCGCTTGAACCCAGGAGGCAGAGGTTGAGGTGAGCCTGAATTGTGCCACTGCACTCCAGCCTGGGTTAAGAAAAAAAAAAAGAGGAAAGAGATTCCCATGCTGACACAATCTCCCACAGCCCAGGCAACAGAGGGGGCAGCTGAACCTGCTCAGCCTCACTCTGGGGCACCAGAACTCCCTCATTCAATTCCTATCTCAGGATCCCACCCTGGGACTTGGCAAATAATCCTCATTCAGAAAGAGCTGTGGAGTAAATTACTCCGTAAATGAGAGAACTAAGTCAAAGACCATCAGCTGGTAGCCTCCCAGGAGAATGGCTGGGATTCTCCAAGGTGCCAGTGTCAGGAATGGGAAAGGTAGGGGTTTATGGTTTCCAATCCATGGAAGAGAAGCCTCAGAGAGCAGAGAGATGGGCTGGGTGTGATGGTGCACACCTGTAATCCCAGCACTTTGGAAGGCCAGCAGCGGCAGATCACTTGAGGTCAGGAGTTCAAGACCAGCCTGGCCAACATGGCAAAACCCTGTCTCTACTAAAAATACAAAAATTATCCCAACACGGTGGCACATGCCTGTAATCACAGCTACATGGGAGGCTGAGGCAGGAGAATTGCCTGAACCCAGGAGGCAGAGGCTGCAGTGATCCAAGATCGTGCCACTGCACTCCAGCCTGGGAGACAGAGAGAGACTCCATCTCAATAAATAAATTAATTAAATTAAATTAAATTAAAGATATCTCAGACATAAGAGAGGGGAGCCCATTGGAGCAGATGTGTCTCAGGTGGGAAAGGGACTGAGAAGGAGCTTTGGGTGGGAGGTGGGGAGGAGCCGGTGCTGAAAGGCTTAATGTCCGGGCACCTACAAAGGGATGGGAATCTCCAGGAAGGTGGGTGTCTGTTGTACTGTAGCCCACTCACAATGTAACATTATGCTGAAAGACCAAAAAAGGTTACAAAACTTTAAACAGGTGGGAATATAAAATAGTGCAGCCACATTGACCATTTGGCAGTTCCTCAAAAGGTCACACATAGTGTTACCCTCTGACCTAGCAATTCCGCTCCTAGGAAAGAACCCAAGAGAAACAAAAATGTAGGTCCACAGAAAAACTTGCACAGGGATGTTCATAGTAGCATGAGACATAATAGCCAAAAAGCAGAAACAACCCAAATGTCCACCAGCGGATGAAGGGATAAACACATTGTGGTCCATCTGTACCAGGGAATATGATGCAGCCATAAAAAAGGAATGAAGCATTGATCATGCTACGATGTAGACAAACATCAAAAACATGATGCTGAGTGAGAGAAGCCAGACACAAAAGGACATATAGCATATGATTCATTCACAGAAATGTCCAGAACAGGCAAATCTACAGAGACAGAAAACAGATAGTAGTTGCCAGAGACAGGAGGAGGGAAATGAGGATTCTCTGCAAAAGGACATGAAGGATGTATGGAAGGATGGTGGAACAATTCTAAAATTGGATAACAGCCATGGTTGCACAACTCTGCAACTATATGAAAACCATCAAGCTGTGGCCAGGCGCAGTGGCTCACGCCTGTAATCCCAGCACTTTGGGAGGCCGAGGCAGGTGGATCACGACGTCAGGAGATCGAGACCATCCTAGCTAATACAGTGAAACCCCGTCTCTACTAAAAATACAAAAAAAAAAATTAGCCGGGTGTTGTGGTGGGCACCTATAGTCCCAGCTACTGGGGAGGCTGAGGCAGGAGAATGGCATGAACCCAGGAGGCGGAGCTTGCAGTGAGCCGAGATCACGCCATTGCACTCCAGCCTGGGCAACAGAGCAAGACTCCATCTCCAAAAAAAAAAAAAAAGAAAAGAAAACCATCAAGCTGTACACTCTACATGGGTGAATTGTATGCTATGTGAATGATATCTCAATAAAATTGTTTATGTTTTTATTTTATTTTAGAGATGGGATCTCACTATGTTGCCCAGGCTGGCCTTGAACTCCTGAGCTCAAGAGATCTTCCTGCCTCTACCTTCCAAATATTAAGAGCTGGGACTCCAGGCAATAAAATTAGTGTTTATTAGTGTTTTTTTGTTTTTTGTTTGTTTTTTGAGATGGAGTCTCACTTTGTCGCCCAGGCCATGGTGGTCAGGCTGGTCTCGAATTCATGGCCTCAAGTGATCCGCCCGCCTTGGCCTCCCAAAGTGCTGGGATTACGGGTGTGAGCCACCATGCCCAGCCAAATTGGTGTTTTTTTAACTTTACTTACAATAACCTGTGAGGAAACACATCAAAATATCGATAGTGGTCATGTCCACCTATTGGAGAACAAGTTATCTTTATTTTCTTCCTTTTTATATTTTCTAAAGTCTCTATATTCAGCCTGCAGGAATTTTATCATCAGAAAAATCCCTGCCATATAACTGTTTTAGAAAGTAAAACAGCGGTGGCTCACACTTGTCATCCCAGCACTTTTGGGGGCAAAGGCGAGAGGATCGCTTGAGCCCAGGAGTTCAAGACAAGCCTGGGCAACATAGTGAGATCCTGTCTCTATTCAAAAACTTTTTAAAGGCAGTAAATAAAATAATAACAATAAGAGAAAGTAAAATAAAATGTGTGCTGGTGGAGGTGAACCTGGGGGTTGGGTCAGGGGGTAGAAGGGGTCCCTGTTTCTCACCTTGGTTGTTCTGAGGACAGGGCGTCCCACCTCGTGGCTGTAGTACCCTACACCATTAACAGTCATGTTGATCATTAAGGCACCAGCCACAGGTTTCCCAAAGGTATACCTGGAACAAAAGGATAAAGCATGCTCAATTTCACAGCCAAGATGGCAGGGAGGGCCCAGCCTCAGGAAGGCCAGGTTGACATAGTGTGGCCACTAGTACAGTGATGGATGCAGCTCCCTCCACACCCTGCATCCTGTCCTGACAGCCCTCCCTGCAGCCTGGAATCGGGACAGAAGATGCCAAGGCCCTCCGATCCTCTGCACCAAGCCTCCAGATGGACAGAAAAAGAGACCAAGGGTCAGAGAGGAACTCTGGAACTGAGAAGGCTAGGTTGGTGCCACCTCTGGAGCAGAGTAGTGCAGAGGCATGAGCGACTGAGAGGCACCTGAGCCTAAGCGCCCTATTAAGCTCGACTTTGAACCAAGGACCGAACTTCTCTGAGCCTGTTTCCTCACCCAGAGAATGGGACTCAAACTACCCTCTCAGGGGTGATAGTGAAACTTAAATGTCTGTATGTCACTCCTGATGCAGAGGGAATGCTGGTGGATGGGGAACAGGAGCAAAATGAGAGAGTGCAGGCTGGGCATGGTGGCTTATGCCTGTAATCCCAGCACTTTGGGAGGCCAAGGTGGGCAGATCACTTGAGGTCAGGAGTTCGAGACCAGCCTGGCCAACATGGTGAAACTCTGTCTCTACTAAAAATACAAAAATTAGTTGGGTGTGGTGGCACATGCTTGTGATCCCAGCTACTAGGAGAAGCTGAGGCAGGAGAATCAATTGAGCCCGGTAGGCAGAGGTTGCAGAGAGCTGAGACTGTCACTACACTCCAGCCTGGGCGACAGAGTAAGACTCCGTCTGAAAAAAAAAAAAAAAAAAAAAAAACAAGGATCAACCCCTCTCGGGTCAGCACACTGGCGGGGGTGCTGTTGGATGCCAGGGAGGCCTGCAGAGGGCGGGGAGCAGCCTTGGGGGAGAGGGGAACATGGTGGGGTTGGGAGGGTCACACCCTGGGGGGTAGGGCATTCTTTGGGGAGGGGAGACCCTTGGGGAGGGAAGAACTTAGAGTGGAAGGGCAGGACTTGAGGAAGGAATACACAGCGGGAGAGGGGCATGCTTTGGAGAGACAGGGGCGTGCTCATAGGGGTGAGGACACCAGCATGGAAACAAAGACAGGCAGTGGGTAGAGTGCAAGAGACTCATGTGGCAGGGAGACACCGAGTACTAGGGAGGGAGCGGGGCACAGGGCACCCTTGTGGGAGCAGGGAGGCCATGGAAGAAGTGTCTGCCTGTAGGAGGAGGGGGAAGCCCGGTTGTTGGGGGAGATGGAAGGGGAGGGCAGAGGAGGGGCCCAGGGGGAGGAAGATGCTCTAGGGAAAGGGGTACACTCCAGGGAGGGGGTGCCCCCAGGGGAGGGGCACGGGAAAGGATGATGCTCTAGCGGGTGGCCACATCCTGGGGAGGGGAACCCACAGGGGAGGAGCCCAGCAGGGAGGGAGATACTTTAGAGGGAGGAGGACACCCCAGGGAGGAGGCGCCCACAGGGGAGGAGCCTGGTGGGGAGGGAGATACTCTAGGGGGAGGGGCACCTCCTGAGGAGGGGGCGCCTACTGGAGAGAGTCACAGGAAGGGAGATGCACTAGGGGAGGGGCACACCCCAGGGAGGAGGGAACCAGGAAGGGAGGGGCACACCCATGTGGGAGGGAGGGAGGCAGCAGAGGAGGGGAACGACCTTGAGGGAGCAGCGTGATGGTTGGGGAAGGGGAAGGGCCCCCCCAGTGTGCCCCAGGGGTCCCTCTTTCTCACCTGGCCCGCACAGTGCCTGTCTCACAGGCGTCCAGGTCTTGGATATACCGGGGCGGGTCAATCAGAAGCTCAAACTTGGGCAACACTGAAGAAAGCAAGCAGAGAGGAGGGGCTGGCTTCTGTCCCTAAGGTGGCCTCAGGAGCCCTGACACCGGTGCAAGGTGTCTGAGGACCACAGCACCTGGCCACCACCGAGGTTGACACTGTACCCATCCACACCACTCTGCTGAGCAGCCCTGGGGATTTTGTGGGCTGCATCTATTTCTCATCTTTGGGGGACTAGGACCCCATTTTCCTCAAGGGGCCTCCCCTGTCACTTTTAGACCACGTGCTTAGAGTGTGGCGGATTCCAGCCTATCCCAGGGTGGACACGAGGCCAGGAGGCTCCTCCTAGCCCCTGTGTCTGTGCATGGGATAGAGGTGGCCCTGGGAGCCAACAAGGGGCATCCCCAGGGTGACTGCAACAGAGAGCTGATTTCTCCATTTGCTTCTGGACTCAGCCCTGGGAGTATCAAGCCATCTTGTCACCAGGGGCGGAGGTGACACCCTGGAGCAGCCGGTAAACCAGAAAGAATCGGGTCCTGAGAGAACTCTTGTAGGAGCCTAAGAATCTTTTCGTTCTTTCTTTTCTTTTCTTTTCTTTTCTTTTTTTTTTTGAGACAGATTGTCACTGTGTTTCCCAGGTTGGTGTGCAGTGGCACGATCTTGGCTCACTGCAACCTCCTCCTCCTGGTTCAAGCAATTCTCCTGCCTCAGCCTCCCAAGTAGCTGGGACTGCAGGCACATGCCACCACGCCTGGCTAATTTTTGTATTTTTAGTAGAGATGGGGTTTCACCATGTTGGCCAGCCTGGTCTTGAACTCCTGACCTCTAGTGATCTACCCACCTCAGCCTCCCAAAGTGCTGGGATTACAGACGTTAGCTGCCATGCCTGGCCACCTTTTTTTTTTTCTGAGACAGGGTCTCACTTTGTCACCCAAACTGGAGAATAGTGGTGCAATCACAGTTCACTGCAGCCTTGATCTCCTGGGCTCAAGCAATCCTCCCGCCTCAGCTTCCCGAGTAGCGGGGACTACAGGCACGTGCCACCATGTCCAGATAATTGTTTTAAAGTTTTATACAGACAGGGACTATGTTGTCCAGGCTGGTCTCAAACTCCTGGCCTCAAGCGATCCTCCAGCCTCAGCTTCCCAAAGTGTTGGGATTACAGGTGTGAGCCACCACCATGCCTGGCCTACAATACTTTTTTCTATAAAAGGCAAGAGTCCACTTTGGGAGGCTGAGGCGGAAGGATTGCTTGAGACCAGGAGTTCTAGACCAGCCTGGGCAACATGACGAAACCCTGTCTCTACTAATACAAAAATTAACCAGGTGTGGTGGCTCACACTTGTAGTCCCAGCAACTCAGGAGGCTGAGGAGGGAGGATCACTTGAACTTGGGAAGTCAAGGCTTCAGTGAGCCAAGATCGCACCACTGCACTCCAGCCTGGGTGATGGGTGTGAAACCCTGCCTCAAAAAAAAAAAAAAAGTAAGAGTGTAGGACCATCCCCTGAAACTATACCCAGCCATCATGAGCCCTCAGTAAACGGGGACTCATGTCATCCTCCACCTCTTCACTGCCATCTTCACCAGTTTCCTTTTCTTTTTCTTTTTTTTTTTGAGACAGAGTCTCGCCCTGTCGCCCAGGCTGGAGCGCAGTAGTGCGATCTTGGCTCACTGCAACCTCTGCCTCCCGGTTCAAGTGATACTCCTGCCTCAGCCTCCCAAGTAGCTGGGACCACAGGTGCGCGCCACCACGCCCGGCTAATTTTTGTATTTTTAGTAGACACGAGGTTTCGCCATGTTGGCCAGGCTGGTCTCAAACTCCTGACCTCAAGTGATCCGCCCACCTGGGCCTCCGAAAGTGCTGGGATTACAGGCGAGAGCCCTTGCACCCGGCCTTCTTCACCAGTTTCTAAGGTTTCTCCCAGATCTGAAATCCCAAGACCCTGAGATTCTCCAACTTACCATACTTCTGAACTTCAAAAGACTTGTTGTACGCGTGGCCTTGCATTTCAACAAAAATGAACCATTCTCCCAACACAGGCTGGTCGGACAAGGGGAAGCTCATGTTGGTGATGCCTGTGTGAAGAGAGAGGGCAAGGGCTTTTTCAGAGAGCCACAGACACGGTGAGGTACGGGAAGAGGGAGCCAGGACCCTGCTCCTTCTCCTTCCCTGAGCAGCCCCCCAGGAGAACTGGAGACCACAGAGAAGCTGGCGGGGTCTGTGCAGAGCAGCACCCTGTAGGATCAGGCCAGCGGAGCAGGTTTGACACCCCGGCGGGCTTCGAAGGGATGCAGGAAGGGACTGGACCCGCGGTTCCCGGGACAGCCTTGCAGCCAGGGCCAGGGGCAGGCAGTGAGCTGGACAAACGAGGGAAATGAGCCAGCCCGGCTCATTCACTCCATCCCCCGCCACCCGAGTCATTTCCAGCCTGGGCACTACTGACACCTGGGGCCACGTGGCTCTCTGGGGTGGAGGTGTCCTGTGAGCTGTAGGATGCTGAGCAGCACCCCTGGCCTCCACCCAACAGATGCCAGTAGTACCAATGCCCCCCACAATATAACGACCTAAAAAAGTCCCCCAGATACTGCCAATATCGCCCCTAGGGGGCAAAATCACCCCTGGGTGGAAATCCCAGAGAGAGAGAGAGACAGACAGAGAGAGAGAGAGAGAGAAACAGACAAGACAGACAGGGTCTCCTGCCAGGATAGGGTTTCTCAGCCTCAGCACTACTGACATTTAGGGCCAGATCATTCATTGTGGTGTGGGGGCATCCTGTAAACTGAGGGGTGCTGACCATCATCCCTGGCCTCCACTCACCAAAGGTCAGTAGTACCAATGCCCTCTACAATATAACAACCTAAAAAAGTCCCCCAGACATTGCCAATATCGCCCCTAGGGGGCAAAGTCACCCCTTGGTGGAAATCCCAGAGCACTGAGGGGTGCTGAGCATCTTCCCTGGCCTCCACTCACCAGATGCCAGTTGCACCCCTTGTCCTCCACAAAAGTCCTGACAAGCCAAAATGTCCCCAGACATTGCCATGTCCCCTGGGGGCAGAATCGCCTGTCCGACCCCCCACCCCTCCATGAGAACCACCCCCCAACTGAACTAGAGCACGCACACACTTTAGAACAGAGCACTCTCTCCCCAAACATCCCCCCAGAAACACCATCAGCCGCTGACATGGGAGCTGTCATTTGCTTTGCGCCTGTGCCTCTGAGCCCCGTCCGCAGCTGTTTTCACTGGGAGCCATGGAGGAGTTGGAAAGGGCACATTGACTCTAGGCAGTGCCAGGGGATCTTCCACTCCTGAGTGTGACACGCTCCACTCGTCCCCAATGATCATATGGGGAGGGCCATACAGGGAAGGGACAGGGAGAGTGGTTCCCCTGGGTCTCACGACAGAACCGAAAACCCATAGCGGCGCCCACGGCTTCTCTCAATCACATTGGAGTCAGAAGATGTGATGGCTAAAATGGCTTTTTCCCCCTCATATTCAGGCAAAGTGGGCCTTTGATGGTTACAGGACATTCGGGGATGTGTGTCCTGAGCACGTGTTTTGTAAGGGGTCTGTGGCCAACTTTGCCAAGTGCTCCCTGAGAGAGGGGCACAGTCACCCTGGTTGAGAATCATGGGTCTACACACATCCCAAAGGGTTTTTTTTTTATTTTTTTGAGACAGAGTCTTGCTCTTTTGCCCAGGCTGGAGTGCAGTGGCATGATCTCAGCTCATGCAACCTTCACTCCCGGGTTCAAGAGATTCTTGTGCCTCAGCTTCCTGAGTAGCTGGGACTTTAGGCACCCGCCACCATGTCCAGCTAATTTTGTATTTTTAGTAGAGACAGGGTTTCCCCATGTTGGCCAGGCTGGTCTTGAACTCCTGACCTCAGGTGATCTGCCCGCCTCAGCCTCCCAAAGTGCTGGCATTACAGGTGTGAGCCACCAAGCCAGGCCTCAAAGGGTTTTTTTAAACAGGAGGTTGACCTCTTCCCCAACTCTGTGCTCTTAAGATCAAGTCAGCCTAGGCAACATCTTGAGACCCTGTCTCTACCAAAAATTTAAAAAATTAGCTGGGCTTGGTGGCACGCGCCTGTGGTCCCACCTACTTGGGAGGCTGAGGTGGGAGGATCACTTGAACCCAAGAGGTAGAGGCTGCAGTGAGCTATGATCACACCACTGCACTCCAGCCTAGGTGACAGAATGAGAGAGAACCTGCCTCTTGAGAAAAAAAAAAAAAACTTTTTAAAAAAAGATCAAATCCATTCTCTTCCCTGGCTCTTGCCAGTGTCACCCCTGCTCTCAGCACTCAACATCTCTCTCCTGTCCCCCATCTCCAACCTCACTACCCTAGACATCCACAGCCCTTCCCATAAGTTGACTCCCTGCCTGGGAGATGCTTCCTGGCCCCCTTGCTTTGCCTGGCTGTCCCCCGTTCCTTCTTTGTTGCTGAAAAGGATCCTCCTTCAGGCAGCCTTCCAGGATTGCCTCTGCCACCCCGGGCTGGGATAGAGCCCCATTTGCCATCTCTGAGTTTTGAACTTCTCCTTCCTAGCACTCATCACAACTGACATTATCCAGGCTGTTTAGTTCATGTTTGCTTCCCCCATTGGGTTGAAAGCTCACCCCATGGCAGTATCTATGTGGCGCCCAACAAATAGCTGCTGATACAAAGACAGCAATCAAGGGAACGAGAGGGAGTAAAGAAGGCAGACAGGGAAGATGGAACAGAAGAAAAGAGGCTGAGGCCAGGCACGGTGGCTCATGCCTGTAATCCCAGCACTTTTCCGAGGCCGAGGCGGGCGGATCACCTGAGTTTGGGAGTTCAAGACCAGCCTGGCCAACATGGTGAAACCCTGTGTCTACTAAAAATACAAAAATTAGCCAGGCCTGGTGGCACGTGCCTGTAATCCCAGCTACTTGGGAAGCTGAGGCAGGAGAATGGCTTGAACCCGGGAGGCGGAGGTGGCAGTGAGCCGACATCGTGCCACTGCACTCCAGTCTGGGTGACAATAGCAAGACTGTATTTTAAAAAAAAAGAAGAAGAAGAAAAGAAAAAGGAGAAGGAGGAAGAAGAAGAAAGAAGAAGGAGGAAGGAGGAAGAAGAAGCAGGAGGAGAGGGGGAGGAGGAGGAGGAAAGAAGAAGGAAGATCGAAGAAGAAGGAGGAGGAGGAGGGAGAATAAGACGAAGAGAAGGAGAAGAAGAAAGAACAAGAAAGAAGGAAGATGAAGAAGAAGAAAAGAGGCTGAGACCCAAGGCAGGAGACAGAAGGAGGAAGGGTCACCAACAGACCCCCGTGATCCTGCCTGTGGCTCTACTGTTACCCCATTTCTGGACAGCCTGGGTGTGTGCATGGCCATCCCCAGACTCCCCACACCCTACCTATCCCCTGCCCTCTCCTGGGGCATCACACCCCTCACAGGCAAAGCAAAGTGGGGTATGTCAATTACACAGTCTTCCTAGTCATAGGAAAAGAAAAGAAAAAAGCAAAGTCCTTTCTGACTTCTAGCTGGAAAAGAAATATCTCATGCAATGGGGATGATAAAATCTGCAACCTATAGCAGGAAGAAGCTGGGAGCAGGCCGGGCGTGGTGGCTCACGCCTGTAATCCCACCACTTTGGGAGGACAAGGCGGGTGGATCACCTGAGAGGTCAGGAGTTGGAGACCAGCCTGGCCAAATGGTGAAACCCCATCTCTACTAAAAATACAAAAATAAGCCAGGCGTGGTGCCATGCACCTGTAATCCCAGCTACTCGGTAGGCTGAGGCAGGAGACGCTCTTGAACCCGGGAGGCAGAGGTTGCAGTGAGCTGAGATTGTGCCACTGCACTCCAGCCTGGGTGACAGAGAGAGACTCTGTCTCAAAAAATAAAAAACAAGGTGAGAGCAGGTGCCCCAGTATTCCACAAAGGTCTTGAGTTCTGAGCAGGAGCCCCGCCTGAGTCCTGGGCATAGAGAAACGTGGGCAGAGGGTCCAAATCCACAGGGAAGGTGCTGTGGGCTGGGCTGAGGCTCCCAGATCCAAACCCATGGCATTGTCACCTCCCAGGTGGGTACCTGCCCTCCGCTCCTCCTTGGTCCCCTCCAGCTGGAGCAGCAGTGGGGGTACATTAGCGGTGGGCCCTGGACAGAGCATATTCTGTTTTCCTGGAAGGTTTATCACATCTGCAGCCCCCAAGCCGCAGAGGAAGAAACTTACCGCAGCAGAACGGCTTTAAGTGTCTCCACTCTATCATCCGAGAGCCTCGGGGGTCCTGTTGGTGGTGGAGGGGGACAGACACACGGAGTGAACTCAGGCTAGCCTAGCATGTGCCCAATGTAAGGATTTTCCCAGTCCTCTCTCTTGGGCATGTCAACCATGCAGCGAAGGTCCCAAGATTAATCATTAACCCCGGGGCAAAAAAAAAGCTCTGGATAGAGAAGGATTTGAAAAGCAGAAGGGGATGGGCTGGGCCTACCTCCTCATTTAGGGAGCCGTGTACAAACCTAGAAATGGACGTGGCTGGGTGTGGTGGCTCACACCTGTAATCCCAGCAGTTTGGGAGGCCAAGGTGGGCGGATCACCTGAGGTCAGGAGTTTGAGACCAGCCTGGCCAACATGGTGAAACCCCCATTTCCACTAAAAAAGATACAAAAAAAAATTAGCTGGGTGTGGTGCCATACGCCTGTAGTCTCAGCTACTCGGGAGGCTGAGGAAGGAGAATCGCTTGAACCCGGGAGGCAGAGGTTGCAGTGAGCCAAGATCAGCACCACTGCAATCCAGCCTGGGTGATAGAGCGAGACTCCATTTCAAAAAAAAAAAGGAAACGGACAGACACACACACAGCCCATCCCAGGGCGGACCCAGGGACCAGGATAGAAGAGGCCAGGTCCCAGCCTTGTAAGGCACAGCGGCTCAACCCAGAAGGCAGACAGTGAGCGAAGACAGACCAGATCTTGCAGAAGGTGGGCTACCCGGGCCCCAAGTCCAAGCCGAGGAAGGACAGAGGCCACTCACCAGGATGTAGGCTTCCAGCTGTAATGAAGACACAGATGCAGTGAGCAAATCTTCCAGCAAACCCCAAACCCTTTCAACATGCTCATGCATGGCCTCGGTCCCCGGGACAGGCAGTCGCTGTTATGGGTTAAACAGTGTCCCCCTAGATTACATCCGTTGAATCCTAACCCCAAGTAGGGTCTTTAGAAAGACTCATTACAGGTGGCTCATGCCTGTAATCCCAGCACTTTGGGAGGCCAAGGCGGGTGGATCACGAGGTCAGGAGATTGAGACCACCCTGGCTAACACCGTGAAATCCCGTCTCTACAAAAAATAGAAAAAATTAGCCGGGCATGGTCGTGGGTGCCTGTAGTCCCAGCTACTCGGGAGGCTGAGGCAGGAGAATGGCATGAACCCAGGAGGCAGAGCTTGCAGTGAGCGGAGATTGCGCCACTGCACTCCAGCCTGGGTGACACAGCGAGACTCCGTCTCAAAAAAAAAAAAAAGAAATGGGGAAACCAGGCAGGCACTACTTGAACCACTGGACCCTGTTAATGTCCCCAGCAACACGACAAACCCATGCTGGGTGCCTCCTGATACAAGGCACCGGGGAGGATCCAGTATTGCTTCTGTGGATCCTGCCCGAGATTCACAGACTGAACTTGGTCACAAGGAACCAGGAGACCATCCTACCAAGGGGCGTTCTGCAAAACAACTGCCTGGACTTGCCAAAAATGTCAATGTCATGGAAGACACAGAAAGGCAGTGAGGAACTAATTCAAATTAAAGGAGACCAAGAGACATGATGATCAAATGCAACAAATGACCCACGATCAGATCCTGGACCAGCAAAGAAACATGCTATAAAGGTTACTATTGGAACAACATGGATTTTATATTAGATATTATTATTGTGTCAATGTCAAAATTATTTTCCTCCTCTTTTTTTTTTGGTTTTTCGTTTTTTGTAGAGACAGGGTTGTGCTTTGCTGCCCGGGCTGGAGTTCAAGTGGCACAATCACAGCTCATTGCAGCCTCGAACTCCTGGGCTCAAGAGATCCTCCTGACTCAGCTTCCCAAGTAGCTGGGACTACTGGCACATGCCACCATGCTCAACTAATTTTTATTATTTTAATTTTTTGTCAAGACAGTTTCGCTATGTTGCCCAGAATGGTCTCGGACTCCTGGCCACAGCGATCTTCCTGCCTCAGCCTCCCGAAGTGCTGGGATTACAGATGTGAGACACTGTGCCCAGCCTCAAAATTTTTAAATGTGATGATCCTCCTTGAGTTGTATAAGAGAACGTCCTTGCTCTTAAAGGATACAGGCCAAGTGTTCAGGGCCAGAGAGGCACAGTATCTGTAAGTTATTCTCACATTATTTACCATTAAAATAATTTTGTAAGTATATATACATATACAGACAGAGAGAGAGCGCTAGAAAGAAAGCACATAAATATAGCCAGGTGCAGTGGCTCACACCTGTAATCCTAGCACTTTAGGAGGCTGAGGCGGGTGTATCACCTGAGGTCAGGAGTTTGAAACCAGCCTGGCCAACATGGTGAAACCCCATCTCTACTAAAAATACAAAAATCAGCTGGGCATGGTGGCACACACCTGTAATCCCAACTACTCAGGAGGCTAAGGCAGGAGAATCGCTTGAACCCGGGAGGCAGAGGTCGCAGTGAGCCAAGATCGCACCACTGCACTTCAGCTTGGGTGACAGAGCAAGACTCCATCTCAAAAAAAAAACAGAAAAAAAAATCAGCCGGGCGTGGTGGTGGGCACCTATAATCCCGGCTACTCGGGAGGCTAAGGCAAGAGAATCACTTAGAACCCAGGAAGCAGAGGTTGTAGTGAGCCGAGATAGTGCCACTGCACTCCAGCATTGGCAATAGAGCGAGAGACTCGGTCTTGGGGAAAAAAAAAAAATTAAGCAACAGTCCAGGGCTACCTAAAGCCCTCAAAGGCATTCCTTGTTGAGGGGCAGTGGGCCAGGCACGCCCACCAGCCTTCCTCTGTCACAAAGAACTCCCTGGGGTTCTCCGGGGGACATGAAACAACCATGAAAGAAAATAGAAAAGAGAAGTTCTGGAGAGAAAGACCCGTTTCCGATGGTGGCCCTGGCCAGGTAGTCCCAAGTGGGTGCACTCCGGGCCCGCGGTTTTAGAAGCTGATCTCACCTTCTCGTTGACAGGCCTCAGATTTGGAGAGACGGTGAAGATGCTTATGAGCACTAGAAGAAAGAAGAGAGGCGTGTGACACCTCCAGACCATGGCCGGCCCTCCCTGCATCCATGCTGGCCACTCACCTCGGTGCTGGGGTCTGTACACAGGCTTGTCCGTCTGGATGAATACAGAAGCGCCCCGGCCGTCCACGGTCACCGAGGTCTGGTTGTGAAAGAGGGGCCCCTCCTCCGCCTGCCAGCCGCGGCCCCACACTTTCAGAAGCGCTTGGCCCCGGAGGCCCGTGGGCACCTGCAGGCAGAGGAAGGAGCTTTGGGACAAGAATTCACCCTGGAATGGGCCAAGATACTGGGGAAGGAGTTTGGAGGCCTGGAACAGGGGGAACTCACCCCAGGAGTGACTGTGCCCCAGGGGGACACTTGGCAGTTTCTGGAGATGTTTTGGGGTGTCATAGCTTTGGGGGTGGGGATTGCTACTGTCACTTGAGAGGGGAATAGAGAGGCTGCTCAACATCTTACAGAGCACAGGACACCCCCGCCCTTGGCAAACTGCCCCAAATATCTTTTTTTTTGGAGACAAGGCTTACTCTGTCGCCCAGGCTGGAGTGTAGTGGCACTATCTCAGCTCATTGCAACCTCTGTCTCCCAGCTCAAATGATTCTCCCACCTCAGCCTCCTGAGTAGATGGGATTACAGGTGTGTGTCACCATGCCTGGCTAATTTTTATGTTTTTAGTAGAAACGGGGTTTCACCATGTTGGCCAGGCTGGTCTTGAACTCCTGGGCTCAAGCAATCCATCTGCCTCAGCCTCCCAAAGTACTGGGATTATAGGCGTGAGCCATTGCACCCGGCCATATCTTTTTTCTTTCTTTCTTTCTTTCTTTCTTTTTTTTTTTTTTTCAGGCAGGGTTTATCTCTGTTGCCCAGGCTGGAGTGCAGTGGTGCAATTATGGCTCACTGCGGCCTTGGCCTGCTGGGCGCAAGCAATCCTCCCATCTCAGCCTCCCAAAGAGCTGGGACTACAGGCATGCACCACCAAGCCAGGCTTATTTTGTTTATTTTTGGTAGAAACAAGGTCTCACTCTATTGCCCAGGCTGGTCTCAAACTCCTGGGCTCAAGCGATCCTCCCACCTCAGCCTCAGATTACAGACGTGAGCCACTGTGCCAAGCCTGCCCCAGCTTTCAGCCATGCTGAGGCTGAGAAACACTGGTCTAGTTATGGAGCCTTCTCTTCTGACTCAACAGAGTTGCAAAGCTGTTTTCTGTCATCATCACTGGAGAGTTACAAGAACTGTCTCCCTTCTTGCCAAGTGAATTCACAGCCTGTGAGCGGTGGAAGGAGACCTGGATCCCTTGATATACATATGTACATGTCCAGATATATCTATCATGTATATGTGTCTGTGTTTGCCTCACTCTAAAATCGCAGCACAGGCTGAGCGCAATGGCTCACACCTGTAATCCCAGCACTTTGGGGAGGCTGGGGTGGGCGGATCACCTGAGGTCAGGAGTTCAAGACCAGCCTGGCCAACATGGCAAAACCCCATCTCTACTAAGTACAAAAATTAGCCAGCTGTGGTGGTGGGCACCTGTAATCCCAGCTACTCGGGAGGCTGAGGCAGGAGAATTGCTTGAACCCAGGAGGCAGAGGTTGCATTGAGCCCAGATCGCAACATTGCACTCCAACCTGGGTGACAAGAGTGAAACTCCATCTCCAAAAAAAATAAATAAACAAATAATACAAATAAAGTCACAGCACAAGCCAGGCGCGATGGCTCACACCTGTAATCCCAGCACTTCGGGAGGCCGAGGTGGGCAGATGGCTTGAGGCCAGAAGTTCAAGACCAGCCCAGCCAACATGGTGAAACCCTGTCTCTACAAAAAATACAAAAAAAATTAGCCAGGTGTGTGTCAGGCACCTGTAGTTCCAGCTACTCTGGAGGCTGAGGCACACCAATCACTTGAACCTGGGAGGCAGAGGTTGCCATGAGCTGAGATCACACCACTGAACTCCAGCCTGGATGACAGAGCGAGACTCCGCCTCAAAAAATAAAATAAAATAAAATAAAATAAAATAAAAATCACAACACATATATAGTGCATGACTCCATTGATCTGAATTGTCCAGAAAAGGCAATCCACAGAGACAGGAATCAGATGGGTGGTTGCTAGGGGCTGGGAGAAGGGAGTGGGGAGTGACTACTGATGGGGACAGGGTCTTCTTTTGCGGGGATAAAAATGTTCTGGAACTAGATGGGGGGGCATTGCACAACCCTGTCAATGTAGTAAATGCCACGGAATTATATGTTTTAGAATGGTTAGATGGCTTTTTTGTTGGTTTGGTTTGTGTTTTTGCCACACAGATGGGAGAAAAAAAAAAACCACTTCAGTCTTCAGGATGGAGCCTACACTACACAATTCCTTCCTTCCTTCCTTCCTTCACTACACATTCCCTCCCTCCCTCTCTCCCTCCCTCTCTCCCTCCCTTCCTTTCTTTCTTCCTTCCTTCCATCCTTCCTACACTACACATTCCTTCCCTCCCTCCCTCCCTCCATCCCTCCCTTCTTTCTTTCTTTCTCTTTCTCTTTCTTTCTTTTGTTTTTAGAGACAATATCTTGCTCTGTCGCCAGACTGGAGTCCAATGGTGCGATCAGAGCTCACTACAGCCTCAAACTCCTGGGCTCATGCGATCCTCCTGCCTCAGCCTACTGAGAAGCCAGGACTGCAGGCATGCACCACCATGCCCAGCTAATTTATTTTATTTTATTTTTTGGTAGAGATGGGGTCTCACTATGTTGCCCAGGCTGGGCTCAAACTCCTGGGCTCATGTGATCCTCCCGACTCAGCCTCCCAAAGTGCTGGGATTACAGGTGTGAGCCATGGCACCTGGCCGTCCTCTTATTTTTTTTTAAGCAGATGGGCAGAACGCCCTGGCATGTGAGTCATGCACTATAAAAGCTCCTTTCATGCTTAAAACAAACAAAAGTAATGCCTCCTGTATTAGTCTGTTTTCACACTGGTGATAAAGACATACCCGAGACTGGGTAATTTATAAAGAAAAAGAGGTTTAATGGACTCACAGTTTCACGTGGCTGGGGAGGTCTCACAATCATGGCGAAAGGTGAAAGGCACGTCTTACATGGTGGCAGGCAAGAGAGAATGAGAGCCAAGCAAAAAGGGGTTTCCCCTTATAAAATCATCAGCTCTTGTGAGACTTATTCATTACCATGAGAACAGTATGGGGGAAACCACCCCATGATTCAATTATCTCCCTCTGGGTCCCTCCCACAACGTGTGGAAATTATGGGAGCTACAATTCAAGATGAGATTTAGGTGGGGACACAACCAAACCATATTACCTCCCTCTATGTGACCGGTATTTGATGATAGTTACCCTCTCAGCCATCCCTGGGCACCCAGCAGGTGGACATTACCTCCAAGCAGATCACCTGGGGAGCTATGTGCACCCACCTGTTCCTAAAACCACCCAAATGGCTGGGCACAGTGGCTCACGCCTGTCATCCCAGCACTTTGGGAGGCTGAGGTGGGCAGATCACCTGAGGTCAGGAGTTCGGGACCAGCCTGGCCAACATGGCGAAGCCCCGTCTCTACTGAAAATACAAAAATTAGCCAGGTGTGATGGCAGGCGCCTATAGTCCCAGCGACTCAGGAGGCTGAGGCAGCAGAATCGCTTGAACCCAGAAGGCAGAGGTTGCAGTGAGCTGAGATGGTACAGCTGCACTCCAGCCTAGGTGACAGAGTGAGACTCCATCTCAAAAAATAAAAAATAAAAAAAATGTAAAAATAAAACTATCCAACTGTGGGGTGTTCCTCTTCTGAGGACCCCTATGTCAGCATCTACTCATGTGGTCCCTCAAGGGGTGGATGGACCCTGGTGACCATCACGGGGAACAATCTACCAGATTATCTGACTGATCATCACAGTTCTGCACTGTCATGACCATTGTGTGGGTGAGGTCGGGGTGCACTAGGACCCCCGCTCTCTGAAGCCACACGGGGTCCGTCCCAGCCCTCTCTCCAGCCACCCACCTCCTGTCTGCTCTGAACAGCCTCAGAGGGACCTCTCCTACCTGCCACCCGCAGGACCAGCCTTCTGGACCTGTGAGGTCTCTTCTGACTGCAGTTTCCCCGTCAAGACCAACCAAAGCAATAAACCTCACCCACTACTCCAATCCCAAAATCCTCACCTGGCCCTGTTTCTGGAAATATCTCAACACTGGCCAGAGGCTGAAGAGGGAGGAAAGGTCCCGGCCACCCAAGAGCAGGGCAAGGATGGGCAGGAGGGAGATACCGGAGGTGCTGAGGACCGTATGCTGGAGGGACAGGGAGGCTGGCGGGCAAGAGACTATGCTGAGCACATAAAGGGGGCCGACCCCAAACGGCAGCCCCTAGAGCTTCACACCTTCCCAGGGAAGAGGATGCCTCCCACAGGGAGAGAAGGCAAGAAGGACCTCCAGCCTTCTTTCCGTGTTTAAAGACAGGCTCTTGCTCTGTTGCCCAGACTAGAGTGCTGTGGTGCGATCACGTCTCACTGCAACCTCGATCTCCTGGACTCAAGCAATCCTCCTACCTTGGCCTACTGAGTGGCTGGGACTACAGGTGCAGGCCACCATGCCCGGCTAATTTTTTATTTTCAGTTTGTAGAGACAGGGGACAGGCTCTCAACTATGTTGCCCAGGCTGGTCTCCAACTCCTGGCCTCAAGCGATCCTCCAGTTTCAGCCTCCCAAGTAGCTAGGATTACAGGCACCAGTCACTGTGCCTGGCCAAATGCTAAGGATCTTAAGCATCTTTCTTGGGAATCTCAAGTCTAGTCTTAAGAGCCCTTGGCCCCTCTCCCAGAATTATACAACCCTTTGTTAGTCTCTCTTACAAATTCCCAGCATCTGTGCTGTGAAGAGTGTCTTCTAACGTGTGGTGGCCAGGGACTGCACATCATCTTAACACCTGCTCCAGGGAAATGGCTTCCTGACTCATAAGAAAGCAGATCTAGGCTGGGTGCAGTGGCTCACACCTGTAATGCCAGCACTTTGGGAGGCTGAGGCAGGTGGATCACTTGAGGTCAGGAGTTTGAGACCACAGTAGCCAACATGGTGAAACCCCACCTCTATTGAAAATACAAAAATTAGCTGGGCATGGTGGGGGCGTCTGCAGTCCCAGCTACTCAGGAGGCTGAGGCAGGAAAATCACTTGAACCCAGGAGGCAGAGGTTGCAGTGAGCTGAGATCGTGCCACTGCACTCCACCCTGGGCGACAGAGCAAGACTCTGTCTCCAAAAAGAGAGAAAGAGAGAGAAAAATCTAATCACACAAAGGAAAGGCAGGAGAGAGAGAGAGGAAGGAAGGGAGGAGGGAGGAAAAGAAATCCAATCACAGGAAGCCAGGAAAGGGAGTTCTAGGGTCTTTTTTTTTTTTTCTTTTTTCCTTATGCTTCTGTAGGCATTGAAGCCCTAGGGCAGGGACCCTCAACCCCTGGGCCACAGACTGGTACCAGTCAATGGCCTGTTAGGAATGGGGCTACACAGCAGGAGGTGAGCAGTGGGTGAGCAAATGAACCTTCATCTGTATTTACAGCCGCTCCCCATCACTCACATTACTGCCTAAGCTCCGCCTCCCATCAGATCAGTGGTGGCATTAGATTCTCATAGGAGTGTGAACCCTATTGTGAACTGTGCATGGGAGGGGTCTAGATTGCATGCTCTTTATGACAATCTAATGCCTGATGATCTGTTACTGTCTCACATCACCCCCAGGTGGGACCATCTAGTTGAAGGAAAACAAGCTCAGGGCTTGCACTGTTTCTTCAGTTATGGTGAGTTATATCATTATTTCGTTATATATTACAGTGTAATAATAATAGAAATAAAGCACACAATAAATGGAATGCCCTTGAATCATCCTGAAACCATTTCTTCTGCTCCCTGGTCCGTGGAAAAAACTGTCTTCCATGAAACTGGTCCCTGGTGCCAAAAAGGTTGGGGACTGCTGCTCTAGGGTTTTGGTTCAGGGTTTCCTGAATGTGGACTTCTGGGGCCACATCCTTCTTTGCTGTAAGGGATCCTGCGCATTGTAAGATGTTGAGTTGCAGCTGTGGCCTCCACCCACCAGATGCCAGTAGCACCTGGCACCGCCCAGCCCCAACCCAGCTGTGACAACCAAAAATGTCTCCAAACTTTACGAAATGTGCCCTGTAGGGCAAAAGCCCCCTTGAGTGAGAACTGCTGCCTTAGAGAAAGGGTTCTATCATCAAATGTAATGGAGGGGCCAGGTGCTGTGGCTCACGCCTGTAATCCCAACACTTTGGGAGGGCTGAGGTGGGCAGATCAACTGAGGTCAGGAGTTTGAGACCAGCCTGGCCAACATGATGAAACCCCATCTCTATTAAAAATACAAAAAAATTAGCTGGGCACGGTGGTGCACACCTGTAATCCCAGCTACTGGGGAGGCTGAGGCAGGAGAATCACTTGAACCCAGGAAGCGGAGGTTGCAGTGAGCCAAGATTGCATCACTGCACTCCAGCCTGGGAGAAAAAGCAAGACTGCTTAAAAAAAAAAAAAAAAAGTAAGGCAGGAAGACCACTGTCCTGCAGCAAATAGGCACTAGTGGTATACCTCATACAAAAGGAACTATCTCAGCCTCCATTCTGATCAATGGAGATGGGCGCCTTATAATTTAAAATAATTCTCAATTTAGCCCATTCATTCGTAGACTCCTTTGAGCATGTGGTAAAAGTTAAGGAATAGCTAACCCCCCAAATGCCGCAATTCCAGGGCTTACATAATATCTGAAATCCAAGGACTCCAGTTTGAAAACCCATGTCATAAAATTATTTACATAGTTTGGTACATATAATAATTTAAAAATAACAATATTCAATGTCTGAGAGGCAGTGGAGAAATCTGATCCCTAATGTACTGCAGGTGGTTCCATGAACAGGTACTGCTGTGTATTCCAGGACACAGCAAGACCCAGTGAGAGGCTTGGGTCCTGCTGGTAATTCTTCAATTTGGCTGTTTAGCCTAAAGAAGGCATCCAGAATGCTAATATGGCTTTACATACAAACATTCTGGCGACTTAAGGATTACAGTATCAAAACACTGAAAACAGCCCAGGCAGGGTGGCTCATGCCTGTAATCTCAGCACTTTGGGAGGCCAAGGTGGGTGGATCACTTGAGGTCAGGAGTTTCAGACCAGTCTGGCCAACATGGTAAAACCCCATCTCTACTAAAAATACACACACACACACACACACACACACACACACACACACAAAATTAGCCAGTCTTGATGGTGCATGCCTGAGGTCCCAGCTACTTGGGAGGCTGGGGCACGAGAATCGCTTGAAACCAGGGTCAGAGGTTGCAGTGAGCTGAGATTGTACCATTGCACTCCAGCCTGGGAGACAGAGTGAGACTTCATCTCAAAAAAAAAAAAGAAAAAAAAAACCACTGAAACAATCTAGAAAAAATCTAGCTGGGGGCTTAGCAAACTGATATTTAAGAGGGGTGCAATAGGATGCTGCTTACAATGAAATGGAAATTCCAATTACAGAGACTTGGAAACATGGAAGTTGTTTACAACAGTGTGATAAGAGGGACTAGGAAACACCACGGTGTTTTGTTTTCTTTTGTTATGTTTTGTTTTGTTTTGTTTTTTGAGACGGAGTTTCACTCTGTTGCCCAGGCTGGAGTGAAGTGGTGAGATCTTGGCTCACTGCAACCTCCGTCCCATGGGTTGAGGCAATTCTCCTGCCTCAGCCCCCGAGTAGCTGGGATTACAGGTGTGCGCCACCATGCCCAGTTAACTTTTGTATTTTTAGTAGAGATGGGGTTTTGCCATGTTGACCAGGCTGGTCTCAAATTCCTGACCTCAGGTGATCCACCCTCCTCGGCCTCCCAGAGTGCTAGGATTACAGGCATGAGCCACTGCGCCCGGCCAGTGGTGTGTGTCCTTTAACTGAAACTATGAAAAGAAAATGTATGTGCATGAACAAGAATGTGTGGAAAACATGAAAAAGTGAAAAGTATGAAAACTGGATTATCGGTGGATTTCTCCTTTTCTAAATTTCATTATTCTCTCATTTTTTTTTAAATAGGGCCTCACTCTGTTGCCCAGGCTGGAGTGCAGTGGTGCGATCATAGTTCACTGCAGCCTCAACCTCCCAGTCTCAAGCGATCCTCCTACCTCAGCCTCCCAAGTGGTTGTGAGAACAGGCGTGAACCACCATGCCTAGCTAATGGATAATTTTTGTATTTTTTTTTTTTGTAGAGACAGGATTTTACCATGTTTTCCAGGCTGGCCTTGAATTCCTGGGCTCCAGAGATCAACCCACCTCAGCCTCGCAAAGTGCTGGGATTACAGATGTGAGCATGGCACCCAGCCTCATTATTCATTTTTTACATCTCTTTTTTAAAAATGATTTTTCTCACAACACATGCAATTTCTCTTATTCCATCCCAATTCAATTCTTTTTTTTTTTTCTTTTCTTTTTTTTTTTTTTTTTGGTGAGACGGAGATTTACTCTTGTTGCCCAGGCTGGAGTGCAATGGTGCAATCTCGGCTCACAGCATCCTCCGCCTCCCAGGTTCAAGCGATTCTCCTGCCTCAGCCTCCCGAGTAGCTGGGATTACAGGCATGTGCCACCACGCCTGGCTAATTTTGTATTTTTAGTAGAGATGCGGTTTCACCATGTTGCCCAGGCTGATCTCGAACTCCTGACCTCAGGTGATCCACCCACCTCGGCCTTCCAAAGTGCTGGGATTACATGTGTGAGCCACCACGCCTGGCCCAATTCAATTCTTTATTTCCAAGGTCAGGTTTATGATTTTAAAAATCAACGGCTTACCTTGAGTTTGATTGTCCCTTTATCTAAAAATGAAAATAAAATGAAAAAAGTTAAATCAAGAGCTGTGTTGCCCTGCCTCCCTGAGCTGCAGCCTCACAAACCACAAACTTTCTTAACCCAAAGGGGTTTCATGTGGACAAACACACCCTGGGTCATGCTGGCCTGGACTGGGCCAGGCTAGGACTGGCAGAAGCCAGAGGTTTCCTCCAAGCTGGCACAAGCTGAAGGCCAGAGGGAATGGACAAAGCTGAGCTATTCAGGGCAAAGCTGGCCTGCCTAAGTACTTGATTTACTTCACCCCTGGCTCCTGTCCAAACTAAGCTGTGAGGGGAGTAATGGGAAAACACCAGGGGAGAGGAACAAGGAGAAGGGTGGAGAGAAAGAAGAGGGGACTGAGGTCCCCAGTGGACCTGACTGTTCTCCCATCACCTCTCTCTGCTACCCACACTAAATCATTTGTGCTACTGTACTAGGTTTCTGGCCTCCAGGACTCAATTAGGTATCTATTATTTTTGCCTCCCAGCAACCATTATCCCATTTCCTGCTAACAGATCCTCAATTTCCTTGGACAAGCTATCTGCCCAGCACACAACGCACGTGGCTCCCAAGCTCTCCATCCACCTTCCTGGGACTCTGAGCCAATCTGCATAGGCCTTCCCCCTGGTCACAGTGATTGGTTCAGGGCTGAGCACATGACCCAAAATGAACCAATCAGCATAGGCCTTCCCCTCTGGTCATAGTGATTGGCTCAGGGTTGAGCACATGAACCAAGATAGGCCAATCAGAGGGAATCCTGGGACTTTATCCAGCCATCTTGGGAGACTGGTGCTTCCCCTGATCTTAAGGAGAGACCTGGTTGCATCAAGAGGTAGGGGGAGAAGCTGGCCAGCAATACCAGTGGACTTTCTTTCTAGGTATGAGAGACCACAAACTGTTGCAGAAGCCAACTGGGTTGGGTTTCAGTTGGCTAGCCACCCAAGTCAGGAGTGCCTGGTTCTTCTAGGACTAGAAGGGCTTCTAGAAGGTTCTAGAAGCTTCCACATTTCCACCTTCTCTGGCCACACCTCCCTAAGAGACAAGTGCTGCTTCACTGGCCTTGGAGCCCCTGGCCTTCTCTGTGTCTCCTGTGGCTACATCATTCTCGGCATGAGGAATGAGTCTACCTCCCCTGGGAGATTACAGCTTTCTGAGCCAGGGATCTGCATTCACTATCTTGACCAGGAGGCTGAGGCTGTTGCTGTCTGCATTTGACCAAGGAGTGAAGGGGAGAGACTGGCTGAGGGCCTGAGCTGCACTTAGTAACAGGCCTGTGAGCCCAGGTCTGAGTCTAATGGTTCAGGTGTGCTGGAAACCCAACAAAAGGTCAGAGGGGGGTCATGTGATCTCCTTCAGGTCCCCTGTCCCACCTCTGGTCAAAGCTGACACAGGTGGGTGCCCGTGCTCTGCCCAGATCTGCACCCACAGAACCAGGGCTGCTGAGGACCCATGAGCTGAGCTGCCCATCCTGGGCTTTACTCTCTCTCCATCTGTAGAATGAGGAGAATGCAACCTGTCTTCCCTCCCTCCCTCCCATGCCCCTGGGGATTTAGGGCAGAAGGGAAGCAAAGCAACACCCACACTGCCCCAGCCCTGAAGGCCAGCAAGTGGCTCCACTTTGCAAAAGAAGGGGAAGTCCTGGTCTGGCACCCAAGGGACCTACCCAGGATGGCTCCCTGGCTCTGCACCACCGGCTCACCCTGGGCCACCAGCTGAGCCTGGACCGTGACTTCCCTTGGAGAGTTAAAGATGGTCACGCTGATGACTTCCTCCACGCCCGCGCGAAAAACAGAGGGAGCTGCAATCAAGTAACCCCTGCAGGAAAGGAGATCCGAGGTGAAGTTCTCACCCCAGACCCCTGGTCTCGCTGCCACCACAGCTAGGTCAGGGCTCTCCTCGCAGCAGACTCCTGCCTTTTGCTGACCACACCTGGCTGGCATTGATGCTCTAGGAGTCTGTGCCCCCCCATCAGTTCTTGAGTCCATGGATTGGCTCTTTCACCTGTGAAGTCCCCATGCTGGGTAAGAATCTGGCCTCACTGGATTTTTCAGCATTGCACAACCCCTCTTACTCTCTCTATTCCGGCCTCCAGCCTGTTGACTCAGCTACTTCCTTCTGCCCCAGGACCTTTTTTTTTTTTTCTTTTCCTGGAGACAGAGTGTTGCTCTGTCCCCCAGGCTGGAGTGCAGTGGCATGATCTCGGCTCACTACAACCTCCACCTCCCGGGTTCAAGGGATTCTCGTGCCTTAGCCTCCCAAGTAGCTGGGATTATAGGTGCCTGCCACCACGGCCGGCTAATTTTTGTCTTTTTAGTAGAGGCAGGGTTTTGCCATGTTGGCCAGGATGATCTCAAACTCCTGACCTCAAATGATCCACCCTCCTCAGCCTCCCAAAGTTCTGGGATTAGAGGTGTGATCCACCACGCCTGGCCCTTCTGGCCCAGGACCTTTGCACATGTCATGCCCACTGTCTGAAATACTCTCCTCCACAAGCCAGGTAACCGGCAGGATCCCACTTCATCCTCACGGTGCACCCCGTCCCCCACCACCGTGAGAAGTGCTGACATCAGCCCCATTTAGAAAGTCAGAAAGGAAACCCCAGAGAAGTCAAGTCACCAGCCGCAACAGTGACAGACCAGGATTCTAACTCAGGCGGTCAGACTCCAAAACCTGATAAAAAGAAGCAAAGGGCTTCTTTGCAACATTCATTTTAAGAACAAACCCTGAAAACAAACCATAGGGCCTCAAACAAAAAGAGCTCTGAAAACAATGGAATCAAAGCAGGCCTCTCTTTCCTAAAATCTTCTGATTGACTATGAAGTCACCTCTGGAAGGGAGGCATTACCCCCAGTTTCCCCATGGGAAGTTGATGCTTCAGAAGAATAGGAACATGCACCAGATCACACAGCCAGGCAGAAGAGGGCACTGAGGTGCCCTTAGGGGACCTGACCTGAGGGCCCAGGTCCTCCCCACCTGAGCTCCTGTCTCCCAGTATCTGCAGCCTTCCATGGAAAATTACAAAGGCCCTGTAACCTCATGAAATGCTTACAGTGTCCCCACAATCACCAAGAGCATTATAGCAAAGGCACCACAATTGCAACCATGTAGAATGATGGAAATCAGAAGAAAAGAGGGTAAAGGGGGAAACTGGACCATGCAATGAGATTAGGAGACATTTTCATTTCAATATTTTCTTTTTTTATTTTTATTTATTTATTTATTTATTTTTAATTGAGACTGAGTCTTGCTCTGTTGCCCAGGCTGGAGTGCAGTGGTGTGATCTCAGCTCACTGTACCCTCCACCTCCCAGGTTCAAGGGATTCTTCTGCCTCAGCCTCCAGAGTAGCTGGGACTACAGGCGTGCACCACCACACCCAGCTAATTTTTGTATTTTTGGTAGAGACTGGGTTCCACCATGTTGGCCAGGCTGGTCTTGACCTCCTGACCTCAAGTGATCTGCGCACCTTGGCCTCCCAAAGTGCTGGGATTACAGGCCCACTGCACCTGGCCTCAATAGTGTCTCTAGAACAACCCAACATCCACATGCAAAAAGATGAATTGAGAACATTACCTCACACCATGCAATTAGATTAACTCAAAGTTAATCTTAGTAACAGATCTAAATTGAAGAAGTAAAACTTGTAGAAACACTAGAAGAAAACAAAGGAGAAAGTCATTGCATGCTTAGATTAGGCAAAGATTTCTTGAGTAAGATACCAAAAATAAGATCCATAAAATAACTCACTGATAAACCAAACTTCATGAAAACATCATTACCAATTTTGCATCTCAAAAGACGCAGTGGGTTTGTGTTGTTTCATGCACACGAACAATGGGTTTGGGTTGTTTACTGCAGCCCTGGCCACAGTGTGCACTGACCCTGTGATCATAGTGTGCTACATCTGCCTTGAATAATTACCAGAGTTCAGTCCCCTGGGATCACACATGTGCTGTCCAACTCTAGGACCAACTGGAGTTTGCAAGACCCTGGGTATGTGCTGTGTATTACATAACTCCAGCACTGACCAGGACATGCAATTACCCTGTCCAGGTGTCCTGTCCAGCTCCAGCACTGGAATGTGGCATCCTTTAAAAGGGGAATACTCTTTCTGTCTGGCTCCCAGCTGATCCCTAGAGTTTAGACGGGCCTCACATATAGTACATGGTGAGTGTAGAAGAGAGAGTAAGGAATACGTGTTCATTTTGCTTGGTCACCTTTGAAACTCCTGACAATACGGGTTCAAGTCTTCATCCAACTGCCCAGAGAAACTGACATCACCAAATTAAGTTTCCCTGCCATTCAGAAGTTGCAGCTGTTTCCAGCTGTTGGGATGCTTGCCAGCCATTCACTGTCACACCTGACCCACCCCTAGCATCTGGGCCAACACTGCTTCTCATCCTGCTGGTCTCAGAAGGTCCCAGATTGGGGAAAGGGATGTCTGGGTCAGTGTAGACAGAATTGCTCTTACAACTGCAAACTGTGCTGCTTTCTGGGATCAGAGATTCCTCACACAAAAATCTCTCAGGTGACAGAAGTGGGCATCCAGAGCTATTCCTAAGACGAGATCCTTTGGGCTGGGTGAACCATGCCCCTGGCTTAGAGGCCAGCTAATCTGGAATCCCAGGTCGGTCATTTGGGGACATCTCTTCCCCAGTGTGTCTCTCAGCACAGGGATTCCATGTCACTTAACAGATGGTAAGATCACAGGGTGACTTTAGTCAGAGGAAAACGCCCTGGAGAACTGTTTAAAACTCTCTAACGGGCCAGGCACGGTGACTCACGCCTCTAATCCCAGCACTTTGGGAGGCGGAGGTGGGTGGATCACCTGAGGTCAGGAGTTCCAGAACAGCCTGGCTAACATGGAGAAACCCCATCTCTATTAAAAATACAAAAAATTAGCCGGGTGTGGTGGCACACGCCTGTAATCCCAGCTACTCAGGAGGCTGAGGCAGGAGAGTCATTTGAACCTGGGAGGCGGAGGTTGCAGTAAGCCAAGATCGTGCCATTGCACTCCAGCCTGGGCAACAAGAGTAAAACTCCATCTCAAAACAAAAACAAAAACAAACCCCAAAAACAACAAACAACAAACAAAAACCTCTGTATAAGGCAGGGTCTCTCATTGGAGCCAAGGTCTGTCATGTGGGGCCGCGTCATTCCTTGCAGTGGAAGCTGACCTGCACATCGAAAGCTGTTTACCAGCATTCCTGGCCTGCACCCACTTAATGCCAACACCAAATGCCTCTCCCTATTTGTGACAACCAAAAATACCTCCAGACATTTCCCAGCGGCCTCAGGGAGACAAAAATCCCCCCCAGGGCTGAGAACCACTATTCTAAGGGATGCCAGCTTTGAAAGAAGCATTAGGATGAAAATTTGTAGGGTTCCGATTTCACGAAGCCTAGGAGAGGGAAGTCTGGATGCTCAGAGCGCAGTAGACTGTCTTGCTTTTAAAACTGTGACCAGCAAGGACCAACTACTCACTGCAAATAACGACACCCACCTAGTCTCACTGCTTACCAGTTTTCTGGAAACTCCTAAACAAGGGCTGCTTGAACAAGCCGCCTTCTAAACGCCCAGCTGGACTAAAAGGCTGGTCTTGTGCAGACCAGGGCAGCCCCCCTGAACCCGCAGCCCTGCAGAGCTCACCCGAACTTGCCAGGTTTAGAAATATTCTCTGTGAAGCCAACTTAGCAGTACTCCCCAGCAGTTAGTTAATTCACCTTCTCCCCGCTGTCAACCCACCAGAAGCCTGCAAGCAAACCTCTAGAAAAATGTAGAAGCAAAACAAACACTTCCTCCTCCCTCACCACGCCCACCCACGGGAAAGTGCCCCTTCGCACTCTCCTCCCACTTCTCAGCCAAGACGCTCCTCTTACCTTCATACCTTGGACAACTGGAAATCGCCACCCATGATGACAGCCCGGGTCACACGAAGGGGGCGAGGTGGGGCGGGGGGAGCTGACCTCAGCACCTTTAGCTTTTGGGAGTCCCTGTACCTCCACAGAGCCACTTCGGAAACTTTAGGGCGCCCCCTCCTCAAGACGATTCGGGAACAAGAGGCCAGGTCCAGCCCAGCGCGGAGGCTGTGTGGCCTTGGGCAGGTCGCTGCAACACTCTGAGCCAGTACCCGCGACCCCCACCCCAGAAGGCGACCGACCTCCTCTGTCGCCGGAGGATACTCACGGGGCCTGAGGCTGCGCGGCGCGCACGCCGTCCCGCGCCGACAGCAGCAGGAGCAGGAGCGGGAGCAACGGCCAGAGCAGGGCGCCGCTCATTTTTCGGCTCCTGGGGGGCGCCGCGCCTGGGGAGGGGGCCGGGCCAGGGCTGGGCCAGGGCCAGGGTCCGAGCGCGGCCGTCCTCGCGCCGCCGCCGGGGGCCCTTTGTTCGCAGCCCCCGCGCAGTGCGCCCGGCGCCATGCGCCCCGCTCCGCGCCCGGCCAAGCTGGGGCAGCCCCGGGCCAGCCCCCTCCCCGGACCCGCCTCGTCTCCGGGACCGCCCCGCTCGCCCCGCTCGCCCCGCTCCTGGGCGCACCCTCCCGGGACGCCTGCTCCGCCCATCTCCGGACCCCGACCCGCCCCGATCCCTTCCGGGGATCGTCCCCTCACTTACTCACCGGACCCACCCGGGCCCTGCCCGATTCCTTCCGAACCCGCCTCCTCACCCCCTACCCGGATTCGCCCCCGGATGCCCCCCTCCCCACCAGCCCCGCCTCGGACCCGACCCCCCACCGCCCCCACTCTCCCTCTCCTCTCCACCCAGCGTCCACTCGGAACCTGTCCCTTCCCTGGCCTCTCCCTCCCTCCCTCCCCAGCCAGCCCCTTATGGCCCCCTCCCCGGGCCCGCCCCTCACCAGGGGCCCCTGGGTCTGGACGCCGCCTGCAACCCCGATCCCACAGGCGCCGCCGTGCCCTAAGCCCTGGCCTGTATCTAGTGCCCAGTGCAGTGCGTACAGCCCAAGGAGCAGAGGACCCTTTGGGGAAACAGTCTAGCCAGGGGTCGAACCTCCCAGACTCACATCTGCCCCAGGTCCCTATCTGTGCTCTCTGCTCCCCTCTCCCCCACCCCCACTGTCCACAAATCCCTTGGGCCCGTCCCCTCTCTCGCTGGGCCTCAGAGTCCCCCTTTCCCCTTCATACAGCAGGGGTGGATGGGCACCCCCTTTCTCTCCAAGAGCAGGGTGTCCCCTCCTGCCCCTCCCCGTGTGGCCACCTCAGTGATGGTCCTGCTGTCCTAGGTCCCACTGGCAGGCGGCACATCCTATACCATGTCCAAGTCCTGGACCCCCTCCTTCCAGTGTGGAACCCCCTTCCCCCAGCTACCAACTGCCCTTCTTCTAAAATTCCAGTGCTGACCACACCCCCTCCTGCCCGGAATCCTCGGGGCTCCCTGTTTATTTTACATTTTATTTTTATGTTTTGAGACCAGAGTTTTGCTCTGTTGCCCAGGCAGGAATTTAGTGGTGCAGTCACAGCTCACTGCAGCTTCAGACTCCTGGAGAGTAGCTGGGACTACAGGTGCAAGCCCGCACCCAGCTAATTTTTATATATTTTTTTTTAGAAACGGAGTCGCACTGTGTTGCCCAGGCTGGTCTTGAGCACTGGGCTCAAATGATCCTCCCTCCTCAGCCTCCCAAAGTGCTGGGATTACAGGTGTGAGCCACCACATCCAGCCAGGGCTTCCCGTTTATTGAGACCAAATCTAAACTCTGGCTTTGATGGCAGAGACCTCAGCCTAGTTCCTCCAACACCCTGTTCTTACTCCACTGCCTGCTTCTGCCTAATCTCTGTCTTCCTCTACCTGCCTCCTTTGCCAGTCCAACTCCTGATCCTTCCAGGAAACTCAAGGGAAGCTTCTCTTGCCCCCTCCCTGCCCCTAGGGATGTGGGTCCTCTGGGGGCTTCTCAGCCCTGTCAACAGCCTTTGGACCCAACACTGATCACCCAGGCAGCACCAAGCCCTGGGCTGGGCAATGAGGACCCTGGGACATACAGGACCTGCTGCCACTGAGCACACAACCCAGAGGGGACGTAACTGATGATGGTGTGTTGGTGTGTGTGTGTGCGTGCACGCGCGCAGGGGCCGGAGTAGATTGAGTAGCCGTCTCTCCTGCCTGGAGAAGAGGAGGAGCTGCCTGCCTCCAAGCTCAGACCAGGCCAACCCCAAACAGGCTGCTAAACTCACATGGAGGTGCAAAAATCTAGCACCAAGAAGCAGCATCTGATCTCACCCTCATCATCGAAGTTTGCCCCATGCCACCCCTCCGGGCCCCTCCAGGCCAACTCTGACTCCTACCTAAGCCAACCTCCACTCCTCAGCCTCCAGGCCAGCCTTTGAGCCCTCCGCCTCCCCCTTGACCATTGGGCTCTGGCCACATTTGCTCCTGAGATACATCAGACCCCCACCCACCACCACCATCTTGGGCCAAGGTGCCAGCTGTCCCCTCTGCCTGGGATGCACTTCCCCGTGGCATCACAAGACCGGCTGCTCTCCTCCACCTTCAGGGTTAGCCCGGAGGTGCCTTCCCTGCCTGCCTGGTTTGTAAGGTCTAAAATGTCAGTGCTGCCTTGGCATGGTTGAGCCACACAGGACCACGATGTCCTGACCGACCGTTCAGCTACTCTTGCCAAATATGCCCCCTGCCTGGCAAGAGAAGCTGCTCTCCACCTGGCTGTCTCACCAAGCAACCAGACCAGCTGCACCCCACCCATCAGCCACAGACTTCACTTCCCTAGCTGCTGAGAAGTTATTGAAACAAGCCATGCCCAGTCGTGGTGGCTCATGCCTGTAATCCCAGTACTTTGGGAGGCCGAGGCAGGTGGATCACCTGAGGCCAGGAGTTCAAGACCAGCCTGGCCAACATGGTGAAACCTCATCTCTACTAAAAATACAAAAATTAGCCAGGTGTGGTGGTGCACACCTGTAATCCCAGCTACTCGGGAGGCTGAGGCAGGTGAATCACTTGAACCCAGGAGGTGGAGTTTGCAGTGAGCCGAGATTGCGCCACTGCACTCCAGCCTGGGTGACAGAGTGAGACTCCGTCTCAAAAAAAAAAAAAAAAAAAAAGAAAGAAAGAAACCAATCACATCCTCCCAGGAGAACCAGGGGCTGCCTCACCCTCTTATTACTACAAAGCCTGCTTCCCACAGCCCCTGCTTGTTCATTGTGCTCCCGAGTGCAACCCCTGTGTGGCCTCACACAGTGTACAGGGTCCTCCTCCCGTCATTGTGTGAGAATAGGTGAGCACTAAACTGTAGATCTCACCCACCCAATGTCACATGTTGTATGTTTGGCCATCTCATACTCTTTTTTTTTTTTTTTTGAGACGGAGTCTTGCTCTGTCGCCCAGGCTGGAGTGCAGTGGTGCGATCTTGGCTCGCTGCAAGCTCCGCATCCCGAGTTAACACTTTTCTCCTGCCTCAGCCTCCCAAGTAGCTGGGACTACAGGCACCCGCCACCACGCCCGGATAATTTTTTGTATTTTTAGTAGAGACGGGGCTTCACCATGTTAGCCAGGATAGTCTTGATCTCCTGACCTCGTGATCCGCCCTCCTGGGCCTCCCAAAGTGCTGGGATTACAGGAGTGAGCCACCGCGCCCGGCCTATTTTTTTTTTTTTTAACGGAGTCTCACTCTGTCACACAGGCTGGAGTGCAATGGCGTGATCTCAGCTCACTGCAACCTATGCCTCCCGGGTTCAAGCGATTCTCCTGCCTCAGCCTCCCAAGTAGCTGGGACTATAGGCGCCTGCCACCATGCCTGGCTAATTTTTGTATTTTTAGTAGAGACAGGGTTTCACCATGTTGCCCAGGCTGTTCTCGAACTCCTGACCTCATGTGATCCACCTGCCTTAGCCTCCCAAAGTCCTGGGATTACAGGCATGAGCCACTGTGCCGGGCCCATCTCATACTATTTAGAGCAGCAGTCCCCAACCTTTTTGGCACAAGGGACAGGTTTCATGGAAGACATTTTTTCCATGGACAAGGGGCAAGGTGATGGGAGGGACAGTGATGGTTTTGGGATGATCAAGTGCGTGACATTTATTGTGCACTTTATTTCTATTATTGTTACATTGTAATATAATGAAATAATGATACAACTCACCATCGCGTAGAATCAGTGGAAGCCCTGAGCTGTTGTTTTCCTGCAGCCAGAGATCCTACCTGGGGGTGATGGGAGACAGTGGCAGATTATCAGGCATTAGATTCTCATAAGGAGCATGCAACATAGATCCCTCGCATGCACAGTTTGTAATAGGGTTTGGGCTTCTCTGAGAATCTAATGCTGCCGCTGATCTGACAGGAGGTGGAGCTCGGGCGATAATGTGAGCGATGGGGAGAGGCTGTAAATACAGATGAAGCTTTGCTTACTCATCCAATATCAGACCAGTGTCAGTCTGTGGCCCAGGGGTTGGGGACCCTTGATTTAGATCATGGGTGAATAGGAGCCAATGAGGACACTAGCATGGCCCGGTCATCCAGTTTGACTGCATGGTACACAAAACACAGAGCATGGTCTTATTATTCCATACACATCTGCTTCCTGTCTGTCTTCTTTGGGATGTGAGCCCCCCGTTTGCTGCTGGCCGCAGCCCCTGGCTCAAAGTGGGCACACCTCACACAGATTACTGCCTCATCAGCACACGGGAGAAGGCTCGCTGCTTAGAAGAGTCAGTTGATACTATTCCATGAATTATACAAGCCTGAGTTAACAAAGCCATGACTAAAAACTAAATTATACCGATTTGCAATGAAACACATTATACAGGTTGAGTAGCCAAAATGCATTATCGGCCGGGTGCAGTGGCTCACGCCTGTAATCCCAGCACTTTGGAAGGCCAAGGTGGGTGAATCACTTGAGGTCAGGAGTTCAAGACCAGCCTGACTAACATGGTGAAACCCCATCTCTACAAAATACAAAAATTAGCTGGGTGTCATGGCAGGCACCTGTAATCCCAGCTGCTTGGGAGGCTGAGGCATGAGAATCACTTGAACCCGGAAGGTGAAGGTTGCAGTGAGCCAAGAATGGGCCACTGCACTCCAGCTTGGGCAACAGAGCCAGACCCTGTCTCAAAAAGAAAAAAATGCCTAATCTAAAATGCACTTTCCAAAACGGTCAGTGCAAGAAATGTTCCAGATTTTTAATTTTTCAGATTTGGGGATATTTGCATTATACTTACTGGTAGAGTATCGTGTGTGTGTGTGTGTGTGTGTGTGTGTGTGTGTGTGTGTGTGTGTGTGTAGTCTGGCTCTGTTGCCTGGGCTGGAGTGCAATGGTGCGATCTTGACTCACTGCAACCTTCACCTCCTGGGTTCAAGCAATCCTCCCACCTCAGCCTCCCAAGTAGCTGGGACTACAGGCACATGCCACCACATCAAGCTAATTTTTGTATTTTTATAGAGACAGGGTTTCACCGTGTTGCCCAGCTGGTGTCAAACTTCTGAGCTGAAGTGATCCACCTGCCTCAGCCTCTCAAAGTGCTGGGATTACAGGCATGAGCCATCATGCCCAGAGTATCTTTAATCTGAAAATCTGAAATCTGAAATGTTTTGGTGAGTGTTTCCTTTGAGCGTCATGTTGGCGCTGAAAATTTTTAAATTTTGGAGCATTTGTGGAATTTGGATTTTCAGATTAGAGATGCTCAACGTGTATTAAAAATATGGCTGGGCGAGGTGGCTCAAGCCTGTAATCCCAGCACTTGGGGAGGCCAAAGAGGGCAGATCACTTGAGACCAGGAGTTCGAGACCAGTCTGACCAAGATAGTGAAACCCCATCTCTCCTAAAAATACAAGAAATTAGCCAGGGGTGGTGGTGCATGCCTGTAATCTCAACTACTTGGGAAGTTGAGGCAAGGGAATCACTTGAACCCAGGAGGCAGAAGTTGCAGTGAACTGAGATCATGCCACTGCACTCCAGTCCGAACGACAGAGTGAGACTGTCTCAAATAAAATAAATAAATAAATAAATAGCAAAGGCGCTGAAAGTACTCAAAACTCATCACTTCGTCTTCATTTTACTACATTTTACAATTCTCTGTACTCTTGAGGTTATGCATGGTGAAAATACTCCATAATAACACAGATCTCTTCCTAACTCTATGTTTAGTCACTTCACGCCAGTAGGTTGAAATTACCCATGGGCGGAGTACAGTCACTTCCACTTTATCACTTGTTTTGAAAGCACAAATGTGTTCCGACATGATGGATGCATTAGGAATGATTTGAGCATAAAATCAAATATTGTGTTCACTTATGTAAGATTTTTGTCTGCAAGAAACATTGGGTATGAATGCAGAAAACTGCACCTGGCTGACCCCAGCCACGTAGGAATACACAAAAACCACACCTGCACCCTCTCCAGCATCTCTGTGCTCCCTCAGTGCCTTGCTGTGTGCCAGGAGCCACATCTGTCCCTGTCTGAGGTTACAATATCCCGCCTGATTTCAGATGATCTCCTCCCAGACCTTCACAGTAACTCACAGGCTGCCACCTCCCCATGCCCAGGTCCACAAATGAGCCTTCAGTCTTTCCAAGGCTGATACTGTATTTGTGTATTTTTTTTCTTTTCTTTTCTTTTCTTTTTTTTTTTTTTTTTTGAGATGGGTTCTCACTCTCTTGTCCAAGCTGGAGTGTAACGGCACAATCAGGGCTCACTGCTGCTTCAACCTCCTGGGCTCAAGTGATCCTCCCGCCTCAGCCTCCCGAGTAGCTGAGACCACAGGCATGTACCACCATGCCTGGCTAATTTTTTTGTATTTTTAGTAGAGACAGGGTTTTGCCATCTCACTCAGGCTAGTCTCCAACTTCTGGACTCAAGCGACCCACCCGCCTTGGCCTCCCAAAGTGCTGGGATTATACAGGCGTGAGGCATCGCGCCCGGCCATATTCTTGAAATTCTTAACCATTTGACATTTGTACAATGTCACTACCATTTTTAGTAGGTGCCTATTTTTTTTTTAGGTGTCATTGGTGACATTTGGATGGTTGTGCCCTGACCCGTTTTCCCATGAGCCCTGTGGTTTGATTGTGTGAATTTGCAGCGTGAGGTCATTTTTAGGAATGGCCCTGTTGTGTGAGGGCGGAACTGGCTGCATTAGCCCCATGGTAAGTGGTTGTCAAACATCTCCAAACATGCCTAGGATGAGCAGCTTTGCAGTTTGGATGGGGGACGAGGAAGACCGCAAAGACTGTCCTGTTGTCAATGGGCGTTTTTCTTTTTTTTTCTTTTCTTTTTTTTTTTTTTTTTGAGATGGAGTCTCACCCTGTTGCCCAAGCTGGAGTGCAGTGGCGCGATCTCGGCTCACTGCCAACCTCTGCCACCCGGGTTCAAGTGATTCTCGTGCCTCAGCCTCCCGAGTAGCTGGGATTACAGGCACATGCCACCACGCCCAGCTAATCCAGCTAATTTTTTTGTTTTTTTTTAGTAGAGATGGGGTTCCACCATGTTGGCCAGGCTGTTCTTGAACTCCTGACCTCGAGTGATCTGCCCATCTCGGCCTCCCAAAGTGCTGGGATTACAGGCATGAGCCACTGCGCCTGGCCCAATGGGCGTTTTTCTCCCACTTAGCCAGCATGTGCCTGTGCCTGCCAGGTGCCCAGGAGATTGGATGTCAGGACTGAAGACAGACAGACAGCCTGATGGCCTGCAGTGATCTGGGTCTTCTAGCACAGTGCCCCTGACAGGGTTCCTAGGGCCAGAGGGAGATCAGGCCATGCCTGTCCAGGACATTTCGTATAAATGGAATCATACACTATGTGTGCTTTTGTGTCTGCCTTCTCTCACCCAGCATCATTTTTTGTTTGTTTGTTTTTTTAAGATGGAGTCTTGCTCCATTGCCCAGGTTGGAGTGCAGTGGCGCAATCTCGGCTCACTGCAACCTCCGTCTCCCAGGTTCAAGCGATTCTTCTGCCTCAGCCTCCCAAGTAGCTGGGACTACAGGCATACACCGCCATGTCCAGCTAATTTTTTGTATTTTTAGTAGAGAGAGGGTTTCACTGTGTTGCCCAGGCTGGTCTTGAACTCCTGATCTCAGGTGATCCACTCACCTCAGCCTCCCAAAGTGCTGGGATTACACGCATGAGCCTCTGCGCCCAGCCAAAATATGCAATGACACCTACCAGGAGTGAGGCAGGAATGATTTTCTTAATAACATGTTTATTATTCTTTTCTCCCCCTTGCTTTATTGTCAGAATACGATATATAATACATAGAACATACAAAATATGCGTTAATTGATCGTTTATGTTATCTGTTGACTTCTGGTCAACAGTAGGCTATTAATAGTTAAGTTTTGGGGGAGTCAAAAGTTATGCACAGATTTTCAACTGCCAGGAGGCTCAGCACCCCAACCCCATTGTTCTTCAGGGCCAACTATACATCTGTTTAGAAAAACAAAAATGTACACTGAAGCACAAAAATTGGGCCAGGCACAGTGGCTCACACCTATAATCTCAGCACCTTGGGAGGTCGAAGTGGGAGGATCACTTGAGGTCAGGAGTTCAAGACCAGCCTGGGTATTATAGTGAGACTTCATCTCTACAAAAAATTAAAAAATTTGGCCAGATGCGGTGGCTCACCCTTGCAATCCTAGCACTTTGGGAGGCCAAGACAGGCAGATCACTTGAGGTCAGGAGTTCGAGATCAGCCTGGCCAACTTGGCGAAATCCCGTCTCTACCAAAAATACAAAAATTACCCGGGTTGGTGGCAGGAGCCTGTAATCCCAGCTACTTGGGAGGCTGAGGCAGGAGAATCTCTTGAACCTAGGAGGCGGGGTTGCAGTGAGTCAAGATCGCGCCACTGCACTCCAGCCTGGGTGAGAGACTCCATCTCGAAAAAAAAGAAAAAGAAAAGAAAAATTAGCTGTGTGTGGTGGCTGAGTGGCCTCCAAAGGTGGCTTTTAGGGGGACATCTGGGATCTGCCCCAGCAAGTCCCAGCTATTCAAGAGGCTGAGGCAGGAGGATTGCTTGAGCCTAGGATTTGAAGCTGCAGTGAGCTATGATTGCACCACTACACTCCAGCCTGGATGACAGAGCAAGACTCTGTCTTAAAAAAAAAAAAAAAAAAAAAGCCGGCGCCGTGGCTCACACCTGTAATCCCAGCACTTTGGGAGGCCGAGGCGGGTGGATCTTCTGAGGTCGGGAGTTCGAGACCAGCCTGACCAACATGGAGAAACCCCGTCTCTACTGAAAATACAAAATTAGCCGGGCATGGTGGCGGCGCATACCTATAATCCCAGCTACTCAGGAAGGCTGAGGCAGGAGAATCGCTTGGACCTGGGAGGCAGAGGTTGCGATGAGCCGAGATCGCGCCACTGCACTCCAGCCTGGGCAACAAGAGCAAAACTCGGTCTCAGAAAAAGAAAAAAAAAGGATGGGGCAGGATAACAGGATGCAGGCCTGGGACTTTCCATGGAGGAAGAGGCCTCAGAAAGGTCTATGTCTGGGACAAGGCGACCTGAAGTGCCCTTGGGCTTAACCTCTTGGACTCAGCCCTCTCTGGGGTTTGGAGATGCCAGCTGCCCCAAAAACCGCTCCGAGCACAAGCAATGTGCCACACAGCCCTGTGGCAGGAAGGAGCTCGTGCCCGCTCCAAGTAGCACCAAGCGTGGAGGAAGGCAAAGGAGACTCGGGCTGCCACAGGCCCTCTCTGGGTGTGGGGACCAGAGATCAAGCCAGGTTCCCATTCTTGCCCTGTGAATCCTGCACTGTGTCCTCAGGGCGGGGAGTGTACGCAGGCCATCGGGGGACAGCACAGGGCAGTTGGTCCCCAGCCGGTGGGGACCAGTGTGTAGGCTCTAGGGTCAGCCTCAGGGTGGCCTTGGGGATGTGCAGCTCCTTGGAGAAGATGAACTCACAGCTGGTCCAAGCTCTGACGTCACTTCCGGGAGGAAGCTTCAGCCTCATAACTCCAGAACCACTTCCCTAAAATCCGAGTTTGCCGAGTTTTTGCTTCAACCATCTTGAGTAGCTTTGTCCTGCCTGGACCCTGAGTCTGAGCAAAGATAATGCCCTGTGATCATCCAGCCCCAGACAGCCTTGAGGCACCACCGCAGCCCCACTGTTCCTGGGGCATGCCCTAGATGTCCCCTGAAGGCTGCCCTCGGAGGTCAGTCAGTGATCCGCCCTCTGCACCAAGAGGGCTTCTTCCCATCTTTCTGGCTCCTTCTGGCAGCTTCACCATGGTGAAGCCCCTTCTGGGGTGCTCCTTCAGCTGGGTGACTGTGCCTCCAAATGCATGCTTGTGAAGTCTGCACCTGCCCAGCTCACCTGGGGTCTGTCTGCACCTGCCCAGATCACCTGGGGAGCCATGTCTCTGTCCACCTTACCTGGAGGCTGTCTCTACCTGAGCTCCTCATCTGGGGGCTGTCCACAACTGCCCACCTCACGCGGGAGCTGTTCACACCTGCCCACCTCACCTGGGGTCTGTCCATACTTGTCCATCTCACCTGGGGGCTGTCCATACCTGCCCACCTCACCTGGTAGCTGTGTCCATACCTGCCCACCTCACCTGGGGGCTGTTCATACCTGCCCATCTCACCTGGCGGCTGTCCACACTTACCCATCTCACCTGGGGACTGGGTCCCTACCTGCCCATCTTACCTGGGGGCTGGCCACACCCGCCCACCTCACCTAGGGTCCATGTACCCACCCACCTCACCTAGGGACTGTCTACACCCGCCCACCTCACCTAGGGACGGTCTACACCCACCCACCTCACCTAGGGACTACACCCACCCACCTCACCTAGGTCCATGCACCCACCCACCTCACCTGGAGGGCCATGTCTCTACCCACCTCATTTGGAGGCTGTCTACACCAGTCCCTGTTGCCTGGGGGCTATGTACACCTCCCCATCCCACCTGAGGACTATGCACCCATCCACCTCACCTAGGATTTACCCACACCCACCTGGGGGCCATGTCCCCACCCACCTCACCTGGGAGCTAACTACACTCGCTCACCTCACTGTGTCCCTACAGGGTGAGCACAGGCGGAGGGCAGGGAGTGGGGCAGGAGTGTCAGGGAGCAGGGCAGGGGTGTGTGCGTCTGTCCGGGAAGAAGGGTGGAGATGCTGCCTGCAGCCCTTTTTACCTGCACCTGAGCCCTCAGTGCAGCTCTGCATCAGACACTCCCAGGGCCCGGGGTCTGGTGACCGGCACCATCTCCTGTCTCTTAGGTGGCATCTCTGCCCAACCATTCCTTCTTAGAGGCTCCTGTGACATGAGAGCAGGAATGGGGCCTGGGACAGCACTGGAATAAGAAAACCGAGGCCCTGGCCAGGTGCGGTGGCTCACACCTGTAATCCCAGCACTTTGAGAGGCCGAGGAGGGAGGATCACTTGAGGTCGGGAATTCAAGACCAGCCTGGCCAACATGGTGAAACCCTGTCTCTACTAAAAATACAAACATTAGCTGGGCGTGATTGTGGGTGCCTGTAATCCCAGCTGCTCAGGAGGCTGAGGCATGAGAATCACTTGAACCCAAGAGGTGGAGGTTGCAGTGAGCCGAGACTGTGCCACTGCACTCCAGCCTGGGCGACAGAGCGAGACTCGGTCAAAAAAAAAAAAAAAAGAAAAAGAAAAAGAAAGAAAGAAAGAAAGAATGGAGGGGCAGGGTGGGAGAGAGAGAGAAAGGAAAAGAAACGAAAAGAATAAGAAAAGAAAAGAAAAGAAAAGAAAAGAAAAGAAAACAAAACTGAGGCCCAGACACGATTCAGCCCCAGTAGGCACCCTGGCAAGCTCTGCCTTCTGGGCAAGCAGGCTGGAAATAAAAGCACCACAGTGAACACCCTGGCCCGCCTCGGCTCCGCCAGCAGCATCTGTCCTGGAGAAGACGCCAGCTCAGTACCAGAAATGTTCCGGACACAACCTGGACCGGGCAGAAGCTGAGGAGCCACCAGGCTGCCAGCAGTTCCAAGCACATGCTAGGGGCTGCGGAGGGGGCTCGCCACCCTCTAACTCCCTGGGGGTGGCCTCGTCCAGCCCCGCAGGAGGCCTCTGTCTATTGGAGCTAAGCCTGGAGACGGCCACTCCGGCCAATGGCCTGTCCAACCCAGGTGTAGACAGCCCCTGAGTGAGGCAAGCAGGCACATGGCCCCCCAGGTGAGCTGAGTGGGTACATGGCCTGCCGAGGTGAGGTAGGCAGGTATAGGTAACCCCCAAATGAAGTAGACAACCCCCAAGATGAAGTGAACAGGTGTAGACAGCCCCTGGTAGACAGGGGCATGGTCCTCCAGATAAGACGGGTAGGTGCATGGCCTCCTAGACGACATAGGTGGTAGACAGCCCCCAGGTGAGGGGGACAGGCATAAATAGCCCCCAAGTGAAGTGGACAGGCATAGAAAACCCCCAGGTGAGGTGGACATGTGTAGAAATCCCCCAGGTGAGGCGGACAGGCGTAGAAATCCCCCAGGTGAGTTGGACAGGCGTGGAAATCTCCCAGGTGAGGTGGACAGGTGTAGAAAGCCCACAGGTGAGGTGGACAGACGTAGAAAGCCCACAGGTGAGGTGGGCAGGCCTAGAAAGCCCCCAGGTGAGGCAGACAGGTGTAGAAATCCCCCAGGTGAGATGGACAGATGTAGAAATCCCCCAGGTGAGATGGACAGATGTAGAAATCCCCCAGGTGAGATGGACAGATGTAGAAATCCCCCAGGTAAGATGGACAGACGTAGAAAGCCCAAAGCTGAGGTGGACAGGTGTAGAAATCCCCCAGCTGAGGCTGACAGGTGTAGAAATCCTACAGGTGAGGCAGACATGTGTAGAAATCCCCCAGGTGAGGAGGACAGTTGTAGAAATCCCCCAAGTGAGGTGGACAGGCATAGAAATCCCCCAGGTGAGGTAGACAGGGACATAGCCCCCAGGTGAGGTGACCACTTCCTTCCCTTCCTTCCTCCCATCACCAAATGTCCACAGACACCGCCCCCACCCAGGCCAGCATACCAGGTGCTGGAGACTGGCCCAGCTCTCAGTGGCTCCCAATATTTTGGCAGATCAGTTCCAAACAGGTGCATTCTAGAAACTCTGACAGCAGGGCTCACCCCACAGGGCACCGGTGAGGATGGGAACCCAGGAATGTAAGGCCAGCCCTGAGCCTGGACCTAGTCAATGTTCCATAAACGGCAGCCTAGGGACACTGGGACCAGGCAGCCCAGGAGTGGGAGGGAGGAGTTGGCTCCTGCTGGATCATGGTGGTGGGGCAGGGTGGGGGTCGGGGGGATGTTGCAGGAGGAGACGTTTGTTTCATCACTTGTTCATGCAAACCTTCTGAGGCACCCTCGCCATTCAGCTCCCCAGGCCCCCATCCAGCCCACAGCCTCTGCCATCCCTGCCCTACCCTGGGACTTGGACTCTCATTGCCCTGTGAGCCCGGCTGGCTCATTCCCGCTTCCCAGCCAGCAGCCCCTCACCTGCCAGGGCTCCAATAAGCTTTGGCTCTGGAGGGCACCCACACTGCCCCTCCTCCAGCCATCTTTTTTTGGGAGTATAATTGGGGTATAATTTACATACCACAAAGTTGACCCAGTGAAAGTGTCTGGTTCAATAGATTTACTATTGATTAAGATCTATTTAATCAATAGATTTTAGTATACTTACAGTTGTGCAACTGTCATCACTTCTATTTCATTCTAGAACATTTCATCCCCCAAAAGGAGACCCCGTCCCCATTAGCAGTCACTCCCCATTCCCTCTCCCAAAGCCCCTGGCAGCCACTCATTGCTTCCTGTCTCTATGGATTTGCCTGTTGTGGGCATTTCATATCAATGGAATCTCACACTATGTGGTGTTTCGTGACTAGCTTCTTTCACTCAGCATTGTGATTTTGGGGGTTTTGTTTTGTTTTGTTTTTCAGACAGGATCTCACTGTCGCCCAGGCTGGAGTGCAGTGGAATGATCATAGCTCACTGCAGGCTTCATCTCCTGGGCTCAAGCGATCCTCCTGCCTCAGCCTCCCAAGTAGCTGGGACTACATACAGGTGAGCACCACCACACTCAGCTTTTTTTTTTTTTTTTTTTTTTTTTTTGAGACGGAGTCTTGCTCTGTCGCCCAGGCTGGAGTGCAGTGGCACAATCTTAGCTCACTGCAAGCTCCGCCTCCCAAGTTCACACCATTCTCCTGCCTCTGCCTCCCAAGTAGCTGGGACTACAGGTGCCCACCACCACGCCTGGCTAATTTTGTTTTTGTATTTTTAGTAGAGACTGGGTTTCACCGTGTTAGCCAGGATGGTCTTGATCTCCTGCCCTTGTGATCTGCACATCTCGGCCTCCCAAAGTGCTGGGATTACAGGCGTGAGCCACCGCACCTGGCCCACCCAGCTAATTTTTATATTTTTTGTAAAGCAGGGTCTAGCTATGTTGCCCAGGCTGGCCTCAAACTCCAGGGCTCAAGCGATCCTCCCTCCTGAGCCTCCCCAAGTACCAGGATTACAGGCATGAGCCACTGCACCCAGCCTTATTTGGTTTTTGTATGGGTCTGCTTTATTTTTCTGGTATTGGTCTTAAGTTCTCCAATTTATCTCCTCCCGTTCCCCCTTCATTTCTTTCCAATCAAGCTGTTTCTCTCCCTCCCCATCACTCCCCTGAAACTGATTTCATCAATGTTACCAATGATAGACAATTTCCTTAATTGAATGTTCTATTTGTGTGCTTGTTTTATTTGATTTACAAGAAGCATTGGACACAGCTCTCTTTTTCTTTCTTTTCTTTTCTTTTCTTTCTTTGAGACGGAATCTCCCTCTCTTTCCCAGGCTGAAGTGCAGTGGTGCAATCTTGACTCACTACAACCTCTGCCTCCCAGGTCCAAGCGATTCTCATGCCTCAGCCTCCTGAGTAGATGGGATCACAGGCATGCACCACCACACCGGTTAATTTTTGTATTTTACTGGAGACAGAGTTTCACCATGTTGGCCAGGCTGGTCTTGAACTCCTGGCCTCAAGTGATCCACCTGCCTCGGCCTCCCAAAGTGCTGGGATTACAGGTGTGAGCCACCATGCCCAGCCTCTTTTTTTTTTTTTTTTTTGAGGCAGAGTCAGTGGCGCAATCTCGGCTCACTGCAAGCTCCGCCTCCCGGGTTCACGCCATTCTCCTGCCTCACCCTCCTGAGTAGCTGGGACTACAGCCGCCCGCCACCACACCCGGCTAATTTTTGTTGTATTTTTTAAGTAGAGATGGGGTTTCACCGTGTTAGCCAGGATGGTCTCCATCTCCTGACCTCGTGATCCACCCACCTCGGCCTCCTAAAGTGCTGGGATTATAGGCGTGAACCACCGTGCCCGGCCCCATGCCCAGCCTCTTTAACAAACATCTTAATTGGCTTTATGATTGCAGGTGTACTTTGGTTCAGCAACTCCAAGGGCCCACATAACCTGCCTCAGAACTCCGCATATCTGCCTTCTTCCATCCTGTGGTCCCTCACACCAGATGTGGTGGGTGGCAGTCCTAACAGCCTCCTGTCCCTGAAACCTGCCGGTACCTCTCACTGCAACTCCGGGAGGCTGGTACAAATGCTCCTATCCCAGGTCAGCCCTGGACCCGGAGGCCAGAGACAAAAAGACCCCAGCTGGGCTTCCAGCTCCCCAGGGGAAAGTTTGGTGCCGAAAGGAAAATATTTACGTGGTTTGTAAGTTGAGCTATCCCCCTGCAGAAGTGATCAAAAGGACAGTAAAGATGGAAAGTCCGTGTTGTCGTGATGCAGGCTGTGCCAAGCCACGCAGCAGGCGTGATCCTGGAGGACTCTTCAGGGAGCTGATGGACGTGACCTGCCGACCCTTTTGTTTTCTGAAATCACCAAACATCTGCTGAGTGAGCTGCTTCCTGGACCCTTTTGGGAATGTTCCCAGGCTTGGTTGTTGAGGAAACACAGTGCAGGGGTGGAGTGGGTTCTGGAGGCTGCGACTTGGCCAGAGCCGCCTGTGTGCGTGGAGCGGGGTGTGGGGGGTGTTTGGATCACCTCCAGGGGTCCTTTTCAGCAGGAACACACGAGTCATTTTTAATCAATCAAAAAGAGGAAAAGAGACAAAATGCATTTAATGAACACTCCCATACCATGCTGTGATGAAATGCTTTTAAAAGTCACAAGAGGCCGGGTGCGGTGGCTCACGCCTGGAACCCCAGCACTGTGGGAGGCTGAGGTGGGAGGATCACTTTGAGGACAGGAGTTCGAGACCAGCCTGGGCAACATAGTGAGACCTCATCTCTATGAAAAATAAAAATTAAAAAATTAGCTGGCCATGGTGGTTTGCACCTGTAGTCCCAGCTACTTGGGAGGCTAAGGTGGGAGGATAGCTTGAGCCTAGGAGTTTGAGGCTGCACCAAGCTATGATCGTACCACTGCACTCTAGCCTGGGTGACAGAGTGAGACCCTGTCGAACAAGAAAGAGAGAGAGAGAGACAAAGGGAGGGACGGAAGGAAAGGAAAAAAGAAAGCTAGGCACCAGGCTTCTGTTGTGAATTAAATGTTTCTATTTCTCACTCACTGCAACTCAGACCGCCACGCCTCACGCAGATTTATCAGAAAGCATCTGCAGGCCAGGCATGGTGGCTCACGCCTGTAATCCAACACTTTGGGAGGCTGAGGCGGGAGAATCACCTGAATTCAGGAGTTCTAGACCAGCCTGGCCAACATGGCAAAACCTTGTCTCTACTAAAAATACAAAAAATTAGCCAGGCATGGTAGTGGGCGCCTGTAATCCTAGCTACTCAGGAGGCTGAGGCAGGAGAATCGCTTGAACCTGGGAGGCAGAAGTTGCAGTGAGCCAAGGTTACACCATTGCACTCCAGCCTGGGCAACAAGAGCAAAAACTCTGTCTCGAAAAAAAAAAAAAAGGCATCTGCAAAGGTTATAGGGAGATTCCTGGGGGGAAGAAAGCAGCCTGCTTGAGGAATCTTTTGCTCACAGGTAAAAAAGCAAGAAGGCCAGGCAGTGGCTCACACCTGTAATCCCAATGCTTTGGGAAGCTGAGTCAGGAGGATCACTTGAGGCCAAGAGTTTGAGACCACTGTGAACAATAGAGGGAGACCCAATCACTAAAAAATATTTTTAAAATTAGCTGAGTGTGGTGGTGCACACCTGTAGTCCCCGCTACTCAGGAAGCTGAAACAGGAGGATCGCTTCAGCCCAGGAGTTCAAGGCTGAAGTAAGCTAGGATTGCACCATTGCACTCTGGCCTGAGCAACAGAGTGAGACCCTGTCTCAAAATTAATCAAAAATGGAAAAATAAAAGCCAAAGGAAAACCAAATGGGTCTTTCACACAAATGTGAACCAGAACCTTCCACATCAGCACAGAGAGGAGGAAAAAGAACCACAGAGGATGAGGAGAGAAGAGTGCTGGCCCGGGTCCCTTGTGCTAGGAACCAGCTGGATGCCAGGACACATCAGGCACAGCCAAATCCCACATGGGTCTGCAGCAGGGGCACCCGGGATGATTATGAGGTACTCCTAGGGAGAGCTCATAGTCCCAGCCAATGCTCCTAATTGCCTGGGGTCAGTAGGTCGCTGAGCTAATCCTCCTGAGCACATCGGGGGTCTCTGCCATCACTGAGCGGGGCTTCCAGAACTCCCTGCAACCCAATCAAGTCCAATTAGCCAAAAAGGCAGGAATGTGGGCTGGGACCCCAGCAGGGCTTAGAGGTCTCGGCAGGAGACCAGGGTGGCCCAGGGATGTCTCACTTGTGGGGAACAAGCCCCAGACCCCAGCCTTGTCCAGGGCAGGGAGGGAGGAAACCCCCAGGCTCGGGTCAGTGGGGTCTGTCTGTTCAGTGGGGCTTTCAGCTGTGGGATCCGGGGACATCAGTGTTGGTGGGTAATTTGATGTTCTGCTCATAGATGCATGATGATTTAAAAGCCACATTTCAGTAAGTCAGGCAGAGGAGGACAAATATTGCTTGATTGCACAGGGAATAGCCAAATTCCTAGAGACAGACAGTAGAAGTGAGACTCCCAGGAGCTGGGGTAGAGGACTGGAGACTGGTTTAAGGGCCTGGAGTGATAAAAACTTTGGGGTGTAGATATGGTGATGGTTGCACACATTGAGAATGCATTTAATGTCACTGAATTGTACCTTCCAAGTGGTTAACACGATCATTATCATGTAGAGTTGGGGTTTTTGTTGTTGTTGTTGTTGTTTGAGACAGAGTCTCACTCTGTCCCCCAGGCTGGAGCGCAGTGGCATGATCTCAGCTCACTGCAACCTCCGCCTCCCAGGTTCAAGTGATTCTCCTGCCTCAGCCTCCTGAGTAGCTGGGACTACAGGTGCACGCCACCACACCCGGCTAGTTTTTGTATTTTCAGTAGAGACAGGGTTTCACCATGTTGGCCTGGCTGGTCTCGAACTCCTGACCTCAGGTGATCCACCCGCCTCGGCCTCCCAAAGTGCTGGGATTACAGGCATGAGCCACTGCGCCTGGCCCATGTAGAGTTTACTACAATGTCAAATAAAGACTTTAAGTTTGAAATTAGCATTTAACCATTTAAGGAAATTGGTTCATGAAATGTGTAGCTTGATTTATTATTTGCGTGGCAGTGTTTAAATATTCGGGAAAATGGGCAGAGCGTGGTGGTTTACACCTGTAATTCCCAGCACAGGGACTGTCTAGGGGGACTGACCCTACCAGGCCAGGTGATGGTTAGAGGGCTGAGCTGAGGGGCACCAGCAGGGGGTTCAGACTCACACCCACCCCAGGATGATGTTGATGCAGTCCCCACCCAGGGTCTCAGATGTGGGAACACGCCCCTCCTTTAAGTGCTACCTGCCACTATTGGGAGTCTGTGTAAGACTAACACTCCATTCTTTAAAAAGGTAAGCACATGGCTGGGCACGGTGGCCTACGCCGGTAATCCCAACACTTTGGGAGGCTGAGGCGGGCGAATCACTTGAGGTCAGGAGTTCGAGACCAGCCTGACCAATGTGGTGAAACCCTGTCTCTACCAAAAATACAAAAATTAGCTGGGTGTGGTGGCACGTGCCTGTAATCCCAGCTACTCAGGAGGCTGAGGCAGGAGAACTGCTTGAACTGAGGAGGCGGGAGTTGCAGTGAGCCAAGATCGTGCCATCGCACTCCAGCCTAGGTGACAGATTGAGACTCCATCTCAAAAAAAAAAAAAAAAAGAAAAAAAAAGAAATCCTCCCACCTTAGCCTCCCCCAAAAATTTTTAATATTCAATTTATTAAGCATTTCCATCTAGGAAGTACATTTCCCCAAATATTTAAACATTGTCATGCCACTAATAAATCCAACTATACATTAATGAACCAATTTCCTTAAATGGTTAAATGCTGATTGCAAACTTAGTCAAAGTCTTTTTCTTGCCATTGTAGTAAAATATACATGATATTGATCATGTTAACCACTTGGAAGGTACAATTCACTGACATTAAATGCATTCCCAATGTGTGCAATCATCACCACTATCTACATCCCGAATTTTTTTTTTATCACTCCAGCCCTTGAAACAGTCCCCAGTCCTCTACCCCAGCCCCTGGGAGTCTCGCTTCTACTGTCTGTCTCTAGGAATTTGGCTATTCCCTGTGGCTCCCATAAGTGCAATCAAGCAATATTTGTCCTCCTCTGCCTGACTGAAATGTGGCTTTTAAATCATCACATGTCTATGAGCAGAACATCAAATTAACCACCAAGGCCGGTGTCCCTGGATCTGGATCCCACAGCCCAAAGCCCCGCTGAACAGACAGACCCCACTGACCTGAGCCTGGGGGTCCCCTCCCTCCCTGCCCTGGATGGGGCTGGGGCCTGGGGTCTGTTTCCCACAAATGAGACAGTTCCTGGGCCACCCCAGCCTCCCTGCCGAGAAGCCCCCCACCTGCTGGGGTCCCAGCCCACATTCCTGCCTTTTTGGTTAATTGGACTTGATTGGGTTCCAGGGAGTTCTGGAAGTCCCCCTCAGTGATGGCAGAGACCCCTGATGTGCTTGGGAGGATTAGCTCAGCGACCCACTGACCCCAGGCAATTACGAGCATTGGCTGGGACTCTGAGCTCTCCCTAGGAGGACCCCATAATCATCCTGGGGTGCCCCTCCTGCAGATCCATGTGGGATTTGGCTGTGCCTGGTGTGTCCTGGCATCCAGCTGGTTCCCAGCACCAGGGACCAGGACCAGCACTCCTCTCTTCTTGTCCTCTGTGGTTCTTTTTCCTCCTCTCTGTGCTGATGTGGAAGGTTCTGGTTCACATCTGTGTGAAAAATAGTGTTAGTTTTCCTTTGGCTGCTAACCTTACCTAATTACCTCTCTAATAATGACCTTAACTCCAAATACAGTCACATTCTGAAGGACTGTGTTATAACCTTCACGTATGAATTTTGGGGAGACACAGTTCAGCCCATACTCTTCCCCACTTACAGAGGAGATGATGGAGGCTCAGAGAGGGGAAGTCATTTACCCAGGTCGCACAGCAAAAGGGAGTAGGACAAACATCGAACACTTACCGGGTGCCAGGCTCAATTTCAAGGCTGTGTTTGCCTCACTTGTTCATTTTGCCAATGTCTATTGTGCCAGATGCAAACTGAAGTGAAATACACTGATGGGACTGGGCATGGTGGCTCACGCCTGTAATCCCAGCACTTTGGGAGGCAGAGGCAGGCGGATCACTTGAGGTCAGGAGTTCGAGACCAGCCTGGCCAACATGGTGAAACTCCGTCTCTACTAAAAAATACAAAAATTAGCTGGGTGTGGTGGCACACACCTGTAGTCCCAGCTACTCGGGAGGCTGAGGCAGGAGAATTGCTCGAACCCGGGAGGTGGAGGTTGCAGTGAGCTGAGATCACACCATCATACCACTGCACTCCAGCCTGGGTGACAGAGTGAGACTCCATCTCAAAAACAAACAAACTGGGTCTCACTCTGTCGCCCAGACTGGAGCGCAGTGGTGCAAACGTGGCTCACTGCAGCCTCGACTTCCTGGGCTCAAGCGATCCTCTCACCTTAGCTTCCCAAAGTGCTGGGATTACAGGTGAGAGCCACTGTGCCCAGCCTTATCCTTCCTTTCTATATTGCCCGTGGTTGCTTTTGTGCACCAAGGTCAATCCAAAAAATAATTGAGTCAGTGAGACACAGACCATCTGGCTTTACTTCCTTGTAGTCACAACTCTGGGGATTCTAAGTCTGACCATCCTAGCCCCATGGCCAGGGATGTCAGGAGATGATGGTGGTCATTTTGAGCAGTAGGTTCCCTTGCAAGCCATGGGAGGACACAGGCTGTGTCCAGGACACATCCCCTGGAGGCGTGGGTGTGGAGACCATGAGCCGAATTCATTCATTATCTAAAATCAAACTCAATTCTCATGAAGTAGGGACGTCAGCCTTACAGAGTCGGGCATGTGCCGCCCATTTCCACCTGTGGGTGGAATCCACCACTCCTGTTGACTCTCAGCGGTGCCCGGCTTAGATGATAGATTCTAGGGTCTCTGCTGTTGGAGGTCAAGACTGTGATGTAATGAAGTATTTTTTTCAATGTGTGTCCTGTGGCAGTGCCCAATTCAGAAAACATAGAGCAGGATTTTAGTTCCAAATGAGTCAAGTTTTATATGTTAAGACATCGCTTGTTAATCTTGCACATAACATCTATCATATTCATATGCTGCCTAGTCTTGGGTTTTTGTTTTTTTTTAAATCTGAGTCTCACTCCGTCACCCAGGCTGGAGTGGCAGTGGTGTGATCTTGGCTCACTACAATCTCTGCTTCCTGTGATCAAGTGATTCTCCTGCCTCAGCCTCCAGAGTAGCTGGCACTACAGGCACGTGTCACCACGCCCAGCTAATTTTTCTATTTTTAGTAGACAGAGGGTTTCACCATGTTGGTCAGGCTGTTCTCAAACTCCAAACCTCAAATGATCTGCCCGCCTTGGCCTCTCAAAGTGCTGGGATTACAGGCATGAGCCACCGTGCCTGGCCCAAAGACATCCTCTTTTATCTGCTCATGTGGATTTAATGATATCCCCTTGGGGTATAATAAAAACTTCTTTGGTCTTTGTCCACAGTTCCTGGCACGTAACTCCTAAATCCCTAGAATGGACATTCATTCATAGGATGAACGAAGGTGTTAAGATGAGACAGCACTATGGGCCAGGCACGGTGGCTCGCAACACTTTAGGAGGCTGAGGTAGGCAGGTCAGTTGAGGCCAGGAGTTGGAAAGCAGCCTGGCCAATATGGTGAAACCCCATCTCTCCTAAAAATACAAAAATTAGTTGGGTGCAGTGGTGCACACCTGTAGTCCCAGCTACTTGGGAGGCTGAGGCAGGAGAATTGCTCGAACCCAGGAGGCAGCAGAGGTTGCGGTGAGCCGAGATCATGTCACTGCACTCCAGGCTGGGCGACAGAGCAAGATTCTGTCTCAAAATTAAAAAAAAAAAAACAAACAGCACTATGGAAGCGTTGGCTGAACTGAAGCAACTGCGTGGGGTCCCTCAATATTAAAGGGCTCCAGACAAGTCTGCTGTATTTGCCCCAGTTTGCAGAAATTTTAAAAGCTGAAGGCAGACACTACAACATGAAACCCAACCTGGACTCACTGGGGACAACCAGGCAGATTCGTCGCACTCCAGCCCAGAAGACAGAGCAAGCCCTGTCTAAAACCAAACAAAGACAAACCAGGCAACAAAACCCACACCTCCAGCAATACGAATTGGAAATGTGACCTGGGGATCAGTAAGTTCCCAAAGCCCACACCGCGTGGGGTGGAAGCTGGAGAGCTGGTTGGAGGAAAATGTTCTGGGCCAAAGTCCCAGTGGAGCACAGATGGGGTTTATGGCAAGAGCCTGAGCATCTCCCAGTGACAACTACCGAGACTGGAACTGAAATATGTCCCCTCCAGTCGAGGTGCGGGATGCCGGGACCCAGTGGTGGACGTCCTGGAGGGCGGGACCCAGGGTTCCCTGGTGGAGGTGTGGAAGGACGAGACCCTGCAGTCTCTCAAGCTGCCAGCGAGATGGGGACCCAGAGACCTCCCGAAGCTGCCAGCAAGGCAGGGACCCAGCAGTTTCTCAAGGCTGCCTGGGACCCAGTTGCCAGATTACGAAGGCATCTCAGGCCCTGGAGCCAGAGCCAGTCGGGTTAAAGTGGAAGCTCCCTACTTCAGCCCCAGAAGCTGGGGCCAGGGGAAGGATGATGTGGATTGTTCTTGTTTTACCCCTTCTGTTGAATGTTTACAGACACAAACTTGAGTTCCAATAAAGAATTGCATTTCCCTAAAAAAGTAAATAAAGTATGTCCACTCGAGGGACAATTCTTAACTTGCTGTCCCAAAACCACCCTTGTGACTGAAGGACATGAAATCATCTTGAAAGTGGGATACTGGGCATGTCGTGGAGGCCCGGAATTTCAGGACCAGTCATCCAGAAGAACTTGAGAAAACACAGGTCTTCCAACTGGCCCCTTCATAGAAAATGGAGGCTTCAATTGCAAAACAGGTTTACTTTTTTATCAAACAAGATTATCACATAAAAAATAGCTACAGTGCTACGGTAGTATATAAAGTGCTCAAGTATCCTGAATGTAACCATGAGTCATGACAAGTCCCTCCCTGAACGAGAGAGAGAGGGCGGGACTTCTGCCTGGCTGCTTGAAGAAAAATCTTCGCTTGGGCTGATGAACGTGGCCTGAGCGGGGGCTGACGAGGCACCCGGGTTGTCGTCCTCAGACAGGGGCGTGTTCTTGGGTGCTCCCCCAGATTCTCTGCAGGCACTGTCTTGATTGAAATACCACCGGCTGGGGGGCGCCATGCCCTGGGTCTCTTCCCAGACTTCCTGGTTTGCCAAGGCTGCCTCTTTGCTTGCCTCTGCGGAGAGTTCCAGCACCTGGGCAAAGCTCCTGTTGAGGATGGGAGAAAGAATAACGGCTTTCACCCTCTGAGGTGAAGCGCATGTGTGTGGTGAACGGAGGGCTGCCACACGGGGAGGCGGATTTTCACATGCCCTACGTGCTCAGTGGGAAAGGGCCAGCAAATAAGATCCGTCTGAAAAGACTCAATCAGGGAAACCCCCCAAGAACAGCACCAGACATGAAAGGAAAGATTCATCCAAGAAATGTTCATGGAGCTCAGTGCTGTGCTGCTGCTGTGGTGGGAGTATCTGTCCCCTCCAAAACTCCCATTAAAAATTAATCCCCTGGCCAGGTAAAGTGGGATTGAAGTGCTGTAATCCCAGAACTTTGGGAGGCCGAGGCAGACAGATGGCTTGAGGCCAGGAGTTCGAGACCAGCCTGGGCAACATGGCAAAACCACGTCTATACAAAAATTTTTTTAAAAATACTGGGCGCTGTGGCTCACACCTGTAATTCCAGCACTTTGGGAGGCTGAGGCGGGCAGATCGCCTGAGGTCAGGAGTTCAAGACCAGCTTGGCCAACATGGTGAAAGCCCATCTCTATTAAAAATACAAAAATTAGCCGGGCGTGGTGGAACGCACCTGTAATCCCAGCTACTGGGGAGGCTGAGGCAGGAGAATCGCTTGAACCCAGGAGACAGGGTCTATAGTGAGCCGAGGATCGCGCCACTGGCACTCCAACCTGGGCGACAAAGTGAGACTCCGTCTCAAAAAAAAAAAAATTAGCTGGGTGCAGTGGTGCACGCCTGTAGTCCCAGCTACTTGGGAGACTGGGGTGGGATGATCGCTTGAGCCTCGGAGGCAGAGGTTGCAGTGAACCGAGATCGCGCCACTGCACTCCAGCCTAAGCAATGAAATGAAATCCTGTCTCAATAATAATAATAATCCCCAATGTGGCAGCAGCGAGAGGTGGGGCCTTTAAGAGGTAACTGGGTTCATGAACATTCTGCCGTTCATGGATGAATGAGTTATCCTGGGAGTGGGACTGTGGCTTTATAACCCTTTGATGTCTCCTGAATTGATCCATGGCCACCCACAGGAGAAAGAAATGCCACAGTGGGTGGCTGGCTGTTTTGCATAAGTCCTTTTCCAATATTTTAAGCAACTCAGGAAAAAGATTTAGCATTGTAAAAAAGAGAAAAGATACTCTACTGGAAGAGGTGGAGAAAAGCGCGTGGTTAGAAATCTCCTGGGGGAGGTTAAAAAAAAAAGCGGGGGGAGATCTTGATGGGTTTTGGGGGTCTGGACGCACAAGGATATGTGCTCTGTGCAAGCCACTGCACAGTCCTTTAAGATCTGGGCCATTTCTATCAATCAGAAGTTCAAAAAACATCCTCCTGGGACCTTACCCTGGAAGGCATTGAAAACACCAACAGGGCTGATGTGAGGGCGCCTGTGCTGCTGGGTTACTCTGAGGATGTGAATGATAGGTGACACCCTTTCTCTTCCAGCTGCTTGAGAACTTCCATAGATTTTTTTTTTTTTTTTTTTTTTCCTGAGACAGGGTCTCACTCTACTGCTCAGGTTGTAATGCAGTGGCACGACCACAGCTCATTACAGCCTTGACCTCCCCAGGCTCAGATGATTCTCCCACCTCTGCTTCCTGAGTAGCTGAGACCACAGGCATGCACCAGTGTGCCTGGCTAATTTTTGTGTTTTTTAAATAGAGAGGCCCGGCATGGTGGCTCACGCTTGTAATCCCAGCACTTTGGGGGGCTGAGGTGGGCAGATCACTTGAGGTCAGGAGTTCAAGACCAGCCTGACCAACAAGGTGAAACACTGTCTCTACTAAAAATACAAAATTAGCCGGGCGTGGTGGTGTGCACCTGTAATCCCAGTTAGTTCGGAGGCTGAGGCAGGAGAATTGCTTGAACCCAGGAGGTGGAGGTTGCAGTGAGCCAAAATCATGACATTGCACTTAAGCCTGAGCAACTCTGTCTCAAAATAAATAAATAAATAAATAGAAACAAGGTCTCACCATGTTGCCCAGGCTGGTCTTGAACTCTTGGCCTAAAGTGATTCTCCCACCTCGGCCTCCCAAAGTGCTGGGATGACAGGCGTGAGCCACTGCGCCTGGCCCTTCCATGGATTTTTCTGAGCTCTTTTGTTCTCTCTTCCCCCTGCTCTGCTTGAGTCTTATACTCTGTGAATCTAGGACACGTCTTATAGCATATTTGATCCTCACTTCACCTAGAGTCCCCATTAGCTCAAAAATGACTGAGAAGTAGGCTAGAAAAGGGAAATTAGCTGGGCATGGTGGCGCACACCTGCAGTCCCAGCTACTGAAGAGGCTGAGGTGGGATCACTTGAGCCCAGCAATTTGAGGTTGCAGTGAGCTGAGATCTGCCACTGCACTCCAGCCTGGGCGACAGAGTGAGAACCTGTCTCAAAAAAAAAAGAAAGGGAAGGCAAGGCGGGTGCTTTTGGATGGAGATTTTGTTATCCACAATACAGATGACAATGACACCTGCTGGCCATTCTTGTATCATGCAGCGTCTGGGAAAAGAGCAGCTCGCTCAGGGGACTGAACCTCCTCTGAACTCCTAGAGGAACTCGGCACCACCCCAACAGTGCAGCCACCAACAGCCCTGAGCAAACAGGGTGCCACCTCTTTCTTAAAGCATTTTCCGAGGTACCTTCGGAGCTCAAGGTCCTTTTTCGCCGTCACGTCCTTGAGTTCGCTCAGTAAGTCCAGCACCTGCACATTTTCTTCCGAATCACCAACATCAAGTTCTCCCAGGAGGCGCTGAGTGGTCACCAGTTCATGCTGCAGGGCGTCTGGAGGGGAAGAGGGATGGTGGGCGATGGATGGCAAGGTGCCCCACGCAAGGCACACACAAGTGGAGCGGCCGACAGACTTCTGTCATGATGCTCGGCTATCGCGCTGGAACCGTGGAGAGCGCACAGGGAAGAAGCAGAAGCCAAGGAAGACATTCGTCCCTTATCCATCCCGTGCTCTGAGATTGTGGGACAGGCACATCCATCTATCCAGGAGGGCATTGGACCAGAACTGAAATGTCACTCTGGTGTCCTCAACAGAAACCAATGCAAATGTGAAAAGGGCTGTGCTGTGCCAGGGAGAATGCCTGAGGCCTCCAAGCCAGACCATGAGCAACTGAAAAACAGTCCTTGTTGCCTGCACCACTGAGCAGAAGGATGCCTGCAACTGCGGGACCTGTGTCACCTGCACTAGGACAACACGCCTCTCTACCCTGACATACATCACATCAAGGCCAGTCGTACATGAGAGTCACATTTTGGGAGCCTTTTAAGTGCCGTATCAGCCAGCCTCTTCTCCCTCCGGCTGTGGACCGAATTATGCCCTCCCCAATACGTACGTTTCACTCCAATCCTCCACTCCTAGTGAACATGACCTTAACCAGAAACAGGGTTTTGTGGATGGGGGGGAGTTAAGATGGGTGGGGCCTAATCCAGTGACTTGTGTCCTCATCGGATGCGGGAAATTTCTTTTTTTCTTTTTTTTTTTTTTTTGAGACAGAGTCTTGCTCTGTCACCCAGGCTGGAGTGCAGTGGCACAATATTGGCTCACTGCAACGTCCACTTTCCGGGTTCAAGCGATTCTCCTGCCTCAGGATCCTGAGTAGCTGGGATTACCGGCACCTGCCACCACACCTGGCTATTTTTTTTGTATTTTTAGTAGAGACAGGGTTTCACCGTCTTGGCCAGGATGGTATTGAACTACTGACCTCGTGATCCACCCGCCTCAGCCTCCCAAAGTGCTGGCATAACAAACATGAGCCACCGTGCTGAGCCTGATGCAGGAAATTTCAATAACGAGACAGCCAGGGAGGAGGCCACGTGAGGACGGGCAGAGAATGGAGGGACACGGCCATGAGCCAAGGAACGCCAAGGGCCACCAGCAGCCACCAGCAGGTGGGGGAGACACAGGATGAGCTCACCTGACAGCCCCTGGAGGGAGCCAATCCCATCAACGCCTTGATTTCAGACTTCTGGCTGAAATCAAGACTCCCAGAACTGGGAGGGAATATCTTTCTGTTGTTGCAAACCACCCATTCTGTGGCCGCTTGGTATGGCAGCCCCGGAAAACTCAACACGATCCCTAGGCCGTTCCCAGGAACTACCTAAGGAACTGAGCAGAGACTGAGTGTTTTCTAAGAGTTACAGATGTGGAGGTGACCGCAGTCATAAAATCAGAAACCCGGCCGGGCAGGGGGCTCACACCTATTCAGGAACCCAGTGCTTTGGGAGGCCAAGGTAGGAGATCACTTGAGCCCAGCAGTTCTAGATCAGCCTGGGCAACATAGCCACACCTCGTCTCTACAAAAAAAAATATAATAATTAGCCAGGTGCGCCAGGAGCAGTGGCTCATGCCTGTAATCCCAGCACTTTGGGAGGGCAAGGCGGGCAGATCACCTGAGGTCGGGAGTTTAAGACCAGCCTGACCAACATGGAGAAACCCTGTCTCTACTAAAAATACAACATTAGCCGGGCATAGTGGTGCATGCCTGTAATCCTAGCTACTCGGGAGGCTGAGGCAGGAGAATCGCTTGAACCCAGGAGGTGGAGGTTGCAGAGAGCCAGGATTGCACCATTGCACTCCAGCCTGGGCAACAAGAGTGAAACTCCGTTTCAAAAATAAATTAGCCAGGTGCAGTGGTGGATGCCTGAAGCACTAGGGAGGCTACTACTCAGGAAGCTGAGGTGGGAGGATCTGAGTAGAGCCTGAGAAGTTGAAGGCTGCAGTGAGCTATAATTGCACTACTGTACTCCAGGCTGGGTGACTACGCTAGAAGATTCCACCTCCGCAGAAAAAAAAGAACAATGGCAGGGCATGGTGACTCATGTCTATAATCCCAGCACTTTGGGAGGCCAAGGTGGGAGGACTGCTTGAACTCAAGAGTTCAAGTCCAGCCTTGGCAACATAGCGAAACCCCGTCTCTACAGAAAAAAAAAAAAAAAAAAAAAAAAAAAAAATATATATATATATATATATATATATATATATATATATATATATATATAAGCCAGGTGTGGTGGTGCCCACGTGTACTCCTAGCTACTCAGGAGGCTGAGGTGGGAGGATCACTTAAACCCAGGAAGCAGAGGTTGCAGTGAGCTGAGATTGTGCCACTGCACTCCAGCCTGGGCGACACAGCAAGATGCTGTCTCAAAAAAAAAAAAAAAAAAAAAAAGAACCAAACTCCAGGGTAGCCAAAAACTTGCTCTGTGGGAAGATACCTGTTCTGAAGAGAATTTAAGGTGCAACGCGGCAGTTTTTCACACTTGCCAAAGTCTTCAAGTTAGGGATTAGGTGGGAACCCTATGCCTGAAAGGGACCTCACTGCTCTGCTGAGGGGGAAAGCCGGGGTGGGGCTGGTGGTCTTGTCACCCCCCAACCACTACGGCATATTTGTTGGGAGCAGGACTCAGGAGACTACAGGTCGTCCCCGCAAAATGCCTTTCGGCAGGACAGATCACTGTGAATCCCACTGCCCAAGGTTCAAATCCCAGTGTGGTTACTTACTCAGGGCGAGACCCTTGGAGGAACCACAGCCTGGCCAGCCCTCCCCATCCTCTGCCTTAGTTGGGGAAGAGGGCACTTGCGGTGATGACATCAGGCCCACAGGAAGCACCCACACACGCTCCTCGCCCCGCCTGCTGCACACGCACTGGGACGCCCCGTTTCCTACCTAAGAGCTGCTGCCCATCTCCCTCCAGGTGGATGGACCTCACGGGCAGCTCGTGCCTGGTAGTGTCCAGGGCCGTGGCGAATGTCCTGTATTGCTCCTTGAAGCGTGTGGCCACTGCCTCGAAGGGGCTGAGCATCTCGATCTGTAAGCAGAAGGGATAATCAGGGGAGACCCTGGAGTCCCCTCTCTGGAAACTTAACAGAAGCTTAACGGCTTGTGCAGGGTTAAGATACAGCGCTGTTCTTCACCACCCCCCAGGGAATCAGAGCTCAGGAAGTTTCCGAGGGTGTGGTGAGCTCTTCCCAAGAGAGCCAAGTGGATGGCAAGGCGGCCCAGGCCCCTTACTGAGAACATGTGTCTGCCAGCGGTTCTAGGCTTGGGCCCTCAGCTGAGCCCACCTGCTTTAGAGTACTGCGCCTAAACGCCTGCCTTCCACAAGGCCATCCCCGGCATGGCCCACTCCCACCCCAAACATGCTGTCTGGGTCTTCATGGGGGTTTGAAATGATATACGATTGACCCTTGAGCAACACGGGAGTTTGGGGCATCAACCCCTGTGCAGTCAAAAATCTGTATCTAACTTTTGACTTCCCCCAAATTTACTGATAGCTACTGCTGACTGAAACCTTACTGATAGTAAACATTCAATAAACATGTAAATAGATTAGCATCTATATACACACACACATACACACACACACAGACACACATACAGACACACACACACACACATACACATATATATTTTTTAGATGGAATCTTGCTCTGTCTCCCAGGCTGGAGTGCAGCGGCGCAGTCTCGGCTCACTGCAACCTCTGCCTCCCGGGTTCCAGCAATTCTTGCGCCTCAGTCTCCCAAGTAGCTGGGTTACAGGCACGCATCACCATGCCCAGCTAATTTTTTGTATTTTTAGTAGAGACGGGGTTTCACCATGTTGGCCAGGCTGGTCTCAAACTCCTGACCTCAAGTAATCCGCCCACCTCAGCCTCCCAAAGTGCTGGGATCACAGGCGTGAGCCACTGCACATACATATTTTTTATAGACAGATCTTACTGTGTTGCCCAAGGTGGAGTGCTGTGGAGTGATCACAGTTCACTGCAGCCTCCACCTCCCAGGGTCAAGCAAACCTCTTGCCTCAGCTTCCCAAGTAGCTGGGACTATAGGCATATGCCACCACACTTGGCTAATTTTTAATTTTTATAGAAATTGGCCGGATGCAGTGGCTCACACCTATAATCCCAGCACTTTCAGAGGCTAAGGAGGGCGGATCACTTGAGGTCCAGAGTTCGAGACCAGCCTGGCCAACATGGCAAAACCCTGTCTGTACTAAAAATACAAAATTTAGCTGGGCGTGGTGGTGCATGCCTGTAGTCCCAGCTACTCAGGAAGCTCAGGTATGAGAGTTGCCTGAACCTGGGAGGCGGACGTTGCAGTGAGCTGAGACAGCACCACTGCACTACAGCCTGGGTGACAGAGCAAGACGCCCATCTCAAAAAAAAAAAAAATTTTTTTGTAGAGATTGGGTGTCACTATGTTGCCCATGCTGGGACAAGTATGTATGCACTCATGACATGCCTAACTTTTTCTTAATTTTTTCAGTATTTCTAGGCTATAAGGTTCATCTATGAGTTTCTTCAAATTGTCACAAATCTCTAAAACTTTTTCCAATATACTTATTGAAAAAAATCTGCATGTAAGTGGAACCTCACACTTCAAATTCGTGTTGTTTGAGGGTCAACTGGGTTTGTCTCTTTTTCTTCCATTTTGAGCTCCCTAAAGTCAGAGACCTTGTACTCAAGCCCAGGGTCTAGCTGCACGGGTGCTCACATGAAAATTTTGGATGTTAGGGGTTGAGCTGTATCCCCCCAAATTCATACCTGATGATCCAACTCCCAGTACCTTGGAATGTGCCCTTATTTGAAAAGAGGGACTTTATCAGGGTCATCAAGTTAACATGAGGTGATAGGGGGGTTGTAGGGGGGATGCTAATCCAACACGACTGGTGTCTTGTGGGGAAAGGGGGACACAGACACACACAGCAGGGAGGACATGTGAACACAGAGAAGACAACCATTCACAGGCCAAAGACAGGGCCAGGAGAGATTCTCCCTCGCAGCCCTCAGACAGGGCCAACCACCAACACCTCAATCTCGGACTTTCAGCTTCCTGAACCGTAAGAGAATGAATTCCAGTTGTTTTGCCCACCCAGGTTGTGGGACTCTGTCCCAGCAACCACAGGAAACTCACCCACTGGGTGGGGGGTCCGCCCCTGCCAATCAGCCCTTTCTGGGTTCCAGGGGTTTGTTCCTGTCCTTCTCCCACATGGACACTGCTGACCACACAGCATTAGGAGTGATGTGCCTCTCACCAGTACCCTGACCCTGCAGGGGAGTCCCAGAGCACGTCATCCTGTTGCTGCTCACGATCATCAGGCGCTCAGGAAGTCTCTGCACAAGTGCATAGAAGGTGCACACCTCCCTTATTCATTCACACTTTACTTTGTAACCTCATTCTCTAAAAGTGTCATCATAGACCAACACCAGGACCAGAGCAAGTGTGGCATTAAAAGCCCAACACAGTTAGAAGCCAGTGAGCAATGATACCCTAGCACGAATGCTACCGAAACAGTGGAGATGGGACAGATTCACAGGGAACACTCACTGGTCACAGAGTGTCACTTACAACTGACCTGGGCATCCAGGACATCTGCCAGCTCCCGCTTCCTCTGAGAGAGGAGAAGCCTGCGCTTCAGCTCGTGGGCCTTTTTCTGTAGCTTCTCCTTCTCCTTACACATTATTAATAAATTCTTTTCTGCCCTTCTTTCAAACTCAGCAAGATTGTTCTCCATCTGTTAAATGTGAAAGAAAAGCTCAAGCAGGTGGGGACTCCCTCCCCGTGAATGGAGGCCACCCTTCCATCCATGGCATACGTGAACAAGAAACTGTTTTCACCTTTACGGATAGTAGCGTCAGCAGTAGTGTCTGAGACTCCATCATTTCCATTGCTTCAGATAAATCCTTAAGAAAAGAAAAAGACCCTCTCAATTCCTGATGAAGTGGTATAAATCCAGCTCTTTTCCCAGCAGGGGGAGAACTCTGGCTTGTGTGGATTTTCTGTATTCAGTTTGATATTCGGTAGTTCTCTACTGTAGTGGGTCTATTGCTTCTATTTTCTTTTATTTGGTTTTCTGCGGCGCTGAGATGAAAGAGGGAGGTCCACAACCTTCCTTCCCCTGGCACCTGGCAGGTGGAGAGACAGCAGCAGCTGGGTAGTCAAGGACAAGCTGAGAATACCCACCAATTTGGTGCTGCACCAGGACCAGAATGCCGTCTCCCCACCTGCTGGTCCCCCAACCACCAGTCTTGTCCTCACCCCAGTGAGACCACAGCCTAGCCGTCCTCCCACCAAGGGACAGGGCCTGGCATTGTGCCTTTCCCAGCACAGCATGGGCACAGAGAAGTCCCCTGTCTCATTTTTTACATGGCTCCATATTGGTATCCACTACTGAATGTGTACTTGGGGAAATGTAAACTCTACAAATGATCTAAGAACATCTGTAGTCTTGATTTTTGTCCTAAAGGGCATGGGTGTCTTTTATGTTCTTGGATCCGTGGGCACTCAGCATCTGGTTCAGAGTGGACTCTAAATCAGATCTATGCAACCCATCTGTGGCTGCCCTCTTCTTTCAGACACTTACCGGGCTCTTTTTCCGAGGGGCAGAAAATGATGTTGACTCAGGTTTCTTTGATATTGTTTTTGCTAACTGTGGCGTCTTTTTGACGATGCTTTTGTCTAAGATAAAGCACAGCATTTTTAATGGCAAGTAGCGTATATAGACTGGTCCCTGGTTGCCATTTTTTTTCTAATGATGGGTTTATTGGGATGTAACCCCATCATAAATTGAGGAGTATATGGACTTATAACAGTCCAGTTAAAGTTGTTCAACTTTGCAAGGGGCAAAAGGCAAGTTTAATACCCTTTACCAAGGTATTAAGTATATTTTTGATGTACAATATTTTCAACTTACAATGGGTTTGTTGGATGTGACCCCACTGTAGGCCAATTGTACTTTGGAAGCCCACTGAGACCTACTGCAACCCCCAGTGAGTGACAGAAGGGGTGAAACAAATGATTTACCATTAATAGCAGAGAGATCCAGGTCAGGTGGAGCTGTGCCATGCCCTTCCAGCAACGTGGACTGCAGGTCACCCTTTCCGACCCCACTGCTATCTGCTGTTAAGAAAAGAATCCCCGAAAGTCAGCACAGTCAAGAGACACTCTCCATTCAAGCCAGGAAACGCAGGCCGTGTTTTTGAACAATACCACTTGCTTCTAAAAGCCCAATTTCGTCCAAGGTGGAAAGGCTAAAAAAAAAAAAAAAAAAAAAACCTGTGGAAATTCCCAGCCATCACCTTGACTCTATTTTTAAAGTACCACTAGAAGACAGAGACATTCTGTATAACCAAAGAGACGCAAATAGGCCTTTCTGCTAGTTCACAAGATGCTACAGGTGGGATACGATGCCATATTCCCATTCTACCCTCTACTCTCTTTCCACCTTTTTTGTTTTTGAGACGGAGTTTCACTCTTGTCACCCAGGTGACAATGGTGCAATCTCGGCTCACTGCAACCTCCACCTCCCGGGTTCAAGTGATTCTCCTGCCTCAGCCTCCCAAGTAGCTGGGATTACAGGCACTCGCCACCATGCTCAGCTAATTTCTGTATTTTAGTAGAGATGAGGTTTCACCATGTTGGCCAGGCTGGTCTCAAACTCCTGGCTTCAGGTGATCTATCCACCTCGGCCTCCCAAAGTGTTGGGATTACAGGCATGAGCCACCGCACTCAGCCAAGTAATCTTTCCATCTTTTTTCTGCAGCTTCTGGACTGTTCATCCTCCCTGGGAGTTCCCTTCATCTTTTAACGTATATTCTAAACTGTAAAATTAAGCCTTACACTGTCTAAGATGGGCACTAGCATACAGCATGCTACCACTACACAAGAGCCCAGGAGTGCTGCAGATGCCAACAGATGGCACGTACGGTATGTTGTGTTAGGAACTAAGCATGAGACTATTTCATGAACAACTATGCAGCTGAGGAAATGAATGACCTGGAAATGAAAAGAGGAAGGTCACTGCAATGTGTAGGGTACAATATAACAACGATTTGTGTTGAAATTCTTAAAAAAAATCTGGAAAGATCAGCAAAAATCTATTGAGAGCACATGCCCTCAGGGCACAGACTGGGAGCCTGGGGTGAGGAGGTGGAAATTTTCTTTTTTTTTTTTTTTGAGACAGGGTCTTGCTCTGTCACCCAGGCTGGAGTGCAGTGGCACAATCTAGGCTTACTGCAACCTCTGCCTCCCAGGCTCAAGCAATCCTCCCACTTCAGCCTCCTGGGTAACTGAGAATACAGGCAAGTGTCACCATGCCCAGATAATTTTTTATTTTTTTATTTTTAGTAGAGACAGGGTTTCACCATGTTGCCAGGTAGGTCTGGAACTCCTGGGCTCAAGGGATCTACCGGCTTCATCCTTCCAAAGTGCCGGGATTACAGGCGTGAGCCACCACACCCAGCTAGAGGTGGTAACTTTTTATTGTTATTGCTTTTGCCCTGGAATATTTTATCATCAGCATGTATAGCATTTGCACTAAAAAAATTAATTTTCTACAAAGCCATACAATGGAACTCAAACAAGCAGTCCTTTGAAATCATTATGGTGTGGTTTAAATTAAGGTTTCTTAGCCATGGCATTGCGAGCACATGGGGCTGGATCCTTCCTTGCGGTGGTGGGGGTGTCCTGTGCATTCAGGATGTTAAGTGGCCTCCCTGGCCTCCACCCACCAGACGCCAGTAGAACCCCTTCCCCCAGATATGACAACCAAACACATCTCCAGACACTGCCTAAGCGTTCCCTGGGGGTCAGAATCGCCCTTGAGTAAGAACTGGTTTTAAGGTGTGGCAGGCCCAGTCTGATCCCCTGGCCACACCAGCATTCCCAGCTTCATGCATGGCCTTCAACCCAATTAGATGGGGAAAGACTAGCAGGCTGGCTCTAGTGTGCCTGCTTCTCAACCACGCCTGGGAAGGGCATAGCGCGAATTCTCACAAACATCTACACCAGGAGTGGCAAATTGTAGCTCATAGGCCAAATCCAGCCCGCTTCCTTTGCTTGTAAATAGTTTTATTGGCACACAGCTATACCTGTTCCTCTATGTCTGGTCTGGGGTTGTTTTTAATGTTACAAACAGCAGAGCTGAGTCTTCTTGTTGATGTTGTTGAGACGGTGTCTCACTCGGTTGCCCAGGCTGGCATGCAATGGAGCAATCTCGGCTCACTGCAACCTCCGCCTCCCAGGTTCAAGCGATTCGCCTGCCTCAGCCCTGCACCCTCACCCCAAGTAGCTGGGATTATAGGCGTGTGCCATCATGGCCAGCTAATTTTTGTATTTTTAGTAGAAATGGGGTTTCACTATGTTGGCCAGGTTGGTCTCGAACTCCCGACCTCAGGATGAGTCCTCACAGCCTCTCTAAGAGTCTTGCTCTCAGAGCACCAGTGGGAAAACAGTCACATAGACAAGAAACTGATGTCACAAAGCAGTACCATGATGGCAATGTGGCTTTTCTCTGGGGCCACACAGGGAAGAAATGATCTCCCCTTTGCTCCGCATCCCCACTCACCTCCCCACATCCCCCCAGTCTGTCCTTATGCTCCAACTCTCTCTGCTCACTGCTTCTGACCCTTCCCAGAAAGGAAAGAAGGAACTTTAACTTAGCACCCATGGAGACAAAATTTACTGCCGCGCTCATCACTGCCCGAGGACCATGGCTGTTTCGCACCTTTGCTTTTCTGGAGCAGGCTGGATTTCCTTCCACCTTCAGACATCTTCCCTCGGGTCTGTGACCCATCTCCTGCAGGAGCCTGTTATGGGAACACATGACACTCAGAGGACAAGACATCCTCCCTTCACAACAACGGGCCCTGATGCGGTCTGCACTGTGTTTCGTAACTGCTCTTACTTTGAGGCAGGGGAGACATTTAAAGAGGTTTGAAATCTTACCTCATATACACAGGACAAACAAATTTTGTCAAAATGTAGATGCTCACTTGCAGAGAACATAGGAAACTACCAAAATGTTTGCTGGTGATTATTGACATGGTAGATTACAGGTGACTGATTTTTTTCTAGACACATTTAAGTATTTGCTAGTTTTCCAGAGAGAACATATAACTTTGGTCATCAGGAGAAACAAAGTTTTTACACATATGTTGTCAAAAAATATTTTTTTAAAGAAACACATGGAGCACTGGCCTTCTAATAACCAAAAGCAAAACAAAAATCTTATAAAGAGCAATGGCCAGGTGCAGTGGCTCCCGCCTGTGGTCCCAGCTACTCAGGAGGCTGAGTTGGGAGGATCGCTCGGGTCCAGGGGTTTGAGGCTGCAGTGAGCCATCACACCACTGCACCCCATCCTGGGAGACAGAGCAAGACCAGAGCAACGACATGACGACGCACAGACACCACTCTCATTCAATATCACAGTGGAGGTCCTCAGATAAGAAGTAAAAGGCAAACAGGTTGAAAAGGAAAAGTAAAACTCTGTTCTTACAAACGTAATTTTTCATGTAGGAAATCCCCGAACATCTTCAAAACTGCTATTAAAATTAGTAAGTTTAACAAGAGTTTTCTTTCAATTTTGTGTGTGAACTTGACTGGATATGGGGTGCCCCAGACTGAACATTTTTGGGTGTGTCTGTGAGGGTGTTTACTAATGAGATCAGCATTTGAATTGGTGGATGCAATAAACTGCCCTCCCCAGTGTGTATGGGCACCATCCAATCCCTTGAGGGCCTGAATACAACAAAACAGTGGAAGGAGGAGAAATTCATACCTTTTGCTTCCTGCTTGCCTGGTTGAGCTGAGACATCTTACCCCATCTCCTGACCTGTCCTCAAACTGGGACTTACACCTTTGGCTCCCCTGGTCTCAGCCCTTCAGACTCACACTGAACTAAACCACCAACCTTCCTGGCTCTCCAGTTTGCAGACAGCAGATCCTGGGATTTCTCAGCCTCCATAATCACATGAGCCAATCCCGTGTAAATAAATCTCCTTTTATATATTCATATCCTTTTATAAGCCTCTCTTATTGGTTCTGTTTCTCTGGAGAACTCTAATACAGCAGGGGTGCAGGACACACGATCAATATGTAAAAATTCATATTTCTAGCAATGAAGTAGCAATGAACAAGTTTGGAGATTGAAATTAAAATAGAGTACCATATACAATGGCACTAAACACCAAATGCTTAGTTATAAACCAAATAAAATATGTGTAAGATCTATAATCTGGAAGCTACAAAACAATGTTGGAGGAAATCCAGGAAGATCTAAATAAATGGAGAAGCATACCATGTTCATGGATTGAAAGACTCGCTTTTATTAAGAAGGCATTTGCCCTGATTTATGGATTCAATATAATCAAAATCCAGCAGATATTTTGCTAGAAAATGACAATTCTAAAATCTCTATGGAAAGCCAAAGGAACGAGAAGAGACTAAACAGTCTCGGAAAAGCACAGTGAGAGGTCTCACATTACCTGTTCTCAGGACTTAGTGCAAAGCTACAGTAACCTCAGCAGTGTGGAACTAGCATAAGGATGCATACATAGAACAATGGAAAAGAACAGAGCCCAGACATGATGTGCACATACATGGTCAACTGGTATTTGACAGAGATGATGAGAGAATACAACGGGAAAAAGGAAAATCATTTCAATAAATGGGATTACAACAACTGAACACCCATACATGAAAAAACGAACTTTGATTTAAACATCACACCATACACAAAAACTAACTCACAGACTTAAAAGTAAAACCTAAACTACAAAACTCGTACAAGAAAACAGGAGAAAAATCTGTGATCTTGGATTAGGTGGAGATATCCTGGATAAGACTCCAAAAGCACAATCCACAAATGGGGAAAGTGATCAAATGGGCTTCATCGAAATCGTCAACTACTGCCTCTTAAATTAAAGCACTTAACAGCATGAAAAGACAAGCCAGACTAGAAGAAAATATTTGCAAAGCACCACAAAGAGCTGGTATCCAGAATATAGAAAGCACCCTCAAAACTCAGTAACAAGAAAACAACTCAATTTAAAACTGGACAAAAGATCTCAACAGACACATCCGCAAAGATACAGGAATGGCAAATAAGCACATGAAAAGATGCTCAATATCATCGGCTATTATGAAAACACAAATGAAAACCACAATGAAGTATCACTTCACACCCACAAGACTGGCTAGAATGTGAAAGTAACAACTTGCACTTTTCATCTATGTGCCTAGTGGGAACATAAAGATGGTGCAGCCACTGTGGATAACAGGTAGTTTCCTGTTACCATTATATAGAGATGTTTTCATCTACAACTCATGGCTTGTAACTCCTATAAACCCTTGTTACAGTAAGCAGGATCTCTCTGACCTCCCACACTCCTTTCACCTGCCAGAGAGGGTCCTGCCTCATACCCCAGAGGAAAAAACGCAACAGAGGCCAAGAAGAATCTGAACAGACAGGACTTGCTGGGTTTAAAGCATGCCCTTTTTGACCAATCACATTTCCACAGGGCTGTCCATGCTTCAATCGTGCCTAAGTCATGAAGACTCTATAAAAACCCAAAGGAGCTGGGCGTGGTGGCTCATGCCTGTAATCCCAGCACTTTGAGAGGCCGAGGTGGGCAGATCACGAGGTCAGGAGTTCGAGACCAGCCTGACCAACATGGAGAAACCCCGTCTCTACTAAAAATACAAAATTAGCTGGGTGTGGTGGCATGCGCCTGTAATCCCAGCTACTCCAGAGGCTGAGGCAGAATAGCTTGAACCCGGGAGGCAGAGGTTGCAGTGAGCCAAGATCGCACCACTGCATTCCAGACTGGGCGACAGAGCGAGGCTCTATCTCAAAAAAAAAAAAAAAAGCACAGAGCTTGGAGAGACTTCAGATCAGATAGCTAACACGTGGAGATTCCCAAAGGGTGGTATGCCCGAACAGGCCATGGAAGCTCTGTGCGCCTTCCCCCCATATCTCACTCTACACATCTCTTATCTTCTAAAAAAAAAAAAAAGAGACAGGATCTCACTGTCACTCAAGATGGAGTGCAGTGGCTCACTGCAGACTCAACCTCCTTGGCTCAAATGATCTTCCTGCCTCAGCCTCCCGAGTAGCTGGGACTATAAGCACTCACCACTACGCACAGCTATTTTTATTTTTTTGTAGAGGTAGGGTCTTGCTATGTTGCCCAGGCTGGCCTCAAACTCAGGCTCAAGCAATCTTCCCACCTTGACCTCCCAAAGTGCTGGGATTACAGGCCTAAGTCACCATGCCCAGCCACTTGGCTAATGAAAAAAAAAAAATTTCAGAGACGGGGTCTCGCCCATGCTAGTTTGGAACTCCTGGCCTCAAGCAATCCTCCCATTTCGACCTCCCAAATTGCTGGGATTTCAGGCATGAGCCACCACACTTGGCTCCATCTGTATCCTTTATAATATCCTTTATAATAAACTGGTAAACCTAAGTGTTTCCTTGAGTTCTGTGAGTCACTCCTGCAAATTAACTGAACCCAAAGAGGGGGGTCATGGGAATCCCAACTTGAACTTGGTTGGTCAGAAGTTCTAGAGGCAGAAGAGGGGCAGTCTTGGAGACTGAGCCCTCACCCTATAGGTTCTGATGCTATTTCCAGGTAGTGTGTCAGAATTGAATTGGAAGATACCCAGCTGGTGGCTGCTGCTTGCTGGTGGGGGAACCCTCAGAAGTCCTGTGTTGACTGTTGTTGAGTGGGAGAATAGGAAACACAGTTTGAGTTTTTCTACGAGCCAGCAATCCTCCTCCTGGGAGAAATAAAACCACGTCTACACAGAAAAATACACAAGAATGTTTACGGAGGCTTTATTCATAATCACCAAGACAGGAAACCAACTGACTGCCTGTCAATCAATGAACAGATGAACACAACGTGGTCCATCCACTTGATGGAATACTATTCGGCCATAAGAAGGAACCAGGCCGGGCATGGCGGCTCATGCCTGTAATCCCAGCATTTTGGGAGGCTGAGGCAGGTGGATCATTTGAGGCCAGGAGTTCGAGACCAGCCTGGCCAACATGCTGAAACCCTGTCTCTACTAAAAATACAAAAATTAGCCAGGTGGGGTGGCACACACCTGTAATCCCAGCTACTCGGGAGGCTGAGGAAGGAGAATGGCTTGAATCCAGAAGGCGGAGGTTGCAGTGAGCCGAGATCGCACTACTGCACTCCAGCCTGGGCAACAGAGCGAGACTCCATCTCAAAAAAAAAAAAAAAAGGAAGGAAGCACCTACATGCAATACATGCAACACAGAGGAACTTGAAAGGCACTCTGCTAAGTGTCAGGAGTCAGAGGCAAGGGCTACAAACTGTGATGCCACAGATATGACCTTCTAAAAAAGGCAAAAATGCAGATTCAGAAAGCCAATCTGTGGTTGCCTGGGGGTGGGAGAGGGGCTGGTCCTATCAGAGCACAAGGGGATTTAGGGATGACTCGTTCTGTAGCTTGATTATAGAGGCGGTTCCATGACTGTCTATGTCTGTCAAAACAGGCAAGACCCTATGCTGAAAAGGGGGATGCTGACTCCATGTAAATGACACCCTGATTTTTAAAATGGGGGGAAAAACAGAAAAGATCTAAAGGGCTAAAATGTTACAGCACGCAGACACACGGGGGCGCTGTAACCAAGTCTTGGCAACAACATGAAAATTTGGAGCGTGGAAGACTGTGACCCTTTGTTGAAAACTGCTCTGAGAAGAGTATCTGTTTGTGCAAAGGTATCCTCTTTTCTCAAGCCGAATCTTAAGTCACAGGGTCGAGAACCCACCAGCCACCCAGAGTGGAAGACAGGCAGTGGGAATTTGACTTAATTTTATCATAAACCAAGATTTGGAAAGCAGAGGGAAGAATCCAACCTTGACTTCACTGAAAGAAAATATATAATTGTATAATCTACTGATTGCTCCCACGAACTCTCACACAAAGCACGTTCTCACGTGGTTAAATATCTTTCATGCCATTACTTTCAATGGTTTCACGATATTTCATGGTTTGCCTACACAATAGTTCACTAAACTCTTACTCCAATTCGGAGTGATCGAAGGATGTCATTTTTCCCATAGTTTTTCTCTAAAAACCTGTTTTTTTATTTTATTCTTTTTTTTTTTTTTTTTTTTTTTTGAAGACACGGGTCAGGGTCTCGCTCTGTCGCCAAGGCTGGAGTGCAGTGGTTCAATCTTGGCTCACTGCAACCTCTGCCTCCCAGGTTCAAGCGATTCTCCTGCCTCAGCCTCCTGAGTAGCTGGGATTACAGGTGCACGCCACTGCATCCGGCTAATTTTTGTATTTTTAGTTGAGACGGGGTTTCGCCATGTTGGCCAGGCTGGTCTCGAACTCCTAGCCTCAAGTGATCCGCCCACCTCGGCCTCCCAAAGTAGCTGTTTTTAAATACCAGCCAGACACCAAGAACTGTGTGCTGGGCACTGGATAAGACAGCTTCAGAATCCAGAAAGCGAATTAACTGGGTTGAAAGGCAAGAACAGGCTGGGCGCCAGGGCTCACACTTGTAATCCCAACATTTTGGGAGGCCGAGGCGGGAGCATCACTTGAGCTCAGTAGCTCAAGATCAGCCTGGGCAACATAGGGAGACCCTGTCTCTACAAAAACGTTTAAAAATTAGCTGGTGTGGTAGCACACGCCTTTCGTCCCAGTTACTCAGAAGGCTCAGGTGGGAAGATGGCTTGAGCCTGGGAGGCTGAGGCTGCAGTGAGTCGTGATCACACTGCACTCCAGCCTGGGCAACAGAGAGAGACCTTGCCTCAAAAACAAAAAAAAAGGGTAAGAACGATACCATGTTTCAATGGAGATCACAGCTTCGTAAAAGAGATGCTTATAGCCATGAGCCGTCGATGACAGACTCACAACTGGCAGCATGAAGGGCTGATGGTCTCAAAAGCACCTGAGTGAAGATCCCAAAATGCTTCCTTCAGGACCAGGTTGTGACCACCTCCCATGACTAGTTTCGGAATTCCAGTTGCTCAGAACCTTGCTCAGAACTGCTGCAAATGGAAGCTGGGTGCGGCCTTACCTTTTGGGTTGTCTTCTTTTCATACTGCAGATACCGGGACTCAATCACTCTTCCACCTGTGGGGACACACTGTTGGTGCACAACAAAACTACAAAGGACCGAAGACCCCACACACCCAGACCCCACGCCCCGGAGACCCAGATGCCAGGGGCCCTCTCCACTCAGTGACCAGAACAGAGGAGGTCACCACTCCTCCTGCTCGCCTCTGATCACGTCCTTCGGCAGCCTCAAGCATGCATGGGACGCCTACTGTATGCAAGTCCCAAGCCATGTGTGGAGTCACAGAGTTCCTGAGGAAGTAAGATCAAGGAACACCCTCCAAGGTCAAAGCTGCAAGTGCACTCAGACAAGCGGGAGGGAAAGAAGAAAGAGCTTTCACTGACGGCCTCCAGGTGGCTTCCTCCTTCCTCCCATCTCGTGTGACCCCAATGGCCCCTTCCCCCGCCTGTGTGTCTAGGACTCACTCCTGGTACTACCTTTTACTCCCCCCGCCCCTTACTCAGTTTGGGACCCCCTGCCCTGAGACATGCCCAACACCCAGGCCCTCTTCAGACAGAGCCAAATCCCTAGTGACAGCCCAACCCCAGGTCCCCTTCCAGGGCTACTCCTGGGAGCGTGACTGTGGATGGAACAAATGCCACCTGTCACCCCAGCTTCTGGAGGTAGGGGTCTGAACTGGATCCGGTTAGTCCCATTCTGTCCCCCAGCCCTCTCCCGGACCCCTCCCTCAAAACTGTTCCTCCCACCTCCTACGCCAGGCCCAACCCTTGGTCTCAGCAGGTGACCTGTTTCCTCCTTCACTGGGAAGACAGAAGTGGCCCCAGGAGACCCTCCCGCCACCACATCCAGCCACCTCCAGTCCTGATGGCTGCATTCCCCCGGCCCTGTGAATGGACCTTTGTGCTCCCAGATAAAGCGCCCCCCATTCTGGGCGCTAAAGCCCAGCCCTCACTTCCAAAAGGAAATGCCCCGCAACTCCCACCTCCCTGCCTGAATCCCCACAGCTCCTCTCTCCACCAGATGCTGGAGGTCATTCTTCCTCCTACCTGCACTCTCTGCCTCCCCCCATTTCTCCCATCCCCTTGACAGCAAACACCCCAAGTTCTTTATTCACCAGCTCCCCTTTCTCTCCTTTCTCCTTCCCTTGAATCCCGCCCCCCACAATCCAGCTTGCAGACACACCACCGCACCAGAACACCTTTGGACAAGACCACCGTGACCTCCCTTGCTCCTGAGCCCAGCAGTCCATTCTCAGTCCTGGTCATCTGAACCACCAGGCACAACCACTGCTCGTTCCCTGCTTCCTGAAACCTTCCATCAGCCTCCAACTGCCCTTCAGGGCTGAGACAGGCTGGCGTGCTGGGTCCATGGGCTCAGGAAGCCTAAGTGCCTCCGGGAACCTTCTGGACCCTGTGCCACCAACAACTTGCCTCTAACCTTATCACTTTGTCACCTCTCACTTGCTCTATTCAGCCGCTCTGCCGCGTGGACCCCCTTGCTGTGCATCCCCCTGCAGGCACCTCCCTCTCTCAAGGCTCTGCTCAGTTCAGACCACAGCACACTTGTCTCTGCCTGCCATTTCGTCACAGCATCTGTCATCATCTAGCAACCCCACAGCCTCCTTACGGTTCTCATGCAATGCCCACCTCCTCCCTAGAGCCCCAGGGGCCCAGGATTTTTGTCTCCTTCGCTCGCTGCTATGTTCCACCACCTGGTACGGGGTAGGCACTCGATAATATGTCAAATGAATGATTCTAGGCCAGGCGTAGTGGCTCACGCCTGTAATCCCAGCACTTTGGGAGGCCAAGGCAGGCGGATCACCTGAGGTCAGGAGTTCGCGATCAGCCTGGCCAACATGGAGAAACCCCGTCTCTACTAAAACTACAGAAATTAGCCAGGCGTGGTGGCATGTGCCTGTAATCCCAGCTACTTGGGAGACTGAGGCAGGAGAATCACTGGAATCCAGGAGGCAGAGGCTGCAGTGAGCCGAGATCGTGCCATTGCACTCCAGCCTGGCGACAGAGTTAGACTTTGTCTCATAAAAAAAAAAAAACGGTTCTGCATTGTATCGGTGCCATAGAGCTCAGAGGTTTGCCTTTGTACTGAAGAGGCCCGGGGAGAGTGACATGCTCAATGTCACACAGCTTGAGAGTTCAGCCAAGTGAGATTGTGACTTTGACCATATCTTTGTTCCAGTTGATTCTTCTGTTGGGGACTGGGGTTGCAGCTGCTACCCTGAGAGGAAAGGAGGTACCCTCAGAGTTAACAAGGATCCTTCAGTCAGCCAAAGGGCCGGGCTGTCAATCTGGGCAGCCCCAGGGTAGGAATGCACCATGCCTGCAGAGCGAGTGTGGGTGCAGGTGGGTGCCCGGCAGATGTGGACAATCGGAAGGCCACTCTCATGGTGCAGGTCTCCAAGGGCTGAGGCCAGGACCAGGTGGGGTCCCAGGGACAACCAGGCCACAAAAAGAGTCTACCCTGGATGGTGATCGAACAGCTGAGAGAAAGGACATCCCCAGCTCCCAGCAGAAAGACCATCCAGCCCGGGTCTTTCTAGTAGCATCAGGAAACAGTTTTGCTCAACAAGGAGGATCTCAGGCTTGGGCTGCCTTGGACGGTGGGGAAACAAAAGCACTTTCAAGTTTCCTGAAAACTAGGATACAACTGTTTATTTTAAACAGCCTGGCTAGGTGCGGTGGCTCACACCTGTAATCCCAGCACTTTGGGAGGCCGAGGTGGACGGATCACTTGAGGTCAGAAGTTTGAGACCAGCCTGGCCAACATGGTGAAACCCTGTCTCTACTAAAAATACAAAAATGAGCCAGGATGGTGGCAGCTCCCAGCTACTTGGGAGGCTGAGGCAGAGAATCGCTTGAACCTGGGAGGCGGGAGCTACAGTGAGCCGAGATCACGCCACTGCATTCCAGCCTGGGTGACAGAGCGAGACTCCATCTCAAAAAAATAAATACAAATAAATAAACAGGCTGAATTTTCCACAGAAGCAATATTATGAAGAAGGATACAATTCTTGTCCAAGAACGAGGTAGCTCATAAATATTATAGCTGTTATATGCGAGATTAACATGCGATGTTTAGAATTTGGGAATAAGTGGTCAGGAAATAAAAAGACAACTTACCCAGCAATGCTGAAACATACAAACCTTGCCTCACTTGGAAATAAAATCCTGCTCTAAGCTCGCTGAATTGGGCCCTGCGACACTGCACACACTGAGAAAATACCTCATTGTATCATAGTCTTGGCCTCCAATGATGGACTCTAGAATCTACCATGCAAGCCGAGCATTTCCTTTTTTTTTTTTTTTTTTTTTTTGAGATGGAGTTTCGCTCGCCACCCAGGTTGGAGTACAGTGGCGCGATCTCGGCTCACAGCAACCTCCACTTCCCAGGTTCAAGCCATTCTCCAGCCTCAGCCTCCTGAGTAGCTGGGATTACAGGCACCTACCACCATGGCCGGCTAATTTTTGTATTTTTAGTAGAACGAGGTTTCACCATGTTGGTCAGGCAGGTCTTGAACTCTTGACCTCATGATCCACCCACCTTGGCGCCTCAAACTGCTGGGATTACAGGCGTGAGCCACCGTGTCCAGCCACATTTCCTTTTTTTTTGTTTTGTTTTGAGACAGAGTCTCACTCTGTCGCCCAGGCTGGAGTGCAGTGGTGCGATCTTGGCTCGTGGGGGAGGCCGTTAACGGTGATCCCAGACCGATAGGTGGAAATCAGATGTACAGGCACCCCTCATGAGACTGACACGCTCACGCAGTGGGAATTGAGAGTTTGATTTTAGGCCGGGGGCAGTGGTTAATGCCTGTAATCCCAACACTTTGGGAGGCAGAGGCGGGAGGATCACTTGAGGTTAGGAGTTCGAGACCAGCCTGGGTAACATAGTGAGACCCCAACTCAAAAAAAAAAAAAAAAAAAGGCAGAGTTTGATTTTTGATAATGATCTCCATGGTCTCCACACCCACGCTTCCAGGGGACATGTCCCGGACACAGCCCATGACCCCCATGGCTGCCAAGGGAAGCCACTGCTCAAAATGACCACCACCATTCCTGACACAGCCCTCGCCACAGGGCTGGGATGGCCAGACCCAGAATCCCCACAGGTGTGACTACAAGGAAGTAAAGCCACAGGCCCCCTTCTCTGGCCTGTTTTTTTCTTCCTCCAAAAGCACGTAATGAAAGAAGAAAACCATGTTCCTTAAAGAGATCCTGACACTGCTTACCTTGAACTCTTTTATCCTTCTTCTTGGCACTGCTAGAATTTGTGGGGCCGGTTGCAGGCTTCCTGCAAGAGAAGAGAGAGAGGTCTTGTTCACCTCACTACCCAAGAAGCACAGGGAAGCCGGCGAGGTGCCTCTGCTAGTTGAAGCTCAGACAGCCCAGTCCAAGGGCTGCCAGAGGACAATTTCAGTGAGGGTGGGCCACCTCAACAGGAAAAGGGACACAAGGAGCAGCCAGCCCTGGTCACCTGGGCAAGAAGGCATAGGTGAACACCCAAACTGAGAAGAGAGGAGGGTAATGAGAGCTCTGTGGAAGAGATCACAGCAGATCTCAAATTATCCCTGGGTTCATTCATTCACCAGACATTGATGCACCTACTATATTCCAGTAGAGACACAGTGGTAACAAAACACAGAGCTCCTTCCCAGAAAGGGAAGAACAACATCTTGACAGGCAGGTACGAGGAGTGGTCCCAGCAGGTACCTCACTTTGGGAGGCTGAGGCTGGCGGATCACGAGGTCAGGAGATCGAGACCATCCTGGCTAACATGGTGAAACCCCATCTCTACTAAAAATACAAAAATGAGCTGGGGTGGTGGCATGCGCCTGTAGTCCCTCCTACTCAGGAGACTGACACAGGAGAACTGCTTGAACCCGGGAGGCACAGGTTGCAGTGAGCCAAGATCACGCCATTGCACTCCAGCCAGGGTGACAGTGAGACTCCGTCTCAATAAATAAATAAATAAAAATAAAAATAAAAATAAAAATAGAATGAAGCCTGATGTAATAGGAAAGAAGGGACCCTGAGATAGGAATCGCTGACTCATCAGCTGTGGGGGTGCAGGAGAGGGAGAATCTGGGATGACTAGGGGTTTCAGGGTTTCAGCCTGAGCTGGTGAGAAAAGAAGGGATCCAAGAACAGACACCAGCAACACAGGAGGGGCAAGTGGATGGGCAAGTGGAGGGGCAGGGCCAAGGCCAGGGCACTGTAACTCCTGCTCCCATCACCAAAGGCGGCTCCACTGGTCCCTGCGGCCACCTCCTCTGAAGCAGGCTCCCAGGACCCCAAAGTGAGACCCAGACAATGTTGGGGACACTTCCAGGCCACCGTGGGGAGAGGCAACTTAGCAAATGTTCGCCAGGTGCCAGCAGCTGCGCTCGCCCGTAGGCTCCTCCTAACCCGACAGCTTCCTAACTGTTCACACCTGCTTTTTCGTCGCTGCAAAACAAAGACGCACAGGTTTTACATAGGTCACCCCCGGGGCAGTCTCACAGCCAGAAAGAGACAAGAGCACAGACTCCCTCTGGGGACTGTGCTAGGGCTGTGGCCTCAAACCGAATGGGCTCCTGGGTGAACCTGCTGCGACCTGAGGGGGGTCCCTACAACCTGTGCGAGCCTCAGCTACTGCACCTGTACCTGGGAGGTGCTACTGTCAATCTATCGGTTACGGCAAGGGGCGGTGGAGTGATTCCTCTTGCTGGCCAATTTCACTTCAGTTTGCACCTGGCACAATCAACACTGGCAGAATTAACAAAACTAGACAAATATAGCCTCATGATCATTCATGCCTAGCTCTCGGTCAGTATTCAACTTCTTTCTTGTTCATGGTGTGTTACCCTAGGCAAGTCACTTCCCCTCCCTGGGTCTCCATCATCTCCTCAGTAAACTGGGAGCACAGAATAAAGCGCGTGGGAGGATTAAAGGGGACACTTTGGTCGCCCAACACTTGTTCACTGCATAACGATAATTCCAAGAGCGACATCACAGTAAAGACCCAGGCGCCGATCTAAGCGCGTTTCAGCCTCACGCGACGCCTACGAGGTTGAGCTGCGTCATCGGCCCCATTTCGTAGCGGAGGAAAGCGAGGCACTGGGCGGTCAGGCCGCTTGCCGGAGGTCGCCCAGCGTCCCAGCCGAGGACGCGGAACTCAGGGCCGGTCGGGTGTCAGCGCTCCGGAGCATGCGCAGAGGCAGCACGCCATCGGGGTCTTCAGGGGCCCGCGCAGTTCCTGGCGGGGTCGAACCCGAACTCACCCCGAGGGTCCTAACTCCCCACCTCCGCTGCCCATCCTCTCCAGCCCTATGGCGTCTACAAATCCAGACCTGCGGAAGCCCCAACTCACCCAGCGCCTCGCCCCGAGGAATCCGCCATTTTCCCGCCTTCCACCTCAAGGCCCGACCCGCCGGCTTTTCAAAGCCGGACCCGCCCCCTTGCTTGCGGGTCGGACCATTTGTGGAGACGCAGGAGGGGTGGCTGCGAGGCGTGAGGCAGCGCCGGCTAAGTGTGGAGAGCGCGGCCCCAGACGCGCGCTTCGCCTGTCCTCCCCTCGCACTTGGTCTCGCCCACCATCGGCGGTAGTGGGTAGGGGCGGTGGGTGGGACCTGATCTGTCGGACAGTAGGGGCGGGGCTTTTCGCGATGCCCCGCCCCTAGGAGCGCTGGCGTCACGCCCCCGTCCCCGCCTCTCCGGAACCCGGAAGCGGGAGCGCGCGGGGGAGCGGCGGGCGCGGCGGGGCGGAGCGGCTCGAGCAGCGGCGGGCTGGCAGGCGGTCGTCCGGCCGGGGACCCGGCCCGGGACCGGCGGCGCGCGGCGGCCGAGGCCAGGTGAGTACCAGGCAGCCTCGGGTTGGCGACTCGAGCTCGAAGCCTGCCTTTGGGGGCTGCGCAGAAGAGGGACGGAGCTGAGGGCTGATGGGGGACGCGACGGCAGGGGTCGAGGGGGCGGGAACGAGCCTGGGGGTCTTGGAGAGATTGCTGGGGATGAGGTGGAAGCGAGACGGTGAAGGAGAAAGTGGATGGGGATGGAGCTGGTGAGGGAGTTCGAGGGCGTGGGGGGGGTGAGTCTTGTGGCTTTGAGCAGCTTCTCTGAAGAGGACGTGGCTTAAGTGGTAATTGGGGGGTCGCAGGAAACGGCGTTGTGGGGAGGCACGGAGGCGGGAACGAGAGGCCCAGGCTGGGGGAGTGGGCAAGGCCAGGGGCGGGACAGCCGGGGTGCGGTTGAGGGGAAGGGGTGCGAGACCGATCTGGGGACGTCTGCCCGCGCGATTGAAGGAAGGGTGTCTGAGAAGAGGGCGGCGCCTGGCCCCCAGTGGGCGCTCAGTAAATGCGGGGGGTTCTGAACTAACTGATGCGGCAGCCGGCTATTGGGAAGCGGGGAAATGGGAGCTGGAAGGGAAGTAAACGGAGTAGAAGTCACGGTAAGAACTGAGGGTAGGCTTAGGGAGGGAGGGCCCGGAGAGGAGGGAAGAGAAGGAAGGGGTTAGAGTGGCCCCGTGCAGATAGATGTTGAGATGCAGCCCCTGGAGATTCCGTCCCCCCACCCTCCCCTCTTGATTCGTGTCCCTCCTGACTTCACACTTAACAGCTGGGTGACCTGGGACGAGTCCCAACACCCTCTGTGCCAGTGTCCTCGTCTTGGAAACTTCACCACCCTCCCCTTAAGACAGGACTAGCAGGATTCTGGGATTCCCTGGATCCAAGGAAGGGACCTCAGGGCCGGTTGTGGGGCCGGAACTGTGTTTCAGGAGGGAGTGTGCATGCACCCTCATGTACAGGACTGTCGCCACCTCCGCAGAGCTGCATCCTTGGACTTAAATGGGTAAAACGACATACAGGAAATCTGTCCCCCGGTTGCTCTGAGCTCAGCCCTGGAGAGGCACGACAGCCACGAGCCCTCCTTTCTTTCCTGGGCACCCTGGAGGCCAGGGGTCTTTAAGGGATGGCTTCTCTGCCTCTTTGTCTGAGGTGGGAGCCCGTGGGGACACTTTCCAGCCAGAGAGTCCCAACTCGGTTTGTTTTTTGATGTTGGAGTCTTCAGAATCTTAAGGTGTCCAGGAGCAGCCGGAGGTGACCTGGGCTACAGGAAAGTTATTCACATCTGACAGGCCTGGCTCTTGTGGCCCTGGCAGGGACTTTGTGCAGGGTGCTTTTGATTGGCATTCATTTCTCCCCTTTCCCAACTGTAGGGATCTTTATCTGGGATCTGCCAGAAGGGCTGGGGAACCCCAGCTTATGTTTAGTTTATAGCTCATTCAGGAGATGAACCCGGATAGCTGGAATATAAAGAGGGCCACAGAAAGATAAGCACCCCCTTCACTTCCAGAATATCCTGGCCTTTAGGAAAGGTGGCTTTGGCCTGGCTTGCCCCAGGACATGCAGTGACAGCCCACAGTCATGCCTCCTGCAAACATTGAACTGTAGGCTTGCACTGGCCTACAGAACAGGACCGGGATCTTCTGATCCCGCAGCCCTGCAATCGCCTCTTCCCTGCCGCTAGAGAATGGCCAAGCAGGGTCTTGTGGGGGGAGCACTGTGTTGGAGATCCTGGCTTTGGTCAAGTCTCTGTGCCTGTTTCTGACCTCTCACCTGCAAAATGAATGAATTGACCTCCATCAGCGTTTTTCAACCTTGAAACCCAACTCTTCTCATCACCGTCTTGTCTCCAGTCCATGTCCCCCAGCTCCCGGCCTTGAACTCCTCACAGCACCCCCACTCTCCATTCCTGGCTGCGATGATCCTACTTTTATTCCGTTTTCCATTCGACAGTTTGTATCCAAAAATGATTTTTTTTCAACCGCTTCTTCATCGTCCAAATAGAAAATTGCGGTGTTGAAGGTGCTTTTGCACATTGCACCTATTCCCAAAGCTTTGGAAACTGCAAATTTCTGGAAATCCCGAGGCAGTACCGTCCCTCGGGTCCAGTCTGGTGACTCAGTGGAGCAGGTAGAGACGTGGGAATCTCCCCTTTCTGTTTGGCTGTAGGATTCGTTATTCTCTCCCCACATGGACTTGTTAACTTGCTGCTTCCCATTCCTCATCTCTTCCAAATGGTGTGTCTTGGGTGGGCCTAGATTTCAGTTAGGCAAGGGTTGATTGTGCCAGACACTTGGTAGATTCCTGGGGACAGAGGTGAATCCTTATGACCCAGAGGACGGACACGCTAATGCCCGCCCCCGACAACTTTGCACTTCCTCTTCAGAAAGAATGGAGTTCAAGCTGGGCCGCGGTGGCTCAGGCCTGTAATCCCTTTGGGAGGCCAAGGTGGGTGGATCACAAGGTCAGGAGTTCAAGACCAGCCTGACCAATATGGAGAAACCCTGTCTCCACTAAAAATACAAAAATTAGCCCGGCGTGGTGATGTGCGCCTGTAGTCCCAGCTACTCTGGAGGCTGAGACAGGAGAATTGCTTGAACCCAGGAGGCGGAGTTTGCAGCCAGCCAAGATTGCGCCATTGCACTCCAGTCTGGGTGACAGAGCAAGATGCCCTCAAAAATAATAATAATTAAAAAAAAGAATGGAATTCAGATCAGGTCATCAGTACGGTGACAGAGGGGCCACAAGATATTATGGGGGGAGAATTAGGGACAACCAATGCAAGCTTTAGGACAAGGGGGATTCCAGCAAGTTTCCTCGGAAGTAGTGGCTGGCCCCAGGTCAAACCTGGAAAGATACCACGTGTTAAACCACTCCGGGTGGAAGGGATTGCACAAGCAGATACCTTTGAAGCCCGGCCTGTACAGGGCATCCCAGCTCTCTCATTCTGCCAACCGGCAGTGCGAGGGTCCTTGTTCTTATCTTCCTGATACAGAAACAGGCCCAGGCAGGTGATGACTTCAGAGATGGTTCCTTGAGCTTTCTAGAAACATGCAGGATCCTTAGTAACCTTTAACTGGGGAAACCCAAATCTCCAGGGCCGTTTCTCACCCGCATCACCATTGACAGTTGGGGCTGTGCACTGTAGAATGTGGAATAGTGTCCCTGGCTGTCACCCATGAGATGCCAGTAGTATTCCATCCCCTCCAAGGGGTAACAACTGAAAATGACTCCAGCCATGGCCACGTGTCCCCTGGGGGCAGAATCACCTCCCCCGCCAGGTGAAATGTGATGCTCATTAGTAAAACCTGGTTCCCCTCTAGGGCCCATCATTGCCTTGGTGGGTCCTTGGTGTTTGTGGAGCCCCTGAGGAACTGCCACTAAGAGTGGGAACAGGGGCAGAGACCAGGAACTGAATCCTGCCATCCAGTCAGTTCTTAATCAGGAGGGAGCGGGTCTTGATAAAAAGGAGGAACCGTTAGGAACGGACTGTGGGAGGGTAGGCAACGTGCCCGAGGGTGGACAGCGGGTGCCCTTGTCTTTTCTTTGTCTTGTGACTGACCTGGATTTCTGGAGGAACTGTCCTCGTCTTAGAATGATCTGTTGCTTTTCTTCTGAGATTAGAGGTATTAGATTCTCTCCCAAGAGCTACTTTGGAGGTTGCCCCGGATAAACGTCGCTTTTGTAAGCTGCATTATCTCTTCCATGGGCCCTTTCGCCCGCCCGTTCCCAAGCACATACTGCTGAATTTTTGTTCTTGGTCCATCTTGCTGTCCCCTTCCCTGCTTGGCCCCCTCCTTGACCGTGACTTTGCTGCTTTACCTTGATTGGAGGAGACGCTCTGGGGCCACGGGACTGACGGTCCCTTCTGGGTGCTGCCCCCACACCCCACCCACCAGCCCTTTGTGTGCCCGGCATCCCCAGCCCAGCTGTGCCAGGCTGCCCCTGCTCGGCCGGCCATTCAGACGGCCCCAGGCGGCCTCTCGGCAAAGCAAGACAAGCCCTTCTCTTCTGCCCTCGTGGTCCCTGGAGTGGCAGAACAAAGGGCTCTGTCTCCACACCAGCCCACCGCCGCAGCCCAGAGCCCCGTTCCCTTTCAATTTCTATCGTGGCTGGGAAAGAGCCTCAGAGATTAGGCATGTTTCAGAAATGCAGCTGACGAGTTTGGGTTCTACTCATTTCCTCAGCGAGACTTTCTGAGCCCGAGCCCGATGATAAATAAAGTAGTGATTCAAGGGTTCAGCCCATGGGTTCGTCGGAGTGATGAATAAGATATCCTTGTCTGACTCACTTGTTTAAAACCCATCTCTGCCCTGCTGCACAGGGCTGTATGTGCAAGAGAAGGAGCCCCGCTAGGGGTGTTTCATGACTGTTGTTGCTGGGTGCCTGAGTTTGCTAGGGCTGCTGTAACAGAACCGCACGCTGGGTGGCCAGAACGACAGAAGTATATTGGCTTGCAGTTCTAGAGGCCAGACGTTTAAGATCACATTCAAGATCAAGGTGTTGGCAGGGTTCGTGCCTTCGGAGGGCTGTGAGAATCTGTTCCACGCCTCTCTCTGTTGGCTCATACATAGCCGTCTTCCCCTGGGTCTTCACATCGTCCTCCCTCTGTGCCTGTCTCTGTGTCCAAATTTCCTCTTATGAGGACAGCAGTCATATGGAAGGGGGCCCACCCTAATGACATCATTTTAACTGAATCATCCCCATAAAGACCCTGTCTCTAGGCGAGGCTTGGTGGCACACGCCTGTAATCTCAGCCCTTTGGGAGGCTGAGGCAGGAGGATCACTTGAGGCCAGGAGTTTAAGACCAGCCTGGACAACATAGCAAGATCCCATCTCTACAAAAAAATACTAAAATTAGCTAGACATGATGGTGAATGCCTGTGGTCCCAGCACTTTAAGAAGCTGAGACAGACAGATCGCTTGAGCCTGGGAGTTTGAGGCTACAGTGAGCTATGATCATGGCACTGCATTCCAGCCTGGGTGACAGAACGACACCCCCATCTCTTAAAAAAAAAAAAAATCCCAAATATACTCATACTCTGAAGTTCTGAGGTTTAGGATTTCAATATGTGAATATTTCTTTGTGGAGGGGAGTGGTGGACACAGCTCAGCCCATAATACTGAGAAAAGGACAAATTCAAATTACATTTTTATTTATTTGTTTATTTATTTTGGGGGCGGGGGCAGAGTCTCACTCTGTCACCCAGGCTGGGGTGCAGTGACGCGATCTCAGCTCACTGCAACCTCTGTCTCCCAGGTTCAAGTGATTCTCCTGCCTCAGCCTCCCGAGTAGCTGGGACTACAGGCGTGCGCCACCACGCCCAGCTACTTTTTGTATTTTTAGTAGAGATGGGCTTTCATTGTGTTGACCAGGCTGGTCTTAAACTCCTGACATCAGGTGATCAGCCCGCTCGGACTCCCAAAGTGCTGGGATAACAGATGTGAGCCACCGTGCCCGGCCTCAACTTACATTTTTAGATAATATAGGAACCTGGAGGGAAATGATCGTGTCAATAGAGAATAGGTCCATTTTGTCTCTTCTCACTCCTTTAAATAAACACTTTAAGGGTGAGCAGGTTGGTTGGCCACATCAATTTTGGACGCTCCCTGTTTTCCAGATCTCACACTCATACATTCAGGGGTGACTAAAGAGAGGTGAGAGGCCTGGTGCAGTGGCTTACGCCTGTAATCCCAGCACTTTGGGAGGCCGAGGTGGGAGGATCACCTAAGGTCAGGAGTTTGAGACCAGCCTGGCCAACATGATGAAACCCAGTCTCTACTAAAAATACAAAAATTAGCTGGGTGTAGTGGCACACACCTGTAATCCCAGCTGCTTGGGTGGCTGAGGCAGAAGAATTGCTTGAACCCAGGAGGCAGAGGTTGCAGTGAGCCGTGATCTTGTGCCACTGCACTCCAGCCTGGGCAAGAGAGTAAGATCCCATCTCAAAAAAAAAAAAAAAAAAAAGAGGCGAGGACCCAGCCCAGGGCGGAGTGGGTCCCATGGGATTTTACAGGGGATGTGTTGAGGGCCAGGTCCACAAGGCTGCGTGTGCCTGGTGGGGAAGCAGGATGAAGTTTACAAACAGGGCATGGGGCGGGGGTATATCTCTGTTCTCAGTATTGCCAGGGTCAGGGGCAAGGAATATCCAAAAGTAACTACACTCTTGGACCCAAGTGACCTTAGGACCAACTGCTGTCACAAGTGATTGAACAAAAGAAGTTTCTGGAAGGTCTTAAAATCCTTCAGCAAAAAGGAAGTATTGGCTGGGAGCCAGGCTCAGAGCTGGCCCTTGGGGAGACTGAGGAGAACAGAAATAGCCCTCGCCTCTGTTCAGATGTTCAGCCAGGAGTCACGAGCATGGAAGTCAAATTAACAGCCCAGTGGGGTCTGTGAAGGTGCCGGCAGCAGGCGAGCCTGTGACGGGAGCCTGCCTGGCCTGGGGACTCGCTTATGGGGGAAGTGGGAGACCTGAGAGCTTCCCCAGTCAGCCGTGCCCTGGGTCTTCTGCCTGCGAGGTGGGCACCGCTGCTTCCTCACGAGTGAAGTCACAGCAGCACAGCAGCAGTGGGAGGCTCAAGGCTTTGCTGTGGATCTTCCTGGGCTCACTGCTCAGAGCATCTCCACGAGGAGGCGTCTGCCACCTCCTGCATCCCATTCCAGGGCAGACGAGATCGGGGGCAGGAGGGTGACATTTGAGATTTTGATTCCCAGGGTATGGGTACTCACGTGGGGCTTTAATTTCCTGGTGAATGTGCCATGGGGGGCAAGGGGTAGCTTGCCCACTGCTTGGGAAGACCCCTGGGGTCCTTGTCTTGTCACGTGGAGATGCTGTTTATTGGGTAGGCACAAGAACAAGAGAGGCGGAGAAAGTGTGATCGTACTTATTTGGCCCATAGGTGCCGTGGAAACTGGTTCCTTTCCCCTGGGTGGTCCCTCGGGAGTCAGGCCCATGATTTAGCAGGGAAGGGAGAAGGTAAGGGTTGGGGTGTCCTGGAGTGCAGAAAGTGGCCTGAACCGGGGCAGGTACGTCCTCAAGGCTGGCTCCCTCTTGCACTCCGCACTCTCAATATCCTGCAGCCAAGTGAGCGTGGGGTTGGAACCATGCTAACATGTCAAGTGCCCGTGGGTCCTCGAGGAGGCTGAAAGTGTGTGAATCTTGCTTTTTTTTTTTTTTTTTTTTTTGAGACAGGGTCTCACTCTGTCACCTAGGATAAAGTGCAGAGGCATGATCTTGGCTCACTGCAGGCTTGACAACCTCCCTGGGCTCAAGTGATCGTCCTACCTCATTCTCCCTAGTAGCTTGGGACTACAGGCTGTCACCACCACGCCAGGCTAATTTTTGTATTGTTTATAGAGACAGGGTTTCACCATGTTGCCTGGTCTTGAACTCCTGGGCTCAAGTGATCACCCGCCTCAGCCTCCCAAAGTGCTGGGATTACAGGCGTGAGCCACCACGCCCAGCCACTTTTCTGATTGATTTAAAGCATATCTTCTCAGCTGCAGCATTGGTGACATTGGGGGCAGATCATTCTCTTGGGTAGCAGCTGCCGTCTGCACTGTAGGGTGTTGAACAGCATCCCCGGCCTCCACCCTTCAGATGCCAGTAGCACCCCCTGCTCTGTGTCTGGATAACCAGAAATGTCTCCAGACATGGCCAAGTGTCTCCTGGAGGGCAGAGTCAGCTCTGGGTGAGAAACACTAGTTCCGGGTTCTGTTGACTCCTAAGTGACTTTGCGTCTGTCATCATCTGACTGACCGAAGTCCTAGGATGCTGCCCTCTTTTTTTTTTTTTTTTTTGAGACTGAGTTTCGTTCTTGTTGCCCAGGCTGGAGTGCAATGGCACGGCCTCGGCTCACTGCAGCCTCCACCTCCCAGCTTCAAGTTACCGATTCTCCTGCCTCAGCCTCCCAAGTAGGTGGGGTTACAGGCACCCGCTACCACGCCCAGCTAATTTTTATATTTTTAGTAGAGATGGAATTTCACCATGTTGGCCAGGCTGGTCTTGAATTCGTGACCTCAGGTGATCCACCCACCTCAGCCTCCCAAGGTGCTGGGATTGCAGATGTGAGCCACCATGCCCAGCCCGCACATTTAAATACACAAAGTGAATGGGGAAGGAGAGAGGAGAGAAATCAGAGAGGCTAGGTGGATTCTCCTGGTTAATAACCCTTTGGGTTAATAACCCTTTGGGGGCCAAGTGATTACATGCCTGTAATCCCAGCACTTTGGGAGGCGGAGGTGGGAGGATCCCTTGGGCCCAGGACTTCCAGACCAGCCTTGGCAACATAGTGAATCCCCGTCTCTACAAAAAAGATACAAAAATTAGCCAGGTATGTTGACACATGCCTGTGGTCCCAGCTACTCAGGAGGCTGAGGCCGGAGGATCACTTGAGCCTGGGAGGTTGAGGCTGCAGTGAGCCAAGATGGTGCCACTGCACTCCAGCCTGGGTGACAGAGTGAGACTCATCTCAAAAAAAAAAAAAATTATTGGGAATGTATTCTGTGTATTCTGGTATTTAGTGTGAGGAAAGAATCAATTTTTTTCCAAATAATTAATGTAGGGTCTCTCACCCTCAGCACTGCTGATATTTGTGGCTGGGTCCCTCTCTGTGGTGGGACCCTGAGCACCACGGGGTGTGGACCAGCATTTCCAGCCTCAACCTTCTTCATGTTGGTAGCATCCTCCCTGTCCCAACAACCCTTAATATGTCTCTGGGCCAGGCGCAGTGGCTCACATCTGTAATCCCAACACTTTGGGAGGCTGAGGCAGGCAGATCACTTGAAGCTAGGAGTTTGAGACCAGCCTGGCCAACATGGTGAAATCTTGTGTCTACTAAAAATACAAAAAAAAAAAAAAAGAAAAAAAGAAAAACACACACACACACAAAATTAGCCAGGTATGGTGTGGTGCACCTGTAATCCCAGCTACTTGGGAGGCTGAGGCAAAACAATCGCTTGAACCCGGGAGGTGGAGGTTGCAGTGAGCCAAGATCATGCCACTGCACTCCAGCCTGGGCAACAGAGCAAGACTCTGTCTCAAAGGGAAAAAAACATGTCTCGGGACAGAGGTTGCCAAGTGTCCCTGAGGACAGAGTCAGCTCCAGGGGAGAAACAATGATATAGAAGAACACCAAGCTTTTGAGGGGCAAGCAGAGCCTGTTGAGACCTACAGGTCAAGCCCGTGACTGGCCTGAGGTGACTTCTTTCTCCCCTGCCTTTGTGGTGTGATCACCAGGGTCCCTGGCACAGGGATGAGCTTCAAGGGGAGCTGGGGAGTGGCTGTTTCACCGAAGACACTGGTGGCAGCAAATCCTGAGACCATTGTCCCCCACCATCCAGTTCCGCTCTCAGGTGATCAGAAAATGGAACGAGCTCCCTGTGTCCTTTGTAGAAACCAGGCAGAGGGTGGGTTTCATGGCCAGGAGGAGGAGCATCTGTCTGAAGGCCGCAAGGGCTGGGTCACAGATGGGCAGCATTGGGAGATCCTGGCAGGCAGAGAGCACTCCACGTGGAAACTAGAAGCATGGGGCAGATGGGGGGCCAGGTAGCGAGCCACCTAGGCAGCTCAGCAGATGTGGAGAATGGGAATAAACTTGGGGGGTCTTTGGGGGAATCAGTGGGATAGGTGATAGCTAAAAGGTACAGGGTTTCTTTTTAAGGTGATGTAAATGTTCTAGCCAGGGGCAGTGGCTCATGCCTGTAATTCCAGCTCTTTGGGAGGCTGAGGCAGGAGAATCACTTGAGCCCAGAAGTTTGAGACTGGCCTGGGCAACATAGGGAGATCCCGTCTTTAATAAAAAAAAAAAAAAATTGAAAAATTTACCGAATGTGGACTTGCACCTGTAGTCCCAGCTACTCCAGAAGCTGAGGTGGGAGGATTACTTGAACCCAGGAGTTCGAGACCGGCCTGGGCAACATAGGGAGACCCCTGTTCTTACCCTGGGGATGGCTTTCCTCCGGGCGTGACGACAGATGAGCTGTGTGATTGCACAGCAGGATACAAGGGTTTTTCCTCTGCCCTTCCAGACCCGCGTCCCTGGCTGCCCTCCCTATCTTCGTTACAAGCCCACAGGTCACCCGAGAAGGACCTGCAGCCCAGCCACCACCCAGTGGCTCTGCCTTCTACCTGTGACCAGAACCCACCTGTGTCTCATGGGCCTGACCCAGGCCACTGTCAGCTCCCGCCAAGGCACCCACAGGACGTGCTTCCACCAAGGCCCCCCAGAGTCCATCTGCCACAGATGGTGACATTTTCTTAATGTCCCTCTGGTCCTGGTGCCCCTGCATCAAACCACACGGGGCTCCCCTGTCGGACTTGCATGAAAATCTAACCACATTTGCAGGGCCCTGGAAGATCTGACCTTCCCCATCTCAGCTTCTCTCTCCCGGCCTCCAGCCTTGGACCCACCGGCCACACTGGGCTCCTTGTTCTCAGACCCACTCTGGCCCCGCCTGCCCATTCCCCGCCCTCGCCTGGGCTGCTGTCCTCAAGCTCTGGGCACGTCCAGCTCGTTTGCACTGTACAGGCCTCAGCAACCATTTGCCCTGAGCGCCGCCCCACAGGTTCCTATCCCCAGCTTCCCCACCTTGGCCCGGCTCGTATTGGGGCCAATTATTTTTTGCTGTGGGGGCCGTGCTGTGCACTGTGGGACACTGAGTGGCATTCCTGGCCTCCACCTACCATTTGCAGTATCCCCTCGCCACAAGTGGTAACTTCCAAAATGTCTCCATGGCCAGGTGCAATGGCTCACGCCTGTAATTCTAACACTTTGGGAAGCTGAGGCGGGCAGATCGCTTGAGGCCAGGAGTTCAAGACCAGCCTGGCCAACATGGAGAAACCCTGTCTCTACTAAAAATACAAAAATTAGCTGGGTGTGGTGGCACACGCCTGTTGTCCCAGCTACTCGGGAGGCTGAGGCACGAGAATCACTTGAACCTGGGAGGCAGAGGTAACAGCGAGCTGAGATAGCGCTACTGCACTTCAGCCTGGAAAACAGAGCAAGACTTCGTCTCAAAAAAAAAAAAAGTCTCCAGACATTGTCAGATGTCTGTCCCAGCAGGGACAGACTCACTGCTGGCTGAGAACTGCAGTGTTAGCACAGTTATGCTGGATTTTTCCTCCCCAAAGCACTTATCACTGTTGCTAATACCTCCTTGCTTTGTGGTGAGTGTGTTATCCGTCTCCTTCACCTCCCCATTCTCTCTCCTGTGCCCAGCATCAGCCTGGCCCGGGGTGAGCACTGAAGGAACATTTGTTAACCATATGTTGAAAGAAGGCAGCCTCCTCTGAAACATCAGCACAGATCACAGGGAGGGAGACCCCAGGGCCTGGAGGGGTGGGCGTATAGCACAGGTCGGAGAGCACTTGGGCCACGGGGAGGCGGGTGGCCAGAATGCGCTGAAAGAACACATACCTGGGAAGGGACTTTCTCCAGGGCGTGGGGTTTAGAACAGTCAGGCCAGATGGAAGGTCTGGGGGAATGTCTTGGGGAAGACAAGGGACAAACTGAACACGTTCAGAAGAACACATTCAACTCCCCATGGGTGAGCGTGGAATTGGCAGAAGTCACGAGAGAGCATTTGGGATGAGCTTCTTGGGAATATTCGGCTAAGGCAGAAAAAAGGCTGGAGCAACCGAAGGGCTCACCCAGCTACCTTCTGGCCTGAGTGTTCCACTCAAGGTGTTCTGCACTGGGCAACTGGATTCATGTCCTGGGGCTTCCATAACTAAGTACCTATCCTGGGTGGCTGAGGAGGCCACAAGTCTGAAATGAAGGTGTTGGCCAGGCACGGTGCCTCACACCTGTAATCACAATACTTTGGGAGGCCGAGGCGGGTGGATCACCTGAAGTCAAGAGTTCACGACCAGCCTGACTAATGTGGTGAAACCCTGTCTCTAGTAAATACAAAAAAATTAGCCAGGTGTGGTGGTGCATGCCTGTAATCTGAGCTACTTGGGAGGCGGAGACAGGAGAATCACTTGTACCTGGGAGGCGGAGGTTGCAGTGAGCCGAGATCGCGCCATTGCACTCCACCGTGGGCAACAAGAGCAAAACTCCGTCTCAAAAAAAAAAAAAACGAAAATTAGCCAGGCGTGGTGGTGGGTGCCTGTCATCCCAGCTACTCGGGAGGCTGAGGCGGGAGAATAGCTTGAACCCAGGAGGTGGAGGTTGCAGTGAGCCGAGATCGCACCACCGCACTCCAGCCTGGGCAACAGAGCAAGAGTCCATCTCAAAAAAGGTGTCAGCAGGACCACACTCCCTCTGGAGGCTCTACGGGAGGACCCTTCCTGCCTGTTCTAGCTTCTGGGGCTCCAGGTGTTCCATGGCCTGTGGCCACATCACTCCAATCCCCACCTCCATCTTTATTCACGTGCCGCCTTCTCTCTGTGTGCACATGTCTCTTTTCCTTTTATAAGGACGCCAGTCTTTGGATTTGGGGCCCACCCTTGTCCAGTACAACCTGATCTTAACTGACTACATCCCCAAAGGCCTTATTTCCAAACAAGGTCACATTCTGAGGTTCGCGGTAAGCATGAGTTTTGGGGAGCACGAATGAACTCCCCACTGGAAATGCCTCTCTTTGTAATTTTGCCCTGCGGACGCTGTTTCTTGGCCCTGCTGGCTCCCCCAGCTGCTCCCCGAGGAGTTTCCCATCCCTGCTCTGTCCCACCCCTAGGACCTGGCCCCTTAGCAGGGCCTGGGCCACCAATGATGCCCACCAATTCCTGTGATGTCCTGTACCAGACCGTGGTATGAGCCCATTGACCTCTGCAGTGGATTCTTGGAAGCAGCCCCACTTACTTTGTTTATTTACTTATTTGTGTGTGTGTGAGAGAGAGAGAAACAGGATCTGTCTCTGTTGCCCAGGCTGGAGTGCAGTGGCGCCATCACGGCTCACTGCAGCCTCGACCTCCCAGGCTTAAGTGATTCTCCCACCTCAGCCTCCTGAGTACCTGGGACCACAGGTGCATGCCACTATGCCCGGCTCATTTTTTATTTTTTGTAGAATTGGGGGGTCTTTCTTTGTTGCCCAGGCTGGTCTCAAACTCCTAGGCTCAAGTAGCCTCCCAAAGTGCTAGGATTACAGGAATAAGCCACCACGCCTGGCCATATCCCCACTTTCTGAAATGCCCCAAAAGAGCTTAGTTCCTCCCTCCTGTCACCTGCAGTGGGCCATCTCTTGGAGTTTTCTTAACAATTTCTTCTCTTGAGTGTCCTCTTCCTCCCGACTGGCACGTGAGCGTGGCCATCTTATGGTTAGGTTGCAGGTGTAGAAAAATGAGGACAAAGGTCTCTAAGTCGTCCTCCCACTCTGAGCCACCCTGACCAATAGGCTGACTTTGTGGTCATTCCTTCGTGTGTGTGTGTCCATCTTTCCCATACTGCCCATGAGCGTTTCTTCTAAAAAAAAAAAAAATCCTCAACAGGATCAGGGAAATGTACACAAAATGTGAAATGCACTGAATGCTGCACGATGCATCCTAAATGAGTCTGCTGTAATGCTAGTTAGCCTTCCCTTAGCTTGAGAATGATTTCATCCTATAAACATGTGGCTTCAAATTATGGCCTTATATAAACGAAACGGCTACGCCACACTTTCTGGAGGCCCCGTCCGGAGGCCTTTATTCTCCAGTAAATTCCGAATCCTCCGCCAAACTGGTAGGCAGAACCCTACTTTCTGTGCAGCCGGCCTTGAGAGCGGCTAATTCACATCCGGCCACTGACCCCCACCCCCAGGGCCTGTTTTTTTTCGTTGTCATGCCTTTCCTTGCACCTCCTTTCTATGAGAACACAAGGAAAAGGCCCTGAATTGAGATTGGCATTTTTTCAGAGTGCAGAAAGCATATACTGGCCTGGTTTTACATAGCCATTTCTTTTTGCACCGCTCCGTTTTTTTAAAAGGAGTGATCATTTTTATTGTAGTGAAATGCACATAACGTGTAATTTATCATGAGTAACATTCAGTGCATTCACAGTGTTGTGCCAACACCAGCTCTATCTGATTCCAGAACACTTTCATTCCCCAAAAGGAAACCCCGTCCCCATTAGCCATCACTCCCCACTCCTCATCCCCTAGCTCCTGACAACGACTCATCACTTTCTGTGTCTGTGGATTTGTCTGTTCTGGCATTCTGGACATTTCTATAAATGGAGTCACACCCCATATGGTCTTTCGTGTCTGACTTCTCTCACTCAGCATCATGTTTTTTAGTTTCATCCACGTTATAGCATGAATCGGTGCTTCCTTCCTTTTTTTTTTTTTTTTTTTTTTTTTTTTTTTTTTTTTTTTTTTGAGATAAGGTCTGGCCCTGTTGGCCAAGTTGGAGTGCAGTGGCACAATCTTGGTTCACTGCAGCCTCTGCCTCCCAGGCCCAAGCCATCTTCCCACCTCAGCCTCCTGAGTAGCTGGGATTACAGGCACACACCACCACACCTGGCTAATTTTTGTGTTGTTTTTTTTCTGTAGAGACGAGGTTTCGCCATGTTCCCGAGGCTGGTCTTGAACTCATGAGCTCAAGCGGTCTGCCGGCCTTGGCCTCGCAAAGTGCTGAGATTAGAGGCGTGAGCCGCCTCACTCAGCCTTCATTCCTTTTTATGGCCAAATAATATTCTGTTGGATGAATGGGCCACGTTGTGTTTTTCCATTTATCCGTTGACAGGCACTTTGTTACCACTTTTTGGCATTTCTTCGAGGATCTTTATAGTCTGACAGTTTGATTTTCATTTGGTGACAAGGGGATTGTTCTTACACAAGGCCTTGGTCGTACTGATGCTGTCAGCTGGAGGATGTATTTTGCTTCCTGTTCACATTGTCTGTGCGTGGGATGGTCATGAGTCAGGTGGTAGAGCGGGTGTGTTAGCCTTGGGGTATTTTGGTGAGACAATTCGGTTTAAGGAAGGAAACACGTTTTCAGGACCCGTACCCCAAAACACAACCATAACCCGAGGTCGCCACTTGGCTGAGCTGTCCCCCACAGGGACTTCAGGTCCCTGGTTCCTCCATCCCCAATCTGCTTCCTTCCATTCCCGCCAGAACCAGGGTATTTTCCAAGGGCAGGTTTCACATCCACTTGGGGCAGGGATCTTAAGCCACAGTAAGACTAATTTCCAGGTCCCAGGTCTCCTGGGAAACCCCAAAAGACTGAGCCCTGCCGAGTGAGAACATTCTCTGAAGCTCTGATAATCAAAACAGCGTGGCACCTCACAAGCCTCAGCAGCCCAGAGGCGGACCACATGTATAAAATAACGCCATGTGTAGTATTTAACAAAGGAGGCTCCCCAATCCAGGGAGGGAAGGATTCTTTCACAAAAGGCATGAAAACAGTTGCTTCCATGTTTGGAAGCAGTTTTGTTTTGTTTTTTGTTTGTTTTTTTGATACATGGTCTTGCTCTGTGGCCCAGGCTGGAGTGCAGTGGCATGATCACAGCTCACTGCAGCCTTGGCCTCATGGGCTCAGGCAATCCCCCTGCCTCGGCCTCCCGAGTAGCTGGGATTATAGATGTGCACCACCACGCCCAGCTAATTTTTTAATTTTTTATAGAGATGGCGTCTTGTGGCCAGGCACAGTGGCTCACACCTGTAATCCCAGCACTTTGGGAGGCCGAGGTAGGAGGGTCACTTGAGGTCAGGAGTTTGAGACCAGCCTGGCCAACATGGTGAAACCCCATCTCTACTAAAAATACAAAAATTAGCTGGGTATGGTAGTGTTCAGGCCCAGGTATAGGGGGTCAGCCCAGAGCTGTGGGTGAAAGGACAGGCCCATGGTCCCACCTGTGGGAGCAGGAGAGGACCAGGCCGATGAGCCTTGCAGGGGGCACGCCAGCTTGTGGTCCCAGCTAGTTTCTGCTCCCACCACCCCCATCCCACTCCCAGGGAGGGATGTCCCTTCTAGGGCTACCCCCTTCCCTGCAGCCCTGGCTGCTCAGCAGCCGCCTTGAGCAAGCCCTTATCCACTTCCTCCTGGCCTGGGGGCGGGGCACGCATCTGCCAGTCCTGTGACCGTCCCCTTCAGCCCCATCTCTGAGAGTGGGGTTTCCTGAGAGTCTGCCCTTCTGCCCCGCACACCAGGGGCCCAGAGCTGCAGAAGCCCCCACAGGCTTTGTTCCCAGCAGGGCTCAGAGGGCTCCTGGTGCTCCATCAGCAGTCCCTGGAGGACACGGAGCAGTCTCAAGTGCAGCCGTCCATGTGGCCTTCAGCCCTTGTGATTCCATGAGCTAGCATCAGCCGTCCCCTCAGTGGGTGGCAGAGGCTGCCGGGAGCAGAAGAAAGAGCCCATCCTTGGGTTCTCCTGGCTTCTCGCTCAGAGCTGCTCTCTGCTGTGAAGGAGGAAGTAGGCATATCCCAGTGAGTTTTGCGTCGCCTACATCCAGGCAGCTCAGCCATAAGTCAGCCCAAAGCCCGCCAGCTGGGAGCTGCACTGAGCCCCTGGTCACAAAAGTGAACGTCACAGGACGGGCCAACTCTGCCCAGGCCTCGCTGTGTGCACATACACAGGTGTACGCATGTATGTAGGCATGAACATGTGGGTGGACATGTGCATGCAAGTGTTTTGTGTACAAGCATATACGTGTGGCTGGGCACATGTGTGTGCATGAGTGTTCATATGGAAGTATATGCTGGGCGAGGCGGCTGGATCACTTGAGGCTAGAAGTTGGAGACCAGCCTGGCCAACATGGCAAAGCCCTGTCTCTATTAAAAGTACAAAAATTAGCCAGACGTGGTGATGCACGCCTATATCCCAGCTACATGGGAGGCTGAAGCACGAGAATCTCTTGAACCCAGTAGGCAGAGGTTGCAGTGAGCTGAGATCGCACCGCTGCATTCCAGCCTGGGTGACAGAGCAAGGCTCCGTCAAAAAAAAAAAAAAAAAAAAAGCGCTTGCACATATGTTTTTTCATACCTGTGTCCTTGTATGCATGTGCATGCATGTGAGTGTGTATACAAGCATATGACTATGTGTACAAGCATGTGTGTGCATAGTGTGTCCATGTGTGTGCTGTGTTTATATGAGCATGGGTGTGTCCTATGTTGTGTTCACAGAGGTGTGTTCATGTTTGTATACTGTATGCACAGAAGTGTGTGTATTCACATGTGTTTCCTCTGTGTACATGCAAGCACATGGAAGTACATATGCCAGTGCACACACACATTCATGCATGTGTGATTAAGACATGTATCTTGGCCAGGCACTGTGGCTCACACCTGTAATCCTGGCACTTTGGGAGGCTGAGGTGGGCGGATCACCTGAGGTCAGGAGTTGGAGACCAGCCTGACCAACATGGTGAAACCCTGTCTCAACCAAAAATACAAAAAATTAGCTGGGCGTGGTGGTGCACGCCTGTAATCCCAACTACTTGGGAGGCTGAGGCAGGAAAATGGCTTGAACCTGGAGGCAGAGGTGCAGTGAGCCAAGATCGTGCCACTGCACTCCAGCCTGGGCAACAAGAGTGAAACTCCCATTTCAAAAAAAAAAAAAGAAAAAGACATATATCTTCGGTTTGGGCTCCTGTATTCCTTACCTGGATTAGAAGTGCGTAAACCTCTGTCCATCTTCCTTGGCCCTGTGGAGCTGCCTGGGAACATTCCATGATTAACTCTCGTGGCGTCCTGGGACGACCAGGTGAGCGATACCATGTGGCACCTGGGAACCTGACGTACCTTTAGATTTCCGACCATCTCCCTGCTGTGGTGTCTGAGGAACTGTGCCTGGGCTCAAGGGCTGAACTTTTGAATACAGAGTAAGAAGTTTTAGAAAGATAAACTCCTGGGGAAATGGGATCTTTTAAATCCATGTAATTTTTAAAGCAGTTTTTTTGCGGGGGGTGGGGGGGGGGGTGGTTTGAGATAGGTTCTTGCCCTGTGGCCCAGGCTGCGGTGCAGTAGTGCAGTCACTGCTCACTGCAGCCTCCACCCGCTGGGCTCAAGTAGTCCTGCCACCTCAGCCTCCCAAGTAGCTGGGACTAAAGGTGTGTGCCACTATGCCCAGCTAATTTATTTATTTATTTATTTATTTATTTATTTATTTACTTTGTAGAGTTACCTAGTTGTGTGGCCCAGGCTGGTGTCAAATTCCTTGGCTCAAGCAATCTGCCCTCCTCAGCCTCCCAAAGTGCTAGGATTGTAGGCATGAGCCACTGCAGCTGGCTTTGTTGTTGTTGTTGTTGTTGTTGTTGTTGTTGTTGTTAAGACGGAGTTTTGCTCTGTTCCCCGGGCTGGAGTGCAATGGCGCAATCTCGGCACACTGCAATCTCCACCTCCCGAGTTCAAGGGATTCTCCTGCCTCAGCCTCCCGAGTAGCTGGGATTACAGGCATGCGCCACCATGCCTGGCTAATTTTGTATTTTTAGTAGAGACGGGATTTCTCCATGTTGGTCAGGCTGGTCTCGAACTCCCAACCTCAGGTGATCTGCCCACCTTGGCCTCTCAAAGTACTGGAATTACAGGCGTGAGCCACCACGCTCGGCCAAGCACCTGGCCTTTTTAAGCAGTTTTATCCAGGTGAAATTGTTGCATAATAGGCTGCACTTACTCAGTGTGCCAACAGCCATGAGCCCACCACCACGACCAATGCCATAAACACATCCATCATCTGAAAAGTGTCCTCAGGCCTCTTGGCATCCCTCCCCACTCCACATCCCCAAGCAGCCACCGATCAGCTTTCTGTCTTCATAGGTCAATTTGCATTTTCTAGAATGTTATATACATGGAATCATACAGTATAGGCTCTTTTTAAAACTTAATTAAGGAAAAGTCACAAAAGGTAAAATTCACCATCTAAAGTGTGTAATTTGGCTGGGTGTGGTAGCTTAAACCTGTAATCCCAGCACTTTGGGAGGCTGATACAGGCAGAATGCTTGAGCCCAGGAGTTTGAGACCAGCCTGGGCAACATGATGAAACCCAGTCTCTACTAAAAATACAAAAATTAGGCAGGCGTGGTGGCATGTGCCTGTAGTCCCAGCTGCTCAGGAGGCTGAGGTGAGAGGTTTGCTTGAGCCAGGGGAGGTTGAGACTGCAGTGAGCCACAATTGCACCACTGGACTCCAGCCTGGGCAACAGAATGAGATCCAGTCTCAAAAATAAAAATTTGGCCAGGCGCAGTGGCTCATGCCTGTAATTCCAGCACTTTGGGAGGCTGAGGTGGGCAGATCACTTGAAGTCAGGAGTTCCAGACCAGCCTGGCCAACATGGCGAAACTCTGTCTCTACCAAAAATAGAAAAATTAGCTCGGTGTGGTGGCGGATGCCTGTAATCCCCTGAGATTGGAAGGGAGGCTGAGGCAGGAGAATCGCTTGAACCCAGGACGTGAAGGTTACAGTGAGCCAGGGTCGCAGCACTGCAATGGAGTGCAAGACTGTGTCTCAAAAAAGAAAAAAAAATTAAGTGTGCTAGTCAGTGCATTCACCGTGTTGTGCAACGACCAGCTCTATCTGATTCCAGAACATTTTCATCCCCTTAAAAGGAAACGCGGTCCCCATGAGCAGTCACTCCCTATTCCCCCTCCCGGAGTCCCTGGCAACCACCAATCTGCTTCCTGTCTCTATGGATTTGCCTGTTCTGGACATTTCATATCAATGGAATCATACACCATGTGGCTTTTTTGCGTCTGGCTTCTCTCAGCTTCATGTTTTTGGGGTTCATCCATGTTGTAGCACGGAGCAGTGGTTCCTTCCTTTTTATGGCTGAATCATACTCCGTTGTGTGGATGGACCACGTTTTGTGTATGCATTCATCTGCCGATGGACATGGGGTTGTTTCCACCTTTCGGCTATTGTGAATAGAGCTGCAGTGGACATTGGTGTACAAGGAATTGAGTCGCTGCTTTCTATTCTTTTGGGTCTATACCTGGGAGCAGAATTGCTACGTCTGTATGTAGTTATGTAATCTCTTTTGTCAGGCTTCTTCTTTTTTTTGAGACGGAGTCTCGCTCTTTCACCCAGGCTGGAGTGCAGTGGCGCGATCTAGGCTCAGTGCAAGCTCCGCCTCCTGGATTCACACCATTCTCCCGCCTCAGCCTCCTAAGTAGCTGGGACTACATGCGCCCCCCCACCACGCCTGGCGAATTTTTTTTTGGTTTTGTATTTTTAGTAGAGAAGGGGTTTCACCGTGTTAGCCGGAATGGTCTCGATCTCCTGACCTCATGATCTGCCCGCCTCGGCCTCCCAAAATGCTGGGATTACAGGCATAAGCCACCGCACTGGCCTTGTCAGGCTTCTTTCACTCAGCCCAACAATTCTGAATTGGTTTCCTATCACTGTGAGCATCAGGAACCAGCCATCCTGAACTCGTTGGTTCCTTCTCATTGTTGAACCATATTCCATGGTGTGGTCAGTGTGTTCATTCGGTGGGTGGACATTTGGGTTCTCAGTTTGGGACTCTCAGAAGTTACACGTCTCTGTCTCGACATCTGCTTCATTTCTCCTGAGTAACTCCTGAGAGGGGAATTGCAGGGTCACGTGCTAGGTATGTGTTTTAACATTGAAAGAAACTGCTGAAGTGTTTTCTAAAGCAGATGAGGGCCAGGCACAGTGGCTCATGCCTGTAATCCCAGGACTTTGGGAGGTCAAGGCAGGTGGAGTTCCAGACCAGCCTGGGCAACATGGCAAAACCCCCTCTCTGCAAAAAAAAAAATACAAAAATTAGCTGGGCATGGTGGTACAGTCAGAGGATCACTTGAGCCCAGGAGGTCGAGGCTGCAGTGAGCTGAGATCATGCCACTGCATTCCAGACTGAGTGACAGAGTGAGACCCTGTCTCAAAAAATAAAAAAGCAGATGAGCTGCCTCGTTCAGATAGTTTGTTGTTGTTGTTGTTGTTGTTGTTGTTGTTGTTGTTGTTGGTTTTTTTTTTTTTTTTGGAGACGGAGTCTCGCTCTGTCGCCCAGGCTGGAGTGCAGTGGCATGATCTCAGCTCACTGCAAGCTCCGCCTTCCGGGTTCACGCCATTCTCCTGCCTCAGCCTCCCGAGTAGCTGGGACTACAGGCGCCCGCCACTGCGCCCAGCTAATTTTTTGTATTTTTAGTAGAGATGGGGTTTCACCATGGTCTCGATCTGACCTCGTGATCCGCCCGCCTCTGCTTCCCAAAATGCTGGGATTACAGGCGTGAGCCACCACGCCCGGCCTGTTGTTGCTGTTTTTAAGAAATAGAGTCTCTGCCAGGTGTGGTGGCTCACGCTTGTAAATCCCAGCACTTTGGGAGGCCGAGGCGGGTGGATCACTTGAAGTCAGGAGTTCGAGACCAGCCTAGTCAACATGGCTGTCTCTACTAAAACAGAGAAACACTGTCTCTACTAAAAACACAAAATTAGCCGGGCATGGTGGTGGGCCCCTGTAATCCCAGCTACTCAGGAGGCTGAGGCAGTAGAGTTGGTTCAGCCCAACAGGCGGAGGTTGCAGTGAGCCAAGATCACAGCACTGTGCTCTAGCCTGGGTGATAAAGCGAGACTCCATTTCAAAAAAATTAAAAAAAAAAAAACAGCATCTCGCCCTGTTGCTCAAGCTGTATCTTAGATAGTAAAAATAAAAATAAAAATAAAAATAAACCAGGCTCTCAAAGCTTTATCTCATGACCTGGAGGAACATACAAATGCACTGACATATCAAGGAAAGAATTAGGTTTTACAGCTAAATGGATAAGACAATCCAAAATTTATTAAACTATACAGTATATATCTATTTCCCTGGGAGAAAACATGACAGTTACTTACTAACCTGGGGGAAAGTTTTAAGAGTTAAATCTTGTGTGTCCCCCAGCCTTCTTCCCTGTCGCCACTCCCTATCCCTGTGTGAACTGTTGCCTCGGCCTCATAAGTTATCGTTTCTTTCAGCCTCAGCCCTTCTAACACTTCTGCAGGAATTCTCAGAGCCTCTAGTGGCCCTGACCCCACTCAGTCACAGTGCTGAGTCATGCTTCTCTTTAGGGCAGAGGTCAGCAAACCTTTGCTTTGAAGGGCTGGATAGTAAATATTTTAGGCTTTCCAGGCTGTAATATTACAGTCTGTGCCTGAACTATTTCACTCTGCTCTTGTAGCAAAAGCAGCCACAGACAATAAGGAAAGGAGTGTGGGCAAGGCTGCCTTCCAGTAAAACTTTATTTATAAAAACAGGTGGTGGGCCTATTGTACCATCCTTTATTCTTCTACTCACCTCGTGAACGAACTCCTCTTCATCCTTCAGAACCCCCCCCCCCCACCTTTTTTTTCTTCACGATGGAGTCTCACTCTGTCGCCCAGGCCAGAATGCAGTGGCATGATTGCGGCTCGCTACAACCTTCACCTCCCAGATTCAAGCGATTCTCCTGCCTCAGCCTCCCAAGTAGCTGGGATTACAGGCACCCACCACCGTGCCCGGCTAATTTTTGTATTTTTAGTACAGACAGGGTTTCACCATGTTGGTCAGGCTGGTCTTGAACTCCTGACCTCAAGCAGTCCACCCGCCTTGGCCTCCCAAAGTGCTCGGATTACAAGCGTGAGCGACCGCGCCTGGTCTTAGAACCCCTCTTAGATATTCCTACTCCCCTAATGTCTTCTCTTGTCCTTTAGGATAATCACTCCTGCTGTGTGTCTTTTAACTGCTGCGCTGGATTCACGTCTACACTCACGTCTGTTTGCATACCAGTCTCTCCTGCCTGGCTTTGGGCCTCATCTTCACACCCTCAGCCATTCTTGGTTGACTCATGCCGCATTTATGGCTCTTGATCCAAGCCCCTAGGTGGGCTGGCACCAGCATTTCTTTTTCTTGCAACCTTCAGAAGCAAATGCACTTTTTAGGAATAAACTTGGCCGGGCACAGTCACTCATCCCTATAATCTCAGCACTCTAGGGGGCCTAGGCAGGTGGATCATTTGAGCCCAGGAGTTTGACAACAACCTGGGCAATATAGTGAGGCCCCCATCTCTACAGAAAATACAGAAACATTAGCCAGCATGCATCGTGGTGTGCACCTATAGTCCCAGCTACTTGTGAGGCAGAGGTGAGAGGATCACATGAGCCCAGGGAGATCAAGTCTGCAGTGAGCCGTGATCATGCCAATGCACCCCAGCCTGGGAAGTAGAGCAAGACCCTGACAAAAAAAAAAAAAAGAAGAAGAAACTGGGCGACCCTCTCTCTTAGGAAAAAAAAAAAAAAGGGCTAGGTGCAGTGGCTCACACCTGTAATCCCAGCACTTTGGGAAGCCGAAGTGGGTGGATCACAAGGTCAAGAGATTGAGACCATCCTGGCCAACATGGTGAAACCCCGTCTCTACTAAAAATACAAAAATTAGTTGGGCATGGTGGTGGGCGCCTGTAGTCCCAGCTACTCGGGAGGCTGAGGCAGGAGAATCACTTGAACCCGGGAGGCAGAGGTTGCAGTGAGCCGAGATCCGCCACTGGACTCCAGCATGGTGATAGAGTGAGACTCCATCTCAAGAAAAAAAAAAAAATGAAGAGGGTGAATTTTGGGGAGCTAAACAATCTATATACGTGGACATAACAGAGCAGAATAGTTATTGGGGACTGCAGAAGGTGATGGGGGGAGGAGGGTGAGGGTGAACAAATTTCCCGTTGGGTACGATGTTCACTATTCAGGCAATGTGTATCCCAAAAGCCCAGATTGGCCTGGCGCAGTGGCTCACTCCTGTAATCCTAGCACTTTGGGAGGCCAAGGCGGGAGGATCGTTTGAGCTTAGGAGTTCAAGGCCACCTAGCCAACATAATGAGAGCACTTTGGAAGCCCGAAGCGGGTGGATCACGAGGTCAGGAGATAGAGACCATCCTGGCTAACATGGTGAAACTCCATCTCTACTAAAAATACAAAAAAAAATTAGCCAGGCGCGGTGGCGGGCGCCTGTTGTCTCAGCTACTCGAGAGGCTGAGGCAGGAGAATGGCGTGAACCCGGGAGGCGGAGCTTGCAGTGAGCCAAGATAGCGCCACTGCAGTCCGGCCTGGGTGAAAAAGCGAGACTGTCTTAAAAAAAAAAAAAAAAAAAAGGCCGGGTGCGGTAGCTCATGTCTGTAATCCCAGCACTTTGGGAGGCCGAGGAGGATGGATCACCTGAGGTCAGGAGTTCGAGACCAGCCTGGCCAACATAGTGAAACCCTGTCTATGCTAAAAATACAAAAAAAATTAGCCGGGCGTGGTGGCGGGGTGCCTGTAATCCCAGCTACTTGGGAGGCTGAGACAGGAGAATCGCTTGAACCCAGGAGGTGGAGGTTGCAGTGAGCCGACATCATGCCACTGCACTAGAGCCTGGGCAACAAAGAGCGAAACTCCATCTCAAAAAAAAAAAAGCCCAGACTTCACCACTACACGATATATGTGTATAAGAAACCTGCACTTGTAGGCCAGGCGTGGTGGCTCACCCCTCTAATCCCAGCACTTAGGGAAGTCGAGGTTGGCACATCACCTGAGGTCAGGAGTTTGAGACCAGCCTGGCCAACATGGCAAAACCCCATCTCTACTTAAAAAAATACAAAAATTAGCCGGGTGTGGTGGCGCATGCCTATAGTCCCAGCTACTCAGGAGGCTGAGGCAGAAGAATTGCTTGAACCCAGGCAGCAGAGGTTGCAGTGAGCCGAGATCACACCACTGCACTCTAGCCTGGGCGACAGCACGAGACTCTTATCTCAAAAACAAAAAAAGAAAAAGAAAAGAAATTGGTATTGGCAGACTGCTACTTACCACCTTCCTGGTGTGCTTCTGGTGTCACTAGCTCTTCCATTCAAGCCCTCTCTCTGGTAGAGGATCCTTTCCAGGGAGTCCTATCGCATTGAGAATCTCCTGTGGTCTTGGACAGCTAGCTCCTCAGTCTTTCCTTGTTGCCCGTGACCTTGGCAGTCTTGGGACCACCAGCCATATTCCTGCAGGATGCCCCCAGCCTGGGCCTGCCTGATGTTCTTCTCCCCAGTAGTCTGGAGTTGTGGCTTCAGAAGCAACCACACTCTAGGCCATTCCCGAGTGCATTTTTCGTGGCTCTCCCGGACTTCATCTTCCTAGGTTGGGTTTCAAGGACCCTGGAGTTTTGGGAATCCCAAATTTCAGGACAGGTTCAGTCTTGCTCATCCCCACATGCCTCTCGCTGTTACTGCTGTGTGGCCAAGGCCTGTGGGGCCGAGTCGTCTTCTGCTTGGGGAGCTGCTGGGGAGGTTTATTCAGAGATGAGGTCAGGAAGGATGTGGGCTGGGAAGGGCATAGCAGAAAGAGGGTCATGGCTTGTTGGGCTTCAGGATTGAGAGGCTGCCTCTGGATGGGGTGGGATGGGGGCTGGGATGGAGCAAACTCAGGGGAAGGGTCAGGTCTTGGGGTTGTCTGATGATGTCACTTGTAAAAGCCACTGTATTTTTTTTTAAGTGACAGGGTCTCTCTCTCTCACCCAGGCTGGAGCACAGCTGGTATAATCATGGCTCACTGCAGCCTCGATCTCCTGGGTTCAAGTGATCCTCCCATCTCAGCCTCCTGAGGAGCTGGGACCACAGGCGAGCACCACTATGCCTTTATTTTTTGTAGAGACGGGGTCTCGCTATGTTGCCCAGGCTGGTCTCAAACTCCTGGCCTCAAGCGATCCTCCCACCTTGGCCTCCTAAAGTGTTGGGATTATAAGCATGAGCCACTGCAGGAGCCTGAGGTCACATTGAAGGACAGACAGACCCTCACGGGATGTCGTGACTGGTTGCCTCTGGCTTTTTGGGCGAGCCTAGTCGGGTGGGGAACTCCAGCATCGGGTCAGGTGCTATCTGCCCAGGAGTGGGACTCCACATGCCCCTTAAACTTCCTCCCACCATTCTGACCATGCCTGGCTCTGACCTCCCTTCTAGCTCCAGGACACGCGCGCCCCGAGCCTGGGAGGCATGCTGAAGCCAGGCGGCCGGCAGGATGAGTGTGAAAGAGGCAGGCAGCTCGGGCCGCCGGGAGCAGGCGGCCTACCACCTGCACATCTACCCCCAGCTGTCCACCACCGAGAGCCAGGCCTCGTGCCGCGTGACTGCCACCAAGGACAGCACCACCTCGGACGTCATCAAGGACGCCATTGCCAGCCTGCGGCTGGACGGCACCAAATGTTATGTGCTGGTGGAGGTCAAAGAGTCGGGAGGCGAGGAATGGGTGCTGGACGCCAACGACTCGCCTGTGCACCGGGTGCTGCTATGGCCCCGGCGGGCACAGGACGAGCACCCTCAGGAGGATGGCTACTACTTCCTGCTGCAGGAGCGCAACGCAGATGGAACCATCAAGTACGTGCATATGCAGCTGGTGGCGCAGGCCACAGCCACCCGGCGCCTAGTGGAGCGTGGCCTCCTGCCACGGCAGCAGGCGGACTTTGATGACCTGTGTAACCTCCCCGAGCTAACCGAGGGCAACCTCCTGAAGAACCTCAAGCACCGCTTCCTGCAACAAAAGATCTACACGTACGCGGGGAGCATCCTGGTGGCCATCAACCCCTTTAAGTTCCTGCCCATCTACAACCCCAAGTACGTGAAGATGTATGAGAACCAGCAGCTGGGCAAGCTGGAGCCACACGTCTTCGCGCTGGCCGACGTGGCCTACTACACCATGCTCAGGAAGCGCGTGAACCAGTGCATCGTGATCTCGGGTGAGAGCGGCTCCGGCAAGACCCAGAGCACCAACTTCCTCATCCACTGCCTCACCGCCCTCAGCCAGAAGGGCTACGCCAGCGGCGTCGAGAGGACCATCCTGGGTGCTGGCCCTGTGCTGGAGGTGAGCGGGGAAGCTGGTCGGTCTGTGGGAGGGGGCATTTGTTTGGAAAATGCGGGTTTCAGGCCAAGCTCGGTGGCCCACATCTATAATCCCAATGCTTTGGAAGGCTGAGGGAGGAGGATTGCTTGAGCCCAGGAGTTCAAGATCAGCCTGGGCAACATAGCAAGATCTTTTCTCTACAAAAAAAAAAAAATAATTAGCCAGGCAGGCATAGTAGTGCTCACCTGTAGTCCCAGCTGCTCAGGAGGCTGAGGCAGGAGGATCACTTGAGCCCAGGAGTTCGAGGCTTCAGTGAGCTATGATCATGCCACTGCACTCCAGCCTGGATGACAGAGAGAGACTCCATCTCAAAAAAAAAAAAAGAAAGAAATTTCAGGCTGGGTGTGGTGGCTCATGTCTATAACCCCAGTGGTTTTTGAGAGGCTGAGGCAAGAGGATCGCTTGAGCCCAGGAATTCAACATCAGCCTGGTCAACACAGCAAGGCCCCCTCTCTACAAAAAAAAAAAAAAAAAGATTACCGAAGTGCGGTGGCACACATTTGTTGTCCCAGCTATTGGAGAGGCTAAGGCGGGAGGATCGCTTGAGCCCACGAGTTGGAGCTATGATTGCACTACTGCACTCCAGCCTGGGCAACAGAGACAGACCCTGCCTCTAAAGAGAGAAAAAGTGGAGGTTTTCTGATTGTTGTTATTATTCAGGTACTGCGAAGCCAACTGGTCAGGATGCAACTGCCTCTTGGAAAGAGAGTTTGTTACTCACAGTTCCCGAAAGAAGAGGATGCAATGCCATGGAAGGCCACAGGGGGAAGCACTGGGACTCATCAGGAGGCTGAGGGAGAGAGGGAAAAAGGGAGCGGGGAGAGGCAGGAAACTTTATTGTGATTTTCATGCATCAGAATGTGCTAGGCAGAGTAAGCTGGCTTAGGATTGGCTTGTTTGAATTATTTCAATGGGCTCTGGGGCATAGGGGCTGCCCCTTGTTGTCAGGTGCCAGGGCCTGGGGTGATGAGGGCAGGGGATAGTGGGCTGGAGTGTGAGAGTCCCAGAGAGGAGGTGGCTGGGGTGTAGGCTCTGGACTGGTTGGTTTGCATATGGAAGGCAAGTCCCAAACCATCTCTAGGAACTGGCTAGAATCAATCTAGGAATTGGGAAGGGCCGTCTCCCTGGGGTCAGCCAGGCCCCAGATGTCAGAGCATCAGAAATACAGAAAATAAGTCACTGGGCGCGGTGGCTCACACCTGTAATCCCAACACTTTGGGAGGCTGAGGCAGGTGGATCACGGGAGGTCAGGACTTTGAGACCAGCCTGGCCAACATGATGAAACCTCGTTTCTACTAAAAATATAAAAATTAGCCAGGCATGATGGTGTGTGCCTGTAATCCCAGCTACTCGGGAGGCTGAGGCAGGAGAATCGCTTGAACCCGGTAGGTGGAGGTTGCAGTGAGCCAAGATCGCTTCACTGCACTCCAGCCTGGGTGACAGAGCGAAACTCCATCTCAAAAAAAAAAAAAAAATAGTCACAGTTAATACACATTTGGCTTCCAGAACATGGCCATTCATTCTCAAGGTGCCTGAAAGAAAAGGCTGGTGTATTCAAACCAGTTTGAGGAGTGCTTCACAACGGGACATTTCTAGGGGGACCAGCAGGGTGGAAGGAAGCCAGCAAGGCGTACGGCAGGCCTGGGGGTTAAGGGGATGGCGAAGCATTGTCGGGGAGGGGGCTGCCTAGTTTCACTGTAGAGGCAGCAGAGAAGGGACCAACCCAGGCTCTTATGCCTCATGCCCTCTGCCCACTGTTCATTGCCCTGATCAGCCAAACCCCACAGGAGCCCTCGATGTGCCACTGTGGGTGAGTCTTGTGGCCACAGGGCTACAGAGGTGACCACACAGCACCCATCATTGCAGGGATTGTAGGACAAGGTGCATCCACATGTCTCAGAACAACGCAACCATCGCCACCTGGTGAGGGCCAGGGGCAGCGTGTGGCCTCAGGGGTCTGCACCTCTGGGTGTGGGATCTGCCTTTTTTTCATTTTTATTTTATTTTTTGTAGAGATGGGGGTCTCACTGTATTCCCCAGGCTGGTCTCGAACTCCTGGATGCCAATGATCCTCCCACCTTGGCCTCCCAAAATGCTGGGATTATAGGCGTGAACCACTGTACCCAGCTCCGCTTAAAAAAAAAACAAAAAAACAGATTGGTTGTTTTAGAGCAGTTTTAGGTTTATAAAAATACCGAGCAGATAGTGCAGAGAGTTCCCATGTACCCCTCCCACGCCCAGGTTCTCACATTATTTATATTTTGCATTCGTGTGGTGTGTTGGTTGCACCTGACTCAACTCTACGTTGGTACTGTTACTAACAGCCATAGTTTCCATTAGGGTTCTTGGTGTTGCACATTCTTTGAGTTTGGACAAAAGTATAATGAATGTGTCTGCCGTTGGAGTGTCACAGAGTGGTGTCACTGCCCTAAAATTCCTCCATGCTCCCCCTGTTCATCCCTCCATGACCTTTGGCAGCCACAGCTCTTCTCACTGCCTCCACAGTTCTGTCTTTTCCAGGCTGTCTGTAGTTGGAGTCCCAGTGTTGCAGGCTTTTCAGACTGGCTTCTTCCACTTCACAACCAGCATTTAAGGTTCCTGCATGTCAGTTGGGCACGGTGGCTTACATAATCCCAGTGCACTGGGAGGCCGAGGCAGGAGGATCACTTGAGCCCAGGAGTTCCAGATCAGCCTGGGCAACATAACAAGACCCTGTCTCTACCAAAAAAAAAAAAAAAAAAAAAAAAAATTAGCCAGGTGTGGTGGTGTTTGCCTGTGGTCCCCCCTACGTGGGAGTCTGAGGCAGGAGAATCGCTTGAGCCCGGGAGGTTGAGGCTGCAGTGAGCCAACGTCTGGCCACTGCACTCCAGCCTAGGTGACAGAGCGAGACCCTGTCCCCCAAAAAAAGGGGAGAGGAGATTCCTCCATGTCTTTTCGTGGCTTGAGAGCTCATTTCTTTTGCTGAATTGTAGCTCATTATATGAATGTGTCAGTTTCTTCACACGTAGGATCCTGAGAGCCCCCTCAGTGGAGAGAGGGAGTTGGGGGCAGGGTCAGACCCCACCCTTTCTGGAGCCTTGACCTCTCGCCTCTTGTTAGTCCCCACAAGCTGAGGGCTGCCATGCAAATTCACTGAAATCACATCTAAGCAGTGCCTAGGAATACATTTCAGTTCCTCTTCCTCTCTGAGGTCATCAGTAAGACATTAATTGGGGTCATACAACTTAGCCCTGGTCCGACATATGTAGCCTATTCCTGTTTTCTCCTGTGCAAGTAACACAGAGATTCATTGTCATTGTTTACATCAGCTTTTAATAAAACTGCTGAGCAATTTCACCATAGAATGTCCATTTTCTTTCCTTTCCCATCCCCTCCCCTCCCCTCCTCTCCCCTCCCCTCTCCTCGCCTCTCCTCTATTCCTTTCTTGTCAGGGTCTCTCTCCGTTACCTAGAATGGAGTGCAGTGGCACAATCATAACTCACCGCAGCCTCGAGAACTTCTGGGCTCAAGCGATCCTCCCACCCAAGTAGCTGGAATTCCAGGTGTGCACCACCATGCCCGGCTAATTTTTAAATTTTCTGTAGAGACACAGTCTTACTATGTTCTCCAGGCTGGTCTCGAACTCCTGGCTTCCAGTGATCCTCCCACCTCAGCTGTTTTTAATATGGCTTGTCTTGTGTGCATTACATTATATACCCAGACCGCCCGTTCATTGCTGTGTGAGCATTTGCTGTGTGGCAGGCTATGATATAGGTGCTGGGCTATGTGGTGGCCAAAGTCAACACAAAATTCTCCCCAGGTAGAACTCGGGGAAGACTCTGGGTGACACAGGAGCTATAGAGGTTCTGAGCAGAGGTAGATGCAACCCAGCTCTGGTCTCCCGAGGCCGCCCTGGCGTCATCCCAGCTCTGAGACTCAGCCACAGTGAAACTGCCAGTGGCCCCAGTGTCCTCCCAGCAGGTGGCCAGGGGGCTCAACGGCTCTCCAGGCCAAAACATCAGTGCCTGGCATCCACACCCGAGATAAAACAGTGATCTTGAAAATTCAGCATGTGTGGCACACACCTGTAATCCCAGAGTCAGGAGGCTGAGTCCTGAGTCAGGAGGATTGCGTGAGCCTAGGAATTCCAGACCAGCCTGGGTAACATTGCAAGACCCCATCTCTACCAAAAAGTTTAAAAACTAGGCTGGGTGCAGTGGCTCATGCCTGTAATCCCAACACTTTGGGAGGCCAAGGCAGGTGGATCACCTGAGGTCAAGAGTTCGAGACCAGCCTGGCAAACATGGTGAAACCCCGTCTCTACTAAAAATACAAAAATTAGCCAGGTGTGGTGGCGAGCGCCTATAATCCCAGGTACTTCGGAGGCTGAGGCAGGAGAATGGCTTGAACTTGGGAGGTGGAGGTTGCAGTGAGCCAATATCGCACCATTGCACTCCAGCCTGGGCAACAAGAGCGAAATCTGTCTCAAAATTAAAAATAAAAATAAAAAATTAGCCAGGCATGGCAGTGCATGCCTGTGGTCTCAGCTCTCAGGAGCTTGAAGTGGGAGGATTGCTTGAGCCCAGAAGTTCAAGACTGCAGTGAGCTGTGATCACACACTGCACTCCAGCCTGGGTGACAGAGCAAGACCCTGTCTCAAAAAAATAACAAAAAAAATTTAGTAGGTGAATGAATGAGAGGGTAGATCCAACATTTACCATGTCAGACATTTTGCCAAATGGGACTAGGCAGGTGGGTAAATGCCTGAGCCCCGCAGAAATGACACGCCCAGCCCCAGGGTCTCAAAGTGGCACGGCCAGGAGGCAGGATTGCCACCTAGGTCTCAGTTCAGGGTCCATGTCCTCCCCACCACGTTGCTGCCTCCACAGCGCCATCTCACTAGGACCCTCCAGGGCGTGGACAAGTTTCCTGTTGCTAAGTGTTAGGGGCAAGGGAGTCTCCAACAACAGGGATTAAGGCTCTCATGGTCCTGGAGGCCAGAAGTCTGAAATCAAGGTGTCCACGGGGCCGCACTCCCTCCCGGCTCTGGGGGAGGATGCTTCAGGCCTCTTCAGCTTCTCTGGTGGCTGCAGATGTGCCCTGGCCTGTGGCCACGTCACATCAGTCTCTGCCTCTGTCGTCAGGGGCGTTCTTCCTGTGTGTCCATGTCTTCACGTGGCTTTCTTATAACAAGGACACCACTCATGGGATGTAGGGCCCATCCTACCCCGGCATGACCTCATCCTACCTAATTGCATTTGCAAAGACCCTATTTCCAAATAAGGTCACATACACAGTTTCTGGGGGTGAGGATGTGGATATAATTTTGGGGGCGGGGGGCTCAAGTCAGCCCACAGCATCCCCCATACAGCCCCACCTGGTCTGCTTCAAGTCCTACCTGGCCCCTGGCAAGTCCCACTTGGTGACATCTTGTGCCTGGGTCCTTGAGGGCTGCCCCAGATCCGCGATTGTCCTGGGGACCGGTAGTTCCTCCCCGGATGCCAGCAAAGCTCCCTCCAGCCTCCACGCCTGCACAGTCTCCAGTATGCCTTCAACAGCCATTAGTCACCCTCTGTGAGTCAGACCCCCGGTCCTGCCAGGCCAACCTGCTTGGGGCCTCAGCAGCGGGGGCTGGCGAGGCCAGTTTTCTCCAGCGGTTCTAAGCCGCTCGAGGGTGGTGCCCACGCCGGCTTCCAAAACAGGCTTGAGCCAAATCCACGTCATGGCAATAAACGTGCTTCCTGGGGCGACTGTTTGCAAAGGGATGTGATTGTCTTCACTGAGAGCTGGATTTCTCAACCTGGCTCTGCTGACATTCAGGGCCGGATCGTTCTCTGGGGAGGGAGTCATCCTGTGCATTGAAGGACATTGAGCAGCATCCCTGGCCTCCACCCACCAGATGCCAGGAGCACTCCCCACCCCGCAGGTGTGACACCCAGAAGTGTCCCCAGACATTTCATTGATTAGAGAGGTATTAACAAAATAGCTTCCCGTTGTCCCCTGGGGACAAATCACCCCCTGGGAATAGAACAGCTGTCTTTGAGTTCTTCCCATAAGACCCAATCACTGTTCATTGCAGCCACTGAGCTTTTAGAAATTATCTGTGAGTTCTTTCTGTTCTGTGCTAACTTAAGAGTCATTTTCTTTTTTTCTTTTTTTGAGATAGAGTCTTGCTCTATCGCCCAGGCTGGAGTGCAGTGGCACGATCTCGGCTCACTGGAACCTCTGCCTCCTGGGTTTGATTCTCCTGCCTCAGCCCTCCCGAGTAGCTGGGACTACAGGCGCCCACCACCGTGCCCGGCTAATGTTTGTATTTTTAGTAGAGACGGGTTTCACCATAGTGGCCAGGCTGGTCTCAAACTCCTGACCTCAAGTAATCTGCCCTCCTCAGCCTCCCAAAGTGCTGGGATTATAGGCGTGAGCCACCATGCCTGGCCCCAAGAATCTTTTTTTTAATTTTATTTATTTATTTATTTATTTATTTATTTATTTATTTATTTATTTATTTTGAAACAGAGTTTCTCTCTGTCTCCGGGCTGGAGTGCAGTGGCGCGATCTCGGCTCACTGCAAGTTCTGCCTCCCGGGTTCGTGCCATTCTCCTGCCTCAGCCTCCTGAGTAGCTGGGACTACAGGTGCTCACCACCACACCCAGCTAATTTTTTGTATTTTTAGTAGAGATGGGGTTTCACCGTGTTAGCCAGAATGGTCTCGATCTCCTGACCTCGTGGTCCGCCCACCTCAGCCTCCCAAAGTGCTGGGATTACAAGCATGAGCCACTGCGCCCGGCCATCATTTTCTAATAAGAGGAATAAGACCTCAGGCCCACTGGGTATCAGGGTTTGGGCTTCGTGATTTTCCTCCATCATCTCTAATCCCTCACGGCAGCTCTGCCCATTTTAAAGATGAGGAAACTGAGCCCCAGAGAGACACGTGGATGTGTGAGTTTCCTGAGGTGTCTATAACAAAGTATTACGGGCTGGGAGCCCTCAAACAGCAGGGGTTGATTCTCTCACAGTTCTGGAGGCCAGAAGTTGAAAATCAAGGTGTGGGCAGGGCTGGGTCCCTCTGGAGGCTCTGAGGGAGAATCTGTCCCAGGCCTCTCTCCCGGGTTCTGGTGGCTTCAGCCATCCTTGGAGCTCTGGGCTTGTGGCCGCATCACTCTGCCCTCTCCCTCCGTCGTCACCTGGTCTTCTCCCCTGTGTGTGTCCAATCTCCCTTGCCTTTCTCTCATGGGATCACCTCATCTCAAAATACTTACCTTCATGACATCTGCCAAGACCCCGTTTCCAGATAAAGCCACAGTCACAGGTTCTGGGGGTAAGGACTTAGACATGTCTTTTTTGGGAAGCCACAAGTCAACCCACTGCAGGTAGATTCCCCAGGCCACACCGCAGAGAGCCAAAGCCTAACCCGGGGTTTGAACCCGGCCTGAGCCCCAGCCCCCCGTTCAGGCTGCCTCTCTGCTCTCCCCTCTCTCGCCCGGGCTGCAGAAAGCCGGAGATCAGCACAACTCGCTGCATCGATTGGGGATTTTTTCTCAGCTCCCCGAAAGGAGAAGTTGAGCTGTTTTGAGGTTTGAGTGTCGCTGGATGCACCCCCTGACCCCCGCCCCCCGCGAGGGTTGCAGCCTCGCTGTGTAATGCTGACCAAAAAACAGGAAGGGAGCACTGTGGAAAGCCGGTTCCAATCAGCTGATCTGCCCGCCACTGCAGTTAACTGTTGCCATCACCTTTCACCAAGTCTAGGGGCTGCAGAAGCCATGAGTCTCCCCATCTTCCACATGGCCTCTAGCCTCCCAGTGCAGGCGCCCGTCGACAGCCCAGGGGCTGTGGATAGAGCACCTTACAGCATCGGCCATGGGGTCTCGCCGCAAAGCACACCCAGAACACGCTCCTCTCCCTTTGCCCACAGCCTCAGATCCACCAGGCACTCGCCTCGGTGCCCTTCTGAGAGCAGGCTGAGTCCAGGGGGCCAAAGGCTGGGGTTCCCTTCATCTGTCCTGAACTGTAGCAAGTGCAGCTGGCAGCTGGCAGCGTGCATGGGGTTTTCATTCTGAAAGCAGAAATAAAATAAGGATCCTTGCTTGTCAGGCTGTTGTCCCAAGGGTCCCTGGACTCCATGGAGCCCCTGTGGCCCGGCCCACAGTGGGACACGGTGACAGTGATGGGCTGCAGGGCGCAGAGGGACGCCCCCAGCTGGTGGAGCCAAGCTCACCCGAAGTTGTGCCGATGCCCAGGACATTCCAGTGAGGGACTGAGGAAGGGTCCTGAACGTGCCACTGCCCCAGACCCCCCTCTTGGGGCAAAGGAACCTAGGACTCGTACCCACCTGGACCGGGTCCTGAGCTCCTCCTTAGGGGCCCTACAAACCCAGTCTCATGTTTCCCCCAACTCCCCCAGCCCCTCTGCCATCAGCCAGGCCACTAGCTCTGTTCCCCCACCCACAGTCAGCACTGGGGTAGGTCACCTAGACCACAGTGCCATTATCCACTTCGACCTCTGCCCTCAAGGACACCTGCCTGGGCCACGTCCTTTCCCCCTGAGTCTGTCGGGCAAGACACAGTTGGATGCCAGCCTCCACCCAGCATTGGGGGCGTCATCTCATACGTCCTCACCACATCCTGATGTGGGCAGACTGACCACCCCCACCTGACATGTGAGGAAACTGAGGCACACGAGCTGCTCAGCAAGGGTGGCAGAGATAGAAGTTTCTGGAACCAGGTGTGTGTCAACTCTCATGCCTCTGAAGTTGAGGTTCCTGTTTAAGAGCTTATGGAGATATAATTTACCTATTTACTTATTTATAAATAGATACCTTATATTTATATCTACAGTTTATAAATATATAGATTAAATTGTATCTGCATTTTATAAATGTATAAATTATATCTGCAGTTTATAAATCTGTAAATTAAATTATATCTGCAGCCTCAAATTCCTGGCCTCAAGTGATCCTCCCACCTCAGCCTCTCAAGCAGCTGAGAATACAGGTGCACACCACCACCCCTGGCTAATTTTTTTATTTTTTGTAGAGACAGGGTTTTGTTATGTCACCAAGGCTGGTCTCCAACTCCTGGCCTCAGGCAAAAGTGTGCAATTCAGTGGCATTTAGTACACTCGCAGTGGTATGCAACCGTCGCCTCTATGCAGTTCCAGAACATTTCCATCCCCCTGAAAGGAGACCCCGTCCCCATCAGCATTCACTCCCCACTTCCCTCTCCCAGGCCCTGGCAGCCACTAACCTGCTTCCTGTCTCTATGGATCTGCCTGTTCTGGACATTTCAGATCAATGGAATCTCTCACACTCTGTGGCCTTTTGTGTCTGGCTTCTCTCACTTGGTATCATGTTCTTGAGATTCATACACGTCGTAGCATGGATCAGTGCTTCCTTCCTTTTCATGGCTGCATCATATTCCACGGTATGGATGGAGGATGGACCATAATTTGTTTCTCTGCCCACCAGTTGTATCAGCATTTCATTCCTTTGTATGGCTGGTATGTGGTTGGGGTTTTCCTGGACCCCTGCCCCAGCCAGGCCAACCTCCCCCATCAGTGTCCCCCACAAGAACAATGTTGGGGAGTGGGGGGATTGACACTCACACAGAGGATCCCCTGGAGACTGTCATGAGCCCTGGGAAGGAGGAGAGCAGTCCTCTCCAGCAGGCTGCTTCGGGCGTGCTAATGGCTGGAGCCACCGAGGGACACCAGGTGGGACCAGGAGCCGGGGTGGGAGGAAGCAAGAAGGGGGCAGGCGTGCCCAGGTATAGCAGGGACGTCCAGGTACAGCAGGGACATCCATCTGCACGTTCTTCCCAGCCTGCTGAGAAGCCAGTGGCCAGAGGGAGGCTGGCTTCAGGGAGCAGGGCGGACGGGCCGGCTGGCGGGGGCCCTGGACTCGGGCAGGAGCGTTTGCACGTGGCTTCCCAAGTGCGACAGAGAGGGAGTCCTGGGAGCAACCCCAGCCGCGGGGATGTGCCAGATCTGAGGCTGATAGCTGAGGACGGACAGGTCCCAAGGGAGGAGGAGAGGGGGTCAGAGATGGCTGCAGGGGAACTGCCCGGAGGCCAGTCCTGGTGAATTTGGTTTGGGGTGCTTCGTTCAAGCAGCTGATGGGGCATCCAAGGGAGAATTGTGCACCAGCCACACAAAGAATCCCGCAGCCCCAGGGCTCATCAGGCCTCAGAGGCCATCCTGTCGCATGACCCAGTCAGAGAGGGGTCAGGGACAGACAGCAAGCTGGGGCACCTCCCAGCCAGGCACTCACCCAGCCCTTGGCTGTTGGCCATACAGGGAGGTGAGTTTGTCAGGAGAGGTAAGTGTTGAGAGGGGGCGTGTGGCTCCCCTCTCATTGGGGGGCATTTCAGGGATGAGATTCAGGGCATAGGCCACAGACCGGAGGAGGCTCAGGGTCAGGACGGGGCCAAGGCCTCAGAAGGCAGAAGTCACCCATGTCACGAGGAGCAAAGGGAAGCCAGCATTTGTTTGAGGAAGAGCAATACCTGCAGTCAGCACCCGTCTGTCTGTCAAAGGGTCCAGGAGCCCCCACTGGCTTGAGTTGTGTCTATGTTACATGAATGCAGAGGTATTTGAGGCTGAGGGTCTCTGAGACCACTTGTCACTTTGCTGGGCTGAGGGAGAAGGAAGGTGGGGCGTCAGTGGGCAGCAGGGTGGGCAGCAAGCTTGGGCTCAGGAGGGTCCGGGGCAGCAGCCTGGTGCACTTCAAAGGGAGATTGGAAGGCCAGCGTGTCCAGGGCCGGGTTGGGGAAGCAGGGCCAGGGTCATTGGGTGCCCGTCCTCCTCTCGGGTAGGCGCACTGCTGTGGTGGGGAAAGAGGAGGCAGAATTAGGGCTCTCAGGAGTTTCCCCCCTGCTCGCCCTGCGAGCGGTCAAGACTCAGGCTAGCCCAGGCCATCCGAAAGGCTAAACAGCGGGATGGTTATCCACACAAACATCTAGGTCACCCATCCACACAGGCAGGCGTGTGTGGAAGACAGGGTGGTGCAAGGACAGAAGGAGGAGGTACAATGTGGCCCTGACCGCAAGCTACTGAAGGTCCCTGAGGGGGGTGAGCTGGGCACCCCGGGCACCACAGGAAGCGAAGATAGAATCAATCTCTGGCTGCCTCTCCTGTGTGGCCTCCCCGGGATGTTTGCACAAAGGTAGGGGGAAGCAGTTTTTGGGGGCCCTGGGTCTGCAGAGCAGCCCAGAGGAGGAGATAGGAGCTGGGGCCCGAATGCAGGGCAGGCAGGAGACGGGGCAGGGCAAACCCCAGAGGCGACGAGAAAGCAGAATAAGCCATCATATAGGGTCAGTTTTAGACCTCACAGTCAGAAACCCTTGGGGACAGAGGCCAGGCTTCCTGGTCCAACCCAAGTTCCCAACCCCTGCCCTGTTGATATGTGGGCTGGATCATTCCGTTATGGCCAGGCCATCCTGTGCATCATGGGGGACTGAGCAGCATCCTGATCCCTGCCCACTAGTTGCCCATAGCACCCCCGCCCCTAGTCCCGACAACCAGAAACGTCTCCAGATGTTGACAGGTGTTCCCTGAGGAGCAGAACCACCCCCCAGTTGAGAACTGCTGTTTTAGGCCAACTGTATGACAAGATAGATTTCATTGTAACAGATGGTCTCTGCCTAAATATTTGTAGATTCTTTTTTTCTTGGTAACATTGTGCCATTGGAGTTACACATCAACCCGACCAAATTCGGCACGATTGTGGAGTGGCTGTTGGGCGTGGCGGGAAGCAGTTTCAGTCCGGCGTTCTCCCTCGTCCCTTGGGGGAGGTGACTGGTGTGCCTCCTCACCTCTCACTCATTGCCCACCCAGAGCCCAGGGGACGGTCACTGCTCACCCACGATCAGGCATGTCCTCGTGTCACCGATGATGAAGCGGCCCTAGGTGCGTGAGGATCTGGCTTTCCAAGAGCCTGCTCTTCCAGGTGCACTGAGTGACGTCTTACAATGTTGTTTGTAAGACTTGCTCCCCATGCCAAAAACCGCAGTCCCTGATTTTAGGACTTCCGCCTGCACTGAGAAGTAACATGCTCCCTGCTGGGGTTTTTTGCAAAGGAATGTAATCAAAGAGGTTTGCCGGTTTTCTGATCCAGGAGAGTGCTGGTTTGTGCGCCCTGGATTCTGTGGTCCTCCCTGTCCTCCTGGGGTGACTTCTTGAAACCTATGCCAGGTGCTGGCTGTGGCTCAGGTCTCGCTCCTTTAAGCATCTCCCCAGCAGGAAACAAGTCAAGAACCACTGCCGGGAAACAGGATCAGCGGCCAGAGATTCCCCACTTTGGCAGAACCATGACACGTTTCATTATCTCTTTTGGTTCCCCCAGTTGCTTTTCCCCTTTTTTTTTTTTTTTTTTAATAAAACACTTCGTCTTTTTAGTGTCTTTTCATTTTTCTTAACTTTAAAAAAAATTTTTTTTAGAGACAGGGTCTAGCCCTGTCGCCCAAGCTGAGGTGCAGTGGTCCAGTCATAGTTCACTGCAGCCTCAACCTCCTAGGCTCAAGTGAGCCTCCTGCCTCAGCCTCCAAATTAGCTGGGACTACAGCCACGTGCCACCACGCCAGCAAGGTTTCATTTCCTTTGGTATCTACCAGGGGTTGGCAAACTACAGCCCATGAGTTAAATCTGCCAGTGCCTATCTCTACAAATAAAGTTTTATTGGTGCATAACCATGCCCATGCATTTACATATCATCCCTGGCATCTTTGGCACCATGAGTGCAGAGCCGAGTAATTGCACCCGAGACACTGCATGGCCCACAAAGCTGAAAATATTTACTACCTGGCCCTTTATAGGAATTTTTTTTCCTTTGTCTACCCCAGTACATCCACCGCTTCGTAGAATGTTCCAGAACCCCATAAAGGTGACCATTTCACAGATGCCTTTTTTTTTTTTTTTTTGAAATGGAGTCTTGCTTGGTCGCCCAGGCTGGAGTTCAGTGGTGCGATCTCAGTTCACTGCAACCTCCGCCTCCCGGGTTCAAGCAATTCTCCTGCTTCAGCCTCCCGAGTAGTTGGTATTACAGGCGCCCACCACAACACCTGGCTAATTTTTGTATTTTTAGTAGAAATGGGGATTCACCATGTTGGCCTGGCTGGTCTCAAACTCCTGACCTCAAGTGATCCACCCACCTCGTCCCCCACAAAGTGCTGGGATTACAGGTGTGAGCCACTGCACCCGGCCCCCAGGTGTCTTCTTATCTTCTGCTCAGCTCCCCCTTCCCAAATGTAATGAAAGCAGCTTTCCATCCTAGATCCAGACAGCCCAGATCACCAGCTGGAATCTCTGCATTTGTATCCGTGCCATAGACATACATACGTATTCATAAACATCCATTTCCCCACACAGAGTCATAAAGCAGTTTGGGGAGTCAGGAAAGGAGGACACAGATAGAGATGTCCCACAGGGTTCGGCGGAGCTAACTCACTCTGTCTCTCTGCCCCACAGCTGGGAGTGGTAGTACAGCCCATGCATTTGGGACCTGGCTAGGCTGGCAGGAGCTGTGCGGGGTTCCCTCCTTGCCTTGAACCCCCTCACAGGGCTGAACATCAGCAGGCCCCATCTCTTGAAGGGTTTCCAGCTGCCTCCTGGGCTCTGAGATCGCGTGCATCCTGCCTGCAGGGCGCACAGTCTGCCAGGGACTCAGTGGGAAGAGGATCATGGAACCTGTGGGCCCAGAGTCACCGAGCAGGACCCTGTCATCCTCCTGGTCTCTCACACCAGCCCCCTTCCTCACTGTAGCTGACAGGGCCTGACCAGAGGTGCATGCCCAAGGCCGCAAACCCCCTAGGAGGAAGCTGGCATCTGGGGTGTCAGAAGTGTGACTAGGAGCTCAGAGGGTGTACTGGAGCTTGCAGTTGGGGGATAATTAAGCCAGAGGGCCACCTCTTTTAAGGGAGAGTGAATTATGGCATGAGGACAGGCATCCCGGAGTCAGGCGGCTGGGAACAAGGCAGTGGTCATTGTGACCCGGCAGCATTCCCAGCCCTGGTGCCTTTTCCCCAGCTCTGGAGACAAACCAGCAGGCCTGGGTGTTCCCCCCACAGAGCACAGAGAGCAGCAGGCGCTGTGAGGGGCAGCCTGGGTGGGAAAGAGGGAATGGAGGGAGGGGTGCAGACCGCAGAGAGGCCGCTCCAAGCTGAAAAATGGGGCACATCAGCCAAAGTTGTCTTTGGTGGGTATGGAGAGGATGGGGGTGCCCTACAGCTGAGTGCTGAGGCTGGAGGCTGCATTGACCCCCAGGTAGAAGGGGCACCCCACCGCCACCCCCAAATCCCCAGGTACTCCCTCGGCTTCATTTCTGTGCCCTGCCACATAAAACAACACAGCCCTGACGTTTGGAATGATCTAAGGCTATTTTAGACAAAAGGGGAAGTTATATTTTGGGGAATGCTGCATCTAAGAGAAGAGTGAAATTATGGGGTATATTTTAAGCACCATAAAAAGGTCTCCTTGGAATTTGGAGAAAGTTGATTAAAAGCTGAAGTGTAAGGTCTGGGACACCCCTGCCACAGCCCTGCCCTCCCCAAATGTTCTGGGGGTTTTACTGCTCCAGGGTTATGGAGACAGGGGACCCATCTGTCTATCGGCGATGTCAGCCTCAATGTTTGGGGCGGGAGTGTGGGCAGGCATCAATCAGCCACAGGGCCTGGCTGCCAATTTGTTTCCTAGTGATTATCCAGGATAGATCCGATTTCTGCAGGCCTCGCCCTGGGCAGCTCAGTCCCCAATGTCACAGTGCAGTTGCCACCTAAGGTTTCCTTCTGTGTGACTTGGCCACAGCAAGCCAGAACCAGCTCCTGAAACCAGTCCCCTCGAGAACCCCATTCCCGGGAGTGCCCAGAGGCAGCTTGGCATCTTCTGCCCAGCTGCTGACTGGCCCTGTGACCCCGACACGTGGTTCCTCCTGGTAAAAGAAAGAAAGGGATGACTTAGCAGTGGTCAGGCACCAGCACCCAACACCTTCCCTAGAGGGGGTTCTCTGTAAATCCCGGACAGTATCATCACCTCTTTAAGGGAGAGTGAATTACGGCCACCTCTGTCTTTGTCAGTGTCATTACAGTATTCTCAGCCCGATGCGGTGGCTCACGCCTGTAAGCCCAGCACTTTTAGAGGCCGAGGCAGGCTGATCACTTGAGGTCAGGAGTTGGAGACCAGCCTGGCCAACATGGTGAAACCCCATCTCTACTAAAAATACAAAAATTAGCCAAGCGTGGTGGCAGGCGCCTGTAATCCCAGCTACTGAGGAAGCTGAGGCAGGAGAATGGCTTGAACCCGGGAGTCAGAAGTTGCAGTGAGCCAAGATCATGCCACTGCACTCCAGCCTGGGTGACAGAGCGACACTCTTCCTCAAAAAAAAAAAAAAAAAAAAGAAAAGACATATACAGGATTCTAGTTAGCGGGTATGTGAACTGAGGTTCTTGCCTGGAGCTGATTCTGCCATCGGTTGATGTTTGGCAACTGCTGGAGACATTTTTGGTTATCATAGCTGGGGAGGGAGAGATGCTACTGGCTTCTGGTGGGTAGAGGCCAAGATGCTGCTAAACACCCCACAGTGTACAGGACGGCCCCCCTCTTTAAAGAATGACCCGGCTGCAAATGTCAGTAGTGCTGAGGCAGAGAGACCTGCTTTAGTTTAGAGGCCTTTAGAGAGTACAATTGAAAATCTGGTCTGGCGCTCTGGACAGAATCTGCAGGGAGCAGTGGTAATTCAGAAGCCACCACCTAGATGGAGGCCGGGAGCCATGGCTCACGCCTGTAATCCCGGCACTTTGGCAGGCTGAGGCAGGAGGATAGCTTGAGCATAGGAGTTCGAGACCAGCATGACAACATAGCGAGAGCCTGTCTCTATATTTTTTAAAATTTTTTAAAATGAATTTATTTATTTATTTATTTATTTATTTTTATTTTTTTGAGACAGAGTTTCACTCTGTCACCCAGGCTGGAGTGTAGTGGTGCGATCTTGGCTCACTAAAACCTCCGCCTCCCAGGTTCAAGTGATTCTCCTGCCTCAGCCTCCCAAATAGCTGGGACTACAGGCGTGCGCCATCACGCCCACCTGATTTTTGTATTTTTTGGTAGAGACATGGTTTCGCCATGTTGGCCAGGCTGGTCTTAAACTCCTGACCTCAGGTGATCCGCCCACCTTGGCCTCCTGTGATCACGCCTGGGATCACAGGCGTGAGCCACCATGCCGGGCCTGTTTTTTTAATTTAAATTTTCTTTTAAATGAAGCCACCACCTGTGTGGAGGGAGCTGTTTGTGGAAGGTGTAATTGTTAATAAGATTGTCCTCCAAGGAGGATGAGAAGACGACAAGGGCAGGCAGCCCCTGGAGAGGCCCTCAGTGCAGGCCGGCCTGAGGGGACATCTCCAGTCCTGCCAAAGTGCCTGGACCCGTTCTCGGCACCTCTCACCTCTCCCCTACAAACCAGAATTTACCAGCTCCAGGAGTTCAGAGGAATGGCCAGGAAGCAAGATGTGGGGGTTTGAGTGCAGGCTTGGCTGCCTGCATGCTGTGTGACCTGCAGCAAGTCACTTGACCTCTCTGTTCTGCCTCCTGATCTCTCACGCCCCAGGGCCTTTGCATGTGCTGTGCCCTCAATCTGGAATACTCTTGCCACCATCATCCTTTTAAGTCCCACCCAAAGGCCTCCATGTCCCTTCAGTGCCAGCGCACAGCACCACTGGGAGATTCAGAGCACAGATCCAGGATGACGGGCAAGCATGGGGTGTGGCTCCCACTGCCTTGCACCCTGAGGCTCTGAGCAGGCTCTCTTCAGCGACCCTGTGTTTCTTACAGCCGGCTTCTGGTGTTGGCTGAGGAAGAGCCAGGAATGAGCGAGTGCTGAGATGGAGTCACAGGACACTGAGGCAGCAGGGAGGCCGAGGAGGGGAGCCTGGGCGGTCCTCCTATGCCTGAGTGCGCTCCCATCCTTACTCTGGAACTGCCACGTAAAGAAAAGCAGAGATGCCCCGTGGTTCATACCTGTAATCCCAGCACTTCAGGAGGCCGAGGCAGGAGGATCATTTGAGCTCAGGAGTTTTTTGTTTGTTTGTTTGTTTTGTTTTGTTTTTGTTTTTTGACACAGAGTCTCGTTCTGTCACCCAGGCTGGAGTGCAGTGGCGCAATCTCAGCTCACTGCAGGCTCCGCCTCCCGGGTTCATGCCATTCTTCTGCCTCAGCCTCCCAAGTATCTGGGACTACAGGCACCACCACCATGGCCGGCTAATTTTTTAATTTTAGTAGAGATGGGGTTTCACCATGTTAGTCAGGATGGTCTCGATCTCCTAACCTCATGATCCACCTGCCTCGGCCTCCCAAAGTGCAGGGATTACAGCTATAAGCCATTGCGCCCGGCCAAGCTCGGGAGTTTGAGGTCATCCTGGACAACGTGGCAAAACCCCGTTGCTACGAAAAATACAAAAATTAGCCAGGCGTGCTGGCGCATGCCTGTAGTCCCAGCTACTCAGGAGGCTGAGGTGGGAGGATTGCAGGCCCATGATATGTCAAAGGCAGGATGTGTAAACCAAGATGGAGGTGATGAGGAGCAGCTTGTGCCCAACTGTCAGGAGCAGCAAGGGTCTTTGTATCATATGATCCCTCTGGGCTCAGGGCAGTGCCTGCTGTGGCTTCCCCAGACCCAAGGAGGATGCCACACAGTATACCATTCAGCGTTGGAGTGAGCGCCCAAGACAGGCTGGGCAGCCACCGCTACTGCCCCTTTTCAGAGCAGATTGGATTCAAAGGAGATTATTTAGCCATAAAAAGGAATGAAGGGCCATTCAGGCTCACATCTGTAATCCCAGTGCTTTGGGAAGCCAAGGCGGGAAGATTGCTTGAGGCCAGGAGTTTGAAACCACCCTGGGCAACATAGTGAGACCCCATCTCTACAAAAAATAAAAATATTAGCCAGGCATGTGCCTGTAACCCCAGCTACTCAGGAGGCTGAGGCAGGAGGATCGTTTGAGCCTAGGAGGCAGAGGTTATAGTTGGTGAGCCATGATCATGCCATTGCATTCCAGCCTCGGCAACAGAGCAAGACTCTGTCTCAAAAAAAAAAAAAAAAAAAAAAAAGATAGATAGATAGATATCTAAATGTATATCTCCTTTATGCTAATTGGTAACAGTCCTCATGGTGAGTATTGAATAAACTGGCTGGAGTGGGTTTGTGGCGGCAGCTCTTGGAGTATATGTTCTGGAGAGAGAGAGAGAGATATATAACAGCAGATATAGAGCAGTTTAGTCCTGACATGGTGGCACATGCCTGTAGTTGCAGATAACTCAGAAGACTGAAGCAGGAGGATTGCAAAGCCCTGGGATTTACAGGCATGAGCCCTCATACCCGGTCTGGGGTTTCTTGTTGTTGTTTTTCAAGACAGAGTCTGGCTCTATCGCCCAGGCTGGAGTGCAATGGTGTGATCTCAACTCACTGCAACCTCCACCTCCCGGACTCAAGCGATCCTCCCACCTTAGCCTCCCAAGTAGCTGGGACTACAGGCGTGCACCACCACACCCAGCTAATTTTTGTATTTTTAGTAGAGATGGGGTTTTGCCATGTTGTCCAGCCTGGTCTCGAACTCCTGGACTCAAGCCATCCACCCATCTTGGCCTCCCAAAAGGCTGGGATTCCAGACGTCAGCCACGGCGCCTGGCCTGTTGTTTTTAACACACCCGCTTACTTGTACTTGGATTGTCAACTTTTTCTCTTCCTCACCACAGCCCACTGAAGGGACACAGCAGTGGTCCCACACTGGGGTTCGGGAGATGAGGGCAAACTGAAATCTTGGTGATTCAGACTTTCTTTCCCCACTACCATAAGTGAGGGAACCCACACTTACAGCAGATATGTATTCCAAATATATATATATATATATATCCAAGAGCTGCCGCCACAGGATGACGGGTTGCTGACCACAGCTCTGGAGAGTGGGTCCAAGGGGAGCCTGGGGGCCCCAAAAGGCATCCCCCACCCCAAGTTTACAGAGAGAGGCAGTGGCACCTGCAGGGAGGGCAGAGAGGTGCTGTGGTAGCTACAGACCCTCCTTCCAGCCCTCCCTAAGGAGATTACCTTTCTTTACATGTGCAAATGTTCACTTTTGCCGCATTAAAAGTACTGGAAGGGCGCGGTGGCTCACGCCGATAATTCCAGCACTATGGGAGGCTGAGGCGGTTGGATTGCTTGAGGTCAGGAGTTTGAGACCAGCCTGGGAAACATGGTAAAACCCCATCTCTACTAAAAATATGACAATTGGCCCGGCACAGTGCTGCGTGCCTGTAGTTCCAGCTACTCTGGAGGCTGAGCCAGGAGAATCATTTGAGCCCGGGAGTTGGAGGTTGTGTTGAGCCAGGATCGTGCCACTGCACTCCAGCCTGGGCGACAGGAATGCAACCCTGTCTCAAAAAAAAAAAAAAGTACTGGAAGTCTTTGCTGTTCAAGTCCCTGTGGTTTGGAGATTGTGTGGGGAAGCAAACGTCATCTCAAGATGAAACCTTTCCAAATGAGCTGAACACTTGCAGAATGAGCCTCCACTCAGACTCCCCTCTCAGCTTAGCCTAAGGCTGGCTCCTCCCATGATGCAAATACGGTGCAAGCTGGTTGCAAAGTGAGGTTGAGAATCTTTCTTGCAAAAGATGCATTATTTCAGGAAGCCATCAAAAGTTGCCTGGAGGCTAGGCGCAGTGGCTCAGGCCTGTAATCCCAGCACTTTGGGAGTAAGAGGGGGGCAGATCACCTGAGGTCAGGAGTTCGAGACCAGCCTGGTTAACATGGTGAAACCTCGTCTCTACTAAAAATACAAAAATTAGCTGGGTGTGGTGGCATGCACCTGTAATCCCAGCTACTCAGGAGGCTGAGGCAGGAGAATTGCTTGAACCCGGGAGATTGCACCTCTGCACTCCAGCCTGGGCAACAGAGTGAGACTCTGCCTCAAAAAAACAGGTGATCTGGAGAATCACTCCCCTCATACCTCCTTAAGTCTACATGGAACAGTCTCAAAAATCATTCCTACATCACAGCCAGGTGTGGTGGCACATGCTTGTAATCCAAGATGCTCAGGAGGCTGAGACGGGACGATCACTTGAGCCCAGGAGTTTGGGACATAGACACAGACAGCCAATGACAGGCAGGTATCAGTTAGCAGGCAGGAAAGAGGTTCAACCATGGTGGACAGAGCCTTAGGAGCTAATGAGGCCATGATGCTGGTAACTTTAAATGACATCATTCAGGGCCAGTTGCAGTGGCTCATGCCTGTAATCCCAACACTTTGGGAGGCCAAGGCAGGAAGCTCACTTGAAGCCAGGAGTTCAAGACCAGCCTATACAACAAAGCAAAACCCTGTCTCTACAATAATTAAAAAATTAAACAGGCGTGGTGGTGCAAGGTGGTGCTACTCAAGAGGTTGAGGTGGGAGGGCCGCAGGACCCAGGAATTGGAGGCTGAAGTGAGCTACGATCACACCACTGCTCTCCAGCCTGGGGGACAGAGCAAGATCCTGTCTCAGTAAATAAATAATAAATAAGTAAATAAAATGAAAGGATTTTCAGCTTGGCTTGCAAGTATATAAAGCAAGTTCTGTTCCTTGCTTTATACACAAGACACACCTAAATCAAAGGGCTTCAGGAAGTTAAAAACAAAGGGGAAAGCAAGCACAGGTGTACCAGGCAGTGAGAAACGGGAGATAGCAGAGCTGCAATTCGGACATAGTTCAGGCCTCTGCACATTACATGTGGCAAAGATTGGTTATGATGCCAAAAGCCTCACTTTGCAATAAAGGTATAACACTTGTGAATATCTATGCACCAAACAACATAGCCACTGCCTTTATACAGTAGAAATTTGTGTGTGTGTGTGTGTGTGTGTGTGTGTGTGTGTGATGGAGTTTCACTCTTGTCACCCAGGCTGGAGTGCGGTGGCATGATCTCAGCTCACTGCAACCTCCACCTCCCTGGTTCAGGCGATTCTCCTGCCTCAACCTCTGAAATAGCTGGGATTACAGGCGCACGCCATCACACCTGGCTAATTTTTGTATTTTTAGTAGAGACGGGTCTTGAACTCAGGTGATCCGTCTGTCACAGCCTCCCAAAGTACTGGGATTACAGGCATGAGCCACCACACCTGGCCACAAAGTAAAAATTCTAAAAGATACAAGGAGAAACACACACACAGCTTGGTTGAGTAGATAGAAAATAGGCAAGGATGTTAAGACGCCCAAACCACATGCTTAAGGCAGACATTGTGGCCATATCGTGAACTCTTAAGAGAATAAACCTCCTTACACATACATGGAACATTCTCAAAAAATCATTTTTCTTTTTTGAGACAGGGTCTCACTTTGTCACCCAGGCTGGAGTTCAGTGGTGCAGTCTTGGCTTACTGCAGCCTCAATCTCGTGGGCTCAAGTGATCCTCCCACCTCAGCCTCCCAAGCAGCTAGGATTACAGGCACTTACCACCATCAAGTCTGGCTAATTTTTGTATTGTTTGTAGAGACGGGGTCTCACTATGTTGCCCAGGGTGGTCTCCAACTTGTGGCCTCAAGCAATCCTTCCACCTTGGCCTCCCAAAGTGCTAGGATTACTGGTGTGAGCCACCACACCTGGACTCAAAAATCATTTCTATATCAGAGTCAGGTGTGGTGGTACACACTTGTAATCCCAGCTGTTGAGGAGGCTGAGGTAGGAGGATCACTTGAGCCCAAGAGTTCAGGACCAGCCTGGGCAACATAGCAAGACCCCATCTCTACAAATAAAAATCATTCCTATGTCAGGTAAAGAGAAAGCATTTAGAACTTCCCAGAGTAGAACAATTACAAGTGACACTCTAACAATGCAATAAAACTTCGTGGAACTTTTTTTTAAAGTAAACTTATATTGAGCAACTCTTAGATGAAGAGATACAAACACAGCTGGGCGTGGGGGCTCATGCCTGTAATCCCAGCACTTTGGGAGGCCAAGGCGGGCAGATCACCTGAGGTCAGGAGTTCGAGCTCAGCCTGGCCAACATGGCAAAACCCCGTCTCTACTAAAAATACAAAAATTAGCCGGGCACCTGTAATCCCAGCTACTCAGGAGGCTGAGGCAAGAGAATTGCTCAAATCTGGGAGGCAGAGGTTGCAGTGAGCCGAGATCGCGCCACTGCACTCCAGCCTGGGCAACAGAGTGAGACTCTGTCTCAAAAAAAAAAAAAAAAAAAGGTACAAACAGACCAAAATTGCAGGTTTTCTAAAAATCAGTGACAAACACCCGTATGTTATCAGAATCCATGGGCTATATTTAAAGTGATGGTAGGAGGACACCACATAGCTGAACACCCATTAGATCCACAAATAGGAAAGAACGGAAGTAAATGAATTCATGTCCTATCTCAAGCTGAGAAAAAAGAACAAAGTAACCCCCAAAGAGAATGATTTGGGCATCAAATGGGCAAGATGAGGCCAGCTGCGGTGGCTCACACCTGTAATCCCAGCACTTTGGGAGACCAAGGTGGGCAGATCAGTTGAGCTTAGGAGTTCGAGACCAGCCTGGGCAACATAATGAAACCCCATCTCTACCAAAAATACAAAAACTTAGCCGGGCGTGGTGGCACATGCCTGTGGTCCCAGCTACTTGGAGGGCTGAGGGTGGAGAATCACTTGAGCCTGGAAGGCAGAGGTTGCAGTGAGCCAAGATCATGCCACTGCACACTAGCCTGGGCAACAGAGTAAAACCCCATCCCCCCCCCCCCAAAAAAAGGGTAAGATGAGCCCTAGGGGAAATATGATAAATTCTTCAGATGTTTTCACAGCCTTGAGAACCAAACAGGACCTTCCCCCATCAAAGCCTGGTTTGTTCTGTATTCTTTCTGTGACCTAGTACGTGGTTTCGTGATAACCTAAACCCAAATTTAGTGACATATGTAAGATTTCAGTAACTTGTTTCACACTTAGGTTTTTGTTGTTATTTAAGGCTTCCCCTACCCCACCCCTGTAGGGTTTGCTGTGAGACTTTAGCTCATGGTAGGAGTCTGTCCTTAAAGGGCCACGTCCTAGCCCTGGGAGTCCTTGCTGCGTTTCAGTGTTTGCTGTAATGCCATCTGCGTCTGTGGCTGACAGTTGGTGTCTCTTGTGAACTGGGACATACGGCGTTGGGAGCACTCAGCTCTCTGTACATCCCTGCCGTCCGTCCATCTGACCAGCAACCAGCTATCGAGAGCCTGCCGGGGTGCCCCAAACCCCTTGAGCAACCAGAAAAGAACAGAACCCGGCAGCAGCTAGGCTAGGGGCCCTGGAGAGCCTCCACTTCCTCCTCTGCGAATAGGGGAGCCATGAGGTTGGGGTGACTCTTCCACTTCCTGCCCCCACATCCGCAGGCCAACTGAGCCTGCAGCTGCCTCCTGTGCAGGCTTGGGCTTGGGGGTGTGGGGAGTCCTGTCTTGCACCACATAGCTGCCTCCTCACCTCCATGACACCCACCCCCTTCGCAGGGTCTTCCTTGTGCCTGGCTGGCATCATCCCCGACATGGCCCCCACTAACCTCCTCATTCCCTCGGCCCCGCCTTCACCACAGCTCTGAGCTCTGTTGAAAGCATCAGCTAAACTTCTCATTTCCTCGCCTCCAGCCCTGCCTGCTGGCCTCCGCCCCCTCTGCTCCCAGCTCCCAGGGAGTCTCTTCTCACCCAGCCCTCCTTGGGCACGTGACCCTGTGGACCCATTTTGTCCTGGGTGCTTCCCAGGCCTGCTCCTCCACGTCCCCACCATGGCCTCGGGAGACCAGTCACCCAGGGTGACACTCACCTCCTGCCGACCCATCCTGCTGGAACCATGTCGGGGATCCCCGGAAAACCCCATTTAACAGAGGATCCAGAACAGCGGCCCCTGGCCACTCTTTTCTCACGAAAACCAGACAGTCTGTATTTCACACAGATCCTAGGGGCCACCCAGTCTCTGTCAGAATGGCTTGACTCTGCTATTGTAACTCAAATGCAGCCTTAAGCCAGACCCAGACCGATGTGGCTGTGTGCCAGGAAAACGTCATTTGCTGCTGCTGAAAATTGAATTTCACATCAATTTCAGCCATCAAGAGATCTTTTGACTTTTTTTTTTCTTTTTTTTTTTTTTTGAGACGGAGTCTCGCCCTGTTGCCCAGGCTGGAATGCAGTGGTGCGATCTCAGCTCACTGCAGCCTCCTCCTCCCGGGTTCAAGCGATTTCCTGCCTCAGCCTCCCAAGTAGCTGGGACTACAGGCGCCCACCACCATGCCCGGCTAATTTTTGTGCTTTTAATAGAGACGGGGTTTCACCATATTGGCCAGGCTGGTCTCGAACTCCTGACCTTGTGATCCACCCCCACCCCCACCCCCACCCCCCACCCCCGGCCTTCCAAAGTGCTGGAATTACAGGCATGAGCCACCACACCCACCCGATCTTTTGACATTTTTTCTCCCCTAAGCATTTTTTTTTTTTTTTTCAGATGGAGTCTCACTCTGTCGCCCAGGCTGGAGTGCAGTGGCACAATCTTGGATCACTGCAACCTTTGCCTCCCAGGTTCAAGCGATTCTCCTGCCACAGCCTCCCAAGTAACTGGGACTACAGGTGCACACCACCACGCCCGGCTAATTTCATTTGTAGTTTGGTAGAGATGGGGTTTCACCATGTTGGCCAGGCTGGTCTCAAACTTGTGACCCACCCCCCTCGGCCTTCCAAAGTGCTGGAATTACAGGCATGATCCACCATGCCCGGCCAATTTTTTGACTTTTTTTCTCCCCTAAGCATTTTTTTTTTCCAGTTGGAATCTTGCCCTGTCGCCCAGGCTGGAGTGCAGTGGCGCAATCTTGGCTCACTGCAACCTTCGCCTCCCAGGTTCAAGCGATTCTCCTGCCTCAGCCTCCCGAGTAGCTAGGACTACAGGTGCCCACCACCACACCCGGCTAATTTCTTTTGTATTTTGGTAGAGACGGAGTTTCACCATGTTGGCCAGGCTGGTCATGAACTCCTGACCTCAAGTGATCCGCCCTCCTTGGCCTCCCAAAATGCTGGGATTATATGTGTGAGCCACCATACCCAGCCCCCTAAGCATTTTTAAAATGTGAAAACTGTCCCTAGAACGTAGGCTGTACAGTAATAGGTGGCTGGCCACACTTTGCAGACCCCCGGTAGAGATCACTGGTACCAGGAGGGTGTCCTCCATGTGGCCACACCCATGCCCCTACCTGTTTGTCTGTGACCGCTTTCCTGCCACATTGGCAGAGCTGAGCGGTGACAGCAGATGGAGCCAAAAATATTCACCACCTGCCCCTTCGCAGAACAAGTTTACTGGCCCCTGATTCACACAGAAAATCCCGCTTAATCCTCCATCTGCTAAGGCAGAGATTTTTCCAAAACCTTACCTTACAGGAGAGAAATCTGAAATCCAAGAGCCGTGAACTAATTTGCCCAAATTGCCCAGCAGTAGCCTTGAACCTCCAACCCTCCCCCTGGCCACCAGGATCCACTGAATCTTGCAAAGTGTCTCAGCAGAAGTAGCCTGCAACCTGGCTAGTCATGGTGGCTCAAGCCTGTAATCCCAGCTTTTTGGGAGGCCGAGGCAGGAGAATCACTTGAGCCCAGGAGTTCAAGGCCACCCTGGGCAACATAGCAAGACCCTATCTATACTGAAAAAAAAAAATTTTTTTTTTTAAATTTAGCAAGGCACAGTGGTATGCGCCGGTGGTCCCAGCTACTTGAGAGTCTGAGGCGGGAGGATCGCTTAAGCCCAGGAGTTTGAGGCTGCAGTGAGCTAGGATCACACCACTGTACTCTAGCCTGGGTGACAAAGCAAGACCTTGTCTCACTAAAAGAAATAGCCTGCAGCCCCATGAGGACCTGGGGGTTTATTTCCCTGGCATTTCCGTGAAGCACAGCCCCAGCTCCCAGTGGCTGCCCCATGGCTGTTTGCTTGGCAGACCTGGCAGAGCAGAACCCCCCGGTCCCTCAGGCGTCCTGGGACAGGGCACTGCCCATAGGGCTCCTGTGTCCATGAGGGCCTGGCACAGCCTTGGGATGTGGCCTCCGCCTACCGGCTTGAGCCACCGGCGCTCAGGGTCACAGCTCTCGTCTGGGTCTGACTGCTGTCAGTGTCCCCAGGTGGGCGTCACCTACTCCGTGGCCTCGGGACGAGTGCTGTTTCAGGTAGAAAGTTCTGCTAGGAACTTGGAGAATACAGGAAAGAAATAACAGGAGGTCCAAGCTGGCTGCCAGGCCCTGGCCAGTGTCATGTGGTGGTCTCCACCTTACCCAGCTAGAAGGAGAGAGGACTTTTGCAAACCAAAAAGCAAGGGGACAATCTCCCTCTTTCAGCCCCTTTCTTTAGGCTCTGTGGTGGCTCGATATTTGCAGATGTTCTTTCTCCAGCCGCAGCCTCTCTTGGCCATACCGGTCACTCCTTCATCTCAGTGCCTGCATGGCCTTGACGGGACAGGGGAGATCAGAAGTTCTGCGTGGCTCATGGCCTGAGCAGGGGGGTGGAGGCTTCACCCAGAGGTGGTGTTGCAGAGGGAGGAAGAAACAGCATCAAGGGACCGGGCATGGTGGCTCACACCTGCGATCCCAGCACTTTTGGGAGGCTGAGGCAGGTGGATTGCCTGAGCTCAGGAGTTCGAGACCAGCCTGGCCAACGAGGTGAAACCCTGTCTCTACTACAAATACAATAAAATTAGCTGGGCTTGGTGGCGGGCTCCTGTAGTTGCAGCTACTCTGGAGGCTGAGACAGGAGAATCACTCGAGCCCGGGAGGTGGAGGCTGCAGTGAGCCAAGATCGTGCCACTGCACTCCAGCTTGGGCGACAGAGCGAGACAGTTTCAACAACAACAACAACAACAACAAAAAGAAACAGCATCAAGGCTCCGGGAAGTGAGCAGCCCACTCTGTCCAGGCAGGTCCAGGGAGGCTCCCAGAGGCCAAGACACCTGAGCTGTGGCTAAACGTAACCAAACGTGTCAGGGCAGGTGGGCAGGGCATGGGCCAGGAGGGGAGCCACGGACGCGTCAGCCTCCTGCTCTTGGACTTGAGGGAGGGCGGCAGACCTTTCAGCACTTCTGTTTCCTCGTCTGAAATGGGGATGGCAGGTCTGCTTCTTAAAGGAATGCGAGTTGAAGAGGGAGTCTCGAATCCCACAGTATATGCCCCTAGTGGGCCACTCCTCACCACAGGTCATGATATGTCATAGTCTCTGTTCTCCCTAAAATGTTTTAGGGAGAATGGTTTTTTTGGTTTTTTGGTTTGTTTGTTTGTTTTTAGATGGGTTCTAACTCTGTTGCCCAGGCTGGAGTGCAGTGGTGCAATCATAGCTCACTGTAGCCTCGACCTCCTGGACTCAAGCAATCCCTCTCCCTCAGCCTCCTAAGTAGCTGGGACTACAAGTGTGTACCACCAGACCTGGTGAACTTTTCAGTTATTTTTCTTTAAGAGACAGAGTCTTGCTATGTTGCCCAGCTGGTCCTGAATCCATGGCCTCAAGCGATCCTCCTGCCTTGGCCTCCCAAAGTGCTTGGATCATAGATGTGAGCCACCTGCCTGGCCTCCCTAAAATGTTACCAGGCATTCCAACCAAGAGGAGAGCCATCCTTTAGATAGAAGATATAGAATTTTTGACCAGGCACAGTGGCTCACACCTGTAATCCCAGCACTTTGGGAGGCTGAGGCGGGTGAATCACTTGAGGACTGGAGTTCGAGACCAGCCTGGCCAACATAGCAAGACCCCATCTCTACTACCAGTACAGAAATTAGCCGGGCATTGGCCGGGCACGGTGGCTCACGCCTGTAATCCCAGCACTTTGGGAGGCCGAGGCAGGCGGATCACGAGGTCAGGAGATCGTAGACCATCCTGGCTAACACAGTGAAACCCTGTCTCTACTAAAAAAAATACAAAAAATTAGCCGGGCGTGGTGGTGGGCGCCTGTAGTCCCAGCTACTCGGGAGGCTGAGGCAGGAGAATGGCGTGAACCCAGGAGGCGGAGCTTGGAGTGAGCCGAGATCGTGCCACTGCACTCCAGCCTGGGTGACAGAGCGAGACTCCGTCTCAAAAAAAAAAAAAAATTAACCAGGCATGGTGGTGCACACCTGTACTCCCCACTACTCAGGAGGCTGAGGCAGGAGGATCGCTTGAACCTGGGGGGCGGAGGTTGCAGTGAGCCACTGCATTCTGGCCTGGGTGACAGAGCAAGACTTGGTCTCAAAAAAAAAAAAAAAATCTAGAATTTTTGCCTACATAGGACGTTCAACCCTGGATGTCTCTTTTCACAGATTCTCTGTTTGACTGAACATTAGACTCCTGAACCTTGTCCCAGTCCCATCTGTGCACTTCTTTATAAAATCCAGTTTCAGCTGAGACCCTGCTAAGTCAGTTTAACAGGAACCCTCTGCCCTTGAGAGCTGATCACCCTTGATGTCTGATCGGGCTCTGTATCTTCCCCCATACCCCAGGTACTATCTGATCACCCTGGCCTGTCTTCAGCAAGAATCCTGTTAGGTCGGTTTAGCTAGAAACTGCTGTATGCTCAGTGTTTCCTCTTAGTAATTTTCCATCCACTGACCCCCACCCTGCTCCTTGGTTATAAAGTCCCGCTTGCCCAAGCCATATTCAGATTTGAGCCCAATCATTCTCCCCCACTGGAAGGCCCCATCACAGTAGTGGGAATAAAGGCATCCTGCCCATGTGTTAATGAGTACCATTGAATAATCCTTTTTTGAGACGGAGTCTCGCTCTGTCACCCAGGCTGGAGTGCAGTGGCATGATCTCGGCACACTGCAACCGCTGCCTCCCGCATTCAAGCGATTCTTCTGCCTCAGCTTCCCAAGTAGCTGGGACTACAGGCGCACGCCACCATGCCCGGCTAATTTTTGTATTTTTCGTAGAGACAGGGTTTCACCGTGTTGGCCAGGCTGGTCTTGAACTCCTGACCTCAGGTGATCTGCCCGCCTCAGCCTCCCAAAGTGCTGGGATTACAGGCGTGAGCCACTGTGCCTGGCCCTATTGAATAATTCTTCTCTAACTTTCTCAATTCAAGAAACCTTTTTAAATTGCCCAGAAGAAAAATCTCAAAGGCAGGGGCGTTTGGAAGGCGGCCAGACTTCTTCCAGCCCTCAATGTCCCTGGTGGGCACATGGCATCCCCACTGGGCCCACACCTAGGCCAGCCCTGTCAGAGGAAGAGGCAAGACTGCCTCTACGTTAGTTTTACCTAGAAACCGTGACTGGGGGGAAGCTGAATTATGACCAATAGCTTTATGGATTTCTTTCTTCTGTGCTTTTCACGAGGTTTTTAAAATTTTTCTTTAATTTTTTTGGGGGGTGGGGCGGGGAACAGGGTCTCACTCTGTCGTCTAGGCTAGAGTGTAATGGCACAATCATGGCTCACTGCAGCCTCAACCTCCTGGGCTCAAGTGATCCTCCCATTTCAGCCCCCTGAGTAGCTGGGACTAGAGGCATGCATCACCACGCCTGGCTATTTTTTTCTTTTTTGTAGACACAGGATCTCACGGCTGCTCTTGAACTTCCTGGGCTCAAGTGATCTCCTGCCTTGGCCTCCCAAATTGCTGGGATTACAGTTGTGAGCCACTGTGCCTGGCTTATTTTATTTCTTTTTTTTTTTTTTTTTTTTTTTTTGAGACAGAGTCTTGCTCTGTCACCCAGGCTGGAGTGCAGTGGTGCAATCTTGACTCACTGCAACCTCCACCTCCTGGGTTCAAGCAATTCTCTTGCCTCAGCCTCCCAAGTAGGAGGGACTACAGGCTTGTGCCACCACGCCCGGCTAATTTTTGTTATTTGTAGTAGAGACGGGGTTCCACCATGTTGGCCAGGCTGGTCTTGAACCCCTGACCTCAAGTGATCCATCCACCTTGGCTTCCAAAGTGGTGGAATTACAGGTGTGAACGACAGTGCCAGGCCTTATTTTATTTCTTATTTATTTATTTATTTATTATTATTATTTTTTTTTTTTTTTTTTTTTGAGACAGAGTCTCGCTCTGTCGCCCAGGCTGAAGTGCAGTGGCGCAATCTCGGCTCACTGCAAGCTCCACCTCCCAGGTTCGTGCCATTCTCCTGCCTCAACCTCCCGAGTAGCTGGGACTACAGGCGCCACCACCACGCCCAGCTAATTTTTGTATTTTTAGTAGAGATGGGGTTTTACCATGTTGGCCAGGCTGGTCTTGAACTCCTGACCTCAAGTGATCCACCCACCTTGGCTTCCGAAGTGGTGGAATTACAGGTGTGAGCCACAGCGCCAGGCCTTATTTTATTTCTTTTTTATTTATTTATTTATTTATTTTTGAGACGGAGTCTCGCTCTGTCACCAGGCTGGAGTGCAGTGGCATGATCTCGGCTCACTGCAAGCTCCACCTCCCAGGTTCGTGCCATTCCCCTGCCTCAACCTCCCGAGTAGCTGGAACTACAGGCGCCGCCACCACGCCCGGCTAATTTTTTGTATTTTTGGTAGAGACAGGGTTTCACCATGATAGCCAGGATGGTCTCGATGTCCTGACCTTGTGATCCGCCTGTCTCAGCCTCCCAAAGTGCTGGCATTACAGGCGTGAGCCACTGCGCCCGGCCTATTTTATTTCTAATTGATGAAAGTTGTATATATTCATGATGTGCAACATGACATTTTGAAATACGTATACATTGTGGAAAGGGTCAATGGAGCTAATTAACGTACGCGTTACCTGACATACTCAACATGTTTTGTGATGAAAACACTTAAAATCTTCTCTCTTAGGAATTTTCAAAATACAAAAATATTTACAGTCACCATGTTATACAATAGATCGCTTGAATTTATTCCTCCTCTCTAATTGAAATTTATATCCTTTGACCAGCATCTCCCCAACCCTGCCGCCACCCCCGGTAACCAGTATTCTACTTTCTACTTCCGTTTTTTTGAGACAGGGTCTCGCTCTGTCACCCAGGCTGGAGTGCAGTGGTGCAATCACAGTTCACTGCAGCCTCAACTTCCTGGGCCTAAGCGATCCTTCTGCCTCAGCCTCCTGAGTATCTAGGACAACAGGTGTGTCCCACCACACCTAGCTTTTTATTTTTTGTAAAGATGGGGTGTCACTATGTTGCCCAGGCTGGTCTCAAACTCCTGGCCTCAAGCGATCCTCCCATCTCTGCCTCCCAAAGTGCTGGGGGATTATAGGCATCAGCCACAGCACCAGCCCTACTTTCCTACTTCTTTTTTTTCTGAGGCGGAGGTCTCGCTCTGTCACCCAGGCTGGAGTGCAGTGGCACCATCTCGGCTCACTGCAAGCTCCGCCTCCCAGGTTCACACCATTCTCCTGCCTCAGCCTCCCGAGTAGCTGAGACTATAGGCACCCGCCACCACGCCCGGCTAATTTTTTTGTATTTTTAGTAGAGACGGGGTTTCACCGTGTTAGCCAGGATGATCTCGATCTCCTGACCTCATGATCTGCCCGCCTCGGCCTCCCAAAGTGCTGGGATTACAGGCGTGAGCCACCATGCCTGGCCTGCTTTCTACTTCTGTGAGTTTTTTTTTGGACTGGGGGTACATGTGTAGTTTGTTACAGGGATATATTGGGTAATGGTTAGGGTTGGGCTTCTAAAATACCCATCACTCAAATAGTGAACACTGTATCCAATAGGTAACTTTTCAACCCTCACTCCCTTCCTCCCCTTTCCCACTATGAGTTCAACTTTTAAAAATTCTACACGAGTGAGATCATGCAGTATTTGCCTTTCTGTGCCTGGCTTATTAACATAGTATCCCTCAGCTTCATCCATGTTGTTGCAAATGACAGGATCTCTTTGTTTTTTTTTTCGTTTTGTTTGTTTTTTTTTTTTTTTTTTTTTTTTTTTTGAGACAGACTCTCGCTCTGTCACCCAGGCCAGAGTGCAGTGGTGCGATCTCAGCTCAGTGCAACCTCTGCCTCTCGGTTTCAAGCGATTTTCGTGTCTCAGCCTCCCCTGTAGCTGGGATTATAGGAGCCCACCAACATGCCCAGCTGATTTTTCTGTTCTAGTAGAGATGAGATTTTACCACGTTAACCAGGTTGGTGTCGAACTGACCTCAAGTGATCTGCCCACCTTGGCCTCCCAAAGTGCTGGAATTACAGGTGTGAGCCACCATGCTCAGCCAGGATCTCCTTTTTTATGGCCAAATACTATTCCATAGTGTATATAAACCACAGTTTCTTTATCCATTCATCTGTGGGGTTTTTTGTTTTTTTTCGAGACGGAGTCTTGCTTTGTTGCTCAGGTCGGAGTGCAGTAGCACGATCTCGGCTCACTGCAACCTCCACCTCCTGGGTTCAGACGATTCTCCTGCCTCAGCCTCCCAGGTAGTTGGGATTACAGGCATGCACCACCACACCCGGCTAATTTTTGTATTTTTAGTAGAGACGGGGTTTCGCCATGTTGGCCAGGCTGGTCTCGAACTCCTGACCTCAAGTGATCTGCCCACCCCGGCCTCCCAAAGTGCTAGGATTACAGGAGTGAGCCACTGAACCCAGCCTATTCATTCATCTGTTGATGCACACGTCTTGGCTATTGTGATTAGTGCTGAAATGAACGTGAGAATGCAAGCATTTCTTCCACGTACTGATGTCATTTCCTTTGGATATATACCCAGAAGTGGGATTGCTAGACCTAGTGAGATAATAATTTTTTTCCAAAGTTTACAACTTATATTAGAAACATGTTTTTTATATTATAAAAGAAAAAAAAATGTGTTTCTGTTAAAGGAGAGGCGTTTTTTGGTTTTGAGTGAGTCCAGCGCTGTGGGTTTTATAGCCTGGGGGGACCATGGCATCCGCCTTCCCGGTGCGTGTGCCAGATTATATCGCATAGTTGTTGACACCGGGGTCCCACTTCCTCCCTTCTGTCCACCCTGGACCCCACATGATACTCCAGGCACACCAGCCACCCTTGTGCTTTGAGACCGTGCGAGCCCCCGGCCAGCCCAGCCAAGCAGCAACACAATAGCACCCCTCGCTGCGAGCGCTGGGCCGCACTTCCCCCTCGGATGTATAATAGCACCAACCGGATATTTTTAGATGGGCTTTGAAAAGTCGCAGTGTGCTGAGACCGCATACCAGACGCGTGAGGTCACCGGGCCTGGGAGCAGCCTCTATGCATGGATAATTGGTGCACGGGGTAATCGGGTAATCGCAGAACCAGAAAGCCAGCCCTTGGGCAGCCATGGTGGTGGGAGGGGCCCCTCATATCCCAAGGCGTTCCCTGTGTTACGTTCCCAAGACACCAGGCCTGGCTGTGATATTAGAAGTCACTGCAGAGACTTGTCCCCTGGGTTTAAAGTGAGCACTGTGGCTCTTTAAGGTACAAATGTACATTTCTGGGGCACCTCTGCCACAGACCAGGCTTTACACCAAGGTACTACGGGGACCCTGACTCAGAGAGAGACCCGTTTCCTGCTGCAGACACCCCAGGGCCACCAACAGGACTGTCCCCCCCACCCCACCCCTGAGGACAGGCATCCCTTTGCCATCTGCTCATAGTTAAGCAGGGAAGCTTTCTGAGCCCCTTCCTGGGACGTTATTTTAGGGTTTCCCTGACAGATCTCTTTGAATTGAGGGTGACTGGGGAGGAGAGTCTGGTCGTGGGACCACATAGGTGAGGCTGGGCTTCGTGCTGTCAGGCAGGGAGCAAGGAGGAGGGCCTAGGCCCAGGCACCGGGCCCCAGGCTGAAGCTGATTTCCTGCGTGAGCTCCAGACTATGGCCCTGCAGGGTCCCGTGAGCATCCAAGGAGACGAGTCAGTGCCTCGAGACTGGGGGTTTCACTCCAAATAACAACAAAAAACAGTTCTCCAGCTACCCTCTGGAGAGCTGGAAATGAAACCTAGAAAGACCGCAGGGACCCCTCAGCACCTAGAATGCAGCACATATGGGAACCTATGGAAGGGACAAAGGGACCAGTGAGCCCCGACTACCCAGCCCTGCAACCCCTTTTATTTCTGTCTGTGTACATCAATGCTCCGCAGCCGGGGTGATTTGCCGATCTCTGGGGACATTCTTTGGTTATCCCAGATGGCATCGGGTAGGTGGAGGCCAGGGACGCTGTTCAACACCGTGTAGTGCACAGGACGCCCCCATCACACAGGATGGTTCACCCTCAAAAAGTCCCATAGGCACCCAGGAAAGTCAACTTCACCAGCAGAGCCCTTGGTGGTTCCCGCCCACCGACCAGCCCCCTGGGTTTCATCAGACCCTCCAGAGACTGTTTCAAAGTTCAACAGGTCAGACCGGGCCCAGTGGCTCACACCTGTAATCTCAGCACTTTGGGAGGCTGAGATGGAAGGATTGCTTGAGTCCAGGAGCCCCAGACCAACCTGGGTAACACAGTAAGATTCGTGTCGACAAAAATAATTTTTAAAATTAGGCCAGGCACAGAGGCTCACGCCTGTAATCCCAGCACTTTGGGAAGCCGAGGCGGGCAGATCACCTGAGGTCAGAAGTTCAAGACCAGCCTGACCAACATGGAGAAACCCCGTCTCTACTTAAAATACAAAATTAGCCGGGGTGATGGCGCGTGCCTATAATCCCAGCTACTCGGGAGGCTGAGGCAGGAGAATTGCTTGAACCCAGGAGGCAGAAGTTGCAGTGAGCCAAGATTGTGCCATTGCACTCCAGCCTGGGCAACAAGAGCAAACTGTCTCAAAAAAAAAAAAAAAAAAGCCAGGTGCGGTGATACATACCTGTGGTCTCAGCTCCTTAAGAGACAGAAATGGGAGGATCGCCTGAGCCTGGGGGTTGAGGTTGAGGCTGCAGTGAGCTATGGTCGCACCACTTAAACTCCAGTCTGGGCGACAGAGTGAGACCCTGTCTCCCTGTCTCAAACAACAACAACAACAACAAGAGGTGAGCAAGGCTCATGTGGTGACCCAGTCCGCCCCCACCAAAAGCACCCGGCTACTTCCCAGACCCCCTTCTCTGTAGAGGACCAGGTCATCTCTCTCTGGGGCCCCCTCCTTATCACCTTCCTGCTTGGCTCCGTGCCCCATGATCTTGAGCTCCTCCCTGTTTCCTTGTCCCATGACCCAAACAGCCAGCTCCTTGAGTAGTGTGACCCGCACATGGGTCCAGCCACAGCAACTGTCCGGGCTTCAAGCTCTGCCCGAGGCTTTGCAGCTGAATGGAGCCTTCTCCAAGGGAGTATCTGGGCCTCCCATGGTCAGATCCTTTTTTTTTATTTGAAACAGAGTCTCGCTCTGTCGCCGAGGCTGGAGTGCAGGGGCGCAAATGCAGCTGCAGCCTCAACCTCCTGGGCTGAAGCAATCCTCCCACCTCAGCCTCCAAAGTAACTGGAACTACAGGCACCCACCACCATACCTGGCTTTTTTTTTTTTTAATACTTTAAGTTCTGGGATACATGTGCAGAACGTGCAGTTTCGTTACATAGGTATACACATGCCATGGTGGTTTGCTGCACCCATCAACCCGTCACCTACATTAGGTATTTCTCCTAATGTTATCCCTCTCCTAGCCCCCTACCCCCTACAGGCCCTGGTGTGTGATGTTCCCCTCCCTGTGTCCATGTGTTCTCATTGTTCAACTCCCATTTATGAGTGAGAACATGTGGTGTTTGGTTTTCTGATCTTGTGATAGTTTGGTGAGAATGATGGTTTCCAGCTTCATCCATGTCCCTGCAAAGGACATGAACTCATCCTTTTTTATGGCTGCATAGTATTCCATAGTGTATATGTGCCACATTTTCTTAATCCAGTCTATCACTGATGGACATTTGGGTTGGTTCTGAGTCTTTGCTATTGTGAATAGTGCCGCAGTAAACATACGTGTGCATGTATCTCTATCGCAGAATGATTTATAATCCTTTGGGTATATGCCCAGTAAAGGGATTGCTGCATACCTGGCTAATTTTTTAAATTTTTTCTAGATTTGGGGTTTCGCCATGTTGCCCAGGCTGGTCTTGAACTCCTGGCCTCAAGCCATCCTCCTGCCTTGGCCTCCCAAAATGCTGAGATTACAGGCGTGACCACTGCGCCCAGCCACTCAGTTGCATTTTTAATGGGACTTCCCCATTCAGGCTGCCCCACAAAAGCCTCCACTCAGTGGTCAGCCAGTGTCTTAATCTGTTCGGGCTACTGTCACAGAATATGGTTACGCATTGCTTAACTATGGGAGAAATGCGTCATTGGGTGATATTGTGGTCACATGAACATCCTAGAATGAACTTACACAAACCTAGATGATATAACCTACTACACACTTCGGCTGTAGGTGTTTAGTAGGTTATATACTACTAATAGGTGTGTTAATATGTAACCACTAATAGGCTATACCTATACAAATAGATGTAGCTGGCCAGGTGCGGTGGCTCACGCCTGTAATCTCAGCACTTTGGGAGGCCAAGGCAGGTGGATCATCTGAGGTCAGGAGTTCAAGACCAGCCTGGCCCCGAACTCTGGTGAAACCCTGTCTCTATTTGAAAATGCAAAAATTAGTCGGGCATGGTGGCTCGCGCCTGTAGTCCCAGTTACTCTGGAGGCTGAGGCAGGAGGATAGCCTGAACCTGGGAGGTGGAGGTTGCAGTGAGCTGAGATTATGCCACTGCACTCCAGCCTGGGCAACAGAGTGAGACTCGATCTCAAAAAAAGCAAAAACAAATAGGTATAACCCATTACTTCTAGGCTACAAACCTGTACAGCATGTTACTGTACTGAATACTGTGGGCAGTTGTAACACAATGGTAAATATTTGTGTATCTAAACATAGGCCAGGCCTGGTGGCTCATTCCTGTAATCCTAGCACTTTGCAAGGCCTAGGCAGGAAAATCGCTTGAACTCAGGAGGTCGAGGCCGCAGTGAGCCAAGATCACACCACCGCACTCCAGCCTGGGCGACAGACCAAAATTCTGTCTCTAAATAGATAGATAGGCTGGTTACTTTGGCTCACACCTGTAATCTCAACACTTTGAGAGGCCAAAGTATGCAGATTGCTTGAGCCCAGGAGTTTGAGACTGGCCTGGGCAACACAGTGAAACCTCTTCTCTACAAGAAAATAAGCCAGGTGTGCTGACACGTGCCTGTAGTCTCAGCTACCTGGGAGCTTGAGGCGGGAGGATCACCTTGAGCTCTGGAGGTTGAGGCTGCAGTGAGCCATGATCATGCCACTGCACTCTAGCCTGGGCGACAGAGTGAGACCCTGTCTCAAAAAAACATTGGATGAATGGGGCTGGGCACATTGGCTCAGGACTGTGATCTCAGCACTTTGGGAGGCCAAGGCAGGCGGATCACCTGAGGTTGGGAGTTCGAGACCAGCCTGACCAACATGGAGAAACCCCGTCTCTACTAAAAATACAAAATTAGCCGGGTGTGGTGGTGCATGCCTGTAATCCCAGCTATTCGGGATGCTGAGGCAGGGGAATCACTTGAGCCCGGGAGGAGGAGGTTGTGGTGAGCTGAGATCGCGCCATTGCACCCCAGCCTGGGCAACAAGAGTGAAACTCTGTCTCAAAAAAAAAAGAAAAAATGATTGGATGGATGGATGGATGGGTGGATGGATGGATGCATGGATGGAAACATAGAAGCAGTACAGTAAGAGTACAGTATTATAATCTTATGGGACCACCGTCATATATGTGGTCCATCGTTGATGGTCATTGCTGTGCAGTGCATGACTGTACCATGTAGACCAGGTGGCTGAAACAACAAATATATTCTCACAGTTCTGAAAGTGAGAAGTTCAAGGTCAAGGCTCTGGCAGATTTGGTGTCAGGTGAAGGCCCTCTTCTTGGTTCATTGATGGTGTTTTTTCCCATGTCCTCACACGGTGGAAGGAGTGAGGGTGCTCTCTGGGGTTCTCTTCTATAAGGGCACTAATCCCATTCATGAGGGCCCCATGTAAGTGACCTCATCACCTCCCAAAGACCTCACCTCCTCAACCTATCACCTTAGGGTTAGATTTCTTTTTTTTTTTTGAGATGGAGTTCACTCTTATTGCCCAGGCTGGAGTGCAATGGCACGATCTCGGCTCACCGCAACCTCCGCCTCCCGGGTTCAAGCGCTTCTCCTGCCTCAGCCTCCTGAGTAGCTGGGATTACAGGCATGTACCACCATGCCCGGCTAATTTTGTATTTTTAGTAGAGACAGGGTTTCTCCATATTGGTCAGGCTGGTCTCAAACTCCTGACCTCAGGTGATCCGCCTGCCTCGGCCTCCCAAAGTGCTGGGATTACAGGCGTGAGCCACCGTGCCCGGCCAGGGTTAGATTTCAACATATAAAGTTTGTCGGGGGCCAGGCATGGTGACTCAAGCCTGTAATCCCAGCACTTTGGGAGGCCGAGGCAAGGAGATCACTTGGGGTCAGGAGTTCGAGACCAGCCTGGCCAACATGGTAAAACCCCATCTCTACTAAAAATACCAAAAATTAGCCGAGCGCAGTGGCACACACCTGTAATCCCAGCTACTCAGGAGGCTGAAGCACGAGAATCACTTGAACCCAGGAGGTGGAGGTTGCAGTGAGCCGAGATCACACCATTGCACTCCAGCCTGGGCAACAGAGCAAGACCCTGTCTCAGAAAAAAAAAAAAAAATTGTGTGAGGGACACAGACATGAAGTCCATAACAACCAGTATCCATCCCCCTGTGGAATGAGGCCTTCAGGAAGATCCTGTCTCTCTGTGTCATTGTGTCTCCGGTTTCCGCCTCCCTGGTGTGCTTGGCCACCACCTACCCCACCCCCTACAATGGGACCTTGGCAATGGCCTTGCCACTTCCTTCACACTGTGGCCTCGCTCTCTCCTATCCCCTGGGTGGCCCAGCCTCTCAAATGGGAGCATCACTGCTGCCAAACTTTCCACGTGTGACTGCAGGGCGTGCCCCCTGCCCCTGTGCCCTCCCCTTGCCATGTTACCTCTTCCCCAAACCTAGCGGTCACAAGGACTGGGACAGTGGAACACCAGGCCCCAGGACCAGCTCTGCTGCCTCTCTCTCATCTACAAGGCCTTACAGCCCGCATCCTGCTGGCCTCACCCCATCTTCTTTTTCCTAAACGAAAGAGCCCCCACCTTCCGCCAGCCACCACCTCTTCTCAGCTTCTCTGTCCTGCCCCAGGCACCTTCCCTGCCTCAAGTTCCCCCAGGGGCTCCGTCTTAACCACTCTGGAGCAGTAAGTCCCTCATGGGAAGGGGGCACCCCAGGAATCTGGACAGAGTGTAGGTGTCCCCCATCTTCATCCAGGTGATGGTTACATGGAAGGCCCCAGAGGGGACCCCTGCACACTCCCTGCACTGCACACACTTCCCTGTATGTGTGGACTCCTCAGTACAGAGCAAAAAGATTGTCCTGTGAAAAAGGAATGAAACATTGATTACAGGTGAGCCACCGTGCCTGTCATCACAGCCCTTTCGGAGGCCGAGTTGGAAGGATCGCTTGAGGCCGGGAGTTCAAGACCAGCCTGGGCAACTTAGAGAGATGCGGTCTCTACAAAAAATTTTAAAAATTAGCCAAGCATGGTGGCATGCACCTGTGGTCCCAGCTATTTGGGAGGCTGAGGCAGGAGGATTGCTTGAGGCCACGAGGTCGAGGCTTGCAGTGAGCTATGATTACACCACTGGGCGACAGCAAGACCCTGCCTTTTAAAAAAAAAAAAAGAAAGAAAAAAGAAGCGGCAACCAGACACAACAGGCCATAAGTGTATGACCTCATTGACCTGAGATACCCAGAACAGGCAAATCCATAGAGACAGGAAGCAGATTGGTGGTTGTCAGGGACTAGGGGAGGGAAATGGGGAGGGACTGCTGATGGGGACAGTCTCCTTTTCGGGGGATCAGAATGTTCTGGAACCAGGTAAAGGCGATGGCTGCACAACATTGTGAATGTACTGAATGCCACTGAATTGTACACTTTAAGAAGGTTAATTGTATGTCATGTTTTACGCCAATTTTTTTTTAATTGCTCTGTGAACCCACTTATCTTCCCACCAAACTTTAGGGCTCCTCAAGGGACCTTCCACATACCCTGCCTTGTGTCCAGCAGTGAGCCCAGAATCCAGATCAGCCCAAAACTCCTGCCACAAAGAGCCCGATAGGCAATATTTGCACCTTCGCAGACTAGATGGTAGTCTCTGTTGCAACACAATTGAATGAGCCTGGCATGTACCGATAAAACTTCATTGATGGACGCTGAAATGTGAAGAGGTTTTTCACGTCAGGGAATATTCTTCTTTGGGTTTTTGTTTGTTTGTTTGTTCCTTGTTTCACCATTTACAAATGTGAAAACCATTCTTGGCTCGCAGGCGATTAAAAAAACAAGCATCAGACCAGATTTGGCCCACAGGGTGTGGCTTACCCTATCAGATGAATGGTTACAACTGAAAAGAATTCAGGCAATTGCCATTTTTAATGTCAGAGACTTAAAACTTGAACACCGGCCAGGCATGATGGCTCATGCCTGTAATCCCAGTACTTTGGGAGGCCAAGGCGGGCAGATCACCTGAGGTCAGGAGTTCGAGACCAGCCTGGACAACATGGGAAAACCCCGTCTCTACTAAAAATGTAAAAGTTAGCCAGGCGTGGTGGTGCACACCTGTAATCCCAGCTACCCGGGAAGGTGAGGCACGAGAATCGCTTGAACCCGGGAGGTGGAGATTGCCGTGAGCTGAGATCGTGCCATTGTACCCCAGCCTGGCAACAGAACAAGACTCTGTTTCAAAAAAAAAACAAACAAACTTGAGCACCACACACAACCTCAGACACAGAGATAAAGAGTGAAATGTTGGAATGGGCCTTGGCTATACACCTCTGTATTTTTCAGGTCTTATCTGGGCTTCTAAGTGACTTATAGCCTACTGTCTTGGGGACAAGTGAGTGTCCTCAAAGCCGAGAAGGAGGGAGGCCCAGGGCTCCAGGCTGAGGCCTATAGAAGCTCCATCCTCGCTGGAGCCCATTATCCTTAGCAAACTAACACAGGAACAGAACACCTAATATTGCATGTTCTCACTTTCAAGTGGGAGCTAAATGGTGAGAACACATGGACACACAGAGGGGAAGAGCAGACAGTGGGGCCTCCTGGAGGGTGGGAGGAGGGAGAGGAGCAGAAAAAATACTATTGGGGCCAGGCACAGTGGCTCACGCCTGTAAATCCCAGCACTTTGAGAGGCCGGGGCGGGCAGATCATGAGGTCAAGAGATCGAGACCATCCTAGCCAACGTGGTGAAACCCCGTCTCTACTACAAATACAAAAATTAGCTGGGCATGGTGGCACACGCCTGTATTCCCAGCTATTTGGGAGGCTGAGGCAGGAGAATCGCTTGAACCTGGGAGGTGGAGGTTGCAGTGAGCCGAGATCGTGCCACTGCACCCCAGCCTGGGCAACAGGGCAAGACTCTGTCTCAAAATAAAAAAGAAAAGAAAAAGAAAAATAACTGTTGGATACTAGGCTTAGTACCTGGGTGACAAAATAATCTGTACAGCAAATCCCTGTGATACAAGTTTACCTACTTAACAAACCTGCGTGTGTACCCCAAAACCTTAAAAGTTAAGGCTAGGCATGGTGGTGCATGCCTGTGGTCGCAGCTACTTGGGAGGCTGAGGCAGAAGGATCCCTTGAGCCTGGGAGACAGAAGTTGCAGTGAGCTGAGATCATGCCACTACACTCCAGCCTGGGCAACAGAGCGAGACCCCATCTCAAAAATAATATTAAAAGGTTAAAAAATAAAGTTTATTTAGACAACAGATAAAATGATGTTTTTGCAAATTATGTCACAATCTGGAAAATATTAATTAAATAAACCGAGTCTGGGCATGATGGTTCATGCCTGTAATTCCAGCACTTTGGGAGACCGAGGCGGGTGGATCACTTAAGCTCAGGAGTTCCAGACCAGCCTGGGCAACATGGCAAAACCCCATCTCTACAAAAAATTAGCCAGGCGTGGTGGTGCATGCCTGTGGTCCCAGCTGCTCAGGAGGCTGAGACAGGCGGATCGCTTCAGCCTGGGAGGCAGAGGTTGCATTGAGCCAAGATCGCAACACTGCACTCCAGCCTGGGTGACATTGTGTGACCCTGTCTCAAACAAAAAAAAAAAGAGTGAAAGAAAATGGGCTACTCTCTGCTTACTGGGTAGCCCTACTTTGCAGGAACAGTTAAAGAAAAAATAAGAGACCAGGGGTGGTGGCTCATGCCTATAATCCCAGCACTTTGGGAGGCCAAGGTGGGCGGATTGTCTGAGCTCAGGAGTTCGAGACCAGACTGGGCAACACAGTGAAACCCCGTCTGTACTAAAAATACAAAAAATTGGCCAGGCGTGGCAGCGTGCGCCTGTAATCCCAGCCACTCGGGAGGCTGAGCCAGGAGAACCGCTTGAACTCGGGAGACAGTGCTTGCAGTGAGCTGAGATTGCGCCCCTGCACTCCAGCCAAGGCAACAGAGCGAGACTTCATCTCAAAAAAAAAAAAAAAAAAAAAAGAAAAAGAAAAAATAGAGACTGGGCACAGTGACTCATGCACTTTGGGAGGCTGAGGCGGGCAGATTGCCTGAACTCAGGAGTTCTACGTCAGCCTGGACAACATGGTGAAACCCCGTCTCTACTAAAATACAAAAATTAGCCAGCATGGTAGCGCACATCTGTAGTCCCAGCTACTCAGGAGGCTGAGGCATGAGAATTGCTTGAACCCGGGAGGCAGAGGTTGCAGTGAGCCAAGATTGTGCCACTTCACTCCAGCCCAGGTGACAGAACAAGACTGTCTCCAAGAGAAAAAATAGATAAATTGAACAATACAAAATATAAAAGCACAGTGTAAAATGAGAGGAAAAAAAAGAAAAAGAAATTCCACCCTCCTGATCTGAAACCTGCTTTTGATTTCCTTGCAGGCTTTTGGAAATGCCAAGACAGCCCACAACAACAACTCCAGCCGGTTTGGGAAATTCATCCAAGTCAGCTACCTAGAGAGTGGCATCGTGAGAGGGTGAGGTGTCCCTGGGGTCCCCACTGGTGGGAGCTGGCCCCACGCACTGTTGCTTCCTGACACACACATGGGAGTGAGATGTGGAGATCATGGCTGTGTGGATGTTTATGCTTTGTATGGGAGAGCGAGTGTGATTTTTAGGTCTTTGAGGTGAAGGTCTGGAACAGTAGGTTGAAGTAGGAAATGTGGGCAGGGGCTGGGGGACGTGGCTAGAGGTAGTGGGCTTTACCGAGAACAGGCAAGGACAGCCCAGCCCATTTCCTGTCTTGATAAAGTTTCTAATTTGGTAGGTCTTGGGGGTGTCACAGGCAGTGGGGATGCGGACTCTGGCCTTTGCCAAACATGTGCTCCTTTAGCCAGAAAATGACAGGTACAGAGCTGCAAAGTGAGGTGGTCGTGCATGGAAATACTGAAGGGTGGGTGGGTGGATGGACTCATGAGGGGATGGATGGATGGATGGATGATGGATGGATGGATGGATGGATGGATGGTTAGAGAGACAGATGGATTCATGGGTGAATGGATTTGCACGTAGATGGATAGACAGATTTATGGATGGATGGATGGATGAATTCATGCATGGATGGCTGAATGGATGGATAGATGAATTATTGGGTGAATGGATTCATGAGTGGATGGATGAATAGATTCATGAATGGGTGGGTGGATAGATGGATGGATGGATGGATGGATGGATGGATGGATGGATGGATGGATGGATCGATGGATTGATTCATGGGGGAGTAGATTCATGGGTGGATGGATGCATTCATGAGTGGATCTACCCATACACTCATGAATCCATCCATCACAGGTGGATGGGTAGATTCATGGGTAGGTGAATGAATAAATGGGTAGATTCATATAATGAATGGGTGGATGGATAGATTCATGGATGGATGGATGGATGGATGGGTGGGTGGATGGATTTATGGGTGAGTGGATTCACAGGTGGCTGGATAGATGGATTCTTGGGTGGATGGATTTACAAGTGAATGGATAGAATCATAGGTAGGTGGACGAATAAATGAGTAGATTTGTGGGTGTGTGGATGGGTGGATGGATGGATAGATAGATGGATTCATGGGTGGATGGATTCATGGATGGAGAGATACATGGATTATTCATAGATGGATGAGTAGATTCATGGGTAGGTGGATGAATAAATGGGTAGATTTTGTGGATGTGTCAATTAGCGAATGGATAGATTCATGGGTAAATTGGATGGAATTGGATGGGCTTGATCAGTGGATCCATGGATCCATTGATGGGTGGATGAGTACTTAGATGGCATCTGAGAGGGTCCAAGGCCTGGATACTCACAGGGATCCCCCACTAACTATAGATTCTCATGTGAGGGGCTGCTGTGTCAATGGGATTTGTAAAGGTCCCAGGATTTTGTCTGTCTGAACCTGACTGATGATCATTTCAACTGATGGTTCATATTCAAGATACAAACAGGCATATTGTTCTCCTGAACCTTCCGCCTCTAGCTTCATTTCTTTTTCCCAGTGCCCAGGCTCCAGTAGGCAGTGGTGTGGGTGAGTGGCCCTTGACAAATGTCAGGGGCTGCTCTGGCCCCTCGGCCTCAGCCCCCACAAGGCAGTCAGTGGCCCCCCAACTCCTACCACCTGCCCACATGGGTGTACCCGGTTCATCAGAAACACCTGGAACAGCCACTTGTCCCACCTGTCTTCCAGGCCCTGACCTCTCCATGAAGACCCCACCTTTTTCACTTCATATTTTGGGGGTTAAAATACACAACATAAGGCCAGGCGTGGTGGCTCACACCTATAATCCCAGCACTTTGGGAGGCCGAGGTGGGTGGATCACCTGAAGTCGGGAGTTCAAGACCAGCCTGTCCAACGTGGTGAAACCGCCATCTCTACTAAAAATACAAAAATTAGCTGGGCATGATGGCAGGCGCCTGTAATCCCAGCTACTCAGGAGGCTGAAGCAGGAGAATCGCTTGAACCCAGGAGGCGGAGATTGCAGTGAGCCAAGATCAGGCCACTGCACTCCAGCCTGGGTGACGAGCGAAAGTCCATCTCAAAAAAAAAAAAAAAAAAACCCAACAACCAACCAACCAAACAAGCAAACAAAATTAGCTGGGCGTGGTGGTGCATGCCTGTGATCCAGAAATTACAAGTGTGAGCCACTGCGCCCAGACACTATGTTTAATTTTTTTTTTTTTTTTTTTTTTTTTTTTTTGAGACAGAGTTTCGCTCTTATTGCCCAGGCTGGAGTACAATGGCGTGATCTCGGCTCACCGCAACCTCTGTCTCCTGGGTTCAAGCGATTCTCCTGCCTCAGCTCGAGTAGCTGGGATTACAGGCATGCGCCACCACACCTGGCTAATTTTGTATTTTTAGTAGAGATGGGGTTTCTCAATGTTGGTCAGGCTGGTCTCGAACTCCCGACCTCAGGTGATCTGCCCGCCTTGGTCTCCCGAAGTGTTGGGATTACAGGCGTGAGCCACTGCGCCTGGCCATTTAATTTTTTAAGAAGCCACCATACTGTCTCCCATGGAAGCCACACCATTTTACCTTCCCACCAGCAGTGCACAAAGGTCCCCACCTCTTATCTTTGGTTTTCTTTTTCTTCCCGTGGGTCCATCTTTTGCACGATCCTATCTGCCACATTGCAGAGATTTTGACCCACAGGAAGCATTCAGGGTACCTTGTTGGGAAGATGACACAGATACTGTTGCTACAGTTCCATGCCTCCCTTGGGGAGAAGCTAAGCTGCCTCCTTGTCTTGTCTGGGTGTCCAGCTGGCTCTGGACAGACACTGCAGGCTTGACCTCCGCATGGGCACCGCCCCCTTTCCAACATTATCTCTGTATGCATTTCCTAGGAGGGACTGCCATAACAGTGTACGACAAACCGTATGGCTGAAGCAACAGGAATTATTCTCTTATCATCCCAGAGGCCAGAAGTCGGATATCAAGGTGTCCACAGGGCTGGTTCCTTCTGGAGTCTCTAGGGAAAGATCCTGGCTACCTCCTCCAGCTTCTGGTGGCTCCCTTGGCTCATGGCCACATTACTCCCATCTCTGCCTCTGTCTTCAGGTGGCATGTGTCTCTCCTCTTTTTATTTTTTTATTTTTTGGAGACGGAATCTCACCCTGTCGCCCAGGCTGGAGTGCAGTGGTACTATCTCTGCTCACTGCAACCTCCGCCTCCCGGGCTCAAGCAATTCTTGTGCCTCAGTCTCCCAAGTAGCTGGGATTATAGGAATATGCCACCACACCCAGCTAATTTTTGTATTTTTAGTAAAGACAGGGCCTCACTGTGTTGGCCAGGTTGGTCTCAAACTCCTGGCCTCAAGTGATCCGCCTGCCTCGGCCTCCCCAAGTGCTGGGATTACAGGTGTGAGCCACCACGCCCGACCCCCTCTTCTAAGGACATTTGTCATCGGATTTAGGGCCCTCCTGGATTATTGAGGATGATCCTGAGGCCTTTAACTTAATGGCCTCTGCAAAGATCCTTTTTTATGTTTTGAGACAGGGTCTTACTTTGTTGCCCAGGCTAGAGTACAATGGCATGATTATGGCTCACTGCAGCCTTGAACTCCTGGAGTCAAGCGATCCTCCTGCCTCAGCCTCCTGAGTAGCTGGGACTACAGGTGCACACCCCCACACCTGGCTAATTTTTTATTTTTATTCTGTAGAGACGGGGTCCCACTGTGTTGTCCAGGCTGGTCTTGAACTCCTGGCCTCAAGCGATCCTTCCACCTTGGCCCCCCAAAGCTCTGGGGATTACAGGCATGAGCCACTGCGCCCAGCTCCCTTTTTCCAGATAAAGTCATATCCCCAGGTTCCAGGAGACATAACTTCCAGGGCCCACCATTGGACCAGACACCAGAAGGGCTGGCCTGGCCCAGCCCATAGCTAAATGGTTTAGCCTCCCCGACCTTCCCCAGGCTCCCATCATATTCAGGACCAGTGGACCTCCATGGCCAGGTCTCCCAGACCAGCTTTGGAAAGTCGTATCTGTGGCCTTGGATTCAGGAAAGGGAGTCCTGCCTCCACCCACAACCTCAGGACTGTGGCCATCCTCGCCCCAGGGAGGGAGGTGCACTTCCTATCCCAAGAATGGCCGCAGCGATCACACAAAGAGCCGGCTCAGACCGGTTCTGCTTTTGCCCACTTTCAGGCAGGTGACACTTCTCCATGCCATTCCCACCAAGGCCAAGGGTCAGGCACAGTCCAAGCCTCCCCACCCAGTTCTCCAATTTATGAGGCTGCAGCTTCCTGTGTGTTCAAGGACTCAGTGCTGGAGGAGCCCTGGGTCCCTATAAGACCCCTTTTTTAGGCCCAGGCCTTGAAAATGATTGGGGAAGGGAAGGGGCCATCATCTGTCAAGCGACATTTTGATGCCAGACCTGCAGATGCAGCACGGGGAATCGGCCACAGGCTGAGATTGAAACATGAGTTTCCTCCTAGAAACGGACACAGCCTCCCTCCCCAGGAATGCAGGAAGGTGCTGAAACTGGTTACTAGCCCGGCAAAGGAATAGAAGGAAACATTTTTTTCTCCTATTTGAAAGAAGAGAGGACCCAGGCTGGGCCATCAGAAGCCACCTGTGCATCGTGTGTGTCCCTGTGTGAGCCTGCAGACAAAAGACTGCTGTCTTGGGCTGGGCGCGGTGGCTCACGCCTGTAATCCCAGCACTTTGGGGGAGTGATGCGGTGGATCACCTGAGGCCAGGAGTTCAAGACCAGCCTGGCCAACATGGTGAAACCCCATCTACTAAAAATAACAAAATTAGCCAGGTGTGGTGGCTCATGCCTATAATCCCAGCTACTCGGGAAGCTGAGGCAGGAGAATCACTTGAACATGGGAGGCAGAAGTTGCAGTGATCCCAGATCATGCCACTGCACCCCAGCCTGGGTGGCAGAGTGAGACTCCGTCTCAAAAAAAAAAAAAAAGACTGCTATGCTGGAGAGACAGGCGTTCAGCAGACCCTGAATTGGGAACCTCGTGCTGTCCCCTGGCCCTGCCACTCCTTGGGCACCAGCTGTGTCTCCTGCATAACAGGATGGGCTCAGATGAGGGTGATCTGGAGGCCCCAGTGAGCTCACATGTCTGGTGATGGCGGACCCTGTGATAGACCGGCCCCACCAGACTTAGCCAGCCCCAGCTGGTGCGAAAGGATCCCACCAGGCCACCCTCTTCCCACAGGGGCCCTGGGCAGCACATAGTCTCACCAAGCCTTGGCTCCTTGTCCACTCCTCAGGAGCCACCGTGCCTGCCCCAGTATGGAAGAGGAGTCCCTGAGAAATACATCAAATGATGCCTAGAACATATTTTTCCTCGAAAAAACATTCACTGCCACTACTTTTAGCATTGAGAGATATTTGGGGCTGCAGAGACACCCCAGTCCCTGTGCTGGTACCCTCAGACTCAAGGTCCCACATGATGCCAGGTGCCTCCTGAGGGACCTCTGAGAACTTAATTTGGAGGAAACACTTTAACTGCTTGGCACAGAGAAAATGATTGGTAAGGCCGGGCGCAGTGGCTCACGCCTCTAATCCCAGCACTTTGGGAGGCCAAGGTGGGTGGATCACCTGAGGTCAGGAGTTCGAGACCAGCCTTGCCAACATGGTGAAACCTGTCTCTACTAAAAATACAAAAATTAACTGGGCGTGGTGGTGGGCGCCTGTAATCTCAGCTACTGGAAGGCTGAGGCAGGAGAATTGCTTGAACCCAGGAGGCAGAGGTTGCAGTGAGCTGAGATCACGCCATTGCACTCCAGCCTCGGCAACGAGAGCAAAACTCCATCTCAAAAAAAAAAAGAAAGAAAGAAAATGATAAATAAACGGCAGAACACCAGACCATATGGATACAACCAAGTATTGCTGGGTATCACAGACCCCTGTGCTTCCAAGGACACTGTGACAAAATTGGAAAGGAATCCCCAGACCCAGAGAAGGTACCTGCAAATCAGAACCAGCAAAGGACTTGCATCTAGAATATAGAAAGAGCATTTACAGCTCAATAAAAGGACCAACACCCAATAAGAAAACCACAAAAGACGTCAATGTATACTTCATCAGAGAAGAGCTATGAATGGCCAGCAAGCACATGAGATGTTCAGCATCATTGGTCATCAGGGAAATGCAAATCCAAACCACAGTGACAGGCTAGATGCATGGCTCACGCCTGTAATCCCAACACTTCAGGAGGCTGAGACACGTAGATCACTTGAGGCCAGGAGTTACAGACCAGCCTGGACAACATCACGAAATCCCATCTCTACAAAAACTACAAAAACTAGCCTGTAGTCCCAGCCACTCGGGAGGTTGAGGTGGGAAGATCACTTGAGCCCAGGAGAACAAGGCTGCATTGAGCCATTATCGTGCTACTGCATTCCAGCCTGCACAACAGAGCAAGATCCTGCGTCAAAACGAATGCTGGGTGCAGTGGCTCATGCCTATAATTCCAGCATATTGGGAGGCTGAGGCAGGTAGATCACCTGAGGTCAGGAGTTCGAGACCAGCCTGACCAACATGGAGAAACCCCGTCTCTACTAAAAATACAAAATTAGCCAGGCATGGTGGCACATGCCTGTAATCCCAGCTACTCAGGAGGCTGAGGCAGGAGAATCGCTTGAACTCAGGAGGTGGAGGTTGCAGTGAGTAGAAATCACGTCATTGCACTCCAGCCTGGGCAACAGAGTAAGACTCCATCACAAAAAAAAAAAAAAACCCACAAGGACATACCACTGCTCACCCACTAGGGTGGCTAGAATAAAAAAGACAGTGAATAACAAATATTGGCCAGGGATGGTGGCTCATGCCTGTAATCCCGCACTTTGGGAGGCCAAGGCGTGCAGATCACTTGACATAGGTCAAGAGTTTGAGATCAGCCTAGCCAACATGGCAAAACCCCGCCTCTACTAAAAATACAAAAATTAGCTGGGTGGGGGTTGGCACACCCCTGTAGTTCCAACCAACCACTGTGGGGGCCGAGGCAAGAGAATCGCTTGAACCCAGGAGGCAGAGGTTGCAGTGAGCCGAGATTGTGCCGTTGTACTCCAGCCTGAACAACAGAGCGAGACTCCCATCTCAAAAAAAAAAAAAACAACTCAATATTAACACAATACTAAAATGTAATGTTTTATTCTTTCTGTTTTTCTCTTAATGACAGAGCTGTCGTCGAGAAATATCTGCTTGAAAAGTCTCGCCTGGTGTCTCAGGAGAAGGATGAGAGGTAGGAGAATGTTTTCCCAGGAATCTCTGAATGCCACGCCATGTCTACGTTTCCTCCTACAGAGGAGAGAAGCAAAGCAAACGTCCTGAGGTCGGAGGAATTCTGGGGGAGGCCGTGGAGGCTCTCACAGGAGCAGGGCCTGCCCATCCATCTTCTCCCCAGACCTGCCCCTGTGGCCTCACACTTTGTCCTCATACCTCCCAAGCCACCTTTGTGTGCCTCCCTGGAGGTTTTATCCCCAGTATGTGCTCAGATGTCTGCACAAAATATACTTAGATTGGAAACATTTCTCAAGCATGGTAGCACGTGCCTGTAGTCCCAACTATTCAGGAGGCCTAGGCGGGAGGATCGCCTGAGCCCGGGAGGTTGAGGCTGCAGTGAGCTAGACACCACACTTCAGCCTGGGCAACAGAGCAAGTCCTTGTCTCTGTTTTTGGTTGGTTGGTTGGGGTTTTTTTGGTTTGTTTGTTTGTTTGTTTTTGTTTTTGTTTGTTTGAGTCAGAGTCTTGCTCTGTCACCCAGGCTAGAGTGCAGTGGTGTGATCCCAGCTCACTGCAACCTCCGCCTCCTGGATTCAAGCAATTCTCATGCCTGAGGCGACTCTCATGCCTCAGCCTCCCGAGTAGCTGGAATTACAGGCATGCACCACCACGCCCGGCTAGAGTCCTTGTCTCTTTTAAAAAAAAAAAAAAAAGAAAGGCCTGGAGCAGTGGCTCACACCTGTAATCCCAGCACTTTGGGAGGCCTAAGAGGCAGGATCACATGAACCCAGGAGTTCGAGACCAGCCTGGGCAACATGGCAAAATCCCATCTCTACAAAAAAGACCAAAAAAAAAAAAATTAGCTGGGCATGGTGACACACACCTGTAGTCCCAGCTACTCAGGAGGCCGAGCTGGGAGGATCACTTGAACCCAGGAGGTCGAGGCTGCAGTGAGCTGTGATTGCACCACTGCACTCCAGCCTGAGTAACAGAGCAAGACCGTATCTCAAAAAAAAAAAAAAAGAAAAGAAAGAAACATTTCTGATTGACAAATAAGTGAGATGTACACCCACCCACCTCCAATCCTCCAGAAATCTACTCGCTCACGACACTCATTTGTTTTGTTTTGTTTTTTTAAGACATAGTAAGAACTGACGTACTGTTTTAAATTTGTACATATTTGAGGTGTGCTCTCCAAAGCCATGTTAGTAGTGGTTCGCAGAGTAGCTATTACTTGGCCTCCAAAAACAACTATTTTCCTCCCAATTTTGACCTGTAGGAACTACCATGTGTTTTATTATTTGTTACTTGGGGTCAGCGAGGAAGAGCGCCAAGAATTTCAGCTCAAGCAGCCTGAAGATTATTTCTACCTCAACCAGGTAAACAGCCTCAAGCCCGAGCCACAAACGCCACCTCTGTTCCCGGCCTCAAGCTGTTTATGTATAGCCGGGAAGTCAGAGGCAGCCTGCCCTGGCCCCCGAACCCGCTCCCAGAAGGCAGCATTAAAAGAACCCATTCATTCCCCTGGTCCTGGGGCCCTGCCCCACCAGCTCCAGCCAAAATCACTCTGGCACGCCACCCTTGCCGGCCCAGGAATGCCCAGAGTACCCATGCCTTTGTTTTCCAGCATAACTTGAAGATTGAAGATGGGGAGGACCTGAAGCATGACTTTGAGAGGCTCAAGCAGGCCATGGAGATGGTGGGCTTCCTCCCCGCCACCAAGAAGCAGTAAGTGTGCGGGCTCCCGGGGCCTGTCCCCCAGAGCCTACAGGGGGCACGCATGGCCCTTACCAGTCACTCTGAGGTCTAACCTGCAACCCAGTGAAAACAGGCAGGCAGTGTCCTGAACAGTGCCGCCATAGGGAGTGTGGCCCAATAGCAGCGATCACATGAGAAGGGGCTCAAGACATTGGTCATTAGGCGATGCCAATTAAAGGTAACGTGAACATACTTAACACTGCTGAATTGTACCCTTAAAAATGGTTTAGCCAGGCTCCACGTGGCTCACTCACGCCTGTAATCCCAGCACTTTGGGAGGCCAAGGTGGAGGATTGCATGGGCCCAAGAGTTCAAGACCAGCCTGGGCAGCATAGTGAGACCTCATCTCTACAAAAAATAAATAAAATTAGCCAGGCGTGGTAGTATGCACCTGTGGTCCCAGCTACTTGTGGGGCTGAGGTGGGAGGATCACTTGGGCCTGGGAGGACAAGGCTGCAGTGAGCCACCATGATCATGCCACTGAACTAATCACGCCACTCTGGGTGACAGAGCGAGACCCAGTCTCAAAAAAAAAAGAATGCTGGGTACGGTTGTTCACACATGTAATCACAGTGCTTTGGAAGGCCAAGGCAACAGGACCACTTAAAGCCAGGAGTTCAAGGCTGTAAGTGAGCTAGGATTGTACCGCTTCATTTCAGCTCGGGCAACAGAGTAAGATCCTGTCTCTAAAAATCAAAGAAGTTAAGGTAGTGAATTTTATATTATGCTTATGTTACTACAATTTAATTATTTTTTTTTTTAGATGGGGTCTCGCTCTTTCACCTAAGCTGGAGTGAAGTGGCGAGATCATGGCTCACTGCAGCCTCGACCTCCCCTGGTTCAGGTGATCCTCCCACCTCAGCCTCCCAAGCAGCTGGGACTACAGGCGCGTGCCACCACACCTGGACAATTTTTTGTAGAGATGGGGTTTCCTCATGTTGCCCAGGCTAATTTTGAATTCTTGGGCTCAAGCCATCCACCTGCGTAAGCCTCCCAGCATGCTGGAATTACAAACACAAGCCACCGCGCCCAGCAATTTAAATTTTTTTAAACCAGGCATGGTGGCTCATGCCTGTTATCCCAGCTACTTGGGAGGCCAAGGCAGGAAGATCGCTTGAGACCAGGAGTTGGAGACCAGCCTGGGTAACATAGCAAGACCCCATCAATTTTTTTTTAAATTATCCAGGCATGGTGGCACACACCTGTAGTCCCAGCTACTTGAGAGGCTGAGGTGGGAGGATCACTTAAGCCCAGGAGTTCACAGCTACAATGAGCTAAGATGGCACCTCTGGCCCGGGCGCAGTGGCTCACGCCTGTAATCCCAGCACTTTGGGAGGCCAAGGCAGGTGGATTGCCTGAGCTCACGAGTTCAAGGCCAGGCTGGGCAACATGGCGAAACCCTGTCTCTACTAAAAATATGAAAAATTAGCCATGCATGATGGTGCACGCCTGTAATCCCAGCTACTCAGGAGGCTGAGGCACGAGAATCACTTAAACACAGAAGGCAGAGGCTGCCGTGAGCCGAGATTGCGCCACTGCACTCCAGCCTGGGTGACAGAGCAAGACTCTGTCTCAAAAAAAAAAAAAAAAGATGGCACCTCTGAATAGCCAGTGGACTCCATCCTGGACAACATAGCCAGTGACTGGCCAGACACAAGTACCATCCCATCAAGTTCACAGACAGCATTAGACGTCAGGACAGTGGTTCCTCTGGTGTTGGGGGGCTCTAGGATCCAGGACTTGGAATGTTCTATTTCTTGGTCTGGGGGCTAGTCAGAGGGATCCGTACACTTCTTTTTTCTTTTGTGAGACAGTTTCACTAGCCAGGCATGGTGGTACAAACCTGTAGTCCCAGCTACCTGAGAGGCTGAGATAGGAGGCTCAACTGAGCCCGGGGAGGTTGAGGCTGCAGTGAGCCGTGATCGCACCACTGCACTCCAGCCTGGGTGACAGAGTGAGACCCTGTTTCCAAAAAAAAGAAAATAGCTGTCTAGCCAGGTGCAGTGGCTCGTGCCAATAATCCCAGCTATTCAGGAGGCCAAGACAGGAGGATCACTTGAGGCCAGGAGTTTGAGACCAGCCTGGGCAACATAGCAAGACCCCATCCCTTTAAAAATATGTTTTTAAATTAGCCAAATATGGTGGCCTGTAGTACCAGCTACTCAGGAGGCTGAGGCTGTAGAATCACTTGAGCCCAGGAGTTGGAGGTTACAGTGAGCTATGATTGTGTCACTGCACTCCAACCTAGGCGACAGAGCCAGATCAAATCCAGGAAAAAGATAACTGTCTGCAAAGTCACATTCCACAGAGGCCATCCTCAACAGAGGCCTTAGACATTTTTCAAATTTCATGCGTTCCGACCAGAATTTGCTGGTTTTATGGATTCAGCCCGGTTCCCTGGGAAGTATCTGCTGTCTTAGGAACGTAGAAACTACCCAAATATGAGTGCCTTTTCTTTCCCAGGATTTTTGCCGTCCTCTCGGCCATCCTGTACCTGGGCAACGTCACTTATAAGAAGAGAGCTACAGGCCGAGAGGAAGGGTTGGAGGTCGGGCCACCCGAGGTGCTGGACACCCTGTCGCAGCTTCTGAAGGTACTGATTGCCACCTCTGTCCCTTCTCAGGCCTGGCTCAGGGCCGCTGGCTATCTCTCAGTACGAGGGACCATACCCAGAACTTCCTACGTCAGCTGAGGTTTCATCAACCAGGACCTCACGTCTTCCGCTATCATCTCTACAGTGTTCCTTCCTCATTTCTGATGAGCTCTGTGGACAGGGGCACCTCCTCCTCCCACCCTCAAGTGAAAGCCTCTTTAAAACTACAGCTCAGGGGCCGGGTGCGGTGTCTCACCTGTAATCCCAGTACTTTGGGAGGCCAAGGTGGGCGGATGACCTGAGGTCAGGAGTTCGAGATCAGATTGGCTAACATGGCAAAACCTCATCTCTACTAAAAATACAAAAAGAAATTAGCCAGTGGTGGTGGTACATGCCTATAGTCCAAGCAACTTGGGAGGCAGAGGCACGAGAATCACTTGAACCTGGGAGGCAGAGGCTGCAGTGAGCCAAGATTGCGCCACTGCACTCCAGTCTGGGCGACAGAGCGAGACTCTGTCTCAAAACAAAACAAAACAAACAAAAAAAAACTACAGCTTGGGGCTGGGTGCGGTGGCTCATACCTGTAATCTCAGCTACTCGGGAGACCGAGGCAGGAGGATCACTTGAGGCCAGGAGGTCCAGACTAGCCTGTACAGCATAGCGTCTGTCGATCTCTACAAAAAATACAAAAATTAGCCAGGTATTGGTGGTGTACTCCTGTAATCCAAGCTACCCAGGGGGCCAAGGCAGGAAGATTGCTTGAGCCTAGGAGTTCATTGCCGCCGTGAGCTGTGATCATGCCACTGAACTCCAGCCTGGGTGAGTGACAGAGTAAGGCCCTGTCTCTTAAAAAACAAAAAATTCTAGTTTGATCAAGTCATTTTCTCATTGGACCTGCCATCCCCTCCTCCTCCACCGGTTCTCAGCCAGGGGCAGTTCTGCCCCTAGGACACACTGGGCAATGTCTGGAGAACTTTCTGGTTGCCATACTCTGGGTTGCTCCTGGCATCTGCTAGGTAGAGGCCATGGATGCTGCCCAACACCCCACAGCGCACAGGACAGCCCCCCAATGGCAAAGAATTATCCAACCCCAAGTGCAAATGGCAGTGAGGCCGAGGAGCCCTACCCCAGTCTTTTGTTTTTTAATCCATTTATGCTTTGCGTTCCATTATTGGTACAGGAGCCCCAGCTTCTGTTGAGTTCTTGGGGATATGTGAGCATCTGCTGGGATATTTAGAGAAAGCCCCTGCCAGCCAGGCACGGTGGCTCACGCCTGTAATCCCAGCACTTTGGGAGGCTGAGGCAGGTGGATCGTCTGAGGTCAGGAGTTTGAGACCAGTTCGAGAACTTCAGGCCCCAAAGCCTGACCAATATGGAGAAACCCCATCTCTACTAAAAATACAAAAATTAACTGGGCATGGTGGCAGGTGCCTGTAGTCCCAGCTATTCGGGAGGCTGAGACAGGAGAATCACTTGAACCCAGGAGGCAGAGGTTGCAGTGAGCCAAGATTGCGCCACTGCACTCCAGCCTGAGCAACAGAGCAAGACTCCATCTAAAAAAAAAAAAAAGGAGAAAGCTGCCGCTTATTCCCCACTCTTGCTGCTGGTGGGCAGAGACCACCAGCTCTGAAAGGGAGCTTGGCAGTGCGGGGAGGGATGAGCGTGTCGGCTGTCTGGGTAAGGTCTAAGCCCAGGCCCTGTGCAATGGATGGGAACCACCAGCTCCAATAGGCAAGGCGGCCACCTGGACCCGTGGCTCGCACTCACATAAGGCCTGTACATACACATACCCGGGCCACGGAGCATGAGCATCCGGCAAGCCCGTGCTATGTGGGAATTCTGAAACCTGCCAAGTGTAAAACAGTACATCGCAGGCCAGGTGCAGCGGCTCACGCCTATAATCCCAGCACTTTGGGAGGCCCAGGCAGGCAGATCGCCCAAGGTCAGGAGTTCGAGACCAGCCTGGCCAACACAGAGAAACCCCATCTCTATTAAAAATACAAAAATTAGCTGGGTGTGGTGACGGGTGCCTGTAATCCCAATTACTGGGGAGGCTGAGGCAGGAGAATTGCTTGAACCCAGGAGGCAGAGGTTGCAGTGAGCCAGGATTGTGCCACTGCACTCTAGCCTGGGTGATAGAGTGAGACTCTGTCTCAAACAAACAAACAAACAAAAACCAAAAAACCAGCACATCGCGGGTGGGTGGGTGGGCTTCAGGTCCCACTTCTAGGCCTGGCTGCTGGGGGTCCGTCTCCCAGCTGCCTCAGGCTCCGGGCGTTGCCTCAGTGATACCAGGACATGCCTGATAAGTCCTCCATCTCCCTTTTCCTTCTCCCTCTCCTTGACCTCCAAACAGGTGAAGCGAGAAATCTTGGTGGAGGTTCTGACCAAAAGAAAAACGGTGACCGTCAACGACAAGCTTATCCTTCCCTACAGCCTCAGCGAGGTGAGCTCTGCCCAGGCACTCACAGGGTGCCAGATCCCAAAAACCAAGTGGGAATGGTCTTTGGAAAGAGCCGGCATGGGTGGGCTGTTCTGTCCCTGAATGCTAGAATGGAACCTAGGCAGTGCCTCTGATTGTCATGCAAGCTCAGGTGTGGCACAAGCCAGCCTGGGAGGCAAACCATGGGCCTCAGGCCAGAACTTGAGCCACATGCATTCAACTCTGTGTTTCCAGATGTTCCGTGTGCATGCTGGTTCTCACTAGCAATGGTTGGCCAGATCCAGCCCTCCACCTGGTTTTGCTAATAAAGTTTTATTGGCACATGGCCATACCCATTCATTTACATACCACTTAAGACTGCTTTGGAGCCATAGCAGCTAAGCAGAGCAGTTGCAACAGAGAACATCAGGCCCCAAAGCCAAAAATAATGACTCCTTCATCCCTTCCAGAAAAGAATTTGCCCATCCCTAGACTCTGGAACATGACACTGACTACCCTTATGTAACTCCCAGCCTGTGAGTCTCAAGCCTGTGACTCTAAACCTTGATCAGGTGCCTCCCTCTGGTCTTTGCCCCAGCCTGGATGTTTTCTCTGTGCTGTATTTCTCTTGCATTTTTACATCTCAAGAGCAGGATCACTTGCAGCTTGTTTAACAATAGGAAAGTACCTAATCACGGCAGGGATTTTTAGCCCCTCACCCGATGGGAAGCTGCTGTGGCATTTCAAACAGGCACCGGGGACATTCTGAGCCCACATGGGTCCAGGGCACCACGTGATATTGCTGCATATCACCCAAGACCCGAGCAGCACTGGTGTCCCCAGAGGCTCCATGCAGAGCCAAAGGCACCAGGCAGGGGCTGCATTCTGTGTGGCTCCATTTCCTTGACACCCAAGAAATGCAAAACGAGGGGGACACATTCTAGATCTTGTCTGTAGCTGAATACATCTGTCAGAGCTGAGACCTGAATATGTGGGGAAAAAAGCCAATTTATTCCATATAGATTAGACCTTAAGAGCTTCTTTTTTTTCTTTTTTTTTTTTTTTTTGAGATAGCGTCTCACTGTTGCGCAGGCTGGAGTGTAGTGGCACAATCTCAGCTCACTGCAACCTCTGCCTCCTGGGTTCAAGTGATTTTCATGCCTCAGCCTCCTGAGTAGCTGGGATTACAGGTGTGCGCCACTAGGCCTGGCTAATTTTTTTTGCATTTTTATTTATTTATTTATTTATTTTTATTTTTGAGACAGTTTCGCTCCTGTTGCCCAGGCTGGAGTGCAATGGCAGGATCTCGGCTCACTGCAACTTCCGCCTCCAGGGTTCAAGCAATTCTCCTGCCTCAGCCTCCTGAGCAGCTGGGATTACAGGCATGTGCCACCACGCCCGGCTACTTTTGTATTTTTAGTAGAGACAGGGTTTCACCATGCTGGTCAGGCTGGTCTTGAACTCCTGACCTCAGGTGATCCACCCGCCTCGGCCTCCCAAAATGCTGGGATTACAGGCGTGAGCCACGGTGCCCAGATTTTTTTTTTTTTTCCTTTTGCATCTTTAGTAGAGACGGGCAATCCACCCGCCTCGGCTCCCAGAGTACTGGGATGACAGGCGTGAGCCACCACGTCCGGCCACAAAAGAGCTTTGATGCACACGGTGACAGCCACATGGTGCACCCGGAAGAACAAGGGGCCTGAAGTTAGTTAGACCCTCCTTGCTGGTTCTACCACAGTCGCACGCCCCACCCCCTCCCCGAGCCCAGGTTCCTCACTCAGCAGCAATTTTGGTTGCTCTGAGGAGCGTATGGAAAGGCTTCAGCGGCCGTTCCAGAGGCTACTGGGTCTGTTAACGCCTCAGTGTGCAGGCACATCCTCCAGGACAGGGTGAAATATGGGTGTTGGATGAGTCGAGTGTTGACAGAGACCACCTTGGCTGGTTGCAGTGGCTCACGCATGTAATCCCAACACTTACGGAGGCCAGGGCAGAAGGATTGCTTGAGCCCAGGAGTTAGAGTCCAGCCTTGGCAACATAGTGAGACCCCGTCTCCACAATAAAATTAAAAATTAAGGCCAGGCACGGTGGCTCACGCCTGTAATCCCAGCACTTTGGGAGGCCAAGGCAGGCAGATCGCTTGAGGCCATGAGTTCGAGACCAGCCTGGCCAACATGGCAAAACCCCGTTTCTACTAAAAATACAAAAATTAGCCAGGCATGGTGGTGCGTGCCTGTAATCCCAGCTACTCAGAAGGCTGAGGCTGGAGAATCGCTTGAACCCAGGAGGGAGAGGTTGCAGTGAGCCAAGACTGTGTCACTGTACTTCAGCCTGGGCGATAGAACAAGACTCCACCTCAAAAATATATGTATATATTAAAAATTAACCAGGTGTGGTGTTGTGCGCCATAGCCCCAGCTACACAGGAGGCTGAGGCAGGAAGATTGCTTGAGCCCAGGAAGTGGAGTTTGCAGTGAGCCAAGATTGCGCTAGTGCACTTCAGCCTGGATAACAGAGTGAGACCCTGTGTCAAAAAAAAAAAAAAAAAAAGTACAAAGGGCCATCTTGGCCAGACACAGTGGCTTATGCCTGTAATCCCAGGACTTTGGGAGGTCAAGGCAGGCAGATCACCTGAGGTCAGAGTTTGAGACCAGCCTGGCCAACATGGTGAAACTCCATCTCTAGTAAAAATACAAAAATTAGCCAGGTATAGTGGCGCTTGCCTGTAATCTCAGCTACTTGGGAGGCTGAGACAGGAGAATCTCTTGAACCCAGGAGGTGGAGGTTGCAGTGAGCCGAGATCATGCCACTGCACTCCAGCCTGGATGACAGAGCAAGACTCCAGCGCAGGGCCTGCCGTGCCGGAGGTGAGTCACCCCCTCTGTGTCCACAGGCCATCACTGCCCGCGACTCCATGGCCAAGTCTCTGTACAGCGCCCTGTTCGACTGGATTGTGCTGCGGATCAACCACGCACTCCTCAACAAGAAGGACGTGGAAGAGGCAGTCTCGGTGAGTGCCCCCATTTGCTTCCTCAAGCCCGGCCAGGGGAGGCCACATCCTCACTACCAATATCCTTGGTGGGCGACCTGGAACATCCGGAGCCGAGGCATCTGCAATCAAGAGGCTGTTTCCCCACAAGGACAGGCCCAGGAAACAGGACAGGCTACGAAATTCAACAGGCCCAGGGCAGAATGAAAACATAAGGCCCCTTATTCAAAAACGACAGATTCTGGCATGTACCTGTGGTCCCAGCTACTCAGGAGGCTGAGGCAGAAGGATTGCTTGAGCCCAGGAGGTCAAGGCTGCAGTGAGCTGTGGTGGCGCCACTGCACTCCAACCTGGGCAACAGAGCAAGACCCCATCTCCAAAAAAAAATTATGGATTCCATGCTGGTAATGGCAAAGTGTTCTGCCGAGCAACAGGGACTGGGGACCTAACAGGTCACAGCCTGTAGAGCCAACCCCTCTCATGAAGGCTGGCTCCCTCGGGGTGCACCTGCGGGCAGTGACCATTTTCTCTGTCTCTCCCAGTGCCTGTCCATTGGGGTCCTGGACATCTTCGGGTTTGAAGACTTCGAGAGGAACAGCTTTGAGCAGTTCTGCATCAACTACGCCAATGAGCAGCTGCAGTATTACTTCAACCAGCACATCTTCAAGCTGGAGCAGGTGCGGAAAGGGCTTTTTTGTCAATTTTTTGAACTTGGTAAATCAGACATCACGTGAAATTTACCATCTTAACCATTTGTAAATATTCAGTTCAGCGGCGGTAAGTACATTCACATATTCGCATTGTTATGCAAACGCCACCACCATACATCTCCAGAACTCTTTCATTTTGCCAAACTGAGACTCTGTCCCCATGAAACACTCACTCCCCATTCCCCCTCTTGCAAGCCCTGAACTCACCCCATTCCACTTTTTTTTTTTTTTTTTTTTTTGAGACAGGGTCTTGCTCTGTCACCCAGCTAGAGTGGTATAATCATAGCTTACTGCAGCCTCAAACTCCTAGGCTCAAGTGATCCTTCCTCGGCCTCCCGAGTAGCTGGAACCACAGGTGCACACTACCATGCCTGGCTAATTTTTGTATTTTTTGTAGAGACAAGGTTTTGCCATGTTGCTCAGGCTAGTCTCGAACTCCTGAGCTCAGGCAATCTGCTCACCTTGGTCTCCCAAAGTGTTGGGATTACAGGTGTAAGCCACCATGCCTGGCCCATTCTATTTTCTGTCTCTATCATTTTTGACTAAGTGCCTCATATAAGTGAAATTAGACATTATTTGTCTTTTTGTGACTGGCTTATTTCGCATAGTATAAAGTCCTCATGGTTCATCCACATAGTAGCATGTGTCAGAATTTCCTTCCTTTTCAAGGCTGAGTAATATTCCATTTTCTGGATGTACCACATTTTGCTTATCCATCCATCCTTCAGTAGACACTTGGGTTGCTTCCAGCTTTTGGCTATTGTGCATAATGCTTCTTTGAACATGGGTGTGCAAATATCTCTTCAAGACGCTGCTTTCAATTCTTTCGGGTATATACCCAGAAGTGGACTTGCTGGATCGTATGGTAATTCTGTTTTTAACTTTTTTGAAGAACCACCATACTGTTTTCCATAACAGCTGCAGCATTTTATAAGGAAATATCATGTTGTTGCACACCCAGCCCAAAGGGAAAATAGCATGAGCTAGAACCGGAATCTCCCTAGAGGCCCAGATCATTGGTGAACTTGCCCCAGAATTTTTCTCAGTCAAAAGGAAAACTTAAGAAAACCCACCCAGCCCAGGATGAGGCAAATGTCAGGAATGTTTTGAGCCACAGTTCATGTGGGGGCTTCTGTGTCCAAACAGAAAATCTTTTTGTTAGTTGAGAAACAGGGTTGCCTTTTAAGGATTTGCTTAGCTCAAGGACATTGATAACCTATCTGACGTGTCTTTTTTTTTTTTTGAGATGGAGTCTGGCTCTGTTGCCCAGGCTGGAGTGCAGTGGCACGATCTCGGCTCACTGCAACCTCTGCCTCCCTGGTTCAAGCGATTCTCTTGCCTCAGCCTCCCGAGTAGCTGGGACTACAGGTGCATGCCACCATGCCCAGCTAATTTTTTGTATTTTTAGTAGAGATAGGGTTTCACCATGCTGGCCAGGCTGGTCTCAAACTCCTGATCTCAGGCAATCAGCCCACCTTGGCCTTCCAAAGTGCTGGGATTATAGGCGTGAGCCACCGCGCCTGGCCCTGATGTGTCTTTTTGCAGCTAAATAGTCAACCATCCTTATTCATGTCTTCTCCTTCACGTTGATGATTCTGATGGGAAAATGAAACTGACAGGCTTATGTAAATATCCAGCTGATTTTCCTATTAAGCTTTTTGGCAGTGAAGCATTGGGAGTGTAGCTGGTCAGAATTAAGTTGTGCAGGAAGGGTGTGACATACACACTAAATTGTGAAGACTTAGCACATGAGAAAAAAGAACATACACGGTCTCAGTACCTTACTGCAGCCTCAAACGCTGAGGTTTAGGCGATCCTACCACCACAGCCCCCTGAGTAGCTGAGACTGTAGTTGCACACCACCACACCCAGCTAGTTTTTTGGTTTTATTTTTTGTAGAGACAGGGTCTTGCTATGTTGCCCAGGCTGGTCCTGAACTCCTGGCCTCAAGTGATCCTCCCACGTTGGCCTCTCAGTCATTTTTATGTCAGTTACACATTAACGTGATCACATTTTAGATACACAGGGTTAAATTAAGTGTATTATTAAAGTTAATTTTGAGCCACACAGAGGCACATATCTGTAGTCCCAACTACTGAGGAGGCTGAGGTGGGAGGATCCCTTGAGCCCAAGAGGTCGAGGCTGCAATGAGCTACAGTTGTGCCACTGTACTCCAGCCTGGGTGACAGACGAGACCCTGTCTCAAAAAAAAAAAAATTAATTAATTTCACCTTTTTTTTTACTTTTTACATGTGATTATTAGAAAATTTGAGGCTGGGCATGGTGGCTCATGCTAACAATACCAGTGGTTTGGGAAGCCAAGGTAAGAGGATTGCTTTAGGTCAGGAGTTCAAGGCTGCAGTGACCTATGATCACAACACTGTACCCCATCCTGGGCAACAGAGTAAGACCCTGTCTCTAAAAAAAAAAAATTTGAGATGGAGTTTCTGCGAAAAAAAATTTTTTTATTAACCAGGCATATAGTGGCACATGCCTGTAGTCCTAGCTACTGGGGAGGTTGAGGCAGGTGGATCACTCGAGCCCAGGAGTTTGAGGCTACAGTGAGCTGTGATCGCACCGCTGCACTCCAATGTAGGCAACAGTGTGAGACCCTGTCTCTTAAAAGAAAAAAAGAAAATGTGAAGATTCCTGTTGGACAACATAGCTCTGGAACAGGGGCCAGCAAACCACAGCCTGTGGGTCAAATCCAGTCCCACAAATTGTTTTTATAAATAAAGCTTTATTGGCACATAGCCTTTGGTTTGCATTATCATCTGTGGCTGTTTTCACATCACGACTGTTAGTTGCAACAGACATTGTCTGGTTCATAAGGTGCTATCTGGCCCATTACAGAGAAAGTTTGCCAACCTCTAAATGATTTTAAGTGTGATTTTTTTTTTTTCTTGAGGCAGAGTCTTGCCCTGTCATTCAGGCCGGAGTGCAATGGTGCAATCTCGGTTCACTGCAACCTCCACCTCCCAGGTTCTAGTGATTCTCCTGCCCCAGCCTCCCCAGTAGCTGGGGTCACAGGTGTGTGCCACCAGGCCCGGCTAATTTTTGTATTTTTAGTAGAGACAGGGTTTCACCATGTTGGCCAGGTTGGTCTTGAACTCCTAACTTCAGGTGATCTGCCCACCTCAGCCTCTCAAAGTGCTGGGATTACAGGCGTGAGCCACCACGCCCAGCCCTTGTGTGATATTTAAAGTGCCATGCTGTGATCAGTATTTAAGAATGTGCATTCTTGTTTCCTGTTTACAATCATTCATTTATCTAGTAAGTTTATGTAACTATTAATGTATTCATATTGATTTACTCATATGCATTTTGTTACTGATATATTTATGTTTTTTTTTTTCACTTTGAAGTTCAGGGGTACATGTGCAGATTTGTTACATAGGTAAACTTGTGTCATGGGGGTTTGTTGTACAGATTATTTCATCACCCAGGTATTAAACCTAGTACCCACTAGTTATTTTTCCTGATCCGCTCACTCCTCCCACCCTCCACCCTCCAATAGGCCCCAGTGTGTGTTGTTCCCCTCTATGTGTCCATGTGTTCTCATCATTTGGCTCCCTCTTATAAATAAGAACATGCAATATTTGGTTTTCTGTTCCTGCATTAGTATGCTAAGGGTAATGGCCTCCAGCTCCATCCATGTTCCTGCAAAGGACATGACCTCATTCCTTTTTTATGGCTGGGTAGTATTCCTTGATGTATATGCACCACATTTGCTTTATCCATTAGTGGGCATTTAGATTACTTATTTGTTATTGTGAATAGTGCTGCAAAGAACACACACATGCAGATACATTTATATGTAAACATGCCTATTGATACATAAATATGTTCCTACAGTGTGGGGATCCCTTATCCAAACTGCTTGGGAGCAGAAGTGTCTCAGGTTTGGGATTTTTTTCAGATTTTTCAATATTTATATTATACTTACTGGTTGAACATCCCAAATCTGAAAATCCAAAATCTGAAATGCTTCAATGAGCGTTGTCTTTGAGCATCACATAACATTGGCAGTCCAAAAGTTTTGGATTTTTTTTTTTTTTTTTGAGATGGAGTCTTGCTATATTGCCCGGGCTGGTCTCAAACTCCTGGACTCAAGCCATCCTCCAGCCTCAGTAAAGTATTTTTTACTTTTTATTTTTTGCACAGACAGGATCTTGCTATGTTGTCCAGGCTGGTCTTGAACTCCTGGCCTCAAGCGATCCTACCACCTTGGCCTCTCAGTTACTTTTTATGTCAGTTACATGTTAACATGATCACATTTTGGATATATCATGTTAAATTAAGTGTATTATTAGAGCTATTTTTTTTTTTTTTTTTTTGTGACGGAGTTTCGCTCTTGTTGCCCAGGCTGGAGTAGGACTAATGGCGCAATCTTGGCTCACTGCAACCTCCACTTCCCGTGTTCAAGCGATTTTCCTGCCTCAGCCTCCTGAGTAGCTGGGATTACAGGCTTGTGCAACCACGCCTGGCTAATTTTGTATCTTTAGTAGAGATGGGATTTTGCTATGTTGGTCAGGCTGGTCTCAAACTCCTGACCTCAGGTGATCCACCTGCCTTGGCCTCCCAAAGTGCTGGGATTACAGGCGTGAGCCACTGTGCCCAGCCCTATTAGAGTTAATTTTAAGCCACGCATCAGTTTAAAAAGTTTCCTATTTTGAAGCATTTCAGATTTTCGGATTAGGGATACTCGACCTGTATGCAATATATGTTATGTAGATATTACATATCTGGGAGATAAGAAACTTACCGACCCCGCGCCACCCCTGCAGGAGGAATATCAGGGCGAGGGGATCACGTGGCACAACATCGGCTACACAGACAATGTCGGCTGCATCCATCTCATCAGCAAGAAACCCACGGGCCTCTTCTACCTGCTGGACGAGGAGAGCAAGTGAGTGTCCACACCCCGTCCATCCCGGCACATCTACGCATGGGCACTGGGTCAGGTTCTGCAGCCCCCAGAGCCTTACCCCAAATCCAGACTTTCCCAAGAGCGCCTTTTTATTTTTGAGACAGGGTCTCACTCTGTCACCCAGGCTGGAGTGTAGTGGTGCAATCAAAGCTCACTGCAGCCTTGACCTCCTGGGCTCAAGTGATCCCCTGACGTGAGCCTCTGGAGTAGCTGGGACTACAGGGTCACACCACCATACCCGGCTAATTTTTGTATTTCTTTGTAGCAACAGGGTTTCGTCATGTTTTCCAGGCTGGTCTTGAACTCCTTAGCTCAAGGGATCCTCCCGCCTTGGCCTCCGAGAGTACTGGGATTACAGGCGTGTGCCACCACGCCAGACCTTGTGCTGAGAACTTGTGTCTGTTCATTTCACTTGACCACAAAACCCAAGCTCGTGTGTGCAAAATGCACAAACACCTCATTGTGAAAACATCAACACGTGTGATTAATTCGTGCACTTGAGGCACATCCGCCAGGAGTTTTCAGCAAAGGATTATGGGCCTATGCCTAGAAACTAGACACTGGGGCCAGACGTGGTGGGGCATACCTGTGGCCCCAGCTACTCAGGAGGCTGAGACAGGAGGATCACTTGAGCCTGGGAGGTTGAGGCTGCAGGGAGCTGTGATCGTGTCACTGCACTCCAGCCTGGGCAATGGAGCAAGAGACAGGATTGGCGAGTTGTTACAAAGGGCAGTGCAGTGTGTGGAATTGGGACCCAGATGCTGCTGGGCTCTGGTCTCACTTCTGAGCCTTCCTCCCTCATCCCCACAGTCCACAGGGCGCTGTGAAGGCAGACAGGTCAATAAGGCACCTCATTCTGGGTCACCCAGTTGTAGTCACTGAAATCACGTGACACATACCGAACTACTTTCCTGTGGCTCCTCTAAGGAACCGCTACAAGCCAGGTGGGCTCTTGAGCCCAGGAGATCAAGACCAGCCTGGGCAACACAGAAAGATTCCACCTCGGCCAGGCACAGTGGCTCACGCCTGTAATCCCAGCACTTTGGGAGGCCGAGGCAGGCGGATCACCTGAGGTCAGGAGTTGGAGACCAGCCTGGCCAACATGGTGAAGCCCCGTCTCTACTGAAAATACAAAAATTAGCCGGGCATGGTGACAGGCGCCTGTAATCCCAGCTACTCAGGAGGCTGAGGCAGGAAAATTGCTTGAACCTGGGAGGCGGAGGTTGCAGTGAGCGGAGATCACTCCATTGCACTCCAGCCTGGGTGACAGACCAAGACTCTGTCTCAAAAAAAAAAAAAAAAAAAAAGATTCCATCTCTACAAAAAAATTTTTAACCAGCCTGGCCAACATGGCAAAACCCCATCTCTACTAAAAATGCAAAAATTAGCCAGGCATGGTGGCGGGTGCCTATAATTCCAGCTACTTGGGAGGCTGAGGCAGGAGAATTGTTTGAACCCGGGAGGTGGAGTTCTTAAAACCACAGTAATCTATTCTCTTATGGTTCTGGAAGCTGGAAGTCTAAAGTCAAACTGTCAGCAGAGCTGTGCTGCCTCCAGAGGCTCCAAGGGAGGACCCTTTCTTGCCTCCTCCAGCTTCTAGGGGTCCAAGCTTTCCTTGGCTTTTGGCCACATCACTCCAGTCCCTGCCTCCCTCTTCCTCTTCACATGGACTTCTTCCCTCTGTGTCTGCATCATTCATCTCAATCCTGTCTCCTCCTTTTTTTTTTTTTTTTTTTTTTTTTTTTTGAGACAGGCTCTTCTTGCTCTGTTGCCCAGGCTGGAGGGTAGTGGCGCCATCTTGGCTCAAGTTAATTGGCGTCATCTCAGCTCACTGTAACCCCCACCTCCCAGGATCAAGCGATTCTCGTGTCTCAGCCTCCCGAGTAGCTGGGATCACAGGTGCCTTGCCACCATGCCCAGCTAATTTTTGTATTTTTAGTAGAGATGGGGTTTTTTCACCATGTTGGCCAGGCTGCTTAAAAATTTTTTTTTGTAGAGATGGAATCTCCCTGTATTGCCCAGGCTAGTCTTGAACTCCTGGGCTCAAGCAGTCCTCTCACCTTGACCTCCCAAAGTGCTGGGACCATAGGTGTGAGCCATTACACCTGACCCTGTCTTCTGTTTTTAGAAGGACACCATCCATATGGAACTAGGTCCCACGCTAATGACCTCATCTTAACTAATTACATCTCCAAAGACCCTATTTTCCAAATAAGGTCACATTCAAAAGTTGGTGGTATGGGGTTAAGATATGGACATATTGTCTTATCAGCAGCTCTATCAGACCCATCCCTTGCCAATGACATCTCCAAGGGGCTGGCCAGAGACTCAAATGAATGAGGCACATCCCCTGCCTCAAACCTAGTCCCTGTCCAGGTCAGGGAGACAGACACATCCCTCTGAGGCTGGGGTCCAGGTAGAGAATGTTCAGATAAGAGCATTTGTGCCAGGTGCGGTGGCTCCCACCTGTAATTCCAACACTTTGGGAGGCCGAGGTGGAGGATCATTTGAGACCAGGAGTTAAAGACCAGCCTGGGCACCATAGTGAGACCCCATCTCTACAAAAAAAAAAAAAAAAAAAAAAAAAAACTAGCTGGGCACAGTGGCATGCACCTATAGTCCCAGCTACTCAGGAGGCTGAGGCAGGAGGATCACTTGAGCCCAGAGAGTCAAGGCTACAGTGAGTTGTGATTGTACCATTGCATTCTAGCCTGGGCAACAGAGCAAGACCCCAGCTCTAAAAATTAAAAAAAAAAAAAAAAAAGTAGAGACGGCAGTAGGAGGAGCTACGTCATCACAACCAGGAAACTCCCAGGGTCAGATCAGGGGAAGCCCGTGAGGCAAGGCCTGGCCCAGCAGGCTCGAGTCTCTTTAAAATCTTGCTATTTTTGCTCATCATGGAATTTTTTTTTTCTTTTTGCACATTGATTTAGATTTTCTGAAATACTGTGCTAAAATATTACCTATCTCAATGACTGAGGGTTTTGGGGGACACTCAAGGCAGATGCCTTACACTCCATACCCTCTTTACAGTCCTGGAAATGATATGTTTCATAGCTATAGACTCTCCCCTCCTTGGCCCCGTTAACGCGGAGCCCCCGATGTTGGGATCTGGGCATGCGTTCCGCTGCCTGTATTTTCAAAAGTGGGGCCGGGCTCAGGCAGCATTTGCCAAACCAACAACATCATTTCCCTCCTGGGAGGCAGACTCAGTCAGGTACAAGGAGTCCCTTATTCTGCCCCCACAATCTCCCCCTCCCCGGAGCACAACAGAGCCCTGCTTCATCCTCCTCTCCTAGCCTCTTCTTCCAACTGTGGAGCAGGAGAAGGACCCCCTGTCCAAGGTATGGCATTGAGGTACAAATGGCTCCAAGACCAGAAGTCACCCAGGCCCAGGATTATTCTTAGGAGCTGCCTACGATGGGTAACAGATCCAGACCTCCCAGGGGACAGACTTTGCAGACGCCACCAAGCCTGGTCAGCGACCTCTCTCCAAGCCCCCTAGAAAACAGCCATGTGGGGTCGAAGAGAGTGAGCCACCCAGACTCAGGCACTGGGCTACTCAATGTTAATTCTGCAGCCCTGGCTGGGCGCGGTGGCTCACGCCTATAATCCTAGTCGTTTGGGAGGCTGAGGCAGGAGGATCACTTGAGGCCAGGAGTTCAAGACCAGCCTGGGTAACATAGCAAGTCCCCTTCTCTTAAGAAAAAGAAAAACATTGTACTATAGTCCCAGCTACTCAGGAAGCTGAGGCAGGAAGATCCCTTGAGCCCAGGAGGTCAAGGCCACAGTGAGCTGTGATCGTACCACTACACTATAGCCTGGGCAACAGAGTGAGACCCTGTCTCCAAAGAAACAAATATTTTTCTGTTTTAAAAATCCTGAAGCCTTGAGAGCGTCACTTCACCCTCAGCCTCCTTGTACCAGGCTGCAGCTATGCCAGCTGACGCAGAGAGCAGAGTCCCAGCCCTCCACCAGCGTGTTCAGCATGAGGCAGGCAGGCACACCCAGATAGCAGCGTCCCAGCCCTCTGCCAGCATGTTCGGCATGAGGCAGGCAGGCGCACTGTCATTCCTTCCTTTCTTCACTCCTTCACCCACCCCTCTGTGCACAGAGCCCTGTGCCACTTCACTGCTCTGCCCACCCCATGCACCCACCCACCTCGTGCACCAGGGGTCTGCAAGATAAAATACACAGCAGGTAAATCAGCCGCTGTTCATGCCTGCAAAGGTTCCATGTTCTGTTCCCAGCTTCCCCCACGCCACGAGCCAGACCCTGCTGGCCAAGTTCAAACAGCAACATGAGGACAATAAGTACTTCCTGGGCACCCCGGTCATGGAGCCAGCTTTCATCATCCAGCACTTCGCAGGGAAGGTGAAATATCAGATCAAGGTAGGTGTCTGCCCATCACCACTGGTGGAAGCCTGAGGGAAGCCACAGTCAGCCCAGAAGCCCATGTGGGAGGATCCTCCTGTGGGCGAGGTTCCAGGGTGCTCAGAACCCACCGCGAATCCCCGGCTCCAATGTCCAAGGCGCCATAGTTCAAGAACTGCCATTTGCACTTAGGATGGGCCCCACCCCACCGTCAGCCCTTCCTGCGCCAGCCCGGGGTCTTTGGTAGGCGCCGGTGAGTGACTATCCCCGAGTGACCGCCCACATCCATCCCCCACCAGGACTTCCGGGAGAAGAACATGGACTACATGCGGCCAGACATCGTGGCCCTGCTGCGGGGCAGTGACAGCTCCTACGTGCGGGAGCTCATCGGCATGGACCCCGTGGCCGTGTTCCGCTGGGCCGTGCTCCGGGCTGCTATCCGGGCCATGGCAGTGCTTCGGGAGGCCGGACGCCTGCGGGCCGAGAGGGCCGAAAAGGCTGCAGGTGGGAGCTGGGGCGTGAACCCACAAAAGCGTCACTGTCGAGAGGGGGGCACATCCTGAGTTCATCTTAAAGTGAACACTTCAGTGGCATTTAGTACATTCATTATGTTGTGCAAACGCCACCTGTCTACCTGAAGTGTTCCTGTCACCCTGAACAGAAACTCGACCTGCGTGTGTAATTTAACCTCAGGGCATGCTATCAGCAACTCCATCAGGCGTCTCCTTTGCAAATGATGCCCTCTGATCCCACTGGCCCTGGGAGTTTGCTGATTGTGATAATGTAGCTCTTCCTAGTGTTTTGCCTCTTGTTTCTCTCTCTCTGTCTTGCTCTTTTTTTTTTTTTTTTTTTTTAGAGACAGGGTCTCTCTCTCTCTCTCTCTTGCCCAGGCTCTAGTGTAATGACGCAATCTCGGCTCACTGCAACCTCTGCCTCTTGGGTTCAAGCGATTCTCCTGCTTCACCCTCCCAAGTAGCTGGGACTACAGGTTACCGCCACCACATAGGCTAATTTTTGTATTTTTAGTAGAGACGGGGTTTCGCCCTGTTGGCCAGGCTGGTCTCGAACTCCTGACCTCAAGTGATCCGCCCGCCTCTGACTCATGAAATGCTGGGATTGCAGGTGTGAGTCACCATGCCCAGCCCCAGCCTCTTCTCTTAACTGAGCATTCTCTACTGGGAACCCAGCCTCAAAGGGACATTTCTGTTCCCCCGTCCTAGACAGAGATGGTTTGAGGCAGGGGGTGTGCCTGATCCACTCAAGACTTGGGCCAGCCCTATAGAGTTGCTGATAGAAGGATGGCAGAAAGCTATGTCCTCATTTTTCCCAGAGGCAACCTGAGGCCTGCATGGTTGAGTGGCTCACCCAGGTCTAAGGGCTCCAACCTTCCGTCCTCAGCTTCAGTTTCAGTTATCAGCTGTGGCTTCTGTCTCCGGAAGGGGCTTCATGAAAAGGAGGAAGGATAAAGCTTTCCTGAGAAATAGGAAATAGTGCTCTGTTTTGGGGATCCAAAACTTCACAGTTACCCACCCAACTTTGCCCCAAACTTGAGTGATGAGCTGCTTTTTTTTTTTTTTTTTTTTTTTTTTGAGACGGAGTCTTGCTCTGTCGCCCAGGCTGGAGTGCAGTGGCGCGATCTCGGCTACTGCAGGCCCCGCCTCCCGGGTTCACGCCATTCTCCTGCCTCAGCCTCCTAAGTAGCTGCGACTACAGGCACCCGCCACCACGCCTGGCTAATTGTTTTGTATTTTTTAGTAGAGATAGGGTTTCACCATGTTAGCCAGGATGGTCTCGATCTCCTGACCTCACGATCCGTCTGGCTCGGCCTCCCAGAGTGCTGGGATTACAGGCGTGAGCCACCACGCCTGGCCAATGAGCTGCTTTTTAAGATCGGTCTGCCAGGTGCAGTGGCTCAAGCCTGAAATCCCAGCACTTTGGGAGGCTGACGCAGACGATCGCTTGAGGTCGGGTTCAAGAGCAGCCTGACCAACATGGTGAAAGCCCATCTCTACTAAAAATGCAAATATTAGCCAGGCATGGTAGTGCATGCCTGTGGTCCCAGCTACCACAGGGAGGCTGAGGTAGGAGAATCGCTTGAACCCGGGAGGCGGAGGTTGCAGTGAGCCAAGATCATGCCAGTGCACTTCAGCCTGGATGACAGAGCAAGACTCCGTCTCAGAAAATAAATAAATAGGCCGGACACGGTGGCTCACGTCTGTAATCCCAACACTTCGGGAGACCGAGGTGGGTGGACCACGAGGTCAGGCGGTTGAGACCAGCCTGGCCAACATAGTGAAACCCCGTCTCTAGTAAAAATACAAAAAATTAGCCAGGTGCAGTGGCAGGCACCTATAGTCCCAGCTACTCAGGAGGCCGAGGCAGGAGAATCACTTAAACCGGGGAGGCAGAGGTTGCAGTGAGCCAAGATCGCGCCACTGCACTCCAGCCCAGGCGACAGTGCAAGACTCTGTCTCAAAAAAATAAATAAATAAATAATAAATTAATTAATTAATTAATTAAAAGATGGGTCAAAGTGTCTGGGTACAATGGTGCACACCGGTAGTCCTAGCACTTTAGGAGGCCAAGACAGCTCTCTTGAGGCCAGCTATTTGAGACCAGCCTGGGCCACATAGTGAGACCCCATCTCTCCAGAAAAGTTGAAACTTAGTCATGTGTGTCAGCATGTGCCTGTAGCCCCAGCTACTTGGGAGGCTGAAGTAGGAGGATTGCTTGAGCCCAGGAGTTGGAGGTTACACGAGCTGTGATCGCACCACTGCACTCGGCCTAGGCAATGCAGCAAGACCCTGTTGGTAAAAAATTAAAAAAAAAAAAAAAAAGGTTGGGGGGTGTTGCAGAGACTCATGCCTATAATCCCAGGATTTTGGGAGGCCAAGGTGGGCAGATCACCTGAGGTCAGGAGTTCAAGACCAGCCTGGCCAATATGGCAAAACCCCGTCTCTACTAAAAATACAAAAATTAGCTGGGCACAGTGGCCTGTAGTCCTAGCTACTCAGGAGGCGGAGGCAGGAGAATCCCTTGAACTCAGGAGGCAGAAGTTGCAGTGGGCCGAGATCGCGCCACTGTGCTCCAGCCTGGGTGACAGAGCAAGACTCCATCTCAAATAAATAAATAAAATGGGTTAAAATAATTGCAGCCTCCATAGGAGGCCATCCCCACCACCATCCACTCTGTGTCTCCGGCAGGTATGAGCAGCCCTGGTGCCCAAAGTCACCCAGAAGAGCTGCCAAGAGGAGCCAGCACCCCTTCGGAAAAACTTTACCGGTGAGCAAGACCCTGATTTGCCCAAACTGAAATCATTAGGTGGCAGCAGCATTGTTTCAAACAACTTAGGGAATGCTACATTCTTTTTTTTTTTTTTTTTTTTCTTTTGAGATGGAATTTCGCTCTTGTTGCCCAGGCTGGAGTGCAATGGCGCAATCTCGGCTCACCCCAACTTCCACCTCCCGGGTTCAAGCGATTCTCCTGCCTCAGCCTCCCGAGTAGCTGGGATTACAGGCATGCGCCACGATGCCCAGCTAATTTTGTTTTGTTTTGTTTTTTGTTGGTTTTTGTTTGTTTGTTTGTTTTTAGACAGAGTCTTGCTCTGTTGCCCAGGCTGGAGTGCAGTGGCGTGATCTCGGCTCACTGCAGGCTCCGCCTCGCAGGTTCATGCCATTCTCCTTTCTCAGCCTCCGGAGTAGCTGGGACTACAGGCACCCGCCACCACACCCGGCTAATTTCTTTTGTATTTTTTTTTAACTAGAGACGGGGTTTCACCGTGTTGGCCAGGATGGTCTTGATCTCCTGACCTCGTGATCCACCCGCCTCAGCCTCCCAAAGTGCTGGGATTACAGGCGTGAGCCACTGCACCCTGCCTAATTTTGTATTTTTAGTAGAGACGGAGTTACTCCATGTTAGTCAGGCTGGTCTTGAACTCCTGACCTTGGGTGATCCACCTGCCTCAGCCTCCCAAAGTGCTGGGATTACAGGCGTGAGCCACCAGGGAATGCTACATTCTAAACCCAGGTCGAGGTTGCTCTGAATAAGTCACTGAGCTTCCATTTGAAACAGAAAGACCCAGAACCAAGCAGCATTTGGTGGCTGCTTTTCTGGACACAGAATAGCAGGCCGTGGTGCATCATGCGCTTTAGGGAGATGGGAGGAGGCTCAGTTTACAAAGGATCCATTTTATGGCCTAGGGTGGGCACTGGGAGGTAGAGCCCAAGCATCGATGGTGGTGCGGAGAGACGGGCTTGATTGATTGGAGAGTTCTTCCCCCATCCTGCCTGGAGTGGCCCAAAAGTAGTTCTGCCAAGTTACTTCATTCACAGTCAGAAACACATACACTTTGATATTGCACATGAGATGACACGGGGTCTTTTGTGGACCCTAGCAATGACCAAGGGCCCTGCACGCACCCAAGCATGTGCCAGCACCAGGGTAGAAAAGTGAGCAGGCTGGCCAGACGTGATGGTGCACGCCTGTAATCCCAGCACTTTGGGAGACCAAGGCGGGCGGATCACTTGAGGTCGGGCGTTTGAGACCCGCCTGGCCAACATGGTGAAACCTCGTCTCTACTAAAAATACTAAAATTAGCCAGGCGTGGTGGCGAGTACCTGTAGTCCCAGCTACTCGAGAGGCTGAGGCAGGAGAATTGCTTGAACCTGGGAGATGGAAGTTGCGGTGAGCCAAGATCGCACCACTGCACTCCAGCCTGGGTGACAGAGCAAGACTCTGTCTCAAAAAAAAGTTTTTGGAATCACCTTTTTCACCCAAAATGGGACACAAGTAAGGAGAATGCATTCCTCTGTTGTTTTTGTTTGTTGGTTTTTTTTTTTTTTTGGTCCCCCAAGTTCCCAACAGCTAGAAACTTCCTTCTATTTCATTGTGTGGGTTGCATTTTTGTTTTGTTTTGTTTTGCTTGAGACCAGGCTATTGTGCAGTGGTGTAATCACAGCTCACTGCAGCCTCAACCTCCTGGGCTCAAGCAATCCCCCCACCTCAGCCTCCCAAGTAGCTGGGACAACAGGCACACGCCACCACGCCTGGCTTATTTTTTCTTTTATAAAGACAGGGTCTGATTATGTTGCCCAGGCTAATCTCAAACTCCTGGCCTCAAGCCATCTTCCCACCTCAGCCTCCCAAAGTGATGGGACTACAGGCATGAGCCACCACACCCAGTCCTCTTTTTTTTTTTTCTTGCCTCCGTTACCCCAAAGACAAAGTGACTTCTGACCTGCGGTAGCAGAAGCAGCATCCATCTCCCCAGGGCCTGGCCACAGGGCTGCAGGTCCCGCCCAAGGAGCATGTTAAGTTTATACAGATTCTCCCTTTCAGCTGCTCAATGCTAGATTTCTCATTTGACGGCTCTGAGGAGTTCGATATTAACGCTTTTGAGGACATCATTGCTTTCTATGAAAGCAAGAAGTAAGTGCAGAAAGGGCCTTTGATCCCGAGGCCAGCAAGGCACCAAGGGGAGCCATCTTCCCCAGGTGCTCAGTGCTGCGTCCAGGACACAGACAGAGAGGACTGGCCGTTCAGGGAATGCCAGGGCCTGCAAGGGCCACTCCTGCCAGATTTGCAGATTTAGCCAGGTCGGCAGGGCTGCGGGTGGGCCAAAGTCATGGGCCTCATTCCAAGCCGTGGCCGCTGCACTGACCACCCTGGGTGTGAAGGCCACTCGCATATAGAGGTGACAGGCGACCCCTCTGTTGCCTTTGCTCTGCCTCCCTGGAGGGCTGGGGAGAGCAGGTAAGTGGGGCCATGGGGGCACTTGGCATGGTGCATGGAGCACAGGGGCTGGGGTCGGGTCCTTCCAGGCCACCTGCCGAGAGCTAAAACATGTGCTTTGAACGACTGCCAGCAGGATGCGGTAGCACGCACCTGCAATCCCAGCGCTTTGGGAGGCCAAAGCCGGAGGATCACTTGAGGCCAGGAGTTTGAAACCAGCCTGGGCAACATAGCAAGACCACACGCCTACAAGAAAAAATAAATAAAATGTCTGGAATAAGGAATTCAAAAAAAAAAAAAAAGCAGGAAAAACCAGATCCTCATTTCTAGAAGTTCTGAGTTCTGTCAAAAACATTTGTCATTTAGACATTCCTCACTAATATTTAGTTTGAAAGCATCCAGTTTTCATCTCTAAGGCATTCTAATTCACACACGGTATCAGTGCCAAAGTTTGCACCTCCGCGTGCGTGCTCAAGCCTAAGCCCACAGCCATCAAACAAAATGAAGCGAGTAAGGTTGAGTGCTTTGAGGGTAATTATCCCCTTAAACTAGGGTTTCTCTGGCCGGGCGCAGTGGCTCACCCCTGTAATCCCAGCACTTGGGGGAGGCATACGTGGGCAGGTCACTTGAGGATGGGAATTCAAGACCAGCCTGGCCAACATGGTGAAACCCTGTGTCTACTAAAAATACAAAAATTAGCCAGGCGTGGTGTGCACCTGTAATCCTAGCTACTGGGGAGGCTGAGGCAGGAGAATCACTTGAACCTGGGAGGCGGGGTTTGCAGTGAGCCGAGATCACACCACTGCACTCCAGCCTGGGCAACAGAGCAAGACTCTGTAAAAAAAAAAAAAAAAAAAAACTAGGGTTTCTCAACCTCAGCACTGTGCCAGATCATTCTCTGGGGTGGGCACCCGTCCTGTAGACTGTAGGGTGTTGAGCAGCATCCCTGGCCTCCACCCACCAGATGCCAGGAGAGCACCCCCACCCCCAAGTCATGGCAACCACAAATGTCTGCAGACATTGGCAGATGTCCCCTGATGGGGATGGTACCGCCCCGGTTGAGAACTGCTGTGTTCAAACTGTGGCTCTTGTATTCAAATTAATTCCTCCAAAGGCCTTAATGAAGCCAACAAGGAGATTGACATCTGGCCACAAAATCATGGAGAGAGACTAATTTGCTCCTCCCACAGAGACCCTCCCTAGGGTCTTTTTTCTGAGTCGCCCCAACTGATTTTTTTTTTTTTTTTTTTTTTTTTAGACAGAGTCTCACTCTGTTGCCCAGGCTGGAGTGCAGTGGTGCGATCTCGGCTCACTACAACCTCTGCCTCCCAGGTTCAAGCGATTGTCGTGCCTCAGCCTCCGGAGTGACTGGGACTACAGGCATGCGCCACCATGCCCAGCTAATTTTTGTGTGTTTAGTAGAGACGGGGTTTCACCATGTTGGCCAGGCTGGTCTTGAACTCCCTACCTCAGGTGATCTGCCCTGCTCAGCCTCCGAAAGTGCTGGGATTACAGGCATGAGCCACCGCGCCCAGCCTGTCATGGAATTTAAAAAATAAATAGGCTGAGCAGGGTGATGCATGTCTGTAATCCCAGCTACTCAGGAGGCTGAGGCAGGAGAATCGCTTGAACCTGGAAAGTGGAGGTTGCAGTGAGCTGAGATCGCACCACTGCACTCCAGCCTGGGCAACAGAGCAAGACACTGTTTCCAAAAAAAAATAAAATAAAAATAAAAATAAATTTAAAACTAAATAAATATCCCCAGCCAGGCGCGGTGGCTCACACCTGTAATCCCAGCACTTTGGAAGGCTGAGGTGGGCCGATCACAAGGTCAGGAGTTCAAGACCTCCCTGACCAACATGATGAAACCCCATCTCTACTAAAAATACAAAAATTAGCCGGGCATGGTGGTGCACGCCTGTAATCCTAGCTATTTAGGAGGCTGAGGCAGGAGAATTGCTTGAACCCAGGAGGCAGAGGTTGCAGTGAGCTGAGATTGCGCCATTGTACTCCAGCCTGGGCGACAGAGTGAGACTCCGTCTCAATAAATAAATAAATAAATAAATATCCCCAAAGGCTCTTAAATATGAGAACTTTTTCAGTGATCCAAATGAAAAGGATCGAATAAAGTGGAATGACCAGATGGAAATAATTTTTTTTTTTTTTTTTTTTTTTTTGAGACAGAGTCTCGCTCTGTCTCCCAGGCTGGAGTGCAATGGATGGCACTATCTCAGCTCACTGCAACCTCTGCCTCCCGGGTTCAAGCAATTCTGCCTCAGCCTCCCACGTAGCTGGGATTACAGGTGCCCTCCACCATGCCCAGCTAACTTTTTGTATTTTTAGCAGAGATGAGTTTCGCCATGTTGGCCAGGCTGGTCTCGAACTCCTGACCTCAGGTGATCCACCCGCCTCGGCCTCTCAAAGTGCTGGGATTACAGGTGTGAGCCACCGCACCCAGCTGGAAATGATGTATTGAAAAGGATCAATGATCTGTGTTGCCAAGTCCAATTTGCCTCAAAGCCCTGCCCCGCTCCAGGGCTTGGGGAGGCTGGCCCAGTCCCCATTTCTGGCAAAAGAGAGAGGGGCAGCATTGAGCACAGTGTCTTTCCCCCAGCTGCATGTTTTGGCTTCAGTGGCCTGGGGATGGTCCCAATGGCGCTGGGAACCCCGAGGTGGCAGGCCTGCTTCTAACTCCATCTTCTTTCTGTCACTGCGCCCCCTCCACCCCTCCCCTCAGCGATTTGCATAACCAAATGATCAAGAGCATCAAAGGATTGCCCTGGCAGGGCGAGGACCCCCGTAGCCTTCTCCAGTCCCTCAGTCGGCTCCAGAAACCCCGCGCCTTCATCCTGTGAGTCCCCCACCAAGGCCCTGCTTACAAGTGCGACAACCGCCTCCCACTACTCCTGCGACCCCGGCGGGGCCTGCAGTCTTCCTAATTTGCATCGGCCACTAAAACCACAGTGCTGTCTCATGGCCCACCCCCAGCCATCACTAAATGCCAATCAATAACACCCCTGGCCTCTGTCTGCACTGTGGCCCAGGCACAGCCGGCTTCCCAGCACACGGGGCAGCTTCCCAGGAGCACTCCTTCTTCGAGGCATCTAATTTTCCACCCGCAAACGTGCCATCCTCCGTCTCCTCCCCGTGCCTATCTGGCTTGCAGAGCAAAGCTTGCTCCCGCCTTTGCCACTGTGAGTTTGCAGAGAAGCCATCTGCAGCAGGGCATGCGATTTCCCAGAGAGGGTGGCCCTGATCTCTGCAGGTGGCCACATAAGCCAGTCAGGAGAGCCCAGAAGGTGCATAAACCGGTTTGGGATCCCGACTGTTAGCACACTGTGGGATTGAGTAGTCTCTGCTTTCAGCCTGCAAATGGGGTAATGACTCTCATGCTTCCATTATGCTGACCCAGCACCAGGCAGGCAGCAGCCTCAGCTGACAAGACATCCACCTGCGGTCACCACATCTCGCCTTTTAGTGGCCATTGGGGTGTGGGCTGGCTGAGAGCAAAGCTTGCACCTGCATGGGAGCCAATGAGAGCCAGTTTCTTTCTTTCTTTCTTTCTTTCGTTCGTTCTTTATTTCGTTCTTTCGTTCTTTTTTTGAGACGGAGTTTCACTCTTGTTGCCCAGGCTGGAGTGCAATGGTATGATCTCGGCTCACTGCAACCTCTGCCTCCCGGGTTCAAGCGATTCTCCCACCTCAGCCTCCTGAGTAGCTGGGATTGCTAACACCTGCCACTACTTCCAGCTAATTTTTTGTATTTTTAGTAGAGATGGGGTTTCACCATGTTGGCCAGGCTAGTCTTGAACTCTTGACCTCAGGTGATCCGTCTGTCTTGGCCTCCCAAAGTGCTGGGATTACAGGCATGATTCACCGCCCTTTTTTTTTTTTTTCTTTTTTAAGAGATGGGGGTTTCATTCTGTTGCCCAGGCTACAGTGCAGCAGTGAAACGATCACCGCTCACGGCAGGTTCGACCTTCTGGGCTCAAGCAATCCTCCTGCCTCAACCTCCAGAGTAGCTGGAACTACAGGTGCGCATTACCACACCTGTCTAATTTTATTGTTTGTAGAGGTGGAATCTTGCTATGTTATAGCCCAGGCTGTCAGGCTGGTCTCAAACTCCTGGGCTCAAGCGATCTTCCTGCCTCAGCCTCTCAAAGCACTGGGATTACAGGCATGAGCCACCGCACCCAGTGGGAGCCTGTTTAAAACTTCTGTTCCTTTTTTTTTTGAGGCAGAGTCTCACTCTGTCGCCAGGCTGGAGTGCAGTGGCTCAATCTTGGCTCACTGCAACCTCCACCTCCCGGGTTCAAGTGATTCTCCTGCCTCAGCCTCCCAAGTAGCTGGGATTACAGGTGTGCACCACCACACCCGACTAATTTTTTTCTGTTTTTAGTAGAGATGGGGTTTCACCATGTTGGCCAGGCTGGTCTTGAACTCCTGACCTCAAATGATCCGCCCACCTCGGCCTCAAACTTTTGTCCTTGTTGTGCCTTATTTTACCCCACAGGGATTCAGGTGAAACTGAATGCAACCACGGATGGCTAGGCATCTCACAGATCTACAAGTTACCATCTCCTTAGCCGGTCTTCAAAAGGCACCAGGCCTTTTGAATAAATAAATATATTTACTTATTTATTTATTTTCCCCCTTGGTCTGCAAGATTCCATAAGGTGTCTGAGAACACAGGAGCTATCCCCTTCCTTACCTCGGCCAAAAGAGCAGCTTTGGGTTTTGGGGGGGGTTTTGAGACAGAGTCTCTCTCTGTCACCCAGGTTGGAGTGCAGTGGCACGATCTCGGCTCACTGCAACCTCCGCCTCCTGGGTTGAAGCAGTTCTCCTGCCTCAGTCTCTTGAGTAGCTGGGATTACAGGCACCCGCCACCACACCTGGCTAATTTTTGTATTTTTAGTAGAGACAGGGTTTCACCATGTTGGCCAGGCTGGCCTTGAACTCCTGACCTCAGGTGATCCGCTCACCTCAGCCTCCCAAAGTGCTGGGATTACAGGCGTGAGCCACTGCGCCTGGCCAGCTTTGGTTTTCTTCTTTCCCACCAGCATGATCCTGAAAGGAGCTCCCACCCAGGCCCCATTTTGGTTATTTTGCAGGGCAAGTCCCTGCCCTGCCAGCAGAGGGTTCCAGAAGGGCCTCTGTGGGCCTGCTTGGCATCTACCAGCACATGGCAAAGACAGCCTGGTCACCTGGTCACCACCAGGACTGCTCAGGCTCCCTCCGCCCCACTCGGCATCCTGCTGTGATCTGGGGGATATGTCAGTTCCTCCATAGCAAGCCCCGCTGGATGCACGTCCCACCCTGTAGATTCCTAGCCAGCCCCTCCTACTTCTCAGACATCCGAATGGCCCCCAGACTAAACACTTTACTCAGCTTTGGGGCAGCCACCAGCAGAGTCCGGGTGCCGCCAACCCAGGGAAACTGGTGTCCACAGACAGTGGCTGAGGCACGCCACGGTGTGCAGCGTGGAGAGGTGGCGGTGGCCTTGTTGCACTTGCGCCTTCTCACTCTCTCCCCTCTCTCTGTGTCTCTCAGTCTAACCCGCCAGGCGTGGCTTGCTGAACTAACCCAAATCCCGACACTGTGTTCCTTTTGTTCACAAAACCATTTTTAATATTTTGACAGGAAAAGTAAAGGTATCAAACAAAAGCAGATCATTCCAAAGGTAAAAAAAAAAACACACCCCGCGCGACACGTTCCAAGATATCTTGCTTCTCTGCCCGTCTTGAGAGCTTTCACTTCTGCAACTTCATTTCCTCCTCCTTCCCACTATCTCCCCCTCCCTCCAAGAAAAAAAAAATGTTCTCGTGTTGAGATGATTTAGAGCTGTCTCTTTATGGGTTTCCCAGAAGCAGGGTCTGAGATGGGGTATTTGCACACACAGCGGCTTATGGAAGAGGGCTTACGTGAGAAGGCAGAGAGAAGGGGTGAGGGAGGAAGCTAGGGGCGTAAGCATAGCTGAAGTCTGGCCTCAGCCTGGTCCCATGGGGAGCTCTAGTGGGTTCATAGCACCACAGAGCTCATCCTGCCCCAACGTAATGGGACCCTTCCGTTTAACACCCCCATCTTCAGTCCCTGGCTACTGGGCTGCTTCCAGACAGGACAGAGAACCTCCCAAGCGCTCTGTCTCGTTTCCACATACAAGTGCAGCAATTTAAGAAATTTGCAAGAAGAGTAAGAATAGCCTTGCAGTCTAGTTAGCAGATGGGAGAGGGCTAATTCCTCTTGTCAGCTGATAGAACTGGCTGACACATGATGGTGGCCTGTCCGATGAGCTCATGCGGATGGCACAGAAAGGACCTGGCCCTTCTTGACTCAAGTAATGTAAACTGTAGGAGCTATGCAGAGGAGAGGGACGGCCAGGTTCAGTAGCACTGGCTTCCTCTCTAACCCAGAGGAAGAGGAAATGGGGCAGCCACTCAGGCTGTGAAAGAGGCTGTCATCAGCCCTCCCGGAACCAGCGCTGTGTGCAAGGTGCAAACCCACCTCATTCCACTGGGCCCACATCAATAGTGTGGTCCTGAGACCAAACCTAAGAGCTGCTGCCCGGGCACTCGCTGCGGGGACGCTGTTCTGCCCTGGCTTCGGGGACACCTGTGATGCCTCCCCGTGCCCGTGTGGGCTGTGGGAGGGCAGGCCGGACCCCATGTGTCTGTCCTAGAACCTACTGGACTCCAAGTCCCTGAAACTCATCATCAGCATGACTCTGCACGACCGCACCACCAAGTCCCTACTGCACCTGCACAAGAAGAAAAAGCCACCAAGCATCAGCGCCCAGTTCCAGGTAGGTGGAGCAGGAGAGGCAGAAGGTGGCGGTCAGCTCAGCCTCAGGCTTGTGTAGCTTCACCCGACACCGAGCACAGCCCGTCTCTAGTAAAAATACAAAAATTGGCCGGGCGCGGTGGCTCAAGCCTGTAATCCCAGCACTTTGGGAGGCCGAGGCGGGCGGATCACGAGGTCAGGAGATTGAGACCATCCTTGCTAACACGGTGAAACCCCACCTCTACTAAAAATACAAAAATTAGCCGGGCGTAGTGGCGGGTGCCTGTAGTCCCAGCTACTCGGGAGGCTGAGGCAAGAGAATGGCATGAACCCGGGAGGCGGAGCTTGCAGTGAGCCGAGATGGCGCCACTGCACTCCAGCCTGGGCGACAGAGCAAGACTCCATCTCAAAAAAAAAAAAAAAAGATACAAAAATTAGCTGGGCATGGTGGGCACCTGTAATCTCAGCTCCTTGGGAGGCTGAGGCAGGAGAATTGCTTGAACCTGGGAGGCGGAGGCTGTAGTGAGCCAAGATCACGCCATTGCACTCCAGCTTGGGCAACAAGAGCAAGACTGCGTCTCAAAAAAAAAAAAACAAAACAAAACAAAAAAAACACTACATCCGTGGTCCCTTCTGAGGTTGACACATGTTTCAAATCTCCAGAAAGCGTTTGTCTGGTCCTCCCCAGCCCCAGCCTTCCACCTGAGGCAAAAACAAGCACTGGTGGCCCTGGGACCATGGGGACCACATAACTCCCTCGAGGGTTTCCAGGGATAGCGCAGGCTTGGGTCAGAACGTCCAGCTGGAACCTCCTGTGTCCCACCACCAGGGACCCACATCTGTGCAGACCCCATCCACCCCACACTGATGCTAGAGTGTCCCAGGTCTGCTCCCACAGAACAGCGGCTGTCAGGGTCCCTGATTCAACCCAAATGCTTTCTCTTTCCCTTAACAGACATCCCTTAACAAGCTCTTGGAGGCACTGGGGAAGGCGGAGCCCTTCTTTATCCGCTGCATCCGTTCCAATGCTGAAAAGGTGAGTTTCTCTAAGGTGTTTGGGAGGAGAAGGCCCATGCCGGACTCTTAGGGGTGTCGGTGTCCCTGCATCCAGCCCCAGCCTCCACGCAGTATGGGGGACGGTGCAGCAGTCCATCCAGAGGCAGCCGGGGATGGAGAATTAGCAGTGAGGATGGTCCAAGTGGCCATTTAAGAGCAGGGACATCATCTGGAACATGGAGAGGCCCAGAGAAGGTTTGATTAGGGAGCGACAGGTCAGGGGTGCTTTTCAGATACATCCCAAAGAGTAGCCGGTGCAAGGAGTCTACCAGAAGGCAGAGGCTGAGATTACATAGCAGAGTCTCAGAGGCACACACAGCCCGCTGCTCACATTACAAGTTTCTAGAGAGACCCTTGGAGCCCCCGTGGGACCACCAGCAGGGGCTCCAGGCTCAGCACTGGCACAGGCTTCCTTTACCCCAGAGGTCCACTCCATCCCTGGGAGGACAGCTCGGGGACTTTGCCAGGGACTGAGCAGGAGTGTGGGCTCCCAGACAAATGTGAGCACACAGCCAGGCAGGAACCTCCCGCCAACTGTACCTGGGGAGATGCTCCGTAGTGCACCTTCTCTGCTCGTGGGCTGTGCCAGCAGATGATTCTCTGTGATAAAACCCATTTTGTGCACTGGAGGGTGGCAGCATCCCTGGCCTCCACATCCACCCCCAGTCATGACAACCCTCCTCATTCTTTCCCGTTTGCCTTTGTTTGTTTTTGTTTGTTTGTTTTTGAGACAGAATCTCCCTCTGTCACCCAGGCTGGAGTACAGTGGTGCGATCTCGGCTCACTGCAGCCTCGACCTCCCAGGTTCAAGCCATCCTCCTGGCTCACCCTCCCAAATAGCTGGGATTACAGGTGCCCACCACGCCAAGCTAATTTTTGTATTTTTAGTAGAGACGGGGTTTCACCATGTTGGCCAGGCTGGTCTTGAACTCCTGACTTCAAGTGATCCACCCATTTCAGCCTCCCAAAGTGCTGGGATTACAAGCGTAAGCCACCGCGCCCAGCACCGTTTGTCTTTATAGCAACACCATGCCTTATCCCTTACTGCCCACCAGAGTGAAGTCCAGACCCCTAAGCTCCAGGCTTAAAGCCCACTGAGGCAGCTGCATTTCCAGCCTCTTCTCTCCCCTGGCAGGAAGCATCTCCCTGTGTCCCCATCAGACCCTTGGCTTCTTCCTTCTCCTGTGGGCCTCCACCCAGCTGTTCTCTGCCTGTTCCCTCCTCAGGACACAGCCCAGCATCTCCTCTCTCCTGGGACACCTCCCATGGGGTGCTGGGCTTTGTCCGCCCCATCACCTGTGTGTGACTCCTGACCCCAGACCAAGCTCTCCTCTCCACCGAATCCCCAGCACTTACCCCAGTGCCTGGCAGAGAACAGGCCCGGAACACTGGGCTTTGTCCGCCCCATCACCTGTGTGTGGCTCCTGCCCCCAGACCAAGCTCTCCTCTCCACCGAATTCCCAGCACTTACCCCAGTGCCTGCCACAGAGAACAAGCCCAGAACAGATTTGCATTTGGGTTCTTTTTTTTTTTCTTTTCTTTTTTCTTTCTTTTTTTTTTAAAAAATAAATTTAAATGACTAGAGATGGAGTCTCACTATGTTGCCCAGGCTGGTCTCGAACTCCTGGCCTCAACTGATCCTCCCATCTTGGCCTCATTCCAGAAAGAGTGTCTGGAGCAAGGACGGACCCCTTGTCCAGGTGCTCCTGGCTGCCGTGCCGTAGAACACTCCCAGGTCGGCTAGCCAGCACCCACGTGTGCACCCTGACCATGTCTGTGTTCGGCATCCCAAGAGGCAGTGGTCGCATGGGGAAGTGCCCTCATCTCACAGTTCCCAGGCCTGAGCCAGCAACAGACTTGGGCATCCTGTCAGGTCAAGGCCACCTGCCTGATGTCTCGCATTCCCATTTCAGAAAGAGCTGTGCTTTGACGACGAGCTGGTCCTGCAGCAGCTGCGCTACACCGGCATGCTGGAGACCGTGCGCATCCGGAGGTCAGGGTACAGCGCCAAGTACACGTTCCAGGTAGGCCACAAGCACATATACCTGGACACACCTGTTCCGTGGCAAAGGCAATCACCCTCTTCCAAAGAGAGCTCCTTGCTGGAGTGTAAACTCAGCAGGTTGGCCAGGTGCAGTGGCTCACGCCTGTAATCCCAGCACCTTGGGAGGCTGAGGCAGGCGGATCACCTGAGGTCAAGAGTTCAAGACCAGCCTGACCAACATGGTGAAACCCCATCTCTACTAAAAATACAAAAATTAGCCGGGTGTGGCAGCAGCTGCCTGTATTCCTAGCTACTGAGGAGGCTGAGGCAGGAGGATCCCTTGAATCCAGGAGGCAGAGGTTGCAGTGAGCCAAGATTGAGCCACTGCACTCCAGCCTGGGCAACAGAGCAAGACTCCATCTCAAAAAAAAAAAAAAAAAAAAAAGAAGAAACCCCTGCCTCATGCCAAGAGCTAGTACCTGTGTCACCCTGAGCCCAAAGCCAGAGGTGACAGCGCCTGGTTCCCTTTCACGCTTTCCCTTCATAGCCCCAGGGACTAGAATGTAATGTGCCTCTTTTCTCATCCACTGAATAGAAATAGTGTCTTTCTAATCCTATGCGGATAAGAAAAGCAAAATTATAAAAAATGCAGAAATGCTGGTGTATTTTACCAGTGCTTGGCCCTTAAATATTTGAAATAATAATTTACTCAAAAGAAATGTTCTGGGCGGGTGTAGTGGCACACGCCTGTAATCCCAACACTTTGGGAGGCCAATGCAGGAGGATCAATTGAGCCTAGGAGTTTGAGACCAGCCTGGACAACATAGTGAGACCCCATCTCTGCAAAAAATTTAAAAATCAGCTGGGCACAGTGGCTCACACCTATAATTCCAGCATTTTGGGAGGCCAAGGCAGGTGGATCACTTGAGATCAGGAGTTCGTTACCAGCCTGACCAACATGGTGAAACCCCGTCTCTACTAAAAATACAAAAAAAAAAAAAAAAAATTAGCCAGGCATGGTGGGGCACACCTGTAACCTCAGCTACTTGGGAGGCTGAGGCAGGAGAATTGCTTGAACCCGGGAGATGGAGGTTGCAATAAGCCGAGATCACGCCATTGCACTGCAGCCTGGCCAACAAGAGCAAAACTCTGCCTCAAAAAAAAAAAAAAATTAGCCAGACAAGGTGGTATGCACCTGTGGTCCCAGCTACTCAGGAGGCTGAGGTGAGAAGATCACTTGAACCCAAGTAGTTTGAGGCTACAGTGAGTTATGACTGAGCCACTGCATTCCAGCCTGGATGGCAGAGCAAGACCCTGTCTTAAAACAAAACAAAACAAAACAAAACTAGAGGCCCAGTGTGGTGGCTCATGCCTGTAATTAGCACTTTGGGAGGGCAAGGCAGGCAGATTGCTTGAGCTCAGGAGCTTAAAATCAGTCTAGGCAACATGGTGAAACCCCGTCTCCACATAAAAATACAAAAGCCAGGCGTGCTGGCATGCAATGTACTTCCAGCTACTTGCGGGGCTGAGGCAGGAGGATTGCTTGAGTCTGGGAGGTTGAAGGTGCAGTAAGCCATGTTTGCACCACTGCACTCCAGCCTGGGCAAGACTCCGTCTCAAAAAAAAACATGTTCCTCCAGCTACAATCTAACTCCCCCACAAGTCCTAGACTGTAAGCCCCATTGCAAGGGTGACTGTGGTTCCCAGCCACCTCGACCATCTAAAAGATCTAGGACCTTGTATCTGCAGTGGTCTTTCTTAAGATTACAGACTGTTGGCTGGGCGCAGTGGCTCATGCTTGTAATCCCAGCACTTTGGGAGCCTGAGGCGGGCGGATCACGAGGTCAGGAGATCGAGACCATCCTGGCTACCACGGTGAAACCCCGTCTCTACTAAAAAAAATTTAAAAATTAGCCGGGAGAGGTGGCGGGTGCCTGTAGTCCCAGCTACTCGGGAGGCTGAGGCAGGAGAATGGTGTGAACCCGGGAGGAGGAGCTTGCAGTGAGCCAAGATTGTGCCACTGCAGCCCAGCCTGGGCGGCAAAACAAGACTCCGTCTCAAAAAAAAAAAAAAAAAAGATTACAGACTGTTGACCTGGCATGGTGGCTCACACCTGCAATCCTAGCACTTTGGGTCACGTGACCCATTTACCACTGCACCCAGCTGAGAACCCATTTCTTTGGTTTTTTGTGTGTGTGATGGGGGTGGTGCAGAGCCTTGCTCTGTCGCCCAGGCTGGAGTACAGTGGTGTGATCTCGGCTCACTCCAACCTCCATCTCCCGGGTTCAAGTGATTCTCCTTCCTCAGCCTCTCCAGTACATGGGGTTACAGGCGCCTGCCACCATTCCTGGCTAATTTTGGTAGAGACAGGGTTTTGCCATGTTGGCCAGGCTGGTCTCATTGGTTGAGCTCAGGAGTTCGATACCAGCCTTGGCAACATGGCAAAACCCTGTCCCTACAAAAATATTTTTTTAATTAGCTGGGCATGGTGGCTACAGGACTATGTGCCGTAGTCCCAGCTTCCAGGGAGACTGAGGCAGGAGGCTCACTTGAGCCCAGGAGGTCAAGGCTGCAGTGAGCTGAGATCACACCACTGCACTCCAGCCTGGGTAACAAAGTGAGACCCCGTCTCAAAAAAAAAAAAAAACAGACTATTTCTTTTTTTTTTCTTAAGACGGAGTCTCTCTCTGTCGCCCAGGCTGGATTACAATGGCGCAATCTTGGCTCACTGCAACCTCCGCCTCCCAGGTTCAAGTGATTCTCCTGCCTCAGCCTCCCAAGTAGCTGGGACTACAGGTGTCTGCCACCATGCCCGGCTAAGTAGAGATGGGGTTTCACCATGTTGGCCAAGCTGGTCTCGAACTCCTGACCTCAGGTGATCCACACACCTCGGCCTCCCAAAGTGCTGGGAGTACAGGTGTGAGCCACCACACCCGGCCCAGACTATTTCTGAAAGCCTGAAATTTTAGATTTGTCATTACCATTCCTGTCAAACCCAGCTTCACCTTAACCAGGGTCACCAGATCTCTGTCTCCTCATCGCTGGCCAGAACACTCACCTAGATTTTCCTTTCTCCACCCAAATAACCTAGGATTTCACCGAGCAGTTCCAGGTGCTCCTGCCCAAGGATGCCCAGCCCTGCAGGGAGGTCATCTCCACCCTCCTGGAGAAAATGAAGATAGACAAGAGGAACTACCAGATCGGGAAGACCAAGGTCAGCGCTCCTGCCCCTCGGGGCACTACAAACCCACACCCTGCCTTCCACCGCACACCGTGTCTCCCCAGGCCCCCAGGGCCACTCTCTGAAACATACAGGGCTCTGTCTAGGAAATGCATTTCTCGGGACCCAGCAGAGCACTGCACCTAAGGGATAGGGGCCGCCCTGGCTGAGCCCCACCTGCTGTTCTTCAGCAGGGCTCAGCGACTCCCTCCGCGTCACCTGTTTATTGCTGCCTCACAGGTAGGAAAGGGACGATCGTGCTAACTGGCAGGATTTAGGAGATGGTCAGTCCCCTTTACGGTATGAGGCAGGAGGTGGCCTGCACTTGTCCTCCCTTTCAGAGACTGTCTCCCATCTCTGGGCATGTGTTTGCCTCTTGCTATGGGAGCATTACTCAGCCACCCTTGTTTAACAAGCGCCAAGGTCAGTCCCCCTGAAGGCCTCACCTGGTGTAAAAAATTCCCTTCCAGCCAAGCGAGGTGGCATGCACGCAGAGTCCCAGCTACTTGAAAGGCTGAGGTGGGAGGATCCCTTGAGCCCAGGAGTTTGAGACCAGCCTGGGAAACATAGCGAGACCCCATCTCTATACAATATTTAAAAATTAGCCAAGCGTGGTGGCATGCACCTGTGGTCTCAACTGCTTGGCAGGCTGAGGCAGGAGTTTGAGACTGCAGTGAGCCCTGATTGCACCACTGCACTTCAGCCTGGGTGACCGAGCGAGATCTCATTTCTTTTTTCTTTTTTGTTTTTATTTTTGAGACAGAGTCTTGCTCTGTTGCCCAGACAGGTGGTGTGATCTCAGCTCACTGCAACCTCCGTCTCCCAGGTTCAACTGGTTCTCCTGCCTCAGCCTCCAAGCAGCTGGGATTACAGGTGCCCGCCACCACACCTGACTAATTTTTGTATTTTTAGTAGAGACAGGGTTTTATTACAGGCACACACCTGTAGTCCCAGCTACTCGGGAGGCTTAGGCAGAAGAATCGCTTGAAACCGGGAGGCGGAGGTTGCAGTGAGCTGAGATCGGGCCACTGCACTCCAGCCTGGTGAGACTCCATCTCAAAAAAAAAAAAAAAAAGGGGGGGCCACAGCCAGGTGCAGTGGCTCATGCCTGTAATCCCAGCATTTTTGGGAGGCCAAGGCGGGCAGATCACTTGAGGTTGGGAGTTCGAGACCAGCCTGGCCAACATGGTGAAACCCTGTCTGTACTAAAAATACAAAAATTAGCCAGGCCTGGTGATGGGCACCTGTAGTCCCAGCTACTCGGGAGGCTGAGGCAGGAGAATCACTTCAACCCAGTAGGCGGAGGTTGCAGTGAGCCGAGATCATGCCACTGCACTCCAGCCTGGGCGACAGAGTGAGACTCCATCTCAAAAAAATAATAAATAAATAAATAAATAAAGCCCTGGTTGGTCAGCACACCAGCCTAGGTCTCACTCTGGAGTGGGCTATGCAGACCTCCCAGGCACAGAGATGGTGTCAGGGGCAGTGCAGCTGACCCCACCTGACCCCGTGCCCACCAGGTCTTCCTGAAGGAGACGGAGCGGCAAGCCCTGCAGGAGACGCTGCACCGGGAGGTGGTGCGGAAAATCCTGCTGCTGCAGAGCTGGTTCCGGATGGTGCTGGAGCGTCGGCACTTCCTGCAGATGAAGCGGGCCGCCGTCACCATCCAGGCCTGCTGGCGGTCCTACCGGGTCCGGAGGGCGCTGGAGAGGACGCAGGCTGCCGTGTACCTCCAGGCCTCATGGAGGGGCTACTGGCAGCGGAAGCTCTACCGGCACCAGAAACAGAGCATCATCCGCCTGCAGAGCCTGTGTCGGGGGCACCTGCAGCGCAAGAGGTGAGCAGAGCCGGGCCACGCTCCTCGGAATATTCCAGAAGCCAAAAAGGTCACTCACCAAATTGCTGCCCGTGATATACCATCTGGCCTGTGGCACTAAGGGGATGTCATTCTGGACACAGGGAAAGGCTGGTGGGAAACCAGATGCCTAGGCACTCATGGGCTGCAGAGAAGTGCTCCAAGGCTGGCAGGCAGCACTCAGGGACAAAGCCCTGCTTTGCCATTGGCTGCACCCATTCTCTGCCCAGGGACTCCCCTGTACCTGGATCGGTCAGGGAACACCTGGATTCAGGGTTGGAGGGGCTGCCTGGACCAGCCCAACACTCACATGGAGCTGGGGCATCCACCGGGCACAGAGAAGCCCCCAGGAGGATATCAGCAGCTCCCGTCCCAGCACCCACAGCTCCGAGCCCAGCCCCTCCCCGACCTAGGCACCCTGTTCACCTCTCCCCTGCCCACACAGACCCAGCTCTGCCACAAGTCAGGTCCCAGCTCCCGGAGCAGGCCCTACCCACACATGCAAAAGCCTCCTAGGCCAGGTGCAATGGCTCATGCCTGTAATCCCAACACTTTGGGAGGCCTAGATGGGAAGATCGCTTGAGCACAGGAGTTCAAGACCAGCCTGGCCAATATAGCAAGATGCCATCTCTACACAAAATTAAAGACTTAGCCAGGTGTGGTGGTACACACCTGTAGTCCCAGCTATTCAGGAAGCTGAGGTGGGAGGATCACCTGGGCCTGGGATGTCGAGGCTGCAGTGAGCTATGATCACACCACTGCACTCCAGCCTAAGTGACAGAGCCAGACACTGTCTCTAAAAGCAAAACAGGCTGGGCATAGTGGCTCACACCTGTAAGGCCAGCACTTTGGGAGGCCAAGGCAGGCAGATCACATGAGGCCAGGAGTTGGAGACCAGCCTAGCCAACATGGCAAAACCCCATCTTACGAAAAATACAAAAATTTGCCGGGCTTGGTGGTGCATGTCTATAATCTCAGTTACTAGGGAGGCTGAGACACAAGAATCACTTGAACCCGGGAGGCAGAGGTCGCAGCAAGCCAAGATCGTGCCACTGCATTCCAGCCTGGACAACAGAGCGAGACTCTGTCTCAAAAATAAAATAAAATAAAATAAAATAAAAGCAAAACAAAAAGCCTCCTAGAAAAAGACCCAAGGGAAAGCCCACAGTGGACCCCAAAGGAGTTTGAGGCTTCTTAATAGAACCCACCCACCACAGCCCCAACAAGGGTCCTCTCCCCTAACAAGGCAGCCAGGCAGACGCAGGGCAGGGGTATCTGTGACACTGAGGGGGCACCACCCTCAGCCTCCTTTCCTGATCGAGGAGATTCCTGCTTTCCAGAAGCATCTCTCAGGGCCACTGGGCACAGGCGAAGCCCCGTCTGCAGCCCGCAGGCTGGGGGTCCCATCGGAACTCAGTGGGAGGTGGAGGGAGTGTTTGTTTCTGAACCAGCTGTCTGCTTTTTCCTCACTCCAGCTTCAGCCAGATGATCTCGGAGAAGCAGAAGGCAGAAGAGAAGGAGAGGGAAGCCCTGGAAGCCGCAAGAGCAGGTGCTGAGGAGGGCGGACAGGGTCAGGCGGCTGGAGGGCAGCAGGTAGCTGAGCAGGGGCCGGAGCCAGCGGAGGATGGCGGGCACCTGGCATCGGAGCCTGAGGTGCAGCCAAGTGACAGGTCCCCCCTAGAGCACTCCTCACCTGAGAAGGAGGCCCCAAGCCCAGAGAAGACTCTCCCACCCCAGAAAACCGTGGCGGCTGAAAGTCACGAGAAAGTCCCCAGCAGCCGGGAGAAGCGTGAGTCGCGTCGGCAAAGAGGGCTGGAGCACGTCAAGTTCCAGAACAAACACATCCAGTCCTGCAAGGAGGAGAGTGCCCTCAGAGAACCTTCCAGAAGGGTCACCCAGGAGCAAGGGGTGAGTCTCCTGGAAGACAAAAAGGAGAGCAGAGAAGATGAAACCCTTCTAGTCGTAGAGACGGAGGCTGAGAACACATCTCAAAAGCAGCCCACAGAGCAACCCCAGGCCATGGCAGTTGGCAAGGTCTCTGAAGAAACTGAGAAGACGCTGCCCAGTGGGAGCCCCAGGCCTGGCCAGTTGGAGCGGCCGACCAGCCTGGCCCTGGACAGCAGGGTCAGCCCACCGGCCCCTGGCAGCGCCCCCGAGACCCCCGAGGACAAGAGCAAACCATGTGGCAGCCCAAGGGTTCAGGAAAAGCCCGACAGCCCCGGAGGCTCCACGCAGATCCAGCGGTACCTGGACGCCGAGCGGCTGGCCAGCGCCGTGGAACTGTGGCGGGGCAAGAAGCTGGTGGCCGCCGCCAGCCCTAGTGCCATGCTCAGCCAGTCCCTGGACCTCAGCGACAGACACCGGGCCACAGGGGCCGCCCTCACGCCCACAGAGTAAGCCCCACACCCTCTTTTGTCTGAGCACCAGGGTCCAGGCCAGGTGGGCAAGGCCAGGGGCAGTGCCACACATCCTGGAAACACATGTGTAATCATGCCCAGTGGGTGTGCGGGAGGCCTGAGGGAGGAGGACGAGCAGGACATGCTAAAGACCAAGTGAAGACAAGGCAGCCAGCCAGGGCCCAGGCTGGGACCTGGAGCCTTGAGGGGTCCCCAGAAGGAGCTGTGCTCACACAGAAAGGCCCCGGCCTTGAGAGAGGTGGCTCCTCAGGTCAAGGTCCCTGCTGCCCAGAAATCTTGGGCCTTGGTTTCTAATTGGTGAACAGGACTAACTGCACTCCTCGGGGTTAAAGGAGCAGGGGCTTGCTCTGCCTGAGCCTTAGTAAGCCAAGTGTCAGTGACTTGGAATCTCCAGCTCCCTCTTCCAGAGGGCCTGCAGGACCAAAGGAAAGAAATCAGGGAGGAGACAGGCCTTCCCTGCAGCAGGCCTGCTCAGCCTCCCACTGCTCGTATTGGGGGCCAGATCATTCTCTGCGGTGGGGGCTGTCCTGTGTATCATAAGATGTTGAGCAGCATCCCTGGCCTCCACTTACCACATGCCAGGAGTATTATCGATAGATGATGGATGGAGGGAGGGAGGGAGAGAGAGAGAGAGGGAAGGATGTGTGGGTGGGTGGGTGGGTGGGTGGATGGATGGAAGATAGAGATGATGGAAGGATGGATGGAAGGAAGATAGAGATGATGGAGGGATGGATGGATGGAAAATGATAGAGGTGATGAATGGAAGACAGATATAGATGATGGATGGATGGAAGATACACATGATGGATGAAGGGATGGATAGATAGAAGACAGGTAGTAATGATGGATAGAGGCATGGATGGATGGATGATACAGATGATGGGGAGATGGATGGATAGAAGATGGGTAGAAATTAGGCTGGGCGCGATGGCTCATGCCTGTAATCCCAGCATTTTGGGAGGCCAAGAGTTTGAGAGGAGTTCGAGACCAGCCTGGCCAACATAGTGAAACCCTGTCTCTACTAAAAATACAAAAATTAGCTGGGCGTGGTGGCGCATGCTTGTAATCCCAGCTACTTGGGAGGCTGAGACAGGAGAATCGCTTGAACCTGGGAGGCAGAGGTTGCAGTGAGCCGAGATCAAGTCACTGCACTCCAGCCTGGATGACAGAGATGAGACTCCGTCTCAAAAAAAAAAAAAAAGTAGAGATTATGGATAGAAGGAAGATAGATGCCGACGATAGATGGATGGAAGGAAGATAGGTAGGTAGAGACAATGAATGGAGGGATGGAAGATAGGTAGAGATGATGGATGGCTGGGTGGGTGGATGGATGGATGGATGGACAGACAGAAGGATGGGTGGATGGCTGGAAGATAGAGATGGAGAGATGGAAGGAACATAGAGTTGATGGATGGAGGGATGGATAGATGATAGGTAGATTATGGATGGGAGGAAGATAGAGATGATGGAGGGACGGATGGGTAGAAGATAGGTAGAGCCGGGTTCGGGGGCTCACACCTATAATCCCAACACTTTGAGAGGCTGAGGCGGGTGGATCACCTGAGGTCAGGAGTTTGAGACCATCCTGGCCAACGTGGCGAAACCCCGTCTCTACTAAAAATACCAAAAATTAGCTGGATGTGTTGGCGCATGCCTCTAATCCCAGCTACTCGGGAGGCTGAGGCAGGAGAATCACTTGAACCTGGGAGGCAGAGGTTGCAGTGAGCCGAGATCACACCATTGCACTCCAGCCTGGGCAACAAGAGCAAAACTCCGTCTAAAAAAAAAAAAAAGATAGATAGAGATGACAGATGAAGAGATGGATGGAAGGCAGATAAAGAGGATGGATGGGTGGAAGATAGAGACAATGAGTCAATGAGTAGAAGGATGGATGGATGGATAGATAGATGATAGATAGATAGATAGATAGATAGATAGATAGATAGATAGATACATAGATAGATAGATGGGCAGGCAGGCAGGGTCTCTTGGGCTAAGGCAAGGTTTCCTACCCTCCACACTCAACATCTGGGGCTGGCTCACTCTCTGGGGTGGAGACCATTCTCTGTAGGGTATTGAGTAGCATCCCTGCCCTCCACTCACCAGAGGCCAGAAGTACCCACCCACTCCTTTCCCCCCACCCAAGTGGTGACAACCAAAACTGTCTCTAGACATTGCCAAGTGTCCCCTGGCAGGGGCAGAACTGCCCAAGTGAGAACCCAAGAACCACTAAGACAAGAAAATGCCACTGACTCACTCTAGTCAGTAAAAGCCATGTTTCTGTGATCTCGCAGGGAGAGGCGCACCTCCTTCTCCACGAGCGACGTCTCCAAGCTCCTCCCGTCCCTGGCCAAGGCTCAGGTAACAACAACACGGCAAAACCCCGTCTCCACTAAAAATACAAAAATCAGCCAGGCGTGGTGGCGCTTGCCTGTAACCCCAGCTACTCAGGAGGCTGAGGCGAGAGAATCGCTTGAACGCAGTGGCAGGGTAGAGGTTGTAGTGAGCCTCGCGAGACCAGGCCACTGCACTCCAGCCTGGGCAACTAGAGTGAGACTCCGTTTCAAAAAAAAAAAAAGCAGGAAGTGAGGTCGGTGGATGGAGTGTAAATGCCTGCAGGGGCTTCCCCATCTAGCACAGGACTGCCAGCCTTTCCTTAGCAGCCCCCCACTGCACCGTCTTGCAGCCTGCAGCAGAAACCACGGACGGAGAGCGAAGTGCGAAAAAGCCAGCTGTCCAGAAGAAGAAGCCAGGCGACGCATCCTCCCTCCCAGACGCAGGGCTGTCCCCGGGCTCTCAGGTCGACTCTAAGTAAGTATTGGGCTTGGGGGAAACTCAGGCCACCAGAGGATGCCCGGGGTCCCTGCCAGGGCCTCGCAGCAGTGTGGCCTCCTAAACCAATCACGTTTACAAAGCACGTTCGCAAAGGCATTTGCTCAGTAGAAACTGAATGGGGAGGCCAGGCAGTGGCTCACGCCTATAATCCCAGCACTTTGGGATGCCGAGACGGGTGGATCACTTGAGGTCAGGAGTTGGAGACCAACCAGGCCAACATGGTGAAACCCCATCTCTACTAAAAATACAAAAATTAGTTGGGCATGATGGCAGGCACCTATAATCCCAGCCACTCGGGAGGCTGAGGCAGGAGAATCGCTTGAACTCGGGAGGTGGAGGTTGCAGTGAGCTGAGATCATGCCACTGCACTCCAGCCTGGGTGACAGAGGGAGACTCCGTCTCAAAAAAAAAAAAAAAAAAAAAAAGCCTCTAGGGCAGGATCCTTCCTGCCTCTTCTGGCTTTTGGGGGCTCCAGGTGTTCCTTGGCTTGTGGCTCCATCACTCTAATCTCTGTCTCTATCGGCACTTGGCCTTCCCCTCAGTGTCTGTGTCTTCTGTCTTCTGTCCCTTAAAAGGACACGTGGCTGAATGGATGCAGTAGGTCACGCCTGTAATCTCAACACTTTGGGAGGCCAAGGTGGGATGATCACTTGAAGCCAGGAGTTCAAGATCAGCCTGGGCAGCGTGGCAAAATCTTGTCTCTGCAAAAAAATTTCAAAAATTAGCCAGGCAGGGCGGTGCATGCCTGTAGTCCCAGCTACTCAGGAGGCTGAAACAGGAGGATCCCTTGAGGCCAAGAGATCAAGCCTGCAGTGAACTGTGATCATACCACTGCACTCCAGCCTGGGCAAGAGAATGACACTCTGTCTCAAAAAAACTTTTTTTTTAACTTAAAAAGATAATGAGCTAGGCGCATGGCTTGTACCTATAATCCCAACAACTCAGGAGGCTGAGGTGAGAGGATCATGCTCGTGAGGCCAGGAGTTTGAGGCTGTAGCGAGCTATGATCACACCACTGCACTCCAGACTGAGTCACACCCCAACTGGAACAAAAAGAAAAGAAAATGGAGTCCCCCTGTGGCTTCTGTTTGGTATCCTTCTTTCTTCACATAACTCCCCTGCCAGTACAAAGAAAGGGCTATTGCTCTTTATAAGATAATCCTGTGTTGTTTTTTTGTTTGTTTTTTTTTTGAGACAGAATCTTGCTCTGTTGCCCAGTCTGGCAGTCTGGAGTGCAATGGCTCAATCTCCGCTCACTGCAGCCTCCACCTCTCAGGCTCAAGCGATTCTCCTGCCTCAGCCTCCCAAGTAGCTGGGAGTACAGGTGTGCACCACCATGCCCAGCTAATTTTTTTTTCTTTTTTTTTCTTTTTTTTTTTTTTTGTATTTTTGGTACAGAAGGGGTTTCGCTATGTTGCCCAGCCTGGTCTCAAACTCCTGGGCTCAGCTGATCCACCCACCTCAGCCTGCCAAAGTGCTGAGATTACATAGGCGTGAGCCACCATACCCAGCCAGATCCATTTTTGTTTTTGTTTTTTGTTTTTTTTTTTGAGACAGAGTCTCACTCTGTCACCCAGGCTGGAGTGCAATGGTGCGATCTCAGCTCACTGCAACCTGCAACCTCCACCTCCTGGGTTCAAGCAATTCTCCTGCCTCAACCTCCCAAGTAGCTGGGACTACAGGAACCCACCATCACGCCCTGCTATTTTTTTGTATTTGTAATAGAGACAGGGTTTTGCCATGTTGGCCAGGCTGGTCTCAAACTCCTGACCTCAGATGATCCACCCGCCTGGATCTCCCAAAGTGCTGGGATTACAGGCATAAGCCACCATGCCAGGCCAGATCCTTTTTTGAGTCAGGCATTGATAGAGCATTTGCCATGTGTCCAGTCACAGGGAGGCTGGGCCTCACGTCCATTTTCATTTCAGACTTAAAAGAAGCCACGTACTTTCTCCTGCAGATCCACGTTTAAGAGGCTTTTTCTGCATAAAACCAAGGATAAAAAATACAGCCTGGAGGGCGCAGAGGAGCTGGAGAATGCAGTGTCCGGGCACGTGGTGCTGGAAGCCACCACCATGAAGAAGGGCCTGGAAGGTTGGTAGCCTGCAGCCTCAGGGACAGACAGTAGAGCCACCAGTGCCCCTGGGGACATTCACTGTCCCCAAACGGGGCCTTGAGTTGGCTGTGGGCCAAGCCCTAGGCACAGAGCCAGGGGTTTCTGGCCCTGGATAAAGGCGTGCCATAGGAGGTCCCCTGCATCCTCCCCCTGAACCCACCCTCACCGGCTGCTTCCTGTCCCCCCTCAGCCCCCTCCGGACAGCAGCATCGCCACGCTGCAGGTGAGAAGCGCACCAAGGAACCAGGAGGCAAAGGGAAGAAGAACCGAAATGTCAAGATTGGGAAGATCACAGTGTCAGAGAAGTGGCGGGAATCGGTGTTCCGCCAGATCACCAACGCCAATGAGCTCAAGTACCTGGACGAGTTCCTGCTCAACAAGGTGGGATCACTAGGCGAGGGCCAGGGGCATGAGGCCCGGTCCCCAGGGGAACCATCACAGCCAGGCATTGTTTTCTGAAACACACAACACAGGGTTTAGCAGGTCAAGAATACAAAGTCCAGGCTCAGGCCGGGGACAGTGGTTCATGTTTGTCATCCCAGCACTCTGGGAGGCTGAGACAGGAGAATCACTTGGGCCCAGCAGTTCAAAACCAGCCTGGGCAACAGAGAGACCCCATCTCTACAAAAGGTTTAAATATTAGCTGGAGTGGTGGTGCACACCTGTAGTCCCAGCTCCTGGGGGCTGAGGCAGGAAGATCGCTTGAGCCCAAGAGGTCGAGGCACCACAAGCCACGATCGCAGCACTGCACTCCAGCCTGGGTGACAGAGCAAGACCCTGGCTCAAAAAAAATAATAATGCATATTTGGTCTCAAAGCAAAGATTGATGAAGCACTGTGTGCAACAGAAGTGGAGGCGAACAAGCTGTGGCTGCCCTCAGGAGGGTTATACCCCGTGGGGGTGGGGGGTGGGCAATCCTGCAGCAGATAGAGCTACATTTGGGAGCTGCACAGCGGGCACAGGGGGCCGATGGGGACACAGAAGGATCAGGAAACCCTGCTAGGAGTAGAGGCATCTTGAAATTACCAGGCCATTCCAGGCATCCCCATCCTAAGGTATGGCTGGGTGTTGAGCCCCTGTGTGGGGCAGCAGGAAGGGCCTGAACTGACCTGTAGCTCTCATCTAGGGGGGATTCTGTCCGCCAGGGAACACTGGCAATGTCTGGGGACATTGGGGTTATCACAGCCTCAGGGGAGGGCGCTGTTGGCATCTGGTGGGTGGAGGCCAGGGATGCTGCTTAACCTGCTGTGGTACACAGGGCAGGCCCCAATGTGGAGAGTAGTCCTGCCCTCAATGTCAGTGGCTTTAACTCTGGGTTGACAAGATGAGAGACCAGGCTTGGCCAGAGGGACTGGATTTTATCCCGAGAGCCTAGGGGATGACTTAAGAGAGGATAGAAGTGACCCCTTGGGCACCTCCTCGGGTACGCAGGTCCCCAGGCCTGAGGCACGCAGGGTCAGTTCCTCTCCCCTTCCAGATAAATGACCTCCGTTCCCAGAAGACGCCCATTGAGAGCTTGTTTATCGAAGCCACCGAGAAGTTCAGGAGCAACATCAAAACGATGTACTCTGTCCCGGTATGTGGCGGCCCGGCCTTCAGCCTTTCCCATACCCTGCTCAGACCCGTCATTCCCATCCGCCCCTTGCCCAGGCCTGCAGGGTGACGCCTAGCATTCCTACAGAACGGGAAGATCCACGTGGGCTACAAGGATCTGATGGAGAACTACCAGATCGTCGTCAGCAACCTGGCCACTGAGCGTGGCCAGAAGGACACCAACCTGGTCCTCAACCTCTTCCAGTCACTGCTAGATGAGTTCACCCGTGGCTACACCAAGAACGACTTCGAGCCAGTGAAGGTGGGCAGCCCAGCATGCCACGCCCACCTGTGACATGCCACGCCTACCCATGCCTCGCCATCCTTAGCCACGCCCACCCATGCCTCACCATGCTTATGCCACACCCACCCATGCCCTGCCCATACCACAGCCACTGTGCCATGACTTGATCCACTTATGCCATGCTTACCTGTGCCTCACCATGATCACTTATGCCACACCCACCTGACATGCCACACCCACCCATGCCATGCCACGCCTATGACATGCAACATGCTATGCCTACCCATCCCTTGCCATGATTACATGCCATGCCCACCTATACCATGCCGTGCCCATTTGTGCCACACCTACCTCCTGGTGGGGAGCCCTGCACCCTCCCCAACAGAGCCTCACTTCTGGGTCTGGGGTGTCTGAATGGGGGCGTTAGGGACAATGATGCCACTCCAGGTGAGGGAGGGTTCAGGGTACCCACACGCCTGAGTTATGGGGTGCCAGGGGTGGGTTGGGGCTCTTCCCAGGGGGGCCCCCGCCAACCTCCTCCTTGTGTTCCTCACAGCAGAGCAAAGCTCAGAAGAAGAAGCGGAAGCAGGAGCGTGCTGTGAGTAGGCTGCACATAGATGAGAGTCCGAGCAGGCGAACATTGGCAGGAGCATGCACGTGTGTGTCAGTGTCAATGTGCGCATGGGCCCGTCTGCACGCGTATGTGTGCGTGGACACGTGTGAGTGTGTTTTTCCCCCGGCATATACGGAGCCGTAGTCTTGAATAAGTCACCCCTGAGATCCCATGGGTCGTCATCCACCAGTGGCTGGGGAGGGCTGCCTTCCCCTTTCCCTGCCCAGCGCCTTCCTCTGGCCTCACAGGTCCAGGAGCACAACGGGCACGTGTTCGCCAGCTACCAGGTTAGCATCCCGCAGTCGTGCGAGCAGTGCCTCTCCTATATCTGGCTCATGGACAAGGCCCTGCTCTGCAGCGGTGAGTGGCTCCCCCACCAGGCCCCAAAACCCTCCATGTCCCCCACCACCCCTCACTGCTCAAGAGGTCTTCAGGGCCAGGCGGGGTGGCTCACACCTGTAATCCCAGCACTTTGGGAGGCCGAGGCAGGTGGATAACGAGGTCAGGAGTTTGAGACCAGCCTGGCCAAGATGGTGAAACCTCATCACTACTAAAAATACAAAAATTATCTGGGCACAGTAGTGGGCACCTGTAATCCCAGCTACTCGGGAGGCTGAGGCAGGAGAATCACTTGAACCTGGGAGGCGAAGGTTGCAGTGAGTCGAGATCGCGCCACTGCACCCTAACCTGGGCAACAGAGCAAGACTCTGTCTCAAAAAAAAAAAAAAAAAGGTCTTCACCCCAGCCCAGCCACCAGGTCAGATCTTTCTGGACCGTTGTCCCAGCCATATCCCACCCCCTCAAACCGTCCACCATCACCGGAGGAGCAGAGCCCAATTCTCAGCTGGCCCCAAGGCCCCCAGTAGCCAGCACCCACCCACATCTGCAGCCTCCTCTCCTCGTGGGCCCTGCCTCTCTGTCTCTGTACACGCTGCTCCACCGCCTGAACCATCGGCCCCTCCTTCCCCAGGCTCCTCACGGTCCCTCCCCTGTAGGCCAGACTCAGCCCCAGGGGACCCTAAGAGACAGGGCCCAGGAATGACCCAGCTGATCCATGCTCACACAGCTTTGATATGGCCAAGTCAGTACCCAAGCCCAGGCAGCCTCCAGAGGCCCAGCAGGGTCAAGAGGGCCTCTCCTACATGTGTTTTTCTGCCAGAACCATTTGGGCCAGGGTCTTTTCAGCCCAGAAGGCAGCCCCACCACCCCACATCTGTCCAACAGTCAGTTGTCATGGTCCTGAGATAAGGATGCGGGACCCAGGCCCGTCCCCTCACCTGATTCCATCCTTGCCAGGTGCCAGACACTCTCTTCTTTAGCGTAACCAGTGTACCCTCTGCAAGGCGTCAGCTGGGTGGCCTGGGATTCAGTGTGGTTGGAAGAAGGAAAAGCAGCATTGTCTTTGCCCCGTGACATCTTCGTCCCAAGTCCCCAAGGCCACCTCCTGGCAGGACCTTTAGACCTTTAGTTCTGCCAGTAGGTGGCCTTGGGGACTTGGGGCAAGGATGTCACAGGTCCCCACAAACACCTGCTCATGGTTCCGCTAGCCAGGCTGGGTCTGAGGCCATGAATGGCCACCTTGGAGCTATGAAGTTTGTCCACACAGCCTCCTCTCTCAGGAGTCAGGGCACAGGTTCCTGCAGTGTGGGTTTAGAAGTTGGCAGGCCAGGCACAGTGGCTCACACCTGTAATCCCAGCACTTTGGGAGGCTGGGGCGGGAGGGTCGCTTGAACTCAGGAGTTCTAAATCAACCTGGGCAACATGGCAAGACCCCATCTATACAAAAAAAAATACAGAAATTAGCCAGGCACGGTGGTGCACGCCTGTAGTGCCAGCTACTTGGGAGGATCACCTGGGCCTGGGAGGTCAAGGCTCCAGTGAGCTATGATAGTGCCACTGCACTCTAGCCTGGGTGACAGAGTGAGACCCTGTCTCAAAAAGAAAAAGAGAAACCAAAAAGAAGGCAATCCAGGCCAGGTGCAGTGGCTTACGCCTCTAATCCCAACACTTTGGGAGGCCGAGGTGGGCAGATCACCTGAGGTCGGTAGTTCGAGACCAGCCTGACCAGCATGGAGAAACCCTGTCGCTACTAAAAATACAAAATTAGCCAGGCGTGGTGGCGCACACCTGTAATCCCAGCTACTCGGGAGGCCGAGGCAGGAGAATCACTTGAACCCGGGAGGCGGAGGTTGCAGTGAGCCGAGATCACGCCATTGCGCTCTAGCCTGAGAACAAGAGTGAGACTCCATCTCAAAAAAAAAAAAAAAAGAAGGCAATTGGCGGCCCCCGGCCAGCTGGGTGGGTGGCTGCAGGAATCTGGGGTCCCCAGCACCCTCTGTGACTCCCACCCTGTGGACCTCCTAGTGTGCAAGATGACCTGCCACAAGAAGTGCGTGCACAAGATTCAGAGCCACTGCTCCTACACCTACGGGAGGAAGGTGAGTGTACGAGGCCTGGAACTTTCTACAATGACACTCCACTCACGGCCAGGTGCACCAGGAGGTGGTGCTTGATGTGAGGGCCAAGCGAAGCATTGAGCAGCCAGTAGGGGGCGGCTGTGGCCTCTGGTTCTGCAGAACACACCATTGTCCCCGGTTCTGTACAAACTCCTTGAGGCCCTCAGGCAGGGCCCAGGCCTGTGTGTGTGTCTCAGCTCCCCCAGCCCTGCTCATCCTTGCTCCTGAGAGAGTCCTGAGCCATGCAGAGGGAGGCCCCCCAACTCTGTGCATAAGGTTGGGGTCCTGGGTGCTGGGGGTGCAGCAAGAGTCAGGGTCTACTTCTGTGAGGTGGCTGTGGGGGCTAGGTTATAGCTCTCTCCCCACGAAGGACCACCCATGCCTTGGGTGGCCTACAAAGGAAGCCCCTGCCCAGTGGCTGCCATGCTGGCCTTGACTTCTGCAGCCCCACACCCCCAACAACCACGCAGAAGGAGACAGGGAGGGACAGAACAGCAGAGGAAGCCCTGAGGGCCTTGTGCGGGACCAGGAGGCAGAGGCCCCCAGAGACAGCTGGAGAGGAAGACAGCCAGGCCCAGACCTGACCCCCAACCCCGGCACTGCAGGGCGAGCCAGGCGTTGAGCCTGGCCACTTCGGCGTGTGCGTAGACAGCCTGACCAGCGACAAGGCCTCGGTGCCCATCGTGCTGGAGAAGCTCCTGGAACACGTGGAGATGCACGGCCTGTACACCGAGGGCCTCTACCGCAAGTCGGGTGCTGCCAACCGCACTCGGGAGCTCCGGCAGGCGCTGCAGACAGGTGGGCGCTGTGGGCAGGTGGGTGCAGTGCCAGGCCCCAGGCACAGCCGTCCTGCCAGTGCGCCGCTCACCAGACCCACCCCACCCACCCCACAGACCCCGCAGCAGTCAAGCTGGAGAACTTCCCCATCCACGCCATCACAGGGGTGCTGAAGCAGTGGCTGCGGGAGCTGCCCGAGCCCCTCATGACCTTCGCACAGTACGGCGACTTCCTCCGAGCCGTCGGTGAGCCCCATGGCGGTGCGGGTGGCAGCAGGTGGCCACAGCCAGGATACAGCGTTCGCTGTGACCAGCCCAGGAGGCAGGACCACCCAGTTCACAAACTGAGAAACTGAGGCCCAAAGCAGTCGGCCCAGCCAAACCGGGTCCCCAGTTTGGGGTGGGGCCAGGACACCTCTGTAGCCATCCATTCTTGCCTGGGCACCACAGGGTGGATGGCACCTGTGCATCTCAGGTCGTGTTGGTGGGGACAACAGGCACCTTGGGGACCCTTGGGAGCTGACGTCCTCAAACCCCACTGCCTGCAGAGCTGCCGGAGAAGCAGGAGCAGCTGGCTGCCATCTATGCCGTCCTGGAGCACCTTCCAGAAGCCAACCACAACTCCCTGGAGAGACTCATCTTCCACCTTGTCAAGCAAGTGCCTCCCCACCTGCCCTCTGTGGGGTTAGGGTCGCATTGGGAACCCGCGAGGCAGCATTTCCCAGGAGGACCCGAGCTGGCGTTCTGTGGTGGTTTCGAACCAGGATGCAGACCACTGTTGGGGGTTCTGGGAGGGGGCCAGGCTGCTGGGCCGCCCGGGTCCCTTGAGGTACCTCTCTGTGCTGCGGAAGCATCTCCCAGTGCTGGGCTGTGGCACTGCTTTCCCAACAGCCACCCCAGGGCTCAGAAGTTCAGTCTCGGGGCTCCCTGGTACCTCCCTCCCTCGGCCCTAGCCATCCTCTAACTGCCAGTGGCTGTGCAGGGTGGCCCTGCTCGAGGATGTCAACCGCATGTCACCTGGGGCGCTGGCCATTATCTTCGCACCCTGCCTCCTGCGCTGCCCTGACAACTCGGACCCGCTGACCAGCATGAAGGACGTCCTCAAGATCACCACGTGAGTGCCCACCCTGCCCCGGAGGCATGCTCAGGGCAGCCCCACCCAGGACCCCACGACAGCTCCATCCATCCCTGTGTAAATAAATGTGTAAGAAAAGTCCAGAGCCGAGTGCAGCGGTTCACACCTGTAATCCTAGCTACTTTGGGAGGCCAAGGCAAGAGGATCACTTGAGGCCAGGAGTTCGAGACCAGCCTGGGCAACATAGCAAGACCCTACAAAAAATTTGAAATTGGAAATTTGTATTTAAATATAAAAATTTAAATTTCCAAATTTAAATTTTTAAATTCAAATTTTTATTTAAATATAAAAATTTAAATTTTTGTCTCTACAAAAAATTTAAAAATTAGGCCAGGCGTGGTGGCTCACACCTGTAATCCCAGCACTTTGGGAGGGCGAGGTGGGTGGATCACTTGAAGCCAGGAGTTTGAGACCAGCCTGACCAACATGGTGAGACCCCATCTCTATTAAAAATACAAAAATTAGGCTGGACGAGGTGGCTCACGCCTGTAATCCAGCACTTTGGGAGACCGAGACGGGCAGATGACCTGCGGTCGGGAGTTCGAGACGAGCCTGACCAACATGGAGAAATCCTGTCTCTACTAAAAATGCAAAATTAGCCGGGCGTGGTGGCGCATGCCTGTAATCCCAGCTACTTGGGAGGCTGAGGCAGGAGAATCACTTGAATCCAGGAGGCGGAGGTTGCAGTGAGCTGAGATCATGCCATTGCACTCCAGCCTGGGCAACAAAAGCGAAACTCTATCTCAAAAAAAAAAAACAAAATACAAAAATTAGCCAGGCCTGGTGGCATGTGCCTATAATGCCAGCTACTGGGAGGTGGAGGCTACATTGAGCTGAGATCGCACCACTGCACTCCAGCTGGGCAACAGAGTGAGACTCCGTCTCAAAAAGAAAATTTAAAAAAATAAAAAATATATATATAAACTAGCCAGGTGTGGTGGCAGGCGCCTGTAATCCCAGCTACTCGGGAGGCTGAGGCAGGATAATTGCTTGAACCCAGGAGGTGGAGGTTGCAGTGAGCTGAGATCACGCCACTGCACTCCAGCCTGGGCGACAGAGCGAGACTCCGTCTCAAAAAAAAAAAAAAAATCCAGATGGCAGTGGCCCCAGCAGTTGTGTCTTTTTGAATGTGCTTTAATGAGCACACCCCATTGTACTAAAACAGAACTTTTTTTTTTCTTTTTGAGACGGAGTCTCACTCTGTCTCCCAGGCTGGAGTGCAGTGGCACGATCTCGGCTCACTGCAAGCTCCGCCTCCCGGGTTCACGCCATTCTCCTGACTCAGCCTCCCAAGTAGCTGGGACTACAGGCGTCCACCACCACGCCCGGCTAATTTTTTGTATTTTTAGTAGAGACGAGGTTTCACTATGTTAGCCAGGATGTTCTCGATCTCCTGACCTTGTGATCCGCCGTGAGCCACCGCTTCCAGCCTAAAACAGAACTTTTAACAAAGGCTGGATGATAGGTGAATGGTAGTGGATTCCTCTCTCTGCTACAAAGCGTCCTGTCACGGGAGGATAAGGAACAAGCAGCAGCCCCTGCAGGTCGCACCACAGAGCTCACCCAACCTGAGTCCCTCTGGTACTGACCACTCCAGACTGAGTCCCTCTGGTACTGACCACTCCGGACTGAGTCCCTCTGGTACTGGCCACTCCGGGCTGAGTCCCTCTGGTACTGACCACTCAGGGCTGAGTCCCTCTGGCACTGAACACTCCGGGCTGAGTCCCTCTGGTACTGACCACTCCAAGCTGAGTCCCTCTGGTTCTGACCACTCCAAGCTGAGTCCCTCTGGTTCTGACCACTCCAAGCTGGGTCCCTCTGATACTGACCACTCCAGGCTGAGTTCCTCCCAATAATGACCACTCCAAGCTGAGTCCCTCTGACACTGACCACTCCGAGCTGAGACCCTCTGATACTGACAACACCAGGCTGGCCTTGACCACCAAGTGGGCATACTGTGGGTCAGCCCATGTCTGGAGCCCCTGGGGCCATCTGCCTATTGCCCCTGGGACAAACTGCCCAGCAGCTTGTACTTCTCTGCGAGGCAGGATAATTCCCACCCTACTGGTGACTAAGGGGTTCAGTTCACTCTGACCCTCCTTCAAACAAGGAGGCGTGCAGAGACAGGAGACAGGCTCAAAGAGGTAGAGTGAGCTGCCGAAGGTCACACTGCATGGGAGCTGGCACAGCCGTGTCCCAGGCACTGCTTGGTCTCTGAGCCTCAACCACTGCCCCCCAGGCACCAGCTAGCATCTCCCTGGACCTCAGACGTCCCCGGGGCGGTAACTGAGTCACTTCCTCCCGTGGGCCTTCTCTGTAGGTGCGTGGAGATGCTGATCAAGGAGCAGATGAGGAAATACAAAGTGAAGATGGAGGAGATCAGCCAACTGGAGGCTGCAGAGAGTATCGCCTTCCGCAGGCTTTCGCTCCTGCGACAAAATGCTGTGAGTACCGGTGATCGTGGGGGCGGGACCTCTTTGGTGGGGCGGAGCCTGGTGCTGGGCAGGGCCTTGGGCGTGGCTTTGTTGCTGGGAAGGCTGGTGAGTGGGGTCTTGGTGGGCGGGGCCTTGGGTGGGCAGGACCTCCCATGCCGAGGATGGGACCGGGTAGTGGGTGTGGTCTCGGGTAGCAGGGCGGGGCCTCCCTTCCCAGTTCCCCGCCCACTCCTACCACACCCTTGGCCACAACCAGCCTGGCTGGGGCCACCAGGCCCTGCAGGTAGGGGCAGACTTACTGCCTTGAACGAAAGACGATGGTCCTCGCTCAGCCTCACTCCAATTATGTTCCTCTAGGTGGGGCAGGTAGGGGGACCAGCTTCCTGCTTGCTGGTGGTTCAGGTCATGCGTCCAGCCTTGTCCCTTCTGACCTGGGCCCTACCCACGGGGAAATGTTCCCATAGCAGAAGAATCAGCCCCACAGTGCAGGGGTGTGTTAGTGGGGAACGGGCTCTGGGCTCCTGTGGGAACCAGGGACCCCCTATCTTGGTACCGGTCATTGGATGTATCCCCAGCTCATGCCTGTGTCTGTCTTGGCCCGTGTGGTCACCCTGTGTTCATCTCTCTCCCAGCCATGGCCTCTCAAACTGGGGTTTTCGTCTCCCTATGAGGGGGTCCTGGTATGTACGCGTTCGGTGGGCCCGCGGTGCATGTCTCCCGGTGCAGTGCATGCTGGGGTTCCCTGGGGCCCTGGGCCCCTCGTAGGATAGACAGAGCCTGTCCTAACCTTCCGGAAGTGCATGCTGGGGAGGCCCCTTGCCTGCTGACCTTCTGTGCTCAGGACGACTAATCGGCCACATGACCACCACTCTGTCCCATGGGATTCCTAGAGAAGTCTCACTAAGAGCCCAGCACACTCACATCACAACTAACCTCCTGGGATCTGCTCACACCTCCGGCAGTAACCTCGCCCACTCAGAGATGTCAGTGGGACCCCTTGCTTCTTTGTTTCAGAACAAGAGCCCCAAGACCCGGGACATCCAGGAGGAGGAGCTGGAGGTGCTGCTGGAGGAGGAGGCAGCCGGCGGCGATGAGGACCGGGAAAAGGAGATTCTCATTGAACGGATCCAGTCCATCAAGGAGGAGAAGCAAGTGGCTCAGTCCCCTCCCTCAGTCCTTCATGTTTAGGGCAAGCTGGAGTGCAGGTTCCATCCCTGGTGGTCCGCTTGACCTCGCCAGGTTTGGTCCTGTCATCCCTAACACTGGGCAAACAACACTTTTTTTTTTTTTTTTTTTTTTTTTGAGACGGCGTCTCGCTCTGTCGCCCAGCTGGAGTGCAGTGGTGCTATCTCGGCTCACTGCAACCTCCATCTCCCGGGTTCAAGCGATTCTCTGCCTCAGCCTCCGAGTAGCTGGGATTACAGGTGCCCACCACCATGCCCTGCTAATTTTGTGTTTTTAATAGAGACAGGGTTTCACCACATTGGCCAGGCTGGTCTTGAACTCCTGACCTCAAGTGATCCACCCACCTTGGCCTCCCAAAGTGTTGGGATTACAGGCGTGAGCCACCGCACTCGGCCTTTATTTCTGAGACAGGGTCTTTCTCTGTCACCCAGGCTGGATTGCAGTGGTGCGATCACGGTTCACTGCAGCCACAATCCCCTAGGCTCACGGGGTCCTCCCACCTCAGCCTCCCCAGTAGCCGGAACCACAGGTGGTGCACACCACCACGCCTGGCTAATTTTTTTTACTTTTTGCAGAACAGGGTCCGCCTATGTTGCCCAGGCTGGGTTCAAACTCCTGGGCTCAAGCAATCCTCCTGCTTGGGGTGGGGGGAGGTTGGGGACACAGAGTTACATCTAGGAGCAGGACAGCCTGCTCTGTTCCACACTGGCCCAGCACTTCCGGTGGGGTGGCCTTGGACACCACTACCCTTTTTCCTCCAGGGAGGACATCACCTACCGGCTGCCGGAGCTGGACCCAAGGGGCTCGGACGAGGAGAACCTGGACTCGGAGACGTCGGCCAGCACCGAGAGCCTGCTGGAGGAGCGGGCCGGGCGGGGGGCCTCGGAAGGTCAGTATTAAGGTAGCGTCTGCTTTTCTCCTTCCCGTCCATCCCAGCAGGCCCCAGGGCGAGGGTCCTCCGGCTGCCGGCCCTGAAGCTGCAGTAACCCTGCCATCTGTCTCTCAAAAGGGCCCCCTGCGCCTGCTCTCCCTTGCCCCGGCGCGCCCACCCCGAGCCCCCTCCCCACCGTGGCCGCCCCTCCACGACGAAGGCCGTCGTCCTTCGTAACGGTCAGAGTGAAGACCCCCCGGCGGACCCCCATCATGCCCACGGCCAACATCAAGCTCCCACCAGGCCTGCCCTCCCACCTGCCTCGCTGGGCACCGGGTGCCCGGGAGGCGGCTGCCCCAGTGCGGCGCCGGGAGCCACCTGCCCGCCGCCCGGACCAGATACATTCCGTGTACATCACGCCCGGGGCAGACCTGCCAGTGCAGGGCGCCCTGGAGCCCCTAGAAGAGGATGGCCAGCCACCTGGGGCCAAGCGGAGGTACTCGGATCCCCCAACGTACTGCCTGCCCCCCGCCTCGGGCCAGACCAATGGCTGAGAGCCACAGCTGACAAAGTCTGCATGTCCGAGGACGGCCCCTGCACTGGAGCTGGGCGCCAGAGCTGCAGAGCTAGTGTTCGGCCCTCAGAGAAGGATCCAGAATCAAAAGCTCAAGAGTGACGTGAGGTGGGCACCGGCCCCAAGTGCAGAGTCAAGGCAGGGAGAGGCCGGCTGGAGCCAGGCCCCCTCGCACGCAGCCCCCAAATCATGGACGCACCTGTGGGGAGCACCACATCTCCACCTGCGGCCTCACATCTCCCCACTCCCCTTTTTGTACGTTTAACTGTTTCTTTGTACGTGGTTTACGTAACTTTAAACTGTAACAGCCTTAATGGAAGACCAAATGGTTTTTTATATGTGTATGTACAAAGTTTTCTATTAACGCTGCCCGTCTCCCTTATAACCTGGACGTGAGCTGTCAGAGCAGAAGCCACTAGGCCACTGCGCGTCTGAGGCTCAGACCCTGCTGTGGTTGGCTTGGGGTGGCCAATGGGCTGGGACCCTCCATGAGAGTTTTGGACACTTGGGTCACCTGACCCGTGCCTCTCTGACACATGTCTCCGGGGGGCAGCCACCTGGCCAATGTGCATTTTTGCACATGCTGGAACCTTCCATGGGGGTCTGGGCTATTGGCTGGAGCCAGGACATGAGTCAGGGGCACCATGGACCTCACGTGCCAGGGAGACTTGAATGTGGCTGTCACTCTTCCGGACGCCAAGGGCTGCAGGAGGCTGCTTTTGGCACTACCCACCCCGTGTGACAGAATAGGAGCCAGCGACTCAGGACTGCTCACGGGTCAGGAGGGCAACGCCTGAAGTCAGACCTCCCTATAGGTCAACAGGGACAACCTGGGGATCTCTGGAGCAGGGCCCTCCTCTCTCAGGCTTGGCCCACTCCCCCAGACACCTGGACACGTGGCCACAAATCTGGGACAAGGGGCCCCCGCACAGCATGAAATAAAAAGTGCCTGAGAAGTGTGTGCATGGGACGCCTGCTCATATGGGATCGGGCTTGGAAGAACAGGGCCGGTGGGTGGGGGTCTGCCCTGTGGCCTCAGCCAAGAAGGGTGCAGAATATGGGTGGAACACTGTCCTCAAAGTTCTGTCTTGATCCTCCACCAAACAGGGAGCTCCCAGCAGAGCCTCACTTGGCCAGGAGCGCCTGCTGTCCTGGCAGCCCTCTCTGGCCTCCCTGATTCAGTGCCCAGCCTCTGGAGCCTAAATGTCAGCTGCAGCAGCCACCCATCCAGCAGAGGTGGCCAGTTCCTGGTGGGCCCAGCAGGACAGGAACAGATGGGCTCCCAGGCTGCCATCGGATGGGAGTCGTGGGAACTGGCTGGCTGGTATTGGTTGGGGCACCGTGAAGAACCCAAGTTCAGACAGCACATGCCAGAGGTTGAGGGGCTTCTCCAAGGCCACACAGTTGGGAGGGGCATGGCTGGGATTTAGACTCTGCCCTGCCAGCCTCTAGAGGCCCCTTTGATGGGCCCTGGGTTTGGTCTCCATTGTTTGTTGTGGGTTTTTTTCTTGAAACACGGTCTCGCTCTGTCACCCAGGCTGGAGTGCAGTGGCGCGATCTCGGCCCACTGCAGCCTCCACCTCTCGGGTTCAAGCGATTCTCCTGCCTCAGCCTCCCGAGTAGCTGGGATTACAGGCACGCACAACCAAGCCCAGCTAATTTTTGTGTTTTTTGATAGAGACAGGGTTTCACCATGTTGGCCAGGCTGCTCTCCAAACTCCTGACCTCCAGTGATCCATCCACCTCACCCTCCCAAAGTGCTGGGATTACAGGCGTGAGCCACCGCACCTGGCCCTCCATGGTATTTTCTTTTTTTTTTTTTTTTTTTGAGACGGAGTCTTGCTTTGTTGCCCAAGCTGGAGTGCAGTGGCACAATCTCGGCTCACTGCAACATCCACCTCCTGGGTTCAAGCGATTCTCCTGCCTCAGTCTCCCAAGTAGCTGGGATTACAGGCACCCACCATCACGCCCGGCTAATTTTTGTATTTTTAGTAGAGACGGGGTTTCACCATGTTGGCCAGGCTGGTCTCAAACTCCTGACCTCAGGTGATCCATCTGCCTCAGCCTCCCTAAGTGCTGGGATTACAGGTGTGAGCCACCGCACCTACCCGTCTATGATATTTTTCAAGGACATCAGGCCCACTGGTGTAACCAAGGTGCAGATGACCTAAGGTGTGGGAAAACATGAAGGCTGCATGCCAGGCCCTGGTTCCTGTGAAGCCCCCACCCTCATCCTGTCACTCCAGAAGAGAGGCACTGCAAGGCATAGGGGTACTCAGCTTCCAGGTACTGAGGTGGGCTGGGAAGGGGTTCTCCATGGGGGTCTGGGCGTTAGGGGGGACCCAGCCCCACCTTGCTCACTCTCAGGCAGAGCTGTCTCATGTGCCCCTTGAGGCAGGTACTGTCACACTGTCCATTTCCCGGGGGAAGAAGCGGATCCAGAAAAGTTAAACTCTCCCAGGGCCGAGGATGGAATCAGAGCTGGAGCTGTGACCTGGAAACCCATAACCACAATACAGATGAGCCCTGCTGAGGTGGGGGAAGCCTTGGATTCCTGAATCCCAGGCTACAGAAATCGGGAAGGGTGTGTGGACGTGAAATAGCTCCGACTGGGAAGAATCCAGGTAGGAGTGGGGTGCGGGGAGGTACTTTGAGCAGGCAAAACAGAACAAAAGGGCACACTGCACGCGGGTCTGACACCAGAAGACCCCGGTCGTCCTATCATTCCCGAAGGGTTAACATGCTCTCGAGGAAAAGCAAGTGATTCGCCTAAGTAAGAATGGGGTGGCGCCTCTCCTATTTTTTTAAAATAGAGATAGAGTAGCGCTATCTTGCCCGGGCTGGCCTCAAGCAATCCTTTCCCACCTCTGCCTCCTAAAATGCTGGCATTACAGCCCTGAGCCACCGCGCCCGGCCCAGCGCCCCGTCTCAAAACAAGATATTACTTCCGCTCCAAACAAAGATGGGCCAGCTAACGAGCGCGGGGGAAACATCCGCCCGGAAGGCCACTTGAAGGCACTTCCGCCCTCTCTTAACATGGAGCCGGCGGAAGGGGTGGTGTAGGGCCGGGCGATAATGGCGGCGTCGAGGCTGGAGCTAAACCTGGTGCGGCTGCTATCCCGCTGCGAGGCGATGGCAGCGGAGAAACGGGACCCGGACGAGTGGCGCCTGGAGAAGGTGAGGGGATCTCGCACTGCCGCGTAGAGCCCGACTCCCGGGGGGTGATTCCTAGGGTTGGAAGCCACCTGGCCCGACTCCCCGGCCCCAGTAGCCTCTCGGGCAGCGCCCTTTCCGGTCAGTCCCGCCACGTCCACCTGTAGCTTCCGCCCCCGTCCCTGGGACTCCGCCCCTCCCCCACTGGCCCCGCCTCCTTTACGCTTGACCCCTCCCATTTGTCGGCCCCGCCCCCCCGACTCCCATGATCAGGACATGGGAAAGACCCCCGGGTGACAATCCACTTTTCCTCCCCAGTACGTGGGAGCCCTAGAGGACATGTTGCAGGCCCTGAAGGTCCACGCGAGGTGAGTGCAGGCAGCCTCAGGGCTTTCACATCAGCACGTGGCTGTGCTACTGGACATCCCAGTACCGCTATCCCAGCTGGGACCCTTCCCTGAGCTGGGGACCATGGACAGGTTTTGTTTTTCTTCTTCCTGCCTTCCAGCAAACCGGCCTCTGAGGTGATCAATGAATATTCCTGGAAGGTGGATTTTCTGAAGGGGATGCTGCAAGCCGAGAAGCTGGTGAGAAGGGGTGCCCCTGCCCCCTCAGCCCCCATCACCGCTCACTTTGGTCCCCAGGACCTGCCCCTCCAGTGACTTATCTTCCCACATTTCTGCAGACCTCCTCCTCAGAGAAAGCACTGGCCAACCAGTTCCTGGCCCCTGGCCGTGTGCCAACCACAGCCAGAGAGCGAGTGCCCGCCACAAAGACGGTGCATCTGCAGTCACGGGCGCGGTACACCAGCGAGATGCGGAGTGAGCTACTAGGCACGGTAGGGCTCCTTCCCTGGTCCCTGGGAATCCCTTGGACAGGAATAGGGGTTCTATGCTTGTAGGCAGCCAGAACCACAATACTGTCAGATACAGGAACCCTAAGGGGGTCCAGCAATCTCTTCCCTGGGTCATCACACAAGGCTGCCCAACAGAGGGGCATTGTGGCTAAGGCTTTGCTAGATGAATAGGAATTTGGTACAAGGCAAAAATGGAATGTGTCTGGTTAAGCCCCAGAGTTGGCCCAAGAGCAGGGTTTGAGTCCTGGCTTGCAACTTACAAGACACATAAGTTTCTTCAGCCGTAAAAGAGGATGACAAGTTCCTTTCTGAGCACTTTATGTGGATCAGCTCAATCTTTTAAAATATGAGTTGTTGTGGCCAGGTGCGGCAGCTCACGCCTGTAATCCCAGCACTTTGGGAGGCCGAGGCGGGCGGATCATTTGAGGTCAGGAGTTAAGACCAGCCTGACCAACATGGAGAAACCCCGTCTTTAGTAAAAATACAAAATTAGCTGGGCATGGTGGCTCACGCCTGTAATCCCAGCTACTCGGGAGGCTGAGGCAGGAGAATCGCTTGAACCCAGGAGGCAGAGGTTGCGGTGAGCTGAGATCAAGCCATTGCACTCCAGCCTGGGCAATAAGAGTGAAACTCCGTCTCAAAAAAAAAAAATATGAGTTGTCGTTACCAGTTTAAGGTTGAGGAAACAGGCTCAGAGGTCATGGGATTTCCCCATGTCCTGACTGAAGGTGAGGAGGTTGAGGTCAGAAGGGACAGGTTTGGGAACAAGACAAGGGGGGTGACTTCATGGCATTTACTTTTTTTTTTTTTTTTGCGATGGAGATTCGCTCTTGTTGCCCAGGCTAGAGTGTGGTGGCGCGATCTCGGCTCACTGCAACCTCCGCCTCCCAGGTTCAAGCAATACTCCTGCCTCAGCCTCCCAAGTCACTAGGATCACAGGCACCCCCACCACACCTGGCTAACTTTTTGTATTTTTAGTAGAGATGGAATTTCATTATGTTGGCCAGGCTGGTCTCGAACTTCTGACCTCAGGTGATCTGCCCACCTTGGCCTCCCAAAGTGCTGGGAGTGAGCCACTGCACCCAGCCTCATGCCACTTACTTCTTTCCACAGGACTCTGCAGGTGAGTCACCATGAACACAACAGGACTTGAGGGCCAGCTGACTAGGACAAGACATGTATCCTTGCTGCCCCGGGGCCTCCATGCCGAGACTCCATGCCCTGACTCCAACAGGAGCATCACCAAACTACACCTGGAGGAAGAGCCAGGACAGAGGAAATGGCCCCGAGAGGAAACAAAGCTAGGCACAGTGGCTCACACCTGTAATTTCGGAGGCTGAGGCAGGTGGATCACCTGAGGTCAGGAGTTTGAGACCAACCTGGCCAACATGACAAAACCATGTCTCTACTAAAAATACAAAACTTAGCCGGATGCAGTGCCACGTGTCTGTAGTCCCAGCTACTCGGGAGGCTGAGGCAGGAGAATTGCTTGAACCCAGGAGGTGGAGGTTGCAATGAGCTGAGATCACACCACTGCACTCCAGCCGGGGCGACAGAGCAAGACTCCGTCTCAAAAAAAAAAAAAGCAAAAAAATTAGCCAGGCGTGGTGACGCACACCTGTAGTCCCAGCATACTTGGGAGGCTGAGGCAGGAGGATTGCTTGAGCCTGGGAGGTAGAGGTTGCAGTGAGCTGAGATTGCGCCAGTGCACTCCAGCCTAGTTGACAGAGAGAGACTCTGTCTCAAAAATAAGCAAATAAATAAATTTTTTAAAGCTAGGCACTCCCAGCCTATGGGACCAAGGCTAGGCTGGAGGGAGGGACCTGGGGTCTGAGGGAACCGAGACAGGAGTAAGGAGACCCTCCTAGAAGAGGGGGTATTCAAGCATGGTCAGAAGCCAACGGGGCAGCAGACAAGATGAGGAAACAGCATTCCAAGCAGTAGACCCAGCACAGGCAATGCTCAGGATGCCGGAAACGGGAAACCAACACTCGCCTTTTTTGCTTGGCCTGTTTTGCTTTCAGAGCCTGAGATGGACGTAAGGAAGAGAACGTGAGTGTCTGCGGCCCTGGGGCAGTAGTGGCAATTGGGCGGTGCGGCAGGGACGGGGTAGCAGTGGCCAAACCCTGGACCACCGAGGCACTACCACAAGGATCTAAACCAACCAGAAGCCACTTCTGTGGATGCTCTTCCCAGAAGTCAAAGGCCAGGCGCAGTGGCTCACGCCTGTAATCCCAATACTTTGGGAGGCTGAGGCAGGCAGATCACCTGAGGCCAGGAGTTCAAGACCAGTCTGGCCAACATGGCAAAACCCTGTCTCTACTAAAAATACAAAAAATTAGCCGGGCATGGTGGCATGCGCCTGTAGTCCCAGCTACTCAGGAGGCTGAGGCAGGAGAACTGCTTGAACCTGGGAGGTGGAGGTTACAGTGAGCCGAGATCACGCCATTGCACTCCAGCCTGGGTGACAGAGCGAGATGCTGTCTCAAAAAAAAAAAAAAAAAAAAGGTCGGGCGCGGTGGCTCACGCCTGTAATCCCAGCACTTTGGGAGGCCGAGGCAGGTGGATCACGAGGTCAGGGGTTCGAGACCACCCTGACCAACATGGTGAAACCCTGTCTCTACTAAAAATACAAAAATTAGCTGTGCATGGTGGCAGGTGCCTGTAATCCCAGCTACTCAGGAGACTGAGGCAGGAGAATTGCTTGAACCTGGGAGGCAGAGGTTGCAGTGAGCCGAGATCATGCCACTGCACTCCAGCCTGGGCAACAGAACGAGACTCTGTATCAAAAAAAAAAAAAAAGAAAATGTGTTGGTCTTCTCCCCTTTCCCACTCCATCTCTCATGTCCTCCTCCCCCCGTGTGTGAAATCAGTGGAGTGGCAGGGTCCCAGCCAGTGAGTGAGAAGCAGTTGGCAGCTGAGCTAGACCTCGTCCTGCAGCGACATCAGAACCTCCAGGAAAAGCTGGCGGAAGAGATGCTAGGACTGGCCCGGAGCCTCAAGACCAATACCCTGGCCGCCCAGAGTGTCATCAAGAAGGACAACCAGGTGTGGGGACTGGGGGAGCTCTCCAGCCTCTGCCCTGGGGCATCAGAGAAGGCTTCCCAGCACAGGAGCATTGTGGCTGGGGCTTTGCGGGATGAATAGGAGTTTCGTAGAAGGCAAAAATGGCATTCCCAGCAGAGGGCACAGCACCAGCAAGCGACAAGAGGTGCAGGCCAGTCCCAGGGAAGTAGAGAGAGGCCATTCTTGGCCCCAGTCCTGTTGACACCTTTTCCACCTCCCCCACAGACCCTGTCACACTCACTGAAAATGGCGGACCAGAACCTGGAGAAACTGAAGACGGAGTCAGAGCGTCTGGAGCAGCACACGCAGAAGTCAGTCAACTGGCTGCTCTGGGCCATGCTCATTATCGTCTGCTTCATCTTCATTAGCATGATCCTCTTCATTCGAATCATGCCTAAACTCAAATAAAGACCCCCGCCCACCTTGTCTGTCTTCCGTCTGTCCCCTGCCCCCATCTAGCAGTGCCTTTCAGGCTGGCCAATGAGATGGGAGGGTTTTTGGAGGTCCCTGAAGAGCCACAGACAGACAGTGCATGAGCAGGGGAAGAACCACCTCAGGGCCAGATGCGGGGGCTCACGCCTGGAATCCCAGCACTTTGGGAGTCCAAGGCAGGTGGATCACTTGAGGCCAGGAGTTCAAGACCAGCCTGGCCAACATGGTGAAACCCCGTCTCTACCAAAAAATACAAAAATCAGGCAGGCATGGTGGCGCACGCCTGTAGTCCCAGCTACTTGGGAGGCTTAGGCACGAGAATCACTTGAACCCAGGAGGTGGAGGTTGCAGTGAGCTGAGATCCCAGTACTGCACTCCAACCTGAGCAACAGAGCGAGACTCCATTGCAAAAAAAAAAAAAAAAAGATTCTAAAAAGAAAAAGTCAGTCTTGGCAGGTGGTGACTCATCAAACGCTGCCTCCGCCCATGTTCCTCTGGAGCCTACCCCACAATGGACGAGGCCCAGCCCCAGGAGGCCCTAGGAGCCTCCGACTGGCAGACTTGTAGCCGAACACAGTGCCTTCAGCGATGTAAGGCCAGGGTGAGGCCAAAGGGCAGAACAGGGGCTTGGAGGGTCGGGGAGGAGTGGGGCCATGACAGGAGCTCAGCCTGGAGGAGGGCGCATCAACACGAGGTCTTCCCTGGAATTAAAGGCAATAGTTCAAGGACACAGCTCAGCCACACTGCAGCCTCAGCTCTCGGGACACTACAGATCCCTCACAGTCACTCGACAAACACACATGGGTCGTGCCCAGTGCTCACTGGAGACTCTGCCCTCCCCAGGTCACAGTCTGATCACTTCAAAGGAGAACTGGGTGAGTACTAGGGTAGGGGTCCTGAAAAGGGTCGTGGAGTAGGAATTCTGGGGTCCTGAGCCCTGCTCTCACACCAGCTCCAGACAGGGCACAGCCTGTGAGAGCAACTGAGGGGGCTCAGTGACGAGGGCTTGGGGTGTCTGCCCCATGGCAGCATTGACGGCATTGTGGGGACACTTGGAGGTGCCCAGTGGACCCCCACTGACGTGGGTGTAAAATCCTTAGGTAGGGTTGTGTGGTTTTTTTTGTTTTGTTTTGTTTTTGAGACAGGGTCTCGCTCTGTGGCCCAGGCTACGGTGCAGTAGTGCAATCATAGCTCACTGCAGCCTCGACCTCCAGGCCTCAAGCAATCCTCCTGCCTTGGCCTCACAAAGTGCTGGGATTACAGGCATGAGCCACTGTGCTCAGCCCAAGTAGAGATTTTTAAAAGTGCTACTGGCAGCTTTTAAAAAGTAGAACATAGAGCCAGGCGTGGTGGCTCATGCCTGTAATCCCAGCACTTTGGGAGGCTGAGGCGGGCGGATCACCTGAGGTCAGGAGTTCGAGACCAGCCTGGCCAACATGGTGAAAACCCATGTCTACTAAAAGTACAAAAAATTAGCTGGGCATGGTGGTGGGCACCTGTAATACCAGCTACTTGGGAGGCTGAGGCAGGAGAATTGCTTGAACCCAGGAGGCGGAGGTTGCAGTGAGCCGAGATCACGCCACTGCACTACAGCCTGGGCGACAAGAGCGAGACTCCATCTCAAAAAAAAAAAAAAAAAAAAAAAAAAGATCATAAGAAGGAGACAGCCAGGCATGGTGACTCACGCCTGTAATCCTAGCTACTGGGGAGTCTGAGGCAGGAGGACCCCTTGAGCCCAGGGACTGGAGGCTACGGTGAGCAGTGATCATGCTACTGCACTCCAGCCTGGGTGACAGAGTAAGACCCCTACTCAAAAAAAAAAAAAAAAAAAAAAGGAAGTTTATGCCTGAGACACAGGGATGATTCCTTATTAGAAAGCCACGTTGGCCAGGGCACCGTGGCTCACACCTTGTAATGCCAGCACTGTGGGAGGCTGAGGTGGGAGGACCACTTGAGCTCAGGAGTTTAAGGCCAGTCTGGGCAACATGGTAAAACCCTGTCTCTACAAAAAATACTACCAGCTACTTGGGAGGCTGAGACAGGAGAATGGCTTGAGCCCAGGAGTTCGAGGATGCAGTGAGCTGTGATCACACCACTACACTCCTGCCTGGGTGACAGAGCCAGACCCTGTCTCAAACAACAACAAAAGCCAGCTACATTAATGCCTCAGAAAACAAAATCACAGATGCTGAAATGACAAATTGTACTGTTTAGCCTCCGTTACCCAAAGTCTCCTAATTTAAAAAGAAAGGAAATAGATGGACATGTTCCTCACTTCACTGAAAAATCTCAAGCCAAAGGGAGCATTGACTTTAATGGGCAAATACTCAAAACTTCTGCCATCAAAATGAGGAATAGGCCAGGTGCGGTGGCTAAAGCCACCTGTAACCCCAGCACTTTGGGAGGCCAAGATAGGCAGATCACTTGAGCTCAGGAGTTCGACACCGGCCTGACCAATATGGTGAAACCTGGTCTCTACAAAAATACAAAAATTAGCCAGGCATGGTGGCACGCACCTGTAATCCCAGCTACTCAGAAGGCTGAGGCAGGAGAATCACTTGAACTCAGGAGGCAGAAGTTGCAGTGAGCCAAGATCGCACCACTACACTCCACCCTGGGTAACAGAATGAGACTCCATCTGAAAAAACAAAAACAAAAAAACGGGGGGAATGGAATGGGGAAGGATGCTTACAGTCGCCCTGCCTCCATAATGTAACATAGTCTTGAGGTGGTAGTCAGCACAACTAGACGAAAAAAAGAGGCTGGGTGCGGTGGCTCACGCCTGTAATCCCAGCACTTTGGGAGGCCGAGGCGGGTGGATCTAGAGGTCAGGAGGTCGAGACCATCCTGGCTAACACGGTGAAACCCCGTCTCTACTAAAAATACAAAAAAAAAATTAGCCGGGCATGGTAGCGGGCACCTGTAGTCCCAGCTACTCGGGAGGCTGAGGCAGGAGAACGGCGTGAACCCAGGAGGCAGAGCTTGCAGTGAGCCAAGATAGCGCCACTGCAGTCCAGCCTGGGCAAAAGAGCGAGACTTCGTCTCAAAAAAAAAAAAAAAGAAAAAAAAAGAAAAAAAGAAATGGGGCCAAATATGGTGGTGCACGCCTGTGGTCCCAGATACTTCAAAGGCTGAGGCAGGAGGATTGCTTGAGGCCAGAAGATAGAGACTAGCCTGGGCAACAATAGCAAGACCCTGTCAATAGAATAAATAAAATGCCAGGCATGGTGGCTCATGTCTTTAGTCTCAACTACTTGGGAGGCTGAAGCAGGAGGACTGCTTGAGCCTAGGAGTTTAAGACCTGACTGGGCAACATAGCGAGACCCCATCTCTACCAATAAAAATTTAAAAATTATCCAGGTGTAGGCCACCTGGTTGGCTCACCAGGCCACACTGGCCAAGATGGTAGAACCCTGTCTCTACTAAAAATACAAAAATTAGCCAGGCATGGTGGCGGGCACCTGTAATCCCAGCTACTCAAGAGGCTGAGCCAGGAGAATTGCTTGGCCCAGGAGGCGGAGGTAGCAGTGAACCGAGATCACACCACTGCACTCCAGCCTGGGAGACAGAGCAAGACTCCGTCTAAAAAAAAAAAATTATCCAGGTGTGGTGGTGCGTGCCTATAGTACCAATTATTCAGGAGGCTGAGGCAAATGATCACTTGAGCCCAGGAGCCCAAGTGATCATGCTGCACTGAGCTATGATCGTGCCACTGCACTCCAGACTGTGCAACACGGTGAGACCCCATCTCTAAAACAAACAACAAGAAAAAAAGAAATGAGATTGAAAAATAAGAGAAGAAAAATAAGAAATGAGAAGGCAAAATTATTTGCAGATGATATGACCGTATATATGATAGGCCCAAGCGATGTGACTAAAAATATTTCAATAAAAGAATTCCTTAAGCTAGCAAGAGACTTATAGATATTTAAAAATTCATTTCTTGTATACTATATATGTATATAGCTTTAAAATGTATTAAAGCATCCCATTTATAGCAGCAATAAAAAAAGATACACTGCCTGCTTAAACGAATTTTGTTGACATTTGAAGAACTTTTTTTGGAGTCGCCCAGGCTGGAGTGGTACAGCAGCACAATCGTGGCTCACTGCAACCTCCGCCTCCCGGTTTCAAGTGATCTCCTGCCTCAGCCTCCTGAGTAGCTGGGATTACAGGTGTGTGCTACCATGCCTGGCTAATTTTTGTATTTTTAGTAGAGACGGGGTTTCACCATGCTGGCCAGGCTGGTCTTGAACTCCTGACCTCAAGTGGTCCACCCACCTCGGCCTCCCAGAGTGCTGGGATTACAGGCATAAGCCACCTTGCCCGGCTGACATTTGAAGAACTTCTAAAAATCAACAAGAAAAAACATTTGCAGGATATAACAGGAAAAGAATTACGAAATAGAGAAATAGTCTCTAAATTTTTTCACTCATACACTAGGCAATATTTCCTTTTTTTTGAGACAGTCTCTCAACTGTCATCCAGGCTGGAGTGCACTGGCGCAATCTTGGCTCACTGCAACCTCTGCCTCCCGGGTTCAAGCGATTCTCCTGCCTCAGCCTCCCAAGTAGCTGGGATTACAGGCGCCCGCCGTCACACCTGGCTAATTTTTTATATTTTTAGTAGAGACGGGGTTTCACTATGTTGGCCAGGCTGGTCTCGAACTCCTGACCTTGTGATCCGCCCGCCTCGGCCTCTCAAAGTGTTAGGATTACAGGCGTGAGCCACCGCGCCTAGCCTTAGTAGGCAATATTTTCAACTTTGAAAGTACAGGTGAGGGGCCAGCGCTGTGGCTCACGCCTGTAATCCCAGCACGCTGGGAGGCCGAGGCAGGCGGATCACGAGGTCAGGAGATCGAGACCATCCTGGCTAACACGGTGAAACCTCGTCTCTACTAAAAAATAGAAAAAATTAGCCGGGCGTGGTGGTGGGCGCCTGTAGTCCCAGCTACTCAGGAGGCTGAGGCAGGAGAATGGTTTGAACCCTGGAGGCGGAGCTTGCAGTGAGCCGAGATCGCGCCACTGTACTCCAGCCTAGGAGACAGAGCGAGACTCCGTCTCAAAAAAAAAAAAAAAAGAAAAGAAAGTACAGGTGAGGGAATCCGTTATCATGCCAGTGCCGCCAAGGTTGTGGGAAAACCCCTGTATCTCTTGGAGCATAAATGGTACAATCTCACTAAGGAGTAACTTGGCAGTATGTTCCAAATGTAAAATACACACATCCCAGACAGGAGGCTGAGGCAGGAGGATCGCTTGAGTCCAGGAGTTGGAAAACAGCCTGGACCCATAAGGACATTTCCTCTCAAAAAAAAAAAAAAAAAAAAAAAAAAAAAATGCCAAGCACGATTATGGGATCACACCTGTAATCCCAGCACTGTGGGAGGCTGAGGCGGGTGGATTGCTGGAACTCGGGAGTTCAAGACCAGCCTGAGCAACGCGGCGAGATCCCGTCTCTACAAAAAACACAAAAATTAGGGAGGCGTTGTGTCACCTGTGGTTCCAGCTATTTGGGAGGCTGAGGTGGAAGGATCAATTGAGGCTAGGAAGGAGGTCGAGGCCACAGTGAGCCATGATCATGCCCTCCAGCCTGGGCAACACAGCCTCTCTCTCTCTCTCTCTCTATATATATATATATAAAAGGCCGATTTGGGGCACACTGTCTATAAGTTAGCTCTGCTCTGCCAGGAACAGTACTGTTCAGTAAAGATGCCATCTAACACCACCTGCTCGCCCTTAAAAGAAATAAAAGAAAAAGAAAGAAAGGGGCGGGTGCGGTGGCTCACGCCTGTAACCCAGCACTTTGGGAGGCCGAGGCAAGCGGATTGCTTGAGTCCCGGAAGCTGTTCAAGACCAGCCTGGCTAAAATGACGAAACTCCGGGCGGGCGCGGTGGCTCACACCTGTAATCCCAGCACTTTGGGAGGCCGAGGCGGACGGATCACTTGACGTCAGAAGTTTGAGACCAGCCTGGCCAATGTGGCGAAACCCCGTCTCTACTAAAAATACAAACAACAACAACAGCAAAAAATTAGCTGGGCGTGGAAGTGTGCGCATGTAGTCCCAGCTACTCGGGAGCCGGAGGCAGGAGAACCGCTTGAACCCGGGAGGCGGAGGCTGCAGTGAGCCGAGATCACGCCACTGCATTCCAGCCTGGGCAAGTGAGACTCTTGTTAAAAAATTTTTTTCATATAATTGCTGAAAAAAATAAATAAGTTTAAATTTGCAAAACCATCCCGTTTTTTCAGACAAACTTGAGGGTCGAGGTCGGAGTCGACCATGTTTCGAAGGTGTGTGGCCACGCCCAGCCAGGTCAGCCCCGCCCCCAGGCCGTCAGGCCCAGCCCCCTTTCGTCAGACCCCGCCCCCAGCCCTGCTGAGCGACCCCGCCAGTCGGGTCCATCCTGCAGTAAATGCACAACCCGGACGGAAGTGCCTCTCCGACAGCAGATCCAGGCTCGGAGCTCCAGACGCTGGGACAGGTGACCCGGGGCGGTAGCGAGCCGGACGGCCTTGCAGGTGGGGCGGAGGTCCCGAGGAGCTCCTCGGGCGCGGTCGTCTGTGGGCTCTGCGCGCCCTGGAGGTCGAGGCTCCGGCAGCGCGGGGGTTAACTCGAGCCGGTCCCAGGCTGCGCGGCGACGTCAGAGTTCATTTACATAGCGCTTATTTGGGTTGCGCAGTCGTGGGCGGGGTCTGGACGTCGCTGCGGACCAATCGCGTGCGTCTATGCAAATAGCGGTCGTTCTGGGGAACTCTGCTCCCGCGGGGTGAGAGTTGGCCGCTCTTCGGCCGAGCTGCCCGCGCGTCCTTTCTCCGTGCGCGTCGTCAGGCGTGTCCTCTCCGCGTGTCCACCCACAGGCCGCCCGCAGACCACCCCCGCCGCGCGCGGGACACGACGCCCCCCGCAGGACCCGCCCATCAGCCCGGAAACCCCTGAGCTGCTTCTCCCGGAGGCCGATGCCCACCCGGGAGCCCCCAAAGACTCGCGGCTCCCGGGGGCACCTGCATACTCACCCGCCTGGGCCTGGGCCCCCGGTGAGCCTGACCGGGAGGGGGTCCCCAGGCCGGGCCTCTAGGCAAAAGATTTAGCCCCTCCAGTTTGAGGGACTCCGGTTTCCCGACACCCCGATTTAACTCCAGACCACGATTCCTGTGGCAGCTGCAGGGACTGGCGCCCCGAGGCCTCAAAACCAGCGCCCCCCGCCCTCCGTGCCAGCCCCAGCCGGGACCCCACAAGGCAAAGACCAAGAAGATTGTGTTTGAGGATGAGTTGCTCTCCCAGGCCCTCCTGGGCGCCAAGAAGCCTATTGGAGCCATCCCTAAGGGGCATAAGCCTAGGCCCCACCCAGTGCCCGACTATGAGCTGTGAGTGTCCCCCATGTGATTCTTCATGCCTGGGATCAGGAGAGGGGCACTGAGGCTGGGGCTTTGATAGTTGAATAAGAGTTTACCAAAGAGTAGAAAGGAAAGGATCCCTTGCTGATCAGTAGTGGGATTGTCCCTGTGAATAAGCCACTGCACTCCAGCCTGGGCAACACAGTGAGATCCCGTCTCCGAAAATAAATAAATAAATAGGCGAGGCGCGGTGGCTCATGCCTGTAATCCCAGCACTTTGGGAGGCTGAGGCAGGCGGATCACCTGAGGTCAGGAGTTCGAGACCAGCCCGGCCAACATTGTGAAACCCCGTCTCTACTAAAAACACAAAAATTAGCTGGATATAGTGGCGCATGCCTGTAATCCCAGCTACTGAAGAGGCTGAGGTGGGAGAATTGCTTGAACCCGGGAGGTGGAGGTTGCAGTGAGCTGAGATCGCTACACTGCACTCCAGCCTGGACAACAGAGCAAGACTCTATCTCAAAAAATAATAATAAATAAATTAAAAGAGGGAGAGAAAAGGAACGTTTCTAGTAGGGGCCCAGCATGGACAAAGAAAAGCAAATTACACTGACTGGGGGAAAGAGTGGGGTTCTTTACACTCACACTCTGACCCTCTTCAACCTGGTAGTAAGTACCCGCCAGTGAGCAGTGAGAGGGAACGGAGCCGCTATGTCGCAGTGTTCCAGGACCAGTACGGAGAGTTCTTGGAGCTCCAGCACGAGGTGGGGTGTGCACAGGCAAAGCTCAGGCAGCTGGAGGCCCTGCTGAGCTCCCTGCCCCCACCCCAAAGCCAGGTCAGCACTAGGGAGAAAGCCCTGCCCCGCAGCCCTTCTGAGTGGCCCGACCCAAGCCTCTGGGACACCCACTGGGTCCAGATTTCCAGGACTCTTTCTCCTCTCGGTTGGCTGGGCGCCGTGACACATGGCTAAGGTCAGCCCTTGAAGTCCCCACTAGATGGGCATTTAGTCTGTCTGAGCCTCAGTTTCTTCATCCCTTCTTGAATTCAACTCTCCCTAAACCCCCTTTCTACTCCTCCCCTTGCAGAAGGAGGCCCAAGTTGCAGCCCGGGTTTGGAGGGAGTTTGAGATGAAGCGAATGGTGAGTCTTGCATCCCACAGCTTGGTCTTGCACCCCTGAGACTTCTGTGAGGCTGGGGTGCCTGTGCCCAGTTTCTTTTTTTTTTCTTTCTTTTGAGACAGAATCTCGCTCTGTCACCCAGGCGGGAGTGCAGTGGTATGATCTCAGCTCACTGCAACCTCAGCGTCCCGGGTTCAAGCGGTTCTCCTGCCTCAGCTGGGATCACAGGCGCCCACCACCGTGCCTGGCAAATTTTTGTATTTGTAGTAGAGATGGGGTTTCACCATGTTGGCCAGGCTGGTCTCGAACTCCTGACCTCAAGTGATCCGCCCACCTCGGCCTCCCAGACTGCTGGGATTACAGGCATGAGCCACCTTGCCCGGCTCACCCGGTCGCCTGTGCCCAGTTTCAAGGAGAGAAAATTGAGGCTCGGAGAATGAAAGGCAGAGAGTTAAGCAGCTTGAAGGCCACAGGGCAGACTGCTGCAAAGACTTCCGGGTCTCGCCCTGCCTAGGATCCTGGCTTCCTGGACAAGCAGGCTCGCTGCCACTACCTGAAGGGTAAACTGAGGCATCTCAAGACTCAGATCCAGAAATTCGATGACCAAGGAGACAGCGAGGGCTCCGTGTACTTCTAAGTGCCCCTGCAGATGGGCAGAGGGATGCATGGGGATGCAGGTCCCTTGCATTTCTTGGTATCTCTCAGCTTTTCCTCTTGCAGCTCCCCCTACCAGGGGTCGCTTTCTCCTGGATTGCAAATGCCTCTTCAGTTTGGACTCAGCTCTGACAGCCCCTCCTCCAGGAAGGCCTTCCAGGACTTCCTCCTCTGGGTCCTCTAGCTCTGACCCTACAGGGACTCCAGATCTCAACCTGTTCCCTGGAAGTAGGGCCTGCTCTCCATCCCAGTGAAATAAACATGTATTAGACACCTACTGAGTATAATTACTTAACACTTCTGATTTCACTCAGTTGTCACACACACAAAAAGTTGTTTTTTGTTTTTGTTTTTGTTTGAGACTGTGTCTCACTCTGTCGCCCAGGCTGGAGTGCAGTGGCACGATCTTGGCTCACTGCAACCTCCGCCTCCCCGGTTCAAGTGATTCTCCTGCCTCAGCCTCCCAAGTAGCTGGGATTACAGACACCTGCCACCATGCCCAACTAATTTTCATATTTTTAGTAGAGACGGGGTTTCACCATGTTGGCCAGGCTGGACTGGAACTCCTGACCTCAAGTGATCCGCCCACCTCAGCCTCCAAAAGTGCTGGGGTTACAGGCATGAGCCACCACGTCCAGCTGGATTCTTCACTCTCTGTGTCTCCCTGGGCACTTCAGGACAGCAACTGACCCCAGTGTGTGGGCACGGTCCATATGCATGGCCTAGGGGGAGGCTCTTCCAGTGTCTGACCCATCCCAGGCCCTAGCTGTGATGGGTGGGGCACAGGTGGGGCCAGTCTCCCTGTGGGAGCCATGTAACAGCAGACCAGAAGCTGTCCTCTGAGTTTCAGTCTCCCAAGGGAGCCACAGGGGCAAGAAGCAACCAGGAAGACCAACTACATGCAGGGGAGACAGCGTCAACCACTGGGCCACCACGATTGTCCTCAAGAAGGCCCTAGTCTGGGGAAGATAGCCCTGAGTCCAGTAAAAGAAGGCTGCACAGCAGAGTCTTAATAGCCAGGGAGGCTCAAGATCTCTTCCCGCAGGAAGGGCCATGTGGGTAGGGTTTTGTAGGAAAAGTAGGAGTTCAGCAGTCAGGCCTTGGACAGACATCCAGATCTCTGGCCTGGGGCCAAACAGCAGGACAGACACCATGGTCTCACTCAACCCTCAGATGTCCTGTGCATTGGATAAATGAGACCTTGCTGTCCAGTTTGACTGGAGTAGACATGGACCCACTCACTCACAGGACACCATGGAGAGACCCTGACCTAATGCAAAACCCAGTGCAGCCTTCAACGAGAACCTGGTGTCCTCTCCATCCCGCCCCTGCCTCAGTTCCCTTCTGGGAACGTGCCCACAAGAAACCCTCACTGACTCCACAGGAGGGGCCTAATCTCTCGTCTTCCAAGGCTTTCTTCAAGATGGACATGGGGAGACTAGGGAGCATTTTGGCAAACTGGGGCTGCTTAAGAGCTGAGCACTGGCCCAGCAGGCAGCGTGACAGACTTGACTTCTTCCCTTGCTGTTTTCAGGAGGGCATCTTTCTTTTTTTTTTTTTTTTCAGACAGTCTTCCTCTGTTGCCCAGAGTGGAGTGTAGTGGTGCGATCTCAGCTCACTGCAACCTCCGCCTTCCAGGTTCAAGTGATTCTCGTGCCTGAGTCTCCCGAGTAGCTGGGATTACAGGCTCCTGCCACCACGCCTGGCTACAGAAGGACATCAGTGAGAGGTGCCACCCCCACCACCATTCGGGCCCTTTCTCTCTGCCCTACAGCTCTGGTGCTGAATTCCACAGGTGCCTTTCCCACCACAGAGCTGTGCCACACACTCCCGAGGCTGGGACGGGAGAGTCCCTGGTACCCCACATGATTCCGTATCAACCCAGTGAAGCCCACATTTCAAAGTCTTGGCCTTGTAGGTGCCTGACTCCCAAACGTCAATCTCTGAAACAGATTTTTAGTTCCATGTGAGAAAAAAAACTGAAGTCAGATTGACTCAGGCACAAAAGGGGGGAGACTGAGTTCACAGAACTTAAAACACCCAAGGGTTTCAGGTATGGCTTGATCTGGGGCTCCAAAGGCATCTTGGGAAATTGATCTTCCATCCTTGGCTCTGCTTTAATTAGATTCTCCCAGTTCCAAATCCCACCGTGCAATCTCACTGGCTAGTTTGGCATCCCAGGGCCTCCATAAACCAGTTGCTGTGGCCCAGGGAATGGTGGTCTCTGATTGGCTCGCCTTACATCATGTGACAGGACTGGCCCCAGAGGTTTCTCCCAAGGACATTGGAGCCCAAACAAGATTAAGGGCCCGGCAGCTCATGCCTATAATCACACCACTTTGGGAGGCCAAGGCAGGTGGATCACCTGTCAGGAGTTCGAGACCAGCCTGGCCAACATGGCAAAACCCCTCTAGTTAAGGTACAAAAATCAGCTGAACGTGGTGGTGCGCACCTGTAATCCCAACTACTCAGGAGGCTGAGGCAGGAGAATTGCTCCAACTCGGGAGGCAGAGGTTGCACTGAGCCAAGATTGCACCACTGCACTCCAGCCCAGGTGAAACAGCGAAACTCCATCTCAAAAAAAAAAAAAAAAAAAAAAAAAAAGATTAAGGTTGACCAAAAGAAAGTAAGTGAGGCTAGGCACAGTGGCTCACGCTTGTAATCCACTTTTGGAGGCCTCAGGTGCATCACCTGAGGTCAGGAGTTCGAGACCAACCTGGTCAACATGGTGAAACCCCATCTCTACCAAAAATAAAATTAGCTGGGCATCGTGGTGGGTGCCTGTAGTTCCAGCTACTGGGGAGGCTGAGGCAGGAGAATCGCTTGAACCTGTGAGGCAGAGGTTACAGTGAGCCAAGATCACGCCACTGCACTCCAGCCTGGGTGACGAAGTAGGACTCCGTCTCAAAAATAAAAAATAAAAATAAAGACCAGGGAGGCTGTGCAGGTAGGAAATGTCTTTATTATTGGCCTTGAGTCATCATGTAGTGTCTGACATAGGTTACGTGTCCAGAGGATCTGCCTGGCACACGCTAGCTACCCCTGCCCACTGGAGCAGCCCCTCTGGCCGACGCCAGGCCTTTGTCCATCATGCCAGGGAAGCCAACCCCACCATCCCACAAGTTCATGCTAGGGGTGCTGAGGAACAAGGCTGTCCTAGGATTGGACCCTCCATCCTGGACAGGGGTCCTGGGGAGGATGAGGCTGAGGCCTGGATGATCAGTCTCTTTTTGGTTTCATGATCATTTAAAAAACAGAAAAGACAAACATTTCACAGTCTTTAAAAAATAGAAGTCTGAGGAGAGAAGCCAGAGTCCTGGGCCCCGGGAGGCCCCTCGAGGCCTCAGCATTCCCTGTCCCTTGAGGTCTGTCTGCAGGCCTGGCCACAGCACACGTGGCCCCGTCATGGTCACTGGCCCGAGCCGTAGGGCCAGTTGAAGGTACTCCCCGACAGCAGCATGTCTCTGATCAGTGTCTCAATGGGCGTCTTCCCCACCAGGCGCATGAAGAACAGCTGGGAGATGAGGGAGGCAGGGACCGCGCGCAGGGCGGGGAGCCGCAGCAGCAGGCGCCCGAAGCGCTGGGGCTGGGACGGGTACTGCGCCCGCACATACTCGGTGAGGGCCACCTGCGCCTTCTCCTGCAGGCTCTCAACGTGGGCCGGGTCTGAGAGGCCACAGGCGTCTAGGGGGACAAAGGCAAGTCAGACAGGTGGGAGGCAGCTAGAGAACACAGAGCCCACAGGGGTGACTAGGGGACACCACTCGCCACTGTGGGTAAGAACAGGGGGCCGGGCATGATGGCTCACGGCCACAGTCCCAGCACTTTGGGAGGCCAAGGCAGAAGCATCATTTAAGGCCAGGATTTGAGACCAGCCAGGGCAACATAGTATGATCCCTTCTCTGCAAAAACAAATCAGCTGGGGCTGGGCACAGTAGCTCACGCCTGTAATCCCAGCACTTTGGGAGGCTGAGGCAGGTGGATCACTTGAGGTCAGGAGTTCAAGACCAGCCTGGCCAACATGATGATATTCCGTCTCTACTAAAAATAAGAATAATTAGCCAGGCATGGTAGTGCGTGCCTGCAGTTCCAGCTACTCGGAAGGCTAATGGGAGGATCGCTTGAGCCTGGGAGGCGGAGGTTGCAGTGAGCCGAGATCGTGCCACTGCACTCCAGCCTGGGCAACAGAGGGAGACCCTGTCTCAAAATAAATAAAAAATAAAAATTAGTCCAGTGTGATGGCACACGCTTGTAGTCCCAGCTCCTCAAGAGGCTGAGGTGGGAGGATCTCTTGAGCCTAGGAGTTTGAGGCTACAGTGATCCATGATCATAGCACAGCCTGGGCGACAGAGTAATAAGACCCTGTCTCAAACAAAACAAAACAAAACAAAACAAAACAAAACAAAAAACGACCCTGGGATGCAAATGGGACTATCTAAGACTGTGTCGATCCTCCAGAGATAGTGAGGTGTTCTCATCTAACCAGTGACATAGGGGTGCAGGCAGTGATGTTTCAAGGGTGGCTGGCACCCAACTCATGCCTTTGGCAGGGAGACAGGTTCTAATTTTTTTTTCTTTAAGATAGAGTCTCACACTGTCGCCCAGGCTGAAGTGTAGTGGCACGATCTCACTGCAACCTCTGCCTCCGGGTTCAAGTGATTCTCCTGCCGCAGCCTCACAAGTAGCTGGCATTACAGGCACACTCCACCACGCCTAGCTAATTTTTGTATTTTTAGTAGAGACGGGTTTTGCTGTGTTGGCCAGGCTGGTCTTGAACTCCTGACCTCAAGCAATCTCCCCACCTCGGCCTCCCAAAGTGCTGGGATTACAGGGCCACCAGCCAGGCCAAGGAGATGGGTTCTAAGGAAGCTCGCAGGGAAGGTGGGGCTGGGAAGGGAATTTGATGAGGAAGACAGAGCCCAGAAGGGCCTACGGTGTGAGAGAATGTGGCAGCCTCTAGAGAGAGACCCAAGATAGGAAGCCAAGAAGAAATCTGGGAAGGCCAGGCGCGGTGGCTCACGCCTGTAATCCCAGCACTTTGGGAGGCTGAGGCGGGCAGATCATGAGGTCAGGAGTTCGAGATCAGCCTGACCAACATGATGAAACCCCGTCTCTACTAAAAACACAAAAATTAGCCAGGCGTGGTGACGCGTGCCTGTAATCCCAGCTACTCAGGAGGCTGAGGCAGGAGAATAGCTTGAACCAGGGAGGCGGAGGTTGCAGTGAGCCGAGATCGTGCTACTGCACTCCAGCCTGGGCGACGGAGTAAGACTCCGTCTCAAAAAAAAAAAAAAAAAATCTTCTGGGAAAACAATAAATAAAGCCATATTTATTGATTTTTGAGACGCGGTCTCACTCTGTTGCGCAGGCTCAAGTGCAGTGGGAAAATCAGAGCTCACTGGAGCCTCGAACTCCTGGGCTCAAGTGGTTCTCCCAACTCTGCTTCCTAAAGTGCGGTGATTACAGGCCTGAGCCACCTTGCAGGCCCAAAACCATATTTATCAAATGAAAGCCACCTCCCAGAGTAGCCTGGATCTGGTTCCTAGCCCCAAAGATACCTCTGATGGGATCTAGAGACTTCCAGTAGGTTAAAGAACTCCCAGGAGACAGGCTGGAGAGATCTTTGTCTAAAGGCATGGTGGCTTATGCCTGTAATCCTAGCACTTTGGGTGGCTGAGGCAGGACTGGTTGCGCCCAGAAGCTCAAGACCAGCCTAGGCAACACGGTGAGACCACGTCTCTACAGAAAACGTTTAAAAAAAAATTAGCCGGGAATGGTGGTGCACGCCTGTGGTCCCAGCTACTCAAGAGGCTGAAGTGTGAGGGAGGATTGCTTGAGCCCTGGAGATCAAGGCTGCAGTGAACCGTGTTCGGACAACTGCACTCCAGCCTGGGTGACAGGGTGAGACCCAGTCTCAAAAAATGGAAATACAAATAAAAAAATAAAGTGGAAAAAAAAAATTTGGCTGTACCGCCAGTCGCTGGAATACGATGGGCTACCACTGCTAGATAGCTGATGGTTAAGAAAGTTCTGGGGTTGCCCCGCCCCTCAACGGGAGGGGCCTCCGAGCCACGCCCCTACCCAGATCCCTACAACCCTGGCTACCTGGAGGTTGCCCTGGGAGCCCAGTGGGGGCCTGAGGGGGCCAGAACCAGGGGGTCAGGACCTTCCCTCCCACGTCCCCCCAACCTTGTGCTATCAGTGCTCACTAAGCCTGAAGAGCCCTTTGGTGAGGGAGTAGGGGTCTCAGGGAGCCTGGGAACAGGAAGAGGGTTCTGGGGTCTGGGCCCTGGTCCTGGCCCAGCCTTGGGTCTGGGGTCCGGGGTTCAGAGTTCTCCGAGAGTCCTGGGATCACGGAGTGGGGGTGTCACAGTGTCACACTGCTTACATCACCCCTCTACAGCCACCCAAGAGCGTTCACTCACGGCGCGTGCAGGGCCCCAGGCCTAGGGAGCGAGCGGGGCGCTATGGGGGCCGGAGTCTGGGTCCAGGCCGCCCTCCTCCTAACCTCCCTTGGGTCCCCCCATCCCGCGGCCCTCTTCGGAGCGTGGCTCACCGGGCGTGAAGAGCGCGATGGCCTTGAGGCAGCCATACTCGGCCGAGTCGACCTGCAGGCGGCCCAGCTTGTCCACCTGCTCCTGGAAGGCGCGCACCTGGTCCATGAAAGCCACGGCGCGCTCGGCGGCCATAGGCGCGGCGTGGAGGCCGGCGGCGGCCAGTAGCGGCGCCGTGTGCAGGGGCAGCGCCGCCTGCGCCGCGTTCAGCACGAAGAGCTCGCTCCAGCTCAGGCGCAGCAGCGCCACCTGGTCGGCCACCGGCAGCTCGGGGAAGAAGGGCGCGTGGCGCGCCCACTCCACGGTGCTGAAGAGCAGCCGCGCCGCCAGCTCGCACACGTTGTCGATGCCCAGCACCGCGCCCGCCGCGCCGCCCCCTGCGCCGAAGCGTCCGGCCGCCGCAGGGTAGGGCTCAGCGCGCAGCAGCTGCGCGATCAGTTCGGACACCGGCTGCCCCGGGAAGAGGTCTCCGCCGCTCGCCACTGCCGCCAGCGCCGAGCCCGGGGGGCTGCCCGAGGAGGCGGCCACGGCACCAGGCAGCGAGTGCGGGATGCGGCCGCGCTGCACCGCTGCGGGAGGCGGGGACAGGAGGGACATGGGGGCGGGAGGGGAGGCGGGGGGGGGGGGGGCGGGCAGCAGGAAACGGGGGAGGGACAGGAGATGGGGGAGGGGAGGGCGGGGCACAGAAGGCCGGGAGGAGAGGAGATTGGAGAGACAGGAAGGGAAGCGAGGGGTAGAGAGGAGAGGGCCGGAAGAGGGGGGATGAGGGGCCAAGTAGGTGCCCATAGAGACATGGGGTGGGGGGCAGGTGGGGGGGGGCAGGTAGGGAGAATAACGGGAAAGGGAGACAAAAGTCATCAAGGGGTCACTCAGGCCCTCCCCTCCAAAGCCTCCAGGCCCAGCCTTTCCCAGAATGCCCAACCCCACCCCATGGGCGCCAGGCTGGTTAGAAAGTAAGAGTCCAGGAGTCCCTGTCTAGGTCCAGCCACCACCCCCCACCCCCAGCTCCTGGGGACAAGGAGGAGCATCTAATAAACCTTTTGGAGCCTCCTAACAGATAGTCATGGGGTTCCCAGAGCTGAGGATGGGCCATGGAGGACTTGGGGACCCTGGCCAGCTTGGTCCCCAAAGCAACAGATCAATACCCACCCAGCACTGGCTCTCTCCTATGGAACAGGGATCATTTCTCTACCTTCCATCCCCCTCCCCACCAGATGGTGACCCCTGAGGGCCGGTCTGGGTCCCTGCAGAGGCTACAGTGCAGGGAAGGGTTGGGGGGGACCTACAGTAAGGAGGGGTCCCAGGGGGGCTGCCATAGGTCCTCAGTAAACATTAGCCGCCATCAGTAGCCTTGCTTATGAAGCGGGGAGGCCCTGCTGCTGGCTTGGGCACGTCTGCAGTGACCAGGTGGGTGAGAAAAGGGAAACTGAGGCATGAAGAGGAAGAGAGTTGGCCATGTGCCTGCCTGGCTTGTGCCGGGGTGGGCGGGATGGCAGGGCTGACTGGGCTGGTTGCCAGCAGACTAATTAATGAGCTTTAATGAGCTGGCATGCCCCATCTCATCACCTCCGTGAACTCCAGGTCAACTCTGTGTAGAGCAAACACCGGAGGGGAACGCGAGCAGAAGCCAGGGGCGAACAGAGCTAAGCGGAGAAGCCAGGGCATGGGTTGAAGCCCGCTCCAAGGGGTCCCTGAGTCTGAGTCAACTGTCAAATGGGGATAGGTGGATGGGGCCCAAAAGTGGTTCCCCGGTCCTCCAGGAAGCTTCCTCCCGCTTTGTTCACTGGGTTGTGAGCAACCACCACTCCCTCACATGGCCACATTCCCACCCCAGGGCCTTTGAACTTTTTCTTTTTCTTTTTTCCCTCCCTCCCTCCCTTCTTTCCTTTCCTTTCTTCCTCTCTCTCTCTCTCCCTCTCTCTCTCTCTCTTTTTGAGATAGAGTTCTGCTCTGTCACCAGGCTGGAGTGCAGTGGCACAATCTCAGCTCACTGCAGCCTCCGACTCCGGGGTTCGAGTGATTCTCCTGCCTCAGCCTCCCGAGTAGCTGGGATTAGAGGCACCTGCCACCACGCCTGGCTAATTTTTGTATTTTTAGTAGAGACGGGGTTTCACCATGTTGGCCAGGATGGTCTCAATCTCCTGACCTCGTGATCTGCCCACCTCGGCCTCCCAAAGTGCTGGGATTACAGGCGTGAGCCCCCACGCCTGGCCGGCCTTTGCACTTTCTGTTCACTCTTCCTCAAACCCCTCCCCAGCTCTTCAGCCCAGACTGTGGAGGTTCAAATCCCAATCACAACTCTGTTGCTCTCTGACAAATGGCCTCACCAATCTGCTGTGTGCCTCAGTTTCCTCATCTGTAAAATGCAGACAGTGGCTCCCATTTGCAAGCCTAGCACTTTGGGAGGCTGAGGCAGGAAGATCGCTTGAGCCCAGGAGTTTGAGACCAGCCTGGGCAACATAGCGAGACCCCGTCTCTACAAAAAATTAAGAAATTAGCCCAGCATGGTAGCGAACACCTGTAATCTCAGCTACTCAGGAGGCTGAGGTGGGAGAATCACTTCAACCCAGGAGTTTAAGGCTGCAGTGAGCTATGATCGCACCACTGCACTCCAGACAGAGTGAGACCCCGTCTCAAAAACGATGTCACCAATCACTGAATTAAATGAGAATCTATACCTTAAAATAATGCCTGCCACACAGGAAAGGTAATTACATGGTAATTCAAGCCAAGGACCATTTATTGAACACCTACTGTGTACCAAGCCCTGGTCTAGGCGCTGGGGAACAAGACAGACAAAAATACCTGCCCACAGGGAATGGACATTCTGGGTGTAAGCAAATTACAGAACAAGACAGGTGGCGTCAAATACAGGGGGATCAGGAGGGCTTCCCTGAGGAGGTGATGTTTGAGCAAACCTTGAAGGCAAGGTTAGGGAGGGAGCCATGTATGGACCTGGAAAAAGTGCACTCCAGGCAGAGGGAAGAGCCCGTGCAAAGGACCCGAGGCAGGTGTGCTTAAAGCATGAGCTGTCATCATAAATATTTCCACCCGAGGCTTTTGGAGACTTCTGGCGAGGCTGTTTGCTCTGAGGCCATGACTTGAGATATATGAGGATTTTAGGTAAAATAGACAAGTAGAGGCAAAATCCATGTTATGGGGGCAGGGACAAGAAAGTTACCCCCAAACTTAAAAGGGCCACAGGGAGTGATCAGTTTTAAAAGAAAGCCCCTCAGCTGCCTCTCTCAGCTTCTCCCACCAAGGCCTAGACCAAAAAACAACAGCTTTACGCCAAGTATGGTGGCTCATTCCTGTAATCCCAGTAGTTTGGGAGGCCAAGGTGGGAGGGTCGCTTCAAGCTAGGAGTTCGAGACCAGCCTGGGCAACATAGTGGGACTCTGTCTCTAGAAAATAAAAAAAGCTGCCGGGTGGGGTGGCTCATGCCTATAATCCGAGCACTTTGGGAGGCTGAGGCGAGCGGATCACCTGGGGTCAGGAGTTGGAGACTCCAGCCTGGCCAACACGGTGAAACACCATCTCTATTAAAAATACAAAAATTAGGCCAGGCGCGGTGACTCACGCCTGTAATCCCAACACTTTGGGAGGCCGAGGCGGGCAGATCACGAGATCAGGAGATCGAGACCATCCTGGCCAACATAGTGAAACTCCATCTCTATTAAAAATACAAAAATTAGCTGGGCGTGGTGGCATGTGCCTGTAATCCCAGCTACTCAGGAGGCTGAGGCAGGAGAATCGCTTGAACCAGGGAGTCAGAGGTTGCAGTGAGCCGAGATGGCACCACAGCACTCCAGCCTGGCAACAGAGCGAGACTCTGTCTCAAAAACAAAACAAAACAAAATACAAAAATTAGGTGGGCGTGCCGGGCGCGGTGGCTTACGCCTGTAATCCCAGCACTTTGGGAGGCTGAGGCAGGCAGATCACGAGGTCAGGAGATCGAGACCATCCTGGCTAACATGGTGAAACCCCGTCTCTACTAAAAATACAAAAATATCCGGGCGAGATGGCAGGCGCCTGTAGTCCCAGCTACTCCGGAGGCTGAGGCAGGAGAATGGCGTGAACCCAGGGGGCGGAGCCTGCAGTGAGCCGAGATCATGCCACTGCACTCCAGCCTGGGCGACAGAGCAAGACTCAGTCTCAGAAAAAAAAAAAAAATTAGCTGGGCGTGTTGGCCCGTATCTGTAGTCCCAGCTACTCGGGAGGCTGAGGCAGGACAATCACTTGAACCCGGGAGGCGGAGGCTGCAGTGAGCTGAGATCACACCACTGCACTCCAGCCTGGAAGATGGAGCGAGACTCCATCTCAAATAAAAATAAAAATAAATAAAGAAAATAAGGAAAAAAAAACTTCAAAGCAGGGGAGGCTCAGGTTAGACATTAGAAAGAACTGCCAGCCTGGCCCACGACACAGTCCCCAGAGGAACCTGAAACCCAGCACAGGAGATCTCGTCCAATAGGCTAGATTCTATTCCTGAACCCCAGAAATCCATGCAGAAATCTCTGGGTTCTACTTGAATTCTAAGGGGGTTTGGCAGAGTTCTAGGCCCAGCAGCCCAGAATACGCCCGTCCACCTGGGTCCCCTGAGCAGAGACAGCTGGGCCTCACTCTTGCTCCCAGCGCCCGGGGTCAGAAGAAAGGGTAAGCTGCCCTTTGCCTTAATCGGGCAGAGTTCCTGCCTTGGGCAAACAAAAAGCATGGGTGAAGGGTGGAGGAGAAACAAATCAAATAAAAAAAAAAATCCTTGTTCAGAACGCGGTGGCCGCGCTAGCAGACAAGAGGTCACCAAGGTGTCAGGGCCAGGGAACTGGCCTCTGAGGCTGGAGTCGGGGGTAATTGGGGAAGGCAGCTCCTGCAAGAGAATGGGGCTGGGGAAAGTCCCTTGTGGGGCGTCCCTGGCCTCTTCAGCTCCACGGCAGCAACCAGGGGGCCACGGATCCTAATTGGATTCCTCCAGCCTAGGGCCAGACTGCAGCCCACGGGATCAAGGGATCAGTGGTAATGAGGTTAGCAGGCGCCGGCCCCCACCCTGTGAGGCACCCAGACCCCTGTGAAAGGGAGGGGTGAAAGGGAGGGGAAAAAGGGGAGGAAGAAGCTGTTTGTTCACCCCGGCTCCAGCGGCTGTGATCGTCCCCAGTGTGTCCCCAGCACGTACTCACCCTCCTTCCTCATGCCCACCCGGAAGCACTTCTTGAGACGGCAGTACTGGCACTGGTTCCGGTGGTGCTGGTCGATCTGGCAGTCACGGTTGGACCTGGGGGCACACAGAAGCCAGGGCTCCCTGAGACCCCCATATCCTCCTCCCCGAACCAGCCTATGAGCCGCCTTTGGAGGCTGCCCCTCAGAAATACTAGTAGGGGCCCTCTAGACTGGAGAGGTAGCCCCAAAGGGGTACAGGAGCTCAGCTTGCAGGTCTGCAAACCAGACAGGATAACCCGGATGAGTGGTGATGGATGAAGAGGAATCTGTGGAAAAGCAGATGAACACCCCAGGGAGGGCACATTGGCATGGGTTTTGAAGGATGAATAGGAGTTCTCCAGGTGAATGGCGGGGTGATCCCAGAGAGAGGGTACAGCCAGAGCAAAAGGGTTGAAATACACAAATATGGAGGCCTAAAGAGTTTCATTTTATTTGGTCACTGTCAGGCTGAGCAGGGTCATTGTCCCCAAAAAGATGTGAAGGCAAAGAGGACATGGTCAGAGAGCTGGACTTTGTGAATTAACTAGGGGTCAGGCCAGGGGCTAGTGGTCTGTGGGGTCATAGCATTGTGGGGCCCCAGCATTATCACCCGCACAATGCCCACCCCAAGGAATGAGGAAGTAAACAAAGTCACTCTGGTCCTCAGCCCTGAAGGCCCCACACCTACGCTCTTCCGAGAGGACCACCCAACCCCTATGCAAGCTGGAGATTTTCCTGGTCAGCCCTCAGTGAATGCCGTTGCCTCTTGCAGGGATGAGACAGGTGGCCCCACCCTGAGAGGTGGTGAGCTCCCCATCCTGGGTCAGCCCCCAAGCAGGAAGGTCCAGGCCTTATTCTTCAAATGTCCCCAGAACCTTCTCCCCTTGGCCCCTGCCCTTGGACTCCCCTGGTCTCTTGCCACCAGGAGCTGGGGGCTCTCCAAGGCCTGGGCCTGGAGCAACTACCCCTGGGGTTCCAGCTGGACACCCAGGGGACACACAGAGACAGTCACAGAGTAGAACCACCACTTAAGGGAATTAAACAGATGCATCTCTGCAGTGGCTCACGCCTGTAATCCCAGCACTTTGGGAGGCGGGGGAGGGTGGATCACCTGAGGTCAGTTCAAGACCAGCCTGGCCAACATGGTGAAACCCCGTCTCTACTAAAAATACAAAAATGAGCTGGGCGTGGTGGCGCATGCCTGTAATCCCAGCTACTTGGCAGGCTGAGGAAGGAGAATCGCTTGAACTGGGGAGGTGGAGGTTGCAGTGAGCCAAGATTGACCCACTGCATTCCAGCCAGGGTGACAGAGTGAGACTCTGTCTCAAAAAAAAAGAAAAAAAAAAAGGCTGGGTGCAGTGGCTCATGCCTGTAATCCCAGCACTTTGGGAGGCCGAGGCGGGCGGATCACCTGAGGTTGGGAGTTTGAGACCAGCCTGAACAACATAGAGAAAACCTGTCTCTACTAAAAATACAAAATTAGCCGGGCATGGTGGCGCATGCCTGTAATCCCAGCTATTTGGGAGGCTGAGGCAGGAGAACCGCTTGAACCCGGGAGGCAGAGGTTGCAGTGAGTTGAGATCACGCCATCGCACTCCAGCCTGGGCAACAAGAGTGAAACTCCGTCTCAAAAACAAAACAAAACAAAACAAAACAGATGAATCTCAGCTGCAGATACCCAGCCCTGCCCCTCAGGTGGCGACTGCCCCACTGAGCCTCGGTTTCCTCATCTGAAAATGGGAGGTCAGATATTGCCCTATCATATGGGATGGACTGGGTCAGAGGGGTTCACGGGGGACAGTGCCAAGACCCAGAGCCCAGCCGGAGAACCCAACTTAGGAAAGCTGAGGATCTGCGCCCACTCCCCCGTACCCCCCCTCCACCACTGCCTGGGTCCTGCAGCACCAGCCACTGAGCCCCTGGGAAGAGGCCCCACTAGGGCAGAGGGAGCTCAGGCAGAACCAGAACAAAGCCCAGCGGCTGGGTGGTGGGAGGGTCCAGGGCAGCCGGGTGGAAACGGCCTGGCCTGGGGCGGCCCTGCAGGCAGGCAGAGGCCCAGCTCAGGGGCCCCTGACCTCAGGGGAGGCCCTGAACCTTCAGTCTCAACTTCCCCAGCTGTGGAATTGGGACAGATCCATCCCTCCAAGGAGGGAAACAGTTAAGTTCTTCCTGTTATCCCACCTAAAGAGTGCAAGCTTTTTTGCCCAACCCCATGGCCCAACTCAGCTTCCTCCCTGGGCTTCTGGCCTCCAGTCCAATTTGATCAGAGCCCTCTCCTGCTCACACACCCTCTATGGCTCCCCATTACCCTCAGCCAGCATTTCAGGCCCACCTAGCTCTGACTTCTCCCATGGCTGCACAGTCCCCCTCTTACAGCACAGCTCCCCCAGTCTGCCACTAAGTGTTTTGTCTGGACCACATTCTGGCATGTCCCTGTGGCCTTTCTTCCACCTGCCAACTCCATGCTTCAAGGCTCATGTCCCCTAGCCTCCTCCAGGCAGCCCTCTCTGACCTCCAGGCAGAGCCTCTGCTCTCTCCCTGGGACCCCAGATCCCACAGACTTGGGGCATCTGTCTCACTGTGTCTCCTCCAGACTGGGGGCTTCTCAGGAGCTAGACTTGGAGCTGGGGTCTCTCTGGAGGGGCTGGCATCAAACTACCCAGGCTGGGCCCCAGCGAGACCCTGCTCAATCCATTTGAAGCTCAGAATGGAATGGTGATTTCACCAGGTCACACAACTGACACAGCACAAACCTGTCAGCTCCAAGCAAGGCCCCCCCCACCCAAAATTGCTGCTCCCTGACACCACCCTCAGGAAGCTCCTGGGACCCCAAAACTGCCTGAGCCCCCCTCCCTTACCCTCCCTAAAGATATGACCAGAGAGCAGGCGGTTTTCCAGCAGCAAGAATGAGGCCAAAGTCTAGTGGCCCACTTTGTGCTGGAGGAGGGAGCAAGGCAGCTCTGCCACACATGGCCACACCAGGCCAGCCCTGACCCGGGACCTGGGGCCAAACTCCACCCTCGGGTACCTGGGGCCCTATTTGGTGGCCTCAGCCAACAAGCCTTCCATCAGCCGTTCTCCCTGGGGCCACTCCGATCCGAACTCAGCGGTCCCCACCCTAGCCCCACAGTTCCCCCACAGTGCCCCCAACTCGGGCAGCGTCCCTCCATGTCCAACGCAAAGCAGGCACCAGGACCTCTCTCTGGGCCTTTGGGCCTCTGTTTTGGGCAGCTGGGAACTGAGACCGTCTAGACGGGCTCCACAGAGACCCTGCATGTTCCTGGGGTGCAGAGTAGGGGCTTATAAACGGACAGATCGGATGCTCGCCCGGGAACGGTGAGAAAAGAACTCCCGGGCTGGACAACCCCGATCGCTTTCCCTGGGGACCTTCCGCCAGAACAGCTAGCAAGGCCACGCCCTGCCAGAGAGGTCTCCGACCTGGGACAGCCCAAGGCTCCTGCTCGGAAACGTTTCACTCCCTGCCCGTCTCAGAGACACCCAAAGTTTGAGGGATTTTTCCAGGAGCCCCAGGTCTGCACCCACCCCTGGGGGAGAGGGACGTTTCAGTCAATTCCGGTGGCCCTGCCGGCCTTCCAGTGGCGATTTCCGGTGACCCAAGGCCCAGAGTGAGCCCAGAGGGGTTCCCTGAGATGGGCAAGCCCAGCTCCCACCCCCACCCCCACCGCTGGGCCCCTCATGCGAAGAAGGCCGCCCCGTGCCACCCCAGCCTCCCTCCGTCTGCCGCCTCCGTAGCCACAGCGACTTTGGAAGTGATATTTGACCCCAAGGGCGCGCCGTATCGATCCGCGCGGCCGCAGACAATGGCCCCTGGACGCTGCGAGCTCCACGGTCCAAGTTCCACGTTCGATTCCCTCGAGGGCATCCCGCGCGCCGGGATCCCCGAGAACGGGTGCCCTGGGGTTGGGTTACCACCCCTGACAGCACCCCTACCCCCACCCCAGCGCGGAGATGACCCCTCCCCAGAGAAAAAGCGGAGGGAAGGAGAAGCAAGTAACTGGGGCAAAAGCCTCCAGGGACCACCTGATGGGGGGGGAACCTGCAACGATGTAGCGCCGACTGTATACACAATCCCAGCCATGGAATGCGGGAGGAGGGTGCTGTGCCCCTATCTCAGAGGGGGCAGTGGAGGCCCAGGGAAGGTCAGCGCCAGGCCCAAGGTGACCGAGCAGGTCAGAGGCCTGCCCCAGGTCGGGGCGGGGTGCACGGCGGCGGCGCGCGGATGGGGGGCTCACCGGCAGGTGTAGCTGAGGTTGCGGCGGATGCTTCGCTTGAAAAAGCTCTTGCAGCCCTCGCAGGTGAAGACACCGTAATGCTTGCCGCTCGACTTGTCCCCGCACACCACGCAGTCCACCTGCAGCCCCGGCCGCTCCTCGTCGCCCGGCTCGGCGTCGCTGGCGGCACCGGGGGGCGAGGCCGAGTCGTCCTCGGCCGCGCGCGGGTAGCCGCCCGCCTTGTCCACGCCGTTCGTGTCGCCGCCGGGGCCGCCCCAGCCGCCGGTCACCATGGCCATAGCCCCAGGGCAGCGGGGCCGGGGCGCCCCCACCGCGCTCTTCCCTCCGGGCACCCCTCTCGGCCCGGGGGACCCTACGCGGCGCGCATTCGGCCCCGGCGCGCGGGGGGCACGGGCTGCACCCCCCAAAAAAGTTTTGCAGCAACTTCCTGCGGCCGGTCCTCGCGCCCGGGCGGAACTGGTCGGGCCGGTTCCAGGCCAACTTTCCCACGCGTGCGCGGGGCCGGGCCCGGGGCCGGGAGGGGCACGCTAGAGGCGCGGGCCGGGGGCCCAGAGGACTCGCGTCCCGCCGCCCTGGGGCCCCGGCGGGGGCGCGCGGGCCATGGCCCGGCCCGAGCCGCGCAGGGGGCGTCCTCTGGCCTGGCCGCCGCTCGCCCGGGGGCTGCGGCCAACTCAGCGGGCCGCCATCCGAGCGCGGGAGGCCGGGGGGAAAGTTTGGCCGCAAGTTGCGCGGCCGCCCGTGGCGGGGGGGGAGGGGCGGCGGGTGCGCGCCGGGGCTGATCGCCGCGCCCCCTGGGTCCCCCGGCGCCCGCGGCTGCCGCTCCGGGCCTGCAGGGCCGCTGGGCCGGCGCCTCTGGAGCTGCCGCCCCCGCTGCGGCCGCTCCTGCCTGGCCTGGGCCTGCGCCTGGGCCCAAGCCTCGCTCTCGCCGCCGCCACCGCCACCGACCCCGCGCGCCGGCCTCGCGCTGCGGCCGGTTTGACACACAGCGTTCCATTCGCGGGGCGGGCGGGGGGCGGGGGCGGGGGCAGGGGCGCGCGCCGCGGGCTGGGGGCGGGCGCTCGTTGCCCCGGCGACGGCCGCCCTTATAAGGGCATGGGTGGCCGCGCGCGGCGCCGGGCGAACGGGCCGGCGGGAGGGACGGGGGCCGAGCGCTGGGCCGCGGGGCCTGACCCTCCCCCGCCTCCCTCTGCCCCTCCCCCCGCACCCCCGCCCTCGCCCTCGCCCAGCTCGGGCCTTAACCCCTGCCGGGCCGCGGCGGGAGCCTCAGCCGCGCCTGCCCTCTGCCCTTCCTTGAGCCTCGCCAAGATGTCTCTCCAAGGCCCTCCCCTCCACCTCTGGCCTTGGACGTTGGGTCGCTCGATCACCCTCGAGGCGCCCCTCGGAACCTCTCCCCACCCCACAGTTCCTGGCAAAGCAATGATGGGGGGCCAGTGGCACCCGGGGGGGGGGTACGCCCCTGCGCAAGACACACGCGCGCGCGAGACAGACAGACACACACACACACACACACACACACACACACACACACACCCTAGATTGTGTTTGCTTCCTCTTCCAGAAAGTCGCCGCGTCTGACCCCCACCCCACCCTTTCTCTGCTCGGGTTAACACCTGGTGCCCGGAATCTCCAGGGGGAAGGGATGTTGTGGTCTGAGACCGGCTGGCCGGGGCCGCGAGGTCAGGGGGCCCCTCTGCAGAATTTCTGGCCTCCGGGGGCAGGGCGCCCACCCGCCCCGCGCGGCTGGAGGCGACAGGCATGCCCTGTCTGGGGGCCTGCCCCTTTTTCCCTTTTAATTTCCTTTTCTTTCTGTGCTTTGCAGAAAGGGCTTGGCCTGGCGGCCGGCTGGACTGCAGATGTCTCTTCCAGGCGCCCTGGAGCCTCGCAGCTGCCGCCACCTCCAACTCACCCCATCCCCCAGTACCGGGGCTGGGGCCCGCCCGACCAGCATTTATTAAGCACCCTTTGTATGCGAGGCCCGGGCTGGCGAGCCTCTGGCTCTGGGCAGGTTAACCTTTAACCGGCTGGACAAGCCCTTCCAGGAGTGACCTTTCACCTCGGAGTCTTGCAGCCCCAGCCACCCAGACTGTGGTCCCACCCCGCCCTGAGCCCAGAGCTGGACACCAGAGCATGCAGCTGGGCCTCTGAGAGCTCTGGCCAGGACAGTGCCTTCTGCGCACCCCCTCCTCTGCCTCCCAGAGCCCTGATGAGACTTGAAGAATTGCCCTCCCTGGAGTAGGGGGAAAGATTCTTAGAGATCTTACAACACTTAAAAAGAAACTGAGGTTCTGGGAGAGCCAGGCACACCCAGCCCTGGGCCTCTCAACCTGCTCCAGGGACGTTCTGGCTGCCTGGGAGGTGGAGGAGGAGGCGTTAGTAAACACGAAAAGCAGGAAGGACTAGGATTAGACATGAGCAAGGACTTCCCGAGGTCTAGAGTCGGGTTCTGCCCACAGCCTGATGTAATCCCTGCTGGGAGAGAGGAAGGCGTGGGTGGGCAGAGACGACCCTTTGGTTCTGAGGCTGCATGGGAATGTGACTGGTAATTTGGGATGAGGGCAGGGATCCTAGGCCCCTTGCCTGGACCTGCTAGGATCTTTGGTGGGGAGCATTGGGGTGGAGGTCTCAGAAGGGATTGAAAAGAGATTTAGATGAGAGACAGGCGCTGTGGCTCACGCCTGTAATCCCAACACTTTGGGAGGCCAAGTCAGGAGGATCTCTTGAGACCAGGAGTTCAAGACCAGCCGGGGCAATAAAGTGAGACCCGTCTTGAGCCCAGGTGTTCAAGGCTGCAGTGGGTTATAATCACGTCACGTCACTCCACTCCAGCGTGAGCAAGACCCTGTCTCAAAAAAAAAAAAAAAAAGAAGAGGGAGAGAAGACTCAAGGAATCTTGAGGGGATTGTGAAGGGGAGGGAGCAAAGAACTAGGTTTGGGGGAGACAAGTCTTGCGAGGCAGCTGAGAGCTGGGTGGGAGATGGGGGAAGAAAGACCATCGCAGATCCCAGAAACTCCAGTAGTTCCAGTCCCAAAGGCTGCCCCACCCCCTTCCAGTAGCCTGGCCACCCCTGTGCCCCCTGGGGCCCGCCTGGGGGTGGATCAAGGCTCTACCCCGCCTCCCTGACCCCTGCCCGCGGCCCTGCAGTAACATTTGACCTTGCGGCGGCCGCAAACCAGGGACAAAGGGGCCTAGGCCCATCTGCTGAGGGGGCACCCGTGGGAATGGCCAGATCCTGCTGGGGCAGCCTGGGAACCTGTCTCCGTCCTCCCACATGTGACCTTGGCTCCCTTTGCCCCTCCACAGGCAACCTGGTGGGACCAGGAACTCAGGTCTTAGACTCTGGGGCTCGGCAGGGTACAGGGAAGAAATTCAGCTTCTCTGCCCCACCCCAACACGAGCAAGGTGGTCTGCCTCCATTTCCCTGCTTTCTTCAAAGTTGGCCCAAGTCCAGGGACAGCGTGTGGGTCGGAAGGTGACTAGCCCCAGCCCTCGCTGGAGGGGACTGTGCTCGCCACCATACTTCTTGTTCTGTTTCTGGGGTCAGGTTGACTGGATTCAAGTCCAGGCCGCTGACTGGCGCTGACCTCAGGCTGACGTGGTCCTGCCCTGGGAGAGGCGGTGAACACACCTGCACAGGTGAGGCCTGGAGCACCTGCCCCCAAGGCTGGGAATGAAAGTCTTTCTAATCCCTGTCTCGGGTTTCAGCTGCCACCCTGAAGGGGGACAGCTGGCCACTAATCCAAGCTTGGCTGGGTCGTTCCAAGCTCCCCTTTCCCAGACTCAGCCAGTCCTGGTGTGGAGGGGCAGGGAGATGTGACTTATGCAAATGACATGCTAATTCATTGCCTGCTATTAACCTGACACGTCCCACAGCTCCTGGGCCCCCAGGAGAAAGCTGGAACTGGCCACCATTGGCATTCATTCTGAGTTTCTCTTGAAGTACAACGCCCCCTGAGTCCCAGACTATTACCTTTGCTATGCCTGTCCCCCACCCAGAAACCCTTTACCTTATTTTATTTATTTATTTTTGAGACAGACTCTCCTATTTTGCCTAGGCTGGTCTTAAACCCCTGGGCTCAAGCAGTCCTCCTCCCTCGGCCTCCTGAGATACTGGGATTACAGGCAAGCTCGACCACATGGAGTCCAGAAACCCTTGACCTTAGCTTTGAGTTAGTAGCAACTCGTCATCCACACCCTGAATCTGAACCATTCCAGCTTCAGTCTCCCTCCTTTTTGTTTTGTTTTGTGTTTTATTTATTTATTTAGAGACAGAGTTTTGCTCTTATTGCCCGGGCACGATCTTGTTGTTGGCGCGATCTCGGTTCACTGCAACCCCCGCCTCTCAGGTTCAAGCAATTATCCTGCCTCAGTCTCCCGAGTAGCCGGGATTACAGGCATGTGCCACAACACCCAGCCAATTTTTGTATTTTTAGTAGAGACGGGGGTTTCACCATGTTGGCCAAGCTGGTCTCAAGCTCCTGACCTCAGGTGATCCTCCCCGCCTCAGCCTCCCAAAGTGCTGGGATTACAGGCATGAGTCACCACGCCTGGCCTGTTTTTTTTTTTGAGACAAGGTCTTACTCTGTGACCCAGACTGGAGTGCAGTGGCGTGATCTCAGCTCACTGCAACCTCCACTTCCCAAGCTCAAGTTACCCTCCCACTTTAGCCTCCTAAATATCTTTATAGGCACATGCCACCACGCCTGGCTAATTTTTGTATTTTTTTGTAGAAATGGGGTTTTGCCATGTTGCCCAGGCTGGTCTTGAACTCCTGGGCTCAAGTGATCTACCCACCTTGGCCTCCCAAAATGCTGGGATTACAGATGTGCACCACTGAGCCCGGCCCCCTTCAGGAAAATCTGCCAGCCAAACCCAGCATCTCCCTGGGAAGGGGCTGCCAGGAGAAGCTCTGTCCAGTCCCCATGAATCCCTCCCTGGGCTTCGGGAGACAGGCCAGTTGGAACTTCAGCTGTGGCTATGCAACCTCACGGACCCCCGAAATGCGTCAGTCCCAGGGACCTGGTCCCATAGCCCAGGTTGCTTCTGGCCTGACCCCACTGATATGAAGTTCACATTCCACTTGGTGCCAGGCCAAAGACACCTGAGTCTTTCTTCATTGCCTGGCCACACCCCATCAGGCCCTGGACACCCATGTGCACCAGCTTCCCTCACGCCAAATGTGCCCCAACATGCCAAATCATGCAACATGACATGATGTCACTCCAGGACAGTTTATGACATGCCACAGCTGTCTGGCATGTCCAGACATGGCTGGGTAAGGGGCCTACAGAAAGGTGTCCCCAAGCTGGGGAGGCGGGAGGGGAGGCCTGGGCTTCCCCAGGGCCCTTGCAGTGGCTTCGAGCACCGCCACCTCCTCGGCCTGCTGAGCCTCCATGAGTGCCATCTGCTGCTCCAACTTCCGGCGTTGCTCTTCCTGCTTCCGGTGGGCTCCTCGGAAGGCCAGGACCAGGGCGCTGGAAGGGGTGGGTGGCTGGGTCAGGAAACAGCCCCCGAGTCCACCCAAGGCAAGGGCCGTGTACTCCCACTCCCAGAATGGGGGCTCTTTCACATTGGGTCTCCAAGGGTCCCAGCTAGCTGGTCTTTTGTTGTTGTTGTTGTTGTTGTTTGAGACAGAATTTCGCGCTTGTCACCCAGGCTGGAGTGCAATGGTAAGATCTCCCCTCACTACAACCTCTGCCTCGAGGGTTCAAGTGATTCTCCTGCCTTAGCCTCCCAAGTAGCTGGGATTACAGGCGCCCACCACCACGCCCAGCTAATTTTTTTGTATTTTTTAATAGAGACAGGGTTTGACCATGTTGCCCAGACTGGTCTTGAACTCCTGACCTCAGGTGATCCGCCTGCCTCAGCCTCCCAAAGTGCTGGGATTACAGGCGTGAGCCACCATGCCCAGCCTGTTTTTTCTTGTTGTTGTTTTTTGAGATGGGGTTTCGCTCTTGTTGCCCAGGCTGGAGTGCAATGGCACAATCTCGGCTCACTGCAACCTCTGCCTCCCGGGTTCAAGCGATTCTCCTGCCTCAGCCTACCGAGTAGCTGGGATCACAGGCATGCGCCACCACGCCTGGCTAATTTTGTATTTTTAGTAGAGATGGGGTTTCTCCATGTTGGTCAGGCTGGTCTCGAACTCCCGACCTCAGGTGATCTGCCCACCTTGGCCTCCCAAAGTGCTGGGATTTCAGGCGTGAGCCACTGCGCCTGGCCCAGCCTGTTGTTTTTTTTTTTTTTTTTTTAGACAGAGTCTTGCTCTGTCACCCAAGCTGGAGTGCAGTGGTGTGATCTCTGCTCACCACAACCTCCACCTCCTGGGTTTAAGCAATTCTCCTGTCTCTCAAGTAGCTGGAATTACAGGCACGTGCAAAGACGCCTAGCTAATTTTTGTATTTTTAGTAGAGATGGGGTTTCACCACGTTGGCCAGGCTGGTCTCAAACTCCTGACCTCAAGTGATCTGCTGGCCTCAGCCTCCCAACATGCTGGGATTACAGGTGTGAGCCACCACACCTGACCGTTACTGCCTATCTTGGGGCAGTGGGGAATGCTAAGGCCCAGAGACAGCCAGGGATACTTCTGATATCCTGGTGGGGGATGGTGCCAGGGGGATTGGGGGGATGCAGAACAGTCCTACCTGTGGGCTTTGCATAAATCCCTGTTCAGCTCGGCACTCTGAGACCGTCTGGCTCGCCCCTTCTGAGCCACCTGTTCCAGCTCCCTGCGCAGAGACTGCAGCTGCTCCTGCAGGTCCAGTGTCCTGTTGCGAAGGAGAAGAGAGGGGGCTCACAGCCCCAGCCGATCCTGTTTCCCAGGTCTCCTCCTACCCACCTGCCCACAGTATTGTCATGTAAACACACCTGTACACCGGGGTACACCTTAGCTTCTACTGCAGACGACACCCCCGGGGGCTCTCACATAGGCTGCCTGCCCACCCCCCGCACAGCCCAGGACCCAGGCACACACCTGGTGAGCGATGCTGCCAGTTCCTGGGCTAACTTCTCTGGGTCCCAGGCTCTGCCCACCTGGCCACCATCAATGCCACTGGTGCCACCAGGGACAGCAGGAAGGCCCTAAGGGAGGCAGAAGACAAGAAAGTGACATTAACCTAGGCCAAGTCCGTGCTTGGCCCACACTGGACATTGGAGCTGCCCAGACAGTGGCAGCTGCTGTGCTCTCAGAGACCCACATCTGGTTCGATATACCAATAAGAGCAAAATTATACTCTGATAAGGGAAATATCCTATTTAATTAAAAAAAATTTTTTTTGAGACAGAGTCTCACTCTGCCACCCAGGCTGGAGTACAGTGGCACGATCTTGGCTGACAGCAACCTCCGCCTCCCAGGTTCAAGCGATTCTCCTGCCTCAGCCTCCCAAGTAGTTGGGATTACAGACACATGCCACCAGACCCGGCTACTTTTCGTATTTTTAGTAGAGACGGAGTTTCACCATGTTGGCCAGGCTGGTCTCGAACCTCATCTCTAAAAATAAAATTTAGGGGCCAGGTGTGGTAGCTCATGCCTGTAATCCCAGCACTTTGGGAGGCCAAGACGGGTGGATCACTTGAGGTCAGGCGTTCAAGACCAGCCTGGTCAACATGGTGAAACCCTGTCTCTACTAAAAATATAAAAATTAGTCTGGCATGGTGGCAGACCCCTGTAATTCCAGCTACTTGGGAGGCTAAGGCAGGAGAATCGCTTGAACTTGGGAGGCGGAGGTTGCAGTGAGCCAAGATCATGCCACTGCACTCCAGCCTGGGCAACAGAGTAAGATACGGTCTCAAAAAAAAAAATTAGCCAGGCATGGTGGCGGGCACCTGGAGTCCCAACTAACTGGGCGGCTGAGGCAGGAGAATCACTTGAAGCTGGGAGGCAGAGGTTGGAGTAAGCTGGGATCGCAGCACTGCACTCTAGCCTGAGCAACACAGTGAGACTCTGTCTCAAAAAAAAAAACAACAAAAAAACAAAAACAAAAACTAGAGATCCACTGGAAGTCCTTCCTCCTGTCTAATCCTTGTTTGAAATAATAATAATTTTTTTTTTGAGAAGAGTCTCGCTCTGTCGCCCAGGCTAGAGTGCACTGGCGTGATCTCAGCTCACTGCCAGCTCTGCCTCCCGGGTTCACGCCATTCTCCTGCCTCAGCCTCCCGAGTAGCTGGGACTACAGGCGCCCGCCACCATCCCCAGCTAATTTTTTGTATTTTTAGTAGAGACAGGGTTTCACCGTGTTAGCGAGGATGGTCTCGATCTCCTGACCTCGTGATCCGCCCAACTCGGCCTCCCAAAGTGCTAAGATTACAGGCTGGGATTACAGGCATGAGCCATCGTGCCCGGACAGTAATAATTTTTTTTTCTTTTTTTTTTTTTGAGACGGAGTCTCGTCGCCCAGGCTGGAGTGCAGTGGCGCAATCTCGGCTCACTGCAACCTCCACCCCTCCAGGTTTAAGCAATTCTCTGTCTCAGCCTCTGGAGTAGCTGGGATTACAGGCACGTGCCACCATGCCCAGCTAATTTTTTTGTATTTTTAGTAGAGACAGGGTTTCACCATGTTGGCCAGGCTGGTCTTGAACTCCTGACCTCATGATCCACCCGCCTCGGCCTCCCAAAGTGCTGGGATTACAGGTGTGAGCCACCGTGCCTGGCCAATAATAATTTTTTAAAAATTAGGCTGGACGTGGTGGCTCACGTCTGTAATCCCAGCACTTTGGGAGGCCGAGACGGGCGGATCAGCCTGAGGTCAGGAGTTTGAGAGCAGCCTGGCCAACATGGTGAAACCCTGTCACTACTAAAAATACAAAAATTAGCTGGGTGTGGTGGTGCACGCCTGTAATTCCAGCTACTCGGGAAGCCAAAGCAGGAGAATCGCTTGAACCTGGGACGCAGAGATTGCAGTGAGCCAAGATCGCACCACTGCACTCCAGCCTGGGTGACAGAGCAAGATCCGTTTCCCAAAAAAAAAAAAAAAGAAAAAAAAAATTAAAGGCCAGGCGCTGTGGCTCATGGCTGTAATCCCAGTACTTTGGGAGGCTGAGGTGGGCAGATCACCTGAGGTCAGGAGTTCTACACCAGCCTGGCCAACATGGTGAAACCCCATCTCTACTAAAAAATACAAAAATTGGCCAGGCACGGTGGCTCACGCCTGTAATCCCAGCACTTTGGGAGGCTGAGGCAGGTGGATCACAAGGTCAGGAGATCGAGACCATCTTGGCTAACACAATGAAACCCCGTCTCTACTAAAAAAATACAAAAAAAATTAGCCGGGTGTGGTGGCGGGCGCCTGTAGTCCCAGCTACTCGGCAGGCGGAGGCAGGAGAATGGCGTGAACCCGGGAGGCGGAGCTTGCAGTGAGCCGAGATTGCACCACTGCACTCCAGCCTGGGCTACAGAGCGACACTCTGCCTCAAAAAAAATAAAAAATAATAATAAATAAGCCGGGTGCAGTGGCTCAAGCCTGTAATCCCAACACTTTGGGAGGCTGAGGCGGGCGCATCACCTGAGGTTCAGAGTTCGAGACCAGCCTTAGTAACATGGGGAAACCTCATCTACACTAAAAATACAAAAATTAGCCGGGCGTGGTGGCGCGTGCCTGTAGTCCCAGCTACTCAGGAGGCTGAGGCAGGAGAATCACTTGAACCCAGGAGGTGGAGGTTGTGGTAAGCCAAGATCGGGCCATTGCACTCCAGCCTGGGCAACAAGAGCAAAACTCTGTCTCAAAAAAAAAAAAAAGAGATGAGGTCTCGCTGTGTGGCCCAGGCTGGAGTGAAATGACATAATCGTGGCTCGCTGAAGCCTCCAACTCCGGGTTCAAGTGATCCTCCCACCTCAGCCACCCGAGTAGCTGGGACCACTGTGATAAGGGAAATAAATAACAGGAAACCGCATCTGAAGTCACTCCAGGAGGGCTTCCTTGAGGAGGTGATGTCTAAGCTGAGATCTACAGGAGGTCGAGGACTTTATGACACAAAGAGGGAAGTGACCGGTGTTCCTGGCAGGGACACAGAATATACAAAGGCTTGGAGGTAGGAGAGATGATTTAAAGAGCTGCATTAAGGACAGGTGCGGCGACTCATGCCTGTAATCTCAGCACTTTGGGAGGTGGAGGCAGGCGAAACATTTGAGGCCAGGAGTTCGAGAGCAGCCTGGCTAACATGGTGAACTGCAACTCTACAAAACTGCATCTCTACAAAACATACAAAAAATAGCTAGATGTGGTGGTGCGTGTCTGTAATCCCAGCTACTCAGGAGGCTGAGACAGGAGAATCTCTTGAACCTGGGAGGCGGAGGTTGTGGTGAGCCGAGATTGCAACATTGCATTCCAGCCTGGGCAACAAGAGCCAAACTCCGTCTCAAAAAAAACAAAAAAAAAAAGGCTGTGATTGACAAGGGCTATGTTCTCATTAGTAAGCTACTCCCCTACCAGGTTCAGGCAGGGCAGCTCACCTGATACCACTCTTCCTCGTCCCCGCTGCTGCCACCTCCGCTGCTATGTCCGCCACTGCTGTTTGCCCCACCAGCCTGGAGCTCTGCCCGTTCCCACCGCAGCTGCTCCAGCAGGAGCACGTGAGCTGGACCCAGGGCTCGGAGGGCAGCCTCCCGCAGCTCTAGGCCCCGCTTCTCACGCCGCACCAGCTGCAGCCGAAGCATCAGGTCCGCCAGGGCCTCCTGTGGGACCAAGGAGAGGGGAGAGAATTTATGCTTCTACGGTCAACTGCAGGGAAACTGAGGCCCCAAGAGGCACCCACTGAGGACTATTCAGACAAAAACTGTGACTTTTGGCCAGGCGCAGTGGCTCATGCCTGTAATCCCAGCACTTTGGGAGGCCAAAGTGGGTGGATTACCTGAGGTCAGGAGTTCGAGACGAGCCTGGCCAACATGGTGAAAACCCGTCTCCATTAAAAATACAAAAATTAGCCAGGTGTGGTGGTGCACACCCGTAATCCCAGCTACTTGGGAGGCTGAGGCAGGAGAATCACTTGAACCCGGCAGTGGGGCAGAGGCTGCAGTGAGCCAAGATAGCGCCACAGCACTCCAGCCTGGGTGAGAGCAAGACTCCGTCTCAAAAAACAAACAAACAAACAAACAAACTAGGACCTTCACCATTCACCATGTTCTTGTGAGGTGGAAATATCTTCCTCCCATAAAAGCTACAGCTGTAGAAATGGCATTTCCTAGAGGGGCAAGTAGCTTACATAGGTCAAGTATTAGTTCTGTCAAAGCTTCTGGAGTTTCTCTAACTCCAGAACCTCAAGTTTTTCATGCCAAGCTACAAACCCAAGATTGTGTTCTTTGCTCCCATCTCTTCCCATAGGAAGGGCATTTTGGAGAGCCAGATTTGTAGTCTAATGAGAAACTGAACCCCAGAAAACAAACTCCTATTAATCCCTCAAAACCCCAGCTCCAATTCTCCCTTCACAATGCCTGCACTCAGCCCAGCAGAATTCTCCTTTGCTCCTTGGTCCCCCGACCTCAGTAAAGGATTTTGTCCCACCAAGAAAGACTGACACAGTGGCCACAGCCCATTTGTACCCTTGCGGCCACCAGGTCCTGCTGAATTTGTGTCTTCTCCAGTCGGGGAAGAGCTGGGCCAGCCTGGGTCCCCAGAATGGCCTGCACCATGGCTTCTGCACGGGGCACAGTGGGCATGGGTGCCAAGGTGGGGCCAGGCTCTGAGAGAATCTTCATTAGAGAACGGCGCTCCTGGAGACGCTGGACATAGCTTCGGAGCTGGAAAGCCACTTCCTGTGGGGTGGGCTTATCCACACTGCTGCCTTCAGGGCTATAGAAAACAGAAAAGGTGCCTATGTCAACACTGGCAGGCATAGGTGGGTTAAGTTCATGCCAATCCTGGTAGGGTCCATCACCTTCCATCTCACTGGCCACGATGGAATCTATGCCATCTTTGGTGGTCCCTGTCACACCAACATACCCCACTAGGCACCACCTTCCATCAAGACCACATGGTGGCCAGGTGCGGTGATGCATGCCTGTAACCCCAGCACTTTGGGAGGCTGAGGTGGGAGGATTGCTTGAAGCCAGAAGTTTGAGACCAGCATAGGCAACAGAGTGAGAATCCGTCTTTTTTTTTTTTTTTTTTGAGACGCAGTCTTGCTCTGTCGCCCAGGCTGGAGTGCAGTGGCATAACCTCGGCTCACTGCAAGCTCCACCTCTCGGGTTCACGCCATTCTCCTGTCTCAGCCTCCCAAGAAGGTAGGACTACAGGCGCTTGCCACCACGCCCGGCTAATTTTTTTTTTTTTTTTTGGATTTTTAGTAGAGACGAGGTTTCACCGTGTTAGCCAGGATGGTCTCGATCTCCTGACCTTGTGATCTGCCCACCTCGGCCTCCCAAAGTGCTGGGATTACAGGCGTGAGCCACCGCGCCTGGCCGAGAATCCGTCTTCATAAAAAATTAGCTGCGGCCGGGCGCAGTGCCTAACGCCTGTAATCCCAGCACTTTGGGAGGCCGAGGCAAGTGGATCACCTGAGGTCAGGAGTTCGAGACCAGCCTGACCAATATGGAGAAACCCCGTCTCTACTAAAAATTCAAAATTAGCCGGGTGTGGTAGTGGGAGCCTGTAATCCCAGCTACTCGGGAGGCTGAGGCAGGAGAATCCCTTGAACCCGGGAGGCAGAGGTTGCAGTGAGCCGAGATCGGACCATTGGACTCTAGCCTGGGCGACAAAAGTGAAACTCTGTCTCAAAAAAAAAAAAAAAAAAAAAAAAGACAGGGTCTCACTCTGTCACCCAGGCTGGAGTGCAGTGGTGCAATCTCAGCTCACTGCAGCCTCCACCTCCCAGACTCAAGGCATCCTCCCACCTCAGCCTCCCAAGTAGCTGGTACTACGCGGGCACACCACCATGCCCAGCTAATTTGTTTGTAGTTTTGGTAGAGAAGGACTTTCGCCATGTTACAAGGGCTGGTCTTGAACTACTGAGCTCAAACGATCTGCCTGCCTCGGCCTCCCAAAGTGCTGGGATTACAGGCTTGAGCCACTGTGCCCGGCTGTGGGTGCCAGTTTTAACCAGTAGGCATTGTCATTCATCTTCATGCCAACTGCAATGTCTGTCAACCACCATGCCAACTTTGTCAAGTAGCAACAGGCCAACTGCAGTTGAGCCTCATGTCAACCAACTACAGTGAGCTCCATACCGACCTTGCTGGACACAGCCACACCAAGCCCCGAAACGTGGTGAGCTCTGGGAGCCCCATCCCCCAGTCAAGACCCCACTCCTCAACCAGGCCAGTTCCCAGGGTTCCAGGGGGGTACCTTGGCTGTGGATTCTGCTGTGCTCCTGCATCCATGGCAGCCTCCTCTTGTGCCAGCAGCCTCCATGCTTCCTTTTCAGCTGCTTGCAGGTCACTCATGGGGGCTTCGTCTCCTGCTCCTGAGTCGGCCTCCCGCAGAGCAAGCAGAACCCTGTATGCCTCTTCACAGTGTTCACTGTGGGACACTGGTTCTGAGTGCTTCAGGACACTCAGCTCGGCTGGGTGCAATGGCCCTCACCTGTAGTCCCAGCACTTTGGGAGGCTGAGGCGGGAGGATTACCTGAGGTCAGGAGTTCGAGACCAGCCTGACCAACATGGTGAAACCCCGTCTCTACTAAAAAGACAAAGATTAGCAAGGTGTGGTGGTACGCACCTGTAGTTCCAGCTACTCAGGAGGCTGAGGCAGGAGAATCACTTGAACTGGGGAGGCGGAGGTTGCAGTGAGCCAAGATGGCACCACTGCACTCCAGCCTGGGTGACAGAGCAAGACTCTGTCTCAAAAAAAAAAAAAAAAAGAAAGAAAAAAGAAAAAAAAATCCACTTAGCTACATCTTGCTCTATAGGTGCCAGTCCCCACTTGCTCCTGAACCCCTCTTCTCCCCACTGCCCTCAGCTCTGGAAGCATGCAGACTCCCTTAGCAACCCTGAACTAAAATTGCCTTAAGTTAATTTCTGGGCCAGGCAAGGTGGCTCACACCTGTAATCCCAGCACTTTAGGAGGCCCAGTAGGGGGGATCATGAGGTCAGGAGTTCGAGACTAGCCTGGCCAACATGGTGAAACCCATCTCTACTAAAAATACAAAAATTAGCTGGCTATGGTGGCATACACCTGTAATCCCAGCTACTCAGGAGGCTGAGACATGAGTATCATTTGAACCCAGGAGGCAGAGGTTGCAGTGAGCTGAGATCTCACCACTGCACTCCAGCCTGGGCAACACAGCGAGATTCTGTCTCAAAAAAAAAAATTAATTTCTGAAGTGGGGAAGGTGCTCTCCAGTGAGGGTTCTGTGGATTGGGGCCATCCTCAGAAAGCCCACTCCCTCCCCAGCTGGTGACATCACTGGCAGGGTGCACTGACCTGTACTGCAAGGCCAGATGCAATGCTGTGGCCTCAGCCTCCCGCTGGCCTAGCTGCATGCTGAGGCCTTCACAGCGGCCCTTGTATCCCTGTAGCACAGCTGATAGCAGACGATTAAAGCATTTGAGCTTCTCAATGCTCCTGTTCCCGAAGGTGGGGAAGAGGGAAAGTCAGAGGCCTTCTAAGGCAGTCAGGCCTCAATTTCCACCCTTTCCCTCCCTCCTGTTGCAGCTTCAGACTCCTGGCTTTATAACTCAGTTGGAGGAGGTGCCTGTGCCCTTATGAGCTCAGCATTTGAGTCTCTTACCCCCGGAGTTGCTCCATCTGGGCTTCCATGATGTGCATCTCAGGACTGAGGGGCTGGTTGGGAAGAGACCCAAGGATCTGGGTGCTGGAATGGCTGCGGAGGCGCCGAAGCAGGGGGTGAGCCAGGGAGAAGGAGTCCTGCCAAGAAGAAGTGATATAACTGACCCCAATTGTCACCAAGAGCCTGGGATTGTAGGCATTTTGCAACCCCAAAGCTGTTGGATCCCATGACAAAGATTTGAGTCTCATTCCCCTGAAGGCTAAGGACATCAAGACCATGGGATTGAACTTCTCGCACTCACCTGAGTCTCCCAGGGTTCCCTGTCTGCCTCAGAGCTGCTAGAACCACTGCCTGAGCCACCTGCTTGGTTGTGGGAAAGATGTGGGCAGGGCTCCAGCCTCAAGAGGGAATCCTGCAGCTCTTGAACCTGGGAAAGATGAGGGGGACGTCAGGCCTAGGGGCTCAAACCAACCACCAGCCCTCTCTCCCCAAGGCCTGTTCTTGGGGAAGTGGCAAGAACCCTAGCTGGAAGGCAAGAGGCTTGGATACTTAGCCTGCCAAAAATCTCACTATCTGACCTTGGGAATGTTTCTCAGCTGCTGAGGATTTTATTTTTCCCAGCAGAAAAATGGGCCCCACTCTGGGGAAAAATGAATCCCTGGACTGGGCTCCAAAGTTTTTCTACCAGCCTAAGATGAGGGCTTCCCTCTCAATATCTCATTCAGCCACATGGCTTTTTTATTTTTATTTTTGAGATGGAGTCTTGCTCTGTTACCTAGGCTGGAGTGCAGTGGCACAGTCTCAGCTCACTGCAACCTCTGCCTCCCGGATTCAAGTGATTCTCCTGCTTCAGCCTCCCGAGTAGCTGGGATTACAGGCATCTGCCACCATGCCTGACAAATATTTGTATTTTCAGTAGAGATGGGGTTTCACCATGTTGACCAGGCTGGTCTTGAACTCCTGACCTCAAGTGATCTTCCTGACTCAGCCTCCCAAAGTGCTGGGATTACAGGCATGAGACAATGCACCCAGCAGCCACATGGCTTTAAATGCCACCTGTGTGCTAAGGATGCTCAAGTTTCTCCCTTCTGCCCTGCTGTCTCCTCTGAGCCCTGGACTCAGACATATAGCTGCTCCCTTGAGGACCCCACGTGGATGTCTCATGGACACTTGAGCTTATCAAGGGCTAAAGAGATCTGGTCACCCCCAGCCAAACCTGCCTACCCTGTAGCTCCTCCATCTCTCCCTTCTAGTCCAGCAGGTCCCAAAGCCTGAAGTTGTCCTTGACTTCTCTCTAGCCTTCACGCTCACACGTCAGTTCCATCTGCCACATCACCCAGAATCCGTCCGCATCTCTCCACTTCTACAACCTCCACCATCGTGCATGTCTGGACCAATGAAGTCGCCTCCTGGCTCTCCAGGAGTCCACCCTCACCTCCGCCACCAGAGGGCGCCTGTGAACACCTGCGTCGAGCATGCCCCTCCTCTGCTCAAAACCCTCCAGGGCTCTCACCTTAATCCAAGCAAAGCCCAAGCGTCTCCTTGCAGCCCACGAGGCCCTACGCGATCTGCATTTGTTCTCCCTCTGTTCTGTTCTGGCTCCCCACACTCTCCCTGTTGCCCCCTGTGTTCCAGCCACACTGGCCTCCTTCGGGTTTCTTGAACAGGCCAGTCATGCTGCCACTCCAGGGCCTACTCCCACCACCCTCAGTTTTCTTTCTTTTTCTTTCTTTCTTTCTTTCTTTTTTTTTTTTTTTTGAGAAAGAGTTTTCTTCTGTCGCCCAGGCTGGAGTGCAATGGCGGGATCTCGGCTCACTGCAAGCTCCGCCTCCCGGGTTCACGCCATTCTCCTGCCTCAGCCTCCGGAGTAGCTGGGACTACAGGCACCCGCCACCACGCCGGCTAATTTTTTGTATTTTTAGTAGAGACGGGTTTTCACCGTGTTAGCCAGGATGGTCTCGATCTCCTGACCTCGTGATCTGTGCCTCGGCCTCCCAAAGTGCTGGGATTACAGGCGTGAGCCACCGTGCCCAGCATTATTATTATTTTTTTTTTTTTTTGAGACAGAGTCTCACTCCGTCACCCAGGCTGGAGTGCAGTGGTGAAATCTCGGCTCACTGCAACCTCCACCTCCTGGGATCAGGCGATTCTCGTGCCTTAGCCTCCCTGGTAGCTGCAGAATTGTGTCAAGCAATTCTCCTGCCTCAGCCTCCAGAGTAGCTGGGATTGCAGGCACGTGCCACCACACCTGGCTAATTTTTGTATTTTTAGTAAAGACAAGGTTTCACCATGTTGGCCAGGCTGGTCTCTAACTCCTGGCCTCAAGGGAGCCACCCACCTCGGCCTCCCAAAGTGCTGGTGTAGATTACAGGCATGAGCCACTGCACCCAGCCAACCTGGCTGATTTTTTTTTTTTTTTTTTTGAGACAGAGTCTCACTCTGTCCCCCAGGTTGGAGTGCATTGGCACGATCTCAGCTGACTGCCATCTCCATCACCCGGGTTCAAGTGATTCTCCTGCTTCAGCCTCCTGAGTAGCTGGGATTACAGGCCTATGCCACCGCACCCGGCTAATTTTTTTTTGTATTTTTAGTAGAGATGGGGTTTGACCATGTTGGCCAAGCTGGCCTTGAACTCCTGACTTTGTGATCCACCCACCTCAGCCTCCCAAAGTGCTGGGATTACAGGTGTGAGCCACTGTGCCTGGCCAACCTGGCTGATTTTTAATTTTTTTGCAGAGGTGGCAGTCTTGCTGTGTTGCTGAGGCTGGTCTTGAACTCCTGGCCTCAAAGGATCCTCCTGCCTCCACCTCCCAAAGTGCTGGGATTATAGGTGTCAGCCACCACACCCAGCCTTAAAAGGTTTTTTGAATGAACAAATGAATGAATATTGCCTACATCAGGCCCACCTCCTCCCTCAGACAGAGAGCCACATGGGACTCAGGATGGCCCCACTCACCTCTTTCTGCAGCGTCTCCTTCTCAGCTCGGATGGCCTCCAGGGAGGCCTGCGTGCGGACCAGCTCATCCTCTCGGCTACTCAGGGCCAGCCGGAGCCAGGCATTCCTCTCGGCCAGGCGAGCTGCCTCTCGCTGGCAGCTCCCTGCCCCTTCCTGCTTCCCAAGGGAACCTGCTCCCCCTTCGCTTGTGCCTTCGAACTCCATCGGCCCAGAATGGCTGGGGGGCTGGTGGCGCCAGGCTGCAGCCGCTGCCTCCAGGGAGCTCAGAGTGTGCTGGAGGGTCTGAAACACATCGGGGGCCCCATTCCCAGGGGGCACAGTCTCCTTGTACTGTAGGGCTGCTTCTGGGGCTTGGTGGGCTTCCACTGCAGGTTTGTGGGGCACTTCGGGGGCTGAGGCCAGTTCCCTGCCAGAGCCCCCATCCATCTTCTTGTCAGTCCTGTGGACACCAACTCAGGCACTTGAGTCACTCCATGCTGGGCAAGGAATTCTTTTTTATTTTTTGAGACGGAGTCTCACTCTGTTGCCCAGCCTGGAGTGCAGTGGCGCGATCTCGGCTCACTGCAACCTCCACCTCCTGGGTTCAAGTGATTCTCCTGCCTCGGTCCCCCAAGTAGCTGGGATTACAGGCTCCCACCACCACGCCTGGCTAATTTTTGTATTTTTAGTAGAGACAGGGTTTCACCATGTTGGCTAGGCTGGTGTCAAACTCCTGACCTCAGGTGATCCGCCCAACTCGGCCTCCCAAAGTGCTGGGATTATAGGCATGAGCCACCATGCTCGGCCCTGGGCAGGGAATTCTGAGGGCTTAAACTTCATGGTCTTGGGGAGGTGTGAGCGGAGCAGGGAGTTGGCAAGAGCTGCGTGTTCTGGGACTGGCATCCCAGGGTGAGACTGGGAGGCTGTGAATTCAAGGAAGAGGCTAGATAGAGGTGGTGAAGAAGTTGGAGGGGAGACCTGGAGCTGAGAAACAGAGTGAAGTTGGACTGTGACGGGCACTGGGAAAGGCCTGAAGGTGAGAGACAGAAGTTTCTGGAAATAGGGTCTTCTGGGGCGGCGGCTTACACTTGTAATCCCAGCACTTTTGGAGGCCAAAGTTGGGGGATCACTTAAGGGCAGGAGTTCAAGACCAGCCTGGCTAATGTGGCCTGTCTCACTAAAAATGCAAAACTTAGCCGGATGTGGTGGCGCACACCTGTAATCCCAACTACTCAGGAAGCTGAGGCTCCCGCTTGAACCGGGAGGCAGGGGTTGCTGTGAGCCGAGATTGTGCCACTGCACTGCACTACAGCCTGGGTGACACAGCAAGACTCAAAAAAAAAAGAAAGTCAGGCTGAAGGCAATAGGGAGCTATGGTAGGTGTGTGAGCAGAGCAGGCACATCAGCAGATCTGTGGATGGCAAAGATGCGTCTGGACTGGAGTGAAGGGCACAGACCAAGCGGGTCTTACCTGCTTCCTAGGCCTTGGCCACTGACCTCCTCCATGGGGCCCAGCTGCTCCAGCCCGGAGCTCACCGGAGGTGGGGCAAAGCTGGGCTTGGAGCTCCCACTGGCTGCCTCGACCTCCTCTGAACTCTCAGCCACGGGATCCAGTTCACCCTGCAAATGACCCCCGGGGCCCTGCTCTGAGCCAGGCAGGACAGGACCTTGGGGTCCCCAGGATCTGGGTGTGGAGGGGAGAGGGTGACACTTACGGGTGGAGCATGCCTCCCTCGCCGGCTTCGGGGCCGCGTGGCCCGGGCACTCATTGCTGTCCAGAAGCCAGTGCCCTCTGAATGCTTCTCCTTCGTCAACCCCTAAAACCACAGCCTGCCATGAGCTCTTGCCTTTGTTGTCCTGGACAAAGGACAACCTCAATTTCCTCTGCTGTGAAATGGGGCACTGACTACCCCTCAGGAAGGGATTTTGTTATCAATGTTGATTGGGCAGATTTGAATGCCTCCCTGGACAGGGAGCTCACTACCTAAGAAGGTTGTCCTGATCTCCCCCTTCTTCTCTGCCTTCTTTACCTTCACTACGTCTTTGTCCACTTTCCTCCTCTATTTGAGCCTGGGAATGCGATCTCAAGAATTCCCTCTCCTCCCCGGCCCTCCTAAATGAGAGGTTCAGCTCTCTCTACCTCTCTGATCCTCTGGGGGTAACTTGATCAGAGGCCTGAGTCCCGGGACACTCTGTTGGGGTCACTCTGACCACTGCCTGTTCAGGCCTGGGCTGGCCAAGCCTGGCCTGGGAGGGGCTGGGAAACAGGAAACCCCCTCCCCTGGTCACGTGACTTGTTATTGTGTTGTTTCCTTCTCGGGGACAGCGGCTTCCTGCAGCCCTAGCGGGGCACACATACCTGACTCCCAAGGTTTCAGCCCCTCCTCTTCTCAGCCTCCAAACTCATGGCCCTTCTAGCTCTGACTCTTGGATTTTATTTCTCAAGAGCTAGAATGGGCCGAGCACCATGGCTCACACCTGTAATCCCAGCACTCTGGGAAGCTGAGGAAGACAGATCGCTTGAGTCCAAGAGTTTAAGACAAGCCTGGGCAACATGGCGAGACCCCCGTCTTTACAAAAAATATAAAAATTAGCCAGGAGTAGTGGCGTACGCTTGTAGTCCCAGCTACTCAGGAGGCTGAGGTGGGAGGATTGCTTAACACCTGGAAGTTGAGGCTGCAGTGAGCCGTGGTCACGTCACTGCACTCCATTCTGGGTAATAAGGCAAGACCCTGTCTCAAAAAGAAAGAAAAAAAAAGAGCTAGAATGTTCCCGTGAGCTGATGGTTTTTATTTGGCTCCCCTGTGAACTTTTCTTCTCTGCCTGTCTCTTCATTGTGGGCTGACAGTTCTCTTTTTTTTGAGATGGAGTCTTGCTCTGTCGCCTAGGCTAGAGTGCAGTGGCGCAACCTTGGCTCATTGCAACCTCCACCTCCTGGGTTCAAGAAATTCTCCTGCCTCAGCCTCCCGAGTAGCTGGGATTACAAGTGCCCACCACAATGCCCAGCTAATTTTTGTATTTTTAGTAGAGACAGGGTTTCACCATGCTGACCAGGCTGGTCTCGAACTCCTGACCTCAAGTGATCTGCCAGCCTCGGCCTCCCAAAGTGCTGGGATTACAGGCGTGAGCCACCGCACCCGGCTAGGGATGGGTTTTTCCCATGTTGGCGAGGCTGGTCTTAAACTCCTGACCTCAGGTGATCCACTCACCTCAGCCTCCCAAAGTGTTGGGATTACAGGCATGAGCCACCGACCCCACCAGCCCCAGAAACATTTAAGAGCCACTTGAAGCCTCAGTTTATTTATTTATTTTATTTTATTAGATGGAATCTTGTTCTGCCACGCAGGCTGGAGTGCAGTGGTGCGATCTCGGCTCACTGCAACCTCCACCTCCTGGGTTCAAGCAATTCTTCTGCCTCAGCCTTCTGAGTAGCTGTGATTATAGGTGCGCGCCACCACACCCAGCTAATTTTTTGTATTTTTAGTAGAGACGGGGTTTCACCATATTGGCCAGGCTGATCTCTAACTCCTGACCTCGTGATCCACCCACCTCAGCCTCCCAAAATGCTGGGATTATAGGTGTGAGCCACTGCCCCCAACTCCTCAGTTGTTTTTTTTTTTTTGAGGGTCAAAGAAGCCGGCCACATTGGCCAGGCTCTAATTCGAGAATAGCCGGAGGGGCTGTGTAAGGTGAGCTTTGAAGCATAAAGAACTTGCCAGAAAAGCAACAGGAGGAACAGCATTCCAGGCAGAAGGAACTTCCTGGGCAAAGGCTTAGAGCCTTCAAAGAGCCGCTCTAGGTGACACAGCGAGACTCCATCTCAAAAAAACAAAAACAAAAACGAAAAAAAAAAACACAACAAAAACCCAGCTCTACTAAAAATACTATATATATCTCAGCCGGGCCTGGTGGTGCATGCCTGTAATCCCAGCTACTTGGGAGGCTGAGGCAGGAGAATTGCTCGATCCCTGGAGGTGGAGGTTGCAGTGAGCCGAGATTGAGCCACTGCACTCCAGCCTGGGCGACAGAGCAAGACTCTTGTCTCAAAAAAATAAAAATAAATAAATAAATACTTCTGGGGCTAAGGGGGAAGTGTGCACTAAGAAGACAACGGCAGCCTGGGCGACAGAGTGAGACTCCATCTAAAAAATAAAAATAAAAAAAAAAGGAAGGAAGCCTAGGGTAGTCTGATGCGGTGGTCCTCGCCTGTAGTCCCAGCTACTTGAGCGATCGCTTGGCTGTAGTGACTAGCCATGATCGCGTGACTGCAGTCTAGTTTGGGCGACAGAGCGATACCCTGTCTCTAAAAATAAGAAAAAAAAAAGCCATGAAAAAAGAGGTAGGCTTGAAATAGGCCCGACTTAGCTTCGCTCCACCTACAGTGACCCAATAAGACCAGAGTAAGTATTTTTTGATTCATGCAAATATATGTAAAATAAGGAACAAGAATTAAGTAATTGGGAAGGGCCCTGGATGCTCAGGCCACACCCACATGGGAATACCTGCCCCACATGGAGGCTCAGGCCAGCTCCACCAATCACCAATCAGCTCCTCCTCTTTCCCTAAATCGGCCTTCTCCGTCCCTCTTAGCCTATCACATTGCAAGCTCCACCTCTATTCCACGTTTCAGCCTATCACGGTAGAAGCACTGACTATTGTAGTCTGATTCGGCCAAAAACAAAAATTCACTAATTTTTTTAATCCAATCACATTTCATACTTTGCTCCAGTGTAGCCAATCACATTCCAGGTCCCGCCGCACCCAGCTCCAGGCAGCTCTCACTCCAAACCCCACCCCCAACCCAGTTTCAGCCTATCAGTTTCCAAGTTCTTTCTAGCCTCAACCAGTTTCTGTCTCTGCTTGTTCTGCAGCCCGCTGAACTACATTTCCCAGGAGGCGTCGGGGCTGCGCCGTACAACTTCCGGCTGTAAAGATGGCGGCTTCCTAGTGAGTCGGCGGCTGATTTAGAAGGAGGTTCAGGCTACGGTGAGCCGAAGGTGGGTGGTGAAAGCGTGTGGGGCCCGTTCCTAGGGGCCCAGCTCCCTTTGCCCCAAGAGATCCAGCTCCTCGCCTTTCCTGGGGCTTCCGCCTTTATTTCTGGTTTCTCCTGCAGTGTAGCCTCCATCCTTCTTGCTGCCGCTAAAGCCTTGTTTTTCTTAGAGGTGTGGGGACTGCAAGGCGCTCAAAGACCATCTTGGGAAGCCCGTGCCTATTTCCCAGATAGACAAACTGCTCCATTCGCGTCCTGTTTCTCTCCAAGGGGAACCACAGTACTAATATTTTGCTTCTCCCTCATGCAGACACCCGCTAGGGACGAGGGTGTCCTAGAGGTTATTATTCCCTTATTCACCAAGACATTTTCAGTTTTAGGTAACAGAAAACCCTACTCAATCTGGCTTAAGGAAGAAAAGGAAGTTGGTGGCTTATAGATTGGGTCTAACAGGAGCTGGGTCCAGGTGGTCAGAATTCGATCTGCAGTTTTCTCGGTGGAGACCATTTCGCTTTTTACCGAGGCAAAAGGGGCCCCTCACAGCTCTCAACTTTATTCTACCAGCTCTGCAACTCTAATGAGAGTCTCTTTTCCTTGATGACACTGCTAGAAGTTGCAGAGCTGCCACTCAATGGCCTGATTTGGGTCATGTGCCCATCCCTGAGCCATTTTCAGTGGCCAGAGAGCTGGGATGTGCTCACTGGCCGAGTAGGGGCATGGGGCTAGCACTACGTTAAAAAAAAAAAGAGGAAAAAAGAGGGGGGACTGTTATCTTATGTCGGAGTGGCTGCTCGGCTGAGAGGTGTAAAAGGCAGCCATTCTGCAGCTGAGGAAAGTGACTCCCTAAGAGGAGTGACTCATCATCAGTAAGCGGCTCATCGCCCCTCTTCCTTCTTAGTAACCAATCTTTTTTTTTTTTTTTTTTTTGAGACGGAGTTTCGCTCTTTTTGCCCAGGATGGAGTGCAGTGGCGGGATCTCGGCTCACCGCAGCCTCCCCTCCCGGGTTCAAGCGATTCTCCTGCCTCAGCCTCCCGAGTAGCTGGGATTATCCGCATGCGCCACCACGCCCGGCTAATTTTGTATTTTTAGTTGAGACGGGGTTTCTCCATGTTGGTCAGGCTGGTCTCGAACTTCCAACCTCAGGTGATCCACCTGCCTCGGCCTCCCAAAGTGCTGGGATTACAGGCATGAGCCACCGTGCCCGACCGTAACCAAATGTTTTTAAAACTCCAAGGGGAGGATTCTGGCTTCCCCTGTCCGTGTTCCATCTAGCCACACAGGAGCCATGGAAGTGGCAGAGCCCAGCAGCCCCACTGAAGAGGAGGAGGAGGAAGAGGAGCACTCGGCAGAGCCTCGGCCCCGCACTCGCTCCAATCCTGAAGGGGCTGAGGACCGGGCAGTAGGGGCACAGGCCAGCGTGGGCAGCCGCAGCGAGGGTGAGGGTGAGGCCGCCAGTGCTGATGATGGGAGCCTCAACACTTCAGGAGCCGGCCCTAAGTCCTGGCAGGTGCCCCCGCCAGCCCCTGAGGTCCAAATTCGGACACCAAGGGTCAACTGTCCAGAGAAAGTGGTAAGTAGAGGGGGTGGCCTGGGGCTCTGAGATGCTAGGGAACCTAGCATCTTGTCTTTTGGGATTAACACTGCAAACATTCCCTTTGTATTCGTTACCTGTGGCTGCCACAAGTCACCGTGGACTTGGTAGCTTTCAACAAGAGAAATTTATTCTCTCACAGTTCTTGGGGCCAGAAGTCAGGTGTCGCCAGGGCCATGGCCCCTCAGGAGGCTCTAAGGGAGGGAATTCTTTCTTGCCTCTTCATTTTGTCTGTCTTTTTTTTTTTTTTTTTTTGAGATGGAGTTTCGCTCTTGTTGCCCAGGCTGGAGTGCAATGGCACGATCTTGGCTCACTGCAACCTCTGCCTCCCGGGTTCAAGCAATTCTCCTGCCTCAGCCTCCCGAGCAGCTGGGATTACAAGTGCCCACCACAACGCCCGGCTAATTTTTATATTTTTAGTAGAGACAGGGTTTCACCACATTGGCCAGGCTGGTCTCGAACTCTTGACCTTGGGTGATCCGCCTGCCTTGGCCTCCCAAAGTGCTGGGATTATAGGCATGAGCCACTCTGCCTGACCCTTTCTTGCCTTTTCTAGCCTCTCGTGGCTCCTGGCATTCCTTGGATTGTGGCTGCATCACTCTAGTCTTTGCCCAATTTTTTTTTTTTGTTTTTTTGAGATGGAGTCTTGCTCTGTCACCCAGGCTGGAGTGCAGTGGTGTGATCTCAGCTCACTGCAACCTCCGCCTCCTGGGTTCATGCCATTCTCCCGCCTCAGCCTCCTGAGTAGCTACAGGCGCCCGCCACCATGCCCGGCTAATTTTTTGTATTTTTAGTAGAGATGGGGTTTCTTTCTTTCTTTTTTTTTTTTTTGAGAAGGAGTCTCACTCTGTTGCCCAGGCTGGAGTGCAGTGCAGTGGCGCTATCTCGGCTCACTGCAAGCTCTGCCTCCCGGGTTCATGCCATTCTCCTGCTTCAGCCTCCCGAGTAGCTGGGACTACAGGCGCCCGCTACTACGCCTGGCTAATTTTTTGTATTTTTTAGTAGAGACAGGGTTTCACCGTGTTAGCCAGGATGGTCTCGATCTCTTGACCTCGTGATCCACCTGCCTCGGCCTCCCAAAGTGCTGGGATTACAGGCGTGAGCCACCGCACCCAGCCACTGAGATGAGGTTTCACCGTGTTAGCCAGGATGGTCTCCATCTCCTGACCTTGTGTTCCACCCACCTCAGCCTCCCAAAGTGCTGGGATTACAGGTGTTAGCCACCGCGCCTGGCTGTCTTTGCCTAATTCTGTCCAGTCCTCATATCCTCATAAAGCCTTTCTCACTGTGTCTCTGTGTCTTCTCCGCTTCTGTCTCCTATAAGGACACTTGTCATCAAAACAGGATCTTATCTCAAGACCCTTACTTTAATTACATCTGCAGAGACCCTGATTCCAAATAAGGTCACATTCTTTTTTTTTTTTTTTTTTTTGAGACGGAGTCCCGCTCTGTCACCAGGCTGGTGTGCAGTGGCGTGATCTCAGCTCACTGCAACCTCCGGCTCCCTGGTTCAAATGATTCTCCTGCCTCAGCCTCCCAAGTAGCTGGGATTGCAGGCACTCACCGCCACACCCAACAAATTTTTTTTTTTTTGAGACGGAGTCTCGCTCTGTCGCCCAGGCTGGAGTGGAGTGGCACAACCTCGGCTCACTGCAAGCTCCGCCTCCTGGGTTCACTCCATTCTCCTGCCTCAGCCTCCCAAGTAGCTGGGACTACAGGCGCCCGCCACCACGCCTGGCTAATTTTTTTGTATTTTTTTAGTAGAGACCAGGTTTCACCCTGTTAGCCAGGATGGTCTCGATCTCCTGACCTCGTGATCCTCCCGTCTCGGCCTCCCAAAGTGCTGGGATTCCAGGCATGAGCCACCACGCCTGGCCTCTTTTTTTTTTTTTTTGAGACAGAGTTTCACTCTGTCACCCAGGCTGGAGTGCAGTGGCTCAATCAGGGCTCACTGCAACCTCCACCTCCCGGGTTCAAGCAATTCTCTTGGTTTAGCCTCCTGAGTAGCTGGGATTACAGGTAGGTGCCACCACACCTGGCCAATTTTTTGTATTTTTAGCAGAGATGGGGTTTCACCATGTTGGCCAGGCTGGTCTCAAACTCCTGACCTGAAGTGATCCACCCACCTTGCCCTCCCTAAGTGCTGGGATTACAGGTGTGAGCCACTGTGCCAGGCCAAATAAGGTCACATTCTCAGGTTCTGGGTGGACATGTCTTTTGGGAGCCACAGTTCGATCCACTATATCCTCATTTCTGTGTTTCTGTGTCACACATTCTCTGGCTCATTTATTTACTTATCTACTTGGACTCCCAGTTCAGTGCCCATTCTTCTAAGCCATTGCTTTTCAAAGTAGATGGCTTGGCTGAGGATTAGAGGTCACCATACTGCCTTTTCAGACAAGGCAGCTTGAAGAGGGCCAGTGAGTGGTGTGGGGGCCAACGTTAAGGTCAGAGGACGCTCACCACCCTCCAACTACCTTGCAGATTATCTGCCTGGACCTGTCAGAGGAAATGTCACTGCCAAAGCTGGAGTCGTTCAACGGGTAAGAGGGACATTTTAGGGCTTGAACATGCAGCCATGGCAGGGAGGGTCCAGCCCAAAAGATACGGGGCTCTCACTCTGAAACTCACACCAGCTTGGTCTGGCTTCAGGCTTGGCAGTATCAGAGATTAGCAAGAGCCAGGTGCAGTGGCTCATGCCTGTAATCCCAGTGACTCGGGAGGCTGAGATAGGAGGATCACTTGAGGCTAGGGGTTCGAGACTAGTCTGGGCAACATGGACCCCATCTCTAAAAAAATAAAATATATATATGTATGTGTATGTATGTATGTATTTATTTATTTTTGAGACAGGGTGTCGCTCTCTTGCCTAGGCTGGAGTGCAATGGCATGAGCTCAGCTCACTGCAACCCCTGCCTCCTGGGTTCAAGCCATTCTTGTGCCTCATCCTCCCGAGTACCTGAGATTATAGGCATGCACCACCATGCCCGTTTAATTTTTGTATTTTTAGTAGAGACAGAGTTTTGCCATGTTGGCCAGGCTGGTCTCAAAACTCCTGATCTGAAGTCATCTGCCTGCCTTGACCTCCCAAAGTGCTGGGATTACAGGCATGAGCACCCAGCCTCTAAATGTATTTTTAAAAAATTAGCGAGCATGGTGGCGTGCTCCTAGAGTCCCAGCTACTTGGGAGGGCAAGCTGGGAGGATCACTTGATCCCAAGAGTTTGAGGCTGCAGTGAGCTATGATTTTGCCACCACACTCCAGCCTGGGCGACAGAGCGAGACCCTGTCCCTTTTTTTTGTTTTTTTTTTGAGACGGAGTCTCGCTCTGTCGCCCAATCTGGAGTGCAGTGGTGCGATCTCCGCTCACTGCAAGCTCCGCCTCCCGGGTTCATGCCATTCTCCTGCCTCAGCCTCCGAGTAGCTGGGACTACAGGTGCCTGCCACCACGCCTGGCTAATTTTTTTGTATTTTTAGTAGAGATGGGGTTTCACCGTGTTAGCCAGGATGGTCTCAAATCTCCTGACCTCATGATCCGCCTGCCTCGGCCTCCCAAAGTGCTGGGATTACAGGTGTGAGCCACCGCGCCCAGCCGACCCTGTCTCTTTAAAAAAAGGAAAAAAGAAGCCGGGCTTGGTGGCTCATACCTGTAATCCCATTACTTTGGGAGGCCAAGGTGGGCGGATCACGAGGTCTGGAGTTCGAGACCAGCCTGGCCGACATAGTGAAACCCCCACCTCCACTAAAAATACAAAAATTAGCTGGGCACGGTGGTGCGTGCCTGTAATCCCAGCTACTCGGGAGGCTGAGGCAGGAGAATCGTTTGAATCTGGGAGATGGAGGTTGCGGTGAGCCAAGATCGCGCCATTGCACTCCAGCCTGGGCAACAAGAACGAAACTCCATCTCAAAAAAAGTAAAATAAAATAAAAAAAGAGTAGCAAGGACAACTGGTAATGTTAAGGCTATGGCCCATTGAGGCTCCATTCATAGCAATGAGTTGGAGACGCCAAGAAGCAAAGTGACTTGCTCAAGGGCTCAGAGTAATGGGGCAGAGCCAGGATTCGGACCCAGGCCTGGCTGGCCCTGAAGCCCTTGTCTGGAGTCATGTGCTGCCTGCAGCTGTATCTGGAGTGGGGGGCAGTTTGGGTTGCAGGACCTGGATGGGGCTTGAGGACCTCCTTGGAGATGTTGAAGGTGACACCTTCTTCCCCTCAGTGGCATTCACAACTGCCCATGGCTGAGCAAAGTTCCTGCAATGACTCTAGGGGAAACTTGAGCCCCATGCTGCGCAGAGGGACCCATTTGGAGAGGGCAGGAGCTCCGATGTCAGCCAGACTGGGTTTGTGGCTGAGCTCCGCCACACCCCTGCAGTATGACCTATACCTCCAGGGCCTTATCATGCAGGGTTTTCAGAGGAGGGTGGCTGAAGGAAGTTTTTTTTTGTTTGTTTTGTTTTTTTTTTTTTTTTTGAGACAGAGTCTCACTCTGTCGCCCAGGCTGGACTGCAGTGGCGCGATCTCAGCTCACTGCAACCTCCGCCTTCTGGGTTCAAGCAATTCTCTGACTCAGCCTCCTGAGTAGCTGGGATTACAGGCACTCGCCACCACGCCTGGCTAATTTTTTTGTATTTTTAGTAGAGATGGGGTTTCACCATCTTGACCAGGCTGGTGTTGAACTCCTGACCTCGTGATCCACCTGCCTCAGCCTCCCAAAGTACTGGAATTACAGGCGTGAGCCACTGTGCCCGGCCCTGAGGGAACCTTAATTCCCCTGTACTCTCTGCCTCCCCAGCTCCAAAACCAACGCCCTCAATGTCTCCCAGAAGATGATTGAGATGTTCGTGCGGACAAAACACAAGATCGACAAAAGCCACGAGTTTGCACTGGTGGTGGTGAACGATGACACGGCCTGGGTGAGGCTGCGGCAGGCGCTGGGTGCCCTGGGGTCCCCTGGGGCCCGGGGAGCATCGCACTGAGGCCTCTGCTTCCCTGCAGCTGTCTGGCCTGACCTCCGACCCCCGCGAGCTCTGTAGCTGCCTCTATGATCTGGAGACGGCCTCCTGTTCCACCTTCAGTATCCTTCCTGGCAGAGATGTCCCCATGAAGGGGGCTGTCTCCTTCTGTCATCCTTGGGGCCCAGGAAAGTCTAAGTCATGACTCTGGCTGGCTGAGGTTCAGATCTCAGATCTGCCAAGGCTGGGAAAGTCACCCCTCTGAGCCTCAGTTTCCCCATCTGTACTGTGGAAGGCACAAAGTTGCCTACCCCATGGAGATGCTGTAACAATACAGAAGCAAAAGTACCTGATTTGGTCCGGGCATGGTGGTCCATGCCTATAATCCCAGCGACTTGCGAGGCTGAGGCACAAGAATCACTTGAGTCCGGGAGGCGGAGGTTGCAGTGAGCTGAGATCTTGCCACTGTACTCCAGCCTGGGAGACAGAGTGAGACTCCGTCTTTTTTAAAAAAAAAAAAGAAAGAAATACCTGATTTGTATTCAGGAGGTCCAAAATTCATGCACAAGGGGATCACCTCACACAGGACTGGGCATACAGTCAGTGCTCAATAAATGGCAGTGTGTGACAGAAGTGTCACCATTGTTCCTACAGCCACTTGAACCTGGGCGCAGGACATTTTATGGTAATTTGGACATAAAAGGCTCATGTGTGGCCCAAAACTGAAATAGAATAGGACTCTCGTAAGTTAAAAAAGGAATAAATGGTGAGAGTTTTTTCCAGGAGGACAAGACACCCCTGGCTCTTTTCATTTTGAGGAGAGTGGCCCCAGCCATGCAGGAAAGGGGACCTTTTTTTATTTTTGCTCCTGTTGCTCTTGTTGCCCTGGCTGAGTGCAGTGATGCGATCTTGGCTCATTGCAACTTCCACCTCCCAGCTTCAAGCGATTCTCCTGCCTTAGCCTCCCAAGTAGCTGGGATTACAGGTGTGCACCACCACACCTGGCTAATTTTGAATGTTTTGTAGAGATGGGGTCTTGCTATGTTGCCCAGGCTGGTCTTGAATTCCTGGGCTCAAGTGATCAGCCCACCCCAGCCTCCCAAAGTGCTGAGATTACAGGCATGAGCCACCATACCCGGCCCCATTCTGTTTTAAAACATAAATTAGATTCCATCCCATCCCATCTCTGCTCCAAAACCTCCCATGGCTCCCTGTGGATCTTATTTATTATTATATTTTTTTTTGAGATGGAGTCTCGCTCTTGTTGCCCAGGCTGGAGTGCAGTGGCACGATCTTGGCTCACCGCAATCTCCACCTCCCGAGTTCAAGCAATTTTCCTGTCTTAGCCTCCCAAGTAGCTGGGATTACAGACATGTGCCATCAGGCCCAGCTAATTTTGTATTTTTAGTAGAGACAGGGTTTCACCGTGTTGGCCAGGCTGGCCTCGAACTCCTGACCTCAGATGGTCCACCCGCCTTGGCCTCCCAAAGTGCTATGATTGCAGGCGTGTGCCACCATGCCTGGCATACCAAGAGTCTTAAAGTCATCCGGTACCAGCATCCTATTTTGTGATCCATGCTGAGGGGAATTTGTGTGTCAGAGAGGGCAAGTGACTTGGCCAGGGTCACATGGTGCGTCCCTAGGGGTGCCGGGTCTCCTCTGGTATCGGGATCGGGGAAGCCACCTGTTTCCCGCTCACTCGTGCTCTACTAGCCTTCTCCTTAGCACCCCCACCAGATCTGGAAGGACTTTTCAGCCTCATGTAAGTCCCCTGTGGGGAAATTCTTATTCACCTTCAAAGAGAAGGGTCACTTCTGGGAAAAAGCTCCAAACGGCACAGAAGTAATCTAGGGAGCCTTAAAGCCTCCTCCCTTCCTACCTCGCCCCGAGCAATTCCTCATTTATGTGTGTCTTGGGAGCATGGGGGCTGGTGGAGATGCACATGCTGCTAGGCAGCTCCAGCTGACGGCAGTGATGGGGGATGTTCAGGACACTGAGGGTGGCCGGGCCCAGTGGCTCAGGCCTGTAATCTCAGCACTTTGGGAGGCCGAGGCGGGCAGATCACCTGAGGTCAGGAGTTTGAGACCAGCCTGCCCAACATGGTGAAACCGCGTCTCTACTAAAAATACAAAAATTAGCTGGCCACCTGTAATCCCAGCTACTTGAGAGGCCGAGGCAGGAGAATCGCTTGAACCTGGGAGGTAGAGGTTGCAGTGAGCCGAGATCTCACCATTGCACTTAGAGGGGTGGGGCTGGGAACATGCTCAGGGCAGAGGGAACCGCTTATGGGATGCCTCACAGGCAGCAGTGAACTTGGGAGACATCAGTGGGGCCTCACCTGCCCGGTGAGCATCTGGGGTCTCTCTCAGGGTGATAAGAGGGGCAGACCCCCACAGGCTGCTCTGACTGCTCCCTCCTCCCGGGTATGCAGCCAGCAGAAAACTGAGCTTCCGGTCACAGAGAACGTGCAGACGATTCCCCCGCCATATGTGGTCCGCACCATCCTTGTCTACAGCCGTCCACCTTGCCAGCCCCAGTTCTCCTTGACGGAGCCCATGAAGGTGGGTGAGGCCTGGGAGAGGGAGGGGTGCCTGCAGCCATGAGGATGGTGGTTAGACACCAGGAGGGACTTCCAACCACAGAGGCTGGGGTGCCTAGAGGTAAGTTCCCAGAGTCTGAGGCAGAAATGGGGGAGCTATAGTCATGGGGCACGGGGTGACCCAAGCCCCAGAGGCTGGTGTTCTTTACTTCCCCTGCAGAAAATGTTCCAGTGCCCATATTTCTTCTTTGACGTTGTTTACATCCACAATGGCACTGAGGAGAAGGAGGAGGAGATGAGTTGGAAGGTGAGAGGCTGCAGCAGGTGTGAGTAGCAGGCGGGTGTGGACAGGATGTCTTGGAACACACCTGCACTGGGTCTGGGGGTCTCTACCTCCATTTGATACCCCTGGAACCCTGGTTGGGGTAGGTCATGGCATTGGTCATTGAACAGCCGTTTCCCAGTTGTCTGCTGTGACTGATGGGGTGGCAGCCATTGGGACGATGGTCCAGGCAACATGTTGAGTCCTGCCTCCCCCATCTCCAACGTTCCCTGCGTTCCTTTCTTTCTTGCTTGCTTGCTTGCTTTTCTTTCTTCTTCTTTTTTTTTTTTTTTTTGAGACAGAGTCTCCCTCTGTCTCCCAGGCTGGAGTGTAGTGGCATGATCTCGGCTCACTGCAACCTCTGCCTCCCGGGTTCAAGCAATTCTCCTGTGTCAGCCTCCCGAGTAGCTGGGGTTACAGGTACCTGCCATCATACCAGGTTAATTTTTGTATTTTTAGTAGAGACGGGGTTTCACCATGTTGGCCAGACTGGTCTTGAACTCCTGATCTCAGGTGATCTGCCTGCTTCAGCCTCCCAAAGCGCTGGGATTACAGGTGTGAGCCACCACGACCCGCTCCCTCTTCCCTTTCTTCCTGCCTTTGACCTCGCTGCACCCTCAGCCTGGAGCATCCATCCCTCTTGGACTCCCCAGGCCCTGCTGGGCCTTCACATCCCAGACCTGAATTAGCTGTGGGACCTCGAGTGGACTACTTACTTCTCTGAGCCTCAGTTTACCCAACTATGAACAGGGAATTGAGACCAGCTCCTCCTTATATCTCAGTACCCAAATCAAAAGTCCCCCCTCTAGCCAGGCGTGGTGGTGTACGCCTGTGGTCCCAGCTGCTCGGGAGGCTGAGACAGGAGGCTCGCTAGAGCTCGAAAGGTGGAGATTGTAGTGAGCTGTGATGAAGCCACTGCACTCCAGCCTGGGTGACAGGGCGGAGACCCTGTGTCAAAAAATAAAAATACGGCCAGGTGTGGTGGCTCACACCTGTAATCCCAGCACTTTGGGAAGCCGAGGCGGGTGACTCACTTGAGTTGGGAGTTCGGACCAGCCTGACCAACATGGAGAAACCCTGTCTCTACTAAAAATACAAAATTAACCAGGCGTGGTGGCACATACCTATAATCCCATCTACTCAGGAGGCTGAGGCAGGAGAATCGCTTGAACCCGGGAGGCAGAGGTTGCGGTGAGCCGAGATCGTGCCGTTGCACTCCAGCCTGGGAACAACAGCGAAACCCTGTCTCAAAAAAAAAATTAAAAAAATAAAATAAGTAAAATAAAAAGTCCCTCCTCTTGAGAAGCCCTCCCTGTTTTTCAAGAAGGATCAAAGTGGGGGCCAGGAGAATGTGTCTGTATCTGACTGTGTGCCTCCACACTGGGGACTCTTTTTTTTTTTTGAGGCGGAGTCTCGCTCTGTCGCCCAGGCTGGAGAGCAGTGGTGTGATCTCGGCTCACTGCCAGCTCCGCCTCCCGGGTTTGCGCCATTCTCCTGCCTCAGCCTCCCGAGTAGCTAGGACTACAGGTGCCTGCCACCACGCCCGGCTAATTTTTTGTATTTTTTAGTAGAGACGGGGTTTCACTGTGTTAGCCAGGATGGTCTTGATCTCCTGACCTTGTGATCTGCCCGCCTCAGCCTCCCAAAGTGCTGGGATTACAGGCGTGAGCCACCGCGCCCGGCCCACACTGGGGACTCTTTGGGGGCCATGACTGGGACCTCTTCAGATCCTTAACACTGGGTCCATGGCGGGGAATGTTTGCTGAATGTGTGAATGGTTTCTGCTTGGCAAACTCCTCTTCACCCTTTAGAACCCACCCCAGATGTCCCCTCTTCTGAGAAGCCCTCCAGGGATATGAAGGGCCTGTTGGGGTAACCTCTGCCTGAACAGCCCTTCACTGACCCCCGCCTCCCCGGCAGGATATGTTTGCCTTCATGGGCAGCCTGGATACCAAGGGTACCAGCTACAAGTATGAGGTGGCACTGGCTGGGCCAGCCCTGGAGTTGCACAACTGCATGGCGAAACTGTTGGCCCACCCCCTGCAGCGGCCTTGCCAGAGCCATGCTTCCTACAGCCTGCTGGAGGAGGAGGATGAAGCCATTGAGGTTGAGGCCACTGTCTGAACCATCCCTGTACATCTGCACCTTCTTGTGCAAGGAAGTCCTTGGCCTAAAGCCTTGGTTCTCAAACTGGGTTCCTTGGGACCTCCGGGGTGGGGGGGTTCCAGGAGGCACGTAGGGTACCTTGCAGGGTCCTAGGAGGGAAACCCAGGATTCCAGGAGGGATCCCAGGAACTGTGGGCACCCATTTTCTGTGTCTCCCAGCCCATTTCCACTCCTAGTTTGTCATGGATAATTTTTGTTCTTCCCTGTGTGATTTTTGCCATCAAAATAAAAATTTGAGACTCGTTAACCGAAGTCCACGCCAATCACTTTGTGTTAATGGGGATCATCTTCATTGCAAGTGATGGAAAACTTAGCCACTGAGCAAAGGTGAGTGGCTGCTTTCTTGTAGATGAAAAAGCCCCGGGATGTGGAGGTTGCAGCGAGTTGAGATTGCACCACTGTACTCCAGCCTGGTGATAGAGTGAGAGCTTTTCTCAAATAAAAAAGAAAAATTCAAAAATAAAAAAGATGAAAAAGCCAAGAGAACAGCTTCAGGCTTGGCTGTGTCCAGGTGCTAGGACAACATTGCCATTTGGGAGGGTACTACATGGTTGCTAGTCAATGTGCCCTGCTTACCCCCCAACCAATGGAAAGGTGTGTGATGGCTTCAACCACTCCCCAGACCCCAATCCAGGTCAAGGCAGAGTTCTCTCAGCATCTGGATATGATTGGACTCCCCCGGGGGGATACATGACCTTCAATTAAGAGCTAGTCATGTACCAGGGTTGTGTGATGTTCTGATGAGCCAGGCCTGGATCATACATCCCTAAGGGGGAGGTTTAAGAGCTCCATCAGCAGTACTGAGGCCATGATAGGAGGGTTGCTTGAGGCCAGGAGTTCAAGACCACGCTGGACAACATAGCAACATTTCCTGTCTCTACAGGAAATGCAAAAATTAAGCCAGGCTCGGTGGCTCACGCCTGTGATTCCCAGCTACTTGAGAGGCTGAAGTGGGAGGATCACTTGAACCTAGGAGGTCGAGGCTGCAGTGAGCTGTCATCGCGCCACTGCACTCTAGCCTGGGTGACAGAGCAAGACCCTATCTCAAAAATAAACACAAACAGCTTTATTGAGTGACTGCTTTTCCTCCCTATGAGCATTTTTTGGAACCTATCGTGTGTCAGGCCCTTGTGCCCAAGCCCCTGTTCAATCCCCGCATCAACCTCGTTAGGATTCTCACATTTTGCAGATGGGACACTAAGACTCTCAGAGGTCCAGCCCTCCAAAATACTGAAGTCCTAGTTCCGCTGGATTGAAAATGGGCAACGCAGAACGGGGACTGGAAATTTTTTAAAAATTGTTTTTAAAGACGGGGTCTTGGCCAGGCGCAGTGGCTCACGGCTGTAATCTCAGCACTTTGGGAGGCCGAGGTGGGCGGATCACAAGGTCAGGAGTTCGAGACCAGCCTGACCAACATGGTGAAACCCCGTCTTTACTAAAAATAAAAAATTAGGCGTGATGGTGCATGCCTGTAATCCCAGCTACTGGGGAGGCTGAGGCAGGAGAAGCTGTTGAACCCTGGAGGAGGAGGTTGCAGTGAGCTGAGATCACACCACTGCACTCCAGCCTGGGCAACAAGAGCAAAACTCCGTCTCAAAAATAAATAAATAAATAAAACAAAGACAAGGTCTCCGCCTGTAATCCTAGCACTTTGGGAGGCCGAGGCGGGCGGATCACCTGAGATCAGGAGCTCAAGACCAGCCTGGACAACATGGTGAAACCCCATCTCTACTAAAAATACAAAAATTAGCCGAGAGTGGTGGCACATGCCTGTAATCCCAGCTACTTGGGAGGCCGAGGCAGAATAGCTTGAACCTGGGAGGCAAATGTTGCAGTGAGCCCAGATTGCGCCACTGCACTCCAGCCTGGGCGACAGGGTAAGATCCGGCTCAAAAAAAAAAAAAAAAAAAAAAAAAAAAATAGGGCCTCACTCCGTTGCCCAGGCTGGTCTCAAACTCCTGCACTCACTAAAAGAAAAGAAAAGCAACAACAAACTAGTAGGCTCAAACGATCTTCTCTCCTCAGCCTCCCAAAGCACTGTGCTTAAAGGCGTGAGCTGGGCCCTCGGCCTGGGGGTTGGAAATTGAAGCCTCTATTTTATGTATTTATTTATTTTCTGAGACAGAGTTTTGCTCTGTTGCCCAGGCTGGAGTGCAGTGGTGTGATCATGGCTCACTGCATCCTCGAACTTCCGGGCTCAAGAGATTCTACCAACTCAGCCTCCCAAGTAGCTGGGACCACAGGTGCAAGCCACCCACGCCCGGCTAGTTTTTTGTATTTTTTTGTAGGGACTGGGTTTATCCAAGTTGCCCAGGCTGGTCTCGAACCCCAGAGCTCAAGCAACCCTCCTGCCTGGGCCTCCCGAAGTGCTGGGATTACAGGTGTGAGCCACCGTGCCCGGCCTAAGCCTCTCATAAGGCCGTGCTCCCTGCCAGAGGCCACCCTTGAAGAAGATTCCCTGAGACTTAATGACCTGGGGCACCCCGGACTTTCTTAATCGTAGCTCCACCCACTCGAGCCGGGTGCCTTCGCGTTTCCCGTTTTTAAATGAGATAGTGGCACACCCGGTGGCATCCTCCCACCCGGGCTCTTATCGGCGGTCCCAGACCCTGCTTGAGCGCCTCCGGGTGTCAAGGGCCCCTGAGGACACTAAAGCTCTCGAACCCCGATGTGGACCCCCGTGCGGCGCGGGGCAGCCTGGCTGGGAACCCTGCTCGGCCCTGGAGAGGGGCCCCCCGAGCCGAGGGGAGGAGCGGCGCATGCCCACAAGCCCCCCGCGGGAAGTAGGAAATCGACCGACCAGGCGGTGCGCTTCGGACCCAGCCAGGGCATGTGCTCGGAGGCCCGCCTGGCTCGCAGGTTGCGGGATGCGCTGCGGGAGGAGGAGCCGTGGTGAGGGCGGGGCCGGGGGCGGGCCAGGAGTGGGGGTCTTTGGCCGGGGTCCACTCTGACCGCGGTGTTTGCAGGGCAGTAGAGGAGCTGCTGCGCTGCGGCGCGGACCCTAATTTGGTGCTAGAGGACGGCGCAGCGGCTGTGCACTTGGCGGCCGGAGCCCGGCACCCGCGCGGCCTGCGTTGCCTCGGGGCCCTACTGCGCCAAGGCGGGGACCCCAACGCTCGGTAAGATAGAGCCTGGGTCCGGGGCGGGGTCTCCCCAAGCCGAAGTCTGGGAATCCGGGAAGGGGCGCCCCATCATCCCGGGCCAGGCCTCGGGGCTCGAGGGTGGGGTTTAGGGGATCTTGGGGAGGGAACTTGGGGGTCCAAGGGCAGGGGCTAGGGCTCGAGGGAGGCGCTGGGGTCCCAGACCGAGGGCGTGGAATGGGGCTGCGCTAGGACCAAAGTGGGGATCAAGGGTTCGGATATTGGAGTGGAGGCACCAGGGTCAGACGGCAGAGGTTTGGGTCCTGGCCTGAGGTCATAGCATCTAGGTTCCAAGGGCAGTGTACCAGGGTGGACGGCGGAGATCCGGGAGGCCGAGAACGAAGGCTCCAGGTCCCCAGAGCGGAGATCGGGGTTCCTGCCGGGAGGCTGAGTCCGCAATGACCCCTCTTGCGCTGCCGCCCCAGATCTGTCGAGGCACTGACGCCGCTGCATGTGGCCGCCGCGTGGGGCTGCCGCCGCGGCCTGGAGCTGCTGCTGAGCCAAGGAGCGGACCCGGCGCTGCGCGACCAGGTTGGGAGGCACTGCGCGGGCAAAGAAAGGCTGGGTGAGCCCAGAGGGAGGGAAGGAAGGTAAGAGGGCCTCGGGCGCCCCCTGCTGACCGCGCCCCTGTAGGACGGACTCCGGCCGCTGGACCTGGCCCTGCAGCAGGGACACCTGGAGTGCGCGCGAGTCCTGCAGGATCTCGACACGCGGACCAGGACCCGGACCCGGATCGGGGCAGAGACTCAGGAGCCCGAGCCTGCACCTGGCAGTGAGTAGGGCCTGCAGGGCTGCTGGGGCTTGACTTCTGGACCAGTCCCTGACATCCAGGGTCTTCCCCACCCCACCCATTGGTTCTGACCGTCTCACATCCACTATTTGTGGCCAGCTCTTTCGGCCTCAGACACTCTGATCTCCTTTTTCTGTTTGATCCTATTCTCATCGCTGTCTCATCCCTCCTCCTCTCCTCTCTGGCCCCCACTCTCACCTGCAGCCCCAGGCCTCTCTGGACCTACCGATGAGACGCTGGACTCCATAGCACTCCAAAAGCAGCCATGCAGAGGTGACAACAGGGACATTGGCTTGGAGGCTGACCCAGGACCCCCCAGCCTCCCTGTTCCCCTTGAAACTGTGGACAAACATGGGAGCTCGGCGTCCCCTCCAGGGCACTGGGATTACAGCTCAGACGCCTCTTTCGTCACAGCGGTTGAGGTCTCTGGAGCTGAGGACCCAGCCTCGGACACTCCCCCCTGGGCTGGGTCATTGCCACCGACCAGGCAGGGACTTCTGCATGTTGTCCATGCCAACCAGAGGGTACCTAGGTCTCAGGGCACGGAGGCAGAACTGAATGCCCGTCTGCAGGCCCTGACTCTGACCCCACCAAATGCTGCTGGCTTCCAGTCCTCCCCTTCCTCCATGCCTCTCCTGGACAGGAGTCCAGCTCATAGCCCCCCACGGACACCAACCCCTGGAGCTTCTGACTGCCACTGCCTGTGGGAGCACCAGACATCCATTGATAGTGACATGGCCACGCTCTGGCTGACAGAGGATGAGGCAAGCTCTACAGGTGGCAGGGAACCTGTCGGCCCTTGCCGGCACCTGCCAGTCTCCACTGTGTCTGACTTGGAGTTGCTGAAGGGACTCCGAGCACTTGGTGAGAATCCTCACCCCATCACACCCTTCACCAGGCAGTTGTACCACCAGCAGCTGGAAGAAGCCCAGATTGCTCCTGGTTAGTCTTCCCAGGGCACATGGAGTCCAGGGAGCCTCCAGGAATCTCCCGGAGAACCCCAGCTCTCAGCCCCACTTTCCTCCCCATCTCAGAATCATCCCTTCCTCCATCTCCCTTGACTTCCAGGCCCAGAGTTTTCAGGGCACAGCCTAGAACTGGCTGCAGCCCTGCGGACGGGCTGTATTCCAGATGTCCAGGCAGATGAAGACGCGCTGGCCCAGCAGTTTGAGCAGCCAGATCCTGCCAGGAGGTGGCGGGAGGGGGTCGTGAAGTCTAGCTTCACCTATCTGCTGCTGGACCCCAGGTACTCAGGGCAGGAAAGCCCCAGAAATAGAAACTAGAAAATTTGGGGATTGGTTTTTATTTGCTGTGTGCCCTTAAGAAAGGGACTGGCCCTAGAATCATCAGCTGCTTCTTCTTCTTTTTTTTTATTTTTTTAAGACGGAGTTTCACTCTTGTTGCCAAGGCAGGAGTACAATGGTGCCGTCTCGGCTCACTGCAACCTCCACCTCCCAGGTTCAAACAATCCTCTTGTCTCAGCCTCTCAAGTAGCTGGGATTACAAGCACCTGCCACCACGCCCGACTAATTTTTGTATTTTTAGTAGAGACGAGGTTTCACCATGTTGGCCAGGCTGGTCTCGAACTCCTGACCTCAGGTAATCCACCCACCCTGGCCTCCCAAAATGCTGGGACTACAGGTGTGAGCCACCGCACCGGCCTCTTTTTTTTTTTTTTTTTTTGAGGCGGAGTCTCACTGTTTCGCCCAGGCTGGAATGTAGTAGCGCAATCTTGGCTCACTGCAACCTCCGCCTCCTGGGTTCAAGTGATTCTTGTGCCTCAGCCTCCCAAGTAGTTGGGATTACAGGCATGTGCCACCATGCCTGGCTAATTTTTTTTGTAATTTTAGTAGATATGGAGTTTCACCATGTTGGCCAGGCTGGTCTTGAGCTCCCAGCCTCAAGTGATCCTCCTGCCTTGGCCTCCCAAAGTGTTGGCATTACAGGCATGAGCCCCGGCTGGCCATGGTGGCTCACGCCTGTAATACCAGCACTTTGGGAGGCTGAGGTGGGCGGATCACCTGAGGTCAGCAGTTAGAGACCAGCGTGTTCAACGTGGAGAAACCCCATTTCTACTAAAAATACAAAATTAGCCAGGTGTGTTGGTGCATGCCTGTAATCCCAGCTATTCAGGAGGCTGAGGCAGGAGAATCACTTGAACCCAGGAGGTGGAGATTGCAGTGAACTGAGATTGTGCCATTGCACTCCAGCCTGGGGAACAAGAGTGAAACTCTGTCTCAAAAAAAAAAAAAAAGAAAGCTGCTGAATGTCTTTGGGGAGCCGCTGACTCTCTCTGATCCTGTAATCAGGAGTCACTAGACATGGGTTCAAGATATGTTGTGACTTTAAGGACTGCCTCTGGGGACCACTGTATCCACTTTTCCCTGTCTGAGCTATCCCCTTCATCCAGGGAGACTCAGGACCTGCCAGCCCGAGCCTTCTCACTGACCCCAGCTGAGCGCCTTCAGACTTTCATCCGTGCCATCTTCTACGTGGGCAAAGGGACGAGGGCCCGGCCATATGTCCACCTCTGGGAGGCCCTTGGTCACCATGGGCGGTCAAGAAAACAGGTGTGAGGACAGGGATCAGGGTTCAGCGAGGGCAGTCGGGCCATGGGCAGGGGAGGGTATTGGGGGTGCTGACTCCTGATTCTGCCCTAGCCCCACCAGGCCTGCCCCAAGGTGCGTCAGATCTTGGACATCTGGGCCAGTGGTTGCGGTGTTGTGTCCCTACATTGCTTCCAGCACGTGGTCGCTGTGGAGGCTTATACACGGGAGGCGTGTATTGTGGAAGCCCTAGGTGGGTGCCTGGTACCTAGAATGGGGGTCATATGAAAGGCATTTGGCTTCCCAGTTCCCTCATTTTTTTCCTTCTGAGGGGTGTTCATTTGTTGACTGAGCAATTATTGAGCACCAACTTTGAACCTGCACATGCATGTATTTTGCTCCATTGGTTTATCCCCACTCAAGGGCAATACACATTGGGTTTGCTGTCACATACTTTTTTGTGTGTGTGTGAGACTCTGTCGCCCAGGCTGGAGTGTGGTGGCGTGATCCCGACTCACTGCAGCCTCTGCCTCCCAGGTTCAAGTGATTCTTGTGCCTCAGCCTCCCCAGTAGCTGAGATTACAGGCACATATCACCATACTGTGCCAAGCTAATTTTTGTATTTTTTAGTAAAGACAGGGTTTCACCATGTTGGCCAGGCTGGTCTCGAACTCCTGGCTTCATGTGATCTACCCAAAGTGTTGGGATTACAGGCGTGAGCCACCATACCCAGCCGCCTGCTGTCACACACTTCTGCTGGATGGGGAGGTGTCCCCATGGCTGCCCCTGTGACCCCACATCCAATTTCTCCAGGGATCCAGACGCTCACCAACCAGAAGCAAGGGCACTGCTATGGAGTGGTGGCAGGCTGGCCACCTGCTCGTCGCCGGCGCTTGGGGGTGCACCTGCTGCACCGTGCCCTCCTTGTCTTCCTGGCTGAAGGCGAGCGACAGCTTCATCCCCAGGACATCCAGGCCCGGGGCTGAGTGCTGGGGAGTTGGCCATCCAGCCTGGGGAGAAATGTTTGAATGTTCCAGCTGCCCCATGCTGACAGCAGCCCCCATCTCTGGTTTCAGAAGGGGTGTGTGTGTGTGTGTGTGTGTGTGTGTGTGTGTGTGTGTGTGTTTGTGTGTGTGTGTGTGTGTGTAGGGAGCACCCAGGCAGATCTCCCCCAGGCTGAGAGAGGACTTTGTTACAGATGGTACTGCTGGAGAGGTAGTAAGTAGTGAGCTCCCCATCGTGGGAGGAGGACAAGAAGGGAAGCAGAAGGTGCTTTGGAACAGTCCGGTGCTTCTGTAAGAGGCGTTTGAACCTGGGCAACTCCACCTGGAATAGGAGCTGGGTAAAATGAGGCTGAAACCTACTGGGCTGCATTCCCAGATGGTTAAAGCATTCTAAGTCACGGGATCAGGTAGGAGGTCAGCACAAGATAACGGGTCATAAAGAACCTGCTGATAAAACAGGTTGCAGTAAAGAAGCCGGCCAAAACCCACCAATACCAAGATGGCGACAAGAGTGACCTCTGGTCGTCCTCATTGCTACACTCCCACCAGCGCCATGACAGTTTACAAATGCCATGGCTGGCCAGGCGCGGTGGCTCACGCCTGTAATCCTAGCATTTTGGGAGGCCAAGGAGGGCAGATCACCTAAGGTCAGGAGTTCAAGACCAGCGTGGCCAACGTGGCGAAACCCTATCTCTACTAAAAATACCAAAATTAGCTGGGCATGGTGGCGCGTGCCTGTAATCCCAGCTACTAGGGGGGCTGAGGCAGGAGGATCGCTTGAACCCAGGAGGTGGAGGTTGCAGTGAGCTGAGATTGTACCATTGCACTCCAGCCTGGGCAACAGAGCGAGAGTCTGTCTCAAACAAACAAACAAAAAAACAAATGCCACATCAACATCAGGACGTTAACCTTTAGACCCTATATGGTCTAAAAAGGGGAGGCATGAATAATCCACCCCTTGTTTAGCATATCATCAAGAAATAACCATAAAAATGGGCAACCAGCAGCCCTGCCCTGTCTATGGAGTAGCCATTCTTTTATTCCTTTAGTTTCTTAATAAATTTGCTTTCACTGTACTCTATGAACTCGCCCTGGATTCTTTCTAGCGTGAGATTGGAGAACCCTCTCTTGGGGTCTGGATCGGGCCTTTCTGGTAACACTTTGGCAGCTTGGTGCTGTCAAAATGGATGGAGCCTGCCAGGCGCGGTGGCTCACGCCTGTAATCCCAGCACTTTGGGAGGCTGAGGCAGGTGGATCACAAGGTCAGGAGATTGAGACCGTCCTGGCTAACATGGTGAAACCCCGTCTCTACTAAAAATACAAAAAATTAGACAGGCATGGTTGCAGGCGGCTATAATCCCAGCTACTCGGGAAGCTGAGGCAGGAGAATGGCATGAACCTGGGAGGTGGAGCTTGCAGTGAGCCGAGATTGTGCCACTGCACTCCAGCCTGGGCAACAGAGCGAGACTCTGTCTCAAAAAATAAATAAAATAAAATGGATAGAGGCTGCTTTTACCGCCCAGACATGGGACACCCACATGGCGGGTTGGACTGGGGGATCCTCAGCTGCACTCAGGATATCTACCCAGCTCAAGAGCCAAGTTCACTGCTACCCAGCCGTGAGACCTCTGATCAGTATTTTATCTGCCTGAGCATCAGTTTCCTTGGTTGTACAGTGGAGGCAGTAAAGAGGTCCTACTCCAGGGGATCATTGTAAGGTCATGTTGGGGCTGGGTGTCACGCTTGTAATCCCAGCACTTTGGGAGGCTGAGGCGGGAGCATAGCATGAGCCCAGGAGTTTGAGACCAGCCTGGGCAACATAGCAAGACTCTATCTCTACGAAAAGTAAAAACATTAGGCGGATCTGGTGGGTGGGCCTGTGGTCCTAGCTGCTTGGGAGCCTGAGGTGGGAAGATTGCTTGAGCCTGGGAGTTGGAGGCTTCAAGGAGCTACCATCACAGCACTGCACTCCAGCCTGGGCGATATCAAGATCCTGTCTCTTAAAAAAACTATAAAAATTTAAAAATAAGGTCATGTGAGCAAAGTGTGTGGCTCAGAGCCCAAAGTGTGTGGCAGTGCAGCCCAGGCGAGAACTTGCTGGAGGAAGGGGAGGTGTGGGGGCCCTCAAGGGGCCGCCTGTGTGATGAGGCGTGAGCAGGGCTGGGACCCTCCTCAGGATCATTGTGCAACCCCAGCCTCCCCTGTTGCTTCTGGGAACCTGTTTATCCACTATAAAATGGGATTATTGGCCGGGCTCGGTGGCTCACGCCTGTAATCCCAGCACTTTGGGAGGCCGAGGCAGGCAGATCACCTGAGTTCGGGAGTTCGAGACCAGCCTGACCAACATGGAGAAACCCCATCTCTATTAAAAATACAAAAATTAGCTGGGCGTGGTGGCGCATGCCTGTAATCTCAGCTACTTGGGAGGCTGAGGCAGGAGAATTGCTTGAACCCGGGAGGCGGAGGTTGCAGTGAGCCAAGATCAAGCCATTGCAGTCCAGCCTGGGTAACAAGAGCAAAACTCCGTCTCAAAAAAAGGGAGGGATCATTAATAATAACCCGGCAGGGCGTGGTGGCTCACGCCTGTAATCCCGGCACTTTGGGAGGCCGAGGCGGGTGGATCACCTGAGGTCAGGAGTTCAAGACCAGCCTGACCAACATGGTGAAACCCTGTCTCTACTACATACAAAACATGAGCCGGGTGTGGTGGTGAGCACCTGTGATTCCAGCTACTTGGGAGGCTGAGGCAGGAGAATCACTTGAACCCGGGAGGCGAAGGTTGCAGAAAACTGAGATCGCGCCACTGTACCCCAGCCTGGGCGACAGTGAGACTCCGTCTCAAATAATAATAATAATAATAATAATAATAATAATAATAATAATAATAATAATAAATAACCCGACTTCCAGCGATGCTATGCGACTTCAGACCATTCATGTGCAAAGGTCTTAAGTAAATACCAAGCCGCCATCCTGGTGAGATGTCAGCGGTCTGGTTTCGGGCGGGCGGGGGTCGGGGGGGGGTCGAGGGCATTTAAGCTTCTGGAAGTCGCTTCTGCAAAGGGCCCGGTGCATTTAGGGACTTGGGAGAGATCCGCTGCCTCATTGGTTTCAGGACCTGCCGGTCATCACGGCGGTTTAGCCAACCAGGTCCCCCAGGGGGCGGGCTGTGACCTGGGCCGAGTTTCCACCCACCTCGCCACTGCTTAGCCACCGGCTGCTCCTCGGGGAATGGCTGGTATTGTGATTAGGGGTCCAGTCTCTGGAGTGGGTTTGGGCTCGACCACTTGTAATCGAGCTGAAGAAACCGCTCTCTGAGCTTCACTTTCCTCCAGTGTAAAACAGGGGCCAGGCACCGTGGCTCACGCCTGTACTCCCAGAACTTTGGGAGGCCGAAGCGAGTGGATCACCTGAGGTCAGGAGTTCAAGATCAGCCTGGCCAACACAGTGAAACACTGTCTCTACTAAAAATACAAAAATTAGCCGGGCGCGGTGGCGGGTGTCTGTAATCTCAGCTACTCGGGAGGCTGAGGCAGGAGAATCGCTTGAACCCAGGAGGCTGAGGCTGCAGTGAACCGAGATTGTGCCACTGCACTCCAGCCTGGGTAACAGAGCAAGACACTGTCTCAGAAAAAAAAAAAAAAGTGTGAAACAGGGATGCCTCCCAGTTGCCAAATCTAATAATAAAGCCACAGGTGTTATGACACTGTGCCATCGCCCCAGAATACACAAACAGGACATTGGTAAAGAACCTAGAGCCCCCAGAAGAGATGGGATTTGTCTAACACAGGGTTTCCCAATCTTGGCCCTAATGACATTTGGGGTTGGCTTATTCTTTGCTGTGGGGTCTGTCCCTTGCATTTCAGGGTGATGAGCAGCGTTCCTGGCCTCCATCCACTAGAAGTCAGCAACACCCATGCACCCCCAAACATGGCGATCAAAAATGTCTCCAGAAGTTGCCAATGGACACAATTGCCCCCCTGGCTAAACTAAGGATGGAGCTCACAAACCGGTGGGGAAAGGACAGAACCGAGGGAAAGATTTCCTCCCTCCTCCTGTAATACACAGAAACCACAGATAGGACCAGATATACATGGACCAGAATAAAATGTAGGTGAGGTGCGGTGGATCACGCCTGTAACCCCAGCACTTTGGGAGGCCGAGGCGGGTGGATCACGAGGTCAGGAGTTCCAAGACCAGTCTGGCCAAGATGGTGAAACCCCGTCTCTACTAAAAATACAAAAATTAGCTGGGCGTAGTGGCAGGAGCCTGTAATCCCAGCTACTCCAGTGGCTGAGGCAGGAAAATTTCCTGAACCCGGGGGGCGGAGGTTGCAGTGAGCCGAGATCGTGCCACTGCACTCCAGCCTGGGCGACAGAGTGAGACTCTGTCTCAAAAAACAAACAAACAAACAAACAAAAACAAAACCAAAACCCAACTAAAAGACAGATTTGGTGGTTTCAAAAGAAAAGTCTTCTTGACAAAGGTGGCCCTAAACCAAGCTGAAAGATATAACACGGGAATAGTAAAAGGTCCTGACTTGCTGGGTGGGGTTGGATGAGTCGAATTCAATGAACCAGTGGGTGGCAGGCATTCAACACACAGCCTGGAAAACAGTGGGCACTCAATTATGGCAGCTCTAATTCCATGCAACACCCACTGATCTTCACCTAAACCTCGGTTGGATCTCTTCCGGCCAGGGAAGGGCTCATCTCGTTTTTTTTTGAGAAGGAGTATCGCCTTGTTGCGCAGGCTGGAGTGCAGTGGTACGATCTCAGCTGACCGCAACCTCCACTTCCTGGGTTCAAGCGATTCTCCTGCCTCAGGCTCCCCGAGTAGCTGGGACCACAGGCGCGTGCCACCATTCCTGGCTTGTCTTTGTTTTTTGTTGTTGTTGTTGTTGTTGTTTGTTTGTTTGTTTTAGATGGAGTCTCGCTCTGTCACCCAGGCTGGAGTGCAGTGGCACGATCTCGGCTCACTGTAATTTCCGCCTCCCGGGTTCACGCCATTCTTCTGCCACAGCCTCCCGAGTAGCTGGGACTACAGGCGCCCGCCACCACGCCCAGCTAATTTTTTGTATTTTTTACTAGAGACGGGGTTTCACTGTGTTAGCCAGGATGGTCTCGATCTCCTGACCTCGTGATCCCCCCACCTCTGCCTCCCAAAGTGCTGGGATTACAGGCGTGAACCACCGCGCCTGGCCTGTCTGCATTTTTAAATAGAGACGGGGTTTCACCATTTTGGCCAGGCTGTTCTCGAACTCCTGACCTCAGGCGATACTCCTCGGCCTCCCAAAGTGCTGGGATTACAGGCGTGAGTCACCACGTCCGGCCGGGGTCACCTCTTGATAAGTTGCCTCCTGCCCTGGGGGATACTGTCCAAGGAGCCTCAGCCTTCTGAGGTACGAGGGGAAATTCAGGAAGCTAACGTGGACACCAGACATTGTCGAAGTCGATCCTGAGCGCGAGGCACCAGCCTGAGCCCAGTCTGCAGATGGGAAAACTGAGGCTCCAGGCGGCGAACACCCTGCCCTGTGGTCACCCAGCACAGGTCCGGAGACTCCGATTGTCACTTCTGTTTATTGAGTTACAAGTTGAGATGTGCAGGTTCGGTGGCGCCAGCCCCCCCATCCCCCCCCCTTGGGCAAAAATAGCTCCCAGCGCCGAGGAATGGGGGGTAGGAAGGGTCTCGGATAACGGGATGGGGCCTCGAGGGTCCCTGTGGGGCTCGTGGGTCCCAGGATCAAGCACGGCTGACACGGAAGACAGCGGGGTGGGGGGCCTGCCTTGGCCGTGGCGTTGGGGGGAAGGTGAGGGAGAGCTTCTGTACAAGGTCATCTTCCGTGAGGGTCCCGGCTGCGGCCCCAAAACGCCGATGGGCCCCGCGGGACGGAAGCGGAGAGCGGAATGTCCGCTGGGCTCCCTCGGATGCCACGCCCCGCCCAGGCAGCCTGGGGGCGTCTCCCTGACCTGGCCCCGCCCACCGGAGCGAACGGCCCGCCCAGGTGGTCTGCGCTGCAGACCTGGCGCAGGCTCGGGCCTCCTCCTGCTGCGGCTGTGCTCACCAAGCGATGCCCCGCCGGCCCAGCGGCTACTTCTTGTCTTCTGGAGGCGCCGGCAGTGGCTCCGGTAGAGCCTTGGGCGAGGGCTCGGGCTCCCAGAGCAGGAATTCGTGGAGCAGCGTGTTGACCGTCTCAGGGCATTCCAGCATCACCATGTGGCTGCCCTCGTCGATGAGCTTCAGGAATGCCAGGAGCAGGATCTGCAGAAGACGCAGGGCTCAAGGTAGGCGGGGGCAAGAGGGTGGAGAGAGGCCAGGCTTCCCTGGGACTCCGCCATACACACATGGCCCACAGCATCCAAAAGTCCCTCCTCCCATCTACCCTGCATCTCTCCACTTCCACTCAAGGGGGAGCTGGAGGATGGCCTGTAGCCCTGCTGGAACCCAACTAGTATTCAGGCATCCAGCATTTATTAAGTGTCTACAGTATGCCAGGAGAAGGATTTTCTTCTTTTTTTCTTTTCTTTCTTTTTTTTTTTTTTTGAGACAGAGTCTTGCTCTGTCACCCAGGCTGGAGTGCAGTGGCGTAATCTCGGCTCACTCCAACCTCTGCCTCCCGGCTTCAAGCGATTCTCTTGCCTCAGCCTCCCAAGTAGCTGGGATTACAGGCACGCGCCACTACACCCGGCTAATTTTTTGTATTTTTAGTAGAGACGGGGTTTCGCCATGTTTGTCAGGCTGATCTCCAACTCCTGACCTCAGGCGATCTGCCCGCCTCGGTCTCCCAAAGTGCTGGGATTACAGGAGTGAGCCACCGCGCCCGGCCTGGAGGAGGATTTTGTCAACTTCAACTCTACCAACATTAGGAGCTGGATCATTCTTTGCTGGGGGGGCGGGGGTGGGCGGGGAAGGGGCGGGTAGCTGGGGTGGGGGCTGCTATCCTGTGCATTTGTAGGGTGTTGAGCAGCATCCCTGGCCTCCACCCACTAGATGCCAGTAGTACCCCCTCCCCCTCAGTCGTGACACCTAAAAATGTCTCCATGCATTTCCACGTGTTCCTTGGGGGCAGAATCCTCCTTAGTTAAGAACCACCAGTCCAGTTATACTTTAATGGTTTTTGTTTTTTTTTTTTTTTCTTTAAGAAACGGGGTCTTGCTCTGTCGCCCAGGCTGGAGTGCAGTGGTGCGAGCATGGCTCACCACAGCCTTGAACTCCTGGGTTCAAGCGATCCGCCCCACTCAGCCTCCCAAGTTGCAGCGATTATTGGCGTGAACCACCTCGCCGGGCTAGTATCCAGGGCTATTCTAAGTGCTAAGGATCCCCAGACCCTTTCTAATCTGAACTCGCTAATTAGAGTTTCTAATCTAAAGATCCCCTGGTGCCGGTCTTCTAGAATTATATAGGTCACCGGTCTCATACAAATCCTCCGCTGTGAGGAGAGCCTTCTTACAGCGGTGGGGACAGTGCGTAATTGCTAACACCTGTCCAGGGCAGCCCTGCTTTCTAGATTCTACTTCTGATGCTAGACCTAATGCTCCTGTTTGCCTGGGGTCAGAACAAGATACAGCAACTAGAGGCCACGCCCACCCGGCAGCCACGCCCCCTCGGGAAGAAAGCACGCCCACCAAGCGCTACCACGCCCCCCGCAGAGGCCACGCCCCTCCCGGGCAGCACCCTGGGGATTTGTAGCTGTGGCGCCCCAGGTGCCCGCCTCTACCTCGGCCATGCGCTGGTCTTCCTCCACCGGCACAAACTTATCGTGCATGCCGTGGACAAGCAGGACGGGCACGGTGAGCTCGGCGTGGTAGACCTCGTCGCCCTCGGGCCAGTACTGGCCGCTCATCATGGCCCGGAGTACGAAGGATGACACGTTGAAAGCGTTGCCCTCCTTTAACAGCTGCTTCTCCTTGGCTCCTTGGCGGGCGAAGCCGGCCCTGGTGGTGGTGGAGGCACCGCTAGAGCCCCTTATGCCAGCCCGACTGCCGTGGGGTGCCCCCGATGCCAGCCCTAGTCCCAGCGGTACAGTCCCCCCTCCCATCCAACTCGAGCAGATGCCTGGGTTCGCCAGGGCCAGGATCACGGTCTTTGGGGTGGGGACACTCACTTGAGGAAGCTCCAGGCCAGGCAGGGCGACAAGCAGTGCAGGACGCAGGTGGGCATGTTGAAGATTGAGCAGAAGCTGGGCTCCAGCGCCGTAGGGCCCCCGCCATTGATCATGATCACCTTGTGCACTAGGTCTGGGTACTCATGTGCCAGGAATGTGCAGAAAGAGACACTGCCCGGAACGGGTGGGGTGATAGGAGGATTGAAGGGAGGCGGTCAGCAGGATACAAGCAGTGACCATTTTGTTTTGCTTTGTTTTTGTTTTTGTTTGAGACAGTTTTACTCTGTCCCCCAGGCTGGAATGCAGTGGCTCCATCTTGGCTCACTGCAACCTCTGCCTCCCAGGTTCAAGCGATTCTCCTGCCTCAGTCTCCCGAGTAGCTGAGATTGCAGGCGCACACCACCACACCCAGGTAATTTTTTTTTTTTTTTTTTTTTTTTTTGAGACGGAGTCTCGCTCTGTCGCCCAGGCCGGACTGCGGACTGCAGTGGCGCAATCTCGGCTCACTGCAAGCTCCGCTTCCCGGGTTCACGCCATTCTCCTGCCTCAGCCTCCCGAGTAGCTGGGACTACAGGCGCCCGCCACCGCGCCCGGCTAATTTTTTGTATTTTTAGTAGAGATGGGGTTTCACCATGTTGGTCGGGCTGGTCTCAAATTCCTGACCTCAAGTGATCCATCCGCCTCGGCCTCCCAAAGTGCTGGGATTACAGGCCTGAGCCACTGCGCCTGGCCTGGTTTGTTTTTGTTTTTGAGATGGAGTCTCATTCTGTTGCCCAGGTTGGAGTACAGTGATGCAATCTCAGCTCACTGCAACCTCTGCCTCCTGGGTTCAACTGATTCTCCTTCCTCAGCCTCCCGAGTAGCTGGGAGTACAGGCATGCACCACCACACCTGGCTAATTTTTGTATTTTTTAGTAGACACAGGGTTTCAGCATGTTGCTCAGGCTGGTCGAGAACTCCTGACCTCAAGTGATCCACCCACCTTGGCTTCCCAAAGTGCGGGGATTACAGGCATGAGCCACTGGGCTGGCCTGTTTTGTTTTTGTTTTTGAGACAAGGTTTCGCTGTCGCCTAGGCTGGAGTGGTGCGGTGGCGTAATCATAGCTCCCTGCAGCCTTGACTTCCTGGGCTCAAGAGATCCTCCCACCTCAGCCTTCTGAATAGCTGGGACTACAGGCATGTGCCACCATGCTCAGCTAATTTTTAAAAATTTTTTTATAAAGACAGGGTCTCCTTATGTTGCCCAGGCTGGTCTTGAACTCCTGGGCTCAAGTGATCCTCTGGCCTTAACCTCCCAAAGTGCTGGGATTATAGGCGTGAGCCGTGACACCCGGCCTGGTGAGGGGGTTCATGTCCTCCCCCTACCCAGAAGGCAGGTCCTTGGAAGCCAAGATTCTTCCCCTGGGGTCCATGGACACCTGAAGGGGTGAGGGATGAGTGCGGCCTCTCAAATACCGTGAAAGTGTGAGTTTGAGTGTTGAGGATGGAACTTATTTTGAAGAGAGAATCTGGATCCAGAAGTTTCACCAGACTTTTTATTTTAATTGTTTAAAATTTTTGTAGAGATGGGGGTCTCACTATGTTGCCCAGGCTGGTCTTGAACTTCTGGGCTCAAGTGATCCTTCCACCTTGGCCTTCCAAAGTGTTAAGATTATAGATATGAGCCACTGTGCCCGGCCCTCATCAGATTCTTCAAGCCACCATGACCCAAAAGCGGTAAGAATTACTCATCAGCAAGTGGTAGGAAAGCAATCTGATTAAACAAATGCTTCCGGCTGCCCAGGGGAGGTCACTGTTTCCTACTATCCCTTCCCTTTCAGGATGTTCTGCCACCTGCCTCTGGGCATGACATATCTGTCTTCCTTATACAAGATGGAAGGCCTGAGAAGCCCCCAAAGCTGAGCTCCTCATTCCTACAAAAGCAGGGGTCAACAAACTATGTACGGCCTGTGGGCTAGTCATTTGCTTTTTTAAATACAGTTTACACTTTTGGAGATTTGAAAAATGTTTCCTAAATAAGGTTTTTTTTTTTTTTTTTGAGATGGAGTCCTGCTCTGTTGCCCACGCTGGAGCACAGTGGCGCGATCTCGGCTCACTGCAACCTCCGCCTCCCGGGTTCAAGTGATTCTCCTGTCTCAGCCTCCCGAGTAGCTGGGATTACAGGCATCTGCCATTATGCCCGGCTAATTTTTGTATTTTTAGTAGAGACGGGGTTTCACCGTGTTAGTCAGGCTGGTCTTGAACTCCCGACCTCAGGTGATCTGCCCACCTTGGCCTCCCAAAGTGCTGGGATTAGAGGCGTGAGCCACCGTGCCTGGCCAAAAAATGTTTCCTAAATAAAGTTTTATCAGAAGTTCCAACAGTGACTGTATGGCCTGCAAACCTAAAATATTCGCTATCCGATCCTTTAAGGAAATGTTTGCCAGCCCCTGCTGTAATGAGGAAAGGATACAGACAGGAGTCAGGCAGACCTGATTGTGTCAGGGACTTCCTGTATGCCTTTGGGCAGGTTGCTTCACCTCTCTGAGCTTCAGCCTCCACATTCCTGAAGTTGTAAATGTGCTGACCTAATAGCACTGTTATGGGGTCATGGGAACTATTGTAGGTGGGTGTTTTTTTTGTTTTTTTGTTTTTTTCTCGAGACAGAGTCTTGCTCTGTCACTCAGGCTGGAGTGCAATGGTGCGATCTCGGCTCACTGCAACCCCCACCTCATGGGTTCGAATGATTATCCTGCCTCAGCCTCCCAAGTAGCTGGGATTATAGGCACCTGCAACCATACCCAGCTACTTTTTGTATTTTTATTAGAGACGGGGTTTCACCATTTTGGCCAGGCTGGTCTTGAACTCCTGACCTTGTGATCCGCCTGCCTCGGCCTCCAAAAGTTCTGGGATTACAGGTGTGAACCACTGTGCCCAGCAGGTGGGTGCTCATTTAATTAGAGGAATCATTTCTCATAAGCATCAACTTTTGAGTATGTTATATAAAGAAATATAAACAAATAAGAGCTGTTACCTCTCAGTCTAGATTCCTTTCTTTTAGATACTTATGTAACTTCTTTGTTTTCTTTTCTTTTTTTTTTTTTTTTACTTTTTAGTTTTTTGTAGAGATGAGATCTTGCTTATGTTGCCCAGGTTGGTCTTGAACTCCTCAGCTATAGCAGTCCTCCCACCTCAGCTTCCCAAAGTGTTGGGATTATAGGTGTAAGCCACCACACCTGGCCACTTATTTATTTTTCTTTTTTCTTTTTTTTTTTTTTTGAGATGGAGTCTCACTCTGTCACCCAGGCTGGAGTGCAGTGGCACAATCTCGGCTCACTGCAAGCTCCACCTCCTGGGTGCACGCCATTCTCCTGCCTCAGCCTCCTGAGTAGCTGGGACTACAGGCGCCTGCCACCATGCCTGGCTAATTTTTTTTTGTATTTTTTAGTAGAGACGGGGTTTCACCGTGTTAGCCAGGATGGTCTTGATCTCCTGACCTCCTGATCCGCCCGCCTCGGCCTCCCAAATTGCTGGGATTACAGGTGTGAGCCACCACGCCTGGCCTTTTTTTCTTGTCTAATTGCATAGGCTAGAATCTCTAAAACAGTGGTGCTCAACTTGCCTGGCTGTTCAATCTTGCCTTTCTTCCTGGATAAAGGAGAGAATGAGGCCACTTGGTAGTGGTCAAGCCCTGGGGACCAAGCCTTCCATGGAGGGGTTCTTGGTAAGTTTTAGGTTGTATTACCTGCCCTTTAAGCAGGAGTGAATTACAGTAACCCATGCCTTTGTAAATGCCTAGAATTTACAGGATTCCGATGAGCGCTTCCTGAATGCACAGTGTTCTCCAGGGCAGTTGATTTTTTAACTTAGTCTAAGGCAGTGGTTCTCAGCTGGGGGTAATTCTGCCCACCAGGGCACGCTTGGCAACTACTGAAGACATTTTTGACTGTCATGATCAACACTAGATTGTGTAGTTGCATCCAGTGGGCAGAAGCCAGGGATGCTACTAAACATCCTATAGCCCCTCACAGAAAAAAAATAACCTGGCCAAACACGATAGTGCTGGGATTGAACAACACTGCTTTTTTTTTTTTTTTTTTTTTTTTGGGCAGAGTCTCACTCTGTTGCTCAGGCTGGAGTGCAGTGGTGTGATCTTGGCTCACTGCAACCTCTGCCTCCCAGGTTCAAGTGATTCTCCTGCCTCACACCCCCGAGTAGCTGGGATTACAGGCACACACCATCATGCCTGGTTAATTTTTTGTACTTTTAGTAGAGATGGGGTTTCACCATGTTGGCCAAACTGGTGTTGAACTCCTGACCTCAAGTGATCTGCCTGCTTTGGCTTCCTAAAGTGCTAGGATTACAGGCGTAAGCCACTGCACCTGGCCTGAGCAACACTGCTTTAGAACAATGTGAAACAATATCAGTGATGACGGAAATCCCTGTCTGATTACATATGCTAATGGGAGTTTTCAGCCTGGTATAGCGGCTCATGCCTGTTACCCCACCACATCGGGAGGCCAAGGAGGGAGGATGGCTTGAGCCCAGGAGTTCAAGACCAGCCTGGGCAACATAATGAGACCCCCCCCCCATTCTCTATATAATTTTTTTTTGAACTTGAAAATTGGCCTGGTGCGTTGGCTCACGCCTGTAATCCCAGCGCTTTGGGAGGCCGAGGAGGGCGAATCACGAGGTCAGGAGATCGAGACCATCCTGGCTAACACGGTGAAACCCCGTCTGTACTAAAAAGACAAAAAATTAGCCAGGCATGGTAGCGGGTGCCTGTAGTCCCAGCTACTAGGGAGGCTGAGGCAGGAGAATGGCATGAACCTGGGAGGTGGAGCTTGCAGTGAGCCAGGATCACGCCACTGCACTCCAGCCTGGGGGACAGAGTGAGACTCCATCTCAAAAAAAAAAAAAAAAAAAAAAATTAAGGCTGAGCACAATGACTCACACCTGTAGTCCTAGCACTTTGGGAGGCTGAGGTGCAAGGATCACTTGAGCCCAGTAGTTAAAGAACATCTTGGGCAACATAGTGAGATGCCATCTCTATTTAAAAGAAAAAAAAATTTTAAAAATGTAAAAATTAAATTGAAAAATGGGATTTTTTTCAAGGAGAAAAATTAGGATTTTTGTTTGCTTTGTTTTGTTTTAGGAGATAAGGTTTTGCCATGTTGTCCAAACTCATCTCCAATGATCCATCCACAAAGTGCTGGGATTACAAATGTGCACCACCGCGCGTGGTGGCCCCTTTTTTTTTTTTCATGACGGAGTCTCCTTCTGTCGCCCAGGCTGGAGTGCAGTGGCACAATATGATCTTGGCTCACTGCAAGCTCCGTCTCCCGTGCTCATGCCATTCTCCTGCCTCAGCCTCCCGAGTAGCTGGGACTATAGGTGCCCACCACCACACCCAGCTAATTTTTTGTATTTTTAGTAGAGACAGGGTTTCACCGTGTTAGCCAGGATGGTCTCAATCTTCTGACCTCGTGATCCGCCCGCCTCAGCCTCCCAAAGTGCTGGGATTACAGGCGTGAGCCACCGCGCCCGGATTTTTTTTTCTTTTTTAAAGAGCGACAGGTTCTTGCCATGCTGCCCAGGCTGGAGTGCAGTGGTGTGATCACAGTTCACTGCAGCCTCGACCTCCCAGACTCAAGCAATCTCCTGCCTCAGCCCTTAAGTAGGTGGAACTATATGCGTGCACCTCCTCACCTAGCTAATGTTTGTACTTTTTGTAGAGCTAGGGGGTTCTCCCTATGTTGCCCAGGCTGGTCTCAAACTCCTTGCCTCAAGATATCCTCCCGCCTTGGCCCCCGAAAGCACTGGGATTACAGGTGTCAGTGGCATCTCAGAGTCTCCCTCTGTCGCCCAGGCTGGAGTGCAGTGACACAATCTCGGCTCACTGCAACCTCCACCTCCTCGGTTCAAGTGATTCCTCTGCCTCAGCCTCCCGAGTAGCTGGGACTACAGGCGCGTGCCACCACGTCTGGCTAATTTTTGTATTTTTGGTAGAGACGGGGTTTCACCACCTTGGCCAGACTGTTCCCGAACTCCCAACCTCAGGTGATCCGCCTGCCTCGGCCTCCCAAAGTGCTGGGATTACAGGCGTGAGCCACGGGGCTCAGCCAAAAACTCAGTATTTTGTGACTGTAGTCCCTGCTGACCCCATCCCTCACCCCCACCCCACATGCCAGGGTTCACTTACCCGTAGGAATGGCCAATGAGCACATTTCGCTTCTTGGCATAGCGCTTGAAGATTGCTCGCATGTCCTCAGCCAGCGCATAGAAGGTGTAGGCTGCGGCCACCTGGGGCGCAGAGCTGGCCCCGTGGCCGGCCAGGTCAGGAGCCACCACCTCATAGCCTAGGCGCACAAAGAAGTCCAGCTGCTCCTTCCAGATGGCCAGGGAACCGCCGACACCATGGATGAAAAAGAGCACCACGTCGGCCTGGGCGCCTTTGCAGCTAGTGATGCGCTTCTCACAGTCAATATGGATGGTCCTCTTGGGGCGCCTGGCTCGCCGCCGCCGCCCACCACTGCCACTGCCGCTGCCGCTGCCTGCGCTGCCGGGGGCCAAGCGGCCATCGCTGCCCGCCGGATCTGCCAGCTCCACCTCCAGGGCGGCCGGCGGCTCCCCAGAGCCATTCTGCCCGTGTAGGAGGTCGGCTCGAGGGGCTCGGCCCAGGTTTTCCACCAGCAACCGCCCATTGCGGTACACGGTGATCCGGCGCTGACAGCGGACCAAGCCGGAGAGGTCCCCCTGGGCTGCATCCGAGGATGCGGATGATGGTGGAGGTGGGGCAGCGGCTGGGGCGGGTCCTGCATGCTTCACCCGCAGCACGCGGCCGGGCTTGACCTCTACAAAGGTGTAGCCATCGCTGGACTCGACGCTCTCCAGTGGCCCCACGGCGTTGGGGGGCGTGCCCAGCAGGCAACAGAAGATACCGTCGGTCACCCCGGTCAGCATGGTGTGTCCTGTGAGTGAGGACAGCAGCCAGTTCAGGTGCTGTCTCAATGAGAACCCTGCACCGTGCAGCAGGCACTCCCTGAGCCTTGGGAGAACTGTTTTAGACTCCAGTTTGGGGAGCGCCAGATCAAGTGAGCCACGGCACTGAGATTTTTTTGTTTGTGTGTGTGTGTGTGTGTGTGTGTGTGTGTGTTTTTGAGACAGTCTCGCTTTGTCATCCAGGCTGGAGGGCAGTGGCCGGATTTCGGCTTACTGCAACCTCCCCCTCCTGGGTTCAAGCGATTCTCTTGCCTCAGCCTCCTGAGTAGCTGGGATTATAGGCAGGTGCCACCATGTCTAGCTAATTTTTGTATTTTTTGTAGAGATGGGGTTTCACCATGTTGGCCAGGCTGGTCTTGAACTCCTGACCTCAAATTTTCCTCCTGCTTCGGCCTCCCAAAGTGCTGGGATTATAGGTGTGAGCCACCGTGCACTGACATGTTTTGTCTGAGCAGTGCCTTTGTGGTAGTTACCCTCCTGGGTCACCCTAGTCTATCCTCAGAGAGAAAGACTTGGCTATGGCTTACCCCACAGGGTGTCCACAGGGAAGGTGGTGGCGTCTTGTGTGGGGATGTTCCTGGAGAAGGGGACATTGTGGCAAATGTGGACCAGCCGGAAGACACCCCCTCCCCCCAGCTGGAGTTTATACCATTTATGGCCTCCTAACTCATTCATTCAGGTATACACTAACTCATCCATTCAGGTATACACTAACTCATTCATTCAGGTATACACTAACTCACTAACTCATCCAGGTATGCACTCACTAACTCACATATCCCCAGGGCCTCCTAAGGCATCTAAAATATGCAAATCTTTGGTGAGCCCCCAGTGAGGCTCCTGGCTCTGAATTTGACTCCTGAAAGGTGAGGCCCTAGGAGAGGGGGATGGGGACTGAGCCACAGAAAGCCTTGCTCAGCTCCCCTAGACCGGGGTGAGCCGGGGTCTGTTTCATAGAGGGCCAAGCTGAGGCCCAGACACTCTGAGAGGAAGCTAGACTCTGAACTTCCTCCTTGGCACCCTGGATTCTGGGGATCTGCTATACAAGTCCCCAGAGGTGGCGAAGAGGATGGGAGAGGCAGGGCCCTGGCTGGGGGCCTCCAAGCCTCCATCCCACTCCTTGGGCCACCCCCGCCCCCGTGTCCATGGCAACCACAGGCGGTTACATAACCTAAGGGGGGGATACCCGAGCAGTGCACCCCCATTGTCGAGGTGTCTAGGGCCTGGAGATGGGACCAGCTGCCTGCCTGCCCCCTACCCCAGGTTGGGCGCCGCTAAGGTAACGCACGCCCGAGACTGAGCCGCAGTGGCCCCAGACATACTGGAGGGGAAGCAGGCCATGCCCCCCACCTCGAGTGGGGCCCTAATCCCGGATTGTGGAGGGCAACGCACAGGCGCCACCCCAGCCCCGCTTCCCCGCCCCCGGCCCCCGCCTTCCAGGTGTTCGTCATCCCTGCAGCGGGGTCGAGCCCACTGGGGCTCCGTGGCTTCCTACGAGCCCAAACGCGGGGTTGGTGGACACCACTCCTCCGAAGTGGAGGCCCCGGGGCTTCGATCTCTCCTTTTGGGGCCCGTTCCCCGCTCACCTCATCGAGGGCCGCGGGGCCCGGGTCGGGGCGGAGGGGTCCCAGGCGGAGAAGCCAGCGTCCGCCTGCTGGCGCCGTTTACATGGTGGCGCGGGGTCAGGCCGGGTGCGTCTACGCGGGCGGGCACCTGCCCCTGGCGGTCAGCGCAGGGGCATCCCGCGGCCGCCGAAACAGCCGGCCCTTTAAGTTCCTCCCCCGAGTAGGCGGAGCCACGTGCCGACGGGCGGGCACTTCGGCCTATCGCAGCTGCGGACTGACCTGGCCTAGTTAGGAGCCCAATGAGAGGCGGCAATTCCGTAGTGGAGGCGGGCTCTGGGAGCAACGGCCCCGCCCCTTTTGGGGGTTCACCGAGGTTGGGGGAGGGATGGGGCCTGGCTCAAGGCGGAGAAGGGGGTTGCAGTCTAGGGTCTGCGGGACGCCTGGGAGTGTGCGGCCGGGGCCCTCTCTCTGCAAATGGGTCTCCCAAGCCCTTGCCCCCCAGCCCCTGCCTCCCAATTGCCCTGTTCCTCTCCAAACGAGGCCCCCATACTCTTCTCTCTGTATTGACCTTTCCATTCTAGAAGCAGAGACTCCAAGATCTTTTTCCAATCTCCGGTGGGGAAACTGAGGCTCATAAAGGGCACAAGAGCATAAATCAAGCAAGGAGCAAAGCTGGGACTTGAACCCAAGGCTGTGTGATTCCAAACCCTGGGAACCATTATTTGCTAACCTCCCCCCTACGCCCCCCCCTTTTCTTTTGGTAGGGACGAGGTCTCGCTATCTTGCCCAGACTGGTCTCGAACTCTGGGCATCAAGCAATCCTCTCGTCTACGGCCTCCCAAAGGGCTGAGATCACTGGCGTGAGCCATCGTGACGGGCTTCTCTAAAGCTTTCAAGGAAAGTCTTGGAGCTGTGGGTAATTAGAGAGTTTGAATTTCATAATCAGCCGATTTAACCCATGGCTGCCATGGTTCTGAGAAGGGCTGATAGCAAGAGGCAGGCATCCCAGCTCTGTGGTACCGGCGGGGCCATGGTAGGCCCTCAGGAGAGCTCAGGTCTCAAATCCAGCCTCTGCCCTTTGCTGATGTGTGACCTCGGGCAAGTTACTTCACTTTCCTGAGCCTCCGTTTATTTCTCTATGAAATTAATCCTCTCATAAGTTTGCTACGCAGGTAAAGCACTCATCATAGTGTCGTGCATATAACAAATGCTCCATATATTATGGGCATTATTATAGTGGTGATGTTTTGCTAAACGATGCTACAGGTAGGATGGGCTTCGGAGGACGAGGGGTTAAATGCTCCTTGCTGCTTGGCCACTCACATCCCCTGGAATTTGCTGCCAGAGCTGGATTCCGTCCAGACACCTACTCTTGCCCACTAAGGGCACTTCTGGGAGACTATACAGTTTATTCATTTAGCAAACACCTCTCTGCATGAACCCCAAGCTGGCACTTGTAGGGATACAGCCCCAGGCCCCTGGCCCTTGAGGAGCCCTTGAACTTGGGGGAGAGTCAAGGGAAAGCAGTCGGGCCAGAAGAATGGACAGCGGTTGAGAGAAGACGACTCCTTTTTTTTTTGAGAAAGGATCTCACTCCGTTGCCCAGGCTGCAGTGCATTGGCGCTATCATTGCTCACTACAGCCTGGATCTCCTGGGTTCAGGGAATCCTCCCACCTCACCTTCAAGTACTTGAGACTATAGGTGGTTGCTACCATGTCCCCAGGCTGGTCTCAAACTCCTGGCCCCAAGGGATCCTCCCTCCTCAGCCTCCCAAAATGCTGGAATTACAGGCATGAGCCACACCTCACTCAGCCCTTGGAGAGGAAAGGATTTTTAAAGGGCGGATAGGGGAACACCAGGCAGAGAGGAGAGTGTGGCTGAAATGTAAGATGGTGTGTGTAGAGGGTTTTGCATGCCTGATGGAAGGGCTGAGCAGGTTTTACCTGGGGAAATGGGGAGCCAAGGATAGTGTGTGAGTAGGGGAGGGGTTCAGATCTGAGTATCAGAAAATTTTTCTTCCTTTTTTTTTTTTTTTTTTTTGGTTCTAACAACAGAGGAGAATTCTTCTAGGGCCCAAAATGGGGGCAAGATTGCCAAAGACAAGCTTGCAATCCCTGAGTTTACAGATTGAGAAAGCCCAGAGTGGCGCAGGGACCACCCCAAGGACACGCAGCGAGCTTGAACTCAGGCCTCCTCGGCTTCCTGCCAAGAGGCGGAGACTTGGCTGCAGCCAGGACAAGCTGCCAGCCAGCTGTGTGCCATCTGCCCAGCTCCCGCTGGGGGCGGGAAGACCAACCAGCCGCTTCCTGCAGCTGCCACCAGCTGCGCCCGGCCACCGCGGGGCACCCTCTGCCGGTCAATAGGAGAGAGAACTACAGCTCAGCTGCCAGCTGACCGCGGGAGATAATGCCTTGTGCGCACGCGCTTGCTCAGAAGGCGCCGTTCGCCGGCTACCTGTTGGTGTGTATGCAGAGCATCCCTGTGCCCCGCGGATATAGACTGGCGCGCCTCTGTTGCGCAGGCGCAGAACTACAACTTCAGGGTTTTCCCCAACGGCCTCTTTTTTGCACGTTAGGAGAAACTACATTTCCCATAATCCTTTGTTCCAGGGCTGGAGCGGCTCTGGGCTCCGGAATCGCCCGCAGCCGGTACTGCGGGACCCACTGCGGATATGGCTGTCTTGGCTGGATCCCTGTTGGGCCCCACGAGTAGGTCGGCAGCGTTGCTGGGTGGCAGGTAAGTCCTCAGGGGGACCCTTCCCCAAATCAGGGAATAAGGGCGGCTTCGGAGGCTGGCGCCACTCTTCACTGCCCGCGTGACCTGCCAGTGCCTTGCGCATTTTGCAGCCAGGCTCTGTCTCCGGGAGCCGAGGCTCAGAGAGGTTGAGCGCCAAGGTCACCCAGCGCCCCGTCTGACCTTTCTCGCCGTCCCTCTACCCACGCAGGTGGCTCCAGCCCCGGGCCTGGCTGGGGTTCCCAGACGCCTGGGGCCTCCCCACCCCGCAGCAGGCCCGGGGCAAGGCTCGCGGGAATGAGTATCAGCCGAGCAACATCAAACGCAAGAACAAGCACGGCTGGGTCCGGCGCCTGAGCACGCCGGCCGGCGTGCAGGTCATCCTTCGCCGAATGCTCAAGGGCCGCAAGTCGCTGAGCCATTGAGGATCGCGACGCAGTCGGCGGGACCCTCATGGAAGCATCGCCCTCGCCTCGGACCTTGCCTGGCGCTATTTTTGCAGGGAGCTGGGGAGCAGGAACGCCTCGGACCTGAGTGCTCTCCATATTGTGGGGTTGAAGTCTGGATGGGAGCTTGCCAAGTCCCTTTTTAGGCTTTTTAATTAGGAAGCATTTCGAACCTGCGCAACAGACCAAAGAACAGTACAAAGAACATCCGTGTACCCAGTACCCTGACTACCGACTACCTACAACCCGTCCCTGCCCCATCCTGAGTTCTTTTGAAGCTGATCTCAGGCATCGGATTATTTCTTCTGTAAATATTTCAGAATGTATCTCTCCAAGATGAGAGCTCATTAAAAGACAATTACAAAGCTTATCACATCCAAAAGAATTATCAATAATTTTGAAATATTATTAAACGTGTAATAAATGTTCAAAGTTCCACTTGCCTTATATGTGTCATAACTCTTTTTTTTTTTTGAGACAGTTTCCCTTTTGTTGCCCAGGTTGGAGTGCAATGGGGGGATCTCGGCTCATTAAAACCTCCGCCTTGCGGGTTCAAGCGATTCTCCTGCCTCACCCTCCCGAGTAGCTGGGATTACAGGCATGCGCCACCACGCCCGGCTAATTTTGTATTTTTAGTAGAGATGGGGTTTCTCCATGTTGGTCAGGCTGGTCTCGAGCTCCCGACCTCAGGTGATCCGCCCTCCTCTGCCTCCCAAAGTGCTGGGATTACAGGCATGAACCACTGCGCTCTGTCCCCCAGGCTGGAGTGCAGTGGCACGATCTCGGCTCACTGCAAACTCCCTCTCCTGGGTTCAAGCAATCTCCTGCCTCAGCCTCCCGAATAGCTGGGATTATAGGCGCCCACCACCACACCCGGCTAATTTTTGTATTTTTAGTAGAGACGGGGTTTCAACCATGTTGGCCAGGCTGGTCTCGAACTCCTGACCTCAGGTGATCTGCCTGCCTCGGCCTCCCAAAGTGCTGGGATTACAGGTGTGAGCCGTCATGCCCAGCCTGTGTCATAAATTTTATAGGTCTGGGAAGACTGGTGGAAAACTGTGTGTGTGTGCGGGGGGGTGTTTGTTTTTGAAACAGGGTCTCGCTCTGTCACCCAGGCTGGAGTGCAGTTGTCGGATCCCTGCTTACTGCAACCTCTGCCTCCTGGGTTCAAGCAATTCTGGTGCCTCAGCCTCCCAAGTAGCTGGGATTACAGGTGCATGCCACCACGCCCAGCTAATTTATGTATTTTTAGTAGAGGGGAGTTTCACCATGTTGACCAGGCTGGTCTTGAACTCCAGCCCATAAGGAGTTTGAATCTTCCACTTGTCCCTTGGGGATGTTTGATTTTGAGCAAGAATTTAACACTGTGAGGTGCATTTGTCGCCTATAAAATGCAGTGCTGGTTTCTCCTCTGCTCTGTTGCTGTTGGAGTAATAATACTTAGTAGCTTCCACTTAGCAACTTCACTGTGCAATTGCTGTGTGCTGGGTGCCCATTCTTTGCCCTGGAAGTCAGGAAGGCAGTTTGGACACAGAGGTGTCAGGGCTGGGAGGGGGATTGTGAGGGCTGTAGGACTTCAGGGAAGGTACCTGACTTGCCTTTTTGAAGAATGCAGTCAGGGAAGTCTTGGAGGAAATGGCAAGGTCTGGGAGAGCCCAGACATAGAAGGAATTGGTTAGAGGTGAGGACACAGGTGGGCAATGAAGACCGCAGGTGCCCATAAATGGGGCCAAGGAGGTGGGATTGAATACTAGGGAGTTACGGGAGGTGGTTGAGCAAGACGGTGTCGAGGAGGAGCTAGGGAGTGTTATGGTTCTTATCTTCTAGGGCTGCTTTAAAAACGTAATAAACACAAGAAGATGCCGGCACGATGGCTCCCAGAACTTTGGGAAGCCAAGTCTGGAGGATTGCTTGAGGCCAGAAGTTCGAGACCAGCTTGGGAAACATAGCAAGACCCCTGTGTCTTTTTTTTTTTTTTCTTTTGAGAGGGAGTTTAGCTCTTGTTGCCCAGACTGGACTGTAGTGGCTTAATCTCGGCTGACTGACACCTCCGCCTTCTGGTTTTAAGCGATTCTCCTGCCTCAGCCTCTTGAGTAGCTGGGATGACAGGCGCCCGCCACCACGCCCGGCTAATTTTTGTATTTTAGTAGAGATGGGGTTTCACCATGTTGGCCAGGCTGGTCTCAAACTCCTGACCTCGTGATCCGCCCGCCTCGGCTTCCCAAAGTGCTGGGATTGCTGGGATTACAGGCGTGAGCCACCGTGCCCCGCCTTTTTTTTTTTGAGACAGAGTCTCCCTCTGTCCGCCAGGCTGGAGTGCAGTGGCGCGATCTCAGCTCACTGCAAGATCCGCCTCACTCACGGTTCACGCCGTTGTCCTGCTTCGGCCTCCGGAGTAGCTGGGACTACAGGCGTCCGCCACCACGCCCGGCTAATTTTTTGTATTTTTAGTAGAGACGTGGTTTCACCGTGTTAGCCAGGACGGTCTCGATCTCCTGACCTCGTGATCCACCCGCGTCGGCCTCCCAAAGTGCTGGGATTACAGGCGTGAGCCACTGCGCCCGGCTGGCTTTTTTTTTTTTTTTTTGAGACTGATTTTCGCTCTTGTTGCCCAGGCTGGAGTGCAATGGCACGATCTTGGCTCACTGCAACCTCCGCCTCCCGGGTTCAAGTGATTCTCCTGCCTCAGCCTCCCTACTAGCTGGAATTACAGGCGCAGAGATGGGGTTTCACCATGCTGGCCAGGCTGGTCTCGAACTGCTGACCTCAGGCGATCTACCCGCCTCGGCCTCCCAAAGTGCTAAGATTACAGGAGTGAGCCACCGCACCCGGCCGAACCTCGCATCTTAAAAACACACAGACACACAAAAGCTCTAGAGAGCCTCGCGGAGCTGTAAACTACAGCTCCCAAGAGACTTCGCGGCCGAGGCCTCCGCCCACTTCCGGATCTCACTTTCATTGCTTCCAAGTACCGGGAGGTGCTTTGCTTCTTCAACCGAACTTGACCACAATGGGAGGAGGCGTGGCAACCAATGGGCGCATGAGTTAGCTGGATGCGGCCAATGGAAGCGTGCAAAGCGCTCCTATGTGGGGGCGGGGCTAGACTGCACACCAATGACAGGGAGGTGGTGGCGCCATCAGTGTGGGCTGTGCCGTGGCTGGAAGTTACTGTGAGGCGGCGGCTAAGAAGGCGGCTCTGGTGGCGGCGGTGGAGGCTGAGGCGGCGGCCGAGGCGGCGACGGAGGAAACAGAAGATGGTGAGGATGGCCTCCAGGCCCCCACTCCCCCTCTGCTAGACAAAATGGCGCTGTGGTCCCACCCACCTCTAGTATCCCCCTAGGCCCCTCTCCGTTCTGCCCGGTCCCCTCAGGTCCGGCCCGCCCCTCCCACTCACCTGTGACCTTCGACCCCCGGACCCTACCGAGAGCTTCCTGCTGATCCCACTGCCACTCCTTCTCCGACCCCTGACCCCATCCAGGATACCAAGCCCTGACAACTCATTCATTTCCGGGTTGCGGCTCCCCCCGGAAATCGTCTGGGGTGGGGATGGGGTCCCGTAAGACCCCCTGGTCTGGCCTCGTTCTCAGCACGCCGGACCTGGATCTCTTCAGTTCAGGAGAATTTGGGAGGCCGGCCTGGGCCCCGGGGCGGGGGAGGGGGCTTGGCACCGCGATATGCAGGGCTTTGTCGCCAAAGGAAGTGCGACATCGCCGATTGTCCCGGTTCCCCGGGCCCTGACCCCACCTCCACCATTCTGGGCCCTTACCCGCCTCTAAGAATGAAAAACTTTTATCTCCGATCCGCATGGATTGTCCCTGTGAAATGAGGGTAGCAGTAGTCTGAACCTCTTAGGGTGGTGACAATTTAGGTAACTGACGTCGTAAAGGACTCAGGATAGTGAATGCTCAACAGATGAGCTGGGTGACTCGAGGCCAGTGACGTTCTCTTCTAGCTGTCCCCTCATTATGAAGTGTGGATCGTCCCCACCTGGCTGTTGGAAGGTTGAAATTCCTTCAGGGTTCCTCAGTCATCCTGGAATTTGGGTCTGGTGGTTCTTCGGGGTTCAGTCTCCCCACCTGAAAAGTGGGATGGTGACCCACCCTCAGAGTGGAACTAAAGCCTCTCCACAACCCCCATTAGTTGGCATCCTGAGGGCTGGGAAGGGTGATGGGAAGCTTGGTCAAGATACCTCAAGTCTCCTTTGTCCCCTGACCCAGAGTCCCAGCCCACAATCCACAGTCCTTGGGATGTGGTGGGGATGAAAGGAAGACTCCCTTTCAGGAAGGAAATGGGAAGGTGGGTTCCTAGTGTGCGGGTCCCCAAGCCTGGGAGTTGTCCTTGATACCTTGGTACAGTCTCATCCCTACAGCCAATCATAAGTGGATTAGATTGTCTCTGCCTTCTGAACACACCTGAATTCATCCATGGCTTCATGCCCTGTTGCAGGTACTGCCACTTCCCACCTGCATACCTGTCCCAGCTTCTTCCCTGGTCTCCTAGCCTTGCTCTCACCCCTTTGGCAGTTCATAATTCACCTGAACCAGAAGGAACTTTTTTTTTGGAGTCAGGGTCTCACTCTGGCGCCCAGACTGGAGGCTCAAGAGATCCCCACACCAGGCTCATTTTTGTACTTTTTGGAGAGATGGGGATTCCCTATGTTGCCCAGGCTGGTCTCAAACTCCTGGGCTCAAGTGATCCTGCCTCAGCCTCCCAAAGTGCTGGTATTACAGGTGTGAGGCACTGCATGGGGCCTGAGAAGGAGGTTGTTTTTTTTTTTTCTTTTGAGATGGAGTCTTGCTCTGTCGCCCAGGCTGGAGTGCAGTGGCATGATCTCGGCTCACTGGAACCTCCGCCTCCTGGGTTCAAGCCATTCTCCTGCCTCAGCCTCCCAAGTAGGTGGGACCCACCACCATGCCCGGCTAATTTTTGTATTTCTAGTAGAGACAGGTTTTCACCATATTGGCCAGGCTGGTCTTGAACTCCTGACCTTGTGATCCACCCGCTTCGGACTCCCAAAGTGCTGGGAGTACAGGTGTGAGCCACTGCGCCCGGCCAGAAGGAGCTTTTAAAGATGTGCATCAAATGATACCACTTTCTAGCCTATAAAATGCTCCAGGAACCCTGGCGGCTCCCCTCCTCACCCTGAGGCCCCTGGCCACCTCTATGACCTTATCTCCACTCTCTTCTCCACTCTGTCTGTGAGCTTCAGCCACCCTGGCCTTGTTTTCACTTCCTCACACTCCAGGTTCCTGCTACCCCAGGGCCTTTACACCTGCTGCTCTTTCTGCTCGGAACACTCTTCCTCCTGTGATCGAGGTCATTCCTGACTTTGGGGGGCCCCCAGTTCTCTGCTATTAGTGTACTGCTTCTCTTTCTCATCTCTTTGTTGGGTCTCTGGCAGGCTACCTGCAGTGGGACTGGCACACAGGTGTCCAGTGCGTGTCTGCTGAGGCACCTGTGAGGGCCCAGCCGTGGCTGGCATTTGTCTGGAATGAGGCCTCCCCCACCCCCTGCCCCCATGTCTCGAGGCCTTGTTTTCCAGCTTAGCATGACAGGAAGGCTGCACGTACCCTGCCTTCATTCATTTGTCCAACGCAGACATGTTGATCCTAAAGGCTGCCCCTGAGGGAGCTCTGTGCAAAGCATTCCCCTTGTTGTCTTATGACTCAGAGTAACCCTGGGAGGTGGCCCTGTTGGAATGCGTCTCTTCACAGGGAGGCCCAGAGGCTGGGAAGTCCCTCGTCCCAGGTCACACAACCAGGGACGGGCTAAGCCAGGATTGAGAGCAGAATGCCCGGAGTACCTGCACCTCTCGCCACTCAGCCACCGGGCCCTGTGTGAGCCCGGCCAGGGTTCAGTCAGCCCTGTCCTGTCCTCTTCCCTTGGGGAGGTACCAGTCCAGCCAGGGAGGTGGACATGTAAGCAGATGACCTCGCCGGGGTGTGAGGGAGGCTCTGGGAGAGGCTCCCGAAGTGTCGGGGGAACAAAGGGGCCAGGGAGGGTGTTGGAGCTGGTGGGGAGGTTAGCAGGTATTTGCCACATGGAGGCATGAGGGGCATTCCTAGAGGGTGTGTGTGGCAGAGGGTGTGTATGATGGGAGTCCAGCAGGGGCAAGCTGGGCCAGGGCTGCGAAGGGGGACAGGGACCCCTCCTCACCCTTCAGGTCTCAGTGCCTGCATCCCTGCGTCTGGGCAGCCCTCCTTTATCCCCTAAATGGGCCAGAGCTCTGCCTTGCACCTCACACTGCGCCCTCGAGGCACCCTGTCCTGCAGCCGCTTCCTGTGCACTGTGCAGCTCTTTGCCCCACACCATCTCAAGGCCAGGCGCGTGGCCATGGTGGCTCAGTCCAGTGCCCTGGTGCCTGCTAGGGCCCCAGAAGACCTTGCTGAATGAATGAAGCTGGCCCCAGAGCCGGGTGCTGAGCTGAGGCTGGCATCCTAGGGTGGGAGGGGAGGCAGGTTTGAGGGACTTTGAACAGGTCCTGGGGCAGTAGGTCATCCAGATGTGACGGCTGCCTCCCGGGTGGGAGGGGGAGGCCCACCCAGCCACATTCCGGCTTCCCGAGAGGGACCAGCAGAGGAGGGGCCAGATGTCATAGAATTGGGGACACTGCTGTTCCTGCCTGTCCCAGAGGGTGGTGGGAAATTGTCTGAATAGCAGCTTCTCCCAGGGCAGCTCTCTTGGGCCTCAGGCATCAGGGGATGGCCTTCCCTTCCAGCTCTGTAGCCTGCAGGGGCTCTGGCTTTTGCTTTTCAGGTGTGTGATGAAGAGAAGGAGCTTGGCTTCTGAGGTGGGGTACATGTGGGTTCAAATCAGCCCCCTGGTTTTCTGACTGAGACTGGGTAACCTCTCTGCCTCGGTGTCCTTGCCTTTGATAGGGAGACACTACCTCCTGCCCCATTGGGTCAGGAGATCATACATAGTGAGCTCAGGAGGGCCCCGTTCAGGGCAAGCCATGTGGAGAGACTCGCAGCAGACAGTCCCACCACTGGCCCACTCCAGACCTCACTCACAGGGTTGGATTGAAAATGGCTTTTTTTTTTTTTTTTTTTTTTTTTTTGAGACAGAGTCTGGTTCCGTCTCCCAGGCTGGAGTGTAGTAGCACAATCATGGCTCACTGCAACCTCTGCCTCCCGAGTTCAAGCGATTCTCCAGCCTCAGCCTCCCGAGTAGCTGGGATCATAGGCGCGCACCACCACGCCCACCTAATTTTTATATTTTTAGTAGAGATGAGGTTTTGCCATGTTGGCCAGGCTGGTCTCAAACTCCTGACCGCAGATGATGCGCCCGCCTCGGCCTCCCAAAGTGCTGGGATTCAGGCGGGAGCCACTGCGGTATGACTTTTAACCAGTGGCCTGTTCTCTTGCAGCCTCAATTTCCCCACCTCTCACCTAATTAGGGGGCTGTCATGAGGATCCCGTGGGGGATGTGCACATAGCCTGGCCTGGTTACTTTTCTGTGGTCCCGACAGTGTATCCAGCAGCCAGCTCAAGGGTGTGTTCTGGAAAACTTGAACTACAAAGAATAGTGGGAAGAAGGAACCCAGCAGTCACCCTGCAGGTGCTCCAGGGATGAGCTGGCCCTTGCCTGTTTTCTCATGTACCATCTTCCATGTCTTCTAGGCAGATTTTTTGAAAGGACTGCCTGTCTACAACAAAAGCAATTTTAGTCGATTTCACGCGGACTCCGTGTGCAAAGCCTCGGTGAGTGCGTGTTCCTGGGACTGGGAGGAATTGGTCACTTCCAGGGGGCCTGGGGGCAGCTTGTGTCCCCCGATTGGGGTCTTGGCTGGAACAGAGGCTGATCTTCAAGCCCAGCCCCATCCACATACTTGAGTGTCTTCCAATCTGCACTGAAGGGTGGGTGCTGAGTGGAGGGATGAGGAGACCCCAGGCCCATGCACTCTCCTAACCCACCCCTTCTCAACCCTCCTGCAGAACCGACGGCCCTCAGTCTACCTGCCTACCCGCGAGTACCCGTCTGAACAGAGTAAGTGGCCGCTGTCAGTCTGTCCCATTCTGGCTGCTGAGGGGCGGGGTTTGGTGACTGCAGCGTGGCACGCGGAGGTTATCTTCAACCCCGGCCCAGGCCATAGACTTGGCTTGGGTTCACACGCTGTCTACTGAATCCAGTTAAGTCAGGGAGGGCCTCCAGGGAGGTACAGGAGGGGGACCTTGGGGGCTTCAGCCTGGGGATGCACACGTGGATGCCTGTCCACTCCCAGCCCCTGGGGACAGCCAGAAACCTGGCTTTCCCCAGGTGTCTCTTGATTGGGACACACTGGGATCCACAGCCAGCCCAAAGGGGCCCCCAAGTTGTCCCTCATCTGCCACTCACTGGTCCTTTCCCCTCCCTGTCAGATGAGGTCAAGCGAGAACTCTGGTTCTAAGACAAGTGCTATCGGGCAGAGAGGCAGCAGAGGGCTACAGGGGCTTGGGCTGGGGATCCAGCCAAGCCTGGGTGGCAGTGATGGGAAGGGGGTCCAGGCAAAGGGGCCCACAGCACAGGAGGACTTGGTCTTGCTGTCTTAGTTTAACTGTTCAAAAAGACTCCACACCAGGTGGGGTAGCTCCCGCCTGTAATCCCAGCACTTTGGGAGGCTGAGGCAGGAGGATTGCTTGAGGCCAGGAGTTCGAGACCAGCCTGAGCAACATAGTTAGACCCTGTTTCACCAAAAACCATATATATACGTATATATACACACATATATATACACACACGTATATATACACACATATATATACACACACGTATATATACACACGTGTATATACACACACGTGTATACACACACGTGTATACACACGTGTATATACACACACGTGTATACACACACACGTGTATATACACACACGTGTATATACACACACGTGTATATACACACACTATATATATACACACGTGTATATATATACACGCTATATATATACACACGTATATATATACACGCTATATATATACGCTATATATATACACACGTATATATATACACACTATATATATACATACGTGTGTGTGTGTGTGTGTGCATATATATATATATATATATATATATTAGCCGGGCGTGGTGGCATGCATCTATAGTCCCAGGTGGGAAAATCAGTTGAGCCCAGGAGCTCCAGGCTGCAGTGAGCTATGATTATTCCAGCCTGGGTGACAAGAGTGAGACCCTGCTCTTAAAGCATTTATCCATCTGGAGCCTGTGGGGTGGGACTGTGTGGTCACTGGGCACAGATATGCGGTATGTGCTCCTAGTCAGCCTGGGAGAAACATAGGCATGAGAGTCTCAGTTGCGGGGCTTGGTCCCCCACCAAGGGTGGAATCCCTTGCAGGGAGCCGGGACCCTGAAAGCAGCTGGCTCAGGCCTCTGGGAGTAGCTGCGAGTGTGCTCAGAAGCAAAAACATGGGACTTTTGGAGATCTCTGGAGTTGGGGGTACTGAGTTCCAGCCCCAAAAAGACCTCCCAGGGCAGTGTCAGGGGAGGAGCCTGGGGAGGGGAGGCGTCTGCGACTTTCTCTATCTTTCCTCCTTAGTCATCGTGACAGAAAAGACAAACATCCTCCTGCGCTACCTGCATCAGCAATGGGACAAAAAGGTGAGGCCCACAGGGCTCTGGTGCAGGGATTGTGGGTGGACAGAGACTGGGCACCTGGCAGGGGCTTCTGAGCACAGGAAGGACTCTAGTGATTGGAGCAGGGCCTTGAGGGCTGGGTAGGAGTGCCCTGGGCGATCCAGGAGAGGGAAGAGCGTTCCAGTGGAGGGAACCGCTGTGCAGAGGCCACAGGACACCAGTGCTCAGGAGGCTGGAGGCCAGGCCCAAGTAGCCGCCAGGCCCAGTTTTCCATGGCTCTGGCATTAGGTAGACTGTATTGGTATGAACTAGATAGAATATTTTCTGAGGCCGAGTGTGGTGACGCATGCCTGTAGTCCCAGCGCTTTGGGAGGCTGAGGCGGGCGGATCACGAGGTCAGGAGATCGAGACCATCGTGGCCAACATGGGGAAATCCCGTCTCTACTAAAAATACAAAAATTAGCTGGGCGTGGTGGCACGTGACTGTAATCCCAGCTACTTGGGAGGCTGAGGCAGGAGAATCGCTTGAACCAGGGAGGCGGAGGTTGCAGTGAGCCGAGATTGCACCACTGCACTCCAGCCTTGTTGACAGAGCAAGACTGTCTCAAGAAAATAAAAAAAGGCCGGGTGAGGTGGCTCACGCCTGTAATCCCAGCACTTTGGGAGGCCAAGGTGGGCAGATCATGAGGTCAGGAGATCGAGACCATCCTGGCTAACATAGTAAAACCCTGTCTCTACTAAAAAATACAAAAAAAAATTAGCCAGGTATGCTGGTGGGCGCCTGTAGTCCCAGCTTCTTGGGAGGCTGAGGCAGGAGAATGGTGTGAACCTGGGAGGCGGAGCTTGCAGTGAGCCTAGATAGGGCCACTGCATTCCAGCCTGGGCAACAGAGCGAGACTCCATCTCAAAAAAAACAAAAAAAACAAAAAATCTTTTCTGAATGGTGAAATGTGTACACATGATTAAAAATCTCAGCTGGGCGTGGTGGCTCACACCTGTAATCCCCGCGCTTTGGGAGGCCTACGCAGGCGGATCACGAGGTCAGAAGTTTGAGACCAGCCTGGCCAGCATGGTGAAACCCCATCTCTACTAATAATACAAAAATTAGCTGGGCATGGTGGCGCACGCCTGTAATCCCAGCTACTCCGGAGGCTGAGGCAGAAGAATGGCTTGAACCTGGGAGGCAGAGATTGCAGTGAGCCAAGATCATGCCACTGCACTGCAGCCTGGGCGGTCTCAAGAAAAAAAGAAATCTATACCGGGCGCGGTGGCTCATGCCTGTAATCTCAGGACTTTGGGAGGCCGAGTCAGGCAGACCATGAGGTCAGGAGATCGAGACCATCCTGGCTAACACGGTGAAACCCCGTCTCTACTAAAAATACAAAAAATTAGCCGCGTAGCTGGGTGTGGCGGCGGGTGCCTGTAGTCCCAGCTACTTGGGAGGCTGAGGCGGGAGAATGGTGTGAACCCAGGAGGTGGAGCTTGCAGTGAGCTGAAATTGCACCACTGCACTCCAGCCTGGGCGACAGAGCTAGACTCCATCTCAAAAAAAGAAAAAAAGAAATCTAGGTAACATGTGAGGGTGTGGCTGGGTGTGGTGATTCACACCCGGAACTGCCTGAGAGGCTGACGCAAGCAGATGGCTTGAGGCCAGGAGTTTGAGACCAGTCTAGGCAACACAGCAAAACTCCATCACTAAAAAAAAAAAAAAAAAAAACAAATTAGCTGGCTGTGGCATGTTCCTGTAATCCCAGCTATTCAGGAGGCTGAGGTGGGAGGATCGCTTGAGCCCAGGAGGTTGAGGCTGCAGTGAATCATGATCATGCCATTGCACTCCAGCCTGGGCAACAGAACCAGACTCTGTCTCTAGAAAATAAAAATAAGAGGGTGTAGTTGCAGCGAAGAGTCATCTCCCGCCTCCCGCTTCTGGTGCCCCAGCTCCCTTCCCAGAGGCTGCCTCTGCACACGGGATATTTTTCTTCTTTTTCTTTTTCGTTTTTCATTTTCTTTTGCCCTGCCCTGCCCTGCCCTTCCCCTCTTTTCCCCTTTTTTTCCCCCTTTTTCCTTTCCTAGATGAGGTCTTGCTCTGTCACCCAGGCTGGAGTCGCCCAGGCTGGAGTGCAGTGGCGTGATCTCGGCTCACTGTAACCTCCTCCTCCCAGTCTCCACCTCCCAGGTTCAAGCAATTCTCCTGCCTCAGACTCCTGAGTAGGTGGGATTACAGGCACGCGCCACCATGCCCAGCTAATTTATTTTATTTTATTTATTTATTTTTTTGAGATGGAGGTTTGCTCTTGTTGCCCAGACTGGCGTGCAGTGGCGCGATCTTGGCTCACTGTAATCTCCGCCTCCTGGGTTCAAGCGATTCTCCTGCCTCAGCCTCCCGAGTAGCTGGGATTACAGGCATGTGCCACCATGCCTGATTAATTTTGTATTTTTAGTAGAGGCGGGGTTTCTCGATGTTAGTCTGACTTGTCTTGAACTCCCGACCTCAGGTGATCCACCCGCCTTGGCCTCCCAAAATGCTGGGATTACAGGTGTGAGCCACCATGCCTGGCCTAATTTTTGTATTTTTAGTAGAGACAGGGTTTCTCCATGTTGGCCAGGCTAGTCTCGAACTCCTGACTTGAAGTGATCCACCCACCTCGGCCTCCCAAAGTGCTGGGATTACAGGTGTGAGCCACCGCGCCTGGCCTTCTTTTTTTTTTTGGAGACGGAGTCTCTCTGTTGCCCAGGCTGGAGTGAGTGCAGTGGCGTGATCTCAGCTCACTGCAACCTCCGCCTCTTGGGTTCAAGCAATTCTTCTGCCTCAGCCTCCAGAGTAGCTGGGATTACAGGCATGAGCCACCGCGCCTGGCAAGTTTGTTTTTTTTTTTTTTACCTAACATTGAACAGTGGGTGGCTGCCTACCCTGCGCAAAGTTGGAAGGTCGGGGGACTGTGTGGCAAAGTGACTGCTTCTGAAAATCCAAGCTGCTGGGCCCACCCCCACCCCTTCTCCTGCCCCCCAGGACTTGGTTTCCACAGCGGGGAAGGAGGCGTGTGCTTCTGTCTTGCGTTGATGTGCGGCATCCCCAGTGGCTTCCAAAGGCCCTTTATTCCCAGGCTGGGTGGGTTGCTCCTCTGAGTGCTTGAGAAACCAGCCCTGTGTGGGTCATTGCATGTGGTGGGGGTGACTCCGGGTGCCAGGAAACACCTGTCTATCACCAGGCATGGGTCCAGAAAGTGCTCTGGGCAGGGCTTAGTGGGGCAGGTCCTGGTGGTAGGAGGGGCTGCCTAGCCAGGGACCCTGGGGCCCCCCACTGTACTCCAGGCCTACCTCTGTGATGCTGCTGCAGGGGCCTGGGCTGGCATTATGACTCTGGGAGCTTCACCCACGTGAAGACTCACAGCCTCCAGCTGGGCAACATAGTGAAACCCCCATGTCTACCAAAAGTAAAAATATTAAGCGTGGTGGTATGTGCCTGTAGTCCTAGCTACTCCAGAGGCTGAGCTGGGAGGATTGCTTGAGCCCAGAAGGTTGAGGCTGTCCGAAAAAAAAGACTCACAGCCCCTCTCTTTTCCCTGTCCCCCAGAACGCTGCCAAGAAGAGAGACCAGGAGCAAGTGGAGCTGGAAGGCGAGAGCTCCGCACCTCCCCGCAAGGTGGCGCGGACCGACAGCCCAGACATGCACGAGGACACTTAAGACTCTCAACTCCACAGGCGCCTCCTGCCAGGTCTGCTCCTCGGTCGCCCACCCGCCTGCCCGCCATGTGTAAGCACCCCGCCCGCCCGCCTCCCTGCCGGCCCATCCACACCCTGCGTCCACACCACTTCCAACCTCATAGGAGCCGATGTATTTATTTTCCTTGAGTTTTTATTTATGCTGTAACCTGTATCAAGCGTTGGTTAAAGGGGACATCAGACCCAGTAGTGTGATGTTGGTAGATGCTTTTTAAAAAAAACAACATTGTCCCCCCGACCCCCGCCTTCCATCGGGCCAGTTCCCCGATTCCTGCCCCCAGTTCTCCAGAGAACCAGAGTGTGTCTGTGAGAGTCTCTAGCGGGGGCTTTACTGTGGCCGGGCGACAGGGGCGGGCCCGGGGTGGCCTGACCTACCAGGACAGCCGAGTGGCCTTCTCCCCCCCAACACCGGTCCAGGCCATTGAGACTCGGTCTTGTCCCACGCTTCGCCCGGAACTTTCCCATGCCCAGGCCTCACTCAGCGTGCACGCACGTTGGGGAGAAGTCGGCCCTTGGGATCTTTCTCTTGAGTCATTTTATTTTTATCATGGACTAGTGCGTGCTCCGTGTCCACCCCAATAAAAGGGTCTTTCCTACTTGACCTCGCGTCTTTGCTCCACACACCTTGGCTGCAGAGGACGGAGCCCCTGGGAGTCATCCCTGTTGTCACCAAGAGGAGTGAGAAGGGCCCCCCACGCCAGGGGCCCCAGGACCGGCTGGATTCTCTCGTGGGCTTGCTGAGGCCACCATGTTCAAGGCCAAGACCTGCCTGGACCATCCCCTCTGCCTCTCCTGTCAAGGTGACCCCAAGGACAGGTCATTCCTGAGAGACGGTCCATGGTGCCAAGGATGGAGCGGGGTCAGCCCCCTGCCTGGGATACCGCCAAGCAGGGCAGCGCACCTGTCAGACACCGCAGAGATGGCCGGCCTCATCCGGGGGCCTGGGGTCTCTGGCCTCTGCTGCTCCCCTGAGGCATGGTGACAGTACAGACGGCATCTGGCCGGTCTTGCTGTCCTAGGTGGTGGCCTCACCCTTGCTGGGTCATAGAGGAGCTGTACAGAAGGTTGGCACCTGGCAGTTGGCATGTGCCATGGCCGCTCATGGGGACCCCTCTTCCGCCAGCTGGGCTGGGTTTGGGGCTGAGCTTGGGTATGTAGGGGTGTTCGGGCTCTGGGCAGAAGGTTTGTGGCCCTGACCACTGAGCCTGGGGCTGGGGGAACACCGCTTCTCCCCTTATTGCCCCCACTGGTGGTGGTGGGGATCTCAGTTTTCTTTTGTTTTGTTTTGTTTGTTTGTTTGAGTTGGGGTCTTGTACTCTTTCCCAGGCTGGAGTGCAGTGGCGTAATCACAGCTCACTGCAGCCTCGACCTCAAGCCTTCCTCCCACCTCAGCCTTCCAAGCCGCTGGGACCACAGGCACCCACCACCATGCCTGGCTAATTTTTTTTTTTTTTTGAGATGGAGTCTCGCTGTGTCTCCCAGGCTGGAGTGCAGTGGCAAGATCTCAGCTCACTACAACCTCTGCCTCCCAGGTTCAAGTGATTCTCCTACCTCAGCCTCCTGAGTAGCTGGGATTACACGCGTGCGCCCCTACACCCAGCTAATTTTTCTATTTTTAGTGGAGACGGCGTTTTGTCATGTTGGCCAGGCTGGTCTCGAACTCCTGACCTCAGGTGCTTCGCCTGCCTCGGCCTCCCAAAGTGCTGTGACCGCACCTGGCTGCCTGGCTAATATTTTAAAAATTTTTTGTAGAGACAGGGTTTCACCATGTTGCCCAGGCTGGTCTCAAACTCCTGGGCTCAAGTCATCCACCTTCCTCAGCCTCCCAAAGTGCTGGGGTTACAGACGTGAACCACCGTGCCTGGCAGAGGTCTCTGTTTTGAGAGCTGAGTCTGAGGGCGTTGGGATGGTGTAGGGTTGGGCCACAGAGCTAGCAGACACTCCGGGCTATGGAGGGTCCGCCTGCCCCAGATTCCACTGTGGAGGGCCCTGCCTGTGTCAGACCCTCGGGCCTAGGCGGCCCATCTCTCCCAAGGACGGAGAGTGCCAGGGTGGGCTCCCGTCCTACACAAGGAGTGGCTGACCAGGCCCAGGCACAGCACAGCCACCCTGCTGTACCTCCCAGCTCCCGGCAGTGTCTACACCACAGTGATGGTGCTACAGGGGCCATGTGGTCACAGGACAGGTGGTCAGGAAATGCACACTTGACTGCGGTCGATGGTGCCGGGTCCGGCTGAATGCCCTGGAGGCTCCCAGGCCAGCTGGGGAGTCCCAGTCCCCAGGGTTGGTGTGACCTGGGCAGGCCTGCGGTGTCCATCTGTGAATGACTGAGATGGTGGGACTTCAGCTTCCAAGGCCAGGGGCCAGAGTGGGAGCAGGGGGCACTCCCGCCTTTCCCCTCGGCCTGTCTAGACCTCTCTGGCTCCCAGTTTCTGCTTTGAGTGGCTGGGGGCTGTCTCCTGCCTGTGCTGTCTGCCCGTCGCTCTGCAGGGCTGCTGGGCGGGCACCTCCTTCCCCTCCCCTACCTCAGCTCCCTCCTTTGGGGTCTGAGGGCTGTGCCCCAGCTTGCCTCCCTGTGGCCTCCCCCTAGAACCCCTGGGTCTGTCGGGACATGCCCCACCTGGCACACACACCCTGTGTAGCTCCCACTGCCTGTGGGAGGACGCTGGGCCCCTGAGCCGGCCTCTGTCTACCCCTCCTGCCTTTGGGGTCCCCTTTACCCCACTGTTCCCCCAAACTGCCTTCCACCTTCTCCGCCTTTGCACAGGCTGTTCTCCTGCCTCCAGTGAACTCTGACTTCTCCACAGCCTCCCAAAGGGCCCCTTGCTCACACTGGCCCAGCCCTGCAGCATGGCCATGTTGGTCTCTGAGCCTTAAGCCTTTGGATGTGGACACATTTGTCCTCTTCCTGAAAAATGTGAGGGTCTGAGAGGCCACGTTCCTGTTCCTGAGTCATACGACAGAGTCCCAGTGACTTGGGTCTGATGTCTGTCCCACAGTGGGACATCCCTGCTGCATCCCAATGCCACCCCGTGTCCTGGGGACACCCAAATGTGCCATTCTCTCAGTATCACAAGTCGGGGACTGCAGGAGGCTCAGGTGCCAGGTGCCTTCTGATGTTCATGCCACAAGCTCTTCCCACTGTCTCTGGCTCCCCAGACGATGTTCCAGGAGGCGGGTGTGCCAGAAGGGGCCACGTCTTGCAAACCACCGCGCTGTCCTCTTTGAGAAGGAGTCTTACTCAGGACTGGGGCCTGTGCACACATTGTCGCCTCTTTTCAGCACTTAGAGATTCCTTCCTTTGTCTAGTGGCTGAAGCCAGGGCTGAAGTTGGCCTCCAAATCTGGGCCGTCTCAGAGGCGGCGCAGCCTGGAGTTTTCCATCTGTGGCCAAGACCCAGTTTTTGGGAGGAGGCCCTCATGGGTCAAGCCAGCCTGTACCAGGATGGGGGGAGGGGGTTCCCAACCTAGGCCCCAGCCACCCAGACTCCCCCACCCCCACTCCCTTTTCCACTGCTCTGACCTCGGGCACTGTTGAAATATAGTTTTTATTGCATTTCTGCCGTTTTACAAAAATATGACAAAATAAATTAAAAACAAATAAATAATCGCCTGTTCTGTGTGTGTGTGTGTGTGTGTGTGTGTGTGTGTTTTCTGTTGGATTTGTGGGTTTCCTTTCGTTTGGAAAGGAAAACGGCAGATGGGGGGCACCGACCAATACTGGGGGCCCTCGGGGGCTGAAGCGCATTTTGCATTTTGGAGACCGGCCGCCCCTGTGAATGACTGATATTGCATATGAGAAGAGAAGGCAGGGCGGGTAGAGCTAATGCCAGCCGCTGGGCCAGCACACGGCCTGGGGGCTGGGGCTGGGGCTAGGGGAGGGCGCTGGGGTCTCGAGGGGATCCGAGGTGGGCGGTAGCGGTGGGGGCGGGAGGCTGTAAAAGCTGGCGTCTCCCGGCAGGGGCTGGGGGGCGGGTGGGGGCCCGGCCATGGCACAGGGTGGGCACTCGGCAGCGGCCAGGGCCTGGCGGGGGGCGGCACCCTCGCCCCCGCAGCCCCAGGGCCCGTCCCACTGCCAGCAGCCTGCGGGCGGTGTCGGGGGCCGGGGCAGCGGCATTGGCGGCGGCGGCGCGGGGCTCCGGCTGCGGCGGGTGCGGAGGGCAGGGGCGCCCACGGGGGCCAGCGCTGTCCCTGCGGAGGCGAGAGGGGCCGTTCCGGGGGGATGCCGCCCCCGCCGGACCCCGCCGGGCTGGCAACCCTGCCCGCGCTCCCTCCCGGGCATCCAGGCACATAAAGGCCTTATTGCTTCTGATCAGAGACTGAGGTGGGGCGGCCCCCTGGGCGGCTTCCGGTGCATACCCTGCCTCTGGGCACGGCCCTGCCGGTCACAGGGGGAGGACAGTTTGAGGAAGTCCCTCTGGCTTCTGACCTATGGCCCTTGTGCTGCAGCTGCCACCTGTTGGGCTCCCTGGGAATGGGGTTGCTGGAGCCCAGGCTGGGATTGGGGCAGGGGAGGTGGTGGGGGTGGGAGGGTAGGGGTGAGGCCTGCACCTCTGCTCAGCACATGTGGGAGCTCCCTGGGTGGGCAGCCCCAGCCCCACCTCGAGGAAGGCCTTCCTGAACAGCTGGGCTGCAGGGTGTGGATTTGCATAGAGGCCTGGGGGGTCAAGTCCCCCCCAAGAGTGAGCTGGAGCAGGAGAAGGGTGGGCTGGTTGGGAAACAGGCCTCCCTCATCTCTCCTGGCACCGGAGCATGGTGGGGGTCCCTGGGTGCAGTCCTGGGACAAGGGGCTTTGGCATCCCTCCCTGGGGAGGGTCAGGCACGGGGCTCCAGGCTAACAAAGGCCCTGGAGATACTAAGCAGGCTTTAACTGAGAGGCTCCACGTACCACTGACCCAGGTCCCCACCAGGACCTAAGACCGGGCTTCCCCTGTCCCCTTCAGCCCCTCTCCCCAGGCCTGGCCACCCTACCCTATCCCCAAAGCCGGCCCGGCGTCCCCACCCCCGAGTTAAAGCTTGTGACCTGAGCCTTCCTCTTCGGGCCGGGGGGCTTCCAGCTCCTCAGCCAGGGCCTCGTCCACCGGCCCACTCCTCTGAACCCGGCTGCTGCCACTGCTGGGGGTCCCATCTGGCCGGGCCTGCCCGCCCGCCCCGTTGGACCCAGGCTCAGCCCGGGTGCCACCAAAGGGGAAGAGCTTGCCAGCATGGAAGGCTTTGGGCGGTGAGTGGCTGCGCTCAGAGTCCCGCCGGGTCTCGGGTGACTTGAGGAACTTGAAGCTGAGGAAGGCAGGCAGGCGGGTGTCGCTGCCTGTGGGTGACTGGGCAGGGGGAGGCCGGGTGGTGGCTCCGGCCCCTGCAGCAGCCAGTGAGGATGTGGCCCCTGACGAGAGGAATTTGCCCTGCAGTGGGATGATCTGCTTCAACTTCATGACGTTGTTGGGTGCCAGCAGGGACCCTGGGCGCTTGGGCCGTTCAGGCCCGTGGCCACCCGCAGTGCTGCCCTTGGCCTTGGCAGAGGCCTTCTCGGAGGAGGTGGCAGGGTCCAGCCCAGAGCCCTCGGCCCTCGCCTCCTCTCGGCCACCAGAATCATGCTCCCGCCGGGCATGGTGCTCTGCATGGCGCTGTCGCTCCTCCTCCTCCCGCCGCCTGCGCTGCTGCTGCTGGTAGCGATGCTGGGCCTGGCGCTCGTGTCTCTGCAGGTAGAGCCAAGCCGTTACAGGACTAAGAAGAAAGGGTGTTAGCGGGTGCCAGCTGAGGCTGGTGCATGCCAGGGCTCTCTGCAAAAGTGGGGGAGACTTAAATGCTTATTAGGCTCCAACTGTATCCCTGCACCCACAATGGGGGCTCCCTGCAGAAGTGGGAGAGAGCCAATCACTTATTGGGTGCAAACGGCATTCCCAGATACATGATCAGCCTCTCTGTGGAAATGAGGGAGGCTTAAATGCTTATTGGGGCTGGGCGCAGTGGCTTGCGCCTGTAATCCCAGCACTTTGGGAGGCTGAGATGGGAGGATCACTTGAGGCCAGGAGTTCGAGACCAGCCTGGACAAAATGGCAAAACCCTGTCTCTACCAAAAATATAAAAATTAGCTGAGCATGGTGGCACACGCCTGTAATTCCAGCTACTCGGAAGGCTGAGGCAGGAGAATCGCTTGAACCCGGGAGACGGAGGTTGCAGTGAGCTGAGATTGTGCCATTGCACTCCAGCCTGGGGACAAAGCGAGACTGTCTCAAAAAAGAGAAAAAGAAAAAAAGCGTATTGGGCGCCAGCTTCATCTCTGGGCCCACACTGAGGTTCTCTGGGGAACTGGAGAGAGATTCCGAGGCTTATTGGGTGCAACTGAATGAATCCCTGGACCCACGCCGGTACTTTCTGGGAATTGAAAAGAAAACAAACATTCACTGGCCATCAACTCTGTCCCCGGCTGTGTGCCAGACAGCGTCTTAGGAATTGGTAAAGTGGAAACCAATCCTGAGCCTCAACCGATCCCCTGCTTCCCAGAGAACAGGCAAGAGACAGAACCGTGGCTGCAGGCTGGGTACGGTGGCTCACGCCTATAATCCCAGCACTTTGGGAGGTGGGCAGATTGCTTGAGGTTAGGAGTTGGAGACCAGCCTGGCCAACATGGTGAAACCCCATCTCTATTAAAAATAGAAAAATTAGCCAGGCGTGGTGGGACATGCCTGTAATCCCAGCTATTTGGGAGGCATGAGAATTGCTTAAACCTGGGAGGTGGAGATTGCGGTGAGCCGAGATTGTGCCACTGCACTCCATGCACTCCAGCCTGGATGACAGAGTGAGAGAGATTCTGTCTCAAAGAAAAAACAAAAACAAAAACAAAAAGGACTATGGCTGCAGCAGACTATACCCAGGTAGCCACGCGAGGCTCTGTTCAATAAAATAAAAATTCAGTTTCTCGGTCGCAGCAGCTGCACTTCAACGTGCTCACTTATCACCTGTAGCTAAAGGCTGCAGGGACAGTGCAGACAAAGGACATTGTCATCCTCGAGGAATGTTCCCTGTGCAGGCACTGGGGAGCTCCTTGGCCCATTCTGTAGCTTTCTGAGGAATGCGGAAGAAGCTGCGCTTCTAGGAAGCCTCCGCTGTGTCCCTGGCCCCCTAACAGGATGCAATCGGGCAAGCTGGTGGATGGCTGAAGGTTCTGAAGGGCCAGCCTCGTGCTGGATGCTGCCAGGATTCCAGAAGCGACTGGACCCGTTGTGAACACTAGTTATTATTGCTTATTATTACTCTTTTTAGAGACAGGGTCTTGCTCCATCACCCAGGCTGGAGTGCAGTGGCGCAATCATAGCTAGCTGCAGCCTCAAACTCCTGGGCTCAAGCGATCCTCCCACTTTGGCCTCCCAAAGCGCTGGGATCATAGGAGTGAGCCACTGCACCCAGCCAGGGAGCACTAATTATTATACCCAGCTCTGTGCAGTCTCTGCATTTGCCCTTACGCTAAGGAATTGGCCACCAAGATCAGAGATCCACCAGCAGCCCCACCAATGAGAAAACCGAGCCCAGCCTGGCCCCCCTACCTTAAAGGCCTCGCGGCGCTGGTACTCCAGCTTGGCCATTTCCTCGGCCACCCAGCCCGGGATATCGGGGATGGCCACGTGGATGAGGTACTTGAGGAGCAGAGCGAAGTGCTGCAGGGGTGGCAGAGAGGAGGCTGCAGGCTGCAGACGCTGGGGCCGCCCTCTCGCCTCCCAGCTGCCCCCGCCCCTGTCGCCGGCCCCACCTCGAGCACTACCACCGACACGATGGCTGCCTCCGGGCTCAGCCAGGGGAAGAGGCGCTGCAGCTGCCCGCACTGGCCGATTAAGTAGCAGTTGACCACAATCGCTAGGACACCCATGGCCTCCATCACCTTCTGCAGGGCGGCAGGAGGGCTCAGGCGGGGTCCAGCCGGCCTCCCCAGACCCCAGGCTCCTCCCAGCTGCACCTGGGCTCCCTCTGGGCCTCAGCTCGGATCTCTTGGCTTCCCCCCACCTGCCACTGGCCGATGCTTTCCACGCGCTGGCCGAAGGGCCGCTGCAGCCCGGTGCACAGCTTGAAGGCGTCGCTGCGGATCTCAATGAGGTTGTTGACCAGGGCGCACAGCGCCGCCAGGGGGAAGGCGGACGAGAAGAGCACAACGTAGCCGAACTGCACGAACATCTCCTGGTAGTCCTGGAACGTGTCCTGCGAGTGGGCGGGCCTCAGACCTGGAAGCCTCTTCCCTGGGACAATCTTTCTCCCATTGAGCCCGCCTCCCTCAGATTATCCCATGTGGACCCAGGGCCTGTCCCCATCCTCAGCCAGCCCAGAGGCTTCCTGTATCTGGCTAGGCCTTCCTCTCCTGCAGCATCCCAACATCAATGGCCCTGTTATCACCACTCCCACCCCCACGGCCTTCACCCTCGGACGGTGTGTCCCGTCCCCGGCGAGGCCCCGCCCCCTGCGAGGCCCCGCCCCCTCCTCACCTCGTACTTCTTCATACAGCTCTCCAGCTCTGCCTGGGTGAGCTGGGGCGAGTGTTCCTCCTCCGGCGGGTCAATCCAAGACGACCGGTTCTGCCGTCTCTGCCTACGGGTCGAATCGCTGTTGGAGCCGGGTTCCGGGTCCGGGCCCCCGTCGGGCCCCTGGTCTCGGCCCTCGCCCCCGGCCCGGCGGAACAAGATGGCCGGGGGCTCCCGTTCAGGGCTGCCGGGAGCCCCCTCCGCCTCGTCGTCCTCCTCGGCCAGGGTGAACACTCCCGGCTCCAGCCCCTTCTCCACCATAGTGGGGCTCCCTTCCTCCAGGAGGGCCTCCGGGCTTGGGCCGGGCCGACGCCGCCCCGCGCCGCGCTCAGCGAAGCTGACCTTCTTCAGCCGGAGCCCGCAGTCCAGGAGGCCCCCTTCCTCGCCCTCCTCCTCGTCCTCCTCTTCCTCCTCGTCCTCCTCCTCCTCGTCGTCCTCGTCCTCCTCCTTGCCCCCTGGAGGCCCGTCCCCCTCCTCCCCGCCTTCCCCCGCCCGCCGCCGCTCCACCAGCGCCGCCTCCTCCTCCTCCTCCGGCGCCCCGCAGCCCCCGCTGAGGCACCTGCGGCCCCCGCCCCCGCTGCCGCCGCCCCCGCCCTCATCCGCCTGGGGTTCGAGGCGGCGGGGCGCAGGGCGCCGGAGGCTCAGGAGGCCAAGCAGGGCTCGGGCCAGCTCCCAGACGGCCCGCAGGCCCAGCTCGCCGCGGCCCAGGCGCCGGTACAGGTGCGGCTGCAGGACCTCGCGCACGTTCTGGAGGAACTGGCGGGTGATCAGCAGCGTGGCCAGCATCTGGGGGCAGGAAGGGGAAGGAGAGAGGCGCGTGGGGGGCAAGCGGGGCGCCGGGATCGGGGGACTCACCCTCCCTGGGCGCCCCGCCGGAGCACCGTGCCCAGACACACGCCGAATCCGGTTCCTAACTCCGCTGCTTTGGACGCGCCTCGACGCGAGGCCCCCAGCGCTCAGCCACAAAATACAGCCTGGCACGCGCAGCGCTCCTCGCCCACCTCACGGGCAGGCCCAGCGCGTCTCCACCCCACCGCGGGCTCTGTCGGTGCACTGGGCCGCGTGCGCCCCCAGCCGCCTGCACCTGCTTGCTGGCCGCCCCCGACCCCAGATTCCCTCCGCGCATGCGCCCTCAGCTCGGCGCGCCAGGCCCCCAGCACAGCCACGCTGCCCACCCCGGCGAGGACCCACGGGCTCGCCACCTGCCCGTACTTTGGCCCGGGCCGCGAGCAGGAGGCCCCGGAGGGAGAGGAGGAGCAGGCGGAACCGCAGGGCCGCGAGCGGGACCAGCACCGCCTGCAGCTGCCGCTCGAGGCTCTGGGACAGGGACAGGACGAGCAGGAGCTGTGAAGGGACCGACGGACAGATGGACGGACAGATGGGGGGACGACAGGCAGAGAGAGGACGCACAGACGACGGACAACGGACGGACAGACAGGAGAGAAGGATGGAGGAGGGGAGGGAGGGGCTGGAGAGCCCTTGGACCCCTTGTGCCGGGTCTGGCCCCTCGCTGGCCGCCATGGGGGCAGGGGGGACTGCCGCTGGGGCGGGGGTCTCACCTCTTTCAAGCGCTCCATGTCCTTGAGGTAGAAACCGATGTAGAAGAGGCTCAGGTACGAGTTGACAAACTGGAACTGCAGGAAGGAGGCAGGCGGTGGTCATCCTGCACCCCCACCCGACTCCTTGGAGCCTTCCTTGTGCCCCATACAGACGGCACAGCTTCCCCGTTGTCCCCCTGCCTGTCCGATGGTGGTGACTCACCAGGACAACTTTGATGATGAGGTGCTTCTCATAGGCGCTCTCCAGCCGGTAATTTTCTAGGGGCCAAGGGGGGGAGTGAGGGGGCAGCCGCGGTCCCCCCAAGGGTGGCAGGGATCCCAAGGGGCAGTGGAGACCTTCCTCCCAGAGACCCCCTGGCAGGTCGTACCCATGTCATTGAGCCAGATGGCTAGCTTCTTGTAGCCCTCGGCACTCACACTGACAAGCAGGGCCAGCATGACCTTAGGCAGGAATCGGGCGAGACGGGGCAACCCCTTCACGCTCAGCACCAGCTCCTGCGGGAGAAGGGGGTTCAGGGCTCATCCCAGCTGCAGGGCTCAGCCCAAGGTGGAGCTAGGTACCAAGGACAGGGCGGGTGAGGGTATGGGGGGTCACCTGCAGCTGGAAGCAGCCAAGCATGAGCAAGAAGACACAGACGAGGCACGCCAGGCACAGGGGGAGGCTCACAAGCAGCTGGAAGAGCAGCCGCTTCCAGGGCGGGTAGTAGAACTCCTCGGCCCGCGTGATGGGGCTGATACGTCGCACGCCCTGATGGTGGGCAAAGACCGGGCCCAGCATGAGCTCAGAGGGGCCACCTCTGCCTTCTGCACCCCTCCCTATCCTCAGAACTCAATTTCCCTCCATCATGCGGAGGTGACCCTCTCAGGTCACCCACCTAGGGCACTGTTCCCAGTCCCTCAAATCCAACTTCCACCTCTCCCCCTGGGGAGCACACAGAGCCCGCCTCGGTTTGGCATACCCTCTTTGATGAAACAATCCTGTTTCACACCTCTCTGCCTTTGCTCCTGCAGTGCCCCCCACCATTTACCTTTGTCCTGTCTCCATGACCCTGGACTCAGCCCCCAACTGACCCTGAACTGGGGGCGTGGCTCCTCCACGGCTTCCCCAGGTGAGTCCAGCGTCCCCCACTTATATGCCAGCTCAGCCCCTCTCCGCTTCCATTCCTCTAGGAACAGCGTCGACCAGATCACGTTGAAGAGGGCAAAGACCACGCAGGAAACATCCCGGCTTGTCTGTGAGTGGCAGAGAAGAGTTGAGTCATTGTTTGTGCCAGTCCAGAAAGGAGGGCGCCTCTGGATCCCCCAGACCTTGCAGGGTCCCTGCCCAGTACCTGATCAGCCTCTGTGAATGTGTACAGGACAGACCCGAAGACAGCTGGGTATACCATAGCCGACGTGTAGAAGCCCAGCCAGGCGAAGTACATGGCAATTTTCACACCAAAGTAATCACAGATGTCATCTGCCAGGGGACAAGTGGGTCTCAGTCACCCCCTGCCTGTCTGCTGGGACTCCCTCCCACCCCCCAGCCCAGGCAGCACCTAGAGGCTGGTTTTCACACACGGCCTGCACCCATGACTTCATGAGGCGGTTCAGAATACGCTGCTCGTGGACAGGGAACACCTGCTGGATGATCCCACGTGCTGCCAGCTCCGGGACTGTGGAGGGAGGAGCACAGGTGATCCCCGCCCCTCCACCTGTGCCTAGCCTGGCTAGCCCCTCTTTGTCTGAAACCCAAGTCACAGCTTTTTGCCTGCTCTTAAACCTCTAGAGCTCTTTCCAGGGGAGAAGTTCTAGACGGATAGAAGATCTGATTCTCCTTCAGAAATTGTAGGTGCAGGGGCAGGCGGGGAGAATGTAAAGGAACTGGGAGAGTGGGGTTCTGGTGAGGAACCATGTTTTTTTTTTTTTTTGAGACAGTCTCACTCTGTCGCCCAGGCTGGAGTGCAGTGGCGTGATCTCCGCTCACCGCAACCTTCAAGCGATTATCGTGCCTCAGCCTCCGGAGTAGCTGGGATTATAGGCGCCCACCACCACGCCCAGCTAATTTTTGTATTTTAGTAGAGACGGGGTTTCGCCATGTTGGCCAGGCTGGTCTCAAACTCCTGACCTCAAGTGATCCACCTGCCTCGGCCTCTCAAAGTGCTGAGATTACAGGTGTGAGCCACCGCGCCCGGCTTTTTTTTTTTTTTTTTTTTTTTAGACGGGGTCTAGCTGTGTCACCAGGCTGGAGTGCAGTAGTGCGATCTCAGCTCACTGCAACCTCTGCCTCCCGGGTTCAAGCGATTCTCCTGCCTCAGCCTCCCGAGTAGCTGGGACTACAGGCGCGCGCCAACCACACTTGGCTAATTTTTGTATTTTTAGTAGAGATGGGGGTTTCACCATGTTGGCCAGGATGGTCTCGATCTCCTGACCTCGTGATACGCCCGCCTCAGCCTCCCAAAGTGCTGAGATTACAGGCGTCAGCCACCGCGCCCGGCCTTATTTTTTACTTTATTTATTTATTTGTTTGAGACAGGGTCTCGCTCTGTCACCCAGGCTGGACAGAATGCAGTGGCGCTACCATGGCTCACTGCAACCTCGAACTCCTGGGCTCAAGTGATGCTACCGCCTGGACCTCCCAAAGTACTGGGAGCCACTGCGCCTGTTCCCCTGCTTTAAATAAAGCTCAGTTTGTGGACCCGAACGTCTGAGGAATGGTAAAAACTTGCTGTCGGAAGGTGAACTTGGGTGCCTAGTTTCCTGGAGGGGAATCCAACGCCCAGAGCCGCACCACTCTGTAAGTGGAGTGCTGTCCATGGTTCCTGCCTCCACTTTATCCCAAACCCAGAAAAGGGCCTCTCCTGGACCCACCTCCCAGAAATAAGCCCCACCCTTTGGCCAAAGCCTCGCCCCCTCAGCTCATTGGTTCCCAACCCTTTGCCAACCCCTAACTGGTTGGACATAAGCCCTGACCTCCTGTCCTGATAAGCTGTCCTCTCAGAGCTCCACCCAACTCAGGAGATAAGCTCCACCCTTTTGCTAAGGCCACACCCCTTTAGCTCATTGGTTTCCTAACTCTTTGCCAACCCCTGACTGGTTGGATCTGGGCCCCGCCCTCCTGCTCCTATAAGCTGTCTTTGAAGAGCTCCACCCAACTCTCTGCCTGTGATTGGTGTTGACCCCGCCCTGCTCACTGATTGGCTGGTCCTCCAGGAAGCGCACGTTGTGGAGTGCTTCTCCCTGCTTGGCACGCAAATTCTGCAGCCAGAAGCGGATGATGCTCTGGCGTTCCTGCGAGGAAGAGGGCGTGAGCTCAGGGAACTCATAGGCACAGGATGCATGCGGGGGCCCAGAGCCGGCCTCACCTGGGAGGTGAAGAAGCGTAGCTCGCTCTCCACATTCTCATAGATAAAGTCCTCCTCGCAGGAGAAGCCGCGGGTGCCCCCGCCAAACTCGGCCTTCACTGCTTTGCGCAGACCCAGCTCGTCGGCCCCTCGGAGTAGGCTGTGAAGAAGGCGGAGGAGGTGGGCTCACAGGGAGGCCCCGGCCCACCATCCTGGAGCTGAGGATGGTGCACCTGGCAGCCTTTGGGACAAACGCAGGGCGGCTGGATAGCATGGTTGGCACTTGGTAGAGCGGGGAGTCGGGTGGCAGGCTCAGCGAGAGGCCAGGGACAGGGGACTCGCCTCTCATACGTGGCGGTGACAAAGAAGGCGTAGGCACGCGTGTGGCGGTGGTGGCGGACTTGCACGATGAGCTCGGGAATGCCCACGCGGATGTGGTTCAGCAGCCATAGCAGCGTGTGGTCATCGGTCGTGTCTGCCAAGGGGCACAGGGACCGATGGCTCCTGCCACGAGGGGGCCCAAGGCCTCCTACGTATTCCCGTTCTGGGAAGCCGAGCTCAGGAGAGCCGCATCTGGGCACTGGGCGGGCGGGCGGGCGGGCTTGGGTACCTGGGAAGGTCATCAGCACGTCGCAGTTCTCTGTAGGCACCGTCTTCATCCACGCCTTGTGGGACACCAGGTAGCGACCAGCCTGCAGGAGCCGCTTTCCGAAAAGCTTATCTAGGGGGCGGCGTAGCAGGCCCGGGTCAGGCCACTCTGGGATCCGGACCCGGCCTCCAGTCTTGGCTCCTCCTGCCCCCGCCAGGGCTCCTCACCACTCCACCTGGCATTCAAGGCCCCGGGAGCTCTGGGCTTGGCTTATTTTCCTCCCTCCACGTCCTTGTACCAGCCAGGCCTTCCTCCAGAAATGCCCTTCCCCCCAGATCCTCCCTTACAAATCTTACTCATTCTTGAGGCCCAGCTCCGCCTCCAAAACCACAATCGATGGGGCGCTCACTAGCAGCCCTGAGCGCTTCACCACATTATGACAGCGCCGTCCTTGCAGCAGCCCCAGGGACTAGGTGCGGTTCTTACCCCCATTTCACAGGTGAGGAAACTGAGGCCCAGAGCGTTTAAGTCACGCGCCCAAGGTCACACAGTCAAGCTGGGATTTGAACCCAGGACCGTATGATTCTGTATTCTTCGCGGAGAGGCTCTCTCAAGCACATCCCTGGCCCGCCGCGATCCCGCAGCCCGGGGGTGGCAGGGCGCAGCCCAAGCCTGGGGCTCTCGGAGGGGCGTGTCCGCGTCTCCGCGCCGGGACCCCAGCCCGAAGCACCGTCCCAGCCCCGCCCGCCGGGCCGCAGCCGCAGTGCCGGGAGGAGCCGGCCCCTCGTCCAGACACCACGCCAGGTTACGTTTGACCCTGATCCTCCTCCCCGTGTAGTTGACGCGGGCTCCCCAGGCACCTGCAACCCTGTCTGGTCCAGCCGCCGCACACATACCCAGAACTCCGGACGCCGGGGCTGCAGGCTCGCCCTCCGGCGGGGGCCTCTTGCCACGCTCGCCCTCCAGGGACGTGCCCCCGGCGCCGGAGGCGGCCTCGGCCATGGCGAGGACAGGTCAGGTCAGGGGCTACGGACGGCCCGGGCGACGGGGAGCCGCGGGCTCATGGGGCCGGTGCAGCCGCGGAGCGCGCGGGAGGAGGAGACAAAGGCCGCGCCCGCCCGCGCCGGCCTCGGTCCTCGCTCGCCCGAGCGCTGCTTCTCGTCCCCGCCCGAGCCGAACCTCGATTCTCCTTCCCGGCCCGATGCACGTCACTCTAGGGTTCTCAGCTGAGTTCGCCCGCCTAGTTCTTTGGTTCGCGTCTCCGCCCGTGTTGTTTTCTGGGTTTCCTTCTCGCCCGCCTACCTCGCTCCCTGCTGCTGGTCCCCGCCCGCACTGATGGTGCATTCTCCAACTTGTCCCCACCCATGCTTTCTTCTGGTCCCCGCCTCGGAGCCTCAGTTTCCCCATCTGCAAACTCCGGACCCTGGAGACGCTGTTTGGAATGTGAGATGGGCGTAAGTTGACTAAGGGAGGACGTGGGAGGGGCGGGCCGGTTGGGGAAGATTCCTGGTGACAATAACTTCAACCACCCCAGTAGGGCTGTGATACATAATTACAGCAAGCCCTGCTTAGGAACTTTGCACGCACCATTTGGCTGCCTAGAACACTCCTCATGCACTCTTCGTCCGGTTAACACCGACTCCCTTCAGGATGTAACCTCGGAGAGGATCCCATAGAGTTGTCAAGTTTAGCAAATAAAAATACAGTCCGTCTAGTTAAATGTAAATTTCAGATAAAAGAATAAATGTTAGCTGGGCGGGGCGCACCTGTAATCCCAGCTACTTGGGAGGCTGAGGCAGGAGAATCGCTTGTGCTCAGGAGGTCAAGGCTGCAGTGAGCTGAGATCACACCCACTGCACTGCATCCTGGGCGACAGAACGAGACCCTGTCTCAAATACATATATATACATACATACATAAATGTTTCTATGTCCTATGTCTACATGGGACATACTAGTACTAAAAAATTATTCATTGTTTATTTGAAATTCACATTTAGCTGGGCGACCTGGGTTTTACCTGGCATTTGGCCAACCCCTGACTATTCTGAGTAGCTCAGTCTGTTAGACTGAAAGCCCAGCGAGGGTAGGAACGAGGGGCCAGGTCTGGTTCTCAATGCGAGCACACAGTAGGCGCTTGCTGTACGCTTGTTACAGATGTAACAACTAGCTTGTTACAGATGTAATAACTAGCTTGTTACAGATGTAACAACTAGAGAATGGCAGATGAAATATAAATATGTCATCATTTGTTCCTATTTTACAACTTAAAATATTAAAGCCTCGGCCGGGCGCAGTGGCTCACGCCTGTAATCCCAGCATTTTGGGAGGCCAAGGCGGGTAGATCACCTGAGGCAAGGAGTTCGAGACCAGCCTGACCAACATGGCCAAACCCTGTCTCTATTAAAAATACAAAAAATTAGCCAGGCATGGTGGCGCACGCCTGTAGTCCCAGCTACTTGGGAGTCTGAGGCAGGAGAATCGCTTGAACCTGGGAGGCGGAGGTTGCAGTGAGTCTAGATCGCGCCACTGAACTCCAGCCTGGGCGACAGAGCGAGACCCCGTCTCAAAAAAAAAAAAAAAAAAAAAAAAAAGCTTGGGCAACGTAGTGAGATCCCCGTCTCCACCAAAAAAACGAAAACAAAACAAACAAACAAAAACAACAAACAAAAAGAAACACCGAAAAGTTAGACTGGCATGGTGGCTCGCGCCTGTGGTTCCAGCTACTCAGGAGGCTGAGGCGGGCGGATCCCTTGAGCCCAAAAGTTGGAGGTTGCAAGAGCCGTGATCGCGCCACTGCACTCCAGCCTGGGCGACAGAGTGAGACCCTGTCTCAAAAATAAAATAAAATAAAATAATAAAGTAAATAAAAATATTGAGCAGGGCGAGGTAAGGGGGTATTAGAACTCTATTCTGTCAGACAGATTTTTCTTAACACGCAAGTGCGCCGCCCGCCCGCTCTGATCCAGAACCAGAGAATCCGCCATGCGAAGGCGCTCCCGGAGACCCCGCCCAGCCAGTGCCTGGAATTCCACCATCAGCGCTTTATTCCGAGTTTCAGTGCTGTCCTGGGTTAACCTGAAAGCAATCTCCGAGGCTCCCCTTTCTGGCTTTCGGGGAGCCAGAGACTGACCGGACACTTGGCTCTGCAGGTGCAGACCTGGACCAGAGAGACAGAGAGCCAAGGAAGTCCACAGTGGAGAGAGGGCTGTGCTGGGGGTTCCAGGAAGACTTCCTGGAGGAGGGGATCTTGGAGCTAGGCCTTGAAGACGAGTTTGTCAAATGAGGAAGGGCATCCGAAGCCGAGGGAACGGCAGAAGGGAACGCTGGGGAGGGGAGAGAATCTGGAGAGTTCCGGAAAAAGCAAGTAGGACTCTTTCCAGAAGTTCGGGCAAGATTTTCCCTGGATCAGGGCGTGGGTTCTCCAGTACTCGTCCCTCCCGGTCACCGAGATGCTCTGAGTTTCCGGTCTGAACCTGAACGTAAAGAGGTGTAGTCCCTCCTTTCTTGAACGGGAAAACTGAACGCACATAGGTCCTTGCCACGCCTAAGGCTGCGGAGTGAGCAGATGGAAAATGCGGGACTCAAAACCTCCCCTCGCTGTAATTTGCACTGCCCTGTGCCAAACTCTGTCCTTTCTTCCATTCCTTATTCCTATTGTCAGCCTCGCTGCGCTAGGACCCTAAAAATTTGGTCTCATGTTGCCCGGGGAACAACATTTCGCTACACCTACCTCCATACCGCCTCCCGCTCCCGCTCTCCCTTGCACCAGCCAATGGAAGCGAGTATCTTCAGACGGTGGGCAGGACGTATCCTAAGATACCCAATGGTGGTCGAGAATAGTTGAGCACTTTACTAGTCAAGCCGCGGAGTGGGCGGGGCCCCCTGCCCAGACTTGAAGCCACACAGGCAGGTCGGGCAGGCGGGTCGCAGGTTGTAAATCCATGTGGCGGGGGCTTTGGACCCTGGCGGCCCAAGCGGCACGTGGGCCTCGCAGGTGGGGCTACAGGGGAAGGGGTGCGACAGCTTGGGGTGCTGCTTGGACCCCAGACCCACTCCCTGGGTTTTAGGGGCCCAATTCCCTGCGGCAGAGCAATCATTCGCGTTCTTCCGTGCCTCAATCGTTCATGACCCTTGCGGCAGAGCCCATATCTGGGTCTCCTTCTGGCCTCACAGTCCCTAATCCGGTCACCCTTCGGCCTTCAGAACATCCAATTTGTGCATCCCCCAGCCGCAGAACCCCCCCACCTGGAGCATCTCGCGATCATCGAGCCCTCGGTCTACTTGACACTGAGGCTGAGCCTCCCAGGTGCGCTGATTCGCCTCCCCTCCGGTTCCAGATTGTGCACGCGCCGGAGCAGCGGCGCACCAGCCCCCGGCTCCGGCGCCACCATCTTCGCGCTAAGCTCTGGCCAAGGCCGCTGCGGCATCGCAGTGATCCGGACCAGCGGCCCCGCCAGCGGCCACGCCCTCCGAATTCTCACAGCACCCCGAGACCTGCCCCTTGCTCGCCACGCCAGCCTGCGCCTGCTCAGCGATCCCCGCTCCGGGGAGCCTCTGGACCGCGCACTGGTGCTCTGGTTCCCAGGTGAGGGTCCCCAGGTTCCGAGCCTCCTGTAGGTCCCATGACTCAGTTTCCCCCTTCCAAGGGTTTGCACTGGCTGTGCTGTCCTCCTGTCACCTGTCTGTCACATTAGGTCCCCAGAGTTTCACCGGTGAGGACTGCGTGGAGTTCCACGTGCATGGAGGCCCGGCAGTGGTGAGCGGCGTCCTGCAGGCCTTGGGTGAGTTGCAGCGTTGGGTGAGATGCTTGGTCCTCCCAATGGGCCTGGGTGGGGACCAGGGGGTGTCAGACTGGGACCTTCCTGCAGGCAGCGTGCCAGGGCTTCGACCGGCGGAGGCAGGCGAGTTCACCAGACGGGCGTTCGCCAATGGGAAGCTGAACCTGACCGAAGTGGAGGGGCTGGCGGACCTTATCCACGCGGAAACAGAGGCGCAGCGGCGGCAGGCCCTCAGGCAGCTGGACGGAGAGCTGGGCCACCTCTGCCGTGGCTGGGCCGAGACCCTCACCAAAGCAAGTCCCCCATTTGTCCATTCTCTCCCTCAGAGACCCCATCTGTGCAACCCCTGCATGAGACCCCCTCTCAATCCCGCATTCATTCCCTGCGTGAAAGCTTCCGGCCTATGAGCCGCCATTCTGGCCCCTGAAGTCGGGCTGGACAAATTGGGTGTGGGAAGGTGGGTTTCTGGGTGCACACACCACCTCTGCTCTCCCTGCCCCGCCAGGCTCTGGCCCACGTGGAGGCCTATATCGATTTCGGCGAGGATGACAACCTGGAGGAGGGGGTCCTGGAGCAAGGTGGGTCTACCTGGTGGTGGGGGAGGAAGACACCTCATATCAGCCCTCAAAGGCTCCCCTCACTGTCTCTCTCTGCCTGCCTTCTCTCACCCACAGCCGACATCGAAGTACGGGCACTGCAGGTGGCCCTGGGTGCACATCTACGAGATGCCAGGCGCGGGCAGAGGCTCCGCTCAGGGGTGCACGTAGTGGTCACTGGACCCCCCAATGCGGGCAAGAGCAGCCTAGTGAACCTGCTCAGTGAGTAGGCGGCGGGAAGGGGGCGGGGCCTAGTGCCAGGGGCGGGGCCAAGAGCTGGGTTATTGAGTTAGTTGTTCAGGTCTAAAGCTCCCTCCAGACATGGGGTAGAACCTGGGGGAGGAGCTCCCTTGTCTCCACCCTCTCCTCTTCTTCTGACCCTCCCCCAGGTCGGAAGCCTGTGTCCATCGTGTCCCCGGAGCCAGGGACCACCCGTGACGTGCTGGAGACCCCAGTCGACCTGGCCGGATTTCCTGTGCTGCTGAGCGACACGGCTGGGTTGCGGGAGGGCGTGGGGCCCGTGGAGCAGGAGGGCGTGCGGCGCGCCCGGGAGAGGTGGGCGGACAGGGTGGTGATGGGAGGGGAACGCGGGGCCCTTTCTCTGCCTTTTCTCCCTGTTGCGTTTATTTTTCATTCTTCCTGAATCAGAGAACCTGCTAAGCCCTATCAAGCATGGATCTCAGGGATTTGGTTCTTTTTTTTTTTTTTTTTTTTTACTCCGAGACCGAGTCTTGCTCTGTCGCCCAGGCTGGAGTGCAGTGGCGGTATCTCAGCTCACTGCAAGCTCTGTCTTCCGGGTTCAAGCAAGTCTCCTGCCTCAGCCTCCCAAGTAGCTGGGATTACAGGCGGGAGCGACCACGCCGAACTATTTTTTTTTTTTTTTTGTATTTTTAGTAGAGATGAGGTTTCACTATGTTGGCCAGGTTGGTCTCTAACTCCTGAGCCTCGGCCTCCCAAAGTGTTGTGAGCCCACCGCACCTGGCCTGGTGTTTTGTTTTTGTTTTTGAGACGGAGTTTCGCTCTTGTTGCCCAGGCTGGAGTGTGCAGTGGTACAATCTCGGCTCACTGCAACCTCCGCCTCTCGGGTTCAAGTGATTCTTCTGCCTGGGCCTCCCGAGTAGCTGGGATTAGAGGCGCCCACCACAATGCCAGGCTAATTTTTTGTATTTTTAGTAGAGATGGGGGTTTCACCATGTTGGCCAGGCTGGTCTCGAACTCCTGATCTCAGGTGACCCGCCTGCCTCGGCCTCCCAAAGTGCTGGGATTACAGGCGTTAGCCACTGTGCCCGGCCAGTGATTTAGTTCTGATTAAGTCCTGCCCCCGGCCCTCCGGACATGTTTCTCATCCCTAAGCCCTCCGCCCAGCCCTCACGTTCTGCCCCGCCCTCTCGTGCTCTGTCCCGCCCTGGCACTCCGCTCTGCCCCTTGCGGTCTATCCCATCCCCTGTGCTCTGTCCACCCCCTACATTCTGCCCCACCCCTGGTGCTCTCTACCCCTTACCCTGTGGTGTGTCTGGTCCTTCTTGCTCTGCCCCGCCACTCATGGTCGCCCCACTCCAGTGCTGTACCCGGCCCCTTTTGCTCTGTCCCAGCCCCTGTGCTGTGCCCTGTCCCTCTTGCTCTGCTCTTCCCCCTGCACAGTGCTCTGCCCCTCTTGCTCTGCCCCGCCCTCCTGTGCTGTGCCCCGCCCCTCCTGCCCTGCCCTACTCACTGCACTGTGCCCAGCCCCTCCTGCTCTGCCCCGCTCCCGCACCGTGACCGCTCCTCTTGCTCTGCCCTTCCCCCTGCACTGTGCCCCGCCCCTCTTGCTCTGCCCCACCCCCTGTGCTCGGCTTGGGCCCCCAACATTCTGCCGGTCCCCTGGTACTCTACTCCTCCCTCCCGACCTCACGCTTCGCAGCTCCCCCAGTGCTCTGCCTGGCCCCTCTAACTGTCCCTCCACCCAGTGCCTTCAATTGCTCAACCTGGGATCCCCGCTCAGTTGACCTTGCTCCCGCAGGCTAGAGCAGGCTGACCTCATTCTGGCCATGCTGGATGCTTCTGACCTGGCCTCTCCCTCCAGTTGCAACTTCCTGGCCACCGTCGTAGCCTCTGTGGGAGCCCAGAGCCCCAGTGACAGCAGCCAGCGCCTCCTCCTGGTGCTGAACAAGTCGGACCTGCTGTCCCCGGAGGGCCCAGGTCCCGGTCCTGACCTGCCCCCGCACCTGCTGCTGTCCTGTCTGACGGGAGAGGGGCTGGACGGCCTCCTGGAGGCGCTGAGGAAGGAGCTAGCTGCAGTGTGAGCCCCCTCCCACTCCCAGCCTCCCCTGACCCACAGTTTAAGTGTGGGTCCCTCAACTTCAATTTCTGAACCTACAAAATGGGTACAACCATTTCCCCTTCAAGGGATGGTTGTAAAAGGTCGGGAGAGACCATGTCTCTTGTCTCTTCCAGGTGTGGGGACCCGTCCACAGATCCCCCGCTGCTGACCCGAGCAAGGCACCAGCACCACCTCCAGGGTTGCCTGGATGCCCTCGGCCACTACAAGCAGTCAAAAGACCTGGCCCTGGCGGCAGAGGCGCTGCGGGTGGCCCGGGGTCACCTGACCCGGCTCACAGGTGGAGGGGGTACCGAGGAGATCCTGGACATCATCTTCCAGGACTTCTGTGTGGGCAAGTGACGGGATCCAGGGAAGTCGCACCCAAGCTGCGTGGAGACCCAGGAGCCTCGGGGGATCTGGAAACAGTTTAGGCCAATTGGGATTCTCATTCGCCTGGGAAAGAACTTGATTCTCAAATAGTGAAGCAACACAGCTGAGAGGTAGTGAGATCCCTGCAGGGACTCCCTGGAGATTCAGGCCCTGGAATGGGGCTGAATGGAGGTCCCGTTCGACCCTTGATGCTGGGGCATCCGGGTTGGGATGGAGATAGGAGGATCTCAGTATATTTGTTTCGTAGTTTTTTATTTATTTTGCAAATACCAAAGGAATGTAAAAAAAACTCAGGTGATCTAGAAGTGTTTATTTTCTTCCCTTCCCTTCCCTTCCCTTTCCTTTTCCCTTTCCCTTTCCCCTTCCCCTTCCCCTTCCCCTTCCCCTACCCTTCCCTCCTCTGTCTATTGCCCAGGCTGGAGTGCAGTGGTGCGACCTTGGCTCACTGCAACCTCCATCTCCGGGGCTCAAGCGCTTCTCCTGCCTCAGCCTCCTGAGTAGCTGGGATTACAGGCATGTGCCAGCATGCCCGGCTAATTTTTTTCTTTTTTTGAGACAGAGTCTCGCTCTGTCACCCAGGCTGGAGTTCAGTGGTGCGACCTCGGCTTACTGCAACCTCCACCTCCCGGGTTCAAGTGATTCTCCTGCCTCAGCCTCTTGAGTAGCTGGGACTACAGGCGCACACCACCACGCCAGGCTAATTTTTGTATTTTTAGTAGAGACAAGGTTTCACCATGTTGACCAGGCTGGTCTTGAACTCCTTGACCTCAGGTAATCTGCCTACCTTGGCCTCCCAAAGTGCTGGGATCACAGGCGTGAGCTATCACACCTGGCCCCAGAAGTGTTTCAACATGGAAATTTTCCTTAGCCCTTCTGTGGTTGTCATGGCTTAATGTGTGTCTTTCCAGAACTTTGAATGTTTGCATACTTGTGGATGTACCTTTCAAATATGTTTGTCTTGTGTATCATATATAAATGGTATTGTGTTCATTGCTCTACAAATTGTCATTTCTTTTTAAAAAAAAAACAGAATTATGGAGATGGGGGGTCTCACTATGTTGCCCAGGCTGGTCTTGAGCTCTTGGACTCAAGCCATCCTGCTGTCTTGGCCTCCCAAAGTGCTGGGATTACAGGTGTGAGCCACGGTGCCTGGCCTCATTCCTTTTTTAGTCTTTAGTCTTCTTTTTTTTTTTTTTTTTTTTTGATGGGGTTTCACTGTGTTAGCCAGGCTGGTCTTGATCTCCTGACCTTGTGATCTGCCCACCTGTGGCCTCCCAAAGTGTGTGTGTGTGTGTGTGTGTGTGTGTGTGTGTGTGTGTGTGTGTGACAGAGTCTTGCTCTGTTGCCCAGACTGAAGTGCAGTGGTGTGATCTCAGCTCACTGCAGCCTCTGCCTCCTGAGCTCAAGCCATTCTCGTGCCTCAGCCTCCCGAGCAGCTGGGATCATAGGTGTACCCTACCACACCTGGCTAACTTTTGTATTTTTAGTAGAGATGGGTATTTGTCATGTTGCCCAGGCTGGTCTCAAGCTCCTGGCCTCAAAAGATCTGCCCGTCTTGTCCTCCCAAAGTGCTGGGGTTACAGGCGTGAGCCACCACACCCACCTTTTTTTTTTTTTTTTTTTTTTTAGATGGAGTCTCACTCTGTTGCCCGGCCTGGAGTGCAGTGGCGCAATCTCGGCTCACTGCAAGCTCCGCCTCCCGGGTTCATGCTATTCTCCTGCCTCAGCCTCTGAATAGCTGGGACTACAGGCGCCCGCCACCATGCCTGGCTAATTTTTTGTATTTTTAGTAGAGACAGGGTTTCACCGTGTTAGCCAGGATAGTCTTGAGACCCTGACCTTGCACTACCATATCCCATGTCTGGCTAATTTCTTATTTTTTATAGAGATGGGGTCTCCCTATATTGCCCAGGCTGGCCTTGAACTCGTGGACTCAAGCGATCCTCCCACCCCAGCCTCCCAAACTGCTGAGATTACAGGTGTGAGCCACCACACCAGGACAACCTCTTGTATCTTAAAAATGACTGGCAAGGCCGGGCGCAGTGGCTCATGCTGATAATCCCAGCACTTTGGGAGGCCATAGGTGGGCGGATCACGAGGTCAGGAGATCGAGACCAGCCTGGCTAACACGGTGAAACCCCATCTCTACTAAAAATACAAAAAATTAGCTGGGCATGGTGGCATGCGCCTATAGTCCCAGCTATCGGGAGGCTGAGTCAGGAGAATTGCTTGAACCCGGGAAGCAGAGGTTGCAGTGAGCCGAGACCGTGCCACTGCACTCCAGCCTGGGCGACAGAGGGAGAGTCCGACTCCGTCTCAAAACAAATAAACAAACAAACAAAAATCTGACTGGCAAAACCTAGGGGTCTTTCTCCCTCTATAAGCTGAATCTTTATTCATTCATTCATTCACTCACTCCGTGAATATTCATCAAACTCCTGCATCCAGCATTGTACACATCATTTTATTGAATCTTCACCACAGCACGATGTTGTGGCTATTTTCTTCCAGTTTTGCAGATGAGAAAACTGAGGCTCACAGGAATAGTTACTTCCTGGAGTTTCCCCAGCTTTGGGGTTTGAACACAGGTCTGTTTGACTCCAAATCTGAGTTTGCTGAGGGCCTCCTGTGCAGCAGGCAGGATGTTGGGGTCACAGAGGGGAGCAACAGGCTTGGTCCCTGTTCACATTAAAGAAGTGACAAGAGGCCAGGCGTGGTGGCTCACGCCTGTAATCCCAACAATTTTGGAAGCCAAGGTGGGCAGATCACTTGAGGCCTGGAGTTTGAGACCAGCCTGGCCAACGTGGTGAAACCCCATCTCTACAAAAAATACAAACATTAGCCAAGCATGGTGGCACACGTCTGTGGTCCCAGTAACTCAGGAGGGTGAGACAAGAGAGTTGCTTGAACCTGGGAGGCAGAGGTTGCAGTGAGCAGAGATCACGCCACTGCACTCCAGCCTGGGCGATAGAGCGAGACTCTGTCTCGAAACAACAACGAAAAGAAGAGACAAGAAAGAGGTCATTACAGTGAGGCCTGATGGCTGCTCTTTTTTTTTTTGAGATAGAGTCTTTGCTCTTTTGCCCAGGGTGGAGTGGCATGATCTCAGCTCACTGGCAACCTCTGCCTCCCAGGTTCAAGCGACTCTCCTGCCTCAGCCTCCCGAGTAGCTGGGACTATAGGCGTGTGCCACCACGCCTGGCTAATTTTTGTATTTTTAGTAGAGACGGGTTTCACCATGTTGGCCAGGCTGGTCTCAAATGCCTGGGATTACAGGCGTGAGCCACCGTGCCCAGCCTTTTTTTTTTTTTTCTTTAAGTAAAGATGGGGGTCTTGCTGTGTTGCCCAGGCTGGTCTCAAACTCTTGGCCTCTGGTGATCCTGAGACCTCAGCCTCCCAAAGTGCTGGGATCACATGTGTGAGCCACCGTGCCTGGCCTGATGGCTTCTTTGAAGCTCATAAAGAGGAGAAGTGACCTAGTCAGGCAACTTAAAGTGGGCTGCCTGGCAGAGGTGATGAGTGTTGAGATCTGAATGGTGAGGATGTCAGATGGAGGAGTCTGGGGAGGGCACCCCAGGCAGAGGGCACTGAATATGCAAATCCCTTCATATGCATATCCCACTGACACATATTTCACTGGATTACATATCCCACTGATTCAGGAACTTCGCGGTGTGTTCAAGGAATAGTGAGATGGTCAGGTTTTTTTGTTGGTTTGTTTGCTTTTTTTTTTTTTTTTTTTTTGAGACAGGGTCTTGCTCTGTCGCCCAGGCTGGAGTGCGGTGGCGTGATTGTGGCTCACTGCAACCTCCGCCTTCCAGGTTCAAGCAATTCTCCTGCCTCAGCCTCCCAAGTAGCTGGGATTACAGGCATGTGCCACCACGCCCGACCTTTTTTTTTTTTTTTTTTTTTTTTGACAAGGCCTCTCCCTTTCACCCAGGCTGGACTGCAGTGGCTCGATCATGGCTCACTGTAGCTTCCATCTTCTGGGCTCAAGTGATCCTCCCACCTCAGCCTCCTGAATAGCTAGGACTACAGGCATGCGCCACCACGCCCAGCTAATTTTTAAATTTCTTTTAGAGATGGGTTCTCACTATGTTGCCCAAGCTGGTTTTAAGCTTTTGGGCTCAGGCAATCTTCCTGCCTTGGCTTCCCAAGGTGCTGGGATTACAGGTGTGAGCTACTATGCCTGGCCCTTTTTTTGGGGGGGGGTTGGGGTGGGGTCTCACTCTGTCACCCAGGCTGGAATGCAGTGGTACAATCATGGCTCACTGTAATCTTCAACCTCCTGGGCTCAGTTGATCCTTCCACCTCGGCCTCCTGAATAGCTAGGACCACAACCACCATGCCCGGCTAATTTTTAAATTTTTTTCATGGAGACAGGATCTTGCTATGTTGCCCAGGTTGGTCTCAAACTCCTGACCTCAAGTGATCTGTCCGCCTCAGCCTCCCAAAGTGTTGGGATTACAGGCGAGAGCCACCGCGCCCGGCCAGAGGTGGTCAGAGTGGCTGGAGCAGAGGAAAGGAGGAGAAAGAGGAGGGAGACCATTGGAGAAGGGATGGATGGAGGGGTCTGATAGGCAGAGGTTCGTCTGAGATTCTTCGGGGAGCCTGACGTGGCGGGGACCGACCAGCAGAGGGCGCGTCGCGCTAAGTGAGGCGGTCCCCAGCAATCCTCCCATCAGCGCTCCCGGTGCCCCACCCTCAGCGGATCTAGGCCTTCCGCATTCACCTGGTGGCATGTGAATGGTTAACTTCCCCTGACTGGGGTGGAAACTGAGTCTCGAAGAGAATCAGGATCTTTTCTGGAATCAGAAAAAGATCTCCACCTCCAGTGGTTGAATATACAAACTCTGATTTCAGTGGACACAGAGCCTGGGAGGCATCCGCGGCAGAGAGAGGGCACGAAAAGGGCCTAAGGAGGCCCGCAGAGTTTCTGACCACCCAACTGAAGGAGACCTCAGGGCCGGGCGCGGTGGCTCACGCCTGTAATCCCAGCACTTTGGGAGGCCAAGGTGGGTGGATCACCTGAGGTCAGGAGACCAGCCTGGCCAACGTAGTGAAACCCCGTCTCTACTAAAAATACAAAAATTAGCCGGGCGTGCTGGTGCATATCTGTAATCCTAGCTATTCGGGAGGCTGAGGCAGGAGAATCATTTGAACCTGGGAGGCGGAGGTTGCAGTGAGCCAAGATGGCGCCACTACACTCTAGCCTGGGAAACAGAGTGAGACTCCATCTCACATTAAAAAAAAAAAAAAAAGAAAAAGATCTCCACCTCCAGTGGTTGAAGATAGAAACTCTCTGGTTTCAGGGGACACAGAGCCTGGGAGACATCCCGGGCAGACAGAGGGCATGACAAGGGCCAAAGGAGGCCACCAGAGTTTCCCAACCACCCAACTAGAGGAGACCCAGGCCTGATTTTATTTACAGGGTTCCTGGCAGTATGTCACTATTTGTTCATTTCCTTGCTTGTTCAACCAAATCAACAAATTGGGGCTGGAGGGGCGGTGGCCAGAGTGGAAAGGGTCACACCATGAGCTGAGTCCACAGATGTTACTATTGGCCCCATCAGGAAACCAAACCGATGCCCAGAGAAGAAAAGCAATAATGTAGATCTGGGCGTGAGGGGTGGGCTTGAAGTGGGGAGGGTCCTGAAGGCTCCCAGGAGGGGTGAGCTGGGCCTGTGCCTGGGTGGGATTGGAGATGCTCTTTGGACAGGATGCTGGGGCCCCGCCTGCCTTCCCTGGGGCCCTGGCACACAGCTGGCCTGAGGTCCTTGGCTACAATCCTTTTTTTCCAAGAAGGGTGAGGTGGTTTGTGGGAAGCAGCCATGGGGGTTATTTATAGAGGCTGCAGGAAATCCCCAAAGAGTCTGAGACTCGCCAGGCGGTTGGACCTCAGGGTCAGGAAGGGGGCCTGATCGGCCAATTGCTCGACCCCCACCCCCTGTATTCAGCCCCCACCCGGTTCCTGAGGAGTCACCAGCCTGGGACAGTCAGAGCTTTAGGGTCAGAGCTGGAAAGAGGGAGGGATGAGGCTGGGAGAGAGGTTTCCAAAAGGGGAAGCAAGGGCTATATCTGGGACTTCAAGAAAGGCTGCCTGGAGGAGGGGGTCTCTGGAGCTGGGCTTCAGAGGTAGAAGGGTTCGTTAGACATGAAAAAGACTTTCTAATCCAAGGGCACAGCACAAATTAATGAATGTTGAGTCTTTTACAAAGAATTAAAAAGTCCAGGATAGGAGGAGGCAAAAGGGGAGTCACAGATGTGCTAAGGAGTTAGACTTTGTTCTAAGGGTAATAGGGAGCCATGGAGAGTGTGTGAGCAGGAGAGGGACTTGGACAGAGTCTGTAATGGAAAGACTCCTCTGGACCAGCACAGGAGCCATACCAGAGGCAGCAGCTGAGGTGCAAGTGTACAGGGGCTGAGCCAGGGCCAGGTCACTGGGATCGGTTAGAGGGATGATGGCTCCTGGAATGCTCTGGAAGGCAAAACAGACAAAGGACCAGAGGCCTGTGCCCATGTGTCTGGAGAGTTTAGAATTATTACTATTATTATTTTAGAGACAGGGTCTTGCTCTGTCGCCCCGGCTGGAGTACAGTGGTGCAATCCTAGCTCACTGCAGCCTCCAACTCCTGGACTCAAGTGATTCTCCTGCCTCAGCCCCCCAGGTAGCTGGGACTAAAGGTACGCACCACCATGCCCAGCTAATTTTTAAATTTTTGCTAGACATAGGGTCTTGCTAAATTTCTCAGGCTGGTCTCAAACTCCTGGACTCAAGCGATCCTCCTATCTCGATCCCCCAAAGCGCTGAGATAATAGCCATGAGCCACCGTGCCCAGCCCTAATACAACTTTATTTATAAAAACAATGCCTGACCTTAGAGTTATTATTATTACACCCAATGCTTGGATGAGAAAATGGAGGCTAGGATTGACTGAGCCAAGATTCAAACCCAGGGATGTTTGGCTCTGAAATCCTAAATCAGGTCTTCTGGGATGGTTAGGACTGGCTGGCATCAATGTCTCCCCCTAAGGACTCTGGGCTGTCTGGCAGTAGGCTTAGGGGCAGGGATGTCCCCGCTTCCTTGGGGCCTCCAGCTCAGCCCGTCTGGGCGGTCTGGCCAGGCTGACCCCCCTACTCTGTCTTGGCAGAGCCCCAGCTGAGCGCTTCCTGCGGTGACCATCTCTCGCCCTTGTTTCCGTATCCCGGAAATATCGTTCCTTTGTCCCTCCAGACTAGCCTGCCCTAAGCGTGGCGCTGCCAGCTCCCAGGTCCTTGTGACTCATCCGTCCCAGTCCAGGACCCCAGGGGATGGGCTGGGAGGGAATTGAGGGATTGAGAGGATGGGAGGTGTTGGGGGAGGAGACAAGCTGAGATCCTAGCCAGTGATTTCTTTCTTTCTTTCTTTCTTTCTTTCTTTCTTTCTTTCTCTCTCTCTCTCTCTCTCTCTCTCTCTCTCTCTCTCTCTCTCTCTCTCTCTCTCTCTCTCTCTCTCTTTCTTTCTTTCTTTCTTTTTTTTGAGATGCAGTCTCGCTCTGTCGCCCAGGCTGGAGTGCAGTGGCGCGATCTCGGCTCACTGCAACCTCTGCCTCTTGGGTTCAAGCGATTCTCCTGCTTCAGCCTCCTAAGTAGCTGGGACTACAGGCATGCACCATCACGCCTGGCCAATTTTTTTGTATTTTTAGCAGAGATGGGATTTCACCACGTTGGTCAGACTGGTCTCGAACTCCTGATCTCAAATGATCTGCCCGCCTCAGCCTCCCGAAGTGCTGGGATTACAGGCATGAGCAACCATGCCCGGCCCTAGACAGCGATTTTAAGGCTGTTTTTCCTGATGGCCATTGGCTTTATGTCCTGAAGTTTTTACTTGTTAGAGATAAAGCCCCAGGGATGGGGTTACAGAGTCAAAGTTTTGTGCATTCATTCATTTGAGACAGGGTCTTGCTCTGTCACCCAAGTTGATGCATAGTGGTGGAATCAGAGCCCACTGCAGCCTTCAGCTCCTGAGCTCAAGCAATTCTCCCACCTCAGCCTCCCAAGTAGCTGGCACTACAAGAACGCACCATCACACCTGGTTTTCTTTAAATTTTTTGTAGAGACGAGGTCTCGCTATGTTGCCCAGGCTGACCTCGAATTCTGGCGCTCAAGCGATCCTCCTACCTAGGGCTCTCAAAGTGCTGAGATTACAGGAATGTGCCATTGCACCCAGCCTGATTTTATTACGTTTCACTAAACTAGTTTCTGGAAGGGCTATTACAGGACTTGAATTTCTACCAGTCTTGTAGGAAAAGGACCTTTTTTCTACACCTTTACTTGCAGTAGGTGTTGGGTGTTATGACCTTGAAAAGACATTTTCCCAGTCTGCTGGGTGCAATGTGATTTCCCTGTGTTCTTTCGATTTGCTTTTCCCTGACTACTGGCTAATTTAGTGATAGCAGTGAGCCAAAGTGTCTTTAAACTGGACACTGGTACCTTTTCTGGAGAATTCTTTGCAAACCTAGAACTTTCTTTCTCTTTTTTCTTTCTTTTTTTTTTTTTTTTTTTGAGACAGGGTCTTGCTTTGTTGCCCAGGCTGGAGTGCGGTGGCGTGATCTCGGCTCACTGCAACCTCCGCCTCCTAGGGTTCAAGAGGTCCTCGTGCCTCAGCCTCCCGAGTAGCTGGGATTACAGACGCACACCACTACGCCTGGCTTTGTGTTTTTTTGTAGAGATGGGGTTTTGCCATGTTGGCCAAGTTGGTCTTAAACTCCTGGCCTCAGGTGATCCACTCACCTCAGCCTCCCAAAGTGCTGGGATTATAGGGACTACAGGCGTGTGCCACCATGCCTGGCTAATTTTTAAAATCTTTTGTAAAGACAAGTTCTCACTATATTGCCACAACTGGTCTTGAAATCCTGGGCTCAAGCAATTCTCTCACCTCTGCCTCCAGATTAGCTGGGTCCACAGGTGCACATCACCATGCTTGGATAATTTTTAAGGTTTTTGTAGAGACAGTGTCTTGCTATGTTGCCCAGGCTGTTCTTGAACTCCTGAGCTCAAGCGATCCTCCAGCCTCAGCCTCCCAAAATGCTGGGATTACAGATGTGAGACATCTTTCTTGGCCTGCTGTTTAAAGGAAACACTAAATTTAACAGCATTGCCGTCATGATGCTGTGCCTTGTAGCCACTGCATTAAACCCTCTTTGGCTATGACTCTGCTATTTCCCTTTGTGTATAGAGATGCCTGTGCCTTGGGGGCTGCTGGTGTCCCCCAACGTTTGTTCCAGGTTGAAGGGTCTTGTGGCCTGGAGGAGTTGGGGAGGAGGTTCCCTGGCTTTCATCTTCTTTCCAGTCTTTTCTCCTTCATAGCCATGTGGTACTTTTGTTGTTGTTGTTGTTGTTGTGTTGTGTTTTGTTTTGTTTTTTGCTCTGTTGCCCAGGCTAGGGTGCAGTGGCTCGATCTTGGCTCACTGCAGCCTCCACCTCCCGGGTTCAAGAGATTCTCCTCCTTCAGCCTCCCGAGTAGCTGGGATTACAGGCGTGCATCACCACGCCCAGCTAATTTTTGTATTTTAAGTAGAGATGTGGTTTCACCATGTTGGCTAGGCTGGTCTCGAACTCCTGACCTCAAGTGATCCTCCCGCCTTGGCCTCCCAAAGTGTTGGGATTACAGGCGTGAGCCAGCATGCCCAGAAACCATGTGGTACCTTTAAAAGCAGAAATCACGCTTCTGGAGTCTTTGAAGGATTTACTAATATTTATTAAGTGCCACCAACATTTCAACGGGCCACAGGCAGGGCTGGGAGTTGGGGGAGAAGGAGTGGCTCCCCTCCCGACAACAGGTGACCCTCACCCCCGGCTCAGGGCCCCGAGGGGGTCCTGGAAACACTCACGCTCAAGGAGCGGAGGTGAATGGCTTCCTGTTCTCACCTCCGGGTCCAGGCACTGGGGGTGAGGAAGTGGCTGGGAGGCCAGGAGGCTGGAGGAGGGGAGGTGCTGGGGCCCAGGGCTGTGCGGGAGGGGATGGGATCCTGTGGGTACCTTGGCCCGTGTGCCAGGGTCGGGGGAACGTGACACTAGGTGAGAATTGGGTAGAAAGTGTGTGTGAAAGGGCATGCGTGCATGTGATGTTGGTGCCATATCTATAGGTGTCGTTGTCATGGTGTGTGTTGTCACTGTGTCTGTGTGTGACATCATCACCGTCTGTGTGATGCCATCGCCGCGTCTGTGTGACATTAATATGTGTGACGTCGACATGGCCCGTGACGTCGTTGCTGCATCTCGGTGTGACGTCATGCCAAGTTCCCCATGTCTGTGTGCGACGTGCTGCATCTGCACGACGCCATCGCTATATCTCTTCGTGACGTCTACATGGCCACGTGACGCCATCACCACGGTGATATGTGACGTCAGCGCCGTTGCTTGCGTGACGTCATCTCCGCGGCCGTGTGCTCTGGGTGAGGGATCGTGAGGCGCGGGTGCGGGTGTGAGAGGGTACTAGGGGTTTGCATGCAGGGAGTTGTCTGATGGTGGCCCTGGGTGGTTGGGGGCGGCGGGAGGGGGTTGTGTCGGGCGCTGTGAGCATATCCCTGCATCCTCCGCAAACCGCCGAGTCGGGCCATCCCTTGGTCCTCAGGCCTGGAGCCTCCTCAGCCACTAGGGCAGGAAGGGGATGGTAACACAACAGAGTGTCAGACAGAGGGAAGGGCAAACCTCGCCGGGCCCTGGAGGCTCGTCCTCAGCGGGGACACAACATCCTGGGGACCCCGGCCCTGCCTCCTACCACCCTGGGCCCCTACTTCTTCCTCAGAACCCCAGGGCTCCTTCGGGTTCAGCCTCTCCATGAGACGCTCATGTGTTGAACCTCCCCAGGATGGTGAATGGTGAGACTGAGGTGTGTTCTTCCCCATTATACAGATGAAGAGACTGAGATTCAGAGTGGCCACACTTCACGAGCCCCAAGCCTCTGCTACAGCTTGTTTGACTCTCCCCAGTGCCTCCCAACATTCTGGGGATACTGAGAATTTACCCCAAAGCCTCTGCTCCCCCAGACCCCTACACTGGTTCCCAAGGCAAGGCTTCGGTCTCCCTCTTTTGCCTGCTCCTGCTCACATGTCCTCCATGGCTCCCCAGTGCCCTCAGGAGAAAGTCCAAACCTTACAACGTGGCATTCAGGGCTCCACCCCTCTGCCCCTGCCAGGCCTCCCCATCAGGGACTCCTGCTGTGCCAAAGACCCAACAATTCCAAGAGCCATCACACTGCTTCCGCACCCTCCGGCCCCACCGCCTTTGCACGATCGGAGTTGTCTTGCTATCTGGGATGCCCTCCCCCTCCTGGGCCTGGCAGAGGTTCCTGCGAGGGGTCAGGGGTTGGCTTAGAGCCTGTTTCCTGCTGGGGGAGGAGGGGGCTGTGGCTAAGTCCCGCTTCCGCTGGTCCTCTCCCTTCCTTCCCCGGCTCTTCCCTGGGGCCCGAGTGGCCTCACGTTCCTTGGTTGGCTCTGGGCCCTGGCCCTGGCCCCAGACTCCATCCTCAACCAGCATTTACCCAGCTCTTGTCCCTGCTGCCAGCCTGCAAGGCTCCATCTTTGCTTGAACTGGGTCAATGCACATCCCTCTGTCCTGGTCCCCAGCTCTTTGTCCCGTAGTCTGTTCCCCAACAGTGACCAGAGGAACTTGTGGATGCTTGAACTGGGTCATGCACATCCCCCGTCTGCTCAGGTCCTCACAGCAGCCACAGGCAGGGCTTGATCAGCTCCCATCACTTCCCTGCCCTCACCTCCTCCTCCCGTTCCCCTCCATCACTCCACTCCAGCCACACCGGCCTCTTCCCTCAAACACACAAGGCACGGTCCCACCTTGGGGCCTTTGCCCTGGCTGTGTCCTCTGTCTGGTGCACCCTTCCTGGGATCCCCCCATGGCTCCTCCCTCACCTCCTCTGGGTCTCTGCTTCAATATCACCTCCTCGGTGTAGCCTGCCCTGTCTCTGGTAGAAAGTTCCAACCTTCTTACGCTTCCTGCCCCTTTCTCTGTCTCGCCCATCACCAAAGGACCCTTGAGTGACCCGTTCATCTAATTTATTATCCATCTCTCCCACTAGACTGTGAGCCCCATGAGGGCAGCGGGTTTCTGTGCCTTGTTCCCAGCACCCAGCACCATGCCCGGTTACCAGCAGCTGCTCAATAAATACGGCTCGAATGGACACACGAATCATCAGAGGCGTTAACAGTGAACTTGAACAACATTAACCACGTGTCCAGCTCAGAGCCAGGGCTGGACTCCCATCTTAAGCCCATACGGCCGGGCGCGGTGGCTCATGCCTGTAATCCCAGCACTTTGGGAGGCCGAGGTGGAGGGATCATTTGAGGCTAGGAGTTCAAAACCAGCCTGGCCAATGTGGTGAAAACTCATTTCTACTATAAATACAAAAGTTAGCCGGGCCTGGTGATGCATGTCTGTAATCCCAGCTACTTGGGAGGCTGAGGCATGAGAATTGCTTGAACCCAGGAGGTGGGAGTTGCAGTGAGCCAAGATCACACCACTGCACTGCAGCCTGGGCAACACAGCAAGACTCTCTCAAAAAATAAAAAAGATTAAGAAAATAATGCCAGGCGCAGTGGCTCATACCTGTAATCCTAGCACTTTGGGAGACGGAGGTGGGCGGATCACCTGAGGTCAGGAGTTTAAGACCAGCCTGGCCAACATGGCGAAACGCCGTCTCTACTAAAAATACAAAAATTAGCCGGGTGTGGTGGTGCATGCCTTTAATCCCAGCTACTCGGGAGGCTGAAGTAGGAGAATCACTTGAACCTGGGAGGCAGAGGTTACAGTGAGCCGAGATGGCACCATTGCACTCCAGCCTGGAAAACAGAGCGAGACTCTGTCTCAAAAAAAAAAAAAAAAAAAGGGCCGGGCGCTGTGACTCACACCTGTAATCCCAGCACTTTGGGAGGCCGAGGCAGGCGGATCACGAGATGAGGAGATCGAGACCATCCTGGCTAACACAGTGAAACCCCGCCTCTACTAAAAATACAAAAAATTAACCGGGCGTGGTGGTGGCCACCTGTAGTCCCAGCTACTCAGGAGGCTGAGGCAGGAGAATGGCGTGAACCCGGGAGGCAGAGCTTGCAGTGAGCCGAGATCGTGCCACTGCACTCCAGCCTGGGTGACAGAGCAAGACTCCGTCTCAAAAAAAAAAAAAAATTAAAATTAAAAATAAAAATAAAATCTTGGCCAGGTGTGGTGGCCCAGCCTGTAATCCTCGCACTTTAGGAGGCTGAGGCGGGCAGATCACCTGAGATCAGGAGTTCAAGACCAGCCTAGTAAACATGGTGAAACGCCATCTCTACTAAAAATACAAAAAAAATCACCCAGGCTGGTGGCGGGCACCTGTAATCCCAGCTACTCGGGAGGCTGAGGCAGGAGAATTGCTTGAACCTGGGAGGTGGAGGTTGCAGTGAGCTGAGATCACACCAGTGTACTCCAGCGTGGGTGGCAGAGTGAGACTCCATCTCAAAATAATAATAATAATAATAATAATAATAATAATAATAAAATAAATAATAAAATCTTTTTTAAAAAAAGCTCTTCCCATTGCAATTTTTGCCATATTCAGCCACATAGCTCCTGGACCAAGATTTACTTAATATTTGCCATTTAAAAAACGTTTTAGAGGCAGGGTCTTCCTCTGTCACCCAGGTTGGAGTGCAGTGGCGTGATCATAGCTCACTGCAGCCTTGAACTCCTCGGCTCAAGCAGTCCTCCTGCCTCAGCCTCCCAAGTAGCTGGGACTACAGGTGCATGCCATCATGCCTGGTTAATTTTTTTTTTTTTTTTTGAGACAGTGTCTCGCTCTGTAGCCCAGGCTGGAGTGCAGTGGTGCAATCTCAGCTCACTGCAACCTCCACCTCCCAGGTCCTGGTTCAAGCAATTCTCCTGCCTTAGCCTCCCGAGTAGCTGGGATTACAGGCACACTCCACCATGTCCAGTTAATTTTTTGTATTTTTAGTAGAGACAGGGTATCACCATGTTGGCCATGCTGGTCTTGAACTCTTAACCTCATGATCTGCCCGCCTCAGCCTCCCAAAGTTCTGGGATTACAGGTGTGAGCCAACATACCCAGCCATTACTGTCTTTATATCGTTTTTAAAGAAACTTACATTGATTTCCAAAGACACTCAGTCTCTACTTCTTTTTTTGTTTGTTTTTGTTTTTGCTCTGCCTCATGTGATCTGCAGGAAGGGACACTCAGTCTCATCAAGTAAAGGAAAGCTGGCGCACACATCACCAACAGAAAATGACTTTAAAATTTTCCATAGGCCGGGCACCATGGCTCATGCCTGTAATCCCAGAACTTTGGGAGGCCAAGGCGGGCGGACTGCCTGAGGTCAGGAGTTCGAGACCAGCCTGGCTAATGTGGTGAAACCCTGTCTCTACTAAAAAATACAAAAAATAACCGGGCATGCTGGCACGTGCCTGTAATCCCAGCTACTCGGGAGGCTGAGGCATGAGAATCGCTTGAACCCGGGAGACAGAGGTTTCAGTGAGCAGAGATTGCGCCACTGCACTCCAGCCCAGCGACAGAGTGAGACTCCATCTAAAAAGAAAAAGAAAGATTTTTTTTCCATAAGAGCAAGACCTCACGCCGAAGCCCAGCTGATGTGGGGCCCTGCGTCGGCCATCGATTTGGGAACACGGGAGATGCGCAAGTGTCTGGAAGCCGTTAGAGCAAGTTAATACCAGCTAAGGCTTTGTCTATTTTATTTTTTTAAACTAAACACTATATTAATGAGAATTTTATTTTTTCTCTCTTAGAGACGAGGACTTGCTATGTTGCCCAGGCTGGACTTGAACTCCTAGACTCAAGCAATTCATCCTCCTCAGCCTCCCAAAGTGCTGGGATTACAGGCGTGAGCCACTTTGTCCCACTAAACTGAGATTTTATCAAGGCTTAGAAGGAATAAGAGTGGGTCGGGTGTGATGGCTCACGCCTGTAATCCCAGCACTGTGGGAGGCTGAGGTGGGTGGATCACCTGAGGTCGGGAGTTCGAGACCAGCCTGACCAACATGGTGAAACCCCGTCTCTACTAAAAAAACAAAATTAGCCGGGCGTGATGGCGCATGCCTGTAATCCCAGCTGCTTGGGAGGCTGAGGCAGGAGAATCACTTGAACCCAGGAGGTGGAGGTTGCGGTGAGCTGAGATCGGGCCATTGCACTCCAGCCTGGGCAACGAGAGAGAAACTCCGTCTCAAAAACAAAAAAACAAAAGAAGAAGAAGTAAGAGTGGAGGCCGGAGGGGGTGGCTTATACCTCTAATCCCAGCACTTTGGGAGGCCAAGGAGGGCGGATCACTTGAGGCCAGGAGTTTGAGACCAGCATGGCCAACATGGTGAAACCCCAAAATTTTTACAAATTTTGTAGAAAAAGATACAAAAATTAGCCAGGTGTGGTGGTACACTCCTGTAATCCCAGCTACTCAGGAGGCTGAGGCAGGACAATTGCTTAACCCAGGAGACGGAGGTTGCAGTGAGCTGTGATTGCGCCACTGCACTCCTGCCTAGGAGACAGAGTGAGAGTCCATCTCAAAAAAAAGAAAAAGGAGTGGAAAAGGAAAAATCAACTCTCCCGATGCATGAGGTGGGTGATTTAATGCTGAGTCTTGTCCCAGCACCTCATTAGGTGCATCTAAAATTCTAGTGACTCAGCTACTTGGGAGGCCGAGGCAGGAAGATCACTTGAGGCCAGGAGTTCAAATCCAGCCTGGGCAACATAGCAAGACCCCTGTCTCTACAAAAAAATAACAATTTAGCTAGGCATGGTGGAGTGTACCTGTAGGCTCAACCACTGGGGAGGCTGAGGCAGGAAGATTGTTTGAGCCCAGGAGTTCGAGGCTGCAGTGAGCTATGATCGTGCCACTGCACTCCAGCCTGGGTGACAGAGCAAGACCCTGTCTCGAAAAAAATAATGATTAAAAAAATAAAATTCCAGTGACTCTCCCCAAGTTGCCCAGTTAACCCAGAGCAGACAGCCCCAGCCCACTTGCCCCCGGCCTCTCTCAGGGGAAGGCGAGTCAAGGGCAGAAGCCAGCAGGCCAGAAGCCCTTCCTGCGACCGTGAGGAGAGAAGCAGGCAAGGTCCAGGCTTAAGTACACATTGTTTTCTCGGCAGGTGGACGTCATTTCGGGGTAAACAATGTCAAGAGCTTCCCTGGTTCTCAGCCGAGGCCCTGACAGTCCTGGGCTGGGAGCCCGGGCCTGGCCCTGATTCTCCACTGTGTGACCCCAGGCTGCTCACTTCCCTGGGGCCTCAGTTTCCTCCTCTGAGAAGTGGGGATAATAATAGAACCTCCTTCCTTGCCATGAGGGCTTTCGGCCAAGATGGAGAGAGGAAAATTGTGTTTGCTTGGAGCGGGGAATCTCCTCCTCACCTTTTTGTTTCCCTCCCTGTGGGCTGCTCAGGGCTGAGAACTTTCTCCCAGACAGAGCCATCTAGAGCAAAGGGGTTGAGAGACAGCTTGGCGAGGGAGTGAGCTCCCTGTTGGAGAGGGTATGCAAGAAGGAAAAAAAAAAAAAAGAAGAAGAGGTGGAAATGGAGCTGGACATGATGCATCCTGGGGAGTTGGCGGCAAAGCTTTCGGAAATCTACTTGGCCAGAAATCCCATATTAGCCCTCTGAGGCTGCAACAGACCCAGAATGACAATAGCTCCGTGGCAAAATGGTCATAGGCACAGTGGTTGGGGTCAAAGGGATCTGACTTAAAGTTCTGGTGCCTTCCTGAGCCTCGGGTCCTAAACTGCAAACAGCAATGCCAGGCCCTGACTCCTCCGTCAGTGGTGTAGCAGGACCCCAGAGAGAGCACAGGCTATTCTTGGGGCGGTGGCCTGAGTCACCATCCCTGTGACGCACAGGCCACCCTCTGAGAAGTGACTGACTCTGGGAGGAGGCAGGGGGCACAGGCAGCAAGCCATGACCTGAGCGTGTGCCAGGAGCCCTTGCTGCTTCCTACAGAGGCCCCTAGTCCCTTGCTCCGGTCATTTTTGGATGGCACCTTGCAATTAGCAAAGCATTTCCAGGCCCTTGACTTCAGAGACTATCTTTTTTTTTTTTCCAAGACAGGATCTCACTCTGTCTCCCAGGCTGGAGTGCAGGGATGCGATCTTGGCTCTCTGCAGCCTCCACCTCCTGGACTCGGGCGATCTTCCCACCTCAGGCTCCTGAGTAGCTCGGACTACAGGTGCGCACCACCACACCTGGGTAATTTTTGTATTTTTTGTACAGAGGGGGTTTTGCTATGTTGCCCAGACTGGTCTTGAACTCCTGGGCTCAAGCAATCCTCTCACCTCGGCCTCCCAAAGTGCTGGGATTACAGGTGTGAGCCACAGTGCCTAGCTGAGACTCTTTTTTATTTATTATTTTTATTTTTATTTTTTGTTGCCCAGGCTGGAGTGTAGTGGCTCAATCTTGGCTCACTGCAACCTCCACCTCCCGGGTTCAAGTGATTCTCCTGCCTCAGCCTCCGGAGTAGCTGGGATTACAGGTGCCCACCACCACACCCGGCTAATTTTTGTATTTTTTTTTTTTTTTTAGTAGAGACAGGGTTTCACCATGTTGGCCAAGCTAGTTTTGAACTCCTGAGCTCAAGTGATCCGCCCGCTTCAGCCTCCCAAAGTGCTGGGATTACAGGCGTGAGCCACTGCAACCAGCCTCTCTTTTTTTGAGACAGAGTCTTGCTCTGTTCCCAGGCTGGAGTGCAATGGTGTCATCTCGGCTCACTGCAACCTCTGCCTCCCGGGTTCAAGTGATTCTCCTGCCTCAGTCTCCCAAGCAGCTGGGACTACAGGCGCATACCACCACGCCCAGCTACTTTTTGTATTTTTAGTAGAGATGGGGTTTCACCATGTTGGCCAGATGGTCTTGATCTCTTGACCTCATGATCCGCCCACCTCGGCCTGGGATTACAGGCGTAAGCCACCGTACCCGGCCTCTTTTTTTTTTTTTTTTTCTGACACAGTCTCACTCTGTCGTCCAGGCTGGAGTGCAGTGGCATGATCTCGGCTCACTGCAACCTCCGCCTCCCAGGTTCAAGCAATTCTCCTGCCTCAGCCTCCTGAGTAGCTGGGATTCCAAGCATGAGCCACTGTGCCCAGCTGAGACTCATTTTCTAGAAAGTAAAGGTCAGGATTCATTCCTGGATGCCACTCCCCCTTCTCTCCCTCTGCTCATTACCTTCCCTCACCCCCGTCCAGCCTCCAGGCCTTTGGCCTGGCTGTTCCTGCTGCCTAGAACACTGTTCCCCCTGCTTTCCCTGAGGCCAGCTCCTCATGCTCCAGCTCTTCCTCACCAAGGCTCTCTCTTGCCTGTTTGGGGTCCGATGGCCTGGGTTCATGTCCCAGCTCTGCTGTGCTCCCTGGGGTACAGGGCATGCCCTCTCTGTGCCTCACTCTCCTCATCTGGAAAGTGGGTAGAATAGTGGTTTGCCCTACTATTATTGTTAAGTTGTGAAGATTACATGAATTAATCTTGCAAAGTACTTAGAACTGCGTGGGGCTCCCAGTAGGTGCCTAATAATTGTAGGCTCTTTGGTAGTCCCATCATGACACTGTCTAACCCACTACTCAGGGAGTTTCATGAGGACAGGACTGGGTGTGTCTTGGATACTGCTGTGTCCCTCACGCCCAACCATACATGACCTAGTATACAGCAGGTGCTCAATTAAGGAAGAAGCAAGTGTGAGATCAGCCTCCCTCCACCCTCAGTCCTGGTCCTAGCTTTGCCCACAGTTCTAAGACTGAACAACTGCAGTCTGCCCAGTGCCTTACCTGGATGGGGCTACAGGGATGCCTGCAGGGGGCCTCTGGGACTCCAGGATCTTCCTCTTGAACTCCTCCAGGCTAGCTGGGTCTGTGGAGGGAGAGAGGTGAGGCTTGACCTACAGCTTCAGTTGCCCCTGCCCCTGGGCTAGGGATGGGCTGGCAGCCCAGGGGAGTGGGAAAGTGGGGCTGGGGTGGGGTTCGAGGTGGAAAGGGGCCCCTCCCCTACTTGGCTCTGTCTTTTGTCACTCACCGATGGGCTGGGGGTTGGGGACAGGGCCCATGGGCCTTGACACTGGCATCATCGGCTGCGACTGTGAAAGAAAGATGGAGGGAGGTTGGTAGGAGCCAGGGCTTCCCAGACAGGCTTCTGCCTTTTCTTTTCTTTTCTTTTTCTTTTTTTTTTTTTTTTTGAGACGGAGTTTCGCTCTTGTTGCCCAGGCTGGAGTGCAGTGGTGTGATCTTGGCTCATTGCAAACTCTGCCTCCCAGGTTCAAGCGATTCTCCTGCCTAAGCCTCCTGGGTAGCTGGGACTACAGTCACACACCACCATGCCTGGCTAATTTTTTGTATTTTTAATAGAGCTGGGGTTTCACTATGTTGGCCAGGCTGGTCTCGAACTCCTGACCTCAGGTGATCTGCCTGCCTCGGCCTCCCAAAGTGCTGGGATTACAGGCATGAACCACTGCACCCGGCCAGGTTCTGTGCTTTCATGCCCTTCAAGACCATCGTCTCTAAAGTCCTTCCAGGGCAGGGTAACAGACCCCATGTAGAAAGACATACATGGTCATGAACATAGAATCACCTGCACGCACCACAAGACTTGGGGACACCACAAGATGGCTTGGGGACTTGTGGGACTGATCACCTCGGCAGTCCTGAGGCCCCATGCTGCAGAGCTGGCCTACCCCTGTCTCCATCACAGCCTCAGGGTGAATCCAGTTCCAACCCAAGACCCCATCGGAGTCTACTCACCCACCACAGCCCCCTTCAGACTGAAGCCAACCTACCGTGTAGACTAACTGGACCCCGATCCTAAATGCCACCCCTGGAATATCCCTGAGCCAATCCCCCAAAACCTGAAATCCAAAGCCAATTCTGAACTCAATCACCTAAAATCTGATCCCAACGTGAAAAGTCAATCTCCCTTAGAATCAAGCCTCAGCCTAAACCCAGTCCTAATTATAAACTGGATCTGACCATATCTTCAGATCTCACTCTGACTCCAACCATTCTCTTGACCCAACCTCTATGAAAATACCCGTTTCGGGCCAGGCGTGGTGGCTCACGCCCGTAATCCCAACACTTTGGGAAGCCGAGGTGGGCAGATCCCCTGAGGTCAGGAGTTCGAGACCAGCCTGGCCAACATGGTGAAACCCCATCTCTACTAAAAATAAAAAAAAATAAAAAAAAAAAAATCAGCCGGGCCTGGTGGCGGGCACCTGTAGTCGCAGCTACTCGGGGAAGCTGAGGCAGGAGAATTGCTTGAACCTGGGAGGCGGAGGTAGCAGTGAGCCAAGATTGTACCACTGCACTCCAGCCTGGGTGACAGAGCGAAACTCTGTCTCAAAAAGAAAAAAGAGAAAATATCCATTTCCCCAGCCCCAGCCCTGTGCTCCAACATGTCCTCCTACAAACACTTGTGCAATGTCATGCTCAACCTCCTCAACCCCAGACCCCAGCCTCTGCCCAGCTCCCATCCTAAACCCACCCTCAGTTCCAATCCCAACCCAAACTTCACTCCAATCCTAAGGCCCTATGGAGCCCCTGATGTTAACCCGAAACAGTCCTAAGCTGGTCAGTTACCCCAAATCCACCTCAACCCACTTCCACCCCGAGATTGGCATCTACCCCAAATTTTCCTCTCAACCCAGCCCTGATCGTCACTCAACCCCAATGTCCCCAGCCATAACCCAGGGTCACCCAATCCTTCAACTCAACTCCAAGCCCACTCAACCTTCCACCAGTCACCCTAAACCAACCGAACCTCAACTCCTAACCCATTGTCAATACCAATCCCTATGTCAATGCCAGTGAAATCCAAAATTCACCCTTGGCTGCAACCTCTAAGCATCTCTATACCGACCAGCCACCTCCAGCTACCAGAGCCTCCAATCCAGCTTCAGTGCTTCAACTCAGTCCCGAAGCAACTGAGATCCTAGATCATTCTTCACCCAACCTCACCCCCTACAAGCATCCCTGACTCAATTTGCAAGCTTTTCTCACCATCCAAATTCCAAATTCAACCCCAGTTCTAAAATCAGTGAAATCCTAAGTGAAATCCTAACCTTAACTCAAATCAGCTCCAGATACAGCAGTGACCAAAAACTCATCTCAGCCCAACTTAAACACGAGTTCAACCTTCACATCAACTCTTCCTCTAGGCATCCTCACCCCAGTATCACTCCCAACACTAAACCAACTCCCCGGTTCCTCAACACAACTCAAATACAGGATTTTAACTCCGACCCTAACCCCAATCCTCATCCCAGCCGTAAAAGAACCCACCAGCTCCCTACGCTCAAACTCAGCCTCGATTCTTTCATTTTTCGTTTTTAGAATTGGGAGCAGATTTTATTTTATTTTAGATTCAGTGGGGATGTGTGCCAGTTTGTTACACTGGGTATATTGCATGATGCAGAGGTTTGGGTTTCTTTTTTTTGAGACGGAGTCTTGCTGTGTCACCCAGGCTAGAGTTGCAGTGGTGCGATCTGGGCTCGCTGCAACCTCTGCCTCCTGGGTTCCGGCGATTCTCATGCCTCAGCCTCCCAAGAAGCAGCTGGGATAACAGGTGTCTGCCACCAAGCCTGGCTAATTTTTGTATTATTAGTAGAAACAGGGTTTCACCATGTTGGCCAGGCTGGTCTCGAACTCCTGACCTCAGGTGATCCGCCCACATTGGCCTCCCAAAGTGCTGGGATTACAGGTGTGGGCCACCGCGCCTGGTCGTAGAGGTCTGGGTTTCTAATGGTCCCATTGCCCAAGCAATGAACACAGTACCCAAAATGTAGGTTTTTAACCCCTTCCCCCCTCCCTTCCACCCTTTCCCATTTTGGAACCCCAGATGTCTGTTGCTCCCATCCTTGGTCTTTCACTCAAGCTGGAGTGCAGTGGTGCAATCCCGGCTCACTGCAGCCTCAACCTCCTGGGCTCAAGCAATCCTCCCACTTCTCAGCCTCCCAAGTAGCTGGGATTACAGGTGTGTGCCACCACACCCGGCTAATTTTTTTTTTTTTTTTTTTGAGAGAGAATTTTGCTCTGTCACCCAGGCTGGAGTGCAGTGGTGTGATCTTGGTTCACTGCAAGCTCTGCCTCCCGGGTTCACGCCATTCTCCCGCCTCAGCCTGCTGAGTAGCTGGGACTACAGGCGCCCGCCACCACACCCGGCTAAATTTTTTTTTGTATTTTTAGTAGAGACGGGATTTCACCATGTTAGCCAGGATGGCCTCCATCTCCTGACCTCATGATCCACCCACCTCGGCCGCCCAAAGTGCCGGGATTACAGGCATGAGTCACCGCGCCCGGCCTAATTTTTGTATTTTTTTTGTAGGGATGGGGTTTTGTGTTTTGTTTGTTTGTTTGTTTGAGATGGAGTCTCGCTCTGTCACCCAGGCTGGAGTGCAATGGCATGATATTGACTCACTGCAAACTCTGTCTCCTGGGTTCAAGAGATTCTCCTGTCTCAGCCTCCCAAGTAGCTGGGATTACAGACGCACGCCGCCACGCCCAGCTAATTTTTTGTGTTTTAGTAGAGGCGAGGTTTCACCGTGTTGCCCAGGCTGATCTCAAACTCTGAGCTCAGGCAATCCACCTGCCTCCGCCTCCCAAAGTGCTAGGATTACAGGCGTGAGCCACCACACCCAGCCTGGGGTGGGGTCTTGCTATGTTGCCCAGGCTGGTCTGAACTCCTGAGTTTAAGCTATCCTTCCACCTTGGCCTCCCAAAATGCTGGGATTACAAGTGTGAGCCACCAAGCCCAGCCAGCCTCAATTCTTAATCCTTTCTCAATGTCATTCCTAATTCCAAACTCTACCCTAATCCTAATGCCAATAAACTTCTCCATCCACATTACTACAATCCTATAACCATCTGTAGGGCGGACAGCCACCAACAGGTCATCACAGTATCCATCCTAAATCCACCCTCCATGCCTCAACTCAACCCAAACCCAAAAGCAACAGAAATTCTAGATCCAACCCTTCACCCAACCCTAGACCCGATATCCACCCTACCTCTAATTCCAGTCTTTTTTTTTTTTTTTTTTTTTTTTTTGAGATGGAGTCTTGTTTTGTCACCCAGGCTGGAGTGCAATGGCTCGATCTTGGCTCACTGCAACCTCCACCTCCCGGGTTCAAGCGATTCTCCTGCTTCAGCCTCCTGAGTAGCTGGGATTACAGGTGCCCGCCACCACGCCCGGCTAATTTTTGTATTTTTAGCAAAGACGGGGTTTTGCCATGTTGGCCAGGCTGGTTTCGAACTCCTGACCTCAGGCGATCCACCCACCTTGGCCTCCCAAAGTGTTGGGATTATTGGCATGAGCCACTGCGCACGGCACTCTAATTCCATTCTTAACCCTACACTCTTCTCAATGCCATCCCCATTCCAAGCTCTATCCTGATCCTAATGCCTGATCCTAGAGAGTTGTAACTCACCCAACCTAGACCAGGAAGCCATCCTCAAAGCCAACTCCAAGTTCAAATCGCCACCACCCTCTTGGCATCTGGACCTAACTCCACTGCAGCCTCCCTCTGGGGCCTGCAAGCCCACCTTGGTCTTGATGCAGGTGTCCAGGGCTGAGTTTCTGATGGCCAGCTCCATCCTGAGCTGCTCCGCCTCCCTCTTCTTCTCTTCCAGCTCCTTGGCCAGGTTGTCTCGTTCCTTCCGCAGCACCGCCTTCTCCTCCAGCGCTAGCTGGGTCTGCCGGGAGCATTCAGCTTGGAGCTTGGCCTCCCGGGCCTGAGCCTCCTTCTCCACCTTCTGTTTCGCCTCCTGACTGGCCCGCAGGCCCTGCTGGGCTTCCAGCTTCTGGCGTTGGAGGTCTGAGTTCTCGCGGGCCACGCGTTCGATATCCGCCCGGAGGCTCCGGGCCAGCTCCTCCACCTTGGAGCTCATGAGGCTGGGCATGTGGTCGCAGGCTCTGCGGATGGAGGCCAATTCCGAGCCCAGGGGATGGTAGAGGTTGTAACCCAGGTTGTCCAGGCTGCGTGGGATAATGGAGTCCCTCCACAGGTTACGAAGGTCCATCTCAAACTTGTCCTTGTCCAGGGGCAGGCAGAGGGCTTGCACCTTTTGCAGTTGCTCCTTGGCCAGCTGGCGCTCTTGGTGCTGCAGCTCCCGGGTTTTCACGCATTCAACCAGCTGTTCCTCCGCCACGCGTTTGTTCAGCAGCACGCTTTCCTTATCCTTAGTGCAAATGGTCTTCTCCTTGGCTATCTCCACCTCCAGCGTCTTCACCTTCTGATTCAGCATGAAGAGCAAGGCTAAGGAAAACAGGACCAGGAGACCCAGGAAGATTGGGGGCTGCCGAGAGCACTGGGCAGGGAGTCCACCACCCCGGCTCCCTGCAGCCTTAGCACTCACCATCGCAGCTCTTGTTCATGTCCTTGAATTGATCTCTGCATTGCTTCTCACTCAAGATGATGGCAGCCATGTACCTCTGATTGTTCGTGTAGATGACCTGCCCGGAAGATAGGGGAAGGACGCAGGACAGAGCTTAGTGTCTTGCCCCCAGGACTGCCTGGACCCAGATCGAGCACCCTGGTGGCCAGAGTGAGCTGAGTTCACAAGGGCATGGTCCCTTTATGAGGGAATGTTAGAAGCCAGGTGTGGCAGCTCACACCTGTCATCCCAATTACTTGGGAGGCTGAGGTGGGAGGATCACTCGAGCCCAAGAGTTTGAGACCAGCCTGGGCAACATAGTGAGACTCCCATCTCAATAAAACAAACAAACAAAAATAAATAAACAAAAATATAGTGGATGTTTGTCTGATCTTCAAAAGCTTTTACAGTTACTACTATCCAGAAATAAAAAGACACAAAGTATAAATACATGCTACAACATGGATGAACTTTAAAAATATTACATCCACATTTATGGTCAACTGAATTTCTTTTTTTTTTTTTTGAAATGGAGTTTCACTCCTATTGCTGTTGCCCAGGCTGGAGTGCAGTGGCGCAATCTTGGCTCACCACAACCTCTGCCTCCCAGATTCAAACAATTCTCCTGTCTCAGCCTCCCAAGCAGCTGAGATTACAGGTGGCTGCCACCACGACTGGCTAATTTGTTTTTTTGTTTTTGGTAGAGACAGGGTTTCACCATGTTGGCCAGGCTGGTCTTGAACTCCTGATCTCAGGTGATCTGCCCGCCTCGGCTTCCCAAAGTGCTGAGACTACAGGCTTGAGCCACTGTGCCCGGCTCGAATTTTTTTTTTTTTTTTTTTTTTAGACAGGGTCTCACTTTGTCACCCAGGCTGGAGTGCAGTGGCCTGATCTCAGCTCACTGCAACCTTGACCTCCCAGGCTCAAGCAATCCTCTTGCATCAGTCTCCCGAGGAGCTAGGACTACAGGTATGCGCCACCACTCCTGGCCAATTTTTTGTATTTTCCTTAGAGATGGGGGTTTTACCATGCTGCCGAGGCTGGTCTTGAACTCCTGAGCTCAAAGAATCCAACTGCCAGGGCCTCCCAGCCCTGAATTTTTTTGTTTTTTTTAAAGAGATGGGGTCTCACTCTGTTGCCCAGGCTAGAGTACAGTGGAGTGATCATAGCTCACTGCAGACTCGAACTCCTGGGTTCCAGTGATTCTCCTGCCTCAGCCTCCCCAGTAGCTGGGACTACAGGCCTGTGCCACCACGCCTGACTGATTTTTAAATTTTTTTTTTTTTCTTGAGACAGAGTTTCGCTCTTGTTGCCCAGGCTGAAGTGCAATGGCGCGATCTCGGCTCACTGCAACCTCCGCCTCCCGAGTTCAAGCGATTCTCCTGCCTCAGCCTCCTGAGTAGCTGGGATTACAGGCATGCGCCACAACACCCGGCTAATCTTTGCATTTTTAGTAGAGATGGGGTTTCTCCATGTTGGTCAGGCTGGTCTTGAACTCCCAACCTCAGGTGATCCGCCTATCTCGGCCTCCCAAAGTGCTGGGATTACAGGCGTGAGCCACCATGCCCAGCCTTAAATTTGTTTTTGTAGAGATGGGGTTTCACTATGTTTACCAGGGTGGTGACGATCTCCCCCATCAGCCTCCCAAATTGCTGGGATTACAGGTGTGCACCACCATGCCTGGCTATGGTCAACTGATTTGGACAAGGATGCTGCTATGAGCTCAACTGTATCCCCAGTACCTGAGAATGTGACTGTATTTAGAAGTAGGGTTTTTTTGTTTTTGTTTTTTGTTTTTTTACACAGAGTCTCGCTCTATCACCCAGGCTGGAGTACAATGGCTCGATCTCAGCTCACTGCAACCTCTGCCTCCCGGGTTCAAGTGATTCTCCTGCCTCAGCCTCCCGAGTAGTTGGGATTACAGGGGCCCACCACCCTGCCCGGCTAATTTTTTTTTTTTTTTTTTTTTTTTGAGACGGAGTTTCGCTCTTTTTGCCCAGGCTGGAGTGCAATGGCATGATCTCGGCTCACTGCAACCTCCACCTCCCGAGTTCAAGTGATTCTCCTGCCTCAGTCTCCCTAGTAGCTGGGATTACAGGCACGCACCACCATGCTTGGCTAATATTGTATTTTTTAGTAGAGACAGGGTTTCTCCATGTTGGCCAGGCTGGTCTCAAACTCCCATCCTCAGGTGATCCGCCCACCTCGGCCTCCTAAAGTGCTAGGATTACAGGTGTGAGCCACCGCACTCGGCCGAACTAATTTTTGTATTTTTAGTAGAGACAGGGTTTCACCATGTTGGCCAGGCTGGTTTCAAACTCCTGACCTCAGGTGATTCGCCCCCCTCGGCCTCCCAAAGTGCTGGGATTATAGTCGTGAGCCACCTCTCCTGGCAGAAGTAGGGTCTTTAGAGAGGTAATTAAGTTAAGGTGAGGTCCTTAGGGTGGGTCCTAATCCAACATGACTGATGTCCTTATAAAGAGAAGAGATTTGGACACAGAGACACGGACAGAAGGAAGACCAAGAGCAGACACAGGAAGAAGATGCCACCTGCAAGCCAAGTAGAAAGACCTGGAACAGGCCGGCTATGGTGGCTCACGCCTGTAATCCCAGCACTCTGGGAGGCCAAGGCGGGTGGATCACGAGGTCAAGAGTTCAAGAGCAACCTGGCCAAGATGGTGAAATCCCATCTCTACTAAAAATACAAAAAAATTAGCAGGGCATGTTGGTGGGCACCCGTAATCTCAGCTACTGGGGAGGCTGAGGCAGAGAATTGCTTGAACTCGGGGAGGCGGAGGTTGCAGTGAGCCGAGATCGCGTCTCTGCACTCCAGTCCAGCCTGGGTGACAGAGCGAGACTCCGTCTCAAAAAAACAAACAAACAAACAAAAACCTGGAACAGATCCTTCCCTCACAGCCTCAGAAGGAACCAACCCCGCTAACACTTTGATCTTGGTACCACCCAGTCTGTAATACCTTGTCATGGAAGCCCTAGCAAATTAATACAAATGCTAACACCATCTCATGAGGCAAACAACAGTCTTTAAAAAAAACCTTTTTTTGTTTTTTTTTTTGTTGTTGTTTTTGAGACAGGGTTTTTTGCTCTGTCACCCAGCCTGGAGTGCAGTGGCACGATCTCGGCTCACTGTAACCTCCGTCTCCCGGGTTCAAGTGATTCCCCAGCCTCAGCCTCTCGAGTAGCTGGGATTACAGGTGTGCACCACCATACCTGGCTAATTTTTGTATTTTTAGTAGAGACAGGGTTTCGCCATGTTGGCCAGGCTGGTCTCGAACTCCTAACCTCAAGTGATCTGCCCACCACCAGCCTGGCCAACATGGCGAAACCCCATCTTTGCTAAAAATACAAAAATTAGCCAGGCATGGAAGCGCATGCTTGTAGTCCCAGCTATTTGGGAGTCTGAGCCAGGAGACTCGCTTGAATCCGGGAGGCGGAGGTTGCAGTGAGATGAGATTGTGCCACCACACTCCAACCTGGGGAACAGAGTGAGACTCTATGTCCAAAAAAAAAAAAAAGAAAAATTAAAATTAAATTAAATAAGATATGCAAATGGCCAAAGAGCATATCAAAAGACATTCAAAATCGGCTGGGCGCGGTGGCTCACACCTATAATCCCAGCACTTTGGGAGGCCAAGACAGGTGGATCACCTGAGGTTGGGCATTCGAGACCAGCCTGGCCAACATGGTGAAACCCCATCTCTACTAAAAATACAAAAAAATTAGCCAGGCCTGGTGGCAGGTGCCTGTAATCCCAGCTACTTGGGAGGCTGAGGCAGAAGAATTGCTTGAACCCGGGAGATGGAGGTTGCAGTGAGCCACGATCACACCATTGCACTCCAGCCTGGGTGACAGAGCGAGAGTCTGTCTAAAAAAAAAAAAAAAAAAAAAAAAAGAAAGATATTCAAAATCATTAGCCATTACGGAAATGCAAATCAGGACCACAGTGAGATACCACTACACACCCACGAGGGTGGCTATTTTAAAAACCCATAAACCCCCAAAATGAACAGTAACAGGTGTTGATGAGGATGTGGGGAAATCAGAATTCTCAGACAGTACTAGTGAGAATGTACAATGTTGCAACGGCTTTGGGAAAGTCTGGCAGTTCCTCAAAATGTTAAACATAGTTACCACGTGACCCAGAAACTCTACTTCTCAGCATATACCCAGAGCAATGGAAACACATCCTCACATCAACTTGCCAGGAATGTCCACAGCCGCTCGATTCACAGTAGCCAAAGGTGGAAAGAACCCAAATGCCTGTCAGCAGATGAATTAACGCACAAAATGTGTTCCTTCCATACATAGAACATGATTCAGCCATAAAAAGGAAGGAAGCACTGATCCATGTTGCAGTGTGTGTGAACCCCAAAAACATGATGCCTAAGTGAGAGAAGCCGGACACAAAAGGCCACAGAATGTGAGATTCCACTGACATGAAATGCCCAGAACAGGCAAATCCATAGAGACAGGAAGCAGGTTGGTGGCTGTCAGGGATTGGGGGAGGGGAATGGGAAGTGACTGCTGATGGGGACGTGGGTTTTCTTTTGGGAAGGTGAAAATGTTCTAAAATAATGTTCTAAAATGGATCGTGGTGATCAATGTACAACTCTGTGAATTTACAAAAAAATCATCAAATTGGCTGGGCGCGGTGGCTCACGCCTGTAATCTCAGCACTTTGGGAGGCCGAGGCGGGCGGATCACGAGGTCAGGAGATCTAGACCATCCTGGCTAACACGGTGAAACCCCATCTCTACTAAAAATACAAAAAATTAGCCAGGCGTGGTGGCGGGCGCCTGTAGTCCCAGCTACTCGGGAGGCTGAGGCAGGAGAATGGCGTGAACCTGGGAGGCAGAGCTTGCAATGAGCTGAGATCGCGCCACTGCACTCCAGCCTGGGCGACAGAGCGAGACTCCATCTCAAAACAAACAAACAAACAAACAAAAACATCAAATTGTACACTTTAAATAGGTGGATTGTAAAATACATGAATTATATATCAATAAAGCTGTTTTTAAAAATTATTTATTATTATTATTATTATTGAGATGGAGTCTCGCTCTGTGGCCCAGGCTAGAGTGCAGCGGTGTGATCTCAGCTCACTGCAACCTCTACTTCCTGGGTTCAAGTGATTCTCATGCCTCAGCCTCCCAAGTAGCTGGGAATACAGGGGTGCACCACCATGACCAGCTAATTTTTGTATTTTAGTAGAGACGGGGTTGCACCATGTTAGCCAGGTGGTTTCGAACTCCTGACCTCAAGTGATCCACTGGCCTCAGTCTCCTGCCTTGACTTCCCAAAGTGCTGGAATTACAGACGTGAGCTGCCACGCCCGGCCAGCTATTTTTATTTTAATTTAATTTTATTTTTTTTGAGACATGGTCTCACTCTGCCACCCAGGCTGGAGTGTGGTGGTGTGATCACAGCTCACTGCAGCCTCAGCCTCCCCAGGCTCGGGCAATCCTCCCACCTCAGTCTCTCAAGTAGCTGGGATTACAGGCACGTGCCACCACTCCTGGCTAATTTTTTATAGAGATGGGGTCTCACCATGTTGCCCAGGCTGGTCTTAAACTGCTGAGCTCAAGCAATCCACCCACCTTGGCCTCCCAAAATGTTGGGATTACAGGTGTGAACCACCACGCCTGGCCAGCAAAGCTGTTTTTAAAGAAAGTGTTCACAATTTAACAAACTAAAGCCATGCCTTTCAAACTTTGGAAGAGAACCCTCTGCAGAAATATAATAAGACATGAAGAATCAGGAGAGTTTGTCTTTCTGCAACTCTCTGTCCTTCATCCTTTTGCAGTTGGCCCTGGGTGAATGTCCTGGGGGGACATGGGGAATGCCTTCTGTTCTCAAAAGCCTTAGTCATTAGGAGGCTGAGGTGGGAACACTGCTTGAGGCTGGGAGTTCGAGACCAGCCTCGGCAATGTAGTGACACCATGTCTCTAAAAAAAAAAAAAAAAAAAAAGGATGTGATTTTTAAGTTTCTTTTTTAATTTTTAGTTTATTTTTTATAGAGAAGAGGTGTCTTGGGAGGCTGAGGCAGGTGGATCACCTGAGATCAGGAGTTCCAGACCAGCCTGGCCAACATGGGGAAACCCCATCTCTACTAAAAATACAAAAAATTAGCTGGGTTTGGTGGCGGGTGCCTGTAATCCCAGCTACTCGGGAGGCTGAGGTAGGAGAATCACTTGAACCCGGGAGGCAGAGGTTGTAGGGAGCTGAGATTGCGCCACTGCAATCCAGCCTGGGCGACAGAGTGAAACTCTGTGTCAAAAATAGTAATAATAATAATAAAATAATTAAATAATGTTTTTATTTATTTATTTATTTATTTTTTGAGACGGAGTCTCGCTCTGTCGCCCAGGCTGGAGTGCAGTGGCGCAATCTCGGCTCACTGCAAGCTCCGCCTCCCGGGTTCATGCCATTCTCCTGCCTCAGCCTCCCGAGTAGCTGGGACTACAGGCGCCCACCACCACACCTGGCTAATTTTTCGTATTTTTAGTAGAGACGGGGTTTCACTGTGTTAGCCAGCATGGTCTCGATCTCCTGACCTAGTGATCCACCCACCTCGGCCTCCCGAAGTGTTGGGATTATAGGTGTGAGCCACTGCACCCGGCCAATAATTTTTTTTTAAATGAAAAGACAGGCCAGGTGCAGTGGCTCACACCTGTAATCCCAGCACTGGGAGGCCAAGGCGGGCGGATCACGAGGTCAGGAAATTGAGGCCATCCTGGTTAACATAGTGAAACCCCGTCTCTACTAAAAATACAAAAAAAAAATTAGCAGGGCATGTTGGCGGGCACCTGTAGACCCAGCTACTCGGGAGGCTAAGGCAGGGGAATTGCTTGAACCCAGGAGGCAGAGGTTGCAGTGAGTGGATACCGCGCCATTGCACCCCAGCCTTGGCGACAGAGCTAGACTCTGTCTCAAAAAAAAAAAAAAAAAAAAAAAAAAAAGAAAGAAAAGACACCAGTTAGCCAGGTTCAGGTCTGAGAGGGGAGGCAGGGCTCTAATCTGAGGATCTAAGGGGCAGGCAGGACCCTATTGGGAGGGTCTGAGGGAGGGGCACAGTTATGCCCTGGGGACTGAGGGGTGTTCCACCCCATCTTGGGGGGCTGAGGTGAGACCTACCATACTCTGGGCATCTGGGGAGACGGTGCTTTGCCCCGGGGTTTTGGCGGATAGAGACAGGGCCCTACCCCTGGGGCTCTGGGCGAGGGGTTGAGGTGGAGGTAGGGCCCCGCCATTAGGGGTCTGAGGTGAGGAGACTGAGTTCTGCCTTGAGCAGGACTGAGGGGGCTGAGCTTACCTTCCTGCCCAGTGCGGACGGCTGGGTGGTCTGAGGTCCTATGGGAGGTCTGTCTTTGCCACTGCCTGGGCCCTGGCCAGCCAGGTCACCTCCTTGGAAGACCCTGAAGCTGCCTCTTCAGCCTTCCCTCACCCCACCCTCCCATCTCTCACCCACCTCACCCTTAAGGAGAGAGCCCCACACCTGCTCCCCACAATGTCTCAGGGCAGGCGGGACACCCCCTGGATGAAGTTGTGTCTGAGAACACGGGGATAATTGTCTAGTGAGTTTGACACAAGCCGGGGTGCGAGAGTGGCGCGATGGTCTCCAGGAGACCCCAGATTTGCAGCTGTGACTTTGCCCAGAGAGCCCGCCTGTTTCTGCCACCTCAAGAAAGTCACCTCCCCTCTCATGCCTTCACTTTCCTGCCTGCAAAGGGTTTAAAACTTCTGCTGCCCAGGCGCAATGGCTCACTCCTGTAATCTCAACACTTTGGGAGGCCAAGGCAGGTGGATCACTTGAAGGCAGGAGTTTGAGACCAGCCTGGCCAACATGGTGAAACCCCATCTCTACTAAAAATACAAAACTTAGCCGGGCATGGTGGGGCGCACCTGCAATCCCAGCTACTCGGGAGGCTGAGGCAACAGAATCGCTTGAGCCTGGGAGGCAGTGGTTGCAGTGAGCCGAGACCTTCCACTGCACTCCAGCCTTGGCAACAGAGGGAGACCCTGTCTCAAACAAAACAAAATAAAACAAAACAGCCGGGAACGGTGGCTCACGCCTGTAATCCCAGCACTTTGGGAGGCCGAGGCGGGTGGATCACAGGGTCAGGAGATCCAGACCATCCTGGCTAACACAGTGAAACCCGGTCTCTACTAAAAATAGAAAAATTAGCCAGGCATGACGGCGGGCGCCTGTAGTCCCAGCTACTCAGGAGGTTGAGGCAGGAGAATGGTATGAACGCAGAAGGTGGGGCTTGCAGTGAGCCGAGACTGCGCCACTGCACTCCAGCCTGGGTGAAAGAGTGAGACTCCATCTCAAACAAAACAAAACAACAAAAGCTTCTCCCTACTTCCCGGGATTTGGCAATGAGTTAATATTTCTAAATTCAACACCCAGCATACAGCAAATATGGACTGTTTATACATGCTAGAATTGAACAGGAACAAAACACTGTGAACTTTTATTCAGTCCATCCTTTTTTTGTTTTTTTTTTTCCATTCAGGGTCTCACTCAGTCGCCCAGGCTGGAGTACAGTGGCACTATCTTGGCTCACTGCAGCCTTGACCTCCTGGGCTCAAGTGATCCTCCCACCTCAGCCTCCCAAGTAGCTGGGACTACTGGCATGTGCCACCATGCCTGACTAATTTTTGTATGTATGTATGTATGTATGTATGTATGTATTTATTTTTAGACAGAGTCTCCCTCTGTTGCCCAGGCTGGAGTGCAGTAGTGAGATCTCGGCTCACTGCAATCTCTGCCTCCCAGGTTCAAGTGATTCTCCTGCCTCAGCCTCCCGAGTAGCTGGGACTACAGGCACATACCACCATACCCGGCTAATAATTTTTGTATTTTTAGTACAGACGGGGTTTCACTAGGTTGGCCAGGCTGGTCTCAAATTTCTGACCTCAAGTGATCCACCCACCTTGGCCTCTCACAGTGCTGGGATTACAGGTGTTAGCCAGTATGCCTGGCCTAATTTTTGTACTTTTTGTACAGACAGGGTTTCACCATGTTGCCCAGGTTGGTCTCAAATTCCTGGACTCAGGTGGTCCTCCTGCCTCGGTCTCCCAAAGTGCTGGGATTACAGGTGTGAGCTACTGTAGCCGGTCTTCAGCCACTTATTTGCAGCTTGTGTGTGCTGGACCCCTTTGATTAGTGCTGGCACATTCTGGGAGCTTCATGCATAGTAAGTTATGGGCTCAGGACTGCCAATTAACACACAGGAGGAGAATTAAACTTGGATTCCAAAAAGACAATGAATATTATTTTCAAAATTATATCTCAAATATTGCATGGAATATACTTACAGTTTAAAAAAAATGTTGCTGGCTGGGAATGGTGGCTCATGCCTGTAATCTCAGCACTTTAGGAGGGTGAGCCTAGGAGTTCAAGACCAGCCTCAGCAGCATAGTGAGATTCTGTCTCTAAAAAAAAGTTAGCCAGGGCACCAGGTCAGGGCACGGTGGCTCATGCCTGTAATCCCAGCACTATGGGAGGCCGAGGTGGGTGGCTCACTTGAGGTCAGGAGTTTGAGACCAGCCTGGCAAACATGGTGAAACCCCGTCTCTACTAAAAATACAAAAATTAGCTGGCATGGTTGCACACGCCTGTAATCCCAGCTACTCAGGAGGCTGAGGCAGGAGAATCACTTGAACCTGGGAGGTGGAGGTTGCAGTGAGGCGAGATTGTGCCACTGCACTTCAGCCTGGGTGACAGAGCGAGACTCCGTCTCAAAAAAAAAAAAAAAAATTGCCAGGTGTGGTGGTGCCCACCTGTAATCTCAGCACTTTGGGAGGTCCAGGAGGGAGGATTGTTTGAGCCCAGGAGTTCAAGACCAGCCTGATCAACATAGCGAGACCCCACGTCTACTAAAAATAAAAAATGACCTGGGCATAGTGGCATGTCCATAGTGCCAGCTACTCAAAAGGCTGAGGCAGGAGGATTGCTGGAGCCCAGGATGTCAAGGCTTCAGTGAGCTATGCTCACATCACTGTGCTCCAGCCTGGGTGACAGAGTGAGACCCTGCCTCCAAAAAAAAGAAAAGAAATAAAAAAAATTTAGCTGGACGCAGTGCCCCACACCTGTAATCCCAGCAGTTTGGGAGGCTGGGGTGAGAGGATTGCTTGAGCCCAGGAGTTCGAGACTAGCCTGGGCAACATAGTGAGACCTCATCTCTGCTAAATATAAACATATTAGCTGGGTGTGGTGGTGCACGCCTGTAGTCCCAGCTACTCAGGAGGCTGAGGCAAGAGGATCACTTGAGTCCAGGAGATTGAGGTTGCAGTGAGCTGTGATAGCAATTGCACTCCATCCAGCCCAGGATACACATGGAGACCCTGTCTCTTAAGGAAAAAAAAAAAATCTATCGGCCGGGTGCAGTGGCTCACGCTTGTAATCCCAACAATTTGGGAGGCCAAGGCAGGCGTATCACTTGAGGTCAGGAGTTTGAGACCAGCCTGGCCAACATGGTGAAACCCCATCTCTACTAAAAATACAAAAATGAGCCGGTTATGATGGCACATGCCTGTAATCCCAGCTACTCGGGAGGCTGAGGCAGGAGAATCACTCCAACCCAGGAGGCAGAGGTTGCAGTGAGCCGAGATTGCACCACTGCACTCCAGCCTGGGAGACGGAGCGAGACTCTGTCTCATAAGAAAAGAGAGCATTGGTCCTGTGATCGTCCCCCTCTCTTGGATGAGGAAACTCAGGCTCAGAGAGGTGAGGGGGCTTGCTCAGGGTCCCCAGGGCGAGTGTCCTGCCCACAGCCTTACCCGGTCACCCTGGCACTGGCGGAAGCTGGCATTGATGCGGTCCAGGTCGCGGCGAGCATTCAGCCACATCTGCATGATGGCATCCTTGGCGCGGGTGGTGAAGTTGAGCTCCTTGGTCAAGTTGGACTGGGAGGCCGTGAGCCCTAGGAGCTGACTGTATAGGCCCTCGGCTCGGCGCTCGGTGGCCTGCAGGTTGGACTCTGTGCTCACGTGCACGTTGCCATAGACCATGAAGAGCACGAGCCCCAGGATGATGAGGAATTGGATGAGGGAGACGAAGAGGAAGAAGTAGCGCAGGTAATACCAGCAGCCCCGAGAGCTGCCCCCCGCCCGAGCGTAGGACCCTCCGTGCTCCATGGCCAGACCCATTTGCTCGATCCCGCCGTCCGGTGCACCGTCCCTGCTCACCACCAGGCCTGCTCTGGCCCCCGCCTCGCAGGGGGGAGTGCTTATATTACTCCTCTTAATACTTCCTCTGCCTGGCTCCTTCCTGGCCCGGAGGAAACGGGGGCTGCGGGTTATCACAACACTCCCACTCTGGCTGTGAGAAGGCGGGGGTGGGGCTGGGGGCCCAGAGCCAGGGCACCGGCTGGACCCCTCTGATTAATGCTGGGTGGGGCGCTGGCTGGCTGGTCAGGCATTCCTGGCCTCTTCGAGCCTCGCGTTCGCCTTTACTTGCTGGCGGGTGCTGTTCTCAGTACCTGCTGTGATTAGGTCGCTGAATCATGCCAGGTCTGTTGCTGTCTCCCTTGTGTGGCGGAGGAAACTGAGGCACAGGGAGGAGAAGGGGTTGCCTCGGGGTCTCACGCTGTTAGTTCAGCGAACTTGACTTACCTCAAGACAGGCTGGCTACAGACGTGCACCCACTTCACCAGGGCGGTGCTGATTAAGTGCCACAAAACGTGGGAAATGTGCCAGGCACGGTGGCTCACGCCTATAATCCCAGCACTTTGGGAGGCTGAGGCGGACGGATCACCTGAGGTCAGAAGTTTGAGACCAACCCGGTCACCGTGGTGAAACCCCCCGTCTCTACTAAAAATACAAAACTTAGCCAGGTGTGGTGGTGCTCGCCTGTAATTCCAGCTACCCAGGAGGCTGAGGCAGGAGAATCGCTTGAACCCAGGAGTCGGAGGTTGCGGTGAGCAGAGATCGTGCCATTGCACTCCAGCCTGGGGTATAGAGCAAGACTCTGTTTCAAAAAAAAAAAAAAACAGAAAAAGTGTGAAACTCTTAGCTAGCCTAGGGATGGAGAAGCAGTAGGTGATTAGTAATTGCATAGGAGGGCGTCACGGAGGGCTGAGCCATGGATGGCGGTGGCGCTGGCTCCCCAAGCTCTGTCATTGCCCCCAGTGCCCTGTTCACTTAGATGCTCAGTAAATGCTCCAGGAAACTGCAGCACAAGGAATAATGAACTTGGAGCGGGGAAGAGCTGGCTTTGTCCCGGGAGAGCTCGGGCAAGAGGCCTCGCATGTCTGTGCCTCCCTTTTCCCCTTTGTGAGACGGGGTATACCCAGTGCCTCGTCACTCTGTGGCTGTTGTTATGATTAGGATCATTTCCTGCTGGAGGCACTGCTGGGGGCTCCGTGAGATGGTGAATGACAAGTGGTGGATACGTGGGACTGAGATTCCTCCCCCGACACTCAAAACCCCATGGGCGGCCGGGCATAGTGGCTCACACCTGTAATCTCAGCACTTTGTGAGGCTGAGGCAGGCGGATCACCTGAGGTCAGGAGTGCGAGACCAGCCTGGCCAATATGGTGAAACCCCATCTCCACTAAAAATACAAAAATTAGCCGTGTGTGGTGGCGAGCACCTGTAATCCCAGCTGCTTGGGAAGCTGAGGCAGGAGAACCACTTGAACCCGGGAGGCGGAGGTTGCAGTGAAGCGAGATCGGGCCACTGCACTCCATCCTGGGAGATAAGAGAGAAACTCTGTCTCAAAAACAAAAACAAACAAACCAAAAAAACCACGGGAGTTTTCTGGGGTCGCTGTGGGTCACCCCCCAGTTGGGCCTGGAGGGGATTTGGGGACCCGGAAGCAAAGGATTCTGTGTGTCCTGCCTATCTCCCAGGATCAGGAGCTCCAGGGAAACCCTCCCTGGAGTCCCTTCTTTGTTTGCTCCATGCTGGGTGATGCCAGGGCCCCCCAAGAGGTGTCAGTCCCAACCTCAGCCACAAGCAACTCCCAGTCTTGGGAGACAGACTGGGACAGGTACCCCCCACCCTGTGGAGTCAGGGTGGGCTGGAGGAACAGGAGCAGGGAGCCGGAAAGGAGGCTGGACTCCGGACAGGTGACAATCATGCAATTGCTGTCCTCTGTAGGGCAATGTGAAGGCTGGGGCGTGGGGACCCGTCCCCCCATTAGCCAGGGTAACAGAGTGGGGAGGGGTCGTTGACAGAGCGGAGGGGTACTCCAGGGTGGTGCTCAGTGAGGCGAGTGTAGAGTTGAGAAGAAGGAAGTTCCCAGGGGTGGGCAGGAAACCCATGTCTGACCTTTGACCTTTGCAGCTACCCGGTGGTTCCTGATCCTGATTCCGGACCCTTCCCAGCGGCGTCGTCGGCGGCTGCTAGTGGGGGAAGGAGGGCTGGGGGCTGCCACGGGTGCCCAACCAGCCATTTCTCTGGGTTGGCCAGACCCACCCAGAGCCCCCCAGAGCTGGGCAGGAGGAGAACATCCTCCGTAATGGGGGCAATGTAGTCTGAGTGAACCCAGCATTACAGTTTAGAGTTCTGGAGTTGAGTTCTGACTGTGCCACCTACCAGCTTTGTGGCCTTGGAGAAGTGACTTTCCCTCCCTGGGCCTCAGTTTTCTCCTGTCCGAAGTGGAGATAGCCAGGTGCAGTGGCTCACACCTGTAATCCCAGCAGTTAGGGAGGCAGAGGTGGGAGAATCGTTGGAGCCCACAAGTTCAAGACCCTGTTCTAAAAAAAAAAAAACCCAAAAAACAAAAACAAAACAAAAATCAAGTGAAGACAACATAGCCAGTTTTTTTTGTTTTTTTTTTTTGTTTTTTTTTTTTTTTTTTGAGATGGAGTCTGGCACTGTTCCCCAGGCTGGAGTGCAGTGGCACTATCTTGGCTCACCACAGCCTCTGCCTCCTGGGTTCAAGGGATTCTCCTGCCTCAGCCTCCTGAGTAGCTGGGACTACAGGCACGCGCCAGCATGCCTGGCTAATTTTTTGTATTTTTAGTAGAGACAGGGTTTCACCAGGCTGGTCTCAAACTCCTGACCTCGTGATCCGCCTGCGTCGGCCTCCCAAAGTGCTCGGATTACAGGCGTGAGCTACCTCACCTGGCCAACAACATAGCCAGTTTTGAAGTACTTGACGTCATGCCTGGAACATACTCAGTCTTAATAAATGATGGCCTTTTTTTTTTGAGACAGAGTCTTGCTCTATTGCTCAGGATGGAGTGCAGTGGTGCGATCTCGGCTCACTGCAACCTCTGCCTCCAGAGTTCAAGCAATTCTCCTGCCTCAGCCTCCCAAGTAGCTGGGATTACAGATGTGCAGCACTACTGCTCAGCTAATTTTTGTATTTTTAGTAGAGACGGGGTTCCACCATGTTGACCAGGCTGGTCACAAACTCCTGACCTCAGGTGATCCACCTGCCTTGGACTCCCAAAGTGCTGAGATTACAGAATGAACCACCGCACCGGGCAATGATGGCATTTTTTAAGATGTGAGGGCTGGATCATGCCTGGCCTCTGATGTCAGGCTGAGGAACTCAGACATAGGGGAGGGGCAGTATTCCCAGCTGCCGGTGCCCCAGGCCTGTGAGAGCACTGGGGAAAGGAGAGCATGATGGGGATGAAGTGTGGGTGACCAGGGTCCAGCAGAGGAGCTGAGGCTGGGTGCAGTGTCTGGGCCAATGCCAGTAGATGTGGGTCTTGGTGTACACTTAAGATCTTGGCTGTTCTTCATTGTATATAGAAGATGTTGCATCTATGTATGTATGAATGTGATACCAGTTGACAAGGAAAAATAAAGGCAACCTCAAACTCCCAGAAAACAAAAAGCCCCCCGGACCTGATGGTACTGATGTGCCACAATTTTGAACAGTTGTCACCATGTGAGAAGCAGAGTTTTAAATATACATACCAATGTTATTTGTATCAAGCCCAAAAACAATATTTGGTGTCCTTTTCTAATTTGATCTCACACCTTTAATTTGTAATGTTTCTGTTTTGGATCATTTGTTATATTAGCTGATTTAACTTTGTAACTTTTTGTTTGTTTGTTTTGAGGCAGAGTTTTCTCTTGTCGTCCAGGCTGGCATGCAATGGCATGATCTTGGCTCACTGCAACCTCCACCTCTGGGTTCAAGTGATTCTCCTGCCTCAGCCTCCTGAGTAGCTGGGATTACAGGTGCACACCACCATGCCTAGCTAATTTTTTTTTTTTTTTTGGTATTTTTTAGTACAGATGGGCTTTCGCCATGTTGGCCAGGCTGGTGTCGAACTCCTGACCACAGGTGATCCACCCACCTCATCCTCCCAAATTGCTGGGATTACAGGCGTGAGCCACCACGCCAGGCCTGATTTTTTTTTTTTTTTTTTTTTTTTTTTTTTTTTTTTTTTTTTTAGCAAAAAGGGTAGGCTGGGGGTCGTGGCTCACACCTGTAATCCCAGCACTTTGGGAGGTCGAGGCGGGTAGATCACGAGGTCAGGAGTTCGAGACCAGCCTGGCCAATATGGTGAAACCCCATCTCTACTAAAAATACAAAAATTAGCTAGATATGGTGGCGGATGCCAGTACTCCCAGCTACACGGGAGGCTGAGGCAGAAGAATTGCTTGAACCTGGGAGGTGGAGGTTGCAGTGAGCCCAGATCGTGCCACTGCACTCTAGCCTGGGCTACAGAGTGAGACTCCATCTCAAAAAAAAAAAAAAAAAAAAAGGTAAAGATAGACCTTCCTCTTTTTGCACAGTATTATGTCTTTGAGATTCATTGACTCCTATGGCTGGCTGTTTAGGTTTTCACCAGATACAGTACCATAAAATTATGAATGGACACTTAGATTTTTTCTGAGTTAGTTTTTCAATAAATAAAAGAAGATTTAAAATCAAATTTCCTGGCTGGGTGCGGTGGCTCACATCTGTAATCCAAAGCACTTTGGAAAGCCAAGGCAGGCGGATCACTTGAGTCCAGGAGTTTGAGACCAGCCTGGGCAACATGTTGAAATCCCATCTCTTCAAAAAATACAAAAATTAGCCGGGTGTGGTAGTCCCAGCTACTTGGGAGGCTGAGGCAGAGAATTGCTTGAATCCAGGAGGCACAGGTTGCAGTGAGCCGAGATCACACCACTGCACTCCAGCCTGGGTGACAGAGTGAGACCCGGTCTCAAAAAAAAAAAAAAAAAAAAAAAGAAAGAAAGAAAGAAAGAAAGAAAGAAAGAAAATCAAATTTCCAGAAATGAATGAAATTACTGGGTCTCAAAGTGGGCACATTTTTACATTTTGATAGTTGTCACCAATTTGTCCTTCAAAGAGGTTGTTTTCATTGACATCTTTGCCTGCGATGTCTGAAATCTCCAAACATGGACTTTATGAAAATGTTCTGTTTGTGTCCTTGGCCAGAAAAATCTGGAGGGAGAATGTGAGTGCCTGATCAAGAATCTACATGAAGTCAAATGCATCAGCCCTGATGTGAGTGTTGGGTTTTTTCCTGAAAACAATTTGTCATGTTCACAGGAAATTTTGCACATGAATCCCTTCAAATTCCCTTGGAGGGGCATCAGAAAATCAGGCTTGCTTTTTAAACCCTTTTGTTTTTCTAAACAGAAAACAATTGATTTGGTTTCATTTGTTTGTTTGAGTGGAGAAGGAAAAACTGTCATGAGGAAGTCAACTCTGTGTCACTCCCTGAAAACTGACACTGAAGTCCTCATGGAGACACGAGTTAAAAAAAAACAAAATCACTCAGAACTTCAGGAAGGTCCTTGAGGAAGTGATATTTCTGGTGAAGAAGGATTTCAGTGAAGTTCAGAAAACCTTCCACTATTTTGTTTTTTTTTTTTTGAGACGGAGTGTTGCGCTGTTGCCCAGGCTGGAGTGCAGTGGCACGATCTTGGCTCACTGCAAGCTCCGCCTCCTTCCGGGTTCATGCCATTCTCCTGCTTCAGCCTCTAGAGTAGCTGGGGACTACAGGCTAATTTTTTGTGCCTTTAGTAGAGATGGGGTTTCACCGTGTTAGCCAGGATGGTCTCGATCTCCTGACCTCGTGATCCACCCACCTCGGCCTCCCAAAGTGCTAGGATTACAGGCGTGAGCCCCTGCGCCTGGCTTTTTTTTTTCTTTTTCTTTTTTTGTTTTTTTTGAGACGGAGTCTCGCTCTGTCGCCCAGGCTGGAGTGCAGTGGCGCCATTTCGGCTCACTGCAACCTCTGTCTCCCAGGTTAGAGCAATTCTGGCTCAGCCTCCTAAGTAGATGGGACTACAGGTACACACTACCACCCCCGGCTAATTGTTATATTTTTAATAGAGACTGGGTTTCACCATATTGGACAGACTGGTCTTGAACTCCTGACCTCAAGTGATCCTCCTAACTCAGCCTCCCAAAATGCTGGGATTACAGGCATTAGCCACTGCACCGGGCCAACCCTCCACTTTTATGTCTGTGAGTTTGGTTTTTGGTTAATCGAAGTGAAGTTAAGTTTTGTGCTTTTGGAGGTGACGGAGGCAGCGAAGAGAGTCCCTCTGTGGGGTGGGGGAAACCTGTGCTCTCTGGGACTCTGTGTTCCCTGCTGAAAAACAGGGACCTAGGCTGGGCGTGGTGGCTCACGCCTGTAATCCCAGCACTTTGGGAGGCTGAGGCAGGCAGATCACCTGAGGCCAGGAGTTTGAGACCACCCTGACCAACATGGAGAAACCCCGTCTCTACTAAAAATACAAAACTAGCCAAGTGTCCTGGCGCATGCCTGTAATCCCAGCACTGGGGAGGCTGAGGCAGAAGAATCGCTTAAACCCGGGAGGTGGAGGTTGCAGTGAGCTGAGACTGCGCCATTGCACTCCAGCCTGGGCAACAACAGTGAAACTCGGTGTCATAAATAAATAAATAAATAAAAAGAAAAACAGGGACCTACTTCCTTGCCTGTGACTGGAGGGCTGGAAAGGTCAGGTTGCAACTAGCCCATGTCCCCTCCTGCCAAGGCCACTGTGGGCTTTCCATTTTTGTCCCCTACCCCTGTCCCTCCAGCTATGGGAGGGGAGGTCCAGTGTGGCCACGGATAGGGATTACCCAGGATGGTGCCCTGGAGACAGGGGTAGACAGACAGAGATAACCAGAGACAGAAAGACACTTAAAGAGATGACCAGCAGAGGGCGGGTGCTGTTGCTCACGCCTGTAATCCCAGCACTTTGGGAGGCCGATGCAGGTGAATCACCTGAGGTCAGGAGTTCGAAACCAGCCTGGCCCAACATGGTGAAACCCTGTCTCCACTAAAAATAAAAATATTGGCCAGGCGCAGTGGCTCACACCTGTAATCCCAGCACTTGGAGGCCGAGGCGGGCGGATCATGAGGTCAGGAGTTCAAGACCAGCCTGGCCAACATGGCGAAACCCCATCTCTACTAAAAAAAATACAAAAATTAGCTAGGTGTGGTGGCACGTGCCTGTAATCCCTTGGGAGTCTACTTGGGAGGCTGAGGCAGGAGAATCACTTGAACCCAGGAGGCGGAGGTTGCAGTGAGCCGAGACCACGCCACTGCACTCCAGCCTGGCGACAGAGCGAGACTCCGTCTCAAAAAAAAAAAAAAAAAAAATTAGCCCAGTGTAGTGGCACGTGCCTGTAATTCCAGCTACTTGGGAAGGTGAGGCAGGAGAATCATTTGAACCAGGGAGGTGGAGGTTGCCGTGAGCCGAGATCACGCCACTGCACTCCAGCCTGGGGAACAGAGCAAGATTCCGTCTCAAAAAAAAAAAAAAAAAAAAAAAAGGCTGGGTGCGGTGGCTCAGGCCCATAATCCCAACACTTTGGGAGGCCAAGGCAGGTGGATCACCTGAGGTCAGGGGTTCAAGACCAGCCTGGCCAACATGGTGAAATCCTGTCTCTACTAAAAAAAAAAAAAAAAAAAAAAAAATTTGCTGGCTGTGGTTATGCGCACCTGTAATCCCAGCTACTCAGGAGGCTGAGGCAGGAGAATCACTTAAACTGAGGGGGCGGAGGTTGCAGTGAGCCAAAATCGCACCATTGCACTCTAGCCTAGGCAAAAAGAGCGAAACTCCATCTCAAAAAAAAAAGAAAGAAAGAGAGAGATGATCAACAGAGACCAAGAGGGATCATTAGACAGGTGGAGGCAGGGAGACAGAACAAGGACAGCTCAGTGGCTGGCTCTGTAGGGTGGGAGGCAGGTCTCACTGAGAAGTGCTGTTTGCCTCTCTGGGCATCCAGGGAGCCTCAGTGCAGACCAAGTTCTCAGCCTACCCTCCTCAAGTCACCTCGAATACTCACCGACTCTTGTCTTATGACTTCCCTGGGGTTCAAAGCCTCCAGCCTCAAATTCCCCGCTTCCCAAAATTCTTTGACACTAGTTCTGCCTGTGCCCCTCCTACTTACACATCTGCCATGGCTCCCTATCACCCTCCATCCCCAGAACTGATTTTTTTTTTTTTTGGAGACGGAGTCTCGCTCTGTCGCTCAGGCTGGAGTGCAGTGGCGCGATCTCGGCTCACTGCAACCTCTGCTTCCCGGGTTCAAGCAATTCTCCTGCCTCAGCCTCCGGAATAGCTGGGTTTACAGATGCCCATGACCACACCCAGCTATTTTTTTGTATTTTTAGTAGAGATGGGGTTTCACCATGTTGGCCGGGCTGGTCTCGAACTCCTGATCCCAAGTGATCAGTGCGCCTTGGCCTCCCAAAGTGTTGGGATTACAGGAGTGAGCCACCACGGCTGGCTCAGAACTGATGTTCAGTGGTCCCTCGGGTATGGTCAAGATGGAGCCAGCAGTGGAAATAAATGCATAATGGTGACAATGACTTAGTTCCCATGGACAGCCCTGTGCCCTGCCCTTTACACGGGCCAGTTCTTGGACCACACAGCGCCGTGGTGAGGGGGTCTTGCGTCCCTGGGGTCCTGGCTGGGGCGAGGCCAGTCTCCAGGCTTCCAGCTCTGGCTGACTCCAGAAGGAGGAACCGTTTCCTGCTGGCTTCTGGATTGACGCCAGGGCCGGGGGAGGTGGTCTCAGACCCACCCTGTCCGACTCTCAAACTCTGGGCCCTCAGGAGGCTGCAACTGGATCTGCTGGCTGGGGCGGCCCCTGGTGGCCGTTGGCGGAACACAACAGCTAGATCTCCCCTTCCCGCAGCCTCATTTTCCCCATAGGCAGAGCCTCCAGATGAGCCCCCTCTCAGGTGAAGGTCCTGATCAGGCACCTACAAACCCCAGGTGGATGGGAGGATCGTGAGCAGGACTGGCTAAAGGGGGTGGTGTCAGAGTTCCAAGAGCTTCCAATCCCCTCTCTACACCGGCCTCTTAGGAATTTTTTAAATTTATTTTTATGTACTTAGTTTTTGAGTAACAGGTCTCACTCTGTCACCCAGACTGGAGTGCAGTGGCTACGATCTCAGCTCACTGCAACCTCCACCTCCAGGGTTCAAGCGATTCTCCTGGCACAGCCTCCCGTGTAGCTGGGACTACAGGTGTGCACCACCACGCCCGGCTAATTGTTATTTGTATTTACTTATTTATTTTTTTGAAATGGAGTCTCGCTCTGTTGCCCAGGCTGGAGTGCAGTGGTGCAATCTGGGCTCACTACAACCTCTGCCTCCCAGATTCAAGCGATTCTCCTGCCTCAGCCTCCCAAGTAGCTGGGATTACAGACGCCCACCACCTCGCCCTGCTAATTTTTGTATTTTTAGTAGAGATGGGGTTTCACCATGTTGGCCAGGCTGGTCTTGAACTCTTGACCTCAGATGATCCACCTGCCTCGGACTCCCAAAGTGCTGGGATTACAGGTGTGAGCCACCGTGCCCAGCCTATTCATTTAGTTTTTGAGACAGGGTCTCACTCTGTCGCCCAGGCTGGAGTGCAATGGAGTGATCTTGGCTTACTGCAACCTCTACCCCCAGGGTTCAAGCGATTCTCCTGCCTCAGCCTCCCAAGTAGCTGGGACTACAGGTGCGCACCACCACGCCTGGCTAATTTTTAAACTTTTTGTAAAGATGGTGGTCTCCTTACATTGCTCAGGCTGTTCTCCAACTCCTGGGCTCAAGTGATCCTCCTGCTTCAGCCTCCCAATGTGCTGGGATTATAGACACGAGCCACCACCACACTCAGCCCAGACATTTTTAAAAACAATTTTTAATTTTTAATTTGTAATAAGTGACACATGTGCATGGTTTTTAAAAATGCAATTTTTACAAAAGGTACATAGAGAAATGTGCAAGTATGTCCCCCACCGATTCCCAGACCCCTGGTTCGCTCCCCAGAGGTGGAGGCTGTGACCAGCATCTCCTTCAGAGATATTTGGATAAAAGTCCCCTCCCCAAGCCCTACACACACACACACACACAAAAACGGGGGCCGGGCACAGCGGCTCAGGCCTGTAATCCCAGCACTTTGGGAGGCCAAGGAGGGTGGATCACCCGAGGTTAGCAATTCGAGACCAGCCTGGCCAACATGGTGAAACCCCGTCTTTACTAAAAAACACAAAAAACTAGCTGAGTCTGGTGATGGGCGCCTGTAATTCCAGTTACTCGAGGCTGAGGCAAGAGAATCGTTTGAACCCGAGAGGCGGAGGTTGCAGTGAGCTGAGACTGCGCCATTGCACTCCAGCCTGGGCAACAAAAGCAAGACTCTATCTCAAAAAGAAAAAAAAAGAAAGAAAGAAAGAAAGTACACAACTTATCAATCTCCTGCTTTTCACATTAACATATCTTAGAGAAGATCTGCTTTGGCTGTTTAAATGGTGGTTGCATAGCGTTCCACTGTGGATGGACAGACACTTTTTCTTTTTCTGTCTTTCTTTTCTATTTATTTTTATTTTTTTTGAGACAGAGTCTCACTCTGTCACCCAGGCTGGAGTGCAGTGGTGCGATCTCAGATCACTGCAAGCTCCGCCTCCCAGGTTCATGCCATTCTCCCGCCTCAGCCTCCCAAGTAGCTGGGACTACAGATGCCCACCACCATGCCCGGCTAATTTTTTGTATTTTTAATAGAGAAAGGGTTTCACCGTGTTAGCCAGGATGGTCTCGATCTCCTGACCTCGTGATCCGCCCGCCTCGGCCTCCCAAAGTGCTGGGATTACAGGCGTGAGCCACCCCCGGGCTCTTTTTTTCCTTTTTTTTTTTTTTTTTTTTTTTTGAGACAGGATCTCACTCAGTCACCTAGGCTGGAGTGCAGTGGCATGATCATGGCTCACTGCAGCTTCCACCTCCTGGGCTTAAGTGATCTTCCTGCTTCAGCCTCCCAAGTAGCTGGGACCACAGGTGCATGCCACCAAGCCTGGCTACTTTCTTCTCTTTCTTTCTTTTCTTTTTTGTCTTTCTTTTTTCTTTCTTTCTCTTCTTTCTTTTCTTGAAGGGGTTTTGCTCCAGTCACCCTAGCACGATCTTGGCTCACTGCAGCCTCTGCCTCCCAGGCTCAAGTGATCCTCCCACCTCAGTCTCCGAAGTAGATGGGACCACAGGTGCATGCCACCATGCCCAGCTAATATTTTGTATTTTTGGTAGAGAATGGGTTTCACCATGTTGCCCAGGCTGGTCTCAAACACCTGAGCTCAAGTGATCCACCCGCCTCAGCCTCCCAAAGAATTTTGAAACAATTATTTGTAGAGACAGGGTCTCCCTATGTTGCCCAGACTGGTCTTGAACTTCAGGGCTCAAGAGATCCTCCCGCCTTAGCCTCCCAAAGTATTGGGCTTACAGGCATGAACCACTGTGCCCAGCATGATTTTCTTAATAATTTTTTTATAGCTTTAATTTTTCATGTTTAATTTTTGAGACCGGGTCTTGCTCTGTCACTCAGAGGACTGAAGTGCAGTGGTGTGATCATGGCTCACTGCAAACTTGACGTCCTGGGCTCAAGTGATCCTCCCGCCTCAGCCTCCCAAGTAGCTGGGGCTACAGATGCATGTCACCATGCTCAGCTAATTATTGATATTATTTGTAGAGACAGGTTCTTGCTATGGTGCCCAGGCTGGTCTTGAACTCCTGGGCTCAAGTGATCTTCTTGCTGTGGCCTCCCAAAATGTTGGGATTACAGGCGTGAGCCACCACACCTGGCCAGCTTTGAGTTTGGAGGAGTCAAAGTTATGTGTGAATTTTCAACTGCATGGAGAACTGGTGCCCATAACCTTTGTGTTGTTAAGGAGTTGGAGATTAATCCACCAAATTTTCTGTAAGTCTGAAGTTATGCCAAATATAAAGGTTAAATTTAGATAACAAGCTAAAAATGTTTAAAGGTTAGAAAAACAAGAAAACCCACTAATACATTCATGTGAAATTGAGCAATATAAAATTGTCCATATTTCAATGATTTTTGACCCATATAAACAGCTCTTTCTTGTGATTCAACCTACAGATTCTCTTCCTTTTAGTTGTAGCTTTTATTTTTCTTGTGTAATTGCATTGGCTTGTACTCCCAGAAAAAAAACTACTTGACAGTGGACGTCCTCACCTTGGCACTGATTTTGATGTGTTTTTTCCCCCACAATTTATACATTTCCTCATTTGATCTATTAGTATAGCAATTAACAGACTTGGCAATATTGAACCATTGCTCTGTCTCAGGCATAAGTCACCTTTGTTGCAGTGTAGGTTAAAAACATGGGCTGGGAGCGGTGGCTCACACCTGTAATCCCAGCACTTTGGGAGGCCGGGTGGGCGGATCACCTAAGCTCAGGAGTTCGAGACCAGCCTGGCCAACATGGTGTAACCCCGTCTCTACTAAAAATACAAAAATCAGCTGGGCGTAGTGGTGGGGGCCTGTAATCCCAGCTACCTGGGAGGCTGAGGCAGGAGAATTGCTTGAACCTGGGAGGTGAAGGTTGCAGTGAGCCCAAATTGTGCCACTGCACTCCAGCCTGGGCGACAACAGCAAAACTCCATCTCAAAACCAAACCAAAACAAACATGTTACTTGGTTCTTTTTGTTTAAATTCCATCTGGGAGTTTTGTACCCTTCTCACAGGGTTAGGGATTTGCGGTTTTCCTATTGTGCCACCTTTGTCAGCTTTTGTTGTCAAATCAGCTCCCTATCATGAGTCCAATCACCCATTTTACAGATAGGGTAAACTGAAACCCAAAGAGGGAAAGTGACCCTTTCCGGTTTTTCCTGAGCCAGGGCTAGACCTCCAGTCCTCATATCTGTGGGATGACGGCAACATTGTTGTTAGAGGGGACTTCAAATCCCAGCTAAGCACTAGCTCACTGCATGATCACTTGGGCCTCAGTTTCCCTGTCTGTAGAATAAGCACTTTACATGGTGGGGGAGAGAGGGCTGAGGCACCTTTCTGTGCAGTTTCCGTTCAGGACGTCTCCAGGGTCTAAAGCTGAGTGTCGCATCCAGCGTGGGGGTGCCTCTATACACGTCCCCGCAGACCCCCCCCCCATATGTGTCCTCCAGGCCGACGCCCCCTTCCGGCAGGGGGCCGACTCACCCTCGTGCGCGCCGCGCCGGCCGCCGGCAGCCCCCGGAGGGTCCGGAGCGAGAGCGCGAGCGAGGGCTGGGCCGGGGTCGGGACCCCGAGCGGGGACGCGGCCGGGGCACTCTGCGCTGTGGGCTCATCTCGGCTTCCAGGACGTTACTGCCGGGAAGGGGGAAGGGGGCTGTCAGCCTCTGGACCCCTGTCCCCAGACATCGCCAGCCCTCATCCGCCAGAGCGTCCCTTTGCTGGGAACTCCATCCCCAGAGATCCCCATCTCCCAGGGTTTCCCGCTCCCCAGGATCCGGCATCCGTTCTCGACCCCCAGCCATTCCCGGGACGCCTCCCTAGAGACTCCCAGCTACATCCCCAGAAGCTCTGTCCCCCTACCACCAGCCTCTCCCTCGATACTCCCTTTTCCTTGCTCCCTTCTCTTCCGTTCCCCGTCCCTCTCGGGGCTCCCACCGACGCTGGATCCTGGGGACCTAAGTTTCTAGAATGCCCGCCCCAGCCTGGAATCCCAAGAGAGTCCACTCCCTTCTCCATCCTTAGGTTCCAATTCCAGGATCCCCCTATTAAATCAACAATGCCCCCCCCCCACCACAATTCCACGCCCAAAGTAATGATTGGCCGAAAGAATGCAGCCCTGCGCAAGCATTGGTCGCGCCCTCCCCGTCCATCCGACCCCGCCCTCGGGCCAGCCCCTCACTCACAGGCGTTCGCGCAGCGCCGCCTCCCGGGCCGCACAGGCTTCGCCCTCGGCCTCCGCCACGCCTGCGCGCCGCAGAGCCTCGTCCAGCCGCCGCGTAGACTCCGTGGCCGCCGCCTCCCAGCGCGCCAGGGCCTCTGGGGGCGCAGGGAGCCGGGTCAGGCTGGAGACTCCCGCGCCCACCCGCCCCACGCACGCCGGAATCCAAGTTGATAGTCTGCATGCCGTTTGCACGCTTTCCTTTATTTGAATTAAATTAGTGTGTACCATTGCATGGCTTCCACGTGCCATTTGCATAGCTTTTCATAGGTTTGCATTGCTTTCGTGAGTCGTTTACAAGGAGTTTGCATGTTTTGTGGCATTTGCCTTGTTTTTGTGACATTTGCATGGCCTCTGCATGTTGTTTGCATTCTTTTCATAAGTTTTTGCGTTTATATCCGTGTTATTTGCATTACGTTTGCAACTGTGCTTGTTTGGATAACTAGGATTCACCTAGGCTCCTCCCACTTCTATCCCTGCCCACTCCCTTACACCCCAACGCACCTGTCAGCGCCCCGTTCTCGGCCCCCATCTGGGTCCCCTGTGCCTTGGCTTCGTCCATCTCAATCTTCAGTGTCGTTAGTTGGGTCTGAAGCCGGCTCTGAGGAGTGGAGGGGAAGTGGGAGGGGGTGTAGGCAGAGGAGAGGAGGAGTGATTCGGCCTGGCCCTTTTGGGGACAGTGAGAAGCCACCTGCGACCCTGTGTCCTGAGCTTTGTGTGGAATGTCCTTTGGGGCCTTGTAGTTGTAAAATACAGAAGTGGCTTCTGAAGCCTGGGGCACCGAGTGGTGACAGCTGCCTGCCTGGAGGGAGATCTCTGCCCAGGTCCAACGCCACCAACCCTAAGCCACCAGAAAGTGGAGAGTGCTGAGCTCTGCGGTCAGATTCAAGTTCCACTTTCAGCTCCATCTGGGACTAGCTGATGGGATTTCAAACCAACAAAGTTAGCCGGGCGTCGTGGCTCACGCCTGTAATCTCAGCACTTTGGGAGACCGAGGCAGGCGGATCACTTGAGGCCAGGAGTTCGAGACTAGCCTGGCCAACATGGTGAAAACCCATCTCTACTTAAAAAAAAAAAAAAAATAGCAGTGTGTGGTGGTGGGCGCCTGTAATCCCAGCTCCTCAGGAGGCTGAGACAGGAGAATCGCTTGAACCTGGGAGGTGGAGGTTGCAGTGAGCTATTGTGCCACTGCACTCCAGCCTGGACAAAAGAGCATGACTCCGTCTCAGAACAAACAAACCCAGCAACAACAAAAACCAACACAGGGCAATTTGATGGTTGACAATGATTGAATTTTTGGGGTATGTGTCGGTTGCCTGTGTAGGACATTCTGCAAAACGACTGGTTCGGCTTCCTCAGTGCGTCTTACAGCAAGGGGGCAGAGCCAGAACCTGTACTTGGAGTAGGATCCTCTTAACCTCGACTGCCCCAGTCCCTTCTCTTGGTCCAGGGGGCAGAAAAGGGGTAGGGGTTTATTTGGATTTATTTATTTATTTTGAGATGGGGTCTTGCTCTGTCGCCCAGGCGGGAGTGCAGTGGTGGGATCTCAGCTCACTGCAACCTCCGCCTGGGATTACAAGCATGCGCCATCACACCTGGCTAATTTTTGTATTTTTAGTAGAGACGGGTTTTCACCACATTGGCCAGGCTGGTCTCGAACTCTTGACCTCAACTGATACACTCGCCCTGGCTTCCAAAAGTGCTAGGATTACAGGCGTGAGCCACTGCGCCCGGCCCCATTTTGATTTTTAATATTCAGATGCTGCACTACCTCGGCTGGGCTGGGAGGTTGGGGTGGAATGGGGGGTGTGCACAGAGGTATACAGTAGTCACTCCATAAATGGAAATGGCTGGGATTTTAAGGACAGTTCTTTTGGCAGGCTCAGGGCTGGAAAAGGTTAAGAAAAAGTCTGAAGGGTTAGTCAGAGGAAAAGGAGGACCCAGCAGGTACCTCCCCCAAGAGGCCAACTTTAGCCTCCTAATTACAGGTGACATGTATGTCCCTCTCTCAAAATAGGGCTGCTGGAAACTGGCTGGAGTGGGGCTGAGTTGGCACATGGAGGAGGGCCTCCAGTGGTCTGGCGTTTCTCCAGACACCATTTATCTGGCAAATAGCAAAGGACAGTGAGACTTTTTTTTTTTTTTTTTTTTTTTTTTTTTTCAGATGGAGTCTCGCTGTGTCACCCAGGCTGGAGTGCAGTGGCGCGGTCTCAGCTCACTGCAACCTCCACCTTCCGGGTTCAAGCGATTCTCCCGCGTTAGCCTCCTGAGGAGCTGGGATTACAGGCGTTCACCATCACGCCAGGCTAATTTTTGTATTTTTAGTAGAGACAGGGTTTCACCATATTGGCCAGGCTGGTCTCGAACTCCTGACCTCAGGTGATCCACCTTTCTGATCAGAAGGTAGACTCCATGGTGAGCTGACATCTAAGGGTTGGAAGGCATTAGGGCGCTATTCTCAATACCCTCTCAATTCGAGGAACTGGGGAAACCGAGGCACAGGGAGGGAACCCTGGAGTTGTGTGGGCAGGCCGTCTCTTATCTCAACATTCTGGATTCCCGAGCTCCCCCTCTACCCGGCCCACCTACCTGGCGGCCTTCACAGGCCTTTAATGCCTTCTCCAACTCGTGCCGGATACTTTCCGCCTGGTCCAGCTGCCTGGCTAGGGCCTCCTCCCGCTCGGCAGCCTCTGCCAGCCGGCGCCGCAGGTCGTCGACCCCAGGCGGCGGGTCCCCGGGCGGCGCCGTGGCATTGGCCCCTGGCTCCGGGCAGCGAGGTCCCCGAGCAGCCGAGGCGGCCAGATTCCAGGCTACCAGGGCCCCGCCGGCTGCTGCCGCAGCCAGGAACACGGCCACCCCGCACAGGGCGAGCACCCGCCAGGCACGCCCGGGCTCCGGCCCCGGCTCGGCCATGCCGCGGTCCACAGCTCTGGCCCCAGACGGCCACGAATATTTAATTGGCACCTTGGGGCGCCAGGGACACCCACGGTTCCGCCCAGCCTGGCCGTGGCTTCCCAGGCCGTTGGGAGGGGTTGGACCCCCTCCAGGGGCTGGTCCATCCCGTCGAGCCCAAGAAAGGACTAGGGGTTCTGGGTTCCTGCATCCCACGTGCTGCCCTCTGTGCCTCAATTTCCCCCTTTGTGAAATGGGGAGAGTATTAACTCCTGCTTGGTAGGGCTTGGTAGGAATCAAGCTGGCACATCTGTAGGAAGCGCCAAAGACCGCATCTGCAAACGAAGTGCTTGGCTATCATTTGGGGATATGTCGTTTCCAATATTTTTTAATCTTAATTTTGTGTGTTTGTGTCGCCCAAGCTGGAGTGCAATGGCACAATCTTGGCTCACTGAAACCTCCGTCTCTGGTTGAAGCGATTCTCCTGCCTCAGCCTCCTGAGTAGCTGGGATTACAGGCGACTGCCATCACGCCCAGCTAATTTTTATATTTTTAGTAGACACGGGGTTTCACCATGTTGGCCAGGCTGGTCTCGAACTCCTGACCTCAAATGATCTGCCCACCTCGGCTTCCCAAAGTGCTGAGATTACAGGCGTGAGCCCCCGCGCCCGGCTAATTTTAATTTTTTTTGTTTGATTGTTTTTTTGAGACAGGGTCTCGCTATGTTGCCCAGGCTGGTCTTGAACTCCTGGGCTCAAGCGATCCTCCCGCCTTGGTCTCCCAAAGTGCTGGGATTAAAGGCGTGAGCCACCGCATCCGGCCTGTGGTTCCCATTCTGTTGACGGGGTAACCGCATTGGGAGATGGGAGGATACTCCACTGACTTACGGTTGGCAGAGTTTAGGCTGCCACGCCGGCTGTGAAGAGGACCGGAGGGTAGACAACAGGGTGGACCGGCCCCGTCTTCCCGCCTGCTCGCCACTGGGCAGCCAGAGGGCGATCTTACAACGTGATTACAATTGGGCTCTGGCTCCCCTTCCCTCTTAGAATACAACCCGTTCTCCCCTCCCCTTCCTTCCTCCTACTCTCCCTCCTCCCCCTCCTCCCTCCTCTTCCTGTTTCTCCTTCTCTATCTCCCCCTGCCCCTTCTCTCCCTCCTTACACCTTCAAGGACCTGATCACACCTTTAAGGTCATTTTCTTTTCACTCCTTCCTGTAGCCTCCCCAAGGTTCTTCCACCAAGTGCATTCCCATCGCAGGGCCTTTACACCTTCTCCTCCTCTGCCTGGCTAATTGCTGCTCTGCTAACAGGTCCCCTCCTACAGAAAGTCCCCCTCTTCAACACTACCTCCTTTTGATCAGCTCCTAGGGCCCTAACATTAAAAAGGTAATGGCAGGCCGGGCGCAATGGGTCACGTCTGTAATCCCAGCACTTTGGGATGCCGAGGCGGGTGGATCACCTGAAGTCAGGAGTTCGAGACCAGCCTGGCCAACATGATGAAACCTCATCTCTTTTAAAAACACAAAAATTAGTCGGGTGTGGTGGCGGGCGCCTGTAATCCCAGCTACCTGGGAGGCTGAGGCAGGAGAATGGGTTCAACCCAGGAGGGGGAGGTTGCAGTGAGCTGAAATCATGCCATTGCACTCCAGCCTGGGCGACAAGAGCAAGACTCTGTCTTAAAAAAAAAAAAAATTAGCCAGGTGTGGTGGCTGGCGCCTTTAATCCCAGCTACTCAGGAGGGTGAGGCAGGATAATCTCTTGAACTCGGGAGGTGGAGGTTGCAGTGAGCAGAGATCGTGCCACTGCACTCCAGCCTGGGTGACAGAGTGAGACTCTGTCTCAAAAAAAAAAAAAAGTAATTATATATTTATGCGTGTGACTGATTCTCCCCCCCACCCCCGCCTTTCCCATCAAACTGGGTGATCTTCCCCTTCACCCTCTGAAGGTTCCTTGAAAAATCAACTCACAAAAGGAAGATTAATAGGAGAAATGAGGCAGAGGTGGGAGGATCACTTTAGCCCGGGAGTTTCAGACCAGCCTGGGTAACACGGTGAGACCCCATCGCTACAAAAAAAAAAAAAAAAAATGAGCCTGATGTGGTGGTGTGCACCTGTAGTCCTAGCTACTCAGGAGGCTGAGGCAGAAGTATCGCCTGAGTCCAGGAAATGGAGGCTGCAGTGAGCCGAGATCGCACCACTGCACTCCAGCCTGGGCAACAGAGTGAGACCATGTCTCAAAAAACAAAAAAAAGTCTATTCAGGTATGTTGATAGACTTTAGTCTTTCTGCCTGTGATATGAGTTCAGTTAATGAAAACTCAAAGAATCAGAAGTAATTGTTTTCTTTTTTGGTGGGTCCAGAATTTAGGCGTGTAAAAAATAAAATAAAATTTTAGGACCTTCCAGATTTATTATGTCAAGGGGTAATAGTTAAGCCCTGGAAACTGAATCAACCTTTCTTTCTTTTCTTGTATTCATTCATTCATTCTTTCTTTCTTTCTTTCTTTTTTTTTTTTTTTTTTGAGATGGAGTCTTGCTCTGTCGCCCAGGCTGGAATGCAATGTTGGCTCACTGCAACCTCTGCCTCCTGGGTTCAAGCAATTCTCCTGCCTCAGCCTCCTGAGTAGCTGGGATTGCAGGCACCTGCCACCACTCCTAGCTAATTTTTTTTTTTTTTGAGATGGCGTCTTGCTCTGTTGCCAAGGCTGGAGTGCAATGTCACGATCTCAGCCCACTGCAACCTCTGCCTTCCAGGTTCAAGAGATTCTCCTGCCTCAGCCTCCCAAGTAGCTGGGATTACAGGCACCTGCCAACACACCTAGCTAACTTTTATATTTTTAGTAGAGATGGGATTTCACTATGTTGGCCAGGCTGTCTCGAACTCATGGCCCCAAGTGATCTGCCCACCTCGGCCTCCCAAAGTGCTGGGATTACAGGGGTGAGCCACCACGCCTGGCCTCTTTATTTTTTCTTTTCTTTTTTTTTTGAGACCAGGTCTCACTCTGTCACCCAGGCTGGAGTACAGTGGTGCCATCACGGCTCACTGCAGCCTTGACCTCCTGGGCTCAAGCGATGCCCCCACCTGGGCCTCCAGCGATGCCCCAACTTGGGCCTCCCTGAATGCTGGGATTACCACCACTGTGAGCACCGAGCCACCCCATTCCCAACCCCTGGCCTTTCTTGTGTGGAGATATCCCACATTAACTAGACTTCCTAGTCTTCATTCAAGCATAGACTAAATGTTGTTGGAGATAGAGACCCTTGTGACTGTCACCTCTTTACAACAGAATGTGTAAGCAACCCCCTTAGGACATAGTCAATAGTAGCCAATCTAATCTCCTATCTGTATTCTAGCCTTTGCATGGGAAATGTATTTCTGTTCAGCACCTCTGTTTGTGGCTTTATAAAGGATCCAGGCCAGGCGAGCTGGCTCATGCCTGTAATCCCAGCACTTTGGGAGGCCGAGGCGGGCGAATCACGAGGCCAGGAGTTCGAGGCCAGCCTGACCCACATGTCGAAACCCTGTCTCTACCAAAAATACAAAAATTAGCCGGGCGTGATGGCGGGCACCTGTAATCCCAGCTACTCGGGAGACTGAGACGGAGAATCGCTTGAACCCGGGAGGCAGAGGTTGCAGCGAGTCGAGATCATGCCATTGCACTCCAGCCTGGGTGACAAGAGCAAGACTCCATCTCAAACAAACAAACAAACAAACAATCCACACTTTTCCCTGAATGAGAGGCACTCATCCTCATTCTTTGGTGTCCCTGTGGCCCTGGATAGACTCTGCCCTCACACTTTGCCCTGGAAAAAACTCTTTTAACCAGGCTTGGCATGGTGGCTCACATCTGTAACCCAAGCACTTTGGGAGACTGAGGTGGGAGGATCACTTGAGCCCAGGAGTTTGAGATCAGCCTGGGCAAAATGGTGAGACCCCATCTCTACAAAATATAAAAAAAATTAGGGCCGGGCATGGTGGCTCATGCCTGTAATCCCAGAACTTTGGGAGGCCGAGGCAGGTGGATCACCTGAGGTCAGGAGTTTGTGACCAGCCTGGCCAACGGGTGAAACCCCATCTTAACTAAAAATACAAAAATTGGCCAGCGCAATGGCTCATGCCTGTAATCCCAGCACTTTGGGAGGCCAAGGAGGGTGGATCACGACATCAAGAGTTTGAGACCAGCCTGGCAAACATGGTGAAACCCCATCTCTACTAAAAATACAAAAATTAGCTGTGTGTGGTGGCGGGTATCTGTAGTCCCAGCTACTCGGGAGGCTGAGCTGAGATCGTGCCACTGCACACCAGCCTGGGCGACAAAGCGAGACTCTGTCTCAAAAAGAAAAAAAAAATTTAGCCAGGCATGGTGGTGGGTATCTGTAATCCCAGCTACTCGGGAGGCTGAGGCAAGAGAATTGCTTGAACCCAAGAAGGGGAGGTTGCAGTGAGCCGAGATCATGCCATTGCACTCTAACCTGGGTGACAAGAGTGAAACTCTGTCTAAAAAAAAAAAAAAAGAAAAAGAAATGAGCTGTGTCTGGACGTGTGGACGTGGCTCACTCACGCTTGTAATCCTGGCACTTTGGGAGGCCAAGGCAGGAGGATTACTTAAGGCCAAGCATTCAAGATCAACCTGGCCAACATAGTGAGATCCTGTCTTTATTATTTAAAAAAAAAAAAAATTTGCTGGGCATGGTGGTGCATACCTGTGGTCCCAGCTACTCAAGAGGCTGAGGTGTGAGGATTGCTGGAGCCCAGGGGATTGAGGCTGCAGTGATCCAAGGTCGCACCACTGCACTTAAGCCTGGGTGACAGAGAGAGGCCCTGTCTCAAAAAAAAAAAAAGAAAGAAATCAGAGCTCAGAGAGGTCGAGTCCCAGAGCAGGGACACTCAGCAGTGGCTGGTCACTGCCAAATTCCCACTGGGGACTGCAGAACCCCACAGCCGTCAGCTTCTCAACCCCTGGGTGGGTCACAGCCTTGGAGTCAGGTCTCTCAGGAAAAGGACAAAATAGGGAGGGAAGATGGGACATTTTAGGAAGTAGGGAAATTTACACCCAGGCCATTGTGTGGGGGGATTGGGAGTTGAATCCACAATATTGGGCTAATCTTATCAGCAAAATACAGCCCAGGCAGGATGGGGGTGGGGGTTGTGGGGGGAGAGTGGGGGAGGGAGTGTGAGTAGGGGTGGGGGTGGGTGGAGCAGCAGCATAGTCTGGGGACCTTTCCATGGCCCAAGTCGGGAGTGGTGAGTGGAGGAGGTCACGTGGGGAGCGTTTGTTTCCTGGGCAAAAGGAAATCCACAGAATGTGGAGGGTTAATTGCCCAACGAGCTTTGAAACCCTGAACAAGGCCAGGCATGGTGGCTCACGCCTGTAATCCCAGCACTTTGGGAGGCTGAGGCGGGCGGATCACGAGGTCAGGAGATCAAGACCATCCTGGCTAACACGGTGACACCCCGTCTCTACTAAAAATACAAAAAAAATTAGCCCAGCGTGGTGGTGGGCGCCTGTAGTCCCAGCTACTTGGGAGGCTGAGGCAGGAGAATCACTTGAATCCAGGAGGTGGAGGTTGCAATGAGCTGAGATCGCACCATTGCACTCCAGCCTGGGCAACAGAGCAAGACTCCATCTCAAAAAACAAACAAACCAACCACAAAAAAAACAAAAACCCCTGAAAAAGTCCAGTAATTACCCTAGGCCTCACCGGGGCTGTTGGTGAGGATGAAATAGCTTAGTAGTTGCAAAGCGGCTTTGGCTTTTTTGCAAGCCAGGGCCACAGAAGTGAAGGCCCACCCTGCTCCCGGGGACACTTAGCAACATATAGAGACTTTTTTTTTCTTTTGAGACAGAGTCTGGCTCTGTTGCCCAGGCTGGAGTTGCATCATCTTGGCTCACTGCAGCCTTGACATCCCAGGCTCAAGCGATCCTCCTGCCTCAGCCTCCCAAGTAGCTGCGACTACAGGCGTGTGCCACCATGCCCAGCTAATTATTAAATTTTTTGTAGAGATGGAGGTCTCCCTATGTTGCCCAGGCTGGTCTTGACCTCCTGGGCTGAAGCAATCCTCCCCCTTCGACCTCCCAAAGTGCTGGGATTACAGGCATGAGCCACCATGCCCAGCCTGGAAACATTTTTAATTGTCACAACTTGGGAGGGTGTTACTTGCATTTATGGGTGGGGGCCAGGGATGCCGTTTAATATCCTACAATGCAGCTGGGCGCCGTGTCTCATGTCTGTAATTCCAGCACTTTGGGAGGCCGAGGCGGGTGGATTTCTTCAGGTCAGGAGTTCAAGACCAGCCTGAACAACATGGTGAAACACCGTTTCTACTAAAAATACAAAAATTAGCCGGACATGATGGCGGGTGCCTGTAATCCCAGCTACTCGGGAGGCTGAGGCAGGATAATCACTTGAACCCGGGAGACGGAGTTTGCAGTGAGCTGAAATCGCACCACTGCACTCCAGCCTGGGAGACAGAGTGAGACTCCATCTCAAAAAAACAAACAAAAAAAACCCAAAACAAAAAACAAAATCCTACAATGCACAGGATGGTCCCCACCCAGAGAACCATCCAGCCCAAACCACCAATGCTGCTGAGGCTGAGACCCTGCCCTAGACCTTGGGAGTGAGGAACGGGTGCTCCAGGCAGCAGGCAGAGCTTGGGCAAAGGCCTTGAGGCAAAAAGGAACTTGGGATCAGTAAAGGTGGAGGTGGTGAGCAAGGGGAAGTGAGGGGGCAAGAGGGCCAGGGGGTCTGTGGCAGGGGAGGTATTTGGGGACCCTTCCCTGGGACAGCAGTAGGAACCATGGAAGTGGAGGCCTGGTTTTATTTATTTATTTATTTTTGAGACAGACTCTTGCTCTGTCGCCCAGGCTAGAGTGCAGTAGCGTGATCTCAGCTCACTGCAACCTCCACCTCCTGGGTTCAAGCGATTTTCCTGCCTCAGCCTCCTGTGTAGCTGGGACTATAGGCACGACCCACCACCCCCCGCTAATTTTTTTTATTTTGAGACAGAGTCTCGCTCTATTGCCCAGGCAGGAGTGCAGTGGCGGGATCTCGGCTCACTGCAACATCCGCCTCTCGGGTTCAAGCGATTCTCGTGCCTCAGCCTCCTGAGTAACTGGGACTACAGGTGCATGCCACCACGCCAGGCTAATTTTTTGTATTTTTAGTAGAGACAGGGTTTCACCGTGTTCGCCAGGATGGTCTGGATCTCTTGACCTTGTGATCCAACAACCTTGGCCTCCCAAAGTGCTGGGATTACAGGCATGAACCACCACGCCCAGCCATTTTTTTGTATTTTTAGTAGAGATGGGGTTCACCATGTTGGCCAGGTTGGTCTTGAACTGAGCTCAAGTGATCCACCTGCCTCGGCCTCCCAAAGTTCTGGGATTACAGGCGTGAGCCACTGTGCCTGGCCAGAGGGTTTTTTTTTTTTTTAAATCCCACTGACCGTCTGGGCTGGGGACTGTGGGACCTTAGGATAGTACAGAAATCTGGGACAAGGGACTCCTGGCTCCATTACCACAAACAGGAGTTGGAGTTGCAGAGACAATGGCCGGGATTCCGGGAGAACTTGGAGGAAGTAAGATAACAGAGAAGGAAGGGACTATGGCATCTTTGAGGATCGAATAAGGTAGGTGAAGGGTCCGTCGGGATTGCAGCCCTCAATTGTGGAGAAGCAGAGAGACTCTCTGGGGGAGGGGTTCCCAGAGCTGGGTACTGCAGAATGAATAAGAGTTTGGGGAATCGGGCCAGGTGTGATGGCTCATGCCTGTAATCCCAGCACTTTAGGAGCCCAAGGTGGGTAGATCCCTTGAGGTCAGGAGTTTGAGGCCAGCCTGGCCAACATGATGAAACCCCTGTCTCCACTAAAAATACAAAAATTAGCCAGGTGTGGTGGTGTAGTACTGTAATCCCAGCTACTCGGGAGGCTGAGGCAGGAGAATCACTTGAACCTGGAAGGCAGAAGTTGCAGTGAGCCAAGATCGTGCCACTCTACTCCAGCCTGGGCGACAGAGCAAAACTCTGTCTCAAAAAAAAAAAAAAAAAAGAGCCGGGGGTGGTGGCTCATGCCTGTAATCCCAGCACTTTGGGAGGCCAAGGCAGGCAGATCACCTGGGGTCGAGAGTTCGAGACTAGCCTGACCAACATGGAGAAACCCCGTCTTTACTAAAAATACAAAATTAGCCGGGCATGGTGGCGCAAGCCTGTAGTCCCAGCTACTTGGGAGGCTGAGGCAGGAGAATCGCTTGAACCCGGGAGGCGGAGGTTGCGGTGAGCCGAGACTGCGCCATCGCACTCCAGCCTGGGAAACAAGAGCGAAACTCCGTCTCAAAAAAAAAAAAAAAAAAAAAAAAAAGAGAGAGAGAGAGAGAATCTGGGGGATGAAGCAGGGGGAAACATTCTGACAATGCATGGCCTGTGTGTGTGTACAGATCCCAGTTTAAATCCCAGCCCAGCATTTTCTGCAGGCGGGAAGGGAAGCAAGACAAGGTTACTCTCAGTTACAGCCTCAGTTTCCTCACTGGATCCCCAGGAATCAGGAGAGGCTCTAGGGAGGAGATGAGAATACAACACCTGGGAAACGGTGAGCCCTGATGAGGGTGCATAGTTCTTATGTTGATCCCAGCAGAGACAAGGGCTGGGAAGAACTGGGGTGGTGCCTCCCCGAACTCCGTGGGCTCCTGAAAACGTCCTGGAGCAGGGAAGGGAGGTGTCATCGTCAACGGGGTGTCCACTCTCACCTGCAGGGGCGGCCCCAACGCTTGGGTACTAAAACGATGATACTCCAGGAACTCGAGAGTCAGGTGTGCTCTCCCTCAAAGGAAGTGTTTATTTTTTGGAGCTCAAAGACCCCAGAAAAAAGCAACCCCCCCCGCAAAAAAAACCCATAACAACAGGCAGCACATGCCCCCCACACCGCACCCCATGCCCAATCTCAGGGTGGGAGACAAGAGGGGGGACTCATTGTCCGGAGGGAGGCTCTGGAGGGAGACAGCCCTGGGTCAACCCGACTGTGTCCCCACACCCAGGACTTCCCCATGGCCCCTCCAGACCTGCTCCAGAGGCCCTTCTCCGGCTACCCCGTGCTCTCCCCGCTAACCGTGTTGCCCCATGACCCGCTCAGAACTGATGAGATCAAGGGAATGTTCAAGCGAAAAGCCGAGCAGGACGGACCTTCCAAGATGTGCCTAAAGGACCAGAAGAGGGACTCAGGGCAGACTGGAGGCAGCAGACACTGGCCCCGCTCCAAGCCCGGCCCCAAGCCCCGCCCCCATCGCTAGACCCGCCCCACCCATCCATAAGCCCCTCCCCTCCATCGATAGACCCGCCCCCATTGATAGCCCCGCCCCATACAGCTATCAGCCCGTCCCCGATCCAGGGCATCCTTCTCACTGGATTCTCCCTCCTTCCCCAAGGCCCCTCACCTCTGCGCCCAGTCCCTTCCCCTGCAGCCTCTCTCTCTAGACTTCGGAGCCTCTGCTTCCCCGCCCCGCTTCCCCAGCTTTCTTCTCCCTCCCGGGGCCGCCCCCTCCTCACTGACCAGCTTCCTGGGATCTCACTGCAGCAGAGCGCTGAGGCCCAGCAGCACAATCAGCAGCTGGGGCGCCGCAGCGGAGCTGGAGTCCTGGGAGCTGGGGTAGTACTTCTTGTCCGCGATTCTCACGCTTAAGACCTGGTTTTCTCTTCTGCGGTACAGATGGCAAATCAGGCATCTGCTCGTCCTGGCTCCTGCCGCCCTCCCTGTAAGCCCACCGCCCCCGGGAGTTCCCCCCGCACCGCCCCAATCCAAGTCACCGGGGAGGGAATGGACAGCGGCCACCCATGGCTCTGTGACCCTAGGGGCTAAGTTATCCTTTTGTGGGACTCAAACTTTATCCCTTGGGGCAATGGGGATTTTGGGAGCAAAGGAGATCCTGGGTCTTGGGCTAGGGATGTGGGGGTGAGAGGAATGTGGCAGGTGGAGGGTAGCGGGGGAAGGCTATCTCTGACCTCAGTCGCTCCACCTCTGCAGACGCGTCCTGAAGCTTATGGTTTAATGTAGTGATCTCTCCTGGTAGGGTGGGAGGACAGAAACAGGGGGCGGGTCAGCATGTGGCCATGCTGGGGCCCTGCTCCACTCTGGGACAGAACCTCCCCCTTACCCCAACCTCCAGCCCTGGTCTCCCTGCCCCCACCCCCTCTTCCATACCTGACTCACCCCTCCCCGGCCCTCTCCCTTCTCCCTTTCTCACCCTCAAGCTCCTCCACTTTCTTTTGTCCTTGGGCCTTCTCTGCATCCAGGGAAGCCATTAGGGCCATCTAAGAAGAGTTAGAATCTGGGGTTTTGGCCTGGGGAGTTTGGCTGCTGCCCCTGGGACCTGGGCCTCCTCCCTAGGTCCTGGGGACAGAGGGGCTTAAATGCAAACCCCTTTCAGGTTTTCTTCCAACCCTCTCTGCACCATGGTCTCCAACCTTAAAGAACAGCCACAACCACACACTCTCCCAGGGCCACCCATAAGCATGTGGGTCCTCAAAATGGGAGTTTTGAGGCCACCCCACGTGGAAACTTGGAGGCTATCGATAACCAAAGTTTAGTGGACATTTCCAGATTGCCTGAGCAATGGCCCAAGAAAAGTTAGAGGGCCCTACCAAATCCAGAATGCAGTGGGATTTCCCCGCCCAAGTGACATGCCCAGCGAGAGTTTCAAGATCCCCCATATCAGGACCCAGGTGAATATTTCAGTTTCTTAGGGATGAAGTGAAAATTTCAAAAGCCCCCTTTTTCAGGGTCTGGTGAGGTCCCCCTTCAACCCTGAATAGGGATTTCTACTCCCCCAGGACTGGTGCCCACGAGGAGTTTCAAGGCCCCCGACACCAGTGCCCTGGAAAGAATTTATAAATTCACCTAAGTCCCAGGGGGATACTGAGGTCCCCGATTTGGGGGATCTGGAGAGTTTTAACACCCTGCCCCTACACCAGTGCCCTGGACTGGGTTAGGGGCCCACAAACCCTGGTAGGGGAACCTAGGTCCCTTGATGTGGGGGCCCAGGAGCAGTTTCAGGACCTCCCCTGCATCTCCCTGGAGACCCACCCTGGGTCAGATTTCTGGGGAGAGATTCTTGTCCCTCCCACCGCCTAGTACTAGGCCATCCAAAGGAGTTGAGGAGCTTACCACAGTGTGGTTGCAGGTGGCGGCCTGGGCCTCCACATCCTGAAAGCCCTTCTGGGCCTCGGTCAGCTCTTGTTGCAGGAGATGGGTGACATTGCGACACTCCATCACTGCCCGAAGGCCGTCCCGGCAGGCCTCGCTGTTGGCCTTGATGGTGAAGATAATCAAGGGCACCCCCAGAATCACGATGATCAGGAGCACCAGAATTCCTATCCCCAGCAGAAGCTTACAGCGCTTATCCCCGTCTTCCATGGGCACTCTGCAATAGTCATACGAAGTAGATGCCATCCAGATCTCCCCTTTAGAGTCTGGCCTGGAGTTAGGGGAGGGTGCTGGAATCTTCTACGGGCCACCCCTTTATTAGCATAGGAAACGTCCTGACCAATAGCAAGTTCCAGGAAGTGCTCTGACCAGCAGCTCTTGCATGAGGCACCTACAGGCAGAGGATTAATTAGGTTTTCAGTTTCAGTTTCCCAGAAAGGAGGTGGGCTTTTTTTTCACCCTGCTTTAAAAGCCCTTGGGCCCTTCCCAGCTGGGTGCCAGCCAACTGTGGCTGCCTGGGACACTCCATCTTAAGTCCCTGTGCCTCTGCTGTGTGTTACTGAGTGCCTAGGCCGTGCCAGCCTGTATTCATCTGTACTATGACCTGAAGAGGCAGAGGCCATCACTGTTGGTCCGGTCTCCACCTGGGGAAACTGAGGTTGCACAGTTGCGTGGTGGAGTGAGGGCAGGGCCTGGGTCTGGGGGCGGGGCCTGGGTCTGACCCCAGGGACTGGTTTTTGTGTTCAGGTGTCTCTGTGGTGACGAGCAGGGCTTCATCCAGTGCCTCTGTCCCCACCGAGGGGACTATGGGAGACATGGAGGGTGTGTGAGCAACAGGTGAGACTGGAGCCAGCTGAAAACTGGGAGACCGACCCAGCCAACAAACAATGTCGGTCTCTGTCTTGGCACCTGCAGGAAACAAGCTCCTACTTCCAGAAAAAGTGCTCCTGGGACTCCAGGATACCAGGTAAACTCTCTGAGCCTGTTTCTTCATCTGCAAAGGGGAATAACAGGGCCAGCCTCAGACACTGTCCATGTGGCCAAGAGAGCCAGGGCTTCCTACAGGAAATCAGGCCCATTATCGGCACCCAACTGCTGGGCATGACCGCTGAAAGGGGACTGCATGTTTTTCTTGTGGCTTCTTCAGCCACATCCTGACCACAGCCCAGATTCTGTTAGGTCTGCCATTTCCATGTTTTTTTTTCTTTTCAGCAGGGCCAGACAGTAGGCGAGGTCAAGTCCAGAGCCCAGGCCTCCCAGAAGGCCTGGGGAACTCCCCCCAGGCCCTGACTCCAACATCCCTCAGAAGGACCCCATTAAAGCCACTTAGAGCCAGGCATGGTGGTACATGCCTGTGGTCCCAGGCTGAGGCTGGGAGGCTGAGGCAGGAGGATCACTCGAGCCCAGGAGTTTGAGGCTGCAGCGAGCTATGATTGTGCCACGGCACTCAAGCCTGGGTGATAGAGTGGGATCCCATCTCTTAAACCAATAAACAAAAAAATCACTTAGAACCAAGAACCAATTAACAAGCTGTGGGAGATGATCTTGCTGAAAATTCTGAGGGTGAACTTGTCCCAGGAGGAGGGACCTACCAGCCTGGCCAGGACTCCAGGTGCAAAGACACGACCTTTGCCTGACTTATTTGACTAAGCTGACTTATTTGAGCAGCACTGTTCTGGCCTGCTAACTTTAGGGTTAGTTTGGGACCAGGTCGGAAATCACAATTGCATGAATTGCACATTGGAGGCCAGGGTGGTGCACCTCTGGGCAAATGAATTTCCTCTCTTAGCATTGATTTCCCCAGCTGTAAAATGTGGATAATAATAGATTGATGTCCTCTCTAAATTTTGCAGCTGTAAACAGTCCCAGCCCTGCAAACCGAAAGTTTGTTGCTCTTCCCTTTAAAATTACTGTAGGGACCAGCCCCACAGGGTCAGTGGGTCTCTCCCTGTGTGCGGCGACGAGAGAGTGTAGAAATAAAGACACAAGACGAAGAGATAAAAGAAAAGACAGCTGGGCCCGGGGGACCACTACCAGCAATGCGCGGAGACTGGTAGTGGCCCCGAATGTCTGGCTGTGCTGTTATTTATTGGATACAAAGCAAAAGGGGCAGGGTAAAGAGTGTGAGTCATCTCCAATGATAGGTAAGGTCACGTGGGTCACGTGTCCACTGGACAGGGGGCCCTTCCCTGCCTGGCAGCCGAGGCAGAGAGAGAGAGAGGGGACAGACAGAAAGACAGCTTATGCCATTATTTCTGCATATCAGAGACTTTTAGTACTTTCACTAAATGACTACTGCTATCTAGAAGGCAGAGCCAGGTGTACAGGATGGAACATGAAGGCGGACTAGGAGCGTGACCACTGAAGCACAGCATCACAGGGAGACGGTTAGGCTGCCAGATAACCGCGGGCGAGCCTGACTGATGTCAGGCCCTCCACAAGAGGTGGAGGAGCAGAGTCTTCTCCAAACTCCCCCAGGGAAAAGGAGCCTCCCTTTCCCGGTCTGCTAAGTAGTGGGTGTTGTTCCTTGACACTTTTCGCTACCGCTAGACCACTGTCCGCTCGGGCAACGGGCGTCTTCCCAGACGCTGGCGTCACCGCTAGACCAAGGAGCCCTTCTGCTGGCCCTGTCCGGGCATAACAGAAGGCTTGCACTCTTGTCTTCTGGTCACACCTCACTATGTCCCCTCAGCTCCTATCTCTGTATGGCCTGGTTTTTCCTAGGTTATGATTGTAGACCGAGGATTATTATACTATTGGGATAAAGAGTAATTACTACAAACTAATGATTAATGATATTCATATATCTCTAAGATCTATATTTGGTATAACTATTCTTGTTTTATATTTTATTATACTGGAACAGCTCGTGTCCTCAGTCTCTTGCCTTGGCACCTGGGTGGCTTGCCGCCCACAATTACAAATGGTGGGATGGGTGCAGTGGCTCATGCCTGCAATCCTAGTACTTTGGGAGGCTGAGATGGGAAGATTGCTTGAGGCCAGTAGTTCGAGACCAGCCTGGTCAACATAGAGAGATCCTATCCCTATTTAAAAATAAATATATATATATATTTTAAGTACATATATTTATTTTATTTTGTTTTAATTAATTAATTAATTAATTAATTTTTTTTGAGATGGAGTCTCGCTCTTGTTGCCCAGGCTGGAGTGCAGTGGCACGATCTTGGCTCACTGCAACCTCTGCCTCCGGAGTTCAAGCGATTCCCCTGCCTCAGCCTCCTGAGTAGCTGGGATTACAGGCGCCCACCGCCATGCCTGGCTTATTTTTGTACTTTTAGTAGAGACAGGGTTTTGCCATGTTGACCAGGCTGGTCTTGAACTCCTGACCTCAGGTGATCTGTCTGACTCAGCCTCCCAAAGTGCTGGGATTACAGGCGTGAGCCACTGCACCTGGCCTATATTTTATTTTATATTTTTAAATATATAATGTATTTTTATATATTGGTTGGTGCAAAAGTAATTGCGGTTTCTGCCATTACTTTTTTTTTTTTTTTTTTGAGAGGGAATCTCTCTCTGTCGCCCAGGCTGGAGTGCAGTGGTACGATCTCGATCACTACAACCTCTGCCTCCTGGGTTGAAGCGATTCTCCTGCCTCAGCCTCCTGAGTAGCTGGGACTACAGATGCCTGCCACCATGCCTGGCTACTTTTTGCATTTTTAGTAGAGATGGGGTTTCGCCATGTTGGCCAGGCTGGTCTCAAACTTCTGACCTCAGGTGATCCACCCAACTTGGACTCACCAAGTACTGGGATTACAAGCGTGAGCCACCGTGCCCGGCCTATATTTTATTTTATATTTTTAAATATATTCTCCCTCTGTCACCCAGGCTGGAGTGCAGTGGTGTAATCTCGGCTCACTGCAACCTCTGCCTCCTGGGTTGAAGTGATTCTTCTGCCTCAGCCTCCTGAGTAGCTGGGACTACAGATGCCTGCCACCATGCCCAGCTACTTTTTGTATTTTTAGGAGAGACGGGGTTTCGACATGTTGGCCAGGCTGGTCTCGAACTCCCGACCTCAAGGGATCCACCCGACTTGGCCTCCCAAAGTGCTGGGATTACAGGCATGAGCCACCGCTCCCAGCCTCTGCCATTACTTTTTTTTTTTTTTTTTTTTTTTTGAGATGGAATTTCACTCTTGTTACCCAGGGTGGAGTGCAATGATGCAATCTTAGCTCACCACAACCTCTGCCTCCTGGGTTCAAACAATTCTCCTGCCTCAGCCTCCCTAGTAGCTGGGATTACAGGCATGCGCCACCATGCCCGGCTAATTTTGTATTTTTAGTAGAGAGGTTTAGGTTTCTCCATGTTGGCCAGGCTGGTCTCAAACTCCCGACCTCAGGTGATCTGCCCGCCTCGGCCTCCCAAATTGCTGGGGTTACAGGCTTGAGCCACCGCACCCAGCCTTTTTTTGTTTTTTTCTTTGAGATGGAGTCTCGGTCTGTCTCTCAGGCTGGGGTGCATTGGCACGATCTCGTCTCACTGCAACCTCTGACCTCCGCCTCCTGGGTTCAAGCAATCCTGCTGCCTCAGTCTCCTGAGTAGCTGGGATTACAGGTACCCGCCACCACGCCCAGCTAATTTTTGTATTTTTAGTAGAGACGGGGTTTCACCATGTTACCCAGGCTGGTCTCGAACTCCTGACCTCATGATCCGTCCATCTCGGCCTCCCAAAGTACTGCGATTACAGCCATGAGCCACCACGCCCGGCCTTCCATTACTTTTAATGGCATTAATTAATTATGCTTACTAAAAGTTATGGCAGAAACCACAATTACTTTCGCAATAAAATTAGAAATGGAAACTGTTATGCTACCATTCTTTTTCTTTTTTTATTTTCTTTTGAGACAGAATCTTGTCCTGTTGCCCAGGCTGGAGCGCAGTGGTGCAATCATAGCTCACTGCAGCCTTGACCTCCTGGGCTCAAGCAATCCTCTCACCTCAGCCTCTGGCGTAGCTGGGACTATATGTGTGCACCACCACGCCCAGCTAATTTTTTATTTTTTGTAGAGATGGGGGTCTCAGTATGTTTCCCAGGCTGGTCTCAAACTCCTAGGCTCCAAAGATCCTCCTGCCTCAGCCCCCGCAAAGTGTTGGAATTACAGGAGTAAGCCACTGCACCCAGCCGCTAGCATTCTTTTGGTTTTAGCTTCATATATATATATATATATATATATATATATATACACACACACATATATATATACACACACATATATATACATATATATACATATATATATACACACATATATATATACACATATATATATATAATTATTATTATTTTAGAGAAACATTTCAGTTGGGAGCAGTGGTTCATGCCTGTAATCCCAGCACTTTGGAGGCTGAGGCGGGTGGATGACCTGACGTCAGGAGTTCGAGACCAGCCTGGCCAACATGGTGAAACCCTGTCTCTACTAAAAATACAAAAACTAGCCAGGCGTAGTGGCAGGTGCCTGTAATCCCAGCTACTCAGAAGGCTGAGGCAGAAGAATCGCTTGAACCCAGAGGCAGAGGTTGCAGTGCAGTGAGATCGCGCCACTGCACTTCAGCCTGGGCGACAGAGTGAGACTCTGTCTCAAAAAAAAAAAAAAAGAAAAGAAACATTTTATTTTATTTTATTTTATTTATTTATTTTTGAGACAGAGTCTCACTCTGTCACCTAGGCTGGAGTGCAGTGGCGCGATCTCCACTCACTGCAACCTCCAACTCCCTGATTCAAGCAATTCTCCTGCCTCAGCCTCCCAAGTAGCTGGGATTACAGGCATGCGCCACTACGCCCAGCTAATTTTTGTATTTTAGTAGAGACAGGGTTTCACCATGTTGGCCAGGATGGTCTCGATCTCCTGACCTCGTGATCTGCCCACCTCAGCCTCCCAAAGTTCTGGGATTACAGGCGTGAGCCACCGTGCCCGGCCAACATTTTATTTTAGAATAGTTTTAGATTTGCAGAAAAAAAACAGTGAGGATAATAGAATTTCCCACATTCCCTACACCCAATTTCCCCTCTTTTATTTATTTATTAAAGACAGGCTCTTGTTCTGTCGCCCAGGCTGGAGTGCAGTGGTGTGATCATAGCTCACTGCAGCCTTTGACCTCCTGGGCTCAAGCGATCCTCCCACCTCAGCCTCCCGAGTAGCTGGGACCACAGATGCTCAGTACCACACCTGGCTAATTTTTTTACTTTTTTTGTAGAGATGGGGTCTCACTATGTTGACCAGGCTTTTCTCAAACTCCTGGGCTCAAGCGATCCTCCTGCCTCAGCCTCCTGAGTAGCTGGGACTACAGCCACTCACCACCATCACGCCCAGCTAAGTTTTGTATTGTTTGTAGAGACGGGATCTCTGTATGTTGCCCAGGCTGGTCTCAAACTCCTGGGCTCATGTCATCCTCCTTCCTCAGCCTCCCAAGGTGCTGGGATTATAGGTGTGAACCACTGCACCTGGCTAAGAAAAAAAAAATAGGAGCAAAGATCATCCGCAACCATCCCTCAGCTGTTTCATTTCTGTTTATTACACTACATGCATATTTCACTTACTTTGGGATACTGAGATGTGGCCCCGGATGGGCTTCTGAGGACAACTCCATGCCTGTAGGAAGTCGCTGGCCCCAGGGCGCTCAGCGGGTGGGGGCGATTCTGCTCCAGGGGACATTTTTATTGTCACCGCGGGGGCTGGGAGTGCCGCTGCCATCTAGGGATGTAGGCCAGGGATGCTGCTCAACACTACAGTGTACAGGACGGCCCCCCACAGTAAATGATCAAGCCCCAAGTGTCAGAGGTGCCACCAGACGTGACAAGCCCTGCCCTGGGGAGAACTGAGTGCAGGTTTGGAGTCAGACTTGGGCTCAAATTCCATCATGGCGAACCAGCTCCTTTCCCTCGGGCCTCTGCTTTTCTTTCTCTCTCTTTTGCTCTTTCTCTCTCTCTTTCTTTTTTGAGATGGAGTCTCACTCTGTTGCCCAGGCTGGAGTGCAGTAATGCAGTCTTGGCTCTCTGCAACCTCTGTCTCCCTGGTTCAAGTGATTGTCCTGCCTCAGCCTCCCAAGTAGGTGGGATCAAAGGTGTGTGCCACCACGCCCGGCTAATTTTTGTATTTTTAGTAGAGACGGGGTTTCACCATGTTGGCCAGGCTGGTCTCAAACTCCTGGCTTCAAGTGTTCCACCCGCCTCAGCCTCCCAAAGTGCTGGGATTACAGGTGTGAGCCACTGCCCCCAGCCAACCTCTGCTTTCTTATAGCGGGGGTGTGATAACAGCTGCTTCCCAGTCAATTGGAATGTCCACACAAATTAGAAACTGAAACAGTATCTCCATCAACTCAGAGAAAACAGTAAAAAGAAAATAGGCGGTGAGATTTCTCATCAGTTACATTATTCTGACTTTAATTAGTGTCCAGGGAAACTGAAACTATAGCTATACCTAAGATAAACATTTGAAGAAGGAGTAAAGGAAAGATTAATTTTGCAGCTGTCTCAGGGTCTGGTGGAGGGCTGATGGATGTCATCCTGTCTTTGTTTTGCACCGGGGAAAGTAAGCTTGTAATCAGTGCTGTCAGGATGAAATTCAGCAGACTGGTTCCGTGGACAAGGGGTCACATAGAGCTTGTAAACCTAAGGTTACGTATCTTTGTTTACGGGAGGCTGGACATCTTGGAAAGATTTAGGAGTAAGCAAAGAATTTACGTATGAACAATTTGTGAGGGTGATCATCTGGAGATGTGTGAGGGCTTTTTTTTTTTTTCTTTTTGTAGGCATCTGGGTAAGCTACAATGCTTAACCACTTAACACAATCAGGAAGCAACAGCCATGCATTCGGGAAAGGAACTTCAGTGTTGTGTGGCTCAGTCTCCAGACCTAACTTTCCCTTTGGTACAGACGCGGTGGTACATGCCTGTAATCCCAACACTTAGGCAGGAGGATCACTCGAGCCCAGAAGATCAAGACTAGTGTGAGCAACAAAGTGAGTTTCCCCCCACCCCTCACCTCAACAAAACATTTAAAAATTAGCTGGACATGGTGGCTGCGCCTGTGGTGGCTGGAGTGCAGTGGTGTGATCTTGGCTCACTGCAGCCTCTGCATTCAAGCAATTCTCCTGCCTCAGCCTCCTGAGTAGCTGGGATTACAGGCACCTGCCACCACGCCTGGCTAATTTTTGTATTTTTAGTAGAGACCGGGTTTCACCATGTTGGCCAGGCTGGTCTCCAACTCCTGACCTCAGGTGATCTGCCACTCAGGAGGCTGGGTAGGAGGATCCCTTGAGCCCAAGGGGTAGGAGGGTCCCTTGAGCCCAAGAGATCAAGGATGCAGTGAGCCATGTTCGCATGACTGCACACCTGCCTGGACAACAGATGAGACCATGTCTCAAAAACAAACAAACCAATACAAACAACAACAACTTTTCCTTTGGCAAACTGCCTTTGGAAGGTCCTCATATTTTTATTTTCTTTGACAGGAAAAAGCAATATATAGAAAGTGCTTAGCTTAGCACTTTGTACATTACAGTTCCCCATCATAGTTTGCCCTTGTCATTTGATAAGTTTTGGACTTGACTGCAGGCTTTCCTTAAACTGAACTCCCAGAAGTGGGGTTACTGGGTCCAAGGGGATGCCTATGTCCCAAGCTCTCACTTCCCATAAAGAAGAATTCAGAATTCGGCCAGGAGTGGTGGCTCACACCTGTAATCCCAGCACTTTGGGAGGCTGAGGTGGGTGGATCACCTGAGGTCAGGACTTCGAGAACAGCCTGGACAAAATGGTGAAACCCTGTCTCTACTGAAAATACAAAAATTAGATGGGCTTGGTGGTGGGCACCTGTAATCTCAGCTACTTGGAAGGCTGAGGCAGGAGAATTGCTTGAACCCGGGAGGCGGAGGTCACAGTGAGCCGAGATCGCACCATTGCACTCCAGCGTGGGCTACAGAACAAGACTCTGTCTCAAAAGGAAAAAAAAAAGAATTCAGAATTCACCTGTCGCCTGCTGCTGCAGTGAACAGTGAGTGGCACTCCTCTCTCACACCTATCACAGGTATTCTTCTTTTCCTTCCAGATCCTTCCCTGGCACCGGTTCCAGGAGGACCTCGTTCTTAGGCAGCATCTGTGTCTCTGTTTTGTAAGACACACAGAGTATCCTTAACCCACTGCAGATATTTCCCTGGGTCCATGGTCAATCAACACCACCTTTCAGTCTCCAGCCTCTTAACCAGCCCAGGGCTGAGTGTTGTTTATAGTATTAATATGTTTCTGGCTGGGCTCAGTGGCTCATGCCTGTAATCCCGGCACTATGGGAGGCTGAGGCAGGCGGATCACTTGAGGTCAGGAGTTCAAGACCAGCCTGGCCAACATAGTAAAACCCCGTCTCTACTAAAAATACAAAAATGAGCCGGGTGTGGTGGCGTGTGTCTATAATCCCAGCTACTCGGGAGGCTGAGGCAGGAGAATTGCTTGAACCTGGGAGGTGGAGGCTACAGTGAGCTGAGATCATGCCACTGCACTCCAGCCTGGGCAAGAAAGTGAGACTCCATCTCAAAACAAAGAAACAAACAAAGTATTAATATGTTCCCCTTGATCAGTGGGGTGGTTCACCCTTGTAATCCCAGCACTTTGGGAGGCAGAGGCTGGCGGATCGCTTGAGTCCAGGAGTTCGAGACCAGCCTGGGTGAACTAGCAAAACCCTGCCTGTACTAAAAATACAAAAATTAACTGGGCTTGGTGGTGCGAGCCTGTAATCCCAGTGGAGGCTGAGACAGGAGAATCCTTTTGTAATGCCTGACCTTGTTTTTTTACTAACCCTATTTTAACCTTGTTTTTACTAACCCTATTTTTAAATTTTCCCTTTTTGTCTCCTTAATTACCTAGCCTTGTTTCCCATATGAGTAGACTCTCCCTTAGCTGGGAAAGCCTGACGAACGCCATCTGGCCCCTTGATTTACAAGACATTAAGGGCTACTTACCCAACCCCCTTCCTCAAAGAGTTAACCTGCGTAAGCAGATCCTCAGCATTTCAAAGGAGCCCAATTAGCTGATAAGGTACTGGAACAAACAATGTACGAAGTTCCCAGGATTTTGCTCAAAAGCATAACAACATAAAGCCTTGAGTCTGTGTCTGGCATAGCATCCATATCTAACTCTTATGAAGGATTTAGAGCCCGGCACCTGGTTCCGTTGCTTTTTTTGTAACCATTTGTCTTTTAAATTGTTTATTTCTCTGTAACCATTTGTTTTTTGATTCTTGCATGTTTTTACTTCTGTAGAATTATTGCATTTGAGCTCCGCTCCCCTTCCGAACCAAGGTATAAAAGTAAATCAAGCCCCTTCCTCGGGGCCGAGAGAATTTTGGAAAGTCAAGCCTTCTCTTGGCTGCCGGCTTAAATAAAGGACTCTTAATTCGTCTCGAAGTGTGGCGTTTTCTCTAACTCGCTTGGGTATAACACTTTGAGCCTGCGAGGCAGAGTTTGCAGTGAGCCGAGATCACGCCACTGCACTCCAGCCTCGGCAACAAGAGTGAAACTCCGTTTCAAAAAACAAAAACAAAACAAAACAAAAGAACCCTCACAATCTTCCTGCACCCAACTGATGAAATCACCATTGCAAAAGTTATATCAGTGAGAACATTAGAACAGTAAGCTAAGCTAACCCAAACCCCACCTTACTTTTCCCTTAATTATTCCTGGGCTACTGGGTCGAGCTAACTTTGGAAGACATTTAGGCTATGGTTTAAATAACAGGCCTTGCCAAAAACTCAACCACTTATTTTTTTGAGACGGAGTCTTGCTCTGTCGCCCAGGCTGGAGTGCAGTGGTGTGATCTGGGCTCACTGCAATCTCTGCCTCTGGGTTCAAGCAATTCTCCTGCCTCAACCTCCTGAGTAGCTGGGATTACAGGCGCATGCCACTGAGTAGCTGGGATTACAGGCGCATGCCACCAAGCCTGGCTAATTTTTGTATTTTTAGTAGAGACAGGGTTTCACCATGTTGGTCAGACTGGTCTCGAACTCCTGACCTTGTGATCCACCCACCTCAGCCTCCCAAAGTGCTGGGATTACAGGCTTGAGCCACCGTGCCCAGCCTGCTTTTTTTTTTTTTTTTTCCTTGAGACAGAGTCTCATTCTGTCACCCAGGCTGGAGTGCAGAGGCACCATTTCTGCTCACTGAAACCTCCACTTCTGGGGCTCAAGCAATTCTCCTCTCTCAGCCTCAGGAGTAGCTGGGATTACAGGCGCCTGCCACCAAGCCTGGCTAATTGTTTTGTATTTTTAGTAGAGATGGGGTTTCACCCATGTTGGCCAGGCTGGTCTCCAACTCCTGACCTCAAGTGATCCGTCCACCTTGGCCTCCCAAAGTGCTGGGGTGACACTGTGCCTGGTCTCAACCACCCTTTTTTTTTTTTTCCTCTGTCACCCAAGCTGGAGTGCAGTGGCATGATCTTGGCTCACTGCAACTTCCGCCTTCTGAGTTCAAGCAATTCTCCTGCCTCAGTGTCCGGAGTAGCTGAGACGACAGGTGTGCACCACCACCCCCTGCTAATGTTTTGTATTTTTAGTAGAGATGGGGTTTCACCATGTTGGCCAGGCTGGTTTCGAACTCCTGACCTCCACCCGCCTTGGCCTCCCAAAGTGCTGGGATTACAGGAGTGAGCCATCACTCCTGGCATAGAAAGTTTTTCTCATCCATTGTCCTCCTCCTCTTCTTTCTTCATCTTCCTCTTCCACTTTTTTCCAGGCAACTTTAGCAGGACCCTTTGCACCGTCAAACTTTCCTTTCAACTTACAGTCAGCAACCTCTTCCTCATATTTCTTCTTCAGCTTTGCCGCCTTAGTGACGTCAACCTGCTTTTCACTGTCACTTCAGCTATTCCACATCTCACCCAGAGCTTTTTTTTTTTTTTTTTTTTTTTTTGCCACATCTCCAATAGAGATGCCAGGGTTTGCGGATTTGATCTTGGGGTGGAATTCTGAACAGAACATGAAGAATCCAGACAGTTGGTTGGGTGTGATGGCTCATGCTTGTAATGCCAGCACTTTGGGAAGCCAAGGCAGGTGGATCACCTGAGGTCAGGAGTTTGAGGCCAGCTTGGCCAACATGGTGAAACCCCATCTCTACTAAAAATACAAAAATTAGCCAGACGTGGTGGTACGCGCCTGTGGTCCCAGCTAATCTGGAGGCTGAGGCAGGAGAATAGCTTGAACCTGGGAGGCGGGGCTTGCAGTGAGCCGAGATTGCGCCACTGCACTCCAGCCTGGGCAACAGAGCGAGACTCCGTCTCAAAAAAATAAATAAATAAATAAATAAATTTTAAAAAATAAAATAAATAAATTAAATAAAATAAAAAATAAGAGTCCAGACGGTGGCCTTTTGGGGACATTAGGCTCTTTCTTCTTGCTTCCCCTTTAGCTGCTCTATAATCCTTCATTTCCCGATCCTAGTGTACTTTATCCGCCTTTGCCATTTCATCAAATTTGGACTTCTCTTTCACTGACACTGTCTTCCAACTCTCAGAATATTTCTTGGAAAATTCTGCAAAATTGACAGGGACCTCTGGGTTTTTCTTCTTCTTCTTCCTTTTTTTTTTTTTGAGATGGAGTTTCACTCTGTCGCCCAGGCTGGAGTGCAGTGGCACGATCTCCGCTCACTGCAACTTTCTCCTCCCAGGTTCAAGCGATTCTCCTGCCTCAGGCTCCCGAGTAGCTGGGACTATAGGCGCCTGCCACCATGCCCAGATAATTTTTGTATTTTTAGTAGAGACGGGGTTTCACCATGTTGGCCAGGATGGTCTCAATTTATTGACCTCATGATCCGCCTGCCTTGGCCTCCCAAAGTGCTGGGATTACAGGCGTGAGTCACTGTGCCAGGCCGGTTTTTCTTCTTATGTTCTTCTCTGTACATCTGCACAAAAAAACTATAAGCAGACATTTTGCCCTTTGGTTTCTTGGGGTCACCATTAGCCATCCTGACTGTATTGTTTGCTAGTCTGGGCAGCGCAGGACACTTGTTCGCTATTTTTCTAAACTTTTCCCCCAATGGGTGTAAAAAAGCATATTATTATTATTATTATTATTATTATTATTATTGAGACGAGTTTCGCTCTTGTTGCCTAAGCTGGAGTGCAATGGCGCGATCTCAGCTCATTGCAACCTCCACCTCCCGGGTTCCAGTGATTCTCCTGCCTCAGCCCCCTTAGTAGCTGGGATTCCAGACGCGCACCACCACGCCTGGATAGTTTTTTGTACTTTTAGTAGAAACGGGGTTTCACCATGTTAGGCTGGTCTCAAACTCCTGACCTCAGATGATCCGCCCGCCTCGGCCTCCCAAAGTGCTGGGATTACAGGTGTGAACCACTGTGCCCGGCTTAAAAGCATATTATTATAGTAAATACTTTTTTTCCCTTTCTTTCTTTCATTTTAAACACTGGGGTCTCCTTATGTTGTCCAGGCTAGATTCAAACTCCTGGACTCAAGCGATCCTCCCACCTCAGCCTCCCTGTTACCCTGTTGCCATGACAGCCCTGATAAAATAACTGGGAAAGTTCTCTTTCTTATTGTAAGTCCAAAAAAAAAAAAAAAAAAGGCACAGCTGCTTAAAGATTGCAGACAGCCAGGGATGTCCCCAGACCTTCTTGACCCCTGACCAGATACCAGAGGAAGATAAGATCCCTAAATCACCACAAACTGGAACAGACGACCTCTAGTCGACTTTAGATCATCAATATATAATTATAATGCTAAAATTCCTTCTCTTAAAAGAAAATCTCCATTTTGTGTAGATGGGTTGTATGAAGACAACCCAGGAATTGAGGCTCATGAATTGAGCCTGCGTGTCTGGAGTCCCACCCTGCACATGCTAGCATTCCTCTCCCTTCCTGTACCCAGGGGAAGAAACAATAAAACGTTATGCTTTTTACTGTTGAGGGAGAAGGGGCAGTTAGAGTGAGAGCCTCTCCTTCTCCATTCCTGGCCAGTGAATAAAACCTGATTGCCTTTTCCGATTGGATGTTCCTTCTTTGCCACCTACACAAAGTGGGGAGGTAACTCGGTTTGCTGGTGGCATCCTCAGTAGCTGGGACTACAGGCAATAAATTCTTTTATACGTCGCTTTTTAAACGTATTGTGCCTGTGAACAAATCTTCAAGTTATACCCAAGATTTCAAAGCTCATGATGGTCCATAGTACTCGCTCTTTAAATCAATAGCTGCGTATCCCACAGATGATTTCCTTTGGGATGATTTCCCAGAACTGGAATTGCAGATTCTTCACAATGCATTTTTAGTAGAGAAGGGGTTTCACCACGTTGGCCAGGAGGGTCTCGATCTCTTGACCTCATGATCCGCCCGCCTCCGCCTCCCAAAGTGCCGGGATTACAGGCGTCAGCCACTGCGCGCGGCCACAAAGCTCCCAACTTTTCCGTTAAGCACCGAGCTTTTTTCTAGACTAGCAGCTGAGGCCGGAAGGAATTCTGGGGAACGTAGTGCAGACTTGCAGAGAACGAGTCTCTTGGTCCTGTGCCGTAGCATTTCCGGCGGAAGTTGCTGGGCGCGGAAAGCCGGCAAGACCTTTTTTTCCGCCATCATCGCTCACGCGCGCAACCCTGGCGACGCGTGGTGGCGAGGCTCCGCCTCCCCACGCCATTGGCCAGCAGCTCCTCGGGCACGCGTATACTGCGCTTCCGGGCAATCTCCGCCCCCCCCCCCCGCATGGCCTTCTGGGAGTTGTAGTTCGGTCGCGAGCGCTGCCGTCGGGAGGCGCTCCGAGGTTCGAGGCTGTGCCCCGCGACCCCGCCTTCGGCGCTCGGCTCGCAGGATGGATCCCGTACCCGGGACAGACTCGGCGCCGCTGGCTGGCCTGGCCTGGTCGTCGGCCTCTGCACCCCCGCCGCGGGGGTTCAGCGCGGTGAGCGGCGTCGAGGGGCGGGGGTCGAATGGGGGAGGCAGTCGCTGTGGGGTGGGAGTCCGGCGCTGACCCGCGTCCTCCCGGTAGATCTCCTGCACCGTCGAGGGGGCACCCGCCAGCTTTGGCAAGAGCTTCGCGCAGAAATCTGGCTACTTCCTGTGCCTTAGTTCTCTGGGCAGCCTAGAGGTAAGAGGTGCCCACCTTCGGAACCACCAGGGTCTGCCCACCTCCCCTGCCCATTCACGGTGCCCTATGCCAGGTGCGCTGTCCCCGCTGCTAGCCACCCTCGCCGTGTCCCCCTTCCACCCCCAGAACCCGCAGGAGAACGTGGTGGCCGATATCCAGATCGTGGTGGACAAGAGCCCCCTGCCGCTGGGCTTCTCCCCCGTCTGCGACCCCATGGATTCCAGTAAGGGCTGCTTCGGAGGCGAGAGTTGTCCGGGTCCCTTGCAGGGAGGAGCGGGGGAGGAGGGACGACGGGCGCGCGGTATCTGAGCCTCGGCTGCCCCCTGGCACACGGGGTGATGACAGGGTTGGCTGAGGACTCAGAGCCCTGCCCTAGGGTGGACCGACATCCCCTGTCCTGATTCAAAATGTGTGATATGATTGGCACAGCCTGCATCCTCGAGTTAAGTGTTCAGTCCACGCCACCTGTTTCACTACTGTTGTGCTACTTGTGTCTTTTTACACCATAGCCAAGCAAAACCACTGCGCAGTTTTCTTTTTCATTTCCAGGCTTTGCACACGCCGCTTCCTCTGCCTGGGGCACTTTTTCTCTCCTTTTTGTAGCTCATTCTCCGTCCTCCGTCAGATGTCACCTTCACCCTTCCCTACCCCTCCTCTTCTGGGCCCACAACCCTAGTGCAGCCCTCCCAGCCCCACCTGAACTTTCCCACCCTTTCTTGTCATTTTTATTTGACTCAGGCTATATTCATTCATACTAGAGTTGGCAAACCTTTTTTTTTTTTTTTTTCTTCAGACGGAGTTTCGCTCTTGTTGCCCAGGCTGGAGTGCAATGGCGCGATCTCAGCTCACCACAACCTCCGACTCCCGGGTTCAAGCGATTCTCCTGCCTCATCCTCCAGAGTAGCTGGGATTACAGGCATGCGCCACCACGCCTGGCTAATTTTGTATTTTTAGTAGAGACGGGGTTTCTCCATGTTGGTCAGGCTGGTTTCGAACTCGTGACCTCAGGTGATCCACCTGCCTGGGCCTCCCAAAGTGCTGGGATTACAGGCGTGAGCCACCGCACCCGGCCAAACTTTTTTTCTTTATTTTTTCTTAGAGTTGGCAAACTTTTATGTAAAGGGCCTTATAGTAAATATTTTAGGCTTTACAGGGCAGATGATGTGTTTTGCATATTCAATTTTTTTACAATTCCTTAAAAATGTAAAAATCACTCTTAACACATCAGCTGTATGAAACCAGGCCTTAGGCTTGGTGTGGTGGTTCACACCTGTAATCCCAGCACTTTGGGAGCCTGAGGCGGGCAGATCACCTGAGGTCAGGAGTTCCAGACCAGCCTGGCCAACATGGTGAAACCCTGTCTCTACTAAAAATACAAAATTAGCTGGGCATGGTGGTGGGCGCCTGTAGTCCCAGCTACTTGGGAGGCTGAGGCAAGAGAATTGTTTGAACCTGGGAGGCGGAGGTTGGAGTGAGCTGAGATTGCGCCATTGCACTCCAGCCTGGGCGACAGAGTGAGACTCTGTCTCAAAAAGAAAAGAAAAGAAAACAGACCTTGAGCCAGATTTGGCTCATGGGTGCTAGTTGTCCAACCTCTATAGGATTAGAGGGCTCATGGAAAGTAAGTTTTGAGGGCCACGATGGGCACCCAGCTCTGTCCGATTCCACAGCTAGCCACCCCATGAATGCAGCTTCATATCACCAAAGATCAGCCTACTCCAGCGGTTCCTAAAGGCTGCATGGAATCCCCTCCTTCATCTATACCATTCATGATTTAACCACTCCTCCCACCCCCATCCCCAATGTTGTCCATGTGGCTGCCTTAAACAGCACCCTGGCGAGCCTCATCCTAGAGTCATCTTTGGGCCTTCCCACCCCTGCCTGGCTTCCCTCTCTCACTCCCCTACCCCCCACTCCCAGAGGCCTCTGTGTCCAAGAAGAAACGCATGTGTGTGAAGCTGTTGCCCCTGGGAGCCACGGACACGGCTGTGTTTGATGTCCGGCTGAGTGGGAAGACCAAGACAGTGCCTGGATACCTTCGAATAGGGTAGGGCCACCCCCCAGTGTCTAGCCACCTTCCCTGCCCTCCCAACTCATGATCTCACCAATCTGACCCTCAAGGACACCCCTGAGGTCTCCTGTTCCTTCTTCTACCTTCTGAGCCTCAGATTCTGCATGTTAAAACCGGGACATATATATCATCTTGTAGGACTGTCATTAGGAGTCAGTGACTTGGTGTCTAAAGTAGACATAACAGGACTGGGCGCGGTGGCTCACGCCTGTAATCCCAGCACTTTGGGAGGCTGAGGCGGGCCGATCACAAGGTCAGGAGATCGAGACCATCCTGACTAACATGTTGAAACCCCATCTCTACTGAAAATACAAAAAATTAGCCGGGTATGGTGGCACACGCCTGTAGTCCCAGCTACTTGGGAGGCTGAGGCAGGAAAATCACTTGAACCTGGAAGGCGGAGGTTGCAGTGAGTTGAGATCGCGCCACTGCACTCCAGTCTGGGGCGACAGAGCGAGACTCCGTCTCAAAAATAAAATAAAATAAATAAAAATAAAGTAGACAGAACGGTGATTTGAACCCAGCAGTATTAGTTTGGTGTGGTGCTTCGGGTGTGGGTCAAGATGCTGAAACAAAAATCCCCCAAAAGACTGGGCACGGTGGCTCACGCCTGTAGTCCCAGCACTTTGGAAGGCCAAGGCGGGCGGATCACCTGAGGTCAGGAGTTCGAGACCAGCCTGGCCAACATGGTGAAACTCCGTTTCTACTTAAAAAAAAAAAAAAAAAAAAAAAATTAGCTGGGCATGGTTGCCTGTAATCCCAGCTAATCCAGAGGCTGAGGCAGGAGAATCGTTTGAACCTGGGAGGTGGAGATTGCAGTGAGTCTAGATTGCGCCATTGCACTCCAGCCTGGGCAACATGAGCGAAACTCCGTCCCCAAAAAAAAAAAAAAAAAAAATTCCCCCAAAAGACAGAGGTCACCTGCATGCCCGGGTCCCCCGCCTTCTCCAGGGGCTATCCTCAACCCTGGCCCCACACCGGGCCAGCATCCCTCCCACCTTCCCTCCTGGTCCAGGGACATGGGCGGCTTTGCCATCTGGTGCAAGAAGGCCAAGGCCCCGAGGCCAGTGCCCAAGCCCCGAGGTCTCAGCCGGGACATGCAGGGCCTCTCTCTGGATGCAGCCAGCCAGCCAAGGTGAGTCCTCAGGCACCGGAGTGGGGGTGGCCGTTGTGGGAGGATGAGGCTTAACCTGAGTCATCCCACCTCCAGTAAGGGCGGCCTCCTGGAGCGGACAGCGTCAAGGCTGGGCTCTCGGGCATCCACTCTGCGGAGGAATGACTCCATCTACGAGGCCTCCAGCCTCTATGGCATCTCAGGTGAGCACAGAGTGGGGAAACTGAGGCGTGGAAGTGGAGGGTGTGACTGTCTTGAGATTACACAACCAGGAAGGATCTTCCTACTTCCCTCTCCCAACTCTGGATTCTGTAAAGACTGAAGGAGCCAGGCTGTGCGGGTTGGGCCTCTGTGGGTGGGGTGGGCAGTTCCCTACACCTCACCTCCTCCCCTCGCACGTGTTTTTCAGCCATGGATGGGGTTCCCTTCACACTCCACCCACGATTTGAGGGCAAGAGCTGCAGCCCCCTGGTGAGTCGGGGTCTCAGGGAGCCTGGGTCTGCGCCTGCCATCACCATTCTGGGTGCCAGGACATCCCTGTATCCAGTGCCCCAGCACAGAGGGCCACATCCTGGGTTGGGGCTGGAGTGTGTCACCTCCAGGTGGCAGCTGGAAGGTCTTCAGTCTTAGAATGGGGAGGGATCCATCCAGAGAAAGCAGCTGGACACCAGTAGCTAGAGGCTGTGACAAGAAGGGGGAGGGATGCTGGGCATGGTGGCTCACGACTGTGATCCCAGCACTTTGGGAGACCAAGGCAGGTGGATCACTTGAGGCCAGGAGATCGAGACCAGCCTGGCCAACATGGTGAAACCTCGTCTCTATTGAAAATACAAAAATTAGCCAGGCGCGGCTTTAGAGACTTTGTCTCTAAAAACAAAACAAAACAAACAAGAAAAATAAGGGGGAGGGATGTCCGAGGGAATATTCGGGGAGTGTTGGGGGGAGGGCAGGACCCCTTGAAGACGAAGGAAAGGGGGTTTCAGGTTGAGATCGGGCCCAAGGCTGACCCACCTCTGCCCGCCAGGCCTTCTCTGCTTTTGGGGACCTGACCATCAAGTCTCTGGCGGACATTGAGGAGGAGGTGGGTGCAGGGCTAGGGAGGAGGTGGGTGCAGGGCTAGGGAGGAGGTGCCTGAGGGGCCGGCACCCGCCCCTCGTCCGCCCCAGGCTGTCCCAGTTTTCCCCATCCCCGCTTTGCCCCAGACACACACCATCTCTCCAGGGCAGAAGACCACTCAAGTCCCTAAGTACCCACTCTGCCATTCCTCAGTCACTCCCCCTTTGGCCCTCTCTTTACTCTGGCACCTGTTCACTCTCTCTCTCCCCATCCCCCAGTATAACTACGGCTTCGTGGTGGAGAAGACCGCGGCTGCCCGCCTGCCCCCCAGCGTCTCATAGTCCCTCACCCTTCCGCGGAAAGAGCCCCCTTACTCCACCTCCCCGCCAGCCTGGGGCCACCCCCCCTCACTGCATCCTGGGGCCACCCCCACTCACTGCATCCTGGGAACCTTCGCCCTGCAAGGCGTTTGCTATCTTCAGCCACTGGGCGGAGCTGCAGCCCTGGAGGAGGGGGCGGGTCGAGGCTGCGTGGTGATGGGGTCTCCGCCCCCACGCCCTGCCGGGCAGGGCTGGAGCTGGACAGAAGCCAGTGCCTTTAAGTCATTTGTGTCAAAACCCTCTGGGGTCCGGAGGCTGTGCGGGTGTCCTCCTGGCAATAAACACTACCCGGTTCTCGCCCTCTGGAGTCCTGATCCTGCCGCCTGTCCACACTAGGCACTCTTGCACCGGGCAAGTGGGTGAAATCATGGCAGGGAGGCGGTGCTGCTGGGTCTCCCGTTTGTTGTTGTTGTTGTTGTTGTTGTTTGTTTGTTTTTTTCTGAGACGGGGGTCTCCCTCTGTGTCCCAGGCTGGGGTACGGTGGCACGATCTCGGCTCACTGCAACCTCCGCCTCTGGGGTTCAAGCGATTCTCCTGCCTCAGCCTCCCGAGTGGTTGGGATTACAGGCGTCCGCCACTACGCCCGGCTAATTTTTTGTATTTTCTATAGACGGGGTTTCACTGTGTTGGCCAGGCTGGTCTTGAACTCCTGACCTCAGGTGATCCGCCCGCCTCGGCCTCCCAAAGTGCTGGGATTATGGGCGTGAACCATCGCGCCTGGCTTGGGTCTTCCATTCTACAGAGTGGGAAACAGGCTCAGGGAGTGAGTGAGTCTGGATTCTAGATCATAGAGAAGACCTTGTCCCGGCCCTTCATCATTGGGCATAATAATAAAACAAGTACTGTTTCTACTGCAGTGGCCACATCCCCAACACGCGATACACCATTATTACCTCATTCAGTCTCCCTACAACCCACTGGGAAGCTCAGGTTTTGTTGCCATTTTCCAGATAAAGAAACTGAGATGGGGATGCTAAGGCCACAACTGGGACTGAAACCCAGCAATTGCTGTCTTTTTTCTTTTCTTTTCTTTTCTTTTTTTTTTTTTGAGACAGAGTCTTGCTCTGTCACCCAGGCTGGAGTGCAGTGGCGTGATCTCGGCTCACTGCAAGCTCCACCTCCCAGGTTCACGCCGTTCTCTGGCCTCAGCCTCCTGAGTAGCTGGGACTACAGGCACCCACCACCACGCCCGGCTAATTTTTTATATTTGTGGTAGAGACAGAGTTTCACCGTGCTAGCCAGGATGGTCTCGATCTCCTGAGCTTGTGCTCCACCCTCCTCGGCCTCCCAAAGTGCTGGGATTACAGGTGTAAGCCACAGCGCCCAGGCCTTTTTTTTTTTTCTTTCTTTTTTTTTTTGAGACAGCGCCTCATGCTGTCACCCAGGCTGGGTGAAGTGGCATGATCTCGACTCACTGCAACCTCTGCCTCCCAGATTCAAGTGATTCTCCTGCCTCAGCCGGCACCCCTTGCTGCTGAGTAGCTGGGACTACAGGCTTGGGCCACCATAACCAGCTAATTTGTATTTTGTATTTTTAGTAGAGACAGCGTTTCACCTTGTTGGCCAGGCTGGTCTCAAAGTCCTGACCTCAAGTGATCCCCCGCCTTGGCCTCCCAAAGTGCTAGGATTACAGGTGTGAGCCACTGCGCCCGGCCCAGGCCACACCATTTTCATCCACCAATTCATACAACCTTGTTTTATGTACATTTGTTTAAAAACACCTTATTTAATATCTATGGTGGATTCATTTACATTGAACTCACAGCCAACAGCACCGAAACTCACGTCTGCATAAAGCTTCTCTATAATGGATTTTCTCCATGAGGTGCATCACAGACTTTTTTTTTTTTAAGTATTTTATTTTTGGCATGATCATAGCTCACTGCAGCCTTGACCTCCCGGGCTCAGGTGATCCTCCAATCTCAGCCTCCTGAGTAGCTGGGACTACAGGCTACACTGGGCTAATTTAAAATTTTTTTTGTACTGATGGGGGTCTCACTATATTGCCCAGGCTGGTCTTGAACTCCTGGCCTTGGGCAGTCCTCCTGCCTCGGCTCCCAATGTGCTGGGATTACAGGCATGAGCCGCCGAGCCCAGCCATTGCAGCCTTTTGGTACTTAGGAAGCCTGGACAGCATTTCGGTGTCTGGGGGAATTTCAATGGCAAAATCACCAACAAAAACCACAAGAACATGGCCAGGCACAGTGGCTCATGCTTGTAATCCCAGCACTTTGGGAGGCCGAGGTGGGTGGATCACCTGAGGTCAGGAGTTCGAGACCAGCCTGGCCAACATAGTGAAACCCCATCTCTACCAAAAATACAGAATTAGCCAGGCTTGGTGGCAGGTGCCTGTTATCCCAGCTACTTGGGACACTGAGGCAGCAGAATCGCTTGAACCCTGGTGGGTGGAGGTTGCAGTGAGCTGAGATTGTGCCACTGCACTCCAGGCTGTGCAACAAGAGTGAAACTCCATTTCAAAAAAAAAAAAAAAAAAAAGAGAAGAAATTCACCACCCTAAACTCACACCTTCCTTCTCCCATAAGTGCATGCCCATGGACGTGTACGATGGCTGCTATGCTGCTGTTTCTCCTCTGGGCTGTTGTAGTCTTGTGGTGGCCCACATTCTGCTGCAGTTGGAAACATCCCCAGATCTCTGTGGTTTAGAAAAGCTGGCCAGGCATGATGGCTGATACCTGTAATCCCAGCACTTTGGGAGGCCGAGGCAGGCAGATCACCTGAGGTCAGGAGTTCGAGACCAGCCTGGCCAACGTAGTGAAACCCTGTTTCTACTAAAAATATAAAAATTAGCTGCGTGTGGTGGCACACGCCTGTAATCCTAGCTGCTTGGGAGGCTGAGGCAGGAGAATCGCTTGAACCCGGGAGGTCAAGGTTGCAGTGAGCCAAGATTGCACCATTGCACTCCAGCTTTGGCAACAAGAGTGAAACTCCATCTCAAAAAGAAAAAGAAGAACTAAGGCTGTCATACTTGGAGTCTCACATCTGTAATCCCAGCACTTTTGGGGGCTGAGGCACGAGGATCGCTTGAGGCCAGGAGGTCGAGGCTGCAGTTTGCTATGATTGCGCCACTGCACTCCAGCCTGTGTGACAGAGTGAGACCCTGTCTCTAAATAAATAAATAAGTAAGGCAGGGCACGGTGTCTCACGCCTGTAATCCCAGCACTTTGGGAGGCCGAGGCGGACGGATCACCTGAGGTCGGGAGTTCAAGACCAGCCTGACCAACATGGAGAAACCCCCGTCTCTACTAAAAATGCAAAATTAGCGGGGCGTGGTGGCGCATGCCTGTAATCCCAGCTATTCAGGAGGCTGAGGCAGGAGAATCGCTTGAACCCAGGAGGCAGAGGTTGTGGTGAGCCAAGATCGCACCATTGCACTCCAGCCTTGGCAACAAGAGCGAAACTCTGTCTGCAAAAAAAAAAAAAAAAAAACAGCCTGGGTGCAGAGCAAAACCCTATCTCTAAGTAAATGAATAAATAAATAGCAAAGCTAAGGCTTATTTCTTAGCGGCAATAGACTTTGTTAGTTGTAGTGGTACAGAAACTGGCCTAATGGGAGGGTCATTTTCTCACAGTGAGGACGGTGTTGTCTAAAGAAACATCCAAGCTTTTAAATAATTAAAGTTGGCCAGCCATGGTGGCTCACGCCTGTAATGCCAGCACTATCGGAGGCTGAGGCGAGAGGATCACTTGAGCCCCCGGGAGTTTGAGACCAGCCTGGGCAACACAGCAAGGCCCTGTCTGTACAAATTAAAAATTAGCCGGGCATAGTGATACCTGCCTGTGTAGTCCCTGCTACTCGAGAGGCTGAGGTGGGAGGATCGCCTGAGTCTGGGAGGTGAAGGCTGCAGTGAGCTATGATTGCATAACTGCACTCCTGGCTGGGTGACAGAGCAAGACCCTGTCTCAAAAAAAAAGAAAAAAAAAATTTGGGACTGGGTGCAGCGGTGGCTCACACCTGTAATCCCAGCACTTTGGGAGGCCAAGCTGGGAGGATCTGTTGAGCTCAGGAGTTTAAGGGCAGCCTGGGCAGCAGTGAAACACCATCTCTACGAAAAAAACACACATGATCGGGCATGGTGGCTCACGCCCGTAATCCCAGCACTTTGAGAGGCCAAGGTGGGCGGATCACGAGGTCAGGAGTTCAAGACCAGCCTGGCCAACATGGTGAAATCCCATCTCTACTAAATATACAAAAAAAAAAAAAAAAAAAAATTAGCCGGGCATGGTCGTGGGTGCCCGTAGTCCCAGCTACTCGGGAGGCTGAGGCAGGAGAATTGCTTGAACCTGGGAGGCAGAGGTTGCAGTAAGCTGAGATCACATCACTGCACTCCAGCCTGGGCAACAGAGTGAGACTCCCTCTTAAAAAAAAAAAAAGAAAAAAGAAAAATCCACACACATATATAATTCAGATGATTGTTAAAAGTAAACAAGGCTTTATTCAAGACTACTGCATGGAAGATTGAGCTCAACTCGGAATCCACGAAGTTGTCACCAAGGGGGGATTTATAGCCACGGAGCAGGGCAAGGGGGGGTCAGTGGATAGAAAATTATAAAGGCTTGGGGAGTCACCTTAAACTCTCTTAATAGGATCCTTGCTGAAGCCAGGCCAGGGCGATCAGCTATCAAGAAACTGACTTAGCAGGATTCTTGCTAAAACTGGGCGACACAGATCAAAGACAGGATGGGAGCCAAGGTCACGGCCCAATGCAGAAGAGATTTCAGAGGACTCTGACTCAAGTTTGGCCAAGAAGAGAGTCTTTGTCGGGGCGGAGACCTGGCCTGGCCCTGGGAATCTGAGACGGGGGACAGTGCGTTCTCCTGGAAGGGGAGGTGAGCGGGGATGATGCAAAACGTACGCCCTTTCCCCAAACTCTTCAGCTGCCTTGGAAAAACTAGGTCTCTGATGCTAAGGCACCTGCCTGCATCTCCTGGCTCCCGGCACACGGATCATCTGCCAGGTCTCGCCCAGGCTCCTCTGGCGCCAGCCACAGAACCCGATCCAGCCAGAAAGCAAATGCCGTTTGTCCTCTCTGCCGTCCTTCTCAGCTGCCCCAAAAGCAGCCCCAGATCTCATTTCAGGGAGTCTGTGTGTGACCAGGGGCCTGAGGATGATCCATCCTGGCCTTGGGTCCAACTAGACCAATTGTCACTGATGACAGGGCCACTCACCCTGCAAAATCCCAGTCCTCTGAGCCCAGGCAGGCCTGGGGACTGCATCACGCAAGGGTTAGAGGGGCCCGATGGAGCCTACCCCACCTGCTTCTGACTTGGGTATCATCAATCCTAACATTTCTGGGCTGAGCTTACATCATCTTGGGCTACTGAGGAAGGAGCTGAGGGCCCTGGGAACCACAGCACTAAGTCCAGGATCCGTGCCTATCCTTCTCTTCTTTTATTATTATTATTATTTTTTGAGACCGGGTCTCACTCTGTGACCCAGGCTGGAGTGCAGTGGTGCGATCTCGGCAGCTCACTGCAACCTCCACCTCCCGGGTTCAAGTGATTCTCCTGCCTCAGCCTCCTGAGTAGCTGGGATTACAAGCATGAACCACTACACCCAGCTAATTTTTGTAGTTTTTGGTTTTTTTTTTTTTTTTTTTTTTTTTGAGACGGAGTCTCACTCTGTCGCCAGGCTGGAGTGCAGTGGAGCGATGTCGGCCCACTGCAACCTCCATCTCCCAGGTTCAAGCAATTCTCGTGACTCAGCCTCCCAAGTAGCTGGGACTACAAGTGCCCACCACCACGCCCAGCTAAATTTTTTGTTTGTTTGTTTTTGAGATGGAGTTTCATTCTTGTTGCCCAGGCTGGAGTGTGATGGTGCAGTCTCAGCTCACTGCAACCTCTGCCTCCTGGGTTCAAGCGATTCTCCTGCCTCAGCCTCCCTAGTAGCTGGGATTACAGGCGCCCACCACCACGCTCGGCTAATTTTTGTATTTTTGGTAGAGATGGGGTTTCACCATGTTGGTCAGGCTGGTCTCGAACTCCTGACCTCAAGTGATCCGCCCACCTCGGCCTCCCAAAGTGTTGGGATTACAGGTGTGAGCCACCGTGCCCGGTCCTTATTTCTGTATTTTTAGTAGAGATGGGGTTTCACCACGTTGGCCAGGCTGATCTTGAACTCCTGGCCTCAAGTGATCCACCCGCCTCGGTCTCCCAAAGTTCTGGGATTACAGGCATGAGCCAACATGCTGGCCTAATTTTTGTATTTTTAGTAGATATGAGGTTTTACTGTGTTGGTCAGGCTGGTCTGGAACAGCTGACCTCAAGCGATCTGCTCACATTGACCTCCCAAAGTGCTGGGATTACAGGTGTGAGCCACCATGCCTGGCCATTTCTCTTTTCTTGAGACAAGGTCTCACTCTGTTACCCAAGCTGGAGTGCGGTGGTGCAATCATGGCTCACCGCAGCCTTGACCTCCTGGGCACAATCTATCCTCCCATCTCAGTCTCCCTAGTAGCTGGAACTATAGGTGTGTGCCACCACACTTGGCTACATTTTTACTTTTGTAGAGATGGGGTCTTGCTATGTTGCCCAGGTGGGTTTCTCTCCTATTGCTTACTCCCAGGCTCCACAGGGGCATGGGTACTGAGAGTGGCATTTCTGGATAGACGTGATCCCAGCTCCTCTACTCAATAGCTGCTGACCTTGAGCTGCGGCTTAAACTTCTCTGCGCCTCAGTTTCTCCATCTTTACAATGGGAACCTCAACATTCCTCATCTCATGGGATACGTGTAAGGGAGAATGCATAGGACCCGTGTCTCTCAGCTGCCCCTGATGACTCTTGAAGAAACACCTCTTGACTCTGACAGGCCTTTGAAGGTGGAAGGTTTCTGCAGCCTGACATCCAGGCAGAATGGATGATGTGACTCCCCGTGAGTGGCCTCTGCTAGTGGCAAACCCTATACTTCCTGTATTCAAAAGTGGCAGAGGGGCTGGGCTCTGTGGCTCAGCCCTGTAATCCCATCACTTTGGGAAGCTGAGGTGGGAGGATCACTTGAGTCCAGGAGTTTGAGGCCAGCCTGGGCAACATAGGGAGACCCCAGTCTCTATAGTATTTTTTTTTTTTTCCAAGACAGAGTCTCCCTCTGTCACCCAGTCTGGAGTGCAGTGGTGTGATTGTGGTTCCCTGCAACTTCCATCTCTGGGGTTCAAGTGATTCTCCTGCCTCAGCCTCCTGAGTAGCTGGGACTACAGGCGCCCACCACCACCCCCGGCTAATTTCTTTTTTTTTTGACATGGAGTCTCGCTCTGTCGCCCAGGCTGGAGTGCAGTGGCGCAATCTTGGCTCACTGCAAGCTCCGCCTTTTGGGTTCATGCCATTCTCCTGCCTCAGCCTCTCAAGTAGCTGGGACTACAGGCGTCCGCCACCATGGCCAGCTAATTTGTGTGTGTGTGTGTATTTAGTAGAGATGAGGTTTCACCGCATTAGCCAGGATGGTCTCAATCTCCTGACCTCGTGATCTGCCCGCCTCAGCCTCCCACAAGTGCTGGGATTACAGGCGTGAGCCACGGCGCCCAGCCTAATTTCTTCCTTTCTTCCTTTCTTTCTTCCTTTCCTTTCTTTCCTTTCCTTTCTTTCATCTCTTTTTTCCTTTTCTTTCCTTTCTTTTCCTTCCTCCCTCCCTCCCTCCCTCTCTCTCTCTCTTTCTTTCTTTCTTTGTATTTTTAGTAGAGACGGTGTTTCACCTTGTTGGCCAGGCTGGTCTTGAACTCCCGACTTCAAGTGATCTGCCCGGTTCAGCCTCCCAAAGTGTTGGGATTACAGGTGTGAGCCACAGCGCCTGGCCATGACCAGCTAATTTTTGTATTTTTAGTAGAGATGGGGTTTTGCCATGTTGGCCAGGCTGGTCTTGAACTCCTAGCCTCAAGCAATCCGACTGCCTTGGCCTCCCAAAGTGCTAGGATTATAGGAGTGAGCCACTGTGCCCTGCCTACTTTTCTTTTAAACAGATAGGGTCTTGCTCTGTTGCCCAGGCTGGATCGTAGTGGTTCAATCACTGCTGATCTTCTTGCCTCAGCCTCTCAAGTAGCTGGGACCACAGGTGTGCACCACCATGCCTGGCTAATTTTTAATTTTTTTGTAGAGCTGGAGTCTCCCTATGTTGCCCAGGCTGGTCTTGAACTCCTGGCCTCAGGTGATCCTCTTGCAAGAGAACATCTTTGACAGATACTGTCCACACCCTAGAACATACCAGAATGCTGACAGAGCTTGTGTTTGCGAGGCCTGTGGAATTAATGGAGACATTTCTACCCTTTTCGACTGGGGCCTTGTGCCTATGGCTTGTTGGGTAGGGGAGATCACCTCCGTTTGTAAAGAACGAAACTGAGTTTGCATTACTGTTCCTTAAGGCAGGTCTGCCCAGCTCCCGGAACACTCTGAAAGCCGCACGCCAAACCCATATCAGGTGCCTGGAGTCTGGAGGTTTTGGCTGCAGCCCCAGGACCAGCCTTGCCCTGCGCCTCACCTGATTCTGGCTGAGATAGGAAGATGCTCGGTAACTCAGCTCCCCTTCCAGGCAGTGCAGACGAGGGGGCGGTTTTCAGCCGGGCCTCCCAAGTTGGAACCTTATCATTTCCAAGGTTCAAGTTTGAGGTATCAGGAGGAAGAGCAGGGACCAGCCTAGGGTGAGGTTGCTGAGGTGCCCAGGGTGCAATTTTTTATTTATTTTTATTTATTTATTTTTTGAGACGGAGTCTCGCTTTGTGCCCAGGCTGGAGAGGAGTGGTGCGGTCTTGGCTCACTGCAACCTCCGCCTCCCTGGCTTAAGTGATTCTCCTGCCTCAGCGTCCCGAGTAGCTGGGATTACAGGCACCCACCACCATGTCCAGCTAATTTTCTGTATTTTTTTTTTTTTTTTTGTGGGGGACGGAGTCTTGCTCTGTAGCCCAGACTGGAGGGCAGTGGCACAATCTCAGCTCACTGCAGCCTCCACCTCCTGGGTCCCGGTTCAAGCGATTCTCCCGCTTCAGCCTCCCAAGTAGCTGGGATTACTGGCATGCGTCACCATGCCCATCTAATTTTTGTATTTTTAGTAGAGACAGGGTTTCACCAAGTTGGCCAGGCTGGTCTTGAACTCCTGACCTCGTGATCTGCCCACCGTGGCCTCCCAAAGTGCTGGGATTACAGGCATGAGCCACTGCGCCGGCCTTGCTTTATTTTTGTGTGTGTGGGAGGGAGCATGGTGGCACACCCCTGTAATCCCAGCTACTGGGTGGCTGTGGTAGAATTGTTTGAGCCTGGGAGTTCGAGACCAGCCTGGGCAATATAGCAAAACACCATCTCTACAAAAATAAAAAATACAAAGATTAACCAGGTGTGGTGGTGCATGCCTGCAGTCCCAGCTACTCTGGATGCTGAGTCAGGAGGATCACTTGAGCCCAGGAGTTTGAGGCTGCAATGAGCTATGATCACAACACTGCATTCCAGCCTGGGTGATAGAGCAAACCCCTCTCTTTAAAAAAAAAAAAAAAATTAAAAATGTGTTGAGGTGAAAAATCACATTAACATAAAATTAACCATTTAGAAGTATACAATTCAGGCCAGGCGTGGTGGCTCACGCCTGTAGCACTTTGAGGGGCCAAGGTGGATGGATCATTTGAGGTCAGGAGTTCGAGACCAGCTGGCCAACATGGTAAATCACCATCTCTACTAAAAATGTAAAAACTATCCAGGCATGATGGCCCTTGCCTGTAGTCCCAGCTACTTGGGAGGCTGAGGCAGGAGAATCACTTAAAACAGGGAGGCGGAGGTTGCAGTGAGCCAAGATCGCGCCACTGCACTCCAGCCTAGGCGACAGAGTGAGACTCTGTCTCAAAAGCAAACAAACAAAAAATGTAAAAACTAGCCGGGCATGGTGGCCCTTTCCTGTAGTCCCAGTTACTTGGGAGGCTGAGGCAGGAAAATCGCTTGAACCCGGGAGACGGAGGTGGCAATGAGCCAAGATTGGGCCATTGCACTGCAGCCTGGGCCACAAGAGCAAAACTCCATCTCAAAAAAATTTTAAAAAGGCCAGGAGCAGTGGCTCACACCTGTAATTCCAGCACTTTGGGAGGCCGAGGCAGGGGATCACTTGAGGTCAGGAGTTCGAGACCAGCCTGGCCAACATGGTGAACCCGTCTCTACTAAACATATAAAAATTAGCCAGGCATGGTGGTGGGTGCCTGTAATCCCAGCTACTCAGGAGGCTGAGGCCGGAGAATCGCTTGAACTTGGGAGACGGAGGTTGCAGTGAGCCGAGATTGTGCCACTGCACTCCAGCCTGGGAGACAGAGCAAGACTCTGTCTCAAACCAAAACCAAAACCAAACAAAACTAACTGGTGGAGCATGCGTCCCAGCCTGGGGACTACAAGGGGCATGGCCTGGCTCTCACTTTTGCCCTTCCTTCCCCCGACCCAAGTCCCACCCATGGGCCTGGGCTTGGCCACGCAGCACAATTGAACATTGAGTAACACACAGATAGTGAATATCAGAGTTTACTTGTGGGTTGTGCAAGACAGGAGACCTTTGGAGACCCCTCTGTTATTTCCTTGAGCCCCAGAAACTACCCATGCCTACACCCCAAAAGCAGCAGCAGCATGAGAACGATTAACACACATTGAGGACCTATTGTGTGGGGGTCCCCGGAATGCCTCACATGAAGTCATGTGTCTTGTCAGAGCCCTTGGAGACAGGGCCACTTCGTGTCCCCATATTACAGATGAGGAAACTGAGGCACAAAGCAGCTAAGCCCTCAGCCATGGGTCCACAGCCAGGAACCTGGGTCCAGCTCTCCAGCCGTGCCCCTGGCCCTGGGCTGCTCCAAGCTTGGCACACATGGATTTGAAATGTTCACAGCCCGAGGGGGTGCAGTGGATTTTGCAGAGTCTGAGACTTGCACATCAGCAGCATGGAGATTATGGGGTTCAGGTGAGAATCCTGGCTCTGGTGCTCAGTCCTGGCCGTGGGCCCCCTGGTGAGTCACTGCCTCTCTTGGGGCCTCCGTTTCCTCATCTGTGAAATGGATGGAGACACTTAGAGAATCACTGCCTAAGCCCCCCGCTCCCCTTATGCCTGTAACAGAATCTCATCCATCTGGACAGCCACATTTCCCAGCCTCCCCTGCAGCAAGGTATGGCCATTTCGCTCTGTTCTGGCCAGTGGGATATAAAAAGAAGGGTTTCGAGGCTTCCTGGGAAGACTTCCAGGAGACACCTAGCCAGCGCTGGCCTCTGACTTTCCCTCAGAATGAGGAGGTGAAGGCTGGAGCTCTGGCAATTATTTTGTGCCACGAGGCAACCTTGAGGACAAAAGCCAAGGATGCAATAAAATGAGAGAAAAATCAAGTCCTACTGCTACTGCAGCTGAACCCGAACCTATCTCTATGGTATCCTTTTCTTACACCAGGTCTCTATTCCTCATCCCTGGGCTCACACCAGTGTGGAGTCCTTCCCCATGCTCCCTGGTCTGTGGCCCAGCATTCGACGCATCTCGTGCGTAACCCCGTCCCAGTGCCCCAGGCCAGCCGACAGTGTCCGGTGCATTCTGGATGCAGGCAGGCTGCTCTCCCAGCCTCCCTCCAGGGCTGCAGGTGCTGTGGCAGTGGCCATGGACCCAAAGGGGTCCCCAGGCTCTGGACAGGTTGAATAGGGGGTCCGACGATGGATACCCTGCTGAGGCTGAGCTCTGGGGCTGGCCTTGGAGACTTCGGCAGGGCGGGCGAGGTCGTCTTCAAAGGATGGCGGGGACAACTCATGGAGCCCACGGCGGGCAGCCCGGGCAGCCCGGAGGAGAGTGTGGGTCAGCACAGCCACCAGAACCAGGGTGCCCGAGCCGAGGATGGAAGCAGCTGCTGCGCCTGTCTCGATCTCGAAAAGTAGCAAGGCATAGATGGACAGTGCTAGGGAAGGAAACGACTCTCATTTATTCAGTCAACAAACATTTGCCCTCCAAGCCCTCAGGGAGTTCTTGCACACAGGGAGAAATTACGAAAAGCCCTGCCACATGACAGGCACATAGAATAGGCATTTAATCCTCCCACATCCCACTCGTGCATCATCATCACATCCATTTTACAGAGAAGAAAGCTGGGGCCCAGAGAGGTTAGGGGACTCCTCAAAGCCACACAGCCAGGAAGTGACAGAGGTGGGATTTTAACCCAGGCTGGTGGGCTCCAGAGTCTGTGCTCTGAAGCACAGTGCTGCCTCCGAAGGAGACAACAGAAAGAGACTAATTTCAGCAGCTGTGGGCCAGGGCTTCCCTGAGGAGGAGCTATTTGAGCTGAGACCCTGGGGAAGAAGCAGCAGTTTTTGGGAGAGCTGAGGAGGATGACAGCTGCAGGGACATGGCAAGTGCAGAGGTCCTGAGGTGGAAACACCCAAGAGTGTCCGAGGCTCAGAAAAAAGCAAAACGGGTTCTGGCCGGGCTCAGTGGCTCACGCCTATAATCCTAACACTTTGGGAGGCTGAGGCAGGTGGATCACTTGAGGTCAGGAGTTTGAAACCAGCCTGTGCAACATGGTAAAACCCTGTCTCTACAAAAAATACAAAAATTAGCTGGGCATCGTGGCGGGCGCCTGTAATCCCAGCTCCTCAGGAGGCTGAAGCAGGAGAATTGCTTGAGCCTGGGAGATGGAGGCTGCAGTGAGCCGAGATCGCACCACTGCACTCCAGCCTGGGTGACAGAGTGAGACTCAGTCTGAACAAAAAGAAAAGAAAAAAGAAAAATGGGTTGTGTAGCTGGAGCAGAAAGGTGGAGAGGTGGGGGAGAGATGGAGGAGTTAAGGAAGGAGTGGATGTTGGGGACCAGATGAGGGTGGGGGCCACAGAAAGGGGTGTGGGTCTTCTCCTTCTTCTCCTTCTTCTTCTTTTTCTTCTTGTTCTTGTTCTTGTTCTTCTTTTTTTTTTTTTGAGACAGGGTCTTGCTCTGTCACCCAGGTTGGAAGGCAGTGGCTCGGCTACAGCTCACTGCTGCCTCAACCTCCCCAGGCTCAGGTGATTCTCCCACCTCAGCCTCCTGAGTAGGTGGGACTACAGGTGCATGCCACCATGCCTGGCTAATTTTTTTTTTTTTTTTTTTTGAGACAGAATCTTGCTCTGTCACCCAGGCTGGAGCACAGTGGTGTGACCTCTGTTCACTGCAACCTCTGCTTCCCGGGTTCAAGCGATTCTCATGCCTCAGCCTCCCAAGTAGCTGGGATTATAGGCACCCACCACCACGCCAGCTAATTTTTGTATTTTTAGTAGAGACAGGGTTTCACTATGTTGGCCAGGCTGGTCTTGAACTCCTGACCTCAGGTGATCCGCCCACCTTGGCCTTCCAAACTGCTGGGATTACAGGCATGAGCCACTGGGCCCAGCCTGATTTTTGTATTTTTAGTAGAAACGGGGTTTCGCCTTGTTGCCCAGGCTGGTCTCCAATTCCTGAGCGCAAGTGGTCCTCTAGCCTTGGCCTGCCAAGAGGGCTGGGATTACAGGCGTGAGCCACTGTGTCCTACCGGGTTTTCTTCTAAGAGCAATGAGTAGGGGGATTTTGGAGCTGGGGAGGAACAGGACCTACCTGCTCTATCTTTTTTTTTTTTTTTTTTTGAGACTGAGTTTTGCTCTTGTTGCCGAGGCTGGAGTGCAGTGGCACAATCTCAGCTCACTGCAACCTCTGCCTCTCGGGTTCAAGCAATTCTCCTGCCTCAGCCTCTTGAGTAGCTGGGATTATAGGCATGCACCACCATGCCTGGCTAATTTTGTATTTTTAGTAGAGACAGGGGTTTCACCATGTTGGTCAGGCTGGTCTCGAACTCCTGACCTCAGGTGATCCACCTGCCTCGGCCTCCCAAAGTGCTGGGATTACAGGCATTAGCCACTGCGCCCGACACCTGCTCTATCTCTTAAGAAGCCTCCCTTGCCGGGCACGGTGGCTCACACCTGTAATCCCAGCACTTTGGGAGGCCGACGTGGGCGGATCACAAGGTCAGGAGATCGAGACCATCCTGGCTAACACGGTGAAACCTCATCTCTGCTAAAAATACAAAAAATTAGCCGATCGTGGTGGCGGGCGCCTGCAGTCCCAGCTATTCAGGAGGCTGAGGCAGGAGAATGGCGTGAACCTGGGAGGCGGAGCTTGCAGCGAGCCGAGATCACGCCACTGCACTCCAGCCTGGGTGACAGAGCGAGACTCCATCTCAAAAAAAAAAAAAAAGCCTCCCTGTTGGTGGAATACCCATATGAGGGAATATGATGCAGCATGTAAGGAATGAGGCACCGCTCCATTCTACAATGTGGATGAACCAGGAAAACATCGTTCTGAGTGAGAGAAGCCAGATGCAAATAGCCACAGAGTGTGAGGTGTCATTGATCTGAAATGTCCAGAACAGGCAAATCCTGGCCGGGCGCAGTGGCTCATGCTTGTAATCCCAGCACTTTGGGAGGCCGAGGTGGGTGGATCACCTGAAGTCAGGTGTTGGAGACCAGCCTGGCCAACATGGTGAAACCCTGTCTCTACCAAAAATATAAAAAGTAGCCAGGTGTGGTGGCACGTGCCTGTAATCCCAGCTACTTGGGAGGCTGAGGCAGGAGAATCGCTTGAATCTGGGAGGTGGAGATTGCAGTGAGCCGAGATCGCGCCGCTACCCTCTACCCTGGGCAACAGAGCAAGACGCTGTCTCGAGAAAAAAGAAAAAAAAAAAAATACAAGCAAATCCATAGAGACAGACAGTAGATTAGTGGCTTCCAGGGATGAGGAAGGGGCAATGGGGAGTGATTGCTAATGGAGACAGGGTTTCCTGTTGGGTGATGAAAATATTCTGGAACCAGATAGTAGCGATCGTTGCCTAAGACCGTGAATGTGCTCAATCCCACTGAACTGTTCACTTTAAAGTGGGTAACGGCTGGGCGAGGTGGCTCACACCTGTAATCCCAGCACTTTTGGAAGCCGAGGTGAGAGGTTGCTTGAGGCCAGGAGTTCGACGCCAGCTCAGGTGACATAGGGAGACCAGTCCCTACAAAAAATAAGAAACTATCGAGGAATGGCAGTGCTTGCCTACGGTCCCAGCTAGCTGCGGGGCTGAGGCAGAAGAATTGCTTGAGCCTAGGACATGGAGGCTGCAGTGAGCTATGATCACACCACTGCACTCCAGCCTGGGTGACACAGCGAGACCCTGTCTCAAAAAATGGAAATAAAATACACTGGTTAAAATGGTATTTTTTTTTTTTTTTTTTTTTTGAGATGGAATCTCGCTCTGTCACCCAGGCTGGAGTGCAGTGGCGCAATCTCGGCTCACTGCAAGCTCTGCCTCCCGGGTTCACGCCATTCTCCTGCCTCAGCCTCCCGAGTAGCTGGGACTACAGCCGCCCGCCACCACACCCGGCTAATTTTTGTATTTTTAGTAGAGATGGGGTTTCACCTTGTTAGCCAGGATGGTCTCGATCTCCTGACCTCGTGATCTGCCCGCCTCGGTCTCCCAAAGTGCTGGGATTACAGGCGTGAGCCACCGCGTCCGGCCTAAAATGGTAATGTTTTTGTTATGTGTACTTTGCCACAGTGAAACTGCAACTTAACTGGGTATGGTGGTGTACACCTGTAGTCCCAGCTACATGGATTGGGAGACTGAGGCAGGAGGATTGCTTGAGCCAGGAGTTCAAGTCCAGCCTGGGCTACATAGCAAGACCCTGTCTCTAAACAAACAAAACCAGAAACACCCCCAGCAACTCAGCTCTCAGGGTCCTGCATCTCTGTCTGTCTCTGCCTGGGGTGGGGGTGAGGGTCAAGGTGGAGGAGCCAGCCTCTGCTCTCTACTCTCTGGTGCCCACAGGTTTGCCACGCCCCAGGCTTGGGGGGCATTGAGAGATTCACAACCCCTCTCTGGCCTCAGTTAGCCAATGTGAATAAGAAGGGACCTTGAGGGACCGGGCGTGGTGGCTCACGCCAGTAACCCCAGCACTTTGGGAGGCCGAAGTGGGCGGATCACTTGAGGCCAGGAGTTTGAGACCAGCCTGGCCAACATGATGAAACCCCGTCTCTGCTAAAAATACAAAAATTAGCTGGGCGTGCTGGTGGGCTCCTGTAATCCCAGGTACTTGGGAGGCTGAGGGAGGAGAATCGCTTGAATCTGGGAGGTGGTGGTTGCAGTGAGCTGGGATCACTCTACTGCACTTCAGCCTGGGCAACAGAGCAAGACTCCATCTCAGAGAAAAAAAAAAAAAAAAAAGAAGGGACTTTGAGGACCTGAGCTAGCTAGCCCTCCATCAGCCTCTCCAGCATACAGTTGGCACCATTCTTAGTGGTGGTGCATCGTAGGACGTTTAGCAGCTTTTACCCACTAGATGTCAGTAGCATCCCACCCTCAACTCTGTGGCGACCACCAAAAATGTCTCCAGGCAGTGACAAAAGTTCCTCTGAGGCCAGAATCAGTCTCAGTGGAGAATCCCTGGTTTGGTCCCTATCTCTACACTGCAGAGTGGATTTGGGATCACTAAGCCACTTTGGCATCAATGATGTCCTCATTGGACCAAGCTCAGCCAATCAGAGCATTAATTGCTTCCCCTGATGTTAGTGATTGGTGGAGGAATATTACATGGCCCAAGCTCAGCCTATCAGAGTCAGCCCTGAGACTTTAGCCTGGGCTACTGGGACAGATAGATTTTCCTGCAGCGTCTAGGGTATTGGTAGGAGAGGGGCCCAGAACACATGGGGGACTTTTTTTTTTGGCACTTTCCAGGCTGTTTATACGCGTTCTCTGGCTCTGTACTATTGCTTTGGAAGATATCACACTGCATGATGTCCCACATGTGAAAGCAAGGCCAAGGACTTTTTTTTTTTTTTTGGCTGGAAACATTTTGAAAGGGATTTTGTAATTATTCTTTTAGTTCTAGCTAGCGATGAATGGATGATTGGTTGGATGTGCTTGGGAATTCTTGCTGAATGAGGTCACCTAGCCTCAAAAACAATCTAAATGGGAGGTGAATGAATTCTCAATTTTACGCTTAGTGAGGCTGACATAATGTTACCTTTTTTTTCCTTTTGTAATTGTTCTTGTATTTTAGAATGAGGATATCTTATTCCCTAGGTCTTTAATATTTCTGTTGGCCTGTGCAAAGACTCAAGGCTCCAGGCATCGTGTCAAAAGTGCTTACAGATAGAGGCATCTTTCTCAGAGAGAAGCCCATTCAGGGAACAGCAGATGAACAGGTGAAGTGACAAGCATTTCTGTTTCTTTTTTCTTTTATTATTATTATTATTATCAACAACATCATTTTTGAGACAGAGTCTCACTCTGTCACCCAGGCTGTGCAATGGCACAATCTCGGCTCACTGCAACCTCCGCCCCCTGGGTTCAAGCGATCCTCCTGCCTTCAGCCTCCTGAGTAGCTGGGTCTACAGGCATGAACCACCATGCCTGGCTAATTTCTTTCTTTTCTTTCTTTTTTTTTTTTTTTTAGATGGCATCTCACTCTGTCGCCCAGGCTGGAGTGCAGTGGCATGATCTTGGCTCAGTGCAACCTCTGCCTCCCAGGTTCAAACAATTCTCCTGCCTCAGCCTCTGGAGTAGCTGGGATTACAGGGGTATGCCACAATGTTTGGCTAATTTTTGTATACTTAGTAGAGATGGAGTTTCACCATGTTGCCCAGGCTGGTCTCAAACTCCACCTCAAGTGATCCACTCGCCTCGGCCTCCCAAAGTGCTGGGATTACAGGTGTGAGCAACCACACCCGGCTGAGAGGCATTTCTGATAACCTAATTTGAGTGCCTGGATCCAGCCACACCTGAAGCCAACTTCCCCTGACAATTTCAGATGCACAAGTCATCCATCCCTTCTCCTTTTTTTAAAAAAAAAACTACTTCTGGAGCATTTCATTAAGTCAAACAACAAAAGTTATGCAGTGTTCCGTGCACTTCACATATATAAATTCCCACAGTGAGCCTTAGGCTCACATCTCATTAAAAATATTTTGAGGGCCTGGCGTGGTGGCTCAGGGCCGGGCGTGGTGGCTCACGCCTGTAATCCCAGCACTTTGGGAGGCCGAGGTTGGTGGATCACCTGAGGTCAGGAGATCGTAGACCATCCTGGCTAACACGGTGAAACCCCGTCTCTACTAAAAATACAAAAAATTAGCTGGGCGTGGTGGTGGGCACCTGTAGTCCCAGCTACTCAGGAGGCTGAGGAAGAAGAGTGGCATGAACCCAGGAGGCGGAGCTTGCAGTGAGCCGAGATCACACCACTGCACTCCAGCCTGGGCGACAGAGCGAGACTCCGCATCAAAAAAAATTTTTTTAATATATCTTTTTAAACATTTATTTATTTATTTATTTATTTATTTATTGAGATGAAGTTTCAGTCTGTCACCCAGGCTGGAGTGCAGTTGCACGATCTTGGCTCTCTGAAACCTCCACCTCTCAGGTTCAAGTGATTCTCCCACCTCAGTCTCCCGAGTAGCTGGGATTACAGGCAGCTGCCACCAGGCCCAGCTAATTTTTTTGAATTTTTAATGGTGGGGTGGGGGGGCGGTTTCAGCATATTGGCCAGGCTGGTCTTGAACTCCTACCCTCAAGTGATTCACCCACTTTGGCCTCCCAAAGTGCTGGGATTATAGGCATGAGCCACCGCGCCCGGCCTAAATATCTTTTTAAATTTCTATTTTCTGTGGTGGGACTATGAAAAAAAAACAGTAATAGCAAATCCTGTTTTTCATTCAGTAGGATATTTTTTCTTCCTGTAAAACAGATTGTTTACAGGGCTGGCAGGGACTTATATATGATTCAGCATTGAGTCCGCAGCATCATCAACACATTTGTTTCAAGATTAAAACCAAATATAAGGCGTTAGGAGTCTCTTGAAAGACACTTAATGATTTCATTCCTTTACCAGCCCGGATGGATGAAAGAAAGTTGATTGAAGAAAAGTTATTACAAATCAGGAAGGAAGGACAGTGTGATGCGTTCCAGCATCTGGGGTATCCTTTTTTTTTTTTTTCTCAAGCCATTTTTGAGCTGGAGATTGATATTTGTAACCAAAACAGCTTTCACTCATTCCAACCTGTAAAATGCTATCTTTTTTTTTTTTTTTTTTTTTTTTTTTGAGACGGGGTTTTGCCCTTGTTGCCCAGGCTGGAGTGCAGTGGCACGATCTTGGCTCACTGCAACCTCTGCCCCCTGGTTCAAGTGATTCCCCTGCCTCAGCCTCCTGAGTGGCTGATATTATAGGCGCCCACCACCATGCCCGGCTAATTTTTTTGTATTTTTAGTAGAGATGGGGTTTCACCATGTTGGCCAGGCTGGTATCAAACTCCTGACCTCAGGTGATCCACCAGCCTCGGCCCCTCAAAGTGCTGGGATTACAGGCGTGAGCCACTGCGCCTGGCCAAAATGCTATCTTTAGACACCACGCAGGCCATGAAAATTTTTGTTCAAACAAATTATAAAACTGATGAATCAGAAGTGTTCTGATGACAGCTAGCATTTGTGGAGTCCCTGCTGGAGTCAGATGCCATCCACGGGCTTTTTTTTTTTTTTTTTTTTAATGAGATAGGGTCTCGCTGTATCACCCAGGCTGGAGTGCAGTGCAGTGGGGTGATCATGGCTCACTGCAGCCTCAACCTTCGGGCTCAAGTGATCCTCCCACCTTAGCCTCCCGAGGAGCTGGGACTACAGGTGTGTACCACCACACCAAGTCTATATATAGATATATAATATATAAATATAAATATATTATATAAATATATATTAATATAAACATATAAATATAAATATATATTTATATATTTAATAAATATATATTATATATATATATAGTTTTTTTTTTTTTTGTAGAGATGGGGTTTTGTTATGTTGCCCAGGCTGGTCTCAAACTCCTGGCCTCAAGCAATCCTCCTACCTCAGTCTCCCATATTGCTGGGATTACAGATGTGAGCTACTATGCCTGGTCCTATGGGCTTTCATGAGGATTAAATCTCAGAATCTCCTCAAGTGATTCTGTGAGGTAATGACAGTTATTCCCATTGTACTGATGAGGAAATCAAGGCACAGAGAGACTTTGCCCAAGGCACCAAAGCAAAGAAGTGTCAGAGCCTGGAGTTGAACTCAAGGAGGCTGTCTGCAGAGTTGATCCCAGTTAGGGGACCATTGCTGCTCTCTACCCAGCCCAGGGTCCCATGCCCCACGTTCTATTCCAGCACACACCTGCTAAATAGACGGAGATCCCACAGCAGAAAAGGCCAAGGGCCACATGTCTGAGGAGGCGGCAGTCGTAGAGAAACCAGTCAGACCTGGAATGAAGGGGAGCAGGAAGATAAAGGGTTCAGGAAGTGGAGCTGGTGGGGGGAGGTCAGTGAGGACAGGGAGGGAGAGCCGCTTAAATGAGACAAGGACCCAGCTTTCAGGGACCCAAAATCTATGTGAGTACCTAACCATCATCCATCTACTTGCCCACCCATTTACATCCATTTACTTATCCACTCTCCATCTATCCATCAATTCATCCATCAGCTCATGTATCCATCAGCCCATCCATCCATCTATCCACCCATTTATCCATTCATCCATTCATCCATTTATCCACCCATTCACCCATTTGTCCACTCATCCATCCATCCACCCATCCATCCATATGCCCATTCATCCATCCACCCACTTACCCATCCATCCATCCATCCATTTATCCATTCATCCATTCATCCACCCATTCATCCATCTGTCCACTTATCCATCCACCCATCCATCCATCCATACTTCCACTCATCCATCCATCCACTTATCCATCCATCCATTCACTTATCCATCCATCAAACCAGTCATCCATCCACTCATTCATTCATCCATCCACTTATCAATTCATTCATCCATCCACTTATCCATCCATCGGCCCCACCCATTCATCCATCCATACAATCATTTAGATATCCACCATCCACTATCTGATATCTATCCATTTATCTATGCTCCATCCATCCACACATCCATTTTTCCAAGTCAGTGTCCACCATCCATTTACCATTCATATTCATTGATTATTTGACCAGCACTCATATACAGCCTTCCATCCATTTAACCATGTGCTATTCATCCATCCATCCATTCATTTAAACACCCTCTGCTATCCTATCTATCCATCCCTCACCCACCCATCCACTGGTCATCCATCTTCCATTCACTATCCATCCACCCCTCATCCATCCATCCATCCATCTATCCATCCATCCATTCATCCTTCCTTACTTCGATCCATCCACCATCCATTCTCTTTCCCCTATAACCCATCTATATGCATGAGTCCACTCAAACACTCAACACTCAGGATGCAGCTACTATGTGCAGATACTTGCTACACACCTGGCTTCCATTATTTTACAGACTACAAGCTTCTTTGAGAGATGAGGAAACTGAGTTTCACATGCTGTTATTGATGATACAAACCGCGACCCCAAGAGGTGAGACTGATTGAGGAGGAAGTGGAGGCTATAAGAGCTTCCATCCTCACTCAGCTCCCACCAGTATAATGAAAGTGGACGCCTTCCCCATCTTCCTGTCGCCTTCCCTCCTGTCCCCTTTTCAGCACAGTGGCTAGAGGTGGTCATTCAAAACCTAAATCAGATCACCTTCCTCCTTACTCACAACCCTCCTTAGCAGAAGAAATCCCAAAGTCCTATCTCCTCTCTATCCCATCTCTCTGTTTCCTTTCCTTCTCAGCACTCATTACCATCTGCTATTATTATTATTATTAGAGATGAGGTCTCACTATGTTGCCCAAACTAGAGTGCAGTGGTTATTCATAAGCATGATCATGGCTCACTGCAGCCTTGACCTCCTGGGCTCAAGGGATCCTCTTGCCTCAGCCTCTTAAGTGTATGGGACTACAGGCATGCACCACCACACCTAGCTAATTATTATTTTTTCTTTTTGTAGAGGCAAGGTCTTGCTATATTACCCAGGCTGGTCTCAAATTCCTGGCCTCCCAGCACTTTGGGAGGCCAAGGTGGGTGGGTCATTTGAGGTCAGGAGTTCAAGACCAGCCTGGCCAACATGGTGAAACCCCGCCTCTACTAAAAATACAAAAATTAGCTGGGTATGGTGGTGGGCACCTGTAATCCCAGCTACTCGGGAGGCTAAGGTGGGAGAATCGCTTGAACCCAAGAGGTGGAGGCTGCAGTGAACCGAGATAGCGCCACTGCACTCCAGCCTGGGTGACAGAGCAAGACTCTGTCTCAAAAAAAAAAAAAGAAAAAAAAATTCCTGGCCTCAAATGATCCTCCTGCCTCTGCCTCCCAAAGGGCTGGGATTGCAGGTGTGAACCACCATGCCTTGTCCTTGTTATGTTTCCTTATTTTCTGTGACCCCATGAGAGCAGGTCTGGGTCCACTTGGTCCCCGCTGTCTCTGATGCCCTGAGCCAGATCCATTCCCCTGCAGGCAGGCACCCAACAGATGTTTGCTGACCCGTGGGACCCATGCATTTCATTGTCCCTTGGGTGGAAGGTGCATGGTCTGGATAGGATCTACCTCAATGGTGGGAGTTCTCATCTGCTCAATTTCACAGAATTCTGGACTAGAATTTGGGCTCCTCTCCCCCGACATTCTGGAGAGAAACACTACCATGTGGGACAGCGGAGTCCTCAGCTCAAGGAGGGTTCCTCCTTCCACAACCACTGCCCCTGATAGGGGTCCCTCAATGACCACATCCCTGACTGAGTTCAGGTCCCTGAGGAAGGAACTCAATTTCAGACCAGGACACAGGCTCTGGCTGGCTCTACCCAGAACCAAGTTCAAGTCCAGCACTGTCCCGCCTCCCACCCACTTCCAAGCCAGACAGCCTGAGAGCTCAGCCTCCCCTGTTTGAGATCCAGGCAAGCTGATCCTGGACCCTCTTTGAGCCTCAGTTTCCTCATCTGCAAAATGCGAGACACAGCAGTGGTTGCACCTGCTGCAAAATTGAACAAATATAGAATGGAGGGAGGGAAGGAGGGAGGAGGAGAGGAAAGGAGGGAGGCAGAGAGACATGGAGTGGTGGGGAGAGGGAAGTGGGGAGGGAAGCTGTCCCCCCAGCCTGAGGCCAAAAGAGGGGAAGAGGCTCAACCAGGCTCACCCAGCCCCCAGCCGGGCCTCCGAGGCGGTGAGGCCAGTCCTCCTACCTCCTGGGGCCAGGCCCCCGCGCCAGCTCGGCGCCCAGGTGGCCACAGAGCGCGGCGAGCAGCAAGCAGGTGAACCCCAGCACGAGCACCAGCGCGGCCAGCGCGGCGGCCAGCGGCAGCAGCGTCCCGGCCGCGTCCTCTGGCAGCCCGGGGCCGGCGCCCAGCTCCTGGCCCAGCCCCTCGGCGCGCAGCCCCCGCAGCTCGGCGCGGCCCGCCTGCAGCTGAAACAGCAGCTGCGCGCCCAGCGCCGCCAGCACGGCCGCCGCGATGCCCAGCAGGGTCATTGCAGCCAGCACCCGGCCGCCGTAAGAACGGGCCATGGCGGGGGTTCCTGCGGGCCGGGGGAAGAGTTGAGGAATTGAAGTGGTTTTAGAGGGCAGGGGAGTTGGGGGGAATCCGAGGGTCCTCAGGGGGTCCCCGAGGGGGCGGGGCCGCAGGGAGTGTCTGAAAGTTCGGGGACTGGGCTGGGGGTCGCCAGACGGACGGGGGCTCCGGGGTGCTGGTCGCAGCCGGGACGCCGAATCTCCGCGAAAACTTGGGACAAAGTCTTTTCTCCTCCCTCCCGGGGCCCCGCGGGCGCCCCCTCTTGGTCCGCTGGGCCTGGCGGGGCGGGGCCTGGCACCGGGCGCAGGGCGGGGAGGCCCCACTAGGGACTGGATCGCGGGAACCCCACAGCTCGCTAAGTTCAGAAAAGGGCACCACCCCGCCCCCTGCCGCCCTAAGCATCGATTGTATTGTGGTTTAAAACAAGAAAAAGGAGGCCGGGGGCGGTGGCTCTCGCCTGTAATCCCAGCACCTTGGGAGGCCGAGGCGGGCGGATCACAAGGTCAAGAGTTCCAGACCAGCCTGGCCAATATGGTGAAACCCCGTCTCTACTAAAAATACAAAAATTAGCCGGGCGTGGTGGCCGGAGCCTGTAATCCCAGCTACTCGGGAGGCTGATGCAGGAGAATTGCTTGAACCCAGGAGGCGGAGGTTTCAGTGAGCTGAGATTACGCCATTGCACTGCAGCCTGGGCGACAGAGCGAGACTCCGTCTCAAAATTAATTAATTAATTAATTAAAAAATAAAAAATAAAGAGAAAGGAGGCCGGGCGCGGTGGCTCTCGCTTGTAATCTCAGCACTTTAGGAGTCCGAGGTGGGCGGATCACTTGAGGTCAGGAGTTCAAGACCAGCCTGGCCAACATGGTGAAACCCCCGTCTCTACTAAAAAAAAAAAAAAAAAAAAAAATTAGCCCGGCGTAGTGGTGCATGGCCTGTAATCCTAGCTACTCGGGAGGCTGAGGTTGGAGGAATGCTTGAATCAGGGAGGCGGAGGTTGCAGTGAGCCGAGATTGCACCACTGCACACTCCAGCCTGGCTGACAGAGTAAGACTCCATCAAAAAAAAAAAAAAAAAAAAAGAGAGAGAGAGAGAAAGGGCTGGGTGAGGTGGTTCACAACTGTAATCCCAGCACTTTGGGAGGCTGAGGCAGGAGGATGGCTTAAGCCCAGGAGTTTGAGACCAGCCTGGGCAACATAGCCAGACCCCATCTCTACAAAAAATAAGGAAGTCAGCCTGGTGTGGTGGTGCACGCCTGTGGACCCAGCTACTTTCGGGACTGAGACAGGAGGATCGCTTGAGCCCAGGAGGTCGAGGCTGCAGTGAACTGAGATCACGCCACTGCACTCCAGCCTGAGTGACAGAGCGAGGCTGTGTCTCAAAAAAGAAATAACAAAATTTAAAAATTCACTTTTCATTTGATCTCAACCCAGGGACTCTGTCATTGGCTGTGATTTCCCCTCTGCTTACTTCCTTCAAGCCTTTGGGTAACCGTTGCTTCCTCTAGGAGGCTAGGGAGAATCCTGGATCCCTTCCCCAACTGGTCCCCCAAATTATTCGCACAGCACTTTAAAAAAATCGAGATGAAACTTACATAACATAAAATTAATCATTTTATTCAGTGGCATTTAGTGTTGTACAATCATTACCTCTGTCTAGCTCCAGAAGATTTTCATCCCCCCAAAAGGAGACCCCATCCCCATTACCAGCCACTCCCCATTCCCCCTCCTCAAGTGGCTCACAACCATTAATCTACTTCTTGTCTCTGTCGATTTGCCTGTTCTGGACACTTCATATCAATGGAGTCATACAAGAGGTGGCATTCTGGCTTCTCTCACTCTGCATGATGTACTCAAGGTTCATCGAGGTTGTAGCATGGATCAGTGCCTCATTCCTTTTTATGGCTGCGTAATATTCCATAGCGTGTCTGGAACACATTGTGTTCATCCGTTCATCCATTGATGGGTATTTGTGTTGTTGGTTCCTTTTGGTGAAGGTGACTAATGCTGCTATAAACATGTGTGCACAGGTATCTTCTTGAGTCACTGCTGTCAATTCTTGTGGGGCGTGGACTCCTAGGAGTGGAGTTGCTGAGTCACATAGTTACTCTATTTTAACTCTTTGTGGAACCCTCAAACTTTTCCACAGCAGCTGCACCGTTTTCCATTTCCACCAGCAATGTCTGAGGTTTTTAAAAATAATTTTCTGCACATCCTCCCCAACACGTGTTTCCTCCTGCCCTCCTCCTCCTCCTCTTCCTTCTCCTCCTCCTCCTCCCTTCCTTCTCCTCCTCCTCCTTTCTTCCTCCTCCTCGTCTCCTCCTCCTCCTTCTTCTTTTTTTTTTTATCAGGGCCTTGCTCTGTCACCCAGGCTGGATTGCAGTGGTGTGATCATAGCTCATTACAGCCTTGACCTCCTGCTCAAGTGATCTTTCTGCCTCAGCCTCTCCCCAAGTAGCTGGGACCACAGGCAAGCATCAGCATGCCTGGCTAATTTTTAAGTTTTTTTTTTTTTTTCATAGAGATGGGGTCTTGTTATGTTGGTCTGGTCTCAAACTCTTTATACCCAAGTGATTCTCTCACCTCAGTCCCCCTAAATGCTGGGATTACAGGAGTGAGCCACCACACCCAGCCTCCTCCTTCCTCATAATAGCCTTTTTTTTTTTTTTTTTTTTTGAGATGAACTCTCACTCTGTTGCCCAGACTGGAGTGCAGTGGTGAGATCTCGGCTCACTGCAACCTCCACCTCCCGGGTTCAAGCGATTCTTGCACCTCAGCTTCCCAAGTAGCAGGATTACAGGTGCCTACCACCACACTCAGCTAATTTTTGTATTTTTAGTAGAAACAGGGTTTCACCATGTTGGCCAGGCTGGTCTCAAACTCCTGCCTCAAGTGATCCTCCCACCTCGGCCTCCCAGAGTGTTGGAATTACAGGTGTGAGCCACCATACCCAGCCAGTTTTTAAAATTTTTTTGTAGAGATGGGGTCTTGCTATGTTGGTCTTGTCTCAAACTTCTTATGCCCAAGTGATCCTCTCACCTCAGCCTCCTGAAGTGCTGGGGGATTACAGAGTGAGCCACCACACCCAGCCTCCTCCTCCCTGATAATAGTCATTCTGATGCTTATAAAGTAATATCTCATTGTGGTTTTTATTTGCATTTCCCTAATAACTAATGATGTTAAGCATCTTTTCATGGGCTTTTTGGCTGTTCATATATCTTCTTTGGAGAAATGTCTATTCAAATCCTTTCTCTATTTTAAATTAATTAATTAATTTTTTTGTAGCGATGGGGTCTTACTATGTTGTCCAGGCTCATCTGGAACTCTTAAGCTCAACTGATCCACCCACTGGGCCTCCCAAAGTGCTGGGATTACAGGCATGAGCCACTGCGCCTGGACTGGAATCAAGTTTTTTTTTCAGGTTTGAAAATTTTGGGGCCCCTTGAAAAGAGTTTGTGGGCCCTGTGCCCTCAGCCTCGTAGGTAAAATGGCCCCAAGGAAGAGTATGGGGTGAGGGTGACCCTTCACTTCCAGGTGGCCTCCTTCTTTGCTGTGTGACTTTGGGCACATCCCTTAACCTCTCTGGGCCTCTTCATATGTAGCAAGAACCTGTTCCTTCTTTCAATTGATTGATCGATTGATTGATTCATTCACTCATTCATCAGGCCTCAGCCCAACACTCATTCTTTCATCATCATCAGTGTTAGGGTGAATTTTCCATGTTTTCCAGGTAAGGAAAAGTCTCACGTTGAGGGCTCAGCAATTCATTTGGATCAGGGCTACAGTTTGCTCTGGGTGGTGGGAATACAGAGATACAAGATATTTTCATGTATTCATTCGACGAACATCAGTGGAGAGCCCATCTACGTGCTGGGCTCTGAGGACCCAGGGGTGACCAAGACAGGCCCAGCTCTCCCTTCTGGTGCTCACAGCCTGGTGGGGGAGGTGGAAACATACATGAAACCCCACAATAAGGGGACACTTACCTAAATGGCCAACATTCATTGCAGTGCTGGCTTAGGTTTTGCCATTATTTGTTGGGGTTGGGGGAACACAGATACCAAGGTCTGGTCCTGCTGTTTGTATGTGGGGTGATTCTCTAGTTTGGGGGTGTCTGGCTTCAACTTGGAAAGTTAACCCTGCAAGCAGGCCCCACACTGCTCTTGGTAGATGGTGAGCTCATCTACCTTGGCCTTTTGCTAAGCTGCCCTTCTCATTCCAGCTCAGACAGGTGGGGAGTGGGGAGGTGGGGATGGGGGGTGAGGCTTGGAGAGTTCCACCATACAGTCCAAGGCACACAGCCTGACAGGGACAGAGAGTGGACTCCCTCAACCTCACTGCCCAGATACGGATGGCTGGTCACTGCATGTTGGCTGGAATAATAGTAACAATGTTGACAGGTTACATCGCCTGTGATTTGTTGGAAAAGGGCAACCTGGTATGATTTACAGATAATTTAAGTGATTTTTATTTTTTTGAGACAGAGTCTCCCTGTGTCGCCCAGGCTGGAGTGCAGGGGTGCAATCTTGGCAGACTGCAACCTCCGCCTCCCAGGTTCAAGTGATTCTCATGCCTCAGCCTCCTGAGTAGCTGGGACTACAGGTGCGTGCCACCACGCCAGCTAATTTATATATATATATATATATATATATATTTTTTTTTTTTTTTTAGTAGAGACGGGGTTTTGTGACAGTGGCCAGGCTGGTCTTGAACTCCTGACCTCAGGTGATCCACTTGCCTCGGCCTCCCAAAGTGTTGGGATTACAGGAGTGAGCCACCACGCCCAGACTCAATGCACCCATTTCACAGATGCGCCACAGCAGTCCAGAGAGGGCTGCTGGAACATGAAGCATCAGGCAGCACCAGGGTCCTGAGCTGGGTCAATTTTCCAACCTGGAGGTTGGAAGTCGAGGTGAGCATGAAATCAGGTGGTCATCCAGTATTCAGGACCCTCTGGCCTCCCAGGCCCCCAGCCTCCTTCTTCCTGTCAGCCAGATTCCCGTGCACCGCAGTCACGCTTGCTAGTTTCCATGGACACGCGTGGACTCCTAGGAAACCTTTTCCGGAGACTGGGCACGAGAGGAGTGATTTGCATCTCATTTGAATGCTAGGCCCTGCCCCGAAAGTGTGCCATCTCGTCCTGCCGCGAGGGGGCGCCAGAGGCCAACCAAGCAGTTCGTGAGCCGAGTGAGCACCTGCTCCTCCTTCTTCACTGACCTGCCTGGGAGAACCTGGCTTTAATTCTAATTTTTCAGAGGAAGGGATTAGTGTTTAGAGAAGGGAGTTGATCTCACGGTCACAAAGCCAGGAGATGGTTCTAGATCGGAGTTTTTGATTTCTGTATTCTGCCGTGTTCCCTGGTAATGCCCCAGTCCACGAGCAACAGAGGGAGACCTGGGAGACTCTTGGCTCCTGCTGGCAGCCCGGGACCCCCAGCCCACGTGGTATCAAATATTGAAATGCATCCGTGTAACATATAAATCTGTTGTTAAAGGATTGTTGTGATTTTGCGCATGAAATATGTGGGCAACTCGGCCGGACGCGATGGCTCACGCCTGTAATCCCAGCACTTTGGGAGGCCGAGGCAGGCAGATCACCTGAGATCGGGAGTTCGAGACCAGCCTGACCAACATGAAGAAACTCCGTCTCTACTAAAAATACAAAAATTAGTCAGGTGTGGTGGTATGCCTGTAATCCCAGCTACTTGGGAGGCTGAGGCAGGAGAATCGCTTCAACCCGGGAGGCAGAGGTTGCGGTGAGCCGAGATCGTGCCATTGCACTCCAGCCTGGGCAACAAGAGCCAAACTCCGTCTCAAAAAAAAAAAAAGGGGGGGGGCAACTCATTTAATGTAGGATGGGCTTGGCGTTTTCAGCACGTTTGTTCTATTTTAGTTTAGATTTTCTCATTTTTGGAGCCATTAATTACTCCCCCTCAGCCAGGTCTCAGAAATATTTATAGAGATCCTTGAAAAGCTCTCCCTACTTTATCTCCTGGCCAGGGAGGCTCAGATGCGCACCTGGAAGACCAGAACAGATCCCTGGGTGTGAGGGGATGTCTCAGAAGAGAGAATCCCCTGCCACTCGCTCCATCCTAGCTCCCACCCTTCCCTGCATGGGGATCAGAACAGACTCCCCAGGTCCTGTCCTGCTTCTCCCTGTGGATCTTATTACACTCCCTCTGCCCTGACCCCTCCTGGGGATGGGCTCAAAACAGACATCACCCCTACCCATCCCCACTTCGCCTCCACCCCTCTTCATCATGGGAGCTCAGAACAGCCCCCCAGCCCCTCCTGCCCCCAGAGGAGTGCTCAGAACCCAGACAGTCCCCTACCTCGTGCTCCCACAGTGAGCTCCGTCCCGCCCTACTCCTGCGCAGATCTCTGACAATCCCCTCCCCTCCCCTCTCCTCGGCTTCCAAGAGGCTCATTACAGATTCCCCTCCCGCGGCCTGCCCACCTGGGGCAGAGGAGGACTCAGAACAGCCTTCCGACTTCCATCCAGCCCTCTCTCTCCGCAGTGGGGGGCAGGCTTTTCATAGACCGGTCACCCCTCCACCAGTCTTCCCCAACTATGGAGTCAGAACAGCCCCCCTCGGCCCCACCCTCCGCCTTGGCAACCCCCCCCCAACCCTCCGCCGGGGCACCCCCACCCCACATCCCTCCCCCACTCCCTCCCAGCTCTCCACCTCCGGAGTGGAGGGGTTCATCACCAAACCCCAACTCCTCCACCCTAGGGGGTCATAACATCCGCCCTTGGCCCTGCCCTCCGCCCTGGCACCCCCACCCCCCCACCCCCATCCCGCTCTCTTACGGGGGCGGGGCGGGGAAGGAGGGTTTCCTTTTGTGTTTTTGGGGACAGGGTCTCCCTCTGTCGCTCAGGTTGGAGTGCAGTGTGCAAGTGGTGCGATCACGGTTCGCTGCAGCCTTGACCTCCCGGACTCAATCCATTCTCCCACCTCAGCCTTCAGGGTAGCTAAGCCACAGGTGCGCGCCACCACACCGGGCTAACTTTTAATTTTCGTAGAGTCAGGGTCTCACTCTCTTGCCCAGGTTGATCTCGAACCTCTGGGCTCAAGCGATCCTCCCGCCTTGGCCTCCCCAAGTGCTGGGATTACAGGCGTGCGGGGGTGGGGTGGGGGTGGAGGTTCATCAACAAACCCCACTCCTCTCCTCCACCCTAGCGGGTCAGAACAGCCCCCCGGCCCCGCCCTCCTCCCCACCCCCTCCCCCGGGGTCGCGCCCGCCTCGCGCCGCCTTTTCCACGCGGTACTTGTGGCGGCGCAGGCACTCGGTGAGGCTCCGTGGCTCCTGGTCCTCCAGGTCCTCTGGCAGCTGGAAGTTGCGGTCCAGCACCTCGGCCGCCTCCTGCCAGTTGGCGAAGCAGGCGGTGCCCAGGCGCTGGATCTCGTCGGCGCCGTCGCGAGTGAGCACGTCCCCGTCCGGCTTGAGCACCACGACCGCCGGCAGGCGCTCCACTGAGAACTGGCGCCCGAGGTCCCTGCGGAGCGGGCAGGTCAGTCTGGACGGATCCACATCCCTGATGCTGAACCAGAGAGCCCCACATCCCTCCTCCCAGTACTTAGGCAGCGCCTTCTGTGTGCACTGCCTCTTGCCGGGCACTGGGTAGGTGCACACGAGGACCGGGACAGGGCCAGACACTTTGGTCCCCGCGCTTTGTCTCCAGCACCCCAGGCATGCTCCAACCTCGGGGCATTTGTGCTGGCTGTGCCCACGTCTGGAGCGCTCTCCTCAGACATTTGCAGGCTAAGACCCTGTAGTATGGAGACCTCACATCGCAAGACACAAGGTCTTACTACATTTATTTGTAGTAAGACCCTGTCTCTACAAATAAATAAATAAATAAATAAATAAATAAATAAAGCAGGGTGTGGTGGTGCGCTCCTGTAGTCCCAGGTACTCAGGAGGCCGAGGTACCTGGGACTTCCCTCGAGAAGTATCCCTTGAGCCCAGGATTTCGAGGCTGCAGTGAGCTATGATTGCACCACTACACTCCAGCCTGGGTGACACAGCCAGATCCTGTCTCGAAAATAGAATAAATAACATTCCAAGGCAGTGTTTTTCTCCAAAGTGCCTTTCAGCACCCAACATCATGTATGGTTTTTAAAATTTCTCCTGCTTGGCCGGCGTGGTGGCTCATGCCTGTAATCTCAGCACTTTGGGAGGCTGAGATAGGCGGATCACCGGAGGCCAGGAGTTCGAGACCAGCCTAGCCAACATGGTTAACAGTTCTTAATTTCAGCCTGCTGCATTCTTCCGTGGCCCTTTTCCAGGCTGCCACAAAGAGAACCCATGATACTTACAAAATCCCATGAGTAGATTGCCAGGTTTAGTAATTAAAAATATAAGACACTCACAGGAGATCGAGACCATCCTGGCTAACACGGTGAAACCCCGTCTCTACTAAAAAATACAAAAAATTAGCCGGGTGTGGTGGCAGGCGCCTGTAGTCCCAGCTACTCGGAGAGGCTGAGGCAGGAGAATGGCGTGAACCCGGAAGGCAGAGCTTGCAGTGAGCCCAGATCACGCCACTGCACTCCAGCCTGGGCGAAGATACTCCATCTCAACAACAACAACAACAACAAACAACATATATATATGACACTCCCTCTCTTAAAAAAAAAAAAAAAATTGGAGGCTGGGTACAGTGGCTCACCCCTGTAATCCCAGCACTTTGGGAGGCCGAGGTGGGAGGATTGCTTGAGCCCAACGGTTTGAGACCAGCTTCAGCAACATAACGAGACCCCATCTCTCTCTATTCTATATATAAATACACTAGTTAAATTTGAATTTCAGATAAACAATGAATAATCTTTTAGTGTAAGTATAGCCAAATGCATGGGACATACTTATACTAAAGAAAGATTATTCATTGTTTATCTCAATTTTTTTTTCTTTTTCTTTTTTTTAGAGACAGAGCCTCCATCTGTCACCCAGGCTAGAGTGCAGTGGCGGGAACACAGATCGTGGTAACTTCAAACTCCTGGGCTCCAGTGATCCTATAGCGTCAGCCTCCTAAGTAGCTGGGACTACAGGCTCGTACCACCACACCTAATTTTTTTTTTTAAGTTTTTGTAAAGATATGGTCTTGCTATGTTGCCCAGGCTGGTTTTGAACTCCTGGCCTCAACTGATCCTTCCATCTCTGCCTCCCAAAGCACTGGGATTACAGGCATGAACCACTGCACCCAGCCTGAAATTTCATTTAACTGGACATCCCGTCTACGGGGGATGTGGAATGGGAACTGCCCAGATAACATACTAGTCTGGGTGAATGTTTTGTTGAGAGGACCCTGTCTCAGAGAAGGTCAGCATTTGTCTGCAGCTGGCGTCTCTGCCCCAGGGAAGGAAGCGTTGCTAGCGTCAGGGAGGAATCTCCTCAGCTGCCGAGGGCAGTGGGCAGGATTCAGTGTCCAAACTCTGATGATGTCCAAATTCTGATGATGACCAGAAACTTCCAACTTGTTGAGTAACAAAAGGCATGACATTGGGAAAATGTCATGAAGTCTGCAACTCACTTTCAAATAATTTAGCACAAACTATACACGTATGCATATACGTGTATATAGACACGTATTTTTATTGTAGACAAAGTGTATATGTGTCTATAGACACGTATTTGTATTGTAGACAAAGTGAATATGGCAAAATGTTAACAATTGCGATGGGTTTCATTGTACACTTCTTTCAACTTTTTGCTATGTTTGAACATTTTTTTTCTTTCTTTCTTTTTCTTTCTTTCTTTTTTTTTTTTTTTTTGTGACATAGTCTCGCTCTGTCGCCCAGGCTGGAGTGCAGTGGCACGATCTCGGGTCACTGCAAGCTCCACCTCCCGGGTTCACACCATTCTCTTGCCTCAGCCTCTCCGAGTAGCTGGGACTACAGGCGCCCGCCACCACGCCCGGCTAATTTATTGTATTTTTAGTAGAGACGGGGTTTCACCCTGGTTTCGATCTCCTGACCTCGTGATCCGCCCGCCTCGGCCTCTCAAAGTGCTAGGATTACAAGCGTGAGCCACTGCACCCAGCCTGAACGTTTTTTTCATAATAAAAAGTCAAGCTATAATACTGTTTCATTGGGCAGCTCCTTTTGTAAATTTTTTTAAAGGATCTTTTTAATTTTTTTTTTTTTTTTTTTTTTTGAGACAGAGTCTTGCTCTGTCGCTCAGCCTGGAGTGCAGTGGTGCGATCTTGGCTCACTGCACCCTCCGCCTCCCGGGTTCAAGCGATTCTCGTGCTTCAGCCTCCTGAGTAGCTGGGACTACAGGTACCCAACACTACGTCTGGCTAATTTTTGTATTTTTAGTAGAGACGGGGTTTCACCATGTTGGCCAGGTTGGTCTTGAACTCCTGACCTCACGTGATCCACCCACCTCGGCCTCCCAAAGTGTGCTGGGATTACAGGCATGAGCCACCGCACCAAGCCACCTTTCATAATTTTTCTTTTTTATAATTTTAGAGATGGGAGTGGTGGTGTCTTGCTGTGTTGCCCAAGCTGGTCTTCAACTCCCAGCCTCAAGCAATCCTCCTGCCTCAGCCTCCAAAAGTGCTGGGATTGCAGGTGTCAGCCACCATGCCTGGCTGGACATCTCCTTATAAAGCTTGAATCCGACTACCTCTCCCTCTGTTCTAATGTCCACCATGGCTCCCTGCTACTCTGAGGATCATGTCTATACTTGTTAAGGTGGCTCTGCACCACAGACCTGTCACATCTAAAGAAGATTATGACAAATGCGTGGGCAGTAACAATAACATTGTAAATTTGATCCTCTCCGGAATTACCTACAGTCTCCCTGAACTGGTTGTTCTTTCTCTGACAGCCTCCAAGCCTTTCTGCTGTGCCCTCTGCCTGGAACCCCTTCCCTTTCCTCATTCTCCATCCTCCTATCTTTCTTCTCATTGGAGTCTCCCTGTAATTTATTTATTTATTACATTTTTTATTTTTTATTTTTATTTTTGAGACAGAGTCTCACTCTGTTGCCCAGGCTGGAGTGCAGTGGCACCATCTCGGATCACTGCAACTTTCGCCTCCTGGATTCAAGCAATTCTCCTGCCTCAGCCTCGCAAGTAGCTGGGACCACAGCTGTGCGCCACCAGGCCTGGCTAATTTTTGTATTTTTAGTAGAGACAGGGTTTTGCCATATTGGTCAGGCTAGTCTCGAACTCCTGACCTCAGGTGATCTGCTCACCTTGGCCTCCCAAAGTGCTAGATTTACAGGTGTGAGCCACCGTACCTGGCCTTACTTTTTTAAGAGACAGGGTCTACCTGTATTGCCCTGGCTGGAGTGCAGTGGTGCGATCATAGCTCACTGCAGCCTCAAACTCTAGGCTCCAGTTATCCTCTTACCATAGCCTCCCAGGTGGCTAGGACTACAGGCATGAGCCACCGTGCCCAGCTAGGGGTCTCTCTTTAAAGCCACTTTTTCGGGGAAGCATCCTCTGACCCCGGAACCTCACCAAGGTTTCCCTCATTGTATTTCCACTTTGTGGCCTAGCTTTGTCCTCTGAGCACTACTGCAATTCGCTATTATATATTTGTTTTTTGATTTTTTAGACAGAGTCTCCCTCTGTCACCCAGGCTGGAGGGCAGTGGCACGATCTTACCTCACTGCAGCATCTGCCTCCCAGTTTCAAACGATTCTCCTGCCTCAGCCTCCCAAGCAGCTGGGATTACAGGCGCCCACCACCACGCCTGGATAATTTTTGTATTTTTAGTAGAGACAGGGTTTCACTATGTTGACCAGGCTTGTCTCAAACTCCCGACCTCAGGTGATCTGCCCACCTCGGCCTGCCAAAGTCCTGGGATTACAGGGTTAAGCCACCATGCCCGGCCTTGCTATTACATAGTTGATTCTGTCTTTTGCATCTGTTCCTCTCACTCGGCTCTAAGCTCCCTGGGGTGGCATGGAAGCCAGCATGTGGAAGTGGGCACCCCTGTCTGTACCCCCTAGTTCCCAGTATATGGACTGGCACACAGGGGCTGCTCATTCACTCTAGTTAGAATGGATGCTTCACTTTCAGCGAACATGCCCCCTCCTCCAGGAAGCCCTCCCTGCCCCTCCTCACCTCCTCAGATCATCCTCAAAGGGCAGGAAAAGCCATTTCTTTGGCATGTCCTTGAGGAACAGGTCCTGCTGCTCCTCCGTGGAGTCCTGGGACACGTACACCAGGGCCAGCTGAGCCGCCCGCAGTACATAGAACTCATCTGTGAGCCGCACGAAGAAGTCCTTGAGGATGGGCACGAAGGCCTGGCACTGTGGACAAGCCCCAGCACCAAAGAACAGCAGCACCAGCCGGTTCTCCAGCCTGCGACTGACCTCAGCCTCCGTATCCAGCTCGTCCTGGTCGCTATTGTTGCGGATCAGGATGCGGCCAGAGAACAGGGAGGCCATGGTAACCTGGGTTGGGTGCTGGGGACAGCGCGGCGTGTGGTCCCCGGTCTGCTGACTGGCTCCTCTCCCAGAAATAGAAATCTTTAGAAAACCAGCTTAGGACTTCACTAATCTGCCTAAACCTTGACCTGAGGGGCCTCTAAGGGCGGGGGGCAGGGCTCTCTGTGTGGCCCTTCTCAGGAGAGAGCCGCAAACGCATTAAGAAAACACGTAACAGATGGGCACGGTGGCTCACGCCTGTGATCCCAGCACTTTGAGAGGCAGAGGTGGGAGGATCATCTGAGGTCAGGAGTTTGAGACCAGCCTGGCCAACATGGTGAAACCCTGTCTGTACTAAAAAATAAAAAAATTAGCCAGGCGTGGTGGTGGGCACCTGTAATCCCAGCTACTTGGGCAGCCGAGGCAGGAGAATCGCTTGAAGCCAGGAGGCGGAGGTTGCAGTGAGCTGAGATTGTGCCACTGCACTCCAGCCTGGGCGACAGAGCGAGACTCCATCTCAGAAAAAAAAAGAAAGAAAGAAAGAAAAAAAACCAAAAAACCATGTAGCAGACAGTGACTCACGCCTGTAATCTCAGCACTTTGGGAGGCTGAGGCAGGAGGATCACCTGAGACCAGGAGTTTGAGAGCAGCTTGGGCAACAGTGTGAGACCCCATCTCTATGAAAAAATTAAAAACTTAGCTGGGCATGGTGTTGTCATGAGCCTGTAGTCCCAGCTACTCAGCTGAGATGGAAGGATCACTTGAGCCTGGGAGGTTGAGGCTACAATGACTGCACTACTGCACTCCATCCTGGGTGACAGAGCAAGACCTAGTGTCTAAAAATAAAAAATAGGCTGGGCACGGTGGCTCACGCCTGTAATCCCAAAGCTTTGGGAGGTCAAGGTGGGTGGATCACCTGAAGTCAGGAGTTCGAGACCAGTCTGGCCAACATGGAGAAACCCCATCTCTACTAAAAATGCAAAAATTGGCCAGGTGTGGTGGCTCACGCCTGTAATCCCAGCACTTTGGGAGGCTGAGGCAGGTGGATCACAAGGTCAGGAGATCGAGACCATCCTGACTAACACAGTGAAACCCCGTCTCTACTAAAAGTACAAAAAAAATTAGCCGGGTGTGGTGGCGGGCACCTGTAGTCCCAGCTACTCGGGAGGCTGAGGCAGGAGAATGGCGTGAACCCGGGAGGTGGAGCTTGCAGTGAGCCGAGACCGCGCCACTGCACTCCAGCCTGGGTGACAGAGTGAGATTCCGTCTCAAAAAAAAAAAAAAAGCAAAAATTAGACCGGGTGTGGTGGCTCATGCCTGTAATCCCAGCGCTTTGGGAGGCTGAGGCAGGCGGATCACCTGAGGTCAGGAGTTCGAAACCAGCCTGGCCAACATGGTGAAACCCCATCTCTACTGAAAATACAAAAATTAGCGGCTCGTGATGGCACATGCCTGTAATCCCAGCTACTCGGGAGGCTAAGGCAGGAGAACTGCTTGAGCCTGGGAGGCAGAGGTTGCAGTGAGCTGAGATTGCACCACTGCACTCCATCCAGCCTGGGCAACAGAGCGAGACTACATCTCAAAAAAAAAAAAGCAAAAATTAGCCAGGCGTGGTGGTGCATGCCTGTAATCCCAGCTACTTGGGAGGCTGAGGGAGGAGAATTGCTTGAACCCAAGAGGCGGAGGCTGCAGTGAGACAAGATTGTCCCACTGCACTCCAACCTGGGGGATAGAGTGAGACTCTGTCTCCAAAATAAAAATAAAAAAATTTAATATCTGACTTTTTTGTATGTATATTTTTTGAGACTGGGTCTCACTCTGTCAAGGTGCCCAGGCTGGAGTGCAGTGGTGTGATCATGGCTCACTGCAGCCTTGACCTCCAGGGCTCGGGCGATCCTTCTATTTCAGCGTCCCTGTTAGCTGGCACTAGAGTTCTGTGCCACCACGTCTGGCTAATTTTTTGTATTTTTAGTAGAGATGAGGTTTTGCCATGTTGCCCAGGCTGGCCTCCAAGTCCTGGGCTCAAGCAATCCTCCAGCCTCGGCCTCCCAAAGTGCTGGGATTACAGGCATGAGCATGCAACTGGCCACACCTTTTCATAAATATATTAAATCACATTGATTCACATGGACTCTACTAGTTACTTCAAGGTCTAAGTCAGGGTGAGCATCTGTGATATTTTAGGGTGTCTCCTATGATCAGGATGTGATATGAAATTATCTTTGATTTCCACAGGGGACAAAGTTCCAGGGCTAGCCAATGTCTGCATTCACAGTGAGAGGACCTGATGAATTCCAGTTAGAGGCTAATGAAATGGGCCGGGCACAGTGGCTCACACCTGTAATCCCAGCAATTTGGGAGGCCGAGGCGGGAGGATCACCTAAAGTCAGGAGTTCAAGACCAGCCTGGCCAACATATAATGAAACCACATCTCCACTAAAAAAATACAAAAATTAGCTGGGTGTGGTAGCGCACTCCTGTAATCCTAGGTACTCAGGAGGCTGAGGCAGGAGAATCGCTTAAACCCGGGAGGCAGAGGTTGCAGTGAGCTGAGATCACGCCACTGCACTCCAGCCTGGGTTACAGAGTCAGACTCTGTCTCTAAAAAAACAAAACAAAACAAAATGGGGGGACTGGGCGCGGTGGCTCATGCCTGTAATCCCAGCACTTTGGGAGGCCAAGGCAGGCGCATCACGAGGTCAGGAGATCGAGACCATCCTGGCTAACATGGTGAAACCCTGTCTCTACTAAAAATACAAAAAAAAAATAGCCGGGCATGGTGGCGGGCACCTGTAGTCCCAGCTACTGGGGAGGCTGAGGCAGGAGAATGGCATGAACCCGGGAAGCGGAGCTTGCAGTGAGCCAAGATCGCGCCTCTGTACTCCAGGCTGGGCGACAGAGTGAGACTCCATCTCAAATGAAAGGAAGAAGAAGAAGAAGAAGAAGAAGAAGGAGAAGGAGAAGGAGAAGGAGAAGGAGAAGGAGAAGGAGAAGGAGAAGGAGAAGGAGAAGGAGAAGGAGAAGGAGAAGGAGAAGGAGAAGGAGAAGGAGAAGGAGAAGGAGAAGAAGAAGAAAAGAAGAAGAAGAAAAGAAGAAGAAGAAGAAGAAGAAAGAAGAAGAAGAAAATGTATTTTTTTTTCTCCATCCTCCTGAATTCTGTCTGGACCACCCACACCTTAAGATTGTAGATGTGTAGGTGTAGAAGGCTGAAAGTCATGGATATTATATTTTGCATCTCCAACTCCAACCCTGTCAAAGGGTAGAGACTAGTTCTGCCCCCCCTTGAATCCAGGTAGGTTTCATGACTTGCTTTGACGTATCAAATGTGGTGGAATGGGCTAAGCGCGGTGGTTCAGCCTGTAATCCCAGCACTTTTGCAGGCTGAGGCAGGCGGATCACTTGAGGTCAGGAGTTCGAGACCAGCCTAGACAACAATGGTGAAACCCTGTCTCTACTAAAAATACAAAAATTAGCTGGGCATGGTGGCAGGTGCCTGTAATCCCAGCTACTCAGGAGGCTGAGGTGGGAGAATTGCTTGAATTCGGGAGGCGGAGATTGCAGTGAGCTGCGATCGTGCCATTGCACTCCAGCCTGGGAGACAGAGCACGACTCCGTCTCAAAAATAAATAAATAAAATAGAATGTGGTGAAATGTGTGAGTTTCAAAGATGTCTTCATTTTATTTTATTTTTCAGAGACGGGGTCTCAATCTATCATTCAGGCTGAAGTTCAGTGGTACAATCATAGCTTACTGTAGTCTTGACCTCCTGGACTCATGGGATCCTCCTGCCTCAGCCTCCTGAGTAGATGGGACTACAGGTGCATGCCAGCATGCCCGTCTAGTTTTAAATTTTTTTGTAGAGGTCGGGTCTCACTCTTTTGCCCATGCTGATCTGGAACTCCTGGTCTTAAGCGATACTCCCGCCTTAGCCTCTCAAAGTGCTGGGATTACAGCTGTAATGTGCCTGGCCTGAAGAGTATCTTTAGTTTCCTTCTGCCTCTCATTTTACTCTTGAAACTCTATTGGGACCCCATGTAAGAAAGCTGATCTAGGCAGGGCAAATTTGCTCATACCTGTAATCCCAGCACTTTGGGAAGCTGAGGCGATCAGATCTCTTGATCCCAGGAGTTCAAGAGTAGCCTGGGCAACATAGCAAAACCCCCTCTACAAAAAAATACAAAAATTATCTGGGCATGGTGGTGCACCTGTAGTCCCAGCTACTTGAGGGTGCTGAGGCTGGAGGATGACTTGAGCCTGGGAGGTCAGGGATGCCGGGAACTGAGATGATGCCTCTGTACTCCAGCCCCCAGGCAATAGAGTGAGACCCTGTCTAAATAAATAAATAAATAAATAAATGCAAGCAGATCTAGGTATGGCACAGTGGCTCATGCTCATGCTTGTAATCGCAGCAATTTGGCAGGCCAAGGCAGGAAGATAGCTTGACCCCAGGAGTTCAAGACCAGCCTAGGCAATGTGGCAAAACCCTGTCTCTACAAAAATTAGCCAGGTGTGGTGGCACACGCCTGTGGTTCCAGGTACTCGAGAGGCTGGGGTGGGAGCCTCTCCCTCCTGAGCCCAGGAGGTCAAGGCTGCAGTGAGCTGGGATCGTGCCACTGCACTCCAACCTTGGCCACAGACTGAGACCCTGTCTCAACAATAAAAAGGAAACAAGGGGCGGGGCGCGGTAGCTCATGCCTGTAATCCCAGCACTTTGGGAGGCCAAGGCAGGTGGATCATGAGGTCAAGAGATCAAGACCATCCTGGCCAACATGGTGAAACCCTGTCTCTACTAAAAATACAAAAATTAGCTGGGCATGGTGGCACATGCCTGTAGTCCCAGCTACTTGGGAGGCTGAGGCAGGAGAATCGCTTGAACCCGGCAGGAGGAGGTTGCAATGAGCCAAGATCACGCCACTGCACTCCAGCCTGGCGACAGAGTGAGACTCTGTCTCAAAAAAAAAGAAAAAGAAAGAAAGAAAAGAAAGAAAGAGAAGGAAGGAAGGAGGGAAGGAAGATAGAAAGACAAAAGAAAGAAAGAGAGAGAGAGAAAGAAAGAAAGAAAGAAAGAAAGAAGCTCTAGTCCAGGGCTCTGTGCCTCTTGTCTGTAGAGGACTAGGAGGTAAACACTTTCATCTTTGAAGTCCATGTGGCCTCTGTTGAGAACCATAGCTCTCATCTTTCCTCCTTCTGTAGTGGGTTGAACTACAGGCTCCCCACAAAAAGATATATCCATGCCTTCGCCCCCGGAACCTGTTAATGGGACCTTGTTTGGAAGGAGTCTTTGCAGGTGTTACTTAGTTAAGGATCTTGAGATGACATCATCCTGGATTATCTGAGTGGGCCCTAAATCCAATGACTGATGTTGTAAACGGGAGCGTGACCGCTGAAGCACAGCATCACAGGGGCACGTTTAGGCCTCTGGATGGCTGCGGGCGGGCCTGACTAATGTCAGGCCTTCCACAAGAGGTGGTGGAGCAGAGTCTTCTCTAACTCCCCTGGGGAAAGGGAGACTCCCTTTCCAGGTCGGCTAAGTAATGGGTGCCTTCCCAGGCGCTGGCGTTACCGCTAGACCAGGGAGCCCTCTAGTGGCCCTGTTCGGGCATGACAGAGGGCTCACACTTGTCTTCTGGTGACTTCTCACTGTGTCCCTTCAGCTCCTACCTCTGTATGGCCTGGTTTTTCCTAGGTTATAATTGTAGAACAGAGATTATTTTAATATTGGAATAAAGAGTAATGCTACAAACTAACGAATGATTAATAATATTCATATATAATCATATCTATATTCTATTTCTTGTATAACTATTCTTATTCTATATATTTTGTTTATTATACTGGAACAGTTTGTGCCCTCGGTCTCTTGCCTCGGCACCTGGGTGGCTTGCCGCCCACAGAGGTGATCAGTCCAAGACTACCTGGCTAGAAACGAGCAGAGAGCAGTTTGGCCCGGAAGCCTGAGTTTTACTCCCTGGTCCACATCTCAGTTTCCTGGGGATAGGACAGTCCCCAATCCCTCATCTGAAATCCCTGGGGACAGCTGTGTTTGTGAATTGGGAGATTTTGTATTTTAGGAAAACAACTGGGGGCAGAGGCTGCTGTATACCCGTGCTGTTTTAGGGGGCTCAGAAAATAATACCCAGGCCGGGCTCAGTGGCTCATGCCTGTAATCCCAGCACTTTGGGAGGCCGAGGTGGGGGATCACTTGAGGTCAGGAGTTTGAGACCAGCCTGGCCAACATGGCAAAACCCCATCTCTACTAAAAATACAAAAATTAGCCAGGCACGGTTGTGTGCATCTGTAATCCCAGCTACTCGGGAGGCTGAGGCAGGAGAATCTCTTGAACCCGGGAGGCAAAAGTCGCAGTGAGCTGAGATTGGGCAACTGCACTCCAGCCTGGGTGACAGAGCAAGACTCCGACTGAAAAAAAGAAAGAGAGAGAGAAAGAGAGAGAGAGAGAGAGAGAGAGAGAGAGAGAGAGAGAGAGACAGACAGACAGACAGAAAGAAAGAAAGAAAGAAAAAAAACACCCCAAAATGAAGATCTCAGAAGCAAAAGTTTTTCTCTGACCTTCTCCTGCCCTCTTGTGTCTCAGATCTATTCTCCCCCAAGGCTGGCCATAAAAACTAGAATCCCTCTTTCCCAAGGTAGGTTTTAGAAACTAGAACTCTTGGCTGGGTGTGGTGCCTCACGTCTGTAATCCCAGCACTTTGGGAGGCCAAGGCAGGCGGATCGCTTGAGATCAGAAGTTCGTGACCAGCCTGGTCAACATGGTGAAACCCTGTCTCTACCAAAAATACATAATTAGCTAGGCTTGGTGGCATGCGCCTGTAATCCCAGCTCCTGGGGAGGCTGAGGCAGGAATCGCGTGGACCCAGGAGGCGGAGGTTGCAGTGAGCCAAGATTGAGACATTGCACTCCAGCCTGTGTGACAGAGTAAGATTCCATCTCAAAACAAACAAACAAACTGGTAAGATGGAGGGGGAAAAGGGAGGATAGGAAAAAAGGAAGGGGGGAAGAGAGGAGGAGGGCAGGGAGGAGGAGAGAAAAGGGCAGAAAGGAGAGAAGGAGGGAGAAAGAGAGAAGGAGGAAGTGGGGTAAGAGAAGAGAGAATCAGAGCACAAGAAAGGTGGAGGGGAAGTTTAGAGAAGAAAAAGGAGGAGGAGGGGTAAGAAGAGAGGAAGGAGGAGGGAAAGGAGGAGAGGAGGGGAGGAGGGACAGGGAACACTCAGCTGACATTTATGAATGAATGAATCTCAATTCCAAGTAAGCATGACAGCTCCAGTCCTCAGTTTCTTTCTTCCTTCTTTCTTTGTTTCTTTCTTTTCTTTCTTTCTTTCTCTCTTCTATTTTTTTTTTTTTAAGACAGGGTCTTGCTTTGTCACCCAGGCTGGAGTATAGTGACGCGATCTCGGCTCACTGGATCCTCTGCCTTCCGGGTTCAAGTGATTCTGCTCCCTCAGCCTCCGGAGTAGCTGGGATTACAGGTGTGCTCCACCATGCCTGACTAATTTTTGTATTTTTAGTAGAGACGGGGTTTCGTCATGTTGGTCAGGCTGGTTTCGAACTTCTGGCCTCAAGTGATCCACCCAACTCGGCCTCCCAAAATGCTGGGATTACAGGCGTGAGTCACCACGCCCAGCCTGCCCTCAGTTTCTTTACCTGTCAAATGGGGTGATCACAGCGGTGCTACCTGGCTAGGTAAGAGTGCAACTGCAGTTACTGGTCATTGCTGACTCTTCCAGGCCCAGAAAGCAGCAGGCCAGTGGCTGGCTCTGGGCCTGTCCTCCGGATCTTCCTCGTGATCCCTCATTCCAGCCACCCTGCTGCCCGCAGGGACCAATGGCAGCGTAGGGGGTGAGTGCCTGCCCAGCCCTGTCCTCCAAATGCATTGGAATCAGGCCCGGGCCGCCTCCTAAGGAGAACGCTGGAAAGGTCGGCCAAGGAGAGCAGAAAACAAGCAGTGGTGGAGTCGGCAGTGGGGCAGAGGAGGGGGAGCTGGAAGGGAAGGACCCCAAAGCAGAAGCCCGCACAGTAGGCACAGCGCACCCAAGAAGGGTCCAGGAGTCTGCAGAAACAGAAAGGTCCCCGGCCTCAGCCTCCTAGTCCCTGCCTGCCTCCTGCCTGAGCTTCTGGGAGACTGAAGGCACGGCTTGCAGCTTCAGGTCAGCCAGAGAATGGGGTTGTGCGTGCCCCCAGGCCAGCGCTGGCAGCGCCTGGGGGAGCATCTAGGACCCCGGGGTGCAAGTAAAGGGCCTGTAGGTGCTTCTAGGAAGGATGGGGACCTGGCGTGTGGATTTTGTCCTCCCTGGGATCCTGGGGTGTGACGGTGAGACTTAACCGACAAGGCTTCGGGACATGGATTAAGAATTAGCTGTGTCCTTGAATCACACGTGTTAAGACCGCGGCGGTGTTTACAGTTAGAGACTTCTGAGGCCCCAATGGTGTGAGTTGAGCACTCCCCCGGGCCCTGGAACGTGTTTTTAAGACCGAAAGAGGCTTTGGGGCTTGGATTTAGGACAAGCTGGAGCAAGAATACAGCCCGCGCGGGCCGTGGGTGTGGACTGGGATATTTTTGGTCCCCCGGGGTAGAGATCCTGCACGCCAACTAGGGCTCGGGTCCTGATATCTTGCGAGCCACGCCCCAAGGCTGCAGGACACGTGTGTTTCCTAAAAGGAGAGGGGGTGGGGCAAGGCTTGGTTGTCATGGAGACAGCGGACGACCCTGGCGGGCCGTTCTAGCACCCATGTCTCTTTGGCCGTCGCCTCTCCGGTCCGGTTGCCTCTCTATGGTCGTGGCTTCTGGAAGACGGCCGGCCTCGGCTCTGCGGGCTGAGGGGCTTCGAAGTAGACAGGAGGGAAGAGGGGCGGGGCCTAGGTCCTAGGGGGGCCGGAGTGAAACCCAGGAGGTGGCGACCGAGCCAAAGCCTGAGGGCGGGGCCCGTGGCCAGGATAGAACCTGAGCCTGGGAACTTGGGCTAGGCCCGGAACTGGGGTGGGGCTTGAACGGATTGGGGAGGGCTCTAGTTTCGGGAGGGTGGGGCGTGTGCTTATTGCGGGGGGGTGGGGAGGCATATGTCTAACCTAGGGGGTGGGGCCTGGCTGAGAGGGGCGGGACTCGGGGAGAGGGCTTGTACCTGTGGGCTGGGCTAGAAGCATAACCTAAGGGCGGGGCCCAGTGAGTGGTGAAAAGGCCACGGGGTAGAGGCAGGACCAGGAGGAAAGGGGACAGGACGTGAAGGGTAATTCGGGGATCGAGGATAGAGGCTAGATGAAGGCATGTGGCGAGGCCTGACAGTGACCGACAAGGTGGACATGCTGGCTCTGGGGGCGGGGACTGTTGTAAGATTGGCAGGGAAGGATGGGCTCAAAAATATGGAATAGAGCGGACCCAGGGTCCGGGGGCGGAGCCTGGCCAGGACCTGGCCAATCCCAGGCCTGGGGCCCTGGTCTGGTTCCTAGTTAGCGGGCGGGTGTAAAAGCCTGGAAAGGGGCGATGCCTGGCCTGAGGAGTTGACCAATCCCAGGCCTGGGGGCGGAGTCTGACTCGGAGCGCGTTCCCGGACTCGCGGGGGGCGCAGAGCCGAGGCCTGGGGGCGCGGCTCGCTGTAGAGGCGGGGGCGGTCGTGGGGCGGAGCGGGTCGTGGGGCGGGGCTGGAGCGGCCCGCGGCCTCAGCTCTCTCTGCTTCCCCAGGATGCGGGCTCCGGGTGCGGGCGCGGCCTCGGTGGTCTCGCTGGCGCTGTTGTGGCTGCTGGGGCTGCCGTGGACCTGGAGCGCGGCAGCGGCGCTCGGCGTGTACGTGGGCAGCGGCGGCTGGCGCTTCCTGCGCATCGTCTGCAAGACCGCGAGGCGAGACCTCTTGTGAGTGTTGCCGGGATCCGTCCAGGGCTGGGGGCGGGGCTGAGGGCTCTGGGGGCGCACGGTGCAGGGCTGGGTTGCGGGGACGGCTTGGAGGGTCCGGAGAGCTGAGGGTGCTTTGTAGGTTGGGGGCGGGGCTGGGCCGAGGGCTGGGCGGGGGCGGGGCCTGAGAGGGTGACCAGTTGGGGGTCTCTGAGGGGGCTACAGGGGACACTTTAAGGATTTCTCGAGGAAGATGAGTAGCCTCTAAGGTGCTTCGGGCGTTGCAGGCTGCTTAGGAGATGATCTCAGGGGATTTGGGGGGCAATTTGGGGGTCTTTGGGCAACTGGTGGAAATTCCAGGGAGCTGGGGCTGACTGGAAATCCGTGGCGGTGTGGGGGTCTTTTTGGAGCCGTGATAACTGTGAGAGACTTCAGGGGGCTCTCCAGTAGGTCACCGGGGCTCACAGGGACGACCCAATAGATAGTCTCTGGGGGGTTGCCAAGACACTTTGGGTCTATCTAGGGCTTTCTCTGAGGGATGAGCGAGCTGCTCTATAAAGGACTTCCCGGGTTTCTGAAGGTGTGAGTTTCCTCGGGATCGTTTACAGCTGGGGCACTGTTTGAGATTTTGGGGTCTGTGTGGGACTTTGGGTTTGGGAGTTGTTCGGAGTGTGTCGGGAGGCTGCTGTGTATTCCAGGACTTGTTTGGGGGGTCTCTTCTGGAGACTGGGACACTGGATTCATGCTAGGGGGGCAGATTCTGGTGTCCTGTGCAAGGATCCTTGGAGGGTTTTTGCGGTGTCTCTGAGGGACTTGCTCAAACGAGCCGTTGGGGGTCCTTCTGGGATGAAACAGGCATTGCTGGGGGCTTCTATCAGAGCAGACCTCAGGAACAGCACCACGTGGGAGCAGGTGAGCGCCGGCTAGCGGGGCAGGGCTCAACACCTTCACAGCTCCTTGTAAGATGGAGTAGCAAGAGGGACTGAACCCATTGTAAGGAGGGCACAGAGGGTGTGGAGATGGGAAAGATCCCACCGTAAGTTGACTGGTTCTGAACTTTCTAAAACTCACCCCTTCTGCATGCCATGGCCCCCTGCCCCCGGCTCCTTGGTTGTTCTGATGTGGAAATCTGACTGTGCCCTCTGCTCAGACACCTTCCATGGCCAGCCCATCCTTGGCAGAAGGAAGACTCAGCCCCTAGCTGGGCACTCAAGGTCCTACCATCTGTTCCCTGCCCACCTGCCACTCCCCCCATCCATATGTTCACCTGGTCTTCAGAAAGACTTGCAGTGTCAAGCTCAAGCTGCCCAGAACATACTGGACCCCTTTTAGCCAGGGCAGGCTCTCCCTCTGGGAACCTTTGCTGAATTTTCCTGCTCAGCACCCTCCCATAGCTCCTTGTTGCCCTTAGAATTGACGCCATACTGGCCGGGAGCGGTGGCTCACGCCTGTAATCCCAGCACTTTGGGAGGCCGAGGCAGGCAGATCACGAGGTCAGGAGATCAAAACCATCCTGGCTAACACGGTGAAACCCCGTTTCTAATAAAAATACAAAAAAATTAGCCAGGCGTGGTGGTGGACGCCTGTAGTCCCAGCTACTCGGGAGGCTGAGGCAGGAGAATGGTGTGAACCCCGGAGGCGGAGCTTGCAGTGAGCGGAGATCATGCCACTGCAGTCCAGCTTGGGCGACAGAGTGAGACTCCGTCTCAAAAAAAAAAAAAAAAATAGAATTAGAATTGAGGCCATACTCCTGAGCATTGCGCACGAGGTCCCTGACCATGTCCCAGCCTCCGCTTACTTCCCTTTTGTCGCCTAGCTGCACTTACCTTTTGTCTATTGCTCATTTGTTTGTTTGTTTGAGGCAGAGTCTCACTCCGTCGCCCAGGCTGGAGTGCAGTGGTGCGATCTTGGCTCACTGCAACCTCTGCCTCCCAGGTTCAAGTGATTCTCCTGCGTCAGCCTCCCAAGTAGCTGGGACTACAGGCACGTGCCACCATGCCCAGCTAATTTTTGTAATTTTAGTAGAGATGGGGTTTCACCGTATTAACCAGGCTGGTCTCAAACTCCTGACATCACGTAGTCCGCCTGCCTTGGCCTCCTAAAGTGCTGGGATTACAGGCATGAGCCACCATGCCTGGCTCCCTTTTTTTTGAGACAGGGTGTCTTCTCTGTTGCCCAGGGTGGACCAGCCTCCATCTCCTGGGCTCAAGCAATCCTCCCACCTCAGCCTCCTGACTAGCTGGGACTACAAACGCCTGCCTCCGCTCCTGGATAGTTAATAGAATGTTTTTTATAGAGATGAGGTCTCGCTATATTGCCCAGTCTGGTCTGGAACTCCTGGCTTTAAGCGATCCTCCTACCTCAGCCTCCCAAGTGGCTGGGATGACAGGTGCACACCACCACACCTGGCTAATTTTTTTATTTTTTGTAGAGACGTGGTTCTGCCACGTTGCCCAGGCTAGTCTCGAACTCCTGGCCTCCAGCGATCACCCAATTTCAGCCTCCCAAAGTGCTGGGATTACCGCGCCCAGCGTGAACTGCTTTGAACCATATTGTCTACTTGACTTTCAGACAGCCAGATGGTGCAGTTGGAGTTGCAAACTCATGTGAGGTTATGAGTCATCGATCGAGATTTCACCCCTTCCTCCTAACAGCAAGGTCTGAGATACCAAATTTCCTTTTAGCTCCTGGTGTGTGTATGTTAAGGAAAGATCTTATTTTGATTTCCAATTCACCTTTATGTTGAATGGGCATGCTTTGAGGTCTTATCAGACTCAAACCTGCTTGTCTGACACCTAAGCTGTCCCCCTCCTGGGGCTACAATGACATTTTGGCCTCTGGTTGGTCCTTATTTTCTGATCACCTTGTTGCTACATTAATAAAAAATTAACTCGGCTGGGCGCGGTGGCTCACACCTGTAATCCCAGCACTTTGGGAGGCCGAAGCGGGTGGATCACCTGAGGTCAGGAGTTTGAGACCAGCCTGGCCAACGTGGCGAAGCCTTGTCTCTACTGAAAATACAAAAATTAGCCGGGCGTGGTGGTGCACGCCTGTAATCTCAGCTACTTGGGAGTCTGAGGCAAGACAATCACTTGAACCTGGGAGGTGGAGGTTGCAGTGAGCCAAGATCGTGCCATTACACTCCAGACTGGGCAACATGAGCGAAACTCCATCTCAAAAAACAAAACAAAACAAAACAAAGATTTAACTCATTTAACCCAGCATTTTTAGTTGTTTTCTTTCTTTGCTTTGGGATTAGAAGTTTCTTGTTTTTTTGATAAAGTCTCACTCTGTCACCCAGGCTGGAGTGCAGTGGTGTGATCATAGCTCACTGTAGCCTCAACTTCCTGGGCTCAAATGATCCTCCCATCACAGCCTCCCAAGTAGCTGGGACTACAGATGCGTGCCACAACAGCCAGCAGATTTTGTTTATTTTTTATAAAGGAGAGGTCTCACTATGTTGTCCAGGCTGGTCTTGAACTCCTGAGGTCAAGAGATCCTCCTGCCTCAGCCTCCCAAAGTGCTAGGATTATAGGTGTGAACCACCACATCTGGCCTGTTTTCTTGCCTTTTAATCTTGGGCCTCTTTCTAGACTGTGGGCCCTATAGGGGCACAAAAGGAGACTGTGTCAGTCTTGGTGCCACTGTGGCCCTGCGCCCCACTCAGGATTGGCGCACAGCGGTAGCGCAGGACATGTTTGTTAGGTGGAAGGCCATCCCTTCCTTCTTGGGTTCACCCAGGCCCATCTCTCCCTCCTCTCCAGCTCTGCTCCCATGGGCCCTGTGGGTGTCCATGCCTGGTTCTAAGTTCCTGACATGGCTTGACATACTTGCCTGTGGGTGGCAGCTTTGAAGATGGCCCCAGGGATCCCTGTCTCCTGCTCTTCCCACTTGTATGGTCCCCTCCCTTTGAGTGTGGGCTGGACCTAGTGACCCCTTTCTTTTTTTTTTTTTTTTTTTTGAGATGGGAGTTTCGCTTTGTCACCCAGGCTGGAGTGCAATGGCGCGATCTCGGCTCACCGCAACCTCCGCCTCCCAGGTTCAAGTTATTTTCCTGCCTTAGCCTCCTGAGTAGCTGGGATTACCGGCATGCACCACCACGCCCAGCTAATTTTGTATTTTTAGTAGAGACGGGGTTTCTCCATGTTGGCCAGGCTGGTCTTGAACTCCCGACCTCAGGTGATCTGCCCGCCTGGGCCTCCCAAAGTGCTGGGATTACAGGTGTGAGCCACTGCGCCCTGTTTTTTTTTTGAGACGGAGTCTTGCTCTGCCACCCGGGCTGGAGTGCAGTGGTGTGACTCCACTGCACCCTCCAGCTCCCAGGTTCAAGCAATTCTCCTGTCTCAGCCTCCCGAGTAGCTGGGATTACAGGTGCCTGCCACCACACCCGGATAATTTTTGTATTTTTAGTTGAGAGGGGGTTTCACCACATTGGCCAGGCTGGTCTCAAGGTCCTAACCTCAGGTCATCCGCCTGCCTTGGCCTCCCAGAATGCTGGTATTACAGGCTGAACCACTGCGCCCAGCCCTAGTGACTCCCTTCTAATGAGTAAAATACATCAGAATTGATGGAGGCTGGGTGCAGAGGCTCGTGCATATAATTCCAGCACTTTGGGAGCCCAAGATGGGAGGATTGCCTGAGGCCAGGAGTTCAAGACCAGCCTGAGCAACATGATGAGACTCCATCTCTACACGCAAAAAATTAGCTGGGGGAGTGGGGCTCTCCTGTGGTCCCAGCTACTCAGGAGGCTGAGTGGGAGGATTGCTTGAGTCCAGGAGGTCAAGGCTGCAGTGAGCCATGATTGCCCCACTGCACTCCAGCCTGGGTGAGGGAGCAAGACTCTGTCTTGAAAAATGAAGGGGTGCTGACAAATCCCATTTAACACGTGAGAGAACAGAGGCACAGAGAGGGGAGGTTATTTGCCCAGAAACACACAGCCGGGGAGGCACAGGACTCCAGAGCATGTGCTCTTAGCCACTGTGCCGCACTGGAGTGGTTGGGGTGCTAAATTTAGACCTTGGCTTCAGAAAATATTTCAGCACCCTGCCCTGACTCTCCTAACATGCCCTGTACTTCCTGCATGAAATCTGATCGTATTCATCCTTGTTGATTTCTTCCGCCCTGGAGTCCTGGGCCCAGAGCTGGACAGTGGGCTCATTGTCCCCAGGCTGGGGGTGGCTTGAGCAGCTGCCAGGCAGGGCTGCCTAGGCATGTGGCTGGAACCAAGTACAGGAATCCACTGCCTGCTGGTGTGGGCATCCTTGAGAGAGAACGAGTGAGACCAAGAGACCGGGAGGCTGGGGGTGAATCCTCGTGTTCCCACATCTAGCTCTGGTGTTTAGCCTGACGGTGACCAACTGTGGCCTCAGTTCCTGTTTCTTGTTGTTGTGTTGCCTCTGGACGGGCACCCTACTGGCAGGGGCTGTTTCCTGTGGTTACTCCCTCAATAACAGCCCTCTCCCCATGGATGTAACATTTGTACCCCATCATGGAGTTCTTGGGGTGCTCCGTCAAATTCACCCACAGGAAGCCCTTAGAGCAGAATTGGGTGTATACTAGGTGCTCCAGGCTGGGCATGGTGGCTCATGCCTGTAATCCCAGCACTTTGGGAGGCTGAGGCGGGCTGATCACCTGAGGTCAGGAGTTCGAGACTAGCCTGGCCAACGTGGCGAAACCCTGTCTCTACTAAAAATACAAAAAAATTAGCTGGGCGTGGTAGCGGGCACCTGTAATCCCAGCTACTCGGGATGCTGAGGCAGGAGAATCGTTTGAACCCGGGAGGCAGAGGTTGCAGTGAGCTGAGGTGGCACCACTGCACTCCAGCCTGGGTGACAGAGTGAGACTCTGTCTCAAAAAAAAAAAAAAAAAGGAAAAAAAAAGACGCAGGCATTGGGCACCTGCTGTGTGCCTCATGGGCACTTGGCCTGCCACTGGCTACGTCGCCAGCACTTGATAAATGCTTTGTAATAAGTCTGCCAGGGATTAGAGGGACCCTGGGAGGAGGCTTTGTTTCTGGGTTGTTCTGTCCTCAAATTGCTCTGTGACCTTGGGCGTGTCCATTCCCCACTCCGAGCCCCCAGTTCATTCATTATTTGACAAATGGGGATCTGAGGGACCTATTTTGGAGGGTGGATATAAGGTTAGCACAGGGCATGGCAGATAGTAGGTGCTTAATAAACACTGAGAATGATCATCTGTTTTTTTTTTTTTTTTTTTTTTTGAGACATGGTCTCACACTGTCACCCAGGCTGGAGTGCAGTGGTGCAATCTTGGCTCACTGCAACCTTCACCTCCCGGGTTCAAACAATTCTTATGGCTCAGCCTCCCAAGTAGCTGGGACTATAGGTGCCCACCACCACACCTGGCTAATTTTTGTATTTTTAGTAGAGACGGGGTTTTGCCATGTTGGCCAGGCTGGTCTCGAACTCCTGGCCTCAAGTGATCCACCCACCTTGGCCTACCAAAGTGCTGGGATTACAAGTGTGAGCTACTATGTCTAGCTGAGAATGATTATCTTGGCTGCTCTGTTTATTGGTTGAATGGATGAGCAGCGCTTTTTTTTTTTTTTTTTTTTTTTTGAGACTGAATCTTGCTCGATTGCCCAGGCTGGAGTGCAGTGGTGTGATCTCAGCTCACTGCAACCTCCACCTCATGGGTTCATTCTCCTGCCTCAGCCTTCTGAGTAGCTGGGATTACAGGTGTGCACCACCATGCCTGGCTACTTTTTTTGTATTTGTAGTAGAGACAGGGTTTCATCATGTTGACCAGGGTGGTCTCAAACTCCTGACCTCAGGTGATCCACCCACCTTGGCCTCCCAAAGAGCTGGGATTACAGGCATGACCCACCGTGCCTGGCCTTCTTTCTTTCTTTCTTTCTTTTTTTGAGACAGGGTCTCACTCTCATTGCCCAGGCTGGAGTGCAGTGGTGCAATCTTGGCTCACTGCAACCTCCACCTCCTGAGTTCAAGCAAGTCTCTTGCCTCAGCCTCCCGAGTAGCTGGGATTACAGGTGCCCGCCACCATGCCCGGCTAATTTTTTTGTATTTTTAGTAGAGACGGGGTTTCACCATGTTGGGCAGGCTGGTCTTGAACTCCTGCCCTCAGGTGATCCACCCACCTCAGCCTCCCAAAGTGCTGGGATTACAGGTGTGAGCCACCGCACCTGCCGCCCACCTTTTTCTAAAATAAATTTAAAAAATTATTTTAACATAGAGATGAGGTCTCACTATATTGCCCAGGCTGGCCTCGAACTCCTGGCCTCAAATAGTCCCCCTGTCTTGGCCTCCCAGAGTGCTGGAATTACAGGAGTGAGCCCCTACACCTGGCCCTGAAGTGTTGACATTGAACTCAACTAGCAGCACTAAAACCCACGCCTGAAGAAAGCTGCTGTAACACACATATTTTCTCCATGAGGCACATCACACCAGACAAGCGCCTCAGCCCTGTGCTTGGGGGTCATTTTCAACAGCGAAGTCACCAGCAAAAATCACAAAAATGCAGCTGGGCGCGGTGGCTCATGCCTGTAATCCCAGCACTTTGGGAGGCTGAGGCAGGCGGATCACCTGAGGTCAGGAGTTTGAGACCAGCCTGGCCAACATGATGAAACCCCATCTCTACTAAAAATACAAAAATTAGCCAGGTGTGGTGGCAGGCACCTGTGGTCCCAGCTACTCAGGAGGCTGAGGCAGGAAAATCGCTTGAACCTGGGAGGCGGAGTCTGCAGTGAGCCAAGATTGTGCCATTGCACTCCAGCCTGGGCGACAGAGCAAGACTCCGTCTCAAAAAAAAAAAAAAAAAAAAGGCACAAAAATGCAAAAAACATGGCACTAAATAGACTGTGAAAAGGGTGCTTGTTTACAATGTGAGAGCTGAATTAAGGAGGCAGAGTGGGCCAGATGCGGTAGCTCACGCCTGTAATCCCAGCACTTTGGGAGTCTGAGGTGGGAGGATGGCTTGAGCCCAGGAGTTTGAGACCAGCCTGGGCAACATGGCGAAACCCCATCTCTACAAAAATACAAAAATTAGCCAGGTGTGGTGGTGTACGCCTGTAGTCCCAGCTACTCAGGGGGCTGAGGTGGGAGGATTGCTTGAGCCCAGGAGGCAGAGGTTGCAGTGAGCGGAGGTTGCAGTGAGCCGAGATTGTGCCACTGCACTCCACCCTGGGCAACTGAGTGAGACCCTGTCTCAAAAAAAAGAAGGCAGAGTGTTGTCTTGATGACTTCAGATGGGAACATGCATGTTGGCAATTCTGATTTTTCACCTCTCCACATGTGTTTGAGTATGGCGGTGAATGGCAGCTACTCAGGAGGCTGAGGCAGGAGGATCACTTGAGCCCTGGAGTTTGAGGCCGTAGTGAGTTATAATGGTGCCACCGCACTCCAGACTAGGCAACAGAGTGAGACCCTGTCTCTAAACAATAAAAAATTTAAAAAATTATCAGCTGGGAACAGTACTCACGCCTGGAATCCTAGTACTTTGGGAGGCCGAGGCAGGCGGATCACCTGAGGCCAGAAGTTCAAGACCAGCCTGGCCAACAAAATGAGATCCCTTCTCTACAAAAAAATAAAACAAAACAAAACAAACCCACAAAAATCCCTTTACTGGCAATTTTGGAGATGCAGGGAGGCACAAAGGCCTGTCAGTGTCTTTGTACTGGATTTGCTGTCTTTGTCATGAAATCACTGAATTTTCCCACTTGGTTTGAGCCCCGTTAGTCATCAGCCTGCAGCGGGGGGCCCCATTCTTGTGCAGGCTGCCCAGTTTTCTGTTGTAAAGACAATCCATTGTATAGGTCATCCCTCCCCTGCTTAGGGCGTTTGGTGTTTTTCTGATCTTCTGCACTTTGGAAGCTACAATGAATAGCACTGTTATTTCCCATATGCGAATTTAATATGCCAAACTTTTTATTTTTTAAATTTTTGAGACATACTTCATATTCTATTGTTGTTTCTTTCTCCCTCTCTCTCTCAATTTTTTTAAGATGAGTCTTGCTCTGTGGCTCAGCTGGAGTGCAGTGGTGCAATCTAGGCTCGCTGCAACCTCTGCCTCCCACATTCAAGTGATTCTTGTGCCTCACACTTTTGAGTAGCCGGGATTACAGGGACCCACCACCACGCACGGCTAATTTTTGTATCTTTAGTAGAGACGGAGTTTTGCCATGTTGGCCAGGCTGGTCTCAAACTCCTGGCCTCAAGTGATCTGCCCACCTTGGCCTCACAAAGTGCTGGGATTACAGGCGTGAGCCCCTGTGCCCAGCCTGGTCTGCTCTTTGGAAGCTACAGTGAATAGCACTGTCATTTCCCCCATTCGACTTTAAGATGCCAAATTTTTTATCTTTCGATACAAAAAAATTTTTTTTTGAGACGGAGTCTCACTCTGTCACCCAGGCTGGAGTGCAGTGGCATGATCTCAGCTCACTGCAACCTCCACCTCCCAGGTTCCAGTGATTCTCCTGCCACAGCCTCCCAAGTAGCTGGGACTGCAGGAATGTGCCACCATATCCGGCTAATTTTTGTATTTTTAGTAGAGACGGGGTTTCACCATGTTGGCCGGGCTGGTCTCGAACTCCTGACCTCAAGTGATCTGCTCACCTCGGCCTCCCAAAGTGCACAGATTACAGACATGAGCCACTACACCTGGCCTATTTTTTAAAAATTTTTGAGACATATATTTCTATTGTCATTTCTTTCTCTTTTTTTTTTCATGAAGAAGTTTTACTCTGTCACCCAGGCTCAATTGCAGTGGCATTATCATGGCTCACTGCAACCCTGACCTCCTAGGCCCAAGCGATCCTCCTGTCTCATCCTCCTGAGTAGCTGGGACTATACATGCCACAATGGCCAGTTAATTTTTTTCTTTTTTTTTTTTTTTTTGCAGAGATGAGGTCTCAGTTTGTTGCCCAGGCTGGTTTCAAACTCCTGAGCTCAAGTGATCCTCCCACCTTGACCTTTCAAAGTCCTAGCATTATAGGCGTGAGCCACCGTGTCCACCCAATTTTTTTAAAAATTTTAATTTTAGGCTGCAGGTTGCACGTGCTGGTTTGTTGCATTGGTATATTGTATGATGCTGAGGTTTGGGCTTGTAATCATCCCATTGTCCAGGTAGTGAACAGAATAGAATATCCAATAGGTTATTTTCAGCTGCCCCTTATGGAGTTCCCAGTGTCTGTTGTTCCCATCTTTGCGTCCGTGCGTATTCAATGTTTAGCTCCCACTTATAACGAAAACGTGGTATTTGGATTTCTTTTTTTTTTTTTTGAGATGGAGTTTTGCTCTTGTTGCCCAGCCTGGAGTGCAATGACGCGATCTCGGCTCACCGCAACCTCTGCCTCCCGGGTTCAAGCAATTCTCCTGCTTCAGCCTCCCAAGTGGTTGGGATTACAGGCATGCGCCACCACGCCCGGCCAATTTTGTAATTTTAGTTGAGACAGGGTTTCTCCATGTTGGCCAGGCTGGTCTCGAACTCCCAACCTCAGGTGATCCATCCACCTCAGCCTCCCAAAGTACTGGGATTACAGGCGTGAGCCACTGGGCCCGGCGGTGTTTGGATTTCTGTTTTTGCCTTAATTTGCTCAGGGTCATGGCCTCCAGCTGCATCCACGTTGCTCCAAAGCACATGGTTTAGTTCCTTTTTTTTTTTTTTTTTTTTTGAGACAGAGTCTCAATCTGTCACCCAGGCTGGAGTGCAGTGGCGCAATCTCGGCTCACTGCAACCTCTGCCTCCTGGGTCCAAGTGATTCTCCTGCCTCAGCCTCCTGAGTAGCTGGGATTACAGGCTCATGCCACCACACCTGGCCTCCATTTACATTTTTTAAAAATGATTTTAAAAAATTTCTGAGATAGGGTCTCACTCCCATAACCTAGGCTGGAGTGCAGTGACACAATCTCGGTTCACTGCAGCCTTGACTTCCTGGGCTCAAGCGATCCTCCTGCTTCAGCCTTCTGAGTAGTTGGGACTACAGGCTTGCGCCACTACCCTGGCTAATTTCTGTATTTTTAGTAGAGCTGGGGTTTCACCATGTTGCCCAGGCTGGTCTCGAACTGCTGGGCTCAAGCAATCCTCCCACCTCAGCCTTCCTTCCAAAGTGCTGGGATTACAGGCATGAGCCAGCATGCCTGCACGGCTGATTGACATTTTTTGAAGTTCTCTCCTTAAGGAGGGAACTCTCCAGTTGGAGATGTTAATTTATCAGCAGCCCATGAGCCACCCAGAGAGCAGCAGGACAGGTCCCTGCAGGGAGACCTGGTGGGCCAGAACCTGCCCGGGGCCCCTTAGATCGGGCTGGGGCCACGGGTGGCTGCTCTCTCCCTAGGCCTGCAGGATTGGAACCTGATCTGAGAGTCCCAGATGCCTCTCTTCCTTCGAGATTATTTGTAGCAAGCTCTCTGTGCTCCAGGAGAGCTGGGTCTTGGGCGGTCTCCTCCCCTGCTGCCTCTCTGGTACTAGAATGTAACAGATGCATGCCCTGTCTACCCAGTATAGGGAGGGACAGACCAAGGACACGGTGGTAAATGAGTACATTGCACGTGGCGTTTAAAGACTAGAAGTGCCCGCCGGGCGCAGTGGCTAACGCCTGTAATCCCAGCACTTTGCCGGGGTGAGGCAGGCGGATCACCTGAGGTCAGGAGCTTGAGACCAGCCTGGCCAACATGACGAAACTCCGTCTCTACTAAAAATACAAAAATGGCCAGGTGTGGTGGCTCATGCCTGTAATCCCACCACTTTGGGAGGCCGAGGCGGGTGGATCACGAGGTCAAGAAATGGAGACCATTCTGGCTAACATGGTGAAACCCCGTCTCTACTAAAAATACAAAAATTAGCTGGGCGTGGTAGCATGTGCCTGTAGTCCCAGCTACTTGGGAGGCTGAGGCAGGAGAATTGCTGGAACCCAGGAGGCAAATGTTTCAGTGAGCCGAGATAGCACCACTGCACTCTGGCCTGGACGACAGAGCAAGACTCTGTCTCAAAAAAAAAAAAAAAAAAAAAAAAGGGTGGGGAGAGAATGGAGCGGGAGGAGGGTCTGTATCACCACAGGGTCTTGGCTAGTGTGGGCTTTGCACTCAGTAGGTGCTCACCATTTCAAGAATCAGAGTTCATGCTTCTGCAACTGGCTGCTAGGGAGGGCAGATGCCCTAGGTACTGGACCCAGGGGCATGAAATGAACATTGGTCCACCCTCTATTGACTGAGCACATACTCCAGCAGATGCATAGATGCTAGAGATGCACAGATGCTAGAGATGCACAGATGCACAGATCTCCTGCGTGCTCACAATGCCAATGAATGATGGAGGGAATGAATGAATGAGGGAATGAGTGAAGGAGGGAATGAATGAATGAGGGAATGAGTGAAGGAGGGAATGAATGAGGGAACGAGTGAAGGAGGGAATGAATGAATGAGGGAAGGAGGGAATGAATGAATGAGGGAATGAGGGAATGAATGAACAAAGGAGGGAATGAATGAGTGAAATGAGTGAATGAATGAGGGAGAAATAGACCCATGACCTGGTGGCTCTGCACAAGGCTTTGATGGGGAGAGTGAAGGTGACAGGGAGGGCTCCCAGGGTAGAACAGAGAGCTCCCTGACACCAGCCAGTGCCCCACTGACCAAGTGCGGCCCCATTTTGAGGGAGCTGTGATTGGGGAGCAGTAAGCATGGTGCATGGGCCATGTGGTGCCTGGAAGGTTTCCTGAGGGAGGCAATGAGGCTGCTGGGGGGAGCTCTGTGAGTGGGTGTGTGTGTGGGGGCTGTGCTCAGCTCAGTGAGCTTGTGGGTCATGGTGGGTAGGGAAGTATTGTCACTAGGAGTTCAGCAGCCTGCTCATATCCCAAAAGTAGCCAGAGGGGCCTTCTAGGGGCTTCCAGGGTAAGTGGTTTGACCCATGCAGGAAGTCTCATGAAAACCCTGGACCTTTGTTTTTAGAAATTGCGGATGCTCTCCCCCAACAGACCCCGGCACCCTCCTATCTCCATGGCTTTCATTGTGAACCCCTCCTGGGGCCCATGAGCCTCATGGAGCCGGCCCCTGCCCACCTCAGACTTCATTCCCCTTTCATGTCGCTTTCCCCTAATTCCCCCCACACTGACCTCCACGCTGGTCCTCAACTGTGCCCCATTCCCAGGCCTGTTCCCACCCCAGGGCCTTTGCACTGGCTGCATTCCGGATGTACCCACAGCGACTCCCTTTTGCCTCACCAGGTCCTGCTCAGATGCCGCCTGCCTCTCTCAAGGGCCTCCCCTGCCTCTGCCCTTGGTCCGTGTGACTGACCACATCACCCCTTGCAGTCTTGTCACCATCCAGCACGGCCTGGTATTCAGTCATATACATGGAAGGGGTCTCTCTTCCCAGAGGACTGTGAACCCCAGAGGGTGGGGCCTGGTGGTCTGGATGCTCTGTCCCCAGAGCTGAGAACAGTGCCTAAAGCACAACAGACACTGGTATGCACCAGCTGCCTGAATGAATGAAGGAAGGAGGGAATGAATGAATGAAAGAGGGAGTAAATGATAAATGGAGGGAAAGAATAAAGGAGGGAATGAATGATGGAGGGAATAAATGCATGAAAGAGGTAATAAATGAACAAAGGAGGGAATGAAAGAGTGAAGGAGATAATAAATAAGGATGGAATGAGACCAGATGCGGTGGCCCACGCCTGTAATCCCAGCACATTGGGAGGCCAAGGGAGGACCACCTGAGTCCAGTAGTTCGAGACCAGCCTGGCCAACATGGTGAAACCCTGTCTCTACAAAAAATACAAAAATTTTGCTGGCCCTGGTGACGTGCACCTGTAGTCTCAGCTACTAGGGAGGCTGAGGTGGGAGGATTGCTTGAGCCTGGGAGGTCTGCAGTAAGCCATGATCATGGACTCTAGTCTGGGCGACAGAGTGAGACCCTGTCTCAAAAAAAAAGTACTGAATGAGTGAAGGGGGGAAAGAATGAATGACGGAGGGAGGGAAAGAGTGAGTGAAGTAGGGAATGAGTGAATGAAGATGGAATGAATGATGGAATGAATGAAGGAGAGAATGAGGGAGGGAATGAAAGAGGGAAAGAACGAAGAAGAGCATGAATGAATGACCGAGAGGATGAATGAATATAGGTGCTGAAGTCCACTGTGAACATTTTGGGGGGTGTGAGCAGCCATTGCAGGGATCTGGGGAGGCCTGGGAAAGGCAGGGGAGATCCAAAGGATGGATTTGGTGATTTTGATGCAGAAGCTGGAGGGAGGCAGTGGCCGGGCCAGGCTGAAACAGGGGCAGGTGGGTGGAGCCCCTGCCCTGTGTTGGTCAGGGCTGGGCAGGGCCAGGTACTACAACAAACACACCCCACATTCCAGTGGCTTACCCCAGTACAAGGTTATTGGTTCCCAGAGCCAGGGGCGCAGGGTGGTGGGGCAGGGAGCCAGGAAGGGGTGGGGACCACTCATTTCTCCAGCTTCTCAACCAAGAAAATCTGAATTTCCAGCTTCTGTGATCTAAACTTTTCCTTTCCTTTCCATTTCCTTTTTGTTTCCTTTTTTTTTTTTTTTTTTGATGGAGTCTTGCTCTTTGGCCCAGGCTGGAGTGAATTTGCGTGATCTCGGCTCACTGCAACCTCTGCCTGCTGTGTTTAAGCAATTCTCCTGCCTCAGCCTCCGGAGTAGCTGGGATTACAGGCGCCCACCATCACGCCTGGCTAATTTTTGTATTTTTAGTAGAGACGGGGTTTCACCGTGTTAGCCAGGATGGTCTCAATCTGCTGACCTCATGATCCACCCGCCTCGGCCTCCCAAAGTGCTAGGATTACAGGTGTGAGCCACCACGCCTGGCCTAAAGCATTTCTTGTTTGTTTGTTTGTTTGTTTGTTTGTTTGTTTTTAAAGTTCATTCTTGGCTGGGCATGGTGGCTCACACCTGTAATTCCAATACTTTGGGAGGCCAGGGCTGGTGGATTACCTGAGGTCAGGAGTTTGAGACCAGCCTGACCAATATGATGAAACCCCGTCTCTACTAAAAATACAAAAATTAGTCGGGTGTGGTGGTGGGCACCTGTAATCCCAGCTACTGTGGAGGCTGAGGCAGGAGAATTGCTTAAACCCAGGAGGCGGAGGGTGAGCCGAGATTGCACCACTGTACTCTGGCCTGGGCGACAGAGTGAGACTCCGTCTCAAAAAAAAAACAAAAAAACAGTTCATTCTCATTCATCTAACAGCAAGTGGTGGCCCGCCTGCCTCCACACAATCATTCAGGAACCCGGCTCCTTTCACTGGGGGCTCTGCAGTTCCCTGGGGCCTCTGCCCGTTATATCTACTAGCGAGTGGGGAAGGGGAACTTGGAACCCTCCATCTGGGCTTGGCATTGGTCCTTACACCCCCCATCCACTGGCACATCTCCTGGCCCTACCTGGGGCAGGGGCAATCCCTCCCCAGTTGGGGGCACACGTGCTAGATGCTTCAGCCATCTGTCCCTGGTGCCACCCAGTGACCTGGGGGCAGAACAGCTGCCCAGCTCGGGGCTGGACCCTGGGGGTCCTGGTTAGGGTGGTCTGAGCATGAAGAGTCCAGGCTGGAGGTGCTGGGGGATGGTGTCAGGTGCTCCAGACGTCGCAGGGGACAGAAAGGAGGATGGGTTCAGGCCCCAGCTCCCCCAGGGCCACCAAGCCAGCTGGGGTATGGGGGAGGACAGGGTGACTGGTTTATTACGCTTTGAGAATCTACCTTCTTCCTGGCTGGTTGGTAAATGGCCCTTGCCCTTGGTCCACTGAGAGATCCAGCCACCAAAAGTTTCACCATAGACCTCATCAAAGCCCCTGGCTGCCCTGGGGTCCTCCAGCGGGGAGGCTGAGGCTCCCAGAGGCCAGGCGGGGCAGGGCACCAGTGACGCTGTCCCCTCCGTCCTCCCTCCCAGCGGTCTCTCTGTGCTGATCCGCGTGCGCCTGGAGCTGCGGCGGCACCAGCGTGCCGGCCACACCATCCCGCGCATCTTTCAGGCGGTAGTGCAGCGACAGCCCGAGCGCCTGGCGCTGGTGGATGCCGGGACCGGCGAGTGCTGGACCTTTGCGCAGCTGGACGCCTACTCCAATGCGGTAGCCAACCTCTTCCGCCAGCTGGGCTTCGCGCCGGGCGACGTGGTGGCCATCTTCCTGGAGGGCCGGCCGGAGTTCGTGGGGCTGTGGCTGGGCCTGGCCAAGGCGGGCATGGAGGCCGCGCTGCTCAACGTGAACCTGCGGCGCGAGCCCCTGGCCTTCTGCCTGGGCACCTCGGGCGCTAAGGCCCTGATCTTTGGAGGAGAAATGGTGGCGGGTGAGGCCAGGCGTGGGCATCAGGTGGGCGGGGACCCAGGACTGGCCCCTGGGCGGGCGGGGAGATGCTGCGCCCCAGGCCTCGGAAGGCGGCCGCCCTGGACGTGGGCATGAGGTGCACGGTCTGGGTATGCCCCGGGCAGGGAGTTGGTGCATCCCAGGCCTCGGGAGGGGGCCTGTCCGGCGGTGACCATGACCCATGTGTTGGGGACCACAGCGGTGGCCGAAGTGAGCGGGCATCTGGGGAAAAGTTTGATCAAGTTCTGCTCTGGAGACTTGGGGCCCGAGGGCATCTTGCCGGACACCCACCTCCTGGACCCGCTGCTGAAGGAGGCCTCTACTGCCCCCTTGGCACAGATCCCCAGCAAGGGCATGGACGGTGAGTCAAGGGTGGGACCCCTGCTCTATCAACTGGTTTCCTACCCGCCCAGGCCCCGCCCCCAACTTCCAGGCCCCACCCCCCAATGCTCAGGCCCCACCCCTAACACCTGTATCTCCTGCAGATCGTCTTTTCTACATCTACACGTCGGGGACCACCGGGCTGCCCAAGGCTGCCATTGTCGTGCACAGCAGGTGAGGGGCCCACAGGCATAATGCCCTCAGCCGCTGAGAGTGACCCAGGCTATCTTGCCAGCCTGACCTGCCCCTCAGCTCCTGTGGGCATCTCCATGTTACCCTGGGGACAGAGAGGGCAGCTGGTGTTTCCTGAGCACTTGCTCTGTGTCCAGACCAGGGCCAAGCCCTCCACGTGTAAACTCATTGCAACCCTCATAACTGCTTGGGGCTGGACAAAGGCATCACACCCATTTTCACACCCATCTTGGGACCCGGTTGCCCTGTGCCCACTACTCTGGGGCCCCTCTCATCCCCCCACCTGTTCACCACATCCATCCCACCAGCAAAACCCGTCCTCTCCATCTGTCTACTTTTTTCCATGCCCCCCATCTGGACCTGTGCCAGCCCCTCCTCGGGCTCCTCCTGCTCCCCCCACTCTCTCCTCCACCCACGATGGCCCAGCTCCTGTCAGCAGCTACAGGAGGTTTGAAAATCCTAAATCAGACCTCCCCTGTCCCAGACCTCCCTGCATCTACCGTGACCCTCAGAATAAAACCCTCTCTCGGGCTAGGCGTGGTGGCTTACGCCTGTAACCCCAACACTTTGGGAGGCTGAGGCAGGCGGGTCACTTGACGTCAGGAGTTCGAGACCGTCCTGGCCAACGTGGCGAAACCCTGTCTCTACTAAAAATACAAAAATTAGCTGGGCGTGGTGGCACATGACTGTAATCCCAGCTACTCGGGAGGCTGAGGCAGGAGAATCGCTTGAACCCAGAGGCGGAGGTTGCAGTGAGCTGAGATCCCGCCACTGCACTCCAGCCTGGATGATACAGCAAGACTCCCTCTCAAAAAAAGAAACAAATAACAAACAAAAACCCTCTCTCAGTTTGGGTGGCTTCTGCCACTTCCCTGATGTCATTTTCCTCCCCTTCACCCCGTACTCACTCCTCCTCAGCCCCCCAAACTCTTCAAACCCATACACTCCTTCCGGCCTCAGGGCCCTCACATGTGCTGTGCCTGGGCACTCTTCCATAGCTCGCCCCCACAGCTCTTTCTTGCTAGGTCTCGGATCACACTTCACCTCCCTAGACAGGATCCCCCAACCCCCCTGGCTGCATTACCATCAGCCCCTCTATGCCCCTTGACCCTATTATATCCCTCGTGACACCTAACACCACCAACAATTGTTGGTTGCGTGTTTCCTTCCTGCCAGCCTGTGAACTCATGCGAACTGGGCTGGCTTTGCCTGGGTCCACATGCAGCATGCTTCCCCATGCCTGTACCCTGGGGGATTTAGGTCCCAGCCTCTGCCCTCCCGGCTCCCCCTCCCCCTGCAGGTACTACCGCATGGCAGCCTTCGGCCACCACGCCTACCGCATGCAGGCGGCTGACGTGCTCTATGACTGCCTGCCCCTGTACCACTCGGCAGGTACTACGGCCTGGGTAGGGAATGGTGGGTGGGGGCGGGGGACCCCTTACCAAGGCCACCCTCTGCAGGAAACATCATCGGCGTGGGGCAGTGTCTCATCTATGGGCTGACAGTCGTCCTCCGCAAGAAATTCTCGGCCAGCCGCTTCTGGGACGACTGCATCAAGTACAACTGCACGGTCAGGCCCTGCCCTGTTCTGTCTAGACCCCGCCCCTCCCAGCCAGGCCTCACCCCCTCCCAATCAGGCCCCACCTCCTCCCGGTGAGGCCCCGTACCTCCCAGCAAAGCCCCACCTCCTCCTGGTCAGGTCCCGTCCTCTCCCAGCCAGGCCCCGCCCCCCGACCAGGCTCTATTCCCTTAACTCCCTTATGTGCGCCCTCCTGTCCACCTGCTGGCGCAACCTGCTCCCCCGTCTCTAGGGGTGGGGTGGGGAGCGGGGCTTAAGGAATGGCTGTTCAGGATGGGGACAGAGAGGGCAAGTAGTGTTTCCTGAGTACCTGCTCTGTGTCCAGACCAGAGCTAAACCCTCCACGTGTAAACTCAATGCAATCCTATAACTTTGGAGGGTGGACCCATTTTGCAGCTGGGGAAACTAAGGCTTGTAATGCGGCTAGGATTGGGCCCAGGGTGCCTGAGCTCCTTAAGGCAATGCCTTCCCCATGCCTTGTGCCCTGTGGGTCTTCCCTGCTGCTGACTGTAGGGAATTGAGACCCTGGGATGGGAAGGGCGATGAGTCTGGGGCTTCCAGGTGAGGAACGCGTGAGGCGGAGGTGGAGGCATCTGCTGTCCCGGAGAGGAGAGCAGGCAGAGGTTAAGAACAGGAATTCTTCTTTCCCCTCCACAGTGAGAGGAGACCAGGCTGAGGGTTTCAGTGCTGTAATGTGGGGCAGGATACAGGAAATACAGGCGGGAGGTACAGGAAACAGGTATGGAGCCCGGAGGGAATAGCAAGGCTGACTGGGAAGGATTGGGTGAGAGGTTGTCCAGGGACTGTGGCAAGTTGGCAGATGCAGATTGGACAGATGGGGCCCAGAGAGATTCAGGCCAGGTCACACAGCTGAGCAGGGGTTGGGGGCTCTGGGCTGAGCATCTTGGGGTATACCACAAGGTCCACAGCTGTGCTTGGCTTCGCTTTTGAGGAGTTTTGGTTCTGTTTGGAGGGTCTTGGGAAAATTACTAATCTGCATGTTGAAATGCAAAAGTATATTTTTATTATTATTATTATTTTTTGAGACAGGATCTCACTCTGTTGCCCAGACTGGAGTGCAGTGGCGCTATCATGGCTCACTGCAGCTTTGACCTCCTGGGCTCAAGTGATCTTCCAGCATTGGCCTCCCAAGTAGCTGGGACTACAGGTGCGCACCACCACGCCTGGCCCACTTTTGAATTTTTTTTGTAGAGAAGAGGTTTCGCCATGTTGCCCAGGCTGGTCTCAAACTCCTGGGTTCAAGCAATCCACCCACCTCGGACTCCCAAAGTGCTGGGATTACAGGCATGAGCCACTGTACCCAGCCCAAAATTATCTTTTAAAAAAAATTACAGAGAGTAGCAAATACACATAAAAGTGGACAGAAAAGTATAGAGAGTTCTGGTGCACCCCTCAGCTGGACCCAGAGGCTATCAGATACCCTGTCCTGCCCCTCCCCACCTCCCCACATCCTCCCCTCGGTGATGGCATAAAGCATCCCTCAGACGGCATCATGTTTCCTGTGTAGCTGTTTCACTATAACCTTTGAAAGATGAGTACTTGTTTTTTCAAATTAAAGTGAAATTCATATAAATTAGCCATATTAAAGTGAAAAATTTGGCCAGGCACAGTGGCTCACGCCTGTAATCCCTGTACTTCGGGAGGCTGAGATGGGCAGATCACTTGAGGTCAGGAGTTTGAGACCAGCCTGGCCAACAGGGTGAAACCCTGTCTCTACTAAAAATACAGAAATGTAGCCTGGCGTGGTGGTTGGTGCCTGTAATCCCAGCTACTCGGGAGACTGAGGCGGAAGAATCGCTTGAACCCGGGAGGCAGAGGTTGCAGTGAGCCAAGATTGCACCACTGCACTCCAGCCTGGGCGTGACAGAGTGAGACTCCATCTCAAAAAAAAAAAAAAAAAAAATTTGGCCGGGCATGATGATACACACCTGTAATCCCAGCTGCCTGGAAGGCTGAGGCAGGAGAATCGCTTGAACCTGGGAAGCGGAGGCTGCAGTGAGCTGAGATCGGGCCACTGCACTCCAGTCTGGGTGACAGAGTGAGATTCCATCTTTAAAAAAAAAAAAAGTCAGTAATTTGGTGGCATTCACAATGTACAATCACCATGTCTATCTAGATCCAGAACATTCTCATGCCCCCCAAAGGAAATCCCATCCCCAGTTACTCCCCATCCCTCCACCCCCAGCCCCTGGCAACCACTATTCTGCTTCCTGCCTCTATGATTTGCCTGTTCTGGACATTTCAGATCAATGGAGTCAGACACTGTCGCCTTTTGTGTCTGGTAAGCATTGTTTTTAAGTGACAGTGATATCTCAGTGTCATCAGGAATCTGGGCAGTGGCTCAATTCTGTCTCACAATGTCAAAAATGTGTTTTTTCTTATTTCCATAATTAAATACACAACCAGCATTATGACTGGTTGATGTGTCTTGTAAGAATTCTTGGCTGAGCGCAATGGCTCATGCCTGTAATCCCAGCACTTTGGGAAGCCGAGGCGGGAGGATCGCTTGAGCCCAAGAGTTGTAGACCAGCCTGGGCAACATAGTGAGTCCCTCATCTCTACAAAAAAATTGAAAATCTAGCTGGTTGTGGTGGTTTGTGCCTGTAGTCCCAGCTGCTTGGGAGGCTGAGGTGGGAGGATTGCTTGAGCCCAGGAGGTCAAGGCTGCTGTCAGCCGTGATTGTGCCAGTGTACTCTAGCCTGGGCAACAGAGCAAGCCCCTATCTCAAAAAAATAAAAAAAAGAAAAGAAAAGAAAAGAAAATATTTCATCTGTAGGTGCCTTTTCTCTTTCTGTCTGTCTCTCTTCCCTCTTGGAATTTATTTATTACAGAAATTGAGATAGTGTCCAGAACAGGTTTGACTCTTAACATTTGGGGCTGGATCATTCCCTGGGGTGGGACGTGTCCTGTGCATTGTAGCATATATTTAGCAACATCCCTGGCCTCCCTGCACCAGATGCCAGTAGCAGTCCCCTTCCCCCAAGTTGTGACAATTAAAAAAATGTGTCTAGATGTTGCTAAGTGTCCCTGGGGGACAGAATGGTCCCCGCTTGAGAATCGCTGGTCTATATATTTTATCGGCTTCAAACTCAACTTTTTTGGCAAAGATTCCTTATGGGTGGTGTGGTGTCCTCCCACTGGGAAGCCCGTCATGTCTGATGGTCTCTCTTTGTCCTTGACACACCATCTTGCATTGGTTACTACTTACTGTCTCCTGGGCCTTGGAAGCTCATTCTGTCAGTTTCCTAGAAGTGGAATTTCTGTGTCAAATAAGGCACACAGTGAACATTGAGAGGCTTTTTAAGAAATAGAGGATGGGAAATTAGCTAGGCATGGTGGGCGCCTATAGTCCCAGTTATTTGGGAGGCTGAGGCGGGAGAATCCTGTGAACCCAGGAGGTGGAGGTTGCAGTGAGCCGAGATCGCACCACTGCACTCCAGCCTGGGTGACAAGAGTGAGACTCCATCTCAAAAAAAAAAAAAAAAAAAGAAAAAGAAATAGAGGACGGGGCCGGGCGCAGTGTCTTACGCCTGTAATCCCAGCACTTTGGGAGGCCGAGGCGGGTGGATCACCTGAGGTCTGGAGTTTGAGACCAGCCTGACCAACATGGAGAAACCCCATCTCTACTAAAAATACAAAAATTAGCAGGGCGTGGTGGCACATGCCTGTAATCCCAGCTACTCAGGAGGCTGAGGCAGGAGAATTGCTTGAACCCGGGAGGTGGAAGTTGCAGTGAGAGCCGAGATTGTGCCATTGCACTCCAGCCTGGGCAACGAGAGCGAAACTCCGTCTTAAAAAAAAAAAGAAAGAAATAGAGGATGGGAAATTAGCCAGGTGCGGTGGTGGGCACCTGTAGTCCCAGCTATTTGGGAGGCTGAGGCAGGAGAATCCTGTGAACCCAGGAGGTGGAGGTTGCAGTGAGCTGAGACTGTGCCACTGCACTCCAGCCTGGGCGACAGAGTGAGACTCCATCTCAAAAAAAAAAAAAGAAAAATAGAGGACAGGGCCGGGCGCGGCGGCTCACGCCTGTAATCCCAGCACTTTGGGAAGTCGAGGCAGGTGGATCACCTCAGGTCAGGAGTTCAAGACCAGCCTGGCCAACATGGTGAAACCCCATCTCTACAAAAACAATTAGCCATGCATGGTGGCGGGCACCTGTAGTCCCAGCTACCCGGGAGGCTGAGGCAGGAGAATCGTTTGAACCCGGGAAGTGGAGGTTGCAGTGAGCCGAGATCGCGCCACTGCACTCCAGACTGGGTGAGAGAGCACAACTCCATCTCAAAAAAAAAAAAAAAAAAAAAACAGGACAGAATCTCTAAAGGTGATGTTTAATAAGGACACAAGGAGAAAACAAGAGCATACATTTATTTGGGTTCAGAAATTACATCTCATGAGAAACTGCTCACTGCTATTTTATCTGTAGCAGCAGTTGCAGTCTAGCCATTCTCATGGGGGCAGCAGGCTATAATCTAGAACCTTACTTTTTTTTTTTTTTGAGACACAGTCTCGCTGCATCTCCCAGGCTGGAATGGAGTAGTGTGATCTCGGCTCACTGCAACCTCCTTCTCCTGGGTTCAAGTGATTCCCCTCCCTCAGCCTCCTGAGTAGCTGGGATTACAGGGGTCTACCACCAAGCCTAGCTAATTTTTTGTATTTTTAGTAGAGACGGGGTTTCACCATGTTGGCCAGGCTGGTCTCAAACTTCTGACCTCAGGTGATCTGCCTGCCCCAGCCTCCCAAACTGCTGGGATTACAGCCATGAGCCACAGCAGCCGGCTTTTGTTGCTTATTTCTTTCTTACTGTACACGTGCTAACAAAAAAGGGATGGTGGAGCCCCCAGGGTGGACATGCCCAGCCCCAGGTAGCTGTTTCTTTTTTTTTTTTTTTTGAGACGGAGTCTCGCTCTGTCTCCCAGGCTGGAGTGCAGTGGCGCAATCTTGGCTCACTGCAAGCTCCACCTCCTGGGTTCCCACCATTCTCCTGCCTCAGCCTCCTGAGTAGCTGGGACTACAGGCGCCCGCCACCACACCTGGCTAATTTTTTTTTTGTATTTTTTAGTACAGACAGGGTTTCACGGTGTTAGCCAGGATGGTCTCGATCTCCTGACCTCATGATCTGCCCACCTCGGCCTCCCAAAGTGCTGGGATTACAGGCGTGAGCCACCGTGCCTGGCCTTTTTCTTTTTCTTTTTCTTTTTGAGACGGAGTCTCACTCTGTTGCCCAGGCCAGAGTGCAGTGGTGCGATCTCAGTTCACTGCAACCTCCACCTCCTGGGTTCAGGTGATTCTCCTGCCTCAGGCTCCTGAATAGCTGGGATTACAGGTGTGTGCCACCACGCCTGGCTAATTTTGTATTTTTAGTAGAGATGGGGTTTCACCATGTTGGCCAGGCTGGTCTCGAACTCCTGACCTCAGGTGATCCACCCACCTTGGCCTCCGAAAGTGCTGAGATTACAGGCGTGAGCTACCGTGCCCGGCCACAGGTAGCCCTTTTTATCGGTGCAGCTGCTGGCATCCCCTGCTGCAAGCTTCCAGCTTCCTTATTTGTGTTTGCAGCCCAATCTTCCAGGCTGTTCTTTGTTAGAAAATAAGTGATTTCTTGGGCTGCTTTTTGTTAGAAGGGAAGTTCTACCGAGGATTTTTTGTTTCCAAAAAAAAAAAAAATAGGCAACGTAGAGTAGCTACTCACCTGCATAATAAGAGATTGGGTTGGGGGCTGCCAGAGATTTGCGCCCTATGCGGATGGCACATCTGGTCCTCACCGGTTTTTCACGGTCTATTTAGATCAGATACAGCCTCCCTGCTAGCTTGTCTGTAAAAATCCTTGCCTTTTTTTTTTTTCTGAGGCGGAGTCTCACTCTTGTCCCCAGGCTGGAGTACAATAGAGCGATCTTGGCTTACTGCAACCTCTGCCTCTCGGGTTCAAGAGATTCTCCTGCCTCAGCCTCCCAAGTAGCTGGGATTACAGGCACATGCCACCAGGTCTGGCAAAATTTTCTTGTATTTTTGTAGAGATGAGGTATTACTACATTGGCTAGGCTGGTCTCGAACTTCTGACCTGAAGTGATCTGCCCACCTCGGCCCCCCAAAGTGCTGGGATTACAGGCATGAGCCACCGCGCCCAGCCATGTGCCCATTTTTTTTTTTTTTTTGAGATGGAGTCTCGCTCTGTCGCCCAGGCTGGAGTGCAGTGGCGCGATCTCGGCCCACTGCAAGCTCCGCCTCCCGGGTTTACGCCATTCTCCTGCCTCAGCCTCCCGAGTAGCTGGGATTACAGGAGTGTGCCACCACGCCCGGCTAATTTTTTGTATTTTTTAGTAGAGACGGGGTTTCACCATGTTAGCCAGGATGGTCTCGATCTCCTGACCTCGTGATCCACCTGCTTTGGCCTCCCAAAGTGCTGGGATTACAGGCTTGAGCCACCCCGCCTGGCCGTGCCCATTCTTAAGCCAGTCATATTGGCTGAGGAGGGGCTGGGCTGATTGGCCAGGTTCTCTCCTAGAGATGGTGTGGGCTGTACCACACCTAAGGCAGTGGCCCAAGTCTGAGAATGGAGGGAGAGGACCCTCCCCCTTAGGGACCTGCTGTTGGTCAGCAGCCAGTGATCTTGGGTGCACTGCATTTCCTCTCTGGGCCTCAGTGCCTTCATCTCCAAGCTCAGCTCAGAGCATGGCGGTGGTGTCTGCTGATCATATTGGTTTAGTCATCAGCTATTTAGTCAGTACCTTCTCAGGGGCACAGCTGGGGGCACAGGGGATGCCTCTCAGTGACGTTTGAGCTGAGACTGAAGAGTTCAGGCAAATGCATCTGGGGGAAGACTGCTTCAGGCAAAAGGCTAGCATGTGCAAAGTCCCTGAGGAGGCAGAGTGTTCAGCGGAGATGGAGGGAGAGGAGGCAGCAGGGGCGGCAGGGCCAGATCCAGTTGGCCACAGGAAGAAATGTGGGTTTCATCCTGTGTGTGAGCGGGAAGCCCCGAGCACATTTGCAGCTGTTATGATCCATCTGGTGGGTAATCCCTGGCATGCAACTGTTTTATTCCCACTCTGGGGCCGGGATGCCTGGGTTCAAATCAAATTCTGCCACTTCCCAGCTCTGTGATCTCGTTCCAGTTCCTTACCATCTGTGAGCCTCGGTTTCTCCATCTGTAAAGTGGCGGGGGGGGAGTCATTCCGAAGCCCAACTGGAGATGAGAACTCTTAAAGGCACCGTGGGGCACCTGGTGGATGACCCCAGGAAGCTCTTGCGGGGCTTGAGAATGTGTGGCAGGGAGGGAAGATGTCCTGCAGGGGGAGCCCATGAGCAGGTGGCTCCGTGGGCACCTGGGGCTCAGTCCAGACGCAGCGCAGCCTAGTGGGTGCACCTGGGAGTGGTCTGCCCAGGGGTGACGCTCCGGCCAGCCCAGGCTCAGCCAGGGGGCTCTGGGTGACAGTGTAGGCTCCAGGCTGAGGGTTGCCCTGCGGGGTGCCAGCTCTCCTGCTAGTCCTGCCCTGTGTGCCTGCTGAGGCTCAGACAGGGATGTGGTATCTCCAGGAAGCTGCTTGGCAGAATCGAGGGACCACGAAGGGGTGCGGGTAGGGGGAGGAGGAAAGACACTGCATCTGCTTGGATAGAAGTTGCATCCGGCCAGGCACAAGTGGCTCACACCTGGAATCTCACACTTTGGGAGGCTGAGGCAGGAGGATTGCTTGAGGCCAGGAGTTCAAGACCAGCCTGGGCAACAGAGCGAGATCCCCCATCTCTACAAAAAAATCTGTAGTCCCAGCTACTCGGGAGGCTAAGGCTGGAAGATCACTTGAACCCAGGAGTTAGAGGCTGCAGTGAGCTGTGATCATGCCACTGCACTCCAGCCTGGGCGGCACAGGGAGACCCCCAACCAAAAAACAACAAAAAAAGCTGCATCCTAGACCCTTTGCAAGAGACTGAACGAGTCCTAGGAGTCAATGTGGTCCCTAATGGAGTGTGGACGATTCTGCAGCCATCATCATCCTTAGGCTGTTCCGCTCATAGGATTAGCTCCCTGGGTGGGGCGGTCTCGGGGTCTCTCCTCTGATCCGGGCTCCCCACCGCCTGCCGGTCCCATCACCCACTTCCTCACCCCGTCCCCCAGGTGGTTCAGTACATCGGGGAGATCTGCCGCTACCTGCTGAAGCAGCCGGTGCGCGAGGCGGAGAGGCGACACCGCGTGCGCCTGGCGGTGGGGAACGGGCTGCGTCCTGCCATCTGGGAGGAGTTCACGGAGCGCTTCGGCGTACGCCAAATCGGGGAGTTCTACGGCGCCACCGAGTGCAACTGCAGCATTGCCAACATGGACGGCAAGGTGCACACCGGCAGGGCCCCGGGGCAGGTCTCGGAGTTCAGGGAAGACCACTGTCTCCTCTTCCTGGGGCCCCTGGGATACATAAAACAGCCTGGACTGGCGCGGAAGGCTCCGCCAAGGCGCACGCAGGGCGGGGTGTAAGGGGAGTTCCTGGGACTCCCGGTGCACCACCAGAGGGACAATCCTGCAGCCTGCACAGATAGTCATGTGACTGTGGTCCTTGGGTCAGGAGAGTTGGAGGATAGGTATGGCTGTGCGCCCTGGCAAGTGCCTCAGCCTTTCTGAGCCTCAGTTTCTGCGTGTGGAGATTAGCAAGGAGAATAGGGCTCTGTGTACCGTGCTGTTATTTTGTTGTTGTTGTTTGAGACAGAGTCTCGCTCTGTCGCCCAGGCTGGAGTGCAGCCACGTGATCATAGCTCACTGTAGCTTTCAGTTCCTGAGCTCAAGCAATCCTCCTGCCTCAGCCTCCCAAGTAGCAGCAAACAGATACCTTCATAATTAGCAACTACTTACTCTCTTAATCATCTCCATTCTCCGCTTGCATGAATCTCCCTCTCCTTTCCCAAGCCCCTCCCATCCAAGGCCAAGAACAGACCGTAATAATGATCATAAAGCAAATGTCGGCTGGGCACAGTGGCTCACACCTGTAATCCTAACACTTTGGGAGGCTGAGGCAGGAGGATCACTTGAGCCCAGGAGTTTGAGACCAGCATAGCCAATGTAGTGAGACCCCCTTTTCTACAGAAAATAAAAAATTAGCCAGGCATGGTGGCAGGTGCCTGTAGTCAATGCTACTAAGGAGGCTGAGGCGGGAGGATCACGTGAGCTCACGAGATCGAGGCTGCAGTGAGCTATGATTACACCACTGGACTCCAGCCTGGGCAACAGAGTGAGACTCTGTGTCTCTAAAAAGGAAAAAAAAAAACAGCAAGTGCCATGGGGGCTGGGTCCTTAATGCCAAGAACAATGCTCCTTCCTCAGTGTGCTTGGTGTTGGATGGCCAGCCCCCAGGGCACTTTTGCTCACTGTAGCTCAGATTCTTGCATAGGAAACACACCAGGCCAGGCACGGTGGCTCACGCCTGTAGGGTCCAGCCCCACAGGGTCGGTGGGTTTTTCTCCCTGTGTGCGGAGACGAGAGATTGTAGAAATAAAGACACAAGACAAAGAGATGAAAGAAAAGACAGCTGGGCCCGGGGGACCACTACCACCAAGAGGCGGAGACCGGTAGAGGCCCCGAATGTCTGGCTGCACTGTTATTTACTGGATACAAAGCAAAAGGGGCAGGGTAAAGAGTGTGAGTCATCTCCAATGATAGGTAAGGTCACGTGGGTCATGCGTCCACTGGACAGGGGGCCCTTCCCTGCCTGGCAGCCGAGGCAGAGGCAGAGAGAGGGAGAGAGAGAGAAAGACAGCTTATGCCATTATTTCTGCATATCAGAGACTTTTAGTACTTTCACTAATTTTGCTACTGTTATCTAGAAGGCAGAGCCAGGTGTACAGGATGGAACATGAAGGCGGACTAGGAGCATGACCACTGAAGCACAGCATCACAGGGAGACGGTTAGGCCTCCGGATAACTGTGGGCAAGCCTGACTGATGTCAGGCCCTCCACAAGAGGTGGAGGAGTAGAGTCTTCTCTAAACTCCCCGGGGGAAAGGGAGACTCCCTTTCCCGGTCCACTAAGTAGCAGGTGTTTTTCCTTGACACTAAGGCTACCGCTAGACTAGACTTCCCAGACGCTGGCGTCACCGCTAGACCAAGGAACCCTCTGGTGGCCCTGTCCGGGCATAACAGAAGGCTCGCACTCTTGTCTTCTGGTCACTACTCACTGTGTCCCCTCAGCTCCTATCTCTCTATGGCCCGGTTTTTTCTAGGTTATGATTACAGAGCGAGGATTATTATAATACTGGAATAAAGAGTAATTGCTACAAACTGATGACTAATGATATTCATATATAATCATGTCTATGATCTAGATCTAGTATAACTCTTGTTGTTTTATATATTTTATTATACTGGAATGGCTCGTGCCCTCGGTCTCTTGCCTCGGCACCTGGGTAGCTTGCCACCCACACACGCCTGTAATCCCAGCACTTTGGGAGGCTGAGGTGGGTGGATCACTTGAGGTCACGAGTTCGAGACCAGTCTGGCCAACATGGCAAAACCCCATCTCTACTAAAAATACAAAAAAAAAAAAAATTGTTTGGGCTCAGTGGCATGCGCCTGTAATCCCAGACTCAGGAGGCTGAGGCATAAGAACCACTTGAACGTGGGAGGCAGAGGTTACAGTGAGCGAAGATTGCGCCACTGCATTCCAGCCTAGGCGACAGAGTAAGACTCTATAAAAAAAGGAAGGAAGGAAGGAAGGGAGGAACGGAGGAAGGGGGAAAAGCAGAAAGAAACACACCAGACAGGGTGTAGTGGCTCAAACATGTTGGAGAAGCATTTCTGTTCATAGAACCATGCCAAGCAGGGCGGCGGGCAGCAGGTGAAGCTCTGCAGTGTCTGACGTAGCTGTAGTGTCCACACAGAGGCATCTACTTCCTGCCAGCATGGAGGGTTTTGTGGATCAGGAAGTGGGTGCCAGCCAGAGGTCTTCTCTTGACTGAATGCAGGCTGGGAAGGTGGGAGGAGGGGCCCTGAGTTGGAGGCGACGCTTACTACCCTGCTTTTGCAGATCAGCCAAGGTCACAGAGCTTAGAATGACACTGGAGGTGCTAGGTCCAAGCCCCAGGGCAAGGCAGGCAAAGTGTTACTGAGAAGGACCCCGCATATCCCCGGCTCCTTCCAACTCAGTTCACCCCATTCCAGGTCGGCTCCTGTGGTTTCAACAGCCGCATCCTGCCCCACGTGTACCCCATCCGGCTGGTGAAGGTCAATGAGGACACAATGGAGCTGCTGCGGGATGCCCAGGGCCTCTGCATCCCCTGCCAGGCCGGTGAGCAGGGCCCCCGCATGGTCCCCACCCGGAGCAGGGGTCCCCACGCCCTGCCTGCCTAGCGCAGCCTGAACATGGCCTTCTCCCTAGGGGAGCCTGGCCTCCTTGTGGGTCAGATCAACCAACAGGACCCGCTGCGCCGCTTCGATGGCTATGTCAGCGAGAGCGCCACCAGCAAGAAGATCGCCCACAGCGTCTTCAGCAAGGGCGACAGCGCCTACCTCTCAGGTGCGCAGCCTGCTAGGCCCCGGTGACTGGCTGTGCGGATGGGGATCCTCCACCCATCTGCCCCTCTCCCCTCTGCCAGGTGACGTGCTAGTGATGGATGAGCTGGGCTACATGTACTTCCGGGACCGTAGCGGGGACACCTTCCGCTGGCGAGGGGAGAACGTCTCCACCACCGAGGTGGAGGGCGTGCTGAGCCGCCTGCTGGGCCAGACAGACGTGGCCGTCTATGGGGTGGCTGTTCCAGGCAAGCTGGGGTTGCAGGGGGTGGTCCTGAGGCATGGTCCTGAGGGAGCTCAGCCAAAAGGGGCTTAGAAGTACACATGCCTTTGGGCAGTGCACAACCTGGACAACTGCTCATGGCAGCCCAGGAGGAAGCACTGGATCTGGAGCCAGTTCACCTGGGTGATGTTGAGCCTCAGTTTTGTCATCCAGAAAATGGGATCATGAAAGCCCACCTGTCTTAGGGCTTCAATGAGCCAAGCAGGAGCTCCACAAAATGTGTGGCTGCTTCCATAAATGTCATCCCAGGTTGGGAGAGACTGGAGATTACAGACCAGGGGCTACTGCTTGACAGTGTATCTGGTCCTGCTGGTGGGGAGGATGAGAGGCGGGGTGTCCTCAGCTGAGCCTCTGCCTCCAGGAGTGGAGGGTAAGGCAGGGATGGCGGCCGTCGCAGACCCCCACAGCCTGCTGGACCCCAACGCGATATACCAGGAGCTGCAGAAGGTGCTGGCACCCTATGCCCGGCCCATCTTCCTGCGCCTCCTGCCCCAGGTGGACACCACAGGTGCGAGTCTCCCCCACTCCAATCTCTCTCTTCATCCATCAGTGTGTCTGTTGATTCATGTCTTGGTCCATTTTGTGTTGCTCTAAAAGAATACCTGGCCGGGGCCAGGCACGGTGGCTCACGCCTGTAATCCCAGCACTTTGGGAGGCCGAGGCGGGCGGATCACGAGGTGAGGAGATCGAGAGCATCCCGGCTAACACAGTGAAACCCTGTCTCTACTAAAAATACAAAAAATTAGCCGGGCACGGTTGCGGGTGCCTGTAGTCCCAGCTACTTGGGAGGCTGAGGCAGGAGAATGGCATGAACCTGGGAGGCGGAGTTTGCAGTGAGCCCAGATCACGCCACTGCACTCCAGCCTGGGCGATAGAGTGATACTCTGTCTCAAAAAAAAAAAAAAAAAAAGAATACCTGGCCGGGTGTGGTGGCTCCCGCCTGTAATCTCCGCACTTTGGGAGGCTGAGGCAGGTGGATCACCTGAGGTCAGGAGTTCGAGACCAGCCTGGCCAACATGGTGAAACTGTGTCTCTACTAAAAATACAAAAAAAAATTAGCCAGGCATGGTGGCATGCACTTGTAGTCCCAGCTACTCAGGAGGCTGAGGCAGAAGAATTGCTTGAACCTGGGAGGCAGAGGTTGCAGTGAGCCGAGATCAGGCCACTGCACTCCAGCCTGGGTGACAGAGTGAGACAATGTCTCAAAATAATAATAATAATTTCAACATGATTTTTGGTGCGGACAAACAAACCATATCCAAACCATTTACTCATCCTAGTTCAGGACAGTGTCCTGGGACTGACACAAGGGCTCACAGCCAGCTAGCACTGTGGGCTCTCACGGGTCCCTTCTGCTGTTTTATTTTAGTAGTTATTTATTTCCATTCCTCACTTCCACTGCCACTAAGCATTCTGAAATAGTGTTTTTTTTGTTTTTTTTTTTTTTTTTTTTTTTTTGAGATGGAGTCTTGCTCTGTCACCCAGGCTGGAGTGCAGTGGCGTGATCTTGGCTCACTGCAACCTCTACCTCCTGGGTTCAAGCGATTCTCCTGCCTCAGCCTCCTGAATAGCTGGGATTACAGGTGTGCACCACCATGCCCAGCTAATTTTTTTGTATTTTTAGTAGAGATCGAGTTTTACCATATTGGCCAGGCTGGTCTTGAACTCCTGACCTCAAGTGATCCACCTGCCTTGGCCTCCCAAAGTGTTGGGATTACACACATGAGCCACTGCACCCGGCCTCGGTGTATCTTTTCTTTTTCTTTTGTTTTTTTTGTTTGTTTGTTTGTTTGAGACAGGGTCTTACTCTGTTGCCCAGGCTGGCATGCAGTGGCACTATCATAGCTCACTGCAGCCTCAGCCTCCTGGGTTCAAATGATCCTCCCACCTCAGCCTCTGGAGTAGCTAGGACTACAGGCAGGCACCACCATGCCTGACTAATTTTTTTGATTTTTTGTAGAGATGGGGTCTGTATTAGTCCATTCTCATGCTGCTAATAAAGACATATCCGAGACTGGGTAATTTATAAAGGAAAGAGGTTTAATGGAACTCACAGTTCCACATGGCTGGGATGGCCTCACCATCATGGCAGAAGACGAAGGAAAAGCAAAGGGACTTTTTAATGGTGGAGGGCAAGAGAGTGTGTGCAAGGGAACTCCCCTTTAAAAACCACCAAATAAAGCCATCAAATCTCGTGAGACCCCTTCACTATCATGAGAACAGCACGGGAAAGACCCACCCCCATGATTCAACTACCTCCCACCGGGTCCCTCCCACAACACGTGGGAAGTATGGGAGCTACAATTCAAGATGAGATTTGGGTGGGGACACAGCCAAAATATATCAGGGTCTCACTGTGTTGCCCAGGCTGGTCTCGCAGTCCTGGGCTCAGGCAAACTTTTTCTTAAAGGACCAGATAGTTAATATTTTCGGCTTTGCAGGCCATACAGCCTCGATTGCTATTCAACACTGCTATTCTTGTGCAAAAGCAGCCATAGACAATGTGCAAATGAATGAGCATGGCTGTGTGCCAATAAAACTTTATTTCTAAATTTTTATTTATTTTTTGAGACAAGATCTTGCTGTTGTCCAGGCTGGAATGCAATAATGCAATCATAGTTTACTGCAGTCTTCTCCTCCTGGGCTCAAGTGATTCTCCCACCTCAGCCTCCCAAGTAGCCGGAACTACACGCACGTGCCATGACACCCAGCTAATTTAAAAAAAAAAAAAAATTGTTGGCCGGGTGCGGTGGCTCACGCCTGTAATCCCAGCATTTTGAGAGGCCGAGGCGGGCAGATCACTTGAGGTCAGGAGTTCGAGACCAGCCTGGCCAACATAGTGAAACCCTGTCTCTACCAAAATTTTAAAAATTAGCCACGTGTGGTGGTGCACGCCTATAATCCCAGCTACTTGGGAGGCTGAGGCAGGAGAATCACTTGAATCCAGGAGGTGGAGGTTGCAGTGAGCCGAGATCACACCACTGCACTCCAGCCTGGGTGACAAAGCAAGACTATGTCTCAAAAAAAAAAAAAAAAAAAAAAAAAAGGGTTTTTGCAGAGACAGAGTCTCACTATGTTGCCCAGGCTGGTCTTAAACTCCTGGGCTCAAGCGACCCTCCTGCCTTGGCGTCCCAAAGTACTGAGATTATAGGCATGAGCCATTATTGTGCCCGGCCCCAGTAAAACTTTATTTACAAAAACAGGTGGAGGGCCAAATTTGGCCCACAGGATGTAAGTTGCTAAACTCTTATTCACTGTGTAACAGACACAGCCCTGCCTGTCATGTGGGGAATGGACACATGACCAGGCAGGGTGTACATTTTCTTGCCCTGGTGAGGAGTGGTTAGGGAGGCCTCACTGGAGGAGGGGGCATGAAGCCAGGATCTGACAGACAAGGGGGAATCAGGCAGGCAAAATGGGGAAGAACATTCCTGCCCAGGGGACAGCCTGTGGGAAGGTCCAGAGGTGCAGGAGAGGATATTGAGTTGAGGCCTCCCAGAAGCCACCTGCTCAGCCCTTATCTGCCCCCCATCCCCACTATAGGCACCTTCAAGATCCAGAAGACGAGGCTGCAGCGAGAGGGCTTTGACCCACGCCAGACCTCAGACCGGCTCTTCTTCCTGGACCTGAAGCAGGGCCACTACCTGCCCTTAAATGAGGCAGTCTACACTCGCATCTGCTCGGGCGCCTTCGCCCTCTGAAGCTGTTCCTCTACTGGCCACAAACTCTGGGCCTGGTGGGAGAGGCCAGCTTGAGCCAGACAGCGCTGCCCAGGGGTGGCCGCCTAGTACACACCCACCTGGCCGAGCTGTACCTGGCACGGCCCATCCTGGACTGAGAAACTGGAACCTCAGAGGAACCCGTGCCTCTCTGCTGCCTTGGTGCCCCTGTGTCTGCCTCCTCTCCCTGCTTTTCAGCCTCTGTCTCCTTCCATCCCTGTCCCTGTCTGGCCTTAACTCTTCCCTCTTTTTCTTTTCTTTCTTTCTTTCTTTTTTTTTTAAGATAGAGTCTCACTCTGCTGCCCGGGCTAGAGTGCAGTGGTGGGATCTCGGCTCACTGCAACCTCTGCCTCCTGGGGTTCAAGTGATCCTCCCACCTCAGCCTCCTGAGTAGCTGGGATTACAGGCACCCGCCACCACGTCCAGCTAATTTTTATATTTTTAGTAGAGACGGGGTTTCACCATGTTGGTCAGGTTGGTCTTGAACTCCTGACCTCAGGTGATCCGCTGGCCTCGGCCTCCCAGAGTGCTGGGATTATAGGCGTGAGCCTCTGGCCCGGCCTTTCCTTTTTCCTCTCCTCTCCTGCCGAGAGTGGAACACGCGTGTCCTGGGAGCTGCATCTTGTGTAGGGTCCAGCTGCTTTTGGGGACTGCAGGAATCATCTCCCCTGGGCCCTGGACTCGGACTGGGGCCTCCCCACCTCCCTCTCGGCTGTGCCTTACGGAGCCCCGATCCAGGCCTCCTGTGGCTGTTGGGTTCCAGATGCTGCAGCTCCATGTGACTTCCAAGCAGGCCCTCCGCCCTCCCTGCTGAATGGAGGAGCCGGGGGTCCCCCAGGCCAACTGGAAAATCTCCCAGGCTAGGCCAATTGCCTTTTGCACTTCCCCGTTCCTGTCACATTTCCCCAGCCCCACCTTCCCCTCCTGATGCCCTGAAAGCTTCCGGAATTGACTGTGACCACTTGGATGTCACCACTGTCAGCCCCTGCCTTGATGTCCCCATTTAGCCATCTCCATGGAGCTCCTGCTGGAGGGCCCTGAACCCTGCACTGCGTGGCTGCCCAGCCAGCTGCCTCCTGTCCTGGGAGGAGGCCTCCTGGGTGTCCTCATCTGGTGTGTCTACTGGAGGGTCCCACAGGAGAGGCAGCAGAGGGGTCAGGGGAGGTCTCCTGCCGGGGGTTGGCCTCTCAAGCCTCAGGGGTTCTAGCCTGTTGAATATACCCCACCTGGTGGTGGCCCCTCCGATGTCCCCACTGATGGCTCTGACACCGTGTTGGTGGCGATGTCCCAGACAATCCCACCAGGACGGCCCAGACATCCCTACTGGCTTCGCTGGTGGCTCATCTCGAACATCCACGCCAGCCTTTCTGGGGCCGGCCACCCAGGCCGCCTGTCCGTCTGTCCTCCCTCCAGCAGCACCCCCTGGCCCCTGGAGTGGTGGGGCCATGGCAAGAGACACCGTGGCGTCTCATGTGAACTTTCCTGGGCACTGTGGTTTTATTTCCTAATTGATTTAAGAAATAAACCTGAAGACCGTCTGGTGCCTGCTGGGAGCCCATTCATTGAGTGTCCCTATGTGGCACAGAACCCTTGCTGAGTTTCAGAAGGCAGGACTCGGCCAGCCGGGCATAGTGGCTCATGCCTGTAATCCCAGCACTTTGGGAGGCTGAGGTGGGTGAATCACTTGAGCCCAGGAGTTCGAGACCAGCCTGGCCAACATGGTGAAACCCTGTCTCTACTAAAAATACAAACAAAATAATTAGCTGGGCATGGTGGCTCACACCTTTAATTCCAGCTACTCGGGAGGCTCAGGCAGGAGAATTGCTGGAACCTAGGAGGCAGAGGTTGCAGTGCACTCCAGCCTGGGTGGCAGAGCGAGACTCTGGTTCAAAATAGAAAGAAAGAGAGAAAGGGGGAGGGAGGGAGGGAAAGAGCGAGAGAGGAGAGGAGAGGGAGGGAGGGAGGGAATACAAAAAGTAGCCAGGCATGGTGGTGCGCGCACCTGTAATCCCAGCTACCCCAGAGGCTGGGGCAGGAGAATTGCTTGCGCCGGGAGGTGGAGGTTGCAGTGAGCCGAGATGGTGCCACTGCACTCCATCCTGGGTGACAGAGCGAGACTTTGTCTCAAAAAAAAAAAAAAAAGAAAAGAAAAAGAAGGGACCCTGTACCATGTGGCCCCATCTGCAAGACCAAAGGGACCTTGGGGCAGGGGCACTCGGGTTGGCCCTCTCGCTGGCCTGCCGAGGGGGAGGCACCTCCCTGCAGTGTCTGGGCCTCACAGGCCCTCGTTGACCTTGTGGTTGCAGGGGAGGGATGGCCAGCCTGCCTGTGGGTTCCTGCAGGTGTTGCAGGATGGCTCAGATCACGGTATGTCCTGGCACCTGTGGCTGCCCTGGCAGTGTCCTCTTCCATGTACAGGCCGGCTGGTGTGAGAGCTCTGGGTGAAAGTCGCTAGGCCTGCTGGGGTGGCCGTCTGAGCTGGGATTCGAACCCAGGACTCCAAGCTCAGGAGTCTATACAGTATTCCTCCCAATCGCTGGGGGATATGTTCCAAGACCCCAAATGGATGCCTGAAACTGACCATAATACTGAGCCCTAAATATGTTTTGTTTCTTTTCTTTCTTCCTTTCTTTCCTTTCCTTCTTTTTCTTTCCCTTCCTCCCTCCCTCCCTCCCTTCCTTTCCTTCATCCTTTCCTCCCTTTCTAATTTTAATTTAATTTAATTATTTATTTATTTTTGAGATGGAGTCCTGCTGTCTCCCAGGCTGGAGTGCAGTGGCACGATCTCGGCTCACTGCAAGCTCTGCCTCCCAGGTTCACGCCATTTTCCTGCCTCAGCCTCCCGAGTAGCTGGGACTACAGGTGCCTGCCACCACGCCCGGCTAATTTTTTTGTATTTTTAGTAGAGATGGGGTTTCACCGTGTTAGCCAGGATGGTCTCAATCTCCTGACCTCATGATCCGCCCTCCTCGGCCTCCCAAAGTGCTGGGATTACAGGCGTGAGCCACCGCACGTGGCCTAATTTATTTATTTTTAAGACAAAGTCTTATTCTGTTGCCCAGGCCAGAGTACAGTGGCATGATCATAGCTCACTGCAGCCTTGACCTCCCACACACAAGCAATCCTCCATCAGCCTCCTGCGTGGCTGAGACTACAGATATGCACCATCACGCCCAGCTAATTTTTTGATTTGTTTGCAGAGATGAGGTCCCACTGTATTGCCCAGGCTGGTCTTGAACTCCTGGGCTGAAGCCATCCTCCTGCCTTGGCCTCCCAAAGTGCTGGGATTACAGGTGTGAGTCACCGTGCCCAGTTTATACTGGTTTTTCAATCTCATAACCAGGAGGCTACTAAGTGACAAATGAGTGGGCATGGGGGGAGTGGTGTCTCCAGCATGGATCTGCTGGACAAAGGGGTGATTCATGACCCTGGGCGGGACAGAGAGGGATGGAGCAAGGCAGTCCGAGATTTCATCATGCTCCTCAGAACAGCACGCAATTTGAAACTTATGAATTGCTTATTTCTGGAATTCTCCATTTAATATGTTTGAACTGTGGAAACCTCAGAAAGAGAAACTTTGAATAAGCAGGGACTACTGTACTCTCAACTGACTCTCACCTCTGCTGTCCCCCTCGCGTGTCATAATGTTGGCATCTTGTTTGTTGTCTCTACCTCAGGGGACAGGAGGTGACAGAGCATTTGCTGGGAGAGGACACTGAGGGGGTGACCCTCGTGTGCAGATGAGCAAGTGAATTTTTTTGTTTTGTTTTTTGCTTTTTGGTTTTTTTGAGACGGAGTCTTGCTCTGTCGCCCAGGCTGGAGTGCAGTGGCACAATCTGACTCACTGCAGCCTCCGCCTCCTGGGTTCAAGCAATTCTCCTGCCTCAGCCTCCTCAGTAGCTGGGATTGCAGGCACGTGCCACCACACACAGCTCATTTTTGTATTTTTAGTAGAGACAGGGTTTCACCATGTTGGCCAGGCTGGTCTCAAACTCCCGACCTCAGGTGATCCACCCACCTTGGCCTCTCAAAGTGCTGGAATTACAGGCGTGAGCCATGGCACCCAGCTGGGCAAGTGAATTCTGACTAATCTCTCTCCAACCTCGCAACCACTTCAGGAAGTGTCACCATGGTCCCCATTGTACAGATGCAGAAACTGAGGCACAAGAAGGGGAATGGACTCATTGCCAGGGGCTCCAGGTGAGACAGTGGCCCAGTGAACTTTCTTGTTCCAAAGCCTCTAGCTGCAATAGTGTCTAGGAAGTTCCCTCCAAGTTGGCCAGAAAATAATCCCAATGACTCTTAGGCTTGAACTCTGTTAGTTTTTCTTATTAATTAACAGACTTTTTGGGTTTTATTTATTTATTTATTTATTTATTTATTTATTTATTGTTTTGAGACAGAGTCTAGCTCTGTTGCCCAGGCTGGAGTGCAGTGGCGAGATCACGGCTCACTGCAAGCTCCTTCTCCCAGGTTCACACCATTCTCCTGCCTCAGCGTCCCAAGTAGCTGGGACCACAGGCGCCTGCAACCACACCTGGCTAATTTGTATTTTTACTAGAGACAGGGTTTCATCGTGTTAGCCAGGATGGTCGTGATCTCCTGACCTCGTGATCCACCCGCCTCGGCCTCTCAAAGTGCTGGGATTACAGGCGTGAGGCACCGCGCCCGGCCTATTTATTTATTTAAGAGGGAGTCTTGCTCTGTCGCCCAGGCTGGAGTGCGGTGGCGCGATCTTGGCTCACTGCAACCTCTGCCTCCCGGGTTCAAGCCATTCTCCTGCCTCAGACTCCCGAATAGCTGGGATTACAGGCATGAGCTACTACGCCTGGCTAATTTTTGTATTTTTAGTAGAGATGGGGTTTCTACTTCATTTGAGAGGCCGGTCTCGAACTCCTCACCTCAGGTGATCTGCCTACCTTGGCCTGCCAAAGTGTTGGGATTACAGGCGTGAAGCACCACGCCTGGCCTATTCCTTTTTTTTTTTTTTTTTTTTTGAGACAGAGTTTTGCTCGTTGCCCAGGCTGGAGTGCAATGGCGTGATCTCAGCTCACCACAACCTCCACCTCCGGGGTTCAAGCCATTCTCCTGCCTCCGACTCCCGAGTAGCTGAGATTACAGGCATGTGCCACCACGCCCAGCTAAGGCTTTGTATTTTTAGTAGAGACAGGGTTTCTCCATGTTGGTCAGGCTGATCTTAAACTCCCGACCTCAGGTGATCCACCTGCCTTGGCCTCTCAAAGTGCTGGAATTACAGGCGTGAGCCACCACGCCCAGCCCTCCTTTCTTTTTGAATAGTCCTGGCACCGTTGCCAAAGATGAGTTGACCATATATGCATAGGTTTATTTCTGCATCAGTTCCAATCATTTATTTATATGTCTATCCTTATGCCAATACCACAGTTTTGGTTATTGTACCTTTTTATTGTTTGAAATGAGAAAGTATGAGTCCTCGTATTTTATTCAATATTGTTTTGGCTATTTTGGGGCCATTTGCAATTTATTATTAATTTTAGGATCAATTTGTCAATTTCAACAAAAACATTGTAAATTTGAAAGGGATTACATTGCATCCGTAGACCAATTTGTGGAGTACTGCCATCTTAACAATATTATACTTTCCAATCCATGAACGTGGAATGTCTTACCATTTATTTAGATCATCTTTAATTTTTTTTTTCACCAAAGTTTTAGTTCTTTTGCTTGTTTCGAGACAGGGTCTCACTCTATTGCCCAGGCTGGAGTGGAATGGCAGGAACACAGCTCACTGCAGCCTTAGTCTCCTGGGCTCAAGTGATCCTCCCACCACAGCCTCCCAAGTAGCTGGGACCACAGGCAGCTGCCACCGGGTCCAGCCTTGGCTTCCCAACGTGCTGGGATTACAGCTGTGAGCCACCAAGCCCAGCTACAGCTCTCAAGAAGTACAGTCTTGTACTTCTTTTATTAAATTTATGCCTACTTTATACTTTATGATGCTATGGTAAATGGAATTGTTTTCTTAATTTGCTACTGATTTTAAAATCCACTACCTGTGTGAGTTGAACTGCGCTTACACACATCACTGAAATATCCCACTCTCAGAAGTGGCCCAGCCTCCCCAGGCCCACCAGGCCTTCTTCCCCTTCCAGCCCTCTGTCCAGGCAAGAACTCGATTGGAGGCCTTTCTGGGCACTCAGAGGGACACACCACCACACTAGGAGGGTTAGCTTAAAAAATTCAACAAGCATGGCCAGGCGCAGTGGCTTTCGCCTGAATGCTACCACTTTGGGAGGCCGAGGCAGGAAGATCGCTTGAGCCCAGGGGTTCAAGATCAGCCTAGACCATATAGCAAGAGCCCGTCCGTCCGGAAAATGTAAAAAAAAAAAAAAAAAAAATTCAACAAGCATATTTTCATCCCCTACTTTTTTTTGAGATGGAGCCTCGCTCTGTCGCCCAAGCTGGGGTGCAGTGGCACGATCTCGGCTCACTGCAACCTCCGCCACCCCGGTTCAAGCGATTCTCCTGCCTCAGCCTCCCGAGTAGCTGGGACTACAGGCGCCCGCCACTACGCCCGGTTAATTTTTTGTGTTTTCAGTAGAGACGGGGTTTCACCGTGTTAGCCAGGATGGTCTCGATCTCCTGACCTCGTGATCCGCCCGCCTCGGCCTCCCAAAGTGTTGGGATTACAGGCGTCAGCCACCGCGCCCGGCGGTGCAGGAATTTTAAAACTCACCAAAATACGCCCTCCTTCAGAAAATCCCTGCCACCTCGATAGGACGTCCTCTTCTTGAGCTCCCCTCTCCGGCCCTCCCTGATACAGCAAGGTTGAGCATTCGGGCACTGGCTTCCCGAACTCACTTCGACTCAGGCACAGCAGGCAAAGATTCAATGGGTAGGGCCGGACCGACTGCCCGACCTTCGCGGTGCTTCACTTGCCTCACTGCGCATGTGCCAAAGACAATCACCCAAAGTACTCGAAACCAAGCGGCAGGGCCGGCCCTTGCGCAGGCGTACTAGCGACGGCCGTAGGGAGCGCTTCCTCCTCCCCGCCGCCGCCCTCGCCATGGCCGCGCCGGCCCCGGGCCTCATCTCGGTGTTCTCGAGTTCCCAGGAGCTGGGTGCGGCGCTAGCGCAGCTGGTGGCCCAGCGCGCAGCATGCTGCCTGGCAGGGGCCCGCGCCCGTTTCGCGCTCGGCCTGTCGGGCGGGAGCCTCGTCTCGATGCTAGCCCGCGAGCTACCCGCCGCCGTCGCCCCTGCCGGGCCAGCTAGCTTAGCGCGCTGGACGCTGGGCTTCTGCGACGAGCGCCTCGTGCCCTTCGATCACGCCGAGAGCACGTACGGCCTCTACCGGGTGAGAGCTACGGGGGCCGCCGGGGATCACGCCGAGAGGGCCACAGCCACCGCCTACACCCCGGCTACGGAGGCCGCCGGGGGCCATGCCGAAAGGGCCGCGCCCACTGTCTGCACCTCGGCTACGGGGGCCACTGGGTATCATGCCAAGAGGGCCGTGCCCACTGCCTGCACCTCGGCTACGTGGGTCGCTGGGGGTCATGCCAAGAGGGCCGCGCCCACCGGTTGCCCTCGGCTACGGGGGCCACTGGGGGTCATGCCGAGATGGTCACGCCCACTGCCTGCACCTCGACTACGGGGGCCGCTGGGGGTCTAGCCGACAGGGCTCGCCCGCCTCCTGAACCCCGCCTACAGTGGGTCCCGCAGGACCTCACTGCGCCCTCTGCCTTTATCTAGGCAGGGCTAGAAATGGTCTACTTGCAGTCCGTCTTCCTGCTTCATCCGGTGGCCAGGCAGAGGGAACGGCACGGGCAAGGGCCTGGAAGGGAATCCGAGTGGCCCATGTCAAACGATGCCCATAACTCAGCCCCGTAGCGGACGGGGGCACGAGGAATCAGGTGTAGAGCCTGAATCTCAGGGTCCTGATCTCTAACCCCAGCGAGTTCTCGGGGATCCCTGGGCAGCTTTGCCGCTCTGATGGCTCTGCTTCCAGGCTGTTCATCTTTGGCTTTGAGCCTCAGGATTCTATAGAATCAGAGGAGCGCGCTCTTTTAAAGACAGGGTAACTGAGGCTTGGAGGAGCCTTGGCCTGGCCGAGGGAAGAGTGGGAGGGGCGGGCTCAAAGGCCAGGAACCTCAAGTCACTTGAGTCTGGCAGCGTCAAGGGACACCCCATGCTGGGTGTGCCGTCTTCTCTTTGCATAGAATCTTGAGCTGATGATGGTTTTGTGGGTTTTTTATTAAGAGAAAAGGCTTACTGAACGCTTTATATGCATCAATTCATGAGTCCGTACCACAGCCTATGAGATGTTACACTCATTTCACAGATGGAGAAACTGAGGCCAGAAGAGGTGAGCTTACCTGCCCAAGGCATCTAGTGACCAGAGGGGCAGCCAGGGTGTGATCCTGCCTCATCTGACTTCGTAGTTGGGTACACATTTAACTTCCGCCTTCCTGTGTGTGTTTTCCAAGAGCATCATTAAAAAGTTTTGGCCGGGTGCGGTGGCTCACGCGTGTAATCCCAGCACTTTGGGAGGCCGACGTGAGTAGATCACCTGAGGTCAGGATTTCGAGACCAGCCTGGCCAACATGGCAAAACTCTGTCTCTACTAAAAAAAAATACAAAAATTGGCTGGGTGCGGTGGCTCACGCTTGTAATCCCAGCACTTTGGGAGGCTGAGGCGGGCGGATCACGAGGTCAGGAGTTTGAGACCAACCTGACCAACATGGTGAAACCTGTCTCTACTAAAAATGCAAAAATTAGCCAGGTGTGGTGGTGCGCACCTGTAATCCCAGCTACTCGGGAGGCTGAGGCAGGAGTGAGGCATGATCAGTGAACCGAGATCATGCCATTACACTCCACCCTGGGCGACAGAGTGAGACTGTCTTAAAGATAAAAAAAAAAAAAAGCAGGTTTTTGGCCGGGCGTGGTGGCTCATACCTGTAATCTCAGCACTTTGGGAGGCCAAGGATGGTGGATCACCTGAGGTCAGGTGTTGGAGACCAGCCTAGCCAACATGGCAAGACCCCATCTCTACTAAAAATACAAAAATTAGCTGGGTGTGGTGGCGTGTGCCTGTAATCCCGGCTACAGGGGAGGCTGAAGCACGAGAATCGCTTGAATGTGGGAGGCAGAGGTTGCAGTGAGCTGAGATCATGCCACTGCACTCCAGCCTGGGCGACAGTTGAGACTCTGTCTCAAAATAAATAATTGTGAAATGCTGCAGAGTGCTAGGGAATAGGGAGTGAGCATTCGTCAAGGGCTATGGGGTGGGAGGTCCTGAGAAGGTGCCATTTGAGCTGAGAGCTGGAGCATGTGCAGGAGCTGGCCATGGTCAAGCTGTGGCAAGAGGGCTCAGCTAAGGCCAAAGCCGTGTGATGGGAGCAAACCTGAAGCCAGGACTTGCTCCTTCTGCCGGTTCTCTGTGAGGGGAATCATATCGGTTCCCTAGGGCTACATAACGAATGACCACAAACTGAGCGGCTTAAAGCCACAGGAATTTATTCTCTCACCGTTCTGGAGGCCAGAAGTCTGAAATCAAGGTGTTGGTGGGGTCACGCCCCATCTGAAAGCTCTTTGGGAGGATCCTTCATTTTCTCCTCATCTTCTGGGGGCTCTGGGCGTTCCTTGGCTTGGGGTCACACCATTCCAATTCCTGTCTCTGTCTGCACATGGCCTTCTTGGATTCTGTGTGTCTTCTCATCTTATATAAGGACGCCAGTCATTGGATTTAGGGCCCACACTAATCCACTATGACTTGTTCTTAACTAATTACATCTGCAAAGACCCTATTTCCTTCCTTCCTTCCCTCCTTCCCTCCCTTCCTTCCCTTCCTTCCTTCCTCCCTTCCTATACTTTCTTTTCTTTTCCTTTCCTTTTCTTTCTTTTTTTGAGATAGGATCTTGTTGTGTTGCCCAGGCTGGAGTGCAGAGGCATGATCGTGGCTTACTGCAGCCTTCAGCTCCCGGGCTCTATCAATCCCCCTGCCTCAGCCTCCTCAGTAGCTGGGACTACAGGTGTGCACCACCAGGCCCAGCTAATTTTTTTTTTTGAGTTGGAGTTTCACCCTTGTTGCCCAGGCTGGAGTGCAATGGCGCGATCTCAGCTCACCACAACCTCCGCCTCCTGGGTTCAAGTGATTCTCCTGCCTCAGCCTCCCAAGTAGCTGGGATTACAGGCATTCACCACCACGCCCAGCTAATTTTATATTTTTAGTAGAGGTGGGATTTCTCCATGTTGGTCAGGCTGGTCTCGAACTCCTGACCTCAGGTGATCCGCCTGCCTTGGCCTCCCAAAGTGCTGGGATTACAGGCATGAGCCACCGTGCCAGGCCGCTAATTTTTTATTTTTGGTAAATACGAAGTTTCACTATGCTGCCCAGGCTGGTCTCAAACTCCTGGGCTCAACCGATTGTCCCACCTCAGCCTCCCAAAGTGCTGGGATTACAGCCGTGAGCCACCATGCCTGGCCATTTTCTGTTGTTTATAAGCCTCGAGTTTATGGTGTTTTGTGATAGCAGGCTGCATAGATTAACACAGGGACCTTGGACAAAGCAGAGTGGTCTTTCCAACTATGGATACGATTGTGTCCCTCCCCAGCTCACACACCCTCCTTGGCTCCCCAATGCCCTCAGTGTGGAGCTCATACTCCTCAGGTCAGCATTCAGGGCAGTCAGCCCCTGCGTTTACTTCGTGGCTCACCTTAGCATTGCCTCAGCTCACTGAGCTAGACTCTGCACAAACACGAGGCACCGAGACATGGACGCCATCTCAGAGCAGACCAGGGCCCCTGGGGCGCCTCTCAGTGGGATAGGGCTGCAGCTTTCTCCTTGATCCAAGTGCTTTTGAGTTAAATCTGCTGCCAACGACTCCACCATTCACAGGCCAGGGCATCTACTGTGCGCTAGCCACAGGTGCTGGGCCTGGGCAAGCCTGGCCCCCACTCCCTGTAGTGGGGCAGGTGCAGGCGGGGGTGGCTGCTCGGAGGAGGTGGCCTGAGGGATGTATATGAGTTTCCCAGGCAGCCTTAGGAGGGAGGGTGGGGATGGAGAAGGTTACCCTTCTCCATGGAGGGTGGTGAGGGGCTGAGTTTTATCCCAAGGGCCGTGGGACCCTGGAGGCTTTGAAACAGGACAATGGGCTGGCTAGACAGGTGCAGGCTATGGCCAGGAAACCCCCCAAATACAACGGAATTGAAAGACTCCTGTTGGAATGCTGGCCCCCGCAGGAACCACCATGATCCCGATTCACCCAGGAGGGCCACCCTCCCGTCCAGCCCCCCAAGAGCAGCAGGGCTCCCTCTTGCCCTTGAACCTCCTCTGCCCTGACAGGCGGCGTCACCCAGGGCTCAGGATCCTGGCTTCCAGCATTCCAGAGGTGACTCACCAACCAAAGTGTCACTCACCAACCGAAGGACCTTGCACAAATGCACCAGCCTCCCCATGCCTCAGTCTCCCCATCTGTAAATGAGTGTTATGACGGTACTGTCATAAACTCCCTGGAGGATCCAGGTGGTCACGTTACTGTTGGTGACATTGTCCCTCTGTTGGCTGCAGACGCATCTTCTCTCCAGACTGCCGATCCCAGAAAGCCAGGTGATCACCATTAACCCCGAGCTGCCTGTGGAGGAGGCGGCTGAGGACTACGCCAAGAAGCTGAGACAGGTGAGCCCCGAGGAGCGGCCGCAAGGGAGTCACATCCACGAAGCGGCCACACCCCGGGCAACAGAGCGGCCTTCTGATTGTCACCAGCAGGAACTGCCCCAGGGATCACTGGCAGATCCCTTTGAGGAATCCCCTCTTCGAGGCCACAGCCCTGCCCTGGGGAGCCTGAAGGCCACTCGGCCTCTGTTGCCCAGGTAACAGGCCTGGGTCCTCACATCTTGGGGAAATATGATGGGTATGGCTATGGCTTTGATCACAGGCTACATTGAGCACTGTTTCCTGCGTTACAGCTACTTGTATTTCTTTTTTTTTTTTTTTCTTTGAGACGGAGTCTCACTCTGTCGCCCAGGCTGGAGTGCAGTGGCGTGATCATGGCTCACTGCAAGCTCCGCCTCCCGGGTTCACACCATTCTCCTGCCTCAGCCTCCTGAGTAGCTGGGACTACGGGTGCCCGCCACCACGCCTGGTTAATTTTTTTGTATTTTTTTAGTAGAGACGGGGTTTCACCATGTTAGCCAGGATGGTCTCGATCTCCTGACCTCGTGATCCGCCCACCTTGGCCTCCAAAGTGCTGGGATTATAGGCGTGAGCCACCATGGGCCTTTTTTTTTTTTGAGATGGAGTCTTACTCTGTCACTCTGTCACCTAGGCTGGAGTGCAGTGATGCAATCTCAGCTCACTGCAACCTCTGCCTCCCGGGCTCAAGTGATTATCCTACCTCAGCCTCCCAAGTAGCTAGGACTACAGGTGCCTGCCACCACGCCTGGCTAATTTTTGTATTTTTAGTAGAGACAGGGTTTCATCATGTTGGCCAGGCTGGTCTTGAACTCCTGACCTCGTGATCCACCTACCTCGGCCTCCCAAAGTGCTGGGATTTCAGGTGTGAGCCACCATGCCCAGCCACAGCTACTTGTATTTTTTTATCTGACAACTGTTTCTGTGTCCTCTGAGTCTCCCCTGCCCCTGCCACCTACAACCTCTCAAGGCTGTCTTCTCCCCACGCCCAGGCATTCCAAGGGGACTCCATCCCGGTTTTCGACCTGCTGATCCTGGGGGTGGGCCCCGATGGTCACACCTGCTCACTCTTCCCAGACCACCCCCTCCTACAGGTGAGCACACCAATGCGGGGTTCCACCCTAGTCCTGAGCCCAGTCCCTAACATCTGGGACTTCCAGAGGGAGAGCCACCTGCCGGGTGGGGTGTCTAGAGCCAGGGTTCAAGTCAGCCTCCACCAACATACCTGCCTGCTGGGCTCAATCCTTTCAGGTCTCAGTTGAGCCCCTTAAAACAGGGACCTTAAACTACCCACCATGGGATTGTTAGTAGGATGGGATGGAACAGTGGCTGGACCAGGCCTGGTGTGTGTAAGTGTCCAAGAAGCTGAAGTGACATTGTCCTTCTGCCTCCATCCCTGGGCTTCCTCCCCAAGGAGCGGGAGAAGATTGTGGCTCCCATCAGTGACTCCCCGAAGCCACCGCCACAGCGTGTGACCCTCACACTACCTGTCCTGAATGCAGCACGAACTGTCATCTTTGTGGCAACTGGAGAAGGCAAGGCAGCTGTTCTGAAGGTAACAGCTGAGGGTTCTAGTCCTGGGAAGTTCATGGGCATGTGGGCCCCAGGGACAGAAAATGGCCCCAGACATTATTGTGCTGAAGCATCAGATCTGAAGAAAACTCAGTCATTCTTGGGTTGAAAGGTAACTTGAAATTGCAATTAGAAAAAAAGGAAAAAAAAAAAAAAAACCCCAGAAAATTGCAATTAAAGGCTAGTTAGGTATTAACCGCTATGAAATGAAATTGATGAGATGAGGCCAAAGCTGCATTCAGAGGTAAATTAATAGCATTCAAATGCATTTAAAAAAAATTATTAAGTAGCAAACTATTGAAATAAATCAAGTGCTTTCCTGTAGAATTAGAAAAAGGACAATAATATAAATCTACAAAAGTCAGTGGCAGGACTAAGTGAAATTAAAGTCAGAAATTAATGAGTTGGTTAATATATTTTAAACTTTAATGGTAAGTAGATCTAAAAGATAGAAAAGCTCCTGACAAGGCTAATCAAGAGAAAAAAAAATCACGTGGTATTATGAATAAAAAAAGGTACTGTTATGTAAAGTATTTTAGGAAAATACAAATTCATTACAGCATTAAAAATAAACTAAATAATTAAAAAGGTTTTAGTTGCCTTCATTGAAAAGACCAACAACTACAGAAGAAACTGGAAATATATTTTTATTTTTTTTTTGTTTTTTGTGTTATTGTTGTTGAGACAGAGTCTCCCTCTGTCGCCAAGGCTGGAGTGCACTGATGTGACCTCAGCTCGCTACAATCTCTACCTCCCAGGTTCAAGCGGTTCTCCTGCCTCAGCCTCTTGACTAGCTGGGATTATAGGCGCCTGCCACCAGGCCTGGCTAATTTTTGTATTTTTAGTAGAGAGGGGGTTTCACCATGTTGGCCAGGCTGGTCTCAAACTGCTGACCTCATGTGATCCACCTGCCTTGGCCTCCCAAAGTGCTGGGATTACAGATATGAGTCACCGTGCCTAGCCTGGTTTTTACTTTTCTAAGTGGTTGGAAAAAAGTCAAATGAAGAGCCAGGCCATGCTTATCATCCCATCTACTCAGGAGGCTAAGGCAGGAGGATTACTCGAGCTCAGGAGTTCGAAGCTATAGTGAAATGTAATTGCAACTGTGAATTACCACTGCACTGGGGAACATCACGAGAACTCATCTCCAAAAAAAATAAATCAGGCGGGGCGCGGTGGCTTATGCCTGTAATCCCAGCACTTTGGGAGGCTGAGGCAGGCGGATCACCTGAGGTCAGGAGTTCAAGACCAGCCTGGCCAACATGGCGAAACCCTGTCTCTACTAAAAATACAAAAATTAGCCAGGCGTGGTGGCGTGCGCCTGTAGTCCCAGCTACTCAGGAGCCTGAGGCAGGAGAATCACTTGAACCCGGGAGGCGGAGGTTGCTGTGGGCCGAGATCATGCCATTGCACTCCAGCCTGGGCGACAAGAACGAAACTCAGTCTCAAAAAAAAAAAAAAATCAAATGAATAATACTCCTTGACCTTGTGAAGATTCTATGAAGTTCAGATTACAGTGTCCAGAAATTGTTTTGTTTGTTTGTTTTTTTGAGACAGCTTCTCACCCTGTCATCCAAGCTGGAGTGCAGTGGCGCCATCTCAGCTCACTGCAACCTCCACCTCCCGGGTTCAAGTGCTTCTCCTGCCTCAGCCTCCCAAGTAGCTGGGATTACAGGCACCTGCCACCACGCCCAGCTAATTTTTGTATTTTTAGTAGAGACAGGGTTTCACAACATTGGCCAGGCTGGTCTCAAACTCCCAACCTCAAGTGATCCGCCCCCCTCGGCCTCCCAAAGTGCTGGGATTACAGGCATGAACCACCGCACCCGGCCCAGAAAAGTTTTATTGGAACATAGCAACACCCGCTTATGTATATATTGTCTGCAGCTGTTCTGGGGCCAGAACTGCAGAGCTGAGTGGTTGCAATAGAGACTGGATGGTCTGCAGAGCTTAATCTATTGACTCTGGTCTTTTGCTGAAAAAGGGTGCCAACCGCAGTATTAAACAGTTACAGACCAGGCACAGTGGCTCATGCCTGCACTTTGGGAGGCTGAGGCAGGAGGATTGCTTGAGTCTAGGAGTTTGAGACTAGTCTTGGCAACATAGCAAGACCCTGTCTCTACAAAAAATAAAAAATTAGCTGGGCACAGTGCCATGTGCCTGTGGTCCCAGATACTTGGCAGACTGAGGCAAGAGGATCACTTGAGCCTCAGAGATTGAGGCTGCAGTGAGCCTTGATGCCGTCACTGTACTCCAGCCTGGATGACAGCGCAAGACCTTGTCTCAAAAAAAATGCAAATAGTTACAGTGGGCGGGGCATGGTGGCTCAACGTGGGAGTTCAAGACCAGCCTGGCTAATATGGTGAAACCCCGTCTCTACTAAAAATATAAAAAATTAGGCCAGGCGCGGTGGCTAACGCCTGTAATCCCAGCACTTTGGGAGACCTAGGCGGGTGGATCACCTGAGTTCAGGAGTTCTAGACCAGCCTGACCAACATGATGAAACCGTCTCTACCAAAAACAAAAAAATTAGCCAGGTGTGGTGGGAGGCGCCTGTAATCCCAGCTACTTGGGGGGCCGAGGCAGGAGAATTGCTTGAAACCGGGAGGCGGAAGTTGCAGTGAGCCAAGATCGCACCATCACGCCATCACACTCCAGCCTGGGGGATAAGATCGAGAGTTCATCTCAAAAAAAAAAAAAAAAAAAAAAAAAACTTAGCCGAGCGTGGTGGCACTTGCCTGTAATCCCAGCTACTCAGGAGGCTGAGGCAGAAGAATCGCTTGAAACCGGGAGGCGGAGGTTGCCGTGAGCCAAGATCGTACCACTGCACTCCAGCCTGGGAGACAGAGTGAGACTCCATCTCAAAATAAATAAATAAATAAATAAAAATAGTTACAGTGGATAGAAAGGAAGGGACTCTTGTCCCTGCTGTTTGGCACTAGGACAGCTGAGCTGGGCATTGTCACATTTTGAGGATACAAGAGTCTTATTTATCCTTGGTTGGGGAGCCAGGAGAGTGCCGAGGGGCGGTGCCTGGGCCGCAGGCAGGGCCTTACTCTTCTGCCCTCTTCTTCAGCGCATTTTGGAGGACCAGGAGGAAAACCCGCTGCCCGCCGCCCTGGTCCAGCCCCACACCGGGAAACTGTGCTGGTTCTTGGACGAGGCGGCCGCCCGCCTCCTGACCGTGCCCTTCGAGAAGCATTCCACTTTGTAGCTGGCCAGAGGGACGCCGCAGCTGGGACCAGGCACGCGGCCCATGGGGCTGGGCCCCTGCTGGCCGCCACTCTCCGGGCTCTCCTTTCAAAAAGCCACGTCGTGCTGCTGCTGGAAGCCAACAGCCTCCGGCCAGCAGCCCTACCCGGGGCTCAACACACAGGCTGTGGCTCTGGACATCCGGATATTAAAAGGAGCGTTGCTGGAAGTCTGCACTGTCTCGCGGTGTTTGATGGCAGCAGGCCTGGGGGCGCCCTGGCCTGGGTTCTGATCCATAGCCCTCATCTGTGGGGAGGAAGGCGGGGCCTGCTTCCCTGGGGCATAGCCACCATGGATGAATTTCCTAAGACAACAGGCTGGGCACAGTGGCTCACGCCTGTCATCCCAGCACTTCGGGAGGATGAGGTGGGCAAATCACTTGAGGTCAGGAGTTCGAGACTAGCCTGGCCAACATAGTGAAATCTCTTCTCTACTAAAAATACAAAAATTAGCTGGGCGCGGTGGCTCACACCTGTAATCCCAGCACTTTGGGAGGCCGAGGCTGGTGGATCACGAGGTCGGGAGTTCGAGACCATCCTGGCTAACACAGTGAAACCCCGTCTCTACTAAAAATACAAAAAAAAATTAGCTGGGCATAGGTGGTGCACGCCTGTAGTCCCAGCTACTTGGGAGGCTGAGGCAGGAGAATGGCATAAAACCCAGGAGGCGAAGCTTGCAGTGAGCTGAGATCGCACCACTGCACTCCAACCTGGGAGATACAGCGAGACTCCATCTCGAAAAAAAAAAAAAATACAAAAATTAGCCGGGCGTAGTGGTGTGCACCTGTAATCCCAGCTACTTGGGAGGCTGAGGCACAACAATTGCTTGAACCAGGGAGGCGGAGCTTGCAGTGAGCTGAGATCGCGCCACTGCACTCCACCCTGTGTGACAGAGCGAGACTCGGTCTCAAGAAAAAAAAAAGCTGGGCACGGTGGCTTACGCCTGTAATCTCAGCACTTTGGAAGGCTGAGGTGGGCGGGTCACCCGAGGTCAGGAGTTTGAAACCAGCCTGATCAATATGGCAAAACCCTATCTCTACTGAAAATACAAAAATTAGCTGGGTGTGGTGGCATGCGCCTGTAATCCCAGCTACTTGGGAGGCTGAGGCAGGAGAATTGCTTGAACCCAGGAGGCGGAGGTTGCAGTGAGCCAAGACTGCGCCACTGCACTCCAGCCTGGGCAACAAGAGCGAAACTCCGTCTTAAAATGAAACAAAACAAAACAAAAAAACAAATGTATTCTGTCTTAGCTATAGAGATCAGAAGTCCAAGGTCAAGGTGGCGGCAGGGCTGGTTCCCTCTGGAGGCTCTGAGGCAGAACCCATCCCAGGCCTCTCCTGTCCTTGGCATTCCTTAGCTTGTGGCCATATCACTCCAGTCTCTCCTTGTCTTCACTTGGACTTCTTTCTCTTGTGTGTTCTCGCCTCCTATTTATTTTTTTGATACAGGGTCTCGCTCTGTCACCCAGACTGGAGTGCAGTGGTGCAATCACAGCTCACTGCAGCCTCCATCTCCTGGGCTAAAGCGATCCTCTCACCTCAGCCTCCCAAGTAGCTGGTGCTACAGATATGCACCACCACGCCTGCCTACTTGTACAAATTTTTTGCGGAGACGGGGTCTTGGTATGTTGCCCAGGTTGGTCTCCAACCCCTGAGATCAAGCGATCCTCCAGCCTCAGCCTCCCAAAGTGTTGGGATTACAGGCATGAGCCACTGTGCCCAGCATTCTTTTCTTATAAGGACACCTGTCATTGGATTTAGGATCGCCTTGCACCCAGGGTGGTTTCATCTCAAGATACCAAATGAGTATTCCAAATAAGTTCCAAATAAATGCTTATTTGGAATAAGTATTCCGAATAAGGTCACATGCTGAGTTTCCTGGGTCAGGACGTAGACATGTCCTTTGGGGGACATAAGTCAACCCTCTGCTGAGCTCCAGCTGCACTGACAGGGCGAAGCACTGCATTCAGCCATGCTGCGGACCTGCTCAGAGCCTTGAAAGCACCAGAGAGTCTAGTCTCCATGTGCTGGGCTCCTGCACATTTTCCCAGAATGCATCTGCTCATGGCCCACCCTTCAGCTTTCTCTAGGCCCCAGGGACGACAGTGTGGGAGGCTGGTGGGTGCATGGGGGCTGCCCAGCCACGTGCAAGTTTCTGTGGGGGGATCCAGAGGAGGCACCCGGCTGAGCAGGAGATGGGAATTGAAACCTGCGCAGAGGCGGCTGTGCAGGGTGAGAGTGGAGCCGAAACCACAGAAAGTGAAGTTTGCTTCAACGTCTTGTCCCGGCAGGCCACTCAGATGTGAGAGTGAGGAAGTGGGATGGGGCCTGACCGGAAGGAGGTTGGTAAACAGCAAAGAGAGCTGAGCGGAAGCTCAGCTGTGGGGCTGGTTGAGGGCAGGAGGCCGTGGCCCCCAGAGCGGCAGGCACGGGGCTGCGAAGTGAAGGGAAATTGAGCTGCCAGCACAGGGACCCCACATGGATGGTTGTGCCTGGGGCTGTCACCATCTCCTACTCTTTGCGAGAGTGACAACTCTTCCTGCTCCTTTTGCCTTCGGAGTGAAATTCACCCTTCCCACAAGGCTCCACGTGGCCCCTTTCACCTCTCCCTCTCCCCAGCAACATCAGCCCCTCACTCAGTCTCCCTGCAGCGCACCCACTTCCTGCTGTTCCTGGAGCCCGCTGAGCACATTCCCACCCCAGGGCCTTTGCCTGTGCTGAGCCCGCTGCCCGGTATCTCCTTTCCTGCAGCTTTTTGCATGGCTTGGGCCCTCGCTTTCTTTTTTGGGGGGACACGGTCTTGCTCTGTCGTCCAGGCTGGAGTGCAGTGGTGTGATCTCAGCTCACTGCAACCTCTACCTCACGGGTTCACACAATTCTCCTGCCTCAGCCTCCCAAGTAGTTGGTTCTACAGGCACCCACCACCACTCCCAGCTAATTTTGGTATTTTTAGTAGAAACATTGAGTTTCACCACGCTGGCCAGGCTGGTCTCGAACTCCTGACCTCAAGCGATCCACTTGCCTCAACCTCCCAAAGTGCTGGGATTACAGGCATGAACCACTGCGCCCAACTCCTCGCTTCCTTTCATCTCCGTGACCCCTCCATGCCCATCCTCTATCCCCTCCTGCTGCATTTTTCTTCCTTGCCCGTCTCATCATCTGATGGTTTTCTTTTTTCTTTTTTTTGAGACAGAGTCTCGCCCTGTTGCTCAGGCTGGAGTGCAGTGGTCCGATTTCAGCTCACTGCAACCTCCGCCTCCTGGGTTCAAGTGATTCTCCTGACTCAGCCTCCTGAGTAGCTAGGATTACAGGCGCCCACCACAACGCCCGCTATTTTTTGTATTTTTAGTAGAGACAGGGTTTCACCATGTTGGCCAGGCTGGTCTCGAACTCCTGACCTCAGGTGACCCGCCTGCCTCGGCCTCCCAAAGTGCTGGGATTACAGGCTTGAGCCACAACAGCCAGCTGAAAAAACATAAATTTTTTTAAAAGAAGAAATGAATCCTGGGCTGTTAGTGAAGATTACATTCAGATATTACTAGAGGCTTAAGCAAAACAGAGGTTTAGCTCTTTCTCTGGAGAGACACCATTCAGGGCTGGTAGAGCAATGTCACACATTCTTCAGGAACCCCAGCTCCTTCTACATCATTGCTTTGCCCTGTCATCAGCTGGATTCTGCCTCATGGCCCAAGGTGGCTGCTTGTGCTCCAGCCATTGTGTCCACGTTCCAGCTCTAGCATGAAGAAGCTTCCCAGGATTCACCGAAGACACTTCTGCTCACTCCTTTATGGCCAGCCTGGGTTGCACAGCCCCACATAGCAGCAAGGAAGTCTGGAAGATGAGTCTCCATTGGACAGCCATGGGCTCCGTTATGATCAGGGATTCTACTACTGAGGCCAATAGGAGCAATGGACATTGAGGGACACGTGTTCTCTATTCATCGATGACCTGCCCGCCTGCCTCAGGGGCTCCCTGGGGATCTTGCCATCTGAGGGGCCACACTCTGGACTTTCCTTCCTCCAGCCTGGAGCCCCTGACTGCTGGGAAGTGTTCAGTGTCCTTGAGAGGTCTTCAGGGACCCACCCCACTCCCCAGCCAACGCTGGATCCAGAGCTCAGTGCTTGACACTCCCCTCATCAGAAAACCTGTGATGGCTCCATTTGATCACATTTCCGCTTGGAGTGTAGACTGCATGCCCTCCCTCCCTCCGTCCCTCCCTTCATTCATTCATTCATTCATTCATTCATTCATGCACACGTTTATTCATGCATTCATTCAGCAAACATCGAGGGCTGCTCTGTGCCAGGCACAAAACAGGTGAAGGGGTGGAGACGCCCAACTAACCAAACCAGGTCAAATGCTGGGACATAAAGGTCGCGCCCAACCAGTCCAGGGGCACAGGGACGGCTCTCCAAGGGGCTGGTATCTGGTCTTTTCACCTGAGGGGTGAAGCTTGGGCGACCACGTGCAGGAGGCGGGAGCAAGAGTTCTCTAGGCACTGGACAAGACCGCGGGGGTCAGAGGGACATGGGGGCTTCGGGAGCTGCAGGGGGCTGAGTGGAGCCAGAGGGCTCTTGGAGCGATGAGGCTGGGCCCTCAGTGGTGCTTTCCCAAAGGGCAATGGGAGAGCTTCGGGAGGTCAGCACGGAGAGTTTTGGGGTGCTAAAGATGGGGTTTGGGCCCAAGAAAAGGGACACCTTCGCTGGGTGACGTGGCTCACACCTGTAATCCCAGCACTTTGGGAGGCTGAGGCGAGAGGATCACCTGAGGTCAGGAGTTTGAGGCCAGCCTGGCCAACACAGGGAAACCCCATCTCTACTAAACAAAACAAAACAAAATTAGCCAGAAATCGCTTGAACCCAGGAGGCGAAGGTGGCAGTGAGCCAAGATCATGCCACTGCACTCCAGCCTGGGCAACAGAGTGAGACACCGTTTAAAAAAAAAAGAACACTTTAGGAGGTCAAGGAGGGTGGATCACGAGGTCAGGAGTTTGAGACAAGCCTGGCCAACATAATGAAACCCCGTCTCTACTGAAAATACAAAAAATTAGCCAGGTGTGGTGGCGGGCGCCTGTAATCCCAGCTACTCGGGAGGCTGAGGCTGGAGAATCACTTGAACCCGGGAGGTGGAGGTTGCAGTGAGCCAAGATAGTGCCATTGCACTCCAGTCTGGGCGACAGTGCGAGAGTCTGTCCCAAAGAAAAAAAAAAGGACACCTTTAAGAGACACTTAAAACGTGAAATATGCCAGGTGTGGTGGCTCATGCCTGTAATCCTAACATTTTGGGAGGCCGAGGTGGGCGGATCACTTGAGTCCAGAAGTTTGAGACCAGCCTGGGCAACATAGGAAGACCCCCCGTGTCTACAAAAAATACAAAAATTAGCCAGGCATGGTGGTGGCGTGTGCCTGTGGGCCCAGCTACTCTGGAGGCTGAAGTGAGAGGGTCACTTGAGCACAGGAGTTCCAGGCTGCAGTGAGCCATGATCGTGCCACTGCACTCCAGCCTGAGCAACAGAGCAAGACCCTGTCTCTAAAAAAAAAAAAAGGAAAAAGAAATGGAGTCCAGGTGATGGACTGGTGGGAGGGACAGTGTTGGGGGCCTGAAGAAGGAATCAAGGATGAAGCTTCAGTGCCCCCAAGTCTCTCTGCTCACCCCTGCCAGGCCACCCATCCTCTAAGACCTTGGCATCTGCCCCCCTGCCCCAGCACTGACCTCAGGGACAGTCTGGGAGTGCCTGTCCAGCTCTGTCTCCCCAGCCTGGGGACTCCTAGGAGCTGGGCCAGGGCTGTATCCTCTCTGGGGTCCAGCCTCACCGGGCACAGGGTAGGCACAGTGCTGGTGGGGGGGTGTGGCACCAGGAACTAGATGCCGCATCCCTGCCCATCCCCCTGTTCCAGCCCCCATACACAACGACTGCTGGCCGGTCCTGCCAGATGTCTGCCCTGCCACCCTCCTCCAAGACGAGCTATGATTTTCTTTCTCCCACACCCCACAACCTAACCCCGGGGCTGTCCCCGCAGCCTCTACAGAAACCACTGGCTCTGGGCAACACGGGCCCCAGGGGAGTGGGGAGGACGCAGGTGCAGCGTGGGGTGGGGCAGGGGCGGGGCCTCTGAACCCACTGTGACCAAGCCTCTCACCCGCCATCCAGGTGCCCCTGAGCCGAGGAACGCAGGCGGTGGTCGTGGGGAAGGGAAGAGGAGCCCCGGGAGACGACAGCAGCATGGGTGGGCGGCCTTCGAGCCCTCTGGACAAGCAGCAGCGGCAGCACCTAAGGGGTGAGCAGCCGGGGAGGGGACAGGGTGGGAGTCCAGGTGGGTGGGGGCTCCAGCCATTGGGTCCACATGCTCCATGCAGCAGATGGGGTTCGGTTCAGACCTAGGGCTGTCAAAACACACAGGATGCCTTCTTAATGTAAATTTCACGCAGTGAATCTTTTTTTATTGTTGAGACAGGATCTTGTCTGTTGCCCAAGCTGGAGTGCCGTGGTATGATCGTGGCTCACTGCAACCTTGGCCTCCTGGGCTCAAGCAATTCTCCCGCCTTAACCTCCCAAGTAGCTGGGACCACATGCATGTACCACCATGCCCAACTAATTATTTCATTGGTTGTTTTTTTTTTTAATAGAGACAGGGTGTCCCTATGTTGGCCAGTTTGCTTTTGAACTTGTGGGCTCAAGCGATCCTCCCGCCTCAGCCCGAATAGCTGGGACCACAGGCGTGCACCACCACACCTGGCTAATTTTTTATTTGTTTTCGTAGCGACAGGGTCTCACTATGTTGCCCAGGCTGGTCTTGAACTCCTGAGCTCAAGCGATCCTCCCACATCAACCTCCCAAAGTGCTGGGATTACAGGCGGGAGCCACTGTGTCCAGCCTGCATCTTATTTTTAGTATAAGTGTATCCCAGATTTTGCATAGTGCACACTTATGCTGAAAACCAATTACCCCTTTATGGTTTTTTTTTTGTTTGTTTTGTTTTGTTTTGTTTTTTGAGATGGAGTCTCCCTCTGTTGCCCAGGCTAGAGTGCAGTGGCGCAATCTTGGCTCACTGCAACCTCCGCCTCCAGGATTCAAGCTATTCTCCTGCTTCAGCCTCCCGAGTAGCTGGGATTACAAGCATGTGCCACCATGCCTGACTAATTTTTGTATTTTTAGTAGAGATGGGGTTTCACCATTTTGGCCAGGTTGGTCTCGAACTCCTGATCTCAGGTGATCTGCTCACCTCAGCCTCCCAAAGTGCTGGGATTACAGGTGTGAGCCACTGTGCCCAGAAGACTGTGTCTTCTATTTTTATTTGGTAAATCTAGTGACCTGATTTAGGGCAGGGGTTCAGGTGGGAGGCATAGGGCCAAGTGGAGGGTGTCCCAGACCCAGCCAGGCCCTGAGGGATGTCTTCCTGAGCGGGCAGGGACCAGCAGGCCCCTCGGTAGGACCCTGGGGATGGAGGCTCAGTTCCCAATTTGAGACTAAGAGGGGCCAGTGCCAGATTCAGTGCCATTCGGGTCCCTCTGTCCTCATATGTGGGGTGAGCAACTGTGCTGGGCGCTGGGGACATTGTGGGGTTGGTATTGGCCTTACCCTCACAGGCTCATGGTCTAAACACCTTCCCTCTGGTGGCTCTGCTATGTGGGGCTTCTGTGCCCAAGGTGACCTCATGGCACAGAACGGCTGCTGGAGCTCCAGCCATTGGGTCTACATTCCATGCAGCAGCATGGAAGAGTGTTTTTTTGGTTTTTGGGTCAAGTCATGACCCAAAATTGCATGGTGAGAATGATGGGAGAGAGCTCACATGTTCCTTGAGGGTAGGGAAGAGCAGAGGTGGATGACTGCCCACTGAGGAGACAATGATCAAGCCAGGGCTGGAGGGATGTGATGGTGTTGGAAGGAAGGAGATACCAGAAGAGCATTTTGGACAGGAGAAACAGCATGTGCTAAGGCCAGTGATGTATCTTGCAAACAAACAATTCACGTTCACACCCTGGTCATTCCCTCATTTGCTGTGTGCCCTTTGGTGAGTGACTTCACCTCCCTGGGCTTCATTCTCTTATATGTAAAATGGGGATAGCAACAACGCCTAGCTCATGGGGCTGGGGGGGCATTGTAAGGATTCAAAGAGTTACTCTATGTAGCACTGGGATTTTTTTCCCCCAGATAGTGGCTTAAACAAGATAAGGATTTTTTTTTTTTCTCCTCAAACTGAGAGGTGTGGAAGCAGGCAGGCTAGTAAAAGTTAGACACCTAAAGTCCTTTCATCTCATGGCTCTGCCATGTGTGGATTCCTGTGCCCAAGGTAGCCTCATGGCACAGAATGGCTGCTGGAGCTCCAGCCATTGGGTCCACATTCCGGGCAGCAGAATGGAACTATGTTTTATTTACAGTCAAGTGTACAAGCCTTAGGGCAACAGCTCAAAGAGCTAGTCACCCATCACCCATATGACTACTTCCCAGATAGATCAGGATACAGCACACCTCCATCACTCACAGAAAGTTCACTTGTGTGCTTTGGAGCTTTAAAAGCTTTTGAAAAGCTCCCCAGGTAAAGCATATGGGGACACTTTTGGGTGTGATGGATCCGCTCATCTTGATTGTGGTGAGGGTTTCACGGATGTGTGATTGTGTCAAAGCTCAGCAAACCATATGCTTACATGATACGTGAGCTATAAGTGAAGGTGTGGCTCAATCTGTATTCCCAGCGCTTTGAGAAACCAAGGTGGGAGGATTGCTTGAGGCCAGGAGTTTGAGACCAGCCTGGATAACATAGCAAGACCTTGTCTCTACAAAAATAAAAAAATTAGCTGGGCATGGTGGCACGTGCACATGATCCCAGCTACTGGAGTGGGGCTGAGGTGGGAGGATCACTTGAGCCCAGGAGGTCAAGGCTGCAGTGAGCTGAGATTGCACCACTGCACTCCAGCCTGGGGGACAGACACCCTGTCTCAAAAAAAAGAAAAAAAAGTGCAAGACAAGTGGATCACTGGAGCTCAGGAGTTCAAGACCAGCCTGAGCAACATGGCGAAACCTCGTCTCTACTAAAAATAGAAAAATTAGTCAGTCGTGGTGGCAGAAGCCTGTAGTCTCTGTAGTCCCAGCTACTTGGGAGGCTGAGATGGGAGAATCACCTGAGCCCAGGAAGTAGAGGTTGCAGTGAGCTGTGATCGTGCCAGCGCACTCCAGCCTGACAACAGAGTGAGACTCCATCAAAACAAAAAACAAAAAACAAAACAAAACAAAACAAAAAACCCGTCTCTACTAAAAAATACAAAAATTAGCCCAGCATGATGGCGTGCGCCTGTAGTCCCAGCTACTCGAGAGGCTGAGGCGGGAGAATTGCTTGAACCCAGGAGGCAGAGGTTGCAGTGAGCTGAGATCGTGCCACTGCACTTCAGCCTGGCAACGGAGCAAGACTCCATCTCAAAAAAAAAAAAAAAAAAAAAAAAAAGAAGCTCCCTCACCCAGCCACATGGATGGAAACAGGCATGGAGGGTGAAGGATGAATGAAATTTGGTGACAACTTGTCTGGAAGCTCAGGATGACTACAGGAGCCCCCAGGTGGCTTCCCTGTCTGTTTTGCCCTCCCCAAGCAGGTCTCCTGGGCAGATTCAATTTGCTGGGTTCACTGTCCCCTTGTCCCTGCAGGTCAGGTGGACACCCTGCTGAGGAACTTCCTGCCTTGCTACCGTGGGCAGCTGGCAGCGTCTGTCCTGCGGCAGATCTCTCGAGAGCTGGGCCCTCAGGAGCCGACCGGAAGCCAGTTGCTACGCAGCAAAGTGGGTGTTGTGGGGGCAGAGGACGTTTGAGTGTTAGGGGAGGGTCCTGGAGGAGCCCTCCCTAGGCCATGCTTCCAACCTCAGACCTTTGCCATTGCCATAGGATGACTTTAAATATGCATTGTTTAAATAAACATTCACTGAGCAGCCAAGCAAGGTGGCTCCCGTCTGTAATCCCAGCACTTTGGGAGGCCAAGGCAGGCGGATCACCAGAGGTCAAGAGTTCAAGACCAGCCTCGCCAACATGGTGAAACCCCGAAACCCCATCTCTACTAAAAATACAAAAAAAAATTTAGCCAGACCCTGTAGCGCGCACCTGTAGTCCCAGCTACTTGGGAGGCTGAGGCAGGAGAATCGTTTGAACCTGGGAGGTGGAGATTGCAGTGAGCCCAGATTGTGCCACTGCATTCCAGCCTAGGCAACAGAGCTAGACTCTGTCAAACACACACACACACACACACACACACACACACACACACACACACACAACCATTCACTGAGCATGTAATTCATGCCACATCATGGGCTGGGCATGAGGACACACAGCCCTTGTCCAGTGACAAGGACAGATCCTGCGGTAACCTCTGGGGTTCACAACCTGATGGGAGGTAGAAGACTCCAAACAAGTTAGCATATCATGATGTGGAATGGAGTAACATTTTCTTTTAGATGGAGTTTTGCTCTCTTGCCCAGGCTGTAGTTCAGTGGCGCAATCTTAGCTCACTGCCACCTCCACCTCCCAGGTTCAAGCGATTCTCGTGCCTCAGCCTCCCGAGTAGCTGGGACCACAGGCGCCCGCCACCATGCCTGGGTAATTTTTGTATTTTTGGTAGAGACGGGGTTTCACCATGTTGGCCAGGCTGATCTCGAACTCCTGACCTCAAGTGATCTCCCCACCTTGGCCTCCCAAAGTGCTGGGATTACAAGCGTGAGCGCCTGGCCTCCAGACATCTCTGGAGCCATGAGGTTGTGTGCCCCACACACCTCACTCAGTCTTCACCCCTTTGGTAGACAGGTCTTTGACTGATGAGGAAACTGAGGCACAGAGAGGCCAAATGGCCTTCTCGAGGTCACACTACAGAGGTGTGATTTCAACCTGGGATCCACGCTTATTACTAATGCTTGGTCCCACGCTCCAGTTGGGGCTGAGATTTTTTGCCTCTCCGGAATGCCCCACTTCCCAGCTGTGCCCACCCAGGGCGGGGGGCTCCAGGAGCTGTGGACACAGAGCCCCTTCCTGCCTAGGACTCTCTCTGTCCAGCCTGGGGCATCACGGGACCTTAGCGTCACCCCAGGATACAGCGGGTGTCTGGGTGGTCGGGCCACAGGGACATCAGCCCACAGCCCCCTGACACCCACTGCTCCCTCTTTCTGCAGAAGCTGCCCCGAGTCCGTGAGCACCGAGGACCCCTGACCCAGCTTCGGGGCCACCCACCCCGGTGGCAGCCGATCTTCTGTGTTCTGCGTGGGGACGGCCGCCTAGAGTGGTTCAGCCACAAGGAGGTGCGTGATTGGCACGTGGCCTTTCTACTTCTGGGTCCCTCCTTCCCACCCCCGTCAGCCTCAAGGTTTGTGGGATCCATATCTCAGCATAGCCCCACCTCTATCAATCACCCAGGATGAATCTTGTGCCCCTATGTGTTTGGCCTGTTGTAGGCAACCATCTCGTCCCATCCCCTGCTGTGCTGGGTGGGTAAACTGAGGCCCAGGCCAGGGATAGGGTCGTGGTCAGTATCAGAGCTGTGGTTTCAACCTCTTGGGGCCTTTGCAAGTCACACCTCTGGCCGCTCTGCTTTCTGGCTGGGGAGCTTGGAGCGATCACTACCTTTCTGAAACTCAGTTTCCACTTCTGTGAAATGGGATGTTTCACACCATGTAGGGCTTTGAGGGTTCAACAAGAGGGTCCTCAGACAGCACTTGGGACCGGACCGGCACGTGGGGAGCCCGTGGGTGCTGGGAGCTCAGGGACTGAGGGAGGAAGGGAGGGAAAGGGGAAAGGGAAGGAGGGAGAGAGAGGGCAAGAACAGGAGGGAGGAAGGGAGAAAGTTATGGGGGCAGAGGTAGGATGGATGGAGGGAGAGAGGAGGAAAAAAAAAGGGAGGGAGAGCCGGGCCTCGTGGCTCACGCCTATAATCCCAGCCCTTTGGGAGGCTGAGGCAAATAGATCCCTTCAGCCCAGGAGTTCAAGAACAGCCTGGCCAACATGGTGAAACTCCGTCTCTACTAAAAATACAAAACCTAGGGCCAGGCACGGTGGCTCAGGCCTGTAATGCCAACACTTTGGGAGACCAAGGCAAGTGGATCACCTGAGGTCAGGAGTTCAAGACCAGCCTGGGCAACATGGCGAAACCCCGTCTCAATTAAAAATACAAAAATTAGCCTGCTGTGGTGGCGGGTGCCTGTAATCCCAGCTACTCGGGAGGCTGAGGTGGAAGAATCACTTGAACTTGGGAGGTGGAGGTTGCGGTGAGCTGAGATCGCGCCATCGCACTCCAGCCTGGGTGACAGAGTGAGACTCTGTCTCAAAAACAAAAAAAAAAAAAAAGAGAGAGGGAGGAATGGAGGAAAGGAGAGGGAGGGAGGGGTGGGAGGGGCAGAGGATTTTTCAGCTCATCTGAAATCTTCCCTTGATGGTATAGTTGGGACACAGAAGCCACAGTTCAGACCTGTCCCAGGTTGGTTCTCTGGGTACCTTTTGTAGGAATATGAAAACGGGGGCCACTGCCTTGGCTCAACAGCCCTGACAGGATACACGCTCCTGACTTCCCAGCGAGAATATCTCCGCCTTTTGGATGCTCTCTGCCCTGAATCCTTGGGTAAGGGTCCCGGGGTTCCCAGGAACAGGTTTCTCCACCCCAGCATCATTAACATGTGGGGCCAGATCATTCTCTGCGGTGGGGGCGTCCCGTGTACAGCAGGGCAGTAAGCAGCATCCCTGGCTTCCACCCACTCCCTGCCTGCAGCAGCCCCCACCCTGGGTGCGACAACCACCAATGTCTCCAGCATTGCCAAGTGTCTCCCGGGGGCAGCGTTGCTACGGGTGAGCATCCCTACTCTGGAAAACAAACAAACAAACAAACAAACAAACACCCACTCTTGCAAGGGTGAGGGGGAGAGTTAGGTCATGGGACCAGAATCAGAATAGCAAAGGATAAAAACAGTAAAATCTGGGATGGGTGCACTGTCTCATGCCTGTAGTCCCAGCTACTCGGGAGGCTGAGGCGGGAGGATCGCTTAAGCCTGGGAGGTGGTGGCAGTGAGCCGAGATTGCCCCACTGCACTCCAGCCTGGGCAATAGACTGAAACCCCATCTCCAAAAACAACAACAAAAACAATTAAAAACAATAGGCTGGGCACGGTGGCTCATGCCTATAATCCCACCACTTTGGGAGGCCGAGGTGGGCGGATCACTTGAGGTCAGGAGTTCGAGACTAGCCTGGCCAACGTGGTGAAACCTCGTCTCTACTAAAAATACAAAAATTAGCCGGTGTAATGACATGCGCCTGTAATCCGAGCACTTTGGGGGACCAAGGCAGGTGGATCACCTGAGGTCAGGAGGAGACCTCATGAGGCCAGCCTGACCAATATGGTGAAACCCTGTCTCTACTAAAAATACAAAAGGTAGGCCGGGCGTGGTGGCTCACGCCTGTAATCCCAGCACTTTGGGAGGCTGAGGCGGGCAGATCATGAAGTCAGGAGATCAAGACCATCCTGGCTAACATGGTGAAACCCCATCTCTACTAAAAATACAAAAAATTAGCCAGTTGTGGTGGCGGGCACCTGTAGTCCCAACTACTCAGGAGGCTGAGGCAGGAGAATGGCGTGAACCCGGGAGGCAGAGCTTGCAGTGAGCCGAGATCGCGCCACTGCACTCCAGCCAGGGTGACAGAGCAAGACTCCATCTCAAAAAAAAAAAAAAAAAGAAAAGAAAAGAAATTAGAGAAGGAACAATTCCAATTCCAGGCATGTGCCTGGCAAATAACTCAGCATTGGGCTTGCACTATCTCATAAAGTCTGCCCAGCAGGCAGGCCCATCACTAACTACCCCATTTCACAGATAAGGACATTGAGGCTGAGGATTGTCACACAGTCAAGGGCAGAGCTAGAATTGCACCCTCTGCTTCACCTAAAAGCTATCTTGCTGTCAAAGGACACAAAAATGTAGTCTGCTGAGATGTTGATGCTGCTCAAAACATCAGAATCTGCCCAAATACCCATCTCTTGAGGGTTGATTAAATATATTATGGCCTGGCCCTTGGTAATGAACAGTGAGCTGGCTGTGGCGGCATATGCCTGTAGTCCCAGGTACTTGGGAGGCAGAGACAGGAGGATCCCCTGAGGCCAGGAGTTCCAGACCAGCCTGGGTAACATAGTGAGACCCCCATCTCCACAAACATTTTAAAAAATAAAATTACCTAGGTGTGGTGGCATGTGCCGGTAGTCCCAGCTACTCAGAAGGCAGAGGCGGGAGGATCACTTGAGCCCAGGAGTTAGGGGCTGCTGTGAACTATGATCACACCATTGAACTCCAGCAGCCTGGGCAACAGAGCCAGGAGCTGTCTCTATTTAAATAAATAAATAAATAAATAAAAACCTGGGTGCGGTGGCTCATGCCTGTAATCCCAGCACTTTGGGAGGCCAAGGCGGGCAGATCACCTGAGGTCCCAGCCTGGCCAACATGGCGAAACCCCACCTCTACTAAAAATACAAAAATTAGCCGAGCGTGGTGGCACACGCCTATAATCCCAGCTACTCAGGAGACCGAGGCAGGAGAATTGCTTGAACCTGGGAGGCAGAGGTTATAGTGAGCCAAGACAGCGCCACTTTACTCCAGCATGGGAGACAGAGCAAGACTCTGTCAAAAAAAAAAAAAAAAAGCCAGGTGGCTCACGCCTGCAGTCTCAGCACTTTGAGAGGCCAAAGTGGGAGGATCACTCGAGCCTAGGAGTTTGAGGCCACCGTGAGCTATGATCACACCACTGTATTCCAGCCTGGGCAGCAGAGGAAGACTCCATCTCTGAAATAAAAATAAATTAAAATTTAAAAACAATAAATAAAAGAAAGCAAAACTTAGCCACTGAAAGTGTCCCAGACGTATCAAGGAGCAAAATGACCAGTTCCAAGGCAGAAAATCCCATCTTGTCACAGATATGCACCTCACACAGTTTCACGCAGATTTTAGAATCTGGAGAAATGTCCCCTAAACTATTAACAGTCATTATCGTCTCTGGGGGCTGAGGCTGGAAGACTGAGATGATCAGGAGCTTCCACCTTCTGGACTATTGATTTCCTTTTCTTTTCTTCTTCTTTTTGTTTTTGGACAGAGTCTTGCTCTTGCTCTGTCTCCCAGGCTCAAGTGCAGTGGCATGATCTCTGCTCACTGCAACCTCCGCCTCCCAGGCTCAAGTGATCCTCCTGCCTCAACCTCCTGAGTAGCTGAGACCATAGGCACCTGCCACCACACCCTGTAAATTTTGTGTTTTAGTAGAGACGGGGTTTCACCACGTTGGCCAGGCTGGTCTCGAACTCCTGACCTCACGTGATCCGCCTGCCTCAGGCTCCCAAAGTGCTGGGATTACAGGCATGACCCACCTCGCCTGGCCTGGATTGTTGGGTTTTATCGCAGTCTGTGTTTATCATCCTGGAAAGTGGAACAAAACACTGGAGACAGGATACCCTAAATATTTCTTTTCATATACTTATGTTTTTAATAAAAAATATCTTGTGCAGGCTGGTCTGGAACTCCTGGGCCCAAGGGATCCTCCCACTTCAGCCTCCAAAGGTGCTGGGATTACAGGCATGAGCCACCGCGGCTGGTCCCCAAATAAATTAACCAAAGCTGAATTCACTTATTTTGTCTTGTCAATAATTCTAGGTCATCGGTATCACTGTTAACCCCATTTGGGCAGGAAAATCACAGCTCATAGAGCTGTGTGCCCTAGTCATAGAGCTAGAAAGTAGCTTGGCCAGGCTGGGCACAATGGCTCACACCTGTAATCCTAGTACTTTGGGAGGCTGAGGCAGGCAGATCGCTTGAGCTCAGGAGTTCAAGACCAGCCTGGGTAACATAGTGAGACCCTGTCCCTTTTGTTAAAAAAAGAAAGAAAATGAAAGTGGTTTGGTCAGGTTGGAACCCGGGTCTGACTGACTCCAAAACCCCACATAAAGCCGGACGACTCAGATAACATCCCAGCTTGAATGGATTGGTGGTGGCTGCCAGGAGGACTGTATTAAGGATGCTAAGGCTGGAAAACAGTTCTGGGATGGATTGGTGATGTCTGCCTTGGGCATGCAGTGGAAGAAGGTGACCCTGCCTCCCCCAAAACTGTGCCCCACCCAGTGCTGTTGGAATAAGGATGGTGGCAAGTATCGTGGTATGACTCATATTTATCGAGCAACTGCCCATGCCAGGGACTGCTGTATGCATTTCAGGGGTATTTTCTCCTAGTGAATGAACGTCTAGAAGATGCGACCTCCTGTTTGTTTTCAGGAGACCATACTCAGGAAGAGCCTGACTCCCTCTTGGAAGTGCCTGTGAGCTTCCCGCTGTTCCTGCAGCACCCCTTCCGCCGGCACCTCTGCTTCTCTGCAGCCACCAGGGAGGCACAGCATGCCTGGAGGCTGGCCCTGCAGGGTGGCATCCGGCTTCAGGGCATAGGTGGGTCTCAGGACGGGTCAGACATTTGTGGGGCTAATGGTCTGGGGTCAGATGGCTCAGCCTCTGTTGGCTCGGGACCTCTCCAGGCCTCACTTTCTTTACCCAGAAAATGGGTTTTTAGGCCAGGTGTGGTGGTTCATGCCTGTAATTCTAGCATTTTGGGAGGCCGAGGCAGGCAGATCACCCAATGTCAGGAGTTCGAGACCAGCCTGGACAACATGGCGAAATCCTGTCTCTACTAAAAATACAAAAATTAGCTGGGCATGGTGGAAGGCACCTGTAATCCCAGCCACTCGGGAGGCTGAGGCAGGAGAATCACTTGAACCCGGGAGGTGGAGGTTGCAGTGAGCCAAGATCGCGGCACTGCACTCCAGCCTGGGCAACAAGAGCAAAACTCCATCACACACACACACACACACGAGAAGAAAATGGGTTGTTGGGGGAGCCAGAAGGGACACCAGGCAGTTGTGAGTGACTAGGGCTGTAACAGAGACACACAGGGTGCTATGGGAGCTCAGCCTGAGGGATGGGGGTTAGAGCAGGCTTCCCAGATGAGGGGAAGCTGGGGTCTGTAAAAGATGAAGGACTAGCCGCTGGGCGCGGTGGCTCACACCTGTAATCCCAGCACTTTGGGAGGCCGAGGCGGGAGGATCACGAGGTCAGGAGATTGAGACCATCCTCGCTAACACGGTGAAACCCCATCTCTACTAAAAATACAAAAAATTAGCCGAGCGTGGTGGCAGGCGCCTGTAGTCCCAGCTACTCGGGAGGCTGAGGCAGGAGAATGGCATGAACCCAGGAGGTGGAGCTTGCAGTAAGCCGAGATGGTGCCACTGCACTCCAGCCTGGGCAACAGAGTGAGACTCTGTCTTAAAAAAAAAAAAAAAAAAAGATGAGGGGCCAGCCAGATGAAGAAGGGGAATAGGTCAGGCACAGTGGCGTGGTGGCATGAGCTTGTGGTCTCAGCTACTCAGGAGGCTTAGGTGGGAGGATCACTTGAGCCCAGGACTTGGAGGCTGCAGTAAGCAATGATCATGCTACCGCACTTCAGCCTGAGCAACAGAGAGACCCCCTGAGAAAGAGAGAGAAAAGAAAAGAAAAGAGGAGAGAAGAGAACAGAAGAAAGAAAAGAAGGAAAAAGAAAGGAAAGAAAAAGAAAAGAAAGGAGAAAGAAAGAAGAAAGAAAGCAAGAAAGAAAGAAAGAGAAAGAAAGAAAGAGAGGGAGGGAGGGAAAGGAAGGAAGAAAGGGAGGAAGGGAAAGAGAGAAAGAAAAAAGTAGGGGAGCAGCAGGACTGACACACACAGTTGGGCAGGTTGTTGACTGCACAAACGATGCAACTAGAGGAACAGCTAGTGGCTGCAGTATGTATGGCCTGAACTGCTGGTCACGGGGCTGTGGCTGCCAGTAGAGGGTTCCTTCTAAGTTGAATAAACATGATGGTCTTGGGGGACTGTGTTCCCTGTGGAGGGCATTGCCTATGCAAAGTTCCAGAGATGGGTGAGACTTGGGTGTTGGGGACCTGGCCAGGCGGAGGGCTTCCTCCCCGGGCCATCGGGAGCCAGGCAGGGGAGCTACCAGCAGGCACTGAGGAGCAGCCCCTCTCAGTCCTGCAGCGAAGCCAGGCCCCTGCTGCCCGGGCCTTCCTGGACGCCGTCCGACTCTACCGGCAGCACCAAGGCCACTTTGGCGACGACGACGTGACCCTAGGCTCAGACGCCGAGGTTAGTGCCCCGCGAGGCCGCACCCGGGACCCCCAGGACCCTCCCGGCCGACCGCGGCGCCCATGGCCCCCTCTCCTGCAGGTGCTGACCGCGGTGCTGATGCGGGAGCAACTTCCCGCGCTGCGAGCCCAGACCCTTCCTGGCCTGCGGGGGGCAGGCCGCGCCCGCGCCTGGGCCTGGACCGAGGTATGCACGGCGTCCGGATCCGGGATAGGGGGCGGGATGCGGGCGTTCGGGTTCCCCTCCCACGACTGTCGCCTAAACCCTCTCCCGATCTCTCTGACCCCCATCCCCGCCCCGTGTCTCGGCTTTGTCCCCCCTCGACCGGTCTGGGCAGCTTCTAGACGCCGTTCACGCAGCTGTCCTGGCCGGGGCCTCCGCCGGGCTCTGCGCCTTCCAGCCCGAAAAGGACGAGCTGCTTGCGTCGCTGGAGAAGACGATCCGCCCGGACGTGGACCAGCTGCTGCGGCAGCGGGCGCGTGTGGCGGGGCGGCTGAGGAGTGAGGCCCTGGGGCGGAGCCTGGGCTGGGAGGGGCGAGGCGATGCTGGGGAAAAAGGGGCGTGACCTAAGCGAAGAATGGGCTTGAAGTTATGTAAAATGGGGGCGTGGTCAGAGAGGGGCGGGGCCAAGCATAGGATGTGCAAGGGAACGGGTGGGGAAGGGGCGGGGCCAAAGCGAGGCGGTGGGCGTGGTCTTGTGGTCGAGGCACTGGGGGCGGGGCCTAGAGTCTGTCCGGAGGAAACCAGGTCCTAAGGGGGCTGCTTGGATACAAAAAGGGCGGGGCCTCAGCGGGGGATAGGCGTGGCCTTGAGGCTGAGGCTCGAGGAGTTGAGGCCCAGAGCCGGGCCAATGCGGGTGGGCGGGCCTGGGAAGTAGAACAGCGGAGGAGGGGCGGGGGTAAAGGCTGATACATGGGCAGCGGTGGGCCAAGGTGGCCCCTACAAAGACCCAGGTGGGAATCCTGACTGGGCCCGCCCCTCCGAGGCTCAGTTTTCTCATCATTACAATGGGTAGAAGAGGGCGCTCAGCGTCCCTGCTCGCGTCCCCCTCGCGAGGGCCCCTGCACATCCCCATCTGTGAGGCACCTTGCGGAGGGGACTCCAGACCAGTGTCTTCCACTCCCAGCGGATATCAGGGGACCGCTCGAGTCGTGCCTGCGCCGGGAGGTGGACCCGCAGCTGCCCCGGGTCGTGCAGACCCTGCTGCGCACCGTGGAAGCCTCGCTCGAGGCGGTGCGGACCCTCCTGGCTCAAGGCATGGACCGACTGTCCCACCGCCTGCGCCAGAGCCCCTCAGGCACGCGGCTGCGCAGGGAGGTGAGCTCCCGTGGGTAGGGGTTCAGTGAGCCAGAGGGTGATGTGTTAACTTGAGTCTTTCCTGTGGAGAATCTTCACTGAATTTGTTCTAGGCTGCTTTTTACTTATTGTGGACCCATCACCATGCTATGGTCAGTGGAGCACAGTTTTTGTTTGTTTTTTGTTTTTGAGACAGGGGTGTCGCTCTGTCACCCTGGCTGAAGTGTAGTGGCACAATCTTAACTCACTGCAGCCTCGACCTCCCGGGCTTAATCAATCCTCTTACTTTAGCATCCCAAGTAGCTGGAAATACAGGCGCACGCCACCAAGCCCAGCTAATTTTTTAATTTTTTTGTAGAGATGGGGGTCTTGCTTTGTTGCCCAGGCTGGTCTCAAACTCCTGGGCTCAAGCGATCTGCCTGCATTGGCCTCCCAAAGTGCTGGGATTACAGGCTTGAGCCACCGCACTGGCCATGGAACACAGTTTAAAACGTGAGGGGAAAGGAGTTGGATGAGAAAAGTGGCAATTTAGCAAAATCAGTCTGAGGTCATCCCCCAAACTCCTCCTCCCATTCCCCTGTAGGGCAACAACCCAGAGAATTCTGCTCAAGGCAGGTCACCTCAGTGCATCTGATATACAAGTAGCACCTAAAATACATACATACATATATACATACATACATACATACATACATACATACATACATACATAGAATAGCACCTACTATGTACCAGGCAACCTTCAACTCATTCTTAAGCCTCCATTTCCTAATCACCTTCTCCAGGAACTGTCCCTGGTCCCCTCTATGTCTTGCAGTAGCCTGTGCTTCTCTTATCACAGCCTGACTTTCATACCACTGTGGGTGATTTCTATACTCTGTCTCCCCTAATTTGTAAGCAGAGACTGGGTTAGAGTATTCCATTTCTGCAGCCCCAGGGCCCAGCACAGACAGAACATGAGATGGTATTCACAGATCTGGGCCAGGAAATGTGCTCATTTCCTCTCAATTGTGCCAGCATCGCTTGTTATAGTTTTTTCAGGTTTTATCATTTTATGTCCATGACACCGTGCCTCACTGCTACTTATTTTATTTTATTTTATTTTATTTTATTTTATTTTATTTTATTTTATTTTATTTTATTTTTGAGACAGAGTCTCATTTTGCCGCCCAGGCTGAAGTGCAGTGGTGCGATCTTGGCTCACTGCAACCTCCTGGGTTCAAGCAATTCTCATGCCTCAGCCTCCCAAGTAGCTGGGAGTACAGGTGTGTGCCACTACACCTAGCTAATTTTTGTATTTTTAGTTGAGACAGGGTTTCACCATGCTGGCCAGGCTGGTATCGAACTCCTCACCTCAAGTGATCCACCCACCTCGGCCTCCCAAACTGATGGGACTACAGGTGTGAGCCACCATGCCTGGCCCACCACTATTGTATTATGAGTTTCTTTGGTGACAGCTGAGACGGGATGTATTTTCATTTGTGTTTCTCCTTTGGTGAATTGGTAATGGGGTCCCTGGCCCTTTGCAATCAGCTGACAGCATTTTTCCCCCAAAACTGCTTCCGGGAGCACAGGTTTACTCATTTGGGGAGATGCCGTGGGACTTGGCGCTGATGCAGACATGCTACCGTGAGGCCGAGCGGAGCCGGGGGCGCTTGGGGCAGCTGGCAGCACCGTTTGGCTTTCTGGGGATGCAGAGCCTCGTGTTTGGGGCCCAAGATCTTGCACAGCAGGTGAGGGTGAGAGGAGGCTGGGATGAGGCCAGGCTGTGAAGACAGCCTCCACTGACCTCCTGCTAAGTGTGCCCTGGAGAGACCACGATGATCGAGACAACTCCGCGGGGCTGCCAGTCTCATGGGGACATGAGCCCGTGACCAGGCAGCAGCCACATGTGGTGGACAGAGCTGGGGCAGGGTGTACAGGGAGCGCCAAGGATGTTCCTGATCCACCTCTGGGGTTGACAGGACTTTCAGGAGGAGGGGACTTCCAACATGGGAGAGCAATGGGAGGAATGGCGTTGCCACCAGTCCCGAGTGAATAGTGTTGAGAGTGCTTGTCTGCATTTGGGGAACGTGGAGCAATTTTTCAGAAATGGGGAAGATAGGCCGGCGACATGGACGGGCAGATCGCGCAGTGCCTTGAGCGTGGGGCTAAGGGGTGAGCTCTTTCCTGAGGGCAATGGGGAGCCAGAGCAGGTATGTGAGCAGGGGGAGGGCATGGCTGGATTTAAGGTTTAGGAAGCTTTGCCTGCCATAGGGAGCACAGGCTGTTGGGGACAGGAAAAGAGGAGGCAGGGAGGAGGCCTGCACCAGGATGGGGGATGTCAGTGGGGAGAAGCAATAAGTGTTTTGAAGTCTGAGATGGGACCTGCTGATGGACATGGTGACAGAAGAAGACAGAGAGTGAGATGATCCAGCACTACCTGGCACAGTTGTTCAGTTTGTGCACTGCACAAAAGCACTCAGTGGAGGAGGCTGAACTCTGGCTGGCTCCCTACTCCCCATTCTGGGCATCCTGGCACCATCTCCCAGAGGGAAGGGGCTTTCTGTCAGTTTGCACATAGTCCCCCACAGACTAGACAATCCCCAGGTCCTGAGAGGAGGGGAAAGGTGTTTCCTGGGACAAGGAGGAGGAGGTTGGGCAGAGGTGGCTGGTTGGAACAGGTTGGATGCTGAGAAGGGGTCAGCTGGGCAGGAGTGGGGCCCGGGAGGCTGGAGCACAGATTCTGGGGTCATCATAGCATCTCCTCCCACAGCTCATGGCTGACGCCGTGGCCACCTTCCTGCAGCTGGCTGACCAGTGTCTGACGACGGCCCTCAACTGTGACCAGGCTGCCCAGAGGCTGGAGAGAGTCAGGGGGCGCGTGCTGAAGGTGTGTTCTGTGGGTACGGGGTGGCATGGGGTGGCAGTGGGCCTGGGTGCTCAGATGGTTGCTGGACGCACCGCTGGGTGTGTTGTGCAGAAATTCAAATCGGACAGCGGGTTGGCGCAGAGGAGGTTCATCCGAGGCTGGGGTCTCTGCATCTTTTTACCTTTTGTGCTGAGCCAACTCGAGCCAGGCTGCAAAAAGGTGAGTTAATGGGAAGTGTGCAAGAGGGTCTGACAGCATCACCATGCATCCACTTAAAGTGGGCAAGAATGCTCTTTGAGGCTGGGCGCAGTGGCTCATGCCTGTAATCCCAGCAATTTGGGAGGCCAAGGCAGGCAGATCACAAGGTCAGGAGTTCGAGACTAGCCTGGCTAACATAGTGAAACCCTGTCTCTACTAAAAATACAAAAAATTAGCCAGGCATGGTGATGGGCGCCTGTAATTCCAGCTACTCAGGAGGCTGAAGCAGGAAAATCGCTTGAACCCGGGAGGGGAAGGTTGCAGTGAGCCGAGATCGCGCCATTGCACTCCAGCCTGGGCGACAGAGTGAAACTCAGTCTCAAAAAAAAAAAAAAAAAAGAATGCTCTTTGATCATTAGAGACCATTTGACCTTAATCCTAGCACTTTGGGAGGCCAAAGTGTGGGGATTGCTTGAGGCCAGGAGATCAGTCTGTACAACATAGTGAAACTCCATCTCTATAAAAATACAGAAGTTAGCCAGGCGTGACAGCATGTGCCTGTGGTCCCAGCTACTCTGGAGGCCAAGAGGTGGGAGGATCAATTGAGCCTAGGAAGTCGAGGCTGCAGTGAGCTAGGATCGCACCACTGCACTCCAGCCTGGGCAACAGAGCAAGGGCCTGTCTCTTTTTAAGAGACTTCCATACCCTGAGCCCTGGAGCTGGGTCAGGTGGCTTTTCTGGGCTTCCACAATGCCCTCTGCTTCACCTATGACGGGGTTCATTACCCTGTGTCTGCCACAGAAGAGCTGGGATGGGTCCCACACATCGCATATCACCTGGTGACATGGGCATCAGTGGAGGGAGGAGGTGGATGGAGAGTGGGTAAGGGTTGGGTGGGGAGTTACCAGGGAGTCAGGAAGGATGTCCCTGTGAAATGAAGGCATGGGCCATGTCCCGGGAAGGGCATTCCAGGCAGAGGGCACAGCATGTGCAAAGGCCCTGAGGCCTGACCATGCCTGGTGTGTTGGAGGAACAGTGACAAGGTGGGTGTGGCTGAAGCTCAGTGAGTGGAAGAGTGGGAAGGAGGTCAGCGGGAGTCCTAGGTACCTAGGCACACAGGGCTCATGGGCACCAGGCGGGTGTCTGACATGGGTACAAACAGAATCCTCTAGAGGAAGTGGCTGGGAATTGGGGAAGTCTCAGCTGAGACACTCATACTATTCCCTGTGAGGTGTGATTTGCTGTGCCTAATTAATCCCATGAATCCTTTCCACAACACTAGAGAATATGGGCCACTGAGTCCATTTTAAAGATAAGGAAACTGAGGCCAGGCGTGGTGGCACATGCCTGTAATAGCAGCACTTTGGGATAGTGAGACCCCACCTCTACAAAAAATACAAGAATTCGCCAGATGTGGTGGTGCACGCCTGTAGTCCAAGCTACTTGGGAGGCCGAGGTGGGAGGATCGCTTGAGCCTGGGAGGTCAAGGCTGCAGCGAGCCATGACTGCACCCCTGTAGTCCAGCCTGGGTGACAGAGAGAGACTATTTTATTTATTTTATTTTATTTTATTTTATTTTATTTTATTTTATTTTATTTTATTTTATTTTTAGACGGAGTCTCACTCTGTCGCCCAGGCTGTAGTGCAGTGGTGTGATCTTGGCTCACTGCAACCTCCACCTCCTAGGTTCAAGCGATCCTCCCATCTCAGCCTCCCAAGTAGCTGGGATTACAGGCACCCGCTATAGGGACCAGCCCCACAGGGTCGGTGGGTCTCTCCCTGTGTGCAGAGACAAGAGAGTGTAGAAATAAAGACACAAGACAAAGAGATAAAAGAAAAGACAGCTGGGCCCGGGGGACCACTACTACCAAGTTGCGGAGACCGGTAGTGGCCCCGAATGTCTGGCTGCGCTGTTATTTATTGGATACAAAGCAAAAGGGGCAGGGTAAAGAGTGTGAGTCATCTCCAATGATAGGTAAGGTCACGTGGGTCATGTGTCCACTGGACAGGGGGCCCCTCCCTGCCTGGCAGCTGAGGCAGAGAGAGAGAGGAGACAAAGAGAAAGACAGCTTAAGCCATTATTTCTGCATATCAGAGACTTTTAGTACTTTCACTAACTGACTACTGCTATCTAGAAGGCAGAGCCAGGTGTACAGGATGGAACACGAAGGCGGACTAGGAGCGAGACCACTGAAGCACAGCATCACAGGGAGACGGTTAGGTCTCTGGATAACTGTGGGCAAGCCTGACTGATATCAGGCCCTCCACAAGAGGTGGAGGAGCAGAGTCTTCTCTAAACTCCCCCGGAGAAAAGGAGACTCCCTTTCCCGGTCTGCTAAGTAGCCGGTGTTTTTCCTTGACACTTTTCGCTACCGCTAGACCACGGTCTGCCTGGCAACAGGCATCTTCCCAGACGCTGGCGTCACCGCTAGACCAAGGAGCCCTTCTGCTGGCCCTGTCCGGGCATAACAGAAGGCTCGCACTCTTGTCTTCTGGTCATACCTCACTATGCCCCCTCAGCTCCTATCTCTGTATGGCCTGGTTTTTCCTAGGTTATGATTGTAGAGTGAGGATTATTATAATATTGGAATAAAGAGTAACTGCTACCAACTAATCATTAATGATATTCATATATAATCATATCTAATATCTATATCTGGTATAACTATTCTTGTTTTATATTTTGTTATACTGGAACAGCTCATGTCCTCGGTCTCTTGCCTCAGCACCTGGGTGGCTTGCCGCCCACAACCCGCCACCACGCCCAGCTAATTTTTGTACTTTTAGTAGAGACGGTGGTTTCACCATGTTGGTCAGGCTGGTCTTGAACTCCTGACCTCATGATCCGCCCACCTCAGCCAACCAAAGTGCTGGGATTACAGGCATGAGCCACCGCACCCGGCCTGTTTATTTTAAAATAAAAATATTTAAAAATAAAGATAAGGAAACTAAGGCCCAAGCCCCGCCCCCCAACCCCACAGCTAATCAGGCCCAGGGCTAGGGCAGAAGCCTGTGTTGTAGGCCTCTAGAGGGGCCCTCCTCTCCATCCGAGCCCCTAACCCGCCATGGTTCCAGGAGCTGCCTGAGTTCGAGGGGGATGTCCTTGCCGTGGGCAGCCAGGCTCTGACCACTGAGGGCATCTATGAGGACGTCATCCGGGGGTGCTTGCTGCAGAGGATTGACCAAGGTGAGTCCCGCCCTGCCATGGCTCAGAGGAGCCTGGCGTCCCTTGGCTGTATGTACCGAGCCCCACCAGGGCCACATCGACTCTCACTTCCTGTGAATACTTGCCATTTGACCTTAAGTCAGGACTTGGCCTGAGGAGGTCCAGGGTAGAGGAGCTCAGAGGGGCAGGGATGGATACTCTCTGAAGGAAGGGCCGTTGGACTGGGGCTGTGAGGGATGTATAGGAGTTCTCAGGATGAGAAGAAGGAGGCAGAGTTCAAAAACTACTGATAGAGGCTGGGTGTGGTGGCTCACACCTGTAATCCCAGCACTTTGGAAGGCTGAGGTGGGCAGATCACTTGAGGTCAGGAGTTTGAGACCAGCCTGTCCAACATGGTGAAACCCCGTCTCTACTAAAAATACAAAAAATTAGCCGGGCATGATGGCACATGCCTGTAGTCCCAGCTACTCGGGAGGCTGAGGCAGCAGAATCGCTTGAACCCAGGAGGCGGAGGTTGCAGTGAGACAAGATCGCGCCACTGCACTGCAGCCTGGCGACAGAACGAGACTATGTCTTTTTTTTTTTTTTTTTTTTTTGAGACAGAGTCTCGCTCTGTCACCCAGGCTGGAGTGCAGTGGAACGATCTTGGCTCACTGCAACCTCTGCCTCCTGGGTTCAAGTGATTCTCCTGCCTCAGCCTCCCGAGTAGCTGGGACTACAGGCATGTGCCACCACGCCCGGCTAATTTTTGTATTTTTAGTAGAGATGGGGTTTCACCATGTTGGTCAGGCTGGTCTCAAACTCCTGACATCGTGATCCTCCCCCCTTGGGCTCCCAAAGTGCTGGGATTACAGGCGTGAGCCACCGCACCCGGCCAAGACTCCATCTTTTATTTTTTATTTTATTTTTGAGACAGAGTCTCACTCTGTCACCCAGGCAGGAGTGCAATGGCATGGTCTCGGCTCACTGCAACCTCCGCCTCCTGGGTTCAAGCCATTCTCCTGTCTCAGCCTCCAAGTAGCTGGGACTACAGGTGCATGCCAGCACACCTGGCTAATTTTTGAATTTTTAGTAGAGATGGGGTTTCACTATGTTGGCCAGGCTGGTCTCGAACTCATGACCTCGTGATCCGCCTGACTTGGCCTCCCAAAGTGCTGGGATTACCGGCGTGAGAGACATCGTCTTAAAACAAACAAAACTACGGATAGACATTTAAATTTATTCATTTAACAACCACTCCCTGTTTTTCTCTGGGCTGGCATTGAGGCCCTAGAGGTTTTCAGACTTGGAGTTGGCCTCTTAGGAGCTCCCGAGCTGGGAAGGAGCTCCAGAAACATCTTTCTCCCTCCTGCTTCCTGAGTTCATTCATGGATTAATTAATGCCCATGATCACTGAGATGTGTGCACTGATTGGGGGGTGAACAGGATGCAGTGGGGATTCAGGGAATGTGAGCATCCATGCAGCCAGCACAAGGGCACGGAGCGGGAGGCTGGAGGCTGCTGGAAGATGCGCAAGGCCTTGAATGACAGGCAGAGGAATTTAGACTTATGGTGCAGGCAGTGGGGAGCCATGGAGGGTGTGTGAGCAGAGGTCAACAGAAGCCAGACTGGAAGTGAGGGAGGAGGCTGAGGCCCCGGTTCTGGGAACAAAGGACAGGCCCGAGCAGGGGCAGCAGCCAAGGGAACAGAGTCTAGGAGGGAGGTGCGGGTGGGAGCTGGAGGTGCCAGAAGTGTTGGGCTTCAGGTGTCACTAAGTGAAGGAGAGGGGTTCCACAAGCCAGGGAAGGTGTGTGGAGAACAGAGGGGAATCTCAAAGAGCCCTCATTTGAAGGAAAGAGGAAGAACAGACATAGAAGGTGAGTTCAGCAGCCAGGCACTGTGGCTCACGCCTGTAAACCCAGCACTTTGGGAGGTTGAGGAGGGTGGATCACTGGAGGTCAGGAGTTTGAGACCAGCTTGGCCAACATGGTGAAACCCCGTCTCTACTAAAAATACAAAAATTAGCTGGGCATGGTGGCACATGCCTGTAGTCCCAGCTACTTGGGAGGCTGAGGCAGGAGAATGGCGTGAACCCAGGAGGCGGAGCTTGCAGTGAGCCGAGATTGCACCACTGCACTCCAGCCTGGGCGACAGAGCGAGACTCCATCTCAAAAAAAAGTTGTTTTTTTTTTTTTAAATAAGGTGAGGTCAGAGAGTTGGGAGACACCCCCATAGATGGTGGGTTCTTGGGAGCCAGGGAATGAGGGAGAGGATGTGTCTGTGAGCATCTAAACAAGAAAAATGGAGCTTCCTTAAAATAGCAGAAGTTTTAAATAGGAATAAAAGCTATTTTCTGACTGCAGAATTAAATCCAGAAACAGTTGACCTCAATAAGTTTCTCTTCCTAAAGATTTTATGTATCCTTAAGTGGGTCCATCCTGAATTGATTTGTGATGTCTGCCTAGAGCAGCATGTTGGGAGGTGGGACTGGCAGTGTCCAGGCTCAGTGAAGGGTGCAGGGATCGGTTAGCAATGTCTGCCATGGGTGCGGGCTTGGAGAGAGGCTCTATGTGAGCCACCTCTTTAGGATTTCTGCTTGAGACATTTGTAGTCTCTCTGGGAAAATGCAGGGAAGCCCCTTGATGCCTGGGCTTCCCCAGGTGTGTCCAAGAGTTCATCTCATTTCAGAATTGAAAAAGACCCTTGGTGCCAATGATGTATCCTGCACTCTGGACGGCTGCTTGGAGGTCCCATGGGAACAGGAGGGAGCAGGTGGGGAACTTCACAGGCTTCTGAAACATGCCAGTGATTGCTGGGGGTGGGGAGGTGGAGGCCCACATGGGGTGTATGGGATTGTCATGAGTGTGGGTTCATGGACGGAACAGAATGCACTTTGTCTCCTTACCCAGCCAGCCTGGCCAAGCTCGTGAACAAGCTCAGTGGGAAGTTGTGGAGTGCATCTGAGCCACAGAGGGACCCTCTAAACCCAGGCTCTGACATGCATGTGAGCTCAGCCCTGGGGGGCTGAGATTGTGGTGAATTTGTGTCCCATCTCTCTCTCTCTCTCTCTCTTTTTTTTTTTTTTGAGACAGAGTCTAGATCTGTTGCCCAGGCTGGAATGCATAATCTCAGCTCACTGCAACCTCCTCCTCCCAGGTTCAAGTGAATCTCCTGCCTCAGCCTCCCGAGTAGCTGGGACTACAGGCGGCACATGCCACCATGCCCAGCTAATTTTTGTATTTTTAATAGAGATGGGGTTTCACCATGTTGGCCAGGCTGGTCTCGAACTCCTGACCTCACATGATCTGACTGCCTCAGCCTCCCAAAGTGCTGGGATTACAGATGTGAGCCACCAGGCCCAGCCTTTGTATCCCATCTCTAATCCTAGGACTTAGGGGGCATCTCCCAATGGCTACTTCCTGTCGCCAACTTGGAAAGGGAGATTGTAGTGACAGGGGCCTTAGGTTTACCACCAGCAAGAGCTTCCAAGATGGCCATAATTTGGGGGATAATTTTTTTATGCAGCAATAGCTAACTAATACACTTCCTAGCTGATCTGGGACAGAGAAACTGATCAATATTTACACTAACTTGGATAAATAGTTAAACAGTCCTAGAAAGACTTCTAAGGCCAGGCACAGTGGCTCATGCCTGGAATCCCAGCACTCTGGGAGGCCAAGATAGGTGGATTGCTTGAGCCTGGGAGTTTGAGACCAGCCTGGACAACATAGCAAGACCCTGTCTCTACAAAAATTTTAAAAATTAGTTGGGTGTGGTGGAATGCACCTGTAGTCCCAGCTACCCGGGAGGCCCAGGTGGGAGGTTTACTTGAGCCGTGGAGATGGGGTGGCATTGAACTATGATTGCACCACTGCCCTCTAGCCCGGGCCACAGAGAGAGACCCTGTCTCAAAAACACAAACTAACAAATACAAACATGAGTGTTAGAATATTTCAGGATTTGCAATTGGATGTGAGGGATTGTAGATGGGCCCCTGAATTTATTTAACCAGAACCAAACCAACAGGCATTTGGTTTCTAGTCTTCCATACTAACAGCCAATGCCACAGGGATTAATCTTGTACATACTTTTTTTTTTTTTTTTTTTTTTTCAAATGCAGGTTCCTGTGGGCAAATCCCGCAATGGGAACCCTCAGAATTTAAAGTATGTGTGTTTGTCATTTCAACAGAGGGCTGTCCACCAGGGTAGCCTCACTGGTGCCCCTCACCTTTGTCCGGGAGGTTTAGGAGCTGCTTTTAGCTCCTTTTCTGAGAACCTTCTCTCCTATCCTTCACCCTTTCATCTTTTGGCTGCTTATACATTTCTTTTTCTTTTTATTTATTTATTTATTTATTTTTTGAGATGGAGTGTCGCTCTGTCACCAGGCTGGAGTGCAGTGGCAGCATCTTGGCTCACTGTAACCTCCACCTTGCGGGTTCAAGCAATTCTCCTGCCTCAGCCTCCCCAGTAGCTGGGATTACAGGCGTCCACCACCACGCCCGGCTACTTTTGTATTTTTAGTAGACATGGGGTTTCACCATGTCGGCCAGGCTGATTTTGAACTCCTGACCTCAGGTGATCCACCTGCCTCGGCCTCCCAAAGTGCTGGGATTACAAGCGTGAGCCACTGCACCCGGCCTACATTTCTTTTTTTTTATTTTTATTTTTTGAGATGGAGTTTCGCTCTTGTCACCCGGGCTGGAGTGCAATGGCGCGATCTCGGCTAACTGCAACCTCTGCCTCTCGGGTTCAAGCGATTCTCATGCCTCAGCCTCCCGAGTAGCTGGGATTACAGGCGCCCACCACCATGCCCAGCTAATTTTTGTATTTTTAGTAAAGATGAGGTTTCACCATGTTGGCCAAGCTGGTCTTGAACTCCTGATCCTTGGTCTCCCAGAGTGCTGGGATTACAGGCATGAGCCATTGCGCCCAGCCAACATCTCTATTAACTCTGATTTTTTAAGCACTTATTACATGCCAGGCATCTGACACATCTGATTTTTGACGTCCGTATATTTTCCATTATACAGATGAGGAAACTGAGGCTGAGCGGGAAGGAGGGGCTTGTCCCAGGCAGCCAGACTCTGGTGCCCAGATCCAGCCACTCTGCCCACCGCCTTCTCCAGGAACATTCCGGAGCTGAATCTTCACCCACATCTATCTTGTTTCTATTGGATAAATGTCTACAAGTGGAATTTCTGGGCCAAAACGGATGTGCCATCTTTAGGCTTTTGTAACCCCTGCAACTTCAGAAAACTGTACCATTTTATACTCCAAGCAGCAGCATTTATTTGTGTATTTTCCCCAAGGCTTTCTTTATTTTAATTTTTTTTTTTTTTTTGAGACTGAGTCTTGCTCTGTCACCCGGGCTGGAGTGCAGTGGCAGGATCTCGGCTCACTGCAACCTCCGCCTCCCGGGTTCAAGCGATTCTCCTGCCTCAGCCTCCCGAGTAGCTGAGATTTCAGGCACCCGCCACCATGCCTGGTTAATTTTTGTGTTTTTAGTAGAGATGGGGTTTCACCATGTTGGCCAGGCTGGTCTCGAACTCCTGTCCTTAAGTGATCTGCCCCCCTCAGCCTCCCAAAGTGCTGGGATTACAGGTGTGAGCCACCACACGTGGCCTAATTTTTTTTTTTTAAATAATAGAGACAAGGTCTCGCTATGCTGCCCAGGCTGATCTCAAACTCCTGGACTCAAGCAATCCTCCTGCCTTGGCCTCCCAAAGTGCTAGGATTATAGGAGTGATCCACTATGTCCAGCCTCCAAATCCTTTCTAAACACTAGGACTTTTCATGAAAAGAAAAAAGCTATGCCAGTTAGACACACACAGAAATCTCATGATTTTATTTTGAATTTCTTTGACTAAATTGAACTTACAAATAAGTTTATTATGGCCAGGCGTGGCAGTGCACACCTGTAATCCCAGCACTTTGGGAGGCTGAGGCGGGCAGATCACTTGAGCTCAGGAGTTCAAGACCAGCCTGGCGAACATAGTGAGACCTCATCTCTACAAAAAATACAAAATTAGCGGCCGGGAGTGGTGGCTCACGCCTGTCATCCCAGCACTTTGGGAGGCTGAGACAGGTGGATTGCTTGAGCCAAGGAGTTTTGAGGCCAGCTTGGGCAATGTGGTGAAACCTGTCTCTACTAAAAAATAAAATAAATAAATAAATAAATAAATAAATAAATAAATAAATAAAATTTAAAAGAAGCTGGGCTGAGATGGGAGATTTACCTGAGCCTGGGAACTCAAGGCTGCAGTGAGTGGTGATTGCACCACTGCACTCCAGCCTGGGTGATGGGAGTGAGACCCTGTCTCAAAAAACAAAATCCAAATATGTTGATTAGCCATTTACATGTTTGTAGTTTTTTTTTTTTTAATTTCAGTGAATTGCCTGTTCATAGCTTTTTTCTACTTTTCAGGAGTGTTTGCATTTTTCTTATTGATATCTAATAACTCTTTATATCTGAAGGATATGAACGCTTTGTGATACAGGTTACAGATTTTGGGGTTTTTTTCTCCGCTTGCTGTGAGCCTTTTGGGTTTGTTTCCTAGCTCCAAATCTTAACTTGGTGTCAAGTTTCCTGGCTGGGAGACAAGCTTTTACCGACTTCCTCTGCTTGCCAGCAAAGTCATCTGCTAACTGGATATTGGCAGCTTCTCTGCTGTCTTGCAGCTGCTTCCGGAGTGGGTTCCACAGGGATTCCCGTGTGTTCTTGGTTCAGCTTGCAGAGGGACTTTCACACTCCCTGGAGACCGTTTCCTCCCATTCTGTCTGGAGTTTTCGGCCTACCCCAAGACAATGAGATATTCCTGACCTTTCCACCTATTTCCCTCCAACCCCACCTTCCGAAATACATTTGCTCAATACATTTGCACTTCATAGGCTTCTTTAGCTGTCTTCCTTTTACCCCGGACGGGATGTAGATGTTAATTCTGGAACAATTGCAGCTACAAGAATTTGTCATCCTGCCCCTTTTGAGAAAAACATTGTTTGCCCTTGGGTCTAAATCCTTCCAGATGGGATGGGATGTATCTTGTCACCTCCTTTTTCTTACTTAATATGAAAAGACCTTTCCTCATCAAGTCCACAGAGTGTAAATTTGTTTTTACCTTTTTTTTTTTTTTTTTGAGACGGTGTCTCACTCTGTCACCCAGGCTGGAATGCAGTGGTGCGATTTTGGCTCACTGCAACCTCCACCTCCTGGGTTCAAGTGATTCTCCTGCCTCGGCCTCCGTAGTAGCTGGGATTACAGGCGAAGCGCCACCATGACCGGCTAATTTTTTGTGTTTTTAGAAGAGATGGGGGCTTCACCATATTGACCAAGCTGGTCTCGAACTCCTGACCTCAAGTGATCCGCCTGCCTCAGCCTCCCAAAATGCTGGGATTACAGGCGTGAGCCACTGCACCTGGCCTGTATCATTCTTAAAAATTAAGTTTTAGCGGGGCATGATGGCTCACTGGTAATCCCAGCAGTTTGGGAGGCTGAAGGGGGAGGATTACTTGAGACCAGGAGTTTGAGAACAGCCGGGGCAACATAGCGAGACTCCATCTCTACAAAAAATTTAAAAATTAGCTGGGCGTGGTTGAGTGCACTTGTAGTCCCAGCTACTTGGGAGGCTGAGGCAGGAGGATCAGTTGAGCCCAGGAGGTTGAGGCTGCAGTGAGCCATGATCATGTGATCATGCCACTGCACTCTAGCCTGAGCCACAGAGTAAGACCCTCTCTGTGAAAATAATAATAAGCTGGGCGCGGTGGCTCACGCCTGTAATCCCAGCACTTTGGGAGGCTGAGGTGGGCGGATCAGGAGGTCAGGAGTTCGAGACCAGCCTGGCCAATATGGTGAAACCCCATCTCTACTATAAACAAAAATTAGCCGGGCGTGGTGGCGCGTGCCTGTAGTCCCAGCTACTCAGGAGGCTGAAGCAGGAGAATCGCTTGAACCCGGGAGGCGGAGGTTGCAGTGAGCCGAGATCGCGCCACTGTACTCTAGCCGGGGCAATGGAGTGAGACGCTGTCTCAAAAAAAAAAAAAAAGAAAATAATAATAATAATAATAATAATGTTCAGATGTATTTTTTAAAGTTTTTATTGTTTTTAAAAATAGAGGCACGGTCTTGCTATGTTGCACCACTGCACTCCAGCCCGGGCAACAAAGCCAGACTCCGTCTCAAAAAAAAAAAAAAAAAAGTGTGATACTAAGTCAATCAATTTGAAAATGCGGCTCTAGAGTATTGGAAAACAATCCCTTGACAGCGTTTCCATGAAAACATGGCCCTTGTCTCTGGAAGAGCTTGTGCCCAGAACGGTCCATTATCATGCCCTGGCTCTATTTTCACGCCAACCCTATAGGGTCTCTATGATCTCATTTTATAGATGGACAGACTGAGGCTCACATATAGCAAGCCCAAGGCGGGGACTGAATGTGACGCCAGGTCTGTGGACGTCATGACCTTTATTCTCCACAACCCTCAATGACATCCCTGTGAGATCCAAAACCAGGATGGCAAAACCCACGTTGCAGCAGAGGAAACTGAGGCTAAGGTCTCTTGGGTCCCAAACCAGGTCCTAAGTAGCCAAGTCCGCCTGGTGGCACAGCCCGGGTTTTATACATGGGGAAATTGGGCGGCGCATCTGGCGGAGGTCTCAGTGGTAGGAGGCGCCTGGAGGAAGCGCGGGTTCCTAACCCTAACGCTACCCCTAACATCCCTTCCACGCGCTCCGAGCGCTATGTGCCTTTAAGATCGGTGCGGGGGCGGGGCGTCCTGGGTAGGGCTGCAGGTGACGTCACTCCGGGCCTTGGGACTCGGAGAGCGTCTGGAGGCGGGGCCTGGACTTCACGCCCGGCGCGCTCCTCCCCTTTAAGGCGCGCGGCCGGGCGGGGCCCCTATGACCCCTTTAAGGCGCGGCCAGAGTCCTCCCGCAGAAAAACGACTTAAAGGAGACGCGTGGCGCGATGGCGGCGGCCCCACGCGCGGGCCGGCGGCGCGGGCAGCCGCTCCTGGCGCTGCTGCTTCTGCTGCTGGCGCCACTGCCGCCGGGGGCCCCGCCGGGCGCCGACGCCTACTTCCCCGAGGAGCGCTGGAGCCCGGAGTCGCCCCTGCAGGCGCCGCGCGTGCTCATCGCGCTGTTGGCGCGAAACGCGGCCCACGCGTTGCCCACCACGCTGGGCGCACTCGAGCGGCTGCGGCACCCGCGGGAGCGCACGGCGCTATGGTGAGTCGAGCCCGCTGTCCCCATCAGGCGGGTCACGCGAGCCCCTGCTTGCTGTCCCCATAGGGGTGGGTCCACGCGAGCCCCTGCCCGCTGTCCTCTTCTGGGCGGGTCCGCGCGTGCTTCCTGCTCGCTACCCCCATCGGGACGGTTCTACGCATGCCCCTGCCCGCTGCCCCCATCGGGACGGGTCCACGCGTGCCCCCTGCCTGCTGTCCTCCCATGGGGCCAGACACAGCCCTCCCCACAACACAAGCGGGACCGAGTTCCTCCTGCTGGCTCCTTTGGGGTGGGCTGGGCACCGCTTCTGCCTGCTGGACCCTACTAGGGCAGCTCCGGCCTCACTAACTGGGGCTCTAACTCCCTCTGGGGCACGTACACCTCCAAAGGACGGAGCCCAGAGCCCCCACTGGGGCGTTGCCAGAGGCCACATCTAACAGCAAGCCTTTCTGTGCCGGCTGCTGCCCTTAAGCTTGAACTCAGCCTGGCTCCAGGCCCCAGTCAAACCCCTGCCCTCAGACCGGCGTGGGTGGAGTCCAGGACCAGATGGCCCAGGAGGAAGTGGATGCTTTCTTGGTAGGGAATGGGGCAGAGCTCTGAAGAAACCTTTGACTGGTGACTTCTCACTCCCTGCCTCAGTTTTCTCAAATGGAAAATGGGTCCGGGTGCAGTGGCTCACGCAGTAATCCTAGCAATTTGGGAGGCCAAGGTAAGCGGGTCACTTGAGCTCAGGAGTTCGACACCAGCCTTGCCAACATGGCAAAACCCCGTCTCTAGAAAAAAAATACAAAAATTAGCCAGGTGCGGTGGTGTGTGCCTGTAGTCCCAGCTATTCAGGAGGCTGACGCAGGAGAATCGCTTGAGCCCAGGAGTTCGAGGCTGCAGTGACCTATGATTGCACCACTGCACTCCAGCCTGGGCTACAGAGTAAGACCTGCCTCTAAAAAAAGAAAAAGAAAAGAAAATGAGCGTATTAATATAATTCTCTTTTTGGGTTTGTCTCTGAAGATTATCCAGTTAATGGATGTGGAGCCCTTGGGTCTGGCATGGGCTTGGCTCTCAGTGATTTTATTATCATGATTACTGTCATTGCTGGTGTTATTGTCAACTTAATTTATTGGGCAGAATTAGCTTTTGGCACTACGGTCAAACTAAACTCCCAAATGTCGCTTTTCCTTCCACCTGATTTCTCAGTCTGGATAATCCAAATACACAATTGGTACTTAACAAATGTTTGTTGAATGAATAATTGACTGCAGCCCACTGAAGTGGTGTGGCTCACAGGAGAAGATGAAGGCAGGGTAAGGGATTTATGAGATATACTTTGAGATATACTTTTTTTTTTCTCTCAGACGGAATCTTGCTCTGTCGCCCAGGCTGGAGTACAGTGACACGATCTCAGCTCATTGCAACCTCCGCCTCCGGGTTCAAGTGATTCTCCTGCCTCAGCCTCCCGAGTAGCTTGGGATTACAGGTGCGCACCACCATGCCTGGCTAATTTTTGTATTTTTAATAGAGTCAGGGTTTCACCATTGTGGCCAGGCTTGTGTTGATCTCCTGACCTCATGATCTGCCTGCCTCGGCCTCCCTAAGTGCTGGGATTACAGGCATGAGCCACAGCGCCCTGCTGAGATATACTTTTTTTTTTGATACAGGGTTTTACATCTGTCGCCCAGGCGGGAGTGCAGTGGTGCAATCCTAGCTCACTGCAACTTCCCCCTCCTGGGCTCAAGTGATTCTCCTGCCTCAGCTTCTTGAGTAACTGGGACTACAGGCGTATGCCACTGCGCCCAGCTAATTTTTGTATTTTTTCTAGAGATGGGGTTTTGCCCTATTGGCCAGGCTGGTCTCGAACTCCCGAGCTCAAGTGACCTGCCCACCTCGGCCTCCCAACATATTGGGATTACAGGCGTGAGCCATTGCACCCAGCTGGTTTCTGATATATACATTTCATTTTTTAATATTTTTTATTTATTTATTTTTTGAGACTGAGTCTCGCTCTCGTTGCTGAGGCTGGAGTGCAGTGGCACGATCTCGGCTCACTGCAACCTCCTCCTCCCAGGTTCAAGCGATTCTCCTGCCTCGGCCTCCTGAGTAGCTGGGATTACAGGTGCCCGCCACCACACCCAGCTAATTTTTTGTGTTTTTAGTAGAGATGGGATTTCACCATGTTGGCCAGGCTAGGCTCAAACTCCTGGCCTCAAGTGATTCACCCGCCTCGGCCTCCCAAAGTGCTGGAATTACAAGCGTGAGCCACCATGCCCGGCCTAATTTTTGTATTTTTAGTAGAGATGGGGTTTCGCCATGTTGGCCAGGCTGGTCTCAAACTCCTGACCTCAGGTGATACACCCGCCTCGGCCTCTCAAAGTGCTGGGATGACAGGCGTGAGCCACCGTGCCTGGCCTGATCTATACATTACAAAAATTGCCGTGTGCGGTGGCTCATTCCTGTCATCCCAGCACTTTGGGAGGCTGAGGCAGGTGGATCACCTGAGGTCAGGAGTTCGAGAGCAGCCTGGCCAACATGGCGAAACCCCATCTCTACTAAAAATGCAAAAATTAGCTGGGCATGGTGGTGGGCACCTGTAATCCCAGCTACTCGGGAGGCTGAGGCAGGAGAATTGCTTGGACCTGGTAGGCGGAGATTGCAGTGAACCAAGATTGTGCCACTGCACTCTAGCCTGGGTGACAGAGCAAGACTCTGTCTCAAAAGAAAAAAAAAATTAAGTGACACATATTTGTTAGTGAATGTGGTTTGCAAGATCTTAGATGCTCAGTAATAAAACAGCCAATCACTAATGGGTCTTTCCAAAATCAGCTTGTTTAATCCTTCCACTTCCCAGTAAACTGGGTCCTGTTCCCACCCCCATGTTACAGATGAGGAAACTGACATGGAAAGGGAGAAATGGGCCGGGCGCGGTGGCTCACGCTTGTTAAGTCCAGCACTTTGGGAGGCCAAGGTGGGCGGATCACGAGGTCAGGAGATCGAGACCAGCCTGGCCAACATGGTGAAACCCCGTCTCTACTAAAAATACAAAAAAATTAGCCGGGTGTGGTGGCGGGCGCCTGTAGTCCCAGCTACTTGGGAGGCTGAGACAGGAGAAGGCGTGAACCCGGGAGGCGGAGCTTGCAGTGAGCCGAGATCGCGCCACTGCACTCCAGCCTGGGCAACAGAGCGAGACTCTGTCTCAAAAAAAAACAAAGGAAAGGGAGAAGTGTCCTGTCCAGGGATACATAGCTGGTGGGAGGCCAGTTGGGGATGGTGGTCCTTGACTTGCCTCACTGCTGCCTGGTCCTGCCTCAGTCTCCCCAAGTACGCTGCCTGTCCCCTCTCCCTGCAGGGTGGCTACGGACCACAACATGGATAACACGTCAACTGTGCTGCGGGAGTGGCTGGTGGCCGTGAAGAGTTTGTACCATTCCGTGGAGTGGCGGCCAGCAGAGGAGCCCAGGTGAGCATCTTTCCCCTGCTCCTAGTCTGATTGGGCTTTGCCTCTGCTCACACACCCTCTATGGCTCCCCATTGCCCCAGAACAATTACAGGCCCTCAGTCCCTGCCTCCAGCCCAGCCAGGCAGCATTAAGCTACTCTGAGCCTCCCTCAGCTTTACAAATAGGCCATAATCCTCTTCTCAGACCTTTGCCCAAGCCGTTCCCTGTACCTAGAATTCTTTCACTCCCTTTTTCTTCTGGGGACGCCCACTGCTTTGTTCCCTGGCTCACTGACTCAGTCTTGGTCCCAGCACTGGCTTTGCTGTTTATCTACTCCCTAAAGCCCTGGGCAGCATGGACTCCCTGCCCCCACCCAGTTCCTTTCTGGGTTTTTGTTTTTTTTTTGAGACAGGGTCTCACTCCCTCACCCAGGCTGGAGTGCAGTGGAGTGAACACAGCTTACTGCAGCCTTTAACTCCTGGGCTCAAGCCATCCTCCCGCCTCAGCCTCCTGAGTAGCTGGGACTACAGGCACATGTAACCATGCCTAGCTAATGTTTTTGTATTTTTTGTAGAGATAGGGTCTCACTGTGTTGCCCAGGCTGGTCTCAAAGTGCTGGCCTCAAGCGATCCTCCCACCTCTGCCTCCCAAAGTGCTGGGATCGCAGGCGTGGGCCACTGCACTGGACCCCACTGAGCTTCCTTCCTTCCTTCCCTCCAGTGTGCCTCGGGCTTTCTTCCCTCCAGGCCTTTGCACAGGCTGTACCTCCGGCCAGGAACATTCTCCCCACTTCTCTTTCCTCGTCGTTTACTTTTTCCCATCCCTCAGATCAGCTTACACGTCCCCTCCTCCAGGAAGCTCTCTCTGAGTACCCCGAAGGCAGCTCAGGCCCTCGCTGGGCTTTGATAGTGCCTTGTGATGTCCACATCACAGCTGCCTCCCCATAGGTCCTACCCGGACGAGGAAGGCCCGAAACACTGGTCTGACTCACGCTACGAGCATGTCATGAAGTTGCGCCAGGCAGCCCTGAAATCAGCTCGAGACATGTGGGCTGATTACATCCTGGTAAGTTTCTCAGCCGGCCGGATATGGATCACAGGCAGGTCTGGGTATCCCCAGGGAAGGCGGAGCAGCAGGATGCCAGGACCATCCTTAATGTTGTTTTGCAGAAGGGTAAACTGAGGCTTAGAGAGGGGAGATGAGTTGCTTGAGGTGATATGGTTGGTCAGTGGAGGAGGAGCTGGGATTCATTTGATCCTCAGCACTAGGAATGAATGGGCTTTTCTGTCCCCAGTTGTCCCCTGTGTTTGGACACTTGGGTCAAGTCCATTTTTATTTTTTTATTTTTTTGAGACAGAGACTCACTCTGGTGCCCAGGCTGGAGTGAAGTGCCGCAATATCGGCTCACTGCAACCTCTGCCTCCTGGGTTCAAGCGATTCCCGTGCCACAGCCTCCTGAGTAGCTGGGACCACAGGCACCCACCACCACGCCCGGCTAATTTTTTATTTTTATTTTTGTGGAAGCCAGGCATGGTGGCTCATGCCTATAATCCCAGCACTTTAGGAGGCCAAGGCGGGTGGATCACTTGAGGTCAGGAGGTCGAGACCAGCCTGGTCAATATGGTGAGACTCCATCTCTACTAAAAATACAAAAATTAGCCGGGCGTGGTGGCAGGTGCCTGTAATCCCGGCTACCTGGGAGGCTGAGGCAGGAGGATTTCTTGAACCTAGGAGGCAGAGGTTGCAGTGAGCCGAGATCGTGCCACTGCACTCCAGTCACTGGGCGACACAGTGAGACTCCATCTCATAAATAAATACATAAATAAATATTTTTAAAAAATAACAAATAAAAAATATTTTTGTAGAGACGGGGTCTTGCTATGTTGCCCAGGCTGGTCTCCAACCCCTGGGCTCAAGTGATCTTCCTGCCTCGGCCTCCCAAAGTGCTGGGATTACAGGCATGGGCCACCGTGCCTGGCCGTGTCACGTCTGTTTTTATCACCATCATATGTAATGGCCAAACCTTTGGGTCACTTCCAAGAAGCAGGAGGAAGGGGTCAGGGGCTGGGGGGTGGTGGCCACATTGAATTGCTGAGGCCTGACTTGCACTTCCTCCTCCTGTGGGGACATTGTCTCATGGGGAAGGGAACAGTTGAGTCTTTTTATTTTTTTCTCGAGCCAAGATCACGCCACTGCACTCCAACCTGGGCCACAGTATGAGACTCTGTCTCAAAAAAAAAAAAAAAAAAAAAAAAACAGACTTATAGGTTGAATATTACTATTATTTTTTAATTTGTATAAACTTATGGAGCACAAGTGTAATTCTGTTACATGCATAGATTGTGAAGTGGTGAAGTCAGAGATTTTGGGGCGTCCATCCCCTAAATAATATACATTGAACCCATTACACAGTTTTCTATGATCAACCCCAAATGTTATTTCAGCCTTCATACTTTTCTATATTCTCCTGATTTTCTTTTTTCTTGTTTTTTGAGACAGAGTCTCTGTTGCCCAGGTTGGAGTGCAGTGGCACAATCTCGGCTCACTGCAGCCTCCTCCTCCTGGGTTCAAGCAATTCTTCTGCCTCAGCCTCCTGGGTAGCTGGGATTACAGGCCCCCGCCATCATGCCTGGCTAATTTTTGTAATTTTAGTAGAGACGGGGTTTCGCCATGTTGGCCAGGCTGGTCTCTAAAGTCCTGACCTCAGGTGATCCAGCTGCCTCGGCCTCCCAAAGTGCTGGGATTATAGGTGTGAGCCACCACATCCAGCCCATCTCTTAAAACAAACAAACAAAAAGCAGAAAAGAAAAAGCAAAGAGTCAAGTGAGCAAAGTGATTACGATGCAGTGGTGGCTAGAGGTCCAACTACACAGGCCAGTGGAGGCACTTGGTGTCTACTTGGAGGGGAATGGGGAGCCATGGAGGGTGTGTGAGCAGGGGAGGTCTGTGTTCTGATTTGAGATTTTCAGAAGCCTCTGTGGACCAGGCGCGGTGGCTCATGCCTCTAAATTCAGTACTTTGAGTGGCTGAGGCAAGTGGATTGTTTGACTTCAGGAGTTTGAGACCAGCCTGGTCAACATGGTGAAACCCTGTTTCTACCAAAATATAAACATTAGCTTGGCATGGTGATGCGCGCCTGTAACCCCAGCTACTTGGGAGGCTGAGGCAGGAGAATGTCTTGAACCCGGGAGGCAGAGGTTGCAGTGAGCTGAGATTGCACCACTGCGCTCCAGCCTGGGCGACAGAGTGAGACTATGTCTCAAAAAAAAAAAGCCACACACTAGCAGGAAGCTGGAGTAGAGGCCCAAGCAGGGTATCAGCGATTGATGGACAGGCCTGCATGGGGTGGGGGCCGTGGAGAAAGGCAGGGGGTTCAGGATGCGTCACGAGGTGAAGGAGACAGGTTCTGCTTTGACACTGGATGTGAAGGTGCCAGGGAGAGAGGAACGGGGACAGTGCCACATCTAGGGAGGACGGATGGAGCTCCTGAGGGGACCCTTTCGCTTGGTGCCTTATCAGACCATTTTATAGGTGAGGAAACAGGCTGACGGAGGGGACATCTTGCCTGGTGGGGTGTCAGAACTGGCAAGGAGGCAGAGAGGTGGATCTGGAGCCTTCCAGAGCCTTCTGACACAAAGCTGCCTTGTCCTGCCTCTAGGATTTTGCTTTTGTGGTTTGAGGTTGCCTGGCTTTAGCTTTTTTTTCCCTCAGCAAACCGGGGTGGAACTCAAAGTGCTGGTTCAAAACTCAAAGTGGCTTTTGACACAAAATAATATTTTCGTGTTTCTTTTTTTTTTTTTTTTTTTTTGAGACAGTGTCTCACTCTGTCGCCCAGGCTGGAGTGCAGTGGCGCGATCTTGGCTCACTGCAGCCTCCACCTCCTGGGGTCAAGTGACTCTCCTGCTTCGGCCTCCCAAGTAGCTGGGACTACAGATGCTTGCCACCATGCCCGGCTATTTTTTTTTTTGTGACGGAGTCTCACTCTGTCGCCCAGGCTGGAGTGCAGTGGTGCGATCTCAGCTCACTGCAAGCTCTGCCTCCCAGGTTCATGCCATTTTCCTGCCTCAGCCTCCTGAATAGCTGGGACTACAGGCGCCCGCCACAACACCCGGCTAATTTTTTGTATTTTTAGTAGAGACAGGGTTTCACCGTGTTGGCCAGCATGGTCTCGATCTCCTGACCTCGTGATCCACCCGGCTTGGCCTCCCAAAGTGCTGGGATTACAGGCGTGAGCCAGCGCGCCTGGCCCGACTAATTTTTTTTGTATTTTTGTAGAGACAGGGTTTCACTATGCTGACCAGGCTGATCTCGAACTCCTGACTTCAGGTGATCCACCCACCTCGTCCTCCCAAAGTACTACTGGGATTACCGGTGTGAGCCACTGCGCCTGGTCACAAAATTATATTTTTGTAACTGGGGACTTTGGAACCCATATTGGAATGTGAAATAGTTTGTCTAATGTTTTAAAATGATTGTTTGAAGGTCCCCCTTTCTCTCTCTTTTTACAAAAGCTATGGATGTTACTTGCAGGTAAAAAAAATAAATAAAAATATACGAGCTGGGTGTGTCTCACGCCTGTAATCCCAGTGCTTCAGGAGGCCAATGTGGGAGGATCATTTGAGGTCAGGAGTTCAAAACCAGCCTGGGCAACATAGTGAGACCCCCCCCATCTCTACAAAAACTAACAAAAAAAAAAAATTAGCCAGGTGTACTGGTTTGTGTCTGTAGTCCCAGCTAATTGGGAGGCTGAGGTGGGAGGATTGCTTGAGCCCAGGAGTAGGAGGCTGCAATCAGCCATGATTGTGTCACTGTACTCCAGCTTGGGTGACAGAGCGAGACCCTTTCTTAAGCTTCGTATATGTGTATGTGTGTGTGTATGTGTGTGCGTGTGTGTATACATATATACATATATACGTGTATATGTATATATATCTATATATGTATATAAACATATATACGTGTGTGTGTGTATAATATAGATATACATATGAAACAAGAAAGAAAAACATCTACTTTTTTTTTTTTTTTTTTTTTGAGATGGAGTCTCATTTTGTCACCCAGGCTAGAGTGCAGTGGCGCCATCTCGGCTCACTGCAACCTCTGCCTTCTGGGTTCAAGCAATTTTCCTGCCTCAGCCTCCGGAGTACCTGGGATTACAGGTGCCCGCCACCATGCCTGGCTAAGTTTTTGTATTTTTAGTGGAGATGGGGTTTCGCCATGTTGGCCAGGCTGGTCTTGAACTCCTGACCTCAAGTGATCACCTGCCTCAGCCTCCCAAAGTGCTAGGATTGCAGGCGTGAGCCACCGCCCCTGGCCAGCATCTAAATTTTAATTGTATCTCCTGGAGAGATTCACTTTCTCCTCTTTCTTGTTTGTTTTAATTGAAGTCAGTTCACATATATATTTATTTGTTTTGCAACCACCACCTCTAATTCTAGAACATTTTCATTCCCCAGAAAGAAAACCCTATTCCCATCAGCAGTCACTCCCCAACTCCCCATTCCTCTCCCCTAGGCTCTGGCAGCCACTAATCTGCTTCCTGTCTACGGATTTGTCAATGGAATGTCACACTATATGGCGTTTCGTGTCTGGTTTCTCTCACTCAGCATTGAGTTTTCAGGGTTCATTACAGCCTGGATCAGTGCTTCCTTCCTTTGTATGGCTGACTCTTATTCCGTTGTCTGGGTGGACCACGTTATGTTGATCTCCTCATCCGTTGATGGACACACTTCAGTCACTTCCACCTTTTTTGGCTGTTGAGACTTTTTTTTTGAGACAGAGTGTTGCTCTGTCGCGCAGGTTTGCAGTGCAGTGGCACGATCTCGGCTCACTGCAACCTCCATCTCCTGGGTTCAAGCGATTCTCCTGCGTTAGTCTCCCGAGTAGCTGAAATTACAGGCATGTGTCACCATGCCCGGCTAATTATTTTTATTTATTTTTATTTTTAGTAGAGACGGGGTTTCACCGTGTTGCCCAGGCTGGTCTTGGACTCTTGACCTCATGTGATCTGCCTGCCTTGGCATCCCAAAGTGCTAGGATTACAGGTGTGAGCCACTGCACCCGGCCTGGCTGTTGGGATTCTGACATGAACATGAGCGTACAAAGACCTGTTTGAATTATCTGGGCATGGTGGTGCGCGCCTGTATTTAATCCCAGCTACTCAGGAGGCTGAGGCAGGAGAATCATCTGAACCTAGGAGGTGGAGGTTGCAGTGAGCCGAGATCACACCACTGCACTTCAGCCTGGGTGACTGAGCAAGACTCTGTCTCAAAAACAAACAAACAAACAAAGAAGCTGTTTGAGTCCTTTCTTTCAATTCTCTTGGTTCATACCTAGGAATGGAATTCCTGGATCATGTAGTAATTCTATGTTTAGCTTTTTGAGGAACTGCCACAGTGATCTGGCTGTTTGTTCTGCATTAATATTCAAAGGTCACAGATTCAAACATCCAGAGGGACCGGATGGGGTGTGTAACATGACCACAGGGCTTGTCCTAAGACCCAGCCACCTCCCCTCTGCAACTGAAGGTTGCCATGTGGAAATGGTATTCTCACGTTGCCAGGGGATACTGGAATTCTAGTTTTTGTTGTTGTTCATGGCAGTTAATCCAAATATTCTAAACGATACTGCCTGGGTAACAGAAAGCATCTCTGTGGACCAGCAGTAAAAGAAAAAAAATCCAGACCGGGCACAATGGCTCACACCTGTAATCCCAGCACTTTGGGAGGCCGAGGCAGGCGTATCACTTGAAATCAAGAGTTCGAGACCAGCCTGGCCAACCTGGTGAAACCCCATCTCTACCAAAAAATACAAAAATTAGCCTGACGTGGTGGCATGTGTCTGTAATCCCAGCTACTTGGGAGACTCAGGGAGAATTGCTTGAACATGGGAGGTGGAGGTTGCAGTGAGCCGAGATCACGCCGCTGCACTCCAGCCTATGCAACAGGAGACGCCATCTCAAAAAAACAAAAACAAAAACAAAAAACCTTCTGGTAGTTCTGTGATATATCATGACTTCTGTGTCTTTACATCCTGGTAGAGGGGGAACGTCCGGACCTAATCATTTTCTATGTGTGATTTTATATATATATATTTAATTTTAGTCTAGGTGCAGTGGCTCAGACCTGTAATCTCAGAACTATTGTAGGCCATGGGGAGGATCGCTTTGAGCCCAGGAGTTCAAAACCACCCTAGGCAATGTAGAGGGATCCTATCTCTACAAACATAAAAATAAAAATGAAAACATTATCTAGGCATGGTGACGTGTGCCTGTACGCTCAGCTACTTGAGAGGCTGAGATGAGAGGATCACTTGAGCCCAGAAACTCCAGGCTGCAGTGGGCTACGATTACACCATTGCACTTCAGCCTGAGTGACACAGCAAGATGCTATCCCTTTAAAAAATAAAAAATGAAGAAAAAGTAAAATAGTAGGCCAGGCATGGTGGCTCATGCCTGTAATCCCAGCACTTTGAGAGGCCGAGGTGGACGAATCACATGAGGTCAGGAGTTTAAAACCAGCCTGGCCAACATGATGGTACCCTGTCTCTATTAAAAATACAAAAAGTTACCCGGGTGTGATGGTGCACGGCTGTAGTCGCAGCTACTCGGGAGGCTGAGACAGGAGAATCGCTTGAACCCAGGAGGCGGAGGTTGCAGCGAGCTGAGACCATACCACTGCACTCCAGCCTGGGTGACAGAGCGAGACTCCGTCTCAAAAAAAAAAAGGTTTTGCTACCTTCTTGCTCATTGGTTGTTCATTTATTTCTCAGGGCTATCTCAGTGCCTAGAATTTTCTTTGAAGGAACTGAAGACCTTTGCTTTATTTCCATGATCCAGGGGATCCTGCAGGCCCCCAAAACGGGGTCCCTGCTTCATTTCATCCGGTGTAGGGGGTGCTTCCAGAGGTCTTTGCCAGACCCCCAGGGCACTGGCCTTTGCCCCAGCTGTTCTGAATGGTAGCCTGACCTGGCAGCCCATGCTGATGCTTTGTGGGGTGTTCTGCAGTTTGTAGATGCGGACAACCTGATCCTCAACCCTGACACACTGAGCCTGCTCATCGCTGAGAACAAGACGGTGGTCGCCCCCATGCTGGATTCCCGGGCTGCGTACTCCAACTTCTGGTGTGGAATGACTTCCCAGGTAGAGTGAGGGCCTGGGGACTGTGGGGACTGGGCTGAGCAGGGGGGTGCCGTGGCTAGAGTGTAACTTACTGTCACACAACCTCGTGGTGTGTGTTTTACAAAAATCATCATGGAAGCTGGGCACGGTGGCTCACACCTGTAACCCCAGCACTTTGGGAGACTGCGGCAGGCGGGTTGCCTGAGCTCAGGAGTTTGAGACCATCCTGGGCAACATGGTGAAACCCCATCTCTACTAAAAAAAAAAAAAATTACAGAAATTAGCCGGGTATGGTGGCACATGCCTGTCCTCCCAGCTGCTCGGGAGGCTGAAGCATGAGAATCACTTGAACCCAGGAGGCGGAAGTTGCAGTGAGCCGAGATCACGCCACTGCACTCCAGCCTGGGTGACGGAGTGAGACTTGGTCTCAAAAACAAAACAAAACAAAAACTCATTATGGTAATCTTTAAACAGCCCTCTGAGGCCAGACAGGAGGGAAGAATAGAGGGTCCTTGATTGTCCCCCACCATGCTATTCCAGAGGTGGAAACAGAAACACAGAGAGGAAGTGACTTGCCTAAAGTCACACAGCTAGCAAGTGGTGGTGTCAGGATGGGACTTCAGGCATGGCTTGATCCAGGTGTTTGGATAACTGTCTTTCTCCATCCTTTGGGTGGGTTCATTCTCAGACAGCTTGAGAGTGATCCCAGCAGCGTCTAGCCATCATCCATTCTGATTGGGCCATTGCTAGTCTCCTCTCCACACTACCTCTGAACTCATTACTGAAGCTGGGAAAATACAAGGCTCTTTCTTATTGGCCATGCCTGGCCACAGGTCCCACACTGGGCTTGAGTCTGGGGTCCTGGGACCACAGGCGCACACTGCTGTGCCTGGCTGTCTGTCTGGTCCTGTTTCATGCCGCCCACTATCACGGGTCTCCATCCTCACCTTTCAAGACCCCTACGCGGAACTCTCGCTCTCTCCCCACAGGGCTACTACAAGCGCACACCTGCCTACATCCCTATCCGCAAGCGAGACCGCCGGGGCTGCTTTGCAGTTCCCATGGTGCACTCGACCTTCCTGATCGACCTGCGGAAGGCGGCGTCCAGGAACCTGGCCTTCTACCCACCTCACCCTGACTACACCTGGTCCTTTGACGACATCATCGTCTTTGCCTTCTCCTGCAAGCAGGCAGGTACGTACATGAGGGGTCTGCCATCGCAGGGGCATCTGCCTGGTTCTTTGGGTTTTGCACTAAGCCAGTTCAGAACACACTGAAGATTCACAGAACCCAAACAATGCAGCGCAGGGCTGACTTCAGGTGCAGCTGTATCTAGGTGTTCAGATAATGTCTCCAGGACCCCGTTTCTCTCCAGCCCTGGCTTTGCTGGTTAGCTTCATTCCCTAGCTCTTTAAGATCTATTGGTTGGTCAGGCAGAGTGGCTTATGCCTGTAATCCCAACAATTTGGCAGGCTAAGGCGGGTGGATCATTTGAGGTCAGGAGTTTGAGACCAGCCTGGCCAACATGGTGAAACCCCATCTCTACTAAAAATACAAAAATTAGCCGGACGTGGTGGTGCTACTGGGGAGGCTGAGGCGGGAGGATCACTTGAATATGGGAGGCGGAAGTTGCAGTGAGCCGAGATCATGCCACTGCACTCCAGCCTGGGCAACAAAGTAAGAATCCTTCTCAAGAAAAAAATACCTATTGATTGCATGTTACTATTATTTTTTAATTTGTGTAAATTTATGGAGCACAAGTGTAATTTTGTCACGTGCATAGATTGTGAAGTGGTGAGTCAAGAGATTTTAGGGCATCCATCCCCAAATAATATACATTGAACCCGTTACACAATTTTCCATGATCAACCCCAAATGTTATTTCAATCTTCATACTTTTCTATATTCTCCCAATTTTCTTTTGTTTTTTTTTTTTGAAGTAGAGTCTTGCTCTGTCACCTAGGCTAGAGTGCAGTGGTGCGATCTCGGCTCACTGCAACCTCTGCCTCCTGGTTCAAGAGATTCTCCTGCCTCAGCCTCCCAAGTAGCTGGGATTACAGGCATACGCCACCATGTCTGGCTCATTTTTATATTTATAGTAGAGACAGGGTTTCCCCAGGTTGGCCAGGCTGGTCTCAAACTCCTGACCCCAGGTGATCCGCCCACCTCGGCCTCCCAAAGTGCCGGGATTACAGGAGGGAGCCACTGCACCTGGGCCATTCTCCTAATTTTCTACAGTTGAGCATATATTAATTGTTTAATTGGGAAAACAAATATTTAAAGAGACAGCACAGCCTCATGTTGACTTGTTGTTTACTGGAAACCAGAGGTTGGCAAACTGACCTGCAGGCCAAACCTGGCCCACTAATTACTTTTTTTTTTTTTTTTTTTTTGAGACGGAGTCTCGCTCTGTCGCCCAGGCTGGAGTGCAGTGGCCCGATCTTGGCTCACTGTAAGCTCCGCCTCCTGGGTTCACGCCATTCTCCTGCCTCAGCTTTCCGCGTAGCTGGGACTACAGGCACCAGCCACCAGGCCCGGCTAATTTTTGTATTTTTAGTAGAGACGGGGTTTCACTGTGTTAGCCAGGATGGTCTTGATCTCTTGACCTTGTGATCTGCCCACCTCGGCCTCCCAGAGTGCTGGGATTACAGGCGTGAGCCACCGCGCCTGGCCCCACTAATTACTTTTATATGGCCACAAGCTAACAACAACTTTTATATTTTATTTTTATTTTTTTAGAGACACAGTCTTACTCTGTCACCCAGCCTGGAGTGCAGTGGTGTGATCGTAGCTCACTGCAGCCTCAACCTCCTGGGCTCAAGCAATCCTCTCATCTCAGCCTCCAGACTGGCTGGGGCTATAGGCACCTGCCTACATGCCCAGCTAATTGAAAAAAAAAATGTTTTTGTAGAGATGGGGTCTTGCTATGTTGCCCAGACTAGACTTGAACTCCTGGCCTTAAGTGATCCTTCCCACCTCAGCCTCCCAAAGCGCTAGGAATACAAACGTGAGCTACGGTGCCTGGCCAACAATTTTTACATTTTTATTATTTATTTATTTATTTGACACAGGGTCTCCCTCCGTTGCCCAGGCTGGAGTACAGTGGCATGATCTCAGCTCACTGCAACCTCCACCTCCCAGGTTCAATTGATTCTCCTGCCTTAGCCTCCCTAGTAGCTGGGACTACAGGTGTGCACCACCACGCCTGGCTAATTTTTGTATTTTTAGTAGAGATGGGGTTTTGCCTGTTGGCCAGGCTGGTCTCGAACTCCTGACCTCAGGTGATTCACCCGCCTCAGCCTCACAAAATGCTGGGATTACGGGCATGAGCCACCACACCCGGCCAATTTTTACATTTTTAAATCACTGGGGAAAAGAATCAAAAGAAGAAGAATATTGTGACACATGAAAACTGTATGAAATTCAGATTTCATTGCCCATCAATAAAGTGTCATCAGTACCCAGCCAAGCCCATTCATTTAAGTGTCGTCTGTAGCTGCTTTCAAGTGCCACAGGCAGAACAGAGTCATTGAGATAGAAACCGTCTGGCACACAAGCCTAAAATACTTACCACCTGGCCCTTTATAGAAGAAATTGACCAATTAAAATTAAAAGAGGCCGGGTGTAGTGGCTCATGCCTGTAATCCCAGCACTTTGGGAGGGTGAGGTGGGTGGATCACATGAGGTCAAGAGTTTGAGGCCAGCCTGGCCAACATGGTGAAACCCGTCTCTGCTAAAAATACAAAAATTGGCTGGGCATGGTGGTGGGTGCCTGTAGTCCCAGCTACTTGGGAGGCTGAGGCACAAGAATTGTTTGAACCCAGGAGGCAGTGAACGGAGATCACACCACTGCAATCCAGCCTGGGCGACAGAGCGAGACTCTGTCTCAAAAAAAATAAATAAATTAAATTAAAAGAGCATCATTGAGTTTTTTAGTCTAAAAAAGATACACACTTGGCTGGGCTCAGTGGATCACTTGAGGTCAGGATTTCGAGACCAGCCTGGCCAACGTGGTGAAACCCCACCTCTACTAAAAAAAAATACAGAAATTAGCTGGGTGTGGTGGCGGGTGCCTGTAATCCCAGCTACTTGGGAGGCTGAGGCAGGAGAATTGCTTGAACCCCAGAGGCGGAGGTTGCAGTGAGCCGAGGTGGCACCACTGAACTCCAGCCTGGGCGACAGAACGAGACTCTGTCTCAAAAAAAAAGATACACACTCATCAAAATTTAAACCATCCAGAAAAGGATAGATGTAGAAGGAAGTAACTTAACTCACATTTTGTCAAACTTTCCTTTTTGTGCCTCAACATGCATTTTTACTGTTTTTTTTTTGGGTTTGTTTTTGAGACAGGGCCTTGCCCTGTTGCCTAAGCTGGAGTGCAGTGTGCCATCATAGCTCATGGCAGCCTCAAGTCTCCTGGGCTCAAGTGATCCTCCTGCCACAGCCTCCCGAGGAGCTGGGACCATAGGCAGGTACCACCATTCCCAGCTAATTTTAAAATTATTTGTAGAGCCGGGCGTGGTGGCTCATACCTGTAATCCCAGCACTTCAGGAGGCCAAGACAGGTGGATCGCGAGGTCAGGAGATCGAGACCATCCTGGCTAACATGATGAAACCCCGTCTCTACAAATACAAAAAATTAGCCAGGCATGGTGGCATGTGCCTGTAGTCTCAGCTACTAGGGAGGCTGAGGCAGGAGAATCACTTGAACCCGGGAGGCGGAGGTTGCAGTGAGCCAAGGTAGTGCCACTGCACTCCAGCCTGGGAGAGTGAGACTCTGTCTTAAAAAAAAAAAAAAGTTGTTTGTAGATATAAGGTCTTGCTCTGTTGCCCAGGCTGGTCTCAGACACCTGACCTCAAGCGATCCTCCTGCGTTGGCCTCCTGAAGCCGTGGGATGGAAGGCATGAGCCACTGGGCCTCGCCTGTTTTTACATTTGTCTGTTGCTTCCCTGCCCACTGCAGAGGTTCAGATGTATGTGTGCAACAAGGAGGAGTACGGATTCTTGCCAGTGCCATTGCGCGCCCACAGCACCCTCCAGGATGAGGCCGAGAGCTTCATGCATGTGCAGCTGGAGGTCATGGGTGAGTCTGCCTGCACACCGCCCTGGGAGGTGCCAGGTTGCCTCCCTTTCACTGATGTCTCAAATCCGTCCCATGAGCACTGACTGAGTGCCAGGCAGATGCAAGTCCCTGTGGGGGGTGCTGGGTGCAACGGCACGTGTGAACGAGGTGGAGGGTTGTGTCTGCTCTCACAGAGTGCTGGTTTGCAGGTAGCTGTACACAGCATGCTTGGGGTTGTCGGGTGGGCTTCCTGGAGGAGGTGGCATTAAGGGGCAGGTTGAGTAGGAGTTCACCATAAAGGGGATTGCAGCAGGAGGTGGTAGTGTGGGCAAAGGCCGGGAGGCTGGAAGGGACGTGAACCTGGGGAACAGGCAAGGTCAGTGATCCCCTGGGGCTGGTATCCAGGGCCAGGGTGGATGGCCTCAGAGACCAGGCTGAGGAAGGGACCTTCCCCCTGAGGACAGTCAGGAGCTATAGAGGACATGAAAACTGAGAGGACAGCAAGTTTTCACTAAAGAACTGCATGTATAGGCCAGGCATGGTGACTCAAACCTGTAATTCCAGCACTTTGGGAGGCCAAAGTAAGAGGATTGCTTGAGCCTAGGAGTTCAAGATCAGCCTGGGCAACATAGTGAGACCCCATCTCTATATTAAAAAAAATTTTGGCCGGGTGCGGTGGCTCATGCCTGTAATCCTAACACTTCGGGAGGACGAGACGGGCGGATCACAAGGTCAAAAGATGGAGACCATACTGACCAACATGGTGAAACCCTGTCTCTACTAAAAATACAAAAAAAATTAGCTGGGTGTGGTAGCGAATGCCTATAGTCCCAGCTACTTGGGAGGCTGAGGCAGGAGAATCACTTGAACCTGGGAGGCGGAGGTTGCAGTGAGCCGAGATCGTGCCACTGCACTTCAGCCTGGCAACAGAGTGAAACTCCGTCTCAAAAAAAAAAATTTTTTTTTAATTAGTCCGACATGGTGGCACATGCCTGTATTCTAGCTACTCAGGAGGCTGAGGTGGGAGAATCCTTTGAGCCCAGGAGTTGGAGGCCGCAGTGAGCCATAATCGTGCCACTGCACTACAGCCTGGGCAATAGAGTAAGTCTGTCTCAAAAATAATAATAATAAAAAATAATTATCCCAGCTCTTTGGGAGGCCAAGGTGGGCGGATCCCTGGAACCCAGTAGTTTGAGAATATCGTGGGCAACATGGTGAAACCTTGTCTTTACCAAAAAAAAATAACAAAAATTAGCCAGGCGTGATGGCACACACCTGTGGTCCCAGCTACTCGGGAGGCTGAGGCGAGAGGATCCCTTGAGCCCAGGAGGTCGAAGCTGCAGTGAGCCAAGATTGCTTCACTGCACTCCAGCCTGGGCAGCAGAGCCAGACCCTGTATCAATAAATAAATAAATAAAACTTTAAAAAAATCCATGAACTATGAAACCAGCAGCCGTCCCTCTAAAACTGGAGGAGCACGCAGGGCTGAGCTGTAATTGAGGTTGTCTAGGGATGATGCTCCCATCTCAGCCATTGCTAATGTGGGCCTCGCCCTGCACTGGGCGCAGAAAGCCCTGCCAAAGCCACTGCCATTCCCACCACTGCGTAGATGGAGACTGGGTGGGAGGGGTGAGGCCTCTGTCCCGGGGCTCAGTTTCCCCAGCCTTACCGATTTCTGAACGAGTCTATCTGCGGCTCCCCCTGGTGGCTCAAGATGGAATAGCACCCTGCCCTTTGTGTTTTGGGGAGACTTTTTTTTTTTTTTTGAGACGGTGTCTCACTTTGTCACCCAGGCTGGAATGCAGTGGCGCATTCTGGGCTCACTTGAAACCTCCGCCTCCTGGGTTCAAGCGATTCCCCTGCCTCAGCCTCCCGAGTAGTTGGGATTACAGGTACCTGCCACCACACCTGGCAAATTTTGTATTTTTAGTAGAGACGGGGTTTCACCATGTTAGCCAGGCTGGCCTCGAACTCCTGTCCTCAGGTGATCCACCTGCCTCGGCCTCCCAGAATGCTGGGATTACAGGCGTGTGTCACTGCGCCTGGCCTGGGGGAGACTTTTGAGTCTTTTTGAGGTGACACCTGGAGACTGCACAATCACTGGGGCAGGCCCCCCACAACACCCAAGAGTGGCATACTTAGGTGTCCAGGTCCCACCCGGCTACAGTTGGGGGTGGTGGGTCTCCATTTATCACCAACTCCCATCAGAAACGGGCCTGAGAAGCGTCTCTGTGGCTACCAGAGTTTTCCCAGTTTAAGTTCTCACATATATTTGTGTTGTCATTTCCTTTTTTTGAGACAGAGTCTCGCTGTTACCCAGGCTGGAATGCAGTGGCAAAATCACAGCTCACTGCAGCCTCAACCTCCTTGACTCAAGCGATCCTTCCACCTCAGCCTCCTAAGTAGCTGAGACCACAGGTGCATGCCACTACCATGCTCAGCTAATTTGTTAATTTAGGTTTTTGGTTTTTTTGGTTTTTATTTTTTTGAGATGGAGTCTTGCACTGTCGCCTGGGCTGGAGTGCAATGGTGCGATCTTGGCTCACTGCAACCTCCGCCTCCCAGGTTCAAGTGATTCTGCCCCACCTTCCCAAGTAGCTGAGTTTAACAGGCGCTTGCCACCACGCCTGGCTAATTTTTTGTATTTTTATTTTTATTATTTTTTGTTTGTTTGTTTTTTTTGAGACGGAGTCTCGCTCTGTCTCCCAGGCTGGAGTGCAGTGGCCCGATCTCGGCTCACTGCAAGCTCCGCTTCCTGGGTTCACGCCATTCTCCTGCCTCAGCCTCCCGAGTAGCTGGGACTACAGGCGCCTGCTACCACATCCGGCTAATTTTTTGTATTTTTATTGGAGATGGGGTTTCACTGTGTTAACCTGGATGGCCTCGATCTCCTGACCTTGTGAGCCACCTGCCTCGGCCTCCCAAAGTGCTGGGATTACAGGCATGAGCCACTGCGCCCAGCTAGTTTTTTGTATTTTTAGTGGGGACAGGGTTTCAGTATGTTGGCCAGGCTGGTCTCGAACTCCTGACCTCATGATCTGCCCACCTCAGCCTCCCAAAGTGCTGGGATTACAGGCATGAACCACTGTGCCCGGCCTTCTTTTTTGCTTTTTTTGGAGATGGAGTCTCTGTCACCCAGGCTGGAGTGCAGTGTCACCATCATAGCTCGCTGCAGCCTTGAACTCCTGGGCAATCCTTCTGCCTCAGCCTCCCAAGGAGCTACAGATTTCCCCTTTTAAAAGCACACAAGCCATGTGGATTAGGGCCCACCCTAATGACCTCATTTTAACTCGATGACCTCTGTACACAACCCTGTGTCCAAATAGGATCATATCCTGGGGTACTGGTGGTTGGCACTGGGGAGACACAGTTCACCCCATGACATAGTGCATGATCTCATGACATCTCTTTGTGAAACCTCTCAGTGGCTTATTGGCCCATTTTATAGATGAGGAAAGCTGAGGCCCAGGCCAATCAAGAATATACAGCATGCCATCATTTCTTGGTTCATTCTACAAGCAATTACTGAGTGCCTGCTGTGTGCCAAGCCCCTGTGTTGGGCACTAGGGGCCCAGTGTGAGCAGACATACCTGGTGTCCTTCCCAAAGGGCTCACAACAGACAGGCACAGGGCCAGGGGGTTAGGGCAGCAAGGATGCGAGCTTTGGTGGTGCAAGTCCAGGTGCTGCTGGGGCCCAGAGGAGGTGCCTGGCTCAGCCTAGGGAGGTGGGAGTGGGGAGGGTGACCCCCATGCCCAGGGCATCATAGCTGAGAAGTAACGTTACAGAGCAGGGAAAGGAAGGGTATTTCAAGCAGGGATCCAGCATGTGCAAAGGCCCTGAGGTAGGAATGGGGGTTCTTTGGGTTGGCAGGGGCATAGAGGTGGGGCTGGGGGGTAGAGTGAAGCTGGAGCATGGGGCGTGGCCAGGGCTTAGAGGCAGGGTTGGGGGCGGAGTGAAGCTGGAGCCCAGGGCGTGGCCACGGCTGAGAGTCGGGGCTGGGAGCAGGGTGAAGCTGGGGCCTGGGGTGTGACCAGGACTTAGAAGCGGGGCTGGGGGTCGGAGCGAAGCTGTTGCATGGCCAGGGTTTAAAGGTGGGGCTGGGGGGGTGCAGGGTGAAGTTGGAGCCTGGGGCATGGCCAGGGCTTAGAGGCAAGGCTGGGGGAGGCTGTGGGGTGAAGCTGGGGCCTGGGGCGTGGCCAGGGCTGAGTGGTGCGGCTGGGGGGCAGGTTGAAGCTGTAGCCTGGGGTGTGGCCAGGGCTTAGAGGCGGGGCTAAGGGCAGGGTGAGGCTGGGACCTGGGGCGAGTCCAGGGTTGAGTAGCGGGGCCTTGGGCGCGGTGAAGCTGGGGCCTGGGGTGTGGCCAGGGCTGAGAGGCAGGACTGGGGGCGGGGTGAAGCTGGGGCCTGGGGTGTGGCCAGGGCTTTGGGCTGCTGTGCAGGGTTCAAATGACATGGGAGGGGCTCCTAGAGGGCAGCGCTGATGTGGGCGGAGCCAGGTCGACTTTGTGGGCCGAGCCAGTCTGACTGGGAGCCATGGAGTGGGTGGGGAAAGCGTGTTGGAGAGAGGCTGGAGGCTCCTTACCCCAGCGACTCCTCAACGTCTGTGCCCCACAGTGAAGCACCCGCCCGCAGAGCCCTCCCGCTTCATCTCGGCTCCCACCAAGACACCGGACAAGATGGGCTTCGACGAGGTGAGCTGGGCCTTCCCTGGAGGCGGGGCGGGGGCTGGAGGGCCCTTGTTTGCAGGGGCTGATCTGGCTGGGGACTCTCCGGGCTGCAGGTCTTCATGATCAACCTGAGGCGGCGGCAGGACCGGCGGGAGCGCATGCTGCGGGCGCTGCAGGCACAGGAGATCGAGTGCCGGCTGGTGGAGGCCGTGGACGGCAAGTGAGTCCGAGGCCTGGGGGTGGGGGGGCGGGTCCGCACGTGGATGTGGGTGTAGACCTCGCTGGTAGACGGCAAGTGATTCAGATGGGGGCGGGCGTGGTGTCCAAACAGATGTAGACCTCGTCAGTGGGCGTCCTGAAGGGGAAGTGAATGGGACCCTGGGGAAGGGGCAGATCCTCACAGTTGTAGACCATGGAAGGCAAGTGAGTCCTGACCCAGGGGAATGGGTAGGTTTGCATGCTGCCAGTGTAGACTGGTGGGGACTGTGGAGGGGTAAGTCAGTCAGACCCCAGGAGAGGAGGAGAGCAGGTTTGCCCGCGAGTGTATACCATGTGCAGGTGAGTGAGGCCCCATGTGCCCGGAAGGGGTGCCAGTGCTACAAGAGGTGGACCAGCTGCTCAACGCCGCAGGGGGTGGTGGAATGGCCGGGGATGGCAGAATGGCAGGCAGGGTGAACCTTCTTCGTGACCCTCTCCTCCTCCTCTCCAGAGCCATGAACACCAGCCAGGTGGAGGCGCTGGGGATCCAGATGCTGCCTGGCTACCGGGACCCCTACCACGGCCGGCCCCTCACCAAGGGTGAGCTGGGCTGCTTCCTGAGCCACTACAACATCTGGAAGGAGGTGTGTCCTGAGTGATGGGCGGGGCCAGAGTTATGACTCTAGATCTCATCGGAGATTTGGACGGGAAAGGGGTTGAAAGAGTTCCCCAAAGCCCCGGCTAGGCATCCAGCCTCAGCCATGGGACCCATGGCCTCTCTTTAGTGAATGATGCGCCACACCAGCTGTATCACCCCCAGGTGTACCTGCCATCCTTCCATTGCGCAAATGTGGAAACTGAGCCTGGGGGTAGGGGTGAGCCCTTTTGAGCAGCAGGTGGTGTCTGGGGCCTGGGACCTGTAAACAAATCCTCATTACTCCCAGCCTGGTCTCTGTGCTTGATGTTTAGTACTAGAAGTCATGGCCACAGAGCCACTTTAAACCAGCACCTGCCCAGTGCTGCTGGGGGCACTCACCAGCCCAGGCATCCTCATCCACCCTCAGAGGGAGAGGCTGTGATTGGAGGAGGGTGTCTGACTAGGCTTCGAACTTGGGCCATCAGGGCCGGGCATGGTGGCGCACACCTGTGGTCCCAACTATTTGGGAGGCTAAAGTGGGAGAGTGGCTTGAGCCCAGGAGTTAAGGCTGCAGTCAGCCAAGATCGTGCCACTGCACTGCAGACTGGACAGCAGAGCAAAACCGTGTCTCAGAAAAAAGAAAAATGGCTGGGCGTGGTGGCTCATGCCTGTAATCTCAGCACTTTGGGAGGCCGAGGCAGGCGGATCACCTTAGGTCAGGAGTTCAAGACCAGCCTGGCCAACATGGTGAAACCTAGACTCTACTAAAAATACAAAAATTATCTGGGTGTGGTGGTGGGCACCTGTAATCCCTCTACTTGGGAGACTGAGGCAGGAGAATCACTTGAACCCAGGAGGCAGAGGTTGCAGTGGGCTGAAATCATGCCATTGCACTCCAGCCTGGGCGACAAGAGTGACACTCCATCTCAAAAAAAGAAAAATAAAATCCGGGCGTAGTGGCACATGCCTGTAATCCCAGCTGCTCAGGAGGCTGAGGCAGAATTACTTGAACCTGGGAGGCGGAGGTTGCAGTTGAGATCGTTCCACTGCACTCCAGCCTGGGCGACAGGGCGAGACTCCGTCTCAAAAAAAAAAAAAAAGAAAAAGAAAAGAAAAACTTGTTATCGAATGTGAAGCCAAATGGGGGTGTGCGGCTGCAAGGCGGGAGGTGCATGAGGCGTGGGCATTTGAGGGGCTGGGAGGCCTTTCTCTTCTGAGATCCATTATGGACGGCAGAGGGCAGAGGTTTGGATGTCCAGATGTCCCTGGAGCTAGGAGAGGCAGGGAGATGCACTGGCTTCTCTACGGGTCTTTCAAACCTTCTCAAAGCAAAGCTCTGTGCTTTAGGGTCAGGCCTGGCCTTGGCCTCCCTGTGATGTGGCGGGGCTTCCTCCCTCAGGTGGTGGACCGGGGGCTGCAGAAATCGCTTGTGTTTGAGGATGACCTGCGTTTTGAGATCTTCTTCAAGAGACGTCTGATGAACCTCATGCGGGATGTGGAGCGGGAGGGCCTGGACTGGGACCTCATGTGAGTGGGGGTCTGAGGATGGGGTGAAGCTGGGGCCTGGGGCAAGGCCAGGACTTAGAGGTGGGGGTGGGGGCAGGGTGGAGCTGGGACCTGGGGATGGGTCATGGCTTAGAGGCGGGGCTTGAAGGTGGGGTGGAACTGGAGCCTAGGTACATGGCCAGGGCTTAGAGGTGGGGCTGGGAGGCGGAGTGGAGCTGAATCCTACGGGCGTGGCCACAGCGCTGCAGCTGAGCCTAGAGCCTGTATGTCTGGGTGTGGTCAGGGTGGCAGGCGTGGCCAACCCTTGGAAGCGTAGCAGGAGGGCTCACGTGGTTCCTGGGCCTGAAGGCACTGTCAGGGCTGTAGCCTATAGGGAAGGGCGTTGGAAGGATCACCCAGAACTCAAGGGACCTGGCCGGAAGCCTGCAGGCTTGGTCAAGGCTTAGAGACTTGACTGAGGCCTGTGGAGGTGGATGTGGCTAAAATTTGACCGGGCAGCCTGTGGGCGTGGCTGAAGAGCATGGGGGTGTGGTCAGAGCTGGAGGTGTGGCCGAAGAGTGTGGGGGCGTGGCCAGGGCGCCTGGTCTTAGACAAGCCCCTGGATGGGAGTGCCACCAACATGTTTCCAGCACTGGAGCCGTCCTTCTCTTCTGTAAGTGGGCTGGTTTGTCCTCTCCCTTCCTCCATCTCTTTTTTCCCTTCCATGTGCAGTGCCCTAATCTGCATTCTGGGAACACTGCCCCATGTGAATAGTAACTGCACCCCTCCATTCCTGACTGCCCCCCCATCAGGGCACCTCGCCCACCTCCACCCCCACTGTCCTCTGAACTCAGAGCAGCTTCAGCCTCAGAGAACGTCTGCGTGATCCTGCTCTCCCCAGCTCCAGATCCTCCATGGCTCCCTCACGCCCTTTGGAAAAACTCACTCTTCTCCCCCATGACCGCCAGACCCCTGGGCTCCTGCATTCACTCCATCCAGTCACAGAGCTCTGCAAACATGCTGAGCCTGCTCCCATCCCAGGACCTGACGGGGTAACTAGATCCCTGGCTTTCTGGGCAAGCTCCCTCCGGAGGGCGGGAGGAGAGTGACAGGCCCGATCTTGCACCCCAGCTATGTGGGCCGGAAGCGGATGCAGGTGGAGCACCCCGAGAAGGCTGTGCCTCGCGTGAGGAACCTGGTGGAGGCCGACTATTCCTACTGGACCCTGGCCTACGTGATCTCCCTGCAAGGCGCCCGCAAACTGCTGGCTGCTGAGCCGCTCTCCAAGATGCTGCCTGTGGACGAGTTCCTGCCCGTCATGTTCGACAAACACCCAGTGTGAGAGGGGCAGGCGGCTGCTGGGCTGGGGTTTCACGGTGGGTCTGTCCTGGGAGAATGGGGATGTGAGACTCACGGCCTCCGAGAAGATGTCTCTTCTTTTGCCTACTTCTCCCTCCGTTTGCCCCCTCGCAGATCTGTCTCCATTTGTATCCCCTGCACACTTACGTTTTAATCTGTCCCCGCTGACTTCTTCACCCCCAATTTTTCCTCCAGCTGTCCCGTCCCCTGAAGCCATTGCTGCCCCTCACTCCCCTCCTCCTCCCCCCAGGTCCGAGTACAAGGCCCACTTCTCCCTCCGCAACCTGCATGCCTTCTCTGTGGAGCCGCTGCTCATCTACCCCACACACTACACAGGAGACGATGGCTATGTGAGTGACACCGAGACCTCAGTCGTATGGAACAATGAGCACGTCAAGACCGACTGGGACCGCGCCAAGTCCCAGAAGATGCGGGAGCAGCAGGCACTGAGCCGTGAGGCCAAGAACTCGGACGTGCTCCAGTCCCCACTGGACAGTGCTGCCCGGGATGAACTCTGAGGGGTAGCAGCCAGAAAGCCAAAGCAGCCATCGGTGGCCCAGGCTCCACGTGCTTACTGAGGACATCAGGTCCACCTCTGGACCCCTTGGCAGGCCACAGAGGGCTCTCGTGTGGGGTGGTGTCCAGCCAGCTCTTGCTAAGCAATCACGTGCACACAGGCAGCATTAATGGAGTGCCTACTGCATGCCAGCAACAGGGCTTGGCCCTGGGGAATTGGGAGGAACCAAGCCCTCTTCATCTGTTCATGTGCCCAGCATTTATTAAGCACCTGCTGTATGCAAGGTTCCCATGTTACGGCAGTGAATGAGGCATAATTGTTCCCTCCATCAGCGATTGATTCAGTCATCAAGCAGTTACTGATCAGATTAAGAATCAGGCACTAGTGATACACATTCATTTTTAAAATTCATTCAAGGATTTATTGAGTGCCTACTGTGTGTTGGGTGCCATTCCAGGCTCTGGGATTTTTTTTTTTTTTTTTTTAAGAGTAGAGTCTGTCTCTGTCACCCAGGCTGGAGTGCAGTGGTGTGACGGCTCACTGCAGCCTGCGCCTCCCAGCGTCCAGCAATTCTTGTTTCTCGGCCTCCCAAGTAGCTGGGACTATAGGTGCGTGCCATCACATCTGGCTAGTTTTTGTATTTTTAGTAGAGACGGGGTTTCACCATGTTGGCCAGGCTGGTCTCGAACTCCTGACCTCAAGTGATCTGCCCGCCTTGGCCACCCAAAGTGCTAGGGTTACAGGCATGAGCCACTGTGCCCAGCCCAGGCTCTGGGAATATTGAGATAAATAAGATGCTTCTATCCATTTATTCAAGCACATATTGGTCACCTACTGTGTGCCTGGCACTCATGTCACAAAGATAAGTTCCTGATTCGGTACACTTACTGAGCACCTGCTGTGTGCAGGGAGCTGAGCTATGGGATGGGAATGGGAGTAAACAAGGTACTTTTTACTTTTTTCTTTTTTTCCTCACTGCTAGACGGTGTGGGAACTTCTCACTCATTGGCTTCTTTCCCACACACCTGAAGAGCACTGACTGTGTGCCGGGCACTAGTGATACAAAAGAGTGTGACAGTTGTTCAGTCTGCATTTTCGATCATGGGCTACATGCCGAGTGCTGGGGCACAGAGATGAACAAGATCGGTTCCTTCACTTCTTCATGCCACAAGTGTTTATTGAGCACCTGTGTGCCAGGCCTCACAGACTCCCAGTTGGGTTGAAGAATGGTTGACTGAGTTTGATTCTTCCTGTACCCTCGGTCGTCTGAGCTGTGTGCAGACAACATCCCCCCACCACCCAAGAGGGAGGGTAGCTCTTCCGCCACCAGGGGCAAGCACAGGTCCTGGTGGCCCCACGCCACATGTTAGCCCCCCTGGAGGGGGCGCCAGTTGGAGACGGGGGCTGGGTGTCCCTGGCCCACTCCCGGTCCCCTGTGCTTTACCTCCTTGCCCTTGTGTCTCAGGTGTGGTCCCTGCCTGCTTGATGAAGTTGCTCTGTTCAAGCCTTTGGTGGGATCATGTGTTTGGGGGCTTTTAGGGGACCCAGCTGCACTGGGGCACTGCCCGTGGCCTGGGTAGGACATTTCCCAGCAAGGGCTGGAGGAGTTGCCGTGCCTTCAGCCTGAATCGAATGTCAGAACCAGCCAGCGGTGCTTCACCCTCTTGGGGATAACTTGCTTAGTTTTTTAATAAATGTTCCTGGTTGGTTTTCACAGCAGTTTGTGGGATTTTGCTCGGCACCAAAACACTGCCCACGTTCCCCACCCCTGGATGGCCGACAAGATTTGGGAGGAAACCAGGGCAGGTGCAGTAGGGAAGCTGCCCAGTGGGGCCTGGCATGGTGGCTCATGCCTGTAATCCCGGTGCTTTGGGAGGCTAAGGTGGGCGGATCACTTGAGGTCAGGAATTCAAGACCAGCCTGGCCAACATGGTGAAACCCCCTCTCTATTAAAAGTACAAAAATTAGCCTAGTGTAGTGGGGCGGGGTGGCGGGGGGGGGGTACCTGTAATCCTCGCTACTTGGGAGGCTGAGGCAGGAGAATCGCTTGAACCTGGGAGGTGGAGGTTGCAGTGACCCAAGATTGAGCCACTGCCCTCCAGCCTGGGCGGCAGAGCAAGACACAATCAAACCAAAAAAAAAAAAAAAAAGCTGGCCAGTGGAGCTACTGTGGGGTGAGGGTGTGGTAAGAGCCCTGTGTCCCCTCATGCCATAAAACTTCCCCCAAACAGGCGGGGGACCGACAGCTCTGTCTTGAGTCAACTTCAGGATCCTTCCACATGACTTCGAATAAAGAGGGGCTGTCGTGCTTTGAGTCCCCCTAAAACAGACCTCAACATGAGGATTAGGGCTGGGCATGGTGGTTCACGCCTGTAATCCCAGCACTTTGGGAGGCCAAGGTGGGTGGATCACCTGAGGTCAGGAGTTCGAGACCAGCCTGATCAATAAGATGAAATCCCGTCTCTACTAAAAATGCAAAAAGCAGCCAGGCATGGTGGTGTGTGACAGTAGTCCCAGCTACTTGGGAGGCTGAGGCAGGAGAATCGCTTGAACGCAGGAGGTGGAGGTTGCAGTGAGCTGAAATCTTGCCACTGCACTCCAGCCTGGGCAACAGAATGAGACTCCATCTCAAAAAAAAAAAAGGATTAGGCTGGGTGAGGTGGCTCACTCCTATAATCCCAATGCTTTGGGAGGTTGAGGAGGTGAGAGGATTGCTTGAGGTCAGGAGCTCAAGACCAGCTTGGGCAACAGAGTGAGACCCTCGTCTCTACAAAAAAAATTGAGAAATTAGTTGGGCATGGTAGGGCACACCTGTAATCTGGCTACTCAGGAGGCTGAAGCAGGAGTATCTCTTGAGTCTAGGAGGTTGAGGCTGCAGTGAACCATGATCACACCACTGCACTCCAGCCTGGGCAACAGAGCAAGACCCTGTTTCTATAAAACAAAACCAGAAAACTTCCCTGAAATAGCCCAGGGACAGGTGGCCAACTTCATTCTATCTTGGATCAACCACAGGATCGTCGCAGATGACTTCAAATGAGGAGGGGCTGTCATGGTTTGGGTCCCCTGAAACAGACTCCAAGATGAGGATTGAAGGGCACTTACGTTATCAGTGACCCCAGGAACTTGCTGTGGAGCAGTAGGGAAGTGAGACAAGAAGGGAAAGAGTGGTCCCACCCCAGGGAGAGGGGGCTGGACATTACAACATGCCCAGTTGCATTTGGATTTTCTGGGTCAAATGCTTACAAATCCTCTGGATTATTACACCTTTAGGGTGTGCAAGAATATACCCGAGACTTTTATAAACTAACACAGGGGCCAGGCGCGGTGGCTCACACCTGTAATCCCAGCACTTTGGGAGGCCGAGGCTGGTGGATCATGAGGTCAGGAGTTCGAGACCAGCCTGGCCAATATGGTGAAACCCCGTCTCTACTAAAAATACAGAAAAATTAGCTGGGCATGGTGGTGAGCGCCTGTAGTCCCAGCTACTTGGAGGCTGAGGCAGAAGAATCACTTGAACCTGGGAGGCGGAGGTTGTAGTGAGCCGAGATCACGCCACTGCACTCCAGCCTGGGCGACAGAGCAACACTCTTGTCTCAAAAAACAAAAAACAAACAACAACAAAAAACCCTAACACTGATGGTGTTCAATCAGTGTGGAAAAAATCAGAACTTACAGCTAAGCAAATTGACAAAGCAAAAATTAAATCACACCTTTTCAGACACAACTAACATTTTCAAAAACTTTCCAGCCTTCCTTATTTGCATGGTGTAAATATATATGCATTTTTTAAAAAAGGAGGACCATGTTACCTAAGCTACTGCAACTTGCCGTTTTATTTTTCGTGGAATGCACTTTTATTTTCTAAGCATGGGATCAAACTGTACCTATTTTTTAAAAAACAACTTTTATTTTTAAATTTAACAACTATTGTGGACCTCCTTTCCAAAATAGGGTTAACATCTACGAGCTCTTTTTGGATTGTTATGGAAAATATTCCCTGCTGTTTCCTGCAGTGGATAGCATTATACAATACATCTTTCCTACTGGATTTTTTGTTTTTTTGTGTTTTTTTGTTTGTTTTGTTTTGCTTTTTGAGACGGAGTCACACTCTGTCACCCAGGCTGGAGAGCAGTGATACGATCTTGACTCACTGCAACCTCCGCCTCCTGGGTTCAAGCAATTCTCCTGCCTCAGCCTCCTGAGTAATAGATTACAGGCGCCCGCACCACACCTGGAGAATTTTTGTATTTTTAGTAGAGATGGGGTTTCACCATGTTGGCCAGGCTGGTCTTGAACTCCTGACTACAAGTGATCCACCCGCCTTGGCTCCCAAAGTGCTGGGATTGCAGGCGTGAGCCACTGCACCTGGCTTCCTACTGGATTTTAAAATTTCAGTTGGGTAAATTGAGACAGGTGGGATTCCTGGATTAACCTGGATGTGCACTTCAGGTTTCAGTAGAGGCTATCATATTCCTTTTTCTTATTGAATCCTAACTATTCATCATCTATTGGCCAGAGTGAATTATCCATGTTTATTAAACAGTCCCTTCTGTGAAACATTTTTTTTTCTTTGAGGCAGAGTCTCACTCTGTCGCCCAGGCTGGAGTGTAGTGGCATGATCTTGGCTCACTGCAACCTCCGCCCCCACCCTGGGTTCAAACAATTTTCCTGCCTCAGCCTCCCTAGTAGCTGGGATTACAGACGCCTGCCACAATGCCCGGCTAGTTTTTGTACTTTTAGTAGAAACAGGGTTTCACCATGTTGGCCAGGCTGGTCTCAAACTTCTGACCTCAGGTGGTCCTCCCGCTTCGGCCTCCCAAAGTGCTGGGATTACAGGCATGAGCCACCGCACCCAGCCCCTTCTGTGAAAGATTTTTTTCTCATGCTTTGCAGGGAAGTTTCTAAATCTTATTTAACCCAGTGAGGCTCAACCAGGAGTAATTTTGTTCTTCAGGGGACATTTGGCAATGTCCCCTAAACATCCTACAATGCTAACACCATCCTACATTGTACATCCTATGCAGGAGGATGCAGCTAAATATCCTACAATGGCCAGGACGCCCCACCATACAGAACGTTCCAGTCCAGAATGTTCATAGTGCTGAGACTAAGAATTCCTGTACCCGGCCAGGTATGGTGGCTCGTGCTTGTAATCCCAGCACTTTGGGAGGTTGAGGCAGGCAGATCACTTGACCCTAGGAGTTTGAGACCAGCCTGGGCAAAACCCTGTCTCTACAAAAAAATAGAAACACTTAGCCATGTGTGTTGTCACGTGTCTGTGCCCCCCAGCCTCGGGAGGCTGAAATGGGAGGATTGCTGGAGCCTACGAGGTTGAGGCTACAGTGAGCAGTGATTGTACCACTGCACTCCAGCCTGGGCTACAGAGCGAGACCCTGTCTCGAAAAAATAAAAATAAAAAAAGAATCCCTGTACCCAATTCCTTTCAGCCTCTTGGGGACATGAGTCTTTAGAAGGATCTTCTCTGTGGTACGAAGTGAAGCTTCCTTTACTATGAAATTTATCTGAATAAAGCATAGATTCGCAGGCTCTGCTCACAGACTAAAGGATTAGAACTTGGAGGTAGCTGGGTGCAGTGGCTCACACCTGTAATCCCAGCAATTTGGGAGGCCGAGGCGGGAGGATCACCTGAGGTCAGGAGTTCGAGACCAGCCTGACCAACATGGCAAAACCCTGTCTCTACTAAAAATACAAAAAAATTAGCTGGGCGTGGTGACGCATGCCTGTAATCCCAGCTACTTAGGAGGCCGAGACAGGAGAATCGCTTGAACTGGGGAGGCAGAGGTTGCAGTGAGCCGAGATCGTGCCATTGCACTCCAGCCTGGGCGCAAAACTCCATCTAAAAAAAAAAAAAAAAGAACTTGGAGGTGATGCCTGGGAATTAAATTTTATTTTGAAGGCCCCCAAACAGTTATGTAACTCTGGTGTTGCTTTTGACCTCTGCACCTTCAGGAGAACCTCATCCTTCCTTCTGGAACTTTCTAAATACACACACACACAATGTATACTTTTCTTGTCTTTGTAAAAATTTTATTATTACTATTTTCTGAGACAGGGTCTCGTTCTGTTGCCTAGGCTGGAGTCCAATGGTGCAATCATGGTTCACTGCAGCCTCAAGCTCCCAGGCTTAAGTGATCTTCCCACCTCAGCCTCCTAAGTAGCCAGGACTACAGACATGAGCCACTATGCCCAGCTAATTTTTTATTTTTTGTAGAGATGACGGTCTTGCTATGTTGCCCATCCTGGTCTCGAGCTCCTGGGCTGCAGCAATCCTCCCCGCTCAGCTTATCAAAATGCTGGAATTACAGGCATGAGCCACTGCACCTGGCACCTTTATTTTATGAATGCTATTTTTAATTGTAAAGTGATTCTTATTCATGGGGACACCCTTCAGTTGGTCTATTGGCTATTAGTTCCCTATTGCTACTCTAACACATTTCCACAAACTTAGTCGCTTAAAACAACATCAATGTATTCTTGTATGGTTTTGAAGGCCAGAATTCTGAAATCAGTTTCACTGGGCTAATGTCAAATCAAGCTGAGGCTGGGTGCGGTTGCTCACGCCTATAATCCCAGCACTTTGGAAGGCTGAGGTGGGTGGGTCACTTGAGGTCAGCAGTTCGAGACCAGCCTGGCCAATATGGGGAAATCCCATCTCTACTAAAAATACAAAAATTAGCTGGGCATGGTGGCACACACCTGTAGTCCCAGCTACTTGGGAGGCTGAGGCAGGAGAATTGAGGAGAACCCGGGAGGCGGAGGTGGCAGTGAGCTGAGATAGGGGCCATTGCACTCCAGCCTGGGCAACAGAGCAAGACTCTGTCTCAAAAAAAAAAAAAAAAAAAAATCAAGCTGGGTGCAGTGGCACACACCTGTAATCCCAGCTACCCTGTAATCCCAGCTACTCGGGAGGCCGAGGCAGGAGAATCGTTTGAGCCCAGGAGTTCAAGATCAGCCTGGGTAACATAGTGAGACCCCCATCTCTAAAAATAAATAAATAAGTAAAAATAAATTCAAGTCAGCAGGGTTGGTTTCTTCTGGAGGATCTAGGGGGGAATCCTTCTCTTTGTCTTTTCTGGCTTCTGAAACCCACTGGCATCTTTTTTGTTTTTTTTTAATTTTTTTGAGACTAAGTCCAGCTCTGTCACCCTGGCTGGAGTGCAGTGGCACGATCTCAGCTCACAGCAACCTCTGCTTCCCAGGTTCAAGTGATTGTCATGCCTCAGCCTCCCGAGTAGCTGGGATTACAGGCGCCCACCACCATGCCCAGCTAATTTTTGTATTTTTGATAGGGAGGGGGTTTCACCATTTTGGCCAGGCCGGTCTTGAACGCCTGACTTCAGGTGATTTTCCTGCCTTGGCCTCCCAAAGTGCTGGGATTACAGGCATGAACCACCATGCCCCATCCCCACTGGCATCTTTTTTTTTATGCTTTAAACAATTTTTTTTTTTAGAATTCAAAAGCAAACTCTGGATCCTGAGCTTAACTGTAATGGAGTAGATTACATTCCATTTATTTTTGTAAATTATTTTATTTTTTCATTGATGACTTAGAGGGACTATCTTCAAACCAGTACAAATATTTCATAGATAATACCTGGCCAATTTCTAACCAATTGAGTAATTTGTTGCATAATAAGCTACCTCAAGTCTTTCAGCAAGAAATACATTAAATTTGAATAGTGAAGACATTACACAATGAATTAGGACATAATTAAAATTTGCTTTAAATATTTCTTTGGTGGAGAGAACACCACACTTCTGCTCAATGAAGAGAAACATTTTCATACTCCAGAGGCATTTTATTTTATTTTATTTTATTTTTTTGAGACGGAGTCTCGCTGTGTCGCCCAGGCTGGAGTGCAGTGACGTGATCTCGGCTCACTACAACCTCCGCCTCCCGGGTTCAAGCAATGCTTCTGCCTCAGCCTCCCGAGTAGCTGAGACTACAGGCACCTGCCACCATGCCCGGCTCATTTCTGTACTTTTAGTAGAGACGGGGTGTCACCATATTGGTCAGGCTGGTCTCAACCTCCTGACCTTGTGATCTGCCTGCCTCGGCCTCCCAAAGTGCTGGGCTTACAGATGTGAGCCACCCTGCCTGGCCTTTTATTTTTTTGTTAACACCTATTATGTCATGAATTCATAGGGAAGAGGTTCCAGCAGCTAAGGCTCCTTCCCACTGGTTTTCACACAGTGTGCTTCTCTGGGTGGAGCAGGCTGGCGCTTCAGTTGAACCCAGGCACCTTTCTCTTTGGCTTCTTTCTTTTTCTGATCATTTTCCTTCATGCATTTCAGGAAGCTATCTCAGTTCTTAGAGTGCTTAATATGCTCAATACACACATCAATTCTCTTGGCAAGGATCTTGCCCTCGTTTGTTTACAACAATGCCAACAGCATGCTGGGGAACACTGTAGATTCTTCCAGTTTTGCCATGTTAACACTTGTGGAGCATTTCTTTTTGAACAGTACCTTCTCTTGATGTCTACAATATCACCTTTCTTATAGATTCACATATACGTGGCCAAAGGAACAACTTCATGTTTTCTAAAAAAGCCTAGAGAACATATATCGGGTGCCTCTCCTCTTTTCCTTTGTGTTTGTCATCTTGGCAAATTACTGGAAGATGGCGGTTCTGGCCGAAAAGCCCCACTGGTATCCTTTGCTTGTGGTCCCTTCTTGTGTCACTCCAAGTCACTCCAATCCTTTCAATGCTATGTATTCACCTAACCTCTTGTCTCCCTCTTCTAAGGACATTTGTGATTACATTTAGAGCCCATTCAGATGATCCAGGATAATCTTGCCATAATCTCAAAATCCTTGACTTAATCATATCTGCAGGGCTGGGCATGGTGGCACGTGCCTGTAGTCCCAGCTGTGAAAGAGGCTGTGGTGTGCAGTAGGATTGCTTGAGCCCAGGAGTTTGAGGCTGCAGTGAGCTATGATTGCACCTCTGCACTCCAGCCTGGGCAGCAGGGCAAGATCTTGCCAAAAAAAAAAAAAAAGAAAAGAAAAGAAAAGAAAAATCACATCTGCATCTACAAAATTCCTTTTGCCATTTAAAGTAACATCCATAGGGCCAGGTGCAGTAGCTCATGCCTGTAATCCCAGCACTTTGGGAGGCTGAGGTGGGTGGAACACCTGAGGTCAGGAGTTCAAGACCAGCCTGGCCAACATGGTAAAACACCATCTCTACTAAAAATATAAAAATTAGCTGGGTATGGTGGCAGGCGCCTATAATCCCAGCTACTTAGGAGGCCGAGGCAGGAGAATCGCTTGCACCCAGGAAGTGGAGGTTGCAGTAAGCTGAGATCGCGCCACTGCACTCCAGCCTGGGCAACAAGAGTGAAACTCCGTCTCAAATAAATAAAGTAACATCCACAGGTTCTGAGCAATAGATGTGGATATCTCTCGGGGGACATTATTTAGCCTATTGCTACAGTATCCTTTGGAGAGGCTGAGATTGTGTCTTGCTCTATGGATGTGTCAGTCATATGATACATAGTTATGTATCATAGTACAGTGTATCAGTCATGGATCAAGGTGGGAAAACAGAAATCACTTGAGGTCTTTTAACAGAAAGGGGTTTCATATAGGAAATTGACAATGACTCCATGCTGCCATTGCAGCCTGAAAAACAACCACAGGCAATACATAAATGAATGAGCTTGGCTGTGTGCCAATAAAACTTTATTTGCAAAAACCAGTGTGGAGTCAGATTTGGCCTGGGGGCTGAAGTTTGCCATCTCTGGGTACAAAGGATCAGGACTGAGTCTGGTCCTACAGAGATGACCTTGAAGAAGTGGCTTTCCAAAGCGCCCCGAGGTTGTCACTGAACAGAGGAATGCTAAAACCTCAACTGTTTCCACATCTGGCTGCTGGCAGAGTGAAGGGGAAGGAAAACCAAGACGACTCAAGTCCCTTTTGTTTTCCAGACTCCCAGAGGTGCATCTGGCAGGTGAACTTGGGCAGACACCCTGAGTCTGCCCAGCCACAGGGAGATCTGCCTGTGTAGCTGGGGCTTTGGAATGGGGTGGGACAGGGGCGGATGCTGATGTCAACCTGCCATGGATGGCTTATTAGCGTAGGTTACAATGATGATAGGGACGACGGTGTAACTGTAGGATGCATAATCATCGTCACTATTACATGTAATTGCAGGATTTGGAGCAGAGTAATTATCATGCAATATAATCAATTATATAATGAAATGTAATCTCAGACAGATCATCAACGACATAATTGTGTTATGCCCTCCAGGAAATGGAATATGCCTCTTTTTGAAGTTCCCGGGTGGTTCTGCCAGGATGGCTGGTGGTGGGAGAAGAAGGCAAGAGCCAAATGGGGTTAGGATGAGAGGGACAGTGATTGGGGTGGGGGTGTTTCAGGTGACAGTGGAAGGATAGTGATGGGCGTGAGAATAGTGTGAGAGTTTAGTCTGAGGTTGAGAGAAGTGAGGAGATGCAGGCGAATAAGTTGAAGAACAATGAGGTCAGGTTAGGGATTAGCAAACTGGATGAGGGCCAAATCTGACATCTGACTTTTTTTTTTTTTTGAAACGGAGTTTCACTCTTGTCGCCCAGGCTGGAGTGCAATGGCGCGATCTTGGCTCACTGCAACCTCTGCCTCCCGCATTCAAGCGATTCTCCTGCCTAGCCTCTGGAGTAGCTGGGATTACAGGTGTGTGCCACCATGCCCGGCTAATTTTTGTATTTTTAGTAAAGATGGGGTTTCACCATGTTGTCCAGGCTGGTCTCGAACTCCTGACCTCAGGTGATCCACCCGCCCCGGCCTCTTAAAGTGCTGGGATTACGGGCGTGAGCCACCACTCCTGGCCTCAAATCTGACTTGTTTTAAAAAAAATTTGGCAGGGCTGGGCACCGTGGCTCATGCCTGTAATCCCAGCACTTTGGGACTCACCTGAGGTCAGGAGTTCGAGACCAGCCTGACCAACATGGTGCAACCCTGCCTCTAATAAAAATACAAAAATTAGTCGGGCGTGGTGGCACACACCTGTAATCACAGGTACTCAGGAGGGTGAGGCAGGAGAATCACTTGAACCCAGGAGGCAGAGGTTGTGGTGAGCGGAGATCGTGCCACTGTGCTCCAGCCTGGGCGATAGAGCGAGTCTCCCTCTTAAAACAAGCAAACAAATAAAACAAACAAACAAAACCCCAAAAATTATTTGGCTGAACACGGAATCTGGAAAAAAAAATTTTTAAATTGAGGTAAGAATCAGACAACATAAAATTAACCAGATTAAAATGTCCAATTTGGTGGAATTTAGCACATTTGCAATGTCACACGACCATCACCTTTATCAATTTCCAGAACATTTTCATCCCCCTAAAAGGAGATCTCGTTTCTATCAGCAGTCACTCTCCACTCCCTCTCCCCCAGCCCCTGGCACCACCAATCTGCTTCCTGTCTCTATGTGTTCCCGGAAAGGGGTCCTGATCAAGACCCCAAGAGAGGGTTCTTGGATCTTGTGCAAGAAAGAAGTCAGGGAGGCCGGGCGCGGTGGCTCACGCCTGTAATCCCAGCACTTTGGGAGGCTGAGGTGGGCGGATCACGAGGTCAGGAGATTGAGACCATCCTGGCTAACGCAGTGAAACCCCGTCTCTGCTAAAAATACAAAAAAATTAGCCGGGTGTAGTGGCGGGCACCTGTAGTCCCAGCTACTCGGGAGGCTGAGGCAGGAGAATGGCATGAACCCAGGAGGCAGAGCTTGCAGTGAGCCGAGATTGCGCCACTGAGCTCCAGCCTGGGCAACAGAGCCAGACTCTGTCTCAAAAAAAAAAAAAAAAAAAAAAGAAAGAAGTCAGGGTGAGTCCATAGAGTAAGTGAAAGCAAGTTTATTAGGAAAGTAAAGGAATAAAGAATGGCTACTCCAGGCCAGACACAGTGGCTCACGCCTATAATCCTAGCACTTTGGGAAGCCAAGGTGGGTGGATCACGAGGTCAGGAGACTGAGACCATCCTGGCTAACACGGTGAAACCCTGTCTCTACTGAAAATACAAAAAATTAGCTGGGCATGGTGGTGAGCGCCTGTAGTCCCAGCTACTCGGGAGGCTGAGGCAGGAGAATGGCATGAACCCAGTGTCAGGCCTCTGAGCCCAAGCTAAGCCATCATATCCCCTGTGACCTGCATGTACACATCCAGATGGCCGGTTCCTGCCTTAACTGATGACATTGTCTTGTGAAATTCCTTCTCCTGGCTCATCCTGGCTCAAAAGCTCCCCTACTGAGCACCTTGTGACCCCCACTCTGCCCGCCAGAGAACAACCCCCCTTTGACTGTAATTTTCCTTTATCTACCCAAATCCTATAAAATGGCCCCACCCTTATCTCCCTTCAAGGACTCTCTTTTCAGACTCAGCCCACCTGCACCCAGGTGATTAAAAGCTTTATTGCTCACACAAAGCCTGTTTGGTGGTCTCTTCACACAGACACGCATGAAATTTGGTGCCGTGACTCAGATCGGGGGACCTTCCTTGGGAGATCAATCCCCTGTCCTCCTGTTCTTTGTTCCATAAGAAAGATCCACCTACGACCTCGGGTCCTCAGACCGACCAGCCCAAGAAACATCTCACCAATTTCAAATCCAGTAAGCGGCCTATTTTCACTCTCTTCTCCAACCTCCCTCACTATCCCTCAACCTCTTTCTCCTTTCAATATTGGCGCCACACTTCAATCTCTCCCTTCTCTTAATTTCAATTCCTTTCATTTTCTGGTAAAGACAAAGGAGACATGTTTTATCTGTGGACCCAAAACTCTGGCACCGGTCACGGACTAGGAAGGCAGCCTTCCCTTGGTGTTTAATCATTGCAAGAACGCCTCTCTGATTATTCACCCACATTTCAGAGGTGTCAGACCATGCAGGGATGCTTGCCTTGGTCCTTCACCCTTAGCGGCAAGTCCCGCTTTTCTAAGGGGCAAGAATCCCCAATCCCTTATTTCCATGCCCCAACCTCTTATCTCTGTGCCTCGATCCCTTATTTCCATGCCCCGACCTCTTATCTCTGCGCCCCATCCCTTATTTCCGTGCCCTGACCTCTTATCTCTGTGCCCCAACCCCTTATTTTTGCACCCTGACCCCTTTCTGGCTTTTCTGGAAGGTAAGAACCCCCAAACCCCTTCCCTCTGTGTCTCTACTCTCTCTTTTCTCTGGGCTTGCCTCCTTCACTATAGGCAACCTTCCATGCTCCACTCCTCCATCTCCCTTAGCCTGTGCTCTCAAGAACTTAAAACCTCTTTGACTCACACCTGACCTAAAACCTAAATGCCTTGTTTTCTTCTGCAATGCTGCTTGACCCCAATACAAACTCAACAGTGGTTCCAAATAGCCAGAAAACGGCACTTTCAATTTTTCCATCCTGCAAGATCTAAATAATTCTTGTCGTAAAATAGGCAAACAGTCTGAGGTGCCTGACGTCCAGGCATTCTTTTACACATCGGTCCCTCCCTAGTCTCTGTGCCCAGTGCAACTCGTCCCAAGTCTTCCTTCTTTCCGTCTCTCCTGTCCCCTCAGTCCCATCCCCAAGCGTCCCTGAGTCTTTCTAATCTTCCTTTTCTACAGACCCATCTGACCTCTCCCCTCCTCCCCAGGCTGCTGCTCACCAGGCCGAGCTAGGTCCCAATTCTTCCTCAGCCTCCGCTCCTCCACCTTGTAATCTTTTTATCACCTCCCCTCCTCACACCCGGTCCAGTTTATAGTTTCATTCCGTGACTAGCCCTCCCCCACCTGCCCAGCAATTTCCTCTTAAAAAGGTGGCTGAAGCTAAAGGCATAGTCAAGGTTAATGCTCCTTTTTCTTTATCCGACCTCTCCCAAATCAGTTAGCATTTAGACTCTTTCATCAAACATGAAAAACCCAGCCCAGTTCGTGGCTCGTTCGGCAGCAACCCTGAGACGCTTTACAGCCCCAAACCCTAAGAGGTCAAAAGGCTGTCTTATTCTCAATATACATTTTATTACCCAATCCACTCCTGACATTAAATAAAACCCCAAAAATTAAACTCCGGCCCTCAAACCCCACAACAGGACTTAATTAACCTCACCTTCAAGGTGTACAATAATAAAGTAGAGGCAGCCAAGTAGCAATGTATTTCTGAGCTGCAGTTCCTTGCCTCCACTGTGAGACAAACCCCAGCCACATCTCCAGCACAAAAGAACTCCAAACGCCTGAACCGCAGTGGCCAGGGATTCCTCCAGAACCTCCTCCACCAGGAGCTTGCTACAAGTGCCGGAAATCTGGCCACTGGGCCAAGGAATGCCCGCAGCCCAGGATTCCTCCTAAGCCGTATCCCATCTGTGTGGGACCCCACTGAAAATCGGACTGTTCAACTCACCTGGCAGTCACTCCCAGAGCCCCTGGAACTCTGGCCCAAGGCTCTCTGACTCCTTCCCAGATCTTCTCGGCTTAGTGGCTGAAGACTGACACTGCCCGATCACCTCGGAAGCCCCCTAGACCATCACGGACACCGAGCTTCAGGTAACTCTCACTGTGGAGGGTAAGCCCATCCCCTTCTTAATCAATATGGAGGCTACTCACTCCACATTACCTTCTTTTCAAGGGCCTGTTTCCCTTGCCTCCATAACTGTTGTGGGTATTGATGGCCAAGCTTCTAAACCCCTTAAAACTCCCCGACTCTGGTGCCAACTTAAGACAATACTCTTTTATGCACTCCTTTTTAGTTATCCCCACCTGCTCAGTTCCCTTATTAGGCCGAGACACTTTAACTAAATTATCTGCTTCCCTGACTATTCCTAGGTGACAGCCACACCACATTGCCACCTTTTCCCCCAGTTCAAAGCCTCCTTCACATCCTCCCCTTGTATCTCCCCACCTTAACCCACAAGTATAAGACACCTCTACTCCCTCCTTAGCGACCGATCATGCACCCCTTACCATCCCATTAAAACCTAATCACCCTTACCCCGATCAATGCCAATATCCCATCCCACAGCACACTTTGAAAGGATTAAAACCTGTTATCATTCTCCTGTTACAGCATGGCCTTTTAAAGCCTATAAACCCTCCTTACCATTCCCTCATTTTACCTGTCCTAAAACCAGACGATGCTTACAGGTTAGTTCAGGATCTGCGCCTTATCAACCAAATTGTTTTGCCTATCCACCCCGTGGTGCCAAACCCATATACTCTCCTATCCTCAATACCTCCCTCTACAACCCATTATTCTGTTCTGGATCTCAAACATGCTTTCTTTACTATTCCTTTGCACCCTTAATCCCAGCCTCTCTTCGCTCTCACTTGGACTGACCCTGACACCCATTAGGCTCAGCAAATTACCTAGGCTGTACTGCCGCAAGGCTTCACAGACAGCCCCCATTACTTCAATCAAGCCCAAATTTCATCCTCATCTGTTACCTATCTCGGCATAATTCTCATAAAAACACACGTGCTCTCCCTGCTGATCGTGTCTGATTAATCTCCCAAACCTCAATCCCTTACAAAACAACAACTTTCCTTCCTAGGCATGGTTAGTGCAGTCAGAATTCTTACACAAGAGCCAGGACCGCACCCTGTAGCGTTTCTGTCCAAACAACTTGACCTTACTGTTTTAGCCTAGCCCTCATGTCTGCGTGCAGCGGCTGCCACTGCTTTAATACATTTAGAGGCCCTAAAAATCACAAACTATACTTAACTCACTCTCTACATTTCTCATAACTTCCAAAATCTATTTGCTTCCTCATACCTGACGCATATGCTTTCTGCTCCCCGGCTCCTTCAGCTGTACTCACTCTTTGTTAAGTCCCACAATTACCATTGTTCCTGGCCCGGACTTCAATCTGGCCTCCCACATTATTCCTGATACCACACCTGACCTCCATGACTGTATCTCTCTGATCCACCTGACATTCACCCCATTTCCCGATATTTCCTTCTTTCCTTTTCCTCACCCTGATCACGCTTGATTTATTGATGGCAGTTCCACCAGGCCTAATCGCCACACACCAGCAAAGGCAGGCTATGCTATAGTACAAGCCACTAGTCCGCCTCTTAGAATCTCTCATTTCCTTTCCATCGTGGAAATCTGTCCTCAAGGAAATCACTTCTCAGTGTTCCATCTGCTATTCTACTACTCCTCAGGGATTATTCAGGCCCCCTCGCTTCCCTACACATCAAGCTCGAGGATTTGCCCCACTCAGGACTGGCAAATTAGCTTTACTCAACATGCCCCGAGTCAGATAACTAAAATACCTCTTAGTCTAGGTAGACACTTTCACTGGATAGGTAGAGGCCTTTCCTACAGGGTCTGAGAAGGCCACCGCTGTCATTTCTTCCCCTCTGTCAGACATAATTCCTCAGTTTAGCCTTCCCACCTCTATACAGTCTGATAACAGACCAGCCTTTATTAGTCAAATCAGCCAAGCAGTTTTTCAGGCTCTTGGTATTCAGTGAAATCTTTATATCCCTTACAGTCCTCCATCTTCAGGAAAAGTAGAACGGACTAAAGGTCTTTTAAAAACACACCTCACCAAGCTCAGCCACCAACTTAAAAAGGACGGACAATACTTTTACCACTTTCCCTTCTCAGAAGTCAGACCTGTCCTCAGAATGCTACAGGGTACAGCCCATTTGAGCTCCTGTATAGATGCTCCTTTTTCTTCACATGGACGCCCATGAAACCCGGGAGGTGGAGCTTGCAGTGAGCCGAAACCGCGCCACTGCACTCCGGCCTGGGTGACAGAGCAAGACTCCATCTCAAAAAAAAAAAAAAAAAAAAAGAATGGCTACTCCATAGACAGAGCAGCCCCAAGGCTGCTGGTTGCCCATTGTTATGGTTATTTCTTGATGATATGCTAAAGGAAGGGTAGATTATTCATGCCTTGCGTTTTTAGACCAAATAGGGTAACTTCCTGATGTTGCCATGGTATTTGTAAACTGTCATGGTGATGGGGGGAGTGTAGCAGTGAGGATGACCAGAGGTCACTCTTGTCGCCATCTTGGTTTTGGTGGGTTTGGGCCAGCTTCTATTATTGCTGTTGTTGTTGAGACGGAGTCTTGCTCTGTCGCCCAGGCTGCAGTGCAGTGGCGCGATCTCGGCTCTCTGCAAGCTCTGCCTCCTGGGTTCACGCCATTCTCCTGCCTCAGCCTCCCGAGTAGCTGGGACTACAGGCGCCCACCACCATGCCCGGCTAATTTTTTGTATTTTTAGTAGAGACGGGGTTTCCTTCCTTTTTTTTTTTTTTTTTTTGAGATGGAGTTTCACTCTTCTCACCCAGGCTGGAGTGCAATGGCAGGATCTCGGCTCACTGTAACCTCTGCCTCCCAGGTTCAAATGATTCTCCAGCCTCAGCCTCCCGAGTAGCCGGGATTACAAGCACTTGCCACCATGCCCGGCTAATTTTGTATTTTTAGTACAGACAGGGTTTCACCATGTTGGCCAGGCTGGTCTTGAACTCCTGACCTCAGGTGATCCACTCGCCTCAGCCTCCCAAAGTGCTAGGATTACAGGCGTGAGCCACCGCGCCCGGCCACTTCCTTCCTTTTTATGGCTGAATCATATTCATTGTATGAATAGACAACATGTTGTGTTTATCCATTCATTTGTTGGTGGACACTTGAGTTGTTTCCACCTTTTGGCTATTGTGAATAGCGCTATTCTGAACACGTCCAAGGGTTTGTTTGAATATATCCGCTTGATTTTCTAAATAAAGTTTTATTGGCATGCAGTCACGCCCATCATTTGCATGTTGTCAAGGTTACAATGGCCGAGTTGGTTGCAACAGAGACAGCATAGTACACACAGCAAATCTATTTACTAGCTCGCCCTTTACAGAAAATTTTGTTGACCCCTGTATTGATCATGACCAAAATGAGTCTGGGAATTGGGTTGGGTTGCAGAAACTTTACATTAGGCCTGGATGACCATTCTCCTCTCCTTCTACCTGTCCAGAACAAAGGGGTTACATTTCCCAGCAAGCAGTCTTGAGCCTCAGTCCCCAAGCCCCATTGGTAACACGATGGGTCCCACACACTGAAGGACAAGACTTGAGACCCTTTTGTAGCGAGGGGCAAATAGATCCACATCAGTCACAGTGCGTAGCCTATGCACTTGGGTACAGAAACAGCTAATGAGCAGGGGCACTCAAGGACCTGCAGGCTGCCTCTGCAGACATCATGCAGACAGCTGCGGTTTGTCCCCTTTTCCCAGCTATATGCTATTCTTTGAGAAGATACCACACCCCCACGTGCAAGTTTCTCAAAGGAGAAAAGTCCCCCAGGAGCGGGATTGCTGCGTGCTGGATAACTCCTGGTGTAAGCCACTTTCTGGCCCCACTTTTAGTCCTGCTGTCTGTTACTTGCAACCAAAAGCACTCACTGAACCCACTCCTGGTGGTGGATCCCGCAGCTCCCGTCCTGTCCGCTCAAATGTAGAAATAACCCCAGACATAAGGAGGGGAATTTCGGAATTTACCGAGGAAACTGGGCTGAATGAGATTCCATTTCTGCTTCCTCGTGGGATGGAGACTCAAAACAGAAATTAAATTCAGCTGTTGGAAAATGGAGTTTCATTCCTCACACATCTGAGTTTATGAAATGAGATTCCCAGCTGCTACTTTTTTTTCTTTTTTTTTTTTTGAGATGGAGTCTCGCTCCGTCACCCAGGCTGGAATGCAGTGGCGTGATCTTGGCTCACTGCAAGCTCCGCCTCCCCAGTTCACACCATTCTCCTGCCTCAGCCTCCCGAGTAGCTGGAACTACAGGTGCCTGCCACCGTGCCCGGCTAATTTTTGGTACTTTTAGTAGAGACGGGGTTTCACCGTGTTAGCCAGGATGGTCTCGATCTCCTGACCTCGTGATCCACCCGCCTCGGCCTCCTAAAGTGCTGGGATTACAGGCGTGAGCCACTGCGCCTGGCCCCAGCTGCTACATTTAAAACAGACATGGCCAGGCACAGTGGCTCACGCCTGTAATCCCAACACTTTGGAGGGCTGAGGAGAGAGGATTGCCCAAAGTGAGGAGTTCGAGAGCAGTCTGGGCAACATGGCGACATCCTATCACTACAAAAAATACACAAATTAGCCAGGTGTGGTGGTGCACACTACTCAGGAGGCTGAGGTGGGAGGATCACCTGAGCCTGGGAGGTTGAGGATGCAGTGAGTTGAGATTGTGACACTGAACTCCATCCTGGGTGACAGAGCAAGACCCTGTCTCAAAAACAAACAAACAAGAAGATCCCAAAAAACCCAACAAAACCAAACAAGCATGGGGGTGTGGGTTGAATTAAGGGCATGTATTCCTAGTGTTTGTATCTTAACTTCCTTAAGGGCAACAGATGGCCGGGTGCGGTGGCTCACGCCTGTAATCCCAGCACTTTGGGAGGCCGAGGGAGTGGATCACCTGAGGTCAGGGGTTCGCGACCAGCCTGGCCAACATGGTGAAATCCTATCTCTACTAAAAATACAAAAATTAGCCAGGCAAGGTGGCGGGCGCCTGTAATCCCAGCTACTCAGGAGGCTAAGGCAGGAGAATCGCTTGAATCTGGGAGGTGGAGATTGCAGTGAGCTGAGATTGCACCACTGCATTCCAGCCTGGGCAACAGAGACTTCATCTCAAAAAAAAAAAAAAAAAGCAATGGTTGCAAATGTTCTGAGTTCAAGTCCCAGCTCCATCTCTTCCTGGCTATGTGATCTGAGCAAGATCTTGTCTCTCTGTACTTCAGTTTCCTTCTCTGTAAAATGGGGATGACTCCAGTTGCGGATGAGCCGCGTTCATGGGCAAGCAGTGTGTTCTACTGAGTCTGCGCCTACCTAGTAGGTGCTAATCGTACGTGAGGTTTTTGTTTTTGTTTTTTTGCTGATAAAGGAATGCAAGGAGGAGGCAACCACGTGTCCAAGGCTGTGTGTGGTTTTTCTTTTTTTAATGTCTGCTGTTAATAAAATATTTTTACAGAGACCAAAAAGTCAGAATAGTGCAAAACATCTCAACACCATGCATTCATGACCACTTCTCGTTTGTGTTAAACATTTGTTCCAAGTCACATATTTACAGAGAAATGAAGGCGTCTGTGCAGACACTGGACCGACGGGGTAGAATCAAAACAAAACAAAAAACAAACAACGTTTTGATTTCACATCTGCAATCACATGCTAAGAGTTGTGTGGAGGGGAAGCCTCCCCGGACTGCTTGGCCGGTTTGTGGGGGTCTGAGGGAGCACGAGACAGGGGTGGACAGGGGTCAAGTCCCCCTGGCTGTGTGGTTGGGGATGATCAGGGGACCCTCCGCCTGTGACCTGTGTCTCCAGAGAGCCACTATGGCTGGACGGGGGTAAGGGGTGGGGTGTTACTTGACACAGTCAACTTGATTTTTCTCTGAAACAATAAAAGGCAAAGAGAAAAGCAACACGTGTCAGCAAAGACAACTTTGGTCCTCAACGATTCTTAGGAAAGGATTCTGGGGAGCAGACGGGGTTGTGATCCGGGACTAAGGCCCTCCCCCAACTTCCCCAGGGTGGCAGAGTTCCGGGAGGCCCCAGGTTGTCCCCATCTGCAAAATCGACAGCACATGGGGTAGGGGTAGGGGACAGAAAGGCTCTGAGATCCCAGCCGAGAGAGGTCCCAAGGATTTCTAGTTGGGTGTTTAGTTTTTTGCATCTCTGATGGGGGCATGGTGAGGTCTCAGGCTCTGGGGCCTGAGAGAGGAATTGGGGGTGTGGACAGGCACCTCCTCATTTTATGCAAATCATTCGAGGACAGACTGGTAAGAGTGAACAGATCCTTCTTTCTTCAGGACACCCTCTTTACTTCCCCCGACACTCCCTGCCTTGGTCTCTGCATTTATCTTTCTCTGTATATTTCCACCTCTATGTCTCTCTCCATCTCTGTCTCTCTCCGTCCTCATCGGGGCGTGATCTCACCCTCTGTCTCTGTGTTTTCTACTCTATTCCTCTTGGTCAGGGGACTTTGACTCTGAGGCATCCCTCAATGTCACCCCTTTAACCCTTGCCCTGCCACAGGCCAACCTTCTTGTGCTGTTTCCCCGATTCATGGAAATGTGGGGCCAGCTCCTTGCATAAAGCGAGGTCCAGGGTTCAGAACCCTGGAGGTGTCATCCAAGGCCGGGCTCTGTGTCCACTTGCTGGGTGGCGTTGAGGAAAGCCCTGCTCCTCTCTGGGCTTTGTTCTGCCAATACAGGAACTTCCTGATTTCAAAAGGCTTTCAGCCCCCTGGACTCCTTGTCTTTTCTCTGTCCGTGTCTCAGCCATGTCCACTCTCTGTCCCATGTGTCAGGCTCAGACACCTCCTATGTGCCCAGGTCCGTGTGGAAGGGGAAGGTTGGTACGGACAGACATGGACAGACATGCATGCGGATGTGTATTCTCACACTGACCCTGCCCCAATACATAATTCCACTAGGCGTAGACTCCCTGTCACCCACTTGTGCCCAGCCTGTGCTAGGTAAAGTTGGGGGTCCTGAGAGTCCTCAGACCCCAGTCTGGGAGAAACAGAGCTGGACAGAGAAACCCCCAGTCCCATGGCATCAGGCTGGACTGGAGGAGAGACGGTGGCTGGGAAAGTCCTGAGGGGAAGGAAGGAGGGTTTTCTCCAAGAGGGGTTTCCGTGATGGGTTTTGAAGGACGAATAGGAGTTCTCTGGGGGAAAGAAAAGAGGGTGGAAATTGCAAAAACAGTTCTAGCCTGGGAGTCAGGAAAACTCATTCAACAAATATTCCCTGAAGAAGCTTGTTTCCTTCACATGCCTGGGCCATTGCTGGGGAACCCTAAACACACACACACACACACGGAGGTCTTGAACAGAAAGACTCCTAAGGAATCTTTTGGGAAATAACTTGGCTCTCTCAGGCAGCTCGACTTCCCCATTTCTTTCCAGCCATCCAAAAATCTTCCAGATCACCCTCACCCCAGGTCACAGATCACTTCCCCTTTGGGCTCTATGGGTTACAACCCTGAATCATCCATCCACCCGACCCCTACCCTCAGCCATGTCATGGTTCGAAATTCACATCTGCTCCTCAGTCCATATAACAGTCACATAAGCTTATCCCTGGCTACAACTTCCCAACCCTGTATGAGAATTTGCATTTTAACCTTTGGTTCAGAACCTCCAGTTACCTGCACCTGTCTGAATTTAAGGGACATGCAACATCTCCAAGCAAATTAGAAAGTGGCGCCACTTCTTCCAGACACTTGGGCCATTCACATGTCGGGAAACCAACGTCACAAACATACAACACTCAATATCTAGGATTTGCACGTGGCCTTCTTAGCAATGCCAAACCCTTGGGCACTGTGCAACTGGGACAACTGTACTCAGCAGCCCTAGAGCTCATCTAAGGGCAGGATTTTTTTTTTTTTTTGGTGGGGTAGAGGGGAGGGAATGGAGTATTGTTCTGTTGCCCAGGCTGGAGTGCAGTTGTGTGATCACGACTCACTACAACCTCTGCCTCCAGGGTTCAAACAATTCTCCCGCCTCAGTCTCCTGAGTAGCTGGGACTACAGGCATGCACCACTGCACCCAGCTAATTTTTGTATTTTTAGCAGAGATGGGGTTTCGCCATGTTGGCCAGGCTGGTCTCAAACTCCTGACCTTAAGTGATCTGCCAGCCTCGGTCTCCCCAAATGCTGGGATTATAGTCATGTCCCCACAGCTATAGGTGTCTTTTCAACACAGCCTTCAGAATCTTTCCAAGAATCCATTTCAGTGTCCCCAAAGCACCTCCACCTCTCCTCACTGGTTTTAGTCTTCACAAAACAGCTTTTGCAGGCTGGAATCCAGTCTCTCCCCAACTTAAAACAGCTCCTGGAGCTCCCCAACTGTCTTAGAATAAAAGTAAAACTCCTCAGGACTGCGTACGAGGCCCTGCCTGGTCTGATGCTTCTGCAGATCTCCCCAACCCCAAGGCTCCTCACGATCCCCCTTGCTGGCTCAGCTCCAGCCGTGCCACCCTTCTCGTTGTTTCAACAGTTCTTCTCTCCTGGCCTTCGCACGTGCTGTTCCCCAGGCCTGGAGCTCTTTTCTCTCTAGTAAGTGGTTCCCTCTCATTCTTCACCTCGGAAAGCCTCCCCATCTGATGTTCTATCCTCCAGAAACCCAGCTACTCAGCTCACCCCGTTTTCATTTCTCCCTAGCACAGCAAAATCTTGTCCTTCCCAATCCAGCAGAAAAAGGCGTGCCATACACACATGTGGAAAAGCAGATCCCAGAGCAAGTGTAGTCCACGCTGAACTTTCCCCTAAGGTCCTATGTGCACCAGGTAACTCCAGCCAGGTCACTGTAACTTTGCTCATTGGAGAAAGAGCTTCCAGCTGGCAAGAGGGCCATCTGAGGTATCCTGTGGCTTGGGTGTTTGAATCAATGAATAGGCTCTTGGAGACTAAGCTCTCACTGTGTCACTGTGTTTGTGTTTCTCTCTCTCTCATTCTCTTTCTCTCATTCTCTTTCTCCCCCCTAGAGTTTCTGGTCTCCTTCTGTTCTTTCCTATTTGGAAAATTCTGGAAAAGGAAGAAGGGATGGAGAAACCTGGGACCAGGGGATCCCAAATTCTCTTTTGTGGTGGGAGGCCCTCATGGCATCCCCCATGGAGATCCCAGGAGAAAGGGCTGAGGGCAAAGGTCCTGCTTGGCAGCCGGAGAAGGAAAGGCGAAGTAGGGGTCTTGGCCTGGAATTCCCACCCCTTGGAGGAGGCCGAGGGGGAATTAGCAGCAATAGGGAGCTGTGTCAGGTCATCCCGATCTCAGCCCACCCTTCCATGGGGCACACAGGCCTAAGGGAGGGGCACAGAGGGTATGGCACCTGGAACCTTGGCCAAGTCTCAAGCAGCTCTTTAAGCCTCAGTTTTGCCATCTGTCAAATGGGTGTGTTGAACTCTATGATATGAGGACTGGGTTTGTTGGGGGAGAGGGAGAGGCAAACTCCCAAAGGGAAGTAGGGGCAGCGTGGGGAACCAGAGCCGTCCCCTCGGCCCCCAGGGTTTGGGCGCCCAAGGGCGCATGTGCTTTTGAAATCCCATCCTCCCCCCTCCCCCCATTTATTTTTTGCACAAATATCTAAAGGGACTCCGGTATTCCGGGGCCCTCCAACCAGCATCCTGGTCCCTCCAGTCCCCAGGCCACCTAGAGGGGCGCTCCAGAGAGCCCTACCCCTTGCCCAGGGCCCCCCCTCGAGGGAGCTGAGATTTCCATACTTGGCAATTGGTCTGGGGTCCCAGGGGTCTGGGTCCCATCTTATGGCTTTTCCAGGGGACATGAGGTGGTGCCTCCCGGTACCAGAGCCCCGGGATGTGGCCTCCTCCATAGGGACGAGGTTTCCCCCATCCCAGCTCAAAATGCCCCCTAGGTGCTGGGGGCGTGGCCTCAAGTTGGGGATGTGGCTCCTTCCTTCGTCGCGCCCTTGGGCGTGGCCTCCCGAGAGGGCGGGGCATCCTCCATTCCTAATTCCCCAAAAGGGAAAGCTGAGTCAAGGGCGTAGGCGCAGCCCACCCTTGGCGTGGAGCCCCCCGAGCCCCGCCCCTGGGGAGGTCCCACCAAGGCGCAAGCCCCGTCCCTCCCCGCCCAGCGCCCTCCGCGCAGGCGCAGTGCCGCTCGGCCGACCGCCCGCGCTAAGGCGCAGGCGCGGCACCGCCCTCCTCGGCGGAGCGCGTGTCCGACTTGAGCTTCACGAACTCCTTGGCCACCTCGTCGTTGCTGCGCTGCGAGAGGATTCGCAGCACCGTGAGGCCCGTGTCGTCCATGTGGATGCGGCGGCCGAGCGGCAGCCAGCAGGCGGCGCTCCCGCGCTGGGCCAGCTCACGCAGCTGCAGCACGGCCAGCCCCACCGTGCGGTCCTCGCGCGCGAAGCAGTAGTCCTTGACGCACACCTGCAGCTCATAGCACTCGGGACCCGCGTCGGCGCTCAGCGTGCTGCGTGGGGAGGGGCGGAACGTGAGACAGGCCACACCTACTGTGATGCCCCGCCCACGGCCCCGTCCCCACCGCATTTGCGGGCCACGCCCACACCGGGGTGCCCACACCTGTCACCTCCCACGCTACGCTAGCCCCGCCCCTGCCCCGTTACTTGACCTACAACCCTGTGCTTGGCCGCGCCCACAGCAGCTGACCCCGAGCTGGGCCACGCCCACGCCTGTTCTTCCCATTTTTCCACCCACCGAAAAATGACCGCATAGTTTTACATCCAGCTCCCGCCCCTCAGACACCGCCCTGCAAGGCCATGCTCCCACCCTGAGATACCCGCGCCTGTGCCCTCTGCCGGCTGAACTGCTGCCCGCACGGCCCTGCCCCTAATGTCCCACCCAGAAGCTCTTTAACCAGGCTCTCCTCTAGACCCACGACGTGGCCCTTTCCCCAGCCCCCCACACCCCCAGCCCACCCCTCTTACTTCCAAGATGCCCTCCAGACATGAGCCTGCCCTGGTGCCTCACCATGGGTGACACCGCCTCCCGCATGCCCCTCACCTGTGCTCCTGCCCCTAAGCAGTCCCAGTGACCTGCCCTGACGCCAGCTGGATAAGAGCCCCTCCTACAGGGTCACGCCCAGCTTCTCCCTCTTGTCCACCTCCCAGGTTGTACCTCTATCCCTGAAGTACTCCGGCCCACCCTGGCTGACATCTGACCTCCCACTAGACCATGCTTCTCCTCCTGAGTATCCCCTAAAGGGGCCAATCGCCCCAAAACCTTCTGACCAAGAGCCCTGTGCTGACACGACATGGAACTGGCTTCAATCTTGTCCCATAAGAGCTCCCAGGCCCCCTAGATAATACCAGCTAACCAGCTCTGATTTACCCTTACCCCTGTGCATTTTTATTTATTTTTATTTATTTTTATTTTTTGAGTGGGCATCTCCCTCTGTCACCCAGGCTGGAGTGCAGTGGCACAATCGCGGCTCACTGCAACCTCTGTCTCCCGGGTTCAAACGATTCTTCTGCCTCAGCCTCCCTAGTAGCTGGGATTACAGGCATGCACCACCACACCGGGCTGATTTTTTGTGTTTTTAGTACAGATGGGGGTGGCGGGGGGGGGGGTCTCACCATGTTGGCCACGCTGGTCTCGAACTCCTAACCTCAGGTGATCCACTGCCTTGGCCTCCCAAAGTGTTGGAATTACAAGCGTCAGCCACCGCGCCTGGCCCATAGTTTTTTGTTTTTTTAAAGACAGGGTCTCGCTATGTCGGTCACCCAGGCTGGAGTGCAGTGGCACAATCATAGCTCATTGCAGCCTTAAACTCCTGAGCTCAAGCGATCTTCCTGCCCCAGCCTCCCAGGTAGCTGGGACTACTTTCTTCTGCACTTCTGTCTCCTAAGAACATCCAACAACATTGCCCTGCCCCAGTGCTCTGTGAGGCTGACACTCGACCCAAGGATCTACCCCGGATGACCCCAACTCTACCCTTGCTAACCACCACCATCCATCTACCCCCGTGAACAGACTTTTTTTTTTTTTTTTTTTTTGAGGCAGAGTCTTGCTCTGTCGCCCAGGCTGGAGTGCCGTGGTACAATCATGGCTCACTGCAACCTGTGCCTCCTGGGTTCAAGCGATTCTCGTACCCCTCACCCTCTGGAGTAGCTGGGATTACAAGCGCCTGCCACCACACCCGGCTAATTTCTGTATTTTTTATTTTTTTGAGTCTCACTCTGTAGCCCAGGCTGGACTGCAGTAGCGCCATCTTGGGTCATTGCAGCCTCCACCTCCTGGGTTCAAGCGATTCTCCTGTCTCAGCCTCCCGCGTAGCTGGGATTACAGGCGCCCACCACAACACACAGCTAATATTTTTTGTATATACTATATTATATACAATATATAATATATGAAATATATAATATATATACTTTTATATATAATATAATATATACTATATATAATTTTATTTATACTATATAATATATACTATATATAATTTTATATATAATATAAATATATATTATATATGTATATAAATATATATATATTTATATATAATATATAAAAATATATTTATATGATATATATTTATTATATATTATATAATATAATATAAATACATATTTTATATATAATTATATAATATAAATACATATTTTATATATAATTATATAATATATATTTCTTTTAGACGGAGTCTTGCTCTGTTGCCCAGGCTGGAGTGCAGTGGTGCGATCTCGGCTCACTGCAAGCTCTGCCTCCCGGGTTCACGCCATTCTCCTGCCTCAGCCTCCCGAGTAGCTGGGACTACAGGCGCCCGCCACCACGCCTGGCTAGGTTTTGTATTTTTAGTAGAGACGGGGTTTCACCGTGTTAGCCAGGATGGTCTCGATCTCCTGACCTCGTGATCTGCCCGCCTTGGCCTCCCAAAGTGCTGGGATTACAGGTGTGAGCCACCACACCCAGCCATATTTTATATTTTTAATAGAGATGGAGTTTCACCATGTTGGCCAGGCTGGTCTCGAACTCCTGGCCTCAAGTTATCTGCCCACCTTGGCCTCCCAAAGTGTTGAGCTTACAGGCGTGAGCCACCATGCTCGGCCAGAGCAGACTTTTTTTTTTTTTTTGAGGTGGAGTTTCGCTTTTGTTGCCCAGGCTGGAGTGCAATGGCTCGATCTTGGCTCACTGCACCCTCCGCCTCCCGGACTCAAGCGATTCTTCTGCCTCAGCATCCCGAGTAGCTGGGATCACAGGCGTGCGCCACCACACCCGGCTAATTTTTTTTTTTTTTTTTGTATTTTTAGTAGAGACGGGGTTTCACCATGTTGGCCAGGCTGGTCTTGAACTCCTGACCTCAGGTGATCTGTCTGCCTCGGCGTCCCAGAGTGCTGGGATGACAGGTGTGAGCCACCACACTCGGCCAGAGCAGACTTTTTTATGCTGTCCACATCATCAGCATCCTCTAGACCCTATCCTGATACCCGCAGCCTAGGCCCACTCCCAACTCCAAGAACCTCCATCCAATGTGACCCCACCTCCACCCCACGTGACACCCACCCCCAAGCCTGGGATCCATCTACACTCCACTCCTGTCCCCAGAGCCGACTCCTCCAGATGGGCTGCCCCAACGGTCCTGACAAGGCTCAATGTAGACTCCAGTAGTCCCCACCCCCATGCAACCTCAGTCCTGTCCCCAGGTCCCTCAGCCCCCCGCTCATAAGCGTCATCACTGCCACCCTCATTCCTTCACCAGACAGAGTCTCCAGCCCCAGCAATGGCCCTGCCCACCATGCACTTCCTGCCCAGACTTTCCCTCCCCTCTGCAAGTCTTCATCATGAAGTTACCCCACTCTACTCATTGCCTCCCCTTGGATCTGCCAGCCCCCAAAGGTGACCTCCATCCTCGTGTCCCCTCCCTGATGTCATTCCTGCACTACTAAGGGGTCTCCCTTTCCAGCACCCCCACCTAGAATGTGGCCCCTCCCATTCCCGGGCCCAGATTCCAGATACCTCCTGCCTAGCTGGCTTTGGGGTTCACCTGGCGGATGCCCCCTCCCTTGCCCCCATGCTCTTCAAAGCATCCCAAACTCACAACTGGAAGCTCTCATTGTACTTGGGAGCCCAGCTATTGTTCTTGGATTTGGTCGCAAACTTGCGTTTCTTGTCGCTGAGCTGGGGCCCAATGATGTTGACCTCGATGAACGGCCGGAAGATGCCAGAAGTCTGCCACTTGAGGTCATTGGCAGCCACCACTGTTGGAGGAAGTAGAGGGTAAGACAGGTCAGGTTCTCCCAGTTGGAAAAAGTAGATGTTTGTGGCTCTCAAAACCTGCCCAAGGCTGGGCGCAGTGGCTCACGCTTGTAATCCCACCACTTCGGGAGGCCAAGGCGGGTGGATCACTTGAGTCCAGGAGTTTGAGACCAGCCTGGGCAACATGGTGAAACCCTGTCTCTACGAAAAATACAAAAATCAGCTGGGCGTGGTGGCACGCGCCTGTAGTCCCACATACTTGTGGGGCTAAAGCAGGAGGATTGCTTGAGCCTGGGTGGCGGCAGTTGCAGTGAGCTGAGATTGTGCCACTGCACTCCAGCCTGTGTGACAAAGCAAGATCCTGTCTAAAAAAAATAAAAAATAAAAACACCCCACCCCTCGCCCGCCGCCAAAAACCCTGTCTGAAATAAAGACTACATTTCCCAGCATTGCCATGAAGCTAAGTGTGGTCATATGACTATGTTTTGGCCAATGAGGTGAGAGAAAAAAATCACGTGTACTACTTCTCCACTGTGGCTTAAAAGGCAGGGAGTGAACCCCAAACTTTCTCCTTCCTCTAGCCGCAGTCTGCAATGCTTGTGGGGGCTGAGCTCTTTGTGACCCTATAGTGGAGGAAAAACACATTTGGGTCCAGGTATGGTGGCTCACGTCTGGAATCCCAGCACTTTGGGAGGCCCAGGTGGGAGGACTGCTTGAGGCCAGGAGTTTGAGACCAGCCTGGATACCATAGTGAGACACCATCTCTACAAAAATATAATTTAAAAAGTAGCCAGGTGTGATGCTGCATGCCTGCAATCCCAGCGACTCCGGAAGCTGAGGCAGGAGGATCGCTAGAGCCCAGGAGTTTGAGGCTGCAGTGTGCTGTGATTGCACCACAGCGCTCCAACCTGGGCAACAGAGTGAGACTCTGGCCTCTAAAACAAACAAACAACAACAACAACACATTAGGGATGAAAATGCAACAAAAGATGGCAGCAGCACAGATCACCAACACTGCGAAGCCTCCATATCAGCTCGAGGCTGGTTGCTACTTAAACTGTTATCCCAGAGAAAAACCAATTCTATCATTTTTGTTTGTTTGTTTACATGGAGTCTCACTCTGTCACCCAGGCTGGAGTGCAGTGGCGCAATCTCAGCTCACTGCAAACTCCACCTCCCGGGTTCAAGCGATCCTCCCACCTCAGCCTCCTGAGTAGCTGGGATTACAAGCACACGCCACCACACCCAGCTACTTTTTGAATTTTTAGTAGAAACAGGGTTTCACCATGTTGGCCAGGCTGGTCTGAACTCCTGGCCTGATCCGCCAGCTTTGGCCTCCCAAAGTGCTGGGATTACAGGCATGAGCCACCGTGCCTGGCCTAATTCTGTCTTATTTAAGCCATGTCAAAAACAGCCCAATCTGTGTTCTAGTCAACAAAAGCCAAGAAAAGGAAAGCAGGGCTGAGAGATGGAGAAAGTGGGATTCAGTCTTACAAAACTGTTTACACTGCTGGATCCAGCCATGCCTGAAGGTGGCCACCTTTGGACGTTTCCGTTTCATGGACCATTAAACAACAACAACAAAAAAAGGGTGTTGCTTAAGCCAGTTTGAGTTTGGTTTCTGTTTTAGAACCTAGCAAGTCCCTCCCACCTCAGACCACTCACCTTTCACTGTGACCTTGTGTTCCCCAGTTCCTGGATGAGTGAACAGCTCAACATGGACAGAGACTTCACCCACAGGGTCTTCTACACCCAAGCCTGGGCAGGGCAGGGGAGGATGGTCAGCGTGAGCTCTGTTCTTTCCCACCCACCAGGAGGGACCTTGACGGCCTCCCACCCACCTGTGCTGGCGGCACCAGGTCATCAGCCCTGATAGGGAGGCACTGATGGGGGGCCAGGATGGGAGGTGCTCTTGGGAAGCCAAGAATCCTGGGTTCTGGCCTTTTACTGCCTTGCTGTGTGATCTTGGGTAGATTGCTTAACCTCTCTGAGCCTAATGCAATTCTTTTCTTTTTTCTTATTCCATTGATTGCCATGTTGTCAAAATTCAGTCTTCATGTTACATTACATCTTGGCAGCATCTGGCACCCTGGCCTCCTGTGGCTGTTTGTCCTCTTGGCTGCAACAATGTCACCAACTCGATTCTCATCCTACATAGTTGTCACTCCCTCCAACCCCCTTTTGTCATTTTCTCCTCCGTGGGTCCTCAAACTGACCCTGCACCTCAATATTTGACACTCTTCTTTGTCTTCACTTCCTCCCTAGGTGCCCATAAACTGGAAAATCCTGCCAGCTCTACCTTCAAAATACATCCAGAAGCAGAGCCATGTCTTTTCCCTGTATCCTACACCTGCCCCCAGCATCCCATGCCTGGACTATTGCAGTAGCCTCCTTGCTGGTCTTCCTTCCACTCTTTCATCTACTCTCAGTATACCAGCCAGAAAAATCCTATTAAGTCAGATCATGTCGGCAGGGCGCGGTGGCTCACAGCTGTAATCCCAGCATTTTGGGAGGGTGAGGCAAACTCACTTGAGCTCAGGAGTTTGAGACTAGCCTGGGCAACATGGCAAAACCCCATCTCTACAATAAATACAAAAATTAGTGGCCATGGTGGGGCGTGCTTGTAGCCCCAGCTACTCTGGTGGCTGAGGTGGGAGGAACACTTGAGCTCAGAAGGGTCCAGGCTGCAGTGAGACGAGATCGCACCACTGCACTTCAACCTGGGTGACAGAGCAAGACCCTGTCTCAGAAAATTAAAAAATAAATAAATAACATTTAAAAGTCAGATCATGTCCCTCCTCTGCTCAAAACTCTTCCATGGGTCGGGCAGTGGTGGCTCATGCCTGTAACCCCAGTACTTTGGGAGGCTCATGCTTGTAATCCTAGCATTTTGGGAGGCTGAGGTGGGCAGATAACTTGAGGTCAAGAGTTCAAGCCCATCCTGGCCAACATGGCGAAACCCTGTCTCTACTAAAAATACAAAAATTAGCCGGGTGTGGTAGTGCACGCCTGTAATCCCAGCTACTTGGGAAGCTGAGACAGGAGAATCACTTGAACCTGGGAGGCAGAGGTTGCAGTGAGCTGAGATTGCACCACTGCACTCCAGCCTGGGTGACAGAGAGAGACCCTGTCTCAAAAAAAAAAGAGAGAGAAAAGAAAATTAGCCAGGTGTGGTGATGCATGCACCTGTAGTCCCAGCTATCTAGGAGGCTGAGGCAGGAGGATCGCTTAATCCCAGCTGGTTGAGGCTGCAGTGAGCTATGATCCCGCCACTGCACTTCAGTCTGGGTGACAGAGCAAGACTGTCTCAAAAAACAAAACAAAGCAAAACCAAACTCTTCCATGGCTCCCACCTCACTCTGAGATAATCAAAGTGGTTTTTGTGACCTGCAACACCCCTTCCAATAGTGGCCCTTTCCAATAGGTTACTATTACCTCTCCCCACTCACCCCATTCTTGCCCTTGTTAACTCTGACCCAGCCCCACAGGTCACCTCATTGCATCACCTGGCCCAGAATCCTCATCCCTCCTGATGTGACAGCTCATAGCGGCATCTTTTATTTTCCTTACCCCTATTTCCCTTCTAGTGCAGAATCTTAAGTTTCTTTTTTTTTTTTTTTTTTTTTTCTTTTTTTTGAGATGGAGTCTTGCTTTGTCGCCCAGGCTGGAGTGCAATGGCGAAATCTCGGCTCACTGCAACCTCGGCCTCCCAGGTTCAAGCGATTCTCCTGCCTCAGCCTCCTGAGTAGCTGGGACTACAGGTGCACACCACCACACCCAGCTAATTTTTGTAGTTTTGAGACGGGGTTTCACCATGTTGGCCAGGATGGTCTCGATCTCTTGACCTGGTGATCTGCCCGCCTCGGCCTCCCAAAGTGCTGGGATTACAGGCATGAGCCACCGCACCTGGCCTTCTTTTTTGTTTTTGAGATAGAGTCTTGCTGTGTCACCAGGCTGGAGTGTAATGGCACCATCTCGGCTCACTGCAACCTCCGCCTCCCAGGTTAAAGCGATTCTCCTGCCTCAGCCTCCTGAGTAGCTGGGATTACAGGCATCCACCAACACGCCTGGCTAATTTTTGTTATTTTTAGTAGAGATGGGGTTTCACCATGTTGGCCAGGCTGGTCTCAAACTCCTGACTTCAAGTGATCCGCCCAACTTGGCCTCCCAAAGTGCTGGGATTACAGGCATGCACCACCGCGCCAGGCCTCAACCCCTAATTTTTCCATTATGGAGTCAAAAAGTTCCCTTGTCTGCTTGAATCATGGTGTGGTGGGCTTCTGTTTGGGGCCACCAGCCGTGTCCTCCATGGTGCCAATGGGGATCACTGATGGGGCAGCTTAAAAGAATCTCTCCCGGTCCCGCCTTCTGTGACTCAAAAGGGCATCCTGTGGGGCCTGTGGACCTGTGACCGCCAGCACCTCCACCAACCCCTCCCCACCCCCCACCAGGCAACTCCCCACTCCTGGACCACCCCATGCACGGGGAGAAGAAGGGGAAAGTCAGAGGTGAGGGTGGGAGGTTGGGTCAGTCAAACGCTGATTGGGTTACCTCACGCTGGACAGGAAGTGACTGAGGGTTGGGGAGCACAGGGGCCTGGAGACCCCCATCACCCCAGTACTGGGGTATGTGGCCCCGGTCTTTGCTGCACGCCCCAGGCCGTCTTCCTTGTTGCCTCAGGCTCCCATTCCACCCCCACCCCCCGCCACCAGTCACATGCTCAGCCGCCCCGCCCTCCCCCAGGCCGATGCTTCATAGCAAGCTCAATCCGGGCCAGACTGGGGTGCCGGGGGTGCCAGGGGGAATTGGACAGTGGTGGGTCAGGTGAGGGGTCAGACCAAGGCCAAAGCTAGTAAGAAGGGGGGAGGGAGGCAGTGCTGGGTGCCCCCATCCCGTGCTTTGCTGGCTTCGCGGGGAAGGGTCTTTCCTGGGCCTCTCAGTGCTTCTTCCAACCCCACTCCCCACTCCCCAAGTCCCGGGACCCCTGCAGGGGAAGGTTCCTCGGACAAGTGGTTGAATCTCCTTTGGCTCTCAGTATCTCATCTGTGGAATGATGTACCCCTCGTGGGGCAGTTAAAGAAATCTGTTTCAGTTTCCCCAAGAAGGCTAGGCATGGAGGCTCATGCCTGTAATCCCAGCACTTTGGGAGGCCAAGGTGGGAGGATCATTTGAGGCCAGGAGTTCGAGACCAGCCTGGGCAACATAGCCCAGGAGGTGGCGGCTGCAGTGACCTGAGATTTCGCCATTGCACTCCAGCCTGGGTGACAGCGTCTGCCTCAAATTAAAAACAAAATGGCCAGGCGCTGGGATTACACCTGTCATCCTAGCACTTTGGAAGGCCGAGGCCAAGATGGGTGGACCACTTGAGGCCAAGAGTTCAAGACCAGCCTGGCCAACATGGCAAAACCCCGTCTCTACTAAAAATACAAAAATTAGCCAGGCGTGGTGGTGCGGGCCTGTAATCCCAGCTACTCAGGAGGCTGAGGCACAAGAATCGCTTGAAACCAGGAGGCGGACGGAGGTTGCAGTGAGCTGAGATTTCCCCACTGCATTCCAGCCTGGGTGACAGAGTGAGACTCTGTCTCAAACAACAACAACAAAACCAAACACAGATTCTTCAAGAAATGCCTGGCACAAGGTCCTGCTCAGCCTTAGAGCCTGATAAGTATTCACTGAGATCAGCCTGGGCAACAAAGTGAGGCCACCTCTCTACAAAAAAAATTAAAAATTAGCTAGCCATGTGACGTGTGCCTGTAGTCCCAGCTCCTCGGGAGGCTGGGGCAGGAGGATCACTTGAGCACAGGAGGGAGGCTGCAGTGAGCAGTGATTGCACCACTGCATTCCAGCCTAGGTGACAGAAGGAGACCTTGTCTCTAAATAATAATATCAATAACAATAATCCTATGAAGTAGGGTCCTTGACTGTCCCCATTTTACAGATGAGAAAACTGAGGCTCAGGGAGACAGATTCTTGCCCAAGGTGCCTACCCGTGGAGTGGCTGGGCTGGAATCAGAGCCCAGCTCTTAACCTGACAGGTGCCTGTCCCGGGGTCCCAGGATCTGGCTTAAAAAATATGTCATATCAGGAGAAATGGATTCTGGGATTCCCACTGGAATCGCTTCTTCCCCATGTAGAACCAGCAAATCGTCCTTCCCCCTCACCCGCCTGGGCCCTCCAAGCCGCTCAGGCCTGGGCGGCGGCCCTGCAGGCCCTTGAGGCAGAAGGACGATCCTTTTACTAGCCGGGGCCAGGAGGGGCGCAGGCACCGGGCACCAGGCGCGGGCGGCGGGCGGGAGGCGGAGGCACGTACCCTTCTCAGGATAAATGTCTTCACTAAGGGTAAACCTAGTACCTTTTCCACCATGGACTAATTGGGGGTGGGGGTGGAAGGGGGAGAGAGGTGGGAAGCATGGGGAGCGGGGAGAGACGAGCCAGTGAGAGGTGAGGATGGAGGAGTGTGTGTGGAGGGGGCAGGGGAGGCGCGGAGAGGGGACGGCGAGTGAGAGGGAGGAAAAACAAGAGAGAGAGAAACGTCAGCTGCAGACAGACGGAGAGACAGACAGCCTCCTGCTCCAGGGACACCAGGGACACTAAAAGCAGCCAGGACTGGAAGGGAAGCTGAGCTCAGAGACCCAGCGCCCACGGAGGGCCCTTGGGCTGGCTGGATCGGGGGAGAAGGGGGCCGTTGGAGGCCACAGGGCTTTGCTCCCCTCGCCCCAGGCTGGGTGTCGATGGCGATTCTCCCTCCCCCTCCTGAGTTCAAGCCGCCAAACTTCTTCCCCTTGTCGGGACCAATTTTGAAAAGGGGGGGTCCCCAGGGAATCCTGCCCTCCATCCAGCCCCAGCTGCCGTGTGTGTGCGCTCAGAGAGGGACAGGAGACCGAAGCAAAATACAGAGAGAAAGAGAGAGTTTGAGAAATGGGAACTCCCTCTCCGTCCACCCTCCCCCACCAAGTCGAGGTCCCTCCCGCCCTCGGAGCTGTCAATCATTCCTTAGCCCCATGACATCACAGAGGTCCCTCCTCAGGGGAGTTCAACCACTCTCTGGGACCATGACGTCAAAGTTCCCACCCATGGACCTGCCAATCATTCCTTGACCCCTTGACATCAGAGGTCCTGCCCATCCTGAGCTGTCAATCACTCCTGAAGTCTCCCAGAGCTGTCAACGATTCCCTGGACCCATGACTGTCCAGGTCCCTCAGGAGCTGACAATCATTCATTGGCCCTGGGACACCATTGATTTTCCCAGGAGATGACAATCACCTTGTGGCCCTACGACGTCACAGGTTCCACACCTAAGAGTCATCAATCCTACCCTGGTCCTTGATGTCAAAGACATTCCATCCCAGAGCTGTTAATCATTGTCTGGCCCCAGGACATCACAGATTTTCCCAGGGGTTGACGATCACCTCCAGGCCTGTGACGTCAGAGGCCCCGCCCCCATGAACCTTTGATCGCTCATTGGTCCCTGGACTTGGTGCAGAGATGTCAATTCCGCCCCATCCATGACGTCACAGGGGAGTGAGCCAATGGCAGCCGTTCAGGCTTGGGGCGGGGCTGTCTCCGCGGAGCGGGAAAGGGTGATGCGGTCTGGGTACCCTTACCCTGGGCCGATTGCGTCTGTACAAAGGTCTTGATTAGCAGGTCGGTGGCCTGCGTGTAGAGCGACAGGGCATAGCGCAAGGATTGCAGGTCCGGGCTCTTCTCCAGGAAGGTCTTCTTGAGGCCCACGCCACCCGCGTGGAAATATTGCTGGGGAGGACAGGGTGGGGAGAGGTGAGGATGGTGGGAACCTCTACCCACTCATAGGGCTGGGTAGCCCTGCTGTCCCCACTCCCAATTCTTCCCGCTACTACTTTCTCACCTCTTCCTTTGCTTTGCCTAGTGAACTCCTATGCATTCCTCAGAACCCACCTCTCACATGCCGTCTTCCAGGAAGGCCTGGCTTCTCCCACCTTGGGCTCGCCCAGCCCCCATCCTTCCCTCTACCCTTCTACACCTCAAGAAATGCCTGGCACGAGGTCCTTTACATCCTTCCCTCTACACCTTCTCACTCTTTGGGCTCCCCCAGCCCACATCCTTCCCTCTACCCCAAGCCTAATCCTACAAGGCTGAGAATGTCTGTATCCAGCAGTCTTCCCCGACCTGGGGCTCCTTAAGGCTCCAGCATTAGCCAGCCCAGCTCTGGCACAGACAGGGGAACGAGGGAGTGTCCATAAATTGAACAAATTAATGTGGGTCCGAGGCGAGCCTAAGTCCATGACCACAGCAGCCACACCCTCTACATCCCCCACCTGGGATGGGGAGGGGTAGGGCCTCTCACCTTGATGGTGTCCAGGGCCAACTCAACAACCGCGCACTGCTTTGGGGTCAAGCTCTTGGCTTCTTCTCGTACCATGTGATCCTGGATGGATGGGGAGAGGGGCCATGTGGGTGGAGTGGGCTCCACCTTTGGAATCTGTGTCTATGGGTCTCATCCCTGTTCAACTTGGAGGAGCTGGGCTGAGGGTCTATGTTTTCATCATCCCAGCACCCAATATGTGACTGGTACACAGCAGGTGCTCAAAAAATATTGGTTGAATAAATGACTTGCCCTCTTGATCAAGCTGTACCTGAAGCTGAACCATTCACATCTTTCTGACACACTGGGGAGCAAATATCTTGTGCTTCAGTGAGTAGAGTTTCTGTCCTTTGAGCCTGTAATGCATGTCATCATCCTGGGACCCCTCCCCCAGGATGGTGGCAACCTGGAAGCCACATGAGTTTGGGGGGCAGTCCCTCACGCCATAATCTATCCCCACTCCTCACCTTGAGTTTGGACAGCTGACCCAGCTCCTTGGCTGCATTGAAGATCATCTGGGTTCCCTGCAGGTAACAACATACAGCTGGGTGAGGGCAGGGGTGCTACAGCTGACACTCCAGCCCCAGAGACCATCTTGGTTCTTGCCCAAAGGCTCTGGGCAGGGCAATAATTGTGTCCCAGGGACAGAGGTCTGGAATTCCCCAGGAAGAACTGAGGAGGATGTGGTGACCTTGTCCCTGAAAATCCCGGTCCTGTGAGGATAGTCCCCCACCCTCTCAGCCCCACCCAGGCTTGTGTAACAGGAGAAACAGACAGGGACCAGACTGTGAGGGGCAGTGGGTTGGGGGAGCCTCAGACGGTGGTGTTTGTGGGTGTGGGCAGGGTTTCCAGGGAAAGGGAGCTTTGGGAACACAATAGGCTAGGCTGAGGTTGCAGAAAATGGCTCTGGTCAAACACTTCCTCCTCCTCAAGGAGCATCCCCTCTGCAGGGAAATTTCCCCTGTAATCTGGGAGGAATTTCAGTCTGATTTTTCTTTTCTTTTTTTTTTTTTTTGAGACAGAGTCTCCCTCTGTTGCCCAGGCTGGAGTGCAGTGGCATGATCATAGCTCATTGCAGCCTCAAACTCCTGGGCTCAAGCAATCCTCCCGCCTCCCCAGTAGCTGGGACTACACGTGTGAGCCACCATATCCAGCTAGTTTTTGAAATTTTTTTCATAGAGATGGGGTCTTGTTGTGTTGTCCAGGCTGGTCTTGAATTCCTGGGCTCAATCGATCCTCCTACCTCAGCCTCCCAAAGTGCTGGGATTACAGGCGTGAGCCACATTGCCAGCCAGTCTGACCTTTTAAAGGAAAAATCCTCCCTCTATACAAACACCTCCATATCCGTCCTCCACCCCACCCCCAAACAGACACTAGCAAGATGGTGATGTGGTGATGGCTCTGACAAGCCAGATGGGCCTGGGTTCAAATTGCAGTCCTGCTGTGTGGCCCTGGGCAAGGCACTTAACCTCTCTGAGCCTCAGTTTTCCCATCTAGATGAGGAAAATTATATCCACTTTGTGGCTTAGTCTGGACTGAACAAGTCTTTGCTCAGTGTTCGCTAATTATCACTTGGTCTCAAAGTCACGGGCAATGCTAAGGGAGACGGGGTCCCAGCCTGGAAGGCATGTGTCTAGCCTCCTCTGTCACTGCTGGATGGCCCCAGGCTTGTCCCTGAATGCTCTGAGCCTCAATTCCCACTGTGGCTAACAGGGATACCCATGGTAACTTGGGGGACAGGGTGGGGCTGAGTATTGAGGTAACAAGTCTTGTCTTACTGGGTCCTGGGGTGGTCTGGGGGTCCTGGGTGAGGCTAGGTGGGGAGGGGGCCCATTTACTGTGGAAATATTTGGAATTATGTTCATAGTCTACCAGCTGGCCATCTGGTCATTCCTAGAGGTATTACTATTATCATCTTGGCTGTTACTATTCTTATTTCTTGTCTGTGATCCTGAGGTTCTTACAAGGCACAGTTACTCAGGGGTCCAGCGGACTGGGCCTCAGTTTCCCCTGCTGCACCCACCTGTAGTCTGGCAGGGCTCAGGGGCCTTCCTGGGTACCCTCTGCCCTACCCACCAACCCCCCACCCACCACCCCCCACGAGCAAGCCAGACAGACAAAGGAAGAAGAGACCAACAGACAGGTTCACAGTACGCCCTCGGACGGCACGAACCACAGAGGTGGAAGGGGGCACAGGGGTGGGGTGGGGGGGAGTGGGATGGGAGCCAGACAGACAGTGAGAGGCCGGTCTTACGTCTGAGTGGCTTGGCAATTTCACCCTGCCCTGTGGAGAGAATCAGGTGGAGGTCAGAGTTCTGGTGACTGTTGGGAGGATACTCAGTGGGACTTCCCTGCCCCCTCAAAGCACAGTCTCACTTCCCAGCCCAGGAGCTCCTCCCCAGGTCCTGGGTCTAATGGTGGGCCCCCTCCCCAGCTAGCACCTCCTCTGGTCCCCTAGCAGGGGTTTAGAGGTCAGACTCCTTGACTGCCAGCACACTCTCGGGGTACCCAGGAGGCTGGAAGCAGCCTCATCCCACAGTCAGCCTGCCCCAGGATGGGGCACCTGGGGAGGTGGGGAGATGAGACAGGGCTAGGAATCTGTCTCCTCCTCCATTCCCTAAGGGGCTGCCCCTATATCCCAGCACCCAAGTCTACAAAAAACATATTAACATATACTGTAAGTTCACTCAGTGCTGAAGAACCCATACACTAAACTACATACGTGCACTCCTAAACACTTGCAGGCACGTACACAATTATATCACACACAAAAACCCACACACCCTTCTTGACCCCACACGGATTCACATCCACATATAGGGTGCCTGGGACACTGAATGTGCCCCGCAAAGGGCTGGCAGAGAGAGTACGGAACCCCTGTGACCCACATTCACAAAGCTAAGACTCCATTTGTAGACACAAATGTACAACGATATCTTCTGCACAAGTGTACAGCAAGACAGCTGCTTGCGTGTTGCTGTAGCTCCCATCTCCTTAACAACAAACACCCATTAGCACAGCAACAAAAAGAAATCTACGTAAAAAACAACACGTCTCAGTCCAGGGTGGTGATCTAGCGTGTAGGCTCCTCAAGAAGGCACAGAATTTCAGCTGAGCCCAGGGCTCAGATGAGCCCTGTGGGTATTGCTGTGGGAGGATGGGAGCTGTTTGTGCACACACATTAGTTCACATGTGGACACACACACTGCACGTTCTGTCCCTGGAGAATCACTTCATCTCTGACTTCTGGTTTTGCAGGACTTGGTTAGGAGAGCTATCTCCTACCCACGACCCCCAGCTGCCCTTCCTGCCCAGGTGCACAGACGCACACACATGCACACACATGCCCAGACACTGGAGCTCAGGGCCTCAGTGAGACGAGGCCCTCATTACCTTTTCTAATCCCTTGCCATGTTTTCTCAAGAGGTTCCCCTGCAGAGATAATGTCACAGGGTGATCAACCTGGCAAGTCGTGCAGGGTGGGAAGCTGGGATGCTCACAGGAATATTCATGGGGATGGGGGAATCCACACTGCACAGGGTACTGGTGACTGGGTTGCATGGGGATAGTGTGTTTGTGTGTGTGTCTGTGTGTGTGCACACACGTGCATGCGCTTTAGTGACTCACTCTTAAATGGTGTGAGAGGCAGAGACAGGAAAGAGAGAGAAAGATACAGATACAGAGCTAAAGAAAGTCAGAAAGAAGGGAAAAAAGCCACTGCCAAAATATAATCCATTTACATTTACTGTACACATGAGACTCTTGGTTCTTGGGTTAACAGGAAAGCAAATGGGCTGCATATTCAGACAGATCTGAATTTGAATCCTGATTCTGGCATATATTTACTATATGACCTTGAACAAGTGACTCCTCTCTGAGCCTCAGCTTTCCTCATCTGCAAAATGGGGATAATAATATCCACCTCACTCAAAGGGTTATCATGAAGGTGAGCTGAAACAGGAGCTATGAGAAGGCCTGGCATATGGGGAGTCATTAAATGCGAATTCCTTTATTCCCCCTGCCTACAAATGCATTGCCTGTGGTTGGGTATGCTGCCACCAAGTGGTTATAGCCAAAGACCCAGGCTGCAGCTACCAGGAAGTAAGAGCCCTTGTAAACTTTTAACAAAGTGAAATCTTGTAACAGCCTTGTCTTGCCCACAAAGGGAAAATCTGAAGTTGTTTTGTCTCTGCTCTTACACATGTCTGCATATCACCACCACCACCACCACCACCACCACCACCATTAGCTCTGCCTCTGGGCCGGTCACTGAGAGTGCAGTGGCGCGATCTCGGCTCACTGCAACCTCTGCTTCCTGGGTTCAGGCAATACTGAGATGAGTATTTTAATGCATCATGCCATTTGGTTCTTAGAACTACCCTCAGGGAGGTGATGCAATGAGCCCCATTTTCCAGACAAGGAAACAGAGGCTGGGAGGTCAAGTGACTTCCCAAGGTCACAGAGAGAGACAGTGGCTGGGCTAGGATTTGACCCCAAGTCTACCTGACATCAAAGCCATGACAAAAGTCTCCCACTTGGGCACCTGGGTGTATGTCTGGGATTGGTGTGTGTCGGTGTGGATGGCGGGAGTTGGGTAGACAGGGTGGTGGGGTACCAAGGAATGGTCTGGAGCATGGAATTTCAGAGGAATCAGAAGTAGAGACCCTCATGGTGAGGACCTGCATTCTGGGAAGCTGCTGACAGTTCAGAGCCCAAAGAGGAGGTCAGAGGAATCCTGGGGTTGATCCTCTTTCTAGCTTCAGGGCGTCTGGTGACATCTGGGCACGGGAGCAAGGTTGGATTCTACCCTTAGACGGCAGGTCCGCTGCGAAGGAGGAGCTGGGCTTGGGGTTTGGGAGTGGGTAGTGGGGCTCCTCTGGACTTCAGTGGGACAGGGAGGGTGGGCGTGGTCTCCCTCCCTCCCAGCCCCGCCCCCTCCCCATGCCCCGCCCCAGACAGACACAGGCACATCTAGGCGGGAGGGAGGATGGTGGGTGAGGAGGGGGCGCTGGGTGGGTGGGGAGAGGGGTGCAGCGACGCGGTGGGCCGAGTCCAGACACAGAGAGGACGGACAGACAGACGGACAGACGGGACTCTACTTACGATCATCTGTCATCCGTGATGGGGGCGGGGCGGTGGGGGAGGGGGGAATAAGGTACCATGAGTCTCCCGGGAAGGCCAGGGAGGGGGCAGAGATGGCAGCACGGAGGGGCAAGACCCCTGCCCCAGCCCAGCCCAGAAGAGGTGGAAGGATGGGAAGTCCGAGCCTCCCCGACCATCGTCGCCCATCTATGGCCCCCGCTCACCCTCCCCAAGCCTCCGTGGTCCACCTGGGAAAGACCTCCCCACTCCCTAATGTGCCCACAGCCCACATGCCATTGCTGTCCTCAGGTTCTTGATGCCTCCCGGAGGGACCCACGCCCAGCTACATCCCTCTACAGATGTTTGGGTCCCCTTGGTCCCTAGAGATTATGGCCTCTGGTCTATCGGTCCTGGTCTCTGGATGGCCAATGATCTCTGCTTGACCTCTCTGACCTTGGATGCCCTCCATGACCTCTGGCTGACTTCCAGGAGCCCCTTGGTCTATTGATCTCTGATGTCTGAAGTCCATGGTGTCTCCCCTCTTTGGCTTTTGAATGAGCCCCAAAGCCCTTAGAAAAACCCATTGATGTCTATGCCTTCTCTTTTTTTTTTTTGTTTTTTTGAGAAAGGGTCTCGTTCTGTTGCCCAGGCTGGAGTGTGCAGTGGCGCCATCTCAGCTCACTGCAGCCTCTACCTCTTAGGTTCAAACAGTTTTCGTGCCTCAGTTTCCCAAGAAGCCAGGATCACAGGATCACACCCAGCTAATTTTTGTATTTTTAGTAGAGACGAGATTTCACCATGTTGCCCAGGCTGGTCTCGAACTCCTGACCTCAAGCAATCTGCCCGCCTCGAGCCTCCCAAAGTGCTGGGATTGCAGGCGTGAGCCACGGTGCCTGGCCAATGTCTATGCCTTCCGTGGCTCAAGGATAACCTTGATCCCAAAATTGACCTGTTTTCTAGATGACCTCTGACCTTTGAAAGCTATTTTGACCTACATGTGACCTCTATGACTTTAGTGGTCTCTTGACTCTACCTGATGTCTTTGACCCCAGAGAAAATACAATGGACTCTGAATGACCTCTTTAACTCTTCGATGATCTTTAACCCCTGTGTGAACTCTCTGACCTCTGAATGGCCCCCCACTGACCTCTGGTGGCTTCCATGACCCTTGAATGGCCCTTGAGCCTGGATGACCTCTCTGAGACCGGATGCCTTTGTTCTTACCCCCCAGCCTCTAGGCACCAAGTTTTCTGGGCTCTCGCCAGGGAGGTGGCCTAAATGTCCCCTCGGGCCCCCTGCAGGTCTCACCGTCTGGTCAGTGAGGGGCGGCAGGACGATGGTTTTCTCCATGGTGTTCATAACCAGCTTCCACAGCTCCTTCAGCACTCGCTTCAGCACAGTCTTCTCACAGATTTTGGCAAAGAGGGTCAGGCTGGGGACGAGGGGCAGGTCTGAGAGAGGGCCCAGCTCGCCCCCACCCACAGATCACCTTCCCTTAACAGGTGGGCAAGGCATTCCACAGATAGGAAAGAGGGCCCACAGCCTGTACAGGGACCCCTGGGTGGTTTGATGGGGCTATGATATCTGATGCATGAAGAGAAGAGTGAGTGGTGGTTGGACTAGTCAGCAGGGACCAGATGGGAAGGGGCCCCAATGTCTGGGAGGAAGGCTTGGGTTTTATCAGGATGGGGGTAGTGGGGAGCCATGGAGTGTTCAAGAGGGAGACACAGCCAGACTTTCATGTTTGAAAGAACAGTGTGGGGGATGAACCGAAACAGGAAGGATGGAGATCAGGGACTATGAGGGAGAAGGCCATGCCCAAGAGGAACAGGAGGGGAATGGTCAGAGGAGGGCAGACTTGAAAGGGAAAACAGCAAAGAGATTGTGGTTGGATGGATAGGGGTTGAAGGAGACAGGCAGTCCACCAAGATCCATCCACCAACTGATCCAGTCACCCACCAATCCATCCCTCCCCCAGTGGTCCTTAATTCTCTATTTCTTTTTCTATCCATCCATCCATCCATCTGTTCATCCATCCATCCTTCCATGCATCCTTCTACCCATCCATCCACTTATCCATTTATCTATCCATCCACCTGTCCATTCATCCATCTGTCCATCCATCTATGCATCAAAACATTTATTCATCCATCCAAATATTTCTCACCTATTAATCCATCCATCCATCGACCCACTCATCCACCCACCCCCCCATCTGTCCAACCATTTATGCATCAAAACATTTATTTATCCATCCAAATATTTATCCACCTATATCTATCCAGCATCCATCCATCTACCCACCCACCCATCCAACCATCCATTCATCCATCCACCCATCTGTCCATCCATTTATGCATTAAAACATTTATTCAATGATCTAAATATCTATTGACCTATCCATCCATCCATTCATCCATCCATCCATCCAGCCAGCCAGACAGACATCTATGCATCAATCCATCTATACATCAAAACATTTATTCATTCATCCAAATATTTATCCACCTATCTATCCATCCATCTACCCACCCATCCATTTATTCATCCATCCACCCATCTGTCCATCCATTTATGCATCAAAACATTTATTCATCCATCCAAATATTTATCCACATATCCAACCATTTATCCATCCATCCATCCATCCATCCATCCATCCATCCATCCATCGTCCATCCAACCATCCATCAAGCCAGCCTGCCAGACATCCATCCATCTAAGCATCAATCCATCTATGCATCAAAACATTTATTAATCCATCCAAATATTTACCCAACTATCCACCCATCCATCTTTTTAAAACATCTATCCTCCCTCTATCCTTCTAAACATTTATCTTTTAATCCATGCGTCCACCCACCTACCCATCCCTCATGTCACCTATTCATCCACCATTCATTCATCCACACAAATATTTACTCACCAATCCTTCCAATTATTTACCCACCCAACTTTCCATCCCCTTCATGCCACCATCTACTCAGCCATCCAACTATCCAGTGACCACCCAGCAAACATTCCCTGCACACCCTCTCCAGCCAGTCCCTGGGTCTCTATGGCCCTGCCCCAGCCCCTCCCCGGCCAGCCCAGTCCACCTGGCCCAGCTCACTTGCTGTCCAGCAGGTCCATGATGGGCTGCAACACATTGTCCGCGTCCTGGGCCACGCTGCTGCAGGCACTGGCTGGCACATTGCCTGTGCCCTTAACCTGGCTAAGGATGTCACCCATCTGTTTGACACACTCTTCAATGTGCGGCTGGAAGCTGGGGACACAGAAGGGAAGGGCTCAGACCACAGGAAGGGCTGGATGAGGACACAGATGCTGATCTGTGGTCCTTGAGGTCATATCATTTGCATCACAGCACATAACCGAGCAAGAATGGAGAACAGGCCAGATGCGGTGGCTCACGCCTTTAATCCAAGCACTTTGGGAGGCCAAGGCGGGCGGATCACGAGGTCAAGAGATCGAGACCACCCTGGCCAACATGGTGAAACCCTGTCTCTACTAAAAATACAAAAATTAGCTGGGTGTGGTGGCATGCACCTGTAGTCCCAGCTACTTGAACCCAGGAAGTGGAGGGTGCAGTGAGCCGAGATCGCGCCACTGCACTCCAGCCTGGTGACAGAACGAGACTTCGTCTCAAAAAAAAAAAAAGAGTGGAAAATAGTAACTGCAGAACCAGGCAAAGGGATAAGACATTTGCCCGCATTGTTCATTTCATTCTCAAAATCCTACCCAGGTACTATTATTGTCATCACCCCAAATTTACAGAGCAATAAAAAAAAAAATAAGGCTCAGAGAAGTTAAGTGACTCACCCAAGGCCACACAGCTAGTAAGCAGTAAAGCCAAGATTTGAACTCAGCCTTGTCTAACTCTGAGCCTGCAATCTTCACCTCTACATCTGCTGAGCCTCCAGATGCCCCAGGCTTAGAGGGCTGAAGGCTGTTCCCTCCCCACTGCCCCCAGCCCTGGAGATGCTCCCACCTGGTAGCAAACACCCGGCTGAGCTCATCCAAGACGTTATTGAGTTTCACCTGAAGCTCCTTCAGGATGTCACTGGCTTCAGCATCCAGCTAAGGAGGGAGAAGGGACACCAGGCCAGGTTCAGTAAGTATCCACATGTACTGGGCATTTTCTCATCTGACCCAGGGAAAGGGATCCCAAGGGGCTGCAGGGGAAACTGAGGCACAGACCGTTATGCTGCAAGCCTGGGTTTAAGGCCATGGTTGAGCTGGAATTCATCCCCAGGCCTGGTGGCATATGAGCTCAGGGGCCTGCAGGGACACAGTGGTGGGGGTGCCCCATCCCTTCTCCAGCCCTGCCTCGGCCCTGCCTCACCTCCTTTCCTCCCATGGCTTCGAACATCTTCTCCAGCTGAACTCGTAGCTGTTGAGTGTTATTCATGAGAATGCAGGGCTGTGGGTGGGAACAGAGAGGGGAGTCAAGCCTCAGGACCTCTCCCCAGAGCCTCCCCTACCCACCGCCAGGGACCTTGGGATGGTTTCAGGGTCTGGGTCTGGAGGAAGCTGGGGTCCCATGGGGTCACCTGCAAATGGAAGGGAGCTTTTGTGCTCAGGTTCCTGGGCGTGTTGTTGGGGCGGGCATCTCTGGGGACTGGTGGGGGCAAGGAGGACTCAAGTAATCCCACGACCCCAGGCCTGGTGGGGGGTCCATGAGAGGGGCTGGGAACTCTGGGAGTAGCAGAGTTTCCTGCAAGAGCCCAAAGCTTTGCAGCTCACACCCTGAAGGCTTCATTTGCAACAGCCAGACAGTGACACACTGAAGGCGTGTGCCCTCACCCCGAGATATACACACGAGACCCCCCCCACAGATACACACACTCAGACATGCACAGCCAGACACAGCCATAGACACACACTCACACCACGCACATTCAACACCGCCATACCAAACCTGGTGAGACACACCCACCCAGACGTGCACAAACACACACACACACTCACACTATATGCAGTTAACTCAGCCAGACAAAACACGGTCACACACACCCAGACATGCACAGCTGGACACACACACAAGCATACACACACTCACACTATAACCAGTTAACACAGCTAGATAAAATATGAGACACACACCTAGATGTGTTGTATAGTTGAACACACATACTCACACATACATACACTCACACTATACCCGGTTAACACAGATGAAACATGGCTAGATACCCACACTCAGATATGTACAGACACACACAGATACACACATTCATGTTATACCCAGTTAACACAGCCAGACGAAACACAATCACACAGATACACACACTCATGTTATACCCAGTTAACACAACCAGACGAAACACAATCACACACGCACACTCAGACGTGCACAGTTGGACTCACACACACATTCATGCCATACCCTGTTAACAAAGCCAGACAAAACATGATCAGACACGCACACTCAGATGTGCACAGACTCACACACACACACACACGCAGAGTATACCAGTCAACACAGACAATACACAGTCAGACACATGCACTTACTTCCCATACACTCAGACACACACAACTAGATACACTCTGATCACACACATTCAAACAAGCACCTCTAAACACACAGACAATCCAGTCAGATCACACACAGGTGGACATACATAGCCCCAGGTGTCAGGGCCCTGGGGAGAAGGGAGTCCTGGGGATGCTGAATGGGGCTGAGGAGGGAGATAGGTCAGGGGCCCCCTCAGGTCACCACTTTCTCCTTCTCCTTGGAGCAGTAGGAGGCAAAGTCCTTGGAGATGATGTCTGCATACTGGAGGAGCACATTACTGATGGTCTGGGGAAGACACAGAGTGTGGGTGAGAGGAGAGGCTGGCACCAAGGCAGGCGCCAGTCGTCCCATCAAGGCCACTAGTGAGATCAGTGATGAACCCAAACCCTATTAGGACCTAAGATGGGCCTTTGGGCTAGGCAAATTCTCCACTCAAGATGACCATCAAGACCTAGAGGAGATACCGCTCGATGAAGATGATCATTTTATGTAGACCCAGCTCTTTTTCAGAGCAACCAAGCATCATATTAACCCAGCCTCAACCACAAGATGACCTGATCTCAAATCAAAAGCCAATTCCTACTTGTAATTCCCAAGGTCAACACAGCCTAATGCCAATGAATCAAACCTCAACCCCAATGATCCCAACCCTCAAACTCACCCCAAGACTCACTCAAATTGTGCATCAATCTCAGCACTCACTCCAATCTCAATTCCAAATCAAGACCCAGCACAGCCTCAAACTCCAACCAAACAGCATTGCCAACTCGCACTAATGACCTCAATTCCAACCCTGATCTCAACCCACACCTCAACTCCAACCTTACCCTACACCTCAACTCCAACCCCAATCTCAACTCCAATCTCAATTTAAACCCTAACCCCAACTCCAACCTCCATTCAAACCTCAACTCCAACCTCATCTCAACCTCAACCTCAACCCAAACTTCAACTCCAACCTCAACCCAAACTCCAACTTCAATCCCAACCTCAATGACATCACCAACTCCAACCTCAACCTCAACCTTAGCCCATCTCCAACTCAGACTTCAATTCCCTAACCCTGACCCTGTCCCCTAGCCCCAACCCTACCCACTCTCCCACACCTTGGCAAAGCGCCTCATGTAGTGCCCCACGATCTGAGGGTCGGGACACTCGAGTTTCTTGATGATTTCAAAGCTCTGGTTGAGTTGGGAGAAAACATCCACCACGGAGCAGGAGAATAGGGCATGCTCTGAGGTCTGCTGGAACTGCAGGGGGAAGGAGGCCAAGAGGAAGGAGGAGATCAGCACCAGAGAATCCCTAGAGCCCAACTCTCCCACTCTCCACGGGGAGAGCCAGAGACCAATTTCCCCGGGGTGAGATGGACAGAGGGCGAGGTAGACTTAGAGTCAACTCTAGAGGTGGACGCAGAAGCCATGGGGTGCCTGGAGGTGTCCGGCTTGATGGAACTCACATTTTGTAGTTGATGAATGAACAAAAGATTTTAAAAACCATGAGCAAGACAAAGATGGCGGACACCTACCAGAGACTGGCCTCATCTCAAGGGCAAATTTCCACCTAAATTGACCCCAGTGGGAAGATTAGGAACTTGGTTGTGGGTGGGCCTTCTTACCCCATCCTTCTTGTCTCGCTCCAGGGCACCGTGCAGGAAATCCCGGGACACCTCCTCATTCTCATCCAGCCACTGGATGACGAAGGGTTCAAACCATCTGGAATGAAGAGCCGGGGTGGGGCTCTGCCACCTCTTGTCCTCCTCAACCTCTGCGCCGCCTGGTTCTGACCCACTAACGAGTGGAGCTATGGCTGCTCCTGCTCTGCCTGGAGCTCTCCCTGCAGCCTTGAGTGGCTGCTCCTCTGCTCGCCTCCTGCACTGAACCTCAGTTACTTTGCTCATGAAATAGATTGAGTGGCCCCTTTTACAACAGGGCCCAGGCCTGTGGGAATCCTAGTTCAGATAAGCTGCCCATGGCAAGTGGGTTTATTCTCTGAGTCCTCTCTGAGTCCTCCGTCCATCCTTCCCTCCCTCCCTCCCTCCTTCCTTCCTTCCTTCCTTCCTTCCTTCTTCAGATAAACTGCCCATGGCAAGTGGGTTTATTCTCTGAGCTCTTGTTTTCTCCCTCCCTCCCTCCCTCCCTCCTTTCCTTCCTTCCCTCCCTCCCTCCCTTCCTTCCTTCCTTCCTTCTTCCTTCCTTCCTTCCTTCCTGGGTCTTGTTCTGTTGCCCAGGCTAAAGTGCAGTGGTGCGATCACAGCTCACTGCAGCCTTGACCTGCTGGGTTCAAGCAATCCTCCCACCTCAGCTTCCCGAATAGCTGGCACTACAGGCACATGCCACCATGCCCGGCTAATTTTTTTTTTTGTCTTCTTTGTAGAGACAGGATTTCCCTGTGTTGCCCAGGCAGGCCTTGAACTCCTGGCCTCAAGTGATCCTCCCACCTTGGCCTCCCAAAATGTTGGGATTACAGGAATGAGCCACCGCATCCAGCCAGAGCTTTCGTTTCTTGTACAACAGAAGACTAGCCATCCTCCTGTGCTGCTGGGAGCAGAGAACGACACCACAATTCTCAGGAACCGGCGGCACCGTACTATCCTCCAACACACAGCCCAGGAATCAGATGTCCCGAGTTCAAATCTCGGGTCTGTCATGTACTGGGAGTCACCGTGGGCAAGGAATGTGGCATTTATTCACTCATTCATTTTATTTTTATATTTATTTATTTTTTGAAATGGAGTCTCACTCTGTCGCCCAGGCTGGAGTGCAGTGACACGATTTCCGCTTACTGCAACCTCTGCCTCCTGAGTTCAAGCGATCCTCCTGCTTCGGCCTCCCGAGTAGCTGGGACTACAGGTGTGTGCCATCACACCCGGATAATTTTTTTCTTTGTTTTTGAGACGGAGTCTCACTTTGTTGCCCCAGCTGGAATCCAGTGGTGCAATCTCGGCTCACTGCAACCTCCGCCTCCTGGGTTCAAGCAATTCTCATGCCTCAGCCTCCCAAGTAGCTGGGATTACAGGCATCTGCCACCACACCTGGCTAATTTTTGTATTTTTAGTAGAGACAGGGTCTCACCATGTTGGCCAGGCCGGTCTCAAACTCCTGACCTCTGGTGATCCACCCACCTTGGCCTCCCAAAGTGCTGAGATTACAGGCATGAGCCACTGCGCCCGGCCAATTTTTGTATTTTTGTAGAGCTGGGGTTTCGCCCTATTGGCTATGCTGGTCTCGAACTCCTGACCTCAGGTGATCTGCCCACTTCGGCCTCCCAAAGTCCTGGGATTACAGGCACAAGCCACTGTGCCTGACCCATTCATTAATTTTAGAGATGGGATCTGACTATCTTTTCCAGGCTGGTCTCGAACTCCTGGGCTCAAGCAAGTCCTGCCTCAGTCTCCCAGATTGCCGGGGCTACAGGCATGTGCCACCATGCCTGGCCATTTGGCATCTTTAACTCTCCAATTTCTCCTCCGCAAAATAGGAATTAAAATGATCCCACCTTAACTCATAGAATTGTCAAAAGGATAAAATGAGAAAGTCACATGGTTCCTGTTGCTGTTGACTGAATTTTCTGGGCTGTAGGAGTCAACTGCTCAATGGCTGAGAGTGGAGAACACTGGATTCAAGCCCCACCCATGCCCCTGATGCCCAGGTAACCCTAAGTAGGTCAGTCTTCCTCTCTGGCTTTCCTTCTAGCTGTCAGTGCTACAGTTCTGGCTTGGGTTGGGCCTGGGGCAGGGGACTTACGCAGGGTACTCAGGCACGCGGTCCTTGAAGGCGGGAAGTTCCGTCACATACTCATTGTAGAGCCATTTCACCTTGAAGTGGAGGTTCATGTAGTCGGCACTCTTGCATAGACGATGCTTGTCGTGCTCTGGCCAGGGACAAAGAGGATGGCACAGCTGGAAGGGTCTGCCACCCTCTGTCTCGGCAGAGAGGCTGCCTACTCTGGCCATCACTGATTTCCAACTCAGGCATGAGGGTATTATAGGGTGCTCACAGCCTTGGAGGGGACACAGAGGTACAGCCACCTGGTGTGGCCAGGCTGGGGAACACTGGGGTGGGAAACTCACCCTCCATGGCGTACTTCATGTCTTGGGCAAACAGATTCCACATCACTTCAGCGCTGATTTTACCCACATTCAGCTCCTGGGGAAACCTGGCAAAGTCATGGAAGTATAAAACTTTGGCAGGCAGAAGGCAGATGGGATGGGCTGCTTTGTCCTTCCCTGCCCCACAGAGGAGTGTAGGGTAGGGTAGAGGGATTTGGGTTCAGGTTCCCTCATAGCCACTGCTGACTGACTCTGCACTAAGGCTTTGTTTCCCTTTGAGCCTCCACCCACTCATCCATTTGTCCCTCCATTCATTCATTCATCCACTCATGCAACTATCCACCCATACATTCAACAACTCATTTATCTATTCCTCCATCCATTCATCCATCCTTCCATCCATTCATTCACCCACTCATGCAACTGTCCACCCATCCATGTACCCATCTATCTATTCATCCATCCACCCATTATCCACCCATCCAACCATCCCTTCATCAATTCATTCACCCACTCATGCAACTATCTATCCCTCCACCTACCCATCTATCTATTCATCCATCCACCCATCCATCCATCCCTCTATCCATTCATTCACCTACTTATGCAACTATCCACCCATTCATTCACCTATCCATCTATCTATTTATCCATCCATCCCTCCATCCACTCATTCACTCATTCATCCAACTATTCATCCATCCACTCAACCACCCATCTATCTGTTCATCCATCTATCCCTCTACCCATTCATCCAACTATCCATCCATCCACCTACCCATCTATCTATTCATCTATCCACCCATCCATCCATCCATCCCTCTTTCCATTCATTCACCTAATTATGCAACTATCCACCCATCCGTTCACCTATCCATCTATCTATTCATCTATCCATCCATCCCTCCATCCATTCATTTGCTCATTCATCCAACTATTCATCCATCCACTCAACCACTCATCTACCTGTTCATCCATCTATCCCTCCACCCATTCATCCAACTGTCCATCCAGCCACCTACCCGTCTATCTGTTCATCCATCCATCCGTCCATCCTTCCATCATCCACCTATTTATCTGTCCTTCCATCCATTCATTCGCCCACTCATACAACTATCCACCCACCCATTAAATGACCCATCTATCTATTCATCCATCCACCTATCCATCCATCCCTCTATCCATTTATTTACTCACTTATGCAGCTATCCACCCATCCATTTACCCATCCATCTGTCCACCCATCCATCCATTCCTTTTTTTTTATTTAGAGACGGAGTCTCACTCTGTCACCCAGGCTGGAGTGCAGTGGTGCGATTTCAGCTCACTGCAACCTCCACCACCCGGGCTCAAATGATTCTCGTGCCTCAGCCTCCCAAGTAGCTGGGATTACAGGCGCGAGCCACTATGCCCGGCTAATTTTTTATATTTTTAGTAGAGATGGGGTTTTGCCATGTTGGCCAGGCTGGTCTCAAACTCCTGACCTCAGGTGATCCTCCCGCCTCGGCCTCCCAAAGTGCTGGGATTACAAGCGTGAGCTGCCACACCTGGCCCATCCGTTCCTTTATCCACACAGTCATCCTTCTACCAATCTATCTGTCCATCTGTTATTTACTTATTTATTTAGAGACGGAGTCTCGCTCTGTCACCCCAGGCTGGAGTGCAGTGGCGCAATCTCGACTCACTGCAACCTCTGCCTCCTGGGTTCAAGCAATTTTCCTGCCTCAGTCTCCCACTAGCTGGGATTACAGACGTGTACCACCACGCCCGGTTAATTTTTGTTTTGTTTTTTCTGTTTTTTTTGAGACGGAGTCTCACTCTGTTGCCCAGGCTGGAGTGCAGTGGCCAATCTCGGCTCACTGCAAGCTCCACCTCCTGGGTTCACGCCATTCTCCTGCCTCAGCCTCCCGAGTAGCTGGGACTACAGGCGCCCACCACCACTCCCGGCTAATTTTTGTATTTTTAGTAGAGACAAGGTTTCACCATGTTAGCCAGGATGGTCTCCATCTGACCTCATGATCCGCCTGCCTCGGCCTCCCAAAGTGCTGGGATTACAGGGGTGAGCCACCGCGCGTGGCCAATTTTTGTATTTTTAGTAAAGATAGGGTTTCACCATGTTGGCCAGGCTGGTCTCAAACTCCTGACCTCAAATGATCCACCCACCTTGGCCTCCCAAAGTGCTGGGATTACAGGCGTGAGCCACTGTGCCTGACCCCATCTGTTTATTAATCCATCCATTCATCCACCCACCCTTCAATCCATCCAAATCCCTGATCTTAATTCCCTAACCAGGATATGTTAACGCCCCAAAGCTAGAGTCCTCTCTAGCACTCATCTGGCAGAGAAATAGAACACAGTAGCTCATTCAGCTAACACAGATGAAAATTCTACAGACATATAAATCCACAAATGAAAACTGTGCCCATATTCATACACAATACACAATATTGTATATTGTACAATATTGTACGTTGAATTGCATTCAATGATTTTACACATATACAAATTAAACCCAAAACCCACTGACCACAACAATATACAAAATTACTTACATCCATACATATAAGATATAATGCAATTTAAATGTATGATATGTATTAGGGTAGCACATAGTAATACTTGAGCAACACTATTATTAATTAACCTACATACACATAAAAAATTATACACATATGTACACACAGTTATGCATGCAAATGAATACATACAAAATACATGTCTGATTATACCAGTGATTGTGAACATACACACAATTTTATGTTTATGTTTGCAAATTGTACCCATATTTGAATTTTGCACAGGTATAATCAGACCCACAATTACCCCCAGGTGCACATTTGTGTAATTAGACAAAATCATCTTGACACACAAGACACAAAGTTGTATACATACACACGATGACACCCAGATAATTAACTACACAGATACACAACTCACTGGTTGAGGCAGGGAGTGTAGGAATTCTTGTCTTCCTCAATGATGGACACTATGAGGGTAATCAGCTTGGACCAGAAGTCGAGGTTCTTGATGCTGGGCCCCTGTTCCTCTGGGAGAACTTCCCCCTTCTTGGCCTGAAATGGACAGTGGAGACCTCGGTTATAGGGGGTCCAGAGGTTGGTGCCTCGGTCAGTTTATTACTGAAGAACAAGAGGTTTTAGAGGAATGCATCCCATCATCATGTGTATGGTTCAGGTAAGAAATCTATATAGAGAGGAATTGAACTCATAAACTGGCCCAAACAGAGCTCATGTCAATGCAGCTTGATAAAGCTTAAGATTTTTAGACTCCACTCTAAAAGTGAATGGAAATAAATGAAACCAAATTTAGTTGAACAAACCCAGCTCCACTAAACCAAATGGAAATGAAATGAATGCAAATTAAGCCCACTTAGCTTAACGGAAGTAAGTTCTTCCTCTGAGTTAAATCAATGGAACTGAACTTGGGCCAATCACACTGAATGGAGTGCAATTCAACCTAACTGGATTGAATTAAACTCAAATGAATTCCGTTGGATTGAACCTAATCAACTTGTCCAAGATCAACATCAACCCAAATCAAAATAATGGAAATAAATCGACTCGAACTCAACTCTACCCAAGTCAACCCAATCCGATTCTACCTATCTAAACCCAACTGAACATACGCAGGGCAATTCAACCCACCTTTGTTAATCAATGGAAATGAATATAATCAGCTGAAATTAGCCCAATTCAACCCAATTCAACTGAAATCAATTGCATCTAATCCAACAACCCAGTTCATCCTAACTCAAGACAATTTAACCCAGTTGAGAACAACTTGACTTGAATGTAAATGAACTAAATGGAAATGAATGAATTTGTACTCAATAAAACTCAATGCAATCAACCAACTTGTTCTTCTCTCTATTTTTTTTTTTTTTCTTTCAAGAGACAGAGTCTCATTCTGTCACCCAGGCTGGAGCGCAGTGGTGCAATCATGGCTCACCATAGACTCGAACTCCTGGGCTCAAGTGATCCTTCCACCTCAGCCTCCAAAGTAGCCAGGACTACAGGTGCGCCACCACACCTGGCTAATTTTTGTATATTTTGCAAAGATAGGGTCTCGCTATGTTGCCCAAACTGGTCTCGAGCTCCTGGCCTCAAGGGATCCTCCTGCCTCAGCCTCCTAAAGTGCTGACATTACAGGTGTGAGCCACTGAGCCCAGCCTGGCTCACTAATTTGTCAAGAACAATTTTTTTTTTTTTTTTGAGACGGAGTCTCGCTCTGTCACCCAGGCCGGAGTGCAGTGATGCGATCTCAGCTCACTGCAAGCTCTGCCTCCCAGGTTCACACCATTCTCCTGCCTCAGCCTCCCAAGTATCTGGGACTACAGGTGCCCGCCACCACGCCCGGCTAATTTTTTTGTATTTTTAGTAGAGACGGGGTTTCACTGTGTTAGCCAGGATGGTCTCGATCTCCTGACCTCATGATCCACCCACCTCGGCCTCTCAAAGTGCTGGGATTACAGGCGTGAGCCACTGTGCCTGGCCGTCAAGAACAATTTTAACTTAAGTCAACCAAATAGAAATAAATATAACTAAACTGATTATGGTTGAACTAAACAATCTAATTTAATCCAGTTCACCTCAACTCAATTCAAATGAGAGTGAGACTGATTCCAACTCTAGTCAACTGAATGTAAAGGAACAGAATGAAATCAAATTGAACTGAACACAGCTTATGTGTTATATCCTATCAGAACCTGGGTAGGGGCTGCCTCCAGCTCCCACAGCCTCCTGAGATCCCACTATCTCAATACTAACCATCCCTGTTTGTAAATTTCCAGTTTGTACATCTTTCCCTCATAATAGGCTATAAGCTCCTTATAGCCTAATTTAATCCAGTTCACCTCAACTCAATTCAAATGAGAGTGAGACTGATTCCAACTCTAGTCAACTGAATGTAAAGGAACAGAATGAAATCAAATTGAACTGAACACAGCTTATGTGTTATATCCTATCAGAACCTGGGTAGGGGCTGCCTCCAGCTCCCACAGCCTCCTGAGATCCCACTATCTCAATACTAACCATCCCTGTTTGTAAATTTCCAGTTTGTACATCTTTCCCTCATAATAGGCTATAAGCTCCTTACAGGTGGTGGCTCATGCCTGTAATCCCAGCACTTTGGGAGGCTGAGGCAGGAGGATCGCTTGAGCCCAGGAGATCAGCCTGGGCAACATAGTGAGATGCCATCTCCACAAAAATACAAAAACTAGCCTGTCATGGTGGTGCGTGCCTATAGTCCCAGCTACTTGGGAGGCTGAGGTGGGAGGATCACTTGAGCCTGGGAGGTCGAGGCTGCAGTGAGCCATGATTGCATCACTGCACTCCAGCCTGGGCAACAGAGCAAGACCCCATCTCAAAATAAATAAATAAATTCAATTCAACTCAACATTTACTGAACAGTGACTGTATGCCAGACATAAATTTTTATGCCAGGCTGGGAGTGGTGGCTCACGCCTATAATCTCAGTACTTTGGGAGGCCGAGGCAGGTGGATCACCTGAGGTCAAGGAGTTCGAGACCAGCCTGGCCAACATGGTGAAACCCCGTTTTTACTAAAAATACAAAAAATTAACTAGGTGTGGTGGTGGGCACCTGTAATCCCAGCTACTCGGGAGTCTGAGGCAGGAGAATCATTTAAACCTGGGAGGCAGAGGTTGCAGTGAGCTGAGATCACACCACTGCACTCCAGCCTGGGAAGCAAGAGTGAAACTTTATCTCAAAAAAAAAAAATTTTTTTTTATGCCAAACTCAACTACGCAACCAAATGTACTGAGTGCCGACTATATTTTATCTAAACTTACAGCTCATGAACTCTTCTCCCTAATCCTGAGATGTGGGTTAATGACCCCATTTTATAGAAGAAGATACTGAGGTTCAGAAGAGTTAAATCCCTCGGGAAGGGGCAGGGCTGGGACTGAAGCCTGTGTCTAGTTGGCATCACTGTTCCCTTCTGACCCATCTGGAGTCTCACCGGGTCTGTCTGGTACTCCCGGCTGTACAGTTCATGGCAGTTATTGAAGATGTACTCGTAGGTAGAATTAAGGCAGGCTTTCACACAGTCCTTTACCACCTGGCTGGCTCGGGGCGGGCTCTGGAGTTCTTGTACCTGAAGGGAGGGAGAGAGGCATAGGCGGCCACAGCTGTGACAGGAGGTCCCCAGGAAGTGACTGCGAGTCATTTTGGGTTTAAGGAAATGAAGTGGTATGAAAGGAAAAGGTTACTGAGAAAGGCTGCCACTCTCCAGGAGGAATGTCACTTGTCCTGGGAGCTGGGGATCCTAGAGAACCCTCCTTGGAGAGCAAAGGCAACTGGATCCTTTCCTACCTTCATCCGAAAGAAGGTGATGCTGGTGAGAAGGTCCACAGTGGATTTGAGGTCCTGGAGTCTCTCCGGGCTGCTGGCTGGGAAGTTATTCTGTTGGGAGCAGGAAGAGATGTGGGGTTATGGAAGAAGGCGTGGGGAGGATGGGAGACTGCTTTTCAGGGGGATACAAAGGCTCCCCGGTTTCAGGCTGGGGGTTGATTAGAGCACCTCGAAGCAACTGGGGATCTGCTTGGATGCACCAAGCACATTACGGCAGGTAGTGCCCATGCAGGTGCACACATGCTGGAGGAACACATCGTACATGCGAAGATGGGTCCTCCCATGCACACACCTGCTGGTAGCTTTCCCCTCCAGGCACACACATGTGCGTGGGGTGAGCAAATTCTCATGCACACACTTCCTACCCGGTACATGGAGAGGTCAATCCGCAGGGAGTTATGCAGCTGGTCCAGGAGTTTCACGAAGCGCTCTTTCTGAGGAGGAAGGGGAGGAGGGAGGATGGATGGAGGCAGGACATGGCCGCCATAGTGGCTGAGCGCCTACTGTACAGTAAGTATACCTCATCCACCACCCTCATAATGTCCATTTCCATTCTATGGCATTTTTTTTTTTGTTTTGAGACAGAGTCTTGCTCTGTTGCCCAGGCTGGAGTGTAGTGGCGCAGTCTCAGCTCACTGCAACCTCCGACTCCTAGGCTCAAGCAATTCTCCTGCCTCAGCCTCCCAAGTGGCTGGGACTACAGGCACAGGCCACCACACCCAGCTAATTTTCTTTTGGATTTTTAGAAGAGACGGGTTTTCACCGTGTTGGCCAGGCTGGTCTCGAACTCCTGGCCTCAAGTGATTCTCCAGCCTCGGCCTCCCAAAGTGCTGGGATTACAGGCATGAGCCACTGCGCCCGACCTCCATTCTATAGCATTCTACAGAGGAATAAATGGAGGCTCAGAGACGGGAAGTGACTGGTGGAAAGTCACACAGCAATCAGGTCTAGACTGGGGACCCAGAAGTCACATCAGATCTGACCGGCATAAAGTTGGGCTCTCCCTAATTCTCCAATCCCAGTCCCCAGGACTGACCCCAAAGTTGGAGGCGGCGAAGCGGTCGGAGGCAGACACGTTGGTGGAGGCGGTGGTGTGTGCGTAGTAGGCATTGATGTTGGCGAGCAGGGTGCTCATGACGGCAGGCACCCCTGGGCACATATACTTGGAGGAGAGGCAGGCAAAGTGGCTGGAGAGAGGGAGCAGGAGGCACTAGGCCAGGGGTCCAGCCAGGATGGACCAAGATCCCCCCTAGAATGCCTCCAAGATAGCATCTGTGAGTGGGTCTCTGTCACCTCCTAAACCATCCCCTGCCTGATTCTGTCCTTTGGGTCTCCGCATCTCCTCTCCCCTCCATCTTTATATCCATTTGAGTTGCTCTAATTCTGCTTCTTTTTTTCTTTCTTTCTTTTTTTTTTTTTTTTGAGATGGAGTCTCACTCTGTCACCCAGGCTGGAGTTTAGTGGCGCAATCTCGGCTCACTGCAACCCCTGCCCCCCAGGTTCAAGCAATTCTCCCACCCTAACTTCCCGAGTAGCTGGGATTACAGGCCCAAGCCACCACACCTGGATAACTTTTGTATTTTTAGTAGAGATGGGGTTTCACCATGTTGGCCAGGCTGGTCTTGTACTCCTGGACCTGGAGTGATCCGCCCACCTCAGCCTCCTAAAATGCTGGGATTACAGGCTTGAGCCACTGTGCCCAGCCTCTATCTCTGCTTCTAAGTCTTCCCTCTCTTCCATGTCACTCCAGGTGTCAATCACAGCGCTCTCCTGATCTCCAGGGGAATTACGGAACCCACCACCACCACGCCCACTTCCTCTCTGGGTCTTCCCCCTGAGAATCCCTCCCACCCCAGACCTGCCAGTGCCCACTTGGTGACCTCCCTCTTGTTTCCTGCACCCCAGCCTGCAGTCTCACGTCATGGCTTGGTAGATGGACTCGACGCCGTAGCGCATGGCAAACTCGTCCACAATCTCCTGGGCTGTCTCATCGTAGTAAACCTTCCAGGCATCGTCACCCTTGGCATCTGGGATCTTCACGACCCCATTGTTCTGCACGTCGGTCACGAAGTGGAACAGGTTCTGCCACCATGGGAGAGAAAGTGTCATGGAGAGTGCAAGGGGTCGCCGGGGGTCAGAGGTCCCAGGGTCTGGGGCAGCTTACATCATCCATCTGCCTGTTTATTCATTAATTCATTCATCTACTCTTTTATCCATCCACACACCCACCCATCTAACTACCCCAAATTTCACCCATCCACTCTTCCAACCTTTCAGTAATTCAACCACACATCCATCCATCCATCCATTCATCCATCCCATACATTGATCCGCAACTTAATCCACCTACCCAATCATTCATTCTTTCATACAACCAACCATCCATCCACCCATCAATTTATCCAACCATCCATTTTTCGTCTGTCCACCAGCCACTCACAACCATCCATCTAAATATTCAGAAATTATGAACCCAATTATCAATACTTGCAATAGTTCAACCACACATCCTTCCATTCATCCACCCACCCATTCATCCATTTGTCCATCTGCCTATACATCCATCCATCCATCCATCCATCTACCTATCTACCCATCTGACTATCAACAAATTCACCTATCTACTCAATCTTCCTTCTAATAACTCAACCACACTTCCATCCATCCCATCCAATACAACTTAATCTGCTCATCCAACATTTCATCTATCCACCCAGTCAATCATCTATCCAGCAATCTATCTATCCACTCATCAAGTTATCCATCCATCATTCATCTATACTCATCCATCATCTAACAATTACCCCCAAATTCACCCATCCATACATCTATACTTTCAATAGTTCAATCATATATCCATCCATCTGTCCATCCATCCATCATCCATCTAGCCACGAATCTACCCACCAACTCATCCATCTATCCATCCATGTACTCACCCATCTCTCCATCCATCCTTTTATCTACTCATCACTCATTCATCTGTTCAATCATTCATTCATTCACCAGCATTTATTCAACAAACTAGTTCCTGGGGATAAGAGTTCTTTCCAGGAAACCCAGGCAGCTGGAAGAGACATACCCAGACACAAACGGCCCAATCCTGAGTGGTTAGGGCTGGAATAGAAGGAAGAACCTGATGATGAGTAGTGAGAGTCAACCTGGAGGCCAAGGTGGGCTTCCCAGAGGAGGTGACCCTGAATCTGGACTTTGATGGATAGGGAGGAGTTTTCCAGGTAAAGGGAATGGCATGGCGGGCAGTCTCAGAGGGCCAGGAGAGTGTGGATGGTGTGGCCAGAAAGAGGAAGAGCTGGGCAGGCAGGAATGGTGAGTGGAAGTGGCATGGGAGGGGCCGAGCAATGACCCTCACCTCATGCAGACAGGTGTACTGGACATGGTACGGGGCCACCTTCTCCTCGCCTTTGATCTCCACACTGATGTGGAGCCGGATGGCACCCGACACGGCAGATTTGTCAGTTCGCTTGTCTGCAGGGCAGAAAAAGAAGACAGTGTCAGAACTTCCCACTATAGCAGTGGGCAATTTTTTTTTTTTTAAGAGGGAGTCTTGCTCTTGTCACCCAGGCTGGAGTGCAGTGGCACGATCTCAGCTCACTGCAACCTCCACCTCCTGGGTTCAAGCGATTCTCCTGTCTCAGCCTCCCAACTAGCTGGAATTACAGGTGCCTGCCACCGTGCCCAGCTAATTTTTATACTTTTAGTAGAGACGGGGTTTCACCATGTTGGCCAGGCTGGTCTCGAACTCCTTACCTCAGGTGATCCACCTACCTCAGCCTCCCAAAGTGCTGGAATTACAGGCGTGAGTCACCGCGCCCGGCCAGCCATGGGCAAATTTTTTTTTATTTTATTTTTTTTTGAGATCTGTGGTCCAGGTTAGAGTGCGGTGGCGCAATCTTGGCTCACTGCAATCTCCACCTCCTGAGTTCAAGCAATTGTCTTGCCTCAGCCTCCCGAGTAGCTGGGATTACAGGCATGTGCCATCACACCCACCTAATTTTTTATTTTTAGTAGAGACGAGGTTTCACCATGTTGGCCAGGCTGGTCTCGAACTCCTGACCTCAGGTGATCCGCCCGCCTCGGCCTCCCAAGGCAATTTTTAATAGATACACGATTCTGTAGTCCTCCCAGACTTCCGGAAACTAAGGCTTTGGTGTCTCTCTTCTGATTGGCTCCCTAGGCTTGAGTCTCCCTGTTTAGGCTAGAATTCCTTAAGCCCTGTCTCTTCCTTCAAACAAGGATCCCAGACCTTGCTTCTTCACTCAGATTAAGTTCCTGGCTATGTGCCTCCCTCCTTAGACTAGCAGCCCTAGGCCCCACTTCTTTCCCAGTCTGAGCTCCCAGGCCCTGCCTCCCCCATCAGATCATGCTCCCCGGAGACTACACATCTTAGACACTGTTCCTGGGTCTGTGCCTCTCTCCTCAGACTAGGACCCCCTGGTCTTGTCTCCCACCTCCCCCATCAGAATGGGATATCTAGATGTCCTCCAATCTAAGAGGTTTCCGGGCTCTGCTCACCTCTCTCAGGCTGGGTCCTTTCTACCCCCTCAGATTAGGCTCATACACCCTGCTTCCTCCATTAGATTGGACTCCCCAGATTCTACTCAACTTCCTTACACAGGGTTCTTTGATCTGTAGCAGCCATCTCAGATTAGGATTCCCAAACAATACCTCCCTCTTTAGACTGGATTCTTTTCTTGTGGTGGGGGGTCGGGGGGACACAGAGTCTTGCTCTATCGCCCAGGCTGGAGTGCAGTGGCATGATCATAGCTCACTGCAGCTTCAACCTCCCAGGTACAAATGATGCTTCCACCTCAGCCTCCCAAGTGGCTGGGACTACAGGCACGCATCACCACACCCAGCTATTTTTTTTTTTTTAATGGAGACAAAGGCCTTGTTATGTTGCCCAGGCTGGTCTCGAACTCCTGGGCTCAAGTGACCCTCCCAGCTCAGCCACCCAACCAATATGTTGGGATAACAGGTGGGAGCCACCATGCCCAGCCTGGATTCCATTTTTTTTTTCTTTTTCTTTTGTTTTTTTTTTTTTTTTTTGAGACGGAGTCTTCCTTTGTTGCCCAGGCTGGAGTGCAGGGGCTTGATCTCGCCATGTTGGACAATCTGGTCTCAAACTCCTGACCTCAAGTGATCTGCCTGCCTCAGCCGTCCCAAACTGTTGGGATTATAGGCGTGAGACACTGCACCCGGCCATATTTGTTTTTTGAGAAAGGGTCTCACTCTGTTCCCTGGGCTGGAGTGCAGCAGTGTGATCACAGCTCACTGCAGCCTTTACCTCTCAGGCTCAGGGGATCCTCCCACCTTAGCCTCCAGAGTAGGTGGGACCACAGGTGAGTGTCACCCTGCCTAGCTAATTTTTGTATCTTTTATAGAGATGGGGTTTCACTATGTTGCCCAGGCTGGTCTTGAACTCCTGGACTCAAGTGATTGGCCTGCCTCAGCCTCCCATAGTGATAGGATTAATTACAGATGTGAGCCACTGCCCGGCGCCCCCAGCCTGGATTCTTTTTTTTTTTTTTTTGAGTGGGAGTTTTGCTCTCGTTGCCTAGGCTGGAGTGCAGTGGCGCAGTCTCAGCTCACTGCAACCTCCGCTTCCTGGGTTCAAGCGATTCTCCTGCCTCAGCCTCCCAAGTAGCTGGGACTACAGGCACCCACCACCACGCCTGGCTAATTTTTGTATTTTTAGTGGAGACGGGGTTTCACCATGTTAGCCAGGCTGGTCTCGAACTCCTGACCTCATGTGATCTGCCTGCCTCAGCTTCCCAAAGTGCTGGGATTACAGGCGTGAGCCACCATACCTGGCCCCAGCCTGGATTCTTAAAGCTCAATCTTCTTTCTTAGATTTAGTTCCTAGGTCTCTGTCTCTCCCCTCAGACTAGGATTCCCAGTTCTTGCTTCTTGCCTCCCCCATTAGACTAGAACATGGAGATTCTGTCCCCACCCTCCCTCCTAAGCTGAACTAAGAGGTTCCTGGGCTCTGCTCACCCTCCTGGCCTGGGTGCTTCCTGCTCCCATCAAACTGGGCTCCTAGACCCTGCCTCCCCCATCAGATTATGCTCCTCGACCAAACTCCTCCTGAGAACACATCTCTCTGCTCTTCGTGGGCTCCATGCTCTGGCTGGATCCCTGGGACCCGTCCCCACCCGCTTCAGAACCCAGCTTCTCTCACCCAGGTTGTACCACACGTCCATCTCGCCGCTGAGCGTCCGCACCTCAATGATCGTCTGCCCCAGGAAATCGTCAGATTCCCTCTTGAACCTCTGTTTCACGCGGGATTTGATGTCGTCATCCTCGTCCCAGACGCGCACCTTGATGCGGTCGGAGGAATTGTGACATTCACTGTGGCGGGAGGAGGAGGCAGAGGCAGGGGTCAGGCAGCCAGTGTGAGTCCTGTCCTTGGAGCCCTCTTTTGGCTGCCCCAGCAGGATGCCCCACATGGGGCCAGGGACCCAGCCAGGCACTTACAAGTGGAAATTCTCCTCCCACACCGGGTTGAGGTTCCCATAGATGGTTTTTGTCCGTTTCTTGGTCTTCCCGACCTGGACGGTGACATAGGGGTCACTGGATCCTGTCTTGTCCTTTGCCTGCAAGCCCTGGGCGCAGACCACTGGAAGACACAGAGGGCATACACAGGTGTGCACTCAAGAAGCGAGGCATGCTGGGGACAGTCACTGCCACACGCTGCAGGCTGATAATTGGGACACCTGCAGCATGGCTGGAGAGCAATGGCAGGGCACGCTGGGCTTGCCAGAGAGGTTTTTTGTGTGTTTGTTTGTTTGTTTGTTTGTTTTTGAGACAGAGTTTTGCTCGTCACCCAGGCTGGAGTGCAACCTCCGCCTCCCGGGTTCAAGCAATTCTCCTGCCTCAGCCTCCCAAGTAGCTGGGATTACCCGCACGTGCCACCCCATCCGGCCAATCGTTTTGCATTTTTAGTAGAGATGGGGTTTCACCATGTTGGCCAGGTCGGTCTCGAATTCCTGACCTCAGGTGATCCGCCTGCCTCAGCCTCAGCCTCCCAAAGTGCTGGGAAGGAGTCCCCAAACCATGAAGGATGGGAAGGTGCCCCAGCTGCCTTGCGCATGGGTAGGACCTCTCTCAGGTGTGAACTCCCTGAGGTCAGACACTTACAAGAACCCATTGCCCCCCGAGATCTCCTGCTCGTTGGTGCCCCCTGCAGGGTTCCTTCCCTCCCTGACTTACCACCCCAGCTCCGTCCTGGGGTCACTTCCTGGATAACCCACATAACCTGAAATCCTCATCCTCAGGTCTGTTTATGGGGAAACCCACATGAGGCTGGGTGTGGAGAAAAGCCAGTATCCTCGCCCCTAAGTGGGGCCACACTGAGCTGCATGCTCGACATTGTCCCCAGTGGCCCCAGGATGGGCTGACCCCCTTGCCCACAGCATTGTCTGCTCAACGGCATCTCCTTCAGGACTCCTTCCATCCCTGTCTCAAGTCCTTGCCCCTCACCAGGACTTTCTGGGGTCACTTTCCAGATAAACCATGCACCCTCAATTCCTCTTCTTGGAGTCTCATTCTGGAGGGCACCATCCAAGACGCACCCAGATACAGTGCCATGAACAGGCGTTTGGAGGCACGCATGTCCCCCCATATGCGTGCACACACGGAGATGAGATGGAATGCACCCGACCGAGTGAGTGCGCGCTGCAAAGGAGAGGGACCAGGCCATGGGACAGGGCATGAGACAGGTCTCAGAGGGTGGAGAAGGAGGGGCCCTATGGCGGCCCACGCCCCCTCACCGGTGATGCTGATCTTGGCGGACCACTTGGACGTGCCGTCCAGCACGCTCTGCTTGACCGCCTTCATCTGCTGCGTGTGCGCCGTCTTGGTCACCGCGAAGATCTCCTGGATGAGCTCGAAGATCTCGGGCTTGTTGCGCTCCCGGATCTTCATGCGGTCCTTGAGCACCATGATGATGTTCTGTGTCCGGTCCTCCGCCCCGTGCTTGGAGCTCTTCTCCGCAGCCCCTGAGGACGCCCGAGGCCGGCGCTGACCCCAGCGCGCCCTGCATAGTGGCCCCTCACCAAGGCGAGAGCCCCGCCCCTACTCATCAACCGGGGGGACTCAGGTGTCACCCCCTGAAGCCGGTTTCCTACCTGCTTTCTGTACCCCCCACCCAGACCCTTCACCCTTCCACCTCCTCTCGGAGCCATGCTCCTCTGAGTCGCCATGTCCCTGCGTCCTGCCCTTCTCTGCCCCGCACCCCTTGGAGTCCCCACTGGTTTTTGGAGCCCCACCCCTCTAAGGCCTCTTCCCTAAGCCCCACCCCTCTGAGTCCCCGCCCCCTCTGCGTCCCACCCCTCTGAATCTCCGCCCCCTCTCTGAGTCCCACCCCTCTGAGTCCCGCTGCCTCTCTGAGCCCCACTCCTCTGAATCCCCTCCTCGTCTCTGATCTCCACCCCTGCGAGTCCCCTCCACATTCCTGAGCCCCTTCCATCTCTCAGACCCCTCCCTTTCTCTTGGTCCCACCTCCTCTGAGTCCCCTCCCCCTTCCAATCCCCCCCTCCACAGTCCTCTCGCAGTCTGAACCCCTTCCCTCTCTGAGCCCCTCTTCCTCTCAGAGCTACCCCTAGCTAACCCATTTTATCCAGGGGAGCTGCCTCTTCTCACTAAGCCTGTCCTTTGCACAACCTAGCTAGTCCCTGAGCCCTGCCCCACCCCTCTCTGACACCCTCACAGCTTCTTTCCCCACCCCTCGACCCCCTAGCCCTTCCACCAGGGAGTCCTGCGCCTTTAACCCCACCCCTCCCTTTCAGCGAGTCCCTCCCCTGCCTCACGACGCCCCGCCCCTTGCCCCGCCCCATGGTGCCCCACCCATCGCCTTGCCCTTCAGCCTTTCCCCGCCATGCAAGCCCCGGGGCTCCCCACGCCAACCCGTGGCCCTGCGCTCAGGCCCTGCGCTCACGCTGCAGGCAGTCGGCGTTGAGCAGGTCCTGGCACTTCTCGTGGCACTTGACACCGCACTCGGTGCAGCGCATGCCCTGCCTCGCGATGCCCCACAGCAGCCCCTCGCACTCGTAGCAGTAGGTGGGCGTGGTGGCCGTCCACACTTCGAAGTTGTGTGGCGTCGTGCACGAGATGGGGTAGATTAAGGCTTGCAGGGTCTTCTTGTAAACGTGGTTTTTCTGCAGGGAGGGATGGGGTGCGGTTTGGGGGCGCCTAACCTGGCGCTGTCCCTGTCCTGCCCCATTCCGCCCCATCACTGAGCGCGGTAAAGTCCCAGGCCCTCCCCTGCCTCCACGCTGTCGGAATCCACGCTGCCTTCTGCCAGTCTGTGTCACACACACACCCTTCCTCTTCCCGGGGACCCACAGAGGCTTGGACAATTCCAGAAGCTCCTAGCCCAGTCCATCCCTGACCCGGGGAAAAAGAGGTGCCCCACGCACCAGCTCCTCGTTGTTCAACGTGCTGGAGGCCAAGGCCGAGGTGATGCCCGCTTTCCTGGACTGGACCAGGGACTGGGGAGGTCACAGAAGAGGGAGTCGGGGGGGTTGACATCCATGAGATCACCACCAGGAGAGTTCACAGCCACGGATGGGGCCAGCAGCCACATTTTGGAGCCACAACCGCAAGTTGGAAACAGGTCACCGACAGCATCCGGGCCAGACCCAACAAAGAATTAGGAGGTGACAGAGGCTTTGAGTTAGAAGGGACCCTGGAAAGTGAGCAGCCCCGCACCCCTGACTCACAGCATCCAACACAGTGGGACATGGCAAGGTTCCCCCATAATCCATGAATTGGGGGCCTGTTAGAAGATCCCAGTGGGGGAGTTTGGGGAGAAGATCCCAAGAGGCCCATGTCGCCATCACTCACCATGGCCTGAAGTGTCCACGCAGCACATGGGGGTAGAAATCAGACTACATTAGTCTCAGAGAATGCCTAGCTGGCCCCCAACCCCAGGTTGACCATGGGCAGTTCCACAGGTTGTGCACTGCTTATAGCAGGCCTGCTCTGCTCAGGGAGTAAAGGGCGAGGGTGCTTACCAAGTCGCTCACGAGTGGGATAGGTTTCCTCTTGCGGATGTCTGGCATGCTGTCGATGATGATGAGACCGCCCCCTGGGCTGAAAGACACAGAGGGACACTGAGGGCCCAGATGTCCCTATTCCTCACATAGAGCCCTGGGGAGAACATTCAACCTCCCCCAGGTGTTAAGGGGTTGAATTGGGTCCCTCAAAAAAAAGATACGCTGATGCCCTAACCCCCACTACCTCAGAAGGTGACCTTACTTGGAAACGGGGTTGTCACAGATGTAATTAGTTAAGATAAGGTCATACTGGAGTAGGGTAGACACTTAATCTAATATGACTGGTGTCCTTAGAAGAAGAGATACATGGGGAGAAGGTGGCTCTGTGACAGCAGAGGCAGAAAGCGACGTATCTACAAACCAATACTCGGGGGCCAAGGAATTCAAGCAAACTAGAAGCTAGAAGAGGCAGGGGAGGAATTCTCTTCTACAGATTTCAGAGGGAGCATGGCTCTACCAATGCCTTGATTTCAGACTTCTGGCCTCCAGAACTGTGAGAGAATACATTGCTGTGGTTTTAAGCTACCCGTCTGTGGTACTTTGTGACAGCAGTCCTAAGAAATGGAGACACCCGGCCTCACCCTCCTCATCTGAAAAATGGGGAGATGATGTAATTGCCCACCTTGAATGAAAACGTGAATTAAGGCAAATCTAAATAATATACTAAAATATAAATGAGGCCAGGAGTGGTGGCTTACGCCTGTAATAATCCCAACACTTTGGGAGGCCGAGGCGGGCGGATCACCTGAGGTTAGGAGTTCGAGACCAGCCTGACCAACATGGTGAAACCCCGTCTCTACTAAAAATACAAAAATTAGCCAGGCATGGTAGTGCATGCCTGTAGTCCCAGCTACTCAGGAGGTTGAAGCAGGATAATTGCTTGAACCAGGAGGCAGAGGTTGCAGTGAGTCGAGATCACGCCACTGCAATCCAGCCTGGGTGACAGAGCGAGACTCTGTATCAAAAATAAAATAAAATATAGATGAAACCTTTCTTGGCTCATTGCAACCTCTGCCTCCCAGGTTTAAGCAATTCTCCTGCCTCAGCTCCCCAAGTAGCTGGGATTACAGGTGCCCACCACAACGCCTGGCTAATTTTTGTATTTTTAGTAGAAACAAGCTTTCACCATGTTGGCCAGGCTGGTCTCGAACTCCTGACCTCAGGCGATCCGCCCACCTTGGCCTCCCAAAGTGCTGAGATTACAGGCGTGAGCCACCATGCCCAGCCATCTTTCGAAACAAGATCTCACTCTGTCACCCAGGCTGGAGTGCAGTGGCACAATCACGGCTCACTGTAGCCTCCACCTCCTGGGCTACAGCAATCCTCCCACCTTAGCCTCCTGAGTAGCTGGGACCATAGGTGTACACCGCCACACCCAGCAAATTTTTTTTTTTTTTTTTTTTTTGAGATGGAGTCTCGCTCTGTCGCCCAGGCTGGAATGCAATGGTATGATCTTGGCTCACTGCAACCTCTGCCTCCTGGGTTCAAGCAATTCTCCTATCTCAGCCTCCCAAGTAGCTGGGATTACAGGTGCGCACCACGACACCTGGCTAATTTTCTGTATTTTTCGTAGATATGGGGTTTCACCATGTTGACCAGGCTGGTCTCAGACTCCTGACCTCAGGTGATCAACCGCCTAGGCCTCCCAAAGTGCTGGGATTACAGGCATGAGCCACTGCACCCGGCCCACACATAGCTAATTAAAAAAAAATTCTTTTGTAGAGATGGGGGTCTCGCTATGTTGCCCAGGCTGGTCTTGAACTCCTAGCCTCAAGTGATTCTCCTGCCTCAGCCTCCCAAATAGCTGGGATTACAAGCATGCACCACCACACCTGGCTAATTTTTTGTATATTTTAGTAGAGACGGGATTTTGCCATGTTGGCCAGGCTGGTCTTGAACTCCTGACGTCAGGCGATCCACCTGCTTCAGCCTCCCAAAGTGTTGGGATTACAGGCGTGAGCCACCAAGCCTGGCCCCGAAAAGGTTTTCACTGGCCAGTGAGATAGGTGCCTGCAGCCAATGACTCCAGACAAGCCCTGCAGGGCTATTCAACCTACAAAGCTTTCTGCAGGAGCCAACTGAGGCTTAGAGACTCCTAAACCACATCTTTTCTCGGCAGCCTCCCCTTGTCTGACAGGTTTCTCCCGAGAGCACATCCTTCATAAATCACGTGCACAGGAATCCGCATTTCAGGACCCGCATCCAAGGCTCTCTAGCTAGGGTACCTGCTCATTTATTTAGGAGTCCCAGCTGCTGTCTCCCTGCCTGTTTGCCAAGGACGTACAAGGAAGGTCACTATCGTGCTGCTATTTTAAAACCTGAGCATATTTTTAAAATATCTTGTGCATCCTCTAACCTGAAAATCCATAACATAAGAGGTTAGACATGACCACATTCTCCACTGAAGACTAAACAACTATCTTTAATTAAAGAGCCCACAACTGTAGCAATAATCAAAGAGATTTAAAAATAGAATCAACGCAAAAATTTTGCTCCAGGATTACAAATATATAGTGTACATTTCCCAATAGTGTCTAGTTCCTCATAGTGTCTGCTTTATCTTACATTTATTTATTTATTTATTTGTTTGTTTATTTTTGAGACAGTGTCCCGCTCTGTCTCCCAGGCTGGAGTGCAGTGGTGCAATCTCAGCTCACTACAACCTCTGCCTCTCGGGTTCAAGTAATTATCTTGCCTCAGCATCCCAAGTAGCTGGGATTACAGGCGCCTGCCAGCATGCCCAGCTAATTTTTGTGTTTTTAGTAGAGACAGGGTTTCACCATGTTGGCCAGGCTGGTTTCGAACTCCTGACCTCAAATGATCCTCCCGCCTCGGCCTCCCAAAGTGCTAGGATTACAGGCATGAGCCACCGCACCCCGCCCTGTCTTCAAAGATTACTGTCTTTTGTGTCTGCGTATGGCTGTGTGCCTTATGAAAGTGACGTATTTTGCCCAAGCTCAATCTGTCCCCTGTCTAAATGGAACCCCTCCTCCTCCTCTCTGGGCTGAGGCTCAGGCGCAAACCAGCCTTGGACTTGGGGTTCAAATCTTCCTCCCACCGCTCACAGTTTCATTACTTACCCGCCTTTGAACCATAGGGATTTAGACATCTCTCCTTCTCCCCGGGCCTGCAGGACAGACAGACAGATATGGTCAGTGTGGCTGTCCCTCCCCTCCCCAGAGCAGGCTCCACACCCACTTCTGACTCCCCTCTGGGCTGGGAGTCAGATGGCCTGGGTCCTAGTCCTGGCTGAGTGATTTTAGGAAGCTCCGTGGCTATCTCTGGGCCTTAGTTTGTCCATCTGTAAGATGGGCTGGGGGAGAAAGAAGCTCTTCTCTTTCAACCACCTCAATGGACCTCAGTCTCTTCATTGATTATTCCCTAAACCCCCTATAGTCTCACTTGTTCATCTGCTCTCTTGCCTCGGGCTCTTTCCAGGAGTTGTGACTTCAGCTTGTACCTCTTCCCACCTTCTGCAGCCAACCAGCCTCTATTTATCATTCGGGTCTCAGCATAGACGTGGGGTCCACAGCCCCTACCTTCCCTCCATCTTGTAACTAAAGGGTTAACATGGGGGGAGGGGTGGCCCTATGAGGAACACAGGCAGCACTCTTCTGTTCTGAAATATTGAGGGGGTGTTTGGTTTTTTTTTAAAGACAGGGTCTTGCTATATTGCCCAGACTGGTCTTGAACTCCTGGCCTCATGTGATCTTCCTGCTTCAGCCTCCTGAGTAGCTGGGACCACACACACAAGCCACCACACTCAGCTCCTGAAATAAATATATATATATATATTTTGTTTGTTTGTTTGTTTGAGACGGAGTTTCCCTTTTGTTGCCCAGGCTGGAGTGCAGTGGCGCAATCTCAGCTCACTGCAACCTCCACCTCCTGGGTTCAAGCGATTCTCCTGCCTCAGCCTTCCTAGTAGCTGGGATTACAGGTGCCCACCACCACACCCAATTAATTTTTTGTATTTTTAGTAGAGGTGGGGTTTCACTATGTTGGCCAGGCTGGTCTCGAACTCCTGACCTCAGGTGATCCACCCACCTCTGCCTCCCAAAGTGCTGGGATTACAGGCGTGAGCCACTGCATCCGGCTCTGAAATATTTTTTATTTTTTTCTTTTAGAGATGAGGTCTCACTACGTTGCCCAGGCTGGTCTCAAACTCCTGAGTGCAAGTGAGCCTCCCGCCTCGACCTCCCAAATTGCTGGGATTACAGGCATGAGCTCCTGAAATATTGTTGAAATAAATATTTTGGATATCACTTCTCTTTTTTTTTTTTTTTTTTTTTTTGAAATGGAGTCTCGCTCTGTCACCCAGGCTGGTGTGCAGTGGCGCGATCTCGGCTCACTGCCAGCTCCGCTTCCCGGGTTCACGCCATTCTCCTGCCTCAGCCTCCCGAGTAGCTGGGACTACAGGCGCCTGCAACCACAGCCGGCTAATTTTTTTGTACTTTCACTAGAGACGGGGTTTCACCATGTTAGCCAGGATGGTCTCGATCTCCTGACCTCGTGATCCACCCACCTCGGCCTCCCAAAGTGCTGGGATTACAGGCTTGAGCAACCACGCCCGGCCATCACTTCTCCTTAAGTGTCATCTCCTCCAGGGAGTTTTCCTGATTGCCTTGGATTAGTTTTATGCTTTTCCTATGAAACCCAGAGAGCCTTCCATGTGTCTTTTTCTTGTCATATTACTAGTTCCATAGTTTGTTTTTCTTGTATATCACATAGTTCCAATAGTAGCTGCTATTTTTTCAATTTAATTTCTTGACCTAGTGGAAGTTATCCAACAGCCTTTTCACTGTGTCCTCTTCCACCTGTCTCATTTAGAACCATATGTATGTACTGCTGAGTCAAAAAATAGATTTCTATTTTAAAACTGTTAAGAAATTTCGTTTGGTAATTTTGTGGCTCTGATATTTGATGGTCTAAACCTTTGGGAGTCTGTTTAGAATCTCCTCCTGCCAATCCCACTGCAGTTTGGAGGGTAACTCTGAAGAGCAACACAGCTGTCCCCAGCCCAGGGTGAGCTGAATGAAGGAATAAACGAATGGCCTCAACCCTGCTGCCCATCTAAACAGTCAGCTTGCCCCTGATGCTGATTGCTTCCCTTGATTCCTACTCCCCTACTGAGCCGGCCCCAGACCTTTCCCTAACCCTGACAATGACCTCCAATTTGGCCCTAAGCACTGACCCCTTTGCCTAACACCAATTCTAACCCTGACCTCTGATCTTTGATGGCTGAACTAACCCTGACCTTGATCCCTAACCATGACTTCAGCCCAGTTTCAGCCCTAGTTTTCTCTCCTCCCTCTAGATCTAGAAACCCCAGGCTGACATTGGGAAGGAGGCTGGGCTGGGGATGTGTGGGGCCAGACTTGGTGCATGGTTTGGGAGTTAGCATAGCCAGGCTGGTGTGGACGGGCCATGGGGATACCCTGGGCTGTGTGTGTATGTGGCTAAGGAAGGGTCAGAGTGGGTGGGGCATCGGTGACATTGGGTGAGGCCAGGCTGAATGAGGGTGGGGCCAGGGAAGGGCTCGAGTGGCTGGGGCATGGGCACAGTGTGGGCACTGCACTGGGCATGCCCAGGCTAGGCTTGGGTACGGGTGGGGTGTTGGGCGTGGCCAATATAGGTGTGGGTGTGGCCAAAACATGTGTGGGCCTGCCATTGGGCGTGGCCTGGCTAAGTGTGGCAGGGGCATGGCTGGGCGTGTCACTCACCTCCTGCAGCTGCATCCGCACCTTGTTGAAGGCACGCAGCCAGTTGGCCTTGGCCCTGGACATGGAGTCCTGCCCCTCCTGGCCTTCCTCATCCTCTCTCGGCCTGAAACTGAGGCAGGGAACGCTATGAGGCTCTGGGCTGGCTCTCCGTGACCCCTGAACTTCCCTTGACCCTCCAGCTGTGCAAGTGATGCATAGCTCCCCATGGTATCTCTGACCCCTCAGAGACATTAGGACCCACGTGAGTCCCCTGGCCCACCTCAGTGCCCCTCACCCCTTCCCACACACCCAATGCTTCTGTGACACTTCACTGTTCCTCGGCTTCCTTTTCACCAGCCCAGCCCCTCTGGCCCCCCATTTGCCCAGGATCTTGACCTCTCCGACCCCAGCAACCACTAAGATCACAAACTCTAAGTCTCCTTCACGGCCCCTTGAACCCTCTTTGACCTCCCTACTCTGCCCTGTCACCTCTGATCCCTTTAAGAAACCCAAGAGCCTGTGACAACTTCAGCCCCAGCAACTTCCCAGGTCCACGCTGACCCCATCATAGCCCTGCTGACCCTGTGACCTTGTGGCAGCCCCTCTGGCCCCTTGGCCCCGTCCTGTTACCTCTCCTCGTCCTTGGGTGGCTCAGCCTCAGGGATCTGCTCAGCTGCAGGCACCTTGTCGGGCGTGGCTGGCTTGGGGGCCACCTTGGCCATGTCGGGGGCCTCGGTGGGTGCCACTGGGGCCTTGTCCTCCTTCCCTGGGGCAGCTGGCGGGAGGCTGATGCGTTTGAAGTCTTTGGGCTCAGCCACAGCTACGTCTTCACGCTGGGCATAGCTGCCCAAATCGTCAGGCACCTCCTCCTCCTCCTCCTCCAGCTCCTCCTCATCTTCAGGCAGCTCCTCCTCCTCCAGGAAGTCCTCCAGGTCCTCCTCCAGCTCTTCCTCATCCTGGTCCCAGCGAGGCGAGTCTTTGTGGTAGCTGACCGAGCTGTGGCAGGAGTGGTAGGAGTCCCGGTCCCGCTCATCCTCCATGTCGGAGCCCTGCAGGCTGTGCTCGTCAGGGTCGAAGTCCTCGCTCAGCTGAGAGCTTCCCTGGCTCAGCTCCCCGGAAGAGGCATAGCGGCTGCTACCCGTGGGGCTGTGGGGATGGAACAGGGTTCAGGGACTGGGGTACCGAGTCACTGCCCACCTGAGCCCCAGTCACACAGGCATTGACTCATCACCGACTGAGCACCTACGATGTGCCAGGTCCTGCTCTAGGGGCTGGAAAACACAGCCATGATCAGAAAAGACAAAAATCCCCGCTTTTGGCCAGGTGCGGTGGCTCACGCCTGTAATCCCAGCACTTTGGGAGGCTGAGGTGGGCAGATCACCTGAGGTCAGGAGTTCAAGACCAGCCTGGCCAACATGGTGAAACCCTGTCTCTACCAAAAATACAAAAATTAGCTGCGCATGGTGGCGTATGCCTGTAATCCCAGCTACTCGGGAGGCTGAGGTAGAAGAATCACTTGAACCCGGGAGGTGGAGGTTGCAGTGAGCTGGGATCATGCCATTGCACTCCAGCCTGGGCAACAAGAGCGAAATTCCGTCTCAAAAAAAAAAAAAAAAAAAAAAAAATTCCCACTTTTGTGGCATTTGCGGTCTGTGGGGAACAGGCAATTGACTGTGCTGGGAACTCAGGGTCAGCGCCATCACCACAGCCCCGCAGCAGGTCTCCTGTCCTCCACCTGGAAAAAGTATGGGAAATGCATCCACTTCCCCGTACCCCGGGCCCCAACCCAGGCCAGCCTCTGCTGTCTCTACCAGATGCTGTCTCCACAGTTCCTGCTTCCCTTGGAAGCCACAGGGAATTGTAAATCCAATCACCTCCCTCCCCTGCTCTAAATCCTACCATGGCTCCCTAGTGCCTTGGAATAAAATCTGTGCTAGCCCTGTGTGGCCCATACGCTCCAAACTCCCCCTGCATACCTCCCTCCACTTCTCCCCGCCTCCTCCATTCCGGCCACGCTGGCCACCTCGTTGTCTCTCCAACACCATAAACCTGTGCACTTGCCGTGGTCTCTTCCTTGTCTGCTTTATCTAGCAAACTCCTACCCACCCTCTGGTACCCACTGAAACATCACTTACTTGTGCAAATGCCCCCCACTGTCTGGCCAGGTCAGGCCCTCTGTTATGTGCTGCTTATGTGAACCCAGGATCGTGCTCAACGTCAACAGCAATATCTGTCTCTGTCTAAATACAGGCAGGGGGACATAGGGGCCACCACTCAGCCCTCTTCTAACCATTCACTTAGTCATTCAACGAACCTTATCATTTCCCGATTAGATACCTCCTCCAATCTTAGCGCCTGAGACCCTCTTCCCTGGCCAGCCTCGAGGATGCTATAGGAATAAAAAGGGGTTCAAGACTAGCCCAGGCAATGGAGCAAGACCCCCATCTCCACAAAAAATAAAAATAAATTAGCTTGGTGTGGCGGCCTGTGCCTGTAGTCCCAGCTACTGGGGAGGCTGAGGCAGGAGAATCGCTTGAGTCTGGGTGGTGGAGGTTGCAGTGAGCCGAAATGGTGCCACTGCACTCCAGCCTGGGTGACAGAGCAAGACTCTGTCTAAAAAAAAAAGAAAAGAAAAAAAAAAAGAAAAAAATGGTTAATTCCCACAAGAAAATGTGAATTCTGCCCTCCTGGATGGGTGAATTCTGCCCTTCTGGAACTCCACCTCCAGCTCTGTCCAGCCCCGTACCCCTCTCTCCACTCCAGGAGACACAGCAGGACCCACATGCATGCTGCACTCCGCAGCACCTACCTGAGGGCTTGTGGCTCAGAGAACTCCTCGTAACTGTGCATGGAGTCACTGTAGGACTCCCGGGAGCCCAGGGGTGGTGGGCGAACAGAATATTGGTGGACTGAGGCGTTGGGTTGTGACGTAGTATAATAGGGCGGCGGGATGCTGTTGCTCGTTTCACTGCGGTAGTCACTGTCACGATCATCCACTGCACTGTCGGGGTCATCGTCTGGAAGAGAGAGGCGGTATGGGAAGAGGGTGAGGAAGAGAGAGTGCACATGATGGGAGCCAATACAATTTCCCAGACTTACGGTGCCGCTACCGAAGAAGAGAATTTTTTACTAGTATGGATAAAGAATTGTGGGTCATGTTAATAGAGATATAGGCTTCAGAACAAGGGAGGTGAAAACCCTGCTTTGCTTTATGTGGGTCAAATTGGACCTAAAGTCTAGGGGCTAGGGTAGGACCTACAATGTGAAGAAAACAGGGACAGAGTAGAGGGCATCCTTCAGCTCAAATGTGAAGAACAACTTTGCTGAAGGTCAGGATCTCTGAAAATGACATGGGATTTTTTTCCACTGAGCAGTTAGTTTCCCATAACAGGAGTCACACAGACAGTCAGGGGGAAGTTGGAAGAAGATCAGGAGTTCAAAGTGGACGGAACGCTCTTTAACCCTTAGAGATTTCCTGATATCTGAGGGTGACGACCCCAGACCTGAACTTAACAAATATGCAAGAACCAAGAAGATGCTGAGACATGGTTCTGTCTTTTTCAAAAAGGATTAGATTCTTAGCTTGGCAAAGCCACCACACACTTGGAATCTATTGCTAAAATGGAATGTGGTAGAGTTGCCAAACTTCATGTTTAATAAGAACTAAAAGATATTTTGGTTTAGTTTGGTTTCCTTAGAAAAAAGAACAGTTTGTTTTCTAAATCCTAAAAAAAAAAATTCCAATTCTAAAAGCAACATGTCTGGGTGGTGGCATAATTGGGGATTGTACATTTTCTTCTTTATTCTTTTCTGTACCTTCTGAAAAAAAAGATTTCAATAATGCAATCTTTTTAATTTTTTAACTAAAAAGAATGATAAAGTTATCTTTATTTTAAAAGTAAAGCAAAGGCCGGGCACAGTGGCTCACACCTGTAATCCCAGCACTTTGGGAGGCGGAGGCGGGCAGATTACTTGAGGCCAGGAGTTCAAGACCAGCCTGGGCAACATACCAAGACCCTGTCTCTACTAAAAATACAAAAATTAGCCAGGTGTGGTGGCATGTGCCTGTAATCCCAGCTCCTTGGGAGGCTGAGGCAGGAGAATCTCTGGAACCCAGGAGGTGGAGATTGCTGTGAGCCAAGATCACACCTCTGCACTCCAGGGGCTGGGTGACACAAGACCCTGTCTCCAAAAAATAAAATAAAATAAAAGTAAAGTAAAACCTAGTCCATGGGCCAGGCAAAGTGGCTCATGCCTGTAATCCCAGCACTTTGGGAGGCCAAGGCAGGAGGATCACTTGAGCCCAGGAGTTCAAGATCAGCCTGGGCAACATAGTAAGGCCCCATCTCTTTAAAAAAATTTAAAAATTAGCTGGGCGTGGTGGTGGGCGCCTGTAGTCCCAGCTATTCGGGAGGGTATGGCAGGAGCATTGCTGGAGCCCAGGAGGTCGAGGTAGCAGTGAGCTATGATTACGCCTCTGCACTGCAGTCTGGGTGTCAGAATGAGACCCTGTATCCAGAAAAAAAGAAAAAGTAGTCCATGAAGAAAACATGAGAAGTACGGGTAAGGGGAAGAGGATGTAAAAAAATGAAAAAACCCCCAGACCCCAAAATCTCAGAGCAATGAGTGAAACCTTCAGACTTTTGCTGTATTCATCCATTCATTTAGACAGGGTCTCTCTCACTTGGGCTGGAGCGCAGTGGCGCGATCAAAACTCACTGAAACCTCGACCTCCTGGGCTCAAGAGATCCTCGCATCTCAGCCTCCACAGTAGCTGGGACCACAGGCACACACCACCACACCCAGCTAATTTTATTTATTTATTATTTTGTAGAGATGGGATCTCCCTATATTGCCCAGGCTGATCTTGAACTCCTGGGCTCAAGCGATCCTCCCGCCTCAGCTTCCCACAGTGCTGGGATTAGCCGTGAGCCACCTCGGCCGGCCAGCATTCTTTCTATCCAATTGTCCTTGACCGGGCTGAGATGTTTCCAGCCAAATTGCATGAGGCTGTGCACATGTTTACCCAGTTTTTTTTTTTCCTGACAAATTATCTGCTTATGAAGGGTAAATTACTTTGAGTTGGATTCTTTTTGCTTTTGCCCAGGCTCTGCTTTCTACTAAGTAGCTCTTGACTAAATTGCCTGCTTCTGGCTATTTTCAACCACTTTTGTTTTAACCCAACGGTCTGTTTTCGGTTCAATTGTCTTTCCTTTTTGACCCAATTATCTATCAGCTTTAGCTGCATTGGTGTTTTGTTTTGTTTGTTTGTTGGTTTTTGGGTTTTTTTTTTTTTTGAGACAGAGTCTCGCTCTGTCACCCAGGCTGGAGTGCAATGGTACGATCTCGGCTCACTGCAGCCTCCACCTCCCAGGTTCAAATGATTCTCCTGCCTCAGCCTCCCGAGTAGCTGGGATTAAAGGCATGCACCACCATGCCTGGCTAATTTTTGTATTTTTAGTAGAGATGGGGTTTCGTCACGTTGGCCAGGCTGGTCTCGAACTCCTGACCTCAAGTGATCTGCCTACCTCGGCCTCCCAAAGTGCTGGGATTATGGTGTGAGCTGCCACGCCTGGTCTATCTTTGCTTTTGACCGTACTGTTCGTTTGTGGCAAGTTGGTTGTTATCGAGCTTGCCCTGTCTGCCAAGCATTCATTTTGGCAAAATTGATTTTATTTATTTATTTTAATCTATTTATTTTTTAGAGACAGGGTCTCACACTGTTGCCTAGGCTAAAGTCTAGTAGCACAATCATGGCTCACTGCAGTCCCAACCTCCTGGGCTCAAACAACCCTCCCACCTCAGCCTCCCAAATAGCTGGGACTACAGGGGCGTGCCACCACACCCGGCCCTTTTTTTTTTTTTTTGTAGAGATGGAGTCTTGCTCTGTTGCCCAGGCTGATTTCAGACTTTGGAGCTCAAGCGTCCCTCCCGCCTCAGCCTCCCAAAGTGTTGGAATTACAGGTGTGAGCCAGTGTGGCTGGCCTAAGTTGATTTTTAACCAACTTGTTTTTGATAAATTGTGGTGGACCAAAGTGTTTGTCAACAGTTTCACTGGTCCTGGAGTTAGGTTTGTCCACCAGGATATGAGGAAGGAGTGAAGGACTCCCCAGTTGAAGGAGAGAGAAGGAGGCAGATTTATCCTCAAAATAGAGGACTGGCCAGGCATGGTAGCTCACACCTATAATCCCAGCACTTTGGGAGGCCAAGGCGGGAGGATTGCTTGAGGTCAGGAGTTCAAGACCAGCCTGGCCAACATGGTGAAACCCCATCTCTACTAAAAATACAAAAATTAACCAGGCATAGTGGCGTGCACCTGTAATCCCAACTACTCGGGAGGCTGAGGCAAGAGAACTGCTTGAACCCGGGAGGTGGAGGTTGCAGTGAGCAGTGATCGCACCACTATACTCCAGTCTGGGTGACAGAGCAAGACTCCATCTCAAAAAAAAGAAAAAAGAAAGAAGGAAAGAAAGAATAGAGGACTGGATTTCTCTAGAAGAGGCGGGGTATGGGAGAAAGGGAGCAACTCTTTAGGGCATGGATCTGGTCTGTGGCCTGTTAGGAGCTGGGGCGCACAGCAGGAGGTGGGCAGCGGTTGGGTGAGCGAGTGAAGTTTCATCTGTATTTACAGTTGCTCCCCATCACTCACATTACCGCCTGAGTTCCACCTCCTGTCAGATCAGCGGCAGCATTAGATTCTCATAGAAGGCCGGGCGCAGTGGCTCAAACTTGTAATCCCAGCCCTTTGGGAGGCCAAGGCAGGTGGATCACCTGAAGTCAGGAGTTCACAACCAGCCTGGCCAACATGGTGAAACCCCATCTCTACTAAAAATACAAAAAATTAGCTGGGCATGGTGGCACGCGCCTGTAATCCCAGCTACTTGGGAGGCTCAGGTACGAGAATCACTTGAACTCGGAGGCAGAGGTTGCAGTGAGGCGAGATTGCGCCACTGTACTCCATCCAGCCTGGGCAACAGAGCAAGACTCTGTTTCAAAAAAAAAAAAAGATTCTCACGGGAGCGTGAACCCTACTGTGAACTGTGCATGTGCGGGATCTAGGTTGTGTGCTCCTTATGAGAATCTAATGCCTGATGATCTGTCACTGTCCCCCATCACCCTAAGATGGGACTGTCTAATTGCAGGAAAACAAGTTCAGGGCTCCCACTGCTTCTACATGATGATGAGTTGTATCATTATTTCATTACATACTATAATGTAATAATAATAATAATAAAAATAAAGTGCACAACAAATGCAGTGAACTTGAATCATCCAGAAACCATCCCCCAACCCCAGTCCATAAAAAAATTGTCTTCCATGAAACTGGTCCCTTGTGTCAAAAAGGTTGGGAACCGCTGTTAGGTAGAAAAACGGACATTTAATTAGGGCCAGGTGCCATGGCTCATGCCTGTAATCCCAGCACTTTGGGAGGCCAAGGCAGGTGGATCACGAGGTCAGGAGATCGAGACCCTCCTGGCTAACACGGTGAAACCCCGTCTCTACTAAAAATACAAAAAATTAGCCGGGCGTGTTGGCGGACGCCTTTAGTCCCAGCTACTCGGGAGGCTGAGGCAGGAGAATGGCGTGAACCCTGGAGGCAGAGCTTGCGGTGAGCTGAGATCGTGCCACTGCCCTCCAGCCTGGGTGATAGAGTGAGACTCCGTCTCAAAAAAAAAAAAAAAAAGGAAAAGGAAAATGGACATTTAATTTAGGGAGGGGGTGGCTTGCCTTATTCCCTGGGAGAGCAAATGAAGGTGGAAGGTGAGGTGTGAGTGTGGGTGGACCTGGGGGGTGCTGAGGTCCCTGTGTGCATCTCCCTGAGGTCCCTGGCCTGCCGTTCTGTTAGAGACCCCGCCCACCCACTACCCTCTGAGTGACACTGGACACATTTCCAAGTGGAGAAGGAAGATAGGAAGACCAAAAGGCAGGGGCTACAGGAGAGGAGGTGAGGTTATACGGCGGAGTGGGGTGCGGGGGTCACAGTGCCCAGCTGGAGACAAGCAGGTTGTTGGTCTAAATGTCCACTCCTCCAGGCTAACCCCCCCCACCCCACCCCAATGACGGTGCCCACTCCCCAGCAGATGGCAGGCCTCCCAAGACAGGCACTAATGAACAGGGTACAGGAAAGCTTGAAAGGGGTCTTGCTGAGCCCTCTGGCCCCCACGTGCTCGTCACAGGCTCCTTGCTTCCCTGTGTGGTAGTGGGGAGGGGCCTTGGGATCACCAAGGTGCCCACCTTCCCATGTAACTCCCAGAACATCAATCAGGCTGAGTACTTACTGTGCTGCTCACCCCAGCCAAAATAATTCCAGTTGCCTACAAAGAGAAGGGGCAGAAATAATAAAAGGGAGCAGACAGAGGGGTGGGTGTAGGAAGGGGGCTCCCCTGCTGTCCTCACTCTCCCCAACTGCTCCCCCCACCCCAAAAGTCCCTCTTGTCCTGAGTACCTTCCCTGAGTATCACCTTCATTGCTGACACTTGCTGTGTCTCTGCTCTCCACCTTGGGAGGAAGGTGGGATATCCCTGTTTGTTTATTTTTTTCTTTTCTTTAATTTTTTTTTTGAAACACGGTCTCACTCTGTCATCCAGCCTGGAGTAGAGTGGTGCAATCACGGCTTACTGCAGCCTCCAATTTCCAAGCTCAAGTGATCCTCCCACCTCAGCCTCCTGAGTAACTGAGATTACAGGCACACACCACCATGTTCAGCTAATGTTTTGGTTCTTGGTGGTTTTCTTTTTGTTTTTTTGTGTGGAGATGGATCTTGCTATGTTGGTCAGGCTGGTCTCAAACACGTGGTCTCAAGTGAGGCCGAGTAGCTGGGATTTACAGGCATGAGCCACTGTGCCTGGCTCAGTTTTCAATGAGAGGAAAGGCTCAGTCAGGAAGTAACAAAGTGGGTATTTGGGCCCAGGGTTTTCTGACTATGATGTCTAGGGTTAGCAGTCTCCCAGTCTCCACCCTTTTCCTCTCCCAGCTCTTGGATAAGGAAAGACACACTAAATTGGAAACCCTAAGGTTTGAAACACCCCTGTTGGGTGGATTTTATCATTCTACTCATTTTATGGGTGAAACTATGGGGCTCAGAGGGATGGAGTGAGCAGCCCAAAGTCACAGAGCCTCTGCGCATCAGGGCCAGGGCGAGAACCACCTTTGCCTATCACGTGCAGTACCTGGCACTTCAGAAAAATGTCCTGGACCAGAATCCTGGCTCCTCTGACCATTGGCTGCTTTCTCTGAGAAATAGGGTGACAAAATACTCCAAGGGAGGACTTGTGGGTAAATACTGAGTGGTGGTCTCCACTTCCCAAAATGAACCTGCCCCTAGCTCTAGTCCATCTGCCCAGGGGCTCTCTGCCATTGCCTTCCTGCCTCCACTCTGCCTGGCCCCGCCCCCATTGCAACCTCTCAATGACCCCATTCACCAAGCGGGGGTTTGTAATTCCTTCCAGGCAGTGATGACCCCTCCCTGGCCAGGGAAGCCAAGGAACTTTCTCAATATCACTCCCCAAGTTAGTGTGGAAACAGGGTACCCCAGCTGGAGTATCCCAAGCCCTCCTCAACCCCGGTTCCATTACCACCCTCCTGGACACATGGTGAGGGAGACACAGATACAGGGAGAGCTGTGAGAGGGGAGAAAAGGAAGATGGAAAAGCAAATGGAAAAGGTGCCAGGCATGGTGGCTCACACCTGTAATCCCAGCACTTTGGGAAGCTGAGGTGGGCAGATCACATGAGGTAAAAAATTTGAGACCAGCCTGGCCAACATGGCAAAACCCCATCTCTACTAAAAATACAAAAATTAGCTGGGCGTGGTGGCATGTGCCTGTAATCCCCACTGCTCAAGAGGCTGAGGCACAAGAATCACTCAAATCCGGGAGGCAGAGGCTGCAGTGAGCCAAGATAGTACTATTGCAGTCCAGTCTGGGTGACAGAGGGAGACTCTATCTCCAAGAAAAAAAAAAAGAGAAGAAGAAAAGAAAGTAAATGGGAAAGGAGAAGGAGGCTAAAGAGTGCAGTGGGGTTTTGGTGTCAGCAGGTGGGAGCTCTGCCCTGAGGCTATATGATTTGCTACTTCCCCTCCACCACAGAGCAATGGGAAGTCATTTTAAGGAGGGAGACAGCTCCTCCATCCATGAAAAGACCTGGTCTGGATGCATCTGAGTGTCCACAAGGCCCAGGAAGATAAAAAATCTTGACAACTGCAGCCTTGATGGAAATAGGAAGAGGAACGTGATCATCATCATCATTAACAGACAAGGTGCAGTGGAAAGGGAAGCAAAGTTGGAGTCCCTCAGACCTGGGTTCAAATCCTGGCTCTGCCAGTTGCCGGGTGTGTGGCCTTGGGTAAATCACATCTCCTCTTGGGCCTCAGTTTCTCCATCTAAGAAAATGGGTTAGTGAAACAGCCTTCGTCTGTTGTACGTGCGCCCATTGTACATGTGCTGGCAGGATCTTCTGCCTGTGTCTGTCTGCACCATCTGACGTGGGCTGCTCGGGGTTTGTGCTGGCCCCATGAATAGTTTGTGGAATGAGTTATACGCCCTCATCCAGGATCTGATGAATGGAAGTGAAGCATCTACGAAGTGTTTTTCATGTCTCTAGATGTCCCAGATCCTTCCAACAGCCCTCAGAGTGAGGGGGCTGTCAGATGCGCTATTTCAAAGAGAGGGCCCCTAAATATCGAAGAGGGACACTGGCCTGCCCATGACCACATAGCAAGGTGGGAATCAAGCCCAAGTCTCAGAACTCTCCTTCCTTCCTTCCTTTCTTCCTTCTTGTCTTTCATCAAGCCCAAGTCTCAGAACTCTTCTCTTTCCTTTCCTTCCTTTCCTTTCTTTCCTTCCCTTCCTTTCTTTTCTTTTCTCTTTTCTTTTCTTTCTTTTTCTTTCTTTCTTTCCTCTCCTCTCCTTCCTTCCTTTCTTTCTTTCTCTCTCTCTCTTTCTCTCTTTCTTTCTCTTTCTTTCCTTCCTTCTTTTTTTGAGTCAGAGTCTTGCTCTGTCACCCAGGCTGGAGTACAGTGGCATGATCTTGGCCCACTGCAGATTCTGCCTCCTGGGTTCAAGCAATTCTCCTGCCTCAGCCTTCTGAGTAGCTGGGATTACAGGCACCCACCACCATGCCTGTTCATTTTTTTTGTATTTATAGTAGAGATGGGGTTTTGCCCTGTTGGCCAGGCTGGTCTCGAACTCCTGACCTCGGCTTCCCAAAGTGCTGGGATTACAGGGGTGAGCCACCATGCCCAGCCTCAGAACGCTGATTTCTAATACACTGTAAGTGGACACTGCACTCTCAGGACTTGTATCTCCGGACTGGAGGAGCCTTTAGACAGGACAGTCATGGGGTAGGGGAGGGATGAGGATTTCAGCTGATACCCAAGGAAGAATCAAGAGGTACTTACAGCACTGGTTGCTGGGGACAGGCAGAGGCTTGTCTTGCTCATCTTGGAACGAATACTGAAGGGGTGGAGGAAGGAGAAAGGGCTTCTCTCAGAGGGGCCAAAGGCCAGGGGACCAGGATAGTCCTCTGTTCTGTCCCATCCCGACTTCCCTCTACCTCCCAAATTCTCTCCCTCTCTATGAGAAGGATACAGGGAGTAAGAGAGAAAAGGAGAGAAAGACACACACACACACGAGAGAGAGAGAGAGAGAGAGAGAGAGAGAAAGACAGAGACAGAGACAGAGACAGAAAAAGTAAGAAACAGAGATAGAAAAAAGACTAGGGGCCAGGTGCAGTGACTCACACCTGTAATCCCAGCACTTTGGGAGGCCGAAGCGGGCAGATCACGAGGTCAAGAGATCGAGACCATCCTAGCTAAACGGTGAAACCCCGTCTCTACTAAAAATACAAAAATTAGCCAGGTATGGTGGCGCATGCCTGTAGTCCCAGTTACCCGGGAGGCCGAGGCAGGAGAATCACTTGAACCCGGGAGGTGGAGGTTGCAGTGAGCCAAGATCGTGCCACTGCACTCCAGCCTGGTGACACAGCGAGACTCCGTCTCAAAAAAGAAAAAAAAAAAAAGATGGGAACAGTAGACATTGGGGACTCCAGAAGGGAGGAAGGAGGGAGCAGGACAAGAGTGAAAAAACTACCCGTTAGGTACTGTGTTTACAATTTGAGTAATGCCATGGAATTCCAGACCTTAGCATCATGCAATATATTCGTGTAACAAACCTGCACATGTATCCGCCAAATGAAAAGTAAAATTTTTTATTTTATTATTATTATCAATATTATTATTTTGAGACAGAGCCTTGCTCTGTTGCCCAGGCTGGAGTGCAGCAGCGTGATCTCGGCTCACTGCAACTTCTGCCTCCCAGATTCAAGTGATTCTCCCACCTCAGCCTCCCAAGGAGCTGGAATGACAGGCGCCCGCCACCATGCCTAGCTAATTTTTTGTACTTTTAGTAGAGACGGGGTTTCACCGTGTTGGCCAGGCTGGTCTCGAACTCCTGGCCTCAAATAATCTGCCCGCCACAGCCTCCCAAATTGCTGGGATTACAGGTGTGAGCCACTAAGCCTGGCTAATTTTTTTTTTTTTTTTTTTTTTTTAGTAGAGACGGGGTTTCACTGTGTTGACCAGGCTGGTCTTGAACTCCTGACCTCAGGTGATCTGCCCACCTTCGCCTCTCAAAGTGCTGGGATTACAGGCGTGAGCCACTGCGCCTGGCCTCTGTGTGTTTCTTGACCCCATCATTGTCTAGAGACTGGACCACATGGGTCATGGATGCAGTCAGGTTACAAAGAGTTAGAAACAGAGATGCAGGGAAAGACAAGCTTAGAGAGAAACAGCATCTGTAAGTGAAAATCATGGGGAGACAGAGACAGAAACAAGGAAGAAACAGTCCCCTCCCACCCCAACACTCACTTCATCCTGGTCCCGCATAGCATTGAGCTGCTCCAGCTTCTTGGCCCAGTAGCGAGCCTCCTCTTCAGGAATGTCTGCAAGCAGAGCCCTGTCTGTGAGCCTGGAAGACCCTCCCTGCCGCTCAGCCTCCATCCTCCAGGCCTACTGAGCTCCACCCGGGCCCTGGCTTCTGGGGTCTTTGGCAAAGCCTCAGAAGTAGGGGTGGGTTGGTCTGCGGTCTCAGGAGGGTGGATGGAGATGAAGGGGAGGTACCGTGGTGCCTCTGACGCCCCTCTTCCCAGAGCTGAATGGAGAATAGTTGGAGGATGACAGGAGATGGTTCCTAGCCTTTACGAGGGTGGGGAAGCCATTGTTTTTATTTAATTTTTTAATTTTTAAATTGTTTTTTGAGACGGAGTCTCACTCTGTTGCCCAGGCTGGAGTGAAGTGGTACAATCTCAGTTCACTGCAACCTCCACCTCCTGGGTTCAAGCGATTCTCCTGCCTCAGCCTCCCGAGTAGCTGGGATTACAGGTGTGCACCACCATGCCCAGTTAATTTTTTTGTATTTTGAGTAGAGACAGGGTTTCTCCATGTTGGCCAGGCTGCTCTCAAACTCCTGACATCAGGTGATCCATCTGCCTCGGCCTCTCAAAGTGCTGGGATTATAGGCATGAGCCACCACGCCCAGCCCATTGTTTTTATTTTTATTTTTTTAGAGACAGGGTCTCGCTCTGTCACCCAGGCTGGAGTGCAGTGGCACAATCACAACTCACTGAAGCCTCAAACTCCTGGGCTTGAGCCATCCTCTTGCCTCAGCCTCCCAAATAGTTGGGACTACAGAAACCCAGCACCATGCCTGGTGAATTTTTAACTTTTTCATAGAGATGGGATCTCACTAGATGGCCCAGGCTGGTCTCAAACTCCTGGCCTCAAATGATCCTCCCCCCTTGGCCTCCCAAAGTGCTGGGATTACAGACATGAGAAGCTATGCCTGGCCAGCCATGGGTTCTTAGAAGAATGAGGTGGAGAGACTCAAGGTGCTTCCAGGAAAGGAAGAGGGGACTATCTGTTCTCAGCCTCTGTCTACATGTCTCTCTCTGTCTCTCTTTGTCTCTCTGTCTCTGTCTGTCTCTCCTCCTATCCCCAGTTCACTGTTGCAGTCTCAGGCATCACCAAGGAACAGCCAGGATAGCTCAACCCTGAACGCCCTCGGTCGTGAAGCACTTGCAGCTCACTGGGAAGCTACGGGGCCCAGGTCATGGCCCGCACCCAGCAGGTTCACATCCCTGTTCTCTGCAACCCAAGAAACTCTCTCTCCTCCGGGGCGAAGGACCCTCATTCTCAGCCTGAAGGGTCAGCTAGACCTACCCAGGCCTGTTCACTCTCCTGGAATAGCTGAGTGAGTCCACAACTGGGGCTGGGGCTGGGTGAAGGTCCCGGGCCCCTGTACTCACCTAAGGGTAGCTCAAAGCGCGTGTCCAGGAGGATGCGGTGGAAGGTGGGGTCCTTGGTGCCACAGATCTCACTGTCTGCCATGATGACCTGGGAGTCCAGCGTCAGCCACTCTCCAGGGCCCTCCTGGGGGTTGGGGGAGGAGGTGTGTGGGTCAGGAATCTGCTGGTCACTAGTCCCCAGGGCCCCTACTCTCGCATGAGACATCCCCCTCACCCCTACCCCAAAACCAAAGTCATGTCCCCTCTCTATCTTTCCTTCCGTCCTTCCTTCCTTCCCTTCCTTCCTTCCCTCCCTCCCTCCCTGCTTCCTTCCTTTCTTTCTTTCCCTTCCTCCCTTCCTTCCTTTATTCCTTTCTTTTCCTTCCTTCCTTTCTCTCTCTTTTTTCTTTTCTTTTCTTTTTTTTTTTTTTTTGAGACAGAGTCTCGCTCTGTCGCCCAGGCTGGAGTGCAGTGGCGCGATCTCGGCTCACTGCAAGCTCTGCCTCCTGGGTTCACGCCATTCTCCTGCCTCAGCTTCCCGAGTAGCTGGGACTACAGGCACCCGCCACCACGCCTGGCTGATTTTTTGTATATTTAGTAGAGACGGGGTTTCACCGTGTTAGCCAGGATGGTCTCAATCTCCTGACCTCGTGATCCACCCATCTCGGCCTCCCAAAGTGCTGGGATTACAGGCATGAGCCACCATGCCCGGCCTAATTTAATTTTTTTGAGACAGAGTCTCTCTATCACCCAGGCTGGAGTGCAGTGGCGTGATCTCAGCTCACTGCAACCTCCGCTTCCCAGGCTCAAGTGATTCTCCTAACTCAGCCTCCTGAGCTGCTGGGATTACAGGTACGTGCCAGCACTCCTGGCTAATTTTTTGTATTTTTGAGTAGAGACGGGGTTTCACCATGTTGCCCAGGCTGGTCTGCTGAGCTCAGGCAATCCACCTGCCTCAGCCTCCCAAAGTGCTGGGATTACAGGTGTGAGCCACCATGCCCAGCCAAGGCTTCCTTTTAGACTCGCTTACCTAGATTGTTGCAACCATTTCGTCCCTCTGCATTCATTCATTCAAAAACAAACACTCACTGGCCAGGTGCGGTGACTCACACCTGTAATCCCAGCACTTTGCGAGGCCAAGGTGGGCGGATCACTTGAGGTCAGGAGTTCAAGACCAGCCTGGCCAACATGGCGAAACCCCATCTCTACTAAAAATGCAAAAATTAGTTGGGTGTGGTGGCAGGCCCCTGTAATCCCAGCTACTCAGGAGGTTGAGGCAGGAGAATCACTTAAGCCAGGGAGGCAGAGGTTGCAGTGAGCCAAGATTGTGCCATTGCACTCCAGCCTGGGTGACAGAGTGAGACTCCATCTCACAGTAAAATAAAATAAAATAAAATAAAATAAAATAAAATAAAATAAAATAAAATAAAATGACAAAAACGAACAAACAAAAAACAGTCCCCAGTCCCTCCTCTATGCCTGGTTCATATTGGGTGATGCCAGGGTCCCCAAGAGGCCCAGCCATCATCACCCTGGCTCCTGAGAGCCCATAGCCCTTGGAAACAGGGCTGGACACAGGCACCCCCAGCCCCATGAGGTCATAGCCCAGAGGGAGGAAGGAGGGCTAAAGGATCTAGAGAGAAGTCAGAGAGGGCTTCCTGGAGGTGGGCACATGGGAATTTAGAAGGTGATGGAAAGGAGGACACTTGAAGCTCAGGGAACACACTATGCAAAGGTTCAGAGGGTGGAATCTGGGAGGGGTAGAGGTTAGAGTGTGGGGGGAGATGAGGCTAGTGGGCAGGTGCCATCTGAAGGGCCTCCCAAGGCAGATGGACAGGGGAGGACAGATCAGAGCTCCAGCTAATAAGGCCTTCCTGGGGTCAGCATGGAGAGGTTGAGACTTGAGGTTAGGAGGCCAGGGATTGGGCTGTGGGGACAGATGAATAGACATGACCACGGCCTGGCATGGTGGCTCGCACCTGTAATACCAGCACTTTGGGAGGCTGAGGTGGGTGGATTGCTTGAGCCCAGGAGTTCGAAACCAGCCTGGGCAACATGGCAAAACCCTGTCTCTATTAAAAATACAAAAAAAATAAGGGGGGCCTGGTGGCATGCACCTGCAGTCCCAGCTACTCAGGAGGCTGAGGTGGGAGGATCACTTGAGCCTGGGAAGTCGAGGCTGCAGTGGGCCATGATCATGCCAATGCACTCCAGCCTGGGCAACAGAGTGAGACCCTGTCTCAAAAATAAATAATTAAATAAAAAATAGACATCACTACTACCTGCTGACAATGATGCACAGGCTGAGGGGCCAGGGTTGTTACCTAGCACCTTCTTATGAGTTGGTGTAAGCTTCCTGCTGCTGCCCATCTGGGACACAAAATGCTAATTGCCTATATTATCCCTTTTCTCCTTCCAAGGTAATACATTTTTAGCTGTGCCTAGGGAAGCACAGCCCAGGACTACATTTTCCAGCCTAGGACTACATTTCCCAGAATCCCTTGCAGCAAGGTGTTGGCCACATGTCTAAGTTCTGGCCAATGAGATGTGCATGAACCACCCCCCTCCCCCACCACCAGCACCTTTCGGTGGTTGGAATGAAGATGCAATGGTGAGCCTAAAGCAGCCATTTGGGGCCACAAGGTGGAAGCCACATGGAGAGAGAGGCAGAGCAAGATGGAAGGTGTATAGGCTCTAGTGACTTTGGAAGGTTCGTGGCAATCCCAAGTGTCTACATTGATGTTGTCAGGGGATAGGAGATAAATGCCCATCTTGTTTAGTCCACTGGTCTCTGGGCTTCTGCAAGGCACTCCTCCTTCTTCACCCTCAGGCCACCCGCCACTCACCTCATTGGACTGGCGGATGGTCCTCAGTGGGATCCACACAGTGCCCACCATTGTGTCCCAGATGAGACCCTTATTCCACACCTCCACCGTCAGTCCCAAATCCAGACGGTTAATCTCGCTGCAGAAAAAGGAGAGGGGGCGTCGAGGGAGCAGGAGGGAGGAAACGGGGGCCCAGGGAGTTTAGTTGATTCGCCTGAGAACACACAGCATACTGCAATTCAAACCTAGGCCTGGGAGTGTCCTAGGTGGTAGGGTAACATGGTGGTTCTCATTTTATAGAGGGGAAACTGAGGCCAGTGGGGGAAGTTAAGAGCTCGGGGTATCACAAAAGAACCAGGATTCAAAGCCGGGAAGGATGGCGTGGGGACAGATGTTACACATCGCCTGCACCTTCATCTTTCTGAGCCCTTCCTTGGGCCCTCCAACACTGACCATGCTGGGTAAGTGAGGAAGAGGCTCAAATACCCTCCATAGCTCCCTTTACCTACAGGATAAGGACATTCGGGTCACCTCTGTCCTTCCCAGTGTCATCCCCATCTAATGATGTGAGGACACGATCCCACCTCAAAGCACTTTCCCTGCAGGCCTCGCCCTAGACATATGTGAATTCGGGGGAGCAGGAAACTTGGTGAAATGTGAGATTCACTGAATTTACAGTTTACCAAAGATTTATCTTAAGAAATATATTTTTAAAATATGGCCAACCACGGTGGCTCACGCCTGTAATCCCAGCACTTTGGGAGGCCGAGATGGGCGGATCACCTGAGGTTGGGAATTTAAGACCAGCCTGACCAACATGGAGAAACCCCATCTCCACTAAAAATACAAAATTAGCCGGGCGTGGTGGTGCATGTCTGTAATTCCAGCTACTCGGGAGGCTGAGGCAGGAGAATTGCTTGAACCCAGGAGGCGGAGGTTGCGGTGAGCCGAGATCACGCCATTGCACTCCAGCCTGGGCAACAAAAGCAAAACTCAGTCTCAAAAAAAAAAAAAAAAGTATATATATATCTGATATATATATCTGTTGGCTGGGATTGGTGGCTCCTGGCTCATGCCTATAATCCCAGCACTTTGGGAGGCCGAGGCGGGTGGATCACCTGAGGTTAAAAGTTCAAGACCAGCCTGGCCAACATGGTGAAACCCGGTCTTTACTAAATACACAAAAATTAGCCGGGCATGGTGGCACGCACATGTAGTCCCAGCTACTCGGGAGGCTAAGGCAGGAGAATAGCTTGAACCCAGGAGGCAGAGGTTGCAGTGAGCCGAGATTGCACCACTACACTCCAGCCTGGGCCACAGAGTGAGGCTCTGTCTCAAAACAAAACAAAAAAAAAAGGAAAAAAATTCCATTGGCCAGGCATGGTGGCTCACATCTATAATCCCAGCACCTTGGGAGGCTGAGGTGGGCGGATCACCTGAGTCCAGGAGTTTGAGACTAGCCTGGCCACCATAGTGAAACACCATCTCTACTTAAAACACAAAAATTAGCCGGGTGTGGTGGCACACGCTTGTAATCCCAGCTAGTTGGGAGGCTGAGGCAGGAGGATCACTTGAACCTGGGAGGTGGAGGTTGAAGTGAGCCGAGATTATGCCACTGTACTCCAGCCTGGGCAACAGAGTGAGGCTCTGCCTCAAAACAAACAAACAAACAAACAAAATTGGTGGCAAGGCCTGGGAAGGCATGATGCCCTGAAATTGTAGCTTGGAGGTAGTGGTCAGGGAGGGCTTCACTGAGGAGGTGACACAAGCTGAGACCTGAAGGAGAAGAGCCAGCTGGGGACAGGAGAGCAAGTGCAAGGGCCCTGGGGCAAGAACAAGCTGGGAAGTGTTGGAGAAAGGGGCAGAGGTGGGTGTGGCTGGGGCAGGTGAGGGAGATAGAGCGAGAACCTGGTGGGAATCACGGGGAAGGCTGTGGGTTTTATTGTGAGGTCGATGAGCCACGGACAAGTTTGGAACATGGGAGCGACAGGATGTGATTTGCAGTTTTAAAAATATCCCCCTGGCTGCCTGGAGGAGAACAGATTGTAGGAGGTGGATGGCACAGGAGGCCAGGGCGGAGGCTGGCGGGCAGCAGGGACTTGGCTGGTGGCTGCGGAGACCAAGGGAAGTGATTGGATTGGGGATGTGTTTTGGAGGTGAAGGTGATAAGGTGGACAGGGGAAGAGGGAGGACAGAGGGGAGTCACCCGGGATTCCCCAGTGTCCAGCTCTGCCCTGAGGGGCCAGCGAGGTGCTGGGCTATGCCAGGGAGTGAGGTCATGCCAGACGCTGCAGACTCACAACATGAAATCCTGCTCCCAGCTGGGCTGGCTGCCCCGCACCGCGATGGTCGTGCTCTTGACATTCTGCACTTTCAGGGTCACGTACGTGTTGAATTTCTCTGTGGCAGTGAGAGTAGGGGTCAGCGCTGGGGCTCAGGGACTCTCCAATGCCCCTTCCCAAGCTCTAGACCATCTGCTGTGATCCCCTCAGGAATTTCTGGGCCACTCACCCCCTAACCCACAACCCCACCCTCAGGGCACAAGGGAGGGGCCTCAGTGTGGGGAGACGTGGAATTTTGGGATACTTCATCCAGCTGCTTCGAAATGACCATGCCATTGGTTTTCAGCTAAAAAGACTGAGGTCCCAGAAAAGGGGAACAAAATTGACTGTAAGAAACCCCCTTTGCAGGCTGGGTGCAGTGGCTCGCGCCTATAATGCCAGCACTTTGGGAGGTCAAGGGGGGAGGATTGCTTGAGCCCAGCAGTTCAAGACCAGCCTGGGCAACTTGGCAAAACCCTATCTCTACTAAAAAATACAAAAAAATAATTAGCTGGGTGCAGTGGTGCACGCCTGTGGTCCCAGCTACTTGGAAGGCTGAGGTGGGAGGATTGCTTGAGCCTGGGAGGTTGAGGCTGTAGTAAAACATGATTGCACCACGGCACTCCAGCCTCAAAAAATAAAAATTTTAAATAAAAATAATAATAATAAAAAGGCAGGGCACGGTAGCTCACGCCTGCAATCCTAGCACTTTGGGAGGCCGAGGCGGGCGGATCATTTAAGGTCAGAAGTTTGAGACCAGCCTGGCCAACATGGCGAAACCCCATCTCTACTAAAAATAAAAAAATTAGCCGGGCGTGGTAGAGGGCGCCTGTAATCCCAGCTACTTGGGAGGCTGAGGCAGGAGAATTGCTTGAACCCAGAGGCAGAGGTTGCAGTGAGCCGAGATCACGCCACTGCACTCCAGCCTGGGCAACAGAAGGAGACTCTGTCTCAAAAAAAAAAAAAAAAGAAGAAGAAGAAAAGAAAGAAACTCCTTTCGCCTCTCTGAGCCTCATTTTTCCCACCTGTAGCCCCATCTAAGAGTCCCCATTCTACCTCTTAGGACCCTGGGAAGAGCCACTGGCTCAGGGCAAGCCCCACCCCTTACAGACTCTCCAAGGATGGCTGGGGAGACCCGGGGACCCCCATACAAACTGCAGGGACCCCAGGCCAATGGCTGCCCCTCCCCCTATTTAATCTTCTGACCCCTCTCCTGATGCTCAGAAGACATAAAGCCCAACTCTAAGTCTGGGCTGGGACCCCCTCCCAGTCTCTCCAAGAGACAGACAGACAGACAGACAACACGGGACAGGACAGCAAGAGAAGCCACTTACCTTGGGCACCATCAAACTTGGCTTTTTTGACTGTGGAGAGAGACAGAGATAGGGAAGGGAGGTGGGGAGAGATGTGGGGAGGAGGAGGCAGAGATACGGAGAGATTCAGAGACACACCAAGATGGAGACATAAGGAGAGAGACACAGAGGAGAGACAGGCAAAGATAAAAAGCAAAAGAGACAGATGTTAAAAAAGAAAGATAGAAGCAATGTCAGAGACAGAGACAAGGGGAGGAGGAGAGGTAGGAAAGAGGAGGCAGGGATGAGAGGGAGAGAGAGAAGCCATCAGACAGATGAGCACAGGCAACCCTAGAATGGAAGGAAATTTGGACCCTGAGAGCATTCCCTGCCCCTCCCTCTCCCTGCATCCCCTGTCCCCATCAAACTCCCCAAGCTCCCAACTAGCTGTGCCTTTACCCACAATTGAACAAGATTAGAAAGAAAGAGCTGGGCAGATGGTGGGAGAGGCCTCCTACAAGAAGCCCTCCAGGATTGCCCCAGAAGAAGAGGGGAAGTTGAGGAGGTGGAGAAGAAGAAGGCGAGGATAAAGACAATCTCTGATGACTCCACCAGCCCCGACAGGTCAGCAAGACCTCTCCCTTGATTGTCCAGCTCAGTCTGCAATGTCAAATGCTCCCAGGGTTTGGGGAAGCCTCAAAGAAGGCTGGGTGAGTTGGGACAAAGCAACCCAGAGAGCTGGCTCTCAAAATGCATGTGGAGGGCGAGGCACGGTGGCTCACACCTATAACCCCAGCACTTTAGGTGGCTGAAGCAGGTGGATCACCTGAGGTCAGGAGTTCAAGACCAGCCTGGCCAACATGGTGAATCCTTGTCTCTACTAAAAATACAAAAATTTGCCAGGTGTGGTGGCAGGCGCCTATAGTCTCAGCTACTTGGGAGGCTGAGGTAGGAGAATCACTTGAACCCAGGAGGCAGAGATTGCAGTGAGCCAAGATCATGCCACTGCACTCCAGCCTGGGCAGCAGAGTGAGATTCTTGTCTCAACAACAACCAAAAGTAATGTACAGGGAGACACTTGGGTCCTGGCTGGAGGGTTGACAGAGATTGTCCAGCCCCACCTGCTTGTGGGAGGTGTAACCTGAATATATGTCAGGCACCCCACTGAGGTCCAGTCTTCTCACATTTCACATAATCTCACAGCCCCAAGAGATTCAAAGCCATGTCGCCCCCTCCTGGCTCTTCTCAACAGGTATTCAGTTTCCATTGCCAACACCTCTCACACCTTGCTTTTGTCCCCCACATCTTTTTCCTCCATTAATTCTCTACTCCCACCCCCAATCTTCTCCCACACTGAGCTCTTCCCTCCCTTTCCTTTCTTTCTTTTCTTTTTTTTTTTCTTTTTTTTTTTAGGGACGGAGTCTTGCTCTATTGCCCAGGCTGGAGTGCAGTGGTGCCATCTCAGCTCACCGCAACTTCTACCTCCCAGATTCAAGCAATTCTCCTGCCTCAGCTTCCCAAGTAGCTGGGACTACAGGCGTGCGCCACCATGCCCAGCTAATTTTTGTATTTTTTAGTAGAGACAGGGTTTCAGTATATGTCGGCCAGGCTGGTCTCAAACTCCTGATCTCAGGTGATCCATCCGCCTTGGCCTCCCAAGGTGCTGGGATGACAGGTGTGAGCTGCCACACCGGCCCCTTTTCTTTCCTCCCTCTTTTCTTCTCCCCTTTTCCTTTTCAAATTAGTGTCTTTGTTTGTGTAGGCAATGCATGCACATGTTGTAAAATCCAAAACAACCAAAAGATGAGGCACTGAGAATAAAGCTCTTTCCATCCCAGCCCTTCATCTCCCTCCCAAATGCAATCAACGTTGGCAGTTCCTTGTTCCACTGGAGATGGTCCATGCGTCGGCAACCATACCCACGTTCGTTTTGCTTGATTTCCAAGACAAATGGTAGCATTCGACACCCACTGTTCTAATCCTTCATGTTTTTTCAGTATGTCTTGAAGAGCGTGTACTAGCGAGTTGAAGGATAAATTCCTAGAAACAGAATTGTGTTTCTATGGGCAGATGTCACAGCCTCCCATCCCGGGTTTGTATCTCTGTCCTCATCGCTTGAATTTCTGTCTCACAAAAGGCACCTGAGTGGAGCCAGTGAAGAGAGAATTCCCGTGAAGAGCGGGGGAAGTGCGATGGCCCTAAACACATGTCAGTAAAGACTGTTCCTGGCCAGGCGCGGTGGCTCATGCCTGTAATCCCAGCACTTTGGGAGGCCGAGGCAGGTGGATCACTTGACGTCAGGAGTTCGAGACCAGCCTGAACAACATGGGGAAACCTCGTCTCTCCTAAAATAACAAAAATTAGCCGGGTGTGGTGGCACGCACCTCTAATCCCAGCTACTCGGGAGGCTGAGGCAGGAGAATCCCTTTAACCTGGAAGGCAGAGGTTGCAGTGAGCTGAGATTGTGCCACTGCACTGCAGCCCTTGGGTGGGCCTTGAGAGAAGTGAATGCTGGTTTGAGCCAGGTTCAGATTCCTGAGCTGTGTGACCCTGGGCAAGTGAACCCCTCTCTCTGGGCCTTCATCTCTGCTTCCATCTCTGTCTTTTTTTTTTCTAGGTCTGGTTTGTTCGCTCACATCCTCAGCCCCACCCAGCCCCCAGGGAGCGCACCCACCCAGCACCTCACCCCTGGGACTGAAAGAGGCTCAGGAACACTCAGGAATGTGCCCAGCAGGAGCTTTGGGCCTGGCTCCTGGAGGAGGTCCAGCCTGCAGGCGTGGGGACTCTCTGTGAAGGGGGTGGGCAGGGGAAGGGGCAAGAGGTAGAATGTGACGGGATCGGGGGTGGAGGGGATGCTGACAGAGGCTGAGAAAGGCACCCACAGCTGGAGGGACTCATACAGGGAGAGGAAGGGAGAGGAGAGAGGAAGAAATGATGGGCATGAAAGCAAGAGAGGAGAGTCTGGACAGATGGAGAGAAATAGAGAGACACAAGGAGACAGCGAGAGTACCAGGCATAGAGGCACATGCCTGTAATCCCAGCTACTAGGAAGGCTAAGGCAGGAGGATCCCTTGAGCCCAGGAGTTCAAGACCAGCCTGGGCAATGTAGTAAGATCCCATGTCTAAAAATAATAATTTAAAAGGGAGAGAGGCTGGGCGTGGTAGCCCACATCTGTAATCCCAGCACTTTGAGGCCGAGGCAGGTGGATCACATGAGGTCAGGAGTTCGAGACCAGCCTGGGCAACATGGTAAAACCCCATCTCTATTAAAAATACAAAAATTAGCCGGGCATGATGGTGCACGCCTGTAGTCCCAGCTACTCGGGAGGCTGAGGCAGGAGAATCGCTTGAACCCAGGAGGCGGAGGTTGCAGTGAGCCAAGATCACGCCATTGCACTCCAGCCTGGGCGACAGAGCAAGACTCTGTCTCAAAAAATATATAATAATAATAATAATAATAAAAGAGAGAGGGGGAAAGATTTCCACTAGGGAGGGCAGGCAGGTGGAGGAGACACTGGGGAGAGGAGAGGCAGTTGGGGGAGAAAAGTAGGGATGCATATGGGGGTGGGAAAGTGACAGGCTCTGGGGGGTGATACAAGGGGCTCACTGGGGTCTAGACTGGGCTGGGCTCACTTGAAGCTCCTCCAACTGTGCCCTGTTTTATAAACCATGGATTTAGGCTCAGCGGGGAGCCCAGTAGCTCCTTGATCTGTTCTCTCTCTCTCTTTCCCAATCCCTGTCTCTCATCTCCCTCCTCCCCGTTCTATTTCTCTCCACTCTGGTCGTCTTCTTTTGGTCTCTGTTCTCTCCTTCTCTCTCTCACTGTCTCTGCCCTTCTTGTGCCCCTCCCTTGGTCAGTCCGGCTCCTCTTCCCTAAGCCTCAGCTCCTTCCTGCAGCCTCTCTTGGCTAGAGGGGAATGGTCTCCGTTGGGGTCCTCAGGCAGTGGGGGACCGGCTGGAGGGCTGTACCCTCTGATAGCTGAAGCCAGGCTCCTGCACTTAGCTCCCTGCCGAGGTCCAGGTTGAGGACATCCATGATTTTTCATCACTGGGGCTCCCAGTGGGAGAGGGGTCTCAGAGGGAAAAGGGGACAGGAAAGGGGGCCGAGAGTGGCGAGGGGGTTCTCAGGAGGGAAGGGTGTTCGCGGTGAGGGAGGGGATTCGGGAAGGGGGATGGGCGCAGAGGGGAGGGTGGTATCGGGGGAGAGGCTTGGAGGAGGAAGGGGGCTCAGAGAAGGAACCCAGTCTCTCTCCCTGTCTTCCCCGGTCAGTAAATGGTCCCTGAGTCACCGTCTTCGTCGTCACATCCCGCCACCTCCCCGCCTGCGCCGGGTTGCTGTATCAGGGTCAGCGGGGCGGAAGCGCCACCCTTCCCCAGCGGGCTTCGGGTCACACGCATGAGGCTATTTATAGCGTGGGCGCGCGGAGGGCGTGGGAGGCGCGCCGGCGGACAGGGGGGCGGGGATGAGGGGGGTGCCCACTGCTGTCCCCAGCGACGAGCGGGTGAAGACACCGCGTCATGCGGCCTCAAAGGTCTTTGGGGCCCCCAGAAGCGCTGACTGATGAATGTAGTGGCCGTACCCGGGGAGGCTGAGGCAGGAGTTCAGGCTGCGGGACACCCCTGCAGCCTGGCTTCGCGCCTCCGTTTCTGCATCTGGAAAATGGGGAGACGGAGTGGCTGATCTCCCTTCCCTCTCCTTTCTCCTCCTCTTCTTCCCTCCTCTTCCTCCCTCACCCCTTCTGCAGAATGATTATAGTGTCATTTATACTATTATTATTATTACTGATATCTTTACTGTTTTTATTATTTGGTTGTGTTCTAAAGGTGTCCCTGGCCTGGATTCTAGGATTTGAATACCCTGGATTCTTTTCTTTTTCTTTCTTTTCTCTTCTTCTTCTTCTTTTTTTTTCTTTTCTTTTCTTTTTTTTTTTTTTTTTTTTTTTGACAGGGTCTCTCTCTGTTGCCCAGGCTCCAGGCTGGAGGGCAGTGGTGTGATCATGGCTCACTGCAGCCTCGATCTCCCAGGTTCAAGCGATCCTCCCCACTCAGCCTCTCGAGTAGCTGAGACTGCAGGTGCGCATCACCATGCTTGGCTATTCCTTTTTTTTTTTTTTTTTTTTTGTAGAGATGGGGTCTTGCTATGTTGCTATGGCTGGCTTCAAGGCTCAAGCCATCCCCTCGGCCTCCCAAAGTGTTGGAATTACAGGCGTGAACCACATGGCTGACTGACCCTGGATTCTAATTAGGGGGGACTGCAGTCTTGGGGCACTGGCTCCCTGACCTGCCACGTGGGATGGGGTGGGGAGACAGGAGGTGGAGATCCAGCCGTCTAGGGCTTCTGAAAGCCCACCCGCCCCAGGATTAGCTTGGGGGAAGGGAGGAAGCATAGAGAATCCAGAAATAGATTATAGGAGATTTGATCGTTTTGTGTGTGATGTTGGTGGAGGGCATTTCAGCGGGAGATGGATGGGCTTTAGGATAAAAGACCTCAGCTGTGCTGGTTTCGCATCTGGGAGACACTAAATGAGGACCCTTATCCTCCGTTGACACAAATAGACCAGAGCCAGACTGAGCCTTCAGTGTAAAAAACACCAAGAACCTGGAGTTCCAGAGAGCTTCGGGAATAAGGGATTTGTGTGTGTGTTGTTTACCATGAACCACTTAGAAGTAGGCCTAGCCTATAGTAGGTGCTCATTAAATAGTAATTCACGGAAGGAATGACGTCACCTCCTCCATTAATCCTGGGAGGCTGAGCTAAGAGCTGTCCCCCAGAGGCGCGGGCAGGCGCTGTCCACGGTGCTGAATGCTCGGTCCCACCCGTGTACCCTCAACGAACTAGGCTCCCTCCTGGAGTGGCCCTGGGGGACCCCTCTTGGAGCGCTCCTCGGGCCCCAGAATGCAGTGGACTCTCAGAAATGTCCTGCACTCAGAACCGCCTTCCAGAAAGCTTTTAGTCTCCATTAATAAAAACATCATCATTGATTTTTTTTTTTTTTTTTTTTTGACGGAGTCTCACTCTGTAGCCCAAGCTGGAGTGCAGTGGCGCGACCTCGGCTCACTGCAACCTCCGCCTTCGGGGCTTAAGCGATTCTCGTGCCTCAGCCCCCTGAGTAGCTGGGACTACAGGCGCGCGCCACCATACCCAGCTAATTTTTTTGTATTTTAGTAAAGACAGGGTTTCACCATGTTGCCCAGGGTGGTCTTGAACTCCTGAGCTCAGGAGATCTGCCCGCCTAGGCCTCCCAAAGTGCTGGGATTACAGGCGTGAGCCACCGGGGCCGGCCCATCATTGATTTTTCATGTCTTTTGCTCACGATTATTGGGCCTTCCCGTAGGCCAGGAGTCATGCCAGGGGCTCTGCAAGCCTCATTAGAGAGTTCTGGCAAACGTAGATGGTGGATGCTACTCCTGTGCCCATTCCACAGATGAGCACACCAAGGAATGCAGAGGATGTGAGACTTGCCAGGAAGTGGTGGACTTAGCAATTCACACTCAGGCCTGCTGGACCCAGGATGCCCTTATTGGCACCTTGCAGAAGAGGTCCATTGTATGTGGAAGAAAAGTGAGGCCAGGTTAGGGAAAGGGTTAGGCTGCAGCCCTGAAGATGCAACTCTGGAGGGCATCCCATGAGAACGGTAGGAGCTAAGACCTAGATGCAGCTCCTCCTAGCTGGAGGGTATCAGGGACTGAGTAGCCAGGAACGGAGGGATGTGTGAAGGCTTCTTAGGCAAGGAGCAGGGGAATAGCCCCGATGAATGGAGAGATTGTGACATGTCTGTTTACTAGATGCATGAGAGAAGAAAGCAATCCTGGCTGGGCACAGTGGCTCATGCCTGTAATCCCAGCACTTTGGGAGGCCAAAGCAGGTAGATCACTTGGTGGTCAGGAGTTCGAGGCCAGCCTGGCTAGCATGGTGAAACCCCATCTCCACTAAAAATACAAAAAATTAGCTGGGCATGATGGTGTGCATCTGTAATCTCAGCTACTCAGGAGGCTGAGGCAGGAGAATTGCTTGAACCCGGGAGGAGGAGGTTACAGTGAACTGAAATTGTGCCACTGCACTCCAGCTTGGGCAACAGAGCCAGACTCTGTCTCCAATAAATAAATAAATAGAAAGAAGAAGGCAATCCCAGGGCAGAACATCACTCCACAGAAGGGACTTGGCTGTCTCCGAGGTCCTGGGGTCTGAGAGAAGGCTCAAACTTCTGCCAACCCCAGTAGGCTCTAGAGTCAGTCAGCTCCACCTCTGGCTCTGTTCCACCAGGCAAGTTGTTAAAGCTCCCTGAGCCTCAGTTTTCCTCATCTGTACAATGGGGCTACTGTAAGAGTTAAAGAGGGCATGGGCATAAAAATCCTTAACATCATGCCTATGAAATGCTGGGCTGGGCACGGTGGCTCGAGCCTGTAATCTCAGTACATTGGGAGGCCGAGGCAAGAGGATCACTTGAAGTCAGGAGTTCAAGACCAGCCTGGCCACTAGAGATGTATTTGTATTTTTAGTAGAGATGAGAAACCCCATCTCTACTAAAAATACAAAAACTAGCTAGGTGTGGTAGCACGTGCCTGTAATCCCAGCTACTCGGGAGGCTGAGGCAGGAAAATCGCTTGAACTTGGAAGGTGGAGGTTTCAGTGAACCGAGATCACACCACTACACTGCAGTCCGGGTGACAGAGTGAGACCGTGTCTCAAAAAACAAACAAACAAACAAAAAAGCTGGATAAATGGGGTTTGTTGTTGATATTATTGTAAGTTGTGAAGCAAACCCACCCTCACCTAAATTCACTGATTTGTTCATGTCATTTATTCATAACATGTTTATAGAGCCTTTAAAACATCAGTTGGGCGTGGTGGCTCACACCTGTAATCCTAGCACTTTGGGAGGCTGAGGAGGGTGAATCACTTGAGCCCAGGAGTTCAAGACCAGCCTGGGCAGCAGGGCAAAACCCTGCTTCTGCAAAAAATTAAAAAGAAAAAAGTCAGCCGGGTGTGGTGGTGCATGCCTATACTCCCAGCTACTTGGGAGGCTGAGGCAGGAGGATCACTTGAGCCCTGGAGGTCAAGGCTGCAGCAAGCTGAGATCATGCCACTGCACTGCAGCCTGAGTAACAGGCTTTGAGTGAGACTCTGTCTCAAAACAAAACAAAACATCAAGTGGCCTGTGCAAAATGCTGTGAGGCACATAGGAAGATCTGGAAGTAACCCTTCACACCACCATGCTTTTGCTCATGCTGTTCCCTCCACCCAGAGCACCATCTCCCTCCTGCTCATCTCCCCCTCATCACATCTTCTGAGACTCAAGTAAATGGTGGTGGTGGAATCAGGGTAGGCTTCCCAGAGGAAGAGAGCCCTGGATACCCCACTCCTCAGCTCCCTTAGCCCTCCCTCATCTCTTTCATTCTAACCCCATGGGACGTGCAGGAGTGATGGCTAGGAATAGGGCTGGGTCCCAGAGCCAGGAACAGTGCCTGGTATACAGTAGGTGCTCAATTAATGCTTGTTGCATAAATAAAATAAGTGACTTCATGAAGGAACCAGGTGGCATTTACCATTCACAGCCTCAGGATCCTGCCAAGACCTAGTCAGTGGATTACGATGTTGGGAAGCAGCGGGGCACCACATGAATAAATAAATGAAGCGGGCAGAGATAAGGCCCATACACCATACAGGGTGGTCTGCTATGTGTTGGTGCTGGGTGTATACACAAGAGCTTGCATTTGCCTGTACTTGCTTGGGTATTTGCAGCAGTAGTTGGCTCATCTTACCAGGGCAGGCAGGTGCCTGCCTCTACATGGATATGAGTGTGCATGTGTGCAGAGTATGTGCACCATTTAAGTGCAGGTGGGAGTCTGCACATGTGTGTCTAGGAGTGGGGTGTCACTACATCAGAGACACACTGGTGTGTGTGAGCTTGTGGGTGATATGTTAGGTGGAAAACACACATATTGATGTTTGCATGTGTACATGGATGCAGTTCTGTGGCAGCTGTATTTGTTTATCTGCATACATGTATGCACTTGTGTGCAATGAAATACTCAAATGTGTATTTACTTGTATGCATCATCATCCACTTGTTGAAAGGGGCTGCTTTGAATGTCCAGGCAAGTGTTGTCATGTGCATACACACATGGCTTTGACATGTGCTTATATGAATATATATGTGCTTCATGGGGTTGGGGACCTTAACAGATATGTATGGGTACATGTCTGAGTGTTAGGACATGAGTGAATCTTTTTTTTTGAGACAGAGTCTCACTGTGTTGCCCAGGCTGGAGTACAGTGGCAGGATCTCAGCTCACTGCAACCTCCACCTCCCCTATTCAAGTGATTCTCCTTCCTCAGCCTCCCGAGTAGCTGAGACTACAGGTGCGCGCCACCACACCTGGCTAATTTTTTTTATTTTTTAGCAGTGACAAAGTTTCACCATGTTGGCCAGGCTGGTCTTGAACTCCTGACCTCAAGTGATCTGCCCACCTTGGCCTCCCAAAGTCAAAGTGATGAGATTACAGGCCTGAGCCACCGCGCTCGGCTGGACATGGGTGGATCTTTATGTGACATGTATATTGTGAGCATTCATCAGACACGTGGATACATCTATATGCGTGCTGGCAGACACACACACTCACACGTGTGTTGCTGGGACTATATCTGTAGCGGCAGACTGTGTCCTATATACACGTGTATGCTTGTGTTCACACAGGCATTTGAGTACACACGTGTGCCTACGGAATGTGCCTTCCCAGGCACATGGTCTGCGTAGAGCCTTCATACATCCTAAGCATTTGTGTCCACACAGGAACAAGTCTGGGTATGAATGTGTGTAGGGATTGGCAAACGCCTGTGGGTCCCCGGTGGAGGGGAGGGGGGACAGGTATTTCCTCAGCTGAGCTCAGGCAACACGGCAACCCATCTCAGCCTAGCTTCACTCCTGCCAAGCCCACCCCAACATCTCTCGTGCTCAGCCATCCCAGCCCCTCCCCTCTCTGGGCACCATCCCACCTCTCCCTGGGAGACTGGCCTCACCCAGCACTTCTCCCTCTCCCCACCCCTCCCTGCCTCCTACTCCTCCTCACTCCAACCTCACACCTCCCTTTACACCTGAGGGCCTTACCTCCCACCCCTGTCAACCTCTTCCCCAGCCTTGCCCCTCCCAGCGATTCCTCTCCACTCAGCCGGGCCCCTCCCTGTAAAGTCCACAGAATCCAGCACAGTCCTCCCCCAACGTCTCTGTTTCTGGAAGCCTCATCCCTCTTGCCTCCTGCTGCCCCCCCTTAATGCCACCCCCGCAGCCGAGCCTCCTGTTTGCGTCAGAGTTAAGGGTGAGATCCCCGCCCCCCCCCCCCCCCCCCCACTCCACTAGGCAAACCTTCCAGAGAAGCCCAACTTGGAGGATGTGAGGCGGGGTGGGGCGGGATGCTGGGGGGAGAAGAGAGAGGATAGAGGAGTCAGCCAAGAACACCCACGTCGGAACCTCCTCCAGTGCCACCTTTAAGAGCCCGGCTACTTAGAGCAGGGGGAGAGGTCAGTAGGGGGTCTGGACATTCAAGTTCTCCTCCCATTCCGTCCTCAGGCCTAGGCGGTGGGGGTCGCCTAGGGGTCTCCTTCACTTCCCTACTCCCCTAACTCCATAGGCCTGGAGGCTAGGGGATGGAGGAGTTGACCTTTGACTCTAGGGACCCTTCTTCCACCACCCCCAGCCCCGTCCAGCAGAAACGAGCTTAGAGAAAGTAGGCCCCTGTCCCTTTAAGAACACCCGCGTCCACGCCGGCCCAGCCCGGCCGGATTTGCACTCGGAAGCTGCCGCGGCGGGGAGCGGGCGGGCGGGGCAGGGTTTGTGAATGAATCGGCCGAGGGGGAGGGGAGGGAGGAGGAGGGGCGGCGGGGGCGGTTCCCGGCTCCCCGGCCTGCCCACCCTGTGTCCAGGCAGCAGGAGTTCAGCACACGCACGCTTCCTGTCGCCCGAGGTCTCCCGAAGCCTGCAGTCTCAGGCTTGGCAGACACACCCCTTCCCCCACCCCAGCCTTCTTGAAATGGGTGGGAGTGACGGGGGGACCCCAGTCCTTAAGAACCAGGGGTTCAGAGCTCTGTAGGCGTGGAACGGCGGTCCACATCCACCCCTGCCGCCCAAGGTCTCCCAGAGTTTGATTTCTCAAACGGGAGTGCCCAGAACGCCTGGGTTCGGTTGGGCTGGCTTCCCCACGACCCCAGAGCCATAAAGGTGTGGGGTGGGGGGTCATGCCCCTCCCACGTCTCCCTCCCTCCTCCAACCCCAACGCAGAGCGTGGGCCTGGGCGTGGGCCTCTGTGCAGATGGCGTTCTGGCCCCAAAATAGCTCCCCCCCCACCTCACGTCTCCCTCCCTCCCTCTCTCCAGTGCAAAGTGGGTGAGGTGAGGATGGGCCAGGAGGGGGACCAGGAGACATTGCTCTTCCAAGAAGTAGGCTCCCTGCCGAGAAGGCCCTGAAACGTGTTTGGGAGAACCGGAGGGGGCAGGGAGCGGGAAGACCTTCTGGACATTCCTCCAACCCCCTCACTCGGGAGGCCAAAGAGTTAACTGGAAAAGCGCCCCCAGACCTCCAGTCACAGCCCTCTCTGGACGCTGGGAGGGGTCTCCTGTCTCCACACTCCCCCCACTCCAGTCCTCTTTACACCTAGGGCTGGGAGAGTCCTAGAACTCGTGGATGCCCTGATGGCCAAGCCCCTCTACCTATATCTTACATCCCCACGGCTTGGAGAACCCTCCCACCGCACTCTCCTTCGAATTTCCAGCCGGGTCCGCGTCCATGAGGACCCGTAACCCAGCCCACAACACCAGACCCCTTCCAAGCACCCCTGCAGGCTTCAATCAAACTACCGAGCCCAGACTCTTCCTCACTGACCCTCTAAAAACCTGGTCTACACAGACGCCCCAGTCTAGATCGTTTCCGGGTAGAACCCCGGATACCCGTCCACGTCCACACGGGCCTCCGCGTTCAGCCGCGTCCACACGACCCCTCCAGCAGCGGCCACCAGGACCCCCGAGAGCCCTGCCGCGTCTACACGGATCACCCCCTCCGGGGCCCAGCTGCGTCGACAAGGGCTACCCCTCTCAAAAGTCCAGCCACCTGGACTCGGGTCACCCCCCAGGAACCCCCTGGGAGCCGCATCCACGCGGACCCCGACCCCAGCCCGCGTCCACACGGGTCCCCCGACCCCCAGCCTCGCCTCCTACCTCCAACGCAAAGCAGAGACATGTCTCCGAGCTCGCAGGTGGGCCGGAGGCGGCCGGGCCGGCTCTGTCGGGTCGGGCTCAGCGGCCGCTGGGCTGGGGCATCTCCCGGCTGCAGCCCGCGCTTGGCTCACGCCGGGGCCCGGCCGCCACCGGCCATCTTGGTTCAGCACCGGGGGCGCGGACAGCGCCTGACGTGGCGCTGATGCGGGGCGGGCAGGCGGAGCCCAGGGACGCCTGATGGGGCGGGGGCGCTGCGGGCTGGGGGGGCGTTAAAGGGCCTGGCTCCGGGAAGGGGCGCCTCGCCCCACACCTCCTCGTTGCAGGGGGACAAGGGGCGACGGCGGCCCCCAAGCAGGTTTCCTCCTGTGCAGACCCTCACCTGCACTGAAATGGTGCACGTGCCCCCGCCACCCATGCATGGACATTCCTGCCCTGGTAACCTGGGCAAACGCCTCCCTGCAATACTCAAGCAAGTACAGGCAAATGCAAGCTCTTGTGTGTACGCCCGGCACCAGCACCGGGCAGATGGTCCTGTTCTCTGAGTATCTCTCTTCCTCTGTCTCTACGTCTCTGTCTCTCTAACTCTACTGCCTGGTCTCTTTCTCTCCCTGGGTCTCTGTTCCTCTGACTCTGTCCACTGCTCTCTCAGTCATGTGTCTCTTAGCCTCTCTCTGTAAAGTCTTTTTGCAGCTCTACTGCATCCTGTCTAGGTCTCTCTCTATGTCTCTAAGCCATCCAGCCCATGGGTCCTTGCCCACACTCTGAACTCCTTTTCATCCATCAATGTCTTGTCTGAATATCCTCTCCTCCAGGAAGGCTTCCCTGACTGCCCCAAGCTGAGCCTTTGTTTCTCCTCTCTGGACTCCCCCAGCCCCTATCCCTTCCTCTGATTGGGCCCTGACCCGAACGAAACTCTGCCACTCCTCCCCACTTTTCTTTTTTTTAGATGGAGTCTCCCTCTGCAGCCCAGGCTGGAATGCAGTGACGCAATCTTGGCTCACTGCAACCTCTGCCTCCTGGGATCAAGAGATTCTCCTGCCTCAGCCTCCCCGAGTAGCTGGGACTACAGGCGCATGCCACCATGCCCAGCTTTTTTTTTTTATTTTATTTTTTTTATTTTTAGTAGAGACGAGGTTTCACCATGTTGGCCAGCCTGGTCTTGAACACTTGACCTCAGGGGATCCGCCCATCTCGGCCTCCCAAAGTGCTGGGATTCAGACCTGAGCCACTGCGCCTGGCCCCCTCCCCACATATCAAACTGGGCAGCTCCATGTGGGCCCCTTGCCCTGCAACCTGCTCGCTGTATCACTGGCACCTAAACTAGCATGAAAGGCTGAGCCCCACAGGGTCTCCTGCCCCCAGCCCACATGAAAGAGCTTCATAAATGCAGAATGTGCATGGAGTTGAGTGAGGCCATTGTTCAAAACCAAACTCTGTCTCTCATCACAAGCATGGCCTTGGGCAGGTCTTGTGACCTCCTCGTGCCTCAGTTTCCGCACCTGTAGAATGAATATGATAACAAGTCCTGCCTCACAAGGTTGCTGGAGGTATTACATGAGTTAACATGTGAAACCAGTTGTAATTTTTTTTTTTTTGGAGGTGTAGTCTCAATCTGTGGCCCAGGCTGGAGTGCAGTGGCACCATCTCAGTTCACTGCAACCTCAACCTCCAAGTGATCTTCCTGCCTCAGCCTCCTGAGTAGCTGGGATTACAGGCGCTCGCCACCACATCCAGCTAATTTTTTTGTATTTTTTGTAGAGATGGGGTTTCACCATGTTGGCCAGGCTGGTCTCAAACTCCTGACCTCAAGTGATCCACCCACCGTGGCCTCCCAAAATGCTGGGATTACACGAATGAGCCACCGCGCCTGGCCCCAGTTGTAATCTTAATGCCTAATAGTAACCATGTTTGTATCTGTCACTGCTTTAAATTTTTAAAAAAATCAGCACAGCTAATTTTTGTATTTTTTGTAGAGACAGAGTTTCACCATGTCGCACAGGCTGTCTCAAACTCCTGGGCTCAAGTGATCCTCCCGTCTCAGCCTCCCAAAATGTTGGGATTACAGGCTCATGAGCCACCATGCCTGGTCTTAAATTTTTATTAAACATCAATGAGTAGATGTTTTATTAAACATTGATAATCAATAAAACATTGATGTTTTATTAAACATCAATGAGTAGATAAACTATGAGGAGCAGGCTTGGATAAAAAAAATTACCATCGACCGGGCTCGGTGGCTCACGCCTATAATACCAGCACTTTGGGAGGCTGAGGCGGGGTGATCACAAGGTCAGGAGATCGAGACCATCCTGGCTAACACGGTAAAACCCGTCTCTACTAAAAATACAAAAAATTAGCCGGGCGTGGTGGCGGGCGCCTGTATTCCCAGCTACTCAGGAGGCTGAGGCAGGAGAAAGGCGTGAATCCGGGAGGCGGAGCTTGCAGTGAGCCGAGATCGGGCCACTGTACTCCAGCCTGGGTGACAGAGAGAGACTCCGTCTCAAAAAAAAAAAAAAATACCATCACAATAAAAGACCCCCATGTGCCTCTCCCCAATCTCATAATCCTTCCCTGCAGATGGAAGAACTATCACAAATTTTGTTTTTCATTTTCTTCCTTTTCCTTATAGTTTACCACATGCTCCTTAGCAAACAATACATGGTTACCTCTTGCATGTTTCTATTTTTTTGAGACAAGGTCTCATTGTGTCACCCAGGCTGTAGTACAGTGGTGTGAGCTCCTGAGCTCAGACAATCCTCCTGTCTCAGCCTCCCAAGTACCTGGAACAACAGGCATGCACCTCCATGCCTGGCTAATTAGAGATGAGGGTCTCACTATGTTGCCCAGGCTTGTCTTGAACTCTGGGGTTCAAACAATCTGCCTGCCTTGGACTCCCAAAGTGCTGAAATTACAGGCATGAGCCACCTCATTTGACTTTGTTCACATTCTTTACTAATCTGTTTGTTTGTTTGTTTTTTGAAACAGAGCTGCACTCTGTCACCCAGGCTGGAGTGCAGTGGCACAATCTCCGCTCACTGCAATCTCTGCCTCCCAGGTTCAAGCGATTCTCCTACCTCAGCCTCCCGAGTAGCTGGGATTACAGGCGCCCATCACCTTGCCTGGCTTTTTTTTTTTTTTTTTTTTTTTTTTTTTTTTTGAGACAGAGTTTTGCTCTTGTTGCCCAAGCTGGAGTGCAATGGCACGATCTCAGCTCACCGCAACCTCCGCCTCCCAGGTTCAAGCAATTCTCCTGCCTCAGCCTCCTGAGTAGCTGGGATTACAGGCATGTGCCACCATGCCCAGCTAATTTTTTTGTAATTTTTAGTAGAGACGGGGTTTCTCCATGTTGGTCAGGCTGGTCTCGAACTCCTGACCTCAGGTGATCTGCCCATCTCGGCCTCCCAAAATGCTGGGATTACAGGCATGAGCCACTATGCCTGGCCATGGAGGTTGCAGTGATAATTTTTGTATTTTTAGTAGAGACAGGGTTTCACCATGTTGGCCAGGCTGGTCTCAAACTCCTGACCTCAGGTGATCCACCCACCTCAGCCTCCCAAAGTGCTGGGATTACAGGTGTGAGCCACAGCACCTGGACTGCTAATCTGTTTTGTTTGCTCAATGTGATTCTGCTGATATTCATCCATATCGCTGCATGTGGCTGTAAGGCTTGCATTTTTTACTGCTGCATAGTATTCCTTTGTATGAATCTTCTATTGGCTATTCATCTGTTCTCCAGGTCATGGACTTTTGGGTTGTTTCAAGCTCAGGTTTATTACAAAAAAAAGTTTTTATGACCATCCTCAGACTTCAGACTTGTGTGCTGGCACACATGAGTAAGGATGGCTGGGTCAGAAAATACATATATGTGGCCAGACATGGTGGTTCATGCCTGTAATCCCAGCATTTTGGGAGGCTGAGATGGGCAGATCATGAGGTCAAGAGATCGAGACCATCCTGGCCAACATGGTGAAACCCTGTCTCTACTAAAAACACACACAAAAATAGCCAGGCATTATGGCACACCCCTGTAGTCCCAGCTACTCAGGAGGCTGAGGCAGGAGAATTGCTTGAATCCAGGAGGCGGAAGTTGCAGTGAGCCGATATCACGCCACTGCACTCTAGCCTGGAAACAGAGCAAGACTCTGTCTCAAAAAAAAAAAAAAAAAAGGAGGGAAAGAAAGAAAAGAAAATACATATATGCTCAGCTTCACCTGATAATGTCATGTTTTTTATTGGGAGTCTGGCGATTTTCATCATACCAACACAGTATAATCATCGGTTCCTCTATGTTTTGTTTTTGTTTTGTTATTGGTTTTTGTTTTTTCTTGAGATAGTCTCACTCTGAGGCCCAGGCTGGAGTGCAATGGTGCAATCACAGCTCACTGCAGTCTCCACCTCCTGGGCTCAAGCGATCCTCCTGTCTCAGCTTCCCAAGGAGCTGGGACTACAAGCCTGTGCTACCATGCCTGGCTCATTTTATTTTTTTTAGATGGGGTCTCCCTATGTTGCCCAAGCTGTTCTCAAACTCCTGAGCTCCAGTGATCCTCCTGCCTCGGCCTGCCAAAGTGCTGGAATTCCAGGCATGAGGTACCGTGCCTGGCTCTAAGTTCTTGCCAACACTTTGAATTGTCCAAGTTTTTTCACTGGGCCTATGTGGAGGGAGGGAAGGAGTGCCTCATTTGGGTTTTGGTTTGCTTTCTGATTGCTCTTGACGTTGAACTTTTTATGTGATTACTGGTTTCTTTTTATGGTGAAATGCCTGTTCAAGTCTTTTATCCATTTCTTTCTCTTTTTTTTTTTTTTTTTTTTTTTGAGACTGAATCTCTCTCTATCATCTAGGCTTGAGTGCTTCTACTAATGTTGACATCTTATATATTGTTACAGGGTACATTTTGAGATGGAGTCTTGCTCTGTCGCCCAGGCTGGAGTGCAGTGTTGAGATCTCAGCTCACTGTAACCTGTCTCGCAGATTCAAGGGATTGTCCTGCCTCAGCCTCCCGAGTAGCTGGGATTACAGGTACACTCTCTATCATGCCCGGCTAATTTTTGTATTTTTTGTAGAGACAGGGTTTCACCATGTTGGCCAAGCTGGTCTCCAACTCCTGACCTCAAGTGATCCACCCACCTCGGCCTCCCAAAGTGCTGGGATTACAGGTGTGAGCCACTGCACTCGGCCTTTTGTCCATTTCTTAAAATTTCACTGTCTTTTTCTATTGATTTATAGTTCCTATGCATATTAGGAACAAATCCTTTGTTAGTTTCATTTGTTGTAAAAATCTCCAATTTTGTAGCTTGTCTTCACTGTATTTACTGTGTCATTTTCTGAACAGAAGCTCTTACTTTTTCTTTTCTTTTTTTTTGTTTGTTTGTTTGTTTTAGGCAGGTTCTCACTCTGTCACCCAGGCTGGATGCAGTGGCATGATCACAGCTCACTGCAGCCTCCACCTCCTGGGCTCAAGCCATCCTCCCACCTCAGCCTCCCTGGTAGCTGGGATTACAGTCACATGCCACCACACCCAGCTAATTTTTTTTTTTTTATCTTTTGTAGAGATGGAGTTTCGCCATGTTGCCCAGGCTGATCTGGGACTACTGGGCTCAAGCAATCCTCCTGCCTCAGCCTCCCAAAGTGCTGGGATTATAGGCATGAGCCACTTCACTCGACCTAAACTTTTTATTTGGGAAACAAAAATTTTAGACATACAGAACAGTTGCTGAGGTATAGAGTTGCATTTTACAGTCCATCCTATATACCCTTCACCCAGCTTCTAATAATGTTGACATCTTATATATGGTTACAGGGTACATTCTGAGACGGAGTCTTGCTCTGTTACCCAGGCTGGAGTGCAGTGGCGCGATCTTGGCTCACTGTAACCTCTGCCTCCCAGGTTCAAGGGATTGTCCTGCCTCAGCCTCCTGAGTAGCTGGGATTACAGGTATGCTCTCTACCATGCCCGGCTAATTTTTGTATTTTTAGTAGAGACAGCATTTCACCATGTTGGCCAGGCTGGCCTCGAACTCCCAGCCTCAGGTGATCTGCCTGCCTTGGCCTCCTAAAGTGCTGGGATTACAGGTGTGAGCCACCACATCCAGCCTACTTATATATTTTTAATGCATTTAGTGGTGGGGGTCTCGCTATGTTGCCCAGGCTGGTCTCAAACTCCTAGTCTCAAGCAATCCTCCCACCACAGCCTCTAGCAAAATTTACCATTTCGAACTGGATAATTCAGTGGCATTTCCCACATTGACTGTGTTGCTATGTTGTTGTGCATTAATCACCTCTGTCCAGTTCCAGAACATTTTCATTACCCTGAAATAAAACCCCATCCCGATTAGCAATCACTCCCTTTCCCCCACGCCCAGCCCCAGGCTACCATTAACCTGCTTCTCATCTCTGTGGATTTAAGTTATTCAACTTGCTCAGTCTTTTGCAGTGTAGGACACCATGTCTAACTCATAGCATACTTGCTTGTTTAAGAAATCCTTTCCCGGGTGGGTGCATTGGCTTACACCTATAATCCCAGCACTCTGGGAGGCCAAGGCGGGAGGATCACTTGAACCCAGAAGTTCAAGACCAGCCCAGGCGACATAGGGAGACCCCGGCTCTACAAAACATACAAAAATTCGCCAGGAGAGGTGGTGCACACCTGTAGTCCCAGCTACCTGAGAGGCTGAGGTGGGAGGATCACCGGAGCCTGGGAGGTCGAGACTGCAGTCTGCAATGAGCTGTGATTGTGCCACTGCACTCAAGCCTGGGTGATAGAGTGAGACCCCGTTTAAAAAAAAAAAAAAAAGGAAAGAAAGAAAGAAAAAGAGGCCGGGTGCGGTGGCTCACGCCTGTAATCCCAGCACTTTGGGAGGCCGAGGCGGGTGGCTCACGAGGTCAGGAGAACAAGACAATCCTGGCTAACACGGTGAAACCCGTCTCTACTAAAAATACAAAAAATTAGCCGGGCGTGGTGGCAGGCACCTGTAGTCCAAGCTACTTGGGAGGCTGAGGCAGGAGAATGGCATGAACACGGGAGGCAGAGCTTGCAGTGAGTGGAGATCATGCTACTGCACTCCAGCCTGGGTGACAGAGCGAGACTCCATCTCAAATTAAAAAAAAAAAAAAAGAGAGAGAGAGAGAAAGAAAGAGAAAAAGAAAAGAATAGAAGAGAAGGAAGGGAGGGAGGGAGGAAGGAAGGAAGGGAAAGAAAGAGAGAGAGGGAGAGAGGGAAAGAGAGAGAGACAGAAAGAGAGACAGAAAGAGAAAAAAGAGAAAGAAAGAGAAAGAAAGAAAAGAAGGAAAGAGAGAAAGGAAAGGAAAGAAACAAAGAAAAAGGAGGGAGGGAGGGAAGGAAGGGAGGGAGGGAGGAAGGAAGGAAGGAAGGGGAAAGAAAGGAAAGAAATCATTTTCTGCCCCAGCGTCATAAAGATCTTCCCATACGTATTCTACATTTTTTGAGTCTTGTCATTTGCAGTCATGTCTTGACTTCTCTTGGAACTGATTTCTGAGTGTGGAGTAAGATAAAGTCCAATCGCATATTTTGTCCATGGGGATGATCTATTGTCCCAATACCCTGTAATGAAACTCACAAAGCAAGTTTTCATGCATGTGTGGATTTAACAGCAAGCATAGACCAACCAGAAGTCAAGCAGTGCTGCTGGATGTCTGCCCACCTGGAAGTCTGGTCTAGGATCTCTCTTCTGTCCCAGAGGCTGATCTATTCCTGGTAGAAGCTTTGTGCTAATCGTTTACATCTGCCAACACCAGTCACTCATCTTGCTCTGCTTCACAAGCATCTGACTTATTCTTTGCTTTCTTCTCAGCTTTTTGGGTTGCATGGAGAAACTCAGTTGGGACTTAGATTGGAATTGCATTGAATCTATAAACCAAATCAGGAGAATGAGCATCTTTTGTGATTGAATCTTTCAAAGTGAACATACAGTGAATAATTCCATTTATCTATCTTTCAGCAAAGCTTATAACTTTGGGATTTTTTTCTAGATGCTTTGAGTATTTGGTGCTGTGGATAAGTGGCCTATTTATTTGGGGGACAGGGTCTGACTCTGTCACCCTTTCTGGAGTGCAGTGGTGCAATCATACCTCATTATAGCCCCAACCTCCCTGGCTCAAGTGATCCTCTTGCCTCAGCCACCCCAGTAGCTGGGACTACAGGTTTATGTCACCATTCTTGACTAATTTTTTATTTTTTGTAGATACGGGGTCTCCCTATGTTGCCCAGGCTGGTCTTGAACCCCTGGGCTCAAGCGATCCTCTTGCCTCATCTCCCAAAGTGCTGGGATTACAGTCGTAAGCCACTGTGACCAGCATCTATCAAGCTTTCTCAACTTTTTGTAAACCCAATAATTAGATGTGCACATTCTTTGGGAGTTTATTGCGTATGAGGATGTTATCTGCAAATAAAGACACTCTTTTTTTTTTCTTTTTCCTTTTTTTTTTTTTTTTTGAGGCAGGGTCTCGCTCTGTCACCCAGGCTGGAGTACAGTGGTGCGATCTTGGCTCACTGCAACCTCTGCCTCCTGGGTTCAAGCAATTCTTGTGTCTCAGCCTCCCACATAGCTGGGATTACCCTCCCCAGGCTCAGGTGATCCTCCCACCTTAGCCTCCTGAGTAGCCAGGACTACAGGTACACACCACCATGCCCAGCTAATTTTTTTTTTTTGAGATGGATTCTCACTCTGTCCCCCAGGCTGGAGTGCAGTGGCGCAATCTCGGCTCATTGCAACCTCCACCTCCCTGGTTCAAGCAATTCCCCTGCCTCAGCCTCCCGAGTAGCCGGGATTAGAGAAGGGACAAGAGTGAGTCCAGGTCAGGCAAGCCACCACGCCCAGCTATTTTTTGTATTTTTAGTAGAGATGGGGTTTCGTCACATTGGCCAGGCTGGTCTCGAACTCCTGGCCTCAAGGTCTCGAACGCCTTGGCCTCCCAAAGTGCTGAGATTACAGGCGTGAGCCACCGTGCCAGGCCTAAAGACACCCTTAATTCCTCCTTTCCACTCCTCAGAACTTTCATTTCTTGTTTTCTTTAGTAAAATGCGCAGCACCATGTTAACAGGCATTCCTGCCTTGTTCCAATTCTGAAAGAGAATGTTTCAACGTTCATCATTGATCATTTGGATCCAATTAATTTTTAAGCCCTGGTGCCTCATTTCATTCCCACCAACAGCATAGCTCGGCTGATTCGAAAGGTATTGATTTGAGCTGTCTCCTCCTCCCTCCAATTAATTATGCCATGCTGCTTCTGTCTTCTCTTGCCCTCTCTTCTCTGTGGCCCCCTCTTTTTTTTTTTAGACACAGTTTTCCTCTTGTCATCCAGGCTGGAGTGCAGTGGCATCATCTCAGCCTGCAACCTCCGCCTCCCAGGTTCAAGCGATTTTCCTGCCTTAGCCTCCCAAGTAGCTGGGATTACAGGCATGAGCCACCACACCTGGCTAATTTTGTATTTTTAGTAGAGACGGGGTTTCACCATCTTGGCCAGGCTGGTCTCGAACTCCTGACCTTACGTGATCCACCTGCCTTGGCCTCCCAAAGTGCTGAGATTACAGGCGTGAGCCTCCACACCCGGCCGGCCCCCTCTTTTATTTATTTATTTATTTACTTATTTTTGAGACAGTCTTTGTCACCCAGACTGAAGTGCAGTGACAAGATCTCGGCTCACTGCAACCTCCATGTGGCCCCCTCTTAACTTCATTCCCCTCCAGGTGCATCTGCATTTGGAGCCTTTGCAAACCCTGTGTGACTCTCTGTGTCTTTCCATCTCTCTTCTCTTGGCTTCCAATTTCATGCTTTCTCTCCACCACCCTAGGAAACCCACAAAGAAAAATAATGGAAAGAGAAGTGATGGGAGATAATGTACAGGCTGGTGAAAAGTACAACCCCCCCACCTGCAGAGTGAGGCTACCACTGCCAGCAAATGCAGACACATCATTCCTGCCTTGCTGAGCTCCAGGGCTTCCCCAGGGACCCTGCTCTTATCAAAACCTGCCCACCCCCGGTGCCAAAAGCAGCGATGAAAACATCTGGGCTTTAGATGAGAAGAGTTTCACGGCACAGCATCTGTCCAGCTCAGCTTTTGAATGGAGAATGAATGGTAAGAGCTTTTTTTCTTCTTTTTGTGAGATGGTGTCTCACTCTGTCGCCCAGGCTGGAGTGCAGCGGCACAATCACGGCTCACTGCAGCCTCGACCTCCCCAGGCTCAGGTGATCCTCCCACCTTAGCCTCCTGAGTAGCCAGGACTGCAGGTACACACCACCATGCCCAGCTAAGTTTTTTTTTTTTTTTTTGAAATGGAGTCTCTGTCGCCCGGGCTGGAATGCAATGGCGCAATCTCGGCTCATTGCAACCTCCACCTCTCTGGTTCAAGCAATTCCCCTGCCTCAGCCTCCCGAGTAGCTGGGATTACAGGCGCACGCCACCACACCCAGCTAATTTTTTTTGCATTTTTAGTAGAGAAGGGGTTTCACCATGTTGGCCAGGCTGGTCTCAAAGTCCTGACCTCAGGCAATGTGCCCCCTTCGGCCTCCCAAAGTGCTGGGATTACAGGCATGAGCCACCGCGCCCGGCCCCAGCTAATTTTTTGTACTTTTGTAGAGATGAGGTTTCATCGGGTTTCCCAGTCTGCTCTTGAACTCCTGGGCTCCAGCAATCCTCCCACCTTGGCCTCCCAAAGTGCTGGGATTACAGGCATAAGGTACCCGCACCCGGCTGGGCAGAGCTTTTTCTAGCAGCCCCAATCCAAGGCAAACTTGCTTGGTCTTCAGATAAATTCCCAGTCCTTACGGGGTGCATTTGATGTTCCTGGCACTGTGCAAAGCTCCATGGAGTAGACGGATACCGATGAGACGTCAATTTGTTCAGCCAGCGTTTGCTGGTGCCATCTGGATGCTGGGAACTAAGCTTGTCACCAGGTTCTGCCAGGCGACATTGTCCCTAGCATGGGAAGTGGGAATGAACAAGCAGGCAGAGGAAGTCAAGGACGATTATGAGGCGATGGGAAGGGTCTGGTGACAGAGAGGGATGGAAGGGGTGGGGGAATCTGCTTCCCGGAGGAGGCAACACGAGAGCCAAGATGTAAAAGAGGTGGAGCCAGGCAGGGAGAGAGATGAGGGACAGGCATTCACAGGACAGGTGCAAAGGCCCTGAGGTGAGGCTGTGCCTGGTGTGTTGGAGAAGCCGAGAAGGCTTGTGTGAATGAGTGAGGGGGAGAGAGGAAAAGAGAGAAAGGGGACCGGACATGGTGACTCACCCCTGTAATCCCAGCACTTTGGGAGGCCAAGGCGGGCAGATAACCTGAGGTCAGGAGTTCGAGAGCAGCCTGCCCAACATGGTGAAACCCCGTCTCCACTAAAAAATTACAAAAATTAGACAGGGGTGGTGGTGCACGCCTGTAGTCCCAGGTACTCCAGAAGCTGAGGCAGGAGAATCACTTGAGCCTGGGAGGCAGAAGTTGCAGTGAACAGAGATTGTGCCACTGCACTCCAGCCTGGGCAAAACAGCGAGACTCTGTTTCAAAAAAAAAAAAAAGAAGAAGAAGAAGAAGAAGAAGAATAGAGAGAAAGGGAACTGCGGGGGAAGGTCATTCAGGGCCTCAGGGCAGGGGATGGAGAAGGCTCTGGAATTTACTCTGAGATGGACAGACAGAGAGATGGAGAGAGAGTGACTGAGAAGGAAGAAGAGATGGGGGTTCAGCTCTGCAAGACAGGGCTGAGACTCCAGCCCAAGCCTAAGTGGCCACTGAGGTCTTGTTCTAACCCGTGTCTCCCCACCCCCAGACCTCTCTCTGATGCCCCCAACTGCACTGGCAGGGAGTGACCACCTTGAACGGAAAACGGAATCAGAACACTGTGGGCACTCCATAAACATGAGTGAGTCAGTACGTGGTGGAGGGAGTGAGGGAGGGATGGAGTCGGGGGCGGGGAGGGGGGCAGGTCAGCAGGGATACAGACTATGCCAGGCCTCCTGATCACAGGAAAGAGTGTGGGCTATACTATGAGGGTAATAGGGAGCCACGGGAGGGCTTTGAGCAGAGGAAGGGCGTGATCTGCTTTATGATTTTTTTTTTTTTGAGATGGAGTCTCGCTCTGTCGCCCAGGCTGGAGTGCAGTGGCGCGATCTCGGCTCACTGCAAGCTCTGCCTCCCGGGTTCACGCCATTCTCCTGCCTTAGCCTCCCAAGTAGCTGGGACTATAGGTGCCCACCACCACGCCCAGCTAAATTTTTTTGTATTTTTAGTAGAGACGGGGTTTCATATGTTAGCTAGGATGGTCTCGATCTCCTGACCTCGTGATCTGCCCATCTTGGCCTCTCAAAGTGCTGGGATTACAGGCGTGAGCCACCGCTCCCGGCCTGCTTTATGATTTTAAGAATCCATCTGGGGCTCCCTAGGGGAGCAAGGATGGCTGGGGGCAGGAGTGTAGGTGGCAGGGAGCCAGGACAGCATCCACACAAGATACAGCAGGCCCCTTAGGAGCTCAGGGAGGCTCAGTTTCATTCTGGAGCCGGAGACTGCAGGACCTGCTGATGCACTGAACATGCAGGGTAAGGAAAGAGAAGGGACAAGAATGAGTCCAGGTCAGGTGCAGTGGCTTATGTCTGTAATCCCAGCACTTTGGGAGGCCGAGGCGGGAGGATTCCTTGAGGGAGACCAGGATTTTGAGATCAGCCTGGGCAACAGAGTGAGACCCCATCTCTACAAAAATTTTTAAATGAGCTGGGCATGGTGGTGTGTGCCTGTAGTCCCAGCTACTCAGGAGGCTGCAGTGGGAGGACTGCCTGAGCCAAGGAGATGGAGGCTGCAGTGAGCTATGACTGCACTACTGCACTCCAGCCTGGGTCTAGGTGACAGAGTGAGACTCTGTCTCTTTTTTAGTTTGTTTGTTTTGTTTTGTTTGTTTGAGACAGAGTCTCCCTCTGTTGCCCAGGCTGGAGTGCAGTGGCACAATCTCGGCTCACTGCAACCTCCGCCTCCTAGGTTCAAGCGATTCTTGTACCTCAGCCTCCTGAGTAGCTGGGATTACAGGCACCCGCCACCACGCCCCACTAGTTTTTTGTATTTTTAGTAGAGACAGGTTTTCACCATGTTGGCCAGGCTGGTTTTGAACTCTTGACCTCAAGTGATCTGCCTGCCTCAGCCTCCCAAGGTGCTAGGATTACAGGCATGAGCTACCACGCTCGGCTGACCCTGTCTCTTAAAAAAATAAAATAAAGAGGGCCGGGCGCGGTGGCTCACGCTTGTAATCCCAGCACTTTGGGAGGCCGAGGCAGGTGGATCACGAGGTCAGGAGATCGAGACCATCCTGGCTAACACAGTGAAACCCCGTCTCTACTAAAAATACAAACAATTAGCCAGGCATGGTGGCGGGCGCCTGTAGTCCCAGCTACTCACGAGGCTGAGGTGGGAAAATGGCATGAGCCTGGGAGGTGGAGCTTGCAGTGAGCCGAGATGGCGCCACTGCACTCCAGCCTGGGCAACAGAGCAAGACTCCATCTCAAAAAAAATAAAATAAAATAAAATAAAGAGCGTATCCAGGAATCAGGACCCAGGCTACTGTGTGATAGTGGAGGCACCAACAGGATGGAGAAGGGGCAGATCTCAGGGCGAGTAACTATTCTAAGAGCCAGGTTTTGGCCTTGTGAGTGTGAAATGCCTGCAAGGCACTCAGTGGAAATATCCAATGCCATTGGATACTGAGGCCTGGAGCTCTGGGGAGATGCAGGCTGGAGACACCAATGGGATAGTCGACAACACGCAATGAGGTGTGGCTATTTGGGGCAAGGGCATAGATACAAGGTCAAGGGACACCCTGCTCTTCCAGGACTATCAAAGCCAAGACATCACACCCAGGGGTCCACCCTTTACAACTCTGTCCATGCCCAACGCCAGTCCCTGTTATCAGGTCAGCAGGAATGCTACCTGCAGGGAACATGGAATTCAGTGTCCTTGGGCTTACCATAGGTGCTCCTCTTCTTCTCTCAAGTGCCTATTTATTTATTTATTTATTTATTTATTTATTTATTATTTGAGATGGAGTATCACTCTGTCACTAGGCTGGAGTGCAGTGGCGCAATCTTGGCTCACTGCAACCTCTGCCTCCTGGGTTCAAGCAATTCCCCTGCCTCAGCCTCCCGAGTAGCTGGGACTACCATGCCCAGCTAATTTTTTTTTTTTTTTTTTTGTATTTTAGTAGAGATGGGGTTTCACCGTGTTGGCTAGGATGGTCTCAATCTCCTGACCTCGTGATCCACCCGCCTCGGCCTCCCAAAGTGCTGGGATTACAGTCAAGTGCTCATTTATAGATGGGGAGACTGAGTTCCTGAGAGTTTGGGGCAGCAGGCAGCGGGGCGGGGGAGGGGGACAAGGCTGGGACGTGAAGTGGGTCTGGAGTAACTCTCAGAATAGGCCGTTTCTGCAATGCAGACGTCTGTGTAATCGTTCATTCATTCAATGAACGTAGTTTGGATCCACACCCTTGCCCATCTCGCGCTGATCTGAAAGGGGACGTTTCTGTTAGGTGTGGTGGCTCACGCCTGTAATCCCAGCACTTTGGGAGGCCAAGGTGGACGGATCACCTGAGGTCAGGAGCTGCAGACCAGTCTGGTCAACATGGTGAAACCCCGTCTCTACTAAAAATACAAAAAAAAATTAGCTAGGCGTGGTGGCGCCTGCCTGTAGTCAGTCCCAGCTACTTGGGAGGCTGAAGCAGGAGAATCACTTGAACCTCAAAGGCAGAGGCTGCAGTGAGCCGAGATCACGCCACTGCACTTCAGCCTGGGTGCAACAGAGTGAGACCCCATCTCAAAATAATAATAATGATGATGATAATAATCATAATGATGAAAGGGGCATTTCAACGTTCACCATTGAGCACTCGGATCCAATTAATTTTTAAGCTCTGGTGCCCCATTTTCTTCCAGCCAACAGCTCAGCTAATTCCAAAGCTATTGATTTGAGCCTTCTCATCCCTCCACTTAATTATGCCGGTGCTGTCTGTATCTTCTCTTGCCCTTTTTTCTCTGCGGCTCCTTCTTTGCCAAGGTCAAGGGTCCAGCGAGCAAGGAGGATCTCGCTCAGCACAGGGAATTGGAGGAAGGACATTCCTGGCCGAGGGCAGGGTGTGTGCAAAGGCTCTGAGATTGGACCTCTTATTGAACTTAATTGTAGCTGTCAGGCTGCCTGGGGCAGAGAAATCGATGAGGGCAAACTTGGCTTATCGCCTATAAAATGAGGATAAAAAATAATGGTTTCTGCCAGGTGCGGTGGCTCAAGTCTGTAATCCCAGCACTTTGGGAGGCCAAGGCGGGCAGATCACCTGAGGTCAGGAGTTCAAAACCAGCCTGGCCAACATGGTGAAACCCTATCTCTACTAAAAGTTTAAAAATCAGCTGGGCGTGGTGGCGGGCGCCTGTAATCCCAGCTACTCGGGAGGCTGAGGCAGGGGAATCGCTTGAACCCAGGAGCCAGAGGCTGCAGTGAGCCGAGATCGCGCCACTGTACTCCAGCCTGGGCAACAGAGTGAGGCTCTGTCTCAAAAACAACAACAATAACAACGACAACAGATAATAATAATAATAATTAATAATAATGGTTTCCCAGAGAATTAAATGGGACAAAGGCAACATCAATCTTTTGAAAGTTCCAGGCCCTGCCCTGCAGGGATGTAGGGTGGAAATAACACTAGGCTGCAAAATGACTGGATGGGCCTGGAGTGGTTGGATGGGATTGGATGGATCATAAACAAAAGTGATTGGATTGGTCAAGAGGAGGAGACGGAGGCAGGAAATAAAGGCAGACAAAGGAACGTAATAGGTTCAGACCCAATGGAGGCGAGGTTCCGGACTCAGAGAGGGGGCCTCAGCCCAAAGTTCCCAGAGTGGCCAGCTGGGGGCAGCATAAGCCATTAGGCCATCCCAGGGCTGGGAGCAGAGGGGAACCAGGGACCCTCTGTGACCCTCTGACGGAGGTTAACTTATTTGACATGTGCCTGCAGTGTGCCAGACATGGAACAGAACTCTACAAGCACTCATTTAATCCCCATAATAGAGTTTGCAGATGGGGAAACTGAGAACAACAACGTTAAGTTGCTCACCCAACGTCACACATCAGGGGAGTGGCAGAGCTTGGATTTGAATTTAGGAAGCCCAGCTGAGGCCCTTAACCTCTGCACTCTACTGGCTCTCCTTCCCCTAAATCTCCTAAAATGACAGTTTAAAACTTTTTTTAAGGTGGCGCCGGGTGGGGGGTGGGGGGCGGGTGTGGGTAGGGCACGGGCATGGTGGCTCATGCCTGTAATCCCAGCACTTTGGAAGGCCAAGGCGGGCAGATCACTTGAGGTCAGGAGTTCGAGCCCAACATGGCCAACATGGTGAAACCCCGTCTCTACTAAAACTACAAAAATTAGCCGGGTGTGGTGGCGCCTGTAGTCCCAGCTACTCGGGAATCTGAGGCAGGAGAATCACTTGAACCTGGGAGACGGAGGTTGCAGTGAGCCGAGATCACGCCACTGCTCTCCAGCCTGGGGGACAGAGCGAGACTCCGTCCCCCACCAGAAAAAGTCAGGCCAGACGTGGTAGCTCACACTTGTAATCCTAGCACTTTGGGATGCGGAAAGATTGCTTGGGCTCAGGAGTTCAAGACCAGCCTGGGCAACAATAGTGAGACCTCATCTCTACTTTATTTATTTTATTTATTTATTTATTTTCTGAGTCAGAGTCTCGCTCTGTCACCCAGGCTGGAGTGCAATGGCACAACCTTTGGCTCACTGCAACCTCTGCCTCCCAGGTTCAAGTAATTCTCCTGCCTCAGCCTCCCGAGTAGCTGGGATTAAGGCGCCTGCCACTACGCCCAGCTAATTTTTGTATTTTTGGTAGAAATGGGGTTTCACCATATTGGCCAGGCTGGTCTCGAACTCCTGACTTCGTGATCTGCCTGCCTCGGCCTCCCAAAGTGCCGGGATTACAAGCGTGAGCCACCACGCCAGGCCCTCTACTTTAAATATGTATATATTTTTTAAGTCAAAAAAAGCAAGGGCTCCCTCTCAACACTCTTTCTGTGTATCTCACTTATATGTCAACTCTGGAAGTGGGTACCATCATTTCCATTTTACAGATGAGGAAACTGAGGCACAAAGGAGTGAGCTGAGGGCCAGGTGGTGTTATGTCCAATGTAAGTATCCTAAGAGCATGTGAAATGAATTTTTGGTTGGGCCTGGCTTGGAAAGGGGCCAGCACGAACCTTGTCTTCTGCAGCCTCCAGTACCTCCGCTGTCGCCACTGGATCCAGCCATGTCCCTAGACCCGCCCTAGCTCAGGGCTACACCCGGACTCACTCTGATCCTCCAAGTCCTGTTTCCCCACTCTAGACTGGCTGGAGACCTCGTGGACTCACAACCAACCTAAGAGGTTGAAGTAGGGAGGGGAGAGAACACTCACCGTGGGGCCTCTCTTTCCTTTGACCCGTGAGAAAACCATAGACCAGGGATGCCAAGGCATTTGCCCAAACCACCCAGGTAGTAGGAGACATTGCTGGACCCCAACTCAGGGGTTTGACTTCTCATATCTATAGGACCACCATAAGGGGACTGTCAGGCAGGCCTATCTCAGACCCTTGGTGCCCGCAGCTGAAAAGCACTCTGGGGCCCTATGAAAATGCTTTACCGGGCCCGGTGGCTCACGCCTGTAATCCCAGCACTTTGGGAGGCTGAGGTAGGCAGCTCACCTGAGGTTAGGAATTTGAAACCAGCCTGGCCACCATGGCAAAACTCCATCTCTACTGAAAATACAAAAATTAGCTGGGCGTGGTGACATGTACCTGCAATCCCAGCTACTCTGGAGGCTGAGGCAGGAGAATCGCTAGAACCTGGGAGGCGGAGGTTGCAGTGAGCCGAGATGACGCCACTGCACTCCAGCCTAGGGGATAGAGCGAGACTCTGTTTCCAAAAAAAGAAAGAAAAAAAGAAAAAGAGAAAGAAAGAAAGAAAACGCTTGAGACCCAGAGGCCTGTTCACTTTGGCTCCAAAATGCAAAAAGAGAACTGCAAAGTCCAAATGAATCGATGTTTAATTACATTCAGACACAGGATGTCACCTTTATTTGGGTTAAATTCAATGCATCTAGAAACAGCCCCGGGGTTGGTTCACTATCCCTAGGAAGACCTCAGGCAGATTGCTACCAGCTGCCAGAGAGCTACTTGTAGCCAGTAGATTTCCAAAATAAAATGATAAATTACAAGAATTAAGTAATACCAGGTGAGCGCTTAGCATATGCAGGGTTACACCCTCGGGCTGTTTTAACTCTTTTAATCCCCACAGCGACCCTACCAGTTCAATTGATGGCGAAACCAAGGCCCAGGGAGGTCGCACCTCTGGGGAGAGACAGAGCTGAGATTTGAACCCCACCAAGCTTGGTGTCTGTGCCCTTGACTCCTCAACCTCACGTTTTACAATAGGGTCATTAGTAGAAAGGGAGGTGCGGGGACGTTGGTGACCGTTAGACTTGCTGCGGGTCTGGATGTCGACACATGGTGCTGCTTGGGGGCCCAGACGTGAGCAGGAATTGGAAACTGGGTCTGGACCCAGGTTGGTCACCTCCGCCGGGGTAACAACACTGCGCGCCACTTTGGTAGGTCGCATCCAGCTCGGGATCTGGACCACGTGGCTGGGATGCAGCACAGCCCCTGACCACGCCCCTGTGACTGCCGCTGCCTGGACCACGGCTGGCGACCAATGAGAAGGCGCACATCAAAAGCTCCGCCTACAAGGCCGTTCTTGCTTGCTGATTGGCCATTTCAGCTTCCCATCACCTCTCCCATCCTCTGGCCTACAGCCTCCCTGGAATTTTTCCCACACATCTCCCCCGCAGGCCTTTGCACACGCTGTTCCCACAGCCAGAGATACCTTTTCCCCTCTTCTCCGGGATAAACTGCTTTATCCCCCCTTCTCTGCTAAGATGGCCCCTCCTCCAGGAAGCCTTCCCTGACTCCCAAAAGTGAGTGGAGGAGGTCAGCTGCTCTCATCACATTAGTTTTCTTATTTGCCTCCCAAGCAGGCTATAAGCTTCTTAGAAGCCAGGACTGGGTCTCAGATAGCTTTGTCTCTCCATTGCCTCACATAGTAGGTACTCAAGAAACGTATGTCAAATGGAATAATTAATGAATTAATCTGGTCTCAAAGATTGAGGAGCACTGAGCTAGCAGTTAGGAGCTAGGAAATCCTGAAGGCAGGGCTGGGACACCCGCTGCTGGCTTGGCACAGAGTCTAACACACAGTGAGTGCTCAATACATGTGTGTGGAATAGAGGAGGGAAGGGACATGTACATCATCCCTGAGGACGGCCCACAGTATGTGCTTGATGTTGGCTCACTGCACCATTTCATAGTCCCCCACAGCCCCAGGGACCTAAGTCAGTCTTATCACAGTTCCAGCCTGTCCAGTTGGCCACCTCTTTCCCCATTTGCCCCCCATAGCCAGCCCTGAGGATGGTGGCGGGAACATGGTTTCACTCTGTCGCCCAGAGTGGAGTGCAGTGCTGTGATCTCGGGTCACTGCAACCTCCACCTCCGGGGTTCAAGCAATTCTCATGCCTCAGCCTCCCAAGTAGTTGAGACTACAGGTGCGCACCACCACACCTGGCTGATTTTTGTATTTTTAGTAGAGACAGCGTTTCTCATGGTGGCCAGATTGGTCTCGAACTCCTGACCTCAAGTGATCTGCCTGCCTCAACCTCCCAAAGTGCTGGGATTACAGGAGTGAGCCACCACACCCAGCCCAAGCCATATATTTCAAAACAAAAATATTCAGCCGGGCCCGGTGGCTCACACCTGTAGCCCTGGCACTTTAGGAGGCTGAGGCAGTGGATCACAAGGTCAGGGGTTTGAGACCAGCCTGGCCAACATAGTGAAACTCCATCTCTACTAAAAATACAAAAAATCAGCTGAGTGTGGTGGTGGGCTCCTGTAATCCCAGCTATTTGAGAGGCTGAGGCAGGAGAATTGCTTGAACCTGGGAGGCAGAGGTTGCAGTGAGCCGAGATCATGCCACTGCACTCCAGCCCGGGTGACAGTGCGAGACTCCATCTCAAAGAAAAATTATATTTATATATATAATATATATAATATACAATATATAGTATATATACTATATTATATATTATATATAGTATATACGATATAGTATATATACTATATATATCATATATACTATATATAGTATATATACTATATATATCATATATACTATATATAGTATATATACTATATACTATATACACTACAGTATATATTTTATATACTATATATACTATAGTATATATTTTATATAGTATATATACTATAGTATATATTTTATATACTATATATACTATAGTATATATTTTATACAGTATATAAAATATATACTATATAAATTATATATACTATATATTGTATATATTATATATACAATATATAATATACGTATATATAATATATAGTATATAGTATATATAATATATAAATATATAATATATAGTATATAGTATATATAATATATAAATATATAATATATAGTATATAGTATATAAATATATAATATATAGTGTATATATAATATATAAAATATATACTATATAATATATATTATATAACATATAAAATATATACTATATAATATATATTATATAACATATAATACATATTACATATATAACATATAATATATTACATTATGTATAAATATATAATATATATTCACCATCAACTTCCACTCTGTGAGAATCAATTGCAACCACACTCTCTTCTCCCAAGAGACCCCCTGTGGTCCCCTTCAGAGCCCCCAGTTCCTCTACCCAGGGCACCTCCTGCTTTCACCCCTTCTTCCAGCCCATTCATGATCACCTGGAGAGTCTGTATCTGGTTCTGTCTCCCTGAGCCTGGAGGATCCTTGAGGCCAGGCTGGAGTGAGAGTAGCACAGAGGGTTTGGCTGGTGGTAGTGGGGAGGGGGATTGTTGAGTAAATGAATGCATCATCTGACTGGCAAACTCCCACACACTCCTCGAAACCCCAGTTGCAAAGTCTCGTTTTTCAGGATAAGTTCCCTGTCTCCCCAGACATAGTCCCCACTTTCCCAGCTCCTGGCTTCACCCTCTATCCCAGCCCTGACATCACAGAGATGGGGGACATCTGTGTCCAGCTGATCTTCCTCCAGACAGATGTCTCCTTGGGCACCAGGACTGAGACCGCTTGGGTATGCCAGCATCACCCAGCACAGGAAAGTTGTCAGGGAGTGTTTATTGAATGAATGAATGAATGGATGGATCTCTTGCAGGGCCTACAGTCAGTTCCCCTGGGTTCACATCCCAGTCATTGCACAGGTCACTGAATCTGTCCCTTGATGTCTCTGACCCTCACTTTCCAGGCAACTACATGTGTTTACTCGAAGCCCATGCCCCAGGTGGTTGTGAAGATAAACTAACACACAAATCTTGTGACTAAAGGGACGTCAGGCTCCCTGGCATCCCAGAGCAGGAGTGAATTTCACCCAGAACCAGCAGCTCTGTCCTCCCCCTGCCACCCCACAGGTGAATCGCCCCACCACTAGCATCAGCACCCAGAACAGGAATGTTGTCAACACAAGTGCTTAGTGAATGCTGATACATAGGGTTGGCCTGAGGACGAGGCAAGGAGACAAGAAAGGTGGCTATTAAAAATCTAACAACCTGAGCTTGGTACAGTGGCTCATGCCTGTAATCCTAGTGCTTTGGGAGGCCAAGGTGGGAGGATTGCTTGAGCCCAGGAGTTTCAGACCAACCTGGGCAACATAGTGAGACCCTGTCTCTACCAAAAAAAGAAAATTTTTTTTTTCAAATTAGCTGGGCACGTTGCCATGCACCTGTAGTCCCAGCTATTCAGGAGGCAGAGGCAGGAGGATCACTTGAACCCAGGAGATCAAGGATGCAGTGAGCCATGATCATGCTCCTGGACTCCAGCCTGGGCAAGAGTGAGGCCTTGCCTCTTATAAAAATAAAAAAAACGTGTCTGGGTGTGGTGGCTCACACCTGTAATCCCAGTGCTTTGGGAGGCCGAGGTGGGCCAATCACATGAGGTCAGGAGTTCGAGACCAGCCTGGCCAACATGGTAAACCCCATCTCTACTTATAATACAAAAATTCACTGGGCATGGTGGTGGGCACCTGTAATCTCAGTTACTCGGGAGGCTGAGGTGGGAGAATCGCTTGAACCTGGGATGTGGAGATTGTAGTGAGCCGAGATCATGCCACCGCACTCCAGCCTGAGCAACAGGGTGAGACTCCGTCTCAAAAAAAAAAAAAAAAAAATCTAGACCCGGTGTAGTGGCTTACACCTGTAATCCTAGCCCTTTGGGAAGCCGAGGCAGGTGAATCGCTTGAGCTCAGGAGTTCAAGATGAGCCTAGGCAACATGGCGAAACTCCCTCTCTACTAAAAATATGAAAATTAGCCAGGTGTGGTGGCGTGCACCTATAGTTCCAGCTACTTGAGAGGCTGAAGTGAGAGGATTGCTTGAACCTGGAGGAAGAGGCTGCAGTGACCTGAGATGATGCCACTGCACTCCAGCCTGGGTGACAAAGTGAGACCCTGTCTAAAAGAAAAAAACAAAAAGGCCAGGCGTGGTGGCTCATGCCTGTAATCCCAGCACTTTGGGAGGCCAAAGCGGGCCGATCACGAGGTCAGGAGATCGACACCATCCTGGCTAACATGGTGAAACCCCGTCTTTACTGAAAATACAAAAAAAAAAAAAAAAAATAGCTGGGCATGGTGGCGGGCGCCTGTAATCCCAGCTACTTGGGAGGCTGAGGCAGGAGAATGGCGTGAACCCGGAAGGCGGAGCTTGCAGTGAGCTGAGATCACGCCACTGCCCTCCAGTCTGGGCAACAGAGCAAGACTCCGTCTCCAAAAAAAAAAAAAAAAATCTGACAACTGAAATGTTGGTAGGAAACAGCCTAGATATTTGTTATCCAGCCATTCCAACCCTGGGTACTCACCGGAGAGACAGGGGGTATATTCACCAAAAGATACGTATAAAAAGGCTTAAAACAGCTTTTTTCTTTAAAGATTTTTTGAGACACAGGATCTCATTATGTTGCCCAATCTGTTCTCGAACTTCTGGCCTCCAGCAATCCTCCTGCCTCGGCCTCCCAAAGTGCTGAGATTACAGGCGTGAGCCCCCACGCCTGGCAATCAAAACAACAACTTTATCCACAATTGTCAACACCTTGTTGAGGCTCAGAAAACAAACCCCTAAAATGAAGGTCTCAGAAACACCAGATTTTCTCTGACCTTCTTCGCTGTCTCCGAGGACCCTTCCCCTCCGCCAGGGTTACCACAGAAACTAGAATTATTTTCCCCAAAGTAGGACAGAGAAACCAGAACTCCTTTTCCCCAAAGCCAGCCATAAGCCCTAAAAATATGACTAACTTGCCCTCTGCCCTTCTGTGTAAAAACTGGCCATAAAGAAATTGGCCGGGCGCATGGCTCACGCCTGTAATTCCAGCACTTTGGGAGGCAGAGGCAGATGGATCATTTTAGGTCAGGAGTTCGAGACCAGCCTGACCAACATGGTGAAACCCCATCTCTACTAAAAATACAAAAAAAAATTACCTGGGCACAGTGGCATGCGCCTGTAATCCCAGCTAATTGGGAGGCTGAGGCAGGAGAATCACTTGAATCTGGGAGGCAGAGGTTGCAGTGAGCCGAGATCACACCACTGCACTCCAGCCCGGGAGACAAGAGTGAGACTCTGTCACAAAAAAAAAAAAAAAAAAAAGAGAAATGATCTAACCTACCTTGTTTGACTGTACGCCATAAGATCCCCATTCCAGAGAGGGTTTTGCCCTATACCCAGAAGGAAAGAACGCTGCTCAGAGAAGCCAAGAAGAATCTAGACAGACAGGCCTTGCAGGGTTTCCCCACTCTGTCTCTGCACATTGAACCTTTTTTGCCCCATGTTTGTTTTTGTTTTGTTTTGTGCTTTGTTTTTTGGAGACAGAATCTTGCTCTGTCACCCAGGCTGGACTGCAGTGGCGTGATCTCAGCTCACTGCAAACTCCTTCTCCCGAATTCAGGTGATTCTCCTGTGTCAGCCCCCCAAGTAGCTGGGATTACAGGCACCCACCACCATGCCCAGCTAATTTTTGTATTTTTAGTACAGATACGGTTTCACCATGTTGGCCAGGCTGGTCTTGAACTCCTGACCACAGGTGATCCTCCCGACTCAGCCTCCCAAAGTGCTGGGATTACAGGCATGAGCCACCGTGCCCGGCCAGCCCAATCTTATTTCTACATCGCTGCTCATACTTTGTTAAACCAAAGCATAAAAACGGACAACTTCCCCTGTGTCTTGGGGGCTTCATTCTGAAGGCTCCCGCATATACAGGTTAAATAAACTTCAATGCCTTTTTTCCTAGTAATCAATCGGCCCCATGGCAATGACTTTTCTGTGAACCTTCAGAGGGTCAAGGAAAACTTAACCCCTTTATCCCTGCAACCTGGAAACAACCCAAATGCCCACCAATAGGTGAATGGATAGTGAAAAATTGGTACCCAGTGGTTATGTTTTTTTTTTTTTTTTTTTTTGAGGCGGAGTCTCCCTCTGTCTCCCAGGCTGGAGTGCAGTGGCGTGATCTCGGCTCACTGCAAGCTCCGCCTCCTGGGTTCACGCCATTCTCCTGCCTCAGCCTCCCAAGTAGCTGAGACTACAGGGGACCGCTACCATGCCCGGCTAATTTTTGTATTTTTAGTTGAGACGGGGTTTCACCATGTTAGCCGGGATGGTCTCGATCTCCTGACCTCATGATCCTCCCGCCTCGGCCTCCCAAAGTGCTGGGATTAACAGGCGTGAGCCATGGTGCCCGGCCTTTTTTTTTTTTTTTTTTTTTTTTAGATAAAGTCTTACTCTGTCACCCAGGTTGGAGTGCAGTGGCATGATCTCAACTCACTGCAACCTCTGCCTCCTGGGTTCAAGTGATTCTCCTGCCTCAGTCTCCCAAGTAGCCGGGATTACAGGTGCCCACGACCACACCCGGCTAATTTTTGTATTTGTAGTAGAGATGAGGTTTCCCCATGTTGGCCAGGCTGGTCTCGAACTCCTGACCTCAAGTGATTGGCCTGCCTTGGCTTCCCAAAGTGTTAGGATTACAGGCATGAGCCACCACGCCCCGCCATGATTTTTTTTTTAATAGGAAAACCCCACCAAAGTGTTGGTGAGGATGTGGGCATATTAGAACCTCCATACGATGCTGGTGGGAGCGTAAAATAGTGCAGCTATTGTGGAAAACAGTCTGGGTCTGGCAGTTCTACAAAAAGCTAAACACAGGCTGGGTGCTATGGCTCATACCTATAATCCCAATACTTTGGGAGGCCAAGGTGGGAGGATCACTTGAAGCCCGGAGTTCAAGAGTAGCCTGGGAAGCATAGGAAGTCTTTATCTCTAAAAACAACAACAACAAAAAAAATAAAAGTTAAAGGGCTGGGCGCGGTGGCTCATGCCTGTAATCCCAGCACTTGGGGAGGCTGAGGTGGGAGGATCACCTGAGGTTGGGAGTTCAAGACCAGCCTGACCAACATGGTGAAACCTCGTCTCTACTAAAAATACAAAATATTAGCCAGGCGTGGTGGCACGCGCCTGTAGTCGCAGCTACTCAGGAGGCTGAGGCAGGAGAATTGCTTGAACCCGGGAGGCAGAGGTTATAGTGAACCGAGATCGTGCCACTGCACTCCAGCCTGGGTGACAGAGCAAGACTCCATCTCAAAAAAAAAAAAAAAAAAAAAGAAAATGTATATTCACACGAAAACTTGTATACAAATGTTCATAGCAAAAAAAAGCCAAAAGGTGGAATCACAAGAGCCAATAATTGTGATAGCCAAAAGGTGGAAACAACCCAAATGTTTATTAACAGATGAACGGATAAAGAAATGTGGCCCGGCTGGGCCCGGTGGCTCACGCCTGTAATCCCAGCACTTTGGGAGGCCAAGGCGGGCGGATCACAAAGTCAGGAGATTGAGACCCTCCTGGCTAACACAGTGAAACCCCGTCTCTACTAAAAATACAAAAAAATTAGCCGGGCATGGTGGCGGGTGCCTGTAGTCCCAGCTACTTGGGAGGCTAAGGCAGGGGAATGGCGTGAACCCGGGAGGCGGAGCTTGCAGTAAGCCGAGATCACGCCACTGCACTCCAGCCTGGGCGACAGAGCAAGACTCCGTCTCAAAAAAAAAACAAAAAAACCCACAAAAAACAAAAAAAGAAATGTGGCTCATCCATATACAGGAATATGATTCAGCCATAAAAAGGGAATAACGTACTGACACAAGATACAACGTGGGTGAAGCTGGAAAACATTATGCTGTGTGAAGGAAGCCAGCTGCAAAAGGCCACTTACTGCCTGAAATGCCTAGAGTGGGCAAATCCTTAGGACAGAAAGCTGATTTGTGGTTGTGAGGGACTGCGGGGGGGAGTGCATAATAGGGAGTTACTGCTGTTGAGGATAGCATTTATTTTCTTTTTTTTTTTTCAATTTTTATTTAAAAAATTATAGGCTAGGCACAGTGGCTCACACCTGTAATCCCAGCACTTTGGGAGGCTGAGGTGGGTGGATCACCTGAGATCAGGAGTTCAAGACCAGCCTGGCCAACATGGCGAAACCCTGTCTCTACTAAAAATAAAAAAAATAGCCAGGCGTGGTGGTGCATGTCTGTAATCCCAGCTACTCAGGAGGCTGAGGCAGGAGAATTGCTTGCACCTGGGAGGCAGAGGTTACAGTGAGCTGAGATGGTGCCACTGCACTGCAGCCTGGGTGACAAAGCAAGACTCCTTCTCAAAAAAAAAAAAAAAAAAAATTCCGAATAGAGCGATAGGGTTTCCTTATGCTGTCCAGCCTGGTCTTGAATTCCTGGGCTCAATGGATCTTCCTGCCTCTGCCTCCCAAAGTGCTGGGATTACAGGCATGAGCCACCATGCCCGCCCTAGGACAGAGTTTCTTTTTAAGAGGATGAAAGTATTCCGGAACTAGATATTAGCGAGGGTGGCAGGACGTTGTAAATGCACTAAATGTCACTGATTTGTACACTGTAAAATGGTTAAAATGGAGGCCGGGTGCAGTGGCTCATGCCTGTAATCCCAGCACTTTGGGAGTCTGAGGCAGGTGGATCACCTGAGCTCAGGAGTTTGAGACCAGCCTGGGCAATACGGCAAAATCCCATCTCTACAAAACATACAAAAATTAGCCAGCAGAGGTGGCCTGCACCTGTTGTCCCAGCTAGTCAGGAGGCTGAGGTGGGAGGACTGCTTGAGCCCTGGAGGCAGAGGTTGTAGTGAGCTGAGATTGTGCCACTGCACTCCAGCCTGGGTAACCTGACCCTGTAATCCCAGCACTTTGGGAGGTCAAGGTGGATCTCTTAAGCCTAGGAGTTTGAGAGCATCCTGGGCAACAAGGAGATGCCATCTCTACAAAATATACAAAACATTAGCCAGGCATGGCGGCGCACACCCGTAGTCCCAGATACTTGGGAGGCTGAGGTGGGAGGATCTCTTGAGCCCTGAAGGTCAAGGTTGCAGTGAGCTGAGATCAAGCCAGTGCACCTCAGCCTGGGTGATAGAATGAGACCCTGTCTTAAAAAAAAAAAAAAAAAAAAAGGCCGGGCACGGTGGCTCATGCCTGTAATCCCAGCACTTTGGGAGGCCAAGGCTGGCCTGACACCGGGAGTTCAAGACCAGCCTGGCCAACATGGTGAAATCCCGTCTCTACTAAAAACACAAAACTTCCTGGGCATGGTGGCAGGTGCCTGTAATCTCAGCTACTTGGGAGGTTGGAGCAGGATAATCACTTGAACCTGGGAGGCAGAGGTTGTAGTGAGTCGAGATCACACCACTGTAGATAGAGAGAGAGAGAGAGAGAGAGAGACTCATTCTGTCAAGCAGGCTGGGTTGGAGTGCAGTGGCGTGATCTCAGCTCGCTGCAATCTCCACAGCCCAGACTCAAGTGATCCTCCCACCTCAGCCTCCTGAATAGCCCACAACCACACCTGGCTAATTTTTGTATTTTTAGTAGAGACGGAGTTTCACCATGTTGGCCGGGCTGGTCTCAAACTCCTGACCTCAAGTGATCCGCCTGTCTCAGCCTCCCAAAATATTGGGATTACAGGTGTGAGCTACTACACCCAGCCTGACCATGTCTATATTAAACCTCAACAAAACTGTTAAAATAAGAAAATAATTGCCAGGAGAAGATGAGAATATCCAGCAGTCCTGAGGGCTCAGGGTTCCGTTTTCCCCACAAATGCCATCATCTGACGCCTCTGGGGATGGTGACCTTGAAACAGTCATGGAGCTGGGCCAGAAACCAGAGACCAGAGTCCCATGCCTGGGATTTGAGCAGTGGTCTCAGAGGCTTCTCAGTTTCTAGGGAAATGCACCCCACATGTCCCACACCAGAGTCCTCAAGCTTGGGAAATGCTTTGGGACAGGAAGACCTCATGGCTCCAAGTACTCAGGACATTATCTCCCAAAAACCTAATGGGGGAGACCTTCATCCCCAAATCAGATCCCCCTAGTGGAGACATTTCTTCAGGCCCTGTAAGACCAACTAGTAATAGAATTAATACCAACAGGCCGGTGCAGTGGCCCATACCTATAATCTCAGCACTTTGGGAGGCCAAGTGGGGCAGATTACTTGAAGTCAGGAGTTCGAGACCATCCTGGCCAACATGGTGAAACCCCATGTCTCTACTAAAAATACAAAAATTAGCCAGGCATGGTGGTGGGTACCGTAATCCCAGCTACTCAGGAGGCTGAGGCAGGAGAATCCCTTGAACCCGGGAGGCGGAGCTTGCAGTGAGCCGAGGTTACACCACTGTGCTCCAACCTAGCCTGCTTGACAGAACAAGACTCTCTCTCTCTCTCTCAGAATGATTCTGGCAAGGGCGACAGAGTGAGAATCCGTCTCAAAAAAAAAAAAAAGAAAGAAAAAAAAGAATTAGTACCAACAATCATAATTCACAGCGTGGGCAGAAGGAAGTGGATAGACTTCCATTCAGAAGCTCCTGGGTTCGAATCCTGGACCCATCCATAAATACACAAGGAAGGAAGGAAGGAAGGAATAGTGGACAAATAGGCCTTTCAGCCCATTCCAAAAGACTTTATCATATCCCTTCTCAGATGCCCAAGCCTTGTGTTGCACAAGGCCAGGGCCCCAGAGAGGCCTCAGGCTTCCAAAAGTTTCCAGCCTTATAGGGGAGATAGTGCCCGACACAGACACTCCCACTACTATTACTGCTCACAGCAATAACAGAAGAAATCACAGGCAGGCGAGACACAGGGAAGGGAGCCAAGGGGGAGGGACAAGGATAGAGGAAGGATGCCAGAACCAAAAAGAGAGAGAGGAAGTGGAGTGCAAGAATGGTAGACGGCACGTGGCCAGTGGCTGTTACACACTGGCCAGGGAGGAAGTTGGGCTGAACAACCTAGATAATAAACGGCAGCGGGAGGCTGATTCGCCTTCCCAGATCTTTCCCATTTCTGTTCTGCTTTTCTTTGCATACTCCCGGAGACAGGGAGCTCACTCCTGAGAAAGGAGGTTCAATGTTTCCTGGGCATGGACCACTGTCCAGAAGTTCCAAGCAAGATGATTTGTCAAGTAGTAGCCCCTATGGGTCAAAGGGCTAAAGGGGGCCAGGCGCGGCGGCTCACGCCTGTAATCCCAGCACTTTGGGAGGCCAAGGCAGGAGGATCACTTGAGGTCAGGAGTTCGAGACCAGCCTGGCCAACATGGTGAAACCCCATCTCTGCCGGGCACGGTGGCTCACGCCTGTAATCCCAGCACTTTGGGAGGCCGAGGCAGGCAGATCACGAGGTCAGGAGATCGAGACCACGGTGAAACCCCGTCTCTACTGAAAATACAAAAAATTAGCTGGGCACAGTGGCGGGCGCCTGTAGTCCCAGCTACTCGGGAGGCTGAGGCAGGAGAATGGCATGAACCTGGGAGGTGGAGCTTGCAGTGAGCCGAGATCGCGCCACTACCCTTCAGCCTGGGCGACAGAGCGAGACTCTGTCTCTAAAAGAAAAGAAAAGAAAAGAAAAGAAAAGAAAAGAAAAGAAAAGAAAAGAAAAGAAACCTCATCTCTACTAAAATACAAAAATTAGCAGGGCATGGTGGCGGACACCTATAATCCCGCTACTTGGGAGGCTGAGGCAAGGGAATCGCTTGAACCCGGGAGGCAGAGGTTGCAGTGAGCTGAGATTGTGCCATTGCACTCCAGCCTGGGCGGCAGAATGAGACTCCATCTCAAGAAAAGGAAAGGAGAGGAGAGGAGAGGGGAGAGGAGGGGAGGGGAGGGGAGGGAGAGGAAGGGAGGGGAGGGGAGGAGAGGAGAGGAGAGGGGAGAGAAGGGGAGGGGAGGGGAGAAGAGGAGAGGAGGGGAGGGGAGGAGAGGAGAAGAGAGGGGAGGAAAGGAAAGAAAAGCCTAAAGAGGATTATCTGGGGAGAGAGAGGTACCCATGTGCGCAACGCAGGCAGTCCCTTGCACAGGCTGGATCTAGAGTAAGACCCACTTGGGTTCAAACCTGCTCTACCACTTACAGGCCTGGTGACTTCATCCCTCCAAATCTCAGTTTCCTCTTCTTTCCTCTGAAAGTGACCACAGTAACTGTGCCTACTCATCTGTGCCTACATACAAGCACAAAACTCATCGCTTTGTGCTTGTATGTAATGAGCTAATGCAATAAAATACCTGGCGCACAGGAGGTGCAGAATAAGTGTTGCCCTGTTCCAGGCAGGCCCAGAGTGCTCCGGTTGTGTCCCAAACACACATGTACTTTCTTACCTCTAAAACTTTGCACCTGCTGTAAACTTCTGCCTCACCAGCTCTTGCCCCACCACCCACAAGGCAAACTCCTACACATCCCTTAAAGCCCTACCTACAAGATAGATTTCTTTTCTCTGTTCAAGCCCTGACCTAGAGAGCTGGGAGCATCCATAGGCACCGGGTTCTGATGCGGCCTACTGTCATGTGATGTGAGTTCCTGGAGGGCAGGAGTTCTGACCTACATGCAGCAGGCACGCAATCAAAGCTTGTTCAATGAAAAAAAAAATGAATGAATGGTCACTTGGGAGAGGCGGCTCCCAAGCGGACACCCAGGAGTCGGCCAACCCCTTTAACGCCCGCATCCCCTGCTCTCCACGACCTCAAAGGGCCTGTAAGTGGTCGACAAAAAGGGGCGGGGATGCGGTGGTTCCGGGCGGGGTCTTCAGCCCTTCCGGTGCGGCCCCTTTAAGAGGCGGGGCCTGCGGGGCGGGCGCCGAGAACGCCGGGGCGGCCCGAAGATGGCGGCGGTGGCTGGATCTGGGGCTGCCGCGGCTCCGAGCTCACTGCTCCTCGTGGTGGGCAGCGAGTTCGGGAGCCCGGGGCTCCTCACCTACGTCCTGGAGGAGCTCGAAAGAGGTCGGGCTGGCCTGGGGGCCCGCGGGAGCCCGGGAGGCGGGCCCGTTCGCGCGTCTGGGCCCGGGGCCGGCGGGGTGGGGCGGCGGCGGCGGCGGCGGCGGGACCCGGGCTCCGGGGCGGGGGTCGCGGGCCTGGGGCTGGGTCCCCTTCACCGTTAGGCGCACGACGCGGGCAAAGGCGGGGTGCCCGTGGGTGCCCGCGGAGAAAGTGGCATCCGGGCCTGGGCTGGGCAGGGCTGCCCCGCCCCAACTCCGGGTGAAGATAGGGGAGGGGACACGGGCCTGGGCTTGGGGACCCTTGCAGTTGGACCACGGCTCCGCTTCCCGCCTGACTGGCCTGCCCGGGGGTAGGGCCTGGGGTCGCTTTGGATCTCCAGGTCTTAGCAGCTTAGATAGAGATCTCCCGGAGGGAGAAGCAGATATGGGGGAGGCTGGGCCTGGAGCCCCGGGGCCCGCTTTCTGTTGCCTCACAAGGAGCTGCTAATTGGGGTGTGGGCGGGTGCGGCCTGCCCTGGGGATTTGGCACCTAGGGAGGTGAGTCATAGGCGCACCTGCCAGGTTCACCTGCAGCCACTTGGCTCAGTGGGACTGGCGGGCGTGATGCGCCCGTGGGTGGAGATGGGTGTTCATCCCCCATCCCTCGGAGCATCTGGACCTGGCGTTTCATTGCATGTAAAATGGGACAGGAACACGCACCTCGGTTCATGTGCTTGAGGAGTGTTTAGTGAGCACCTGCTATGCGCCAGGCCTTTGGGCAGTGGACACAGGGATATGGCCGGGATGATAGACAGGTTCAGCCCTGCCAACACAGGTCTGGTTTGGGGATGGACCCAAAGCGAGTGAGGAGATGGAACAAGCTTCCAGCTCACATGGTGTCAGGAAGGATGAGAAGGCTGCAAGGGACTGAGAGGACAGTCAGTCTTAGCACCCGAAGGTGCTGAGGGGGAAGGGCCCCCTGGCCAGTAGGAACAGGTGGGGGCGGCAGGGGGATGGACTTCCAGGCAGGGGAAACAGCTGTTGCAAGGGCGGTGAGTGGAAACGGGTCTGGCAGGGCATAGGAGCAGCGAGGAGGTGGAGATGGAGGAGGTGGAGGCTTTGTTGCTGATGAATCTTGTGTGTAAAATGATGAGGTGTGCTCTGGGTCCCCTGGCTCAGCTGCAGCGAGACCTGAAGGTGTTGGGTACTTCTGAGTCTCCAAGCTGTGAGTGAAGGGAGGAGGCTGGGGCGCTCCCCACCCACGGGGTGCTAATTATTGAAATATTCTGGGAGCTGGGGGGCCCGGCTGAACTCCCGCCTTGATCCCTCCTTCCCACCAGGCATCCGGTCTTGGGATGTCGATCCTGGCGTCTGCAACCTTGATGAACAGCTCAAGGTCTTTGTGTCCCGACACTCTGCCACCTTCTCCAGCATTGTGAAAGGTGAGGCTGGGGTCCCCCTGACTGCTCCCTACCTCTTGTTATTTGGGGAAGTGCCAGCCGTGTGCCAGGCATGGGGGGTGGGATGCAGCTATAAATAACAACAGTAATAATACAGTTGAGACCTTTCAAATGCAAGCCGTGACCCAGTGATAACCCCCTCAGTCCTCAGCAACCCACAGTGCAGGAACTGGTGTTTTTGTCCCTGATTGACAGATGAGGAAATTGGCATTGAAGGGGGAAGAGGCAGGGAGATCTCTGAGGAGGGGGTTTTTTGATGAGAAACTGCTATGACTGGTGTGTCCAGTGGAAGGGAAGGGCCCCAGTCAAGACCCAGCAGTGGACAGAACATCTAGAATGAACCGGGCGCGGTGGCTTACGCCTCTGATCTCAGCACTTTGGGAGGCCGCAGCGGGCGGATCACTTGAGGTCAGGAGTTGGAGACTAGCCTGGCCAACGTGGAGGAACCCTGTCTCTACTAAGAATACAAAAATAACGGCATGGTGGCAGGCGCCTCTAATCCCAGCTACTCGGGAGGCTGAGGTGGGAGGATCACATGAACCCAGGAGGCAGAGGTTACAGTGGGGCTGAGACTGCGCCACTGCACTCCTGCCTGAGTGACAGAGTGGGAGGGACTCTGTCTCAGAACAAACAAACAAACAAAAAACATCTGGAAGGTGGAGGGGCACTGAGCAGGCCCTGGAAGATGGAGTGTGGGCCCCTTGCAGGAAGGGACTGATACTGGTTCACAGCCACAGGCCTGGGTATACAGTAGGCAGGGAACTGAAAAGGAGTGAGATCAAGAAGGGCCCAACTCAGCACGAGGCTCCCTTCTAGGGTGACCCAGGGTGAGCAGAGCAGCAGGCGGGCAGGCAGGGCTTGGGTGTTGCCTGCAGCCGCCCCCGGCTCCTGATGGTCTCTTGAGTCACCTCCCGGCTGCTGCTGGAGAGGAAGGAAGTGTCTGTAGTCTCATTGTCCCAGTTGGTCCTTGTGGCTTCCTGACACTTCATGGGGCAGAAAGTGGAGCTGGAAATCCTGTCTGCTGTGTGTGAACTTCGTGGCCACTTCCCTTCTTTATGCCTTGATTTCCCCACCTGAATGGGGCAATATCCCTGTGTGGCAAAAAGCGTGCTAAGGCTGGGTGGGGTGGCTCTCGCCTGTAATCCCAACACTTTGGGAGGTCAAAGTGGGAGGATTTTTTGAGGTCAGGAGTTCAAAACCAGCTGGGGCAACATGGTGAAACCCTGTCCCTACTGAAAATGCAAAAATGAGCTGGACCTGGTGGTGCACACCTGTAGTCCCAGCTACTCAGGAGCCCGAGGAGGGAGGATCGCTTTTACCCAGGAGGCAGAGGCTGCAGTGAGCTAAGATTGTGCCACTGCACTTCAGCCTGGGCAACAGAGCGAGACCCTGTCTCAAAAAAATAAACTTAGGCCTGACATGGTGGCTCACACCTATAATCCCAGCACTTTGGAAGGCTGAGGTGGGTGGATCACCTGAGGTCAGGAGTTCGAGACCAGCCTGACCAGTATGGTGACACCCCATCTCTACTAAAAATACAAAAATTAGCTGGTTGTGGTGGCAAGCGCCTATAACCCCAGCTACTTGGGAGACTGAGGTTGGAGAATTGCTTGAACTCAGGAGGCAGAGGTTGCAGTGAGCTGAGATCGTGCCACTACACTTCAGCCTGGGCAATAGAGGGAGATTCCATCTCAAAAAAGAGAGAGAGAGAGAGGGAGGGAGGGAGGGAGGGGGAGAGGGAGGGAGAGAGAGAGAGAAAGGAAAGAGAAAGCTAAATGTGATAAGGGCGAGAGAGAGAGAAAGGGAAAAGAAGGAAAGAAAGGAAAGAAAGTTAAATGTGATAAGGGCTGGCAACACTGGAGGGTCTCTGCCTCTCAAGACTCAGCCTTGTTCACAGTTCAGTCCTGCCTCAGGGGCCTTGGCTGGTGCTGTACCCTGGTCCGGGTTGGCCCTCACCGGCCCCCACCCCGGCTCTGGCTCCTTGCCACCCCCCTCTCACAGTACTGATGTTTAAAACACATACGGGCCCTGGGGGACAGAGCAGGGTCAGGATCCCAGAAACAGCCCTACTTCAGCCCCGGCCCTTATGCTGCCCCACCCCTAGCTGAGTCCTGCCTCAGGACCTTTGCTCCGGATGTACCCTCGTCCACGTTCGCCCTCATTGGCCCTCCTCGAGCTCTGGCTCTCTGTCTGAAAAATAAATGTGGCCGGATGGGTGCAGTGGGTCAAGTCTGTAATCCCAGCACTTTGGGAGGCCGAGGCAGGCGGATCACCTGAGGTCAGGAGTTTGAGACCAGCCTGACCCACATGTTAAAACCCCGTCTCTACTAAAAATTGAAAAAATTAATGGGGCGTGGTGGCGTGTGCCTGTAATCCCAGCTACTCGGGAGGCTGAGGCAGGAGAATTGCTTGAACCCAGGAGGCGGAGGTTGCAGTGAGCCCAGGTTGCACTGTTGCACGCCAGCCTGGGCAACAAGAGCAAAACTCCGTCTCAAAAAAAAAGAAAAGAAAAAGGCCGGGCGCGGTGGCTCACGCCTGTAATCCCAGCACTTTGGGAGGCCGAGGCAGGCGGATCACGAGGTCAGGATATGGAGACTATCCTGGCTTACACGGTGAAACCCTGTCTCTACTAAAAATACAAAAACTTAGCCGGGTGTGGTGGCGGGCACCTGTAGTCCTGGCTACTCGGGAGGCTGAGGCAGGAGAATGGCGTGAACCCGGGAGGAGGAGCGGAGCTTGCAGTGAGCAGAGATTGCACCACTGCCCTCCAGCCTGGGCGACAGAGCGAGACTCCGTCTCACAAAAAAAAGAAGAAAATGGTGGCATCACTCCCAGGGGTGACAGCTGCAAACCAGGCCCTGCGCACGATGGGGCCCTCTGGTTACTGCCTCTCTTAGGCCAGCTGGGGTGGTTTGAGTTTCTCTTTCTTGCCTGGTCCTGACCTGCAGCTCTGCCGTGCGCCTGTTAATCTCCATATGATCCCTGGGTGGGTTCCCAGAGGGGTTCATGTTCCCTGAGGGTCACACGGGGAGGCAGGATTTGACTCCGGGACGGCCTGATTCCCCCACAGGCCAGCGGAGCCTGCACCACCGTGGAGACAACCTGGAGACCCTGGTCCTCCTGAACCCATCAGACAAGTCCCTGTATGATGAGGTAGGGAATGGCTGACGTCCTGGAGGGGGCGGGCTGCTGGGACCCGTGCCTTCTCTGTCTTCCTGTCTCGTGTCCTTGTCTTCATGCTGCCCCAGATCCTCTCAAGACACCCGGCACCACACTTCTTCGCCCACGAAGCCTTCCCTGTGGCTTCAGCCTCCGCTTCTTCCCTCCTCTGGGGTGGGAGCAGAAAAGCCTGGACTTTGGGAGGGAGGGGAGGGTAAGCACTCCCAGCTCAGGGCCCAGGACAGCGTGGGTCTGGAGGTGGGAAGGCCAGAGCAGACAGGTTTTCCTCCTGTGGGTTCCCTCCGGCTAGGCCCCAGGAGTTGTCTGAATCGACTCACTAACATTAACCAGCTTGTGGCCATCTGTACTCTACCAATTATACATCCGGAAGATGAACCAGACAGAGCCCTGGGGCATCCCACTACAGACCTTCTTACAGGTTGATTCCTTGGATCAACTTTTCCCTTTTGTTCCCTTGAGGGGCTCTCAGTCTTTAAGAGACAGAGTGAGACACAGACACCCCCAGCCCTGTGGCATCAGGGCTGGGCTGGAGGGAGAGGTGGACTAGAGAGAGCCCAGAAAGGGCAAGTAGTGCCTTCAGGAGGAAGGGACATCAGAGCTGGGCTTTGTAGGATGAATAGGAGTTTGCTAGGGTTGCTCCAGGGCCCAGCAGGAGACCTGGAGACTGCCTTCGTAGCTAGTTGAGCACTGGGCTGGTCGTGGGGTGAGGACAGGAGAGGGGTGGTTATGTATCGACTCGAGGCTACCCCAAAGAGGACTGCTGGATACGTCACTGCACAGAACGGGTCCTTTAGTGTTCACCCCCTCCCTCAGCTCCGGAACCTTCTGTTGGACCCTGCCTCTCACAAGCTACTGGTGTTGGCTGGGCCCTGCCTGGAGGAGACGGGGGAGCTGCTGCTACAGACAGGGGGCTTCTCGCCTCACCACTTCCTCCAGGTCCTGAAGGACAGAGAGGTAAGCCACCCCTTTGCCATCCCCTGCTTCCCCAGCTCTGAATCCTGACTGGGGTGTATCAGGCTGTGTGGCACCAGCGACCTGCTGTTTTCCATGGCCTGGTCTCCCCATCCTCTGTAGGATGGCAGTGGTGACACATGCCTCCTGGCTGTCTGGGGTCAGTCCCATTGCCCGCGAAAGGGTGTGGTGTGAGCTGAGTTTGTAGGTCAGCAGATGTCCCAAAGTCCTGATGAGGGATGGAGCCAAATGGGTCCTTCCTGGTGCCCGCAGTCTGGGTAGGACACATGGGCAAAATGGCAAACCTCACTTTCACATTGTAGTGGGGCACTTAAAAATGGTGAGAAAAGGTTCAGTAGACAGGTGGGGCGTGGAGAGTCTCCTTGGAGGGAGCTGTGCCCTGGGAGGAGAGAATGGTGAGTGTAAAGGCCCTGGGGCAGGGAGGCATTTGAAGGGGAGGGAGAGACAGGAGGTGAGGCCAGATCAAAGAGCCTTGTGGCGCTGGAGAGGGTTGGGTTTTGGCGGGAGGGCCCTGAGGAGCAGGCCCTGGGGGAAAGGATGAGGGTGTCCTCGCCCAGTTTTCCCACCGGGCTAGGTGTTGCCTGGCTCTAGGTGGTCCCTTACCACTCCTCCTCCATACAGATCCGGGACATCCTGGCCACCACGCCCCCACCTGTGCAGCCGCCCATACTCACCATCACCTGCCCCACCTTCGGTGACTGGGCTCAGCTGGCACCCGCTGTGCCTGGCCTTCAGGGGGCGCTCCGGCTCCAGCTGCGGCTGAACCCCCCGGCGCAGCTGCCCAACTCTGAGGGCCTGTGCGAATTCCTGGAGTACGTGGCTGAGTCTCTGGAGCCACCGTCCCCCTTCGAGCTGCTGGAGCCCCCGACCTCCGGGGGCTTCCTCAGGCTGGGCCGGCCCTGCTGCTACATCTTCCCTGGAGGCCTCGGGGATGCCGCCTTCTTCGCCGTCAATGGCTTCACTGTGCTGGTCAACGGTGGCTCAAACCCCAAGTCCAGTTTCTGGAAGCTGGTGCGGCACCTGGACCGCGTGGATGCCGTGCTGGTGACCCACCCTGGCGCCGACAGCCTCCCCGGCCTCAACAGCCTGCTGCGGCGCAAACTGGCGGAGCGCTCCGAGGTGGCTGCTGGTGGGGGCTCCTGGGACGACAGGCTGCGCAGGCTCATCTCCCCCAACCTGGGGGTCGTGTTCTTCAACGCCTGCGAGGCCGCGTCGCGGCTGGCGCGCGGCGAGGATGAGGCGGAGCTGGCGCTGAGCCTCCTGGCGCAGCTGGGCATCACGCCTCTGCCACTCAGCCGCGGCCCCGTGCCAGCCAAACCCACCGTGCTCTTCGAGAAGATGGGCGTGGGCCGGCTGGACATGTATGTGCTGCACCCGCCCTCCGCCGGCGCCGAGCGCACGCTGGCCTCTGTGTGCGCCCTGCTGGTGTGGCACCCCGCCGGCCCCGGCGAGAAGGTGGTGCGCGTGCTGTTCCCCGGTTGCACCCCGCCCGCCTGCCTCCTGGACGGCCTGGTCCGCCTGCAGCACTTGAGGTTCCTGCGAGAGCCCGTGGTGACGCCCCAGGACCTGGAGGGGCCGGGGCGAGCCGAGAGCAAAGAGAGCGTGGGCTCCCGGGACAGCTCGAAGAGAGAGGGCCTCCTGGCCACCCACCCTAGACCTGGCCAGGAGCGCCCTGGGGTGGCCCGCAAGGAGCCAGCACGGGCTGAGGCCCCACGCAAGACTGAGAAAGAAGCCAAGACCCCCCGGGAGTTGAAGAAAGACCCCAAACCGAGTGTCTCCCGGACCCAGCCGCGGGAGGTGCGCCGGGCAGCCTCTTCTGTGCCCAACCTCAAGAAGACGAATGCCCAGGCGGCACCCAAGCCCCGCAAAGCGCCCAGCACGTCCCACTCTGGCTTCCCGCCGGTGGCAAATGGACCCCGCAGCCCGCCCAGCCTCCGATGTGGAGAAGCCAGCCCCCCCAGTGCAGCCTGCGGCTCTCCGGCCTCCCAGCTGGTGGCCACGCCCAGCCTGGAGCTGGGGCCGATCCCAGCCGGGGAGGAGAAGGCACTGGAGCTGCCTTTGGCCGCCAGCTCAATCCCAAGGCCACGCACACCCTCCCCTGAGTCCCACCGGAGCCCCGCAGAGGGCAGCGAGCGGCTGTCGCTGAGCCCACTGCGGGGCGGGGAGGCCGGGCCAGACGCCTCACCCACAGTGACCACACCCACGGTGACCACGCCCTCACTACCCGCAGAGGTGGGCTCCCCGCACTCGACCGAGGTGGACGAGTCCCTGTCGGTGTCCTTTGAGCAGGTGCTGCCGCCATCCGCCCCCACCAGTGAGGCTGGGCTGAGCCTCCCGCTGCGTGGCCCCCGGGCGCGGCGCTCGGCTTCCCCACACGATGTGGACCTGTGCCTGGTGTCACCCTGTGAATTTGAGCATCGCAAGGCGGTGCCAATGGCACCGGCACCTGCGTCCCCCGGCAGCTCGAATGACAGCAGTGCCCGGTCACAGGAACGGGCAGGTGGGCTGGGGGCCGAGGAGACGCCACCCACATCGGTCAGCGAGTCCCTGCCCACCCTGTCTGACTCGGATCCCGTGCCCCTGGCCCCCGGTGCGGCAGACTCAGACGAAGACACAGAGGGCTTTGGAGTCCCTCGCCACGACCCTTTGCCTGACCCCCTCAAGGTCCCCCCACCACTGCCTGACCCATCCAGCATCTGCATGGTGGACCCCGAGATGCTGCCCCCCAAGACAGCACGGCAAACGGAGAACGTCAGCCGCACCCGGAAGCCCCTGGCCCGCCCCAACTCACGCGCTGCCGCCCCCAAAGCCACTCCAGTGGCTGCTGCCAAAACCAAGGGGCTTGCTGGTGGGGACCGTGCCAGCCGACCACTCAGTGCCCGGAGTGAGCCCAGTGAGAAGGGAGGCCGGGCACCCCTGTCCAGAAAGTCCTCAACCCCCAAGACTGCCACTCGAGGCCCGTCGGGTGAGTACTGGAGCTGGGGCCCTGGGCTGGGTTAGCAGCTGCTTAGGCTGGAGAGCATAGCTCGTCCCCCTGTTTTTACATTTTCAGTTTTTTTAAAAGAGATGGTCTCACTCTGTCTCTGAGCTGGAGTGCAGTGGTGTGGTCACAGCTCATTGCAGCCTTGAACAATGGGGCTCAAGCCACCCTCCCACCTCAGCCTCTCCAGTAGCTGGGACTACTGGCACCGCCACTACCCCTGCCTAATTTTAAAGTTTTTGGTAGAGATAGGGTCTTACTATGTTGCCTGGGCTGATTTCAAACTCCTGGCCTCAAGCTGTGTGCCCACCTCAGCCTCCCAAAGTGTTGGGATGACTGGCGTGAGCCACGGTGCCCTGCCAGTTCTGTTCTTTTTTTTTTTTTTGAGACAGAATTTCGTTCTTGTTGCCCAGGCAAGAATGCAATGGCACGATCTTGGCTGACTGCAACCTCTGACTCCCGGGTTCAAACAATTCTCCTGTCTCAGCCTCCCGAGTAGGTGGGATTACAGGTGCCTGCCACCACGCCTGGCTAATTTTTGTATTTTTAGTAGAGTTGGGGTTTCACCATGTTGGCCAGGCTGGTCTCGAACTCCGGACCTCAGGTGATCTGCCCACCTTGGCCTCCCAAAGTGCTGGGATTACAGGCATGAGCCACTGCACCCAGCCAAGTCCTCCTGTTCGTAATTACTTCGTGACCTCAGCCGTGCCCACCTCTCCGGGGCTCAGTTTCTCCTGTGAAATGGAAACTGACCTCAGTGTTGAAGCACTTGCCATTCTGAGGTGCCTGGACAGGTGAGCACGTATGCCAACTGTGGGTTTCTAGAAGCCACAATAAGTAAAATGAAACAGTTGAAAATTTAAATAGCGTATTTTATGTAACTGATTGGTTAGGAGGACCCGGCCTATGGTTGCACTCATAGCAGAGCAAAATCAGCAAAGAGAAAAGGCACATAGGGTGAAGTCCAAAGGAAACCAGGCAGAAGCTTCCAGAATCCTCTCCCAGTGGGGCTGCACACCACAGGCTTCATTTCTCCAGTAGCAAGTTGTAACAGTGTGTCCCTCATGGAAGCTCATTAGACACAGCATGCCCAGGTTTCCTATTGGGCCATTACATAGGCATCTTCTGCCTGGCACCCACACTCTAGACTCCCCAAAAAGGAGAAATCAGGTGTGTGGTCCAGTCCAGGCACAGGGAGCCCCTCTCAGACAGGGAATGGTGGGAACCCTCTGCCTAAGATCCAAATTCCCAGAGACCAGCCAAAGGCTCACATTTTAAGCAGGCCTTGCTGAGAGGAGGGTCTCTGGCCTGCTGTGCTGTTCTTTGTTTTTTTTCTGAGACAGAGTCTCACTCTGTCATCCAGGCTGGAGTGCAGTGGCGCAAACATGGCTCACTGCAGCCTCGACCTCCTGGGTTCAAGCAACCCTCCCACCTCAACCTCCCGAACAGGTGGGACCACAGACACGCACCATAACGGCCAGCTAATTTTTTTTTGAGATGGAGTCTTGCTCTGTCACCAGGCTGGAGTGCAGTGGTGCGATCTGAGCTCACTGCAACCTCTACCTCCCGGGGTCAAGCGATTCTCCTACCTCAGCCTCCCAAGTAGCTGAGATTACAGGCATGCGCAACCATGCCCAGCTAATTTTTGTATTTTTAGTAGAGATGGGGTTTCACCATGCTGGTCAGGCCGGTCTCGAACTCCTGGCCTCGTGATCTGCCCGCCTCGGCCTCCCAAAGTACTGGGATTACAGACGTGAGCCACTGTGCCCAGCCTACGCCCAGCTAATTTTAAAATTTTTCAGTAGCACTGGGGTCTCACTATGTTGCCCTGGCTGGTCTTGAACTCCTGAACTCAAGTGATCCTTTGGCCTCGGCCTCCCAAAGTGCTGGGATTATAGGCATAAGCCACCACGCCCGACTCAACGTTTAATTTTGGATGAACCGCCAGACTGTTTTCCACAGCAGCTGCTTGACGCTAGCCAGTCTAATGGGTGTGAGGTGGGATCTCATTGTGGTTTTGATTTCCATGTCCCTAATGATTAGTGATGTTGCATCTTTTCATATGCCTATTGGCCATTTGTCTGTCTTCTTTGGAGAAATGTCTATTCAATTCCTTTGCTCATTTTAAAATTTTGTTTTACTTTTTAGAGACAGGGTCTCGGTCTGTTACCCATGCTGGAGTGTAGTGCAAACACAGCTCATTATAGCCTCAACTTCCTGGGCTCAAGTGATCCTCCCAGCTCAGCCTCCCAAGTAGCTGGGACTACACAGGTGCATGCCATCGTGCCTGGCCAATTGTTTAATGTTTTGTAGAGATGGAGTCTCACTATGTTGCCCAGGCTGATCTTGAACTCCCAGCCTCAAGCGATTCTCTCGCCTTGGCCTCCCAAACTGTTGGGATTACAGGCATGAGCCACCATACCTAGCCCCCTTTGCCCATTTTTAAATTGAGTTGTTTTCCGTTGCTGAGTTTTAGGAGTTTTTTAAATCATTCTGGACATTAATCCTTTAGCAGATAAATGGCTTGCAAATATTTCCTCCCATTCTGTGAGCTGCCTTTTTATTCTTTTGATAGTGCCCTTTGATGCACAAAAGTTTTAAATTCTCATGAAGTCCATTTTGTCTATTTTTTTCTTTTGTTGTCTGCACTTTTGATGTCAGACCCAATAAATGATTGCCACATCGATTTTTTTTCTTTTTTCTTTTTCTTTTTTTTTTTTTTCAGATGAGTCTGGCTCTGTTGCCCAGGCTGCAGCATGGGAGCACTATCTTGGCTCACTGCAACCTCCGCCTCCCGGGTTCAAGCGATTCTCCTGCCTCAGCCTTCCTGAGTAGCTGCGATTACAGGCACCCACCACCACACCTGGCTAATTTTTTTTGTGTTTTTAGTAGACACGGGGTTTCACCACGTTGGCCAGGCTGGTTTCAAACTCCTGACCTCAAGTGATCTGCCCGCCTCGGCCTCCCAGAGTACTAAGATTATAGATGTGAGTCACCATGCCTGGTCAAATCCAACAGTGAGAAGCTTCTACCCCATGTTTTCTTCCAGGAGTTTTAAGTTTTCCATTTCACATTTAGGTCCATTTGGAGGTAATTTTTGTATGTGGTGAAAAGATCCAGTGTCATTCTCTTGCATGTGGAAGCCCAGCTTTCCCAGCACCATTTGTTGAAAAGACTATCCTTTCCCCATTGAATGTTTGGAACGCTTGTTGAAGATCATTTCAGCATACATGTGATGATTTATTTCCGGGCCTCTATTGTATTCCATTGGTCTATATGTCTGTCTTTATGCCAGTGCCACGCTGTTTTGATTACTGTAGCTTTGTAGTAAGTTTTGAAATCTGGAAGTGTGAGTCCTCTATCTTGATTCTTCTATTTCATGATTGTTTAATCTCCTTTTCACATTGTTCATTGTTCATGTATAGAAATTCAACTGTGTTTTGCCTGTGGACTTTGTACCTTGCTTCTTTGCTGAATTCGTTTATTATTATTTTTTGAGATGGAGTCTCACTCTGTCGCCCAGGCTGGAGTGCAGTGGCACAATCTCAGCTCACTGCAACCTCCACTTCCTGGGTTCAAGCAGTTCTCCTGCCTCTGCCTCCCGAGTAGCTGGGATTACAGGCACCTGCCACCACGCCCAGCTAATTTTTGTATTTTTAGTAAGAGACAGGGTTTCGCCATGTTGGCTAGGCTGGTCTTGAACTCCTGACCTCAAGTGATCTGCCTGCCTCAGCCTCCCAAAGTGCTGGGATTACAGGCGTGAGCCACTGCACCCCCAGGCCTGATTTTTTACATTATTGTTCATAAAGTCTGTTGAACTGGCATTTTCTTGTAGAATTAAATATCTGTGCCTGGCTTTGGTATTAAGACAATTCTGGTCTTATAAAATGAGTTAGGAAGTGTTCCTTCCTCTTCAGTTCCTCGGAAAAGTTTGAGAAAGGCTGATGTTAGTTCTCTAAATGTTTAGTGGCTTCCCCAGGGCTTTTCTTTGTTGGGAGGTCGTAAGTTACTGATTCATTCTCCTTGCTAGCTACAGGTATGTGCTGATTTTCTATTTTTGTGATTGTGTCTTGGTAGTTTTTGTGTTTCTAGGAATGTGTCCATTTCGGCTGAGGGTATGCATTTGTTGGTATACAGACGGGGTAGTACTCTTACCCCCTGAGCTGGGCAGCAGCTGTGATTGTAAGATGCAGGGTCTGGCAGGCTTCTTGTGCCCGAGACCCAGCCGTATCCTTTCATTTCATTGATCATTCACTTGCCCAGGGCTGGTGGCCTTGTCCCCTTTGGCCCTAAGGTCAGGGTTTGGACAAGGCCCCCAGAGCTGCTGTCTCATCCGCATCCAGCATCCCGCAGTGATCTTGGGCCCGCCTCTCAAGGCTCTGTCCACCCACCCTGGCTCCCCATCACCCTTGGGGCAGGGATTCTGTCTGTCTTGGTCACAGCCCTGTTTCAGGGCCTGGTGCCCATGAGGTTCTGTTAAATGCCCCTTGAGCAAGTGAACCAGACAAATGCTGCAGAAGCAGCAGATGGTCCAGGCACTGGCTGCTTTCAGGGCTCAAACTCTTAAACCCTCTTCCAGGAAGCATTCCCTGATTGCCACCCACTCGCCCCCCAGCCCTGGGGATGTCTATGTCCAGGGACTGGCTGGGGATGAGTCAGGCTCTAGGCACAAAGGGGTGGCCGGTGGTGTTTGTAGAGTGAGTGAAGAGTCACTGGAGTCAAGGCGTGGTGACATGCACCTGTAGTCCCATCTACTTGGAAGGCTGAGGCAGGAGGATCACTTGAGCCCAGGAGTTTGTGACGAGCCTGGGCAGCATAGCGAGACCCCATTTCTTAAAATAAGATTCACTGGAGTCATGAGCGCACCAGGCCTCCCCAGAAAACTCTGAGTTCAGGCCTCCTGCTGAGGAGGGAGCTGCTCTGAGTGGTGCAGGTCGAACTTGGAGCCTCGGCCCCTCCCCAGCCCCAGGAGCTCATCCCTGCCTCCCCATCCCCCCGCCCGCAGGGTCAGCCAGCAGCCGGCCCGGGGTGTCAGCCACCCCACCCAAGTCCCCGGTCTACCTGGACCTGGCCTACCTGCCCAGCGGGAGCAGCGCCCACCTGGTGGATGAGGAGTTCTTCCAGCGCGTGCGCGCGCTCTGCTACGTCATCAGTGGCCAGGACCAGCGCAAGGAGGAAGGCATGCGGGCCGTCCTGGACGCGCTACTGGCCAGCAAGCAGCATTGGGACCGTGACCTGCAGGTGCGTGTCACCCCAGGGCCTCTGGTGGTAAGTGTAGTTAGCACAGATGGGTAAAACCACCCTCGACCCTCAGAGACTAAGCTGTGTTCCCCAGGCCACACGGGAATGGGGGCGAATGTGGGAGTCTCACATGGCTCAGCCCTTAGGGGTCTCTTCGGACTCTGATTCTGTCGTGTCACTGTTGTCATTGGCTGTGCTGGAAGCCTGGGGGAGGACGCAGGGCCTCGTGAAGCCTCATGGTTCTATCCCTTCCCCAGACACCTTGTCACTTAGCCATTGTTCCGCTGTGAGAATTAGTCGGGATGGAATAGGTGGGCTGGGTGGTATCTGTGCGGCTGAGAACCCTCCCCCATGGCTGCATGAAGCTGAGAGACTGAAACCAAGCCCTGCAGGGCGAGGTGCATGTGGGCAGAGGGAGGACCGCCTCACACCGCGGCCCCTGCCCTCTCATAGCTGCTAGGCTGGCTTCAAAGGAGTGTCCCTGTAGGGTGCACGACCCAGGAAAAGGCCCAGAGGTAGGAAAGAGGTTGGTGTGTTCAAGGAGCAGGGGGAGATCCAAGTGAGTAGAGAGGGGTCTCAGGCCAAGGAAGGCCTTGCAGAGGAGGAGCTCCGTCTCCTGTGTGCTGAGAAGGCTCTTTGGGTGCTGGTTGGGAGGAACAGGGACCTCACAGACGGGCTGACCACCCATTGCAGACCTCAAGGTGGAGCACACAAGATCAGGGAAAAGCCAGGAGGGGTCTCAAATGCCAGGAAAGGAAGGCGACTTGGGCCCAGGCCAGAAGGGCAGGGGGCACCCCCCTCACTGGTGGTCCACTCTCCCCACACACCCCCCCTCCACCTGCAGGTGACCCTGATCCCCACTTTCGACTCGGTGGCCATGCATACGTGGTACGCAGAGACGCACGCCCGGCACCAGGCGCTGGGCATCACGGTGTTGGGCAGCAACAGCATGGTGTCCATGCAGGATGACGCCTTCCCGGCCTGCAAGGTGGAGTTCTAGCCCCATCGCCGACACGCCCCCCACTCAGCCCAGCCCGCCTGTCCCTAGATTCAGCCACATCAGAAATAAACTGTGACTACACTTGGCTGTGGCCTCTCTTCTTTCTGTGATGGGAGACTTGGCATGTACCTCCTGGTCCTGCGGGTGGGGACAGCTTCCATGGAATCCCCAGTGACCCTGCGGTCAGGCCCACTCTGGCCTCCATGTCGCAGATGGGAGAAATGCAGGCTTCGCTGGGCCTGGTTTGGGGAAGGAAGTGCCTCTCAGAGTTAATGACCACTGACCGGTGGAGCTCCTGACTATGGCCTCCATCCCGACTCAGCAACTGTGAGGGGCCCAAGTTATAGGCGCGAAGTAGCTACCTGACTATCTGTCACACAAACCAGTTGGTGGCAGGGGGAGATTGAATACCTGTCTCTGCTCCAAAGCCATCAAACAAAAGCTATCCTGCTGTCCCTAGAGGAGATGGATGCTTATTCCAGAAAGTCTTACTCTGCAGGAAGGATTTACAGAGGAATCTGAAACCCAGAGATTACAGAATATCCACTTCTGACTAATGCACCCTGACCCCTCTCTGCAGAAATACAAGCACTTAGGTTTACTATTAGATACAATGTCATCTGTACTGGGTTGAATGGCAGCCAGCCCCCAAAACACATTCAACACCTGACCCCTGACACCTGTGAATGTGATGTTATTTTGAAAAAGGATCTTTGCAGATACAGTTTTATTATTTTTTGAGATGGAGTCTTGCTCTGTCACCCACGCTGGAGTGCAGTGGGGCGATCTTGGCTCACTGCAACCCCCGCCTCCTAGATTCAAGCGATTCTTGTGCCTCAGCCTCTCTAGTAGCTGGGATTACAGGCACACGCCACCACGCCCGGCTAATTTTTGTATTTTTAGTAGAGACGGGGTTTCACCAGGTTGGCCAGGCTGGTCTCGAACTCCTGACCTCAGATGATCCACCCGCCTCGGTCTCCCGAAGTGCTGGATTACAGGTGTGAGCCACCATATGCCTGGCCCTTCACAGGGTCTTACGGTCACAGGGTAGGTGATCAGGAAGGGCAGGTGGAGCAGAGGAGCCATGCCTGTGCCTGCCACCTCCTGTCCAATGCCTGCTAGCAATGCCAAGATCGCTAAGCTCAGCCAGCCACCTCCCACTTCCACCTACCCACCCTCCACACCTCTGCAGCGGAAACTTAACAGGGATGGGAGTCCTGGGAGAAAGGCCCCAGCCTAGGCGAGTTGACACAGCAGTGCAAAGCCAGCCCTGCCCAGTTCCCCATCAGCTGGCACTCAAGTTATGGCCTTTTCTCCGTTGCCAGGGTAAGGATGGACCTCTTCTGGGGTCACCATTTATACATGAGGATGATTCCCCTGGGTTTCTTGTTTTGGCCAAACTGTCTAGTGACCCCTGCTGCCTACTTGTTCTTATTTCAATTGTCCCGTTATCAGGGAGGTTTCTTTCTATTTATGGGCTCTTTCTTTTTTTTTTTTTTTTGAGACAGTTTCTCTCTCTTGTCCAGGCTGGAGTGCAATGGTGCAATCTCAGCTCACAGCAACCTCAGGCTCCGAGGTTCAAGCAATTCTCGTGCCTCAGGCTCCCGAGTAGCTGGGATTACCGGCATGTTCCACCATGCCCGGCTAATTTTTGTATTTTTAGTAGAAATGGGGTTTTGCCATGTTGACCAAGCTGGTCTCAAACTCCCGGCCTCAAGTGATCCACCCACTTCAGCCTCCCAAAGTACTGGGATTCCAGGCATGAGCCACCGTGCCCAGCCCAGGCCTTTTTCCTTCTTTCTCTTGAGACAGGGTCTCGCTCAGTCACCTAGATGACTGCAGTGGCACAATGTCGGCTCACTGCAACCTCTGCCTCCTGGGCTTAAGTGATCCTCCCACCTCAGCCTCCTGAGTAGCTGGGACTGCCTGGCTAATTTTTTGTATTTTTGGTAGAGCCGGGGTTTTGCCATGTTGGCCAGGCTGGTCTTGAACTCCTAACCTCAGGTGATCCACCCACTTTGGCCTCCCAAAGTGCTAGGATTACAGGCATGAGCCACTGGGCCCAGCCCTTTTTTTTTCTTTTGAGACAGGGCCTCACTGTTGCCCAGGCTGGAGGGCAGTGGCATGATCATGTCTCATTGCAGCCTCGACCTCCCAGACTCAAGTGATCCTCCGACCTTGGCCTCCCAAGTAAGTAGGACCACAGGTGTGCGTCACCACACCCGCCTAATTTCTTTTATTATTTGTAGAGATGAGATCTCACTATGTTGCCCAGGCTGATCATGAACTCCTGGGCTCAAGCGATCCTACTTCGGCCTCCCAAAGTGCTGGGATTTACAGGCGTGAGCCACTGTGCCTGGCTTACAGGCCTTTTTCTAATTAGCTGGTTTGATATTTTTCTCATTGGGTATTTGTCTTTTTCTCATTCCTACACAATTTTCTTTTTTAAATTAGGGATAATAAACTTATGTGGTAAATGTTTTCCAAATGTACTTTTCCATTTTGTTTAGGCATGATTTTGCTGTAGAGATATATATATTTTTTTGATGGTCTCTCGTTGCCCAGGCTGGAGTGCAGTGGGTGGGATCACAGTCACTGCAGCCTGGAACTTCTAGCTTCAAGTGATCCTCCCACCTCAGCCTCCCAAAGTGCTGGAATTACAGGCATGAGCCACTGCACCTGGCCAAACTGCAACTTTTTTTTTAAAACGGAGTCTTGCTCTGTCACCCAGGCTGGAGTGCAGTGGCGCGATCTTGGCTCACTGCAAGCTCTGCCTCCCGGGTTCACGCCATTCTCCTGCCTCAGCCTCCCGAGTAGCTGGGACTACAGGCGCCTGCCACCACGCCCAGCTAACTTTTTTTTTGTAATTTTAGTAGAGATGGTGTTTCTGTCTCTATTAAGATGAGGAGAGTACATAGAACTTGCCAGTCATTTCAACAAATGTTGTAAATGGACAGAAATCTCTAGTTAAAAGGCAAAAGGTGGCTGGGCACGGTGGTTCATGCCTGTAATCCCAGCACTTTGGGAGGCTGAGGTGGGCAGATCACTTGAGGTCAGGATTTCGAGACCCCCAACTTGGGCAATGTAGTGAAACCCCATCTCCACTAAAAATACAAAAATTAGCCAGGCATGGTGGCACATGCCTGTAATCCCAGCTACTCAGGAGGAGGCTGAGGCAGGAGAATCACTTAAACCTGGGAGGAAGGACGTTGCAGTGAGGCGATCGTGCCACTGCATTCCAACCTGGGCGACAGAGCAAGACTCTGAAAAAAAAAAAAAAAAAAAAAAAAAGCCAAAGAATAAACTTTGTTGGTATTGTAAGCCATATAGTCTGTCCAGACCACTGAATTCCTTTGTTGTAGGCTGAACAGACTACAACAAATGGGTGTGGTATAAACATAGAACCAGTCCAATCTGGTTCAGCTTTGTTAGTAACAAAATGTAACAAAATGATGAGTCGTTTTTCAGTGCAATGGACCCCCAGGGTGCAAGTCACATATCGCTGGAGCATTAACAGATGAACAAAGCATGCCCAATTCATAACCCTTGGGTGGAATGAAAAAGTCAACTACAGGTAGAACCCAAGTACTCGGATCAAGGAATGGGGACTATGCTGGGCGTGGTGACTCATGCCTGTAATCCCAGCACTTTGGGAGGCCCAGGCAGACGGATCACCTGAGGTCAGGAGTTCGAGCCTGGCCAACATGGTGAAACCGTCTCTACTAAAAATACAAAAGAAACTAACGGGGCATGGTGGTGCGCACCTGTAATCCCAGCTACTCAGGAGGCTGAGGCAGGGAGAGTTGCTTGAACCCAGGAAGTAGAGATTGCAGTGAGCTGAGATCCCACCGTCACTGAGATCCAGCCTGGGTGACAGAGCGAGGCTCCATCTCAAAAAAAAAAAAAGGAATGGGGACCAAATTAAAAAGAGAAAGCTGGGTGTGGTGTCTCATGCCCAGGAATTGGAGACTAGCCTGGGCAACATAGTGAGACCCCGTCTACAAAAGATACAAAAATTAGCTGTGTGTTGTAACATACGCCTGTAGTCCCAGCTACTTGGGAGGCTGGGGTGGGAAGATCACTTGAGCTTCCGGAGGTTGAGGCTACAGATAGCTGTGATTTCGCCATTGCACTCTAGCCTGGGCAACAGAGCAAGACCCTGTCTCAAAAAATAAAAGGGGGAGGGCGGTGCCTTGTTTACTGCAGTGTGGACTTGAGCACCAAAAACACATCATCGCCCCTGCACGTGATGCAGTCATATCACCCCCATTGCATTTCCGTATCTCTCCCATGATAACCCTCTGCCTATGAAACCTGCCCCCAAGCTCCAGCTTGAAGAGACAGATTTGAACTTCGCCTACTGTCTCCTTGCCAGTTGACTCTCAAAAAAGCTTTTTAGGCCAGGTGCAGTGGCTCATGCCTGTAATCCCAGCACTTTGGGAGGCCGAGGCAGACGCATCACTTGAGGTCAGGAGTTCAAGATCAGCCTGGCCAACATGGAGAAACCCCATCTCTACTAAAAATACAAAAATTAGCCAGGTGTGCTGGTGCACGTCTTGTAATCCCAGCTACTCTGTGGCAGAAGAATTGCTTGAACCTGGGAGGCAGAGGTTGCAGTAAGCTGAGATCGCACCACTGCACTCCAGCCTGGGCAACAGAGCAAGATTCTGTCTCAAAACAAAATAAAAACAAAAACTGTTGGAAGTTCCTCCCACTGGGCAAACAGTGTCAGGTGGGCGAGTGAAACACAAAGAAGCAACAGCCCATGGTGTGAGGTGTGGGGAGGTGGCACGCGCACCCCGAGGGCTCAGAGGAAGCCTTTTAGCGCTGCCGCCTTGGGGGTTAAAGGAGGCTTCCCAAGGATGCAAAAGGGTGAGCCTTATTAGGGAAGGGGAAGGGTGCTCCTGGAGGAGGGACCGGCAGAGGCAAAGGCCTGGTTTGCTGGAGGAACTGAGAGAAGGGTGACATTGACGCCCCCGCAAAGGGGGAAGAGTGTGGGAGGCAGCTGCCTGGAGGCCTCACTGAGCAGCTGGGACCAAATCCCATGGGGCCCTGGGGGAGGGGAGACGCAGGGGAAGCGGGCTTAAAGTGGACTTGGGAGAGGCCCGCCAGTGGAAGAGGGGTGGGGGTGGGGGTGCCAGGTCCTGGTGGGGCGTGGCCAGAGCTCATTTCTGGGAAGATGTCAGCTCTTCCCAGAGAGAGGCAGTGATGGGGCAGGGCGTGGTGGAGCCCTGCCTGGTATGGTACCTCCTCCAGGTAGCCCTCCTTGCTACCTCTTAGTCCACTGCCTGGACCCTTCCTGACTCCCTCTCTTAAAAGTGTCCTGGCCAGGCATGGTGGCTTACGCCTGTCATCCCAGCACTTTGGGAAGCTGAGGCAGGCGGATCACCAGAAGTCGGGAGTTTGAGAACAGCCTGGCCAACATAGTCACACCCCGTCTCTACTAAAAATACAAAAATTAGGGCCGGATGCAGTGTCTCACTCCTGTCATCCTAGCGCTTTGGGAGGGTGAGGTGGGTGGCTCACCTGAGGTCAGGAGTTCGAGACCAGCCTGACCAACCTGGTTAGCGGGGCGTGGTGGCACACGCCTGTAATCCCAGCTACTCTGGAGCCTGAGGCAGGAGAATCACTTGAACCCGGGAGGCAGAGGTTGCAGTTACCCGAGATCGCGTCACTGCACTCCAGCCTGGGCGACAAAAGCAAAACTCCGTCTCAAAAAAAAAAAAAAAAAATTATTCGGGCGTGGTGGTGGGTGCCTGTAATCCCAGCTACTCGAGAGGATAAGGCAGGAGAATCGCTTGAACCTGGGAGGTGAAGGTTGCAGTGAGCTGAGATGGCCTGGGCAACAAAGTGAGACTGTCTCAAAATAAATAAATAAGGCCGGGCGCAGCGGCTCAACGCCTGTAATCTTAGCACTTTGGGAACACCTGAGGTCAGGAGTTTGAGACCAGCCTGGCCAACATGGTGAAACCCCGTCTCTACTAAAAATACAAAAACTAGCTGGACGTGGTGGCGGGCGCTTGTAATGCCAGCTACTCAGGGGACTGAGGCAGGAGAATCACTTGAACTCGGGAGATGGAGGTTGCAGTGAGCCGAGATCGCACCATTGCACTCCAGGCTGGGGGACAAAAGCGAGACTTCATCTCAAAATAAATAAATAAATAAATAAATAAATAAATAAATAAATAAATAAAGTGTCGTCCTGTCCACCAGCACATCTTCCTGTTGTATTTCCTTTTAATCCATAGCCCTAGCAGACTCTTACTTGTTTATATGTTTATATGTCAATATGTTTATATTGATTCCCCCAACTGTGAGCCCATGAGAGCTGCACCCTCTCCATCTTGGTTGTTTCTGGGTGCCCGCTGCCCAGGACAGGACCCAGTACCTGTACCCACACACCAGGTTCTTGGGAAATGTTGGTTGTGCCCCAGCTTGGCAGCACTGCTGGGTGACCTCGGGAATGTTCCTTAACCTCTCTGGGCTTCTCCTCTTCCCCAGTCTCAGAAATAAGAAAGTTGGCCTGAACCTCCAGGAAGAGCAGGGAGCCTTGGGCTGTTTTGGCAACTGGACCCCTGAGTTTTCTTCCCTGGCCTGTTCGGCCCCAGGCACTCCAGACAGGCCTGACCTATGTCATCCTGTCCTCCCCACCCCCTACAGCATCCTTTGGGATCTGGGCCCAGGGCAGGTGTGAGCTGTGGTACCAGCACACCCATGTCAAGTCCTGCCTCTGACGTGTGTTTGCTGTGTGACTTCCAAGAGTAGCTTGCTTTCTCTGAGCTCTGTTTCCCCTGGCCCAGGCTTGGGAGTGGAGTGTCTGGGGGAGTGTGGATGCAGTTCAGACCTCACCTGACAGGTGTGGATAGTACCAGGGCCAGGGCCCCCAAGAAGCTCCCAGGCTGGAGGGGGAGGGGGCAATGCCTAACATAACATCCCAGTCCTGGGGGATCAGCACTGGCTTGGAAGGAAAACCAGATGGGTTTTCAGGAGCCTGGGAAGCTAGCTGGAGGGCTTCTTGAAGGAGAGGACCACATAGGAACTAAGAGCTAAAGGTGGGAAGGAAATCTGGGATGCCAGAAGGAGGACTTCCTGGAGGAGGGGACCACATAGGAACTAAGAGCTAAAGGTGGGACGGGAGCCTGGGAGGCCAGAAGGAGGGCTTCCTGGAGGAGGGGACCACAAGAGCTAAAGGTGGGAAAGGAGCCTGGGAGGCCAGATGGAGGGCTTCCTGGAGGAAGGGACCATAAGAGCTAAAGTTGGGAAAGGAGCCTGGGAGGCCAGATGGAGGGCTTCCTGGAGGAGGGGACCAAACAGGAACTAAGAGCTCAAGGTAGGAAAGTTACCAGTCAGATGCACCCTGAGGTGGAACGGCTTTTGTGCCCCCTGCATTGAGGTGGGTAGAGAGAGGTGAGGACAGGAATGTAGGGAGGGCCGGACCCCATAAGCATGATGGGCTGCTGAGACAGGTTTGCAGTTTTTACCAAGAGTGCTGGGGAGTCTGGGGAGTGTTTCAAGCTGGAGAAAAAGGTGAGCAGTTTCTGTTTGAAACCCCACTGTGGGTCCCAGTTAAACATTCTGGAATTGCTACACACATGCACTTCAATGGAACAGCTGAGCACGTGAAGGTGATAGGACAGGCAAGCCTCAAAATTGGGGCTTAGTCTGAGAGGGTTCTTGGCTTCACCCAGGAAGGAATTTGAGGGCAAGTCAATTGTGTTAAACAGCAACTTTTCTTTTTCTTTTTTCCTTTCTTTTTTTTTTAAGATAGGGTCTCACTCTCATGCCCATGTTGGAGTGCAGTGCCATGATCTTGGCTCATTGCAGCCTCCAGGAGTCCTCCCACCTCAGCCTCCTGAGAAGCTTGGACCACAGGCACAGTCCACCATGCCCACCTAATTTTTTTTTTGAGATGGGGTCGTCTTGCTCTGTCACCCAGGCTGGAGTGCAGTGGCATGATCTCCGCTCACTGCTCCCTCTGCCTCCTGGGCTCAAGGGATCCTCCCACCTCAGCCTCCCAAGTAGCTGGGTCTACAGGCACAAGCCATGGAGCCCAGCTAATTTTTTGTATTTTTGGCACAGGCAGGGTTTCACCATTTTGCCCAGGCTGGTCTCAAACTCCTGAGCTCACGTGATCTTCCCACCTGGGCCTCACAAAGTGCCAGGATTGCAGGTTTGAGCCACCGCACCTGGCCTAATTTTTGTATTTTTTTTTTTTTTTTTTTTTTGTAGAGATGGGGTTCGGCCATGTTGCCCAGGCTGGTAAACAGCAACATTTTCTTCTTCTTCTTTTTTTCTGAGATGGAGTTTAGCTCTTGGAGTGTGATGGCATGATCTTGGCTCACTGCAACCTCTGCCTCCTGGGTTCAAGCAATTCTCCTGCCTCATCCTTCCAAGTAGCTGGGATTACAGGTGCCTGCCCCCACACCCAGCTAATTTTTTTGTTCTTAGTAGAGATGGGGCTTCATCATATTGGCCAGAATGGTCTTGAACTCCTGACCTCAGGTGATCCGCCCATCTCAGCCTCCCAAAGTGCTGGGATTATAGGTGTGAGCCACCATGCCTGGCCTTTTCTTTCTTTCTTTTTTTTTTTTTTTAGACAGGGTCTCGCCTTGTCACCCAGACTGGAGTGCAGTGGCACCATCTCGGCTCATTACAACCTCCACCTCCCAGTATCAAGTAAATCTCGTGCCTCAGCCTCTCCAGTAGCTGGGACTACAGGTGCCCACCGCCAGGTCTGGTCTGGCTTTTTTTTTTTTTTTTTTTTTGAGACAGAGTCTCGCTGTTGCCCAGGCTGGAGTGCAGTGGTGTGATGATAGCTCACTGCAGCCTCCAACTCCCTGACTCAAGCAATCCTCCAGCCTCAGCCTCCCGAATAGCTGGGATTATAGGCATGAGCCACCATGCCCAGCTAATTTCTGTATTTTTAGTACAGACAGGGTTTCTCCATGTTGGCCAGGCTGGTCTCGAACTCTTGACCTCAGGTGATCCACCCATTTCAGCCTCCCAAAGTGCTGGGATTACACCGCGCTTGGCCCTAAACAGCGGCATTTACTGAAATGGCCGTGTAGAGCAGCATCAGAGGTGCTGTTCCTTGCTGAGCAAGACCACTGTGCATAGGCAGTCCATCCAGAATAGTAGCTCACAGGCACAGCTGCACTCATATGTATACCCACTTTTAATTATATGCAAATGAAGGCCAGGCGTGGTGGCTCAAGTCTGTAATCCCAGCGCTTTGAGAGGCTGAGGCGGGTGGGTCACCTAAGGTCAGGAGTTTGAGACCAGCCTGGCCAACATGGTGAAACCCCGTGTCTACTAAAAATACAAAAATTAGCCAGGCATGGTGGTGTGCGCCTGTAATCCCAGCTACTCAGGAGGCTGAGACAGGAGAATCGCTTGAACCCAGGAGGCAGAGGTTGCGGTGCGCTGAGATTATGCCACTGCACTCCAGCCTGGGCAACAGAGCAAGATACCATCTCAAAAAAAAAAAAAAAAAAAAAAAAAAAAAATATATATATATATATATATATATATATATGTATATATATGCAAATTAAGGGGCAGTGTATGCAGAAACTTCCAGGAAAAGGGTGACAACTTCTGAGTCATCAGGGTTGTTGCCATGGAAAAGGGTGGTAACTTCTGCATGTTGTCATGGCAATGGTAAACTGACATGGCACACCAGTGGGCATGTCTTAAGGAAAGCCCCTTCCCTGGGGGTCTGTTTTATAATAGCTAGTCCTCAATTTGGTCCAATGTCGCAGCCCCACCTCTGGAGTTGAGTCCTGCCTCCTACTTTGGAGGGCTGACAGTGGGAGCCAGGTTTCTCAGGGATAAAGTAGAAGATCACAGACAGGCAAGGGGAGGAGGCTGAGCTCATGTTCAACCCAATATAGATAGTTACAGCAAAATATGTACAGATATGTGTATATACATATATACACACATACAGCTCCCTGCTCTGTCTGCAGACAGGGCCTCCAAGACACGTCACCCCAGTAACAAGTACACATTGGCCGGGTGTGGTGGTTTATGCCTGTGATCCCAGTACATTGGGAGGCCGAGGCAGGAGGATAACCTGAGGTCATGAGTTCACGACCAGCCTGGCCAATATGGTGAAACCCCGTCTCTGCTAAAAATATAAAACTTAGCTGGGTGTGGTCGTGGGCGCCTGTAATCCCAGCTACTAAGGAGGCTGAGGCAGGAGAATTGCTTGAACCTGGGAAGCGGAGGTTGTTGCAGTGAGCCGAGATCACGCAACTGCACTCCAGCCTGGCAACAGAGCGAGACTCTGTCTCAAGAAAACAAAGAAACAAAAAACAAACAAACAAAACAAAAACTAAAAAAAGCCCCCAAACCTGACAGATGCCATTCGGCCAGGAAATCAAGGTCAACACCAGCAGAGTAAGTCATGTTGACAGTTTGTACCTTTGATATGGTGTGATGAGATGGGTGCTTCACCTCTGTGGTCTTCCTTCCCCAAATCCATTACCCTCATTTAACTGTGAGAAAGACATCAGAGAAACCTCAATGGAGGGACATTCTGTAGAACACCTGACCACCATTCCTCAAAACTGTCCCCGAAAACAAGACAGTTTGACAAACCGTCACACCCCAGAACAGCCTAAGGAGACATGAGGAGTAAGTGTCATGTAAGATTCTAGGACAGAAAAAAGACATTGCAACCAATGGCCATACCAGTGGAAGGTGATAATCATGTGGGAGGCGGGCCGGGCGCACTGGCCCACTCCTGTAATCCCAGCACCTTGGAAGGCCGAGGCAGGCAGATCACCTGAGGTCAGGAGTTTGAGACCAGCCTGGCCAACATGACGAAACCCCATTTCTACTAAAAATACAAAAATTAGCTGGGTGTGGTGGTGGGTGCCTGTAATCCCAGCTACTCGGAAGGCTGAGGCAGGAGAATTGCTTGAACCTGGGAGGCGGAGGTTGCAGTGAGCCGAGATAGTGCCATTGCACTCCAGCCTGGCCAACAGTGAGACTCTGTCTCAAAAAAAAAAAAAAGAAAAAGAAAAAGAAAAAGGAAAAAGACACTGTAACAAATGGACATACCAATGGAAGGCGTTAATCACGGGGGAAGCAGGCCAGGTACAGTGGCTCACGCCTATAATCCCAGCACTTTGGGAGGATGAGCGGGGAGGATGGAGTGAGCTCAGGAGTTCAAGACCAGCCTAGGCAACATGGTGAAACTCCGTCTGTACAAAAAAATACAAAAATTAGCTGGACGTGGTGGTGCGTGCCTGTAATCCCGGCTACTTGGGACACTGAGGTGGGAGGATTGCTTGAGCCCGGGAGGCAGAGCTTGCAGTGAGCTGAGATGGCACTACTGCACTTCAGCCTAGGTGACAAGAGCAAGACCCCGTCTCACCAAATAAATAAATTAATAATAATAATAATAATAGGCCGGGTGCAGTGGCTTACACCTGTAATCCCAACACTTTGGGAGGCCGAGGTGGGCGGATCATGAGGTCAGGAGATCAAGACCATCCTGGCTAACACGGTGAAACCCCGTCTCTACTAAAAATACAAAAAATTAGCCGGGTGTGGTGGCGGGTGCCTGTAGTCCCAGCTACTTGGGAGGCTGAGAATGGCGTGAACCTGGGAGGCAGAGCTTGCAGTGAGCCAAGATCATGCCACTGCACTCCAGCCTGGGTGACAGAGCGAGACTCTGTCTCAAATAATAATAATAATAATAATAATAATAGACCAGGCACAGTGGCTCATGACTGTTAATCCCAGCACTTTGGGTGGCTGAGGTGGGAGGATTGCTTTAGCCCGGGGGTTTGATACCAGCCTGGGCAACATAGGGACACCCTGTCTCTATTAAAAAAAAAAAATTAAAGAAAAAAATAATAGGAGAAGCTGGGTGTTGGGTATACAGGAACTCTCTGTACTCTCTTCACAATAATTCTAAAACTGCTCTAAAATAAAAGGTTTATTTGGAAATAAAAGGAACTGGCCAGTTTCAGTGCTTCACGCCTGTTGTCCCAGCATTTTGGAAGGCTGAGGTAGGGGGATCGCTTCAGCCTGGGAGTTTGAGGCTGCAGTGAGCTATGATCACACCACTGCACTCCAGCCTGGGCAACTGAGCAAGACCTCGTCTCTAAACAAAGAAAGAAAGAAAAGAAAGAACAACTACAGTTGCCTTGGAGAATAGGGATTGTCTAGGGCTGGGATGGAGGGAACAAGAAACACAAATAAGAAACCGAGTTGGCATCCAGGCTGAAGACAATTGGGTCTTCGCTGGGACCACTATGGGGTGTAGGAAAATGGACAATTTGGAACTGTTTCAGAGACACTGAATCCACGGGATGAAATGCTGGTAATGAAGGGAAGAGAAGATCCTTAGGGCCTCCCAAGCTTCTGGTCTGTGCTCCTGGGCTGCCCTGACTGAGCCTGGGAGGCTGGTGGAGGGGCAAGAAAATCAGCCGGGTGCCCTGTCCCTAAGCAGAGGGTAGGATGGGGGACTGGCGGGTGTTGTGTAAGTTTATATTTTCTTTTTCTTTGTTTTTGTTTGTTTGTTTGTTTGTTTTTTAAGACGAAGTCTCACTCTTGTCGCCCAGGCTGGAGTGCAGTGATGTGATCTCGGCTCACTGCAACCTCCGCCTCTCGGATTCAAGTGATTCTCCTGCCTCGGCCTCCCAAGTAGCTGAGATTACAGGCGCCTGCCACCATGCCCAGCTAATTTTTGTATTTTTAGTAGAGACAGGGTTTCACCATGTTGGTCAGGCTGGTCTCGAACTCCTAACCTCAAGCGATCGAGTTCGAACTCCAAAAAAGAACTATCATATGGCATATGAGGGGATGACCTCCTCTGCAAGGTGCCGGATCCCGGGGCTGCCCTAGGCCGGCTGCAGACTTGCTGTGTGGCCTCCAAGCAAGATCTTGCCCTCTCTGAGCCTCAGATTTCCCATTTGTAAAATAAAGACCAATAATGTCCAGGTTACAGGCTTGTGGGGGGTCATCAACTGAGCCCTGCCTGTTCGCTCAATAAACGTTGGTCGCTCCTTACTCCTTACCACTGAGTCTCAGGGCGAAAGAGTGGCGCCTGTCTCTTTAAATTATGCAAATAGACTGCGGGTGGCGTAAGGGGGGGAACATAAAAAGGAGCCTAGTCTTCGGCTGGACCAATCAGCGCGCTGAGCTGGCGGAGCTGGGCGCCTAAATGGCCCAATGGGGGGCCGCGCGGGATCAGAGCCCGCCCTGCCTCCTGGCGCCGTCGCGGGGGTGGGGACTTTCTAGGCCACGCCCCGGGGGCGGAGCCCGCCGGCAGCCGCGCCGCAGCCGCGGAGGGAGGGGCGGGGCGGGCTCCGGTGTCAGCGACCAAGCCGCAGGTGGCGGCGAGCGCGGGGCTCGGCCCGAGCTCAGGAGGTGAGTGTTGCCCCCCGGAACCCCCTGGGATACCCTGGCCCGCGCAGCCTCCCACGCGCACCGTGCCCTGCAGCCCCGGCGGCTGCGGAGGGCAAAGGCGCGGCGGGACGCGAGGGATGGAGAGCAGGGGGTTGGGGCTACGCGGTGGGCGCCCCGGCTTCCCCCTCCAAGTGGTAATTGGGGGTCCGCAGGCGAAAATGGGGACCGCTCCCCAAATCCCCCGTCTCCTGGCCTAGAACCGAGCGTGCACGGGGGCGGCGACGACGCGAGACCCCTCCCCAAATTCTTTTATTCTAAGCCTAGGTCTGGGTTCTGGGGCTGCAAAGATGGGGGCGCCGCTCCCCTTCCAGCCTGGAACCCTGGGCGGTGGCTGAGATGGGGACCACCCGCAGATTCCCTCTTCCCAGCTCCGGCCTGCAGACCACCGGGGACCGAGACGAGGGACCCCTTCCCTTTTCCTCCACTGTGAACCCCTATCCAGGCCTGGTGGCTGGAGGAGCTGGGGTGTCACCTGGCCCCTCCTCTAATCTGCCCCATCCCAGTCCTCCACCTTAAGGATGGGGTGGGGGGCGTTTCACTGGCATCTTCTGTGGGGACCCCAAGGTTGGAATTTTGGGGAGGAGGTCACTGTGGGGTCCCCTGCCTGGCACGGTTTATCCAGGCCAGGCCTTGAAGGGCCTGGAGCCTGGACTTGGGGGGGGGGTCCCTCTTTTACTGAGGGGCGGGGTGTACAGCTAGCATCTGTTTCTGGGGATTAAAATAAATCGAGGTAAATTAGGATCTTGCCAGAGGCTGGCTGTGAGTGGGGTGCGGAGGAGGCTTGGGGGGTGGGGGACCCCTCCATCTGCCTTGGATCCCCCGAGTCACCTGCCCCAGCTGCACTGGGGACCAGGAGGCAGTGTCGAATGGACCTGCTTCACTGGTGACCTTGGGCAGGTGACAGCACCTTTCTGAACCTCGGTTTCCTCTTTTGAAAATTGAGGTTGGGAGCTTCGGACCCTGCATTTTACAGATTCTGAACTCACCCAGCCCACATTTTGTCCAATGGTGATTCACTCTTTTGCTTAACATGTGGGTGGTTTGGGGTCAAGACAGCATTGGGTTTGGAGACCCTCCCACAGTGCCTTGCTATCCTCTCAGCCTCAGTTTACTGCACTGCAAAATGGGTTGATGATGACACTCTGATATTGGGGCTGAGGGCATGGGGACAGGGAGTAAAACATAGGACCAAGCTGCAATGGCTGGGATGGGGCATCGCCACCCTGGTCTCACCATTGGGGCCACTTAGGGCACACCCTGACCCACATACCATCACCCACGCCAGGGGTGAACCTGTTCTCGGGCGAGGTCCTGGGCAGGAGGGGGTGGGAGTTGCCAGGCCAGCTCATTCCCTGTCCCTTGGAGCGCCCTCCCAGTGGTGGGCATGGGGCTGGGAGTCTGACACCCCCAGGTTTGAATTTGCCTCTACCTGTGTGTGTGTTTTTCCCTTGGTGCCTTTGTTTGTTCTTCTGTGAAATGGGCTGAATTCCTCTGGGAAGATGGGAGGAGTCTGTGGGAGGAGGAAGCTCTGTAAATACAGACATGATTATTATAATATTAATGACAGTATTAGTGCTCTTTAAATCGGGTCACAGCTGACCAGGAGGAGGGAGGGGAAGGGGGAGTCTATCAAAGGCATTGCCTGAGGAGACTCCAGCACCTGGGAAAGTTGGGTACACAGTAGGCATTCAATAGATGTTTGCCAAATGAAGTGAGGAAGAGGGAGGGGACCCATGGGGAGGACAGAAAATTTCTGAGAATCCCTGGCTCAGATTCCCACTTGGTGGCCCGAGTCACTGTGTGACCTGGGGCACGTGTCTCAGTTTCCCCATCGTGGTGCTGGTTGAGATAAGATACTGCCTTGAGGTGTGGTGACGAGAATCAAGCCAGATTGTCTGTGATCGCAGCCCAGGTGGCGAGGCCAAGAGGGGAGACATGACATAGTGGGTCATTGAAACAGCATGGTACCTGCTTGAACCAAGTGACTGGTCCGTGGGAAGGATGAGAAAACCCTTGCTACTGGCCCTACTGTACATACACTGGGGTCCAAGAGAGAGGGAAATGTGAGATCCTGTTTCCCAGGATCCTGGAAGCCAGATCGTGGAAGGTCAGGAGTGGCCCAAGGTCATCAGGCAAGACGTCAGCGGCTCCGGACACCCAGCCAGGCACCACTCGATTCCCAGGATGGGAGCTCGGGTCTTGCCTTTGTTGCTGATGTGGTTCCTGCTTTGTTTTATCTGTTCTGGGGCTGCTCACATGTCTCAGCCCCAGGTTTGCAAGACTTGGTGCCGGGAAGGCAGGATGGGGACCTCTGAGTCAGCTGGCAATGTGCTGTGTAACCTTGGGCAAGTCTCCGGCCATCTCTGGGCTTTGTGCTGGTACTGTACAGGCTGGGAGACTTGGGTTCTAGCAGGGCTGACTTCTCCATCAGACCCAAAATGCCCAGTGTCTCAGGCTCACAGTGCTTTTAGGGGTCCCTAGGTTGATGTTTTCACTTCTTTTAAAATCCAAAGGGAAAAAAATGAACTCTTGGGTTGAAGGAAACATTTTTGTGTATAATATTAATATATTTGTCTTTATGTCAATGTAGTTGTAAAATACAGTTTTGTTTTGTTTTGTTTTTGAGACAGAGTCTCTCTCTGTCACCCAGGCTGGAGTGCAGTGGCTCGATCTCCGCTCACTGCAACCTCCATCTCCTGGGTTCAAGCGATTCTCCTGCCTCAGCCTCCCGAGTAGCTGGGATTACAGGCATATGCCACCCCACCCAGCTAACTTTTGTATTTTTAGTAGAGACGGGGTTTTACCATGTTGCCCAGGCTGTTCTCGCACTCCTGGGCTCAAGCAATCCACCTGCCTCGGCCTCCCAAAGTGCTGGGATTCCAGGCATCAGCCACCACCTAAAATATAATTTTAAATTTCTTTTGTAGTGAAGGAAAGCGCTCATGAATGCAAAAATGTCTTCCCCTTTCTTTTCTTTTTTTTTTTTTTTTGAGATGGAGTCTCGCTCTGTCGCCAGGCTGGAGTGCAGTGGCGCAATCTCGGCTCACTGCAACCTCTGGCTCACTGCAACCTCCACCTCCCGGGTTCAAGTGATTCTCCTGCCTCAGCCTCCTGAGTAGCTGGGACTACAGGCATGGGCCACCACGCCCAGCTAATTTTTGTATTTTTAGTAGAGACGGGGTTTCACCGTGTTGGCCAGGATAGTGTCAACCTCTTGACCTCGTGATCCACCCACCTTGGCCTCTCAAAGTGCTGGGATTACAGGCGTGAGCCACCGCGCCTGGCCATGTCTTCCCCTTTCTGAGCGCATTTCCCTCTCTGAGCCTCAGTTTGCCCAGTCTGTGAAGTGGGTATCGGCCTACCTCAGGATGGCAAGATGTTGAATGCCTGGGCCAGGGTTGGTGCTCAGTTATTTCCCAATTGCCATGATTAATATTTGTTCGGTAAGAACAGCTCCAGGTTCAGGCCGGGGGGCTCCAGGTTCAAGCGCCTCTTGTTTACTCACCCATGGCCTGTGTGGTTCCAGGGAGGTCCCATGGGTGCTGATCGGGCGGGGGAGGAAAGGTGGCGGTTGGATGGTAGGCGGGGCGGGGTGAGCTTCCTGTCCCCCCCCCAACCCATGCACACAAGCCTCCAACTTGGTGCTGACGGAAGTGGCCTCGTGGCTGTCTCCTGGCGCCTGCCCCGTCAGACAGGGGCCCCATCCCACTCGCTACCCTGTCCGGTGAGTTTGAGCCCTGGCCAGTAGATACCCATCATCTCGCCTTGGCCCCCCTCAGGAACAGAGGGGAGGCCCCCCTGCCCGGAGCCTGGGTTTCAGGAGAAGTAGCAGGTGTCACTTCCTGGGCTGGCCAAAGCCTGCATGGGGCCACCCGTTGCCCTGCCCCCCGTCCCCCATTCCAGCTGTGAGTGGTGGTTTGGGTTAGGGGGGCGGCAAGGGGAGCTTGGAAACCCAGAGAGCCACGCGTGATGGTTTCAAACAGGAGGTCATTGGCAGACAGACCAGGGGCAAAATCACAGTCAGCCGGGACCAATGATTGATCTCTCTGTGCCTCGGTTTCCTTCATAAAGTTGGGGTTGCCTCTGAGGGCATGGCATGAAGATTGGATGAGCAGATGCGTGTGAATAGTTGGGTACAGGGTCGCACACATACTGGTGCTCCATGTGTATCTGTCTGCCAGAGGTGGGGTGAGGCAATCTAATTGAAACTGTGAAAACAGTAGTGAGATTCTTGGTTTCTGGGGAACTTGGGCTCCTTGGTTCCTGGGATCTTCTAGAACAATGTTGGCCATCCAATACAGCAGCCATCAGCCCCATGTAGCTACTGAGCCTTGGAAGAGAGGCTGGCACAGCTGAGGAGCTGGGCATATAATTGTATGTATGTATGTATGTATGTATGTATGTATTTAATTATTATTTTTTTAAGACAGAATCTCACTCTTTCAACCAGGTTGGAGTGCAGTGGGGCAATCTTGGCTCACTACAACCTCCGCCTCCCAGGTTCAAGTGATTCTCCTGCCTCATCCTCCCAAGTAGCTGGGACTACAGGTGTGTGCCACCACGCCCTGCTGATTTTTATATTTTTTGGTAGAGATGGGGTTTCACCATGTTGGCCAGGCAGGTCTCGAACTCCTGACCTCAAGTGATCCACCCACCTCGGCCTCCCAAAGTGCTGGGATTACAGGCGTGAGCCACTGCGCCCAGCCAATTGTATTTAATTTTACTTGGTTTAACATTAATACAAAAATTAATACAAAAATTAAGGCCAGGGGTTGTGGCTCATGGCTGTAATCCCAGCACTTTGGGGGTCCCAGGCAGGAGGATGGCTTGAGCTCAGGAGTTCGAGACTGGCCTGGGCCACACTAGTGAGACCTAGTCTCTACAAAAAAAAAAAAAAAAATTTATTTTTAATTAGTTAGACATGTAGTCCCAGCTACTCGGGTGGCTGAGATGGGAGGATCACTTGAGCCTGGGAAGTCGAGGCTGCCATGAGCTGTGATCATGCCACTGCACACTCCAGCCTGGGTGACAGAGCAAGAACCTGTCTCCAGAAAAAATAAAAAAATAAAAAAAACTTAATACAAAAATTATTCAGGCGTGAGCCTGTAGTCTCAGCTACTCGGGAGGCTACTATTCAAGGCTCCCTTGAGCCTGGGAGGTGGAGGCTGCAGTGAGCTATGATCGCACCACTGCACTCCAGCCTGGGCAACAGAGCGAGACCCTGTCTCCAAAAAAAAAAAAAATTAAGTCACCACATGGGGCTAGTGGTTCCCATGCCAGTCAGCACAGCTCTAAGAGATTTGGAGATGCTTAGGGTCCTGGTCATGGACAGAAGCTAAGAAATGATATGGAAATTTAGGGCTTTTCCCCTAGGGATGTCAGTGTAGCATGCTCACCACCCTACCCCTGCCACCAAACTAGGTTTCCTAAGGGGGTGTGGTGGGGACTGAAGTTTTTCAGGGGCCCTGTCATTAACCAGTGCAGGGTTGGGAATGTTTGTTGAAACAAATAATTCCTTGCCCAGTGAACTCCTATTCATGCTTTAAAACCCCAACTCCCATGAGCCCTCCTTTAGTCCAGGTTCTTTTGGACCTTGTCCCTCCATCTGGCCCAGCCCTGACCATGCAGGACGGTGATATCTGTGTCCAGCTCTGTCTCTCTAGACTGGGGACTCCTGCAGGGCCAGGCCCGAGGCTGAATCAACTCAGGGACCCTGACATTGTTCTAGTCTGGGTGAGCAAGTAGGAGGTCTTGGGTGACTCACAGAAGTCCCGGGATTGGAGGCTCAATGATAATGGGTCCAATTAAACTAACTAACTTTCTTTCTTTTTGAGACAGGGTCTTACTCTGTCGCCCAGGCTGGAGTGCAGTGGCGCCATCTCAGCTCACTGCAACCTCCGCCTCCCAGGTTCAAGCGATTCTCCTGTCTCAGCCTCCCAAGTAGCTGGGATTACAGGTGCCCGCCACCACACCTGGCTAATTTTTGTATTTTTAATAGAGACAGGGTTTCACCACTTTGGCCAGGCTGGTCTCAAACTCCTGACCTCAAGTGATCTGCCCGCCTCGGTCCCCCAAAGTGCTGGGATTACAGGCGTGAGCCACCACTTCTAGCCTAAACTAACTTTCAAGATTAGGTAAACTGAGGCACAGAGAGGGGCAGCCTTGCCCAAGGTCTTGCTCAGTCCTTTCCTGGGGAGGCCCCGGGAGCTTCCCCATCCTGTGGTCACGGGTCCCTGTCACTCCTGCCACTGTTCCTACGAGGCTCCCAGCTGCTACCGAGCTGCCTGTGGGGTCATGAATTATGCATGAGGCCTGCAGGCTCCAGTGACAAGCCTGGCCTCTAGAACATGCCAAGGACACTGCCTGTCCGTCCCCTGCCGGGCGGCCTGACCCAGCCTCTTGTGCAGAGACACCTGGGGCTCCCCGGCAAGATCCCTTCTAAGCATTCCTTCTTATTTTGCAGATGGGGAAACTGAGGCACGGAGCTGGACAGTGACTCAGACACCAGGTGAACACTGGCTTTTGAGGGCAGGGTTGGGACTCGTGGGGGCAGCAATGCCAGCTGGGTCATCACAGTGAGGAGTGAGCTCTGACTCCCAGGAGGGTACATAAGGTGAGGACTGTCCTAGAGGAATCAGAAGATCCCAGGGGACCCTCAGGGATACTTCAGGGACCCCAACCCCCATGTGGCTGATCACAGCCCCTGCATCTATTTCTCTTCAAACCCTTTTCCTGCAGGAGCTGCCTGGAGTGGAGCTGAGAGCTCAGGTCTGGGCTCAGCCAGTCCAGAGTGCAAATCTACTGTCCCTTCCTAGCTGTGTGATCTTGGCAAGTGACTTCCCCTCTGGGGGAGGGGAGGGCTCAGTTTTCCCATCTGTGAAGTGGATCAGAGCTTTCCTGTCAAGGTTAGGGGTCATCCAGCACTGCTCCTACCCACTGCTATGAACTCTTATACATGCCTAAAAACCCCACATTCCATGCCCCCTCCTCCAATCTAGACTCCCTCAGCTCTTGTCCCTCCACCTAGTCCAGTTCTGACTCTGTGGAATTGGGGGCATCTGTGTCTTGTTCTGTCCCCCTCTACTGGAGCTACTTGGGACCAGCACTGGGGCTGAATTATCTCAGGGGTCCTGGCATGCTCTTAGCATTGGAGCTTTCAGTTCCTCCTTCATCCTTTCTCTCCTTCCTCTACAGGGAGGGACTTTCCCCCCACCAAGCCCACACTGGCAATGACTCTGTAGCTCAAACTTGCCTCTCTCTTCAGACAGGCACTGGACGGGGCCTGCAGGGGTCTCCACAGAGACCATCAGGATGTCGTATTTTGGGGAGCATTTTTGGGTAAGACCCACTCTTATTTAGGCGGGGGATGCTGGCAGGGCTGTGGGGACTTTTATGGAGATGGGAGGACTGGGTGAGTTGCGGTTACAGCCTTGGACAGGTAGAGGATCTGCAAGGGATGGAAGTTAAAGTGGGAAGAGTCAGGCTGGGTTTGAATCCACACCCACCCCAGACCTCACAGGCCTTACAACCTTGGGCAAGTCATAGCTTGTGTCATAGGGAGACCAAGGGCCAGAGTGGGAACGTCTAGGCAACCTGAAGTTGCCCCATGAAAAAGTGCAGAGTCAGTGCTCAAACCCAGGGCCAAACTGAACTTCCAGGACCCAGGGTCATTCCAGCCAGGGAACTTCCACCCCCTTCCCATCCTGGAGAATTGGGGGGTTTTCCTGACCTGGCGTCTCATGGCCTGTGCACCCCTCCACTGTCCAGGCTGGAGATCACCTCCTGTAGCCCAAGGGCTGCTGAGTGAGACAGAGTTGTTTTTATTCATTCATTTCCTCTCTCCCTGCCACTGTGACCTCATCCCCAGCCAGCCCTAGGAGATGCTGGGGTCTCCAAGAGAATCCATCCCAGCCCCAGCCCCAAGGGAGGAGTCCCCAGTCTGGGGGACCCAGAGCCAGCTTAGACACCTTCAGCCCTGCAGGACCAGGGCTGAACCCAGCCTTGGGGGTCCTAGAGTAGGAACCAGGACACAGAATCGTGTTTGCTGTGAGAAAGCCTGGGCAAAAGACCAGAGATGTGACATTGAGTGGCAAGTTCAGGGAACAGGGACTCCTCCTGCAGAGCCAGGCTAACAGGGTGCCACAGAGGATGGGTGAACAGGGGAGGGCCCAGGAGTCAGGGAAGGACCAGGTCAGAAAGCCCCTTCCCCAGTTGCAGGCCCTGAGCTTGCAGTGAGGAAGCCTGTTGCTAGGCGACTGGTTGCCCCTGGCAACAAGCCCCACTCCTGCCCTTGCTCCCTCCCCAGCTGGGGCTCCTCTTGAAAGCACTTGCTTTCTTAAAGGGGCCGCACTCCCTTGCCACCTGCAGGGGTGTGACCTCCGCCCTCTCTCCAAAGGTCAGACTCCCCGATTTGCCCCTGAAAGGCTGTGTGACTCCAGTGAGGGGCTACCCCTTTCTGAGCTCCTTTTAGTACTGCCGTGTAATGGAGGTGACCATTTGAGGATCAAAAGTCACCTGCATTTTGGAACCCCGACAGTGGCACCTACATTTATTTTAAATCCTTTTTAATTGTGTGAGGCGTGCAGGCTCGCTGCAGAAAATTCAGATCAGCAAAGAGAAAATAGAAACCACCCCCGACTTCCCCACCTCACCCAAAGATATCCTGGTAGAGAATGGTTAAGAGCTTTGAGTTCAGGATTCGAATTGACTCTGCTGGAAGCCCTTGAGCAAATGACTTTGCCTGCCCGAACCTCTGTTTCCCCATCTGGGAAAAAGGGATGAAATTCCTGCACCGCCACTCCCACCCCATGCACCCCACACACCCCCAGACTCAGGGAGGCCTCCTGTGACATCTGTCATCAGTTGCTAGTATTGAAGCCGCCATAGAAGCCTGGTTCTTTGCTGGGTGGTGCTGGGGAGATTAAGCCAAACAGGGATGCCCCAGTCTCATTGCGCCAGGGCAGGGCCGAAGCATGAAGTGTACTAGGGAGCCATGGGGGAAGTGTGAGCAGGAGAGGGACATAAACAAGCTCTGTTACAAAGACCACACTCTTGGCTGGGCGCAGTGGCTCATGCCTGTAATCCCAGCACTTTGGGAGGCCGAGGGAGGCGGATCACCTGAGGTCAGGAATTGGAGACCAGCCTGGCCAACATGGCAAGACCCCATCTCTACTAAAAATACAAAAATTAGCCGGGCATAGTAGCATGAGCCTGTAGTCCCAGCTACTCGAGAGGCTAAGGCAGGAGAATTGCTTGAACCCGGGAGGTGGAAGTCGCAGTGAGATCGCGCCACTGCACTCCAGCCTGGGTGATGGAGTGAGACTCCGTCTAAAAAAAAAAAAAAAAAAAAAAGACCACATTTTGGCTGGCACAGAGGCCAAGTCTGAAGTCTAGAAGTTCTGGTGGGAGAGACAGACCTGAGACAGCCCCTCCTAGGACCCTCGGCTGCCAGCCCAGTCCAAGAGAGGCAGACGCTGCTGGGGGTTTGCCAGGTCTGGGAAACGGGCCAGCAGTTGGCTCTGAGTCAGACCCAGATGCTGCTCTGGGCGGTGGTGCCTGGTGCAGCCTCACCCGAGGATCTCCTGGGGCCAGCACTGTGCCAGCCTCATCCCAGCAAGACCCTTGGGAGTTGGGTGCTGTTGTTGTCCCCATTTGTCACACAAGGAAGGAAACTGAGGCCAGAGAGACGAAGTCACCAACCCAAAGTGACCCTGTACGTATAAGGAGATTGGACACTTGAACTTTGAAAATATAATTCCAAACACAAGAAGAGAAAATATAGGTGGAGCGTGGTAGCTCACGTCTGTAATCCAAACACTTTGAGAAGCTGAGATGGCGGATCGCCTGAGCCCAGGACTTTGAGACCAGCCTGGGCAACATAGCAAGACCCCGTCTCTACTAAAAATACAAAAAATTAGCTGGGTGTGGTGGCGCGCACCTGTGGTCCCAGCTACTTGGGAGGCTGAGGTGGGAGGATCGCTTGAGCCTGGGAGGCAGAGGTTTCAGTGAGCCAAGATCATACCACTGGACTCCAGCCTGGGCGACAGAGCAAGACCCTGTCTCAAAAAAAAAAAAAAAAAAAAGCCGGGTGCGGTGGCTCACACCTGTAATCCCAGCATTTGGGAGGCCGAGGCAGGCGGATCACAAGGTCAGGAGATCGAGACCATCCTGGCTAACACAGTGAAACCCCGTCTCTACTAAAAATACAAAAAATTAGCCGGGTATGGTGGCGGGCACCTGTAGTCCCAGCTATTGAGGAGGCTGAGGCAGGAGAATGGCGTGAACCCAGGAGACAGAGCTTGCAGTGAGCCAAGATCGCATCACTGCACTCCAACCTGGGTGACAGAGTGAGACTCCGTCTCAAAAAAAAAAAAGAGAAAACGTATTCCTGGCGAGCTGGAGGGAGCAACAGTGAAGTGGGGGAGGGGGTTGAGCAGGGTTAGGGAAGTTTCTAGAGCAGGTGGCAATGATCCTTGGGAAGTGGAAGGATGTGGATGGGTGGAAGGAGATGCAAGCTGGAGAGCTGATGGCGGGAATAGCCTGGACAAAATGTGGTGGTGGAAAGGCACTGCCTGTCTTTGCTATTTGCTGTTTTGTGGGTGAGGCTAGGAAGAAGCTAGGAGATGAGGCTGGAGCAGCAATTCCAGGCCATGGACTTGGACTTCAGCATCTGGTGGGCAATAGGGACCCATTGATGATTCTAGAATGAAGTGTGACCATTGGGAGATTTGGGCTTGAGGCTGACCTGGGTCTGCCCCAGTCTTGGCTTCGGTGTCTCCATTGGTGCAGCAGGAAACGTTACCTAGCAGTGACTTCTGGCTTTAACCTTCAGGCTTCTGGCCAAGTGTGGTGACTCACGCCTGTAATCTCAGCACTTTGGGAGGCTGAGATGGGAGGATTGCTTGAGTCCAGGAGTTCGAGACCAACCTTGGTAACATAGTAAGGCCGTATCTCTACTAAAAATAAAAAAAACTAGCCAGGCCTGGTGTCACATGGCTGTGGTTCCAGCTACTTGGGAGGCTGGGGTGGGAGGATCTCTTGAGCCCAGGAATTTGAGGCTGCAGTGAGCCATGATTGTGCCGCTGCACTCCAGCTGGGGAGACAGAGCGAGACCCTGTCTCAAACATAGAAAAATATGTATAACATTCAAGCTTCCGGGTACCTGGGAGGGTGAACCTGGTAGGTTGGAGGAGGGCACAGGAAACTACCATTTATGGAAAACCCGCCAAATGCTGCCAGAGGGATGGCTTCACTGATGTGTGTTGGGACTTAAATGGCATCAGATCCCTCCACAAGCCTTCTCTTCCAGTGTTATTATAAGACCTGATTTGGTGCTAAAATGTCCCCAGTTCCCTCAGACCCCAGCTGATTACCTTTTTTTTTTTTTTGAGACAGAGTCTTGCTCTGTCAGCCAGGCTGGAGTGCAGTGGCGGGATCTCAGCTCACTGCAACCTCTGCCTCCCTGCTTCAAGCAATTCTCCCGCCTCAGCCTCCCGAGTACTTGGGACTACAGGCGCCCACTGCCACGTCTGGCTAATTTTTGTATCTTTAGTAGAGACGGGGTTTCACCATGTTGGCCAGTCTGGTCTTGAACTCTTGACCTCGAGTGATTTGCCCGCCTCAGCCTCCTGAAGTGCTGGGATTACACGCATGAGACACCACACCCATCTAGTCATTGATTTTAAAGTTGTAATGGTGAGTTTTAAGTCCAAATCTAAAGGTGTCCAATTCCAACAGCGGGCGCAGAGGACCAGGTCTCCAAGGGGTGGAGAGAAGCGGGATCAGAAGGTGTGTATGAGGCCGGGCGTGGTGGTTCACGCCTGTAATCCCAGCACTTTGGGAGGCCGAGGCAGGCAGATCAGTTGAGGTCAGGAGTTCAAGACCAGCTTGACCAACATGGTGAAACCCTGTCTATACTAAAAATACAAAAATCAGCCAGGTGTGGTGGCACACGCCTGTTAAAAAAAAAATCCTCATGTTTAATCTATATTGGTCTTGCTTTTAGCCTTTTCCTCAGTTCTATTCATATTGTTTATTATTTTTTGTTTTCTGTAGATGGTCATATAATCTGGTCTCAATTATTTTTCTTACCTTACTGCATTTGCCAACACCTCTACATCAGCATTAAATATTAGCCATGATTTGAGGCATTCCTGCCTCATCCTGAAATATGTTGTGTCTCCTGTTTTGCCATCTTTTTTTTTTTTTTTGCATTGGGGGACAGAGTCTTGCTATGTCACCCAGGCTGGAGTGCAATGGCACGATCTCAGCTCACTACAACCTCTGCCTCCCGGGTTCAAGCGATTCTCCTGCCTCAGCCTCCGAATAGCTGGGGTTATAGGCATGTGCCACCACGCCTGGCTAATTTTTGTATTTTTAGTAGAGACGGGGTTTCACCATGTTGGCCAGTCTGGTCTCGAACTCCTGACCTCAGATAATCTGCCTGCCTCGGCTTCCCAAAGTGCTGGGACTACAGGTGTGAGGCACCGCGCCCGGCCTGATTACCATTTTTAATGGACAGCTTAGTAGTGTTCAGGCATGATGCCCTTCCCAGGTGACAGAATCTGGCCGGCGTTAAGATATAGTTGTTGCCTCATTTTTTCCTACTCCTTTCATGCGGCAGAGGGTCCCAATTTTCCATTGAGAGTGGCAGAAAAAGTTGCCCTTTAACATAAATGTCTTTGGGGAAGAAGCATAAGCAAATTTAAAACAAATGCTAACTATTAATAACTAATGTTACGAATTAGCAAAAACTAGAGTGGCCTTTGGGGCTTTGGGGAGCATTGACATGGATTATCTTGCTGCTTGTATCATCTCCATGTAAGAGGCAGATGTCTCCCAGGCTGTAGTGTAGTGACATGATTTTGGCTCATTGTAACCTCCGCCTCCCGGGTTCAAGTGATTCTCCTGCCTCAGCTTCCTGAGTAGCTGGGATTACAGGCACCTGCCACCATGCTTGGCTAATTTTGCATTTTTAGTAAACACGGGGTTTCACCATTTTGGCCAGGCTGGTCTCGAACTCAAGACCTCAAGTGATCTGCCTGCCTCAGCCTCCCAAAGTGCTGGGATTACAGGGGTGAGCCACCGCGCCTAACCTCCCTGCCCCATCTTAATGAGGAGCTCCTAAAAGCTCAGAGGGGGCAGTGACTTGCCTGGGTCACACAGTGCAGCCCTGGCCTCCCCCACCATGACAACCCCAGAAATTGGAGTAAAGAGATTTTGTGAAGGCATTCGCAGGCACCAGGGTAGAAATACTCAGTTCCCAGTGGCACTAACAGGTAACAGCAGAATCATTTGTTTATTTATTCAACGAACTCAAATGCCCTTTCTGTCTCTCATTCTGTGCTGGGCTTTGGTGGGTCCTGGGAGAGAACTCAAACCTGGACCCTAATTTGGGTTCTCATAGGCGGAATTTCCATGTTGACAAGAACAGAAAACACAACTACAGTGACTTAAGCAACGGGGACTGTATTGGCTTATAAGATCAAATGATTATGGGGGAATGTGGCTTTCAGGGTTGGTTTGATCCAGCAACTCAATTTAACACACTTTTTTTTTTTTGTAGCTAGTATAAATGGGATCACTTTCTTGATTTCTTTTCAGCTATATTTTATTAATGGTGTATAGAAACGCTACTGATTTTCATGTTGATATTTGTATTTTGCAATTTAACTGAATTTGTTTATCAGTTCTAGGAGTTTTTTGGTGGTGTGTTTAGGCCTTCCTATACATAAGTTCATGTTGCAAAGAGAGACAATTTGACTTCTTTTCATGTATATACATATATATATATATATATATACACACACACTTCCCCCCCGCCCTGAGACGGAGTCTTCCTCTGTTGCCCAGAGCTGGAGTGCAATGGCGTGATCTCGGCTCACTGCAACCTCTGCCTCCCACGTTCAAGCAATTCTCCTGCCTCGGCCTCCCAAGTAGCTGGGATTACAGGGGTGCGCCACCATGCCTGGCTAATTTTTGTATTTTTAGTAGAGACAGGGTTTCTCCATGCTGGCCAGGCTGATCCCAAACTCCTGACCTCATGGTCCGCCCGCCTCAGCCTCCCAAGGTGCTAGGATTACAGGCGTGACCCACTCCAATTTATTTTTATTTTTATTTCATTCATTCATTCATTCATTCATTCATTTATTTTGAGACAGTCTTGCTCTGATACCCAGGCTGGAGTGCAGTGGTAGGATCTCAGCTCACTGCAACCTCTGCCTCCTGGGCTCAAGCAATCCTCCTGCCTCAGTCTCCCAAGTAGCTGGGATTACAGGCACGCGCCACCACGCCTGGCTAATTTTTGTATTTTTAGTAGAGACGGAGTTTTGCCATGTTGGCCAGGCTGGTCTCGAACTCCTGACCTCAAGTGAACCACCCACCTTGGCTTCTCAAAGTGTTGGGATTACGGGCGTGAGCCACCGTGCCCAGCTCAACACACTTTTTTTTTTTTTTAAATATAAAAGCCCTCTGGTTCAGCTTCTTTCTAAGGTTCACGGTTTCCATTTGACTTCCAGTATCCCCTGTGGCCACATAATTCCTCATTTATGGAAAGACACAAAGAGAAAAGGGGAGGAGACTGAGACAGAAACGGCAGAGAGACTCAGAAAAACGGAGAGAAAGACAGAGACACAAAGACAGAAGGAGACAAAGACACAGAACAAATGAGATTCCTCCCCAGCAACTATAGGACAAAAAGAAAATCCCAGGCTTCTCTCTGATTGGACAAATTTAAGGTCCATAGACAATCCCTATGGCCCAGGGGAAATGCAGCAAGCTGATTCGCTCAGGCCCGAACAAGTCCCTACAGCCAAGGGGATGGACTTCTGCTCCTTGGCCACGCCCCCGTTGCTAAGCAACTATGATGTTCTCTCCATCCTTTCTCAATCTCTATTCCCATCCCCTGCAGGGCGAGAAAAATCATGGCTTTGAGGTCCTGTACCACAGCGTGAAGCAGGGGCCCATCTCCACCAAGGAGCTGGCGGACTTCATCCGGGAGAGGTGAGGTCCCCAAGCCCCATCCACCAGAGGCCACGCCCACCATCCTGTAGTCACGCCCACCTAATGGCTACGCCCTGCATGGTCAGGGGCTAGAACCCTGGGGATTCCAGGAACCAGAGGGGCTCGAAAATCCTGGAAATGACCGATTCTCAACCCGGTCAGGCCCATATCTCCTTTTAAACAACAATCACCTGATTTCGAAAGCTCCCCTCCTCAAAAGAGGATGATATAACCTACTCAAGGTTGGAATTTTTTTTTTTGGAGACAAGATCTTGCTTTGTTGCCCAGGCTAGAGTGCAGTGACCCAATCATAGCTCACTGCAGCCTCGAACTCCTGAGTTCAAGAGATCCTCCTACCTCAGCTCCCGAGTAGCTGGGACTATAGGCATGTACCACCACATCTGGCTTTTTTTTTTTTTTTTTTTTTTAAACAGAGTTTTGCTCTTGTTGCCCAGGCTAGAGTGCAATGGTGCAGTCTCGGCTCACTGTAACCTCTGCCTCCCGGGTTCCAGCAATTCTCCTGCCTCAGCCTCCCAAGTAGCTGAGACTACAGGTGCCTGCCACCACGTCTGGCTAATTTTTTTATTTTTAGTAGAGACGAGGTTTCACTATGTTGGCCAGGCGGGTCTCAAACTCCTGACCTCAGGCGATCCGCCCGCCTCAGCCTCCAAAAGTGGTGGAATTACAGATGTAAGCCACTGCACTCTGCCTTTTTTTTTTTTTTTCTTTTTGGAGACAGAGTCTCACTTTGTTGCCCAGGGTGATCTGATCATAGCTCACTGCAGCCTCGACCTACCGGGCCCAAGCGATCCTCCCACCTCAGGATCCTGAGTAGCTGGGACTACAGGCATGCACCACCACACCTATCTAAGTTAAAAAAAATTTTTTTTGTAGAGAAGGAGTCTCATTATATTGCCCAGGGTGGTCTCGAACCCCTGGGTTCCAGTGATCCTCCTGCCTCGGCCTCCCAAAGTGCTGGGATTACAGGCATGAGTCACCATGCCCAGCCTACTACTGTTGTTAATAAAATATATTACGTAAGAAAAAATCTTCTATGAATTTTCAAAACATCCCTCAGAGTGTTGTGTCATCCCCCCATTATGGAAAGCCACTGCTAAGGTGTTTGAGATGGGGAAACTGAGGCCCAGAGGAGCAGTGCCTCTCTCAAGGGTGTCTGAAAGCTTCTTCATCTTTTTTTTTTTTTGCGATGGAGTCTTGCTTTGTCACCCAAGCTGGAGTGCAGTGGCACGATCTCAGCTCACCGCAACCTCCACCTCCTAGGTTCAAGCGATTTTCATGCCTCAACTTCCCCAGTAGCTGGGAATTACAGGCATGCACCACCACACCTGGCTAATTTTTGTATTTTTAGTAGAGACAGGGTTTCACCAAGTTGGCCAGGCTGGTCTTGAACTCCTAACCTCAGGTGATCCGTCCGCCTCGGCCTCCCAGAGTGCTGGGATTACAGGCGTGAACCACTGCGCCCGGGCAGTTTCTCCATCTTTACCTCATTCTCCTCCCCAGGGCCACCATCGAGGAGACCTACTCGAAGGCGATGGCGAAACTCTCCAAGCTGGCCAGCAACGGGACCCCCATGGGGTGAGTGGGGTAGGGGTCACCAACATGGGGACATTGGGAGCCTCCTCCTTGGTGGACATCTCTTCACACTCGGTGCATGTAGAATAGAGTGTCATCCACCTCGATTATGGGGCTATTTGGATAGAGGGATGTATATCATTCATTCACACACTAGCTCATTCATTCATTCCACAAATATTTTTTGAGTGCCTTCTGTGTGCCAAGCACCAGCAGCAACCCAGACAGATAAAACCCCAGCCACCTTCATGCAATGTACATCTGGGCTGTGTGAGAAGAGAGATGTTAAATACAAACAAAAACATTTTTTTTCTGAGGTGAAAAGTGCTGGGAAGGGGGCCAGGTGCGGTGGCTCATGCCTGTACTCCCAGCACTTTGGGAGGCTGAAGTGGGCGGATCACCGGAGGTCAGGAGTTCAAGACCAGCCTGGGCAACATGGTGAAACTCCTCTCTACTAAAAATACAAAATTAGTCGAGTGTGGTGGCGGGTGCCTGTAATCCCAGCTACTCAGGAGGCTGAGTCAGGAGAATCGCTTGAACCCAGGAGGCGGAGGTTGCAGTGAGCCGAGATTGTGCCACTGCACTCCAGCCTGGGCAATAAGAGCGAAAACTCTGTTTTGAAAAAAAAAAAAAAAAAAGTGCTGGGAAGGGAATGAGATAGGAGTGTGAGAGATCGGGCACTTTCTCTGGGGTGGGCCCGACCTCCCTGAACTGAGACCTTAATAGAAAGGGGCAGGCCATGGGGATGTCTGAGGGACAGAGACCCGGGCAAGTGGCTCAGCCAGTGCGAAGGCCCTGAGTTGACAGGCGTGGCATGTTTACGGAAGAGTGAGGAGGCTGGCCTGGCTGCAGGGCTTGGGCAACGTGGAAAGGAAGTAGGAGGGGAGATGGCAGGGTGAGGCCTCAGGGGCCTGACACACAAATGACTTTGCATGAACCTTGTGCCCGGGCGCGGTGGCTCAAGCCTTTAATCCCAGCATTTTGGGAAGCTGAGGTGGGAGGATCACTTGAGGCCAAAAGTTCGAGACCAGCCTGGGCAACATGGAGAAACCCCTGTCTCTACTAAAAATGCAAAAATTAGCCGGGCATGGTGGCATGTGCCTGCAGTCCCAGCTATTTAGGAGGCTGAGGCAGGAGGATGGCTTGAACCCAGGTGATGGAGGCTGCAGTGAGCCATGATTGTACCACTGCACTTCAGCCTGGGTGACAGAGCCAGACCATGCCTCAAAAAAAAACAAAAATAAAAACAAAACACATAATGTGGTCCCCCGATGGCATTTGCAGTTTTCTTTGTGGCTGCTATGAGGCAAAAGTTCTGTGGGGCAGGCAGAAGTGGAGGCAGCAGGAGGAGAAGGTGGAGGGAGGCTGGATGGGGCTTCTGCTGAGTGGGGCAGGCCAAATTGACTCGATTGGGGCATGTGGTGTCTTAGTCACTCTTTTTTTTTTTTTTTTTTTTTTTTGAGACAGAGTCTCACTCTGTCGCCCAGGCTGGAGTGCAGTGGCGCGATCTTGGCTCACTGCAAGCTCCGCCTCCTGGGTTCACGCCATTCTCCTGCCTCAGCCTCCCGAGTAGCTGGGACTACAGGTGCCCACCACCACGCCCGGCTAATTTTTTGTATTTTTAGTAGAGACGGGGTTTCACCATGTTAGCCAGGATGCTCTCTCAATCTCCTGACCTTGTGATCTGCCCACCTCAGCCTCCCAAAGTGCTGGGATTACAGGCGTGAACCATTTTTTTTTTTTTTTTTGAGATGGAGTCTCGCTGTGTCACCCAGGCTGGAGTGCAGTGGTGTGATCTCGGCTCGCTGCAAGCTCCACCTCCCGGGTTCAAGCGATTCTTCTGCCACACCCAGCTAATTTTTGTATTTTAAGTACAGACGGGGGTTTCACCATGTTGCTCAGGCTGGTCTGGAACTCCTGACCTCAAGTGACCTGCTCGACTCGGTCTCCCAAAGTGCTGGGATTACCAGGGCCTGCGTTTAAATTCCAGCTCTAATGTTGATTTGTTGAGGGGCCTTGGGAGGAGCTATAGAGCTCCCTATGCCTCAGTTTCCCCATCTGTCACAGGCCCGCCTCTTACAGCTGCCATGGAGATTATATGAATTAGTATTCATTCATGTTTAGCAGGGCTCAGCGTGCAGCACATACCTGAGCCAGTGCCAGCGCTGTCCCGGGGTGGGGTGAGCCTGATGAACCCTGGGTGTGACCTTGCCCGCCCCCAGGACCTTCGCCCCGCTCTGGGAGGTCTTCCGCGTCTCCTCGGACAAGCTGGCGCTGTGCCACCTGGAACTGACACGGAAGTTACAGGATCTCATCAAGGACGTTCTCCGCTACGGCGAGGAACAGCTCAAGACCCACAAGAAGGTGTGTGTCGTGGGCGCCGCCCAGCGGCTGGGTGGGTGTGGAACACCGGCAGCTCACAGGACCCCAGATCTTCTGGGGCTTTATAACCTGCGGATGTCCGCCTCCGAGAATTCCGTTAATTCCACAACGTCAAGCCCAGGGTCTTACGGACCTGAGCGTTGTTGAATTTCAAACTTGCAAAATTCCAGACCAGGAGTTAGCACACTGTGGCCCACGGGCCAAATCCCGCCCACCCCCCACCAATGTTTGTACAGCTAAGAAGGGTTTTTTTTTTTTCTGCTTGTTTGTTTTTAAGAGACAGGGTCTCACTCTGTCACCCACATGCAGTGGCGTGATCAGAGCTCCCTGCAGCCTCAAACACTTGGGCTCAAGCGAACCTCCTGCCTCAGCCCCCACAGAATAGCTGGGACTACGTTGCACGCCACCATGCCTGGCTAATTTTTAAAAAATGTTTGGGCCTGGCGTAGTGACTCATGCCTATAATCCCAGCACTTTGGGAGGCTGAGGCAGGAGGATGGCTGGAGCCCAGGATCCTACAGGAGTTTGAGACCAGCCTGGGCAACATAGGGAGACCCCATCTTTACCAAAAAAAAAAAAACACCCAAAACTACCCAGGCATGATGGCACATGCCGGTAGTCCCAGCTACTCAGGAGGCTGAGGTGGGAGGATCACTTGAGCATGGGAGGTCGAGGCTGCAGTGAGCCATGATCATGCCACTGCACTCCAGCCTAGGCAACAGAGAAAGACTGTCTAAAAAAAAAAAAAAAAAAAACAAGAGAGAGAGATGGGTTATCACTGGTTTTTACATTATTAAAGGGTTAGAAAAAAATCTAAAGAAAAATAAAATTTCACCACATGTGAAAATTGTATGACAGTCACATATCAGTGCCAGTAAATAAAGTTTTATTGGCACAGAGCCATGCCCATTGATGTGCCTGTCATCTGTGGCTGTTTGGCACTGCAGCGACAGATTCAAGTGTTTGTATCAAGCCAAACACATTTGCTATCTGTCCCTTTACAGAAAACATTTGCCAACAGCTGTTCTAAAGCATTGGAAGTTACAGATATTCATATTTACTATTTTTACACTCTTATAAACCTAGAATCAGAAGAACCATCTTAGACTCTTAGAATTCCACAATATCCAAAGCTTATAATTGTAGAATCATAGATGCATTGTCTTTACAGAGTTCCAAAATCTGCATGTTTTTATGTCTTGTTTAAAAAGGGGGTTGGTAATACTTTGTTTTTGTTTTGTTTTGTTTTGTTTTTTTGAGATGGAGACTTGCTCTGTTGCCCAGGCTGGAGTGCAGTGTGCACAATCTCAGCTCACTGCAATCTCCATCTCTTGGGTTCAAGCAATTCTCCTGCCTCAGCCTCCCAGGTAGTTGGGATTACAGGTGTGCTGGTGCACGCCTGGCTAATTTTTTGTATTTTTAGTAGAGACAGTGTTTCACCATGTTGGCCAGGCTGGTCTTGAATTCCTGACCTCAGGTGATCTGCCCGCCTCAGCCTTCCAAAGTGTTGGGATTACAGGTGTGAGCCACCGCGCCTGGCTTTGCTGATTTTTAAATTTTTTGTATAGAAGGGATCTTGCTAGCCAGGAGCGATGGCTCATGCCTGTAATCCCAGCACTTTGGGAAGTTGAGGCAGGCATATCACTTGAAGTCAGGAGTTCCAGACCAGCCTGGCCAACATGGTGAAACCCTGTCTATACTAAAAACACAAAAATTAGCCAGACGTGGTGGCACACACACCTGTAATCCCAGCTACTCAGGAGGCTGAGACAGGAGAATGACTTGAGCCTGGGAGGTGGAGGTTGCAGTCAGTTGAGATCGCGACACACCACTCCAGCCCGGGCAACAGAGTGAGACTCTGTCTCAAAAACAAAACAAGGCAAAAAAAAAAAAAAGGAGAGAGAGAAGGGGTCCTGCTGTGTTGCCCAGGCTGGTCAAACATCTAACATATCTGCCTCAGCCTTCCAAAATGTTGGCATTACAGGCATGGGTCACTGTGCCTGGCCAGGAGTGAATTTTTAAGTGGTAAAAGCAGGCCAGGCGTGGTGTGCATGCCTGTAGTCCCAGCTACTTGGGAGGCTGAGCTGAGGTGTGAGAATTGCTTGAGCCTAAGAGTTAGAGACCAGTTTGGGCAACACAGTGAGACCCCATCTCTTAAAAAAAAAAGCTGGGCACAGTGACTTATGTCTGTAATCCCAGCACTTTGGGAGGCTGAGGCGGGCAGATCACCTGAAGTCGGGAGTTCAAGACCAGCCTGGCCAAAATGGTGAAACCCTGTCTCTACTAAAAATACAAAATTAGCCGGGCATGGTGGTGCATGCTTGTAATCCCAGCTACTTGGGAGGCTGAGGCAGGAGAATCGCTTAAACCCGGGAGGCGGAGGTTGCAGGGAGCTGAGATTGTGCCACTGCACTCCAGCCTGGGTGAAAGAGCAAGACTCCGCCTCAAAAAAAAAAAAAAAAAAAAGGCCTGGCACGGTGGCTCAAGCCTGTAATCCCAGCACTTTGGGAGTCCGAGGCAGGCAGATCACGAGGTCAGGAGATCGAGACCATCCTGACTAACACGGTGAAACCCCGTCTCTACTAAAAATACAAAAGAAAAATTAGCCGGGCGTGGTGGCGGCGCCTGTAGTCTCAGCTACTCAGGAGGCTGAGGCAGGAGAATGGCGTGAACCCGGGAGGCGGAGCTTGCAGTGAGCCAAGATCGCGCCACTGCACTCCAGCCTGGGTGACACAGCGAGACTTCGTCTCAAACACACACACACACACACACACACACACACACACACACACACACACACACACAAAACGGTGAGTTAAGCAACACAGTCTGCCACTGTTTGTCATAAAACTTGGGTTAGAACAAGCATCTTTATCCATATGCGGATTATTTCTAGAGAAGTATCACAGTAATAATTGGGGACTTCTAGGCTGGAGGGCCCATATATGGGAGGCTTTTTCCTGGCTTACCTCTTACAACTTTCTGAAATATGAACCATGTGTAAATAGTACTTTTTTTTAAAGTTAAAAATGTTTTGAAATGAAAAACGTACAGGCCGGGCGTAGTGGCTCACACCTGTAATCCCAACACTTTGGGAGGCTGAGGCAGGTGGATTGCTTGAGTGTAGGAGTTTGAGACCAGCCTGGGCAACATAGCAAGACCCCATTGCTATTAAAACACACACACAGAGGCCGGGCGTGGTGGCTCACACCTGTAATGCCAGCACTTTGGGAGGCCAAGGTGGGCAGATCACCTGAGGTCAGGAGTTAGAGACCAGCCTGGCCAACATGGTGAAACCCCGTCTCCACTAAAAATACAAAAAATTATCTGGGTGTGATGGTGAGCACCTGTAATCTCAGCTACTTGGGAGGCTGAGGCAGGAGAATTGCTTGAAACCGGGAGGCAGAGATTGCAGTGAGTCGAGATCGTGCCACTGCACTCCAGCCTGGACAACAAGAGCGAAACTCTGTCTAAAAAAAACCAAACCAAAACACACACACACACATAGAAAAAGACTGTGGAGCTGACATCACGTGGAGTGTTTGGGAGGTCAGGAATTTCACAGTCTACCCATGAAATCCCCTCCTACCCCGCAGTGCAAGGAGGAAGTGGTGAGCACCTTGGATGCTGTGCAGGTACTCTCGGGCGTCAGCCAGCTCCTGCCCAAGTCCCGCGAGAACTACCTGAACCGTTGCATGGACCAGGAGCGGCTGCGGAGGGAGAGTACCAGCCAGAAGGAGATGGACAAGGTGGGCTCACAGTGGGGGGGTTCTGAGGAATTTGCCGCGGGGCGGAGGGGCTGCCTGATCAGAGAGTGGAAACACATCCCAGAGCGACGGTCCTGGAACCTGTGGGTGATCACACCCTGGGTACCCCGAGGAGTTCACCTGCCAGGTGATGGGGCCTGGGGGAGGCCCCCTGAGTATCGCCCTCCCATCCCCGTTTCCTCCCTGTGCTTTGTAGGCGGAGACTAAAACCAAGAAGGCGGCAGAGAGCCTGCGGCGCTCAGTGGAAAAATACAACTCAGCCCGAGCTGACTTTGAGCAGAAGATGCTGGACTCAGCCCTGGTAAGAACCAGGCATCTGTACCTTTAAGACCCACACATGCCTTTGCCCTGGAGGTTATGGACTGCAGAAATCCCAGGCAGGGTGTGGTGGCTCACACCTGTAATCCCAGCACTTTGGGAGGCCGAGGCGGGAGGATCACCTGAGGTCAGGAGTTTGAGACCAGCCTGGCCAACATGGCGAAAGCCTGTCTCTACTAAAAATACAAAATTAGCCGGGCGTAGTGGCAGGTGCCTGTAATCCCAGCTACTCAGGAGGCTGAGGCGGGAGAATCACTTGAACCAGAAGGCGGAGGTTGCAGTGAGCCAAGATCGAGCCATTGTACTCCAGGTTAGGTGATAGAGTGGAACCCTGTCTCGAAAAAATAAAATAAATTCAAGCAGATTGGAATCTGAGGATTAGGAATCAGAACTTTTTTCAAGTTACAAGTGATAGAAGCCTTCATTCAAACCGACAGGTGTATATAAAAAAAAAAAAGAAAAGAAAAGAAAAAGGCTGGGCGCGGTGGCTCATGCCTGTAATCCCAGCACTTTGGGAGGCCGAGGCAGGTGGATCACGAGGTCAGGAGATCGAGACTATCCTGGCTAACACGGTGAAACCCCCTCTCTACTAAAAATACAAAAAAATTAGCCGGGCGTGGTGGTGGGTGCCTGTAGTCCCAGCTGCTCAGGAGGCTGAGGCCGGAGAATGGCGAGAACCCAGGAGGCGGAGCTTGCAGTGAGCCGAGATTGCGCCACTGCACTCCAGCCTGGGCGACAGAGCGAGACTCTGTCTCAAAAAAATAAAAAATAAAATAAAAAATAAAATTTAAAAAAACTGACAAGCTCAGGGAACTGTAAAGTTTTATTTTTGAGTTGTGGAGGTTTCAGTCATAGCTGAATCCATGTGCTCAAATAGTGCTGGCAGGAAATTGTGAATTTCTGCTTCTTTTATTTTTTTGAGATGGGATCTCTCTGTCACTCAGGCTGGAGTGCAGTGGCGTGATCTCAGCTCACTGCAACCTCCGCCTCCTGGGCTCAAGTGATTCTCCTGCCTCAGCCTCCCTAGTAGTTGGGATTACAGGCACGTGCCACCACACCCAGCTAATTTTTGTATTTTTAGTAGAAACGGTTTCACCATGTTGCCCAGACTGGTCTTGAATTCCTGACCTCAGATGATCCACCTGCCTTGGCCTCCCAAAGTGCTGGGATTACAGGCATGATACACCACAGCTGACCACTATTTCTGCTTCTTAAGTCTGTTTTTCTCTCTGGGGACATCACTCCCACACAGACATCCCCTTGTGTGTGTGTGTGTGTGCATGTGTGTGCAAGCATGCACATGTGTGCATCAAACTGGGCACCAGCAACCCCCACTTACATCCCATCAGCACATTGGCTCAGGAATGGAAGTGCCTTTTCCTGTAGAGTCAATGAAAGTCCTAGGGCAGACTCTCATTGGCCCTTCCCCAAATCAATCACTGAGCCAAGGGCTTAGGGTATTCTGATTGGTCAGGCTGAGTCATATGGCCACTTCTTCTTGGCCCTGACCTCCTTTCCACCTGCCTCTGCCCTCCTGCTTCAGCGCTTCCAAGCCATGGAGGAGACACACCTGAGGCACATGAAGGCACTGCTGGGCTCATATGCTCACTCGGTGGAGGACACGCACGTGCAGATTGGGCAGGTGAGTTGGGCAGGTGTGAGGAATGAGGCTGGGGTCACTGCTGGGCAAAGGGGCCTTGACCAGTTACACACCCCGCCCACCCGGCACAGGTGCATGAGGAATTTAAGCAGAACATCGAGAACGTCAGCGTGGAGATGCTACTCAGGAAGTTTGCAGAGAGTAAGGGCACAGGCCGGGAGAAGCCTGGTGAGTCAGGGCAGCCATTGGGGGTCGGGCTTCGGGGCCACAGCTGCAGACAGGCATGTGCCACCATGCCCAGCTAATTTTTTTTTTATTTTTTTATTTTTAATAGAGACGAGGTTTCACCATGTTGGCCAGGCTGGTCTCGAACTCTTGACCTCAGGTGATCTGCCTGCCTCGGCCTCCCAAAGTGCTGGGATTACAGGCGTGAGCCACTGCACATGGCCAGGCCTTGGTTTCTTCATGGGAAAAATGGGCTGCTGACAAGTCCAGCTCTCCAGCCTGATCTTATGTGTAAATGTCTTTGAACCAGATCCCAGAGGAGCCTTGAATGCCAGGCTTGGCTGATCAGACTTCACCCCCAGGGCCTAAGGGAGCCATTGAGGGTTGTTGAGCAAAAGAACAATTTGGGAATGCGCAGATGCAGGACTGGGAAGGAGTTAAGAGCAAAAGTTTTAGAGTGAGACGTGGGTTTGAGTCTTTTCTTCATCGCTTGCTGTGTGACCTAGGACCTGTGCTTTGACTTCTCTGAGCCTCAGTTTCCTCATCTGTAAAGTGAGGATGTAATAATGTTGCAACATTCAGTGATTTCATGCAGGTAAAGGGCAAAGGGTGTGCCAGGCACACAGTAGGCACTCACTAAATGCTGGTATACAGTTACGTCCTCAAGTCTTGTTAACTAGCAAAACCTGTTCTTTCTCCCTCCTGTCGCTCTGGCTCAGGCCTGGCTCAGGTCTCCCCTCCCTGCATGGGGCCCCACTCTTGCCCTTCACAGGCCCCAGATCTGTTTTGTCCTCCTCCTGCTCACACACCTTCCATGGCTCCCCATTGTTCTTGGGAGAGAGTTCCCACTCCTTATCCTGTCACTCAAAGCCCAGCCCACTGCACAGACGCATGGTCCATTCCCCGACCCAACCCAAGTTCCAGCCACAAATGCTGGAAGTATGTAGAAGTAGCTCATGTCACCCCCTGCGGTGGCACTGCCCTGCTGGAACCAGACCAGCCCCTTGGTCCATCCCACTTCTGATGATGTGGGGCTGGTTCTTGTCCGGGAACCTGATGGACCTTGAGTTCAGATCCAGGTGCCATTTTGTGGCCAAAAGTGTACTACCCTTTCCAAGCGCAGTCTCCCCACCCTCAATTTAGTTTCTTTCTCTCTCTCTCTCTCTTTTTTTTTTTTTTTTAATTTTTTTGAGGCAGAGTCTTGCTCTGTCACCCAGGCTGGAGTGCAGTGGTGCAGTCTCGGCTCACTGCAACCTCCGCCTCCTGGGTTCAAGCGATTCTCCTGCCTCAGCCTCCCCAGTAGCTGGGATTACAGGCGCCTGCCACCATGTCCGGCTTTTTTGTAATTTTAGCAGAGACAGGGTTTCACCATGGTGGCCAGGCTGGTCTTGAACTCCTGACCTCAGGTGATCCGCCCGCCTTAGCCTCCCAAAGTGCTGGGATTACAGGCATGGGCCACCGTGCCCAGCCCCTCAATTGAGTTTCCGTCTCCTGTCTCAGGACCTCTGGACTTCGAGGCATACAGTGCGGCTGCCCTGCAGGAAGGCAAGTACGTCTGGGCCTGGATGCCCAGGCTGGACCATGGGGGTGAGGGAGGCTGATCTGAATGTGAAAGGAGGCTCACAGTGCTCAGGTGCCCCCCAATCTATCCTCAGCGATGAAACGTTTGCGGGGAGCCAAGGCCTTTCGCCTTCCAGGACTAAGCCGGCGGGAGCGGGAGCCAGAGCCACCTGCAGCTGTGTGAGGAAGCACCCCTGCCCGGTCTGGCCCAGGCTAGACCGAGATCCCCTCCCCTGCCCAGGCTATCCCAGAAGTCCCCTCCTAGGATAGCCCAGGAGTATCCATATTCCAGGCTGGACCAGGATTCCCTCTACCTGAGCTAGACCAGGAGTACCTCTGCCCCCGGCTAGCTCAATATTACCGCTGCCCAAGCTAGTCCAGAATTCTTCCTTTTGCTAGGTTAGGCCAGGAATTGCCTGTCCCAGAGTAACGTAGCATCTTCCCTGCCCAAGCTGGCCCAGGATTGTTCTGTTTGCCAAGGCTAGCCCCGACTTTCCCTATCTTCACAAGGCAGCCCTTCAAATGAGTTCCAGGATTCCTTCCCTCCCAGGCTGTTTGAGAACACTCTCTACTCAGCTAACTTCAGATTCAACCCCCTCCCCAAGCAAGCCCCATGGTCCCACCGCCTCTAGGGCTAGCTCAGGGCAGTATCACAGTCTGGGAGCTGCCCCAGCTTCCATGTCCAGTGTTGGGGGCTGACAGGGGGCACCAGATGGGCTGCGGAAGCTGACACCAACATCTCTTCCTCCATCCCCAGAGATTTCCTGGAGCCCGATTCAGGGGTGAGTGATGTGGGAGGGGTCAGGCTGGGCTACAAGTGGAAGGAGTTTGATCCCACTCTTGGCTCCTAGAGTCCCGATCCCTACTGGAAACTAAAGAGCCGAGATTGAGGGGCGGGCTGGAGCCTGGGGGCTGGGTTCATATCCCACCTCAGCTGCAAAGTCCCATGGACTACGTGGGTGTGAATAATGTCCCTGCCGAAGCTCAGTTTGTCCCAGGAACCTGCCCACACACCCAGGGAAGACAGTCGTTGCCATCAGGGTTGGTTTTGAGGTCTGAGTCAAGGCCTGGGGGCAGGGCGGGGGGCGGTTGGCAGGGTGAGATGGAAGGTTCGATAGTGGGGCGCCTGACTCACTGCTGCCCCCTGACTCCCCTAGACATGTCCAGAGGTGGATGAAGAAGGTTTCACTGTCCGGCCTGATGTGACCCAGAACAATATCCTTCTGGCACCCCCTGGGGGCAGTTGTTGGCACAGCAAGGACAAAATTCTCCGTAATAACCAGTCCACCTTCAGCAGTCCTCTCTGTGTACATCCTGGAGAGAGTCTCCTTTGTGGATGAAGCCAACCTAAATGTAAACACCCACTCTATGGGGTCAGCACTGGGCAAGAGGGAGAGAGAAAAGGAGATCTAGCAGGGCTTCCTGGAGGAGGGGGCACCAGTGTTGGGGTTTTGCAGCCGAATAGGAGTTTGCCAGTTAGTTCTGGGCATGCTTGTGCAAAGGCTTCTCGGGGGGGGTGGGAGTGCTGGTGGGACATGGTGTCAGGACTGAAGGTGGCGCGTGGTGAGCGATGGGATTGGGCAGGACCTCGAAGGGTTTGAGCAGGGAGGGACGAGGCTGGATTGGAGAGCTGACTGGGGGAAAGCTTGTGTTGGGATTGGCTTGGACCTTGACTGCAGCCCACGCACGGCCGAGCCCTCCCGTTTCTCGTCCAGCGACTCCGACTTCGACGATGAAGAGCCCCGCAAGTTCTATGTGCACATCAAGCCTGCCCCGGCCCGGGCTCCAGCCTGCAGCCCCGAGGCAGCAGCGGCACAGCTCAGGGCCACCGCGGGCAGCCTCATCCTTCCTCCTGGCCCAGGGGTGAGGCGTGGGAGGGGTGCCCTGGGTGTTGCTAGAGAGGCTGGCTGGATGCATTCGTGTGTGATGTTGCCCACTTTGTCCACAGGGCACCATGAAACGCCATTCTTCACGTGAGTAGCCTTTGGTCTTCAGAGTGGGGAGGATCCTAAGGAAGGGAGGCTATGGGTTTGGGCTTGAATCATAACTCCGTTTTGTAACTTTGGGCAGGCTGCTTAACCACACTGACCTTCAGTCTCCTTTTCTGTAAAATGAGGTCATTATGAAATTAAGTGAGAGCTGAAAGGGGTAGCTGGGGCCAGGAGAAGCTAGCATCTGGAGACAGGCTCGCTTAGGCTTGAATCCATGTCTGCCTGATTTGCTGATCACCTTGGGCAACTGGCTGGACACCCCCGAGCCTCGGTCCCTTGGTCTGTGGAGTGGGGAGCATTGCAGGCAGGGTGACAAGAAGGCTGAAGGAGGTGCATCTCTTGTAGGGGACGCTGCTGGGAAACCCCAGAGACCTCGGTCTGCCCCCAGAACCAGCAGGTGGGTTCCACACGAGTGGGCAGGTGGGGGCTGTCCCCACCTCCTCCCTCCACCTCCCCATGTCTCCGCCTGGTGTTCTCTTGTCCCGGCTGGGAGTTGACGTCATGCTGGGGTTTTTTTGTTTTTGTTTTTGTTTTGAGACAGAGTCTCACTCTGTCACCCAGGCTGGAGTGCGATTTCAGCTCACTGCAACCTCCACCTCCTGAGTTCAAGCGATTTTCATGCCTCAGCCTCCTAAGTAGCTGAGATTACAGGCACCCACCACCACGCCCAGCTAACTTTTGTATTTTTAGTAGAGACAGGGTTTCACCATGTTGGCCCGGCTGGTCTCGAACTCCTGACCTCAAGTGATCTGCCCACCTCGGCTTGCCAAAGTGCTGGGATTACAGGCATGAGCCCTTGTGCCTGGCCCATGCTGGCTTTTGAGGGACCATTTAGTCATTCATTTGATGAACATTTATTGAGTGCCTGCTGTGTACCTGTGCTGTTCTAGGGTCTGGGTTCTGAGACAGGTCTCCCTTCTCAGAGTCACATTCTAGTGACTCCAGATTTTAAGAATAGCAAATAGGGCCAGGCGTGGCGGCTCACGCCTGTAATTCCAGCACTTTGGGAGGCCAAGGCAGGCGGATCACCTGAGGTCGAGAGTTCGAGACCAGCCTGACCAACATAAAGAAACCCCATCTCTACTAAAAATACAGCATTAGCCAGGCATGGTGGCACATGCCTGTAATCCCAGCTATTCGAGAGGGTGAGGCAGGAGAATCGCTTGAACCTGGGAGGCGGAGCTTGCAGTAAGCCACTGTTGTGCCATTGCATTCCAGCCTGGGCAGCAAGAGGAAACTCCGTCTCAAAAAAAAAAAAAAAAAAAAAAAAAAAGCAAATAAGTTAGAGCATATTCGATACTTCTAAGTGCTACGAAGAAACTAAAGCAGATGACGCGAAGACAGGAGGAGGTGACTTCCCTTGAGGTGGGGTTGGGAACCTCCCTGAGGGGGTGACTTGGAGCTAAGCCCCAAAGAGGAGCTAGGAGGTGACTGTGAAGAGAGCTGGGGAAATGGAACTCCAGACTGGGAACAGGCTGCACACAGTGGCTCACACCTGCAATCCCAGCACTGGCCAAAGCAGCCAGATCACTTGAGGTCAGGAGTTTGGGATCAGGCTGGCCAGCATGGTAAAACCCCGTCTCTGCTAAAAATACAAAAATTAGCCGGGCATGGTGGCAGGTGCCTGTAATCCCAGCTACTCTGGAGGCTGAGGCAGGAGAATCGCTTGAACGCAGGAAGCGGAGGTTGCAGCAAGCTGAGATCGTGCCACTGCACTGCAGCCTGGCCGACAGAGCAAGACTCCGTCTCAAAAAAAAAAAAGACTGGGAACAGCATGTGCAAAGGCCCCAGGGTGGGATGAGGCTTGGGAAAAATAGAAGCAGCCCTCTTGGCCTCACCCTCTCTAGCTGTGCAGAGAGATTGCAGTCAGAGGAGCAGGTGTCCAAGAACCTCTTTGGGCCGCCCCTGGAGTCAGCCTTTGACCACGAAGATTTTACAGGTGATGGGGATAAGGGATTGGAGGGCATGGGTGTGGCCGGAGGGAGGTTGGGTGGGGCCATTGCAGAGTTAGGCCAATGAGGTCCCCTGGAAGCCAGGCTGGAGGGAGGACTAGTCCGTGTAGGGGTGGGCGGGGCCAGAGTGCGCGTGGGAGGGGCCATAGATAGGGTGGGGCCTTGGCCAGTGGGCGGTGACTGAGTGGATGGGCCGGACATTTGTGGAGAGGGAAGTCACCAGAAGGTGTAGCCTTGGGGGCGTGCACAAGGACTTTGAATGGGGGCCCCCCTGACCTTCCCTCGACGTGGCCGTGGCCTGCAGGAGGATGGGCAGGGACTCTGAGTGGGCGAGGGTCGGAGCTGACCGCCCGCTTCCCTCCCCAAGGCTCTAGCAGCCTGGGCTTCACCTCCAGCCCCTCCCCTTTCTCCTCCTCGTCGCCCGAAAACGTGGAGGATTCCGGCCTGGACTCTCCGTCCCACGCGGCACCTGGCCCCTCCCCAGATTCCTGGGTCCCCCGCCCAGGCACCCCGCAGAGCCCGCCCAGCTGTAGGGCGCCACCCCCAGAGGCCAGGGGTATCCGGGCACCGCCTCTGCCAGACTCGCCGCAGCCCCTCGCCTCGTCTCCAGGCCCCTGGGGGCTGGAGGCCTTGGCCGGAGGAGGTGAGTCCAGCGGGCCTGGGCCTGAGAGTTGCTGGAACCCTGGGCGGGGGATTGAGCGCCTGCTTTGGGCAGGGCCTGATCAGGCTGCTGGAGACACAGCCAGGACCAGGCAGGCAGAACCTCCCACCGTTGCAGGGACAACAATGAGATGGACATTTAGCAAGGCAGGCGGTAGCGGGTGCCAGGTGGGGGCCCTCCCTGAGGAAGGGACATCTGAGCTGAGATTTGAGGGAGGTGAGGACAGAACCACGTGGACATGAGGGGAAAGGCGTGCTGGGCAGAGGGCACAGCCCCTGCAAAGGTCCTGGGGCAGGAGCGCGCTAGGCCTGTCTGAAGAACAGCAAGGAGGTCTGCCTGCTGGAACGGGGTGATCACGGAAGGAGGAAGAAGAGAAGGCAGGGACCAGGAAGGGCCTGATGGGCCCAGGGAGGGCTTGTGAATGTTACCCTGAGTAACGCTGAGGGCCATGAGCAGGGGAGGGGCGGGACCTGACTCAGGGGTCACAGGCTCCCTCTGGCAGCTTCGGGAGTGAGGGCAGAAACCAGAGACTGGGGAGGCAACCAGGGAGGCAAGTAGGCGATGGGGGTAAGGGTGGCAGTGGGAGAAGCAGGTGGAAAGGTCGCTGCAGGGGAGAGTTCGGAGGAGTAAGGATGGGGAAGGAGCGGAGTCAAGGGAGGGAGGAGGATGGGGAAGGAGCGGAGTCAAGGGAAGGAGGAGGATGGGGAAGGAGCGGAGTCAAGGGAGGGAGGAGGATGGGGAAGGGGCGGAGTCAAGGGAGGGAGGAGGATGGGGAAGGGACAGTCAAGGGAGGGAGGAGGATGGGGAAGGGGCGGAGACAAGGGAGGGAGGAGGATGGGGAAGGGGTGGAGTCAGGGAGGGGTGGGGGACGTCGAGGCTGTGCCTTTAGGTGTCAGGTGCACAGTGGACCCTGAGTGTGGGGAAGGTCAGGTCAGAGCACCCCCTCCTTGAAGACGTCATCAAAACAGGAGGAGCAGCCGCCCAGGGAGAGCAGAGGAGAGGACAGCCGGGGAGCCCAGAGGGGTTGGAGACAGGAGGACAGCAGGAGATGGGGGGAGAGCGGCGGGATGGGCTCCTGGGGGCTGTCTGAGGAGAATGGGAAGCCCCCGAGTCAGAGGGACTGTGGGCTGTGACCACCCGAGGTCCCCAGTAGTGTCAACAAGGGCTCCTGGCACCCTCCATAGGAAAGGGCCAGGCTGGAGCCCGTTCAAGGGAGAGCTGAGTGGGTGGAGACCACAGAGTGGGGGCAGAAGAAGCTCTTTTTTTTTTTTTTTTTTTTGAGAGGGAGTTTTGCTCTTGTTGCCCGGGCTGGAGTGCAGTGGTGTGATCTTGGCTCACTGCAACCTCTGCCTCCCAGGTTCAAACAGTTTTCTGCCTCAGCCTCCCAAGTAGCTGGGACTACAGGTGCGTACCGCCACACGTGGCTAATTTTTGTATTTTTAGTAGAGATGGGGTTTCACCATGTTGGACAGGCTGGTCTCGAACTCCTGACCTCAGGTGATCTGCCTGCCTCGGCCTCCCAAAGTGTTGAGATTACAGGCGTGAGCCACCGCACCCGGCCTGAGTAGAGGCTCTTATCCAACCCTGCAAATTCTGCCCCCCCAGGGGACATTGTCAGTGTCTGGAGACATTTTTGGTTGTCACCACCAGGCAGGAGTGGTGCTCCTGGCATTCAGTGGGTGGAGGCCTGGGTTGCTGCTCAGCACCCTACAGTGCACAGGGCAGCCCCCGCCCCCGAGAATGGTCCAGCCCCCAAATATCCACAGTGCTGAGGCTGAGAAAGTCGGGTAGAGCGGGGAGCACAGCTTGGGGTACAGGTGAGAGGGGAGGTAGGTGGGAGGGGAGGTTGGCAAGCAAGGGAGCACGTTCATAGATGGAACAGAACCAGGACCCTGAGGAAGCAGGAGAGGGAGGGGAGCTTGGGTGTTAAAGGCATGAGACTCAGACACAGACCACAGTAGGTGGCTGCAGTCAGGTTCTCGGAAAGGGTAGAGGTCACAAAATGGCTGAATGTTGGCTAAAAATCCTCTGCTGAACCCCCCTTACAGCATGCCTGCGTCTTAAGCCTTCAGTGCTTGCTTGCATACCCCCAGTGATGGGGAGCTCACCCCTTATTGGGCCACCATTCTGGTGTCTGGGAGGGTTGGGGGTGTGGACAGTATCTGCAGTCCTGTCTGGCACCTTTTCTGCAACACCAGGACTTCAGACCCATTGGGGGTCTCTGCAGAAAAGCCCACCTCCTAAGATTTTGGCTGAGTTTGTGCCCCTGGGGAGGCCCCAGAGGCCCCGGGCAGCATCTCAGCAGTGCCTCTTTGTACTCGCTCCTAGACCTGATGCCTGCACCTGCTGACCCCACAGCCAGGGAGGGCCTGGCAGCCCCACCCAGGAGACTTCGCTCTAGGAAGGTGTCCTGCCCTCTCACACGTAGCAATGGGGACCTGGTAGGTGAGGGGGCGTGGCAGGAGCTGGACTGGGGGTCGCGTCTGGGGTCCGCTTTTGGGCACTGGTCCTGGGGCACTCACAGCCAAGATTGTCTCTTTCCCTTCCAGTCTCGTTCCCTGAGCCCCTCCCCACTGGGCTCTTCAGCCGCCAGCACTGCCTTGGAACGGCCCAGCTTCTTATCCCAGACAGGACACGGTATGTGAGGGCGGTCCTGGGCCTGGCTTTGGGCCTCAGTGTCACCTTCTCTGGTCTGGGTGGGTGGCTTCTCTGTTGGCAGAGGTGTGGTTGGGCGGAGGGAGTCTCGAGCCTGGAGCCTATATTCACACTGTCTATCCGTTGTTCCCCATTCCCTCTCCACCACCCCCAGGAGTCTCCCGGGGTCCGAGCCCTGTGGTCCTGGGCTCCCAGGATGCCCTGCCCATAGCCACAGCCTTCACAGAGTATGTCCACGCCTACTTCCGTGGCCACAGCCCCAGGTACCCAGTGATGGGCAGACAGGGCCCGTGGGAAGTCTGTGTTGGGGGAGTCCAGCAGGGACAGCTTTCAGATGTGCTTCATGGTCTGTCTTATAGTGAAAGGGCCTTGAACACTGAGCCAAGTGACCAGGCCCCTGTCCTGAGGGCAGTGGAGCCATAGGAGGGCCTTTTTTTTTTTTTTTTTTTTTTTTTTTTTGAGACAGAGTTTCGCTCTTGCTGCCCAGGCTGGAGTGTGCAGTGGTGCAATCTCGCAATCTCAGCTCACTGCAACCTCTGCCTCCCGGGTTCAAGCAATTCTCCTGTCTCAGCCTCCCGAGTAGCTGGAACTACAGATGCGTGCCACTGCACCCGACTAAATTATTGTGCTTTTTGTTTGTTTATTTGTTTGTTTGTTTGTTTTGAGACAGGGTCTCACTCTGTTGCCCAGGCTGGAGTGTAGTGGCGTGATCTCAGTTCACTGCCACCTCTGCCTCCTGGGTTCAAGAGATTCTCCTGCCTCAGCCTCCCGAGTAATTCTGGGATTACAGGCACATGCCACCACACCCTGCTGATTTTGTGTCTTTAGTAGAGACAGGGTTTCACCATGTTGGCCAGGCTGGTCTCGAACTCCTGGCCTCAAGTAATCCAGCTGCCTCAGCCTCCCAAGGTGCTGGGAGGATAGACATGAGCCACTGTGCCCAGCCATAGGAGAGCATTTAAGCAGGGCTATGCATTGCTGTAGACGCCAAGGCTGCCGTGGGCATTAAGATGAAGGGAGTAATACTAGAAGTTAGGCCCAGTAAGTGGGTAAGGGCGTGGGTTAGGGACAAGCGGAGTGCAGGGATATATATTGGGGTGGCCTTCAGCAGAAAAGATCTGAAAGTCAAACCATGAAGAAGAGGAGAGTGTCAGATCAAAAACCCAAGCAAAGGATAGCTAAAAAACTGAACATTTTAATTTGAGCTTCCTGGTGGCCTAGGAGAAAAGAGAACTAGGGATGGAGATGTTCCTGCCTCCTTCAGCCCAGGGTGGATTCTTCCTGTCCAGGCAGGAATGAAAGAGGAGGTTGGGGGAAAGGATACGGGGGATCATCAGGGCCATCCTCCTAGATCCGAGGAGTCTGGGGAGCCACAGGCACCAGTGAAACCAAGAGAAGGGGAAGGATGAGGCACCAGGCAGAGCCCTAAGCCAACACCCAGTCCCCTCATCCTCCCTAGCTGCCTGGCTCGAGTAACTGGGGAGCTGACCATGACCTTCCCTGCTGGCATCGTGCGTGTGTTCAGCGGGACCCCACCACCACCTGTCCTCAGCTTCCGGCTTGTACACACAACCGCTATTGAGCACTTCCAGCCCAACGCCGATCTGCTGTTCAGGTACTATGGAGGGGCAGTGGGAGAGGGCCTCGGAGGCTGCTGGGGATCAGGCTTCCGGACTCTGAGTTCCCTCTCTGCTTCCTGGGATTTTTTCTTTTCTTTTTTTTTTGTAGAGACGGAGTCTTGCTCTGTCGCCCAGGCTGGAGTGCAATGGCGTCATCTCGGCTCACTGCAACTCCGCCTCCCGGGTTCAAGCAATTCTCCTGCCTCAGCCTCCCAAGTAGCTGGGATTACAGGCACGTGCCACTACACCCAGCTAATTTCTTTCGTATTTTAGTAGAGACAGGGTTTCATCATGTTGCCCAGGCTGGTCTCAAACTCCTGAGCTCAGGCAATCCGCCCGCCTTGGCCTCCCAAAGTGCTAGGATTACAGGCGTGAGCTACCACACCCGGCTTGATTTTTTTTTTTTAATTATTATTTTTTTGAGATGGAGTTTTGCTCTTGTTGCCCAGGCTGGAGTGCAGTGGCGTGATCTCGGCTCACTGCAAGCTCCGCCTTCCGGATTCAAGTGATTCTCTTGCCTCAGCCACCTGAGTAGCTGGGATTACAGGCATGTGCCACCATGCCTGGCTGATTTTTGTATTTTTAGTAGAGATGGGGTTGCACCATGTTGGTCAAGCTGGTCTTAAACTCCTGACCTCAGGTGATCCACCCGTCTCAGCCTCCCAAAGTGCTGGGATTACAAGCATGAGCCACCACACCCAGCCACCTCCTGGGATTTGCTGTGTGGCGTGGGGCAAGTAACTTGCCCTCTCTGACCCTTGTTTTCCATCCCTCCTTTACTGCCCGCACCACAACCACCCAGGTAGGGCTTTGCTGGGCCCAGGGTGGGCCAGGAAATTGCATCTTTAGGAAGGGGTAGATTGAATGCTGGGAGCCCTGGGAGGGCATGTCCCGAGGATTGGGGTGATCAGTCCGGGTCTCTGCAGTGACCCCTCCCAGAGTGACCCTGAGACCAAAGACTTCTGGCTCAACATGGCAGCTCTGACCGAAGCCCTGCAGCGCCAGGCAGAGCAGAACCCCACTGCCTCCTACTACAACGTGGTGCTGCTGCGATACCAGGTGCGCCACCCGCATGGGGCCGGGAGGAGGTGGTGGAGTGGGGGACACGGTGAGCCGGCAGCAGACATGGAGGCGCCTGCGTGTTGGCCAGGCTGGTCTCGAATTCCTGACCTCAAGAGATCCAATCTGTGAGAGCCGATGAGCTGGAGGGAGTAGGCAGTGTGGGTCGGGAATGAACGGTGGAGGAGTAGGCAGTGTGGAAGAGCGTGCATCCCCTGTTGCAGATAGTATGTTTATGTGAACTAGAAGCAGCCCAGCCCCGGAACCTTACACTTGAACTTCCCTGGGAGACTTTGTTAGAATGAGGCGCTCTCCTGCCCCCTGCTGGAAACCTGGTGTAATACAGCCTCTCATCCATCAAATCTCCCTGTGACTGGACCCCCTTGGGGCGGTGCGTGCATCGCAGGGTCAAGGTGGTTGAATAGCGCATGGTGTGGCAAGACAGGATGGCCCAAGCTGTGTCCTCTCTCTCATTCTCATTCTTCCTAGTTCTCCCGCCCGGGTCCCCAGTCTGTGCCTCTGCAGCTCAGTGCCCACTGGCAGTGTGGAGCCACCCTCACCCAGGTCTCAGTGGAGTACGGCTACCGGCCCGGTGCCACGGCTGTGCCCACACCACTCACGAACGTCCAGATCCTGCTGCCTGTGGGGGAGCCTGTGACCAACGTCCGCTTGCAGCCGGCTGCCACCTGGTGAGGGCTTGCGGGAGGCCAAGGAAAACTCAGCAGTTTCCCCCATAACCCCAGACCTTCTCCCTGATGCATTGATTAAAGGGTGCACCCTCGGCCTGACCGTTAACTGTGAGCCCACCCTGCTTAGCACTAAGGGTGATGTTATGAGTGCCAGGTGCAGTGGCTCATGCCTGTAATTGCAGTGCTTTGGGAGGCTGAGGTGGGAGGATCACTTAAGGCCAGGAGTTTGAGACCAGCCTGGGCAATATGGTGAGATCTCATCTCTACAAAAAATATTTTGTTTATTTATTTATTTATTTAATTTATTTACTTTGAGATGAAGTCTCGCTCTGTCGTGCAGGTTGGAGTGCAGTGGCACGATCTCAGCTCACTGCAATCTCCGCCTCCCGGGTTCAAGCGATTTTCTCTGCCTCAGCCTCCCGGATAGCTGGGATTACAGGTGCCTGCTACCACACCCAGCTGATTTTTGTGTTTTTTTAGTAGACATGAGGTTTCACCATGTTGGTCAGGCTTGTCTCGAACTGCTGACCTCAGGTGATCCACCCGCCTCGGCCTCCCAAAGGACTGCGATTATAGGCATGAACCACTGCACCCAGCCTTACAAAAAAATATTTTAAAAAGTAGTCAGGCCGGGTGCGGTGGCTCACACCTGCAATCCCAGCACTTTGGGAGGCCGAGATGGGCAGATCACGAGGTCAGGAGATCGAGACCATCCTGGTTAATATGGTGAAACCCCGTCTCTACTAAAAATACAAAAAAAAAATCCGGGCATGGTGGCGGGTGCCTGTAGTCCCAGCTACTTGGGAGGCTGAGGTGGGAGAATGGCGTGAACCCGGGAGGTGGAGGTTGCAGTGAGCTGAGATCATGCCACTGCACTCCAGCCTGGGCAACAGAGTGAGACTCCGTCTCAAAAAAAAAAAAAAATAGTAGTGGTAGTGTGCTCTTGTAGTCCCAGCTACTCGGGAGGCTGAGACAGAAGGATCACTTGAGCCCAGGAGTTGAGGCTTCAAGGAGTTACCCTGGGTGACAACTGTCTCTTAAAAAACAAAAATTTAAAAAAAAAAAAGTCTGTTGTGAAGAAGCCAGACTTATAGGACAGAATGCGTCATCTAAAAGTGCTGCAAGGAAGCCGGGCATGGTGGCTTATGCCTGTAATCCCAACACTTTGGAAGGCCAAGGCAGGTGGATCACCTGAGGTCAGCAGTTTGAGACCAGCCTGGCCAATATGGTGAAACCCCGTCTCTACTAAATTACAAAAATTAGCCAGGCGTGGTGGCGGGCGCCTGTAATCCCAGCTACTCAGGAGGCTGAGGGAGGAGAATCGCTTGAACCCAGGAGGCATAGGCTGCAGTGAGCAGAGATCGCACCAATGCACACCAGCCGGGGCGACAGAGGGAGACACCATCTCAAAAAAACACACAAAAAAACACAAAACAAACACACACACACACACACACACAGAAGTGTTGCAAGGCTGTGTGGCTCCACGGCTGTTCCATATCTCACCCTCATTTCACAGATGAGGAAATTGAGGTGAAGTGGGGGAGAAGGTTTGTTGGGGTCACACAGCCAGGAGGCAGCTGAGGCAGGACCCTGGGCTCTCAGCATCCTCTCTGGGGAAGCCCTGATTAAGATTCTTTCTCTGCCAGGAACCTGGAGGAGAAGCGGCTCACTTGGAGGCTTCCAGATGTGTCCGAGGCAGGCGGTGAGCTGTGGTTGTGTATGAGGGCTGGGTGGGAGGGACTGGGGTCAGGTGGGAGGCACTTATTTATGTTGGGGAAGAATTGGGGACATACTGAGGGCGGGCAAGTATGGGCATTGAGGAAGTCTTTAAAAGCTGGAGGAGGGCCGGGCTGAGTGGCATAGGTCTGTAATCCCAGTGCTTTGGGAGGCCCAGAATGCAGGATCACTTGAGTCCAGCAGTTGGAGGCTGCAGTGACCCGTGATCGTACCACTGCACTCTAGCCTGGGCAATAGAGCCAGACTCTGACTCAAAAACAAACAAACAAACAAAAAAGGCCAGGTGTGGTGGCTCACGCCTGTAATCCCAGCACTTTGGGAGGCCGAGGTGGGTAGATCACTTGAGGTCAGGAGTTCAAGACCAACCTGGCCAGCATGGTGAAACCCTGTCTCTACTAAAAATATAAAAATTAGCCGCGTGTGGTGGCACGCACCTGTGATCCCAGCTACTTGGGAGGCTGAGGCAGGAGAATCGCTTGAACCCAGTAGGTGAAGGTTGTAGTGAGCCGAGATCGTGCCACTGCACTCCAGCCAGGGTGACAGAGCGAGACTCTGTCTCAAAAAAAAAAAAAAAAAAAAAAAAAAAAAAGCTGGAGGAGGGCCAAGGACAGTGGCATAGGTCTGTAATCCCAGTGCTTTGGGAGGCCCAGGTGGGAGGATCACTTGAGCCCAGGAGTTAGAGGCTGCAGTGACCTATGATTGCACCACTATACTCCAGCCTGGGCAACAGAGCCAGACCCTGTCTCTAAAAAAAAAAAAAAAAAGCTGAAGGAGAGGGCGTCCCAGGGCCAGATGGCCAGACACAGCAGGTGCAAAGGCCCTGAGGCAGGACTCCCTTGCTAGCCATACAAAGCCCAGTGATGCCAGGAGAGACAGATGCAGGGGATCAAAGGGAGGTCTGATGGGGCACATAAAGGCCACAGAACAGAGGGCTTCAGGTGTGGGCCAAAGATGAGCCTGGTTCACAGCTGGGACGGGGGCTGGTGCCAGGGCGCAGCTGACTGCAGGTCTCCCCAGGTTCTGGCCGCCTCTCTGCCAGCTGGGAGCCGCTCTCAGGGCCCAGCACACCCAGCCCCGTGGCTGCACAGTTCACCAGCGAGGGGACCACTCTGTCGGGCGTGGACTTGGAACTGGTGGGCAGCGGTTACCGCATGTCGCTGGTGAAGAGGAGGTTTGCCACAGGTACTCCCCAACCCTGCTGCTGGGTGACCTCAGGAGCCGAGATCTTACAGGGGCAAGCCCCGGGGTGTGGGGAGGGATTGGGGTGTGGGGATCCTTGGGAAAGATAGGTGGGTGTTGGGGCCAGGAGACCCCAGATGGGGGGCACAGGTGGGCAAGGAGGCAGGGCCCTGTGTATCTGGGGCTGGCCCTTGGAGGACGTCCTTGGAAGGACCCCAGCCAGGGAGCCCGAAGTCCCCCCTGCCACCCCCTCCTCCAGCCCCACCCTGTTCTCCTGCCCCCAACAAGGGGCTCCTGGGGCCCAGTGGCAACAGGGACTATGAGTTACAGGGGTGTTTTGAAGAGGACAAGGATGATTGAAGCATCCCAGGGTCAGAGCCGGGGAACCCCTCCCGTACCCCTCCTCCCCACCCCTCCCCCTCACAGCTGCACCCCCACAGGGATGTACCTGGTGAGCTGCTGAACCCGCAAATGCTGCTGCCCCAGCTCTACACTGCGCCCTGGTGCTGGCTGACCACCCCCTGCCCTCCTGCCGGACCCTGGGGCCTCCCACCCCAGCCTCCCTGAGGCCCATACTCCACGGAGAGGAGCCCCATGCCCAGCCTGGCTGAGCCCGAGATTCGCTCCTCCCCCTCATGCCAACCCCACACAGGTCCCGGCCTTTTAATGTTCTTTGAATAAACACTTTATTTTCTAATAAAATAAAAAAGGAAACCTTTTCCTGCTCCAGGAAGTATCCTTTGCGTTGCCAGAGAGGGGAGGAAGAGAAGGTGGATGGATACGAGAGACCTAATGTACCTCCCTCCCTGCACTGCGCTCAACCGGTACAGGGCCATTCTGGGAGAGAAAGAACAACACAGATACCCCAGCCCCATGGGCTCAGAGGTGGGCTATAGGGAGGGAGGAGGACTACAGAAGCCCAGAAAGGGGTGTCAGGAGTCTTCCCAAGCAGTCAGGAAGACTTTCTAAGGAGGGGGCATTATAAATGAGGTTTTGAGGTATGAGTAGGAGTTTGCAAGATAGGAATGGGCATCCCAAGCAAAGTGATGGAAGGTTGTTAGTTCAATGAGGAAGCAATTAGTCAACCTACAAATATTAATTGAGTATCTACTGTATACCATGTAGCAGAGAGAGAGCTATGAGCAGGACAAAGTTCTTGGAACCCAGGAAGTGGAGATAGGAAGCCTGAGTGAGGAGCCTGCTTGGCGGCCACTGGCTGTGTGACTTTAAGCACGGGACTTGAGCCTCAGCTCATCTGCAACTCACCTCACTGGATATCTGTGGGAGGTCACACACTTAGAAGAGTGCCAACTACAGGGCAAAACCCCCACTAGTACCAGGCAGCTTTGGGAGCCCCAGGAGGAGGGTGGACCTTGGTGCAGGTGTGCAAGAATGGCCCACTGGGGAGGGCAGGACAGAAGCAGTAACAGCAGACTGCAGTGGGGAGCAGGTCTGAGCCCAGTGGACAGTCTTGGGTCCTGATGGATATTCAGGGAACCAGGGCCCGTGTTCCTGACCTTGAGGCTGTACAGACCCCAGGGAGCAAGCCCAGACTGGATGAAGCTCAGAAGGAAGGAAGTAGGAGGCAGGATTTGGCCTGAGACTTGCTGTGCGCTGTCTCTGATCATCCCACCCTGTCCTCCAAAGAGAGAGTGCCTCTGGCTGTGCGTCAGTTTCCTTGTCTGTAAGATGGGAGGAATCCTGTAGTTGGGAGAGGTTCAGGGAGCATTCTTGGCACAAAGCAAGTGCATAATTAACATTGGCTGAGAGTCGGGCACCGTGGCTCACGCCTGTAATCCCAACACTTTGGGAGGCCGAGGCAGGAGGATCACTTGAGAGCAGGAGTTCAAGACCAGCCTGGGCAACATAGCAAGACCCCCTGTTTCTACAAAAATAGGAAAATTGACCCAGCATGGTGGCACACGCCTATGGTCCCAGCTACTTGGGAGGCTGAGGCAGGAGGATCAATTGAACCCAGGAGGTTGAGGCTACAGTGAGCTAAGATCACACTGGTGCTCTCCAAGGCTCTGGGCAGCCACAGAGTGAGATACTGTCTCTTAAATAGGCCAGGTAGGGTGGCTCATGCCTATAATCCCAGCACTTTGGGAGGCCGAGGCAGGTGGATCATTTGAGGTCAGGAGTTCAAGACCAGCCTGGCCAACATGGTGAAACCCCGTCTCCACTAAAAATACAAAAATTAGCCAGGCGGTAGTAGTGTGCACGTGTAATCCCTGCTACTTGGGAGGCTGAGGCAGGAGACTCGCTTGAGCCTGGGAGGCGGAGGTTGTGATGAGCCCAGATTGTACCACTGCACTCCAGTCTGGGTGACAGAGTGAGACCCTGTATCAAAACAAAACAAAACAAAAACAACAAAAACGTCAGCTGTAGGAAGGAAGGATGATTATAGGAGTTGGGGCATCAAATGGGGGCAGAGGTGGCTGCAGCACCTGCCCTGTCTGGCTACAAACAGCCCAGGGACTTCCCAGCCCTTCATGTCTTCTCCCTTGCAGGTCTTAGCACCTAGGCTGTAAATTCAGAGACCACACCTGCCCAGTGGGTGTGGCTCTGGGTGTCAGAGAGTAGTGGCATCCATGGGGCCACTGGGTGTCAGACATCCATGGGGCCCTGGGTATCAGAGCTGAGCTTTATAGAGGTGACAAAATCAAAATCTGTTTGCCACCACCTCCTCATAATGTAGCCTAATCTGGGCATGGGTTCTTCCCTGTCTGATAAGTGGCGGGTACATGGCACCTCCTAGTAGCTTTTATTTGCCTTCCTGGGGACACAAATGAGGCTGGGCACCTTTTAAAATGAAGAAGGCATCTGGGCATGGTGACTCATGCCTGTAATTCCAGCACTCTGGGAGGCCAAGGCAGGTGGATCACTTGAGGTCAGGAATTCGAGACCAGCCTGGCCAACATGATAAAACCCCATCTCTACTAAAAATACAAAAATAAGCCAGGCGTGGTGGTGGGCGCCTGTAATCCCAGCTATTCGGGAGGTTGAGGCAGGAGAATCTCTGGAGCCCAGGACGAGGAGGTTGCAGTGAGCTGAGAACATGCCACTGCACTCCAGCCTGGGAGACAGAGACTCCATCTCAAAAAAGAAACCAAACAAACAGGGCTGGGCGCATTGGCTCACGCCTGTAATCCCAGCACTTTGGGAGGCCCAGGCCGGTGGATCACTTGAGGCCAGGAGTTCGAGACTAGCCTGGCCAACATGGTGAAACCCCCATCTCTACTAAGAAAACAAAAATTAGCTGGGCGTGGTGGCAGGTGCCTGTAATCTCAGCTACTCGGGAGGCTGAGGCAGGAGAATTGCTTGAACCCGGCAGGCAGAGGTTTCAGTGAGCCCAGATGGCGCCGCTGCACTCCAGCCTTGATGACAGAGCAAGACTCCGTCTCAAACAAACAACAACAACAACAACAAAAAAAACAAAAAAACACAAGCAAACAAAAAAGCGCAGAAGGCACTTTTCCCAGGTGTGGCCTCCTAACTGCCCAGCCTTCCAGAGCAGGTGTGACGTGACCTATCTCAGAAGAGTGAATTCCAAGAGAGAGGGCGCGGAACCCGTTAAACCTGCCAACCCCGGGCAGGCGTGATGCCATTATGCAGTTTACATGCCCTGGTCTCTTCCACCCGGGTGGCCTTAAAACCTCAGCTGTGGTACAGAGTGATCCATTGGCACAGCACCATCAACTGGGCCACATGTCAGAGGCCACCCCCAGCTGATAAGTGGCCTAATTGGATTTTCTTTTGAGCTGAAATTCACAAAACAAAAAATGAACCACTTTAAAATGAACAATTCAGTGAGTTTCAGTATATTCATAATATGTGCAACCACACCCTTTATCTAATTTGTGCACATTTTCATCCCCTCCGAAAGGAAACCCTGTCCCCTTCAGCAGTCATGCCCCATTTCCCCTCCCACAGCTCCTGGCAACCACTAATTAGCTTCCTGTCTCTGTGGATTTGCCTGTTCTGGGCATTTCACATAAATGGAATCATACGACATGTGGCCTTTTGTGTCTGGCTTCTTTCACTCAGCATCGTGTTTTTTATTTCATCCCTGTTGTAGCAGGGATCAGGACTTCAATCTCTTATCAGGACTTCAATCTCTCTCTTTTTTTTTTTTTTTTGAGACAGAGTCTCGCTCTGTCATCCAGGCTGGAGTGCAGTGGCATGATCTGGGCTCACTGCAACCTCTGCTTCCTGGATTTGAGCAGTTCTCCTGCCTCAGCTCCCCGAGTAGCTGGGATTACAAGCATGCGCCACCATGCCCAACTAATTTTTGTATTTTTAGTAGAGAGGGATTTTGCCATGTTGGCCAGGCTGGTCTCGAACTCTTGACCTCAAGTGATCTGCCTGCCTCAGCCTCCCAAAGTGCTGGGATTACAGGCGTGAGCTACTGGCCAGGACTTCAGTCTTTCTGATGGCTGAAAAAGACTCCAGGCAGGGCACAGTGGCTCACACCTGTAACCCCAGCACTTTGGGAGGCTGAGGCGGGTGGATTGCTTGAGGTCAGGGGTTCAAGACCAGCCTGGGCAACATGGTGAAACCCCCGTCTCTACTGAAAATACAAAAAGTAGCCGGGCGTGGTGGCAGGTGCCTATAATCCCAGCTACTCGGGAGGCTGAGACAAGAGAGCTGCTTGAACCTGGGAGGTGGAGGTTGCAGTGAGCCAAGATCCTGCCACTGCACTCCAGCCTGGGTGACAGAGCGAGACTCTGTCTCAAAAAAAAAAAAAAAAACAAAAAAAAAAAAAACTCAAGACTCCACTGATGGACCACATGTTGTTTATCCATTCATCCACTGGACACTTGGGTGGGTGATCACCACCCAAGCAGCTGAAAAGAACACTGTGAATCATGCTGCTATGAACTTCCCTATGCAAGCATTTGTTTCAACACCTGTTTTCAACTCCTTTGGGTAGATACCTACAAGGGCAATGGCGGGATCATAGGGTCATTCTAGTCCGGATTTGAACCCGGGCCCTCCAGCACCAGAATTCACTCTATTGCGTCCAGTGAACCCCGGAAGCACCCGGTTTAAAAGGTCTGGGGGCTCAGGGTATCTGTATGTCTTACACATGGGAAAAGGGTGGGAGGGTTCAGTTTCCCTGGGTGAGTGGGGCGGGGCTAGAGCTCACATCCTCCCAGCAGCCTGAATTCTGGAGGGCCAGTACCTGGTGGAGGAGGGGATGGGCGGGGACCCTGTCACAGGATGGTACTTTTTTTTTTTTTTTTTTTTGAGATGGAGTCTCACTCTGTCGCCCAGGCTGGAGTGCAGTGGTGCGATCTTGGCTCACTGCAACCTCTGCCTCCCAGGTTCAAGTGATTCTCCTGCCTCAGCCTCCTGAGTAGCTGGGATTACAGGCGCCCGCCACCACACCTGGCTAATATTTTTGTTTTTTGTTTTTTTTTTTTTGAGATGGAGTCTCACTCTATCTCCCAGACTGGAGTGCCGTGGCATGATCTCTGCTCACTGCAACCTCCACCTCCTGGGTTCGAGTGATTCTCCTGCCTCAGCCTCCCGAGTAGGTGGGATTACAGGCACCCGCCAGTATGCCTGGCTAATTTTTGTATGTTTTAGTGGAGACGGGGTTTCTTCATGTTGGCCAGGCTGATCGCAAAGTCCTGACCTCAGGTGATCCCCTCACTTTGGCCTTTGGAAGGTGCTGGGATTACCGGCATGATCTGCCCACTTCGGCCTTCCAAAATGCTGAGATTATAGGGTTGAGCCACCCCGCCCGCCCAGGATGGGACTTTTGGTTCCGGCTCCTTCCCGGCCGACAAATCCCTTCCTGGGGCCATGACTTGGTGAACCCAGGGACCCAACAGGGTGAGCATAGACTCTGAATCAAAGTCCAAGGATGTACCACAGTAAGAAAGTGTGTGCATCCAGAACCGAGGCCAGTAGTGCCACATTTGACACTATGACATTTCCGGTAATTGCCCTCCATACAGTTTTAATCATGCATTTGCTCTGAGGGTTCACTCCCCAGACCTCTCCCATCCAGAGTACCCAGGGGCTATTTCTTACATTTTACAGGTGAGGAAACTGAGGCACAGACAGGCCACATATACACCTCGGCTTCCTCCTCGGGAAGAAACAGGGATGAAGGAGGAAGGAGGGGTTTCCTGAAACCATAGCCCAGCTCACACACCTGGACTTCCCCAACCCCAGAGCTCCCAACGCTGGGTCCAGGCTAGAATCTCCTAGAGATTCAGAGGCAGCACAGGGCAGGGTTCGAATCCTAGCCAACCCAACCCTAAAAATCTACAAATCTGAGGCCAGGTGCAGTGGCTCACATCTATAATCCAGCACCTTGGGGATCTGAGGCAGGAAGGTCACTTGAGGCCCACAGTTAAGACCAGCCTGGGCAACATATCAAAACCCCATATCTAGAAAAATGACAAAAATTAGCCAGGCATGCTGGCGGGTGCCTGTAGTCCCAGCTACTCGGGAGGCTGAGGTGGGAGGATTGCTTGAACTGGGGAGGTCGACATTGTAGCGAGCGGAGATCACACCACTGTACTCTAGCCTGGGTGACAAAGCGAGATCCTGTCTCTCAAAACAAGAAAAAAAGAAAAAGAAAAGACTACAAATCTGTCTGATTGTTGACTTCCAGAACCCTTCCAAATGCCAGCAGGTGGCATCTGGATGTCTGGGGGCACATCGTAGGTTTTCGGGTCCTGGAATTATTTTCAATATAGAGATGGAATCTCACTATGTTGCCCAGGCTGGTCTCAAACTCCTGGGTTCCAGCGATCCGCCCCCCTCGGCCTCTGGAAGTACAGGAGTGAGCCACTGCGCCGACCCCAGCTTCAGGAATCTTTGAACTCCCCGCAGAGAGCAGAGGTGCCGCAAGGTTTAACCTGCCTCCCTCCCTCCTTATCGCCATGGGCTTATCCAATCATTTCTTCACGGAACACACGTGGGCCAACGCTGACCGGGCTCTGTGCCAGGAACCCGCAAGGCGCTGCTTGTTCATCTCCAGCCACGGGGAGCTCATTCCCTAGCAGCGGGCCAGACCCAAGGTGGGGTCGTGAGCCCCGAGAGGGGCGAGGGTGGCAAGAGCGGGATGGCAGAGGTGGCAGCCGGGACCGGAGAGGGGAAGAGGCATGGCCGGGGAGGGAGGAGCCGGCAGAGAACTTCGCCTGGGCCACCAGGAAACTCAGCCGAGCTGGGAAGAGGGGGACTGGCAAGCGGCCAAGGCGGAGGGAGGCAGGAAGGCGTGAGGCCCGGTGGGAGGGAGGAAGCGGGAGAGGGGCGGGAGCTCTGGCTCAGGTAAAAACTCTTTCTTCGGCTCGCGAGCTGAGAGGAGCAGGTAGAGGGGCAGAGGCGGGACTGTCGTCTGGGGGTGAGTGTCGGCAGCCCCCGGAGGATCTGGCGGACCCCAGTGGTGGGGGTTTGGGGGTGGGGAAGTTGTGGCTCTGGAGAAGCCCCTGCCGGTCTCCACCGCGCATACCCTGCAGATGTGGGAACATTCGGGAGCCCCGAGTCTCGAGAACCCGGTTGCCCTCACCCATCCGTAATTGTCTCCGGCGTTCCCAAGGCCAGCTCGGACCTGGGTCGGGGAGGAAGCCTCCCCCACAGCTGGCGACCCGGGACCCCGGCGCCCCTCCCAGATTGGGCGGGATCAGACCCCCGAGGCGGATGCCGCTTAGTCAGACTTGGCTGTTACTGTTACCTGTGTTGTTGAGATTATTGGCCCCTTGGTTGGGAGTATCTGGGCAAGCCAGCGCTGGGGTCCCCGGTTGGGTTTGGGAACTGCAGGTGACCCCCAGTCTCTCCCTGCGGTTCCGGTGCTGCAGGCCCTGCCAGGTGGCTGGGCGGCATTCCAGGGGCCCTGGCTGCGTGGCATGGACACATTGCTGAACCGGCCTCAGTTTCCCCTCCGTGAGGTGGAACAATGAACCAGCTGGGATGAGGATGCCCGAAGCGTTTAGTCAAAGGAAATTTTTGTGATGAGGTGTACTGCTGGCCACTGGGGGCCCTTGCGTGACTGGCGTTAGGTCTCTGAGCCTCAGTTTCCCTGTGTGTTAAGGGGGGGTCTCATGGCATGGGACCTTGGCGAGGATGAGTTGAGTGGATAGGAGCTGTGGCCACTCAGTGGGTGCCCAGGGACAGTCAGCTGTCATCATAATTATATTAATTATGTCTGTAGCCACTGTTCAGATTCACTCCTGTTCCAAGAATCCCGACCATCTTTTCCTCTGGGTCAGATTTAAACTTTTTGTTTGTTTGTTTTATTTGTAGAGGTGGGGGACTCACTTTGTCACCCAGGCTGGAGTACAGTGGCTCCATGCACTGTATTCACTGCAGCCTCAACCTCCTGGGCTCAAGTGATCCTCCCACCTCAGCCTCCCGAGTAGCTGGGACTACAGGTGCACACCACAGGCAGCTAATTTTAAAATTTTTTTGTGTGTGGAGACGGGGTCTCACTATGTTGTCCAGGCTGGTCTCAAACTCCTGGGCCCAAGCAATCCTCCTGCCTTGGCATCTGAAAGTGCTGGGATTTCAGGCATGAGCCACTATGCCCAGCTCTGATTTTTTTAAATGGACACTTCTCAAGAGGAAACTGAGGTCGCCCCTCAACTTGGGCGGGGGACTCCTGCAGTCCAGATCTGGGATTCAGGGCCCATGGGAAGCCACCTGGCCGTCTAGGTCTGGGGCCAGCCCTGGGGGCCATCACTTCCTCCCACTGGCCTGTTCTCAAGGTGACACCAGGCAGGGCTGGTGTCAGGAGGAAGAGGTGTGGCCCCCAGGTCAGGCAGCTGGGCCCCCATATGGCCTAGGTGAGCAGTTGGGTGTTTGCTCAGTCCAGCCTGGACACCCTCCCTCACTCTCACCCCTAGGGTGTGGCATTTCCTGGCAGGTGCTCTGGGTGTGGGAGAACCAAAAGGGGGCCTTGGTGCTTCTCTGTTCCAGGCCAGAGTTCAGGAATCCAGACAAGCCAGGTCAGCCCAGGAGGAGCAAGTAAGGGCTCACTGAGTGACATTTCCTCCTGCCACCAGCCTCTGAGGCCCAGAGCAAGCAGGAATTTGCTCACTCCCCCAACCCCATGAGCCAGGGAGGATGCCTATTGTGGACCCTCTTCCTGGTGGGAATCTGGCTTGCCTTGATTGCTCCTCATGATGGTGAGGTCACTACCAACGTGGCAAACTAAAGGAAATCTCATCAGCTGGGAGTTAAAGACAGGAACTAGGCTCCCACCCAACCTTTCTTAGGTGGATTTCTAGGCCTCTCTGTGCCTCAATTTTCCTATCCATAAAAATGGAGCTAATGCAGCCCTACTTCTCAGCACACATATAGAGTTTAGATGGACAGATGGTGGCCAGGCTGCACACAGGACCTGGCATATTGATCCTAGTCCTAATTATGCAGCTCATTATGTTATCATTTATAGCATGTATCTTTGCACACAGAAATAATATCATGAATATTTCTGAGCTCTAAGTACAAGACTTGGAGAAGAGCTCTGACCAGCCTGAAGGTGTGGGGGTCCAGGAAGTCCCCAGAGGAGGGGCCCAGGAGACCTCAGTTCCCCCATCACTCCTGGATTGTGGGAAGGGTCTGAGGTTGAACTGCGATGCACGGCCTGGCTTCCCAGCCTGTTTCCCCATCTATGGAGTGAGCCCAAAGATGCCCTTTGAGACTCCACTGGGCCAGGGCTGGTGTTATTCAGGGGCCCCTTTCCAGTCTCACATAGGTGCCCCAGGCAGTTCCTGCAATGGGGTAGGGCTGGCATGGATGACATACAATTAGTCATCCATGACAGAGCCTCGGGACCTAGAAACCCGGGACACCAAAGTCTAAAGTGCATGTGTCACCGTGCCCAACCCCACCCCTTTTTCCATACCCAGGCACTCCCTGGTGCAGATATTGAGTATATATTGACAGAGAACTCACTAGTACACATGGTTTCACTAAAGCAGGGTCCGGCCATTGTGAACTTAAAGGATTTACTGGGCTATTTCTTCTTCTTTTCTTCCCCTTCTGTTTGCAAAAGCAACTCCTGCTCCTTGTAAAAAGGGACCAGCCTATCATTACTGGGAAACCCAAACTGGTAAGAACTGGTGAGGAACCACCCACAGGGGCTGGCAGATCAGGGTTCAAATCCCACCAACCCGCCCTGGCCTCAGTCGGCTGTGTGACCTTGGGCAGAGTTGCACCCTCTCTGCACAGATCGTCCACCTGGACCCTAGGCTCCCCTCTGGAAGGCTCAGTGAGACTCCTCGGGTTCCTCCACAGGCCAGGGGCTCACACCCTCTCCTGCAAGCGTCCCCAACTTCCACCCTGGAGTTTCTTCACCCCTAGAGGTTGCACTCCTCTGGAAAATTGTCCTGTTTGCCACTTCTCTGTCCCCTGTTAGTGGTGTATCAGCGTCCTGGGCACACGAGTGTTTCTCTCCATCATCTTGGCTGTGTCCTCGGAACCTAGACCCAGATGTGGCATACGCTAGGTGCTCAGCACTTGCTCAGAGCAGTCACAACTCTGCAGGTGATAAGGGTGGTGGCAGCTGCTATTAAATCTCATTGTGGCTGGGCGTGGTGGCTAACACCTGTATTTCCAGCACTTTGGGAGACCGAGGCGGGTGGATCACCTGAGGTCAGGAGTTTGAGACCAGCCTAGGTGACGTGGTGAAACCCCATCTCTACTAAAAATACAAAAATTAGCTGGGCATGGTAACGCACACCTGTAATCCCAGCTTCTCTGGAGGCTGAGACAGGAGAATCGCTTGAACCCTGGAGGCAGAGGTTGCAGTGAGCCAAGATAGCACCACTGCACTCCAGCCTGGGCAACAGAGTGCGGCTCTGTCTCAAAAAAAAAAAAATCTAATTGTGGCTGGGTGCAGTGGCTCACAACTGTAATCCCTGCACTTTGGGAGGCTGAGGTGGGAGGATCACTTGAGCCCAGGAGTTGGAGACCAGCCTGGGCAACATAGCGAGACCCATCTCTACAAAAATGAAATTAGCCAGGGGTGGTGATGCATGCCTGTGGTCCCAGCTACTCAGGAGGCTGAGGCAAGAGGATCAGTTGAGCCCTGGAGTTGGAGGCTGCAGTGAGCTATGATCGTGCCACTGCACCACTCCAGCCTGGGTGACAGAGCAAGATCCTGTCTCAAGAAAAGAAAAAAAAAATCTCATTGTTGGCGCTTCACATATGTGCCACTTGGAGAAAAGGCCACTGCTTGGAGCTACCACTTGACCCTCTAGCCTTTCCCAGGACTCAAATCCGTATGTAGTCAAACGGGATTCTTCCAGAAGCTTCTCTCACCCTCCACCTCTTGCCTTGCCTTTTGGCGGCCTCAGAATGTTCCACACCTCCATCCAAATCCCAATTTAGGATGGGTGAGAATTGGAGAAACAGCGGCCACAGCAATGCTGATAGTCAGGTGGTGGTTCTGCCACCATTCCAGCTTTTTTTTTTTTTTTTTTTTTGAGATGGAGTCTCATTTACCCGGGCTGGAGTGCAGTGGCGCAATCTCGGCTCCCTGTAACCTCCACCTCCTGGGTTCAAGCGATTCTCCTGCCTCAGGCTCCTGAGTAGCTGGGATTACAGGCGCCCTCCACTATACCTAGCTAATTTTTTGTATTTTTAGTAGAAATGGGGTTTCACCATGTTGGCCAGGCTGGTCTCGAACTCCTGACCTCATGATTCGCCCGCCTCTGCCTCCCAAAGTGCTGGGATTACAGGTGTGAGCCACCGAGCCCGGCTGACCATCCCAGCTTTGCAGAGGAGGATGCTAAGGTCTGGGTGGCCCCAGCTACTCGGCCCAGGTCCCATGGAAGGTCAGTAGCTGGGTCAGAAGGCCCTTCCTCAACGGCTGTCGGGGGTCCCCATGGCTGCTTCAAAGGCATCAGCTCACAGACCAGTCCTCCCAGCTGCAGGCAAGGCAGAGACTGAGAGCCAGCGACCAGGCTGGTTAGGGGTATCCAGGCCGGTTAGGGGTATCCAGGCCTGGGAGTCCCTGAAGAGCAATCCAGAAGTAGCCCTATCTGGGCCTCAGTTTCCTCATCTGGAAAGTGGGAGTTTCACAGGGAGAATTACCTTAATGCTATGGAGACCTCTGAGTCAGTGTCAGGACATCCCCCGCCCCCTGTGCCACTCCCCATCACCTGTGGTCTCCAAATAGTCTTGGGAGTGAGGGGGGCAGATCTAGCCCCAGGTGGTACCAGCAGGGTCCTTGATGACTTTCACATGCCCCACATCTCTTGCAGACAGTGACAAGAACAGGGTTGAGACTGGGCGCAGTGGCTCACTCCTGTAATCCCAGCACTTTGGGAGGCCGAGGCGGGCAGATCACTTGAGGTCAGGAGTTCGAGACCAGCCTGGCCAACGCGCTGAAACCCCGTCTTTACTAAATATACAAAAATTAGCTGGGTGTGGTGGCGCACACTTGTAATCTCAGCTACTTGGGAGGCTGAGGCAGGAGGATCGCTTGAAACCAGGAGGCGGAAGTTGCAGTGAGCCAAGATCACACCACTGCACTTCAGCCTGGGGGACACAGCAAGCGAGACTCTGTCTCCAGAATAAAACCAAAGAAACAGGGATGAGGGCGACAGAGGTGCCTGGAGCCACTTGCACCTGGGGCAAGGGCCCAGCCTTGACTGCCCCCTGGGAGTGGCAGAGGACATGGGGCCAGGGTGCAGCTGCCAATGCCTACGATTCTGCTGAGCAGACAACCCTTCTGCATATTTAGTGGTCATTAATTTTCAATGAGTCATTAATACTTAGTATCACCTGTGCATTGAAGCATGAATATTCAGTGACCATGAATATTTGGTATCTGAAGACTGTTTGTGGCTTGTTAATATTCCTCATGATACTATTAGGCCGGGCGAGGTGGCTCATGCCTGTAATCCCAGCACTTTGGGAGGCTGAGGTGGGTGGATCACCTGAGATTAGGAGTTTGAAACCAGCCTGGCCAACATGGTGAAACTCTGTCTCTACTAAAAATACAAAAATTAGCCGGGTGTGGTGGTACATGCCTGTAATCCCTGCTACTCAGGAGGCTGAGGCAGGAGAATCACTTGAACCCAGGAGGGTGCAACCTCCAGGTTGCAGTGAGCTGAGATCGTGGCGCTGCACTTCAGCCTGGGCGACAGAGGCTCTATCTAAAATATATATATGTATATATATATATTCCTCATGATAATATTCAAGTATCATGTATGTGACTTGCAACTTTAAAAAAAATTCAGTATATTTGGGCACAACTTGCAACTTTTCATTATTGCTTTGCAACTATTTTGTATATTACGAATAGTAGGCACCTCCTCTGTAGTTAATGGATTGTTAATGTTCAGTACTTCACTAACATGCAGCACTTTTTTTGTTTGTTTGTTTGTTTTGTTTTTGAGACAGGGTCTTGCTCTGTTCCCCAGGCTGGAGTACTGTGGCGAGATCATGGCTCACTGCAGCCTTGACCTCCTGGGCTCAAGCGATCCTCCCACCTCAGCCTCCCAAGTAGCCAGGACTACAGGCGCACACCACCATGCCCGGCTAATTTTTGTATTTTTTGTAGAGATGGGGTTTTGCCATCTTGCCCAAACTCTTGGGCTCAAGTGATCCTTCCTTCTCAGCCTCTCAAACAGCTGGGATTACAGGTACAAGCCACCATACCCAGCTGTTTTTTGTTTTTTTGTTTTGAGACAGGATCTTGCTCTGTTGCCCAGGCTGGAGTGCAGTGGTGCTATCATAGCTCACTGCAGCCTTGAACTCCTGGGCTCAAGCGATTCTCCTGCCTCAGCTTCCCAAGTAGCTGGGACTACAGGTGCACGCCACCACACCTGGCTAATTTTTACACTTTTTGTAGAGACAGAGTCTCACCATGTTGCCCAGGCTGGTCTTGAACTCTTGGGCTCAAGTGATCCTCCCACCTCAGCCTCCTGAGTAGCTGGGACTATAGGCACTCACCACCACCACACCAGGCTAATTAAAAAAATTTTTTTTGGCTGGGCATGGTGGCTCACGCCTGTAATCCCAACACTTTGGGAGGCTGAGGTGGGCGGATCACTTGAGGTCAGGAGTTTGAGACTAGCCTGCCCAACATGGTGAAACCCCGTCTCTACTAAAAATACCAAAAGTAGCCAGGCGTGGTGGCACATGCCTGTAGTCCCAGCTATTCAGGAGGCTGAGGCAGGATAATCGCTTGAACCTGGGAAGCGGGGGTTGCAGTGAGCTGAGATCATGCCATTGCACTCCAGCCTGGGTGACCTAGCAAGATTCTGTCTCCAAAAAAAAAAAAAAATCATTGTAGAGACAGGGTCTTGCTGTGTTACCCAGGCTGGTCTTGAGCACCTAAGCTCAAGTGATCCTCCTGCCTCAGCCTCCTAAAGCACTGGGATTACAGGTGACTTATCTTGACTGAATCACGGGTGCCCAAGGCTTACTAGTCTCCCAAGCTATAAATCTGTCTTCTGAGGCAGAACGTGTGCGGCAGGGGACTGTGGCTGCTGCCTCGTGGAGTGGGGGCGAGGCTGCAGTGAGATAGGAGGTGATGGCTATCGTACTTTTTCCCTTCTGCAACAAACTAGGTAGCATCCTGTGGGAGCACAGTTGCAGGAGATAAGATGCCCAGCCCTGGGGCTTCAGGCTGGCTGGGCAGATGGACAGGAGAGAAGCGAAGAGATTTCCCATGTCTGATGGTGGTGAATGCTACAGACATCAGCAGTGCTGGGGCTAGGTGTTTTAGCCTGGAGGTCGAAGCCTCTCGGAGGTGACATTTCAGGGGAAGCCTAAATATGAAGACTACGGAAAGAGCTGGAAAGGAAGGGGGTCCTAGGTGGAGGCAGTGGCAGGTGCAAAGGCCCTGAGGCAGGGCTGAGCTTGGGTGGTTTTTGTTTGTTTTGAGACAGGGTCTCGCTTTGCCACCAGGCTGGAAGTGTGATCACAGCTCCCTGCAGCCTCCACTTCCAGGGCTCAAGTGATCCTCCCACCTCAGCCTCCCGAGTAGCTGGGACTAAAGGCATACACCACCATACTCAGCTAATTTTTTTACTTTTTTTTTTAATTTTTAGCACAGACAGGTCTCCCTTTTTTGCCCAGGCTGGTCTTGAACTCCTAGGCTCAAGCAACCCTCTTGCTTCAGCCTCCTAAAGTGCAAGGATTATAGGCATGAGCTACTGCATCCAGCCTGAGCCTGGGTGTTAAAGGATTTTTTTTTTTTTTGAGACAGAATCTGGCTATATTGCCCAGGCTGGCGTGCAGTGGCACGATCTCGGCTCACTGCAACCTCCACCTCCTGGATTCAAGTGATTCTCCTGCCTCAGCCTCCTGAGTAGCTGGGATTACAGGCGTGTGCCACCACACCTGGCTAATTTTTGTATTTTTAGTAGAGACAGAGTTTCACCATGTTGGCCAGGCTGGTCTCAAACTCCTGACCTCAGGTGATCTGCCCTCCTTGACCTCCCAAAGTACCGGGATTACAGACGTGGGCCACAGCTCCCGGCCATGTTTAAGGAGGCTGGTGCAGCTGGAGCAGATGAGTGAGGGCAGAGATTGTGTGGGAAAGATGGCAGCAGAGAGGACCCACATCCTGCAGCCACACCCCAGGCGGTGGCTTCTGGGTCTTGGCAGGGGAAATAAATGGCTTTTCTGTGCATTTGAGGAAGTGGGTTCTGGAGGATGGCAAAATCGCACTGGCACGTGAAGTGCAAACAGCTCCAGGCAGGACCGACTGGTCTGGCAGCGGGCGGCCAGGCGAGGGTCCCCAAGAGTCAGCCTGGATGTCACTGCTGGACACTGGTGGCACCGTGTCTGGCTTGGGGTGAAGTTTTTTCACCCACCTTGAACAGGAGTGCAGGGTAGGCGCTGTAACATGCAGGGAACATATGACAATTGCCTGTTGGCACCAGGCATGGTGACTGGTGCCTGTGGTCGCAGCTACTCAAGAGGCTAAGGCAGGAGGATCACTTGAGCCCAGGAGCTGGAGGCTGCAGTGAGCTATGATCGCCACTGCACTCCAGCCTGGACAACAGAGCAAGTGAGATCCTATCACTAAAAAAAAAAAAAAAAAATTTTTAATTAGCTGGCAAGGTGGCTTATGTCTGTAATCCCAGCGCTTTGGGAAGCCAAGGCAAGAGGATTGCTTGAGGCCAGGAATTCAAGACCAGCCTGGACAACATAGTGAGACCCTGTCTCTTAAAACACAGCACACACAATCAATACCTGTTGGGCCTTCCTGGCTTATAGGCCATGGTGTGCCAACAGCTCTCACCTGGATACCAGACTGAGCCTCCCACTGCCCAGAGGTTCCTCATTCTGCTCCTTCTGGTCCTTCTTTTTCCACCCCCTAACATCTGGACATCTGGGCTGTGATCGAAACATTGATGACTTTCTTCATCTTATTTTCCTTTTTTTTTTCTTTTCTTTCTTTCTTTTTTTTCTTTTTTTTTTTTTTTTTGAGACAGAGTCTTGTTCTATCGCCCAGGCTGGAGTACAATGGCTTGATCTTGGCTCACTGCCACCTCCGCCTCCCAGATTCAAGTGATTCTACTGTCTCAGCCTCCTGAGTAGCTGGGATTACAGACACGCACCACCACACCCGGGTAATTTTTGTATTTTTAGTAGAGATGGGGTTTTGCCATGTTGGCCAGGCTGATCTCGAACTCCTGAGCTCAAGTGATTGCCTCGGCTTCCCAAAGTGCTGAGATTACAGGCGTGAGCCACCGTGCCCAGCTTTTTTTTTTTTTTTTTTTTTTGAGACATAGTCTTGCTCTGTTGCCCAGGCTGGAGTGCAGTGGTGTGATCTTGGCTCACTGCAACCTCCGCCTCCTGGGTTCAAGCGATTTTCCTTCCTCAGCCTCCTGAGTAGCTGGGATTACAGGCATGAGCCATGAGCCACCACGCCCTGCTAATTTTTGTATCTAATATTTTGTATTTAGTAGAGACGGGGGTTTCACCATGTTGGCCAGGCTGGTCTCGAACTCCTGACCTCAGGTGATCCACCACTTTGGCCTCCCAAAGTGCTGGGATGACAGCTGTGAGCCACTGCACCCAGCCCTTCACCTTATTTTCTAAACCTGCATACTCTCCTATACCCCAGCAGCCAGCCTCTGTCTAGGCCACCAAACTCTTCCACCTAGATGTTACCCAATCTCCCCCCACCCAGCCTCCTGAGTAGCTGGGACTACAGGTGTACACCACCACACTCAGCTAATTTTGTTTCATTTTTTTATTTAGCAGAGACAGGGTCTCCCTTAGTTGCCCTGCCCTGACTGAAATGTCCCTAATCCCTTAGTGACCACAGGGATTTTTTTTTTTTTTTTTAATGACAGTCTCTCTCTGTTGCCCAGGCTGGAGTGGTGTGATTATAGCTCACTGCAGCCTCAAACTCCTGGGGTCAGGCAATCCTCCCACCTCAACCTCCCGCATAGCTAGGACTACAAGTATGCATCATCACGCCGGCTAACTTTTGTATTTTGGGTAGAGATGGGGTTTCACCATGTTGCCCAGGCTGGTCTCAAACTCCTAAGCTCAAGCGATCCTCCTACCTCAGCCTCCCAGAGTGCTGGGATTATAGGCCTGAGCCACCTTGCCCAGCCCACAGGGGACTTCTTAAAGGCATAAATCAATCTGATCCCTCCCCTGCTCATAGACCCTCCATGGCTCCTCATTGCTTCTCACAGGAAACATAAGACATTCTTTCTGGCGTGCCCATTCTATTCTTGTACCCTAGCAGGGTCCCATAACTCCACCATCACCTCCTTTCTCTCGCCCTGTCCCAACCACGTCAGCCTCCTCGCTCTGCCACCAGCACCCTAAATTTGTATCCATCTCAGGGCCTTTGCACATGCTCCACTCTGTCTGGAATGCCCTTCCCCACAGTCTGCTCAAGTGAATTCCCATCATCCTTCAGGACCTCCCTGATCCTAGGTTGCTCAGGTCCCCTGTGGACCTGCCTCAGTAACAATTAGTATGGCTGTCACTAATTGTTAGTATCATTTACAATTTTTTTTTTTGAGACAGCATCTTGCTCTGTTGCCCAGGCTGGAGTGCAGTGGTGTGATCATAGCTCACTGCAGCCTTGAACTCCTGGGCTCAGGTGGTCCTCCCACCTCAGCCTCCCAAGTAACTGAGACCTCAAGCACATGCTACCACAGCCTGCTAATTTTTTGTTTTGTTTTGTTTTGAGACAGAGTCTTTCTCTGTCATCCAGGCTGGAGTGCAATGGTGTGATCATAGCTCACTGCAGCCTCCACCTCCTGGGTTCAAGTGATTTTCCTGCCTCAGCCTCCCGAGTAGTTGGGACTACAGGCACCCATCACCATGCCTGGCTAATTTTTGTATTTTCTTTTTTTTTTTTTTGTAGAGAGTGGGTTTCCCCATGTTGGCCAGGCTGCTGTTGAACTCCTGACCTCAAGTAATCCACCTGCCTTGGCTTCCTAAAGTGTTGGGATTATGGGTGTGAGCCACTGCGCCCAGCCTAATTTTTGTGTTTTTTGTAGAGACGGGGTTTCACCATGCTGCCCAAGCTGTTCTACTTATTGTTATATTGAGGGCAGGGCTGGCTTGGTCACAGCTGTATCCCCAGCATCTAGCATACAGTAGGTGCTCAGTTAACACTCTAGGGCTGATGAGCACTGTGACAGTTAACAGGATTGGACTCATGCACGTTCACGGATATTCACCTGTCTGTGCCCCAGGTGGCCGAGAGTTGGCCAGGTTCTCTTTGAGGGATGTTTGGTGCCATCCATGACGCAGTCCCTTGTGACAGATTCTGGGAGGCCCTGAGGTGTTGGAAGGGAGTCTCCCAGTGACCCCGAGTTGAGGGACGTATGAGATGGGCATACTGCACCCATCAAAGTTCTGGGTTCCGGCTGGGGACGGTGGCTCATGCCTGTAATCCCAGCACTTTGGAAGGCTAAGGTGGGCAGATCATGAGGTCAGGAGATCGAGACCATCCTGGCCAACACGGTGAAACCTTGTCTCTCCTAAAAATACAAAAATTAACTGGGCGTGGTGGCGCGTGCCTGTAGTCCCAGCTACTCTGAAAGATGAGGCAGGAGGATCGCTCGTATGCAGGAGGCGGAGGTTGAAGTGAGCCGAGATTGTGCCACTGTATTCCAGCCTGGGCAACTCCATCTCAAGAAAAAAAAAAAAAAAAAAAAGTCCTGGGTTCTGATACTGCTCCATGCTGTAAGTGGGAATAGCTGGGGAATCAAGGTAGCCAGGATGGTGGACTCATGGTCACTGAGGCGGTCACCACACAGCTAATATGCATCAAGCCCTTTTGCAGTCAGGGAGCAGTGGCCCCAGTGTGTGTGTGTGTGTGTGTGTGTGTGTGTGTGTATTGGAGCAGGAACCTCAGCACCCCCATGTCCTAATAAGGAAACTAAGACTTCACACAGAAAGGCAGGGCACAGTGACTCATGCCTGTCATCCCAGCCCTTTGGGAGGCCGAGGCAGGTGGATCACTTGAGGTCAGGAGTTCAAGACCAGCCTGGCCAACATGGTAAAACCCCGTCTCTACTAAAAATACAAAAAAATTAGCCAGGCATGGTGGCTCACACCTGTAATCCCAGCTACTCAGGAGGCTGAGGCAGGAGGATCGCTTGAACCCATGAGGTGGAGGCTGCAGTAAGCGGAAATTACACCACTGCACTCCAGCCTGGGCAACAGAACAAGAGAGAGAGAGAGAGAGAGACGCTGTCTCAAAAAAAAAAAACAAAATTAAAAAATTTAAAAAATTAATCCCCAGCAGGGAGGGCCAGGGCACCTGTCAGAGCCAACAGGGGTTGGAGTGCTTTGAAATGGGTCTTGCAAGGGGTGGAGGAGTTAAGTGGGGGGTGAATTTCAATATTTTGCCAACCTGAGCAACTGTACAGGTGCAACCAGATGTTGGGGGCCACAGGAAAAGCGCTTTGCTCATGGCGAGTGTTCAGTGAGTTTTGTTTTCCACAGGAGCCGCCCAGGAGGCTCCTCAGGCCGACCCCAGACCCTGGCTGGCCAGGATGAAGTATCTCCGGCACCGGCGGCCCAATGCCACCCTCATTCTGGCCATCGGCGCTTTCACCCTCCTCCTCTTCAGTCTGCTAGTGTCACCACCCACCTGCAAGGTCCAGGAGCAGCCACCGGCGATCCCCGAGGCCCTGGCCTGGCCCACTCCACCCACCCGCCCAGCCCCGGCCCCGTGCCATGCCAACACCTCTATGGTCACCCACCCGGACTTCGCCACGCAGCCGCAGCACGTTCAGAACTTCCTCCTGTACAGACACTGCCGCCACTTTCCCCTGCTGCAGGACGTGCCCCCCTCTAAGTGCGCGCAGCCGGTCTTCCTGCTGCTGGTGATCAAGTCCTCCCCTAGCAACTATGTGCGCCGCGAGCTGCTGCGGCGCACGTGGGGCCGCGAGCGCAAGGTACGGGGTTTGCAGCTGCGCCTCCTCTTCCTGGTGGGCACAGCCTCCAACCCGCACGAGGCCCGCAAGGTCAACCGGCTGCTGGAGCTGGAGGCACAGACTCACGGAGACATCCTGCAGTGGGACTTCCACGACTCCTTCTTCAACCTCACGCTCAAGCAGGTGCGCTGGACTGGGGTCACCTGATCGGGGCCACCTGTCCTTCTTGTCCAAATTACCACCCACTCCTGAGGGACCCAGGGGACCAGAAGTCCTCGTCAGTCCATCACAGCCCATTCTGCCCCTCTGCTGTCCTCACCAGCCTCGTGGAGACCCAAAATGGTCTTCTTCTAGGAGAGGCTAGGGGGAAGGGCAGAGGAGCTAGGTTACTAGCACAGAGCTCAAGCCTGATGATGCGGATTCGAATCCAAGCTCTGCCTCTTACTTGGTGTTCGACCTTGGAGGAGTTCATTCACCTCTCTGTGCCTCACTTTTCTCACCTGGAAAATGGGATGTGAATGAGTCCCACCCACCTCTAAGGGCTACTGTGAGGTTTACAGGAGATGGAGTTTATAAGGCACCCAGACCAGTGCTGGATGTCCAACTCAACTTGGCAATGACGGGGGACACATCTCCTTGTTTATTTTTATGTTTATTTATTTTTTTTTAATGGAGTCTTGCTCTGTTGCCCAGCCTGGAGTGCAGTGGTGCGATCTGGGCTTGCTGCAACCACCTCCTGGTTTCCGGCGATCCTACTGCCTCAGCCTCCCAAGTAGCTGGGATTACAGGCACTCACCATGCCCAGCTAATTTTTGTATTTTGAGTAGAGACGGGGTTTCACCCTGTTGGCCAGGGTAATCTCGAACTCCTGACCTCAGGTGATCTTCCCGCCTCGGCCTCCCAAAGTGCTGGGATTACAGGCGTGAGCCACTGCGCCCGGCCAACATCTCCTTGTTTATTTGTTCCGGTTCTGTCTCCCCATGAGGCTGGGGGCCTTGTCTGTTTCACTCACTGCTGTGTCCCTAATGCCTAGAATAGATTCAGGTGCACAGCATGTGCTCAGTCAAGACCTTTTTGATGGACAAGAACCCATGAGAGGTAGCTAGGCTTGGTGGCTCATGCCTGTAATCCCAGCACTTTGGGAAGCTGAGGAGGGAGGATCGCTTGAGCCCAAGAGTTTGAGGCCAGCCTGAGCCACATAGCGAGACCTCATCTTTTTCAAAAAAAATTTAATTAATTAATTTTTATGTTTTTTTAATTAATTTTTTTTTTTTGGATGGAGTCTGGCTCTGTCCCCCAGGCTGGAGTGCAGTGGTGCAATCTCGGCTCACTGCAACCTCCACCTCCCAGGTTCAAGTGATTCTCCTGCCTCAGCCTCCTGAGTAGCTGGGAATACAGGTGCATGCCACTATGCCCAGCTAATTTTTTTGTACTTTTAGCAGAGATGGGGTTTCACCATGTTGGCCAGGCTGGTCTCAAACTCCTGACCTCAAGTGATCCTCCTGCCTTGGCCTCCCAAAGTGCTGGGATTACAGGTATGAGCCACCACGCACAGCCTCGTCTCTATTTTTTTAAAAAAAGAAGCCATGAGAGGTGAGAAAATCCTGCCCATCTGCAGATGAGGAAATGGAGGGGCTCTAAGAACCCCTCCTAGGTCCTCGAGTAGAGCAAGACAAGTAGAGACAACATTTTCAAGGAGGAACAGGGAACTCTGCAGGTTCCTGCTCATAGGAGGTACAGACAGGCCTGGGTTCAAGTCCTCTGGTAGCTGTTTCTCTGCGGGTGACCTCACTGCAGTTTTCTCTGGAGAGCCTCTGTTCCCTCATCTGTAAATAAGATAGAGGACCACTTCTGCCTCCTAAGGGTGCATTCAGGATTCAAGGTAGGGTAAGCACCAAGCACAGCGCCCGGCAACAAACAGATACCCAGCCTGTGTAGGTTACTGTAGGGGAAACTGAGGCTGAGGCGGGTAGGGGCCATGGCCTCTTAACATGCTGTGTTCTGAAAACACAAAAGTGGCTAGGCACAGTGGCTCATGCCTATAATCCCAGCACTTTGGGAGGCTGAGGTGGGCGGATCACTTGAGACCAGGAGTTCGAGACCAGCTTCTTGGGAGGCTAAGGCAGCAGGATCGCTTGAACCCTGGAGGCGGAGGTTGGAGTGAGTTAAGATTGTGCCACTGCACTCCAGCCTGGGTGACAGAGTGAGACTCTGTCTCAAAAACAAAAACAAAAAACCCTTTAAAAGTGTGTGATAAACATCAGCTTGACAAATATGAACCCAGCACCCGTGAAGCACTGGCACTATGCTGGGTGCTGAGGGAGATGGCATGAACAGAAAAGAGAGACACAGGCCCAAGGAGGGAAGTCCAGTGTTTGGTGGGAGAGGGGGATGTTAACAATCACACAGGTCAGGCACGGTGGCTCACACCTGTAATCCCAGCACTTTGGGAGGCTGAGGCAGGTGGATCACCTGAGGTCAGGAGTTCAAGACCAGCCTGACCAACATGGTGAAACCCTGTCTCTACTAAATACAAAAAATTAGCCAGGTGTGGTGGTGCATGCCTGTAATCCCAGCTACTTGGGAGGCTGAGGCAGAAGAATTGCTTGAACCTGAAAGGCGGAGGTTGCAGTGAGCCGAGATTGCACCACTCCACTCCAGCCTGGGCAACAAAAGCGAAAACTCCATCTCCAAAAAAATAATAATAATAATAATAAAATAAAAATCACACAAAGGCCAGGAGTGGTGGCTCATTGCTTGTAATGTCAGCATTTTGGGAGGCTGAGGTGGGAGGATCCTTTGAGGTCTGGAGTCTGAGACCAGCCTGCGTAGCATAGCAAGATCCCATCTCTTAAAAAAAAAAAAATTATTAGCCAGGAGTAAGTAGCGGCATGTGTCTGTAGTACCAGCTACTTGGGAGGCTGAGGTGGAAGGATCACCTGAGCCCGGGAATTTGAGGCTGCAATGAACTATGATCATAGCGCTACACTCTAGCCTGGGCAATAGAGCAAGACCCTGTCTCAGAAACAAACAAAATTCATACAAATGATTATTTAACAACAGGGCTTGGCCAGGCAGAGTTGGAAGGAATAGCAATACATGTAAATGTAACAATTTTCCAGCATTTCTTGGTGCTTCATGGAGCATGGTCTCCATGGATTCCCCAACACTCCTAGAGGCACATGATAAGGCCTGTTTGGAGAGTTGAAACCAAGGCACAGAGAGGGTTTCCCAAGTAACCCCACAGGGCAGGGCCTTAACCCAGGCTGGATTGTGGACACTTCCTTTCCTGGGCTTAGTGGGCTGGAGTGGCTAATAGAGACCCAAGGCCAATTTCTCCAGCCCTCAAGCAAGCATGCCCTGTCCACCCTGCCTGCAGGTCCTGTTCTTACAGTGGCAGGAGACAAGGTGCGCCAACGCCAGCTTCGTGCTCAACGGGGATGATGACGTCTTTGCACACACAGACAACATGGTCTTCTACCTGCAGGACCATGACCCTGGCCGCCACCTCTTCGTGGGGCAACTGATCCAAAACGTGGGCCCCATCCGGGCTTTTTGGAGCAAGTACTATGTGCCAGAGGTGGTGACTCAGAATGAGCGGTACCCACCCTATTGTGGGGGTGGTGGCTTCTTGCTGTCCCGCTTCACGGCCGCTGCCCTGCGCCGTGCTGCCCATGTCTTGGACATCTTCCCCATTGATGATGTCTTCCTGGGTATGTGTCTGGAGCTTGAGGGACTGAAGCCTGCCTCCCACAGCGGCATCCGCACGTCTGGCGTGCGGGCTCCATCGCAACGCCTGTCCTCCTTTGACCCCTGCTTCTACCGAGACCTGCTGCTGGTGCACCGCTTCCTACCTTATGAGATGCTGCTCATGTGGGATGCGCTGAACCAGCCCAACCTCACCTGCGGCAATCAGACACAGATCTACTGAGTCAGCATCAGGGTCCCCAGCCTCTGGGCTCCTGTTTCCATAGGAAGGGGCGACACCTTCCTCCCAGGAAGCTGAGACCTTTGTGGTCTGAGCATAAGGGAGTGCCAGGGAAGGTTTGAGGTTTGATGAGTGAATATTCTGGCTGGCGAACTCCTACACATCCTTCAAAACCCACCTGGTACTGTTCCAGCATCTTCCCTGGATGGCTGGAGGAACTCCAGAAAATATCCATCTTCTTTTTGTGGCTGCTAATGGCAGAAGTGCCTGTGCTAGAGTTCCAACTGTGGATGCATCCGTCCCGTTTGAGTCAAAGTCTTACTTCCCTGCTCTCACCTACTCACAGACGGGATGCTAAGCAGTGCACCTGCAGTGGTTTAATGGCAGATAAGCTCCGTCTGCAGTTCCAGGCCAGCCAGAAACTCCTGTGTCCACATAGAGCTGACGTGAGAAATATCTTTCAGCCCAGGAGAGAGGGGTCCTGATCTTAACCCTTTCCTGGGTCTCAGACAACTCAGAAGGTTGGGGGGATACCAGAGAGGTGGTGGAATAGGACCGCCCCCTCCTTACTTGTGGGATCAAATGCTGTAATGGTGGAGGTGTGGGCAGAGGAGGGAGGCAAGTGTCCTTTGAAAGTTGTGAGAGCTCAGAGTTTCTGGGGTCCTCATTAGGAGCCCCCATCCCTGTGTTCCCCAAGAATTCAGAGAACAGCACTGGGGCTGGAATGATCTTTAATGGGCCCAAGGCCAACAGGCATATGCCTCACTACTGCCTGGAGAAGGGAGAGATTCAGGTCCTCCAGCAGCCTCCCTCACCCAGTATGTTTTACAGATTACGGGGGGACCGGGTGAGCCAGTGACCCCCTGTAGCCCCCAGCTTCAGGCCTCAGTGTCTGCCAGTCAAGCTTCACAGGCATTGTGATGGGGCAGCCTTGGGGAATATAAAATTTTGTGAAGACTTGGAGATCTTTTTTTTTTTTTAAGCAAATTTACAAGTTTCAACAGACAAGTCCACATTCATCCCTAAAAGTCTCATTTTCCAGTAGAAAATATACACTGGTAAAAACGGGGCATGGGGCCGTGGCTCAGGGCTGTAATTCTAGCACATTGGGAGACCAAAGTGGGAGGATCACTTGAGCCCAGGAGTTCTGGATCCTGTCTCTGCACAAAATAAAAAATTACTCAGGCGTGGTGGTGCTCACATGCCTGTAGTCCCAGCTATACTTGGGAGGCTGAGGCGAGAGGATCGCTTGAGCCCAGGAGTTGGAGGCTGCAGTGAACCATGATTGCGCCACTGTACTCCACTGGGCGGCAATAAGAAGACAAAAACATAAAACAGGACATGTGTGAGGCAAAAGCTGCAGGAATTTCTATCAGGCAGATCTGACCTCATCCCACCCACCCCCTGCTCAGATACCCTTCATAGCTCCTTATTGCTTTCAGCTCATAACCCCACATATCCCCACAGACAGATTCTTTTTTTTTTTTTTTAAGACGGATTCTCATTCTGTTGCCCAGGCTGGAGTGTAGTGGCGTGATCTCGGCTCATTGCAACTTCCGCCTCCCAGATTCAAACAATTCTCCTGCCTCAGCCTCCCAAGTAGCTGGGATTACAGGTTACAGGCATGTGCCACCATGTCCAGCTAATTTTTGTATTTTTGATAGAGACGGCATTTCACCATGTTGCCCAGGATGGTCTCAAACTCCTGACCTCAAGTGATCCACCCGCCGGCCTCCCAAAGATGCTGGGATTACAGGCGTGAGCCACAGTGCCTGGCCAGCCAAAGATAGATTCTTGCTTCCAGGTTGTCAGCAGACTTAGGAGCGGGAGGTACAGGGTGAGATGCTCTTAGCTGGATTGGATGCTGGGCCCACCTTGGCCTCCTGCTTCCAGCAAGGCCCCCTCTGAATACCATCCCAGCCACCAGCAGCCTCCCTCTCCTTACCAGGCTTGCCTTCCCTGGTTGGAACCTCAGATCTACTGCTCTCTGTAGCTCATCCTTTCCTCCCCTCCTCAAGTGCTTATTATGCACCTGCCATGTGCTACACGCCTTGCCCTGTACTCCTCCTCCCTCCTGTGGGAAGGGTCAGCTGATACAGACCCACCTTATGGTGAGGAAACAAACCTGAAAATGATCAAATGGGAAGTTCCCGGGAGCAATAAGAGCTTTGAGCAGAATTTTTTTTTAAATTTTATTTTATTTTATTTATTTTTGAGACAGAGTCTCGCTCTGTTGCCCAGGCTGGAGTGTGGTGGCACAATCTCATCTCACTGCAACCTCTGCCTCCTGAGTTCAAGTGATTCTCATGCCTCAGCCTCCCAAGTTGCTGGGATTACAGGCATGCGCCACCACGCCTGGCTAATTTTTGTATTTGTAGTACAGACAGGGTTTCACCATGTTGTCCAGGCTGATCTCGAACTCCTGGCCTCAAGGGATCCACCTGCCTCAGCCTCCCAAAGTGTTGGGATTAGAGGCATAAGCCACTGCACCAGCCTGAGCAGAATTTAAATGGGATAACAGGGCCAAACACAGTGACTCATGCCTATAATTCCAGGGCTTTGGGAGGCAGAGGTGGGAGGATCACCTGAGCCCAGGAGTTCGAGACCAGCCTGGGCAACATAGCGAGACCCTGTCTCTACAGAAAAAAAAAATTAGCCCAGTGTGGTAGTGCCCACTTATGGTCCCAGCTACTCGGAAAGCTGAGGTGGGAGGATCACTTGAGCCTGGGAGGTTGAGGTTGCAGTGAGCCAGGACCATGCCACTGCACTCCAGCCTGGGTGAGAGGGAGACCTTGTTTCAAAAATAAAATGAGGCTGGGCATGGTGGCTCACGATTGTAATCCCAGCAGTTTGGGAGGCCGAGGTGGGCGGATCACCTGAAGTCAGGAGACCAAGACCAGCCTAGACAAGGCGAAACCCCGTCTCCACTAAAAATACAAAAATTAGCAGAGTGTGGTGGCATATGCCTGTAATCCCAGCTACCTGAGAGGCTGAGGCAGGAGAATCACTTGAACCTGGGAGACGGAGGTTGCAGTGAGCTGAGACTGAGCCACTGCACTCCAGCCTGGGCGACAGAGTGAGAATCTATCTCAAAAAAAAGAAAAAAAAAAATAGGCCAGCCGTGGTGGCTCACACCTGTAATCCCAGCACTTTGGGAGGCCGAGGTGGGTGGATCACAAGGTCAGAAGATTGAGACCATTCTGGCCAACATGGTGACACCCCGTCTCTACTAAAAATATGAAAATTAGCCAGGCGTGGTGGTGTGCACTTGTAGTCCCAGCTACTCAGGAGGCTGAGGGCAAAAGAATCGCTTGAACCCGGGAGGCGGAGGTTGCAGTGAGCCGAGCCGAGATCATGCCACTGCACTCCAGCCTGGGTGACAGAGTGAGACTCAGTCTCCAAAAAAAAAAAAAAAAAAAGGTGGTTAAAAATGGCTGCTCTGGGGACTGGAGGGAGTTGGGAGGATGAGACACCATCCTGCAAATCAGGCCTGGATGAGATGGGGCTGCAGGGCTTTCTGACAGGCACATCTGACCTCATTCTGCCCCTGCTCACACAGCCTCTGTGGCTCCCTATTGCCATCAGGGGAGAGTCCCAGCTCCCCTGCTCCACTGGATTGAGTAGTGTCTGGCAAGAATTCATGTCTGAGAATTCATATTCATATTCTGAGAATTCATATTCTGAGAATTCACCTCAGAATATGGGCTTATTTGGAAATAGGGTCTTTATAGACAGACATGAGGTTATCATGGATTAGGGTGGACCCTAAATCCGATGACTGGGCCAGGCACGTGGCTCATGCCTGTAATCTCAACACTTTGGGAGGCCGAGGTGGGCGGATCACCTGAGTTCAGGAGTTCAAGACCAGCCTGGCCAACATGGTGAAACCCCGTCTCTACTAAAAATGCAAAAATTAGCTGGGTGTGGTGGCGGGTGCCTGTAATCCCAGCTACTTAGGAGGCTGAAGTGGGAGGATCACTTCAGCCCAGGAGTTGGAGGCTGCAGTAAGCTATGATTGTGCCACTGCACTCCAGCCTGGGTGACAGAGTGAGACCCTGCCTCAAAAAAAAAAAAAAAAAAAAAGACTAATGTGTTTTGTGATGATCATTTTCTGACATTTGTTTTGTGTCTAATGTCTACCATTCTAAGTCCTCAATGCTAAGGACTCCCATGGGCCTTGGTAGAGACCTCGGTTCAAGTCCTGCACTTACCCTTCCCTGTCTGACCTTGGCAAGCAGCCCTCTCCCTGGGCCTCAGTTTCCCCACTTTGCGTTGCAATGCCTCTCTAGTTATCAAGCTCCTGGAAGTGCCGGTGGGTCCATGGCTGCTGGGGGACAAGCCCACACAGGGACTGACTGAGGCTTGTCCCTTTTTCTAGAGAAAATGCAGGAAGCTGCTTTGGGTCGTTTATTTACTAAGAGACAGCAAGAAGGGGTGTTACACATGCAGGGAGCGGAGCGTCTGGGGCTCCCCTGGAGTGAGGACATTTGGCTGTCAGTGTCCAGCATCTGTGAAAGCGGGGATCCTCCAAGCCAGGGCTAGGGTGTGATTTATTCTGCAGTTGACTCCACAGGCTGCAGGTGGCATTGGTCTGGGGTAGATAGTGAGCACCCATCCCAGGAGGTAATCAAAGGCCTGTAGATGCGAGACTTTATGGTGCTGTGTGGCCTCAGGAGCTCACCAGACCAGACCCTCTGGGCCTCAGGCCACTCTGAGGCTGCACCCAAGGAGGAATCAGTAGGGACAGAGGGTCAGCAGGTCTTGTTGGGTACAGCCACTGAGGCAGCAGTAGCGTGCAGGGTTGGTGGCAGCTGCACGGTGGTGGCGGTGATGGTGAGAGGTCTGGGGCAGGGGCTGCAGGCCAGGTCCCAGCGTGAGATTACTGTCGGCCACCAGCCCATGGAGCAGATGTCGTCTCTCCAGCCACTGTAGCAACTCACCTGGGGACAGAGTGAAACTCAGCTGGAACGGAAACGACAGAGGACATGCTACCCCATGCTGCATGTGCACGAATCCACACACATCCCACTGAGTAACCCACCAAACACTCATGCATGCAGATAAAAAGTGAGCACTGGCCGGGTGCAGTGGCTTACACCTGTAATCCCAGCACTTTGGGAGGCCGAGGTGGGCGGATCACGAGGTCAGGAGTTTGAGACCATCCTGGCTAACACAGTGAAACCCCTTCTCTACTAAAAAAAAAAACAACCAAAAAATTAGCCGGGTGTGGTGGCGGGCGCCTGTAGTCCCAGCTACTCAGGAGGCTGAGGCAGGAGAATGACGTGAACCCAGGAGGCAGAGCTTGCAGTGAGCCGAGATCACGCCACTGCACTCCAGCCTGGGTGACAGAGTGAGACTCTGTCTCAAAAAAAAAAAAAAAAAAGTGAGCACTGGCCCGGCTCAGTGGCTCACGCCTGTAATCCCAGCACTTTGGGAGGCCGAGGTGGGTGGATCACTTGAGGTCAGGAGTTTGAGATCAGCCTGGCCAACATGGTAAAAACCTGTCTCTACTAAAAAATACAAAAATTAGTCAGGCGTGGTGGTGGACGCCTGTAATCCCAGCTACTGGGGAGGCTGGGGTGGGAGAATCACTTGAACCCAGGAGGTGGAGGTTGCAGGGAGCTGGGATCATGCCATTGCACTCCAGCCTAGGTGACAAGAATGAAACTCCATCTCAAAAAAAAAAAAAAAAAAAAAAAGCGAGCACTTATTAAGCACCTACTGTACGCCAGGCACCTGGTTAATCCTCTCATCCACTCAACTCATGTCCACACTCACATCCCCAGCTGCGTGGGTCCCCATATGCCACCTGAGTGCCCCATGCCCTGCCCAGGGAGTGTCGGGGGTCTTGGAGCTACAGATGGTGTCAGTTTCCCCAACAGGTCCAAGGGTCCGTGAGACACCCAGAGCAGGTCAGAGACCCACCCACAGACTCCTCGTGGTACAGAGACATGCAGGGGTGTACATGTGTCTGTGGGTCCACTTCCTGGTCACCCACGCATGTGTGGTGGACCCACAGACACACACACACCCCTACGAGGACACACCCTTGCAGACCACCTCCCCTGGATCCCTAACACCGCAAGTGGAGTGGCACACAGAGACATGTGGACACGTGTTAACACATCTGCACAAACTTGTCGTATATCCCTGCACCAGGGCCAGGACTAGGGTACAGACAGGGAGGCACGAAGCCATCAGGATATTTTTTTGAGGCCAGGCACCGTGGCTCACACCTGTCATCCCAGCATTTTGGGAAGCCTAGGTGGGTGCGTTGCTTGAGCCCAGGAGTTCATGACCAGCCTTGGCAATACAGCAAAACCTCATCTCTGCAGAAAATACAAAAATTAGCTGGGCATAATTCTGCATGCCTGTAGTCCCAGCTACTTGGGAGGCTGAGGTGGGAGGATCGCTTGAGCCTGGGAAGGCAAGGCTGCAGTGACCCGAGATCGTGCCACTGCACTCCAGCCTGAGTGACAGAGCAAGACTGTCTCAAAAGAAAAAAAAAAGGACTTATGAAAATTTAGAGGGTTGTTTACCCTCTACCCAATCTGCAGTTTACAATTGACACCAGTGGTTCTCAAACCAGGGTGATTTTGTTTCCAGGGGATACTTGTCTGGGGACAGTTTTAGATGTCACAACTTGGATGGGGTGTGAGGCTATTCATGGCATTAGGGGGCAGAAGACAGAGATGTTATCTAACACCCTACAATATACAGGACAGCCCCACTACCATATACATCCCCAAATGTCAGCATCAGCTTTTTTTTTTTGAGATGGAGTCTCGCTCTGTTGCCAAGCTGGAGTGCAGTGGCGTGATCTTGGCTCACTGCAACCTCCACCTCCCGGGTTCAAGTGATTCTCCTGCCTCAGCCTCCTGAGTAGCTGAGACTACAGGTGTGCGCCACAACGCCCGGCTAATTTTTGTATTTTTAGTAGAGACGAGGTTTCGCCACGTTGGCCAGGCTGGTCTCACCAGCCTGAGAGTAGCTAGTCACAGCTACTCAGGAGGCTGAGGTGGGCAGATTGCTTGAGTCTGGGAGGCAGAGGTTGCAATGAGCCGAGATCACGCCACTGCACTCCAGCCTGGGTGATAGAGTGAGACCCTGTCTCAAAATATATATATATAATAATAATAATATTAATATTTTTCCCTTTTTTGAGACAAGGGTCTCTGTCTCAGGCTGAGTCTCATATTGCCCAGGTTGGTCTCAAACTCCTGGCCTCAAGTGATCTTCCCTCCTAGCCTCCTGAGTAGCAGGGATTACAGGCATGAGCCACCACATCCAGCAAGGTAAGTATTTTAATGCAATACTTTTAAAATAAAATTTAAAATATTTGTAAAAAGGCCAGGCACAGCGGCTCACGCTTGTAATCCCAACACTTTGGGAGGCTGAGGCGGGCAGATCACCTGAGGTCAGGAGTTCAAGACCAGCCTGGCCCGGGCACAGTGGCTCATGCCTGTAATCCCAGCCCTTTGGGAGGCCGAGGCAGGTGGATCACGAGATCAGGAGATTGAGACCATCCTTGCTAACATGGTGAAACCCCATCTCTACTAAAAATACAAAAAATTTAGCTGGGCTTGGTGGCAGGCGCCTGCAGTCCCAGCTACTCAGGAGGCTGAGGCAGGAGAATGGCGTGAAGCCGGGAGACGGAGCTTGCAGTGAGCCGAGATCACACCACTGCACTCCAGCCTGGGGGACAGAGCGAGACTCAATGTCAAAACAAAACAAAACAAAACAAAACAAGACCAGACTGGCCAACATGGTGAAACCTGTTGTTTCACCTGTTCACCTGTCTCTACTAAAAATACAAAAAAAAAAAAAAATCAGCTGTGCATGGTAGTGGGTGACCTGGGGAGTGGCCTGTAATCCCAGCTACTTGGAAGGCTGAGGCAGGAGAATTGCTTGAACTCAGGAGGCGGAGGTTGCAGTGAGCTGAGATCGTGCCACTGCACTTCAGCCCGGGTGACAGAGCGAGACTCCATCTCAAACAAACAAACAAAATACAAAAATTAGCCAGGTGTGGTGGTGCGTGCCCGCAGTCCCAGCTACTCTGGAGGCTGAGGCAGGAAAATTGCTGGAACCCGGGAGGCAGAGGTTGCAGTGAGACGAGATCACGTCACAGCACTCTGGTTTGGGTGACAGAGCGAGGCTATGTCTCAAAATAAATAAATAAAAATAAAATAATAAAATAAAGTAACATAATTGTGAAAAGCAATACTTTTCAAAAGCAATACTTTTAAATACTTTTAAAGCTGGACACAGTGACTCACATCGCTAATCCCAACACTTTGGAAGGTCAAGGTGGGAGGATTACTTGAGCTCAGGAGTTTGAGACCAGCCTGGGAAACAGAGTGAGACTCCCTCTCTACGAAAAAGAAAAAAAAATTAGCTGGGTGTGGTGGCAGCACCTGTATCCCAGCCACTCCAGAGGCTGAGGCAGGAGGATGGTTTGAGCCCAGGAGGTTGAGCCTGCAGTGAGCCGAGATCTCACCACTGCACTCCAGCCTGGGCGTCAGAGTGAGACCCTGTCTCAAAAAACAAACAAACAAAGCAAAATTAAGGCAAAAATTCATGAAGATCAAAATATTGAAATTTTAAGACAGGATCTCACCATGTACTTGCAAGAGCCTACCTCTCCTGCCTCACTCTGTTTCTGGCCCCTCAGGGGGACTCATGCTCTGAGGACTTTCTTTTTTTTTTTTTTTTGAGACGGAGTTTCACTCTGTCGCCCAGGCTGGAGTGCAATGGCATGATATCGGCCCACTGCAACCTCTGCCTTCCGGGTTCAAGCGATTCTCCTGCCTTGGCCTCCCAAGTAGCTGGGATTACAGATGTGCATCATTATCCCCGGCTAATTTTTTTAAAAATTATTTTTAGTAGAGATGGGGTTTCACCATTTTGGCCAGGCTGGTCTCGAACTCCTGACCTCTGGGGATCCACCCGCCTCAGCCTCCCAAAGTGCTGGGATTGCAGGCGTGAGCCACCACGCCTGGCTAACGGCTCTGGGGACTTTCACACGCGCGTTCACACACACTCCAGTGCGGACCCACGATCTGTGCACGCAGCCGGCAGGTGAGCCCTGGGCACATGCATGCAAACCTGCCCACCTCCCTGCACGTGTGCATCTGCGCCTACGTGCACCTGCCCCACCTCGGCTTCCCAGAGCGCTGTCCCTGCCCGTCCCCACTCACGGTCGCCTCCGGTCGCAGGCCTCCTGGCTTCGGTGGACCAGCGGGGGCCCCCGCACACGCGCACTAGCGCGCGTACGAAGTGGTGGCCGCACAACTTCTCACGCATCTCTGGGGTGGGCGCGGGGCCCAACGCGAACACCAGGGCAGGGCCCAGCAGCACCAGCGCCCAGGCGGGCAGACGGGGGTCCATGGTGGTGGGTGGCGCCGGGGCCAAGCGGGGACCCCCTTTATAGGCGCCTGGGCCGTCCCAGCTGGGGGCCTTGGAGAAGGGACAGAACATTCTTCAGGACCGCCCAGGAAAAAGGTCAAGGGTGGGGTTAGTGCCAGAGCCTTTCTCCCAGGGCCAGGGCCTTGGATGTACTTCTCCCAGAGGGAGCACTGGGCAACGAGTCTTTCTTTTTTATTTTTTTCTTCTTTTTTTTTGAGATGGAGTCTCACTCTGTCACCCAGGTTGGAGTGCAGTGACTTGATCTCGGCTCACTGCAACTTCTGACACCCGGGTTCAAGCGATTCTCCTGCCTCAGCCTCCTGAGTAGCTGGGATTACAGGTGCGCACCACTATGCCTGGCTAATTTTTTTTTTTTTATTTTTTATTTTTAGTAGAGACTGGGGTTCGCCATGTTGGCCAGGCTGGTCTCCAACTCCTGACCTCAAGCGATCCATCTGCCTCGGCCTCCCAAAATGCTGGGATTACAGGCATGAGCTGTGCCTGGACTATTATTATTTTTATTATTATTATTGAGACAAAGTCTTGCTCTGTCTTCCAGGCTGGAGTGCAGTGATGCGATCTCGGCTCACTGCAACCTCCACCTCCTGGGTTCAAGTGATTCTCCCACCTCAGCCTCCCAAGTAGCTGGGATTACAGGTGTAAGCCACCACGCCCAGCCACCTATTTTTATTTTTTATTTTTGAGATGAGTTCTTGCTCTGTTACCCTGGCTGGAGTGCAGTGGCACGATATGGGCTCACTGCCACCTCCCTATCCCTGACTCAAGCAATTCTCCCACCTCAGCCTCCTGAGTAGCTGGGACTACAGGCCCACGCCACCACACCCGGCTAATTTTTTGTATTTTTTTTGTAGAGATGGGGTTTTGCCATGTTGCCCAGGCTGGTCTCAAACTCCTGGACTCAAGTCATCTTCCCGCCTCAGCCTCCCAAAGTCCTGGGATCACAGGCGAGAGCGACCACACCAGGGTATTTATTCATTTTTGACATAGGATCTCTCTGGGTTGGCCTGTAATGGCAGGATCATAGCTCACTGTAACCTCATTCCCCTGGGCTCAAGCGATCCTTCAGCCTCTGCCTCCTGAGTAGCTGGGACTACAGGCCTGCAATACAATGCCCAGCTAATTTTTAATTTTTTAATTTTTATTTTTATCTTTTTAGACAGAGTCTTACTCTGTCACCCAGGCTGGAGTACAGTGGTGCGATCTCGACTCACTGCAACCTTTGCTTCCTGGGTTCAAGCGATTCTCCTGCCTCAGCCTCCTGAGTAGCTGGGATTACAGGTGCCCACCACCAAGCCTGGCTAATTTTTGTATTTTTTAGCAGAGACGGGGTTTCACCATGTTGGCCAGGCTGATCTCAAACTCCTGACCTCAAGTGATCCACCCGCCTCGGCCTCCCAAAGTGCTGGGATTACAGGCGTGCACCAACGCGCCCGGCCATTTTTAATTTTTTAATTGTAGAGGCAGGGGTCTTGCTATGTTGCCCAGGCTCATCTAGAACTCAAGTGGTTCTCCCTACTCGGCCTTCCAAAATGCTGGGATTACAGGTGTGAGGCACCACACACGGCCAAGTCTTCGCTATTGTCTTAACCAGTTTAAAGAGATGAAATAGATCAACTGAAAAGTAATAATCCTGCCTTTTCTGGGGGGCAGGGGGGAAGACAGCGGGCATCTTCCAAGACCAGAAATGTTCAGAATTTTGTTGTTTCTATTACTGTACAAATGAGAAAACTGAGGCACACAGGCCAGGTGCAGTGGCTCATGCCTGTAATGCAAGCACTTTGGGAAGATGGGGCAGGTGGATCACTTGAGGTCAAGAGTTCGAGACCAGCCTGCCCAATATGGTGAAACTCTGTCTCTACTAAAAATACAAAAATTAGCCAGATGTGGTGGTGCATGCCTATAATCCCAGCTACTCGGGAGGCTGAGGCAGGAGAATCACTTGAACCCAGGAGGTGGAGATTGCAGTGAGCCGAGATGGTGCCGCTGCACACCAGCCTGGGGACAGAGACTCCGTCCCCTCACCAGACAAAAAGAAAGAAAAGAAAAGAAAAAAAGAAAACTGAGGCACAGAGAAAGGACCCCAAACTTGCCCAAGGTCACAGGAGGCTGAGCAGAGCCCAGGTCTTCTCAAGGCGCCTGACACGCAGGGCTGGGGGTGTCCCATCCGAAGCTCTGTCTCCCCAACACGGTTGTCCCCTCTGGGTGAGCAGGGGCTGGTGGACCCAGAATAGAGCAGGATTTATTTGTTCAGTGGATGCTTGGCCCCCGCTTCATGCCTAGGGGGTCTTATAGCTTTGTTTTTCCAAGGAGGGAATCTGAGGTTGAGAGAGGGAAGGATGCTTGACCCTAGGCAGGAGAGAACCTGGGCTGGAACTCGAGTCTTGCTTGACCCCAGAGCAGCTCCCTCCCTATTTCTACCAAATTAGGGGGCCCTCTGGGGCTAAGAGAGCAGGGACAGGGATCTCTCTCTCTCTCTCTCTCTGAGTCTCTCTCGGCCTTCATCTCTCAGTTTCCTTCTGTATGTCTGTCTCTGTCCGCATTTTTCTTTTTTTTGAAACGGAGTCGCTCTGTCGCCCAGGCTGGAGTGCAATGGCATGATCTCAGCTCACTGCAACCTCCACATCCCAGTTTCAAGCAATTCTTCTGTCTCAGCCTCCTGAGTAGCTGGGATTACAGGCATGTGCCAGAACACCAGGCTAATTTTTGTATTTTTAATAGAGACGGTTTCGCCATGTTGGCCAGGCTGATCTCATACTCCTGACCTCAAGTGATCCTCCTGCCTTGGCCTCTTAAAGTGCTGGGATTACAGACGTGAGCCACTGAGCCTGGCCACTCTCCACATCTTTCTAGCAGTTATGAGGTGCACATGACGGGGGCCGGTCGGTGGGGAGGTGGTCCGGCCCCAGTGATGCTGGTCCCCTCCCCACAGCCTCGCTCCCCCAACCTGGCCTTGTCCTCTGACCACCGGGAGAGCATCCTGTTCCTTCCCCACCCACAGAGAGCCTGTAATCAGCTCCCCCAGGCTGCAGCCAAGGCCAGCAGCTGGGGCTGGGAGTGAGGGGGCTCTGTCCTTGAGGGCCCCAGCCAAGCCCCACCCAGTGGTCCTCCTCCACCAGCCTGCCCTGGGGCCCCCACAGTGGCTCCCTGAGAGGTCTCTGGCCCACAGCTCTAACCGCATCCCTCCCAGCTCACACACCCTCTGAGGCTCCCCATCGCCCCAAGTCCAGCACAAAATCTTTTCCACTGAATTCCTTTATTCAGTCAACAAACATTTCCAGAGCCCCCTCTGTACTGAGGCCTCAGCCCAGCCCCCAAGGAACCCTGAGGTCAGGGGAGACAGCTGGACACAGACACTTCCCCAGCCCCAGGGCCAGAGTGGGGCTGGAGGGAAGGACAGGGCTACAGTAGTAGTGGGGGTATATGAGGGAAGGCTGCAAGGATGTGGTAGCTGGAGTTTTGAGAGATGGATAAGAGTTTTCCAAGGAGGCAAAAGTGGCAGAAAAGCTTTGCAGGTGAGGAGGAGCAGCAGAAGCTTAACCTGCATGAGAATCCCTCTCACCAGTCAGAAAGTTGACCCTGCACAGCCAAGGGGTAAGCTCTGACCATTTTGCAGGGGACAGAACTGAGACCCAGAGAGGGAAAGGAACTTGCCCACTGTCACACTGCATGGAAGGGGCAAAACTGTAGGCTCCAATACTTGGGCTCTTAACCTCCTTACTCTGAGCCTTCTCACGCTTGGCATGCTGTTCCCTCTGCCAGGAATGCCTTTCCTTCCCTTGATTGCGTGAAAAGTTCCTGCCAGGTTTGGTGTCATCCCTTTGTGCCCCTTGTAGGGTGAGGACAGAAAGGGTCCCATTGGACAGGTGGGAAAACTGAAGCCCTAGGACACTCAGATACCATTAGGGTGGACTGGGACCCCAGCCTTTCCTGCCCCCTTTCAGGATCCCAAAGAGATACACGGGCTCCCCTAAAAGGCAGAGTCCCAGCCACAGCAACTGCTCTTGTCCTTGGCTTCCTCCAGAGAAACAGAGATCGGGGAGCAGAAGTCAGATCATACATTTAAAGCTACATGAGGGCCGGGCGCAGTGGCTCATGCCTGTAATCCCAGCACTTTGGGAGGCCGAGACGGGCAGATCACGAGGTCAGGAGATGGAAACCATCCTGGCTAACAAGGTGAAACCCCGTCTCTACTAAAAATACAAAAAATTAGCCGGGTGTGGTGGCGGGCGCCTGTAGTCCCAGCTACTTGGGAGGCTGAGGCGAGAGAATGGTGTGAACCCAGGAGGCGGAGCTTGCAGTGAGCCTAGATTGCGCCACTGTACTCCAGCCTGGGCGACAGAGCGAGACTCCGTCTCAAAAAAAAAAAAAAAAAAAAAGCTACATGAATGTCCCCATTGGAAATAAGACAGGAAACTCAAAACTAGGTGCTGTAGTCCCAGCTATTTAGGAGGATAAGGCAGGAGGATCACTGTAGCCCAGGAGTTCAAGACCAGCCTGGGCAACGTAGCAAGATCCTGTCTCTTAAAAATAATAATAATAAATTTAAAAAAAAAAAAGCCTGGGTGCAGTGGCTCATGCCTATTATTCCAACACTTTGGGAGGCTGAGGTGGGAGGATCACTTGAGGTTAGGAGTTCGAGATCAGCCTGGCCATCATGGTGAAACCTCATCTCTATTAAAAATAAAAAAAATTAGCCGGGTGTGGTGGTGCACACCTGTAATCCCAGCTACTCGGGAGGCTGAGGCAGGAGAATCGCTTGAACCTGGGAAGCAGAGGTTGCACTGAGCCGAGATCGCACCACTGCACTCCACCCTGGGTAACAGAGCGAGGCTCTGTCTCAAAAATAAAAATAAAAATAAAAAAAATAAAAAGAGAGAGACAGAAAAGGAAACTCAGGGGGCCAGGGCTTAAGGGGTTGGGAAGATGCGAGAGTCTTAAATTTGGTTCCTTGCTTCTTTGGGCCAGGACTCAGAGAGCCCCACTGACACATATGCCCATCTGTCTTGAACCTTAACAAATTGCAAAGGCCACAGGCTATTCTACAGGCCACGGGAGCCCCCCCAAATGCAATGTCATGGGGGTGTTCCTGAAGTAGAGGACCCTCATAAGGCCTCTGAGGCCCAGAGAGGGGCAGCTCCGGGCCTAAGGTCACACAGCCAGTCAACAGAGACCTAATCCAGAGGTCTGCGGGCAGGAGCTATGAAAAGGACAGGGAGTGGTGTTTGCCCTCTGGGTGAGCAGTGAAGGCATGAGTCTCACACCCCCGGCTTCCGCTCCACAGCATGTCCAGCTGGGGGCCCAGGGCGCTGAATGATGGCCGGTCCTGTGGGCTAGGGGCCCAGCACAGCTTCATGAGCTCGTGAACCTGAGGGGCGGGGGACAGATAATGGGGTCGTGCCTGAGCAGTCCAAAGGACACAACTCCCATTCAGCGTATTTGTTTTTGTTTTTTTGAGACGGAGTCTAGCTCTGTTGTCCAGGCTGGAGTGCAATGGCATGATCTCGGCTCACTGCAACCTCCGCCTCCCGGGTTCAAGCAATTATCCTGCCTCAGCCTCCTGAGTAGCTGGGATTATAGGCACGTGCCACCACGCCTGGCTAATTTTGTATTTTGAGTAGAGACAGGGTTTCACCATGTTGGCCAGGTTGGTCTCAAATTCCTGATCTCAGGTGATCCACCTGTCTTGGCCTCCCAAAGTGCTGGGATTATAGGCATGAGCCACCGCACTCATTCAGTTTTAAAACACAAATTAAATTCCATCCCATCTCTGCTCCAAAAACTCCCATGGCTCCCTATGGATCTTACTTATTTATTTATTTGAGATAAAGTTTCGCTCTTGTTGCCCAGGCTGGAATGCAGTGGTGCGATCTCGGCTCACTGCAAACCCTGCCTCCTGGGTTCAAGCGATTCTCCTGCCTCAGCCTCCCAAGTAGCTGGGATTACATGCACACACCGCCACACCTGGCTAAGTCTGTATTTTTAGTAGAGACGGGGTTTCACCATGTTGGTCAGGCTGGTCTTGAACTCCTGACCTCATGTAATCCACCCACCTCGGCCTCCTAAAGGGCTGGGATTACAGGTGTGAGCCACCGCGCCCAGCCCTTATGGATTTTACAACACACTTCTCCTTTCGAGACTACCCTGACCAACATGGAGAAACCCCATCTTAACTAAAAAAAAAAAAAAAAAAAAAAAAAAAAAAAAAAAAAAAAAATTACAGGTGGCGTGTGCCTGTAATCCCAGCTACTCGGGAGTCTAAGGCAGGAGAATTGCTTGAACCTGGGAGGCGGAAGTTGTGGTGAGCCGAGATTGCGCCATTGCACTCCAGCCTGGCCAACAAGAGCAAAACCACGTCTCAAAAAAAAAAAAACAACAAAAAAACACCACCTCTCCCTGATGCCCTCCTTCGCTCATCTCCATCCCTCCTTCCCTCATTTGTTCCGGGCAGTCACATCTGCCTCCATCGCACTGGTGCTTAAAGGCACCCAGCTCATTACCTCCCCAAGGCCTTTTTCCCTTCCGTGTCCTCCACTGGAAATTTCTTCTCCTAGCTTTACTCATGGGTAGGCTCCTCCTCCTTCCAGCGTCGGCCCCGTAAGAGGCCCTCTTTGACCACCCCCACCCCACCATTTCCCTCTGTTCATCTCTTTCAAGGCACTTATCACTACCATAATTTTGTCTTTGTTTTGTTTTGTTTTGTTTTGTTTTGTTTTGTTTTGTTTTGTTTTGAGACAGGGTGTCACTCTGTTGTCCAGGCTGGAGTGCAGTGGTACAATAATGGCTCACTGCAGCCTTAACCTCCTGGGCTCAAGCAATCCTCCTGCCTCAGCCTCCCTGGTAGCTGAAACCACAGGTGCATGTCACCACACCGGCTATTGCTTGTATTGTTTGTAGAGACAAGGTCTCACTATGTTGCCCAGGCTGGTCTTGAACTCCTGGGTTCCAGTGATCCTCCTGCCTCAGCCTCCCTAGTAGCTGAAACCACAGGTGCATGTCACCACACCGGCTATTGCTTGTATTGTTTGTAGAGACAAGGTCTCACTACGTTGCCCAGGCTGGTCTTGAACTCCTGGGCTCCAGTGATCCTTCTGCCTCAGCCTCCCAAAGTGTTGGGATTATAGGCATGAGCCATCGTGCCCAGCCTAGAATGTTCTTATCAGATTTTGCTAGTTACTGGGAGGACAGGGTCTTCAGCACCCAACAAGTCCTGGCACACAGTTGGCACTCAATAAATGTTTTTGGCCTGAGCAAATTAATTTATCAATGACCAACTGCATGTCAGACACTTCCACAAAGGTTATGATTATATGATTATAAACCATGAGAGGGTGGGATGTGGTGGCTCACGTCTGTAATCCCAGCACTTTGGGAGGCCGAGGCAGGAGGATCACTTGACCCCACGAGCTCAAGACCAGCCTAGGCAACACAGAGAGACCCCATCTCTTTAAAAAAATTTTTTAAAATTAGCCAGGCACAGTGGCTTATGCCTGTAAATCTCAGCACTTTGGGAGGCCAAGGCAGGAGGATCGCTTGAGCCCAGGAGTTCAAGACCAGCCTGGGCAACATAGCGAGACCTTGTCTCTTAAAAAAATTATTTTTATCTTATTTGTTTGTTTATTTATTTATTTATTTATTTTGAGATGGAATCTTGCTCTGTCGCCCAGGCTGGAGTGCAGTGGCATGATCTTGGCTCACTGAAACCTTCCCCTCCCAGGTTCAAGCAATTCTCCTGCCTCAGCCTCGCAAGTAGCTGAGATCACAGGCACCCACACATGGGTAATTTTTGTATTTTTAGTAGAGACAGGGTGTCACCATGTTGGCCAGGCTAGTCTCGAACTCCTGACCTCCGGTGATCTGACCGCCTCAGCCTTCAAAAGTGCTGGGTTTACAGGTGTGAGCCACCACACCTGGCCAAAATTATTTTTAAATTAGCCAGGCATGGTGATGTACACCTATAGTCCCAGCACTTTGGGAGGCTGAGGCAGGAGAATCGCTTGAGCCCACGAGTTCAAGACCAGCCTGGGCAATATAGTGAGGCTCCCATCTCTAAAAAATTATTTTTAAATTAGCCAAGTGTGGTGGTGTACACCTGTAGCTCCTGCTACTAGAGACACTGAACTAGGGGAATCACTTGAGCTCAGGAGTTGGAGGCTGCAGTGAGCTATAATTGCACCCCAGCCTGGGCAACAGAGTGAGCCCCCATCTATAAAAAAGAAAGAAAGAAAGAAAAAAAAAAACCATGAACGTCACCACCATTTATGGAGCATCGACTGTGTGCTCGGCTTTGAGCTGAGCCCTCATAGGCACAGGTGTTCAGGAGTCTAATCTTCCCTCACCCTATAAGGCATTACTATTCTCATTTTGGAAAAGGGTAAACTGAGGCTCTGAAAGTGCTCTGACTTGCCACACAGTGAGAGAGTAGCCAAGTGGGGGCCAGGATCCTCATCGGCCTCACACTCTAGCCTTTCTTCTCAGTACAGAGACTCAGGCGCCAGCTGGCTTGCCCGAGACCCCGGCCCAATCTACAGACTGGGAAACTGAGGCTAGCCCTGCGGCGCTCACCTCAGCAGGGCAGGCAGGAGGCGCCGGCAGCCTCTGGCCCTCCTCCAGCAGTTCCAAGAGGCGGCAGAGGGCGGGGACATCCCGCTCACATCCCATCATCCGCAGGAACTCCTGGAGCCAAGGAGGAGCGCATGTGGTGGGGGAGGAGCCTCCGTGGGTGGAGGGGGAGGGGCCACCCGTGGTGGGGGTAGGGGCCATCTGTGATGGAGCGGGGAGGGGCTGCCTGAACCGTGAAGGGGTCAGAAAGGTGAGGAAGCGTCCTCCCCACTGGGGCCTATGATGCTGGGACCAGGTGACCCCATGCTAAAGAGGGACGCAGGCGCAGACAGGTTGGAGATTGGCCACGAGGGGCGTGGAGGGAGAAGAAGGCTGGGGGCTCTGGGAAGCCGACTCACGGCCGAGGGGCTGCAGCTTTTGTCGCAGTAGGTGAAGAGCTCGTACAGGACGACCCCGAAGCTCCAGACGTCTGACTGGCGAGAGAAGATGTTGTCCGAGAGGGATTCGGGGGCATACCTGGAGAGGGGACAAGGTCTTGAGATGCGAGGGTGTAGAAAGGACAGGAAGAGGGGGGCAGCCTTGGAATGGGGAACTGGTCAGGGTAGGTGGGGACTGTGAGCAGGTCAGTCCCGTCTCCAGGGTCTCGGTTTCCCTGGCTGTGGGATAGGTGGATTCTCCAGCCCTGGGAGGTGCCTGGGAAGAGCTAAGGCTGTGGGGAGGAGGCGGGGGCAGCACGGAGGGGCGGAGATGGGGGCGGGGCCAGAGCCGTGGGAGGGGGAGGGGCCAGAACTGGGCGGGGGGAAGGGCGGAACTAAGAGGGGGCCAGCCCTGAGGGGCGGAGCCAGCGTGTTGGAGGGGTGGGGTTCTGAAGCTTGGGCGGGGCGAGAGCTGAGAGAAGGGCGGGGCTAAGGCTGGGGGCCGCTGACAGCAGGGCAGCGGGAGACAGAGGAGCCAGTGCTGTTGAGGGGGCGGGGCTCTGGGGAGTGGGAGGGGCCAAAGCTGCAGCGGAGGAAGGGCGGGGCTAAGGCTGGGGAGCAAAGCAGCGGGAGGGGGCGGGGGCATGGCTGGGGGCGGAGCCAGAGCCGTGGGGAATAGGGGCGGAGCCTAGGCGCGGGTTCCCCACCAGAAAATGGGGCTCTGGCCTGGCTCGCGGACCACGTAGTAGTCTTTGTCAAGCGGCAGCAGCTTAGCTAGGCCGAAGTCAGCGATCTTGACGTGTGCCTCGCTCTCCACGAGGATGTTTCGGGCGGCCAGGTCGCGGTGCACGCAGCGGCGGGAGCCCAGGTACTCCATGCCCTGCGGGCGGGCGGTGTGAGCGTGCAGAGAGGATCCCAGGATAATCCGGCAGGTACCCCAAGCGTGACCTGGCACCCCAACCCAGACCCCAACTATAACCCTACCCCCGAGCCATCCTCCACTGAAGTTCTGATCCTGAGCCCTAAGCCAACCCCACCACTCCCGAGACCTGGACCCCAAACCACTCCTCAGCCTTCACCGCGACCTCCAAGCAGACCCCTGCCCAGGCCGTGCCAGCTGAATCCCCACAAGTCCCGGGGCGCCCCCTCGCACCTTGCAGATCTGCGAGGAATAGAGAAGGAGGCGGCTGGCATCGAGGCGCGCGCGGTGCCGCTGCAGGAAGTCGCGCAAGCAGCCGCTGGGCAGGTACTCCATGACCAGCCGCAGGCTCTGGCGGCCTGGAGAAGGCAGGATCTGTCACAGCAGGGCCCAGCCCTGCTCGTCCCCCCATTCTTCCCCCCTTTCACAGTGGGACCTTGTGTCCCTCTCGACCTCAGTTTTGCTGACTGTAATATGGGAACCGCAACAATGACACATTGCTAATATCTCTTGAGTACTTTCTACAACATACATTGATGTGTTTATATATCACGGCCAGGTGCAGTGGCTCACGCCTGTAATCCCAGCACTTTGGAAGCCTCACTTGAGGTCAGGAGTTCAAGACCAGCCTGGCCAACATGGTGAAAACCCATCTCCACTAAAAACACAAAAATTAGCCGGGTGTGGTGGCACGCTCCTGTAATCCCAGCTACTCTGGAGGCTGAGGCAGGAGAATCACTTGAACTTGGAAGGCAGAGGTTGCAGTGAGCCGAGATTGAGCCACTGCCTCCAGCCTGGGTGACAGAGCGAGACTCTGTCTCAAAAAAACAAACAAACAACAACAACAACAAAGTAAATATCACAATGGCCCATTTTTCAGCTGGAGAAACTGAGGCTCAGAAAAGTTAAGGTTTCACAACTGGTAAGGGGTAGAGTCAGGATTCAAACCTGTAACCCATGTGAATCTGGATCAATAATCACGTTCCCAGCCTACCTAAAGTGGCCTGGCAGGAGGGTAAGAATGTGCACTTTGAAAAGCACCCATACGTCTTGGTTCACTCATCCGGGAGCTGGCTCACCCGGGCCATAGCTGACACCACGATACTTGACAATGAAATCACTGTGCAGTGCTTTGAGGATCTGAATCTCCCGCTGAAAGTCCCTCTGCTGGTCTGGCCCGCTGTGCTGCAGCTGTTTCACGGCCACCAGGGCACCTGTATTGTCGCCTAGCGGGTCATAGCGGCACAGCTCCACGCTGCCAAAGTTGCCCTGGGGGATAGCGGGACTGATGTCCAGGCACCTGGATGCTGCCCTGCCCTCTCCAACCCACCCTGGCCCTGCCCACCTTACCTTGCCCAGCTGTGAGATGTACTTGAGGTGTCTCTCCTCGAAGATCGTGGGGTCTTGGCAGGCATAGAGCTGGGCACCATTCCACAGCCCATCACGAGGTGCCAGGGCACCAGGTGTGGGGTCTGAGAGGAGCTCATAGTCTGGGGTGGGGGCATGGGCAGTGGTAAGCAGCGCCTCTCATCCTGGGCCCCACTCCTGAGTTGACTTGCTGTGCAACCTCCATCTGCATATTGACCCTCTCTGTGCATTATGGCAGGGCCATTGCAAGCCAAAGGGTACCTTGTGGAGACTGGAAAAAGGTGTCTCCCACTCTGTCCCAGGCAAAGGAAGCCTCCTCGTGCAGTGCACACCCTGTGCAACTCCACATGGCTACAAAGATGGAGGACATAATGAGAACTCATTTCCCCAGTTCCACTGCTATGAAATGTGGCCACATGACTGAGCTCAGGCTGATGGACAAGATATGCTGGGTGCCCCTCCAGTCCTGACCCATGGAAACCTAATACGGGGCCCTCCACACTCTCTCTTTTATCTGCAGAGGATCCAACGGGGACCCAACGCCTGAGGTGAGTGCAGCCACTAAGTGAGAGGTTCCTGTGGGCCTGGACACCCTCATTGAATGAAGACTAAATATCACACTGGGCATGGTTGTGTGTGCCTGTAATCCCAGCTATTTGGGAGACTAAGGCAGGAGGATTGCTTGAGCCAGTAATTCAAGACCAGCCTGGGGAACATAGCAAAACCCCATCACAGAAAAAAAAAAAAAAAAAAAAAAAATCCAGCCTGGTGTGGTGGCTCATGCCTGTAATCCCAGCACTGGGTGGCTGAGGTGGACGGATCTCTTTGAGACCAGGAGTTCAAGACTAGCCCGGCCAACATGGCAAAACCCTGTCTTTACTAAAAAATACAAAAATTTAGCCGTGTTTGGTGGCACGCCCTTGTAATCCTAGCTACTTGGGAGTCTGAGGCGGGAGAATTGCTTGAACCAGGGAGGCAGAGGTTGCAGTGAGCCAGGATCACGCCACTGCACTCCAGCCTAGGTGACAGAGGGAGATAGTGTCTCAAAAATATAAAATAAAATAAAATAAAAATGCATACAGGCATGCATCACCATGCCTGGCTAATTTTCTGTTTGTTTGTTTGTAGAGATGGAGTTTTGCCATGTTGCCCAGGCTGGTCTTGAACTCCTGGGCTCAAGCGATCCACCTACCTATAGCTGGAACTATAGGCATGAGCCACTGCGCCCAGCCAAACATTTTTTTAAAAGAATGAAATAGACCAGACATGGTGGCTCACACCTGAAATCCCAGCACTTTAGGAGGTAGAGGTGGGCGGATCACCTGAGGTCAAGAGTTCGAGACCAGCCTAGCCAATATGGTGAAACCCCATATCTGCCAAAAATACAAAAATTAGCTGGGCGTGGTGGCACACACTGTAATCCCAGCTACTCAGGAGGCTGAGGCAGGAGAATCGCTTGAACTAGAGGTTCAAGGAGGTAGAGGTTGCAGTGAGCCGAAATTGTGCCACTGCACTCCAGCCTAGGCAACAGAGCAAGACTCTGTCTCAAAAATAAATAAATAAATAAAATATCATCATGTTGAACCTTGAACTGAGGGGACTGTTCGTTACAGTAGCTGTTGAAGCTCACACTGACTGTCACAGTCACCAACCCCTCCAACCTCACCAGACACACAGGGCGTGGCCTGCTGCAAACCACGCTCCTTCCACTGGGCCCAATATGACATCACAGCCCTCCCCACCCAACCCGTCCCAGCGGGCACCTGAAGAGATGAGGCTATTGAGGTCACGAATGACGGCTCGGAAGGAGGGCCTCTGGACCGGCTCATAGGCCATGCACTGTTGAATCAGCAGGGCCAGCTCTGTCCACTTGGGGGCCGGCAGCTGCTGCCGGTCCTCATAAAATTGGAGTTTCTGAGGGTGAGAGGAGCAGTCGGTAATCCCCAACCCAATAGACCCACCCCAATCTCCCCAGACTGGATGTCAGTCTGCCCTTCTGTCAAAGTGGGGGTTCGGAGACCGATGCCGGGTGAGGGGCTCTGACCTTAGCAGGATCCAGGGCACTGATGGGCATGGTGACGCCACTAAACACTTCCCAGACCGTGGCGCCGAAGCCCCACTTGTCAGCTTCCAAGCTAAGTGTCTGCGCCTCCCGGAGACACTCGGGGGCCACCCAGGGGATCCTGTCGGTGAGCACTGAGGGAATGAAAGTGGGATCAGGGATCCACTTCCTTGCCCTGCTCAGCCCCTCCCTCCTCCACCTCCAGGAACTTACTCTCCAGGCTTAACACAGCGGGGCTGACCCCAGGGTCACTCAGCTTGATGAAGGGCGGGCTCCCATCAGCCCCCTCCCGAGCCAGGAGCACCTTCCGGGCAGAGACATTGCCATGGGGCAGGCCTTTGTCCTCCTAAGGGGGCCAGACACAGGAAAATGCCCGGGAGGGTTTGATGAATGAAGAGTCTGTTTGGCAAACTCCTATACATCCTTCAAAACCCACTTGGTACTGCTCAGACATGCTCCAGCATCGTCCCTGACTCCTGACATCCTGTCTTGCCCCTCTAGTTCACCCCCTACACTGACCTGGCTATGTCCCTCCCCTTCTCAAACACCACCCCATCCTGTGACTCCCCAGTGCCTTTGACACAAAGTGAAAGCTCCTCAGCCTGGCATTCAAGGCCCTTGCTCAAGCTTCCAATGAACTTCCCTTCCACACTTGCACCCTGGTCTCCTGCCAACAGAACTGCCTGATAGGCCCCAGGGGATGCAACACACTATCTAGCCTGCAGGCCTTTGCCTAGGCTGTTCCCTCAGCCTGACATTCCTTCCTTCCTTTCTTCTCTTGATGAACTTCTACTCAACTTTTAAGGCCCTATCTCCAATGTTCCTTCTTCTAGGAAGCCTTTCTTCCTGCCCAGCCTCGTCATTCACCACACGCCCTGACATCCAAGAATGACTTGTTCTCTTCTAGTGTTCTCACAACCTGAACCTAAAATGCCCTCCCCTCGAACCCTTACCAAACTCCTATGCATACTACAGAGCCCACTCCCAATTCCTCTTCCACCCAGAGAAAGCCTTCCCTGGGAATGGAGGGTGGAGCAGGCAGAGGAGCACTCACCAGATAGTTGAGGGCGTAGGCCAGCTGTTTGACCACCTGCAGCTTCCAGCTGGCTGGCACCAGGTGGCCACGTTTTCGCAGATACATGTCTATGGCCCCCAGGTGTACAAATTCCTGCACCATGGTGCCTGGTTGGCAGCAGGGAGAGGCGGGGTTGGGAGACTGAACTGCACTTGTGTTGAGGAGGTTCTGCCAACACCCTGGCTCTCAGGGTCTCTCAAACTCTCATCTCTGTCTGTTCCCTCCCCTGCTGCCTCTGTTCATACAGTACTCACCTCTCCTCCCACCTCCATCTCTGAATGATTTGCCTGGAATGCCTGGAAGGTGTTGAGCCCTGTCTGTATCTGTATCTCACTTTTTTTTTTCTCTTTTCTTTTGAGACAGAGTCTTACTCTGTTGCCCAGGCTGGAGTGCAGTGGTGCGATCTCGGCTTACTGCAACCTCTGCCTCCCGGGTTCAAGTGATTCTCCTGTCTCAGCCTCCTAAGTAGCTGGAACTACAGGCGCATGCCACCACACCCGGCTGATTTTGTATTTTTAGTAGAGACGGGGTCTTGCCATGTTGGCCAGACTGGTCTTGAACTCCTGATCTCAGGTGATCCACTCGCCTCGGCTTTTCAATTACAGGCATGAGCCACCACGCCCAGCCTCTGTATCTCACTTCTAACCCTTTGCATATTCTGTGTCCTCTGCCTAGAACACCCCTCTTCCTTTCCTAATCCACACTTGTCCTTATCTTTCCAGGTTAGAATGCATCTCTGTCTTCCCACAAGCATTGCCCAACCCCCAGGCTGGCCCAGCAGCCTCTCTGACCATCCACAGTGCTCCGTGCTGCCCTCCTCACACCTCATCACACCCTGCCTGTCACATTCTAGGCTCTGTCCCAGCTCCTGGCCCATCCTAGACTCCCAACCAATGAAACCAAGGCTCAGAAAGGTTACGTGACCTGTACAAAGCTGCAGAGATTAGAAAGCCAGGTTTGTCTGACTTCAGGTCATTCTGGGGCTGGATATGGGTGAGAACCTGGAGCCGCTTTCCAAGGAGTGATGATGGAGAGACATAAATAAAGGGTAATGAACACGGCTCCCATCCAGGGTGGCCCAGTGTGTTGCTGGGGCTGTCATATAGCGGCTCAGAACAGAGGTGGGAAGAACAGCCTAGACTTGGGTGAGGCAGGGGTGGGGTGGGTGGGTGGGGGGCTCTCACTGTCTCCAGCCATGCACACGCCGTGGAGCAGCACGAGATGCCGGTACGACACTTGGCTCATCAAGCTCGCTGCTTCCAGGAATGACTGGGGAAGGTGGGAAGGGAGAGAAGATGCGTGGGTTTCTTCCACTCCAATAATCCCAAATTTTGTGCTCACAGACCTGCCTTAGGGGAACACCTGGCCACAGGTCACCTTTGGCCCTGGAGTCTGCCATTAGTGCACACAGCACTACCATGATTTTCTGATACGGGACAGAAGTTCCCACTATCATCTATGGTTTTTTGTTTTGTTTTGTTTTGTTTTTGAGACAGAGTCTCCCTCTGTCACCCAGGCTGGAGTGCAGTGGCGCGATCTTGACTCACTGCAACCTCCGCTTCCCAGATTCAAGCAATTCTCCTGCCTCAGCCTCCCGAGTAGCTGGGATTACAGGCATGCACCACCACGCCCGGCTAATTTTGTATTTTTAGTAGAGACGGGGTTTCTCCATGTTGGTCAGGCTGGTCTCGAACTCCCGACCTCAGATGATCTGCCCGCCTCAGCCTCCCAAAGTGCTGGGATTACAGGCGTGAGCCACCGCGCCCGGCCTAAAATTTTTTTGTCAAGACGAGGTCTCGCTATGTTGCCTAGGCTGTTCTTGAACTCCTGGCTTCAAACCATCCTCCTGCCTCAGCCTCCCAAAGTGCTGGGATGACAGGCATGAGCCACCACGCCCAGGTCCCTGTGTGTTTTTAAATTTCTCTGCATCCACGACCCCCTCTCCAGCCAGCCCCGACTCCAAAAGTCTGGTCCACATTGCTCTCACCTCCATGCAGTTCTTGTGCTTGGCATCCATGACCTTCAGCAGCACCTCTGTCTTTCGGGCCTCCCCATCCACCACCTCATGGCGACAGCCCCGGTAAATCTTGGTGAAGGACCCATGGCCCAGGTTCTCATGCTGAATGGTGAGGGGACAGCAGAAGAGGCCAGTGAGGGGGTTCCTGCAGGATCCCAGCCCAAGCGAGACATAGCTGCTGGCCCCATTTTACAGATGGGAAAACCGAGGCAAGGTAAAATTATAGCATATGCCTGAGGCCACGCATCTGAGTCTCTGGACCCCAGACTGAGGTATCGCCTCATTTCCCAGGGCCTCTTACCCACTCCAGGCTGTCAGCAGGGATCTTGTGAAATGTCATCTGACTCAGCTGGTATTGGGATTGGGGCTGAACCAAGGATGATGTGGGTGGGCTGTGACCTCTCTGGACCACGATCAGGTTGGACTTTTCTATGGGGAGAGGATGAGGGAGAAAAACCAGAAATCAGAGGTGAAAAGTCCCCAAGGGTTAGCTAACTCATGCCTTAGTTTGAGGTACCCTCTAGAAGCCGACCCTGAGATGAAGACTTCAGGGCACATGGCTTTTTGTTGTTGTTTTTGTTTTGTTGTTGCTGCTGCTGTTGAGACGGAGTCTCACTCTGTCATCCAGGCTGGGTGGGCAGTGGTGCGATCTCAGCTCACTGCAACCTCCACCTCCCAGGTTCAAGCGATTTTCCTGCCTCGGCCTCCCGAATAGCTGGGACTACAGGTGTGTGCCACCGTGCCCGGCTAATTTTTTTTTTTTTTTTTTTTTGAGACAGAGTCTCGCTCTGTCACCCAGGCTGGAGTGCAGTGGTGTGATCTCGGCTCACTGCAACCTCTGCCTCCTGGGTTCAAGTAATTCTCCTGCCTCAGCCTCCCAAGTAGCTGGGACTACAGGAGTGTGCCAGCACACCCAGCTAATTTTTGTATTTTTAGTAGAGATGGAGTTTCACCATGTTGGCCACGCTGGTCTCAAACTCCTGACCTCAGGTGATCCATCTGCCTCAGCCTCCCGAAGTGCTGGTATTACAGACGTGAGCCACTGTGCCTGGCTGGCACATGGTTTATTTGAAAGGAGATCCAGAAAGCCCCCATAGGGATTTGGGATGAGCGACAAGGAAGGAAGGAGCCCTGCAGGGGGCTTTAATGAGCAAGTGGCACTGTGGACAACCAGGGATCGGTTCTACCAGGGATTCTGGGAGACTCAGAAGAACTCACATCTCAGAATTGTCCCATCAGAGGGGTTTGTCCAGGAGTGAAATTCACCCAGAGGAAGAGCTGAGAGCTGGAGAGAGACTAGGTGCAGATGACATGGCTCACATCTAGCTGTGCCTAGATCAAGCCAGACCTAAAGGTTATATATCTCTAACTTCCTGAGCCAACAAATCACCTTTTCTTCCCTAACCCACCTTGACCTGCAGTTTCTGCCACTTGCCACCCACACAGGAGCTGTCACAGACATAGAAAGCCAGGGTCCCAGATCAGCCACTCATTCCAGGGGAGGAAGGGGCTCACCTTTGGGTCTGGGGATACAGCAGGAAGTGAGGGTCACTGCCACCCCATCTACGTGCAGCCCCCCATCCCAGCAGGTTGCCAGGAGCTCTCGAAGACTGCTGTGGGGTCGGCTGAGGCCAACCAGAAGGAAGGTTCCTGTGGGGCTGCGCCGGATGAGGCAGCCCTTATAATCAGGACCAAGGGGGTTCTGCAAAGAAGAGTGGCCCCTGAGTGGGACTGAGCGACAGACACTCTCCTTCTCAGTCCTTCTTCCTTTTTTTTCTTTTTTTTTTTTTTTTTTTGGAGACGGAGTCTGGCTCTGTCACCCAGGCTGGAGTGCAATGGCGTGACCTTGGCTCACTGCAACCTCCGCCTCCCAGGTTCAAGCGATTCTCCTGCCTCAGCCTCCCGAGTAGCTGGGACTACAGATGCCCACTACCACGCCCAGCTAAGTTTTATATTTTTAGTAGAGACAGGGTTTCACCATTTTGGCCAGGATGGTTTCGATCTCTTGATCTCTTGATCTGCCTACCTCAGCCTCCCAAAGTGCTGGGATTACAGGCGTAAGCCACTGTGCCCAGCCTCAGTCCTTTCTCCTAAAGCACCATGAACTCATTCCAGTCTTTAGACCTTTGAATATGCTGTTCTGTTCACCGGGGGTGTCTTTTCCCTCCTATTCTTCAGGAACCAAATGCTGACTGATCTTTTAAATCTCAATTCAAACGTCACCTCCTCCAGGCAGCCCTCCACTACCCACCCTAGCAGTAGACCGACCTGGACACAGACAGTGAGGAGGAAGCTGTCAAAGTCCTGGGGGCTGCGGCGGAGAACATAGGAGCCAGGACGTGAGCCCCCAGTCTTGAGCTTGTTGATGGCAAAGTCCAGACTGTGGGGGAAGGTGAGAGGGAATGGGGAGGAGTCAGAGATAGAAGAAGACAGAGAGACCTGGGCTCAAATTCAGGTACCTCTGTAGCCCTGGGATCCTTGCCAGGTGACACCCTCCCCCCATTTATAAAATCAGCCATGGGCCAGGCGCCGTGGCTCACGCCTGTAATCCCAGCATTTTGGGAGGCCGAGGCAGGTGGATCACGAGGTCAGGAGATCAACACCATCCTGGCTAACACCGTGAAACCCCGTCGCTACTGAAAATACAAAAAAATAGCCGGGCGTGGTGGCGAGCACCTGTAGTCCCAGCTACTCGGGAGGCTGAGGCAGGAGAATGGCGTGACCCTGGGAAGCAGAGGTTGCATTGAGCCGAGATCGTGCCACTGCACTCCAGCCTGGGCGACAGAGCCAGACTCCGTCTCAAAAAAAAAAAGAAAAAAGAAAATCAGCCGTAAGTCTTGGCCTCTTCTGGGAGATTGTTTGTTTGTTTGTTTGTTTTAATAGAGACAGGGTCTTGCTTGGTTGCCCAGGCTGGAGTGCAATCTCAGCTCACTGCAGCCTCCAACTCCTGGGCTCAAGTGATCCTCCTGCCTCAGCCTCCGGAGTCGCTGGGACTACAGGTCAACCACCACACCCAGCTATTTTTTTTTCTTTTTTTGTAGAGATGGGGTCTCTCCTGTTGCCTAGACTTGTCTCCAACTCCTGAGTTCAAACAATCCTCCTGCCTTGGCCCCTCAAAGCGCTGCGATTGCAGGTGTGCCCCACTATGCCTGGCCCTTCCTGGGAGATTAAACAAGAGGCTGTAGGTGAAGGTGGGCGACTTGTCCATCTCCAGGAAATGGCCCTGGGGTCAGAGAGAGAGAGAGTAGTGGTCGCCCTGTGAAGCAGAAGGAATACTTCAGCTTCACTGAGCGCTGACTGTGCGGCAGGTGTGGTTTGAAAACTTGACCCCTGTCCAGGGCTCCTGGAAGGTGAGGACACTGAGGCATAGAGAAGGGGAGGGGCCCTGAGTGGCCACAGAGGCCGGGAATGGGGGACAGGTCCTTACGTGATGGGGCCGTGGCACTGCTCGGCCACTTCCTCCAGCAGCCTCGGCGGTGCCACCTCCTTGCAGAAGAAGTGCTGGGAGTCCGTGGTCAGCCGGAAGTAGCCGTCCACGAGCGCCACGAACGACAGAGCCTCGGGCAGCCCTGGGAACTCGGCCTCCTGCGAGGGACAAGCGTCAGAGCCCAGTGAAACCCGAGGGTGCCGGTCCCGCCCTCGGGGTAAGGCTGAAGGGGAGGGGAATCCTGCACCCACTAAAATCTGGTTGTCTGTCCTGGTAACAGTGACCAGGCGGTGCTCTCCGGCCGGGCCAACGCGCGGGGCCTGCTTGATGCTAATGTCTACGATTTCTGGAAAGTCGCAGAAGGGCTGGAGGACCTGGGAAGGAGGGGGAGTACCGAAGTGGGGGCCCAGCTGGACCCCGCCAAACCACGCCCATGAACCCACCCCCAAGCCACACCATCCACTCCCTATCCCTTTGCCATTCAACCCTTCCAAGCCGCGCCCCCTCCTATCAACTCCAACCTCTCAACACCTCCCCTACCCATCCCCAAACATCTCCCACCCGCTCTGCCAATCCCCGCCTCCTTCTCTCTGCCGGACCCCGCCCCTTGATCCCTGCCCCGCTTCGCAGCCTCCCAGCTCTCGGAGCCTCACTCTGCCTCTTAGTCTTGCCTCGTTCCAGCGCCCACCCACCCACTCCTCAACCCCTCCCATTTTCATTCCCGGGTCGCTCAGCCCAACCCTTCACTCAGTTTGCCCCTCCCATTCCCGCAGTCTCCTCCCTCACTAAGCCCCGCCCCTCATTAAGCCTCGCCCACTTCCCCAAGTCTTTCGTTTTGGCTCCGCCCCACATCCCCTACCACTCTCCGGCCCCTCCCCGAGCCCCGCCCCCACGTTGGCCCCGCCCAGCGGGGGAGTCCGCCCTCACCTCCTGTTCTCCCTGGGTCCAGGCGATGCCGCCGTCACCAGCCACGCGGAGCAGCCCCAGCCCGTCGTGGCCACCAAGGGCCCCAGGGAGGCCCACGTGGAAGGTCTCGGCGGCCCCGGCTGGATCCAGCCGCTCCAGGTCCATGATGTACTTGGCCATGAGCGAGTGCCGGTCTGCCTGGCAGGCGGCCACGCGGCGCAGGGCTCTGCGCACCGTCCTCCGAATACGCCTCCGCGTCACGAAGCTCAGGCCCTGGATCAGGTCGCGCAGGCTTGGGGGTAGGCAGGCCTTGTAGCTGCAGGGGTTGGAGGGGAGGGAGCCGGCCCTCAGCGTCGGGAGGGGTCCCCGCGGGGACACACACAAACCCAGGCTTTAGCCCAGGGGCTGGGGTGCGGCCCTAGTTGGGGCACCAGGCACACACAGACTCTCATTCAGGGTCAGGTATGAGGACCGGACCTCAGAGTAGGGGAGGGCCATTGGCGCCCACAGGTCGGACAGGGACCCCACAGGCCTTTTAGCTGGGGGAGGTCAGGTGTCTGTCCAGCTGGAGCCTGGGGGTGGAGAGGGCTGGGTTCGTGGGAGGCCCTGGGTCATAGGAACACCCTGAAAGCTTGCAGGAGAACTCCATGGTGGGAGCCCGGCAAAGCCCCGATGGAGCCCACGTTGCTCACTCCCAAGCAGAGGCCGTCCCCACAGCCTGGTGGCTCTCACCTGACAGTCTTCAGCAGCTCTCCCGGCCGCTGGGCCTGCTCTCGCGCCATCCGGGCCAGGTCCAACACGGCCAGGCTGAGACACTCACCCTGCTCCTTGAGACTGAGGCCCACGGGGAGGCGCCCACTCACCAGGTCACTGCGGTGCTGGGGGGCCGCCACAGGGAGCATCAGCTGAGGCCACCCAACTTCAAGCCCTGTTGTTAACCTGCAGACCCCCCCAATCCTGGGCTGACCCCCACCCCTGGACTGCCACAGGGAGGGTCAGACGAGGCCCCACCTGATTGCATGCCAGTCCTCATGTTGCCCCTTGGACCCCCAACCCCCTGGGTCAAACCCCAGGCAGAACCCCACCTGGGCAAAGAGGTGCTCCAGGACTGGCAGGTCAAGGATAGCACTGGCCAAATCCTTGCGTAGCCCGAAGCGGTGGCACTTCTCCAGCCCAAACCAATTGGGGAAGTAAAAGCTGTGAGGAGAGGAGAGAACCCTGGGATGAAAGTGCAACCCAGCCTCAGTAGGAGTGACATTATGGTGGGGGCGAGGGACAGATTCTGCGGAGGCCTCACAGAGCCCAGCTTGTACCTTTAACTTGCTGTGTGACCTTGGGCAAGTGACCCACCCTCTCTGGTCTGTTTCCTCATCTGAGAAATGGGTAGTGACCATACCTCCCTGGGGCAGGGGTGTGGGCACCTCGAAATGCAAGGAGATGATAAAATTGTACAATCCCTGGGGGCTGGGGGGCACTTCCTACCGAATCCTGTACAGCAGGACTTGGGTGCTGGCATCCTCCACGGAGAAGATGTGGCTCGGGGGGAACCAGCAGGACAGGTCCTCCGTGGCCAGAGCAAAGAGGGAGTGGTACACAGGCAGGATGCCTACAGGGGATGGTCCCATCAGCTCCCTCCTGAGTCACCCCATCTGTGCCCTTCAGGAGTGCCAGCATCATACCCAACCGTCCAGATCCTTCCATACCTCAAGGTATGACCAGCTGTTCCCTTCATGTGCCGTCACACCTCTCCGTCTGCACAGGCCATTCCCTCTGCCTCAGAAGCCAACCCTGCACACCCTTCTCCATTACAAAACTCCTACTCATCCCCCAAAGCCCCAGCTCCGATGCTGACTTCTGCAGGCAACTATTCCAGCTTCCAATCTTGGCCCCACACAGCCCCATCCTTCCCTCTGGCCCGATCCACTAGGGATGCACTCACCGCTGGCCTTGGCAGCCTGCACGCACAGGTCCTCAGCCAAGTGGTCCCCAAAGGAGAAAGATAGGCGCTGGGGGGGCCCGGGGCCCCGAGCGGGCAGCAGCACATGCAGGGCACCAGCCTCCGTGGACAAGAGGCTGCATGAACGCTGAGGGATCAGGGGCGTCTCTTCACTTGGAGGTGCCATGAGTGCAACTTGCCTGGGGCACAGAGAGAAAAAGCCCCTCAGTCCTGGTCAGAGGGGATTGGACTTCTGAGCAGGGAGGGCATGGAAAGGAGTGCTGGAGGCCGGGTGCGGTGGCTTATGCCTGTAATCACAGCATTTTGGGAGGCCGAGGCGGGAGGATCACTTGAGGTCAGGAGTTTGAGACCTGCCTGGCCAACATGGCGAAACCCTGCCTCTAAAAAGTGCAAAACTTAGCCGGGTGTGGTGGTGCGTTCCTGTAATCCCAGCAACTCGGGAGGCTGAGGCAGGACAATCACTTGAACCTGGGAGGCAGAGGTTGCAGTGAGCCAAGATTGTACCACTGCACTCCAGCCTGGACAACAGAGTCAGACTCTGTCTCAAAAAAAAAAAAAAAAAGAAAGAAAGAAAGAAAGAAAGAAGGAAAGCCTCCCTGGGATGGGCCCAGGAGGAAACTGGCCCCCTGCTTCCAGCCCCCAACACCTCCCACCCGCTCGCTCACTTGCCCTGAGAAACCTCAGCACTCAGGGCCCTCAGCTGGGTGGGGCCAGGGGTGGGGCTTCGAGTCCCCTGAGAAAAATTGGGGAGAAAAAGGAGGTCACTCAAATTGACCTGAATGAAGAAGATCTGAAGAAAGTGTTGGGAAAAACAAACAAAAACCTAAGTTCCAGCAGGGCGCAGTGGCTCATGTCTGTAATCCCATCATTTCCGGAGGCCAAGAAGGAAGGATAGCTTGAGACCAGGAGTTTGTTTTATGTTTTTTGCTTTTTTGAGACAGAGTCTCGCGCTGTCACCCAGGCTGGAGTGCAGTGGCGCAATCTCAGCTCACTGCAACCTCCGCCTCCCAAGTTCAAGAGATTCTCGTGCCTCAGCCACCCCAGTAGCTGGGATTACAGGTGGGCACCACCACGCCCAGCTAATTTTCTTGTATTTTTAGTAGAGATGGGGTTTCACTGATCTCAAACTCCTGGCCTCAAGTGATCAGCCTGCCTCAGCCTCCCAAAATGCTGGATTACATGTGTGAGCCACCGCGCCTGGCCGAGACCAGGAGTTTGAAACCAGACTGGGCAATATAGTGAGACCTCCTCTCAAAAAGAAAAAAAAGCCTTGTAATCCCAGCACTTTGACAGGCCGAGGCAGGTGGATCACTTGAGGCTAGGATTTTGAGACCTCATCTCTAAAAAATTAGCAGGGCATGGTGGCACACCCCCATAGTCCTAGCTACTTGGGAGGCTGAGACAGGAGGATGCCTTCAGCTCTGCAAGTTGAGGCTGCATTGAGCTATGATCACACCACTGCACTCCAGCCTGGGCGACAGAGCAAGACCTTATCTCTAGAAAAAAAACACAATACAAAAACTATGATCCAAAATAATGCCCTGTGGCTGGGGTGGGGCGGCATTAATGAGGGTTTTTTTGTTTTTGTTTTGAGACAGAGTCTAGCTCTGTCATCCAGGCTGGAGTGCAGTGGCACAATCTCGGCTTACTCTGCATCCTGGGTTCAAGTGATTCTCCTGCCTCAGCCTCCCAAGTAGCTGGGATTACAGGGGCACGCCACCATGCCCGGCTAATTTTTGTATTTTTGGTAGAGACGGGGTTTCACCATGTTGGCGAGGCTGGTCTGGAACTCCTGACCTCGAGTGATCCTCCTGCCTCGGACTCCCAAAGTGCTGGGATTACCGGCGTGAGAAACTGCGCCTGGCCTAATGAGGTTTAAGACAATCAGAGGACTAGGACCCCTAGGACTCAGCTTTCGCAGCTGTGAAATGGGCTGACTCCCCAGCATCCTCATTGAGGTGGTCTGCTGAGCGCAATCCAGGCCTAAAGTGTCAACTCAATTAATGTGCATTAATTTGTATATTTCTTGATGATGTGCCGGTAAGCGATCAACAAACGCCTGTTAAACCAAACAGGAAGGGCAATTGGCACAGCGGTGTGGTGGTTACTGTGGGAAGGGAAGTCTTGTGGGGGAAAGAACCTTACCAAAGGGACACTTTGATGTCACCGATGCCCAGACCAAGAATGAGCACATTCCTAGTCCCGGGAACCTTGGAGGAGCCCCATCTCTCCCACAGAGAGATTGATGTCTAGTTTTGCCCTTTATAGAAATAAAATCACACACCATAGCCTCTCTATCGTCCCCTCAACATCAGCCAATCAAGTTTTTTGGTTTGTTTGTTTGTTTTTTTGAGACGGAGTCTCGCACTGTCACCCAGGCTGGAGTGCAGTCGCACGATCTTGGCTCACTGTAGCCTCTGCCTCCTGGGTTCAAGCGATTCTCATGCCTCAGCTTCCCAAGTGGCTGGGATTACAGGCGCGCACCACAGCGCCCAGCTAATTTTTGTATTTTTAGTAGAGACGGAGTTTCACCATGTTGGCCAGGCTGGTCTCAAACTCCTGGCCTCAGGTGATTCGCCTGCCTTGGCCTCCCAAAGTGCTGTGATTACACACGTGAGCCACATTGCCCAGCCTTTTTATTTATTTATTTATTTTGTAGGGGGGAGGACGGATTCTTGTTCTGTCTCCCAGGCTGGAGTGCAGTGGCATGATCTCGGCTCACTGCAAACTCCACCTCCCAGGTTCAAGCGATTCTCCTGCCTCAGCCTCCTGAGTAGCTGGAATTACAGGCACCCGCCACCAAACCTGGCTAATTTTTGTGTTTTTAGTAGAGATAGGGTTTCACCATGTTGACCAGGCTGATCTCGAACTCCTGACCTCCAGTGATCCGCTGGCCTCAGCCTCCCAAAGTGTTGGGATTAAAGGCATGAGCCACTGTGCCCAGCCCCAGTCGAGTTTAAAATAAGGCTTCAGTGGCAGTGGCGCCCCACTGCAATCCCAGCTACTCAGGGGGCTGAGGCAGCAGGATAGCTTGAGGCCAGGGGTTAGAGACCTGCCTGAACAACATAGCAAGACTCCCATCTCCAAAACAACAAAAAAATCTTAACAGAATATTATTATTCTGTAATACTGTAACAAAAAAAAATGAAAAGTCAGAGGTGATGTTTGGTCCCAGAAAACGCCATAGTTTTTTTGGTTTTTTAAAAATGTTTGTAGAAATGGAGGTCTGGCTATGTTGCCCAGGCTGGCCTTGAACTCCTGGCCTCAAGCTATCCTCCCGCCTCGGCATCCCCTGTTTATAATCCTCAACGTTCTGCATCCTGGTATGGTCGGGTACCCTGTGTCTGGACCGGGAAGGCCTGGAGGGTAGGGGCTGGGAACTCCGCCCCCCAATCCCTCCTTCCCAATCCCTCCTCCCCACCCCCAACCCCGCAGCCCCCGTCGCGCATGCGCAATGACTCCTCCAGGTCCGCAAGGCAGGCATCTCCCGGCCTTAGTCAAAGCCGAAGCCCAGAGAAGCGAGCGATCGGAGGATGCGAGTCTCGGCTCACGTCTGCCTCGCAGCTTTCCTCCGAGGCCTGGAAGGCGAGCTAGCCTTTGCCCTGGCAGCACCCTGCCCCAGCCCAGCCATCCCCCGCCACCACCATCCTCCCCCAGTGTCTGGGCCGAGCCCTGCGGCATCGCCAGCTCTTACCTAGCGGGCAGGGACCCTGGACTTTCGAAGGGCGGGCAGAGCCGGGAGGCAGCGAGAGGAAAGTCCCACTCGGCTCCTTCCTGTGTGGGCCCCTTGGTTTCCTGAGCCACTGTCATTTACCGAAAGTCAGGGCCCTGCGGGAGCTGGGGGCGGGGAGGCGGGCAAGGAGGGGCAGAAAGTTCCGGAAGCCTCTGCATCAGCCGCCCCGTTCAGACAGGCTGCTGGAGACCCCTAAGCCAAAGGAACTGATGATAGCACAGAGAAGGGTCTGGGTCACACCAGGGGCTCAGCCGACTCTAGACCCACTTGTTAAGTGGGGCTCTGGCCCGGCCCTTATTGCCTCAGTTTACCCATCTGTAGCATGTGTGAGTTGGGCACCCAGTGGAACTAATTTTGCACCCAGGGAAGGAAACCTGGCTGGATTTGCCCAGGAGGGAAGCAGGGAAGTTGCCCCAGAGGAAGGTCAAGTTCTTCTTTGAGGTATTTCTCCCTTAAGACTCAGGGAGACGCTGGGCGCAGTGGCTCACGCCTGTCATCCCAGCACTTTGGGAGACTGAGGCGGGCGATTACTTGAGGTCAGGAGTTTGAGACCAGCCTAGCCAACATGGCGAAACTCCGTCTCTACTAAAAATACAAAAATTAGCCAGGCGTGGTGGCCTGTAATCGCAGCACTTTGGGAGGCTGAGGCGGGCGGATCACTTGAAGTCAGGAGTTTGAGACCAGCCTGGCCAACATGATGAAACCCTGTCTCTACTAAAAACAGGAAAATTAGCCAGGCCTGGTGATGCCTGTAATCCTAGCTACTCAGGAGGCTGAGGTGGGAGGATTGCTTGAATCTAGGAGGCGGATGTTACAGTGAGACGAGATGGCGCCACTGCACTCCAGCCTGGCAACAGAGCGGGACTTCGTTTAAAAAAAAAAGAAAAGACTCAGGGAGAGATAATGACCCATTTCTGCCTGTGGTGCCCTGGGCCCAGCCCTAAAAAACCAGGTGGATCCGGCCTGGCCTCTTGGAACTTGTGATCTGGCGCTGAGACAATGAGCAAATGAAGGAGCCAAATCATCGCAGACAACAAAGAAAGCCAGGGTGTCAGGACAGGCACAGACTGGAACTTGGACCCGAGGCAGGACAGGGAGCTGGCCAGGGAAAGGGTGCTCCAGGAGGAGGGCACAGGATGGGCAAAGACCTTGAGAGGGCAGTGATCTTAGCAGCTTGAAGAGCAGTCAGGAGGCCAGGGGCAGGGGTGAGATGAGGGGGAAGGGGACTGCAGGGCGGTCAACAGGGGCAAGATCGTGGGGGGACAGGGGGATCAGGGTCTTTGGGAGAAGGGTGGGTTTTGCCTGGAGCATAATCTGGAGCCACAGGAGAGTTGGAAGTAGGAGCTGTTATAAATAGAAGAGGCAGAAGGCCCGGGCAGCATCCAAATGCAGAGACTTGGGCCAGTGTTCTTAGGATAATAGGATCAGAGCCCCGGAAGTAGAGCTTCAGGAATAGACTGACGAAGTGGTGACCGGGTACAGTGGCTCACATCTGTAATTCCAGCACTTTGGAAGGCCCAGGTGGGAAGATTGCTTGAGCCTAGGAGTTCGAGACCAGCCTGGCCAACATGGTGAAACCCCATCTCTACTAAAAATATAAAAATTAGCTGGGCGTGGTGGCATGTGCCTGTAATCCCAGCTACTTGGGAGGCTGAGGCAGGAGAATCACTGGAACCCAGGAGGCAGGCGGAGGTTGTAGTGAGCTGAGATTGTGCCACCGCACTCCAGCCTGGGCGACGGAGCAATACTCTGTCTCAAAAAAAAAAAAAGGAATAGATTTAAGAAGTTGTGGCCAAGAACAGTGGCTCACACCTGTAATCTCAGCACTTTGGGAGGCTCAGGCAGGAGGATGGCTTGAGCCCAGGTGTTCGAGACCAGCCTGGGCAACATGGTGAAACCCTGTCTCTACAAAAAATACAACAACAACAAAATAATAAGCTGGATGTGGTGGCATGTGCCTGTAGTCCCAGCTACTAGGGGAGGCTGAGGTGGGAGGATCACCTGAGCCCAGGAAGTTGAGGCTGCAGTTAGCTGTGGTCATGCCACTGCACTCCAGCCTGGGCAATGGGAGTGAGATCCCGTCTCAAAAAAAAAAAAAAAAAGACTTTTCATCTCTGTATCACCATCACAAGTCTTAACACAAAATGGTTTGGTAAGTATTTTGTTGATCTTAACTGTTCAATCAGCCAGAGGCTTATTGGACACAGCCTGTGTGCAGGGAATCGGGGACAATGCAGACCCAATCCCTGTCCAGGGGAGCTGACAGTCCAGCAGGGGAGATGGCAATAAACAAGCTATTGCCCAATAATTATATCAGTTGCCCCTGGGACCGGTCTGCTAAGAGAGATGACTGGATCTGGGAGGGCTTCCTGGAGGAGGTGGCTTTGATTCTGAAATCCAACAACAAGTGGGACTAGCCAGAGAGTGACCTGAGAATGTGGGAGTGTGGGCAGTTCTGGCAGGCAGAACAGCCCAGGCAAAGGCCTGGAGGCTTCACGAATTCACAGTGTTCCTGAGAAGAGCAGGATGTCAGGGACACGGGGGGCTGAGACTCATTTGATGGCGTGGGTAGGGCCGCGTGGGTCAAGGGAAAGAGATATAGATTATGTCCTCAGCTTAGTGGAGCTTAGTGGAGCCACAGCTGACCTGCGGCAGGAAGTGCCAAGCAGAAGCTTAGTTGTAGTGTTTTCTTTCACTTCCTGGGTGGCTTCAGCAGACGGGAATGCAACCTTATGTTCTCATCCTTGGCCTGAGGCTGAAGCCTCTGCTTTCCGGAAGTACAGTGAGTTTCTGGGTCTCTGCTACCTCCAGTGTGATGGTTTCTGCAATATTTTGAGAATAAGTAAGAGGAGATTGGGGTGAGGACCAAAGTGGTACCTTCAGCCCCAGAGAAGGGCATGTGAAGGCTCTAAAAGGAAGTTCTGGCCGGGCGCGGTGGCTCACGCCTATAATCCCAGCACTTTGGGAGGCCGAGGCGGGCGGATCGCCTGAGGTTAGGAGTTCGAGACCGGCCTTGCCAACCTGGTGAAACCCCATCTCTACTAAAAATACAAAACGCAGCTGGGTGTGGTGGCGGGCGCCTGCAGTCCCAGCTACTCAGGAGGCTGAGGCAAGAGAATCACTTGAACCTGGGAGGCGGAGGTTGCAGTGAGCCGAGATCGCACAACTGCACTCCAGCCTGGGCGACACAGCAAGACTCCGTATCAAAAAATAAATAAATAAATAAATAATTTTTTTTAAAAAAAGGAAGTTCTGGGGACAGAACCCAGAACTTGCCCGAGAAAAATGGGGCACGTCAGTGATGCAAACACCCAGATTTTTCTGCTGACAAGAAGTCCATAAATACAATCAAAGAATAAAATACAATCAAAGTGTAACTGGAAACAAAATTGAACTCATGGATAAAATATCCTCGTTATATAAGTAACATCTAGAAAGCAGTAAGAAAATGCCAACCAGTTAGGTGGATATGAATCCAGAAGTCAGAGAAAATGGAGGACAAATAGCTCTTAAACCCAGAAAAATTTCCTCAGCTTCACTTGCCAAATGAAAATTAAGAGTACAGTGAGGCAGGGCCAGGCACGGTGGCTCATGCCTGTAATCTGAGCACTTTGGGAAGTCAACATGGGAGGATCATTTGAGCTCAGGAGTTGGAGATTAGCCTGGGCAACATGGTGAGATCCGTCTCTACAAAACATACAAAAATTAGCCAGGCATGGTGGTGTGCACCTGTAGTCTCAGCTACTTGGAAGACTGAAGTGGGAGGATGGCTTGAGTCCAGGAGGCAGAGGTTGCAGGGAGCCAAGATAGTGCCACTGTACTCCAGCCTGGGCGACAGAGCGAGACTACATCTCAAAAACAAAAACAAAAATGGTAAAAGACTGAATAACTTCCTCCTGAGATTGGAAACAAGACAAGGATGTCCATTTTCACCACCTCTATTCAACATTGTTCTGGTGATGTTAGCCACTGTAATAAGAAAAGAAAAAGCAGGCTGAGGCAGGAGAATGGTGTGAACCAGGGAGGCGGAGCTTGCAGTGAGCCAAGATCGGGCCACTGCACTCCAGCCTGGGTGACAGAGTGAGACTCCGTCTAAAAAAAAAAAAAAAGAAAGAAAGAAAAGAAAAGCTGGGCATGGTGGCTCACGCCTGTAATCCCAGCACTTTGGGAGGCTGAGGTGGGAGAATCACAAGGTCAGGAGTTCAAGACCAGCCTGATCAACATGGTGAAACCCCATCTCTACTAAAAATACAAAAATTAGCCAGGCATGGTAAAAATACAAAAATTAGCCGTGCGTGGTGATGCGCGCCTGTAATCCCAGCTACTCAGGAGGCTGAGGCAGGAGAATCGCTTGAACCCGGGAGGTGAAGGTTGCAGTGAGCCAAGATCGCGCCACTGCACTCCAGCCTAGGTGACAGAGGGAGACTCTGTCTCAAAAAAAAAAAAAAAATTAAAAATTGGCAGGGTGTGATAGCTCACACCTGTTGTCCCAGCTATTTGGGAGGCTGAGGATTGCTTGAGTCAGGGAGGACAAGGCTGCAGTAAGCCATCATCACACCATTACACTCCAGTCTGGGCAACAGAGCGAGATCCTGTCTTAAAACAAAAAAATATATGAGAAAAATAAACAAGTCAGGTGTGGCTGGGCATGGTGATACATGCTTGTAGCCTCAGCTACTGGAGAAGCTGAAATGGGAGCCCAAGAATTTAAAGGCAACATAGCAAGATTCTGTAACAAGCAAAACAGAATAAAATAAGTAATAAAAAAAAGGTAAATAAAACTGTTGCTATTTGCTGATGATATGATTGTTTATGTCAAAAACCCAAGGGAATCTATAAGACAACTACTGAAATTAATACATAAATTCAGCAAGTTACCAGGTTTAAAAAGTCCGTTGAATTCAATACAAAAGTCAATTGAATTTTTATACACCAGCAGCAAACAATTGGAACATAAAAAAATTTTGAAAAATTTCCTTTGCAGCAGCACTGAAAAAGATAAAATACTGTGATGGTCTGAGAGTTTGCGTCTCCCCAAAATTAATACATTGAAATCCTAACCTCGAAGGCGGTGGTATTCAGAATCGGAACCTTTTAAGAGGTGATTAGATCATGAGGGTTGAGCTCTCATGAATGGGATTAATGCCCTTATAAAAGAGGCCCCTAGGCTGGGCATGGTAGCTCACGCCTGTAATCCCAGCACCCTGGGAGAATTGCAGGCTGGTCTCTGACAAACAACTTGTGTTTGAGACCAGCCTGGGCAATGTGGCGAAACACCACCTCTACCAAAAAAAACACAAAAATTAGCTGGGCATGGTGGTGCACACCTGTAGTCCCAGGTCAGGAGTTTGAGGCCAGCCTGATCAACGTGGAGAAACCCCATCTCCACTGACAAAACAAAATTAGCTGGATGTGGTGGTGCATGCCTGTAATTCCAGCTACTTGGGAGGCTGAGGTGGGAGAATCGCTTGAACCCAGGAGGTGGAGGCTGCGGTAAGCCGAGATCACACCATTGCACTCCAGCCTAGGCAACAAGAGCAAAACTCTGTCTCAAAAAAAAAAAAAAAAAAAAAAAAGGCCGGGTGCAGTGGCTCATGCCTGTAATCTTAGCACTTCGGGAGGCCAAGGTGGGTGGATCACCTCAGGTCAGGAGTTCAAGACCAGCCTGGCCAACATGGTAAAACCCCGTCTCTGCTAAAAATACAAAAATTAGCTGGGTGTGGTGGCGCACGCCTGTAATCTCAGCTACTCTGGAGGCTGAGGAAGGAGAATCGCTTGAACTCGGGAGGTGGAGGTTGCAGTGAGCTGAGATCGCGCCACTGCATTGCACTCAAGGTTGCGTGACAGGAAAGAGGCTACATCTCAAAAAAAAAAAAAAAAAAAAAAGAAGGCCAGGGACCTGGAGTCCGGAGTGCATACAAGTGGGTGGCTTTGCAGTGTTTTGAGGACCAACGGTCAGAAACCAAGATTTGGGTGTCTTGGGCCCAGCCTTGGGAAGGCACTGGTGCCAGTAACTGAGATGAGGGAAAGAGTGGGAAGGATGAGGCACATCAGCATTGTGAACGCTCCGTGATCCAAGCTGTGGCTTGGCCCAGGATCCTGGATGAACAAACTGGTGCCTTCAAAGTCCCTGGGAAAAAGACAGGGGGGACAGGGGTGCCCTTGGACAGCCCTGCTAACCAGGAACTCCTCGCCTGGGCCCCACTGGATGGTGATAACAGAGACACAGAGTAGCCCAGGACCAGCCTGCTCAGGTCAGATTCCTGCATGGCCCGAGGTGGGGGCAGAGGAATCCTGCCAGGCCAGGTGTGTCACTAGGAAGCCGGGGCCACGGCATCACTCAGGCACCGACAACATGTAAAAGAAAGAAAAATAATAAAGCTTTTTTTTTTCTTTTAAATTAAGACAGTTTCACTCTGTTGCCCAGGCTGGAGTGCAGCGGCATGATCTTGGTTCACTGCAACCTCTGCCTCTAGGGTTCAAGTGATTCTCGTGCCTCAGCCTCCCGAGTAGCTGGGATTACAGGTGTGTGTCACTGCACCCAGCTAATTTTTGTATTTTTGGTAGAGACGGGGTTTCACCATGTTGGCCAGGCTGGTCTCGACTCCTGACCTCAAGTGACCTGCCCGCTTCAGCCTCCCAAAGTGCTGGGGTTACAGATATGAGCCACTGTGCCCAACCAAAAAGAAAAATAATAAAGCTCTGGGCCGGGCGCGGTGGCTCACGCCTGTAATCCCAGCATTTTGGGAGGCTGAGGTGGGTGGATTATCTGAGGTCAGGAGTTCAAGACCAGCCTGTCCAACATGGTGAAACCCCGTCTCTACTAAAATTACAAAAATTAGCCGGGCGTGGAGGCAGATGCCTGTAATCCCAGCTACTCAGGAGGCTGAGGCAGGAGAGGATGGCTTGAACCCAGGAGGCAGAGGCTGCAGTGAGCTGAGATTGTGCCACTGCATTCCAGCCTTGGCAATGGAGTGAGACTCCGTCTCAAAAAAAAAAAAAAAAAGGAAACAAGAAACCCTGTCTCTACAAAAATTAGCCAGGCATGATGATGGGTGCCTGTAATCCCAGCTACTCTGGAGGGTGAGGCAGGAGAATCGCTTGAACCTGGGAGGCAGAGGCTACGGTGAGATGAGATCACGCCATTGCATTCCAGCCTGGGGAACAGAGTGAGACTCCATCTCAAAAAAAAAAAGAAACTAAAGAAAAATAATAAAGCTTTGAAACAAACAGCACATCACGACCCGTGCCCTTCCCCACCCTGGCATGCCCCTCCCTCCACTCCAACCCAGGCCTTGAAGGCAGAAGCACGAGGCCCCAAGGCCAGGGCTGGGTCTCAGGGATCTCCCTCTCGTCTTCTTCCTCCTCCCCTGTCCTCCCTAAATTCCTTTTCCTGCCCCGTTCCTGCTGTCCCAGGATCCAATTTGTGCTCCAGGCTGCGCTCTGCCCTTTCCAGCATCTCTTTCCACCTGCTTGTAGCCGCTCAGCACTTTGGGGAAACTGAGGCCAGAGCGGTGAGTTCCAGCACAGAGGGAAGGGCAGGGCCTCAACCTTCCCAGTCCAAACAATCATACGCCATTTAAATCTCACAACAACCCTAAAAGCTGGCGACTATTATTGGCCTCATTTTGTGGAAGGGGAAACTGAGGCCCAGAGCGGCAACGCGGCCAGCGAACCATCGGTAAGATTTGAACCTGGTTGTGTATCATTCAACGGTCTAGCGCTTGGCCTCAGCTGGGCCACCGCAGATGGGACATGGTTCTGCTGCCACCTGGTGGACACTCGCGGCAGCGCTGTTGGGATAGAGCCGCCTCTCACCTGACGTCCTGCCCCGAAAAGCCCAGCCAGAGGAGGGCTGACCTGCTCCCCTGGCCTCCCTGCCCCGCATCACGCCCATCAGTTTTCCGAATTTTCACAGTCTAAGTGTCCACCAGGAAGGGACTGGGTAACTAACCACCTGTGCTACAGTTGGGCTAAAGATTTTAGTGCAAAAGTTAATTTGCCCACCTCACAAGAAATACTAAAAAAATGTATATTTTTTCGAGACAGAGTCTCACTCTGTTGCCCAGGCTGGAGTACAGTGGCACAATCTCGGCTCACTGCAACCTCCGACTCCCAGGCTCAAGCGATTCTCATGCCTCAGCCTCTCAAGTAGCTGGGACTACAGGCACCCGCCACAATACCCAGCTAATTTTTGTATTTTTTAATAGAAGCGGGGTTTCACCATGTTGGCCAGGCTGGTCTCGAGCTCCTGACCTCAGGTGATCCACCCACCTGGGCCTCGCAAGGTGCTGGGATTACAGGCGAGAGCCACCGTACCCACCCAAAATAAATTCTTTAGGCTGAAAACAAGGGACCCCAGACATGTATTCCAATCCACGTGAAAATCTGAAGAACACATATAAAGGTAATGTATGTAATTTTAAAAGATTGCATAAGGCCGGGTGCTTTGGCTCACGCCTGTAATCCCAACACTTCAGGAGGCTGAGGTGGGCAGATCAATTGAGCCTAGGAGTTCAAGACCAGCCTGGGCAACACAGAGAGACCTTGTCTCTACAAAAAATACAAAACTTGGCCGGGCACGGTGGCTCACACCTGTAATCCCAGCACTTTGGGAGGCCGAGGCGGGTGGATCACGAGGTCAGGAGTTTAAGGAAAAAAATATAAAACTTAGCTGGGTTTCATGGCATCCGTCCTAACTACTCGGGAGGTCTGAGGTGGGAGAATCTCTTGAACCTGGGAGTTCGAGGCTGCAGTGAACAGAGATCTCGCCACTGCACTCCAGCCTGGGCAACAGAGTGAGATCCTGTATCAAAAAAATAAGGCTGGGCACAATGGCTCACGCCCATGATCCCAGCACTTTGGGAGGCCGAGGCAGGCAGATCACGAGGTCAGGAGATTGAGACCATCGTGGCTAACATGGTGAAACCCCATCTCTACTAAAAATACAAAAAATTAGCCGGGCATGGTGGCGGGCACCTGTAGTCCCAGCTACTCGAGGGGGCTGAGGCAGGAGAATGGCATGAACCCGGGAGGCGGAGATTGCAGTGAACTGAGATCACGCCACTGCACTCCAGCCTGGGTGACAGAGTGAGACTCCGTCTCAAAAAATAATAATAATAAATAAATAAAAATAAGATCTGCCAGTGACAGTGGCTCATGCCTGTTATCCCAGCATGTTCGGAGGCCATGACGGGCAGACCACTTGAGGTCAGGAGTTCAAGACCAGCCATAGCCAACATGGCGAAACTCTTGTCTCTACTAAAAATTAAAAAAAAAATTAGCCAGGCATGGTGCCGCACATCTGCAATTTCAGCTACTTGGGAGGCTGAGGCAGGAGAATCATTTGAACCTGGGAGGCAGAGGTTGCAATGAGCCAAGATTGCACCACTGCCCTCCAGCCTGGGTAATGGAGTGAGACCCTGTCTCAAAATAAATAAATAAAAATAAAATGTAGCATAAATGCAAATTTCTTCTCTCTTTGCCTCTTAACATATTTAAAAAGCAATTGTACAAAACTATATATTGGCCGGGCCCGGTGGCTCATGCCTGCAATCCCAGCACTTTGGGAGGCTGAGGTGGGCATATCACCTGAGGTTGGGAGTTCGAGACCAGTCTGGCCAACATGGTGAAACCCCCTCTCTACTAAAAATACAAAACATTAGCCGGGTGTGGTGGTGCACGCCTGTAATCTCAGCTACTCAGGAGGCTGAAGCAGGAGAATTGCTCGAACCTGGGAGGTGGAGGTTGCAGTGAGCCGAGATCATGCCACTGCAATCTAGCCTGGGTGACAGAGCGAGACTCTGTCTCAAAAAAACAAAAAACAAACAAAAAAACAGGCTGGGTGCGGTGGCTCATGCCTGTAATCCCAGCACTTTGGGAGGCCGAGGCGGGTGGGTCACCTGAGGTCAGGAATCTGAGACCAGCCTGGCCAACCCAGTAAAACCCTATCTCTACTAAAAATACAAAAAATTAGCCAGGCGTGGTGGTGCACGCCTGTAGTCCCAGTTACTCGGGAGGCTGAGGCAGGAGAATCGCTTGAACCTGGGAGGCAGAGGTTGCAGTGAGCTGAGATCACGCTGCTGCACTCCAGCCTGGGCGACAGAGCTAAACTCCATCTCAAAACAACAACAACAACAACAACAAACTATATATTAATTGTATTGTTGGGTCTACAATATAGAGAAAGGTAACATATTTGACATTAACGGCACAAAGGAGGTGAAGGGAGCCAAGTTGTACTGGAATAAGAAAATCATTGGGCCGGGCGCGGTGGCTTACGCCTGTAATCCCAACACTTTGGGAGGTGGAGGCAGGCGGATTACCTGAGGTCAGGAGTTCGAGACCAGCCTAACCAACATGGTAAAACCCTGTGTCTACTAAAAATACAAAAATTACCTGGGCATCGTGGCGGGCGCCTGTAATCCCAGCTACTCTGGAGGCTGAGGCGGGAGAATTGCTTGAACCCAGGAGGCAGAGGTTGCAGTGAGCCGAGATAGCGCCACTGCACTCTGGCCTGGGGAAAAGAGTAAGACTCAGTCTCAAAAAATAAAAGAAAAAGAAAAGAAAAGAAAATCACACCCAGTAGTGACTTGAATCCACAAAACCAGATTAAGAGAACCAGAAATGCAAAATAAGAAAATGAAAATAAAAAATTGCATGCTTGCTGTCCTTTATTTTCTTTCTTTCTTTCTTTCTTTTTTTTCTGAGTCGGAGTCTCGCCCTGTCTCCCAGGCTGGAGTGCAATGGCCAGATCTCGGCTTACTACAACCTCCATCTCCCAGGTTCAAGCGATTCTTCTGCCTTAGCCTCCCGAGTAGCTGGGATTACAGGCGCCCGCCACCACGCCCGGCTAATTTTTGTATTTTTAGTAGAGACGGGGTTTCGCCATGTTGGCCAGGCTGGTCTCGAACTCCTGACCTCAAGTGATCCACCCGCCTCGGCCTCCCAAAGTGCTGGGATGACAGGCGTGAGCCACCGCGCCTGGTCTTTTTTTTTTTTTTTTTTTTTTGAGACAGAGTCTCACTCTGTCGCCCAGGCTGGAGTACAGTGGCGCAATCTCGGGTCACTGCAACCTCTGGCTCCTGGGTTCAAACGATTCTCATGCCTCAGCCTCCTGCCTCTTTCCTCTTAATTTTACTTCATAGCCTTGTCATCAGGGAGTTGTTTGCGGGTGTTTCTTTTTTCATATCTGGTCCCCGTCCTCATCCCCAGGAGGGCTTCTTTCTGCCCAAGCAAACTGCTAAGTCCAAGCCCCTCAAAGTGGGCGGCTGGATCTTGATCCATTCTCCGGCTCTCCGCGCGCTCTCCCCCAACCCCTGCTCCCTCAGGTTCTTATGAACTGGAGGCAGACAGACAGAGTTTGAATCCCAGCTACTACGAAACACAAATCGGACCCCAAATTAACAAAAACAGCATTCCAGAGCTTATTCAATATTCGTGCTGCAACATCGCTAGGAGAAAAATATATTATTTGTATTCCCATTTTACAGATACCCTCAGGTATCTGGTGGAGACCTCCGTAACACACCTCCCCGGAGGATGAGGCCCCGAGTGTGAAGCATCGGGATCTCACGGTAAACACCGCAGCCACCCGAGGTAGCTTAGGTTCAATGCTTAGGCATCCTGCAGGCGGCGCGCGCCGCCGCCCCTAGTTGCAGCCGGGACTGGCGGAGTGCCTACAACTCCCGACGTGCCGCGCGCGCAGACGCTCCGTTGCGGTCGTGGTGGAACAGGTGGAGCTTGCCTCGTTGCCTTCTGGGAAACGAAGTCTCGCTGAAGAGAGGCGGAACTTTGAGTAGCAGGTGGATCCATAGCCAATGAAGACGCGGGTCGCTTTGAGTGCGGGGCAGAGAAGCCAATGGACGTGCGGCATTGAGAGGGCGGGTCTTCCGGTAGTGAAGGCCTGGTGAACGGCTGCGCGACAGAGGACACTTCCTTTTGCGGGTGGCGGCGAACGCGGAGAGCACGCCATGAAGGCCTCGGGCACGGTAAGGCGGGCGCGGCGCGGCAGGGGGCCAAGGGATGGGGCACGGGCCCCATCAGGGGCCTGCATAAGTGGCGTGGGCCGGGTTGGTGCCGCGCGCTTCTGTTTGGGCCCCCCTTGGCCGCGCGCCGCCTTCTCTTGTTGCACCCAACATGGCGGCCATCGTGGGAGCCGCGTGGAGAGAGCGATGCGTGACCTGGGCCAGCTCAGGGATCGCGGGGGCCCAAGGACTCCGGGTCTTCTTCCCGGGGGAAGGAATAAGTCGCGCAGCATAGAGGCCCTAGCCCCGGCACCTCGTCGAGCCGCCAAGTTTCTGTTTTCCTTTCTGCAACGTGGACGTGGCGGTAGAGCAATAGTGTGTTTTCTTTCTGCCGGAATGGCTGTGAGAAGCAGATGAAAATTGCTAACAGTGAGCCGAAACGGGGAGCGTGAGGCTTAACGCTGTGGTACATACTGGATAGAATCAAACGGCTCTATGGCGCAGAGATAGGAGAACCTGGACTCCCATGGAGTGGGTGTATTATGTCCAGATCTCCAGCTTCGGTTTCCTTGCTGTCAAAGGGGCGGGCCCCATTGTTCCCTTCCTGAACGTGTGCCGAGGCCGGTGGGTCAGGTTCACAGTAAAAGTAGGAACTGCGATAATTTGTGACTATTTTTCATTGATAACTAGTGAAAAGCTGGCGAGTCAGTTTCAGAGGTGGTTTCTTTGTGCCATATCACAGAGCCTGGACTTGACCAAAGATTCTCACCTCTGCATCTGTAAACCGGGAGTCTTCCCTGGGCCAAACGTTTGGATTGCAGTTGGGAAAACGGAGGCAGCCGCAGCTCGCGTGGCAACAGTGCAGGGATCCCAGGGCTGGGGAGAGACCTGAGGTCTTGTCCTAGTTCTGCCTGGAATGGGCTGTGAGATCCCATGCTGGTCACTGGGCCTCAGGGTGAAAGAAGATGTTGGCTGGATGTTTTGAGGTGCAGAGTGGCTGTTTGACGGCGACTGCAAAGCAATTCAGGACTGCAGCATGAAGAAAGGAGGCTGTGGGTCTAAGCCACAGCTTTCCTGGTCTGAAACCCTTAGCCCAGGCAAAGGAGAGGCAGGCAACTCAATTAATCCTCCCTGGAGACCTCCCTCTCCTCAGTTCATTTTGTGTATAAAGTTGTGGTCGGGAGTGTGACCTACAGTCACCAAGAATCCACATGGAGGCCCTAGGGTGGCCCTGCCTCCTGCTTCCCGAATCTGTGGTCACTAGATGTAGGAAAGGGAGTGAGGTGGATCTCCACAGTTGCCTCTGGGTGCTGGCCTTACCCTCACTCCTGTTTCCTTTCAGCTACGAGAGTACAAGGTAGTGGGTCGCTGCCTGCCCACCCCCAAATGCCACACGCCGCCCCTCTACCGCATGCGAATCTTTGCGCCTAATCATGTCGTCGCCAAGTCCCGCTTCTGGTACTTTGTATCTCAGTTAAAGAAGATGAAGAAGTCTTCAGGGGAGATTGTCTACTGTGGGCAGGTATGGAGAGGCCGGGGCTACGTGGGGTCTGGAGTGGATTTGCGCCTCTTGGGACATCGTGCATCTCAAGAATTAATCAGACATCGAACGGGTGCGGTAGCTCAACGCCTGTAATCCCATCACATCAGACATCAGAGCCCCGGGTTGTGTTTCTGCCTGGGTCACGGGACTGGAGCAGAGCTTATGTGCCATTTCCCTGATTAGAAAGCCAGGGACCCAGGGAGCGGGTGGGTGGCATGGTGGGACACCTTGGTTGGTGCTGTCTTCCCTGGGCCCTGTCTGTTAAGTGAGGAGAGGTGATGGCTATCTGGTCAGTGGGTGGTAGCTAGGTTGGCCCAGACAGGTTCCAGGAGACTTGAGTTCAGGAACTGCATCTGGGGCTGGGTTGGTGTCCGTGGCAGAAGCCTGGACTTCAGGCTGTTGCCATGGGAAGTTCCCTTACCTCACGCTCCCTGAGGATGCCTGAAGGTAGGTGGGGCTGGGAAACTGAGGCACAAGAGTCTGGCCATAGAGTAGGCCTGGAGCCTGGGGTGTGCTTTAGAGGCAGAGGGTTCAGTGAGGATGGGGCTAGGGCACATCGGCTTGCTGCTCTCACATCTCCCTGTGGCCTCTCCTTGGCAGGTGTTTGAGAAGTCCCCCCTGCGGGTGAAGAACTTCGGGATCTGGCTGCGCTATGACTCCCGGAGCGGCACCCACAACATGTACCGGGAATACCGGGACCTGACCACCGCAGGCGCTGTCACCCAGTGCTGTAAGCTGCCTGTCCCGCCTCCAGCTTTTTAGACCCTCCTTGACTCCCTCACACTGAGGCAGGGCAAGTGCCAGAGGTTCCCAGTGCAGGAGAGTCTCAGGACTGGTGGCGGGGCACAGGAAGACAAAAGGATGCCCCAGGCCCCAGATGGCGCTTTTCTGAGAGCCCTGCCAGGCTCGGTTGTAAATCACATCACATCTGGAAACTCCCTTTTTGGGTCTGCACCTTGTTTAGACTGGGATCCACATCACCACTGTTTTCTGGGACCCACTGAGAACCGAATTGAACCCCTGCCTAGTGTTGGGAGCTGGCACCTTTTCCCTGGCTCACCTGCCAGGGTCTGTGAGACCCCCACACCTCCCTGATTGCACCTAAACCCAAGAATCACTGTTTCTTATAGCGGTGGTTTAAACAGAGGTGCAAACAGCAAGCGGATCTTGTCGCCTTTGGGGGGCTGTGGCCGTGCCCCTCAAAGTGAATTTGGAGGTTCCACAACTCTAGTGGCCAGTGACTGCAGGGACCCAGGCCTTGGGCTATCTCGCTTCCCCACCACCACCTTCCCGTGAGCCCCGAGCCCTCAGGCAGTTGCTGTGACCAACAGGATGTGTCAGGTCATTGGGCAGGCACTCAGGAGGTTTGCTGAATGCCCAGAGCCCAGGCAACACCGTCACCCTGGCCCCGCTCCTTTCCACAGACCGAGACATGGGTGCCCGGCACCGCGCCCGAGCCCACTCCATTCAGATCATGAAGGTGGAGGAGATCGCGGCCAGCAAGTGCCGCCGGCCGGCTGTCAAGCAGTTCCACGTGAGTGCCCTGGGGGACTCCCCTGGAGGGAAGTGCCTGCTCTGACGCAGGAGCCCAGTGGGGGGCGGCTACACCTTGGTGGCCCCACAGGATGGGGTGTTAAGAGGCTTCCAACCCCCTCAACATGCCTCCCTTCCTCACAGGACTCCAAGATCAAGTTCCCGCTGCCCCACCGGGTCCTGCGCCGTCAGCACAAGCCACGCTTCACCACCAAGAGGCCCAACACCTTCTTCTAGGTGCAGGGCCCTCGTCCGGGTGTGCCCCAAATAAACTCAGGAACGCCCCGGTGCTCGCCGCATGTTTTCTTTGCACACTGCAGAGCTCAAAGGGGTGCTATGAGAGGCCGGCCCAGTCAGCTCCTGGGGTGCAGCTGAGCTGCCATTTCTTTGTCCTGGGAGGGGTCTTCAGTGCAAACAAACAAACCCTCACATCCTCCTGTCCTGGAGTGGGCCCTCCAGGCGCCCCCACCCCTGAGCTCCCTCTTGCTTGGTCAGTTCTCAGCCCTGCTGGCAGCCCTGGGCTATGAGCTGCAGGGGTACTGTCTGTCCTGGGCCCTAAATCTGTCCCAACTGCCTTGTGAGACACAGGCCTCCCAGGCTCCCCTGCTGAGTCTGGACCAGGGAGAATCTCCCTAGATAGTGGGGTTGGCGTTCACTCCCTGGGGATTCTCCTAAGTCTCTGGTTCCCAAAGTTTTCAGAGTAGACACAAGTGGGCACCCGAGGGGCGCTCTCTGCTGCTTGGGGGCTGTTTCCCTTTCACTGGTTGGGGGCCTCTTAGATGACGCCCTCATCTTGCCCAAGGAGGTCAAGGACTCACCACAGGTACTCATCTCTGGGAAACTGCCTCAGGCCTGGAAAATTCCAGGCATGACACTAATCCCACCCTGGCTGAGTCCTTCTGTCAGGTGGAGGCTAAGCTGGCATTGGAGAAGTTTGAGACACAGCCAAGAGCTCAGGCTCTGGGAGCCTCCCATCCTTTGTTGCGTGACCTTGGGCAGCCCTGTTCTGGGCCAGCGGCCCTTCTGGGGCTTGCTGTCTTGATCTCAACATCGGGTTCCACATTGATGTGGGAAGTGACGCTGTGCAGGTGCTGGGGTCAGCCTATGGGGCCCTCCTTTGTCCCAGAGAGCCCAGGACCAGGAGGAAGCCAGGACTAGGTAGTAGTTACGGCTTTTTGAAACAGGGTCTTGCTCTGTCGCCCTGGCTAGAGTGCAGTGGAGAGATCGTGGCTTACTGTAGCCTCGACCTCCTGGGCTCAAGTGGTCCTCCTGCCTCAGCCTCCCAAGTAGCTGGGACTACAGGGGCACCACCACACTCAGGGCAAGGACACAGCCTTTCCTCTACCTGTGGAGGAGCTGTGTGGTTTCCAGGAAACCAGGCCTTTTCCAGCCTCACCTGTGGGGTGTTGTAACACCCAGGAACTTGGAGAGGCGCCCAGAACCTGGGCAGGGTCAGCACACAAGCACCCATTCTGCGTAAGACCCAGGCCTGAGGACAGCCCTGTAGACCACAGAACCCCACGGGTCCCGTCCCCAACAACTGGCTCCTTCCCACCCTAGGGCCTTCGCACTTGCCTGGAATACTACAGATTCCCCCAGGCTGGCCTCACTCGAGTTTTACAAACTGCACGTGGGTTCCCGGGACTGGGCTATATTTGATTTCTATCCCCCACTAGTTCTGAGAGGGCAGGGGCTGTGTGTGTCACCCAGTGTATCCAGGAGGGGCTCAACTTTCCATGGTATCCTTTTTGTTTCGTGAAAGCTCTTTACATATGCGGGGCAAAAGCTTGAGAAGAGTCATACATTTTCCCAGGATATCTTTCTTTTTTTGAGACGGAGTCGCGCTTGGTTGCCCATGCTGGAGTGCAGTGGCACAGTCTCAGCTCACTGCAACCTCTGCCTCCCAGGTTCAAGGGATTCTCCTGCCTCAGCCTCCAGAGTAGCTAGAATTACAGGTGCCTGCCACCACGCCTGGCAAATTTTTTGTATTTTTAGTACAGACGGGGTTTCACCATGTGGGCCGGGCTAGTCTGGAACTCGACCTCATGCCACCTGCTTTGGCCTCCCAAAGTGCTGGGATTACAGGTGTGAGCCACCCCGCCTAGCCCAGGATATCTTTTGATGTTCCTTAGAGTATATTGGATGGGGGGTGCTAGCTGGAAATCTTAAAATTTTGCCTGAATTTCATTCATCTTGTGGTTTCTAGTACAAACTCTCCTTTCTCCATAAGGGAATCTTCATACTTAAGTGCCACCCAGAAAAGAAAATACATTTCCTAACCTCCATAGCTATGGCCAGGTGTGGCTCATGGCTGTCATCTCAGCACTTTGGGAGGCTGAGGTAGGAGGATCACTTGAGGCCAGGAGTTTGAGACCAGACTGGTAGACATAGTGAGACCCTGTCTTTACCAAGTAACATTAGCTGGGTGTTGCGGTGCACACCTGTAGTCCCAGCTACACGGGGGCCTGAGGTGTGAGAATCACTTGAGCCTGGAGGTTGAGGCTGCAGTGAACCATGATCATGCCACTGTACTCCAGCCTGGAAACAAGACGAGACCAAACAAAACAAAAATACAGTACTGATGTGCCATTTCTGAGAAAGAACGCCTCTGGCTGGTGTGGACATGATGGCCAGTGCTGCAGCAGTCATTTTGGACTATGAAGAAGCAACACACAGGAGCAGTGAGGGAGAAGGATCTCCGGTACTTGACCCTGTGCAGTGCTGCCCCCGTCCCTGAGGCTTGACCCTTCTACCCCCTTGATTAGAACACGGGGAGGAGACATGAGTCCTGCTTAGGCTGTAATGGAGCTGCTCTGTTAGATGTGACCTTACCTTACCTTGAGCTGGGCCTGAAGCAGGGCGTGGCACTGTGGACTCAGGCCGTAACTGCCTGGAAGTCCCTGCCCTCTCTGAGCCATTTCTTCCTGTATAAAGTGAGGGCGGTGATCCCTCCAGGCTGCAGGGCAGGCGAGGTGATATTAGGTGAGTTGGAGGATGAGAGATCAGGAGAGTGGAAGGCTCACGGCCCCACCAAAGCCCACTGCATACCCTCATCTCCACCTCAGTCCCCTCCCTGTGCCTTGGAGCCCCTCCAGGGCTTCAACCACGTGGCAGCAGCCTGGGAACCACTTGGGAGAGCTCTGCCCCAACCAGCTGAGACATGGAGGCCAATCCCATTATTGAGGGGCCATTGACAGGATGAATGTGCTCCCAGATCACTAGCCTGCACCTATTCACCTACCTTGGCACACTCAGCCTCTCATAAATGTGCCCAGAAGCCCCTCTACCACCGAATTCCCCCACCCCCTGCCAAACCCCATCCTTCCATTCAGTCAGATTCCTCCACCATCCAACCAGCTACCTGTCCATCCATTCGTCCACTCAATCCACCCACCCCATCCATTCATCCTTCCACTCATCCACCTACCCATCCATCCATCCACCCAACCATCCAGCCATCCATCCAGCTATCCACCCACCCACCCATCCATCAACTCACCCATCCATCCATCCACCCATCTATCCATCCATCCATCTACCCACCCACCCATCCACCCACCTGCCCATCAACCCACCCACCCATCTATCCATCCATCCATCCATTCACCCATTCAACCACCCACCAGTCGATACATACATCCATTTATCCATCCATCCATCTATCCACCCACCCATCCATCCATTTACACATCCTCCCATCTGTCATGTCAAATCCTCTACCCAAACTCCACGCGCCCACCCCCACCCCACACACACCATCCCTTTGTTGCAGCCTCAATTGTCCTTGAGTCCCTACTTTGTGCAGGGGCCTGCGTTAATTCCGGTGTGGGTGATTGAAGGAATAGACAGACCCTGGTTCTTTCTCAGGAGGGAGAGGAACAGTCACAACCCCATGCAGAGGCTGGGCGTGGTGGTGGTGTGCCCATAGTCCCAGCTACTTGGGAGTCTGAGGCAGGAGGATCACTTGAGCCCAGAAGGTTGAAGTTGCAGTGAGCCGTAACCTCTCCACTGCACTCCAGCCTGGGCAACAGAGCGAGCCCCTGTCTCAGAAAAACAAATAGAAAAAATAAGCAAACAAAAAGAACTGCCCCTGGCTGTTGAGAGAAGGTACAAGACCAACCAGAGCAAAAGCCCTGGGTCTGGGCAGAAATGGATCCTTTCACGTGGCTGTGAGTGGGGCCAATAAGGCAGAGGCTGGCCAGCGAGAACCTGGATGTCCGCTGGGGTCTGGAGCAGGACAGGTCCTACCCGGGCTCACCCAGTTAACCCAAGGATAAGCAAGGGCAGGAATCCAGGAACTCCTCCCACCTCCTCAGGTGCTGAGGCGCTCCTGGGTCTCGTTCCTGGGCTTGTCAAGGTGCCAGGTGTCACCTCAGTAGGGCCGTGATCCCTGGGGGAGCGACATTCAAAGCCTCCCCTCCCTGACCCGCCCTGCACTTCTGCTCCTGAGTCAGAACCAGTGGGGACAAAGGCAGTGCCAAAGCAGGACAGACGAGTAGGGACCCCAAGAGACCCCAGCCCCAGTTCCTGCAACCAAGAGAGACTATATGAGAATCACAGAATCTGAGACTCACAGTTGAGTCTCAGGACTTAGAATTATGGAATCTTTTTTTTTTTTTTTTTTTTTTTGAGATGGAGTTTCACTCTTGCTGCCCAGGTTGGAGTGCAATGGCATGATCTTAGCTTACTGCAACCTCTGCCTCTTGGGTTCAAGCGATTCTCCTGCTTCAGCCTCCCGAGTAGCTGGGATTACACATGCCTGCCACCATGCCTGGCTAGTTTTTTGTGTTTTTAGTAGACACGGGGTTTCTTCATGTTGGCCAGGGTGGGCTTGAACTCCTGACTTCAGATGATCCACCTGCCTGGGCCTCCAAAAGTGTTGGGATTACAAGCGTGAGCACCGTGCCCAGTCGAATTGTGGAATCTTACAGACAGCAGCAGCAACAAGGAAGAATAGTTTGCATTTATTTATTTTTTTAGAGACAGGGTCTTCTTCTGTCGCCCAGGCTAAAGTGCAGTGGCGCAATCACCGCTCACTGCAGCCTCAACCTCCCCAGCTCAACCAATCCTTCTGCTTCAGCCTCCTAAGTAGCTGGGACCACAGGTGCACACCACCAAACTCGGCTAACTTTTAAAAATTTTTGGCTGGGCATGGTGGCTCACACCTGTAGTCCTAGCACTTTGGGAGGCAGAGGTGGGTGGATCATGTGAGGTCAGGAGTTCGAGACCAGCCTGGCCAACATGGTGAAACCCCTTCTCTACTAAAAATACAACAAACAAACAAACAAACAAAATTGTAGAGTTGGGGTCTCACTATATTGTTCAGGCTGGTCTCCAACTCCTAGCCTCCAGCCATCTTCCTGGCTTGGCCTCCCAAAGTGCTGAGATTACAGGCATGAGCCACCGAAACTGGCCTTTTTGCACTTGTTGAGTGCAGAGTTGAAGTTCAAGGACAGATTCTGGCTCCCCATGGCGTGGGTTCAAATCCCACTGTCACTCCTAGCTCACAGAAGGGGAATTGATGTCCAGGGCCACCCAGCAGGTCGTGCTGCAGTCACAGCAGCTCACAACTTCTCACCCCAACCCCTGCTGCATCTCCCAGGGAACCAAGGGGCAGGGGACAGCGCCCCGACACTGCCACCACTCTCCCATTCCTGCACATTCTGCTCACATTGTCTGCCGCGGCCTTGGGCCCTTCCTAACTCACATCCTGGGGTCCTGCTGCCCGCTTCTGTCATTGGAATCACAGTCAAGGAAGGTGTGACCTGATTCTCCCCACTCTGCTGCTTTTCCTCTCCAGGCTCACAATTCCCTCCGCTAGGGCAGGAGATGGTCCTGCACACTCTGCAGGGGCCTTCACTCCAGGCCTCCTTAGGAATTCCAAAGTGCTTTCCAAATCCACCCCCCTCCCCCCACTCGGCAGCCACCCCACTCCCGCCACTTGGATATGACCCATTTTTCAGAATCTAGAAATCTCATCAGACTCCTCACCTGCTCCAAACTCTCCTACAGTTCCCCAGCACCCTCAGAACAAAATCCACACCCCTTCCGGAGGCCCAGAAGATACCCCGTGATTGTCTGTCTCTGCTCAACCTGTATCCAGGCTGGAATTCACTGGTGTGATCACTGCTCACTGCAGCCTTGACCTCCCGGGCTCTGGCGATCCTCCCACCTCAGCCTCCCAAAGTGCTGGGATTATAAGTGTGAGCCACAGTGCCCAGCTGAAATCAGTATTTATCTGCTGGTGAGGTCAGGGCCATCACCACCCTGGGGTGGGTCCACCTGGATCATGCTGTGTCCCCAGCACCTGCCGGAGGGCCCTGCACACAGTATGCACTCAATGAACCGGCCTCAGCCCAGGCCTCTGGCCGCAGCCTGGACCCCACGGTGGGAAGAAGAGAAGCTATGCCTTCCCAGAACTTCCCTGGAGAGAAGGGGTCCATTTACATGTATTTGCACAATTTGCATATGTTTACATTGGTCGGCAGGGCTTTGCAAGTAGGGGATCCCGCTCGGATCTCCCATTGATTGATTGATTGATTGATTGAGACAGTCTCGCTCTGTCGCCAGGCTGGAGTGCAGTGGCACGATCTCGGCTCACTGCAACCTCCGCCTCCCGGGTTCAAGCGATTCTCCTGCCTCAGTCTCCCGAGTAGCTGGGACTACAGGCGCGTGCCATCACGCCCGGCTAATTTTTGTATTTTTAGTAGAGACGGGGTTTCACCACGTTGGCCTGGATGGTCTCGATTTCCTGACCTCGTGATCCGCCCGCGTCGGCCCCCCAAAGTGCTAGGATTACAGGCGTGAGCCACCGCGCCCAGCCTTGATTTTTATTTATTTATTTGTTTATTTATTTATTTTTTGAGACGGAATCTCTCTCTGTCGCCCAGGCTGGAGTGAAGTGGCGCGATCTCGGCTCACTGCAACCTCCACCTCCCGGGCTCAAGCGATTCTCCCGCCTCAGCCTCCCAAGTAGCTGGGATTACAGGCGGCCGCCACCACGCCCGGCTAATTCTTGTATTTTTAGTAGAGACGGGGTTTCACCATGTTGGCCAGACTGGTCTTGAACGGATCTCAAGAGACCCGTCCGCCTCGGCCCCCCAAAGTGCTGGGATTACAGGAGTGAGACACCGCACCCGGCCGGATCTCCCCTTTTCCAACGGGGTTTCCAGGAGGATGCCTGACCAGGGTGGAAGGAGAAAGAACTAGGTGCCTAACCCACTCTCCTGGCGAGGGCAGGAGGTACGCTCCAGCCGGCAACAGGTGCCCGCGTAGCCGCCGCAGTGTCACAGCCCCGGGGGAGGGACAGGTCCACCCTGCACAGCAGAGAGGGAGCAAGAGGACTGTCCGGGGGTTACGTGGGGACGCGTTGAGAAACGCTGGACCCAGCTGGAGCGGCCAGGGCAGAGGGTAGGCCAGAGGAGGCCACCAGGGAGCAGCAGAGGCTGGCGAGAAGCGCTCAAAAGCCCTTTTTTTTTTTTTTTTTTTTTTTTTGGAGACGGGGTCTTGCTGTGCTGCCCAGGCTGGAGTGCTGTGCAGTTCTCGACCACAGCTCATTGCAGCCTCGAACTTCCACGCTCAAGCGATCCTCCCACTTCAGCCTCCTGAGTAGCTGGGATTACAGGCATGTGCCACCACGCCTCGCTAATATTTGTATTTTTCATACAGACAAGATCTCACTATGTTGCTCAGGGTAGTCTCGAATTCTGGGACTCAAATGATCCTCCCACTTCAGCCTCCCAAAGTGCTGGGATTACAGGCATAAGCCATCATGCCCGGCCTCTGACGCTGTTTCTTTCAACCCCCAGGATTTCAGATTCCACCAGCTTATGGAGAAGGGAACCAAGTTTGAGATGCGTGATTGCCCAGAAAGTTGGAGGCTGAGCTGAGACTTGAACCCAGAGACCAGAACCTCCAGAGGTCAAAGTCCTCCTGGGTCCCCCAGAGAAGGGCCCTGAGATGACAGCTCGTTGGTCCTCATGGAAGCGTGACCCCCCCAGTAGACTTTCTCCCACACCCAACCTTGGTTTCCTCATCTATATGATAGGGACAAGCCAGACTCTACCTCCCTGGTGGTCATGGTCTCCGCTTATTCGGGTTCATAACCTTAAAGGCCCCTCGCACCACCTCAGTGAGCCATTTATGCCTGGCACAGGGCCAACTCTCAGTGCATATCTGCAAAGGAACCAATGAATGAATGAATGAAGTGACAAATGAATAAAGGAATAAATGAATGAGGCACTTATCATGTACCAGGCTTTCGTTACCACGTCCCATTTATTCCTCTGAGGCAGGGTCTATTTTATCCTTGTTACAGATGGGGAAACTAAGGCCCAGGGAGGAGCAAAGTCTTCCCCAAGTATGTACCCACTCAGAACTTGAGCTCTGAATGTCTCCCACCCAGCTTAGCCCAAGAGCGGGGTTCAGTGATGCCCACCCCCTAAGGCTCTAGAGAAAGGGGGTAGGCCCACATGCCAGTTTGGGGGTGGTAAAGCCAGGTAAGTTTTCTTTATGGGTCCCCTGAAACCCTGAAAGTGAACCCCAGTCCTGCATGAAAGTGAGCTCCCCATAGCTCAAGGTATTCAAGCACAATACGGCTTTGAGTGCTGAAGCAGGCTGTGCAGGCTTGGATAGTGACATGCCCTCTCTGAGCCTCAATTTCCCCACCTGTCAACAGCAGACAGTGACAGCTGTGATCAGGGGATCACAGTGCATGGGGATGGGTGGGTGCATGGGGATGGAGGGGCATTTGGGAGCCCTCCCCGATACCACCCCCTGCAGCCACCCAGATAGCCTGTCCTGGCCTGTCTGTCCCAGTCCAGGGCTGAAAGGGTGCGGGTCCTGCCCGCCCCTAGGTCTGGAGGCGGAGTCGCGGTGACCCGGGAGCCCAATAAATCTGCAACCCACAATCACGAGCTGCTCCCGTAAGCCCCAAGGCGACCTCCAGCTGTCAGCGCTGAGCACAGCGCCCAGGGAGAGGGACAGACAGCCGGCTGCATGGGACAGCGGAACCCAGAGTGAGAGGGGAGGTGGCAGGACAGACAGACAGCAGGGGCGGACGCAGAGACAGACAGCGGGGACAGGGAGGCCGACACGGACATCGACAGCCCATAGATTCCTAACCCAGGGAGCCCCGGCCCCTCTCGCCGCTTCCCACCCCAGACGGAGCGGGGACAGGCTGCCGAGCATCCTCCCACCCGCCCTCCCCGTCCTGCCTCCTCGGCCCCTGCCAGCTTCCCCCGCTTGAGCACGCAGGGCGTCCGAGGACGCGCTGGGCCTCCGCACCCGCCCTCATGGAGGCCGTGGAGACCGGGGAACGGCCCACCTTCGGAGCCTGGGACTACGGGGTCTTTGCCCTCATGCTCCTGGTGTCCACTGGCATCGGGCTGTGGGTCGGGCTGGCTCGGGGCGGGCAGCGCAGCGCTGAGGACTTCTTCACCGGGGGCCGGCGCCTGGCGGCCCTGCCCGTGGGCCTGTCGCTGTCTGCCAGCTTCATGTCGGCCGTGCAGGTGCTGGGCGTGCCGTCGGAGGCCTATCGCTATGGCCTCAAGTTCCTCTGGATGTGCCTGGGCCAGCTTCTGAACTCGGTCCTCACCGCCCTGCTCTTCATGCCCGTCTTCTACCGCCTGGGCCTCACCAGCACCTACGAGGTACCGGACAGAGGCCCGGGGGTAGGACCTGCCCCACTGGCAGTGCTGGGACCCCGTGTGGGGGAGGCGCTGGGGCTTTGGGCCGCTGTACAGGAGGACGCGGATGGCACCTCGGTGCTTTAACGGAAGGGGCCCCTAGGCAGACACGTGGGGAGGGTTCTAGGAAGAGGCCCCAGGCGCCCGGCGAGGGGCAGGAAGGAGGAAGAGAGAGCCTGGCGTCCTGCTCCTTCGGTGGAAGCGCGCGCGGGGCGGGGCCCGGCTCGACCAGGTGTGTCCTCACGGGTGGACACACACCTGCCCCCCACCTGCCCGGGCGTGCAGACCCACGTGTGCGCGCTAGAGGGGACTGCTGACGGCTCCGGGGTTCGAAACCTGGCTTCACTGCTTTCTTGTATCTTGGGCAAGGGGCGTGCCTCTCTGTTTGGGTTTCCCAGCTGTCCAATGGGCGAATTACAGGACCTCCCTCCAGGGGAGAGGGTAAAGCGATTAAAATCGTGACCGGGGCCCGGTGCGGTGGCTCACGCCTGTAATCCCAGCACTTTGGGAGGCCAAAGCATGCAGATCACCTGAGGTCAGGAGTTCAAGACCAGCCTGGCCAACATGGCGAAACCCCGTCTCTACTAAAAATACAAAAATTAGCCGGATGTGGTGGTGGGCACCTGTAATCCCAGCTACTTGGGAGGCTAAGACAGGAGAATTGCTTGAACCCGGGAGGTTGCAGTGAGCCGATATCGCGTCACTGCACTCCAGCCTGGGCGACAGAGCGAGACTCTTGTCTCAAAGGAAAAAAAAATATTGTGGCAGGGCGCAGTGGCTCACGCCTGTAATCCCAGCACTTTGGGAGGCCGAGGTGGGTGGATCACGAGGTCAGGAGTTCAAGACCAGCCTGGCTAACATGGTGAAACCCCGTCTTTACTAAAAATACAAAAATTAGCCGGGCATGGTCGCGCGCGCCTGTAATCCCAGCTACTCAGGAGGCTGAGGCAGAAGAATTGCTTGAACCTGGGAGGCGGAGGTTGCAGTGAGCCGAGATCGTGCCAGTGCACCCTAGCCTGGGCGACAGAGCGAGACTCCGTCCCCCCTCCCCCCCAAAAAAATCGTGACAGGTATATCCTAGGCGGCCAACACCATTGGCCCGGGGCACTGTCTACACTGTGCGCTTGCGGGCCACGTCGGTGTCTGCTGAGCGGTGGCTGCTCCAGGAGCCCGCGCCCGTCAGGCGCAAGTGGGAGGGCGCGTGCACACGCATGGACCAGTCCTCCAGGTCCACGGGGTACGCACAGGCACGGGATGGCACCTGTGCACGGGTGTGTGCGTGCGGCGGGGCCCCCACGTGCAAGAATCTGGCGGGCGCGGTTGGCTTCCGGAGGGAGGGGCCCACCTAGAGAGCAGACCAGGGACCCGAGAGGCCTCGGCTCCTGGGTAAGGACTGTCCAGGTGACCTCGAGTCCCTCCTTGCAGTACCTGGAGATGCGCTTCAGCCGCGCAGTGCGGCTCTGCGGGACTTTGCAGTACATTGTAGCCACGGTGAGTGGCCTCGGCCCCGCCCTCCGCTCAGGGCCCCGAGAGCGTCAGCCTTCACTAGCCCGGCCCCCACCATTCAAGACCCCGCCCAGACCCCGCCCCCCATGCTCCCGTTCTGACCCCGCCCCCATCAGTCCCCTCCCACACCACAGCCGGCCTGACCCCGCCTGCACTCTGGAAGACCCGGCCTATCTGCCCCGCCCATATTCTGGGACCACCCTTCTGCCTCCTCTCCCCATCCCCAACTCGCCCAGACGCCCTCCCTGCTCACCCGCCCCACACTCTGTCTACAGATGCTGTACACCGGCATCGTAATCTACGCACCGGCCCTCATCCTGAACCAAGGTGTGACTCTGGGAGATTAGGGAAGCATGTCTGGGAAGAGAAAGGGAGGGAGAGGAGAACCCAAGACTAAGTTTGCGCCCCGCCCAGGGGCCTAACAGGGGGACCTCTTTTTGCATAGTGACCGGGCTGGACATCTGGGCGTCGCTCCTGTCCACCGGAATTATCTGCACCTTCTACACGGCTGTGGTGAGTGGCCCTGGGAACTCACTCCATACGGGGGATCGGGCCCACTGTGTCTCTTGTGGGGAGACTCTGGGCTTGCCCCTTTCTCCTGAGGAAGCCTCTGTCCCAGCTGGGACCCAGTGTCCTCATCTTTATAGTGAAAAATGATCTGAAAAGCTTATTGCTGAGAATCTAGAGGTATGGTAGCTTCAGGCATGGCTGGATCCAGGCTTCCACCTCTTCTGGCTTCCAGTCCAGCAGGAAGTGAGCTCCTGCTTCATCCTGGGGCTGGCTGAGGTCCCAGGGAGGGCTACCTTTGGCTGGCTCAGGTCTGACCTTGATGGCGATATTATCATCGTAGTGATAATAATAGTAATGGCGGCCGGGCGCGGTGGCTCACGTCTGTAATCCCAGCACTTTGGGAAGCAGAGGCAGGCGGATCACCTAAGGTCAGGAGTTCGAGACCAGCCTGGCCAACATGATGAAACCCCGTCTCTACTAAGAATACAAAAATTACCTGGGCGCAGTGGCACGCGCCTGTAATCCTAGCCTCTCAGGAGGCTGAGGCAGGAGAATCGCTTGAACCCGGGAGGTGGAGGTTGCGGTGCGTGGAGATTGCGCCATTGCACTCCAGCCTGGGCGACAGAGCAAGACTCCATCTCAAAAAAATATAATAATAATAATAATAATAGTAATGGCAGCAATCACTCACTGACACTCGTATATGTCAAGTCATATTCCAAATCTTTTTCACTTATTAACTTGTTTAATTCTACTGGGCACAGTGGCTCATACCTGTAATCCCAGCACTTTGAGAGGCCAAGGTAGGAGGATCACTTGAGGCCAGGGGTTCGAGACCAGCCTAGGCAACATAGTGAGACCCCCCCCCGCCCCCATCTCTACAAAAAAAATTTTTTTTAAATTAGTCGGGCATGGTGGCACCTGCTGTAGCTCCAGCTACTCCGGAGGCTGAGGCAGGAGGATCACTTGAGCCTAAGAGTTCCAGTCTGCAGTGAGCTGTGATCACACCACTGCACTCCAGCCTGGGCAAAAGACAGAAACCTTTTCTTTAAAAATAAAATAACTAACTTAATTCTTACAACAACACAGTAAGAAGGTATTATTATTAATCCCACTTTAGAGAGGAGGAGACTGAGGCATAGAAGGGCATCAGTCCTAGGCACCACTGAAGGCCAGGTCCCCCATCTAACCGCCCCTCTCCCTCTCTCTGTCCCATGCTGCAGGGCGGCATGAAGGCTGTGGTCTGGACTGATGTGTTCCAGGTCGTGGTGATGCTAAGTGGCTTCTGGGTTGTCCTGGCACGCGGTGTCATGCTTGTGGGCGGGCCCCGCCAGGTGCTCACGCTGGCCCAGAACCACTCCCGGATCAACCTCATGGAGTGAGTGAAAATGCAGAGGATACTCCAGCAGGATGGGGCTGGGACCAGTGCGGTGGCTCATGCCTGTAATCCCAGCACTTTGGGAGGCCGAGGCGGGCAGATCACTTGAGCTCAGGAGTTCAAGACCAGCCTGGGCAACATGGTGAAAACCCATCTCTACAAAAATACAAAAATTAGCTGGGCGTGGTGGTGCACCTGTGGTCCCAGGTAGTTGAGAGGCTGAGGCTGGAGGATTGCTTGAGCCCGGTAGGTGGAGGCTGCAGCAAGCTGAGATCACACTACTGCACTCCAGCCTGGATGACAGAGCTAGACCCTGTCTCAAAAAAAAAAAAAAAAAGAGGCTGGGTGCAGTGGTTCATGCCTGTAATCCCAGCACTTTGGGAGGCCAAGGCGGGGGGATCACCTGAGGTCAGGAATTTGAGACCAGCATGACCGACATCGAGAAACCCCATCTCTACTAAAAAATACAAAATTAGGCTGGGCGCGGTGGCTCACGCCTGTAATCCCAGCACTTTGGGAGGCCAAGGATGGCAGATCATGAGGTCAAGAGATTGAGACCATCCTGGCCAACTTGATGAAAGTCCGTCTTTACTAAAAATACAAAAATTAGCTGGGCATGCTGGCAGGCGCCTGTAATCCCAGCTACTCAGGAGGCTGAGGCAGGAGAATTGCTTGAACCCAGGAGGCAGAGGTTGCAGTGAGCCGAGATGGCATCACTGCACTCCCGCCTGGTGACAGAGAGAGACTCCGTCCCCCCCCTAAAAAAAAAAAAAATTAGCAGGGCGTGGTGGCGCATGCCTGTAATTCCAGCTACTCGGGGAGGCTGAGGCAGGAGAATCGCTTGAACCCAGGAGGCGGAGGCTGCGGTGAGCCGAGATCACACCATTGCACTCCAGCCTGGGCAACAAGAGCGAAACTCCATCTTTAAAAAAAAAAAAAGAGGATGGGGCTGGGCTCCCTTTGTGCCGTGGGATGGTAGAAATCAGCCAATGCCTCCTGCTCCAGGAGGCCCTCGCTGCTCTCTTCTCCTCCCCTCAGACCAGATTGGGGGCTAAAGCCTCTCTGAACTCTCAGCTGGGCAAAGAAAGGTTTTTAAGTGCGTGGATAGATGATTCAGTAAACAAATACGTGAATTTTCAATCTGGCAAATGCCTATGCATATGTCAAACCCACTCCATTTATTATTTATTTATTTTTAATTTAATTAATTTTTTTTTTTTTGAGATGGAGTCTCGCTCTGTCACCCAGGCTGGAGTGCAATGGCACGATCTCAGCTCACTGCAACCTCCGCCTCCTGGGTTGAAGTGATTCTCCTGCCTCAGCCTCCCAAGTAGCTGGGATTAGAGGCACCCGCCATTATTCCCAGCTAATTTTTGTATTTTTATAGAGATGGGGTTTCACCATGTTGGCCAGGCTGGCCTTGAACTGTGACCTCAGGTGATCCATCCGCCTTGGCCTCCCAAAGTGCTGGGATTACAGGCATGAGCCACTGCGCCTGGCCAACAAAACCCACTCCAAATGTCCCCTATAAGGTCCAGAAGCGCTGTCTGGGGCCCTTGGGAGGGTGAAGTCAGCGTGACATCTCCACGTGGCTAACTTGCCCTGTCCCCACCCAGCTTTAACCCTGACCCGAGGAGCCGCTATACATTCTGGACTTTTGTGGTGGGTGGCACGTTGGTGTGGCTCTCCATGTATGGCGTGAACCAGGCGCAGGTGCAGCGCTACGTGGCTTGCCGCACAGAGAAGCAGGCCAAGCTGTGAGTGTTTCGGGGAGCAAGGTCGGGGTTTCTGGGACATGCTGCCCCCCTCCACCAGCCTGAGGCTATCCCCTAAGCCTGAGGCTGCCTCTTCCCCCAGGGCCCTGCTCATCAACCAGGTCGGCCTGTTCCTGATCGTGTCCAGCGCTGCCTGCTGTGGCATCGTCATGTTTGTGTTCTACACTGACTGCGACCCTCTCCTCCTGGGGCGCATCTCTGCCCCAGACCAGGTGAGTCCCACCCAGGCTCCTGGTTGGCTCTGCACTCCCTCACTAGCTTGGTGGGATTGAGGTCGAAGAGCATTCCTAGCAGAGGGAATGGCCTGTGCAAAGGCCAAGAAGTAGGAAAGAGCTGAGAGGAGGCCAGGTGCGGCGGCTCATGCCTGTATCCCAGCACTTTGGGAGGCTGAGGCGGGTGGATCACCTGAGGTCAGGAGTTTGAGACCAGTCTGGCTAACATGGTGAAACCCTGTCTCTACTAAAAATATAAAAATTAGCTGGACGTGGTGGCACGCACCTGTAGTCCCGGCTACTCAGGAGGCTGAGGCAGGAGAATCTCTTGAACCCGGGAGGCGGAGGTTGCGATGAAGGGAGATCGCACCACTACACTCCACCTTGGATGACAGAGTGAGACTCTGTCTCAAAAAAATAAAATAAAATAAAATAAAGAGTTCAGAGGAGGATCTGCAAGGAATGGGAAAGGTGAGTCTGGGAGGCAATGGACCGCCCTCAGTAGGTGTGAGCAGACAAGGGCCACATTCAGATCTAGAGTTCCAGAGAGTTCCAAAGATCCCCTGGGAGATGCTCAGGAGGAGATGAAACCATGACCCAGGCCGGGCATGTTGGCTCACGCCTGTAATCCCAGCACTTTTGGAGGCCGAGACAGGCAGATCACTTGAGGTTAGAAGTTCGAAACCAACCTGGCCAACATGGTGAAACCCCCCTCCACTAAAAATACAAAAATTACCTAGGCCTGGTGATGCATGCCTGTAATCCCAGCTACTCGGGAGGCTGAGGCAGGAGAATAGCTTGAACCCGGGAGGTGGAGGTTGCAGTGAGCAGAGATCGCGCCATTGCACTCCAGCCTGGGTGACAGAGAGAGACTCCATCTCAAAAAAAAAAAAAACAAAAAAAAAAAACCAAAACAAGGCTGGGCGCGGTGGCTTACGCCTATAATCTCAGCACTTTTGGAGGCTGAGGCAGGGGTATCACCTGAGGTCATGAGTTGAAGACCATCCTGACCAACATGGAAAAACCCCGTCCCTACTGAAAAATACAAAATTAGCCGGGTGTGGTGGTGCATGCCTGTAATCCCAGCTACTCGGGAGGCTGAGGCAGGAGAATAGCTTAAACCTGGGAGGCGGAGGTTGCGGTGAGCTGAGATGGCGCCATTGCACTCCAGCCTGGGCAACAAGAGAGAAACTCCGTCTCAAACAAAAATAAAAACAAAACAAAACAAACCCACAAAAACAAAAACAAAAACTGTAATCCAGCGGGAACTAATCATGTTGGTGATAATAATAATGACAGCTCTGGTCTCCCATGTCCCAAGCGTCCACTCTGTGCCTCATGCTGTTCCCTTCACCAGCAGTTAGTTCTCCATCTAATCTTTCTTCTGAGAAAGGCAGGGCAGTCACGGCTCCAACTTTACAGATGAGGAAATTGAGGCTCGGGGGGAAGTCACTGCCTGAGGTCAATGGGCAAGTCGGGGGGCGGTGCCAGGACCCATGCCTAGGTCACACCCCAAGTAGAGTTCTGACCATGGGGTTCAGAGTTAGCAGAGGGTACGGGGGACCACCCCATCTGCAGTCCTCCCTGGAGGTCAGATCCGGGACTGCTGGACTGTGTAACTTCAGGGAGGGACTGTACTCTCTGCCTCACAGTCTTCATCAATAAAATGAGGATGACACGGGTCCCTGCTTCACAGGGATCCCAGGGCTCAGAACACAGTGGGGCTCAGGGACAATTCTCAGGTTCATGCAGTTGATCAACAAATGCACATTATAGCCTGAGGAACATAGGGAGACCCCATCTTTACACAATTTTTTTTTTTTTGAGCCAGAGTCTCACTCTGTTGCCCAGGCTGGAGTGCAGTGGCGCAACCTCAGCTCACTGCAACCTCTGGCTCCCAGGATCAAGCCATTCTCTTGCCTCAGCCCCCGAGTAGCTGGGATGACAGGCATGCGCCACCATGCCCAGCTAATTTTTTTGTATTTTTTGTAGGGGTGGGGTTTTGCCATGTTGGCCAGGCTGGTCTCAAACTCCTGACCTCAGGTGATCCACCTGCCTCAGCCTCTGAATGTGCTGGGATTACAGGCATGAGCCACTGTGCCCGGCCTTTCTTTCTTTTCTTTCTTTTTTTTTTTTTTTGAGACAGAGTTTGGCTCTGTTGTGCAGGCTGGAGTGCAACGGCGCGATCTCCGCTCGCTGCAACCTCTACCTCTCAGATTCAGGCAATTCCTCTGCCTCAGCCTCCCAAGTAGCTGGGACTCCAGGTGCCAACCACCACACCCAGCTAATTTATGTATTTTGGGTAGAGATGAGGTTTCACCATGTTGGCCAGGCTGGTCTTGAACTTCTGAGCTCAAGTGATCCACCCGCCTCGGCCTCCCGAAGTGTTGGGATTACACGCGTGAGTCACCCTGCCCGGCCAGACCCCTATCTTTACACAAAAATTTAAAAAAATTAGCCAGGCATGGTGGCGCACACCTGTGGTCTCAGCTACTGGGGGACTGAAGCAGGAAGATCGCTTGAGCCCAGGAGTTCTAGGCTGCAGTGAGCCACATTCATGGGACTGCACTCCCGCCTGGGCAACAGAGCAAGATCTTTTCTCAAAACAAAACAAAACAAAACAAAACCACAGACAAAAACTAAATGCATATTAAATGCCGACTCTGAGCCCTGTCCGTCTTGGGTGCTGGGGACGTGCAGCATCAGGACAGATAGATGCCCCGGTCCTCGGGGTGCAGCTGTCTGGGAGGCTGACCCCCAGTTCTCCCCAGTACATGCCTCTGCTGGTGCTGGACATCTTCGAAGATCTGCCTGGAGTCCCCGGGCTTTTCCTGGCCTGTGCTTACAGTGGCACCCTCAGGTGAGCACCCCTGCTTGTTCATGGAGCATTATTTCAGCCCCTGGGAGCCTCCTTATCCTGGCCTGCCATCCCTCTGGGGCATGGAATGTTCTGGACCTGTCCATCAGTCCCAGTTCCTGCTTGATCCCTAGAAGACAGCTCAGGTAGGCGCTGGCAGAGAGCATGCCCTGGGCACAGGGACCCCAACTGCAAGGGTTTACCTTCTTATCACCTGTCAGGGCCACGCCTGACTCTCCTCTCTTCTTCTTCCTTCTTTCCTTCCTTCCTCCCCAGACAAATATTTGTTGAACATCTACTATGTGGCAGGTACTGTTTTTTTTTGTTTTTTTTCCGGATGGAGTCTTGCTCTGTCACCCAGGCTGGAGTGCAGTGGTGCCATCTCGGCTCACTGCAACCTCCACCTCCTGGGTTCAAGCAATTCTCCTGCCTCAGCCTCCCAAGTAGCTGGGATTACAGGTCCACGCCACCACAGCCGGCTAATTTTTGTATTTTTAGTAGAGACGGGGTTTCGCCATGTTGGCCAGGCTGGTCTTGAACTCCTGACCTCAGGTGATCTGCATGCTTTGGCCTCGCAAAGTGCTGAGATTGCAGGCATGAGCCAACGTGCTCAGCCCAGGTACTGTTGTTCTAAACCCTGGGGCACAGCCATGACCAAGCAGTCCCCTGCTTCTGCCTTCCAAGGCCACACACTCAGGTGGTTTCCACTCTTCCGGGACTTCTGGTCACATGCCCTCACTGTCCCTTTTGCAAATCTCCCACATGTGACTGCAGTCCCTCTGGAACCAGAACCCACCTGTCTGTCCCACCTGCCCTTGGTCACAGGTGTCCTTGCTCCTGTAGGGATGTCTCAGGTCTTCGGGGAGGGGAGGGGCAAATATCTCCTTCACCTTTGCAGGACTGGGTTACCCCCACCGTTGCCCTCAGGCTGGGTGAGGTCTGGCAGGCCAGATGGTGTGGACGGTCTCTCCATATGGCCTGAGGACCCCCCGCTGCCTTCCTCACACAGCACAGCATCCACCAGCATCAATGCTATGGCTGCAGTCACTGTAGAAGACCTCATCAAACCTCGGCTGCGGAGCCTGGCACCCAGGAAACTCGTGATTATCTCCAAGGGGCTCTGTGAGTTTCAGGGAGACCTGGGTGGGAGGCCAGGGCAGTCCCTCCCCGTTGACCGTGCCATCCTCATCCACTACAGCACTCATCTACGGATCGGCCTGTCTCACCGTGGCAGCCCTGTCCTCACTGCTCGGAGGAGGTGTCCTTCAGGTGAGACCCCACCTGCCCCCTGCCCTGGTCTCCTGAGAGGTGGGGGCACCTTTCCCTCTTTCCCATTAAACTGAGGCTCAGAGAGGTCACATGTGTCAGTGGCAGAACTCACTTCTATGTTTTTTTTTTTTTTGAGATGGGGTCTCACTGTGTTGTCCCAGGTTGGTGAGCAGAGGCCCGATCATAGCTCACTGCAACCTCCAGCTCCTGGGTTCAAGCCATCCTTCCACCTCAATCTCCCAAGTAGCTGGAGTTACAGGTGTGTGCCACCATGCCTGGCTAATTTTTTTCTTTTTTCTTTTTTTTTTTTTTTTGAGGTGGAGTGTCACTCTGTTGCCCAGGCTGGAGTGCAGTGGCATGATCTCAGCTCGCTGCAACCTCCACCCCCTGGGTTCAAGGAATTCTGCCTCAGCCTCCAGAGTAGCTGGGATTACAGGTGCATGCCACCATGCCCGTCTAATATTTTTGTATTTTTTTTTCTTGAGACGGAGTCTCGCTCTGTTGCCCAGGCTGGAGTGCAGTGGCACCATCTTGGCTCACTGCAAGCTCAGCCTCCTGGGTTCACGCCATTCTCCTGCCTCAGCCTCCCGAGTAGCTGGGACTACAAGCGCCCGCCACCACGCCTGACTAATTTTTTGTATTTTTAGTAGAGATGGGGTTTCACCGTGTTAGCCAGGATGGTCTCGATCTCCTGACCTCGTGATCCGCCCTCCTCGGCCTCCCAAAGTGCTGGGATTACAGGCGTGAGCCACCGCGCCCAGCTTATATTTTTGTATTTTTATTAGAGATGGGACTTCACCATGTTGGCCAGTCTGGTCTCGAACTCCTGACCTCAAGTGATCCACCCGCCTCTGCCTCCCAAAGTGTTGGGATTACAGGTGTGAGCCACCACGCCTGGCCTGGCTAATTTTAAAACTTGTTTTTAGAGACAGGGTCTCGCTTCGTGCCTAGGCTTGTCTTGAACTCCTGGCCTCAAGCAACCACCCGCCTCAGCCTTCCAAGTCGCTGAGATTAAGAACTAAGTTCTATTTGATGCCAGAGGCCATCAGGGGACTTTTTTGCAGCTGGCTGGCTTGGGGTGGGGGAATTGGGAAGGGGGAGGTGGCGACAGAAAGGGCCTCCCTATGGAGGTTGCAGTGAGCCAAGATCGCGCCACTGCACTCCAACCTGGACAGCAAAGTGAGACTCTGTCTAAAAAAAAAAAAGAAGAAGAAAGGGTCTCCCTGGCTTGAGGGTGGGACTGCCACCCCCAAGAGATAATCAGTGTCTTTGCCTCCAACCCAAGGGAGATAGGCAGGAACAAGGGGGGGGGGTCCTCTCCCCTTTAGGGAAACTGAGACACAGAGGAGTCCTTGAGACCCACATTGGAGTTCCTGAGGTCTCGCTTTCCCAGCGGGTAAACTGAGGCCCAGAGCGGTGGGAGGGCTCCGCCCTCAGCCCCACTTCCACCTACTCTCCCAGGGCTCCTTCACCGTCATGGGAGTCATCAGCGGCCCCCTGCTGGGAGCCTTCATCTTGGGAATGTTCCTGCCGGCCTGCAACACACCGGTGAGTGGGGGCGGGGCAAGGGGCGGGGAGGGGCGGGGCCGGACAGGCCCCTCCCCTTCCCTGACGCCGGCTCTGCCCCCAGGGCGTCCTCGCGGGACTAGGCGCGGGCTTGGCGCTGTCGCTGTGGGTGGCCTTGGGCGCCACGCTGTACCCACCCAGCGAGCAGACCATGAGGGTCCTGCCATCGTCGGCTGCCCGCTGCGTGGCTCTCTCAGTCAACGCCTCTGGCCTCCTGGACCCGGCTCTCCTCCCTGCTAACGACTCCAGCAGGGCCCCCAGGTGAGCAGACTTGAGGGTAGGGGGGTACCCGAGCCCTGGATGGTGTGATCTTGAAGGGAAACTTACTTGCCCTGCACTCTGTGTAAGAAGCCTGATTAGTAAAATGCATTCCTGGGGGAGGGAACGGTAGGTGCAAAGGCCCTGAGGCCACAATCGGGTTAGTCCCAGTCCAACTGCACTGAGGTTAGGGTGCATTTAATGGGAGGAGAGATGGGTGGGAGATATGGTGCAGCCAGAGGAAGCTAGTACTTTTTTTGTTTTGTTTTTCTGAGACAGAGCCTCGCTCTGTGGTCCAGGCTGGAATGCAGGGGTGCAATCTCAGCTTACTGCAGCTTCAACCTCTCAGGCTCAAGCAATCCTCCCAGCTTGAGGGAGGCCCAGAATTTGGTTTGGTTCTATTTTTTATTGAGATAAATTAGCCATTTAAAAGTGGCATTTAGGCCAGGCAGGCACAGTGGCTCACACCTGTAATCCCAGCACTTTGGGAGGCTGAGGCAGGTGGATCACCTGAGGTCAGGAGTTCAAGACCAGCTTGATCAACATGGGGAAACCCCCGTCTCTACTAAAAATACAAAACTTAGCCAAGCGTGGTGGCAGGTGCCTGTAATCCCAGCTACTCGGGAGGCTGAGACAGGAGAATCGCTTGAACCCAGGAGGTGGAGGTTGCAGTGAGCTGAGATCGCACCACTGTATTCCAGCCTGGGCAACAAAAATGAAACTCCAACTCAAATAAATAAATTAAAGTGGCATTTAGTATATTTGTGCAACCATCACCACTATCTAAGTCAAGAACGTTTCCTCTTTTTTTTTTCTAATTTTGTATTTTTAGTACAGATGGGGTTTCACCATGTTGGCCAGGCTGATCTTGAACTCCTGACCTCAGGTGATCCGCCCACCTCAGCCTCCCAAAATGCTGGGATTACAGGTGTGAGCCACTGTGCCTGGCCCCAAAAACATTTTCTATTTTTTTTTTTTTTTGGAGCAGGGTCTTGCTCTGTTGCCCAGGCTGGAGTCCAGTGGCACGATCATAGCTCACTGCTGCCTCAACCTCCTGGGCTCAAGGAATCTTCCTACCTCAGCCCCCCTAGTTGCTGGGACCACAGGTGCACACCATCATGTCCTGCTTGTTTTTATTTTTATTTTTTGTAGAGACAGGGTCTGGCTATGTTGCCCAGGCTGGTCTGGAATTCCTGGGCTCAAGCGATCTGCCCACCTCAGCCTTGCAAAGTGCCAGGATGACAGGTGTGGGCACCCAGCCAACCAAGAACATTTTCTGTTTTGTTTATTTATTTATTTATTTATTTTGGTTTTTTGGGTGGGTTTTTTTGCTTTTTGTTTATTTGATTTTTTGGAGACAGGGTCTCACTCTAACACCCAGGCTGGAGTGCAATGGCACAATCACAGCTCACTGCACCATTGACCTCCAGACTCCGATGATCCTCCTGCCTCAGCCTCCCAAGTAGCTGGGACTATAGGCATGTATCACCATGCTGGGCTAAATTTTTTGTATTTTTTATAGAGACGAGTTTTTGCCATGTTGCCCAGGCTGGTCTCAAAGTATTGGGCTCAAGTGATCTGCCTGCCTCTGACTCCCAAAGTGCTGGGATTACAGGTGTGAGGCACTGTTCCTGGTCATAAGAACATTTTTATCACCCCAGAAAGAAGCCCTGTCCCCATCAGCAGTCACTTCCCACTTCCCCCTCTCCCCAGCTCCTGGCAAGCACGAATCCACTTTCTGTTTCTATGAATTTGCCTGTTCTGGGCATTTCATGTAAATGGAATCATAAAATATGTGATCTTTTGTGTCTTAGCATAATACATATATATTTTTTGAGACGGGGTTTCACTTTGTCGCCCAGGCTGGAGTGCAGTGGCGTGATCCCAGCTCACTGCAACCTCTGCCTCCCAGGTTCAAGCAATTCTCCTGTCTCGGCCTCCTGAGTAGCTGGGGTCACAGGCATATGCCACCACGCTTGGGTAATTTTTGTATTTTTAGTAAAGATGGGGTTTCACCATATTGATCAGGCTGGTCTTGAACTCCTGACCTCAGGAGATCCACACATCTTGGCCTTTCAAAGTACTGGGATTACAGCAGAGTACAGTGGAGCCACTGCACTCCAGTCTGGGTAACAGAGTGAGACTCCACCAAAAACAAACAAAACCAAAAACATTTGTGAACAAGTTTTGGTATGGACATATGTTTTAATTTCTCTAGGTATATACCTATGAGTGGAATTGCTGGATCATATGGTAATTCTTTAACTTTTTTTTTTTTTTTTTAGATGGAGTCTTGCTCTGTCGCCCAGGCTGGAGTGCAGTGGTGTGATCTCCACTCACTGCAACCTCCGCCTCCTGGGTTCAAGCGATTCTCCCGCTTCAGCCTCCCGAGTAGCTGGGACTACAGGCATATGCCACCACGCCTGGCTAATTTTTATATTTTTAGTAGAGAAGGGGTTTCACCATGTTGGTCAGGGTGGTCTCAAACCCCTGACCTCAGATGATCCGCCTGCCTTGGCCTCCCAGGGTGTTAGGATTACAGGCCTGAGCCACCACGCCCGGCCTATGTTTAACTTTTTGAGGAACTACCAGACTGTTTTCCACAGCGGCCACATCATTTTACATTCCGACCAGCAACATATGAGGATTCTAACTTCTCCACGTCCTCGCCAATACTCATTATTCTCCATCCTAGTGGGTGTGAAGTGATACCTCACTGTGGTTTTGATTTGCATTTCCCTGATGAATAATGATGTTGAGCATCTTTCTTTTCATTGGCCATTTGTGCATCTTCTTTGGAGAAATGTCTATTCAAACCCTTTGCCCATCCAGCCTGGGTAACATAGAAAGACCCTATCTCTATAAAAATAAAAATGAAAAAATTAGCTGGGCATGGTGGTGCACACTTGTAGTCCCAGCTCCTTGGGAGGCTGAGGCAAAGAGGATCGCTTGAGCCTGGGGGGCCAAGGCTGCAGTGAAGCATGATCCCACCACTGCACTCCATCCTAGGCAACAGAGCAAGACCCTGCCTCAAATTAAAAAACAAACAAACAAAAAAACACCCTTTGCCCATTTTTAAATTGGGTGATTTGTCTTTTTATTGTTGAGTTATAATTTACATATTTTTATATCTTTATGTATTCTGGGTACAAGCCCCTGATCAGATGTATAATTTGCATGTGATATTTTCTCCCATTCTGTAGGTTGTCTTCATTCTCTCGATAGAATCCTTTGATGCACAGAAGTTTTTAATTCTTTTTTTTGGTGGGCGGATGGAGTCTAACTCTGTCACCCAGGCTGGAGTGCAGTGGTGCGATTTCAGCTCACTGCAACCTCCACCTCCCAGGTTCAAGGGATTCTCCCACCTCAGCCTCGTGAGTAGCTGTGACTACAGGTGCACACCACTATGCCAGGCTAATTTTTATATTTTTAGTAGAGATGGGGTTTCACCATGTTAGCCAGCCTGGTTTCAACTCCTGACCTCAGCCTGCCTCAGCCTCCCAAAGTGCTAGGATTACAGGCATGAGCCAACATGCCTGGCCAGAAGTTTTTAATTTTTTTTTTTTTTTTTTGAGATGGAGTCTCGCTCTGTTGCCCAGGCTGGAGTGCAATGGTGTGATCTCGGCTCACTGCAAGCTCCACCTCCCGGGTTCATGCCATTCTCCTGCCTCAGCCTCTCGAGTAGCTGGGACTACTGGCACCCGCCATCAGGCCTGGCTAATTTTTTATTATTTTTTTATTTTTAGTAGAGACAGGGTTTCACCATGTTAGCCAGGATGGTCTCGATCTCCTGACCTCGTGATCCACCCGCCTTGGCCTCCCAAAGTGCTAGGATTACAGGTGTGAGCCACCACGCCCAGCCAGTTTTTAATTTTTGATGAAGTCCAATTGATTTATTTTTTTCTTTGGTGGCTTTTGCTTTTGGCGTCATATCTAAGAAACAATTGCAGTCACGAAGATTCCCACCTATGTTTTCTTCTGAGAGTTTAATTTGGTTTGATTTTGAGGGTGACAGGGAGCCACAGAGGGTGACGGGCAGCAGCAGGTGATCTGAGTTACATTTTAGTAATGTGCCCTTTGGCTGTGTGTGGAGGACGTCTAGGGTGGGGATGGGATACCTGGAGGGAAGGAACATTGGCTACTGCACAGATCTGGGCAGACAGTAATGGAGGTCTGTGCTAGGCCATGGCAGTTGGGGGAAGGAAGCAGGGGGTGAGGTTGGAACAGCTTTTGAGTGCAGGCAGGGGATAAAAGAGGAGGTTCAAGTCTGTCTCTCCCAACCTGCAGCTCAGGAATGGACGCCAGCCGACCCGCCTTAGCTGACAGCTTCTATGCCATCTCCTATCTCTATTACGGTGCCCTGGGCACGCTGACCACTGTGCTGTGCGGAGCCCTCATCAGCTGCCTGACAGGTAGGTAAACAGAGCATGTGGCCTCAGAGGTCATCCCATTCATCTCTCTGCCTCAAGGCTCCACCCAGCAGGGAGGGGAGAAAGGACGCTCCCATTGGCCAAACTGCCACTGTGTGCTGTACACATTTGTACCTTATTATTATTATTATTATTATTATTATTATCATCATCATCATCATCATCATCATCATTTTTGAGATAGAGTCTCACTCTGTCACCCAGGCTGGAGTGCAGTGGTGTGATCTCAGTTCATTGCAACCTCCACCTCCCAGATTCAAGCGATTCTCATGTCACAGCCTCCCGAGTAGCTGGGATTACAAGTGTGTGCCGCCATGCTTGGCTAATTTTGCATTTTTAGTAGAGACGGAGTTTCGCCATGTGTCTCGAACTCCTGGGCTCAAGTGATCCGCCCACCTCGGCCTCGCAAAGTTCTGGGATTATAGGTGTGAGCCACTGCACCTGGGCTGTACCTATTTTTTTAAAAGGAAAAAAAAAGTTTGTGAGGAAAAAAGAAGTGTGTGTGTATATATACACATACATACACACTTTTATGTGTATATATACATAAAAGAAATTATGAATATATATAAAAATTATGACTATATATATACATAAAAGAAAGTGTATATATATATAGTTTCTTTTAAAGGGACGGGGTCGACTGGGCGTAGTGGCTCATGCCTGTTATCCCAGCACTTTGGGAGGCCGAGGCGGGTGGATCACCTGAGGTCAGGAGTTCAAGACCAGCCCGGCCAACATGGTGAAACCCCGTCTCTACTAAAAATACAAAAAAATTAGCTGGGCATGGTGGCAGGCGCCTGTAATGCCAGCTACTTGGGAGGCTGAGGTAAGGGAATCGCTTGATCCTGGGAGATGGAGGTTGCAGTGAGCCAAGATTGCGTCACTGCACTCCAGCCTGGGCAAGAGAGTGAGACTCCATCTAAAAGAAAGAAAGAAAGAAGGAAGGAAGGAAGGAAGGAAGGAAGGAAAGAGAAAGAGAGAGAGAGAGAAGGAGAGAAAGAGAGAGAGAAAGAAAAGAGACAGGTCTCACTGTTACCCAGACTGGAGTGCAGTGGCACAATCATGGCTCACTGCAACCTTGAACTCCTGAGCTGAAAGCAATCCTCCCACCTCATCCTCCCGAGTAGCTGAGACTACAGGTGCGCGCCAACGTGCCCGGCTCACATTTACACCCTTTAAAGCTATGTTGCTTTCTTGACAACCCTGCACCTCTCAGAGCTTGCCCTATTTTGCAGAGGCAGAAACGGAGGCATTGCCTGCAACTCCTCTCCCCAACAAGATTAAGTCCTCAGTAGAGGATATGGGTTGGGGCGGGCGGCGCTATCCCTGGTGCTGAAATATCTTCTAAAGCTGCCGGTGACTCCGCACTTGTTAGGGAATTCTAAATTCCACGGAAAAGTAGAAGGAGACAAAGAGGGGAAAGTCAGTAGTGATAACAGTACCTGCTCACACTTCTTGAGTCTCAGACTTCACAGTCATCAGGCCTTTATCGAGTCCTCCTCTGTGCTGGACGCTATTTTAGGCACTGGGGATGCAGCAGTGAATGGAACCGTGTGCTGGACCCTCCCAGCCATCCATTAATGTCTTTGTTTTGTTTTGTTTTGTTTTTTTGAGATGGAGTTTCACTCTGGTCGCCCAGGCTGGAGTGCAATGGTGCGATGTTGGCTCACTGCAACCTCTGACTCCCGGGTTCAAGCAATTCTCTTACCTCAGCCTCCCGAGTAGCTGGGATTACAAGCGCCCACCCCCACGCCTGGCTAATTTTTGTATTTTTAGTAGAAATGGGGTTTCGCCATGTTGGCCAGACTAGTCTCGAACTCCTGACGTCAAGTGATCCCCTGCCTTGGTCTTCCAAAGTGCTGGGACTACAGGCGTGAGCCACCGTGCCCAACCTCCAATGATGTTTTTGTTTTGTTTTGTTTTGTTTTGTTTTAGAAACAGGGTCTCACTCTGTCACCAAGCTGGAGTGCAGTGGCACAATGACGGCTCACTGCAGCCTCGACCTCTTGGGCTCAAGCAATCCTCCTGCCTCAGCCTCCCAAGTAGCTGAGACTAGAGGCACACACCACCATGCCTGGCTAATTTTTTAATATTTTGTAGAGATGGGTTCTTGCTATGTTGCCTAGGCTGGTCTCCAACTACTGGGCAACTCTAAGCAATCCTATTGCCTTAGACTCCCAAAGTGCAATTATGAGCCACCATACCTGGCCTCACTGATGTTTTATTACAACTTCACTGTGTAGATGAGGAAACTGAGGCTCAGAGGCTTGCCAGGGTCCCTTAGTGGGACTGGAGCCTGTTAGACTTCATAGACCAGGGATCTCCTTTCTCCTTCCCAGGACCTGGTCTCCAACCCCCATGACCCCTTCACTGAATGCCTGGATTTCTCCATTTCTCCCCGCCTCTCAGGCCCCACCAAGCGCAGCACCCTGGCCCCGGGATTGTTGTGGTGGGACCTCGCACGGCAGACAGCATCAGTGGCCCCCAAGGAAGAAGTGGCCATCCTGGATGACAACTTGGTCAAGGTCAGTCTTAGGCTGGGTTCCCAGATCTAGAGGCAGCCAAGTGACTTTAGGACGTGACCACAGCTCAGGGGAGGGACATGGTATATCAGCACCTTTCTCCATCGCTCATTATCTCCAGTCAAAAGACTCTATTGGGAGCTGATTCATCCTCAACAGTTTTTATCTCCCTTCACAAGGACTGAACAGAGTTTAATACTATTCCTTTTTGTTTGTTTGTTTTTTGAGACAGAGTCTCGCTCTGTTGCCCAGGCTGGAGTGCAGTGGTGCAATCTCGGCTCACTGCAACCTCCACATCCCGAGTTCAAGCGATTCTCCTGCCTCAGCCTCCTGAGTAGTTGCTACTACAGGCGCATGCCACCGCACCCAGCTAATTTTTATGTTTTTAGTAGAGATGGGGTTTCACCATGTTGCCCAGGCTGGTCTCGAACTCCTGACCTCAAATGATCCACCCACCTTAGACCCCCAAAGTGCTGGGATGACAGGCATGAGCCACCGAGCCCAGCCTCATCTTCAAGTTTTTGTTATCTCCCTTCATAAGGACTGAACAAAGTTGAATACTATTCCTTTTTGTCGTTATCTGTTTTTACAGTGACTTCCAATCTTTGGCAGGTGAAACTGGTGTGCTGTTAGGGTATTGATGTAAAGTCTCTTCTTAAAATAAAATTACTTAATTCAAAAGTGAGTCAACTTGGGGAAAAAATCTTACATAAGAAACACAACAGATGGTAAACCGATTTTGGCTAAAACCGCGTGGTTGCTTTGTGAATTCCCAGAGTTTGGAAAATGCTGTCCCTGGGGGACCTGATCCCATGCCTACCCCTGTTTTGGAATCCCTGTTCCATTCTCTCATTTATTGAGCACCTGCTGTGTACCCAGTCCTGCTCTGGGCTATGGTCTAAGACCCCCACCCCACCCTCATCTAGCAGGGGCAGGTGAAAACTAAAAAGAGAAACATGTAGGGTCTGTCTCAGTATGTGATAAGCATTCAAAAGATAATACAACCAGATGCTGTCAGGCCGGGCACGGTAGCTCACGCCTGTAATCCCAGCACTTTGGGAGGTTGAGGTGGATCGCTTGAGGCCAGGAGTTCAAGACCAGCCTGTCGAACATGGCAAAACCCTGTCTCTACTAAAAATACAAAAATTAGCCGGGCATGGTGGCGTGTGCCTGTAATCCCAGCTACTCAGTGGAATGAGGCAGAAGAATTGAACAATTGAACCCGGGAGGTAGAGGTTGTAGTGAGCTGAGATCGCGCCACTGCATTCCAGCCTGGGTGACAGAGCAAGACTTCGTCAAAAAGATAGGAAAGCAGGAAGGGAGGGAGGGAGGGAAAAGAAGGAAGGAAAGGAAAGAGCCAGGCGTGATGGCTCACCCCTGTAATCCCAGCACTTTGGGAGACTTAGGCAGGTGCATCACCTGAGGTCAGGAGTTCGAGACCACCCTGGCCAACATGGTGAAACCCCATCTCTACTAAAAATACAAAAAATTAGCCGGGTGTGGTGGTGCATGCCTATAATTCCAGCTATTCGGAAGGCTGAGGCAGGAGAATCGATTGAACTCAGGAGGTGGAGGTTGCAGAGAGCAGAGATTGTGCCATTGCACTCCAGCCTGGGCAACAACAGCCAGACACTGTCAGAAAGAAAGAAAAGACAGAGAGAGAGAGAGAGAGAGAGAGAGAGAGAGAGAGAGAGAGAGAGCAAGCTAAAAAGAAAAACGTGTAGGGTCTCAGCATGATAAATATTCAAAGGATAATAAAACCGGATGCTGTGATGGGGAGCAACTTTAGCCAGGGAAGTCAGGGGTGGCCTCTTGGGAGAGGTGACATTGATTGACCCTGAGTTAGGAGAAGAGGAACCAGCCACAGACAGGAACAGCTTTGACTGAGAAGGGGATTGGGAGGGGAGGGGTTTGCCTGAAGGTGTTTAAAGCTCCCTCCAGCTGCCCTAGAGAAGTGTTTATCTTTTCTTTCTTTCCTCTTTTCTTTTCCTTTCTCTTCTTTTCTTTTTTTTCTTTCTCTCTCTTTTTTTGTTCTTTATTATTTTATTTTTCTTTTTTGTTGTCTTTGTTTTATTTGTGTGTTTTTTTTCTTTTTTGTCTTTTTTTTTTTTCCTTTTTTTGAGATAGGGACTCACTCTATTGCCCAGGCTGGAGTGTAGTGGCATGACCATGGCTCACTGCAGCCCCAACCTCCATGGTCCGAGAAATTCTCCCATCTTTCAACCTCCTGAGTAGCTGGGATTATAGGCATGCACCACCGAGTCTGGTTAATTTTTTTATTTTTGGTAGAGATGGGGTTTTGCCATATTGGCCAGGCTGGTCTTAAACTCCTGGGCTCAAGTGATCTGCCCACCTTGGCCTCCCAAAGTGCTAGGATTACAGGGGTGAGCCACCGTGCCCGGCCAGAAATATTTATTTTCTTGAAGGTGAACAGGCAGAGAAGCAGAGAAAGGAGGGAGGAACTATAGCAGGCATCTGAGAAAGCGTTGATGGCCTGGGCTGTAGGTGACATGTGAGTGGGGAAGAGAAGCGCATGGAAATTTTGGAGGCAGAGCGGGCAGGACTGGCCCGTGCACTGAGCAAGGGGATAGTATGCAATTCTGTGCACGCCCCGTCCCGCCAGGTCATCAGTAGCCCATCTGGGAGATGAGCTGACACGGAACAGGGTGGGGACAGGGTCTCTGATGGGGTCTCTTTTTCCCACTTTTCCCCAGGGTCCTGAAGAACTCCCCACTGGAAACAAGAAGCCCCCTGGCTTCCTGCCCACCAATGAGGATCGTCTGTTTTTCTTGGGGCAGAAGGAGCTGGAGGGGGCTGGCTCTTGGACCCCCTGTGTTGGACATGATGGTGGTCGAGACCAGCAGGAGACAAACCTCTGAGGACAGGGCCAGCCGCGGGACTGACACCCTGGGATGGAACCTCAGGATGGGCCAAACCCAGACAACGGGCCCATGGCCTTGGGCTCTGATTGGCTGGATTGCCTTGTATGCAAATGAGTTCAGGACTACAATACCCTACCCTATGGGGAGGCCCTGCCTCCGGGAGGTCATTTTTTAAATCCAGCCCCTTGCTTCAACCGTCCCCAGTATTAGACGCTGCAGCCCTGACGGCTCCCCCCAAATAAGGCTGGGTTTTTCTCTCTCTCTTTTTTTTTTTTTTTTTTTTTTGAGACAGGGTCATGCTCTGTCACCCAGGCTGGAGTGCAGTGGTGTGATCTCGGCTCACTGCAACCTCTGCCTCCCAGGCTCAAGTGATTCTCCTGCCTCAGCCTCTTGAGTAGCTGGGATTGTAGGTGCCCACCACCATGCCCAGCCAACTTTTTGTATTTTTAGTAGAGACAGGGTTTCACCATGTTGGTCAGGCTGGTCTCGAACTCCTGACCTCAAGTGATCCACCTGCCTCGGCCTCCCAAAGTGCTGGGTTACAGGCGTAAGCTACCATGCCCAGCCTACCGTTTTTCTCAATCTATAATAGAAAGCCACCACGCCCAGGTAATTTTTGTAATTTTGTATTTTTGTAGAGACGGGGTTTTGCCATGTTGGCCAGGCTGGTCTCAAACTCCTGATCTCAGGTGATCCTCCTGCCTTGGCCTCCCAAAGGGCTGGGATTACAGGGGTGAGCCACCGCGCCCCACCTCTTTCTTATTTTCTTCCTGGGATTGGGGAGGGGATGATTCAGACCCCACATGGCCTCCAACCTTGGCCCACACACCTGCCATGGCTCCCATCATCCTGAGCATGCTAGCGTCCCCTCCTCACCTGACAATGGAGGCTCTCGAATTGGGTTGTGTCCCCCCAAAATTTATGTCTACCCAGAACCTCAGAACATGAGCTTACTTGGAAATAGGGTCTTTGCAGGTGTAACTGGTTAAATTAAAAGAGGTATTACTGGAGGAGGATGGATGAATCCAGTGACTGGTTCCTCATATGAAGTAGAGAAGAGATGCAGAGAAACACATGGGGAAGATGCCACGTGAAGACAGAGGCAGTGGTTGGATCAATGCATCTACGAGTCGGAGAACCCAAGGATTGCCAGCAACAACCAGAAATCAGGAGGGGGGCATGAGATGCATTATTTCTTAGAGCCTTTAGAGGGAACATGGCCCTACTGACACCTTGATGTCAGACTTCTGGCTGCTAGAACTGTCAGAGAATAAATTTCTGTTGTTTGATGCCACCAGGCCTATAGTGGTTTGTGACAGCAGCCACAGGAGCTCATACACCTTTTTTTTTTTTTTTTTTTTTTTTTTTTTTTTTAAGGCAGAGTCTCGCTCTGTCGCCCAGACTGGAGTGCAGTGGTGCGATCTTGGCTCACTGAAACCTCTGCCTCCCAGATTCTCCTTCCTCAGCCTCTGGAGGAGCTGGGATTACAGGCATGTGCCACCATTCCCGGCTGACTTTTGTATTTTTAGTAGAGACGGGGTTTCACCATGTCGGTCAGGCTGATCTCGAACTCCTGACCTCAAGTGATCTGCCTGCCTCAGCTTCCCAAAGTGCTGGGATTATAGGCGTGAGCCACTGCGCCCGGCCTCATACACACCTTCTGATCCCGCTTCTCTCCACCCCTTGGAGACCTGGTCCTCTGTGCCCGCTGTTGGGATTGGACACCTTTAGATTTGGACTTAAAACTGGCCATTACAACTTTAAAATCGATGACTGGACGGGTGTGGCGTCTCATGCCTGTAATCCCAGCACTTCGGGAGGCTGAGGCGGGCAGATCACTCGAGGTCAAGAGTTCAAGACCAGACTGGCCAACATGGTGAAACCCCATCTCTACTAAAAATACAAAAATTAGCCGGGTGTGGTGGCGGGCGCCTGTAGTCCCAGGTACTCGGGAGGCTGAGGCAGGAGAATCGCTTGAACCTGGGAGGCAGAGGTTGCAGTGAGATCACGCCACTGCATTCCAGCCTGAGTGACAGAGCAAGACTATGTCTCAAAAAAATATATATATATGTATATGTGTGTGTGTGTGTGTGTGTGTGTGTATATATATATATAAAATCAAATCAATGACTGAGCAACGTGGTAAGCAGATTTTCCACCTCTGTGTAGTCCTCACTCAAAACAGAGCCCAAATCTGAGATGGGAGGAGGTGCCCGGGGTAGGGATGGGCTAATGTTCCCCCAAGTGAGCAGAAGAAGCTTATCTGGCTGCAGTATAGAGATCCTTCCACGGCGTTATTCATTCCGTTTACTGCGGAGTAGTATTCCATTGTGCAAAAGGACCATAGTTTGTTATCTATACACCAGTTGATGTATGGGTTGTTTGCCACTTTTGGCTATGAGAAATAAAGTTGCTATGAACATTCATGTACGAGTCTTTGTATGGAGGCTGGGCACAGTGTCTCACGCCTGTAATTCCAACACTTTGGGAGACCAAGGCAGGAGGATTGCTCAAGACCAGGAGTTTGAGAACAGCCTGGGCAATATAACGAGACCCCATCTCTATAGAAAAATTTCTTTTTTTTTTTTTTTTTTTTTGTTTTTTTTGAGACGGAGTCCCACTCTGTCCCCCAGGCTGGAGTGCAGCGGTGCGATCTCGGCTCACTGCAAGCTCCGCCTCCCGGGTTCACGCCATTCTCCTGCCTCAGCCTCCCGAGTAGCTGGGACTACAGGCGCCGGTTGCCACCAAGCCCGGCTAATTTTTTTTGCATTTTTAGTAGAGACGGGATTTCACCATGTTAGCCAGGATGGTCTTGATCTCCTGACCTCGTGATCCGCGTGCCTCAGCCTCCCAAAGTGCCGGGATTACAGGCGTGAGCCACCGCGCCTGGCCAGTCATCTCTACTTTTGTAAGCAGACAGGGAGGGCCTCCAGGTCTACAGGAATTTTTTTTTTTTTTTTTTTTTTTTTTTGAGATGGAGTCTTGCTCTGTTGCCCAGGCTGGAGTGCAATGGCGTGATCTAGGCTCACTGCAACCTCTGCCTCCTGGGTTCAAGTGATTCTCCTGCCTCAGCCTCCTGAGTAGCTGGGACTACAGGCATGTGCCCACTGCGCCCAGCTAATTTTGTATTTTTAGTAGAGACAAGGTTTCACCATGTTGGCCAGGCTGGTCTCCAACTCCTGACCTCCAGTCATCTGCCCACCTTGGCCTCCCAAAGTGCTGGGATTACAGTGAGCCACTGCGTCTGGCCAGGGATTCAGGAATTCTTTTTTTAATGGTTTTTTCTTTCTTTCTTTCTTTTTTGAGGCGGAGTCTTGCTCTGTCACCCAGGCTGGAGTGCAGTGGCATGATCTCAGCTCACTGCAGCCTCCGCCTCCCAGACTCAAGTGATTTTCCTGCCTCAGCCTCCCTAGTAGCTGGGATTACAGGCATGCACCACCACAGCCAGCTAGTTTTTGTATTTTTAGTAGAGACAGGGTTTTGCCGTGTTGGCTAGGCTGGTCTCGAACTGCTGACCTCAATTGATCCACCAGCCTCGGCCTCCCAAAGTGCTGGGATTACAGGCGTGAGCCACTGCACTCAGCCTGGACTACAGAAATTTAACCAGCTTGAGCATATGAGCCTGTTTTACAGCCCCCTGCCCCATAGCTTGTTTTTTTGTAGAAAAAAAAACAAGTAGAACCCCATGTAGAATGTGGTCACCTGGTTGGCTGGAACCAGTTTATGACAGACCTCAGCAACTTATAGATGGACTGGTGAACTCTAATTTTTACCGTGCTAAAGTTTCCACCCTAGGCCAGGAGCGGTGGCTCACACCTGAAATCCCAGCGCTTTGGGAGGCAGAGGAGGGAGGATCACCTGAGGTCAGGAGCTCAAGACCAACATGGCCAATATGGGGAAACCCCATCTGTACTAAAGATACAAAAATTAGCCGGGTGTGGTGACACATGTCTATAATTCCAGCTACTCGGGAGGCTGAGGCAGGAGAATCACTTGAACCCGGGAGCCAGAGGTTGCAGTGAGCCAAGATCGCGCCACTGCACTCCAGCCTGGGCAACAGAGTGAGACTCTGTCTCAATCAATCAATCAATCAATCAATCAATAAAGTTTCCACGCTGGGAGGAACTACAGCTCAATGCCTTCACAATGCGACCTACGTGCTGGCGTGACGGCTCATTGTATCTGCGCCACTGCGACACTTTCTATGCGTGCAATAATGTACCCTCTCCCCTCTCCATTGCCCCAGAAAACCCTCCTGTCACTTTCCCTCTTGGGGACACTGCTTTGGAAAAAAAGCAAAGCCCACTCCTGATTCTTTGCTTACTTGGGACAAGTAATAAAACCCCTATTGATCAAAACCTGCGTTCTTTTGGAGAGTTGTTTGTTACTAGGCAAATGAACCCCCTTTTTCTTGGGTAACATTTTCATTTTTCTTGGGGTATCTAGAAGTAAAATGGCTGGATCTGACAGTAGATATATGTTTGACTTTTTAAGAAACTGCAAGCCGGGCACAGTGACCCATGCTTATAATCCCAGCACTTAGGGAGGCTGAGGCGGGAGGATCGCTTGAGCCTAGGAGTTCGAGGCCGGCCTGGGCAACATGGAGAAACCCTGTCTCTAGAAAAAAAAAAAAATAGCTGGGCATGGTGGCATGCACCTGTAGTCCCAGCTACTTGGAAGGCTGAGGTGGGGGGATCCCTCGAGCCCCAGAGATCAAGGCTGCAGTGAGCCATGACTGTACCCCTGCACTCCAACCTGGGCGACAGAGCAAGACCCTGTCTCAAAAAAAAAAAAAAAAAAAGGCTGGAGTGCAGTGGTGCAATCACAGCTCACTGCAGCCTCCACCTCCTGGGTTCAAGCGATTCTCATACCTCAGCCTCCCGAGTAGCTGGGATTACAGGCGCTCACTACCATGCCTGGCTAATTTTTGTATTTTTAGTAGAGATAGGGTTTCGCCATGTTGATCAGGCTGGTCTGGAACTCCTGACCTCAAGTGATCTGCCTGCCTCAGCCTCCCAAAGTGCTGGGATTACAGTCATGAGCCACTGCACCTGGCTGCAAAAAAAGGGGAAATTTAGTTTCATTTTGGGTTAATTTTCGTATATGAGGTAAGGGTCTGATATGGTTTAACTCTGTGTTCCCACCCAAATCTCATCTTGAATTGTACTCCCATAATTCCCACGTGTTGTGGGAGGGAGCTGGTGGGAGATAATTGAATCATGGGGGCGGTTCCCCCCATACTGTTCTTGCGGTAGTTGTGGTAGTGAATAAGTTTCACGAGATCTGATGTTTTTTGTTTGTTTGTTTGTTTTGCTTTGTTTTTTTTTTTGAGACAGAGTCTTGCTCTTTTGCCCAGGCTGGAATGCAGTGACATGATCTCAGCTCACTGCAACTTCCACCTCTCGGGTTCAAGCAATTCTCCTGCCTCAGCCTCCCAAGTAGCTGGGACTACAGGTGCCTGCCACCAAGCCCGTCTAATTTTTTGTATTTTAGTAGAGAGTAGAGGGTTTCACTGTGTTGCCCAGGCTGGTCTCGAACTCCTGAGCTCAGGCAATCTGCCTGCCTCAGCCTCCCAAAGTGCTAGGATTACAGGCATGAGCCACCGTGTCTGGCCGAGATCTGATGGTTTTATCAGGGGTTTCCACTTTTGCATCTTCCTCATTTTCTCTTGCCACTGCCATGTAAGAAGTGCTTTTCACCTCCTGCCATGATTCTGAGGCCTCCCCAGCCGTGTAGAACTGCAAGTCCAATTAAACCTCTTTTTCTCTGTCTCGGGTATGTCTTTATTAGCAGTGTGAAAACAGACTAATACAGTAAATTGGTACTGGGAGTGGGGCATTGCTGAAAAGATACCTGAAAATGTGGAAGTGACTTTGGAACTGGGTAACAGGCAGAGGTTGGAACAGTTTGGAAGGCTCAGAAAAAGACACGAAAATGTGGGAAAGTTTGGAACTTCCTAGAGACTTGTTGAATAGCTTTGCCCAAAATGCTGATAGTGATATGGACAATAAGGTCCAGGCTGAGGTGGTCTCAGATGGAGATGAGGAACATGTTGGGAACTGGAGCAAAGGTGACTGTTGTTATGTTTTAACAAAGAGACTGGCAGCATTTTGCCCCTGACCTAGAGATATGTGGAATGTTGAACTTTGAGAGAGATGATTTAGGGTATCTGGTGGAAGAAGTTTCTAAGCAGCAAAGCATTCAAGAGGTGACTTATGTGCTGTTAAAAGCATTCAGTTTTAAAAGGGAAACAGAGCATAAAAGTTTGAAAAATTTGCAGCCTGACAATGTGATAGAAAAAAAATTGCATTTTCTAAGGAGAAATTCAAGCCAACTGCAGAAATTTGCATAAGTAATGAGGAATCGAATGTTAATCCCCAAGACAATGGGGAAAATGTCTCCAGGGCATGTCAGGGGTCCTCACAGCAGCCCCTCCCATCACAGGGCTGGAGGCCTAGGAGGAAAAAGTGGTTTTGTGGGCTGGGCCCAGGGTCCCCAAGCTATGTACAGTCTAGGGACTTGGTGTCCTGTGTCCCAGCCGCTCCAGCCATGGCTGAAAAAGGCGAATGCAGAGCTCAGGCCATGGCTTCAGATGGTGCAAGCCCCAAGCCTTGGCAGCTCCCACATGGCATTGAGCCTGTGGGTGCACAGAAGTCAAGAATCAAGGTTTGGGAACCTCCACCTAGATTTCAGAAGATGTATGGAGATGCCTGGATGCCCAGGCAGAAGTTTGCTGTAAGGGTGGGGCTCTCATGGAAAACCTCTCCTAGGGCAGTGCAGAAGGGAAATATGGGGTCAGAGCCCCTACATAGAGTCTCTACTGGGGTACTGCCTAGTGGAGCTGTGAGAAGAGGGCCACCATCCTCCAGACACCAGAATGGTAGATCCACCGACAGCTTGCACAATATGCCTGGAAAAGCCACAGACACTCAACACCAGCCCGTGAAAGCAGCTGGGAGGAACGCCGTACCCTGCAAAGTCACAGGGACGGAGCTGCCCAAGATCATGGGAACCCACCTCTTGCATCAGCATGACCTGGATGTGAGACATGAAGTCAAAGGAGATAATGTTGGAGCTTTAGGATTTGAATGCCCCGCCGGATTTCAGACTTGCATGGGGTCTGTAGCCCTTTGTTTTGGCCAATTTCTCCCATTTTGAATGGCTGTATTTACCCAATGTCTGTACTTCCATTTCCATCTAGGAAATAACTAACTTGCTTTTGATTTTACAGGCTTATAGGCAGAAAGAACTTGCTTGTCTCAGATGAGACTTTGGACTGTGGACTTTTGAGTTAATGCTGAATTGAGTTAAGACATTGGGGGACTGTTGGGAAGACATGATTGGTTTTGAAATGTGAGGATATGAGATTTGGCAGGAGCCAGGGGCAGAATGATGTAGTTTGGCCCTGTGTCCCCTCCCAAATCTCATCTTGAATTGTACTCCCATAATTCTCATGTGTTGTGGGAGGGACCTAGTGGGAGATAATCGAATCGTGGGGGCGGTTTCCCCCATACTGTTCTCGTGGTAGTGAGTAAGTCTCACGAGATCTGATAGTTTTATCAAGGGTTTCTGCTTTTGTGTTTCCCTCATTTTCTCTGGCCACTGCCATGTAAGAAGTGCCTTTTGCCTCCTGCCATGATTCTGAGGCCTCCCCAGCCATGTGGACCTGCAAGTCCAATTAAACCTCTTTTTCTCAGTCTCAGGTATGTCTTTATTAGTAGCGTGAAAATGGACTAATACAGGGTCCAACGTCATCATTTTGCTGTGGATATCCAGTTTTCCGCAGAATTTGTTGAAAAACACTTGTCCTTTCCCATTTAATGGTCTTGGCATCCTTGTCAAAAATCATCTCACTGTATATTAAGGGTTTATTTCTGGGCTCTCCATGTCTTTTACTGATCTATATGTCTGTCTATGTAATTTTGACCTCAAGGTTCCTTGAGATGAATTTAAGAATGGATTTTTCTCTTTCTGAAAAAAAATTGAGATTTTGATAGGATTGCTTTGAATCAACGGATCACTTTGGGTACTATAGCCATCTTAACAATATTAAGTCTTCTAATTCATGAACATGGGATGTCTTTCTGGTATTTTTGTCTTTAATTTATTTCAGCGATGATTTGCAGTTTTCAGTGTACAAGTCTTTTGGCCCCTTGGCTAAGTTTTTCTTAAGTTTTTTATTCTTTTGGACACTACCATAAGTGGAATTTTTTTCTTACAGTGAGCTGTGATCTTGCAGTGAGCCTCAGTTGTGCCACTTCGGTTTTTTTTTCTTTTCTAAAGCAAATAACAAGACACAGTTTACCATTTTTACTTTTTAAAACCTAACCTTGGCTGGGTGCAGTGGCTCATGCCTGTAATTCTAGCACTCTGGGAGGCCGAGGTAGGTGGATCACTTGAGGCCAAGAATTCAAGACCAGCCTGGCCGACATGGTGAAGCTCCATCTCTACTAAACATATAAAAATTAGCTGGGTACCTATAATCTCAGCTACTTGGGAGGCTGAGGTGGGAGGATCACTTGAACCCGGGAGGTGGAGACTACAGTGAGCCGAGATCGTACCATTGCACTCCAGCCTGGATGATAGAATGAGACTCCATCTCAAAAAAAAAAAAACATACAAAAAAAACCCCACCCAGCCTTAACACTACATATTTTTATTTTTACTTTTTTAAGACAAATTCTCACTCTGTCTCTCAGGCTAGAGTGCAGTGGCCCGAACTCACTGCAGCCATGAACCCCTGGGTTTAAGTTATCCTCCCACCTCAGCCTTCCAAGTAACTGGGACTACAAGCATGCACCATCACACCTGGTTAATTTTTAAAATTTTTTGTAGAGATGGGGCCCCACTATGTTGCCCAGGCTGGTCTCGAACTCTTGGGCTCAAGTGATCTTCCTGTGTCATCCTCCCAAAGTGCTGGGATTATAGGCGAGAGCCACCACACCCGACCTCATATGCCTTTTTCACATCCTGGGGTGAGGCATGTCTCTGCATGCCTGGAACTTAGTGGTAAGCCTCCATGTTGTAACAGATGGTGGGACCAGGTCCAAGAATGCAGGCAGCCAGTGGTGGGAAGCAGGGGAGGCTGAAGGCGACCCGGGTATCCTCTGGGCTTCTGCAGGGTTGTGCTGGTGGTGATAGTGGTGGAGGTTCTTTGTGCTTTCGTTTTTCTCCTTTCTCCAACAACAAACTGGAATTGGTTTCTTTTTTCATTGTTGTTGTTGTTGTTGTAGAGACAGGGTCTCTGTCACAGAGGCTGGGATGCAGTGGTATGATCACAGCTCACTGCAGCTTCAACCTCCAGGGCTCAAGTAATCCTCCAGCCTCAGCGTCCTGAGTAGCTGTGACTACAGAAAGCACCAGCATGCCTGGCTAATCTTAAAATTTTTTGTGGAGATGGGGTCTTGCTATGTTGCCCAGGCTGGTCTTGAACTCCTGGGCTCAAGTGATCCTCCCATCTCAGACTCCCAAAGTGTTGGGATTACAGATGTGAACCACTGTGCCTGGCCTGTTTGCCTAATTTCCTTTTCAGATTGTTCGTTGTTAGTGGTGTAGAAATACAATTGATTTTTTTTTTTTTTTTGAGATGGAGTCTCGCTCTGTGGCCCAGGCTAGAGTGCAGTGGTGTGATCTCGGCTCACTGCAACTTCCGCCTCCTGGTTTCAAGCGATTCTCCTGCCTCAGCCTCCCGAGTAGCTGGGACTACAGGCGCGTGCCACCATTCCCAGCTAATTTTTGTATTTTTAGTAGAGACAGGGTTTCCCCATGTTGGCCAGGATGGTCTTGAACTCTTGACCTCATGATCCACCTGTCTCAGCCTTCCAAAGTGCTGGGATTACAGGCGTGAGCCACCGTGCCCAGCCAATAAAATCGATTTTTGGGGGTTGATTTTGTATTCTGCAAATTTGCTCAATTTGCTTATTTTAACAGGCTTCTGTGGACATGTGTGTAACTTCTGGGATACTCTATGTATAAGATCATGTCATCTGCAAACAGAGATCATTTTATTCCTTCTTTTCCAGTTTGGATGCAGAAATTTTCAATTTCTGTTTCATGCCTAGTCACATTGGCTAAAACTTCATAGAGAGAGAGAGAGGGATACGGAATCTTGGTCTGTCACCCAGGTTGGAGTGCCGTGGTGTGATCTTGGCTCACTACAACCTCCACCTCCCACGTTCAAGCAATCCTCCTGCCTCAGCCTCCCCAGTAGCTGGGATTACAGGCATGTGCCACCACGCCTGGCTAATTTTTGTATTTTCAGTAGAGATGGGGTTTCACCATGTTGGCCAGGCTGGTCTCGAACTCCTGACCTCAAGTGATTCGCTCATCTTGGCCTCCCAAAGTACTGGGATTACAGACATGAGCCACCACACCCGGCCTGTAGGATGTTTAGCAACATCTCTGGCCTCATCCCTCTAGGTGCCAGTAGCACCACCATCCACTCCAGTTGTGACAATCAAAATTGTTTCCAGACATGGCGATTGTTCCCTAAGGCCTGGGGCAGAGTAGGAGAGTGGAATCATCCTTGCTTGAGGATCACTATTCTGCACTAAAAAAGAATCAAAAAGGATATGTAGGGTTCTCTTTTCCATAATATGTATTTATTATTTTTTAATTTTTTCGATACGGAGTCTTGCTCTGTTGCCCAGGCTGGAGTGCAGTGGCACAATCTTGGCTCACTGCAACCTCCGCCCTCTGGGTTCAAGCAATTCTCCTGCCTTACCGTCCCAAGTAGCTGGGATTACAGGTGCATGCCACCACGCCCAGCTAATTTTTGTAGTAGAGATGGGTTTTCGACATGTTGGCCAGGCTGGTCTCGAACTCCTGACCTCGTGATCCGCCTGCCTCGGCCTCCCGAAGTGCTGGGATTACAGGCATGAGTGACCATGCTCAGCCTATATTTAAATTTTTATTTCCCCCGAGATGGAGTTTCGCTCTTACTGCCCCAGCTGAAGTGCAATGATGCAATCTCGGCTCACTGCAACCTCCGCCTCCTGGGTTCAAAGTGATTCTCCTGCCTCAGCCTCCCGAGTAGCCGAGATTACAGGTGCCCGCCACCACACCCGGCTAATTTTTTGTATTTTTAGTAGAGATGGGGTTTCATCATGTTGCCCAGGCTGGTCTCAAATTGCTGACCTCAGGTGATCCACCCTCCTTGACCTCCCAAAGTGCTGGGATTGTAGGCGTGAGCCATCGCGACTGGACTATTTTTAATATTTAAAGTGATTCATTTTTATAGCCAGAAAAGAACATTTTGAAATTATTGGCCAGGTACACTGGCTCATGCTTGTAATACAAAAATACAAAAATTAGCCAGCTGTGGTGGCTTGTGCCCATAGTCCCAGCTACTTGGGAGGACCACTTGAGCCCAGGAGGCGGAGGTTGTAGTGAGCCAAGATCATGCTACTACACTCCAGCCTGGGCAGCAGAGCGAGCACTTTTCTCAAAAAGAAAGAAAAAAAGAAATTATTTACATTTATTGAGCACACAATATGTGCCAAGCAGTTTACCCATATATTAAAAGTATTGATATTTGCCGGGCTCAGTAGCTCACACATGTAATCCCAGCACATTGGGAGGCCAAAGCGGGTAGATTACCTGAGGTCAGGAGTTCGAGACCAGCCTGACCAACATGGAGAAACCCCGTCTCTACTAAAAAAAAAAAAAAAAAAAAAAAAAAAATACAAAATTAGCCGGGTGTGGTGGCACATGCCTGTAGTCCCAGCTACTCGGGAGGCTGAGGCAGGACAATCACTTGAACCCAGGAGGTGGAGGTTGCGGTGGGCCAAGATCGTGCCATTGCACTCCAGCCTGGGCAACAAGAGTGAAACTCCGTCAAAGTCTGTTTTGTTTTGTTTTGTTTGAGATGGAGTCTCGCTCTGTCACCCAGGCTGGAGTGCAGTGGTGCAATCTCGGCTCACTGCAAGCTCCATCTCCCAGATTCATGCCATTCTCCTGACTCAGCCTCCCGAGTAGCTGGGACTACAGGCGCCTGCCACTATGCCCAACTAATTTTTTGTATTTTTAGTAGAGATAGAGTTTTGCCGTGTTAGCCAGGATGGTCTCGATCTCCTGACCTCGTGATCCACCCCCCTTGGCCTCCCAAAGTGCTGGGATTACAGGCGTGAGCCACCATGCCCAGCAAAAAATAAAATAAATAAAGTATTGATGTTTATTGCTGGATTTGGTGGCTCATGCCTATAATCCCAGGGCTTTCAAAGGCTGAGGCAGGAGGATCACTTGAGGCCAGGAATTTGAAACCAGCTTGAAAAATATAGTGAGACCTTCATCTCTAAAAATAAAAAAATTAATCAGGCAGGGTGGTGTGTACCTATAGTTCTAGCTACTCAGGAGGCAGAGTCAGAAGGATTGCTTGAGCCCAGGAGTTCTAGGCTGCAAGGAGCTATGACCATGCCACTGCACTCTAGCCTAGGTAACAGTGAAACTTGTCTCTTAAAAAAATATGTGTTGGCCGGGCATGGTGGCTCACGCCTGTAATCCCAGCACTTTGGGAGGCCAAGGCAGGTGGGTCACCTGAGGTCAGGAGTTCCAGACCAGCCTGGCCAACATGGCGAAACCCTGTCTCTACTAAAAAAGTACAAAAATTAGCCGGGCATGGTGGCGAGCACCTATAATCCCAGCTACTCAGGAGGCTGAGGCAAGAGAAGCTTGAACCCAGGAGGTGGAGGTTGCAGTGAGCCAAGATGGCACCATTGCACTCCAACCTGGGCGACAAGAGTGAGACTCTGTCTCAAAAAAAAAAAAAATGTGTTGATGTTTATTGAGCAGAGACTCAGTAGGATACACTTTTTCTTTTCTCTTTTTTCTTTTTGAGACAGAGTCTCACCCTGTCGCCTAGGCTGGAGTGCAATGGTGCAATCTCAGCTCACTGCAACCTTGGCCTCCCAGGTTCAAATGATTCTCCTGCCTCATCCTCCTGAGTAGCTGGGATTACAGGTGCACACCACCATGCCCAGCTAATTTTTTTTTTTTTTTTGAGATGGAGTTTCATTCTTGTTGTCCAGGCTGGAGTGCAATGGCACAATCTCAGCTCATTGCAACCTCCACTTCCCTGGTTTAAGTGATTCTCCTGCCTCAGCCTCCCAAGTAGCTAGGATTACAGGTGCACTCCACCATGCCTGGCTAATTTTGTATGTTTTTTTAGTAGAGACAGGGTTTCTCCATGTTGGTCAGACTGGTCTCAAACTCCCGACCTCAGGTGATCTGCTCACCTCGGCCTCCCAAAGTGCTGGGATTACAGGCGTGAGCCACCACACCCTGCACTATTTTTTTTTTTAATCTTTAGTAGAGATTGGGTTTCACCATGTTGGCCAGGCTGGTCTCAAACTCCTGACCTTGTGATCCTCCTGCCTCAGGCTCCCAAAGTGCTGGGATTATAGACATGAGCCACCACGCCCAGCCAAGACTCAGTAGGATACACTTTTTTTGAAGTAATTATTTTATTGATGTTTAAAAAATTAATAGGCTTTATTTTTTAGAGCAATTTTAGGTTTATAGTAAAATTAAGCAGAAATTTCAGAGAGCTCTCATATACGTCTTCTATTCTCCTTCACCCCCACAATTTCCCCTATTATTAATATCTTTCATTAGAGTGGTATATTTGTTACAATAGATGAACAAATATTAATACATTATTATTATTATTATTATTTGAGACAGAGTTTTGCTCTGTCACCCAGGCTGGAGTGCAGTGGCATGATCTCAGCTCACTGCAACCTCTGCCTCCTGAGTTCAGGCAATTCTCCTGCCTTAGCCTCCCAAGTAGCTAGGATTACAGGTGTGTGCCACCACGCCCTGCTAATTTTTTGTGTGTTTAGTAGAGACGGGGTTTCACCATGTTGGTCAGTCTGGTCTCAAACTCCTGATCTCAGGTGATCCACCTGCCTCGGCCTCCCAAAGTGCTGGGATTACAGGTGTGAGCCACCGCACCCAGCCTAATACATTATTATTACTGAAGTCTACCTTTTACATTAGGGTTCACTCTTGGGTTGTGTATTCTATTGGTTTTGACAAATGCACAATGATGTGTATCCAACATCACAACCTATCATACTGAATATTTTCACTGCCCTAAAAATCCCCTGTATTTGGCTGGGTGCAGTGGCTCATGCCTGAAATCCCAGCACTTTGGGAGGCTGAGGCGGGTGAATCAAGAGGTCAGGAGTTCAAGACCAGCCTGACCAATAAGGTGAAACCCTGTCTCTACTAAAAATACAAAAGTTAGCTGGGAGTGGTGGCGCTCATCTGTAGTCCCAGCTACTTGGGAGGCTGAGGCAGAAGGATCGCTGGAACCCAGGAGGTGGAAGTTGCAGTGAGCTGAGACCATGCTATTGCATTCCAGCCTGGGTGACAGAGCGAGACTCTGTCTCAATAAATAAATAAATAGTCCCCCATGGTTAATCTATATTGGTCTTGCTTTTAGCGTCCTCCTCAGTTCTATTCATTTTGTTAATTTATTCTTTTTTATTTTCTGTAAATGGTCATATCATCTGGTTTCAATTCTTTTTCTTATCTTATTGCATTGTCCAGCACCTCCACATAAGCACGAAATATTAGCCATGATTTGAGGCATTCCTGCCTCATTCTTAAATATGTTGTACATCCTGTTTTACCATCTTTTTTGTTTTGTGTGTGTGTGGAGGTGGGGACAGAGTCTTGCTATGTCACCCAGGCTAGAGTGCAATGGCACAATCTGAGCTCACTGCAACCTCTGCCTCCCAGGTTCAAGTGATTCTCCTGCCTCAGCCTCCTGAGTAGCTGGGATTACAGGCACATGCCACCACGCCTGACTAATTTTTGTGTTTTTAGTAGAGGCAGGGTTTCACCATGTTGGCCAGGCTGGTCTCGAACTCCTGACCTCAGGTGATCTGCCTGCCTCTGCCTCCCAAAGGGCTGGGATTACATGTATGAACCACTGCACCCGGCTCTGTTTTACCATCTAACAGGATGCAGGTGATTCCTTTCTAATCACCATCAATGGTGATCAGAACTTTTAAGAAAAATTCTAAGAACTTAAAAAAAAAAAAGGAAAGTGGTTTCTGAATGTTATCTAAAGTTTTTCCATGGTGAAATAATCACGTGGAATTTTTCTCCTTTTATCTTTTCATTGAATAAATGAAGCTTTCTAAAGCTGAACTTTCCTTGTCTCTTTGGAATAAGACCCCGCATACTCCTAGTATAGTGTCTTTTAAAGCACAGCTGAACTCAATTTGCTAATGTTTTATTCAGCATTTTTGCATGCACCAAGAGCCCTGACCTCTTCCTGGCAGCTCAGTACCCTGCAGCTGAGCCGATTCCCATAGGAATCCTGGAACTTCTGCATAAGGTCAACTGGGTGACTTCAACCAAGCAGCTCCAGAGGCCTCCTCCCAGAATCTCCTCTTCCTCTGGGCAACCCTGCTGCCTACCCCAGCACCCCAGGCAGTGCCCTTGCCTCCTGTTCCTCCTCGTCCTCTGAGCCCTGTCTTGCAGCCCTGTTGAATGTTCTCCTAAATGGCTGGGAGGTGGGGCCCCTCCCCTTCAGGTCCACAGGCTTGTCTCTGTCTCCCCTGCTGATCTTGGTATCTGTAGCTTAAGCCAATACTGAGGCCCTGAATTCCTATTCTTTCTGGTACAGCGGGAGAGTTGTCAAGAAGCCAGGTGGAGCAGAAGACAAGACCAGGCAGGAAGCAGGTAAGTTTCCACTGGAATGACTCCACTTGCCTCCTACCGAGGCCCAGGGCTGTGTCAGCTTCAGGTGCAGCTGGCTCCAGGCCCACCTGGGGCACAGCACGGCAAGGATGGAAGGTCTCCCCTACATCCTATTCTCCCCAGAGCCAGGTCTGAGACGGGCTGGGATTGAGGATCATCCCAAAACTGGTGGCTCTCAGGAGGTAGCTCACCTCATGCCACCTACCCCACCAAGATGGAATCTTTTTTTTTTTTTTTTTTTGAGACAGACTCTTGCTCTGTCACCCAGGCTGGAGTGCAGTAGCATATTCTTGGCTCACTGCAACCTCCGTCTCCCGGGTTCAAGCGATTCTCCTGCCTCAGCCTCCCGAGTAGCTGGGATTACAGGCACCCGCCACCACACCCAGCTAATTTTCATATTTTTAGTAGAGACAAGGTTTCGCCATGTTGGCCAGTCTGGTCTTGAACTCCTGACCTCAAGTGATCTGCCCACCTAGGCCTTCCAAAATGCTGGGATTATAGGCGTGAGCCACCACTCCTGGCCTAAGGATGGAATCTTGATGAAATTGCTGTGTGGCCTGCAGCCAGTCGCTGCCCCTCTCTGGGTCATCCACGTTGCTTTCTCCAAGTCCTGACCTGGCAATGGATTGTTCAAGGAGCTGGTCAAATCCACAGTTGCCCCAGCAATGCAGAGCCCTCAAACATGAAAAAAAAAAATCTAGACAGAAAGATTTTTTTTTTTCTTAGAAAAATGAGCCAGGTGCAGTGCCTCACGCCTGTAATCCCACCACTTTGGGAGGTGGGGCGATCATCTGAGCCCAGGAGTTTGAGACCAGCCTGGGCAACATGGTGAAACTGCATCTCTACAAAAAATACAAATATTAGCCTGGTATGGTGATGCATGCCTGTGGTCCCAGCTACACAGGAGGCTGAGGTGGGAGGATCGCCCGAGCCTGGGAAGTTGAGGCTGCAGTGAGTTGTGATCATGCTACTGCACTTCAGCCTGGGTGATGGGAGTGAGACCCTGCCTCAAAAATCTAAAAAAAGAAAAAAAAAGAATATTAGATTACAAAATTCACATTACTGTGGAAATTGCTTTTGCCCTTCCAAAACAAATCATAAAACATGTTTCCTGGTGAATACATACAAATCTTACTAAATCTTCTTTTGAATACATATAAATCTTATTAAATCTTCTTTTAATTTATTTTTTTAAATTTGGCTTTTCTTTTTTCTTTTTAATCACAAAATAATTTCAAGAGCCAATTTGTCCTGGAGGCCTTGTTATGAAAATCTGCAGACCCCTGCGGCTCTCATGTTTGACGAAATCAAGAAAAACATTAACACAATCGTTGCAGAAGGGTGACCAATGCGGTTGCTTTGCGGCTGAGTATTGGTTTTATTTCAAAACACAATGTAAGAGGAACAAACAAAACACACATCCCACTCAACACCACACTTCTGACACCAGATGTGTGGGTTGTCTTTATTTTTTCCACATAGTAAGCAATTCTCCAGTGGACACCAGCTGGGATTCCTCTGATGCAATTTGGTTCCGATGCTATCTACTCGGACACAGCATCAGATCCCGCAGGTTAAGGGCTCAATCCCACAAAACAGCCCGCCTTGAGACACAATGGTCTCTATAGAGTGGGATACCCCACCCTTGCAACCTGCAGATGTGTTCATCAACTCGGAAGCTCTTCAAACCCCATCTTTTGGGGATTTTTATGGGGGCTTCATTATGAAGGCATGATTGATTATTAACTCAGTCCCTAGCCCCTCTCCGGTCTCCAGAGAAAGAGGGTGGGGCTGAAAGCTCCAAGCTTCTAATGATGGCTTGGTCTTGTTGGTCCCCACCCAGGAACCCACCAAGAGTCATCTTTTTAGAACCAAAGACGCTCCTATCACCCAGGAAACTCTAGGGGATTTAGGAGCTCTATGTCAGACACTCCCATCACTCTGTCAGGAACTGGGGTCAAAAGACCAAATATTTATTTATTTATTTATTTATTATTATTTTGAGACGGAGTCTCGTTCTGTTGTCAGGCTGGAGCGCAGTGGTGCGATCTCAGCTCACTGCAGCCTCCGCCTCCTGGGTTCAAGCGATTCTCCTGCCTCAGCCTACCGAGTAGCTGGGACTACAGGTGTGCGCCACAGGCCTGGCTAATGTTTGTATTTTTAGTAGAGATGAGGTTTTGTTATGTTGGCCACCCTGGTCTCAAACTCCTGGCCTCAAGTGATCTGCCCACTTCCACCTCCCAAAGTGCTGGGATTACAGGCATGAGCCACCCTGCCCAGACTATTTATTTTTATTTTTAAACTTTTCTTTAGAAAAAGAATCTTGCTGTGTTGCCCAGGGTGGAGTGCAGTGGGGAGATGTTGATTCACTGCAGCCTCAAACTCTCAGGCTCAATCAATCCTCCCACCTCAGCCTCCCGAGTAGCTGGGACTATAGGCACACACCACCATGCCCAGCTAATTTTTTATCTTTTGTAGAGACAGCAACTCACTAAGTTGCCCAGGCTGGTCTTGAACTCCTGGGCTGAAGCAATCCTCCTGCTTCAGCCTCCCAAAGTGCTGGGATTATAGGCATGAGCCACCACACCCAGCCCCATGCCCTGTTTTTCACTGGTGCATATTTTCTACCAGAAATGAGAGTTTTAGGTATGAATGAAGACTAGTCTGTGTGAAAACCTGTAATTGTGCTTTTGAAAAAAGATCTCCAGGTCTTCACAAAACTTTTTATTCCCTGAGGATGCCCCACTGCAAACGCCTGTGAAGCTGGAGTGCCAGACACTGAGGCCTGAGGCTGGGGGACACAGAGGCTACCAGCTTGCTTGGACCTCCTCAATCTGTCAAAGAAACTGGCTTGGGGACCACTGGAGGACCCAAATCTCCCTCTTCTCTGGGCAGTGGGTCTTGTGCATGCTGGCCTTGGACCTACTGAAGGCCCTTCCAGCCCCAGTGCTATTCTCTGAATTCATGGGGAGCAGAGGTGTTGGGACTGAGTCCTGTTGGAGACTCCAGAAACACTGACGTTTCTTGTTTGGTCCTGGGGTTAGGTAACGACGGCTGTTTCTTTTTTTCTTTCTTTCTTTCTTTTTTTTTTTTTTTTTTTTGAGGTGGAGTCTTGCTCTGTCACACGGGCTAGAATACAGTGGTGTGATCTTGGCTCACTGCAACCTCCACCCCCTGGGTTCAAGCGATTCTCCTGCCTCAGCCTCTCGAGTAACTGGGATTACAGGCATGCACCACTACCCCCAGCTAATTTTGTATTTTTAGTAGAGATGGGATTTCTCCATGTTGGTCAGGTTAATCTCAAACTCCTGAGCTCAGGTGATCCACCCACCTCGGCCTCCCAAAGTGCTGGGATTACAGGTGTGAGCCACCACACCTGGCCAGCAATTTATTTTTAGTCAGTTGTGGACTATCCTGGGTGGCTCCTGCCTAGATTATTCTAAGAATTTCTTTTTTCTTTTTTTTTTATTTTAAGACAAGGTCTTACTCTGTCGCCCAGGCTGGAGTGCAGTGATGTGATCTTGGCTCATTGCAACCTCCACCTCCCCAGTTCAAGCAATTCTCCTGCCTCAGCCTCCCAAGTAGCTGGGATTACAGGCACCTGCCACCGTACCCAGCTAAGTTTTGTATTTTTAGTAGGGACGGCATTTCACCATGGTGGCCAGGCTGGTCTTGAACTGCTCATCTCAGGTGATCCACCCACCTCGGCCTCCCAAAGTGCTGGGATTACATGCTTGAACCACCGGCGCCTGGCCTATTCTAAGAATTTCACCATTTGGACAGCTATTAGCCAGCTTTGGTTGGTCATGTGGGTCCCCACTGCATTCAACTCAGTCCTAGCCTGATCTTCAGTTTCCAACAATATCATAATATCATTGAGATAGTGTATTATTACACTTAAGATCTGCACCAAGTCCAAATCCCACTTCTGACACCAAAAGTAAAAAGAAAACATAAATTAATTTTTTTTTCTGCTCACACATCACTCAACACAACATTCCTTTCTTTTCTTTTTTCTTTTTTGAGACGGAGTCTCATTCTGTCACCCAGGCTGTAGTGCAATGGCGTGATCTCTGCTCACTGCAACCTTCTGCCTCCCGGGTTCAAACGATTCGCCTACCTCGGCCTCCCGTGTAGCTGGGACTACAGGTATGCACCACCATGCCCAGCTAACTTTTGTATTTTTAGTAGAGATGGAGTTTCACCATGTTGCCCAGGCTGGTCTCGAACTCCTGACCTCAGGTGATCTGCCAGCCTCAGACTCCCAAAGTGCTGGGATTACAGGCATGAGCCACTGTGCCCAGCCTTAACACAACATTTCTGACACCAGATGTATGGGAACTTTTCCAAACGTCAAGTAATTCTCCAGCAGACACCAGCTGGGTGGGGTTTTTTGTTTGATTTTTTTGTCTTTTTATTTTTTTAGGTGGGTGTTTTTAAATTCAATTCAGTTCAGAAGCTATCTACCTGAAGATAGTATCAGATCCCATAGGTTAAGGGCTCAGTCCCACAAGATGGTCCCTACTGCAGATGCCATCTGCAAACAGTAGGTTTTCACCTGTACTTCTAATGCACTGGCTGTAAATCAAGACTCCCTTAGGCTGGGCACAGAGTCCCCTCCTGTAATCCCAGCACTTTGGGAGGCCAAGGTGGGAAGATCACTTGAGCTCAGGAGTTTGAGACCAGCCTGGGCAACATGGTGAAACCCCATCTTTACAAAAAATACAAAAAATTAGCTGGGCATAGTGGTGTGCACCTGTGGTCCCAGTTACTTAGGAGGCTGAAATGGGAGAATCGCTTGAGCCCAGGAGGTGGAGGTTGCCGTGAGCCAAGATCGCATCATTGCACTCCAGGCTGGGCAACAGAGCAAGACCCCATCTTAAAAAAAAATGGTGGCTGGCCGCAGTGGCTCATGGTTGTAATCCCAGCACTTTGGGAGGCCAAGGTGGGCAGATCACCTGAGGTCAGGAGTTCAAGACCCGTCTCTACTAAAAATACAAAAATTAGCTGGGTGTGGTGGCATGTGCCTGTAATCCCAGCTACTCAGGAGGCTGAGACAGAAGAATCACTTGAACCCAGGAGGCGGAGGTTGCAGTGAGCCGAGATTGCACCATTGCACTCCAGCCTGGGCAACAAGAGTGAAAATGTCATCTCAAAAACATTTTTTTAAGTACTATTTTTTTAAAGAAGTGGGGGTGGCCAGGTGCAGTGGTTCACACCTGTAATCCCAGCACTTTGGGAGGCCAAGGTGGGAGAATCAGTCAAGCTCAGGAATTCAAGACCAGATAGCACAACATGGTGAAACCCTATCTCTACAAAAAAATACAAAAAAATAGCCAGCTGTTGGAGGCACACACCTGAGGTCCCTGCTACATAGGAGGCTGAGGTGGGAGGATTGCTTGAGCCTGGGAGATGGACACTGCAGTGAGCCAAGATCACCCCAGCACTCCAGCCTCGGTGATAGAACAAGACCCTGCTAAAAAAAAAAAAAAAAAAAAAAAAAGGTGGCTAGGCACAGTGGCTCATGCCTGTAATCTCAGCACTTTGGGAGGCTGAGGCAGGTGATCACCTGAGGTCAGGAGTTTGAGACCAGCCTGGCCAACATAGTGAAACCCCGTCTCTACTAAAAAAAAACTTAGCCGGGCATGGTGGCACACATCTGTAATCCCAGCTACCTGGGAGGCTGAGGCAGGAGAATTGCTTGAACCCAAGAGGTGGAGGTTGCAGTGAGCCAAGATTGCGCCATTGCACTCCGCCCTGGGCAAAAAGAGTGAAACTCCATCTCAAAAAAAGAAAAAGAAAACAATAATACTCACACCTGTAATCCCAGCACTTTGGGAGCCTGAAGCGGGCGGATCACCTGAAGTCAGGAGTTCAAGACCAGCCTGACCAACATGGAGAAATCTCGTCTCTACCAAAAATACACAATTAGCCGGGTGTGGTGGCACATGCCTGTAATCCCAGCTACTCAGGAGGCTGAGGCAGGAGAGTCGCTTGAACCTGGGAGGTGGAGGTTGCAGTGAGCCAAGATTGCACCACTGTATTCCAGCCTGGGCAACAAGAGCGAAACTCCATCTCAAAATAATAATAATAATAAAAAAAGATTCAGGTGAACAGCCAGATGAGGAGATACCTAGAGCAGGGTCTGGAGGGAGACAGGAGCTTCTGCCTCCATGGAGTGGGGTCCACCACCCTTCTGGTATGTGGAAGTGTTTACCAATGTGGAAGCTCTTCAAACTCCGTAGTTGAGGGATTTTTATGGAAGCTTTATTATGAAGCCATGATCGATTATTAACTCCATTTCCAGCCCCTCTTCCCTCTCCAGAGAAAGGGGGTGAGGCTGAAAGCTCCAGGCTTGTAATCATGGCTTGGTCTTCTTGGTCCCCAACCCAGGAACCTCCCAAGCGTCACCTCATTAGAACAAAAGACACTCCTGTCACCCAGGAAATCCCAAGGAAATTTGGAACTCTGCGTCAGATGTTCCCATCAGACTACATCAGATTACAAAGTTCTCAGGAGCTCTGTGTCAGGAACTGGGACAAAGACCAAATATTTATCTTACCATAAATCACAATACCAGCCAGGCACAGTGACTCACACCTGTAATCTCAGCACTTTGGGAGGCTGAGGTGGGTGGATCACCTGAGGTCAGGAGTTTGAGACCAGTCTGGCCAACATGCAGAAACCCCGTCTCTACTAAAAATACAGAAATTACCTGGGCTTGGTAGTGCACACCTGTAATCCTAGCTACTCCCGAGGCTGAGGCATGAGAATCGCTTGAACCTGGGAATGGGAGCTTGCAGTGAGCCGAGATCCCACCACTGCACTCCAGCCTGGGCAACAGGCTGCCTAAAAACAAAACAAAACAAAAAAGTGTGCCCTTGGCTGGAGGTGTGGCCAGAGTAAAGACCCCAGCCTCAGTTGCTGGTGGGGAAGGTCATGTTTGATATAGGGAAAGAGGCACCAGATTGGCAGCTATCAGAACAAAGGGAAAACACACCCAAGGTGAACAAAGGCTGCAGGGAGCCCACAGATTGCAGTTTACTGGGGAGAAATGTCAAGTTCAGAAAGCAAACAGAGGCTTTGTGTCTCTGAGGGGCTTGGTTGCACGTTAACGCCCGGTTCCTGCCCCAGCCCACCCTGGCCCAGCCATCCTGCACGGAAGCACAGGCTGTTTGCTGAATTCAATCCTTGCCTAAACATTTGTTTATTTGAGACAAGATGCCTGCGGGGGCCTCATGGCCAGGTCAGAGCTCACAGCTGGGGCAGAGGAGGAGAGGCTGCAGAAGGCTGGACCTGTAGGTTTGTCTCCAACTCTGAGACTCCAGGCGGGGAGTCCTGGGGTCAGAGCATGGACAGGGCTCATAGTGTTGGGTCACAGACTCAAGACTCTCCAGGTTTCCTCATAAAAAGGAAGGAAACAGCCGTGCGCAGTGGCTCACGCCTGTAATCCCAGCACTTTGGGAGGCAGAGGCAGGCAGATCACTTGACGTCAGGAGTTTGAGACCAGTCTGGCCAACAAGGCAAAACCCCATCTCTACAAAAAAAAAAAAAAAAAAAAAAACACAAAAATTAGCCAGGTGTGGTGGCACGCACCTGTAATCCCAGCTACTCAGGAGGCTGAGGCACAAGAATCACTTGAACCTGGAAGGTGGAGGTTAAAGTGAGCTGAGATCCCACCACTGCACTCCAGCCTGGGCAACAGAGTAAGACTGTCTCAAAAAAAAAAAAAAGAGAGAGAGAGAAAATCTAATGCCTGATGATCTGTTACTGTCTCCCATCACTCCCAGATGGGACTATCTAGTTGCAGAAAATAAAGCTCAGGGCTCCCACTGATTCTACATTATGGTCAGTTGTATTATTACAATGTAATAATAACAGAAATAGGCCAGGTGCAGTGGCTCATGCCTGTAATCCCAGCACTTTGGGAGGCCAAGGCAGGTGGATCACGAGGTCAGAAGTTCGAGACTAGCCTGGCCAATATGGTGAAACCCCGTCTCCACTAAAAATACAAAAATGGCTCCCTCTCCCTCTCCCCACCATCTCCCTCTCCCTCTCTCCACGGTCTCCCTCTGATGCCGAGCTGAAGCTGGACGGTACTGCTGCCTGATTCTCCTGCCTCAGCCTGCCGACTGCCTGCGATTGCAGGCGCGCGCCGCCACGCCTGACTGGTTTTCGTATTTTTTTTGGTGGAGACGGGGTTTCGCTGTGTTGGCTGGGCTGGTCTCCAGCTCCTAACCGCGAGTGATCTGCCAGCCTCGGCATCCTGAAGTGCCGGGATTGCAGACAGAGTCTCGTTCACTCCGTGCTCAATGGTGCCCAGGCTGGAGTGCAGTGGCGTGATCTCGGCTCGCTACAACCTTCACCTCCCAGCAGCCTGCCTTGGCCTCCCAAAGTGCCGAGATTGCAGCCTCTGCCCGGCCGCCACCCCGTCTGGGAAGTGAGGAGCGTCTCTGCCCGGCCGCCCATCGTCTGGGATGTGAGAAGCCCCTCTGCCTGGCTACCCAGTCTGGAAAGTGAGGAGCGTCTCTGCCCAGCCGCCATCCCATCTAGGAAGTGAGGAGCGCCTCTTCCCGGCCGCCATCCCATATGGGAAGTGAGGAGCGTCTCTGCCCGGCCCCCCATCGTCTGAGATGTGGGGAGCACCTCTGCCCTGCCGCCCCGTCCGGGATGTGAGGAGCGTCTCTGCCCGGCCGCCCCATCTGAGAAGTGGGGAGACCCTCTGCCTGGCAACCGCCCCGTCTGAGAAGTGAGGAGCCCCTCCGCCCGGCAACCGCCCCGTCTGAGAAGTGAGAAGCCCCTCCGCCCAGCAGCCACCCCGTCTGGGAAGTGAGGAGCATCTCCGCCCGGCAGCCACCTCGTCCGGCAGGGAGGTGGGGGGGTCAGCCCCCCGCCCGGCCAGCCGCCCCGTCCGGGAGGGAGGTGGGGGGGGTCAGCCCCCCACCTGGCCAGCCGCCCCGTCCGGGAGGTGAGGGGCGCCTCTGCCCGGCCGCCCCTACTGGGAAGTGAGGAGCCCCTCTGCCCAGCCAGCCGCCCCGTCCAGGAGGGAGGTGGGGGGTCAGCCCCCCGCCCGGCCAGCCGCTCCGTCCGGGAGGGAGGTGGGGGGGTCAGCCCCCCACCCGGCTAGCCGCCCCGTCTGGGAAGTGAGGGGCGCCTCTGCCCGGCCGCCCCTACTGGGAAGTGAGGAGCCCCTCTGCCCGGCCAGCCGCCCCGTCCGGGAGGGAGGTGGGGGGGTCAGCCCCCCGCCCGGCCAGCTGCCCCATCTGGGAGGGAGATGGGGGGTCAGCCCCCGTCCCGGCCAGCCGCCCCGTTCGGGAGGTGAGGGGCGCCTCTGCCCGGCCGCCCCTACTGGGAAGTGAGGAGCCCCTCTGCCCGGCCACCACCCCGTCTGGGAGGTGTACCCAACAGCTCATTGAGAACGGGCCATGATGACAATGGCGGTTTTGTGGAATAGAAAAGGGGGGAAAGGTGGGGAAAAGATTGAGAAATCGGATGGTTGCCGTGTCTGTGTAGAAAGAGGTAGACATGGGAGACTTTTCATTTTGTTCTGTACTAAGAAAAATTCTTCTGCCTTGGGATCCTGTTGATCTGTGACCTTACCCCCAACCCTGTGCTATCTGAAACACGTGCTGTATCCACTCAGGGTTGAATGGATTAAGGGCGGTGCAAGATGTGCTTTGTTAAACAGATGCTTGAAGGCAGCATGCTCGTTAAGAGTCATCACCACTCCCTAATCTCAAGTACCCAGGAACGCAAACACTGCGGAAGGCCACAGGGTCCTCTGCCTAGGAAAACCAGAGACCTTTGTTCACTTGTTTATCTGCTGACCTTCCCTCCACTATTGTCCTGTGACTCTGCCAAATCCCCTTCTGTGAGAAACACCCAAGAATGATCAATTAAAAAATAAAAAAAAATAAAAAATAAAATACAAAAATGAGCTGGGCAGGGTGGCGGGCGCCTATAATCCTGGCTACTTGGGAGGCTGAGGCAGGAGAATCGCTTGAACCTGGGAGGCAGAGGTTGCAGTGAACCAAGATCGCAAATTTCCCTCCAGCCTGGTCAACAAGAGCGAAACTCTGTCTCGAAAAAACATATATATAATAATACTAAAGTGCACAGTAAATGTAATCTGCTTGAAACATTCTGAAACCATTCCCCTCCCTGCCTCCTGAGTAGCTGGGACTACAGGCACATGCAGCACACCCAGCTCATTTAAAAAAAAAATGATTTTTTTTTTTTTTTGGTAGAGATGGGGCTTTACTATGTTGTCCATGCTAGTCTTGAACTCCTAGCCTCAAGGGATCCTCCTGCCTTGGCCTCAGAAAGCACTGGATTCCAGGCCATAAGCCACCACTGTTTTTTTTTTTTTTTTTTTTGAGACGGAGTCTCACTCTGTCACCCAGGCTGGAGTGCAGTGGTGCGATCTCAGCTCACTGCAAACTCTGCTTCCTGGGTTGAAGCAATTCTCCTGCCTCAGCCTCCTGAGTAGCTGGAATAACAGGCATGCACCACTAATTTTTTGTATTTTTAGCAGAAACGGGGTTTCATCATGTTGGTCAGGCTGGCCTCAAACTCCTGACCTCAAGTGATCTGCCTGCCCTGGCCTCCCAAAGTGCTGGGATTACAAGTGTGAGCCACCACCGCCAGCCCTTTTGCTTATTTATCTAGCATTAAGAAATCCAGAACGAGGTAGCTTCACAAGTTTCTTCTTGGTTGTTTTGTTGTTGTTGTTTTTGTTGTTGTTTAGAGAGAGTCTCGCTCTGTTGCCTAGGCTGGAGTGCAGTGACGTGATCTCGGCTCACTGCAACCTCTGCCTCCTGGGCTCAAGCAATTCTCCTGCCTCAGCCTCCCGAGTAGCTGGGACTACAGGTGTGTGCCACCATGCCCGGGTAATTTTTGTATTTTTAGTGGAGATGGGGTTTCACCATGTTGTCCAGGCTGGTCTTGAACTCCTGACCTCAGGTGATCCAGCCACCTTGGCCACCCAAAGTGCTGGGATTATAGGTGTGAGCCACCACACCTGGTCCACATGTTTCTTCTTTACCTGCTCCATGATGCCACAGATTTTCTTTTAGGTTCTGCCATCTCTAGTGTGTTCCCTTTTTCCTCATGCTTGTTGCCTCTTGTTGCAGAATGGCTGCTGCAGCTCCAGACATCACATTCAAGGCAGAAACAAGAGGGTAAGGGGGAAAGCCAGCTGCATTTCCCTTTGATCAGATAAAGGCATAAAAATATTTCCTAGAAATTCCCATGGCATCCTTCCTCTTAGGGCTCATTGGTCAGAACTGGGTCCTGGGCCACCTCTACCTGCAGAGGCAGCTGGGAAACTGGAGAATAGAAAGCCATTGTCTTTTAAATCTAATTTCAGAAGTGATGGCTCCTTGCTTCTATTGCATAATATTGATTAAAAGGCAGTCAGTAAAGGCTGGGCGTGGTGGCTCACACCTGTAATCCCAGCACTTTGGGAAGCCAAGGCAGGCAGATCCCTTGAAGCCAGGAGTTCAAGACCAGCCTGGCCAACATGGTGAAACCCCATCTCCACTAAAAATACAAAAATTAGCCAGGTGTGGTGGTGGGCACCTGTAATCCCAGCTACTCACTCGGGAGGCTGAGGCAGGAGAATTGTTTGAACCCAGGAGGCAGAGGTTATAGTGAGCCAAGATCACCACTGCACTCCAGCCTGGGTGACAGAGTGAGACCCTGTCTCAAAAAAAAAAAAAAAAAAGGCAATCAGCTCGCATTCGAAGAGAGGGAATTCGAGAAAAGTCAGAATGCCAGGAGGTGGGGATCACTGCAAACCATCTTAAAGGCTTCCCCCATGGCCAAATGCACTGGCTCATGCCTGTAATCCTAGTGCTTTGGGAGTCTGAGGCAGGAGGATCGCTTGAGTTCAGGAGTTCAAGACCAGCCTGGGCAACGCAGAGTGACCCCATCCCTACCTCAAAAAAAAAAGAAAAAAAAGAAACATTTAGCTGGGCATTGTGGCCCATGCCTTTGGTCCCAGCTACTCGGGAGGCTAAGGCAGGAGGACTGCCTGAGCTCAGGAGTTTGAGGCTACGGTGAGCTGTGACAGTGCCAATGCACTCCAGCCTGGGCAACAAAGCAAGACTCTGTCTCAATAAACAAATAAATGAGTGAGCCACACAGTAATCCCTTAAGGGAAGGGGTTTTCTTTTTTTTCTTTTCTTTTTTTTTTTTTTTTTTTTTTTTTGAGACAGAGTCTCACTCTCTTGCCAGGTTGGAATGCAGAATGTACTGTGAGACAATACATTTCTGCAGTTTTTTTGTTTTTCTGCTTTTGGTTGTTGTTGTTGAGACAGTGTCTTGTTCTATCACCCAGGCAGGAGTGCAGTGGCACGATCTCGGCTCACTGCAACCTCCGCCTCCCGGGTTCAAGCAATTCTCCTGCCTCAGCCTCCCAAGTAACTAGGACTACAGGCATGCACCATCACATCCGGTTAATTTTTGTATTTTTAGTGGAGACGGGGTTTTACCATGTTGTCCAGGATGGTCTCAATCTCCTGACTTCGTGATCTGCCCACCTCGGCCTCCCAAAGTGCTGGGATTACAGGTATGAGCCACTGTGCCCGGCCAGGGAAGGGATTTTCTAAGGTCAGTTAAACAGTTCCTGCAGCTGCTGAGGCGTCCCTAAGAACACATTGACTATTATCACAACAAGGATAATCCCAATATTTGTTTCCAGTCTTGATGGGCTGGGCTTACTGATAGGGTTGTAATGATTTCAGCAGAAGCAGTTTGTGGACATAAGATTAAGATCCAATTTTGAAGGATGAAGGTTGAGATTAAGTATGTGAAGAAAATGTACATTCTAGGAGGGGCCTAAAGAAGGAAATCTATGACAGGAGGTTCCTGAGGCTGATGTAACCCAGCTCCACAAACTAGGTGGCTTAAAACAGCAGAAAAGGCCGGACATGATGGCATACACCTGTAATCCCAGCACTTTGGGAGGCCGAGGCAGGAGGATTGCTTGAGCCAAGGAGTTCAAGACCAACCTGGGCCACGTGGCGAAACCCCGTATCTAAAAAAATACAAAAAGTTAGCCAGGTATGATGGTGCACACCTGTAGTCCCGGCTACTAGGGAAGCTGAAATGGGAGGATTGCTTGAGTCCAGGAGGTGGAGGTTGCAGTGAGCTGAGATCGTGCCACTGCACTCCCGCCTGGGTGATAGAACAAGACACTGTCTCAACAACAACAATAACAAAAAGCAGAAAAACAAAAAACTGCAGAAATGTATTGTCTCACAGTTCTAGAGGCCAGAAGTCCGAAATCAAGGTGTGGGCAGTGCTGGTTCCTTCTGGAGACTCCTAGAGAGAATCCATCCCAGGCCTCTCTCCTGGCTTCAGCCATCCTTGGCAATTCCTTGGCTTGTGGCCTCATCTCTCCAGTCACTGCCTTCTTCATCACATGGCCCCATGTTCCAAATTCCCTCGTCTTTGTTTTTTGGTTTTTTATTTATTTATTATTTATTTATTTATGAGATGAAGTTTCGCTCTTGTTGCCTGGGCTGGAGTGCAATGGCGTGATCTTGGCTCACTGCAACCTCCGCCTCCCGGATTCCAGCAATTCTGACTCAGCCTTCCGAGTACCTGGGATTACAGGCTCGCGCCGCCACGCCCAGGTAATTTTTTGTATTTTTAGTAGAGATGGGGTTTCACCGTGTTGACCAGGTTGGTCTCGAACTCCTGACCTCAGGGTGCCTCTGCCTCTCAAAGTGCTGGGATTACAGGCACGAGCCACTGTGCCCGGCCTGATTTTTTATTTTTTAGACAGAGTCTCACTCTGTCACCCACGCTGGAGTGCAGTGGCATAATCATGGCTCATTGCAGCCTCAACCTCCTGGGCTCAAGCAATCCTCCCACCTCAGCCTCCTGAGTAGCTGGGACCACAACTATGCGCCATCACACTTGGCTATTTTTTTTTTTTTTTTTTTTTTGAGATGGAGTCTCACTCTGTCGCCCAGGCTGGAGTGCAGTAGCGTGATCTCGGCCCACTGCAACCTCCACCTCTCAGCTTCAAGTGATTCTCGTGCCTCAGCTTCCCAAGCAGCTGGGATTACAGGCGACCACCACCATGCTGGGCCAATTTTTGTATTTTTAGTAGAGACAGGGTTTCGCCAGGTTGGTCAGGCTGGTCTGAAACGCCAGACCTCAAGTGATCCGCCCACCCCAGCCTCCTAAAGTGCTGGGATTACAGGCGTGAGCCACAGTGCCCAGCCCCACACTTGGCTAATTTTTTAAATTTTTGTGTAGATGGGGTCTTGCCATGTTGCCCAGGCTGGCTTTATTTATTTTAAGCCCTTCTTTTTTGCCCAATTCATTTAACACTTTATTTATTATTTTTGAAATTATTCTTTCTATTTTTATTCATTTTTTTAGGAGACAGTGTCTCACTCTGTCACTCAGGCTGGAGTGCATTGGCATGATCAATGTTCACTGCAGCCTCAACCTTCTGGGCTCAAGTGATCCTCCTGCCTCAGCCTCCTGAATAGCTGAGACTACAGGTGCATGCCCCCATGCCTGGCTAATTTTTTTTTTGAGATGGAGTCTCGCTCTGTCGCTCAGGCTGGAGTGCAGTGGCACAATCTCGGCTCACTGCAAGCTCTGCCTCCCGGGTTCACGCCATTCTCCTGCCTTAGCCTCCCCAGTAGCTGGGACTACAGGCGCCCGCCACCACGCCTGGCTAATTTTTTGTATTTTTAGTAGAGACAGGGTTTCACCGTGTTAGCCAGGATGGTCTCGATCTCCTGACCTGTTGACCCGCCCGCCTTGGCTTCCCAAAGTGCTGGGATTACAGGCGTGAGCCACCGCGCCCAGCCCTGGCTAATTTTTAAAACTTTTTTTAGATAGAGACATGGTCTCTCTATGTTGCCCAGGCTGGTCTTGAACTCCAGAGATCAAGTGATCCTCTGGCTTTAGCCTCTCAAAGTGCTGGGATTACAGGCATGAGCCACTGTGCCTGGCTTTTTTGTAGAAATGGGGTCTTCTTGTGTTGCCCAGGCTGGTCTCAAACTTCTAGGCTCAAAGCAATCCTCCCTCCTTGGTCTTCCAAAGTGCTGGAATTACAAGTGTGAACTGCCATGCTTGACCCTAGACATTTCTTCTTCTTCGTCTTTGAGACAGAGTCTCACTCTATCACCCAGGCTGGAGTGCAATGGCACGATCTCAGCTCACTGCAAACCTCCGCCTCCTGGGTTCAAGCGATTCTCCTCCCTCAGCCTCCCAAGTAGCTGGGATTACAGGCACCACCACCACACCCAGCTAACTTTTGTATTTTTAGTAGAGACAGGGTTTCACCATGTTGATCAGGCTGGTCTCGAACTCCTGACCTCAGGTGATTTGCCTGCCTCAGCCTCCCAAAGTGCTGGGATTATAGGTGTGAGCCACCATGCCTGGCCATGACCCTGGACATTTTTTTTTTTTTTTTGAGACAGAGTCTCGCTCTGTCGCCCAGGCTGGAGTGCAATGGCGCAATCCCGGCTCACTGCAACCTCTGCTTCCCGGGTTCAAGAGATTCTCCTGCCTCAGCCTCCCGAGTAGCTGGGATTACAGGTGCCCGCCACCACGTCCAGCTAAGTTTTTTGTATTTTTAATATAGATGGGGTTTCACCAGGTTACCAGGCTGGTCTCAAACCCCTGACCTCAGGTGATCCACCCGCCTCGGCCTCCCAAAGTGCTGGGATTACAGGCGTGAGCCACCATGCCCGGCCTACCCTGGACATTTTTATAAATGGAATCAGACACTCTATGGGCTTTTGTGCCTGGCTTCTTTCACTCAGCCTCGTGTTTTCAGGGTTCATCCGTGCTGTGGGATGGATCAGTGCTTCATTCCTTTTTATGGCTGCATAGTATTCCATTTCGTGGATTGACCACAGTCTGTTGATCCATGCATCCTTTAAGGGAACAGCTGAATTGTTTCCACCTTTTGGCGATAGTGAACAATACTGCTATAAACGTGTGTGTCTTTTAGTCCTTTTTGAATAGTTAACTGGAGTGGATACTCCTTTTCTCTTTTTTTTTTTTGAGATGGGGTCTCACTCTGTCACCCAGGCTGGAGTGCAGTGGTGTGATCTCAGCTCACTGCAACTTCCACCTCCCAGGTTCAAGCAGTTCTCCTGCCTCAGACTCCCGAGTAGCTGGGACTGCAGGTATGCACCACCACACCTGGCTGAGTTTTGTATTTTTAGTAGAGACAGAGTTTCACTATATTGGTCAGGCTGGTCTCGAACTCTTGACCTCAGGTGATATACCTGCTTCGGCCTCCCAAAGTGCCAGGATTATAGGCGTGGGCCACCATGCCCAGCCATAAAGTGGACACTCCTATTCTGGACATAGAATGACAATGATTTTTCTGCACATAGAATGACAATGATTTTTCCACACATAGAATAACAGTGATTTTCCTTTTCTTTCTCTCTCTTTTTTTTAAATTGGAGACAGGGTCTCACTTTTGTCACCTAGGCTGGAGTGGTGTGACTGTATCTCACTGCAGTCACTCCTTTGGCCAGGGGATGGGGAGGTTTGGCCATGTCTGTGGTTTGGACAATGCTCTTATTTTCATCTGTGGTAAGACTCAATTACGGAAGGGTTTTGATTTTTGTCTGGTTTCATCCTGGACAGAGTGGCCCTGTTTGATGTGGTCATTCTGTGAAATCGTATATGTTCAACCAAAGAACTCCTCGGCTTCACTGTGACTACCAGGTCAACTCCCAGTTGACCAGAGCCTGGGGCCAATTTTTTCTTCTTTACTTTACATTCACCTTCTCGCCTTTGCATATGCTGTTCCTGCTGCTCAGAATGCCTTTCCCTCCCTGTCTTCACTCAGCTCTTTCCTTCTCAATTTTCAGAGTGCTCTTAAATGCCACCTCCTCTGAGAAGCCCTCTGTGATCACCCAGGCTGTGGGCCTCTATAACCCATTTCAGCACCAGACACATCTTTTGGTCACAGTAAGGATTTTTTTTTTTTTTTTGAGCGAGGGTCTCACTCTGTTGCTCAAGCTGGAGTGCATGCAGGCAGTGCAATGGTGGCTCACTGCAGTCTCCAACTCCTGGGCTCAAGTAATCCTCTTGAGTAGCTGGGAAGACGAGCTTGCCACCACGCCAGCTGATTTTTTTTTTATTTTTGTAGAGACAGGGGTCTCTCTATCTTGTCCAGGCAGGTCTCAAAACTCCTGGCCTCAAGTGATCTTCCCACTTTGGTCTCCCAAAGTGCTAGGATTACAGGCGTGAGCCACTGTGGCTGGCCTGTCATCTTTCAAGTTTCCCAAGTGAGGAGAAAAGGGATGGAGAAGGCCAAAAAAAAAAATAAGTTAGAAGAACAGTTCTTCCTATAGGTCTCAATATGTTGCCATGTTCCTATTGAAAGAAAGAAAGAGAAAGAGAGAAAGAAAAGGAAGGAAGGAGAGAGAGAGAGATCAGAAAGAAAAGAAAGGGAAAGGAAGGAAAGATGGAAGACAGGAAGGAAAGAGAAAGAAAGAAAAGAAAGAAAAGAAAAGAAAAGAAAAAGGGAAAGGAAGGAAGAAAAAAGAAAGAAAAAGAACGGAGATAAAGGGGGCTCTAGACAAACATAAAAATTGGATCTTCAAAAGATAATTAATTGGCCAGGTGCGGTGGCTCACGCCTGTAATCCCAGCACTTTGGGAGGCCAAGGCGGGCGGAGCACCTGAGGTCAGAAGTTCGAGACTAGCCTGGCCAACATGGCAAAAACCCGTCTCTACTAAAAATACAAAAATTAGTCAGGCATGGTGGCTCACACCTGTAGTCCCAGCACTTTGGGAGGCCAAGGTGGGAGGATCTCTTGAGCCCAGCAGTTCGAGACCAGCCTGGGCAACAGAGGGAGACCCTATCACAATTTTTTAAAAAACATTTCAAGTAGCCAGGTATGGTGGTACACACCTGTAGTCCCAGCTACTCGGGAGGCTGAGGCAGGAGGATCGTTTGAGCCTGGGAGGTCGAGGCTGCAGTGAGCTATGACTGCACTACTGCACTCCAGCCTGAGCAACAGAGTGAGACCCTGTCTCAAATAAATAAATAAATAAATAAATAACACAACAGATGATCGCCTCATGAGAATTTTGTCTTTCCGTTGTAAGTCTCCTCTCCAGTGGAAAAGTCTCACAGTGGCCACTCAAATTCTAAATTGTCCCCAGTGTGAGGTACCATTGGAGAGAGACATGTTTGGTTTTGGTTTTGTTTTTTTGAGACAGGATCTGGCTCTGTCACCTAGGTTGGAGTGCCGTATTGTGATCATGGTTCACTGCAACCTCTGCCTCCCGGGCTCAAGCGATTCTCCTGCCTCAGCCTCCCGAGTAGCTGGGACTACAGAAGCACAACACTGCGCACAGCTTCCTTCTAAGATTTTGAAATGGTGAAAAGTTGCCCAAAGGACAGTGGTCCAAGGAGATCTTTGGAATACTTTGGCCATCAACACTGACTCAAGGGTGACTTACTGAGTCTAGGCCCGTCCTCTCTTTATCGACGTTTCCCCCGATGGACCCACAGTGCAATCCCAGCACTTTGGGAGGTCGAGGCAGGAGGATCACTTGAGCCCAGGATTCGAGATCAGCCTGGGCAACATGGCGAGACCCTGTCTCTACAAAAAGTAGAAAAATTGGCTGGGTGCGGTGGCTCACACCTGTAATCCCAGCACTTTGGGAGGCCGAGATGGGCGGATCACAAGGTTGAGAGATCAAGACCATCCTGGCCAACATGGTGAAACGCTGTCTCTACTAAAAATACAAAAATTAGCTAGGCTCTGTGGTGAGGCCTGTAGTCCCAGCTACTTGGGAGGCTGAGGCAGGAGGATCACTTGAGCCCAGGATTCGAGATCAGCCTGGGCAACATGGTGAGACCCTGTCTCTACAAAAAGTAGAAAAATTGGCTGGGTGCGGTGGCTCACACCTGTAATCCCAGCACTTTGGGAGGCCGAGATGGGCGGATCACAAGGTTGAGAGATCAAGACCATCCTGGCCAACATGGTGAAACGCTGTCTCTACTAAAAATACAAAAATTAGCTGGGCTTTGTGGTGAGGCCTGTAGTCCCAGCTACTTGGGAGGCTGAGGCAGGAGGATCACTTGAGCCCAGGAGGTCGAGGCTGCAGTGAGCCAAGATTGCACCACTCCACTTTTACCTGGGCAACAAAGTGAGACCTTGATTTTAGACTTGAAGCCTCCAGGACTATGAGAGAATTGATTTGCATTGTTTCCTTTTTTTTTTTTGAGACAGAGTCTTGCTCTGTCTCCCAGGCTGCGGTGCAGTGGCACTATCTCGGCTCACTGCAACCTCTGCCCCCCAGGTTCAAGAGATTCTTCTGCCTCAGCCTCCTGAGTAGCTGGGATTACAGGCGTACACCACCATGTCCGGCTAATTTTTGTATTTTTAGTAGAGACGGGGTTTCACCATGTTGGTCAGGCTGGTCTCGATCTCCTGATCTCAGGAGATCCACCTGCCTTGGCCTTCCAAAGTGCTGGGATTACAGGCATGAGCCACCACGCTCAGCCAATTTCTGTTGTTTTCAAAACCACTAGTTTGTGGTCATTTGCTACTGTAGCCACCAGAAACTCATACAGCCCTGTACAAGAGACAGTCCACAGGAGGAGGTGTCGAGAGAGAAAACAATTTCACCAAGGAACAGAGTGGCTGATCAGAAAACCAAAAAGCCGTGGAGAAACTCATTCCTAGAATAGTAAACGAAATTAACCCTACACAGAAGGGCCCTAATGAGATCATAACTGAAGCTCCAGTCAGCATTAACTTACCTTCCAGCCACAGGCAGAATCACCTTAAGCAGATAGAGACACAAGGGTCTCAGATGTGCACACTATTTTTTTTTTTTTTGAGACAGAGTCTTGCTCTGTCACCCAGGCTGGAGTTCAGTGGTGCAGTCTCAGCTCACTGCAATCTCTGCCTCCCGGGTTCAAGCGATCCTCCTGCCTCAGCCTCCTGAGTAGCTGGGATTACAGGCACACACCACCATGCCCAGCTACTTTTTGTATTTTTGGTAGAGACGGGGTTTCACCCTGTTGGCCAGGCTGGTCTTCAACTCCTGACCTCAGATGATCTGCCTTCCTTGGCCTCCCCAAGTGCTGGGATTACAGGCGTGAGCCACCGTGCCTGACCTCAGATGGGTGCACTTTTGCTGAGTCCAGGGTACTGATTGGTGGCAGGGAAGGTCTCAGCCCAGTCTCAGTAGGACATCCAGTCCTGTTGATGTCAAATACCACCAGAAAAACAGCTGCAGTGAAACCCAGCTGGGTTTATGGATTAATGCATTGAAGGAAGACACACCAGAAGGGGTTCTGTTTATCTCAGAAAGAGAAAGTGAGAAGGAGCGTGTTACAGAACTAGGGCAACTGTGGGGTGATTCGAGGAGAGTTCAAGGGAGTGGGATTCTGCCCTGGATTGTATGCAAACAGCTAGTGGGACAATTCTCTAAGTATTTTAATAATCTCTTTTTTTTTTTTTGAGATGGAGTCTTGCTCTGTCCCCCAGGCTGGAGTACAGTGGTGTGTTCTCCGCTCACTGCAAGCTCTGCCTCCCGGGTTCACGCCATTCTCCTGCCTCAGCCTCCTGAGCAGCTGGGACTACAGGCGCCCACCACCACACCCGGCTAATTTTTTGTATTTTTAGTAGAGATGGGGTTTCACCGTGTTAGCCAGGATGGTCTCGATCTCCTGACCTCGTGATCTGCCTGCCTTGGCCTCCCAAAGTGCTGGGATTACAGGCGTGAGCCACCGCGCCCGGCCTTTAATAATCTTTTTACCTAGAAGGCGGGGGAACCTGCTGGGAATTGGCGAAAACTAGCAGTCACGCCCTTTGGCCAGGAGATGGGGAGGTTTGGCCATTTTTGTGGTTTGGACAATGCTCTTGTATTCACCTGTGCTAAGACTCGATTACGGAAGGGTTTTGTTTTTCTGCGGCCAAGTGTGACTGGTCTGAGTGTCCCTGTCTGATGTGGACATTCCGTGAAATTGGTTTGGTCAATCAAAAAACTCTACAGTTTAGCTGTGACTGCCAGGCCAACTGCTAGCTGACTGTGTGTGGTCCAGGGCTACTTTTATCTTCCTCACTTTATATTCACCTCCTCACCTTTGCATATACTGTTCCCTCTGCCCAGAACACCTTTCCCTCTCTTTTTCACTCAGCTCTTTCCTTCTCAAGCTTCAGAGCTCTCCTTAAATGCCACCACCTCTGAGAAGCCCTCTTTGATCACCCAGGCTGTGGGCCTCCACAACCCTATTTCAACCCCAGGCACATCTTTTAGTCACAATTACGATTATTATTTTATTGTTATTATTATTATTATTACTTTTGAGACAGAGTCTTACTCTGTCACCCAGGCTGCAGTGCAGTGGCGTGATCTCAGCTCACTGCAACCTCTGCCTCCCAGGTTCAAGCGATTCTCCTGCCTCAGCCTCCCAAGTAGCTGGGATTACAGGCGCATGCCACCACGCCTGGGTAATTTTTAGATGGGGTTTCACCATGTTAGCCAGGCTGGTCTTGAACTACTCACCAAGTGATCTGCCCGCCTCAGTCTCCTGAAGTGCTGGGATTACAGCTATAAGCCACCACGCCTGGCCTTTATTATTATTATTTATTTATTTATTTTGAGATGGAGTTGCACTCTGTAGCCCAGGCTGGAGTGCAATGGCACGATCTCGGCTCATTGCAATCTCTGCCTCCTGGGGTCAAGTGATTCTCCTGCCTCAGCCTCCCAAGTAGCTGGGATTACAGGCATGTGCCACCACGCCCAGCTAATTTTTGTGTTTTTAGTAGAAACAGGGTTTCACCATGTTGGTCAGACTGGTCTCAAACTCCTGACCTCAGGTGATCTGCCTGGCTCGGCCTCCCAAAGTGCTAGGATTACAGGCGTGAGCCACCATGCCTGGCCTTTATTAGTATTTTTTAAGAGAGGTTCCTTCACCCAGGCTGGCTGGAGTGCAGTGGCGCTATCATACCTCACTGCACCCTCCAACTTCTGGGCTCAAGTGATTCTCTTGAATGGGAGGATGAGCATGCCACCACGCCCAGCTAATGTTTTTATCTTCTGTCGAGATGGGGTCTCATAATGTTGCCCAGGCTGCTTTCAAACACCTGGCCTCAAGCGATCCTCCCACCTTAGCCTTCCAAAGGGTTGGGATCACAGGCATGTGCCACTGCGACCAGCCAGGATAATAATCTTTCATGTGATTTTCCGACTTTAAGCCCCCTGCACCCAGAGACCTTTCTGTCTCATGCCTGAAGGGAAGGAACTGGCCACGGAAAAACCTGGGAAATTCCTGGGGGAACTCCCTGAGGCAAGACTGCGCCTGGCAATTTGTAAGAAGGGGGCTGGTGCGACCTGAGCAGAGAGCTAATGGGAGGGTGAGGGAAGCCAAGGGAGATGGGGTGGGAGGTGGGAGGAGTCTTGCGGGACAATGGGAACCCAGGGGAGGCGTTAGAGCAGGGGAGGTGCATCGCGCACTGGGATTTAGGTCCCAGCAAGGTCGCTGGGGGGATGCCTTTTAGGGAATGGACTCTGTGGTCAACTACTCCTACCTGAACTGCCCCCAAAGCATTTGCTTTTCCCTCTCCACAGTCAGGACCAGTGTAACCTTAGACCCCTAATACTGCCATTTTTACTGTTGAGAACACCGAGAAGTAGTAAATGCAGAAAATCTAAAGTATAGTGCCTAAGACAAATTGGCGCCTCAAACCTAATTTCTAAATAAAATTAATAAATAATATTGCAGAAGTGGGGAGCAGGTCAGCAATCCAGGAAGAGGCACTGGCAGGAGCAAGAGACGGAATTTGAGCCTACTCGCGGTTATGAGCCTACTCGCGGTTACATTTTGGCCAAACTCAATTCCTGGTCTCTCTGAGCCTCGGTTTCCCTACCTGGACTGCGCGGTGTGTGTTAATTTCTCTGCCCCATTTATCTCCCCTCTCCTAGCCCCGCCCCAGCGTCACCAGTGGGACGCAGAGACTCAGGACTAGGAAAGCACTTTTAAAGCGTTAAGGGATTGCGAAGAGCTACGGAGAGGCTTCCTCAGGGCTATACTGGGTCCACCTCCCCTCATGGACCGCGGGCGCGCTCTGGCGGCCGGGCCGCTCCAGGCTGAAGCCGCCGGACCACGTGTGTAGTCGCAGCTGCCATCTTTCATCCGGGCATCGGCCATCTTGGTAAAGGCAATGTTCTAGATTTTCGCCTCTGCCCGCCCCTCCTGGTTCATCAACATATTAAATGAGCGTAGGGAATGAGGGCGTATTAAGTGTCCTCTTTTTGAAGAGACAAAGAAGTGGCTGACTACCCTGGCTTGGGTCCGAGGCCCAGCCATCTTTTTCTTTACCAAAATGGCGGCGGTACTGAGGCGCAATGAGTGCGCGCCGCCAGGAGCTCAGCGCGCAGGCCCCATGATGACGTCACGGAGGCGCGACCGGGCCGGCGCTGGGGTAAGAAGGTAGGAGCGTCTGCGGCGCGGGCGGAACCCGGGTTCGGGGAGCAGAGGCGCGGGGCGGGGGCTGCTTGGCCTGGGACCATCCCCTGGGAAGGCTGGAGGAGGGGTGCTGGGAGGCAGGAGCACTTCTGGCGTCCAGTCTGAACCGCACCTAGTTGGGGGCGATGCCCATTTCCAGACTAGACGATTGAAGCCCGACGCGACAGCATGTTCGAGGCCACCTGGCCCCGGACTGCCCCTAGGCAGCTTCTGGTCTCGAGAGGGACAGAGTTGGGCGCGGACTCCCCCGGCCTCTTGTAGGGGGATTAGTGGTGGGGGACTTCAAAAGGGATAGCCGGGAGGGCTGCTTAGAGGAGGCATTGTTGAATTTTGTATTCTGTTATTTTACCTTCACATCCGTGGGGTCTTAATCCCCATGGGTCTTGATTCGCTTCTAAGTGTGCCCCTCGCCCAGCCTGAGCCACTCCCTGGGTACCGCCTGGGCTCCCAGCTCCTGCCATCTGGGGAGTCCACCTCCTCACTAACCCCAGAGGGCTTGTGTGACCCATAGATTGGGCTTCCCGGCTCTAACGCCCTCCACACCTTCCCATCTCCCTGGAATACAAATCGCCCCCTTTTCCAGCCTACCTCCTGCATCCCGCGTGCAGGCTGCGCTCTCCCCCACTCATTCAGACTTTTCCTTAGATGTCTCCTTTAGGAAGCCCTTTGACCCAGGCTGGGTCAGAAGCCCTCTCCGGGCTTCCCCGGCGCCCTGCGTGTCCTTATTAGGACTCTGATTGCATGTGTTGGCTCTTCTCTGGGAGTCCCATGCAGGCAGAAAGCTCATTTGTGCCACCTCTTTCCCCAGCATCGCACACGTATTAGGTGCCCAGTACATATTTATTGAATGACGTGTGCAAGTGAGTGAGTGTTTACTACACAGAGAAAAGTGTCTGTATTTCCAGCTTGGGCTGTCATAACTAATACCACAGACTGGGTGGCTTAAACAGCAGAAATTGCCAGGCACTGTGGCTCACACCTGTAATCCAGGCACTTTGAGAGGCCGAGGCAAGCGGATCACTTGAGGTCAAGAGTTTGAGACCAGCCTGGCCAACATAGTGAAACCCCGTCTCTACTAAAAATACAAAAATCAGATAGGCATGGTGGCACATGCCAACATGGTGAAACCCCATCTCTATAAAAATACAAAAATTAGCCGGGCGTGGTGGCAGGTGCCTGTAATCCTAGCTGCTTGGGAGGCTGAAACAGGAGAATTGCTTGAACCGGGTGGGTGGAGGTTGCAGTGAGCCGAGATTGTGCCACTGCATTCCAGCCTGGGTGAAAGAGCAAAACTCCGTCTCAAAACAAAAAAAAGCCCCAACGTGGAAACAGCCCAAATGTCTAGCTGTGGACAATGGATAAACAAAATGTGGCGTATCCATGCAGTGGAGGAATATTCAGCCATAAAAAGGAACGAAGGGCCAGGCGCAGTGGCTCAGGCCTGTAATCCCAGCACTTTGGAAGGCCGAGGCGGGAGGATCACTTGAGCCCAGGAGTTCAAGGCCAGCCTGGGCAACATAGTCAGACCCTGCCTTAAAAAAAAAAAAAAAAAGCTAGGCATGGTGGCCTGCACCTATAGTCCCAGCTACTTAGGAGGCTCAGGTGGGAGGATCACTTGAGCCCAGGAGGTCAAGGCTGCAGTAAGCCGAGATTTCGCCACTGCACTCCAGCCTGGGCGACAGAGTGAGACCCTGTCTCCAAAATAAATAAATAAATGTACTCTCACACTGTGTGGCCTTTTGTGTCTGGCTTCTTTCACTTAGTATTGTGTTGTTGAGGTTCAACCACATTGTATCATGTATGTATTGGTGCCTTGTTTCCTTGTTTCCTTTTTTTTTTTTTCTTTTAAGAGACAGGGTCTTGTTCTGTTGCCCAGGCTGGAGTGCAGTGGCACAATCATAGCTCACTGTGGCCTCAGCCTCCTACGCTCAGGCGATCCTTCCACCTCAGCCTCCTAAGTAGCTGGAACTACAGGCACAAGCCACTGTGCCTAATTATTTTTTATTTTGTAGAGACGGACTCTTGCTATGTTGCCCAGGCTGGTCTTGAACTCCTGGCCTCAAGCAATCCTCCTGCCTCAGCCTCCCAAAGCACGGGGATTACAAACGTGAGTGATCGCACCCGGCCTGTGATTCCATTGATATGGACTGAAATGTCCAGAACAGGGAAAGCCACAGAGACAGAAAGCAGATTGATGGTTACCAGGGGCTAGGGGAAGAGGAATAGGGAGTGACTGCTGATGGTGATGTGGCCTCTTTTGGGGGGTGCAAGTGTTCTGGAACTAGACAGAGGTGGTATTTGCACAACGCTGTGAATATACTTAAACACTGAATTGTACACCTTTTTTTTTTTTTGAGATGGAGTCTCGCTCTGTCGCCTAGGCTGGAGTGCAGTGGTGTGATCTCAGCTCATTGCAACCTCCGCCTCCCGGGTTCAAGTGATTCTCCTGCCTCAGCCTCCCGAGTAGCTGGGATTATAGGCATGTGCCACCACACCCAGCTTTTTGGTTTTTTTTGAGAGTGAGTCTCACTCTGCCGCCTAGGCTGGAGTGCAGTTGCACGATCTCGGCTCACTGCAACCTCTGCCTCCCAGGTTCAAGCGGCTTTCCTGCCTCAGCCTCCTGAGTAGCTGGGATTAAAGGTGTCCGCCACCACACCCAGCAATTTTTATTTATTTTTAGTTGACACGGGGTTTCACCATGTTGACTAGACTGGTTTTGAACTCCTGACCTCAGGTGATCCGCCCACCTTGGCCTCCCAAAGTGCTAGGATTACAGGCGTGAGCCACTGTGCCTGGCCGGAATTGTCCACCTTTAAATTGATTCTTTTTCCTTTCATTGAGACGGAGTCTCACTCTGTCGCCCAGGCTGGAGTGCAGTGGCACGATCTTGGCTCACTTCAACCTCCACCTCCCGGGTTCGAGCGATTCTCCTGCCTCAGCCTCCTGACTGGCTGGGAATACGGGTGCACACCACCATGCCCAGCTAATTTTTGTATTTTTAGTGGAGATGGGGTTTTGCCGTGTTGGCCAGGCTAGTCTCGAACTTCTGACCGCAAGTGATCCGCCCGCCTCGGCCTCCCAAAGTGCTGGGATTACGGGTGTGAGCCACCAGACCTGGCCTAAATGAGCTCATTTGGTGTCATGATGTGAATTTTGCCTTAATAAACTTTTACAAGGAGAGCGCTAAGTCCAAAGCCCTTGTTTTATACAGAGAAGGCCACAGAGGCCCCAAGAGGGTCATGGCTGCCCAAGTGTGATTCTGGGGGTGCTGAGTGCCGATGTCCCCTCCGGCCCCTGCTCCCCCATCCCCATCCTCTTCCCGCAGCCTGCTGAGGGATGCCCAAGAAGTTCCAGGGTGAGAACACCAAGTCGGCAGCGGCCCGGGCACGTAGGGCAGAGGCCAAGGCGGCCGCTGATGCCAAGAAGCAGAAGGAGCTGGAGGATGCCTACTGGAAGGACGACGACAAACACGTCATGAGGAAGGAGCAGCGCAAGGTGCGTGCACTCCGAGTCCCCGCGGCCCGCATGCCTTGTGGCCAAGGCCAGTGGTCATTATGTCAATGTGGGTGAATAGCGAGAGGGCCCTCTGAGCTTTGGTCTGAAAGGCCAGGAGGGACCAGGCGCTGTCGCTCACGCCTGTCATCCCAGTACTTTGGGAGGCCGAGGCAGGCAGATCACCTGGGGTCAGGAGTTCAAGATCAGCCTGGCCAACATGATGAAACCCTGTCTCTACTAAAAATACAAAAATTAACTGCGTGGTGGCGCACACTTACAGTCCCAGCTACTCTGGAGGCTGAAGCAGAATTGCTTCAACTGGGAGGCGCAGGTTGCAGTGAGCCGAGGTCTCCCCGCTGCACTCCAGCATGGGCAACAGAGCGAGATTCCATCTCAAAAAAAAAAAAAAAAAAAAAAGAGGCTGGGCAGAGTGCCTCATACCTGTAATCCCAGCACTTTGGGAGGCCGAGGTAGGCATATCACCTGAGGTCAGGAGCTCAAGACCAGCCTGGCCAAAATGGTGAAACCCTGACTCTACTCAAAATACAAAAATTAGCCAGGCATGGTGGCAGGCTCCTGTAATCCCAGCTACTCGGGAGGCTGAGGCAGGAGAATTGCTTGAACCCAGGAGGCGGAGGTTGCAATGAGCTGAGATTGTGCCGTTGCACTCCAACCTGGGCAACAGAGTGAGACACTGTCTCGGAAAACAAAAAGCAAAATGCCAGGAGGCACTGGAGATGGCAGAGGGGAGGGAGGCAGAGGAAATGGTGTGTGGAAAGGCCCTGGGGTGGCACAGTCTTGCTTGTCTGTGGACAGTGAGGCTGTCATTGCTCTCTGTGGATGTTTCTCTCCTTTGAGTAATGTCAGGGTTGGGCTAGATGGTCATTCTCACCGTGGAGCTACTCTGCCCCTGAGGACGCTTGGCAACACCTGGAGATGTGTTTGGTTGTCATAACTCGGGGAGAGGGGGTGTTGCTGGCATATAGAAGGTGGAGACCAGAGATGCTGACACTCTAGAATGCACAGGACGCCCCCACAGCAAAGAATGAGCCAGCCCCAGATGTCAGCAGTGCTGAGGCTGAGAAACGCTGTGATCAGGCCCCCATTTCCAACCTGTTGACCCAGGTCCACAGGTTCTTCTAGGTGTTTATTTTATTTTTGTTGTTGTTGTTGAGACAGAGTCTCCCTCTGTTGCCCAGGCTGGAGTGCAATGGCGCGATCTCAGTTCACCGCAACCTTTGCCTCCTGGGTTCAAGTGATTCTCCTGCCTCAGCCTCCTGAGTAGCTGGAATTACGGGCATGTGCCACCATGCCCAGCTAATTTTGCATTTTTAGTAGAGATGGGGTTTCTCCAGGTTGGTCAGGCTGGTCTCGAACTCCCAACCTCAGGTGATCCGCCTGCCTTGGCCTCCCAAAATGCTGAGATCACAGTCCTGAGCCAATGTGCCCGGCCCAGGTGTTTATTTTTTAAAAGCCGTCGTTTGGCGTGGTAGCTCATGCCTGTAATCTCAGTACTTTGGGAGGCTGAGGTGAGAGGATTGCTTGAGGCCAGGAGCTCCAGGCCAGCCTGGGCAACATAGCAAGACCCCATCTCCACAAAACATGTACAAATTAGCCATGCATGGTAGTGTGTGCCTGTGGTCCCAGCTACTTGGGAGGCTGAGGTGAGAGGATCACTTGAGCCTGGGAGTTCAGGGCTGCAGTAAGCTATAATCGTGCTACTGTACTCCAGCCTGGGCAACAGAATGAGACTGTGACTCAAGATGAATCAAAAAGCCCAGGGCCAAGCACCATGCTTCATTGGTGTCTGGGTTGTGGTTTAGGGCTGATGCTGACCTGCTTGGCCCAGTAGGTGGCGCCAGTGACCCATGCTAGCCACAGCTCCTGGTTTCCACACCCTGGGTAGCTGAGACACTGGCCCTCTAGGCAACCCCCCAGCTTAGGGGCTGCTATCCTGACAACATGCCCAGTTCTTGGGGGGAATCTGGACATTCCCACCTGTTTTACCCGTCATCTTTTTTTTGTTTTTTTAAAGACGGTCTTGCTCTGTCACCCAGACTGGAGTACAGTGGCAGGATCACAGCTCAATGCAGTCTTGACTTCCCGAACTCAAGCAAGCCTCCTGCCTCAGCCTCCCAAGTAGCTGGGACTATAGGCGTGCACCACCACGCCCAGCTATTGTTTGTATTTTGTGTAGGGGGTGGGGGTCATCTCACTGTGTTGCCCAAGTTGGTCTCAAACTCCTGGGCTCAAACAGTCCTCCCACCTCAGCCTCCCAAAGTGCTGGGATTACAGGCATGAGCCACTGCACCTGGCCTCCCATTGTCTTTCTGTGAAGGGGTAGATCCTGCCTTGTTTTTAGCACACATTCAATGTCCCTGGCTTTCTTCCAGCCCCACCCCTACCCACCCTGCTGCACTGGGTCCATGGAGATATTTATAGTTTGGGGGTTGGGGGATCATCAAAATTTTGACACTATAGGAAAGTTGAAAACTCAAAAGGAAAAACAATGTCTGTCAAAGATGCAGTATCCATCCGGGTGCGGTGGCTCACGCCTGTCATCCCAGGACTTTGGGAGGCCGAGGCAGGCGGATCACCTGAGGTCAGGAGTTCGAGACCATCCTGGCCAACATGGTGAAACCCCATCTCTGCTAAAAATAAAAAAATTAGCTGGGCGTGGTGGCGCGCACCTGTAGTCCCAGCAACTCAGGAGGCTGAGGCACAAGAATCACTTGTACCTGGGAGGTGGAGGTTGCAGTGAGCCGGGATCGCGCCACTGCACTCCAGTCTGGGTGACAAAGCAAGAGTCCATCTCAAAAAAATAATAAAATAAAACAAAAAGATCCAGTATCCAGACAGAATCCAGAGACCTTTCCGCCCATAGTGTCAAGATCATTGGCTTAATCCTCCCTGTGGCCTGCGTCTTGGCCACTGGGGTTGGCCCCATCCTCTGGATGAGGAAATTGAGGCAGAGAAGGCAGAAAGCCCAGATCACGTGGCTATGAGGAAGAGCTGGAGCCAGACTGGCACCTTCTCCTTTGTTAAGAGGCTTTTTTTTTTTGAGGCAGAGTTTCACTCTGTCGCACAGGCTGGAGTGCAGTGGCGCGACCTCGGCTCACTGCAACCTCTGCCTCCCAAGTTCAAACAACTCTCCTGCCTCAGCCTCCCGAGTAGCTGGGATTACAGGTGTGCGCCACCATGCCAGGCTAATTTTTGCATTTTTAGTAGAGATGGGGTTTCACCATGTTGGTCAGGCTGGTCTAAAACTCCTGGCCCCAAGTGATCCTTCCACCTCGGCCTCCCAAAGTGCTGGGATTACAGGTGTGAGCCACCGCACCTGGCCTTTTTTTTTTTTTTTTTAGACAGTCTCTGTTGCCCAGGCTGGAGTACAGTGGCGTGATCTCAGTTCACTGCAACCTCCGCCTCCTAGGTCCAAGCGATTCTTTTGCTTCAGCCTCCCAAGTAGCTGGGATTACAGGCATGGCACCATGCCTGGATAATTTTTGTATTTTTAGTAGAGATGGGGTTTCACCATGTTGGCCAGGCTGGTCTCCAACTCCTTACCTCAAGTGATCCGCCCACCTCGGCCTCCCAAAGTGCTGGAATTACATGCGTGAGCCACCGCCTCTGGCCTGTTAAGAGATTTGATTAAGGGACAGCAAAGCATGCCTGTCCTAGGAGTGTGGGTCAGAAAGCATGTACCTCTGAGCACACCTGTATTGCATGCATCCGGGACAAGGTATGGAGGGGGTTGGACAGGCAATTGGGGCCAGGTGGTGAATAGCTTAGACTTCACTTAGGGCCAGACAGGAAGCCACTAGACCCTATCATTGAGCATGAAGGCCACCACTGACAGTAGGTTAGCAAATAGGTGTGGCTGCATGCCCATAAAACTTTACCAAAGGGGCCGGGCATGGTGGCTCACACCTGTAATCCCAACACTTTGGGAGGTCAAGGCAGGTGGATTACAAGGTCAGGCGTTCGAGACCAGCCTGGCCAACATAGTGAAACCCCATTTCTACTAAAAATACAAAATATTAGCCGGGCGTGGTGGCGGGTGTGCGTAATCCCAGCTATTCCGGAGGCTGAGGCAGGAGAATCGGTTGAACCTGGGAGGCAGAGGTTGCACCATTGTACTCCAGCCTGGGCGACAGTGCAAGATTCCACCTAAAAAAAAAAAAAAAAGGGCCGGGCGCGGTAACTCATTCCTGTAATCCCAGCACTTTGGGAGGCCGAGGTGGGCAGATCACAAGGTCAGGAGATCGAGACCATCCTGGCTAACACGGTGAAACCCCATCTCTACTAAAAATACAAAAAATCAGCCGGGCATGGTGGCAGGCACCTGTAGTCCCAGCTACTCAGGAGGCTGAGGCAGGAGAATGGCATGAACCCGGGAGGAGGAGCTTGCAGTGAGCCGAGATGGCGCCACTGCACTCCATCCTGGGCGACAGAGCAAGGTTCCGTCTCGAAAAAACAAACGAACGAAAAAAACACAAAAAACCTTTACCAAAGAAGGCAGTTGGCTAGTTGGCTATAGTTTGTCAACCCCTGCTCTCTAGAATATTCTCAGCCCCCGTGAGTTTCCCTCATACCCCTCCTGGTCAGTCCCCCACCAGTGATACCTCTCCTCACTTCAAACATCATGCATTGGCCAGGCACAGTGGCTCACACCTGTAATCCCAGCACTTTGGGAGGCCAAGGCAGGCAGATCACTTGAGGTCAGGAGTTCGAGACCAGCCTGGGCAACATGGTGAAACCCCGTCTCTACTAAAATTACAAAAGATTAGCCAGGCGTGGTGGTGGGCACCTGCAGTCCCAGCTATTTGGGAGGCTGAGGCATGAGAATTGCTTGAACTCGGGAGGCAGAGGTTGCAGTGAGCCGAGATCGCACCACTGCACTCCAGCCTGGGCGACTGAGAGAGACTGTCTCAGAAAAAAAAAAAAAAAGGACCCTGTCTGAGGCAGAATGTGTGTGTGACACGCATCGGTCGGGGAGCCTCGGGACGTTGCCTCTGACCGAGGGGGAAACTAAGGCTCCTCAGCACAGCAATGGGAGCCCAGTTTGTGCACTCCAACAGCCTTGACTTTAACCGCCCCCTCCACTTTCCTGCTGTGCTGGTGGGGGTGGGGGTCAGGCCCTGGCAGTGTCCTTAGGTGCGTCCACCCCTATTCTGCGACATTCCCTTCTGTCAAATCTATCTGGAGATGCAGTGGTAGTGTCCCAGGGGGACACTGCAGGTGTGGGGATCGTCCCTGGGAAGGCTGAAGGTGTGAGAGTCAGATGGTGGAGTCTCAGGCAGTGAGGGGGCAGGCAGGGGTGTCCGAGACCAGGGCCCTGCAGGAGTGCCAGGCAGTGGGCAGAGTACTGCCCTGAGCTTCCAGCAGCACTGCATATAAACCGTGGGCTTGCTCGGCCCCCTGGGGTCCGTGCAGGCCAGGGCAAGGGCAAGTCCCGTAGCCCAGATGTCCCTCATCCAGCCAGCATCAGGGCTTCCCTGGGCGGCCGATGTGGAATCAGTTTCAGCCTCAGTGACCCACGGCAGGGAAACGTGGACAGTGCTGCCCGACTCATAAGGGCAGAGCCCCTGCCCTAGCCTGAAACGGGTCCAGGCCTCCCACGGCTCTTAGAATCCAACATGAACCCCTCCCTGGCCCCCAGAGGCTCCGCATGGCCCAGCCGTCTCCCTCCCGGCCTCTTCCCCCTCCCGCTTCACTCCCACTCCAGCCTCCAAGCTGTTCCTGTTACAACAAATGGCTCCTGCCTCGGCGCCTTTGCACTGGTAGCCCTGCTGCTAAGGACGCTCCTGTTCCCCAGCTCTCCCCCTTGGCCGGCGCTCTTCGCACCTAGGAGCGTCACTTCTTCAAGAGCCACCCACCCGCCCTGTCCAAGGTTCCCCTGTTGGCCTCACATCCCCCGCCCAGGGCAGCACCGGGACCTATCTTGTTCCTGGTATGTCCCCTGCACCCAGCACAGAGCCTAAATCCTCGTTGGCTGAGATGAAAACTCGAACCCCAGGCTAGTGGGTGGCGCGGGGGTGTGGGGTCTTCTGCCTGACCATGCACGCCGCCCCCGCAGGAGGAGAAGGAGAAGCGGCGCCTCGACCAGCTGGAACGTAAGAAGGAGACGCAGCGCCTACTGGAGGAGGAGGACTCCAAGCTCAAGGGCGGCAAGGCGCCGCGGGTGGCCACGTCCAGCAAGGTCACCCGGGCCCAGATCGAGGACACGCTGCGCCGAGACCATCAGCTCAGGGAGGCCCCGGACACAGGTCGGGCGGCATCCCGCTCTGGAGCTGCACTTTTGCCCACTGCAGAGGCAGTGGACCTTGAGTCCATTAGCCCCCTCCTGGCCCCCAGAGAAGCTGCCGGGGCTCCACGTGGTGCAGGGTGGGTGGGTAGGCCGCCTCCTGGTAGGCCTGGCCGTGAGCAGACAACCTCAGGGCTTGTGCCCCGCGGGGTCCTCTTGTTTGCAGGGCTGCCGGAAAGTAAGGCAGAGAACTGGGCGCCGGGAGGGTGGGACCTGTCCCAAGAGGGCTTATCAGCTGAAGTCGCGATTCCATCCCCCCTCATCTCTCCCGCCTTCCTCCCGCCCCTAGCTTCTCTTGCCAGTCTCTATCTCATCTCCTTGGAACTGTGCATCTTTGCTTATCTCTCTCTGTCTCTGTCACCCACCCACCCGCCCAGCCGAGAAAGCCAAGAGCCATCTGGAGGTGCCGCTGGAGGAGAACGTGAACCGCCGCGTGCTGGAGGAGGGCAGCGTGGAGGCGCGCACCATCGAGGACGCCATTGCAGTGCTCAGGTAACGGGGCGGGGCCTGGGGCTTTCCCAGGGGTGGAGCTGGTCATCGGGGGCGGGGCTACCTGGGGGCGGGGCCGGGCTTTTCGGGGCAAGGCTGCGCCCAAGGCCCCCTGACGCTCATGTCCACCCCCAGCGTGGCGGAGGAGGCGGCCGACCGGCACCCAGAAAGACGCATGCGGGCAGCCTTCACAGCCTTTGAGGAAGCCCAGCTGCCGCGGCTCAAACAAGAGAACCCCAACATGCGGCTGTCGCAGCTGAAACAGCTGCTCAAGAAGGAGTGGCTCCGCTCTCCTGACAACCCCATGAACCAGCGGGCCGTGCCCTTCAATGCCCCCAAGTGAGCCCAGAACTTGGGGAGCCAGTTCACCCACGGGTGGTCCAGGTCACGACTCTGCACGCCCTTAGGCCAGGTCAGCTGCGAGGGTCACAGAGCGTTCCGGGGGCCAAGGCGCCGGGCCCCGGGGCCATGCTCTTATCACCAGCCACCCGTCCTCCCGCCAGAGGGTCCCTGCCCCGAGTGACACCCCATCCCCTCCCATCCCCCGGCGCGTGTGTGTAGAGCCTCAGGGCTGAGTGCCCAATAAAGGTGGCGGCAAGGCTGCGGTGAGGCACTTGAAGCCTAAGTGAGTGGGTGGGGAGAGGCGGGCGAAGAATGGGGAGAAGGAACAGCTTTGGGGACCTGCTGTGAACCGCACTGGGATCATAGCTAGAAAAGACAAGAGCCCCCAACAGCGCGCTCCTTCCTGCTGCCAGCTGTGCTTCATCGGCTCCTGCCAGCACCCCTCCTTGGCTGTGCCACTTGTCCAGTGAGGCACCTGCTCCACTGTCTCCTGCACACGCTTAGAGAGGTGGAGGTGGAGGCGCTGGCCATACTTCAGAGGCAGAGCCAGAGAAGAGCTGGAGCCTGTCTGCCTTCTGAGATTCCAGTTCAGGGTGGGCCCTAGGACTTGATTGGGGGTACCATGTTGTGTTTGGGGTCAGGAAATGCTGGCTGCTCTGCTGTTATTCCTACAGGGGAGGCATCTGGGCCAAATCCTTCTGTGCTGAATCCTGGGCAGGCTTCCCAGTGGAGGATTTCTTCCTTAGTGGGGGATGAGTCAGATCTCATTGCAGAGGGAGGAGGAAGGCACTGGGCTGGGAAAGGCCTGGAGGCTGCAGTGAGCAGGTGGATCGGAGTGGGTGTGAGCAAGCGTCCCGTCAGAGACTGCACATCTGGGAAGGGTGGAGTGGGATTTGAACCTAGTTCTGGCTTCCTAGAACTTAGCCAGCCCGGAAGAATAGAGGAAGGGCAGCTGGGAGATGGGCCTGTGAGGCTTTGTGGGCTGAGCAAATTGCTTGGACTCATGAGGGCGGCAGGGGATGGAGGTGCCCCCAGAAGCTGCAGTGGTCAGGGCCGGGTGCGGTGGCTCATTCCTGTAATCCCAGCACTTTGGGAGGCCAAGGTGGGCGGATCACCTAAGGTCAGGAGTTCGAGACAAGCCTGGCCAACATGGTGAAACCCCGTCTCTACTAAAAATACAAAAATTAGCTGGGTGTGGTGACGCATGCTTATAATCCCAGCTACTGGGGAGGCTGAAGCACTAGAACCGCTTGAACCCAGGAGGCAGAGGCTGCAGAGAGTCAAGATCACAGCACTGCACTCCAACCTGGGCAACAGAGCAAGACTGGCAACAACAACAAAAAAAGTTGCAGTGGTCAGATCATCTGCAGCACTTACCCAGTGGGCTCGGGTAGAGGTTGGAGCAGCCCCTGGTGCAAGAAATGGCCATCAAGTCCCCACTGTGTGCCTGGCCTTGGACAGCCCTGCTGTCCAAGGTCATCCATAACAGTGGGGGGAACTGAGGCACAAGGGTAGAGGGTAGGGTTGAAGGACTTACCAGGCCACTGCTGTGGCTCTTGCCCAGGTGACACCCACTTCCTATGCCCATAGGGCTGTCCCCTGACTCCCCATTACCCTCTCAGCTCAGTACTTCCAGCCTCCTTACTCTTGGCTTCTGAGACCCTCCAACACAGAAGGCTTGATCCCTCCACCAAGAACACCGTCCTGCTGGGTGCGGTGGCTCAGGCCTGTAATCCCAGCACTTTGGGAGGCCAAGGCGGGTGGGTCACCTGAGCTCAGGAGTTCGACACTAGCCTGGGAAACATGGTGAAACCCTATCTCCACTAAAAATACAAAAAGTTAGACGGGCATGGCGGCAAGTGCCTGTAGTCCCAGCTACTCGGGAGGTTGAGGCAGGAGAATCGCTTGAACCTGGGAGTTGGAGGTTGCAGTGAGCCACTGAACTCCAGCCTGGGCAACAGAGCGAGACTCCATCTCAAAAAAAAAAAAAAAAAAATCACTGTCCTCCCAGATCACAAGGCTTAGTGCATGCAGGTCCCCACAGAGGTCCTCAGCTCTGTGTAGTCAGGGCTGGAGGGCTGGGCAGGCTGGAAGGGGCTAGGCTCTGCCCAGAGGTGGGAGATAGAATGTATCATGGAGGACGGGACTTTCAGGATGCATAGGAGCTCTCCACACAGACAAGGGACAGAAAAGTCGAAGAAATCACATGTGCAAAGGTCTGGAAGTCACACTGCTTCCTGTTCAACGGAGGGTAAAAGGTGCCAGGAATAACTAGGTACAGGTGAGGCACGGTGGCTCACACCTATCTATAATCGCAGGACTTTGGGAGGCCACAGTGGAAGGATCTTTTGAATTCAGCAGTTTGAGACCAGCCTGGGCAAGAAAGCAAGACTTTGTCTCTACAGAAAAAGTTTAAAATTAGGGCGTGATGGCATGTGCCTGTGGTCCCACCTTCTTTGGAGGCCGAGGTGGGAGAATCCCTTGAGGTTGAGTTAGAGGTTGCAGTGAGGAGGTTGCAGTGAGCCATAACTGTGCCACTGCACTGCAGCCTGGGCGACGGAGCGAGACCCCGTCTCTAAAAAATAAACTGGGTACAGCTGAAGTTAACATAAAAACTAACCAACATATGTTGGACACTAGCTTAGTTTGGAGGTCCCCCAAGAACCAACCCTGAGACAATGACTGTAGGAAACGTGGGATATCTGGGAGAGACCTTTGGTGAGGGTTAGGGAAAGGAGAGGAAGGTAAGGCCCCCTGCATCCTGCAGGGGGCACCAACGAGCAGAGTCCCCCACGTGGGAGGAGACAGGCAGTGGCACCACTGGGTGCCAGGCCTTGGCCAAACAGGTGGCAGCAGCCCCTCACTGAGCCCTGGGGACAGCCCCTATGAGATATTGATCGTCTTTGTATATAAGAAAACTAAGGCTGGGCACAGTGGCTCACGCCTGTAATCCCAACACTTTGGGAGGCCCAGGTGGGTGGATCACCTGAGGTCGGGAGTTCGAGACCGGCCTGACCAACATGGAGAAACCCCGTCTCTACTAAAAATACAAAATTAGCCAGGCGTGGTGGTGCATGCCTGTAATCCCAGCTACTCGGGAGCCTGAGGCAGGAGAATCGCTTGAACCCGGGAGGCGGAGGTTGCAGTGAGCCGAGTTCATGCCACTGTACTCCAGCCTGGGCGACAGAGAGAGATTCCATCTAAAAAAAAAAGCCGGGCGTGGTGGCGGGCGTCTGTGATCCCAGCTACTCTGGAGGCTGAGGCAGGAGAGTCGCTTGAACCCGGGAGGCAGAGTGAGCCGAGGCCACACCATCGCACTCCAGCCTGGGCAAGGAGAGCAAAACTCTGTCTCAAAAAAAAAAAAAAAAAAAGGAAAAGAGAAAGAAAACTAAGTCACCTGCCTGTGTCACATAGCCGGGAAGCACCCAGAGCCGCCAGGAAGGCAGCAGGGGTAGTTTTGGGGCCCAGAATTGGGGCTGAAGATGTCAGCCAGGAAATGAATGGAATAGCCCATATAGCTCCCCACAAATGGAGGCCTGGGTTTGAATCCCACCTCTGACTCTTCTGAGACCTTAGACAAGGTTCTGAATGATCTAAGCCTCAGTTTCTCCGGTAAAATAGGACTAAAAACCGCGCCCAACCCCAGGCTATCTGGAGAATCAAGGAGATGGTACCTGGGAAGGGTACGTGGGGAAGGGCTTGGCCCACATGACCATATTAGGGTCTTTCTGGCTGGGGATGAGAGAAGGTCGGGGACCAATGGTAATCGATCCGAGGGAAGAAGCCGACGGGAGGGCCAGCCAGACACGACTGGGCACACAGGGCCTCGGACGCCAGGCAAAGGAGTGGGGCTTCACCCCAGGACGATGGGGAGCCCCGGTGGGGTTATGAGCAGGGCAGAGAGCCGATCAGAGCGGCGCGTGGCAGGCTCTTCCGGGCGCCTGCAGAGGGACAACTGGTGGACAAGAGTGAGGATGAAACTCAGGACAGGAGCTGAGAGGGTGGTCGTCAGCCCTCGGGCACAAAGACAAGGTGATGACGTTTGTTCCCTGTTACAGAAAGGCCCTTACTCCCTTCGGCTCCTAGCCCCGGCCCCGGCCCCGGCCCCGCCCCCACCCCCGCCCCCGCGGAATCCCAGGCTCGCGCGTGCGCACTGGCAGCAGGGAATCCCCAGCTCCGCCGCAGAGAGCGGGAGGGGGCGTGAGAGGGGAGTTCCGTGCGCGCCCAGCCGGCCCCGCGTGCGTTGCCAGGACGACCGGGCGGGGCCGCGGGGCCGCCGGTCGCTCACTGCGCCTGCGCGGGGGTGCTCGCCATTTGCGCCGGGGCTTTCCCGTCGCGCGCCAGCAGAAGAGGGGATGCCGCGCCCAGCGCGCATGCGTCGGCCCCACCCGACACCCCCCGCCCCCCGCCCCCAACCCACCCACCCTGAGGGCCGGGGAATCCTCACCCGCCGCAGTGCGCATGGGGGCGGGGCGGGGAAACCGGTTCAAACCGGAGTGGGGTTTGCCGAGGAGGTGGCGGGGGAGGGAGCGAGAGCGGGGTCTTCCCGAGGTTCCCACTCCGGCCCCCGCCGTTGCCTTAGCAACCGGGCGCGCGGGCCGCAGTGCGCGGGCGGCGGCGGCCTCGGGGAAGCCGGGTGGCTCTGCGCCTGCGCGGGGCTCCGCGCCTGCAGCCGGGGTTCCCCCTCGAGCACCGGGGGGACGGCGGGGGAGTAGAGGATGGGCGCGGGGGAGCGGGTGCTGGGGAGGAAGAGACCGTGGGGGAAGAGACGGCGCGGGAGGAAAGAAGGGGAGGAGGGGTGGGTGCCGAGGAGGGGGCGGTGGGGGAAAACGCAATGGGTAGGGACTGTAGGGAGGGGTGCAGGGAGAGGCGAGCCTGGGGATGCGCGCCAGGGAGGGGGTGACGGGGGAGAGCGTAGAGGGAGGGGGACGACAAAGGCGGAGGGGGATGGGAGGGGGAGCTTAGGGAGTAGAGAAGGGATATGGACAAGGAGAGGGGTACACTGGGCCAGTGGGGGCGATGGGAGGGGGAGCTGGGGGACACCTTAGGCACCTGCAGTCTCCCGCCCAGCAGATTGGTCTGCGAGGGTGGGGGTTGCTGTGCCAGAAAGTCAGGATCTTCGAGTCCGAGCTTAAGGTTTCCAGATTTAGAAAAAAAAAATAAAAAAACAGGGCGCCCACTTAAACTTGACTTTCAGATAAACGAGCAATTTTTTATTATAAGTATGTCCCATTCCGTGTCCTCTACTTTATCCCGCAGCCCTAATCTGGGCTATTGTCGTTCCCCCCCACCCCCCAATTTACACACCATCTGTCCCTATCCTTTTCGAAAGCTGTGCGGACCCTCGCGGAAGACGCCTTTGTCTCCCGCCTGCCTAGCGCCCCACAGCCCGGCATGTGGGGTGTACCCCCGGGCCCCGTCATCCCCTCCCCCAGCCATCTGCCGTCCTCCTGGCCTTGAACAACAGCCTGAAGTCGAGTCCGGGCTAGGCAGGGGAAAGCGCAAAGGTGCAGCACGCACCCTCGGGGATTTTCTCAGCGCTCCTCACCCCCCACGACCTCCAAACCCTCCGCTATGGGCCTGGCCCTGCCAAGGCCACATCGCCCCGCGGGTCCCAGACACCCGCACCTTCTCCTTCTCCAGGAACCTCCAGGGCTCTGCTTTCGGGCAGCCTCCCTCACTCTCTGGGCACAAAAGCACACAGGCACGTAGTAGGTGCTCATGAAAAAAAACATTTGAGGGTGATTTTAGGGAGGCAAGTGCAGGTGAGGGAGTGTTGCATTTCTCGACACGGACAACTGCGTCCTCATCCCATGGGGACATATACCCTCTCTGGGCCTTTGTCCCCTCCAACAAAGCAATTTCCCTTTTATCCTTCCCTTTGGTTTCAAAAAGTGTAAGATAACAAAACACTTTGTTTTGTTATCAAAACACAATCAAAGGGGGGAAAGGTCAGCCCCCCAGGGGTCCCTGGCCCTGGGCTGCCCCCAGCGTCTCCCCCAACACTTCCCCAACTTGCCACGTTCGCTTCTTTTACTTATTCGCCATCGGAACGGTGGAACATTTGCGCCTCCGGCCTGGCTTCTGCTCAACCGGCCAGGAGCTCGGTCCCTGCGGATCATTTTCCCCAGGGGCATATTATTCCGGAAACGGGCTAAGCGGTCCCGGGTTGGGGACACGTCGGCTCCTGTGTTTTTAGTTTCGCTGGCCTAGGTGACCCCCCTGCAGAAGACGGCTGTGGATCTGCTGTGCCGTGTCTTGGAGGCATTTCTAGGGCGGCTAGCTGGGCAAAGGGTGGTGCTGTCCCTTTATTTGGAGCTAGGTAGCTCCTGGGGTGGTGCTGGGTCGGGAGCGGCCCTCTCCTCCCATCAGCTAGGACCAAGTTGCACCTGGCCCCTCATTCCCAGGGGCGGAGAGAGGAGAAGATGAAAGAGCAAGCAAGTTCACACCAGGGCTTGAGGGCAGTGAGAACAGTAAACCAGGGCGACGTGCCCAGAGAAGGGGCGACTCTAGGGAAGAGGCGACCTTGGATGGAGCCCTGAAGAGCCCTGTGGGAACAGGGGGTGAGGAGAGCCAGGGAAGGGCGATCCCGGCCCAAGAAACCGCAGATGCAAAGGCTCTGAGGCTGAACCGGTTAGGGGGAGAAGCTGGGCGTGTCCAGAATGTGGTGGGCGGTCCAGGGAGACCGCGGAGGGATTGGAACAAAGGGTGGGCGTTGTGGGGGGCAGACCGCGTCGGCCTGTGAGGAGTCAGGGTGCTCCTCTTGGTTCAAGAAGAGAAGGGAGGTGGGGGGAGGGCGGTCATGCGGGACAGGGACGTGACCTGTCACACGGGTGAGGACTGAAGTCTGTGGCTGCGTCAGGGAGAAGGACTGTGGCGGGGACAGGAGGAGCCGCGGGAGTGGGGAGGATTTTCGGGCTCCACTGGGCGATTGTGGGGTCCACGGGGCGTGGGGGAATCCCCTGATCATGGGTGTCCTTGTCACTTCTGCAGCCTGACTCTCCTTCACTGTGTCTGACTAAAGCATGGGTCGCAGCCTTCCCCAACAGGGGCGGGAAGTCCCCCCCGGGGAGGGTGTTGGGTGGCACCCCTTGTCCTCGGCTCCTGCGAACCCACCGGCTCTCTGCCTCCACAGTGCAGACCCGAAGGCCTCCTCCCCTTTGTTCTTTTTCCCTCCACACGGTCACGGTCACACCGGCGGCTCCCTCTGAGCGCATCTCACACACAATGGGGGTGGGGGGTGCGCTCCCAGTTTCCCCTCCTCTCAGTATCGGCGTCCCCGAGCCCCGCCCGCGCCACGGAATCCCGGCCTCCAGACCCCGCCCGGGAAGCTCGTTACCTTTCCAGAGAGGCTCCCCGCCGGGGGGCTGGGGAGGGGGGAGGGCTATTTTTAGAATGAATGGAAGAAAAGAGAGGAAAAAAAACAAAAAACAAAAACCAGAATGGAGGTTTGTAGAAGCCTCCCTGCTTCCAAGAGGAACCCCCCTCCCTGTCCCCTGCCTGAAGGTGGCTGAAGGTCCCCACCAAGGCTGAAGGTGGGTGGGGGTTCAGAGACGGGGCGGAGCAGGGGACTTCGAGGAGGAACACGGTGGTCTGAGCTGGAGCCACGCTTTCTGTTGGAGGGGGCAGCTGAAGGAGAACAGCAAGACATATCCGGCGGCCCTACGGACTCGGAGAGCTGGAGGGACCCCGGAGGTGGGCACTTGTCCGTTCGCTGAAGGGAAACTGAGGCTCAGAAAGGGGCTTGGCAGGGCCGAGGTCACGGAAAGGGCTTGCCCCTGGACTTCTCCCTCCCATCCCCTACCGAGCCAGACCCCGCGAGCCACATTGTTCTAAGGTGGCAGAGTGACCTTCACAACTCTGCCACCCAAGCCCGGGCCAGTCAGGCTCAAGAGGTTCCTAATCGCGCAGGTTGGGGGGAGGGTGTCACCAGCCCAACAATGAAATAGAGAAGTTTTCTGTGGTTTGGTTCTGGCCACCCAGGCTCCCCCTTCCTAGCTGGGACCTTCCAGCCCGGTCAACGTCGCCAGCTGCCCGAAGCCTCTGGGTCCCCCGATCCTCCCCAGTGGCGTGGTGGGGAGGCTTTAATTGTCTGCCTTCCTCTCTCCCTGACTCTCTTCTTTCCCGGAGCTGAGAGAGCGGCCCCCCAGAGTGAGGGGAGCAGCCCTGTTCCGTGCTGCTGGGACACTGGGCCCTGGCCAGGGGCTTCCGCTCTCCGGGCCTCAGTTTCCCCGTCTGTAAGATGAGCACCTTGGGCCAGAGGCGGCAGAGGGTCCTCCCATCTCTTTGACCGTCTTCTAAGATTTGCTGTCACGCCCCTGGGTGGAGGGGGGAGAGTGGGCTTTGGCGAGAGACCTGGAGGGGGATTCCATCCCTGCTTTAGAGGAGACGCCTTGCGGGGGGGAGGGCCCCGGCTGTGGCCGCGACGGACTGCCTCCCTCGGCCTGCGGGGTCCGCGCCCCCTCCCCGGGCGGCGGGGCGGGGCCCAGGTCGGCGGGGAGGGGGTCGGCTCTGCGGCGGCGCGCGCACACCCTCCCGGCTCACACGCCCTTGCCCGGCCGTGCACTTGTCTTCGCGCTCGGGCAGGGCGCAGGGACTCCGGCTGCGGCGGCCGACTCCGGCCGGTGAGTGGCAGTGGGGGGCACGGCGGGGAGCGTTCGGTCCCGGCGGCGGTCCCCTTCTCTTTGGTGGGCGGATTGGTCAAAGCTTGCCCGACTCCGGGAATTCAAAGGGGAGCTGCGGGAGGAGGGGGACATCCCTTCTTCAACCCCCGCCTCCAACACCGATCCCGGGAGTCAGCTCCTGACCCCACCCCCATGCCCTGTGAGGAGGGGGTTCCTGCTTCCAGGTCTGGGGAAGCGCAGACATCCCCCTCCCTCCGCGAGGTGAAGGTGGGGACATGGGGATCCTCCACGCCTGCACCCTCCTCAGTGGTGGGGGGAAAGCACCGCTGGTTCCCGTTGCCCCCTCCTCCCTCTCTGTCCCCTCAGGTTTCTCCCTTTCTCCTTGCGTTGTGGCGGGGATTCCCTGTGCTGGCCAGGCTGCGCAGTAGGAGGGAACCCCCCACCTGCCAGCCTACTGTGCGCTGGGCTCCGGGTTCCTGTTCTTTTCCCTAAGCTCCCTCCCTTCCCCCCTCCCCTCTCCCGGACAGGAGGAGGGGCTGAGGCCCAGAGAGGGTTACCACTCGCCCAAGGTCACCCAGCTGGGCTGGGGCAGAGCAGGTTTCTGGTCAGATCCACGAATCCCGGGACCCAGCTGGGGAGGTCAGCTTTGGGATCCTCTGCCCCCGCCGCCGTTTAACCCTGAGCGTGGGTTGCCAGGGCCCCAGAACTGGGGGGATTCCTTACTTTCTCCAAGTTTCTCCTCTGGCTAGAGACCCAGACAGGACTGAGCCAAGAAGCCCCGGCCTCGCTCTCTTCCGGGGCTCCCAGATCTCACCTCCTCTTGTCCCCCGTGTGCCCCCGCTCCCAGCCTCCTCAGGCTGCCCAAGACCTCATCAAAGGAAATCCCTGGGGGGAGGGGGCTTATAGATGGGGAAGTCAAAGCTTCTGGAGCCACGGAGGAGATAATTTTTACTCCGACGCAGCAACCCGCTGAGTGACCTTGGACAAGGCCCTGCCCTCCCAAGGCTAGGGTCAGCACCAAGTCCCCCTGGCTGGAACAGGTGGCCCCTGAGCCATCCAAGGTGACCATTGCCCCGATCCCAGGTCCTGGTGAGAGAAAGGGCAGCTGGGGGTTTCCCCTTCAGTCCTGTTCTGGGGTCTGGCATTGCCCCTGCCCTCCATGGGGTGTCCTTTTCTGCCCTCTTCTCCAGGATCGGACTTGGGTACCATGTGCTTCTATAAGCCCTCTGCAGACAGCACTAAATAGATGGAGGGAGCACGCCAAGGGAGCTACAGGCTCCCAGGGCAGCTTCAGAGCTGGGGAGCAAGAGTTCAGCTGCTCTGCCAAGCGAGGTGGTTCACAACTGTAATCCCAACACTTTGGAAGGGCGAGGCAAGCTCAGGAGTTCGAGACCAGCCTGGGCAACGTACTGAAACCCTGTCTCTACAAAAAATTAAAAAAATTAGCCAGGTGTAGTGGTGCACACTTGTAGTCCAAGCTACTTGGGGGCCGAAGGTGGGAGGATCGCTTGAGCCCGGGAAGTCAAGGCTGCAGTGAGCCATGTTCATGCGACTGCACTCCAGCCTGGGTGACAAAATGTCACCTCCCTGAATGTCACCCACCTAGATCTCCCCATGGCGAAGGAACTAGGGGCAATGTGAGGGGGTGAGCAGGAACAGCATTGGGAAAGACAGATAAAGCATTCAGTGTCTAGCTTCTGGAGCCCAGTGAAAGGAGGAGTGGCCTTAGGGAGGGGACATGGAAGAGGTGGGGCTAGCCCAGGGCCCCATTGGAGTGATAAAGCCACTGTTCTTAAGCTTCCTGAAAGCTTAGGAGATGACCCAGCTCAGCAACACCAAGCCAGAGCGCAGATCTGCTGTAAAGACCATTGTACGTAATAGGCTGAAGCAGGTGAATCACCTCTGGCCAGGAGTTCAAGTCCAGCCTGGCCAACACAGCAAAACCCCATCTCTACTAAAAATACAAAAAGTAGCCGGGCATGGTGGCAGGCACCTGTAATCCCAGATGCTTGGGAGGCTGAGGCAGGAGAATTGTTTGAACCCTGGAGGCGGCAGTTGCAGTGAGCTGAGATCACATCACTACACTCCAGCCTGGGTGACAGAGCAAGACTCTGTCTCAAAAAAATAAAAAATAAGAAAGACCACTGTAGTCCGGGAGCTGTCTGCACCCTACTCTTTTGGGTCCCCGCCTCCACCCCGCACCCCCTGTCTGATCATTACAGATCTCAAAGGGACAGGAAAGGCAGCAGCAGCCACCCTCTCTCCCAGTCAAGTGGTCACCAGCAGGACTGAAGGGGACAGCCCCTTTGCAGTGGCTCGGCGAGGAGACCCCTGCACCCTAGGGTGAGTGAATCCCAGACTTGGGTCGCCTTTGGGGGTGGGGGTGGCTCAGGGGTTGGATAGAAAAATTGGTAACTGGGCAGGCTAGGTGGCTCACGCCTGTAATCCCAGCACTTTGGGAGGCTGAGGCAGGTGGATCACTTGAGGTCAGGAGTTTGAGGCCAGTTTGGCCGACATGGCGAAACCCCGTGTCTACTAAAAATACAAAAATTGCCCGGGGATGGTGGTGGGCACCTGCAATCCTAGCTACTTGGGAGGCTGAGGCAGGAGGACCACTTGAATCCGGGAGGCAGAGGTTGCAGTGAGCCAAGATCGCGCCACTGCACTCCAGCCTGGGCGACAGAGCAAAGCTCTGTTTCAAAAAAAAAAAAAAAAAGGTGACCTGAGGAAAAAGTGCCAGCTTTTGAAATAATAACAAGCTGGGTACAGTGGCGTGCACCTGTGGTCCTAGCTACTCGGAAGGCTAAGGTGGGAGTATCGAGTCCAGGAGTTCGAGGCTGCAGTGAGCTATGATCACGCTTGTGAATGGCCACTGCACTCCAGCCTAGGCGACAGAGCGAGACCCCCATCTCTTTAATTAAAAAAAAAAAAAAGAAAAAAGGCCAGACGTGGTGGCTTACGCTTGTAATCCCAGCACTTTGGGAGGCCAAGGCAGGCAGATCACCTGAGGTCAGGAGTTCGAGACCAGCCTGGCCAACAGGGTGAAACCCCCATCTCTACTAAAAATACAAAATTAGCCAGGCATGGTGCTGCATGCCTGTAATCCCAGCTACTTGGGAGGCTAAGGCAGGAGAATCACTTGAACCCAGGAGGCGGAAGTTGCAGTGAGCCGAGATTGTGCCATTGCACTCCAGCCTGGGCAACAAGAGTGAAACTCCATCTCCAAAAAAAAAAAAAAAAAGAAAGAAAGAAAAAAAATAATAATATAATTATTATTATATCATATATATCATGATGATGATAGCAAGGACTATGCTTTCTAGAGCCTCCGGGGAGTTACTGTCCACTTTCTTTGATCACTGGAGTTGGGGAAACTATTCAGAGAGGCCAGATGACCTAGAAGTGGGGTGTTGAGCCAGGTTGGAAGAGCTCTGTCCCACCACTCCCGCCCCCGCCCCCCACACACAGCCTCTACTTCCCGGCTCTCGTGGTCTCGCTGGAGACAGCCCCCAGGGTAGGCCAGCTCTGTGGAAGGCAGCTCCTGTGCTCCTTTCTCCAGTGAACTTTTTTTTTTTAGTTTTGTTTTGTTTTGTTTTGTTTGTTTGTTTTGAGACAGAGTCTGACTCTGTCGCCCAGGCTGGAGCGCAGTGGCATGATCTTGGCTCACTGCAACCTCCACCCTCCACCCCACCGGGTTCAAGCGATTCTCCTGCTTCAGCCTCCCAAGTAGCTGGGATTACAGGCATGCGTCACCACGCACAGCTAATTTTTGTGTTTTCAGTAGAGATGGGGTTTCCCCATGTTGGCCGGGCTGGTCTCGAACTCCTGACCTCAGGTGATCCACCTGTCTTGGCCTCCCAAAGTGCTGGGATTGCAGGCGTGAGCCACTGAGCCAGGCCTCCTTGGTGAACACTGACTGACATCCAGGGTCAGCACTAAGCTGCCCATGGGGGTGTGGAGAAAACAGAGGTGGTGGTCATTTAGTCAATCAACAAACACTGAGCAAGCTAGCTACTGTCTGCCAGGCCCTAGGCTGGATGCTGGGATGCAATAAGGACAAAGGCCAGCCCAGGTCAGCCCTTGTGGAATTTCATGGGGCATCAATTAAGCTTAAGTGTTTTGTGCTGGATACAGTGGCTGATGCCTGTGATCCCAGAACTTTGGGAGGCCAAGACAGGAGGATCACTTGAGCTCAGGAGCTTGAGACCAGCCTGGGCAATGTAGCAAGAACCCATCTCTACAATTTTTTTTTTTTTAAATTAACCAGTGGGGTGGTGCATGTGTGTGGTCCCAGCTACTCTGGAGGCTGAGATGGGGGGATCACTTGAGCCCAAGAGGTCGAGGATACAGTGGGCTATGATTGAACCACTGTACTGTAGTCTGGGTGACAGTGAGACTCTGTCTCAGAAAGAAAGCGAGAAAGAGAGAAAGGGGGCCAGGTGTGGTGGCTCATGCCTGTAATCCCAGCACTTTGGGAGGCCGAGGTGGGCGGATAATGAGGTCTGGGGATAGAGACCATCCTGCATGGTGAAACCCCGTCTCTACTAAATACAAAAAATTAGCCAGGGGTGATGTCGGGAGTGCCTGTAATCCTAGCTACTCAGGAGGCTGAGGCAGGCAGGAGAATCGCTTGAACCAGGGAGTTGGAGGTTGCAGTGAGCCGAAATTGCAGCACTGCACTCCAGCCTGGCGACAAAGCGAGACTGTCTCAAAAAACAAAACAAAACAAAACAAAAAAACAAAAAACAGAGAAAGGGAGGGAGGGAGGGACAGAGGGAGGGAGGAAGGAAGGAAGGAAAGGATGGAGGGAGAGAGAGAAAAAAAGGAGAGGAGAGGGGAGGAGAGGAGAGGGGAGGAGAGGGGAGGAGAGGAGAGGGGAGGGGAGGGGAGGGGATGGTGGGGAAGGGGAAAGGGAAAGGGAAAGGGGAAAGGGAAAGGGAGAAGAGAGAGAGGGAGGGTAGGAGGGAGGGAGAGAGAAAAAAAGAAGGAAGGAAAGAAGGAAGGAAGAAAAGAAAGAAGAAAGAGGAAGGGAGGGAGGGAAGGAAGAAAATTGTTTTGTATTAGGAAGAAAATAGAATATGAGGATGTATTAGTGACCAGAGGAGCAGGGAAGCCTCTTGTAAAAGTCAGAGAGGCCTCTCTAGGGCAGTGATCATGAGCTGAGACTTGAAGGAAGAGGAGGAACTGGCCTGCTGACAGCTGGGGGAACAGCATACCCAGCAGAGGGAACCACATGTGCAAAGGTCCTGAGGTGGGAATGAGCTTGGCGTGTTTGAGGAACAGTGAGGAGGCTGCTGTGGCTGGAACAGAGTGAGTGGGAGAGAGGAGGAAGATGAAGGCAAGATCGGCAGGTAGGAGCCAAGCTACAAGGAACTCAGCGGCTGCAGTGAGGGTGTGGACTTCAGAGCAATGGGGAACCATGGCAGGTGTGTGAGCAGGGGAGAGGCATGGTCTCAGTTAGGATTTTCAGAAGCCCTGTGGCTGCTGTGGAGAGCAGGGCAGGAGTGGAGGTGGCAGGAGCCCAGAGTGGAGGCCCAGGAGATGTCTGGTGGTTTCAGCTGGGTTGGTACCAGGGTAGAGCCTCAGATGGAAAAAAGTGGGCACATTCTGGGACTGGGTTGGGGATGGAGGATGAAATGTGGCCAGGTTTCCATCTCATGCCAAGTAGCTACTGTGAGAGAAGGGAGCACTCATTGTGCTTGGGGAAACCTGGGAAGGCATCCTGGAGGAGGTGCTCTTTGGGCTGAGCCTGGAAGGTCAAGTAGAAGCTTGCCAGCAGATAAGGCTGGGGTCATGTGGGATCTAACTGCTCAAATGCCAGGGGATCACTGAGCACCCAGAATCTGGGGCAGTATAATCAGATTTGTAACCAAGAAAGATCCCTGTAATCCCAGCACTTTGGGAGGCCAAGGTATGAGGATCACTTGAGGACAGGAGTTCAAGAACAGCCTCAGCAACATGGCAAGACCCCATCTCTACAAAAGGAAAAAAAATAGCTAGGCATGGTAGCACACACGTAGCCCCAGCTACTCAGGAGGCTGAGGTGGGAGGATCACTTGAGGACAGGAGATCGAGGCTGCAGTGAGCTCTGACTGCACCACTGCACTCCAAACTGCTGCGAGACAACAGGAGACCCTGTCTCTTTTTTTTTTTTTTTTTTTTTTTGATACAGGGTCTCACTCTGTCATCCAGGCTACAGTGCAGTGATGCAATCTCAGCTCACTGCAACCTCCACCTCCCAGGCTCAAGTGATTCTCGTGCCTTAACCTCCTGGGTAGCTTGGGACTATAGATAGGTGCCTGCCACCGTGCCCGGCTAATTTTTATTTTATTTATTTATATTTTCAATTGTATTTATTTATTTATTTATTTATTTATGAGACGGAGTCTTGCCTCGTCGCCCAGGCTGGAGTGCAGTGGCGCGATCTCGGCTCACTGCAAGTTCTGCCTCCCAGGTTCACGCCACTCTCCTGCCTCAGCCTCCCGAGTAGCTGGGACTACAGGCGCCCGCCACCACGCCTGGCTAATTTTTTTTTGTATTTTTAGTAGAGACGGGGTTTCACCGTGTTAACCAGGATGGTCTCGATATCCTGACTTCGTGATCCACCCGCCTCGGCCTCCTAAAGTGCTGGGATTACAGGCGTGAGCCACCACGTCCAGCCCTATTTATTTATTTATTTATTTATTTATTTATTTTGGAGACGGAGTCTTGCTCTGTCGCCCAGGCTGGAGTGCAATGACGTGATCTCGGCTCACTACAACCTCTGCTTCCCAGGTTCAAGCGATTCTCCTGCCTCCTGCGTCAGCCTCCCGAGTAGCTGGGATTATACGCGTGCGCCACCACACCCAGCTAATTTTTTGTATTTTTAGTAGAGACGGGGTTTCACCATGTTGGCCACGCTGGTCTTGTTTTTTGTTTTGTTTTGTTTTGTTTTTTTTGAGACAGAGTCTCGCTCTGTCGCCCAGGCTGGAATGCAATGGTGCGTTCTCAGCTCACTGCAACCTCCGCCTCCTAGGTTCAAGTGATTCTCTGCCTCAGGCTCCTGAGTAGCTGGGATTACAGGCACCTGCCACCACGCCTGGCTAATTTTTGTATTTTTAATAGAGACGGGGTTTCACCATGTTGGCCAGGCTGGTCTTGAACTCCTGACCTCATGATCCACCCACCTCGGCCTCCCAAAGTGCTGGGATTACAGGTGTGAGCCACCGCACCCGGTTATATTTTTTCAATTTATTCTTTATTTTAGTAGAGACAGGGTTTCATCATGTTGCCCAGGCTGGTCTTGAATCCCTGAGCTCAGGCAATCAGCCCAACTTGGCTTCCCAAAGTGCTAGGATTACAGGCATGAGCCATGGGACCCTGTCTCTTAAAAATAAAAAAATGATTCCCTCTAGGTGGGGGGCTCTGGGGGAGGTTACACCCGAGTGAAAGAGTTCAAGAGGTGCTTTTGAAATAGTCCAGGTCAGCTGGACGCGGTGGCTCAGGCCTATAATCCTAGCACTTTGGGAGGCTGAGGTGGGCGGATCACGAGGTCGGGAGTTTGAGACCAGCCTGGCCATCATGGTGAAACCCCGTCTCTACTAAAAATACAAAAATTAGCCGAGCGTGATGGTGGGCACCTGTAATCCCAGCTACTCAGGAGGCTGAGACAGGAGAATCACTTGAACCCAGGAGGTGGAGGTTGCAGTAAGCGGAGACTGTGCCACTGCACTCCAGCCTGGGCAACAGAGTGAGACTCCATCTCAAAAAAACTAAACCAAACAAAAAAACAAAAAAAAAAAAGAAAAAGAAATAGTTCAGGTAATGGTCAGGCCAGTTGCAGCTGTAAGCATTCATGGAGCACTAGTGCTGAACCTCATGCCACTGGCCTCCAATGAGGCCATATCATTGCCTTGCAGAGGAAATGGAGGCCTAGAGTTACAAGTCCCTTGTCCACAATCACTGCCTTCATTCCTGTGGCTGCCACCACAAATGACCATGAGCTGGATGACTTACAACCACACAAAGTTGGCCAGGCGGGGTGGCTCACGGCTGTAATCCTAGCACTTTGGGAGGCCGAGGCGGGTGGATCACCTGAGGTCAGGAGTTCGAGACCAGCCTGGCCAACATGGTGAAACCCTGTCTTTACTAAAGATACAAAAATTAGCCAGGCGTGGTGGTGGGTGCCTATAATCCCAGCTACTCGGGAGGCTGAGGCAGGAGAATCGCTTGAACGTGGGAGGCGGAGGTTGCAGAGAGCCAGGATCTCACCACTGCACTCCAGCCTGGGTGACAGGAGCGAAACTCTGTCTCAAAAAAAAGAAAAGAAAAGAAAAGAAAAACACACAAAAAGTTGTGCTGTCACAGTTCTAGAGGCCAGAAGTCCAAAATCAAGGTGTTGGTGGTGTTGCCTTCCCTCCGGAGGCTCTCAGGAGGATCCTTTCCTGCCTCTTCCAGCCTCTGGTGGCTCCTGGTGTTCTTTGGCTGTGTCACCCCCACCTCTGTCTCTGTTTTCACATGACCTTCTCCCTGTTTGTCCATCTGTATCCTCATATGGGCTTCGTATTAAAAAAAACAGTTGTTAGATCAGAGCCCACCCTAATCTACCATGAGCCCCTCTTCATTGGGTGGGCCAAAGCAGGTAGATCACTTGAGGCCAGGAGTTGGAGACCAACCTGGTCAACATGGTGAAACCCCGTCTCTATTAAAAATATAAAAATTAGCCGGCTGTGGTGGTGCGCGTCTGTAATCTCAGCTACTCAGGAGGCTGAGGCAGGAGAATTGCGTGAACCCAGGAGGCGGAGGTTGCAGTGAGCCGAGATCACACCACTGCACTCCAGCCTGGGCAACAGAGTGAGACTCTGACTCAAAAAAAAAAAAAAAAAAAAACCCAGAAACCAGTTATTAGATCAGAGCCAGAACTAACCCACTATGACCCCCTCTTCATTTAACTACATCTGCAAAAACCTTGTTTCCAGGCCAGGCACAGTGGTTCACGCTTATAATCCCAGCACTTTGGGAGGCTGAGATGGGAGCCTCACTTGAGCCCAGGAATATGAGAGCAGCCTGGGCAACATAATGAGACCTCGTCTCTACATTTAAAAACAAAAAGAAAAGAAAAAGAAACAGGAGAATCTCTTAAGCCCAAGAGATAGAGGCTGCAATGGGCGTGATCGTGCCACTGCACTCCAGTGTGGGTGAGAGAGTGAGACCCAGCTTCAAAAACAAAAGAAACAAAACCCTATTTTCTTTCTTTCTTTCTTTCTTTCTTTTTTTTTTTTTGAGACGGAGTCTTGCTTTGTTGCCCAGGCTGGAGTGCAATGGCACAATCTTGGCTCACTGCAACCTCTGCCTCCCAGGTTCAAGCAGTTCTCCTGCCTCAGCACCCCCTAGTAGCTGAGATTACAGGCGCGTGCTACCATGCTCAGCTAAGTTTTATATTTTTAGTAGAAACAGGGTTTCACCATATTGGCTAGGCTGGTCCTGGTCTCTAATTCCTGACCTCAGGTGATCCACCCGCCTCGGCCTCCCAAAGTGCTGGGATTACAGGCATGAGCCACTGAGCCTGGCCAAAAAAACCCCTATTTTCAAATAAGGTCCAAGGTTCTGGGGAGGACTCAAATTTTGGGGGGTCACGATTCAAACCAGTCCACCTGCGTAGCAAGACATTGGGGTTTGGAGTCAAACCTTTGCTCCTCTATGGAGCTGCCACAGTGGGGAGAGAGGGGTTCCCTGGAGCAAATTTATGGGATCGGTTGGACCCACTGGATGTGGGGGTGGTAAAGGAAGGAGGCTAGAGCCTTCTAGCCTGAGCGTGAGGAGGGAGGGGCGCTCATGTCTGAATGGACAGGATGGGACAGTCCCAGGGTGGGGCCGCTGGTGGGCATGACAGGGGCTCCCTGACAGCCTTGGATGCTTTTTGGGGACTCCTTGCTTATGATGGAGCTGCTACCCTGCCTGCCTGTCACGCCCAGGCTCCCACTTCCTGCTCTAGGGCTGAGAACACAGCAGGCAGCCCATGGGGAGAACCGGGAAGGATCAGGCCCAGTCCCTCCCCTCCCATCCTGTGCCCCTTTTTCCTCCGTGTTCTGTCTGCAGGGCCCTTGTGTATTTATCATATCAAAGCCGGTCTTGTCTTCTGGCCTGAAACTGGGAGTCTGGGGGACTTTGTGTGTCTTTACCACCACAGTGTCCCTGCCTTAGAGTACAAGTCCTGCACACAGGAGGTGCTCAGTAGATGCTGATGGAAGGAATCCCAGGTCCCTGAATCCCGAGAGCTCAGGAACAAGCCCTCTGCGACACCTGCCCCAGCTCCCACCCTGGTATTCCCACTCCGCTTCCTGCCCCTGCAGTTCCCAGGAGCCCGAGGGAGCCAACACTCCAGATCTTGTTTTTTTTTTTTCTTTTTGAGATGGTGTCTTGCACTGTCACCCAGGCTGGAGTGCAGTGGCGTGACCTCGGCTCACTGCAACCTCTGCCTTCTGGGTTCAAGCGATCTTCTGCCTCAGCCTCCCGAGTAGGTGGGATTACAGCGCCACCACGCCTGGCTAATTTTTTGTATTTTTAGTAGAGATGGGGTTTCACTATGTTGGCCAGGCTGGTCTTGAACTCCTGACCTCATGATCCGCCTGTCTTGGCCTCCCAAAGTGCTGGGATTACAGGCGTGAGCCACCACGCCCAGGCTTTTTTTTTTTTTTTTTTTTTTTGAGACGGAGTCTTGCTCTGTCAAGCCCAGGCTGGAGTGCAGTGGCGCGATCTCGGTTCACTGCAAGCTCCGCCTCCTGGGTTCACGCCATTCTCCTGCCTCAGCCGCCAGAGTAGTTGGGATTACAGGCGCCCGCCACCACGCCACACCCGGCTAAGTTTTTTGTATTTTTAGTAAAGACGGGGTTTCACCGTGTTAGCCAGGATGGTCTCGATCTCCTGACCTCGTGATCCGCCTGCCTCAGCCTCCCAAAGTGCTGAGATTGCAGGAGTGAGCCACTGCACCCGGCCACCTTTTTTTTTTTTTTTGAGATAGAGTCTCACTCTGTCGCCCAGGCTGTAGTGCAGTGGCACAGTCTTGGCTCACTGCAACCTCCACCTCCCAAGTTCAAGCGATTCTCCTGCCTCTCAGCCTCCCAAGTAGCTGGGATTACAGTTGCCCACCAACACACCCGGCTAATTTTTTGTATTTTTGGTAGAGACAGGGTTTTGCCATGTTGGCCAGGTTGGTCTCGAACTCCTGACCTCAGGTGATCTGCCCTCTTTGTCCTCCCGAAGTGCTGAGATTATAGGCATGAGCCACCACACCCAGCTCAAATGATTTCTCTTCTAAGAGACTTCCCTGACCACCCTAACTCAAGTCTCCCTGTCCTCGTTCTTAGTTCTTTCAACTTTTTTGGATCTCTTCCTGATACTTCTGATACTTTTTTTTTTTTTTTTGTGAGATAGGGTCTTGCTTTGTTGCCCAGGCTGGAGGGCAGAGGCATGATCACAGCTCACTGTGGTCTCCACCTCCTGGGCTCGAGCGATCTTCCTGCCTCAGCCGCCCGAAGGAGCTGGGACTACGGGCACATGGCTCCACGCCTAGCTAATTTTTAAAAAATTTTTGTAGAGACAGGGTCTCGCTATGTTGCCTAGGCTGGACAGTACTTTTGTGTATCTAAAATTCTCAGTTTTATTTCCCTCTTTGGAGAGGGTTGTCCCCCTCTTCTAGAAAGCCAGCTTCAAGAGGGGCACGGTTTGTATCTCTCTAGGGTGCTGCATTCCCCAGCACCAGGCTCAGAGAAGGGGCTATGTGGATATGTGAATGAATGAATGAATTAGTGAATGAATGAATGAATCAGTGAATAAATAAATGGCTGAATGAGTGAATATCTTACCCTTGCCATCCTGACACTCACTGGGGCCCAGGTTCCAGCTTCCATCCGGGCAGTCCGGGCTGGGTCCAAGATTTCAGTGGATGCACCTGTGGAGGGGTGCTGGGGATGGAGGTGTAGGGAGATGCTCGTGTGGCCAGGCCACTCCCTGCTCCGGCCACTACCTTTGTGTCCCTGAGCTCCTGTGAACGTCTTCCAGTTCTCTTGCACCCAGACCCTTAGACACTGCCCAGAGACCAGAGGCCCAGCCCTCAGGCCCCCTGCGGAGGGGCTTGCTCTCCAGCCGCCTCCACCATGCTTGACGTTTGCAGAGGACACAGCCTGTGCGCAAGGCAGTTTCCCAGGGCATGAGTCCCGGGGGCGTCTTGGCTGCCTGACAGGCTCACTTGCAGGCTTCTTGGGTCTCTTCCAGCCAACCATGGGCTGATGAGAGGCTCTGCCTGGAACGGAGACCCAGACAGCCCCCACCAGAAGTCCCACCTCCATCCAACCTTGACTCCCATTCATGCTGCCAACCTTGTCTCTGAGGGGTGGGATTCCAGCAGGTGGCAGGACTGACTCAGGTGGGAGGCAAGGCCGTTGATCACCAGATTGATTGTCCAAGTTCCACTTCTTGATGGGGGCAGTCCCCGATCCCTCAGGGCAGGTGAATGCAAAGGAGAACAAGCACAGGTCTTTTCAGAGGGAGAAGGTGGGTACAGGGGCTTCAGGGCGTGGGCAGGGGTGCAGGGGATTGGGGGCAGTGGAGTGCTGTGGCTGATGTTTTTGTGAATTTCGGGACAGTTACATGTTAGACTTGAATTCAAAAAGCATCTGGCCAGGCGCGGTGGCTCACGCCTGTAATCCCAGCACTTTGGGAGTGGATCGCTTGAGGTTAGGAGTTCGAGACCAGCCTGGCCAACATGGTGAAACCCCGTCTCTACTAAAATTACAAAAATTAGCCAGGTTTGGTGGTGCACGCCTGTAATCCCAGCTACATTGGAAGGCGGAGGCATGAGAATTGCTTGAACCCAGGAGGTGGAGGTTTAGAGGTTGCAATGAGTGGAGATCGTGCTGCTGCACTCCAGCCTGGGCGACAAAGTGAGACTCTGTCTCAAAAAAAAAAAAAGAAAGAAAAAAGCATCTGATGCTACAGCCTGTGCAAGCAGACCAGGGTCAGCCCGTGGGCATGGTATGCTTCTCGTGGCTCAGGGACTCCTGCAAGGGCTGGGTTGAGCTGTCAGGGGCCAGGAGCATTGAATGTGGTTCAGGGATGTGCCCAATCCTGAGGGAGCTGTGGGTGGCTCCAATGTTGTGCTTTAGAAAGGGGGGCTCCTGGTGGTCCAGGCAGGGGAACAGCAAGTGCAAAGGCCTGGAGGTGGGAACTGTGGCGAGGGGAGACTGAGAAGGCTTGGCTGGAGGTTGGAGTGCTGGTGAGTCAGTGGAGAGATGCAAGAGGGGTGGCTGGTTCTCAGGTGTGGCTGAAAACCCGCCCCTTCGGAGTCCCCACAACCCCTTTCTTGCTCTGCAGTGACTCTCAAAGCTGCTTGTGTCTGGTCAGATCACTCGTAACAGCCCCCTGTTACAGATCCTATCCAACCCCGCCTGGTACCTCTGTGGATCTGACCGGGACCACCCAGGCCTCTATTTCCTGATTGTCTCAGCCCTGGGCATTGTCACCACGGCCGGGCCTTGTGCAGAGCAGTCTGGACAGGCTGGGATGAGGAACGGGCTCTCCAGGGGAGGGAACAAAGGTCCTGTCTGAGACTCTGAGCCATCACCTGGCCCCTCTGTGACTCACCGCCACCCTCAGCCCATGCAGCTATCCCTCATTCATGCCTGCCTGCCTGCCTGCCTGCCTGCCTGCCTTCCTTCCTTCCTTCCTTCCTTCCTTCCTTCCTTCCTTCCTTCCTTCCTTCCTTCCTTCAGTCCAACTGTTTTCTGAGCTCCGCAGAGGAAACACAGAAGACAGCCTCCCTCAGGAATAAACACTCAGATGTTCCTGACCTGGGCCAAAGCTCTGGGCTGGGAAGAAAACAGATGGAGGGTGTGGGAGAGAGATAGGAGGTGGGATCTGCTGGCTCCAGGAAGCCCCCAGGCTGGTGGGGGACAGAGCTGAACACAGTCACCCCAAGCCTGGTGGGAACAGGGTGAGGCAGAGGCAGAGGCAGTAAGACTGGAAGAGGAGGAAGGAAGAGCTCCCTACCCACTGGTCCCCAAAGCTCCCTGGAGCCGCCATTAACTTTGAATGAATGAGTCGGCCAAGTTCAGCCTGGGTGCTGGGGGAAGGAGCACAGTTTTGGGGACCCCCAGCCCTGGTGATCCCAAACTCCCTGGGGCTCTGGCTTCCTGTCATCCTGGAAATGGGTGTTGGAGGTTAGGACTGGGTGGCCTGATCCAGACGGGCGTCTCTCCTCCCACAGAAGGTGGCCTCTAACCGAGTGCCCCAGCATGTACCCAGTCCCACCCCTGGAAGGCCCTACACCTGGCTCCCAGACACCCCCCAACTTGCAATCACCCTAGTCCCCCTCAAGGCTCCCCTATGCAGAGCTAGACCCCGGAGGAGGTCGTTTGAGGGGCAGGCATTGAGTTGCTTTGCAAAGTTGTCTTTCAGCTGATGCTTACGGGGAGGACAGTCCCCAGGCGTGCAAAGGTTGACAGAGCGGCTGAAGTTTGGGACCTAATTTTGGGGAGGGGGTATAGTTAGGAGGTCCGGAGGGCTGTTGGGGGCGGGGGTTGGAGCTTCACCAAGGTCCTTCCCGTCTTATGGGGCAAGAGGGGGAGTTCGAAGACCAGCCGCATGCCGGGGGGTTGCAGGGGGCGCCGGGGAATGTGGGATCTTTAAATATGGGCGGGGCTTGCGGGGTCGTCGAAGGCGGTGCCAACCCGGGCTCGGCCAATCGGCGGCGGCTCCCGCGTCGCACCGCCCCCTTCTCTCCCGGCCCGGGCGGGCGCTCGCCCCCCGCCGGGCCCGTGGACTGGGCGGCGGGGGATGCGCCTGCCGCCGCCGCCCCCGGCCCCGCCGCCCCCGGGCCCCGCGCCCGCTCGCTGCTGCCCGCCCCGTCCGCGACCCCGGCTCCGGCTCCCGACTGGGGGTCCGCGGCCGCGCGGGACCCTCTCCCCTCCAGCCTTGTCCGCCCGCTCGGGCCGAGCCCCGCAGGTACAGGGTGGGATGGGTGAGGGTGCGGGAGGATCCAGGATCTGCAGCTCAGGGAGCCCGAGGAGGGAGGCACGTCTCGGAGGGGGACGCGGTTTGGGGCAGGGGCCAAGAGGGAGGGTCTCCGTGCGGTCCGGAGCCTAGGAGACACAGGAAAGGTGGGGGGAATGAATGCATGTACATTGCCCGAGTGAGTGAGGATCCACGCACCCCCATCCTGGGAGGGGGAGGGTGCAGGGTTCACTTTGGGGGAGGGCAGAGCTGTGAGTCTCCAAACTGCATAGATAGGGTTGGAGGTCGGGGAGCTCTCAGGGATGGACAGTGACCCGCAATGACTTGGGAATGGGAGGGAGGTGACCCACCACTGGCCCCTGGATCCAGGGGTTGGGGCACTCAGGGAGGGGTCAGGAAACCGGGTCTTCCATCTCTCCCCGGACAGAAGTCCCGGACCCAGCTCGGGGCACTGCCCCTGCTGTTCTGGAGGGCTGGCCAGCAGATGGGAGTTCCCGAGGCTGGGGTCTGAGCGGTGAGGCTGATGGAGATGCATCAGAATGGAGGGCCCCCGAGGGAGGCAGCCTCCAGGAGAGCAGGCTAATTGCACCCTGCTGGCTGCTGGCAGGCTCCTGGCGGGTGGTGATGGGGGGATCGGGCGGGTAGCCAGCGCCTTGCTGCACTGGCTCCTGGGCGGCCCATGGGACGGGAGGGCAGGCAGTGTCTGTCTGCCCTGCAGAGCTAGGGCCCTGTGATTATTGGGGGAGGGGAGGGGAAGGGAGGGGTGGGGGTGGTGGCGGGAAGGGGGATCCTCGGAGACCTTCCTCAACCTCAGCAGGGACACCCGGACTCTGGCTGCGCCCGCTGGGGACCCACAACAGGCCCACATGTCCCAGAAGTTTCTGCTGTGTGCTGATCTGGTTGTGGTACCCGGAAGCCCCTGGGTGTGCATCTGGGGAGCAGGGGCGGTCTGCCTTGGGGATTGAGGGGCAGGGAGCACCTTCTCTTGGTCCAGTTCTGAAGAACAGAAATCAATGGCATGAAGCTCTTACAGACTGCAAAGCATTTGCCATGCGAGATCTTACTCTGTTCTGGACACCAACCCTCGTAGTGGGGGGGTGGGGGGGAGGCACCATGAGGAATCTTTACAAAGCAGGTGGCCAAGGAGTGGGCAGTAACTTGCTCCCTGGCAGGGGTACCTAGGGCCCCTTCTCAGTGGCTGCCTCAACCAACCTGTCATTTGTAAAAATGCTCGCTGGAGGGCCCTGGGGGCCTGACTGGGATTCTGTCTCTTCCCATGTCCTGTTGGGTGGGGAATCTAAGGAGCCATCAGCCCTGCTCCCTGCTACCCTCATCCTCTCCTCAAGAGCTCTCATGGGTCCCCCCAGGCACACGAGGTTCCCCCAGAAGTGTGTGTCTCCAGGGAGGGTGTGGAAGTGGGTCTCTGCTCATCCCCTGCACCCCAGGCTTCAGGGAAGGGAGCTCTCATGACCAGACAGAGTAGTAAAAGTAAGGCAATATCAAAGACCTTCCAACCCAAATACACCCCGTAGGATGTTTGTTGTTTGTTAGAGATGGGATATTGCTAGTTGTCCAGGCTGGTCTCGAGCTCCTGGGCTGAAGTGATCTCCTGCCTTGGCCTCTTGAATAGCTGGAACTAGGTATATACCTAGCTAATAGGGTGGTATTCCTCACTTGGCAAACCCAGGGCTGTTACCCAGAAAAACATACCCTTTCATGGGCATCCAAACCTTGGCTGAGGGTTCCCAGGGGCTCCTGGGTCTCTGGGAATCCCTGAGGGTCCCAGGGACTCCAGTGTTAGGCCCAGATTGCAGTGGGGGAGGGGATGTGTACCCAGGAATGGGGAAGGCCCAGGCACTCATCAGTTCTGTGCTCCAAGCTAGTGGCTTCTCGACGGCAGGACCAGGCCAGTTCCCCTCCCAGAAAGCAGACCCTGCCACCTGCCACGCCTGGATGGCACTAATTTAGTCCCTGCCTTTCCTGGCTGGGTGACCTTGGGCAAAAGGTGCTGAGCTTCTCTGAGCTCTGTCTCCCGTCTGTAAAATGGGAACGGGAATGCCACCTTGCTCACCGGTGGTGATAGGGATTAAATGTGATCACCCTGATCTCAGGCTCAAAGCATAGTAAGAGCCCGGTCCACAGTAATGTGGTGGGTGCCGGGAAAGCCCTCCACCCCTCCACCCCTCCACCCTCTTGGAAGCCACCTGCCATTTCTCTCCTCCTCCCCACCCCCTCCCTGCCCAGGGCACCTTAGGACGCGGCTGCCAGGCGAGGAGGAACATGGCAGACACACGGCTGAATTTGGCCCATGCGTCGGGTGGCTGAGTCACATCCCCAAATTGCATCTTCATTGGTGCGTTTCGGAAGGTCGTTTGCAGAGGCCATCGGAGGCCTACACCCCCTCTGGGTTCTGTCTGCCAGGCCACCCGCTTCTCATCCCTGTGCCCCCCATCCCCAGCTGGGGAAGTTTTGCACCCTCGGGGATGGTGGAAGGGGTGCCTGGGTTTTCCTGGGCCCCCTGGAGGAGGGCAGGATCTGGGGTTCCTGTGTGCACCCTAGTGCAAGCTCCCAGCCCCACCTGGTAGCCAGCGGATGTTCAGGCAGTGGGCAGGGGTTTGAGCCTCGGAGCAGAAGGCCCACCTAAGTATTTGTGAGGTTACGGAAAGATCAGGGCCAAGGTCAGCCTCATAAACTGTCAAATGCTGGGCCCACAAGGCCAGGCCTTATAGACTGTGAAGTGCTGGGCCGGCAGGAGGTCAGGCCTGATAAACTGGGAAGTACTAGGCCACATGAGGCTAGGTCTCATAAACTGGGAAGTGCTGGGCCTGCGGGAGGTCAGGCCTTACAAGCTGTGAGGTGCCTGGTCACAGGAAGCCACAGCCTGATTGATGTGATGGGTGAGGGTGGGAAGGGGTGGGACAAGTTCTGAGACTCATGAGGTCACCTGACCATAGAAGGAATGATTTTTTTTTTTTTTTTTTTTTTTTTTTTTTTTTTTTTTTTTTTTTGGAGACAGGGTCTCACTCTGTTATCCAGGCTGGAATGCAGTGGCATGATCTCAGCTCACTGCAACCTCCACTTCCCGGGTTCAAGTGATTCTTGTGCCTCAGCCTCCCAAGTAGCTGGGATGACAGGTGCCCACTACCACGCCCGGCTAATTTTGTATTTTTAGTAGAGACAGGGTTTCACTATGTTGGCCAGGCTGGTCTTGAACTCTTGACTTCAGGTGATCCACCCACCTTGGCCTCCCAGAGTGCTGGGATTACAGGTGTGAGCCACCACGCCCAGCCAGTTTTGCCATGTTGGCCAAGCTGGTCTTGAACTCCTGACCTCAAGTGATCTACCCGCCTCAGCCTCCCAAAGTGCTGGAATTACAGGCATGAGCTACCGCGCCCGGCCACAAAGAAATAATTCTTGCACTCCTGTGTGCTGACACCAGTATCTGGAGACACATCGTGAGGGACAGACACAGTGTGGGGGGTGCCGGACAAAGGCATAGGTGGTCCTGCAATGTGTGCGGCAGCCAAAGTCACCCATGTCCAACTCAGCAGTGTAGCTCATTTTTTTTTTTTTTTGAGACAGAGTCTCACTCTGTTGCCCAGGCTGGAGTGCAGTGGCGTGATCTCAGCTCACTGCAGCCTCCACCTCCCGAGTTCAAGCTATTCTCCTGCCTCAGCCTCCCAAGTAGCTGGGATTACAGGTGCCCACCACCACACCTGGCTAATTTTTGTAGTTTTAGTAGAGACAGGATTTCGCCATGTTGGCCAGGCTGGCCTCAAACTCCTGACCTCAAGTGATCTGCCCACCTCAGCCTCCCAAAGTGCTGGGATTACAGGCGTGAGCCACTGCACCCAGCCAATGTGGCTCATCTTGCTGTGTCCTGGAATGACGATCTGCTAGTCTGTCACCCCCAGTGGGGGTGGGAAGTGTCCTGCCTGTGCACACAGCTGCCCCCAACCCTTCTCCCAGGCCTGGCACATGGGGGACCCCTAGTGCATGCTGTTGTGACCATTTCAAAGGGGATAACACTTGGCCTCCACCCACCCCTGCCCAGCTTGTTGGGAAAATCTCACAAAGGAGCCGGGTCCGGAATCTTCCCTGCAAGGAGAAGGTGTGTCTTCAGGCAGGTTTGTATTATTATTATTTTTTTTTTGAGACGGAGTTTTGCTCTTGTTGCCCAGGCTGGAGTGCAATGGCATGATCTCAGCTCACTGCAACCTCCGCCTCCCGGGTTCAAGCGATTCTCCTGTCTCAACCTCCTGAGTAGGTGGGATTACAGGCATGGGCCACCACGCCCAGCTAATTTTTTGTCTTTTTAGTAGAGACGGGGTTTCACCATGTTGGTCAGGCTGGTCTCGAACTCCTGACCTCAGATGATCTGCCCACCTTGGCCTCCCAAAGTGCTGGGATTCCAGGCGTGAGCCACCGTGCCCGGCCCAGGCAGATTCTTTCACAACATCATGCCACAGTTTCCCCATCTGTAAAACTGGCCAAATCCCAGGACCCACTTCTTGGCAGTATTAGGATTCAGGAGAACATTTACATAAAGAATGGAGCCTGGGACCGGGCACAGTGGCTCATGCCTGTAATCCCAACACTTTGGGAGGACGAGGAGGAAGGATCACTGGAGCCCAGGAGTTCCAGACCAGCCTGGGCAATGTAGCAAGGCCTGATCTCTACTAGAAATAAAAATAAATCATCTATGGCCATACCACCCTGAACACTCCCGATCTCATCTGATCTCGGAAAAATAAATCATTAGCTGGGGGTGGTGGCGCATACCTGTAGTCCTTGCTGCTTGGGAGGCTGAGGTGGGAGGATCGCTTGAGCCCAGGAGTCCGAGGCTGCAGTGAGCTAGGATTGCCCCACTGCACTCCAGCCTGGGCTACAGAGCAGGCAAGGAGTGCATTTGAGGGTCTGAGATACTGGGCTGGGCAGGGCAGGGGAGAATCTGACAAGTTGGATCCAGAGTCTCAGACAGCCTCTCAATGCCTTGGTGAGCATGATGACTATGTCACCATCATTGAGGTCCCTGCTCTCACACATGATGCCACAGGACATTGCTCTGTAATCACACAGGGTGCTTTTCAAATAGCCTGGCAGGGAAACAGGCTAGCCTGAGATCATAGAGCCCAGCCAAGCATGTCTTATGTCTTACAAAGCCCTGCAGAATCGATTCTAGATCTTGGAGTTAAAGCCTGCATTGCCACACTGTTTGGAGATCATGGATCCCCTCCTGGAAACCATTTGGATTCTGTTTGGAATCTGTTTGGAGATTATGGATCCCCTCCTGCCCAGGCAGGAGGGAGCCTCAGGATCTCTGTAGCCACAGCCAGGGTCCCTAATGTCCCATAGGCCACAGTGCAGGAGCCTACAAATGCAGGAGGCACGGTGAGGTGAGGTTAACTCATCCAAGAGTCTGAAGGTTGGAAGAGGATGAGCTCAGATGAAAACCACCTTCTAAGCATACCATTAGCCACCCTCTCCTCCCAGGCAAGCCCGTTGGTAGATTTCATCTTCCAGCGTTCAGCAAGTGTTTCCTGAGTGTCATCTGTTTGCTAGGCATTGTTCTAGGTGCTTGGATACACATAAAGTCAGCAGGCAGGGCTCTGGTAGGGGGGCATTCCAGGCAGAGGGCACAGCCTGTGCAAGGTATCAGAGAAGGATGAACTTGTTGGAATCTGGTGATTGGGAGACCATTGTGGCTGGAGGAATTGGGTCTGGGGAGAGTAAGAAGGACGAGATAGGTGGGAACCAGATACAGAGGGCCCCTTGGCCATAGTGAAGAGTTTGGTGTTTTATTTGTTTTTGTTTTTGTTTTTTTTAGAGATCGGCTCTAGTTATGTTGTCCAGGCTGGATTTAAACCCCCAGACTCAAGTGATCCTCCAGTCTCAGCCTCTGAGTAGCTGTGATTACAAGTGTGCACCACTGGGCCCAGCTCTGGAGTTTCTTTGTTCTTTTTCTTTTTTTTGAGACGTAGTCTCACTCTGCCACCCAGGCTGGAGTGCAATGGCATGATCTTGGCTCACTACAGCCTCTGCTTCCTGGGTTCAAGCGATTCTTCTGCCTCAGCCTCCCACGCAGCTGGGACTACAGGCATGCACCACTACGCCTGGCTAATTTTTGTATTTTTAGTAGAGACTGGTTTTCGCCATGTTGGCCAGGCCAGTTTCGAACTCCTGAACTCAAGCGGTCCTTCTGCCTTGGCCTCCTAAGTAGCTGCAATTACCAGAGCTGCACCACCATGCCCGGCTCTCTGGGGTTGATTTTTTCAGTGAGATGGCACTGGGGAGCCATGGCAGGGCTTTGAGCAGGGGAGGGATTCAGGCTGACTCAGATGTTTCTGGGATGGTAAACCCACGTGTCAGCACTCTGGGCCACTCCCAAACTTAGAACGTTCTGGGTTGGCCGGGATGGTCCTTGCCTTTCTGGTCAGTAAGCTGGACCCTGCTGTGACCATGTCCCTCTGTGCCCTTGCAGGTCAGTGCAGGAGCCCAGCCGCTGAGCCATGCCGGGCCCCGGGCGGCCTGCAGCGAGCCCAACCCCTGCACCCAGGTAGTCATGAACAGCCACAGCTACAATGGCAGCGTGGGGCGGCCGCTGGGCAGCGGGCCGGGCGCCCTGGGACGAGACCCTCCGGACCCTGAGGCCGGCCACCCCCCACAACCCCCGCACAGCCCGGGCCTCCAGGTGGTAGTGGCCAAGAGTGAGCCAGCCCGGCCCTCACCCGGCAGCCCCCGGGGGCAGCCCCAGGACCAGGACGATGACGAGGATGATGAGGAAGATGAGGCCGGCAGGCAGAGAGCCTCGGGGAAACCCTCAAATGTGGGCCACCGCCTGGGCCACCGGCGGGCGCTCTTCGAGAAGCGGAAGCGCCTCAGCGACTATGCCCTCATTTTCGGCATGTTTGGCATCGTCGTCATGGTGACGGAGACCGAGCTGTCCTGGGGGGTGTACACCAAGGTAGGCGTGGTCCTCCCCCAGGCACTCCAGGGAGGTTCCACCAAGCCCGCCTAGCTTTCTTGACATGGGGTTGGGGGTGGCAGGGCCCCCCGGGAGATAGGGAGTGTTAGGGGGCTCCCGGAGGTGAGGGCTCCCTGGCCTTCTGCATACCCACCTCCAGGAAGGTAGCAGGGAGGCTACACATGGAGAAGGAAGGTTCCAGCCCATTCCCTGGCCAGGTGTCAAGGGGCTGCACCCTGGCTTAAGGCGGAGGGGGGCTTCCCCCCAGGACAGGGGTTCCCCAGAGTGGGCCTGCTCTGGGGAGCAACAGAAGATCTTCCTCCCCTTCCGAGAGTGAGTGCGTCCAGGTTACAAGCCTGGCTGTGGGTTCCCTCATGCCACCTAGAATGTGTGAGGATGGAGAGAGATCAGGGCTGTGTCAGCCTGTAAACTCTGAAGTGCCGAGGCTGGATGAGGTCCGGCCTTGTGAACTGTGAAGTGCTGTGCCCAAGTGAGGCCAGGCCTCATAAACTGTGAAGCACTGGACACATCTTGCTGTCAGCCCAGTCCCCAGGAATAAGGACAGGAGAGCACCGCTTCCTGAATACAGCACATGCTGCACGCCCAGCCCTGATAAGCTGTTTCACACACAGCAGCCCCAGGACTGGGGAACTAGCAGAAATTCAGGGTACAGTGGGAGAAGCCACTGGGAAGAGCCCCATTTAGCTGACTCCCATGCCCGGGAGCCAGGGTAAGGGGATGGGAGGGCCGCCGGCCCACCGCCTCCAGCGTCCATCTGGCTGTGTCCTCTCTCTTTACCAGGAGTCTCTGTACTCATTCGCACTCAAATGCCTCATCAGCCTCTCCACGGCCATCCTGCTGGGTCTCGTTGTCCTCTACCATGCCCGGGAGATCCAGGTCAGTGCTGAATACTGCAGGAAGCAGCTCCTCTCCTCAAACCCCAGATCCCCCCACACCAGCCCACCTTAGACCCCATCCCCTCAAAACATAAAAGGATGTATAATTGGCTTCTGATAGAAAAAAGATCTCCATAAAGACACACAGTTTCCATCATTCTAGATTTCCTTGAAACACACATCTGTGTTTTAATTTTCATTGATTATTTACAAAAAAGAACAGGTAGTGAGAAAGTGAGGGGCTGAGCTGGGACTCTGGGACACACGGGTTGTTTCCAGGCTGGAGTGCAGTGGTGCGATATTGGCTCGCTGCAACCTCTGCCTCCTGGGTTCAAGCGATTCTTCTGCCTCAGTCTCCCGAGTAGCTGGGATTACAGGCGCATGGCACCACACCTTGCTAATTTTTGTATTTCTAGTAGAGACGGGATTTCACCATGTTGGCCAGGCTGGTCTCGAACTCCTGACCTCCAGTGATCCACCCGTCTCAGCCTCCCAAAGTGCTAGGATTACAGGTGTCAGCCACTGCTCCTGGCCTATTTGTTTAGTTTTTGAGACAGGGTCTCACTCTGTTGCCCAGGCTGGAGTGCAGTGATGCAGTCATGGCTTTGACCTCTTGTGTTCAAGAGATTTTCCTGCCACAGCCTCCCGAGTAGCTGGGACTACAGCTGCGCACCACCACACCTGGCTAATTTTTGTATTGTCTTGTCAGTGTCTCGCCATATTGCCCAGGCTGGCCTCAAACTCGTGGGCTCAAGTGATCGGCCCACCTCACCCTCCCAAAGTGTTGGGACTTTACAGGCATGAGCCACCATGCCCGGCTGCACACGCATGTTGATAACAGCACTGTTCAAAGTAGCCAAAAATCACACCTGTGATCCCAGCACTTTGGGAGGCCAAGGCGGGTGGATCACTTGGGGTCAGGAGTTCAAGACCAGCTTGGTCAACGTGGTGAAACTCCATCTCTACAAAAATTAGCCAGGCATGATATCGGGTGCACGTAATCCCAGCTATTTGGGAGGCTGAGGCGGGAGAATCACTTGAACCTGGGAGGCAGAGGTTGCAGTGGAGCTGAGATCGAACCATTGCACTCCAGCCTGGGCAACAGAGCAAGACTCCGTCTCAAAAAAACAAAAATACAAAGTAGCCAAAAAGCAGAAACAACATCCAAATGTCCATCCAGGCATGAATGGATAAATAAAATGTAGTGCACCTGTACAATGGACAATTATTCAACCTTTTTTTTTTTTTGAGACGGAGTTTCACTGTTGTTGTCCAGGCTGGAGTGCAATGGCACGATCTCCAGCTCACCGCAACCTACGCCTCCTGGGTTCAAGCAATTCTCCTGCTTCAGCCTCCCGAGCAGCTGGGATTACAGGCATGTGCCACCACACCCAGCTAATTTTGTATTTTTAGTAGAGACGGGGTTTCTCCATGTTGGTCAGGGTGGTCTCGAACTCCCAACCTCAGGTGATCTGCCCGCCTCGGCCTCCCAAGGTGCTGGGATTACAGGTGTGAGCCACCGCGCCCAGCATAACCTTTTTTTTTTTGAGATGGAGTCTCACTCTGTTGCCCAGGCTGGAGTGCAGTGGCGCGATCTTGGCTCACTGCAACCTCCGCCTCCCAGGTTCAAGTGATTCTCCTGCCTCAGTCTCCTGAGTGGCTGGGATTACAGGTGCCCGCCACCACGCCTGGCTAATTTTTGTATTTTTAGTACAGATGGGGTTTCACCATATTGGCCAGGCTGGTCTCGAACTCCTGACCTCAGGGTGATCCTCCCACCTTGGCCTCCCAAAGTGCTGGGATTACAAGCGTGAGCCACCATGCCTGGCCTATTCAACCTTAACAAAAGAACGAAACACCAAAACAGCAGAAATGTATTGTCTGAAAGTCTGGAGTATAGAAGTCTGAGATCAAGGCGTTAGCAGGGTTGGTTCCTTCTGAGAGCCATGAGAGACAATCCGTCCCAGGCCTCTCTCCTAGCTTTTGGTTGCTGCTGGCAATTTTGGGGGTTCTCAGCTTAGGAGATGTGTCACTCCAATCTCTGCCTTGAGGATCACATGATGTTCTCCCTTTGAGAGTGTCTGTGTCCAAATTTCCCCTTTTTAAAATAAGAACACCAGTCATTATTGGATTAGGGCCCACTGCAATTAGATGATTCCACTTTTTTTTTTTTGAGACAGAGTTTCACTCTGTCACCCACACTGGAATGCCGTGGCTTGATCACAGATCACTGCAGCCTCGACATCCTGGGCTTACACAGTCCTCCCACCTCAGCCCCCAGGTAGCTGGGATTACAAGCACTTGCCACCATGCCCAGCTAATTTTTAAATTTTTTGCTTTTTTTGTAGAAAGGGGGTCTTACCATGTTGGCCAGGCTGGTCTTGAACTCCTGGGCTGAAGCGATCCTCCCACTTCAGCCTCCCAAAGTGCTGAGATTTCAGGCGTGAGCCACTATGCCTGGCCTGATTCCAGCTTAACTTCATTTTAACTAGCCGACCTCGTTACAATGACCTCATTTAACGAGATGACCTCTATAAAGACCTTATCTCCATATAAGAGCACATTCAGAGGTACTAGAGGTCAGGATGCCAACATATCTTTTTCAGCAGAACACAAATCAACCTATAACAATTTCTGATACTGAACATGGATGAACCTCAGAAATACGACGCTCAGCAGAAGAACCCAGACATAAAAGGCCACAAATTGCATGCTTCCATTTATGTGAAATTTTCAGAAGATGCAAATCCGCAGAGACAGAAAGGAGATTAGTGGTTGCCGGGGGCTGGGAAAGGAGCGACTGCTAATGGGGACAGGGCTCCCTTTTGGGGTGATGGAAGTGTTCTGAAATTAGATAGAAGAGGTGTACTAAATCCCACTGAATTGTGCACTTTAAATGGGAGAATTATACGGTTTGTGAATTTCATATATGTATACTTGTTTTTTTTTTTTTTTTTTGAGATGGCGTCTTGCTCTGTCACCCAGGCTGGAGTACAGTGGTGCAATCTCAGCTCATTGCAACCTCCGCCTCCTGGGTTCAAGTCATTCTCCTGCCTCAGCCTCCTGAGTAGCTGGGATTACAGGTACCTGCCACCACACCTGGCCAATTTTTGTATTTTTCGTAGAGATGGGGTTTCACCATGTTGGCCAGGCTGGTCTTGAACTCCTGACCTCGTGTTCCACCCGCCTCGGCCTTCCAAAGTGCTGGGATTACAGGCATGAGCCACTGCCCAGCCTGTTTTTTTTTTTTTTTTTTTTAAACACAGGATCTCGTTCTGTCGCCCAGGCTGGAGTACAGTGGTGCAGTCAGAGTTCACTGCAGCTTGTACCTCCTGGGATCAAGGAGTCCTGCCTCAGCCTTCCAAGTAGCTGGGACCACAGGCACAGACCGCCATGCCCAGCTAAATGTAAAACCTTATATATACAGATATATAAAACCATACATATATAAAGACAGGATTTTCCTATGTTGCCCAGGCTGGTCTCAAACTCCTGGGCTAGAGTGATCCTCCTGCCTCAGCCTCCTAAAGTGTTGGGATTATAGGTGTGAGCCACAGACCCGGCTTTTTTTTTTAACTGTAATTCAGGCTGGACACAGTGACTCACGCCTGTAATCCCAATACTTTGGAAGGCCGAGGCAGGAGGATCACTCGAGCACAGGAGTTCGAGATCAGCCTGGGCAACGTGGCGAAACACCGTCTCTACACAAAAATTTTTTAAACAGTTAGCCAGGCATGGTGGTACACATCTGTAGTTCCAGCTACTTGGGAGGTTGAGGTGGGAGGATCACCTGAGCCCAGGGAGGTCAAGGCTGCAGTGAGCCATGATGGCGCCACTGCACACCAGCCTGGGGGACAGAATGAGACTCCCTCTCAAAACAAAAAACAAAACAAAACAAACAAACAACAAAATGGAGGCAGTATGGACAGTAACATAGCAAGACCCCTTCCTCTTAAAAAAAAAAAAAAAAAAAGGCCGGGCTCACGACTGTAATCCCAGCACTTTGGGAGGCCGAGGTGGGCGGATCACGAGGTCAGGAGATGGAGACCATCCTGGCTAACACGGTGAAACCCCGTCTCTACTAAAAATACAAAACATTAGCCAGGCGTGGTGGCGGGCGCCTGTAGTCCCAGCTACTCGGGAGGCTGAGGCAGGAGAATGGCGTGAACCCGGGAGTAGGAGCTTGCAGTGAGCCGAGATCGCGTCACTGCACTCCAGCCTGGGCAATGGAGCGAGACTCCGTCTCAAAAAAAAAAAAAAAAAAAAAAGGAAGGAGTTAGAGGCTCCAGTAAGCAGTAAGCTATGATCCCGCCAGAGCAGGACCCGGTCTCAAAAATAGGGTGGGGGGTGGGGGAGGGGGCGTGGCTGCATTCCTGATGATACCTTTTGCCTCCAGCTCCAATATGATTGGTCCCGGCTCCGTAACTGACAGATGTTATGTATCTTGGCGCTCCCCTCATCTCCCCTAGGACTGGCCCTGGATATGGCCAGGGTACCCCATGGAGGGTGAGCAATGGCGCTGTAGGGTGTCCTTTATGTCAACGCTTTGCCGATGTGCGAGCGGAGGAGGCCCCTAGAACGCGCGGCCGCCACATTTTAAGGAAGTGACTTTTTTTTCTTTTTCTTATTTTAGAATGACTTTATTGCTTCTTATTTTTAAAATGACACGTGAAAAAGGAAAAAAAAAGATACTTAAGAGTTATACACACGTTCAGAAGGAAGAGAAAAGTACAGTGAAGGGCTGGGCACCCACACCTGGAATCTCAGCACTTTGGGAGGCTGAGGAGGGAGGACTGCTGGAGCCCAGGAGTTCAAAGCCAGCCTGGGCAACAGAGCGAGTCCCCATCTCTGCATTAATTTTCTTTTTCTTTTTCTTTCTTTTTTTTTTTTTATCGAGACAAGAGTCTCACTCTGTTGCCCAGGCTGGAGTGCAGTGGCGCAATCTTGGCTCACTGCAACCTCTGCCTCCCAGGTTCAAATGATTCTTGTGCGTCAGCCTCTCAAGGCTGAGATTACAGGCACCCGCCACCACACCTAGCTAATTTTTTTTTTTTTTTTTTTTTTTTTTTTTTTGTATTTTTAGTAGAGACGGGGTTTTGCCATGTTGCCTGGGCTGGTCTCAAACTGCTGGCCTCAAGCAGTCCTCCTGCCTCCCAAAGCACTGGGATTACAGGCAGGAGCCACTGCACCCATTCTGTTTCCACTTTTGGAGGTTGTGAATAGTGCCGTTGTGAATGTGTCTGTCCAAGCGTTTGCTTAAACACTTGTTTTAGTTTCTCTTGAGTCTGTCTAGGAGTGGGATTGCTGGGTCATTAGTAACTCTATGTTGAACTTTTTGGGGAACACTCATATTTCGTTCGAACTGTGGCCAGTGCTGAGAACTAGAGAGTTTTGCATACGAGGTCACGTTTCTGACTTCTCTTGGAAAAATTTGAAGCTGGTGCGGTTGCTCACACCTGTGATTCCAGCACTCTGGGAGGCTGAGGCAGGAGGACACTTGAGGCCAGGAGTTTTAGACCAGCCTGGGCAAAATAGGGAGACCCCATCTCTACAGGAAATTTAAAAAATTAGCCAGGCATGGTGTTGCATGCCTGTAATCCCAGCTCCTCAGGAGGAGACTGAGGCAGGAGGATCACTTGAGCCCAGGAGGTCAAGACTGCAGTGAGCTGTGATTGCACCACTGCACTCCAGCCCGGGCACAGAGCAAGACCTTGTCTCCAAAAAAAGGAAAAAGAAAAGAAAAATCCTCGCCAGGCACAGTGGCTCACACGTGTAATCCCAGCACTTTGGGAGGCCGAGGCATGTGGATCACTTGAAGTCAGGAGTTTGAGACCAGCCTGGCCAACATGGTGAAACCCCGTATCTACTAAAAATACAAAAATTAGCCAGGCATGGTGGCAGGCACCTGTAATCCCAGCTACTCGGGAGGCTGAGGCAGGAGAATTGCTTGAACCCGGGAGGCAGAGGTTGCCAAGATCGTCTTCATGGTGCATGAGCCAAGTGAACCAGGATTGCGCCACTGCACTACAGCCTGTGCGACAGAGTGAGACCCTGTCTCAAGAAAAAGAAAAAGAAAGAAAAGAGGCTGGGCATGGTGGCTTACGCCTGTAATCCCTGCACTTTGGGAGGCCGAGGTGGGCAGATCACCTGAGGTCAGGAATTCGAGACTAGCCTGGCCAACATGATGAAACCCCATCTCTACTAAAAATACAAAAATTAGCCAGGTGTGGTGGGGCAAGCCTGTAATTCCAGCTACTCCGGAGGCTGAGGCAAGAGAATTGCTTTCACCCAGGAGGCGGAGATTGCAGTGAGCAGAGATCGTGCCACTGCACTCCAGCCTGGGCGATAAGAGCAAAACTCCATCTCAAAAAAAAAAAAAAAAGAAAGAAAGAAAGAAAGAAAAATCCGAGCCTGTGGGGTTTCAGGCCAGGCTGACGTCACTCTCTGGGGGCGCGGTGGGGCTGGGCAGGGAGCGCGGCGCGTGTCTGACACCCATGGCTGGTTCCCTCCCGCCCTCCACAGCTGTTCATGGTGGACAACGGGGCTGATGACTGGCGCATCGCCATGACCTGCGAGCGCGTGTTCCTCATCTCGCTAGAGCTGGCAGTGTGCGCCATTCACCCGGTGCCCGGCCACTACCGCTTCACGTGGACGGCGCGGCTGGCCTTCACGTACGCGCCCTCGGTGGCCGAGGCCGACGTGGACGTGCTGCTGTCCATCCCCATGTTCCTGCGCCTCTACCTGCTGGGCCGGGTGATGCTACTGCACAGCAAAATCTTCACGGACGCCTCGAGCCGCAGCATCGGGGCCCTCAACAAGATCACCTTCAACACGCGCTTCGTCATGAAGACACTCATGACCATCTGCCCCGGCACCGTGCTGCTGGTCTTCAGCATCTCCTCCTGGATCATCGCAGCCTGGACCGTGCGCGTCTGCGAGAGGTGCGACCGCCGCCCCTGGAGCCCCCCCAGCCCCCAGCCCCCGTCTCCCTGGACCTCCATGCCCATTCATGATTTCACCGACCCTGGGCCCCTCCCGACCCTGGCCATTGCTTCTGTCTCCCCGACTGCAAGACACCCGTGGTGCCTCCTGTCTTCCAGTTTGTGGCTTCAGTAATCATCCTCCCTGGGGACCTAACCCTGTGTCCCCAGCTGCCCTCAACCAGGGAGGGACCCCAGCTCCCTCTCCCTCATCCTCCCTGCCAGGGTCTCCCAAGCTTCCTTCTCCCAGCCCCTCGGCTCCCTGGGAGGCTGACTCCCGATCTCTGGCCCCGGGGGGCGCAGGCAGCAGGCACAGGGATGCCTCCCCGTCCCCTCTGTCTCCCATCTCCCACGTTTAACCAGCTTTCATTTTCCCCTCTGCCCGCTCCACTGGACTTTAGGGAAAACATGTGAGTCCCACCCTCCGCTGAGCTGTGTGCGCAGAGCAGCCACTGCCACCGCTGCCGCCATCCCCGACCCGCTAGGAATTTAAGATTAGCTGCCGCAAGGGGAGGGAGGCAGGGAGAACGGGCCCGGCGGGGTGGGTCGGGGTAAGTCACCCCGTCACGGGGGCAGGCCACTCCACTGGGCGTCCTCTCCGAGCCTCAGGGCCCTTGTGTCCGAAGGGTGAGGGATTAAGGAAGGGCTTGGCTCTCATGTTGTGTTTGGGCAGCTGACCCCTGGGAGCTCCGATGTTTCCTCCCAAGACTTAAATGGATCTGGGGTGGGCTAGGTGCGGTGGTGGTGCCTGTGATCCCAGCTACTCGGGAGCCTGAGGCAGGAGAATCGCTTGAACCTGGGACGCGGAGGTTGCAGTGAGCTGAGATTGCGCCACTGCACTCCAGTCAAAAAAAAAAAAGACAAATAAATGGGTCTGGGATGAAGGAAAACCGGCCGTGCCTTTGGGACCTCCAAGCAGGAGGGAGTCTGTTGTAAATACCCCTAGGAGGTGGTGGACCATCAACCCGATTTACAGAGAGGGAAACTGAGGCTCTGGGGGACAAAGGGACTTGCCCGGAGCCTTGAGTCCTGGCAGTCTCAGAGGCAGGAGGGGCTCCGCCAGGCCTGGGGTGTGAGGGTGCCTTATCTGGGAGAGGGTCTCCCTGCCATGCGCCTAGCTGGTGGAGGCCCTGGAGGGGTCCCTGGCTGGACCCCTGCTTGCCCTCAGCACCCCATCCTCATCCCTCCACCCAGCCCCCACCCCCCATACTCCCACGGGCCCTGCCTGGGCATGAGGCCTGGCTCTCAGGGATGAAAGGCCCAGTTTCTCTGGCTGTTAAGGCTTCCAGGGCTCTCCTTGGGCTCTTGATGTTCCCCCATGCAGCTCTCACACCCCTGATGGGTGGGGTCAGAACTAGGGTTAGGGGTATGGGGTGCCCCTCGTCAGGTATCCCTGAGGTCCAAGCTGGGTCCTTGCAGGGCTCTGGGGGGGTGGGGCACGGGGCAGGGCCGGCAGGCAGCCAATCCTAAATTCTGAGCCTGGCGACAATGCTTGAAGCCCCCTTGCCTGCCTCGCTCTGACCCACCCCCGCCTCCCGCATGTCCCCCAGCCGTGCTCCTGGGTGGTCCCGCGGCACCCCCCACCATCGCTCCGTCTGGATCTGGGGCTCACCCACCCACCGACTAGAGGGCACCCCCCCGCCCCTCCTGCCCTCTGGGGGTCAGGCAGCTTGGGGCTCAGATGTTTTGGTGTAAGATGGGGGTCAGTCAGCTGGGCACCGTGGCTCATGCCTGTAATCCCAGCACTTTGGGAGGCCGAGGCGGGTGGATTACCAGGTCAGGAGATTGAGACCATCCTGGCTAACATGGTGAAACCCTGTCTCTACTAAAAATACAAAAAAAAAAAATTAGATGGGCATGGTGGCGGGCGCGTGTAGTCCCAGCTACTCGGGAGGCTGAAGCAGGAGAATCGCTTGAACCCGGGAGGTGTAGGTTGCAGTGAGCCAAGATCATGCCACTACACTCCAGCCTGGGCAACAGAGAGAGATATTGTCTCAAAAAAAAAAAAAGATAGGGTCAGTCCCTGGGCCTTTACCCAGCAAGTGTCCTAGAAGCCCAGACTGGAGGTGCCTGGAGTGGCATTCGACTTCCGCGGGAGTGAAGACCCCCAAATGCCAATATTTGGGGAGCCCCCATCTCCTTCCCTCTGGAGCCTGACCCCAGCCCTATCCTTGGGCTGTGTCACCCACTGTGCCTGGCACAGGCCTCCCCTGAAGATCCTGCTCTATCCAGGCCACTTCCTCGGTGCTACCCCAGTTGGCCTCTGACCTTGAACACCCCAGAGGCTGGCTTGGGGCTCAGGTGATCTAAGCCCTGGGAAGGAGTGGGTTAGCTGGAAGCCAGGTCAGAGGGGGCCCAGTCTCCAGAAAAAGGCCAAGGGGATTTGGGGACTGAGAGCTGAGTGGGAACAGATCCTAGAGCCACCCCCAGACCCAGAGAGCCAAGCCCTCGGCCCGCTAGCATGGCCACAGGCAGAACCTCTTTGCAGCCCCTCTGGCCGAAGTCCCAAGCCTGGCTGTGACCAGGACTAAGTTCTGTCAGTCTTGGGGCCTGTCTCCCTGGGTCCCAAATATAGCCCCAGGCATCTCCCCAGTGCCAAAGCCGATGCCCCTCTCTTCCCAACCCCCAGATGCAACATAGGCTGAGTTGGGGGACTCATGCTGTCCTCCAGTCTATGTCCTTCCTATATGGACGTCCCTTCTTCACTCGAGCCCCAGGTGGTGATCCTCCAGCCTCCCACCTCCTCCAGTCCTCCTCCCTCCTTGGGGCCTTGCTGGCTGAGAAAGTTCTTCCTGGTGTCTGTCCTGAATTCTTGCCTCCACCTCCTGCTGCTTCTGGTGCTGTGGTCACCCATCCCCCTGTCTGTGTGTGTCTGTCGTTGGGAGGGGGATTGTATGTTCATACAACCTCACCTGGGCCCCTCTCTGCCCCATCCAGGGAAGCAGCTTGGGGGGGCAGGCAAAGGGAATGTGGAAGGGCTGTAGCGGGGGAGAGGGTGCGCCTGTCCTGTACCCACAGGACATAGCCCCAACGCAGCGAGGTGGACTCAGGGCCCTCCAGCCCTGGCGCTGCCCCAGGGGGTGTGATGGAGGCAAAGGGGATGGTATAGACTGAGCCCTCCCTCTTCCCACTCTGGCTCCCCCAGGTACCACGACAAGCAGGAAGTGACCAGCAACTTCCTGGGGGCCATGTGGCTGATTTCCATCACCTTCCTCTCCATTGGCTACGGCGACATGGTGCCCCACACCTACTGCGGGAAGGGTGTGTGCCTGCTCACTGGCATCATGGTAAGGGTGAGGGTCCATGTGTATGATCCTGGGAGGTCCAGCCAGCTGCCCGCTCCACCAGCCCTTGCATACCCCTTGCTGACAGGGTGCTCATCCCATCACGAGCTGTGCCTGATCAGCGTCCCTCCATCTGTCAGTCCACCCCTCCCCTGCTCTGCTCTTTTCCTCTGACGTCACGTGGAAGCCACACCCACAGGCTTCCTGGGACATCTCCATGCGGTCCTTCCAGGCCTAGATATGCAGCTCCCACCATGCCTGCCCAGTAAGAAGCTGCGGTCCACTCTGACCAGAGAGTCACTGTCACCCCTTTATTCTCTACAGCCTGATTTATTCACAGCCTTTGGATCCAGGGCAAGGGGCTTGATGCTGATGTGCCTTAGTTTCCTCAGCTGTGACCAGCGCTACTTCCTCTGCTTTGCAAGGGCTAAGTCGGTTATTTATGTGAGAATCCCAGAACTGTGAATGCCATGGACATGCTATAACTACCTGCTGGGGGCCGGGCGTGGTGGCTCATGCCTGTAATCCCAGCACTTTGGGAGGCCAAGGTGGGCAGATCACCTGAGGTTGGGAGTTTGAGATCAGCCTGTGACCAACATGGAGAAACCCTGTCTCTACTAAAAATACAAAAATAGCCGGGAGTGGTGGCTCACACCTGTAATCCCAGTACTTTGGGAGGCCAAGGCGGGTGGATCACGAGGTCAGGAGTTCAAGACCAGCCTGGCCAACGTGGTGAGACCCAGTCTGTACTAAAAATACAAAATTAGCCGGGCGTGGTGGTGGGTGCCTGTAATCCCAGCTACTAGGGAGGCTGAGGCATGAGAATTGCTTGAACCCAGGAGGCAGAGGTTGTGGTGAGCGGAGATCACGTCATTGCACTCCAGCCTGGGCAACCAGAGTGAACTAAGTCTCAAAAAAAAAAAAAAGAAAAAAGAAACCTGCTGGGCTGTGTCCTCTGCAGCCCAAACTCCCTTCCTTAGCTGACTTTCGGGGTGTTCCCTGAGTTTTTCGTGACAGTGGGCGCAGGCAGCACCCCGTCTCCCCGAAGGATTCTCAAGTCTGCCGTGGGTGCCTGTGAACATCCTTTCACACTCACTGCTTTCTCTTTTCCCTAATTCAGTCATCGGGGTCCCTGTCCATCCCCTCTTTCCAGAGCCTTCTTTCTCTCCAGACATGTTTTATGCCCATGCCAACAAACGCTTTTCCATGTTTTATTTTTATGTTTTTATAAAGATGGGGTCTCACTATGTTGCCCAGGCTGGTCATGAACTCCTGGGCTCAAGTGATCCTCCTGCTTGGGCCTCCCAAGGTGCTGGAGTTACAGGCCTAAGCAACTGCACCTGGCCCATGCCTGACTTTGTTTTTTTCCTCATTGAGATGGAGTCTCACTCTGTTGCCCAGCCTGGAGTGCAACGGCACGATCCCAGCTCACTGCAACCTCCGCCTCCCGGGTTCAAGCCATTCTCCTGCCTCAGCTTCCTGAGTAGCTGGAATTACAGGCGCCTGCCACCAGGCTCGGCTAATTTTTCTATTTTTAGTATAGACAGGGTTTCATCATGCTGGCCAGTCTGGTCTTGAACTCCCAACCTCAGATAATCCACCTGCCTCAGCCTCCCAAGGTGCTGGGATTACAGGCATGACGCCACCACGCTGGCCCTTTTTTTCTTTTTTTTTTTTGAGATAGAGTCTCGCTCTGTCGCCCAGGCTGGAATGCAGTGGCGTGATCTCAGCTCACTGCAACCTTCCCCTCCCAGGTTCAAGCGATTCTCCTGCTTCAGCCTCCTGAGTAGCTGGGATGGCAGGCACCTGCCACCAGGCCCAGCTAATTTTTGTATTTTTAGTACAGACAGGGTTTCACCATGTCGACCAGGCTGGTCTCGAACTCTTGACCTCAGGTGATCCACCCACCTTGGCCTCCCAAAGTGCTGGGATTACAGGTGCAAGCCACTGCACCTGGTCCGTGTCTGCTTTTTTGCTGGCAGCCCAGCATGGGTCCCTCCCTGTAGCATCTGTGTGGTGCATCATGCTGTTGCAGAGCCGTTGTCCATTCCTTTTCCTTGCTGTCTAGTATTCTAGGTGGAGGTTTCCAGCAAGTCACTCTGTCCCAGTTGACAGGGATTTTCCTGAGAACAGGCTTCTGGGTCCTCTCAAAACCTTTGTCCTGGCCTGGAAACCGAGACAGGGTTTCCTCCGGGAGCCCCTGCTTGTGCTCTAGGCCAACCCTGCTCAGGCTCAGGGTGTTGGCATCTAAACCTGCCTGGGGCTGGGCATGGTAATGGCTCATGCCTGTAATCCCAGCACTTTGGGAGGCCGAGGTGGGTGGATCATTTGAGGCCAGGTGTCCGAGACCAGCCTGGGCAACATAGTGAGACCCCATATCGCTACCAAAAAAAAAAAAAAAAAAAAACAGGGCCAGGCGCAGTGGCTTACACCTGTACTCCCAGCACTTTGGGAGGCCAAGGCGGGTGGATCACCTGTCAGGAGTTCGAGACCAGCCTGACCAACATGGTGAAACCCCCCCTTTACTAAACAAACACACACACACACACACACAATTAGCGGGATGTGGTGGTGCACGCTTCTAGTTCCAGCTACTCAGGAGGCTGAGGCAGGAGAATCGCTTGAACCTGGGAAGTGGAGGTTGCAGTCAGCTGAGATTGTGCCACTGCACTCCAGCCTGGGCGACAGAGCGAGACTCCATCTCAAAAAAAAAAAAAAAAAAAAAAAGAATCGTCCTACCTCCTGGAGTTGTTGGGGGTCGAATGAGCTAATGTGTGGGACATGGTTCCCTCTGACATTTGATGAATAGGAAACGAGTAGACCTGAAGTCAGTGAGCTCAGCAGATGGAATCCACTCACACTGCTGGCTCAGAGAATGGGGAGGCTGCAATCTGGGCAGGCTTCCTGGAGGAGGGAGTGACCTCAAGACAGGACGCTGATGTGCCCCCTCTGCCCTGCACACAGGGAGCTGGCTGTACCGCGCTCGTGGTGGCTGTGGTGGCTCGGAAGCTGGAGCTCACCAAGGCTGAGAAGCACGTGCACAACTTCATGATGGACACTCAGCTCACCAAGCGGGTGAGGACCGCGGTTCCCATGGAGGCCGCCTCCTGGCCTTGTCAGCGAGCGTAGAACTTCCCTGCTTTCCCTCTGTACGTGCCGGGCATGCTCATGTGCCCATGGGTTACCATGCAGCCCCGTGTCAAGACTGTGCTGGCTTTGGGAGGCCAAGGCAGGTGGATCACCTAAGGCCAGGAGTTCGAGACCAGCCTGGCCAACATGGCAAAATCCCATCTCTACTAAAAATACAAAAATTAGCCTGGCATGGTGACGGACGCCTGTAGTCCCATCCACTTGGGAGTCTGAGGCAGGAGAATCGCTTGAGCCTGGGAAGCAGAGGCTGCAATAAGCCAAGATGGCACCACTGCACTCGAACCTGGGTGACAGAGCAAGACTCCGTTTAAAAAAAAAAAAAAAAGGACTGTGCTTGGCTCTGCCACCACGCACCCATCTGTGAGTAATGCACAGAGAGACATCGTGGCATCAACCCTTGTGCCCAGTCACGTCCAGCCATGAGCATTCAGTAAGAGGCTTGAGCCAGACCGCCATATGCAATTTGAGAGCTGCCTGACCCTAGCGGGTTGACTGCTCTGTACCTCAGCTTCCCCATATAGAAAATCAGGGAAATAAAAACACATGCCGATTCACTGAGTTAACATCTGCATCATGGCCGGGCGCGGTGGCTCACGCCTGTAATCCCAGCACTTTAGGAGGCCGAGGCGGGCGGATCACTTGAGGTCAGGAGTTCAAAACCAGCCTGGCCAACGTGATGAAACCCCATCTCTAGTAAAAATACAAAAATTAGCTGAGCGTGATCGCAGGCGCCTGTAATCCCAGCTACTAGGGAGAGTGAGGCAGAAGAATCACTTGAACCTGAGAGGTGGAGGTCGCAGTGAGGCAAGATCATGCCACTGCATTCCAGTCTGGGCCACAGAGCCTCAAAAAACAAACAAACAAACAAACAAACAAAAAACATTAAAAACATTTGCATGGTGCATAGAAGGGGCCTGGCCCATCATGAGTGATGTGTGTTAGGTATACACACACTGCACAGATGTTGTTGTACAAGCATGGCCCTGCCTTATAGCCCAGGGACCCTGAGAGGCATTTCCAGAAGTTTCTAGAGGTTTCTGGAAGATTCTAGACATTTCTGGAGCCTTTTGGAATTTCGCGCCAACCCTGAGGAATTGTTCTTTTTCTGGCCCCAGGTAAAAAACGCCGCTGCTAACGTTCTCAGGGAGACGTGGCTCATCTACAAACATACCAGGCTGGTGAAGAAGCCAGACCAAGCCCGGGTTCGGAAACACCAGCGTAAGTTCCTCCAAGCCATCCATCAGTAAGTCCAGCACCTTTCCAGCTCACGTTTCTGTGTCCACATGGCGCGGAGGCAGCCCTCGCAGCTCTGTGTGGCCTCTTCACGGCTCCCTGCCAGGGACGGGTGGTCAGTTGGTTGGGGCCTGCATCTTCTGAGCTGGGTGGATGGGAGGATCTTCAGAGGGAGGCAGATGATGGGGTCTGCTAAATCATGGACACGACTCAGTAAGTGGCAGGATGTATATTTTATTCTCTGGAATAACCAGGATAATTCTTACCCTTTAGACTTTGAAGCGATTTCCTCTTTTTGCTTTGTCTGCCAGGAGGCTCATAGTTAAATCCATGGTCTGATCCATGGGATCATGTAGGATAACTAGAAATGAATTGGGCCAGGTGCGGTGGCTCATGCCTGTAATCCCAGCACTTTGGGAGGCAGGAAGATCGCTTGAGTCCAGGAGTTCAACACCATCCGTGGCAATACAGGGAGACCCCATCTCTACAAAAACTAAGAACTTAACTGGGTGTGGTGGTGTGCCTCTGTGGTCCCAGATACTCGGGAGGCTGAGGTGGAAGGATCACTTGAGTCTGCAGGGTCAAGGCTGCAGTGAGCCATGATTGCGCCACTGCACTCAGCTGGGTTACAAAGTGAGACCTTGTCTCAAAAAAAAAAAAAGAAAGAAAAGAAAAAGAAAAAAAAGGCCGGGCGCGGTGGCTCACGCCTGTAATCCCAGCACTTTGGGAGGCCGAGGTGGGTGGATCACGAGGTCAGGAGATCAAGACCATCCTGGCTAACACAGTGAAACCTCGTCTCTACTAAAAATACAAAAAATTAGCCGGGCGTGGTGGCGGACGCCTGTAGTCCCAGCTACTCGGGAGGCTGAGGCAGGAGAATGGCATGAACCCAGGAGGCGGAGCTCGCAGTAAGCTGAGATTGCGCCGCTGCACTCCAGCCTGGGCGACAGAGTGAGACTCTGTCTCAAAAAAAAAAAAAAAGAAAGAAAAAGAAAAAAAAGAAGAAAGAAATTGCTTGATTCCCTATGTTGTTTCTTTGCCCTGAGAACTATTTAATAAAGTAGCTCTAAATCCTTGGCTGCTCATTGAAGTCACCAGGGGGCTTTTTAAAAATCCCAAGAGCCACATCCAACATCAGTTACTTAGTAGAGTCTGGGTTGCAGTCTGGGTTTACATTTAAATTCCTCAAATGACTGCTTGGTTGGGCATGGTGGCTCACACTTATAATCCCTGCACTTTGGGAGGCCAAGGAGGGAAGACTGATTGAGGCCAAGATTTGGAAACCAGCCTGGGAAACATAGTGAGACCCCACTCTATGTAAAAATTAAAAAATAAAGCGAGGCGTGGTGACTCACACCTCGTAATCCCAGCACTTTGGGAGGCTGAGCCAGGAGGATCGCTTGAGGCCAGGAGTTTGCAACCAGCCTGGGCAACAAAGTGAGACCCCGTCTCTACAAAAATAAAAAAATTAGCCCAGTGTGGTGGCATGTGTCTATGGTCCCAGCTACCCAGGAGGTTGAGGTGGGAGGATAACTTGAGCCCAGAAGGTCAAGGTTGCAGCGAGCTGTGATTGCGCCACTGCACTCCAGCCTGGGCCACAGAGCAAGGCCTTGCCTTAAAAAACTATATATGGCTGGGTGCAGTGGCTCACGCCTGTAATCCCAGCACTTTGAGAGGCCGAGGCAGGTGGATCCCCTGATGTCAGCCTGGCCAACATGGCGAAACCTTGTCTCTACTAAAAATATAAAAATTAGCCGGGCATGGTGGCACGTGCCTGTAGGTTGTACTGAGCTGAGATCGCACCACTGCACTCCAGCCTGGGCGACAGAGTAAGACTCAGTCTCAAAAAATCAAAAATAAAATATATTAAAATAAGTAAATAAATAAAATTTCCTCAGTTGAGTCCAATATGCAGCCAGTCAGCAAACTTTTTCTGTAAAGGGCCAGATGGTAAATCTTTCAGGTTTTATGGGCCAGACCGTTTCTGTCCCACTCTTCAACTCTCTGCTGCTGAGGCAGGGAAGCAGTGAGGATAACCTGGTGTGGCCATGTTCCAAAGAAACCTTATTTTCCAAGACAGGCGGCCGGCTAGATTTGACCCACAGGCCATAATATGCTGACGACAATGCTGTCCACTAGAATATCACGTGAGCAACATATATAATTTTAAATTTGCTAACAGCCACATTAGAAAAAAGTACAAAAGGCTGGGCGCGGTGGCTCACACTTGTAATCCCAGCACTTTGGGAGGCCGAGATGGGTGGATCATTTGAGGTCAGGAGTTCAAGACCAGCCTGACCAACATGGTGAAACCCCATCTCTACTAAAAATACAAAAAAATTAGCTGAGCGTGGTGGCACATGCCTGTAGTCCCAGCTACTCGGAAGGCTGAGGCAGGAGAATCACGTGAACCTGGGAAGCTGAAGTTGCAATGAGCCAAGATCACTTTGAGACAGTCCCCTGGACTGGCTTAGGTACAGAAGGGAGTGCCAGCAGGTGCAGTGGCTCATGCCTGTAATCCTTTTGGAGGCTGAGACGGGCGGATCACATGAGGTCAGGAGTTCGAGACCAGCCTGACCAACATGGTGAAACCCCATCTCTACTAAAAATACAAAAATTAAACCAGGTGTGCTGGTGAGCGCTTGTAATTCCAGCTACTCAGAAGGCTGAGCCAGGAGAATCGCTTGAACCGGGGAAGTGGAGGTTGCAGTGAGCTGAGACCATGCCACTGCACTCCCGCCTGGGTGACAGAGTGAGACTCCGTCTCAAAAAAAACAAAGGGATGGTCAAAAGGGGCGAGGGCATACACTAACCAACTCCCCCTGCGGCCAGCTGTCCAGAGACCAGGGTCACCAGTGCCAACACCAACACCAAGTAGCAAGTGTGGGTTCAAATCCTGCCGGGGTGCGGATGGGCAGTGGCTTTACCCCTCTGAGCCTCAGTTTCCCCCTCAGGAGATGGTGTCGGCATAGTTTTCTGAATGAAACACCGCCTCCGGTGGTGGTGAGAGGACAGGTGTGCCCCTGAGGGGCTGGCACAGAACCCTCAGAGGCTGGGCACCTCCCCAGAGCAACGGCAGCCCCTCGGCCATCTGGGAACCCCGCGCGGGGCCCTAGGGTGGCATCCCCGGGAGGTGGGCAGGGTTGGGTACATGCCGAACAACTGTGCTGAGGTTAAAATTGCCTTGTGATTTTTCTCCTGCTCTGCCCGGTCCTGCCAGGGCTCAGAAGTAAGTGTTCTCCCAGGGGCTTGGTGGGGCTGGGAAATCGGGGGTGCATGGTGGTCACAGACAGGGGGTACACCCGGGGCATGCCAACCCCAGCCTCAGAGGCGGGCAGGGTTCACATCTGCCCCATGGATCCGTGCAGGCTTCACCTTGGTCTGGGATCCAACTTCCTGGGGCAGTCCTGAGTTGGGCCGGAGACAGGACCAGCCAATGGGTGGTGTGGGCGGTGGCCAGGCTGACTTCTGGCCCTGGCGCACCGGCTGTGTACTGGGAGGGAATAGACTACAGGGAATCGGCCTCCCAACTCCCACCTCATCCTCTGATGCATGTCCCATAGGTGACCCCGGGTGGGTGCATGAAAGTCCCTGCCCCCACTGCAGCCTCCACGGGAACCTGCCTAACCCCCTCCCCCAACCCCGTGTCCCCACAGGCTCCGGAGTGTGAAGATCGAGCAAGGGAAGCTGAACGACCAGGCTAACACGCTTACCGACCTAGCCAAGGTGAGTGGGTTGGGGCAGGGTGGGCCAGACAGGGCAGGTGGGGCCCCGGAGCAGATGGGATGGGGCTCAGCTCCTGCCGGAGGAGGGCACAAGGACCCGCTGTGGGCTGAGTGCAGTGGCGGGCGGATCGCTTGAGCTCAGGAGTTTGAGACCAGCCTGGGCAACATGGTGAAATCCCGTCTCTACAAAAAAAATACAACAATTAGCCAGGCGTGGTGGCGGGCGCCTTTAATCCCAGCTACTTGGGGGCTGAGGGAGGAGAATCGCTTGAACTTGGGGGGTTGAGGCTGCAGTGAGCCGAGATGGCACCACTGCAGTCCAGCCTGGGTGACAGAGTGACACCCTGTCTCAAAAAAATGATAATAATTTTAAAAATAATTTAAAAATTTAAAAAGAGTACACAATTAGGGGGCTAAATGGGTGAAGAGGTATTTCTAGATTTAGGCATACCACCTCAATTCAAGATCTGAAATGGAAGAGAAAAAATTCCTTTGCTATGGGTATAAATTCAAATGATAGCCTTGGGAGAAAGCTTTGTATAATTTGTATAGCAATTAAACATCTGTCAGGAAATTTAAATTGATTGCAAGAGAAATTGGGGCCAGCTGGGTTCAATGGGTCATGCCTATAATCCCTGTACTTTGGGAGGCTGAGGCAGGCAGATCACTTGAGCCCAAGAGGTTGAGACCAGCCTGGGCAGCACAGAGAGACCCCATCTGTACAAAAAGAATAAAAAAATTAACCAGGCATGGTGGTGAGTGCCTGTAGTCCCAGCTATTAGGGAGGCTGAGGCGGGAGAATCACTTGAGCCCAGGAGGTCAAGGCTGCTGTGAGGTATGATCACTCTGCTGCACTCTAGCCTGGGCAACAGAGCGAGACCCTGTCTCAAAAAAAAAAAAAAAGCAAGAAAGAAATCAGTTTGTGTTATACATGGATCTGTGTGTTGATTCGAATATCAAGTCATCTCCCACTTTTTTTTTTAGCTTTATTTATTTATTTTTTGAGACAGAGTCTTGCTCTGTCACCCAGGCTGGAGTGCAGTGGCGTGATCTCAGCTCACTGCAACTTCCGCCTCCCGGGTTCAAGCAATTCTCGTGCTTCAGCCTCCAGAGTAGCTGGGATTACAGGCATGCACCAGCATGCCCGGCTAATTTTTGTACTTTTAGTAGAGACGGGGTTTCGCCATGTTGGCCAGCCTGGTCTCGAACTCCTGACCTTAAGTGATCCACCCCCCTCAGCCTCCCAAAGTGTTGGGATTACAGGCGTGGGCCACCGTGCCCAGCCCATTTCCCACTTTTTGAATTCTTCCACTGGAAGATGTGTCACTGGACCAGTTGCAATTAATCAAGTGCTTGAGATCTTTGCAACACTGATTTGAATTCCCTTCTGACCAATGACATAGTTTCAGAAAATAGCTTTTGCTCAGTGGCTACATCCCCTGATCTATCAGTCAGCTTGAGGCTAATTTCATGTTATCTTTAGAAAATGTTAAGTCCCATTCTATTTTATTTCTTGTCCCCAGTGCATTTTGGACTCACTTCCTCCATCACTAGGAAGAGAATGCAATCTAGCTTAATATTAACCTACAAGAAATTTAATTTGGAAGGGAATCTTCTTTTTTTTTTTTTTCTGAGACAGGGTCTTGCTCTGTGGTACAGGCTGGAGTGCAGTGGCAAAATCATGGCTCACCGCAGCCTCAACCTCCCCAGGCTCAAGCAATCCCCCCAACTCATCCTCTTGAGTAGCTGGGACTACAGGCGCACACCACCAGGTCCTGCTAATTTTTGTATTTTTTGTAGAGATGGGGTTTCACCATGTTGCCCAGGCTGGTCTCAAACTCCTGAGCTCAAGTGATCCTCCCGCCTTGGCCTCCCAAAGTGCTGGGATTACAGGCGTGAGCCACCGCACCCAGAAAAGAATCTTACAGAGAGAAAAACATATTCTAGACCCCTGAAGATATACAGTTAACTCTCGAACATGGGGGTTATGGGGTGCTGACCCCTTAAAAGTCAAATATTCCCATATAACTTCTTTTTTTCTTTTTGAGACAGAGTCTCACTCTGTTGCCCAGGCTGGAGTGCAGAGGTGCGATCTCAGCTCACTGCAGCCTCCATCTCCTAGGTTTAAGGTATTCTCCTGCCTCAGCCTCCTGAGTAGCTAGGATTACAGGTGTATGCCGCCACGCCTAGCTACTTTTTGTATTTTTAGTAGAGATGGGGTTTCACCATGTTGGCCAGGCTGGTCTCGAACTCCTGACTTCAAGTAATCCACCTGCCTTGGCCTCCCAAAGTGCTGGGATTACAGGCATAAGCCACTGTGCCCGGCCTCATATAAGTTTTGACGCCCCCTCACCCCAAATTTAACTACTGATAGCCTACCATTGACCAAAAGCCTTACTGATAAACAGTTGATTCACATATATTTTGTGTATATATACTGTATTCTTACAGTAAGGTATGGTAGAGAAAGGAAAATATTAAGAAAATCAGGCCAGATGCAGTGGCTCATGCCTGTAATCCTAGCACTTTGGGAAGTTGAGGAGGGGGGATCACTTGAGCTCAGGAATTCAAGACCAGCCTGGGCAACATGGCAAAACTCCATTGCTACAAAAAAAAAAAAAAAAAAATAGAAAAATTAGCAGGAGGCTGAGGTGGGAGGATCACTTGAGCCTGGGAGGTAAAAGCTGCAGTCAGCTGTGACTGTACCACTGCACTCCAGTCTGGGAGACAGAGCAAGACTCTGTCTCTAAAAAATAAAATTTTAAGCCTGGGTGTAGTGGCTCATCCCTGTAATCCCAGCACCTTGGGAGGCAAAGGTGGGCGGATCACCTGAGGCCAGGAGTTCAAGACCAGCCTGGCCAACATGGTGAAACTTTGTCTCCACTAAAAATACAAAAATTAGCCGGGTGTGGTAGCGGGCACCTGTAATCTCAGCTACTTGGGAGGCTGAGGCAGGAGAGTCGCTTGAACCCAGGAGGTGGAGGTTGCAGTGAGCCGAGATCATGCCTCTGCACTCCAGCCTAGACAACAAGAGCGAGACTTCGTCTCAAAAATAAAAATAAAAATAAAAATTTTAAACCTCAGAAAAGACTAAAAAGAACCACCTGAAGGCTGGACACTGCTCTGGCCTCCAGATGTCACCCTCTGGCTCTAGGGACTGTGGTGCCTGAGAGAGGCCAGGGTAAGGTCAGTGGTGCTAGGAGGGGAGGCCCCCACAAGGTGTTTGCACTCGGAGTGGGGTCTGCCTTGCACTGATGGAGGGAAAAGGGTAGGGGGCACAGTGGAGGAAGCTGGGAGGAAGAGGCTGGGTGTGAGAGGACAGAGGAGCTGGGGTGGGCACCTCGTCCTGTCCTGTCTTCCTTCCACCACTGCCTCCATCCTCCCACGGAGGCCGCCGCGGGGTGGCAAACCGGTGTCCTGACCCAGCTGCGCTCAGAGCCGTGGAGTGATGTTCTAGTGCCACCTGGTGGCCAGAGTGGTGTCTGCACCCAGGACTGTCCCTGCCTGGCCGGCCTCCCCTGCCCATAGGGGGACAGTGCCAGAACCGGGCAGTTGAGGTGGTAGGGATGCCCCACTGGCTGCTGTAACAGTAATTGTGGCTGTCGTGTTCCCAGTCTGTGATTGCGTCAGATTCTCAGGGCAGTCACCTTCGTCATTAGACCCCTGTCCCCTCCCCAGCCTAATGGGAGGGGTGGCAGTTCACGACTGAACAGGGTCCCCCCTCCTCTTCTTCCTAGGCAGCCATGTCCCCACGCTCCTGCTGTTCCCCAGCCTGGAGCAACGTCAGCCCCAAACATCCCCCAGGTCTGTGGGTACCACTTGAGCACTGCCTGTGGCTATGTGTGCCCTGTGGCCACTAGACCCCCAGGGCAGCTCTGGGCATGTCCCCCCACCCCAGAACCTCACTAGGCCTTTCCCAGGCCTGCCAGCCCTGAGCTTGGCTTGCTTGCTTTCTTTTTCTTGAGACGGATTTTCCCTCTTGTCACTCAGGCGCACTGAAACCTCCACCTCCTGGGTTCAAGTGATTCTCCTGCCTCATCCCCCCCGAGTAGCGGGGATTACAGGTGCCCGCTACCACATCCGGCTAATTTTTGTATTTTTAGTGGAGACAAAGTTTCACCATGTTGGCCAGGCTGGTCTCAAACTCCTGACCTCAGGCGATTCGCCTGCCTCGGCCTCCCAAAGTGCTGGGATTACAGGCGTGAGCCACCACAACCAGCTGAGCTTGGCATTTAAGACCTGTCTTTTAGGCTGGGCGCCTCCCGGAAAGAGGAGGTTGTAATGAGCCGAGATTGGGCCACTGCACTCCAGCATAGGTGACGGAGGGAGTCTCTGTCTCAAAGAAAAAAAAAAAAAAGAGAGAAAGAAAAGACCAGTCTCTCCCCTCATCCACTCTCCAATCCTTCCCTGGGCCCAGCAAGGGACCTCTGGGGCTGGGGGTATCCTCCCAGCCACCCCTCACACGGGCCCCATTAGTGGCTGGCACCCACCTGGAGCGTGTGGGCTGTCCCTCTCTGTCATTGGTGTCGTGGTATCGTCCTTTCCTCTCTCACTCAGCGGCGCCTCTCTCCTGCCCCTCTCTGTCTCCCGCAGACCCAGACCGTCATGTACGACCTTGTATCGGAGCTGCACGCTCAGCACGAGGAGCTGGAGGCCCGCCTGGCCACCCTGGAAAGCCGCTTGGATGCGCTGGGTGCCTCTCTACAGGCCCTGCCTGGCCTCATCGCCCAAGCCATACGCCCACCCCCGCCTCCCCTGCCTCCCAGGCCCGGCCCCGGCCCCCAAGACCAGGCAGCCCGGAGCTCCCCCTGCCGGTGGACGCCCGTGGCCCCCTCGGACTGCGGGTGACGGCCCTGCCCGCCACCAGACCCCTAAATCTTGGCCATCGTGTGGCCGCCACCTCCGGGAAGCCTTGTACAGTGGCGCCTCTTGGAGTTCAAGAAGCCAACGCTGAGTCAGGCTGAGTGGACTGAGGCCTGCCCCGCCCAGACTGCCCAGGCAGAGGGCAGGGCTGGACCATGGGTGAGGGCAGGGGAGCCCGGAGCTTCCTCTGGTCACCTGGTCCCCCGACTCTCCCCAGGCCCCCGGTGGGCATGGAGCAGCCCGGGGAGGGGTCCGTGCTGGTTCTGAATAAAGCAGGACCCGCCTAGTGGCTGCCTGTGTGCATGGCTGGAAGGCACTGGTGATGTCCCAGGAGGTAGACCTCCAGCCCTGGGTACCAAGATGAATGTGGGAATCAGAAAAACCTGTTCCCATCACCGGCCTAGCCTAGAATCCTAGCCTAGAAGCCCTCTCTCCCTCTGGGCTGGAGCTCAGTGAGGGACAACTCTCTAGGGACACCTGTACCAGCCCCACCTGGCGCTGAGATCCCTCAGACAGCATGGCCCAGCCCTGGCCAGAAGCATCGCTCCCCTTCAACCAACCGCGTTGATGGACACCCACTGTGTGCCAGGCCCCAGCGGGGCCCATGGGGGAGGTGACCTGGGTGAGGAAGGTCATTTGGGTTTTTGTGAGATTTGTATTGAGCACCTGCTGTCTACAGAGAATGTGATGATGTCAATTACCACACTGATTCCTCATCAGAACTTGACCATGGTGGGATGGGGGGGAAACTGAGGCCCAGAGAGGTGAATCTACCTACCTGGGACCACACTGCGAGGAAGGATGGTGCATTCAAACTGGAAATCCCCTAGGCCAAAGTAAAGAACCGGACTGGCTGGGCACAGTGGCTCACACCTGTAATCCCAGCACTTTGGGAGGGTAAAGCGGGCGGATCACCTGAGGTCAGGAGTTCAAGACCAGCCTGGGCAACATGGTGAAACCCTGTCTCTACTAAAAATATAAAAATTAGCTGGGTGTGGTGGTGCACGCCTGTAATCCCAGCTACTTGGGAGGCTGAGGCAGGATAATCGCTTGAACCCAGGAGGTGGAGGTTGCAGTGAGAAAAAACCTGGACTTGGTGGAAGGGACTCCATGGAGGAGCCATGGGGACGTCAGGAGGAGGGGTTATTTGGTGACATCCAGGGGTCAGAGAGACCCTTCAGGGGTGGGCTACAGGGGAGGGTTCCAGACACAAGTAGAATCAGAAAGGTCCCTGGAGGCCATGGGCTTGGGTGCTGGGAGCAACAGGCATTTACTTGGCAGATGCTGAGCCCTGGGTGGGGCGAGGAGGCCTGGCTCCTGGGGAGACGACGCTGTGCATAGCCGAGGAGCCCCAGGTCCTGGCAGCCTCTGATAAGGCCATCCATCGCCTGGCTCAACGAGATAACTAGGCCGTGGCTGGTGCATGAATGACCAGCTTGGGCCCACGCACGAGAAGGGTATGAGGAGGTGCTGGTCAGACCCGGGTTCGAGTCCTGACTCTGCCACTGCTGGGTGACTCTGAGCAGTGGCTGCCCCTCTGGGGCCTTGGTTGTTTCATCTGTAAAATGGGGTGACAGTCTATTTAACCAGAACTCCCTAAAAAGGGCCAGGCAACTGGTAGGTGCTCAATAAATGCTCCTTCCCGCCTGAGGGATCACACTGGAGTCTTTGGCAGGACTCATCCTTTCTACCCTGTTGTCTGGCTGGGGAAACTAAGGCCTGAGAAGGAAAGGGGCTGTCCTTCAGGGTGAGAACCCAGGGTTTGGTTAAGGAACATCCGTGGGTGTACCTTCTGTGCCAGTGGTAGCTCCCAGGTCTGATGGCAGAGGCACAGTAAACCCATAGTACTTAAAAAAAAAAAAAAAAAAACACCAAAGCCATAAAGTTATGAACAGGCCGGGCGTGGTGGCTCACGCCTGTAATCCCAGTACTTCGGGAGGCTGAGGTGGGAGGATCACCTGAGGTCAGGAGTTGGAGACCAGCCGGCCAACATGGTGAAACCCTATCTCTACTAAAAATACAAAAATTAGCTGGGCGTGGACGACTCCTGTCGTCCCAGGTACTCAGGAGACTGAGGCAGGAGAATTGCTAGAACCAGGGAGGTGGAGATTGCAGTGAGCCAGGATCACGCTACTGTGCCCCGGCCTGGGCGACAGAGCGAGACTCTGTCTTAAAAAAAGAGAGAGAGAAAGAGAAAAGTAAACAAGGCAAGAAAGAAAGAGAAAAAAAGAAAGAGAGGAAGGAGGGAAGGAAGGAAGGAAGGAAAGAAAGAAAAAACAGAGAAAAGTAAACAAGGCCAGAGGTGGCAAGGGGACTCTGAGGAAGTGGCATTTGGGCGTGGGCGGGATGGGTGGGAGAACGGATCTGGTAGCGGAACGGCCCAGTGCGGAGGCGAAGAGAGCTACTCGAGGTGGATTTTGTTTGAGGGACAGCCATGAAGTGACAATGACGGGGAGACTGAGGCGGTGCCGGGTTCTGGGCGGCGGGGGGGGCAGGGGTAGTGAGGGGCGAATGAGACCATAGGGCTGAGATCTGCGGCCGCCTCGGTGCCTCCCCAGCCACCTCCGCCCCTGCCTGCTTCTGATTCAACAGCGCCGACCCTACAAAAACAGGGCCCGCCCATCTCCGAGGATGGCAAAGTCAACAGTGCGGGCACGCGGGCGGCCAGTCCCCGGCGGCCCGCGTGCGTCACGGGGGCGGATGCAGAGGACCAGGAAGTTCGCCGACGACGCGCCCGCCCTGGGCCACCGGCGCCGGCCCAAGTTCGCCGGGGGGGCCCGGAGGAAGCTTGGGGGACGCGACGGGGGAACGCGGAAACCCCGGGGATCTGCAGGCGCGCCCGGGCCGTGTGCCTTCTCTCCGCGTGTCCAAACCGTGTCCCCAGCCGCGCGCCATGCGCTCTGGGGGCGTGCGCAGCTTCGCGCTGGAGCTGGCGCGGGGCCCGGGCGGCGCCTACCGCGGCGGGGAGCGGCTGTGCGGCCGGGTGCTGCTGGAGGCGGCGGCGCCGCTGCGGGTGCGAGCGCTCGAGGTGAAGGCGCGCGGCGGGGCGGCCACCCACTGGTTGGAGGGTCGCAGCGTGGGCGTCAACGCCGTATCCAGCGACTACGCGGCCGCGGAGACCTACCTGCGGCGTCGGCAGCTGCTGCTCCGAGGTGAGACACTCGTCGCGCCGCCCCCGCAGCAGCCGGGACCCCCTCGGCCGCGACCCTCTTCAGGGCCGGAAGCCTCTCAACTTAGAACCTATGCGGTCGGGTGATCCTTTTCAAGGAGGGGGAAACCCCCTTCCCGGGGTCCTGACCCTCCCACAGGTCAGGAGTTCAAGACTAGCCTGGGCGACATGGTGAAACCCCATGTCTCCAAAAACTACAAAAATTAGCCAGGCTTAGTGGCGCGCGCCTGGAGTCCCAGCTACAGGCTGAAGTGGGAAGATCGCTTGAGCCTGGGAGGTAGAGGTTGTAATGGGCTGAGATCGCACCACTGCACTCCAGCCTGGACACCCACCCCGCCCTGGTCAGGACCCCCACTAACCGGGAACGTCTACCCAGGGTCTGGGTGTTCCCTTCTCTGGAGCCAGACTCCCTCAACTTAGACTGTGCGGTGGGGAGACCCCTTTCAAAGCAGGGGGACCCTCCTATTAGAGTCCAGGAAACCCGCGGGAAGTAGAGTGGGAGATCTCCCTGGTGGACCCCAGTGTCCCCGTTGATCCCAGGCCTGGAGTCCCTGATTCTCAGAGAAGGCCCCCAACTCGTGTTACCCAGGGCCCCACCTCAGTTTACCCCACAGGGTCTGCAGCGCTGAGTTCTTCCCTGGGGTAGGGTTGGGGGTCTGGTGGTATTTCCCGGTGAGGAGGTGGAAATGCATCCCAGAGGGGAAGAGATGAAGTGGGGTCACATTCTCCTGGGAGTCTGGGTCTTGGGCAGGTCCCTACTCTTCCCCGAACCTCAGTCCTTCTCGCACCCCAAGCGCCCCTAGGCCACGCAGCTGGTCACCAGCGAGCCAGGGGTCACAGAAGGAGGCAGTCCATACCCTCACACCCTACTGTGTGGCTGCGGGAGGGCATCATCCTCTCTGGGCCGCCCTGGCTATTCCTCCGGGCCAAGCCAGACCTCACTATACCCGTCTGTAAAATGGGCCGGGAGGGAGGCAGCTCAGATTCTCGACAGCCCCACTTTTTTCCCAGCGCTGCGGGCAATAGAAGTTTTGGGCACACAAGAGCCACAGGTGCGGGGGACCCTTCCCTCCCCAGCGGTGGAAACAGAAGCAAGTGCGGTGGGGCAGGGCAGGAAGGGGCCCAGGAGGCACTTCCCTTCCCCGGCGACTCGGAGAACTCTTGGGACCGCTTTCACCCGAAGGCCGGCCCAGACACTCAACGGCGACTTCCTTAAAACACTGGAGAGGCAGCCGGGTGCGGTGGCTCACGCCTGTAATCCCAGCACTTTGGGAGGCTGAGGCGGGCAGATCACCTGAGGTCAGGAGTTCGAGACCAGCCTGGCCAACATGGTGAAACTTTGTCTCCACTAAAAATACAAAAATTAGCTGGGCGTGCTGGTGGGCGCCTGAAATCCCAGCAACTCGGGAGGCTGAGGCAGAATTGCTTGAACCCGGCAGGCGGAGATTGCAGTGAGCTGAGATGGCACCACTACACTCCAGCCTGGGCAACAGAGCGAAACTCCGTCTCAAAAACAAAAACAAAAACAAATAAACAAAAAACACTGGAGAGGCGAGCCTGGTGGGTCCACCTGTGGTCCCAGCTATCACAGAGGCTGAAGCGGAAGGATTGCTTGAGCTAAGTTAGAGGCCAGCCTGGGCAACATAATGAGACCTCCCACCCTCCACTCCGTTTTTGTGTTTGTTTTTGTTTTTGAGACAGGGTCTTACTCTGTTACTCAGGCTGGAGTGCAGTGGCACGATCTCGGCTCACTGCAACCTCTGCCTCCCATGTTCAAGTGATTCTGCAACCTCAGACTCCTGAGTAGCTGGGACTACAGGTGCCCGCCACCACACCCGGCTAACTTTTTGTTTTGTTTTGTTTTGTTTTGTTTTGTTTTTCTGAGACAGAGTCTCACTCTGTCACCCAGGCTGGAGTGCAGTGGCGCCGGCGCAATCTTGGCTCACTGCAACCTCTGCCTCCCAGGTTCCAGTGATTCTCCTGCCTCAGCCTCCCGAGTAGCTGGGATTATAGGTGCCCGCCAACACGCTGGCTAATTTTTGTTTGTTTGTTTGTTTGTTTGTTTGGGGGACGGAGTCTCCCTCTGCTGCCCAGGCTGGAGTGCAGTGGCACCATCTCGGCTCACTGCAAGCTCTGCCTCCCGGGTTCACGCCATTCTCCTGCCTCAGCCTCCCGAGCAGCTGGGACTACAGGCACCCGCCACCACGCCCGGCTAATTTTTTGTATTTTTAGTAGAGACGGGGTTTCACCATGTTAGCCAGAATGGTCTCGATCTCCTGACCTCGTGATCTGCCCGCCTCGGCCTCCCAAAGTGCTGGGATTACAGGCATGAGCCACAGTGCCCGGCCAATTTTTGTATTTTTAGTAGAGACGGGTTTCACCATGTTGGCCAGGCTGGTCACGAAATCCTGACCTCAGGTGATCCATCCACCTCGGCCTTCCAAAATGCTTGGCTTACAGGCATGAGCCACCATGCCCGGCCCCCATCTCTTTAAATACATAAAAATTGGCTGGGCGCAGTGGCTTATGCCTGTAATCCCAGTACTTTGGGAGGCTGAGGCAGGAGGATCACTTGAGGTCAGGAGTTCAAGACCAGCCTGGCCAACATGGTGAAGCCCTGTCTCTACTAAAAATACAAAAATTAGCCGGGCTAACTTTTTTTTTTTTTTTTTTTTAGGCGGAATTTCACTCTTGTTGCCCAGGCTGGAGTGCAATGGCATGATCTCGCCTCACTGCAACCTCCACCTCCCAGGTTCAAGTGTTTCTCCTGCCTCAGCCTCCCAAGTAGCTGGGATTACAGGCATGCGCCACCACACCCGGTAAATTTTGTATCTTTAGTAGAGACGGGGTGTCTCCATGTTGGTCAGGCTGGTCTCGAACTCCTGACCTCAGGTGATCCGCCTGCCTCGGCCTCCCAAAGTGCTGGGATTACAGGCGTGAGCCACCGCGCCCGGCCAAGGTGGGCTAATTTTTAAATTCTCCCAGCTACTCAGGGGGCTAAGGCAGGAGAATCGCTGGAACCCGGAAGGTGGAGGTTGCAGTGAGCCAAGATGGTGCCACTGCACTACAGCCTGGGTGTCAGAGCAGAGTGAGACCCTGTCTCAAAAAAAAAAAAAATTAAAATTTTGGCTGGGTGCAGTGGCTCACACCTGTAATCCCAGCACTTTGGGAGGCTGAGGCGGGCAGATCGCTTGAGCTCAAGAGTTCAAGACCAGCCTGGGCAACATGGTGAAACCCCATCTTTACAAAAAATACAAAAATTAGCGGGGCATGGTGGTACACACCTGTAATCCCGGCTACTCGGGAGGCTGAGGTGGAAGGGAGGCAGAGGTTGCAGTGAACCTAGATCGCGCCACTGCACTCCAGCCTGGGCAACAGAGTGAGATCCTGTCTCAAAAAAAAAAAGAAAAGCAAATTTAAAAAAAATTTTTTTTTTTTAATTGATCATTCTTGGGTGTTTCTTGCAGAGGGGGATTTGGCAGGGTCATAGGACAATAGTGGAGGGAAGGTCAGCAGATAAACAGGTGAACAAAGGTCTCTGGTTTTCCTAGGCAGAGTGTTTGTGTCCCTGGGTACTTGAGATTAGGGAGTGGTGATGACTCTTAACGAGCATGCTGCCTTCAAGCATCTGTTTAACAAAGCACATCTTGCACCACCCTTAATCCATTTAACCCTGAGTGGACACAGCACATGTTTCAGAGAGCACAGGGTTGGGGGTAGGGTCACCGATCAACAGGATCACAAAGCAGAAGAATTTTTCTTAGTACAGAACAAAATGAAAAGTCTCCCATGTCTACCTCTTTCTACACAGACACGGCAACCATCCGATTTCTCAATCTTTTCCCCACCTTTCCCCCCTTTCTATTCCACAAAACCGCCATTGTCATCATGGCCCGTTCTCAATGAGCTGTTGGGTACACCTCCCAGACGGGGTGGTGGCCGGGCAGAGGGGCTCCTCACTTCCCAGTAGGGGCGGCCGGGCAGAGGTGCCCCCTCACCTCCCGGACGGGGCGGCTGGCCGGGTGGGGGGCTGACCCCCCGACCTCCCTCCCGGACGGGGCGGCTGGCCGGGCAGGGGGCTGACCCCCCCACCTCCCTCCCGGATGGGGCGGCTGGCTGGGTGGGGGGCTGACCCCCCGCCTCCCTCCCAGACGGGGCGACTGGCTTGGCGGGGGCTGACCCCCCACCTCCCTCCTGGACGGGGTGGCTGCCGGGCGGAGAAGCTCCTCACTTCCCAGACGGGGTGGCAGCCGGGCGGAGGGGCTCCTCACTTCTCAGACGGGGCGGCTGCCGGGCGGAGGGGCTCCTCACTTCTCAGACGGGGCGGCCGGGCAGAGACGCTCCTCACCTCCCAGACGGGGTCGCGGCCGGGCCGAGGCTCTCCTCACATCCCAGACGGGGCGGCGGGGCAGAGGCGCTCCCCACATCTCAGACGATGGGCGGCCGGGCAGAGACGCTCCTCACTTCGTAGATGGGATGGCGGCCGGGAAGAGGCGCTCCTCACTTCCTAGGTGGGATGGCGGCCGGGCAGAGACGCTCCTCACTTTCCAGACTGGGCAGCCAGGCAGAGGGGCTCCTCACATCCCAGACGATGGGCGGTCAGGCAGAGACGCTCCTCACTTCCCAGACGGGGTGGCGGCCGGGCAGAGGCTGCAATCTCGGCACTTTGGGAGGCCAAGGCAGGCGGCTGGGAGGTGGAGGTTGTAGCGAGCCGAGATCACGCCACTGCACTCCAGCCTGGGCACCATTGAGCACTGAGTTAACGAGACTCTGTCTGCAATCCCGGCACCTCGGGAGGCTGAGGCTGGTGGATCACTCGAGGTTAGGAGCTGGAGACCAGCCGGGCCAACACAGCGAAACCCCTTCTCCACCAAAAAAACCAGTCAGGCGTGGCGGCGCGCGCCTGCAATCGCAGGCACTCGGCAGGCTGAGACAGGAGAATCAGGCAGGGAGGTTGCAGTGAGCCGAGATGGCAGCAGCACAGTCCAGCTTCTGCTCGGCATGAGAGGGAGACCGTGGAAAGAGAGGGAGAGGGAGACCAAGGGGAGAGGGAGAGGGAGAGGGAGCTTAAAAATTGTTAAATTGTTATACATTTAAGGAAAAAACAGTGACACTGGAGGGGCGAGGCCAGTGGAGGTGCTGTGTGACCTCGGGCAGAGCCCCACCCATCTCTGGGCCTTTGGGGTCCGTCTGCGAAATGAATTGAGGGAGGCGCTGGCTCAGTAGTCCCTTCAGGGTTACCTAATCCCGCTTCTCCTCCCGGACTTAACGGCCTACTGTCTCCCCTCTAGTATCCATTGAAACCTGGCCTAAGGTCCCAGACCTTCCTTTCAACTCCAAAGACCCATCCTCCCAGGCAGCCTTCCAGGCTGATCACTGTGCCTCCAACTCCGTCGTTCCTGTTCCGATCCCCATCACGGGCTGAGGGTGACCGTGTTTGTTTATGACCGCCCCCTCCACCCACACACCTCACTGAGGTGGTGGAAGTCTCCTGAGCCAGGCTCAGAGGCGGACAGTCACGGCAGGGGATGGGTTCAGCGGCAGCGCATTACGCTGCCACGAGAGGGCGCCAGCGTCCCGCAGACGACGCAGAGGCAACTCCCGCTGGAGAAACTCCATGCGACTTTTCTTTGGGGAAACTGAAGCCCAGAGAGAGGTCACGCCGTCCCGTGGCCACACCGCAGCTGTGGACCTGGGGGTGCCCGAGCGTCCCCTGCATTCAGCTCTGTGGCGGGACGGGGGCTGAGGATGACTGGAGCAGGCACAAGGGCTGCGGGGAAGGTAGGGTTTGCCAGAGGCTGAAAATTGGGAAGGGAACATCATTTCGTAGGTACCGCTCCTGGGCGAATGCGCCGAGGCGCGACCGAGTGACGGTATGTCAAGAGCAGGTTGATGACCCGGGAGCGAGGCTCTTGGAGGAGTCCAGCTGGGGCTGCACGATGATCCATGCACAACCTTCTGAGGTCAGGACTGATTTTTACTTTCTCCCGGCTCTACAGAGGTGGAAACTGAGGCTCCAAGAGGTTGTCATTTGCCCAGAGCCACCAGCTAAGCGGGACTTGAATCAGGAAAGGGGTGCAGCAGGCACCAGTGTGGAGGGCGGTCCCACCCACCTCCTCCACTTCTCCCTTTGCATAGCGGGGGAAACAGGCCTGGAACAGTCATAGGCTCTCTGGCCCTCAACTGGGGCGAGAGTCCCCCGCCCCAAATCGGGCTGGACATGCCTCGAGTCACGTCAACGAGGGGCGGCTGGTGAGTGATTAAGCCGAGAGGCTGAAGGCTCTGCTAGGTGACCTCAGGCCTGGGCCCTGCCTCTGCACCTCTTTTTTTCCTCTTTACCCCCGGGGTCCGCGAGAGACCAGCTCTGGCAGCCTAAGGGCTTCAGTTTCTCCCCGGGGTCCGCGAGGGAAGGGGGCAGCCGGCGGTGAGCAGGGGCGTTTGTTATTTTGCTCCACGCCTGGGCAGAGCCACGCCCCTTGTCGCGCTATTGGTGGAGTCCCTTCCCGGGGCGGGGAAGAGACGGTGACCCCACCCCCCCCCGCCCTGCCGTATAAAAGCGGCGCCGACGCACGGCGCGGGGATTTTCTGCTCCGGTTGGTGAGCGCGCCTGCGCGTTGACGGCGATTTTGCGTTCTGAGGCTGCAGCGTCGGCATCTTGAGCTGCCGGTTCGCGAGTTCGAGGCCAGGTTCCGCCTGTCGTGGGTTCGCACCCCGGACGCGATGCTATTCGACAAGGTGAAAGCGTTCTCGGTGCAGTTGGACGGCGCGACCGCGGGCGTCGAGCCCGTGTTTAGCGGCGGCCAGGCCGTGGCGGGCCGGGTGCTGCTGGAGCTGTCAAGCGCCGCGCGTGTGGGTGCCCTGAGGCTGCGCGCGCGGGGCCGCGCCCACGTGCACTGGACCGAGTCGCGCAGCGCGGGCTCGAGCACGGCTTACACGCAGAGCTACAGTGAACGCGTGGAGGTCGTGAGCCACCGCGCCACGCTCCTGGCGCCAGGTACGGATGGAGGACCCCTGCTCCAACACCAGTTGTGTGCCTCCCACCACCTGGACGGCGGTACCTCCGTCAGCCCTGGGACCCCAGCGCAACCGCTCAGTCGCCTCCTTTTTCTCCTACCTGCAGATACCGGGGAGACCACGACGCTGCCTCCTGGGCGCCATGAGTTCCTGTTCAGCTTCCAGCTGCCCCCGTAAGTCCTCTGGGGTGCAGGGTTGCCCTAAGCCTGCAGCCCCTTCCAGATTGGTACCTCCAATACTGGATATCTGGGCACCTCTGAGCCCCAAGACTCTCCCCCTGGGAGGCCCCCGGAGTGTCTGTGTCTCCTTCTCCCTGCCTGCTTGTCTCTGTATCTTGTCCCCTGAAGTCCCGTCCCTCCACCCTAGGACCCTGGTGACATCCTTCGAGGGCAAACACGGTAGTGTCCGCTACTGTATCAAGGCCACCCTGCACCGGCCCTGGGTCCCAGCACGCCGGGCAAGGAAGGTGTTCACTGTCATCGAGCCTGTGGACATCAACACGCCAGCCCTGCTGGTGAGTGGCCACCCTTGGGGAGGTAGGTTGGGAGTATTGTAGGAAGGGGCCTGCCTGGCTGCTGGGCGACACCAACCAATAAGATGGAGGTCATAGGTGGGCCCTGGCAGGGAGGGAGGCAGGTGTGGGAATGCGTGTGGAATCCACTGGGATCTGCACCCATTTGCCGTGTGACTCTGGGCAAGTGTCTTGAAGCCCTCTCTGAGCCTCAGATGCCTCTTCTGTGAAATAGACCAGAGCTAGGGCTTACCAAGTGTGAATTACACACCAAACACTTGGCTTATACATTTCATTTCTGGCTTTATAAGATGGGTTGTGTTCCTGGCTCTATTTAACGGATAGTTCCTGGATTGTTAAAAAGAAACCAAGCCCTGCCCAAAGTCCTCCCTCAGCTGGGGGTGGTTTGGAAGCTCCACAGCGACTGTGGTTTGCACAAAGTGACTCATCCATGTCACTTTCCTCTACACCGACAGGCACCTCAAGCGGGGGCTCGGGAAAAGGTTGCCCGATCCTGGTACTGTAACCGTGGCCTAGTCTCCCTTTCGGCCAAGATCGACCGCAAGGGCTACACCCCAGGTAGCAGGCGGACCGGACTGGGTTGGGACGGGGGCTGGTGTTGGGGTTGCAGGAGGGGAAACTGAGGCCCCACTGCTCCTTGCTGCAGGAGAGGTCATCCCTGTCTTTGCCGAGATCGACAACGGCTCCACACGTCCTGTGCTGCCTCGGGCAGCCGTGGTGCAGACACAGACGTTCATGGCCCGAGGCGCCCGAAAGCAGAAACGGGCAGTGGTGGCCAGCCTCGCGGGCGAGCCGGTGGGCCCCGGGCAGCGGGCGCTGTGGCAGGGCCGGGCACTGCGGATCCCCCCAGTGGGTCCTTCCATCCTGCACTGCCGCGTTCTACACGTGGACTACGCACTCAAGGTAGGGCATCCTGCTGGCCCTGGGGGACAGTGCCTACATTCACCCTGTATTCCCTCAGACTGGGGGAAGCTGAGGCCTCAGTCTCCCCAGGCATAGGAGGGAGGTGGGGGTTGGGGAGGCTGCCTGGGCACCCTCCCTTATGGTTCCTTCCTCCAGGTCTGTGTGGATATCCCAGGAACGTCCAAGCTGCTGCTGGAGCTGCCACTGGTGATCGGCACCATTCCCTTGCACCCTTTTGGCAGCCGTTCCTCCAGCGTGGGCAGCCACGCCAGCTTCCTGCTGGACTGGAGGCTGGGGGCCTTGCCGGAGCGGCCTGAGGGTAAGCTCCCACCCTGCTTGCATGCAGAGGGTGGGTGGATACACGGAGAGGTGGATGCCGGGTCAACTCTCTCACCACGAGTCCCCCGGAATCCCAACCAAAGGACATACAGCCTGGCAGCCCCAGAGCTGGCACAAGCCAGCTCCTGGCCCCTGGTCCCTTGGAGCAGGGCTCTCTCCTGCCAACCTCACCCACCCTGTCTCTCGCTTCCAGCTCCTCCTGAGTACTCGGAGGTGGTAGCCGACACTGAGGAGGCAGCCTTGGGGCAGAGCCCCTTCCCGCTTCCGCAGGACCCCGACATGAGCCTTGAAGGCCCGTTCTTCGCCTACATCCAAGAGTTCCGCTACCGCCCGCCACCCCTGTACTCTGAGGTGAGCTCAGGGGTCTGAGAACCACCCATGCCTCTCTGGGCCCTGGGAGCCTTGATGGGGTGGCAGACATAGTAGATGGGTTTTTTTTGTTTTTTTGTTTTTTTAGACAGGGTCTTGCTCTGTCACCCAGGCTGGAGTGCAGTGGCATAATCATAGCTCACTGCAGCCTCGACCTCCCGGGCTCAAGCAATCCTTTCGCCTCAGCCTCTTGAGTAGCTGGGACTACAGGCACACGCCACCACATCCTGCTAATTTTTGTGTTTTGTTTTGTTTTGCTTTGCTTTTTGAGATGGAGTTTCAGTCTTGTCACCCAGGCTGGAGTGCAATGGTGCGATCTCAGCTCACTTCAACTTCCGCATCCCTGGTAGAGCGATTCTCCTGCCTCAGCCTTCCGAGTAGCTGGGATTACAGGTGTTAGCCACCACACGTGGCTAATTTTTGTATTTTTAGTAGAGACGGGGTTTCACCATGTTGGTCAGGCTGGTCTTGAACTCCTGACCTCAGGTGATGGCCTGCCTCGGCATCCCAAAGTGCTGGGATTATATGCGTGAGCTACCACGCCCGGCCAATTTTTGTATTTTTTGTAGAAATGTGGTCTCACTGTGTTGCCCAGGCTGGTCTTGAACTCCTGGGCTCAAATGATCCTCCCATCTTGGCCTCCCCAAAGTGCTGGGATTACAGGCGTCAGCCACTGTGCCCGGCTGGCAGAGGATTTTAATTGTTGACAGAATTTCGCTACATACAGTCGGCCCTCTGCGTTAGCTGGTTTGGAATCTGCAGATTCAACCAAACATGGGTCAGAGACATTTGAAAAATAAATACATACATGGATAATACAGATTAAAAATATGATAGGCTGGGTGCGGTGGCTCATGCCTGTAATCCCAGCACTTTGAGAGGCCAAGATGGGAGGACTGCTTGAGGCCAGAAGTATAAGACCAACCTGGGTAACATAGCAAGACCCCCATCTCTACTGCAAATAATACAAAATTACCCAGGCTTGGTGGAGCCCATCTATGATTGGGAGGCTGAGGCAGGAGGATCGCTTGAGCCCAGGAGTTTGAGGCTGCAGTGAGCAATGATTGTGCTACTACATACTCCAGTCTGGGAGACAAAACAAGACCTCATCTCAATACTACTACTAATAGTAATAATGCAGTATAACAGTGATTAAATAGCATTTATATTTTGTGTGTGTATATGTGTATATATATATATATATATTTTTTTTTTTTTTTTTTTTTTGAGATGGAGTCTTGCTGTGTCACCTAGGCTGGAGTGAAGTGGCACAATCTCGGCTCACTGCAATCTCCACCTCCCGGGTTCAAGCAATTCTCCCTGTCTTAGCCTCCCGAGTAGCTGGGATTACAGGCATCCACCACCATGCCCAGCTAATTTTTGTATTTTTTAGTAGAGACGGGGTTTTGCCATGTTGGCCAGGCTGGTCTAGAATTCCTGACCTCAGGTGATCTGCCTGCCTTGACCTCCCAGAATGCTGGGATTACAGGCGTGAGCCACCACACCTGGCCATAAAGTATTATAGGTAATCTAGAAGAGATTTAAAGTACACGGGAGGGCTGGATGCAGTGGCTCATGCCTGTAATCCCAGCACTTTGGGAGGCTGAGGTGGGCAGATCACTTGAGGTCAGGAGTTTGAGACCAGCCTGGCCAACATGGCGAAACCAGGTCTCTACCAAAAATACAAAAATTAGCTGGGTGTGGTGGCATCCACCTGTGATCCCAGCTACTCACGAGGCTGAGGCAGGAGAATCGCTTGAACCCAGGAGGTAGAGGTTGCAGTGAGCCGAGATTGCGCCACTGCATTCCAGCCTGGGTGACAAAGCGAGACTCTGTCTCGAAAAATAAAATGAAATAAAAATAAAGTACACAGGAGGATGGGCTTAGATTATCCGCAAATATTATGCCATTTTATATCAGGGACCTGAGCATCTGTGGATTTTGGTATCCACGGGGTTCCTGGAACCAATCCCCTGTGGATACCAAGGGACGGTATACACTCAGCTCCAAAACCCTCCTTGCACCCCAGTCTGCCCTAGACACCACCTCCTGATGGCCTCATCCCTGGTCAAGGGCGGGAGTTGGGAGATGGCTAGATGGGGAGCGGTATTTCTGAATTTCTGTTTCCAGTGTTCTCTGAGGCTTAATGGGAACATTTCTCTTAGGAGGATCCAAACCCACTCTTGGGGGACATGAGGCCGCGCTGCATGACTTGCTGAACGGCACAGGGACCCCTCGAGGAACAAGGTTGCACACCAGCTTTCAGCCACCATGACTGTGGGGAGTGGCTGGACCAAGGGCTGACCTCCCCGACTGCATCAAAGTTGGGGAACCAAGTCTCAGAGTGAGGCGGGGGCCTTTCGGATATCACATGGGACAGAGGAAGAGCCCGGCTGGAATCTGACTTACCTGGACCGCTGTCCTTGTGAGGCATTGAATGCCCAGTGCAGTATCCGAGAGACTGTTTAATAACCTGTCTTCCCAGCCAATTGGTGGTGCTGGAATCCCCTAGGAGCCTTCAGTCTGGGAGAAACAGAGCCAGACATAGACAGTTCCAGCATCACAGAACCAGAAGAAGAGACCTGCAACTGTGAGAGTCCAGACAGGAAGCAGAGAAGGCGTCCTTGCGGAAAGGGCATTTTAGCTGAGGCTTTGGAGTACGAATAGGAGCTCAGCAGGCAGACGAATGAGGAATAAAGGTCAGAGAAGGTCAGAGCTGAGTGACGTTTGGAATCCACCCCGTTTATTGTAGAACTGGGGGTTCAGAGGGCAGGTGCCTCAGAGTTGAGGCCACACAGTGAGGTCTGGTGGGTGAAAGGACCCAGGAACGAGGCGTTCAGGAAAGCAGGTTGTCAGAGCTATGTGGAGTCTGTGGGTGGCAGGGGCAGCCGCTCCAGCCTTTGAAGACTTTGAAAGCCAGAGATTCCTGGCGCAGGCTTGGACTTCCTGGGAGCTCCTCCAAGTACCCAGGGGCATCAGAGCTGCCTGGGTGTTACATGGCCCAGGGAACCCAGGTTCAGGGTAGGACAGGCAAGACCAGATACCCAATGTGCAAAGTGAAAACACTGGGCTCCCTGTTAAACGATGAAGAATTCAAGACAGTGACAGCATTACGTCACCCCTGGGGACAGAGGTCAGCCTAAGGTGACACACGGGGACTACTGTGCTTCCGGAGGCTCCCTGTGTCCTGGAGGAGAAAAGCATTAGAGGGGGCAGCTGGACAAGCTCCCAACTGCAGAGTCCCAGCCCTGGCTGGGGCAGGGCCCCGGCCTGGGACTCAGCATTTCTGATATGCCTTAAGAATTCATTCTGTTTTGTACAATTATTTTTTAAAAGTAAACGTGTGGAGAAAGAATCCGGGCTTCTTGGTTTATTTCCGCCCCCGATCTGGCTGCTGAGGGAACTGGGACTGCCATCCCTGGTCACTATCTTGGAGACTAAATTCCTGGCCAAGGAAGGCAAAGGGGCTCATGATTGAGAAGGGGAAACTGAGGCCCAGGACTGGGAGGGGGTTGGTCCAAGGACATATGAGGAGGCTGAGCTGGGGTGGGAGCTGAGCCCTGGGCCCCATACCTGCACCGCCTATCGGAGTCTCAGAGGCTGGCGGGGGCTGAACAGTGGAGGACAAGCAGAGAACTCTATCCTCAGAGAGTGGGGAGCAGGGGGCTGGGGCTGGGAGGAGCCGCCTGAGTACGGGAACATCCTGTCATCTGAGTCTAGGTTTGGTTTTTGTGGGTTTTTTTCTGTTTGTTTTTGTTTTTCAGAAGGAGTCTTGCTGTGTCGCTCAGGCATAGTGTAGAGTGTAGTGGTGTGATCTCAGCTCACTACAACCTCCACCTCCTGGGTTCAAGCGATTCTCCTGCCTCAGCCTCCAAGTAGCTGGGATTACAGGTGCCTGCCACCACACCCGGCTAATTTTTGAATTTTTAGTAGAGACGGGGTTTATTTTTTTTTTCTTTCTTTCTTTTTTTTTTAAGACAGAGTTTCGCTGTGTCACCCAGGCTGGAGTGCAATGGCTTGGTCTTGGCTCACTGCAACCTCCGCCTCCCGGGTTCAAATGATTCTCCTGTTTCAGCCTCGAAAGTAGCTGGAATTACAGGCATGTGCCACCACGCCTGGCTAATTTTTCTATTTTTTTAGTAGAGACAGGGTTTTACCATGTTGGCCAGGCTGGTCTCAAACTCCTGACCTCAGGTGATCTGCCTGCCTCCGCCTCCCAAAGTGCTGGGATTACAGGTGTGAGCCACCATGCCTAGCCCTGGATTTGTTTTTATTGAGGTGAAATTCACATATTGTAAAATTCACCACTTGAAAGTATTCAATTTAGTACACTTTACAATGTAGCATTTAATACTCATAATGTTTCTTTTGTTTGGTTTTGAGATGTTCTCACTCTGTTGCCCAGGCTGGAGTGCAATGGCCCGATCACAGCAGCCTCAAGAGATCCTGGGCTCAAGAGATCCACTTGCCTCAGCTCCTCGAGTGGTTGGGACCACAAGTGTGTACCACCACACCCAGCTAATTATTTTTTTGTAGAGACACGATCTCCCTTTGTTTCTCAGGTGGGTCTTAAATTCCTGGGCTCCAGCAGTCCTCCCGCCTCAGCCTCCCAAAGTACTCGGATTACAGATGTGAACCATCACAACCGACCTGGCTATTTACGATGTTATGCAACCATCACCACCATCTATTTCCAGAACATTTCTATCCCTGCCAAAGGAAACCCTGTCCCCACTAGTGATCAATCCCCATTCCCCTTCCCCCACCTCCAGCAACCACTTTCTGTCTCTGGATTTGCCTATTGTGAACATTTCATATCAATGGAATCATGCGGCCTTTTGTGTCTGGCTTTTATCACTCAGCATGTTTTCCGGGTTCATCCACATTGTACTATGTGTCAGAACTTCATTCCTTTTTCTGGTTGAATAATATTCCATTGTGTGCGTAGACCACATTGTGTTTAGCCATTCATCCGCGGATGGACATCTGGGTTGTTTCCACGGCTTGGCTATAGTGAATCTTGCTGCTAAGAACACGTGTGTTCAAGGATTACTTTGAAAACCCACGGAGCTGTTAGGTGGCCCTAGTGGCGTGGGGCTGTTATTCTTCTGGAGTTACAGGTGGGGATAGTGAGCTCAAGAGAAAGAGACTAGCCTGGCCAACATGGTGAAATCCTGTCTCTTCTAAAAAGAATACAAAAATCAGTGAGACGTGGTGCAGGCACCTGTAATCTCGGCTACTTCGGAGGCTGAGGCAGAAGAATCACTTGGACCCGGGAGGTAGAGGCTGCAGTGAGCTGAGATCATGCCACTGCACTCCAGCCTGGGTGACAGAGTAGTGAGACCCTTTCTCAAAAAAAAAAAAAAAAGAAAAGAAAAAAAAGGAAATAAGAAAGAAGGGAGGGAGGGAGGAGAAAAGAAGAGAAAAAAAAAGAGAAAAGAAAAGAAAGGGGGGAGGGAGGGAGGGAGAGAGAGAGAGAAAGAGAAACAAAGGGAAGAGGAAGGAAGGGAGGGAGGGAGGGAGGGAGAGAGAGAGAAAGAGAAACAAAGGGAAGAGGAAGGAAGGGAGGGAGGGAGATGCTCCACTTGGGTCCCACAGTCAGGACTGAGACGGCCAGCACTCAAAACTGCCCCTTGGGCCAGGCACAGTGGCTCACACCTGTAAATCCCAGCACTTTGGGAGGCCAAAGCAGGAGAATCGCTTGAGCCTAGGAGTTTGAGACCAGCCTGGGCAACATAGCAAGATCCCGACTCTACAAAAAAAAAAATATATAAAAAATTAACCAGGTGTGGCAGTGTGGACCTCTAGTTCTAGCTACTCAGGGGGATGAGGTTAGGAGGATCACCTGAGCCTGGGAAATCGCGGCTGCAGCGAGCTATGATCGCACCACTGCACTCTAGCCTTGGCGACAGAGTGAGATCCTGTCTCAAAAAAATATATAAACACTGCCTCTTAGACTCCAGAGTCCATGCCGCCCTCAGGCCACATGATACTGTGCCCCTCAAGCTCCTGCTGAAGCTCTGCCTGTCTCACCTAAGCCCTCGTGCCCCTCCAAGGTTGGGCAAGGCCCTATTGAAACCCTAGTCTGGGCCGGGCGCGGTGGCTCAAGCCTGTAATTCCAGCACTTTGGGAGGCTGAGGTGGGTGGATCACGAGGTCAGGAGACCAAGACCATCCTGGCTAATACGGTAAAACCCCGTCTCTACTACAAATAGAAAAAAATTAGCCGGGCGTGGTGGCGTGTGCCTGTAGTCCCAGCTACTCGGGAGGCTGAGGCAGGAGAATGGTGTGAACCCAGGAGGTGGAGATTGCAGTGAGCCGAGATCGTGCCACTGCACTCCAGCCTGGGTGACAGAGCAAGACTGTCTCAAAAAAACAAAAACAAAAACAAAAAGAAACCCTAGTCTGATAGCCCAGGCTGTCCCAGCCAGCCTGCCCAAGGCAGCAGAAATTAACTGGCAGGCTGGAGGCTGGAATGGCCATTGTCAGGGCTAGGAGCCAGGGATGAGGACTGGGGGACCCAGGGGCTGGACATGAGGAGATCTGGGTTAGGTAGGGCTTGGCTCTCTGTGTGACTGCAGGCAGGTCACCTTGCGTCTGAGCCTGTTTTGTCATCTGAGACTCTGGGAGACAGCCCATCCCCACACCCTACCACAGTCCTCAATCACGTCCTTCCTCTGGCCTGAGGGTGAGCCCTCCTTTCCTGCTACCCCTGGTTCTAAGGTCTACCAAGACCTCCTTTGACCTGGCATCAAGCTTGGAGCATGCCATACATGGGAGGTCCCTGGGGCCAGCAGAGAGGAAGCATTCCCACAGCACAGTCACTAGAAGCCGAACTGACAGTCTCAGTAGGAAATGAGTTATTTGTCATGCGGGGTGTGCAAGACATATCAGTTTCCAGATCCATGTTCCCAAACAGAGGAGAGTCTAAGGTATTTATTCCAGCAAGGGATGTGGGTACAGTGCGACAAAAAGATTCCACCCAGCGGGGGTGGGAGGACAAGACGCCCCGTGTCCTCAGGACTCCTGAGTCTGCAACTATGGGGAACTTGATCCTGACAGAAGGAGAACTTTCCGGTTCAGATGATCAACAACCAGGATTAAGCTGGCCCAGATAGTCCCAATTCAGGAAACTTCCTGAACATGGGGAGGGGCCTAGGGAGCCCAAAGGCAGGTGGTCAACTTCTATCAAACATGAAATGAGGCCGGGCGCGGTGGCTCACGCCTGTGATCCAGCACTTTGAGAGGCTGAGGTGGGAGGATCACGTAAGGCCAGGAGTTTGAGACCAGCCTGGGCAACAGAGCGAGACCCCATCTCTACAAAAAAAAAAATGTAAACATTAGCTGGGCCTGGTGGCATGTGCCTATGGTCCCAGCTACTCAGGAGGCTGAGGTGGGAGAATCACTTGGCCCAGGAGGTCTAGCCTGCAGTGAGCGATGATCAAACCACTGTACTCCAGCCTGGGTGACGTGGCAAGAATTTTTCTCCAATAATAATAATAATAATAACAACAACAACAGCAGGCCGGGCACAGTAATCCCAGCACTTTGGGAGGCCAAGGCGGGTGGATCACGAGGTCAGGAGATCAAGACCATCCTGGCTAACACAGTGAAACCCCATCTCCACTAAAAATACAAAAAGTTCTCCGGGCGTGGTGGCGGGCACCTGTAGTCCCAGCTACTCCGGAGGCTGAGGCAAGAGAACGGTGTGAGCCCGGGAGGCGGAGCTTGCAGTGAGTAAGTGGAGATTGAGCCACCGCACTCCAGCCTGGGCGACAGAGTGACACTCTGTCTCAAAAATAAATAAATAAATAAAAAATAACGAAATAACAAAAACCCCAACCCTCTCCAGGCCCGTAAGACCCCCTGCCCACCTCTCCCTCCAGCTCCCCCTCCCTCCCCGTCTGCTACTCAAACACTCCAAGCTGATTTTTATTTTTATTATTTTTATCTTTTAGACAGAGCCTCACTCTGTTGCCCAGGCTGGAGTGCAGTGGCTCGATCTCGGCTCACTGCAATCTCCGCCTCCCAGGTTCAAGTGATTCTGCCTCAGCCTCCCAAGTAGCTGCGACTACAGGTGCCCACCACCATGCTCAGCTAATTTTTGTATTTTTAATAAAGACAGGGTTTCACCATACTGGCCAGGCTGGTCTTGAACACCTGACCTCAAATGATCCACCTGCCTCGGCCTCCCAAAGTGCTGGGATTACAGGTTTGAGCCACCGCGCCCGGCCCTCCAAGCTGATTTTTACCTTGGGGACTTCTCATATACTATTCCCCCTGCGAAAAGGCTCTTCCCCCATTGGTGGTTTCTCTTTACCCCCTGGCCTCACTTTTTCAGAGCCACTCCAACCTCCTGGCCAAAGTTGCCACCCCCTCCATCACTCCCTCTCCTATCTCTCTGTTCTGTAGTCTTCCTAGCCCTCATCACGCTCTGAAATTACTACTTAGATGTTCATTTGTTTGTCTGACCCTCTGTGGGCAGGGCCAGATCCAGGCTCTGACCCCCGCCCCAGCATGCAGCAGGCATGAGGGTGGTTGACTAAGTGACTGGGGGACCACTGCTCTGCCTACTTTGATGTGGATGAAGACTCCTCTTTTTTTTTTTTTTTTTGAGACAGAGTCTCACTCTGTTGCCCAGGCTGGAGTGCAGTGGGTTGATCTCTGCTCACTGCAAGCTCCGCCCCCCGGGTTCATGCCATTCTCCTGCCTCAGCCTCCCAAGTAGCTGGGACTACGGGCGCCCACCACTACGCCTGGCTAATTTTTTTTTTGTATTTTTAGTAGAGACGGGGTTTCACAGTGTTCGCCAGGATGGTCTCGATCTCCTGACCTCGTGATCTGCCCACCTCGGCCTCCCAAAGTGCTGAGATTACAGGCATGAGCCACCACGCCCGGCCTTTTTCTTTTTTTTTTCTTTTCTTTTTTTTTTTGAGACAGCATTGTCCAAGCTGGAGTGGAAAGCCTCGATCTCGGCTCACTGCAAACTCTGCCACCCGAGTTCAAGCAATTCTCATGCCTTGGCCTCCTGACTAGCTGGGATTACAGGCACCCATCACCACGCCCAGCTAATTTTTGTATTTTTAGTAGAGACAGGGTTTCACCATGTTGCCCAGGCTGGTCTTGAACTTCTGACCTCAGGTGATCTGCCCATCTTGGCCTCCCAAAGTGCTGGGATTACAGGCGTGAGCCACCATGCCCAGCTCAGATGAAGATTCTGATGGGGGTGGAGGTGTCATCCCTTGCACTTGCTCCCAAGACCTCCTAGAGTCAGACGTGTCCCCCATGCAGAGTCAAATGCTAGGTCTCTATCTCTCAGTGTCTCTGTCTGTTTCATTCTGACTCTCACCATCTTTTCTTTCCCATCTCTGTCTCTCTCTCAATATCTGTCTTGCTTACTGTCTCTGTCTCTGTCTCTCAGTCTTATTGCCTCTGTACTTCTGTCTCTTTCTCCCTGTCTCTGTCTCCCTCTGCCTCTGATTCTCTCACTATCTCTCTTGGCTACCATCTCTCTGTCTCTTTGGGTCCCTGACTCTCTCACCATCTCTGCCTCCTGCCCTGGCCCGGCCAGCTGGGGGACAAGGGGTGACAAGCAGTCAGGGCGCCCGCTGCTTGTTTTCCCACCCACGCTGGCAGGGAGCCCAGCCCAGCCGGGCCACTGTTCAGGAATCCTCCAGCCTCCCCGCTCCAGCCACCAGGCGCGGCCACCGCCAGCCTCTCCTCCCAGCACATTCTGTCCCAAGCAAAGAGCGCCAGAGATGGGGTGGGGGTGGGGGTGGGAGGGGGACGCATTCCTGCTGAGCTCCAGTTACAGGACAGCTTGTCCTGGTGGCCCCACCAGCACAACCTCCTGATGGCTCCCCATCCTGCTGTGGGGTTAGACCTTCCTGAATGAAGCCAAAGCCCCTCTGCCAGTTCGTGCCCACCTCAGGGCCTTTGCACCAGCCATACCTTCCACCTGGCACTCTGTCTCCCTAGATCTCCCCAAGACCTCCTCCGCCTGCACATCTGAGACCTCACATCACCTTCTCAGCAAGTCCCCTCTGTCCCTAGGCCCGGGCACCCCAAATTCCCCTCCTGCTGCCCCAGTGCATTTAATTTCCTGGTCCTCCCCATGTCCCTGGGGTTACATATTCACTTGTTTGTTGATGTGGTGTCTATTACACCAGGTCCCCACTGTGTCCCAGCACCCTGAACACACAGTAGGTGGCTTAGTGAAGGTTTTTACAATTGACATCTATTCCTCCCAAAGCTCAGCCCGCCCAGGCTCATCCATGTGGATCCACAGTTCTGACCACCCCACCTCTGCCTCACCCTGCCTCCGCCACCCCTGCACCCTAATGCAGCAGGATTTCCCAAGCCCCCCTGCCTTGGCCCAGGGAGTTATCTCCACCAGATCCACCTTTCTGAGCGAGGAGCTGGGTGCATTGAGGGGCAGGGGCGGCTGGAGTTCAGATGCACCTTTTGAGCGAGGGGCTGGGCCTCTCTGTCGCTGGGCTCCAGGCACAGGGCAGTCATGATGTACACACACACGTGCAAACACACACGCACACACATAAGCCTGTCAGCAACATAGAAACACCAGCCAGTGAACTCGGGCACAAGCAGCCGGGCACAGAGTGTTCACCAGGTGCTCACATGTGGAGTACCCCAACTCCTAGGAGGATGCGGTTATGGCCTGGATCCTACAGGTGGGGCCCAGACATGGGCTTTGAACCCACGCCAGGGTATGCACAAACCTATCCAAACACACGCGTGTCTGCCCTAGCTTCCCTCACCCGGGAGTCACCCCCCCACCCCCCACCTTGTTTTTGATGTTCAGGAAAGTCCCCAGAAAGCACTGGGCCCGGGCAAGGGGCCAGGAGGAAATGGTGACTCAGCCGGTGGCCATCAGTGCCTGCCACGCTGGGCTGGGTGGACTGCGCGGCCCGATCTGGGAGGATCCACAGAAAACAACAATAAAAGATGAGGGCGTGGGTGCGGGGTAAAAAGGACTCAGCCCAAGAATGATCAGAGAGGGGATGGATCCCCCTGTGCTCCAACACTTCAACCCTGCTGGGCCTGATTGACAAGTGGGGAAACTGAGACACAGGGAACAAGTGACTTCGCCAAGGCCCACCAGCCAAGATGGTACAGGCAAGGGGATCCCTAAGTCCTTAACACAGGGGTCTGGAGGAATGTCTACCTGCCCTGCCCTTTTTTTTTTTTTTTTTTTTGGAGACAGGGTCTCACTCTGTCCGTCAGGCTGGAATGCAGTGGCATGATCTCAGCTGACTGCAATCTCCGCCTCCTGCCTCAGCCTCCCAAGTAGCTGGGATTACCGGCGCCTGTCCCTATGCCCAGGTAATTTTTGTATTTTTAGTAGAGATGGGGTTTCACCATGTTGGCCAGGCTGGTCTCAAACTCCTGACCTCAGGTGATCTGCCCACCTCGGCCTGCCAAAGTGCTGGGATTACAGGCGTGAGCCACAGTGCCCGGCTCCCTGCCCCACTTTCTGAGACCCAGATCCACTTCCTGGTTTCCTGTGTGGTCATGTGACCACACTTGGCCAATTGGAGCCTTTTGTTATCACAGGCACAGGGATTGGGTCAGGGCTGGGCACGTGATCCTGCCTGAGCCAATCATGCTACGAGTTTGGAGACTCCCTGGAAGAAGGCCTAGAAGTAAGGAAAACCATCTTGGACGCATGATGATGGCAGTGGATCAGAGTCCCAAGGACACTGGTGAAGATCAGAGCAGGACTCACACAACCTCAGATCCCTGTGGAGTCAGGGTGGAACCAGAGGGAAGGCTGAAGGCTGGAGGGTCCTGAGAGGCCTTGCAGAAAGAGAGGACATTGGAGCTGGGGCTTTGATGGATGAAGAGGAACTAGGGAAAGGCATTTCAAGCAGAGGGAACAGCCTGTGCAACCACAGCAGGCAGGTGGGAGCTAGGCGTGTCCTCAGCCACCCCAGTGGCCCCATGGGGCTGGAGCATAGAGAGGCATCTGCAAATGTGTTTATTTGTTTATTGAGACGGAGTTTTGCTCTTGTTGCCCAGGCTGGAGTGCAGTGGCGCAATCTTGGCTCACTGCAACCTCCGCCTCCCGGGTTCAAGCGATTCTCCTGTCTCAGTCTCCTGAGTAGCTGGGATTACAGGCGCACGCCACCACGCCCACCTAATTTTTTGTATTTTTAGTAGAGACGGGGTTTCACCATGTTGGCCAAGCTGATCTTGAACTCCTGACCTCAGGTGATCCACCCGCCTTGGCCTCCCAAAGTGCTGGGATTACAGGCGTGAGCCACTGCGCGTGACTATTTATTTATTTTTTTAGATGGAGTCTCACTCTATTGCCCAGGCTAGAGTGCAGTGGCACGATCTTGGCTCACTGCATCCTCCGCCTCCCAGGTTCAAGTGATTCTTCTGCCTCAGCCTCCTGAGTAGCTGGGATTAAAGGTGCCTGCCACCACGCCCGGCTAATTTTTGTATTTTAATAGAGACGGGGTTTCACCATGTTGGCCACGCTGGTCTTGAACTCCTGACCTCAAGTGAGCTGCCCGCCTCAGCCTCCCAAAGTGCTGGGATTACAGACGTGAGCCACCGTGCCCGGTTTAAATGTGTTTATTTGTCTCTGTGCTCAATTCTCCCACCTACAAGCCCCCTAAGGGCAGGACCGGGTTTGCTTTGTTGGTGGCCAGCAGTTGTCCATTAATGTTTGTGATACAGGTGAACCAGGCCACGTGAAGCCTTGAACCGGGGCTGAGAGCCAGCGCTTTCTTTTGGGGACACAAAACAGGCAGGATGGGCAGGGGGTGGTGAATAGAAAAGATTGGGTACATAAGGCAGAAGAGCCTGGGGCTTTATAGGGGTGGCCCCTGAAGCCTGTGACCCAGGAGGGACCAGGCCCAGGCCACAGTCCAGGCAGGAGAGGGCGTGTCCCCATCTGTGAACCCCCACCCCCAGACCCTGGCCATGGTGCTTAGGAGGGAGGCAGCATGGAGCTTCGGGTCTGGGCTCTGGGACCACCTCTTCCTCCCTGTGTGACCGTGGGCAAACGACAGCACCCCTCTGAGCCTCAGTTTCCTCATCTGGAGCTTGACTTCACTGTACGTCAGTGTCAGGACTGGGCACAGAGTGGGTGCAGCGTCTGTGGGGCAGCATGGGGGTGCTGAGGCAGTGGGTGAGGGGTAGGCTCGTCTGGAACATGCCGTTAGCAGTTCCCAGCCTCTTTGAAAACAGGAAACCGGCTCTCATGGGAGCCCCCAGCTGTGCTTCCTGAGTCTCCGCGTGACGTGCGCGTGCTGGGGCAGTGTGGGCAGGCATGTGTGTGTTTGCGTGTTTGCAGGCGGCCTGGAATATAGGTGGATCCGCCTGCGTGTGCATATGTGTGTGTGTGTGTGTGTGTGTCGGGCCGCACGTGGCATTGCCCAGAGGCATGTACACACACAACCGTTACCTGTGCTCGCATGTGGAGCTATGGATCTCAGCCAGTGTGGGAAGCAGACAGTGGGTTGGTTGGGGCACTTTTGAGTCTGGGTCTAAGTGTTAAGTCTGTGTGTCCGTCAGCAGAGGTGACTGGTGTGTGCTGGGACTGACTTGGGCCGGCAGAGCCTGTATCGTGGCCCTAAGGCCTCCGAAACCCCAGGTCAGCCCTGATTCAGCTGCTGATGTTGGCTTTATTTATTTATTTATTTTGAGACAGGGTATTGCTGTGTTGTCCAGGCTGGAGTGCAGTGGTGCCCTGTTAGCCCACTGTGGTCTCGACCTCCTAGGCTCAAGCTATCCTTCCACCTCATCCTCCTGAGTAGCTGGGACAACAGACACACACCACCACACCCAGCTAATTTTTGTATTTTTTGTAGACATGGAATCTTACTACGTTGCCCAGGCTGGTCTCCAACTCCTGAACTCAAGCGATCGGCCTGTCTCAGGCTCCAAAAGCACTGAGATTACAGACATGAGCAGTGGCCACTTTTTTTTTTTTGAGACAGTCTCACTCTATTGCCCAGACTGGAGTGCAGTGGTACAATCATATCTCACTGCAGCCTCGACCTCCCAAGCTCAAGTGGTCCTCCTCCTTCAGCCTCCCAACCATCTGGGACCACAGACACAAGCCACCATGCCCGGCTAACTTTTTTTTTTTTTTTTGAGATGGAGTCTCACTCTGTCACCCAGGCTGGAGTGCAGTGGCAAGATCTCGGCTCCCTGCAACCTCTGCCTCCCAGGTTCAAGTGATTCTCCTGCCTCAGCCTCCAGAGTAGCTGGGATTACAGGCATGCACCACCACATCTGGCCAATTTTTTATATTTTTGGTAGAGACGGGGTTTCACCATGTTGGCCAGGCTGGTCTCAAACTCTTGGAGTGATCATCCTGCCTCAGTTTCCCAAAGTGCTGGGATTACAGGCGTGAGCCACCATGCCTGTAATTTTATTTTTTTTATTATTTTTATTTTTGTAGAGAAACATAGGTTTCCCTATGTTTCCAGGGCTGATCTCAAAATGAGATCCTCCTGCCTCGGCTTCCCAAAGTACTGGGATTATAGGAGTGAGCCACCATGCCTGGTCTACAACAGGTTCATTGTCACCTCAGGGCCTTTTATTTTTTTTTTCTTTTTTTTGAGACAGAGTTTTGCTCTTGTTGCCCAGGCTGGAGTGCAATGGCACAATCTTGGCTCACCACAACCTCTGCCTCCAGGGTTCAAGCGATTCTCCTGCCTCAGCCTCCCAAGTAGCTAGGATTACAGGCATGCGCCACCACTCCCGGCTAATTTTGTATTTTTAGTAGAGATGGTTGTTCTCCATGTTGGTCAGGCTGGTCTCGAACTCCTGACCTCAGGTGATCTGCCCGCCTCGGCCTCCCAAAGTGCTGGGATTACAGGTGTGAGCCACCACGCCCGGCACCTCAGGGCCTTTCTACGTGTTGTTCTTTCTGCCCAGATAGCTCTTCCTCTCGCTCATTACAAAGCCTGCACGTTCTCTTCCTGAAGATGTCAGTTTAAGCATCCACTCCTTAGAGACCTTTCCACCTCTTCTTGTTTCTTGTTTTTTTGTTTTAATTTTTTGACAAGAGTCTTGCAGGCTGGAGTGCAGTGGCGTGATCTTGGCTCACTGCAGCGTCTGCCTCCCAGGTTCAAGCAATTCTCCTGCCTCAGCCTCCCCAAGTAGCTGGGACTACAGGCATGTGCCACCACAGCCAGCTAATTTTTGTGGTGGTGTTTTTTTTTTTTTTCCCGAGACGGAGTGTTGCTCTGTCGCCCAGGCTGGAGTGCTGCTCTGTCGCCCAGGCTGGAGTGCAGTGGCACAATCTCGGCTCACTGCAAGCTCCGCCTCCCGGGTTCACGCCATTGTCCGGCCTCAGCCTCCCGAGTAGCTGGGACTACAGGCACCCGCCACCACACCCGGCTAATTTTTTGTATTTTTTTGTAGAGACAGGGTTTCACCGTGTTAGCCAGGATGGTCTCAATCTCCTGACCTCGTGATCTGCCCGCCTCGGTCTCCCAAAGTGCTGGGATTACAGGCGTGAGCCACCGCGCCCAGCCTAATTTTTGTGTTTTTAGTAGAGACGGGGTTTCAACATGTTGGCCAGGCTGGTCTTGAACTCCTGACCTCCAGTGATCCACCCACCTCAGCCTCCCAAAGTGCTAGGATTACAGGTGTGAACCACTGTGCTTGGCTCCTTTCACCTCTTTCACAAAAGCTGCCCTATTCTCCCTCTCAGTTCCTTCCAATTCCTTGCTTTGCCTTTCTCACAGTTTGTGATTACAATGTATTGACAGGTTCACGGCCTGTCTTCCACCTCCCCTCGGTACTGGGAGCTCCAAGAGGGCGGGTCATAGCATGCAGTAGGTGCTCAATAAATTTACTGGCTGGGTGTGGTGGCTCATGCCTGTATAAAGCACTTTGGGAGGCTGAGATGGGAGGATCCCTTGAGGCCAGGACTTTGAGACCAGCCTGAGCAACATGGTGAAGCCCCATCTCTACTAAAAATAAAAATAAAAAAAATTAGCCAGGCATGGTGGCACACACCTGTAGTCCTAGCTACTGGGGAGACTGAGGTGGGAGGATTGTTTGAGCCCAGGAGGTTGAGGCTGCAGTGAGCCGTGATTGCACCACTGCACTCCAGCAGAATGGGACCCTATCTCTAAAATAAATAAATAATATAAAAATAAATGCAGTATGCTAAATGAGAGTGCCTGCACAAGATGCAGAGAGCCAGGAATGGGGAGGTGGAAGACAAGGGCCCTCCCTCAGTAGCTGCTCAATTAGTGTATGATGGATTAATGAAGCTCAGAGTAAGACCTTGACCCACTGGTCCTGGACTCCTAAAGAGGAGTCTTCTGGCCTCATCCCTAGCCTCCTGGCCCCAGATCACACTGTGTGAGCAGCCCCTGGAGCCTGCTTGGCAGGGGAGGAACAGAAGTCCCTGCTCAGTTATTTGCACACTGGCTTCTCCCACGAAGTCCTAACATCGCAACTTCAAGTGCCCTTTCCTTTCAGACCCCAGGCCTGGAAAGGTCTTTATTTTGGCCACCTCAGCCCATTGCATGGAAGGGATATCCAAGGTCAGAAGCAATCCCGTCCCTGTGTCCAGGTTGAGCATGTCCCTCCTCTGCTCACACACCCTCCGTGGCTCCCTATTACCCTCAGGAGAAAGTCCAGCTCCTCAGCTCAGCAGTCACAGTCCAGCCTGAGTGTGGCAAGATCATTTTTCCTTTGTCTAATTCTCAGTCACTCTTTGGGTCTCATCTTGGTTATGTTTCCCAGTATTGACCATTGACACAGTCCCAGGACACACTAACTGCTGTCAGAAACCAAATGTTCATTGCATTAATCTTGTCAGAACATCAGGCTGAATACGACTTTTATTGTTGTTGTTAAGAGACTGTGTCTGGCTCTTTCACCCAGGCTGGAGTACAGTGGTGCAATCATGGTTCACTGCAGCCTCAACCTCCGGGCTCAAGCGATCCTCCCACCTTAGCCTCCCGAGTAGCTGGGACTACGCACACTACCACACTCAGCTAATTTATTTATTTTTTATAGAGATGAGGTCTCACTCTGTCGCCCAAGTTGGAGTGCAGTGGTACAGTCATGGCTCACGCAGCCTCGACCTCTGGGCTCATGCGATCCTCCTACCTCAGTCTCCTGAGTAGCTGGGACTACAGGCACACAGCACCACACCTGGCTAAGTTTTTTTTTTTTTAATTTTTTGTAGAGACAGGTCTCACCATGTTGACCAGCCTGGTCTCGAACTCCTGGACTCAAACGATTCCTCCCCACTCTGCCTCCCAACGTGTTGGATTACAGGCATGAGCCGCCACGCCCATTAGGATATGACTTTTTTTGTTTGTTGTTTTGTTTTTTGAGACGGAGTTTCGCTCTTGTTGCCCAGGCTGGAGTGCAATGGCACGATCTCAGCTCACTGCAACCTCCGCCTCCTGGGTTCAAGTGATTCTCCTGTCTCAGCCTCCCTAGTAGCTGGGATTACAGGCATGTGCCACCACACCCATCTAATTTTGTATTTATTTTTAATAGAGATGGGGTTTCTCCATGTTGATCAGGCTGGTCTCAAAGTCCCGACCTTGGCCTCCCAAAGTGCTGGGATTACAGGCGTGAGCCACCATGCCCGGTCTAGGATATGACTTTTACAGAGTAAAAAGACTCACAGTTTGCATTGCATGTGACCACTGTGGACCATTGACTATTAACAGAGTATTAAATTCAATATAAAGAACAGTGACTGCCCAAGAGCTTAGATCAGGAATAGGCAAACATTTTCTATAAAGGGCCAGATAGGAAATATTTGAAGCTTTGCCGGCTACACAGTCTCTTTTGCAATTACTCTACGCTGCGGCTGTTTGAAAGCATTCATATACACAAATAAGTGAGCATGGCTGTATCCCAGGAAAACTTTGTTCATGGACACTCAAGTGTGAATTTCATGTAATTTTCACATGTCATCAAATAGTCTTCCTCTGGTAGTTTTTCAGTCATTTTAAAATGTAGGCCAGGTATGGTGGTTCTTGCCTGTAATCCCAGTGCTTGGGGAAGCTGAAGTGAGAGGACCGTTTGAGGCCAGGAGTTCAAGACCAGCCTGGGCAACATAGGGAGACCCCCTCCTCCATCCTTACAAAAAGTTTTAAAAATTAGCTGGGATGCCTGTAGTCTCAGCTATTCAGTAGGCTGAGGTGGGAGGATCACTTAAGCCTGGGAGTTCGAAGCTGCAGTGAGCTATGATCCCGCCACTGCATTCTAGCTTGGGTGACTGAGAGAGATCTTGTCTCTAAAAAAAAGGAGGGAGCCAGGGCCGGTCATGGAGACCATCCTGGCCAACATGGTGAAACCCTGTCTCCACTGAAAATACAAGAAAGAAAGTAAAAAAAAAAAAAAACCCAAACTAGCTGGGCGTGGTGGCAGGCGCCTATAATCCCAGCTACTCGGGAGGGTGAGGCAGGAGAATCGCTTGAACCCAGGAGGTGGAGGTTGCAGTGAACCGAGATGAAGGCACTGCATTCCAGCCTGGGGGATAAGAGTGAAACCCATCTCAAAAAAAAAAAAAAAAAAAGGAGCCAGGAGCGGTGGCTCACACCTATAATCCCAGCAGCACTTTGGGAGGCTGGGGCAGGCGGATCACTTGAGACCAGGAGTTCTAGACCAGCCTGGCCAACATGGTGAAACCCTGTCTCTACTAAAAATACAGTAATTATCTGGGTGTGGTCCCAGCTACTCGGGAGGCTGAGGTGGGAGATTAGCTTGAACCTGGGAGGCAGAGGTTGCAGTGAGCCGAGATTACGCTGCTGCATTCCAGCCTGGGCGACAGAGTGAGACTCTGTCTCAAAAAAAAAAAAAAAAAAAAAAACGGAAAAAAAATTGAATACTGTTTTGGGGTCATGGTTAAAGCTGAAGTTTACCAACCCCTGATGGGTCATAAGTGTCATGATTTGTGTTTACAGAGTATCAGAACTTTGTTTAAAGTTACCAGCTGATAAAATATGAGGACAGGTTTATGGCTAACAGGGTTTCATCATTGACAGATAGCAAGTATCAGGATTAGTCTTTTTTCACAAAGTATCAGAACACAGCAAGCTCTGATGGCTAATCAGGTGTCAGAACCTGGGTTTAAGTCCAACCCTGCCTTGGGGCCCACGGCACCGCGGTAACCACCAACTACTGTCCACTCTCAGGATACTGTTTACTAAGTATCGAGTGACAGGCTGATGGCAAAGTATCGGGTCATGGATGTCACACTGTGAGTTGGGCACTGTGACAGCGTCTCTAGATGCCAGCTGTTTACAGTGACAGGAGACTGGCTGTTTACAGGGGATGAGTCAGCCCCACTTCCAGATACCCAAGTCCAGATGGCGGGTAGGATTGGCACCTCTCCAGGTGTTTACAGGGTACTGAGGTCCTGGCAAGCTGGGCTTCTCTCCTGCGGCCACCTCTAGCCAGGGTGGGGAATGAGTCCCCTGAAGGCTGTGGGACCCATGATCCTGGTTAGATTCTCCTTCTGCTTGTCCCTGGCTGTGCTGCCTCAGGCACATTACTTAACCTTTCTGGGCCTCTGCCACCTCATCTGTAAAATGGGCATGATGGTGAAGCCAGGTTGCCAGATAAAATATAGGCTACTCAGCTAAATGTGAAGTTCAGATCAATATTGAATTTGGTTTTACTGTAAGTATATCCCATGCAACATTTGGGATATACTTATACTAAAAAAAAATTATTCATTGATGCTATGGTTTGAATGGTCCCCCAAAGTTCATATGTTTGAAACTTAATCCTCAAAGCAGTCCTTTCAACCTTGTCAACCTGTCGGCGCGGCCTCTGGTGCAGTGGCGGCGGCTCCTGTTCCTGCCGCAGCTCTCTCCCCTTCTTACCTCCCCACCAGATCCCGGAGATCGCCCGCCATGGCTTTACTTACTGCGGCCGCCCGGCTCTTGGGAACCAAGAATGCATCTTGTCTTGTTCTTGCAGCCCAGCATGCCAGTGCTTCCTCCATGAATTTGAAAGACATATTGGCTGACCTCATACCTAAGGAGCAGGCCAGAATTAAGACCTTCAGGCAGCAACATGGCAAGAAGGTGGTGGGCCAAATCACTGTGGACATGATGTATGGTGGCATGAGAGGCATGAAGGGATTGGTCTATGAAACATCAGTTCTTGATCCTGATGAGGGCATCCGTTTCTGAGGCTTTAGTATCCCTGAATGCCAGAAACTGCTACCCAAGGCTAAGGGTGGGGAAGAACCCCTGCCTGAGGGCTTATTTTGGCTGCTGGTAACTGGATGTATCCCAACAGAGGAACAGGTATCTTGGCTCTCAAAAGAGTGGGCAAAGAGGGCAGCTCTGCCTTCCCATGTGGTCACCATGCTGGACAACTTTCCCACCAATCTACACCCCATGTCTCAGCTCAGTGCAGCTGTTACAGCCCTCAACAGTGAAAGTAACTTTGCCCAAGCATATGCACGGGGTATCAGCCGAACCAAGTACTGGGAGTTGATTTATGAAGACTCTGTGGATCTAATCACAAAGCTACCTTGTGTCGCAGCAAAGATCTACCGAAATCTCTATGGAGAAGGCAGTGGTATTGGGGCCATTGACTCTAACCTGGACTGGTCTCACAGTTTCACCAACATGTTAGGCTATACTGATCATCAGTTCCCTGAGCTCATGCACCTGTACCTCACTATCCACAGTGACCATGAGGGCGGCAATGTAAGTGCCCATACCAGCCACTTGGTGGGCAGTGGCCTTTCAGACCCTTACCTGTCCTTTGCAGCAGCCATGAACGGGCTGGCAGGGCCTCTCCATGGACTGGCAAATCAGGAAGTGCTTGTCTGGCTAACACAGCTGCAGAAGGAAGTTGGCAAAGATGTGTCAGATGAGAAGTTATGAGACTACATCTGGAACACACTCAACTCAGGACGGGCTGTTCCAGGCTATGGCCATGCAGTACTAAGGAAGACTGATCCACGATATACCTGTCAGCGAGAGTTTGCTCTGAAACACCTGCCTAATGACCCCATGTTTAAGTTGGTTGCTCAGCTATGCAAGATTGTGCCCAATGTCCTCTTAGAGCAGGGTAAGGCCAAGAATCCTTGGCCCAATGTAGATGCTCACAGTGGGGTGCTGCTCCAGTATTATGGCATGATGGAGATGAATTACTACACAGTCCTGTTTGGGGTGTCACGAGCATTGGGTGTACTGGCACAGCTCATCTGGAGCCGAGCCTTAGGCTTCCCTCTAGAAAGGCCCAAGTCCATGAGCACAGAGGGTCTGATGAAGTTTGTGGACTCTAAGTCAGGGTAAAACTGGAGACTGGGGGAAAGTGACTACCAGAAAGTGAGGAAGCCTAAATAAAAAGTATACTTTTGTTTCAGGGGGCCTTTAAAGACTTAAGATTAAATTATATCTGAGGCACTGATAATATGTTTGAGGTTAAAATATAAATTAAGACTTTAAAAGATGAAAAATGGTCCCTTCTTCCCTAATCAGCTCCTTTCCCCTGCCTGGTATGAGTTGCCCATCACAGGCATGGTCCTGGAGGATGACCAGGACTAATGCATGTGGTATGAGTAGGTTTGGCCCCCTCACTATCTCTAGAGTGAGAATCTGGCTCCTGTTTCCATGGCTCAAAGCCGGTTGCAGAGAATCTGCAGTCACTTCGGAGCTTTAGCTTCTTCTCTGCCAAGCCCTCAATAAGCCAGCAAACCAGGACTCTGCCCCTTCTGTTTCCATAGGAATCATGTTGGATAGTCAGCTGTACCAAGCCCCTTGGCCTTCCCATGCACACAAACACCTCCTAGCAAGACCTGTTGGTTAGCTGGACATGCTTTGGCAATTTTTTTATACTGCCAAGTGACCATAAAGGCATGGCATTTGTTGTGACTGGCACCCAATGTTTGATTTTTTTTTTAAACTATCCAATTAAAATTAAGGTCTGGGAGTGTTCTGTTTCCCATTACTTTAATACTCACCCCCCTCCCAGACTTTCTACACCTGTTTCACCTCAGGCTGAGGATGTTCTGGACCTCCCCCTCTTAGTCCCTACTAGAGACCTCTCAACAGATCTGTGGGCCCAGTCATTGGGTTTTATCAGTGCTTAATGTGAACTAAGTTTTTTACTTCCAACAGAATACAAGCCACTACCTTCTGACCTCCCCACCCCCCACCAACCCCCAGCTTTTAATATGCTGTGGGGCATAGAACAGGGACTCCGGAATGACCAGCATGATATTTTCAGAGTCTTGTCCCTGGGGTATTAGCACCTCTTTTTGAACAGAGAATTGATTCAAGATTGGACATGGTCTCCTCTGATTATCAGGTACTGGGGCTGAGGGCATTAAAAATAGTAAGCCTCCTTCCTCGTCCCCTGCCTCAAGAAATTGCCTCCTTATTTATCAACATCTTTTTCCTCCCTTTCCCTGAGAGCTCACAGTACAATGTTTGTTTCAGAAGCCCCATTTGCACAGGTTTTCAGCAACTCAGAATGCTCTACTTCTTTTTCTTTGAGAAAGGATTGAGATACGCTCCTGCTGTGCCCCCATCTTTCCTCCAAACTCCTGCCTGTGTTTGTGTGGATACCCAGTCCCAGAACCACACTGTTGAGTTGGACACACTGTAAACCCCTGGCTAACTGTCAAGTCATGATGCAGACTTCAGGTTGTTCTGTATAAAATGCAAAATAAATGTTTTAATTAACAATGAAAAAAAAAATCCTCAAAGCAATAGTGTTGAGAGGTGGGACCTTTAAGAGGTGATTCGATCACTGGAGTGGGTTCGTCATTGTGGGAATGGATTTGTTATAAAAGTGAGATTGGAGGCCAGGCATGGTGGCTCACACCTGTAATCCCAGCACTTTGAGAGGCTGAGGTGGGTGGATCACTTGAGGTCAGGAGGTTGAGACCAGCTTGGCCAACATGGTGAAACCCTGTCTCTACTAAAAATACAAAAATGAGCTGGGCGCGGTGGCGGACGCCTGTAATCCCAGCTACCTGGGAAGCTGAGGCAGGAGAATTGCTTGAGCCTAGGAGGCAGAGGTTGTAGTGAACCAAGATCGCGCCATTGCACTCCAGCCTGGGGTACAGAGTGAGACTCTGTCTCAAAAAAAAAAAAAAAAAAAAAAAAAAAAGTGAGCTTGGAGGCCGGGCACAGTGGCTCATGTCTGTAATCCCAGCACTTTGGGAGGCCAAGGCAAGCAGATCACCTGAGGTCAGGAGTTCAAGACCAGCCTGGCCAACATAGTGAAAGCCCGCCTCTACTAAAAAAAAAAAAAAAAAAAATTACCCAGGCATGGTGGCACATGCCTTTAATCCTAGTTACTCAGGAGGCTGAGGCAGGAGAATTGTCTGAGCCAGGGAGGCGGAGGTTGCAATGAGCCGAGATCGTGCCACTGCACTCCAGCCTGGGTGACAGGACGAGACTCCGTCTCAAAAAAAAAAAAAGAAAAGTGAGATTGGGCTGGACACAGTGGCTCACACTAGTAACCCCAGCGCAAGGCAGGAGGATCCTTGAGCCCAGGGGTTTGAGAACAGCCTGGGCAACATAGTGAGACTCCGTCTCTACAAAAAATTTAAAAATTAGCTCAGTGTGGTGGTATGCACCTGTAGTCCCAGCTACTCAGGAGGCTGATGCGGGAGGATCGCTTGAGCCTAGGAGTTCAAGGCTGCAGTGAGTTATGATTGCACCACTGCACCCCAGCCTGAGAGACAGAGCAAGACCCTGTCTCTGTTTTAGAGACAAATACATGTCTCTAATATATATATAATATATGAAAATATATATCATATATATAGATACATACATGAATATATAGTATATATTTATAGTATATCTATGTATAGTGAGACCCCATCTCTACAAAAAAGAACAAAATTAGCTGGGTGTGGTTGTGTGGGCCTATGGTCCCAGCTACTCAAGAGGCTGAGGCGGGAGGATTGCTTGAGCCCAGGAGGAAGTCAAGGCTGCAGTGAGCCAAGATTGCACCACTGCACTCCAGCCTGGGCAACAAGAGTAATAACCTGTCTTTAAATTTTTTTAATGTAAAAATAAATAAAAATTTAAAAGAAAAGGCTGGCCAGGTGCCATGGCTCACGCCTGTAATCCCAGCACTTTGGAAGGCCAAGGCGGGTGGATCGCGAGGTCAGGAGATCGAGACCATCCTGGTTAACACGGTGAAACCCTGTCTCTAGTAAAAATACAAAAAATTAGCTGAGCATGGTGGCATGTGCCTGTAATCCCAGCTACTCGGGAGGCTGAGGCAAGAGAGTAGCTTGAACCCAGGAGGCGGAGGTTGCAGTGAGCCAAGATCATACCACTGCACTCCTGGGTGACAGAGCAAGACTCTGTCTGAAAAAAAAGGCAAGGCAAGGCAGGGAAGGGCAGGGAAGGGCAGGGAAGGGCAGGGCAGGCAAGGCAGGGCAAGGCAGGGCAAGGCAGGGCAAGGCAGGGCTGTTTGGGGCTTCCCTTGCTCTCTGGCGTGTTTCTCTTACCAGATGATGCCTGCACCACGTGATAACACAGCAAGGAGACCCTCGCCGGATATGGCCCAATCTTGGACTTCCCAGCCTCCAGAACCACAAGCCAAATAAACTTCAATTGTTTATAGATTACCCAGCCTGTGGTATTCTGTTACCACAAAGCAGAAAGCTAAGACAGTTGTTTCTCTGAAATTTGAAGTTAACGGGGTGCCTGGATGTGTATTTGCTAAACCTGATCCCCCTGTGATGAAGCCTCCCACATCACAAAAAAAATCTTAGAAATTTAAAACTTAGCCAGGTATGGTGGTGCACACCTATAGTCCCAAACTCAGGAGGCTGAGGCAGGAGAATCCCTTGAGCACAGAAGGTCAAGGCTGCAGTGAGCCATGATCGCACCACTGCATTCCAGCCTGAGTGACAGAACAAGACCTTGTCTCTGTCTTTTTTTTTTTTTTCAGACAGAATCTTGTTCTGTCGCCCAGGCTGGAGTGCAGTGGTGCGATCTCGGCTGATTGCAACCTCTGCTTCCTGGGTTCAAATGATTCTCCTGCCTCAGCTTCCCGAGTGGCTGGGATTATAGGCGTGTGCCACCATACCTGGCTAATTTTTGTATTTTTAGTAGAGACAGGGTTTCACCATGTTGAGCAGGCTGGTCTTGAACTCCTGGCCTCGAGTGATCAGCCCGCCTCAGCCTCCCAAAGTGCTGGGGTGACAGGCGTGAGCCACTGCGTCTGGCCTTCACCTTTCTCTTTTATCCTTACTTTTATTTTTTTTTAGACCGGATCTTGCTCTGTCGCCCAGGCTGGAGTGCAGTGGTGCGATCGCAGCTCACTGCAACCTGGACTTCCCAGGTGCAAGTGATCCTCCTGCCTCAGCCTCTCGAGTAGCTGGGACTATAGGTGCATGTCACCGTGCAAGGCTAAAACTTTTTTTTTAAAGAGATGGGATCTTGCCATGTTGCCCAGGCTGGTCTCAAACTCCTGGGCTCAAGCGATCCTCCTGCCTCGGCTTCCCAAAGTGTTGAGATTACAAGTGCGAGCCAATGCGCCTGGCCTTATCGTTGCTTTTGAGGTGAGAAGATGGAGGTCCAGCATCCAGGGCCAGATTTGAGCCCACTGGGTCCTTTGTCTCTAGCCTTAGTAGCACTGGCCATGAAATGGGACTTTAGCCAACTGCAGGTGACCAAGAGCCAACCTTGCATCTCAGGCTGCTGGGCCCCTCTGAGCTCAGCCCCGGGGGCTTGTTGCAGGAAGGCCCCTCACTTTTATTTATCCCCCCACCCCCACTGTATATGTAACTGTCTGAAACTCACTGTTAACCCCATAAGGAAAAATGTGCTGGCTGGGCACCATGGCTTATGCCTGTAATCCCAGCACTTTGAGAGGCCGAGGTGGGAGGATCACTTGAGGTCAGGAGTTCGAGACCAGCCTGGGCAACATGGTGAAACCCCGTCTCTACTGAAAATACCAAAATCAGCCGTACATGGTGGCATGTGCCTGTAATCCCAGTGTCTCAGGAGGCTCAGGCAGGAGAATCGCTTGAACCCGGGAGGCAGGGGTTGCAGTGAGCCGCGATCACACGACTGCACTCCAGCCTGGGTGACAGAGTGAGACCCCGTCTCAAAAAAAACAAAACTCATTCAACTGTACTTTATTGGATATAAGTTACACCTTAATACACTTGACTCAAAATTTATGTATTTAATATTTTATTTTGAGAATGTGAGAAAAAAAAAAGTAACGTAAGAATAAAATCCAGGCCAGGAGTGGTGGTTCACACCTGTAATCCCAGCACTTTGGGAGGTGGAAGGATCACTTGAGCCCAGGAGTTTGAGACCAGCCTGGGCAATGTAGGGAGACCCCCCATCTCTACAAAAAAAAATTTTTTTTAATTAACCAGGTGTGGCGGTGGACACTCAGAATGTTACAGAATGGTTCTTGTGACTAGGCCTTTAGTCACAGCTACCTGAGAGGCTGAGATGGAAGGATCACTTGAGCCCAGAAAGCTGAGCCTGCAGTGAGCCGTGATGGTGCCACTGCCCTCCAGCCTGGGCAACGGAGTGAGACCGTCTCAAGAAAAAAAAAAAAAAGAAGGCCAGGCGTGGTGGCTCACGCCTGTAATCCCAGCACTTTGGGAGGCCGAGGCAGGTGGATCACCTAAGGTCAGGAGTTTGAGACCAGCTTGGCCATCATGGTGAAACCCCATCTCTACTAAAAATAACAAAAATTAGCCGGACATGGTGGTGGGCGCCTGTCCTACCAGCTACTTGGGAGGCTGAGGCAGGAGAATCGCTTGAACCCAGGAGGTGGAGGTTGCAGTGAGCCGAGATCACGCCATTGCACTCCAGCCTGGGTGACAGAGTGAAACTCTGTCTCAAAAAAAAAAAAAAAAGAAAAAGAAAAAGAAAAAAATTCAAATGCTTTATACAAAGTCTTCTGTTTTGGAAAACTCGTGTTATTAGTTCCAGCTCTGGAATGATGAAGAGTGGTCTCTTGCTACATACCCTAGCTATCCAGATGTGTCTGTTCATGTTCTTTTTCTTGCTTCAAAATAAAACACATCTGTGTTTTAAGTTACAAGTATTAACTTGCTATATTCAAAGAATTCATGAAACATATGTGAGCATACCATTAAAGAAACACAGAAAAAAAGGAGAAAGCAGTCAATTTATTTATTTATTATGGAGACAGGGTCTCAGTCTGTCACCCAGGCTGGAGGGCAGCGGTGCAATCATGACTCACTGCAGCCTCGACTTCCTGTCCTCAAGCGATCCTCCCGCCTTAGCCTCCCAAAGTGCTGGGATTACAGGAATGAGCCACCACACCCAGCCTTAAAGCAGTCAGTTTAGAAGTGGAGATAGTATGGGTTACAGCCATACTGAATCAGGCACCATGGCTCCGGTTCCATGCGTAATAGCCCTGGAACTATCAATCTGGATAAAACAGTCCTTTTTATTTATTTTTTTTGGTAGAGATGGGATCTTGCTATGTTGCCCAGGCTGGTCTTTTTTTTTTTTTTTTGAGATGGAGTCTCGCTCTGTCGCCCAGGCTGGAGTGCAGTGGCATGATCTCAGCTCACTGCAAGCTCCGCCTCCCAGGTTCACGCCATTCTCCTGCCTCAGCCGCCCCAGCAGCTGGGACTACAGGTGCCCACCACCACGCCTGGCTAATTTTTTGTATTTTTAGTAGAGACGGGGTTTTACCATGGTCTCGATCTCCTGACCTTGTGATCCGCCCGCCTCAGCCTCCCAAAGTGCTGGGATTACAAGCATGAGCCACCACGCCTGGCCTGCCCAGGCTGGTCTTGAACTCATGGGCTCATGCAATCCTCCTGCCTCAGCCTCCCAAAGAGCTGGGATTACAGGTGTGAGCCATGGTGCCCATCAGTCTGAGACATACAGATGCGTGCCTCAGTTTCCTCACCTGTACAATGAGGTTCATCACCCCCTTGCACATGGGGTCATTGTGAGGACAGGGTGGGTTGGGCCTGGTGCAGTGGGCATTGTCAGAGCGGGAGAAATAAGTCCCAGGTTGGATTTAGTGTCTTTTGTCTTCTCAGCTGTGTTCATTTGTTTTACACTGGTGTGAGCCAACCTAAAGTCTCACTCTGACATCTTGTCATCATCCAAATGGCCAACTGCTAATCATCAAGCACTTCCCTGCCAGCGCAGCGAGGCAGCAGCAGTGATGTCCCAGGATCAGCCAGTTCCTGGTCACATCTCATTGCACACCTGCCCCTTTGAAATGTCCAGTCCTGGGGCTGCTTAGATTCTAGAACAATCTTGGGAGCGAGGAGCCCAGGCCAGGGTGGCATCCTGTGGTCTTGATCCCAATACCATGCTGTTCCAGGGTCACTTGGAAGCTGGACTCAGTATCCCAGTCGGGGAGCTGGTGGCTCAGGCAAAGGGACGCAGAGGAGCCCTGTTGCAGACTCAGCAATGTGGCCCTAAGGGAGCTGGGTGCAGCGCAGTGGCCCACGCCTGTCATCTCAGCACTTTAGGAGGCCAAGTGGGAGGATCACTTGAGCCCAGGAGTTCGAGACTAGCCTGGGCAACATGGCGAAACCTCGTTGCTACAAAAATACAAAATAGAGCCGCGTGTCGTGGTTCGCCCTTGTAATCCCAGCACTTTGGGAGGCTGAGGAGGGTGGATCGCCTGAGGTCAGGAGTTCGAGACCAGCCTGGCCAACATAGTGAAACCCCCCTCTCTAATAAAAATACAAAATATTAGTTGGGTGTGGTGGTGGGTGCCTGTACTTTCAGCTACTTGGGAGGCTGAGGCAGGAGAATTGCTTGAACCCAGGAGGCGGAGGTTGCAGTGATCCAAGATCATGCCACTGCACTCCAGTCTGGGTGGCAAAGCGAGACTCCATCTCAAAAAAACAAAAAAATTAGCCAAGCATGGTGGCATGCACCTGTGATCCTAGCTACTCAGGAGGCTGAGGCAGGGGAATAGCTTGAACCTAGGAGGTGGAGGCTGCAGTGAGCCATGATTGCGCCACTGCACTCCAGCCTGGGAGACAGAGTGAGACCATGTCTTTAAAAAAAAAAAAAAAAAAAAAAAAAAAAAAGCAGAAATAGCAGCTGTGAGAAAATATAGTAGAATCAGGAACGTAGTGGAGAAGAAATCATCTGGTGCCATGGAAGTTCAGGACAGACCCCTGCATCAAGAAAGAGGAGACTGTGCCACTGCACTCCAGCCTGGGCGACAGAGTGAGACTCCATCTAAGTAAAAAAAAAAGGTTGGGCACGGTGGCTCACGCCTGTAATCCCAGCACTCTGGGAGGCTGAGGTGGATGGATCATGAGGTCAGGAGATCGAGACCATCCTGGCTAACACGGTGAAACCCCGTCTCTACTAAAAATACAAAAAATTAGCCGGGCGTGGTGGCGGGTGCCTGTAGTCCCAGCTACTCGGGAGGCTGAGGCGGGAGAATGGCGTGAACCCAGGAGGCAGAGCTTGCAGTGAGCCGAGATTGTGCCACTGCACTCCAGTCTGGGCGACAGAGCAAGACTCTGTCTCAAAAGAAAAAAAAAAAAGAAAAGAAAGAGGAATAAAGGAATCAAAAAGTGTTTCCAACTCTGCAGGGAAAGACACAAACTGTATTAAGAGAGATTAATGATGCAAGATGGATGTCCAGGACACACCTGCTGGGAGCCACAGTGGCTTAACTCCACTGTCTGTGGGGACTTGGAGGTCATGGCAAGCACAGCAGTGAAATTCCTGCACCAGGAGGGGGCCCGGGCCATGGATGAGGAGTTGTTTCATGAGTACCAGCATGGCCCAACTTACAGAACTGGCTGGACTCAGCTGTTCCACTGTCATTGCCAAGGCATATCCTCCCATATCCATGTCCCGATCATCCATGGCCCAGGGAATAATGGAGAAGGTAGCCTGCTCTGTGCTTGACACCTCAAACATTTTGGTCACCAGCCAATCATCTTTGACCCCAAAAGACCCAACAAGCCACTCTACACTATGCTTGGTGACCCACTGTCAGGAAAGGGGCATTCTTTTGCTTGGTGAAGTGCCCCCAGAGCCCACGCTGATCAATGAGCTGTATGGGCTGGGGGTGGATGCCATCTTTGGCTTCAGCTTCAAGGGCAATGTTTGAAAGCCATTCTGTAACATTCTGAGTGTCCTGAATAGACTCACTGTGCCACTGCCAATGCTGACATTCCCTTGGGATGGGACATGGAGAAGGAAAACTCCGGAGGGATCCAGCCAGACCTGCTTCTCCCCCTGATAGCACCCAAAAAGTCTGAAACCTAGTTTACAGATTGCTACCACTACTTGAGGGGTTGTTGACTACCACCTGCTTGGGAAAAGAAGTACCAGCTAAAACCTGCCATTGTACCCTAACCCTGAGTATGTCTCATCATCTGCAGTGAAGGAAGGTGGATGGACATTCTTCCCAATAAAGACTTAGTGCCTCTGTCTCCCAGAAGGCACACACACATACACACACACACACACACAATGCGGAGAGAGACTACTGAGGCTAAAGAGATGGTAGGCATACCATGTTCATGGACAGGAAGGCTGAGGTTCATAAAGATGCTGATTAACTCATTTAACAGTCCCAACCCACCAGAAGGAACCAATCTTGCAGAGACCTTGATTTCAGACTTCTAGCTTCCAAAGCTGTGACAGAATAAACATATTAAATTAATTTCCCCCTCTGTAGTTTCAACACAGTCCCAATGAAAGTCATGTCAGAGCTTTCCCTGGAACTCAATATGATAACCGAAACATTTAACTGGAGCAGCAGAGGGTTGCAAATAGTTGGGACATTACTGCAGAAGAACAGGGCAGTCCTACCTGACATACCAGATATTGGAACCATGACAAAGCCTGTAATTAAGTCAGCAAAATACTGGCACAGAAAGAAGCACATTGACCAATGGATTAGAATTAAATGCCCACAGACAGCCCTATGCAGGTCAGGAATTTTGCTTCAAGAAGGAGAGAGTCTGTCCCAGCAGTGGGGAGGGGAGGCTATCCCATAAAAGGATCTGGGAAATGGGAGACCATGTTGAAAACAATATTGGTTCTCTACTTCACACAATATGCAAAACAAAACTCCACATGGGTTAAGGAGTTACACACAAAAATATAACAAAATTAACCTTTTTATTTTATTTTTTTAGACAGGGTCTTGCTTGGTCACCCAGGCTGGAGTACACTCACTGCAGCCTCAAACTTACAGGCGCACATTACCACGCCTGACTATTCTTTTTAAATTTTTTTTGTAGAGACAGGGTCTTGCTATGTTGCACAGGCTAGTCTTGAACTCCTGGTCTCAAGCGATGCTCCTGCCTCAGCCTCCCAAAGTGCTGGGATTACAGGCATGAGCCACTGTGCCTGGCCCAAAAGAAAGCTTTAATGTCTTGGTGGTAAATATAGGTGAACTTGAGGGCAAGGCTTGGCGGCTCATGCCTGCAATCCCAACATTTTGAGAGGCCAAGAGGGGAGGATCAATTGAGCCTAGGAGTTTGAGACCAGCCTGGGCAACATAGGGAGACTCCATCTCTACAAAATAAAATTTAAAAATTAGCTGAGTGTGGTGGTGCATCCTGTAGTCCCAGCTACTAGAGAGGGTAAGGTGAGAGGACTGCTTGAGCTTGGAAGGTTGAGGCTGCAGTCACCCATGGTCACACCACTCTACTCCAGGCTGGGCAACAAAGTGAGACCCTGTCTCATAGAAAAAAAAAAAGAGAGAGAGAGAGAAAAGAAAATATTGGCGAACTTGGGGTAAGAAAAGACTTTCCACATAAGAGCCAATGGGCATTGTCTATATAAAGAAAAGATTGGTTAATTTGCATATATTAAGGGTAGGACTTTGTATTCATCAAAAGGCACATTGAAGGAAGTGAAAAGACAAGTTACCAGCCAGCCACAGTGGTCCACATTTGTAATCTCAGAGCTTTGGGAGGCTGAGGCTGGAGGAATGCTTGAGCCCAGGAGTTCTAGACCAGCCTGGGCAACATAGGGAGACCCCATCTCTACAAATTAAAAAATTAGCTGGACATGGAAGTGTGTACCTGTAGTCTCAGCTACTCAGGAGGCTGAGGCAGGAGAATTGCTTGAGCACAGGAGTTTGAGGCCGCAGTGAGCTATGATCATGCCACTACACTCCAGCCTGGGCCACAGAGTGAGACCCTGTCTCCAAAAAAAAAAAAAAAAAAAAAAAGAAAAAGGCCAGGTGCAGTGGCTTACACCTCTAATCCCAGTACTTTAGGAGGCCGAGGCAGGCAGATCTCTTGAGTTCAGTAGTTCAAGACCAGCCTGGCCAACATGGTGAAACCCTATCTCTACTAAAAATACAAAATTTAGCTGGGCATGGTGGCGGGCACCTGTAATCCCAGCTACTCGGGAGGCTGAAGCAGGAGAATCTCTTGAATCTGGGAGGCGGAGGTTGCAGTGAGCCAAGACCACGCCACTGCACTCCAGCCGGACCACAGAGGGAGTTTTCACCTCAAAACAAAACAAAAAGACTAGTTACAAATTAGGGGAAGGTATTTGCAATATACTCAACAGATGGAGGAATACTATCAAACCTACATAAATAATTCCTATAATGCCATCCAGGCACGGTGGCTCACGTCTATAATCCCAGCGCTTTGGGAGGCTGAGGTGGGTGAATCACCTGAGGTCAGGAGTTCGGGACCAGCCTGGCCGACATGGTGAAACCCCATCTCTACTAAAAATACAAAAATTAGCCAGGCATGATGGCAGGCACCTGTAATCCCAACTACTCAGGTGGCTGAGGAAAGAGAATCACTTGAACCCGGGAAGCGGAGATTGCAGTAAGCTGAGATCATGCCACTGCACTCCAGCCTGGGTGACAGAGTGAGACTCAGTCTCAAAACAAAACAAAAAGACAAGTTACAAATTAGGGGAAGATATGTGCAATATACTCAATGGATGGAGGAATACTGTCAAACATATATAAAGAATTCCTATAATGAACACCACAAAGAACACAGAGTAGGAATTCACGAAGGAGGAAGCACAAGTGGCAAAGAGATGATCAACATTTACTGAGGATCAGGAAGATGCAAATTAAAACACCAGGTAGATGCCATTTGATTGGCAAAAGCTACAAAATCCACCAATACCAAGTGATTCCCCAAGATGTATTCATGAGAAACTCACAAATGGCTGTGGGAGGGTGCATGCTGCTGACACTTGGGAAAAACCTCTGGAGTTTCCAAGTGTCTCTGAGTCCACAACCCACATGCTCCAGAAATCCGCAAAGAGAAATACCTTCCTGCTCCTGGCCAGAGTGCCGGAGGTAAGCACTACCCTCTCAGACCTGGAGGACCTGCAGGAGGACAGGTGAGTTTTTACTTGGGGTTGGAGAGGGGGCTGTGTAAGTTTCCTGGGGCTAATGTAACAAATTTGCACAACCTGGGGGGCTCCAGACAACAGAAATTTATTCTCTCCCAGTTTTGGAGAGAAGTCTGAAATCAAGATAATTGCCTGGGTTGATTCTTTCCAGTGGTTTGAGATGTTTAAATGAGCTAATACCTGGTACACACTAAACACTTAGTACCAGTGTACTGGGAGAATAATAAAATGCAGGAATACAGCAAAGCATAAAATAAGCATTGATTGTTGATTGGATGAGTGATTAAGACTAAGTGAAGGGCCAGGTGCTGTGGCTGATGCCTATAATCCCAGCACTTTTGGAGGCCGAGGAGAGCGGTTCAGCTGAGGTCAGGGGTTCGAGACCAGCCTGGCCAACATGGCAAAACCCCATCTCTACCAAAAATACAAAAATTAGCTGGGCGTAGTGGCGCATGCCTGTAATCCCAGCTACTCAGGAGGCTGAGGCAGGAGAATTGCTTGAACCCTGGGAGGCGGAGGTTGCAGTGAGCCGAGATCACGCCACTGCACTCCGGCCTGGGTGATGGAGTGAGATTGTTTCAAAAAAAATAAAATAAAATAAAAAATAAGTGGAGGCTGGGCGCAGTGGTTCATGTCTGTAATCCTGGCACTTTGGGAGGCTGAGGCAGGCAGATCACTTGAGGTAAGGAATTTGAGACCAGCCTGGGCAACATGGTGAAACCCTGTCTCTACTAAAAATACAAAAATTAGCCAAGCGTGGTGGCGTGTGCCTGTAGTCCTAGCTACTTTGGAGGCTGAGGCTGCAGTGAGTTTGAACCTGGGAGGCAGAGGTTGCAGTGAGCTGAGATCGCGCCACTGTACTCCAGCCTGAGCGACAGAGCAAGACTCTTCTCAAAAAAAAAAAAAAAAAAGACTAAGTGGAGATGAGGGTTCAGTGCACCCCCATCTCCTGGCCCTGCTGCCCATGAGCCAGACCCTGAGCTGACAGATTGGTGCCCATTTCCTCTTATGGATTGATACGGGGCTCTTACCTCTGGGTTTGCTCAGCCCAGCAGCAGGCAGTCAGAGCCAGAAGTTGTTTGCAAACCGAAACCGGTCTGCGGCTTGGGCCACCTACTTGTGAAACCAGCTGTCGCTGTTTTTCCTCCCTGTGAGAAAGTCCCCCAGTAAAGCTGCGCGGGGGAGGAGAAGGAGGGTGGAGGAGGGCCGAGTAGCTTCCTGGGAGACCTTGGGGTGTGGAGGCGCTGCTCTGGACTTTGGTTTGCCCATCTGCAACTGGGCACCATGGGGAAAGGGGATTGCAGGCTCCTGGCTGGGGAGTTTGGATTTGGGGATGCTGGACAAGTGACTTCACCTCTCTGAGCCTCAGTTTCCTTATCTGTGAACTAGTGAGAAACACATGGCCACCAGAGCTGCTGCAAAGGGGCATGTCCCTCTCTTCATTCAGGCCTTGGCCCCAAATGTCGCCTATTCCAGGAAGCCCTCCAGGACTGCCTGATCAGGAAACACCCTCCCTCTGCTGCATCTGGTCATGTATTCTACTTTATTCATCACACTTTTCAACACCTGATTCCACATTACAGATGCATCGCTTCAGGTGCATAATGTCCTCTGGGTCCCACCTTTGTCCCCAGACCATGAGTCCTACAAGGGCAAGATTGCTCTCAGTTGTCCCCGGCTGTGTCCCCAGACCACAGCCCAGGGCCTAAAGCACAGCAGGCATCTGGGGAAACATTTCTTTTTATCAGCATAAGATTATTATCTGTGAGCACACTCATTAAGCCCCGGCTGTGTACAGGAGCCAGCGACACCACCATGAATGAGATACAAATTCTTTTTTTTTTCTTTCTTTTTTTTTTTTTAGACGGAGTCTCATTCTGTTGCCCAAGCTGGAGTGCAGTGTGGCACAATCTCAGCTCACTGCAACCTCCACCTCCCAGGCTCAGGTGATTCTCCCGCCTCAGCCTCCCAAGTAGCTGGGATTGGTAGCTGGGACTACAGGCTCCCACCACCACACAGTTAATTTTTGTATTTTTCAGCAGAGATGAGATTTCACCATGTTGGCCAGGCTGGTCTTGAACTCCTGACCTCAAGTGATTCGCTCACCTCAGCCTCCCAAAGTGCTGGGATTATAGGCATGAGTCACCGCGCCTGGCAGAGATACAAATTCCTGATGGCAGAGGAGGGAGAGAGAGTGTGGGTGACGATGACAATTGAACTGAGACCCAAAGGAGGTAGGGGAGACATATGGGCGTCTCTGGGAAGATGGTCCCCGGGAAAGCACAGCCTTTAGACAGGCCCCGAGGCAGGAGCCTGTCTGACTCACCGGAGGAGCTTGGAGGAGGCTGAGGTGGCCTAAGTCGATTAAGCAGGGTGGGGAGGGAAGAGGCGATGGTGCCGTGAGACCAAGCAGGGCCTTGAGGTCTGGGGGGAGAACTTTGGCTTTTACTCTGAGGAAGGTGGGAGCCACAGAGGCTTCTAGACAGAAGAAGGACAAGCCGGACTCAGGATACCAGGGTGGGGGTATCTGTGGGGGATAAAGGGAGAAGCGAGGAGACCACAGAGGGGTGCCACTGCTGGTCCTAAGGAGCAATGATAGTCTGGACCAGGGAGAAGGGACCTTCATGAGAAGGGATCGGATGTGGGAGCAATTTTGATGGTGGATGGGTGGAGGAAGAAGATTCAGGGGCACCAGTGTGAGCCCATCTCACAAGGGAGGAAACTGAGACTCTGGGGACAGAGGGATCTCAGTAAAGGAGAAACTGGAAGAAACCAGTGGAACGTTCAGAGGTGACCAGGGTCCAGGAGGGAGCCCCCGCACCTCCCTGAGTCACAGAGATTGCCAGCTTCCTCCTGATGCAACCTGACCTTCCATCTCTCTCTTTGTTTGTTTGTTTGTTTGTTTTGAGACAGAGTCTCACTCTGTCACCCAGGCTGGGGTGCAGTGGCACGATCCCTGCTCACTGCAACCTCTACCTCCCATGTTCAAGCAATTCTACTGCTTCAGCCTCCAAAGTAGCTGGGATTACAGATACACACCACCACACTGGGCTAATTTTTGTATCTTTAGTAGAGACGGGGTTTCGCCATGTTGGCCAGGGTGATCTTGAACCCCTGACCTCAAGTGATCTGCCTGTCTTGGCCTCCCAAAGTGCTGGGATTACAGGCGTGAGCCACCGCACCCGGCCTCTCTTTGATTTTATCTCTATAATTTCCATCCCTGTCAGAGGGAAGAGGCTCCACCACCTACAGACACCGATAGGCCTGACTCGGCTTCCCACAGATTCATTTACTAACCCCAAACCCCAAGACATGGGTACCAACACTGTTTTACAGATGGGGAAACTGAGGCTCATATAGGCGAAGTGGTTTTCCAGGCAGAGGCAGGATTAGAACCCTGAGCCTTGGCTCTAGACCCCTGCTCTTGAGATGGCACTCTGCTGGGGGTCATCAAACATTCCACCCCGAGATGCATTATTCCTTTCCCAGCTTCTGAGAACTTGGGCTTGGGTGGGAGCCCCCTGCAACGTGCTAAAAATCCAGGTTTAGGCATTTTTTTAATGTAAAAAAATATTTACTTATCATCCAGGCACGGTGGCTTACGCCTGTAATCCCAGCACTTTGGGAGGCCGAGGTGGGCAGATCATTTGAGGTCAGGAGTTCAAGACCAGTCTGGACAACATGGCGAAACCTCGTCTCTACTAAAAATACAAAAATTAGCCAGGTGTGGTGGCGCACGCCTGTAATCTCAGTTACTACAGAGGCTGAGGCAGGAGAAATCGCTTGAACCCAGGAGGAAGAGGTTACTGTGAGCCGAGATCCTGCCACTGCACTCCAGCCTGGGCAACAGAGCAAGACTTCATCACAAACAAATGAACAAACAAAACTTATTTATTTTCTAGAAACAGGGTCTCGCTCTATCACCCAGGCTGGAGTACATTGGCATGATCATAGCTCATTGCAGCCTCAAACTCCTGGACTCAAGCGATCCTCCCACCTCAGCCTCCCTGAGTAGCTGGGACTACAGGCACCTGCCACCATGCCCAGCTACATTTTTTCAATTTTTTGGAGAGACAGGATCTTACTACATTGCCCAGGCTAGTCTCGAACTCCTGGGCTCAAACAATCCTACAGCCTCGGCCTCCCAAACTGCTGGGATTACAGCCTTGAGCCACCAACCTTGGCCAGATTTAGATTTGTATGGCCTTACGTTTCTGAGTTTGTAAGATTATATACGATTCATTTGTTCATTCATGTTCATTCATTCCTGGCCACATCCAGGTGCCTGCCTTATTTGGGGTAATGCTCGAGGCCCCAGCTTGGGAAGGTCCAGGCTGGATAGAGATATTCTTGTTCCCACAGGGTCAAGGCTAGGCTGGAGGGAGGTACCCAGGGCTGGGGGTCCCCAGCGATCCAGGAAGTGGGGGGCTTGCTGAAGAAGGGAACCTCATGCCAAAGGCCTGGGTCCCTTCCTCCTCATGCCCACCACCCCCATGACGAAAGCCAGAGAGGATGAGGGCAATGTGGGGCTTCCATACCCCAAATATGATCCTGGTGCCTGGTATGGAACCCCAGAGCCTGCCACCGTGTCTCTAGTGATCCTTGAAAAGTTCCAGCATATTTTGGGAGTACTCAACACCAACATCGATGGGTGGTGGAAAATAGCCTTTGCTATCACTGCCATTAAAGGTGTGGATGGAAGATACGCTTATGTGGTGTTGAGGAAAACAGACATTGACCTCACCAAGAGGGCGGGAGACTCACGGAGGATGAGATGGAATGAGTGATCACCATTGTGCAGAATCCACAGCAGTACAAGATCCCAGACTGGCTCTTGAACAGACAGAAGGATGTAAAGGATGGAAAATATAGCCAGGTCCTAGCCAGTGGTCTGGACAACAAGCTCCGTGAAGACCTGGAGCAACCGAAGAAGATTCCGGCCCATAGAGGGATGCACCACTTCTGGGGCCTTCATGTCTGAGGCCAGCACACCGAGACCATTGGCCGCCATGGCCGTACCTGTACCGTGGGTGTATCCAAGAAGAAATAAGTCTGTAGGCCTTATCTGTTAATAAATAGTTTATGGCCGGGCGCGGTGGCTCACGCCTGTAATCCCAGCACTTTGGGAGGCCGAGGTGGGCGGATCATGAGGTCAGGAGATTGAGACCATCCTGCTAACACGGTGAAACCCTGTCTCTACTAAAAATACAAATAATTAGCCAGGTGTGGTGGCACACGCCTGTAGACCCAGCTACTCTGGAGGCTGAGGCAGGAGAATCTCTTGAACCCGGAAGGCAGACGTTGCAGTGAGCTGAGATCATGCCACTGCACTCCAGCCTGGGCGAAAGAGCAAGACTGTCGCAAAAAAACAAATAGTTTATATACCAAAAAAAAAAAAAGGAAGAGGAAAAAAAACCTGAGCCCAAAGCCTAGCCCTAAACGTCACCTCCGGTCCCCATTCCCGGCTTGCACCGGGCAGCAGCCAACACCACGGGGAAGTGGCCTGGGCTTCCCGCCAGACTGCCTGCTGGAAAACTAGCTCTGGGAGGTGGGGGTGTCACCATCCAGTATGTGAGGGTGGAACCTTCTGGGCTGACCATTTATGGGACAGGCCCCTAGAATGGGAGGCCCAGGACAGCCGGAGAGCCACAGAGCCCAGCAGCTGGACCAGGGTGACCATGATGCCACTGGGGCTGGGACACCTGCACGAGACTCTTCAGGAATAAGCCCCTATTTCCCCACCTAAAAATGGAAGTGGGGCCGGGCACAGTGGCTCACGCCTGTAATCCCAGCACTTTGGGAGGCCGAGGCGGGTGGATCACTTGAGGTCAGGAGTTCGAGACCAGCCTGACCAACATGGTGAAACCCCGTGTCTACAAAAATACAAAAATTAGCCAGGCATCATGGTGGGGGGCCTGTAATCCCAGCTACTCAGGAAGCTGAGGGAGGAGAATCACTTGAACTGGGAAACAGAGGTTGCAGTGAGCAGAGATTGTGCCCCTGCCCTCCAGCCTGGGCCACAGAGCGAGACTCTGTCTCCAAAAGTAAAAAAAGAGACAAATAAACAGAGAAACAAGGAGAGACAGAGGCAGTGAGAGACAGAGACACAGAGAGATACACAGGGAGACACAGAGACAGGTGAAACAGAGACAGAGAGAGATGAGACAGAAACACACAGAGAGACAGACACAGAGAAACAGGGAAAGAGAGAAAGGGAGACACAGGGAGACAGAGACAGAGAGACAGAAGTGAGACAGAGAGATGAGACAAAGAGACAGAGAGAGAGACAGGGAGAGAGATGAGAAATGAGATAAAGAGAAAGATGACACAAATATTTTGGGAGGCTGAGGGGGGAGGATTGCTGGAGGCCAGGAATTAGAGACCAGCCTGGGCAACATAATGAGACCCTTATCTCTACAAAAAGAAAAAGAAAAAAAAAGATGGCAAAGAAAGAGACAAGGAGAGAGACAGAGAGACAAAACACAAAGATAGAGAGAGAGGGGCACAGGGAGAAAGAGACAAAGAGGGGCAAGACAAGCCAGGTGCGATGGCTCACTCCTGTAATCCAAGCACTTTGGGAGGCCGAGGAGGGCGGATTACCTGAGGCCAGAGAGTTCAAGATCAGCCTGACCAACATGGTGAAACCCCGTCTCTACTAAAAATACAAAAATTAGCATAGTAGGGTGGCGCACGCCTGTGATCTCAGCTACTTGGGAGGTTGAGGCAGGAGAATCTCTTGAACCTGGGAGGTGGAGGTTGCAGTGAGCCAAGATCACGCCATTGCACTCCAGCCTGGGCAATAGAGTGAGACTCTGTCTCAAAAAATTAAAAAAAAAAAAATTAAAAAAAAAAATAAAAGCAAGTCAGAGAAATAGAGACAGAGAGACAGGAAGAGATGAGAAATGAGAGATAGGGAGAGACAGGGAGGGAGGAAGGAAATAGGAAGCTGGGGGTGGGGCCAGGACACAGTGGCTCATGCTTGTAATCCCAGCACTTTGGGAGGCTGAGATGGGAGGACTGCTTGAGGCCAGGAATCTGAGACCAGCCTGAGCAGCAGAGTGAGTGCTCTTTCTACAAAAAATACAAAAATTAGCTGGGCTTGGTGGCACACACCTGCGGTCTCAGCTACTTGGAAGGCTGAGGTGGGAGGATTGTTTGAGCCCAGGAGGCTGCAGTGAGCTATGATCACACCACTGCACTCCAGCCTCTGGGTGACAGACAGAGACAGTGTCTCAAAATAAAACAAAATGAAAATTAGCCAGGCATGGTGGCGGGCACTTGTAATCCCAGCCACTCGGAAGGCTGAGGCAGGAGAATCGCTTGAACCTGGGAGGTGAAGATTGCAGTGAGCCGAGATCGCACCAGCCTGGGAAAGGAGAGCAAAACTCCGTCTCAGAATAATAATAAAATAAAATAAAGATCACTCCTGTTTAGTTGGTTAAGAAGAAAAAAAAAAGAGGTTAGGGGTACAAGACCAGCCACTGGGAGAAGAGGGCCCTCCTACCCGGCCAGAGGAGCCCCCTGCCTGGAGCTCCTGATCCCAGCACATAAGGTTTAATATTATTAAAGGTGATGATATCTTGGAGGGTTGGGCACCTCGTTCACCTAGCTCCTTCTCACCTCTCATAGGCCTCCCCGGGGGGTTAACTACCCCATTGCACCGATGGGGAAACTGAGGCTCGGAGAAGCCCTGGCTGCACAGGCAGTTGGAAGCAGAGCCAGGACTCGGCTGGATCCTTGAGACGTTTGTCGACTGACTGTGTGACCCTTGGCCCCTCCAGTCTCCAACCCGGAGGAGAAACCCGCCCCTCTTCCCGTCCCCCACCCCCAGCCCGCCCGGCGGGTGTTTTTTTTTTCCTCCTCCTGGGTATTTTGGTTTCGGCAGGAACCGCCCCGGGGAGCAGGCGGTTCCCGCTGGCAGGGTCAGCCCAGGGCGGGGACGGGAGCCAGGAGCAGCTCCAGGCCAGGGAAGGTGGGGAGGACTCGGGGAGGAAGCCTGGCCGTGGCCCCGACCACTGGGACCAGGCAGGTCGCGTCCCCATCCCAATCTTCCGGTGCCTCAGTTTCCCCACCTGGAAAGCGGGGCTCTGCGTGATCGCGGCACAGCCCGTGGAGGCGCGTCGCGCATGGGGCCGGGCGGGGTTTCCACGTCTCCGCCAAGGTTCTGTCCACTCAGTTATTAAACATTGATGGATCGGGGACAGAGCCAGAGGCCAGTGCCCCAAACCGGGGCGGGAGGTGGGGAGGGGAGGAGGGGGGAGGGACAGGCCAGAGGTGGGGGCTGGGGGCGGGGAGGATGGGGAGAGGTGCCCGCAAGAGGGGTTTATCAAGATCAGGAGGATTCTCAGGTAGCACACCCAAAGCACAAGCCAGCAAAGGAAAATAGATCAACCCGACTCCACACAATGCAAGACTTTTCTTCTGCAAGGCCACTATTAAGAGAGGCCTGGCACAGTGGCTCACACCTGTAATCCCAGCACTTTGGGAGGTTGAGGCAGGAGGATCGCTTGAGTCCAGGAGTTCAGGATCAGTCTGGACAACATAGTGAGATGAGACCTTGTCTATACAAAAAATATTTAAAAATTAGCCAGGTGTGGTGGTGTGTGCTTGTATAGTCCCAGCTACTGGGGAGGCTGAGGTGGGAGGATCGCTTGAACCCAGGAGTTCGAGGCTGCAGTGAGCTATGATTGCGTTGCTGCACTCCAGCCTGGGCAAAAGAGGGAGACTCTATCTCAAAAAAAAAAAAAAAAATGACAACCCACAGAATGGGAGAATATATGTGCAAATTTTGTATCTGATAAGGGTCAAAAAGATAAATAATCCAGTCAGACATGGTGGCTCACGCCTGTAATCCCAGCACTTTGGAAGGCTGAAGCGGGCAGATCACTCAAGGTCAGGAGTTCAAGACCAGCCTGGCCAACATGGTGAAACATTGTTTCTACTAAAAATACAAAAATTATCCGGGCATGGTGGCTAACGCCTGTAATCCCAGCTACTTGGGAGGCTGAGGCAGGAGAATCGCTTGAATCTGGGAGACAGAGATTGTGGTGAGCCAAGATAACGCCACTGTACTCCAGCCTTGGCATCAGAACATCAAAAAGAAGAAGAAGGAGGAGGAGGAGAAGGAGAAGGATAAGAAGAAAAAGGAGGCCAGGCGCAGTGGCTCACGTCTGTAATCTCAACACTTTGGGAGGCTGAGGTGGGAGGGTTACTTGAGCTCAGGAGTTCCAGAACAGCCTGGCCAACATGGTGAAACTCTGTCTCTAGTAAACATACAAAAATTAGCCGGGCATGGTGGCAAGAGCCTGTAATCCCAGCTACTTGGGAAGCTGAAGCACGAGGATGATCGCTTGAACCCGGGAGGCAGAGGTTGCAGTGATCCGAGATCACGCCACTGCACTGCAGCCTGGGTGACAGAGTGAGATCCTGTCTCAAAAAAAAAAAAAAAAAAAAGAAAAGAAAAAGGAAAATAGCAAGTGTTGATGAGGATGTGGAGAAATTTGAACCCCCATGCCTTGCTGGAGGGAATGTGAAATGGTACAGCTGACGTGGAAAACTTTGGCAGATCTTCCAGAAGTTAAACACAGAATTACCATATGACTCTGTGATTCCACTCCTAGATGTATACGGAGAAAACTGAAAACAGGTGTTTACGCCAAAACTTGTACACAAACTCTCAGAGCTGCGCTATCCACAATAGCCAGAAAATGGAAACCACCGAAATGTCCATTGATGGCTGAGTGGATAAATAAATAGTGACACATCCACACAATGGAATGCTATTCAGCCATCAAAAAGAACGAAACCCTGACACACACTATAATGAGGATGCGTTTCAAAAACATCTGAGTTTCTTTCACAAAAGAACAGACAGAAAGGCCACATATTGTATGATTTCATTGATATGAAATGCCCAGAACAGGCAAATCCATAGAGACAGGAAGCAGATTAGTGGCTGCCAGGGGCTGGGGGAGGGGAACGGGGAGTGGCTACTGATGGCACAGGTTTTCTTTTTGGGGAGATGAAAATGTTCTAGAATTAGGTATGAGTGATGGCTGCACAACCTTGTGATTGTACAAAAACCACTGAATTGTACTTTTTTTTTTTTTTTTTTTTGAGACAGGGTCTCACTCTGTCACTCAGGCTGGAGTGCAGTGGTGCAATTACGGTTCACTGCAGCCTCAACCTCTTGGGCTCAAGTGATCCTCCTGCCTCGGCTTCTCAAAATGCTGGGATTGCAGGCATGAGCCACCACGCTCAGTGTCAACTGTACACTTTAAGAGGGTGAATTGTATGGTGTGTGAATGTATCTTAAAAAAGGAGGAATGGCCGGGCGCAGTGACTCACGCCTGTAATCCCATCACTTTGGGAGGCCAAGGTGGGCAGATCGCCTGAGGTCAGGAGTTTGAGACCAGCCTGGCCAACATGGTGAAACTCCGTCCCTAGCAAAAATACAAAAATTAGCCATGCATGCTTGGTGGTAGGTGCCTGCAGTCCCAGCTACTCCAGAGGCTGAGGCAGAAGAATTGCTTGAACCCAGGAGGTGGGGTTGCAGTGAGCCGAGATCACGCCACTGCACTCCAGCCTCCTGGGCGACAGAGTGAGATTCCATCTAAAAAAAAAAAAAAAAAGAGGAATAAGGCTGGGGCTCAGTGGCTCGTGCCTATAATCTCAACAGTTTGGGAGGCTGAGACAGGAGGATTGCTTGAGCCCAGGAGTTCAAGATTGGTCTGGACAACATAGCAAGACTCTGTTTCTACTTTAAATTTTTTTTTTAAATGAAAGAAATGAGTTAAAAAAGAGAGAGAGAGAAATGGGCAGAGGGCAGAGTTGGAAGAAGGGCCTTCCTGGGCAGAGGGCCTGGCATCTGGGGCACAGATAATAAAGTATCAGGGGCCAGGCCAGGGGCTACCCTGAGTCCAGGGGTCATCTCCTGCAGCTCATGGTTCCCAGAAACCTGACACCTCAGTCCCATCCCGGCTGAAGGGCAGAGGCAGAGACAACATCTGTTTCTGACCAAACCCAGAGGCTACTGGAGAGATAGAGAAGGAAGGTACCTGGGAAGGTAAACTGAGGCAGCCTATCTCTCTGATGGAGACACGCTTCCCACCCAGTAGGTGGGAGCCATGGAGAAGGGAAAAGATGGATCAGGAAAGACAGAGACAGAGGAGGGGAGGTGGGAAGAGGGGCAGGGGCTCTGGAGAGGCTGCCTGACCACATCCATTTTATGGACCAGAAAACTGAGGCCCACAAGATGAATCACTTACTCCCAGCTGAACTGCAGCCAGAATAAACTCTGAACCTCTCACCCGTCAGGACCTGACTCTCCAGCTCCAGGACCCCACAACCCAAGAATAAAACCCTAGCCCGCCAGGCGCGGTGGCTCACGCCTATAATCCCAGCACTTTGGGAGGACGGGGCAGGCGGATCACGAGGTCAGGAGATCGAGACCATCCTGGCCAACATGGTGAAACACCGTCTCTACTAAAAACAGAAAAAGATTAGCCGGGCATGGTGGCGGGCGCCTGTAGTCCTAGCTACTCGGGAGGCTGAGGCAGGAGAATGGCGTGAACCCGGAAGGCAGAGCTTGCAGTGAGCCTAGATCGCGCCACTGCACTCCAGCCTGGGCAACAGAGCGAGACTCCATCTCAAAAAAAAAAAAAACCTAGCCCACGGGTACAGTGGCTCACGCCTGTAATCCCAGCACATTGAGAGGCCAAGACAGGAGGATCACTTGAGCCTAGGAGTTTGAGATCAGCCCAGGCAATATGGTGAGACTCTGTCTCTACAAATAATCAAATAAACTAAGCTGAGCGTGGTGGCACGTGCCTGTGGTTCTAGCTGCACAGGAGGCTGAGGAAGGAGGAACAGTTGAGCCCGAGAGGTCGAGGCTGCAGTGCGCTGTGGTCACGCCACTGCACTCCAGCCTGGGCGACAGAACGAGACCCCATCTCAAAAGAAAAAAAACAGCTCTGGTCCATATGCCCCCAGCCTCACGTGGGCTACAACCTCTTCCCCCATCCCCCGTCCATTCCCCACCAGCAACCTCAGGGCCTTTGCACTCCCTCTTCTGGCCCCTCTTTACCACCTTGGTCCTAGCATTGCCTCCTCCAGGAAGCCCTCCCTCACTGGCTACTCCTCACATCCCCACTCATCACTCTTACGGTTTCTCATAACTCTCTGAGTGATAATTAGATTAGTGTCTGCCTTCCCCACCCAGCTAAGAGCCCCTTATGACCAGGAAGATCCTGACTTGTGCAAGATGGGGCCTGGTATACAGTAGGCACTCAATGCTGGCTTTTTTTTTTTTTTTTTTTGAGACAGGGTCTCACCTTGTCACCCAGGCTGGAGTGCAGTGGCGCGATCTCAGCTCACTGCAACCTTGACCTCCCCAGGTTCAGGTGATTCTCCCACCTCAGCCCTCAGCCTCCCAAGTAGCTGAGACTACAGGCATGTGCCACCAAACCTGGCTAATTTTTGTATTTTTAGTAGAGACGGGGTTTCACCATGTTGGCCAGGCTGGCCTCGAACTCCTGAGCTCAAGCGATCGGCCCGCCTTGGCCTCCCAAAGTGCTGGGATTACAGGTGTGAGCCACCGCGCCGGACCCTGATTTCTTAAATGAATGAATGAAACTGAGCTGTGAAATGGGGGCTAACACCATCCTGACTCCTGGAGCTGCTGGGAGAAGCTGAGGCAATGGCTGCTCTGAGGAGCCCTGGAGTAATAGTTGCATAGCAGTTGCTCAATAAATACCAGGCCAGGGCCCAGCTAAGCAAACTTGCTGGGCCCATTGAGAAAAGGACTCCAAATCCCTTCCTATTTTATAGACGGGTAAGCAGAGGCCCAGAAAGAACCTCCTGTTGGTCATTTTCTAGGGACAGAAGAAGGACTCAAAGTGGCTTCATCAAACAGGGAACTGAGGCCGGGTGCAGTGGCTCATGCCTGTAATCCCAGCACTTTGGGAGGCCAAGTCAGGTGGATCATTTGAGCTCAGCAGTTCGAGACCAGCCTGGGCAACATGGCAAAACCTTGGCAACAAGGCTTGAGCCTGAGGCTGAGGCTGGAGGATCACTCGATCCTAGGAAGTGGAGGTTGCAGTGAGCCAAGATGGTGCTACTGCACTCCAGCCTGGGCAACAGAGTGAGACCCTGTCTCAAAAAAGAAACAAAAAATAAAAAAAAATATTTATTTATTTATTTATTTATTTATTTATTTTTTGAGACGGAGTCTCGCTCTGTCGCCCAGGCTGGAGTGTAGTGGCACAATCTCGGCTCACTGCAACCACCCCCTTCCAGGTTCAAGCGATTCTCCCGCCTCAGCCTACCAAGTAGCTGGGATTATAGGCGCTTGCCACCACGCCCAGCTAATTTTTGTATTTTTAGTAGAGACGGGGTTTCACCATGTTGGCCGGGCTTGTCTCAAACTCCTGACCTCAGGTGATCAGCCCGCCTCTGCCTCCCAAAGTGCTGGGATTACAGGCGTGAGCCACCATGCCCGGCCTAAAATATTTTTTAAAAACAGGAACCAGATGGAAAATATTGGGTTTCAGGTATGGCTGGATCCAGGAACTAATGCTTCATCTCGGTGCTGCTGTCCTCCCTGCAGGCTCCTCTCTCAGACAGGCATCCCCACGGTAGGAAGGAAAGAGGCTCCAAGCTCCAGGCTTCCCTCTGTCCAGCTCAGTCTCCCGCTAGTGGAAGCAGGGTGTGCATCTTCCCCATGCACTCTGGCAAAAGTCCCAGCTGCTGCCAGTAAACATTGCCTGTCTCCTACTTCTCGCACCCAAGGGACTGTGCATAGGGGTGGGTTTGCAGCCAACTCCAGGGGCCTCCAGGGCTCACACCTGCAATCCCAGCAGTTTGGGAGGCCGAGGCGGGTGGATCACTTGAGGTCTGGAGTTCAAGACGAGCCTGGCCAACATGGTGAAACCCTGTTTCTACTAAAAATACAAACACATTTTAGCTGGTCAGGGTGGCGGGCGCCTGTAATCCCAGCTACTTGGGAGGCTGAGGCAGGAGAATCGCTTGAACCCGGGAGGTTGCCGTGAGCCAAGATCGCGCCATTGCACTCCAGCAACAAGAGCCAAACTCCGTCTCAGAAAAAAGAAAGGAGGATAAACGCTCAAGGGAGGGCATGCCTGGTGGAGGGAACGGCTTGAGCAGAAGCTGGGATGTGGCAGATCCGGAGCGGGGCGGGGGGCATTTGCAGAACTCTGACCAGCCACCGTGTGGCTGGGGCACCGAGATCCAGGCCTCTGTTTCCCTATCTAGATGCATCGATGGGGAAAGGGAGGCCCCCAGACCAAAGGGGCGGGGCCTGGGCCTCTTGCCTCCTGGCCCTATTGGCTGCCAGGGGTCTCTCCCCGAGAGGTCTCATCCTTTTTTTGCCACAAAATTCAGTAGTTCTGGGCTTTTTAACTCCCCTCCTCTGTCTGAAACCGGAAAAGTCTGTTTAGCAAACGCGGTGGGAGGAGGCAGGGCGGGCCCGGCCGGGGAAACGCGCGCCGCTGTTGCCACCTGGTGGCCATGGGGAGAATCTGGACTACCCGCTAATCGCCAGGGCTGGGGTGGGATTTCAGGAGCCCCCCCCCACACCTCGGCTCAGACCGCAGTGGGGATCAGGGGGAGGCGGCTGCAGAACGCGAGGGAGGTGGGGCAGTGTGGGCAGAAAGAGGGAGGATTCAGGGTGTGTAAGGGGGGCAAGGGTCCTGCTGCGAGTTGGTGGGCGTGAGGAGGAAGGAGCGTGGGGGCAAACCACGGTTCCTGTTACCGGAGTGCCCGGCTGCTCCACTCCCCCTAGGCCGTCCCTTCCCCTGCTCAGTCCTAACTTAGTAGGGTTCCAAGCTCTCATCCGGCTCTGTCTCCCCCGGATTAGGTGCTCCTGGAGGAGACCTAGAGGAAGAGATTAATAAATATATGTGGAATGAATGAATGAATGAATGAATGAATTCCAAGGCTCGTGTTTTGAGATTTTGAGCAGGACATTCAAGCTTCAAACAGGAAAAAAATACCCAAGAGGAGGCTCATTTACGATGATTTTGAACAGCTGTGTAAGGTCATTATCACCACCCCCATTTTATAGGGGGGTGAGGGTGGGGTGGGGGGTGGGATGGGAGGACCGTCATTTTTCCCACAAAGTTTACAGCCCCCTTCCCTATATGCCTGGATCCTCCAAGCTACAAGACCCCGCAATGCTGCAGGGAGCCCTTGAGTCCAGACTCCCCATCCAGTGCTCCTGGGGGTGGATGCCCAGCCCAGGGTCCAGGGATCCATCTGAGCCCCCCTTGCCCCCATTCCCAGTCCATTCTACGCCAGAACAGGTAAATGGCAGGGTCTGCTCCTGCCCCACGGATGCCAGGCCCAGCAGGGTGCAGCAGCTTCCATTTCATGGCAGCATCTAGGGTTCCCCCGCAGGATGGGTGGCAACAGGCACGGGGCAGAGAGGAGGCAGGTGCACTGGAGCCTGGAGGAGCTCTGGGTTATTTGGGTCCAAATGTGACTCCTGTGTGTGCTACGTAGCCTCGGGCGAGTCACTCACCCTCTCTGAGCCTCAACGATCACATCTGTAAAGTACAACAGTCATGGTTCCTTTCAGGGGGTGGTTGTAGGGATTTGGTAGGGAATCATGTGAGTGGATGGAATGGGCTGGGTATGCCATAAGTGCTTAATAACCAGCCGTTGTGATTGAGATAGTCGCTCTTCGTGTCTGTAAGACAAAGTGGATGTTTTCGTTTCTCCCTCAGGCCTCCAGGCCCTGATATCCCAGGAGCGATGGATGTCTAGCCCCCCCACCCCCCGGGCAGGGTTGCACCCCTGACCGTCTGGCCCACTGGGCCCCAGGACCTTGGCCTTGCACCTGTCTCCATCCTCCAAGGACAACTCTGTATCCAGGGCCAGCTCAGGGGCACCCTCAGGTAGCTCTGTCTTCTCGAGAGGCTCAGTCCTCTCGCCTTTGTCCCAGGACATCTCTACCACCAGGGCCTCCTGCAGGGATGCCTCTTCCTGGAAGTCCACTGGGTTGATCCACTGCCAAGTCTGCAGAGGGAGGGTAGGGCCACAGCTGTGAGCAGAGCTCTACTTCCCATCCACAGCAGGATGGAACGGACCAGGTCACTGCTGGTTAAATTCTCTAACATCCTGAGACCTGGACGGGTGCAGTGGCTCACACCTGTCATCCCAGCACTTTGGGAGGCTGAGGCGGGTGGATCACTTGAGGTCAGCAGTTTGAGACCAGCCTGGAGAACATGGCCAAACCCCATCTCTACTAAAAATACAAAAATTAGCTGAGCTTGGTTGCGCACGCCTGTAATCCCAGCTACTTGGGAGGCTGAAGCAGGAGAATCGTTTGAACCCGGGAATCAGAGGTTGCAGTGAGCCGAGATGGCGCCACTGCACTCCAGGCTGGGTGACAGAGCGAGACTCCATATATCCTGAGACCGATTTGAGGATGGAGTCTGCCGCACTGACTCCCATTCAGCCCCTCTTAGGAAGAGCACTCCCATCTGTCTTTGGGAAATTTCCCTCCCTCTTTTCACAGATGGTGTGGTTGACAGTGCAGTGACCCCACCTCAGCTCTAGCAATGGTCATGTGACCCTGGCCAGCCCACCCATCAGACCCTTCCCTACCCCTCTGGTTCTAGCCATAGGCTCAGGGAAGGGCATGTGACCCAAGCTGGACCAATCAGTGATGGCCCTGAGACTTTTGCCCCAGTTAATGGGGAAAATGGACACCCTGCTTCCAATCAGAGAAGGCTCAGCCTGCCTGCGGAAGAACCCTGAACGGGCAGCTCCGAGATAGACCCCAATCGCTGGATTCAGGCATATCTGAAGCCCATTCCCTTGGGATTTTTTCCATCAGGTTTCCTTTATAATAAAGCCACTTTGAATTCTGTTTCTAGTGCCAGGAAATGGACCTCTGCCTGCCTGTCTTTAAAATGGGAAGGGGTATGGAGCACTGGTTTTGGAGTCCTTACCTTGATGAATTGGGAGAGAATAAAATGAGCTAATGCGTAACCCTTGTCCAGCATGTGCACCCAATAAAAAGACTTGGAATTAGAAAAGGCATCCTTACCTCCTTCCCTCCAGGGAACTCAATGGCGGAGCTGGCACAGGGTGTGGGCAGCGGCGGGCACAGGTGCCGTGCGGCCCTGGGGAGGAAAGGGGACCAGTGAGAGGAGCTGAGGTTTTTTTTTTTTTTGGAGACGGAGTCTTGCTCTGTTGCCCAGGCTGGAGTGCAGTGGCGCGATCTCGGCTCACTGCAACCTCTGCCTCCTGGGTTCAATCGATTCTCCTGACTCAGCCTCCTGAGTAGCTGAGATTACAAACGTGTGCCACCACACCCGGCTAATTTTTGTAGTTTTGGTAGAGAGAGGTTTCGCCATGTTGGCCAGGCTGGTGTCCAACTCCTGGCCTAAAGCGATCTGCCTGCCTCAGCCTCCCAAAGTGCTGGGATTACAGGAGTGAGCCACCGTGCCCGGCTTGAAAGCAGCTTTCAATCAGACATGCCCACCAGTGTCACCGCCCCTTTCCATGGGAATGACCAAGGACCCAAAAGTTACTATCCCTTCCCTAGAAATTTCTGCATAGGATCACCTGAGGTCAGGAGTTCAAGACCAGCCTGGCCAACATGGTGAAACCCTATCTCTACTGAAAATACAAAATAAATAGCTGGGTGTGATGGCACGCACCTGTAGTCCCAGCTACTTGGGAGGCTGAGACAGGAGAATGGCTTGAACCCGGGAGGGGGAGGTTGCAATAAGCCAAGATCGTGCCACTGCACTCTAGCCTGGGTAACAGAGTAAGACTCCATCTCAAAAAAGAAAAAAAAAAGAAAGAAATTTTGCATAAACTGCCCCCCTTAATCTGCATGCAATTAAAAGTAAGTATAAATCTGACTGCAAAACCGCTCTCAGCGGCTACTCTCCGCCTACAGGGAAGCCCTGCTCTGCAGAGGCAGTCACGGAGCTATAACTGCTGCTTCAATAAAGCTGTTTTCTTCTACCTCTGGCTTGCCCTTGAATTATTTCCTGGGCAAAGCCAAGGACCCAATCTGCGGGCTAAGCTCCACTTTAGGGCTCCCCTGCCCAGCATCATTACCATCGCTATGGTAACGGTAAGAGGTGTCAGTTACCTGTTCAGGCCAAGGTAGCCAAGGACGCCCACGAGAAGGATGCTCAGGAAGCTCCCCAGGGAGGCGAAGAAGATGAGCCAATCAGAAACCTGCACTTCTGAGGTGGGAGAGCGTGGGTTGGCAGAGGGCTACCTCCTGCCTCTTCCTCAGGGAAGGAGCTAGGAGGGCCTGGTTTCTCCATGAACTTGCTGCTGATCCTGGTGCACATGCCACGGGCTTCTCACTGGGAGACCACAGAACCCACCTGCCCGGTAGCTGTCAAGAAATAAAGGCCTGGCATGCAGGAAGTGTTCAAGACTCTGTAATTCCAGGCCGGGCACAGTGACTCATGACTGTTATCCCAGCACTTTGGGAGGCCAACGTGGGCTGATCACCTGAGGTCAGGAGTTCGAGACCAGCCTGACCAATATGATGAAACCTGTCTCTACTAAAAACACAAAAATTAGCTGGGCGTGGTGGTGTGCGCCGGTAATCCCAGCTACTTGGGAGGGTGAGACAGAAGAATCGCTTGAACTCGGGAGGCGGAGGTTGCAGTGAGCCGAGATCGCATCATTGCATTCCAGCCTCGGCAATAAGAGGGAAAATCTGTCTCAAAAAGATAAAAAAAGACTCTGTAATTCCAGGAGCCTGCACATAGGGCACATGTGGCTGCCCCTGGACCCAGGCCTGCCTGCCCCCCACCAACCCTGACTCTTTTGTTCTCTGGGTTCCAGTTGGTTCTCTTGGAACTGAAAGGACACCGTGGCATGAACAGGGATCATTTGATCTCTGAATCTCTTATAACCATGCACCCGACAACAGAGCCTGTGTTGTTCTCTTCCTCCTCCTCCTCCTCCTCCTCCCTCTTCTTCTATTCCTCTTCCTCTTCTTCTTCTTTCTTCTCCTTCTTCTTCTTCTATTTTTTTTTTTTTTTTTTTTTTTTTTTTTTTTTTTGAGACAGGGTCTTGCTCCGTCGCCCAGGCCAGAGTGCAGTGGTGCAGTCACGGCTCACTGCAACCTTGAACTCCTGGTCTCAAGCCATCCTCCCACCTCAGCCTCCTGAGCAGCTGAGACTACAGGTGTGCACCACCACACCCCACTATTTTAAAAATATTTTTTGTAGAGATGAGGTCTCACCATGTTGCCCAGGCTGGTCTTGAACTCCTCGGCTCAAGCAATCCTCCAGCCTCAGCCTCCCAAAGTGCTGGGATTACAGGTGTGAGCCACCACACCGGGTTTTGCCTGTGTCCTCCTTATTTTTGCATTCATTTATTTGTCGCTCAATGAACAGATTCCTGCATCTTCCTCCTCCCCAAGAGCCCCCAGATACCTTGACACATCTACCCCAACCCCGCAGTGTCAGACCAGGGAGAAGGGACAGTTGTAAACAAGGGCATGGCCAGAAGGAGGCAGAGAAGTCTTGCTGGAGGAGGGAACTTTTGAGCTGAGTTTTGAAGGACGAATAGGAGTTGGACCGTGTGGAAAACAAACATTCCAGGCAGGAGGCAGGGAAGGGCCTGCATGGGCAAGGCTCCTGGAGTGTGAGAGGAAGCTGCGAGAGAAGGCAATGGGAGCAGTTTGAGCTGCTACTTTCTCCTGAGGGCAGTAGGGAGCCATAGAGGGAGTGAGAGTGAGGGCAGGGCTGCTAAGATCATTGTGGGAAGCGCAGTGCAGTGCATGCTGGGTAAATAACTGGGTCCTACCCCCTCCACTCACCGATGCTGAAGCGCTGGGGCTGGCTCCAGACACCCCTCAGCCACGCTGTGTCTGCTCGCACCTGCACCGTGTAGGCTACACCAGCCCGCAGGCCACTGAGGGTAACTTGGGTCTCTGTGGGCTGCACGGGATGCTCTGCAGTGGGAGAGGCAACCCTGAGTCCTGGGACCTCTTTACTCCTCAGAGGCCAGGCTGGGCTACCACAGCCTGTGGGTGGGGTGGGGATTCATAGGCATTTTGCTAAAATCTCTACTCTTTCTTTCTTTTTTTTTTTTTTTTTTTGAGACGGAGTCTTGCTCTGTCGCCCAGGCTGGAGTGTAGTGGCGCCATCTCGGCTCACTGCAAGCTCTGCCTCCTGGGTTCACACCATTCTCCTGCCTCAGCCTCCCGAGTAGCTGAGACTACAGGCGCCCGCCACCACGCCCAGCTAATTTTTTGTATTTGTAGTAGAGACGGGGTTTCACTGTGTTAGCCAGGATGGTCTCGATCTCCTGACCTCGTGATCTGCCCACCTCGGCCTCCCAAAGTGCTGGGATTACAGGTGTGAGCCACCAAGCCCAACCTAAAATCTCTTCTCTTAATGCGCCCATTCATCTCAAGATTTTTTTTTTTTTTGAGATGGAGTCTCACTCTGTTGCCCAGGCTGGAGTGCAGTGGCACAATCTCAGCTCACTGCAACCTCCACCTCCCAGGTTCAAGCGATTCTTGTGCCTCAGCCTCCTGAGTAGCCGGGATTACAGGCGCCCACCACCATAGCCAGCTAATTTTTTGTATTTTTAATACACATGAGGTTTCACCATGTTGGCCAGGCTGGTCTTGAACTCCTGGCCTCAAGTGATCCGCCCGCCTCAGCCTCCCAAAGTGCTGGGATTACAGGCGTGAGCCACCGCGTCCGGCTGACTTGTTGGATCTTTGGGCAGGTGGATCTGAGGTTGGAGGCAGGATTGGACTCTGGAGGCAGGGCTTGGACACAGGACCAAACTGAGGACTAGCTAAAGCAGGTCCTGGGCTTTCCATAAGACACGCCCACCAGTGTGCCATGTCAGTTTACCATTACCATGGCAACACCCGGAAATTACCGCCCCTGTCCACGGCAATGATCCCACAACCCGGAAGTTACTACCTTCATCCTAGATATTTCTGCATAAACCGCCCCTTCATTTGCATATAATTAAAAGCGGGTATAAATATGAGACGTAGCTGCCCTGCCTGTGGGGCGTCCCCACTCTGCAAGGAGCAGGACTTCTGCTGCTGCTCTACACGGCCACTTCAGTAAAAGTTTCTGTCTAACACCACCGACATGCACTTGAACTCTTTCCTGGGGAAAGCCAAAAACCCTCCTGGCTAAACCCTGTTTTGTGGGCTTTCCTGTCCCTCATCAGATCCCCCCTCCAGGCCTTAGTTTCCTCATCTGTGGAATGGAGACAGTCATCCCTGCTTGATGAGAGTTCAGCTGCTGCTACATGTGAGGGGCAGCTTCCCATGGATGAATCCAATACACCATAAGCACTTGGCTGGTGCCCACCCAGCCTTCTCCAGGGTCTGCAAGGGGTGATCGAGACCCTCAAGTTCAGCTGGGTGCTCATGACTAATCCCAGCACTTTGGGAGGCCAAGGTGGGAGGATAGTTTGAGGCCAGAAGTTTGAAACCAGCCTGAGCGAGGCCGGACACGGTGGCTCACACCTGTAATCCCAGCCCTTTGGGAGGCCAAGGCGGGTGATTCACCTGAGGTCAAGAGTTTGAGACCAGCCTGGTCAACATGGTGAAACTCCGTCTCTGCTAAAAATACAAAAATTTGCCAGGCATGGTGGTGGGTGCCTGTAATCCCAGCTACTTGGGAGGCTGAGGCAAGAGAATTGCCTGAACCCGGGAGGCAGAGGTTGCAGTGAGCTGAGATGGCGCCACTGCACTCCAGCCTGGGTGACAGAGACAGACTCCCTCTCAAAAAGAAAAAAAAGAAAAAATCCCAGCCTGGGCAATATAGCAAGGCCTCATTTCTACAAAAAATAAAATATTAACTGTGCATGGTGGTGTGCACCTGTGTTTCCAGCTACTAGGGAGGCTGAGGTGGGAGGATCGCTTGAGCCCAGGAGGTTGAGGCTGCTGTGAGCTATGATGGCACCACTGCACTCCAGCCTGGGCACAGAGTGAGTCCCTGTCTATAAAATTAAAAAAAAAAAAAAAAAGACCCTCAAGTCTAATTCTCTTGTTTTTGTTTTTTGTTTGTTTGTTTTCGTTTTTGTTTTTTCTGAGACAGAGTCTCACTCTGTCACCCAGGCTGGAGTGCACTGGTACAATCTCGGCTCACTGCAATCTCCGCCTCCTGGGTTCAAGCGATTCTCCTGCCTCAGCCTCCCGTGTAGCTAGAATTACAGGCATGTGCCACCATGCCCGGCTAATTTTGTATTTTTAGGAGAGACGGGGTTTCTCCAAGTTTGTCAGGCTGGTCTTGAACTCCTGACCTCAGGTGATCCGCCCGCCTTGGCCTCCCAAAGTGCTGGGATTACAGGCGTGAGCCACTGCGCCCAGCCAATTCTCTTGTTTTAAGGGTTTGATAACCAAGGCCCAGAGAAGGACGGCAAGGTGCCCAGGGTCACACAGCAAGAGAGATCACAGGCCAGGATCCTCCCTTCCTCCCCAAGCCAGGTCTGCACTGCCTCACGTACCTGACACCTGTTTGCTGTCTTCATCTCGGCAGCGGACAACATACTCCTTTAGGACGCCGGGACAGGTGCTCAGCAGGGATGGTGCCCAGTCCACAGACACAGAGTCCAAGCTATGATTCTTCACCGAGACGTGGTGCGGTGTCCCAGCTGCTGAGGCTGCAACCAGTACCATTGTCATAGTCAACACCAAGAATGCTGGTCGAGGCCTGGCACAGTGGCTCGCACCTGTAATCCCAGCACTTTGGGAGGCCGAGGTGGGTAAGTCATTTGAGGCCAGGAGTTCAAGACCAGCCTGGCCAACATGGCAAAACCCCTTCTCTACTAAAAATACAAAAATTAGCCAGGCATGGTGGCGGACACCTGTAATCCCAGCTACTCAGGAGGCTGAGGCAGGAGAATCACTTGAGCCCAGGAGGCAGAGGTTGCAGTGAGCCAAGATGGCACCACTGCACTCCAGCCTGGGCAACAGAGCAAGACCCTGTCTTTAAAAAAAAAAAAAAGCCCAGCCACGATGGCTCATGCCTGCAATCCCAGCATATTGGGAGGCCAAGGTGGGTAGATCACTTAAGGTCAGGAGTTCGAGACTAGCCTGAGGAACATGGGGAAACCCTGTTTCTACTAAAACTACAAAAATTAGCCAGGCATGATGGTGGGCGCCTGTAATCCCAGCTACTCGGCAGGCTGAGGCACGAGAATCGCTTGAACCCGGGATGCAGAGGTTTCAGTGAGCCAAGATCGTGCCACTGCACTCCAGCCTGGGCCACAGAGAGTGACTCTGTCTCAAGAAAAAAAAAAAAAAAAAAAAAAAAGGAGTGCTGGTTGAGCACTTCCTGAATGCCCAGCCTCCCACTGTCCAGAGACGGAGGTAACATTGGCCACAGAGTCAGGTGAGCTGGGTTTTAATTCTGGTTCTGCCACTCAGTCACTGTCATTTCCCTTCCCTGGGCCTCAGTTTTCTTATCTATAAAATGGACAATGCTGGCCGGGCGCAGTGGCTCACACCTGTAATCCCGGCACTTTGGGAGGCCAAGGCAGGTGGATCACGAGGTTAGGCATTTGAGACCAGCCTGGCCAACATGCTAAAACCCTGTCTCTACTAAAGATACAAAAAATTATCCAGGCATGGTAGTGCACACCTATAATCCCAGCTACTCAGGAGGCTGAGGAAGGAGAATGGCTTGAACCCGGGAGGCAGAGGTTGTATGATTGCAGTGGTGCAATCATAGCTCACTGCAGCCTCAAACTCCTGGGATCAAGTGATCTTACCACCTCAGCCTCCTGAGTAGTTGGGACTACAGGCACATGCCACCATGGCTGGCAAACTTTTTTCTTTCTGTAGAGACGGGGTCTTGCTATGTTGCCCAGGCTGTTCTTGAACTCCTGGGTTCAAGTGATCCACAAGCCTCAGCCTCCCAAAGTGCCAAAGTGCTGGGATTACAGGGGTGAGCCATTCTGTCTGCCTTAACAGCATTGTCCTTTTTTTTTTTTTTTTTTTTTTTTTTGAGACAGAGTCTTGCTCTGTCACCCAGACTGGAGTACAGTGGCATGATCTCAGCTCACTGCAACCTCCGCCTCCTGGGTTCAAGCGATTCTCCTGCCTCAGCCTCCCAAGTATCTGGAATTACAGGCACCCGCCACCACACCCGGCTAATTTTTGTATTTTTAGTAGAGACAGGGTTTCGCCACATTGGCCAGGCTGGTTTCAAACTCCTGACCTCAGGTGATCCACCCACCTTGGCCTCCCAAAGTGCTGGGATTACATGCGTGAGTCACTGTGCCCAGCCTCTATTTTTTTAAATTATTTAAAAAGAAAAAATAATGTAAACCTGCAGGTTTGGGTCACTTACCATTGCCCCCAAAGTGGTAGGTGGACAGGACCGTAGACCACAAGGTGAGCTTCTCGGGGTGCGCAGAGGCAAAGATGGTAATGTAGTAACACTTTTCCTGCCCCATTGCCCCAGACTCTCGACTCCAGCTGTAGGTTGCTGGAAGGATAAGCAAAGGCCAGGCCATTCAGTAGATTGTGTTCCCACCTCTGCACCTTTGCACTGGCTGTGCCATCTGCCAGGAACCCCCAGAAAACTCCTACTCATGTTTCAAAGCCCTTGCACCAATATCCCCTCCTCCAAGATCTCTTCCCTATGCAACACCCCCAACCCCATCCCCATCCCCCTCTAACCCAGCCCTTACTCCATGGAACCAGGGCTTCTTTTTTTTTTTTTTTTGAGATGGAGTCTCGCTGTGTCACCCAGGCTGGAGTGCAATAGCGCAATCTTGACTCACTGCAATCCCTGCCTCCCGGGTTCAAGCGATTCTCCTGTCTCAGCCTCCTGAGTAGCTGGGATTTACAGGTGCACACCATCATGCCTGGCTAATTTTTATATTTTTAGTAGAGACAGGGTTTCTCCATGTTGGCCAGGCTGGTCTCGAACTCCTGACCTCTGTTGATCCACCTGCCTCAGCCTCCCAAAGTGCTGGGATTACAGGTGTTAGCCACCTTGCCCGGACAATGGGGTCAGGGGTTCCGTGTCCAGTTCTGTCTCCTCAGGCTGTGTATTCTTCAAGGAACAGGCTGAGGCTGAGGCTTTCTGGGGCTCTGGCAAGGCCCAGAGCAGGAAGCGGGAGAGTGAGAGGCCACCTGAGCCTCACGGCCCCCCTTTCCCTAAAGACTGCTCATTAATTTGCCACCAGCATCTCGCGAACTGCCACCTTCCCTGGCGCGGTTGAATATTTAACAAACACCTTGGGATGTGAGATTCATTACCTGTATGTGTGTGATCTGCCTGGAACTGAGCTCAGGATGCCAGCAAGAGGTTCCAGACCCATATGGGTGAGAGGCTCCGAACCTCACCCTGTCCCTACCTCTGTATGACATTGAGTAAGCAGCAACACCTCTCTGGGCCTTAGACACCCGCTGTGTGCCTTCCCTGCAGGTTTGAACCCACCAGGACCTAAAAGGGAGGGCACAGAGGAGGGGTAGGCGCAGGCCATTCCAGGCCATTACCCATTCCAGCCGGATCCGGGTCTTGCGGCGCAGTCAGGCTGCAGGTGGCAAGGCCCCCGTCCTGGCCCACAGGCTGCCATTCAATGCAATACGTCATGCTCTGAGCCCGGGCTGGCCAATACATGGTGGTCCCGTTGGTTCCGACGCTGATATTCAGAGCCACTGGTTCTGGAAGGAGAGGGGAGAGACGCATCGAGACAGTTGCCATCTCTCTCCCCAGTCCCCTTCTCTGGCTCCTGCAGCCTCTCTCCCACCCTCTCGTCTATACCCCTGACCCTACAGGGCCAGGGGTGTCTGTGTTTGGCTGTTTCCCTGCACTGGAGGCTGCCTTGGGGCCAGGCACAAAGTGGGTAGCAGATGGCGTTTGTTTTTTTTTGTTTTTTCTTTGGAGACGGATTCTTGCTCTGTCGCCCAGGCTGGAGTGCAGTGGCATGATCTCGGCTCCCTGCAACCTCAGCCTCCCGGGTTCAAATGAGTCTCCTGCCTCAGCCTCCTGAGTAGCTGGGACCACAGGCATGCGCCACCATTTCCTGGCTAATTTATTATTATTTTTTGGTGGAGATGGGGTTTCACCGTGTTGCCCAGGCTGGTCTCGAACTCCTGACCTCCAGTGATCCACCTGCCTTGGCTTCCCAAAGTGCTGGGATTACAGGCATAATCCGCCGCATCCAGTCAGCAGGTGGTGTTTGAATGAGCTGAGTCCTCCTCCAGCCTAACTGCTGTCTCCTTGCCAGGATATTCACCATGAGAGCTTCCTGTACTGCCATTACACCCACTTCCAGCCTTGTAGGCGTCTCCGGCTGTGGCAGATACCTGGCTGCCCACCACTTGCCTAGCCTAGGCGGAGAGTGTGATGCAAGACTAGGCCTCCCTGGCCTGACCGGCGCCACTGGTGGTCTCATGCCAAACTCAGAAGCACGAGCACACACCCACTCAGTCCCTGGGCAAATCTCTCCCACTCCCTCCCGCCAGGGCGTCTTCATGAATGTCAGAGAGATGGATACTGCTTGCAATTCTGGGGATAGCAACAGCCGTTTATTGAGTACCAACTGCATGTGCCAAGCCAATGCTGAGAGCTTTACAGGCACCATTTCACTATGATATGGGACCAGGCTGGGTACGGTGGCTCACGCCTGTAATCCTAGCACTTTGGGAGGTGGAGATGGGTGGATCACTTGAGCCCAGGAGTTCGAGACCAGCCTGGGCAACGTAGAGAGACACCTGTCTCTACAAAAAATAAAAATAAAAAATTAACCAGGTGTGGTGGTGCATGTCTGTAGTCCCAGCTACTCCAGAGGCTGAGGTGGAAGGATCACTTGAGTCTGGGAGTTCAAGGCTGCAGTGAGCCATGATTGCACTCCAGTCTGCCAACAGACTGAGAACCTAGCTCAAAAATAATAAAAATAGTAGGTCGGCCACAGTGGCTCACACCTGTAATCCCAGCACTTTGAGAGGCTGAGGTGGGTGGATCACCTGAGGGCAGGAGTTTGAGACCAGCCTGGGCAACATGGTGAAACTCCATCTCTACTAAAAATACAAAAATTAGGCTGGGCATGGTGGCTCACGCCTATAATCCCAACACTTTGGGAGGCCAAGGCAGGTGGATCACTTGAGGTCAGGAGTTCGAGACCAGCCTGGCCAACGTGGTGAAACCCCGTCTCTACTAAAAATACAAAATTAGCCGGGTATGGTGGCAGATGCCTGTAATCCCAGCTACTCGGGAGGCTGAAGCAGGAGAATCTCTTGAATCTGGAAGGCGGAGGTTGCAGTGAGCTGAGATCATGCCATCTGTCACAAGAAAAAAAAGAAATTAGATCTTAAATAAACACAGGGTCAACTCTAGCCTTTTTTCTTTCTTTCTCTCTTTTTTCTTTTTTGAAAAAGAGTGTAGCTCTATCAACCAGGGTGGAGCGCAGTGGCTCAGCTAGTTTTTGTTGTTGTTCTTTAATAATGCATAATAGCCAGGTATGATGGCACATGCCTATATTCCCAGCTATTTGGGAGGCTGAGGGAGAAAGATTGCTTGAGCCCAGAAGTTCAAGTCCAGCCTGGGCAACATAGCAAAACTCTGTCTCTTAAAAAAAACAAACCAACAACAACAAAAAACTGCATTATGGATCTTGATTATTGAATTTTTTTTTTTTGACACAGTCTTGCTCTTTGTTGCCCAGGCTGGAGTGCAATGGCACAATTTTGGCTCACTGCAACCTCTGGCTCCTGGGTTCAAGCGATTCTCCTGCCTCAGCCTCCCAAGTAGCTGGGACTACAGCCACCACACTCAGCTAATTTTTGTATTTTTAGTAGAGACTGGGTTTCACCACGTTGGCCAGACTGGTCTCGAACTGCTGACCTCAGGTGATTCACCTGTCTTAGCCTCCCAAAGTGCTGGGATTACAGGTGTGAGCCACCGTGCCTGGCTGATTACTGAATTTTTGATACACCCCTAAATCAGGCACTCCTTTAAAATTTTCTGCCTCGCTCCTCTCACCCTGGTCTAGCTGAGGCTCAGAGTAGGTGCTCAGCTCTGAGGGGCCCTCATACCGCCCTCCCCACCCAGAGGAGGCACCTGTGTGGGTGTCGGCAGGAATGTGCCACGTCTGGTTCAGGCCAGGACCAAATTGGTTCGAGGAGATGACAGCCACGTTGTAGGCAGCACCCGAGAGATAGGGCATCTTCCCCAGGTGCAGGGTCCTGGTGGCCTTGGCCTTACACGGGCAGGACAGCATGTGGAGCTGTAGTCGGTAAGTGACCTCCGTGCCAGGCGCCAGCCCTTGACAGCCTTCTGGAAGCTCCAGCTGGGTTGGCTGTCAGGAGTATGAAAGACAGCTTGTGGGTACCTGATCACACTCATCATCCCATAGGCAGACAGCAGGGCACAGCCTATGAAGACAGACTTGGACAAAGGCCACAGCCAATAACATGCATCAAAAATTAAAAGAATAATAAACCTCAATGCTGGCAAAGCTGCTGTGAGACAGGCATTCACCTCCCGCACACATCTAGCTTGAGGGAGGTGGGAAATTGACAAAACCCACTGACATTCAGGAAAACAAAAATGTTTCCATCTTTTAACCCAGTTACCTCAAGCAGAAAATTTTTCCTTAGAAAAGGAATTTGAGAGGCCGGGCACGGGGGCTCACGCCTCTAATCCCAGCACTTTGGGAGGCCGAGACGGGTAGATCATGAGGTCAGGAGATTGAGACCATCCTGGCTAACACGGTGAAACCCCGTCTCTACTAAAAATACAAAAAATTAGCCCGGCATGGTGGTGGGCGCCTGTAGTCCCAGCTACTCGGGAGGCTGAGGCAGGAGAATGGCGTGAACCCGGGAGGCGGAGCTTGTAGTGAGCCGAGATGGCGCCACTGCACTCCAGCCTGGGCGACAGAGCAAGACTCCATCTCAAAAAAAAAAAAAAAAAAAGGAAAAAAAAGAAGAGGAATTTGAGTTAGAGGAACATAGGAAATAAAGGATTTTTGCTACAGCCTTATAGTAACAGCCCATTAGGGACCTGACTAAGATGACTATGGTAAAGTCAACGAGTGGAGTATTTGTCAGTTTTGTCTCAACAGAGATACTCCCTCTATGCCTCAGTTTCCCTCTCTGTAAACTAATCAGACTGCACTTAATGGGTTGTTTTGGGACTTAAAGCAATAATCTGCTACCCAGGCAAATGCAGTCACCATTATCTCCTTCCTGGCCTTCTGGCTTCTGTGCAATTCCCCCACACTCTGTTTCTCACACAGGAGCCAGGGAAAGTCTGTGAACATCTGAGTCCAGTCATGTGCCTCTCCTGCTCACACACACACTCCATGGCTCCCTATTACCTTCAGAGTTAAACCCACAATTTGCCCACTTCCTGCCACCTCTACATCTCATCTCCCTCCATCTACCACTTGCTCATCCCCCGCCTAGGCTTTTGCCTCCTGCTCCCCATCCCAGGCCACCCCACAGCCCTGTGACAGCCCCGTTACCTGCTCTTTCAGGGTCAGCCGCCTCCTCCCATCCTGGCCCAGCTGCTCCACCGAGAATCTCACCTGAGGCTGTGGGGGGTTTTCTGCAATCAGAACCAAACCAACTAGACGAATTGGAAGGAGAGAAAGACTGATGGATGTTTTCTTTGTAAATGATGGATTCTCCACATTTACAAAGTGAAAATCCCTTGCTGCCCCAAATTGCAGAAAAGAGAAAAAACTGAAGGAAGAAAAATTAACACAATTTGCATCCCCAGGGATAACTGCCACCTGTAATCTCATGTTGCCTAAGGTTTTTTGTTTGTTTGTTTGTTCGTTTGCTTTTTGAGACGAAGTCTCACTCTATTACCTAGGCTGGAGTGCACTGGTGCGATCTCGGCTCACTGCAATCTCTGCCTTCTGGGTTCAAGCGATTCTCCTGCCTCAGCCTTCCAAGTAGCTGGGATTACAGGCATGCACCACCATGTCCGGCTAATTTTTGTATTTTTAGTAGAGACGGGGTTTCACCATGTTGGTCAGGCTGTTCTTGAACTCCTGACCTTGTGATCCACTTGCCTCGGCCTCCCAAACTGCTGGAATTATAGGCGTGAGCCACTGCGCCTGGCCTCTAAGTTCCTTTTTGAATGCAAATGTATTTCTCTGCATGGTTTTGTTGTTGTTGCTGTTGTTTTATAGACTAGAGACAGAGTCTCGTTTTGATTCCCAGGCTTGTCTCAAACTCCTGGCCTCAAACAATCCTCTGGCCTCGGCCTCCCAAAGTGCTGGGATTACAGGCATAAACCACAGCGCCAGGCCTTTCTGCATGGTTTGAAACCCTCTCACTCATTTTCCTGTTGCCCAGGCTCAGGGCAGCAGCTGTTTAGTACACCCTGCCACCTGCAGGTGACATTGTCCTTGAGACACCGTGAGGTTCAGCCTGATGATTCTCACTTGATAAAGCCCTGTAGTGGGCTGAGCGCAGTGGCTCATACCTGGAATTCTAGCACTTTGGGAGACCGTGGTGGGAGGATCACTTGAGGCCAGGAGTTCGAGACCAGCCGGGCAAACATGGCGAAACCCCATCTCTACTAAAAATACAAAATTAGCTGGGCGTGGTGGTGCATGCCTGTAAATCCCAGCTACTCTGGAGGCTGAGGCAGGAGAATCGCTTGAACCCGTGAGGCGGAGGTTGCAGTGAGCCAAGATCACACCACTGCACTCCAGCCAGGGTGACAGAGCAAGACAGTCTCAAAACAAAACAAAAAATAGCAGTAGGCCGGGCGCGGTGGCTCACGCCTGTAATCCCAGCACTTTGGGAGGCCGAGGAGGGCAGATCACGAGGTCAGGAGATTGAGACCATCCTGGCTAACATGGTGAAACCCCGTCTCTACTAAAAAATACAAAAAATTAACCGGGCGTGGTTGCAGACACCTGTAGTCCCAGCTACTTGGGAGGCTGAGGCAGGACAATGGCGTGAACCCGGGAGGCGGAGCTTGCAGTGAGCCGAGATGGCGCCACTGCACTCCAGCCTGGGTGACAGAGTGAGACTCCGTCTCAAAAAAAAAAACAACAAAAAACAACAAACAAACAAACAAAAAAAACAGCAGCAAAAAACCCTAAAGTGGGTGCAGCAAGACCGGATGCCACATTGTCAGGGTTTGAGCACCCATTTCTCCCTCTGCCTTATTTCTAACACTCACCACCTTGTTTCTAATACCTGCTGCCTTATTTCTTTTTCCATTTTATTTTATTATTACTTTTTTTTTTTTTTTTACTTTTTTTTGAGACAGAGTCTGGCCCTGTCACCCAGGCTGGAGTGCAGTGGTGTGATCTTGGATCCCTGCAACCTCCACCTCCCGGGTTCAAGGGATTCTCCTGCCTCAGCCTCCCAAGTAGCTGGGATTACAGGCTCCCGCCACCACGCCCAGCTAATTTTCGTATTTTTAGTAGAGAAGGGGTTTCACCATGTTGGCCAGGCTGGTCTCGAACTCCTGACCTCAAGTGATCTGCCCGCCTCAGCCTCCCAAAGTGCTGGGATTACAGGCATCAGCCACCACGCCCAGCCCCATTTTATTTTATTTTTTAGAGATGGGGTCTCACTATGTTGCCCGGGCTGGTCTCAAACCACTGGCCTCAAGTGATCCTCCCGCCTCAGCCTTCTGAGCAGCTGGAACTACAGGTGTGCACCACCACCTCCGGCTGTTGCCTTATTTCTAATGCTTGCCCCTGTTCCTGTACTCAGAGTGATCTTACCAGGGGGAACGCACACGGGGCTGCTCCACTTGCTCCAGGAACTTCCTTGGCTCCCCAGCTGCCGTCGTCGGAGCTGGAATTCCTGGGCCACATTCATCTCCAGGGGGCAGAGGCAGGACTCTGGGGAGAGGCAGGTCGAACATCAGGCCGTAAGAATTGTCCAGGACTTGGCACCAGTCACTTAACCATCATGTGCTTATTGAGCTCCAACTGTGTACAGAGCCACGTGCTGGGTCCTGGGGGCTCAGCAGAAGCAGGCCAGGCCCTGTCCTCTTAGGGCCTCCAGGATCACCCACGTCCATCCCTGCCCCTCAGTTCAAGTCCTGGCTGCGGCCATCCCTTCGGTCGTGACCTTGGCCAAAGGCTTCTCACCCCCTCCAAGTCGTGATTTGTTTCCCCACCTGCAATTTGGAAAGAATCCAATACTGAACTATGGGGCAGGGTAAGAGGCATACAAAAAAATTCAGCATTGGACCTGGCATACAGTAGGTGCTCAATTAATGCCAATTTGCTGCAGCTGTTGTTGTCATTACTATTATTATTCTCACCAGTATCATCATCCTGAGGTCCGCAGTCGCCCTAGAATAAAAACATATTCATATATTGTTTTGCATTTTGGTGCTGAAAAATATTTGCTGTTTTACAATTAGTTATTTATTTACTTATTTATCTGAGACACGGTCTCACTCTGTCATCTAGGCTGGAGTGCAGTGGTGCAATCATGGCTTATTGAAGCCTCAACCTCCCAGGGCTCAGGTGATCCTCCCGCCTCAGTCTCCTGAGTAGTTGGGACTACAGGCATGCACCATCACACTCAGCTAATTTTTGCATTTTTGGTAGAGACGGGATTTCACCATGTTGCCCAGGCTGGTCTCAAACTCCTGGCCTCAAGCAATCCCACCCCAACTCGGCCTCCCAAAGCACTGGGATTACAGGCGTGAGCCACCGCACCTCGCTAAATTTTTTTAAATTAAAGACCATACTTCCAGGGATTATTTCTATCGTTAATTACTAGAGAACCTTCTCTAGGTTCAAACCTTCTTTAGGAACATATAAAGCAGTAAAAAATTATTATAACTAAATTTTAAAAATTAATAATTATTTTACTAAACACAATGTGGGATCCTGGATTGAATCTGGGAGCAGAAAAAAGACATTCCTGGAAAAATTGGTGACATTCAAATAATGCCTGGAGTTTATGTAAGACATTAACATTAGAGGAGTTTGGGTAAAGGATATATGGGCGTTCTCTGCACCAGTTTATATAGTAACTTTTCTGAAAATCGAAGGTTATTCCAAAAGAAAAAATTTATTTTAAAAAATTTTAGTGGGAGCAAGGCGTGGTGGTTCATGCCTGTATTCCCAGCACTTTGGAAGGCCAAGGTGGGCGGATCACCTGAGGAGTTTGAGACCAGCCTGGCCCACATGGCGAAACCCCGTCTCTACTAAAAATACAAAAATTAGCTGCGTGTGGTAGTGGGCGCATGCCTGTAATCCCAGCTACTCGGGAGGCTGACGCAGGACAATCGCTTGAACCCGGGAGGCAGAGGTTGCAGTGAGCTGAGATCATGCCACTGCACTCCAGCCTGGGCGACAGAGCAAGGCTCCGTCTCAGAAAAAAAAAAAGAAAAAGAAAAAAACCACCTCAGGGGCTAGAGTGGGGGCTGGTTGGGAGCGGGGACAGATGCAGAGATGGTGAGACTGATTTGGGGGTGAAGGTGCCCTGGAGAGGCCCGTGTCCACCCTGGACTTGGGAAACAAACTCACCAACTTCCATGGGCTGCTGGGTGTCCGGTGCCGGAACTGCACCTCAGCACCAACCTGGTTATCCGGGGTCTCCCACTCCATACGCAGCTGCCCGGCCAACTTGGACACCTTGATGTCTCCCAGAGGAGGCTCATATTTAACTGGAAGCAGAGGTAGGGATTGGCGAGGGGCAGCCCACACGTATGTGAGTTAATGGGCCCTGAAAATCCACCCTGTCCAGGGTAAGCAACTGAATCCCTAAATATGAATTAGGGGACACTTGCAGGTCCCAGCTAAGCCTGGTATATTATGATCAAAAAGTCAAGATTTATACACAAGCCACATACGGTGGCTCACCCTGTAATTCCAGTATTTTGGGAGGCCAAGGCAGGAAGATCACTTAAGCCCAGGAGTTCGAGACCAGCCTGGGCAACATAGTGAGACCCCCTCATCTCTACATAAAAATTAGCCAGGCATGGTAGTTCATGACTGTGGTTCCAGCTACTTAGGAGAGTGAGATGGGAGGATCTCTTGAGCCTAGGAGGCTGAGGCTGAAGTGAGCCCTGATCACACCACTGCTCTCCAATCTAGGAGAGAGAGGGAGAACTTGTCTCTAAAAAAACAACAAATATGGCCAGGAGCAGTGGCTCATAGCTGTAATCCTAGCACTTTGGGAAGCCAAGGTGGGTGGATCATCTGAGGTCAGGAGTTTAAGACCAACCTGGCCAACACGGTGAAACACCGTCTCTACTAAATACAAAAATTAGCCAGGCATGGTGGTGGGCACCTGTAATCCCAGCTACTTGGGAGCCTGAGGCAGGAGAATCGCTTGAACCCAGGAGGCGGAGGTTGTAGTTAGACAAGATCCCACCACTGCCCTCCGGCCTGGGTGACAGAGCAAGACTCTGTCTCAAAACAAATTAAAATTAAATTAAAATTTAAAAATAAATAATTTTTAATAAAGATTTATACACAGGATCCTGTTAGTGAAGATAACTTTAAAATATTAACACCCATTGCTGGCAAGGCTGTGAAGAGACGGGCACTTTTGTAAATTGCTTGCCAGAGGGTAATCAATTCTGGTAAGCAATTTACAAAAGTGCCTGTCTCTTGGGGGTGATCCGCCCACCTCGGGCTCCCAAAGTGCTGGGATTATAGGCATGAGCCACTGTGTCCAGCCAATTCTTTTTTTGTTTGTTTGTTTGTTTAGAACTATCAGGGAAATCGTACTTAGTTTTTAGATCTATTTCAAGGAACCTGACCCAAGGAGAGACATAAATTAGCATAAAATAGTCTTGCTGCACCGTGGTCATACCCGGCCTGATTCTTTTTTTATATCATTGTATAAATTTAAGAGGTATGATGGTTTGATATACATATCCATAGTGAAATGATTACTACAGTAAGGAATTTAACATATCCATGGCCAGGCACAGGGGCCCACGCCTGTACTCGAAGCACTTTGGGAGGCCAAGACAGGAGGATCATTTGAGCCCAGGAGTTCAAGACCACCCTGGCCAACACAGCAAGACCCCATCTCTTAAAAATATATATACATATCCATCACCTTCTATAATTACTTTTTTGGTGTGTGGTGAGAACACTTAAAATTTTTTTTTTTTTTTTTGAGATGGAGTCTCGCTCTGTCACCCAGGCTGGAGTGCAGTGGTGTGATCTCGGTTCACTGTAACCTCCATACCACAGGTTCACGTGATTCTCCTGCCTCAGCATCCCGAGTAGCTGGAATTACAGGCGCCCGCCACCACACTCGGCTAATTTTTGTATTTTTAGTAGAGATGGGGTTTCACCATGTTGGTCAGGCTGGTCTCGAACTCCTGACCTCAGGTGATCCTCCCACCTCGGCCTCTCGAAGTGCTAGGATTACAGGCGTGAACCACTGCACCCAGCCCTTAAATCTATTCTTTTAGCAAATTTTCAATATACATTATTTTTAATTATAGTTCTCTACTGTACCTTGGAACTCTAGATTTATTTGTGCTGCGTAACTACAAATTGTATTCCTTTGACCTACATCTCCCCCATTTCCTCCTTCTCTCCATCCCCGGTAACCACAGTTCTACTTTCGGTGCCTAGATATTCGACTTTTTTTTTTTAAGATTATACATGTAAGTGGGATGGGCGCGGTGGCTCACGCCTGTAATCCCAGCACTTTGGGAGGCTGAGGCGGGTGGATCATGAGGTCAGGAGATCGAGACCACGGTGAAACCCCGTCTCTACTAAAAATACAAAAACTTAGCCGGGCGCGGTGGCGGGCGCCTGTAGTCCCAGCTACTGGGGAGGCTGAGGCAGGAGAATGGTGTGAACCCAGGAGGCAGAGCTTGCAGTGAGCCGAGATCGCGCCACTGCACTCCAGCCTGGGCGACAGAGCGAAACTCCATCTCAAAAAAAAGAAAAAAGAAAAAAAGATTATACATGTAAGTGAGATCATGAAATGTTTTTGTTTCTGTGCCTGGCTTACTTCACTCAGCGTAATGTCCTCCAGCTTTGTCCATGTTGTGGCAAATGACATGTTTTCCTTCATTCTTTTCTTTTCTTTTTTCTTTTTTTTCTTTTTTTTTGAGACAGTGTCTTGCTCTGTCACTCAGGCTGGAATGCAGTGACTTGATCTTAGCTCACTGCAACATCTGCCTCCTGGATTCAAGCCATTCTCCCGCCTCAGCCTCCTGGGTAGCTGGGATTGCAGGCATGCACCACCACACCAGGCAAATTTTTTTGGCTTTTTTGTGTGTTGCTGTTGTTTTTTAGATGGAGTCCTGCTCTGTCGCCAGGCAGGAGTGCAGTGGCTCAATCTCAGCTCACTGTAACCTCCACCTCCCGGGTTCAAGCGATTCTCCTGCCTCAGTCTCCCCAGTAGCTGGGACTACAGGCGCGCGTGGCCACTCCTGGCTAATTTTTGTATTTTTAATAGAGATGGGGTTTCACCATGTTGACCAGGATGGTCTCGATCTCTTGACCTTGTGATCCACCCACCTCAGCCTCCCAAAGTGCTGGGATTACAGGCGTGATCCACCGCACCCGGCAAAATACATGATGTCGAGTCATGAGAACAGATAATAAGAACCCAACCAGGTCTTGGCAGCATTATGGCTAGCAGAGAGAAACCAGAAGCAATCTAAGTGCCCACGAATAGGGGATTGGTAAGGGGACCATGAAAGACTGCTTTGTCACAATAGTGTTTGCGTGACACTACGTGAAGTGACAATGGCTAGTAGTATCAAGTCCCTTGCCAAGGGCCAGGAATCCTCTCTAGCTCCAGCCTTGCAGCCTGATGGCCTCTCTGGGTAAAAAACGGACGGGGGGAGAACAAGGTGCTAACCTGAGTTGTAGAGCTGCAGGGTCACCTCAGGAGACTTCTCTGTCTGGTTCCTGGCCCAGGATTCCACCCAGAGTGTGACAGTGTACAGCACAGACACCCCAGCCTGGTCGGAGAACTGCAGCCTGGTGGCTGAGCCGGCGGCGAAGTAGCAGCAGCGCCCGGAGCTAAGGCTGCAGCAGGAAGGAGGGTGTCAGTGCCGAGTCTGGGGTCCTAGTGGACCCCACAGCCGACTTTGTGCATCACATCCCAGCATCGTTTTTTTGGTGTTTGTTTGTTTGTTTGGAGATGGAGTTTCATTCTGTCACCCAGGCTGGAGTGCAGTCGCGCAATCTCGGCTCACTGCAACCTCCACCTCCCTGGTTCAAGCAATTCTCCCACCTCAGCCTCCCTAGTAGCTGGGATTACAGGCACATGCCACCACATGCGTCTAAGTTTTGTATTTTTAGTAGAGATGGAGTTTCACCATGTTGGCCAGGCTGGTCTCCAACTTCTGGCCTCAAGTGATCCGCCCACCTCAGCCTCCCAAAGTGCTGGGATTACAAGCGTGAGCCACCGTGCCCAGCCCCCAGCATCCTTTTCTGTCCCTTGTACACCTCCTCCCCCAGCCTGGGGGTTCCTTGGAGATCAGTCTGGGACTGGAGGGGTTTGAGGGACCCCAGTATCTCCCAGCAAGGACTGCACCACACAGCGAAGAAACGAATGAAAGGGCTGGGCGCAGTGCCTCACGCTTGTAATCCCAGCACTTTGGGAGGCCAAGGGGGGGTGGATCACCTGAGGCCAGGAGTTCAAGACCAGCCTGGCCAACATGGTGAGACTCTGTCTCTACTAAAAATACAAAAATTAGCAGGTGTGGTGGCGTGTGCCTATAGTCCCAGCTACTCAGGAGGCTGAGGCAGGAAAATCACTCTAACTCAGGAGGCAGAGGTTGCAGTGAGCTGACATCATGCCACTGCACTCCAGCCTGGGCAACAGAGCAAGACTCCATCTCAAAAAAAGAAAAAAAGAAAAAAGAAAAAATGGATGGATGGATGGATGGATGGATGGATGGATGGATGGTTGGATGGGTGGATAAGTGAAAGGGTGAAGAAGAAAAAAGGACTAGAGAGACCCTCATGGCCACCCACCCTGGGATGCCTACCTTCACTGACCAACCCCCCACCACAATCCTCCAACTCTCTCTTCTTAGATGAGAAACTGAAGCCCAGGAAGGAGTGTTGACCCAGCCAAGATCACGCATCCGAGAGTAGGGGCACCAGAGGGGGTTGAAGCAAGAGTGGGATGGTGGGTGAGGGTTTGGGAATGGTAGAGGGGTCCTCACCAACACCGCAGGAAGTGGCTGACCCCAGCTGTGGGACCCTCATACTGCCAGGAGCACTCGTAACGATCACTGGATATCCGATAGCATCTCAGGTCCCTAGGGCCCGAGGCCGAGCCTGGAAGAGATCCTGTAGGCTTGGGAACAGACCAGAGTCTGGAGGGGTCTTCGTGCCTAAGACAAATCTTTGTGATGCTTACATCTTTCAGCGTCACCTCAGCCTAAACCCTCCCCGCGTCCTTCCTACCTCATCCCCTGCCGTCTCTCACCTCAACCTATTCCGAATCCTCAGCCTCCTAACTTGTCCTCACAGAGGCCAGATGTCCTGCCACCTCTCTCTCTATCCCTCACCCTCCTCTGGTGTTTTTTTTTGGGGGGTCCCCAGGGCCCCAACTTTCCTCCTCTGGTTCTTCAAAACACATCATCACATTTGTGATAGACATTTGTTTGCCTGTTGTCTATCTCTTCCACTAGGCTGTGGTCTTGGGAAGTTAGTTGAGCTCATAGCCAGTTGCCTATGTCTAGAACTGTGTCCGCACATAGAAGATGCTCAGTAAATCGTTATCAAACAAAAGAATGGACAGCGTGTCTGCTTAGTGTTCAGACCCTTTTCAGGGTGCATTAGGAGCATAAATGTTCCGACAATATGGCCGGGCACGGTGGCTCATTCCTGGAATCCCAGCACTTTGGGAGGCTGAGGCAGGTGGCTCACCATCACCTGAGCTCAGGAGTTCAAGACCAGCCTGGGCGACATGGTGAAACCTGGTCTCTACTAAAAATACAAAAATTAGCCGGGTGTGGTGGCGGGCACCTGTAATCCCAGCTACTTGGAAGGCTGAGGCTGGAGAATAGCTTGAACCTGGAAGGTGGAGGTGGCAGTGAGCTGTGATCAGGCCACTGCACTCCAACCTGGGCAGCAGAACAAGACTCCGTCTCAAAAATAAATAAATGAAATAAATGTTCTAATAATTTATCAGGTTGGGGGGGGGGCTTCAAAATGCTTAACAGGTACTTTCTCCCATGTACCGACCAATCTGAACGGACACAGACACCAGCCCTGAGACCATGCTAGGGAAGTGATAATGTTCAGAGAGGCGGCTGGCTACTCCAGGGCAACTTGAACCTGGTAAGAATGGGCCAGCAGGTGGTGGGGTGGGGACTCCCAAGACCACAGGCAGGGCTGGGTCTTTGGCCTGGTGGTGGAGGCCATGGGAGGGGCCGCTGTGGATGGGGTCAGGCAGAGCCCTACATAATCCTCAGCCAACAATGAGGAACTGCCCCGAACCTGAGTCTGCATCCGGATATGGCGGGTCCTGAAAACAGCACTCACTGGTTCTGCAGGCAGCTGCAAAGGCAATGAAGACATAATGACATTCCTGGCCTTGCACTGTGTGGGGAGAAGGGCTCAGCCTTGGGGTCTACACCCAAGTGATCATCAGCCCTCCCACCCACCCACTTTCCCATCTATGCACCCTCCTACCACCACCCATCCATCCATCTGCCCATGTATTTATCTGCCCATCTACCCATCCATCCATGTATTTATTCATCCGTCCACCATCTACCCATCCATCCACCCATGAATTCATCCATTCACCCATCCATCCATCCATCCATCCATCCATCCATCCATGTATTCATCCATCATCCATCCACCCCACCATCCACCCATCTACCCATCCATCCATCCATGTACTCATCCATCCATCCACTCATCTACCCATCCATCTATCCAACCATCCATGTATTCATTCATCCATCCACCCATCTATCCATCCATCCATCCACCTCACCATCCACCCATTCACCCATCCATCCATGTATTCATCCATCCATGTATTCATCCATCCATGCACCCATCTACCCATCCATCCATCCATCCATCCATCCATCCATCCACCCCACCATCCACCCATTTACCCATCCATCCATGTATTTATCCATCCATGTATTCATCCATCCATCCACGCATCTACCCATCCATCTATCCATCCATGTGTTCATTCATCCATCTACTCATCCATCCATCTGCCCCACCATCCATCCATCCACGTATTCATACATCCATCCATCCACCCCACCATCCGTCCATCCATCCACGTATTCATCCATCCATCCATCCACCCCCCATCCATCTATCCATCCATCCATCCATCCATCCATCCATCCATCAATCCATGTATTAATCCATGCATCCACCCCACCATCCACCCATTTATCCGTCCATTCGTCCATTCATCCATCCATCCATGTATTAATCCATCCATCCATCCATCCATCCATCCCACCATCCACCCATTCACCCATCCATCCATGTATTCATTAGTCCATCCATCCATCCATCCATCCATGTATTTATCCATGCATCCATGCATTCATTAATCCATTATCCATTCACCCAACCATCCATCTATCCATCTAGTCACCAATCTATCCATCTATCCATCCACGTATTCATTCATCCATACACCCACCCATCCATCCATTTATCTACCTACCGATATATCCATCCAGCCATCCATCCATCCATCCATCCATCCATCCATCCATCCATACATACATACATGTATTTATTAATTCATCCATCCATTCATTTACCCACCCATCCACCTGTCTATCCATTCATCCACCACCCTTTAGTCCTCAGAGGTTGAGATGCATATTTGGGAGACACTCTCGGGAGGTACCCCTGCAGGAAAGAACAGTAAGACCAACAGTCTGGAGGGCAGAGAGAAGTGGAGGTGTGCCTGGGGTGGCACCAGTGTCTGAAGCCAGCATGGGGAAAGACAGTAGAGGGTGCATGGCAGGGAGAGGCCTGCCAGGGCTGGCCCAGGCAAGCACACTTGGCCCACTAGCAGTCAGGGCAATTATTAATAACATTTCTCCAGGAGGCAGCGACCTCCCTCAGCCACTGGGATCCCCGTGCCCTTTGGGATTGCCACAGTCTGCTAGGTGTGGAACTGGGTGAGAGAAGGAGGGGGATGCCACCATGGATGGGTCAGGAAGACCCCGGCGCCCTCACTCCCACAAGAAGGACCTGTCCTGAGCCCTGCAGGCAGATTGGAAGCCTTGGGGGAGAAGGCGGCACCCCAGGAAACAGCCCCAAGTGTCCAACCTTGAGGGGGGAAAGATGCTTAACACACAAGGCTCTCCATCCTTCCATCTCTCTCTGTGATGACACAGAACCCCCACCCACCCACCCACCCCTGAGAGCCTAAAGCCCATCCTCCTTCCCTTTCCCTGGACTGACCACTCACTGCCACTATCTCCAGGATACCTCGTGGGCTGCCTCTCGCCCCCTCCCTGCTGCTGGTCTCCAGCCATGCCTGGCCCCTGAAGGCGCTGGGACCTTGAGGTGTGGCCAGCACTGCTGTGGGCATTCTACAGGCACTCAGTGCATCTCAAGAGCCATTGAAAAAGTCAGCACCCCGCTGATCCCCAGTGTACAGAGAAGGAAAGTTTATTTATTATTATTATTATTGAGATAGAGTCTTGCTCTGCCACACAGGCTGGAATGCAGTGCTGCAATCTCGGCTCACTGCAACCTCTGCCTCCTGGGTTCAAGCGATCCTCCCACCTCAGCTCCTAAGTAGCTGGGAGTACAGGTGCCCATCATCAAGCCTGGCTAATTTTTGCATTTTTAGTAGAGATGGGGTTTCACCATGTTAGCCAGGCTGGTCTCGAACTCCTGACCTCAAGTGATCCACCCATCTTGGCCTCCCATAGTGCTGGATTTTCAGGAGTGAGTCACCGTGCAGGGCCTGAGATTATTAAAAGTATATGGGAAGGCTGGGCATGGTGGCTCATGCCTGTAATCTGAGCACTTTGGGAGGCCAAGGTGAGTGGATCATTTGAGCCCAGGAGTTCGAGACCAGCCTGGGCAACACAGCGAGACGCTGTCTCTGTAAAAAGTATACACCAAAAAAATTAACCAGGCATGGTAGTGTGCACCTGCAGTCCCAGCTACTCAAGGGGCTAAGGCAGGAGGATCACTTGAGCCCAGGTGGTCAAGGCTGCAATGAGTTATGATTAGGCCACTGCACTCCAGCCTGGGACACAGAGTGAGACCCTACCTCAGTAAATAAATAAATAAATAAATAAATAAATAAATAAATAAATAAATAAGTAAAGTATACGGAAGGATGTGCATAGGTTATATGCAAATACTTTACCATTTTATATCAGGAACTTGAGCATCTTTGGATTTTGGTATCTGCAGAGGGTCCTGGAACCATTGCCCCGTAAATATGGAAATGACTGTATACATTATATTATGTATGTCTATCTATTGTAAACTACATACATAAGATACTATACTATGTATACCTATTAGATACATACTTGCTTTTTATTCCTTCCTTAGTTTTTTTTCTCATTGAACTCCGGGAGGTGGAAAAAATTTAGTGCATTTCACAGAAGAGAAAATCTAGACCAGAGGAAAGATGTCTAAGTTCGATCCCAGAAGCCATGACTGCCCATCTCCCATTTGACAGCAGGAAAGACTGAGGCACAGAGAGATGAAACCAACCCACACAGCAGGCCCACAGCTCTCCACACATACACGTGCCTCCACCCAGCAAGAGGAGCCGCCATGCCAGGGTCAGGGGACTCACCGCCCTGCCTGGACAGCAGGAAGAGGAAGAGGAGGGGGACCACCCAGGTCACCAGCGGCTCCATCGGATCCACGTAGAGCCCCACAGCCCCAGGGGAGCCTCTCTGCCACCTGCGAGGTTCAGCCACCCCGTCCCCACTCCGGAACACATTGAAGCTGAGCAAGGAGAAAAGACTGAAAAAAAAGAAAAAAGAAAAAAAGTAAAGTGTCACAGCCCATCCCTAAGGCAAGTCAAAGTGAAAGAGAAACCCAGGAAGTCAGCTCCGTGGTGGTGGTGATGGTGGCGGCCACAGACTCTGGAGCAAGTCTGACTTTGGAGCAAGTCAGGGTTCTAGGGGGTTCTGCCCTGCTGGCCCCAGACCTGAACTGAACACCCAGATGCCAGCCCCATGGGCCCATGGGCCACCTGTGGTTCCATGCACTTGGCCAGGTCTCTGGCCCTCTCTAGCCAATTTTTTTTTTTTTTTTTGAGATGGAGCCCTGCTCTGTCGCCCGGGCTGGAGTGTGGTGGCATGATCTCCACTCACTGCAACTTCTGCCTCCCGGGTTCAAGCAATTCTCCTGCCTCAGCCTCCCGAGTAGCTGGAATTACAGGCAACTGCCACAACATCGAGCTAATTTTTGTATTTTTAGTAGAGACAGGGTTTCACCATGCTGGCCAGGCTGGTCTCGAACTCCTAACCCTAAGTGATCCACCCACCTCAGCCTCCCAAAGTGCTGGGATGACAGGCGTGAGCTACCGTGCCTGGCTGCCAAATTCTTTTTTTCTTCTTTTGAGATAGGGTCTTGATCTGTGGCCCAGCTGTAGTGCAGTGGTGCAATCACGGCTCACTGCAACATCAACCTCCCCAGGCTCAGGCCATCCTCCTACCTCAGCCTCCCCAGGAACTGGGACTACAGGCATGCACCACCACGCCCAGCTAATTTTTGCATTTTTTTTTTTTTAAGAGAGGGGGTTTTGCCATGTTGCCCAGGCTGGTCTCAAACTCCCGGGTTCAAATGATCCGTCCGCCTTGGCCTACCAAAATTCTGGGATCACAGGCGTGAGCCACCGCACCGGGCCATCTCGCCAGCTTCTGAATCTGAGACTCAAGAGCTGAAGGAGGGCAGTGTTCTTGGATGGCCTAATTTCATCCTTCCAACAAATTGTTACAAAGAGCTTGCAGCATGCTGGCCCTCCACAATGCCCACCTCCCCACATGCCAAGCTCCAGCCTTGTGCACCTGGGCTCACCCCTCTAATCCCAGCACTTTGAGAGGTCGAGGTGGGAGGATCACTTGACCCCAGGAGTTTGGGTCTACCTAAACAACATAGCAAGACCCCATCTCTATAAAAAATAAAGAATTAGGCCAGGCGCGGTGGCTCACGCCTGTAATCCCAGTACTTTGGGAGGCCAAGGCAGGTGGATCACGAGGTCAGGAGTTTGAGACCAGCCTGACCAAAATGGTGAAACCCTGTCTCTACTGAAAATACAAAAATTAACCGGGTGTGGTGGCAGGCACCTGTAATCCCAGCTACTGAGGAGGCTGAGGCAGGAGAATCGCTTGAACCCAGGAGGTGGAGGTTGCAGTGAGCCGAGATCGCGCCACTGCACTCCAGCCTGGGCAACAGAGTGACACTCCATCTCAAAATATATATATATATATAAATTAAAAGTTAGCCAGTCGTGGTGGCACACATCTGTATTCTCAGCTACTCAGGAGGCTGAGGTGGGAGAATGGCTTGAACCCAGGAGGTTGAGGCTGCAGTGAATCGTGATTGTGCCACTGCACTCCAGTCTGGGTAACAGAGCAAGATCCTGTCTCTTAAAAAAAAAAAAAAAAAAATTTAAGAGATGCAACTTAGTCTTTCCCCCATGTTCCATTTCTTAGCCTCTGAGTATTTTGTTTCCTGCCCCTCCCTCCCCACTGTCGGCAAAGCCTCTAAATGTCAGTGGAGAAGCTCTGATCCAAGCTACCATGTGGATGAACCCTCAAAAACATAATGCTGGGCTGGGTGCAGTGGTTCACATCTGTAATTCCAACACTTTGGGAGGCCGAGGTGGGCGGATCACCTGAGGTCAGGAGTTTGAGACCAGCCTGGCCAACAAGGCGAAACCCTGTCTCTACTAAAAATACAAAAATTTGCCAGGCCTGGTGACATGTGCCTGTAATTCCAGCTATTCGGGAGGCTGAGGCAGAGAGAATTACTTGAACCTGGGAGGTAGAGGTTGCAGTGAGCTGAGATCGTGCCACTGCACTCCAGCCTGGGTGACAGAGTGAGACTCCATCTCAAAAAAAAAAAAACACACATACACAAAAAAAAAAACCCATCATGCTGGGTGGACGAAGATGGACAGGAAAGGCACACACTGTATGATTCCACTTATATAAAATATCCAAAATAGGCAAATGTACAGAGGCAGACAGTAGCTGAGTGGTTGTCAGGGGCTGGGGGGAGGCGGGAGTGAGAAGTGACTGCTGATGTATGCGGGGTTTCCTTTTGGGGTGATGCAAATGTTCTGGAACCAGATAGAGGTGGTGGTTGCACAACACTGAATGTGCTAAATGTCACTGAATCGTTTGCTTTAAAATGATGAATTTCCGGCCCGGGCGCGGTGGCTCACTCCTGCAATCCCAGCACTTGGGAGGCCGAGCCAGGTGGATCATTTGAGGTCAGGAGTTCGAGACCAGCCTGGACAACACAGTGAAACCCAGTCTCTACTAAAAATACAAAAATTAGCTGGGCGTGATGGCATGCACCTGTAATCCCAGCTACTCAGGAGGCTGAGGCAGGAGAATCGCTTGAACCCGGGAGGCAGAGGTTGCAGTGAGCCGAGATCACACCACTGCACTCCCACCTGGGTGAGAGAGTGAGACTATGTCTCAAAAAAAAAAAAAAAGATGAATTTTAGGTTACGTGAGATGCATCTACAGAAAAAAGAAATATTCTTAGAGTCCAGGGGCACTGAGGAGGGAGAAGGAGAGGGTCTCTCCTGGGGATGAGCATCTGTGGAAACTGAGGCCCAAGTGGCCAGGGTTGTGCAATGCGGTTCAGCTTCCTGGGAGGAGGTCCCTCCTTCAAGAAGCCTGGCTCCGAGGGGCAGCTGAGCTGGCCAGGGTCAGGCGCCCAGCAGGCTATGAGGTCAGTGAGTTAGGGACAAAGACTCAGTGTCCTGGGCCTGGCACAGTGGGGACGGGGGCCCTGTGACCCCATACAGGACAGCCTTCTCTGGCCCCGGGGCCCAGGCCAGGGTCAGCTGGGGGATGGATGTGTGAGGCCTGGGGGAGGGGCAGAGACAGAGAAAGGGACAGAGATAGAGAGATACATAAAGATGGAGGAGGCCAGGCAGGGTGGATTATGCCTGTAATCCAGCACTTTGTGAGGCCAAGGCAGGAGGATTGCTGTAGGCTAGGAGTTCAAGAGCAGCCTGGGCAACATGGTGAGACTCCATCTCTACAAAAAATAATTTGCTGGGCATGGTGGCAGGTGCCTGTAGTCCCAGCTACCTGGGAGGCTGAGGCTTAAGCCAGGGAGGTCGAGACTGCAGTGAGCTCTAATTGCGCCACTGCACTCCAGCCTGGGCCACAGAGCAAGACCCTGCTCAAAAAATAACAAGAAAGGTGGAGGAAATAGGTAGAGATCAGAGGAAAGTCATGGCCCCCTCCTGACCATCCTGAGACCCTCCCAACTCCACCAATTCCTGGAGAGTCCCTCACTTGCCTTATTTCACAGATTGGGAAACTGAGTCCAGGGGCACTCAGACCACCTGAGGCCCCAGCTGGAGATGAAGAGATGGATTCAAACCACCCCTTGTGGAGTATAGTTTTGCCCCTTCCAGAGTGGAGACCGTGCCTCAGGGCTTCCCCCACCCGCACCAAGGTTGGCCCTCTCAGGCCTCATCTTTCCCACCTGCAAAATGGGCTTTTGTGAGTATGAAGGAGGGCTTGGCTTGCAGTGAGCGCTGTCCACCCGCTGGCCAGTGTGATTAGTCATTGTTGTTGTTCCCCAGTGGCCTCTGCCTGGCAGCTGCTGGAAAAACATCGAGGGAGGGAGATACAGGGCTGGGGAGGTGAAAAGCTGGACACAGACGCCCCTAGCCCCTTGGGATCAGGAACAGATGGAGGCCGGGTGCCCTGAAGTGGAGCAGGGAGGACTGCCTGGAGGAGGGACACTTGAGCTAGAATGTATAGAATTACAGGGCATCTCCGGCAGAGGCCACAGCAGAGGCAAAAGTCCAGAGGAGGTGCTTTGGGGACCACCAAGATGGACACAGTGGGTCTGGGTTTCTGTGGGGTGATGGGCTGGGGCCTCGAGCGCCAGGCTAAAGGGCCTGGCTTTCTCCGAGGGCGGTAGGGAGCCATGGCAGGTGTGTGAGCTGGAGGGGTACCCCAGACAAAGGTGAAGTGGTATTTCTCCCCTTATTGAAGTCACAACCTGACACTCCCTCTGAAGTTCCCCACATCCCACCTTCCCCTTGCCACATCTTGGCAAGCCCACCTCCTTCCCTCCGTCTCTAGGCCTGCCAAGAGGCCCTGTGGGCCCCTTATGGCCCCACCCAGCTGCCCCAGAAGCTCGTCTGAGATAAGTTCCCAGGGCTGCCCCACTTTCAGGTGCCCCACAGACTCGGGGGCGGGTGAAGCAGGAAGGATCGAGTCACGAGGGCCCCAGAAAACATGACGGGAGGAACCACAGCACTTCCCCACCTCCTCAGCTTCCGCCTTCTCAGGGAGAGAGACCTTCAGCCCGAGGAGGAGGGCCGAGCTTCCCTCCATGTGGCAAGAGACCCTAACGTCGCTGAGGATCATCTAAAGAGGGTGTTGAAGGATGCATAGGAGTTAGCCAGGAGACAACCCATTTGTTAATTTAACAAACTCATAGGCATCACTCATCAACAAGAACAATTTTCATCATTCAATCAGGACTTTCTAATGCCTCTGAGGGATCATTTGAGGATGTTTAATTATTATTTTTATTTGAGACAGGGTCTCACTCTGTTACCCAGGCTGGAGTGCAGTGACACAATCATAGCTCACTGCAGCCTCAACCTCCCAGTTTCAAGCTATCCTTCTACCTCAGCCTCTGATATAGCTGAGACACAGGCCAATGCCACCATGATGCCTGGCTTTTCTTTTTTTTTTTTTTTTTTTTACTTTTGAGACAGAGTCTTGCTCAGTCACCCAGGCTGGAGTGCAGTGGTGCGATTTCAGCTCACTATAACCTCCGCCTCCTGAGTTTAAGCAATTCTCCTGCCTCAGCCTCCTGAGTAGCTGGGATTACAGACATGCACCACCACACCCAGCTAATTTTTGTATTTGTAGTAGAGATGGGGTTTCACCATGTTGTCCAGGCTGGTCTCAAATGCCTGACCTTAAGTGATCTGCTGGCCTCGGCCTCCCAAAGGGCTGGGATTACCGGCGTAAGCCACCGCCCCTCGACCATCCAGCTTTTTTTTTTTTTTTTTCAGTTTTTGGTAGAAATGTGGTCTCATGCCTGTATCCCAGCACTTTGGGAAGGCCGAGGTGGGCAGATCACTTGAGGTCAGGAATTCGAGACTAGCCTGACCAACATGGAGAAACCCCGTCTCTACTAAAAATACAAAATTAGCCGGGCATGGTGGCTCCTGTCTGTAATCCCAGCTACTTGGGAGGCTGAGGCAAGAGAATCACTTGAACCTGGTAAGCGGGGTTTGCGGTGAGCCAAGATCGTGCCATTGCACTCCAGCCTGGGCAACAAGAGTGAAATTCTGTCTCAAAAAAATAAAATAAAATAAAAATACAAAATTAGCCAGGCATGGTGGCACGCGCCTGTAATCCTAGCTACTCAGGAGGCTGAGGCAGGAGAATCGCTTGAACCTGGTAGGCGGAGGTTGCAGTGAGCTGAGATTGTGCCACTGCACCCCAGCCTAGGAGACAAGAGCAAAACTCTGTCTGAAAAAAAAAAAAAAAAAGAAATGTGGTCTCACTATGTTGCCTAGGCTGGTCTCAAACTCCTGGTCTCAAGGGATCCTCCCACCTCAGCCTCCCAAAGTGCTGGGATTACAGGCATGAGCCACCGCTCCCAAACAGATTAGAGGATGTTTTAAGGAAGACTCAGGAGGTTACCAAGAAAAAAGTTCATTCAACCACCACACTTCCTGATGTCCCTTATAGAGACATGTGAGGAGAGTTTTGATGGGTACATAGAAGCTCACAAGAATAAAATGTATTTGTTCATTCAATACAAGGTCCTCTGATACTTCTCAAAGAGAATTTGAAGTGGATTTTGAAGAATATATAGATGTTAGGCCGGGCACAGTGGCTCATGCCTGTAATCCTAGCACTTTGGGAGGCTGAGGTGGGTGGATCGCCTGAGGTCAGGAGTTTGAGACCAGCCTGGCAAACATGGTGAAACCCTGTCTCCACTAAAAATACAAAGATTAGCCGGGTGTGGTGGCAGGTGCCTGTAATTCCAGCTACTCGGGAGGCTGAGCGCAGGAGAATTGCTTGAATCCAGGAGGCGGAGGTTGCAGTGAGCCGAGATTGCTCCACTGCACTTCAGCCTGGCCAACAGAGCTGGACTTTTGTCTCAAAAACAAAAAACAAAAAAACACAAATATATATATATATATACTTGTGTGTGTGCGTGTGTGTGTGTGTGTGTGTGTTAACCACAGAAAAACTGCATTCATTCATTCAGTCAGTCCAGTCAGTCACTCAATAAGCACTCCTTCTTGCCCACTGAGGGGTTGTTCAGGAGGCAGTTCAGTGTAGGAATTCTCCAGATGGAGCAGCGGATTTGAGACCTCTCTGGTGGCTCTCTCCAGCATGTTCCCACATGCCCAACCCAACCCTGGTTCAGGGAACCTCTCTTTCCCCAGGATTCCAGTCAAAGCCCCAGGGAGGGCTCTGATAGGCTGAGCTTGGGTCACATGTACACCTTGAACCAATCACAGTGGCTGAGGTGGATAAACGAGTCTGAGTCACATGTCCACCCCAGGCTGGACTAAGGGAGAACTTTGAGGCAGAGCTGCCCAGAGTCAGAACAATTGGCCATTGCAGGACATGAGCTTCTCATCACTTGGGGTGTGCAAGCTACAGCCTGAAGTTCACTTAGTGTAGGACTGCCAGATAAAACACACGACTTCCCCACCCCCATTGACTTCTGCCTTCTCAGGGACCTTCAGCCCGAAGAGTGGGGAGCTTCCCTCCATGTGGCCAAGAGACCCTGATGCCCCTGAGGGGTCATCTAAAGAGGGTGTTGAAGGATGCATAGGAGTTTGCCAGGAGAAAATCTATTCATTCATTTAACAAACTCACTCGTAGTCATTATTCATTAAATAACATTTAAATTAAATTCCCAGTTAAATTGGAATTTCAGACAACCAACATATTGGTTTGTGTTTTGTTTTGTCTTGTTTTGTTTTGTTTGAGATGGAGTCTCGCTCTGTCACCCAGGCTGGAGTGCACTGGCACTATCTCAGCTCACTGCAACCTCTGCCTCCCAGGTTCAAGTGATTCTCCTGCCTCAGCCCCCCGAGTAGCGGGGATTACAGGCGTGCCCCATTACGCCCCCTTAATTTTTGTAGTTTTAGTAGAGACGCGGTTTCACCATGTTGCCCAGGCTGGTCTCAAACTCCTGACCTCAGATGATCCACCCACCTCAGCCTCCCAAAGTGCTGGGATTACAGACATGAGCCAGCACACACGGCCAACACATTGTTGTTTAATGCAACTATGTCCCAAGTACTGAAGGGGGCATACTTACACTGAAAAAACATTCATTGTTTATGGAAATTTAAATTTAACTGGGTGTTTGCTTTGGAAAACAGCCTGGTTGTCTTTTACAAATTTAAAATATAGAGTTGCTGGGCGCAGTGGCTCATGCCTGTAATCCCAGCACGTTGGGAAGCCAAGGCAGGAGGATCGCTTGAGCCCAAGATTTTGAGATCAGCCTGGGTAACATGGCGAAACCTTGTCTCTACAAAAAATACAAAAAATTAGCTGGGCATGGCGGCATGTGCCTGTAGTCTCAGCTACTCCGCCCTCCAGCCTGGGCGAAAGAGCAAGACCCTGTCCCAAAACAAAACAAAACAACCCAAAACATAGAGTTACACCATATGACCCCGGAAGTCCATTCCTAGGTAAGTACCCAAGAGAACCAAAATATATCCACAAAGGCAGGGGGCGGTAGCTCACACCTGCAATCCCAGCCTTTCGGGAGGCCAAGGTGGATGGATCACTTAAAGGTCAGGAGTTTGAGACCAGCCTGGCCAACATGGTGAAACCCCCGTCTCTACTAAAAATGCAAAAATTAGCTGGGAGTGGTGGCGGGTGTCTGTAATCCCAGCTACTCAGGAGGCTGAGGCAGGAGAATCAATTGAACCTGGGAGGCAGAGGTTGCAGTGAGCCAAGATCCCGCGACTGCACTCCAGCCTGGGCATCAGAGCAACACTTCATCTCAAAATAAATAAATAAAGAAATAAATCTATGCAAAAAGTTGTATGCCAATGTTTATAGCAGCTCTATTCAGAATAGCTACCAAAATGTGAAAAAATCCAAGTGACCACCAACAAATGAGTGGATCAACAAAATGTACATGTACATATATACAATGGAATATTATTTGGTCATGAAACGGAATGAAGTACTGATATTTGCCACAACATGGGTGCATCTTGAAAGCATGATGCTGAACGAAGCCAGACACATAAGGCCACATGTTATGTTTTCATTTTTATGAAATATCCAGCACAGGAAAATTCATAGAACAGGAAGCAGATTGGTAGTTGCCAGGGGCTGAGAGAGGGGGAATGAGGACTGGCTGCTAATAGGTACAGGGTTTCTTTTGGGGATGATACAAATGTCCTGGAATCAGATCGTGGTGATGGTTACACAACTCTGTGAGTATGCTTAAAACACTGAATTTATTGCACACTTTAAAAGCGTGAATTTTATGGTATGTGAATTATATGTCAATTTTTAAAATTGTATGAGAAAAACAAGTTTTCCCTGGCATCCTGTATTTTTATTTGCTCAATCTGGCCACCATAACTTGATGCAATTCTACAGTACCTCATGGACAGTCAGGCCCAGTGACCCTTCCTAGGGTCCCCTCGAGCCTGAAAGCATACTCCAGTGTCCACACTGTACAGTGGGGCAGCCGAAGACAACTGCGGCTGCAGAGAAAGTGCGAGTCCCAGGGAAAGAAAAAATGCAGGTGCTAAGCCAGGCACAGTGGCTCATGCCTGTAGTCCCAGCGCTTTGGGAGGCTGATGCAGGAGCATCACTTGAGGCCAGGAGTTCGAGACCAGCGCGGGAAACATGGCGGTACTCCATCTCTACAAAAAAAACCCAAAAAAATTAGCCAGGCATGGTGGCATGTGCCTGTGGTCCCACCTACTCTGGGAGCTGGGGTATGGGGGCTGAGGCAGGAAGATCGCTTGAGCCCGGGAGGTAGAGGCTGCAATGAGACAAGATTGCACCACTGCACTCCAGCCTGGGTGACAGAGAGAGACCCTGTCTCAAAAAAAAAATTTTTTTTTAAATGTGGGTGCTATTTTGGGACTTTGGGCTTTTCTCAGCCTCAGTTTCCCCTCCTGCAAAATGGAGTAGAACAATTATCTTCAAATATCTGTGAGAGATGGTGTTTATGAGACACTTAGGGCAAAAAGGCAATCATCCTCAAAAAAGAAACTGACAACTGCAGCGGCTACCTGCTTTTGTAAGTAAAGTTTTATTGGCACCAGGGCCAGGATTAAAGGGAGGCAAACAAGGCTGAGTGGTGCAAGGACAAGGGTCTGATCATGTCTTAAGAGTTTTAGTGTTTTGGCCAGGCAAAACACCAAAACTCTTTGGCCTGCAATCCCAGAACTTTGGGAGGCTAAGGTGGGTGAATCACCTGAGGCCAGGAGTTCGAGACAAGCCTGGCCAACATGGTGAGACCTCATCTCTACCAAAAATACAAAAAATCAGCCTGGTGTGGTGGTGGGCACCTGTAGTCCCAGCTACTAGGGAGGCTGAGGCATGAGAATAGCTTGAACCCAGGAGGCAGGGGTTGCCGAGATCATGCCACTGCATTCTAGTCTGGGCAACAGAGAGACTCGTCTCATAAATTAAAAAAAAAAAAAAAAAGTTTTGGTGTTTTGGCCATATGCGGTGGCTGACACCTGTAATCCCAACACTTTGGGAGGCCTAGGCAGAAGGATCTTTTGAGGCCAGGAGTTCAAGACCAGCCTGGGCAACATAGTGAGATCCCCGTCTCTAAAAATAAAATAAAAAATAAAAGTTTTGATGTTTTGTTCATCATAAATGTTTTCATTAATTTTATGTTTTTAAAATATTATTTCTCTTGATGGCTGAGTTTTGTGGGGCCACCTTAAATTTTGCACAGGGGTGAGATCCTCACTCGCCTCACCCTAGAACCCGTTCTGCTGTGTGTACTGGGCACATTTTTTGTTGTTGTTTTGTTTTTGTTTTTGAGACAGAGTCTCGCTCTGTCGCCCAGTCTGGAGTGCAGCGGCGCTATCCCGGCTCACTGTAACCTCCGCCTCTTGGATTCAAGCGATTCTCCTGCCTCAGTCTTCTGAGTAGCTGGGATTACAGGCGCGCGTCACCACCCCCAAGTAATTTTTTTTTTGTTTTGTTTTGGTTTTTTTTGTTTAGTAGAGACAGGGTTTCACCATGTTGGCCAGGGTGATCTCGAACTCCTGACCTCAAGTGATCTGCCCACCTCGGCCTCCCAAAGTGCTGGGATACAGGCGTGAGCCACTGCGCCCGGCCAATGCGCTGGGCATATTGATTAACCTATCTTAGCCTCAGTTTCTTCATCTGCAAAATGGGGCTGAACGATGCTGCCTTACTTCTGAGAGGATTCATGCAAAATATTTACTTCTGCGCTCTGCTGGAGGGGCGGGGCCAGCTCGCCCAGTGGGGGCGGGGCCCTGTGGTCGGGCTCCCCGGGAGGGGCGGGGCCAGGCCGTGTCAGCTGACCGGCCTGGCCAATGGCACCTGGCGGCGGGGCCTGGCAGGCCGGGGCGGGGCCGGGGGCGGGCCTGGCGGCGCGGACTCCCGGGCCATGGACGAGTCGAGCCTCCTGCGGCGCCGCGGGCTCCAGGTGAGGCCCCTGCGCGGGCGGGCGGAAGGCAGAGGGCGCGGCCAAGTGGACGCGGCCTGAAAGGTGCCGGGAGGGGCGGGGCCTTCACGGGCTGTAGGGAAACTGAGGCAGAGGGTGGGGAACGCTCAGATCGCTTCTTTTTGACCACCCGCTTCTCAAAGTGCTTTTTCTCATGGTGGGAAGGGGGAAGGTGCCCCCTTGGACATCTAGGGAAACTGAGGCTCCAAGCGATGGCGTGGGAGGAAGAGGCTGAGGGCTCTGCCCCTCCCCACCAGCTGTTCTAATAATAATGCTAGCAACAGCAGCCAGAGAGCTCACCATATGTTCATGGTTGTTTTAGTCCTATTACTAGCGATGTATTAATATGAGTTCATATGTATTAATACCTCCTTGGGTCGTCGCTGCACCACTGTACACCCTCAGCTCAGCCCTACGACGACCTGGGGAGGTTGGGGCTGTCAGGCGCCCATTTGTCAGAATAAGGAAACTGAGGCTCTAGTCCCGGAAAGCCACTCTCCAGAGGTCGCCTAGCTGGGATTCGATCTGCGCCCTCAACCAGCTCTCTTACGGCACAAGGCGCTGCCAACCAGCAGTGTGACCTGGGGGGAGGGCACCCTTGCTTCTCTGGGCCTCAGTTTTCCAATGAGCCATAGGGTCCTCCTTTTACTGAGTTTATGTTTAGGAGGCTGTGTCATCAGGAGGTAGGGACACAGGCGTCGGGGACAGCAGAAGCCTAAGTTTGAAGCCACACAGGGACTACATGACCCCGGGCAGCCACCCTTTGACTTCTCTGGGCCTCAGTGTCCCCATTATAAGAAAAGAAAAACAGGAATTAAGATTTGGCCATTTTCCTCTGGGACTTAGACCACACCCTTAAGAAGCCACCAAGTTTTCAGGTAGGGAACCTGGGATTCAGCACTTACCCAACGAACATTTATGGAGCGCCTGCTGTGTGCCTGGCTCTGGAGAGGCAGCGGAGTGTTCTGCAACCTCTGGAGCTGCCCTCCTAGAAACCCCAACCTGTTGGGGGAGGTAGACGCCAGAGCAGCGGTGACCCCACGGAGTGATCAGTTGTGATAAGGGACTCACAGCAAGTGAAGGAGGCGCCTGACCCAGTCATTGCTGGGAGCCCTGGGGTAGAGGAGGCAGCCAAGGGTGGCGAGGCATTGCAGCGGGGGGCGGTATTTAGGGAAATGAAAGAGGTTGACAGAAGCTGGAACCTAGGGAGGACTGAGCAGGTGGGGTGGGGGTCGGGGACTGAGGTTAGCTCCGGGCGGGTTGAGGGGGTGAGAGGAATGGGGCCGGCGGGTCTCCAACCTGGAGCCGCACCGGTAGCTGCGGGACTGCGAACTCAGCAGGTGATGGGAAGCCAGGTCGGGAGTGGTCAGGGAAGGCACGGGCTGAGCTGCAGATCAGAGACACCCGGTCTCTGGCCGCGCGGGGGTGGGGCAGAACTGGAGGCGCTGAGGCCAGAGGCAAGAGTGGGGGACTTGGGCGGAAAGGAGGGGGCGGGGCGGGATTGGCGAGCAGCGTGGTGTTGGTGGGGGGGCAGTCCCGCCTCCAGCCCCAGTTAGATGCCAACCCGCCCGCAGCCTCTTAAAATAGAGAAACCGCCTCCGGGTAGGCGAATGGGGGTGCTGCTGACGTCAAGAAGTGGGGCCTGTTCCATGGTGGGGGGGTCAAACATTTCCTGATGGTAAGTTCTATGTTACAAAAGGGGAAACTGAGGTTCAGAGAAGCATAGCCACTGTCCGGGTTTCACAAAGTATAGGTGACAGAGTCAGACAGGATTTGAACCCACGCAGTTCCGGCTTCCTCTCCAAACCAACCCAGCACAGGCGTCCCTCCACGAAGGTGGAGGGATGAGCACGGATTCCCCGACTGAATGAGGGCATTCCGGGCAGAGGCCACAGCACGTGCAAAGGCCCAGAGGCATGTAGCCTTTCTTACCTGTTTATATGGGGAAACAAGAACTTGAACCTATTTCTTAGCACTAGAGGCTGATGGCCAGGACTTAATGCTTCCAGGGCCTTCAGTGCTGATTTTGAAGAGGTTAGACTTTCCCCCTAGGGTGATGGGGAGCTATGGAAGGTGCTGGAGCAGGAGAGGACATGCCCATATTGAGGGGCTGGGAAGACTCCTCTGGAGGGCTAGGAGCAGGAGTGGGGGAATCAAAAAGGGCAGGAAGCCAGGAAGGAGCATGGAATGAAAGTCTAAGTGTACCAGGTGTGGTGGCTCATGACTGTAGTCCCAGCTACTCAAGGAGGCTGAGGCAGAAGGATCTCTCTCTCTCTCTCTTTTTTTTTTTTTTGAGAAAGAATCATGCTCTGTTACCCAGGCTGGAGTCCAGTGGCGCAATCTCGGCTCACTGCAACCTCCACCTCCCGGGTTCAAGTAATTCTCCCTGCCTCAGCCTCCCGAGTAGCTGGGATTACAGGCACATGTCACCACGCCCGGCTAATTTTTGTATTTTTAGTAGAGACGGGGTTTCGCCATGTTGGCCAGGCTGGTATCAAACTCCTGATCTCAGGTGATCCGCCCACCTCGGCCTCCCAAAGTGCTAGAATTACAGGCGTGAGCCACCGCGCCCAGCCAAGAAGGATCTCTTGAGCCCAGGAGTTTGAGGCTATAGTGAGCCATGATCACGAGACCCTATCTCAAAAATAAAAATAAAGGTCCAAGTGGAAGAAGATTAAAATAATAATAAAATAATAGTAAAGTGGGAATAACCGTTCATATTAACAGGCTAAGCCCTCTCATGCATTCAATTCTCCCAACAGCCCGAGTGGTCAGTGCTATTATTAGTTCCACTTTTCAAAGGAAGAAACTGAGGCCCAAAGAGGGAAGTACCCACCAGGAAGCCAGAGAAATTCTAACCAATCTGGCACGTGAAGGTGTTGTCTTCATCAGCCCCAGTTTGGGGTCTCTTTTGACTGGAAACCTTGTTAATGGTCCAGGAGCACCCCAGCCAATCAGGGGGTAGATCGCTGATGCGAGCCAATCAGATTTCCTGGAGGCCAAAGGCCAAAGAGTCCATTCACAAACGGGTGCTGACCGGCCAATCCAGACGCATAGCCCAGGGCGTCCTCTCCGGTGGTGACAATGTGAGGCGTGCTGTTGGCTGTGTGCAGGAAAGGTCTGAAAAAGGATCCGGCCTGGCCCGCGGGCGGCCAGTTTGCGACAGCCCTGGGTCCAGGGAGGAGGTGGAGACCTTCCCAATTTGGGTTAAACTCAGCCTCACGCATAACGTGTGCAGGCACCGGGTAACGTGAGCTGTTATTACTACTACTACTATTATCTTATTACATTTATCATCTCCTACTTGGACCTTTGCTTTACACATGACCGAATTTCAAAACACCAGGTCCCACAAACAGAGCATCCCCCGGCAGAGAAGGGCTAGAGCCTGTATCTGGACTTTTGTCTCTGCCGCTACTGGGGTGGCTCCTCTAGGTTCAGCCCTCCAAGGTGATCCTGCTTTCTCATGGACAGCTTCCACTTATTTTCCTCCTCCTCCTCCTCCTCCTCCTTCTCCTTCTCCTCCTCCTCCTCCTCCTCCTGGAAGCCCTGGGGCTGGTGCCATGTGGTCCATGCTGACTTCTCTCCCATTTAATTCCAGGGGCATCGAACTTCCAACCGGGCTTGGTGCCCAGCAGGCTGAGTCTCACCTCCCTTTGCACGTGCTGTTTGCTGGGCATGGACTGGTGTTTTCCATGTGCCTGCAGGCTTTGTTTGACACCCCCTACTCCAGGAAGCCCCTTAGCTCTCCTCTCTGTGTGCCTCCAACCCCTCTTCTCCCTTTGAGTCTCTCTTTTTTTAGACAGGATCTTGCCCTGTCGCCCAGGCTGGAGTGCGGTGGCCCAGGCTGGAGTGCAGTGGCGCCATCTTGGCTCACTGCAGGCTCCGTCACCTGGATACAAGCGATTCTCACAGCCTCAGCCTCCTGAGTAGCTGGATTACAGGCGAGCGCCACCACACCCGACTAATATAATTTTTATATTTTTTAGTAGAGATGGTGTTTCACCATGTTGGCCAGAATGGCCTCAAACTCTTTTTTTTTTTTTTTTTTTTTTTGAGACGGAGTCTTGCTCTGTCGCCCAGGCTGGAGTGCAGTGGCGTGATCTCCGCTCATTCCACCTCCCAGGTTCATGCCATTCTCCTGCCTCAGCCTCCCGAGTAGCTGGGACTACAGGCTCCTGCCACCACACCCGGCTAATTTTTTGTATTTTTAGCAGAGACGGGCTTTCACCGTGTTAGCCAGGATGGTCTCCATCTGCTGACTTCGTGATCCTCCCACCTCGGCCTCTCAAAGTGCTGAGATTACAGGTGTTAGCCACTGCGCCTGGCCTTTTTTTTTTGAAACGGAGTTTCACTCTTTCGCTCTTCTTGCCCAGGCTGGAGTGCAATGGCACGATCTCGGCTCACCGCAACCTCTGCCCCCGAGTTCAAGCGATTCTCCTGCCTCAGCCTCCCAGGTAGCTGGGATTACAGGCATGCGCCACCACATCCTGCTAATTTTGTATTTTTAGTAGAGACGGGGTTTCTCCATGTTGGTCAGGCTGGTCTCGAACTCCTGACCTCAGGTGATCTGCCTGCCTCAGCCTCCCAAAGTCCTGGGATTACAGGCATGAGCCACTGCGCCCGGCCACCTTTTTTTTTTTTTTTTTTGAGACGGAGTCTCATTCTGTCACCCAGGCTGGAGTACAATGGTGTGGTCTTGGCTCACTGCAACCTCCGCCTCCGGGGTTCAAGGGATTCTCCTGCCTCGGCCTACCGAGTAGCTGGGACTACAGGCGCCTGCCACCACATCCAGCTAATTTTTGTATTTTAAGTAGAGACGGGGTTTCACTATGTTGGCCAGGCTGATCTTGAACTCCTGACCTTGTGATCCGCCCACCTTGGCCTCCCAGCGTGCTGGGATTACAGGCGTGAGCCACCGCACCTGGCTCAAACTCTTGATCTTAAGTGATCCTCCCGCCTCAGCCTCCCAAAGTGCTGGGATTACAGGCATGAGCCACAGCACCCAGCTGCTTCGGGTCTCTCTTAATCCCTCCAGTATGGGGGTGCTCCTGCTGTGCTATGTCTTCTCCAAAATGGGATTTCCTCAAGGTGGGGCTAAAGCTTGTTGGGGAGGCAGCATCCCCCAGCCTGGGCAAGCGCAGACGGGTATACCATAAATATTACCTTTAAAGGGCAGTTTCAGGGGGTCGGGGCCTCCCCAACCTCCACTCCTCTGGGTGGGAACCACTCCCAGGGGAACAGCAGGCACAGAGGGAGCTGTGGGTGGAAAGCAGATGGTGCGGGGACCGAAGGGTCCGGGAGTGGTGCCAGGAGAGTTCTGTGTGGTCCAGCTTCCCCGGGAGCCTTTGCAGGGAGCTGCCGATTTTGCCTCACCTCTCTCTGCCACTTTAAAAAAACATCTTCAGGCCAGGCACAGTGGCTCATGCCTGTAATCCAGCGTTTTGGGAGGCCGAGATGGGAGGACTGCTTGAGGTCAGGAGGTCAAGACCAGCCAGACCAACATGGTGAAATCCTATCTCTACTAAAAATACAAAATCAGCCAAGCGTGGTGGTGGGCGCCTGTAATCCCAGCTTACTTGGGAGGCTGAGGCAGAAGAATCGCTTGAACCCAGGAGGTGGAGGTTGCAGTGAGACAAGATCGCACCATTGCCCTCCAGCCTGGGCGACAGAGCAAGTCTCCATCTGAAAACAAACAAACAAACAAAATATTCACATCTTTTTGTCTTTTGGAAGCAACTTTCAACTGGTGGTTATTATTCACGTCTTGATCATTGTCTTGACTCCCATCCATCCAAGTCTCCCCCAGCACCAGGCTCTGAGCTTGCTACTCATTGATTCCTCCAGGGACCCTATGTCACTGGGCCATTTTCCAAATGAGAAAACTGAGGCACAGAGGGGTTAAGTCACTTGTCGGGTCACACAGTGCAGGAGTGGGGGAGCCAGACTGGGAACCTAGGACTGTCAGAGTTTTGGAAGGAAATGCCTGGATGGGGTGCAAGTGGGACCCCCCACCAGGGTTCAAATCCCTCCCTGTTTCACGTGGGGTAGTGGAGGAAGTGGTATAAGATCCCACAACTGGCTGGGTGCAGTGGCTCATGCCTGTAATCCCAGCACTTTGGGAGGCCAAGGCAGGTGGATCACTTGAGACCAGGAGTTCAAGACCAGCCTGGGCAACATGGTGAAACCTCATCTCTATAAAAAATACAAAAATTAGCCGGGTGTGGTGGCACATGCCCACAATCCCAGCTACTCTGGAGGCGGAGGTTGCAGTGAGCCAAGATTGCACCACTGCATTCCAGTCTGGGCGACATAGCCAGACGCTGTCTCAAAAAAAAAAAAAAAAAAAAAAAAAAAAAAAAAAAAAAAATTCCCACAACTATTGGAAGGGGAAGAAGGAGACCCTAATGGCCACGGTGATGGTGGTGATGGTTCCATCACCATGACTGCTTGAACTAAACGCCGTGAGTTGTCTGTCCTCAGACATATTCAAGCAGTCAGAGAGACCTTCGAGGGGTAGATTATTCTCCTCCCATCGTGACAGCTTGGTTTTCTGAGCGCAGAGCAGCTGAAGTCAGGCCTGGGGTAACGCCACACCCCCGCGACCCTTCCCCGCCTCTCCCGGGAGACCTTGCCCTCCCAGCTGGGTCATCCGGCAGCCCAGCAGCTTCCGGCCCCCTCCAATTGGCTGTAGGGGCCGATGGCGTCACTGGTTGCTATGGCGAACACCCAGATCACGACGTGGGCAGCCTGGAGCCCACCAAAGTAAAAATAGTCGTGTGTCCCCAACGTGGCCGCCCTGATGTGTGTGGAGGGAGGGTGTCCTGAGACCCAGTTTCCTGCCTCTCACTCCACTAAGAGACGTGGGCAGCCGGCTTTCCTCTGCACCTAAGTTTCCCTGCCAGTAAAACAGCCCCTGCCCGCGGTTCGTAGGAGGTGGCTCAGTAAATGCAAGGACATTTACCAGGTATTATGACAGCTTCCATGGTCCCTTGCTGAGCTCAACAATAGTACAACAGCACACAACAGCAGCAATAGTAATGGCTGATCATGATTAACCCAGAACCCTCCTCACGTCATCTCCAGTTACAGATGGGGAAACTGAGGCACGGGGCATACAAATAATTTGCATGGCCAGGAAGAAACAGAGAATTGAACTGGACCCAGGTCTGGGTGTCCCCAGATTCTAAACTTGTGCCACATGGCATTTTGAGAATTTAATAAACCCTCGTGATTGACCGGGTGCGATGGCTTACACTGTAATCCCAGCCCTTTGGGAGGCTAAGGTGGATGGATCACTTGAGGTCAGGAGTTCGAGACCAGCCTGGGCAACATAGTGAAACCTCGTCTCTGCTAAATATACAAAAATTAGCCAGGCATGCTGGCACACACCTGTAACCCCAGTTACTTGGGAGGCTGAGTCAGGAGAATCGCTTGAACCCGAGAGGCAGAGGTTTCAGTGAGCCAAGACTGCACCACTGCACTCCAGCCTGGCGATACAGTGAGACTCCATCTAAACAAACAAACAAACAAACAAAAAACTGGTTTTTTGGCCAGGCATGGTGGCTTATGCCTGTAATCCCAGCATTTTGTAATCCCGGCATTTTGGGAGGCCAAAGTGGGTGGATCATCTGAGGTCAGGAGTTCAAGACTAGCCTGGGTAACATGGCAAAACCCTGTCTCTTCTAAAAAAAAAAAAAAAAGTCCCAGCTACTCTGGAGGTTGAGGCAGGAGAATCGCTTGAACCTGGGAGACAGAGGTTGCAGCGAGCCGAGATTGTGTCATTGCACTCCAGCCTGGGCAACAAGAGCAAAAGTCTGTCTCAAAAAAACAAAAACAACAACAAAAAAAAACCCTCTTGGGCAGCCCATGTCTGAGGATGGACTGTGAGGTCACAGTGGAACACAAGCTCACGGCTTTCTATCCTTCATGCGGTGAGGGCACCCAGAGTTGGTGCAGGTCAGTTTGCTGAGCTCTAAAAGGGTCTTCAAAAGGGAGTCACCCGTCAGCCGTCCTCCCCACGCCCCCACTGGTACCCAGGGCCCAAACCTGCATAGGCTTTGCAGCGAGTGAGGAGAGAATGGCGTTCAGACCTAGACCCAGGAGGAGAGGGACATCTGAGATGGGACAGGGAGAGGACAACTCAGGAATCTCTGTTTTCTCAACAGATTATTAGTTTTTAGCCACTACTGACATACTTCTTCATAAATACAACTAATTGGTAATTTTAAATAAAATTATTATTAATTTTTTTTAGACTTAGAGTCTTGCTCTGTCACCCAGACTAGAGTGCAATGGTATTATCATAGTTCACTGCAACCTCCAACTCCTGGGGTCAAGCAATCCTCCCACCTCAGTCTCCTGAGTAGCTGGGATTGCAGGCGTGCAACACCACACCTGGCTAATTTTTTTTTCTTTTTTGAGACGGAATCTCTCATTGTTGCCAGGCTAGAGTGCAATGGCACCATCTCAGCTCACTGCAAGCTCTGCCTCCCAGGTTCAAGCGATCCTCCCGAGTAGCTGGGGCTACAGGTGTGCAATACCACGCCCAGCTAATTTTTGTATTTTTAGTAGAGACAGGGTTTCACCATGTTGGCCAGGATGGTCTTGATCTCTTGACCTTGTGATCTGCCCGCCTTGGCCTCCCAAAGTACTGGGATTACAGGCATGAGCCACCGCACTTGGCCCTTCTTATTTATTTATTTATTTATTTATTTATTTATTTATTTATTTATTTTTGAGATGGAGTTTCGCTCTTGTTTCCCAGGCTGGAGTGCAATGGTGTGACCTCGGCTCACTGCAACCTCCGCCTCCCGGGTTCAAGCGATTCTCCTGCCTTAGTCTCCCAAGTAGCTGGAATTACAGGCACCCACCACCATGCCTGGCTAATTTTGTATTTTTAGTAGAGATGGGGTTTCACCATGTTGGCCAGGCTGGTCTTGAACTCCCGACCTCAGGTGATCTGCCCACCTCAGCCTCCCAAAGCTCTGGGATTACAGGTATGAGCCACTGCGCCTGACCGGCCCGGCCTTTTTTTGGAGACAGGGCTCAAGCAATCCTCCCACCTCAGCCCCCCAAGTAGCTAGGAGTACAGGCTTGAGCCACCATGCCCAGCAATTTTTTTTTTTTTTTTTTTTTTTTTTTTTTGTAGAGACGGGGTTTCACTCTGTTGCCCAGGCTAGTTTCAAACTCCTGAACTCAAGTGATCCATCCGCCTTGGCCTCCCAAAGTGCCAGAATTACAGGTGTGAGCCACCGCACCCGGCCTACTCTGGCTAATTTTTTTAAAAAGTTTTGTAGAGATGTAGTCTTGCTATGTTGCCCAATCTGGCTTAAACTTCTGGGCTCAAACAACCCTCCTGCTTTGGTCTCCCAAAGTACTGAGATCACAGGTGTGAGCCACCGTGCCCAGCCTAAAATATTTTTTAATGCAGGTATGGTAGGAGCCGGGTGGGGAATTAGACTGTGAATCTGGAGGGCCTCCAGGAAGAAAGGATGTTGAGTTCAGATCTGGAGTATGAGCTGCAGTTAATTAGGGCCAGAAGGGAGGGAAGGCTGTTCTGAGAGAGCGCACAGATAGCGCAAAGGCCTTGAGGCAGGGCTGAGCCAGTGTGTAGAGTGAGCGGGAAAGATGCATTGGTTGGGGCATGGGATTGGGGATTGTGGGGGTGCATCAACGGCCAGGGGTTCTGAGGGCTAGTCTCTCTGAGAATGATCCCCATTTCTGTCTCATTGCAGAAGGAGCTGAGCCTGCCACGCCGAGGACGTGGGTGAGTTCACCTGGGACTGGCGGGCTGGGTGGGCCCCAGTGGTCTTGGAAGTGGATATTTCAGCAACAGCCACTGAATTGTGAATGTATTTAATAATTACAGCAACACATCTCATGTTCATTCTTGCCCTCGTGTTTGCAAAGTGCTTCACAAGCACCTGGCCTCTCACCACAAACATGGGAGGCCATGCCAGTTTGCAAATGAGGAAGCTGAGGTGCAAAGGGGTTTCATCACCAGCTAAGGACACTCAGCTGGGAAGGAGAGAAACTTGTCTGGAATCCAGAGTCCAGATGTTGAATTTCAGCTGAAGTGTATTAGAACTGGCTTGAATGCCTCTCATGACGGGGAGCTCACTTCCTTTTGGGGAACACCAGCAGAAAATCATCTCTCAGCTAGGCACGGTGGCTCCCGCCTGTAATCCCAGCACTTTGGAAGGCTGAGGCAGGCAGATCACTTGAGGCCAGAAGTTCAAGATCAGCCTGGCCAACATGGTGAAACCCCGTCTCTACTAAAAATACAAAAAAATTAACCAGGCGTGGTGGTGCTCGCTTGTAATCCCAGGTACTCAGGAGGCTGAGGCAGGAGATTCGCTTGAAGTGAGGTGAAGATTGCAGTGAACCAGGCTCCCACCACCAGACTTCAGTCTGGGCAACAGAGTGAGACTCTGTCTAAAAAAAAAGAAAAGAAAAAAATCATCTCTCTCGGGATCACATCAGTGTTCCTGTAGGTTGGGTTTTTTTTTTTTTGTTTTGCTTTGTTTTCTTTTTGAGACGGGGTCCCTCTCTCTCTGTCACCCACATAGTACAGTGCAGTAGTGTCATCTTGGCTCACTGCAACCACTGCCTCCCAGGTTCAAGAGAGTCTCCCGCCTCAGCCTCCAGAGTAGCTGAGACTACACATGCGAGCCTCCACACCTGACTTGTATGTTTAGTAGAGACAGGGTCTCACTATGTTGCCCAGGCTGGTCTCAAACTCCTGGACTCAAGCGATCTGCCTGCCTCAACCTCCCAAAGTGCTGGGATTACAGGCATGAGCCACCATGCCCAGTCTAGGTTACCATTTTTTATCCCCAAATCTTAGAGAACATTATTGTTCAATGCTTTCATTCATTTACAGATGAAAGAAACCAAAGGCCGGGGTGGGGAGGGGTTTTCCTTGAGCTAGTGGTCTGGAAGTGTGTGACTGTGGACACCCCATCTTTGGGAGCTGCTTTTGCCTGAGTTGGGGGTGGGAATCACTCAATGAACATTTTTTTGAGCACCTGCTGTACACTGGGCCCTGCTGAAGCCAGAGGGGATACAGACAATTCAATCTCAGAGCAATGGTTGAAGTTTTGTACTCAGGAGAGAGCTCAACCAGAGAAAGAGACAGAGGTGCTGGGGGTGGCTTTATCCTGAAGATCTGGGGCCTCTTGGAGGAAGTGACCTTTGAGCTTAGATCTGGAAGAAGAGGAGGAGCTGGCAGCGGGGAAGTCTGGGGAGAATGGCATTCCAAGCAGCAGGAACAGCTTGGGCAAAGTTTCTGGGGTGCCAGTATGCTTGGCGTTAGAAGAACAGCATGAAGACAAGGGTAGCTGAGTGGAGTGAGTGGAGATGAGGTGGCAGGACAGAAGGAGGAGGTCCTGGGAATGGGGTCAGAGTGGCCCCCAATCCCAGGCCATCTGCTTCTGTTCCAGTGGGGATGATACAGTTGGTGGGGAGGTGCTTGAAGGCCCCAGTGGTTGGGGGTTGCTGGGGGACTGGGACATTGCCCCGAGAGCCGGCACTGTTTCCAGCCTTGGCCCAAGCTGTGGGCAGAGTGTTGGACCGTGAATCAATGAGGACTGCCGAGGGCAAAGTCCTGGACCTTGGGGCAGGACAGAGCCAAAGACTCCACAAGGGATGTCCACTCCCTGCCACCTTCCCTGTGCCCCACTGGGTCCACCGGGGCCTCAAGAGGGCCAGAGTGAGACACAGACACCCCCAGACCGTGGGGTTTGCGCTGAGAGGGAGGAAGGACAGAGCTGGCGGCGCCTGGTGCTGGTGGGGGTGCAGGTACAGCTTGGCGGAGGAGGGGCTGGTGGGGTTGGGATCGTATATGGGTGAGGGGGCGACCTTCCTGGCAGAGGAAACAGCTGGAAGCCAGGGACTGGAGGTGTGGTCAGAGCCTCTAGTGTGCGCGGGGATGCGGAGACCCGAGCGGGTTAGGACCTCAGTGCTGAGCAGCTGGCCGGGATGCGGGGTTGGGGAGTTGGGGCGGACTGCGCTCAGATCCCGGCTCCCAGAGAGCCCCAGGGCCGGGGCGAGGGCAGAGGCCGGGCCGGGGCGGGGAGAGGCGGGGTCAGGCCATGGAGCAATCGCGCGGACCGCGGAGCCAGTGACCGCCCTTCCCTTCCGGGGCGCAGCTCGGGGGCTCCCAAGCCGGCGGCCTCGGCGTCCCTGCGGCAGACAGGGCGGCACCCGCGGCTCCCCTTTCCCGCTGCGCGACCCTCGCTGCCGGGCCGGGCCTGCGCGCAGGTGCGGAGCTGCGATCCCCGCCCCGAGGCGGAGCCAGCCCGGCCCCCAGCGGCCCAGCCCCCGCGTCTAGTCTGCCGCACCAGCCAGGCGTCTGTCCCTGCGTCCGTGTGTCCGTCCGTCGGTCCGCTCGCGCCACGATCAGGGCTTCCGGGGGCCAACAAGGGGGCGTCGGTACCCCGCCGCACAGAGGCGGCCTCTGCCTCGGCATGAAGTCCCGCAGGGACAAGCTGCACATCCCGGCGCTGACCCTCGAGTGAGTGTTGGGCAGGGCGGGGGTATGCGGGGTGCAGGGAGGACAGGATGACAACTACCCTCCCCCCACGTCTCTGTTCGTGTCGCCCAGAAACGCACCGCCGCCTCCGGGGAGCCCTCCCGGGCCATCGGTCTGGCCCCGCCCTCACGTCCTGAGCTGAACCCAGAATCCCCGGTCTTGGGCCCCTACTCCCTGAGGGAACCGCAGCCGCCATCCGGAGATCCGGATTCGGCCACACGAAGGGGCGGCCGCCAGGTTCACCGTCCCCGGCCTCTTTCTTTGCAGTCTGTCTCCGAGCAGCCAGAGCCCGTCCCTGCTGGGTCCCAGCAGCCCCTGCAGCCCCTGTAGCCCCTCCTTGGGCCTGCACCCCTGGAGGTAAGTGACAGCGCGTGTGGGCGGGGCGCAGACATCGCCCTGGCACCCCAGAGCCTTGGAAACCCTCCAGACTCATCGGTCTCCTCAAGATACTGCAGGTTGGTGACATCACCTCTCTGGGCCTCAGTTTACCCCTCCACATAATGGCACTGCGATACGTTCTAGGGGCTTAATGGGAAAATTCCATTTTTAGCCAGGCCAGCATCTGACAGGTGGCCAAGGAAAGGGAAGAACTTAAGCTGTTGCCCAAGGACTTCGCCAAGACAGGTGCCGGATTCCCAAGCGGCTCAGGGCACTCCCTGCTGAATTGGCCTGGACTCCTGGGTGGTGACCTCAGGGAGAAAGCTCCTCCCTCTAAAACACACGCACACCCAAGGCTGAGAGGCCACCAACGAGAGCCCTGTGAATTGAGATTAACCAAAGTGGCGCCGGGAGAAAAGAACCAGGGTGACTGAGCGCTCCCTAACCCTTTCCTGATCCCTACTTCCCAGTTAAGAAAACTGAGGCTCAGAGAGGAGATGCCAGTTTTCCTGATTCAGTCCATCCCCCGGGGGCCAAGCATCAGGGACAGCTTTGCTACCAGGTCTGTTGAGGGTTCTACTGGCCAGTTGGTTGACTCTGTGACTGGCCAGGTTTCAGGACAGGAAGGAGTTTTGTGAGCTCCTCTCATGGTTTGGGCAAAAGTTTAGGGAGGGACAGATGTGAGGTCAATGGTGTCTGTTAGAGTTATGTGGCCCATCAACCATTTACACTTTAGTATGAATGAGCTGCTTAACTCTTTCCACAGACTTTTTTTTTTTTTTTTTTTTTTGAGGCAGAGTCTTGTTCTGTCCCCTAGGCTGGAGTGCAGTGGTGCAATCTCAGCTTACTGCAACCTCCACCTCCTGGGTTCAAGCAATTCTCCTGTTGTAGCCTCCCAAGTAGCAGGGACTATAGGCACCTACCACCACATCCAGCTAATTTTTGTATTTTAGTAGAGATGGGGTTTCACCATGTTGGCCAGGCTGGTCGCAAACCCCTCTGCCTCAGCCTCCCCAAGTGCTGGGATTACAGGCATAAGCCACACGCTGGGCCATCCACAGACCTTTAACGGGGAGAAGAGAGAACAATATAGAGCCCACATTTGGGTGCTGGGCAACAGGGAGGTACCTTCCTTCAGACGCCAAGCACTTATGAGGCACCTACTGAGATCCAGGTGCTAAAGGCATTGCTATAAAGAAAACATAGTCCCTCCATCAATGACTTCTCAGTCAGCTTAGGGAATTCAGTGATAAAACTAATGGATAAACAAGATGTATTCAGACAGGGACCTCTTGGGGAGGTGATGTTTGAGCCAAGGCCTGGGCACAGCTAAAGAAAGATTGGCACCAGGCAGTGGGTACTGCATGTGCAAAGGTCCTGTGGCAGGACTGAGGTGGTGGGTTTTTTGTTTTTGTTTTTTGAGACAGTCTCACTTTGTCGCCCAGGTTGGACTGCAGTGGCATGATCTCGGCTCACTGCAACCTCTGCCTCCCAGGTTCAAGTGATTCTCCTGTTTCAGGCTCCGAGTAGCGGAGACTACAGGCGTGCCACCACGCCCGGCTAATTTTTTGTTTGTTTGTTTGTTTGTTTGAGAAGGGATCTTGCTCTGTTGCCCAGGCTGGAGTCCAGTGGTACCATCTTGGCTCACTGCAACCTCCGCCTCCTAGGTTCAGGTGATTCTCCTGCCTCAGCCTCCCAAGTAGCTGGGATTACAGGCACACACCAACACTCCCGGCTAATTTTTGTATTTTCAGTAAAGATGGGGTTTCACCATGTTAGCTAGGCTGGTCTCGAGCTCCCGACCTCAAGTGATTCTCCCGCCTTGGCCTCTCAAAGTGCTGGGATTACAGGCATGAACCACCAAGCCTGGCCTAATGTTTGTATTTTTAGTAGAGGTGGGGTTTCATTATGTTGGCCAGGCTGGTCTTGAACTCCTGACCTCAGGTGATCCACCCGCCTTGGCTTCCCAAAGTGCTAGGATTATAGGCGTGAGCCACTGCACCCCGCCTGAGATTTTTTTTAAGCCTCTGTGTCTGCCTTGGGGGGAGAAAGTTCTGCTGGGGCCAGGAATGGAGGTGGCCAGAGAGAAGGAGGTGGCTAGGACAACATCCAGGAACAAGTCGAGGCATCCACTGAGAATCAGAGACTGCCATCACCCCCATTTAGTGAAGAAAACAGGGGCATAGGACCTCAGAATGTGTTATCAGGAGCATCCTAGGAAGGTTTCGGGCCAGATCTGACTCTGTCTAAATCCTTGGCTTCCACCCCAGGTGAGGACATGATGAAGGGAGGGACCCGTGTGTTGGAGGCCGCTGAGCAGATTTGACCAGTTTTAACTGGGAGGGGAGGGAGGAAGTATCTGGGACTGAGAAAGGCCATAAGGCTGCCTCACTCACCACCGGGGGGCAGCAGAGCCACATTGCCTTGGGCCTGGCGGGGGAATGGGTCCCTGCCTGCCATGTTCCAAGCATCCTAGGAATAAGCTCATAAACGTCCCAACAGAGTCCAGCCTCTGCAACTCCCCTGCCTCCTTTTTTTTTTTGAGACAGTCTCGCTTTGTTGCCCAGGCTGGGGTGCAGTGGTGTGATCTCTGCTTACTGCCACCTCCGCCTCCTGGGTCAAGCGAGTCTCCTGCCTCAGCCTCCTGAGTAGCTGGGATTACAGGCATGCACCACTACACTCAGCTAACATTTGGGTGGTTTTTTTTGTTTGTTTGAGACGGAGTTTTCCTCTTGTTGCACAGGCTGCAGTGAAGTGGCACGATCTTGGCTCACTGCAACCTCCGCCTCCTGGATTCAAATGATTTTCCTGCCTCAGCCTCGTGAGTAGCTGGGATTACAGGCATCTGCCACCACTCCTGGCTAATTTTTTGTATTTTTAGTAGAGATGGGGTTTCACCATGTTGGCCAGGCTGGTCTCAAACTCCTGACTTCAGGTGATCCACCCGCCATGGCCTCCCACAATGCTGGAATTACAAGCGTGAGCCACTGCGCCTGGCCTGATCTTTATATTTTTAGTAGAGACAGGGTTTCACCATGTTGACCAGGCTGGTCTTGAACTCCTGACCTCAGGTGATCCACCCGCCTTGGCCTCCCACGGTACTGGAATTACTGGCATGAGCCATTGTGCCTGGCCTTGCAACTTCCCTGCTTCCATCCTATCCATCTCCCCGTCGCTCACTTGGCTCCAGCCACATGGCTGATCCTCCAGAATGCAGGCTGGTCCAGCCTCAGGGCCTTTGCACTTGCTGTCCCCACTGCCCAGAGCTCTGTTCCCTCCTTTCTTCTTCCGTCACATCCTCATCAAGGCCTCAGCCTCAGATAGGAAGCCTTCCCCAACCACCCCCTCCTTCCAGGCCCCACAAACATGGGGTATAATATGCATTATACCTGTCCATTTCCACATCCAGACCCCAGGGATTTTCTTTTTCTTTTTTTTTTTTTTTAAGACAGTCTTGCTCTGTTACCCAGGCTGGAGTACAGTGGTGCGATATCTCGGCTCACTGCAACCTTTGCCTCCTGGGTTCAAGTGATTCTCCTGCCTCAGCCTCGAGAGTAGCTGGGATTACAGACATGCGCCACCACGCCCTGCTAGTTTTGTATTTTTAGTAGAGACAGGGTTTCACCATGTTGGCCAGGCTGGTCTCGAACTCCTGAGTTCAAGCGATCTGCCCATCTCAGCCTCCCAAAATGTTGGGATTACAGGCATAAGCCACGGCACCCAGCCAACCCCAGAGATTTAATTTCCACATTGTCTTGTGTGATTATCCAGTTATTTTTCTCACCCAGAGGTTTGACAGCCTCTCCGAGACCAGACCTTGTCTGTCCTGGTCATATCGTAGACTCAGGGCAGGCCCAGGGTGTATACAGCAGGTGCTCAGTTAATGCATGTGGCTTAGATGAATGGGCAGTATCTGGGAGGGCTGTCCTTGTGGTAGTGATAGCATTGGGGGTTGGGGGTGTTGTTGAAGAAGGCCATGAGTTGGGCGCTCATAGGCAAAGTGGCTGTTCCAGGCAGCAACAGCATCGTCAGAGACACTTTCCTTCTGGAGCCTCAAATCCCAAGGGCAGGAAGAATGTGGATTTTCTACCTAGGGCACTAGGAGCCATAGAGTGTGGTGCTGGGAGCGGCACAGATATATGGGCAGGTGGGAAGCGCTGGGGTAGTCCCACTAAAAAGGGACCGTTGAACGGGGGTGTCTGTATATCTACCTGAGACTTTGGCATTTACAGTCACAGCACATGCAGGGAGAGTCAAATGCCAATGTCACAGAGTTTGTCAGGGACAGGGCTAGGATATGACCCCTGGGAGAGGGATTCACCCAGGAATGCAGTTTTGTTTTGCTGTGAGAGCAATAGGGAGCCATGGAGGGTTTGTGAGCAGGGGGAAGGGCATGATCTGGGGAGCAGTGGGCCGACACCAGAGATCAGTGGCTCAGCCAGCCTTTCATGGAAGGCCTTCACCGTGGCAGCAGGCCCTCTGGATTGTCAGCTGCAGCCCTGTTTTGCAGAGGGGGAAACTGAGGACAAATGAGCATGGGAGAAGGTTCTCTCCCTGCTACAGATGTCAGGGCAGTGGGTGTATGTAATAGGGGGTGTGTAGGTGTTACTGGGTGTAGCTGTGGCTGGGGACGAGGGGGCAGCGCCTTTACCGAGTGTGTGCAAAGGTGTGTCCCCGTGCATATGGGGTGGCTCAGCACGTAGTGACAGCAAGTGGAGACTGTGGCCCCATCCCCACTTGGGTCCCCAGACTCAAGAGAATCTGCACCCCGCATGAGGCTTGGGCTGCATACCTGGGGGTCATAGGTGACCACTCCCATACTCATCACCATCTCTGGTGGTCTCAAAACCACCATCTCCCCTGGTCTCAAAACAAGTCCCAAATCCACCCACTTTTCTCCACAGCTTCAATATTCCCCTCCCAGACACCGTCCCAGACCCTTACTGGCCTCCTGCTACCTTCATTCCTGTCCCCCAGCAGTCTGCTCCCCATAGCAGACACAAGGGGGTTTACAAACGTAGTCCACATCATACCCTTTCTCTGCTCAAGCACCCTCCATGGCTCCCCATTGCTCCTACAATACAATTGCACTCCTCCCTGCAGCCCACAAGGCTTATGTGGTCAGCCCCGCTGGCATTTTGCCCTCAGTGCTGCCTCAGAGAGTTGTGCCCTTTGCCTGGGACACGCTTTCTGCATAGCCAGCTCCTTCCTCCTCCATTTCTGGCTGGCTGCAGCATTACCTCCTCTGAGAGGCCTCCTGGCTAAAGTCGCCCCTTGCAGTGTTCTCTCCTTTCTCTTCCCTTCTCAGCCTTGGTATTTGAAATTATCTTTTTTTTTTTTTTTTTTTTTGAGACGGAGTCTCGCTCTATCACCCAGGCTGGAGTGCATTGGTGTGATCTCGGCCCACTGCAACCTCCACCTCCCGGGTACAAGTGATTCTACCACCTCAGCCTCCAGAGCAGCTGGGAATACAGGCATGCACCACCATGCCCAGCTATTTCTTTTGTACTTTTATTTCTTTTATTTTTTATTTTTTTTTATTTTTTTGAGACAGAGTTTCGCTCTTGTTGCCCAGGATGGAGTGCAATGGTGCTATCTCAGCTCACTGCAACCTCCGCCTCCTGGGTTCAAGCGATTCTCCTGCCTCAGCCTCCCAAGTAGTTGGGATTATAGGGACGTGCCACCACGCCCAGCTAATTTTGTATTTTTTTTAGTAGAGACTGGGTTTCACCTTGTTGGCCAGGCTGGTCTCAAACTCCTGACCTCAGGTGATCCGCCCGCTTCGGCCTCCCAAAGTGCTGGGATTACAGGCGTGAGCCACCACGCCCAGCCGAAATTATCTTGCTCATTGAATTGTTTCCTGTTGGCTGGGCAAGGTGGCTCACGCCTGTAATCCCGGCACTTTGGGAGGCCAAGGCGGGAGGATCACCTGAGGTCAGGAGTTTGAGACGAGCCTGGCCAACATGGTGAAACTCCGTCTCTACTAAAAATACAAAAAAATTAGCTGGGCGTGGTGGTGCAACACCTGTAATCCCAGCTTCTCGGGAGGCTGAGACAGGAGAATCGTTTGAACCCAGGAGGCGGAGGCTGCAGTAAGCTGAGACTGCGCCATTGCATTCCAGCCTGGGCAACGAGAGCGAAACTCTGTCTCAAAAAAAAAAAATTTGTCTCTTTAGCTATGAAGCCTGGGCCCCAGCATTGGGCCTGGACTGGGTCCCAAAGTGTCCTGTGGCCCAGGAAGGGGCATCCCTCATGATGACACTGCCCCTGACTTGCCTGGGCTGTCATGACAGGAGGAAGCATTAATTCAGTCCTTACGGTGGGAGACACTTCTGCTTCCATAGTGAACACATATTGTACCCTCAGCCCTGTTCCAGGCTCTGTGTCTCAGATTTTATTCTGTTTTCAGTATGGGGGATGTTACGCATGGGGAAACAGAGGCCTGGAAGTTAGCCTGATGCTATCGTTTATAGAGATAAATTATATATAGATATGGAACATATACCAGGTGCCCTTGGAAGCGCCCCCTTACATCTGATTTGTGTAATTCTCATGTCAGTTCAGTTTTCCTCCAATTTCACAGTTGAGGAGACTGAGGCTGGAGTTCAATCAGGTGGCTGCTTCCTAACTGAGGCAGGGCTGATGGCCTTTCCCGCCACACACAGACAGAGCATGTCAGACGCCCCGACTCAATTTGCCAAACACACCCTCTATGCCAGTCCGGTGCTGGGAGCTGCTGGGACCCTAAGGAGCCCCCAGCCTGGGGAAGACATAGCCGGACAGACAGGAAAGCGGGTTTTTCAGAGGAGAGGACGCAGTTTTGCCAGGCTAGATTCCAAGCAGTGGGGCCAGGGTGGGCGTGGTAGCATGAGCCGGCCAGGACGCTGGGGTGGGTCTTGGGTGCCGCACTGAGAAGGGGTCAGTGCTCTGGGAGAGAGGAAAAAGATGGAGGGAGCGATTAGATTTACATTTTAGCAGAAAGGAGCCAAAATGCCTGCCCCTAGCTCGAGGTTAAGGTGCTGCCAACGCCCCGCCCCCGCCGCCCGCGGTCGTAGCAACGCCCGGCCTCAGCCGCCCGCGGCCCTAGCAACGCTCCGCCTCTCCGCCCGCGGCCATGGCAGCGCCCCGCCCACTCGCCGGCACGCGGGTCCGCCGGCCTCGCTTCCGCGTCGCTCGCTCCGCCTCCCGACAGGCCCCGCCCCCAACGGCCCCGCCCCCGCACTCGCCTGGGCGGAGTTCCAGTCGCGCTCGGGGGCGCGCGCTTCCTTCTCGCCGCCCCCCCATCCCCGCAGCCCCGTGCGCCCCCCTCCCTGTCCGGCTCCGCGGGGCTCCTGGGGCCGATCCCACCGCCGAGGCCTCCCTTCCCGGCCTCGGGCGGCTGCGGCGGCACAAAGGGAAGCAGCATGTCCGACCCCAGCTACTGGACGGCGGTGGCGGCTCCCGGCCATCGGAGCCGCCTGGCAAAAGGCGCGCTGCTGCAGCGCTCCAAGAGGTAGGGGGCACGGCGCCGGCGAAGGCTCGGCGGCCAGCCGAGCAAACAGGAGTTGCCAGAAGTGTGTCCTGGCCGCGTGGCGCGGACCACGGCGAGCGTCTGTCTGTGGCAGCAGTGGGAAGGGGGGAGGACGCCTGTGGATCGAGGTGTCCCCTGGGGTCCCTGGCACCCTCCTTTCGCCCCTCGTTCCCTGGACTGGGGTGTCTGTCCGCCAGCGTCGCAGCTGGGGTGGTGACAGACAGGAGTGAGTTGAGATTGAGCTAGGATTTGAACCCGGGTGTCCAGGGCTGGGCAGAACCAGGGAGGAACTTCTTGGAAAAACTGAGGCTGATCTGCCGCTGGGGGTCCATTCAGCAGAAATGTTGGCTCAGAAGCAAATATTTACTGCACGAGGCTGGCATTTGGGTGGGGTGTCAGGAGTCCAGATAGTTGGGGTTAACCCCCGCCAAAGCCTCACCGCTCTTGGAGTCTCAGTTTCCCCTTTTGAAAAGCAGAGAGGATAAGTGAGGGCTGTGGATTCTACCAGACCTGGGTTCAAATTTCGACTCAGCCACTACCAGGCTGTGTGACCTCAAGTAGCTCCTTAACCTCTCTGTGCTTGGGTTTCTCATTGGTGCTGGACTGGGGCAAAGTCTGGGCGGTGGGACCAGCTACCGAAAGACCTTGAATGCTGAGTCCAGGGCTTAAACTTACCTCCAAGATCGTGGGGAGCATTGGAGGGGGAATATGGGTGCCAGAGGGATGAGGTGCAGGAGGCTGGCTTCAGGCCCCTGCTTTCTGCCACATTCTCTCTGTTGTGTCCTGGGTACCAAGAGAGGATCGTTCTCAAATGGCAACTTCTCGAGGTCCTGGATCTCCTCCAGGAAGAGTTGAACAAACAGTCGGCCCTGCATAGATGCTTGGGAAGTGAACAGATGATGCTTAGTTCTCCTTTGAGGCCTCACATTTGGCCGTGTTTTCAAGAAGACCTCGCCCAAGAACAGGAGGGAGGGCAACGAAGTGTTTTTCCCAAATGCTTTTGGAAGCAGCAAGTGATACAGCAGGATCGGGGAGGGAGGGTGCTGGTGGTGCAGTGTGGGGGCGAGGAACCAGGTGAGGGGCTGGGAGAGGATGTGGAGACAGCCAGGTGAGCGTGCATTGAGGGGTTGGCAGGAAGTTTTGCAGAAACCTGTGGGTTTCACTTTTGCTTCTGCAGCTCAGGCTGGGAGACAATCACTGTGACTGTTGACATCTGTGGCTTCAGTTTCCCAGTCTGGAAAATGGGCTCAGCTGGTCATTCCCAACTCTGGGGCTTGTTGGAATTGGCAGATGTTGGGGATGTAATTCACTCAGGAGGCACTGGCTGCCCTCCCGGCGTGAGCCAGGCCCTGTGAGCATTGTCTAGGCAAAGACAACAGTGTATGTACCCGAGTCCGACCCAAAGCTGAGCACTGGATGTGGTAGGTTTCATCCTTCAAGGTAGAGATGAGGAAACAGGCTCAAGGGGCAGCCACATGTGGAGACGTAGACAGGCTGGGCCTCTTCTCCCTGCCCACCTTGTCACCTGTGTCCTTTGATGATCATACGCTTGTTCTCCCATGGATTGACCTGCTCCGAGCATTCTGCCTGGGACCCCATTTCTGCACCTCGGAGGCCCCGAGACTTCATCTCTCCCTCCCCGCGAGATTCTCCCGCCGCTGAGCTGCGTTGGCGGCTTGGGGTGTGTGGGCTGATGCTCTTGTGGAGCAGAGCTGTTGCTGGGCAACTGCTCTGGTGGGGCGGGGGACGGTGTCGCTCCCAACTTCCTTCTGTCAAGGTGTGGGCTGAGGCCAGGGCCCAGGTGGGAGAAGAAGCCAGGCAGGGTGTGAGAGACCTGGGCCAGGGATCTGGTGGCCAGAAGGGAACTGGGATGGAAAGAGGAAAACGTGGGCAAAAGTTCAGCAGAAGAGGCAGGACTGTGAAAGAGGTTGCATTTAGGGTTTCTAGTTGGGTCACATTGGCATTTTAGGGGCATCTTGAGAAGAAGGAGGGTTGTCAAGAGATGGGAGCAGGGGCTTCAAGAGGGGTATATAGAATGGGGTGTCTCAGCCCATATCTGGGCTCCAGGGTGTGTTTGGTTCACCTGATTTGCTGGTGCTGCTGGCAGTAGCCATGGTACAGGGAAAAGTGTGGGGGTGGGACTGTGACACAGAACCCTGAAAAGCTGGTCCAGGGGCTCCTGGCCATATGTAGTGTCCTCCATCAGGCTAGAAGCACTTCATGCCATTGCTGTTAATAACAACACTGCCAATAGTTTGTGTTGGTTTTTGTTATTGTTTTTCAGATGAAGTTTCACTCGTGTCGCCCAGGCTGGAATGCAATGGCACTATCTCAGCCCACTGCAACCTCCGCCTCCTGGGTTCAAGTGATTCTCTGCCCCAGCCTCCTGAGTAGCTGGGATTATAAGCATGCACTACCACACCTGGCTAATTTTTGGTTTTTTTGTTTTGTTTTGTTTTGTTTTGTTTTTTGAGACGGAGTTTCACTCTTGTTGCCCAGGCTGGAGTGTAACGGCACGATCTCACCACAACCTCCACCTCCTGGGTTCAAGCGATTCTCCTGCCTCAGCCTACCAAGTAGCTGGGATTACAGGCATGCATCACCACGCCCAGCTAATTTTGTATTTTTAGTACAGAAAGGGTTCCTCCCTGTTGGTCAGGCTGGTCTCAAACTCCTGATCTCAGGTGATCTACCCACCTCGGCCTCCCAAAGTACTGGGATTACAGGTGTGAGTCACCATGCCCGACCTAATTTTTGTGTTTTTAGTAGAGACGGGTTTCACCATGTTTACCAGGATGGTCTCAAACTCCTGACCTCAGGTGATCCGCATGCCTCGGCCTCCCAAAGTGCTGGGATTACAGGGATGAGCCACTGTGCCCAGCCTTGTTTTTGTTTTTTTAAGAGAGAGGGCCTTGTGCTGTCACCTAGGCTGGAGTGCTGTGGCACCATCATGGCTCACGGCAGCCTTGACCTCCTGAGGCTCAAGCGATCCTCTTGCCTCAGCCTTCTGAGTAGCTGGGACTACAGGCGTGCACCACCACACCCAGCTAATTTTTAAATTTTGTATAGAGACGGGGTCTTGCTATGTTGCCCAGGCTGGTCTTGAACTCCTGGCTTCAGAGGATCCTCCCACCTTGGCCTTCCAAAGCACTGGGGTTACTGGCGTGAGCCACCATGCCTGGCCAGCAGTAGTGTCAATAATAAGGAATGTTAGTTGAGGGGTGATTCCCTCCTGGGCCTTGAAGACCTGGCTAAGGGCCATGGGGGAACCCAGCTGGGGGCAGAGTGGGAGTGGCCATGTCCAACATCCCATCCTTCTCCAGAACGGGCTGCGAGTGTGATTTAGGCTGGGCAGGTGGCTTAGCGCGGGGCCCTGGGCAGCCACCTACCCTGTCCCCTTTTCCCCCCACAGCTGCCGCAGCGGGAACCGCAAGAGCTTGGTGGTAGGAACGCCCTCCCCGACCCTCTCCCGGCCCCTGTCGCCATTGTCGGTCCCAACGGGTGAGTGTGGGAGCAGCCAGCGGGTGCTGTGTCCTGCCTCTGCCCCGCTGACTCAGTTTCCCCGCCTCCTCCTCAGCAGGCAGCAGCCCCTTGGATAGTCCTCGGAATTTCTCGGCTGCCTCTGCCCTAAATTTCCCCTTTGCCCGGAGGTGAGTGATTGCCGGCTTTGGGAGACAGTGCGGGCACCACGGGCAAGGGTTGGGCAGGGGCACGTGCTCGGTGGCTAGACCTGGCTCCTCATTCATTTCATTCACCTTTTCCCCTCCCCTGGCCCGTCTGGTGGTGGTCTCCCCCTCTGGCTCCCATTCCCGGCAAATGCATGCCATCTTGCAGCCACATCCCACGCATGGACAGGTAATTTCAACCAGCCCAGGGGGTGGGGGGTCATGGGGGGATATAGCCCTAAGAATCATTAACTCACTAAAGAAATCATTCATTCATTCACTTAACAAGAGCTGATTGAGCACCTGTCATGTGCCAGACGCTTGCATTTCATTTATTTATTCATACAACAACATTCATTAAGCACCCACTGTGTGTATGCTCTGTGCTGCGGGCTGAGGGCATGGTCGCAAATGGGCAGCTGGCCCTGAGCCCCTGGGGAGTCCTCCGTTTGGTGGGGGGTGGTCAATGTGTGCCCCAGAAGCTACAGCTCAGAGGTTGAAGCTTTGACAGGGGACACAGTGGCAGCTGGACTCACGGGGGGGCTTCCTGGAAGAGGTACCTAAAGAGAGAGAGCATGCAGTGGACTTGGTCAGCCTGTGTCTCTGTTCTTGGTTATTTTCAGGAGATCCTTCCTACAACAGGGCCAGAATATGCTGGCCACAGTGTCTGTTCTTAGTCCCCACAAACCACAGGGGCCAGGCCTTCCTTCCATCTGTTCTTGTTCCCCTCTCCAGGGCAGACGGCAGAAGATGGTCCCTCGCGTCTCTCCCATCTTCCGGCTATGGAACCAACACACCCAGCTCCACCCTCTCGGTACCCATAGCCCCACCTTGGCAGGTGGACAGGCAGATGCCGGGTTGTGGGGGGACACATCTTTGTGTGTTTTTTTCAAGGTGTTGGATAGTTGTGCAGTCAGCAAACATACTAGTTACTTCCTCCATGCACGCCCCATTCTGGGAAATGCAGGGTCCCCTGAGAAGACCCAGCCTTGGCCCCAAAATAGTCCCTGGTTGGGGAGATACAGATATCCTCAGCCTATGGGGTCAGGGCCTGACCAGAGGGGGACTTGGGGCTGCCCAGGGGTACAGGCAGAGAGGACTTCCTGGAGGAGAGGGCATCAGAGCTAGGGTTTTGAGGGATGCATAGGAGCTAGGCAGGAGAAAGGATGTTACCTTCTGATGGCCAGCAGGCAGCCTGGGCCTTGAGGGGTGGTGCTGGGTTCCTGGCCACAGCACTGACGGTGAACTCATGGCTCTGATCCCCACCACTCTCTACCAGTCAAGCTCATCCTCCCGGGAACGTCTCCACCAGCTTCCCTTCCAGCCGACGCCGGACGAGCTGCACTTCCTGTCCAAGCACTTCCGCAGCTCAGAGAATGTGCTTGATGAGGAAGGCGGCCGGTCACCCCGCCTCCGACCCCGCTCTCGCAGTCTCAGGTGGGCCGCGACCTCTGGCCCCAGCCCCGGCCCCTCCCTGGGCTGGTGTGGAGGCCCAAGTTGTGGCTCCTCCTTCACCCCAGCCCTGACCCTGCCTGAGCCTAGCCTCTGATTCTTGTCCCTCAACCCTGGCTCAGATCCCCCAACATCCTCCCCTGGGGTTGGTCTCAGGTCCCATATCACAAGCCAGCTGTCTTCCTTTCAGCCCGGGCCGTGCAACGGGGACCTTCGACAATGAGATTGTCATGATGAATCACGTGTACCGGGAGAGGTTCCCCAAGGTGGGCAGCGCCTGGCGGCTGGACCAGCCCCTGCACTTCTTTCCACATTGCTGTCCCTCCATGGAACTCTGTCTTCCTGGCTATGTCCCCTTTGCCAGTCTGTTCATTTCTGTCTTTCCTTCCCCTTCCGTTGAAAGATGTCGTTCCTCCTGCACCAGCCCTCCCACCCGATCGCCCCATTGCCCCATCTCCTCTCTCCCCAACCATGCCTCTCCTGCCCCATTCTGCGTGTGTCACTCCAGCCCCGCCCTCTGACCAGGTCGCCCCGTCTCGCCCCACCCAGGCCACAGCACAGATGGAGGGCCGTCTGCAGGAGTTCCTGACGGCCTACGCGCCCGGCGCCCGGCTGGCGCTGGCTGATGGCGTCTTGGGCTTCATCCACCACCAGATCGTCGAGCTGGCCCGAGACTGCTTGGCCAAGTCTGGCGAGAACCTCGTCACCTCCCGCTACTTCCTAGAGATGCAGGAGAAGCTGGAGCGGCTTCTGCAGGATGTGCGTGGTTTTTCGCATGTTGAGGTTTTGCATGCAGTGGGACGTGGAGTGAGGGGGGTCCCCAGGCCAGACGGTGCTGAGGACCTGTGGGTGATGCCACGACCCACCTCCCCCAGGCCCATGAGCGTTCGGACAGTGAGGAGGTCAGCTTCATCGTCCAGCTTGTCCGGAAACTGCTGATCATCATCTCACGGCCAGCTCGGCTGCTGGAGTGTCTGGTAAGTTTCTCTTTCTACGGCCAGCTTGGGGTCCAGGCAGAACTGAGATTGGGACCACAACAGTCCTGCCAAGATACAGGTGACAGTTCCCATCGTGTAGGGCTTTGAGAGGAACACAGGGTGCTATTGGGCTAGCGTGGGCTTCCCTAAGGAGGCAGCGGGAGTGGAGACCCAGTGGGTGAGCTGGGAAGGGTGCTCCAGGCAGAGGGAACAGCATGTGCAGAGGCCTGCAGGTGGAACCAAGCCCTGGGTGACCAGCCCTCCTGTGCCCCTAGGAGTTTGACCCTGAGGAATTTTACCACCTGCTGGAGGCGGCTGAGGGCCATGCGCGGGAGGGCCAAGGCATTAAGACTGACCTTCCACAGTACATCATTGGGCAGCTGGGCCTGGCCAAGGACCCCCTGGAGGGTAAGCCGGGATGGGAAGAGGAAACCAAGGCTGGGAAAGGCCGGATGGAGGCCAGGCACGGTGGCTCACACCTTTAATACCAGCACTTTGGGAAGCTAAGGCGGGCAGATCACTTGAGGCCAGGAGTTCGAGACCAGCCTGGCCAACATGGTGGAAACCCCCCCCCTACTAAAAATACAAAAATTAGCTAAGTGTGGTGGCGCATGCCTGTAATCCCAGCTACTCAGGAGGCTGAGGCACAAGAATTGCTTGAACTCAGGAGATGGAGGTTGCAGTGAGCTGAGATCGCGCCACTGCACTCCAACCTGGGCGACAGAGCGAGACCCTGTCTCAAAAAAACAAAAAAAGAAAGGGCAGATGAAGCCAGGATTCAAACCCAGGCCCATCCGATTCCAGAACCACCGCACTGTTCTTTGTCTCTCTGTGGCCTTGCTCTTAGGTCACCTGTGGGAATTATGCTGAGACCCTCTGATCTTTTGGGGCCCAGGGGCCTCAGTGTCCTCAAATGCCACGTTAAGATGGTCAGGAAGCCTGGGGACCAGTGTTAGCAGTGGCCTTCCCTTTGTCCTGCAAATTCACAAATGACTTTACCAATTTCTGTGGCCTTTACTGTGGCCCAGAAAGTGAACTTGGAGTCAAACAGGACAACCCGTAGGTAAGAAGACGGTCAAAAACTCCCACAGCCGGCCGGGTGCGGTGGCTCACGCCTGTAATCCCAGCACTTTTGGGAGGCCGAGGTGGGTGGATCACAAGGTCAGGAGTTCAAGACCAGCCAGGACAACATGGTGAAACCCCATCTCTACTAAAGATACAAAAATTAGCCGGGTGTGGTGGCGTGTGCCTGTAATCCCAGCTACTCGGGAGGCTGAGGCAGGAGAATCATTTGAACCCTGGAGGCGGAGGTTGCAGTGAGCCGAGATCACACCACTTCATTCCAGCCTGGGCAACAGGGCAAGACTCTGTCTCAAAAAAAAAAACAAACAACTCCCACAGCCAGCCAGGTGCAGTGGCTCACGCCTGTAATCCCATAATCCCAGCACTTTGTGAGACTGAGGCGGGTGGATCACTTGAGGTCAGGAATTCAAGACTAGCCTGGCCAATATGCAGAAACTCCATCTCTACTAAAAACAAATATTAGCCGGGTGTGGTGGCATGTGCCTGTAGATCCCAGCTACTTGGGAGGCTGAGGCAGGAGAATCGCTTGAACTCAGGAGGCAGAGGTTGCAGTGAGCCGAGATCACGCCACTGTGCTCTAGCCTGGGTGAAAGAGTGAGCCTACATTTCAAAAAAAAAAAGATGTAGCTGGGTGTAGTAGTGCGCGCCTGTAGTCCCAGCTACTCAGGAGGCTAAGGTGGGAAGATCGCTTGAGCTTGGCAGGTTGAGACTGCAGTGAGCTATGATCACACCACTGTCCTCCAGCCTGGGTGACAAAGCCAGACCCTGTCTCAAAAAGAGAAAAAAAAAAATTTCCACAAATAGCCAGGATAAGAGGAACTGAAAGCTGGAGCATTGAACTTGGACCTAGCCTGGTCCAGCAGTAGCCAGGGGGAGGCTCTGGGAGGAGGCAGTGTTCAAACTGAGGCCTGGAGGGCAGGAGGTGACCAGGTTGCAGATCCAAAGGAAAGAGTGAAACAGGCAGCATAGGCATAGACCCTAAGGTTGGACCATACCTGGAGTGGGACTGACCTGCCACTGTCCCCATTGAAAGCTGGGGAGGCCCGGCATGGTAGCTCACACTTGTAATCCCAGCACTGTGGGAGGCCAAGGCAGGAGGATCACTTGAAGCCAGGAGTTTGAGACCAGCTTGGGCAACATACTGAGATCTCGTCTCTATTAAAAAAACAATTAGCCAGGCATGATCGCACATGCCTATAGTCCTAGCTACTTGCGGGGCTGAAGTGGGAAGACTGCTTGAGCCCAGGGGTTTGAGGCTGCAGTGAGCTATGGTCGCACAACTGCACTCCAGCCTGGGTGACATAGCAAGACCCCATCTCTACAAAAAGTAATTTTTTTTTTTCTTTTTTGAGACAGAGTCTCGCTCTCTCGCCCAGGCTGGAGTGCAGTGGCACGATCTTGGCTCACTGCAAGCTCCGCCTCCTGGGTTCACGCCATTCTCCTGCCTCAGCCTCCCGAGTAGCTGGGACTACAGGCGCCCGCCACCACGCCCGGCTAATTTTTTGTATTTTTAGTAGAGGCGGGGTTTCACTGTGTTAGCCAGGATGGTCTCGATCTCCTGACCTCATGATCCGCCCGCCTCTGCCTCCCAAAGTGCTGGGATTACAGGCGTGAGCCACCGCGCCTGGCCTACAAAAAGTATTTTTAAAAATTAGCCAGGCGTGGCGGTGAATGCCTGTAGTCCCACCTACTTGAGAGGCTGAGGTGGGAGGATTGCTTGAGTTTAGGAGACTGAAGCTGCAGTGAGCCATGATGGCACCACTGCACTCCAGCCTGGGTGACAGAGCAAGAGCCTGTCTCTGAAATAATCATACTTGGCCGGGTGCGGTGGCTCACGCCTGTAATCCCAGCACTTTGGGAGGCCAAGGCGGGCAGATCACCTGAGGTCAGGAGTTTGAGACGAGCCTGGCCAACATGGTGAAACCCTGTCTCTACTAAAAATACAAAAATTAGGCTGGGCGTAGTGGCTTATACCTGTAATCCCAGCACTTTGGGAGGCCGAGGCAGGCGGATTACCTGAGGTCAGGAGTTCAAGACCAGCCTGGCCAATGTGGTGAAACCCCATCTCTACTAAAAATACAAAAGTTAGCCAGGTGTGGTGGCAGGCGCCTGTAATCCCAGCCACTCGGGAGGCTGAGGCAGGAGAATCTCTTCAACTCAGGTGGTGGAGGTTGCAGTGAGCCAAGATCTCGCCACTGCACTCCAGCCTGGGCGACAGAGTGAGACTGCGTCTCAAAAAATAAAAATACAAATACAAAAATTAGCTGGGCATGGTGGCACACGCCTGTAATCCCGTCTACTTGGGAGGCTGAGACAGGAGAAGCACTTGAACCCAAGAGGTGGAGGTTGCAGTGAGCTGAGATCACACCACTGCACTCCAGCCTGGGTGACAGAGCGAGACTCCATGTCAAATAAATAAATTAAATAATCATACTAATAAAAAATAAAGCTGAGGAAACTGAGGCTCCAGGCAGATAAGGCTGAGCAGGGAATCAAACCCAGGTGTACCTAAGGCCAGATCACATGTGGTCTGTGGCTGGACCATGTTTGCCAGGCATTCGCTAGGGGCTGCCCCTCTGCCAAGGCCTGGGGCAAGAACATATTGGACCCTCCACCTGGGCTGCACCCTGAGCTGAGGAAGATGTTAGGAGCTGACACCCAGGGGGCCTGTGTCTCATCCCGTCTTCACAGGCTCAAGGCTCAGAGCCTAAGTTTGATCATGACTGAGCACTTCAGAGCCAGGGCAGCCCACTGGCCCTTCTAGAAGGTTCCTAAGTCATTGCTTCATCCAGCCTCCCGGATGTGGCTTCATGACAGTGTCATGAGAGCTGGTCAGGGGAGGCACTGCATCCCCAGCCTGGGGTGAGAACTCTAGAGGCCTCAGGAAATTGCTGGGTGATGCAGGGTGAGGCAGGGAGGCTCCAGCTGAGCCTCCTCCCTCATCTTGCAGAGATGGTGCCACTGAGTCACCTCGAAGAAGAACAGCCCCCAGCACCTGAGTCCCCAGAGGTGAGTAGCAGAGGCTGGGGGACCCCCGCTCATCTTGTTCTTTCCAGAGTGGACCAGGCACCCGCAGAAAGGGCTGGGTTTGCCGAGGTCTTGCATGTAGCTTAATTAGCATCGGTGACTTTGGAGGCAAGGTGACGGCACGTGGGACTGCCCTGCCTTGGAAGTCGGGTGGGGGCAGTGCTGGAGGGGCACTGGACAGGTGAGTTTTGCAGGACGTGTAAGAATTTCCCAGGAGGAGGGCACAGCTGTGAGCAAAAAAGTACAGAAAGTCAGAAGCTGAGTTGGAGAAGTTTGGACAGGGGAGGAGGTAGCATCGGGCACCAGGACCAGTGGTTTGGGCTTGGGGGCAGGAGAAGCCTTCCCAGCTCTGCAGCGGGGCAGGACCCTAAGCCCTTCCCATCCCCTAGAGCCGCGCCCTGGTCGGCCAGTCACGGAGGAAGCCATGCGAAAGCGACTTTGAGACCATCAAACTCATTAGCAACGGAGCCTATGGGTGAGTCCCTGAGTCCTGCATAGACCCATTTCACAGATGCCTGAGGGGATGGTTGAGGCCCAGGCAGCTCCTGCATCCCCCTCCTACCCCAGCAGGGCTCACACATTCATCCTTGAATGGGCAGAGAAGGCACCTGAGGACTGGAGGGGGAAGTGGAGACACGCCATAGCGAGGTTACAGCCTCATGTGTGCTCTGTCCACGAGCCAGGCCTTTACCTGCCCCAGGTGTAGGGCGTTCTAGGGGCTTGGGGGCTGATCAAGGAAATAGATGCCCACCCAGTGGGAGTAGCACGCAGTGAGCTTTATTTAGGTGCTGCTTTGAATGGCAGGCTTGCATACAAGGGAAGTCCCTCATAGCATAAGCCTTTTGGAGGCTGAGGTTCCAGGAGTCACCATCAAGAGGGAGAGGCCGGCAAGGGAACTCCCCGGGCAGAGGGGGATCAGAGAGGGGGCTTACATGTCTAGGTGATGTTGTTCAACAGCATGGGCACTCAATCTCTGGGTCAGAGACTCCCTGCAGGGTGGTAGCAGCTTAGGGTCTTGAAATCCACAAAGTTCATCTTATCCATGGCTCAGAGATGGTGCAGTTTCACGAGTCTGCAAAGCAGACAGGCTCTCAGTGGCTAAAATTTTGCTTACTTGGTCTGTGTGTAAAACAAACGGATGTGTAAAACTTTGAGTTTGGTGCTAGCGGTCTTTTAAAAGAGCTAGACCAGGTGCGGAGGCACTTTGGGAGGCCAAGGTAGGAGGATCGCTTGAGGCCAGGAGTTCGAGACCAGCCTGGGCAACATGGCAAAACTCCATCAATACTAAAAATAGAATAATTAACTGGGCGTAATGGCACATGCCTGTAATTCCAGCTACTTGGGAGGCTGAAGTTGGAGGATCACCTGAACCCAGGAGGCAGAGGTTGCAGTGAGCCGAGATCACCCCACTGCACTCCAGCCTGGGTGACACAGTGAGACCATCTCAAAAAAAAAAAAAAAGGAAAGAAAGAAAGAAAGAAATACACAAGCAGCCAGGTGCAGTGGCTCTCGCCTATAATCCCAGCACTTTGGGAGCCCGAAGTGGGAGGGTCACTTGAGGCCAGGAGTTTGAGACTAGCCTCCACAACATAGCGAGACCCCATCTCTACAAAAAATTTAAACATTAGCCAGGTTCTGTTGTGGGAGGATCATTTGAGCCGGGGGGGTGGTAAAGACTATAGTGAGCCGTGATCTCATGACTGTGCTCCAGCCTGGGCAACAGAGTGAGGCGCTATCTCAAAAAACATAAGATAAAATAAAAATAAAAGAAACATACAACCTAGAGGCCAATATACAAGGGCCATGTGCAGCCCATTTATATGGCCCCCAGCCATGGTGGCTTAAACCCAAAGGTGGCTGCTCTGGGAGGGGGAACAGGTAAGGAGAATGGGTGGCCCAGGTGGAGGGCACAGCACAGGCAAAGGCCAGGCAGGTTGGGATCTGGGCTCAAGTTGAGCTGTAGTGCCTGCTGGGGCCTCGATCTCCGGTCCCAGCAAGCCTGGCCCTCTGTCCCCAGGGCCGTCTACCTGGTGCGGCACCGTGACACACGGCAGCGCTTTGCCATCAAGAAGATCAACAAACAGAACTTGATCCTGCGTAACCAGATCCAGCAGGTCTTTGTGGAGCGTGACATTCTCACCTTTGCCGAGAACCCCTTTGTGGTCAGCATGTTCTGCTCCTTTGAGACCCGGCGCCACCTATGTATGGTCATGGAATACGTGGAAGGTACGCTCACTGGGGCTTGCATGCCTCCAGCGATGGGGAGCTCACCCCTCCACGCCTGGGAGAAAATTTTTAGACCAAGTTGAGGTCTGTTCTGTCCTCCATGAGGTCTCACCCTGCTTTGGGGAACCCTCAGGAACCCCAGTCTGGGGTAGGGAGCCCAGCCATGGGGGTTTAGGGCTGGAGGAGCCCAGACAGGAGTGTGTGAGGATGGGACCCTGGAGGCAAGAGGAGGGTGGCCATCCTAGGTGGGGGGAACTGATGGGCAGAGGCCTGGAGACCAGAAGTGAAGGCAGGGAGATGTATGGTTCAGGCAGGTAAAGTACTATTACCAAAGTACTGCCAGGCGAGAGAGCGAACATGCACTTAGGAGACACCAGCTGTATACAGCACTAATTGCTGCCCTGTCGGGGAGAATCAGAAGGCAGGGTCTCAGCTTGGCGCGCTGGCTCACGCCTGTAGTCCCAGCACTTTGGGAGGCCGAAGTGGGCTGATCGCTTGAGGTCAGGACTTCGAGACCAGCCTAAGCAACATGGCGAAACCCCCATTCACGCCTATAGTCCCAGCTACTCGGGAGGCTGAAGCAGGAGATTCGCTTGAACTCTAGAGGCGGAGCTTGCAGTGAGCCGAGACTGCGCCACTGCACTCTAGCCTGGGCAACAGAGCGGGCAACAGAGTGAGACTCTGTCTCAAAAAAATAAATAAAAATTTAAAAAATAGGCCAGGCGCGGTGGCCAACGCCTGTAATCTCAGCACTTTGGGAGGCCAAGGCTGGTGGATCACGAGGTCAAGAGATCGAGACCATCCTGACCAACATAGTGAAGCCCCATCTCTACTAAGAATACAAAAATTAGCTGGGTGTGGTGGTGTGCGCCTGTAATCCCAGCTACTCTGGAGGCTGGGGCAGGAGACTCGCTTGAACCCGGGAGGCGGAGGTTGCAGTGAGCCGAGATCGCGCCACTGCACTCCAGCCTGGCGACAGAGCGAGACTCTCTCTCAAAAAGAAGAAAAAATTAAAAAATTAAAAATAAATGAAGGTAGGGTCCGCCCCTTCCCTCTCCCCCGACCCTCCCCGCTGAGATAGAACAAACTGGGGACCTTTTGCAGGAGGTAAAGCGAGGAGGATGCATAGGCATTGGGCATAACCTAAGGGGCGGGCGGGGGGCGGGGGTGCCCCGGGCCTCATGACTACATCCGCCCTTCTCCCAGGCGGCGACTGCGCCACGCTCCTGAAGAACATGGGCCCGCTGCCCGTGGACATGGCCCGCCTGTACTTCGCCGAGACGGTGTTGGCGCTGGAGTACCTGCATAACTATGGCATCGTGCACCGTGACCTCAAACCAGACAAGTGAGCTGAGCTAGCATGAGCGGGGCCTCGCGGAGGGCGGGGCCAGAGAGGATCAGGGGCGGGGCCAAAGAGGATCAGGGCAGAGCCTCTGAGGTGCATCCCGGGACCCTTCAGGAGCCCCATCTGTCTGAGCTCTGTTGGTACCTCCTGACAGGAAGGCAGGGAATGAGCGCATGGTGAACATCTTGTGTGTACAGAGGAGAGGAGAGCAGACACTTAATAGGCGTCTGCTGTATGCAGGGGAAGGCCGGTGCACTTATGGAGGTGCTGCCAATCCAGGGGAGAGGATGTGCACTTAGGATGCACACACTGTATACAGGAGAAGGGGCTGCGCACCCAGAGCTGCTGCTGCACAAGGGGAGAGAACATGCACTTATAAGACACCAACTACACACACAGAACAGGATTATGCAATTTGCGAGACCTTACATGTAAAGACAGTGACCGTGCATGTCTTGAGCACCTGCTGTATATTAGTGCAGGAAAGCAAGGAAGAGAACGTGTTTACTGAGAGCCTTAGGATGTTTATTTTATTCTGGTAGGTGGTAAGCACCTACTGCATGCCAGACCCTCTGTGGGCAACTGGGAGACACAGGGCCACCTGCTTTGAAACCCCTGTATTATTTTCTCCTCTGCATTTATTGAGCGCCTGCTGTGTGCAGGGAAAAAGGAATGCCTGTTTGTCAGGTGTCCTCGAGATACGAGGCAAGAACTGACATTTCTCACATACATGTGTGGAGATGTGAACATGAGTGTTAAGAGCCTTGCATGTAGGCCAGGCTTGGTGGCTCACACCTGTAATCCCAGCACTTTGGGAGGCCAAGGCGGGCGGATCACCTGAGGTCAGGAGTTCAAGCCCAGCCTGGCCAACATAGTGAAACCTTGTCTCTACTAAAAATACAAAAATCAGCTGGGAGTGGTAGCGCGCACTTGTAGTCCCAGCTACTCAGGAGGCTGAGGCAGGAGAATCTCTTGAACCCGGCGGAGGTTGCAATGAGCCAAGATCGTGCCACTGCACCCAAGCCTGGGCGACAGAGCGAGACTCCATCTTAAAAAAAAAAAAAAGCGCCTCGCATGTTTTCAGGGCATTTTGCAGTTGGCAAGTGGCTTAGAAAACAGACATGTATGTGGCACCTGCTGTATACTTGGGCCTGTGCTCGATGCTCTAAGGAACTCAGAAGCATGAATAACTCCTTACACACTAACGTTGGGTTTCTATATCACATTTTCTTGGTTGGCATGTACTTGTTAGGCACCAGGTGTATACAAAATAGGCAGAAGAACAGTTATTAGGCAATGACTGTGTACCTGGCCCAGAACACTTTATCTTTATTTATTTATTTATTTTTTGAGACAGGGACAGTCTTTGTCGCCCGGGCTGGAGTACAGTGGCGCAGTCTTGGCTCACTGCAACCTCCGCCTACCGGGTTCAAGCAATATTCCTGCCTCAGCTTCCCGAGTAGCTGGGATTACAGGCATGCGCCACCACTACGCCCAGCTAATTTTTTTTTTTTTTTTTTTTTTTGAGACGGGGTCTCACTCTGTCGCCAGGCTGGAGTGCAGTGGTGCGATCTCGGCTCACTGCAACCTCAGAGTCCCTGGTTCAAGCGATTCTCCTGCCTCAGCCTTCCAATTAGCTGGGATTACAGGCATGCGCCACCACGCCCAGATAATTTTTGTATTTTTAGTAGAGACGGGGTTTCACCATGTTGGTCAGGCTGGTTTTGAACTCCCGACCTCAGGTGATCTGCCGGCTTCGGCCTCCCAAAGTGCTGGGATTACAGTTGTGAGCCACTGCGCCCGGCAAATGAACTCATTTTTAAAACTCTCACGCAAGTACAGTATATACTGCTGTTTAGGTTTTCCTATGGACTTAAATATATAAATGTTTTGCTACATCATAGTGTCTTATGCACCAGCTGTATGAAGTCGCATTTCCGTGCACCTTCTGGGTGCATCTGCCACTTAAAAATACATTCCAGAGAATTCACTGTGTATAACCATCATTTAATGAACTATGTAGTCAGTACCTCCTGTTTGCTCCAGCTCTGTAAAGAAACAATTCTGTGCCGGCACTTTGGGAGGCCGAGGCAGGTGAACTACCTGAGATCAGGAGTTCAAGACCAGCCTGACCAACACGGCAAAACCCCGTCTCTACTAAAAGTACACTAAAAAAATATATATATATATACACACACACACATATACGCACACACAGTAGAGACCAGGCATGCTGGCTCACACCTGTCATGCCAGCACTTTCAAAGGTGGGAGGATTGCTTGAGGCCAGCAATTCAAGACCAGCCTGGGCAACATAGCAAGACCTTATGTCTACAAAAAAAACCTTAGCTGGGTGTGGTGGTGTGCACCTGTAGTTCCAGCTACTTGGGAGGCTGAGCAGGAGGATCGCTAGGGCCCAGGAGTTGGAGGCAGAGCTCTGCCCATCTCAGGCGGAGCCAAGGTCTAGGGCAGAAGGGGAGGCCAGGCACCCCAGCCCCCCAGCTCTGAGCACACTCCTAACCTGCCCACAGTCTGCTCATCACCTCGCTTGGCCACATCAAGCTCACGGACTTCGGCCTGTCCAAGATCGGCCTCATGAGCATGGCCACCAACCTCTATGAGGGCCACATCGAGAAGGACGCCCGAGAGTTCATCGACAAGCAGGTGGGCGGGCAGGTGGGTGGGCAGCCCCGGGATGCCTCCTCCTCTCTCCTGGGACCTCTCTTGGGCTGGGGGCTGGCCTCAGTTTCCCCGTTCTCCCTGGCCCAGGTGTGTGGGACGCCGGAGTACATAGCCCCCGAGGTGATCTTCCGCCAGGGCTATGGGAAGCCAGTGGACTGGTGGGCCATGGGCGTCGTCCTCTATGAGTTTCTGGTGGGCTGCGTGCCTTTCTTTGGAGATACCCCCGAGGAACTCTTCGGTCAGGTGGTCAGCGGTGCGTTTCCTCCACGGGCCTGGGTTTGAGCTGCAGCCCCACCAGAGCTCTGGGCAGCGGTCCTCCACCCGCATGTCAGGGAGAGAAGCAGGAAGAGGGGAGGGAGTTGGATGCCAGGTGGGGAGGCGGTGGGGTGCTGAGTGAGGCGGGTGGCTGGATTAATTATAGGGTCACAGAGGCTTCACTGAAGTGACTTGTGAGGCTGGGCACAGTGGCAAACACCTGTAATTCCAGCACTTTGGGAGGCTGAGGCGGGAGGATCATATAAGGTCAGGAGTTTAAGACCAGCCTGGACAACATGGTGAAACCCCATCTCTACTAAAAATACAAAAATTAGCCGAGCATGGTGGCGGGCACCTGTAATCCCAGCTACTTGGGAGGCTGAGGCAAGAGAATCACTTGAACCCAGGAGGCAGAGGTTGCAGTGAGCTGAGATTGTGCCACTGCACTCCAGCCTGGGTGACAGAGCGAGACTCCATCTCAAAAAATAAAAAAAAGAAGTGACATGTGAGCAGAGACCTGCAAGAACCTGAGAATGAGAGAAAGCCATAGAGACAGAAAAGAGAAAGGTGGCTCTGAGCATAGGGCACAGCTGTGGCAAAGGCTGTCAGTGGGTACCAAGCCTGCCACGTTGCAGGGGCAGAGGAGGCCAGTGGCTTGGAGTACAGTGAAGTGAGGGGAAATGGTGGATGGTACTAGAAAGGGGTACCCTGCCTTCTCCCTCCCTCCCTCATTTTACCTCCCTCCCTCATTTTAGATGAGATCATGTGGCCAGAGGGAGATGAGGCCCTTCCAGCAGACGCCCAGGACCTCATCACCAGGTTGCTCCGGCAGAGCCCGCTGGACCGTCTGGGCACTGGTATGTAGTGTGGGGGAGAACCCAGGTGGGTGGCTCCTTCAGGCCCTGGGACCCAGGGAATGGAGGGATAGCGCCCGGGGTAGACAAGAGTTCTACTTGGGAAGCTGCATGGAGGAGGGGGTTTGCAGCTAGGGTTTTGAAGGATGCACAGGAGTTCTCCAGGAACTATCACAAGACCTTGGAAAGAATAGAAAGTAGCTGGGTCTGGTGCCCATATGGAGCACTGAGCCTGAATAAGTGTGTGAGGCTGTAAAGTCACCAGGACCTGTGTCAAAGGCCCAGCCCAGAAGATCCCACTGTCCCAGTTTTCCCAGCCACCTGGTTAATCATTAAGGGACCGTTTGAGACTCATGCAGCCACCCATCACGTGGCCACTATGGCTCCTGTTCATGACTGAGGCTTTGCTATGGGAGACGGTTGGGTCCAAGGTCGGGGATCATCACCTGCTCTGTGGAGCAGAAGTGGGAGAAGCCCGGGAAGGAGGCCCTCGTAAGGCTCTGGGCTTTCTCTAGGCGGTGTGGTCCCAGATGGCAGCAGAGAGAAGGGCAGAATCTTTGGAACCTGGGCAGCCTGGGTGCTTTTTTATTTTTTTGAGATTAGATCTCACTCTGTCACTCAGGCTGGAGTGGAGTTGCACAATCTTGGCTCACTGCAACCTCCGCCTCCCAGGCTCAAGCGATCCTCCCACCTCAGCCTCCCGAGTAGCCGGAACCACAGGCATGTGCCATCATGCCCGGCTAATTTTTATACTTTTGGTAGAGACGAAATTGAGACGAAATTTCACCATGTTGCCCAGGCTGGTCTCAAACTCCTGACCTCAAGTGATCTGCCCGCCTCAGCCTCCCAAAGTGCTGGCATTACAGGCATGAGCCACCATGCCTGGCTGCTGGCCTGGGTTTGAATCCTGGCTTCGTCCCTCTCCAGGCTCCTAAATGACAGCGGATTTTTGTTCCCATTTTTCTGGTTCTTTGTTGTTGTTGTTGTTGTTGTTTTTTGAGACAGAGTCTTGCTTTGTTGCCCAGGTTGGAGTGCAGTGGTGCTATCTCAGCTCACTGCTGCAATCTCCACCTCCCAGGTTCGAGCGATTCTCTTGCCTCAGCCTCCCGAGTAGCTGGGAATACAGGCACCAGCCACCACACCCGGCTAATTTTTGTGTTTTTAGAAGAGATGGGGTTTTGCCATGCTGGCCAGACTGGTCTCGAACTCCTGACCTCAGGTGATCCTCCCTTCTTGGCCTCCCAAAGTGCTGGGATTACAGGTGTGAGCCACTGCGCCCGGCCCATTTTTCTGGTTCTGTGTTGTCCCTACTATGTGTCCAGCATGGGCAGTGGGGGTAGGGGGGCATCCTGTGGCGGGTGAGGTGAGGACCTGCAGGGCTCAGCGGGGCATATCTGCAGGTGGCACCCACGAAGTGAAGCAGCACCCCTTTTTCCTGGCCCTGGACTGGGCAGGGCTTCTCCGACACAAAGCCGAGTTCGTGCCCCAGCTCGAAGCTGAGGATGATACCAGCTACTTTGACAGTAAGGAGGGATCCCCCTGGAGGGGGGGCGGGGGGTGCTCTGCCATCCCTCAGTCCCTGGGGGCAGAGGGCTGTGTGCCAGGCATTCCACCCGAGCTTGGCACCTCACCTTAGGCCTGGAGCTTCCGACTTCCTGAGCCTTCCAAGAATCTAGGGCGTGTGTCGGCCGCCCCCTGGCTGGATTTCCTGTGTGTCTGGGCTCAGGAGGCCACAGCATCCCTCAGGCTTCAGAAGGAGAAACCAAGGCACCAAGTGTGGCAGACCCTTGTCTGGGGTTCCCCAGCAAGTTGGGCCTCCTGGGTGTCCGTCCCTGACCAGGCATGGGGCCCCATCTGTTACCCAGGAGGGTAGGGCGCCTAGTGCAGCTTTTTTGGAGGCGTCCCTGCAGGGGCACTGTAGGTGAGCTCTGAGGAATGACTCTCTCTCTCCCCACTTGGGGTTCCTGCCCTTCAGTGTCCAGCACCTCCTTCAGAACTTGCTTCATGTCAGAGGTCTTCTCTGAGCTTCTGTTTCCTCTTCTGTAAAATGAGGAACATCCTTTATGTTGGAGATGCACAATTTTGGCCAGGCGCAGTGGCTCAAGCCTTTAATCCCAGAACTTTGGGAGGCTGAGGTGGGCAGATCACCTGAGGTCAGGAGTTCGAGACCAGGCTGCCTGACCAACATGGAGAAACCCCATCTCTACTAAAAATACAAAAAATTAGGCAGGCATGGTGGTACATGCCTGTAATCCCAGCTATTTGGGAGGCTGAGGCACGAGAATTGCTTGAACCCAGGAGGTGGAGGTTGCAGTGAGCTGAGATGGCACTATTGCACTCCAGCTTGCGCAACAAGAGCAAAACTGCCTGAAAAAAAAAAAAAAAAAAAAAGATGCGCAATTTTACCTAATTCTGTGTGACCCATTTCAAGGAATCACTGAAGCTCAGAAATAGGAATTCCCGCCCCTGGTCCCACAACCTGTTTTTTTTTTTTTTGAGACGGAGTCTCACTCTGTCGCCCAGGCTGGAGTGCAGTGGCGCGATCTCGGCTTACTGGAACTTCTACCTCCCGGTTTCAAGCAATTATCTGCCTCAGCCTCCCGAGTAGTCGGGATTACAGGTGCCTGCCACCATGCTTGGCTAATTGGTCCCACAACTTTTTAATTATTTATTTTTTGAGATGGAGTCTTGCTCTGTCACCCAGGCTGGAGTGCAGTGGTGCGATTTCGACTCACCACAACCTCTGCCTCCCGGGTTCAAGCGATTCTCCTGCCTCAGCCTCCCAAGTAGCTGGGATTACAGGCGCTTACCACTACTGCCCAGCTAATATTTGTATTTGTAGTAGAGATGGGGTTTCACCATGTTGGCCAGGCTGGTCTCAAACTCCTGACCTCAAGTGAGCCACCCACCTTGGCCTCTCAAAGTGCTGGGATTACAGGCGTGAGCCACCGCACCCGGCCCCACAACTTTTTAGGGACACAGCTGGTGTTGATCCCCAGATATCTGCTCTGCCGCCCAAGCCTCCCGTGGTCCTTAAACACACCAGGCACTGTCCCACCTCAGAGCCTTTGCCCTGGCAGTGACCCTATCCTGAGATGCCCTCCCCGTATTGCCACACCGCCCTTGAGATCATCTCTGGGCATCAGGCGTGCTGCATGTGCCTCTCCCTCCCACAGCACGTTCGGAACGTTACCGCCATCTGGGCTCCGAGGACGACGAGACCAATGATGAAGAATCGTCCACAGAGATCCCCCAGTTCTCCTCCTGCTCCCACCGGTTCAGCAAGGTGGGCCCGGGTCCCGAGGGGAGCCACTGCTCAGAAAACATTGCATGATGTCTGTTTGCTTTCGTATCTGTTTTTTGATTTTGCTTTGTTTTGTTCTGTAGAGATGAGGTCTTGCTATGCTGCCCAGGCTGGTCTCCAACTCCTGAACTCAAGTGATCCTCCCACCTCAGCCTCCCAAAGTGCTAGGAATTGTATTGGTTTTTTGTTTTGTTTTGTTTGAGATGGAGTCTCGCTCTGTTGCCCAGGCTGGAGTGCAATGGCGCAGTCTCGGCTCACCGCAACCTCTGCCTTCCAGGTTCAAGCGATTCTCCTGCCTCAGCCTGCCGAGTAGCTGGGATTACAGGCGCATGCCGTCACGCCCAGCTAATTTTTGTATTTTTAATAGAGATGGGGTTTCACCATGTTGGCCAGGCTGGTCTCAAACTCCTGACCTCAGGCTATCCTCCTGCCTCAGCCTCCCAAAGTGCTGGGATTACAGGCATGAGCCACCACACCTGGTCAAATTTTTTTGTATTTTCAGTAGAGATGGTGTTTCACCATGTTGGCCAGGCTGGTCTCAAACTCTTGACCTCATGATCTGCCCGCCTCGGCCTCCTAAAGCGCTGGGATTACAGGCATGAGCCATCGCACCCGGCCTTGTATTTTTTTATTTTGTTTTGTTGTTTTAATTTGCTTTTGTTTTAGCCATTTTTTTTTTTTCTTTTTTTTTTTTTGAGACAGAGTCTCGCTCTTTTGCCCAGGCTGGAGTGCAGTGGCGTGATCTCTGCTCACTGCAAGCTCCGCCTCCCGGGTTCACGCCATTCTCCTGCCTCAGCCTCCCAAGTAGCTGGGATTACAGGTGCCCGCCACCACGCCCGGCTAATTTTTTGTATTTTCAGTAGAGACGGGGTTTCACCGTGTTAGCCAGGATGGTCTCGATCTCCTGACCTCGTGATCCACCTGCCTCGGCCTCCCAAAGTGCTGGGATTACAGGCGTGAGCCACCGTGCCCGGCCTGTTTTAGCCATTTTAAGGCAATTTCCGAGGCAGGCGGATCACTTGAGGTCAGGAGTTCAAGACCAGCCTGACTAACATGGTGAAGCCCTGTCTCTACTAAAAATACAAAAATTAGCCAGGCGGTGGTGGGTGCCTGTAACCCCAGCTACTCGGGAGGCTGAGGCAAGAGTATTGCCTGAACCCCCAGAGGTGGAGGCTGCAGTAAGCTGAGATCACAGCGCTGCACTCCAGCCTGGGCGACAGAGCGAGACTCTGTCTCAAAAAATAATGATAATAATAAAGTGTACAATTTCGTGGCATTCAGCACATTCATAATGTTGTGCAACCATCACCTCTATCTAGCTCTCAAATGTTTGATTCCCCCAAAAATTTGTACCCATTAGCAACCACTCCCCATTTGTCCTCCTTCAGCTTCCATCTTTATGGATTTGCCTGTTCTGGGCATTTCATATCAATGCAATTCACACTATGTGGCCTTTTGGGTCTGGCTTCTCTTACTCAGCATCACGTACTCAAGGCTCATCCCTACTGCAGTGTGGACCAGTGCTTGCTTCCTTTTTATGGCTGAGTAATATTCCATCATATGGATGGAACACATTGTTTATCCACCCATCTTTGATGCACATTTGGGTCTATTCCACCTTGTGAATACAGGTACCATTTTAGTTTATTTACTTATTTATTTATTTATTGAGATGGAGTCTTGCTCTGTTGCCCAGGCTGGAGTGCAATAGTGCAATCTCAGCTCACTGCAACCTCCACCTTCTGGGTTCAAGCGATTCTCCTGCCTCAGCCTCCCGAGTAGCTGGGATTACAGGTGCGCGCCACCACACCCGGCTAATTTTTGTATTTTTAGTAGCGACCAGGTTTCACCATGTTGCCCAGGCTGGTCTCAAACTCCTGTCCTCAAGCGATCCGCCTGCCTCAGCCTCCCAAAGTCCTGGGATTAAAGGCATGAACCACCGCACCTGGCCCTGGATGTTATTTTATAACCTCACGAGCTTAACTTACATTCCCTACTTTTTTTATGATCTGATCAAAAAATGCTCCACTCTGCTTTAGGCCTGGGCCCCAGGCAGGACTTTCTAGTCAACAGCAAAAACGCAGCTTGGTAGCCTGGCCCCTGAGCCTCAGTTTTTCCATCTGTACAATGGGCTAAAGTCTATGCTCTTTTAGGGATGTGGGGAGTGAGGATTTAGAGAAGTGACTCATACTGAAGCAACTGGTACATAGGAATCACTGGACTAAGCCAGCTTTCTTTTTTTTTTTTTGAAACAGAGTCTCGCTCTGTCTCCTAGGCTGGAGTGCAGTGGCACAATCTCGGCTCACTGCAACCTCCGCCTTCTGGGTTCAAGCCATTCTCCTGCCTCAGCCTTCCAAGTAGCTGGGACTACAGGCATGTGCCACCACGCCCAGCTAATTTTTGTATTTTTAGTAGAGACGGGTTTTCACCATGTTGACCAGGCTGGTCTTGAACGCCTGACCTCAAGTGATCCGCCCACCTCAGCCTCCCAGAGTGGTGGGATTACAGGCATAAGTCACCAGGCCTGGTCTAAGCCAGCTTTCTTGCCACCTTTGTTACTGGTTTTTTTGTTTGGGTTTCTTTTTTTTTCTTTTTTTGAGACAGGGTTTTGCTATGTTGCCCAGGCTGGTCTCAAACTCCTGGGCTCAAGTGATCCTCCCAGCTGGGCCTCTGAAAGTGCTGGGATTACAGGCATGAGCCACCGCACCCGGCTTACCATTCTTTTGTCTTGCCTCCCAGGTCTACAGCAGCTCTGAGTTCCTGGCCGTCCAGCCCACTCCTACCTTCGCTGAAAGGAGCTTCAGTGAAGACCGGGAGGAGGGGTGGGAGCGCAGCGAAGTGGACTATGGCCGCCGGCTGAGTGCTGACATCCGGTAAGTGGCCTGGGGAAGTGTAGGCAGATCCAGCTTCCAAGCCTGCTGGGAGGTAGAGACACAAAATCTGATGCAAAGGGAGCTTCCTAGTGGCCAAGTAGAAAAGGGTCAAACATATTGACCAGCCTATCAGGTCCCTGGCAACCTTGCTCCCTTTGGCTCTGTGTTCCTCACCATGCAAACATAAAACAGCTGTGTACCATCATGCTGCTAGGCACACTTTTCCTTCTGTCCAGAATGCCCTTTGCTTACTAACTCCTGTTCATCCTTCAAAGCTCAGACCCAACAGAAACAGTCAATGTCTGCTAGAGGATGGGTGTTGGAAGCTGGCCTTTTTTTTTTTTTTTTTTTTTTGAGACGGAGTCTCGCTCTGTCGCACAGGCTGGAGTGCAGTGGCGCAATCTCGGCTCACTGCAAGCTCCGCCTCCCGGGTTCACGCCATTCTCCTGCCTCAGCCTCCCGAGTAGCTGGGACTACAGGCACCTGCCACCACACCCGGCTAATTTTTATATTTTTAGTAGAGACGGGGTTTTGCCATGTTAGCCAGGATGGTCTCGGTCTCCTGACCTCGTGATCCGCCCTCCTCAACCTCCCAAAGTGCTAGGATTACAGGCGTGAGCCAATGTGCCCGGCCTTTTTTTTTTTTCTTTTTTTAAGAGACTGGTTCTCACTCTGTCTCCCAGACTGGAGTGCAGTGGCACGATCATAGCTCACTTCAGCCTCAGACTCCTGGGCTCAAGAGATCCTCTCAAGTAGCTGGGACTACAGGCGTGCACCACGGCACCCGGCTAATTTTTTAAGCAATTTTTTGTAGGCCAGGTGCAGTGACTTACACCTGTAATCCCAACACTTTGGGAAGCCGAGGCAGGTGGATTACCTGAGGTCAGGAGTTCAAGACCAGCCTGGTCAACATGGCAAAACCCCATCTCTACTAAAACTCCAAAAATTTAGCCGGGCATAGTGGTGCACGCCTGTAATCCCAGCTACTTGGGAGGCTTAGGCACGAGAATTGCTTGACCCTGGGAGGCGGAGGTTACAGTGAGCCAAGATCGTGCCACTGCACTCCGGCCGGGGTGACAGAGCGAGACTCTGTCTCAAAAAAAAAAAACAAAACAAAAAACAAAAAATTGCAGAGATGGGGTCTCCTTATGTTGCCCGCCCTGGTCTCGAACTCCTGGCCTCAAACAATCCTCCTGTCTCAGCCTCCCAAAGTGCTGGAATTATAGGTGTCAGCCACTGCACCCAGCCTGGAAGCTGGGTTTTAAAAGTTGAATAGGAAGCCGGGTGCAGTGGCTCACGCCTGTAATCCCAGCACTTTGGGACCCCAAGGCAGGCAGGTCACTTGAGCTCAGGAATTCAAGACCAGTCTGGCCAACATGGTGTAACCCCGTCTCTACTAAAAATACAAAAATTAGCCCAGTGTGGCGGCAGGCACCCATAATCCCAGCTACTTGGGAGGCTGAGGCAGGAGACTCACTTGAGCCCTGGAGGCAGTGGTTGTAGTGAGCTGAGATTGCACCACTGCACTTCAGCCTGGGTGACAGAGTGAGACCCTGTCTTTAAAAAAAAAGGTGAATAAGCGGTCTCCAGGTGGACAGAGAGGACAGTGCAGACAGAAGGAACTCGTCCTGTCTATGCAAATTACCCTTGACTGCAGACTGAGAGTTAAGATGTGGCCATGAAGGTGGCTGAGTATCCTGGGGTGCAGGTGCCTGGCAGGGGTGATGCAGGCTCTTCCTCCCTGCAGGCTGAGGTCCTGGACATCCTCTGGATCCTCCTGTCAGTCATCTTCGTCCCAGCCCGAGCGGGGTCCCAGCCCATCTCTCCTGAATACCATCAGCCTGGACACAATGCCCAAGTTTGCCTTCTCATCAGAGGATGAGGGGGTAGGCCCAGGCCCTGCAGGCCCCAAGAGGCCCGTCTTCATTCTAGGGGAGCCTGACCCCCCACCAGCGGCCACCCCAGTGATGCCCAAGCCCTCGAGCCTTTCTGGTAAGTGGGGCCCTGAGTAAGAGGGATGATGTCATGGAAGTTTCCCAGAGGAGGGGCTATTTGAGATGGGTTTTCAAGGATGAGTAGGAGTTCTCCAGAGCCAACAAAGGCTTTAAGAGAGGAGAAGCCAGGGTCCCAGAGAGACCCCCAGCCCCCAAGGAACCCCAGTCTAGGGTAAATGCCCCCAGCTTCATAGAGTCAGGATGGGACCCCTAGCTCCCAAGATGGGGGAACTAAGGGTCTAAATGGGTGTGGAGGAAGGCTTCCTGGAGGAGGGGACTTGAAGACTTTTGCATAGAGAATAATTTGGGAAGGGAGTGCAGGAAGAGGGAACTGCATGAGCAAAGGCCAGGAGGCTGGACTGTGTAAATAGTGACCAGGGAGGAAGGGCCTTAAGGTCCCTTTAGGACCACATGGTGAGTTTGAGGGGCACCCAGCTGACCCTGCTGACCCTCTAGCCGACACAGCTGCTCTCAGCCACGCCCGCCTACGGAGCAATAGCATCGGCGCCCGACACTCCACACCAAGGCCTCTGGATGCCGGCCGGGGCCGCCGCCTTGGGGGCCCAAGAGACCCAGCCCCTGAGAAGTCCAGAGCCTCCTCCAGCGGTGGCAGTGGTGGCGGCAGTGGGGGCCGCGTGCCCAAGTCAGCCTCTGTCTCTGCCCTGTCCCTCATCATCACGGCAGGTAATGCCCAAGGCCCCTCTCACCTTTGTCTGTCTGCACCCATTTTCACCAACAGGGTGGGGGCCCTTCCTGAGTTGGGGAGGCTGGGGATGAGCCCCAGAAGAGGGGAGGAGGAGTAGGACACATGGAGAGCTGGGGAGATGGTGTTCCCAGTAGAGGGCACTGCACGTGCAAAGGCCTGGTGGGGTGACCATGCTTGGGACATTGAAGCAACAGCAAAGTGGCCAGGGTGGTCGTTGTGGTGGGAAAGAGGGGGCCCCAGGGGAGACCTGTGAGGGAGTGAGTGACCCCCTCCCTAACCCCCTGCAGATGATGGCAGCGGCGGCCCCCTCATGAGCCCCCTTTCCCCGCGCTCTCTGTCCTCGAACCCGTCGTCCCGTGACTCTTCGCCGAGCCGAGACCCGTCCCCCGTGTGTGGCAGCCTGCGGCCCCCCATCGTTATCCACAGCTCTGGCAAGAAGTACGGCTTCAGCCTGCGGGCGATCCGCGTCTACATGGGTGATAGCGACGTCTACACTGTGCACCACGTCGTCTGGGTGAGTGCCGAGTGGGAATGGCAGGGACCCGGGTTCTAGTTTGACTCTGCCCGGTCATGTCCCTTCTCAGAGCTGCATTTTGGAGCCTGGCAGGGTTAGGTAGATAGAGCTGGTGCCACCGAGTTCATCTCGGTCCCTGTCATTTGGCAGGGAGGAGGTCAGATGAGAGAGACAAGGATGGATGGATGGAAGCTCACAGATCCCAAGTGGCATTAACCTCCCAGCTCCATATGGGGACGCACTGGGCATGTTATCCTCCCTCTCCCAGCCCAAGGGCGTCGAGGCATGCCCTCCCTATTGGTTGCTCCCTGAACAGACACAGAAGGCTTTCTGGAGAAGGGGGCGTAGGAGCTGGGGCTTTGATGGGTGAGTAGGAGTTCCCCCAGGATCAGGGAAACTGAGACAGCACAAGAGGCAGCAGCTTGCTGGGGTCCCACAGCAGACCCAGCCTGGGCTGGGGTCCCCAGATGTGGGGCCCAGGCCATTGACCCCACCGTTCTCGTCTGCCCCCAGAGTGTGGAGGACGGAAGCCCCGCCCAGGAGGCGGGCCTGCGGGCTGGGGACCTCATCACCCACATCAACGGGGAGTCAGTGCTGGGGCTGGTGCACATGGACGTCGTGGAGCTGCTGCTGAAGGTGCGGCACCCCCACTGCCCACCCTCAGGGCTCCCCAGCACCCCTTGGCCGCAGCTCCCGGTTCCCCGTGGTTCTCCGCGTCCAGACACACAACCCCACATTCAATGTCAACTCCAGGCCTGGCACATCCACTTCCTTCGGCCCAGAATACATGTCCTTCTTCAGCCCCCAACATCACCCCTTAGAGCTGCTCCTCCAGGAAGCCCTCCCTTCTCCCTGGGCACCCTCACATCTGTTCCTCCCTCTGGCCTGAGGCCTGGAGGTAGGAGATGGGCTCAAGACAGGAGGAAGGGCCGGGCGCGGTGGCACACGCCTGTAATCCCAGCACTTTGGGAGGCCGAGGCAGGATGATCACCTGAGCTCAGGACTTTGAGACCAGCCTGGGCAACAGAGCGAGACCCCCATCTCTGCAAAAAATTAAAAAATAAAATTAGCTAGGCATGGTGGCATGCGCCTATAGTCCTAGGTACTTAGGAGTCTGAGGTGAGAGGATCGCTTGGGCCGAGGAGGTTGAGGCCATAGTGAGCTGTGATCGTGCCATACTGCACTCCAGCCTGGGACACAGAGTGAGACCCTCCCTGGTTCTAAAAAAATAGAGGGCTCTCATGTGGGCAGCTGCATGGGTGGTTCATTGAATAGCTGGACACTGGGTAGGTGTCTTTGGCCTAATGACTCATGGGCCATTAGGTGAGTGATTGGGGGATGGGGAGATGTTGGGGTGATTAATGGGTGGATACCAGATAGGTGGGTGACAGACCCCGGGAGGGTGGAGAGTGAAGAGGGCAGGCCTCGATCGGCGTTGACCGCAGAGGGAAGGATCTTAGCAGGAGGGGTGGTGCTCCCTGGGCTATTGTTTGACCGGATATATTGGGTAGGTCACTGGTTGTGTGGATGAATGGATGCTGGGGTGGTGGGTCCCAGCTGGTGCCCGGAGTGAAGGGGACATAGCAGCTGCCTGGCAAGTGCTGGGCCCTGTGAGAGGCACAGAGGCAACCCCTCACCATCCCTCCCGCAGAGCGGCAACAAGATATCCCTGCGGACCACAGCCCTGGAGAACACCTCCATCAAGGTGGGCCCCGCCCGGAAGAATGTGGCCAAGGGCCGCATGGCACGCAGGAGCAAGAGGAGCCGTCGGCGGGAGACCCAGGATCGGTGCGCGGCAGTGACCACCAGGGAGCGGTACACAGGGGGCGGGGCCACGGGGACTGGGGTTCTTTTTTTCTTTTCTTTTTCCTTTTTTTTTTTTTTTTTTTTTTGAGACAGAGTCTTGCTCTGTTGCCCAGGCTGGAGTGCAGTGGCTCAATCTCGGCTCACTGCAACCTCCACCTCCCGGGTTCAAGCGACTGTCCTGCCTCAGCCCCCTAAGTAACTGGGACTACGGCGTGCACCATCATGCCCAGCTAATTTTTATATTTTCAGTAGAGACAGGGTTTCGCCATGTTGGCCAGGCTGGTCTCGAACTCCTGACCTTAAATGATCCATCTGCCTCGGCCTCTGAAAGTGCTGGGATTACAGGTGTGAGCCACCATGCCTGGCCAGGAGCAGGGGTTCTGAAGCCTCCGGTTTTCTTACCCCAGGCGGAAGTCACTTTTCAAGAAGATCTCCAAGCAGACCTCCGTGCTGCACACCAGCCGCAGCTTCTCCTCCGGACTCCACCACTCACTGTCATCCAGTGAGAGCCTCCCCGGCTCGCCCACCCACAGCCTCTCCCCCAGCCCCACCACTCCCTGCCGAAGCCCAGCCCCTGATGTCCCAGCAGGTGGGTGCACCCCGACCCCCCACCACCCCGGCTACCCTGGGAGCAAGGGCTGGTGGGCCCCAGGAGGGAGGAAGGAGTTCAGGGGATGGAATGACACGATGTAGGGAAAAAGATGACCGGGATCCTGGTGTCTAGCAGGGAACCTGGGAGTACTTAGAGACGAATGCAGGTGCCAGGGAAGGATGCACCCAGCAGAGGAAACATCATGGACAAATGGGGCTAGACAGGAGGGTGGGAAAACTGAGAAGAGGCCAGGCACGGAGGCTCACGCCTGTAATCCCAACACTTTGGGAGCCCGAGGCAGGAGGATCACTGAGCCCAGGAGTTTGAGACCAGCCTGGGCAACACAGGGAGACCCCATCTGTACAAAACATAAAAAAATTAGGTGGGTGTGAGGCCGGGCATGGAGGCTCACACCTGTAATCCCAGCACTTTGGGAGGCCGAGGCAGGTGGATCACCTGAGGTCGGGAGTTCAAGACCAGCCTGGCCAACATGGAGAAACCCCGTCTGTACTAAAAATACAAAATCAGCCAGGTGTGGTGGCACATGCCTGTAGTCCCAGCTACTAGGGAGGCTGAGGCAGGAGAATCGCTTGAACCCAGGAGGTGGAGGTTGCGGTGAGCCGAGATTGAGCCATTGCACTCCAGCCTGGGCAACAAGAGCAAAACTCCATCTCAAAAAAAAAAATTAGGTGGTTGTGGTGGTGCACACATGTGGTCCCAGCTACTCTGGAGGCTGAGATGGGAGGCTCACTTGAGCCCAGGAGGTCAAGGCTGCAGTGAGCCATGATTGCACCACTGCACTCCAGCCTAGGCAACAGAGTGAGACCCCATCTCAAAAAACAAAAGGGAAAAAAAAAAAGAAAACAGAAGTGATACAGAGAAGGCTTTCTGGAGGAGGGGGAGTAGGAGCTGGGGCTTTGATGGGTGAGTGGGAGTTCACCAGAGCTAGGCCAAGGAAACAACCCTGAGCAGGAGGCAGAAAAGTCTGGCATGAACCAGGCATGATGGCTCATGCCTGTAATCCCAGCACTTTGGGAGGCCAAAGCAGGCGGATCACTTGAGGTCAGGAGTTTGAGACCAGCCTGGCCAACATGGTGAAACCCCAACTCTACTAAAAATACAAAAATTAGCCAGATGTGGTGGCACATGCCTGTAGTCCCAGTTACTTAGGGGGCCGAGGCACGAGAATCATTTCAACCTGGGAGGTGAAGGTTGCAGTGAGCCAAGATCATGCCACTGCACTCCAGCCTGGGTGACAGAGCGAGACTCTATTGAAAAAAAAAAAATTAGCCAGCCATGGTGACGTGCACCTGTTGTCCCAGCTACTCAGGAGGCTGAGTTGTGAGGATCACTTCAGCCCAGGAGGTTGAGGCTATGATTGAGCCAGTGCACTACAGTCTGGGCAACAGAGCAAGACCCTGTCTCAAAAACAAAAACAACCAGGCATGATGGGTGGCCACATGGAAGGATGTGGGCTTTAGCAGTTTTTGTCAGTCCCACAGCTCCACTTCTGGGCTGGGGACATTGAGGCCAGCAGCCCTGACCTACGCTTATCACCCACAGATACCACTGCATCCCCACCCAGCGCATCCCCGAGCTCCAGCAGCCCCGCCTCCCCAGCTGCTGCTGGCCACACCCGCCCCAGCTCCCTGCACGGCCTGGCTGCCAAGCTTGGGCCACCCCGCCCCAAGACTGGCCGCCGCAAGTCCACCAGCAGCATCCCGCCCTCCCCGCTGGCCTGCCCGCCCATCTCCGCGCCCCCACCCCGCTCGCCCTCGCCCCTGCCCGGGCACCCGCCCGCACCTGCCCGATCCCCGCGGCTGCGCCGGGGCCAGTCAGCTGACAAGCTGGGCACAGGGGAGCGGCTGGATGGGGAGGCGGGGCGGCGCACTCGTGGGCCAGAGGCCGAGCTCGTGGTCATGCGGCGGCTGCACCTGTCCGAGCGCCGAGACTCCTTCAAGAAGCAGGAGGCCGTGCAGGAGGTTAGCTTCGATGAGCCGCAGGAGGAGGCCACTGGGCTGCCCACCTCAGTGCCACAGATCGCCGTGGAGGGCGAGGAAGCCGTGCCAGTAGCTCTCGGGCCCACCGGAAGAGACTGATCCCCTGCCAGGTCTCTCCCTGGCATCAAAGTTACGCGTTTTCTTGTGCAATGTTTTTTCCGTAAAGTCATGCCTGGATGGGGACTGAGCCACCAGCCTGACACCCAGAAGGCGAGAAGCCATCTCGGTCCTTGCTGGAAGGTGGAGACATCGCTTGTGTTCTGGTGTCAATCGGGGCTGGATGGGGCAAGAATGGGGGACAAGGGTGGCTTTGTAAATAGCAGCAAATCCCTGCAACTAATTTATTACTTTTTTTTTCTTTTTTTTTTTTTTTTTTTGAGACAGAGTCTCACTCTGTTGCCCGGGCTGGAGTGCAGCGGCGTGATCTCAGCTCACTGCAACCTCCGCCTCCCAAGTTCAAGCGATTGTCCTGCCTCAGCTTCCCAAGTGGCTGGGATTACAGGCGCCCACCACTATGCCCAGCTAATTTTTTGTATTTTTAGTACAGACGGGGTTTCACCATGTTGGTCAGGCTGGTCTCGAACTCCTGACCTCATGATTTGCCTGCCTTTGCCTCCCAAAGTGCTGGGATTACAGGCGTGAGCCACTGGGCCCAGCCTAATTTATTACTTTTTATAAGCGATAGCCGTACTGAGCCGCCCCCTGAAGGCGGCTGCCAGGTCTTGCCCCAGGCACCTGGGACTCTGTTTGCAGGCCCTGCCCTCTGGGCTGAGAAGGATGCACTTTGGACAAGTCATCTGTGTTTGTGTTTTCCAGTTTTTCTGTACTTTTTAAGTGTTTTGTGTTACCTGGTCTCATTCCCCTCCCCACACCTACCCATTTGAGGGGATGGAGTTGAAGTCACCTGGTCACCTGTACCGGCCCAGTTCGGCTACAACCTGGAGTGTCCGTAAACAATTCCTCTCACCCACAAAACAATGTAATCCCAGCGATGGACTGGATTCTGAAGGCCACTTCCCACCATCATAGCTGCCATGCCCAGGCAGTGCCTGCTCTATATATAGAGTCTGCCTCCAATCCTGCTGGCTTCAGCCTGGAGAAGGGATATGGGAGCTGGAGCTTTGATGGATGAATAGGTGTTCACCGGATCTGGGCAGAGGGGTCATCCGCTCCCCAGGTGGGCACTGATAAAGGAAGGTACAGGCCTCACCTGGAACTGCCAAGGCAGCCTCCAGAAATGCTCGGCTGTCTCGGGGCACGCTCCAGTATGCCAGTCCTGCGGGATTACGTCCAGCTACTTCCAGAAACACTCAGTGTCCCCTCCCCTCAGGCTCTGCCTTGGCCTGGCCTTGTCCAGTCTACCCTGGACAAGATGCCGTGTGTTTGAGGCCCAGCAGAGTAAGCCCTTGGCCGTGATGTGTCTGAAACACCTGTTAGGGGTTCCCTCCATATGTCAGAGCCTCTCTGGGATGAAGTTCAAGCCAGAAAACCCAGTCGAGGCTCAAGTTTGAATTTCAGCTTCACTGTGTGGCTCTGGGAAAATGGCTTTCCCACTCTGTGCCTCAGTTTCCTTGTGTTTACAAGACTAATCCCATTGACTGTTTATTAAGCACCTACTGTGTGCCAAGCGCTTTTACGTGGCTTCTCCCTCAGCCAGCCTTGAGAAGGCTGGAGGTGGTGTCATCACCTCCATTTTACAGACAAAGCAGCTGAGACCCCAGCGAGGGGCGGAGACCTGTCCCACGATCACCCAGCAGGAGTCGTGGCAGAACGGAGCATCAGCCAGACCCTGTTGTGGGCGTTGTCATCAAGGGAGCTTGAATGGAGGGTCTGGTGTCAGATACAGCCGACTCCAGCCCCAGCTCATCCCCCATGATGCTGTGTGACCCACTGGGCACTCTGGTGAGGGAGCTTTCCAGACATCAACAGCCCACTCTGCTTCCCTTTCTGAGTCCCCTGTCCAGCACTGCCTAGTGTTGGAGGGTAGACCAAGGCTGTGCATGATTCACCCCCTCCTTCCATCCTGGAGCTGGCAGTGAATAAAAGCCCGTATTTACAAAGATGAGCTCCAACGTCTGGATTTGTGAGGGGCTGAGAAAGGAGGAAGGGAAGAGTGGGGAGGGGAGCGGAGTGAAATAGACCCATGGCTCAAAGTCATTGCAAGTGGGTTTTGAGGACTGCATAGCAGTTCGCTGTTGAGATTCTTCCTGATGCCATCGCTGGTACCAGCCTCCTGCTACCCTCTCCCTGCGAGTACTCCATCATAGCCCTGCCTTTAAAAGCTTCCTCCAGACATCTGGGCCCTGAGCTATGTTTTTTATTTTTATGTTTTTGAGACAAGGTCTCGCTCTGTAACCCAGGTTGGAGTACAGTGGCGCAATCACGGCACATTGCAGCCTCGACCTCCTGGGCGCCCTGGGCTATGTTAATAAAATAAATAAGCGGCGGGGCGCGGTGGCTCACGCCTGTAATCCCAGCACTTTGGAAGGCCAAGGCGGGCGGATCTCCTGAGGTCGGGAGTTCCAAACCACCCTGACCAACATGGAGAAACCCCGTCTCTACTAAAAATACAAAATTAGCCGGGCGTGGTGGCGCATGCCTGTAATCCCAGCTGCTCGGGAGGCTGAGGCAGGAGAATCGCTTGAACTCGGGAGGTGGAGGTTGCGGCGAGCCGAGATAGCGCCATTGCACTCCAGCCTGGGCAACAAGAGCGAAACTCCGTCTCAAAAAATAATAACAAAATAAGCAATCGTCGCGTCCTTTCTATCCTGGTCTTAGCTTGCGCTCTGCCATAAAACTCCCTCTAGCCGAACCCGGCCCAGCCCTAGAGCAATCCGTTACTTCCGGGGCGCTCAGCCGGCATGCAAACACTCTTGGCTACAGCCCCATCTCCGAGTGCGTTCGGCTATTTCCGGAAACCGTCGGCATCTAGGCTCAAGTCCGCTAAATTCTAGTGCCCGTAGGGGTCGAGATCGTTGGCTGTTTCCGGACGCTCTGGGTTGCCATGGAAACTCCTTCAACCCTGGCTTTCTCCGACTTCTGCTTTTTGCGGCAGGCCCTTTCCCCACTCTACTGCCCCCTGTTTGCTGAGCTTGAGAACGCCTCATTTGTCCCCTGGAACCATCTATGCTTCAGTAATTCCCATAAGCTGGCGGTCGCCTCTGGGTCTAAACTCCCAAGGCCTCCATTGGGCACTGAGCACATTCGGTTATTTCCAGAAACGCTCCGCGGTCTTGGGGATCAGCCTCAGTTGTGCCAGTGCGGCCGTAGAGAGTGTTCGGCCATTTCCGAAAGCGCTCGGGCGTCTCTAAGCCCAGCCGAGCCCAGTCTCGGATCCCTCGCCGACCCGATTGCACTCGGCTACCTCTGGAAACGCTCGGCTGTCTCGGGGGCACCCTCTAGTCCACCAGTCCCGCGGGATTACGTTCGGCTACTTCCGGAAACACTCGGGTGCCCCCTTACCTCAGGCTCCGCCTCGGCCTCGGTTCATCCGCCCGGCTCGAATGCGCTCGGGCATTTCCGCCGGGGGCGGGCCAGGCCGCTCGGAACCGTGGCGGCGGCGGAGGCGGGGATCCCGCGGCTGCGGCGACGGTGGCCGCGGTGGAGCCACGGGGCGGGCTTGGCTTGGTGTGACGGCGGCTGCGGCGGCGGTGGCGGCCGCGACCAGGTGAGTCCTGACTGGCCCTCGTGGCGGGGGCGGCTGGGAGTGTGCTTAAATGCGGGGCGCCCGGGGGCAGTGCCGGGCCCCGGTGGAAGCCAGAACGCAAGCGCCAGGCTGCGTCGGGCCCCGCGGGAACTGGGGGGGCCGCAGGCAAGGGGGGGCCTCGGGCTCGGCTCCGCAGCGGTGCAGCCTCCTTGGGACGGTCGGGGCAGAATGGGGAGAGACTCCCCGCGTCCAAGATACCGGACTGGAGCCGAGGCCCCAAATGAAGGGAGGCCCTGCCTGGAATGGGGCTTCGAATAGTACCGAGGGGCGCCCAGGCATTGTGCGGGGCAGAATGGGGTGCGGGAGGGCCGGGGGTCGAACCCACTTCCGGTCCCCTAGCCGGGTGGCCGGGTCCACGCAGACCCAAGTGCGCGTCTGTGTGAGCGCTCAGGCCCTGCCTTCACCCGCGGAGCCCCCAGCCCTGCCTGCCCCGCCCCTCCCGCCTCCCGGATTCGGGGAGCGCTGCTCCCGGGGCGCGCACACCGGGGCGTGGGGGCGGGCTGGCAGGCAGATCCAGGCGGTTTTCTGGGCATCCCCTCTCGGGGCCTCAGTTTCCCCACCTGTAGAATGAGGGTAACAGAGGCCTAGGAATGGGTAAATTGGGCACCCGAGAATGTGGCGCCCCTCCGCCCTGCTCGGACACCTCTTGGGGTTCCCCGTGACTGAAGGATGCTCAGAGCCTCCACCTGACACTCGGGCCTCTTGGTGGATAGCACCTATCCTTATAGCCACCCTGAATCCTTGACAAGCAACTTAACCCACTGCCAAGGCTTTGCATGTGCCGTTCCGTCTGCCTGTCGCGCCTTCCTATCCGCTGTGATGATCCATTCTCTAGAACAGCACGTCCATCCCCCGACCCTAGCCCTGTCCATCACAGGGCGTCTGAACCCGCAGGGCTAGGCTGGGAATGTGTGCCTATCTCCGCCTCCCCAGGCTGGGACTCCTGGGGAATAATCAATGCCCTGCTGCCGGCAGCCTCCCCTCCTCCTCAGCTGCAGTACCCCCACCTTCTCCTGGCTCCCTGTCCCTGCCTGGGGCTAAGGTTCCTTCTAAGCACCTCCCCATCTGCATTTTGTGCCTACTCTGGGCCCCAGGCTGGAGCTACCTGCCAGCCCACTCACTCCTCCTCTGCAGAGACTGGAGGTCCATTTGCTTGGACTCACCTCGAGGCCTTTGCTTGTGTAGAGGCCTCTTCCTGGACTTTGTTCCCTACCTCTTAGTTCAGCTGGCCTGACCCCTCTATGGAGCTCCCAAAGCACCCGGAGTGGCCTCCATTGCGTCCTCCCTGCCCTAGGTATCTGGCCACCTGGCTGCTGCCCCCTCATGTCCAACTGGGCCAAGTCGGCAGATCTAGGTGTAAGTCCTGGCTTCCTCCTGGCCTACTGCACGGCCCTAGATACCTCCCTGCTCTGAGCCTCAGTTTCCCCATCTGTAACAGGGGTGATGAAAAGCCTGTTTACTGGCCGGGCGCGGTGGCTCACACCTGTAATCCCAACACTTTGGAAGGCAGAGGCAGGAGGACTGCTTCAGCCCAGGAGTTTGCGACCAACCTGGGCAACATAGCAAGACCCCACCTCTATTGGAAAAAAAAAAAAAAAGGCTGGGCAAGGTGGCTCATGCCTGTAATCCCAGCACTTTGGGAGGCCAAGGCGAGCAGATCACTTGAGGTCAGGAGTTCAAGACCAGCCTGGCCAACATGGTGAAACCTCGTCTCTACTAAAAATACAAAAATTAGCTGGGTGTGGTGGCCTGCTACTCGGGAGGCTGAGGCAGGAGAATTGCTTGAACCTGGGAGACAGGTTGCAGTGAGCTGAGATCACACCACTGCACTCCAGCCTGGGTGACAGAGCAAGACTCTATCTCAAAAAAAAAAAAAAAAAAAACTGATTTACTGAGCATGTAGTATACCTGGGGCAGGTTCTTGGGAACTCTACTCCCAGCAGCTCCAAGGGAAGGCTGTCAGTATACCCATTTTACAGATAGAGAAGCTGAGGCCCTGAGAGGGACCGGCCCCAAGGTCACCCAGTGATTCAGGGAATTCCAAATCAGGATTTGGGCCCATCTCCGTGTTGGGGGTGAGAGGAGTTGGCCTGGCTAACGCTGCCCTATCCCTGTCTCCCTAGGTCGGCGTCCTCAGCTGGCCGAGCATGGTGGCAGCCTGCACCCTTGGCTCCCTTGTCTGGTGCAGCCAGCAGAGCCGCCAGCCTTGGGCGCCCATGGCCCTCCGTGTGAGGGCGTGAGCGGCCTGCCCCAGCCTCACCTGCTGATGGAGGACTCAATGGCCCAGTGACCTGACACCACACCACCAACTCCCTCCCACCAGCTGACGAATGGTGGACCCAGTGACGAGTGGCCCTTGTAAGGGTCATGGAATAATTTGAAGCGAGGCATGAGCGGCCCCTGTGGTCGCCTGTGACTGCTGGAGATAGAGGTCCCAGCACCCCAAGCCAACCCAGCGGACCCTCCCAGCCCTGCTTCAACCAATGGGGCCAGTGGGGCTCCAAGCAGCCACCTAACCATCCAGACCCCACCCCACTCACGCGGCCATGGCGGGCCCTGAGGGCTTCCAGTACCGCGCTCTGTACCCGTTCCGCCGGGAGCGGCCGGAGGACCTGGAGCTGCTGCCCGGCGACGTGCTGGTAGTGAGCCGGGCGGCCTTGCAGGCGCTGGGCGTGGCCGAGGGTGGCGAGCGCTGCCCACAGAGCGTGGGCTGGATGCCCGGCCTCAACGAGCGCACACGGCAGCGAGGTGACTTCCCTGGCACCTATGTGGAGTTCCTGGGGCCCGTGGCCCTGGCCCGGCCCGGCCCTCGCCCACGGGGCCCCCGCCCACTGCCCGCCAGGCCCCGTGATGGGGCCCCTGAGCCAGGTGAGCAGCAAGCAGGGGCCCTGGAAAGGGGGGTGGTCCCCTCAGACCCTTGGTCTCCTCTTCTGTCCAGTGAGGCAATGGGATCTCCAAGGAAGGAGGAAAAAGGACATTTGGTCATTTGACAAGTGTCTTCAGTGCTAGGCTCAGCAGTGGACACAAGGCCTGTTCCTGCCCTCATGAGCTTCTGGTTCAAGAAGGGATGAGAGTGGGTTCAGGAGGTGACACATGCCATGAGGAAGGGGGCTTGCGTGGGAAGATGCGAGGGTGGAAGCTCAAGGCAGTGGGGGCAGCGAGGGCAGAGGCTGTGGAGTAGAACTCTAATGGCGGGAACGGCCAGCAGGAGGACCAGAGGGAGGAAGGGGAGGGCAATGTGCGCTGGCATGGAGGACTTAGTGGGATTGATTTTGAGGACAATGGAGAGTGTTCAGTAGGATTCAGAGGCTCAGCCTAGCTTCATCCTGCCTTTTGCAGACAGGGTCCCTTGAAGAACCCCTTTGGAGACCCTGATTTCCAAAATGAAGCCACAAGGAGGGTAGGATGTGGGCTGCTCAGCTGAGGCCACACAGCACAGTGGGATATGAGGACCCCACATCCCTCTTCAAAGACCCTTGGCCATCACCACTTGCCAGGGGTGTGCCAGGTGTAGAGAATCGGGGGCACCGAGCCCACTCAGTGACTGCTGTTTGATGGGCAGGGAGTGTGGGCTCTGGCCGGGGAAACTGTGGCCCAGGTTGCAAGGAGGAGGCTAAGAGGTGCTGCATGCTCGGCATGGTCTGCTCCGACCCTCCCAGCAGCCCAGCAAAAGGCCCTGTGTGCAGACCGGGAGGCCTGAGTGCAAGGCCGTCAAATGCCGTACTTGAAACCAGTTGGTCACCCAGGGAGGCCAAAGCCCCGGGAGGTGCCAGGCCTGCTTTGTGCCAGGGTGACATTGCCCAAAGGCAAACCAGAGTCCCCCAGCGCAGGGCGGAATAGGGGGTGCTGAGGTGGTGCGACGCTGGCCCCAGCCTCCAGGCATCTGGTATCTCCAGGGCCCAGGCCTGCGTCCTGCCTCGGCCTGAAGGAGCAGGAGGTGGCCCCGTCTGGGCTCCCAGCCAGAATCTGCCTCTCCCCCTGGTAACAGCCACCTCCCTCCTCTGCCTGGCCTCTGTCCAGCCACCATACACGGCCCCACGTGGGGCGGCTGCCCAGCCCCACCCTCTGAATCTTCCAGGGTTATGTGACCTCGGCCAGAACCCGCCCCCTCGAGGCCTCAGTTTCCTCATCTGGAAACAACAGGGTTGGTCCCTGGGGATGCTGGGACCCAACCCCTCGGAAATGTGCTGAAGTCACCTGAGCCCCACCTGGCTGTGCACCCACGGGGGAGGTTGCAGCCCCTCTGACCCACAATTCCTCACCTGCAAAGTCGGGGTGATGCAGTTCTGATGGGAACCCCCTCCCCATTCTGCAGATTGATCCCAGGCCACTCTCAGGGTTGAGTTTCCCAACCCACCGGCCAGAGTGTCACCCACCTCCACCTCCTCCTTGTCCTTTTCCTTTTTTTTTTTTTTTTTGGCGTTTTCGTTGCAGCTGGGCCTTTCTCCAGCTTGAGGCGCCACCTGGCCCATCACTCAGGGAGGCCCCGCAGGCCCCGGCTTGCCCCTGCTGTGTGCCAGGGCGTCCCCGCCGAGGGCCAGAGCAGCGTCCAATGGTGGCAGACAGCGAGCTGCTGAGGCGGGGATGCTGCACACAAAAGGCCCTGTAGTGCTGGGAAGCCAGGGCTGGGAGGGGGCTGGGCCCAGGATGCCGCCGGCACCCGCTAGGAGGGGTTTCAGCTTTTCCAAAAGGGGAGCAATAATTTTCTTTCTTTTCTAAATTTTAATTTGGGGAAGAAATAATTTTTTAGAAGCAAAATGATTAAGAAAACGGGTCATGGTCCTTGGAAGGAAGCTGTTCTGACCCAGGCCGGGATATTTTTCTTTTCTTTCCTTTCAACCACTTTTTTGTTTGCATCAAGAAGGGAGAAGCGGGCCGGGCACAGTGGTTCATGCCTGTAATCCCAGCACTTTGGGAGGCCAAGGCGGGTGGATCACTTGAGGTCAGGAGTTCAAGACCAGCCTGGCCAACAGGGTAAAACCCCATCTCTACTAAAATAATACAAAAATTAGCCAGGCATGGTGGCACCCACCTATAATTCCAGCTACTTAGGAGGCTAAGTCACGAGAATCGCTTGAACCCGGGAGATGGAGGTTGCAGTGATCCAAGATCATGCCACTGCACACCAGCCTGGGTGACAGAGCAAGACTCCATCTCAAAAAAACAACAACAACAACAACAACAAAAAACGAGGAGGCCAAGGCAAGTGGATCGTTAGGGGCCAGGAGTTTGAGGCTGCAGTGAGCTAGGATTGCGCCACTGCACTCCAACCTGGGTGACAAAGCAAGAACCTGTCTCAAAAAAAATGAGAGGCAATGTCATTGGCCCATTTTTCATTTGAAGGAACTGAGGCCCAGAGAGGGCAGGTCCTGTGGCCAAGATTGCACAGCAGGTTGTGGCAGAGCCCAAACCTGCTATATGACTTTCAGTGGCTGCCGCAAAAATTACCACCAACTAGGTGGCTTCAAACAATGGAAATGTTATTTATTAATTAATGTATCTTTTTGTTTTGTTTTGTTTTGTTTTGAGATGGAGTTTCGCTCTTGTCGCCCAGGCTGGAGTGCAATGGCGCAATCTTGGCTCCTGCAACCTCTGCCTCTCGGGTTCAAGCGATTCTCCTGCCTCAGCCTCCCGAGTAGCTGGGATTACAGGCACGTGCCACCACGCCTGGCTAATTTTTGTATTTCTAGTAGAGACAGGGTTTTACCATGTTGGTCAGGCTGGTCTCAAACTCCTGACCACAAGTGATATGCTCACCTCGGCCTCCCAAAGTGCTGGGATTATAGGAGTGAGCCACTGCGCCTGGCCTCCTTTTTTTTTTTTTTTTTTTAAATTATTTAAGAGATGGGGTCTCACTCTGTTGCCCAGGCTGGTCTTGAACTCCTGGACTCAAAGGATCCTCCTGCCTTGGCCTCCCAAAGTGTTGAGATTACAGACGTGAGCCTTTGCACCCCACCACAACAGAAACTTATTCTGTCATGTTTCTGGAGGCTGGAAGTCCAAAATCAGGGTCGTGCCCCCTCTGAAGTTTCCTTCCTTGCAGCTTCTGGTGCCTCCAGGCATTCATTCCTCTCATGCATGGGTTGATTATTCCAGTCTCTGCCTTGGCTTTCTCTTCTTTTTTTTGAGACAGAGTCTCACTCTGTCACCCAGACTGGAGTGCTATGGCATGATCTCAGCTCACTGCAACCTCCGCCTCCTGGGTTCAAGCAATTCCTGCCTCAGCCTCCTGAGTAGTTGGGATTACAGGTGCGCACCACCACACCTGGCTCATTTTTTTTTTGTATTTTTAGTAGAGATGGGGTTTCACCATGTTGGCCAGGCTGGTCTTGAACTCTTAACCTCAAGTGACCTGCTGGTCTCAGCCTCCCAAAGTACTAGGATTACAGGCATGAGCCACCGCACCCGGCCTGTTGACTTATTTTTGAAACGGAGTCTTGCTCTGTCGCCCAGGCTGGAGTGCAGTGGTGCAATCTTGGCTCACTGCAACCTCCGCCTCCCGGGTTCAAGCGATTCTCCTGCCTCAACCTCCCGAGTAGCTGGGATTACAGGCACCCACCACCACGCCCAGCTAATTTTTCTGATTTTAGTAGAGACAGGTTCGCCATGTTGGTCAGGCTGGTTCGAATTCCTGGCCTCAGGTGATCCACCCACCTCGGTCTCCCAAAGTGCTGGGATTCCAGGCTTGAGCCGCCATCCTGGCCGGCTTTCTCTTGTTACAAGGACATCAGCCAGTGGGTTTAGTGTCCACCCTAATGCCAGGCTGGTCTCATGTACAGATTCTTGCTTTCCTTACACCTGCAAAGACCTATTTCCAAATAAGGTCACAGGTACCAGGGATGAGGACTTGGACATATCTTTTTGGGGACTTTATTCAGCGCACTCCACCTAGTCTGTGAAGTTGTGTGAACTCCTCATATTCTAACCCAGAAAATTGTGTCCCATCAATTCTGCCCTTTCCCAGCCCCTCCACCCAAGGTCTTGCAGCCTCCTGCGGATGGGAGTCAAGGTGCCAAGCACTTGCCTGAGCTGGGCCCTGCCTCAAACTGCCCCAGCTGAGGTTCAGCCAGCAAAGAGAGGGGCTGGGCTCCTTCCAGGAACCCCACCAACATGCAACCCCCCTGTTTCCCCCACCAGGCCTCACACTCCCCGACTTGCCCGAGCAGTTCTCCCCACCTGATGTGGCTCCCCCTCTTCTGGTGAAGCTTGTGGAGGCCATTGAAAGGACAGGTAAGTTCCAGCCTGGCTGCAGCCCCTGGATTCTGCTTGCTTACCTCTAGTGACAGGCGACTCATCCTCTCACAGGGCCTCCAAGCTCATGCTGCACGGAAACAGGCTGAGCCTGGATGCCCTGGGCCTCTATGTTGAATAGGGCACAGAGTGACTCCTAAGGGAAGATGGGAAGGTGAACATGACCAGGCCACTGCATGTGCTGTGCCCTCTCCCAGTTCTCCCTCCCCACCCCTCCCATGCCCTTATCTCTGGGCAGCAAAGGGAGACTGCAGGGGGGTTGAGCGGCCAGTCCAGGCCTCACGAGGTCGGGGCAGCATTTGAGAGCTGACTCGCCTGTCCCCTTCACCCCCAGGGCTGGACAGCGAATCTCACTACCGCCCGGAGCTGCCCGCACCGCGTACAGGTGAAGGGGAGCCTCAATGGGGTTGGGAGGAGGCTGGGGGCCCCAGTACACATGAGTTGGACGTGTGCCCCCCTGCACCCGCAGACTGGTCCCTGAGCGACGTGGATCAGTGGGACACGGCAGCCCTGGCTGACGGCATTAAGAGCTTCCTGCTGGCACTGCCCGCGCCGCTCGTGACCCCCGAGGCCTCGGCCGAGGCGCGCCGGGCCCTGCGGGGTGAGCCTGGCGGGTAGCCCGGGGGAAGGAGGGGGCTGTAGCGGGTGGGAGGGCCCAGGCCTGGCTCACCCTGCCCTGGCCATCTGTCCGCAGAGGCCGCGGGGCCCGTGGGGCCGGCGCTGGAGCCACCGACGCTGCCGCTGCACCGCGCGCTCACGCTGCGCTTCCTGCTCCAGCACCTGGGCCGCGTGGCCAGCCGCGCCCCGGCCCTGGGTCCCGCGGTCCGGGCCCTGGGCGCCACCTTTGGGCCGCTGCTGCTGCGCGCGCCGCCGCCGCCGTCCTCGCCGCCGCCAGGGGGCGCTCCCGACGGGTGAGGGGCGGGGCGGAGCCGGAGCGAGCAGGGGTGGAGTTTGGGGTGGGGCGGGCGGGGCATGGCCAGAGTGAGCGGCGTCTAGACCCTAAGAAGGGAGGGGATGGGGTCCAGAGTGAGAAGCTGCGTTCTTGTGATGACGGAGCGGAGACCTGGGCTCCTGAGTCGTGGGACAGAAGGTGAAGGGGCCTAGTCCCGAAGCATGTGGGTGGTGCCTGCACCTTCCCTTCTGCTCGTCGCAGCTCCGGTACTGGTCTCTCGCTCGCCTTTGTGTGAGAATCTATGGAGCACTTACTGCATACAGCTATGAGGGAGCTGGCCTCGCACATGTGCCTGTATCATCTCCTCCTCCGCCCTGCACATACTGTCTCGTATATACCCCCAGGCGTGCAAGCGCACGCACAATCCTGTGCACATGCGTGGGCGGACAGGCCCTACCCAGCCCTCACCACACTCCCCTTCCCCCTAAGGAGTGAGCCCAGCCCTGACTTCCCGGCGCTGCTGGTGGAGAAGCTGCTTCAGGAACACTTGGAAGAGCAGGAGGTTGCGCCCCCAGGTGAGTCCCCTGTATTGCTGTCATTTCTTCCCGTTGGGGGCCGTAAATACTGATCCCTGAGTGCTGCCGGCATCAGCAGGCTGGTTGCAGTGGGAGGCAGCCACAGTATACAGTCGGTGCTCAGGATGCATTTGTTTTCCTGTCCCCCAGCGCTGCCGCCTAAACCCCCCAAGGCAAAGCCGGCCTCCACAGTCCTGGCCAATGGAGGGAGCCCACCCTCCCTGCAGGATGCTGAGTGGTACTGGGGGGACATTTCAAGGTAGGTTGCTGGCAGGGGGCCAGGGACCAAGGAGGTGTCACAGGGTGAGCGGGGTCTCCAGGTGGCTCGGCAGTCCCAATGTTGGATGTTCCCACAGGGAGGAGGTGAACGAGAAACTCCGGGACACTCCCGATGGCACCTTCCTAGTCCGAGATGCTTCTAGCAAGATCCAGGGCGAGTACACGCTGACCCTCAGGTGGGGGCCTGTCCCTGCAAGGATAACCGGGGGTCACAGGTCACAGAGACCGGGAGTTCAGAGGGGATAGAACATGTGCGGTTTCAAGAATGGAGGGCCAGGCACGGTGGCTTACACCTGTAATCCCAGCACTTTGGGAGGCTGAGGCTGGCAGAACACCTGAGGTCAGGAGTTTAAAACCAGCCTGGCCAACATGGTGAAACCCCGTCTCTACTAAAAAATTAAAAAAAAAAATTAGCCAGGCATGGTGATGGATGCCTGTAATCCCAACTACTCGGGAGGCTGAGGCAGGAGAATTGCTTGAACCCGGGAGGTGGAGGTTGCAGTGAGCCGAAATCGCACCACTGCACTGCAGCCTGGACAACAGAGCAGCAAGACTCTGTCTCAAAAAAAAAGGGGACAGGGATTGAGGGTCAGGTGCGGGGTCCCACTGGGTGCCGACACCCCTCTCCTCCCCCAGGAAAGGCGGGAACAATAAGCTGATCAAGGTCTTCCACCGAGATGGGCACTATGGCTTCTCAGAGCCACTCACCTTCTGCTCCGTTGTGGACCTCATCAATCACTACCGCCACGAGTCTCTGGCCCAGTACAATGCCAAGCTGGACACACGGCTCCTCTACCCTGTGTCCAAATACCAGCAGGTCCGTGCTGGCCTGGGAGCCAGGGAGGGTAGCACCTGGCTGGCCCCAGGCCTCAGTTTCCTAGGTAGACCCGACCAGGCTATGCATCTCCCCTCATTCCGCCACGTATCTCCAGGACCAGATTGTCAAGGAGGACAGCGTGGAGGCAGTGGGCGCCCAGCTTAAGGTCTATCACCAGCAGTACCAGGACAAGAGCCGCGAGTATGACCAGCTTTATGAAGAGTACACACGGACCTCCCAGGTACTCCAGGCCCCGTACATGAGGGAAACCGAGACATAGAGGGGCAGTGGCAAGGCCGGGAGCAGGATGACCAACCCCAGAGGACTTGAGGATGAATATCCAGTTGCAGGTCACAGAGCAGGCACTTAGCACCAAGGGCTGTTCTAAAAACATAGAAATAAGGCCAGGCACAGTGGCTCCCGTCTGTGTACTTGGGAGGCAGAGACAGGAGGATCACTTGAGCCCAACAGTTCAAGATCCTTCTAGGCAACATAGGGAGACCCGTCTACAAAAAAATTTAAAAATTAACTGGGTGTCGTGGTGCATGCTTCTACTCCCAGCTACTCAGGAGGCTGAGGTGGGAGGATCCCTTGAGCCTGGGAGTTTGAGGCTGCATTGAATTGTGATCATGCTGCTGCACTCCAGCCTGGGTGACAGGGCACGACCTTGTCTCTAAAAACAGAAATAAGCGTACGAGGCTGGGTGGGGTGGCTCACGCCTGTAATCCCAGCACTTTGGGAGGCCGAGATGGGTGGATCACCTGAGGTCAGGAGTTCGAGACCAACTTGGCCAACATGTTGAAACCCTGTCTCTACTAAAAATACAAAAATTAGCTGGGCATGGTGGCGGACGCCTGTAATCCCAGCTACTCAGAGGCTGAGGCAGGAGAATCGCTTGAGCCTGGGAGGCAGAGATTGCAATGAGCCAAGATCGTGCTACTACACTCCAGCCTGGGTGACAAGAGTAAAACTCCATCTAAAAAAATAATAATAATTAAAATAAAAAAATAAGTGTACAAGCTTTTACAAAACCAAAAAAGGACAGATGAGAAGGGCCCAACCAGCCTCACAGGAGTGGCTGAGCCAGGACCTGGGGAGTGTCCAGGATGAGCCTATCTCCGGCTGGCCCTCAGTTTTCCCATCTGCAGAATGGAACCAGGCACCTTGATTACTTATGTCCCCTTCAACCAAGATGTTATTCAAAATGAAATCATGCCAGGTGCAGGGCGCGCACCTCTAATCCCAGCTACTCGGAAGGCTGAGGCGGGAGGATCGCTTGAGCCCAGGAGTTCAAGACTAGCCTGGGTAACATAGCAAGACTTTGTCTCTTAAAAAAATAAAATAAAAATTAAGTGAAAGGTTTTGTCACTCAAGGACTGTGCTAATAAGCTTCTTTTGCAAGTTAAGAGGGAATAGATTCAGGTGGAACAGCTGGGAATTCCTCAGTCGTCCCTAGTACCCTAAGGGTTTTCTGTCCTCTTTTTTTTGTTTTGTTTTTTTTTTTTTGAGACAGTGTCTTGCTCTGTCATCCAGGCTAGAGTGCTGTGGCATGATCTCAGCTCACTGCAACCTCCGCCTCCCTGGTTCAAGCGATTCTCCTGCCTCAGCCTCCCAAGTAACTGGGACTACAGGCACGTGCCACCATGCCTGGCTAATTTTTGTATTTTTAGTAGAGATGGGGTTTTGCTGTGTTGGCCAGGCTGGTCTCGAACTCCTGGCCTCAAGTGATCTGGCTGCCTCGGCCTCCCAAAGTTAAAAAAAAAAAAAGAAAAAAAAAATTTAATAAAATTAAAAGGTAGGCCGGGCACAGTGACTCATGCCAGTAATCCCAGCACTTTGGGAGGCCGAGGCAGGCAGATCATCTGAGGTCAGGAGTTTGAGACCAGCCTGGCCAACATGGTGAAACCCCATCTCTACCAAAAAGATAAAAAAATTAGCCGAGCCAGGCACAATGGCTCAAGCCTGTAATCCCAGCACTTTGGGAGGCTGAGGCAGGTGGATCACGAGGTAAGGAGTTCAAGACCAGTCTGGCCAACATGGTGAATCCCTGTCTCTACTAAAAATACAAAAAATTAGGCGTCATGGCATGCACCTGTAATCGCAGCTACTCAAGAGGCTGAGGCAGGAGAATAGCTTGAACCTGAGAGGTGGAGGTTGCAGTGAGCCGAGATCACACCATTGCACTCCATCCTGGGACAGAGTGAGACTCCGTCTCAAAAAAAAAAAAAAAAAAAAAATTAGCCGGGCATGGTGGCTCACACCTGTAATACCAGCTACTTGGAAGGCTGAGGCAGGAGAATCACTTGAACCCAAGAGGCAGAGGTTGCAGTGAGCCAAGATCACGCCACTGCTCCAGCCTGGGCGACAAGAGCAAGACTCCATCTCAAACAAAAAAAATTTTGAGGTGCTGTCTCACCATGTTGCCCAGGCTGGCCTCAGACTCCTCAGGGTTCAAGAGATCCTCCCACTTTAGCCTCCCTACTAGCTGGGATTACAGGCATTCGCCACCACCCCTGGCCTCTGTCCCCTTTTTACTGATGTGTTAGCTGAGGCTCTAAATGGACAAGACAGTTGTCCAGGATCAGTTAGGAGCACTGTAACCTCAGAATTGACTTTGGCCCTGAGCCTCAGTTTCTCTGTTAATAGTTGTTACTTTGTTAGGGGTTGTTGGAAGGGTCCATGGGACAAAGTAAGGAAAGTCGTAGTGCGGCATCTCCCCCAAGAAGCCCTGTGAGCTGTAGCAACTAGATCTGTCATTCATTCTTAGCAGTGTTAACAGGTCCAGGTGTTTGTGGATACCTATAGGAGGATGTAAAGAAGAAGAGGGTTTGGGGGGTGGGGTTTTGAAGGCTGAATAGGAGTTCATTTGGTGCAGCAGGCGTTAGAAGAATGACACTCTGATAGAGGGACCAGCTTGAGCAGTCTCCGTATCAGAGTTGAGATGTGCCTTTACCCCTCACGAGGGCCTTTTGGGGAGTCCCAGGAGGTGCTGAGCTGCGCCCCCTCCTCCAGGAGCTGCAGATGAAGCGTACTGCAATTGAGGCCTTCAATGAGACTATCAAGATCTTTGAAGAGCAGGGCCAGACTCAAGAGAAATGCAGCAAGGAATACCTGGAGCGCTTCCGGCGTGAGGGCAACGAGAAAGAGATGCAAAGGTGAGTCTGGCGCCTCTGCCCTGCCCCACCCCACCCTGATCTGGTGCAGTACAAGCCAGGGAGGGAAGGAAGCAGAAGGAGGCCAGCCACTTGGAGGCAAAGAGTAGTCTGTTGAAATGGACTTTGGGCCTGGTGCGATGGCTCAGGCCTGTAATCCCAGCACTTTAGGAGGCCGAGGCGGGTGGATCTCCTGAGGCCAGGAGTTTGAAACCAGCCTGGCCAACATGGTGAAACCCTGTCTCTATTAAAAATACAAAAATTAGCTAGGCATGATGGTGCGCACCTGTAGTCCCAGCTACTTGGGAGGCTGAGGCAGGAGAATCGCTTGAACCTGGAGTTGGAGGTTGCAGTGAGCCGAGATTGCACCACTGCACTCCAGCTTGGGTGACAGAGAAAGACTGTCTCAAAAAAAAAAAAAAAAAAGAAATGGGCTTTGAAGGATGAATAGGAGTTTGCTAGAAAGAGAAATCAGAGGAAACAGCATATGCACAGGCTCAGAGGCTGGAAGCACATAGTCTGGTGCAAAGTAGGTCCTTGAGAAAACCCTGGAGGCCGGGTGCAGTGGCTCATTCCTGCAACCCCAACACTGTGGGAGGCTGAGGCAGGAGGATTGCTTGATCCCAGGAGTTTGAGACCAGCCTGGGCAACATGGCAAAATCTACCTCTACAAAAAATATTAAAATGTTAGCCAGACATGGTGGTGCACACCTGTGGTCCCAGCTACTCGGGAGGCTGAGGTAGGAGGGTCACCTGAGCCCAGGAGTTTGAGGGTGCAGTGAGCCGAGATAAAACCCTGAGGTCTCTGCGCCACCCCACCCCTCCCACAGGATCCTGCTGAACTCCGAGCGGCTCAAGTCCCGCATTGCCGAGATCCATGAGAGCCGCACGAAGCTGGAGCAGCAGCTGCGGGCCCAGGCCTCGGACAACAGAGAGATCGACAAGCGCATGAACAGCCTCAAGCCGGACCTCATGCAGCTGCGCAAGATCCGAGACCAGTACCTCGTGTAAGTGGCGGCTCCATACTTCCCTGCGGCTCCCTGGCGACTGCTGCGGCACATGGAGATCTCTCTAGGAGTCTCAGTCTCTCTCTCTCCACCAAGTGGCCCTTCCTGGGCCCCGAGACCCCTTAAACTCGGTTCCTCCCGGGCCCCTTGAAAGTTTTCCCATAGGTCAGCCTCAGCTTAGTCAGAGGTGTGTGCAATGGGAGTGTCACTCCTATCCCATTCCATTTTGTGGAAAGTTGGAAGCCTTCCACAAAAATTCCTGCTGGGCTGGGCGCAATGGCTCACACCTGTAATCCCAGCACTTTGGGAGGCTGAGGCGGGCAGATGGATCACTTGAGGCCAGGAGTTCAAGACCAGCCTGGCCAACATGGTGAAACCCCGTCTCTACTAAAAATAAAAAATACAAAACCCGGCCAGGCATGGTGGTGGGCGCCTGTAATCCCAGTTACTCAAGAGGCTGAGGCAGGAGAATCACTTGAACGGGGAGGTGGAGTTTGCAGTGAGCAGAGATTATGCCAATGCAGTTCAGCCTGGGCAACAGAGCAACACTCTGCCTCAGAAAAGAAAAGAAAAAAAAAATCGCCTGCTGTGCAACCTACCATGCTGGGTGGCTGCGGCAGCCCTGTCCTGGGTTCAAATCAGTTCAAATCCTGCCCCCACCCACCAACCTCCTGAAGACCTCAGCCAGAGCCTCCACCTCCCTCTTGGGCCTCAGGGAGGGCACTGTCGCGTGCCAGGTGCTGTGCTAAGCACCGTGCTCGTTATGAGTTCATTTGGTCCTTTTCAAGCCCTTTGTAAAGTTTGCCCTTTACAGCTGGGGAGACTGAGGCACAGAACCGACAGCTGCCCTGTGCAAAGGCCAGCAGTGCTGGAGTGAGCCTCTGGTGATGATGAGGGGCCTGGGCTGGCATCTTCTTGGGGGACTCCATAGGCGTTAACAGAAACAAAAAAATGAGGGGTGTGGGTCAGGGTTCCCCAGCAGAGCTGGGCGAGCCACCCTGGGTTCAGGCTGCCCTGAGCCAGGTCAGCTCTGCCCTCTTGTGGCAACCGGAGATATTGTACCCAGAACCCTCTCTCCTCAGCCAGACCCTGCCTCCCACCGGACAGGCCCACTGTGGGCTCAGCACCCACACAACTGCACAAGCCCACCTTTCCTGTTCCTTCTCAGGTGGCTCACCCAGAAAGGCGCCCGGCAGAAGAAAATCAACGAGTGGCTGGGGATTAAAAATGAGACTGAGGAGTGAGTGACCGTCTGGAGGGAGGCAGGGAGGGCTTCCCAGAGGAGGGGGCCATTTGGGGTGGGTTTCGAAGAATGAGTAGGAGTTCACCAGGGAGGAAAAGTTGTCCAGGCAGCTGGGGAGCCTCGGAGGCTGGCAGGTGAGTGACCAGGGCCCTCCCCGCCACCGCCCCCCACCCCAGCCAGTACGCACTCATGGAGGACGAGGACGATCTCCCGCACCACGAGGAACGCACTTGGTACGTGGGCAAGATCAACCGCACGCAGGCAGAGGAGATGCTGAGTGGCAAGCGGGATGGCACCTTCCTCATCCGCGAGAGCAGCCAGCGGGGCTGCTACGCCTGCTCCGTGGTGTGAGTGGACCGCAGCGGTGGGGATTCCCGCGTCCCTCCCAGAGCTCTCATTGAATGCCTGCCGCGTGCCAGGCCTTGGGAAGGAGTCCCTGGTGGGGTCATCCGGGACAGGGGAGCACGCGGCCCTGGAACGGGGAAAGCTTGGCGGGGAGGCCAGCCTTCCGACTCCCCCTCTCGTCTGCCCCCACAGAGTGGACGGCGACACCAAGCACTGCGTCATCTACCGCACGGCCACCGGCTTCGGCTTCGCGGAGCCCTACAACCTGTACGGGTCGCTGAAGGAGCTGGTGCTGCACTACCAGCACGCCTCGCTGGTGCAGCACAACGACGCGCTCACCGTCACCCTGGCGCACCCAGTGCGCGCCCCGGGCCCCGGCCCGCCGCCTGCCGCCCGCTGAGCACCGAGGACCCGCCCCAAGCAGAGCCGCCCCTGGGCCCGTCTGCGCCGGAGGCTGCGGCGGCGGGAGCCACGGACCAGACCAGCCACATCCAGGGGTCCTCATTTCTCCGGCTCTGGCTCTTGTTTGGGGTTCTCTCACCCTCTTTCTCTTTCCTTCCCTCCCCCATTCTCCAGATCTCCCTCTGTCTCCTTTTCTCTGTCTTTCTTGGCCCCTGTCTCTCTCCATGTTGGGGGTCCTAACTCCCCCACCCCATATCTACGTGTCCTCCGGGCATTGCCCTCTCCATGGCTCTGGTCACCCTGACCCTCTGCCCTGCCCACCGCAGGTCCCCCGGGGTCCCGGAAGCCCCTTCTGGCTGCACCTGCCATGTTTACAGAGGGCCCCTGGGCTGCGCGGCCCCAGCCTGGGCACCCTGATTTTTAAGCCATAGACCTGGGGTCAGGGCAGGAAGGAACTTCACTCTGCTGCTTCCGAGAACCTCGGCCGTGACATTCGGGGCCGGGCGGGACCCGCCCCACAGACTCCAACTTCCCCTCCAAACCCCGAAGTGAAACCCGCCACCGGGTTACCCCCACAAGGGGGCCGCTGCGAGAAGTTCACCCACCCCCGAAAAAATAATTAAACTCGCAGGCCAGGCACGGTGGCTCATGCCTGTAATCCCAGCACTTTGGGAGGCCAAGACGGGCGGATCTTTTGAGGTCGGGAGTTGGAGGCCAGCCTGGCCAAAATGGCAAAACCCCGCATCTACTAAAATACAAAAATTAGCCGGGCGTGGTGGCGGCCGCCTGTAATCCCAGCTACTTGGGAGGCTGAGGCGTGAGAATCTCTTGAACCCAGGAGATGGAGGTTGCAGTGAGCAGAGATCGTGCCACTGCACTCCAGCCTGGGTAACAGAGGGAGACTCCTCCGTCTCAAAAAAATAAATAAATAAACTTGTGAGCTGGCCCCAACCCCTCCTAGGAATCACAGCTCCCCGTACTGGTGCCGCCGCAGTGGCCAAGTTGCGACACTGCCCACGGCCCCTCCCTCTGATGCAGATTCAGGGCTTCTCTTCGATCATGTTGGGTTTTGATTCTGTTTTTCCTTGACTGCAAAACCCTCTTTCCTCTCCTCTTTTGGGACAAGAGCCCTGGTTTTCTACGCTGCCCTTGGCCACCACACTGCCTGCCCCACGAGCTGGGAGGCAGGTTTTGTACGGTACGTTGTTATTGATATGATATAAAACATCAAACGTCGTGGGTGATTCTGTTGTCAGTGACTGGGCTTCAGTACCACCTCTGCGTGTCGGGGACCCTGGTGTCTACGGGGGTCACAGCAGGTCGGACCCGTGGGTTTAACTCCAAGCCCCTCTGAGACCCGACAACCCCTCCCTCCCCCAGTTTAGCTGCTCAAGCCTGGAGAGGTTGAGGCAGTGCCCAAGGTCATACAGGAGAGAGATTCGAATCCTGAGCTCCCGACTGCTCAGGGGACCCCAGACCCCATCCAGCCCCTCAAGTGCTTCCAAGCTGCTTCCCCCGCCCACCGCCCCCAAATTTGAATCCTGTCGCAACCATCAGCTGTGTCCTTGGGAAAGTTGTATCCCCTCCCTGATCCACAGCTTCCTCATTCATTGCCAAGTGGCGTCAAAAGTCAAAACCCTCCCATGCCACAGGGAGGAGTCTCCCGTGTCTTTGATGTTCTCAAGTCGTCGGCACCTCCAGCCAGCATTGGAGGCTCTTCTCTGACCTCTCCTCACCCACTCCCATGCACAGCCCGCCGGGTCCCAGGAGACGCTGAGCAAAAGCCCTGTGGGGTTTTTTGTGTTTCTTTTTAAAGAGTCAAGGTCTCTCACTCTGTCACCCAGGCTGGAGTGCAGTTGTGCGAACACAGCTCGCGGCTCACAGCCTCAAGCTCCTGGTTCCCAGCCTCAAGCAGTCCTCTCATCTCAGCCTTTAGAGTCACTGGATTACGGGTGTGTGTCACCATGTCCAGCTAATTATTTTTAAATTTTTTTAGAAACAAGATCTTGCCGAGTGCAGTGGCTCACACCTGTAATTCCAGCACTTGGGGAAGCCAAGGCAGGCAGATCACTTGAGGTCAGGAGTTTGAGACCAGCCTGGCCAACATGGTAAAACCTGGTCTCCACTAAAAATACAAAAAAAAATTAGCCAGACATGGTGGCGCATGCCTGTAATCCCAGCTACTTGGGAGGCTGAGATAGGAAGATCAGATGAACCTGGGAGGTCAACGCTGCACCAAGCCAAGATCGTGCCACTGTTCTCCAGCCTGGGTGACAGAGTGAGACTCTGTCTCAAGAAAAAAAAAAAAAAAAAGGGTCTTGCCCTTTTCCAGGTGGGTCTCAAACTCCTGGCCTCTAGTGATCCTCCCACCTCAGCCTCCCTGAGTCGCGTAAGCCACCACGCGTGGCCTCATGGCGTCTTTGACTTGGACTCCTGTTTACCACCCTCCCCATCACACCCAGAATCCACACCCCCACTGCGACGTCATTGTCCCTTCAGCCCTCCCCAACCCTGGGGCCTCACTGTCCTTGTCTGTTTTGTACAGCCACCTCTCAAGGCCCAACAAGGCTGAACCTGGGGCAAGTGCAGAAAGAAACCTCCACTCTGACCCAGTCTACTGCTGGGACCTTGGGACAGGACCTGCCTCCCTTAGCCTCAGAGCCCCCTAGCCTTGCCAGGCACTGTCCCTGCCATGTGTCCTGTCTGGAGATAACCCATAAATAACTCCAGCCCAGATTGTGCCTCTCACTGCATAGGTGCTCACAGGAGAAAGGTTGCCATCTTTATGATCCCAGCTATGCTGAGCTGGGGGTGGAAGAGAATATCCCGTGTGGTCTCTAAAAACACTCAACCACTGGCTGTGTGTCCTTGGCAAAATAGCCTTCCCTCTCTGATCAGCCATTTATTTGTTACCAGCTGGAGTCAGTAGCACCTACCCCCAGCCCCAACTGGATGCTTCTGAGGGTTCAATGATAAAATGGGTTGTAGGCCCACTCTATGCCTGGCACCAAGCCAGAGAGCAATACATTGTAGGGTTACATTTATGATTTCTTCCAATAGGGCTGGTGCCTGGTAACTACTGGAAAAATTGTAGCAATTATATTTATGGTTATTTCTTCAATCCCACCCGGCATAGGGTAAGCACCAAAGTTGGGGTGGTGAGTCTTGGGGAGCCTTTGCCAACGGTTTGGTCGTCTGAGGGATGGGCTCGGGGACCATCCAGCCACTGGGACTTCAGAGAAGCTCCGGCTCCCAAACCAGCTACTGTGTGTGTGGCCAGGGTCTTCCCCACAACTAGAGGGGGGCACAGCTGGGGACTCAGGTATATCTTCCAGCTGGGTGTGGGACATTTTCTTCCCTAGGATCCGATGTGTCTTGCCCTGAATGTAAGGCCTGGCAGGGTTGGAATGTCTCAGTTATTCCCCCAACACTCCAGCCTCCATCTGGGCCTTTTTTCCAGGCTATTCTCTCTGCCTTCACTGTTGGGGCCACTGTCCTGTGTAGGCACCAAGGCCTGACCATGCCATCCAGAAGCCCCAGCCTGGGACAACTCTCCCCCACCTGCCTCTGAGCCCTCCATGGTGACTCTTGTTCCCCAAACCTTATCCTTCTCCCCATTACACAGAAGGGAAAGCTGAGGCTCTGTCACTCAAATCCAAAGCCAGGTGGACTCCAAGCCACCCCACCCCTATCCCAGACAGCACAGGCTGCCTCTCTCCCCCATGGGCGTCCCTTGAAGGCCAGGTTGCCCCCCACCCCCCACAAGCCTTGAACGATGAAAAGAAGGAAGGCCAGTTCTCTTCACCCCAAGCCAGAAGTGGGGCTGGGTGGGTACCCTAGAGAAATGACACGCCACTCCCTGCGCCAGCTTCTGCTTTCCGGCGTGGCTGTGGTCAAGCCTGAGTCAGTCCCACGGGACCACGGTGAGGGGTCTGGAGCGTCGGGGTCAGGAGTTTGAGGGGGGAAGGGTTGAGGGGCAGGATGTGGGGGTTGGGTGTGAGGGAGGTCACGGGCGAGACTGGAGGGAGGAGACCTGGCCACACAGGCCTTGCCCACTCTCGGGGGCCTGAATATTTCAGTTACTCCCCCAAAACCCCGGCCTCCATCCCATCCCCAGCCTCCATCCGACGTCACCCCTGTTAGGTCACAGGCCCACTCTGAGAGTGGGTCTCGGGCCTCAAGTCCCCTAGCCGCCCCTAGAAGGTCTAGGGGTGCGTGGAGACACCACCATTCCTCTCAGCCTGTGTCTGTCTCAAAGGCCCCACCTCACCTCCCCTAAAGGTAGTCTTGCGCCAGGGCTCACGTGCCTGGGCAGGGCTGATTGCCAAGGGGCCCAATGGCCTCGTGACTGGGGACCCAGCACCTGGCAGGGGTGGGGGTGGGACACTCAGAGGAAGGAGTGGAGGAGGGAGAGACGCTGGCCCGGGACCCGAGGGGCGTGGGCATCGGGAGGCGGGCCCGGGTTAGGGGCGGGACCGCCGCCTGGTTAAAGGCGCTTATTTCCCAGGCAGCCGCTGCAGTCGCCACACCTTTGCCCCTGCTGCGATGACCCTGTCGCCACTTCTGCTGTTCCTGCCACCGCTGCTGCTGCTGCTGGACGTCCCCACGGCGGCGGTGCAGGCGTCCCCTCTGCAAGCGTTAGACTTCTTTGGGAATGGGCCACCAGTTAACTACAAGGTAGGGACGGCGACAGGGCGGGCAGGCTGGAGGGAACAGGCGCCCTGTCGGGGCACGCGGCTCCTTCTTTCTCCCCAGACTTCACAGGGGAAGACCAGGGCCCCGAGGGGACGCTGTCCCTGCCGGGTTCCTGGAAAAACCCTGTTCAGTTCCCGGCGCTGCGGCCACACTCCCTCCGTGCCGTTTCGCTTTCGCATCCCGCATCTGAGAGGCGCAGCTGCCTCCACCCGCCTAGTCCCGCCCAAGGGTTCAATGAGCGCCTACTGTGTACTTTTGGGGCAGGAGCTGGGGTCTCCTTTTGTGGCCCAGGGCACAAGTTCAGCAGCTGGCCAAGGGCCGCCGGCATGCATTCTTGCTGCTACCCTTGATGCATTCATTCCAGCCAGGGCAGGGCTCGCGTGTCTTTGGGACCTATTAGGCAGATGCCCTAGAGGCTGAGCGACTTGCTCACCGCTCCAGCGACATGGGCCACCCGCCACCCCTCAGCTGAAGCCGGAAGTCAGCACCTATTAGGTGCCGCCTCTATTCAGTCGGACTTGGAAAGGGTTCACGTGGATCCCTTGCTCAGCTCAGAGGCAAGGTCTCCAGGTGAAGTGACAAGAAATGAGCATGGGCCAAGGCCGGAGGCGGTGGCTCATGCCTGTAATCCCAACACTTTGGAAGTCTGAGGCAGGCAGATCACGAGGTCAGGAGTTCGAGACCATTCTGGCCTACATGGAGAAACCCTGTCTCTACTAAAAATACAAAAATTAGCTGGGTGTGGTGGCATGTGCCTATAATCCCAGCTACTCAGGAGGCTGAGGCAGGACAATTGCTTGAACCAGGGAGTCGGGTGTTGCAGTGAGCCGAGATCGTGCCGCAGCACACCAGCCTAGCGACAGTGAGACTCCATCTCAAAAAAAAAAAAAAAAGTCTCAAAGTCAAGATTCCACCTGGCAAGTTCTGGAAGGCGTGCAAGATGAATTGCGTATCACAGCCCCCTTTCTACAAGACTACCAAGTGGGGTTGAGAGAAGTGGGGAACTGCCCAGGGCTACACCTGCCTCCCACGCCTTCCTAATCCACAGACAGGCAATCTATACCTGCGGGGGCCCCTGAAGAAGTCCAATGCACCGCTTGTCAATGTGACCCTCTACTATGAAGCACTGTGCGGTGGCTGCCGAGCCTTCCTGATCCGGGAGCTCTTCCCAACATGGCTGTTGGTCATGGAGATCCTCAATGTCACGCTGGTGCCCTACGGAAACGCACAGGTGTGTGGGCGCTGGGGAAACTGAGGCACGTGGGCAGGGGAGCAGGGGACCCAGCCTACCAGCAGGCTCTCACCCTGCTGCCTTGCAGGAACAAAATGTCAGTGGCAGGTGGGAGTTCAAGTGCCAGCATGGAGAAGAGGAGTGCAAATTCAACAAGGTGGAGGTGAGCGGCCCCAGGGCCCCACACTGGGGTGGGGGAAAACTGTCCCACGTACAGGAGGCAAATACGAGGATGCCAGCTCTGTCTTCTGCCTCGTGTGCTCCCATTTAATCACATCTTTATTCCCTATCTCCTGGGTGGGTACTGGTGATTATTACGAGAGGGTGTCAGGGTACCCTAGGCCCTCTTCATGCCCTCTCCTGCCCCCTCTCCAAACCCCAGGCCTGCGTGTTGGATGAACTTGACATGGAGCTAGCCTTCCTGACCATTGTCTGCATGGAAGAGTTTGAGGACATGGAGAGAAGTCTGCCACTAGTGAGTGACGCCCCTCACTCCACCCAAGGAGGGGGACATGGGTGGTAACCTTCCCTGCATCCAGGCAGACCCAAATTCAAGTCCTAGCCCTGACCACTGCTGTCTGTGCAGCCCAGGAAAACAACTACCCTTCTTTATTTTATTTATTTTTTTATTTTTTCTTGAGACAGAGTCTCGCTCTGTCGCCCAGGCTGGAATGCAGTGGCGCAATCCCAGCTCACTGCAACCTCCACCTCCAGGGTTCAAGTGATTCTCCAGCCTCAGCCTCCTGAGTAGCTGGGATTACAGTTGTGTGCCACCATGCCCAGCTAATTTTTGTGTTTTTAGTAGAGACAGGGTTTCACCATGTTGGTCAGGCTTGTCTTGAACTCCTGACCTTGTGATCCGCCTGCCTTGGCCTCCCAAAGTGCTGGGATTACAGGCGTGAGCCACCGCACCCAGCCCTTTTTTTTTTTTTTTTTTTTTTTTTTTTTTTGAGACAGGGTTTTGCTCTGTCGCCCAGGCTGGAGTGCAGTGGTGCAATCTTGGCTGACTGCAACCACTGTCTCCTCAGTTTAAGTGATCCTCCTGCCTCAGCTTCCCCAGTAGCTGGGACTACAGGTGTGCACCACCATGCCCGGCTAATTTTTGTATTTTTAGTAGAGACAGTGTTCACCATGTTGGCCAGGCTGGTCTCAAACTCCTGACCTCAAGTTATCCGCCTGTCCCAGCCTCCCAAAGGATTACAGGTGTAAGCCACCACGCCCGGCCCCAGCCTCCCCTCTTGAAGCCTCCATCTCTGAATCAGGGGAATGAATGCAGGTCTCTTAGGAGCATGAGTGATCACAGAGGACTTACTGGAGGAGGCATTTCTGAGCTGGGCATGGAAGGATGAGCAGGAATGTGCAGAGACACAGATGATGGGATGTGGAGATGATAGGACAGACCCCACCTACTTCCCCGGGGGATTGTGAAGAATGACTCCCAGAGAAGTGACTCATTGGCTCCAATCATTTATTCATTCATCAAACATCCGGGTCACCCAAGAGGCCTCACCTAGTGACACCCTAGTCCTGCAGGGTTAGATCAGGGCTGAGAGAGTGGCAAGGAGAGGGCACTGAGGAGACACTGTGGAAGGAGGATGAAGGGTGTTCCTGGCAGAGGGATCAGCCTGTGTGGAGGTCCTGAGTAAAGTGAGATACTATGGGGGTCAGAGGCAGTGGGTCTGGTCTTAGGGATGAAACCAAGGGAGCTAGGAGGCAGGAGCAGCCCAAGCCCTGCCTTAGGGGCCTCCACTCAAGCATGTATTGAGCACCTGCTGTTTGTGGGCTTTGTCGCATCACTGTGAAGCCAACTGTACCCTCTTCTCAGTGACGAAACAGGCTTGGCTCAGGGCTGGTGGGCGGGACCGTTGAGATAACGGGGAGGAAGCTGAGGCAACCCCCTGCTCCCCACCCACCCAGTGCCTGCAGCTCTACGCCCCAGGGCTGTCGCCAGACACTATCATGGAGTGTGCAATGGGGGACCGCGGCATGCAGCTCATGCACGCCAACGCCCAGCGGACAGATGCTCTCCAGCCACCACACGAGTATGTGCCCTGGGTCACCGTCAATGGGGTAAGAATCTTTTTAGCCCTCAGCTTGACACTCATAGTCCCATGGAGTCAGGGATGGACAAGACAGAGGGACCAGAGATAAAGGAACCCAGGCGGAGGTTGCAGTGAGCTGAGATCATGCCACTGCACTCCAGCCTGGGCAACAAGAGCAAAACTTGATAGCTTTGCATAGGGAAAGAGGGCATTGATGCTGGGGTTTTGAAAGGTGAGTAGGAGTCCATCAGGCAAAAAAAGTATGTATTAATTCGAAGTATTAAACATCCCTAGCCACCCCCATTGGGAAAGATGTGCCACTGATTTGCGAGGCGGGAGGCGGGGGCCAGACTTGGGAATATGTGCAGCCCTTTCTGGGCTGGAACCAGGGTGCATGGGTTGGGGTAGCTGCTGGGAATATGCGACCCCTGTCTTGCTTTGTGCAGAAACCCTTGGAAGATCAGACCCAGCTCCTTACCCTTGTCTGCCAGTTGTACCAGGTAAGCTGGGAGGGGAGCAGTGGGATTCAGGTGGTGGGGGTAGGGTCTCCTTCCAGGACCCCAACTCATGGCCTTCACCTCCAGGGCAAGAAGCCGGATGTCTGCCCTTCCTCAACCAGCTCCCTCAGGAGTGTTTGCTTCAAGTGATGGCCGGTGAGCTGCGGAGAGCTCATGGAAGGCGAGTGGGAACCCGGCTGCCTGCCTTTTTTTCTGATCCAGACCCTCGGCACCTGCTACTTACCAACTGGAAAATTTTATGCATCCCATGAAGCCCAGATACACAAAATTCCACCCCATGATCAAGAATCCTGCTCCACTAAGAATGGTGCTAAAGTAAAACTAGTTTAATAAGCCCTTCTGGATGGTGTAATTAATTTGATAAGTCAGCCATTCCCCCTTCCCCAGGCCTGGCAAAACCCGCTCTCTACTAAAAATACAAAAATTAGCCAGGCGCGGTGGCGGGCGCCTGTAATCCCAGCTACTTGGGAGGCTGAGGCAGGAGAATTGCTTGAACCCGGCAGGCAGAGGTTGCAGTGAGCCGAAATCGCGCCACTGTGCTCCAGCCTGGGCGACAAGAGCAAAATTCCATCTCAAAATTTTAAAAAAGTGACTGGTTGTGGCCGGGTGAGGTGGCTCACGTCTATAATTCCTGCACTTTGGGAGGTCAAGGTAGGAGGATTGCTTGAGGACAGGAGTTTGACACCAGCTTTGGCATGAAAGCAAGACCCTGTCTTTACAAAACATGAAAATAAAAAGAATTAGCAGGACATGGCAGCGAGCAACTGTGGTACTCGGGAGGCTGAGGCAGGAGGATCACTTGAGCACAGGAGGTCAAGGCTGCAGTGAGCCATAATTACACCACTGCACTGCAGCCTGGGCCAGAGAGCAAGACTCTGCCTCTTTTTTTTTTTTTTTTTTTTTTTTTTTTTGAGACGGAGTTTCGCTCTTGTTGCCCAGGCTGAAGGGAAACGCGTGATCTCGGTTCACCACAACCTCTGCCTCTTCAGTTCAAGCGATTCTCCTGCCTCAGCCTCCTGAGTAGCTGGGATTACAGACACATGCCACCACGCCCAGCTAATTTTGTGTTTTTAGTAGAGACAGGGTTCTTCCATGTTGGTCAGGCTAGTCTCGAACTCCTGACCTCATGATCCATCTGTCTCGGCCTCCCAAAGTGCTGGGATTACAGGCGAAAGCCACCACACCCAGCCAAGACTCTGCCTTTTAAAAGAAAAAGAAGGGAAAGAACATGTTCAGTGTTGTATTTTTTCCTACTGATGGACTGGTCAAATCATAGATGTATATATTCTTCCTTCGAGGAAGTGAGGCTTAATTCCACTCCCTACAAATATCTTTGTTTCTCTTTATTTTGAGATGGAGTCTAGCTGTGTTGCCCAGGCTGGTCTCAAACTCGTGGGCTCAAGCGATCCTTCTTGAGGATCCTGAAGTGCTGCGATTATAGACGTGAGCCAGCGTGCCGGGCCCTACAACCACCTTGACAGTGAACTAGATTGAGTAACTTGATTCCAAAGAGTAGAACAGGAAAAGTGAAAAAGAATACCCCGGCTGTGCGCGGTGGCTCAAACCTGTAATCACAGCACTTTGGGAGGCTGAGGTGGGTGGATCACTTGAGGTCAGGAGTTCAAGACCAGCCTGGCCAACATGGCGAAACCCTGTCTCTACTAAAAATACAAAAATTAGGCTGGATGCGGTGTCTCACACCTGTAATCCCAGCACTTTGGGAGGCCCAGGCAGGCAGATCACCTAAGGTCAGAAGTTTGAGACCAGCCTGGCAAACATGGCAAAACCCTGTCTCTACTAAAAAATACAAAAGTTGGTCAGGCGCGGTGGCTCACGCCTGTAATCTCAGCACTTTGGGAGGCCGAGGCGGGTGGATCACAAGGTCAGGAGATCAAGTCCATCCTGGCTAACACGGTGAAACCCCGTCTCTACTAAAAATACAAAAAACTAGCTGGGCGTGGTGGCAGGCACCTGTAGTCCCAGCTACTCGGGAGGCTGAGGCAGGAAAATGGCGTGAACCTGGGAGGCGGAGCTTGCAGTGAGCCAAGATCATGCCACTGTACTCCAGCCTGGGCGACAGAGCAAGACTCTGTCTCAAAAAAAAAAATTTAAAAAATACAAAAGTTAGCCATGCGTGGTGGTGCACGCCTGTAATCCCAGCTACTCCAGAGGCTGAGATGGGAGAATGGCTTGAACCCGGGAGGCAGGGGTTGCAGTGAGCCGAGATCACGCCACTGCTCTCCAGCCTGGGCAACAGAGAGAGACCCCATCTCAAAATAAATAAATAAATAAATACAAATCATCAAGTAGCAAAGGTGGCATGTTTTGAGGTGGCACGTCCTGAACTTCCTCATTCCCTGGCTGAATTGGTGGTGGAGAGAAATTCAGGGTAGAAGTTCTGAAGTAACACATCTACAGAAGGGGTAGAAAAAGACAGATTAGAACAAATAGAAAGGAATAAATATAAGCACACTATGCCAGATATTGTCGAATCAGTATCTTTGTCCTGAGAATAGGTTAGCTTGGTTACACACTTGTATCTCATTTTATTTTATTTATTTATTTATTTTTTGAGACGGAGTTTCGCTCTTGTTACCCGGGCTGGAGTGCAATGGCATGATCGTGGTCTTGGCTCACCACAACCTCCACCTCTGGAGTTCGAGCGATTCTCTTGCCTCAGCCTCCCAAGTAGCTGGAATTACAGGCATGCGCCACCACACCCAGCTAATTTTGTATTTTTTTTTTTTTTTTTGAGACGGAGTTTTGCTCTTGTTGACCAGGCTGGAGTGCAATGGCATGATCTCGGCTCACTGCAACCTCCGCCTCCCAGGTTCAAGCAATTCTCCTGCCTCAGCCTCCCGAGTAGCTGGGATTACAGGCATGCACCATCATGCCCGGCTAATTTGTTGTATTTTTAGTAGAGACGGGGTTTCTCCAAGTCGAGGCTGGTCTCGAACTCCTGACCTCAGGTGATCCGCCCGCCTCGGCCTCCCAAAGTGCTGGGATTACAGGCGTGAGCCACCGCGCCCAGCAATTTTGTATTTTTAGTAGAGACGGGGTTTCACCATGTTGGCCAGGATCGTCTCCAACTCCCGACCTCAAGTGATCTGCCTACCTCGGCCTCCCAAAGTGCTGGGATTACAAGTATGAGCCACTGCACCCAGCCTTGTGTCTCATTTTAGAAGGTGGTGGCTTAGGAGGGAGTTGGGAACCTATCTAAGTTAGGTCTCTAAATGGTGTGAGCAATCAGGCATTTAATGAGCATTTCTTCTTTCTCTCTCTCTCTGTCTCCCCACCCTCACTTTCCTTCCTTCCCTTTTTTTTTTTTTTTTTTTTTTTTTTTGAGACAGAGTCTCGCTTTGTCACCCATGCCGGAAAGCAGTGGTGCAATCTCAGCTCACTGCAGCCTCCACCTTCTGGGCTCAACCAGAGTAGCTGGGACTAAAGGCATATGCCACCATGCCTGGCTAATTTTTTTTTTTCCCGTTTGAGACGGAGTCTCACTCTGTCGCCCAGCCTGGAGTGCAGTGGCACATTCTGAGCTCACTGCAACCTCCACCTCCCAGGTTCAAGAGAGTCTCCTGCCTCAGCCTCCCGAGTAGCTGGGACTACAAGCGGGTGCTACCACACCTGGCTATTTTTTTTTTTTTAGTAGAGATGGGGTTTCATCGTGTTAGCCAGGATGGTCTCGATCCCCTGACCTCATGATCCACCCGCCTCAGCCTCCTAAAGTGCTGGGATTACAGGCGCAAGCCACCGCGCCCAGCCACACCTGACTAATTTTTGTATTGGTAGTGGAGACGGGGTTTCGCCATGTTGCTCAAACTGGTCTCAAAGTCCTGGACTCGAGCGATCTGTCCGCCTTGGCCTCCCAAAGTGCTGGGATTACAGGCGTGAGCCACTGCGCCCAGCTCTTCCTTTCCTACTCTACAGGATCTGGCTCTGTTGCCCAGGCTGGAGTGCAGTGGCACAATCATAGCTCACTGCAGCCATGACCTCCTGGACTCAAGCAATCCTCCTGCCTCAGCCTCTTAAGTCGCTGGGACTACAGGCTGGAGTGCAGTGGCGCGATCTTGGCTCACTGCAACCTCCACCTCCCAGGTTCAAGTGATTCTCTTGCCTCAGCCTCCCAAGTAGCTGGGATTACAGGCACATGCCACCACACCCAAGTGATTTTTATATTTTTAGTAGAGACAGGGTTTCACCATTTGGACCAGGCTGGTCTTGAACTCCTGACCTCGTGATCCACCCGCCTCAGCCTCTCAAAGTGCTGGGATTACAGGCATGAGCCACTGCGCCCCACCCCGAAGTTCACATTTACAAACAGATTTTGAAAACAATATTTAAGCAGGCATACTATAAAACATAATTATTGTTGAAAAGCTTATTTACAAGCTTTCATCTCACTTTCATTTAACTTACTTGTGTTCAACAATTATGCTTAATTACTCATGAACATTTCATAAAACATTGAAAAAATAATCATCATCTTAAGTTACTTTTCTTGTTGACAAATCAAGTATCAAAAATCAAAGAAGCAAAGAACCTAAAAAAATAAATATATGGGACGCAGCACCATGGCTCACACCTGTAATCCCAGCACTTTGGGAGGCCACGGTGGGAGGATCACTGGAGACCAGGAGTTCAAGACCAGCCTGGCCAACACAGTGAGATCCCATCTCTATAAAAAATACAAAAATTGGCCAGGCGTGGTGGCTCGTGCCTGTAATCCCAGCACTTTGGGAGGCTGAGGCGGGCAGATCACCTGAGGTCGGGAGTTCAAGACCAGCCTGACCAACATGGAGAAACCCCATCTCCATTAAAAATACATTAGCTGGGTGTGGTGGTGGTAGCTCTAATCCCAGCTACTCGGGAGGCTGAGGCAGCAGAATCGCTTGAACCTGGGAGGCAGAGGTTGCGGTTAGCCGAAATCACACCATTGCACTTGAGCCTGGGCAACAAGAGCAAAACTCAATCTCAAAAAAAAAAAAAAATAGCCAGGCCTGGTGGCTCACACCTGTAATCCTAGCTACTCGGGAGGCTGAGGCATGAGAATCACTTGAACCTGGGAGGCTGCAGTGAGCTGAGATCATGCCACTGCACTCCAGCCTGGGCGACAGAGCAAGACCTTATCTCAAAAAATAACCATCCAAGGAACCAAAAAAAATTAAAAACCCACATATGGGTCTCTCCTTTACTTTTTAAAATTAATTTTATTGTCAGGCTTGACATCCATTAAGCAAATCACCTTTTTTTTTTTTTTTTTCAGACAGGGTCTCACTCTGTCACCCAGACTGGAGTGCAGTGAGGTGACATCACAGCTCACTGCAACCTCTGCCTCCAGGGCTCAAGCGATCCTCCCACCCCAGCCTCCCGAGTGTCTGGAACTACAGGCACAAGCCACAACACTCAGCTAATTTTCTATATTTTTAGTAGAGACAGCTTTTCACTATGTTACCCAGGCTGGTCTCAAACTCCTGGACTCAAGCAATCCGCCTGCCTTGGCCTCCCAGAGTGCTGGGATTGCAGGCATGAGCCACCGTGCCCACCCTCAATTCACTTCGTAAAAATTTTTTTATTTATTTTTTGAGACAGGGTCTTGTTCTGTCACCCAGGCTGGAGTGCAGTAATGTGATCACAGCTCACTGCAACCTCCATTTCCAGGGCTCAGGCGATCCTCCCTGCTCAGCCTCCCGAATAGCTGGGACAACAGGTGCGAGCCACGAGCCAGCATGCGTGGTAAATTTTTGTATTTTTTTTTTTTTTTTTTGCAGAGATGGGGTTTTGCCATGTTGCCCAGGCTGTTCTTGAACTCCTGGCTTCAAATGACCTACCTCCATCAGCCTCCCAAAGTGCTGGGATGGATGACAGATCTGAGCCACCACCTGGCCAAGCAATTCACTTTTATTGCATGTATTGTTCTTAGGTTTATTTTATAGTTTTACAGTTTACACTTTTATAATCTTCAACATCTAAAGATAACATAAGCCTGTTTGACTAGTCTTAATTTACATAAGCAAATGTGGTTTTCTAAAGTCAATGAAATAGAGCTCCTTTACAAGTTAATCTTTAGGAATTCCATCAAGAGGGAGAAAGTGTTACATACCTATAACATATATATATATAAACATAAATAGGTGCAGTCAGAAATCTTATAGCTTTCATTTTAAAATTATAGCTGTGAGACAGGTGTGATAATACAAAACTCACTAGTTTTTAAAAAAATGGTGGAGCCGGGCACAGTGGCTCACGCCTGTAATCCTAGCACTTTGAGAGGCCGAGGCAGGCAGATCATTTGAGGCCAGGGAGTTCAAGACCAGCCTGGGCAACATGGAGAAGCCCCATCTCTACTAAAAATACAAAAATTAGCCAGGCGCAGTGACTCACGCCCATAATCCCAGTACTTTGGGAGGCCGAAGTGGGCTGATCACCTCAGGTTGGGAGTTCAAGACCAGCCTGACCAACATGGAGAAACCCTGTCGCTACCAAAAATACAAAATTGGCCAGGTGTGGTGGCACATGCCTGTAGTCCCAGCTACTCGGGAGGCTGAGGCAGGAGAATCACTTGAACCCAGGAGACAGAGGTTGCAGTGAGCTGAGATCGTGCCTCTGCACTCCAGTCTGGGTGACAGAGCCAGACTCAATCTCAAAAAATATAAATAAATAAATAAGTGAGATCCAATTTGCATCTGCAGAGGCAGATGAAATGAGTTAAGATTACCTACTCAGATCATGAAAGCTTTGTGCTAACATTTGTAAAGACTGTTAAAATTTTTCACTTGCCAGTTGGTTTCCAAATTGCCCTCTGAGAACACAGTTCTGATCCATTGCAGGGGAGCCCCAAATTTTGGGCTTAGCCCAGGAGGGCTCTTGGCTTCTTCTAGGAAAGTATCCAAGGGTGACCTGGTGGTGTTATACAGCACCTTTTTTTTTTTCCCTGAAAGAGTCTTGCTCTGTTGCCCAGCCTGGAATGCAGTGATGTGATCACAGCTCACTGCAGTCTCCAAATCCTGGGCTCTAGAATCCCCTTTGCCTCAAACTTCTGAGTAGCTGGGACTACAGGCATGCACCACCTATCCGAGCTAATTTTTTAAATTTTTGTGGAGATGGGGTCTTGCTATGTTCCCCAGGCTGGTCTCAAACTCCTGAGCTCAAGTGATCCTCCTGCTTCAGCCTCCCAAAGTGCTGGGATCACAGGTGTGAGCCATAATCCCAGCCTGATAAGAATTCGTCCTTTTCTTTTTTTTTTTTGAGACGGAGTCTGGCTCTGTTGCCCAGGCTGGAGTGCAGTGGTACTTTCTCGGCTCACTGCAACCTCCATTTCCCGGGTTCAAGCGGTTCTTCTGCCTCAGCCTCCCGATTAGCTGGGATTACAGGTGCCTGCCACTACGCCTGGATAATTTTTTTGTATTTTTAGTAGAGACGGGGTTTCACCATGTTGGCCAGGCTGGTCTTGAACTCCTGACCTCAGGTGATCCACCCACCTCGGCCTCCCAAAGTGCTGGGATTACTGGTGTGAGTCACCGTGCCAGCCTTTTTTTTTTTTTTTTTTTTTTTCTGAGACAAAGTCTCACTCTGTTGCCCAGGCTGGAATTCAGTGGTGCTATCTCAGCTCACTGAAACCCCAGCTTCCCAGGTTTCAGTGATTCTCCTGCCTCAGACTCCCGAGTAACTGGGACTACAGGCACACACCACCACACTCAGCTAATTTTGCTATTTTTTGGTAGAGATGGGGTTTCACCGTGTTGGCCAGACTGGTCTTGATCTCCTGACCTCAAGTAATCCACCCACCTCAGCCTCTCAAAAAGCTGGGATTACAGGCATGAGCCACCGCGTCCGGCTGAATTCTTACTTTGCATTGGCTTGTCAGGTCCCAGCATTTCTCCCCTGCAGACCCCAGAGGGAGCAGATATTCCCAGCCAATTGTAGCCCATCCTCATCACCAGAAACTAGCAGGGCTAGAGCTTTCCTCCTCTCTCTGGTGTCTGGCTCAGACTGACAGACAGATTAACAAAACAATAGCACACAAAGCTTATTCATTGTAGATGGGAGCCCTCACGAGAAAAATGGAGACCGAAAAAAGTAACTAGACCTAAGTGTTTGTTTTGAGACAGGGTCTTGCTGTGTCATCCAGACTGGAGTGCAGTAGCGGGATCACAGCTCACTGAAGCCTTGACCTCTCAGGCCCAAGCAATCCTCCTGTCTCAGCCTCCCAAGTAGTTGGGACTAGAGTTGCACACCACCACACCTGGCTAATTTTTTAAAAATTTTGGCCGGGCACGGTAGCTCATGCCTGTAATCCCAGTACTTTGTGAGGCAGAGGCTGGGGGATCACCTGAGGTCAGGAGTTCAAGACCAGCCTGGCCAACATGATAAAACCCGTCTCTAGTAAAAATACAAAAATTAGCCAGGCGTGGTGGCGGGCGCCCATAATCCTAGCTACTTGGGAGGCTGAGGCAGGAGAATCACTTGAACCTGGGTGGCGGAGGTTGCAGTGAGCTGAGATCGCGCCACTGCACTCCAGCCTGGGCAACAGAGTGAGACTCCTTCTCAAAAATAAAGAAAAAATAAAAAGATAGATCACAGAGCCCTTCTGGGCTGGCTGCGGTGGTTCGTGCCTGTAATCCTAGAATTTTGGGAGGCTGAGATGGGCAGATAACTGAGGTCAGGGGATCAAGACCAGCCAGACCAACATGGCAAAACCCCGTCTCTACTAGACATACAAAAATTAGCCGGCCATGGTGGTACATGCCTGTAATCCCAGATACTTGGAAGGCTGAGATAAGAGAATCACTTGAACCCGGGAGGTGGAGGTTGCAGTGAGCCAAGATCATGCCACTGCACTCCAGACTGGGCAACAGAGTGAGACTCCCTCTCAAAAAAATAAAAAGAAGAGCCCTTCTTGCATCCACTGTTTGCAAGTGTGTTTAACTCAAAATTCTCAATATCAATATGCCAAAGTTGTATGCTGGTATGTTATGGGTGACATGTCCTGAACACTATCAACAGAAACATACAAAAATTACTGCCAGGTATCAAAAGCTGCTCTTCCTGGGAAGCAATAAAGTATCTTTTGTTTTTCTGTTTTTGAGACAGAGCCTGGCTCTGTCGCCCAGGCTGGAGTGCAATGACAAGATCTCGGCTCACTGCAACCTTTGCCTCCCGGGTTCAAGTGATTCTCCCGCCTCAGCCTCCCATGTAGCTGGGATTACAGGCACCCGCCATCATGCCTGGCTGATTTTTGTATTTTTAGTAGAGACGGGGTTTCACTATGTTGGCCAGGCTGGTCTTGAACTCCCGACATCAGGTGATCCGCCTGCCTCGGCCTCCCAAAGTGATGGAATTACAGCCATGACCCACCGCACCCAGCCCCATAAATTCTCTTAATTTTATTTTTTATTTTACTTTTTGAGGCAGGGTCTCGCTGTGTCATCCAGGCCAGAGTGTAGTGTCACCATCTCAGCCAGCTGAAGACTCAGCCTCTGGGACTCAAGCGATCCTCCCACGTCAGCCTCTCAAGTAGCTGGGACTACAGGTGTGCACTACCGTACCCGGATAATTTTGTTATCCGGTCTTACCATGTTACCTGGTCTTACCATGTTGCCCAGGCATCTGGGCAACTCCAACTCCTGACCTCAAGCGATCCTCCTGCATCCAGGTCCCAAATGGTAGGATTACAGGCATAAGCCACCGAGCCCGGCCAAGCAACAATTTTTTTTTTTTTTTTTGAGACAAAATCTCGCTCTGTCGCCCAGGCTGGAGTGCAATGGCATGATCTCAGCTCACTGCAAACTCCGCCTCCCAGGTTCAAGCGATTCTCCTGCCTCAGCCTCCAAGTAGCTCAGATTACAGACATGCACCACCACACCTAGCTAATTTTTGTATTTTTAGTAGAGATGGGGTTTTGCCATGTTGGCCTGACTGGCCTTGAACTCCTGACCTCAAGTGATCCACCCGCCCCAGCCTCCCAAAGTGCTCGGATTACAGGCATGAGCCACCGTGCCTGGCCAATAAATTCTTAATTTATCCACCATTGTCTCTCAGCAACCAGTAATCCATTTGTAGATTACCAAATGGTCAGCTCAATGTCAAACAAAACTATGGGAGACCACTGTTTTGGACTGAGCTCCTGCACTAGGCACCAACAGACCAGATGAAACCAGAATGGAGTCACTCGTGCTAAATGCCACATAATCAAACTGAAACTTTGAGGAAGCAGACATATCCCAAACAGATCAGTTTCTTATTTTTTTTTTTTTTAAATTTGTTTTGTAGAGATGAGGTTCTGGCCAAGTTGCCCAGGCTGGTCTTGAACTCCTGGCCTCAAGCGATCCTCCTGCCTCAGCCTCCCAAGGTGCTGGTATTATAGGCATGGTCCACTGTGCCCAGCTGTCTTTCCTAAAAATAGATTTTAGTCTACCTGGGCCGGGCACGGTGGCTCATGCCTGTAATCCCAGCACTTTGGGAGGCCGAGGTGGGCGGATCACAAGGTCAGGAGATCGAGACCATCCTGGCTAACATGGTGAAACCCCCTCTCTACTAAAAATACAAAAAATTAGCCAGGCGTGGTGGCTGGTGCCTGTGGTCCCAGCTACTGGGGAGGCTGAGGCAGGAGAATGGCGTGAGCCCGGGAGGCGGAGCTTGCAGCGAGCCGAGATCGCGCCACTGCACTCCAGCCTGGGCGACAGAGCGAGACTCTGTCTCAAAAAAAAAAGATTTTAGTCTACCTGAATTAGCCCGATAAGGAAGTCCCCTCTGCTTTAACACTTACCAAAAAAAGTAACCTGAAGTTAATCAGGTTTTTCTTTTTCTTTCTTTCTTTCTTTCTTTTTTTTTTTTTTTTTTTTTGAGATAGAGTCTAGCTCTGTCGCCAGGCTGGAGTGCAAGTGGCACGATCTTGGCTCACTGCAACCTCCACCTCCCCGGGTTCACGCCATTCTCCTGCCTCAGCCTCTCTGAGTAACTGGGACTACGGGCGCCCGCCACCACACCCGTCTAATTTTTTGTATTTTTAGTAGAGACGGGGTTTCACTGTGGTCTCGATCTCCTGACCTCATGATCCGCCCACCTCGGCCTCCCAAAGTGCTGGGATTACAGGCGTGAGCCACCGCACCGGCCTTATTATTATTATTATTTTTTAAGATATTCTGTAGTTATGGATTGGAAAAATCCATATTGTCAAAATGTCCATACTACACAAAGCAACCTACAGATTCAATGCAATTTCCATCAAAATACAATACCAATGACATTCTTCACACAAAACAGAAAGAACAGTTCTAAAAAACAGTCCTAAATTTATATGAAATCACAAAAGACCTTGAATAGCCAAAACTATCCTGAGCAAACAGAACAAAACTGGAGGAATCCCATTACCCAACATTCAATTATACTATAGATCTACAGTAACAAAAACAGCATAGTACCAGCACAAAAATAGACACATACATAAATGGAACAGAATGGAGAACCCAGAACCAAATCCATACATCTACATTGAATTCTTTTTTACTATTATTATACTTTAAGTTCTGGGATCCATGTGCAGAACGTGCAGAAGGTGCAGGTTTGTTACATAGGTATGTATACACGTGCCATGGTGGTTTGCTGCACCCATCAACCGGTCATCTACATTAGGTATTTCTCCTAATGCTGGCCGGGTGCGGTGGCTCACGCTTGTAATCCCAGCACTTTGGGAGGCCGAGGCGGGCTGATCACGAGGTCAGGAGATCGAGACCAAGGTGAAACCCCGTCTCTACTAAAAATACAAAAAATTAGACGGGCGTGGTGGCGGGCGCCTGTAGTCCCAGTTACTCGGAGAGGCTGAGGCAGGAGAATGGCGTGAACCCGGGAGGCGGAGCTTGCAGCCAGCCGAGATCGCGCCACTGCACTCCAGCCTGGATGACAGAGCGAGACTCCGTCTCAAAAAAAAAAAAAAAAAAAAGAAGTTATTTCTCCTAATGCTATCCCTCCCCTATCCCACCCTCTGACAGGTCCCGGAATGTGATGTTCCCCTCCCTGTGTCCATGTGTTCTCATTGTTCAACTCCCACTTTCTTTTTCTTTTTTTTTTTTTTTGAGACAGTCTGGCTCTGTCACCCAGGCTGGAGTGCGGTGGCGCAATCTCGGCTCACTGCAGCCTCTGCCTCCAGGGTTCAAGCGACTCCCCTGCCTCACCCTCCGGAGTAGCTGGAATCACAGGTGGGGGCCACCACACCCAGTGGTTTGTTTGTTTGTTTGTTTGTTTGTTTGTTTGTTTTTTGAGACGGAGTCTCGCCCTGTTGCCAGGCCGGAGTGCAGTGGTGAGATCTCGGCTCACTGCAACCTCCACCTCCCGGGTTCAAGCGATTCTCCTGCCTCAGCCTCTTGAGTAGCTGGGACTACAGGCGTGTGCCACCGTGCCCAGCTCATTTTTGTATTTTTAGTAGAAACGGTGTTTCACCGTGTTGACCAGATTGGTCTCAATCACTTGGCCTCATGATTCGGACGCCTTGGCCTCCCTAAGTACTGGGATTACAGGCCTGAGCCACCTCGCCCGGCATTGATCAGGTTTTTTTTGTATTGTTCTGTTTATTTGTCCCACTTTACGAAACTCACTGTTCTCCTATTGCCCAGGGGGACATGTCATTTTATCTATTCTCAGTAACTCATGCCTGTAATTCCAGCACTTTTGGATGCAAAAGTGGGCGGATTGCTTCAGTACAGTTCAAGGCTAGCCTGGGCAACATAGTGAGACCCTGTCTCTACTAAAGAGGAAAAAAAAACAAAACCTTTCTTTAAATAAAAGTTTTAAATTGGGGGAAGGAAGGAAGAAGGCTCTATCTCAAAAAAAAAATCAGAAAACCATGAAGGGTGTCCTCTGACTGGGCAAATTTTTGTTGTAAAAACCCATATTGTAGGCTGGGCATGGTGGCTCACTCTTGTAATCCCAGCACTTTGGGAGGCCGAGGCAGGTGGATTTGAGATCAGGGGTTCAAGACCAGCCTGAGTAACATGGTGAAACCCCGTCTCTACAAAACTACAAAAAATAGCTAGGCATGGCGGCGGGTGCCTGTAATCCCAGCTACTCATGAGGCTGAGGCAGGAGAATCGCTTGAACCTGGAAGGCAAATGTTGCTGTGAGCTGATATTGTGCCACTGCACTCCAGCCTGGGCAACAGAGTAAGACTCCGTCTCAAAAAAAAAAAAAAGCCATATTTCAGTTTTACTTTTTACAGGCCAACAAATGGCATGATTGTGTTTCAATGACGTTTGGCTTATTCTATGACCTGAAAATTATATGAAATGCAAATTTGTGTCCATAAGTAAAACTTTATTGAAACACAATCATGCCATTTGTTGACAAAAAGAGTGAAACTCTGTAAAATATGGGCCGGGCGCGGTGGCTCACGCCTGTAATCCCAGCACTTTGGGAGGCCGAGGCGGGCGGATCATGAGGTCAGGAGATCGAGACCATCCTGGCTAACACGGTGAAACCCTGTCTCTACTAAAAATATAAAAAATTAGCCGGGTTTGGTGGCGGGAACCTGTAGTCCCAGCTACTCGCCAGGCTGAGGCGGGAAAATGGCGTGAACCCGGGAGGTGGAGCTTGCAGTGAGCCAAGATCGCGCCACTGCACTCTAGCCTGGGCCACAGAGCGAGACTCTCTCAAAAAAAAAAAAGAAACTCCGTAAAATATTTAAAGAGGTTAATTCTGAGCCAAACGTGAGTGACCACGGCCCTAGGCACAGCCTTTTTTTTTTTTTTTTTTTTTTTTTTTTGAGACAGTCTCGCTCTGTGGCCCAGACTGGAGCTATCTCGGTTCACTGCAACCTCCACCTCTCGGGTTCAAGAGATTACCCTGCCTCAGCCTCCCGAGTGGCTGGGATTACAGGCGCCCACCACCACGCCCCTGGCTAATTTCTGTATTTTTAATAGAGATGGGGTTTTACCATGTTGGCCAGGCTGGTTTTGAATTCCTGACCTCAGGTGATCCAGCTGCCTCCGCCTCCCAAACTGTTTGGGATTACAGGCGTGAGCCACTGCGCCTGGCCAATCCCCACCTTCTTGACTGACCATTTAAAAAATGTAAGAAACACCTTTAGCTCATCATGAGCAGCACAAAACAGGCAGGGACAGGATTTGGCCCTGAGGCAGGAGAATAGGTCTGGAGGCAGGGAACATAAGGCCAAATCAAATGGAAACAATTCAGCTATGACAGGAAATATCTTCTCCATTTAAAGAGGGCATACATCCAGTAAATGACTTTGTAACTTTACTTCATCCTCTTCATTTACATAGGACGTACATTAAGTAACCAGTGAAAACCTCTAGAGGGCATTTAAACCCCAGAAAATTCTTAAACAGGTCTCTTGAGTCCGTATGCTCCACTGGCTCCCACCCTGCGGAGTGTACTTTCGTTTTCAATAAATCTCTGCTTTTGTTAAGCTTCATTCTTTCCTTGCTTTGTTTGTGCACTTTGTCCAATTCTTTGTTCAAGATGCCAAGAACCTGCACACCTTCAACAGTTAACAGCCCACAGGCAGTAGTTTGCGACTCTAGTAGAGAATGCATAGGGATTTCCATTGAAAATCATTTTTTAAGCCAGTTACGGTGGTTCACGCCTATCATCATCCCAGCACCTTGGGAGGCCAAGGCGGGTGGATCTCTTGAGGTCAGGAGTTCGAGACCAGCCTGGCTAACATGGCAAAACCCCTGTCTAGACCAAAAATACAAAATTAGTTGGGCGTGGTGGCCCGTGCCTGTAATCCCAGCTGTTTGGGAGGCTGCGACACGAGAATCGCTTGAACCCGGGAGGGAGAGGTTGCGGTGAGCCGAGATCGCGCCACCGCACTCCAGCCTGGGTGACAGAGCGAGACTCCATTTCAAAAAAAGAAAAAAAATAATTGTTCCCTACGGGAACGGTATAATTAGGATATAATTGTTTCTGGCCACAGATCACATCCCTTCTGGTTAAGTCCAGGAGAATCTGGAAATACGTAGGGCAACCAGGCCAGAAGGCGTTGTAACTGCCTAAGATTGACCAACCCTAACGCGGGAGGCGGGACGACGGTCACTGATTTGCCAGCGTGACGCCGGTCTGCGACTGGCCAGTGCCGTCCTGGGCGTGTCGGTAGGACGGGGCTGCGACGGTTTCCCATAGGCTGGCACAGAAAGGGGCGGGGAAACAAGAGTGCAACGTTACCAATCGGCATGCGGGACGTAACGCAATTCTTTTTTCCGATTGGTCCGTGAAGCTCGGGAGGTCGTTGGGGGCTCGACCTTGGGATAGAACGCCTGCCTTTTATTGGTCAATACTCTTCGGGCCGGGCAATGTGGCTCCCCGAGGCTGCCTGCGATTGGTGAACGCGTCGCGGCTCGGGGCGGACCTGCGGACTGAAGATCCTTATGCGATTGGCCGGGGAGCCGGAGGGGCGGGCAATTTGGGATCGACAGTGACTCGCGACTGGTCGGCGCGGCGAAAGCAGAGCGGCGCGCCGGTTCCTTGGTTCCTGAGGGCGATGGCGCGGGGTGGCTGGCGCCGGCTACGCCGCCTGTTATCCGCGGGGCAGCTTCTATTCCAGGGCCGCGCGCTGCTCGTCACTAACACGCTGGGCTGCGGCGCGCTCATGGCGGCCGGTGATGGCGTGCGCCAGTCCTGGGAGATCCGCGCCCGGCCCGGCCAGGTTTTCGACCCACGGCGCTCCGGTGAGGACGCCACGCTGCTTAGTCCTTCACCCCGGGCGACCTTTGATCCCGACACCCGACTGCGGGCCGTGACCCCTGACCCGTGGCCTCAGTCCCCCGCAGGACCCTTGCCCTGACCGCGCCTCTCCCCGGGTGTCTGTCTCCCCGCAGCTCTGGGTCTCCATCACCTCCCAACCCCCGGAGGTCTCTGCCCACTACCCAGGAGCCTCTGGAGCCGCGCCTCCTGGTGGGGCTTGTAGTGGAAGAATGCACGGGTGGGCTCTTCCGGTTTTCCCGGTGAGGCTGAGGCTCCGGGATGGCATTGGGCTTACCCAGGCCTTAGCCAGGGAGGGAGAGAGGGAATGGACTGAGGAACTTGCCGGCCCGACCCAGCCCCCTGACTTACACTCTTATAGCGAGCATGTTTGCGGTGGGCTGCAGCATGGGTCCCTTCCTGCACTACTGGTACTTGTCGCTGGACCGCCTATTCCCTGCGTCTGGCCTCCGAGGCTTCCCAAATGTCCTCAAGAAGGTCCTCGTGGATCAGCTGGTAGCCTCTCCATTGCTGGGCGTCTGGTACTTCTTGGGTAAGGAGCCTCCTAAGCCTAGGCTTTGCCTCTCATAGGTCGGGAGGGGTGGAGCCAGCTTTGTGTTAAGAAGGATGCAGAGGTGCATTTCCAATTTGCCCCCTGTTTGGGTCGCCCTGGACTAGGAGCCAGGTCACAGCGGGGACAGGACGGACTCGGCCGATGTGAACGCTGGCGAGTGTAGGAGGGACGAGGACTGTATCTGTTGGGGCTGCCCTGGGCGGGAGGTTGAGAGCATTTCCCAAAGAAGGGGACCACACTCAGTTGAGACATGAAGAGGGAACCAGCGGGCAGAGGGAACAGCTAATGCAAAGGCTCTGAGGCCTGAAGGAAGAGAAATTGAGGCTAGACTTAATGGGGTGCAACCGTGCCAGCCCTAGGCTCGGTAAAGACAGCGGTATTAATAGAGGAGTCTCTCATTCTCCACCTCCCAGCCCGGCTTCCTGGTCTGTGATGGAAAAGTAACACAACTCCCTCAACTTCAGGGTGTCTCCATTGGGGCACGTGTTTATATGTTTATAACCTCTCTTTCTCTCACTGGGACTGACTTGCTCTGTTTTGTCTCTACACCAGCTACCCTAATTCTCTGTCCATCCCATCTGAAAGTCCCTGTCCCTCTGCCCGGGGTGGGCGGCGTGGGCTCTCAGGGGCCCAACCCCGCCCCCTCCATCGTCAGCCCATCTTGTCGTCTCAACAGTACTTCCTGGCCTCTAACACTCTCATTTCTTGGTTTGCTTCCCAGGCCTTGGCTGCCTGGAGGGTCAGACAGTGGGTGAGAGCTGCCAGGAGCTGCGGGAGAAGTTCTGGGAATTCTACAAGGTGGGAGCACCCGCCCCTTGCACATGTCCGGCCCCGCCCCCTGATGGCCGCTCCGCCCCCGCCCAGCTCTGGCCCCGCCCCTCATCCCCCGCCTCTCCCCGCAGGCAGACTGGTGCGTGTGGCCTGCTGCGCAGTTCGTGAACTTCCTCTTCGTGCCCCCCCAATTTCGAGTCACCTACATCAACGGCCTGACGCTGGGCTGGGACACGTACCTGTCCTACTTGAAGTACCGGGTGAGTGTGGAGGGCATACCAGGCACCCAGGGGACTCCCCAGGGGGCTACACGTGTGAGCTCCAAGTGGCAGTGTAGCCAGCCACCCTGGAGGGTGGGAGTCTCCTGTGCTCCTGACAACCCACACCCAACAGTGGGCTGGCGGAGAGCTCCTCACTAGCAGTTAAGACCCAGCCGTGGCTGAGCGCCGTGGCTCATGCCTGTAATCCCAGCACTTTGGGAGGCCGAAGCGGGTGGATCGCCTGAAATTGGAGTTAGAGAGCAGACTGGGCAATATGGTGAAACCCCTTCTCTACTAAAAATACAAAAAATTACTGGTACGCACCTGTAATTCCAGTTACTTGAGAGGCTGAGGCAGGAGAATTGCTTGAACCCAGGAGGCAGAGGCTGCAGTGAGCCAAGATCATGCCACTGCACTCCAGCCTAGGTGACAGAGCGAGACTCCGTTTCAAAAAAAAAAGACCCATGCCGGGCGCGGTGGCTCACGCCTGTAATCCCAGCACTTTGGGAGGCCGAGGCAGGCGGATCACGAGGTCAGGAGATCGAGACCGTCCTGGCTAACATGGTGAAACCCTGTCTCTACTAAAAATACAAAAAAAAAATTAGCCGGGCGTGGTGGCGGGCGCCTGTAGTCTCAGCTACTCCGGAAGCTGAGACCGGAGAATGGCCTGAACCCGGGCAGCGAAGCTTGCAGTGAGCCGAGATCGCGCCACTGCACTCCAGCCTGGGCGACAGTTCGAGACTCCGTCTCAAACAAACAAAAAGACCCAACCCTTCTCTGCTGTCTGATGTGACCTCAGCCCGGTCCCTGCCAAGTCTGTTGAGCAGGGCTGACCTCTGGCCCAAGGGCAGGTAGAGGGACAGGGAGGGATGAGCCAGGCTTCTGACCAGATGCCTTGTCTTGTGTGGACAGAGCCCAGTTCCTCTGACACCCCCAGGCTGTGTGGCCCTGGACACCCGAGCAGACTGAACTGTCTGCTTCCTGGACCAGATGCAAGACTGTCTCCTGGCGGACCACCCCCTCTGACAGAAGGGGAATGGGCTCCTGCAGCAAGCTCGGGTCTTGAGCCACGTCCCAGCACCACTTCAGCTCCGGAGCATTGGGCTGAGCCGCCCTTTCCAAGCTCACTTCTGGGACTGAGTTTCCTCAACCGGAACACACCCATGAAGATGGATGATCATCCCCTAGCCCTTCTCAGCAGGAACCTCATGCGACCTGTGACCAAGATGTCCCATCCTCAGCACAGGGCCCACTCTGCCAACCAGTCTCAAGCACCAGCCCCTCAACACTGCCATCCACCTGGCTCTGGGCCAAGCCACCAATCCAGAGCTCCCTCAGGTCCTGGGACTAAGGCGGGGACATGACTGATCCCCTCAGAGCAGGCTCAGGCCTGGAGTCGGCCCCCAAAAGTTTCACATAGGGCCAGGCAGCCTCTGTGTTTCTTTCCCTGGTCCTGAACTGTGGAAATGCCATTAAACTCTCTCTATAATGTAACTGAAACTGCTGGCTGGGCGCAGTGGCTCCCACCTGTAATCTCAGCCCTTCCCGAGGCTGAGGTGGAAGGATTGCTCGAGGCCAGGTGTTCGAGACCAGCCTGGGCAACATAGCAAGACCCTGTCTCTATTTATATTGAAAAATAAAAATAACAAAAGAAAATGCTGTGGATGATCAAAACCAGGGTGGGCAGGACCCGGTGCTCACAGGGACACACATGGATGGTCCATTCGCTTTATTGGGTGCGTGTAGTGTTGTCATGACATCTCCTAAGGAACTGGGGGGCACGTTTGACACTCATGAGGTCAGAACAGGTCTGGTGGGCGGGGGGGGGGGGGGTCCCAGGGTGGTGAATACCCACAGCACACCCCCCCACCAAAAGAGAAAACGGGGAGAGGAGCCTGGCAGGCCAGACTCTGATCCCCATGGTCCACACAGGGAAACCCCCAACAGCGGCCTCGGCCCACCGCGGCAGAGCCGAGGGGCTGGCAGGCCTGGCCACCTCCCATTGCCCGATCAGCCTGCTTTAGGGTGTCATCTGGCCCCTCTTCACAACTGACAACTGTGGATGGGGGTGAATTTTAAAAAAAGGCGGGGGGGGGGGGTTCAGGAGGGTGAGCGGTGAGTTCACGGGGCCACGAGACACCACAGCTGAGTGGGGAAAGGGCTATATGTACAGGAGGGGCAGGGCTTGGGGCGGGCAGGGGAGCCTGGGCCCCTGGGGGACATCTTCAATAAATAAATAAATAGCTACAATAATAAATAAGGGTGACGGGCTAAGTCAGGAGCAGGGGTCTTGTGCCCGTGGCTGGTAGGGGCCGGGTCAGGCCCGGGTAGTTGGGGGAAGGTGGGGAAGACAGGGAAGAGGGGAAAGGGAGTGGGATGGCTCTCAGCAGGCGCAGTCCTGGTGCGGTGGCACCTGCTGGTCACTGAGCTGTGGGCCCTGCTTGGCGCCTGTGACCGCAGGGTCCGCCGTGTCCAACGACTCGGACATCTTCTCGCAGATGACATCCACCAGGCGCTCAAAGGTCTGCTTGACGTTAATGTTGTCCTTGGCGCTTGCCTCAAAGAACTCGAACCCTGTGGTCAGAGAAGGCAGGGATGAGGACCCTGGCCACGCCCTATGCCAACTCCCAGAGATGCTTCTCTGAGGAAAGGGAACACCTGGAGATTCCCAGTGCCAAGCAACTTATTGAAGGTACTGACAAATCCCACAGAGAAGAAACTTATTGAAGGTACTGACAAATCCCACAGAGAAGCAACATGGAACTGGGTCAGCTTTGCATTTCCTGCTTTTTTTTTTTTTTTTTTTTTTTGAGACAGGGCCTTGCTCTGCTGCCCAGGATGGAGTATGGTGGCGTGATCATAGCTCACTGCAGTCTCGACCTCCTGGGCTCAAGTGATCCTCCACCCCCACCTCTCAAATTGCTGGGATTATAGGTGTGAGCCAGCGCACCTGGCCTCCTGCCCTTCCTTCCTAAAATTGTGTCTCGTTGTCCTTAGGGACCTGGCAAGACATGCCCTGCAGCGTCCAGCCCAGCCCCGTGCACTGGCCCTGGAAGGCTCTGACACTCAAATCCAGCTGTGACCTCCCCCTGCTCACACACCCTCTGTGACTCCCTATTGCCCTCCAAAGAGTCCCAGCCTCTCAGCACATGGTTGAGGCCCTCTGTGATCGGCCACATTTCCTCCAGCTGACCCTCATGTTCCAGTCTTGTGAAATTATTACCAAAACACACAGGACCTTTCTCACTGCAAGCCTTTGCCCAAGCTATTTCCTCTGCCTGAAAGACCCTTCTTCACTACCCACCACTCCAGGAAGCCTGGCTCCTCTCATGTGCTCCTCCCATCCAGGTCCCTCCCTCTACCTCAGGGGTCCCTCGAGGCACCCCTAGATGCCTCTTGAGCCCAGCAACACCCAACAAAGCGTTGGACGGTGAGTGTCAGAATAAATCCTTAAACTTTCTGCATGGCAAACTCCTACACATCCCTCAGGATCCAACTCAAATGGCTCCTGGATGAAGGCTAGTTTGCAGAAAGTGTGAATTACCTGGCTTTAGCTGTAAGACCTTGGGTGTGTGCCCTCCCCTCTCTTAGTGTCCTTTTTCTAGACTTGTGGGTCTCCAGCCCAGCTGGGCACTCACCAAGGTGGTCAGCTAGCTGCCGGCCACGTTCTGATGACACCACCCGCTCATCCTCCATGTCACACTTGTTTCCTACCAGCAGCACCTGGGCATTGTCCCATGAGTAGGTCTTGATCTGGGTGGACCTATAGGAGGCACCAATGGGGGCAGGTCAGGGCTTGGAGGATCCCAGCTCCACCCTGACGGGCTGATGTGGAGCCTGTGTCCTTGTCCGAGGAAGAAAGACCCAGAAGCTTGCCCCTCCATCCTCCCCACCATCCTTTCCCCCAATGTGCCCCGCTTTCACCCCACTCCAGCCCCCGACTGACCCATTATTGTTTCTGTGTTTTGGGGTTTTTTTTGAGATAGAGTCTGGGTCTGTTGCCCAGGCTGGAGTATCTGCCTGCCTTCGCTTCTCAAAGTACTGGAATTACAGGCATGAGCCACCCAGCCCAGAAATTTTCTTTTTTTGAGATAGAGTCTTGCTCTGTCGCCCAGGCTGGAGTGCAGTGGCGCGATCTAGGCTCACTGCAATCTCCGCCTCCCAGGTTGAAGTGATTCTCCTGCCTCAGCCTCCTAAGTAGCTGGGACTATAGGCATGAGCCACCATGCCTGGTAATTTTTTGTGCTTTTAGTAGAGACAGGGTTTCACTATGTTGGCCACGATGGACTCGAACTCCTGAGCTCAAGATCTACCCACCTCGGCCTCCCAAGGTGCTGGGATTATAGGCATGAGCCACTGTGCCCAACCCAGAAATTTTTTTTTAAAGTTATTACTTCTGAGCAGAAAATTGAAATGTTTACAATCTCTAACCTATGCCAACTCTCCTTTTTTTTTTGAGACAGAGTTTTGCTCTTGTTGCCCAGGCTGGAGTGCAATGGCAATCTTGGCTCACTGCAACCTCCACCTCCCGGGTTCGAGCGATTCTCCTGCCTCAGGCTCCCAAGTAGCTGGGATTACAGGTGTGCGCCACCACGTCTGGCTAATTTTTGCATTCTTAGTAGAGATGGGGTTTCTCCATCTTGGTCAGGCTGGTCTCGAACTCCCGACCTCAGGTGATCCACCTGCCTCAGCCTCCCAAAGTGCTGGGATTATAGGTGTGAGCCACCGTGCCCGGCCATGCCAACTCTCCTTATAGTCTCTATATTCTCCACCCTACACTTGCAGATATTTGTTTCTATATGGTTATAGTTTTACTTTTCCATCTGAAATCCTTCTCTGACCCCTACGTTTTATTTATTATTTTTTGAAGAAAGTTTGGCTCAGAGACAATGGCCCCAGAATGAGTGTGGAAGGCCAGAAGCGATGGCTCACGCCTGTAATCCCAGCACTTTGGGAGGCCAAGGTGGGCAGATCACTTGAGCCAAGGAGTTCAAGACCAGCCTGGGCAACATGAGGAAACCCCATCTCAACTAAAAATACAAAAAAATTAGCCAGGTGTGGTGGTATATGCCTGTAGTCCCAGCTACTTGGGAGGCTGAGGCAGGAGGATCACTTGAGCCCAGGAGGTCGAGGCTGCAGTGAGCCCTGATCGTGCCACTGCACTCCAGCCTGGGTGACAGAATAAAACCCTCTCTCAAAGAAAAGAAAAGAAAAAAAAAGAGCAAGTGGGGTACACTCACCAGTCCTGCACTGCATTGAAGGATTCCTCGTTGGTGATGTCATACATGAGGATGAAGCCCATAGCGCCCCGGTAGTATGCGGTGGTGATGGTCCGGTACCGCTCTTGCCCTGCTGTGTCCTAGGGAGGAAGAGATGAAGGTCAGAGAGGACCTGCACATAAGGCCCTCGAAGAGGAAATGAGCTCTGATATCATCCAGTTCAGCCCCCTGGGAGAAGCAGGAGCTTGCCCAGGGGCACAAAGTGTCAGGAAGAGCAGGTTGGGTCACCAGTGCTCAGAATATATGAGTGCTCCATTATTCCACAGAGTCATTCACCAAACGTACTGTGCCAGGTGCTGTGGCTCACACCTGTAATCCCAGCACTATGGGAGGCTGAGGTGGGCAGGTGGCTTGAACCCAGGAGTTCCAGACCAGCCTGAGCAACATAGCAAGACCCCATCTCTACAAAAAGTACAAAAATTAACAGGGTGTGGTGGCTCACACCTGTAGTCCCAACTACTCAGGAGGCTCAGGTGAGAGGGTTGCTTGAGCCCAGGAGGCAGAGGTTGCAGTGAGGTGAGATCGCGCCACTGCAGTTCAGCCTGGGTGACAGAGTGAAACCCTGTCTCAAAAAACAAACAGGGGGTCGGGTGTGGTGGTGGCTCACGCCTGTAATCCCAGCACTTTGGGAGGCCAAGGCAGGTGGATCACCTGAGGTCAGGAGTTCGAGACCAGCCTGGCCAACATGGTGAAACTCTGTCTCTACTAAAAATACAAAAATTAGCTCGGCGTGGTGGCATGCACCTGTAATCCCAGCTACTCAGGAGGCTGAGGCAGGAGAATCGCTTGAACTCAGGAGACAGAGGTTGCAGTGAGCCGAGATCGCGCCATTGCACTCCACCCTGGGTGACAAGAGCGAGACTCCGTCTCAAAACAATAACAACAAAAAAAAAAAAAAAAAGAAAGAAAGAAAGAAAGAAAGAAAGAAAACAGAGGCCAGGCGTGGTGGCTCATGCTTGTAATCCCAGCACCTTGGGAGGCCAAGACAGGTGGATCACTTGTGGTCAGGAGTTCAAGACTAGCCTGGCCAACATGGCGAAACCCTATCTCTACTAAAAATACAAAAAAAAATTAGCTGGGCTTGGTGGTGAGCCCCTGTAATCCCAGCTACTCAGGAGGCTGAGGCAGGAGAATCGCTTGAACCCGGGAGGCAGAGGTTTCAGTGAGCCAAGATTGCACTACTGCACTCCAGCCTGGGTGACAGAGCAAAAACTCTGTCTCAAAAAACAAACAAACAAATAAACAAACATGGACTGGGCACTGATCTTTTCCACACCCTGAACTGGACACTGGGGACACAGTTGTTAACAAGATGGGCACTTCCCTTGCTAAGTGACACTCAGTGTGGGAAATAGAAAATAACGGTATAAATGTATCCTATATTGGAGAGTGACAAGGACCAAGGAGAAAAATCAAGCCAGATGAAGATGGAGAGAATTTAACTGTAGGTTTAAAAATTAAAGGAAGCTGACACTTGCCTGTACTCCCAGCTACTTGGGAAGCTGAGGCGGGAGGATTGCTTGAGCCCACGAGTTCAAATCCAGCCTGGGCAACAGAGTGAGACTCTGTCTCTTAAAACTAACAAGGCCAGGTGGGGTGGCTCATGCCTGTAATCTTAGCACTTTGAGAGGCTGAGGTGGGAGGATCGCTTGAGCCCAGGAGTTCAAGACCAGCCTGGGCAGACATAGCCCGACCCTGTCTCTACAAAAAAGAAAAAAATCAGCAGGCGTGGTGGTAGAAGCCCGTGGTCCTAGCTACTCAGGAGGCTCAGGTGGAAGAATGGTTTGAGCCTGGGAAGTCGAGGCTGCAGAGAGCCGTGATCACGTAACTGCATTCCAGCCTAGGGGACAGAGCAAGACCACCCTGTCTCAAAAAACAAACAAAAAAAGAGAATGGGGACCAAGATCCAGCTGAAACCTCATACATGGAAGAACTTGAAGATGGGGAAACTGAGGGACCAGGATTAGGTGCTTATGGGAGAACACAGGTGCTGTTTCTGCCCCGGTACACAGTGGGCACCTTACTGATAAATGCCCAGTGTGTAAGTGAATGACTCCAGTCAGGAAAGAGATAGACGAGGTTGGGGCTGCTTTTCCAAGTACGGGAATCCAACCGAGCCGGGCGGGAGCCCTCCAGCTGGGACCCACCCAGATCTGCAGCTTGATCCTCTTGTCGTTGCGATAGATGGTCTTGACCTTGAAGTCGATGCCCACGGTGCTGACGAAGGCAGGCGTGAACGAGTCGTCAGCATAGCGGAAGAGGAAGGACGTCTTGCCCACGCTGCTGTTGCCGATGATGAGAATCTTGAACATGTAGTCGAAGTTCTGATCCGAGGACTCCTTCTGCCCATAGCGCGAGTCTGTGGCGGATGCCATCTGGGGATACCGGGTGTAGCAGAGCCGTGAGGGGGGCTCTCTCCATCCTCATGTGCCCAAGCCCAGGCAGAAGATGGCAAGGGCTCCAGAAAACGGCCGGTGTATGGAGGACACCCTTATCCCATCAGGAGCCCCAGTATTAATTGGTGGTGCCCCCAGCAGAGGGCAGCCTGTGACCTTGAAATCCTGGGCGTTTCAGAGGAGGGGCTCAGAGGGTTGCCGATGGGGACACCCCAGCAGCCCCCTTCAAGGGGCAGGTGCCCCAGGTGGGGCTGTAACCCTAAACCCAGGGCTGAGCCCGGAGGGGGTGACTGCGGCTGGCTCCGCCCCCCATCAATCTTTCATGGTCCTCAGAACCCGGCCGCGCGGCCCCACGTGCACCGCGTGCATGGTCCCTCGAGGACGCGCATCTGCAGCCCCCGCTCCCCGCAAACCTCCAGGCCGGAGAGCTCCGGCCAAGGCCGCTGCATCACATGATACAGGAGGGGCATGCACACGCTCACGTGCACACAGCCTCAAACACGCTCATCCGTACATACAGGAGTGTGTGAACGCACTGAGGTGCACAGGACAAAGACACAGACACCTGTTTGCACACCGACTCGCCTATAGAAATGTGCAAACCACCCGTGCGCACAGGCCCCTCCACCCATGCAGGCGTGTGCACATCACCCACACGGACACGGATCCCCGTGCTTGTATGCACGGGCCATACCTGCACAGGCGGTCCACACGTCTTTCTCCACGCGCGTGCAACGCTCACACACTTAGGCCCAGACCCCCACGGCGTCACACGAGCATATCCAGGTACACAAGCAAGGGTGCACACAGACCCGCTGACACAGGCAGGCGCGCACACGCGTGTGCACACCACGCGCACGCGCACGCAAAAGCCTCCCGCGCGCACAGCTTCCCGCAAGGAGCTCGGCTCCCCTCCCCCTCCGCCGCAGAGCAGGGGGGTTGGGGGGGTTAGTGGTGAGGATCAGGCAGGAGTGGGGCGCCCGGGCCCTACCCATTCCCAGCCTCGCGACCGCCGCATCCTTCCCCCCATTCAACCCTAGTCAACCTCGTCCCCCACCTCCATCAGCCCATCAGTCAAATGAAGGTTATGCAGGTGCTCGGAGCCTGAGCACACCCGGCCGCCCAGGAGCTCACCTTGCCCTGCACCGATGCAACGGCGACCCTAGCGGCGGTGACTTTTTTGGCGGTGGCGGTGACAGGACCCCGGTGCGTTGATGTGGGGCTGCGCGGCGGCGGCGGCAGCAGCGGCTCAGGCCCCTGCAGTCCTCCGTGACGTCCTGCAAAGGGAGGGGCGGAGCCTCACATGTAGATAAGTCCGTGACGCCATCCGGAGGCGGAGCCGCGCGTAGAGATGTGGCCCATTGACGCACGCAGAGCCAGATGGGGCAGGGCTCCTGAGCAGATTGACGTGCAAATGGGGCGGGGCCTAGCGTGTGCATCCAGTAGGGGCGGGAGCGGCGCGGGGGCCGACTCCGCCTCTCGTCCGCCTCCTGTCCGCCTCGGGGAGGCGGGGCCCCTCAGCGTTCTCTCACTGGCTTAAGCTCTCGAGCGACGGGCGAAGTAGCCAATCAGAGATTGTCTACGCCCTCCTCTTGTCCAATGGTGGCATCTGGGAGATTGAAGGGCCGAGAGGCTGAGGCCTTGGCTGAGCCCCGGTCTTCGAGGGGCGGTTCCCTTACCCGCCCGCACCCACCCCAGGTAGGGGACTCTTGAGGCCACCGTCTAGTCCAAGGTGCTGTGACCCCTGTTAAATGCCCCTGACTCCCAATTGCAGAAAAGAAAAATCGAGGCCCAAGAGATGTTTTATACCCTCACATATATGGGGTTCAAAATAAATACCAAAGAATAAACAGGAGTCAAGAGGGACCCCTGTCCCATTCCCGAGGCGTAAGACCCCCCCACTGAGGGAGGGGCTAGTAAAGACTCCACCCCTCCCCCGTTTCTGAGGTTTGAAAAGAAAGAAGTAGAGGTCAAGAGAGCCTCCCCTCCCCACCATTCCCAGAAAAGGAGGAAGGGGCTGATGGACTCTCTGGGAACCCCCTCCCCTCCCTGCGCCCCGTCATCAAGAAGAAAATTCGAAGAAAAGGTTTAGCAGGGACAGAGAAGCGACCTGTCCCGGAAACCCCTTAAAGCCTGCGGTAAATGCCCCGGGAAACAGGGAGGGCACGAGCCGAAGCCTCCAGCTCTTCAAAGCTCGGATTCAAAGACCCGGGGGCTGGGAGACCCCCTCCCTCCATCCTGGGAAAGCAAAACTCAGAGGATGGAGCCTTTTGGGAGCTAAGATGGTCCATCTTTTATTCCTCCAAATCTTTAGGGAAGGAAGTCAGAATTTGGGGAGGGAGGAGGAGCCCGAAACCCCAGCCCCCACTTTGGGTCTCCTGCTCCCCCTACTCCAGCTTTCAAACCCTCCAGGGGTGTGTGGCCCCCAGGAGAGTCCTGATCCCCTAGATTCTCCCCCCACCCCTCCCAGTAGGCGGGGCTGGAGCGTGTGTGTGTGGCGGGGGGTGACTCGTCCTGTTTATAAAAAGCTCGCCAGCTGCGGAGGCGCCGAGAGACCAGAATAACTTAGCGCCTCGAGGCCCAGCCGCCGCCAACCCAGTCCCCAGCCCGCCCCCAGTGCCCTGGGAGTACTGGGACGCCCACCCCCACGTCCCCGCACCGTTTACATTTGGGAAATTTATTTTTTCTTTTTAGGGTAACATGTTTGCTCCCTCCTCCCCCACTCGGACTATAGAAGTATCACCAATCCACTGCAGAGAAATTGGGAAAATTCAGAAAAACAAAAAATAAAAAGAAATCCACCTCCCATTCTCCCTGCCCTCCGCGCCCACGCGGTAGTCCGTGCTCTGTGGGGGGCTCCAGGGCAGCTGGTCCAGGCCCTGGCCTGCCGCCTCCTTGGAGGGGAGGTTTTTCGGTTGCTCAGCTCCCTGATCGCCCAAAGGCACGCTTCCTACATGGGTGGCTCTCTCGGAAATACCTCCTGCCTTTTTTCCCCAGGAAGAGAAAAGTGAGCCACGAGAATGTGCGGAAGCTTCCGTCACTGACTTAGTATTTTAAAGTAAAAATAGCCGGGTGCGGAGGCTTACGCCTGTAATCCCACCACTTTGGGAGACCAAGGCGGGAGGATCGCTTGAGCCCAGGAATTGGAAACCAGCCTGAGTAACATAGGGAGGCCCCATCTCTACAAAAAATTTAAAAATTAGCTGGATGTGGTGTCGCGTGCTTGTGGACCCAAATACTCCCGAGGCTGAAGTAGGAGGATCACTTGAGCTCAGGAGGTCGAGGCTGTAGGAAACCGTATCGCGCCACTACACTCCAGCCTGGACGACAGAGTGAGACGCTGTCTCAAAAAATTAATTACTTAATTTAAATTTAAAAAGAATGCAAGCCCTTGATTGTCCAGAGCAGCATTGGGCTCTGGAATTAGAAATGGTTGAGCTGGGGGAGGGGCTGCGGGATTGGGGTATTTTCTTTGTGTCAGGGGAGACAGAGCTGGTGGGAGAACGGGCTAGGCTTCCAGGCCGGTCCCACTCAGAGGAAAGTCCAGAGGCTTCCCTGCATCCCTACCCTATCGTCTACACTAGACAAATAAAAATAAAAATGTGGCCAGGTGCGGTGGTTTATGCCTGTAATACCAGCACTTTGGGAGGCCGAGTCAGGAGGATCACTCCTTGACCTTGAGGTCAGGAGTTCGAGACCAGCCTGGCCAACATGGTGAAACCCCATCTCTGCTAAAAATACAAAAATTAGCCCGGTGTGGTGGTGCCTGTCCCAGGAGGCTGCTCAGGAGGCCCAGGCATGAGAATCGCATGAACCAGGGAGGCGGAGGTTGCAGTGAGCTGAGATCACCGGCACCACTGCACGCCAGCCTAGGTGCTAGAGGGAGACTCTGTCTCAAGAAAAAAAAAAAAAAGTATCCCAGATACGGGTCCAGGGACGACTTCTCGGGGAAGAAGACACTAACTTAAAACCCAGTGTGGGGGCCAGGTGTGGTGGCTCATGCCTGTAATCCCAGCACTTTGGGAGGCCGAGGTGGGTGGATCACCTGAGGTCAGAAGTTCAAGACCAGCGTGGTCAACATGGTGAAACCCCATTTCTACTAAATATTAGCCGGGCATGGTGGCGGTCGCCTGTAATCCCTGCTACTTGGGAGGCTGAGGCAGGAGAATCGCTTGAACCCGGGAGGCAGAGGTTGCAGTGAGCCAAGATCACGCCATTGTCCTCCAGCCTGGGCAACAAGAGCGAAACTTTGTCTAAAACAAAAATAAAAACAAAAATCTAATGGGTGAGGCTGGGGGCTGAGAGAGAAGCATTCCAGGTAGTGGGAACAGCTTGTTTGAAGGCCCTGTGGTGGGACCAGGCTTGCAGTGTGGCCAGAGCAGATGCAGTCAGTAAGAGGAGAGGGACAAATGCCTTTGGCTCAAACTGAAGGAGAACATATGAATATTCATTTATAAGAAATATGAATATTCTAGGGCTGGGTGCAGTGGCTCATGCCTGTAATCCCAGCACTTTGGGAGGCCGAGGCAGGCGGATCATGAGGTCAGGAGTTCAAGACCAGCCTGGCCAACATGGTGAAAACCCAGTCTCTACTAAAAATACAAAAATTAGCTGGGCATGGTGGTGGGCACCTGTAATCCCAGCTACTCAGGAGACTGAGGCAGGAGAATCGTTTGAACCCAGGAGGCGGAGGTTGCAGTTAGCCAAGATCACACCATTGCACTCCCGCCTGGGCGACAAGGCGAGACGCAAAGAAAGAAAGAAAGAGAAAGGGAAAAGGAAAGAAAAGAAAGACAGAGAAAGAAAGAAAAGAAAAGAAAGAAAAAAATATGAATTTTTTTTTTTTTTTTGAGACAGTCTCGCTCTGTCACCCAGGCTAGAGTGCAGTGGCTCGATCTTGGCTCACTGCAAGCTCCGCCTCCCGGGTTCAGGCCATTCTCCTGCCTCAGCCTCCCGAGTAGCTGGGACTACAGGCGCCTGCAACCACGCCCGGCTAATTTTTTGTATTTTTAGTAGAGACGGGGTTTCACTGTTAGCCAGGACGGTCTCGATCTCCTGACCTCGTGATCCGCCCGCCTCGGCCTCCCAAAGTGCTGGGATTACAGGCGTGAGCCACCGCGCCCAGCCAAAAATATGAATATCTTATAACAGATGGAGAAAAACTAGAGGGAAATAAGTCAAAATACTGCAGATAATCCATGGGTGGAGATACAGCAGAATTTTATTTCCTTCTTTATACATTTCCATTATTTCCAAATTTTTTACAGCGAACATGGTATTACTTTGTAAGCGGACTGGGGGGAAAAATCTTGAAAAAAAAATTCCCTAAATATCTTCTTTTTAAAAGTCTGGAAGGAAATGCACCAAGTTCGTGAACCCGGATGACTTTTAGTTCTGGCACTGTGGAATTTTATCATTAACTGTGATGATGATGAATTCTGAGTGGTTATAATATTTATGAACGAAGCCAGCTGCTCTGGAAGCCGAGGGCGGCTGTGATGACGCCTGTATCTTGTATAAATATTCAGGCACGCGAAGAGGGAGGCAGAGGGGAGGGATGGATACTGAGGCTTCCGGAGGCGGGGATCGAACCCTAGGCTTGAGCATGGTGCTGCCCAGTCCGCTCGGAGGCCCGACCAGCAGGACGAGCTCTTCCCGGCGAGGTGCGGTAAGTGGGACCATCAGGGCTGGAGGATGCCACCCCTCCGACCCACCCCCCAACCCCCGACAAGCGCGCCCCGCCGTGTCTCCCACGCCCGCCACCAGGGGGTGCCGCTGGCTAACATTGGGCGCCCAGATGCTTGACTTTGAGCTGGCAAGAGGACCTCTCTGCGCCTCAGTTTCCTCATCAGTGAAATGGCCAGGACACTCAATTTGGTCAATCGAATGTCTTAAGATGTAAAGATTTTATTTAACCCCAGATAAATGCTCAGTACCCCAAATGTCTAAGATATTTCAGGGAGGTCACAGACAACAACCCCCCACACCTCGTCGGAGTTTATCCAAGTACTAGGATCAGGTTACAGAGGGGAAACTGAGGCCCAGAAGAGGCTATGATGGCAAGAAAGCCTCAGGGGCCTCCCTCCCTCTAGGGGGAGTCTGAGGCAGTTTCAGGAATCAGGAGACTTAGAGACCTGCTAGAGAGGGAAAATTGTGTGTTTTTGTTGCTGTCCTAGGGAAGGAGGAACACGTAGGGGACCCAGTATGGAGTTCTGCGGACAGAGAAAGCAGGGGGCTCCTACATCCAGAGACACCAAAGACAGAAAATAAAGCGACTTAAAGCAACAACTGGTGCATAGGTTCAATCAGTCTTCAGAGACATGCCGGGCACAGAGCCCCCTCTTTTTATTGTTGTTGTCGTTGCCCAGGCTGGAGTGCAGTGGCGCGACCTCGGCTCACCACAACCTCCACCTCCCGGGTTCAAGCGATTCTCCTGCCTCAGCCTCTCAAGTAGCTGGGATTACAGGCACCTGCCACCATGCCTGGCTAATTTTTTTTTTTTCTTTTTGAGACGGAGTCTTGCTCTGTCACCCAGGCTGGAGTGCAATGGCACGATCTCGGCTCACTGCAAGCCCCGCCTCCCGGATTCAAGCGATTCTCCTGCCTCAGCCTCCCGAGTAGCTGGGATTCAGGCACCCAACACCATGCCCAGCTAATTTGTGTATTTTTAGTAGAGATGGGGTTTCACCGTGTTGGCCAGGCTGGTCTTGAACTCCTGACCTCGTGATCCACCCGCCTCGGCCTCCCAAAGTTCTGGGATTACAGGTGTGAGCCGCCGCACCCAGCCTCTAATTTTTTGTATTTTTAGTAGAGACAGGGTTTCACTATGTTGGCCAGGCTGATTTTGAACTCCTGATCTCAGGCGATCCACCCCCACTCAGCCTCCCAAAGTGCTAGGATTACAGGCGTGAGCCACCTGGCCCGGCTTTTTTTTTTTTCTTTTCTTTTTTGAGACAGTGTCTTGCTCTGTCGCCCAGGCTGGAGTGCAGTGGCATGATGTCGGCTCACTGCAACCTCCACCTCCTGAATTCAAGTGATTCTCCTGCCTCAGCCTCCCCAGTAGCTGGGATTACAGGCACCCGCCACCATGCCCAGCCAATTTTTGTATTTTTAGTAGAGATGGGGTTTCACCATGTTGGCCAGGCTGGTCTCGAACTCCTAACCTCAGGTGATCCACCTGCCTCAGCCTCCCAAAGTGCTGGGATTATAGGCATGGGCCACTGTGCTCGGCCTCAGAGCCCCGTCTCTTTCCTTTCCTTCTCTTTTCTTTTTATTTTTAGACAGGATCTTGCTGTGTTGCCCAGGCTGGAGTGCAGTGATGCAGTCATAGCTCTCTTCAGCCTCCAACTCCTGGGCTCAAGCGATCCCCTTTGTCTCAACCTTCTGAGTAGCTGGGATTCTCAGGTGCACACCACCATGCCTGGCTAATTTTTTTTTTCAGAGATGGTGGGGGTCTTGCTATGTTGCCCAGGCTGGTCTCAAACTCCTGAGCTTAAGCAGTCCTCCCACCTCAGCCTCCCAAAGTACCGGGATTACAGGCATAAGCCACTATGCCTTGCCCAGCCCTTCTTTTCTGCTCCTCTTCCTGCCCCCTACCGTAGTTTCAGAAACAAAACTGGGTATGAGTGAAGCTTTGGTGCTGAAAATTTTCCCCACTCACATTTCCATGCTCTTGCAGAGAGCCGCTTGGTAGAGGAAGACAGGGAGATGCCTTTGGGATGGTCTCCTGACTCCCCACCCTTTGTGCAGGGCTACTACAGAGGCAGAAAGCTGGCACGAAGTAGATGAGCAATAAATATTTGATAAAGAAGGAAATAATTAAGTGACAGATGTGACTCAAGAGTGACCACTGGAGAGGGTGGACTAGAGGCTCCAGCAGACAGCACCTCTCCTCACAGGGATAGAAGCCCAGGAGAAAGACACCAGGGCATCGTAAGAGGCTGCCCCTTAGAGAGCTCTTTTAGGCAAGTCTAGGGTCAGAGTGGACCCCAGCCAGGTGCCTCCAATTAGACCCTGGGAGCCACCTATAACTAAGAGCTTGATTGTCTCCCTAAATGGGTGGGAAAGTGAAGCAGGAGCCACATGGAGCCTCTTCCTGGAAAGTCTGCCTGCCAAGAGCCAAAGGGCTTTACCATCCATTGCCCCTGCAGTTCACGCAGGGCTGGCCCTAAGTCCTCTGGTTGTCGAGGGGTAAGTCCCCAGGGTCTGGGCCGGCTTCAGGGGACAGGAGTTCAGTGTCAGGCAACTCCAAGGCCTCTTTGGCTAAAGCTGTCTCTTCCCCCTCCTCTTCTTCCTCCTCATCCTCTTCCTCTGCCTCCTCCAGAGTCAGTTCAAACTGGAATCTGTCAGGCCCGTCCCGCTCGGGGTTGGTGAGGTCTGAGGGACTTCGGGGGATCTTGCTCTGGTACCACTCTCGATTGTCCTCCAGCGTGTCCAGCAGGTCCTGTGCATCTGGGTGGACCAGGTCAGCCCAAGTCTCCCACAGTGGGTGAGCAATGTAGTCAATGAAACCCACCTGTGGCGGGGGGTGGGGCATGTCGGCATTTGGTGAGTTACAGTGAACCCTAGACTCAATCCAGCCTCCAGATCTTTAGCCAAGTTGTTCCCTCTGCCTGGAATGCCGCTTCCCAACAACTGCTCATCCTTCAAAACCCTTTTCAAATAACTCATTCTCTAGAATGCCTCCCTTAACCCTTCTGGCCTCCTCCAACCCCAACCCTAACCCCACAGGGCTGAATGTACGTGTCCCCCAGACTGGAAGCCCCTCCAGGGTCCCGCATGTCACCTAGAACAGATGTTTCCAAACCCCAGAAGTGCATGTCCCTCTCCCTGAAGCCCAGAGAGAATGGATCCCAGGTCTAACTCGGCCCAGACAGCACCCTTCAGGCACACTCCCTGGCTAGCCAGCCAGGGCCAAACCAGGGCTCGTGGGGTTGGCTCAGCCCCTCCTTTTACTTCCTCCCAGTGTCTACCGGTTCAGCCCAGTCCCCTGCCAACCTGGGACTTCTCCACTGAGGCCGTATGCTTGTCACACATGGGACTGATGTCCAGGCCCGACTCACGCTCGCGGTCTCCCTGCTGGAAGAACTCGGCCATGATGCGGTCCGTCCACTGGCGGTACAGGGGCAGCGGCTTGGTGGGGTTGCTCAGATCAGCACAGTGCACCAGGTTCTGCAAGACCTACAGAGATCGAGGCTTGGGAGGGCACTGGCGGGGCCCAGCCACACCTAGACCTGGCACCTCCACAGACAGGCTTGGTGCCATGGACACATTCATCTTACAGGTGGGGAAACTGAGGCCTGAGACCTGAAGAAATGGTTAAGGCACAGGCATGTGACTCTTGCCATTTCTTCAAGTTTGGCATCCAGTCGGCACTTCATAAATGAAGCTAAATGAGAATTGCAAAAATGGAGGCCCTCTCCGATTTTTTTTTTTTTAATGAGTTAGGGTCTCACGCTGTGACCCTGGCTGGAGTGCAGTGGCAAGATCTTGGCTCACTGCAACCTCTGCCTCCCAGGCTCAAATGATCCTCCCAGCCCAGCCTCCCGAGTAACTGGAACTATAGGCATGCGCCACCATGCCTGGCTAATTTTTGTATTTTTGTAGAGACGGGGTGTTGCCCAGGCTGGTCTCAAACTCCTGAGCTCAAGCGATCCACCCATCTCAGCCTCTCAAAGTGCTGGGATTACAGGTGTGAGCCACTGAGCCCAGCTTTTTTTTTTTTTTTTTAAGAGACAGGGTCTCACTCAGTTGCCCAGGCTGGAGTGCAATGGTGCAATCACAGCTCACTGCAGCCTCTAACTCCTGGCCTCAAGCAATCCTCACACCTTGGCCTCCCAAAGTGCTGGGATTACAGGCATGAGCCACTGCGCCCAGCCTTCACTCTAAATGTGTAAGAAACCTGGCTAAAATTGTTTTTGTTTGTTTGTTTTGGCTTGTTTTTTTGAGATGGAGTCTTGCTTTGTCACCCAGGCTGGAGTGCAGTGGGGTGATTTCGGCTCACTGCAACCTCTACCTCCCAGGTTCAAGCAATTCTCTGCCTCAGCCTCCCGAGTAGCTGAGATTACAGGCGCCCGCCACCACACCCAGCTAATTTTTGTATTTTTAGTAGAGATGGGGTTTCACCATCTTGGCCAGACTGGTCTTGAACTCCTGACCTCATGATCTGCCTGCCTCGGCCTCCCAAAGTGCTGGGATTATAGGCGTGAGCCACTGCGCCCGGCTGCTAAAGTTGTTTTTAAAGTAAAACCGGCCGGGCGCGGTGGCTCACGCCTGTAATCCCAGCACTTTGGGAGGCCGAGGTGGGCGGATCTCAATCTCATGGAGATTGAGACCATGGTGAAACCCCGTCTCTACTAAAAATACAAAAAAAATTAGCTGGGCGCGGTGCCGGGCACCTGTAATCCCAGCTACTCGGGAGGCTGAGGCAGGAGAATGGCGTGAACCTGGGAGGCAGAGCTTGCACTGAGCCAAGATGGCGCCACTGCACTCCAGCCTGGGCGACAGAGTGAGACTCCGTCTCAATAAATAAATAAATACATAAATAAATAAATAAAGTAAAACCAAAATTTAAAAAGGAAGCCCCAGTGCCCATCCAGCTACACACCTGGATTCGGTCGGAATAGTTGTCCAGGAGGAGGACACCGAGGCTTGTCACCTTCTTGGTCTCCACCATGGTCTTGAGGTCGGCCAGGAGGTTCATGTGTTTGGACATGTCTGTGGCCAGCACCTGGGGGCAGGCAAGGGAAGGTGACAGGCGCGAGGACCCTGCCCACCCCAACCCTCACTCCCAACTCCCAGATGCCACTCTGGCTCAGACTCAGCCCTCTGGGCCTCAGCATACTCATCTGTGAAATGGAAGGATGCAACTGCATTCACTGCAAACTCTGCTCAAAAGAGGGGCTCAGTCAGGGGCCCCTTTTGGGAGGTCATCTGGGTTGGCCATGAATTCCACATGTGTGACAGGGTGTAGTGGGGAGGTGATCAAATCTGTGCGCCTGGGACTTGTCAGACAGAGTCTCCCACAGTGGGTGGGCATTGTAGTCAATGAAACCCACCTGTGGGGTGGGTGGGGCGGAAGGCATTCGTTGAGTCACAGCAAACCCTAGAACCAATCCAGCCTCCAGATCTTTAGCCACGTTGTTCCCTCTGCCTGGAATGCCGCTTCCCAACTCCTACTCATCCTTCAAAGCCCTTTTCAAATAACCCACCCTCAGGCTGGGCGCCGTGGCTCACGCCTGTAATCCCAGCACTTTGGGAGGCCGAGGCAGGTGGATCACGAGGTCAGGAGATCGAGACCATCCTGGCTAACATGGTGAAACCCCGTCTCTACTAAAAATACAAAAAGTTAGCCTGGCATGGTGGTGGGCACCGGTAGTCCCAGCTACTCGGAAGGCTGAGGCAGGAGAATGGCATGAACCCAAGAGGCGGAGCTTGCAGGGAGCCGAGATCCTGCAACAGATCTGGGCGACAGAGCAAGACTCCGTCTCAAAAAAAAAAAAAAAATAACCCATCCTCTAGGATGCCTCTGTTGACCCTTCTGGCCTCCTCCAACCCCAACTGTGACCCCACAGGGCTGGTTAGGGGCTAGGGTGACTTGTGCCTGAGGACAGTGGGGAGGATGAGTTCTGTGCAAAGGGGCTGGAAGAGTTGGGTACATGGGAGGGAACTAAAAGAGGTGGCTGTGGCTGGAAGAAGTGAGCTCAAGAGAAAGGGAGGTGAGATTGAAGAGACTGAGGGCCTCTGGCAGCTGGGGTAGATTGTCCAGAGGCTATGGGAGCCACAGGGGAGTTTGCAGCTCACTGTGGGGAGGGATGTGACTTCATACCCCTCAAACTTCCATGTAGCCACCATGTGCCCTGGAGGGCTATTTCTAGGCACAGATGTTTAAAAACCAGATTAACCCAGCCGGGCGCCGTGGCTCACACCTGTAATCCCAACACTTTGGGAGGCAGAGGTGGGTGGATTACCAGAGGTCAGAAGTTCAAGACCAGCATGGCCAACATGGTGAAACCCCGTCTCCACTAAAAATACAAAAAATTAGCCGGGTGTGGTGGCAGGCACCTGTAATCCCAGCTACTCAGAGGCTGAGGCAGGAGAATCACTTGAACCCAGGAGGTGGAGGTTGCAGTGAGCCAGGATCACACCATTGCACTCCAGCCTGAGTGACAGAGCAAGACTCCATTTCAAAAAAAAAAAAAAAAAAAACTTAACCCACCCATGTGGACTCAGCCCAGCCAGGAGTGACTCAGATGTGGTTCACCGGCTTCTCTGAGAGTCAGACAAAAGTCTCAAAACTTCTCCTCAAATCTCTCATCTGTCCCAAATGCTGTCTCCCCACCCTGTGGGTACCCACCACTCAAGACCCCAACTCCACCTCACCAAACGTTTAGTTCTTTCTCACTCCAAGCCTTGGCTTTCTCTAAGCCCTCCTCACGTGGGGTTCCCTCTGCTGAGAACACAGCCTTCCTCATTCTGCACACCCTGGCTTCAATGTTCCCTCTCCAAGAAGCCCTTTCTGACCTCTTTGGCTGGTCTGGGCTCCGAAAGCACCTTGAACCTTCCTCCTCACAGCTCTGCCTGCAGGTCCCTAGTCAAGGGTTAGAATTTCATAACGGCCGGAACTGTCTTTGCACAGATCAAGCACACAATAGGTGCTCAATAAATGCTTGTTAAGTGAATGAATGAGGCATGAGACCCCAAAACTTACTGATGTGCCCCTACCTAAAAAAAAAAAAAATTCAAATGGATAGATGTGTATAATTTTTTTTTTTGAGACAGAGTCTTGCTCTGTTGCCAGGCTGGAATGCAGTGTGCGATCTCCGCTCACTGCAATCTCCGCCTCCCGGGTTCAAATGATTCTCCTGACTCAGCCTCCCGAGTAGCTGAGACTACAGGTGCATGCCACCACACCCAGCTAATTTTTGTATTTTTAGTAGAGACAGGGTTTCACCATGTTGGCCAGGATGGTCTTGATCTCTTGACCTCATGATCCGCCTGCCTCGGCCTCCCAAACTGTTGGGACTACAGGCCTGAGCCACCGTGCCTGGCTGCTTAATTTTTTTCTTTTCTTTTTTTTTTTTTTTTGAGACAGAGTCTCACTCTGTTGCTGAGGCTAGAGTGCCGTGGTGCAATCTCCGCTCACTGCCACCTCCACCTCCCGGGTTCAAGCGATTCTCCTGCCTCAGCCTCCCAAGTATCTGGGATCACAGGTGCCCGCCACCAGGCCCGGCTAATTTTTGTATTTTTAGTAAAAACAGGGGTTTCACCATGTTGATCAAGCTGGTCTCGAACTCTTGACCTCAAGTGATCCACCCGCCTCAGCCTCCCAAAGTGCTGGGATTACAGGCGTGAGCCACCACGCCTGGCCCAGATGTGCTTAATTTAAGGCTTAGCAAAAGTTGCACCTGACACCCCAGAAACGGTTTCCACATTGCCTGGGTACAGCCAGGATCTGCTGGGCCCAGCAGAGGGCCTGGGGTTTGGGCAGTCACTAGCCCCTTTTTTTTTTTTTTTGAGATGGAGTCTCACTCTGTTGCTGAGACTGGAGTGCAGTGGTGCGATCTCAGCTCACTAGCTCACTAGCTCACTACAGCCTCCGCCTCCTGGGTTCTAGCAATTCTCCTGCCTCAGTCTCCCAAGTAGCTGGGATGACAGGTGCACACCACCACACCCAGCTAATTTTTGTATTTTTAGTAGAGACGAGGTTTCACCATGTTGGTCAGGCTGGTCTCGAACTCCTGACCTCAGGTGATTCGCCCGCCTCTGCTTCCCAAAGTGTTAGGATTACAGGCATGAGCCACCGCCCCTGGCCCCACTGTTCCATTTCACAGATGAGGAAGCTCAGACAGAGTGAGGACATGCCTGGGTCTGGATGAACCGCCGGCCATGCCAATATCACCCCACCCTGCTGTCTGCAGATGAGAAGGATGCCCCGCTCCCCTCTGCCCCTCCCGCCCCGCTTACTGCCCTGGCCTCACCATGTCAATGACCATCCTGCGCAGACTCAGTCGCTGCTTGGCGCTGAGGTTCTGGAAGATATCGCAGTTCTCTGCCTGCAGCAGCTTGAAGCCCACAGCCAGGTGATGGTTCTCCAGCACCGAGGCGTCGTTGTACATAAGCGCCAGCTCTGAGTCTGTGAGGGTATGGGACTGAGAGCCCCAAGATCCACCCGCCCCACCCACTCTACCCAAAAGCAGCTTTTGGAAATCCTTAGCAAACTCCTACCCATGCGTTGAAGGCCCAACTCTAGCATGCCCTCCTGTAAGAAACCATCCAGGTCCCTGGCGCTTCCCTGACTGCAGGGCTAGGGTTGTCTGTGTTTGGCTCTGCCTACCCAAGACTGGGAAGGCTCCTCATGGACCCCCTATGGCCAGTGACAGTGAGTACTCAGTAATGTTTTTTTTTTTTCTTTTTCTTTTTTAGAGACAGGGTCTTGCTGTCACCCAGGCTGGAGTGCAGTGGTGCAATCACGGTTCCCTGCAGCCTCAACCTCCTGGCCTCAAGTGATCCTCCCATCTCAGCCTCCTGAGTAGTTGGGATTACAGGTGTGTGCCACCACCCTTGACTAATTTTTGTTATTTTTTTGAGAGACAGGGTCTCACTGTATTGCCCAGGCTGGTCTCGAACTCCTGGCTTCAAGCAATCCTCCCACTTCGGCCTCCCACAATGTTGGGATTACAGGTGTGAGCCATGGCACCCAGTCTCTGGACTCTAGGTCCTTTTGAGTGAGGGGCCTCCACTCTCACCCCCAGCACTCCAGGGCTTGTACACAAAAGGTGCCCAATAATTGCCTGTCAACTGAGTTTTTCAGATTCCTCATAGGATCCTAAACTTTAAGATCTTGGTGGAACTGTCTGGGCGCGGTGGCTCGTGCCTGTAATCCCAGCACTTTGGGAGGCTGAGGCAGACAGATCGCTTGAGGCCAGGAGTTTGAGACCAGCCTGGGTAACAGAGCGAAACCCTGTCTCTACGAAAAATACAAAAATTAGCCAGGCATGGTAGTGTGTGCCTGTAATCCCAGCTACTCGGGAGGCTGAGGCTAGACAATCGCTTGAACCTGGGAGGTAGAGGTTGCAGTGAGCCGAAATCGCGCCACTGCACTCCAGCCTGGGTGACAGAGCAAGACACTGTCTTTAAAAATAAATAAATAAAGGTCTTGGTGGAACCAGATCAGCTCTGCCACAGCTCATTATTCTGTCATTTGTTGGCACCTACTGTGTACCCAGACCTGCTCCAAGACCCTGAAGGGAGGGAAAACTGTCATAGTCATTTCATAGACAGGGAGACTGGGCTCAGGGCAGATGGGAACCCCCTGAGATCACCTGGTGGACAGGGTGGAGGCAGGGTCCACCTCTTCTCCTGCACCCACTTCCCACTCCTACTTACTGGTGTTAATCAGAAACTGGTTGGAGACCCCAGGATGGTCCACGTCGTGGATGGCGCTTGCAAAGAGGGCAGCCAGGATTTCCAAGTCTGTGAACACAGCCTGAGCAGGCAGAGGGCACAGGCGGTGAGGGGCGGGTTCTCTGGGCCCTGCACCCGCCCACCTGCCTGCAGTCATGGCGCAGTACCTCGAGGGCGGGCGTAGCCAGCAGCACATGCGTGGACTGGGCCACGTCGGCGGCATGTAGGCTGTTGTGGTAGGCCACATTGGCGTGGTAGTGACCTTCCAGCATCAGCAGGTAGGTGGCCAGTGTGTCTGCTGGGATCTGGAATGTCTTCAGCAGGTCCCGCTCCTGGTCCATCACAGACCCTGGCTCAGGGCCTTGGCCTTGGGGCTGCAGCACACGCTGTTCCTACCCCTCTCTTCTGAACTCCTATCTATGCCTCAAGCACCTGCTCCTCTGAGATGCCCTCTGTGCTCTCCTGAACTCCTCCACTCTGTGTTATTTGGTGGTCCATCCCTGACCCTACAGGACTGGGGGTGTCTCTGTCCAGCTCTTCTCTCCAGATTTCTCTCCTCTTCAGGGCCAGGGGCCGGGCCAGGGCTGAGGCTTCTGGACAACAAACTGTTCATCTGAGTGAACTCCTATTCATCCTTCAATACCCTGCTCAAATTATCCCCTTCAGAAATGTCAGGGAGGATTTGAAAAATGAGTGTCCCTGAGGTCTGTGGTAGGAAGCAGTGAGGGAAACCCCAGGAGTTTTTCCTTGGAAGCCAAGGGCAGGGTAGGTACCTGAAAAATGCTGAATATGATAGCTGTGAGGGGCCGGTTCCCACTTAGCTCCGCCACCTTGAACACATCAAGTCCCCACTTGTTGGTGTCTTCTAGCTCCTAAGATATGAAGGGCTGAAGCTTAATTAACCCCAGCCCAACTTCCCCAGACTCTAGAGCCTCCATCCTCCCACCCCAGGTTCCACAGTGAGCCCCAACTGCCCAGTATATAGGTGGGCAAACAGGCCCGAGATAGGGCATCCAGACAGAGCCAGGGACCAAACCTTGATCTTGGCATTGTGGTTGGGGACCCACCTTGGCCAGTTGCTCCTCCTGGTCAGTCTGGACCCCAAAGCGTGGGACAGTGGCTGAGGAGAGGCTGGCACTGTGGCAGAGCCCATGTAGGCCACTGATCCGGGACATGGGCTGTGGGGCCTCCTCAGCGGTCACCTTGGGCAGCTCCACCTCGGTCTGCTGGTCTGCGGATGGGCCAGGGTGAAGCTCAGAGAAGCCGATTTCACCTGCTGGGGCCTGGCCTCAGGACCTGAATTTTGCCAAACCCCAGAATCAACCTATTTCCCTTTCTACAGGAACCAAAGTAAGTTCGGAGTAAAGACCCTGTCGGCCGGACGCAGTGGCTCACGCCTGTAATCCCAGTGCTTTGGGAGGTCGAGGTGGGCAGATCACTTGAGGTCAGGAGTTCGAGACCAGTCTGAGCAATACGGTGAAACCCCATCGCTACTAAAAATACAAAAATTAGTCACGTATGGTGGCAGGCACCTGTAACCCCAGCTACTCAGGAGGCTGAGGTGGGAGAATTGCTTGAACCCAGGAGGCGGAGGTTGCAGTGGCTGAGATTGCACCACTGCACTCCCGCCTAGGCAACAAAGTGAAACTCTGTATCAAAAAAAAAAAAAAGATCCTGTCTTGCCTGTAGCTACCTACCCCTCTCCTCTGTTCACAGCTGATCTCAGTAAACCCTTCTGCTAGGCTTGGCCCCTGGGTGCCTGGGGCTCAGCATTTTCCCCCAAACAGCCTAATGTCCTTTCCGTCTCCCAAGCTAGTGTCTGGTTCCCTCCATCTCCTCCTAGGCAAATTTCTACTCATGCTTCAAAACCGTAGCTTTAATGTCCCCTGCTCCTGGAAGTTCCCCTTGTTCCTCCCTCTGATCCAGCCCTGACTCATGGGGGCTGAAGGTGTCTGTGTCTGGCTGTATCTCCCCCAGACTGAGGTCTATCATAGGAATCTTTCTTTTGTTTCTTAGTACTCCTAAAATGTCGTCCAGGCAGTGACTCAACAAAGCTCACCCAGGAAGGTCCGGGAGATGTACTCGGACACCTGGTTCCCGGAGCGGCTGGTTTCGGACAGGTGGGTCAACTCCCGGTTCAGGATCCGCTTGAACTGGGGCGGAGAGAAGGTGAAGACCGTGATGATGGGGCACCGTGGGCCGAGGCAGGTGAGCTCAGCGATCTGCCCCACCTCACCTTGTTGGAGGCCATCTCCCCCACCGAGTGCCGGGTCTGCAGCGTCTCCAACTGATCCAGGCACCAGTCCAGCTCGTCTAGCGTCTCCAATGCCAGCTTCTGCCCCGTGTCCTCTGGGAGCCGAGGCAGTCAGGGGCCTGCCCAACCCCCCCGCTCAGGGACCCCACGCCTCTCGCGACTTCGTCTCTTCATCTGGACCCTGAAACTGTTCCCACGGGGGCCACCCAGGACTCCTGGACCCAAGTTCCAGATCTGTTCCCCGAGTGCCTGTGTGACCATGAGATCTCTGGGCCTCAGCCTCCTCATCTGTAATATGAGTGTGGTGGGGTCCATCCCCGAGGGCGTTATTGTTTTTGCAGGGGCGGGGCTACAATTAGCCCCAGTATAAGGGGCTCATGGACTGGGGAGGTCACTATGGAAAGGAAGCTCCCAGCTGTCCTCAGCGGGGGAGGGAAGGAACAGGTACTTTACCTGCAGGAGGGAGCTGATTGCTGGATGAAGGGTTTCCGACGGGTCCCTGCCTGCGGTACAGCAGCCTCAGGCGTGGCTGCTCCGCCCATCTCGCCCCGCCCCCAAGTCCACCAGGCCCCGCCCCTCAAACCCACCTGGAGGCGCCGGAGCCCCAGCCTCAATTTGCAGCCCGCTTTCCGCCCACCTTGTCTCTGCCGGCCCCGCCCCCGCCCCGCCCCGCCCTCTACCTACTTGGCTGCTCCTAGGCATTGCTGGCGGGCAAGGGCCGCCACGTTGCTCCGAACGGTCCGCAGACTGGCCAGGACCTGTTGGGAGGAGGTGGTAGGCGGTGGGAAGGAGAGGCCGGATCCGGAGGGGGTCAGGGCAGGGAGGGCGGGGGACACCCACCTGGGCAAAGGGCGTCACAATCATGTCCTCTCCATGTCTGCGAGGAGACGGGCCATCAGGGAGAGCTCTCTCCCATCTTCCAGCTTTTTACCCACACCATATGCCCTCAACTGAGGGGGTCCTGCTCTCAGGACTTCTCCTCCAGGCTCCTTCTTAGTCCCTGGGGTCCCCTCATGCGACTCTCCCTGAGACCCAGCACAGCCCCTCCAACCATTCACTCACTTTATCGGCATCTCATAAATGGGGAAACTGAGTCCTAGGGGTACGTAGATATTTCCCTTTTCATTATGCCTACTAGGAAGCTCAAATCAAAGTATTTCTTCATTTGCTGCTAATTGGCCTTAATGGTTTGTTTGTTTGTTTGTTTGTTTGTTTGTTTTCTGAGGCAGACTCTTGCTCTTTCGCCCAGGCTGGAGTGCAGTGGTGCCATCTCGGCTCACTACAACCTCCGCCTCCTGGGTTCAAGCGATTCTCGTGCCTCAGCCTCCTGAGTAGCTGGGACTACAGGCGCGCGCCACCACACCTGGCTAATTTTTGTATTTTTTAGTAGTGACAGGGTTTCACCATGTTGGCCAGGCTGGTCCTGAACACCTGACCTCAGGTGATCCGCCCACCTCGGCCTCCCAAAGTGTTGAGATTACAGGCGTGAGCCACCGTGCCCGGCCGACCTTAATGTTTTTGGATTACCACCCCTACTCCAGCAAAAGGCCAAGTTCTCTACACACTTGATTGAATATATGAGCTGTCTGGCAAACTCCTACTTAAACTTCAAAACCTTCCTTAAATGGCTATTTGAAGGAGCTTGCTGAATAGAGGAACAAAGGAAGGAGGGAGGGTAGAGGCGGTGTCATCCCACCAGCCCCAGACTCACAGGTCGCTGGCCACAGAGGAGTTCCGAGACATGGCCTTGGGCGAGAGTTCATAGTCGCTATCTGAGCGGTACAGGAAGGACTCGCGCCGCTGGCTGTGCGGGACTGGAGCCTGCATAATCCGGCCCAGGCCAGGGCTGGACTGAGGGTCCAGGGCCCTCCTCCCACACGAGAGCCCATTTTCCAGGTCAAAGCTGAAAGGAGAGACGGCATGGTCAGAGACGAGGGTCATGACAACTGGGTGCCGGGTCGTGGCCACCTTGTCTGGTGCGTCCTCCCTGGGGCTGCTTGGCAGTCAGGCAAGTGTGGTTTCCAGCTTGTTCACCTGCCCCCAGCTACACCCTCAGGAACCCTGCACCCCTCACACTTTGGTCTTTGAGTCTACACTGGACTCCAGGACCTCAGTTCCAGATCTTCCTCAAAGTGGCTATGTGGCCATGGACAGGTACTGACTTTCTCTGGACCTCAATCACCCTATTTCTTTTATTTTTTTTCTCTCTTTCTTTTTTTTTTTTCTTTCTCGTTCTTTCTCTCTCTCTCTCTCTCTCTCTCTCTCTCGCCCTTTCTTTTCTTTTTTTTTTTTTTTTTTTGACAGGGCCCCACTTTGTCACCCAGGCTGCAGTGCAGTGGTGTGATCCTACCTCACTGCAGCCTCAATCTCCTAAGCTCAAGCCATCCTCCAGCCTCAGCCTCCTGAGTAGCTGAGACTACAGGAGCATGCCCCAACACTCGGCTAATTTTAAAATTTTTTGTAGAGACCAGGTCTCACTATTTTGCCCAGGCTGGTCTTGAACTCCTGGCCTCAAACAATCCTCCCAGCTCCGCCTCCCAAAGTGCTGGGATTACAGGAGTGAGCCACCGCACCCGGCCTCCCCATTTCTTTTTTTTCTGTTTTTTGGGGTTTTTTTGAGACGAAATATTGCTCTGTTGCCTGCACTGGAGTGCAGTTATCCATGCTGGAGTGCAGTGGGGGAACGATCTCGGCTCACTGCAACCTCCACCTCCCGGGTTCAAGCAATTTTCTCGCCTCAGCCTCCCAAGTAGCTGGGATTACAGGTGCGCACCACCACGCCCGGCTAATTTTTTTTTTTTTTTTTTGAGACAGAGTTTCACTCTTGTTGCCCAAGCTGGAGTGCAATGGCACAATCTCAGCTCACCGCAACCTCCGCCTCCCAGGTTCAAGCAATTCTCCTGCCTCAGCCTCCCAAGGAGCTGGGATTACAGGCGTGTGCCACCACGCCCAGCTAATTTTGTATTTTTAGTAGAGACGGGGTTTCTCCATGTTGGTCAGGCTGGTCTTGAACTCCCGACCTCAGGTGATCCGCCCGCCTTGGCCTCCCAAAGTGCTGGGATTACAGGCGTGAGCCACCGTGCCCGGCCAAAGTTTTGTATTTTTACTAGAGACAGGGTTTCACCGTGTTGGCCAGGCTGCTCTTGAACTCCTGACCTCGTGATCTGCCCGCCTCGGCCTACCAAAGTACTGGGATTACAGGCATGAGCCACCGCACCCGGCCTCTCCTGTTTCTAACATGTGCGTGATGTAGCCCATCCCCGAGAGCTCTTTGAGGGGGTTACAACCGAACATCCAAAGACTGCGACTGGATGACCATATTGCAAAGGGACAAACTGAGATCTAGCTCACATGGTGGACACGTGGACTGGAAACAGCTTCTTGGGCTCTTCTACCTGGAGGAGGCCGGGGTTCTGCCTAGCTCCTGCGTGCGCCTTAGTCTAGAGAGACCCCACTCCTAGCCAACTTGCTCACACCCTTGGCTACCTGCCACGCCCCCAGCGTTCCAGGCTCCACCCTCAGCCCATAAGGCTCCGCCCCACGGCCGCCGACCACGCCCCCAGCTAGCCGGGTCCTGCCCTAGGCTCCCCCACTCCTCCACTTCATCTTCAGCCTGAACGTTCCGCCTGTTATCTTCCACCTCCGGGTCTTTGCACAGGCCGTGCTTTCTGCCCGGCCCACCCTCCTCCCTCTCCACACTACCTGTCCCGTTCTACCCTCAAACCCTGTCTTTCCCTCTGGCTCCTCCTCTTTGGGGTCAGAGGTCAGAGAAAGGGCGTAGGGCAAGAACTGGGGCGCTAGAGAAGGCGGTGACCTGGGGGTGGGTTTTCAAGAAGGGCAGGCGGAAGCGGCACCGACAGGAAGACAACCGGGACCGCCTGAGACTCGGAGCTCCCGGCCGAGGGCCAGTGTCCGGCTGGTCCCGGCCAAGACTTTTGGGTCAAAGGTCACCGTATCCCCGTCCACGAGCTGGGTCGGCACCCCGCGTAGGCTCAGATCTGGGTAGAGGTGGGGGATTTGGCAGCATTCGGTCCAAGTATGACCGGGTCTGAGTTGGGTCTGATCACGTCGAATTGGACTTGGTCACGAAGAGTTTGTTCGATGAGTTCGGGAGAATTCGGCTACGTCCGATTGAGCTCGGGAGACTTCGGATAAGTTCGAGCTTGTTCGCCTAAGTCCGGTTACGCTCGGTCTGCTTCGAACAAGTCCGGGTGACGCTCGGGCCGGGTCGGGCATGTTCGGTCACGTCCGGCTACATGAGGGCTAGTTCGGGCATCTCCGACTAAGACCGGCCGCGCTCGGCCTGTTCCGTCCGACTCCAGCGGGTTTAGCAGCACCGGGATGAACCCCACGGCCAGCCGAAGGGGCGGGGCTTCTTAACCCTTCCCTGGCCCGTCTGGGGTGCGCCGTGGGCGCTGTGGTGCAATGGGAGACGCTCTTAGGGGCGGACTGGAGGCGGCGGATAACCCAGATCTGCCCCTCGAGGGGGAGGCATGCGGATCGCGACCCCCTACCCCTCTCTCGGCTCTCCCCAAGGGTTCCAGAAAAGCGCGTCTGTGGACAAATAGGGAAACTGAGGCCAGGAGCGGCCACAGGGCGTGCAAATCCGGATCCCGGGCGCGGAGGGTTAAGGACTGGGCCCGGGTTTTCTTGGGGCGGGGGAGGCTGTTTTTCTTTCTGCTCTAAACTTAGCCGGGAGCGGCGGGGTCAGGCTGTGGTTCCATGACGCGGGCGGTGCGGGGGTAGAGCCCCCCGGCTGTGGGAACGGCGCGGCTGCCCATTGGCCAGGGGGGTAAACTGAGCCAGGGAGGCTCGGACTTGGGTTCGGGTCTGGCCTGCGCGGGGCCGGCCCTCGTTCATCCTCACTTCTGAGTACCCGCGACGCGCCCTCGACGTCCCTGCGCTGTCTCTAGCGCCTTCAAAAGGGAATGTGCTTCGCTAGTGTTTGGTGCCCCGAGGTCGCTCTCCAGGACACGGAACCCCCACTCTCCCACTCCCTGGTTGAAATGGAACCACCAGGAACCACGGTCATACCTTCTCCCTCCAACCCCAGCTATGACCTTGGAGAGGGACCTCCCCTCTCAGCCTTTGGGTGCCAGACTTACCAAGTGGGTGCCAATTCGGCGCGGACCAAGCGCAGGATGCCAGCCACAGTCGGCGCCCACAAGCCCCACTCCGAACCCCAGCCTTGCCCCCATCCCTCCCCACGAGGTCACAGTCGTTTCTGGAAAGGCAGGGATTCGAACCCAGAGGGGTGGACCGAGTGCTTAGAGGATGCAGCGCAAGCAGCTGCCGGGCGCAGGCGCGCGCTCAGCCTGGGACTCCCGAACGCCCTGCCTCGAAAACCCCCTCAATTCAGGTCTTCCTCCGTGGACACCCAGAGTTCATTGTGAGGCCCCCAGGGCATCTCTTTGCTGGCACTGGGACAGGATGCTGGTGGGAGGGGGCACCAAGGGAAGGAGTGCCCCTTCCCCCTCCTCCCACTGCCAGGACGCACAGCCTGCCTGCCCCAGGCCGGCGAGGGTCAGGAGGAGACGTGAGCCTCAGCCCGTCCCACTCTGGGCCTCACAGCTGGAAGGAGACAGACGGCTGGTCCCCTGGGCCTATATCCAGGCGGCGGGTGGAGACAGACGGAGACAGAGAGAGACAGAGTCACCAACTGCGAGACAAAAGTAGGGTAAGGTAGGGTAGAGGGAGAGAGATACAGAGAAAGCGAGGGAGAGGCAGAGCGTCCAAGCCCGGACTCCGGCCCCGGCCCCAGCTGTCCCTGGCCTTGTCCCTGTCCCTGCCCTTCCCACCTCCACACCGGGCGTCCCGGTGACCCCGCCAGGCCCTCTGTCCAGCCTCACCACAGCGGATGGGCCACCGTGAAGCGCCGCTGCAGGCGGATGCTCTGATTCACCAAAAGCTTCCTGAAGAGCCCGGGGGAGCCGCGCGGGGATCCCCGAGGGGAGCCGGGCCCGGGGACCGGGGCGGGCGCGGGGGGGCCCTGCATCGCCAGGACTGCGTGGAGGCTGGACCGAGCGCCGGCTGCGCGGGACCTTTTCTGGACAGCTGCGGGGGCGGGGCCCAGCGGGGAGGGGGCAAAGGGCGCATCGGCCCCGCCTCGAGGCCGGCGGCTCCCTGACGACCCCCGGGACAAACGGGGAAACTGAGGCACAGAGTCAGACGCAACTCTCTGCTCCTTTTTTTTTTTTTTTTTTTTGAGACGATCTCGCTGTGTTGCCCAGGCTGGAGTGCAGTGGCACAGTCCTAGCTCATTGCAGCCTCAACTTCCTGGGCTCAAGGGATCCTCCTACCTCAGCCTCCCAAGTAGCTGGGACTACAGATGCACACCACCACGCCCGGGCTAATGTATTTTCTGGAGAGATGGGGGTGTCTCTTTATGTTGCCCAGGCTGATCTCGAACTCCCAGACTCAAGTGATCCTCCTGCCTCAGCCTCGCAAAGTGCTGGGATTATAGGTGTGAGCCATTGCGCCAGGCCCAACTGTACTTCTTTAGAGGGCTGCCCCTAAGATCTCAGAGCCTGGATCTTACTCAGCCTTCCTCGGCACGTCCCTGGTTAGTGCAGCTTGCTGGGCCAATAACTGCTAAAAAGTGTAGAATGAGGGAGTCAGAAAGCAAGGTGCCCAGAGAAACAGCTGTCTTGCCTTCCATTATTGAGGGCATCACCGAGGTATAGAGTTTGCCAATGTCCGATCCCACGCAATGTTTCTAATCCTCCTCTGCCCATTTTCCAGATGGAGAAACTGAGGCCTAGTGCCATCAAACAGCGCACCAGAAACTACAAACCCTTAATCCTTTGCCAAGTGGGGAAACTGAGGCTTCCATGGACGCGGTCACGGGCATGGGTCTTTGTTGCAGAAAGCGAGACCCAAACTCAGGGCCCCCTCTCCCAGCACCCCTCCACGCAACTCCCCACGTGATCCCCCACCTGCTCTGACATTCCCCAGGCCCTGTCTCTGGATGCCTTCACCTCTCCTGCTGTCTCCTCCTAGACAAACATCCGCACATCACCTCTGCCAAGTCTTCTGTCCTGCGAAACCTCAGCCGCCCACCCCTGCCATCAGAGGGACCTCACTGTCCCAGGACTGGGGGGGGCCTCTGGTGTCTGGGAGGATTCCCAGAGTCTGTACCAGGTGCTCTACCCTCAGAATGCTGGAGTCAGGCTGGCCTTGTTCCACTTTACAGAAAAGGAAACCAAGGCTTAGCATGTGTCACACAAGGAGGAGGGACCTAGAAACAGCCATGTCACAGGCAGAGGCCCAGGGGACCTCCCAGCAACTGAGGCCTGACCGTGCCCCTTGCTGTGGAATGACCTCTGTCTCTCAGCCTGGGCCTTCCCCCCGGGGCGGCTGCCTCAGTCTTGGTGTCCCCAGACATGGTACCCATGTTTCTGGCAGTCCTGGAGAAGCCCATTGATCAGGGATCCCACAGGAGATCCTGAGGCAACCATGCTAAGGCCAGATACATGAGAGTCTCCCCATTCTACAGATGAGAAAACAGAGGCTCAGAGGAGGAGTCACACAGCCCAGAAAAACAGAGAGCCTCAGGTATCTGGCCAGGAAGCCCCCCTAACCCCCGCAGTCTTGCAACCAGACACCTGGCGGGAACCAGACCTCGCTGTCCCCAAGACAAAAATACCATCGTTGTCTGCTGGGGCCAGACCTAATTATAGCCATCCCTAGGGGACACATGCTGCTAGGATTGGCCTTGTGGGGACACTGGAGCCAAGGTCTCAGCAGTCTTGACACCACCTCCCCGCCACTGTGAGAGAAGTGACAATAGTTACATGTCCCCAAGGAGAAACCGAGGCACAGAGATTCAGCCCCTCCCCCAAAATCACAGACATAAAATAGGAGGCTAAGACTAAACAAAATTATGTAAACTGAGTGCTTCAAAAACATGCAGCACTCAGCCAACAGCAGTGAAGGGAAAAGTCATTGGATTTTCAGACGAAACCTACAAAGTGTGGACTACTATTCCCATTTCGAGGATGGGGCTACTGAGGCACAGAAAGGCACAGTCATTTGCCTAAGGACACACAGCCATAAGGTGCAAGACTGGGGTCATTTGAACCCGGACAGGTAGTGTTCTTCCCAGCCTGGGTCCTCCCGCACTGGATGCGTTAACTCATTTCATCCCCTCTGTAGTCCCAGGGGCGAGTCTCACATTAATATTTTATCAATAGGTTTACTATTAATGTTTCATCCATATATTTAATTTTAAATATTTTATTAACAGTTCTAACAGGAAGGTGTTAATTAATAGCTGTTCGGATGGAGAAAGAGTCACAGCAAGGGGTGGCCACAGAGCCAGGACTCAGCATTCACAGCCTGGCTCCTACCAGGCCCTGGGAGGCTCTCCAAGCCCCGCTGGGTAAGGGACAAAAGCTGAAAGAGGTTTGGACAGAAGCACCCCTACCCTGACTCCATCCCTGCATTACTGCATCTCCTGTAGAGGTGCCCAGTAGTCTCTGGTGCCTTTATTTATTTTATTTTATTTTATTTACATATTATTATTATTTTTTGAGAACAGAGTTTTGCTCCTGTTGCCCAGGCTGGAGTGCAATGGCACAATCTCGGCTCACTGAAACCTCCGCTTCCTGGGTTCAAGCAATTCTCCTGCCTCAGCCTCCCAAGTAGCTGGGATTACAGGCATGTGCCACCATGCCAAGCTAATTTTTTTTTTTTTTTTTTTTTGTATTTAGTAGAGACGAGGTTTCACTATATTGGTCAGGCTGGTCTCGAACTCCTGACTTCAGGTGATCACCTGCCTCAGCCTCCCAAAGTGCTGGGATTACAGGCGTGAGCCACTGTCCCTGGCCTTACTTTTTTGAGACACAGTTTCACTCTGTCGCCCAGGGTGGAGTGCAGTGGCGCAATCTTGGCTCACTGCAACCTCTGCCTCCTGGGTTCAAGTGATTCTCCTGCCTCAACCTCCCAAGTAGCTGGGATTACAGGCATCTGCCACCACGCCCAACTAATTTTGGTATTTTTAGTAGAGACGGGGTTTCACCATGTTGGCCAGGCTGGTCTTGAACTCCTGACCTCAGGTGATCCGTCTGCCTCAGTCTCCCAAAGTACTGGGATTACAGGTGTGAGCCACTGCGCCCATTCTGATGCCTTTAGCACAGCACTGCCTCAGTTTCCCTCATTTGAATGTTCCCTTCTCTGGGCAGGCACTTTTCTCCACTGCCACCAGGTGGCCCCAGAGAGATTTTTTTAAATGGGTGTTTTTGACCATTTTACAGATGAGTAAACTGAGACGTGGAGAGGGGAGATGACTTGCCCAAGTCCCCACGGAGGAGTCAAGCAGAATGAGCAGGGTGGGGGCCAGGTCACATGTGTAGATGTTCGCATGGGTCAAATCACACACTCCTTTGCTGCAGACCCTCCCATGGCCCCCCATTGCCCTCAGATCTGAATTCACACCTCCCAGAGGTCCCATGTGGCCCATCCCCACCTCACTTCTCTTGGCTTACACTGTTCCAGTCTCTCCCCACTCCTCACTGTTCTCTGAATCAGCCAGGCTTATTTCCACCCCATGGCCCTCACCTGAATGCTTGTCGCCTGCTGATGCTTTGTCTTTTGGGTTACAGTTAGAGTCACCTCCTCCGAGAAGCCCTCCCTGACTAGCCAGGTAAATGCCTCAGAGCACCCTCCAGCCATGGATACAACTTCACATTTATTGTCATGATTATTTGCCTGTGAGTCCCTGGAGAGCAAGGCCAGGTCTGCCATGTTCCCTGCTGTTCCCTCAGTACTTGGCACTTAGTAGATGCTCAATAAATGCTTGTAGCGGCTGGGTGTGGTGGCTCATGCCTGCAATCCCAGCACTCTGGGAGGCCACGGTATGTGGATCACTTGAGGTCAAGAGTTTGAGACCAGTCTGGCCAACATGGCAAAACTGTCTCTACTAAAAATACAAATATTAGCCAGGCATGGTGGTGGGCACCTGTAATCCCAGCTACTGGGGAGGCTGAGGTAGGGGAATCGCTTGAACCCAGGAGGCAGAGGTTGCAGTGAGACAAGATTGTGCCACTGCACCCGGCCTGGGCAACAGAGTGAGAGACTCCATCTAAAAAATAATAAATAAATAAATGCTTGTAGCATAAACAGAGAGCCTCTCCTTCCATCCTCAAGCCACACTGATCCATTTTCAGCTCCTCACATGCCTGATCCTCTTGAGTCTGAGGCTTTGCACATTCTGTTCCTTCTACTTAGAATACCCTTCTTGCACTCACCCTAGCTGACCTCTTTCCTCCTGCAGGCTAAGCTTAAATGTCACTTCTCCCAAGCAGTCCTCCCTGACTCCCACCCCACTGCTGGGTCTGGAGCCTCCTCTGGGCTTGTTCTCTGACCTTTCCCTATCAACCTGTGCCTTCTCCACCTGGTATGAGTGTCTCCACCATCAGCCTTAGGGGACACAGCTTCTTATCCATGGTTGCGTCTCCAACACAGGGCCTGCCACCCAGTAGGTGCTTAAATGCCTTCTCAACAAAATGCTTAGACCCTCCCATACCCCTGTGATCCATCTGGGGCTGTGGGGAAGCACATTCCCCCAACAGTTTCTAGGGCTGAGTAAAGAGCCACAAGCTGGGGACCCAGTGTGTACCAGGCTCAGGCACAGAATATTCACCTCTCTGATGAGGACGCCGAGGCTCCGGGAGGCACCACGGCTTGCTCAATACCACACAGCAGGTTGGCCTTGGGGCCTGGCCTTGAACTCAGTTTCGCTGGGCTTCCCCCTGGGGTGAACCCCTACCCTCATATCAGCACAGAGAAGCACAGTGGGCCACATGCATGCTCATCCACGTATGTGTGACTGCAGCGCATACGATGCGCAGAACGACGTGTGTGTGCACACACACGTGCACAGGGACACCCAATCCACCGCTCCTGCCTCCCAGAGCCAAGCGGGGGCTTCCCCTAGAAGAGCTCATACCAAGGCTCTGTTTGTTCTTTCTTGAAAATGGAAAATCATGAGTCACCAGAAGGGATGGGGAAGGAGGAACTAGAAGCCGGGGCGGGAGAAGGGGCTCCTGGGTCACCTGAGAACAGCTCCAACCCCTCTGGGCTGTGGGAACCATCTACCCCAGATGCCTCCCAGGCTGCTGGAGGGCCAGGCTGGGGGCGAGAGGCCAGGCTTGCTGATGGAGTCAGAAGCCAGTGGCCCCTAGGGGGTCCATGCACCAGGACGCAAGAAAGCCAAGCTCCAGAGCAGGGAAGTAACCCATCCAAGGCCACTCAGCCTGGACTGAAATCTGGGATGCTGGTCCAGCTGACTTGGTTCTCCCTCCAACCTAAGGAGGGCTTGGAGTTCCTGGACCCTCCTTCCTGGCCCTGGAGCCTCCACCTGGTAGTTGGAGACCCTCATGTAGGGCCCCCTGAGGATTCTACATTATCTTTCTATGAGTCTCTTCTGTCTCTGTCCTAACCCCACCCCACTCAACTTACACGAAACAGGAGAAGCAGCCCCTCCTTACTTAAGTGAAAGAAACTTCCTGTGCACGAGCTTCCCAAGGGACTTCCCTTCCTCCTACAGGGGAGCAGGGTGGGGTGAGGGAGTGGGGGCGGGGGAGGTAGCAAGAGAAGACTCCTCCCCCCAACACTGGAGGCAGCCTGCCCTGGCCCTTATATATCTATAATATATTAAATAGGCCAGGTGCTGTGGCTCACACATGTAATCCTAGTACTTTGAGAGACTAAGGCGGGAGGATTACTTGAGGCCAAGAGTTCAAGACCAGCCTGGGTAACATGGCAAAACCCCGTCTCTAGCAAAAATACAAAAATTAGCCAGGCCTTGTGATATGCCCCTGTAGTCCCAGCTACTCGAGACTGAGGTGGGAGGATCGCTTGAGCCTGGGAGGCAGAGGATGCAGTGAGCCATGATCGAGACACTGCACTTGTACCTGGGCAACAGAATGAGACTCTGTCTCAAAAATAAAAACGTGTGTGTGTGTGTGTGTGTGTGTGTGTGTGTGTGCGTGTGTGTGTGTATTTATATCCAAGCACCCCAGGGTTACCTCGGGTGCTTGAGCTGGTCACAAACTTCCCCCACAGGCCTGCGGACATTCCACAACCCCGAAAACCTTCGGACCCCCAGCTATGTTAGCACAAGGACAGTCACACTCAGCCACATACCTACAGGCACCACAAGGGGAGACACACAGGCACACCCACAACTACCTGGGACACATGGAATCATACCCAAGCATGAACGTACAGGAGCACCCCAAACACATCTGGTCACCCCAGTCTCACGCGCGCGCGCGCACACACACACACACTCTTTCAGTCCCAACCGCACGTGGGCACACCCGGTCACACAGACCCACAAGCCATGATGACACCAGCACCCTCAGCTCCACCCCTACGTAGAAATAGCTTTTTCCTTCCAGGCGCCAGCCTCAACCAAGCAGCAGAGACCCCCGCCCCCTGGAGAAGCAAGGACCCTCCCCCACTCCCGCCAGGCCCCGCGCGCCCCTCCCCCGCGCTGCAGGAGGCCCCTGCCCCGGCCACCTACCGCCTGCAGGAGGAAACGGGCCAGGAGAGCCGCGACTTCCTGAGCTCCGGCCGCGGGCTCAGGTCCCTCTCGCGGCAGCCCGCGGACTTGTCCGGATCCGAATAGAAGCGCTGTTGGATGCGGATGGGGCGCCGGGGTTGCCGCCACAGGTGCTTCGGGGCTCTGGTCATGCTGTGGCGGCCGCGAGAGCGACTCAACCTGCTGCAAGCCTCTGCCCCTTCGCCGACCCCCAGGTTCTCCATGCGCCAGAGAAAGGGGTCTGGGATAGCAGGGAGCAGGACTCGTCCCCGTGAGCGGGCGCCGAGGAGCGTCTGCTCCCGGGTCCGGCCCAGGGCCGGGAGTGGAGGCGACAGCGAGGAGCTGTCCGCGCCGGAGGTGCTGAAGCGGTAGAAGGTGGAACTGGGGCTCAAGGTGGGGCCGACACCGAGGAGCTGTCGATGCCCAGATGGTGCTGAAGGGTAGAACAGGGGAGAAGAACGTGGTGAGGGGGTGTTGAAGCTAGGGGCTGAAGAGACCCCCCCCCAACACACCAGCCCCGAAAACCGTCTGCCGTCCCCTATAGCGCTGCATGGAAAAGAACCAAGACAAGGACTTGGAGTGGAGAAGACAGAAATTGTCCACTGATCGCTGCTAAATGGAGGGCAGGGAGACAGGGTCTCAGGAGACCCCCGGGGCCGAGACGGTGTCCCTCGCACCGTGTTGAAAGAGAAAAAGGTAGCTTTGGGTTCTCCGGGTGGATGAGACAGCGAAGAGCTGTCCGCGACCTGATGGTGCTGAAGGCAGGGGAGGGAGACCGGGGTTCAGGTGCACCCCCAGACCAGGGCGTCATCCGCCCAGGAGGTGCTGAAACATGAGCAGTGACGGGCCCTCAACCTTCCCCAGCAACAATGGCAACAAGGAGTCTGGAAGCAGTCAAGGTTCTGGTCTTCGGAGGTACGTACAGATAGCAGTCTTTCTGCCAAGCCCAGGAAGGTAGGCTCCGCGGTTCAGCCCCAGAAGGGGTCTCTTTGGAGCCCTAAAACCCCCACCCATGCCAGGCAGGGATATGAGAAGGACAGGGAAATTGGCAAGGCTGTGAGGGGGCTCCCATGTCTGGGATGGGCACACAGAGGCTACCTCTGGCCAGAGCTCCAAACAGCTACCAGTAGGGATGGGCAAAGAGGGGAAGTCAGGTCTCTCTAAGAAACATCCTAGTTCTGCTTCTAAGACCCTCCCCACCCCAAAGCCATGCTGCAGCTGAGTTGGGGGAGGACTGGCAGAAAACCCACCTTTTGTGGAAGCTCAGGACAGGCAGGAGGAGTATCTCTGAGACTCTCGTGCTTTTAAAGCCACACCAACACACAGACCCTCAGCGGAAATGGCAGGATCTCATTCGCCCTGAGAAAGGCCCAGGCCCCACCTCACAGCCACGATTCCTGCCCTCAAACCCCAGGCCTGCCCCTCCCTCCCAGTTCTGGAAACTCAAGTCTCCACCCACCAGGCGTCTTAGTCTCAGGGGTAATTTCCTGGGAAGTGCAAGGATGGGTAAGAACATTTTCCATCATGGTTAACTGAAGTAGGCATGAACAGCAGCAGGGCTGGGCGGGTGAGTGTGGTGCAGAAAGAGGTGAGATTTTGTACTCCCAGGGTCATGACTTGGTGGAGGCCTCCTGTGGGCTCTGGGCTTGGGCAGGGAGGCATTTAAGGCCATTAGGGTGCCTCTTGCTGCATCAGATTTGAGAAGAGCCCCGATGTTTTTGGAAGTCTCAGAAGCACTCAACAAGGTCTTTCCCATGGAGACCATCTCCCAGTGACCCCAGCCATGTCCCCAGGTTGGAGAAAAGGAAAACATTTGGGCCAGGATGTCAGACAGACTGAATTCAAGCCCCAGTACCATCATGTCTTGCTGTGTGACGCATGACAAATGACTCCCTCTCTGTTCTATGCTTGGGTGGTTCAGTCCCTGTTCTCCACCCCCCCACCACTCCCAAGAACTGACTGTGGGAGACAACTTGGCTCAATGGTGAGGGACATGGTCACTGGCTGGCTCTGTCACTTCCCCTCCCAAAGTCTTTTTTTAAAATATTCTGGAAAAGAGGAATAATAATGGTGTCTCCAACTCTTGGCATCATTGCAAGGACTAAAAGTGATGCCAGATGTAAAGGGTCTGAGACCAGGAGCTGTGCATACCAGTGCCCCCTCTCCCCAGCTCCTGCTAGCATCCACCAACAACTGGTGTGTCTAGTTTGTTTGTTTGTTTGAGACGGAGTCTCACTGTGTTACCCAGGCTGGAGTGTAATGGTGCGATCTTGGCTCACTGCGACCTCTGCCTCCCAGGTTCAAGTGATTATCCTGCCTCAGTCTCCCAAGTAGCTGGGATTACAAGCACCCGCCACCACACCCAGCTAATTTTTGTATTTTTAGTAGAGACGCAGTTTCACCATGTTGTCCAGGCTGGACTCGATCTCCTGACCTCAGGTGATCCACCCGTCTTGGCCTCCAAAAGTGCTGGGATTACAGGCGTGAGCCACCATGCCCAGCCCTGGTGTTGTGTCTACTTTGTAAATGTCATCCAAAGCTCCTCACTTCTCTCCAGCCCATGGCTCCCACCCTGGTCCAAGCACCAGTATCTCCTGCCCAGACACTGCCCAAGCCTCCTTCCTAGTCTCCTTGGTCTCCTTCCACTCCTATCCCTGACAGTCAGTGCTCCACAACAGCAACCACAGGGAATTTTTTAATGCCAATATTGACCAACTCTCTCTCCGGAAGACACACCTCTCACTCTCCAGGGCACCCCATGAGGTCTGGTGTGTGGTTTCAGCTCCTGCCTACTTCCCGGGGCTCCCCTCCCACCCTCCAGCCACACTGATCTGTTTTCAGCTCCTGACACACCTGATCCTCTTGAGTCTGAGGCTTTATACATTCTGTTCCTTCTGCTTGGAATGCCCTTCCCCGCACTCCCACTGGTTGACTTCTCTTCATCCCTCAGGCTAAGGATTTGTTTTACTGTTTTTTGTTTGTTTGTTTGTTTTGTTTTGTTTTTAGATGGAGTCGCCCAGGCTGGAGTGCAGTGGTGTGATCTCAGCTCACTGCAAGCTCTGCCTCCCGGGTTCACGCCATTCTCCTGCCTCAGCCTCCTGAGTAGCTGGGACTACAGGCACCCGCCACTACGCCTGGCTAATTTTTTTGTATTTTTAGTAGAGACGGAGTTTCACCATGTTAGCCAGGATGGTCTCGATCTCCTGACCTCGTGATCCACCCACCTTGGCCTCCCAAAGTGCTGGGATTACAGGAGTGAGCCACTGCACCCGGCCTGTTTTTATTTTTTTAAGATGGTGTCTTGCTCTGTCACCCAGGTTGGAGTGCAGTGGTGCAACCTCGGCTCACTGCAACCTCCACCTCCCAGGTTCAAACAATTCTGCTCCTGAGTAGCTGGGACTACAGGTGCACCCCACAACTAATTTTTGTATTTTTACTAGAGACAGGGTTTCACCATGTTGACCAGGCTGGTCTCGAACTCCCGATCTCAAGTGATGGACCGGCCTCAGCCTCCCAAAGTGCTGGGATTACAGGCATCAGCCACCACAACCAGGCCCTCAGGTTAAGTTTAAATGCCACTTCTTCCAGGTAGTCCTCCCTGAGCCCCCTCGATGTGAGGTCAGGAGCCTCCTCTGGGCTCCTCTGTTCTTCTCCATCACAGCATGATTACTTTGTCCTGTCTCTGCCTGGTATGATCTGTCTCCACCATCAGCCTGTGGGCACCTCCTTGTGCATGGCTGTGTGCCCACTGTGTGCCAAGTACAGGGCCTGGCACACAGTGGGTGCTAACTTAATAAATGCTTTCTGGATAAGGTCAAGAAGGGTTCAGATGGACGAACTGCTCTTCCTCTCCTGGGGCCGGCCCCTTTAATCCCCATCAGCCTTCTCACCTATCTGGGACCACGCTGTCTTTTCTCTGTCCCTTAAGCCTCAATGGTGAACACCACATGGGTACTGGGCTCGACCTCTCCAGGCAACACAAGGCGGCTCGGCAGCGATGGCAGCAATGGGGTACCCGAGAAGCCTCTCCGGATGATACCACCACCAAGGGGGCTCACAGGGGCCAAGCCAGAATCCACCAACTCCCAGAACCACTGGAAGAAACCAGAAAGACATGAGCAAGTTCTTGGTCATGGGACCTCTCTAGGACCCTGAAGTGCCCTCACCCAGACACCTGGACTGGCCCAGAGAGCTGTATCTCAGTCCTACTCTCCTGAGTGAATTTACCTCTCTGAGCCTCAGTTTCCTCATCTGTGAAGTAGGGATCTCAAACGTGGGGGGATATAAATAGTGCCTGGTCCAGGCCAGGCGCTGTGGCTCGTGCCTGTAATCCCAGCACTTTGGGAGGCCAAGGCGGGAGGATCACCTGAGGTCGGGAGTTTGAGACCAGCCTGACCAACATGGAGAAACCCCACCTCTACTAAAAATACAACATTAGCCAGGCGTGGTGGTGCATGCCTGTAATTCCAGCTACTCGGGAGGCTGAAGCAGAAGAATCGCTTGAACCTGGGAGGCGGAGGTTGCAGTGAGCCGAGATTATGCCATTGCACTCCAGCCTGGGCAACAAGAGTGAAATTCCATCTCAAAAATAAAAAATATAAATAAATAAATAGTGCCTGGTCCAGCCAGGCCCAGTGGCTCACGCCTGTAATCCCAGCACTTTGGGAGGCTGAGGCAGGCGGATCACGAGGTCAGGAGATCAATACCATCCTGGCTAACATGGTGAGACCCTGTCTCGACTAAAAATACAAAAAAATTAGCCGGGCGTGGTGGCGGGCGCCTGTAGTCCCAACTACTCAAGAGGCTGAGGCAGGAGAATAGTGTGAACCCGGGAGGTGGAGCTTGCAGTGAGCTGAGATCGGGCCACTGCACTCCAGCCTGAGTGACAGAGCGAGACTCCATCTCAAAAAAAAAAAAAAAAAAAAAGTGCCTGGTCCACAGTACACATTGCAGAAATATTTATTTATTAACTAATAATAGCATGCTCAGTAGGGCACGGTGGCTCATGCCCATAATCCCAACACTTTGAAAGGGTGGTTTGACCCCAGGAGTTCTAGACCAGCCTGAGTAAAATAGTGAGACACTAGCTCTACAAAAAATAAACAAAATTAGCCAGGCATCGTGGTGTATGCCTGTAACCCCAGCTACTCAGGAGGCTGAGGTGGGAGGACTGCTTCAGCCCAGAAGGTCAAGGCTGTAGTGAGCCAAGATCATGCCACTGTACTTTAGCTTGGGTGACAGAGTGAGACCCCCTGTATCTCTCTCTCTCTCTTTTTTTTTTTTTTCGAGATGGAGTCTCGCTCTTTCAACCACATCGGAGTGCAGTGGCACAATCTCGCCTTACTGCAACTTCCATCTCCCAGGTTCAAGTGATTCTCCTGCCTCAGCCTCCTGAGTAGCTGGGATTACAGGTGCCCACCACCACGCCTGGCTAATTTTTTGGTATTTTTAGTAGAGAGGGGTTTTCACCACGTTGGCCAGGCTGGTCTCGAACTCCTGACCTCAAGTGATCTGCCCACCTTGGCCTCCCAAAGTGTGGGAATTACAGGTGTGAGCCACTGCGCCCGGCCGAGACCCTGTCTCTAAAAATAAAAATAAATAAAACAGTATGTTTATTTTTATAACATATTATATGCTATATAATGCTATTTATTATAATGCTATGCACCATAGTGATATTCTATTGTATATTTTTTCTTACATTTGAGATTCCAATATATTATTTATTAAAATATAAAAGTAGGGCCCAGCACAATGGCTCATGCCTGTAATCCCAATACTTTGGGAGGCCAAGGCAGGTGGATCACAAGGTCAGGAATTCGACACCAGCCTGGCCAACATAGGGAAACCCCATCTCTACTAAAAATACGAAAATTAGCCAGGTGTGGTGGCACACGCCTGTAGTCCCAGCTACTCAGGAGGCTGAGGCAGGAGAATCACTTGAACCCGGGAGGCGGAGGCTGCAGTGAGTGGAGACCACACCACTGCACTCCAGCCTGGGTGACAGAGCAAGACCCTGTCTCAAAAAAAAAAAAAAAGTAAAACAATAAAACATGCAGTAAATAAGCAAATGAATAATAACGATAGTACTAATGGCTAACATTTTCTGCACAATCACCCTGTATAAATGCCGTTCCAATAGTACATGGATGGGCTCATGAAGGTATAATGAAGCCATTTAGCACCATTATTTCCATTTAACAAAGGAGGAAATGAAGGCTCAGAGGTTAAGTAACTAGAGCCCAAGGTTGCAATTCATAAATAAAAGCAATTCTGAGCTTCAGTGCCGAGTTCCTTGAAGGAAGGACTGAATGGGAGAAACTAAATGAGATGCTGTTTCCAAGCAGGCTCTGGGTAAATGCTGGATACATTTTAAGAACAGGCAGAATCAGTCTGAACGGATGCGTTGGGAGTGTGAGCTCTTCAGCGCAACAGATCTGGGTTCAATCCAGGCCACGTGGTCCAGGGCAAGCGGCCTCAGTTTGCCCATCTGGGAAATGGAGGCGAAAGGGGTACGGATCCCTCAGAGGTGTTGATGATAAAACAATGGGACCCACGTGCGCCAGACACAGGCTGTGTGCTGTCCGCGGTGCTGACCCCAGAATGGGGCACAAAACTGGAACTCACAGCTTTGGGGTAAGGCGATCAGTGAAGACAAATGTGGAGATGGGAGAGGTGGGGTTCAAAGAGATGGCCCAGTCTTCCCCTACTGTCCTCCTGAGCCTCACCAATGAGCCTATCTCCACCACCAGACTGAGCATTAAAACTGGGAAACTGGCCAGGCGCGGTGGCTCACGCCTGTAATCCCAGCACTTTGGGAGGCTGAGGCAGGCGGATCGCTTAGGGTCAGGAGTTTGAGACCAGCCTGACCAACATGGCAAAACCCTGTCTCTACTAAAAATACAAAAATTAGCCGAGCATGGCGCTTTGCACCTGTAATCCCAGCTACTTGGGACGCTGAGGAAGCAGAATTGCTTGAACCCAGGGGGTAGAGGTTGCAGTGGAAAGATCTGGGCAACAGATCTGGGCAACAGCACTCAGGCTGGAGTGCAATGGTGTGGTCTCTGCTCACTGCAACCTCTGCCTCCTGGGTTCAAGTGATTCTCCTGCCTCAGCCTCCCGAGTAGCTGGGACTACAGACACATAGTCCCCATCTCAAAAAATAAAAAAGTAAAAATAAAAATAAAAAAGCTGGGAAACTGCCAGGCATGGTGGCTCATGTCTGTAGTCCCAGCACTTTGGGAGGTTGAGGCCAAAAGTGAGTTCAAAACCAGCCTGGGCACCCCGTCGCTACAAAACATTTTATAAATTAGCCAGGTGTGGTGGTACATGTGCCTGTAGTTTCAGCTCCCAAGGAGGCTGAGGCAGGAGGATTGTTTGAGCCCAGGAGGTTGAGACTGCAGTGAGCTATGATTGTGCCACTGCTCTTCAGCCCGGCTTACAGAGGGAAACTCTGTCAAAAAAAAAAAAAAAAACGGGGCTGGGCACGGTGGCTCATGCCTATAATCCCAGCACTTTGGGAAGCCGAGGTGGATGGATCACAAGATCAAGAGATCGAGACCAGCCCGGCCAACATGCTGAAACCCCATCTGTACTGAAAATACAAAAAAGTTAGCTGTGCCTGGTGGTGCGCACCTGTAGTCCCAGCTACTCAGCAGGCTGAGGCAGGAGAATCGCTTGAACCTGGGAGGCAGAGGTTGCAGTGAGCCGAGATCATGCCACTGCACTCCAGCCTGGCAACAGAGCGAGACTACGTCTCAAAAAAAAATGGGGAAACTGAGGTCCAAGACCATGCTGCTAATCAGGACCAGAGCCAGGGCAAAGTGGGGTGGGAGGAAGAGGGTGCGGAGAACGGATGTGAGTTGAACTTGAACTTCTGTGTGTGTAAGGGATGCAACATAGCTCATTTCCTTGCCTATGAGTGGAGGGCCCTCTGACTCGTGTTGTGGAGGAAGACATCAAAGCTTGGAGAGAAAATGACCTGCTTGCTGGGAGTCACACAGCTGGGGGCTTGAGCCACGCTCAGATCTCATCCTTCTAGGACTGTTCCCCGCATTTGAGCACAACTTGTCCCCACCCTTTCCCAGGGGCACCTGAAATTTAAGGCAGAAATGCAAGTGCTCTACAAGAGGCCTCCCTCGGGAGAGTTCCTGGTAGCTGGGAGGGTGTGTCGGGAATGAAGAGGGTGGGGTGTGTGGGGACAGTTAGCATCTCCCAGATGGGAGGCCCCTGAGATGTCAGCTGCTCATTTTCTTTTTTCTTTTCTTTCTTTCTTTTTTCTTCTCTTGTTTTTTTTTTTTTTTTTTTTTTTTTTTTTGAGATGGAGTCTCGCTCTGTCGCCCAGGCTGGAGTGCAGTGGCGCGATCTCGGCTCACTGCAAGCTCCGCCTCCTAGTTTCACACCATTCTCCGGCCTCAGCTTCCCAAGTAGCCGGGATTACAGGCACCCGCCACCATGCCCGGCTAATTTTTTTGTATTTTTAGTAGAGACGGGGTCTCACCGTGTTAGCTGGGATGGTCTCGATCTCCTGACCTCATGATCTGCCCGCCTCGGCCTCCCAAAGTGCTGGGATTACAGGCGTGAGCCACCGCGCCCGGCCAAGACAGGGTCTTTCTCTGTCACCCAGGCTGGAGCGTGCAGTGGTGCAGTCTTAACTCACTGCAGCCTCGACCTCCTAAGCTCAAGGATCCTCCCACCACAGCCTCCCAGGTAGCTGAGACTACAGTCACACACCACAACTCCCAGCTAATTTTTGTATTTTTTGTAGAGACAGGATCTCACTATGCTGCCCAGGCTGGTCTTGAAATCCTGGGCTCAAGCGATCCACAAACCTCAGCCTCCCAAAGTGCTGGGATTCCAGGCTTGAGCCATGGCGCTGGGCTTGTCTGCCCATTTTCCTGCTGGGAAAACAAGGTTCCAGATGGGAGAACTCCCTGCACACATTCCTATTTGTTCACGTATTCATTGAACAAATGCAAAAAAATAATTCACCTCGTGTTAGGAAGAAAAGAAAACTGGACAAGGGTCTGGGAATGAGGGAGTGGATCACATTGCTGGGGTGAGTTAGGGAATTTTCTGAGGAGGTGGCTTTGAGCCGAGGCCTGAAAGAGGAGAAAGAGCTGGCCAGGAGAAAGATAGGGGAACAGCATACCAGGCAGAAGGAACAGCACCTGCGAAGGCCCGGAGGTGGCAACAAGTTGGTAGGTTTAAGAAATGGGAATTGGTAAGCCAGGCACTGTGGCTCACGCCTGTAATCCCAGCACTTTGGGAGGCCGAGGCAGGCAGATCACCTGAGGTCAGTAATTCAAGACCAGCCTGGCCAACATAGTGAAACCCTTGTCTCTATAAAAATACAAAAATTACCTGGGTGTGGTGTTGTGTGCCTGTAAGCCCAGCTACTCGGTAGGCTGAGGGAAGATAATTGTTTATGCCCGAGAGGCGGAGGCTGCAGTAAGCCGAGGTTGCACTGTTGCACTCTGGCCTGGGCAACAAAGGGAGACTCCATCTCAAAAAAAAAAAAAAAAAAAAAAAAAGCCAGGCACAGTGGCTCACACCTGTAATCCCAGCATTTTGGGAGGCTGAGGTGGGCAGATTGCCTGAGTTCAGGAGTTCAAGACCAACCTGGCCAGCATGGTGACACCCTGTCTCTACTAAAAATACAAAAAAAAATAGCCAGGCATGGTGGCATGGGGCAGTAATCCCAGCTACTTGGGAGGCTGACGTAAGGGAATTGCTTGAACCAGGGAGGTGGAGGTTTCAGTGAGCCAAGATCGCACCACTGCACTCTAGCCTGGGCCACAGAGCAAGACTTTCACCTCAAAAAAAAAAAAAAAAAAGGGAATTGGGAGCCAAGGGCCAGGGTGGAGGGAAGTTCATTGCTTCAGGGGCTGGGTGAGGACTTAGGATTTGATTCTGGGAGAATGTTGAGGTTTTGAGGAATGTGATCTACTTGGGGATCACAGGAAGCCTGCTGTGGCCAATTTGGAGAGCAGGGCCTATCCCTGGGGCAGAGGCTAGAGCAGTGGCCAGGTGATATGGACCAGAGCGGGGCCTGTGAGTGGATCTGAGATATGTTTTGGGGGCTGAAAGACAGGCCATAGCCACGGGGTGTGAGAAAGAGAAGATTCAAGGGTGACTGGTGACTTTTTTTTTCTTTCGAGACAGAGTTTCGCTCTTGTTGCCCAGGCTGTAGTGTAATGGCACAGTCTCACTGCAACCTGCAACCTCTGCCTCCCATTTTCAAGCAATTCTCCTGCCTCAGCCTCCCGAGTAGCTGGGATTACAGGTGCCCACCACCATGCCCAATTAATTGTATTTTTTAGTAGAGACAGGATTTCACCATGTTGGCCAGGCTGGTCTCGAACTCCTGACCTCACGGGATCCACCCACCTAGGCCTCCCAAATTGCTAAGATTACAGGCGTGAGCCACCACATCCGGTGGTGACTGGTGATTATTAAGCATGATTACTTGTTTTTCAGAAAGCCAGGAGTCACACAGTTACCTGGGGAATGGGGCTGCCATTACTTGCATGGGGAAAATTGGGGGAAGCACCAGGCTTTGGGTGGGTTCCAATTTCGCTGGAGCATCACATGAGTCCCAGATGGAGCCAGCAGAGGCAGCTGAATGTTTGGATCTGGAATTATGGGGGACCTGGCTCAACTGAAGGTGAAACAGACCTAACAGGTCTGGGGGCAGTTGCCAGCATCTGGCTGTTGGTCAGATGCGGGGGTGCTCCCAAGAGCCCTGATTCCTGGGACCCAGCCAGCTATCCCTCCCCCATCTGGAGTGGAATGGGGTAAGGATGGGGCTCCCAGGGACTAGGGATGGGGTATAGTGGGGTGTCCTCTGGTCTCAGCTGCAGCACACATCAACCTACCACTCCTGATTTTTTATCTTTTATTTTTGAGACAAAGTCTCACTCTGTTGCCCAGGCTGGAGTGCAGTGGTGCCATCTCGGCTCACTCCAACCTCCAACTCCCTGTTTCATGTGATTCTCCCACCTCAGCCTCCTGAGTAGCTGGGATTACAGGCGCCCACCACGATGCCAGGCTAATCTTTTTTTTTATTTTTTATTTTTTTATTTTTAGTAGAGACAGGGTTTCACCCTGTTGGCCAGGCTGGTCTCTAACTCCTGGCCTCAAGTAATCCACCCACCTCGGCCTAAAGTGCTAGGATTACAGGCATGAACTGCTGCACCTGGCCCTGCTACTCCTGATTAATTGCCCTCTTCATTAAGAAGCTGGGATGGGGATGGAGGGCCTGATGGGAGGCTCCTGGGTGGGGAAGGCCTTCGTAGGAGACCCTGAGCTACCTCCCCTTTTTGTTTTGTTTTGTTTTTTTTTTTGAGACGACGTCTCACTCTGTCACCCAGGCTGGAGTGCAGTGGCGCAGTCACAGCTCACTGCAGCCTCGGCCCCCTGGGATAAAGCAATCCTCCCACCTCAGCCTCCCAAAGTTCTGAGATTACAGGCGACCGCGACCACACCTAGCTGAGAGCTCCCTTTTGTTGTTGTTGGGTTTTGTTGTTGTTGTTGTTGTTGTTTGTTTTGGTTTGTTTTTTGAGACAGGGCCTTCCCTCTTGTCACCCAGGCTGGAGTGCAATGACGCGATCTTGGCTCACCGCAACCTCCGCCTCCTGGGTTCAAGCGATCCTTCTGCCTCAGCCTCCCGAGTAGCTGGGATTACAGTCATGCACCACCACACCCAGGTAATTTTGTATTGTTAGTAGAGACGGGGTTTCTCCATGTCGATCAGGCTGGTCTCAAACTCACAACCTCAGGTGATCCACCTGCCTTGGCCTCCCACACTGCTAGGATTACAGGCATGAGCCACAGTGACCAGCTTTTTTTTTTTCTTTTTCTTTCTTTCTTTTTTTATTTTCTGTTGAGATGGAGTCTCACTCCTTCACCCAGGCTGAAGTGCAGTGGCGCGATATTGTCTCACTGCAACCTCTGCCTCCCAGGTTCAGGTGATCTTCCTGCCTCAGCATGCCGAGTAGCTGGGACTGCAGGCGCGTGCCACCATGCACTGCTAATTTTTTGTATTTGTAGTAGAGACAGGGTTTCACCATGTTGGCCAGGATGGTCTCGATCTCTTGACCTCATGATCCGCCAGTTGTGGCCTCCCAAAGTGCTGGGATTACAAGCATGAGCCACTGTGCCTAGCCTGTTGTTGGTTTTTTGTTTGTTTGTTTGTTTGTTTGTTTGTTTGTTTGAGACAGAGTCGCACTCTGTTGCCCAGGCTGGAGTGCAGTGGCACAATCTCGGCTCACTGCAACCTCCACCTCCTGGGTTCAAGCAATTCTCCTGCCTCAGCCTCCCAGGTAGCTAGGATTACAGGTGCCTGTCACAACACCCAGCTTATTTTTTGTATTTTTAGTAGAGACAGGGTTTCTCCAGGTTGGCGAGGCTGGTCTCAAACTCCTGTCCTCAAGTGATCCACCTGCCTCAGCCTCCCAAAGTGCTGGGATTACATGTGTGAGCCACCGTGCCTGGCCTCTTTGCTGTTCCTTAAACCTGCCTCGGGGCCTTTGCATGTGCTGTGCCATCTGCCGGGGACACCCTTCCCCCGGCTGTTAAAATGGCCAGCTGCTTGTTTCCATCCATACTTCAGCTAAAATGTCAACTTCCCGGAGAAGGCCCTCCTGCCCAGCTCGAGCAGTCTCATGAGCACTCACCCAACCCCACATTTTCTCTTTTTTCTTGCCTTAACATCTGTCTCATGAGCCCTGTCATTTTGGGGCCTGTCACTGCAGTTCTGTGTCCTACACACTCAGCATGTGGCTTGGCACACAGCGGGTGCCCATGTGCAGGTGAAATGACTGATGCTGTGAGCTGAGTGTGGGAGAGGTCATCAGAAGGTCCTTTATTTATTTATTATTATCATTATTTTTTGAGACGGAGTCTCGCTCTGTTGTCCAGGCTGGAGTGCAGTGGCGCAATCTCAGCTCACTACAAACTTCACCTCCCAGGTTCAAACGATTCTACTGCCTCAGCCTCCCGAGTAGGTGGGATTACAGGCACCTGCCACCATGCCCAGCTAATTTTTTTTTTTTTTTTTTGAGACAGAGTCTTACTCTGTCATCCAGGCTGGAGTGCAGTGCAGTGGTGTGATCTTGGCTCACTGCAACCCCTGCCTTCCGGGTTCAAGCGATCCTCCTGCCTCAGCCTCCCAAGTAGCTGGGATTACAGGTGCCCGCCACCACACCAGGCTAATTTTTTTTTTTTTTTTTTTGAGATGGAGTCTCGCTCTGTCACCCAGCCTGGAGTGCAGTGGCATGATCACGGTTCACTGCAGCCTCGACCTCCCGTGCTCAAGCAGTCCTCCTACCTTAGCCTCCCAAGTAGCTGGGACTACAGGCGTACACCACCATGACTGGCTATTTTTTTTTTTTTAATAGAGATAGGGTCTTACTGTGTTACCCAGGATGGTCTTGAACTCCTCGGCTCAAGCGATCCACCTGCCTCGGCCTCCCAAAGCGCTGAGATTACAGGCGTGAGCCACCGCGCCCAGACTACCCTTTTCCTTTCCTCTTCCTGCAGATGGCTGGAGTGTGGATAAATAAACATTAAGGCATATGCAGCTACGCCTGCCCTAGGAGACCCGAGGCTCACCCTGAGCACCCTCATTCCACACAAAGTTAGCCCAGTTTTTTAACACACAAAAACGCTGAGTTCTGGCCAGGTATGGTGGTTCATGCCTGTAATCCCAGCACTTTGGGAGGCTGAGGCAGGTGGGTCACTTAAGATCAGGGGTTCAAGACCAGCCTGGCCAACATGGAGAAACCCGTCTCTACTAAAAATACAAAAATCAGCCGGGCGTCAAGGCTTGTGCCTGTAACTCCAGCTGCTCGGGAAGCTGAGGGAGGAGAATCACTTAAACCCGGGAAGCAGAGATGGCAGAGAGCAAAAATCACATCACTGCACTCCAGCCTGGGCGACAGAGTGAGACCCTGTCTAAAAAACAAAACAAAACAACAACAGAAACCACTGAGTCCTAGAGAGGTTACCAGCCACTCAGGTGATGGGCCTGGGATTTGAATCCAGCCCCCGCAGGGTTTTCCTCTTGGCTCAGTTTCCCAGAATGGGGGCACTGGCTGTGATCTGAAGTTGTGACCTCATGACCCACTGCTCAGGCCCGGGGGCAGCCAGGTCCCCTTTTCTTGGGTGAGTCAAAACCTTGTGTCCAGGCACAAGGGATCTCCTGCTCCCAAAAGCAGTGGCCACAGCCCTGGGCTGGACAGTTGGATCAGGTCCCCAATTCCCTGGTGGCCTCTCTGGGCCTCAGTGGGCCCCTGTGAGCTGGTCCCCGAGCAGCTCTAAGTGTTTCTTTTTTTTTTGGTGGTGGGGACAGAGTCTCACTCTGTCTCCCAGGCTGGAGTGCAGTGGCGTGATCTCAACTCACTGCAACCTCCGCCTCCCAGGTTCAAGCAATTCTCCTGCCTCAGCCTCCAAGTAGCTGGACTACAGGCATGAGCCACCATGCCCAGCTAAGTTTTTTGTGTGTCTAGTAGAGACGGGGTTTCTCCATGTTGGCCAGGTTGGTCTTGAACTCCTGACCTCAAGTGATCCGCCTGCTTCGCCCTCCCAAAGTGCTAGGATTGCAGGCGTGAGCCACCGCGCCTGGCCAGCTCTGGGTATTTCTCAGTAGAGGGTCTCTGGGATCTCCCCACCATGGCCTGGGCCACCCCCACCCCCTACTCACTTCACTCAGCAGGAAGGAGAGTGTTGTCCTGCTGTGCCTCATGCTGCTGGCATCTGTGGCCCTGCAGAAATGGTTCTGAGACCTCCAGACCACTGGGAGCCCAGGTACGGCCCTGTGGGACACCCCCTAGACAGAAGCTCACTCCCACACTCTCTGCACCCTCCCTTGAACCCCAAGGAACTAAATCAAGGTGGCATGGACCACACCACAGGCACCAGTGTGAGACACCCGCCCGGACCTTGCAGCGGTCCCCATCCAGGGACAGCAGCCAGGTGCCCAAAGCCCCTCCCCACACCTGTCCAGGTTCAGCAGCCTGGGTGGGGGCATCAGGACTGGCGAAACAAGGTCTCCTGGCCCCAGACACATGGGAGACCCATTCAGCTCCCAGAGTGGCTCTGATGGTTTCAGGGGGATTACGAGACCCCAGCACCTCTCCTGAGACGCCCCCAAGCTCAAGAATAAGCTTGCTCCAGGAGGCCCAGGCATGTCTGGCACTTACCACCACTGCGGAGTCCTGCCTGGGTCCCATGACCTGCTGGCTAGTGAGGGAAGGAGGGGAGAAAATGACCTGACCAAGAGGGAGGCCCAGGGCTCCCTCAACACCCACTCAGCGGAGCCCCTTAACTGTCTGGGCACCAGGCCAGGACATAATCCACACACTTTCCTTGGGTGAGGCTCCCAGTGGGTGGAGGGCAGAGTGTCCAAGAGGGCCTGAGGGGACGAGAGAGTGGCCAAGAGGGTGGCCGGGCATGGAGGGGGAGGGGCGGGGAGGGCAGAGGAAGGAGGGGGGAAGGAGGGAAGGGAGGCGTAGGAGTGAGGAGGCTGGGTGAGAGGTGTTAAGATTAATTGTTCATGTGTTTGCATATGATAGAGTGAGAGAGAGGGCGCGAAGGAAGATGGTGGTAGGGGACCAGCAGCTCTGGGAAGGGGGGGATTTTATCAACTCAGGGTCTAGGATATCTGCTTCCAAGCAGAGCCCATGGGGTGTGGCCTAAGGAGCTTGGGGGCTCCAGGAAAGTTGCCCGCTGTGCTGTGCCGCCCCGGGTAGATCAAAGACCCTCTCTGGTCATTGGCTGGGCGCGGTGGCTCACGCCTGTAATCCCAGCACTTTGGGAGGCGGAGGCGGGTGGATCACGAGATCAGGAGATCGAGACCATCCTGGCCAACATGGTGAAGCCCCATCTCTACTAAAAATACAAAAAAATTAGCTGAGTGTGGTGGCAGGTGCCTGTAATCCCAGCTACTTGGGAGGCTGAAGCAGGAGAATCGTTTGAACCCAGGAGGCAGAGGTTGCAGTGAGCTGAGATCGTGTCACTGCACTCCAGTGTGGGCAACAAGAGCGAAACTCCATCTTATTAAAAAAAAAAAAAAAAGAATGGCTTGAACCCAGGAGTCAGAGGCTGCAGTGAGCCAAGACTGCACTACTGCACTCCAGCCTAGGTGACAGAGGGAGACTGTCTCAAAAAAGAAAAAAAGAGAGAGAGATGGGGTTTTGCCATTTTGCCCAATTTGGTCTCAAACTACCAAGCTCAAGCAATTCACCCACCTCAGCTTCTCAAAGTGCTGAGATTACAGTGGTAAGCCACCATGCCCGGCACCCCCAGTTTTGTTTGTTTGTTTTGAGACAGGGTCTCACTCTGTCACCCAGACTAGAGTGCAGTGGTGCAATCTCAGCTTACCGCAACCTCTGACTCCCAGGCTCAACCAATTCTCCTGCCTCAGCCTCCCTAATAGCTGGGATTACAGGCACACACCACCACGCCTGGCTAATTTTTGTATTTTTAGTAAAGATGGGGTTTCACCATGTTGACCAGGCTGGTCTTGAACTCCTGACCTCAAATGATCCACCCACCTTTGCCTTCCAAAGTGCTGGGATTACAGGTGTAAGCCACTACGCCTGGCCCTATTTTTTTTTTTTTTGAGATGGAGTCTTGCTCTGTTGCCCAGGCTGGAGTACAATGGGGCGATCTCAGCTCACTGCAACCTCCGCCTCCCTGGTTCAAGCGATTCTCTGCCTCAGCCTCCTGAGTAGCTGGGATTACAGGCACCTGCCACCACGCTCAGCTAATTTTTGTATTTTTAGTACAGACAGAGTTTCGCCATGTTAGCCAGGCTGGTCTCAAACTCCTAAGCTCAGGAGATCTGCCCGCCTTGGCCTCCCAAAGTGCTGGGATTACAGGTGTGAACCACCGCACCCAGCCAAGTGAGCTCCTGATTCTTATCTGTCCCTGCCTTGAGTCTGTGGATCCCCTGAAAGTAAAGACATGGTCCCCACTGTGACCCCAGCACAGAGCCCAGCACATAGTAGGTGCTCAGTTAATGTTTTCACACGAGTCCATAACTCGTGTTTTCACACGAGGCCTTGGATGAATGGTAGGGGCTTTATTTCCTCAGGTTCTGCTCCTCCCCAGGAACCCCAGCCCCATCCATGCCCCCATCTCTGTTGGCTCCTCAGGGCTCACTCCTGGAGGTGGTGGGCAAAGGACAATCTGTCATTCACGGATCCCTGAGGAAGGAACACACAGGGAGGCATTCAGACACCAAAAGGCTCTGCAGCCCAGGTTGGCCCTGCTTGGGATAGCAGCTCCCCCAACCATGCCTTGGCCCCAGGGCTGAGCCCCCAGCCCAGCCCTACCTTACCATGGACACCTCGTCCAGGTTCTCAAACTTGGACTCATTCCGGTGACAGAATCTCACAGCCATGACCACAGACCCGATGAGCAAAAGAGACACCAGCAAACACACGACCACCACCACACTCGGGTTCCTGTGTAACTCACGGGGCCCAGTGTCACCTGGAGCTGGGGAAAGGAACTCAGAGTCAGCACTGGGTCCTATTCCCCACAAGCCTAAGACACCCACCAGGGCCCAGAGCCTTTTAAAATCTGTTCTCAGGAAGCTGACCTCTCTTCCCTCTCCAGTTGAGGCTGCCACTTTTTAATCATGTATTTTAGAGACAGGGTCTCACTCTGTCACCCAGGCTGGAGTGCAGTAGTGCAATCACAGCTCACTGCAGCCTCTATCTCCTGGGCTCAAGTGATCCTCCCACCTCAGCCTCCCAAGTAGCTAGGATTACAGGCATGCACCACCATGCCTGGACAATTTTTTTTTTTTTTTTTTGAGACAGGGTCTTGCTCTGTCACACAGGCTGGAGTGCAGTGACGTTATCTCAGCTTACTGTGACCTCCATCTCCAAGGATCTAGTGATCCTCTTACCTCAGCCTCCCCAGTAGCTGAGACTACAAGTGTGTGCCACCACACCCAGCTAATTTGTGTACATATTTAGTAGAGATGGGGTTTCACCATGTTGCCCAGGCTGGTCTTGAACTCATTGGCTCAGGTGATCCACCCGCCTCGGCCTCCCAAAGTGCTGGGATTACAGGCGTGGGCCACTGAGCCCAGCCTAATTTTTAAATTTTATTTAATCAATTACTTTATTTATTTTTGAGATAGAGTCTTTTTTTTCCCCCCCGAGATGGAGTCTTGCTCTGTCTCCCAGGCTGGAGTGCAGTGGTTCAATGTGGGCTCACTCCAACCTCCGCCTCCTGGGTTCAAATTATTTTCCTGCCTCAGCCTCCCAAGTAGCCCGGATTACAGGCGCCCGCCACCATGCCTGGCTATTTTTTGTATTTTTAGTAGAGACGGGGTTTCACCATGTTGGCCAGGCTGGTCTTGAACTCCTGACCTCAGGTGATCCTCCCACCTTGGCCTCCCAAAGTGCTGGGATTACAGATGTGAACCACCACGCCCAGCCATTTTTATTTTATTTATTTATTTATTTGAGACAGAGTCTTACTCTGCCACCCAGGCTGGAGTGCAGTGGCACGATCTCAGCTCACTGCAACCTCTGCCGCCTGGGTTCAAGCGATTCTCCTGCCTCAGCCTCCCGAGTTGCTGAGATTACAGGCGTCTGCCACCACGCCTGGCTAATTTTTGTAGTTTTAATAGAGACGGGGTTTCACCATTTTGGCCAGGCTGGTCTTGAACTCTTGACCTCGTGATACACGCCCCCCCCGCCCCCGCCCCCGCCCTCGGCCTCCCAAAGTGCTGGGATTACAGGCTTGAGCCACCGCGCCCCGCCATTTTTAGATTTTTTTGTAGAGACAAAGTCCTGCTATTTTGCCCAGGCCCAAATACATAATGTATAACCTGTCTCCCCACCACAGCAAGTATTAGTTTCTCTCTTTGCCCATCGCTGCGTGCCCAGCCGTGACATACACTAGGCACTTAATAAATGCGCATAGCATGAAGAGCTTTAGACAATGGAGCAGAGACAAGAAGCCCTTCCTAGAGCATTCTCGGGGCTGTACCTCCCCCTGGTGGTCAGTTCCAAAACTGCAGCCTGTTACACCCGCCACCTCCCTACAAACACCCAAATCTCTTAATACTCACCTGGGCCAGGGGGCTCCAAGGTCTGGTCAGTGGAGGTCAAGGGCTCCGTTCCGGGGCTGTGGGAAGTGGGGCTCCAGTGCGGGGTCAGGGATTCGGAACTGGGGAGGGTGGAATGGGAAGAGGGGGTGAGCTCTGCACTGGGGGAGCCAGAACTAGGGTGCGTGATTGTCTCTGGTTGTGGGGAGGAGGGTATCATCCTTGAATCTGTGGAGCTGGGGCTCGGCTGGATGGTAGGGGTTGCCCCTGAACTTGAGGGGCTGAGGTGGGTTATGGAGTCTGTCTCCAAACTCATGGTGCTGGAGTAGGATTTGGGGGGTTCCCCTGAACTGTGGGTGCTGTGGGCGAAGGGAGAAGAAATCAGAGAGCTGACAGGTGATGTCTCCATACTGTTCTCTGAGGTCACAATATCTGGAAAGAAAAACTGGGCGCGGTGGCTCACGCCTGTAATTCCAGCACTTTGAGAGGTCAAGGTGAGAGCATCACTTGAACCCAGGAATTAGAGACCAGCCTGGGCAACATAGCGAGACCCTCTCTCTCTCTCTTTCTCTCTCTCTTTTTTTTTTTCTTTTTTTGAGATGGCGTCTCGCTCTGTCACCCAGGCTGGAGAGCAGTGGTGCCATCTCAGCTCACTGCAACCTCCACCTCCTGGGTACAAGCAATTCTCCTGCCTCAGCCTCCCAAGTAGCTGGGATTACAGGCGTGCATTACCACGCCTGGCTAATTTTTGCATTTTTAGTTTCACTGTGCTGGCCAGATTTGTCTCGAACTTCTGACCTCAGATGATCCACCTGCCTTGGCCTCCCAAAGTGCTGGGATTACAGGCATAAGCCATCATGCCCAGCCTTTTCATTTTTATTTTTAATTAATTTATTTTTTTGTCCAGGTCATAGGGAGACCTGAAAGATTTAGGACACCATGTGAGCTCTCAGTGGGAAACTGAAGCTCCCACTCAAATTCATGCTCCTGGTCTGAAGTCCCACAGCCTGGGTTCAAGTGCAGATCAGCGTTCCCAGTCCTCTTGGCTGAGAGCTCTAGAAGCCCTTTGGATATGGGAAGTGACTGCATCCCAGGCAGTGCTGGGCAGCTCCTTTAAATTTTCTGGGACTCAGTTTTCTTTTCTGTAAAATGGAGTTCATGTGGAGTTGGTGCCTCTGACAGTTCATCAGTCAGGTTCATAGTGGGTGTACACAAGCTGGGTGCTCCCAGCTACTGGGGAGGCTGAGGCGGGAGGATTGCCTGACCCCAGGAATTCAAGGCTGTAGTGCGCCATGATTGCGCCACTGCACTCCTGCCTGGGAGACATAATGAGACCTTGTCTCTACAAAAAAATAAAACAAAAATTAGCCAGGCATGGTGGTGCATGCCTAGTCCCAGCTACTCAGGAGGCTGAGGTGGGAGGATCGCTTGAGTCCAGGAGTTCAAGGCTGCAGTAAGCCATGATCATGCCACTGAACTCCAGCCTAGGCAACAGAGTGAGACTCCGTCTCAAAAAAAAAAAAAACACACACACACAATAGAATAGAAACACAGTGGGTGCACAGTGACACTCAACTATAAAGATCCACCTATGAGCTCAGAGAGGATCAGCCCTAATTTTCTCCAGGTAGCCCTAGGCTAACCTCAACTTTAATGGAAGACACAAAGACACAGGCGCTGGGAACATGTCTCCGGAACCCACCCTTCTACGTGTTGGTCCAGCTACTTCCTGGCTCACATCCCATCCCAGGCATGGAGTCCAGGGACCAGGCTGAGGGCAGGTAAGCAGTTCATGAGCCACCTCCCACAACGACTTCCCACCCAGTTCCAGGTGACTGGGCCTCTTAGGCACTTACAAGTTCATTCATCAACTCTCTGCTCCACCCATGCACTCTGCTCTGGGCCAAACTTTGTGCTTCCTCCTTGACTCACCCTAGGCAGCAGAAATGCGGAAATAACACACAACACTGGCCCTGAGAGGGGGCTGGGTCCACATGCCACCCTCCCCAGATCTCTATGTAGCCCCCCAGGCCCTGTGGGGATGACGGCTGAGTCTAGAAGAGGCATGGAACTCAGGCTGGGCTTCATCCCCATTTGACAGATGAGAAACTGAGGCTCAGAGTAGCAGAGGGTCTGGCCTGAGGTGACTGGGGAGCTGGGAAGAACGCCCCTCAAGGACCCTTGTCCTCTGTTTCTGCTGAAATGAAGATGATTCAGAGGCCAGAGTGGACCCCAAGCCAAGTCAGAATTCTGGGGAGCTGAGTGCTTAGTGAACTGAGGAAAAGCTGTGGACTTGAAAAAGGAAGAGTTGGAGGACACAAGCCCTGTTGAGTGCCTGGCACTGAGTAGGCACTGGTGAGCTGCTGAAGGGTTGACCAGAAGGTAAAAATAAAGATGTTTCTAGGCACTGTGCTGGGTGTTTGCTCTCCCCAGAGACTCCTAGACTGGGAGGCTCACATGAGCCAAGTCAACCAGTTCTAATCTGGGTCTGGGACAAGCTGGACTGAGCCTCAGTTTCCTGAGCTATGAAATGGGGATAAAAGTGGTGCCTTCTGAATGAAACCCTTCCCTGCAATGAGCATTTCAGCAGCCATGGTGGCCTCTGCTCTGCTATTACAGGTCTGTGGGGTAGGACACCGGTCAGAGAGAGTGACAACATAGTGGCAGGTAAAGGGCAGAAAAAGGGAATGCGAGAAGCTCAAGGCTCCTCCCCTCCACCCTAGGCACTGTCTTATAGGAGAGCAAGAGGGAATTAAGTCAGACACCCAGAAGAACTTCTCATGGGAACCACAGATGTTTGATGACCAGGAAGTGAGTCCCTGTTCCCTGGAACCCCCATGGCCCTGAGGTCTTCACCATTCTCCCTTTGGGGATTGGCTAAAAGCAACAGATTTGAAAAGGAGCCCAAAAGTAGGTGTGAGGCCATCTGTGGCCTCCAGCAGGTTCAGGGCTCACTGGAGTTGCAGGACCCACAGCCCCAGGGCTTGGGAGCAGCGGTGCCTCATCTGTCCTCACAGCTGCTCCGTTTGTTTCTGGGGGAAAACCCAGCCTTCCTCGGAGGGTTGGCGGACCAGCGTGGCCTGAGGGAGGGGTCCAGAAGCCAGGTGTGTGACTGGGCTGTGCGTCCCCCACCCCCACCCTTCCGCTTTCTGGAAGCTGAGCCTCTTTACCAGCTCTTACCTGTAAAGGGAGTATTGTAATTCACACCAGCTTTCAGCAGCACCACCAGCACCAAAAGCAGAAGTGGCGGCAGCTGGGGGCACGCCATTCCTGCGCCGGGAGGGCCTGCCACCGGCTCTGCACAGGTGTGTGGCCAGGTGTGTGCCCAGGTGCCAGCTCCTTGCACCTGCGTGTGCGCTCCCTGCTGGCGGAGCGCGGGGCTGTGCAGGGGCAAGGCGCAGGTGGGGCTGCAGGGTGTGGGACCTCCCTGGGGCGCTCCTGTTCCCCCGGGTGCGGTTCTCGCCCTCTTCACCTGGACTCCACCCCTTCTAAACACGACGACCCAGAAGCTCTCAAAGCCAGTCATCCACTAAAGACACCCTGCCCCTGCCGTCCTCTTTCCCCCTGCTCCTGGTTCCACAGCTGCCCAAACCCCTGCTGTCACTCCCTCTGCCCCTCGTCCAGCCAGGTTGTCCCCTCTGGGAGCACCAATTTCTCCCACCTCCCTCCGATCCCTGAACCCACAGGGCTGGGGATGTCCTTGTTCTCTGTCCTCGTCCTCCTCTGTCCTCTGTCTCACCCAGACTGGGGCCTTTTGGGGACATGACTGAAACCTTCTAACCTTCTAGCATTTCTATTATGGATTTCTTTTTCTTTCTTTTATTCTTTTTTTTTTTTGAGACGGAGTCTTGCTCTGTCACCCAGACTGGAGCGCAGTGATGCAATCTTGGCTCACTGCAACCTCTGCCTCCCGGGTTCAAGTAATTCTCCTGCCTCAGCCTCCCGAGTAGCTGGCGCCCGCTACCAGGCCTGGCTAATTTTTGTATTTTTTAGCAGAGACAGGGTTTCACCATGTTGGCCAGGCTGGTCTCGAACTCCTGACCTCAAGTGATCCACCCGCCTCGGCCTCCCAAACTGCTAGGATTACAGGCATGAGCCACCGTGCCCAGCCCTTTTTTTTTTTTTTTTTAAGAGACGGGGTCTCACTCTGTCGCCCAGGCTGAAGCACAGTGGCACAATCACAGCTCACTGCATTCTCAAACTCTGGGATTCAAGCAACCTCCCGCCTCAGCCTCCCAAGTAGCTGCGATTACAGGCGTGTACCACCATGCCCGGCTAATTTTTTTTTTTTTTTTTTGAGACTGAGTTTAGCTCTTGTTGCCCAGGCTGGAATGCAATGGCACAATCTTGGCTCACCACAACCTCCGCCTCCCGGGTCCAAGCGATTCTCCTGCCTCAGCTTCCTGAGTAGCTGGGATTACAGGCATGTGCCACCATGGCCGGCTAATTTTGTATTTTTAGTAGAGACGGGGTTTCTCCATGTTGGTCAGGCTGATCTCGAACTTCTGACCTCAGGTGATCTGCCCACCTCGGCCTCCCAAAGTGCTGGGATTACAGGCGTGAGCCACCGTGCCTGGCCTTTTTTTGTTGTTGTATTTTTTTTTAGTATAGATGGGGTTTTACCATGTTGGCCAGGCTGATAGCTCTAACTCCTGACCTCAGGTGACCCACTCGTCTTGGTTTCCCAAAGTGCTGGGATTACAGGCATGAGCCACCACACCCAGCCATCCTGTAGGATTTTTTAGGGGTGAGGGACTTGAGGTGAGTGCTCTGGGCCAGGTCCCAGGCACATTTCTAGAGTGCACTGGGGACAGTTTCCATCTGGGACGGGCTGGACACCACCCCACTACCTGTACGTGGATATGGCAGAGGCACAGCTGAGACCACATTGGCAGTGCCTGACCTCCAGGAAAGATTTGAGGTCCCCATGCTGGCCACAGACCCCAGATGCATACTGCATGGTTGGTAACTTCAGAGTTCTCTTCCCTCTGGGATGTTCCAGATTCCCCCACTATACCCAAGCCACTTCCATTAACCCAGAACACATCACCCAAGATCTAGGCTGTGGAGGACTTTATTCATTAGACCCAGAGAGCCATGAGTGCCTCCCACGAAGTCCCCACTGCAGGGAGCCAGGGTCCTAGATGCCAGGCCAATGCATGTGCCGTGAGCTGGCCGAGGGGTCTGCTGGTCCCAAGAGCGCCTCTGTGTTCTTCAGACAGCTCCGGGTATGGTGGCCTCGCCAGGTGGCTTGAACTATCTTCGCTGCCATTTGCTGCTGCCTCATCTGCTGGCGGATCTTAAAGCCCCTCCAGGCGGACTGGATGGCTGTGGCCGCTTTGTCCTGGCGATGCGGCTGCCTGGGACTCAGGGCAGCCAGCTGGTAGGCGGAGGCCCAAGACACTGCCCCGGGGCCCTCAGTGCCCTGGCCCATGCCCTGCACCACACGGGTGGGCTGTGTGCGTCCACAGGTATGACAGGTGCGAGGGCTGGAGCCCACTAGCATCACCACGCTGGGCGGGCTCCCGATCCTGGAGCTCAGGGAGTGGCAGACGCTGCAAGCGTGTGCCTGGCAGGACTGGAAGCAGCGATGGTCAGATACTGTCCTGGCTCTGCCATCCTGGAACCAGCTTCGGTCAGACATGACCCCGGCCCGGCTGCCCAGCTCCACCCACGTGACGGGGTGGAGCATCTGCCAGTGCCGGGCTTGGTCCCGGCGGGTGCTGTAGCCGCGCCAGGCAGACTGGATGGTCGTGGTGGCTCTGCAGAGGTGTGCCAGGTTCCGCCGCACACGGTAGCCGCGCCAAGTAGCTTGGATGACCATGGCCCCCCGGTGCCACAGCCGGATCCTGCGACGCGCCAGGTAGCCACGGACGCCCGCCTGGATAGTGATCACTGCGAGGATGCGGATCTCCTCTGCAGCCTGCATGGACACCATTGGCTCCCCGGACCGCCTGGGAGGCACCACCGCCTTGTTGCGCCAGGTGTCCCAGGACGCAGCACCCCTGGCTGGCTCCCATGCGCGGTTCCACGATTGGCCACCAACCACACCAGCGTCCGCGGGGCCCTGGAGTATAGTGGAGTTCAGGGATGCCTTGTGACTAACGGCAGGATTCTGGGGGCTATAGGAGTCCTGCCGTCTCCACGGTGACTCCTGGTTAAAAAGGGGTGGCAGGGAACCACTTGGGGAAGACTCATAGCCTAGAGACACCCTCCGAACTCCCGGGGCCAGCGGAGGAATGACCGAGGAGTGTGTCATCTCCCCAGTGCGGATGACGGGCCTTACCTCTGCAGAGGGCCTGTGGGTGGGGTTTGCACCACTTCGGGCTGAGGCCTGGGATGGTTGTCTTTGCACATACTGTAAGGGCCTAACCCTGGCCACAGAACTTTCTAGCAGTTCTGGAACAATCCTACCATGCACGGATCTGTAGGAATTTTTAGGGCCCATGGCGTCCCAGCGGCTGCTCGGAGCCATGTTTCCAGACACTGTTTTCTGGAGTGGATTGGGGACAGCTTCTGTCTGGAAGGGACTGGACAATGCCCTTCTAGCCGAGGACGGATATAGTGGCACATGTGAGACCATGCTGGTGGTCCCTGACCTCTGAAGAAGACTAGGATTCCCCATCCTGCCCACAGACACTGAAAGCAATCTGAAAGCCTCAGTACTGCCACGGGCCAGCTGGGGTGATCCTGAGACTACATTAGAAGCCACTGTACCCTGAGAGTGATTTGGGGGTATGACGTGAGTGACAGACCCCTGTTGATAAACTGAGGGGGACTTAGTGGCTAAACCCGGGGCCTGGAAAGGGACAGGGACCATGCCACTAGCATGGCTGGGAGCCACCTCCCTTGGGGAAGAGACCCTTTCTCAGACAGGGACCTATGATCATGGCCCCCATCAGCTCCCAGAGGACTGGAGTACATCCACTGGGTTGCACCAGTGACCCTGGCTTTGCTGAATAGGTCATTGGATCCACTTGATCCTGACACTTGGAACACAGCCTCATCCAATTCTCCTAGCTTGGCTTGGTCCCCTGTGACCCCAGATGGCATTATCCTAGCATCTTGGCTCAATTGTAAGGCTCTTGATAGAACCGTGGGCACTCGGTGTAGACTCCTCACTGTGCCACTAGCTGCCGGGGCTGAGGAGTGACCTGGAGCCAGACTGGTGGTGTGGGGCATCTGCAAGGGGGCTAAAGACCTCTCCCCAGCCAGGCTTTGAGGTAAGGAGGGGCAGTGATGTCAATCACCATGGGCCCCTTGGAGCAGCTCTGAGCCACACTAGAGGCCCCCATCATTGGCACAGAACCAGGGGGACAACTGGGCTCACCCGACTCACTACTGAACCTGGGAGCAAGTTTGGAGCAGCTAAGCTAGCGGAGGGTCTTACAGATAGACTTGGCTTCTTTCTGTCTGCCATCAGACTGGGAGCCACCCAACTGGACACAGAGCCTGCGGGAAGGCTGTGACCCATGCCTCGGATGGTGGAGCCCGGGGGAAGGCTGGAGGTTATGCCACCAGGCAGAGTGCCTGGGACTGCGCCCGTGCTCATTCTACTGGCTACAAAACCTCCTGCCGCACCACGACCAGCCCTGCTCTTCAGAGAGTCCTGCGGAATCACATCTCTCTGCTGGTAACTGGGTGGGACCATGGATGCCTCAGAAGGGTGCCAGCAGTCTATGTTTTTTGGAATAACCACACTGATCTGGGAGCTGCTGGGGTCCATGCTGTTCAGGGAAAGATTAGACTGAGTCACGGCCAGTCTGTTGGGCACTGAAGCCAGAGAGGGGCTGGGGGCCATCCCTGTGGTTCCAGAGGGATGTGTCAAAGGGCCACCTGCCTCTAAGACCTGGGATGCAAGGGAAGCCATGCCATTGGCCACCTGACATTGACTTTGGCCCATGCCAGTTGCTATGGTTCTCCAGGGGAGATTCCCAGCTAGGCCAGGAGATGTGGTCCCCTGAGACCCACTGGGGAACATAGCATCAGCCAAAGGCTCCTGGGGATGGCTTACAGCCACACCCCTGAACAGAGGCGTGATTCACTGGCCTACACAACAGGCCTCCTCATCAGCATGAGAGAGATTTGGTGTTGAAACACTAACCACAGAGGGTGGACACACATGCCTCCCACCAACCCTGGGTGGATGATGGAACCCAAGGGACACGTCGTTGAACTTGAAGTCCGGGGGGCTGGATACCATCTCACTAACCATCAGAGGTTCTTCACATAGGTTCACCCCAGTACCCAGGGATGGCTGGTTCAGACCCTGGTCCATATTTCCAGCCACAGAGGGATATGGTCCACCCAGGCTAACTGAAACAAACGCTGATGGGTGACACAGACACGGGGCTACTGAGTCCACCCTTGAACACTGCAGATTTGAATCCAGCCTAGAGCCCCAGCATGGCTCATTGAGGCCATGACATGTACCACTGACCACAGATGGCTGGGATCGGCTTGGGGCCAACCTAGTGTCCGGGGGTGACTGAGCCAGGCTTAGGGCTTCCGTGTGGGCCACAGATGGTGGGAATAGGCTGGGGGCTATAGCTGGCTCGGCTAGGCTGGAGGCTAGGGTACAGGATGAATTTGTCTTGCCTGGACTGGAGGCCACAGATGGTTGGGCTTGCCTTGGGGATACTGCAGTGGTCTGAGATGGGTGGGCTAGGCTGGAGCCCGCCCCACTGGCCACATATGGGTGAGCTAGACTTGGAGACAACCCATGGGGTCCTGATGGGTGGGCTAGGCTTGGGGACACACCAATGGCTTGAGATGGCTGGGCTGGGCTTAAGGACACCACACAGGTCATAGGTTGGTGGGCTAGCCTTGAAGACATCCCTGTGGCTTGAGACGGCTGGGCTAGGCTTGGGGATACACCACAGGCCATAGGTTGATGAGCTGGTCTTAAGGGCACTGCAGTGGTGGCCTGAGATAGCTGGGCAAGGCTTGGGGACACCTCACTGGGCATAGATCGATGAACCTGGCTTGGGGACACCATACAGGTCATAGATGCATGAGCTCTGCTAGGGGACATCCTGCTGGTTATAGATGCGTGAGCTTGGTTTGGGGACACCCTGGAGGCCACTGGTGGGTAATCTTGTCTAGGGGACATCCCACTGGCTTGAGATGGCTGGGCTAGGCTTGAGGAAACCCTACTGGCCACAGATTGGTGGGCTACACTTGGGGACACCCCAGTGGCCTGAGATGGCCAGGTCAAGCTTGGGGATTCCCCAGTGGACTGAGGAGGCTGGGCCAGGCTTGGAGACTCCCGAATGGCCATAGATGGGTGAGCTAGGGTTGGGGACACTCCAATGGTGTGAAATGGCATGGCTAGGCTTGGGGACACTCCAATGGTCTGAGATGGCATGGCTAGGCTTGGGGACACTCCAATAGTCTGAGATGACATGGCTAGGCTTGGGGACACTCTGATGGTCAGAGATGGCTGGGTCAGGCTTGGAGACTCCCCAGTGGGCTGAGATGGGTAGGCTGGGCTTGGGGACATCTCAGTGGGCTGAGATGGGTAGGCTGGGCTTGGGGACTCCCCAGTGACCACAGATGGGTCGCCTGGGCTTGGGGACACCTCAGTGGCCATAAATGGGTAGGCTGGGCTTGGGAACACCTCAGTGCGCTGATATGACTGGGCCAGGCTTGGAGACTCCCCAGTGACCACAGATGGGTAGGCTGAGCTTGGGGACACCTCAGTGGGCTGAGATGGCTGGGCAAGGCTAGGGGACTCCCCAGTGGCCACACATGGATAGTCTGGGCTTGGGGACACCTCAGTGGGCTGAAATGGGTAGCCTGGGCTTGGGGACACCTCAGTGGCCATAGATAGGTAGCCTGAGCTTGGGGACATCTCAGTAGGCTGAGATGAGTAGTCTGGGCTTGGGGACACTTCAGTGGCCACAGATAGGTAGCCTGAGCTTGGGGACACCTCAGTGAGCTGAGATGGGTAGCCTGGGCTTGGGGACACCTCAGTGGCCACAGATAGGTAGCCTGAGCTTGGGGATATCTCAGTGGGCTGATATGGGTAGGTTGGGCTTGGGGACACCTCAGTGGCCACAGATGGGTATTCTGGGCTTGGGGACATCTCAATGGCCATAGATAGGTAGCCTGGGTTTGGGGACACCTCAGTGGGCTGATATGAGTAGGCTGCACTTGGGGACACCTCAGTGAGCTGATATGGGTGGGCTGGGCTTGGAGATACCTCAGTGGGCTGAAATGGCTGTGCCAGGGTTGGGTACTCCCTAATGGCCTGAGATGGGTAGGTTGGACTTGGGGACACCTCAGTGGGCTGAAATGGCTGAGCCAGCATTGGGTACTCCCCAACAGACTGAGATGGGTAGTCTGGACTTGGAGACACCCCAAAGGCTTGAGATGGCTGGGCCAGATTTGAGGTTACCCCAGGGGCTTGAGATGGCTGGGCTAGGCTTGAGGGCTCCCCACTGTCCATAGATGGCTGGGCTAGGTTTTGGGACCCCCAGTTAGCCATTGATTGGTGACCTTGGTCTGAGGCCACTCTAAAGGTCCTTGATGGGTGTCCTCGGCTTGGGGACCTCCTAGTCACCACAGATGGCTGTGCTGGTCTTGGTGTCACTCTATTAGGCACAGAGGAGTGTGGTAGCCTTGGGGTCACCCAATTACCCATAGATGGGCAGGTTAGCCTTGGGGATACCTTACTGGATGCTATATGCTGGGATAGGCTTGGGGCCAGCCTACTGAACCCTGATGCCTGGCCTAGGTTTGGGGCTACCCTACTGGCCAGTGTAGCCTGGGACACAATTGGGGCCAAGCTCTTGGCCACAGATGGTGGCTTATATGCAGTGGAGACCACAGTACCTAAAGACAGAGTCCTCCTCAGCTCTGTCTTGACGGTTGCCTGGGACACCTCAATCAGATTCACAGAGCTCTTGCCTAAGGAGAACTTGTGGATCTCAGCCTCTGAGCCCCAGTGAACACGCAAGGTCAAGCAGTTAGACACTGAGCTGTGTTGGAAACTGGGCACTTTCTCCGAGGCTGGAGTGGGCCGGTAGGGGAAGTGTAGGGTCATGTACCTATAGCCGGTTTCAGTCTCTTGCGTATCCTTAAACCTCTGGAGTGTCCCCATGGACTCCGGAGGAAAAACAGACTTCACCGCAAGGTCCCCTTCTAAACTGCTTTCCCGTGACTCATCTATCTTGTTGACGGCAGGCAGGCTGGCCACAGACATAGTGGAAAGGCTGAGGGAACTAGAACTTTGCAGAGAGCTTTCGGAATTGTTCTCCTGACTGTAGGTCACAAAGCCCTGGGAGAAGCTCCTGGCCAGGTCACCGTCTCGATCCTGTGGCAAACCACCTACTGGCTCACCGAGGATGGATGGCTGGTGGTCTGTTGCTAGCTTCTGGGGGCAGAGCAGGGCAGACACAGAACCCTGTGTTCGATTCCTCCCCTGTCCACAGACAGATGTCTTGGGACGAACTTGAGCCAATGCACTGCCGGGGGAAGCTTGAAACAGACCATGAGTCTTGGATGCCTGAGTTTTGGTCACCATGGTGACCTGCAAGGGACTTGGGGCCCCCTTGTCTATCACCTCCCTAGTACCCGGGGGGGCCTGTTTGCGATTTGGGGGCTGATACCTCCTCCCCAGGCTCTCCCTGGAAGCCCTGGATGCCTGCTGCTGGCCTCTGGCCACTAAGGGTTGGTAGAGACCACGATGTACCCCTGAGGACTGACACCAAGGCAGGCCCCCACAGGTGAGGTAAGGCTGGTGAACATGGGCAGCCCTCCCACCACCCACGCTGCAAGGAAGCCTACCCGAGGCCACCCTGCCCTCCCTGGTCGATAGATAAGAGGCCACCCTGCTGACCACATGTGGCCTGTGGCAGCTCGGGGCTGTGCCATAGATCACAGAGGGCTGGTTCATGCTTGGGCCCACACAGTTGGCAATGAGAGGCTGCCACAGACTCGGGGGTGGCTGCATGTGGGACAGCTTGAGCAAACTGGGGCCCTCCCCACTCCCCTCGGGGTTAAAATCTGATGCCAATGTGCCAGGCTCCAGGGTCGGGCATGCTTCTTCCTTTTGGAACTTGGGGCTCAAATCCAGGTTTGAGGAGAAGTCCCTGCTGGACTCCATCATCTCCCGGGACAGCATGGGATACAGGCCAGTGATCAGGGGACCCTGGTGAATGCTGGTGATGACGCTACCCATCACCGAGGCTCCCACAGTGACCACAGATAAGCAGGGTGACCCCCACAAGATGGCCCCATCAATCCCCCATCTCCTCCAAGGGCCCGGCAGGTTGGCCCATGGTGAAACAACCCCAGATCCCAACCTGGGAATCCCTGACCTTGCTGGTCTGTGGTCTCACGGGGCCCAGGGAGGGCCCCCATGCGGCCGATGGACTCCTCCTGCAGGCCACCTTCACCAGGGCCGGCGTCTTAGTCACCCCGCTTCCTGTTGATTTCGAGGCGGCCTTGGGGAGGATGGTTCCAGTCCTCAGGGCCACCCGACACCAAGACTGGCTCAGGAGAGCACCCAGCTCACCCTGACACAGGGCCTGGCTCAGAGCCACCCACTCCTCCTCCGTCAAAGCCTTGCTAAGCACCTCGGCCAATTTACCCTGCATGACCTTGGTGAGTTCCGCCCGCAGCTCGCCCCGGGACAGGGCTCGGGACAGGGTCAGGCGCAGCTCACTCCAGGACAGCGCCTTCACCAGCGCCATGCTCAGCATGCTCTGGGGCAGGGCTTTGGTGACAGTGGCACCCAGGACCTCCTTGGACAGGGCCTGGTTCAGAGCTGCCCAGACTTCTCCCTGGGAGAGGGCTTTGGCCAACAGAGTGCGGAGATCCTCCTGGGATGCCAGCACACCAGCTACTTCAGCACACAAGGAGGCCAGCAGGGAGCCTACCGTGTCCTCCTGGCAGGGCACCGCCTGGCCGGGCATTGATGGCTGGGCACGTGTGGCTCCGTTGTCTCCCCAGGACTCAACGTTGCATGTGGAATGGCCGGTGGGTGCCATCGGCGGCACCAGCATACCCTGGACCTCACAGGCTGCCGGGCATGGTCCCCCCTGAGTGGTCTTCCCCGGCACGTGTCCGTGGGGCTGTGGCTGGGTCTGTCTGTCCTCTGGCTTGGCCCAGGGTGGGGCGCTGAGGCCACCGAGGCGCTGGCAGGCGTGGTTGGACACCTTGGACCCTGTTAGGAGCACCTGGGAGTGGGTGTTGCTGCTGAGATCAGCAGCCTGGTGCGCTGGGATGAGGCACGTGGTTATGTCTGTGATCGGCTGCCCCCGGGACTGCGTCTTGGTCAGACAGGTGGCTAGAGGCGCTTGGGACTGGACCTTCACGGCACCTGTGGCCAGATGTGTCTGGGAATGCATCTTGCTCAGACAGGTGTCCAGATGGGCCAGGGATGGGGTCTTGGTCAGCTCAGTGGGCAGATGTCCCTGAGATGAGGCCTTGGTCAGCGGGGCGGCCAGTGGTCTCTGGGACAGGCAGGGTGGATGTCTCTGGGATGAGGCATTGGTCAGTGGGGCAGCCAGCTGTCCCCGGGGCAGGGTGACAGCCATGTCTACAGGCACATACACGTGAGGTGGCTTGTCCCCTTCCTCAGCAACTTTTGTCCAGGATGGAGCCCCAGCCATTTCCACTGCCACACTGGTCTTAAATGCCATGTCTGTTTTCGCCTGTTTCTGGGTGCCAGTCTTGATTTTCTCGGCTTCCAAAGGAAGCTCAGCTGCAGCCCTGGGGACCCCAGTTCCCGGATGTGGTTGAGCCAGGCACCTGATCTTCCCCTCAGCCAAATAGGAGGGGGATGAGGCTTTCACCACCTTTGCAGCCTGCTTCACATTCACGGTGGCCTTGGCCTTGGGTGGGTTCTCATGGATGGAGCCTGAGGTGTTGGGAGTTCCGGCTGCTACCGCCACTTGGGGTGGAGCCTTGACATTTGCCACTGTTGGAGAGGCCAGACACAGAGTCTTGAGGATGGTGGCCACCGAGCGTAACTGGGCTGGGGTCTTGGTTATCATGGCTGGCAGGCGGGTCTGGGGTGAGGGCTTGGTCACCCCAACTGGGCTCCTCTGGGATGAAGTCTTGGACATTGTGGCTGACAGACATGTTTGCAATGGGTTTTTGGCTGGGGTGGTGACCGGGTGCATCTGGGGTGGGGTCTTTGCCATCGCAGGCCCCGGGCATACCTGGGGCAGGCTCTTCATGATGGAAGCCAGAAGGGAAACCTGAGGTCGGTTCTTTGCCGTGATGGTCGCAGGGCATGTCTGCCGTGGGGTGCCAGTTCTGGAGGCTGTGGGGTGTACCTGGATCTTGGTCATTGTGGGCATGGGGCATGTGTGAGGTGCAGTTTTGGTCACTGTGGGCCCCGGATACATCTGGGCTGGGGTCTTGATTATTGTTACTTTGGGAACTGGGCTAGTCTTGGGTGGGGTGGTGGTCATCGTGGACGCTGGATATGTCTGTGGCAGGGTCACGGAGACCACTGGATATGTCTGGAGTAGAGTCTTGGTGATCATGGGCCCTGGACATATCTGGAAGGGGGCTTTGGGGGTCTCTGCTTTCACAGGGCCCTGGGTTTGGGCTCTGGATGGTCTCGTAACTGCCTGGTCATACCTTCTGGACAATGGTGTCTCCGGAGCCCTGGCTTTGTTGGTCCGGGCACTTACACGTTTGGTCTTCACTGAGTCACCCTCTATGTGGACGAGGCAGGTGCTTCTGATGGTTCTGGTCAGCAGGCATGGCTGGCATTTTGCGTCCAGACTCACTGGGCAGGGAAATCTGATGGTGACCGTCTGGTGTGGCAGGAAGGCCAGCCCCCGGACTCTGGCAGCATGAGGACCCTGCACACAGGGCTCTGGGGTACCCTGAGCTGCTGGGGGCTGCAGGAGGGGGGACGACTGGGGTCTGCAGAGGACCAGATTGTCACAGGAAGGGAACTGGGTCTCCTTGTTCACCATGATGGGCGGGGACAGAAGGCGGTTCTCTTCCGGATGCTGGAAGCGCACCTGCTGTGGGGCGTGATAAGGTATGTCCCCCTCCTCCGCCCTCGTTTTCTTTACCAACGACTTGCTGGAGTGAAGGATGTGTCTCTTGTTGAAGCGCCGCCAGGCCTCCTGGATGGCCTTGGCCGCCATCATCTGGGAAATCAGCTTCTGCCGGAGCCAATAGCCCCTCCAGTTGGCTTGGATGAGCGTGGCTGCACGGGCGTGCATCATGTCCATCTCGTCTACCAGGATGTTCTTGAAGGCCTGGCTCTCGACCACAGCCCGGAGGCGTGGGACGCGGCGGGACGCCGTCTTGCCTTCGGCAGGCTGTTGCGGAAGATGCTCCTTGGACTTGAGGCCCTCGTGCTGGGGCTGTGGAGGCGCTTTCTCCATTTTGTCCAGGAGACTGGGGTGAGCGGGGGCTGGAGGATGCACCGCCCACTGGGTGACAACTGGCTCGTGAACTGTAGCTAGGCGGCCGGCTGCATTGCCTTGATTACCGGACAGGTCAGCTCTGCCTGTGGGGGCGGCAGGGGGTGGTCAGGGTGTAGCAGGTCCTGCAAACAAGAGGTCTCCTGGCTGGGGTGGACACTGGCCCCCCAGGCCCAGATCTTGTTCCTGGCACGTTGCGATCTTCCGCCTCCCTTTTTCCATCCCTCCCTCTCCCAAGTGGTCTTTGCCATCCTTATATCCACCTCTCATCACCCTACGGCCACTTCATCTTGGCACACAGTGTATGACACCTGAATGCCCGACCACTTACCTGCTTTTCTTTTTTCTTTTCTTTTTTTTTTTTTTTTTGAGACAGAGTTTTGCTCTTGTTGCCCAGGCTGGAGTGCAATGCTGTGATCTTGGCTCACCACAACCTCCGCCTCCTGGGTTCAAGCGATTCTCCTGCCTCAGCCTCCCGAGTAGCTGGGATTACAGGTGCACGCCACCATGCCTGGCTGGCTACTTTTCTGTATTTTTAGTAAAGACGGGGTTTCACCATGTTGGCCAGGCTGGTCTCGAACTCCCGACCTCGGGTGATCCACCTGACTCAGCCTCCCAAAGTGCTGGGATTACAGGTGTGAGCCACCGCGCCCGGCCTGCTTTTCAAACTTTATCTTGGATGTACCCTGGGTTTAGCACTGATCACAATGTTTTGGAAATTTCCTGTTTGCCTCTGTGTGTGTGTGTGTGTGTGTGTGTGTGTGTGTGTGTGTGTGTTTGAAAAAGAGAGAGAGAGAAGTGTGGTGGGGGAGATTATTTGCCTCTCCCCATTGATTGTGAATCCTAGAAGACAGAGTCATTTCTGTGTCCCCATCTCAGTCATAGAGCTTGGTTCCAAGCTGTGAATGGGTAGGTATTGGGTGGGGGGGGCATCTTGACTGATAAATGGTGAGTGGATTGGAAGTTGGATGGACAGATAGATACAGGACTAGATACTGAATGGATGAATCAGTCGATGAGTGAATGGTAGATGGGTTGGAAAGACAGATGAAGGTTTGGATGAATAGGTAAATAAAGCTGATGAATAAAGTGTTAAAGGCAAATTGGCCCGGCACGGTGGCTCATGTCTGTCATTCCAGCACTTTGGGAGGCCAAGGTGGGCAGATTGCTTGGGGTCAGGAGTTCGAGGCCAGCCGGGCCAACATGGTGAAACCCGTCTCTACTAAAAATACAGAAAAGTAGGCCAGGCACAGTGGCTCATGCCTGTAATCCCAGCACTTTGGGAGGCCGAGGTGAGCGGATCACAAGGTCAGGAGTTTGAGACCAGCCTGGCTAACGTGGTGAAACCCCATCTCTACTGAAAATACAAAAATTAGCTCGGCATGGTGGCTCGTGCCTGTAATCCCAGCTACTCAGGAGGCTGAGGCAGGAGAATTGTTTGAACCCGGTAGGCAGAGGTTGCAGTAAGCCGAGATCGCGCCACCTCACTCCAGCCTGGGTGACAGAGCAAGACTCTGTCTCAAAAAAAAAAAAAAAAAAAAGAGCCAGGTATGGTGGCATGAGCCTGTAGTCCCAGCTAGTCGGGAGGCTGAGGCAGGAGCATTGCTTGAACCCGGGAGGAGGAGGTTGCAGTGAGCCAAGATCACGCCATCACACTCCAGCCTGGGCAACAGAAGTGAAACTCCGTGTCAAATAAAAGGAAAGAAGGAAGGAAGCAAGGGAGGGAGGGAAATTAAAGAGAGCTGGAAAGACTGGTGAAGAGATAACCCAACAGGAGGTAGACTGATGGGTGGATGGGTGGGTGGGTGGATTAGGGGATGGGTAGGTAAATGGCATATGGAAGGATGGAAAGAAGGAAGAAAAAGTGGTGACTGTGGCTTTCAGAAGTAACTAGGATGCAGAGAGAGCTGGGACACTGTCAAGCCACCCTGATGCATAGCCTGGAGCACAGCACACTTGTTTGGCAGAAGCCCCTCTCTTCAGGTTGGACTAGCCAGACCCCTTGCCCATAGACCATCTTCTTACCTTGAAGGGTCATAGATTTGGAGGAGTAGCAGGAGAAGAAGGTGCAATCTCAGAAGCCAGCCTGCAAGAGGAGGCAGCCTTCAGCCTTTCATCCATGCAATATGCAGCAACACTGCCCTGGGCTGGCTCAAGACCAACACAAAAAGAAATGTTAAAAGCAAAAATGCTAAATTCTAAAATTTCTAAATTCTAAAAAAGCTAAATTCTAAAAAAAAAAAAAAATGTGCAAAGATGAGGAAATTTATTCCAGTGTTATTTTGTAGCTAGAAATCAAACAAAACAACTGGAAATAACCAAAACAGTGATTGGTAGAGGTTCTGCTACAAATGAATACAGAAGTATGTTCAAGGATGTTTAACACTGTATTGTTTAGCAGAGGAAAAACTGGAAGAAACCAAAATTATCAATGGAGACAGGCTTAAATTAATCATACAAGGGCATGATATCCAGGCATCAGAAATGGCGTCCAGGCTGAGCACAGTGGTTCTTGCCTGCAATCCCAGCACTTTGGGAGGCCAAGATGGGAGGATCACTTGAGGACAGAAGTTTGAGACCAGCCTGGGAAACTAAGCAAGAACTGTCTCTTAAAAAAAAAAAAAAAAAAAAAAAAAAATTGGCCAGGCGTGGCTCACGCCTGTAATTCCAGCACTCTGGGAGGCCGAGGAGGGTGGATCACCTGAGGTCAGGAGTTCGAGACCAGCCTGGCCAACATGGTAAAACCCCGTCTCTACTAAAAATACAAGAAATTAGCCAGGCATAGTGGTTGACGCCTGTAATTCCAGCTACTCAGGAGGCTGAGGCAGGAGAATATCTTGAACCTGGGAGGCAGAGATTTCAGTGAGCTGAGATCGTGCCATTGTACTCCATCTGGGGCAACAAGAGCAAAACTGTCTCAAAAAAAAAAAAAAAATAGGCCGGGCACAGTGGCTCACGTCTGTAACCCCAGCAATTTGGAAGGCCAAGGTGGGTGGGTCACTTGAGGCCAGGAGTTCCAGACCAGCCTGGGCAACATGGTAAAACCCGTCTCTACTAAAAACATAAAAATTAGCCAGTCATGGTGACATGCACCTGTAGTCCCAGCTACTCGGGAGGCTGAGACAGGAGGATCATTTGAGGCCAGGAGGTTGAGACTGCAGTAAGCTACGATGGCACCACTGCACTCGAGCCTGAGCGACAGAATGAGACCCTATCTCTTTTTTGTTTTTAAAACAGAGTCCCACCCTTTTGCCCAGGCTGGAGTGCAGCGTCACAATCTCGGCTCACTGCAACCTCTGCTTCCCAGGTTCAAGTGATTCTTGTGCCTCAGTCTCCCAAGTAGCTGGGATGACAAGTGTAAGCCACGGTGCCTGGCTGAGACCCTGTCTCAAAAAAAAAAAAAAAAAGATTGTGATTAAAGAGTAAGTATAAGATAAAAGGTAACCTGGGAGGCCAGGCATGGTGGCTCACACCTGTCATCCCAGCACTTCGGGAGGCCAAGGCAGGTGGATCACAAGGTCAGGAGTTCGAGAACAGCCTGGCCAACATGGTGAAACCCCGTCTCTACTAAAAATACAAAACTTAGCCAGGCACAGTGGCATGCACCTGTAATCCCAGCTACTTCAGAGGCTGAAGCAGGAGAATCACTTGAACCCGAGAGATGGAGATTGCAGTGAGCCGAGATCACGCAACTGCACTCCAGCCTGGGCGACAGAGTGAGACTCTGTCTCAAAAAAAAAAAAAAAAAACCAGGCGCAGTGGCTCACGCCTGTAATCCCAGTGCTTTGGGAGGCCGAGGTGGGTGGCTCACGTGAGGTCAGGAGTTCAAGACCAGCCTGGCCAACATGGTGAAACTCTGTCTCTACTAAAAATACAAAAATTAGCCAGGTATGATGGCAGGTGCCTGTAATCCCAGCTACTTAGGAGGCTGAGGCGGGAGAATCTCTTGAACCCAGTAGGCAAAGGTTGCAGTGAGCTGAGATCATACCATTGCACACCAGCCTGGGTGACTGAGCGAAACTCAGTTCAAAAAAAAAAAAAAAAGATAAAAGGAAACTCTATGTGGTACTTTAGGGCTGAGGGAGTATCCCCAAAAAAGGGGCAAATTTGGAGAGCATTCAGACTTCCTTGGAGAAAGTATGGTCCCGCCTAACAAGTTAACGGAGATAATTGCTGGATCGGCCAAGCCAGAGCTGGTCTGGAGTTGCAAAACAAGCAAAAGGCCCACCCTCCAGGGTGCAGATGTGGGAACAGGTTATCAACAGTTGGTGCTCTGGATGTGCACTGGAAACCTAAGTGTTGCTGGGGCAGGAGGCCTTCAATGTGTATGGGCCACCGTGGGGGCTCTGTTCGTTTATTATCATTTATTTATTTATGATTTTTGAGACAGAGTCTCACTCTGTCCCCCAGGCTGGAGTGCAGCGGCACTCAGCATCTTGGCTCACTGCAACCTCCGCCTCCTGGGTTCAAGCGATTCTCCTGCCTCAGCCTCCCGAGTAGCTGGGATTACAGGCATGAATCCCACCACACCCAGCTAATTTTGTTTGTTTTGTTTTGTTTTGTTTTTGGAGGGACGGGGTTTCACCATGTTGGCCAGGCTGGTCTCAAACTCCTGATCTCAGGTGATTCGCCTGCCTCGGCCTCCCAAAGTGCTGGGATTACAGGCGTGAGCCACCGCGCCTGGCCTTTTTTTTTTTCTCTCTCTCTTTTGAGTTTTGTTCTTGTCGCCCAGGCTGGAGTGCAGTGGCGCGATCTCCTTTCACTGCAACCTCTACCTCTCGGTTTCCAGCGATTCTCCTACCTCAGCCTCCTGAGCAGCTGGGATTACAGGCACCTGCCACCACGCCTAGCAAATTTTTGTATTTTTAGTACAGATGGGGTTTCATCATATTGGTCAGGCTGGTCTCAAATTCCTGACCACAGGTGATCCACCCACCTTGGCCTCCCAAAGTGCTGGGATTACAGGCATGAGCCACCGCGCCCGGCCTTAGGGGCTCTGTTTTTTGTGTGTGTTGAGAGGGCTGCAGAAAGGTTTTCACCAGGTCAAGACTGCAAAGTCACAGGACCACGTTCTGGATCCAGGGCTCGGGCAGGCTTCACCTGGTGTCTTCACACCTCTATCCCTAATGCCTCACCAGCGCCCTCTATTGAGAAATCTTAGCATTGTGCTCACTTTTTTTTTTTTTTTGAGACGGAGTCTCGTTCTGTCTCCCAGGCTGGAGTGCACTGGCACCATCTCGGCTCACTGCAAGCTCTGCCTCCCGGGTTCACGCCATTCTCCTGCCTCAGCCTCCTGAGTAGCTGGGACTACAGGCGCCTGCCACCACGCCCAGTTAATATTTTGTATTTTTAGTAGAGACGGGGTTTCACTATGCTAGCCAGGATGGTCTCCATCTCCTGACCTCGTGATTCGCCCACCTCGGCCTCCCAAAGTGCTGGGATTACAGGCGTGAGCCACCGCGCCTGGCCGAGCATTGTGCTCACTTTAAACAAGACATAACGAAAGAAATTCCTTTGTTTATCACATATTGAAAGGGTCCATTCGGAGACAAGAGGCAATGCATGGATAATTGACACACATATATTTATTATTTTTATTTTTTTGAGATGGACGGAATCTTGCTCTGTTGCCCAGGCTGAAGTGCAGTGGCACGATCTTGGCTCACTGCAACCTCCGCCTCCCAGGTTCAAAGTGATTCTCCTGTCTCAGCCTCCCGAGTAGCTGGGATTACAGGCACTTGCCACCACACTTGGCTAACTTTTGTATTTTTAGTAGAGTTGGGGTTTCGCCATGTTGGCCAGACTGGTCTCGAACCCCTGACCTCAAGTGATCCGCCCGCCTCGGCCTCCCAAAGTGCTGGGATTACAGGCATGAGTCACCATGCCCGGCCTAATTATTATTATTATTCTCTTTGAGACGGAATTTCACTTTTGTTGCCCAGGCTGGAGTGCAATGGCGCCATCTTGGCTCACTGCAACCTCTGCCTCCAGGTTCAAGCGATTCTCCTGCCTCAGCCTCCCAAATAGCTAGGATTACAGGCATGCGCCACCACACCTAATTTCGTATTTTTAGTGGAAATGGGGTTTCTCCATGTTGGTCAGGCTGGTCTTGAACTCCTGATCACAGGTGATCTGCCCGCCTTGGCTTCCCAAAGTGCTGGCGTTACAGGCGTGAGCCACCTTGCCCGGCCTAATTTTTGAATTTTTAGTAGAGATGGGGTTTGACCATATGGGTCAGGCTGGTCTCGAACTCCTGAGGCAGGAAAATCACTTGAACCCGGGAGACAGCAGCTCTGGGAGCTGAATGGGCCCATTCCAGGGGCTGAGGTTTCATCAACCAAACGGTGCAGCTCTTTAGAGGAACTCAACCAGAAGGGGTGAGAAACGGGATTGTGGGGGATGAGAAGAAGGAACAGGGGCCCCCTGGACACAGAAGCCAAGCGACTGGCTCGGTAATTTTGAGTAAACCCCTCTGAGCCTCAATTTCCCTATCTGTCACAAGACATAAGATCACCATCCTCAGGTTGCCAAAGAGACACAACAGGCTCAGCTGGGCGCAGTGGCTCCTGCCCGTAATCCAAGCACTTTGGGGGACCAAGGTGGGAGGATCGCTGCAGCCCAAGAGTTTGAAAACAGCCTGGGCAACATGTCTCTATTTATTTAAAAAAATAATAATAAAGAGACATAACAGGCTCTCCATGATGTCCCCCATCACAGGTGAACAAATCCACCATCAAGGCTTTAGAGGTCCCTAGAGCCCCTGCTGTGAGGGGCCAAGGAGCTGACCCATCATTTGCAGTCACCCAGAAGGCCCAGAAGGGCTCTAAAGGCACTGGGGGCCAGAGGAGAACGACAGGGTCCCCCACGAACCCTCGCAAACAAGTCCTCCACCAGCCCCACTCACCCGCCCCTGAAGCCACCAGCCCCACTCACCCGCCCCCAAAGCCACCAGCCCCACTCACCTGCCCCTGAAGCTAAACCTAGCAGTCTGAACGGCCAGTCTTGGAGCCCTGGTGCCGCAGCAGCTTTGTGACTCAAAGCCAAGTTCTGGCCAATCCCTGGCAGCTCTTAGGGGGTGGGGATTCTAGAAGGCACAGCCAGAGGTTGGGGAACAGGATGCAGGGCAGGGCCAAAGGTCATGGTGGTTGCTACCTACACCGGCTCATCCTGAGTACAAAGGGTTCTCAGCACAGAGGGAACCCCAAATCTCCCCCTCCATGTACCTAGAGGCAGTTTCAGTCTTTCATCCCACGGGCATTTTCTGAGCACCTACTATATGCTGGAATTTGCCCCATGTCTGGGGATACAAACAACTCAAAGAATTTGAGGCTGTAAAATGGCTAGATGGGAAGGGACCAAAAAGGGGGTGCAACGGGCCAGTCAGGGTTCTCACTGATGTCTTGGGTGTGGCTCTGAGACTGCGGGCTCCTTGGGGTGGGGCCGGACTTGATCTCTTGGGATCCCCACTGGGCCCGGCAAAAGTGGGTACTGACCCTGAGCCGCAGCGCTATAAGGGGAAGTCAGGCTGCTGTCCTGGATCACCTCCTGGGGCTGGGCTGGGGCCCAGCATGAGTCACCGCTGGCTGGGCCAAGGCTGACACGCACCTTGGACTCAGTGCAGCTGGCTCCAGCCAAAGCCAGCCTGGCCCAGAAGCCTCTGCCTGGCTTCCTTGGGGAGCCGCTGGGGGTTGCCGGGACAAGAACCAGCAGGGGTGCCTGACCTCCCTCTGCAGCGATCACCCCCTCCAAAACCTTCCCTATACTGTGGGTGTGACTTTGGACAAAATCAGGGACATGGCAGATGGCAGTTGGGTGGGGTTTATATCCTTTGTCTGTTTTTTGAGATTGAGTCTCGCTCTGTTGCCCAGGCTGGAGTGCAGTGCTACGATCTCAGCTCACTGCAACCTCCACCTCCCCGGGTTCAAGCGATTCTCGTGCCTCAGCCTCCTGAGTAGCTGGGACTACAGGTGCATGCTATGACGCCCAGCTGATTTATGTAGTTTTAGTAGAGATAGGATTTCACCATGTTGGCCAGGCTGGTCTCAAACTCCTGACCACAAGTGATCCGCCTGCTGCGGCCTCCCAAAGTGCTGGGATTACAGGCATGAGCCACTGCACCCAGCTCATCCTTTGGATGTTTCATCAGAACAGGTCCCTTCTGTGCTGTCAACGAGCTAAACACAAACTGGGAGTTCTCAGGGCAATTGGAGACCGTAGGAGCCCAGTAAGGTGCTGGCCTAGCCTGAGGGTTACTAGGGACAGGCTTCCGAGGACTGTGCAGCTGAGGCTGGGAGGTGGCGCTCAGCTGCATGACTGGGGGAAGAGTAGCTGGCACAGAACTACAGCTGCAGCCGTGCAAAGACCCTGAGGCCAGGAAGGCAGGATATTGGGAATTTGGGTGGAGAGGCTCCTGAAAGGAGACACTGGCCAGCCCAGGGACTGGTGCAGTCAGGACTTTTTCCAAAAAGGTTTCAAGTAAGGAGTCAGATCTGTGATTTAGAAAAAGCCCTTCACATCACAGCTCATGCCTGCTTGACTCCCCCATCAGACTGGAGGGCTGGCCTCAACTAGGTGTCAATAAATGCTGGGGACGCTGGGCGCGATGGTTCATGCCTATAATCCCAGCACTTTGGGAGGCCAAGGCGGGCAGATCGATTGAGCCCAGGAGTTTGAGACCAGCCTGACCAATATGGCAAAACCTCGTCTCTACTAATAATACAAAAATTAGTCAGGCATGATGGCAAATGCCTGTAATCCCAGCTACTTTGGTGGCTGAGGCAGGAGAGTCACTTGAACCCAGGAGGTGGAGGCTACAGTGAGCCAAGATTGCACCACTGCACTCCAGCCTGAATGAGAGACCCTGACTCAAAAAAAAAAAAAAAAAAAAAAAAAAAAAAGAGGCCGAGTACAGTGGCTCAATACCTGTAGTCCCAGCATTTTGGGAGACCGAGGTTGGAGGATCACTTGAACACAGGAGTTCAAAACCAGCCTGGGCAACATAGATCCCATCTCTACAAAAAAATTATTTAAAAATTAGTAGGGCGGCTGGGCGTGGTGGCTCACGCCTGTAATCCCAGCACTTTGGGAGGCCAAGGCTGGCGGATCATGAGGTCAGGTGATCGAGATCAACCTGGCTAACACGGTGAAAGCCCATCTCTATTAAAAACACAAAAAAATTAGCCAGGCATGGTGGCAGGCGCCTGTAGTCCCAGCTACTCAGGAGGCTGAGGCAGGAGAATGGCGTGAACCTGGGAGGCGGAGCTTGCAATGAGCCGAGATGGCGCCACTGCACTCCAGCCTGGGCGGCAGAGCAAGACTCCGTCTCAAAGAAAAAATAAAAATAAAAATTAGTAGGGCATGGTGGCGTGCACCTGTGGTCCCAGCTACTTGGGAGGCTGAGGTGAGGCAGGACAATCAGTTGAGCCTAGGAGGTCAAGGCTGCAGTGAGCTGTGGTCTTGCCACTGCACTCTGGCCAAGGCAAGAGCGAGACCTCATCTTGTAAAGAAAAAAAAAAACAAACTTGTGGGGCCCAGTGGCTCACGCCTGTAATCCCAGCACTTTGGGAAGCCAAGGTGGGTGGATCACCTGAGGTCAGGAGTTCGAGACCAGCCTGGGCAACATGGTGAAACCCTGTCTCTACTAAAAATACAAAAAAAAATTTAGCCAGGCAGGGTGGCTCACGCCTGTAATCCCAGAAACTTTGGGAAGCTGAGGCGGGCAGATCACGAGGTCAGGAGATCGAGACCATCCTGGCTAACACGGTGAAACCCCGTCTCTACTAAAAACACAAAAAAATTAGCCGGGCATAGTGGCGGGCGCCTGCAGTCCCAGCTACTCAGGAGGCTGAGGCAGGAGAATGGCATGAACCAGGGAGGCAGAGCTTGCAGTGAGCTGAGATCGCGCCACCGCACTCCAGCCTGGGAGACAGAACGAGACTCCGTCTCAAAAAAAAAAATTTAGCTGGGCATGGTGGCAGACACCTGTAATCCCAGCTAATCAAGAGGCTGAGGCAAGAGAATCGATTGAAACTGGGAGGTGGAGGTTGCGGTAAGCCAAGATCAGGCCATTGCACTCCAGCCTGGGCGACAAGAGGAAGACTCAGTCTCAAAAAAAAAAAAGAAAAACAAAGTACGTCCTCCACCTCTCTGCAGGGCTCCTCAGAGTCCTTTCGCCTTAGACCACTTGGGGGCAGGCAAGCAAGAGACCTGGGTTTGAATCGCTGCTCTGCCATTTAACAGGGGTGTTGGCCGGGCACGGTGGCTCACGCCTGTAATCCCAGCACTTCGGGAGGCCGAGGCGGGCGGATCATGAGGTCAGGGGATCAAGACCATCCTGGCTAACACGGTGAAACCCCATCTCTACTAAAAGTACAAAAAATTAGCCAGGCGTGGTGGCGGGCGCCTGTATTCCCAGCTACTCAGGAGGCTGAGGCAGGAGAATGGCATGAACCCAGGAGGCGAAGCTTGCAGTGAGCCGAGACTGCGCCACTGCACTCCAGCCTGGGAGACAGAGCGAGACTCTGTCTCAAAAAAAAAAAAAAAAAAAAACAGGGGTGTTGGGCAAGTCTCAAAACCTCCCTTCCCCTTCTCTACTAATTGGGGGCCACAGTAGGTACCATCATTGAGTGCGGTCACTGTTGTCCGTCCCCTGAGCACCTCCCAGTTCTGACTTCTGACCTGAGAGATGTTATGCTGGATGCAAACACCCGCATCTCACAGCACAGGATGTAGAGGCCATCGGGGGAGGAGGACTCGCCTGAGATCTCACAAATGCCAACTGGAACCTAAGCTGGGTCCCGGTCTCCCAACCAGTGACACTCTGCCCGAGATGTGGTTCTTGGTCTCTTGTGTGTCAAGACACCCCTGCTCTCCCACCTCAGCCTCAGTTCCCTTCAGCAGGTTCCTTCAGGCCCTGCTGAAACGTCTGCATGACCTCCCACAAGGCAACGTGACAGCTAAAAACCAAACCCTGGCCGGACGTGGGGGCTCACGCCTGTAATCCCAGCACTTTGGGAGGCCGAGGCGGGTGGACCACTTGAGGTCAGGAGTTCCAGACCAGCTTGACCAACATGGTGAAACCCTGTCTCTACTACAAATACAAAAAAGTAGCCGAGCATGGTGGGCACCTGTAATCTGAGCTACTTGGAGGCTGAGGCAGGAGAATCACTTGAGCCCGGGGAGGCAGAGGTTGCAGTGAGCCTAGATGGCGCCACTGCACTCCAGTCTGGGTGACAGAGCGAGACTCTGTCTCAAACAAATGAACCCCAACATAGCTGTTGGTGGCAAGGCCTTTCTCCATGACCAAGGGACGGTGGCCATTCTCTCCAAGTTTCTTCATCTGTAAAATGGGTACAATTCAGTGGCCCTCCCTAACAGGGCTGGCTAGGTACACATGGCCACCAGCCCTACTTGCTGTGTGACCTCGGCCACTAATGTTCACATCCCTCAGGGTCCCCAATGAGTTGGAAGCCCAAAGCGCAGGGTCTTAACAGCAAAGGGCAGAGCAGGCAGGAGAAGCAGGAAGCCTCGGGTCAAAGCTCTGAAAGTGAGGGAGTCCAAGGTCAGACTATCTCTGCACAGTCTCCTTAAAAGGCTGTGTGATGTCAAGCCAGTTGCTCAACCTCTCTGAACCTTAGATTTCCTCAAAGTAGGGAGTAGGATGTTGGGAGGAGGAGGAGAAGCGAACTTCAGGGAGATACTTGGAAAATCCCAGTCCTGGAGGCAGACCTCTTGGGTTAGATCCCACCTGTGCCAACTTCCTCCTGGTACTGGGTCCATCAGCTTGTCCTGGGCCTCAGCATCCCCCGATCCACCAAAAGAGAAAAGCTTACACTGTAAGCCAAGCACTGCTCTGTAAACATAAACTCTCTTAATCGTCACAACTTTATGGGGCAAGTTTTTCGACTGTTCTCCCCATTTTATACGGACAGGCAAACCAAGGACCAAAAGGTTAAAAAGTTTACTAAGTTTCTGTCTCTTCCTTCCTGCTTTGGGCTGGGGCTGTGCCCTTTCCACCTCGAAATCTCTCCTTCCCAAAAGGCAAGGGGGCATTAGCTAGTTCCAAACGCAGATCAAAGACCCCAAGACCCCTCCCCAACCTGGACATCAGCCGGCCCCGCGCCAAGGCGCGTCTAGGGGGCGCTCGCTGCGCGCCAGATGTGCGGGCCGCTCTCAGACACCCGCTCTCTGCTCCCTCCAACAAGGGGAGGAGCTAGGGACAGAGGGAGGAGAGAAAGGCGGGGGTGTAGGGGGGAAGCGAACCAGGCCCCGCCCAGCCCGCCAGGCCCCGGCGGGGGAAGAAGGAGGCGGAGAGCCGAGCTGGCGTAACGAGACTTTACTGAAAACAGAAAACCGGGCGAACCAAGGATTACAAACAGGAATGTGGACTCGTAGCAAAACAAAACAAAACAGAACAAAAAAGGGAGGGGGGACCGGTCGAAAGAACCGAAGGGGGGAGCGAGATCGAGGAAAGGGGCGGAGAATTTTTTTTTCTTCTTCCCATTTCTTTAAAAAACCAACACAAGAAAACACACACACACACAACCAACGTTTGTTCCCGAGTAGAAACATAAATAGGGCAGAATCGAACACTCTGTTCTTCTCTCTTCCAAAGAAAAAAAAAAAAAAGTAAAAGTAAAGGAAAGGCAGGGTTTGAGGCTGCGCCCCCTCGGAGCCCCCTTCCGCGGCGCGGTGTACAAAGGGGCAGCCGAGACGCGCGGGTTTGTGCAACACGGGGCGGCCGCGCGGGGGAAAGAGGCAGCGCGAGGGCGGGGGGGTCATGCGCTCGCCCCCCCGGGAGCAGGGGGTCCAGCTTGTCGAGTCCTGGGCACCCTCGGGGGGGGGGAATCCCCGGGGGCCGCGCCCTCTCTGAGTTCCTGGGCACACTCGGGGAGGGGGGGTCCCCAGGGCCGCACCCTCTCCAAGTCCGGGGCGCCCACGACACCCCCCCGCGAGCCCGCCCCTTGGGGAGGGTGGCCGCGCATGCGCCCCGCGCGCGGACTCAGTACGCGGGCACCTGGTGCTGGGGCAGCAGCTGGCAGCCGCTGTTGACGTGGCTGAGGACTTTCTGCTTGAGCTGCGCCACCTGCTCGCGCAGCAGGCTCGCCGTGGACGCCAGCTCCGTGTTCTGACTCTTGAGGGTCTTCACTTTCTCTTCCAGGCGCGAGATGCGCTCCAGCTTGCGCTTGCGGCACTTGGAGGCGGCGATGCGGTTGCGCAGCCGCTTGCGCTCCGCCTTGATGCGCTCCTGCGTGTCCATGTCGATGGGCGACAACGGCGGGCTCTCGCCGAAGCTCGGCACGTCGGGCACCGTCTGTGGCTCGTCCTTGAGCGCAGCCAGGCGCGGCGGCCCCAACGCGCCTGGGGGTGGCGGCGGCGGGAAGGGCACAGGTTCGGCAGCGAAGGCGACCGTCGCGGCGCCCCCCGCGCCCCCGGCGCCGCCCGCGTAGCTGCTCAGGTTCGCGTAGACAGGCGCTTCGGGCGCGGCCGCCGCCGGGGCCAGCTCGCCGGGGGGCGCGGAGCCCGTGGCCGTGCCCGAGGGCCCCCCGGCGGCGGCGGCGGCGGCGGCAGCGGCCGCGCCCGCGCCGAGCTGGTTCTGCTTGTGTAAATCCTCCAGGGCCTTGACGAAGCCCTCGGCGAACTCCTGCTCCTCGCTGGCCGCCACCTTGGGGTAGAGGAACTGTGAGCTCGTCGGCGTGGTGGTGACCAGCCCGTTGGACTGGATGATGAGGCGCTCGAGCTCGGGGGAGGCCAGCTTCAGCAGCCCCAGGTCGGGAGAGGCGAGCAGGCCGTCGGGGGGTGCCGCGCTGGGGGCGCCGTCGGCGCGCAGGGGGGTAGGAGGCGGCGCGGCCGCAGGCTTGAGCGCTGCCGCCACCTGCTCACTCAGGCTCAGCGTCAGCGCGTCCTTCTTCATCATGCTGCCGGCCGCGGCCGTCGGGGGCGCCCCGGGGAACAAGCGGCCCGGGGACGCGAAGCTGCCGCCGCTGCCACTGGCGCCGCCGCCCAGGCCGCTCAGCGCCTCATCGCCGTAGAAGGGTGTTTCCATCCTCCGCCTCCCCCGCCGCGCCGGCCCGGGGGGGAGTGGCCGCGGCCTCCCGGGGGGCCCGCGCCCCCCCGTCCGCTCGGCCCTGCGCCCGCCCCGGCCGCGGCCGCAGCGCCCGGCCCTCCACTGGCGGCGGCTCCTGCGCCGCGCCACTTGTGCGCCCTCTTATAGCCTCGGCTCGGCGCGATGAGCTCACCGCCCCCGTTCGCCATTGGGTGCGGGTGACGTCGCTCATTTGCATGGAGGGGCGGGGCCAAGCCGCCGACGCCCGCCCGGCCGCCGTTGCCCCGGCGACGCGCGGTAAACGCCACAACAGCGCGCTGCCTTGTGGGTTGACGTCATGGGGGCGGCCGCGCGCCCGGGCCGGGTCACCCCGCCCCGGGACCGCTGTGTACGACCGATCTCCCCGGCGCCGCCTCCGCCAAGGCACGTCCCGGGTGGCGTGATGGGCCCGGGCCACCAGGCGCCCGCCCGCCCCGAGGCCCCGCCCCGTGTCCGCGCGTGGGGCCCCGGCCGGGCGGGGGCGGGGGCGGGGGCGGTGCCGGCCTCCGGGGACTGGAGGGGGATGGGGTCCCGCATGGCTAAATAACTCCTTGGCGCCTCCTGCTCTGCTGTGCCGCCAGGGCCTCCCCTAGCGCGCCTTCTGGAGAGGCTTTGTGCGGATACGGGGCTGGAGGCCTGGTGGGGCTGTGTCCGGGGGCTCGCCGGGGGTGTGGGGAGGTCTGCGTTCCTCACCCTCCCTCCTTCCTTCCCTCCCTCCCTCCACCCCGCGTGTGATTGCTCAGGAAGAGACGGGAGGGGAGAGGAGGGTCGCCAGAAGTTGCTGAAAGCGCTTGGATCCTGATCATTTTCACTGAGTGCGTTCTAGAACCAGGAGTCCTACTTCCTGCCTTTACAGATGGGAAACTGGGCTCAGAGAGGTGGAGTGACCATCCCCCGAGAGTTAGCTAGGAGTCACAGCAGGGCCCGGGCTGTGACTAGGCCTGAGCTCTTGTCCACCCTTAGAACCCTAGAACCTGGGAGTCCAGGCCCCTGCGCAGCCCCTTCCTTCCGCCGCCCACGTTTTAACCCCAGGTCTGCCAGGGCTGTGATGTCCTGGGCGAGGGTGCCCAACTCCAGGGGCTGGGCTGATGAGGCAGGAATGCCGGGTATAATTATTACATGCTTGTTACCACTATCATGGCTGTTAGGGCTTAATGAGCCACTATTAAGACTGGCTGGGAAGGGGGTGTGAGGGAGGAGAGATGGACCCACCCCACCAATACTCACAAGGGATCCTTAGGACATCTGGATCTGACCTACAGCCTCTGCATGCACCCCTCCAGCTCCCCACCTCTGTCTGAATGGAGCCCACACCCTCCTTTCCCTGACCTCCTTCCCCTCACTCTCTCTGATCCTTGGCCTCCCAGTTGCAGGACTAATCGTACCTCTGGGCCTTTGCACGTGCTATGCTCTCTGCTTGGTACTCCCTTCCCCCAGTGCAAAGATGTGTCTTCAGGAAGTGCCCCACCCTCAGACTTTACTCCTTTATTGTAGCCTCTGAATCTGCCAGAATGATGGAGTGGACCATAGTCCCTGAAGGTCAGGGACATTGCCTATGCTGAGCCTGCTGACAGGGCCTCGCATAGAATGGATGCTCAGTATTAAAGGTGAATGCGGGGCTGGGTGTGGTGGCTCATGCCTGTAATCCCAGCACTTTGGGAGGCCGAGGCAGGCAGATCACTTGAGGTCAGCAGTTCAAGACCAGACTGGCCGAAATACAAAAATACAAAAAAAAAAAAAAATACGAAAATTAACCGGGTGTGGTGGTGTGCACCTGTAATCCCAGCTACTCAGGAGGCTGAGACATGAGAATCGCTTGAACCCGGGAGGCAGAGGTTGCAGTGAGCTGAGATTGTGCCACTGCACTCCAGCCTGGGAGACAGAGTGAGACTCCAGTCTCAAAAAAAAATAAAAAATAAAGGTGAATGCAACAAAAGGTTGCTTGTGTGGGTGGTCTCTAGCCTCAGTTTGTCTGCCTGGCCAGTGGGCATGCGTTACTCCTTTTCTATCCTCCTTACTCACCTGGCTCTGCCCCCAACTGGGGCATGAAGGCCATAAGGGAGGCTGTCCTCATCACCAAGAGAGGTGGCCTGTCGGCCACACGCGGTGACTCCTGCCTGTAATCCCAGCACTTTGGAAGTCTGAGGCAGGCATTTGAGGTCAGGAGTTTGAGACCAGCCTGACCATCATGGTGAAACCCCATCTCTATTGAAAATAAAAATTAGGCTGGGCGCAGAGGCTCACGCCTGTCATCCCAGCACTTTAGGAGGCCAAGGCAGGCTGATCACGAGGTCAGGAGATCAAGACCATCCTGGTTAACACGGTGAAACCCTGTCTCTACTGAAAAATAAAAAAAAAAATTAGCCGGGCATGGTGGCGGGCGCCTGTAGTCCCCAGCTACTCGGGAGGCTGAGGCAGGAGAATGGCATGAACCCGGGAGGCAGAGCTTGCAGTGAGCCGAGATCACACCACTACACTCCAGCCTGGGCAACAGAGCGAGACTCCGTCTCAAAAAAAAAAAAGAAAAAAGAAAAGAAAAAAAAATTAGCCAGGTGTGGTGGCAGGTGCCTGTAATCCCAGCTAGTCGGGAGGCTGAGGCAGGAGAATCGCTTGAACCCGGGAGGTGGAGGTTGCAGTGAGCCGAGATTGCGCCATTGCACTCCAGCCTGGGCTACAGAGTGAGACACTGTCTCAAAAAAAAAAAAGAAGAAAAAAAAAATAGGCTGGGCGAGGTGGCTCACACCTGTAATAAGCACTTTGGGAGGCTGAGGCGGGCAAGTCATCTGAGGTCAGGAGTTCGAGACCAGCCTGGCCAATATGGCAAAACCCTGTCTCTACTAAAAATACAAAAATTAGCCAGGCATGGGGAGCGCACCGGTAATCCCAGCTGCTCTGGAGAAAGGAGAATCACTTGAACCCAGGAGATGGAGGTTGCAGTGAGCTGAAATCATGCCACTACACTCCAGCCTGGGCAACAGGGCAAGACTCCATCTTAAAAATAATAATAATAATAATAATAATAATAATAATAATAATAATAAAGACCTGGCCTGGCAGGCCTGGGATTCAAATTGCCAGGGCAGGGAACTGGAGGTGTGGGTTTGTTTTGTCTCTAGATTGGTTAGGAAGGTGTCTGTCTGCCTATTGGAGTGTGTGTCTGTGTGTGCACCTGTGTCTGTCTGTATTCGTGTTGTATAGACAGACGCAGGTACACACAGATACATACTCAGATCCATGGGTCTCTGTGCTCTCTAGCCCAGGTTCTATCCTGGACAAAGAGATCCCTAGTGGGACAAGATCCAGCCCGCAGACCTGTAGCCAGCCCTGCCCTGGGAACCCCTCTCTGGGTCCCGTGCAGTGGGGCCAGAGTGGAGGAGACGGGGTCATGCCTCTCCCTGAGGCAGGAGGTGAGTGGGCGGCCTACAGAGGCCCTGCCCTGAACTTGGGCCTCAGCCTTGGCAGCTGGGGAGATGGTCTGGTGAATGGTAGGCTGAGACAGCCTGAGCTGAGTGGAGCACTTTCCTGCAGGCAGGCAGGTGAGATACAGAGGCCTGTCAACCTCTCTGAGCCTCAGCTTTTCCTTCATGAAAATTGAGCAAATAAACCTACCTACTTTGTGGAGTATCGCGATTTTTTTTTTTGAAATGAAAGGCCTCACATATTTATTACTGAACCCAGCCAACCCACACGTTCATAACAGATTCAGAGAGGAAAACACGTCGAACTCTCCAGATAGTGGTGACACTTTCAGTTTGATATGCTAACGTGATCGTGACCTTCAGACAGCATAAATATGTGTGCCATCTCATGTGCAATTCCTTATAGACCCAGCTTGGTTCTTCTCCAGTGTCCTTTTGGAGTTGTACCTGATTTTATTTCCAGTTTTCATCCAAATCCACTGGGGAATGGGACGATTTTGCTTTTGTTTCTTGTCCAGGAATCGCTTAATCCTGAAAGTCTTGTAGGAAGATATGGCGAGAAGTGGAGTCAAGAACACACCACGATGGTGCAGAAAGGAAAAGCATTGCGATTTTTATTGGATTTGAAGAAATAGTAAGGGGTCAGGCTGGGTGTGGTGGCGCACGCCTGTAATCTCAGCACTTTGGGAGGCTGAGGCAGGTGGATCACGAGGTCAGGCGTTCGAGACCAGCCTGGCCAACATAGTGAAACCTTGTCTCTACTAAAAATACAAAAATTCTCCCGGTGTGGTGGCGCACGCCTTTAGTCCCAGCTACTTGGGAGGCTGAGGCAGGAGAATCACTTGAACCCAGGAGGAGGAGGTTGCAGTGAGCCGAGATCGCGCCACTGCACTCCAGCCTGGGCAACAGAGTGAGACTCCAACTCAAAAAAAAAAAAAAAAGAAAGAAAAAACAAATAGTAAGGGGTCAATAAATGCTTTCTATGATTGTATTATTTGCCCAAATGTAACTGCAGTTCTTTGGTTTTGAGTTCTCTCAGCTTGGAATACCCTTACACTCTTGGCGAACTCCTACTCATCCTTCAAAACCCACCACCTTCTCCAAGAAACCCTTCCTGACCATGTCCCCTAGGACCGTCGTCAATCCTCTCCATCTGGCTAAGACCTGTCTGTCCCTTATCTGTGTCTTGTTCTGTCTCCTCCATAGAAGGGGAGGGGAGGTCTTCAGGACTGGATGGGGAAGGCCTCTCCTGGCCCCTAAGTGTGGGAAGCTGCCTTTGCCACCCCCAAGGGCTCCTTTCTTCTTTTTTTTGAGATGGAGTCTCGCTCTGTCGCCCAGGCTGGAGTGCAGTGGCTTGATCTTGGCTCACTGCAACCTTCCCCTCCTGGGTTCAAGCGATTCTCCTGCCTCAGCCTCCCTAAATAGCTGGGATTACAGGCATGTGCCAACACGCCCGGCTAATTTTTTGTATTTTTAGTAGAGACGGGGTTTCACGATGTTGGTCAGGCTGGCCTTGAGCCTGACCTCATGATCTGCCCGCCTCAGCCTCCCAAAGTGCTGGGATTACAGGCTTGAGTCACTGCGCCTGGCCTCCCTTTTTCTTTCTCTTCGCATTTTCTGTTGCTCCACCTCAATGCCCTTTCCTACCCTCTCCTTCCTCCTCCCAGCCAGAGAGCCCTCTGGGACACCCCATTCCTGTCCTTCCATTTATCCCAGCCCTGACACCACAGCAGCTGTTGGTCCAGCTCTGTTTTCCCAGAGTGGGGGTTCCTCCGGGGCAGATCTGAAGCCACTTTGGACATATGGGGCGGAGGGTGTCTCTAACGCCATCAGCTAGTCCCATACAATGAACTAGAGAGAACTTTCATTCATTCAATCCACATACACTGATTGAGCCCCTACTGTAAGCCAGGGGAAAGGGCACACATGAACAAGACCAACATCTGCACCTTTGTAGGTCCCCACACCAAGGGAGAGCCAGACCGGCGCAGTTTTCAGGAGAATCAATGGTGTCCCCGCCATAGATGGTAGTGGAGGGGGCTGATATTTTAGAGTTTGGGTAATCTGGGAGGGGTGGCCCAGGATGTAACACCAAGTGACAGACAAGCTGGACTTAATTGCCAATTATTGGGGGATCAGAGGGTTCCGGTAATAGGAACAGCCAGTTCAAAGGCCCCGGGGCAGGAACCAGTTGGACACATTTCTAGAAGGTGGGGAGGCAGGTGGGACTGGATTGGGAAGCCAGTGAGTGCCAAAGGAAGAGAAGGGGAGTGCCGAAGCCTCCACCTCTGCTCAGGAGGGATTTACCCCCAAGGCAATGAAAGTTGCAGATGAGGTTGGGGCAACACTAGGGCTTGGTCCGGGACTCTGCATTTTCACCTTTATCTCAGCAGCAGCTCCACGAGTGGTGAGGGACGTTATCCCACTTCTCAGGGCAGTGTCTGGAGGGGGCGCGCGACGTGCCCAGAGTCGTACAGGCCAGGCCAGAGAGAACCCTGCCCTCCAAGCAGAAGCCGAACCTGACGCCCCGCAGCCGCCGGGGTTTGAATCGCTGCGGCTGTAGTCCTTCCCCAGCGCAGAGATTTATTGTTTAAAGCAACCTGCAGGCCGGGCACAGTGGCTCAGGGCAGTAATCCCAGCACTTTGGGAGGCCAAGGAGGGAGGGTCGCTTGAGCCCAGGAGTTTGAGACCAGCCTGAGCAATCTAGTGAGACCTCTTCTCTACAAAAATAAAAAAGTTCGCTGGGCATGGTGGTACACGCCTGTGGTCCCAGCTACTTGGGAGGGTGAGGTGGGAGAATCGCTTGGGCCCGGGTAAGTTGAGGCTGCAGTTTAATTTTTAGTCTTTATTTGAACACCCAGAAACCAAAAATCACGTTGATAAATCGGAAAGCCCCAAAGAAAACCGAGTTAAGCAGGCAGCCGAAGGGGTGAGGTGGAGCCAGGCACTCACGACCCCACAGCGGGGAGGTGGGGCTTGTGAGGACCCTAATCCAGCGCTTAGGACCCTTAGGCTCGCAGAGGCGGGACTTGCAGGGAAAGTGCCCCGACTGCCGGACCCCCGCAGGGCGGTCGGGAGTGGGGCGCCAGACTCGGGCTGGGGGCGCTGTCTGGCCCGCACATTCCTGAGGATCAAGTTACCCGAGAAGGCTGAGGCCTCTCTGTTCCCCTCCTGCCAGGCTTCCGCCCTCTCCAGGAGCAGGAACCGCAGTCTGTCCCCAGTCCAGCGCAGGTGTCTGCCCAGCCTCTCGGAGGGGACCCAGGCCCTGCCCTCTGGACTGGCACCGGATCCCTCCTGCCTCATAAAACCATTTTACAGATGAGGAAACTGAGGCACAGCCCCCCTTCAGCATTGATGGAACCAGATTGAACCTGGCTCTGCCAGCTTTATGACCATTTTTACTAACTGGGCAGGCCTAGAAGAATGGTTCAGTCAAGTGTTTGTTGATTGACTGACCATCTAGAATCAGTCTCCAAAGCCTCTTATTATAGCACAAGGAGAAAAGAACTTCCCATACCACTTACCCTCCTACCCCACCCTAGGACAGACAGGACCCCTGCACTTATCCAGCATGCATTTAATGTGCACTTCCTGTATGCCCAGGCCTGGGTTAGGCCGTTTCACAGGTAGATACTGGAGAACCAGAGGGTTTGGGGATCAGAAGGTAGTGAATTTGCTTTCTTTAGACCAACTTCAGAAATTGGTTTGGGCCAGGCAAAATGGCTCACCCCTGCAATCCTAGCACTTTGGGAGGCCGAGGCAGGAGGACTGCTTGAGGCCAAGCATTCAAGACCAACCTGGCCAACATAACATGACGATACCCCCGTCTCCAAAAAAAAAAAAAAAAAAAGAGGCCAGGCACCGTAACTCATGCCTGCAATCCCAGCACTTTGGGAGTCTGAGGCGGGCGGATCATGAGGTCAGGAGATCGAGACCATCCTGGCTAACACGGTGAAAACCTGTCTCTACTAAAAATACAAAAAAAAAATTAGCCAGGCGTGGTGGGCAGGTACCTGTAGTCCCAGCTACTGGGGAGGCTGAGGCAGGAGAATGGTGTGAACCCGGGAGGCGGAGCTTGCAGTGAGCCAAGATCGCACCACTGAACTCCAGCCTGGGTGACAGAGTGAGACTCTGTCTCAAAAAAAAAAAAAAAAAAAAAAAAAAGATAAATTGGTTTGTAGTCTGAGCAGGGTGGCTCATGCTTATAATCCCAGCTCTTTGAGAGGCAGAGACAGGAGGATCTCCTGAGCCCAGAAGTTCAAGAGCAGCCTGGGCAACATAGCAAGAACCCATCTCTACAAAAAGATAGAAAAATTAGCTGGTTGGGAGGCTGAGGCGGGCGGATCACAAGGTGAGGAGATCGAGACCAGCCTGGCCAACATGGTGAAACCCCATCTCTACTAAAAATAGAAAAATTAGCCGGGTGTGGTGGCGCATGCCTGTAATCCCAGCTACTCAGGAGGCTGAGGCAGGAGAATCGCTTGAACCTGGGAGGCAGAGATTGCAGTGAGCTGAGATCGTGCCACTGCACTCCAGCCTGGGCAACAGAGCGAGACCCTGTCTCAAAAAAAAAAAAAGCTGGTTTGGTTTTTTGTTTCTTGGTTGTTTTGGGCCAAACTCACATACCATCATTCATCGATTCAACCATGCTTTTTTTTTTTTTTTTTTTTTTGGAGACAAAGTGTCACTCTGTCTCTGAGGCTGGTGTGCAGTGGCACGTTCTCAGCTCACTGCAATCTCTGCCTCCCAGGTTCAAGCAATTCTAGTGCCTCAGCCACCAGAGTAGCTGGGATTACAGGCACATGCCACCACACCAACTAATTTTTGTATTTTTAGTAGAGATGGGGTTTCTCCATGTTGACCAGGCTGGTCTTGAACTCCTCACCTCAAGTGATCCGCCTGCCTCAACCTCCAAAAGTTCTGGGATTATAGGCATGAGCCACTGCGCCCGACGACCATGCTCTATTGAGTGCCCGCTGTGTGCTGGGCAGGTGGGTTCTCACCGCCCAGAGGTGATGTTCTGGGGGACTGGAAGCAAGGTCATTTTAGAGAAGCATGCTGTAGGTTGGTCTCACGATTTTCCTTTAAGTTGGCCCCCTTTTCTGTTTTTACTTCAGTAAATACATTTTAAAAGGGAACCTTCATGTCACCACCAAGAATGGAAAACCAGTTTCTCTTGCTATAAATAGAAGGAAACCAAAAAACTATGAAATGAGAGCAAAGTCAGGCATTCCCACCTCAGGAACACTCAGGGCTGGGGCTGGACTTCGAATGTCTGAGTCTTATCAAAGGCAGGGAAGCCCCAAGCAGAAGGGCAGGAGGGGCCACAGGGACCCACTTGGCAGATGCTCCAGTCCCGTGGGTCCCAGCACACAGTAGGTGCTTGATGAATGTGTGTTGATCTGTTAACATGCAACCCATTATTGTAGGTGCCCCCCCCCACCATGATGTGTGGGTTTTGCCTGCATCCGACCACATACTCGTGGCTTTTCCAGGTACTGAGCCATTTCCCCGCTGACAGACTGAGGGCAGGGTGGTGCCTGAATGGGGAGGGGTGGGGGAGGTGGCAGGCAGCTGCCTCTTGGGCAGGGGACCCCACAGGGGCCTCTCTGGGGAGGCTTCGGTTTGGTTTGGTGACATGCCAGGATGCAGCTCTGGGCAAACGTTTATTTGCAGCCTTGGGGCTGTCCCCACCCACGGTCCTGTGGGCCCCTGACGTCTGTCCACACTGAGATGTGGGCCCCTGTGGCCCGCCGCCCTCCCTGGCTGTCTGTGGTGTGTGAATCAATGAATGAGTGAATGAGTAAAGGAATGAATGCAATAAGTAGCATAATGGATGAGTTCGTAGAATAATGAATGGATGAGTGAATTAATGAATGAGTGGAAGTATTCATGCTGCCAAGATGGGAAACCCATTCTCCAGGTATTCTTTTTTTTTTTTTTTAAGACACAGTCTTGCTCTGTCGCCCAGGCTGGAGTGCAATGGCACTATCTCGGCTCACTGCAGCCTCCACCTCCTGGGTTCAAGTGATTCTCCTGCCTCAGCCTCCTGAGTAGCTGGGATTACAGGCGTGCGCCACCACGCCCGGCTAATTTTTGTATTTTTGTAGAGACGGGATTTCACCATGTTGGCCAGGCTGGTCTGGAACTCCTGACCTCAAGTAATCCGTCCGCCTCGGCCTCCCAGAGTGCTGGGATTACAGGCGTGAGCCATCTAGATATGCTTTGTCCCCTTTTTTCGGATGGACAAACTGAGGCTGTCAGCCAAGAAAGGCTTCAGTATGTGGAAGGCAGATTCGAAGCCAGTTGGCCCTGCACATCGTGGGCTGCATTTCTGCACCAAGACTGGGGGTTCCTGGAGCGAGCTTAGGGGTCCGGACTGGTGCAGACGGGGCGCTGGACCTGGCCCCCAGCCAGCGGAAGGGATCTGGGCCCCAGATGGGGAGTAGATGGAACTGGAGGCAAGGCAGGCGGCAGGGGGTGAAGAGGCCGCTGCCCCAGGCTGCGGGGATGGGGAGGCACCGGCAGGGTCCGCGTTGATTCAGAAAGGACCCCAAGGAAGGAGCAACTTTGGGGGACCCCAAAGTTGTCTGAGTGGTATCAAAGGCCGTGCACATGGGGCCCTTAAGCGCTACAGCAGGGGCAATAGTGGAGAGACCCCACGCCTTCCCGCCTCCCGCTGCCCCCGCATCCCCTTCCTCCCGCCTCCCGCCTCCCCCCTGCTCCTCGCCTCTCGCTCTCCCGGGGAGGAAGTGGCGAGAATGCGGGGGTGGGCACCCTATTCTCACTTCCCCTGGGGAAGGGCGGGGCCTGCGGGGTCCTCTCCGCCGCCGGGAGACGGCATCTCCGCGTACAGGGGTGGGGGCGGGGAGCCCTAGGAGCTGGGCAGGCGCTGCTCAGTCCCTGGCCAGGTGACGTCCGTAAGTTTCCTGGTCTTCGATGGTTCTCGAATGAAAAATGGGGGGAAAGACATTGAGTTGGAAACAGCGAGTTGTTGGGGAGAGAGGACCCCACCCCGGGCCGGTACTAGCAGCCAGACACGGACACGCCCTGCCCCGGAGGGGTCAGGGCCAGGCCGAAGGGAGGGAAGTCGCAGTAAACACAGGGTTGGGTTGGGGCGGGAGGCGCATTCCAGGCGGAGGGAACGGCGCGGGCAGAGGCCTGGAGGCTGGTGGAGGCCTCCTGCCTCGCCTAGCTGCGGGGTCCTCAGCGTGTGGCCCCTCCCCTAATGGGAGGGGGGGAGAAAGGATCCGGGGGGAGAGGTCTCGGAGCTGTCGGCGGCAGTGGAAGAGTTAACTTCCCGGGGCTGCCGGACCCCGCCGCGAGCTGGCGGGTGGCGTCAGCGCCAACGTCAGGGCGAAGTGGTGCCGCGTAGACGCGGACGCTTCGGCCGCCCGGCCCCCACCCCACGCGGCGCTGGAGGCCGCGGGGATGGGGGCGGGGGCGGTCGGCCCTGCAAGCAATTTACTGGGCTCTGTGCAGAGAGGGAAATTGAGGCACGGGAACGGCCGTGGCCTGGCTGGTGCTAAGCCCGCTAGCCCGCGTCCCACACTACCGCCCCCTCCCAGCTCCTCCAGGTCGCCGGACGACCTGGAGCTGGTTTGGGCTTGTTTTCCATTGCGCAAATACCTGCGAATAAACGTTTGCCCCGAGCTGCGACTTGGCACATCACCACCTCTGCATGGCCTCAGTTTCCTCAACCGGATAATGGGGAGAGTTGACATTTAGTGTGGGCGCTGGGTTCGGCCTTGAAAAGGGGGTGTGGGAGGGGACTGCACCCCAAGAAAGAGGCTGGAGCGGGGACACCTGCGAGGCTGTCTGTGAATTCCGGGCTGGTTCTCCAGCCCCCTCCTCTCCTCCCGTCGCTCACTCCCCTCCTCTCCCTCCCCTTCCTGCTTCAGCTTCCCCTCCCCTCTTCCTTATCCCCTTCTCCCTCCCGTCTCCCCCGATCTCCTCTCCACCCCCTCTCTCCCTTTCCCCCGCCCGCCCAGCGAGGCCGCCCCACCGGACTGCTAATTAAATGCAGAGCTGGGGGGAAGGGACGGCGCGTGGTTAACCCCTTCCCCGCCGGGGCCCTGAACCGGGGATGGGGAAGGGTGTCCGCCACCGGAATTTCCTCCCCCCCAGGGGCAGGCCTTAAGCTCTAGGACAAGCCCATTTATTGAGTGGGTATATCGAGGCCAAAGGAACGGCCCCAACGTTCTGGGTGAGGCTGTACTAAATCGGGCCTCCTGATTGGAGGGCCAGAGCTTCGAGATAGCGGAAGAGAAAAGCAATATCGTGGCTTGGAAATAAACCAAGAGAAAAAAAAATGAGTTGGAAGGAGAGACAGCGGGAGAGGGAGGCTGGAAAAAAATCTAGGAGCAAGACAGAGACAGAGAGACAACCAGGTAAGGGAGGTGGAGCTCCGGGTGTGGCCTGGAGGCACCCAGGCAGGCTCCCGGTAGGAGGCGGCTTCCTGGAGGAACCTGTGGTGGAATAACTCCTGGCCCTGGTGTTAGCCTCCAGGCCTGGCTCACGCACTGACTGCTGACTTCTGATAGGGCCTTGTGGCCTGAAAGGAAGGTCATGCCTGCCTTTGGAGCCATCGGTCAACCCAAGTCCCCGCCCTGTCCCTGAAAACATCAGAGAGGAGCCCAGCGAAGCGAAGTGTGGGCTATGTGCTGTGAGGTGACTCAGTGGCCCCTCATTCTTGGGACGGGAACAACTGAAAGAAGTGAATGATATAAAGTCAGGTGGTGAGAAAGCAAATGACAGCAGGCGGAGGGAGTGTGGGGTGGGGGGGGCCAGAGGATCCATGATACCAGCAGCAGGGCCACCATGAGGATGCCCCAGGGAAGGGTGTTCCTGAAAGCTGGAGTAGCACGTGCAAAGGCCCTGGGGAGGAATTTGAGGTATTTGTTTGTTTGTTTTTTGAGAGGAGTCTCCCTCTGTCCCCCAGGCTGGAGTACAGTGGTGCGATCTCAGCTCACTGCAACCTCCACCTACCAGGTTCACGCGATTCTTCTGCCTCAGCCTCCCGAGTAGCTGGAATTACAGGCGTGCGCCACGATGCCCAGCTAATTTTGTATTTTTAGTAGACAGGGTTTCACCATATTGGCCAGGATGGTCTCCACCTCTTGATCTCGTGATTCGTCCGCCTCAGCCTCCTAAAGTGTTGGGATTACAGGCGTAAGCCACTGTACCCGGGCTGAATTTGAGGTGTGTTAAGGGAACATCCAGGAGGAGGCGTGGCGCAGGGTGAGGAGAGATGGAGGATTACAGGGGCCTCCAGATCCTAAGCAGGGAGGGTGGGGGGTGGCTTGAGTCCTTGGCCAGCCCAGGTGGAGCCTGTGACTGCTCTCCCTGCCTCACTTTTCCTACCATTATGCATGCTCCAGAAGCAGCAGGGGAGGCTTTGGGGATGTGGAGGTTGCCCAGGGTCACAGGGACCCCTGTTGTGCCCTCCGTCAGTGCCCCTCTGGCCTCCCCACACCCTCTGTGGCTCCCTGCTGTGGCCAGTCTTCCCCATCATCGCCCCTGGCTCTCTTCTCTCCTGCAGTCCAGCCACTCAGCCCTTGTACATGTCCCTCATCTGTTCTCACAATGCCCACCCCAGGTGACAACATCCTCCCAAGCCCCCTTCAGGAGATGGTGGGGCTGACACTAACAGGGGAGGGGGTGTAGGGAAGGTGAGCACCCTGGCCCCTGAGTGCTGCACACAAACTGTGTAAAAATAGCTGCTCCCCCTGCCCCCTGTGAGGAGGCGGCTGTGACGGTGGTGGCTGCAGTGACGGGGATGTGCCCAGAGAAGCATCCGGCAGGGCCAGTTGCCATGGTGATGCTGACTCAGCGGCAGAGGCAGGTAGCAGCATCTGGTACCCGGCCGGCACGCCTCTGCTTGGCCTACGCTCATAGCACCCTGTCCAGCCCCAACTTTCCAGCCTCCACCCTGGGGGTGTCTTCTGAGGCTGCAGAGGGGTGGGTGAGACCTCGGGAAGGACTGGACAAGTTCCTCCACCAGACACCACTCAGTCATCTGCTGGAAGGTGGGAGACGCTGCTTCTCATGGAGCGGACCTCAGTGTCAGGTCTTCCTCCCTCTATCAGCCATCCGCCCATCTACCTACTCACCCATCCATCCACTCATCCACCATCCACTCATCCCCCATCCATCCACCATCCACCCATCCATCTACCATCTGCCCATCTACCATCCATCCACCCACCTGTCCATCTATCCACCCATCCACCATCCACTCATCCCCCATCCATCATCCACCAATCAGTCCATCATCCACCCATCCATCCACCATCTACCCATTCATCCATCCATCCATTCCTCCACCCAGCGGCCATCCATCCATGCACCATCTACCCATCCACCATCTGCCCATCCACCATCCATCCATCTACCCACCATCCATCCATCTACCCACCCACCCATGCATCCACCATCCACCCATTCACCATCCACCCATCCACCATCCGTCCACCGTCCACCCATCCACCACCTAACCATCCACCAGCCATCCATCCACCTGTCTACCCACTGACCCATCCATCCACCATCCACTCACCCACCCATCCACCCATCCATCCACCCATCCACCTATCTACCCACCCACCCATGTATCCACCATCCACCCATTCACCATCCACCCATCCATCCACCATCTACCCATCCACCATCCATCCACCATCCACCTACCATCTACCCATCCACCATCCATCCACCATCCACTCATCCATCTACCATCTACCCATCCACCATCCATCCACCATCCACTCATCCATCTACCATCTACCCATCCACCATCCATCCATCCATCCACCTATCTACCCACCAATCCATCCATCCACCATCCACTCATCCACCCATCCATCCACCATCCACCCATCCACCTATCTACCCACCCACCCATCCATCCACCCATCCATCCACCCATCCACCTATCCACCATCCACCCATCCGTCCACCATCCACCCTTCCATCCACCAATCCACCTATTCATCCAGCCACCCATCCACTTACCACACACCCACCCATCCATCCATTCCTGTGTTCATCCATTCACTCAACATTTTTGGAGCACTTACCGTGTACTGACATCCTTCTGGGCACATGGTGGTTGCCACTGTCGATGCAGGCAGGGTATCAGCAGTCTGGGGTGCAGGGACTTGGGTGAGGACAAGGCCTCCTTGGCTACTTGGAGCCAGGCCTTGAGATGCTGAGGCCCTATCTCTTCCTTGTTCTCCTAGTCTTGCTCCCTCTCTCTTCCTGCATCTCTCAATCTCTCTGTTTTCCCATCTGAGTCCATCTTAGATCCTTCCCCATATCCCCAGGCCCCCCAGCAGCTGCCGTCTATTCCCCTCTTCTTCTCCCCACTCACTTGTTCCATGCCAGCTTTCCCTTGGGTACAGCTATGTATTCCCACCTCGGGGTCTTTGCACATGCTGTTCCCACTGTCTGGGAGACTCACTCACCTGGAATTGATCATATTTAATTCTTGGCTGGCTTTCTTTCTTTCTTTCTCTCTCTCTCTCTTTTTTTTTTTGAGATGGAGTCTCACTCTGTTGCCCAGGATGGAGTGCAGTGACGCAGTCACAGCTCACTGCCCCCTCCATCTCCCGGGTTCAAGCGATTCACCTGCCTCAGCGTCCCGAGTAGCTGGGATTACAGGCACACGGCACCACACCCTGCTAATTTTTGTATTTTTAGTAGAAACGGGGTTTCACCATGTTGGCCAGGCTGGTCTTGAACTCCTGACCTCAGGTGATCTGCCCACCTTGGCCTCCCAAAGTGCTCTGGGTTTACCATATTTAATTCTTGCCTTCCTTAATGTCTGCCTCTATCCCCATCCCCAGAGTATAAAGGCCAAAGAGCTGACCTGTGGTTCTTTCAGGGACCTATTTGTGCCTTCATATCTCCAACTACGAAATGGGTAAATGGACATGGTGCTAGCAGGATGACCTCATAACTGGGGCAGGGGTTGGGAGGAAGCCCTTAGACCTGTGCCCACTGCAGATTAAACACTCAGTAAACTCCCTTCCTTGGAAACAGCCCAAATGTCCATCAGCTGATGAAGGATCAACAAAATGTGGTCCACCCACACAATGGAATATGATGCAGCCACAAAAAGGCATGAAGCAGGCCGGGCACAGTGGCTCATGCCTGTAATCCCAGCACTTTGGGAGGCCGAGGCGGGCAGATCATGAGGTCGGGAGTTCAAGACCAGCCTGGCCAACATAGTGAAACCCCGTCTCTACTAAAAATACAAAAATTAGCTGGGTGTGGTGGCACACATCTGTAGTCCCAGCTACTCAGAAGGCTGAGGCAGGAGAATCGCTTGACCCGGGAGGCAGAGGTTGCAGTGAGCTGAGATCGCACCATTGCACTCCAGCATGGGTGACAGCATAAGACTTAAGACTCCATCTCCAAAAAAAAAGGCATGAAGCACTAGTCTGTGCTACCACGTGCACAAAACTCGAAAACACGATGCTGAGTGAGAGAAGCCAGGCATGAAAGGCCACACAGTGTGAGATTCCATTGATATGAAATGTCCAGGACAGGCAAATCCACAGAGACAGGAAGCAGCTTCCTGGTTGCCAGGGGCTTGGGGGAAGGGAATGGGGAGTAACTGCTGATGGGGACCAGGTCTCCTTTGGAAGGGATGAACATGTTCTAGAATTAGAGGCGATGGTTGCACAACAGTGTGTGTGTATTAAATGCCCCTGAATTATACACTTTAAAGTGGTTCATTTTATGTTATGTGACTCCTGCCTTACTTTATTTTAATTTTTTGAGACAGGGTTTCACTCTCTTGCCCAGGCTGGAGTGCAGTGGCATGATCTTGGCTCACTGCAACCTCCGCCTCCTGGGATCAAGCAGTTCTCCTGCCTCAGCCTCCCAAGTAGCTGAGATTACAGGTGTGCACCACCACAACCAGCTGATTTTTGTATTTTAGTAGAGACGTGGTTTCACCAGGCTGGTCTTGAACTCCTGGCCTCAAGCCATATGCCCACCTCAGCCTCCCAAAGTCATGGCTCCCATGAGCCACCGCGCCTGGCCTTCAATTTATTTTTTAGAGACAAGGTCTTCCTCTGTCGTTCAGGCAGAGGTCAAACCGTGCAGTGGTTCAATCTTGGTTCACTGCAGCCTGGTCTCCAGGGCTCAACCAATCCTCCCACCTCAGCCTCCTGAGCAGCTGGTACTTACAGGGGCCACGCCACCATGCCAGGCCAATTTTGTTTATTTTTTGTAGAGATGAGGTTTCACTATGTTGCCTAGGCTGCTCTCGAATCCACTTTCCTGGATTCAAGCGATCCTCCTGCCTTGGCCTCCCAAAGTTCTGGGATTATAGGCGTGAGCCACCACCATGCCAGGCACCTCAATTTTTTTTTTTTTTTTTTTTTGGAGACAGAGTTTCACTCTTTTTGCCCAGGCTGGAGTGCAATCGTGCGATCTCCGCTCACTGCAACCTCTGCCTCCTGGGTTCAAGCAATTCTTCTTCCTCAGACTCCTGAGTAGCTGAGATTACAGGTATGTGCCACCACACCTGGCTAATTTTGTATTTTTAATAGAGACGGGGTTTCTCCATGTTGGTCAGGCTGGTCTGGTCTCGAACTCCTGACTGCAGGTGATCCGCCGGCCTCGGCCTCCCAAAGTGCTGGGATTATAGGCGTGAGCCACCGCACCCAACCACCTCAGTTTTTTTTGTTAAGTACAGTACATTAGGTAAAAACGAAGGAAATCTGAATAAAGTAGGGAATTTAGTCATTACAAACAAAACAAAACTGCTTCTTAAGTGGTTCAGGGAGGTTGGTTCTCTGAAGGTGTCTCTAGGTTGACTCATCCTCTCTAAGGGAAAACAGAGGGCCAGGGAGGCCCTCACATCTACAGTGTGCCAGCCCTTGCCCGGTACCCTTACCCTTGCTTTTTGTTTTTTTTTGAGATGGAGTTTCACGTTGTCACTCAGGCTAGTGTGCAGTGCCATGATCTCGGCTGACTGCAACCTCTGCTTCCTGGGTTCAAGTGATTCTACTGCCTCAGCCTCCCAAGTAGCTTGGACTACAGGCATACACAGCCACGCCCGGCTAATTTTTGTATTTTTAGTAGAGACGGGGTTTCGCCATGTTGTGGCCAGGCTGGACTCGAACTCCTGACCTCAGGTGATCCGCCTGCCTCGGCCTCTCAAAGTGCTGAGATTACAGGCGTGAGCCACTGTGCCCTGCTCCCTCGCCCTCACTTTGCTCGCCAGCCAGCTGACTGCCTTTTCAACACACCCAGCACACACTTTCTTCAGTGCCTTGACACCTGCCATTCTCTCTAATTGGAAGCCTCAGGTGATCGAGAAACGCTGGATTCCACCCCAGCAGGTGGAACCGAGGTACAGTTCTGTGTGCTCTGTTATCCCCACCTTCCTTAGGCCACCAGAAAGGTCAAGGTGCTTGGTGGTTAGGACAAAGTTGACCGCACCTTGGGGCCACAGAGGCCGTTGAATATGACCAGGGAGGCTGACAGCCTGAGATGACAGCAGGGTGTGAGGGTATCTTGGAGGGCACAGTGCACACCCCTCTCCCACCCTGGGAGGGAGAGGACCCTATAAGTTAAGTGGGGTCTCGAAGCCAGTGGGAGGGTGAGGAGGTGGAATTCAGACCAGCTGGGGGCTCTGTCAAAAGGGCCTGCTTCTGGCTGCCTCAACAATGCAAACGGCAAGAACTTTTTTTTTTTGGTGGGGGGGGGGTCTTGCTTTGTCACCCAGGCTGGAGTGCAGTGGCGCAATCATGGCTCACTGTAGCCTCAACCTCCCTACTCAAGTGATCCTCCCCCTTCAGCCTCCTCAGCAGCTGGGACTACAGGTGTGTACCGCCGTGCTTGGCTAATTTCATTTGTTTTGTAGAGGTAGGGTCTCACTATGTTGCCCAGACTGGGATCCTGGGCTCCAGCCATCCGCCCGCCTTGGCGTCCCAAAGTATTGGGATTACAGGCTTGAGCTACTGTGCCCGGCCAAGAACCATTTTTAAATCTAATTAATTTTTTTTTTTTTGAGATGAAGTTTTGCTCTTCTTACCCAGGCTGGAGTGCAGTGGCGAGATCTCAGCTCACTGCAACCTCTGCCTCCCGGGTTAAAGCAATTCTCGTGCCTCAGCCTCCTGAGTAGCTGGGATTACAGGTGCCTGCCACCACACCCGGTTAATTTTTTTGTTTGTTTGTTTTGGTTTTTTTGAGACAGAGTCTCACTCTGTTGCCAGGCTGGAGTGCAGTGGTGTGACCTCGGCTCATTGCAACCTCTGCCTCCCGGGTTCAAGCAATTCTTCTGCCTCAGCCTCCCGAGTAGCTGGGACTACAGGTGTGTGCCACCAGGCCTGGCTAATTTTTGTATTTTTAGTAGAGACGGGGTTTCACCATGTTAGCCAGGATGGTCTCCATCTCTTGACTTCATGATCCGCCCGCCTCGGCCTCCCAAAGTGCTGGGATTACAGGTGTGAGCCACCACGCCCGGCCAATTTTTATATTTTTTAGTAGAGACGGGGTTTCACCATGTTTCCCAGGCTGGTGTCAAACTCCTGACTTCAGGTGGTCCACCCACCTCAGCCTCCCAAAGTGCTGGGATTACAGGCATAAGCCACTGCACCTGGCCCATTTTTTTAATTTTTAATTTTTTTTCCCAAGACAGTCTTGCTCTGTCACCCAGGCTGGAGTGCAGTGGCATGATCTCGGCTCACTGCAACCCCCACCTCCCAGGTTAAAGCAATTCTCCTGCCTCAGCCTCCCGAGTAGATGGGATTACTGGCGCTCACCACCATGCCCGCCTAATTTCTGTATTTTTAGTAGAGACTGGGTTTCACCGTGTTAGCCAGGCTGGTCTTGAACTCCTGACCTCGTGATCCGCCCGCCTCAGCCTCCCAAAGTGCTGGGATTACAGGTGTGAGCCACCACCCCCAGCCATTTTTTTAATGTTTAAGGAAAACTGCTGGGCAGTGAAGGTCTCCCCAGACAATGTCACTGAGCCCCGGCCTCCCCAACCTGGTCTGAGATTTCAGGGGGTTTCAGAAGAAGCTGACCTTTGAGAAGGCTCTGGGGCCAGGATGTCTGAGTTACTTGATGCTGGAGGGGTGGGGCAAGGAGGGTCTGGCCCTGGTGGTGCAGAGGAGGGGAGATGAGGGTGGGGAAGACACTTGAGGACGTGAGGAGTATTTTTAGGTGCTGAATGCAGCCCTGAAATATTTCCACGGCCACTCCCGAGAGCGAGCTGGGTGACTATTTCGGTGCCTGGTTCCAGTGGAGGCGGGGCAGGGGTGAGTCACTCACTGCCCAGTGGCCGCAGAGGCCAGGCCCAGGCTGGGAGGCGGCTCGAAGGGCAGGATCGCAGGCCTGCAAGGTGAACGGTCACTGGCCTGGGGCCAGGCTTCCTAAGCCAGCCTCCAGGGCACAGAGGACAGCGGCCTTTCTATTCCCCATGGCACTGGCCAATCCAGAGGGGCCACTGCCTGGGTGCCCTGGGACAATGAGCTGCTCACGCCAACCCCATAGTTGTAAAGATGGAGGGTCCCCCGTGAGGTTCTGGACACCCCACAGGTGCTAGGCGAGATGCCATCTTAGATTATTTCAAGCATTTATTGAGCACTTGCTGTATACCAGGCCAGTCCTAAAATGATTACTGGCATCCTCCCTTCATGCAATCTGCCCAATAACCCCCATGAGGTAGAGCTGCTGTTATCCCCCCGACCAGGGAGGAAACTGAGGCACGGTAGGGTTAAGCCCTCCAGGCACCTAACTATGTGCCTCAAATCCTGTCCCTCAGCTGATGTTACAATCAGGGGAGTGAGTTTTAAAGCAGCAGCCGATCTTGCTTACCCCCCACACCCTATTCCCAACCAATTTTGGGGTCCTGACTGTGCCTGAGCTGGGAGAAGGTCAATGGATCCTTCAGGTTTAAGGAGGCAGTGGAAAGAGGAGGTCACCATTGCTGTGTGACCTGGGGCAGGTTCCTCACCCTCTCTGTGCCTGAGCAGTGAATGACGATGCCACCCTATGGGTGAGTTCCGGAGCTGCCTGGCACACATTCATGATAGATAAACAATGGTTGGCTGAGCATACTGGCTCAGGCCTGTAATCCCAGCACTTTGGGAGGCTAAGGTGGGAGGATCGTTTGAGCCTAGGAGTTTGAGACCAGCCTGGACAACATGGTGAGACCCCTATCTGTAAAAAAAATAAAAAACAATTATCGGCTGTTGCTTGGATTGTGTGCCTGTCCTGAGCCTTCATTTCTCCATCTGTGAGGACCCTCGGAGGTGCTGGGTTGGAAGTGGCTTTGGAAACCCACGGGGCTGAGCGGCAAGGCTGAGTGGGAGCTCGGGGAATCCTCGCCCTCACTCGAAGTCTCCTTGAGAAGAGGCTGATGCTTGGCCGGGCGAGATGGCTTACGCCTGTAATCCCAGCACTTTGGGAGGCCGAGGCGGGCGGATTGCCCGAGGTCAGGAGTTCGAGACCAGCCTAGCCAACATGGCGAAATCCTGTCTCTACTAAAAAATGCAAAAATTAGCTGGGCGTGGTGGCGGACGCCTGTAATCCCAGCTATTCGGGAGGCTGAGGCAGGAGAATTGCTTGAACCTGAGAGACAGAGGTTTCAGTAAGTGGAGATCGCGCCACTGCCCTCCGGCCAGGGCGACAGAGTGAGACTTTGTCTCAAAAAAAAAAAAAAAAAAAAGAAGTGGCTGATGCCAAGCGTCAGGAACAGATCCCTGCAAGTGCCCACCCCAGCTCCTGTAGGGGCTTCTTTTTTATTTTATTTTATTTTATTTTTTCTTTTGAGACGGAGTCTTGCTCTGTCGCCCAGGCTGGAGTGCAGTGGCGTGATCTCCGATCACTGCAAGCTCCGCCTCCCTGGTTCGCGGCATTCTCCTGCCTCAGCCTCCCAAGTAGCTGGGACCACAGGCGCCCACCCGCCTTGCCTTCCCAAAGTGCTGGGATTACAGGCATGAGCCACCGCGCCCGGCCCTGTAGGGGCTTCTGGCCTGAGCCCTGACCCCCTCTGCCCCTTCCCCACAGAAGTTCAGAGGCTCCGTGCTTGCAGTTCCTCCACCTGTTCCGGCTCTCTCTGTGTGGCCAGCAGCTTCTTGTCCACTCGAGACTTGGTTTGACTGGACCTCCTCTTAAATTTTTAAAAAATTTTTAATTTATTATTAGTAGTATCATTTTTTTGAGACAGACTCTCGTTCTGTCGCCCAGGCTGGAGTGCAGTGGCGCTATCTTGGCTCACTGCAACCTCTGCCTCCTGGGTTTAAGCAATTCTCCTGCCTCAGCCTCCTGAGTAGCTGGGATTACAGGCACCACGTGCCACCACACCTGGCTAATTTTTGTATTCTTAGTAGAAATAAGGTTTCACCTCGTTGGCCAGGCTGGTCTCAAACTCCTGGCCTCAGGTGATCCGCCTGCCTCGACCTCCCAAAGTGTTGGAATTACAGTTGCCGCTGTGAGCCACAGCACCCAGCCGGCCTCCTCTTGCTCTGTGGAAAGGAGGTGCCACCTCGGGGTCCTGCACTTCCTGGGCAAGGCCAGCTGGTCAGCCTAGGCCCTGGCAGCCTCCTCCTCCCTGCCCTGAGGCCCCAGCACTGCCCCCTTCCTGCTTCCACCCCTGCTTCTGACTGTTCCAGAACCCTCTGTGGCTGCTTCTCATGTCACTCAGGGCCCACATCCTCCCCATTTCCTGCCCTTCTGTTTGCTCCTGTGTCCCCTGGGCACAGGGCCTTTGCACGGGACTGTCCTCCTGACCCCTGCTGGTCCAGAATGTTCTTTCCCAAGGTGGCTGGCTCCCTCGTCTCTCAGGCCCTTCCTGAATCTTCAGTGTCCTTCTCTCACCTTCCCTGACCACCTCTTCATTCACCTCCTCACGAGCCCGCCCTGTTTCTGGTTTCTTTTTCTTTTTTTTGAGAGTCTCGATCTGTCGCCCAGGCTGGAGTGCAGTGGCGCGATCTCAGCTCACTGCAACCTCCGCCTCCCAGGTTCAAGCGATTCTCCTGCCTCAGCCTTCTGAGTAGCTGGGATTACAGGTTTGTGCCATCACGTCCGGCTAATTTTTGTATTTTTAATAGAGATGGGGTTTCACCATGATGGCCAGGTTTTGAACTCCTTATCTCAGGTGATCCGCCCACTTCGGCCTCCCAAAGTGCTGGGGTTACAGGCATGAGCCACTGCGCCTGGCCTGGTTTCTTCTTTTTACAGCATTTATGCATTTGATATGCATATGCTTGTGGCTGGCTCACTCCTGTGGAAGGGAAGGATTGCCGGGGCTGTGTCACCAGCACCTGGGACAAGGCAAGTGGCCCTAGTGCCAGGCTCGTGCCAGGCCCTGGGCTCCAAAAGAAGAAGGTGGGGAGGGAGGTGACAGGGACACAGGCCATCTGGGGGTGGCTGTCAGAGTAGTGCTGGGAACAGCAGGTGAAGCCCAGAGGAGGAGAGGAGGAGGAGAGAGAGGAGGGGGATGGGGGATGGGAGTGGGGGATGAGTGGAGGAGGATGGAGGAGGAGGGGAATGGGGAGGAAGATGGGGAGTGAGAGGAGGGGGATGGGGGAGGAGAAGGAGAAGGAGGAGGAGGAGGAGGAGAGAGGGATGGCTTCCCACAGCTGCCTCTCGGGGGCCACTGCCCAAGGCCAGCCTCTGCACTTTTGTCCCTGAAGCGGGTGTTTGGCTCCAGGATGAGGTGGCGTCAGCAGCCGACCCGGGCCTGTCGCACTCTGGCGGGGGACTGTGGGCTGGCCCTGCAGAGCTCAGCCCCCGGCTGAGTCACAGCACAGCGCCAGGCGTGGGCCTCCCTAACAGAAAGCAAACTCCAGGCGAGAAGGTCTGGGGGCGGGTGGGGACCATCTACGATAAAGGCAGCCCCAGTTGGGTGAGGAGGGCACAGACCATCGGAGGGACAGAAAGACCTGGAAGCCTTGGATTTAGGAACTAGACTGGTGCTTTTGGTTTCTTTTCTTGTTGAGGGGGCTGAGGATGAGGCTTTGTGAAACCAACCAGGAAGAATGAAACACAGAGCTGGTCCGACACCCAGCTCGAGGGAGGGGGGCCGGAAGCTTCTGGAAGTTGGCTGCCCCTAAGCAGGGGCCACTCTAGCCCACAAGGCCAAGTTGGCAGAGGCAGACGAGGGGACTCTGCGGCTCAAGTCACGGGCCAGGAGCCCGCAGCTGCCGGGCTGGAAAGGTCAGAGCCGGCTCTGCGTCTGGCTGCGCCGGCAAGAAGCCACAATTACGCAGGCAAAAGAGCCCGGGGATTAGCCCCAGCACCTGGGACCCTGAATGGTGAGAAGGCACCTAGGGGGTGTTGGAACACATTCTGAGTTCAGAGCCTGGTCAGGGAGAAAAAACCAAACGGAGATCAGGAAGGGGAAGGGGCCTTCGAGGGCTTTCCCATCCCAACTTCCCAGGATGCCTGACCCCAGAGCTCCTGGATTTGATCCACGCCTCGTGACACACACAACCCCTGGGAGGAAGGAGCCCAGGCCCCTTGGAGAGCCCCAGAGGCCTCTAAGGGCCGGTGAGTCTAGGACATGGGGCAGGAGCTGCAAATGGGGCCTCCCTGCTCCCCACCCTTCCTTCCCTCCTCCTCTAAACATTGCCCCACCCACCTCGCCCTGTGAGCCCAGCCCCCTGCACGGCCCACACTGTAGGGGCATGGGGTGTGCCAAGAGATGCTCCTGTCGACCAGGCGCAGTGGCTCATGCCTGTAATCCCAGCACTTTGGGAGGCCAAGGCGGGAGGATCACTTGAGATCAGGAGTTCAAGACCAGCCTCGCCAACATGGTGGAACTGTGTCTGTACTAAAAATACAAAAATTAGCCGTCTGTGTTGGTGCACACCTGTAATCCCAGCTACTCAGGAGGCTAAGGCAAGAGAATCGCTTGAACACACGAGGCAGAGGTTGCAGTGAGCCAAGATTGTGCCACTGCACTCCAGCCTGGGCAACAGAGCGAGACTCCGTCTCAAAAAAAAAAAAAAAATGCTCTTGTCCAACAGGCAGGTGGGTGCCGTGGGCCGGTGCATCCCAAGGCTTCCAGGCCCGGGCCCCCAACTGCTGCCCCTGCCTGTGTTGAGGGGGCGGGTTTGTGAGGTTCAGGGCAGGCCACATCCTGGACCCCACATGCCCCATCTCTAACCATCAATCAAGTGCCGCTGTGGCGGAGAGGATTCAGGCGACTGCAGATATCCATCCCTGTCCCCCACCCCACACACAAGGAGAACATCCCAGGCGAGGACATTGTAAATGCAAAATCTATACGATGGCAAGTAACTCTGAAGACTCAAGAAAAAGAGTTCCTCACGGACGGGACCTTTTATTCCAATCACCTCTCAAAATAGGTCTCCGAACGAGGACCCTGAAGAGAAGGCTATGCAGGGGGACGGGCCGCTGCCTGGCTCAGGGCTTCCCTCTGGTTTCTTCACGGTCCACAGATGCTACCCGGAGCCTTTCTCGAAAGCGCTGACTCAGTGTCTCAGGTGCGCGCCCGAGGAGTGGCAAACCCGGCCTGGCTCAGAAAGGGGGCAGGAGCCTCGTGAGAATCTTCCATGAGCATCTTCCGAGGGGATTCCTGTCCTGTCTTCTCTGTGTGAACGCCAGTGTGGACAGATGAGGATAGATGATGGAGTCCAGGCCACCCAGGAGGGGGTGATGGGGACCATGCGTGGCCCCTGCCTGGGACTTCCCTCCCCACACACCCCTTGGCATTAACGTCTCCACAGAGGGGAGAGGGTTATAGGACAACCTGGTGTGGGGGGCGCCGGGGACTCTCAAGAGCCCCCACTGTCCAGATGCTGGTCTTGCCTTTTGTAAAAGGACATCAGTGCCTCACTGTGCCGCTGACACCTGGTGAGAACTCTCAAAAGGAAGCTTCCCTTACGGGAACGGGGATTTCCTGAGAGTCCAGCGATGGACAGAGGGCAGGAGACCCGCTAGGTGCACCCAGAAGCTCAAAAGGAACAGTGGATGTGCAGTGTGTAGTTTTATTTGTTTTTATTTCCATAACACAAGAGAGGAAGCGAAGGGCCAGGGCCCGAGGCATCCCCTGCACGGTTCGAAGGCTTTCAACCGTCCCGGGTTTGTTTTGAAGGCAATTTTGGGGCCGCGCCCAAGGAAACCCTGCAGGCTGTCAGTCCCAGCATGAACAGCTTAAAATAAAAATCTCCCGTCTGGTTGCTGCTCGGAGAGGCTCCAAGAAATGCAAAACAAACCCGCCTGGAAAATGCTGCCCTGAGAACCAGAGCGAGGGCTTGAAAGATGCCTTCAACACAGACTCTTCTAGGAATCCAGCCAGTTTTGGGACGGCCGTTTCACAAAACCAAAAAACACCAAGTAACATTTCTAACCGGAGAATTGCCGGTTTTAGCAAGAAAAAGGGGCTTCACCTAAAAGGGAGGGTCACAAAACACGAAGGGGGTTCCCCCTGGCGCCTGCCTCTTCCTTTCTGAGCAGATCCGTCCGAGACTGTGGAGCGGAATCGCCACCCTGGCAGGAGGGGGCGCAGCAGCCGGTCTGGGTGGGCGCTCACTGTTTGCCCGCCTGTCTGCCAGGCTTCTTCTCTGGCTGGCCTCTGCCTGTGCCCGGGATCCCACCTCGGCCCCGGCCACCAAACACACCTAGAGGACAGAGAGAGGGCGCTGCAGCAGAGCCAGGTGGGTGGGACCTTCGACAGGATCCCGGCGCCCTGAAACTCTAGGCCAGGTCACCTAAGTCTCCAGCCTCAGCTTCCTCATGTGTGAGGTGGTGACTGAGGGTGCTTGGATCTCCTCCGTGGGGCAGAGCATCTGAGGAAGGCAGGAACTCCAGGGCATCCTCATTATGGGACTAGACCCAGCCCCCAGGGATGCGGGGGGGGGGGACTAGGCGACAGAGGACACTAAGTCACATTGGGGGTTGGGGCAGGCTTCCTAAAGGACAAAGCCAGAAGGGTTTCCTGGAGGAGGAGGAGGAGGTAGGAGAGGCGTGGAGCAGAGACCAGGGCAGTAGGCCAGGCTGGGGGCTCCCTGGCGGGGGGGGGGCCTCCTATGCGCCACAACCACCCACAGCCCCTCATCTACCTGCCAGGAGGAAAACAGAAAGAGGGATTTCTGTGTATCCAGCCCCAGGGATGGGGAAGGGGAGGGGACTCCCCAGCAGGCCTGAGGCCAGAGATAGACCATGAGGACAAATGACATTTTCCATGAAGCCCCTGAGGTGGGAGCATGTGGCCACTGGGGAGGTGACAGGGGGTTCCCGGGAGATGAGGGCCCCAGGGACTGAGTGGACGCTACAGCGGCACCTCCAGTAATCCTGAGCAGGCTGCACGCAGGGCACGCCTGTCCCCACACCCTCTGTGTGCCTGGCGCCCCTTCACGCCACCCTCACCACAGGCCAGGCCTGGACGCAGCAGGTTGGTCAGGCCGGGACCCAACATTGATCCCTCCCTCTCTGTCTCCCTTGGGGACCCCAGCTCTGTAAGCCCCGTTTAGGGAGCCGTTTCAGAGAACTTTCTAGCTGGACGAACGCTTGAGGAAATCAAAGCTGGAGCTTCAAACAGCAGGAGAGCCAAGGCCAGCAAGAGGAGCTGGCCCTGTGGCCCATGTGCTGGGTGCCAGGGGCCAGAGGCCAGCGCTGCAGGCAGCATAGCTCAGGCCCTCCACAGAGCCCGCTGGGAGGCTCAGTCGTGGGCCAGGGAGGTCTGGGGACAGGAGGACTGACCCCAACAGGAACTGGAATCACGGTCTACTCTGCAGACCTCAACCCCGTGAAGGTGGGGTCAGGGGTCCAGATTCAGAGGATCTAAGAGGTCAGGGCTCTCACCAGCCAGGGGCCACCAGGCCCTGTGGGGACAGAGGCCAGAGGCCAACGCTGGCCTGGGCCACCAACCTCCCCTCTCACCAGGCAGGACCAGCTGTGCTAGGGTGCACAGCCTGGTGGGGGTTACTGCGAGGCTGCTATCTGCACTCCATGGCCCAGTGGCTTCCTGCAGAGCAGCCAGAGAAAACCCCCCACTTCCCTAGGTAGGACCCGACCCACTCTCTCAACAACCTTGACCCCAACTACTGGGAAGGAGCCAGGCCGGGGACCCCAGAGGCCCCACCCACCCTGAGATCCCCAAAGCTCCCTGCCTGGAGTACTATCCCTGCCCCTCCCTCGGGCTCACTCCTGACCACCTCGTGAGCCTGCACAGAATTGGCGCCTGGGGCCTTCCGGGGGCAGCCATGCCGTGCTGCAAGCCCCCAGGCTGGCACCTGAGCCCAGCACACAGGCAGTGCCCATGGATGGCAGAAGCAAAGCCCAGGTCCCCCCGAGAACACAGAGCTGGGGACAGAGAGGTGAGGAAGGGCAGGGGCTACAGATGGCCCCTGGGCCTAACAAATGGAATTTTATGCCAATTCATCATCTCCGGTGGGGGCGGGCGACCTTGGCTCTGGATAGAGCCACGCCAGGTTCCAAGTGGAGTTGCCAGCGGCCTGGACAGATGGGCACCACCATACCCTCTCAGAGGGGAAACTGAGGCTTGGGGAGGTGACTTGATGTGCCCTGAGGACCGCCAGGAGGCGCAGTGAGAGGAGGGCTGAGTCCCAGGTCTCGGGGCTCCTCTGCCTGGGCCTCGGCTCATGGCCAAGGACCAGGAGGGGGGCCCGGGAGGGTTGGGAGGCTCCGAGGCAGCGCTGCAAGGGCAACCCCAAGAAGGAGGGATGCCACGTGTGGCTGTCTTCCCGCCCCAGGTACGTCCACTGGAGAGGGGAGACCCACCTCGGCCAGCGCCGCCCATGCCGCGGCCTTTCTGCTGCTTCTGCTGCTGCAGGCCTCCGCGGCCGCGGCCCTTGGCCACCACCTCCTCCTTGACCATGTCGATGATCTCGTCGGGGATGCGCAGGTACTTGATGGTGCTGCCGCGGATGTAGCACTCGGGCATCCGCCAGAACTTGTCCCCGTCCTGCGGAGAAGGGGAGCAGGTTATTAACTTACCACCGGGCCGTCTGGCCCAGCCCTGGGAGCGCGGGAGGCCCTGCAGATCCTGCCCAGCCTGCACCCCGTACCACCCCTGCAAGCTGCACAGTATCAGTCCCGGGACATACGTGGCAAAGGGTCCACCCTGCAGGCAGGATCTGTCCTGACCCCAGGCAATCCTTCACCCAGGAGCAAGGGTGGGTGTGGTAGGCGCAGCCCCCATTGTGCACTCACAAGGAAGACTGGCTCCTATCCTCTGCCCGTGGGCCTGGCTCAGGAGTGGCTGACTGGGGCTCCCTCCAGCCTGGGATGGGGCTCTCTCTGGTTGGGGTTCTTCACCTGCAGCCCAAAGCCCAGAGCGGGTGGGGGCCTCCCTGTGCACCAGACACAGCCGAAGCCCAGCTACTCCTCCTCCTGCCCCAGCCCCACCTCACTTCTGGAAGCCTCTCTACATGCCCTGACTCATTCATTCATCTAAGTATCTCCTGACAGGGCCTGCGCTGGGTGCAGGGACATGCGAGCAAGCTACAGGCCTAGTGTGGTGGGTGAAGAGGGGCGGGAAATGGGGGGACTTGGGTCCTGCCAGGGTGGCTCAAGGGCGGCTCCCAGCGATGCCAGTTTTAGGAGAGCTAACCAAGACTGGAGAAATGGGGGCCTTGCAAAGACACAGACTCATGCTGCAATGCCTCCGAGGCCCCCACTGGGACAGATCGAGGGATTAGCAGGGGCCAGGGCCATTCCTACCATATCAGTTTCCCAGCCCCGCCCCACCGCCCAGGTTCCTGGACAGACCCACGCACGACGCCTGGATGGCCTTTGCCCCCGATGCCCTTTAAAGTCAGATCACAGTATGTTCCAGCTTGGAACCCACCCAGGGCCCCCTCCAGCCTGGGGGCAAGGTCTAAGAACCTCAGCAGGGCTCTCTAGGGCCCGAGATCCTGCCCCGCCCTGGCGGTCCTCTCCCAGCCCGACGACACTCCCTCCAGATGGAACTTTCTGTTTCCGGAACACACGCCATGGGCTTGCCCCCAGAACTTTGCACGTGGTTTTCCCACTTCTCATCTGGCTAACTTTGACCCCAAAAGGCCTTACCTGCCCGAATCCCCAAGTCCTCCTGTCAGACACTCTCCTCCACACCTGGGTAGGTGTGGCCTGGCCTAGCGCTGGGCGGGGAGGAACAGCCCCTTTGGGTGCTCACTCTCCCAGGAACCCCTCGAGGGCTCGTGGGGCGGACACACCATGGTTCTGTGGGGACTCAGGGCCTGGGCAGGTGACTTGGCGCCCAGCTCTCCCAGGCAGGGCCCAGAGGCTTCCTCGTGCAGGAACCTGGGCAGGGCCTGAGCTCACTGCAGGGAGGCCCCTGCCTCCTGCCCACAGCGCTCCAGAGGTCTCTCAGCCCGGGGTCTCTGCATCCTGCGGCCTGCCTCTGAGGGAGGGAGGGCCCCACTTAGATGGGGACGATGTGAGTTCCCATCGCCTCTCCTCCCAGCCACATGTGACGGCAGCATCACCGCCTGGCCACAGAGGCAGGCTGCTCAGGGAAAGCCATCCGTCCACTCGAAGCTGGAGGCAGAGGCCAAACCAACCCCTGGAGACCACGCAGCCTCTGAATCAACAGGCTTCTCATGTCTAGGACCTGGAGGTGTCCACAAGACCGCACATGCTCACGCACGCAACACGCCTGGTGATTCCAATACCGGAAGTGGACAGAGCCCCGCTGGCCGCAGATGGGAGGCACGCGGTTCTGCACCAAGGCACCATCCGACACAGCCAGACTGGACCCACCCAGACGCCCTCCGACAGGCTATGGCACGAAACCCAGCAAGCAGTTTCTAGAGCTTCTAGCGCTGCTGCACAGCAGCCTCACCACCTGTCCCCACCCCGCCCAGCCCTGTGCTGATGAGAGGCCCAGTCCCGGGTGGGGGTGGCGGTCAGGGCAAGATACGGCCACTTCAGGAAGAAGCGCCTCCCCCCTCGAGCCCTGTTGTCCTGTCAAGGTGACCCCAGGCAGGCACTCCAAGCTCCCCAGCAGTTTCCTCCCTATACCATGGGGGGCTGTCACCCACAGGGAGACAAGACAGATGGGGTCAGGGAAGGTTGGTGGGAGGAGTCCAAGGGAGCCGCTGCCTTCAGCACCATCCCTGGCCTCCTCCTCAGTGCTCTGTGGGTCATCCCAGGGGCAGGGAAGGCCCGTGACACCAGGGGAACCATCTTCCAGCCCCGGCCGACCCAGCAGCACTCCTAGCCAGGCACTTCCGGTCTTGGGCTCTGGCTGGTGGCTCCTGACCCACCGGGCCCTGGCGCTGCTCCTGCCCACCGTGACCTGGGCATCCCGGACATCCCAGGGCCACACTACCATGGCCCGCAGAGTGCAGGCAACATCCAGGCTGGACTAAAGGCAGCAGAGTCCGGGAGTCTTGGGCCTCCCCTGGAGGGGGCTGCCCCAGCCTGAGCCACAGGGAGTCCCCAGTCCTAGGTCCTTCCAGGTCAGGGGTGGCACCAACAGACACACAGCAGGAAAGTCTCCCACAGGGTCAAAGTCCAGGGCACACTGGGAGACTTGGTGGCCTAGCTCACCCTGCCCTGTCCCTCCTGACTGACCCCTGGAAGGACGAGCAGTCCTAGGCGGCCTCCCCCACTGACTCCTCCCATGAGGCCCAGGGAGGGAGGGAGGAGGCTGAGTGTGCACCCCCTGCATCCCACCCCCGTTGGTGGGTGCAGCACCCACCCTGGACGTGCAGATGACTTCTCGCAGGTTAATGTTCATCCAGTTGTCGCAGCTCACCAGGTGTCCATTGTACGTCTCCCCATTTTTCAGCTCCACCAACTAGAAGAGAGACAGGCTAGAGGTTGGCTGTAGCCCTGGAGCCCTGCGCCATGGGCCCCTCAGGAGGTGTAGCTCTGCCCTGAGATGGACCACCACCTCCGGGCCTCAGCCCACAGTTCCCAGACCCCTAAATGGCCTTCCTTACAGGCGACAGGCTCTGCCTCCGCTAGACACTTCGCTGGCAGTTAGACAGTCTATCATGACGCCAACCTTTGTGCAATTAAAAAATGATACTGGGCCGGGCGCGGTGGCTCACGCCTGTAATCCCAGCACTTTGGGAGGCCGAGGCAGGCAGATCACGAGGTCAAAAGATTGAGACCATCCTGACCAACATGGTGAAACCCCATCTCTACTAAAATCATAAAAATTAGCTGGGCATGGTGGTGCATGCCTGTAGTCCCAGCTACTCGGGAGCCTGAGGCAGGAGAACTGTTTGAACCCAGGAGGCGGAGGTTGCAGTGAGTTGAGATAGGGGGAGGTTGCAGTGAGCTGAGATCGCACCACTGCACTCCAGCCTGAGCAACAGAGTGCCACTTGGTCTTAAAAAAACAAAAAACTAAGAAACACAGAAATGTTTAAAGGAATAAGTGAGACAATGGTGATGGTGGCCACTGATCCAGGGTGGCTGGGGGCCAGGTGGGCACAGCTGGGCTGGTCCTGGCAGGCACCCCCACAACACCAGATATTTGGGCTTCAGTGTTCCACAAATGCTGTTTTTTACTGCAATAATTACTCATCTATTTTGGTATGTTTTGAGAACAAAGATAAGTAGCAGATCATTCTGAGGATATGCTGCTGTTAGGAAAAGACTGATATTTTTTGGTGTCTTTTATGAGACAGGGTCTTGCTCTGTTGCCCAGGCTGGAGTGCAGTATCGTGATCATGGCTCACTACAGCCTCAACCTCCTGGGCTCAAGCCATCCTCCCACCTCAGTTTCCCTAGTAGCTGAGACTATAAGCGCACACTACCACATGTGGTTAATTTCTTTTCCTTTTGTAGAAGTGGGGTCTCACTGTTGCCCAGACTGGTCCCAAACTCCTGGGCTCAAGTGATCCTCCTGTCTTGGCCTCCCGGGGTGCTGGGATTATAGGCATTAGCCACCACACTCAGTCCAAGCCTGAGATTTTCTTTTGAGATGGAAGTTTCTCTGTTGTTGCTCAGACTGGAGTGCAATGGTGTGATCTCAGCTCACTGCAACTTCTGCCTCCCGGGTTCAAGTGATTCTCCTGCCTCAACCTCCCAAGTAGCTGGGATTACAGGCGCCTGCCATCACGCCCAGCTAATTTTTTAGTAGAGACGGGGATTTCACCATGTTGGCCAGGCTGGTCTTGAACTCCTGACCTCAGGTGATCCACCCGCCTTGGCCTCCCACCAGGGCTGAGATTTTTAAATGACTCAACTTAGGCATCTGCCCAAGAGAAATGAACACAGGCAACCATACAAAAATGTGTGCGTGAATGTTCACAGTGACACTGTTCGCAATAGCCAAAAAGGGGAAAGAGCCCAGATGCCTATCAGCAGACAAACACATAAACAAAATGTAGGCCGGGCGTGAGCCTGTAATCCCAGCACTTTGGGAGGCCGAGGCGGGCGGATCACGAGGTCATGAGATCGAGACCATCCTGGCTAACACAGTGAAACCCCGTCTCTACTAAAAAAAAAATACAAAAAAAATTAGCCAGGCGTGGTGGCGTGTACCTGTAGTCCCAGCTCCTCAGGAGGCTGAGGCAGGAAAATGGCGTGAAACCAGGAGGCGGAGCTTGCAGTGAGCCCAGATCACTCCAGGCTGGGCGACAGAGCTAGACTCCCTCTCAAAAAAAAAAAAGTGGTAAGTATCCGCTCCACGGAGTATCGTCTGGCTATAAGGAATGAGGCACTGACACAGGCCACAGGGTGGATGAACCTCAAAAACACGTTGCTGAGTGACAACCACCAGGCTCGAAAGGCCTCATGGTCTCCGTTCGCATGCATGGGAAATATCCGGAATAGGCAACCCCACAGAGACGGCAGCTGCCTCATGCTCATCAGGGACTGGGGCTGGGAAGTGACTGCTGATGGAAATGGGCTTTCCTTTTGTGGAGACGGAAATGTTCCGGCCTAGATAAAGGTGGTGGTTACACAACCTGTGACTGCACCAAATGCCACTAAATTGTGCACTTTAACTGAAGTGTTAGTATGTAATATTATCCTTTTTTTTTTGAGATGGAGTCTCGCTCTGTCACCCAGGCTGGAGTGCAGTGGCGCGATCTCAGCTCACTGCAAGCTCCGCCTCCCGGGTTCACGCCATTCTCCTGCCTCTGCCTTCCAAGTAGCTGGGACTGCAGGTGCCCGCCATCACGCCCGGCTAATTTTTTTGTATTTTTAGTAGAGACGGGGTTTCACCGTGTTAGCCAGGATGGTCTCGATCTCCTGATCTGCCCGCCTCGGCCTCCCAAAGTGCTGGGATTACAGGCATAGAGCCACCACGCCCGGCCAATATTATCATTTTTTGGAGACAGGGTTTCACTGTCACCCAGCGACCTGCAACCTCAAACGCCTCAGGCTCAGGTGATCCTCCTGCCTTAGGCTCCCAACTAACTGGAACTACAGGTGCACGCCACTACACCCAGCTAATTTTTATATTTTATGGAGAGACGTGGTTTCTCCATGTTGCCTAGACTGGTCTCTGAACTCCTGGGCTGAAGCCATCCTCTAGCCTCAGCCTCCCAAAGTGCTGGAATTATAGGCCTGAGCCACCATGCCCAACCTGAAGTTCTTTTTATTTTTTTAAGTGACAGGGTCTTGCTATATTGCCCAGGTTGGATTTGAACTCCTGGGCTCAAGTGATCCTTCCACCTCATTAATTTTCTTTTTCTAGAGACAAGGTTTCACTCTGTCGCTCAGACTGGAGCGCAGTGGTATGATCATAGCTCACTGCAGCCTCAAACTCCTGGGATCAGTCGATCCTCTTGCCTCAGTCTCCTGAGTAGCTGTGACTATAGGCACACACCACCTCATCTGGCTAATTTTAAGTTTTTCTTCTTGCCCAGGCTGATCTCGAACTCCTGAGCTCAAGCGATCCTCCTGTCTTGGCCTCCCAAAGTGCTGGGATTACAGGCGCGAGCCACTGCAACTGGCCCATTAAATTTTTAGTAAGTATGTATGTATTACTCTTACAAGCAGCAGAAATGACAGGAGTGTGGACACTCCTGGGGAGGGAGAAGAGAGCAAACTGCCATGCTGGTGGACAGGCAGGCCAGGAAGCCGTCTGCTCAGCCACCGCCCCTGTGCTGAGGCTGGCCCCCTCTCAAACAGGCTTTCCCAGACCACTGAGTACTCACCATGGGGTGATTCTGAGCCGTCTTCAGCAGTGACAAGGGAAGCTGAAAGGCAAATAAAGCCACATGATTTGTCTGTTTGACCAGCGCCTGGGAGCTCTGGTCTTGAGTCCCACCCATGACTCATAGATGGTGCGGTGCGGTTGAGGGGGCACAGGAGTGCGTGTCAATCACCCCCCACTGGAAATGCCATTTCCTCACTCTGCCCAGCCCTGGAACACACACCTGCCTCTCAGATTAGGAAGAAAAGCCTCACACACCCTCCCTACTCCCGTAGGTGGCCACCACCTGCTCTTGGTGCTGAACACTCTGGTCAATTTTTTTTTTTTTTTTTTTTTTGAGACGGAGTCTCGCTCTGTCACCCAGGCTGGAGTGCAGTGGCATGATCATGGCTCACTGCAACCTCCACCTCCCGTGTTCAAGCCTCACAAGCAGCTTGCCTCAGCCTCCCAAGCAGCTGGGGACAACAGGCATGCGTCACCACACCCAGCAAATTTTTGTATTTTTAATAAAGGCGGGGTTTCACCATGTTGGCCAGGCTAGTCGCAAACTCCAGACCTCAGGTGATCCACCCGCCTCGGCTTCCCAAAGTGCTGGGATTACAGGCATGAGCCACCGTGCCTGCCCTAATGCTTGTATTTTAAGCTCAAACTGGTATCTCTGAGATGCATCCATGTTGATGAGGTTACTCTGAGTATGGAGTTGAGGACACTACAGCTTGGAAACCCGAGGAACTTGCCCAGTACTATGGCGCTAGGAGGAGACAGAGCTGGCCTGGTCCTGTCTGTCTGAAGCAAGCACAAGACCATGCCTTGCAGGGCAGCCCCAACTGGCCCAAGACTGACACTGCCAGGCCCCAATGCAGGGGTCAATCCCATCAGAGAAGGCCACATCTGAGCTGGTTTTATTTTTATTTTTTTAGATGAAGCCTTGCTCTAAAAATACAAAACTTTGCTGGGCACGGTGGTGCGCATCTGTAGTCCCAGCTACTTGGGTGCTGAGGCAGGAGGATTGCTTGAGCCTGGGAAGCAAGCCTGTCACCCAGGCTGGAGTGCAGTGGTGTGATCTTGGCTCACTGCAACTTCCACCTCCCGGGTTCAAGTGATCCTCCCGCCTCAGCCTCCCAAATAGCTGGGATTATTAGGGGTGCACCACCATGCCCAGCTAATTTTTGTACTTTTAGTAGAGATGGGGTTTCTCCATGTTGGCCAGGCTGGTCTTGAACTCCTGACCTCAAATGATCTGCTTGCCTGGTCCTCCCAAAGGGCTGGGGTAACAGCATTGAGCCATCACCCCCCGCCTGAACTGGGTTTTCTTTTTTTTTTTTTTTGAGACGGAGTCTCGCTCTGTCGCCCAGGCTGGAGTGTAGTGGTGCAATCTCGGCTTACTACAAGCTCCGCCTCCCGGGTTCATGCCATTCTCCTGCCTCAGCCTCCCGAGTAGCTGGGACTACAGGCGCCCACCACCATGCCCGGCTAATTTTTTTTTATTTTTATTTTTGTATTTTTAGTAGAGACAGGGTTTCACCGTGTTAGCCAGGATGGTCTCGATCTCCTGACCCCGTGATCCGCCTGCCTTGGCCTCTCAAAGTGCTGGGATTACAGGCGTGAGCCACCGCACCCGGCCCTGAACTGGGTTTTCAAAGACAGGAAGTCACCAGGTAAGGTGAACTTTCAAGATTTTTTTTTTTGATGGTGACAGGCTTTTACTATATTGCCCAAGCTGGTTTTGAACTCTTGGCCTCAGGGAATCCTCCCATCTCAAGCTCCCAAGTAGCTGGAATTATAGGTATGCACCACCACGCCTGGTTTCAAGATGTTTTTTTCCATCATTACTGAATTTCTTTATTATGTCAAATATGTAGTATTTCTATTACTGGGGGGGAAATCAACACTTTCATTTTGGAAACAGAAAACTCAACCCGTACGCTGGGAGCTGCCTCGGGTAACGCAGAGCTGTGCCTGGGTGCGGGGTCCTATAACATGCCCGTTCTAGTACTGCCATGAGGAAGGCCCCAGCACCAAGGGGCCCTGACAAGACAGTGCCTCATGGGACACAGGCTTCACCTAGCCCTGTCCTGGTGACTGGAATTCCAGGTGGCCCTGACCCCAGATGCCTTTGCTGGGAGTCCTGCCCTGGCCACCACCCTAATCCACAGTGTGGCTGCTTTTCCAGGTGGTGTGAACTTGAAGGCCTCTCCCTGTGGAGGCCGGAAATGGCCCTCAACCCTGGCCGGGTGGCTCCCCAATGAAAGGAAGGGGTTGGGGAGGGAATCCTACATCCCACAGCCCCTTCCTGAGAAGAGCTGCCCAGGGGAGGTTGGTGCCAGCAGGAAGCCAGGCCCAAGCCCACTTCCTGCACCGGCTTCCTGGAAGAGCCAGATAAGGGGGAAGAAAGGGCCATGTGGCCCCGGGGCAGCTGCTAGGAGAGGCAGGGGAGGAGGGCTGCGGGCGGCTGGGTGTGCATCTGACTGGGTGCCACCAGCCACAGAGAAAACACAGGAGCCACAGACTGGCACACGGGTCTCATGCCCAGGTCGCCCTTTACTGTGAAGAAGCCGTGGGTTTTCCTCAGCAAGCCTGTTTTCTTTCTCTAGTCCGTAACAGGAACGGGACCTTGGACCTCCTCCTGGATCACCAGGGAAGGCGCAGAGGTCAGGCTAGCCCTTAAAGGCCCACCTCTCATTCTGCAGAGGAGGCGCCAGCGCCCACAGCAGAAGTGACCTGCCCAGGGACATCCAGCAAGGCCCTGGCAAAGCTGCCCAGAGGCAGGTAGCTTGTAGACACACCTTCCATGCCAGTGACAGACCCTCTTGGGCCACCACCTGGTCTCAGCGACCAATAGCACAGCCTGGGAGGACCCACGGCCTCCTTGCCTGTCACTTGCAGTCCCATCCAAAAAGCAGCAGAAAGAACATCTGAGAAACAAAGAGAGCTGGTGGGATGGCCACGGAGGCTCTCGCCTGTAATCTCGGCACTTTGGGAGGCTGAGGCGGGCAGATCACCTGAGGTCAGGAGTTCCAGACCAGCCTGGCCAACATGGCAAAACCCCACCTCTACTAAAATACAAAAATTAGCTGGGCGTGGTGGTAGGCAACTGTAATCCCAGCTACTCAGGAGGCTGAGGCAGGAGAATCGCTTGAAACCAGGAGGCAGAGGTTGCAGTGAGCCAAGATTGCGCCACTGCACTCCAGCCTGGGCAACAGAGCGAGACTGTTTCAAAAAAAAACAAAAAACAAAAAAACAAAACAAAAGAAAGACTGGCTAGGCGCCGTGGCTCATGCCTGTAATCCCAGCACTTTGGGAGGCCAAGGTGGGCGGATCACGAGGTCAGGAGTTCGAGACCAGCCTGGCCAATATGGTGAAACCCCATCTCTACTAAAAATACAAAAATTAGCCAAGCATGGTGGCGCACACCTGTAGTCCCAGCTACTTGGGAGGCTGAGGCAGAAGAATCGCTTGAACCCAGGAGGCAGAGGCTGCAGTGAGCTGAGATTGTGCCACTGCACTCCAGCCTGGGTGACAGTGACACTTCATCTCAAAAACAACAACAACAACAACAAAAAACCCAAATAGGGTTGGTGCAGACCCACTCTCACAACACTCCTCAGGCCCGCTATAGAGTCAAGGCAGACAGGCTCTGCCACACTGGCCGCCACACCCATTCCTGCCACCTGACCTTTGCTTCTGCTATTGCCTCTGCCTGGGGTGACCTTCCCCAGGCTGCTGAAACGTCACCTCCTTTGGCCAGGCCCTTTTAATGGCCACCCTCTGCCTCATGGGTGTTTGTTTCCATCATAGGATGCAGCCAGTCTTTAATTACCTTGTTTATTACCTGTGTCCCTCGCTAGACTGGAACACTCAAAGTGGGTGTGGACTTTGTCCAGGGCCAAGCACAAGGCCAGGCACATGAGAGGGACTCGGTAAATATTTGCTGAATAAATACACAAGAAAAATGCACACACTACCCAGGGAGGCATGCAGGGAAGGCAGAACACTCGCCCCACCCCACAGGTAAGGGAAGGAGTGGCTGCGGGACAGGGAGCTGCCTGACTCCCAGGCCCTCCCAGGCTGCAATGGCCTGGGCCTGTGACCATATATCTTGATTTCTCCTACATCCTCATCTCCAAACTCTGTTGGAGAGAGGTCAGAGGAAGGGGTGGATCCTCAAAATCTTAAAAGAAGATACATCAAAGTGCCAGGTGAGGCTGGGCACAGTGGCTTGTGCCTGCAATCACAGCACTTTGGGAGACTGAGGTGGGAGGATCGCTTGAGCCCAGGAGTATGAGACCAGCTTGGGCAACACAAAAGATTCTGTCTCTACAAAAAATCTAGAAATTAGCCAGGTTTAGTGATGCATGCCTGTGGTCCCAGCTACTTGGGAGGCTGAGGTCAGGTGGGAGGATCACGGGCCAGTGAGGTTGAGGCTGTAGTGATTGTGCCACTGCACTCCAGCCTGGATGAGAGTGAGATCTCAGCTCTGAAAAACAAAAAAAGTCTAGAGTGCAGTGGCTCACGCCTGTAATCCCAGCACTTTGAGAGGCCGAGGTGGGTGGATCACCTGAGCTCAGGGGTTCAAGACTAGCCTGGCCAACATAGTGAAACCTGATCTCTACTGAAAATACAAAAATTATCCAGGTGTGGTGGTGCGTGCCTGTAATCACAGCTACTTGGGAGGCTGAGGTAGGAGAATCACTCTCGGAGAGGTGGAGGTTGCAGTGAGCTGAGATTACACCACTGCACTTCAGCCTGGGCGACAGAACAAGACTCTGTCTCAAAAAAATAAATAAAATGAAATAGAAAAAGAAAAAAAGTGCCAAGTGTGATAGGAGAGGCCCCACCCTGGTTTATGGAAGGTCACAAGAAAATTCAGAAAAGAGAATTCCTTTCTCTGGGCTTTCTTGGAGCATCTGGAATCTGGTTCTCAGGTCTAGATCCACGAGGACCTAAACCCAGTGCCTCCTAATTCAGGAAGCTGTCCAGGACTGCCCATCCCCGCTGCTAACCTAGGCCACTCCTTCTGGCCCTGCCCTGACGACAGGGAACTGGAAGTGTGTATCCTGTGATGGCTTGTCCATTCTCGGCTACTCCTCCAGGAAACAGCTGGACAGCCAGGACTCTGGATGTTCAGAAGGTGGGAAGGGGCTGAATGAATGAGTTCACACTTTGCCCACGCACCGTTCTACATACTGGGAATCTAGTCGGAAGAAAAACGAAGATCCTGCTCCCACAAAACTTAACACAGGGATGGATCCTTCCAGCTCTGCCCAGTCTTACATGCCAACTCTGCCCTCTAAGTACACCGCAGAGAGGGACAGGCTCTCTGAATCCTTGCACTTGAAATCGCCTTTGCAAAAATTGTAGCGGGAAATTATGACAGTGAAAAGAGATCAGACCTAACCGACTCCATTGTGCTTCTAACCTTTACGCCATCTTTGCTTATTCCTAGGTATAGGCCAAACTAACCTTGGGAAGGGATTTAGTTTATAGTTTGACTCTGGAACAAAATTGGTAATAGCCCTTTCCCGAAAAGACCCTCTTCTTGCCTGGGGACCAGTCTGCCTTTGTAGGACTAACAAATAAGCTACAAGATTAGAAATTACCATTTAGGTAACTTCAGCCTCTGGCTGCAAGAGTCTGAAACTCCCCAAATTGCTCCTTGGGATAACATCACTATTATAAAATCTAAGATCAGTGCTTGAGATATTTTGCAGACCCCGTACTTGACGGATCAGCTGACACTACCCAGACCAGTAATCTGGCTCAACCAGTCCTGCGATCCCACCCAGGAACAGAAGACAGCAAGAAAACCTCACTTCAACACTCCCGTCGATGACTCCATCGACCTCAGGAAGCTCCAACCAATCAGCACTCCCCACTTCCTGAGCCCCTACCCGCCAAATTATCTTTCAAAACTCGGATCCCCTAATGCTCAGCGGAGACTGATTTGAGCAATAATAAAACTCTGGTCTCCTGCATAGCTGGCTCTGTGTGAAATACTCTTTCTCCACTGCAATTCCCCTGTCTTGATAAATCTGTCTAGGAAGACAGGCAAGGTGAACCCATTGGGTGGTTACACACTGACCAGCCGGATTTAGGGAGAGTTCTCACTAATCCACAGTTCTGATGCAGCCACCCCTGGGGGACCCTCCTGGTTACTGAATCTCCCACTGTCTCACAGAGTCTGGAAGTCACATCCCCAACAAGGGCCTTGGTTTCTCTCATTGAAAAAAGAAGGACCAGAAGCTGATGGGCCAGGAAACTCCCAGCTCTGAATTCCTTTTCCGATCTGCACAGTGGGGGACACGGGCACTTTCTAGCCCAGATCCAGAACTTCCAGAATCATAAACAATGGGCCCTGCAGAGACCTGGGCCGCAATTTTTCCTTCTTTGTATTGGGAGGATGTACTTTGTCCACCCCTAGCTCAAAACGCCCCCTTCCGCTGGAATGACATGCTATGTGACCCAAGGAGAAACACCACACCCCAGCACCAGGCCTGCTTTTCAGCCAGAAACCAAGAGGCCTAGGAGGCTGTGCTGCTAGCATCTTGCAAGCTCTGAAATTCCTAAAACTAAGTTTCACAACTCAGACTGGCCCCCTACTTCCCAGCACTCTAGTTTTCAATCAGGGAGGTCAGACTGGGCCCGAAGCGTAAGGGACCCCTTCCCTGCCCAAAAACTCTCTGCTGCATTTGGCGGATCCCCACCTTTTTTTTTTTTACTTCAGTTTCCCCACCTGCAAACTGGGAAAACTAACTAAGGCGAGGCCACTGTACTGTGGATACAAGTCCGTGCAACCCTAAATCCCAGACACGAACGTGATAGAGCCACCTGCAGTCTCCGGCCTCAGTTTCCCAGCCTCGTGCCGGGGGGCGGGACTCGAGGCTCGGACCTTACGTTCGCCCCGCGCCAACCAAGCCCACAGCGCCCGCCCGCAGGGATCCCAACGACTGCTGTTCCCGCCTCCCGGTGAGACCCCGCAGTTGCCCTGCCCTCACCATGGTGCCGGCGGGGACCGGGCTCGCCGGCCACTTCCGCCGCCGCCGCTGCACACGCTCCCGGCGGTCGTCGCCGCGCCGCGCGCCACTAAGCTGAAAGAAAGTGGCAGAGACGCAAGCCAGTCAGCACCGGGCTCGAAGGGCGGTCAACCAATCCACGCGGAGTAGGGCGGGGCCCGCTGGGCGAAAGGGCGGGGCGGGCCGTGTTCCCGCCGGAGGAACGAGGACGAGAGCCGTAAAGTGCCGCGGCTTGTAATGCAAAAGGAGGCGGAGCAACGCGCGCCGGCGCGGGGTGCATTGTGAGGAAATGCGTGCGCAGGTGAAACCTTCGTCGGTCTCCTGGGCTCCACGCTGTGGGCAAAGCCAGTTAATGCCTTTCGTTTGCAGTAGAGAGAGAGAAATCGAGGCTTCGTGGTGATTGGGCCGTGCCTGATGTTGCCCTTCCGACTCCTAGTTTTCTGATTCTGTAATTATCCAGGGAACATCATTTAATAGGTTGGAATCCTGACCACGACCCTCGGGGCCTCAGTTTGCTCCCTGTAAATAGTAGTGTCTGCTCCAAAACGTTGCTTACTGTAAGGATGAAATGAATGAAACCATGTAAAAGCACTTAAAACAGCGTCTGGCACATATTAAGTACTTATTACCTACTCTGTGCCTGTTTCTGCTCACAGAATGAACAAAACACAAAATTCGTGGCCCTCAGGGAGACAGACAGTAAACAAAGTAAATAGGCGAATGCTATTAGTTTTCTGGGGCCTGCTGTAACAAATGCCCACACACTGCGAGGTTTAAAACAACAGAACGTGATTTTCTCACAATTCAAGAGATCAGAATAATGAAGTGAGGTTGTCAGCACAGTTGGCTCCCTCTGGAGGCTCTGAGGACAATCTGTGTGTCCTATGCCTCTCTCCTGGGTTCTGGTGGCTGCTGGGAATCCTTGGAGTTCTTGGCTTGTAGATGCAGCCTTCCGCGTTCTGCCTTTGTCGTCACTTGGCCTTCTCTGTGTGTCTCTGAGTCTCAAATGTATCTCTCCTTTTTTTTTTCTTTTTTTTTTTTGTAGTAGAGACAGGGTCTCCCTATGTTGTCCAGGCTGGTCTCGAACTCCTGGGGTCAAGCAATCCTCCCTCCTCTGCCTCCCAAAGTGCTGGGATTACAGGCGTGAGCCACCGAGCCCGGCCGCTCCTTTTTCTTGTAAAGGACACTCCTTTCTCTTATTAAGTCCACCATAAATTTCAGGATAATGTCATCTCAAGATCCTTAATTACATCTGCGAAGACCCTGTTCTTTTTTTTTTGAGATGGAGTCTCATTCTATCACCCAGGCTGCAGTGCAGTGGTGCGATCTCAGCTCACTGCAACCCCTCCCTCCTGGGTTCAAGGGATTCTTCTGCCTCAGCCACCCGAGTGGCTAGGATTACAGGCACATGCCACAATGCCCAGCTAATTTTTGTATTTTTAGCAGAGACGGGGTTTTGCCATGTTGGCCAGGAGGTGGCCTCGAACTCCTGACCTCAGGTGATCCTTCCACCTTGGCCTCCCAAAGTGCTGGGATTACAGGCATGAGTCACCACGCCCAGCCTCGTTTTTAAATGACTGATGCTATTTATTGACATTATTCATAATATCAAAAGACTGAAAAAAACCCAATGCGACCAAATAATAGAGTAATACAGCTATAAAAAGGAATGAAGACAATCTTCATATACTGACATTGAATGGTGTCTGGATATCTTAAGTGAAAAAAACCAAGGTAGAGAACAGTTTTTACAATATGTCCTCTTTTGTGTGCAAAAAGAGAAATACATGCATGTGTATGTGTATATATATTTGCATGTGTGTGTGTATATATATATATATATATATTTTTTTTTTTTAACCACACCAAGCACGTGAACCAAATTTGCTTATATTTTTAATAAGAAACATAAAGGCCAGGCTCAGTGGCTCATGCCTGTAATTGCAGCACTTTGGGAGGCCGCGGTGGGCAGATCACCTGAGGTCAGGAGTTTGAGACCAGCCTGGCCAATATGGTGAAACCCCATCTCTACTAAAAATACAAAAAAATTATCTGGGCATGGTGGCGGGCACCTGTAATCCCAGCTACTCTGGGGGCTGAGGCAGGAGAATTGCTTGACCCCGGGAGGTAGAGGTTGCAGTGAGCCGAGAACGTGCCACTGCACTGCAGCCTGGGCGACAGAGTGAGACTCTGTCTCAAAAAAAAAAAAAAAAAGAAACGTAAAAAGTACGAACCAGGCCAGGAGCGGTGGCCCATGCCTGTAATCCCAGCACTCTGAGAGGCTGAGGTGGCTGGACCACTTGAGCCCAGGAGTTCCAGACCAGCCTGGGAAATACAGCAGCAAAACCCTGAATCTACAAAAAATGCAAACAAGTAGCCAAGTGTGGTGACTGTGCATGAAGTCTCAGCTACTCAGGAGGCTGAGCAGGGAGAACTGCTTGAGCCTAGGAGGCAGAGGTTGCAGTAAGCTGTGATCCTGCCTCTGCACTCCAGCCTGGGTGACAGAGCAACACACTGTCTCAAAACAAACAAACAAAAGAAGCATGAACCAAAATATAGGCCAGGCACGGTGTCTCACACTTTAATCCCAGCATTTTGGGAGGCTGAGGCAGGTGGATCACCTGAGGTCATGAGTTCGAGACCAGCCTGGCCAACATGGTAAAACCCCATCTCTATAAAAATACAAAAATTATCTGGGCGTGGTGGCGCGTGCCTGTAGTCCCAGCTACTCAGAAGGCTGAGGCAGGAGAATCACTTGAACCCGGTTAGGAGGAGGTTACAGTGCATGCCATTGCACTCCAGCCTGGGTGACAGAGCAAGACTCCATCTCAAAAAAAAAAAAAAAAAAAAAAAAGTAACCTGGGAGAATAAGGGAACAAGATGAAATCATAAGAATGAAAGCCAGACTTCTTTCAGTGTACCTTATTGTCTAGTTTCAACTTTGGAAGCATAATTAAAAATAAAAGTCAAAAGGAAAAATCAAAAGAAATCCCTAAAAATGGAAACAAACAAATGAACCTCACTGTATATCAAGTTGCAAAGACCCTATTTCAATTACAGTCACATTCACAGCTACCAGCAGGTTAGGATTTGGATATACGTGTGTGTGTGTGTGTGTAAATTTTTTTACGACTGCGTCCCTCTTGCCCAGGTTGGAGTATAGTGGTGCCATATGGCTTATTGCATCCGCAACTTCCTGGGGTCAAGTGATCCTCCCATCTCAGCCTCTGAGTAGCTGAGACTGCACACAGGTGTCACCGCCACGCCCAGCTTATTTATTAATTTAATTTATTTATTTATTCATTTTGTAGAGATGGGGGTCTGCTTGTTGCCCTGCCCTCACCGTGCTAGCCTCCAACTCCTGGGCTCAAGAGATCCTCCCACCTTGGCCTCCCAAAGTGCCAGGATTATAGGCATGAGCCACCATGCCCAGCTGGGATATATATTTTTAGGGGCTACTACTCATTACATCAAGTATCAGCTGTGGTAGCTTTAAACATAGGCATTTATTTGAGTAGTTTACTTCTCCACAGTGACATGCCTATAGTTTTTTTTTTTTTTTTTTTTTGAAACAGAGTCTCATTCTGTCACTCAGGCTGGAGTACAGTGGCGCGATCTCGGCTCACTGCAACCTCCACCTCCTGGGTTCAAGCGATTCTCCTGCCTCAGCCTCCCAAGTAGCTGGGATTACAGGTGTGCACCACCACACACAGCTAATTTTTGTATTTTTAGTAGAGACGGGGTTTCACCATGTTGGCCAGGCTGGTCTCAAACTCCTGACCTCGGGTGATCCACCTGCCTCGGCCTCCCAAAGCGCTGGGATTGCAGGAGTGAACCACTGTGCCCGGCCAATGACATGCCTATAGTTACATACACTTGCAAGCAGGACTATAACCTGAATTCCTAGAAGAGGCTTATCTAGGTGCCAATCAAAGGTTCCATCCCCTGGCCACATGCCTTGACTTTCAGGCCTACAAATGAGCAATAGGGGACCTCATAAAGTGACTCCTTGTATCCCAGCCTCCTGAGTCTCAGCACTGCCCTGAGAGCCTTTTCTTACCAAGTCCAGGGTGAGGAACTTCTGGCTGAAAGGACCCTATGCCTCTCAGAGCTGAACTGGGGAACCCTTGTTCAACTTCTCAAAGATTTTCCTGCTGGGCATGGCGGAGCACGCCTGTAGTCCCAGCTACTCAGGAGGCCGAGGCAGGATGATCGTTTGAGCCCAGCAGTTCGAAATCCCAATTCCCTGATCCTTCTGACTGGCACCACATCCAGGTGGAGTGGACTCTGGAGGTCTGAGAAAGCCCAGGGAGCCTTATAAGAGGAAGCCAGGCCAGGCGCAGTGGCTCACACGTATAATCCCAGCACTTTGGGACGCCGAGGTGGGAGGAGATCACTTGAGCCAGAAGTTCCAGACCAGACTGGGCAACATAATAAGACCTACGTCTCTACTAAAAATTTTAAAATAGGCCAGGCATGGTGGCTCATGCCTGTAATCCCAGCACTTTGGGAGGCCGAAAGTTCAGGAAAGTTCAGGTTCAGGACCAGCCTGGCCAACATGGTGGAAACCCTGTCTCTACTGAAAAAAAAAAAAAATACAAAAATTAGCTGGGTGTGGTGGTGCGCCTGTAATCCCAGCTACTCAGGAGGCTGAGGTGGGAGAATTGCTTGAACTAGGGAGGTGGAGGCTGCAGTGAGACCAGATTGCACCACCGCACTCCAGCCTAGGCAACAGAGCAAGACCCCATCTCAAAAAAAAAAAAAAAAAGAAAAAGAAAAAGAAAAGAAAATATGGCGAAACCCCATCTCTACTGAAAATACAAAAATTAGGCTGGCGCGGTGGCTTACGCCTGTAATCCCAGCACTTTGGGAGGCCGAGGCAGGTGGATCACCTGAGGTCAGGAGTTCAAGACCAGCCTGGCCAAAATGGTGAAACCCTGTCTGTACTAAAAATACAAAAATTAGCCAGGCGTGTTGGCGGGCGCCTGTAATCCCAGCTACTCAGGAGGCTGAGGCAGGAGAATCGCTTGAACCCGGGAGGCGGAGGTTGCAATGAGCTGAGATCGCACCATTGTACTCCAGCCTGGGTGACAGAGCGAGACTCTGTCTCAAAAAAAAAAAAAAAAAGATTAGCTGGGTGCAGTGGCCTGCGGCTGTAGTCCCAGCTACTTGGGAGGCTGAGGCAAGAGAATCACTTAAGGCCGGAAGGCGCAGTTTGTAGTGAACCGAGATGGTGCCACTGCACTCCAGCCTGGGTGACAAAGTGAGACTCCATCATAAAAAAAAAAAGGAAAGAAACAGGGTCTATGAGGTGTCCCAGCATCAACATGGCGATGAAGGTAGCAGCAAACCGCATGCTGGGTCATCCTTTCTGACTTTTCTAGACTTTTCTACATGCAGTCTTTCTTTTTTTGCACAACTTGCAAACTCCTATTCATCGTTGAAACCTCTGCTTCGGTGTCCCCTTGTGGCAGCCAGTGGTTACTGCAGTTTTTTTGTTTGCCCTTTCAACAGTAAGGGTGGCCAATCAGCGTTCCCCATCCCCCTGGCTACAGGGATTGGTTAAAGAAAGAGCACGGAATTTACCAAGGCCAATGAGATTCTCCCCTGGGAAGGATACCGAGGGCTGGGAGGGAGAAGAGCTGGTTCCTGGGGAGTTAAAGGGAAAGTCCAGCACCCCTTAGGCTCTGTCCTCTGGAAGAAGCTTTCTGCAGAAATAATCCAGCAGACACAAGACAACGGAGGTACTCGGTGGAAAGGGAAGTATGGTTTGAGCCCCTGGATCCAGCTATAGTTGAAGCCACAGCTATGATGAGCTTAAATGAGCCCAAGAAGTTTTTTTTAATTGCTTCATCCACTTGGAATTTGCAGTCTGTCCCTGGCAAAAGAGCCAGTACTAATGCATATCTGCTCTGTGAACTCTTCCTTAGCTGCCTTGCTCAAAAGCTAATCATTCCTTCTCTTATACTTTGAACTTTAGTACCCTCCACTGATTTCCATCATTGCCTGGTTTATGCCATGTTGTAATTGCTTGTTTCAGCCCTCTCAACTTTGACTTGTAGGAGCAAGGACCTAAGAGGTTTCCTGGGGCTCTATTTGGGGCTGTTCAGGACAGTTTACCCTCCCCTATCATCATGAATGCATGACCCAGGCTGGGGCAATCAGAAGGCTTCCCTGGCTGGCTGAGCATGGTGGCTGATGCCTGTAATCCCAGCACTTTGGGAGGCCGGCCGGTGGATCACCTGAGCCCAGGAGTTCGAGACCAGCCTGGGGAACATAGCGAGACCTCATCTCTCCAAAAAAAACTTAAGAAGAATTAGCTGGGCGTGGTGGCACGTGCCTGTAATTCCAACTACTTGGGAGGCTGAGATGGGAAGATGGCTTGAGCTTGGGATTTCGAGGCTGCAGTGAGCCATGATCATGCTACTGCACTCTACCCTGGGTGACAGAGCGAGATCCTATGAAAAAAAAAAAAAAAATCTTCCTTGGGATGGTTTTGGGATTGCAGAGCTGGAGTGATCGGCGATCACAGTCAGGTATAGCCATGGCCATTTCTTCACTGCAGAGTCATGGCCGTGTCTAAGCCTGAGCCCAGCTGTATCTGATGCTTCATAAATCTTCATTCTTCCGTATTCCACTAACCAAAATCCTATTCTGGATCCAGCTTAAATTATATTTCTGACCGGGCACAGTGGCTCACACCTGTAATCCCAGCAATTTGGGATGCCAAGGCGGGTGGATCACCTGAGGTCAGGAGTTCGAGACCAGCCTGGCCAACATGGCAAAACCCTGTCTCTACTAAAAATACAAAAATTAGCCAGGCGTGGTGGTGGGTGCCCGTAATCCCAGCTACTCAGGAGGCTGAGTCAGGAGAATCACTTGAACCCAGGAGGCAGAGGTTGCAGTCAGCCGAGATCATGCCATTGCACTCCAGCCTGGGCAACAAGAGCAAAACTCTGTCTCAAAAAAAAAAAAATTGTATTTCTTCCAGCAGAAACCTAAGAAGTCTAGATCAATGTACGTCTCCAACTAACAAAAATACCCTACCCACTACTAAAAAAAAAAGAACAGCATAAAAGCCAGTACTGGCAAGGTTGTGATGAAACTGGCAAACATGTGTTTCCTTTTAAATGGGAAAAAAGTTGGTATTATATCTCAAAAGCTATAAAAGTATCACACCCTTCAGCTCAGCAATCCATTTCTGAACATTTCTACTAAGGAAGTCTTTCGGGTGAAGGGAACCACCATGCCAGGGCCTCACAGCAATATCGCCAATTCTAAAAGAGCAATATTTTGCTGGGCGCAGTGCCTCACACCTGTAATCCCAACACTTTGGGAGGCCAAGGCGGGTGGATCACTTAAGGTCAGGAATTCAAAACCAGCCTAGCCCAACATGGCAAGACCCCGTCTCTACTAAAGGTACAAAAACTAGCCAGCCATGGTGGCGTGTGCCTGTAATCCCAGCTACTTGGGGGGCTGAGGCATGAAAATCGCTTGAACCTGGGAGGTAGAGGTTGCAGTGAGCTGAGATCACGCCATTGCACTCCAGCCGGGGCAACAGAGTGAGACTCCATCTTAAAAGTAAATAAGTAAATAGCAGGTTTTTTTAAAAAAAATTAGCTGGGCCAGGCGAGGTGGCTCACGCCTGTAATCCCAGCACTTTGGGAGGCCAAGGCGGGCGGATCACGAGATCAAGAGATCAAGACCATCCTGGTCCACATGGTGAAACCCCATCTCTACTAAAAATACAAAAATTAGCTGGGCATGGTGGTGATCACCTGCAATCCCAGCTGTTTGGGAGGCTGAGGCAGAAGAATCGCTGGAGTCCAGGAGGTGGAGGTTGTAAAGAGCTGAGATCGCGCCAGTGCACTCCAGCCTGGGCAACAAGAGTGAAACTCCGTCTCCAAAAAAAAAAAAAAAGGAAACGCAGACACCCTCCTGGGTTGCGCTTCGCTGGTCAAGGCAGTGACCCTCTCCCATCCGGGGAACCAGGAGCCTCACATGGATCAGGCCCTTCCTGATCCATGGCCACCTGAGCTGAAACAAAATATCATTTGTACCTTGCCCAGTGCATTCCTGGGGTGCAGGCAACCAAAGAACAGAGGTTCATTTGCCCCTGTCCTTGGCCGCCTTCATATCCCAGAGTCAGAAGAAGCAGAGATTCCTCAAATGGGTTTTGTTTTGTTTTGTTTTGTTTTTGTTTTTGTTTTTACTATTTTGAGACGGAGTTTCGCTCTTGTTGCCCAGGCTGGAGTGCAGTGGCGTGATCTCAGCTCACTGCAACTTCTGCCTCCTGGGTTCAAGCAATTCTCCTGCCTCAACCTCCTGAGTAGCTGAGATTACAGGCATGTGTCACCACGCCCGGGTAATTTTGTATTTTTAGTAGAGACCGGGTTTCTTCATGTTGGTCAGGCTGGTCTTGAACTCCCGACCTCAGGTGATCCACCTGCCTCAGCCTCCCAAAGTGCTGGGATTACAGGCGTGAGCCACTGCACCCAGCCATGGGGTCTTTCTTTCTTTTTTTTTTTTTTTTAAGACAGAGTCTCAGAAAGACCCCCTCAAGTGGGGTCTTGAAACTTCCTCCACTGTCCACCTACGCCCAGTGGCCTGGTAGAAGTTCCTTAGATGGGCACGGAGACTGCTGGATCCAGCCCCCCTTCATCCTGCACACATCTCTGCCCCCGCGCATTAATTGTGCACCTACTGTGTGCTGGCACAGACTAAAGGGAAAGAAGACCCAGCCTCAACGTTCAAACTACTCCAGGCGAAAAGAGGGAGAGGCAGGAGTGGGGAGTGGAGCAGTAAATATACCCTCCAAGGGGCGGGCCAGGGCTGGATGTGGGAGCAGGGGCCATGGGCAGTGGCTGACCACCAAAAGCACATCTGTGGGCCTAGTCTTTTTGTTGTTGTTGTTTGAGACAGGGTCTCACTCTGTTGCCCAGGCTGGAGTGCAGTGGCAAGATGGTAGCTCAGGCCAGGTGCGGTGGCTCACACCTGTAATCCCAGCACTTTGGGAGGCTGAGGTGGGCAGATCACTTGAGGCCAAGAGTTCGAGACTAGCCTAGCCAACATGGTGAAACCCCATCTCTGCTAAAAATACAAAAATTAGCTAAGTGTGATGGCGCGTGCATGTAATCCCTGCTACTTGGGAGGCTGAGGCAGGAGAGTCACTTGAACCTGGGAGGTGGAGGTTGTAGAGAGCCAAGATCACACGACTGCACTCCAGCCTGGGCAACAGAGTGAGACTCCATCTCAAAAAAAAAAAATAAATAAAAGGATAATAGCTCACTGCAGCATTGAACTCCTGGACTCAAGTGATCCTCCTGTTTCAGCCTCCTGAGAACCTGGGACCTGATGAGCTCGCTACCACCTTCGGGTGATTTTAAAATTTTTTGTAGAGATAGGGTTGCACAGCCTGGTCTTGAATTCCTGGACTCAACTCATCCTCCTGCCTCCACCTCCCAAGTATGAGCCTTGTCTTCTAGCCTGAGCTCCCCAAAGGCTTCACTATCTCCAGACACCGCCTGGAGAAAAAGGACACATTCATCCTTTAAGAATGCATGTCTGGGCCAGCCACGGTGGCTCATGCCTGTAATCCCAGCACTTTGGGAGGCCAAGGCAGGTGGATCACCTGAGGTCAAGAGTTTGAAACCAGCCTGGCCAACATGGCAAAACCCTGTCTCTACTGAAAATACAAAAAAGTAACCAGGCGTAGTGGCAGACAACTGTAATCTCAACTACTCGGGAGGCTGAGGCAGGACAATTGCTTCAACCTGGGAGGCAGAGGTTGCAATGAGCCGAGATCGTGCCATTGCACTCCAGCCTGGGTGACAAGAACGAGACTGTGTTTAAAAAACAACAACAACAACAACAACAAAGAATGCATGTCTGCCCAGACATCTCTCTCCCTACCATGGCCATGAGGCCCCCTGCAGTCCTCAAACTGGGCTTGGTTTACTCTGACAGAGCCAAAAGGACAGAGCCCTAACGCAGAGCCGTGTCGTCCCCATGAGCTCCAAATCTCCCTCCCTTCCAAGGCCACTCCTATTAGCAACTGGCAAAGCCCAGAGAGGCTTGGAGCCCCCAGGGGCAGGATCTGAGCGCCGGTGCAGAGTCCATGAGTCCTGCCTTCCCCCACCTGGCTCCCTAGGGCTTGGGTTCAGGGTGGCCTTAGTCCTCAGAAGCTCCCCAAACTTCCCTGGGTTGTGGAGGTGGGAGGCTAGAGAAAAATGTAGCTTCTGCCCAGCGCAGCGATACACATCCGTGATCCCAACTACTCGGGAGGCTGAGGCAGGAGGATCACACGAGCCCAGGAGTTGTGGGCTGTAGCGCACTGTGCTGATTGGGTGTCCACATTAAGTCTGGCATCAATATGGTGACCTCCCGGAGCAGGGAACCACCAGGTTGCCCAAGGAGGGGTGAACCAGCCTAGGTTGGAAACGGAGATGGTCAAAACTCCAGTGCTGATCCGTAGCGGGATCATGCCTGTGACTAGCCACTGCACTCCAGCCTGGTCGACAGAGTGAGACCCTGTCTCTAAAAAAGATAAATTTTAGGCTGGGCGAGTGGCTTATGCCTGTAATCCCAGCACTTTGGGAGGCTGAGGCAGGCGGATCACTTGAGGTCAGGAATTCCAGACCAGTACGGTGAAACTCTGTCTCTACAAAAATACCAAAAAAAAAAAAATTAGCCAGGCGGTGAAACTCTGTCTCTACAAAAATACAAAAAAAAAAAAAAAAATTAGCCGGGCATGATGACCTGCGCCTGTGGCCCCACCTACTCCGGAGGCTGAGGCACAAGAATTGCTTATACCTGGGAGGTGGGGTGAGCCAAGATTGCACCACTGCACTCCGGCCTGGGTGACTGAGCAAGATTCTCTCTAGAAAAAAAAAGAGATACATTTAAAAAATGCAGCTTGTTTTGCAAACCAACATCCAGCTTGGCAGGTTTTGCTCTATTTAGCATTTTTTTGTTTGTTTGGTTTTTTTTTAGATAGGTATTGCTCTGTTGCTCTGGCTGGTCTCACACTCCTGGCCTCAAGCAATCCTCCCACCTCACCTTCCCAAAGCGCTGGGATTACAGCAGGGGTCCCCAACCCCTGGGCTAAGGACTGGTACCAGTCTGTGGCCTGTTAGGAACCAGGCCGCACAGCAGTAGGTGAGCAGCGGGCAAACCAGTGAAGCTTCATCTGTATTTACAGCCAGTACCCATCACTCCCCAGTATCTCCTGAGCTCCGCCTTCTGCCAGACCAGCAGCAGCAGCATTAGATTCTCATAGGAGTGTGAACCCTATTGTGAACTGCACATGTGAGGGATCTAGATTGTGCACTCCTTATGATAATCTAATGCCTGATGATCTGAGGTGGAACAGTTTCATCCTGAAAACATCTTCATCCCCCCCAACCCCCAAGTGCATGGAAAAATTGTCTTCCATAAAACCAGTCCTTGGTGCCAAAAAGATTGGGGACTGCTGGATTACAGGCATGAGCCTCTGCGTCAGGCTTCACAGCATTGTTTTTTGTTTGTTTGTTTTTTTGAGACAGACTCTCGCTCCGTTGCCCACGCTGGAGTTCAGTGGTGCGATCTCGGCTCACTGCAACCTCCACCTCCCAGATTCAAGCGATTCTCCTGCCTCAGCCTCCTGAGTAGCTAGGATTACAGGCATGCACCACCATGTCTGGCTGATTTTTGTATTTTTAGTAGAGATAGGGTTTCACCATGTTTGCCGGGCTGGTCTTGAACTCCTGACTTCAAATGATCCACCCGCCTTGGCCTCCCAAAGTGGTGAGATTACAGGTGTGAGCCACCGTGCCCGGCCATTTATTTTATTATTTATTTATTTTTATTATTTTATTTTATTTTATTGAGATGGAGTCTCGCTCTGTCTCCCAGGCTGGAGTGCAGTGGCGTGATCTCGGCTCACTGCAAGCTCCGCCTCCCGGGTTCACGCCATTCTCCTGCCTCAGTCTCCTGAGTAGCTGGGACTACAGGTGCCCGCCACCATGCCCTGCTAATTTTTTGTATTTTTAGTAGAGACAGGGTTTCACCGTGTTAGCCAGGATGGTGTTGATCTCCTGATCTCGTGATCCGCCCGCCTCGGCCTCCCAAAGTGCTGGGATTACAGGCGTGAGCCACCGCGTGTGGCCTATTTATTTATTCATTGAGACAGAGTCTCGCTCCGTCGCTCAGGCTGGAGCGGAGTGGTGCGATCTTGGCTCACTGCAATCTTTGCCGCCTGAATTCAAGCGATTCTCCTGCCTCAGCCTCCAAAGTAGCTGGAATCACAGGCATGTGCCACTGATACGGGAGTGCTGGGATGGGGGGAGCGTGGTGCCTTTAAATGATAGGGAAGGGAAGTGCGGGGTAAAGGAGGGCCTGGTCCCTGGCTAGGGCTCCACCCCCAGAGACCTAGGTGAGGATCCGCACTCCCGCCTTCGTGCCCAAATATTGCATTTTCCAGGACCACACTGGCCCGCCACGCCCCCATCCTGTGCCTATAAAAACCCGAGACCCTAGCGGGCAGACACACAAGCTGCTGGACGTCTTGACGTACACATCCATGGAAGAAGATACAAGTGGCTGGACAGCGAGAGGACGTCGAGGGAGCACGCTCGCGGAAGGGCACACTGGCATGCAGGCGGGTAGTCGACCAGTGGAACTAGGCTGAGTTTGGCCTGGGCAGTCAGAGGAGAGCTGGGGCCGCCTAGCGACCCAACTCCAGAGAAAGACCATCTCCCTTCTCGCTCCCCCATCTACTGAGGGCTACTTCCACTCAATAAAACTTCATACTCATTCTCCAAGCCCAGGTGTGATCTCATTCTTCTGGTACACCAAGGCAAGAAACCCCAGGATACTAAAATCCCTCTGTCTGGGCTGGGCGCAGTGGCTCATGCCTGTAATCCCAGGACTTTGGGAGGCCTAGGTGGGTGTATCACTCAAGGTCAGGAGTTTGAGACCAGCCTGGCCAACATGGTGAAACCCCATATCTACTAAAAATAAAAAAAATTAGCCAGGTAAGGGTGCGGTCACCTGTAGTCCTAGCTACCTGGGAGGCTGAGGCAGGAGAATCACTTTGAACCCGGGAGGCGGAGATGGCAGTGAACCAAGATCAAGCCACTGCACTCCAGCCTAGGGGACAGAGCGAGAGTCTGTCTCAAAAAAAAAAAAAAAGAAAAGAAAAGAAAAAAAGAAAAGAAATCCCTCTGTCCTTGTGACAAGGTAGAGGATCTAACTGAGCTGGTAAGCTGCCTATAGATGGCAAACTAAAAAAAGCAACCTGTAACACACGCCCCCTGGGGCTTCAGGAGCTGTAAACATTCACCCCGGACACTGCTGTGGGGTCAGAGTCCCACAGCCTGCCCATCTATATGCTCCCCTAGAGGTCTGAGTAGAGGAGCACTTCAGAAGCAAGCCACACCCCCATCGCCCACCCTGCGAGGGGAACAAGGGAACCTTTCCCGTTTCACCACCATGCCTGGCTAATATTTTTGTATTTTTAAGAGACAGGGTTTTCCCATGTTGGCCAGGCTGGTCTTGAACTCCTGGCCTCAAGCAATCCACCTGCCTCAGCCTCCCAAAGTGCTGGGATTATAGGCATGGGCCACCACACCCAGCCACAGTCATCCAATTCATAGAGACAGAAAGTGGAATGTTGGGTGCTAGGGGCTGAGGGAGGGGAATAGGGAGGGAGCGTTTAATAGGTATGGAGCTTGTTTGGGAAGAACAAGTTCTGGAGATGGATGGTGGTAATGGTTCCACAACAATGTGAACGTACTTAATGCTACCCAAGGGTATGCTTAAGATGGTAAATTTTATGTTATGTACATGTTACTACAAACCACTGCCCCCCAACCCCGGCCGAGGCGGGCAGATCACTTGAGGTCAGGAGTTTGAGACCAGCCTAGCCAACATGGAGAAACCCCATCTCTACTAAGAATACAAAAATTAGCCAAGCATGGTGGCGTGCACCTGTAGTCCCAGCTATTTGGGAGGCTGAGGCAGAAGAATGACTTGAACCTGGGAGACAGAGGCTGCAGTGAGCCAAGATCGTGCCACTGCACTCCGGCCTGGGTGACAGTCTCAAAAAAAAAAGTTCCTCCAAGTTGGGCATGGTGGCACATGCCTGTAGTCCCAGTTACTTGGGAGGCTGGGGTGGGAGGATGGCTTGACCCCAGGGGGTGGAAGCTGCAGTGAGCTGTGACTGTGCCACTGTGCTCCAGTCTGTGAGACAAAGCAAGATCATATCTCAAAAAACAAAAATATGGCCCAAACATGATTAGGGCTACGAGTGAACATTAGCCTTTACGCCAGTCACTGGGGCAGTGGGGCATGACTCAGTTTCTCCCCATCACTGCTGACTCTACATGTTTTCGTTCCTCCCATTGCAATTGAGGAAACTAAAATCCACTGTCACTTCCCTCTCGCCTTCCCTCTTCTAGCAACGCACATACTCCACACCAGGCACGTATGACATATTCAGGTTATAAAACCTGCCTTTGGGTGAGTGGTTTTTTTGTTTTGTTTTGTTTTTTTCTGAGACGGAGTCTCGCTCTGTCGCTTAGGCTGGAGTGCAGTGGCACGATCTCAGCTCACTGCAACTTCCGCCTCCTGGGTTCAAGTGATTCTCCTGGCTCAGCCTCCCCAGTAGCTGGGACTACAGGCACGCGCCACCACTCACTGCTAGTTTTTTGCATTTTTAGTAGAGACAGGGTTTCACCATGTTGGCCAGGCTGGTCTCGAATTCCTGACCTCAAGTGATCCGCCTGCCTCGGCCTCCCAAAGTGCTGGGATTACAGGCGTGAGCCACTGCGCCTGGCCAGGTTAGTGTTTTGATCTGCTCTTTTCTCCCTCTTGGCTTGGACCTCATTCCCTGGCCAGCTCAGACAGCTCTCTGATGTTCTGCATTCTACCTGAAGCTGCTAAAGACCAAAATAGCCACTGAGCGTGTGACCTGGGGTGTGGGCTTCCAAACAGGGCTCAGGGGCAGTCTAGAGAACTCTGCCCTTGGTGTTGGAGGAATTCGGGGGTGGAGCCAGTAAACACCATAGTACCAGCTGGGCACGGTGGCTCATGTCTGTAATCTCAGCACTTTGGGAGGCCAAGGCAGGCAGATCACCTGATGTCAGGAGTTCAAGACCAGCCTGGCCAACATGGTGAAACCCCATCCCTACTAAAAATGCAAAAATTAGCCGGGCACGGTGGCAGGTGCTGGTAGTCCCAGCTATTCAGGAGGCTGAGGCAGGAGAATCGCTTGAACCCAGGGGCCGGAGGTTGTAGTGAGCCTAGATCGTGCTATTGCACCCCAGCCTGGGCGACAGAGTGAGACTCTGTCTCAAACAAACAAACAAAAAACCATAGTGTCTTGGCGAATGATGGCAAAGTCAAAGTGGAACGGGCTATCAGTGAACCACACAGTCAGGAGTTCTGGCTCATGCCTGTTATCCCAGCACTTTAGGAGGCTGAGGCAGGAGGATTGCTTGAGCCCAGGATTTCAAGACCAACCCAAACAGGCAACATAGCAAGACCTCGTCCCTACAAAAAATATAAAAATTAGCCGGGCATGGCAGCACGCGCCTGTAGTCCCAGCTACTCGGGAGGCTGAGGTGGAAGAATTGCTTTAGCCTTGGAGATTAAGGCTGCAGTGAGCTGTGATCGCTCCATTGCTCTCCAGCCTGGGCAAAAGAACAAGATCCTGTCTAAAAAAAAAAAAAAAAAAAAAATTCGTGACCCAAGTCCAAGGTCCAGTCCTGTTTCTGAAGATGTGGCCAGAAACTCAGCTTTCATTTTCTACCTGTTTTTAGAGGAATTCTGGTCTCTGATGAATGTTGGCAGAATGTGCCTGGGGATGTGCTGGGTGTTGAGACGCAGCTCTAACAGAACAACGCTTCCTCCTCTAGAAGTTCTCATCTCTATGTCGGAGGAAACGGGAAGCCAACCAGAGAGGCTGTGACCATACTAAATGATTTCTGCTTAATAATACCTGGGGAGGGGGCCGGAGGCAGTGGTTCACGCCTGTAATCCCAGCACTTTGGGAGCTGAAAAGGGTGGATCACCTGAAGTCAGGAGTTCGAGACCAGCCTGGCCAACATGGTGAACCTCCCTCTCTACTAAAAATACAAAATTAGCTGGGTATGGCGGCACTCGCCTGTAATCCCAGCTACTTGGGAGGCTGAGGTGGGAGAATTGCTTGAACCCGGGAGGCAGAGGTTGCAGTGAGCCAAGATCACACCACTGCACTCCAGCCTGGGTGACAAGAGTGAAACTACGTCTCAAATAAATAAATACATATATAATTTCTGCTTAATAATACCTGGGGGACTAAATAATCTGTACAACAAACCCCATGACACGAGTTTATCTATATAACAAACCTGCACATGTACCCCAAAACTTAAAAGCTAAAAAAAATTAAAAATGATTTCTGGCCAGGTGTGCTGGTTTACACCTGTAATCCCAGCACTTTTGGGAGGCCAAGGTGTGCGGATTGCTTGAGCTCGGGAGTTCGAGACCAGCCTGTGCAACACTATGAAACCCCCATCTCTACAAAAATACAAAAATTAGCTGGGTGTGGTGCCACACACCTGTAGTCCCAGCTACTCAGGAGGCTGAGATGTGAGGATCAGTTGAGCCCTGGAGGTCAAAGTTACAGAGCTATGATTTTGCCACTGCACTCCAGCCTGGGTAACAGAGTGAGACCCTGTCTCCAAAAAAAAGAGAGAGAAAGGAAATTATTTCTGAGCTTTATTGCTATGAAGAGGATGGAACCAGGGAATGAGATGGAACCACTGGGGGGTAGCAGTGAGGTCATTTCAGCCAAGGAGGGCCAGAAGGAACCCTCAGAGGAGGTAATAGGATAGCAGGGAGGTGATAGCCAGAGAAGGCCACAAGGAGAAAGTGACAGTTCACCCCTCGGAGGAGGTGACAGCCAGGACAGGAGGAGGGCCCCTGGGAGGAGGCGACATTGGAACACTGGAGCTGAGGCCTGAAGGAGGCCAGCTTCGCAGGTACCTGCGGGGTGTGTTCCGGCAGAGGGAACAGCAGGTACAATCGCCCTCCCCCATTAGCCTCCTAGGACCATGGGGGCCTGCAGAGAAACTTCTGGCACCACACAAATATGGTTGTCGTGTTTTTCCTTTTTTACTCTGTCCTCCCCCACCCCCGCCAACTTCCTGGCCTGAATGCTGCTCCTGTGACCCCTTGAGGCGAGTGACCTCGGGGAAGTGGCATTCTGTGCCTCAGTTTCCTTATCTGGAAAACGGGCCTTGCTCGCGGGGACTTCCCTCCCTAATTCTGCGCAGTATGCATGCATAGGGCAGGCCCTCAATGAACCCTTGCAGAATAAAGGACCGGCTCATCCCCAGCACCTGGCTCAGTGCGTGCAAGCGGCTACACACTACGGCATAAGATGTTCCCATTTTGCAGACGGGGAAACGGAGGCTGGGGAATACCGGGCCTAGCCGACGGGGGCGGGGCGCAGGGCGCGCACGCTGCGTCTCGGGCCCGGGGGCGCGCACGCCGAGCGGCTGACCGGGGGCGAGGCCGGGGGCTTGACAGGGGCGTGGCCTCGCGCGGCCGAGAGGCTGCAGCGGCAGCAGCTGTCGCGCCAGTCGCAACAGAAGCAGGTCCGAGGCACAGCCCGATCCCGCCATGGAGCAGCCGAGGAAGGCGGTGGTAGTGACGGGTACGCTGGCTGATGGGGGCTGTAGCGGCAGCGGCCGGGGGCAGAGGCGGGGGCGGCTCCGGGACTGCGGGGCCGAGAGGGGCAGGTGCTGGAAGTCCTCTCAGATTTGGAAGGTGTCATCACCCGCGGGAGCCCCGCGCAGCCCAGGCTTCCTGGAAAGTGGAGGAGGAGGAGCCTTGGGGGTCCCAGGGTCGGGAGTCAGGGCAGTCGGGCGCGGGGCTTGGGGGGCCGGGCAAAAGCCCGGCGCTGCGCAGGCCCCCCTGGCGTCCTTTCCTCCCAAGGTGGGGATGGTGACCCTCCTGGCACCTGCCTCCTCTGTCTGGCCTGCGGGCTGGACTGGACCCTTCCTCCCTGCCCCTTCCGAGGTCCAGCCTGTCCCCACACCGCTCCCCCAACCCCTGGCCCCAGGGGACAAAGGCCGATTTGCGGGCAGGAAGTGTCCCAGTGACAAATGAACCTCCCAGTCACTGCTCGCCGCGCCCTGCGCTCCTGGGGGGCTACTCTCCCAAGGCAGGGGCAGGTGGGGGTCCGGGGACCTCGGGCTCTCCCAGCTGTCCCAGGGACTGTCTTCAGCGGAAACCTTTTTGTGTTTTGTGCCAGGGCTGTTTGTTGGTGAGTCAGGGCCCCTGCTGTCACCGACTCCCCCCCACCCCCAAACCAACTGTTTCTCCTCCCTGAGACTCCGCCTCGGGGCCACGTGGGGCGCCAACTTCCGCTGGGGCCTCAGAGTCAAGGAGTGGGGGGGTCATTTTGACCTGCTGTCTGGAGGGGTCAGAGTGGGAAATCCAGCAAAGGTGCACACAGGTGTTTTGTGGCTGTTGAAGGGAGATTGAGGCTGATCCAGGAGATTCAGGGAAGAAGGAAGAAACAAGGCACCTGCTTAACAGGTGTGTATAATTGGGAGGAGGGTCACTGCCCCCATCCCTTCCAGCCTTCCTTTATCTGGTTATTTATTCCAGCACTTTTTGCATGAGCTGATTACATCTTTACTGTCTCCATTTTGCAGAAAGGGAAACTGAGGCTCACAGAGGTCATCCAGTTTGTAAGGGGCTGAGCTGAGACTCAAACTTTGGCTGTACAGAAGGATAGAGTTAGGAGGTCCCCTCCTGAGCCACAGCCCCTACCTGCTATCCCAGGCTACAGCATCTCTGCATAGCATTCATATCCTGTGGGATCACTGGCCCAGATGGACCGTATTTTTTTTTTTTTGAGACGGAGTTTTGCTCTTGTTGCCCAAGCTGGAGCACAACGGCGCGATCTCGGCTCACTGCAACCTTCGCCTCCTGGGTTCAAGCGATTCTCCTGCCTCAGCCTCCTGAGTAGCTGGAATTACGGGCACGCATCACCCCATCTGGTTAATTTTTTGTATTTTTAGTAGAAACGGGGTTTCACCATGTTGGCCAGGCTGGTCTCAAACTTCTGACCTCAGGTGATCCGCCCGCCTTGGCCTCCCAAAGTGCTGGAATTACAGGCATGAGCCACCGCACCCAGCCCCAGATCTGGATTTGAATCCCAGCTTTTTCACCTTCTTGCTGTGTGACCTTGGGCAGCTAGCTTCACCTCTCTGTGCCTCAGTCCCTGCTCCTGGAAACTGGGCCTAGGAAACACCCTTGCCTGAAAGGGGATGTGGCCAGGCTTAATGCCAGGAAGATCACTTAGCACAGCCTTGGGCGACTGTCGTGTTTTGGAAAGGGGGCCTGGAGTTTGAGCTAGCAGGGAGGAGGGTGACAAGGTGAAATCTAGACAGCCTGGAGGGCTCATTCCTCATTTGGTGCCGATTCAGGGCATTTTGGGACAGTGACACAATAATTGTAGGTTGAGTCAAGGGGACCAGAGGAAGTGAAGACAGGATCAGGACCTTTTCGGAGGCAGAAGATACCTCTGGCCCCTGGCTGAGCATGAGGGGCAGGTGGAGGTGAAGACAGGAAGGGACTCATTGACTTCAGAGCGGACAGGTGCAGGACGGCGGCTCTGACGGGCCTCCAGGTGCTCCCAGAACTCAGGACCAGGCCCCCAATGTTGTCCTTGGCAGCTGCGCCCTGAAGCTCCTTTCTTGCTTCTCCAGGTGGGAGTAGCGGCCAGGCCAGGGGCAGACTGGGAAGGGCCACTCTTGGGTAATATATTGCTTTTCCTGTTTTTTCAGGATTTGGCCCTTTTGGGGAACACACCGTGAACGCCAGTTGGATTGCAGTTCAGGTAACTTAGATCCGGAGGGTGGGAGTCAGGCTTGGAGCTGGGCACACCCCAGAAAGTTATGGCATCCAAGAAGGTCCCCTTTTAACAAAAACTTTTTTTTTTTTTTGAGACGAAATCTTACTCTGTCACCCAGGCTGGAATGCAATGGCACAATCTCAGCCCACTGCAACCTTCGCCTCCTGGGTTTAAGCGATTCTCCCACCTCAGCCTCCAGAGTGGCAGAGATTATAGGTGGCTGCCACCACGCCCGGCTAATTTTTGTATTTTTAGTAGAGTCGGGGTTTCACCATGTTGGCCAGGCTGGTCTCGAACTCCTGACCTCAAGTAATCCTCCTGCCTCAGCCTCTTAAAATGCTGGAATTACAGGCGTGAGCCACTACGCCCAGCCAGCTCTTAAAAAACGATGTCGGATCCACATCTCTTCCTGGATGGTAACCACCGGAGCACACATCTGTTGAGTGTTTGTACCCCAGCGCTCTGAATCCTCCCAACAACCCATGCATAGTACGTGTAGTTATTCTTGTGCCCACTTAACAGAATAGGAAACTGAGGCCCAGAGGAGGGATGAAGGGAGTTCTCCGAGGTCACACAGCCAAGAAATGGGAGTGGCATTGCCTCAGAAGTGCCCCAGGCCCTGGCCAGCGGCTACAGATCTGGGTCTGGAGGGCCAGGTGTGGATATAAACGTAGCTGGTTTCCAGGACACAGCTGTTTATGTGGTGCTGGCGTCTACTTTACCTAGGAATTATCCAACTCTAGGATCTCCCTCTTTTTTTTTTTTTTTTTTTTTTGAGACGAAATCTCACTCTGTTGCCCAGGCTGGAGTGCAGTGGCGCGATCTTGGCTCACTGCAACCTTGCCTTCTGGGTTCAAGCGATTCTCCTGCCTCAGCCTCCAGAGTAGCTGGGATTACAGGCACCTGCTACCACGCCTGGCTACTTTTTTCTATTTTTAGTAGAGATGGGGTTTCACCATGATGGCCAGACTGGTCTCAAACTCCTGACTTCAGGTGATCCACCCACCTCGGCCTCCCAAAGTGCTGGGATTACAGGTGTGAGCCACTACCCCCGGCCAGGATCTCCCTCCTTTTTAAAAATCTTTTCCATTGACTCAGACAAATCGTGACTCAGGTTGGTTTCTGAACAGCCAAAGTGAGAATTCTCTGGTATGTTTTAGGCAGGTAATTCATGGTTCAGGAAGGACCAGGCAGGAATATGTGGGGTGGGGTGGCAGGGGAACATATCTTGACCTTGTAGGAAGGGGTACAGTGAGCCTCGCTGTCATCTCCTCGCAGCTGGGGGAGGAAAAGATGGCATATTAGGGGCCGAGGGGGGCTGTCATTCCTGGTGCCCTGAAGAAGATGCCAGTCTGCAAAACCTTTCTAGTTTCTTTTCCAGATGGAGTATTTTGTAGGGACAGGCTGGGGAGCAATGCACAGAGAGAAAGACGGAAGTGTTTTCTCGTTATATAAATCAGATCGGCAGAGACCAGAGCCAAACCCCTGTTTATCCTAGCCTATGAGCTGCCTGATTTAAAGTAACCTCTGTTCCCATTCCAGAATCCTAGATTTGGAGAAAAATCTAAGTTGAAACCTCAGCGTGGCAGTCCCCAGCTGTACCCCCCATTTTTTAATCACCCCCTCATCCCCAACTTCAGACCTCAAAGTTTTGGCTGTTTCCCTTTTTTTTTTTTCTTTCCTGCCCACTTCGTGAACGGGATGGAGGGACGGGGTCCCGGGACCCTGCAGATGGGAGCGTGCCCGAGGCCCTGCCTGCTCACCCGCTCCCCGGAGAGCCAGACAAAAAGAAACAGCATGTTTCTGAAGACTTGTGTGTCAGGCTTTGTGCACATTTCAGACAGGAGCCTTCACGGGGCTGAGTGGACACAAAGCCGGGTGTCTGAATTCCTGGGCCCCAGACACTGATCTACATCTAAATAGAAGAAAAATCAATTAAACAATCTTTGGAAATCCCTCCGAGCTTCGGGGCTTCTCGGATGGTGAAGGATGGCAGCTTTTTATCTTGTGGCCAGAGAGGAAATAGCCCTTCTCCTTGGTTCTCCTCTCTCCAGACCTGCAGTTTCCACTTTTTGCTTTCTTTTTTTTCTGGAGACACAGTTTCGTTCTTGTTGCCCAGACTGGAGTGCAATGTCACGGTATCAGCTCACTTCAACTTCCGCCTCCTGGGTTCAAGCGATTCTCCTGCCTCAGCCTCCCTTAGTAGCTGGGATTACAGCTGCGCACCACCAGGCCCGGCTAATTTTTGTATTTTTAGTACAGACGAGGTTTTGCCATGTTGACCAGGCTGGTCTTGAACTCCTGACCTCAGGGGATCCGCCCGCCTCGGCCTCCCAAAGTGCTGGGATTACAGGCGTGAGTCACTGCGCCCAGCCCCACTTTTCACTTTCTTCCCAAAGTTTAGGACACAAGATTCCCCACCATTCGCCTGCCAAAAAGATGCCAACCTTCTTAGATCTGATTGTTTCACTTAAACAAAACAAAACAAAGTTTAACATATATACACCCAGAACACTCATTAGTGAAATTTTAGGCCTGATATGATGGCTCACGCTTGTAATCCCAGCACTTTGGGAGGCTGAGGCAAGGAGTTCGAGACTATCCTGGCCAACATAGCAAGACCCCATCTCTAAAAAAAAAAAAATACAAACAGCCGGGAGTGGTGGCGCATGCCTGTAGTCCCAGCTACTCGGGAGGCTAATATGGGAGGATCACCTAAGCCTGGGGAGGTAGAGGCTGCAGTGAGCCCTCATAGTATCACTGCACTCTAGCCCAGGTGACAGAGCTAGACCCTATCTCAAAAAAAAAAAAAAAAAAAAGAAAAGAAATTTGGCCAGGCACAGCGGCTCACGCCTGTAATCCTAGCGCTTTGGAAGGCTGAGGCGGGCAGATCGCTTGAGGTCAGGAGTCAAGACCAGCCTGACCAATATGGTGAAACCCTGTCTCTACTAAAAATACAAAAATTAGCCAGAAATCACTTGAACCCAGGAGGCAGAGGTTGCAGTAAGCCGAGATTGTGCCACTGCACTCCAGCCTGGGTGACAAAGCGAGACTCTGTCTCAAAAAAAAAAAAGAAATTTTACATATGTGCACCCCCAAGGGCCAGGTCAAGATCTCGAACATTCTCTGGTTCTTCCTCGCATTCTTCACAGAAGCCCCACATAGCCTCTCCCCCAAGTACTCCCAAGCCCTCCCGATGTAAACCTCTGCAGACTTTTTTGCGCCAGTAGGTGAATTTTGCCTGTTCCAGAAGTTGGCAGGAACAAGCAGCTTCCAGGTGCCACACCTCTGCGAGAACCGCCCCTGGAGTTGCTGCTTGGTTCCTTCCTGTCCTGGATTTGCCTGTTAGAAAGGTGTCACTGCTGGATGGGTTGAATCCATTCCTCCAAAAAATGTGCCCTGGAGTGTTGTTGGTGTAATGCAGGCAACTGTTGCCAGGCGTCACCTCCACCCAAAGATGGGTGTTTTGTTCTGCACTGTGGGTGGCAATTGCTTCCTGCCGTGACCGATTTTTCGGAAGCTCCTCATCCTTCAGGGACCCCCTAAGTACTTCTCTGTGTCTCTCCCCTCTTGCTCCCTCTGGGTCTCTCTCTGTCTCTTTCCTTTCTTCTATCTGTTCATATCTGTGTCTCTCTTCATCTCTCTGTCTCTTCTGTCTCTCTCTCTGTCACTTTCACCTTCTCTATCTGTGTGTGTCTGTTTCTCTCTTTTTTTTTTTTTTTTTTTTTTTTGAGACAGAGTTTCGCTCTTGTTGCCCAGGCTGTAGTGCAATGGCACAATCTCAGCTCACCGCAACCTCCGCCTCCCAGGTTCAAGCAATTCTCCTGCCTCAGCCTCCTGAGTAGCTGGGATTACAGGCATGTACCACCACGCCCAGCTAATTTTGTATTTTTAGTAGAGACAGGGTTTCTCCATGTTGGTCAGGCTGGTCTTGAACTCCCGACCTCAGGTGATTCGCCCACCTCGGCCTCCCAAAGTGCTGGGATTACAGGTGTGAGCCACCGCACCCGGCTGTTTCTCTCTCTTGTGTCTTTCTTCCTCTCCCTCTCGTCTCTTTCTGCCTCTCTCTCTCTGGGTTTCTCTGTTCCTTCCCACCTCGTCCCTTCTTTCTCTCTCCGTTTCTCTCTTTCTCGCTCTCTTTTTTTTTTGAGACAGGGTCTCACTCTGTCGTCCAGACTGGAGTGGAGTTCAATGGTCGATTGAACGAGTGAGGTGAGCAATCTCAGCTCACCTCATCCTTGACCTCCCGGGCTCAGGTGATCCTCCCGCCCCAGCTTCCCCATTAGCTGGGACTACAGGCATGCACCACCACACCCAGCTAATTTTTTTTTCTTTCTTTCTTTCTTTTTTTTTTTTTTTTTTGTAGAGATGGGATTTGGCTATGTTGCCCAGACTGGTCTCAAACTCCTGGGCTCAAGCCATCCTCCTGTCTTAGCCCCTCAAAGTGCTGGGATTACAGGCATAAACCTCCATGCCCATCCTTCTCTGTTTCTCTCTGTCTCCCTGTCTCTCTCTCTCTCTGGGTCTTACTATCTCTTCCCCTTTCTCTCTCTTCCTCTCTATCTTTGTTAATCTCCGTGTGTCTCAGTTTCTCTCCCTGTGTGTGTCTCTGTCTCCTTGTTTCTTTCTCTCTGAATCTGTCTCTTTCCCCTTCTCTCTCTCCCCATTTCTGTTTCTCTCTGACTCCATCTCTCTGTCTCTGTCTCTCCTTTTTTTTTTTTTTTTGAGACAGGGTCTCACTCTGTCACCCAGGCTGGAGTACAGTGGTGCCATCTTGGCTCACTGCAACCTCTGCCTCCCGAGTTCAAGTGATTCTCCCGTCTCAGCCTCCCAAGTAGCTGGGACTACAGGTGCACGCCACCACGCCCAGCTAATTTTTGTATTTTCAGTAGAGACGGGGTTTCACCATATTGGTCAGGCTGGTCTCGAACTCCTGACCTCGTGATCCGCCTGCCTTGGCCTCCCAAAGTGCTGGGATTACAGGCATGAGCCACCGCGCCCGGCCTGTCTCCGTCTCTTCTGATCCTTTCTCTTTGTCCCCTGGGTGAAGTCATGCCCACAGCATAGGTGGAACTGTTTCCCACCCGCAGTGTTCAGGAGGTGGGAGTTGGTGGGGTACAGAGGGGACCCCCCCTTGTCTTTCCTGGGATGGCAGCTTCCCCCAGCACCCCAAGCACGAGGCACCATGTGTCTCGTGTGTCCCGTCTCCCCTACCTCTCAGGGTGGACTGGGGCACTGGCTGTGTTTCTCTTCCGAGGAGGTGCAGGTGGGTGTTAAGGGCTGGGGAGCTCCGGGGCTCGGGGCCATCTGGGGTGTCTCTTGCCAAAGCTGGGTGAGGAGGACCCGGGTCACAGAACTTGGTAACATCACGGGACAATTGCTGCCACAGTGAGTCTAGACAGACCTGCTAAGGATATTACCAGGGAACAAAGAGGGTCTTTGTCGTGGGGTCAGGGGAATCGGTCAGACGAGGCTGCGCGGCGGGGTCCTGTCAGGTAGATGGGGTGTAGACAATGGGGCGTCTGCCCGAGCCCCGTCCTTTCACGGTGTATGCTTTGATGGTGCATGAGGCCGGGTGTGCTGCTGGCAAAGTGATGTGGGACTTGGGGTGCCCTGCCCCCCTTCTCCCGGAGGAGAACCATCCAACCCTTTTGGAACAGAGCGTGTTCAGAGGCTAAGACTTCAGCCAGATTACCAGCCACACACTTCCTTCTAGTGCCAGATACACTGTATGGCAGGTGGCTCCCTGCCGTTACCCTATTTAAAATTGAGTGATAATTTACATCAGGCAATGTGAACAGACCTTAAGTTTCCCTATCACTTTGGTGAGAAACTTTTTTTTTGTTTTGAGATGGGGTCTTGCTCTGTTGCCTAGGTTGGAGCGCAGTGGTACAATCATAGCTCACTGCAGCCTCGACCTCCTGGGCTCCGGTGATCCTCTTGCCTCAGCCTCCCAAGTAGCTGGGACTACAGGCATGCACCACCATGCCTGGCTAATTTTTTAAATTTTATTTTTTGTAGAGATGGGATCTCACTATATTGCCCTGGCTGGTCTTGAACTTCCGGGCTCAAATGATCCTTCCACCTCGGCCTCCCAAAGAAGCTGGGATTATAGGTGTGAGCCACCGAGCCCTGCCATCAGGTGGGTCTTGGCAAACACACACATGAACACCTCTCTTGTGACTGCAGGTCTTGGGGTATGTGTATATGCTGACAGTGGTTTTCTTTCTTTCTTGTTTTTTTGTTTGTTTGTTGTTTTTTATTTTTGTTTTTGAGACAGAATCTCACTCTGTCATCCAGGCTGGAGGGCAGTGGTGCAATCTCAGCTCACTGCAACCTCCACCTCCCGGGTTCAAGTGATTCTCATGCCTCAGCCTCCTGGGTAGCTGGGACTCAGCTAATTTTTGTATTTTTAGTAGAGACAGGGTTTCGCCATGTTGGCCAGGCTGATCTTGAACTCCTGGCCTCAAGCAATCCTCCTGCCTCAGCCTCCCAAATCGCTGGGATTACAGGTGTGAGCCACCCACCCCTGACCCTATTTTTCTGAATACAGCTTTCCCTGTTGATTTTTAAAGTAACACATCCCATGAGACTCAAGACATCACCTTGTGCCCATTAGGGAAAAGACAGAAAAGAGGCAGATCTGTTGATATGGGACTATGGGTTGTTTTATTTTATTGTTTTTGATTTTGTAAAACACTGAAATGGTTTAAAAGTCAAAATCATGCGATGAGTTTTTTGCATAGAAGTCTCCCTCCCGTCCCCATCGCCGCTCCCATTCCTTCCTTGCCCAGAAGGTGGCACAGTCTCGCCACGGGTCATGCCGGGAAATCCCTCCAGGTTGGTCCAAACAGAGATTACTCATTCTTTTAAATATTTTCATTTTGTTTTTAATTTTGATGAAATCCAGTTTATCAATTATTTTTCTTTTATTGTCTGTGCTTTTCGTGTCATTTGGTGTGTGGGGGCTTTTTGGTCTTTTTTCGAGATGGGGTCTCACTGTGTTGCCCAGGCTGACCTCAAACTCCTGGCCTCAAGTGGTCCGCCCCAGTAGCTGGGATTACAGGCATGAGCCACTGTGCCTGGCTGCTGATTTGTTTTTTGTTTGTTGGTTTGTTTTGAGACACAGCGAGACTCTAGCTGGAGTGCAGTGGTGTGATCTTGGCTCACTGCAACCTCCACCTCCCAAGTTCAAGCGATTCTCCTGCCTCGCCCTCCCGAGTAGCTGGGACTACAGGCATGCGACACCACGCCTGGCTAATTTTTTTGTGTATTTTTAGTAGAGACGGGGTTTCACCATGTTGGCCAGGCTGGTCTGAAACTCCTGACCTCAAATGATCTATCCATCTCGACCTTCCAAAGTGCTGGGATTACAGGCATGAGCCACTGCACCCGGCCTGTTGATTTGTTTTTAAGAGAAAAGAGCTCTGTGGGTCTCCTCTTGGAGATTAGGGGAAGACGCATTTATAAACGGTAAAATTTTCTCCTCTGGGACGTATTGAATATGAGGTGGGAAAACCAGGCTTCAGTGTAACGATCTCTCTCAATAGCAAGTATGTATTGACTGATCTGCAGTGCAGCAATGCCCCTACTTGGCATTTATGCCCCACCCATCAGCATGAGAAGTTTGCATGAGGACGTTCACTGCAGCTTGGCTTTACAGTAAGGAAAATTAGAAGCCACTTAGATGTTCCAATGTAGGGGAATGTTTAAATCCATAGCGACCAGTTTCTGAGGTGGAGTATTATGCAGCAGAGAAAAGGATGCGCTGAGATCTCCGTATAGTAATGTAGACAGATCTCTGAAATAGACTGCTGAGTGGAGCAAACAGAGTTGCAGGATAAAATCAATGGCTGGGCACAGTGGCTCATGCCTGTCATCCCAGCACTTTGGGAGGCCGAGGTAGGAAGATCGCTTGAGCCCTGGAGGTCAAGGCTGCAGCGAGCGCTGATGGCGCCACTGCACTCCAGCCTCAGTGACCAGAGCTGGACCCTGTCTCAGAATTGCTTTTTTACTGCCTATGAATGGAAAAGCAGCAGTAAATCTTTTTAAAAACTTTACTTTTGGCCGGGCACAGTGGCTCACGTCTGTAATCCCAGCATTTTGGGAGGCCAAGGTGGGCGGATCATGAGGTCAGGAGATGGAGACCATCCTGGCCAACATGGTGAAACCCCGTCTCTACTAAAAATACAAAAATAAGCGGGGCATGGTGCCTGTAATCCCAGCTACTCGGGAGGCTGAGGCAGGAGAATCACTTGAACCCAGAAGGTGGAGGTTGCAGTGAGCTCAGATCGCGCCACTGCACTCCAGCCTGGGTGACAGAATGAGACTCCATCTCAAAAAAACCAAACAAAACTTTACTTTTAAGTGCTGTTGGACTTTGTCTCAATGCAATTTTTAAAAAAGGATAAAATCAGGCCAGGCATGATGGCTCTTGCCTGTAATCCCAGCACTTTGGGAGGCTGAGGCAGGCGGATCACCTGAGGTCGGAAGTTGGAGACCAGCCTGACCAACATGGAGAAACCCTGTCTCTACTAAAAGTACAAAATTAGCCAGGCGTAGTGGTGCATGCCTGTAATCCCAGCTACTTGGGAGGCTGAGGCTGGAGAATCACTTGAACCCAGGAGGTGGAGGTTGCGATGAGCCGAAATCCCGCCATTGCACTCCAGCCTGGGCAACAAAAGCAAAACTCCGTCTCAAAAAAAAAAAAAAAAAAGAAGATAAAATCGATGTAAAAACAAGCCAGATGTGGTGGTACATGCCTGTAGTCTCAACTAAGGCTAAAGTGGGAGGATCGCTTGAGTCTAGGAGTTCAAGACCAGCCTGGGCAATGTAGCAAGACCCCATCTCTAAAAGAAAAAATTCTATGGGATTTCTCAGGTGTGTGAATAATAGATTAGAAACAGGTCTGCATGGGGCTGAGTGCAGTGGCTCATGCCTGTAATCCCGGCACTTTGAGAGGCCAAGGGGGGGCTGATCACTTGATCTCAGGAATTGAAGACCATCCTGGCCAACATGACGAAACCCTGTCTCTACTAAAAATACAAAAATTAGTTGGGTGTTGGCCGGGCGCGGTGGCTCACGCCTGTAATCCCAGCACTTTGGGAGGCCGAGATGGGCGGATCACGAGGTCAGGAGATCGAGACCATCCTGGTTAACACGATGAAACCCCGTCTCTACTAAAAATACAAAAAAATTAGCCGGGCATGCTGGTGGGTGCCTGTAGTCCCAGCTACTCCGGAGGCTGAGGCAGGAGAATGGCGTGAACCCGGGAGGCGGAGCTTGCAGTGAGCCAAGATTGCGGCACGCCAGCCTGGGTGACAGAGCGAGACTCCGTCTCAAAAAAAAAAAAAAAAAAAAATTAGTTGGGTGTTTTCCCAGTACTCGGGAGTACTGTAATCCCAGTACTCGGGAGGATGAGGCAGAAGGAACTCTTGAGGCCGGGAAGCAGAGGTTGCAGTAAGACAAGATCATACTACTGAATGATTTTTGATAATCCATCTCAAAAAAAAAAAAGAAAGAAAGAAACAGGTCTACATGATGTGTGCCCTGTCACCTCTGTGGTGTGAAGATGGGAATTAGTGTAGGTTTGTTGACGGAACGGATGGTGGGGCCTTTGAAAAATATAATTGTCTTTTTTTTTTTGAGACAGAGTCTTGCTCTGTCGCCCAGGCTAGAGTGCAGTGGCACAATCTGGGCTCGCACTGCAACCTCCACCTCCCAGATTCAAGCCATTCTCATGCCTCAGCCTCCCGAGTAGCTGGGAGTACAGGTGCGCACCATCACGCCCAGATAATTTTTGTATTTTTCATAAAGACAGGGTTTTTCCATGTTGACCAGGGTAGTCTCGAACTCCTGACCTCAGGTGATCCTCCCGCCTCGGCCTCCCAAAGTGCTGAGATTACAGGCGTGAGCCACCGTACTCAGCCACCTCTCACTATTATTCAACTTTTTCTGGGATACTGCTGAGTTACTTGGAAACAGGTTGAATCTTTTTTTTTTTTCCTTGAGACAGAGTTCTACTCTTGTCACCCAGGCTGGAGTGCAGTGGCACAATCTCGGCTCACTGCAATCTCTGCCTCCCAGGTTCAAGCCATACTCCTGCCTCAGCCTCCTGAGTAGCTGGGATTACAGGCACCTGCCACCATGCCCGGCTAATTTTTGTATTTTTTAGTAGAGACGGGGTTTCACCACGTTGGCCAGGTTGATCTTGAACTCCCGACCTCAGGTGATCCACCCACCTCAGCCTCCCAAAGTATTGGAATTACAGGCATGAGCCACCGGGCCTGGTTCATTTTTTTTTTTTTTTGAGACAAGGCCTTGCCCCGTTGCCCAGGCCATAGCGCAGTGGTGCAATCTTTGCTCACTGCATGCAGCCTCCCCCTCCCTGGCTCAAGCAATCCTCCCACCTTAGCCTCCCAATTAGCTGAGACTGCAGGCATGTGCCACCACATCCAGCTAATTTGTATTTTCGAGTTTTGCCGTATTGGCCAGGCTGGTCTTCAACTCCTGGGCTAAAGCAATCCTCCTGCCTTGGCCTCCTAAAGCACTGGGATTACAGGCATGAGCCACTGTACCTGGCCAAATTAATCATTTTAAAGTATATAATTGCATGGCATTAAGTACACTCACTGTGTTGCGCAACCATCATCTCTATCTAGTTCCAGAACATTCCATCACCCGAAAAGGAGACCCTGTCCCCATCAGTAGCCATTCTCCATTCCCCTCCCTCAGCCCCTGGCAGCCACTCGTCTGCTTCCTGTCTCTATGGATTTGCCTGCTCTGGGCATTTCATATCAATGGAATCATACAATATGTGGCCTTTTGTGTCTGGCTTCTCTCACTCAGCATCATGTTTTCAAAGTTCATCCACATTGTACCACGGATCAGTGCTTCTTTCCTTTTCATGGCTGAATCGTATTCCATCGGATGGATGGACCATATTTCATTTATCCATCTGTTGATGGGCATTTGTGCTATTTCTACCTTTTGGCTTTTGTGAATACTAGAGAGGCTTCTTTTTACAAATTGGACACAGTGGCTCACCCCTGTAATCCCAGCACTTTGGGAGGCCAAGGCAGGTGAATCACTTGAGGTCAGGAGTTTGAGACCAGCCTGGCCAACATGGTGAAACCCCATCTCTACTAAAAATACAAAAATTAGCTGGGCGTGATCCCGCATGTCTGTAATCCCAGCTACTGGGGAGGCTGAGGCTTGAGAGTCACTTGAACCCAGGAGGCAGAGGTTGCAGTGAACCGAGATCATAGCACTGCGCTCCAGCCTCGGTGACAGAATGAGACTCTGTCTCAAAAAAATAAAAGACTCTTGGGAGGCAGAGGCAGGTAGATCACGAGGTCAGGAGATCGAGACCATCCTGGCTAACACAGTGAAACCCCGTCTCCACTAAAGATAGAAAAAATTAGCCGGGTGTGGCGGTGGGTGCCTGTAGTCCCAGCTACTCGGGAGGCTGAGGCAGGAGAATGGCATGAACCCGGGAGGCGGAGCTTGCAGTGAGCCGAGGTGGCGCCGCTGCATTCCAGCCTGGGTGACAGAGTGAGACTCTGTCTCAAAATAAAATAAAATAAAATAAATAAAAGACTCTGTTGCAGGGCACAGGGTCTCACCCTGCTGCCCAGGCTGGAGCGCAGTGGCACGATCATAGCTCACTGCAACCTCAACCGCCTGGGCTTAGGTAATCCTCCCATCTCAGCCTCCTGAATAGCTGGGACCACAGGTGTGCACCACCATGCCCAGCTAATTTTTAAAGTTTTTGTAGAGGCCAGGTCTCACTATGTTGCCCAGGCTGGTCTCAAACTCCTGGGTTCAAGCGATCTTCCAGCCTCAGCCTCTCAAAGTGCTGGGATTACAGGCATGAGCCACTGCACCCAGCCCCATTTCTAAAATAATAACAGTAATAGGATAATGGCAGCCAATGTCATTTGAACACTTAAAATATGCCAGACATGGTGCTTAGAACTGTTAGCGTGAGTGAGCACATTTAATTTTGAAAGCTATCCTGTGAGGTAAGTCGATACTTTTTTTTTTTTTTTTTTTTTTTTTGAGACGGAGTGTTGCTCTGTCACCCAGGCTGGAGTGCAGTGGCACAATCTTGGCTCATTGAAAGCTCTGCCTTCCAGGTTCATGCCATTCTCCTGCCTCAGCCTCCCCAGTAGCTGGGACTACAGGCACACGCCGCCACGCCCAGCCAATTTTTTTGTATTTTTAGTAGAGATGGGGTTTCACTGTGTTAGCCAGGATGGTCTCGATCTCCTGACCTCGTGATCCGCCTGCCTCGGCCTCCCAAAGTGCTGGGATTACAGGCATGAGCCACCGCACCTGGCCTTTTTTTTTGAGATGGAGTTTCGCTCTTGTTGCCCAGGCTGGAGTGCAGTTACGTGATCTTGGCTCACTACAACCTCTGCCTCCCGGGTTCAAGTGATTCTCCTGCCTCAGCCTCCTAAGTAGCTGAGATTACAGGTGTGTGCCACTGCACCCAGCTAATTCTTGTATTTTTAGTAGAGATGGGGTGACACCATGTTGGCTAGACTGGTCTCGAACTCCTGACCTCAGGTGATCCGCCCACCTTGGCCTCCCAAAGTGCTGGGATTACAGGCCTGAGCCATCAGGCCTAGCCTGATACTCTGTTATTCCCATTTTACAGATGAGGAAACTGAGACTCAGAGAGATTAAGTGGATTGCCCAAGGTCACACAGGCAGGATTGAGTCCAAGGAGCCTGGGATTTAACCCCAGGGACCATAGAATCATGTCACCTTCCATAGAGATACAGAGAGACTTTGAGGCAAGAGGGTGGGGAAGGAAATGAGGGGCTTTGAACTAAATCAACACACACCCTTGCCATCCTGCAGAATGAGTCTGGAGAACGCCTGTTTGTTTCACCCCCCAGAGAGCGCATTATCCCCATAGCTGTCATCTGGGGCCATGACACTCCCACTCTCCTCTCTTCCAGGAGCTAGAAAAGCTAGGCCTTGGCGACAGCGTGGACCTGCATGTGTACGAGATTCCGGTTGAGTACCAAACAGTCCAGAGACTCATCCCCGCCCTGTGGGAGAAGCACAGTCCACAGGTGAGTGGTGCCAAGGGGCGGCACTTCCTCATCAGGACTTACAGGTTGGCACCCTTCATGTGGAGGACTTAGGTGGCTTTGGTCCTGATCAGATCACGTGACCAATGCCATACAGCCTTGTCCTCAAAAGGGCTTTTCAGGCCGGGCATGGTGGCTCATGCCTGTAATCCCAGCACGTTGGGAGGCCGAGGCAGGTGGATAACCTATACTCAGGAGTTCGCAACCAGCCTGGGCAACATGGCAAAACCCTGTCTCTACTAAAAATACAAAAAATTAGCCGGGTGTGATGGTGGGCGCCTGTAGTTCCAGCTACTCGGGAGGCTGAGGCAGGAGAATCGCTTGAACCCGGGAGGCGGAGGTTGCGGTGAGCCAAGATTGTGCCACTGTACTCCAGCCTGGGCAGCAGAGCAAGACCTGTCTCAAAAAAAACAAAAAAACCCAAAGGGCTATCCAGGCCAAGGGTAGTGGCTCATGCCTGTAATCCCAGCACTTTGGAAGGCCGAGGCAGGAGGATTGCTTGAGTCTAGGAGTTTGAGACCAGCCTGGGCAGCATAGTGAGATCCCATCTCTACAAAAAAATTTAAAAATTAGGCATGATGGTACATGCTTATAGTCCCAGCTACTCAGAAGGCTGAGGCAGGAGGATTGCTTGAGCCCAGGAATTTAAGACTGCAGTGAGCCAAGATTTTTATGCCACTGCACTCCAGCCTGGGCAACAGAACAAGTCTCTTAAAAAAACAAACAAGACCAGGCATGGTGGCTCACGCCTGTAATCTGAGCACTTTGGGATGCTGAGGCGGGTGGATCACCGGAGGTCAGGAGTTTGATCCCAGCCTGGCCAATATGGTGAAACCCTGTCTCTACTAAAAATACAGAATTAGCCAGGTGTGGTGGCGCATGCCTGTAATCCCAGCTACTTGGGAGGCGGAGGCCAGAGAATCGCTGGAACCCAGGAAGGGGAGGTTGCAGTGAGCTGAGATCGCGCCACTGCACTCCAGCCTGGGCGACAGAGCAAGACTCCATCTCAACAAAGAAACAAAAACACTGCATTGGCATTTTAACACTTGCATAGCAGCTCATTATTTATTGAACTAACTCCGCTGGATGGCTAGTTAACTTGTTTGCAGTATTTGATTTTGATAACAAGAACAGCTGCAGTGAACAGCCCTTCATGTTTCAAATTCTTGCCTGTCTTACATGGCATACCTTTTTCCAAGAGTGACTGCAGGGTCTATTCTAGCAGCAAGAGGTCAGAAACAACACAACCCCAGGCAGAGCTCATTAAGGATGCTGCCTTTTCCCTGGCCTCAGGGGGACCCCTCTGAGTCCCACGGGCAGGCCATGTTAAGTCCTGCCCCTGTCTGTGTGCAGCTGGTGGTGCATGTGGGGGTGTCAGGCATGGCGACCACAGTCACACTGGAGAAATGTGGACACAACAAGGGCTACAAGGGGCTGGACAACTGCCGCTTTTGCCCCGGCTCCCAGTGCTGCGTGGAGGACGGGCCTGAAAGCATTGACTCCATCATCGACATGGATGCTGTGTGCAAGCGAGTCACCACGTTGGGCCTGGATGTGTCGGTGACCATCTCGCAGGATGCCGGCAGGTAGGGCCCTGTGGGGTGGGAGTGAGTGGGGATTTCCCTCCTCCACCCACTGAGCCTGGTGTAGAACAAGCCAAGCGTGTTGACCTTGGCCTCTTTGGACCAAGCACTCAGTGTATACTAGGCACAGAGCCAAGTATTTGTACGTAGCAGGTGCCGTTGGTTCTGCTCCTGGGACTCATGGATCTGCCCACTTCTCCCCACCATCACGGTCCCCACCAAGGCCCCCAGCATCTCCCACCTGGACACTGCCCCAGCCTCCATCTCAGTCTTCCTCCCTGCTGCCTCCACCCCAACCCAAGCAGTCAGTTTCTGTGTTAATTTCCTGGAGCTGCTATAACAAATACCCACAAACTGGGTGGTTTCATATAACAGAAATGTATTGTCTAACAGCCTTGGAAGTCAGAAGTCCAAGGTCAAGGTGGTAGCAGGACTGGTTCCTTCTGGAGGTGCTGAGGGTGAGTCTGTCCCAGGCCTCTCTCCTGCAGCTGGTGGCTGCTGGCCATCCTTGGCTTGTAGACACATCGCTCCAGTCCCCGCCCCTATCCTCACATCACTTTCTTCCCTTTGTGTGTGGCCGTGTGGTCTTCTTATTAGGACACCAGTCATTATATTTAGGACTCATCCTAATCCAGTATGACTTTTTTTTTTTTTTTTTTTTTTTTGAGACGGAGTTTTGCTCTTGTTGCCCAGCCTGGAGTGCAATGGCGTGATCTCAGCTCACTGCAACCTCCACCTCTTGGGTTCAAGCGGTTCTCCTGCCCCAGCCTCCCAAGTAGCTGGGATTATAGGCATGCACCACCACGCCCGGATAATTTTATACTTTTATTAGAGACAGGGTTTCTCCACGTTGGTCAGGCTGGTCTCGAACTCCCGACCTCAGGTGATGCACCCACCTCTGCCTCCCAAAGTGCTGGGATTACAGGCATGAGCCACTGCGCCCAGCCGACCTCATCTTAATTTAACTAATTACATCTGCAAAGATCCTCTTTCCAAATAAGGTGACATTCTTTTTTTTTTGAGATGGAGTTTTGCTCTTGTTGCCCAGGCTGGAGTGCAATGGCGCCATCTCGGCTCACTGCAACCTCCGCCTCCTGGCTCAAACAATTCTTCTGCTCCAGGCTACCAAGTAGCTGGGATTACAGGCGTGCATCACCAGACCCAGCAAATTTTTTGTATTTTTAGTAGAGATGGGGTTTCACCATGTTGGTCAGGCTGGTCTCGAACTCCCGATCTCAGGTGATCCACCCTCCTCAGCCTCTCAAAGTGCTGGGATTATAGGCATGAGCCACCAAACGTGGCCCAAATAAGGTCACATTCTGAGGTCCCAGGTGAACACGAATGTTGAGGGAGATGATTCTATTGCAAAAGGTCTTTTATAAATTTAAATCAGGGCCAGGCGCAGTGGCTCATGCCTATAATCCTAGCACTTCGGGAGGCCAAGGCAGGAGGATCGCTTGAGCCCAGGAGTTCAAGACCAGCCTGGGCAACATAAGGAGACCCCATCTGAACAAGTAAAAAAAATAGCAGGCTGAGACAGGAGGATTCCTTGAGCTTGGAGTTCAAGGCTGCAGTGAGCTGTGATAGCGCCACTGCACTTCAGTCTGGGCAACAGAGCAAGACCCTGTTGGCTCTAAATAAATAAATGCATGTGTTCCTTTCCTAGACCTTCCCTATGGCTCCCATTGCACATAGAATAAAATTCCAACCCTGGCCCTTGGCCCGCCTCTCCACCCCGCTCTGCCTCTACTCACCCCATATCCATTGCACTCCAGACACATGAACCAGCTTCCTCCTGCTCCTCAAACACACCAAGTTCACTCCAGCCTCAGGGCCTTTGAACACCCTATGGCCTCTGCCCAGAACACCTTCCTCTGGGAACACCTCTTTCCAGTCTTTTTTTTTTTTTTTTTGAGATGGAGTCTCGCTCTGTAGCACAGGCTGGAGTGCATTGGCGCGATCTTGGCTCACTGCAACCTCCGCCTCTGACGTTCAAGTGATTCTCCTGCCTCAGCCTCCCAAGTAGCTGGGATTACAGGCGTGCGCCATCATTCCCAGCTAACTTTTGTATTTTTAGTAGAGGCGGGGTTTTGCCATATTGGCCACACCAGGGTGGTCTCGAACTCCCGACCTCAAGTGATCCACCCACCTCAGCCTCCCAAAGTGCTGGGATTATAGGCCTGAGCCACCGCGCCTGGCCCTCTTTCCAGTCTTAATTCCAACACGAGTCACCTCCTTGTGACTTGTAGGCCTCTCCAACTCCCCAGACCAAGTTATACCCTCCCAGCACCAGCTTCCTCACTTTTCCCTAATCTGTGCGCTTGTCCAACTCAAAGGCAGCTATTGGTCAATGCAGTTGAGTAGCTGAAGGAAGGAATGCCTGGATTTACCATCAGGATTTTTGTTTTTGGAGACAGGATCTCGCTCTGTTGCATAGGCTGGAGTCAAGTAGTATAATCACAGCTCACTGCAGCCTCCATCTCCTGGGATTAAGTGATCCCCCGCCTCAGCCTCCCGAGTAGCTGGGACTGCAGATGGACACCACCACGTCCAGCTAATTTTTGTATTTTTTGTAGAGATAGAATCTTGCTACATTGCCCAGGCAGGTCTTGAATTCCTGGGCTCAAGTGATCCTTGTGCCTCGGCCTCCCAAAGTGCTGGGATTATAGGCAAAAGCCACCGCACACCACTGAGTTCTTTTTAAAGCTAACTTTTTCTCTTTTTTAATTGAAAACTAATTGTTATTTAGTTGTTTATTTATTTTGACAGGATCTCGTTCTGTATCCCAGGCTAGAGTGCAGTGGCAAAATCACAGCTCATTGCAGCCTTGACTTTTTGGGCTTAGGTGATCCTCCCACCTCAGCCTCCCAGGTAGCACAACCAAACCCAGCTAATTTATTTTTTATTTTTATTTTTTTTGAGACAGAGTCTTGCTCTGTCGCCCAGGCTGGAGCCAGGCTGCAGTATTGTGGCACAATCTTGGCTTGCTGCAACCTCCACCTCCCGGGTTCAAGCGATTCTCCTGCCTCAGCCTCCTGAGTAGCTGGGATTACAGGTGCCCATCACCACACCCAGCTAATTTTTGTATTTTTAGTAGAGATAGGGTTTTATCATGTTGGCCAGGCTGGTCTCGAACTCCTGACCTCAGGTGATTCGCCTGCCTCGGCCTCCCAAAGTGCTGGGATTACAGGCATGAGCCACCGCGCCTGGCCTAATTTTATTTTATTTTAGTTTTTTTGAGACTGCGTCTAGCTTTGTCACCCAGGCTGGAGTGCAGTGGCTCGATCTTGTTGCACTGCAGCCTCCATCTCCCGGGTCAAGTGATTCTCCTGCCTCAGCCTGCAGAGTAGCTGGGATTACAGGCACCCACCACCACACCCAGCTAATTTTTGTATTTTTAGTAGAGATGGGGTTTCACCATGTTGCCCAGGCTGGTGTTGAACTTCTGAGCTCAAGCAATATGCCCACCTTGGCCTCCCAAGGTGCTAGAATTACAGGTGTGAGCCTCCGCACCCAGCTCAATTTTCTTTCTTTTTTTTTAAAGACAAGAGTTTCGCTCTTGTTGCCCAGGCTGGAGTGCAATGGCAGAATCTCAGCTCACCGCAACCTCTGCCTCCCAGGTTCAAGTGATTCTCCTGCCTCAGCCTCCCAAGTAGCTGGGACTACAGGTGCCTGCCACCATGCCCAGAAAATTTTTGTATTTTTAGTTGAGATGAGGTTTTCAGCATGTTGGCCAGGCTGGTCTTGAACTCCTGACCTCAGGTGATCCACCCGCCTTGGCCTTACAAAGTGCTGGGATTACAGGCGTGAGCCACCGCGCCCGGCCACCCAGCCCAATTTTTTTGTATTTTTGGTAGAGACAAGGTGTTGCAATGTTGCCCAGGCTGGTCTCGAACTCATGGAGTCAAGGGATCCTCCCACTTCAGCCTCCCAAAGTGCTGGGACTACAGGTGTGAGCCACCATACCCAGCTTCCATCAGTCTCTTTATAAAATTAATTTTTAATCATAGGTAACTCTAGAACATATCCTCATATGTCTAATTGGGAAAAATTCTCATTCCCTCTCTTTTTCCATAGCGGTCCCTCTGATAAGTCAGACACGGAAACCATGAAGCTCCTACTGACTGACACGTTTCCGTACATATATACATCACTTGGCCTGCTGCTTTATGATTTTATCTTGTTTTGCTTTGCTTTTACGTGGATGGAGTCACATGGCGAAAGTCACACTTACTGAGAATTCTCATCCTTAGTTTTCATTTGTGAGCGTTCAACATGCATCTGGCGAGTTCTCCATTTTTTTCTGGCTGTACCACATTCCTTGTAAACAGATTCATAGGATTCCATGGTGTGGATAAACCAGAGTTTACTAAGCCACTCCCTGTCAGTGGGCTTTAGGTTGCTTTCTGTTTTCCTGCTTTTATACATAATACGATGGGGAGCATCCCTGTTTGTACTTTCTTGTACCCTTGTGCAGATGGTTCCTGAGGGTAGATCTAAAAACGGGAAATAGGCCAGGCGTGGTGGCTCACGCCTGTAATCCCAGCACTTTGGGAGGCCGAGGCAGGCGAATCACTCGAGGTCAGGCGTTCCAGACCTGCCTAGCCAACATGGTGAAACCCCGTCTCTACTAAAAACATAAAAATTAGCCGGATGTGCTGGCAGGCACCTGTAATTCCAGCTACTCGGGAGGCTGAGGCAGGAGAATCGCTTGAACCCGGGAGGCGAAGGTTGGAGTGAGCCAAGATCTCAACACTCCACTCCAACCTGGGTGACAGAGTATGACTCCGTCTCAAAAAAATAAATAAATAAAAATAAAAACTGGAAATAGGGCCAGGCACGGTGGCTCACACCTGTAATCCCAGCACTTTGGGAGGCTGAGGTAGGCGGATCACTACAGGTCAGGAGTTTCAGAACAGCCTGGCCAGCATGGTGAAACCCTGTCTCTACTAAAAATACAAAAATTAGCCAGACGTGGTGTGGCCCACGCCCGTAATCCCAGCTACTCGGGAGGCTGAAGCAGGAGAATCACTTGAGCCGAGGAGGCAGAAGTTGCACTGAGCTGAGATTGTGCCACTGCACTCCAACCTGAGCAACAGAGCAGACTCTGTCTCAAAAAAAAAAAAAAAAAAAGCCAGTGGTGGTGGTGCACACCTGTAGTCCCAGCTACTCAGGAGGGTGGGGTAGGAGGATCGCTGGAGGCCAGGTTGCACTCCAAACTGGGTGACAGAGTGAGACCCTGTCTCAATAAACAAAAAATGGAAATACCAGGTTGTAAAGTCTGGGTGATTATAATTTTACTAGCCTGACAAATTGCCTTCCACACGGGGACAACCAGCGTGCCTTCCCACCAGCAATAGCTCACTCTGCCCATTTCCCCACATGTGCCACAGCACTGGGAGTTATCAAGTTTTTTTTGTTTGTGTGTGTGTGTGTGTGTGTGTGTGTGTGTGTGTTTTAAAGAGACAGGATCTCACTCTCTCACCCAGGCTGAGTGCAGTGGTGCAATCATGGCTCACTGCAGCCTTGACCTCCTGGGCTCAAACAATCCTCCCGCCTCAACCTCCTGAGTAGCTGGGACTACAGGCACGTGCCACCACCTCTGGTGATTTTTTTTCATCTTTGCCAACCTGGGGAGGGAGGAGAGTGTTGTTCCATCTTGTGGGTTGCTGGTAAGGTCTTCCCTTGGATTTGGATGGGTGCTGTCACCTTGGTCTACGGATTGCCCCTCTGACCCCGTTTTGGTCTCTCTCTTACCCGCCACGCCCTGCGGCTTAGATATCTCTGCGACTTTACCTACTACACCTCTTTGTACCAGAGTCACGGTCGATCAGCCTTCGTCCACGTGCCCCCACTGGGGAAGCCGTACAACGCGGACCAGCTGGGCAGGGCACTGAGAGCCATCATTGAGGAGATGTTGGACCTCCTGGAGCAGTCAGAGGGCAAAATCAACTATTGCCACAAACACTGAGGGACGCTCAGGTCTCCTAAGACCTCATCCTGCTGGGGACCCCACGAGGGGACATCCACCCTCTGGGGTGTGGCCAGGAAAAGACAAGCTCTTCAGCTTGGGGATCCGATCTGGAAGAGAGATTCTGATCTGCCCACCTCCTCTTCCTCCTTCTCTACAAAAGCTCCGGTTGATTCGAGGGAAGTGGTGAAAATTTTTTTTTCTCCCATTTTCCTCCCTGCATCTGGGGACACAGCTGCCGTGACCAGGGAGGCCAGCCTGGGAGGTCCAGATGCCCAGGGAGAATCTTGGTCTGGTGAATCCATGAGCTGCGATACCACGGCTGGGGCCATATGTTCACCTGCTTTCCTGTCCGTTGGTGAAGGAATTTCAGAATTCATTTTATATCCAAGACTGGCTTTTACCAAATTTAAAAGCCTCTCAATGCGTCCTCGACCTTGAACTGTGCTCAACAGCCTGGCCCTTTCTGGGGCCACCCTGGGATATGGCTGGCTGGCTGGCTTTCTTTCTTTCTTTCTTTCTTTCTTTCTTGCTTTCTTTCTTTCTTGCTTTCTTTCTTCTCTCTCTCTCTTTTTTTTTTTTTTTAAATAGTGCTAGTTTGGGCACAGAGTAATTTATATTCCCTTTGGTTAAAATGCAGGCTTTTTAGCCAACAACAAAAGTGTTTTCCCCCCACCCCCACTCGCCCACCAGGGTGATGCCACTTTTGCCTCCTGCCCTGAAAATTGGACTTAAGATGCCATGTCTTGGCCAGGCGCAGTGGCTCATGCCTGTAATCCCAGCACTTTGGAAGGCCAGGGTGGGCGGATCACCTGAGATCAGGAGTTCAAGATCAGCCTGGCCAACATGGTGAAACCCTGCCTCTACTAAAAATACAAAAATTAGCCGGGCATGGTGATGAGTGCCTGTAGTCCCAGCTACTCGGGAGGCTGAGGCTGGAGAATCGCTTGAACTTGGGAGGCAGAGGTTGCAGTGAGCTGAGATTGCACAGCTGCACTCCAGCCTGGGTGACAGAGCGAGACTCTGTCTCAAAACAATTGGACTTAAGATGGCATGTCTTTGTTTTAGGGCCAAAAATGAGGCCCCCTTGCTTAAGGCATGGGGTCCGTGGCCAGGCAACGGGGTGGGACTGCTGCCCCAGATGTGGCCATGGGGGTCGTGGTCCTTTCAACACCAAGCTATGAGCTGTCGCCATGGAGACCAGGGCCACCTGTGGAAAGGCGGATTTTGTCTGCTTTTGACTTTTCTTTTTTAATATGTAAAACTCCACATCAGCGGAAACCCCCCCCTACTTCTGGCCTGGAGCTTCAGGGTTTTGGTGCTGGGACGAGTTTGTTGTTCTCCTTAGCGGGGTGGCGCGGGGGGCTCAAAACGGGGGCGCGGGGGCTGGAGTTGGCAGAGCTCTGCATGTCCCGGCATGTCTGAGCAGGAGGAATTCCGGGCGGCCAAAGGGTTTTATGTAGATTGCTTTTGGACACTCGCCCAGGAGTCAGGAGTTGATTTTTATCTCACTTCCTGGTAACCTTGAACTTACCAGGCAGGGATGAGATGACGTAAACTTCCTCAGATGATGTAAGTTCAGCCACATCTTGCTGCCCATTAGGGAGAGAGGACGACCCCCACAGTGAAAGTAATTGAGTGAAATGCACGTTCTGGAAATCAGTTTCTATTTTGGCCTGGAGGAATGTGGCTATACTGCTTCCCTGAGTGTGACACAGTTGGAATCTAATCTTGTTGGTTTCCCAACATCTAGGTTTTTGTTTGTTTGTTTGTTTTTATGATAGGGTCTTGTTCTGTTGACCAGGCTGGAGTACAGTAGTGTGATCATGGATCACTGCAGCCTCTACCTCCTGGGCTCAAGTGATCCTCCCATCTCAGCCTCCTGAGTAGCTGGGACTACAGGCATGCACCACCACACCTGGCTAATTTTTAAATTTTTTATACAGACAGGGTTTCACCATGTTGCCCAGGCTGGTCTCGAACTCCTGGACTCAAACTGATCCTCCTTTCTCGGCCTCCCAAAGTGCTGGGATTACAGGCATGAGCCACTGCACCCAGCCCAGTTCTTTCTTAAAACAGCTGAGAGTTTTGTTTTCTTCAGCGTTCACCTTCCTTGTCTCCAGTTCCGATGCTGGCAGTGGTTCCTACCTCTGTTGGGTTTCTAGATAGTTTGGGAACGGGGTTGATGGGTTTCTGTGAAACACATTTTCCAAGTCTTGGGCTTTCTCTGGAGGGGAAGGTGGATGCTGGCGGGTGACTTGCAGTGGGCGCCTGGCAGTGGGTGTGGACTGTAACTGACAGGTGGAAATGAGTAGGGACACTATTGTTCCCTCCATGCCAGCTTTTTTTTTTGCTGGAAATGCCCCCTCCACACCCCTGGTAGCTCTGTGTCCTGAGAAATCCAGAGTGTGGGAGACATCACTGCATCTGTCCCCCCAGCTTCTGTGAAGGGAAGCTGTGGCCTCTTTTGAATGTGGGGAACAACTGAAGACTCAGGGGTCACCCAGAGGTCTGGTGGAAAGCAACTTCAGGTTTCATCTTGCTCTATTCCTCAAAGGTCTGGTCTGTGGGCCTCTGAGGAGAAAACAGGTCTAGCCAAGACAGGGACAAAATGGGGAAGGGGATGTGCCAGGCCTGAACTGAGCTAAGCACCTGCCCCGGGCTCCACACTTCCATCTTTCTTTTGTCTTCATTTCACCTCTGTGTTTAAAGCACTGTGTGACATAGCTCCTTAGAGATATAACCTATTGTCTGCTCATTGTCACGTGTGTGTGTGTCATCTTTGTATTCTTGCAGTGGTTTCACATTTCCTTACCCAGTCAAGCCAGTATCCCATCCTTCCTCATAATGCACAACATTTGGCTCATTTTATTTTTCTCATTGTTATTTTTTATTTTTATTTTTTGAGATGGATTCTCACACTGTTACTCGGGCTAGAGTGCAATGGCGTGATCTCGGCTCACTGCAACCTCCACCTCCTGGGTTTACACAATTCTCCTGCCTCAGCCTCCCGAGTAGCTGGGATTACAGGCGCCCGTCACCACACCTGGCTAATTTTTGTATTTTTAGTAGAGATGCAGCTTCACCATGTTGGCCAGGCTGGTCTTGAAATCCTGACCTCAGGTGATCTGCCTGCCTTGGCCTCCCAAAGTGCTGGGATTACAGGTGTGAGCTACTGCGCCTGGCCAAGTTTTTTACAAATATTTTTCTTTTGGTGGAACTCATCTGTGCACTCTCTGGTGTGTTTTTCCACCTTTGTTGGGTCTTGGCTTAAAATATCCTCATGTGGGCTAGGTGTGGTTACTCACACCTGTAATCCTAGCACTTTGGGAGGTTGAGGCAGGAGAATCCCTTGAGCCAGGAGTTCAAGACCAGCCTGGGCAACATAGCAAGAGATCCCATATCTACCAAAACATACAAGAATTAGCCAGATGTGGTGGTGCATGCCTGTGGTCCCAGATACTCAGGAGGCTGAGGCAGGAGGATCACCTATGCCTGGGAGGTTGAAGCCCCAGTGAGCCATGATCACACCACTGTAGTCCAGCCCGGGTGACACAGCAAGACTCTGTCTCAAAAAAAAAAAAAAAAAAAATCCTCATGCAAGAAGGGAAGGACCAAGTCCCATTCCCTCTTGCCTCATTTTCAGAGCCTGGGGTAGGGGCTACAGGTGGCATAGGAAGGGTCTGCAAGGTGGGTGGGACTTGGCAGGTGTTGGGAAGAGGAATAGGGGTGGCAAGTGTCAATGGTGAAAAGACAGGCTGAGGGGTGTGGTGGGAAGGCTGGGGGAGAAAGGTGAGAAGTGATTGGGGGGGCTTCCCTGATGAGTCCTCATGGAGGGTGCTGAGGCAGGGAACAGGGGTGCAGGGACAGTGATCAGGGCACCTGGTACCCTGACCAACTTGATGATGGCATCTCTTTTAAGATGCCCAAGTCTGCGCACTTTTATTCCTTTATTCGGCCCCTAGCACCCCCTCCCCACCCCAAAGAAGGTCAGTTGCATGCGTGTGGGGATGTAGCTCAAAAAAGAAATAAGATGGAGTGGAAAGGAAAGAAAGGAAGAAGCAGGAATTCAAGGTGGGTGGGCTGAGCTTGGGGCCACCTAGCCCACCTGCTCCAATCAAGGGCTGGAACAAACCTGAGGCCACTTGGAGAGGCAGGGCTGGGCAGGGACAGGGGGTGGGGGCCGAAATCACAGCTTCCCCATCAGAGCCAGATGTGTGAAGGAAATGTCCCAGATGGCAGTAGTTTCTCGGCAAGGAGGGGAATCCTGGAGATGGTTCATGTCTGTGATCCCAGTGCTTTGGGAGGCTGAGGTGGGAGGATTGCTTGAGCCCGGGAGTTCGAGACCAGCCCTGGGCAACATGGCGAGACCCCATCTCTACAGAAATTAAAAAAAAAAATTAGCCAGTTGTGGTGTCAAGCACCTGTAGTCCCAGCTACTTGGGAGGCTGAGTTGGGAGGCTTATCTGAGCCCAGGAGGTGAAGGCTGCAATGAGCCATGATTACACTACTGTACCCCAGCCTGGGCAACAGAGCAAGACCCTGCCTCAAAATTAAGAAAAAAAAAAGGGGGGCCAGGCGCAGTGGCTTATGCCTGTTATCCCAGCACTTTGGGAGGCCAAGGCAGACTGATCGCTTGAGGCCAGGAGTTTGCGACCAGCCTGGCCAACATAGCAAAACCCCATCTCTACTAAAAATACAAAAATTAGTCAAGAGTGGATGGTGCGTGCCTGTAATCCCAGCTACCTGGGAGGCTGAGACAGGAGAATTGCTTGAACCTGGGAGGCAGAGGTTGCAGTGGTGTGAGATCACGCCACTGCATTCCAGACTGGGCAACATAGCAAGACTCTGTCACAAAAAAAAAAAAAAAAAAGAATTCCCTGCTCTGCTTTTCTGCTCGTTGCTGGCATAGAAACATCTAGAACAGAAAGTATCCACTCTGGGGCAGATGGGAGAGCTGGAAAAGTAGATTCAAGATGCCTTTTAGTCTTGGAAGTTTCTTCCAGGAAGCAAGACCAGCTGGTATGTTTACACCTGCACTCCAGTGCCCTGGGGAGGTGACCAGGTGGAGGGGGATGGCTCATGGAAATCTGTCCCGCACAGCTGGCCCCCTTTTGGCTGCCACTGTCTAGACTGTTGGCCTTTGACCTCTCTGCCTCTTGTGGCGTCTGAACCTAGACGTCCCTTTTGGAGACAGCTGGACAAAGCCCTATTCTCCGCAGCCCCAGCCTCTATCCTGAGGCCTCTGGGAGCTGCGTGACGGCCAGCATGGGGTGCTGATCATGGTCAAGGAGGCAGGTCTTTGCCAGGTTGCCCCATGCAGCCACCCATCCTCAGCATCCTAACTTGAGGGGGCAGGAGAGGGCTTTGTTTTTATAATCCGGATTAAATTTCCCTTCCCTGGGCACAAGTGCCTCATGAGGGCCCGGGGCTGCTGGTTGGGAGGGAAAGCATCCCCGTTTTTGCAGTGAGGAGGCCGGCCGAGGGCTGGGGTTCCACTTAGACCCTTGGCAGAATGGCTGTTGAGGGGCAGGCGCTGCCCAGTGCCCACGTCTGGAAAGCTAATTCCCGGGTGGACGCTGAACATACCTGCTGAGAGACTCTGTCCCCTGGTTTCCAGGACAGTTGTCACAAGCTGAGTGGGGGGGGACTCCCAGGACTTGAGGGACCCAGTCCCACCCCAAACTGCTCCCCCTCCCCCAAATTCCCTTTCTCCTCCTGCTCTTTCTCCCCGCTGTGCCTCCCCCAGTTACCCACAGAAGTGCCTGCCTCTCCAGCGCTCACAGAACACACAAAAAGGGACAGGAATTGGTCACTGGGTAGTGGCCGTGGCTCCTGACGATCCAGACCAGCGTCTGGCCCAAGCCATTCAGAGGTGGGGTCTGGGGCCTGGGGGTTTTGTGTCGTGACACTTTGTCTCAAGGAGATTCCACATAGGGATTTGAATTAGGCTTTCTGCTTGCCAAGGCCTGTGGCATCTGAGCCTGGCTGAGGGCCGGGCAAGCCTCCCCTGAGCCTTTGGAAGCCGAGTTCACTCTCTGCCTGCCCAGGGGAGCACCGGCTTGGTTCTGGGGGCTCCTCTAACATCTCAGGTTTTTATCTTGTCTTAAATTTCTTTCTAGGAAAAAACCCTTCCCTGCCAAAGGTGACTGTGTTTTCTGCCGCCGAAGGAGGGCCCGGTCCCTCCAGGCTCAGTGTGGCTTCTCCCTGACCCCCGCCCTAGAACTTTTGCCAGTGCCTTTTCTGAAACTCCTGTGTCCCGGGCCCCCCAGGCGGAGAAGGATATGCCGGATTCTGCCTGGGGCTGGGCTCTAGGAGACCCCAAATTTGACACCACAGAAAGCAAATAAAACACTTGAAATACGCATACATTTCCTGTGTGTCCTTTTGTGGGGCTGGAGTTCAGCTGGGTGCCCGGGGATAGAGGGGACCCCGTGTCACTGGGTTTCTATTCTCGGTGGTGCTGGGCCCAGGGCAGCTGGTGACCATGTGCTGAGTGAGCGAGAGGAGGGGAATTCTGCCTCCAGTGGTCTCCTTCCTCAAAATCAGAGGCCTGGCCCAGCGCAGTGGCTCACACCCGGAATCCCAGCACTTTGGGAGGCCGAGGTGGGTGAATCACCTCAGGTCAGGAGTTCCAGACCAGCCTGGCCAACATGGCGAAACCCCGTCTCTACTAAAAATACAAAAATTAGCCAGGTGTGGTGGCACGTGCCTGTAATCCCAGCTACTCAGGAGGCTGAGGCAGGAGAATCGCTTGAACCCGGGAGGCGGAGGTCACAGTGAGCCAAGATCGCACCACTGCACTCCAGCCTGGGCAACAGTGTGAGACTCAGTCTCAAAAAACAACAACAAAACCCGCGGACCTTTGTTCCAACACACAGGGAGGTTGAGGAACTTGCCTGTGGTAACACAGGCACTGGGGTTTGAGCGATGATCTGCATCAACCTCCAGGGCATACAAAATCCCCATCATGGCTGGGCACGGAGGCTCACGCCTGTAATCCCAGCACTTTGGGAGGCTGAGGCCGGTGGATCACCTGAGGTCAGGAGTTCAAGACCAGGCTGACCAATATGGTGAAACCCTGTCTCCACTAAAAATACAAAAATTAGGCCAGGCGCAGTGGCTCACACCTGTAATCCCAGCACTTTGGGAGGCCGAGGCGGGCGGATCACAAGGTCAGGAGATCAAGACCATCCTGGCTAACACGGTGAAACCTCGTCTCTACTAAAAAATACAAAAAATTAGCCGGGCACGGTGGCAGGCACCTGTAATCCCAGCTACTTGGGAGGCTGAGGCAGGAGAATGGCGTGAACCCAGGAGGCAGAGTTTGCAGTGAACCGAGATCGCGCCACTGCACTCTGGCCTGGGCAAAAGAGCGAGACTCCACCTCAAAAAAAAAAAAAAATACAAAAGGTAGCTGGGTGTGGTGGCAGGCACCTGTAATCCCAGCTACTTGGGAGGCTGAGGCAGCAGAATCACTTGAACCCGGCGGGTGGAGGTTTCCGTGAGCTGAGATCACGCCACTGCACTCCAGCCTGGGCGACAGAGCAAACAAGACTCCACTTCAAAAAAAACAAAAAATCCCCATCATTCTGACAGGGGATGCCATGCCATTGCCACCTTTACAGACAGGGAAACTGAGTTTCCACCAGTTGAAGCCCCTTGTCCCCTATGTCACGGCCAGGGAGAGTAGGGGTGGGAATGTGAACCCAGGCGGGCTTCTCTGGAGCGGAGGGCCTTGAAGAACACAAATGGACATGTTCATTCCCTACGCCTGTCCTCAGCAGGAATGAAGACACCCTGGTCTCTGGCTCTCTGAGAATAAACTTTTGACACCAAAGGGACTTGGACAACAGTTAGGAAGATGTCCTGGAGCAAGTGGACCCCGTGGGTTGGGGGAACTTCTTGGACTCACAGAGGACTGAGGGTTCTTGCACCCCCAGTGGAGGTATTCATATCTGGGTGGTCTTTCCCATAGGGTCGACTCTTATTATTGTTATTTAATGTAGAGACAGGGTCTTGCCATATTGCCCAGGCTGGTCTCAAACTCCTGGGCTTAAGTTCTCTACCTGCCTCGGCCTCCCAAAGCTCTGGAATTCCAGGCATGAGCCACCATACCCGTCCCTTTGCTGTCTTGAGCCTTAGTTTACCCATTTCTCGTGGGGCTTTTGTGGCAATTCAATGAGATTCTGCTTTTACAGCCCTTAACTTGGAGCCTGGTGCCCTGTCATTGCTCAGTAAATACAATGATCAGGGTGTGGGCTCTCGCTTATAATCCCAGCACTTTGGGAGGCCAAGGCGGGTGGATCACTTGAGGTCAGGAGTTCGAGACCAGCCTGGGCAACATGGTGAGACCCCCCCCCCCCATCTCTACAAAAAATACAAAAATTAGACAGGTGCAGTGGCGCACACCTGTAGTCCCAGCTACTCAAGAGGCTGAGGTGGGAGGATCACCTGAGCCTGGGGAGGTCAAGGCTGCAGTGAGTGGTGATCGTGCCACTGCACTCCAGCCTGAGTGACAGAGTGAGACCCCATCTCAAAAACAAAAACCCGGTCGGGTGCGGTGGCTCATGCCTGTAATCCCAGCACTTTGGGAGGCAAAGGCAGATGGATCATTTGAGGTCAGGAGTTTGAGACCAGCCTGGCCAACATGGAGAAACCCCATGTCTACTAAAAATCCAAAAATTAGCCAGCCATGGTGGTAAACACCTGTAATCCCAGCTACTCGGGAGGCTGAGGCAGGAGAGTCGCTTGAACCAGGGAGGCTGAGGTTGCAGTGAACTGAGATCGCGCCACTGCACTCCAGTCTGGGTGATAGAATGAGACTCCGTCTCAAAAAAAAAAAAACCCCACAAAATAAATACAGTTACCATCACCTCCTCTTCCAGGAAGCCCTCCTGGCTACCTAGGCATCTCCTCTGACTCCTACAGCTGCCTGGGTGTCCCCATTGTAGCACTCTGGGTGGTAATTGACAGCCTCTGTGAGAGGGTGGATGGGTATGTGTGGGGCCCCCTCTGTGTCTTCTGTGCCCAGCACAGTGCCAGGGACACAGTAGGGAAGCAATAAACTGCTGGGAGGAGAGGTGAGTGCTGTGGGTCCACTCCTGAGGCCAGCCAGGGGCTCAGCAAGGCACCAATGCCTCCTCCCAGGAGTGAAAGATGCTGGAATCACCAGGCTCCTCCTGCAGTCTGGGGTCCCCACCTAAGGAGGCCCCTCACCCCGTGGCTGTCCCAGTCATTCAGGAAGTGTCCACTGTGGGCTGAGCCCTGGACTGGGGACACAGCAAGGATCAGGCAGCTGGGAGTACAGCCTGGAGGTCCCCCCTTGGGATGAGGGCTGCACAGGCAGTTAAAGGGTCCAAGGATCATCCCAGGATATGGCTGAGAGGCTGCAAGAGGCTCCATCCCCTAGAGGCCCCCTCCGCCCTCGCCTGGGTGCTCCCAGCCTTACTCAAAGGAGCAGGTCGGCCCGGTGCGTTGTCTCACACCTGCAATCCCAGTGCTTTGGGAGGCCGAGGCAGGCGGATCACTTGAGCACAGGAGTTCCAGACCAGCCTGGGCAACATAGCAAGATTCTATCTCTACAAAAGTAAAAATAAATCTTATAAAGTAGCTGTGGACTGGGCACAGTGGCTCACACCTGTAATCCCAGCACTTTGGGAGACCAAGGTGGGCAGATCACCTGAAGTCAGGAGTTTGAGACCAGCCTGGCCAACAAGGTGAAACCCCATCTCTACTAAAAATACAAAAATTAGCCAGGCATGGTGGTACACATCTGTAATCCCAGCTACTCAGGAGGCTGAGGCAGGAGAATCCCTTGAAACTGGGAAGCAGAAGTTGCAGTGAGCTGAGATCGTGCCACTGTACTCCAGCCTGGGTGACAGAGTGAGACCCTGTATCTAAAAAAATAAAATAAAAATGAAAAGATGAGGATCTTGGCCTCCATTCTTGCCCTTCCACTCCATTCCAACTGCTGAGCCTCTCACACCCTCTGTGGCTCCCTTTCGCCTACAGGAAATAGGATTTCTGTACTGGGCATTTGAACCCCATTCCCTTGTTTCTGCTGACCCCCAGCAGTCTCAATATCCCCTACTTCCTCTTCCCAGAACCACCCTCCCCAAAGCCCTTATCGATGCTTGGAGGATTCCTATGCATCCCTCAAAATCCAAGGTTTGGGAAAGATGCTGCAGTGGTCTCAAGACATCCTCAGTGTGATGACAGCCTGGGGTGGGGGTAAGGGGGCAAAGTACAGCACCAGAAATCCCAACTGAGTCCCCCCACACGTCTTCCACCTTCCCACCCTCTCTTTCGGGTTCTGGCTCCCTGCCTCCAGGCAATCACCAGTTTTTACCAGGAGTGCCTCAGACCTGCCCGGACATGTCCAAGTCCCCTAGAAGCAGGGAGGGGTGGGTGAGGCTGTCACCTCTCCCTTCCCTGTATGGTGCTGATAAGGGCGTGGGGAGGCAGAGACAGGCAGAGATAGACATGATGAGAGACAGGCAGAAATGGAGGGAGAGCCAGGGAGAGAGAGACACAAAGAGAAAAAGTGGAAATTCTCCAGATATTTTGTTTAGGGTGAGGACACGGAGACACAGAGAGGGACTTAGCCAGCTGAGGATGACGATTTGGGATGTTAGGTCACCCAGGTGCTGTGCTGTGTAACTCAGGCACAGAGCTGCCCTGTTCCGAGCCTCAGTTTACCCCTGTGACTCAGAGCAGATCTCCATACCCCCATCACAGGGCTGTGTATCCGAGCTCAGCCAGAGCCTGGCATGCAGTAGGTGCTTCATAAATACACACTGTGGACAGTAGAATTATGATGGGAGCGAGCGTGTGAACTGGGTTGCTAATGTGGAGCGTGAAGAGGGAGGCCCAGGGTTACTCGGCCAATGGGTTCCGGGCAGCAAGCACGTGGGGGAAGCCTCAGCTGACCACTTCCTGGCCAGTTTATGCAGGAACTCGCACAGCCGGTCCCTGAGGCTGAGCCCACCACTTCCGCCCCCCATGGTCCCAGCCCTGCTGACTCATACTCAGCTGCCACGGTCCGCTTTCCCTGCTGAGCACGGGGGTGGGGGCGGGGGGGAAGAGGGGGAGGGAAGGGCACCTGACCGAGGCCAGAGGCCCAGAAAGGACAGAAGGTCATGGCTGGGGAGAAGCAGGCAGGAGAACCGAGTCTTGGCCTTAACTGGCTGGCAACGTAAAACCTGCCCTCCACAAGGACAAGATGAAAACTTGGGGATTTGGAGGGGACAACAAATTAGACTCAATCACAATTTCAAACTTTTGGATGTCAATATATCCATCAAGAAATTGAAAAGAGGCCTGGCATGGTGGCCGATGCCTGTCATCCCAGCACTTTGGGAGACCAACGTCGGAGGATCACTTGAGGTCAGGAGTTCCAGACCAGCCTGGGCAACGTGGTGAGACCCGGTCTCTACAAAAAAATTTAAAAATTAGCTGGACAGGGGCCAGGCGCAGTGGCTTACGCCTGCAATCCCATCACTTTGGGAGGCCGAGGCCTGGATGACAGTGAGAGACTCTGTCTAAAAAAAAAAGGACAGGTGCGGTGCTTCGCGCCTGTAATCCCAACACTTTGGGAGGCCAAGGCAGATGGATCACCTGAGGTCAGGAGTTCGAAACCAGCCTGGCCAACATGGTGAAACCCCATCTCTACTAAAAATACAAAAATTAGCCAGGTGTGGTGGCGCATGCCTGTCGTCCCAGCTACTTGGGAGGCTGAGGCAGGAGAATCACTTGAACCCGGGAGGCAGAGGTTGCAGTGAGCCGAGATCGTGCCATTGCACTCCAGGCTAGGTGACAGACAGAAACTCTTGTCTCAAAAAAAAAAAAAAAAAAAAACCCACCAGAGATAAAAATGGGCAGCAGATGACATTGTTTACATAATACTGACCACAAACTTGATGTCCTAAAAGAACAGGGACTTCTCTCAGAGTTCTGGAAGCCAGAAGTCCGAAATCAAGGTGTCACAGCAGGACTGGTTCCTTCTGGAGGCTGTCAGGACTCAGAATGTGATACTCCAAAGTATGGCTCCTTGGCAAAAACTTTGTGGTTTTTGTTTTTAGAGACAGGGTCTTGCTCTGTCACCCAGGCTGGGGTGCAGTGGTACAATGATAGCTCACTGCAGCCTCTACCTCCTGGGCTCAAGCAATCCTCCCACCTCAGCCTCCCAAGTAGCTGGGACTACAGGCATGCGCCACCACACCTGGCTAATTACTTTTATTTTTGTAGAGATGAGGTCTCGCCGTGTTGCCCAGGCTGGTGTCAAACTTCTTCTTCTTCATTTTTTGTTTTTGAGATGGAATCTCGCTCTGTTGCCCAGGCTGGAGTGCAATGGTGTGATCTTGGCTCACAGCAACTTCCGCCTTCTGGGTTCAAGTGATTCTCCTGCCTCAGCCTCCCGAGTAGCTGGAATTACAGGCATGTACCACCGTGCCTGGCTAATTTTGTGTTTTTAGTAGAGACGGGGTTTCTCCATGTTGGTCAGGCTGGTCTTGAGCTCCTGACCTCAGGGGATCCACCTGCCTCAGCCTCCCAAAGTGCTAGGATTACAGGCGTGAGCCACCGCGCCCAGCGAAGACAGTTATTTTAAAGTATTTGTCTAGTGAGTCTGATGTGTGGGCTTCCTTAGGGATGGTTTCTGTCTGTTAATTTTGTTCCTTAAAATGCGCCACACTTTGCTGTTTCTCTGTATGCCTAGTGATGTTTTTGTTGTTGAAAAGCGAGCATTTGAATATTCTAAATTATGGTAACTCCAGAAATCAGATTCTCCACCTTCCTGAGAGTTTTGTGATTTTTGTTTCTGTTTTTAATTATGGAAGGCAGTAGCCATCTCTTTGTTTAGATAGTTTTCCAAACCGCTTTTTTTTTTTTTTTTGCAAAGACTGTATTCCGGCCGGGCCCGGTGGCTCACGCCTGTAATCCCAGCACTTTGGGAGTCCGAGGCAGGTGGATCACGAGGTCCGGAGATCGAGACCATCCTGGCTAAAACGGCAAAACCCCCCTCTCTACTAAAAATACAAAAAATTAGGTGGGCATGGTGGCGGGCACCTGTAGTCCCAGCTACTCGGGAGGCTGAGGCAGGAGAATGGCGTGAACCCGGGAGGCGGAGCTTGCAGTGAGCTGAGATCGTGCCACGGCACTCCAGCCTGGGCGACAGAGCGAGACCCTGTCTCAAAAAAAAAATAAAATAAATAAAATAAATAAATAAATAAATAAACCTGTTCCCCAAATATATATATGAAATTAAAACATGCGTGGTCATGATCAAGTTCTAATTACAGACAAAGACTTCCTTGAGATTGGGGAGAACCTGCCTTGGACTACGGGGACCACTTCAACTCTCTTGGGAATGATTTTTCTTTAGGTGGGTGCTGGATAGGGGTGTTTGTGATTTTATTATTAATACTTTTGTGTGTGCCTGAAAGATTTCACAATGACAAATAAAACTGAGAGGAAAAGGTTTGGCAGTTCCCCATTAAGTTCAATACAGGGTTACTCTGTGACCCAGTAATTCCACTCCTCAGTAGAGAGCCAAGTGAAATGAAAACAGGTGTTCAAACAAAAACGTGTACACCCACTTTTACAGCAGCATTCTTCATCAAGGCGAAACTACAGTACAAATATTGTAAGATTCCATTTCTGTGAAATGTTCCGAATAGGTAAATCTATAAAGGCAGAAATTAGGCCAGGTGCAGAGGCTCATGCCTGTAATCCCAGCACTTTGGGAAGCCGAGGTGACAGGATCGCTGGAGGTTAGGATTTGAAGACCAGCCTGGGCAACATAGCGAGATCCCATCTTTACAAATTTTTTTAAAAATTAGCAAGGCACTGGCTGGGTGAAGTGGCTCACGCCTGTAATCCCAGCACTTTGGGAGGCCGAGGCGGGTGGATCACCTGAGGTCCGGAGTTCGAGATCAGCCTGGGCAACACGGTGAAACCCCCGTCTCTACTAAAAATTCAAAAATTAGCTGGGCATGGTGGTGCATGCCTGTAATCCCAGCTACTCGGGAGGCTAAGGCAGGAGAATCGTTTGAACCCAGGAGGTGGAGACTGCAGTGAGTCGAGATGGCGCCATTGCACTCCAGCCTGGGCAACAAGAGTAAATCTCCATCTCACAAAAAAAAAAAAAAAAAAAAAGCAAGGCACAGTGGCATCAGGCTGGGGTGGGAAGATCACTTGAGCCCAGCCATTCGAGACCAACCTGTGCAACACAGGAAAACCCCATTCTACAAAATAGTAAAAAATTATCAGGGCATGGTGGCACATGCCTATAGTCCCAGCTACTCGGGAGAGTGATGGGGGAGGATCACTTGAGCCCAGGAGGTCGAGGCTGCGGTGACCTATGATTGTGCCACTGCACTCCAGCCTGGGCTACACAGCCAGACCCTGTCTAAAAAGAAACAAAACAGGCAGGACGCGGTGGCTCACACCTGTAATCCCAGCACTTTGGGAGGCCGAGGTGGGCGGATCACCTGACATCAGGAGTTCGAGACCAGCCTGTCCAACATCGTGAAATCCCCCTCTCTACTAAAATACAAACATTAGCCGGGCATGGTAGTGGGTGCCTGTAATCCTACCTACTCGGGAGGCTGAGGCAGGAAAATTGCTTGAACCTGGGAGATGGAGGTTGCAATGAGCCGAGATCGCGCCACTGCACGACAGCCTAGGCGACAGAGCAAGACTCCATCTCAAAAAAAAAAGAAAAAGAAAAAAAGAAGAAACTCTCATTGATGGAGTGTTCATTGATGGAGCACTTTTTGGGAGTGGGTTGACATGCTCACAGGTGTTTTTAACCTCACCTCGTCTCTGAAGAGGTGCAGATAAAAGTCACCTGGTGAGGAAAATGCCTTTTTAAAAACAATTTTTAGAGGGCCAGCACGGTGACTCACGACTGTAATCTGAGCAATTTGGGAGGCCGAGGTGGGCGGATCACTTGAGGTCAGGAGTTCAAAACCAGTCTGGCCAACATGGTGAAATCCTGTCTCTACTAAAAATACAAAAATTAGTTGGGCATGGTGGCACATGCCTGTAATCCCAGCTACTCGGGAAGCTGAGGCAGGAGAATCACTTTAACCCAGGAGGTGGAAGTTGCAGTGAGCCAAGATCGCGCCAGTGCACTCCAGCCTGGGCAACAGAGCGAGACTCTGTCTCAAAAGAAAAAAAAAAGAGATGGGGTCTTGGGGTCTCACTGTGTTGCCCAGGCTGGTCTCCAACTCCTGGCCTCAAGCAATCCTCCTGCTTTGGCCTCCCAAAGTGCTAGGATTACATGCCTGAGCCACTGTGTTCAGCCAGGGTGTCCCTTTTCTGAGACTGCATTCTTTCCACCTTGCCCAAGTATTGCAGGAGAACCACAGGCCCCATGCTGTGCTGGCGAAAATCTCATCTCATGCTGGCCTGTTAGGGTGGCCATATCCTCTCATTTCAGAGGCTCTGAGGGAGATGGAACAGGCTCAGCGGCTGGCTGCTTGGGGCTCTAACCCCAGCCCTGCTGTCTTCTGGCTGTGTGGCCGTGACGAGCCCACCTCTCTGGCCTCAGTTTGTCATCTGTGAAATGGACATAATCTATCCACCACATCAGGCTGTATAAAGATTAGGCCAGGTGTGGTGCCTCACACCTGTAATCCCAGCGCTTTGGGAGGCTGAGGCAGGCAGATCACCTAAGGTCAGGAGTTCGAGACCAACCTGGCCAAAATGGTGAAACCCTGTCTCTAATAAAAATACAAAAATTAGCTGGGCATGGTGGCATGTACCTGTAATCCCAGCTACCCAGGAGGCTGAGGCAGGAGAATCGCTGGAACCCGGGAGGCAGAGGCTGCAGTGAGCCAAGATTGCACCACTGCACTCCAGCCTGAGTGACAGAGCGAAACTCCGTCTCAGAGAAAAAAAAAAAAAAAAAAGATATGTCCAAGTCCTAACGCTCAGTATCTGTGACCTTATTTGGAAAGAAGGTCTTTGCAAATGTAATTAAACTAAAGATCTTGTACTGAGATCATTCTGAATTAAGAATGGACCTGTGGCTGGGCACAGTGGCTCACACCTGTAATCCCAGCACTCTGGGAGGCTGAGGTGGGCAGATCACCTGAGATCAGGAGTTCAAAACCAGCCTGGCCAACATGGCGAAACCCCGTCTCTACTAAAAATACAAAAAAAAATTAGCTGGGCGTTGTGGTGCACACCTGTAATTCCAGCTACTCGGGAGGCTGAGGCAGGAGAATCACTTGAACCTGGGAGGCTGCAGTGAGCCGAGATTGCGCCACTGCATTCCAGCCTAGGCAACAAGAGTGAAACTCTGTCTCGAAAATAAAAACATAAAAAGAGTGGACCCATGGCCAGGCACAGTGGCTCATGCCTATAATCCCAACACTTTGGGAGGCCAAGATGGAAGGATCGTTTGAACTCAGCCGTTTGAGACCAGCCTGGGCAACATAGTGAGACCCCTGTGTCTAAATACAAACACAAACAGAAAACAAAAAGAACCCGGGCTGGCTGCGGAACCCCCTAGATGGCACAGGCACATCCTGGCTTTCGAGGACAGTCACGAGCATGAGACAGCATTTCTTCTTGTCCTCGGGGCCTGCAGGAAGTTTTTAAGTAATCTGCTTTTGTGCCTCTTCCAAATCTCCTCCTATGACCCTGTTTACCTTACATCACAAGAAACAATCAATAAAAGTGGTTTGTGTTCGTGAGTGCCGTGTGTTTGACAAAGGCGTTGATAACTGAGAGCTGGTAGTGGAGGGGGGAGATTTTGGGAGATTGGGGCCCTGCCAGGTGGACGGACTGGCCTGACCTCCGGCCCCTGTGCTCTGTTTACTTCCATCCCAGCTCCACCTCTGGGGACCCATGGAAGCTGTCGGTGAGGAACACAGGATCCGACCTGCTGAGCTCATCTCTGGCCACCTGCCTGCATCCGCCCCATCTCTCCTCTCAGCTTGGCCATGAGGCGGGCTATGAGGTCATTGGTTAAAGATTTGGGGAAGCAGAGCCAGGCGAGTGGCCAGATGTGGTGGCTCATGCCATCACAGGATCCCAGCACTGTGAGAGGACAAGGAAGGAGGATGCTTGAGCTCAGGAGTTCGAGACCAGCCTGTACAACATAGCAAGACCCCCGTCTCTACAAAATATAAAATTAGCCAGTTGTGGTGGCACGCGCCTCTAGTCCCAGCTACTCGGGAGGTTGAGGTGACAGGATCCCTTGAGCCCAGGAGGTCGAGGCTGCAGTGAGTGGGTAACAGAGCCAAACCCTGTCTCTAAAACAAACAAAAACAGAAACAAAAAGTACACTACTTACTGTCCTGCTTCTCACCATTCCAGCCTGGTAGTCCTTTTTTTTTTTTTTGAGACAGGGTCTTGCTCAGTTGCTCAGGCTGGAGTGCAGAAGCGTAATCACAGCTCACTGCAGCCTTGATCTCCAAAAAGACTACCAGCTTGGCTGGGTGTGGGGACTCATGCCTATAACCCCAGCATTTTGGGAGCCAGAGGCAAGAGGATTCCTTGAGCCAAGGAGTTCGAGACCAGCCTGGGCAACACAGTGAGACCCTATCTCTAAAATTTTTTTTTTTTGAGATGGAATTTAGCTCTCGTTGCCCAGGCTAGAGTGCAATGGTGCAATCTCAGCTCACCACAATCTCCACCTCCCAGGTTCAAGCAAAATTCTCCTGCCTCAGCCTCCCGAGTAGCTGGGATTACAGGCATGCGCCACCATGCCCGGCTAATTTTGTATTTTTAGAAGAGACGGGGTTTCTCCATGTTGGTCAGGCTGGTCTCAAACTCCCAACCTCAGGTGATCTGCCTGCCTTGGCCTCCCAAGGTGCTGGAATTACAGACATGAGCCACCGTGCCCAGCCTAAAAAAAATTTTTTTAAAAAATAGCTGAGTGTGGTGGCACATGCCTATAGTCCCAGCTACCCAGGAGGCTGAGGTGGGAGGATTGCTTGAGCCCAGCAGATCAAGGCTGTAGTGAGCCAAGATTGTGCCACTGCACTCCAGCCTGGGCAACTGAGCGAGACCCTGTCTCAAAAAAAAAAGAAAAAGGAAAAAGAAAAAGAAAAAAAAAGGACTACCAGGTGTTTTTTTTTTTTTTTTTTTTTTGAGACGGAGTCTCGCTCTGTCGCCCAGGCTGGAGTGCAGTGGCGCAATCTCGGCTCACTGCAAGCTCCGCCTCCCGAGTTCTCGCCTTTCTCCCACCTCAGCCTCCCGAGTAGCTGAGACTACAGGCACCCACCACCATGCCTGGCTAATTTTTTTGTATTTTTAGTAGAGAGGGGGTTTCACCGTGTTAGCCAGGATGGTCTTGATCTCCTGACCTCGTGATCCGCCTGACCTCGGCCTTCCAAAGTGCTGGGATTACAGGCACGAGCCACCGCGCCCAGCCTGGTGTCCTTATTTCTTGGGAAAGGATACAGAGGGTCAGAGAGGCGCCCCAGCTTGTGCAGGAATGCATTCCTGAGATCTGGCCTGGCCGTGGTCACTGGAGTGTTTACTCTGCTTACAGGGTCTGGTGTAGTGGGGGATGGCTGGGTAGGAACGTGCGGGCTATAAAGCCAGACCCCAGGTGTCAGTGCGGTTCAGAAAGCAACTAGCACAGCCATGCCCAGGCCAGGACCCGTGACACAGCGATGCTCTCAGATGCTGCTGATGTTACAGATGTTGTTGGGGGCACCCTGAGGGGGCACCCTGACTCTGCAGGTGAGAACCTTCTGGGGTTCCTAGGACCCTCGGACAAGCACTCTGATCCGGATGACTCCAGGTCCCAGGAGTTGCAGAAACGCCACCAGGACCTTCAGAGCACCAGTTAGACAAGGAGAGCCAGGAGGAGCTGGGCCCCAACCTCATCCAAAAGCACAGGTGAGCTCTGAGACCTCCACCCCCAGGACAGCCCCCACGTCTATTTTCTTTTTCTTTAAAGATGTTCTTATTTGGGGGCCAGGCGTGGTGGCTCATGCCTGTAATCCCAGCACTTTGGGAGGCCGAGGCAGGCGGATCACCTGAGATCAGGAGTTCGAGACCAGACTGGCCAACATGACAGGGTGAGACCCCATCTTTACAACAAATACAAAAATTACCCAGGCATGGTGGCACACGCCTGTAATCCCAGCTACTAGGGAGGATGAAGCAGGAGAATTGCTTGAACCCGGGAGGCGGAGATTGTAGTGAGTTGAGATCGCACAACTGCACTCCAGCCTGGGCAACAGAGCGAGACTCCAATCCAAAAAAAAGAAAAAAATCCCCTAGGACAGGGCTGTGGCTGAGACCCTGAGGGCTGGAGGCTTGGCTGGCCTTGCACAGCAGCGGGTGCATGCTGGGGTGGGGAGAGGCCTGGAGACCCTGTGACTCCACTGGGGGCCTTGCTGTGTGACCCCCTAGTGAGTCCTTGTGTCTCTTACCCACGCATGCCTGTCACATGCAGACACCCACACACACCCAGTATCTGCCGGACAGGGCAGCCCTTCCTCTCCGCAGCCAGGAAGCTGGACATAGGCACAAGGGCTGACGCCTGGGGCCAGGAATCCTGCCTGAGCATTAGGAGAAGGTCTGGAACCCCAGGGGGAAGGGCACTCCTGGGGCATCCCCTGCCCCTCTACCATCTGGTGGCTGGACTCTACACCAGCCTGCCCTGCTCTAAAACCCCAGCTCCTCAATTCTGTGCCACCTCCTCTCTGGGCCCAGACAAGAGCAGATTCATCCCTGCCCCAAAGGAACCACCAGTCTTGGGTCAGCAGAGCTGGGCACAGACACTTCCAGTGCCGTGGGGCTGTAACTGTGATAGGTCTGTTGCTCCATGCACTTGGCAAGTCAACAGCTGAGAAAACAGGTTGCAACATGGAAAGAGTTTTAATCCGACCGGCGTGGTGGCTCATGCCTGTAATCCCAGCACTTTGGGAGGCTGAGGCGGGTGGATCATCTGAGGCCAGCAGTTCAAGATCAGCCTGGCCAACCAGGTGAAACCTCATCTCTACTAAAAATACAAAAATTAGCCAGGCGTGATGGTGCGCACCTGTAATCCCAGCTACTTGGGAGGCTGAGGCAGGAGAATCAATTGAACCTGGGAGGCGGAGGTTGCAGTGAGCCAAGATCATACCACTGCACTCCAGCCTGGGCAACAGAGCGAGAGACTGTCTCGGAAGAAAAAAAAAAAAAAAAAGGCTGGGGGCAGTGGCTCATGCCTGTAATCCCCACACTTTAGAGGCAGAGGCCGACGGATGACTTGAGGTCAAGAGTTCGAGACCTGCCTGGCCAACATGGTGAATCACCGTCTCTACTAAAAACACAAAAATTAGCCAGGTGTGGTGGCGCATGACTGTAATCCCAGCTACTCAGTAGGCTGAGGCAGGAGGCGGAGGTTGCAGTGAGCCGAGATTGTGCCACTGCACTCCAACCTGGGGGACAGAGAGAAACTCCGTCTCAAAAAAAAAAAAAAAAAGAGATTTAATCCTAGGGCCACCCAATGAGGAGATAGGAGGGAACCTCAAATCCATTTCCAGGAGGAGGAGTTTGGGGCCATATAAATGTATATATACAAATATATATATTTTTTTAAGATGGAGTCAGCCGGCCGTGGTGGCTCACGCCTCTAATCCCAGTACTTTGGGAGGCCGAGGCCAGCGGATCACAAGGTCAGGAGATTGAGACCATCCTAGCTAACACGGTGAAACCCCATCTCTACTAAAAATACAAAAAAAAATTAGCCAGGCGTGGTGGGGGGTGCTCATAGTCCCAGCTACTCAGGAGGCTGAGGCAGGAGAATAGCATGAACCTGGGAGCTGGAGCTTGCAGGTTGGAGTGCAATGGCATGATCTCAGCTCACTGCAACCTCCGCCTCCTGGGTTCAAGCGATTCTCCTGCCTCAGGCTCCCGAGCAGCTGGGATTACAGGCATGTGCCACCACGACCGGTTAATTTCTGAAATTTTTTAGTAGAGACAGGGTTTCATCATGTTGGTCAGGCTGGTCTCGAACTCCTGACCTCAGGTGATCCGCCCGCCTTGGCCTCCCAAAGTGCTGGGATTACAGGCGTGAGCCACTGCACCTGGCCAGGGGCTAGAGTTTTAATTTTTAAGGATTTTGGAGTGGGCTGAAGTGTGGAGGTCATTGCTTGGTGAAAGAGTGCAGGAGGTGAAGTCACAGACAGTAAGAAACTGTATTCTCATGCAGATTCCGTTCCTCTGTGGGGTCTTCACACTGGTGGGTGTCATTGGTTAAGGATTTCAAAAACATCTTAAGAAATTCTTCTAAAAAGTCTTATGATTCTAAGGTCGGAAATCACATCTATAGCAAATGGTCGGTATCAGGTGCTACAAGCAACTTGCGGTCACAAGGAAGTGGGTCAAAGTGCAGCCTGATTAGTGCTTAATTATAACTAAGTTTCTGTCCAGAATTCTTTTTTTTTGAGACAGAGTTTTGCTCTTGTTGATCAGGCGGAAGTGCAATGGTGAAAACTTGGCTCACTGCAACCTCCGCCCTCTGGGTTCAAGCGATTCTCTTGCTTCAGCCTCTCGAGTAGCTGGGATTACAGGCATGTAATCCCACCACCAAGCCCAGCTAATTTTGTATATTTAGTAGAGACAGGGTTTCTCCATGTTGGTCAGGCTAGTCTAGAACTCTTGACGTCAGATGATCCACGTGCCTCGGCCTCCCAAAGTGCTGGGATTACAGGCGAGAGCCACCGTGCCCGGCGCAGAATTCTTTTTTTTAGAGATGAGGTATTGCCATCTTGCCCAGACTTGTCTCGAACTCCTGGGCTCAAACAATCCACCCACCTCGGCCTCCCAAAGTGCTGAGATTACTGACATAAGCCACCATGCCTGGCCCCCAGAATTATGAATCCTGTGAGGATGGCTTCAAGGTGAGCGCTGAGCCAGACAAAAGGATGGGGTTTGGGAGCACCCTGCTTAGACTGGAAAGATAATGTTGGAGAAGACTTCCTGGAAGAGGGGCTTTTTGCGTAGAGTTTTGAAGAATGAGTAGGAGTTCTCCAGAGGAGGATGAGTAACTGCAATAACACCCAGTTTATCAAGTGCCTCCTATGTGTCTGGCCCTGTGCTTTACCCCTCATTTGACCACCTCTCCAGTGAGAGTCTCAGTCCTTTTTTTCCTGGTGAGGAAACAGGCATGGCAGAGAGGCATGACACATCAAGGTTGCCCTTCCTGGCTCCATCTAGCCCGTTCTCCTCTGCTTCCTTTGTTTTTCACCATCTTTAGCCTTTGACCCCAACCAAAAAGAGAAGAGAGGAAATCCCATGGGCATAGACAGCCACCTCTTAAACTCTTGTCTGGAATTTTTCACATAGTAACAATGTCTTTTTTTCCTCCAAAAAGACTCCCAGGCTGGAATGGTGTCCTCATATCGAGGAAGAGGATACTGAGGCCCAGAAATGTGCCCTAGCTTTACTAGGAGCGCCCCCACCTAAAGATCCTCCCCCTAAATACACCCCCAGACCCCGCCCAGCTGTGGTCATTGGAGTGTTTACTCTGCAGGCAGGGGGAGGAGGGCGGGACTGAGCAGGCGGAGACGGACAAAGTCCGGGGACTATAAAGGCCGGTCCGGCAGCATCTGGTCAGTCCCAGCTCAGAGCCGCAACCTGCACAGCCATGCCCGGGCAAGAACTCAGGACGGTGAATGGCTCTCAGATGCTCCTGGTGTTGCTGGTGCTCTCGTGGCTGCCGCATGGGGGCGCCCTGTCTCTGGCCGAGGCGAGCCGCGCAAGTTTCCCGGGACCCTCAGAGTTGCACTCCGAAGACTCCAGATTCCGAGAGTTGCGGAAACGCTACGAGGACCTGCTAACCAGGCTGCGGGCCAACCAGAGCTGGGAAGATTCGAACACCGACCTCGTCCCGGCCCCTGCAGTCCGGATACTCACGCCAGAAGGTAAGTGAAATCTTAGAGATCCCCTCCCACCCCCCAAGCAGCCCCCATATCTAATCAGGGATTCCTCATCTTGAAAAGCCCAGACCTACCTTTGAGCCTCAGTTGCCCCATCTGTGCCCTGGGTAGGAATATCCTGGATCCCCTTGGGTCTGATGGGGTAGCCGATGCCTGATTTGCACCCACAACGTGGGAGGTTATAACCTGTCCCCAAGTTGCAAATGGGGAAACTGAGGTACAGGGATGCCAGGGACCCTCCTGAATGTGCACAGCACCTGGGAAACCCGGGGACGGGGTCGGGCGTGCGGTGTGGGCATGGTCCCTGACCTGGGCTGGGGCCAGGATCCAAGAGAAACAATGGGGGTGTGGTGCATGGATAGAAGTTTGTGATGGGCAGAGCCAGCTGGAGCTGGTTCTGAATCTGATGAAATCGCTTGTCAAGGCACTGCTAAAGTCACATGCAACGAGCGACTTGTTAGGGGAGGAGGAGAGTATTTTCCCCATCTCTGTGCCCTCCATGGAGGCTCCAGGGGTGCAGGGCACTGGATGAGGTCTGGGCTGTGGTGGGACCCAGGAGGGGGCAGGCAGAGGGGCACACTCTTAGCCCGCCCTAAACCCATCTGTGCCGTGTGACTCCGGCAAACCTCTCACCCTTGCTAAGCCTAGCAACTAGGTTAAGGCACCCTCAAACCCCAGTCTCCCCAGTCTCCCTAACACTTGTACCAGCCTGAGGGGCTGTGATTCCTAGAGGCTCAGTAGTCTGGAATGTGATGGGTTTGGCACTCTTCATTTCTCGGGATTACACCTGTAATCCCAGCACTTTAGGAGGCCAAGGTGGGAGCATCGCTTTAGGCCAGAACATTGCAGCCTGGGCAGTATAGCGAGAATCCATCTCTACCAAAAATGTTTAAAAAAAATTAGCCAGACATGATGGTGTGTGCCTGTAGTCTCAGTTATTCAGGAGGCTGAGGCGGGAGGAGCACTTGAATCCAGGAGATTGAGGCTGCACTGAGCCATGAGTGCCCCACTGCACTCCAGCCTGGGTAACAGCAAGACCATAATAAATAAATAAATAAGTGAAGCAAGTAAGTTTTTGACTGCCAGAAGAAAAGCAGAGCCATGGTTGGAATCTCAGGCTGCCTGAATATCAGATATACATTAATTCCTTCAAGTATTTACTAAGCACCTATTGTGTGCCAGGCACAGTGTCAACCAAGCTAAGATTCTAAGTAGGGAATATGAATGATACACAAGGAAATAAAATAGGGTGCTTCCTATTTTAGGCAGGCTGGAAGGAAGAGGAGGAGCCAGCCATACTGAGATTCAGGAGATTCAAGGGGAGAAATGCCCTTTTTTTTTTTTTTTTTTTTTTTTTTGAGAGGGAGTCTTCCTCTGTTGCCCAGGCTGGAGTGCAGTGGCACGATCTTGGCTCACTGCAACCTCCACCGCCCCGATTCAAGCCATTCTTCTGCCTCAGCCTCCCGAGTAGCTGGGATCACAGGCGCCAGCCACCATGCCCAGCTAATTTTTGGTATTTTTAGTAGAAGCGGGCGTTTCACCATATTGGCCACATATCGGCCAGGCTGGTCTTGAACTCCTGACCTCAAGTGATCCACCTGCATCGGCCTCCCAAAGTGCTGGGATTACAGGCGTGAGCCACCGCGCCCGCACGGAGAAATGCTCTTGGTAGGGGAAATAACTTGTGCAAAGGCGCCGCCGCCGTGGTGAGATCCAGCTTGGCGTGTTAGGGGAAATGGGCACCCTCGTTCCTGGAAAACGGTAGGCCTGTGGGTGACCAGCTTCCCTATCTGTCTTCCCACAGTGCGGCTGGGATCCGGCGGCCACCTGCACCTGCGTATCTCTCGGGCCGCCCTTCCCGAGGGGCTCCCCGAGGCCTCCCGCCTTCACCGGGCTCTGTTCCGGCTGTCCCCGACGGCGTCAAGGTCGTGGGACGTGACACGACCGCTGCGGCGTCAGCTCAGCCTTGCAAGACCCCAGGCGCCCGCGCTGCACCTGCGACTGTCGCCGCCGCCGTCGCAGTCGGACCAACTGCTGGCAGAATCTTCGTCCGCACGGCCCCAGCTGGAGTTGCACTTGCGGCCGCAAGCCGCCAGGGGGCGCCGCAGAGCGCGTGCGCGCAACGGGGACCACTGTCCGCTCGGGCCCGGGCGTTGCTGCCGTCTGCACACGGTCCGCGCGTCGCTGGAAGACCTGGGCTGGGCCGATTGGGTGCTGTCGCCACGGGAGGTGCAAGTGACCATGTGCATCGGCGCGTGCCCGAGCCAGTTCCGGGCGGCAAACATGCACGCGCAGATCAAGACGAGCCTGCACCGCCTGAAGCCCGACACGGTGCCAGCGCCCTGCTGCGTGCCCGCCAGCTACAATCCCATGGTGCTCATTCAAAAGACCGACACCGGGGTGTCGCTCCAGACCTATGATGACTTGTTAGCCAAAGACTGCCACTGCATATGAGCAGTCCTGGTCCTTCCACTGTGCACCTGCGCGGAGGACGCGACCTCAGTTGTCCTGCCCTGTGGAATGGGCTCAAGGTTCCTGAGACACCCGATTCCTGCCCAAACAGCTGTATTTATATAAGTCTGTTATTTATTATTAATTTATTGGGGTGACCTTCTTGGGGACTCGGGGGCTGGTCTGATGGAACTGTGTATTTATTTAAAACTCTGGTGATAAAAATAAAGCTGTCTGAACTGTTCCCTGTGGTGTCCAGGATAAGGGAAGGTGACCTTGAGAAGATCCTCCTCTCCCTGACCTCAGTTTCTCTAGGAGACCTGGGAGGGGGTAAGTGGAAAGGCTCAAGGAATGAGTGGCAAGGTGTTCTCGGAGATGCCAAGCCATTGGAAGGTGCTTACGACACCTGTGGGCTCTAAGGGCAGCCTTGGCCATTCCTGACTCCCTGACTCTCTGTCTCTATTTCTCTATCTCCTTATTGCTGTTTCTTTTTTCTTTTTATTTTTTTTAGACGGGGTCTCACTCTGTTGCCCAGGCCGAAGTGCAGTGGCACAATCACAGCTCACTGCAGCCTCAACCACCCGGGCTCAATCGATCCTCCCACCTCAGCCACCTGAGTAGCTGGGACTACAAGTGCATGCCATCATGCCCAACTAACTTTTGTATTTTTTGTAGAGGCTGAGTTTCGCCATGTTGCCCAGGCTGGTGTTTCTGTTTTGGAAACAGCTGAGACCCCATACCTTTTTAAGTCTCAGCTTCCCTCCATCTTTCCTCATTCCTCAAAACTTCTCTCTTTGGGGTCTGAGGCAGAGGATCTGTCTCTGTCTTTGTCTCTATCACCATCCTGTTGCTCTCCCCACTTGGGAGTCACCTTTCCAAACACAGGCAGCTCAGAGCCAAGTCTATCTGCAACCAAGTGCCTTGTTTTGTGGTACTGTCCCCAACCTGAGGGGTTAGTCCCATCACCCCTCCTGTTTGTGGCACTTCCATGTTAGTGACACCTCATTCTTTCACATATAAAGAGTAGGGAGAAACAAATAAGTTGTGAAGAATATTTTCATGCACACCACATCTCCCAGGTTATATATACTTCCTGTTTAGGATGTTGGAATTTTGAGGTGTGCTGAGTCCAGCCCCCTCTCCACACCAAACTGCCTGCCCATCCTGAATCTCTGAGAGGAATGGCGATGGGTGTCTTGAGGGACAGAGTACCCACTTCCAGCAGTGAGGTGTATCTGCTGGGAATGCCATCACCCACAGGCCAACCTGAATGACTGCAGGTTCCCCTTAACGTATTCAGTGAGTGCCCACTTTATGCCAGGCCCCGGACACAGCTGTAAAAAGACACACAAGGACCACCCCACTTTGCGGAGCCTGGTTGAGTGAAGGGGACAAATGAGTAAATCCTAAGAAAGTAGTTGATTGCAGTAAGATTTGTGCTGGGGATTCAACCCATCAGTTCATTAGTGAACGGAGGCAGAGGTGATCTAGATAGTTGGATGGGGAGGCCTCCCTGGGGAGGGAGGTCACATTTGAGCTGAGACCTGGAGGAAGAAAAGGAGTCGGGGAGGGGGTAGTTGAGGGTGGACATTGCAAGTAAATGCAAACAGCAAGTGCAAAGGCCCTGAGATGGGAGCAGGCTCACTTCAGTCACAGCAAAGCTGTTGAAAATGGGCACCTAGGAGGCTTCAAAATTAAACTCAATACCAAAAGGCAGCAGATGGTGTCACTGAGTCTTTCCCCAAACAACAGCTGTTGCCTTTGCAAGGTATAGGGCTGGGCCTGTGCCTTCTCTGTGCTTCTCCAGGCTCTTGCACAAGTTGGTCCACCCAGCCAGCATGCCCTTTCCTCTCCAATTCTCAAACTCCTATGCATCCTTCAAAACCCACTGCAGATTCCCCTCTTACATGCAGCCTTATTCAAACTCATTCAATTGTCTCCATGTGGGGACTGTGCTCCCATTCTTCCCTTTGGCCCAGGCTTGATCTCCCAGGACTGAGGGTACTTGTCTCTAGTTCTATCTCCCCCAGGTTGGAGGATTGGGCTGGGACCAGCTGATAGGAAACCCAGTTGAGGCATGAGCCTGAAAAAACTCTTGAAATACAGACATCTGTGAGTCATTAACTCTGCCTGAGAAGAAACCAGGGACAGCTTCTCAAAGGAGGTGGCATTGCACCAGGGTCTTGAAAGATTTTCTCAGAATATTAGAGCTAAAGGAATATATACATTTTTTTATTTTGGGGTTGGTGTGGGCTGCTCTGGAGGCCAAGCCTGGAGATCAGGGACCTGGGAAGGGGCCCTGAGAGGGGCAGAAGGGAGGAATGTGCCTGGGCGCAGTGGCCACGCCTGTAATCCCAGCACTTCAGGAGGCCGAGGCGGGCAGATCGCTTGAGGTCAGGAGTTCGAGACCAGCCTGGCCAACATGGCGAAACCCCATCTCTATTATAAATACAAAAATTAGCTCGGCATGGTGGCGGGTGCTGTAATCCCAGCTACTCAGGAGGCTGAGGCAGGAGAATCACTTGAACCCAGGAGGCGGAGGTTGCAGTGAGCTGAGACCGCAGCATTGCACTCCAGCCTGGGTGACAGAGTGACACTCAGTTTCAAAAACAAACAAACAAACAACAACAACAAAAAAAAACAGGGATGGGAGGTGGGGAGCAATTTGGGAGTCTCAGATGGAGACTTGGTCTTAGAACTCAGAAATCCCCACCTTGAGGAACCCACGCACCCTGAGCCAGCAGCCTCATCAGCCTCGAAGCATTTATTGAGCACTGCCTGTACATCCACAGGAGGGTGATGACAGGATTGGCACAGTGACCGTCCTGTCCCCTTGTTGGGGGTCTCTCCTCTTCCCCCTCTAGGAGCTGAGGGAGCTGAGGAGCGGCATGAGGGACAGGGAGGGGGCGGCAGAGCTTCCTGGGGCCTCAAGGACAATCCTTTCCTGTACCCATTCTTCAGATGGGGAAACTGAGGCCATGGAGGCGTTAGGACGCCCTGAGTCACCCAGCAGGGACTGAAGGGGTTCTGGGTGGAGGTTAGGACATCTTAGGCTCAGTGCCCGGGGATCACGTACTCCTCTTCATCCATTGGGGCCTGGCCCAGTGACTGCAGGTTACAGTAGACAGGCTGGGAAGCCAGGTCGATGTCCTTGTAGTTGATGTAAAAGTCATTGTCCTCTGAAGGGTGAGCCCTGGGGGGACAGACAGACCAGGGGTAAGTGTGGGAGGGGGAGGACTCAGGGGACAGGCACATGAGCTTTGAGAAAGTCCAGAGTGGGCCAGGTGCTCTGACTCACGCCTGTAATCCAGCACTTTGGGAGGCTGAGGTGGGTGGATCACCTGAGATCATGAGTTCAAGACCAGCCTGGACAACATGATGAAACCTCGTCTCTACTAAAAATACAAAAATTATCCAGGCATGGTGGCACAGGCCTGTAGTCCCAGCTACTCGGGAGTCTGAGGCAGGAGAATCACTTGAACCCAGGAGGTAGAGGTTGTAGTGAGCCGAGATCGTGCCATTGCACTTCAGCCTGGGAGACAGAGCAAGACTCTATCTCAGAAGGAAAAAAAAAAAGAAAGCTTCAGAGTGGCTCAGTCCACCCCGAATATTTACATATGGGGAAACTGGCACGGGCTAGCGTTCTGACTCCTAGCCAACCCCACCTCTCTCTGAGGAGGCTGCGGGAGGGCAGTGATTTAGGGAAGGTTCTGTGGGTGTAACGCTGCGGTCTGAGGACCCTGAACCCTTTTTCCTTCCTTAAAAATGAGATAGCGGCCAGGCGCGGTGACTCATGCCTGTAATCCCAGCACTTTGGGAGGCCAAGGCAGAAGGTCTGCTTGAGGCCAGGAGTTTGAGACCATCCTGAGCAACAGGGTGAGACCCCATCTCTACAAAAAATTAAAAAATTATTCAGGCGTGGTGACGTGTGCCTGGAGTCCCATCTCCTCGGGAGGCTGAGGTGGGAGGACCGCTTGAGCCCAGGAGGTCGAGCCTACAGTGAGCCGTTATCACACCACTGCACTGCAGCCTGGATGACAGAGGGAGACCCCGTCTCAAAAAAAACAGAAATTGAGGTAGCTGTTCATTATTACATTAAAATCTAAATTTTTGTTTCCTCTTGAAAAATCGGAAGCTCTGGCCACGTCAGTCACATGCACACAAGTGGCTGCACCCACACTCTGTGCTCCTTCCGATGGGAAATGTTTTCACCACTGAAGCAACTGACTTTGTGGCCCTCATATATAAAAGCAAGTCTCTGAGCCTCAGTTTCTGCATCTATAGAATTGGTCAAGGAGCAGGTAGCTACTTAGGAATATTTGTTATGGTCAGCAAGACCTCCAGAGAATTTTCCTGCCTCCTGAACATTCTAATTCCAACCCAGCTCCTCTTGTAAAAAGGGCCACTGGGCCAGGTGCGGTGGCTCACGCCTATAATCCCAGCACTTTGAGAGGCCAAGGTGGGCAGATCACCTGAGGTCAGGAGTTCAAGACCAGCCTGGCCAACATGGCAAAACCCCGTCTCTACTAAAATTAGCCGGGTGTGATGGTGGGCGCCTGTAATCCCAGCTACTCGGGAGGCTGAGGCAGGAGGCAGGAGAATCACTTGAACCCGGGAGGTGAAGGTTGCAGTGAGCCGAGATCATGCCATTGCACTCTAGCCTGGGCGACAGAGCGGGAAAAAAAAAAAGGCAAAAGGGCTACTTTGTGTTAACAGCATCTATCAGTCAATTATACTCTAGTACGAATTGCCCACCAACCCCTAAGTGGTTGTAGGGGGACGAACAGGTCTGGGACGCAGGGTTTGTGTCCTGCCTTTTTTGACTGGCTATGTGACCTTGGACAAGTCATTTCCCTGCCTCCCAGAGCCTCCATGTCTGTAACTGTAAGATGCAGGGTGGAAATGACACAGTCAATTCTAAACACAGTGTTTCTGGAGGCCAGTACATAAAGGAGGCTGATCCGGAAGCCTCGGGGACAGGGAGGCCAAGATGAACATCAGAGCACAAGCTGCTTTTGCGAGTCCAGTGTCTTCAACACCCTGCCTCAGACCATTTCTGCTTTTGAGCCATGTTGACATCTGCTTTGCATATTTTCTCCTTTCTCACCAACAGCCTTCCGATAGCCTCCCCACCTCCTGGCACGGACTCTGCTGCCCAAACACAGCCATGGCCGCGGCCCCTTCCTGCTTGGCCCTCCCTGTTCCCCTCAGGCCTCAGCTTTCAAGTCATCCCTTCTCAAAAACCATTCACAGCAAATTCTCTGTTCTTTCCCACCTCTGGGTCTCTGCCCCTGAGGGTCCCACCCCTTGAAATTCCCTCCATTCCCTTTTCCAACCTAGAAAAGCTTTTCTTTTCTTTTTTTCTTTCTTTCTTTCTTTTTTTTTTTTTTTGAGACGGAGTCTCGCTCTGTCGCCCAGGCTGGGGTGCAGTGGTGCGATCTGGGCTCACTGCAACCTCCACCTCCTGGGTTCAAGTGATTCTTCTTGCCTCAGCCTCCCAAGTAGCTGGGATTACAGGCACCCACGACCATGCCCGGCTAATTTTTGTATTTTTAGTAGAGACAGGGTTTCACCATATTGGCCAGGCTGGTCTCGAACTCCTGACCTCGTGATCCTCCTGCCTTGGCCTCCCAAAGTGTTGGGATTACAGGCATGAGCCACCGTGCCCGGCCTAATTTTTGTATTTTTTAGTAGAAACAGGGTTCCACCATGTTGGTCAGGCTGGTCTTGAGGTCCTGACCACAGGTGATCTGACCTCGCCTTGGCCTCGAAAAGTGCTGGGATTATAGGCATGAGCCACCGCACCCCACACCAACCTAGAAAAGTTCAACTCATTTGTCTAAGCCCAGCAAAATCATCCAGAAGCCGGTGGCGGTGGCTCACACCCATAATGCCAGCACTTTGGGAGGCTAAGACATGAGGATCACTTGAGGCCAAGAGTTTGAGACCAGCCTGAGAAATATAGCAAGACCCCCGTCTCTATGAAAAATACAAAAATTAGTTGGGTGCGGCGGCATGTGCCTGTGGTCCCAACTACTCTGGAGACTGAGGCAGGAGGATCACTTGAGGCCAGGAGCTTGAGGCTGCAGTGATCTGTGATGGTGCCACTGCACTCCAGCCAGGGCGACAGAATGACACTGTCTCAAAAAAAAATGTCGGCTGGGCGCGGTGGCTCACACCTGTAATCCCAGCACTTAAGGAGGCTGAGGTGGGCGGATCACGAGGTCAGGAGATCGAGACCATCCTGGCTAACACGGTGAAACCCCGTCTCTACTAAAAATACAAAAAATTAGCCTGGCGTGGTGGCGGGCGCCTGTAGTCCCAGCTACTCGGGAGGCTGAGGCAGGAGAATGGCATGAACCCGGGAGGCGGAGCTGGCAGTGAGCCGAGATCGTGTCACTACACTCTAGCCTGGATGACAGGGCCAGACTCCATCTCAAAAAAAAAAAAAAAAAAATCATCTAGTGGTGATGGGACTTTGTAGGGCACCTCTTTAGTATCTCATGTGTGTCATGGGGAAATGGGGGGCTGTCCCCACTCTATGGAGACAGAAATGGAGGTTCAGAGACAGCCTTGGGTCACATGGGACCTGGGCCTATGCTGCTGACCGCCACCGCGGAGCCCCAACTCCGCTCAAGCAGTTGCCTCCTGTCTCCCCATCCTTGGCCGCCAGAAACTGGGTTTACAGGTCATAAGGGGGGGAAGTTTGTCCCATATATGGGAACTCACTTAATTCTTACCCCAACACACTATGATGGGGGCTGTAATTCTCCCTCATTTTACTTTATTTTATTGATTTTATTTTTGAGATGGAGTCTCACTCTGTCACCCAGGCTGGAGTGCAATGGCATGAACTTGGCTCACTGCAACCTCTGACTCCCAGGTTCAAGAGATTCTCTTGCCTCAGCCTCCTCAGTAGCTGGAACCACAGGCGCCCGCCACCACACCTGGCTAATTTTTGTATTTTTAGTACAGACTGGGTTTCACCGTGTTGGCCAGGCTGGTCTCAAACTCCTGACTTCAAGTGATCCGCCTGCCTTGGCCTCCCAAAGTGCTAGGATTACAGGTGTGAGCCACCATGTCCAGTCCTCTCCCCATTTTATAGGTGAGGAGACTGAGGCTCAGAGAAGTAAAGCTACTCACCTAAGATCCCACAGCCTTCAAGCGGCAGAGCTGGGATTTGAACCTCGGCCATCTGGGTGTGGAGCCTTATTATTCACCACTTTGGCAGGTGTCTCAGTGGCTTACTTACCCTTGTTCATCCCACTGGTGCTCGGCTGCTGGCTGGCCCACAAACATGTTCTCATAGTCGGGAGTGGAGGGGCAGGATGGCACGGCCACTTGGGGCTTGGGGGCGCTCCGGCTGCCGTACCGTGGCTGCAAGCCTAAACCGGGCTTGGGCCCATCCTGAGCAGCCCAGGGTTTGTTCAGCTCCCGGCTTCTGGCCACTCGGCATCGCCAGAGTCTCCAGGCCAGCACAGGGCCAGCGATGGCAAGTCCAAGAAGCAGGCACCCGCTGACCACCACTGCCCCGATAGTTGCAGAGGCCAGGCCAGGGGCGCAGCTGACCTCCAGGAAGGCAGAGAGGTTGTGCTGGGAGCTGGTTGTGTCCCAGCAGAGCAGAGGCTTCTGGCCAGAGCAGTTGTCTCGGCGGATGTCGTGCCAGGACTCCAGGGCACAGTTGCAGTCGGCCTGCAGGTCAAGGTCACAGCGGGCGGCCAGCGCCCCATCCACACGAGACAAGGGGTTGCGTAGCACGTTCAGGACCTCAAGCTTCTGCAGGTGGGCAAAGAAGGTCACTGGAAGCTCTCGCAGGCCGTTCCCAGACAGGTCAAGGAGAATCACGTTGCTGGCCCGCAGAGACTGGTTGTGAGGCAGGCTCAGGCTGAGGCCACTGAAATTCAGGCACGTGGCACTGAACTCCGCGTTCCAGTCCACATCCGCGGAGGACACGGTGCACGACGGTTCTAGGCTGTCTGACTCCCGCAGCAGCAGCGGCAACAGCAGCGTCCATGCCAGGGTGCCCCCCATTCAAGCAACCTACGTAGAGACACCGGAATCCTAGCCCTGACCTCAGCCCTGTGGTCGCCCTCGCCTCCACCGCCAGTGTTTATTATTATAGCTCAGACCAGCTCAAGCCGCTTCTGAAATGGTAAAACGCAGCCCCAGTCTGGTCGCCTCCTTTGGCTGGTGGGCTGCCTCAGTCTCCCCTTCTGGGGAATGGGTAGATAACCCCAGTGCTTAGCGGGCTTGGAAGGCGAGGAGGAGATCCGGGCCAGTTAACCCCTTCTTCTATGTCCTGAACATTTGGGGCGCCCTCGTTGGCCAGGACGGGACCCTATGCAAATAAGCGGTTGCCTTGGAAACGGCCCCGCCCCCTGATCACGCTCCCGGTATCTCCCAGAACGGCGGGTCGCTGGGAAGTCCTGGGATAGGGTGGAGTGGGGGCTGCTGAAAGGGTCCTCCCAGGTCTGGTTTGCAGTCCCTGCACAGGTGCAAGTTCTAGAGCCTCAGTCCTACCTTTTGGGTCCCACTGCCACGCTTTTGCCTCTGCGATGCTGGAAAAGCGACGGCGCCCAGAGGCTGCGTCCTGGCCCACCTGGACACGGGGGCCGCAGCGGCCACGGCCAGCACCGTCCGCAGCGCTGCTGGGGTCGCTGGCGTTCCTCTGGCTCTGCACCCAGCGACTCAGGGGGAAGAGGAACTGGTGTCTGGGTGGAGTGCAGAGGGGAAGAATGAAGACAGAGATCCGCCCCCTTGCAGGGCCTCAAGGTTCTCACCAGAGGTGGATGGAGGGCAAGAGGGAGGGGTGGACCAGAGTCCCGCTTCCCTCTTGCTAGAACCCAGTGACTTCATGTCCTCTATTAGCACCCCAACCGACTGCCACCTCATCAACTCGCTTCTTGATCTCAGCTTGGCTGGTTCCCAGCTCATGCAGTCATTTATTCATTCAACAAGCATCACCCACGCTGGGCCCCCAAGAGGCCTCAGCCCTGACCAGGTCCTCAAGGAGCTATCTTAAGAGAGGACAGAGCTGGACATAGACACTCCTAGTCCCATGCAGTTAAGGAAGGTCCAGAGGGAAAGACAGGGTCCTGGAAGGCTTCCTGGAGGAGGAGGCATTACAGTTGGGGCTTCAACGCATGAGTAGGAGTTCACTAAGATTCCCCAAACCTATCATTGGCTCTCCAAGCTCCTCCAAGCCTCTCCCACTGAGTTCTTGCACAGTGGCACCTCTATGCTGGAGGGGACAGTGAGGAGGGCTCCCAGCAGCTTGGGAAAATGTAGCTGGCTGGGATAGCATGGTTAGGAGTGGAGAGGATAGAAGGAATTGGTGGTGGGGGAAGAGGTCCATGTGGAGCCAAGGCAGGTGCGTGGGCAGAGGGGCACTGGCTCAAGAAGTCCCTCTGGAGTGAGCCTGGTGTCTGGGGTGGGCAACTTGGGGAGGAGGCTGAGGTCCCAGAAGCAGATGGGGGCCTGAGGCAGACTGGAGGGGTAGTAGTGACAAAAATGATACTGAGGAGGGGTGGGCTGGGAGAAGGCCTCACCTGAACCTGGTGTCAGGTGGACCAGGTACAACCTATGCCAGCCCGACTCACTGTGCCACCTTAACTGCGTGTGACACCATGTCCACAGCTGTCAAATGCACAGAGGCTTCTCCGGGATCTGGGAGGCTGGGAGTCCACTCCCCCACGTTTTCCCCTCTTTTCGGCCTCTGTCCTTCACATCGCCAAACTCCAAGAAATGGTCAAAGGCTTTGAACGGAGACCTTGAAGAAAAAGCGGGAAACTGCTTTTCAACATGTCCAGAGATGCTCATTCTTGCCAGGTGCAGTGGCTTACACCTGTAATCCCAACACTTTGGGAGGCTGAAGTGAGCAGATCGCTTGAGCCCAGGAGTTCGAGACCAGCCTGGCCATCATGGTGAAACCCCGTCTCTACTTTAAAAAATACAAAAATTAGCCAGGTGTGGTGGTATGTGCCTGTAGTCCCAGCTACTCAGGAGGCTGAGGCAGGAGAATTGTTTGAACCCAGGAGGTGGAGGCTGCAGTGAGCCAAGATCACTCCACTGCATTCCAGCCTGGGCAACAGAGTGAGACCTGTCTCAAAAAAAAAAAAAAGTTCACACTTAATAAGAAAACTGCAAATCACAAACTGTTTGTCTTCACCAATCAAATTGGCAAAAATCCAACAATGCAATGACATTCTGTGCCAGCCAGGCTGTGGGGTGCGTCCATGGTGTAGCACTGGTGGAGGGCACCCTGGCACAGGCCACCGGAATGATAAACTCATGTGCCTGCTGACACAGCAAGTCCACTTCTGGGAATCCCTGCCTGAATATTTGCATGTTTACAGTGTGAACTGACTAACGAATAAAAAAATGTGGCTCAGCCTGGACGTGGTGGCTCATGCCTGTAATCCCAGCACTTTGGGGGACCAAGGTGGGCGGATCACGAGGTCAGGAGTACCAGACCAGCCTGGCCAACATGGTGAAACCCCGTCTCCACTAAAAATACAAAAATTAGCTGGGCATGGTGGCACGTGCCTGTAATCCCAGCTACTAGGGAGGCTGAGGCAGGAGAATCGCTTGAACCCAGGAGGCAGAGGTTGCAGTGAGCTGAGATCATGCCACTGCACTCCAGTTTGGGCGTTAGAGCGAGACTCCATCTCAATAATAATAATAATAATAATAATAATAATAATTTAAAAATTAGCTGGGCATGGTGGCTTCAGCCTGTAGTCCCAGCTACTTCAGAGGCTGAGGTGGGAGGATCCCTTGAGCCCAGAAGGTTGTGACTGCAGTGAGCCGTGATTGTGCCACTCCACTCCAGCCTATGCAGCAGAGCAAGACCCTATCTCTAAAAAATAATTTAAAATAAATGGCTGGGCCGGCCGCGGTGGCTCATGCCTGTAATCCCAGCACTTTGGGAGGCTGAGGTGGGCGGATCACCTGAGGTCCAGAGTTTGAGACTAGCCTGACCAACGTGGAGAAACTCCATCTCTACTAAATACACAAAATTAGCCGGGTGTGGTGGCGCATGCCTGTAATCCCAGCTACTTGGGAGGCTGAGGCAGGAGAATCACTTGAGCCTGGGAGGTAGAGTTTGCAGTTGAGCCGAGATCACGGCACTGCACTCCAGCCTGGGCAACAAGAGCAAAACTCCATCTCAAAATAATAATAATAAATAAATAAATTGGCTAAAATGTTCAATTTTATGTTGTGTGTATGTTGCAGGTTTGTTTTTTTGAGAAGGCAAAGTCAGGCGTGGTGGCTCACACCTGTAATCCCAGCACTTTGGGAGGCTGAGGTGGGCGGATCACAAGGTCAGGAGACTGAGACAATCCTGGCCAACGCTGTGAAACCCTGTCTCTACCAAAAATACAAAAAATTAGCTGGGCGTGGTGGCATGTACCTGTAATCCCAGCTACTCGGGAGGCTGAGGCAGGAAAATCACTTGAACCAGGGAGTTGGAGGTTGCAGTAAGCCTAGATCGCGCCACAGCACTCCAGCCTGGTGACAGAGCGAGACTTCATATAAAAAAAAAAAAGAGAGAGAGAGAGAAGGCAAAAAGATGCTCCAGGCTCAAAGTGATTCATTGCAGCATTGTTTGTTACATGAAAAAAAATAAAATGGGCCGGGCACAGTGAGTCATGCCTGTAATCCCAGCACTTTGGGAGGTCAAGATAGGAGGATCGCTTGAGCCCAGGAGTTCAAGACTAGCCTGGGCAATATGGTGAAACCCCATGTCTACCAAAAAAAAAAATTTTTATATATATATATAGATAGATATACACACACACAAAAATTAGCTGGGAGTGGTGGCACATCCTTACAGTTCCAGCTACTCGGGAACCTAAGGCAGGAGGATCGCTTGAGTCTGGAAGGCAGAGGTTGAAGTGAGCTGAAATCGTGCCACTGCACTCCAGCCTGGGGTGACAGAGTGCAGAGTGATCCTCTGCCTCAAGAAGAAGGAAAAAAAAAAAAAGGAAATAACTTAAAGGATTGGTTACATTAGTAACAGTTCAGTTCATCCATCCTAGCATGCCACAAAGTTCTGAAAATGAAATTATAAATCTCTATGAACCTATAAGGAAAGACTCATTCATTTCCTCTGTAAGCCTTTATGAAGTTCCTGTTGTATACCAGGTACTATGAACCACAGACACAGCAGTGAATAAAACAGACAAAAATCCCAGCCCCCCCTCCCCCCACCTCTCACTGTAGTTGGGGAAACAGACAACAGGCAGAATCCATCGGGAAAATATATCAAGTGCAGGTGGTGGGAATGCTGCAAAGAAAAATAAGGGCAGGAAATGAGATGGGAAACTTTTATTTATTTATTTATTTATTTATTTATTTATTTATTTATTTGAAACGGAGTTTTGCTCTTGTTGCCCAGGCTGGAGTGCAGTGATGCGATCTCGGCTCACTGCAACCTCCACCTCCCGGGTTCAAGCGATTCTCCTGCCTCAGCCTCCCAAGTAGCTGGGATTACAGGCGCATGGGACCATGCCCAGTTAACTTTTTGTATTTTTAGTAGAGACGGGGTTTCACCATGTTGGCCAGGCTGGTCCCGAATTCCTGACCTCAGGTGATCCACCCTCCTCAGCCTCCCAGAGTGTTGGGATTACAGGCGTGAGCCACTGAGCCTGGCCGCAGAAGCAACTTTTCAATGGGATGATCAAGGAACCCCTTAGGGAGTAAGGAGGAAGGGATGTGGGGAACAGCATCCAGGAGTGGGAACAGCATGTGCAAAGGCCCTGTGGTGGGAGCAGCCCTGGGTAGAGAGCAGATGTCTCCAAATGTTTGTTCAGGCTGCTATAACAAATATGCCGTAAACTGGGGTAGCTTATGAACAACAGTTCCGGAAGCTGGGAAGTCCAAGATCAAGGCACCAGCAGATTCACTTCCTAGTTTGCAGATGACCGTCTTCTCACTGTGTCCTCAGTAGACAGCAGAGGGAGCAGGGGAGCTCTTGGGGCCTCTTTTATAAGGAGCAGAGGGATGGAGGAGCCCAGCCAGCAGTGAGCCTCATGCAGCTGCACGTCCTCCACGCCCAGTTCTGAGGCCTCTTAGAAAAAAAGGAAATAAAGAAATGAGGAAGTGCCAGACCCGAGGCTGCAGGTGGTGGGGGACAGGCAGGCCTGGGGTCTGGGATAGTGAGTTTTGGAGGTGGGTCTGGGGGAGCCGGGGGCCTTGGAGTCTGAGGTCTGTGGGGTCCTGAGATTTGGGGACTCTGAGGTCTGGGGATCCAGGGGTCTGAGAGTCCTGGAATCTAAGGGTCCTGAGGTCTGGGGGTCCTAAAGTCTGAGGATCCGGAGGTTTGGGGGTCCTGGGATCTAGGGGTCTTGGGATATGGGGGTTTGGTGGGGGGGTATAGGGGTCTGGGGATCCAGATGTCTGAGAGTCTTGGGGTCTGGGGGTCCAGGGGTCTGGTGGTTCTGAAGTCTGGGGATCCAGAGGTCTGGGAGTCTTGGGATCTGGGGGTCCTGCAGTCTGGGGGCCCTGGAGTTTGGTAGTCCTGGGGTCTGGGATGTAGGGAAAAGAAAAAGCGATCAGACTGTTACTGTGTCTATGTAGAAAAGGAAGACATAAAAAACTTCATTTTGACCCATACCCTGAACAATTGCTTTGCCCTGAGATGCTGTTAATCTGTAACTTTAGCCCCAACCTCGAGCTCACAGAAATATGTGTTGTATGGAATCAAGGTTTAAGGGATCTAGGGCTGTGCAGGATGTGCTTTGCTAATAAAATGTTTGCAGGCAGTGTGCTTGGTAAAAGTCATCGCCATTCTCCATTCTCGAGTAACCAGGGGCACAATGCACTGCAGAAAGCCGCAGGGACCTCTGCTCTGGAAAGTCAGGTACTGTCCAAGATTTCTCCCCATGGGATAGTCTGAAACATGGCCTCGTGGGATGGGAAAGATCTGATCGTCCCCCCAGCCCGACACCCGTGAAGGGTCTGTGCTGAGGAGGATTAGTAAAAGAGGAAGGCCTCTTGCAGTTGAGCTAAGAGGAAGGCCTCTGTCTCCTGCCTGCCCCTGGGAACTGAATGTCTCGGTATAAAACCCGATTGTACATTTGTTCAATTCTGAGATAGGAGAAAAACCGCCCTATGGCGGGAGGCGAGACGTATTGGCAGCAATGCTGCTCTGTTACTCTTTACTCGGCTGAGATGTTTGGGTGGAGAGAAGTATAAATCTGGCCTACGTGCACATCCAGGCACAGTACCTGCTCTTGAACTTGTGACACGGATTCCTTTGCTCACATGTTTTCTTGCTGACCTCCTCCCCACTATCACCCTGCTCTCTTGATGCATTCCTCTTGCTGAGATAGTGAAAATAGTAATCAATAAATACTGAGGGAACTCAGAGACTGGTGCCAGTGCAGGTCCTTGGTATGCTGAGCGCCGGTCCCCTGGGCCCACTGTTCTTTCTCTATACTCTGTCTCTGTGTCTTATTTCTTTTCTCAGTCTCTCATTCCACCTGATGAGATATCCCACAGGTGTGGAGGGGCAGGCCACCCCTTCATGCAGGTCTTAGGATGTGAGGGTTCTGAGGTCTGTGGGTTCTGGGGTATGGGGATCCAGAGGTCTGGGAGTCTTGGGGTTTGGGAGTCCTGGGGCCTGAGGATCCTGGGGTCTGGGGATCCTGGGGACTGAGGGTCCTGGGCTCTGGGGATCCAGAGGTCTGGGAGTCTTGGGGTTTGGGAGTCCTGGGGCCTGAGGGTCCTGGGGTCTGGGGATCCAGAAGTCTGGGGGTCCTGGGGTCCTGAGGTCTGGGGGTCTTGGGGTCTGGGGGTGCTGGGGTCTAGGGATCCAGAGGTCTGGGAGTCTTGGGGTCTGGGGCCCCTGGGGTCTGGGCCTTCCTGACACAGCCCCAGCTGGCTACTCCCAGGTTTCTGGGAAAGGGGACAGCTCAAGGCTCCACTGGCCTCATCCCTGGCTGAAGGGAGCCTGGAACTTTCAGAGGCCACCTCCCTGGGGTCCCTCTGCTGCCCCCTGATGTACCTGAAGCCGTCCCAGGCTTGAGTCCCAGGCAGGGCCAGCCAGTCTGCACAAAAACCTCCAGGCAGCCGCCAGAGATGGCCCCAGACAGAGAGACACCAGCCCGCCCCCCAGCTATACTCAGAGATGCCAAGAGACCCTCAGAAACACTTGGGGGCCACCATAGGCATGCAGAGACACCTAGGGACACTCAGAAACGCCCAGGGATGCCCAGAAAACCTCAGAGACCCCCAAGATCCTCAGAGACATTTAGAGACCTTCAGAGACTCCCAAAGACCCTCAGAGACCCTCAGAGACCCTCAGAGATCCCCAGAGACCCTCAGAGACCCTCAGAGATCCCCAGAGACTTTCAGAGACATTCAGAGACATCCAGGCTGGGCATGGTGGCTGACGCCTGTAATCCTAGCACTTTAGGAGGCTGAGGCAGGTGGATCACCTGAGGTCAGGAGTTCACGACCAGCCTGGCCAACATGGTGAAACCCCGCCTCTACTAAAAATACAAAAATTAGCCAGGAATGATAGTGCACGCCTGTAATTCCAGCTACTCGGGAGGCTGAGGCAGGAGAATCACTTGAACCCAAGAGGCAGAGGTTGTAGTGAGCTGAGATTGTGCCACTGCACTCCAGCCTGGGTGACAGAGCGAGACTCTGTCTCAAAAAAAAAAAAAAAAAGGCTGGGCGGGGTGGCTCACGCCTGTAATCCCAGCACTTAGGGAGGCTGAGGTGGGTGGATCACAAGGTCAGGAGATTGAGACCATCCTGGCTAACACGGTGAAACCCCGTCTCTACTAAAAATACAAAAAATTAGCTGGGCGTGGTGGTGGGTGTCTGTAGTCCCAGCTACCGGGGAGGCTGAGGCAGGAGAATAGCGTGAACCTGGGAGGCAGAGCTTGCAGTGAGCCAAGACCACGCCACTGCACTCCAGCGCAGGTAACAGAGCGAGACTCCATCTCAAAAAAAAAAAAAAAAAAAAGATAAATATTCAGAGACATTGAGACCACCCAGAGATCCTCACAGACCCTAGAGATGCCCTGGAAAGCCCAGAGGCCCCCCCCCCCGCGAAAGAAAAAAACATGGAGAGCCAGGCAAGAAGCTCCCTGGGGTGGCCCCGCCTCAATTCAACCCCATCACCACATTCACCCAACACCCTCAGGTCCTCAGAGCCCACCCTGAGGTGGGTGATGCCAGAGTCCCTCCAGGCCTCAGCCTGGGTGCTGCCCCAAGAACCCTCAGTCTAGGCAGTGGGGCAACCATGGATGCCTGGCCCTGTGGAGTCAGATCAGGCTGGAACAGGGTCAAGGGCTGCCCTCCCCCTTCCCCAGCCACCTGCACAGACCCCAAATCTCCCACCCCAGCCTCCTCCTTCCTGGTTTTCTGCCACCTCCATCCTCTCTGTGACAGCCATGAGGCAGAGCAGGGGAATTTAAAAACCCTCCCCCACGCCAGGCGTGATGGCTCATGCCTGTAATCCCAGCACTTTGGGAGGCCGAGTTGGGAGGATCGCTTGAGCCCAGGAGTTCAAGACCAGCCTGGGCAACATAGTGAGACTCTGTCTCTACAAAAAAAAAAAAAAAAATCTTTTTGAGACAAGGTCTCTGTCCGACACCCATGCTGGAGTGCAATGCTAAAATCATTGCTCACTGCACTGCATCCTCAGCCTCTGGGACTCAGGTGATCCTCCCACCTCAGCCTCCAGAGTAGCTGGGTCTGCAGGCACATGTCACCATGCCTGGCTAATTATCTGTATTATTTTAAGAGATGGGGTTGGCCAAGTGCAGTGGCTCATGCCTGTAATCCCAGCACTTTGGGAGATCGAGAGCAGGCAGATCACGAGGTCAGGTGATCGAGACCATCCTGGCTAACAAACACAGTGAAACCCTGTCTCTACTAAAAATACAAAAAATTAGTTAAGCGTGGTGGCGTGCGCCTGTAGTCCCAGCTACTCCGGAGGCTGAGGCAGGAGAATGGTGTGCACCTGGGAGGCGGAGCTTGCAGTGAGCTGAGATTGCGCCACTGCACTCCAGCCTGGGTGACAGAGCAAGACTCCGTCTAAAAAAAAAAAAAAAAGACAGAGAGAGAAAGAAGAGAGATGGGGTTTTTGCCATGTTGCCCAGGCAGGTCTCAAACTCCTGGGCTCAAATGATCCTCCTGCCTCAGCCTCCCAAAGTGTCGGGATTACAGGCGTGAGACACTGTACCAAGCCAAAAACTTTATTTATTTATTTATTTTTATGAGACAGGATCTGGCTGTGTCGCCCAGGCTGGAGTGCAGTGGCACATTCTCGGCTCACTGCAACCTTCCCTTCTCGGGTTCAAGGGATTCTCATGCCTCAGCCTCCCAAGAAGCTGAGATTATAGGTGTGCGCCACCATGCCCAGCTATTATTATTATTACTATTATTATTATTATCATTATTATTATTATGTAGAGACGGGGTTTTGCAATGTTAGCCAGGCTGGTCTCAAACTCCTGGCCTCAAATGATCTTCCCACCTTGGCCTCTCAAAGTGCTGGGATTACAGGTGTGAGCCACCACGTGCTGCCTAAAAAAGTTTTTTTAAATTAGCCAGGCCTGGTGGTGTGCGCCTGTAGTCCCAGCTACTCGGGAGGCTGAGGTGGGAGGATCCGTTGGGCCCAGGAGGTCAAGGCTGCAGTGAGCCATGATTGTGCCACCGCACTCCAGCCTGGGCCACAGAGTGAGGCCCTATGTCTAAAAAATATAAATTAAAAAAAAAAATACAAAGTCTGCCCGCAGGTCCGCTGCTGGTGGAATCCAGTCTTCCCCAGAGAGATGGGGAGGGCTGAGCCAAGCACCAGAGACCCTCAATAAGGCCTGGAAGTCTGGAGGGGTCTGAGGGGCTCTGGAGCCAGCGGTCAGGACCAGAAGTAGGTGTAATGACCATGAGTCTGGGCCAGGGAGGACTTAAAGGAACGGCTGGAAGGTGGACTGACATGGACATTGTGGACCTATACGCATTCATTCATCAAACGATGATTGAGGCTGGCTCAGACACTTCCAAGCTGTGTGACCTAGGACCCGCACCTCAACATCTCTGTGCCTTGGCTGCCTCCTCTGTATTTTTATATTTTTTATTTTATTATTATTATTATTATTTTTGAGATGGAGTCTCGCTCTGTCTCCTAGGCTGAAGTGTTAGGGGCATGAACTTGGCTCACTGCGACCTCTGCCTCCCGGGTTCAAGCGATTCTCATGACTCAACTTCCCAAGTAGCTGGAATTACAGATGCACACCACCACGCCTGGCTAATTTTTGTATTTTTAGTAGAGACGGGGTTTCACCTTGTTGGCCAGGCTGGTCTCGAACTCCTGACCTCAGGTGATCCTCCCACCTCGGCCTCCCAGAGTGCTGGGATTACAGGCGTAAGACACAGCACCCAGCCCAAAGCATGACTTTTTAATAACATGAGAAGACCTTGTTTAAGGTCACATGGCCTTGTTAGTTATAGTAATGTTTTTTTTGTTGTTGTTTTTGTTTTTGAGACGGAGTCTCGTTCTGTTGCCCAGGCTGGAGTGCAGTGGCGTGATCTGGGCTCACTGCAAGCTCCGCCCCCCGGGTTCACGCCATTCTCCTGCCTCAACCTCCCAAGTAGCTGGGACTAGAGTAGCTGGGACTACAGGCGCCCGCCACCACGCCCGGTTAATTTTTTGTATTTTTAGTAGAGACGGGGTTTCACTGTGTTAGCCAGGATGGTCTCGATCTCCTGACCTCGTGATCCACCCACCTCGGCCTCCCAAAGTGCTGGGATTACAGGTGTGAGCCACTGTACCCGGCCTTAGTAATTTTTGTTTTGTTTTGTTTTTTGACGCAGAGTCTGGGCTCAGTCACCCAGCCTGGGGTGCAGTGGCGCAATCATGGCTCACTGCAACCTGCACCTCCTCGGCTCAAGTGATCCTCCTACCTCAGCCTCCCAAGTAGCTGGGATTACAGGTGCACACCACCACACCCGCCTAATTTTTCTATTTTTCTGGTAGAGACAGGGTTTCACCACATTGCCCAGACTGGTCTCAAACTTCTGGGCTCAAGCAACCCTCCTGCCTTGGCCTCCCAGAGTGCTGGGACTACAGGCATGAGCCACCACGCCCGCCCTGCTGGTTCTAGTAAAATTTTAAAAGCCACTGAATACCTTTGGGAGAGTCGTGGGGAAATAAAACGTGGCATGAAGGCAGCCATGGTCGGCCAAGCATGTCCCACCTGTGAGGCTTGCATTTCTTGGCTGACAGTGACGCTGACCACGGGAGGCCACGTCATGGCCACATGGCTCTCTTGAGAGCAGTCTTCAACCACAGACGGAAGGAGAGTTGGCTGTAAATGCCTCCGCTCCCTCCACCCTCAGGTAGGACAACAGAAGCACCTCTTCTGTTGCTGTCTCCCTGAGAAAGGACCCATTCCTGGTGGCCCACGTTGAACCTGCTCGCTGGCACCCCCTGCAGGGCTCCCCTTCCCTTCCTGCCTCTTTAACCCCCAGGAGGGCTTCTGGGATCACCTCTCAGATAATGCCCCTGAATTGAGTCTTAGAGTCTCCTTCACCAAGCCACCAATTTTTTTTTTTTTTGAGACTGAGTACCGCTCTATCTCCCAGGCTGGTGTGCAGTGGCACCATCACGGCTCACTGCAAACTCCGCCCCCCAGGTTCAAGTGATTCTCCTGCCTCAGCCTCCTGAGTAGTTGGGATTATAGGCGCCCGCCATCGCACCCGGCTAATTTTTGTATTTTTAGTAGAGACAGGGTTTTGCCATGTTGGCCAGGCTGGTCTCGAACCTGATCTCAGGTGATCCGCCTGCCTTGGCCTCCCAAAGTGCTGGGATTACAGTCGTGAGCCACCGCACGCGGCCCAAACCACCAAATTAAGACAGTTCTTTTGGTTTGTTTTTTTGAGACAAGGTCTCACTCGGTCACCCAGGCTGGAGTGCAGTGGCGTGATCTCACTCACTGCAACCTCCACTTCCTGGGCTCAAGCGATCCTCCTGGCTCAGCCTCCCATGTAGTGGGGACCATGGGTGTGGGCCACCACACTTGGCTAATTTTTTGATTTTTTGTAGAGATGAGGGTCTTGCTATGTTGCATAGGCTGGTCTCAAACTCCTGGCCTCAAACGATCCTCCCGTCTTGCCCTCCCAAAGTGCTGGGATTACAGGCATGAGCCAACATGCCCGGCCTAAATCAGCAAATTATAAAGGAGATTAGACAGTAATAGTGCTGTGGTGCTGATCTGCCTATGGAGTGGCCATTCTTTTTTTTTTTTTTTTTGAGACAGAGTCTCGCTCTGTCATCCAGGCTGGAGTGCAGTAGTGCGATCTGGGCTCACTGCAACCTCTACCTCCCAGGTTCAAGCGATTCTCTCGCCTCAGCCTTCTGAGTAGCTGGGATTGCAGGTGTGCGCCACGTCAATTGGCTAATTTTTTGTGATTTTGGTACAGATACGGCTTCACCATGTTGCCCATCTGTTCTCGAACTCCTCAGCTCAGGCAATCTGTTTGCCTCGGCCTCCCAAAGTGTTGGTATTACAGGCGTGAGCCATGGCGACCAGCTGTAGCCATTCTTTTATTATTTTACTTTCTTAATAAATTTGATTTCACTTAAAAAAAAAATGCCATGGCCAAAAAATTAGAGTCAAGGAGTCGGGAGAGTAGGATGGTTCAAAGATTTTTCTTGTTTTGAAACAGAGTCTTGCTCTGTCACCCAGGCTGGGGTGCAGTGGCACAATCATGGCTCCACCACATCCAGCTAATTTTTTATTTTTTGTAGAGACAGGAGGTCTCACTGTGTTGCCCAGGCTGGCCTCAAATTGCTGGCCTCACGTGATCCTCCCTCCTCGGCCTCCCAAATGCTGAGATTACAGGCATGAGCCACCGTGCCTGGCCTGGTTCAGTTTTTGTTTTTTCTTTCTTTTTTGAGTCTGAGTCTCGCTCTGTCATCCAGGCTGGAGTGCAGTGGCTCAATCTCGGCTCACTGAAATCTCTGTCTCTCAGGTTCAAGCGATTCTCCTGCCTCAGCCGCCTGAGTAGCTGGAAATACAGGCGCATGACACCACACCTGGCTAATTTTTGTTTTTTGGAGACGGAGTCTCGCTCTGTCGCCCAAGTTGGAGTGCAGTGGCACGATCTCGGCTCACTGCAAGCTCCGCCTCCCGGGTTGAAGCCATTCTCCTGCCTCAGCCTCCAGAGTAGCCGAGACTACAGGCGCCCGCCACCACGCCCGGCTAATTTTTTTTTGTATTTTTAGTAGAGACGGGGTTTCACCGTGTTAGCCAGGATGGTCTCGATCTCCTGACCTCATGATCCGCCCGCCTCGACCTCCCAAAGTGCTGGGATTACAGGCGTGAGCCACCCCGCCCGGCCTAATTTTTGTATTTTTAGTGAAGACAGGGTTTCACCATGTTGGCCAGGCTGGTATTGAACTCCTGACCTCAAGTGATCCGCCCACCTCGGCCTCCCAAAGTGCTGGGATTACAGGCGTGAGTCACCGCGCCCGGCCTGGTTCAGTTTTAAACGGGCTAGTCAAAGAAGGCCTCTCTAGAAAAAAATATGGACAAACAAGAAAAAAAGATGCGCAGGGAGGAGTTCAAAATGGGGACAGGATTTTTGGGGGTGTGGCGTGACTGGGTGATGTTTTCTATATTTGCCTCCTCCTTGCCATGAAATAATTCAATACAGAAATATGTAAATATACATTTGTAAGCCGACCTGAGAGCAAGGGCAAGGTCAAGAGAGGCAGACTAGATTCCACCGCTGACCCTTGGGGTCTTAGCTCAGGGAGGCCTCAAGGGGATGCTGGGGGCGGGACCTGCTGGGATTCTCAGGAGTTGCTACATTGAGTCTCTGCTGCCCTCAAGTGGTTATATTCGGAACCGCAGGTGCTGGCTGCCTTGGCGAAGGCAGGCAACTCCGTAGACCACACAGAGGAGTTCAGCACAGAGGGGACATTGGTAATCTTTAGTCCATTTGCTCAGCAACAAATATTTGTTGAGCACCTACTGTATGCCAGAAAGTGTTATAAGCGCTAGGGACACAGCCCTGAACAAAACATACAAATTTCGGCCGGGCGCGGTGGCTCACGCCTGTAATCCCAGCACTTTGGGAGGCCAAGGCAGGAGGATCACTTGAGGCCAGGAGTTCAAGACCAGTCTGGGTAGCATAGTGAGACCCCCTTCTCTACAAAAGAAAGCAAAACATAGAAACCTCCTGCCCGCATGGAGCTCAAGGGTTCCTGGGGCAATAAATATGCAAAAATTAACAAACAAGATATCCAGGAAGGGTCAGGTGCATGGGCTCACGCCTGTAATCTCAACACTTTGGGATGCCAAAGTGGGCAGATCACCTGAGGTCAGGAGTTTGAGACCAGCCTGGCCAACATGATGAAACCTTGTCTCTACTAAAAAAATACAAAAAGTAGCCGGGCGTGGTGGCACACACCTGTAATCCCAGCTACTCGGGAGGCTGAGGCAGGAGAATTGCTTGAACCCAGGAGAGGGAGGTTGCAGTGAGTCAAGATTGCGCCACTGCACTCCAGCCTGGGCAACAGAGCGAGACTTCGTCTTAAAGAAAAAAAAAAGTATCCAGGAAGATCCAACAAGGTAATATAATCCAAACAGAGGTTTGGGGACCTCTCCGAGGGTATGTCACTGGAGCTGAAGCCTGAAGGATGAAGAGAAGCTGGCCATGGTGTACAGTTGTAGAAAAGGTATCCCGGCCAGGAGAAAACCCAATGCAAAGGCCCTGGGGTGGGATGACCTGGATGCATTTAACATAATCATGTCAAAACATGCTCAATATCAGGTACTTACCAAGTGTGGACTCTGTGGTGTTGTTAAGCCAAAGGACCCCCAGAAGGGAAGAAAAGACTCGTGTCCCTGTACCATCCCGAGAGGGATGGACCTTAGGGTACCACAGGAAATCTTTCTTCCACCAGTAAGAAGAGAGACTGAATCTGGGCACAGTGGCACACATCTGTAGTCCCAGCTACTTGAGAGGCTGAGGCGAGAGGATCGCTTGAGGCCAGGAGTTCGAGACCAACCTGGGAAACAAAGTCAGACCCCCCACACACACACACAAAATAAAATTAGCTGGGCTTGGTGGTGCACGTCTGTTGCCCCAGCTACTCGGGAAGCTGAGCTGCGAGGATCGCTTGAGCCCAGGAGTTTGAGGCTGCAGTGAGCTGTGATTGTGCCACTGCACTCCAGCCTGGGTGACAGAGTGAGACTGTCTCTAAAAAAAGGAGGATGAGGGCCAGGTGCAGTGGTTCATGCCTGTAATCCCAGCACTTTGGGAGGCTGAGGTGGGTGGACCATCAGGTCAGGAGGTCAAGACCAGCCTGGCCAAGATGGTGAAACGCCGTCTCTACTAAAAATACAAAAATTAGCCGGGCGTGGTGGCAGGCGCCTGTAATCCCAGCTACTCGGGAGGCTGAGGCAGAGAATTGCTTGAACTCAGGAGGTGGAGGTTTGCAGTGAGTCGAGATCGCACCACGGCACTCCAGCCTGGGCAACAGAATGAGACTCCATCTCAAAAAAAAAAAAAAAAAAAAAGGAGGAGGCGGAGGCTGGAGCTCTAGACAGACGAGGTGAGGAATGGGCATTGTCAGGGTACCTCGAAGTCAGATCTGGTGCCTCCACTCCCTGATTTGTGTCCCCAGGCAAGTTGCTTTGCTGCTCTGAACCTTTCTCAGACATAGGTGAGTGCCACCTATGGGTCTCTCACACGACACCCTTGATGCCGTGATGAGCCTCAGTTTCCCCATCTGTAACATGGGGAGAAGAAATGACAGCCAGGAGTGGTGGCGCACACCTGTGGTCCTAGCTACTTGGGAGGCCAAGGTGGGAGGACTGCTTAAGCCCGGGAGGTGGAGGCTGCCAAGGCAGCTGGTTGAGGTTCAGCGAGAGCACTGAAGCAGAGCGCTGGGTGCACGGTAGCTGGGGCTTCCAGTAGCTGGCTCTGAGTTGAAGATTCAAGGGCAGGTGGGATCAGGTGGGGTGAGGGGATACCTGGGAGGTGACCCCAGGAAGCTCCTGGTAGGGAATGGGACATGAGACAGGAAGGGAAGGAGCCCTACAGGGGGCACCAACTGCCAACAGACATGACACATGTGGATGAGTGGCGCTCAGCCCCGCCTGGGACAGCTGGGGGACAGTGTAGATGCTCATCTCAGAGGGGTCCCACTCAGGGGCGAGGAGCGTGGGGTGTTTTGGTTTGGGTTTTTTTTTTTTTTTTTTTAGACGGAGTTTTGGTCTTATTGTGGACGTGGGGGAGGGACGACGAACGTGAGGGTGGGAGGTTGTAGGTTCAGCAGAGGCTCCTCGGCCAGGAGTGCAATGGCACAATCTCAGCTCACGGCAACCTCCGCTTCCTGGGTTCAAGAGATTGTCCTGCCTCAGCCTCCTGAATAGCTGGGATTACATACAGGCACGCGCCACCACGCCTGGCTAATTTTTTGTAATTTTAGTAGAAATGGGGTTTCACCATGTTGGCCAGGATGGTCTCAAACTCCTGACCTCAGGTGATCCACTCGCCTTGGCCTCCCAAAGTGCTGGGATTACAGGCGTGACCCACCACACCCAGCCCTGTGGGGTGTTTATCCACCCCCAACCTCATTTTGATTTCCCAGAAAACAGACCCAAGATGGCACACTGAGAATGTGGGGCACATGGGTATCCGGCCATGGGAGCTGGGGAAGGGCCCTGCAGGGGGTGCCCAGGAGCAGGGGAGGTCGTGGGAAATGAAGCTCAGTCCTGTCGGAGACCTTAGGGAGACTGGCATGTCCTTAGACGGGGCATTCCCAGGGCAGGCACGGTGGTGGCTCACACCTGTAATCGCAGCACTTTGGGAGGCCAAGGCGGGCAGATCGCCTGAAGTCGGGAGTTCAAGACCAGCCTGGCCAGCATGGTGAAACCCCGTCTCTACTAAAAATACAAAAATTAGCCAGGTGTGGTGGCAGGCACCTGTAATCCCAGCTACTCAGGAAGCTGAGGCAGGAGAATTGCTTGAACCTGGGAGGCGGAGGTTGCAGTGAGCCGAGATTGTGCCACTGCACTCCAGCCTGGGCAACAGTGCAAGACTCCATCTCAAAAAAACAAACAAACAAAAAAAACGGCATTCCCTCGGCCAGAGAAAGCTACAGGTGAGGAGTAGCAGAAGCTGGCGGTGGGGAGTGCAGCCACGTGGTTAGGCCCAGGATGGGCTGCAGCCAGCGTGCACCCAGAGCTACCAGCAGCTATTACAGACCCTCCTCCTAGACCTGGGATTTCTAAGAGACACCTCGAGTCTCCCAGACCAGACAGGGTACTGGAAGCACTCTGATGGGTGGGGTATTGCCTCTGGGTCGCTCACATGACGTCCTTGGTTCCTTTACGAGCCTCAGTTTCCCCATCTGTAACATGGGGAGAAGAAATGATGGCTGGGCTTGTTAGTGCATGCATTTGGTCCCAGCTACTTGGGAAGCTGAGGTGGGAGGATCACTTAAACCCGGAGGTTGAGGCTGCAGTGAGCTATGATTGTGCCGCTGCACTCCAGCCTGGGTGACAGAGTGAGACACCCATATCTAAAAAGAAAAACTAGAGATGCTGCCACCTTCTTTGGTCTGGAAGGAGGACATTACCAGAGGATGGAAGCCAGTTCCCAAGGGTTAGTATGACTCTGGAGTTCAAGTGCAGGGCAGAGGGGTGGGGCTTCGATGTGTGGCCGGTGAAAGCCACACAAGGTGCTAGAAGCACAGAAGTGTACCGGCTTTGGTTAAGCTTTGTGGAGGACGGACGTGGGGGTGTGAGTTGCAGGTTTGGCAGAGGCTTCTTGGCCAGGCCCTCCTGTATCCCTTCTGTCACCCGGAGTCCCTCGCAGCCCTGTGGGATTGGTGGCATGACCCAGTGGCTTGGAGGGGTCACTGAAGTTCAGCTGTTTCCCGGTCAAGGCCACACAGTGAGCCAGGGCACAGCTAGGTTCAAACCCAGGCCCAGAGCCTCTATCTGTGAGTTTCCGCCTCCAGGCAACTAGTCTTGGGGTATAATCCCCATTTCAGAAACCCTAGCTGGCTGTCCAAGGAGTGAGGCTGTCTGAACACCCCTCTGCCCATGCTGGCCACCCCCAGCCTTCCTGAGTCAAAGGCCCAGCTCCTCCCACCCCCCACCCTCGACCTACCCTCGTGTTCACCAGCTGCTGTGGCTGCTCCCACCCTGGTGTTGTTTGGGTTTTAATTTTTGTGTTGCATTTAGAAAATTACCCATAATTACAGCTTCTGAGAGGAAACGGTCTCCTAGCGCAGACCCGGCTCCCAGCTGTGGCCGCCTCCCACGCACGCACGGCTGGGGAGGGGTTGCAGGGGGCGCCAGCCCCAGTCCTGGCCCCTCCCAGGGCCCCCCACTTTAATGAGGAGGAGGGAGGGAGGCCGTTTCCGCCACCTATGGAGAAGAAAAACCACCAGCAGGAAAACCCAACCCGGCCTCCTCTGCAGGAATGGGGAGTACTCGTGGGCCCCCCCACTGCTGTGTCCTCAAGGAGACAGGACCCAGAGGAAGGCGGAGGCGGCCAACTGAGGACGGGATGCGTTATTTCATCCGAATACTGCCAAGTCCAACTAGGGACTGTGCGGAAACAGTCTTGCGGGGGCAGTGCCCAGGGAAGGCTTGGAGGAGGAGGAGGAAGAGGAGGAGGGAGAGGAAGAGGAAGAGGAGGAGTTGGCCTCCTCCCCCAGGAGGACCAAGGAGGAACCCTTGGCCAAAGGAGGAGCCTCAGTAGGCCAGGCCAGAAGCCAGAGAAAAAGCGTTCCAGGCGGCAGGAACCGCTAGCGCAAAGGCTTATGGGTGGGACTGTGCAGGGTGGATCCAGGGTGAGGGTACAGTCGGCCCCTTCTCCTGGCAACCTCCCTGCCCTAAAAGAAGATTCTCCTTAGGGCTCCTCCAGGCACAGCCCCTGACCCGTATTTAGGGGACATCCATGGTGGGTGACTCACCACTGTCCACCCCAAGAAGCAGAGACCCAGCCGAGGACCTGCCCTGGGCCCCTTCCCCGGGGCAACCTCCCCGCCCCCTCTGTGCCACCTTGATCTCACTGGCAACGGAGCTTCTTAGGTTTTTTTAGTTTTTGTTGTTGTTATTTTGAGACGGAGTCTCACTCTATGCCCAGGCTGGAGCGCAATCTTGGCTCACTGCAACCTTCGCCTCCCGGGTTCAAGCGATTCTCCTGCCTCAGCCTCCTGAGTAGCTGGGATTACAGACGCCCGCCACTACACCCAGCTAATTTTTGTGTTTTGAGTAGAGAGGGGGTTTCACCATGTTGTTTAGGCTGGTCTCGAACTCCTGACCTGAGGTGATTCGCCCGCCTCAGCCTCCCAAAGTGCTGGGATTACAGGCATGAGCCACCGCGCCCGGCCGGTTTTTTTAGTTTTTAGTAAGAGTCTTGGTCTGTCGTCCAGGCTGAAGTGCAGTGGCACGATCACAGCTAACTGCAGCCTTCACCTGCTGGGTTCAAGCCATCATCCTGTCTCGGCCTCCGAAGTGCTGGGGCTACAGGCACACGCTGCCACCACGTGCGGCCTCCCATGGAGCTTCTTAAAATCGTGACGTAGATCCCATCCTCTCCTCGCGGCTCCACACCCTCCCATTGCTCCCTAATGCTCTTAGAAAAAAATCTCACCCCCTCCCCTCTGGGCGTGGTCTAGCTCTCTGCCTTCCCTGCCATCATCCCCCTCTTCTTCACCCTGCCCCGGCCACGGCTGCTTCCTGGCTCTGCCTCCAGCGCCTTCGCCGTGTGCCCACCTCAGGGCCTTGGCCCTTACTGTGACTACAGTCTGAACATTCCACTTCCAGGTCTTTCAAATCCACCCCTCCTCTCCCCGTTATTAATAATTTTTCCTCCCCGCCCTGCCCGTCCTTCGCGTGGGTGGGGGGTCCCTTTCTGCGGGTTCTGCCCCCGCAAGGCGTGCGCCCTGGTTGGGAGTGCGCGCGGCTCAGCTCCCCGACGCCGCGTGGGACCCAGGGCCCGCTGCCCTCGCACTTTTCCGCCAGCGCCCAGGCTGTGTTTGGAGATCCTTCCCGGTTGCCATGAGAACCGCGCTCCTCGCTCCCGCCCTCCGCGCCTCCCCCATCACAGCTCTCTGGGCCGCCGGCGCCTCAGCCTCCCTCCCTCCTTCCCTCCCTCCCTCCGCCTCCGCCCTCCCCCGGGAGACCGACCGACCCCGCCGTCGCCCGTCCTGTCACCAGGGGTCCCCTCCCTCTCACGCACGTGGCACTCCCTGAAATTAACCGACTGACTCGCCAGCTTTTGACTGTCCGCCTCCCCCATCAGATTCTGAGCTCCAAGAGGTAGCAACGTGTCCCGGCTGGGTCTCCGGAGCCCAGCACACAGTAGGCGCTCAATACATGTTTAATGGGGTGAAGACTCACATTGACCCAAGGAACCGTGGCTCACAGGGGGCGAGGGACCAACCAGGGCACACAGGGCCCTGGGGAGCCACGGAGCTTTAGGAGATTAAACTGGGGGTGGCAGGAGGGGCATCTGCCGGGCCCGGGAGTGCCGGTTGTCACCAAGGCTCTGTGTGACTTTGGGTGAGCCACACCCTCTCTGTGCCTCATTAGGAGTAGGCGCTGGCGGGGGCAGTGGTGGGAGCGGTCATTAGGATGGGAGTGACCTGGACGCCGAAGCCCACGCCCCCCGTGGTCCCCCAGGCTCCGGGGCCGTCGCCAGCCCGAGGCCCTGCGGAATTGTGCGGGCCCCTCCTACCCCGCCGAGCCGGGGCCCGGAGGCCCGCGGGAGAGGAAGCTGGGGGAAGGGGCGGCCGGCTGGACAGGAAGTGGGAAGGGCTGGCGTCCCCCCTCCCGCGCCGAGGCCCCTCGGGGAGGAGGCGGGGCTGGGGCCGGTCCTGCCCTTCCCTTCCTCTCCGCGGGTCTGGAGCCCCGGCGGCTCCCGACTTCCCGCCGGCCAGAAGGCTTGGGGTGGGGGCGGGGGGTTCTCACGTACTGGGGGGCGGCCTCTATCGGGGAGGCATCTGCGGGGTCAGCTGGCAGCGAGAGACATCCAGACATTCACACACAAACACACACACGAAACGTGAGCACAGAGCCACACACAGGTCCTAGGGAGCTGGCGGCCCACCCACGCGCGGAGACACACACGTGCACATTCGGCACACACTTGTGCACGCAACCTCACTGAGCGACTCGGCCCGACTCGGACCCACAACTGCCACCGCGCAGCCAGGGACAGTCGCCGAGACAGCGATAATTTATTGGGTGTTTGCCCGCCCCCCACGCACAAGGATGCACACGTGCACTCACACGGGAGCCGCGTGTTTGCACACACGCGGGCTTGCCTAGGAAAAAAGAGGAATAGCCGTGGCAAACACAGAAACATCTAGACCCAGAGTCAACCGCACCGCCTTCCCCTACCCTGCCCATCCACACACGACCCACTGGTACCCGGGCATCCCTGCCCTGCGGGGGTCCCTGACTCAGTATCCGCCCCCACCCTCTCTGAACACCCCTGGTGGGGGGATGAAGGGCCCTAAAAGGGGAAAAGGGCACCCACTGCCTGCACCCTGACTCCCGCAGACAAAGGTGGGATGCGCCCCATTTACAGCTCACAGCACCGAGGCTGAGAAGCCCAAACAGCAGTCACCCAGCACCTAGTATTGTCACCGGGTGTTACTTCGGGGTGGTGCCAGGTGGCTCCCACAGCCTGGGTACTATAGGAGCTTTGTGTCTGTGTGCCTGGGTTGTGTCTGTGTTGTGTGACTTCGGGCGGGACGCTGAGTGTCCGCAGGCCCTGTGACTGTGGAGCTGGGTAGGGTGTGGTTCTGAGGAGGCCGCGATAGTGCGCCCCAGGGTGACTGTGAGTTAACTCCGTGGGCTCTGTCCACGGCTGTTGGAAGCTGTGGCACGGCCTTGCATAAGCGCGCGCCTGCGTGAGGCTGGGTGCCTGTGTGCGGTGGCCTGTGTTTAGTTGTTCCAGGACGGCCACTGTGAGCTGGGTGTGTGGCAGTGTATGTGTGTCGCTGGGCGGGCTGTATGTGCGGTGGTTCCCACCCTTGCTGAGTGTGGGTAGCTCTGCGGGGTGAGACACCCAATGTCACTGCCTGAGGCTTTATGGGGCTATCCGCAGTCGTTCCAGCAGCGGGGTACACTTTTGCTGTGTGGAGCGCTATGTTGAGTGTCGCTGCGAATGTGTGTGGCTGGGTGTACAACAATGTGGGTGGCCGGCTCCATTTGAGGTGAGTGAACGTGTGTGTGCACGCGCGCGTGTGCAGCCGCGATCAGCTGTGCGTCCCTGGGTGGCCGTCCGGGATCCTGACCCGCGAGTGTGTAGCCGCGCCCCCACCCCCCGCGGCGGGCACTGCGCGTGCGCGCTCCGGCGGCGGGACCCACCCGCGCGCCCGCCATCGCCCCTTTAAGAGCTGCGCCCGCGGGCGGCGTAGAGGCAGCGGGCGGGGGCGCGCGCGGCGGGAGGAGGGGAGCGCGCGTTTCCCGGAACAGCCCGCGCGGAGGAAAGGGAGGAAAAAAAGCCACCCTGCGGCCGGGGCCGGAGCTGGAGCCGCCGCTGCCGCCGCCGCCGCGGCCGTCTGGAGCTCCCCCGCGCGGACGATGCCTGCCGTGCCCGCCTGGGGCTCGGGGCGGTGAGGCCCGGGGCGCGGGGTAGCTATGGCGACGGCAAGCGCGGCCCGCGGCGCCGCCTGACAGGTGTGGGCCCCGGCGGCGGCGGCGTGGAGCAGCATGTACGCCAAGGGGGGCAAGGGTTCGGCCGTGCCCTCCGACAGCCAGGCCCGCGAGAAGTGAGTGCGGGGCCGGGGGCGGGGCTCGGCGTCCGCGCTCTTCCGTGGGCTCCGGCGCGGGCGGGCACCGCGCGGGGCACGTGGGCGCGGGCGGCGGGGAGCGCGAGCCTGAGCGCGCTCGAGGGGTCGCGAGATTGGCGGGGGCGCGCGACCCCCGAGGGGCACGAGATTGGCGGGGGGCGCGCGAGACCCTGAGGGGTCGCCGGAGTTGAGGGTTGGCGGGCGACCCGAGGGGCGCTAGACGGGAGTGGACGGGCGAGACCGGAGCGGCTCCAGGGGTCGCGAGATTGGCGGGGGCGCGCGAAACCCGAGGGCGCGAGATTTGAGGGGGCGCGCGAGATCCCCGAGCGGGTCTCGGGGGTCGCGAGGCCTCCTCGAGACGTGGGTGCGCGAGGCTGCGGACGCATGGGGATCGAGGTCAGCGAAGTTTTCCGGGACGAACAAGAGTGTCGGCTCGGGGACCCCAGTCGCCTGGGGTAGAGCTGGAGAGCGGCTGGAGGGGCGCGCCGCCACCTGTCTGCCCTGGCCCCAGCAGCTGTGTGGGGCCCCTGGGGAAGCCGCACGGTTCACAGTCCAGGGGCGGGTGGGGACGACGGAGCCGCTCTCTTGATACCACTGAAGAGTGCATACTGAGGGCCCCTTTTGTTCTGGGCGTGGCTCCAGGCCGTGGGTACCAGGCGCTCTGAAGCTGGTAGGGGCAGGTTCCACCGTGCGGATGGAGGAAGGGTCGTGGTGGGGCTGAGGTCTCTCGGGGTGGGGAGTCAGCCGAGTGTGCTCTCCGGGTGGAAAGCATTTGAAAGGTGCTTGGAGCAGTGACCGTCCCGCAGGAAGGGCACGGGGCAGTTTGCAGTGTTGTTAAAAGTGCCCAGAGGCCGGGCGCGGTGGCTCACGCCTGTAATCCCAGCACTTTGGGAGGCCGAGGCGGTCGGATCACGAGGCCAAGAGATCGAGACAATCCTGGCCAACATGGTGAAACCCCGTCTCTACTAAAAATACAAAAATTAGCTGGGCGTGGGCGCCTGTAGTCCCAACTACTCGGGAGGCTGAGGCAGGAGAATCCCTTGAACCCGTGGCGCAGAGGTTGCAGTGAGCCGAGATCACGCCACTGCACTCCAGCCTGGCGACAGAGCCAGATTCCATCTCAAAAAAAAAAAACAAAAAACAAAAAAACAGTGCCCAGGAGGAGGGGAGTCTTGTCATAGCTGATGGGGGACTTCCAGGATCCTTGAAGTTGAGCCACCTGGAGTGGCCCGTGGTGTGGAACTGGCCACCCAAGCAGAGAGGAGGCTGGGTCAGCAGGGAGGGGTCCCATGAGGACCTGCCTTGAGGGCCAGGCCAGGAGTGAGGACTTGAATGTCTGGGTGCTGGAGAGGAGCCCTGGACGTTGGCTGAGTGTCCCCCATCCTGCCTCTTCTGCCTAGGCTGACTTGGGATGCCCCACCCCTCCACAAAGATGCCTGTCCCCTCTGCCCAGCCTCTGGGTCATTTTGGAGAAGAGGCTCTTCTGGCTAGAAGGTGGTAGGCAAATGACTGCACTGTCAGGCCTCCCTTGCCTGTGTGCAGTTAGGAAGATGAGCTCCATTTCCAAGCACCCTTAAGCCCAAAGACTTTTTGAAACTGGCCTCTGGCTCCTGCTCAGGTCGGAAGCAGGAGGTGTCTGCCATGGTCACCCCTGGACCCCTGGTCTGTCTCCTGTGTGTCTCCAGGCAGCTGCTGGCTCTGGAGGCATCCACCCACCCAGTGGGAATCGGGATCGTTCACTGATTCAGCATATCTGCCCTGGGTGTCCCTGGGTGTGGCAGTCGGGAAGGCAGGCTCCGGTCGGGATGGCAGGGTCGGTGGCCCTGAAGAAGCCCCCACCCCAGCAGGGAGGCAGGTATCCAGTTAGCAGGAGAAAGCAAAGTGGATGATAGATAGCGAAGGGTGAGGGGATGTCAGGTGGAGGGCACAGCAAGTGCAAAGGCCCTGATATGGGACCAGGAAAAGGAGCTGGGGCTGGGCCCAGGTGGAGGAAGAGGCAGCCTGCAAGAGTGCCAGATGGGCCCCAGTGGGTTGTGTGTGCAGAAGTGCGCTCTGGCTCCCAGGTGGAGTGGGGCTTATAGGGGTCAGGAACAGAGGCTGGGAGGCCCTGGGGATGTGGACACAGTTGTCTGAAAGAGAGCTGGGGAGGCCGGGCGTGGTGGCTCACGCCTATAATCATCCTAGCACTTTGGGAGGCCAAGGTGGGTGGATCATTTGAGGTCAGGAGTTCGAGACCAGCCTGGCCAACATGATGAAACCCTGTCTCTACTAAAAATACAAAAATTAGCCGGGCATGGTGGCGGGTGCCTGTAATCCCAGCTACTCTGGAGGCTGAGGTGAAAGGATCGCTTGAACCTAGGAGGTAGAGGTTGCAGTGAGCTGAGATCGTGCCACTGCCCTCCAGCCTGGGTGACAGGGCGAGACTCCATCTCAAAAAGAACAAAAAAGAAAAACAGTGAAAGAGAGCTGGTGGCAGCCTGGACCCAAGTAAGAAGGAAGAGATTTCATAGGTTTGAGCCGGGGGTGGTAGGGTGAGGGGGTTAGCTGCATTCCTGGCCCCCTTCCCATACTGTCCTCCCACTCCCCAACCTGCCCAGCAGAGGTGCTTTGGGGACACTGGCCTCGGGACTCAAGGCTCTCGGAAGTCCCTCAGCTGCCAGTGGGGAGGCTGCAGGGCCCATCTTTGGTCAGAGCCAGCCTGCATGCTTCCATTTCACGGAGAGGGTCTCGTATAAGTGTTGGTTTGGAGGTGAGGTTCCTCTATGAAAGAAAGCCTGGAAAACGCCAGATGGCCGCATGCACCCATTTCAACGAAAGGGACACCAGGGCCCTGGAGAGGAAGCCACCTGATGAGAACTCAGCTTCTCTGGCACAGATGAGCTCTCAGAGGCAGCCCCAGGCCTCAGTTTCCTCATGTGAAATGTGGACGACCCATCTTTCAGGATCTTTGCAAGGACTGGGTGGGAGCCCGTAGGCAGAGCACCTGCCGGGGCAGCCACGCGGCTCTCAGGAAGTATCTGCCTCGGGCAAGCCACTTCCTGCCTCTGGGCCTCGGTTTCCTTCTCTGTGAAATGGGGTGAAGAGGTTACACTGCTCCAAACCTTGACTCTCCAGCACTGCACTTTTCTTCCTGCAATGAGCCTCATGCCTCCTAAAAATGAGGCGCTGCATATCCTTCCTTCTCTCTCTGGCCCCAATCCTGAGCCCCTTCTGGCTGCCCTTGGAGCCTACAGGCCTTCCCGGCTTACACTAGGTCTCGGCCAGCTGGCTCCAGAAAGGGACCGAGCACCTGGTGGGTGCCTGCCCTCGGGGGCTCGCAGCAGATGGCAGTGACTGTGGAGTGCAGGGGCAGCAGAGTGGGCTGAGGGAGGCTGGGGTCTGAGTGGGCCACTTGCAAGAAGAGGGGCATGTGTATATCCTTCAGCACTCAAGTGTTGCCAGGCAGGTTGAGAAGAGGTCCATGAATCACAGCCATGGTTGGTGTTGCCTGGCAGCTCGTGGGTTTCTCCCGGGCTTGATTTTGAGCCGGCACATGGATGTCGGTGGCTTGTTCATCAGCCTGGCAGGTAAGCCAGGGATGGGATTCACGATTGGACGTGGTCATTTTGGCCCCTGGCTGGAAATGGCTATGAGGGGCAGGTGTGGAGGGTAGTAAGGAGAGGCCGCCACTTTGCCAAGAAGCTGCCAGAGGCCTGGCCTTTAGGGTTGGCAGAGGGGAGGGAGGACGGCGAGGGTTGGAGGGTCAGGAGTGAGACCTGGTGACGGATGGCAAGGTGACACAAAGCCATGAGTGGCAGGTGTCTCCTGCCCCAGCAGCATCTGTGTCTAGGAAGGCGCTGAGCAGGGAGCATCCATTGCAGCCATTCTGGGTAATTATGGTAACTCGCGTCATTACGGTGGTAGCTGTGGTACATTTCAGGCCACCAGGCGCTAGCACCCCATCCTGGCTCTGCTTCCCTGCACAGCCTCATGCTCGCTCCAGGTCCAGGCGCCCCATGTCCTCCGAGTCTTGTGTTCCTTCTGCAGGGAGAGCTGCCTGCTGCTCTTCCGGGTGCCTCCCTGTTTTCCTTTCTGGCCACCTGCCTGTGTGACACAGGGAGCCCTCATAGGTGACAGGCCCTGAGAGGTTGTACCGGCCCAGGGCAGGTGGCCGGTGGGGGGCAGAGGGCATGGGTGATTTGCATCCAGAGCCCTTCCCTATAACTGAGCTCAGGGCCCCAACCGGTGGCGCCCCCAGACCTGGCCCCCGGAGCAGTCCTCTGGGAGGGGAGGACCTTGTAGGTCCCAAAACTCCCTGGCCGAACAGCCAGGCTTCAAAACTTTTCACCCAAAACAATAACAACCCACAGTTCTTCCCTGGAGACTGAATCCTGTTTAAAATAAAAGGACCAATGTGGAAGGGAAATCAGCAAAACCGAAAACTTCCTTTGGCCTCCCATCGCTCCCAGGATAAACTCCCAAATCCTCAGTATGGACAGAATAGCTGCTGACCTTCATCAGTACTTACCCCATGGTTCGCCTAATCCTCCCGGCATCCCAGGAGGGGGTCCCCGGGCCGGTTTGTTCATTCACTGGGGTGACTGGGGCCCAGGATGCCCAGCTCCATTCTAAGGTCGTTGCAGTGAGCAGACTCCAAGTCCCCGCCCCACGTCAAGCTACATTCCATTGGGGGCCCAAGACAGAGACTCTCAGATGGAGGAGACGGAGCAGGGTGGGGGCTTCCATGTGACAGTGAAGCCCCGAGAGGTGACACTGGAGTCTCTGGGTGGAAGTGCCCCAGGCAGGGAAACAGTGCGCAGAGGCCCTGGGGTGACAGGGCAGCCAGTGTGTGGGTCGGGGCGGGGGGCGGCACAGGAGGGTTTGAACAAGGAACATGGGGGTGGGGGGAGCAGCACCTGGAGGGGACTCTGTCGTAATCCAGGTGGGAGACGGTGGGTGGCCTGGCCCAGGTGTGCAGTGGAGGTGGGGAGAGGGGCCCAAGTCAGGAAAGAGATTTCCTTCGGTGTTTTTTTAAACGCAGTGATGTTTGGGGACAGCTGGGTGGATCTCACACAGGTGCACGCCTGTGCGCACGCCACCAGAGGCTCCTTGGACAGGATGCATGTGTAAAGGCCAAGCTGACAGTCTCTGAGCAGGGAGGGGGAGAATGGGGAAGGGGTGGGGGCTCAGGGTGTCGAGGCTGGGCCTCTAGATGTCAAGTGAACAGGGAATCCCAAGTTTGGGGAAGGTCAGGCCATAGCACCCTCTGGACAGCCCCTACTTGAAGGCATCATCAAAACAGGACGGGCGGCCACACAGGGAGAGCAGAGGAGAAGACAGAGCTGGTAGCCGGGGGCGGGGGCTGGAGGCAGGAGGACAGCAGGAGGGGGCGGAGAGGGCGGGGTGGGCTCTAGGGGGCCACCTCCTGGGTTAGGCACTTATGGGGACAGTCGAGGAACAGGAGACAAGGAAGGCAGGTAGAACCCTTCGCAGCCCCCTCCTTCAGGAGTCCCCCTGGGCCTTTTGGACAGCCGTGCCCTGGGTGTGGGGTACCCAGAATGCAGCCTCAGCAGGACCTCCCGCTGCCCCCGCCCTCCCGGGGCCGCTCACCAGCGTTCCTGCAACTCTGTCTTACCCCACTCTGGCCTTTCATGCCCCCTGCTCTGACCCCTAAGTGGCTGGGGTGGGAACTCTCTTCCACACCTGGCAGGTGGGTTGGCACTGGGCTCCCCAGGCTAGTCGGTCTGCCCCTGGAACCTGCTCACCCTGGCCTTGTGTGCTCCCCTTCCACTGATGGACGCAGGCCTGTCAGCCACTAGCCACAGGGAAAAGCTCAGAAGCCTCTAGATGGGCCAGGGTGCCACAGAAGTGAGCTAGACAGGTGGGCCTGCAGGCCGCCGGGCCAGGAAAGTGGAGGAAGAGCAGGTGTGGGAGACTGGAGGGGTGGAGGTCAGGATCTAGCAGGGCCTGGGCTGGGGGCAGTCTCTTCAAGAGTGCTGTGATGATGCAGGGGTGACCATTGGGCGCTGTGTGTCCTGCCCCATCCCTGCCCCTGGGGTGGCCTTCACAGCTCATGTGGTGCAGTGTGAGCCTGGCGCACTCCACCCTGGACCGCCTCCCCTCCCTGATGTCACCCCCCCACTTGCCTTTCCGTAGCCTCAGCGCCTTCCAAGCTGCCACAGAGCTCACCTCTCTTGACAGGTATTGCCTGTCTCTGTCTCTCCCCTCAAGAACATGGCCTCCAGGACAGGGGCCGGGTGTGTGCACTGCGCAAAAGGCACTTCATGGATGCTGGAGGAACTAATGAAGAAGTGAATGAACGAAGGAGGGGAGGCAGGATGAGATTTGGGGCAAGGGCAGTGCCCATGAGGACCAGGTGGGGGCAGGAAGTCCCCATGTTCTCTAGGGGCCGGGGCAGGAACAGGAGGACTGGAAATCTGAAAGGGACTTGGGGGCCCTGATGGGTGGTGGGTGCTAGGATTGGAGCAGCCTGGCTGGGAGGGAGCAGAGCGTGAGTCAAAGGAAGGTTATTTTAGGATGGGGCCCGCAGCCAGAGAGGGCGGCGCAGCTGAGCTGGAGGCGGCTGTGGAAGGGCCCCCAGGCCTGCCTGCTTCTCGCCTCTAGGGCTCAGCCTCAGGCTGGCCCTCTGGTACCCTGTCTTGAATCTAAGAGTCCCCCAACCCCCAGCAGACTCTCGTGGTCCCTAGCTGGACAGTACAAGAGCTCTGAGCAGGGAGCGGCTCAGTTCCAGGGAGGTCCAGAAGGGCTGGTGCCACAGGACTGGGCGACCCTTTGGATAGGGGGTTTGTCCTCTGCTCTCTGGTGTGGCAGCTGGACTGGAGCGGGGTGGACAGTCCGGCCTCCCCCTGTGACCTGCAGAGGGCCGTGCTGGAGCCACCTGGCTGGGCGAGGGTGACTCAGGTCCAAGCCCTTGGGGTGCACAGTGGTTGGGAGGGTGAGTCCAGGGGTCCCTGGCAGGCTGGGGACTCGCGCAGAGCCCTGTGGGTGTTTGGGTAGGGCAGCACCACTGCAGACATGGCACTGCAGGCCCTACCTCCCCTGGCCCCCCACCTCCATTCCCCAGACATTGCCCCAGGTTCAGCACTGCCCTGACTGGGGACAGTCTGCAGAAAGGGTTGAGGCCACCATGGTGGATGGGCATCTCTTCCCCAAGGAAGAGATGGGGTCCAGGGACTGCAGGGGATGTGGGGTGGAGGACCCCTTCCCTCCTTCCTTCCTGGGCCGGGGAGGCTGGGGATGAGTTTGGAGGTGGGCCCTGAGCACACTACATGGCCCAGGGTGCCCAGTGGTCGTCCCCACCCTGCACACACACAGGAATGACACTCCTCTATGGAGGAGACCTCCCCAGCGCTGAGGCCTCTCTGGAGTCTCAGTGTTGGCAGGACATGGCCAGGACTTGGTCCTCGAGGGAGCGTGGAACACAGCCGAATTCGGCCCGGAATTGGGGGTCACGGATGCCTGGGAGGGGCCTGCAGGACATAGATGGATAACTATGAGCTGTCCCTGCTGAGCAGCTGGTGGGGAGGCCACCTTTCCACCCGCCCTCCTGAGAGATGGAGGGGCTTTGGGGTGGGCCCTTGCCTTGGAGAGTCTGAGCTCCCTGGGCCGCCTCGCCCCCACAGGTTGGCGCTGTACGTTTATGAGTACCTGCTGCACATCGGTGCCCAGAAGTCAGCCCAGACCTTCCTGTCTGAGGTAAGCCACCACCTCCAGGCTGGCCCTCCCTCCTCACCCACACTCCGGGGGTCCTTCATTTCCACTGGGGATCCAGGGGGTGGGCCCGCGTTGCCCCTCTGATGGCCCTGGGAACTGAGGGCTCTGCAGGGTCCAGGCCCTGGGCTAGCATCCAGGCATCTGGTCCACATGCCCAGCCGGGACCTGCCACACATCCTGGGGCCCTCTGCCCACCCTGTTACCCTTCCCTCCCCACTCCCTCCCTGCCCAGATGTTCTCTGGGCACCCTGCTGGGTGGTGGGGCAGGGTCAGGTAGGGCCACCCCCTCACCACCTTCCTTTCCCTGCAGATCCGATGGGAGAAGAACATCACGCTGGGGGAGCCCCCTGGGTTCCTGCACTCCTGGTGGTGGTACGGGCTGGGCTGCTGTGGGTGGGCTGTGGAAGGGGGTTGAGGGAGGCACGTGGAGCAACCATCTTCCCCTTTGGCCCACAGCGTCTTCTGGGACCTGTACTGCGCGGCGCCTGACAGAAGAGAGGCCTGCGAGCACTCCGGCGAGGCCAAGGCCTTCCAGGACTATGTGAGTCCTGGCCCCAGGGACTCAGGGGCTCCAGGGCGGGAGGTGTGCTGGGCCTGTGGCTGGGGAGGTGGGGTGGGGGGCTGCACAGCCAGAGGAGGGCTGGGGATGGTGGCAGTTTGGGGTTGACAGGCAGAGCTGCAGCCTCCACTCAGGCTCTTGGCCACTTTTGGGGGGTCCTTCCACCCTCCACTTGGTCCAGGGTCACTCACAGAGTAAGGGAAAGCTCTTTCCACTGCACACACTTCTGAGGGTCCCCACAGCCCTCCCACCCCCATTGGGGCACTGGGGGGTGCCATTTCCCCGCATCTCATGTGAGCCTGCGTGGAGATGGGGGAAGCTCACTGCCTTCCCCCTCCTCTGCCGTGTGTGCATTGGGGGTCACTGCTGCTCCTCTGAGCGGGGAGCACAGGTCGGGGTGCCTGATGGGCCAGGCACTGGGACACTTTCTGACCTTGCCAGGTATCTGGAGCTGCCCACTCCCTCTCTGCTGTCATTTTCCCTCTGGGTTGGAAAAGGTCAGAGGCCGGCCTGGAGTGGAGGCTGCCTGGCTAACACTAGGGGATGGCAGCCTCCTGTTGTCATGGGGCAGCAGATGGCAGCCCTTCCCTTCATCCTCTGCGCTGGACCACCTGGCCCCCTCTGTTGGGTCTGAGGGGGAGGTGCCGGCTCTGCCGGTGGGCGTCTGGGGGGCGCCAGTCCCGCCCACCCCCTACCCCCTGTGCGCCAGAGCGCAGGCCCCAGCAAGGCAGAGGCGGCCCGAGGGGTGGGGCGCCCATGTCTCTGAAGATGCCTCCAGCACTCTGCATGAGAGCTGGGCAGGCTGAAGCCCTCCTGGCGTCACTGCTGTTCACCCCCATGGTGTCCCACTACTCGTGTGTGGTCCCCTTGTCCTAGTCCCGCTAGATCTGGGGCCCCGGGGGTGTCTGGAGCTGTGGACTTGGGCGACTCTGCCCCCATCCCTGCCGTCTGGGTCTAGCATCCTCTCTGGGCGCCCCCCGCCGGGCCAGGAGGGCGGAGCTGGAGAGTCGGCGTGAACGCGCTTCCCAGGCGCGCAGCGGTTACCATGGCAGCGCCGGCGCAGAGCGTAGACCGCAGGGCCCAGGGCGGAGGCCGCCCAAGCCCTGGGGTGACCGAATCCCCGCGGGGACTCGTCATGCCGGGCCGTCGCCTCCGTTGCTCTCGCTCTAACTGGGGGCGCCTTGCCCGCCGAGCCTGCACGGAGGCGGCCCCTTCCTCTCTCGCCCTCCGAGGCGGGGGAGGGGGGCGGGGGGGGCTCTGTTCGCCCCTCCCCGGCTCCCTGCCGACCTTGGCGTCTCCAGGAAACGCCGGAGCGCCCAGCCCATCGCCATGGCAACGCGGGCCGGGCCGGCTCCTCTTCAGGGATGATTGACGTAGGGGGTCTGGCCCGGGCCAACCGCCGGGGAGGGCGCGCCGCCCGGGATTAACTGCTCAGGGCCTAGAGTTGGGAAGCTGCGGGTCGCAGGGGGCGGGGGGGGGGTGCGGTGGAGCGTCCCCGACCAGGAAACGCTCAGGCACCCGCTGTGGCCCGTGAGGGGATTGCCCTCCCTGCGGGGTGGACAGACACAGGGCTCAAAGGTGCCCCCTCCCCACCCTCGGGGAGTGGACCGGAGGGGCCGCCTGGGAGGGCAGCTGCTCCAGGCCATTGTGTTTGCGGGAGGGGGCGGGGTGGGGGCCAGAGCCCAGAGGGGACCTGGAAGTTTGGAACTGAGAAAGTGGCACAGGAGTAGGGCACGAGGGCTTTCGAAGGATTTGTTTTGGGCCTTGGGAGTGCTCGCCGTCACGGTGGGCTTAGGGGGCTCCCGCCTCCAGCCCCTCCCCCAGTTTAGGACCCTGGCGGGAGGCTTGAGGCTAACCTCAGAGAAGGGGCAGGAAGGGGTCAACCCGCAGCCCCACAGGGGGAGGGAGGATTTCTCCAGGAGCCCTCCTCTAGGCAGGGGGCCCCTTGCAGCAGTCCCTGAGGGCAGGAAACGCTGTGTGACTGTAGGCAGAGTGCTCAACCTCTCTGAGCCCAAGTGGCTGTAGTTCATGCCACAAACACCTGAGTGTCCCTGTGTGCTGGCTTGGGCCGACCCCAGAGAGAGCCCATCACCTTCTTTTTGGGGTTTGGGGCTTGGCCTGGACCATACAGACAGGGGCCAGGAGAGAAGTTCTCCCCTCCCTGTCCCCAGACGTGTTCCTCTGCCCTCATAGACTGGGCCTCCCTTCCCACCTCACATCCCCCTCCCCACCTTCCCCCTGCCAGACCCTGTAGGCCCCATAGCAGACAGGTCTAGAACTTGGTCCCCGGCCAGGTCTGGGCTGCCACCACAATTTCTGGCAGATACAGGAAGCCCCCTCTCCAGCACCCTGTCTTGTCGCCTTCTCCATCTGAGAGAGGCTGGGGGATGGGGACCCCACCCCAGAATCCTGCTTTTCACCCTCCCTCCTGGACGAAGGGCAGGGTGGGGTGGGGCAGGGGTCTACACTTGTTCTAAGGTGGAGCCTTCAGGGAGGCTCTTGAAACTGCCGGTATATTTGTGTGTATGTTTATTTGGGGGGTCCTGAGTAGAGTTGGGGACCCAGCTGAGCTGCCCTGCCAGCCAGGACGATGCAGGGCCAGTTGAGATGGGTCTGGAGTGGGGAGCAGGTCTGTGAGAAACGAGGGCGACACTGGATCCTGCGTCCTACAGGGTCTTCAGACCCACAGATCCTCAGGCCGACAACCCCAGTGTGCTCACTGACCAATGCCAGCTCGCTGTCCCATGGGGCCGGCCACCTGCAGAGAGGGGGGGCACACCCCAGGTAGGAAGTGTCCAGGTGTCCTGACCTGGCCCTCTGGGTTTCCCGCACCCTTACAGAGTGCTGCAGCCGCCCCCAGCCCCGTTATGGGGAGTATGGCCCCAGGTGACACAATGGCCGCAGGCTCCATGGCGGCTGGCTTCTTCCAGGTATGGCCCCGGCTGGAGTCCACTGGCCCCCAACTCTGGCTGAACATGCGTTTGAGGGTGGGGGGGGTCCCACGTGGGCAGAGGTCATGAGGCCGGCAGGCTGGAGTTGGGTGGGAGGGTCCTCTGTGCCGCAGGTGTGCCCAGGTGGGCCTTTCAGGGGCCAGCGAGGGAGGGCCCGAGTGCAGTGGAGGGTGGGTGTCTGTGCACTTGGCCTGCACATGTGTGCGCACAGGGTGCTTGGGGATGCAGTAGCCACAGTGGTCCTGGTGACCACTGGTGCCTGAGTCCTGCCCTCAAGCCTTCCCACAAGGTCCCTGTCCCACAGGCTGGCCCACCCCTCTGCCTCCATGGAGCCCCTCCCCTCCTCAGCCAAACCCAGTAGGGCCTCACTCCCCCCCACCCACCTGGTTCTGTCCTCCTAGGGCCCCCCCGGCTCCCAGCCGTCCCCCCACAACCCCAACGCCCCCATGATGGGGCCTCACGGTCAGGTAAGGAGCTGTGGTGCCTGCCCCTCACACACACACATCCCCTCCCCCAGCGCCGCCCCCTCCCACCCTCAAGCCATGAGGTCCTGGCTGGTGCCAGCTGGCCGGGCTTTGCTGGCTGGTTCTGGAGGAGGGGGCTCCCCAGGTCGGGGGCCCCAGCATAGCAGGAATGGGGTAGCTTTGGGGACCAGAGGGTGGGGGAAGGTGCTGATCCCCGCCCACCTCTTCCAGCCCTTCATGTCACCGCGCTTCCCAGGGGGCCCCCGGCCCACCCTGCGGATGCCGAGTCAGGTGAGAAAGGGATGAGGGGAGGGCGGGCAGGAGCTGGGCCGGGGAGGGAGCACCCCACACTCAGTGCCGCCGCACCCCCTCCGCAGCCTCCCGCAGGCCTCCCTGGCTCCCAGCCCCTCCTCCCTGGCGCCATGGAGCCCTCCCCACGAGCCCAGGGTGAGTAGGGAAGCTCCAGCCCCTATCCCGCCATCAATCAGAATTCCAGCTCTCAGAGCCCAGACCTTGCTGCCTCCCCACTGTCCACACTGGGGAATGGTCCAGGTCCAAGTCCCCTTCCTTCTGCCCCACCCCAGGGCATCCGAGCATGGGCGGCCCAATGCAGAGGGTGACGCCTCCTCGTGGCATGGCCAGCGTGGGGCCCCAGGTAAGAGTGGAGCCCTGGTGGGTGGGGCCTTCGGGCTGTCCCCGGTCTACCCCTCACAGCCCCTTTGCCTCCGCAGAGCTATGGAGGTGGCATGCGACCCCCACCCAACTCCCTCGCCGGCCCAGGCCTGCCTGCCATGAACATGTAAGACCCTGGGGGATCCTAGGAGTGTGCAGTTCGCAGGCCACCACCAGCTTCATGGCTGGGTCAGCTGGGGCAGGTCCTGAATCCTCAGGACAGCCTTGGATATTGTTTATTTCATGGCCACCGTTGAGGGGAAACTGAGACTTGAAGTAGCAATTAGTCTCCTGGGGCCAGTGATGGGTTGGGATTGGAACCTGGCAGCTCATGGTGGCCACTTTTCCAGCAACATCTGCTGCTCTGTGGTCGGTCTGGGGATACAGTGGAGCAGGGTGTGGGGGGTGTGTGGTGAGGGCTGTGATCCACATGGACTAGCCCCAGAGTCTGTCATCCGCGGTCTCTTCCAGGGGCCCAGGAGTTCGTGGCCCGTGGGCCAGCCCCAGTGGAAACTCGGTGAGCCTATGGCTGGGTGGGCAGGCTTGGGGTGGGGTGGGAGGGACACTGGGTGAGCCGCCTGGCTGACTGCTCACAGCTGCCCTTGTCCCCAGATCCCCTACTCCTCCTCATCCCCCGGCAGCTACACCGTAAGTCTGAGCAAAGCTGGGTCACCCCTGGGCAGGGGTTGTGGGATGGCAGATGAGGGGCCATTTCTCACGGTTCCTGTCTCTTGTGTGCAGGGACCCCCAGGAGGAGGTGGGCCCCCTGGAACACCCATCATGCCTAGCCCTGGAGGTATGGCCTAGTAAGAGGTGGGGGTGTGCTAGGGTGGGTGTGTTTGGGGGAAACCCCGTCACACCTGGCACCCTTCTGGTCTCCCCCAGATTCCACCAACTCCAGCGAAAACATGTACACTATCATGAACCCCATCGGGCAGGGCGCCGGCAGGGCTAATGTGAGTGGGGGCTTGCAGGGGTGCTTCTCGAGGCGGTGACCCCACTTGGGGAATGGGTGGCCCGAGTCCCACGCTGTCCCCATGCCCGCAGTTCCCGCTCGGCCCTGGCCCGGAGGGCCCCATGGCCGCCATGAGCGCGATGGAGCCTCACCACGTGAACGGATCCCTGGGTGAGTGGGCGTCCCTGCTCCCGCCCACGTTGCCTTCCGGGCCCGTGCGCTCCCTGGCTGCTTCCCCCTGCCGTCAGCCCGCCTGCCGGGTGGAGGCGTCTAGTGGCGTCCTGAGCCCCCCGGGGGCCGCTCAGTGACAGGGGCTGCCCCGAGCTGGAGGGGGATCCAGCGACCAAACCAGAGGATGCACTGACCGCCCCTCCCCCCCAGGCCCAACCCTCCACCTGGCCTCAGTCCCGGGGTTCCTGGCGGGCTGTGCGGGGCGGGGGCGCGTCGGCGGGGGCAGCTTGCGAGGGTCGTTGGCCCCTGGAGGCCGAGGGGCATGGCGCCAGCACGTCTGAGCCGGTGCCCGTGTCTGTCCGTGTCTGTAGGCTCGGGCGACATGGACGGGTTGCCGAAGGTAAGGAGGCTGCGCTCTTGCCGGGGGTGGGATCCGGGGGGGGTGGCGGGGAGGGGGCGGGGCGGGGAGTTGCGAGCCGACGGCGGCCGCCCCCAGAGTTCCCCCGGCGCCGTGGCCGGCCTGAGCAACGCCCCGGGCACCCCGCGGGACGACGGCGAGATGGCGGCCGCCGGGACCTTCCTGCACCCGTTCCCGAGCGAAAGCGTAAGCGACTGCGTCGACTCCCCCCCCGCGGCGGCGTCGGGCCGGAGGGGCTGGCGGGCAGGCCCCGGCGGGGCGGCCGGGGGGCCAGAGCAAGACCGTGACCGCGGCGGGCCAGGTGGGGGGGCGGCCGCGGCATCCTTTCCCTCTCCTCAACCTCTCCCCACCCCCCACCACCTCCCGCTCCTATTTCACCGTCCCGATCCCATCCGCCCCCACCCCGGGACCCGCGCCCCAGGGCGGCCTTCCCATGCATCGCCCCTCCCCCGTTCCCTCCTGTCCCCACCCCATGTCTGCCCAGGACCCAGCCCTGCCCTGTCCCCCATTGTCCCTGGGGGCGGGTCCCAGCCTCTTCCGGAGCTGAACTCGGCCCCTGCGCGCTGCCCCCTCCTCTCTCCGCAGTACTCGCCAGGGATGACCATGAGCGTGTGATGGGGCGGCAGCCCCGGGCCTCTCTGCGGGCCTAGGCTTCTGCCCAGCGCCCCTGCTCAGGGCGAGGGGCTGAGGTCACACCTCGGGCACCTGGACTCCTGGCCAATCAAGGCTTGCCCAGCTGGGAGGCCCCACACGAAAGACTCTTACCATTTTATTAAAAACGCAAGGACCTCAGAGACGTTCTTTTCTGTATGGACCCTTCCTGCCATTTGTATTTTGTCCCAGAGAGAAAGGCTCTTTGGGGGGCCCCTCTCCCCAGGACGTCAGGGGGTGGGGCCCATAAATAAATGGAAGCTGGTTTTGGTTTTTGGTAGCTTGTCTCAGATTCCCTCTTTGGCCTTCTGCCACCACACTCTCCACCCTGTGGTCTTGTTCCGTCCCCGCCCCCATCTAGCCCCACCTTTGAGAACTGGGGGCAGAGCGAGGCTCCAGGTTCTGGGCTCTCCCTGGGAGTTGGGGTGATGACCATGGGCAGAGGGGATGGGACTGAAGCTGGGCGCTCAAGAGTCGGGGAAGTAGAGGGAGGCAGAGTCAGGTCACAGGCCCCAAGAACCCCAGGTGGAAGGAGGGCTGAGTGGCAGCGCCTTTATTTGTGGGGGCCTTCAAGGTAGGGTCGTGGGGGGCAGCGGGGAGGAAGAGCCGAGAAACTGTGTGACCGGGGCCTCAGGTGGTGGGCATTGGGGGCTCCTCTTGCAGATGCCCATTGGCATCACCGGTGCAGCCATTGGTGGCAGCGGGTACCGGTCCTTTCTTGTTCAACATAGGGTAGGTGGCAGCCACGGGTCCAACTCGCTTGAGGCTGGGCCCTGGGCGCTCCATTTTGTGTTCCAGGAGCATGTGGTTCTGTGGCGGGAGCCCCACGCAGGCCCTGGAGAGGTCACACAGCTTAGCAGAGCCAGACACCCACAGGGAGAAAGGGGGGGTATCCCTGCCACCTACAGCCCCCCAAGCCCTGTGCATAGCTTAGCCAGGGGGGTATCTGGGCCCCGGGCGGGAACCTGGAGGCTGGGGTGCACCTGAGGATGTTCTCGATGCAGCTGCGCTGGCGGAAAAGCGCATTGACCACCGGGCTGCCGGGCGGCACTAGTGGCGCCTTGAAGAGGAAGCTGAGCAGGGACAGCACGGGGTGGAAGGTCTGCGGCTCGGGGTCCATGTCAGTGCAGAAGCTCACGCGCTGGCACAGCTCGGTCAGCAGCGCTAGGTCCAGCATGATGGGTGCGGCCAGCAGCGAGTCCTGCGGGGCGGGTGGGTCAGGAGATGGGGGCGGTGGCCAAGCCCTGCCTCCCATAGCAGCCCCTGAAGCCGCGCCGCACCTCACACGTGTTGTGCAGCACCAGTGTGTTGGTTCCGCCCAGCATCAGCTCCGAGGTATACTCATCCAGCGCGCGCTTGCTGTCACCCACGTACGGCACATACTTGATGACCACCTGGAGTGCAGCAGGAGTTTGCCCGGGTCCCTGCCACCCCTCGCCGGGCAACCCCGCGCCCGCGCCCGCGCCCCACGCACGCAGTGGTCAGGCTCTTCGCCGGGCGTATAGAGCACTGGGTTGCTCTGCACCATGTCGTCCACCACGTTGCTCTTGGACACCTCCTTAGAGCGGAACTGCAATGGCGCCGATAGGTTCTCCCCATCGTTGTTGCCCAGGTGGTTGTAACTCACGATGGACATGGTCTGTGGGTACAAGGGAAGCCCCAGCAGCTGCAGGCCCTGCGGCCCCACAAGCCAGGTGCTCGCGGCCCAGGCCCCCTTCCTGCACTCGGCAGCTCCCTAGGCCCACGCACCTTGAGGCCGGAGCCAATGAGGAAGTCCACAAGCACGGACTTGACTTTGGTCTGGCCTGACTTGAAGTCATCTCCGCCCACAAAAACCCGGTGCTGCCACGCGAGCTCAAGAGCTCCGGGCACCAGGGTGTTCTGCGGAGACCCATTGAGGAAGGCACAGCCCTCCAGGATGCTGGCCACGGCGAAGAGCGTGGAGGGCGACACCTCCAGACCGAGCTGTGGGCAAGGCGGGCAGTCAGCACAGAGCTGTGTCTGTGACTGGCCCTGCCTGACCCGCTCCACCCGGGCGTTCGCCCACCTCAATGGTGCGCAGCAGGTTCTCGGCTGTGTCGTTGAGGCCTGGAATCACCTCACAGAAGCGCTCCGTGTTCGCCGTCCACAGCACTATGACTTTGTCCAGCCCCGCGCTAGACCGGAAGTCTCGGATGTCCCTGCGGATCTGCTCCAGCTGTGGGTTGGATGGTGAGGGTGTGGGGAGGATGGAGAGGGTGTAGGGAAGTTGGTTGTACATACTCTCGGACTCACAGAGGCCTGGGCTACTCAGTTCCCCGGGTGTCAAGTGAGGCCTGGATTCGCGGGGTGGGGCAAAAAGAGGGAACCAAGTGGCGAAGAACAGGTGGCAGGAAGCAAGGGATGCGGGATGGGACAGCACCTGCTGCGCACGCGAGCCTGGGATGAGGTTGTCCGCGCGCGCGCTCTGGTTGGCCGCGATGAATTCGGGGATGTAAACAGAAGGCCGGGGCCGCAGGGCCTCCATGTGCGGCCACAGTTGCTCCTGCAGCCCCCAGTCCAGCACCTTCGCGCGCCGCATCGCCTCGGCCAGGTTCAGCGACGAGATGTCCCAGCCTGGGGGGACCCTCACACTCGGCCCTGCCCGGATCCTGGGCCCCTCCAGACCCCATCTCCCATCCCGCCCCACCCCGGCCCAGGGCTCCGCCCACCATCGAACACGAGGTCGTTGGGCGCCACCATGGGCAGCACCGCGCTGAAGGGTACGAACACCTCCTGGCCCTCGGCGTCCAGGCCCAGGCTCACGGTGCCCGCCTGAGTCAGCGAGCCGTAGTAGTTGGCCTCCTGGGGGTCAGCAGACACGGCGAGGTGACGGGTGGGAGTGGTGAAAGGGCCGCGACCCGGCCTGGGCCCCACCTAGACTCTCAAGCCCCGCCCCACTTTCGGGCATTTTTCAGTTCCAGGCTCACAGCCAGGACGGAAGCCGCTGCCCCCAGGCCCCTCCCCTGAGACCTCCGGCACCTTAAGCTCCGCCCCTGTAAGACTCCCGAGGAGTCCCCGCTACCTCGCGAAACCCTTCCACGGGGTCCGCCTGCAGCCAGGCCCCGCCCCCTGCAAGCCCTCCCGCCCCACAGAGCTTCGCCCCCTGCAGGTCCCTCGCCCACTACAGGCCTCCAGACCCGGGCAGGTCCCTCGCCCCTGCAGCCCCTCGCCCCGCGGAACCCCACCCCCTACAGCCCCCCTGGTCCCGCAGAGCCCCGCCCCCTGCAGGCTCCCGCCCCCGCCCGCAAGGACTCCCACCAAGCCTCCCTACCCACCACGCCCCTCCCGCCCCCACCTTGCGGCCGCTGCGCGTGGGCCAGGACAAACGCAGTCGATTGGCCAGCACCGCGGCGGTGAGTGTGGAGCCGTTGTTCCCGCCCCAGCCGACAAGCATGACCCCGAGCCGGGGCACCTGCCGGGCGGTCCGGAAGGTGAAGCGCGTGGACGTGGGGTGCACCTGAAGACAGGCCGCGCAGTGAATCCCGGGTCCCGTGCCCTTCTCCCCGAGCCGCCCCGCTCTCCCCAGCACGCCTCCTTCCTCAGCCCCCTGGTCCACCTTGAGAACGCCACCCTCGCGGCTGACGCGCGTCGTCCGGTACTCGTATTGCGCCTCGATGGCCTCGGGGCCGTAGACCACGTCCGGGCTCTCGACGAAGAACTGGGCGGCGGCCTCCATCGCGGCGGGCTGGGGGCCCGGGGTGAGCAGGGGGTCAGCGGGGACTCTAAGCGGCCGGGGCCAAGCCAGCCTGGGTCCCCACGGAGGCCGTCCCTGCCCCGAACCGCACTCACCGGCGCAGAGTCGACTCAGGCAGCGGCGGCGGACAGCGCGGGCTCTCGGGCGCGCGACCTCCGGAGAAAAGCGCTGCGGCCCCTCCCCCGCCCCGCCCCCTTCCCCGCCTCTCCCGCGCTGGGAGGGAGGGGCCCAACGTCTGGAGACCCGGTTCGAGGCCCGACAACCCAGAGCCACCGTGGCCATCGGGTCCCCGCCTGGCGGAAGTGGCCAGGCGTCCACGAGCGCGGCGCGTATAGGTTCACCTCGCTCGCTCCGCAGCCCCCAGGGGCTCATGGCTGCCTATCCCCCCTTTACAAGAGGACAATGAGGCTACACATGAGCCCAGCCACAAGCCAGGGGGTGGAGCTGGGCAGGGAAGCTGGGCCTCCGGGGGGGTAGGTAGGGGGTCTGGGTCAGAGACACTGCAGGGGAAACAGGCAGAGGACCAGAACTCCAAAGCCAGAATCTCCTCGGAGCCACACTGCCACCTACTCCCCCTTCGTGGGCAGCAGCACCTACCAGGCAGTCCCATCCCCTGGCTCCCCATGTCCGCCCCCATCCATCTCGGGGGACAAAGTCACTCTGTCCCCACGGGGCTCACAAGGATGGGGCCTGTTTGGCCTGTTTCCCCACCTGCAGCAGGAGGGCTTGGCAGGAGTGGGCCGGAGCGGGAGGCTGTTCGCTGGAAAGGGGAGGGGACGCACAGGCGGGCAGGGCCGAGGCAGGGGAGGAATGAGGCCTGCACTGCAGGGCGCCCCCCTCATGCGCGCTGATAAGGGAGCGTGGGAACCCAGCGGGCAGGCCGGGGCAGCTCCCCCAGGAACTTTCCAAAACAAGCGCCTGGAGGCCGGAAAGTTTCCACCACTGGAGCTGGCCCAAAAGGTGGATAGTTGGGAACGTTTGCAAGAGACAGGGCCTGACCTTGGAGGATGAGGGCTTAAGACTCTGGGTCCAGGCCTCACCCTGAAGGGGCCCCAGTCTGAGGGAGTTGGAAGTGGACTGGGACACCCCCGCCCCAGTGGGTGGGAACTCACAGGCAGGGCCCCTGCAAGACAGGCTCCCCAGATGAGGGGGCTGCTGGCAAGGGTTTTGAGACATGAAGAGGAGTTCACTGAAAGAAAACTACAGGCCAAGCCACCTGAGCCACCCAGACAGGGCAGATGAAAAATTGGCTACGTGGGAGGCAGTTTGGGGTCTTGGGCAGACCCTGAGGGCTGGGGATAGGGAGTGTGAAAGAGTATTTGGTGTTTGTTCCTGGTTCTTGGTTAGACATTGAGCTCAATCACCAGTGGCCAACGATTTAATCAATCACATATATGCAAATGAGACAGTTGGGGCTCAGAACACAGAAACTCCCCTCAGCCTCAAGTTATGGGGCCTTGGCCTGCCCCGCGCTTTGAGCAGGGCATCGGAAAGCTCAGAATCGAGTCTCTCCGACCTTCTCCTGCCCTCCTGCCTCTAGCCCCTTTCTCCCCTGGAAACCATAGAAACCAGAATTCCTCTTCCCCAAGGCAGGTCAGAGACACTGGAGCCCTTCTCCCCTTAAAACAAAAAAAAAGCCACAAAGCCGGCAAAGGTCACTCTCTGCCTGCTCCCTTGAAGACCCTCATTCCGGGAGGGTCCTGCCCATACCCTGGAGGAAGGAATGCTACCCAGAGTCTAGGAAGTCTGGGCAGGCTGGCCCCCCTCCCCCACCCAGTCTGCTCCCTTTAAGATCTACAGTGTTTCAACACATTGATACACATTCTTCATAGAACCTAAGCCGAAAAATAGGCAGTCAGCCAGGCACGGTGGCTCATGCCTGTAATCCTAGCACTTTGGGAGGTCAAAGCGGGCGCATCGCTTGAGCCCAGGAGTTTGAGACCAGCCTGGGCAACACGGGGAAACCCCGTCTCAATACAAACAAACAAACAAAAAATAGCCGGGCTTGGTGGCGCACACCTGTAGTCCAGCTGCGTGGGAGGCTGAGGTGGGAGGATCACCTAAGCTCAGGAGGTGTAGGCTGCAGTGAGCCATGATTGTACCACTGCACTCCAGCCTGGGCAACAGAGTAATACCCTGTCTCAAAAAAAAAATGGGGTTTAGGGGAAAATATGGAGGGGCTGGGAGGGTGGCATGCCTGGAAAAGGCATGGAAGCTTCACGGCCCGCCCATACCTTGCCCTGTGCGCCTCCTCCATTTGGCTGTGAGCATTTTCCGGAGTTCTGTGAGCTGTTCCAGCAATTATCAAACCTGAAGTGGGGTCATGGGAACTCGCAATTTATTAGCCTGCTTGCCAGAAGTATAGGTGGCATCTGACACAGGTGCAGCCCTGTGGGACTGACCCCCATAACTTGTGGAGTCCGATACCATCTCTGGGAATGGAACTGTTGGACATCCTGTAGGTACTGGAGGATCAGAGAATCGGGGAGTTTGTGCCTCGAGGCGACACGTGATTCAGGAACCTGTGTAGTTGAGAGACATGAGGAAGGTCCCAAGACCCAGCCCCGGGGAGCCTGTGTTCACAGGGCCACCTGTAGAGGGTGCCGGAGGATGGGAGCTGGCACAGGGCAGCTGGAGGGAATCGGCATAGAGGCTGGGCTGCTTCCACTCCCAGCAGTTGACAAGGCCGAAGGAGGGGGTTTGGCCCCTACAGTCAGGCCTGGGTGTGCTGAAGTCGGTGGTGAGATGCACTGTTATTCCCCAGCAAAGTGTGGGCTCCCTGAAGGCAGGGATGAGGCTGAGTCACTGCTGTGTTGCAGAGCCCAGGTGGAGCTTGGTACAGGAGGGGGCTGCAGGAACAGGGGTGCCCGTTGAAAGAGGACAATTGGGGCCCCTGGCAGGTGGCAGGAGAGGGTTTAACAGCTCTGAGCCCCTCTCTACCAGGGTGCCCAGGTCATGAGGGTGGGAAGGCTCTCCTGAATATCCGGGGCACTAGACTGATGGCATCCATGGCTCAGGAAGGTCAGGGGACTGACTGTGGCCTCTGCAGGCTGCGGGGGTGATGGCCAGAGTATTGCTGGGCAGTTGGCTTAGGGCTGGCGTTGGAGGGCCGGGGGAGGCAGGACCGTGAGCTGCAGGAGGTTGGTGTTGGCCCTGGGATGTTGGGACAGAGATGTTATCCTGGGAGAACAGCGTGGCCAGGCTATGCTGGGAGCAGGGTACACGCTGCCCCACTGGGCTGCATGACTTCCCCTCCCGCGCCCCTCAGATTCCTGGGTGGCCTTAGAACTTGGGCCAAGGCCACGGACGGGCAGGGAGGCCAGGCCCCCCCCACAGCTGCAGGCCCAGGACCTTTGCCCACGGTCCTATTCTTCGGTGTTATCGCTTACTAAATGCACCCCTTCTTGTCCTTGGCTGGCAGGTTGAGTGTTATGTTCTCCATGGCCCCTGGCTCGTTCCACCTGCACCACCGCCGCTCCCGTCAGGCCTTTTCCCCATCCCCACTAGTGGCACAGGGGATGCCCCTGCCCCAGTGTGGGAAGAACAGGTAATATTACCGTTACCTGCTGCTGCTTTCATCAGAGGGAGACAGTCACAGCTGGTTTCCCCCACCCCCAGCCCCACTCCTGTAGCCTTTGGTGCCACAGGGGGCCAAGGAATCCCAATGCTGGGTTCAGCCCACCCTATCCACACCAGAGGGTACTGCTGTGCTCACACACCTGCTATGGCTCCCTATCCCTCCGCCCTGACCCAGCCTGCCCCCACCCCCGCGCTCCCCGTCACCTACAGGGCCCTCTGATTTGGTCCTTTCTCAGGCAACGGCTCAGGTAGGCTGCAAACTCTGCCTTCTTATCTGGTCCCAGCCAGAGCCCCTGAACAACCCTTTCTCATCATTATGGCGGCCCCAGGTCACATCACCTCCTGATGCCAGCCCACCCCCAACCACAGGACAGGGACAGCCACCACAGAAACCAGGCTGTGACACACCCACACACTACACACACACCCACACCCCAACACACACCACACACCCAACACACACACCCCCAACACACACCACACCCTCACACCACACACACACCTACACACCCCAACACACACCACACACCACCCAACACACACCACACCCTCACACCCCAACACACACCACACATCCGGTCAACACACACCAACACACACCACACCCACACCAACACACCCCAACACACACCACACCCACACACCCCAACACACACCCACCCTCAACACATCCCCAACACACCACACACACCCCACACCACACACCCCAACACACACCACACCCTCATACCACACACCCAGATACACCACATCCACACACCACACCCCAACACACACCCACATCCCAACACATACCACATCCCAACAAACACCACATCCTCACCACACACATCCCCAACACACACCACACACCCCACACCCCAACACACACCACACACAACACACCCACACATACAACACACACACCCTAACACATCACACACACTACACACCCACACACAACATCCAACACACACCGACACAGATATACTACACACCCACACACCCCAACACACACCACACACACATACACACCATACACCACACACACAGATACACCAACACCCACACACCACACACACCAGCCAGGCAGCCTGGGCTGCCAGGTTCAGTTCAGTGAAATTTATTGGAGAATGAAAAAAGTCAGCATTCACCTGTTTAGTGTACAAAAAGGACACTAGATCTTTTAAGAAAATATCAGGAAACTGAAGACGCAGATAGATGCCTTTCAATTGTAACATTTTGGCAAAAGTGGAAAGTTCTTGTAAACACCAACCCCATGGCTCAAAATAGTTTTTCTCCACAGTACAACATTAAAAGAAAAAAAAATAGTATCAATAAGTTAGACCATATTTAATCAGCTAGAACTTTGTCCACCAACCCCCAAAACACAAAACTTTTCTTAGCTTCATAATTCCTTAAAAGGAGAACAAATAAACAACAAAAACAACAACAACAACAAAAAGGCAAATTCAACTGACAGCCCCTTGGACTGGTTCCCAGGGCAGAGGGGCGGGCAGTCCCGGGCTGGGACCTCCTGAAATCATCCCACCTCACCGGTGTCTGCAGGGCTGCCTGCGGGCGACACAGCAAGGTCCAGCTGACTCTGGAGGCCTCCTGGAGCCTGCTCGGCCCTTCCCCGGCCCGGCCCGGCCCAAAGAGAAAAACAACAACAGCTATTGAAACATGAAGGATCAGTTTCCTCGGAGCTCTGGGAACCCGGGGGTCCCAAAGGAGAGAGACTCTCGGGCAGGGGTGGGATACACTGTGGGCCCTCCACAGTCAGCTCTTTGGAAGCTGTCAGGAGGCACCCCTCCACCCCCCAGTTTAGAAAAATAGACATCTGTATTTTTGCATTTCTGTTCTCCCTGCCTGACTGCTGATGGCAGCAGTGACCCCCATGTGATCCCTGGGCCCTGAGTCACAGCCGCCATCCACCCCCCACCACCTTTCCAAGTCATGGCTTCATTCAGCCCTAAATGGGAACACACGCCTCAGACCCCACCATGCCCTGGGGGGTCCCCACATACGCACACTCACACACCCACACTTGCGTGGCCCCCCGATGCTTTGGGGGACACTAGACTAGGCACAGCAACAGAGCAGCAATTGGGGTGTCTGCAGAGCCTGCACCCCCAGAGCAGGCAGACCCATCCTCCTGGCTCCCCAGCTCTGCCCATGGGTCCCTGGGGCCTCCCTGACCCCATGGCGCCCAGCCCTCCATCAGCCCCTCCCTGAGTGCAAACCTTGGCGGTGGCTCTGCTAAGACGACCCCAGGACCCACAAGTGGACAGAGGGACGGAGGGAGGCCAGCAGCATCGAGACCACAAGGTCTCAACAGTGTGGAATGAGCAGCAGCAGCAACAAATGGGAAACCGAGGACATCGCAAAGAAAAGTCTGACGCCGCTGCGGCCGAGTCTCAACTTGGAGCACAGAAACACAGTGGCCCCCGACAGCTGAGGGCCTGAAATAGCAGGGCAGGCCTGGGGGCGCTGAAAGCCCTCTGCCCCCTTGGCTCTGAGCAGCTGTCTGGGGGCACCAGCTGGAGTTCTCAAAATAGCCACCTGGGCCACCCTGTTTGCTTGCTGGAGCAGAGACCCTGCCCAAGGAGGAGAGGCTGGGGAAAGGGGTGCCTAAACGTAGAGCCAGAGACCAGCAGAGGCCACCTGCCCATTCCCCACGCCCTCAGAACGCAGCTGCACCTTTCGACGACCTCTGTAATACTGCAGGCAGGACCCAGGGCAGCGGCTAGACCCTGGGTGTCCGAGGAGAGGGAGGCACAGGTTTAGAAAAAAGATTTTGCTTCTCTTTTGTACAAAAATAGACTCAAGTCTCATTAGCAGTAGCTAAAAGTGGCTGTCTTTGTATAAAACTAGAAAAGGCAGGCGCGCCACCCCAAGGGCCTAGGAGTCTTCTGGCGAGACAGGAGGCTGAACCCCGGAGGCTGCAGCCAGGGAGGAGGCAGTGGGCTTCCTGGGGAGCCCATCATAAGCAGGGACTGCTCAGGAAGCGCAGGGAGGGCCGAGGTGGGCTTGCAGCCACCCGCCAGGGCCAGACGTCTGCAGGGGCTGCCCTGAAAGCCGGCGGTGCTGGCTCAGATGAGCATCTTCCTCGGGTTTATTTTTTTAAATAAATCCTCTCTCACCGCCTTTTGCTCCCCCGACCCTCCCAGATCCCCGCCATCGGGGAGGGCGGCTAGGGCCAAGCCTGCAGCTGCCGCTGGTCGTACTCGGCGATGAGCCTCTTGATGTGGGCCAGCTTGCTGTGCAGGTACTCGCAGCGGTGCTTCTCCTGGCTGTAGTTGGTGTTGGTCTGTGGGACAGCACAGTCATGCTCAGGACAGAGCCGCCCTGGGTGCTGCTCCCCGCTGTAAGCAGGCCAGTGTCCCCCCCAAACCAAAAACCTGGGCTTGGTGCCCAGCAAGGAGGGTTGTGGTCCAAGGGCAGAGTGGGAGTTGGTCCCCCGCACCTCCACAGCTTGTGTGGCTGGGCCAGGATGCCACAGCTGAAGACTTAGCTGGGGGTGGTGGGGCAACTTTGGCCTCAGACTCAAAGGCTCTTCCCCCACACCTTGGAAGTAGCGGGCAGGGAGGCTGCCCCGGGCCCACCCTCCTCCCTCCAGCTCCCATGGCTCACTTGGAGCCCACCCCAACACAAGAGACACTCACCTTTTTGATTTTTCGATATTCCTGCAAAATCTGCCCTCGAGTAGTCTAGAAGAAAAACAAAATTTTGAGAAAACAGAATGTGTCCCCGCCTACAGGAAACCCAAATTGAGTGGTCCCAGGTGCTCTGAGAAGGGGGCATGGGAGGGTGGGGCAGCCTCAAGGACAAGGCCAAGTAACACCCCAGGGGCCCACAGCGGCTGTAGCTCCGGAGTGGGTGGGGCATGAGGGAAAGGCTGCCGGGTCCCCTGGAGGCAATAGCAGGTGGGGCACTGCTGTTGTGGGGGCGTGGCAGGACAAGGAAGTATCCATGTCGTGGGGGGGTGGGGAGGGGGTGGGGGGGTGCAGCAAAGAGGGAGGGAAGGGGAAGGAGAGATGCCCCAAGAACCCGTGGCTCGCAGCCCCTAGAACCCCATCATGAGTCGTCGTCTTTGGAAGGCAAAGGGGCCTTGGCCAGGAGAGACCCCGGCATCTGATTAATCAGGGCCCAGCCCTGTAGTCAGGTCACCAGTTCCGAAAGGTGGCAGGTGGGGCGGCTACGTCCAAGGCTAGGCTAAGGGTGGAGACTCTCTGTATACACAGGGCAGCTGAATGAGCTGTGAGCTCAAGCCAGGGGACCACAGGAGTCCTGATTCCCAGGACCACAGGGACCTGTCACCTCCCCCTGCTATAGTTGTGGCAGCATGGATGGGCCCCAGGGTGCTGGACAGAGCTCAGCTGCGGAGTCTCCTGAGGGTTTGGCACAGGTACCAAGAGCCCTGTGTCCTAGGCTGTGAGAGGACCCCAGGCGCTCAAACATGTGGGGATCCATGTACCCCGGCTCGCCCCCATCCAAGGAGGTGGGTCACAGCTGTCCCCACTGCAAAGGAGGCTGACAAGCTGGGCTGCCTTCAAGGACTCCCACAACAGGACCCCAGGGCCGGGCCAGAACCATGGGGTTGCTGCATGGAGTGCACCAGGGGGAGAAGCGCTGCCTGGGGAAGGGCCAGACTCTGGGGCCACCAAGCTCGTGGTGGCGATGGTGCGCGCCCAAGTGGGCCCTGGCTCCCGCCAGAGCCAGGGCACAGTAGGCAGCGGGGGGGCTCTACCTCATACTCCTCGGAGCCCTGGGAGAGCTGCCGGAGCTGGGCGTCGAGCTGGGTGAACCGCCGCGTGATGCGCTCAATGCGGGCGTGCAGGTCGCGGTACTCGCTGTACTCGGCATTGAAGTCGTTCTTGTAGCTCTGGCGCTGCTCCGAAGAGGAGATGGCTGCGTACTTCCTGAAACAGGAGAGAGGGGCCACTGAGTGGAGGCTGGAAGGACCCAGCCCCACCCAGGAAGTGGCCATCCTGGCTCCACCGGCGGCCTGGCCTCTCGGGTGATTCCCTGGATTATGAGGGGGCCTGGCCCAGAAGAGGCTGCTATGTTTGGAATTCACATACTCAGACTTGCAGTGGCTTCTACCTCTGATAACCTGCAGTGCTGGGGGAGGGGGTCTGAACCCAGAAAAGGGAGGCCTGGCCTGCAGGGCCCAGACAAACACTCACAGCAAGTAGTCAGGCGTCTCCGACGTGGACGTGGGAACACTGGAAACGCTGCAGGTTCCGTTTAAACCTACGAGAGCAAACACATACCTCCTGAGTCTGCGCCCATGGCACCGGTCGGCAGGAAGCACGCCAGGATGGGGACATGCATGAAAACTGTACACTTTGCTGCTGGAGGGACATAGAGGGATAGCAGAGGGGATGACTGTGTGGCAGGTGCAAGGGCTGAGCCCCTCGCACCTGGCAACTGTGGGCTGCTGGACCTGGGCGTGCCCTCCAGGTGGTGAGCAGAGCTCAGCGTGCACCTGCGTGTCCAGGGCAAAGCCCTGCAGGACACAGAGCACCCAGGCATCACCACAGTCACATTCTTGGCAAACAGCGGACAGGTCAGGGAACTGCAGGGCCAAAGCCTGCACAACCGGTCAGAGCTTCCCCCAGGCCAGGCCCTTGCTGCCTCCACTGACTGCATGTCAAAGGTCACTAAGCTGAAAACAAATGACCCCTGGCTTGACCTGAGTCTCTGGGGCATCCCAGTCTCTGGCCAGACAGGACAAAGACAAGATGGCCAGCAGGGCCTGCATCTCTTGCTGCTGACAAAGTTCCACGCCCTTGGTCTGTGCCCCACCCAGATCATCCCGTCCTTTCCACTAGACACTGAATTGCACGCTCCACAAGGCAGCTCCAGGACAGGGCCAGCCAGAGGAGCCCATGGGCCACCCCAATCGGCCATCCATGAGCAAAGTGTCCATGATGACGCTCAGCCCTTCGCCCCTTCAGGGGCCTGCCCAAAGCAGCACAGCTGATGGCTAGATGGCACCCCAGGCAGCTGTCCTGCTCCTGAGCCATGTGGTGGGGTGCCCCGGCCACATAAGACAACACCCCTGAGGGTCTGGAAATCAGGGAGGGGAGGGGCAGGAAGACTGAAGTGCGCGTCGCCTAAGACCACAACTACAATTTAGTGCGTTTTCTAGACCTTCTTGCAGTGGCTTTCTTTCCGATACAGAAATGATTTTATCAATTTCAGATGTATCCTCAATACACTTTTTTTTTTTTTTTAGAGACAGGGTCTTGCTCTGCCACCCAGGCTGGAGTTGCAATGGTGCGATCATGGCTCACTACAACCTTGAACTCCTGGGCTCAAGTGATCCTCTTGCCTCAGCCTCCCAAGTAGGTGAGACTACAGGCATATGCCACCATGCCCAGCTAATTACAAAATTTTTTTGTAGAGATGGGGTCTCACTGTGTTGCCCAGGCTGGTCTGAAACTCCTGACCTCAAGCAATCCTCCTGAACTGGCCTTTCAAAGCGTTGGGATTAAAGGCATGAACCACCACACCTGGCGAATTTTTTTTTTTTTTTTTTACTTTTTAGTAGAGATGAGGAGGCTTGCCTATATCGCCTAGGCTGGTCTTGAACTCCTGGACTTAAGTGATCCTCTTGACTTGGCCTCTCAACATGCTGGGATTATAGGCGGAACCACTGTGCCTGGCCCTAGTGCACATTTTCAGGGGCCCTCTGCACTATCCCCTGAGAGAGCAGGAGTCTGCGATCTCCAGTTTGCTGAGCCCTCTCTCTCAGTGTAACACACCTGGGCTGACCACAGCAGCTTCTCTGCTGCCAAATTCCCAAAAGTGGACGAAGCTCACTCCCCACAAAGTTTCTAACACTCCCCACTTTGGGCCAGACACTGTCTTCCATATCACCACCACCCCCACCTGGGTTGTCTTTAAGAGGCTGTGGCCTTCCCAGGGACGCAACTCAATGGGCATGTATTGAATGGGTCTGACCCTGGTCCGGGCCAGAAGGAAGTGAGAGGCAAGGCGCAGCTGCGAAGGCCAAGCCCATGCTCCCGCCACGCAGTGGACTCCGTGGGTATTCTACAACAGATAACTGCCATGTGTCAGGCTGGTCAACATTACCTCATTTGACATGCCCCAAGATCTTCACCAGCTAGGATGACAAACGGGGAAATCAAGGCTCAGGGTCAGCTCAACCTGGTACCAGTGGGACCTTCAAAGTCCAGCCCTTGGCAAACCTCAGCGGCCCCCGACTCCTACTCAAGCTCTGGCTGTGTGGGGCCGGCCAAGCTGGTCCCTGCTTCGGGGCCCCGGAGAACACCCCCACAGCAGCTCCTCTCCCCATCTCTCCCCTTCACAGCCCACGTCTCTCTACTTGCTTGTCCTGGGCACGGGCACAGGACAGCTAAGACATGCCCTGCACAAGTACCACCTTCAGGACTCTGGTAACATGGACCACCAGCACCAGGCTCAGCTTCTGGTGCCTCCACTGTCCTTTTCTTGGTGCTTGGGACATCTACCCCTGCTTTGCATTTTCTCACCTGTGGTAGAGATGACAGCCCCTGGGCCGGGGATGAACTGCCTAGGGGCCAACACGCACCAGGCCAGACAGGAAACCACCTTGAGTCCCCAGGCCTGTCTTGGCACCTAGGCACTGGGCATCCAAGGAAGGGACACAGCCCAGAGTGGTCTGTGGACCCTGGAGCCGGGCCAAGGGTCTCAAATGGCAGATCCTGCCATTTGATCGTGGCCCAGGTCTGGCTGTGGGGTGTGGGTGTGTCCTGGGAATCAGGAGTCCTGCCCTGAGCATGGCCCTGGTCAGAGAGGCTGCCCAGGGAGTAAGGCCACCTTCTCCCCGTCGGCCCCCACATGCAGTCCCACGGGAGGTGGGAAGCCCAGCACGAGGCAGGGCTGACCCAACCCCGAAAGTCTTCCTTCCTATCCAGTAAGACCCAGCCACAGTTGTGAGGACCTGCTCTCCAGCCACAGCAGGGGACGGGGCATGGCCCTCTGAGCAACGCAAAGCTATAATGAAAGAAGGGCTCCCACCCTCATCCCAGGAATCCCCTGACTCAGCCTCCTCCCCAGAGACACAACCCAAAAGCACAGCAGGTGACACCACCTGGGCTGCCCTGGGCCAGCTGGCGCCGAGAGCGAAGTGGCCATCTGCAACTGGCCGCCATCGCCACATGGGACCACTGCAGCCCCTGTCGCACATGGTGGTGGAACAGCCGCTGCACGCTGGCCACTGCTTCTGCTGGTTCCTATAAATGAACAGCTGCGCAGGCTCATGGCCACGGTGCTAGGCGGGTGCTACTGCTGCTCAGTTTAGGTGCCTGGGCTGTGGTCTCGGAGCCGCCCAGGTCTCCTGGCTCCCCAATCCCAGCCTGCCAGGCCCTGTCCCCACAGCAGAAACCTACAGTCCACAACAGTCGCACGGTGCCTACAGAGGTCCAGGTGCTATCCCTCTCCCACCAGGATCTGCCCATCTGCACCTGTGCTGCCTCTCCCTGAATAGGGCTGGCTTGCCTGGGCCCCCACTGTCTTCCCTGAACCCCAGCAGACCTCAGCATGGCCCTGGCTCCTGGGGCTTCCCTGCAGTCAGAGCTGGGGCCTGGGCCCCATTCCTCTCTGCATGTTAGCCCCTTCTGCGGCCTCAGTTCCCCACAAGGCTCTGGGCCTCCGGCCCCCAGTGCTGGCCTGGCACATTGACTGCAAGTGGCACCGGGCACTCCAGACAGGCAGGGAGAGGACCAGGTGCAGGAACATAGGGTGCCAGGTGCCAGGCACACAGGGCAAATCTGATGGGGCCTGGGGCAACAGGGTCCCCTCCCCTGGCTTCTACAGCTTGAGCCCCCTCGACACCCCATGAGGGTGAGGCGGGTGTGGGGCCAGTACTTAGAGCCCCGGCAACGCCCTCCTGCCTGGGCACCTACCTGGGGTGTCTGCTGGGGCTCCGGGGGTGGCATGGGTGGCAGGTGCACAGTCTGGAAGCTGGGCCCGGGGCTTGTCCTCAGCCGCCCTCTCCTTGTCTTTGTGCTTCTTGGACTTCTTCTTGGGCTTGCTGCGCGAGGGGCTGCCGTGTGGCCTGCTGGGCTGGGCACAGTCCGTCAGCAGGGGCAGGCCGAGGCGCACAGTGGGGGCTGGGGCAGCCGCCTCTCCGTGCTCACAGTCTCGGCCGCTGTGGCCCAGGTCATTGCTGACATCGGCCAGGGGGTCGTGGGCCCTCGGGGGCTCCAGCCGCGGGGGCAGGTGAGTGCTGGAGCTGAGGGTGTCCGTGCTGGCTGGTGGGCCCGGGGTGGGCAGCAAGGCCTCACGGCCATTGGGCACGCCCAGCTTCCCGTTGACGGCAGGCTGAGCTCTCTGAGTGAAGTGCGATATCCGGGGTTTCTTGTTGGCTAGGGGGTCGATGAAATCAGGAGGCTGCAGCCGCTTCTGGAGAGGAGCAGAGATCATTTTAGAGGGGAGCACAGAGTGGCTGAGCAGCAACAGGCAATCCCCTGGCCTGGCTAGAAAACCCAACGCCGCCTGCAAGGCCCACGCTGGCCACATGGGGGCGCCCGAGCACCAAGTCAGGTCCCAGGTGCCGCTCAGGGTGGCCTCAGCTGGGGCCCATCAGCCTGCTGGGATCGATGCAGGGGGAGGGCAGGGCCCAGTGTGTGAGCGGGCCACCCCTGGGGACTGGTCTAAAGCGCTGCTGTGCTCAGCATGCTTCCCCAGTGATAACTGTGACACAGGAGCAGGAAGCCCAGGGTTGAGCCCACATCAGGGAGCCGCCCCCCGTCCCAGGTTCCGCACTGTGACACTGGGGTGCTGCGGCCACACTGGCAGGAATCTGCCCCCAACCCCAACCCGACAGCTTCCCCCTTGGTCCCTGGGCGGAGGGAGGCGGCTCAACTTGGAGCAGCTCATGCTCCAAAGAGCTGGTGAGGAAGGTGACAAGGGTTACTGATGCAGCACAGAGTGCCCTGCAGGTGCTTGGGACAGTCACCCCAGGCATGCCTCACTTACCTGTGGGGGCGAGGCCGAGCGCCCACGCTCGCCTGGGGGGCTGGAGGCAGCAGGGTCTCCAAGGAGGCTGCCAGTGCTCTGTGGCTGGCACAGCTTCCTGCGAAGGAGAGGCAGGGCTAGGTCAGAAGGTGCTGAGGGGGCCTAGGGGCCCCAGGCCTGTATCCACATGGGGGCCCGGTGGAGATGCCTCAAGGAAGGGACCCCCCTCCTCCCAAATCCAGAGCAGGGCCAAGGGGTCACAGGAGCCTGGGCCTGAGGCCATCCTGCCCCCGACTTCACCCAAAGGAGGACTTCCCCACTCACTGTCCCCCTGAGCCCAGAGGAGGATCACTTTGTGTAGGTGCCTGCTACCGGAGAGACCAGGGACACACGCTAGGGTGCTGGACCCTGCTTTTAAAGACAGCTGTTCATCCTGTTCAGAACGCTCACTGCAGAAACTGTCCAAAATGCAGAAGAGAACGGAGGGCCCTGGCCTAGGATGAGACAGCCTTCCTGGAAGCCCAGGTCACAGCAGGATCTGGAGGGCGGCAGAGTGGCCACCAGCTTGACTAGGTGATGCAGCTGGGGAAGAAGGGAAGAAACACCCCAGTGCATGCCCCTTCTCCCGCTCCATGTGATCTGGGCAAGTGGAATCCCCCACCCCCGCCAGCAACCCTGCAGCTTATGGGTATCCTCTCTGACCCAACTGTTCAATTCCCGGGGGCTGTGCCATCTCAGGGCAGCCTAGCGCCCCTCCAGGCCCTGCAGAGAGACTTAAGTCCAGGGCCGTGGCCATTCTGCCAGCCAGTGACACCCAGAGCCCATCTCCCTAACAAATGGGCTAGGCTACAGACCACTGCAGGTGTCACTTCCCTGGTGGCCTGAGAGGAGAGCCATGTGGACATAAACAGAACTCCCAGTTAAAGACAGAAAACTGAGAACAGGCATTTGCATCCACTGGACAGGCAAGGCAGAGACAAAAGGAGGAGTGAAGACACCGGAAAGCATAGCAGAAGCATGAGTGGTGACTGCTGCAGGATCCAGAGAATCCAGGGCCCAGAGCAAGAGGCACCACGACCTCAGGGGACAACAGACTGCTGCAGGGCCATCCCCCACAGCTCTACTCCAGATCCTCATCACTGCTGGTGGGGCTGCAGGACAGTGAGCCCAGGGCTGTCAGGCAGCAAAGAGGCTCGGGCCACTCCTCCAGGCAGTTGGGAAGTTACCTGGGCCACAGCTGGACAACAGGATGGCCAGATGTGTGGCCTCAGGAGAAGAAGAAACAGGGCCCAGGACTAGGGCACATCGGGATTCAGAGGCCCCAAGCTGTGCAGTGTCCCCAACGGCTGCACTGCAGCTTCCAGGCAACAAACGTCAGACCTCAAAACAGAGGAACACGAAAATACATTTGAAAAGAGACTCCACAGGGAGATGAAAACGTTAAAAAATAAATCAACAGGCCGGGCGCCCATGGCTCACGCCTGTAATCCCAGCACTTTGGGAGGCCAAGGCAGGCGGATCACCTAAGGTCAGGAGTTCGGGACCAGTCTGGCCAACATGGTGAAACCCCGTCTCTCCTAAACGTACAAAAAAATTAGCCGGGCATGGTGGTGGGCACCTGTAACCTCAATTACTTGGGAGGCTGAAGCAGGAGAATCACTTGAACCCGGGAGGCGGAGGTTGCAGTGAGCAGAGATCATGCCATTGCACTCCAGTCTGGGCAACAAGACCGAGACTCCGTCTCAAAAACATAAAATAAATAAATAAAAAATGCCAGTTTTCGTGTCCTTGGAAAAACAAAAGCTCTGAATAGACGTTTCTTCAAAGAAGCTATACAAATGGCTAAAAGCACATAACAAGATGCTCAATGCCATGTGTCATCAGGGAAATGCAAATCAAAACAACGAGACACTGGCTACTCTGGGCACACTGCCTATGGGTTAGCCCTGCCCTGCAAGGAGCAATAATGAACAAACAAACCCACCAAACAAAAAACAAACAACGAGATACCACTTCACACACACCCAGGGATGACTGGAATAAAAAAAACAGAAAATAGGTTGGGCGCAGTGGCTCACGCCTCTAATCCCAGTCACAGCTCACTGCAGCCTGGATCTCCTGTGCTCAAGTGATCCTCCCACCTCAGCCTCTAGGGTAGCTGGGATCACAAGAGCACAACACCATGCCTGGCTAATTTTTTCATTTTTTGTAGAGATGAGGGTCTCACTATGTTGCCCAGGCTTGTCTAGAACTTGAGCCCAGGCTTGGGCTCAAGCAATCCTCCCACCTAAGCCTCCCAAAGTGCTGACATTATAGGCATGAGCCACCACGCCCGGTCCTGATTCAACATTCCTCACAGCTACAAGTTTCCACAGATTACATGTCAGCCACACAGCGTATAATTCCATTGATCTGAAATGTCCACAACAGGCAAATCAATAGAGACAGAAAGCAGATTAGTAGTTACCAGGGGCTGGGAGCATGGGAGGGAATGGGGAGAATGACTCCTGATGGGGATAGGGTTTCCTTTTGGGGAAATGAAAATTTTCTGGAACTAGACAGAGGTGGTGGCTGCACAATATTATGAACGTACAAAATGTTACTGAGCTGCTCACTTTAAATGGATGACTTGTGTTACATGAACTGTATCTGAATAAAGCTGTTATTCTTTAAAAAACATCCTTAGAGGCCGGGCCCGATGGCTCACGCCTGTAATCCCAGCACTTTGGGAGGCCGAGGCAGGTGGATCACGAGGTCAGGAGATCGAGACCATCCTGGCTAACACGGTGAAACCTCATCTCTACTAAAAATACAAAAAATTAGCCGGGCATGGTGGCGGGCGCCTGTAGTCCCAGCTACTCGCGAGGCTGAGGCAGGAGAATGGTGTCAACCCAGGAGGCGGAGCTAGCAGTGAGCCGAGATCGCGCCACTGCACTCCAGCCTGGGTGACGAGCAAGACTCCGTCTCAAAATAAATAAAGAAATAAATAAAATAAACATCCTTAGAGTAGGTTAAAAATGACATCCTGGGCTGGGCATAATGGCTCATGCCTGTAATCCCAGTACTTTGGGAGGCTGAGATGGGCAGATTACCTGAGGTTGGGAGTTCCCGACCAGCCTGGCCTGCATGGTGAAACCCTGTCTCTACTTAAAAATACAAAATTAGCCGGTCGTGGTGGCAGGCGCCTGTAATCCCAGCTACTCGGGAAGCTGAGGTAGGCGAATCACTTGAACCTGGGAGGCAGATGTTGCAGTGAGCAGAGATTGCGCCACTGCACTCCAGCCTGGGCAACAGAGTGAGACTCAGTCTCAAAAAAAAAAAAAAAAAAGGCATCCTGGCTGGGCACGGTGGCTCACACCTGTAAACCCAGCACTTTGGAAGGCTGAGGCCCTTGAGGTCAGGAGTTTGAGACAAGCCTGGCCAACATGGTGAAACCCCAGATCTACTAAAAATACAAAAAATTAGCCGGGCATGGTGGTGCATGCCTGTAATCCCAGCTACTCAGGAGGCTGAGGCAGGAGAATTGCTTGAACCGGGGAGGCAGAGGTTGCAGTGAGCCAAGATTGCGCCACTGCACTCCAGGTTGGGCGATAGGGTGAGAGTCCCTCTCCAAAAAAAAAAAAAAAGAAAGAAAGAAAGAAAAAGACATCCTTTCCATTAAATAAGAACATGATGAGTTAGGCCAGGCACAGTGGATCACGCCTGTAATCCCAGCACTTTGGGAGGCCGAGGCGGGTGGATCATGAGGTCAGGAGTTCCAGACCAGCCTGGCCAAGATGGTGAAACCCCATCTCTACTAAAAATACAAAAATTAGCCAGGCGTGGTGGCGGGCACCTGTAATCCCAGCTACTCGGGAAGCTGAGGCACAGAATTGCTTGAACCCAGGAGGCGGAGGTTGCAGTGAGCCGAGATCATGCCACTGCACTCCAGCCTGCGTGACAGAGCAAGACTCTGTCTCAGGAAAAAAAAAAAAAAAAGAACATGCTCCTACGAAAACGCAATGGGGAAGACTCTTAGAAACTAGAAATAATAGGCCTTGCATGGTGGCTCACATGTGTAATCCCAGTGCTTTGGGTGGCTGAGGCAGGCAGATCACTTGAGGTCAGGAGTTCAAGACCAGTCTGGAGAACATGGTGAAACCCCATCTCTTTGCCTAGGCAACAGAGCAACACTCTGTCTCAAGAAAAAAAAAGAAACTACAAATAATAGTAAATTAAGAGACAGGATGAGAAATGTCAAAGAAGTCTCCTAAAAGGAGAATAAAAAAGAGCAAGAGATGAAAACCAGCTGGGCGCGGTGGCTCACGCCTGTAATCCCAGCACTTTGGGAGGCTGAGGTGGGCGGATCACCTGAGATCCGGAGTTTGAGACCAGCCTGACCAACATGGAGAAACCCCATCTCTACTAAAAATACAAAATTAGCCGGGCATGGTGCGCATGCCTGTAATCCCAGCTACTCTGGATGCTGAGGCAGGAGAATGGCTTGAACCCAGGAGACGGACGTTGCTGTGAGCCGAGATCGCGCCATTGCACTCCAGCCTGGGCAACAAGAGCAAAACTCCATCACAAAAAAAAAAAAAAGAGATGAAAACCAGGAAGAGGAGGACAGACTCTAGCAGCCTGCCAAGAGCAGTTTGAGGTGGTGTGCAGTAGGATAGGCCTTTCCACTACCACACACAGGACAGAAGGACGGATAGACGGATAAGGCAAGTTTTCAGCCTGCGGGGGCCGTGGTGCCCACCATCCCAGAGTAGGTACCTGGCCAGCCCCTGGCTCTGTGGACCAGCACAGGGTTGGGGTGGGAAGCCTCTGACCTTCAACGTGGAGGGAAAGCATCTTGGACTCTACAAGTCTAGATGTGATCAACCGCCGGCTCAGCAGGACCATCGTCTGGGCATGAAGATGTGGCCAGCAGTCCTCCTGGAGCCCTGTCCTCAGAGAGGTGCTCCAGGAGCTGTGCTCCCTTGGCACCAGGGAGGAGCAGGAAGGAGGAGTATATAGACTCTGGCATGGGGCTCACAGGAGAGGGGAGTGGCTCAGGTTGGAGGTAAGGGCACCAGGCAGTGTGTGGCTTGGGCAGAGGAATCAGGAACTCTTGGGGGGACCTGCAGGACCCCTGACCCATGGACAGTGATGAGAGGAGATTTGGATACCAGGGACAGATCGGGTTTGGACATCATGAACAAAGAGAACATGAGTGGAGAAACCACCCCCCAAAGCCACATGTGGTGCCAGCTCAGCTGGGGAGGCTCCTGCAGTGACTTGGGCCCCCACATCCCATCTGTCTCACGGCCTGCACTAGGCTAACGGCCTGCACTGGGCTAGCCCAGCTGGTAACAAATACTCCAAGGCCCTGCTTTGATATACACGAAGCCATGGTGTCAAAAACTGCTATAAATGGGGCTTTCTTAGGGATGGGGTGCTAAATAGGAAAAAAAAAAAAAAACAGCTATGCAGAGGGGCACCGCAGGTCACCTTCTATGTGGTTATGGCCCAGGGACATCAACCCTGCCCCCTGCACGCTAGTGGAAGCTTGTGAAGGCAGTGCTGATCCCCATGCCGGCCCAGAGTGAAAGCAGAGTGCCAAGGGGCTGGCATGAGCCCAGCAAGCTCACTCAGCAGACGGAACATGAGCCTTGAATCAGGGGAGCTGGAGGCGGCTCTGGAGCCTGCATCCCGGGGAAGCTCCCCGACGCCCCAGAGGTGCAGCCCAGCCTTCTCCACCTCACTCCACTAGCTCTGGGCAGTTCTCCTTCCAGTGCCCTAAGGGTCTGAGGAACCCAGGGGGCCAAGGGAGAGGACACAGGGTATGAGGATGGGGGCGGGTCTTCTGCCAAGACTGTGCCCTCCGCCAGCCTGCCGCCAAGCCAGGGCAGTGCCCCGCAGGCCCCTGACCTGCACACCCAGGGTGGACAGGCAGGCACTACCCTCTCAGGGGAGCAGAGTGGACCCCCAACTTCATTCTGCTTTCCAGAGGCAATTACTGCTTTAAACAGCTGAACTTCCAAAAAACAACTACAAACTCATAAATACCTCCGAGTCCCTGAGAAATCACTTACGGACTAATTAGCAGATTGACCTGCTTCACAGCCCGAGCTCCCCTAGCTGGCAGCAGTGGAGAAGGAAGTCATTAGCCGCCTGCCTCCTTAACCACTGCTCCCCTGAGCTGCTGCCACTTCTGACCCTGGGTCCCAATTAGCCTGAGGGGATGCATTTAATTAACGCTGCTTAATGACGCCTGCCCTGCCGGGAGTGTCGTTTGGCCTTATTTCTCTCTACTTCAGGTTCTTGAGAGGCTCTTTTCAAAAAGTCAGTGAACTTCCCAGGCCCTGTGGGGATGCCCAGGTTGTGGAGGGAAGCATGAAGGGAAGTTGGGGACAGCTGAGGAGGGTCTCAGCAGACTGAGGCCTTTTGTCTGAAGATTCCAAGGTCGGGGCCAGTGACTCACACCTCCGTCCCACTCTGTGAGCGTGGCCTTCCCCCACCACGGGACACCCTGGGGCACCACGTGGGCAGTAGGGAGGATGGCCAGAGAGGCCTACTTGGACCCTTCCATCCTGCTCCCAAGCCCTGTGGCCTTCAGGACCACACAAGACCACCCCAGCATCCTCTGGGTAAGCTCTGGCTGCCTTCATGCGGGTGGGGACATGCTGGGGGATGGGAGGCGGCATTACCGGACGAGCACCCGCTTCAGCAGCTGCTGGTCCCCCTCCGAGTAGCCAGGCCAGTCCTTCTGCACATCCTTGTACATGCAGTCCTGCAGTGTACACGTGCCGTCCTTAGCACTCATGTTGGCCACCTGCAAGACAGAGCCAGCCATCACTTTGTGGGAATCCTGAGAGAGACGGGGGACTAGAGAAAAAAGATCTGATAGTGGGTTTGGGAGGGTGTGCAGAGACAGTGGGAGACAGACAGAGACAGAGGAGAGGAAAGAGGATGGCCCACTACCGATCCGTGATGTCTCCCACCCCCAGTTCCCCCGCACACAATCCTCAGGGTGCAGAAGGGATAATGAGGGTCATGAAGGCAGGTCCAGACTCAACTGTCTTAGAGGTGCTGGGGCCAGGCTGGCTCCAAAAAGGGGAGGGCTACCACCTGCAGTACTGAGACCCCATCACCTGCCCCCTGGCCCCTCTAGCCTGCTTTTTTTCCTTTTTTGATACAAGATCTTAGCTCACTATAGCCTAGACCTCCTGTGCTCAAGCGACCCTCCCACGTCAGCCTCCCAGGTAGGTGGGGCCACAGGTGTGCACCACTATACTCCAGCTAATTTTTTTTAAGAGATGGGATCTCGCTATGTTGTCCAGGCTTGTCTTGAACCCCTGGGCTCAAGCGATCCTCTGATCTCAGCCTCCCAATGTGCTGGGATTCCAGCCACCACACCTGGCTCCTATTTCTTCCAGGCTGGAGTGCAGTGGTGTGATCAAGGTTCACTGTAGCTGCAAACTCCTGGGCTCAAGCGATCCTCTTGCCTCAGTCTCCCAAGTAGGTGGGCTATAAGCATGCACTATCATACCCAGCTAATTTTTTGTATAGATAGGATCTCAGTATTTTGCATAGGCTGGTCTCGAGCTCCTGGCCTCAAGGATCCTCCCACCTCAGCCTCCCAAAGTGCTGGAAACAGGCGTGAGCCACCGCGCTGGGCTCCACCCCATTTCTGATCACAACTCCCAGGGAAGAGTCAGCCACGGCTGGGGATGCTGGGTGAGGGGTACCTCTGGGGCCACGTCTGAGCCCACCTTCCCTACAACCAGCCTGCCTTGCTGTTGCCGGTTGACCAAAGCTAAGTTCGTCTCCCAGACTGCTAACAAAGATGGATTCAGAACGTCTGCCTTAGAGGGATCTGAGGAAGCTCCAGGTCACTGCCCTGAGTGGGTGCTGCGTGCTGGCCTACAGGGCACTCTGGTCTCCATCTTGCTGCAGGCATAGCAGTCACTGTTTTCTGCTGCATCTGACATGGCTCTGCGTCACAGCGTATCCCATGGGGAGCATTTTTTTTTTTTTTTTGAGATGGAGTCTCGCTCAGTTGCCCAGGCTAGAGTGCAATGGCGCTATCTTGGCTCACTGCAAGCTCCGCCTCCCGGGTTCACGCCATTCTCCAGCCTCAGCCTCTGGAGTAGCTGGGACTACAGGCACCCGCCACCACGCCCGGCTAATTTTTTTGTGTGTGTATTTTTAGTAGAGATGGGGTTTCACCATGTTAGCCAGGATGGTCTCGATCTCCTGACCTCGTAATCCACTTGCCTCGGCCTCCCAAAGTGCTGGGATTACAGGCGTGAGCCACCGCGCCCGGCCCATGGGGAGCATTTTTAACAGTTGAGTAATATCCCACCCCCAAACTGCTGCCAGTTTCTCTGTAGCATAAACAGACATTACTGTGTGCAGTTTTTTTCAGGTTGGCAACAGTTTCCTTCGACGGGATTCCCAGAAGCCAGATTAGTAGGTCAAAGGCTGAATATTTTTATGGCTCATGACAGGCTTTGCTAAATATTACTCAGCCGTCAACACCCCTCCCCTTGAAGGATAGGCTTGCGGGTTTCCCTGGGGCTCAGCCAGTCCTAGAGGTGGACACCTTCCATCTCTGCTCTAGATTTTTCCACAGAGGGAGGGCCAAGCACCTTTGAGGCATGCAGTTTTGTCACTGCCATTCCTCAGCATGTCTGAGGGCCTGTGAGGGGCTGGAAATGACCAGTCTGGGTGAGGCACATCCCCCTCCTCTTCTACAAGCCAACAGTGTCCTGCTGACCCCCACAGCTGCTTGGGGGGAAGCAGCTGCATAATGAATATAGAAGCAAGAAGCAGACGAGCTGTCCAGGGGAAGTCACAGTGGCACAGGAAGGGACAATCTGCCTGCAGATGCTGGCCAGGCCTGCTCCCAGGAGGCACTGAACCAAAGTCACCTGGAGAAGCCAGGCACCAGCACAGACACCTCCTGGCCAGGCCAATGCAGGTCCCACATCTGATGACTCCATCGAGCTCCCTTCAGCAACTCCTGCTGGCACCATGCCAGCCCTAGCCTTGGGAGCAGGATGGGGGTGGACGAGGGCCAGGCTGACATCCTCCCAAGGAATGTGGAACAGGGTCCCACCAGCCGCGCACCCGAGAGGGACGCCTATGAGGAGCTCCGTAAACATGGAAGAACGTCCTTTATACAGCTGCTATCCCGGCATGCCACAGCATGTGCTTTTTGCTGCAGGCATCACCTGTGTTCCTGAGGTGCTGGATGTGACCCCGAACATCCCACTTCCATCATCCTAAAAGGTGCAAGAGGCTCAGCCATGTCTCTTCCTCCACCACAGCAGCGATCCGAGGAGACCCATCCTCAGTTCACCTCAAGGCTGCATCTGCATAGCCTGGCTAATGTTCTGAAGCCAGTGCGAGTCACTCCCCTTCCCAGGGACCCCAGGAAGCCAAGGTGGAGCCTCAGGAACCTCCATGGGTGAGGGGGGTGGAAGGCAGTCAGGGCCATCGCACCTGCTCCAATGCCCGGGGTGTTTCTCAAGAGCAGGCTCCACTCGCCAGCACCACATTCCAGATGGCCTAGCCTCCAACCCCAGGGAGGGGCACTGCAGGTCACAGATGGAAGCCTGATGGTCTGAGACGTGAAGCCCCTCACCCGGAGGCGCAGGTGGAGGGCGGCAGGCAGCTGATTCACACTGAGGCCTGCCAGGCTCTGCCAGGCACGTGTAGATTCCTTCCCCAGGCCTTGAGTCCACAAATCGTCTGCAACTGAAGCCTGAATCCACTGTGCCAGGCCCCACGGCCCGTGTGTCAGCAGACAGTGAAGGAGGGCCTGGGCTCCATGCTGAGTCCACCTCTCAACCCTGGACAGTCGGGGCCATGCCCAGAAACGCATCCATGGCCCCCTAAGCTTGTTCTAATCCAGGAGGCCCTGGCTCTCAGGCAGGTTCTGAACCTGTGAGAGACCCCAGGAAGGGCTCTTCCTTGCCAGTCCCAATCCCAGTCTCCATGCTCTGGCCCATCCCACCCGCACAAGACCATCTGCGGAGACCACTGGTAAAGACAAGACATCGGGGCGGCACCCACCTGCTGGAGGAGGCCATCCAGCGCGTCCTTGTCCGCCTGCGTCAGGCCGTCCTTCTGCAGTCGCAGCAGCAGCTCAGCCTTGCGGTAGGGCCGTAGTGCCAGGAGGTGCAGCACTCGGTCACGGAAGGGCCTCTGGGACACCCCGCTGCCCCCACTCACGGCACTGGCACCACTCTTCCTGATGGCACTCGCCAAGTTGATGGGGGTTGCCCGCTTCCGGGAGGGCACCGCGTCTGTTGCACCTGGGGCTGGTTTCCGAAACTGAACCTTCTTGCCTGCAACAAGAATCCAAGCTTTAGGGAACAGAGAGGGCGCTGCCGTGTCCTAAGCCAGTGCTGCTGACCAGGTGCCCAGAGGTTTGAGACTATAGACAGTGCTGGTGGGAGGCACCACACCAACCACAGCAAAAGCCAGCTTGCTCCTTGGGGACCCTGGGCGACCAAGAGCGCCACCTGCTGCCCAAGGCAGGCACCTGCAGGGCACCCAGCCTCAGAAGTGGGAGGTGCAGGCGGCAGAACTGTGTTAGAGCCTTACTTACTTCATCACAGGCAACCTAAATCCTGGACAGCAAAATCACCTGATCACTCTCACTCTGGTGGGCAGTGTGTGTGTGTGTGTGTGTGTGTGTGTGTGTGTGTGTGTGTATGTAATCACCTGATCACTCTGGTGGGCAGTATGTGTGTGTGAGAAATCACCTGATCACTCTGGTGGGCAATGTGTGTGTGCGTGTATGAAATCACCTGATCACTCTAGTGGGCTGTGTGTGTGTGTGTGTGTGTGTGTGTGTTTGGGCGGGGGGCGGGGGGGGAAGGATTGTTTTGTTTTTTGAGACAGGATCCTGCTCTGTCACCCAGGCTGGAGTGTAATACAATCATGGCTCATTGCAGCCCCAAACTTCTGGGCTCAAGCGATCCTCCCACCTCAGCCTCTGGAGTAGCTGGGACCACAGGTGTGCACCACCATGCCTGGCTAATTTATATTATTTGTAGAGATGGGGTCTCACTATGCTGCCCAGACTGGTCTCAAACTCATGGGCCCAAAGGACCCTCCCACCTCAGCTTTCCAAAGTGCTGGTATTATAAACCAGAGCCATCCTGCCCAACCTGAGGCAGGGGCTGTTTGTAAACCCTTCTGATGTTAAACTGGGGGTCCCTGAACTGCAAGAGGCAGTCACTCCCAAGCCTGCACTTCAGAGTCCTATGCTGGCCCCATGTGGCTGCCATTTTTGTTTTTCTAAAGTCAGTAAAGATGTCGGAGCCACTTTCAGCAGCTGCTCTGAAGACCCTGAGGTGCAAGTGGCACCCCAGCCTTAGGCCTGGTCAAGCTCTCCTCTGGCAGGCGTGGCTGTGCCCAGAGCCCTGGGGAGAGCAGGTTCCCCTCTATCCCCAACGCAGAGACGTGGGCAGGGTCCAGCACGCTGCTCCCCTGCTCTGTCCTGAACAATGATGCCCCGGCATCCTTGGGAACAGGGTCGGCCGAGCAAGCTCAACAGTGCCTCAAATCCTTCCCCCAAAAGCTCTTCGTAACAACATCACTCTGATCTTATCTCTCAAAATCTGATCTGTCAAATTAACCCAGAAAGCCTTGCTTTCAGAATACCCAGGGCCAGTGCTCACACCTCTGGGGTCTGTTCAGTGGGGTCCTGACAGCAGGGCTGGACTCACCCATATAGGGCCAGGCTGATTGACAGGGAGGAGGAGCAACCTGAGGGGGGCACTGTGAGACAGAGGAACACGCACATTCACATCTTTTTTTTTTTTTTTTTTTTTTTTTTTGAGACAGAGTCTCACTCTGTTGCGCAGGCTGGAGTGCAATGGCACAATCTCAGCTCACTGCAACCTCCGCCTTCCAGGTTCAAGAGATTCTCCTGCCTCAGCCTCCCGAGTAGCTGGGACTCCAGGCGCACGCCACCACAACTGGCTAATTTTTGTATTTTTAGTAGAGATGGGGTTTCACCATATTGGCCAGGCTGGTCTCGAACTCCTGACCTTGTGATCTCCCTGCCTTGGACTCTCAAAGTGCTGAGATTACAGGTGTGAGCCACTGCATCTGGCCACATTCACATCTTAACAGACAGCGTCCCCTACCAGAACATAAACTGTTTCAAAAACCCTCACTGGGCCAGGGGCGGTGGCTCACACCTGTAATCCCAGCACTTTGGGATGCTGAGGTGGGCGGATTACGAGGTCAGGAGATCGAGACCGTCCTGGCTAACACGGTGAAACCCCGTCTCTATTAAAAATACAAAAAAAAAGAAAATTAGCCGGGCGTGGTGGCAGGCACCTGTAGTCCCAGCTACTCGGGAGGCTGAGGCAGGAGAATGGCGTGAACCCGGGAGGCGGAGGTTGCAGTGAGCCGAGATCGCGCCACTGCACTCCAGCCTGGGCGACAGACCGCGACTCCATCTCAAAAAAAAAAAACCCTCACTGTACCCAAAGTGGTGTGCTAAGATACATTTCTGATCAAGTTTTTGGCTGAAGGACCCACAGATTTATTAACATGTATATGGGGCCAGGTGCGCTGACTCATGCCTGTAATCCCAGCATTGTGGGAGGCCCAGGCGAAAGGATCATTTGAGCCCAGGAGTCAGACACCAGCCTGTGCAACATAGCGAGGCTCTGTCTCTACAAAAAATCTAAAAGTTAGCCATGTGTGGTGGCACACACCTGTGGTCCCAGCTACTCTGGAGGCTGAGGTAGGATCACTTGAGCCTAGGAGTTTGAGGCTGCAGTGAGCTATGATTGTGCCACCGCACTCCAGCCTGAGTGACAGAGAAAGGTCCTGTCTTTAAAAAAAGAAAAAACAAAAAACAAAACACGCTGTCTCTTCAACTGTTCTCCCCACAGCAGCCCTGTGCTTGGGGCTTACAGCCCAGGGCCTCAACATCATGGACAACCCGGGCTCCCTGGCCATACAACATGTCCACCCGGACTCAGTGTTGACCAGGAAGACCAACCCCTGCACCCACATCTGGGGTTTCACTCAGAGGGAACCCCTCTGCTCAGCAAAGGGAAATCACGTGCTTTCTTCGGAAGGAGGAGAGAGAGGAATTGAAATGCCCCCGCCTTTTCTTAAAGATAAAACTCAAAAAGCCATCAAGGCTGTCGTCTGCTCTGAGCCATCTCCCTCCTCCCTGAAGCCCGGCACCCTACTCCTGCCGTAATGAGTTCCCATGACTCCTGGAGCTCTGCCTGGACTAAGAGGCGGGGTGCTGCAGCTCTGTAAACAAACAGCACTGTGCTTCCCACTGTCAAGGCCTGTTGGCTTCTCAACTGCTGAAACCGTTTCCAAGTTGATGCTGAGTGGCCAGAGCTTTCCTGCAGTGCTGGGTCGCTGGCAACAGGGCCTGTGAGGCTCATTTCCTGCCTGTTGCCGGCTGTGGTGGCGTTGGGCAGGAGCTGGCTGGTCAGGTGAGGGTGGGGGCAGCCTCCAGAGACAGACATGGGCCTTGCCCTAGGCTGCATGCCCATCTTCAGGGAGCCTGTTGATCTCCCTGACAGGTGAAGGTCCCCAAGGCTGCAGCCTGAAAGCAGGGACCACCAACTCACAGCTCCTGGAGTTCTCAGGCCCCTTTGTCCACCTCAGGCTTCACAAGCCAGCAGCTGCCATAACCCAACCCCCTATCCCTCACATAGCCCCCAGGCCCATGTGGCCATACCTCTCTTCCCAACCCAGACTCTGGTCCAGGCACGTCCTGCTCAGGGACCGACTCCTCGGTTGACCCATCATTTCTGTGCAGGGCACAGCCAGTGCCCAGCCTGGACAGGCCCCAAATGTCTCCCGACACTGGCAGCTGCCCGGCTGCCCTACAGCCCTGCCAAACCCACTGCTCACCCAGGTAGCGGCCTCCAGCCTTGATGACAATGGCACTTCGGCTCCGCGTCTCCTCCTCCGCCTGGGCCATGCTCTGCCGCGCCTTCTGGTAGGAGTCGTCGGTGGCACACACCGTGATCTTGTCCTGTATGCTGCCCAGGCAGTCCAGGTGAACTTCCCCATGACTGCAAGACAAGGCCAGGAGCTGGGGTCAGCAGCTGGGACAATGCAGGGAGGATCCGTTGAGGGCCCAAGCCCCCAGCCCACCACCTGGCCTGGAAAATGGACTCTGTCAACACCATCTCAGGCAATATGGTTTCAATGGGGCACATCTCAACCCTGGGCCAGAGGTGGCAGGGTGACCTCAAGAGCCGGCGGGGTGCTCTGGGGTGGGGCGGCGCCTCACCTGGAGACATACTGCTGGATGCAGTCGAAGCTGCCCTGGGGGTTGTCGCGGCCGATGTTGGAGAGGTAGAAGGAGAACGTCCGCGCCTCTGCGGGGCAGTCAGGCTGGGGGATGGAGATGTGCTGCGTGGAGGGGGAGGGGGTGTCACTGGGAGGTCCTCGGCAGGACAGGTCCCCAGCCTGCATCTTCCTGCATGAGTCCCCACAGTGCAACCCTCACAACAGGAATGTGCTGGCCCTTTTCCCTAAAACACACCCCTGCTCTTCAGCCAGTGACGGGACAGGCAGCCCATCCTCAGCAACACACACTGCGTAGAGAGGGGACTCAGGCACCTATGCGGGTGGGCATGGGGCCAGGGGCCGTTTTCAGCAGCAACAGCACTGCTGTCTGAGGACAGTGCTCAGCACCTGCCCAGATGCAGGGCCCCCACCCCAATCGTGTGACCCCTGGAAAGTGGTTTGTCTGGACCATGACTCACTTTCCCCACCACCAAATGGACAGACCTGGCCTGCGACACCCTATGAGGTAAAATGCAACAAGAGGGGCTTGGGCAGCCACGCGCAACTCTGGCGCCCCTCCTTGGCGACCCCCTCTCAGCATCCCCCCACAAAGGACATGGACTCCACGTGAGTCTCCATTTGCTGCAGCTGTGAATCAGGTAGGCTTGTGTCCCAGGGGCTCACAGATCAGAAGCACTGGCCCCCAACAAGCCTGTCATGGGTCACACCAGCCTGACTTTGGCTGTGCCCCTGCAGCCCAGCTGGGCAAAGCTCCAGCCCTGTCTGGGAGGACGGACAGCCAGGGGCAGGCAGGCGGATGGACGGACTGCGCTGGTCCCGGCCAGGCTCAGTGCAGGGCGGCATCACATCAGAGGCCATTGCATTCCAGGCTGACCCCAGACCCTCTGTCAACAGAGTTGGCCCTTCCTAAACTAATGCCTGGGCTTTGGCATGAGCTCCTCACAGTTAGACTGACACATGAAGGGCGCTCAAATAGTCCACAAGGAGGGGACAACATGGGGGGAGCCCTCAGGTCTTGTCCCCTGGCTGCAGCACCCCCTTGGCACCCAAGCCCCGTCTCCTCCTCTGTGACACCATGAGCGCGGGAGAGACTGTGGCTGAATCTCCTGCCCCCTCGCCCCTGCTGAGCTGCCTCATACGCCCATGGGAGGCTTTGCCTGCCTGTGCCTCACCTGTGAGACAGGACGGGGCTCCTGCCACCAGACACGTGGAGGAGCACCAATCCCCGGCCCTGCTGTGTGGCCTTGACTGGGACTTGTCCCCTGGGGTAGTGTTTGGACACACAAGGGAAGCCATGGCTGCACCCAGCCCAGTGCCAGTCCCTGCTCCCAAGACAAGAACAGTTCCTGGGTTCGGCCACTTGGGGCAGGAAGAGTCTGGTCTGGGCTTGCAGGCAGTCCCTGTACCAGCCAGTCTGCCCGGCCTGCAGACCCTTCTCCAGAGGCCCATCCTGCCCCTTCCCCAGGCTGAACACTGCCCCAGGAAAAAAGCCGTCCCATCTGCTGGGGTCTGCCCAGCATCCCCTCTCAGCCTCGAACATGTCCCCCTAAGGCAGGTGCCCTTGTCCCTGTCATGCTGATACAGAAACACAAGCTGAGGGGTCAGGGCCCAAACAGCGTGCTGGTGGAGGGCAAGGCCAAAGTCCATTGTGGGCCCACCATGCCAGGCCACACCTGAACACAAACACACATCTCTATCAGGGTCAGAGAAGGCAGAAACGGCCTGCACTCAGCATCGGAGAAATCACACACATATAGCCTCTGATGATTCACCCTCGGACAGAGAAACCCTCCCCACCCGCCCCCACCACACAACCACACACACACACACACACACACACACACACACACACACACAAACACAACCCCTCCACACACAATCTCCCCACACACAATCCCCCACAACCACACAATCCCCACACACACACAAACACAACCCCTCCACACACAATCTCCCCACACACAACCCCCCACAACCACACAATCCCCCCACACACACAAACACAACCCCTCCACACACGATCTCCCTACACACAACCCCCCACAACCACACAATCCCCCCCACACACAAACACAACCCCTCCATACACAATCTCCCCACACACAACCATACACACACAATACCCAACACATAGCGCCACACATACAACCACCCCGACAGCACCACACACAACCTCCCCCACACACAAACACAACCCACACACACAACCCACACATGCACAACCCCCACACACACAGCCACACACAAACCCCTCCACACCAAACCCCTCCACACACAAACCCCTACACACAACCACACAAACACAACCCAGACATAAACCCCCACACAGCCACACAAACACAACTCACACATAACCACACACACAACCACAACCCACACAAACACAACCCCCACACACACAAACAATCCATACACACACACACACACAAACACAATCCATACACACAGAAACACAACCTCCCACACACAAACAACCACACACGCCCTGAAGCCTCAGCCAGAGCCATGTGGGTGACCCTGGCCATCCAGATCTGTCCTGCTTCGACGCCACTGAGGTGTTTTTTCACCCAACACACACAGGTGCCACCCTGCCCTGCCTGCACCTCCCTTCCCAGATGTGACTTTTATTCTCGTTCATACAAGAAACTGGAAACACGCTGCTGGGATGAGGGAAGCTCAAGTTTGTGAGAGGCTCTGTGGTGGCCAGGTGCACAGGTGACATGGTGACCCAGAATGAGCCAGCCAGGGAAGCTGGGGACCACACGTCCAGGGAAACCAAAAAGAGTGGCTGTGGGAACCTGAGCCTGGCCTGGGTGGCTCTCCCGCCCTCCTCTGTCATCTCTTTAACCCCCACTGCCCCCTGTGGTCCTGGCCTGAGGCCCAAGTTGCCAGTGGCTCCTGCCCCACAGTGACTAAGGGCTGGGCACCCTCACGTGCAGCCCTGTCCCAGGAAAACCCCAGCTCCACCCAGGTTGGCAGGACTCATTCTGTCACCCTGGCTTCAGGGGAGATGCCACTCAGCAGAGAGCTGGCAGTGAGACCAGGCCACTGCCTGTGGCCTGGGGCAGCTGTACACCCAGTCAGCACTGACAGGGCCCCCCTGCCTGAGCCTGCCCAGCAACCTTGCTTCTCTGTGGGTAGGGGCTTCATAGTGGCCCTTCACCCTGCTTGGATCTTTTCCACACAGGTGTAGACATCTGCCCCCCAAACTCCATCCTAGAAGCAGGGGCCAGGTGCAGAGCCCAGGGCCAGGTGTGCAGCTGTGGCGGGGAGTAGGGGCTGCATGAAGGGGGGTGACACAGGCCTCAAAGCTGATGCTCGGGAGAGTGTCGTGCTGCTGGCGAAAAGGGGAAGACACACAGAGGGCATGGCGGTTGGCGTCCTTCAGGATGCAGGGGTGAGAAGGTGGGGAGAGTGTTAGGAAAGGTTTCCCGGAGCCAGACACCGAGGTTCTCACAGGCCCTGCCTCCCCTAGCACACGAAGCGCTATGGAGCCCTCTGATTAACGGGCTGTTTTGCTGCTGGTTAATGGTTACCAGCCCGGGACCGTGGGGAAGCCAGCGGGATGGGAGCAGCCCAGGAATGCGGCCACTTTCTTCGCACTAGCCAAGAGCTTGCCCGGGTTCTGGGACAAGGTTTGAAACGCAGCCCCTGCTCAGCCTTCTGAATGGGGTCTTGGTTGCTCCTTGGGGACTGCTCATGGGCCCAGTGACCCACGTACCAGTGGGCTGCCATGGGGCCCTCAGATGGCCCACGCACAGCAGGTCTGGGTATGTCTGAGGTCAGTCCCGGCTCCAGGTTATAGGGTGTGGGGAGGAGTTGCCATAAACCTAAGCACTAGTCCATGCTCACAGACACAGAGCCCAGGCCACAGGGGCTCATCCTAGGCGCTTCCGCAGGGCCCAAAGGCCCGCTCTGCCCTTCCCGCTGACCTGACCATGGCCACCAGGGGGCGTTGCTTCCACCACCGCTCAAGTCCCTGCCAGAGTCCGTTCATCTCTTCCCTTTGAAATCCATCCCAAATTGGGGCCTGCTGCACTCCCCACCTGACCCCAGACAGGAGCTTGGGCGATGCTGGCTGACTGGATCCATGAAGGAACACCATCCAGGGGGCGTTCCGACAACGATGAGCCCAGTGCAGGCTCTGTGGCAGGCTGCCGGCAGCATGGCCCAGGACCAAGAGCCCCAAAGCTAACAGCCCACTAAAGTGAAGCAGCTGGCCAGGCGCGGTGGCTCCCGCCTATAATCCCAGCACTTTGGGAGGCTGAGGTGGGTGGATCACCTGAGGTCAGGAGTTCGAGACCAGCCTGGCCAACATGGCAAAACCCTGTCTCTAGAAGGAGGTTAGCTGTGTAGCCACCCCAGGTCTCTCTCAGTGACTTGGGCCCCTGCTACACATGTTATTAGGCTCCAGGTCAAGGCACATGGCATGCTGCACGCAAGGACACCACTGTGTGCTTCGGCCATGGCCAGGCTGCAGTGTGTCATCTGACGGGCTCGCTGAGATGGGGGTTGGGGATGAGGGGCCCCCCCACTGCTCAGGTTGGGGTAGAGGGGCATGGGTGGTCAGGCAGCAGCAGAAGGCACAGAGTGACTGCTGTAGGACACCAGAGGGCACTGTGGGGCTGCTCTGGCAGCAAGCCCAGGCCAGCCCGCCCCTGCCCCCAACCTCTGACCCCTGAGAGAATGTCCTGGGGAAGGTAAAAAGGAGGTGGCCAAAGGGTGACCACAAGACCCAACTGGGGCTGATGGAAGTGTGGGGTTGTGTCAACTGGCTAGGCTGCAGCCCCTGGAGATTCATTATTCCATGACATCCCGTCTAGGGGTGCCCTGGAGGTACTCTGTGGACATGGTTACCATCCACAAACCAGATACTGAAAGCAAGTAAAGGAGATGACCCTCGATGGTCTGGGTGGTCCCATCGAATCAGCCCAAGGCCTTAAGAGGGAAACTGGCTGGGGTTTGGCAGGAGGAGGAAGAAACTCTGCCTGAGGACTGCTCCATCAGCTCCTACTGGAGGTCTGCAGCCAGCCCTGAGGGTTACAGACTCCCCAGCCCACAGTCGTCTGAGCCCACTGCTTGCAATGCATCTTTTTATCAGCACACACAGACACACGTCTCCTAGAGGCTCCATGTCTCTGCAGAACCCTGGGCTGCACCTGGAAGCCCATGGATCATCATGTCCATATCCCCACATCCAGCTGTGCAGAGCTCTCAGGCTGTGGACAGAAATTGATTTAGGTACAACATGGTAACTCTAAAAGAAAAAAAAAAAGTTGGGTGCAGTGGCTCACACCTGTAATTCTAGCACTTTGGGAGGCCAAGGTGGGAAGATCATTTGAGCCTAGAAGTTCAAGACCAGCCTGGACAACATAATGAGACTCCGTCTTTACAAAAATAAAAATAAAATTTGCCTAGCATGGTAGTGTACACCAGTAGTCCCAACTACTTGAGAAGCTGAGGTGGGAGGATCCCTTGAGCCCAAGAGTTCAAAGCTGAAGTAAGCTATGGTTGTGCCACTGCACTCCAGCCTCGGCAACAGAGAGACTCATCTCTTAAAAAACAAAACAAGGCTGGGCGTGGTGGCTCACCTGTAATCCCAGCACTTTGGGAGGCTGCAGCAGGTGGATCACCTGAGGTCAGGAGTTTGAGACCAGCCTGGCCAACATGGTGAAACCCTATCTCTACTAAAAGTACAAAAATTAGCCAGGCATGGTGGCAGGCGTCTGTAATCTCAGCTACTTGGGAGGCTTAGGCAGGAGAATTACTTGAATCCAGGAGGCCGAAGTTGCAGTGAGCCAAGATTGCACCACTGCACTCCAGCCTAGATGCAGGGGAACCTGCAATAAAGGCTAGAAGAAAAATCAAACCATTCTAAGGCATATCGGGTAGGTTAGGGGAGATGAAGAGTCCTAAAACAGGGGGTCAAAGAAGGTAGATGACTCACCCTTTCTCTCATTCCCTGATTTTTCTATAAGATGGTCATTTAGAAGAAAACATATTTCAAAAAAATGAGGGTGCTGAGTTTCTATGAACCTCTCTCCCAACCAAAATCCAGACAAATGTCCAAGGTCCTTGTGTGCCCTAATGCAGCAGTCCCCTACCTTTTTGGCACCAGCGACTAGTTTCGTGGAAGACAATTTTTCTTTTTCTTTTTTTTTTTGAGACAGAGTTTCGCTCTTGTTGCCCGGGCTGTAGTACAATGGTGCGATCTCGGCTCACTGCAACCTCCACCTCCCAGGTTCAAGCAATTCTCCTGCCTCAGCCTCCTGAGTAGCTAAGATTATAGGCATGCACCACCACACCCAGCTAATTTTGTATTTTTAGTAGAGACGCGTTTCTCTACGTTGGTCAGGCTGGTCTCAAACTCCAGATCTCTCAGGTGATCTGCCTGCCTCAGCATCCCAAAGTCCTGGGATTATAGGTGTGAACCACCACACCTGGCCAGAAGACAATTTTTCTATGGATGGTGGAAGGGGGACAGGGAGCCATAGGGGAGGATGGTTTCCGGCTGAAACTGATCCACCTCAGATCAGGCATTAGATTCTCATAAGGAGCACGCAACCTAGATCCCTGGCATGCGCAGTTCACAATAGGGTTCGCGCTCCTGTAAGAATCTAATAACAGGCTCAGCTGACAGGAGGCAGAGCTCAGGTGGTCGTGCTCACTCACCCACAGCTCACCTCCTGCTGTGTGGGCAGTTCCTAACCAGTCCAGTGCTGGGGGTTGGGGGCCCCTGCCCTATCAGAGTGGAAGCTAGGTGCACATCGCTGCATGAAGGGAGCCACTGGGAGAGGAGAGCCGCCCATTGCCCAAGCAGCCTGTGACGTGCACCCGACACGTCCTGGTGTGGCCCCAGCCAAGGGGCTATCCTGGGGGCCTAGAACCCAGCCTTGCATGGTGGCAGACAGGGCCCAAACACTGCCATGAGCTGCTGCTGTACCCAGCGAGCAAGGACAGACCTGAGACTATACCAGTCCCAAGATTCCAAATATGAATGATTAAGACAAAAACTTACCCCTTGGCTTCCTTGAAATCGGATAGATGGCCTCAGTGAAACAGAATCCTATAAAAAAAAAAAAAAAAAAAAAAAGGTGAGGGGAACATCAATAAAGACATTGGGAAACCCAAAGACTCCCTCCCCAGGTATAGAAGGAGCAGGGTGAAGATGGTGTTCTCAGGAGAGGGGAAAGGAAATGCACACACTCTGAAAATTATAGGCAAGGTCACCGGAGCAGGGTTTTAGAAGGATCAGTAGGAGTTCCTCAGATGGACAGAGGGCTGGGGACACATGACAGGTAAGAATGGGGCCTCCAGACACAGGCAACAGGCTGGCGGAAGGCCCAGGATGCAGGGGCGGGGAGTGTGCCATCCTTGGAAAGCCACCACCAGCCTGTGAATCCACCGGGAGAGAAGGGCAAGGCTCAAGGTGCTCACAGCCCTGCCAGGAAAAAGCAAAGACAGGTCAGGGTTGACCCTGGATCATGACTCTCCCAAGGACCCATACAGGCAAAAGCAGCCCCCTCCACTCTCACAGCCCCAGCTGATCCCCTGAAACCACCAACCAGGCTAAGTCCTGTCTCACAAACACTGGCTTTTAACAACCAGGTGGGTGAGCACTGTCTATCAGAGCAGGTGCGGTGGGGCCACCTTGGAGCCTGGGGTGGGAGCCTGAGGCCTGCACAGCTCCACCACACGGCCTTGGGGCAGTCACATGGCTTCTGGACAGCTGGTCACTGAGCTTGGAGCAGTGGAATTTCCAAGGAAAAAATATACAAAAGAGCTCAAAATAAATACTGACGCTTCAGCTATTCAGAGACCAGCCTTCTGGCAGTATCTGAGAAAGAACTGCGAGCCAGAGGAGGACTGCACCTCTGCATCTTCTTCCCTCTTCCCAACCTGGGGCCCTAAGCGTAGATCTCAGTGTCCCAGATGCTACCCCACAGCATAGCCCTGGCTGATCACCATGATTCTTGGTCCCCAAACCCACCCCTGCACCACCTGGCCCCACTGCCCCACTCAGGTCCAGCCCACTGAGATGCCCTCCCACCCAGGCCTTGCTCCTGTCCTCATAGTACCCCGTCCTGGGCTCCGTCTCCACTGCTCAGGTCTCACTCCCTCCCACCCTGGTCTGCCCATAGCTCTCCCCAGAGGGCAAAGCACTACTTGAGTCTGGAGAGGCCTGTCGGAAGACCCGGGGTAAGCGGAGCAGCTCCACACCTGCGACAGTATCAGAGACAACACCTACCCCATGGGTCAGCCCAGGGTCCGCCCTCTGGAGCCACTCAGCACTGTTCCAGGACTCCAGCTTGAGATGGCACAGGGCCCTCCAACTGCTCACATCCAGTGCCCATCAGTTGGGAAAGACAGGAGCTGCTAGGAGCAGCGGAAGCCGCCTGGGACATGAGAGATGGCTGGCCTTTCAGCACCTGCTCCATGTGTGCCCTGAGCCATGGGTCTGCTTGGCCAGCTTAGACCACGCAGCTGTATACATATGACATGCATAGTGCCCAGAGTGGGAGGCACCGAGTGCCTCACTTTGGTCTACCAGGAGCCCCCTTCTTTGCCAAGTCTCTCCAAGGATTTTGCCAAGACTCCCCAAGGATTCTGCTGTTTAGGGGAGAACAGAGGGATGGTGCCCCTGCACGCTAACACCACCCAGGCCGTGATGCCCCAGAAACTGCCCCATGCTTCTCAAACACGCCACCCCTCAACAAATACATGGGCCCACTCCACAGCGAGCACGATTCACGGCGCAAGCCACCACTGTCCATGGTGCAACACGTCCATGGCCCACTCCCTTGTCCTGTTCCAAGACCAGGAAACAGCTGCTGCAGTCACAAGGGCCACTGTGCTACTGCGACAAGGGGGGCTCGTCTAGAGCAGCTCAGGAAGGGCTAGCCCTGTACCCCAAAACACGACTCAACCACCAGCCTGTGCTGCTACTGCAGAGAACAGGGGACCTCGGCCTGGCTGGGACCTTGGGGAAGCAGCATCTGAATGACCTTTGCTACAAATTTGGTTAAACAGGCCAGGTGGTTCACGCCTGTAATCCCAGCACTTTGGGAGGCCGAGGTGGGCAGATCACTTGACGTCAGGAGTTCGAGACCAGTCTGGCCAACATGGTGAAACCCCCATCTGTACTAAAAATACAAAAATTAGCTGGGCGTGGCAGTGGGCACCTGTAATCCCAACTACTTGGGAGGCCAAGGCAGGAGAATCACTTCAACCCAGGAAGTGGAGGTTGCAGTGAGCTGAGATTGCACCACTGCACTCCAGCCTGGGCAACAGAGTGAGATCCTGTCTCAACAACAGCAACAAAAAAGAATTTGGTTAAACACAGACATGAAAAAGAGACCTATAGGGACCAATTAAGGTGTGAAAAGACACCGGATGCCATTACTCATCAAGGAAATGCAAACTGTAACCATAGTGACCTAGATTGATAGCCATAAAAATATTTTAAAAAATAAAAAAAAACATAACCACACTGAGATAGCTCTGTACCCATCAGAGCAGCTAATCTAAAAGAAGCTGACAAGAGCAAGTGTTGGCGAGGACCCAGAACCTCTGCCGTCGTGGGCGGGAGTGGACAAGGCTCAGCCACTGTGGAAGCCACCTGGCAGTTTTCTAAAAGGTTAAACAAAGGGTTAAACACACCCAGCAATTCCACCCCGGGTATACACCCACAAAAACACACTTCCGTACAAAAACTTACACCTGAACATTTATAGCAGAATTATTTAGAGAATCCAAAAAGCGGCAGTAGCCCAAATGTCCGTCAACTGGTGGAGAGAGAATCAAACAATGGAATACAGAGGACCATGCCAAGTGAAAGAAGGCTGCACGTCATGCCACAGGCTGTATGACTCCATTTCTATAAATCCCCAGGTAAGGCAAAACCAAAGAGACAGAAAGCCGACCAGCAGGTGTCCAGGGCTGGAGGTGGGAGTGGGGAGTGGCTGCAGCCGGGCGAGGGTAGAGGGTCAAAACTCACAAGATGGGACGTTTTACAGGATGTTCGCTACACCTTCCCAACTGCCCTTGAGCTCACAGGGGCCGTCTTTGTTGACTCAGGGCACAGGAGCAACATTCTCTGACACACACACGGCGAGTTCTGGAACAGACGGAGGAGAGTCCTGTCCGTTAACCATTTTCAATGCACGAGTGAAAGGGAACTGGCGTAAGACACAAGAACCACACGGAGCAAAGGAAGCACCAAGGCAGAATGGCCCAGCCCACCCCACTCAGGGAGCCCCCACAAACTCATGGCACCAGTCCTCATGGGCCCCAGGAGCACACGACCAAGGCCAGGTGGGAAGGGTATTCTGGAGGAGGGAGCAGCAGGGGACTGGAGCAGGAACTCAGTGCAGCAGCTGCAGAGAGCAGGTGGGCCCCGTCTCTCGCGGTGCAAACCTCTGCAGAGGGGTCGGCCCGGGGCTAACACAAGCACCCTGTCTACTGTCCATGCGAGGCCTCTGCATGTGCAGCTGTGAGCCAGGGATGAGGGCTCAGAAAACAGTGATGATGCTGAGGCCAGTTAGGGTGACAAGGGACAGGAACCAGTTAGGGTGCACAACCCCCCCAAGGAACTGTGCCAGGGCAGCCCCAGCTGTGCAAGGCTGAGGGTGACAGGCCTTGAACACACTGGCCCTCCCACCCACCCCGTGGCTCCATGCTCCCTGTGGGCCACGCCATCCAGTGAGGCATTTAACCAGGTTCTGGTAGCTGACTGTCAGGTGGGTCACCTTCAAGACTCCTTTCTTGCCAAGTCGCTTATCCCCCAAGGGTATGGAGAACAAGACTTCATGCCTCAGAGGAGAAGGGCTGAGGGGCCACAGAGCCAGCCTTTCTCTATGATGCCAGGAGGGCTAACCTCAAGTGCCTGTCCCCATGAGAGGTGGCCGTCATCATGGCCAGGCTCCCAGCCACTCTGGCTCACACTGTATCCCCACCCTCCAGCAGGAGACCAGGCCCTTGTTAACAACAGAGCAATTCACTCCTAACATCACGCACGCATGAGGGTGACAGACACAGGACGCACCCAGCCATTAACAGACACGGGCACTAAGGCTAACTCCCGTCTAAATCATGGCCAGCCCTGTGCGGACCATCGGGCAGGGACCCACCTCATAAGAACGCCATGTGGTATCTATAAGCAGAACCCTACAGACACGTGAAGCAGCAGGAAAACGAGACTCCTAAGCCAGGGGGAAAATGAGTCGGCACAAAGACGTGGGAAGCACAGAGATGCCGACTGAACAGACAGGGGCTTTGGGACAGCTACTGTGAACTTGGAATGCTCCAAGCCTAAAGGAAAACAGCTGAAGAGGAAGACGTACGGGTATCGTGAGAGAGCCACGAGGGGCTTCTGGAGCTGAGACACGGAGGATCGGAATGAAACGGCCACTAGGTGGAAGTCACAGCAGGCACCACAGAAGAAAAGGGCAGCGAACTTGAAGACAAAGCCACAGGAGCCACCTAGATGAATCCCACAGTAAGAAGCCTACAGGAAACGAACACCACCTCGGTGACCTGCGGACGACAGCAGGGGATCCCACGTGCAAGTAACTGGAGTCCTGAGGGCAGGCGGGGGATCTGAGAAAAGAGTGGCCAGAGATTCCCAAATGTAACAAATGCTATAAATCCACAGACCCAAGAAGCCTTGTCAACCCCCAGCAGGAAAACTACCAGGTCGTGGCGCATCATGAGCAAATCAGCACAGCCACAACAGTCGCCCCAAGTGCCGAGGTGCCGACACTGCACATCAGGAGCCAGCCCCGACACTGGGAGGGCATCTTCAAAGTGCTGAGGGAGAAACACCGCCAGACCACAATTCCATGCCCAGTGAAAAGAGAAAGGGAAATAAAGATTCGCTCAAACAAATGCTGAGAGAATCTTCTGTCAGCATCTGGCCTGCACTGTGAGGAAGGTTCTAGAAGTTCTTCAGAAGGAGGGAGAGTGACCCTAAATGGACCTATGGATTTGCAGAGGATGACGCGGGCACAGTGAGCATGCATGAATAGAAAAGGCTTTTTTCTTATGATGTTTCTGCAAAAGATCATTCAAGGCATAAATTACGGTAGTGAGGCTGGGGTTTTGAATGTGGGGTGCTAAATAGATGGTGATGAGAACACAAGGACTGGGTGGGGGGGATGAGAAAAAACACAGAAAGCAGCTGGGGTGCAGTGCCCTGACAAGCCAATCAAGGGCCCAGGAGGTGAGTGTCGGCTGCAGACAGGCAGAGCCAGCTAGGTCCCTTCACGGTGGGACCAGCTGTCACCCTCTGTGCTCACCAGCCTGGCCTGGTGGGGACGCCTGACAGCATGTGGCCCACCACACCCTCTTCTGGCTGCTCCCTCCAGAGCCAACATGCGTGGTGTCATGGCCGAACCCTTGTCAGGGGGGCCAAGCGCCTCGTTACCTCATCTATGAAGCAGGACAGAGGGTCAGGAACAGACTGTAGCACAGGTGATTTCCCTGCTGCCTTAGAAGCTTTGGGGTTGGCCTCAGGCTGCATTAATTAAATAACGGGGTAACTCAGTAGCACATGACACCTGCAGGGTACTGCCCATCTCACACCCAAGAACACCCAGCAGGGGAGAGCCATGCCTCAGGCCACCGCCTGCCCAGTCTCTGTAGACCCTCTGAGGGGTCATCACCCCCACAAGTCCTCTCAGGCCCTCGAGTGGCAAAAATCCAACTTTCATTACCCAGCATGAGGTATGGAACTGGGAGCTCCTGAGATACAAAGTCACCCCCGCTGCTGTACTTCAGGCCAGGGCCCCAGGTGGGAGCTGGGGAGCCTGGTAGGGCCGCCACAGCTGGCCTGACACAGTCAGCAGGTCAGCTGGGTCTTCAAGGCCGGACAGGCAGGCACTGAGCTGTGCCGAGGCTGGTGCTCCCCAGACCCAACTGGACTTCAGACCCTGACTCGGAGAACAGACCTCAACACAGCAGGGCAGTGATGCCTGCGCCCTGCGGTCACTTGGCCTGGGCGCCCACTGGGGCTACTGAACACAGACTGGGAGACTCCTGTAGGCAGCTCCCCCTCAATGAGGACACTCCTGTAAAGACAGCAATGCCTTTGGGAAAAGGGTCGAGGGTGCAGAGCCTGGGAGGCAGTGAGAGTCCTCAATGCTGAGACAGAGGAAAGGGTGAGGAGGAACCTCTCCAGGGCCAGAATCCCCTGATCCTCTCCCCTCCGGCAAAGAGCACTTCCGGGGATGAAGCAACAGGAAGTGGCTTACGAAATCCACCTCCAGGCCGAGTGACCAGTTTACAGGAAGTGTGGTGGGTGAATCTTCCCCAGGGCACGAGGCAATGTCTGGAGCCATTTCTGGTCCTCACCACTGAGGGCGGGGACAGTCCCCACCATCTGGCTCGGGGGAGGCCAGGGATGCTGCTCAGCACACTGCAGGCAACACAGAACCTCCTGCCCCAAATGTCAAGCAGTGCAGGGGCTGAGAAGCCCTGGGCTGACCCTGCCACGGGAAGCGACCATCAGAGCAGAAAGCAGAAAAATCTATGGGAAAAAAGACCTGCTCCCTTCAACAAATATAAAATATAAATGGAAAAGTTACGGGTGAAGAAGAACGTATCTGATTGTTGGCCAGGCATGGTACCTCACACCTGTAATCCCAGCATTTTGGGAGGCTGAGGCAGGTGGACTGCTTGAGGTCAGGAGTTCAAGACCAGCCTGACCAACATGGTGAAACTCCATCTCTACTAAAAATACAAAAATTAGCCAGGCATGGTGGCATACGCCTATAATCCTAGCTACTCGGGAGCCTGAGGCAGGAGAACTGCTTGAACCCGGTAGGCGGAGGTTGCAGTGAGCTGAGATCAAGCCACTGCACTCCAGCCTGCACGACAGAGTGAGACTCCATCTCAAAAAAAAAAAAAAAAAAAAATCTAGGATTGTTTTAAAAACTCTCCAGCAAAGACAGAAACTAGGGAGAGGGCACAGTGAAGAGATGAGACACACAGACAGATGGACGGGGCCCAATCTGGCCAGGTCCCAGGATACCTGCTACCAGCCTGGGGACAATGAGGCCCAAGGCAGCAGGTGCCAAGGCTGCCCCAAAGACACATGATCCTTCCCACCACCCTCCAGAAGCACCCACTCAGCAGAAGTGCCCACTCTCCCCAGGCAGCACGTTCTCCCTGCTGTCTACTGGGCAAGGCCTGCCACCCCACCCCTGATGCAGGAAATGACAGAAAGGAATGCATCTGTTCCTTCTTCAGAAGTCCATCTTGCTGACTCTCCCAAGCACCAGTGTCAGCACACACGTCCTGATCTTACAGAGCTGGGTCACCCTGCCAAGCCACGGCGTGTGGTCCAGCAGAGGGAAGGTGAAGTCCCGGGAAGAGCCCTGGACGGTGGCCTCCCCACAACAGGCCCCCCCTTTCCAGTAAAGCACAAATGATTGGGAAACGCTATTCAGGAATCCTCCTTGAGACTTCCTGGCAGGACTGGAGCAGGACATTGAGGCCACGGAGAGTTTAGACAGTGACTGAGTGGGGCTGTCTCCGTGAACTACAAAACAAAGGAAGATCTGCCCAGTGAGCTTGGTTGGCTCAGGGACGAGCTAGGGAACTTGGACAGACACATTGTGGACCTCACTGGTTCCAGCCTAGGGAACCAGGTGGCCACGGTCAGGGCAGAGCAGAGGGCAGGACCCACGGCAGCTCCTCTGCCAGCCTGGGAGGACAGATGGTGTGTTCAGCAGGCCAGGTGGGCCTGTAAGAGCAGGAAAGGGACTCCAACTGGCTACAAGCCAAGTGTAATTCAGTGGCCGGCATAGCAAGTATTTTTTTTCTTTCTTTCTTTTTGGAGATAAGCTCTCACTCTGTCACCCAGGCTGGAGTGCGGTGGTGTGAACACGGCTCACTGCAGCTTCGACCTTCTAGGCTCAGGTGATCCTCCTGCCTCAGCTCCCGAGTAGCTGGGACCACAGGCACACACCAACACACCTGGCTAATTTTTCTATTTTCTGTAGAGATAGGGTTTTGCCATGTTGCCCAGGCTGGACTTGAACTCCTAGGTTCAAGCAACTCGACAGACTCAGCCTCCCAAAGTGCCAGGATTACAGGTGTGAGCCACCGCACCCAGCCCGCAGCAGATATTTCTATCTGCATTCACGAAGGTGCATAGAAAGCTTATGGAAAAGGGTTTTTCAGAAATCTTGTAGACAAAAATATGCAGATTGCCCAAAACTGTGGCCTCTACACGCTCCACGCACCTTGCTTGCTTTTCCCAGGACAGCACGCTGAGCAGGCCACCTTCCTTTCTGCCCAATTTCCTGCATCCCCACTTGGAGACTGACCCTCCCCGCACCCTCAGCAATCCTGGATCTGTTTTTTTGTCCCTATGGTTTTGCCTTTCCAGAAAGTCTTATCAATGGAATCACATAAGATGAGTTTCCCGTGGTCCTTGCAACAACTGAGCATAAACTTGTGGCTTAAAACAATGGAAACTGGTTCTCTCACGGACTGGGGGCCAGAAGTCTGAAATCCAAGTGTTAGCAGGCTCCCTCCTTTTGGGGGCTCTAGGGGAGGACCTTTCCTGGCCTCTTCACCTGCTGCAGGCTCAGGCACTCCCTGGCTTGTGGCTGCATCACCCTAATCTCTGCCCACTGGGGTCATGCAGCCTTCAAGTCCTCTTCTGTCTACATTAAATCTGTCCCTCTCTTACGAGGACACTTGTGATGACAAACAGGGACCACCCAGATAATGCAGGGTAACCTCCCCATCTCAAGATCCTTAACCTAATCTCATCTGCAAAGTCCCTTTTTCCACAGAAGGTTACACTCACAGGTTCCTGGAATCTGCTGTGGCCATGATTCAGCCAACCACCTACTCAGCATGACGCCTTTGAGATCCATCCTGTGTGTTGCCCCGCAGTATAAATACGCCACCTTCCCGTGCATCCATTTGCTGGATGAAGGACACAGGTTGTTTCCAGTCTGGAGAATTAATGAATCAAGCAGCTATAAATACTCATGGACAGGTTTTTCTGTGGACGTGTTTTCATTTCACTTGGTGAACACCCAGGAGCCCGACTGCTGGGTTACAGAGTAGGTGTACATTTAATTTAATATGAAACTGCCAGGCTGGCTCCCAAAGTTGCTGTACCATTTTGTACTGCCGCCGGCAGCGAATGAGAGTTCCTGTTGCTCCCCATCCACGTCAACATTTAGTGCTGTCAGCTTATTTAAAATGTCAGCCATTCTGGTAGGTGTGTGGTGCAGTGACAGCTCGTGGAGGTTCATGTTTGGGTTTCCCTGCTGATTAAGCATGTTGAGCATCTTTTTACAGGCTAATGTGCCATTCTTCTAGCTTCAGTGGTGAAGCTGTACAAATCTTTATCCCATTTTTAAAAATTGGGTCATTTTCTTACTAAGTTTTGAGGTTTTTTTTTTTATATACAAGAGCTTTATCAGATAAATTTTACATTTTACTCCTAGTCCATGGCTTGTCTTTTCATTCCTTTTTTTTTTTTTTTTTTTTTTTTTTTTAAACAGGGTCTCGCCCTGTCACCTAGGCTGAAGTGCAGTGGTGTGATCTCAGCTCACTGCAACCTCCGCCTCCTGGGTTGAAGCAATTCTCCTGCCTCTGCCTCTGCCTCTGCCTCTGCCTCCCAAGTAGCTGGGACTACAGGTGCGTACTACCACACCCAGCTTATTTTTTTGTATTTTTAGTCGAGACGGGTTTTCACCATGTTGGCCAGGCTGATCTCAAACTCCTGACCTCAAGTGATTTCGGCCTCCCAAAATGCTGGGATTACAGGCGTGAGCCACTGCGCCTGGACTGCCTTTCCATTCTCTTAACAGTATCTCTCAAAATACAGAAGTTCTTAATTTTGATGGAGTGGAATTTTTCAATTTTTTTCTTTTATGGGTGGGTCTTGATTTTGTGTCTTAGTTCCTCCCATCTTTTTGGTTTTTGTTGTTGTTGTTGTTGTTGTTGTTGTTGTTGCTGCTGTTGTTTTGAGACAGGGCCTCACTCTGTTGCCCAGGCAGTGGGCAGTGGCACTATCACAGCTCACTGCAGCCACAGTCTCCTGGGCTCAAGAATCCTCCCACCTTATCCCCAAGCAGCTGTGCCACCATGCCCAGCTACGTTGTTTTTTTAACTCTTTTGTAGAGGTGGGGGTCTCCCTGTGTTGCCCAGGCTGGTCTCAAACTCCTGGGCTCAAGCGATCCTCTCACCTCAACTTCTCAAAGTGCTGGGATTATAAGCGTGAGCCATCACACTCCCATCTTTTTTTTAAATAGCTCTATTTTAGGAAAATCCTCCAAACTGCCATTCTTTACCAACTCCCCTCTCCCCTCCCAAACTAGCAGCTCTGGGTAACTCCTGCCTACACCCGTGGCTGCCACAGCCCCCAGTGAAGGGTCTCTCAGATTCCTTTGTCTGCATGCACCCTGGGTCATGACCACAGATGCTCCCTGGATATTCCCCGGATGCCACCGCCCACCTGGCAGTTGCAGTGCAGGGTTTTTGGACACTATCCAGGTCCTTCTTCCAGAAGGCGCTCAGCAGGTGAGCAGAAAGTGGCCTGTGTCTCATGGGAAGCCCCTCAGATGTCTGTCCATTCCTGCGTCATAGCTGGGGGTGGGGGAGCTGCTTGGACTCCCTGTCCGTAGAAATCACAGCCAAATCACACGCAAGGACTCGTGGTACCACAGACGGCCAGCCTCCATCACTAACCCACTCTCATCCTAAACTGCATGGGATCGGGTTCCGGTTGTTACAACTGAGGAAAATGAGGTACTGAGAGAGGACAGGGCTGCCCGAGGTCACAGCAGACCTCATCCCAACCTCACAGGAAAACTGAGCCCTGGGGTCCCCATGAAGATTTCACAACTTATCCAACCTCACATGATCCCAGGGTAGCAGGATATGACAAACATTTACTACACAATTCTTCAAGTTACAGTGCTTCTATGTCCCTGAGCCCTGCTTCATCAGACAGACAGAAGTCTCCCTCCAAGGGAGGGACAAGCACCCTGCCTGCCCTGCCCACCCTGCCTGCACCTCCATGGGTCAATCTCCAGGCATGGCCCAGGCCTGCTTCCAGGACAGTGCATCTCAGAGCCATGCAACCCATGCCTGGCACAAGCCCTCCTGCCAACACCTTAACTTTGCCTTTCCCCCTTATTATTCCACCTTTTGCATCTGCCTTTCTTCAAACAGGGAAAGACGCTGTCGTATGTGGGCACCTGCTGCACAAGTACACTCCATGGGCACCTGGGCCACAGTGTCAGGCCCCTCTGTCCCCTCTAGCGCACTCTGCAGTGTCTGAAACAGAGCAAATCTGCAAGTGCCAGTGTGATGGGCACAGAATCCCGTTTGGCAGCCAGACGCTGTGGTGGCTCACGCCTGTAATCCCAGCACTTTGGGAAGCCGAGGTGGGTGGATCACTTGAAGTCAAGAGTTCGAGACCAGCCTGGCCAACGTGGTGAAACCCCCATCTCTACTAAAAACACAAACTTTGGCCAGGCGTGGTGGCAGGTGCCTGAAATTCCAGCTACCCGGGAGGCTGAGGCAAGAAAATCGCTTGAACCTGGGAGGGGGAGGTTGCAGTGAGCCAAGATCATACCACTGCACTCCAGCCTGGGCAACAGAGTGAGACTCAGTCTCAAGAAAGAAAAATAAAAAATTTAAAAATTAGCCAGGTGTGGTAATGCGCACCTGCAGTCCCAGCTACTCAGGTGCTGAGGCAGAAGGATCACCTAAGCACAGGCGATCGAGGCTGCAGTGAGCCATGGTTCCACCACTGCACTCCGGCAGGGGTGACAGAGAGAGATACTGTCTTTAGAACAAAACAAAACAAAACATAACAAAACCGGCAAGGAAGCACATGAGGCTTCACAACCAATGCTCTTTTGCCTCCACCTGTGCTCCTCAAGAGGAGTGCAAGAGTTTGGTGGGGTTTTGTTTTTCTTTTTAATCATTCACTAAAACTCACCAACAACAGGTACTGGACCTAGGAATTTTGAACGGAAGGCCTTCGAGAAACTGCCCTCTCACCAAACCTGCCTTCTGCCCATGGTCTGCGGTGCCAGATAACAACTGCTTTCCCCCAGACAACAGTGACCATGATCTGATCACATCTGACAATGGAAGAAGCTAAGGGACTGACCTAGGTCACTGGGGTCCTCCAGGGCACAGCATGGGCCTCTCCTAGCCCTGGGTTCCTGACGTTTCTGAGGTGAATGAGAACGCTCTAGGGCCTGACATGGGCCATCCCCTCATCAGAGCCCAGGCCAGGCCTCTGTGGGGGTTGGGTCCCTGAGAATGCAGCTCTGCCTTGCCACTGTGCTTCCTGCTCAGGCAGCTAGGAGGTCCCAAACCCCATTCACCTCCATGGGACTATTTGGAGCCCAGCAGAAGCGGCCCATGGGCTCTCCTCTCCCCAGGAGGCCCCTCCAGGCCTCCATCTCAACTCCCCTGCAGACAAGGCCATGTGTGTGCCTTCGACCTGTCAGTCTGTAGGGCCACCTCACTTTTGGGCCTTCCAAGCTCAACTGCTATTAGAGCGCCTCCTCTCTGCCACACTCCCAAGGCCACCCGTCCTCAGCCTCACCACAGAGCAGACTGGCCCCTTCTGCCGAGCCCCAGTGCACCCAAGCTTTCCAGCTGCCTCCACCTCTCCCCTGAAAACAGCTAACACTCCACTATGGGAGCCCATCTCCTCCCAGGGCCAGGGAGACCAGGGAGACCAGGGAGACCAGGTCTGGCCCCCAACTCTAAGGCTCATCTTAGAGGCGAGATTCAGGCCCAGCCCAGGGTGCCCCATGAGGCCTGGTGGTTGGAGGCAGAGGGTATCCCTTGCCCAAATTCGTGCCACATTCACAGTCACTGGGAAAGCTACGGGGATGGGCCGGGCGCGGTGGCTCACACCTGTAATCCCAGCACTTTGAGAGCCAAGACGAGCGGATCACGAGGTCAGGAGATTGAGACCATCCTGGTTAACACGGTGAAACCCCATCTCTACTAAAAATACAAAAAATTAGCCGGGCGTGGTAGCACACGCCTATAGTCCCAGCTATTTGGGAGGCTGAGGCAGGAGAATTGCTTGAACCCAGGAGGCAGAGGTGGCAGTGAGCCAAGATCACACCACTGCACTCCAGCCTGGGCGACAGAGCGAGACTCTGTCTCAAAAAAAAAAAAAAGAAAGCAAGCTACGGGGATGAAAACAGTTAAGGCACTCTCCTGGATGCATCACGAAGCCCCTCAGCCACTGTTTCTCCCTGAGAGCACAGCCACCCCCTGCTGACCTTGGCAGGAAGCAACAAGCCCCACAGCACAAACACCCCCAGGCTGCCCTGCAGAGGGGGCTCCACCTCGGGTGGGAGCCCTGCAACCTGGGAAGGAATCTGGGGAGGGGCTTCTGTGTGAAGCTTAGCTCAGGGCCCCAAGGGCGGTCAGTGTCAGGCACTGGCTCAACAGGGGCAGGAAGAGAGAGGCTGCTGAGCACCTCGTCCTCAGGCCACTCTGCCCCGTTTCTAACAGTCTATGTACAACAGACCCACCCAAGATGTACTCTGTGACCCAGAGTGGGGGTGCGGTCCTGGGAGTGTCCACTGTGGATGTGACCCAGGTCAGAAGGAGATGGCAGCTTGCCAAGCTACCAAGGCACACACTCAGGACCCAGGAGGACCGTCCTTCCTCCTCCGGTGGTCGGCCACACTCACCAAGGCTGCCCCTGAGGCCCTCAGAGACCCAGGCGGTTCTGAGAAGGGAGCCTGTCTCTGAAGCAGAAACCACGCCCTTTCACGGGGCCCCTGTGTCACGTCAGCCGCCTGGATGATTCACAGCTCCGCACCGGACTCGGCTCTTACCGCCTCATCTCATTGTCTGCTCACTGCAACCTCTGCAAAGCACCCAAACCCCTGTCCCAGAAGATAGGCAAAGATCACAGAAAAATAAGAGGATGCCAAGAGAATCTGGCACCCTTCAAGGCATGACCCGTGGTCCCCAGCCAGTACTCACTGCAAGGGTGCTCTTAGGTCCCCTTCCCAGTTTGAACCTGCAACCTGGGAGCTGCCACATCTGGACCTCAGGGATGTGACCTTGCCAGCCACAAAGGTTGGCATCGGGTCCTGCCTGCCACCTCACCCACATGCGCCTCTGCAGCCAACCAAAGCCTTCCAAGATGCTGGCCTCCACCGTCAGCTACATGCCATGCTGACACCTCCGATGCTTCCACCACCACGCAGTGGGTAAATCCTAATCACTCAGGAACACAAAGAAGGCCCTGTGCGTGTAGACCCTGCTGCTCAGACCCCGCTACCCCCCACCAGGAGACCCCCTGAGAAAGGAGTAACTGCTTCTGAGCCATTGCCCATATGGGCTGGCATTCCCCATAAAAACCCATTGAGGGCTCCAGAGGCTTCTGGGAACATCTGGACAATCCAACCACCCCAGAGAGTAGGGTCACCCCTCAAATGGGCAGGCCCAGTGAGGACAGAGCAAGCGTTACATATGTGTCCTGAGGTGGGCATCAAGGAGGTGCCACGAGAGCCAGGCCCCAGTCTTCCTTCGTGCTTGAGGAGCAGCTGGGTTTGGGGGACAGTTGCCCTCAGCATGGCCATAAACCACCTTGAGTGCTTAGGATGCGCACAGATCCCTGAATGTGCTGTCTCAGGAAAATCCTCCACCTTGCTGGGTCTGACAGAGGCAGCTGCATGAAACCAGCCCACTTTTAACTTTAGAGACAGAACCTGATGTGGCCACGGCCAGGCTGCACTAGCCCCTCAGGGAGGCCCCAGGCCAGATAAGCACTGCCTGCATCTTCCACTGAGGAACATCTCTGGGACGAGGACCCGTGCAGCTGCCTGATGCTCAGGTTCATCACCAACAGCACCAAGTTGTTCCTCTGGAGAGAATGAATCAGTCCCTTCAGATCCTCATCCTCCTGAAAGTTGAGCACATGGCTTCTAACAGGCCCAGGTGCTTACCTTCGGAACAACGGGATCTTCTATTACCCAGAAAAACAAAGTAGAGCCTTCCCGGTACAATCTGTACTTTCAGAATCCGAACACTCAGGAGCTGTGCTCAGAACCTGGCTGGCAGGGCCTGCTCTGCCCCATCCAGCTGTGGTCCCAGCCACCAGACTCCAACCTACCCTGACAGGAGCCCTGTGCCTGCCGGCCCCACCTCACTCTGGCCACAACCAGGCTGGCAAGTGTCCACCGTGGTCTCTGCCCAGTAATAACCTCAGCAGTGTGGTATGGTGTGGACATCCTCACCTGGTGGGCCCATCCTGAGAAACATGCCTGAAGGCACCCGGCAGGTGAGCAGGGAGAGAGGTAGGTCCCAGCCCGCCTCTCCACCTGGGTCTTATCTCACAAAAGGATCGGCCCTGTTATTGGGTTAGGTCGTGGGTAAGCGTACACCAAGATCCGCCAACTGACTTCTTCCCAGAAAGATGCCCGTCCTTCAGAGCAAACGGCCTGACAAGAAATGTCACCAAACTGGACTCCTCCCCACCAGCAGCATAGAACCCAGAGCACAGCTCCCACAGAGCCAAAAGGAGACCACACAGCAGGAAGCACGTGGCACTGCCAAGCTGGATAGGAGCTGCAGAGGCAGCCTGTGACCAGCAGGGCATGTGCTGGCCAGGGCTGGCCCAGGGCAAGTCCCCAAACCTCAGAGTACCCAGGAGGCCCTGGGGCTCAGGATCCAGGGCTCTAGGGAGGGGCTGCATGCTCCCAGCATCCACGGGGCGGGGGCTAGAACAGAACATGCTCTGCCAGGTGCTCAGCGCCCACACACCCTCAAAAGTCTGATCGCAGGGACCTTCTATGGACCGGGCTGTGCATCTTGAGGGCCAACTTCAAGCAAAGGAAAGCCTGATCACAGGGACCTTCTATGGACAGGGCTGCGCATCTTGGGGGCCAACTTTAAGCAAAGGAGGAGACTGAGGCTCAGGGAAGCCAGGTGCCTTGCTTAAGGCCACCAGCTCAGTAAGTGGCAGGGCTTGAGCTGAAACACAGGACTCTCCCAAAATGACGAGGCAATGGCACCCTGCTATGTCAGAATGTGTCTTTTCTCCTTCCAAACTGACAAACTGACTCTTCACAGGCGCAGGTCATGCGTCCTGGACCGGCTGACCAGAGTCCTGAACTGAAGCTGTGCAGGCGCGGGTCCCTGCATCTGCAGACCGACTTCCGTCATCCCACCTGCAGGGGGTGTGGAGGAGCCTTGCCTGACAGCCGGAGGGAGCTGGAGTCTGAAATCTCAGCTGCTCTTTTTACAGAACGTTTTGTCACCTGCCTTCAAATAAAAGCGCCCAATTTCGGCTCAAGGTGACATGGATTGGGTATTTGCCTAGCAGCTGACACACACCAGAAAGCAGGAGACAGCAGGAGCTCTGCCAAGTGTGCTGTGGATCTAGGTCAGAACATGGTGCAGGTGTGAGCGAGGGGGCGTCCTCCCAGGAACGCTAGCACAATTCCAGAAGTTTCAAGAGAATGCTGAAGTTCAGCCAGGTCAGACAACCACTTGACCGCGGACAGATTTAGAGAAAGTCATGCAGGCCTGGGCAGACCTCGGGCTGGCCGCCCCGGGTGCTCCCATCCCCCTCATGTTAGCCCCTGGTTCCCCCAACCACCACTCACTCCTGCTGGGACGTCAAGAGCCCCAGGTTCTTGGCTGCTGCCATCCAAGACCTGAGCCTCTCCCAGCCAGCTCTGGCACCTTCTCTAGTTTCCTCAGAGGGGAATCTTACCCAAGTATCTATTGGATCACTCCCTGCACACCCCAGCTGCCTGATAAGGCCGGCAGGCTTAGCCCTGCAGCCCCCAGCAGCCCACGCTGGCCCCTTCATGGTACTCACACTCAGTGCTGTGTGACCCCTGTGCCTACTGCAGTCTAGATCCTCCTGGGATCCACCTGGCCAACACCTCCCCCAAGGCGTCATCAGAGAGGCTTTCCAACTGTGAGGGCTCACTGGGGCCCCGGCCTCTGGCTGTGAGCATCTCACTGATTGGGGTGCGAGGTTGGTCTCTTCCCACCTAAAGGGGAGTTCCAGGAGGAGCAGTCCCTCCTGTTTCTGCTGACCCCTGGGGCTGATGGCCTAGCACTAGGACAACAGAATAAGGGCCCAGACGCGCACTGAGCAGAGATATGGAGCTGGCCCTGACCACGCTGTGGAGCCCGTGCTGGTCCCTCAAGCCTCCAGCCACCTGCACGCGGGGCCAGCCAGGCCAGGTGAGACACAGCCTTGCTTACACGCCAGCTGCGTCTGAGAGCAGAGAACCCTGCTGTCGCCTTCTCTCCTGGACGCAATCTAAAACAATCTCAACTTACAAAAAACCTGCAAGAACAGTACAAAGAACAGCCATATTCTGTGACGTTTCTGCCACCTGCCCCTCCCCCCCACCCACGCCTATTATCCACATACTTAGATGTAGCAACACACTTGCTTCTTGAACCATTTGAGGGCCGGCTGGAGACTTTGCCACACTGTGCCCCTAAACGCAGCATGTTTCCTGAGAGTAAAAATACTCTTCTGGGCCGACACAGCAGGGACCAGCTTCACATTTATTATTAATATGACACTTCAAGCCACCGTCTGTCTCCCAGGTCATTGCCTGACTTGGTGGTGACCTCACATTGTCCTCCCCGCAGCGGGAGCCCATGGGCAGTGGCACACTGCACTCAGCTGCCCTCATCAGCTGCCTCTAATCTGCAAGTTTCTTGGCCATTCTTCAACATTCAATGTTTTTGGGTAACATAGACCCCTCCTCACTTTCTTCATCAGAGTGTGCTGGATTTTGGGTCTGCTTGGTGTCTCCTGAGACCAAATGCATGGTATCTTCCCGGCCAAGAGCCACACAGTGACCACGGCCCTCGGAAGGCATCCCACCCTCATCAGCCGTGAGCTCTGACGGCCCAGACAGCGCTGCCCCGTGCCACAACCCTCCTCCCCTCAAATCTCCCAGCAGGTACCCACTGCACACCCGCAGCCCCAGGTGTAGTGCCTGCCATCTGCAGTTTGGCTATGGTGGCCATAAAACCCTGGTTCTATCTCCACTGGCCTGGGGAGGAGCCCCCTCTCTCCCCGGTCTCACACATGCTCACCACCGGCAGCAGGTGACATTCTCACACATGCTCACCACCAGCAGCAGGATGGCTAGCATCACACATCAATGTGGTTAGGCTACAGTATCCAGCTGTTTGGCCAAACAACAGTCTAGATGTTGCCATGAAGGTATTTTTCAGATGAGATTAACATTTAAATCAGTAGACTGTTTTGTTTTTTCCTTTGAGACAGGGTCTTGCTCTGTCGCCCAGTCTGGAGTGCAGTGGTGTGATCACAGCTCGCTGCAGCCTTGACCTCCCTGGCTCAAGCAATCCTCCCACCTCAGCCTCCCAAGTAGCTGGGACTACAGGTGCTCACCACCACACCTGGCTAATTTTTTTTTTTTTTTTTTTTTTTTTTTTTTTTTTTTTTTTTTTAGTAGAGATGGAGTCTTACTGTGTTGCCCAGGCTGGTCTTGAACTCCTGGGCTTTAGCAATCCTTTTGCCTCAGCCCCATAAAATGCTGGGATTACAGGTGTGAGTCACTCTGCCAGGCCAAAATCAGTAGACTTTGAGTAAAGCAGATCACCCTCCAACGTATGGGTGGGCCTCGTCCAATCAGTCGAAGGCCTGGAGGGCCTCTGGCAGAAGGACTCTAGGCTTGAGCTGCAACATCCACTGTAACCTAGGTCTCCAGCCTGCCGTCCTGCCCTGCAGATTTTGACCTTGTCCCCCCAACCCCATAAATGCTTAAGCCGATTCATTAAAATAAAGATGGACCAGGCACAGGGGCTCATGCCTATAATCCCAGCACTTTGGGAAGCCAAAGCAGGAGGATCGTTTGAGCCCAGGAGTTGGAGACCAGCCTGGGCAACATAGTGAGACCCTGTCTCTACAAAAAAAAACAAAAGATTAGCTGGGTGTGATGGCACACACCTGTGGTCCCAGCTATGCAGGAGACTGAGGCAGGAGGATTGCTTGAGCCTGGGAGGTTGAGATTGCAGTACAGCCTGGGTGAAAGTGTGAGACCCAGTCTAAAAAATAAATAAAATAAAGATGACTTTATATTTACCTACCTACCTCTCTTCTCTCTAAATATACATATACACACACTCCCTTTAGATTCTGTTTTGAGAGCCCTGACCAATACAGACTCACAGGCTACCTTTTGCAAATGGCCTGGAGCACGACACTGCCCTTAAAGTCTTCATGTTCAGATTGTCCCAGGCTGGCTTTTTGTACTGGCTCCTGGCTCTTCCCCAACCTCCTCTGAGCCCCCACTGAGACCATGACACTAGGAGAGGATCCAGGCTCCACCCGGCCTGTTCTGGCCACACCATGGGGTTACCTACCTCTGTGAGGAGGCCACATTCGGTGACCTGGAAGCTTCCTCATCCGTCATGGTGACGCTGCTTACAGAGGTCTCCTGCACGGGACAGCTCCCCACTGCCCTATGTGCAAGGACGGCCATTCCTGCATGGCTCAGCCTAGGGGTGTCCTTGAATTTGAGTGGGATGAAGGAACATATCTGTTTTTCATAAACTAAAACGTAGCATTTCCTTCCATTTGAAACATAAGCAATAAGCTACAGTGGTATCAGCACTATCTGTGCCTCTGACGTGCTGTTAGTGCATCCAACGATGGCTGTGCTGCTATCTGGAAATGCCACTTCAGCTCACCACTAATTATGGCAGTGAGACTCGCTACTCAATCTCATTATTAATGTGTTAAAAGAGTCAATCTGTTACTGGGTCACATATTTCTTTTGAGCGACTGATAACTCTCCTGACACACAAGTGTGCCCTCTCCTCCTCTCTGCCAAAGGCATCCCCAGACCTCTCAACTACCAAGGAGGGGAGGTGACAGAAGCTGAAGCTGGCAGAGGGCAGCTCAAGTCAGAAAGCAGGGCTGGAGTCCAGCAGCCAGGCCCAGGCCCAGCTCCACTGCCCTCTAAGCGGCATGGCCTTGGGTGGATGAGTGAGCCTCTCTGAGCCTCAGTTTTCTCTTCTGGAAAAATGGGGCCGTGAAGTCCCACTGGCCAGGCTGCGATGACACCAGGAAAAGCTAGGACAAGTTCATTCCCCCACTCCTCTCATGATTCCTCCCCTCCAAATGAAAAGCCATTTCATTTGCTTCCCACTCTCCAAATGAAAAACCATGACCTTGTCACCTGCTGCTCCTAATCCCCAGGTGGCTTCTAAAGCCAACAGTGACAAGCAGAGGGAAGAGCAGGCTGCCTTCATCTTCCCCTCCGAGACCAGACCACAAGGGTGACCGAGAAGGAAAGATGGAGCTTATCCCATGGAGACAAGCCACTTCTACAAGTCCAGGGATTTGTCTGAGATAATAAAGGAATGGGGCTGGGGATCCCATCAGGGCAATTCAGAAACCCTGGTGAAAAGAAGGGCCGCTGTCACCACAGTGGCCCACCAGGCCAGGGGGAAGCTGTGCCCACACCTTCCAGAAAAGATGGGCTCTGTGCTGCGGCCCTGAGGGGCTTGCCCTGGGCCCTGGGCAGCATAACAATGCATCTGGCCCCTCTGAAGCCAGGGCTGTGCTGTCACTGCTGGCCAGGGCAGGGAGGGCTGGCTCCCCAAATGCAGGGCCTGGTGCTCCAACTTGGGTGGAAAACAGAGACCCTGAACTGGGAGTGAGCTGCCGCACTTGGGAGGAGAGAGTGACATGAACATGGTGTACTCTCAACCTCTGACCCATACCGGCAACCCGACAGGCAAGGCACGCAGAACGACTGCAGCCAGACGGCCCCACACTCCACAGACGCCTGGAAGGGAGGCGTGTGTCCAGCTGTCTCCACCTGGACTCCCAAGGCTCAGTTGGCCCTGCCTCAGGCCCTGCCCCAGAAGTGCCCAGCTCCCTAACAGGGGCTAGGGAAGAAAGTGGCCTACAGGCCCACCAGCAACCCCATCCCTTTCTCATGGCCCGGGAAAGGCCTGCTGGGTCACTGACCACTCCTCATAGCTCTTTGCTCTCTTGTCTGCACACACAGATGTCCACCAGTGGGGACAATCCTGAAGACAATTGAAAGGTGATCTAACCTACGAGGGCACAGTAAAGTGAGTTCATGGCCTCTTGTCCCAAGCAGGTAGACAGAAACAACAATCAGTACCAGAAATCCATCCAAGGACAGGCAGGTCCACACAGACCAGAGGCCCCCAAGATATCTCCAGGTCTTTCTCCCTTATTCCAACCTCACTCCTCCTCTCCACTGCCCAGAGTGAATCGCCACAAAAAAAAGTTTCTGTTTGGAGACTGAGGTAGGAGGATCGTTTGAGCCCAGGAGTTCAAGGTTATAGTGAGCTGTGATCAAGCTACTCCACTCCAGCCTAGGCAACAGAGCAAGACCCTGCCACGAAAAAAATTTTAAAAAGAGGGGAGGGGAAGGGGAGGGGAAGGGAAGGGGAGGGTCAAAGAGAGAGAGAGAAAAAGGAGAGATTTGGATGTAGACGGTGCCAGCCATGACAGCATCAGCTCCCAGCCCACGTAGGAAGGAAAGGAAGAAAGTTAGTTTCTTTTTTGTTTTTTTGTTTTTTTTTTTGAGACGGAGTCTTGCTCTGTCACCCAGATGGGAATGCAGTGGCGCGATCTCTGCTCACTGCAGCCTCCTCCTCCCAGGTTCAAGCAATTCTGTCACAGCCTCCCAAGTAGCTGGGATTACGGATGCCTGCCACCACACCTGACTAATTTTTGTACTTTTAGTAGAGACAGGGTTTTGCCGTGTTGGCCAGGCTGGTCTCGATAATCTGACCTCAAGTGATCCGCCCACCTTGGCCTCCCAAAGTGCTGGGATTGCAGGCATATGAGCCACCGCACCAGGCCAGAAGTTAATTTCTGATTCCCACTCTCTGCCCTCCCCTCCCCCTCCCCACCTGTGCTGATGACAGACCCCACTGTCCAGCCTTCTGGGCTCTGACCAGGTGGGGCATCTTCCTGTCTCTGCCTTCAGAGCTTGGGAGGCCCCACCCGTACCTGAGCTGGAGCCTCACCTTCCTCCACTTCCCTAGCCGGGTGGCATCTGGACAACTCTACCCTGTACCTCTAGGCAGATGTGATCTCAGAACCACCATGTGCCCAGGATTTGAGAGTTGAAAAAGACAGCAAGGCAGAAGTCCAGGGCATATGGCTGGCGCTAACTCAATCAAGGTGTGGGCTATAACATGTTAGGCCCTGGGAACTCATCAGCCAAGGAGACAGATGTGGCCCTGCCCATTCAGAGCCCCTGGGCACAAATGTTGGAGTAGACAAAAACTAGAGTGACACAGGGACCCCTGGCAGGGCTGTTCTAACTGCCAAGGGTTAGGGACCACTGAGCCGAGAGCCGAGAGCAGAAGTGCAGGAGGCGAGCTGACCCCAGGAGACTGCAGGCCTTGTGGGGTGGTCTGTGGAGGAGTGGGGAGGGTCAGTGTCTGGCATGACAAGGCTCGGGAGCATCTGGGGGAGGGCCTGGCCCCACGTGCACATCACCAGCACCCTGGGCTGCTGGGGTGTGGAGAGGAACTGGCAACAGCAGCAAAAAGCCCAAGCAGGAGTTGGTGGGCCCCACCATTCCCACCCACTCACTCGCATCCCCATCAGGGAGGGCACAACACCCACCCAGCTGCCCTGAGTAGCACAGCTTGCAACTTCCTTGCTTCAGGCGTCAGGAGGACCCTAAAGGCTTCTTGGAAGCAGCGCCCCGCATGAGGGTGCCCAGCTCCCACTGCAGCTGAAGGAGGAGGGCCGAGAGCCTGCGGAGACAGGGCTGGTAGGCAGAGTGACAGGCGGCAGTGGCTGCCCCACTGAGGAGAAGAGGAGGAGCCACAAGCCCTGGCTGAGTGAGCAGAAGCCAGTCCCCCTGCCCCCTGTACGAGTGGCCACTCTGGGGCAGTATGCACTGCAGTGGAGGGATGGGGAGGCAGGCAGGTCCCACGCGCCTCAGCTTCCCAATACTGACCAAGACCTGGGCTGTAGGGGAGACTTGGACATGGACAGCGCCAGCCAGGGCAGGCCCACTGAGGCCTCTTCTGATCTTACCTTGGACTATGAGGCTTAGGGTGGAGGGCTGAGGAGCAGGCTCCCGCCACATGGGCCTGAAAGGGGCTAGCCTCCGTGAGCCCCTACCCTACCTGCTCCACACAGTGGGCGTTTGGAGGTGATGTGGGAGGTTTATATGGGGACTGCAGAGGGCGTGGAGATGCAGGCACAGTGCCACCGACACTCCACTCGGTCCCCACAACCTCCCGGACAGATGGGGTTACTCCCTCCTTATGGATGGGGAAACTGAGGCTCAGGTGAGGCCATGGCTGCGCCCCACAAAAGCACCTTTCAGTACTACTGGGCCAAACATTAGAACTTGATACCAGAGCTGTGACGGCCATGCCTGAGTGTGTGGGCGTGGTTGTGAAAAGAGCCACCCGTGAGCCCCAAGAGGTGGCCGGGCCACTGCCTCATCCAGAAAACTCCCCTGCATGCAGGAAGAGCTCAAGGGCTGCTGTGCAGAGACACTGGGTGAGGAAAGAGCTCAAAATCTCCCTGAGGGATGACTCAGGAGACAGAGACCTGACCAGACTCAGCCTCACACTGCACCCAGAGTGCTTCCTCTACTTCCTGTGGTAACAGAGCCTGTCTTCCTGGGCTCGAGAATAAATAAAACCAGGTCAAGTGCAGGTAACAACTTTTTTTTTTTTTTACCTTATTAGAAACATATAGTTTGGCAGGAGCTACAGAGATCATGGGTTGGAGGCGTGGAGTAGGGTTGGGGTTTGGCACAAGTCCAGGCACAGGCCCTTCCCCAGTGTCCCCTGCCAGCAGGTGGGGCCAGCTCCAGGCTGCTGCTGTCCACTCAGGTGGTGCGGACTGGGGGAGGTCCTTGCCAAGGCCAGGCGGGTAGCACAGGAACCTGTGGCTGTGGCCCGTCATACCAAGTCTTCCACTATGGGCAAACATCACTTCAATAATATAAAAAATCCAGAAGGAAAAGTCTAGTCTGAAATGACAATGAGATACCACCACATGCTTATTAGAATGCCCAAAACTCAGAACAGACAGCACCAAGTGCTGGTGAGGACATGGGGCAACAGGAACCTCATTCACTGCCGGTGGACATGCAAAATGGTGCGGCCTCAACAGATTCCTGAAAAACTAAACTAACATACTCTCACCATCCAATGCAATAATTGCACGCCTTGGTATTTGCCCAGAGGCACTGGAAACGTGCGTCCACATGAAAAATACTAATTACAGCAGCTTTATTTGTCATTGCCTAAACTCAGAAGCAAACAAGATGTCCTTCAGTAGATGAATGGATAAATAAACCATGTCACATCCAGACAACAGGATATAACAAGAAATGAGCTAGGAAACCATGCAAAGACATGAAGGGGCCTTAAAAGCATACGACTAAATCAGCCAGTCTAGAAAGGCTGCACACTGCACAGTTCCAACTACAGAACACGCTGGAGAAAAACAAAACTATGGAGACAGTAAGAGCATCGGTGGATGCCAGCGGGCAGAGGGGAGGAAGGGGATGAGTAGGTAGAGCTTGGAGGATTTTTGGGGCAGTGACATGACTGTGTGGCACTACCATGGTGGACATGTCATTATACATTTGTCTAAACCCACAGAATGTACAGCACCAAGAGTGTGTCCCAGTGGAAACTCAGGGCTCCAGATGATAAAGACGTCAGGCTGGGTGTGGTGGCTCACACCTGTAATCCCAGCACTTTAGGAGGCCTGGGTGGGAAGATCACTTGAGCCCAGAGTTTCAGACCAGCCTGAGCAACACAGCAAGACTGTCTAAAAAAATTTTTTTTAAATTAGCTGGGCATGGTGGCATACACCTGTGGTCCCAGCTACCCGGGAGGCTGGGGTGGGAGGATCACCTAAGCCTAGGAGATCAAGGCTGCAGTGAGCTATGGTTATGCTACTGACTCCAGCCTAGGCAAAAGAGTGAGATCTCATCTCAAAAAAAAAAAAAAAAAAAAAAAAAGATGTCAGCCAGATGTGATGGCTCATGCCTGTAATTCCAGCACTTTGGGAGGCTGAGGAGAGCAGATCGCCTGAGGTCGGGAGTTCGAGACCAGCCTGACCAACTTGGAGAAACCCTGTCTCTACTAAAAATACAAAATTAGCCGGGTGTGGTGGCTCATGCCTGTAATCCCAGCCACTAGGGATGCTGAGGCAGGAGAATCACTTGAACCCAGGAGGTGGAGGTTGGATGAGCCGAGATTGCACCATTGCACTCCATCCTGGGCAACAAGAGCGAAACTTGGTCTCAAAAAAAAAAAAATGTCAGTGCAGGCTCATCCATTGGAAACAAATGTGCCACTCTGTGGGGTGGATGGGACACTGAGAATGGGGGAGGCTGCAGGTGCGGGGAGGCGGGGAGAAGTATATAGGAACTCTACCTTCCACTCAACTTTGCTCAGTATTGGCCAGAGCCAACCCGGATCACTAAAACTATTTCTGACCTAAAATTAGATTTCGAGAAGGGCTTCATAGTAGCAGGACCTGACGGGACCCTAGGGCAGTCGCCTCAGCTAGAAGACAACCAGGAGGTCTATTCAGTTAGGAAGGGAAAACAAAACTGTCTTTCTGATGCCAGGCAGCTGCACTCAACGGTGTGAGACTGCACAGTACCATCCAAACTCCTGGATTTCTATGATTCTGGGAAAACAGAATCGGCAGTGTCACGACCAGGACAGAAGGTCCGGTTTAGCTTCAGGGACCCTGTGAGACCCTCCCCAATGACCAGCAGCTGGGCTGGCCTCTCAGGACATTGCTGCCCCCGGATGGGTAGACAGGCTGGGTTAAGAACACAGAAAGCTGGGTGTGGTGGCTCATGCCTGTGGCACTTGGGAAGCCAAGGCGGGAGGATCGCTTGAGCTCAGGAGTTCGAGACCAGCCTGGACAACATGGTGAAACCCTGTCTCTACTAAAAATACAAAAATTAGCCAGGTGTGGTGGCAGGCGCCTATAGTCCCAGTTACTTGGGAGGCTGAGGCAGGAGAATCGCTTGAAACCAGGAGGCAGAGGTTGCAGTGAGTCGAGATCACACCACTGCACTCCAGCCTGGGCAACAGAGCGAGACTCCTTCTCCAAAAAACAACAACAACAACAAAAACCCACACAAATGTGTGCACTAGGGACAAAGCTAAAGGCTGGCTCCCTCCTGCACGCCACCCTAGGCCACTCATTCTCAAGCCCAGGATGCCAGGAGGGAAGCCTGGCCTCAGCCTTAAAGCTGAGGCAGCTCTTGAGGCAGTGTCAACGACCTCTCCTAGCTGGAGATCCCAGCAGCACACTTCACTCATCCCAGCAGGGATGGGAGGGCTCAACAGGAATGACACAAGGGCCACCAGCAGCTGCTGGGAAGTGAAAGCAAAACTTCTATCTTGGGGCCCAAGAACTGAGATCAGAAGATTCACTTCCAACTTATGATCTGCCATTTAAAAGCTGTGTGACCTCAGTAAGACACTTAACCTCTCTGGGCTTTGTCACACAGGGTGATGATCTAACTTGCAAGGCTGCTGAAACAACATATTAACAGCACAAACTGGACCCTAACATACCCGTGACCTCCAGCATCTGCCTGTAAGCTTCTAAATGCTGGAAATAAAGCAACATTCTTTAAAACAAAACAAAACACAAATACAAATCCTGCCACGAGGAAGGGGGCAAGGTCTCGGGCCCCTGTAGACTTCCCAGGGTTGGGGAGATGGTCCCTCAGCCCACCGTGTGGCTGTGAATGATGGACTTGACATCTGAACTCATCAGTTTTCTCATCTGTAAAATGGGAATAACCCCATCCTCCCTTTCAGGGGCCACAGTCAGGGCATGAGTAGCCACAGCCACACCACCTCACGGCATCTGCTCCCGAGACAGAGGAACAGAGGGGCACAGGGGACAAGGGCTGGGAGAAAGGACACTGGGGGGCTCTCTGGGTCTCTAGGAGAACCCACCAGGGATGGCTGATGGGACAGGCCCCACAAATGGAGGAAGAGCGGGGCCGAGGGAGCCATCTGACCACAGAACATGCTCAGTGACCTTTCTCAAAACTGCATCAATGACCCCAAATAATATTTAGCAAGGTGAGAGCAAACCCATTAAGTGCTTAAGCAAAACACGAGGCCAGGTGTGGTGGCTCACGCCTGTAATCCCAACACTTTGGGAAGCCGAGGCGAGCAGATCACTTGAGGCCAGGAGTTTGAGACCAGCCTGGCCAACATGGCAAAATGCCATCTCTACTAAAAATACAAAAATTATCTGGGCATGGTGGCGGGTGCCTGTAACCCCAGCTACTCAGGGGGCTGAGGCAGGAGAATTGCTTGAACCTGGGAGGCGGAGGTTGCAGTGAGCTGAGATCGTGCCATTGCACTCCAGCCTGGGTGACAGAGCAAGACTCCGTCTCAAAAAAAAAAAAAAAAAAAGTGAGACCACCAGCCACGTTCCTGTTCCCGCCTTCCTCACTCCTGAGACAGGTGTGACCATGAGGCTTCCTGTGCATATCGTGGGTTTGTAAATGAACCCCACTGGGCTGTACCAAGTGCCCTTCAAGAGGTCCACTTCTCCTACCACCTTCACAGCCGCTCCATCAACTGGCTGCTTGTGACATTTGAAATCTTACACACAGAATCCAGTTTTCTCCAGGCAGGACCTGGCACAGCTTTGTTCCCAGAGAGTCCATTCTCACAAAAGGAGAGACGGGAACTGGGAGGTTCCCTCAAGGAAGCAGCTGTGTGTTGGGGCCGATGGAGAGGTCGACTGGTCCCCTGGGAAGGTCGGCATAACACTGGTGCCCTGCAACCTCTTGGCGAGCTCTCCCTGTGCCAGGCCCCGGGCAGCATGGCAGAGGGTGGTCTTGGGCTGGAACATACCATTGTGCAAAATAGCTCTGGGAACTGTCAGGGGCCATACAAAGCTCACTATTTTTCAACTCAAAAACACTGCTTTAGCTTTTTAATACGTCACTGAGGTACACTGAAGCATACCCAAGACTCTCAAAAACAGCCTAATACAGTTTGAGTGCTTCAAAAAATACCAGCCAATTTGCACACAGATCACACTCAGGAAAGTGAACACATGGCGGCTGCTCGCCAAATTCAACTCCACAGAGTTGACTCTGTGACTCCACAGAGCAGAACCTGCAGGGAAGCAGGCCAACCTCCAACCACCGAACTTGGGCCAAAACTCACAGCAGGAGAGGCAATGCCGTCCCATCCCAAGCATGTGGGCGCACACCCAGGAGAAGAACGAGCGGGCCACGACACTGTTCTCGCCAGCTATGCCTGTGGGCAGCAAGCAGCACACCTCCAGGGGCCACGTAGACAACCTGTGACACAGTGAACCCCACTCCACGCCAAACCACCCAATGGGAAACAGTGGTGAGCACAGCCATGGACCACAGAGAGTAACGCAAGTGGGCAAAACACATGAGAAGCCACCAAGCAGACCCGGATGAGAGCAATACTGTGTGTGCCCAGCACCAACACCAAATTAAGAGGAATCAAAAACCCTGCTGAGCGAGAGAACGTGGGAAAGGGCCTGGGATGGGCCCACTGTTGGCGAGGAGGGGCCCACGCCTCAACAATGAGGCGGACCCTCCAACGTGCCTCACACTTCAAGGCAGCTCTTCCAGGCCAGCCGGGGCCTTGGAGTGAGGGGCCACTGGCAGAAGGGAGCAAGACACTGGTCCACGGCACAGCCAGCTCAGAGCCAGGCGGATGAGACGGGGGCCAAGCCAGGGGCCGGCTACTCACGAGTGCACACGAGGACAGCCAGGATTCACTAGGACAGGATCTGCCCAATCCCAGGCACTTCCCACTGGTCCATCTGACACACCTGGGGGCCCAAGAGGTGATGGCATCACATAAAAGCAAAAGAAACTTGAAACCACCAATCCAGGCAAATTCGGACTCTCCCACAAATGGTCCATCCTTGGGGAGCATCTCCCCCACATCCTCAACCTCCAGCTACGTGTCTGCGGGTGGGCAGGAAGGAGGGGAGGCAGCATGGGCACCAGTGACCAGGACAGCCCTTTCCAAAAGAAGGCCCTGAACACAGTCAAGAGGAAGAGGAAGAAACACTGGGGCCTGGCGGGCAGGTCCTGGGGCCTCATGAGGGTGGTTTGGGGTCAGAAGACACACGATCAGGAACCAGGCGTCACCCCCAGAGGCTGCTGGAGTGCGTCCCACAGAGGCATGAGCAGCACCTGGCATGGGGACAAGGAGCTTACAGCAAGTGGGAGGTGCTCTGGTGCTCTACGCTAAGCTGCCTGGTGCCCCACAGCTCCACGGGGCAGGAGCACCCGGGAGGCTCCTACCACCACAGCCAGATAGCCCATTGAGGACGCACACCCCCAGTCCAGCACCCAGAGGTGAATGAAGGATTCCAGGACAGCAAGGGAGACACATGACCACCCTAGGGTGGACCATGGAACAGCTGTGGGTACACAAAGGCTCCCTGGAGCCATCATCCGTGGAGAGCACCAACTACGTCTTCTGAGTTGTGGGCAGGCCAGGAGGGGAGGGAGGTGTCCCAGGTGAGGGCCAGGCCTGTGGTGACTGTGCCTCGCAGTGGGCAGGGCTGCCAGAACCCAGCAGTGAGCTCACCTTAGTCAATTCTGCCAGCGGGCACCCCCACCACCAGGGAAATCCTGCAACCAGCCGCATCAGGAGCAGACGTTTATAACTAAAAGATCAAATATCCCCAACCACAAAAGTCCCAGTAATCCACACATGGGACTTCCCAAAATCCCATCTCTGAGAGATGACAACTGAAGAAGCCGAGGAGGAAGAGACGGTGTTTAAATGAGAGAGAGGGCCCAATGACAACGGACACCAGACACCTGCCACTTGTCATGTTGCAGATGCCAGGAGGAGGAGTGGGAACACGGGGTGGCAGCATGGGTTAGTGTTCTGCAAAGAAACCCAATGACCTTCCTGTTTTTGCTTCTGAGACAACTTAGGGAAGGAGTTTTGGGCCATCAATGCGGAATCCAAAAGCCCCTGTCTTGGGAAACCACGGGGCCACCTGGCCGGGTGTGCCAATGCCCAGCAGAGCTTCGGTTATTAACAGGGCAGGCCAGCGCTCCAGGCAGGCAGCTCGGCACTTCCAGTGGCTGCACACCCACCACACACAGGCACAGGGCTGGGAGGCACTGCTCGGCTCCCTGGGCCCTGCCAGAGTGGCTCCCTATCACTTGCTTATTTTATAAAGTGGCACTTTACAGCTGGTTTAATGTGGTAAAACAGGAACCTGGCTTAAAAAGAAAAGGGAACTCGCACTGTGCCAGGCTGGCACCCAGCGCAGGGACATCCCTGTAAGCATCCGTGGTCTGGAGAGTGTCCAGTGGCACCGCCCGCCCAGCAGTCAGGGCCGCGGGTATCTTTATGGCATCTGGGAGGGAGCACCCCCACCCTGGGGTGATAAGTGGGATGAAAAGAAGGTGACAGAGTTTTTCTGTCTTATTTCTGGAAAAGGCAACTGGCAAAGCTGGAGAACAGCAAGGGAGTGAAGCAGACCCATAGGAGCGAGGGAGCCCCAGCAAGTGGGGGGCACGTCTGGCCAGGCTCTGAGGAACTGAGCTGCCCGTACTGGGAATCCCAGGCAGGATGTGGGCTCTTGGAGGTGATGGAACAGACAGAACAGGCTATTGCAGGACACACGTTCCTCCTCACCCGGCCCCACCACATGTTCATCTAGTAACAGTTCACCAAGTGAGCTGATGTGGCCCCAGACACCCAGAGCTCAGGGTACGTGCAGAGCCACGGCTGCTGAGCACTCAGGGGCTGTGAGGAGATGTCTGAGCAGTGGTGGGAAGGGACGGGACCTGTTACTCTGGCCACCTGGAGCCAGCGGGAGTGGAGAATGGGCTGTTCCCAAGCACCCGCCTAGGGCTCAGAAACACCACCCTTCCTTGGGTCCTGCCGAGCTTCCCTCCTCAGGGAGCCTTCCCTGCTGCAGGCTGGATGAGGGCCCACGGGACTGTCACTCATCACTCCCGTTCAGAATGCACCTGGCTAACTGGAGTCACACGTGGGGGCCTGGCTGCTGCCTGGCCAAGGTTAAGGACACACACTCTGGCCAGACGCTAGGTCTGACCCCACTCCTATCCATGTGGACAACCCGCTCACTCACATCCCCCCGCCTGATCCAAGGGGCTCACTGAAGCACTGACTCCTCGGCATCCAGGGAGGCCTCGCCTGGTGGCTGCAGCGTGCAGAGGATCTGCGGGCTGTCACGGCGGATGCAGGGGTCAACTGTGCTGGCACCTCTGCTAAGCATGCATCACTTCATTTTGGCCTCCTCAGCCACTTGTGCCAACAGGCCAGGGACGGCACAGAGAGGCTGGAGGGGTGAGGCTGAGGAGGAGGGGAGGTGGGCAAAGGGCATCTGTCAGCCATCTACCTAAGGGTGTGCTCACTGACGCACAGAGGCCACTCCTGCTCTGTTTTTCCAAAGCAATCTGTGACTCTCGGGATTACCCACATCTCAAGTCACATCCTGATTGAAATCCATGACGCGTGGCTTGCTTTGCTAAATTTCCCCTACATTTTCTACAGAGCTCAGCATTCTTCAACTCCCATCTGAAATTGCCATGTACATCTCATCCCTGTCACGTTCATCTCTGCCTGGGAGGAAGGGGAAGTGGCTACAGACTCCAGAACCTGCAGCCTGGGTCCGGTCATCAGAGCAGTGATGCTCTCTGTCATTGGTCAGCAGAGGTTAGGCCCACCTGTCAGGCCTCAGAAGAGCCTGGCACCGCCCACAGGGTGGATCAACGGGTTAATAAGTCACAGCAGAAAACCTGAGGCTCGACTTTAAATAAACAGAACTCTCCCAGCTGCATCCCTGCCAAGGCCCGAGAGTGACACTGGCACATGAGCTATATCTCCCCCCACCAACACACCCCATGGGCTGTCATGAGAAACACTGCATATACCAGAACCCATTTACTCTGGGACACTCTCCACGGAGCCCTGCCACCACCTGTCCAGTGGACAGGGCCTGAGGGACACAAAGCCCCCACAGCCCTGAGCACCCGAGGAGCCACCTGGCCTGGGGATGTGTGATGCCTGCGCACAGGAGGCTCTCAGCCCACAGCTCCAGCAGAGGAAAAAACTCTTGCCTTGTGGAGACAACCCAGGCTTTGACTATTCTGGGCTGCCAGGGCTGTGGGAGCAGCAGGTCAAGGTTCAGGACATCTCACCCTCCTGCCATCATGGCCAAACCTCAGGCGACTGAGAACGATGGGCAACTTCTGTGTGCCAGAGGGCAGTGACATACCAGGACATCAGGGGAACACAAGCCACTGTCCCGTAGCCCCCACTCCTCTCCCATCCTCTCCTCCCCTCCCCTCTCCTCTGTGGTGTGCTTTCTTCTGCATCTGCCACAGCTCACCCAACAGCAAATGCAATCCCAACTAGTTAGGCTCTTGTTAGGACTGAAGATAGCTTTTGCTATTCTTCTCTACTCAATTCTTCATCCTAAGGATGCTGTGGCCAGTCACACCCTCCCACGGGCAAGGGCACCCGGCAATAAGCCCCAGCTACTGCCATTACTCATCCCACTTCCCAGGCAGGCAGGAAGGCAGGTGTGCAGAGCACTGGGCAGGGCCATAGTACCTGTGCCACACACACACATGCTCTTCACCTCATCCAGAGTTTCCTAGGTTTTGGTGCTTCAACAGCCCTCAGTAACGCAGGCTCCTTACTATGAGATAGCCTGGGAGAGAGCTGGGGTTTCTGTGATGGGAAAGGGCTAAGCCGGGAAAGGAAACAGTGTGTGACTGGCGCCTTGCAAGCCACCTAAGGCACCAGGCACACACAGGGGAGGGGAGAAGAGGACGGGAGAGGAGTGGGGGCCACGGGATGCGGCTTGTGTTCCCCTGATGTCCTGGGACACAGCTCCCTGAACCCCAAAACACCCCACGGACAGGAAAGCAAAGTAAGGAGAGGTGAATGTGAGTTGCAGGAGGGGCTGCAGGCACTGACCTGACCTCCCACCCACAGGATGACCCCACACAGCAGAGGGAGAAACTGAGGCCCAGAGGGTGGCACCACTGTACAGTCAGGTACCCCCACCCTGTGTCCTGCTCTGTACTACACAGACCACCCAGCACACATGTGGCCAATACCAGTGAGGCAAAGGTGGCAGCCTGGGCCCCCCATGCTGGCCCTCAGCCATCCCTGGGACAACAGTCTAGACACCCAGAAGCTCTGCACCTAGGCCCACTGACCCAGCCTCCCTCCAAGCCCTGGGTGCCCATGTGTGCCCAGGCTGCTGCCCCTGGCACTCAGGCCATGCCACACGCAGCAGCTGGGTCTGAAGCCTGGCTTGGAACCAGCCCCCCACAGTCAACATGGAGACAGCCCTGCTGGCACCGCCCCAGGCCTGGGCCCTGTCTCCCGCACCCTCCAGCGACCTGCCTGGGCCACCCTCAAGGTGCGCCTGCTCCTAAGCCGCCTCCCACAGTGGAGGGACACCCGGGCTGCTTCAGAGCAGACTGTGGCAAGTTACCCTCTCCCCCAGGGGGAAAGGGATCCAAAGCTCCTGTGCCTCTGGGGTGCAGCATCAGCCCAGACTTCTGCTCGGCTGGGTGCCATGGCTCACGCCTGTAAGCCCAGCACATTGGGAGGCCAAGGCAGGAAGTTCGTTTGAGGTCAGGGGTTTGAGACCAGGCTGAGCAACACAGGGAGACTCTGTCTCCATATAAATAAAAAATTAGCCAGGTGTGGTGCCACGCACTTGTAGTCCCAGCTATTTGGGAGGCTGAGGTAGGAGGATCACTTGAGCCCGGGAGCCAAGGCTGCAGTGAGCTATGATCACACCACTGCACCCCAGCCTGGATGACAGAGCAAGACCTCGTCTGAAAAAACAAAAGCAGACTTCCGTTCAACAGCATGTGAACCTCACCTTGCACACCTAGGAGTTCGTTACCCTCCTCAGCTCAGAGATTAGAGGGAACTCTCCCCACAGAGATGCTATGATCAGAGGGCCAGGGACCCTGTCTCATTGATCCTACGCTCTACGCCAGACATCGCCTCAGAATCCTTCTCAACACGGCTCCACTTCCTATCTACAAGGAGCTGGCCTACAAGATGGAAGCGATTCCTACATTATGGGGTCATGTGGCTCCAGGCACATGGCCCTCGACCAGTGGGAGCCTGTGCACAGGTAAGAGAGCCAGGGCAGCCTGGAGATGAGCTGGACACAGGCTGCCAGCACTGGCTGTCCCCTCCCACTTGCCAAATCCAGTGTGAGCTGAGCACATTTCACTGGAACAAGCAGGCGTCTGAGAGCATCCAACTCCAAAAATAGTGCCACCAGGAGAGGAAGGAACACGCTCTTCTAGCTGCACCCGCTCCCTGCCCTCAGATACCTCCCTGCACAGTCTGTGCCTGGCCTGTGGCAGTTCAAGGGTCACACCCAACTCTGAAAAGGGAGAGATAACATCCCCAGATAAGAAGAGTGAAAACAGGCCAAGTCTGCTGCCAGAGCCTGGCCACAGACCCACAGCCCCTTGGCAGAGAACTGCTCAGGAAGTCCTCCTCTGAGTCTTTCAAGCCACTGGTATCTAACAAAGAATCTAATCTGCACACGGCACTTGCCCCGAGCTAAGAAAGTTCTGGAAGGGTCTCCTAGGTCTCCCCAGCCCAAGGTGAGCTTGCTTCTGTGGAGGGAGATGCCTGCCTGCCCATGTCCACCACCACTGCACACCAAGCCAGTCTGAAGCCACCATGATCTGGCTGTTGCTGGTTTATGGTGCACCTCCCCGCTGCGAAGAAGTGGGCCATGTGAGCGCAGGGGCTTCATCCCTCCTGCTTCTTACTGGAGAAACACTCCTGGAGGCAGCCGAACCCTCACTGGGTGCAATCCCTCTGTGTAGGAGATTGCACTGTGTAGGTTGTGCCCCGCCGAACAACCACGCAGCTGAGGCTCAGCTCAGAGACTGCATTCAGAGCCCAACTAGAATCAGACACAGGTTCTGCGGGCCCCACTACCCATCTGGAGGCAGACGCCTGACCCCCAGCTCCATCCCCAGAGATGAGGATGCAGCAGGCTGAGGCTGACTCCATGCGGCAGCTGCTCCCAACTCCACAAGGGACACACAAGCCAGCCCTTCCCATCCAGGCTGCACATGACTGTGTTTTGTTTCAAAGGTCACATACAGGTCACAAATAAAGAGGCCGGTTCCCACTGGAGGCTATGTCAGGATTGATGCAGTCCCTGAGAAAAACTCCCGGAAAACCCAGGGACTCCCATGCGGGCTGAGAAACATTTTGAGTTTGCATGAGATCAAAATAGGAGTCACAGCTGAGTGTGGTGGCTCACGCCTATAGCACTTTGGGAGGCCAAGGCGGGAGGATCACTTGAGGCCAGGAGTTAACAGACTGCAGTGAGCTATGATCACACCACTCCACTCCAGCCTGGACAGCACAGCAAGACCCTCTCTCTAAAAAATAAAAACAAAAATAGAATAAAATAAAATACAATACAAGAGTCAGCAGCCAGGAGGGTAGCCTGTCCCAGAGTGGATGCCCTCAGGTTCAAGGTTTGACATCATCTGCACTAACTGTGTGATCTCAAGTTAGCCATTATCTTCTAGATGTCCCATTAGTGAAATAAAGGGGCCAGAACAAAAGGACCCTCCAAAGTCTCAACTGGCCCTGGCCAACAGCAAGGCTTCACAGGGCTGCCTGGCACTGCACAGGGGCCTGGGAGCCCAAGGCCCGAGCCTGGCCCCACGACAGTGGTTCCATTAACACACCAACTCTTCCTGCCACACACCCAGCTGGACACCCTAGACCAGCGGCCAGCAAGCTTCTTTTATGAAGGGCCAAAGAGTTGGTATTTCAGGCTTTGTGAGCTAGACAGTTGCAGCCTTGGCTGCCGTCACAGGGCAAGAGCAGCCATAAATTACAGGTAAGCAAGTGGGCAGCTGTGTCCCTATAAAACTTTATTTACAAAGACAGGTGGCAGGCCAGACCCAGCCCTTTGGCCACAGTTTACCAACACGCTATAGTCTCTAGGGTTGCTGCTGAAAAAGATCACACTACAGCCCACTCTGTCCGCGTCCTAACAAGGCAGCAAGCCTTGTTGTGGGGATAAGCAACTATAGCAGTGACCCTGGGCAGAGCCTATAGGCCTCAGTTTCCTTGAGGACACAAAAAGAGACCCTGTGAGTCACCTCTACCACTAATTCCATGGGGAAATGGAGCAAACATGAGGTGGACGCAGCCCAGGTTCCCCTCAAGATCTCGGGAATAATATTTCAGAGTAGCCGTGAGCAGGAGGCACCCACCAGGGCCCTTCCCCACAGCAGCCAGGTTGGAGGTCCTGTGAACCAGGCGCCCTGATGCAATCCAGCAGGCATCCTTATCACAGTGCCCACTGAGACCCTAAGGTCACTCCCTCCAGGTGTAGGGGCTACAAGATCCACAGCAGGAAGCTCATTGTACCCCGAAAAGTCACTGTTTTCAGAAAGGAAAAAGGAACTTCCCAACCCAGCTTACCCTCCTCAGGCCTGTGGGAGGAGACAAGGCCACCCCAAGCCCTTTGGGTTCCTGGTGGGGAGTCACCCTTCCGAAAGAAGGGCAATGTGATGGGGTGGCCGCCCCCACCCGGCCCCTTGGCCCACAGGCCCCCACTAATCAGCCTACCCTGGATAGAGGGGCCCAACCTAAGGTCTCCAGGGTGAACACAGATGGAGACACAGGCCAATGCACGTGCGCGCGCGCGCACATACACACACACACACACACACACACACACACACACACACACACACACACACACACACACACTCCCCTCCCCAACTGGAGGCCTGGGGCTCCTCCTGGAAGTAGGTGGATTCCACCTGCCCACAGGATCCTAAGAAAACTCTGCTCCTCCTCTTCCCTCCCACCCACCTTCAGCAAATGCCTCAGGGCTAGGCCAAGGGCAGCAGCTGGACCCCCCCGCCCAGCCAGTGCCCCCCAGTGGGCTGTCCCTGACCTGCAGGACCTCCAGGCCACTTCTCACCTGGAAGAGACCTCATTTTCCACAAAAGCTTAATCCAAAAAGGGCTAAAAATAGAGATTCTGCACCCATCTGAGCTCTTTGCCTGAGAAGGGCCCTGAAGCCTCAGTACCTGCAGGGCTCAGAAGTCCTGCCACTGAGAGGCTCAACCACCCTGGCCAACCTCACCCAAGGCCCTTCCTAACCCTCACTGCTTACAGAAACCCATGTCCCAGCTGGGCACGATGGCTCACGCCTGTAATCCCAGCACTTTGGGAGGCCAAGGTGGGTGGATCACTTGAGGCCAGGAGTTTGAGGCCAGCCTGGCCAGCATGGTGAAACCCCGTCTCTACTAAAAACACAAAAAACTTAGCTGGGCATTGTGGCGCAAGCCTGTAATCCCAGCTAATTTGGAGGCTGAGGCACGAGAATTGCTTGAACCTGGGAGGTGGAGGTTGCAGTGAGCCAAGAATCACACCACTGCACACTCCAGCCTGGGTGACAGAGTGAGACTCGGTCTCAAAACAAAAAGAGAAACCTGCATCCCAACACAGGCCGGGCAACCGCACACTGGCTATGCAGAAGCAGGGCACGTAGCCACTGTCATCTCCACTCAGCCCCAGCTTCCCTCACTGCAGAGCCACACCGGGCTCTCCCTGTCCCTTTCTCTCACCTGAGCCCAGGTGATCCTGCTCGAGACCTTCCTCTGTCACCTGTGACCAGGTGACTCCTGGGTCCATCCAGGGGCATCAGAGGCCCTGCAGGTCCTAGCTCTCACAGGACAGTCACATACATGAGGGCATTTAAATGGCTCCAAGACCACCCCACACCCATTAAGATGGCTACCATCAAAAAATAACCAGTTCGGGCAAGGACGTGGCGAAACCACAACCCTTGTGCACGGCTGGTGGGAATGTAAAATGCTGCAGCCGCTGTGGAAAACAATCTGGCAAATCCTCAAAAAATTAAACACAGAATGACCAAATGAGGCCGGGAGCAGTGTCTCACACCTCTAATCCCAGCACTTTGGGAGGCCGAGGTGGACAGATAACCTGAGGTCAGGAGTTCAAGACCAGCATGGCCAACATGGTGAAACCCCGTCTCTACTAAAAATATAAAAATTAGCTACGCATGGGCCGGGTGCGGTGGCTCATGCCTGTAATCCCAGCACTTTGGGAGGCTGAGGCGGGCAGATCATGAGGTCAGGAGATCGAGACCATCCTGGTTAACATGGTGAAACCCCATCTCTACTAAAAATATAAAAAATTAGCCAGGCATGGTGGTGGGCGCCTGTAGTCCCAGCTACTCGGGAGGCTGAGGTAGGAGAATGGCATGAACCCGGGAGGTAGAGCTTGCAGTGAGCTGAGATAGCACCACTGCACTCCAGCCTGGGTGACAGAGCGAAACTCCGTCTCAAAAAAAAAAAAAATTAACTTGGCGTGGTGGTGGGCGCCTGTAATCCCAGCTACTTGGGAGGCTGAGGCAGGAGAATTGCTTCAACCTGGGAGGCAGAGGTTGCAGTGAGTCAAGATCACGTCACTGCACTCCAGCCTCGGCGATCCAACAGGTCTACTTCTGGGTATGTATCCAAAAGAACTGAAAGCAGGGGTTTGAACAGATACTTACATGCCCTGTTCACAGTAGCATGGTTCACTACAGTCAAGAGGTGGAAGCAACCCAAATGCCCATGGACAGAGGAATGGATGAGCACGATGTGGTCCATCCACACCACAGGACATCAGTCTGGTTCCCTGCCCACTGCCCACCACCCACCATACCACCGGAGGGGGCCTGATGGAGAAGGTGGAAGTACAGGGGGCCCCAGCTCCCTCTGACAGTGCTGTGGGCTTTCCAGTGGGAAAATTGCTAAAGAAACCAGGAAGCTGGCCAGGCACAGTGGCTCAAGCTTGTAATCCCAGCATTTTGGGAGGCTGAGGTTGGAGGACTGCTTGAGCCCAGGAGTTCGAGACCAGCCTGCGCAACACAGTGAGACCCTGCCTCTACAAATTAAAAAAAAAAAAAGGGCCGGGCACAGTGACTCACGCCTGTAATCCCAGCACTCTGGGAGGCCGAGGTGGATGGATCATGAGGTCAGGAGTTCAAAACCAGCCTGGCCAAGATGGTGAAACCCCGTCTCTACTAAAAATACAAAAATTAGCCGGGCATGGTGGCAGATGCCTGTAATCCCAGCTACTGGGGAGGCTGAGGCAGGGGAATCGCTTGAACCCAGGGGGCAGAGGTTGCAGTGAGCCAAGATCATGCCACTGCACTCCAGTCTAGGCGACAGAGTAAGACTCCGTCTCAAAAAAAAAAAAGAAAAAAAATTAGTTGAGTGTGATAGCATATGCCTGTAGTCCCAACTACTGGGGAGGCTGAGGTGGGAGGATCGCTTGAGCCCAGGATGTTGAGGCTGCAGTGAGCTGTGATCACGTGATTGCACTCCAGTCTGGGCAACAGAGCAGAAAGCTCCGTCTCAAAAATAAAGAAATAAAAATAAAGAAACAGGCCAGGTGCGGTGACTCACGCCTGTAATCCCGGCATTTTGGGAGGCCAAGGCGGGCAGGTCGCTTCAGCTCAGAAGTTCAAGACCACCCTGGGCAACATGGTGAAACCCCATCTCTACAAAAACATACAAAAAGCAACCAGGCGTGATGATGGGTGTCTGTAGTACCAGCTATTTAGGAGGCTGAGGTGGGAGGATTGCTTGAGCCTGGGAGGCAGAGGTTGCAATGAGCCAAAACTAGGAAGCCAGTTCTCTATTTCAGAAAAAAAACAATAAAACCCTAACAGCAGAGCTATAGGAGAAGCTATTTTAAATTTTGGAGGCTTTGCTTTCTGGGATCATTTTTTGGGTCAACGAGGAGAGCAGCTGACACCTCGTGCACAGCCAGGGAGAACAAGCCTGTCTCACCTCTAGGACAACACCTTCACCTGAATTGGGAAGTTGAGGCTCAGGGAGGGTGCCAGCAGCCTGGAGCCCCAAATTGTCAGTGGGAGCAGCGCCACCAATGTACCTGATCCCCAATATGCAGTTCTCAGCATCCTTCAAGAGAGACGCCTCTTTGTGAAAACATTTTCACCAACATATAAAAAGGACACGGGGCGCAACAACAGCATCTCATGAAGAGCTGAGGCCCCCGATGGGCCTGGGGGAAGGACAGGGGTGTTAACAGTAGGGTATATACTTGCGGTCTCCCCATCTGAAGAACGGTGAGAAGGACTGACCACAGCCCTCCATCACCAGCAGCTCAATTTGTCCAAAGAGGAGCAAGCCAAGCGGGGCTGAGCTGCCTTCCCTGGCCTCAAAATCGCAGCCTCATACTCCAGGCTCCACTCACAGACACATGGGCATGCCAGGCCGTGGCCTGTGCTGGGTCACCTGCCTCACCTCACCTCATCGCTCTATGTAGCCTCACTACGGGACAGTGGACTGGCCTGTACACACACAAGGCCTGCAGCATCCGGACATCCCCAGAACCAAGCATAGTGCCAAGAACACAAAAATGCCCGAAGAATACTGACCTGTCAGGCTCCACGATGCACAGAAGGTGCAGCATTAAAACATAAAGTGTTCAGGGAAGAAGAGACGCAAAACCATATGATTGTGCCACTATGACAACACGGTACACCCAGGCGAGACAGAGGAGGGTGCAAAGGTGTCAACAGAAATTACCTGGGGCAATGAGAACAGACTTGCTAATTTTAGGTACATTGCAGGCTTTCTACCCTGAGTTATACTGCTTATATAGTAAAAAGGAAAAAAAAAACTTCACAGGATGCTTTTAAAACAGGAGTTCAGGCTGGGCCCAGTGGCTCACGCCTGTAATCCCAGCACTTTGGGAGGCTGAGGCGGGCGGATCACAAGGTCAGGAGATGGAGACCATCCTGGCTAACACGGTGAAACCCTGTCTCTACTAAAAACACAAAAAATTAGCCGGGCGTGGTGGCGGGCGCCTGTAGTCCCAGCTACGCAAGAGGCTGAGGCAGGAGAATGGCATGAACCTGGGAGGCAGAGGTTGCAGTGAGCCAAGATCACACCACTGCACTCCAGACTGGGCGACAGAGCGAGACTCCATCTCAAAAACAAAACAAAACAAAACAAAAAAATCGGAATTCAGTTATTCCACAAACTTGACCAGAACTCGAAGCCCTACCCCTTCACAAACACATCTGCTGGCCTGGCTGCCTCAGTCAGGAGCCGTGTCTCCACTTGGTCAGGAGGGTCCAGCCCTGGAGGATATAATTAGCATCAGACTCTGGGGCCCACTGCCAGGTCAGATGGAGGCGGGAGGTCTCTAGGACGCTTTTATCTGGGAGAATAGTCTCCCTGCGGATGGTTTATTTGGACACCAGCTTTTTTCATTAAAAAGCAAAGTGACAGCCGGGCACGGTGGCTCGCACCTGTTAATCCCAGCACTTTGGGAGGCCAAGGCAAGCAGATCACGAGGTCAAGAGATCGAGACCATCCTGGCTAACACGGTGAAACCCCATCTCTACTAAAAATACAAAAAAATTAGCCGGGTGTGGTGACGGGCGCCTGTAGTCCCAGCTACTCAGAAGGCTGAGGCAGGAGAATGGCGTGAACCTGGGAGGCAGAGTTTGCAGTGAGCTGAGATCACACCACTGCACTCCAGCCTGGGCAACAGAGTGAGACTCCATCTCAAAAAAAAAAAAAAAAAAAAAAGCAAAGTGACAAAATAACCACATGTCATGGCCATCTCTGTCATTCACTGCACCTGCAGGTCACAGGCCATTTGGATGCATTGTTCTACATTTCCCTTTGGACTCTGTGGCTGACTACACAGGTGAGATTGAAGACAACCCTGTCCATGAGATTCAGAGACCAAGGAGAAAGTGTAACAACTGAATTCATCAAGGCAGAAAGCACAACGGGGAGCAAGACCCTAAAACAAAGGACACAGAAGAGGCCAAACCCAAAATGTGCAGTATCAATCACAAGTCTGTGCCCTGCCAGGTGCCTTAAACAAGGCTGATGCCCCCTGAGAAGCAGACCTCTGAAAACTAGGGTCTCTTCCCTGGGCAGCTGCTTCGAGCCCAGGGCTACGTGGAGCAGAGAGGCAATCCTGTTTGTCAGGCTGGCGGGTTCCTCCCTCAAGGTCTCCCAGTCGGGATGTCACAATCCGGGTGTGATGTCAAAACTGCTTCAAAGGTGATGAACTACGGCCTTGGCCGTGAGTCAACAGAGGGGTGGGTTTCCGAGTGAGCGCTGCCTGCTGTTTACACACAATCACAGCCACGGCAACCAGCTGAAAGCACAGTCAAGGGTCACGATGCCGAGTGCAGAGCTCAGTCCCTCACACACACTCTTGCCTGCCTCCTGCAGAGACTGCCAGCTCGGGCCCACAGACTCAAGCTGGCTTGTCCTCTTCTAGCACCTTCTGGGAGAATCCACCCAGAACCACCAAATGCTCACCTTGAAACACACAGGCAAACCATACCCTGGTGCACCAGTGGGCCACTCCTGATGCCTCCTGGCAGCCCACCTGTTCCACCCCAGCCCATCCAGCGGCCACAGTCCTTCAGAGGTGGCAGAGCCCAGGCCATGACACTTGGATTCTGAGTTCTCAGCTACTTCCCAGCTGGGAGATCCTGCCTGGTGATTCAGCCTCCTCCAGAGTCTCCACCCATATCCTCACCTAAGAAATGGGAACTGCTCCCACCACGGGGAAGATGGGATGAAATGCAGTACTGTGGGTGGCACAGCCAGCACTGGCGGGGTGGGGCACCCTCCACAGGTGTAGGTGCCCATCACCTTTCCACTTTCTTGGGGGAGGGGGTCCAGCATAGCCAGCAACCGGAGGAATCTGCTCAGTCACTCACGTCACCAAGGTTCGGGCCTCTTGGGGACGCGGAAAGTTGCATTTAAGTGAGGCTCAGGACCCCAGTGTGACTCCCCTTCAGGTCAAGACCCCTGCAACCTCAAAAGATAGTTTGGCTTGAGCACTCAAGAGGCAGTATGGGCCAGTGAGGACAGCCGAGCACCCTTGGACAGGTGATGCCGCCTCTCAGAGCCTCATCTGTCCCTGTCGTGAAGGGGGACCATAAACTTCCTCTCCCGGCAAGTGGTCAAGATGATGTGCACCCATGGGAAGGGATGGGGGTCTAGCCCAGGGCCAACAGGGGCAGCACTAGCACTAGGTCTCTAAAGAAGGCCTTCTCTGAAAAGCAGGCAGGGCTGGCAAGAAGCTGCCCTGCTCAGAACCAAGGGGGGTGCCCACCGGGAAGGGAAGATAAGTCGGGCCTCTGGGGCCCTGCTGTGAGAATGGATCACAGGCTGAAGTAAGGCTCCTCCTGCCACCGGTGCCAAGGGTGACATCCACACAGCCCACCCACTTAGCAGCAGACAGTAGCCCCCAGCACAGCTCCAGGGCCACCCAGAAGAGCTGAGTACTGGCCACAGGCCTGAGGCACAGCACCCCTCTACCTCCACTCCCTTCACACCCTTCCCTGCGACAGCACACCGGCCATGCCTGGGACCCTTCCCCCAGCAGACTGCAGCTCCGTGTCACCTGCTGGAAGCACTCACTGACTGCCCCACCTATACCCCTCACCATCATTAACGTTGACCGCCGGTGAGTTACTCTTGCTAATTTCTGTGCCATCCTTCCTGTTCATGAATTCTGTCTCCTGCCACTAGAATGTCAGCTCGTGACATGAGGGGCCCATCTCAATCACTGGTGGGTATCCCGCCCTGAGCCATGGGCACTGACCAGAGGCTCAATCATACCAGGTTAGATGAGTGATCTGGAGTCTCCCACCGGCTCTGTACGAACCTCCAGGCAGGGACCAGCCCCCCAGGAGCCAGCTCTGGGTCCATTCACTAAGGGCTCAGAGCACAAGAGGGGTCAGGTTATTCTCCTCCCAAGAGGAAGAGAATCTGGAACTCAGAAAGGGTCAGGCACCAGGATCCTCACAGCCCTGAGAGAAGGATCTGGAACTTGAGGGAGCAGGTCAAGTACTGCTGACCCCAGTTCTGAGAAGGATTCGGAGATGGGAGGGGTCAGGCACTCACCCATGGCCTCAGGAGGCAGGTGGAGCTGAGATTCAAATGGAGAGAGGCTCTAATCCCCAGGCCTCCTGAAGCACTTCCTGGGCCCTCATTTTTTTCTGAACAACGGTGTGCTCCTCTCCACCAAGGAGCTTGTGATCCAAAAGAGGTCACTCAGCAACAGAGCCCATGCAAACACCTAATGATGAACTACAACCCAAGTGCCCCTGGGAGGGTCACTTCCTCAGACTGACCAGAGGCTACTTTTCCAAGCAGGTGAGTAACACTGTCCTGGAAGGAGGGGGTGTGTCCATGCTTCCACTCTCCCCTCTCCCAGAAATCACTCATCAGAGCAAACCGGGAGATCCACAAGAACAGCCACCTCACAACCCATGAAGGTTTCGTTTTGTTTTTTGACACAGGGTCTCCCTCTGTTACCCAGGCTGGAGTGCAGTGGTGCGATCTCGGTTCACTGCAACCTCCATCTCCCAGATTCTCCTGCCTCAGCCTCCCAAGTAGCTGGGATTACAGGCATGCACCACCACGCCTGGCTAATTTTTTTGTATTTTTAGTAGAGACAGGTTTTCACCATATTGTCCAGGCTGGTCTCAAACTCCTGACCTCAAGGGATCCTCCCACCTCAGCCTCCCAAAGTGCTGGGATTACAGGTGTGAGCCACCACGCCCGGCCATCCCATGCAGGTTTTTATATTCAAAGAAAAACAGACACGTAGTTCATGCCTGTAAGCCCAGCACTTTGGGAGGCCGACACAGGAGGATCCCTTAAGCCCAGGAGTTCAAGACCAGCTTAGGCAAAATGGGGAAACCCCATCTCTACAAAAAAAAATTTTTTTTAATTAAAAGAAAAAGAAAAAAACTGGGCCAGGCACAATGGCTCATGCCTGTAGTCCCGGCACTCTGGGCAGCTGAGGTGGGAAGATCACTTAAGCCCAGGAGTTCAAGGCCGCAGTGAGCTATGATCACACCACTGTACTCCAGCCTGGGTGACAGAGTAAGACCTTGTCTCAAAAAAAAAAAAAAAAGAAGGAGAAGAAGAAGAAAAGAAAAGAGAAAAACTAGGCCAGGCACGAAGGCTCACTCCTATAATCCCAGCACTTTGGGAGGCCAAGGGAGGAGGATCACCTGAGGTCAGGAGTTCGAGACCAGCCTGACCAACATGGTAAAACCCCGTCTCCACTAAAAGTACAAAATTTGTAGGGCATGGTGGTGCATGCCTGTAATCCCAGCTATTTGGGAGGCTGAGGTTGCAGTGAGCCAAGATAACACCATTACACTCCAGCCTAGCAACAAGAGTGAAACTCTGTCTCAAAAAACAACAACAACAACAACAAAAACTAGGCCAGGCACGATGGCTCACTCTTGTAATTACAGCACTTTGGGAGGCTGAGGCAGGGAAATCACTTGAGCCCCGGCGTTTGAAATCAGCCTTGGCAACATAGTGAGACCCCGTCTCTACAAAAAAATTTAAAACTTAGCCAGGTGCAGTGGTGCACACCTGTGGCCCCAGCTACTCAGGAGACTGAAGCAGGAGGGTGGTAGTTCGAGGCTGCAGTGAGCTATGATCATGCCATTGCACTCCAGCCTGGACAATGGAGCAAAACCCTGTCTCAAAAAAAAAAAAAAAGGGGGCCCAGCGTGGCGACTCAAGCTTATAATCCCAGCACTTTGGGAGGCTGAGGCAGATGGATCACTTGAGGGGTCAGGAGTTTGAGACCATCCTGACCACATGGTAAAACCCCATCTCTACCAAAAATACAAAAATTAGCCAGGCACGGTGATGCGTGCCTGTAATCCCAGCTACTTGGTAGGCTGAGGCAGGAGAATCACTTGAACCCGGGAGGCGGAGGTTGCAGTGAGCTGAGATCACGCCAGCGCAATCCAGCTTGGGCGACAGGGCAAGACCCTGTCTCAAAAAAAAAAAAGGAAAGAAAAACTGCACAAAGTCCAAGGTAGAGTGAGAAGGCCAGCAGCTATGTGTACTGCTGCGCCTTTACCTTCCACCACGCTGCTCCAGCTGGCTACCAGGTCAACACCAGAGCCCTCTGGGGAGAGAAAACAGGAGGGCTTCTACCTGGGCTGTTCCCAGAGCTAGGATTACCTGCTCCTGGGAGCCACAGAGAAAGTTCCACAGCAAGTTCCTTTCTAGCCCCTGCCACACCTGAATTTGTAAAAGCCTCTTCACAATTAAAAACTAAAAATAGGCCGGGCACGGTTGGTCACGCCTGTAATCCCAGCACTTTGGGAGGCCGAGGTGGGCAGATCACAAAGTCAGGAGATCGAAACCATCCTGGCTAACACGAAAAATCGCACCACTGCACTCCAGCCTGGACAACAGAGCAAGACTCCGTCTCAAAAAAAAAAAAAAGAAATTAAAAATAAAAGCCCTCTCCACAAGTTGCAATTGGCAAACTATATAACCACAGCATCGAGGAATACAAAACTCTGGCTTCTGGGTGATAGAGTTGTCCACATGAGAGTTTGTCCATAACCAGTATATTTCTCTGGTTACACAATCAAGTTCTTCAAGCCACCTTCCTCAAGCTCACTACCCAAAACCACAGAGAGCACGGAGCTGCCGTGCCTTAGAAAAGTCCATCCACTATACTGCCCCATGGGCAAGATTAAATTCGAAAGTAGCCAAGCTGGCTGGGAGCAGTGGCTCATGCCTGTAGTCCCAGCACTTTTAGAGGCTGAGAAGGACGGATCACTGGAGGTCAGGAGTTCAAGACCAGCCTGGCCAACATGGCAAAACCCTGTCTCTACTAAAAATACAAAAATTAGCCGGGTGTGGTGGCACGTGCCTGTAGTCCCAGCTACTCGGGAGGCTGAGGCAGGAGAATCGCTTGAACCCGGGAGGCAGAAGCTGCAGTGAGCCGGGATCGCGCCACCTCAATGAAGCCTGGGCAGCAGAGTGAAACTCCATCTCAAAAAAAAAAAAAAAAAAGAAAGAAAGAAAGAAAGAAAGTGGCCAAGCCACTTAAATTACCAGACAGCTTTTTGAGAAAAATCCAAGTTTGAATCACCCCAAAATATAATCCAGCCAGCCAAGTTGCTCTGGATGGCTTGGAAAAGTTCTTCTAGGAAGCCCCTCCTGGCTGGTCAACACACTGCCCTACACAGCTGGGCTCCGAGCCAGAGGAGTTTAACAGTCCACAGTTACCTTCACCCTAACATGAGGAAGATCCAGCTTAGAGAGGGGATGTAACCAATACCCTAAAGTAAAAATAGCAGTGTGACAGCATGAGGTGGACACACAGGCGGACCTTCTGGACTGAAAAGCAAGCGAGGGCAGCATCAGAGAGAAGGCGGAGCTCCTGGTTCCTAAAGCACAGAAGACAGTGGTGACCAGGTACCAAGTCCATCGTAGTTATATGACTCACGAGCTCTCCCCCAGCTGTTTCTAGGAAAGCCTGCCTTCCTGCAGGACAAGTCAGAATCGCTCAGGGAAAAAGACCCAGGGCCAGAATTCTACCAGGAAGAGAGGCTCTGGCTGGTCATGGGCCAGCAGCTGCTGTCGCTGCCACTGTCTCCTCCTCACCTGCAGGGGCGCCTTAGCCTCATCTTGGGGAGTCTTTTTGACAAGGTGCGAACTTGCTCTTTCAAAAAAAAATGAAATCCTCATTCCATGAAGGGGAAAACTGCGACACCGGGACAGGGAGGAAATTGCCCAAAGACATGGGAAGAAGCACGGAAGGGGTGGGCACCGGGAGAGTGGTGGAAACGAAACAGGGGGAAGAAATTCTCGGCTTAGCTAATGGAGCTGAACAAGTTCGGGGCAGGAAGAAAGCCACATTCCTTCCTAGTTAGTCTCCCTCCTCCCCCGCCCGCGGCACCCCCCCACCCCCACCATCAACAGTATACACAAACACACACACACGCAGGGAGCAGGGCTCTCTGAGCCCGAGACTAGACCCACCCCCACTCCCTTTAGGGCAATGAAGCCCCCAATTTCCAGAAAAGGAGTTACAAGGTTCCTAAACCACTTCCCCTCGGGACCTGACCACTGGTCATCTGCAACTTCTGACCCAGCACAGACGGGGGGAGGGGGGGCCATGACACAAACAGAAATGAAAAAGGCAGGTTTCTGACCACGGCCCCAGATGCGCCCCAAAGTCAGGCCCAAGAGAACATACACAGCAGCCTCCCCTCCCCACCACCAGCCAGGTGGCAGAACCGAAACGCCTCAAACTTCCCCCAGATGGGCCCAAATCGGCCTCTGAGAAGTTCCAGAGTCAGCGGCCAGATGTGGTAGCCAGAGCTTCCTCCTGGGTGGCAGGGATCCCCTACATGTGCCCTGAGGATAACATCACAGCCGCCCCCAACACTTCCACTCTCCAAGGAACCTCTCTCCGGAGAGAGAGGGTCACCTGGGGGTAAGGGGAGCAGAAAGCTGGGACAAGCTGTCAGTTTCTGCCCAAACTCCCCGTCCCAAGAACCAAAGTGGCCCAACCTGAGTGGCTTCATCGGAACGCGTCAAAGCCAGCCCCCAGCTGCAAAGCCTTCCACCCAGACAGAACAGACCCCCACAAGTGCCTCGCTGACCACCCCCTGCCGGGCACCCAGACGATCGCTGCTTCCCAGGAGGACAGACACAGTCACCCCCACCAACGGCGCTGCCCCGGCCCCAGATGGAAAAGCCCCCAGCTTCCCCCTATCACGGTGCCGGGACCGTGCGGCCCACCGCCTCCTCGCCCCGCCGCCAGGTGCGCAAACTGGACCCTGCCCAGGTGCCCAGCAGGCCAGAAAGGCCCCGGACGCCGCCAGGTGCCGACACCGACGCCCCCCGGGCCCGGCGCGCGAGTCTGGGCCCCTCAGCAGCCCCGGGCCACCCGCCTGTATTGCCTCCTAGTGCTGAGAAGGAACGCGGTTCTCAGCGCTCCAGGCCGGACTGGCGCCCACTCCGCGCCCCGCCGGCCCAGGGACCCGCGAGCAGCACCACAGACCTAGCGTCTCCGAGCCCGGACGCCTCAGTGAGGGGAGCGCGAGGCCGGCCCGCGTCCGGACGTTCCCCACTGGCGCGCCGGGCGCCATGCCACTCACCTGTCTGGCGCGGTAGCTCTCGAAGGCCCTCAGGGCACTGTCGGTGAGCTTCACGTGGAACACCGACACCTTGCTGCCGTCGCTAACCCGCCCGCACGACAGCCCGTAGCTCCTATCCTCCTTCAGCGCCGCCATCTTGCGACCATCTCTCCCCCGCGCCCCCTTCCCGGCTCCAGCGCCGCCACGCCGGCCACGCCCCGCCCCGCCGCCCGCTGACGCGCTGCATTATTCATGAGACGCGGCTGGCCACGCCCCCCGAGTCCGACCAAACCAACAGTCGCCGCCACACCGGCAGGCAGCGCACTACATTATTCAGGAGACGCGCCTGGCCACGCCCCATGAGGGCCCCACAAGGCCCACAGTCAACGCCCCAAGTTGTTGCATATTCATAAGGCACTTATGGCCCCGCCTCTTCAGGCCCTAGGGGTGGCCACTTCCGTGAACGAACTCCGCCTCAACACGCGCACCCCTCCAGGCCCCGCCTCCATAGTATTATACATAACCCTGACTCAGCCAGCCAGGCGCGTCAAAGCCCCGCCCCTACAGCCGCTGACGTGATGCATTATTTATGAGATCTCTACAGTCTTCCGTCTTTGGCTTCTGTGGAAAGCCGCAGAGAGGGCGTGGAGGGGCGGAGCCGGCTCGAAACACGTGGGTGGGTAGGCCCCGCCGCGGGCCGGGAGGGTGGGCGTGGCTATGTAAACGGAGCGCGCGCGTTGGACGCTGGGTTGGACACATAAGGCATCCCTTAGGCGGGGTGGATGGGACTTCCACCCAGGGAAGGTGCTGGACCGGTAGGTGGAAGAGGAGCTGGTAAACTTTTTCTTATGAGATGAGTACTTTTAATAGGATAAAATCCTACATCCCCACAGTCCCTGAGCGATGGTGCAGTCCAGCTTCATTTTCCTATTTTAATTTTTTTTTGAGGGGTCTTGCTGTGTTGCCCAGGCTGGAGTGCAATGGCGCCATCATGGCTCACTGCACCCTCGACCTCCTGAACTCAAACTGATCCTCCTTGTCTGGGTCTGCTGAAATGCTAGGATTACAGGAGTGAGCCACCAAGCCCAGACTTCCATTTTCTTTTCTTTTCTTTTTTTTTTTTTTTGAGACGGAGTCTTGCTCATCAGCCCAGACTGGAGAACAGTGGCGCTATCTCGGCTCAATGCAACCATCGTCTCCTGAATTCAAGCGATTCTCCTGTCTCAGCCTCTCGAGTAGCTGGGATTACAGGCGCCCGCCATCATGCCCAGCTAATTTTTGTATTTTAGTAGAGATGGGGTTTCACCATGTTGACCAGGCTGGTCTTGAACTCCTGACCTCAGGTGATCCGCGCGCCTCGCCCTCCCAAAGTGCTAGGATTACAGGCGTGAGCCACCTCCCCCAGTTTTTGTTTGTTTGTTTGTTTTTAGACAGAGTTTCGATTTCCTTGCCCAGGCTGGAGTGCAGTGGTGTGATCTCGGCTCACTGCAACCACCGCCTCCTGGATTCAAGCAATTCTCCTGCCTCAGCCTCCCGAGTAGTAGCTGGGACTGCAGGCGCCCATCACAACGCCCAGCTAATTTTTTGTATTTTTAGTAGAGACGGGATTTCACCATGTTAGTCAGGCTGGTCTGGAACTCCTGACCTCAAGTGATGCACCCACCTCGGCCTCCCAAAGTGCTGGGATTACAAGCATGAGCCACTGTGCCCGGCCAGCCTTCCATTTTCTAAAAAGCAACTTCATTGAGTCACATTTTACATATAAAATATATTCCCAATGCTGTGTAGCTGTCACCACTATCTAATTTCCGAGATTTTTTTTTCTTTTTCTTTGAGACAGAGTTTCACTCTTGTTGCCCAACCTGGAGTGCAACGGTGCCATCTCAGCTCGTTGCAACCTCCGCCTCCCAGGTTCAAGCGATTCTCCTGCCTCAGCCTCCCGAGTAGCTGGGATTACAGATGCCCACCACCACGCCCAGCTAATTTTTGTATTTTCAGTAGAGACGGGGTTTCACCATATTGATCAGGTCTCTAACTCCCAACCTCAGGTGATCCGCCTGCCTAGGGCTACCAAAGTGCTGGGACTACAGGCGTGAGCCACTGCGCCTGGCCAAGGGAGGAGCTGGCTTGGAGGGCCAACCAGCTCGCTCTGTGATCTTGTGAAAGGCACCTCCTGCTTCTGAGCCTCTGTGGATTCACTTCGGAAACAGGAAACAGCAATAAGAGCAGTACTCAGGACCTAGCAAGGTGTCTCACACCTGAAATCCCAGCATTTTGGGATGCCATGACGGGAGGATCGCTTGCACCCAAGGGCTTGAGACCAGCCTGGGTAACAGGGCTAAGCCCCCTCTCTACAAAAAAATTTAAAAAATTAAAAAAATTAGCCGGGCATGGTGGAGCACCCCTGTGGTCCCAGCTACTCCGGAGGCTGACATGGGAGGCTCTCTCAAGCCCATGGGAGGTTGAGGCTGTAGTGAACTATGTTCGCACCACTATATTCCAGCACTCCAGCCTGAGTGACAGAGTAAGACCCTGTCTCCAAAAAAAAAAAAAAAAAAAAAAAAAAAAAGCCAGGCCCCCAGTGGCTCACGCCTGTAATCCCAGCACTTTTGAAGGCCGAGGGGGCTGGATCATGAGGTCAGGAGTTCGAGACCACCACGACCAACATGGTGAAACCCCGTCTCTGCTAAAAACACTAAAATTAGCCAGGCATGGTGGCACACGCCTGTAATCCCAGCTACTCAGAAGGCTGAGGCAGGAGAATAGCTTGGACCCAGGAAGCAGAGCTTGCAGTGAGCCGAGATCGTGCCACTGCACTCCAGCCTGGGTGACAGAGCAAGACTCGGTCCCAAAAAAAAAAAGTATTTCTCCACGTCTACTTTACATTTGATTCCCCAGTGGATCTCAATGAGACCCCAGGAAAAATAAGGCAGAACTTATCAGACGTTGGCATGCTCTGCAGAAGTTTCTTTTTTTTTTTTTTTTTTGAGACGGAGTCTCACTCTGTCGCCCAGGCTGGAGTGCAGTGGCACAATCTCGGGTTCACTGCAGCCTCCGCCTCCTGGGTCCAAGCGATTCTCCTGCCTCAGCCGCCCGAGTAGCTCGGGTTACAGGCACGTGCCACCACGCCTGGCTAATTTTTTGTATATTTAGTAGACGGGGTTTCACCGTGTTAGCCAGGATGGTCTCGATCTCCTGACCTCATGATCCGATGATCCGCCTGCCTCAGCCTCCCAAAGTGCTGGGATTACAGGCGTGAGCCACCATGCCTGGCCTTTTTTTTTTTTTTTTTTTTTGGAGACAAGTTCTCACTCTGTCACCCAGGCTGGAGTGCAGTGGCATGATCTCGGCTCACTGCAGCCTCCAACTCCTGGGCTCAACCCATCCTCCCACCTCAGCCTCCCAAGTAGCTGAAATTACAGGCATGCTCCACCATACTGGGCCAATCTTTTGTATTTTTTGAAGAGATGAGATTTTTCCATGTTGCCCAGGCTGGTCTCTAACTCCTGGGTTCAAAAGATCCTGTCGCCTAGCCTCCCAAAGTGCTAGGAAGTGCTAGGATTATAGGCCATAAGCCACTGCACCTGGCCGTCTGCAGACATTTTTGTTTCTTTGTTTTGAGACGGAGTTTTGCTCTTGTTGCCCAGGCTGGAGTGCAGTGGCACGATCTCGGCTCACTGCAACCTCTGCCTCCTGGTTCAAGTGATTCTCCTGCCTCAGCCTCCTGAGTAGCTGGGATTACAGGCACACGCCACCACACCCAGCTAATTTTGTATTTTTAGTAGAGACGGGATTTCACCATGTAGGTCTCGAACTCCTGACCTCAAGTGATCCACCCGCCTCGGCCTCCCAAAGTGGTGGGATTACAGGCGTGAGCCACCGTGTCCGGCTTTGTCTGCAGAAATTTTTAAGAACTAGGTTACCCATGGCCAGGCATGGTGGCTCACGCCTGTAATCTCAGCACTTTGGGAGGCCGAGGCGGGTGGATCACTTGAGGTCAGGAGATCGAAACCATCCTGGCTAACACAGTGAAACCCCGTCTCTACTAAAAATACAAAAAAATTAGCCAGGCATTGTGGCAGGCGCCTGTAGGCCCAGCTACTCCGGAGGCTGAGGCAGGAGAATGGCGTGAACCTGGGAGGCGGAGTTTGCAGTGAGCCGAGATCGCGCCACTGCACTCCAGCCTGGGTGACACAGCGAGACTCCATCTCAAAAAAAAAAAAAAAGGAACTAGGTCACCCACAATATTGCAAGTGAGTTGATCACCCTGGGGTGCCCCCCGGACACATAGTCCACCTGGTGAGCTCTCTGATGGAAGCAGTGACCCCACCCTGCCCCTTACCCCGTGTGTGGTCTTGGACACATCTTGCCATCTCTGTTCCTCAGTTTGCTCATCCAGAAAACAGGGAGTGTAACAGCATCTACCTGATTCTTCTGTGACAATGACATGAGACAAGGACATGTGTAGCTCGCCCTGTTCAAGTGTTCCAGAATTGTGAGCTCGCGTACACATACAAAATTCCTTCCGCAGTGCTCACTTCCAATTCACAGCCCATGGCAAGTCGGGTAAGGCCCTCCTGAGTCACTGCTCAAGGCCAGGTATATGGGAGGTGTTAGTAAATGCTTTGGTATGAAAGACAAAGCCATCCCCGTCGTTCTCCAAAGGTACCACACATGGTCCAGCTGGCATACCTTGCACAGCTATGCCATCCACAAGGGATACCCTTCACCACCCATTAAAGGCATCCCATGCCTTCAACACAACTGCAGCGTCACACGTGCTGGATGCTCCAGCTCACCACCCACAACCAGCTCAGACCTTTGAGGATGAAGTGGCCGAGTGAATAACCACATTCAATTTCACACTCCTAGTCTGGCCATTCGGGGCCTCTCTCCTCCCCGTCCCCGCACCATGTCATAACTTGCATGTTCTAGGCAGCTCCGGGCCTATTTCTTTTTTCTTTTTTTGAGATGGAGTCTTGCTCTGTCACCCAGGTTGGAGTGCAGTGGCGCGATCTCAGCTCACTGCAAGCTCCACCTCCTGGGTTCACGCCATTCTCCTGCCTCAGCTTCCCATGTAGCTAGGACTACAGGCGTGTGCCACCACGCCCGGCTAATTTTTTTGTATTTTTAGTAGAGACACCACGTTGGCCAGAATGGTCTCAATCTCCTGACCTCGTGATCTGCCCGCCTTGGCCTCCCAAAGTGCTGGGATTACAGGCTTGAGCCACCGCGCCTGGCCAGCGGGGCTATTTCAACTCCAGACATTGGCACCGGCAGTTTGCTTGGCCAGGAAGGACATTTCCTTCCTTTAATAAAGCTTTTTTAAAAGTTTATCAAACAAGCAGCCAGGAGTAGTGGCTCATACCTATAATCCCAGCACTTAGGGAGGCAGAGGTGGGGGAATGACTTGAAGTCAGGAGTTCAAGACCAGCCTGGTCAGCATGGTGAAACCCTGTCTCTAATAAAAATACAAAAATTAGCCGGGTGTGGTGGCACGTGCCTGCAGTCCCAGCTACTCCGGAGGCTGAGGTAGGAGAATTACTTGAACCCAGGAGGCAGAGGTTGCAGTGAGCCGAGATCGCCCCACTGCACTGCAGCCTGGGCGACAGAGTGAGGCTCCGTCTCAAAAAAAAAAAAAGTGTATCAAACAAGTGAGTGAAATATTAACTATCAGTCTCACATTTAGCCAGGTCTAGGCTGCAATTCAAGACTAAAATATTGGCTGAGAGCAGTGGCACGTGCCTGTAGCCCCTGCTACTTGGGAGGCTGCAGTGGGAGAATCACTTGAGTGCAGTGGGGTGGGTCAATGCTGCAGAGAGCTGCAATGGTGCCACTGTACTCCAGCCTGGGTGACACAGCAAGACCGTGTCTCTAAGAAAAAAACAAGACTAAAATATCTTAGGAGCTCCTGGATTGAAGAAATTCTGTATCTTAAGATTTGTATGCTGGCCAGGTGTGGTGGCTCACGCCTGTAATCACAGCACTTTGGAAGGCCGAGGCAGGCGGATTACGAGGCCAGGAGTTCGAGACCAGCCTGGCCAACAAGGTGAAACCCCACCTCTACCAAAAATACAAAAAAATTGGCTGGACGTAGTGGCACTCACCTGTAATCCCAGCTACTTTGGAGGCTGAGGCAGGAGAATTGCTGAACCCAGGAGGCAGAGGTTGCAGTGAGCCGAGATCAGGCCACTGCATTCCAGCCTGGGCAACAGAGCAATACTCCGTCTCGGGGGGAAAAAAAAGGATTTGTGTGCTACATGAACAGGAAACAAGTTGACTTTGCATTACGAAAAGTCAAGAGGTTCTATATATATATTTTTTGGCGATGAGTTTCACTCTTGTTGCCCAGGCTGGACTGCGATGGCGCGATTTTAGGTCACTGCAACCTCCGCCTCCTGGGTTCAAGCCTATTCTTCTGCTTCAGCCTCCTGAGCAGCTGGGATTACAGGCTTATGCCACCATACCCGGCTGATTTTTGCATTTTTAGTAGAGATGGGGTTTCACCATGTTGGCCAGACTGTTCTCGAACTCCTGACCTCAGGTGATCCACCCACCTTGGCCTCCCAAAGTGCCGGGATTACAGGCTTGCTATAGGGATTCTGAGGCACAAGAATCCCTTGCACCCGGGAGGTGGAGTTTGCAGTGAGCTGAGATGGTGACACTGCACTCCGACCTGGGTAGCAGAGAGAGAGAAAAAGAAAGTTAATCACCAATGTGGTGAAACTCCGTCTCTACTAAAAATACAAAATTAGCTGGGCGTGGTGGCACGCACCTGTAATCCCAGCTACTCAGGAGGATGAGGCAGGTGAATCCCTTAAATTCTGGAGGCGGAGGTTGCAGTGAGCCAAGATGCACCACTGCACTCCTGCCTGGATGACAGAGCAAGACTCCATCTCAAAAAAAAAAAGGCCAGGCGAGGTGGCTCATGTCTGTAATCCCAGCACTTTGGGAGGCCGAGGCGGGTGGATCATGAGGTCAGGAGTTCAAGATCAGCGTGGCCAACATGGTGAAACCCCGTCTCTACTAAAAATACAAAAATTATCTGGGCATGGTGGCGTGTGCCTGTAATCTCAGCTACTCGGGAGACGAGGCAGGAGAATCGCTTGAACCGTGATCTGGGAGGCAGAGGTAGCAGTGAACAAGATCATGCCACTGCACTCCAACCTGGGTTACAGAGCGAGACTGTCTCAAAAAAAAAAAAAAAAAAATTAGTCAAGCTTGGTTGCGTGCCCCTGTAATCCCAAGCTACTTGAGAGGCTGAGGTGGGAGAACTGCTTGAACCCTGGAGGCGGAGGCTGCAGTAAGCTAAGATTGGGCCACTGCACTCCAGCCTGGGTGACAGAGCAAGACCCCATCTCGAAAATAAATAAATAATAAAAAAAATTGGCCAGGTGTGGTGGCGTGCACCTGTAATCCCAGCTACTTGGGAAGCTGAGGCAGGAGAATCGCTTGAACCCGGGAGGCAGAGGTCAGAGGTTGCAGTGAGCTGAGATCATGCCACTGCACTCCAGCCTGGGTGACAGAGCTGGCATGCAAAAAAAAAAAAAAAAAATTAGCTGGGTGTGGTGGCACATGCCTGTAATCCCAGCTACTTGGGAGGTTGAGGCAGGAGAATTGCCTGAACCTGGGGCTAACCACTGGAAAGAGAGCACAGCCTCAAGCCACACTCAGCCTCAAGTCATCCAGGTGACCCAGAGAACAAGGGCCTGGAAGAAGCGGGTGAGTGGGTGAGGTGGAGGTGTAGATTGGAGTCCTAGGCCTTTGGGAGGCCCTCCAACCTCCCTTCTGCACCAACTTCTCCTGGGTGGCTGTGGCAGGCAGCTTTCCCTCCTGGGCTGTAAGGGGATAGATGCAGGTGAGGTGACTGTAGTGGTCTATTTTCAAGGATGCCCTTATTCTTGGGGGCAAGATGGAACAGCAGGAAGAAAGGGTGTGGGTGCTGGGCTGACAGAGGCCCCGATGCTGGCTCCGCCCATCCTGGCTGCACTGGTGAGCGGCATCATAGGAGAAGCTCCCAGAGTCCAGAGTTGGGAGAGCCAGATGGGATCAGGGAACCTCCCAGCATCAACCCTGGCCCTTCCTCATGGCCCCTAAAGCCCTGCAGGGTATGGCTCTGCAGGCTACCCAGCCTCATCCATCTGGAATGCACCAGGCTAGACCTGGCCCCAGGGTCTTTGTACTGGGCGTGCTGTTGCCCAGACCTGGGGCTGTCGGCTTCCTGCATGGGCAGACCCTTGCCATCGCTGAAATATCAGCGCACACATCCCCTGGGAGAGGTCTTCCTGGGCCTCCAGCTGTGCCTTCTCACAGGCTGCATCCAGACATTCACATCCTCTCCCCTGGACCCCATCTGTCTCTTGTTTTGAGATGAAGTCTCCCTGTGTTGCCCAGGCTGCAGTGTAGTCCCATGATCTCGGTTCACTGCAACCTCTGCCTCCCGAGTAGCTGGGATTACAGGCATGTGCCACTACACCCAGCTAATTTTTGTATTTTAAGTAGAGCTGGGGTTTCACTATGTTGGGCAGGCTGGTCTGGAACTCCTGAGCTCAAGTGATCCACCCACCTCGGCCTCCCAAAGTGCTGGGATTACAGGTGGGAACCACTGTGCCTGGTGCACTTTTTTTTTAAACATAGATGGAATCTCACTGTGTTGACCAGGCTGGGCTCAAGCGACCCTCCCACCCTGGCTTCCAAAGAGCTGAAATTACAGGCCATGACACTACACCCCACCTCTTTATTAAAAAAAAAAAAAGGCCGGGCGCGGTGGCTCACGCCTGTAATCCCAGCACTTTGGGAGGCCAAGGCAGGTGGATCACGAGGTCAGGAGATCCAGACCATCCTGGCTAACACGGTGAAACCCCGTCTCTACCAAAAATACAAAAAATTAGCCAGGCGTGGTGGCAGGCGCCTGTAGTCTCAGCTACTCGGGAGGCTGAGGCAGGAGAATGGCATGAACCCGGGAGGCGGAGCTTGCAGTGAGCCAAGATCACGCCACTGCACTCCAGCCGGGGCCACAGAGCAAGACTCTGTCTCAAAAAAAAAAAAAAAAAAAAGAGCCGGGCACGGTGACTCACACCTGTAATCCCAGCACTTTGGGAGGCCTAGGCAGGCAGATCACAAGGTCAAGAGATCAAGACCATCCTGACCAACATGGTGAAACCCTGTCTCTACTAAAAATACAAAAATTAGCTGCGCATGGTGGCGTGCGCCTGTAGTCCCAGCTACTCGGGAGGCTGAGACAGAAGAATTGCTTGAACCCGGGAAGTGGAGGTTGCAGTGAGCAGAGATCGTGCCACTGTACTTCAGCCTGGTGACAGAGTGAGACTCCGTCTCAAAAATAAATAAATAAATAAATAAATAATAAAAAGAGAGACCTCACTCTGGTGAGGTCTTCCAGCCTAGGCTGGAGTGCAGTGGTGCAATCATAGCTCACTAAAGCCTCAAATTCCTGTGCTCAAGTCATCCTCCTACCATCTGTCTCTTTTGAATTCAGTACATCCACTAGGTAAAGCAATGATGCCACAGAACCCATGCAGCAGCCTCAAGGTAGGGCCCACTGGGGTCCTGGATTTCAGGTGAGTAAACAGTGAACGCTGGGGTAACGAGTGGAGCTGGGCAGTAACACCCCCAGAGTCCAGCTGAGTCAGACCTCTCAACCCACTTGCCCCTGCTACATCACCCCACTTCTCTATGCCTCAGTTTCTCCTCTGTAAAGTGAGTATGTTGTGCCCGGAGAGGAGACCCCCAGCTCCAGCTGGCTCAACCACATCCACCATGCTGTGTGACTCCAGATGCATCACAGGCTGTCTCTGGCCCAGCCCCAGACAGCGGGAGAAGAAAGCTCAGGAGTCCGTGGAAACTGCAGGGTGGGATGCTTTATTTCACTGTGGCGGGGAGGGAACCTGGACAGGGGGCGGCAGGCGGGGTGGGGGGCTGGCACTCAGGCGGGGACTAGGCAGGGGAAGGGCTGCCCCCAGGCCTGTTGAGGAGAAACTGAGGCCAGCCCTGGCGGAGACCTAGCCCAGCGGGGTAAGGAGGGTGGGGGAAAACTGGGTCTGAAGGAATGAGGGCCCCCTCCCTCTGGGCTTTCCTCCTAGAGGGCCTCAGTCCCTCCTGCTGGCTGGGCTGCACGACCCCCAATCCTTGCTCCCCTAACCCGGAGGAGGGGGCCAGACCAGGGAGGGCAGTGGACAGGGAGCCTGGGGGAGTTGGGGAGCGCAGGGCAGGGTCCATGGTGTGCAGAGGGGGTGGCAGCCACCTAGGTGGTCAGTTCCTGGCAGCGATGACCACAGAGAGTGCCACACCCCCCAAGGCAACAGCAGTCGCCCCAAACAGCCACTTCCATGGGATGGACTGTGGATAAAAAGGAGGGGAGAGAAGGGTGGAGGGAGGTCAAGACTGGCCTCTGGGGCCTCAGCTGCCAGCACAGCCCAAACAGACCTCCCAACAAATCATTGCCTGACTATGTATTTCCCACTTCCTGGCAAACTCCTACTCATGCAGCAAAACCCAAATCAAATGGCCCCTCCTCCAGGACACCGCCCCTCGTGCCCTGGAAGAGGCTCCACAGTCCACCCCCAGCCCTCCAGCTTGAGTTCCACCTTCGACTCCACTCATGATCACACAGGGCTGGGCTCTCTCCACGTCCCCTGCATCGCCCAGGACGGCCCAGTCTCCGAGGACATCCATGTATGCAAAATAAAATCCCTCTGCTAGGCGTGCCCTGCACACAGCCCCTGCCCATTCTGTGCCCCAGCTCACCCAGGCACCCTTGCCAGGGCACTTAGCAGGCAGCCGGCTGGGGTTGCCCAGCATTTTCCGGTACAAGGCGGTCTCCGTGCTCCGCTGCGCCGCATGCTTCTTCACCAGCTTTGAGAGCTCTGCGTGGATCGTCTGCAGAAGGCAGGGGAAGCTGAGAACACGCAGCGGCCAACCTGTCATCACTGGCGCTCTGCCTTACTGGGACCCTAGGCTGTTTGGGTGGTGGGACTGTTGGGACACAGGGGTCCCATCTGCCCCTTTCTGGGCTTAGCAAAGTCAGGGCTGCTGACCCCATCCCTCCTAGGGAGCCAATTGATGGCGCAGAGCACAAGGTAGCCAGGAGACAAAAGGTTCTGGAAGGAAGGCCAAGGACACTGGCATGGAGCAGGCTGGCAGTGCCCTCAGCTGCTGGAGGAGTGAGAGCCCAGACTGCCTGTGTGGCCGTCATGAGGGTCTTCACAAGCTGACCAGGACCCTTCAGGTACCTACTCCGTGCCACTGCCCAGGTGGGAACACAACAGAGAGCCACAGCAAGAAAGACCTGGGGCAGACCGCAGGAGGGACTTCCCAGCCGAGCAAGTCCCAGGGCACCCCTGTCCTGCTCACCTTGTTGGAAGGTTCCAGCTTCAGGGCTGCCCTCAGGATGGGGATGGCCTCACTGTACTCCCCCTGCTGGGCCAGCACCTGTAAGGGGAAGGGGGTGGCATCACTCTGGACCCATACCTGGGCCTGTCCTTCAAGAAATCCAGCCCAGGAGGTTGCAGTGAGCCAAGATGGTGTCACTGCACTCCAGCTTGAGCAACAGAGCAAGACTCCATCTCAAAAAATAAAATAAAATAAAAACAGCCTGGCCAACATGGAGAAACCCCGTCTCTACCAAAAAATACAAAAATTAGCCAGGCGTGGTGGCATGCACCTGTAGTCCTAGCTACTCAGGAGGCTGAGGTGGGAGGATTGCTTGAACCAGGGGGCAGAAGTTGCAGTGAGCCGAGATCACACCACTGCACCCCAGTCTGGGTGACAGAGTGCAACCCTGTCTTAAAAAAAGAAAAAAAAAAAAGGGTCGGGCGCAGTGGCTCATGCCTGTAATCCCAGCACTTTGGGAGGCCGAGGCGGGCGGATCACAAGGTCAGGAGATCAAGACCATCCTGGCTAAGACGGTGAAACCCTGTATCTACTAAAAATACAAAAAAAATTAGCTGGGCGAGGTGGCGGGCGCCTGATAGTCCCAGCTACTCGGGAGGCTGAGGCAGGAGAATGGCGTGAACCCGGGAGGCGGAGCTTGCAGTGAGCCGAGATCGTGCCACTGCACTCCAGCCTGGGCGACAGAGTGAGACTCCATCTCAAAAAAAAAAAAAAAGGCTGGGCGCGGTGGCTCACACCTGTAATCCCAGCACTTTGGGAGGTCAAGGCAGGCGGATCAAGAGGTCAGGACGTCAAGACCATCCTGGCTAACATGGTGAAACTCCGTCTCTACTAAAAAATACAAAAAAATTAGCCGGGCATGGTGGCGGGCGCCTGTAGTCCCAGCTACTCGGGAGGCTGAGGCAGGAGAATGGCGTGAACCCAGGAGGCAGCACTTGCAGTGAGCCGAGATCACGCCACTGCAGTCCAGCCTGGGCGACAGAGCGAGACTCCGTCTCAAAAACAAACAAACAAACAAAAAAAACAGCCAGGCTCCTGGCTACTCATACAAGTGCCAAATGGAGCTCTGGCAACATCCCTGGGTTCCAGCCACTCCCAAACTGCTCTCCTAGCCCTCAAACTCCATCAGTGCACACTTAGCTTGGCATTGGTCCCCGCAACATGCTCCTCCTTCCTGTCTCAGCTGCAGATCTAGGCACCCACCTCGCTGCCTCCTCCCTCACCACCTCCACTGGCGAGAGGCCGAATGGATGCTTCCAGAGGTTGTTGTTTTTTTTTTCTCTTTCCTTTAGAGACAGGGTCTTGATCGGTCACCCAGGCTGGAGTGCAATGGCATGATCATAGCTCACTGCAGCCTCAAACTCCTAGGCTCACACAATCCTCCAGCCTCAGCCTCCCGAGGAGCTGGGACTACAGGCGTGTACTACCATGTCCAACGAATTATTTATTTATGTATTTATTTATAAAATTATTATTACTATTGTTATTATTATTATTTTGAGATGGAGTCTCACTCTCGCCCAGGCTGGAGTGCAGTGGCACGATCTTGGCTCAATGCAAGCTCTGCCTCCCGGGTTCACGCCATTCTCCTGCCTCAGCCTCCCGAGTAACTGGGATTACAGGCACCTACCACCACCGGCTAATTTTTGTATTTTTAGTAGAGACAGGGTTTTACCATGTTGGCCAGGCTGGTCTCAAACTCCTGACCTCAAGTGATCCACCTGCCTCAGCCTCCCAAAGTGCTGGTATTACAGGCATGAGCCACCGCTCCAGGCCTACTTATTTATTTATTTTATTTTAGAGACAGGGCCATGTTCCCCAGGATGGTTTCGAACTCCTGGGCTCAACCAATCCACCTGCCTCGGTCTCCCAAAGTGCTGGGATTATAGGCGTGAGCCACCACGCCCAGCCCTTAATTATTTTTTAAATTTTTGTAGCAATGGGGTCTCACTATGCTGCCAAGACTGGTCTTGAATTCCTGGGCTCAAATGATCCTCCTACCTTGGCCTCCTGAAGTGCTGAGATTACAGGCGTGAGGCACCACACCTGGCCCTGATGTTTCCAAAGCTTTGGCCATAGTGAATGATTCAGGACCAGGCACATGACCCAAATGAGTCAATGAGATCCAGCCTGCACTATGCTGGTGCTGATGGGAGATGGGTTGCTAAGGGGAGAAGATGGAGCTGGGCGAAGTGGCTCACGCCTATAATCCCAGCACTTTGGGAGGTCAAGGCAGGTGGATCACTTGAGGTCAGGAGTTCAAGACCAGCCTGGCCAACATGGTGAAACCCCGTCTATACTAAAAATACAAAAAAAGGCTGGATGTGCTCGCTTGAACCCAGGAGGCAGAGGTTGCAGTGAGCCAAGATCGTGCCACTGCACTCCAGCCTGGGTGACAGAGCAAGACTCTGTCTCAAAAAAAAAAAAAAAAGGAGGGGGTAGAAGATGGAAATCTGTAACTTTCCAGGGGGGAGGGGGGAGCATCATGGTCACCCTGAGAGAGGAGCCGGCCCAGGAGGGAAGGTCAGAGCAGAGAAACAGCATCCCCACAATATTGTGAGTGCCTGGATCCAGCTATGCCTGAAGCCAGCTAATCCAAACTTGGCAGTTCCATGAGCTATCGATCCCTCCTTTCTGCTTGAACCTGTTTGAGTGGGTTTCTATCACCTTCAACCAGCAGGTCCAAACTTGTATGAAGCTACACAAGCAGCCACTCCTGCTGCCCCCAGGAGGATACTACCCCCAGGTTGAGAACAAAGCCTTCAAAAACAGGAACTGCATCTTCTCCCTCTTCATATTTCTCTGCAGAACTCCGCACACAGTATGTCCTTAATAAATCCCAGCTGGAGGGAGCCCCACCTCAGGCTTTTCAGAAACACAGCAGGTGAGCCAGTATCTGTGCCTCAGTTTCCTTCGTTAACTGCTAAAAGGTCCTGAAAGCCCCACCTAGGGGTGAGGCTGTGAGGATGAACAGAAAAGGGGGTGAGAATGAAGGTCAAGTCTGTGCAAGCCAGATTCACCCCTATGTTCTGCCAGAACTTTTTTTTCTGTTCTCGTGTTTTGTTTTTGACACAGGGTCTTGCTCTGCTGCCAAGGCTGGAGTGCAGTGGTGTGATCAAGGCTCACTGCAGCCTTGACCTTCGGGGCTCAAGCCATCCTCAGCCTCCTGAGCAACTGGGACGACAGGCCCGCGCCCCCACACCCAGCTAATTTTTGTATATTTTGGGTAGAGAAGGGGGTCTCCCTATGTTGCCTGGGCTCGTCGCAAATGTCTGGGCTCATGCGATCCTCCTGCCTTGGCCTCCTGTAATCCCAAGTGCTGGGATTACAGGAATGAGCCATTGTGCCTGGCCTCTGCCAGGACTTTTACTGAGCACCTACTATGTACCTGGCCCTGTTTGCAAGGCTGGAGATCCGGCAGTGAGCAAGACAGACCAAATCTCCACCTTTGAGTAAGGTAGATGGACAAGAGGCATGTCACCTCCACGTGCTGCCTGTCAGGAACATCTCAGACAGTCGGCAATGCCTACGCAAAGGCCCTGAGGTGGAGAGAGCCTGGCTAGACAGCAGAAAGGGAGAATGCCACGTGGGATGGAGAGAAGCAGAAAGTGAGGTGGGAGAAGTGATAGCAGGAGGGGGAAGACCAGACAACTCAAGGCCCCAAGGGCTGTGACTAGGATTCCACTTTACTCTGAGGAAAACTGGGACCCATGGAGGTTCTATGGGAGGAGGTTTCAACACTGGGCCAAGCCGGGCACGGTGGCTCAGGCCTGTAATCTCAGCACATGGGGAGACTGAGGCGGGCAGATCACTTGAGGTCAGGAGTTCGAGACCAGCCTGGCCAATATGGCTAACCACATCTCTACTAAAAATACAAAAATTAACTGGGTGTGGTGGCTCGCACCTGTAGTCCCAGCTACTTGGGAGGTTGAGGCAGGACAATCGCTTGAACCCAGGAGGAGGAGGTTGCGGTGGTGAGCTGAGATCACACCACTGCACTCCAGCCTGGGTGACAGAGTGAGACTCTGTCTCAAGAAACAAACAAACAAACAAACAAAAAACACTGGGCCAAAGGTTGGGGACCCAAGACTCGAGGATCAAATTCTGGCCTCAGCCAATGAATTGTTGTGACCAGGCCACACTCCTGCACCCGTCTGGGCCTCAGTTTCTCCACCTGCACCCCACAGAGCTCAGCTGGCTTATATACCTATGCCTTTCTCAAATGCAGGGTTGGGGACCACCCCGTATACCCCAGGCTGAGTGACCCGGCCTGGCACCCCGGTGTGGCCTACCTTGCCCTTGCGGAAGAGAGCCTTGATGTTGTCTGGCTGGTGCTCCAGCACAAGGCTGCAGGAGCGCAGGGCTGCGCGGTAGTGGTCGAGCTTCAGCTGCGAGGCCGCCAGGTTGTTCAGACACTTCACCTTCAACTGCAGGAGCTGTGCCTCCTCCTCGAACGTCATGTCCACTATTGGGAGACAGTGCCCGCCACGGCAGCCGTCACCATGCCACCAGACACCCCGGCACCCACCCCTCTGCGGAGGCTGCCTCTCTGGCCTCAGTTTCCCCAATTTTAACCCCGGACCAAGGGCCACGCTTTCCTGGGGCTCTCCTGAGGAAGCTACAAGATGGAGACTTAAGCAAGCGAGGGCCTAGCCTGTGGTACATGTGAACTGGCCCTGTCTATGGTCACCCCATCCCCATATCCACTTGCATTCTACAACACTCCACTGGTCTGGGATATACCACGAGTCTGTAACAGGCCCTAGCTTAGGGGCAGTTGGGGATCTACCCATATTCTGGGCTATTCTAGAATATTCTGAGTCTGAGGCTCTCTGGGGCTGGAAGTTTCTGGCACGGAGTGGACACCTTTGCAGGGGAGATGGTGGAGATCTGACCCAGGCGGTCACCTTTGGCGCTGGAGGTGATAGCCTTGATGGCGAGGTCGTAGGAGTTGGCGGCCAGGACGAAGTCCGCCCGCTGGTAGTGGGCGTTGCCGCACTCCCGCTTCCGGTTGGCCAGGGCCACGCGCTCCTGCCCCGTGAGCATCTCCAGGTCAGGCCCGTCCACAGCCGTCTTCAGGGTCACCTCCAGGCACAGGGCCGCGTGCGGGGGGATGTATGGGCTCCTGCTAGTTGGGTGGGAGCAGGCAGGGGCAGCACTCAGACCTGGTGACCCCTAAACCCGCTGGGCTGGCTAGGAAGGAGTGAGCTTGGCTCAAGCCCCCGATCTGTCTCCCCTCTGCCCTCCATCATTCCCTCCTCAGTAAAGTGCAGGGGAAGTGACTTGCCGCCTTGGAGCTGCGGGACTTGACGAACGAGTTCCCCTCCCTAAGCCTCGGTTTTCCTCCTTTTTATTAAGAGACAGGTTCTCACTCTGTTGCCCGGGCTGGAGTGCAGTGGTGCAATCTTGGCTCACTGCAGCCTCAAAAACGTGGGCTCAAGTGATCCTCCTGCCTGAGCCTCCTCAGTAGCTGGGACTACAGGTGTGCACCACACCCAGCTTTTTTTTTTTTTTTTTTTTTTTTTTGAGACAGTCTTGCTCTCTTGCCCAGGCTGGAGTGCAGTGGTGCAATCTCGGTTCACTGCAAGCTCCGCCTCCCGGGTTCACGCCATTTTCCTGCCTCAACCTCCAGAGTAGCTGGGACTACAGGCACCCACCACCACGCCTGGCTAATTTTTTGTATTTTTAGTAGAGACGGGGTTTCACCGTGCTAGCCAGGATGGCCTTGATCTCCTGACCTCATGATCCACCCGCCTTGGCCTCCCAAAGTGCTGGGATTACAGGCGTAAGCCACCACGCCCGGCCCACACCCAGCTAATTTTTAAATTTTTTTGTATAGAGATGCGGTCTATATTGCTTAGGCTGGTCTGGAACTCCAGGTCTCAAGCAATCCTCCTACCTCAACCTCCCAAAGTGCTGGGATTTCAGGTGTGAGCCACCTCACCCAGCCTCAGTTTCTTGTCTATAAAATGGGCAAGTAGATGGGGTGAGCCGAGGGGTACACCCACTCCACCCATCCCCCTCCTGAGACCTGCAGAGACCTAAGGGTGGCTGACTCTCACCTGCCTTGGGGGCCGTAGCAGTACTTGGAGTCAGCAGTGACCATGGCCGTCTCCCCCACGTCCATGAGTGGGACACTGAGATCCAGGGCCTGGGGTGTGTGGGGATAGCCAGCTGTCAGGCAGACTCAGACCCAGCAAGGCACGCCCCTCGCCCCTGCCCTGTCCCGCCCCAGCCCGCACCTGGATGACGTCACAGTCACCCAGAGTGAACACCAGCTCCGGCTCCTCCTGCACCCGTGTGCCATTCTCCAGCGACGTCTGCAGATGTACGGTGACCACCTGGCCCTTGACCGGGCGGCTCGAACCTGGCGGCCCTGGGACCAGCGTCTTCTTCCTCAACAGCCCGTTCCCTGCCAGGGTCCAGGGACATGCAGCCTGTCACCTGGCAGCTCAAACAGGCACCCGCTCCCCTGAGCCCCCACTCCTACCCTCAGCTCTGCCCACTAGCTGTCCAGAGGGGGCTGGCCCAACACTGGGGCACAAACCAAACTTCCAATGGCCACTCTGCCACCAGAGTGGGGAACCCCACGTGCAGGACACTGGGCAGGATGGGACAGACTTCAGGGTGACAGTGCTGGTGCTAGAGACCAGCTCAGTGAACAATGGTTGGTCTGGTTTTTTTGTTTTTTTGTTTTTTTTTTTTAAGAAAACTGAGACTTGCCGAGTTTCCATCTATTTGAGAGGCCAATGTGGGAGAATCACAAGTTCAGCCCAGCGTCTGGGCAAAATGGCAAGAACCCAGTCTCCCCACCCTCCTCAAAAAGAAAGAAAACCAAAGCTCAGAGAGGACAAACAGCCCTCAGGCTGAAATCCTTGCCCTGAGATGTTTGGGCCTCGGTTTACCCAGCCATGAAATGAGGTGCTCATGGGACCTTTGGTTAGCAGAGCCCCTGTGACACAGTGTCCCCACCACAGCACCAAGTGGGATGAATTTATAAGTTAAGCAAAGGACACACATGGTGGCTCATGCCTGTAATCCCAGAACTTTGGGAGGCTGAAATGAGAGGACTGTTTAAACCCAGGAGTTTGAGACCAGCCTGGGCAACATAGTGAGACCCCATCTCTACAAAAAATAAAAAATGACCAGGCATGGTGGCTCACACCTGTAACCCCAGCACTTTGGAAGGCTGAGGCAGGAGGATCACTTGAGGTTAGGAGTTTGAGACCAGCCTGGTCAACATGGTGAGACCCTGTCTCCACTAAAAATACAAAAATTAGGGGCCAGGTGTGCTGGCTCACACCTGTAATCTCAGCACTTTAGGAGGCCAAGGCAGGTGGATCACCTGAGGTCAGGAGTTCGAGACCAGCCTGGCCAATGTGGTGAAACCCTGTCTCTACTAAAAATACAAAAATCAGCCAGGCATAGAGGTGGGCACCTGTAGTCCCAGCTACTCAGGAGGCTGAGGCAGAAGAATCGCTTGAACCTGGGAGGCGGAGGTTGCAGTGAACTGAGATCGCACCACTGCATTCCAACCTGGGTGACAGAGTCAGACTCTGTCTCAAAAAAAAAAAAAAAAGTAGTAAGATTTTTATCAGTAGTGGTGGTGATATTTAGTAATATTTCTGTTCCATCAGTGTCAATATGATTGGAAACTATTGCTACAGTATTGTTATTACAATTGATAGTGGTAATGATATCTTATTATTTGCATGGGCACCAGCATTATTTGGTATATTAGATATCAGTACTATACTAGTAGCAAGACGTCTTCCACAGAAAACTAACATTTCTCTTGTTTTCAGTTGCTGTGATGGGGTATGTTGGGGGGAACATGTGGGGGCTCATGTAGTTTTCTTCTTGTAGGATTGCTCTGAGCATTTACAATACTATCACTACTGTGAACCAACCAGAAGGCTGAACAAAATAACATTCCTCTGATCCACTTGACCCCAGAACACATTTTTTGTTTTGGAAGTTGGGGTCTCGCTGTGTTGCCCAGGCTGGCGTGCACTCAGGACACATTTTTCAGAGCCCAAGCATGTGTCAGACAAATGCCAAAAAAAGATGCATTGATGGGGTTAGGAGCTGCCAGCGCCTGGCGTGCTGGCTGTGTGGCTCTGGGCAGGTGACTCAGCCTCTCTGAGCCACTGTTAGCAGATCTGGGAAACGGGGACACAGCACATTGTGCATGTGTGTGAGTCAGTGGATAGAGTACATCAATGTGAAGCATCTCCAGTAGTTGCCTCTGGCTGGTGATCACGGTGGTGACCACGTGACTTCCAACCCTCACAGCACAGATGGGGAAATGAGGCTCAGGGGACGAGAGGGCCAGGGCCAAGGGCACCCTGATCCACCTTTGCTCCTTACCCAGAATGTCCAGCCACTCTTCTGGGGCCGGGGCTGGGGCGGGCTCGGGCTCCATGGCAGCAAGGAACTCTCGGGCCAGGGCCCCAGGCTGCTCAGCCTCCTCCGCCGGGGGTTGTCCCATGTCCTCCAGCGGTGGCAGCTCACTCAGGTCATCCTCTTCCTCCTCTTCCTCCTCCTCTTCCTCCTCACCCTCTGCATCCTCAACCCCATCCAGTACCTCGAAGTCCTCGAGCGGTGGGACCCCGGCGGGCAGTGGGGCAGAGGGCTCAGAGGGTTCAGCACACGATGCCATGCTGCTGGGGGGACAGGAATTGGCCCTGGAAGTGGGGGGCAGAGATGTGGGTCAGAATCCTACACAGCCCCTCAAAGTCTCCACTGTACTGATTCCCCACACTGCCGATCACTTTCTGTGTAACTCAAGGGCTCCAGGCCTCAGTTTCCTCATCTATACAGTGGGTGTAACAACAACCCCAGCTTGTTGGGAGAAATTAACCCATGCATCAAGCCCTTGGCATCAGGCTCAAATAGTGTTAGCCATTATTAGAGCTAATTATTATTTAATGTTTACAAATACTCCAGGAAGTAGGGAAGATTCCCCTCAACATTTTGCAGAACAGGAAACAGGCCAGAGGGGCAAAGGCATTTGCCCAAGGTCACAGAGAAAGCCAAAGGCCAAAGGAGGATTTGAACCTGGGGCTTCAGGCCCTGTGGCTTTGCCTGATTATAAGCTGAGCGAAGGGTGCTGGGATTTTTGTGGAGAGGACAGCCTCCGAGGCCTTAGGGAAGCCATTTTTAGAGCCTCTAAGGCCACTGGGGGAAATTGAATCTTTTACCAGGGCCTCCCACCTCCAGCCTCTTCTCCAAAGGGGAGACCCTCCCCAAAAGCACCAACTGTAATCACCCAGAAACCCCAAGCGTTTTTTCCTTCCACACTCTGAATCTAACACTATCCCCCACAACCCCAACATCAGGGACCCTGGCCCAAATCCTTCCCCAGGAGACCATCCTCCTCTCATCAGGCCTCGGTCCCACCCCCTCAAAGCAGCCTCCTTTCCAGGAGTGGTCGAGGTCCCACCACATTCTACAGCCTCTTCCTTGCCCCAGACCTCCTGAACCAATAACCAACCCCTCCGTCCCCCAGGCCCCAAGCTCAGAAGAGTGTGGCACAGCCATCAAACCAGCCCGCCGCATCCCCTCCCTAACCCTCACCTGCCTGCTCCTCCCGGGCTCGGAGCCCCACTTTGAGAGACCCTCCCAGCCCCCACCCCCATAATTCCCCGCGCCCGCACAATTCGGCCTCCCCTCCCACCCCCCACCCCAACCACCACCGCCCCCAGCACGGGCCAGCTCCCCCCACAGCCGCTCCGTCTCGCCGTAAACACTCCAGTGTCCCCAGACGCCCCCCCCTTTCCGATCCCATAACACCCCACGCTCTCCTGACGCCCCACAGCCCCGGCCGGGCCCTCAGTCAAGCCGCGACCCAGGCCCCCAACGACCCACGCCTGTCTGACGCCACCAGTCTGGGGCACCCGACCCCCGCACGCCTCGGGCGCCCCTGGCCCTGCACGCCTCCATCGGGACCCCCCCACTGGATCCCCTTTGCCCCCAGTGACCCCCATCCCTGGCCACCCCCGCCCGGCCGCGCCCCCTCGGGCACCCCCGACCCCCGTGCCCCCCCGGCTCGCCACCCCCGCGGCCCCTCGCCCCGCCCATCGGCCGCAGCCCCCGGCGCGCTAGCCCCCGGACCAGCCTAGGCCAGGGCAGCGGCCCGGCCGGCACGGCGCCCCCAGCACCCCAGGACACTTGCCTCTGGCTCCGGGACCCCCACTTGGGGTCCTGCGCCCCCCTCCCCGCCCCCAGCCGCGGCCGCCGCGCCTCGGGAACCAGGTTCGGCCGCTTGGCCCCGCCCCTGCCGTGCCCATTGGCCGCCGCTGCCGCGACTGCCGCACCCGTTGGCTCATGCAGACGTCCGTCCCGGGCGTTGGCACCTCCCCCTTCCTGCTTGGCCCCGCGGGGCGTTCTTAAAGGGACCGAAGCCTCCCGGCTGCTGGGGCTGGGGCGGGGGCTGGGGCGGGGGCTGGGGCGGGGGCTGGGGCGGGGGCGGGGGACCCTGGGCTGGACCCCAACACGGGTCAGTATCGCGCAGCCTGTGCGACTCCTGCCTCTCCTCTGAGCTTCATCCTGACCATCTGCGAAATGGGGATAAACACCCCCATCTATGCACTCTCACCTTGGGGGCTGCTGGGGGCACAGTCCACTCTAAATGTTATTTCCTTAAAGAGTTCAAGCTTGACGGGCAGGGCAGCTCTGGGGTTGCTGAATGACCCATCCTGAAGCCTTAGTTACAGAAGTGAACCTGAGGGCCTGAGGAGGAGTGACGTGCCCAAAGGCATACAGAAACCTCCCTCCCATCCCCCACACAGTTTAATGTCTAGAAGGTTGCCTGGTGCATACTGGAGGCGCTCGATTACTGCTGCGCAGGCGACTGAGCCAGCAGGGCCACTGGGAGGAGTTCCTCCTCTATGCACTGTCTGCTGGAGGGTGATAAGGTCCCCATGGCTCGGGAAGAAGGTGGCATCCTTGATTAGCTAAGTTTTTGTGGATCTTGTTTTGAAACCGGGACACTTCTCCCTCCTTCACTCAGTTTTATTTCCTTCCTAGCAGTTACTCCTTCCAGAATTATCTTGTCATTATTTTGCTTGTGGTTGGAGGGACCATCCCTCACTCTGCTTCATCCTGGCAGAGATTTTTACCTGATTTGTACCCAGCACCTCCTTGAACCATGCCTGGCATCTATAGAAGCTCAATAAATGGGTAGGTGGATGGATGGATGGATGGATGGATGGATGGATGGATGGATGAGTCAGACACCAGCTTTTGGAGGTAGCTATCATGGAGGTGGTAACTGGCTTTTTGGAGATCACTTCTAAGGTTGGAGTTCCCAGGTTACCTCCTACAGGAAGCCCTCCCAACCTCCCCAAGGCAAGACCAGGTGCCCCCTTTAGCTGTCTTGGCACAATGAAGTTGATGAACGTCCACTTCATAACTAGTTTACTTGGGTTTTTTGTTTGTTTGTTTGTTTTTGTTTTTTGAGAAGAAGTTTCACTCTTGTTGCCCAAGCTGGAGTGCAATGGCGCAATCTCAGCTCACCGCAACCGCTGCCTCCCAGGTTCAAGCGATTCTCCTGCCTCAGCCTTCCAAGTAGCTGGGAGTAGAGGCATGCACCACCATGCCTGGCTAACTTTGTATTTTTAGTAGACACGGGATTTCTTCATGTTGGTCAGGCTGGTCTCAAACTCCCGACCTCACGTGATCCGCCCACCTCGATGTACCAAAGATTACAGGCATGAGCCATCGTGCCTGGCCTTTTTTTTTTTTTTCTTTCTCTTTTTTTTTTGAGACAGAGTCTCTCTCTGTCGCCAGGCTGGAGTGCAGTGGCGCGATCTCGGCTCACTGCAACATCCACCTCCTAAGTTCCAACGATTCTCCTGCTTCAGCCTCCTGAGTAGCTGGGACTACAGGCACCCGCCACCATGCCCAGCTAATTTGTATATTTTTAGTAGAGACAGGGTTTCACCATGTTGGCCAGGATGGTCTGGAACTCCTGACCTCATGATCTGCCTGCCTCGGCTTCCCAAACTAGTTTACTTATATCTCTGCCTTTTTTTTTTTGAGATAGGGTCTTACTTTGAAACCCAGGCTGGAGTGCAGTGGCACGATCTCAGATCACTGCAACCATGTCTATCTCCTGGGCTCACGCAATCCTCCTGCCTCAGCCTCCTGAGTAGCTGGGCCCACAGGTGCACCATCATGTCCAGCTAATTTTTTTTTTTTTTTTTGAGACAGAGTCTCGCTGTGTAGCCCAGGCTAGAGTGCAGTGGCGCAATCTCGGCTCACTGCAAGCTCCGCCTCCCAGGTTCACACCATTCTCCTGCCTCAGCCTCCCAAGTAGCTGGGACTACAGGCGCCTGCCACCATGCCCGACTAATTTTTTGTATTTTTAGTAGAGTCAGCGTTTCATCGTGTTAGCCAGGATAGTCTCGATCTCCTGACCTTGTGATCTGCCCACCTCGGCCTCCCAAAGTGCTGAAATTACAGGCGTGAGCCATCGCGCCCGGCCCAATGTTTATATTTTTTGTAGAGATGGGGTTTCCCCATGTTGCCCAGGCTGGTCTCGAACTCCTGGGCTCAAGCAATCCTCCCACTTTGGCCTCCCAAACTGTTGGGATTATAGGCGTGAGCCACTGCTTTGATTTACCTCTGCCTTGCCCTCTACACTGGCAGAGCCCCAAAGTCTGGGAAGGCTTTGTTCTTTCTCATTGTTATAGCTCTGAGGCTTGCACAGTGCCTGCCACAAAAGGTAGTGGTGGGGTCTCACGGAAATCACTGAGGAAGGAAGGGAGGTTAAAGGTGGTAGCATAGCAGAGCTATGTAAGAAATCACCTGGAGGGCTGGGTGCGGTGGCTTATGCCAGTAATCCCAGCACTTTGGGAGGCCGAGGTGGGTGGATCACCTGAGGTCAGGAAATCTAGACCAGCCTGGCCAACATGGTGAAACCCCGTCTCTACTAAAAATACAAAAATTAGCCGGGTATGGTGGTGCATGCCTGTAATCTCAGATACTGGGGTGGCTGAGGCATGAGGACTGCTTGAACCCCAGGGGTGGAAGTTGCAGTGAGCAAGACCCAGTCTCAAAAACAGCCTTTGGGAGGCTGAGGCAGATGGTTCACCTGAAGTCAAGAGTTCGAGACCAGCCTGGCCAACATGGTGAAACCTGTCTCTGCGAAAAATACAGAAATTAGCCGGGTGCGGTGGCACATGCCTGTAATCCCAGCTACTTGGGAGGTTGAGGCAGGAGAATCGCTTGAACCCGGGAGGCAGATGTTGCAGCGAGCCAAGATCACGTCACCGTACTCCAGCCTGGGCAACCTAAGCCTGGGTAACGTAGTGAGAGCCTGCCTCTACAGAATATTAATTAATTAATTTGGAGACACAGTCTCCCTCTGTCTCCCACGTAGAGTGCAGTGGAACGATCTGGGCTCACTGCAACCTCTGACTCCCAGGTTCAAGCGATTCTCCTGCCTCAGCCTCCTAAGTAGCTGGGATTACAGGCGCCTGCCATGACACATGACTAATTTTTTTTTTGAGACAGAGTCTAGTGAGGCTGGAGTGCAATGGTGTGATCTCGGCTCACTGCAACCTCTGCCTCCCAGGTTGAAGCAATTCTCCTGCCTCAGCCTTCCTAGTAGCTGGGATTACAGGCGCCTGCCACCATGCCTGCCTAATTTTTTGTATTTTTAGTAGAGATGGGGGGGTTCCGCTATGTTGGCCAGGCTGGTCTTGAACTTCTGACCTTGTGATCCACCTGCCTTGGCCTCCCAAAGTGCTGGGATTACAGGCATGAGCCGTCACACCTGGCCTCTACAGAAAATTTAAAAATGTAGTCCCAGCTAAATGGGAGGCTGAGGTGGGAGGGATCCCTTGAACCCAGGAGGTCGAGGCTACAGTGAGTTATGATCAAAGTTCTGCACTGCAGCCTGAGCAACAAGGCAAGACGCTGTTTCTAAAATAATAGTAATAATTATTATTATAAATTAATAAGCTACTAAAATAAACTATAAAATAACACCACCAACAATAATAATAATGGCTGGCACTCATTGAACAGATATTTGCAGGCAAACATTTTACTTATATTTGCTTTTCCCTTTTTTTTTTTTTTGGGACAGAATCTCGCTCTGTCGCCCAGGCCGGAGTGCAGTGGCACGATCTCGGCTCACTGCCACCTCTGCCTCCCAAGTTCAAGCAATTCTCCTGTCTCAGCCTCTGGAGTAGCTGGGACTACAGGCACCAGCCACCAAGCCTGGCTAATTTTTGCATTTCTCGTGGAGACGGGGTTTCACTGTATTGGTCAGGCTGGTCTCAAACTCTTGACCTCGATCTCAAAAACAAAACAAAACAAAACAAAAACAAAAAAACAAGACTGCTCTACTTGGAGGCCATATCATTGGCTGCATGTAGAGTTGCAATTGTGTTTCCTGGTGAACTGAACCTTTTTTTTTTTGAGATGGAGTCTCAATCTGTCGCCTAGGCTGGAGTGCAGTGGCAAGATCTCAGATCACTGCAGCCTCTGCCCCTTGGGTTCAAGTGATTCTCCTGCCTCACCCTCCCGAGTAGCTGGGATTACAGGCACCCGCCACCACGCTTGGCTAATTTTTGTATTTTTAGTTGAGACGGGGTTTCGCCATGTTGGCCAGGGTGTTCTCAAACTCCTGATCTCATGTGATCCACCTGCCTCGGCCTCTCAAAGTGCTGGGATTGCAGGCATGAGCCAGAGCGCCAGGCCCGATCTGAACCTTTCATTGTTAAGATGTGCCCCTCTTTACTTCTTTCATTTTTCCCTTAGAGTGCACTTTGTTAAGATTGCACACCAAGCTTGGGCATGGTGGCTCACTCCTGTAATCCCAGCACTTTGGGAGGCCGAGGCGGGCTGATCACGAGGTGAAGAGATCGAGACCATCCTGGCCAACATGGTGAAACCCCGTCTGTACTAAAAACAGAAAAATTAGCTGGGCATGGTGGCACACTCCAGTAATCCCAGCTACTCAGGAGGCTGAGGCAGGAGAATTGCTTGAACTCGGGAGGCGGAGGTTGCAGTGAGCCAAGATTGCGCCACTTCACTCTAGCCTGGAGACAGAGCTAGACTCCATCTCAAAAACAAAAAAGAAAAAAAAATTACACACCAATTCTCCTTGGTTCATGTTTTCTTTCTTTCTTTCTGACACAAGGTCTCACTGTGTGGCCCAGGCTGGAGTGCAGTGGCACAATCATGAGTCACTGCAGCCTCAATCACCCACGCTCAAGCAATCCTCCCAGCTCAGCCTCTCCAGTAGCTTCAACTACAGGTGTGCACCACCATGCCCAGCTACTTTTTTTATATTTATTGTTTGTAGAGATGGAGTCTTGCTACATTGCTCAGGCTGTTCTCAAACTCCTGGGCTCAAGCAATCCTCTCACCTCGGCCTTGCAAAGTGCTGGGATTATAGGCATGAGCCATTGCGCCCGGGTCCATCTTTGTTTTTTAACTGGGGAATTTGGTCTATTGGTATTTAATGTAATTATGGACATATCTAGACATAAATCTGTCTCATTAGGTGGTTTTCCTCTTTTTTTTTTTTTTTTGAGATGGAGTCGCTCTGTTGCTAGGCTGGAGCAGTGATCACGCCATTGCACTTCAGTACAGGCAACAGAGTAAGACCCTATCACACACACAAAAAAGGAAATGAAATGGAAAAAAGTGGCAGAGAAAGCCTTCCAGTCCCCAAACCCGACCCCCGAAAGTCCCCATCTCTGGGCAGACTGAATGTTCGCATAACTTTCTATCCTCTCCCTTCATCATACAAAAAAACATGTTCTTATCTCAAGTCCAGTGTATACAAAACATCAGGGGCCAGCCAAGTCCCTTTTGGCCTCAATCTATAGTCCCCACCCCTTCTAAGACCCTCGTAAATGTTCCTTGGCTTCCAAAAGAGCCCCAAGGACCCACTGAAAAGTTTGATTTTGGCTTGGCACTGTGGCTCATATCTGTAATCCCAGCAATTTGGGAAGCCAAGGCGGGTGGATCACTTGAGGTCAGGAGTTCGAGACCAGCCTGGCCAATATGGCGAAACCCTGTCTTTACCAATACAAAAATTATCTGGACATAGTGGTGCATGCCTGTAATCCCAGCTACTCAAGAGGGTAGGGCAGGAAAATCACCTGAATCTGGGAGGCCGAGGTTGCAGTGAGCCAAGATTGCAATACTACACTCCAGTCTCAGTGACAGAGCAAGACCTGGTCTCAAAAAAAAAAACAAAAAACAAAAAAAAACAAACAAACCCGGGCGCAGTGCTCATGCCTGTAATCCCAGCACTTTGGGAGGCTGAGGCGGGAGGATCACAAGGTCAGGAGATTGAGACCATCCTGGCCAACATGGTGAAACCCCTCTCTAGTAAAAATACAAAAATTAGCCGGGTATAGTGGCATGTGCCTGTAATCCCAGCTCCTCAGGAGGCTGAGGCAGGAGAGTCACCTGAACCTGGGAGACGGAGGTTGTAGTGAGCTGAGATTGTGCCACTGCACTCCTGCCTGGATGACAGAGTGAGACTCTGTCTCAAAAAACAAACAAACAAACTGTTGAACTAAATATACAAGAATTCTAGTCAGGCGCGGTGGCTCACGCCTGTAATCCCAGCACTTTGGGAGGCCGAGGCAGGTGAATCACAAGATCAGGAGTTCGAGACCAGCCTGACCAACATGGTGAAACCTGGTCTCTACTAAAAATACAAAAATTAGATGGGCGTGGTGGCACACACCTGTAATCCCAGCTACTTGGGAGGCTGAGCCAGGAGAATCGCTTGAACCCGGGAGGCAGAGGTTGCAGTGAGCCGAGATCGCACCACTGCACTCCAGCCTGGGCGACAGAGTGAGATTCCATCTCAAAAAAAAAAAAAAAAAAAAAAGAATTCTAGCCAGGTACAGTAGCTCACACCTGTAATCCCAGCACTTTGGGAGGCCAAAGCGGGCGGATCACCTGAGGTCAGGAGTTTGAGACCAGCCTGGCCAACATGGTAAAACCCTGTTTCTAGTAAAAATACAAAAATTATCCAGGTGTGGTGGTGGGTGCCTATAATCCCAGCTTCTGGGGACGCTGAGACAGGAGAATCACTTGAACCCAGAAGGTGGAGGTTGCAGTGTGCTGAGATCGCACCACTGCACTCCAGCCTGGGTGACAAAGTGAGACTCTGTCTCAAATTAAAAAGCAACAGCCTGGCCGGGCGCGGTGGCTCACGCCTGTAATCCCAGCACTTTGGGAGGCCGAGGCGGGCGGATCACGAGGTCAGGAGATCGAGACCATCCCGGCTAAAAAACGGTGAAACCCCGTCTCTACTAAAAATACAAAAAATTAGCCGGGCGTAGTGGCGGGCGCCTGTAGTCCCAGCTACTTGGGAGGCTGAGGCAGGAGAATGGCGTGAACCCGGGAGGCGGAGCTTGCAGTGAGCCGAGATCGCGCCACTGCACTCCAGCCTGGGCGACAGAGCGAGACTCCGTCTCAAAAAAAAAAAAAAAAAAAAAAAAAAAGCAACAGCCTGGGCGTGGTAGCTCACACCTGTAATCCCAGCACTTTGGGAAGCCAAGGAGGGGTGGATCACGAGGTCAGGAGTTGGAGACCAAGCTGGCCAACATGGTGAGACCCTGTCTCTACTAAAAATACAAAAATTAGCTGGGTATGGTGGTGCACACCTGTAATCCCAGCTACTCGGGAGGCTGAGGCAGGAGAATGGCTTGAATACGGGAGGCAGAGGTTGCAGTGAGCTGAGATCACGCCACTGTACTCCAGCCTGGGCAACAGAGTGAGGCTCAGTCTCAAAAAAAAAAAAAAAAAAAAAACCGCCACCAACAACAAAAACCAATTGTTGAACTAAATATATAAGAATTCCTGCCGGGTGTGATGGCTCATGCCTGTAATCCCAGCACTTTGGGAGGCCGAGGCGGGCTGATCACAAGGTTAGGAGATCGAGACCATCCTGTGAATGGTGAAACCCCGTCTCTACTAAAAATACAAAAAAAAAAAAAATTAGCTGGGTGTGGTGGCAGGCACCTGTGGTCCTTGCTACTCCGGAGGCTGAGGCGGGAGAATGCTGTGAACCCAGGAGGCAGAGCTTGCAGTGAGCTGAAATTGCGCCACTGCACTCCAGCCTGAGCGACAGAGCGAGACTCTGTCTCAAAAAAAAAAAAAGGATTCCAGTCCTCATTGACTTCTTTTTTTTTTTTTTCTGAGACAGGGTCTCCCTCTGTTACCGAGCCTGGAGTACAGTGGTGAAATCCTAGCTTACTGCAGCCTGGAACTTCTGGGATCAAGTAATTCTTCCACTTCAGCCTCCCAAGCACCTGGGACTACAGATGTGCACCACCACGCCCAGTTAATTTTTAAAATTTTTTTTAGAAACAAGGTCTCAATGTTTCCCAGGCTGGCCTCAAACTCTTGGGCTGAATGGATCCTCCAGCCTCTGCCTCCCAGTCACTGACTTTCCCATGAATGACGGCAGCAGAACCTGGGAGCGATATTATCAACAGTTTACTGAGGGCTTACTGTGTACCAAGTCTTGTTGTAAGGATTTTGCCTACGTGATTTCATAGAGTTAAGCCGCTTGCCCAGGGCCATTCAGCTAGGATTTAAAACTCAGATATGTGTAATTCCAGGGCTCTGAAACAGTCTTCATGTGCCCAAGAACTTGTGTGTTTATCTTCCAAGCTCTCAACAACCTTCAGAGATAGATGTTGTGATTACACAGACTCGCAATTAACAGAGACTCAGAGAAGTTACAAATATAATTTATAACATACACACCGTATAGAATCTCAATAGCTAACAGTAATTACTTGTAAACATTAATTTTATTTTTTTAAACCTAATGACACACTTCTGAAAAGCAAACATGTATGGAGCAATTACTATTCACCTTGTTTTGTTCATACATTTAACTTGGATTATCTCACTTTAAAAAAGGCATCCTAGTGGCCGGGAGTGGTGGCTCACGCCTGTAATCCCGCACTTTGGGAGGCTGAGGCCGGCAGATCACCTGAGGTTGGGAGTTCGAGACCAGCCTAGCCAACAAGGAGAAACCCCATCTCTACTAAAAATACAAAATTAGTAGGGTGTGGTGGCACATGCCTATAATCCCAGCTACTCGGGAGGCTGAGGCAGGAGAATCCCTTGAACTCAGGGGGCAGAGATTACGGTGAGCTAAGATAACGCCATCATACTCCAGCCTGGGCAACAAGAGCGAAACTCTGTCTCAAAAAAAAAAAAAGAAAAAAAAAAAGGCATCCTAGGTAGGGCGCGGTGGCTCATGCTTGTAATCCCAGCACTTTGGGAGGTCGAGGTAGGCGGATCACCTGAGGTCGGGAGTTTGAGACCAGCCTGACCAAATGGAGAAACCCCATCTCTACTAAAAATACAAAATTAGCCGGATGTGGTGGCGCATGCCTGTAATCCCAGCTACTCGAGAGGCTGAGGGAGGAGAATCGCTTGAACCTGGGAGGCAGAGGTTCCAATGAGCCGTGATCCTGCCATTGCACTCCAGCATGGGCAACAAGAGTGAAACTCCACCTCAAAAAAAAAAAAAAAAAAAGCATCCTTGGCCGGGCGCGGTGGCTCACTCCTGTAATCCTAGCACTTTGGGAGGCCGAGGCAGGCAGATCATGATGTCAGGACTTTGAGACTAGCCTGGGCAACATAGTGAAACCCCGTCTCTACTAAAAATACAAAAAATTAGCCGGGCATGGTGGTGGGCGCCTATAATCCCAGCTACTCAGGAGGCTGAGGCAGGAGAATTGCTTGAACCTGGGAGGCAGGGTTGCAGTGAGCCGAGATGGCGCCATTGCACTCCAGCCCAGGCAACAACAGCGAGACTCTGTCTCAAAAAAAGAAAAGGCATCCTCATCTCCGTATGAATTCATGGTTTGTATTTATTTTTTATTTTTTGAGACAGGGTCTTGCTCTGTTGCCTGACTGGAGTGCAGAGGTGCAATCACGGCTCACTGCAGCCTCCACCTTTGGGACTCGGGTGATCTCACCTCGGCCTCCTGAGTAGCTGGGACTACAGGCATGCGCCACCACGCCCAGCTAATGTTTTTGTTTTTGTTTTTGTTGTTGTTTTGAGACAGAGTCTCACTTTGTCACCCAGGCTGGAGTGCAATGGCGCGATCTCAGCTCACTGCAAACTCCGCCTCCTGGGTTCAAGTGATTCTCCTGCCCAGCCTTGTGTGTAGCTGGGATTGCAGGCACGTACCACCATGCCTGGCTAATTTTTGTATTTTTAGTAGAGACGAGGTTTCACCATGTTGGCCAGGCTGGTCTCAAACCCCTGACCTCATGATCCACCTGCCTCGGCCTCCCAAAGTCCTGGGATTACAGGCTTGAGCCACTGCACCTGGCCACTGAGCCACCGCGCCTGGCCACTTGTTTTGTTTTTTGAGACAGAGTCTCACTCTATCACCCAGCTGGAGTGCAACGGCACGATCTCGGCTCACCGCAACCTCAGCCACCTGGGTTCAAGCGATTCTCTTGCCTCAGCCTTCCAAGTAGTTGGGATAACAGGCATGCGCCACCTCGCCCAGCTAATTTTTGTGTTTTTAGTAGAGACAGGGTTTCGTCATGTTGGCCAGGCTGGTCTCAAACTCCTGACCCCAGGTGATCTGCCCCCCTCAGCCTCCCAAAATGCTAGGATTACAGGAGTGCACCTGGCCATGTTTGTATTTTTTGTAGAGACAGACTTTTGCCATGTTGCCCAGGCTGGTCTCAAACTCCTGAGTTCAACTGATCTGCCCGCCTCGGCCTCCCAAAGTGCTAGGATTACAGGCATGAACCACTGCACCCAGCTTCATGATTTGTATTTATTTGGAGAATGGGTCTCTGTCACCCAGGCTGGAGTGCAGTGGCTTGATCACAGCTCACTGCAGCCTCAAACTCCTGGGTTTAAGTGATCCTCCCACCTCATCCTTCTGAGTAGCTGAGATTACAGGTTTGTGCCACCACGCCTGGCTTATTGTTTAGCTGTGCCTGCTGACGGGTACCTCTAGAAGCAGTGACACCCCAGCAGCAATGAGCACACACAGCACCCAGATCTTAGTTTAATTTTTTTTTTTTGAAGACAGAGTCTCACTCTGTCCCGCAGGCCGGAGTGCAGTGGCGCAATCTCAGCTCATTGCAACCTCTGCCTCCCTGGTTCAAGCCATTCTCCTGCCTCAGCCTCCCTAGTAACTGGGATTACAGGCACACGCTGCCACACCCGGCTAACTTTTTGTGTTTTAGTAGAGACAGGGTTTCACTGTGTTGCCCAGGCTGGTCACGAACTCCTGAGCTCAGGCAATCTGCCTGCCTTGGCTTCCCAAAGTGTTAGGATTACAGGCATGAGCCACCGTGCCCGGCCTTTTTTTTTTTTTTTTTTTTTTGAGATGGAGTCTTGCTCTGTTGCCCAGGCTGGAGTGCAGTGGCGTGTTCTTGGCTCACTGCAACCTCTGTCTCCTGGGTTCAAGCAATTCTCCTGCCTCAGGCTCCCGAGTAGCTAGGACTACAGGTGTGCACCACAATGCCCAGCTAATTGTGTGTGTGTGGTGTGTGTGTGTGTGTGTGTGTGTGTTTTAGTAGGGACGGGGTTTCACCATGCTGGCCAGGCTGGTCTCAAACTCCTTACCTCAGGTAATCTGCCCGCCTCGGCCTCCCAGAATGCCGGGATTACAGGCATGAGCCACAGCACCCGGCTAATTTCTTTCTTTCTTTCCCTTCTTTCCCTCCCTCCCTCCCTTCCTTTCTTTCCTTCTTTCTTTTTTTTTTTTTTTTTTGAGATGGAGTTTCGCTCTTGTTGCCCAGGCTGGAGTGCAGTGGTGTGATCTCGGATCACTGCAACCTCTGTCTCCCAGGTTCAAACGATTCTCCTGCCTCAGCCTCCCAAGTAGCTAGGATTACAGGGATGTGCCACCATGCCTGGCTAATTTTGTATTTTTAGTAAAGACAGGGTTACTCCATGTTGGTCAGGCTGGTCTCGAACTCCCGACCTCAGGTGATCTGCCCACCTCAGCCTCCCAAAGTGCTGGGATTACAGGAGTGAGCCACTACACCCGGCCTCTTTCTTTTTTGTTTTGAGACAGAGTTTCGCTCTTGTTGCCCAGGCTGGAGTGCAGTGGGTGATCTCAGCTCACTGCAACCTCTGCCTCCCAGTTCCAAGTGATTCTCCAGTGTCTCGAGTAACTGGGATTACAGGTGCCCACCACCATGCCTGGCTAATTTTTTTGTGTTTTTAATAGAGATGGGGGGGTTTCATCATGTTGGCCCAGGTGGTCTCGAACTCCTGACTTCCTGATCTGCCCACCTCAGCTTCCCACAGTGCTGGGATTACAGGCGTGAATCACTGAGCCCCGACTGATCTTGGTTTCTAAATCCTACTCTTGAAGCAAAGGAACCAGGTTCCTTGGAGAAATGGCTGATTCCAGGGATTTTACACAGCATTGGATCATGTTGTGGAGCCCAAGATAAATAATGCTCAGAGAATGGTGGCGACATATTAAAAGGACACAGGAGCTTATTTATTATTTATTTATTTATTTATTGAGACGGAGTCTTGCTCTGTCGCCCAGGCTGGAGTGCAGTGGCTCGATCTCTGCTCACTGCAAGCTTCGCCTCCCGGGTTTGCACCATTCTCCTGCCTCAGCCTCCCGAGTAGCTAGGACCACAGGCACCTGCCACCACGCCTGGCTAATTTTTTGTATTTTTAGTAGAGATAGGGTTTCACCATGTTAGCCAGGATGGTCTCAATCTCCTGACCTCATGATCCGCCCGCCTCGGCCTCCCAAAGTGCTGGGATTACAGGCGTGAGCCACTGCACCCAGCCAGGAGCTAATTTAAAGGGGCAGGAAAGGAAATAATTATAATTATAATGATGTGGATTTATTAATCCACATCAGTTTATAGCGATTTTTGTTGTTGTTGTTGTTGTTGCTTTTTGAGACAAAGTCTCATTCTGTCACCCAGGCTGGAGTGCAGTGGCACAATCTCGGCTCACTGCAATCTCCGCCTCCCAGGTTCAAGAGATTCTCATGCCTCATCCTCCTGAGTAGCTATGATTATAGCACCTGCCACCACGCCAGGCTAATTTTTTTTTTTTTTTTTTGGATTTTTAGTAGAGACGGGGTTTCACCATGTTGGCCAGTCTGGTCTCAAACTCCCGACCTCAGGTGATCCACACGCCTGGCATCCCAAAGTGCTGGGGTTACAGGCGTGAGCCACTGCGCCGGGCCTGTTTGTTTTTTGAGACTGGGTCTCACTCTGTTGCCCAGGCTGGAGTGGGGTCTTCGTTCACTGCAACTTCTGCCTCCTGGCCTCAAACGATACTCCTACCTCAGCCTCTTGAGAAACTGGGACCACAGGCTCGGGCCACAGGCCCGTTTTTTTTTTTTTTTCCAATTGTAGCTGTGAGGCATTTTATTACAAAAACTTGGTACTCGTATACACAAACTAACATGAACTTAAAATACATTTTCTTCATTTTTTAGCTTGACCTTCTTTTTTTTTTTTGAGACGTGGTCTTGCTCTATCGCCCAAGCTGGAGTGCAGTGGTGCGATCTTGGCTTACTGCAGCCTCTGCCTCCTGGGTTCAAGCGATTCTCCTGCCTCAGCCTCCTGAGTAGCTGGGATTACAGGCTCCCGCCACCACTCCCGACTAATTTTTTTTATTTTTAGTAGAGACAAGGTTTCACCATGTTGGTCAGGCTGGTCTCGAACTCCTGATCTCGTGATCCGCCCGCCTCGGCCTCCCAAAGTGCTCGGATTACAATGACAGGATGTGAGCCACCGCGCCCAGCCTGTAAACCCTTTTGAAAAAATTCCCCAGCGCATTACTCCAAAACAACGTGGAAGTGTAAATGGAAACCAGGGCTGGGCGCGGTGGCTCATGCCTGTAATCCCAGCACTTTGGGAGGCCGAGGCGGGCAGATCACCTGAGGTCGGGAGATCGGGACCCGCCTGACCAACATGGAGAAACCCTGTCTCTACTAAAAACACAAAACTTGCCGGGCATGGTGGCACATGCCTGTAATTCCAGCTACTCCGGAAGGCTGAGGCAGATGAATCGCTTGAACCTGGGAAGCGGAGGTTGCGGTGAGCCGAGATCACGCCATTGTACTCCAGCCTGGGCAACAAGAGCGAAACTCTGTCTCAAAAAAAAAAAAAAAAAAAAAAAAAGGAAACTTGGACCAAAAAAATCAGCAAAAGTGGAGCAGGGATGTCTGAACACAGATGAGTCTAATTCCCTGCTTGGAAAGCAGGACACCTGAGTGTGGTTTGGCCTCTGACCACTGTAGCATTTACGACCTTGGGGAGGGTTACCACTCTGGGACCTCAGTCACACTATCTACAAAATGGGACACTTCTCTCAGCCTTCCTTCTTCCGGGCCGCTTTCAAGCCTGGGCTTCTGGAAATACGCAGGCGCGAGATGAATTGTTTGATTGGCTATTCATTGTGATGCACCCACGAGCTGAAGCTCCGTCTAAGCCCCGCCCTTTCCTGTCGTGACTTAACGCACGCAAGCGGCTCCAGGGTACGTCCCCGCCACGCGCGCTCGCAGGATCGGTGCGTGGTGACGTTTCGCCGGCGCGGGCGCCATCCCGGAAGCGCGAGCAAGGCCGCCAGATGTGCAGGTGCCGCCGCTACCGACGCCGGGGCCGAGTTTGGGGTGGGGCTGGGGACTCCAGGGCCGCGGGGAACCGGTCCGGGTCGGGCGCGGCCCCCGGGCTGCGGTGGGGTGGGGTGCGCCACTGGCCACATCTGGTCATTCCTGCTGCGCACAGGCCTCAGTTTCCCCGTCTGCTCAATGGATACGCAGGCGGCGCTACGGGCTGGATCTGGATCCGGATCAGGGGCATAGGAATTGGGGCCTCCTGTGTTCTGGGTGTGTCGTGTAACCTGGAGCTGGGCGTTGCCCGGTTTGTGCCTCAGTTTCCCTGTATTGTAGGGGACGGGGCGTGAGGGGATATTTGAGCCCCTCCCCACTTGGGGTTTTTCAGAGCTTGGATGGCTGAGTTAAATTCTGTTAAATAACCTGGATATAGAACCGTGGTGCTTCTCTGCCTCTCCCTGTGAGTTTCGGCAACGGAGCCCGCCCCTGTGAGCCTCAGTTTCACTCGGAGATGATTGTGTCTGCCTCGTAACGGTGATTGAGGATGAAATGAAGTGCTCTACAAGTGTTTGCCCGTAATATATTCTTAGAGGCCCCTGGGATGCTCTCAAAATGTTGATTCCCGGGACTTCTTCACACTCCTCTTGGAGAAACAGCCTGTCCTGAGCTCCAGTCGTTATCACCTTTGGTTTCAGTTGCCACAGACAGCACTGTGAGATCTTCATTCTACCTTATTTTCATTTTATGGTTGAAAAAACTGATTCAGAAGGGTGAAGTGGCTCTCCCATGGTCAAACAGCCTACCTCTCTGCGTTTCTTCAATAAATCTACATTTGGAGTTGGGATCAGAGCTCTTGCTGGGTCAATTTCACTGTGTATGTGGGCCAGACTAGCAGTAATCAGGGAAGGCTTCTTGGGAGAGGAAGTTGCGGGGGGACGGGAGGGAGGTGCCAGGAACCCCTCAGCCCTCACATCTGGGAGCCAGAGACAGAAAAGAGTCCTGTTTTGAAGGAGGAGTGTATCCCAGAAGGTCCCAGTACTGTGTCTCACTGGTACTAGCTATGGGCCTCCCTCTCCAGGTGTCTTTTTTTTTTTTTTTTTTTTTTTTTCAGTTGAGATGAAGTCTCCCTCTGTAGCCCACACTAGAATGCAGTGGCTTGATTTTGGCTCATTGCAACCTCTGCCTCCCGGGTTCAAGCGATTCTCCTGCCTCAGCCTCCTGAGTAGCTGGGACTACAGGTGCCCGCCATCATGCCTGGCTAATTTTTGTATTTTTAGTAGAGACGGGGGTTTCACCATGTTCACCAGGCTAGTCTTGAACTCATGACCTCAGGTGATCCACCAGCCTTGGCTTCCCAAAGTGCTGAGATTACAGGCATGAGCACCCGGTCCAGGTATCCTCTTTATACAAGATCATGCTTCTTTGGGAATGTGGAGACTGGGTGTCTCTGCATGGCATGTCATAGGAGTTCAATAACCATAGTTATTATTAGAGGGAAGGGGGTTTTGCTGGGTGTGGCACCTTATTTCTAGAAGGTGCTGCAAACCACTGACCAGATACAGATCACAAATAGATGCTCTTGGCCTCCATGATATCTTGGAAAAAAGTATTGATTGCTGACATTTGTCAATGAGGCAATTTCCCAGAAAAAAAAAATCCCTGTTTCCTTTTTCCTGGAGAAACATCAGAAGTCAGGCAGAAATCAGCTGCTGTAAGAAGCCACTGTCCTGTCACAGCTGGATATTGTGCACCTGTTCAGATTCACACCTTTGTGAGACCCGTGGGCTGTGGCCGTTTGTTGTGACTTAGGTTCACTGGCTGTGTGACAGTGGCCCAGTTTCTCAGTGTCCCTGAGCCTCAGTTTTCTCATCTATAAATAAGAATGATAACAGTATGTATGAGCTTGATGCTTTGTTTAGCATAGAGTAGCTGCTGAATAAATGGGAGAGTACATTAAGTGAGCTCTGAAACCCTTTCTTTCTCTTTCCTTTCTTTCTCTCTTTCTCTGTCTCTCTCTCTTTCTCTCCTCTCTCTTTCTCTCTTTGTCTCTCTCTCTTTCTCTCCTTCTCTCTCTCTTTCTCTCTCTCCCTTCCTTCCTTCCCTCCCTCCCTCCCTTCCTTCCTTCTTTTCGAGATGGAGTCTCACTCTGTCGCCCGGGCTGGAGTGTAGTGGCATGATCTCGGCTCATTGCAACCTCTGCCTCCCAGGTTCAAGCCATTCTCCTGCCTCAGCCATCCAAGTAGCTGCGACTACAGGTGCCCGCCACCATGCCCGGCTAATTTTTTTTGTATTTTTAGTAGAGACTGAGTTTCACTATGTTGGCCAGGCTGGTTTTGAACTCCTGACCTCAAGCAGTCTGCCCACCTCGGCCTCCCAAAGTGCTAGGATTACAGACGTGAGCCACCACACCCGGCCTCTGAAACCCTTTCTGATCCAGTAGAAGTTCGTCTCTGTTTCTTGGCTATTAAATGTGTGGGCCTCAGAGCCAAACTATATCAAGATCCTAGATTTTTCCTGAACTCCCTAGGAGGGTCAGTGCTGTAGCCCCTCCTACCCTGGCTGCTCCGGGAAGTCCCTGCCTGCCATTACGGTCATCTGTGTGCCAGCAAAACTGGGAACCTCAGAACCATCTGGATTGCTGGGGCCCACAGGTTGGCTGTGAGTACCTGCAATTCTTGGCTTTAATTTGCTAATAAAAGTGTCACGTCAGAGCTGAGTTTGAAAAGTTCTGTTGCCCTTCCCCACAACAACATTCTGGCAGCCCCTTGCTATGAGCCAGACTCCGGGTCGGGTTCTGGTGACAGACACACCTCTACTCCTTCTTTTTTTTTTTTGAGACGGAGTCTCTCTGTTGCCCAGGCTGGAGTGCAGTGGCACAGTCTTGGCTCACCACAACCTCCGCCTCCTGGGTTCAAGTGATTCTCCTGCCTCAAGCTCCCGAGTAGCTGGGACTAAAGGTGCCCACCACCATGCCTGGCTAATTTTTGTATTTTTAGTAGAGATGGGGTTTCACTATGTTGGCCAGGCTGGTCTCGAACTCCTGACCTCGTGATCCACCTGCCTCGCCCTCCCAGAGTGCTAGGATTACAGGCGTGAGCCACAGCACCTGGCCACCTCTGCTCTTTTGGAGCTGACGTTGTGGCGGTGACAGGCAAACGGGTTAGCTGATAACTAGGATAATTTCATGAAGAGGTGAACCAGTGAAGCAGTTAAATCAAGGTAAAGGGTGGCTGGGCGCAGTGGCTCAGGCCTGTAATCCTAGCACTTTGGGAGGCCAAGGCAAAAGGGTCGTGTCAGCCTAGGAATTTAAGAGCAGCCTAGGCAACATAGCGAGACCCTGTCTCTTAACAAACAAACAAACAAAAACAAGGTAAAGTAGCCTGGGCGCGGTGGCTCATGCCTGTAATCCCAGCACTTTGGGAGGCTGAGGCGAGTGGATCACCTGAGGTCAGTAGTTCGAGACCAGCCTGGCCAAAATGGTGAAACCCCGTCTCTACTAAAAAATACAAAAATTAGCCAGGCGTGGTGGCGGGCACCTGTAATCCCAGCTACTTGGGAGGGTGAGGCAGGAGAATCGCTTGAACCTGGGAGGCGGAGGTTGCGCTAAGCCAAGATCGCGCCATTGCACTCCAGCCTGGGTGACAGGAGTGAAACTCTGTATCAAAAAGAAATAAAAAAACGAGGTCAAGTAGTAAGAGAAGCGGTAAGAGTGACGGGAACAGGAGTCATTGACCTCTTGGGAGAGGAGACATTGGAGGTGGTGATGATTTGCTGAAGCAGCCACACACGTTCAGCTTGTGAGGACAGCAGTTGTTAGGCAGGGGATGAGGGAGGAAGCTGGCAGATCTGTGCAGGTGAGAGGTACCTGTGGCCTTGGGCTCATGGAAGTGGGAGGTGATGGGATTCTAATGTGCTTGGGTACAGTTTACAAATACAACCTCTCTTAGTTTGCCCAATACCTCCAAATTCCTGGGGTGGCACACCTGAGGTTCAGGTGGCATGACTGAGCCACAGTCACACATCCCCACTGTAGGATACCACCACGGTTGGGTTAGGTTCCAGCACATGGCGGTCCCGGCCTGGCCTCTTGGTCCCACCTCACCTGGTGACTAGTGCAGACCACTCTGTTCTTGCCTGTTTCAGGCAGCGGAGGAGGAGAAAGAGATGGACCTCCCGGACTCGGCCTCGAGGGTCTTCTGCGGCCGCATCCTGAGCATGGTGAACACAGATGATGTCAACGCCATCATCCTGGCCCAGAAGAACATGTGAGTGGCGGCTGGGGGACCTGAGCGTGGGAAGGAATCCACAGGCTGGCCAACATTCTTGTCTTGCCCGCCCCTACCCGGGGCCCACACTGGTGATAAAATGAAGGAAATGAGCAAATCTGTCGCTGGCTCCAAAGTAAATTCCTTCCCGGCCTGGAGGCGAGGCCTTGGCACAGGAAGCAGGGCTTTGGGGAGATTTTGCAGCTGCGGATGGCTTGGCGGGGGCCGCAGGGGCTCCTGTCCCGAGACCTGGGGTGGGAGAGTTGAAGGACCAGAGGGGGCCACATGCAGGTTTTTTTGTTTATTTGTTTCTTGTTTTTGAGACAGAGTTTTGCTCTTGTTGCCCAGGCTAGAGTGCAATGGTGTGACCTTGCCTCACTGCAACCTCCGCCTCCCGAGTTCAAGCGATTTCTCCTGCCTCAGCCCTCTGAGTAGCTGGGATTACAAGCATGTGCCACCATGCCCAGCTAATTTTTGTATTTTTAGTAGAGACGGGCTTTCATCATGTTGGTCAGGCTGGTCTCGAACTCCTGACCTCAAGTGATCCACCCGCCTCGGCCTCCCGAAGTCCTGGGATTATAGGCCTGAGCCACTGTGCCTGGCCTTTATGCAGGTTTTATGCTGGTGCGCCTACTTCCTGGTGAAGGACTAGTCTCCCAGAGCCCAGGCTGTGTCTGCACAGTGCCCAGGGTCTCTTGGAGCGGACATAAAGGCCTCTTGTCCTCACTGGGGTTTGGTGCTGTGGCTGCTGAAACCTTGCCCTAATTCAGGCCTGCCCTGTGGGGAAGAAAGGCTAATACCAAGCTTGTCCAACCCTCGGCCTGTCCAACCCTTTGAATGTGGGCCAACACAAATTCGTAAACTTTCTTAAAACATTACGAGATTTTTTTTGTGATTTTTTTCTTTTTCTTTCTTAACTCATCAGCTGTCGTTAGTGTTAGTGTATTTTATGTGTGGCCCAAGACAATTCTTCTTCCAATGTGGCCCAGGGAAATGAAAAGACTGGACACCACTGGGCTAATACAGTCTTGGAGTGGAAGCACAGCCTCCCGCAGCTTTGTTTTTGTGTCTCTGAGCCAGAGGCTCTTCTCAGCTGTCACGACACAGTACAGACCTGATTTCCTTACCTTTTCTCCCAGACCCAGAGCAGCTCCGAGTCTCAATAGTACCTGTCTCTCTCCTGTGTCTTTTTTTTTTTTTTTTTTGGGAGACAGAGTCTCACTCTGTCGCCCAGGCTGGAATGCAATAGCATAATTGCTGCTCACTACATCCTCTGCCTCCTGGGTCAAGTGATTCTCCTGCTTCAGCCTCCTGAGTCGCTGGGATTATAGGCATGCACCACCATGCCTGGCTGATTTTTTTTTTGTGACGGAGTCTCGCTCTCTCGCCAGGCTGGAGCACAGTGGCGCAATCTCAGCTCACTGCAACCTCTGCCTGCTGGGTTCAAGCGATTCTACTGCCTCAGCCTTCCAAGTAGCTGGGACTACAGGTGTGCGCCACCACGGCCAGCTAATTTTTGTATTTTTAGTAGAGACGGGGTTTCACCACGTTGACCAGAATGGTCTCAATCTCTTGACTTCGTGATCCGCCCGCCTCAGCCTCCCAAAGTGCTGGGATTACAGGTGTGAGCCACCGTGCCCGGCCCTGATTTTTTTATTTTTAGAAGAGATGTGGTTTCACCATGTTGGCCAGACCTCAAGTGATCCACCCTGCCTCAACCTCCTAAAGTGCTGGTCTCCTTTTTTTTGAGACATAGTTTCGCACTGTCACCCAGGCTGGAGTGCAGTGGCGCAATCTCAGGTCACTGCTATGTCCGCCTCCCGGGTTCAAATGATTCTCCTGCCTCAGCCTCCCGAGTAGCTGGGATTACAGGCGCCCGCCACCATGCCCAGCCAATTTTTGTATTTTTGGTAGAGACGCGGTTTTCCCATGTTGGCAAGGCTGGTCTCGAACTCCTGACCTCATGATCTGCCTGCCTTGACCTCCCAAAGCGCTGGAATTGCAGGCATGAGCCCCCATGCCCGGCTGGTCTCCTGTTTTTTTAGGTCAGATTCAGACCTGGCTCTGGGAAACTTCTAGACTGAGGGGAGACAAAGCCAGACACAGACCCTCCTGGCCCTATGGTGTCAGGGCTGGGCCAGAGGAACAACCTGGGGCTAGTGGAATTAAAAGAGTCTGATTGGGCCAGGCACGATGGCTCACTCCTGTAATCCCAGCACTTTGGGAGGCCGAGGTGGGTGGATCACGAGGTCAGGAGATCGAGACCATCCTGGCTAACCTGGTGAAACCTCGTCTCTACTAAAAATACAAAAAATTAGCCAGGCATGGTGGCGGACGCCTGTAGTCCCAGCTATACTCGGGAGGCTGAGGCAGGAGAATGGTATGAACCTGGGAGACGGAGCTTGCAGTGAGCCGAGATCGCGCCACTGCACTCCAGCCTGGGTGACGAAGCAAGACTCTGTCTCAAAAAAAGTCTGACTGAATAGAGGTAGACAAGGCTACATGAGAAGGACACACTTGAGTAGGGTTTTGAAGGTTGAATAGGAGTTTGCTAGGTGGCTCAAAGAGTAGGTAGAACTCTGCAGGACAAGGGAACAGCCCATGCAAAGGTTGTGAAGCAGGCAAGGGCTTGGCATGAACAGTCTTCTGGGCCAGGTTGGGCAGGGCCCTGAAGCTGGGCAGTGAAGCTCATGCCCTCTCTCCACCATCAGGCTGGACCGCTTTGAGAAGACCAATGAGATGCTGCTCAACTTCAACAACCTGTCCAGTGCCCGCCTGCAGCAGATGAGCGAACGCTTCCTGCACCACACGAGGACCCTAGTAGAGATGAAACGGGACCTGGACAGCATCTTCCGCCGTATCAGGTGGGTGCTCAGTGCCACCCCAGCCCAGCTGACCTCTGCCTCCACCTCCCCATCTGAGCCTCAGTTTCCTTCACATACCAGGGTAAAGGGAGATTTCTGTTTGTTTTACAAGGCTTCACTGCGCACTTAAGTGTCTGGGACAATTCCAACCCTGGGATAAAATCTTGACGTAAGTTTATTTACTGATTGATTAATTGATCGAGACAGAGTTTTTTTTTTTTTTTTGGAGACGGAGTCTCGCTCTGTTGCCCAGGCTGGAGTGCAGTGGCGCGACCTCAGCTCACTGCAAGCTCCGCTTCCCGGGCTCACGCCATTCTCCTGCCTCAGTCTCCGGAGTAGCTGGGATTACAGGTGCCTACCACCACGCCTGGAGAATTTTTTGTATTTTTAGTGGAGATGGGGTTTCACCGTGTTAGTAGTCAGGATGGTCTCGATCTCCTGACCTCGTGATCCAGCCGCCTTGGCCTCCCAAAGTGCTGGGATTACAGGCGTGAGCCACTGCGCCCGGCCGAGACAGAGTCTTGATCTGTGGCCCTGGCTGGAGTGCAGTGGCGTGATCTTGGCTCACTGCAACCTCTGCCTCCTGGATTCAAGCGATTCTTGTGCTTCAGCCTTCTGAGTAGCTGGGTCTACAGACATACTGTACCACACCCAGCTAATTTTTGTTGTTGTTGTTTTATTTTTGAGGTGGAGTCTTGCTCTGTCGCCCAGGCTGGAGTGCAGTGGTGCAATGTCAGCTCACTGCAACCTCCGCCTCCCAGGTTCAAGCGATTCTCCTGCTTCAGCCTCCTGAGTAGCTGGGACTACAGGCGCATGCTGCCACGCCCAGCTGATTTTTTGTATTTTAGTAGAGACGAGATTTCACCGTGTTGCCCAGGCTAGTCTCAAACTCCTGAGCTCCAGCACTCTGCCTGCCTCGGCCTCCTAAAGTGTTGGGATTACAGGTGTGAGCCTAATTTTTGTATTTTGTGTAATTTTTGTATTTTTTTAGTAGAGACAGGGTTTCCCCATGTTGGCCAGGCTCATCTCGAAGTCCTGGCCTCAGATGATCCATCCACCTCGACCTCCCAAAGTGCTGGGATTATAGGCATGAGCCATCATGCCCAGCCTTGCAGTTTATTTATTCTTAAAAAATGTAACACAGTGCGGCTGGGCGAGGTGGCCCATGCCTGTAATCCCAGCACTTTGGGAGGCCGAGGCAGGCGGATCACGAGGTCAGGAGATCAAGACCATCCCGGCTAACATGGTGAAACCCCGTCTCTACTAAAAATACAAAAAATACTAAAAATACAAAAAATTAGCTGGGCGTGGTGGTGGGCGTCTGTATTGCCAGCTACTCGGGAGGCTGAGGCAGGAGAATGGCATGAACCCAGGAGGTGAGCCGAGATCGCGCCACTGCACTCAAGCCTGGGCGACAGAGCGAGACTCCGTCTCAAAAAAAAAAAAAAAGTAACATAGTGCTAGACACATAATGAAAAGGCAGGAATGGCTGGGCACAGTGGCTCATGCCTGTAATCCCAGCAGTTAGGGAGGCTGACGCAGGCAGATCACCTGAGGTCAGAAGTTTGAGACCAGCCTGGCCAACATGATGAAATCCCGTCTCTACTAAAAATACAAAAAAATCAGCTGAGCATGGTGGCACGTGCCTGTAATCCCAGCTACTTGGGAGGCTGAGGGAGGACAATCATGTGAATCCGGAAGGTGGAGGTTGCAGTGAGCCAGGATGGCACCACTGCACTCCACCCTGGGCGACAGAGTGAGATTCTGTCTCAAAAAAAAAAAAAAAATTTATCAGAGAAGAGGCCACATGTAAGAAGCAGCCTCGCAGGGGGAGCCCCCAGCCAGTGCCTAGGCTCAGAGCACCCAGAGTCTAACTAGTTGGGGGTTGGTGCCTACCTTGGGGCTGGAGGCCGGCTGGTGGGCGACTGTCAGGGCCGTGGCTGCTGGGCCGAGCACCTAGAGAGAGTGAAGATGTGAGGTGATGAACAGTGTGGGGGTTCTCACTCCCGTCTCCCCTTGCCCTCAGCTGGCAGCAGGGGCTTGTGGCCAGCACCAGGCCCAGCCTACCTGCTCAGCAGGTTAAGCCCTGTGTGCCTTCTCTCCCCTGCAGGACGCTGAAAGGGAAACTGGCCAGGCAGCACCCAGAGGCCTTCAGCCGTAAGTGTCACGCAGGGTTCCTGCTCCCGAGCACGTCAGCACTCTCCACCCAGGGCAGGCTTCTGGAAGGCCACCTTGGGGCCTGATACTGAGACCAGGCTGTAATGGGCAGTGGGTCTGGGGAAACCTGGGGTGGGGGCAGGGTCAGGGTGCTGGCCTGGTCCTGTCAGCAGCTGGCAGAGTGGGCACTAGGACGGGAGTCCGTGCCCCGTGGGGAGGCCGCACAGGAGAATGTGGATAAGCAGCATGACAATCCTTATCCCTGTGTGCATTATGAGCCATCTCAGAACAGAGCACGGGCTCATGTGACACCAGCCCCGACATCGTCTCGCCTTCCCTGAGCCCCAGCTTCGAGGATCTGTCCCATGTCCAGCTGTTACCCACAGTCACCCATGGGGTGGGGACTGTGAGTATCACCGTTTCATGGAGAGGGAAACAGAGGCCCAGAGGGGCAGGACTTGAGTTCGCATCTGTCTGGCTAGAGAGCTCGCGTGTTCTCTGGGGTACCATTCCATGTTGCCACCACCTTAAAGGGCTCTGCAGGCTGAGCCTGGGTTCACACCATCTGTTGAAAAGGCCGACAGCTCTCCATCCCAGGGCCTCCAACAGCAGTTTACAGAGCAGGGAGCTGGGCTGAGGGGAGGTCATATACCTAGCCCAGGTAGTGCAGTGAGCCAGGTTCGCCCTCAGGGCTCCTGTAGGCCTAACCCCAGATCTTGTGTCCCTTCCTCACCTCACCTTGAAGGGAGGGCTCTTCCCTGCCTGGGCCTCAGTTTTCTCCTCTACAAAATAAAAATGGGCCAAGTCTGCCAGGCGCGGTGGCTCATGCCTGTAATCCCAACACTTTGGGAGGCTGAGGCGGGTGGATCACCTGAGGTCGGGAGTTCGATACCAGCCTGACCAACATAGAGAAACCCCGTCTCTAGTAAAAATACAAAATTAGATGGGCGTGATGATGGGCATCTGTAGTCTCAGCTACTCAGGAGGTTAAGGCAGAAGAATCGCTTGAACCCGGGAGACGGAGGTTGCAGTGAGCCGAGATTATACCATTGCACTCTAGCCTGGGCAAAGAGCGAAACTCCGTCTCAAAAAAAAAAAAAAAAAAGGGTCAAGTCATACCCCCATGGGGTGAGGGCAGCCGTTAGGGGTCACATGGACAATAAGTCCTACATCACAGAGCTTGGCAAGGTGACAAAACCAACTCTTGGGCCTCCTTCCCCCAGATATCCCAGAGGCATCCTTCCTGGAGGAAGAGGATGAAGACCCCATCCCACCCAGCACCACGACCACCATTGCCACCTCAGAACAGAGCACGGGCTCATGTGACACCAGCCCCGACACCGTCTCGCCCTCCCTGAGCCCCGGCTTCGAGGACCTGTCCCATGTCCAGCCTGGCTCCCCAGCCATCAACGGCCGCAGCCAGACAGATGACGAGGAGATGACGGGCGAATAGCCCTGCTGCCCGGTGCCTTGAGGGGGTCTCAGGGCAGCAGCATACAAGGTGGCAGCGGGTAACCCTGCCTTGTTCTGTCATCCAGGGCTCCTTTGCTGCCCCGTTCTGTCACCCAGGGCTCCTAGGGGGACAAGGCTCTCTCCCGAGGGGTGTGGAATTCCTGGGGGGGTCTTTAATTCTGGCTCCTTCCTTCCTCAGAACATCTCTATTCTGCAAGACCCCTCTGCCATGCCAGGGCACGCCCATTCCAGCTGGAGTCGTGGGGCTGGGCACAGGGGAATTTTTCCAGAGCTGAGCCTGACGTCTGCTCTGAAGAATGCTTAGAAGGTTCCCAGACACCAGAGCCAGATGTCCCCCACCACCGGTCAGGACCTCCTTGAGGTGCACAAGCACGGTCTCCTCTGAGTTCACCCCAGCCCACCCCCGCACCCACTAATTCTGCTTTTCCTGCCCCTTGCTCCGTAAAAGTATCAAATACTTTCTCCTTGGTATCTCAAGGAGGTTTCTGAGATAGGTAGAAGTCTTGAGACGGAGGCTGGCCATCCATTCAGCCCTGAGCGTGCTGAGTTCTGTGTTTCTCTGAATAGAGGTGTGGAACCTGAGGGGCCAGCAGGCCTCTCTGAAGGCCTCCATGGAGCAAACGGAGCCACCTCGGGAAAGAGTTTAATGGAATATTTTTGTACCCGATGTTTACAGATGCTGTTGGGAAGTTATCAATAAAAAGACACCATTACTAAAAAGGGAAAAGTACACCTAGCTGTGGCTTCTTCAGTCCTTAAGCCAAGCAACCCAAAAGGAGGGCAAGTGCTGGATGTGGGGCTGGGGGCCCTGCTGGAGGGAGGTGCAGACAATCAGGCACTACAGGGCTAGAAAGAGATGTGGCCCTTTTTTGGAACCCCCCCTGGTGGGAGCTATAACAACCCAAGTTCCCGTCACCAGCTAGGTCTTCCCTCACGCTGCTGTCACTGCTCACAATACTAGTGTTCCCATCCTCATTTCATAATTCCTTCTCCAGATCTCAGCCTTCCTCCAGATAGGGGAGCCACACTAGATCCATTCCCCATCAGACACACTCCCAGGGTTACCTCATCTTCTGAGTACTTAGAAATTATGTTGTTATGACCGGGCTTGGTGGCTCATGCCTGTAATCCCAGCACTTTGGGAGGCCGAGGTGGGTGGATCACCTGAGGTCAGGAGTTCGAGACCAGCCTGGCCAACATGGTGAAACCCCATCTCTACCAAAAATATAAAAATTAGCTGGGTGTGGTGGTGTACACCTGTAATCCCAGCTACTTGGGAGGCTGAGGCAGAATTGCTTGAATCCAGGAGGCAGAGGTTGCAGTGAGCCAAGATCGCACCACTGCACTCTAGCCTGGGCAAAAAGACCAAAACTGTTGTCTCAAAAAAGAAAAGGAAATTAGGTTCTTAAAGGCATCTTCCCAGACGTGAGAGTGTCTGCTTTTGCCTGGTATAGTAGTGCCTGCAAATGTTCAAGGAAATAAACAGGTACCCCTGTTAAGCCTATAGGTAACTTCTCATTGCTCCCCATCTTCTCTGTACTCAGCACTTTTTTTTTTTGTTTTGTTTTTGAGACAGCACCTCTCTGTTGCCCAGGCTGGAGTGCAGTGGCTGAATCATGGGTCACTGCAATCTCAAACCTATGGGTTCAGGCAATCCTCCTGCCTCCGAAGTAGCTGGGACTGCAGGTGCGCACCACCACACCTGGATAGTTCAAAATAAAACTTTTTTTTGTAGAGACAGGGTCTCACTATGTCTTCCAGGCTGGTCGTGAATTCCTGACCTCAAGTAATCCTCCCTCTTTGACCTTCCAAAGTGCTGGGATTACAAGTGTGAACCACTGCACCCGCCGTGGCACTTTTTTTTTTTTTTTTTTTTTTTGAGATGGAGTCTCACTCTGTCACCCAGGCTGGGTGCAGTGGCGTGAACTCAGCTCACTGCAACCTCCACCTCCCGGATTCAAGCGATTCTCCTGCCTCAGCCTCCTGAGTAGCTGGGATTACAGGCACCCGCCACCACACCTGAAAAATTTTTGTAATTTTTTTTTTCTTTTTTGAGACGGAGTTTTGCTCTTGTTGCCCAGGCTGTAGTGCAATGGCACTCTCTCGGCTAATTGCAACCTCTGCCTCCCGGGTTCAAGCGATTCTCCTGCCTCAGCCTCCTGAGTAGCTGGGATTACAGGCATGCGCCACCACGCCCAGCTAATTTTGTATTTTTAGTAGAGATGCGGTTTCTCCATGTTGGTCAGGCTCGTCTCGAACTCCCGACCTCAGGTGATCCGCACATCTCGGCCTCCCAAAGTGCAGGCGTGAGTCACCGGACCCAGGTCCCGCCCTGGCACTTTTTAACCACCCACAAATCTGGATCCTACACTGAAAAGAGACACTGCAGTGGCTCACGTCTGTAATCCCAGCACTTTGGGAGGCCAAGGCGGGCGGATCACCTGAGGTCGCGAGTTTGAGACCAGCCTGACCAACATGGAGAAACCCCGTCTCTACTAAAAATACAAAAGTGGCCAGGCATGGTGTCGCACACTTGTAATCGCAGCTACTCGGGAGGCTGAGGCAGGAGAATTGCTTGAACCCAGGAGGCGGAGGTTGCGGTGAGCCGAGATCGCGCCATTGCACTACAGCCTGGGCAACGAGAGCGAAACTCCGTCTCAAAAAAAAAAAAAAAAAAAATCCTGAGTCCCGCTTGACACCTTTTGTCAGGCACCACCACCTTTCTGGGCGAATGCGGTAGTACCGTCTGCTCTCCCTGCTGCTGTCCTGAAATCCATTCAGGCACAGCGGCCGAGAGCTTTATAATAACCGATTCCAGGTGTTAGGTGCTTTCCCAGCCCCGACTCCTGCGTCCTGGACCCGCAGTCCTCTGCTTAATACCTTTGCTTTATTAGAAAACATTCTCCTCTACTCCGTTCAGCTATTCGCTGAGGGCCCGCCAACCGCCAGCGGTTGTCAGTGGCCTAGAGGCAGCGGACGCAAACACGGGGAGAGGTGCAATCGTCTCAAGTGACTCGGCGGGCGGGGCCCACAACCGGAAGCGGGTGGGCGACCTTCACCCACGTGCGCTGCGGCTTCGTTCGCCAGCATCCAAGATGGCGGCAGGGCGGGGCCCAAGGCGCGGCGCGAATTGTGACGCAGGCGTCCGGCGTGCTCCGTGCGCAAGCGCTTTCGGCGGCGATTAGGTGGTTTCCGGTTCCGCTATCTTCTTTTTCTTCAGCGAGGCGGCCGAGCTGGTTGGTGGCGGCGGTCGTGCGGGTTCGCGCCGGGCCGAGAGCGGGTTGGGGGCTGCGGGAGGCTGCAGGGGCCTGGGCGGCAGAAGAGGCGGCCCTGAGCTGGCTCATGCGGGCCAGTCTCGGCAGGGTGGCTGGGCAGGGCTCGCGAGGCCACGGCTCGGAGCCCAGACCGGGGCCCAGGAGGCGAGCGCCGTTTTGGAGAGGAGCCTGCCTGCTCTGCCTGCCAGCGTGACCCCACGAGGCCTCGGGCGGGAAGAGGTCCTCGGGGCAGATCCGAGTTAATGAGAGAGGGGTATTGAGCGTGTAGCGTTAACTCTGCCAGTCACTGCGTCAGTCGCTTTGGAAATACTAAATTTCTCGAGCTGAGTCTTCATACCTGGCTCCATTACTACGTCTGTAAGGAGGAGCTGGTGGTAGTGTCTGCTTTTTAGACTTTTCTTTAGACTATTTGTATTTTTTTCAGATGGAGTCTTGCTCTGTCGCCTAAGCTGGAGTTCAGTGGTGCGGTCTCGGCTCACTGCAATCTCCACCTCCCGGGCTCGAGCGATTCTTCTGCCTCAGCCTCCCGAGTAGCTGGGATTATAGGCGCCTGCCACCACGCCCAGTTGATTTTTGTAGTTTTAGTAGAGACGGAGTTTCACCATGTTAGCCAGGCTCATCTTGAACTCTTGACCTCAAATGATCCGTCTGCCTCGGCCTTCCAAAGTGCTGGGATTACAGGCATGAGCCCCTGCGCCCGGTCGATTCTTTGTCTTTTTAAGTCAACTTTTATATGTGAACAATGCTTGGCAGGTGGTTGGTAGATACTAAGTGATGTTCGTGGTTTGGGGTCAAGGCAAGAAGTGGGGTCTGGAGAGTTTTGGTGTAATTGAGAAGGAAGCTAAGAGTGTTGGGTGCTCCAGCTTGGAGTTAGAGAGGAGAGAGGCTGCGACAGGAAGGCATGTGTGTTGTAGGGGATGGCTTCCCATCCAGGCTGGCAGCAGGAGCAGCCTGTGCAGATCAGGACCTGGCTGCCGTGGAAGAGGGTGGGACCGCCTTCAGGGAAGATGGATCTAGCAAGATGATGCCAAAGGGTACTTATTCCATCAGGAGATACTGACGAGTCCTTCCGCCGCTAAACCTAAGGAGAATAACCACAGTCTGTGTTCCTGAAGAGCACCCGTGCGGTCAGGAGGGTGGAGGACATGTGGTCTTTAGTTCCAGGACATGTTTAGACTACAGGCCAGGGTGTGTGAGAAGCCTAGCAGGGCCAGGCTTGGAGGAGTGAAAGGAAGACAGGTACTGGGGCAGGACCAGTTGGACTTGGTGCAGGCAAAGGGATAGCAACTGTGGTGTAGGCACCTGAGCTTGTGCTACTCAGGCATGCATTGCTCACCAGTCTATCCTGCCTCCCTTCCTCCTGCAGACGCAAACATGCAGATCTTTGTGAAGACCCTCACTGGCAAAACCATCACCCTTGAGGTCGAGCCCAGTGACACCATTGAGAATGTCAAAGCCAAAATTCAAGACAAGGAGGGTGAGTAGGGCTGGGTGTGGGGGCTCTGGCTGTGAACTGGGAGTCCCTCTCTGCCCAGGGGAGTCTCAGTCCTGTGTGGGTTGTGCTGACTTTAGATCTGTTTTGCCCTTGCTTCTCCATGTGATCTGAAGAACGTTTGTTATCTTCTACCTCAGTTGGCCTTTTGAGAAACTGGGGGTAGTGCTGGAGCTCCCCTGCAGAGGACACTGCCAGTAATATGGTCCGCAGAGCCTCTAACTGAGCCTCCCTCCCCCTCAGGTATCCCACCTGACCAGCAGCGTCTGATATTTGCCGGCAAACAGCTGGAGGATGGCCGCACTCTCTCAGACTACAACATCCAGAAAGGTACCGGGGTTGGGGTTGCTGGGCAGGGACCCAAGATCCCCAGGTCCTAGGAAAGGAGCATTGATGGCCTCAGGGGTTGGGGAGCAGTTCAAATGACTTGTGTTTTGTTTAAAATAATGGGACTGGGCACAGTGGCTCATGCCTGTAATCCCGGCACTTTGGGAGGCTTAGGCGGGTGGATCACCTGAGGTCAGGAGTTCAAGACCAGCCTGGACAACGTGGTGAAATCCCGTTTCTATTAAAAATACAAAAATCAGCTGGGTGCAGTGGCTCAGGCCTGTAATCCCAGCACTTCGGGAGGCTGAGGCGGGCAGATCACAAGGTCAAGAGATTGAGATCATCATGACCAACATGGTGAAATCCCATCTCTACTAAAAATACAAAAATTAGCTAGGCATGGTGGTGCGTGCCTGTAGTCCCAGCTACTCAGGAGGCTGAGGAAGGAGAATTGCTTGAACTCGGGAGACAAAAAAAAAAAGTCATAATGTGAATTTTTTTATCACTGCAATAAGGAAATTAGTGTCACTTGTGGGAGCGACAAGAATTCAGTGTCCTTTTTTTGTGAGACAGAGTCTTACTCTGTCACCCAGGCTGGAGTGCAGTGACGCGATCTCACTGTGACCTCCGTCTCCCGGGTTCAAGCGATTCCCCTGCCTCAGCCTCCCGAGTAGCTGGGATTACAGGCACCCGCCACCACGCCCAGCTAATTTTTTTTGTATTTTTAGTAGAGACAGGGTTTCACTACGTTGGCCAGGCTGGTCTCTTAAAGTGCTAGGATTACAGGCGTGAGCCATGGTGCCCCGCCTAGACTTCAGTGTCTGACCTTGCCTGAACCACTTAGAGGTCGGCTTCCATGTTAGAAACCCAGATGGATGCCTCAGTTGGCATGTGTCAGTCTCAGACTCCCCCCAGGGCTCGTGGTCAGTGCTGAGATGGAGATTTCCTGGGGCAGGCTGGCTGGGACAGTGTATCTTCCACACGTAGAACACTCGGGGGATCCCGACTTGGTGTCCCCATCACACTTGAGAAAGCAGCAGACTATAGGCCCTGGAGGGTCCTGCCCCTGTGACTGAGGAGCCAGGGCTGGGCTCAGTCGCCGTCCTTCTGGCTGTCTCCTGCAGAGTCCACCCTGCACCTGGTGTTGCGCCTGCGAGGTGGCATTATTGAGCCTTCTCTCCGCCAGCTTGCCCAGAAATACAACTGCGACAAGATGATCTGCCGCAAGTATGTGTGCTCCGATGCTTGGGGGGCTGTGGGGGCTGCCGGAGTCGGGGTATGCCCTCACCCACCCCTCCTGTCTCTGTGCAGGTGCTATGCTCGCCTTCACCCTCGTGCTGTCAACTGCCGCAAGAAGAAGTGTGGTCACACCAACAACCTGCGTCCCAAGAAGAAGGTCAAATAAGGTGGTTCTTTCCTTGAAGGGCAGCCTCCTGCCCAGGCCCCGTGGCCCTGGAGCCTCAATAAAGTGTCCCTTTCATTGACTGGAGCAGCAATTGGTGTCCTCATGGCTGATCTGTCCAGGGAGGTGGCTGAAGAGTGGGCATCTCCCTTAGGGACTCTACTCAGCACTCCATTCTGTGCCACCTGTGGGGTCTTCTGTCCTAGATTCTGTCACATCGGCATTGGTCCCTGCCCTATGCCCCTGACTCTGGATTTGTCATCTGTAAAACTGGAGTAAAAACCTCAGTCGTGTAATTGGTGGGACTGAGGATCAGTTTTGTCATTGCTGGGATCCTGTCAGGCACTTTGAGGTGTCCCTCAGGCCTTGGCCCTGAAGTGTCTAGGTGTGTGGAGATGGGTAGAAAATTAGGTACACCCAATGGTGTAGAACGTTGATTCTCAAATTTTTTTATTTTATACAAATGGGGTCTCACTATGTTGTCCAGGCTGGTCTTGAACTCCTGGGCTCAAGCCATCCGCCCATCTCAGCCCCTCAAAGTGTTGGGATTACAAGCAAGAACTGCCATGCCTGACCCAGTTCTCAGTTTTTTGTTTGTTTGTTTGTTTGTTTGTTTTGAGACGGAGTCTTGCTCTGTCGCCCAGGCTGGAGTGCAGTGGCGCAGTCTCGGCTTACTACAACCTCTGCCTCCGGGGTTCACATCCTTCTCCTGCCTCAGCCTCCCGAGTAGCTGGGACTACAGGTGCCCGCCACAACTCCTGGCTAATTTTTTGTATTTTTAGTAGAGACGGGGTTTCACTGGGTTAGCCAGGTTGGTCTCGATCTCCTGACCTTGTGATCCATTCGCCTTGGCCTCCCAGAATGCTGGTATTACAGGCGTGAGCCAGCACGCCTGGCCCAGTTACTCAGTTTTGAATCTGAGGCCGTGACATCACTCATGGTCTGCAGTCAGTGCTCTGCCCCTGAGCTGTACCCTCTCCTATGATAATCACTCTTAAGAAGGGCAACCCTTGGTGTTTTCCCCTTAAGGTCACCCAGGCTGGAATGCAGTGGTGTGGTCATGGCTCCCTGTACCCTGGAACTCAGGCTTGGGTGATCCTCTCTCCTTTGCCTCCGAAGTAGCCAGGACTACAGGTGTGCACCCACCACCACACTCAGATAATTGCTTTGGTGTTTTTAAAGCTTGTAATGATCAGTAGGCTGAGGTGGGCAAATCATAAGGTCAAGAGTTTTTTAGATGGGGTGAGCACAGACCAATTCCTGTTTTATTTACTGATTTAAAATTTTGAGACAGTCTCACTGTCACCCAGGTTGGGGTGCAGTGGTAGGATCATAGCTTGCTGCAGCCTTGATCTCCCAGGATCTTGCCTCAGCCTCCCGAGTAGCTGGGACTGCATGCTTGTGCCACCACACTCGGTTAATATTTTGTAGAGATGGGGTCTTGCTATGTTGCCCAGGCTGGCTTCAAACTCCTGAACTTAAAAGCCTCCTGTTTAGTTTTGGTTTTTTATCACTTTTTTTTTTTTTTTTTGAGATGGAGCCTTGCTCCCATCGTGCAGGCTGGAGTGCGGTGGCGCAGTCTCGGCTCACTGCAGCTTCTGCCTCTCGGGTTCAAGCGATTCTCCTTTCTCAGCCTCTTGAGTAGCTGGAATTACCAGTGTGCGCCACCACCACCACGCCTGGCTAGTTTTTCTGTTTTTAGTAGAGACAGGGTTTTGCTATGTTGGCCAGGCTGGTCTTGAACTACTGACCTCTTGTGATCTACCTGTCTTGGCCTTCCAAAGTGCTAGGATTACAAGCGTAAGCCACAGCGCCTGGCCTTGCTACATTTTTTTTTTTTTTTTTTTTTTTACAGACATGGTCTCGCTATGTTGCCCAGAATGGTTTTGCACTGGGTCCAAGCAGTTCTGCCGCAGCCTCCCAAAGTGCTGGGATTACAGGGGTGAGGCACCTTGCTGGCCCCTGTTTTGATTAGGGTGCAGTGCTGGTGAAGCCGGTGCACGAGGCCAGTGATGCATCCTAATGAGGGGTGGAGTTGGCGGGACTTCCTGGGCCAGTTTGGGGACTTTCACAAAAGACCCCCATGACTCAGGGTTTTGAGTTCTTAACTGATCGAATGAAGGATTCAAAATTAACCACTCCAAGGGGGGATTGAAGGAAGAACCACTCTTAATGGACAAAAAGAAAGAAAGGGGAGGGAGTAACAGGGATATGAGCTCTAGCCGCCCAAGCTAGCAATGGCAACCCTTCTGGGTCCCCTTCCAGCATGTGGAAGCTTTCCTTTCGCTTCATTCAATAAACAGCTGCTGCTCACTCTCCTGGTCCGTGGACTCTTTTTGAACTGTTAACACTCCCCGCAAAGGTCCGCAGCTTCATTCTTCAAAGTTAGCGAGACCAGGAACCCATCGGCAGGAGAAACTGACTCATCGTGGGGGCTCACCCAGGATTTCCAAAGCGGTAACATCGGACCTCTTTCGCTTGCTACTCTGCTCTACTTTTCTTTAGAATTGAGGGCAAACACCGGGCACCTGTCGGCCATTTAAAAGCGACAAGTGCCGCCGCCTGACTAAAGACACAGATGTAAGGGTATCTGAGAAAGGGCTCTCTAACAACCCCCAGCCCTTCTGAATCGAGAGTGTTGTTTTGCCTAGAAACCAGTTCCCACTTTCTCTGCATTTTCTGGGTTGAACCGAGGGCTGGCCAAGGGTGGAAAACAGTGGCCCCAAGCTCCTGGTAACGCCCAGTCGAGATGACAGCGCTTTGTGAAACCTTTGTTAAACAGCCACCCAAACGCACTTCACCCACCCTTCGAGAGGCATGCCTCCTAGGTCCAAACGTCTATAAGGAAGACTTTCTTGAGAACTTGTCTCCAGGATTCTCTCTACCCCCAGGATGAAAACCCTCTGGATTAGGAATCTAAAACAATTAGGATGGCAACCCTCAGATCTGTGTTCCTGATGTGCCATGGCTTATTTTTTTATTTTTTTTGAGATGGAGTCTCGCTCTGACGCCCAGGCTGGAGTGCAGCGGCACGATCTTGGCCCACTGCAACCTCAACCTCCCGGATTCAAGCAATTCTCTTGCCTCAGCCTCCTGAGTAGCTGGGATTACAGGCACCACGTGCCACCATGACTGGCTAATTTTTGTATTTTTAGTAGAGATGGGGTTTCACATGTTGGTCAGACTGGTCTCGATCTGACCTCGTGATCTGCCCGCCTCGACCTCCCAAAGTGCTGGGATTGCAGGCGTGAGCCACTGCGCCCGGCCCCCATGGCTTATTCTAATGTAGATGGGCAACAATGCAAATATACAGGACCTGTTCCCCATATTCGACACCGAAGGCAATACCCAGGACAATATAGTGTGTGCCAATGGTTACTGGAAGGCTTAGGCCATTTCTCTTTCTGTCGTCCCCACCTCACTGGGAACCATTTCACCTATCATTTCTCTTGTTTAGGATCAGCAATCCAAACTACGGAGCTCTTCCACTCAGGGTACCACTCGCATTTGTGGGAGTTAAGTAAAATAATAGACCATCGACTGGGAGATCAAAAGTAGTATTCTTAAGATGGAAAGCGGGGACAAAAGGCTGTAGTGCATGAGACACTATTTCAGCCTTGGCCCAATCCCCTGTTGCCCCCCGCCTTAAAATTGCTATGTCTATGTACAATCTTTAAGGAGTTCATCTTACTGGGGCAGTTTCAAGCTCAGAAATATGCTAACTGGAGCCTTGTAAACCACCTAAGAATACACCCCAAACTTAGAACCCACTCACTGGAACAAAAACTTTCGGGCGCACTGGTAAGAGGCCGCTAAACCCAGCAGCCTGGCCTCCTTCTTTGTGGCTAAGAAGGGAGGGAAAAGAATGTGGTTGAAACTGCTACGTCGGTAAGCACAATTAAATCTGATAAGCAGGGTTCCATGGGTGATTGTGCACCCTGGAAAATGGACACTAAAACAGTAGGGGACCTGCTAGAACCAGTGTCCACTGGGAATGACTAGGGGTGCGGGCATCCCTATGCTTTCCTTTCAGATGGGAGATTTTCCCTCCAAAGTGAAGTCGCCCCTGAGGTGTATTCTGAATAACTGGGACCAATTTGATCCCCAGACATTGAAGAAGCAGCTCATATTTTTCTGCAGCACTGCCTGGCCACAATATCCTCTTCCAGGAGGAGAACGATGGCCACCTGAGGGAAGTATACACTATAATACCATCCTGCAACTAGATCTGTTTTGTAAACAAGAAGGCAAGTGGATTTAGGTACCATATGTTCAGACCTTTTTCTCATTAAGGGATGATAACCCACGATTGTGTAAGACATGTAACCTGCACCCCACAGGGAGTCCTCAAATTCTACCCCCATACCCAGTCCTCCCCACGGCTCCTCCTACTAATGCCAAACCCTCTCTGGCTTCTACAGCCCAAAAGGGAACAAATAAAAGAGCCTTCAGAGAGCCAAGAGACCCCACTGGCCCCTGGCTATGTCCTCTTCAGGCTGTAGGAGGGGAATTTGGCCCAACCCGAGTACATGTTCCCTTTTCTCTCTCTGATCTAAAGCAAATTAAGGCAGACTTGGATGAAAGTTCTCAGATGACCCCAATAGATACGTAGATGGCCTGCTGGGTCTGGGACAATCTTTTGACCTTTCCTGGAGAGAGATCATGTTATTGCTTGATCAGACCTAACCTCTAATGAGAAGAATGCTGCTTTAACAGGAGCCCGAGAGTTTGGGGATACCTGGTACCTCAGTTAAGTAAGTGATAGAATGACATCAGAAGAGAGCAGTTTCCTACTGGCCAGCAAGCAGTCCCCAGTATGGATCCCCACTGGGACCCTGACTCGGATCATGGGGACTGGAGTCACAAACATTTACTGACCTGTATCCTAGAAGGGTTAAGGAGAACTAGGAAAAAGCCCATGAACTATTCAATGATGTCTACTATAACCCAAGGGAAGGAAGAAAACCCTATTGCCTTCCTCAAAAGGCTGAGGGAGGCTTTGAGAAAATATACTCCCCTGTCACCAGATTCCCTCGAAGGCCAGTTAATTTTAAAGGACAAATTTATTACTCAGTCAGCTGCAGACATTAGGAAAAAGCTCCAAAAGTTAGCCTTGGGCCGAGCAAAATTTGGAGGCATCATTAAACCTGGCAACCTCAGTGTTCTATCATAGGGACCAAGAGGAACAGGCCGAAAAGGAAAAGCAGGATAAGAGAAAGGCTGCAGATTTAGTCATGCCCTCAGACAAACCTTGGCGGTTCAAAGAGGAGAAAAAATGGAGCAGGCCAATCACCCAGCAGGGCTTATTATCAGTGCAGTTTACAAGGACACTTTAAACAAGATTGTCCAAAGAGAAATAAGCCGCCCTCTCACCCATGTCCACTATGCCAAGGTGATCACTGGAAGGCACACTGTCCCAGAGGACAAAGGTTCTCTGGGCCAGAAGTCCCCAACCAGATGATCCAGCAACAGGATGGAGGGTGCCCGGGGCAAGCACCAGCTCGTGTTGTCACCCTCACAGAGCCCCGGGTAAGTTTGACCATTGAGGGCCAGGAAATCGACTTTCTTCTGGACACTGGCACAGCCTTCTCAGTTCCACTGTCCTGCCCTGGATGGCTGTCCTCAAGGTCTGTTACCATCCAAGGGATCCTGGGACAACCTGTAACCAGGTATTTCTCCCGCCCCCTTAGCTGTAACTGGGAAACCTTAATTTTCTCACATGCCTTTCTCATCATGCCTGAGAATCCCATACCCTTACTGGGGAGGGACATATTAGCTAAATCAGGAGCTATCATCTGTATGAATACAGGGAAGAAAAGACCTATCTGTTGTCCCCTACTTGAGGAAGGAATCAACCCTGAGGTTTGGGCATTAGAAGGACAATTTGGAGGGGCAAAGAACGCCTGTCCAGTCCAAATCAAACTAAAAGACCCCACCCCTTTCCCTTACCAAAGACAATACCCCCTAAGACCTGAAGCTCGAAAAGGATTACAAGGTATTGTTAAAAATTTAAAAGCCCAAGGTCTAGTAAGAAGTTGTAACAGCACCTGTAACACCCCAATTCTAGGGGTACAAAAACCAAATGGTCAATGGAGGTTGGTGCAGGACCTCAGGCTCATAAATGAGGCCATAATTCCTTTATACCCAGCTGTACCCAACCCTTATAGATTGCTCTCTCAAATACCAGAAGAAGCAGAGTGGTTTACAGTCCTGAATCTTAAAGATGCCTTTTTCTGTATCCCTCTACACCCTGACTTTCAATTCCTATTTGCCTTTGAGGATCCCTCAGATCAAACATCTCAGCTCACCTGGACAGTCTTGCCCCAAGGATTTAGAGATAGCCCTCACCTGTTTGGCCAAGCATTGGCCCAAGATTTAAGTCACTTCTTGCACCCAGGTACCCTAATTCTTCAATATATGGATGACTTACTTCTCCCGTTGAGAGACCCTGTGCCATCAGGCTACCCAAGACTTTTTTTTTTTTTTTTTTTGAGACGGAGTCTTGCACTGTTGCCCAGGCTGGAGTGCAGTGGCGCAATCTCGGTTCACTGCAAGCTTCGCCTCCTGGGTTCATGCCATTCTCCTGCCTCAGCCTCCCGAGTAGCTGGGAGTACAGGCGCCTGCCACCACGCCTGGCTAATTTTTTGTACTTTTAGTAGAGACAGGGTTTCACCTTGTTAGCCAGGATGGTCTCGATCTCCTGACCTCATGATCCACCCACCTCAGCCTCCCAAAGTGCTGGGATTACATTTGAGCCCAAGGCCTTTTAAACTTTCTAGCTGATCGAGGTTACAAAGTATCTAAATCAAAGGCCCAGCTTTGTTTACAGCAGGTCAAATACCTAGGGCTGGTTTTGGCTAAAGGAACCAGGGCTCTCAACAAAAAACCTATCCAGTCTATACTGGCTTATCCTCACCCTCAGACATTAAAACAGTTGACAGGGTTTCTTGGAATAACTGGCTTTTGCCAACTGTGGATCCCCAGATACAGCGAAATGGCCAGGCCACTTTACACTCTAATTAAGGAGACCCAAAAAGCTAATACCCATTTGATAGAATGGGGACCAGAGGCAGAGGCAGCCTTCAGAACCCTAAAACAGGCCCTAACACAAGTCCCAGTTCTGGGTCTACCTACGGGACAAAATTTCTCTTTGTATGTCACAGAAAGAATGGGAATAGTTCTTGGAGTCCTTACCCAGACTTGAGGGACTACCATACAGCCAGTAGCATATCTGAGTAAAGAAATTGATGTGGTAGCAAAGGACTGGCCTCACTGTCTGCAGGTGGTAGCTGCAGTGGCCATTTTAGTATTAGAGGCTGTCAAAATAATACAAGGGAGAGACATCACTGTATGGACTATTCACGATGTCAACGGCATACTAACTGCTAAAGGAGGTTTGTGGCTGTCAGACAATCGCCTACTTAGGTACCAGGCCTTATTACTTGAGGGACTGGTGCTTCAGATGCGCACTTGTGCAGCTCTTAACCCAAACTTATGCTGCCCAGAAGGATCTTTTAGAGGTCCCCTTAGCCAACCCTGACCTCAACCTATATATATACTGATGGAAGTTCGTTTGTAGAAAAGGGATTACAAAGGGCAGGATATACCATAGGTTAGTGATAAAGCAGTAGTTGAAAGTGGGCCCCTCCCCCAGGGACCAGCACCCAGTTAGCAGAACTAGTGGCGCTTACCCGAACTTTAGAGCTGGGAAAGGGAAAAAGTATAAATGTATATACAGAGAGCAAATTTGCTTATCTAGTTCTACATGCCCATGCTGCCATATGGAAAGAAAGGGAGTTCCTAACCTCCGGAGGAACACCCATTAAATACCATGAAGAAATTATGAAATTATTACAGGCAGTGCAGAAACCCAAGGAAGTGGTAGTGGCCTTGCACTGCAAAGGCCATCAGAAAGGCAAAGGAAAGGAGGCAAAAGGAAATCGCTGCACAGACGCTGAGGCCAAAGTTGCCGCAAGACGGGACCTCCCATTAGAAACACCTATGGAGGGACCCTTGGTATGGGATAACCCCCTTCAGGAGACCAGGCCCCAGTATTCCCCTGCAGAAATGGAATGGGGACTTTCATGGGGACATAGTTTTCTCCCCTCGGGGTGGCTAGCTACTCAGGAGGGAAAGGTGCCCATACCCGCAGCTAATCAATGGAAAATACTTAAAACCGTTCACCAAACATTCCATAGGGGTATTGAGAATACCCATCAAATGGTCAAATCTCTGTTCACTGGACGAGACCTCCTTAAAACCATCCGGCAGACAGTCAAGGCCTGCGAAGTGTGCCAAAGGAATAACCCCTTGGTCCATTGCCAAGCCCCTCATGGAGAACAAAGGACAGGGCACTACCCTGGAGAGGACTGGCAGTTAGATTTCACTTATATGCCTAAGTCACGGGGACTTCAATACTTACTAGCCTGTGTTGATACCTTCACGAATTGGGTTGAAGCCTTCCCCTGTAAGACAGAAAAGGCCCAGGAGGTAATCAAAGCCCTGGTCCATGAAATAATTCCTAGGTTTGGACTTCCCTGTAGTTTACAAAGTGATAATGGCCCGGCTTTCAGAGCCACAGTGACTCAGGGAATTTCCAAGGCGCTAGGGATACAATATCACCTTCATTGGCCGGGCGCGGTGGCTCACGTCTGTAATCCCAGCACTTTGGGAGGCCGAGGCAGGTGGATCACGAGGTCAGGAGATCGAGACCATCCTGGCTAACACAGTGAAACCCCGTCTCTACTAAAAATACAAAAAATTTAGCCGGGCGTAGTGGTGGGCGCCTGTAGTCCCAGCTACTCGAGAGGCTGAGGCAGGAGAATGGCGTGAACCCGGGAGATGGAGCATGCAGTGAGCCGAGATTGCACCACTGCACTCCAGCCTGTGCGACAGAGCGAGACTCCCTCAAAAAAAAAAAAAAAAAATCACCTTCATTGCGCCCAGGGACCACAATCCTCAGGGAAAGTCGAGAAGATTAATGAAACACTCAAAAGGCACTCAAGGAAATTAACACAAGAAACTCACCTCCCATGGAAACTCACCCTCTTGCCCATAGCATTATTAAGGATCCTAAATTCTCCCCACAAGATAGGACTCAGTCCTTATGAAATGCTATATGGACAGCCTTTTCTCACAAACAACCTCTTACTTGATTGAGAAACTGCCAACTTGGTCAAGGACATAACTTCTTTGGCTAGGTACCAGCAAATCCTAAAGACATTACCCGAGGGATGCCACCGAGAAAAGGGAAAAGCATCGTTCCATCCCAGGGATCTAGTATTAGTCAAGTCCCTCCCCTCTACCTCCCCATCCCTAGATCCATCGTGGGAAGGACCATATTTGGTTATCCTCTCCACTCCAACTGCAGTCAAGGTGATTGGAGTGGAGTCTTGGATCCATCACACCTGAATCAAACCTTGGATACAGCCTGAAAAACCCGCAGAATCATTAGCTTGGGAATCTAAGAGTCAGCCAGACAAACCTTCTTACACCCACGAGCCATTGGAAGACTTATGTATCCTCTTTCAGAAGGAAAATTAATCAGTGCTCATAAGTTCTACCTCAGTTCTTGTTTTAAAAACAGAATGTACTCTAACATCCTAACATTCCTTGCCTTTGCCCAAGTCTTAACCTTTCCCCGCTCAATGTCTTCCCCTAATCTTGAGGGAATTATTATTATTATTATTATTTTTTTTTTTTTTTTTTGAGACAGAGTCTCGCTCTGTCGCCCAGGCTGGAGTGCAGTGACGTGATCTCGGCTCACTGCAAGCTCTGCCTTCCGGGTTCACACCATTCTCCTCCCTCAGCCTCCCAAGTAGCTGGGACTACAGGCGCCCACCACCACACCTGGCTAATTTTTTGTATTTTTAGTAGAGACGGGGTTTCACCGTGGTCTCGATCTGCTGACCTCGTGATCTGCCCTCCTCAGCCTCCCAAAGTGCTGGGATTACAGGCGTGAGCCACCGTGCCCGGCCTACCTTGAGGGAATTATAAACATGTCCTCCAGGTTTTTATTTGAAGCACTTCCCAATCAGAGTAACTCATCCTGTTGGGTTTGCATGAACCCTAATTTCCCCCTTATATACAGCAGTTCCGGCCCCCCTCAACATATGGGTGGAAAGCTCTGAGGCCTCATACATAGCTAACACTTCTAAGGGTCCAGGATTTTTTCATCCTAGTGATAGGTCCAATTTCCCTGACAGGGCTCAAGCAGCCTTAAAAGCAGCCGCCGCCATTCTCCGACAATTCGCTCTATCAGCTATCCCAATCATAGGTTCTGTGGGCACAATAACCTCCTTCTCTTCGCCTCCACTCCTTTGTATCTCCCATCAAGTGTTCCCATGATCACAAGGTGTGGGACACGTGGCTGGCTGCAACTATAGCTTGCCTTGGATATAGAGTTCAAATATTCTAATTCTTACAGTACGACTACTGGCACCCCAATGTTTTGTGGAAATAAACATGAGTTCCTTGGAAACCCTATTTCAGTCACCTATCCCTTAAGATTTACCACCCCAAGCCAAATAATTCCCCCACCAGAGGCCAAAACAACAAGCAATTACTGCTGGGGCAGACTTCCTTTTGCCCAGGATATCCCCCTCCTGGGACTTGGTTCCTCTCTCACAGGCAAAGGGTTAAAAAAACCCCATTGCTTCCTGCTTCCTGTCTGGGGTGCGCGAGTTTTTCTTTTTGTTGTTGTTGTTTTGTTTTGTTTTTGAGATGGAGTCTCGCTCTGTCGCCCAGGCTGGAGTGCAGTGGCGCGATCTCCCTCACTGCAAGCTCCGCCTCCCAGGTTTGCACCATTCTCCTGCCTCAGCCTCCCGAGTAGCTGGGACTACAGGCGCCCACCACCACACCCAGCTAATTTTTTGTATTTTTAGTAGAGATGGAGTTTCACCATGTTAGCCAGGATGGTCTTGATCTCCTGACCTCGTGATCCACCAGCCTTGGCCTCCGAAAGTGCTGGGATTACAGGCGTGAGCCACTGCACCCAGCCGAGAGTTTTTCTTAATGCAGCTAGCCACCGGTTTGCCTTACAGGAACCCCATAATACGTCCTTGGCAAATTCTATTCAGCTCCAACTGCTAGGAGTGGCCCATTTGTCCTGAACCCTCAAATCATGGGAATGAGAAATGAATTTAGACTGACCACAGCCCTTATGAGTTTTCAGCTACAGGGGTGTATAGAACCCTGATAAGGAGTTTTCTTTGTGTGTGGAAGATCCTTCTATATTTGCCTCCCCACCAACTGGACAGGAACTTGTACTTTAGCCTACATAGTACCTCCTGTGACTTATTCCTTTTCAGAAGAGGCAGTAGCTGTGCCCATTCATGCTAAGCTTCAGCCGAGAGCAATCTCACTACTTCCTCTATTGGCTGGTTTAGGATTTACTACCACCTAGGAAGTGGACTCACAGCCTAGATGAAATCTCTCTCCAACTTACTCAAATCCAGGACCAAATAGACTCATTAGCAGCTGTGGTTCTCCAGAACCAGTGAGCACTAGATCTCCAATCTCCTCACTGCCGAAAGGGGAGGAACATGCCTTTTTCTGAACAAGGAATGTTGTTTTTATGTCAATAAATCAGGCATAGTGAGAGATGGAATTAAATGACTTCAGGATAGAGCTAGCAGACTACATGGTGGGACAACCGAAACTACCTCAGGGTTCTCACAGCCTGTTCTCCACTGGCTTCTTCCATTTTTAGGTCCCTTCCTTATGATTATTCTAGGAGTAACCTTTGGCCCATGTCTTTTCAGTTCCTTCATCCTTTCGTTTCTTCCTGAATAGAATCAATGAAACTAGAAATGTTACTGCAGATGGAACCTCAGATGACTTCAACCAGCACCTATTATCAAGGACCCCTAAACCAGCCTGCCGGCCCATACCCGGACGTTGACACCCAAACCACCTCTCACGAGGAAACCTCAGCTACAGAACCCCTTCTATGCCCCTATTCAGCAGGAAGCAATTAGAGTGGTCATCCTCCCACACCCCAACAGCAGTTGGGCTCTCCTGTTGAGAGAGGGGACTGAGGGGTGGAGTTGGCAGGATTTACTGGGCAGGTTTGGGGACTTTCACAGAAGACCCCTGTGACTCAGTGTTTTGAGTTCTTAACCAATCGAGTGAAGGATTCAGAATTAACCACTCCAGGCCGGGCGCGGTGGCTCACGCCTGTAATCCCAGCACTTTGGGAGGCCGAGGCGGGCGGATCACGAGGTCAGGAGATTGAGACCATCCTGGCTAACCCGGTGAAACCCTGCCTCTACTAAAAATACAAAAAATTGGCCGGGTGTGGTGGCGGGCGCCTGTGGTCCCAGCTACTGGGGAGGCTGAGGCAGGAGAATGGCGTGAACCCGGGAGGCAGAGCTTGAAGTGAGCCGAGATCGTGCCATTGCACTGCAGCCTGGGCGACAGAGCGAGACTCTGTCTCACTAAAAAAAAAAAAAAAAAAAAACAAAAAAAAAAAACACTCCAGAGGAGGATTGAAAAAAGAACCACTCTCAATGGACAAAAAGAAAGGGGAGGGGTAACATAGGGATATGAGCCCTAGCCACCGGAGCCAGCAACGGCAACCCTTCCGGGTCCCCTTCCAGCATGTGGAAGCTTTCCTTTCGCTTTGTTCAATAAACTGCCCTGCTGCTCACTCTCCTGGTCCGTGGACTCTTTTTGATCTGTAACACACACCGCGAAGGTCCACAGCTTCATTCTTCAAAGTTAGCGAGACCACGAACCCATCGGCAAGAAAAACTCCCAACTCACTAACAGCCTAGTCCCTTCCCCCTTAAAGGCTGGTGTCTGTCACCCCATACCTGAGCTGGTCCCTCTTCACTAAGTCAGGCTACCAGCATCTTCCTGCTCCTCCGGCTGGGCCCCTGGAGGAGGAAGCTTTCCAAAGCTCTGTCTAGCCCATGTATCCCTCCAGCAGGAAGCTCCAAGGCCTCCTCTGTACTTTGAGGTCGTTCTGGCCCCTGCTATGCTCCAGGCTCAGGGCTATTACACAAGACACCCAATTCAACTCGGTGGGCTGTTGACACCGTCCCTGTCACTGAATCTTGTCTTCACCCCTGTGATTCTCTGAAGAGCCAGTGAATCTCTGTTAATGTTGGTGGAGTTCCAGCCACTGCACTTTTTTTGAGGCAGACTCACTGTGGCTCCGGCTGGAGTGCAGTGGCATGGTCATAGCTCATGGCAGCCCCCAACTCCCGGGCTCATGTAATCCTCCCACCTCAGCCTCCCGAGTAGCTGGGACTGGAGGCGGGAGCCACCATGTCGGGCTAATTGGTTTTTCTGTAGAGATCGGGCCTCCCTAGGTTGCCCAGGCTTACTTAACACTCTTGAACGTCAAAACCCACGCTCAGTACCCGCTTCAAGTGGAAGTCGGTGTTGAGATACAAGCATAGGAACGAACTCAAGGCTAACAGCTGTTCTGTATTCAGAGCCGCACAATCAAGGAAAAACACGATCGGAGGCGGGCCCTGGACGGGAACAAGAAGGGTGGGCTTGACTGGGCGGCCCGCGGTCTTGGTTCCCCTTTCTTCCTTCTGGCTGGCCGGCCGCAGGGTAGGGGGTCCGTGGACCTCCCGGCCTGTAGGGGGCGTCGGGCGCAGCGGAAGGGCCTGCTCCGGAGCCTGGCCAGGGCTGCGCAGTCATGATCACCGAGACCGCGGCGGAGCCTACGGTCCCTGCAGTGCCTGCTGCTGAGGAGGCCACCGAAGCTCGGGGACGCGAGGAGCCGGCGTGGCCCTGGGTGAGCCCAGGCCCAAGCGGGAACGGGCGCGGGGCGGGCGGCGCAGACCCAGGGGCGCGGGCTTCATGCCCCAGCCGTGCCCCCTGTCCCGCAGAAAGACGCCCCGATCCGGACGCTGGTGCAGCGCATCCACCAGCTGCAGGCTGAGCGCGCGCAGGGCTTCCGCCGACTGGAGGAGTGAGTGGGGGCGCGGAGGGGCTCAGGGTTCGGTCCCCCGCCCGCTCCGGGCGTGGGCGTGTTCTCGGCGGGCGTGCCTGGAGGAGGAGCTGGGTCCTTGTGTGGCTGCAGAGTCAGATGGGGCGGGGATTTCGGGGCACCGGGTCCTCACCTTCACGAAAAAGGCCCCACAGCACGTCCCCACTACCCGACGACTCACTCTTCGTGGCTTCTCTCTCCTCCCCAAGAGCAGGGGTGGGCCTGTCTCGCGTTCCCCTGCGGGAGTCAGGAAGCGTCCTTCCTACCTACCAGTCCTCCCCTCTGGTGTCTGGGGACACTTCCTGGGGGCCTTTCAGGTGGTTGGCGCCGGTGCAGGGCCTGAGAGCCTGGGGGCGCGGCCTCAGGGTCCCCACATGCCGCAGAGGCCACCGCCAGTACCTGCGCAGCGGCCCTGACTACGACTTCGCGCGCTACCGGAGCACAGTGCACGGGGTGACCCAGGCCTTCGCCGCCGCCTCGCGGGAGGTGCTGGCGGTGGAAGCAGAGCTGGGCGGGCCTCGCAGGCAGCCGCTGCTCGCCGGCCACGTGCGCAGCCTGCAGGAGCTGGAGCAGACGCGGCTGGGCACGGTGAGGCCACCACCCCTTCCCCGCCGTGTCTCTAGGACCCTGGCCGGCTCCTCTCATGACGCACCCCTGGTTGGGGGGTGGTCCCAGTATCCCATACACAGACCTCACCCCTTCCTGTCCCACCCCAATCCTCTATTAAGGCTTCACTTGGGGATTCTCGGACCTTGCCCTCTGCTGTTCATCCCCAATTTTTTTCCCAAGTTTTGTCCTTATTCCCAGAGCACTCCCGCTTTCTCCCAGCTCCGCCTAAATGCTATTCCAAGATGCCCAGATCCCGCCCCAACAATGCTCCACCCACTCTGGTTGTTCCGCGTCTAGGGTCCCACCCTCAACCTCCCGTAGATACAGGCGAGGGGGGTCCCAGGCCACGCCTCCTCCGTATTATTCCTCCATCACAGCTTTAGTTCTTTGCCTATTTCTCTCTTGCGATCCGCCTGCTCGGCCCTGCAACCGTGTGTGACTGGAATTCCTAGGCCACGCCCCCCATGAGCGACCCGTCTCAGCGTCTCTTTGGCCTTTTTCTTTCTGGTGTTTTTTTTTTTTTTTTTTTTTTTTAAGACAGGCTCTTGCTCTCTTGCTCTCTCACCCAGGCTAGAGTGCAATGGCGCGATCTCGGCTAACGGCAACCTCCGCCTCCCAGATTCAAGCGATTCTCCTGCCTCAGCCTCCTGAGTAGCTGGGATTACAGGCATAATTTTTGTATTTTGTATTTTTTTTAGTAGAGACGGGGTTGTGCCATATGGGCAAGGCTGGTCTCGAACTCCTGGTCTCAAGCGATCCGCCCTCTTCTGCTTCCCGAAGTGCTGGGATTTCAGGCGTGAGCCACCGCGTCCAGGCTTTTTGGCCTACTTTTATCCTGGGTCCCCGTCCCTGGGACCATGAGGCGCAACCTAACCCACCCCTACGGCCAATGCCTGGCTAAGACGTCACTGTTGTTCCCAGGCCACGCCCACATCGCGCTCAGCACTGCCTCTGGCCTGCCTGCTGTCTCCTTTCTGAGAGAGCCTCTAAACTGAATTTCGGACTCTTCCTACACAAAGCACTGCCCCTCGTGGTTCTACCCGGGCACTGCCTTTCTGGGTGCCTCTGTTTTTTCCTGAACATCCTTGGAGGGCAGGGGGTGGGTTCTGCTCGTGGAGACATCCTTCGTGTTGCTCATTCCCCCACCAGGTGGCCCTGCTGCAGTTGATGGAGACGCCAGAGCTGGCGGGGCAGGAGGACGCTGTACGGATGCAGCAGCTGAAAATGAAGTGAGCGCTGCTGCCCAAGCCGCCTGGCTATGCTCGATTTGCACCAGGGTTGGCACGGTCAGGACGCTGCCAGCAGAGGAACCCTCTGCCAGTGCACAATGGTGTTCTCACCTGGTGGCCCTCAGATGTACACTTCCCCAGAGGGCACAGCCGTGAAACTTCACATCAGTTTCGCTGTGCATTGCTGGGACACTGCTGTATACCTCGACACATGCCAATCCTGCACACGTGGCTGTCCGTGGAGCTTGGACATGCCCCACTGAGCACAGACCTTCAGATGCCTGTCCTCAGCCCCCAAGCACACACACTCATGTACACACACATTTGACAAAGTCACACTTCATAACCTCCTAATGGTACACACCCCACCAAGATGGCCTTTTCTTTTCTTTTTTTTCTGAGATGCAGTCTCACTCTGTCACCAGGCTGGAGTGCAGTGGCGCGATCTCAGCTCACTGCAACCTCCGCCTCCCGGGTTCAAGTGATTCCCCTGCCTCAGCCTCCTGAGTAGCTGGGACTACAGGCGCGTGCCACCACGCCCAGCTAATTTTTTGTATTTTAGTAGAGATGGGTTTCACCATGTTGGCCAGGATGGTCTCGATCTCCTGACCTCGTGATCTGCCCACCTCAGCCTCCCAAAGTGCTGGGATTACAGGCGTAAGCCAGCACGCCTGGTCCTTTATTTTCTTTTCTTTTTTCTTTCTTTTTTTTGAGATAGAGTCTTGCTCTGTCACCCAGGCTGGAGTGCAGTGGTGCGGTCTTGGCTTACCGTAACCTCTGCCTCCTAAGTAGCTTGGATTACAGATGCCCGCCACCATGCCTGGCTAATTCTTGTATTTTTAGTAGAGACGGGGATTCGCCATGTTGGCCAGGCTTGTTTTGAACTCCTGACCTCAGGTGATCTGCCTGCCTCAGCTTCCCAAAGTGCTGGATTACAGGCGTGAGCCACCATGCCCAGCCCAGATGGCCTTTTCTCTCAGCCCACTGTGACCTATGGGGCCACCCCTTCTCCCTAGCACCTAAGTGTTCCCTCTTGCTGCTAGTGCTGCCTGGAGGTTTGGCGGCGGGCAGGAGGGCCTGGGGCTCACCACAGCCACAGCCCTCTTGCAGCTTCGCGGCAGCAGCTAATTCACCCCATCTGGGTTTTATTTATAGTTCCCATCCGCTCTTGTAGGGTAATTAAAACCATGGAGGCGATCAGCGAGGTTCTCCAGGACCTTAGGTTTGATGCGGAATCTGCCGAGTGATGGCGGCTCCCCAGGGATGCGCCGAGGGAGATGGGAAACGGGGCGGATGGCGCCCAGCCCAGCCCTAACTGCCAGCTGGCTGGGGTTGCGCCCCACTGCGCTGCTGACCTTCCTGCAGTTCCAGACACCTCCCACAATAAAGAGCTCCTCCTCTGTAGCCGCTCTGCCATCTCTGTGTACAAGGGTGCTGCAGCCAGTGTGCCTAGGGAGGGGGCCCCCACAGGGCCAGGGATTGTGGGTAGAAGACTCCCACCCTCCCTAGAAACTGAGGTTTTTTTGCTTGAGACAGGGTCTTGCTGTGTCACCCAGACTGGAGTGCAGTGGCGAGATCGTGGCTCACTGCAGCCTTGACTTCCCCAGGCTCAAGCAGTCCTCCTGCCTCAGCCTCCCAAGTAGCTGGGACTACAGGCACATGCCACCACAAGCCCAGTTAATTTTTTTTTTTTTTGAGATAGAGTTTTGCTCTTTTTGCCCAGGCTGGAGTACAATGGTACGATCTCGGCTCACTGCAATCTGCACCTCCTGGGTTCAAGTGATTCGCCTGCCTCAGCCTCCTGAGTAGTTGGGATCACAGGCATGCACCACCACGCCCAGCTAATTTTGTATTTTTAGTAGAGACGGGGTTTCTCCATGTTGGTCAGGCTGGTCTTGAACTCCTGACCTCATGTGGTCCACCCATGTCAACCTCCCAAAGTGGCGGGATTACAGGCGTGAGCCATGGCGCCTGGCCAATTTTTTGCTTTTAGTAGAGATGAGGTCTCCCTTTGTTGCCCAGGCTGGTCCCCAACTCCTGGCCTTGAGCAGTGCTCCCAGCTTGGCCTCCTAAAGTTCTGGGATTACAGGCATGAGCCTTTGCAGCCAGCCAGCTCAGGTATTTTGAATCACATTCTCCAAGGAGTTCAGAATCAGACCTTGCAAATACTGGATAGACAGTCTGAAGTCCTGGGAGGTGAAAATTCTAATCTCAAAGGGTCATTAAGACGCCTCACATTCCCCTCAAATCTCACAGCCCCCACCCCAGGCCAGGCAGGCCCCAAACTCACCTTCACAATCACAGCACCTAAATAGCTCATTTATTTAAAAGGACTCTTTTGGAGGGGCCCTAGGTAATGGGGAGTAATGACTCCCCTTCTCACCCCCAGCCCTGGCAGGGGTTCTAGGCAACTCAACCAACCCTCACACACACACACACACCCACTGGGGTGCACCCAAAGGTGGCCTCACGTGGGAGTCAGAGCTGTTATGGCCGTTGGAGCTCAGGGGCCACCCCAGCTCCTGCTGAGGGTGGCTCAGGTGCCCTGAAGTGAGGGTACAGAGGTGGCCCCAGTTTGGGTTCGGCCTCTGCGTCTCCACGTGGCAGGGAGGGTGGCCTGAGCCCCTACAGCTTATCTGGCAGGACCTGCAGGCAGAGGGGAAGCCAAGCTAAGCAGGGAGTCCAGGAGAGGGCCGCACCACAGAGCCACTGAAGGAGGCTTCATTCGTGTCCTGTCCCCACCGCTTCTGGCTGTGTGACTTTGGGCAGGGTCCTGCCCCTCTCCGGGCCTTGGCGAGGCTATCTGAGCTGCAGGTAAAGCACTTGGCGCGGAGCCAGTATGCAGTAGGCGCCCATGCGTGCTAACTAGGGTGAGTATGTTCATTCATTTCGGAGGAGATTCCACTTCGGACATTTTCAGGGCATTGAATGTTCTTAGGCTAAAGGAGACAATGCCAGTTATACAGTAAGTGCTAAGTAAATGCTGATGAATAACAAAGGAAGAGGACGGATTCCATCTCAGCGACTCTAAGGCTGGGGTTGGGAGGCGTGGGGGTGTGAACAAGACCTGCAGCCACCGGAAGGGGCCCTCCCCTTGCTCCCTCCCGCCCACCCATTCAGGCCCACCTTACCTCTCGCCGTGCCCCGTCTGCCCGAGGGCAGGATCCCCTCGTCCTGTGCTTGGAAGGAAGGCAGAGGTGTCGTGGGGGCTGCAGACCTGCGTCCACAGCCTGCTGTCTTCCCCCTCCCCTGTTTTCTGGGCCCCCCCAGCTCCCTGTCCCCACCCCCACGCCCGAGGGTCCCTCCTTCCTACCTGGTTGCGGGTCTTGTGCGACTTCTGCATCCAGGCTCGCCACTGGTCGTAGAGGCGGAAGCTGAGGTTGGAGCAGTACGCGTGCTTCTTGAGCCAGCCCAGGAACTGCTTGAGCTCGCGCCGCACCGGCCCCGAGCTCGGCTCTCCGCCCCGCGGTTCGCACGCCCCGCCGCCCGGGCCCGGGCGCTCTGGTGGTGGGCGGAGCGGCAGTGTCAGAGCGCGCCCGGCAGGGGGTGCGCGCGGGCAGGAGAGGGGAGACCCCGGCGCGGCGGGACCATGCTCCCCTCGGGGAACCTCCCTCCCCGTTTCTCAAGGACCGAGTCCTCCCCGCGGCCCTGCACAGCAGCCCAGCTGCGCCCCTGGCCCGGCTGCGCCCCTGGGGAGGTGGGGGGGAGGGGGAAGGAAGGGGCTCCTCCTCCACATCTCCTCCAGGAACCCGATTCCTGTGGCCTGAGCCAGGTGCGAGTGGAGTGGGGGGAGGGGAGAATGAGAGAGGCCAGAGCCGGGGGGATGAGACATAGAGATAGACAGACAGAGCAGGGGGCCGAAAAAGAGAAAGGGAGAAAGACGCACGGATGAGAGAGCCGGGGCCAGGGATGGAGAGATGGAGACGCAGGGTGGGTGAAAGCCAAGGGTGTCAGCCCAGGAGGAAAGGGCCTGATCAGGGTAGGACAGAAACCCTGGGGACATAGGGACAAAGAGATCGAGACAGAGACACAGAGGAAGAGTGACAGATGAAGGGAGACCGAGTGCAAGATGACCCCATGGGACTGTCCCCAGCATGGGCCCATGGGACAGGGAGTGGGCCAGGAGGGCCAGGTGGGAGGCCTGCCTGTCGGTCCAGCTGCCGGCTGCAGCCAGCCCCCAGCAGGCCGGCGGATAAGGACATCGGCCTCACGTCATAAATAAAGCCGGGGACCCGCTGACAGGCCCTGGCACGGCCCCGGCCCCCGCCGCCCCTGCTGGCCTTCCCCGGCCTCCCCAGCCTCCCCTGCGGACGCAGCGGCCTGCTGGCTCCTGTGCAAGAATCGCAGGTGCCGGGCACGAGCAGGGGCCAAGGCTCAGGCCCCTCCCGGCTGCGCTTGCTCCCGCCCACCCCTGAACCTGGAGGGGCCCAGGATAGGGGCTGGGGAGCTGGCTGGAGCCTGACTCTACCCCTCCCTAGCTCTGGGACCCTCTCTGGGCCTCAGTTTCCCTATCATCTCACGAGCCAGAGTGAGCTTGGTCTTCCCGGTGAACTAAGTTTAGACCTGTGTGACCTCCTAGAGCCTCAGTGTCCTCACCTGAGAAAAAGCGGCCTCCCTTGCAGTGAAACCCTGGGGGGATGGGACAATAAGTACCTCCATGCCAACTGCCTGCAAACACTTAGGTGGCACCCACCATGTGGGCACTTGCCACAAATTATGTCATCCAACCCTCATAACAGCCCAAGGCAAGTGGGATTCTCGACCCCACCTTCCAGATGGGGAAACGGAGGCCAGACATTCCAAGTAACAGCTTTCGTTTCATTTCACAAAAGAGAGACTAGAGGCCTGTGGACCCGGAGAAATCCCAGACAGCAAGAGGAAGCAGACCTAGGCACCTAATCATTCCCATCCCCCTGCCTTGATCAGAAGGAGAAATTGAGGCCCATCAAAGTGGGAGTTGGCAGCCCATTGGCCTTAGAAGCAGGGGTCTCAAACTCACTGGCCCCCTCTTAGGAGGGAGTCTGAGTGGCCAAAACAGACCAGATGGGGATGGGCAAATGGAGAGTGAGGGTCCTGAGAAGGGGAGACCACTGCTGGTGGGGGCTGTAGGCCATGCTGTTACATTTTCTAGATAATTTATTTTTCTAGGGAATCTAGGATATTTGTGTAAAAACTTCCTGGGTTTAAAATTTCTACTAGTTGGTCAAACTTTTTTTTTGTTTTCCAAACAACAGGCCAAAGAAAATAGATCCAAGGGCCACATTCAGCTCTGGGGGGGCCACCAGTTTGAGACTTCTACTCTCTTGGAGACAATCAGGAAACAGGCTGGGCATGGTGTCTCACACCTGTAATCCCAGCACTTTGGGAGGCCGAAATGGGCAGATCACCCGAGGTCAGGAGTTCGAGACCAGCCTGGCCAACATGGTGAAATCCTGTCTCTACTAAAAAATACAAAAATTAGCTGTGCATGTTGGCGCGTGCCTGTAGTCCCAGCTACTTGGGAGGCTCAGGTAGGAGAATCGCTTGAAACCGGGAGGCAGAGGTTGCAGTGAGTGCAGATCACACCACTATGCGACAGAATGAGGCCGTGTCTCAAAAGAAAAAAAAAAGAAAAGAAAACAAGGAAACAGAGGCTCTAGCTGGTTTCGGACTGGCCGCTGGATCACCCAGCCCTAGGAGGGTGCTCACCACTGCGGGGAGTGGAGGCGGCTGTGGGGTGGCTCCACTCACTCCAGATCCCGGCTTTCTTGGAGCCATAGATGCCAAAGGGGTTGCAGCGCACTTGCACGAAGTACACGGTGCCGGGTTTCAGGCCGGCCAGGCGGCAGGAGGTCTGGTTGCTCACATCGTCCACCACCTGGACAGTGAGGACAAGGTCAGAGTAGAGGGCGGGGCCTAGCAGGAGCGGGGGCGGGGCCTGGAAGGAACAGGGGCGGAGTCAGGGAAGGGGAGGGTCACCTTCCAGTCCACACTGTCCTCCACTCGGTAGCGGATCTGGTATTTGGCTTGAAAGAGGAAATCCTTGAGGGCGGGTGGCGACACCCAGCGCACGCTCAGCTGGTCCTCCAGGCCCCCGACGCGGCTCACGTGCACGTCGGGCGGGGGGTCCGTGGTCACTGCGGGGCAGAGGAGGGACCCTCTCAGCCTGGGACTGTCTGGGTTTAACTCCCCCCAGCAGTGTGGCCCAGGGCACTTGGCCTAGATGGAACCTGCCTCTGTTTTCCTCCTCTTCCCTCTGCCCCCACCCCCAGGACTGGTGGATTACACGATATATAATATTGGAGAAACACTCAGCACCTAATTAATGTTAGCTGTTATCACCATTATTATCTGTGACGGGAGAAACATAATCCTATCTTCAACTGACTATGGGAAAGCAGCCATTGCGGGGTTGATGATATTATTATTATCATGCTTAGGAGGCCAGGGGCTGTCAGGCCGTCAGCCTTCTGGGAACCTCCCTGCCACCCCCTCCCCACTCACACCTCCCTTCCACTCTTTTTTTTTTTTTTTTGAGACGGAGTCTCGCTCTGTCGCCCAGGCTGGAGTGCAGTGGCGGGATCTCGGCTCACTGCAAGCTCCGCCTCCCGGGTTCACGCCATTCTCCTGCCTCAGCCTCCCAAGTAGCTGGGACTACAGGCGCCCGCCACTACGCCCGGCTAAATTGTTTGTATTTTTAGTAGAGACGGGGTTTCACCGTTTTTTAGCCGGGATGGTCTCGATCTCCTGACCTCGTGATCCGCCCGCCTCGGCCTCCCAAAGTGCTGGGATTACAGGTGTGAGCCACCGCGCCCGGCCCTCCCTTCCACTCTTACTGAAATCTTTGATGTGACATTTTGCTGGGTGCAGAGAAGCAACTGAGGCTTAGAACTTTCCCACTGTAGCGTTAGGATGTGGGGAAGAGTGAGGCAGGCTGCGGGGGCAGGGATGGGGGCTACAACCCAGGCGTATGTGTGTGTTGGGGGGTTCTGAGGATCCTTCTGGGGGCCCCTGAGGGCAGCAGGGTGAGCTGGCCTCTCCCCCTGAGGCCTTGGTGAGGGGCCTAAAGGGTTAAGGCACAGGCCTGCTTGGGGCTGAGAAACACCCTAATTAGATTAGGCTCAATTCTGCTCACAGATCATCCATTTCCTGCCTCCCGCCCTGCGCCCCCCAGCTCCAGGCCTCGGCTTCCTGGGGCGCCTCCCGACCTGGGCGCCCCCTCCCCTCTCCCCAGGGCCCCCTCCTGCACACCTGGGCTGCCGAGGGGGTGGTGGCCAGGCCAGGTGTTCTCTGTGGAGTGGGGGTATCCTGGCTGTTTCTGGGGGCTGCGGACTGATGAGCGGATGCTCAGCTACTTACCTACCTTCCCTCTGACCAGCAGGGACAACCCGGGAGTTGCCGGGCTGGGGAGGGGCAGGTGGGACCCTAGGAAAAATGAGAAGGTGCAGGGGACCCCTCGGGATGCTCGGTGGGTGGGGCTGGTGCCGAGGGAGGGGCCTAGCAGACACTGGGGGCTCACCCACATCCAGGATATCCAGCGTGAGTACATCGGAGCGGGCAGAGCCCAGGCGGTTGGTGGCCTCCACCCAGATCTCATAGGGCGTAAAGAGAGCCAGGTCCTTGGGGATGTGGCAGGAGTGGGGCCCCACTGTGTGGTACTCCTCACATGTGTTGTCCTGGCCATACCACCTGCGGGGATGGGAGGGCGACAGGACGCATGAGGGTTCCTTGTGGCCCCCAGACCTCACCATGGCAGCCTCAGGGTGCAGACAACACATGGGGGCTCAGAGAGGGTCCGCGTTGGTCAAGGTCACGCAGCCAGCCTGGGACACACACATCGCCCTCAGGCCACCACCAACCTAAGCTTGTACTTGAGGGAGTAGTTGGTGTGGAGGAAGGTCTCCCCGTGGGCCCCTGGCGTCCAGCGGCAGGTCAAGTCCTTCATGTTCTTGGACCAGCAGCTGATGTTGACGGGTTTCTCTGGGGGCACTGGGAGAAGGGGAGGGTGCAGGAAGCAGGCTGAGGGTCTGGACTAGCTGAGCCTCGGCTGAGGGGTTGCTGCCCACCCACCAGGCCCCCACCTTGGAGTGGAAGGAGGGCAGACAGGACAGTCTCAGCCCTGTGCTGAGAAATGCCAGCACAGTTGGTGTGACAACTGCAAGGGCTCTTGAGAGGCTGGTGACTCGATCTCCGGGTTCTTTTTCTTTTTTCGAGGCAAAGTCTCGCTCTGTCCCCCAGGCTGGAGTGCAATGGTGCCATCTCAGCTCACTGCAACTTCCGCCTCCTGGGTTCAAGCAATTCTCCTGTCTCAGCCTCCCAAGTAGCTGGGATTACAGGTGCCTGTCAGCACGCCTGGCTAAGTATTGTATTTTTAGTAGAGATGGGGTTTCGCCATGTAGGCCAGCCTGGCCTCGAACTCCTGGCTTCAAGTGATCCACCCACCTCAGCCTCCCAAAGTGCTGGGCTTACAGACATGAGCCACCTTGCCCGACCGGGTCTCCAGGTTCTCATTCCCACCTGAAAGACCTGCATAGCCATGCCAGTGTGCCCACAGCTCATCCCCAGGCCAGAAGGCCCACAATTCATGCCTCACTCCAGAGGGAGATGCCGCTCCCAAGAGCTACCCCTGGGGTGTCCTGGGTGCCAACTTACGGCCAACATAGAGGCAGGAGCCAGCCAGGATGCTGCCGTCACGGGCGTGGCACACGAGGTTGTCCCCCGACCGCTGCCTGGACCCATTGAGGTTGGCCAGGGCCAGAGCCAAGGTGGAGGCGTTGAGTACACGGGAGAGCTCAGGGGGCAGGCGGCGCCCGTTGAGGGTCCAGTAGAGGCCCTCGGCGGTGGCTCCTGGTGGGTCTCCGTGCACTGAGCAGGTGGCCAGCAGGGAGGAGCCGATGAGAAGCGTGGGATCCTGGGGACTGATCACAGCTGTGTCTGGGGTCAAAGAGGAACACGTGTCAGGCCAGGGCGGGGACCCTCCAAGCCCCCAACCATGCCAGGACCTCCAGGGTTCATGGTGGTCCTGAAAAGACGCTGTTAATGATTGTCCCCCATTTTACAGATAGGGAAGGTAGAGATCAGTTGGGTTAAATGCCCAGGGCAACACTGGTGGCCAAACTGACAGACCTGGAGTTGTCCAGGTCTGTCTGACTCCAACACTGGATCCTTCCAAAACTCTTCATCACTGACATGCTTAAGGTTCTCTGAGGGGTCACACAACTCGGGCATAGAGGCTCATTCGGATCCAAGTGACTCTTGCTTAGCACATCGTTATGACAAACACTATGCTTTGCTTTTTTTTTTTGAGACGGAGTCTCGCTCTGTCGCCCAGGCTGGAGTGCAGTGGCACGATCTCGGCTCACTGCAACCTCCGCCTCCCGGGTCCAAGCAATTCTTCTGCCTCAGCCTCCCGAGTAGCTGGGACTTCAGGTGTGCACCACCATGCCTGACTAACTTTTGTATTTTTTTTTTTTTGAGACGCAGTCTTGCTCTGTCGCCCAGGCTGGAGTGCAGTGGCACGATCTCGGCTCACTGCAAGCTCCGCCTCCCGGGATCATGCCATTCTCCTGCCTCAGCCTCCCAAGTAGCTAGGACTACGCGCCCGCCACCACGCCTGGCTAATTTTTTGTATTTTTAGTAGAGACGGGGTTTCAGCATGTTAGCCAGGATGGTCTCGATCTCCTGACCTCATGATCCATCCGTATGGGCCTCCCAAAGTGCTGGGATTACAGGCGTGAGCCACTGCGCCTGGCCAAGTTTTGTATTTTTAGTAGAGACGGGGTTTCACCATATTGGCCAGGCTGGTCTTGAACTCCTGACCTCGTGATCCACCTCCCTCGGCCTCTCAAAGTGCTGGGATTACAGGAGTGAGCCAATACACCCAGGCATGCTTTGCTTTTTATTTTTTTAGCGACAGGGTCTCACTCTGTTGGCCAGGCTGGAGTGCAGTGGCACGATCATAGCTCACTGCAGCCTCGATCTCCTGGGTTCAAGTGATCCTCCCTCATCTCAGCTCCCAAGTAGCTGGGACTACAGGTGTGCACCACCACACCTGGCTGATTTTTAAATATTTTTTTAGAGATGAGGTCTCGCTAGTTTGCTCAGGCCGGTCTTGAACTCCTGGCCTCAAGCGATCCTCCCACCTTGGCCTCCCAAAGTCCTGGGATCACAGGCATGAGCTTCGGTGCCTAGCCTTCTTTATTTTTCATTCTCATTTTGTTTTTCTTTTTTGGCAACTAGAAACAAAAGATTGTGGGTTCTTCCTGTGATGCTCCCAGAGCCTCACACATAGTAGGTGTTTCTGTGGGGGAAGGGCACTGCTTAAAATGAAAGCCCTGACCCTTACTTGAATCATTAAGAGCACCATGTTTTTTTTTTTTTTGAGACGGAGTTTTGCTCTTGTTGCCCAGGCTGGAGTGCAATGGCACGATCTCGGCTCACCGCAATCTCCGCCTCCCAGGTTCAAGTGATTCTCCTGCGTCAGCCTCCCGAGTAGCTGGGATTACAGGCACACATCACCGTGCCCGGCTAATTTTTGTATTTTTAGTAGAGATGTGGTTTCACCGTGCTGGTCAGGCTGGTTTCGAACTCCTGACCTTGTGATCCGCCTGCCTCAGCCTCCCAAAGTGCTGGGATTACAGGGGTGAACCACCGCGCCCAGCCTGTATTTTTAGTAGAGTCCAAGAATCGCCATGTTGGCCAGGCTGGTCTCGAACTCCTGACATCAAGTGATCCACTCGCCTCAGCCTCCCGAAGTGCTGGGATGACAGGCGTGAGTCATTGCGCCTGGCCTAACAGCACCATTTATTGAGCACTTGTTGTGTTCTGAATACTGGGCTAAGACTACCTACATTTTCTCGGCCAATCCTGCTTATATGTTAAAGATGAAAAAACTCCGGCTCTGAAAGATGGAGTTTCCTTGCTGGAATGAGGGAAGGCCATACTAGTTAGGCCCAGATTTTCTGGTCTCCAAAGTTCTGTTCCACACTGCCTACCTCTGGAACTAAAGGCAGCCCTGGCAAACTGCACGTCCCCAACTCCCATCCAAAGGGACTTGACATCATCGCTGTTTCCCTCCACTCAGTTTTCCTCATCTGCAAAGTGAGAACGAGAAAGCTCTTTGTCTCCTGGGGTATTGTGAAAGTCAGAGGGGAAAGGACTTCCTGAACCAGGTTGTGTGTGAGTCAGGTACTAGGCACAGGAAACTTGGGGACGCCCATGGGTGGTTGATGCCTCTCTCTCCTGCTGGCCATCAGGGCAGCCCAGGAGTTCCCCTTCTGGAGACCAGAACCTTGTCCATAGGGAAACCAAGGCCCAGAGGAGGAGGGGGTGCACAGGCCAACCTCCCAATGCCTCTCTGAGTCTCAGTTTCCCCATCTGGAAAGTGGACATCATGGCGTCAATGTCATGGGGTTGGCTGGGTGCGGTGGCTCATGCCTGTAATCCCAGCACTTTGAGAGGCTGAGGTGGGAGGATCACGTGAGGTCAAGAGTTTGAGACAGCCTGGGCAACATGGTGAAACCCTGTCTCTACCAAAAATACAAAAATTAGCCAGGTGGGGAGGGGGTGGTGGCCCCATGCCTGTGGTCTTAGCTACTTGGGAGGCTGAGGCAGGAGGATCGCTGGAGCCCGGGAAGTTGAGGCTGCAGTGAGCCATGACTGCACCACTGCACTCCAGCCTGGGTGACAGTGAGACCCTGTCTCAAAAAAGAAATAAAAAATTTAGATTTAAATTTATAAAAACCAACAAAACAAACCTCATGAGGTTGTTTGAGAGGAGTGAAAATATTGTTGGAGACAATATTTTCCCATGAGATCTTTAAACCAAGTTGACCTGGACTCGAATGCCCCCAGCCTGACTCAGTGTTCTACTTTTTTTTTTTTTTGAGACAGAGTCTCACTCTGTCACCCAGGCTGGAGTGCAGTGGCACAATCTCGGCTCACCATAACCTCCACACCCAGCTAATTTTTGTATTTTTAGGAGAGACGGAGTTTCGCCATGTTGGCCAGGCTGGTCTCGAACTCTTGACCTCCAGTGATCCACCCGCCTTGGCCTCCCAAAGTGCTGGGATGACAGGCGTGAGCCACTGCACCCGGCCTCAGTGTTTTACTTCTTTGAGCCTCTGGAAAGGGGCTTCTCGTTCCACACAGAGTGGTTGTAAAGACTCATCCACGCCTTTGTTCGTTCACGCGTTCATCTATTCATTCACAGGGTACCTATAGTGTGTCCGGATCTGTGGGCACTGGGGTGATGCCCAAGACACACAAAAGTCCTGCCCTTGTGGGCATCAAATCCAAGGAAGCAGCAGGAAAAAGGAATAAATAAATATCTAAGACAATAACTAGGGGAGAAAGTAAAGCAGGGGCTGGAGGAAGACAGAGCAGCGGCAGAAGCTTGGGAGGCCTGTCTGGGGAGGTGACCTTTGAGCAGAGACCTGAATAAAGTAAGAGAAGTAGCTGTGACATTATCTAACAGAGCATGTCCAGGCAGTGGGAGCTGCAAGTGCCAAGGTCCTGGGGCAGAAGCGGTGGGAAATGAGGTTTGAGAGGTCAGAGACCCTGACCTGCAGGGAGGAGGGATTCCAGGGTTCTCAGCCGGGGAGGGAGGGATGCGGTGAGATATGCGTTAAAAGGACTCCCCAGGCGGCTGGAAGAAGGGACTGCAGGAGGCAGGGGCAGCCCAGCTTCGCAGAGATGGCAGCCAAGGACAGGGTGATCCTGGCCCCCAGGGAGGCCCCCTGAATGCCAGCGCTGCCCTGCACTTGCCCTCACTGCCCCAGATGGGCGAGGTGGGGTGGACACGGTTCTTGGGCCGGCCCTGATGATTTTCCGGGGCAAACTTGGCTCGAGGGCTCTGTCTCGCTGGAGCCTGGAATCGCAGTTGCGCTTGGGGCTTGGCCCAGGGCTCGCCGGAGGTCTCCGCGTCCGTGCGAAGGAGCCGGCTGAGCGGGCCAGAGCCGAGGAGGCGGGGGCGGCCGAGGGGGGCGGGGGGCTGGGGGCCAGGGGACCGCCCTGGAGGTCCCAGGCAGCCAGCCGCCCGCTAATTCGGAATTCCTTTTGCATGAACTCGGGTGTGCCAGCGTCTCTGCCCCGGCCCACCCACCGCTTCCTGCCTGGGCCCCCCCAACAGAGTGGGAGGCACGGCCAGGCCTGCCCAGACCCCAGGCCCCTCTCAGCCCTTCTAGAGTGGGTCTCACTCCTCCTGCCCCCACCACCCGCCAGCTTGGCCTGGGCAGGAAGGGGCTCTCTGGGGGGTCCTGGCTGGGGGGCGCTGCCCCTCTGCCACACCCGCCTGGCCTGGGCCGGCGTGGCTCACTTGCCAGCAGCTGCAGCTGCCCTCCCGGGGCTGGGCGGGGGACACCGGGCGGCGACGGGTTGTAGGGGGAAGGCAAGGCCAGGCGGGCCTGGACAGACCAATCTCCCACCCCCTTAGCCCCAGCCGGTAAGGTCAGAAGGACACTTTCTCCTCCCGGGATATGGGCGCAACACCAGTGGGAGAACCTGGCCAATTGACTTCCCCTCTCCAGTTCTCAATTTTCTCCTCCATAAAATGGGAGGAGAAATACGTTCTACTTGCTGGGGAGATCAATGAGATGTGATTGCAATCCAATGTCCAGAGGGCTCAGAAGCCTGAAGCCCCCAGGAGCTGCAAAGATGACAGCCCCTCCCAGCTCTGGGGTCCCGGCTGACTAGGCACTCCCTCCAGGCCTCCACAAACAATGGGCTAAGGCGCTGGGGACAGAGATGCACGCACTCCAGGCCAGGCAGGGGAGCAGCTGGGAACAGCCCACTGAGCCGGAGTTGGTGGGGGCTTGGCTTGGTTTGGAGGGCCTCCTAGGGCTCCCCAAAGCAGATCCCTAGGTTGGGCTTTTGAACAGCTCCCTTTTCACTCCCTGCCTCCCCTCCTTTCCCGCAGAGCTGGGGCCTTTAAAAGTTTTTTCTCTCCTCTTTTCCCAATCTGGAGCCACTGCCGTTATTAAAAAGGAACACCATGTGTTTTAAAAGGGAAAAGTGTGAGATTCTCTGCAAGCAGGGCGGAAGGGTGGCCTCCATCCCAGGGTCCCCACGGGGGTCCCCATCTCCCGTCCCGCTGGTACCTGCAGACACTTTACGACCCACCCGCCTGCTGGTCAGGTGCTAAGACACACCGTAAGTAGAAACATATTGCCGAGGTGTGAGAATCTTTTATTTAATTTCTTCCCCCCTTAAAGGAAAAAACACACTTACAGTGCCCCCCCACCCCCTACACCTTCGCCTGCTGCTCTACTGGCTGAAAACAAAGCTTGGCGCTCACAGTGGCACTCACAGGCGCTGCCCACCGCCTGGCAGAGCCGTCAGGGGCCCTGGGAGGGCCCGAGGTAGCCCCTCACCTGAAAGCCAGGGGAGAGCCAGGCTTTCAGCAAGTGCCCCTAGAAGATGCCCGGACCCTGCCCCTTCCCGGAGGAGCCCTACAGGCAGCCCGCAAACAGCCCAGCACAGGGTGGATGAGCCTGGGAGCAGTGTGTGCCCGGCGACCCCCGGGGTGGCCCGTGCGCCTGGATGGGGTGCGTGGAGTGACTGAACATCTGGGGCGAGTGGTGCCTGCCTCTGTGCCCCTGGGTCGCCTCCCCTGTGGGATGTGTGTGACCGTGAATGTGTGTGTCGGGGATGGAATGTGTGTGCGTCCGCGATGGTGCGCGAATGTGCACCTGGGATGCAGTGTGCGCGAGTTTGAGGGCGAGGGTGACGGGCCACAAGCCAGTGTGATTCTTTGTGTGTCTCTGGGTGTGTCCCAGAGCGGGTCTGCATACGGAGACGTATCCTTGCGGGGGTGTTCCTTGGATGGGGGGCCCCAGAGTGCCTGAGGCCAGAAGTCCCTCCAGGGCAGGGGTCTTGGCCCGTAGGGCAGCGGGTTCCCAGTGGGCCCCCTCAAAGTTTGGGCCCGCTGGTGCCCGGACTCACTGGCTCCCGCTCCCTCTCCCTCTCACCCACTCGCTCACAAAGATTCCTCTCGCTGGAGGCTCTCCGCCCGACGCAGCCTGGCTGAAAACGGTTCTAAGCGCCGCCGGTGGCGGGGACTCCGCGGACCCCCGTGCGCCGGGTCCCGCAGGGGGAGGGCGGTGGCGCCGGCCCGTGGAGACACAAGTCCCCCGGGACCCCGGGCTGCGCGCCAGGCGGCCAGAGCGGCCCCCCTGCAGCCCCGCCCTCCCCGTGGGGCTCATCCCTCCGCCTGGGGGGGCCCGCTGGGGGCCCGCACCCAGCGCGCCAACCGCGTGCGCCCCCGCCTGGGAGCGGTGCCCTGCAGTCCCAGGGGCCCAGAGTCCACCGAAGCAGACGCGTGCGCCCGCCACGTCCTGGCATGCAGAGGGTCTCAGGCCGCGATCCCCCCAGCCCCCGGGGGCCTGGCCTGGCGCCCTCGGCCCAGCTGCCCAGGTAACAGGGCCTCGGGCGCGGAAGCAGGACTCTCTGGACAGTGGACTGCGGCGCCGTGTGCCCCGCAGGTGAGGGCGCCCCGAGGGCTGCGCCGGGGGCGCCTTCCTTTGTTCCCCGGCCGTCCAGGTGGCGCCCGCGCCCCCTCCCCCCGCGGCTGCCCCCGGGGCGCCCGCCCTCTGCTCTGGCAGGGGGGAAGGAGTGGGGCGCCGGGTACTCACGGGCTCCTGATCCGGCTCGCGGCGCCCCGAGGACGCAGAGCAGCAGCAGCAGGGGCAGCAACGGCGGCGGCCGCCGCGCGGATTGGGCGGCGGGGCCCCGGCGGCCGGCGGGCATGGGGCCGGCGCTGCCGGGGGCGCGCGGCGGGCTGCGGCTCGGCGGCGGTGGCGCAGGGCGCGGGACGCAGGCCGGGCGCGGGAGGGCGCGGGCCAGGCCGCCCGCACGTCGCTGGGCGCGGACGCGGAGGCCGGAGCAAGTCTGAGCAGCCGAATTGACAAGGCGCTAATGCGCCGCTGGCCCCGCCCGGCCCCGCCCCCGGCCCGGCCCGGCCCCGGGGGGGCGGCGGGCCCCGCACCGGCCTCCCCGCCGCCCGCCCGCCCGCGGGCACCGCGCGCCCCGCCCGTCCCGCCTCCGCCCCACCGAGAACCGCGCGCGCCCTATCCCGCGGCCCAAAGCCCCCTAACTCAACCCCTACCGGCCCAGGACCTCCCTCTCCAACCCTGCCAGCTCCAGGCTTCCCACCCCCAGTCTGGGACCCGGCACCCCCAATCCCGTTTCCATAACCCTGCCCACTTCCCTGCACCCTCCTCTCAGCCCAGTGCCTCTTCAGTGGCCCCTTTGGTCCCCAACCCTGCCCCACTCCTCCATTCCCCCTTCCACGGCCCAATCTTCTGTCTCGGCCCCCACCCCAGCTCTGGCCCCGCCCCCCCCACCGAGCGGTCCTTGAGTCCCGCCTACCCCCATCTCCAGCCCCTCAGCCTTCCCAGGGGCCTAAAAGTCACCCCCAGCCCCACGCCCTCGGCGCGCGGGTTCCAGCCCTCCCACCTCATCCTGCCTCTTTTCGATTCTCCGCGAGTAGCCTCGGCCCCAGGCTTTGCTGGAAGAAAGGAGAAAAAGCAGGAAGGCACGGAGTCCCTCGCCTTCGCCCTGGCTGCGCTGTCCCCTTCGCGCGCGGGATGGGTTTGAGGTTGCTCTGGGCGCCCCGGGGGCCTCGGGAGGGAGCTCCTGCGTGGGCAGACGGGGAGATGTAGTCCCCTGTGGGAGCCGGGACCCAGGCCTGCGCGGGAACTGGGTCCCGCACCGCAGTAAGAGGGATTCCCAGGAGGAGAGCGGTAAGAAGCTCTTTCCCCGGGACCTATTCACACCCCGCCACGGAAAAATCCACTCAGCGGCCCGCGGGTGGGGTGCGCCACGCGGTGAGTAATCGCTTCGGCGGCCACCGCCCGCCGACTCCAGGTAACGCCGGCTGCCCGGAGCGACGCATAGTTTGTCTTCCTTCTTTTGCGCAAAGAGCCTTCTCCGTGTTATTATTTTTGGCCATTGCTCGAGTTTCGGGACCCCTCCCGGTCCGGGCGTCTCATCTCCCTCCTCCCGGTCCCCACCCGATGCGGGCGCCCAGGAATAAAGGGTTCCTGGCCTCCAAGGCTGCTGCGGATGGGGGTGCCTGAAATGAGAGTTGGGGGGTGCAATTACCCACTTTTGGTCGCAGCCCCGCCCCCAGCTGCAGCGCCCAGGGAAGGGAACGGCTCCAAGTCCCCTTTTCCAGGAGTCCCTTAGAGGCCTGGATTCTCTCTCCTGGTCCCCAACCAGCCAAGGGGGTAAAAGTGTCTGAGGGGGGCTCAGGAGCCCCCATTTGTCTGCCCAAGACTGAAGCCCCACCCTCTCCTACTTAAATCTCCAGTTCAGACTCCAGACTGTCAAAAAACAAGATTGGGGGATGGGAGCCTATAGGGGCCCAGGGCGCCCCTGCTCCATCTGAATTCTGGATGGAGAAGACAGACAAGGAGAGACGCTGCCATTTACTTCGGGAAACCAGGCCTTTTGTGCCTCAGTTTCTTCCTCTGCACAGTGGGCACCACCCAGTCTAGGAGCTTCTGTGGGAAGACGCAGGGCAGCAGAAGTCTCTACAATCCAAGCCCTTAGCACAGCACTGGAGGATATCCTGGAGCAGAGGTGACCCCCAGCCCTGCTTGTCCCCTCTGAAACATGGAGCCATAGTCCCACCTGCCAGGGGACCCAGAGGGTTAAGTGGAGGTGGCAGTCCTTGGCTGGAATTGAGTTTTTAGGATACTCACCACTACTCCCCCATGGCTCCTGTCTGCAGATGCTCTCTGTGTGGATAGAGACGCCTCACTCCCTCCTGGGAGGACTTCAGGCTTCTGGAGCAAAACCTTGATTTTTTCCTCCCTCCATTTCTGCTTCTCTTCCAGTCATTTTGGTTTTGGGAAAGGGCTCTCCCATCCATCCAGGTGCTCAGGCCAGAGACCTGGAAGCGCACGTGACAACTCTCTCCTTTGCTCATCCCTCATGTCCAATTCATCAGCAAATCCTGTTGGCTCTGATTCTAAAACACATCTCCATTCTGAGATGCTGACCCCTTTTTCCCACCCCATTCAGATCCAGGCCCCACGGTCTCCCTCAGGGATGCTTCCCGGCCTCCTCCAGGGCCTCCCTGATAACCCTTCTGCCTTTCTCGGCACACCAGGCAGAGGGAGCTTTTAAAAGAAGAAAAAGCAGATCTTTGTCCTGCCACCCTCTCGCCATCCTCTCCCCTCCTCTTCTTCCCTCTCCTCTTCCCCCTCCTCTCCCTCATTCCGCCCCAGCCACTGGAGCCCTGTTTCCCAAAACATACCAGGCTTGTTACTATAGAAGGGCCTCTGCGTGTTGGCTGTTCCCTCTGCTGGAATGCTGTTCCCCACATCTTCCCCAGTTGGCCCTTTCTCTTCCATCACTTCACAGGATTAGTGCCACCTCCTCAGAGAGGCCCTCCACCCTTCCCCCAGCACTCTCCCTCTCCTTCACTTTGTTTTATTGTTTTTGAAACACAACTCTTCCAACCATTTCATTTCTTGTGCAACTGATTTTCTTTAGACTGTGGGCAGCCTCAGCCCCTTTGGACCCCAGTGGTGGGCCCAGTGAGGGCTGAAAGCGAAGCACTCACTAAATATTTGTAAAAGTAAAGGATGGAGAACTCTTACTCCCTCCAAGTAGCAAGAAAACTCAGTCCTAGCAAGTCATGCTGCCTGGGGTCCTAGCCTGGCCCACACTCTGTGTCTTGCTGTGTGACCCTAGCCAGTAGACATCCCTCTCTTGTTCTTACCAACAGAAGGGAAGGACCATTTTCCAATCCTGCCCAGCCCCACCCTGGAGTGTGACTTCTGCCCTTGGGTGATCTTTACCCCACACCTTTGACTTCAGGGAAAGGGAATTGACCCCAGAGTGCATCCTTCCCGGCCCTTAGGGCCCCCAGAAGTTTAACCCTTTACTCCCCAGTTCCATTATCTCCTTGAGGACAAAAGGGAGCTAGCGTCAATGGAACTTCTGGCAAATATTGACCCAAGTCCTTGAAGTTGGCTGGGAATGTGTAAGGGGCAGAAGGAGGGAGGGCCTCCCCTTGGGCAGAGGGAGGGCCTCCCCTTGGGCTGGGGGAGGGACCCCTCCTTAGTCCTGCACCCTCCACTCCAAGGTCACCTCTGGATGAGAGGTATTAGGTTGGGGGGGGGGCCTCCATCCCCAGCTCCCTCGTGATTCCAGGGCACTGAGGGTGCACCAGGGAGGGGGCAGTGGAAATGGCACCTTCAGGGTCCTGTGGGGACCCACAACCACTGGGAGTGAGGAAGGCTGAGAGCTGTCTCTCCCATTCTGAAAGCCCCGTGCTCAGGGCTCCCCAGTATGGGATTAGCTACCTGGTGTTCCAGGCAGGTGCTTTCAGGAATTAAGGGGCAGTGAGGGTCTGGACACCTGGTTCAGGGTCTGTGGCACAGGAAAGTGGGGCCCGTGTGTACCTAGGCTTTATAATTTCTGCCCTGGAGGCTGAGCCTGGGGAGAAGCAATGCCTGGGTGCTCAGTGTAATGCACACTGGACTTCAGGCACTGGAGGCGGGACCTGGGGAGTTGCAGACCTGCCTAGGGGACCTGCCTGGGAAGTTGCAGGCCTGCCCCAGGGAGGCCAGTTTCCCTGCCCGTCTGTACCCTGAGAAGCCTCTGAAGTCTGGGTCCCAGGAGGCACCAGCTGCTTTAGGGGGACAGCCACATCCCTCCGTCCTCCCCCAACAACCCTCAGCAACCACCACCGGCGCCATGGTGCTCTGCCTCCTCCCTGGCCTGTACCCTGCTTGGAGGTGGGGGTCAGCAGGGTCGTGGTGAGGGCGGCAAGGGACAAAGGGTGCTTGTCCGCTGCCCGCCTTGACCTCGGCTGCTGTGGCTTCCCGGACGCCTGGCCTGCCGCTGATTCACGCCCAGGCCGGCCTCAGCGCCCCCCGCCTGCCGCCCCCAGCCAGGCCGCCCCGGGGGGTAGGAAGTGGGGGGGGGGGCGAGGGCGGCGCCGAGTCAACTTTCCCTCTTAAGCCCCGAAGGAATGTCGGCGGATTTCCTGAAACCCGACCCTGGCCGCCCGCCGGCCCTCCCGCCCCTCACCTGGACCGGCTCCCCCGGGAACAGCAGGAGGGGCGCGGGGGCTCACCTTGGGGGCCGGGGTCAAGTCCTCTTTCCGCTCACCCCCCCAGCGGCCTAGTGCAGCGGAAAGGGGGCTGGGTGTGCGGCAATCAGCCTCTTTCCCTTCTCCCCTCAGGCGACCTGGGTGATCGACCCACTCCTCCAGCCTCAGTTTCTCCTTCTGCAAAAGGGCGCGGGGTGTCCCTCCTCCCTGATGCGTTTTAAGCAATGCCCAAAGGTCACCTCCCATCATTGGCAGGGCTCTGCCGGCTTTTCTTTGCTTCTCTCCCTGTCACCTGGACAGAACCACTTTGCAGTCTGAGCATCAGTTTCCTCACCCATATAAAAGGGCAACGCTACCGGTACCTGTCTTATACGGTTGTTGCAAGAAAAAGTGTTTCGTTGGAATGAATGAAAGACAGTAATTGTGGAGGGGTTAGGCGCGCGCGGGCCTCTGGAATTAGCATGTGTGGGCTTGAATCCTGACTTTGCCAACGCGTCCCGGAGCCTAAGTTTCCCACCTGTGAAATGGGGGACAGTATTGGTCATAACGCACAGGGCTGTTTCCCAAGGTGCGGGCCTGGCGCGCGGGTGGGTTAGAAGCGGAATTCTCCTGCTGGATTCTGGCGCAAACTGCGGGCTGGAGGCCCTCGCCGCCGGGTCGCAGCGGCCTAGCATGGGAGGGGAGGGGAGGGGCGGGGCGGGGCGGGGGAGGGGCCGCACCGGGATCCAGATGTTCGGGGTCCGCCAGGCACAGCCGCGCCTGATTAAGCCACGTGGGGGCCGGCCGGGGGCCGCTGAGATGAAAGCGCGGCCGCAGGCCAGAGTAGGGGGTGCGCCGGGCCCCCACCCGGGACACCCTCTTCCCAGGCCGAAACCTGAGCCGCCCTCTAACCCGCAGACCCTGCGAGGCTGCCGCCCCGTCTGCGGGGGCGGAGCGTAGGTGGGGGACCTGCGGGCTGCTGCGCGGCGCTGCAGGCACCTGCGCCAGGCATGCCAGCGAAAGCGGGGGCATCTTTGCAGAGGATCCGGGTTTAGAGGGGCGTCCCCACTCCCTTATCTGGCGGAGAGGAAGCTGGGGGTACCCTCTAACCGAGATTCGGCTCCTGGGGCTACAGTCCATCGCCCTGGGGTGTGATGGTTATGGAAGTCAGAAGTGTCGCTATTTGCCCCGTTTTCCCATGAGAATTAGACATGTCAGCATCACCCCCTCCCCTTGCTCCTGAGCATACCTCTGTGTCCCCTCCCACTAAGCCCCAGCCCAGGGGTCTCCAGCCTTGGGGAGACAGGGCCAGATTCCCTAGGTCAGTGGATCAGGGCTGGGCCAGAGGGAGGCGAGGCTGAAGGAGCAAGGGAGGGGCTCAGAGGGCTTCCCGGAGGAGGCAAACTGCGCGCAAGTTGTCTCCTTTCTAACCTGGGTGTCAAAAGAGAAGATGCCAGGACTCAGCTGCCGGGTCCTGCGGCTCTCACCTTCCTCCCTCTCCGTTCCCTGGTTGGACTCCAGCCCCATCGCCCTCCCTCCTCCTGCAACAAGCTCTTTCTCTCAGGATCCTCGCTGATCCTTGTAGCCTGGACACCCCTTTCTCCTCTCTCCCGCGTGGTCGGCTCACACGTCGCCTCCTCCGCCAAGCTCTCCGCTCTCCTCGACACCCCTGGGGAATAGTCCCCTCCATCCCATCCCCCTATATATTTCCTTTTGGCCCCAAGCGCCAGCAGAGATCCCCCGCCCGTGGGCACCAGGGAGGTGTCCTGGGACCCCCGCGATGGGATAGACGGTGGGGGCCGCGATGCACCTGCCCCGCCCGACCCGCACGCCTCGGGTGCCGCAGCGCAGCTACCCCGCCCGCTCTCCGCATCTCCCACCCCCCGCTTCCCAGGCTGCCTCGCTCGGGTGACGTCAGCGCCCCGGTCCCCGCCGCAGCCGCTGCATCCTCCGTGCCCGGCCTGAGCTGGAGTCCCCCGCGCCCCCCGCGTTCCGCCCGGCCATGGCTGCGGTGGCGCTGATGCCACCGCCGCTGCTGCTGCTGCTGCTGTTGGCGTCGCCGCCCGCCGCCTCCGCGCCGTCCGCCCGCGATCCCTTCGCCCCCCAGCTCGGGGACACGCAGAACTGCCAGCTGCGGTGCCGCGACCGCGACCTCGGCCCGCAGCCCTCGCAGGTGAGGCGCGTGCGGTGCCAGGTGCCAGCGGGGGACGCGGGATCTCTCCGAAGGAGGAGGCGTTGGGATGGGCTTCTCTTGGATGACAGCAGGAGACTTTGGTGGGGGTGTCCGTGGGGAGGTGGGGGTCGGGAATGGGGAGATCTCTCCAGTAGTTGACGGGCTGGGGTTCCCTCTGATGGGGGAGTGCTTGGGGATGCAGGTCCTTGCGATAAGGGGCCGATACCACCTCCCGGGCTCCTTCCGCACTCTGCTGGGTAAGGACCCTCTAGCACCCAACCCCCAGCTCCCTCAGGCCTGATGGTCCCCCCACCTCATTCCTCCTCCTCCACATCGTGTTCCCTCCCCACTCAGAGCTACCAGCCCCTACTCATACCACCACTCCCCAGGATTCAAGCCTGATCTGCGTGTGACCAAAACCCCCTCCTCTGAGCCTCCCCCTCCTCCTCCAGGTCTGAGAATCCTTCTCCATGTCTCCCCTCCTCCCTGGAACCTAGTGGGGGGAAGGCTCATTTCTCTCCACCTTCACTGTCCATTTCTCTTCTCAAGCTCCCTCCCCATCTCCCTCCTCAGAGCTAAGAGCCCCCACTAATATTTGTAGCCTCTCCCAACTTCATCTCCATCTGGCTAGATGTCGTGGGGAGCGGGGAAGCCTTTCCCTGCCTCTGCTGAATGCTCCGGTCCCCCCACCCTCCTCCTGCCCCTCCCCATGGCCTGAGCCCCCTGTCCTCCCCTCCCCCAGGCGGGGCTGGAGGGCGCCTCCGAGTCTCCCTATGACAGAGCCGTTCTGATCAGCGCTTGCGAGCGTGGCTGCCGCCTCTTCTCCATCTGCCGATTTGTGGCCAGAAGCTCCAAGCCCAATGCCACCCAAACTGAGTGTGAAGCAGGTGAGGGCCCGCCGGCAGGGTGGGCCAGCGTGGGGAGAGGTGGCCTGGGAAGGGCCGTCCCCAGTCACCCGCTCCCACCTCCCACAGCCTGCGTGGAAGCCTATGTGAAGGAGGCAGAGCAGCAGGCCTGTAGCCACGGCTGCTGGAGCCAGCCCGCGGAGCCTGAGCCGGAGCAGAAGGTGGGCCTCCCACTGCGGCCTGGGGTCCCTTTTCCCAATACCCCCACCCTCTTCACCCCGTGGGAAATCTTCATTCACGTGCAGAGGCTCTGCCAGACTCTGCGTTCTATACCAGGCCTGCAGGGCAACCTCCATCCAGCCCCGTCATGTCTCCAGCCTTAGTTACATGCAACAACGCCCCCCATGCCCCACCACCTTTTCAGGAATAAGTGGCAGAAAACAGCCATCATTTATCAAACATCTGTCCTGGTTCGGGCCTGACTTCAACCTGTCCCAAATGTTTTTGTGTCACTTGGAGGCACAAAGGACAATGTCACCCCCATTTAGTGCCCAGGGGGCAACCTCCCAGGTCATACACAGGGCTGTGCAAGGGGCGAGATTTGAAGCCACCAGAGCTGTGGCCACTCCTCACCTCACTCCTCTTAGGCGCCCCCAGAGCTGCCAGGTGCTGGTCTAAGCCCTTCCCCTGTGATGAGCTGGTGGTCACTGTCACCTGGAGGGGCTCAGAACTGCGGCTCAGGGTAGAGCAGGCTTGCCTCGCAAGCACGCACACACTGCCTTATGGGAGAAATAATAACGGTTCATCTATTGTAGTCCAAGCAATGCTGCATCATGGGGAAACTGAGGCACAGAAAATCATGTAGCATAGCCAGAGACCTAGGGGCTGGGACTCCCCAGAAAGCCCTTTCCCCACTTCCCCCATTTTCCTCCACCCCTTCCCAGCTTTCACTGCTGTTCAGAAAAGCTCACTGCACTGTCAGCCCTTCCAATTCAGAGCTCCCTCTTATTTATTTATTTATTTTTTGAGATGAAGTCTTGCTCTGTTGCCTAGCCTGGAGTGCAGTGGTACAATCTTGGCTCACTGCAGCCTCCGCCTCCCGGGTTCAAGTGGTTCTCCTGCCTCAGCCTCCTTTGTAGGTGAGATTACAGGCACCCCCCACTACAATCGGCTAATTTTTGTATTTTTAGGAGAGACAGGGTTTCATCATGTTGGCCAGGCTGATCTTGAACTCCTGACCTCAAGTGATCTTCCCACGTCGGCCTCCCAAAGTGCTGGGATTACAGGCATGAGCCACCATGGCCGGCCATCAGACCTCCGTCTTGACGCTGTCAAAATAAGAATAATGAGGATGATGATATTTTTAGTAATAGGGACTACTACGCATTAAGTGCCTGTGCCGTGCCAGGCACCTGGCAGGCATCCTCTAGTTGAAATTTCATGGCTACTCCATGAAGGAAGAGAACGATACCCATTTTAGGGCTCAGAGAGCACAATCCACTTCCCTAAGGGTACACAGGAAGCCAACTGCCACGCTGAGATCTGTGTTCACTATAAGAAGTCCTATTGGCCCAAATCACTTAGCCACATCCAATCCAAGTGAATTCTCCTAGCTCCTCTCCTGTTAGTTTATTTATTCATTTATTTATTTGAGATGGAGTCTCACTCTTTCACCCAGGCTAGAGTTCAGTGGTGTGATCTTGGCTCACTGCAACCTCTGCCTCCTGGGTTCAAGCAAATCTCCTGCCTCAGCCTCTGGAGTAGCTGAGATTCCAGGCGTGCGCCATCATGCCTGGCTAATTTTTGTATTTTTAGTAGAGACAGGGTTTCACGATGTTGTCCAGGCTGGTCTCAAACTTCTGGCCTCAAGTGATCGGCCTGCCTCAGCCTTCCAAAGTGTTGGGATTACAGGCGTGAGCCACCACATCCTGCCCCCTCCCATTCATTGGTTAATGCCCTATTTCGGTGCCATCTTTGTGTCTTGGACCTTTTTTCACCAGAGAAAGGTCCTGGAGGCTCCAAGTGGGGCCCTCTCCCTCTTGGACTTGTTTTCCACCCTCTGCAATGACCTTGTCAACTCAGCCCAGGGATTTGTCTCCTCCACCTGGACATACTACTTGCAGACTGACAATGGGAAAGTGGTGGTGTTTCAGGTGAGACCTCTGACAGGGGCCACGCCAGAGTGGCAGATGGGTGGGCAGGGTAAGAAGATGGGATGCATTGGCTCTTAGCTCATGAGATGCAAAGTCCACAGTGGGCGAGCTTCAGGCACAGCTGGATCCAGGGGCTCAGTGTCTCACTCCATGCCTTGACTCTGCTTTCTTTTGTGGTGGCTTCATTCCCAGGCATTTACTTCTTCTTGGCAGTAAGGTGGATGCCAGAGGCTCTAGGTTACAAACGCTGTGGTTTTTTTTTGTTGTTGTTGTTGTTGTTTTGAGATGGACTCCCATTCTTGTTGCCCAAGATGGAGTGCAATGGCATGATCTTAGCTCACTGCAACCTCCACCTCCCAGGTTCAAGTGATTCTCCTGCTTCAGCCTCCTGAGTAGCTGGGATTACAGGCGGCCACCACCACACCCACCTAATTTTTGTATTTTTAGTGGAGACGGGGTTTCGCCATGTTGGCCAGGCTGGTCTCGAACTCCTGACCTCAGGTGTTTCACCTGCCTCGGCCTCCCAAAGTGCTGGGATTACAGGCATGAGCCACTGCCCCGGCTCCCTCTGGGGTTTTAACTGAGCTGGGATTTACTCTGATTGGCCCTGGCTGGATCATATGACCATCTCTCAGGCAATTCACTGGCTTGGTCTGGATCATGTTCCTACTTCTGGAGCTAAAGGATGGGGTTAAGGCAAATGGAGGAGCCCATGAAAGCAGAAAACAACATCCCTGACATCAAGCCCACCCCTGATACCCAGGGGAACTGGGTATCAGCTGGGCGTGGGACATGGCAGTCACAGAGGGCCTGCCTGGGCCCAGGGGTGCTGTTCTCACAAGCCTCTCTGTGCTGTCTTGTTCCTGGCCCAGACTCAGCCCATAGTGGAGAGCCTCGGCTTCCAGGGGGGCCGTCTGCAGCGCGTGGAGGTGACCTGGCGAGGCTCCCACCCTGAAGCCCTGGAGGTGCACGTGGGTAAGGTGCAACCTAGACCAGTGTTCCTTCCATGGGTGGCCCCACTGCCACAAGGAGTCGGCCTGGCAAACAGACCTTCTAGGATCGGGATCTCCATCTCTCAAGTCCTGGGTTCCATGGCTCATCCCCCAGGTCTCCATGGTCTATTTCCCAGGGTTCCATGGTCCACCTCCCAGGGTTCCATGGTCCACTTCTCAGGGTTCCGTGGTCTACTTCCCAGGGTTCCGTGGTCCATCTCCCCGGGTTCCATGGTCTATTTACCAGGGATCCGTGGTCCACCTCTCAGGGTTCCGTGGCCCACCTCCCGGGTTCCGTGGCCACCTCCCAGGGTTCCGTGTTCCGCCTCCCAGCGTTCTGTGGTCCACCTCCCAGGGATCCATGGTTCACTTTCCAGGGTTCTGTGGCCCATCTCCCTGGGTTCTGTGGCCCATCTCCCAGGGTTCCATGGTTCATCTCTCAGAGTTCCATGGGTTCATCTCCTAGGGTCATCTCCTAGGGTCCATCTCCAAGGGTTCTTTGGTCCATCTCTCAGGGTTCCATGGTTCATCTCTTAGGATTCTGCAGTTCATCTCCCAGGGTTCTGTGGCCCATCCCCCAGGGTTCTGCAGTCCATCTCCCAGGGTTCCATGGTCCATTTCCCAGGGTTCCATGTTCCATCTCCCAGGGTTCCATGTTCCATCTCCCAGGGTTCCATGGGTTCATCTCCTAAGGGTCATCTCCTAGGATCCATCTCCCAGGGTTCCATGGGTTCATCTTCTAGGGTCATCTCCTAGGGTCCATCTCCTAGAGTTCTTTGGTCTATCTCTCAGGGTTCCATGGTTCATCTCCTAGGATTCTGCAGTTCACCCCCAGGGTTGCATGGTTCATCTCCTAGGATCCATCTCCCAGGGTTCCATGGTCCCTGTCTCAGCATTCTGTGGTCCATCTCCCAGGGCTCTGATCTCCATTCCAGGACTCTATGCCCCAGGTCCTGACCTCCTCCCTCCTGGTCATGGTTATTGTGGCCTCTTAGCAAAGACCTGGTGGTCGCTGAGTGGCAGCTGATCTCTCAGACCCTGTAGGCCCCCTGGACAAGGTGAGGAAGGCCAAGATCCGAGTCAAGACCAGCAGCAAGGCCAAGGTGGAGTCTGAAGAGCCACAGGACAATGACTTCCTCAGTTGCATGTCCCGGTGGGTGGCAGGACCTTGGGGGTGGGAGGGGGGTGGGACTGGAGGTACGGGTCTCCCTGGTCCCGGCCTGGGCAGCTGAGTGGTGCCTGCCGGGCGGGGCAGGCGCTCGGGTCTGCCTCGCTGGATCCTGGCCTGCTGCCTCTTCCTCTCCGTGCTGGTGATGCTGTGGCTGAGCTGCTCCACCCTGGTGACCGCGCCTGGCCAGCACCTCAAGTTCCAGGTGGGTGGGATCTGTGAATGGCGCTGGGCCGAGGGAGGGGGTGAAGGCAGAGAGAGCTGTTTGCTGGTCCTGGATTTGGCCACCTGCTCCCATGGAGGCCAGGACCTCAGACATTTTTTTCTTTTTTCATGTATATACATATATATACATATACGTGTGTGTGTGTGTGTGTGTGTGTGTGTATATATATATATATAATATATATATATATATTTTTTTTGAGATGGAGTCTTGCTCTGTCACCTGGGCTGGAGTGCAATGGCACCATCTCGGCTCACTGCAACCTCCACCTCCTGGGTTCAAGCAATTCTCCTGCCTCAGCCTCCGAAGTAGCTGGGACTATGGGCGCGGGCCACCACACCCAGCTAATTTTTGTATTTTTAGTAGAGACGGTGTTTCACCATGTTGGCCAGGCTGGTCTTGAACTCCTGACCTCAGGTGATCCATCCGCCTCTGCCTCCCAAAGTGCTGGGATTACAGGCGTGACCCACCGCGCCCGGCCTATATATATATTTTTGAGACAGGATCTCACTCTTTCACCCAGGATGGAGTGCAGTGGCATGATCACAGCTCACTGCAGCCTCGGCCTCCCTGGCTCAAGCAATCCTCCTGCCTCAGCCTCCTGAGTAGCTGGGACCACAGTCACGTGCCACCATGCCCCGCTAATTTTTGTATTTTTTGTAGAGATGGGGACTATGTTGCCCAGGCTGGTCTTGAACTCCTGGGCTCAAGTGATCCACCTGCCTTGCCCTCCCAGAATACCGGGATTACAGGCATGAGCCACCTCACCCAGCCAGGACCTCACACTTGCTGCATGACTTGGGCCAGTTTCTTCACTGCCCTTTGAATTGGTGGGAAGAAAATCCACTCTTAGTTGGGGCGACATGAAGTCAGAGGTGGCCACACTTCTGTGGTGTTGGCCTCACCTCTATCATGCCCAGGTGTGTTGGTGACACCTCTGTGGTGCCCAGAGCCTGGGCAACATAGTGAAACCTTGTCACTACAAATCATTTAAAAATTAGCTAGATGTGGCTGGGCATGGTGGCCCATGCCTGTAATCCCAGCACTTTGGGAGGCCGAGGTGGGCGGATCACGAGGTCAAGAGATTGAGACCATCCTGGCTAACAAGGTGAAACCCCATCTCTACTAAAAATACAAAAAATTAGCTGGGCGTGGTGGCAGGTGCCTGTAGTCCCAGCTACTCGGGAGGCTGAGGCAGGAGAATGGCGTGAACCCAGGAGGAGGAGCTTGCAGTGAGCCGAGATCGCGCCACTGCACTCCAGCCTGGGTGACAGAGCGAGACTCCATCTCAAAAAAAAAAAAAAGAAAAAAAAAATTAGCTAGACGTGGAGGTGCATGTTTATGATCCCAGCTACTTAGGAAGCTGAGGTGGGAGGATCACTTGAGCCTGAGAGTTCGAAGCTGCAGTGAGCTGTGATGGCACCACTATACTCCAGCCTGGACAACAGAGAAGACCCCATCACACACACACACACACACACACACACACACACACACACACACACACAAAAGTCCAGGTGTGGTGGCTCACACCTGTAATTCCAGCACTTTGGGAGGCTGAGGTGGGCAGATCACTTCAGGAGTTCGAGACCAGCCTAGCCAACATAGTGAAACCCCATATCTACTAATAATACAAAAATTAGCTGGGCGTGGTGGCGTGCACCTGTAGTCCCAGCTACTTGGGAGGCTGAGAAAGGAGAATCGCTTGAACCTAGGAGGCGGAGGTTGCAGTGAGCTGAGATGGCGCCACTGCACTCCAGCCTGGGTGACAGAGAGAGACTCTCTCAAAAAAAGAAAAAAAATAAAACAATCAGAGGTGGGAAGGAGACAGTCAGGGTTGGGGGCTCGGCCTCTCCCCGTCCCTCCACTTCCCTCCTCCCCTCTCTTCCTGCAGCCTCTGACCCTGGAGCAGCACAAGGGCTTCATGATGGAGCCCGATTGGCCCCTGTACCCGCCGCCGTCCCACGCCTGTGAGGACAGCCTACCACCCTACAAGCTGAAGCTGGACCTGACCAAGCTGTAGGCCTCCACTGGCCCCATCACTGCCAACTGCAGGGGGCCCCTCGGGCCTCACTTGCCCTGAGCCCAGGAGTCCAAGGGCAGGGTGGGTCCAGCCTTGAGCCCCTCCACCCCCAAATCCTTCCTCTCCTCCCAGTCCCACCCCTTGCCCCACGGAGTCCTGGGGACGCAGTGCCCCAGCTGGGAAGAGGGCGGGATCGGGCACTGGTTCCTCCTTGTCCCCGCTTTCTTGGGGGCTTGCTACTTTTTGTCTTCTATTGTGTGGCTTTCTGAGTATTTGAACCCCAGTCCTGTGTCACCTTCCTTTTTCCTTCTATGTCCCCTCTCTGCGGGGGGGGCGCTGAGGCTGAGGGGGAGCTGCGTCTTGCTAGGGCTTCCCCCTTCTCCCCATCCCGGTCTCCAGAGACCCAGCTTCTGAGAGACAGGGTGTGGGCATCTCCATGCCCCTATAAAGCGTGCCTGGGGCTTGTCTGGGGCTGGGGAGGAATAAACCATGTATATAAAAGAGTTTCAGGCTGAGCCTGCTTCTGTTCGGTTGTCTGTCTGCCCTTGGGGTGTGGCCCACGCATGGCTATGACCCCTGCCGAGCAGGATCTTTCTGACATGGGAAAGCCCTGGAAACCCAGGTGGCACCAGGCACTGAAAGTAGCTGCCTCTCAGAAGGACACTCCCTCTGGTCTAACCCAGGTCACACTCCCAGCTACAGATGTCCCTGGAAAACTGACTCGAGGCCAGGCGCAGCAGCTCATGCCTGTAATCCCAGCACTTTAGGAGACTGAGGCAGGAGATTCACTGGAGCCCAGAAGTTCCAGACCGGCCTGGGGCAACATAGCAAGGCCCCATCTCTACAAAATACACACACACACACACACACACACACACACACACATATATATATATAATTAACTGGGTGTGGTGGCTTGAGCCTGTGGTCCCAGCTACTCGGGAGGCTGAGGTGGGAGGATTGCTTGAGGCGGGGAGGTGGAGGCTGCAGTGAGCTATGATTGCACCACTGAACTCCAGCCTGGGTGACAGAGCATGACTCTGTCTCAAAAAAAAAAAAAAAAAAAAGTGGCTTGTGCCACCCATCTGACTGGGGCAGTTCAGCGTCCCTTCCTGTGCCTGATGTCCCTGTTATGAAGGGACAAATTGCATCTTGAAGAGGACTTGATTTTGTAGCCACCTGGCTTCCGGTCTACTTTTTCTTTTTCTTTTTTGAGACAGAGTCTCGCTCTGTCGCCCAGGCTGGAGTGCAGTGGTGCGGTCTCAGCTCACTGCAAACTCCGCCTCCCAGGTTCCAGTGATTCTCTTGCCTCAGCCTCCAAGTAGGTGGGATTATAGGCGCGTGCCACCATGCGCGGCTACTTTTTGTATTTTCAGTAGAGACGCAGTTTCACCATGTTGGCCAGGCTGGTCTTGAACTCCTGACCTTAAATAATCTGCCCACCTCAGCCTCCCAAAGTGCTGGGATTACAGGCATGAGCCTCTGCACCCAGCCAGCTTTATTTATTTATTTTTTAAAAAATGAGATAGGCTCGGCCGGGCACAGTGGCTCATGCCTGTAATCCTAGCACTTTGGGAGGCCGAGGCGGGCAGATCACGAGGTCAGGAGATTGAGACCATTCTGGGTAACATGGTGAAACCCTGTCTCTACTAAAAATACAAAAAAAAATTAGCTGGGCATGGTGGTGGGCGCCTGTAGTCCCAGCTACTCAGGAGGCTAAGGCAGGAGAACGGCGTGAACCTGGGAGGCAAAGCTTGCAGTGAGCAGAGATCACGCCACTGCCCTGCAGCCTGGGCGACAGAGCGAGACTCTGTCTCAAAAACAAAACAAAACAAAACAAAAAATGAGACAGGGTCTTACGCTGTCACCGAGGCTGGAGTGCAGTGGTGTGATCACAGCTCACTGCAGCCTCCACCTCCCAGGCTCAAGCCATCCTCCCATCTCAGCCTCTTGACTGCAGGAAGGGAGCCACGCCCTTCCGTTCCTGTCTGTTCTGCAGACTCCTCCAGATTCTTCTTGTAACTCCGCTTTGAGATTCAGTTGACTTGAGTTGGTTTCTGTTGCTCGAAACCAGAGATTCCTGACTGATACAGGGCCTCATCCCCTGGGCAGAGCTCAGGATCAGGAGCATGATGGCCCCAGCCTACAGGCAATGGGGTGGAGAGTCCCAGGAATTCCAGGCTGATGGAGTGACAGTGGGTCTGCAGGTTGGGGCAGAAAATTAAATGATGCCTCCTGGGGCTGTGTGTAAGACTCTCCACCCTTCACTCTACCCTGGATCCTGGAAGGTTGATCCACTTGGACCCTCTTCTTTCCACTGGAGTCAGTCAGAGGGACCACTGGCAGGAGATGAGAGGAGGGAGGAGTCAAGGTCTTTCCTGGTGTCCTTCCCAGCATCCCCTGACTCAAGACCACAACTCGACCAAGCAGCCTCCCCTGGAGATCTTCAAGAGCTCTGGAGGGGCGGGGCGCAGTGACTCATGCCTGTAATCCCAGTACTTTAGGAGGCAGAGGAGGGTGGATCAACTGAAGTCAGGGGTTCAAGACCAGCCTGGCCAACGTGGCGAAATTCCCGTCTCTACAAAAATACAAAAATTAGCTAGGCATGGTGGCGCACTCCTATAATCCCAGCTACTCGGGAGGCTGAGGCAGGAGAATCACTTGAACCCTGGAGGCAGAGGTTGCAGTGAGCCAAGACTGCACCATTGCACTCCAGCCTGGACAACAAGGGCGAAACTCTGTCTCAAAAAAAAAAAAAAAAAAGAAAAAAAAGGGCCCCTTGGCCGGGTGTGGTGGCTCATGCCTGTAATCCCAGGACTTTGGAAGTCTGAGGCGGGAGGATCACTTGAGTGTAGGAGTTTGAGACAAATCTGGGGAATATAGCAAGATTCATCTCTACAAGAAATTTAAAAATTTAGCCAGACCTGGTGGTGGGCACCAGTAATCTCAGCTGCTGAGCTGAAGCTGAGGTGGAGGGATCACTTGAGCCCAGGAAGACAAGGCTGCAGTGAGCCATGATTGCACTAATGCACTCCAGCGTGGCTGAGAAGAGTGAGACCATTTCCAAAAAAATAAATAGATAAATCAAAATAAAAGGCTGGGCTCGGTGGCTCATGCTTGTAATCCCAGCAATTTGGGAGGGTGAGGCGGAAGGATTACTTGATGCCAGGAGCTTGAGACCAGCCTGGCCAACATGGTGAAACCCCGTTCCTACTAAAAATACAAAAAATTAGCTGGGCGTGGTGGCCCATGTCTGTAATCCCGGATATTTGGGAGGCTAAGGCATGAGAATCCTTCAACCTGGGAGGCGGAGGTTGGAGTGAGCCGAGATCATGCTACTACACTGCAGCCTGGGCGAAAGAGTGAGGCACTGTCTCAAATAATAGCAATAATAGCCCGGGCACGGTAGCTCCCACCTGTAATCCCAGCACTTTGGGAAGCTGAGGCGGGTGGATTGCCTGAGCTCAGGAGTTCACAACCAACCTGGGCAACATGGTGAAACCCTGTCTCTACTGAAATACAAAAAATTTGCCAGGCGTGGCAGTGTGTGCCTGTAGACCCAGCTACTTACTCAGGAGGCTGAGGCAGGAGAATTGCTTGAACCCAGGAGGCAAAGGTTGCAGTGAGCTGGGATCATGCACTGCACTCCTGCCTGGGAGACAGAGCAAGACTCTGTCTCAAATAAATAAATACAATAATAATAATTGTTCCTTTAGGCCAGGCAGGGTGGCTCACATCTGTAATCCCAGCTCTTCGATAGGCCCAGGTGGGAGGATCGCTTGAGCCCAGGAGTTCAATGTTACAGTGAGTTATGATCATGCCTAGGTGACAGAGTGGGACTGTGGTTCAAAAAATACATGTATAGCCCATTTATGTATGTATGTATGTATGTATGTATGTATGTATGTATGTATGTATGTATTTTGAGACGGAGTCTCGCTCTGTTGCCCAGGCTGGAGTGCAGTGGTACGATCTTGGCTCACTGCAACCTCCATCCCCTCGGTTCAAGTGATTCTTCGACCTCAGCCTACTGAGTAGCTGGGATTACAGGTGCATACCACCACGCCCGGCTAATTTTTGTATTTTTATTAGAGCCAGGCTTTCACCATGTTGGCCAGGCTGGTCTTGAACTCCTGACTTCAGGTAATCCGTTAGCCTCGGCCTCCCAACCACTTTATTTATTAATCTATTTTGAGACAGAGTCCCACTTTGTCGCTTAGGCTGGAGTGCAGTGGCGAGATCTGGGCTCACTGCAACGTCTACCTCCCAGGTTTAAGTGATTCTCCTGCCTCAGCCTCCCAAGTAGCTGGGATTACAGGTGCAAGCCACCATACCTGGCTAATTTTTGTATTTTTACTAGAGACGGGGTTTTGCCATGTTGGCCAGGCCGGTCTCGAACTCCTGACCTCAAGTGATCCGCCTGGTACCATGACCATCAGGATTCAACCCAGATGTAATATGGGCCCCAGGGAGTATCATTCTGGGCCCTGTGTGGGGTTTCAGGAAAACCTCTAGGAATGTTGCCCAGAAATAAGACATGGGCAGAGGTGAGAAGAGAATGACAGCCAGCCGTTCTCTTTGGTAGAACTTTCTTTGATGATAGAAACGTTATGTCTGCACTACTCCCAGCCACCTGGAAGTTACTGAGCACTTCCAACATGGCTAGTGTAACTGACAAATTGTGTTTCTTATTTTGTTTAGTTTGAGTTGATGTACATGTAAGATTTTTCCGGCTGGGCACGGTGGTTCACAGCTATAATCCCAGCACTTTGGGAGGCTGAGGCAGGAGGATCACTTGAGCCCAAGAGTTCAAGACCAGCCTGGGCAACATGGTGAGGCACCTGTCTTCTTTTTTTGAGACTGAGTCTCACACTGTCGCCCAGGCTGGTGGGCAGTGGCGCGATCTCAGCTCACACCAACCTTCGCTTCCCAGGTTCAAGCGATTCTCTTGCCTCAGCCTTCCGAGTAGCTGGGAGCTGGGATTACAGTCACTTGCCACCACGCCCAGCTAATTTTTGTATTGTTTTATTAGAGATGGGGTTCCGCCATGTTGACTAGGCTGGTCTTGAACTCCTGACATCCGGTGATCTGCCCACCTCGGCCTCCCAAAGTGCTGGGATTACAGCGTGAGCCACTGCACCCAGCTGAGGCACCCGTCTTTATTTAAAAAAAAAAAAGAAATTGACCAGTTGTGGGGGCATGTGCCTCTAGTCCCAGCTACTAAGGTGGCTGAGGTGGGAGGATTGCTTGAGACTAGGAGTTTGACACTAGCTCGGGCAACATAGCAAGACCCTTTCTCTAAAACAATTTTTTAGGCCAGATGCAGGCAACAAAGTGAAGCCCTGTCTCTACAAAAAATATACGTATATACAAAATTAGCCAGGTATTATGGCGGCTGCCTGTAGTCCCAGCTACTCCCAGATACTTGGAAGGTTAAGGAGGAAGGATTGCTTGAGCCTGGGGAGGTTGAGGCTGCAGTGAGCTGTGACTGCACCACCGCATACCAGCCTGGGTGACAGAGTAAGATCCTGTCTCTGACATGACATCATGCCTGGCTAATTTTTTAATTTTTTTTTGAGACAGAGTCTCTCTGTTGCCCAGGCTGGAGTGCAGTGGCACGATCTCGGCTCACTGCAACCTCTGCCTCCTGGTGTCAAGCAATTCTTCTGTCCCAGCCTCCCGAGTATCTGGGATTACACCACGCCAGGCTAATTTTTGTATTTTGTTAGTAGACATGGGATTCTGCCATGTTGGCTAGGCTGGTCTTGAACTCCTGAACTCAGGTGATCCACTAGCCTTAGCCTCCCAAAGTGCTGGGATTACAGGCGTGAGCCACCATGTCCAGCCTATTTTTTGATTTTTTATAGAGATGAGGACTCATTATGTCGCTCAGGCTGGTCTTGCACTCCTGGACTTAAGTGATCTTCCTGCCTCGGTCTCCCAAAGTGCTGGGATTACAGGCGTGAGCCACCATGCCTGGTCAAAATTTGCCATTTTCATGAGTTTTGAGTGCATTAATTGCATCCACAATGTTGTGCAGCCATACCTGCCATGGATTTTTTTTAAATTGTTATTGTTTTTGAGACAGAGTCTTGCTCTGTTGCCCAGGCTGGAGTGCAGTGGTGCAATCTTGGCTCACTGCAACCTCCGCCTCCCAGGTTCCGGTGATTCTCCTGCCTCAGCCTCCCAGGTAGCTGAGATTACAGACATCCACCACCACACCGGGCTAATTTTTGTATTTTTAGTAGACGGGGTTTCACCCTGTTGGCCAAGCTGCTGTTGAACTCCTGACCTCTCTCAGCCTTCCAAAGTGCTGGGATTACAGGCATGAGCCACTGCGGCCGGCCCTGCTGTGGATTTAAATGGCTACTGTCACTGGTCAGCCCAGTTTGAAAGGGACTTCATATGGACTCACTCTGTCTCCTTGCCTGGCCCCCAGTTTCTCTTCTTAGTGGCTCTAGACATCTGGGCTGCATCTTGATTCTTAACTGTCCTCACCTCACTTCATTCCATCAGCACAGCTTGTCCCCTAGGCCTCCAAAGCATACCTCCAGCCCACAAGCATCTCTTTGTCTCCATGGCAACCACCGAAGTCCAAGCTGCCACTGCCTCTCACTCAGCAATGGTGCCCACCTCCTCCTCTTGGGGCTTCCGGCCTCTCCAGTTGCCCTCTGGTTCCATCTTGGATAAAGCAAATCTGACCCCAGACTCCACACCTTTCTGGGGTTTACTGTTGTCTTGAGGAGCCCAAACATTCCCAGACAGCAGAGATTCCCACGATCGGGTCTCACTAACACTAACCTAACATCTCCAAGCGCTTTTTTTTTTTTCTGAGATGGAGTTTCACTCTGTCGCCCAGGCTAGAGTGCAGTGGCGTGATCTCCGCTCACTGCAAGCTCTGCCTCCTGGGTTCACGCCATTCTCCTGCCTCAGCCTCCCGAGTAGCTGGGACTACAGGCGCCCGCCACCACGCCCGGCTAATTTTTTTTTGTATTTTTAGTAGAGACAGGGTTTCACTGTGTTCACCAGGATGGTCTCGATCTCCTGACTTTGTGATCCACCCACCTCGGCCTCCCAAAGTGCTGGGATTACAGGTGTGAGCCACTGCACCCGGCCATCACCAAGCGCTTCTGTGAGGCTCTGCCCCTCACTCCCTCTGCTCTGGCGGCTGCGTGAGGTTCTCTCTGGATTTCTTGAGCCTACCTTGTTCCTTCCAGCCCCAGGGCCTTTGCACATGCAGTCCCCTCTGCCAGGAGCACACTCCTGGTCCTGCTTCACCAAGTTCTCAGCCACGTCAGCATCCCCTGGGATCCCCATGTTTCACTTCCTGTCCATCTTCCCTGCTCTGATGACATTCGTCGTTGATTAAAAATTATTTGTTGGCTGAGGGCAGTGGCACATGCCTGTAATTCCAGCACTTTAGGAGGCTGAGGTGGGCAGATCACCTGAGGTCAGGAGTTAGAGACTAGCCTGGCCAACATGGTGAAACCCTGTCTCTACTAAAAATACAAAAATTAGCCAGGCATGGTGGCACGTGCCTGTAGTCTCAGCTACTCGGGAGGCTGAGGCAGGAGAATCTCTTGAACCCGGTAGGCAGAGGTTGCAGTGAGCCGAGATCATGCCACTGCAGTCCAGCCTGGGCAACAGAGCAAGACTCTGTCTTAAAATAAATACATAAATAAAAATAAAAATAATGGAGGCCAGGCATGGTGGCTCACACCTATAGTCCCAGCTCTCTGGGAGGCTGAGGCAGGTGGATGGCTTGAGGTCAGGAGTTCGAGACCAGCCTGGCCAACATGACGAAATCCTGTCTCTACTAAAAATACAAAAATTACCTGCGTGTGGTGGCTCAGGCCTGTAATCCCAGCTACTCAGGAGGTTGAGGGGGGATAACCTAATTCTCCTGCTCACCTATGAAGAGCTTTTGATCTTTGCCAGCCTGGCAGCCACCTCTCCTGTGCCATCCCTCCTGCCTTTTGGTCTTGGAGACCAAAATGCGCTTGTCCTCATTTTGAATCAATGGTCTGGCCTTGGGGCCTTTTCTGCAGCTTCCCTTTGCTTTGCAATGCTGTTACGGACTTGGTAGGCATCTACCCAGCACCTGCAGTCTTCCTTCTTCCTTCGTTTTATTTGTTTGATTTTTGTTGTTTCATCTGTCGTCCAGGCTGGAGTGCAGTGGCGCAATCTTGGCTCACCACAACCTCCGCCTGTCGGATTCAAGTGATTCTTCTGCCTCAGCCTCCCAAGTAGCTGGAATTACAGGTGTCCACCACCACGCCCGGCTAATTTTTTGTATTTTTAGTAGAGACAAGGTTTCACCATGTTGGCCAGGCTAGTCTTAAACTCCTGACTTCATGATCTATCCACCTCAGCCTCCCAAAGTGCTGGGATTACAGGCGTGAGCCACTGTGCTCAGCCTATTTACTTCTTTATGGGTTCATCTTCTGCCTCCTACATCACTCAAGACTGGGCTCACTGGGAGGGCAGGGCTGCATCGGCTGTGACCCCAGTACCCATCAACGCAGGTCACAGAGGAATGACCCAACAAGGGTGTCTGGGATGGCTGGGAAAGAACCCCGCTTGCCATGCAGAGGCCTTGGGGCTGCTCTGCCCAGTAACCAACCCCTTACCCTATCCTGACTCTCAGGAGAGAAAGGCCTCTTTGACCACGTAGCTGAAGACCAGACTCACCACAGCTCTGTCTCTGAGCTTCAATTTCCTCTTCTGTCCTAGAGCCCTGCCCCTCCCTCCATTTTCATCCTGAGCTGCACACAGACCTGGTAGTGGGTGGGTGGGTGGCTGGCGTCATGGCAACGGTAGCACAGGGTTGCCACAGCAACTTGGTTCCCTAGTGACAGGCCTGAGTTTCTTAGCCCAGGGGTGGCAATCCGCCAGGAAGAAATGGGGAGAGGGTGTCCCCAGCATCCAGCTGGCACACAGGGGACATTCTGTAAACACTTGGAGGGCAGGATGGGGATGCATGGTGGCTGTCTTTTCCTGGGGTGCGAAGAGGAGACTTCAGGTCCCTGTTGGGCTCCATGCAGCTCCTGGCACACTCTCCCTCCTCAGGGCCCCCATGCAGGCTGTTCCCTCCGCCTGGAGGCTGTTCCCTCTTCGCTCCGTCTGGCCAGCTCTTCAGCCTGACCTCCTGGCTCAGCCCCAGCTTTTATCATGGTGACAATTAAGTGATGGCTTGTTTGCTTGTGTGATGATTGGTTTAATAAATGTTCCCTCTGCCAGATGCTATGCGCTAGGCGTCTCGGTCACAGCTGTGTCCCACACACCAAGGAGGCTGCTCTCAATACATCTTTGTCGACACTCTCCATCCTTGCTCCGCCTTGCCCACTTCTTCCAAGCCAGTGCGGCCTCATCTCTATCCCTTGAGCTTTTTCTGGCACTGGGCTTAGGTCCTTCATATTATGTCCTCTCAGAATATACGGGAACATTGCACAATGTTCTGGAATGTCCTGGAACATTCTAGAACATTCTGTCCCCTTCTTTTACTGAAGCTGGGACATCATCACCTCTTCAGGGAGGCTCTCCCTGATCTTCTGGCTGAAGCAGTGCTCCCCTACCCAACACACACTTGATCGCTCTCAGCTCATTGCCTTCAAGGCAGTTATTGCCATCTGAAATGGCCTTGGTCATTGATCAATTATATATCTCAGATTTGTCTTTCCCATCAGAATGTACCTTTCAGAATATCTTGGAACATGAGGTCAAGGATCTTGTCGGATGGGCTGACAGTTGAATCCCCAGCAGCCTCTCAGCACCCTAGTCCCCACAGTGGTGGGTCCCAGTTGGTCGCCCCCCAGAGGTAGTCCTAGTTCTTATCACATTGGGTGGATTTGACCTTTTCTTTTTTTTTCTATTGGGATGGGATCCCTCTATGTTGCCACGGCTGGTCTTAAACTCCTGGACTCAAGTGATCCTCCTGCCTCGGCCTCCCAAAGTGCTGGGATTACAGTCTTGAGCCACCGCAACTGGCCTGATTTTGTTTTAGTAAATCAGCTTTTTTTTTTTTTTTTTTTTTTTGAGGCAGAGTCTCACTCTGTCACCCAGGCTGGAGTGCAATGGCTTGGCTCACTGCAAGCTCCGCCTCCTGGGTTCACACCATTCTCCTGCCTCAGCCTCCCAAGTAGCTGGGACTACAGGTGCCCGCCACTACACCCGGCTAATTTTTTGTATTTTTAGTAGAGACGGGGTTTCACCGTGTTAGTCAGGATGGTCTCGATCTCCTGACCTTGTGATCCACACACCTTGGCCTCCCAAAGTGCTGGGATTACAGGCGTGAGCCACCGCGCCCAGCCTTAGTAAACCAGCTTTAATAAGACATAATTTACATCCAATGGCACATCCATGTTAAATGCCCAGTTCAATGAGTTTTGGCAAATGTAATCCTCCTAAGATACCCCTATAATCAAGATATACACTAGGTATGGTGGCTCACACCTGTGATCCCAGCACTTTGGGAGGCTGAAGTGGGAGAATCACTTGAGGCCTGGAGTTCAAGACCAGCCTGAACAATATAGTGAGACTCTGTCTCTACCAAATTTTTTTTACAAAATTAGCCAGGTGTACTGGCATACACCTGTGGTCCCAGCTACTCTGGAGGCTGAGGTACGAGGCTCATTTGACCCAGGAGGTTGAGGCTGCAGTGAGCTATGATTGCGCCACTGCATTTCAGCCTGGGCGACAGAGTGAGACCTTATCTCTAAAAATATAAATAAATAAATAAAAGGGCCCGGCGTGGTGGCTCATGCTTGTAATCCCAGCACTTTAGGAGGCTGAGGTGGACAGATTGCTTGAGCTCAGAAGCTCAAGACCAGCCTGGGCAACATGGTGAAACCTCAACTCTACAAAAAAAAAAAAATGCAAAAATTAGCTGGGCGTGGTGGCGCACACCTGTGGTCTCAGCTACTCGGGAGACTGAGGTAGGAGGATCACTTGAGCCCAGGAAGTCAAGGCTGCAGTGAACTGAGGTTGCACCACTGCACTCTGGGTGACAGAGTGAGACCCTGTCTCAAAAAAATAAATAAATAAAAATAAAATAATAAAATTAGAAAGGCATGGTGGCATATGCCTTATAGTTCTAGCTACTCAGGAAGCTGAGGAGGGAGCATGGCTTGAGCCCAGGAATTGGAGGTTACAGTCAGCTATGATCGTGCCACTGCACTCCAGCCTAGGTGACAGAGCGAGACGAAGACCCTGTCTTTCTTTTTTTTGAGCCAGAGTTTTGCTCTTGTTGCCCAAGCTGGAGTGCAATGGCATGATCTCGGCTCACTGAAACCTCCGACTCCTGGGTTCAAGCCATTCTCCTGCCTCAGCCTCCCGAGTAGCTGGGATTACAGGCATGTGCCACCACGCCCGGCTAATTTTGTATATTTATTTATTTATTTTATTTTTATTTTTATTTTTATTTTTTTTGAGACAGAGTCTCGCTCTGTCACCCAGGCTGGAGTGCAGTGGTGCGATCTGGGCTCGCTGCAAGCTCCGCCTCCCGGGTTCACGCCATTCTTCTGCCTCAGCCTCCCAAGTAGCTGGGACTATGGGCTCCCACCACCACGCCTGGCTAATTTTTTTTGTATTTTTTAGTAGAGACGGGGTTTCACCATGTTAGCCACGATGGTCTCGATCTCCTGACCTCGTGATCTGCCCGCCTCGGCCTCTCAAAGTGCTGGGATTACAGGCGTGAGCCACCACGCCCGGCCAATTTTGTATTTTTATTAGAGATGAGGTTTCTCCATGTTGGTCAGGCTGGTCTCAAACTCCCGACCTCAGGTGATCCGCCCGCCTTGGCCTCCCAAAGTGCTGGGATTACAGGCGTAAGCCACCGCACCTGGCCAAGACCCTGTCTTTTAAGAAAATGGATAAATAAAACATAAAAAAAGAAGGTAGCCAGTCGAGGTGGCTCGTGCCTGTAATCCCAGTACTTTGGGAGGCCGAAGTGGGCGGATCACCTGAGGTTGGGAGTTTGAGACCAGCCTGGCCAACATGATGAAATGCTGTCTCTGCTAAAAATACAAAAATCAGCCAGGCCTGGTGGTGGGCAACTGTAATTCCAGAGACTTGGGAGGGTGAGGCAGGAGAATCGCTTGAACCCGGGAGGTGGAGGTTGCAGTGATATGAGATCGCGCCACTGCACTCCAGCCTGGGCGACAGAGTGAGACTCTGTCTCAAAAAAACAAAACAAAACAAAAACAACAACAAAAATTTAAATAAATAAATAAAACATAAAAAAAGAAGGTGGGGCCAGTGCAGACATGACTTCAAGGAGGTGCGGGAGGCTGCTGGCTGGGGTAACAGAGAGAGATCATGGTGTTTGTCAGCAAGCCTCACTCATGATCCTGAAAGGATGTGCCGCCTCCATTAAAAAAAAATTTAGGGCCAGGCGCAGTGGCTCACGCCTGTAATCCCAACACTTTGGGAGGCTGAGGTGGGTGAATCGTCTGAGTCAGGAATCCAAGACCAGCCTGGCCAACATGGTGAAACCCTGTCTCTACTAAAAATACAAAAATTAGCCAGGCGTGGTAGTGCATGCCTGTAATCCCGGCTACTTGGGAGGCTGAGGCAGGAGAATTGCTTGAACCTCGGAGGCGGAGGTTGCGGTGAGCCAAGATTGTGCCATTACACTCCAGCCTGGTGACAGAGCGAGACTCTGTCTCAAAAAAAAAAAAAAAAGGTAAAACACAGAGTTTGTTAGATAGGAGAAAAATCAAACAGGACTGAGGACAGGGAGTTGATGTCGGGGGACCTTGGGCTTGCCCCAGGACCACTCCGTGGTGACTGCCTGATGGGGCAGACACTGTCCCCAGCCTAAAACCACAGGAACTTGAAGCCCTCCCCCAAGGCTTCACTTTCCTCCTCCATAACACCTGGGGATTGTAAGGGAGGCCTCCAAGCTCTGACCTGAGGGTGTGAGCCCTGCAGCTGGTCTGAAGTGGGAGAGCAGGTGGCGCGGGCCCTGCCTCTAGGAGAGCCGTGCCAGCTGTGGGCCAGATGGTGGCCAGGCCCGTGGATGCTGCCTGCTATGTCCCTGCCTGCCGGCTCTGCTAGACCACAGGTCATCATTACTGGATGAGGCGTGTGCAGTCACCGGCGTGGGCCCTCCAGGTCCTCCACTTGTCTCTGCTCCATGCCAGTGATAGTGGCCTCTAGAGCTCAGGCCAACAGCTCTGGCAGAGGTCACTGGCCTCACTCTGCCTCACTCGACATCCCATCTGTTCCATCTCTTTTTGGTCCCACCTGCAAAGTGCATCTCAACTAGGACTACCTCCCACCCCTCCATGTCTGTCACCCTGGGATGAGCCCTACCCATTTTTCCCTGGATTATATGCCTCCTGACTCATGTCCCAAATTCAAGATATTGTCCCCCAGTTGTCAGACACTGTTGAACAGTCAGACACTGTAACACTGTTAAATTGACACTGTTAAAACCAATGTCAGCTGGGTGCAGTGGTTCACGCTATAATCCTGGCACTTTGGGAGGCTGAGGCGGGCAGATCACTTGAGGTCAGGAGTTCGAGACCAGCCTGGCCAACATGGTGAAACCCCGTCTCTAATAAAAATACAAAAATTATGCTGGGCACAGTGGTTCACTCCTGTAATCCCAGCACTTTGGGAGGCCAAGGCAGGTGGATCACTTGAGGTCAGGAGTTTGAGACCAGCCTGTCCAACATGGTGAAACCATCTCAACTAAAAATACAAAAATTGGCTGGGCGTGGTGGCACATGCCTGTAGTCCCAGCTACTCGGGAGGCTGAGGCAGGAGAATCACTTGAACCTGGGAGGCGAAGATTGCAGTGAGCTGAGATTGTGCCACGGCACTCCAGCCTGGGTGACAGAGTGAGACTCCATCTCAAAAAAAAAAAAAAAATTAGCCAGGCATGTGGTACATGCCTGTAGTCCCAGCTACTCAGGAGGCTGAGGCAGGAGAATGGCTTGAACCCAGGAGGCGGAGGTTGCAGTGAGCTGAGATCGCACCACTGCACTCCAGGGTGGGCCACAGAGCAAGACTCCGTCTCAAAAACAAAACAAAACAAAACAAAACAAAAACCCAGTGTCAATTACATTGCCACTGCTTACAAGCCCCCTCTCCCTTCTCATTTCATGCAGAGGACCCCAAAAATGATCCCCAAAGCCCTCTGTGACCTGAAGCACCTCCTGTTGCCTCCCACCCATTCTCCTCCCCTCTCCTCTCCCTCTTCCTAATTTTTCTCTGCCAGGCCACTCTCTAGGCACGCTCCTGCCCCAGGGACATTGCACTGGCTGCCCTGTGCTATGTGATCGTGGAGGACAGATCACACAGTGTGTCCAAAGTGCAGTGAGTCTACAGCACACTATGTGTGTGTGCACAGCCAGGAGCCCAGAGAACCTCTTCTTTCTTATCTTCAGCTGTGTGTCTTGTGTGTCTGACATATGGGTCAAATCTGGATGTTTATGAAGTGTGCGTGCATATGGACACCATTGATTTCAAATGTTATTTGTGGCGGGTGTGTCAGCTGTAGGTCGCTGCTGAGTGAGGTTTGATGCCTGCATGTGGTTCGTCTGGAACAAAGACTCCTGGGGCGGTGCTGACTTAGGGCAGGCAAGGGTGTGTGTGTGTGTGTGCAGAGCTTGCCGGAACGTGAGCTGTTCATGCACGCGTGCATTCAACATTTGCAGAGTGCTTACTGTGTATTGGAGATGCCAGCAGTTCCCTTCAGCACTTGGTATCTGTCAGCTTGCACAGGGTCATCTGAGAGCATTTTGTGTAACGATTGAGCACGTATTGTTGTATCAGGCCCTCTGTTGGAGATGCTGGTTGAGTGCGGTCCAACCTGCAGGAGTCCACTCAAGCAGGCCCCTTCCTTCCTCCTATGGGGTCTCCAGCCCCATAGCCACCTCCTTCTTCCAGCACTGACGGGAAAGAAGGCTTTGAGCTCCTTCTGGATCACTGCTTTCTGCCCAAGACTGCACAAGTCAGAGTTTTCTGACTTGGAGGTTAAAAGAATAAATGAGCTCCAAGCTACAGAGGGGATCCTGGGAGCCTGGAGCTTACCAGAGATGGGGGGTGAGGGGTGCCCCCAAAAGGTCTAGATGCTTCATAGACGCCTATAGATGCAGGACTTTGAGCCCTGGCTGAGGGTCAGTGTGTTGGGAGGGCTGGTGCTTGGGGATCTGAGGGTGTTGGGTCCGGTGGAATGGACTTTGGGAGTGTAAGGTTTGAAGGATCTGTGGGCAGGGATTTGGGGGAGTGGGAGATGAGTTTTGAGTAGAGAATGGGAGATAATTGGATGTGCAGGGTTTTAGAGTATGAGAAACCAGAATTGGTGTATGAAGCAGGTGGTGGGAACCTAAGGCCAGATGATTGGGGTCTCAGGGTGGAGGCTCTGAAGAGGGTATGTCAGGGGAGGGTGGGGAACCATGAGGGGCTGGAAGTCTGAGGCCTGGGCATGGGTGAGTTTCGCCCCTGAGAGAGGCCTGGGAAGGAGGTAAGACTGGAGTCGGGGTGTGCAGGGTGGGGAGAGGGAGGGTGTGGTTCTCAGAGCTTAGAGACCCATTTCTCCATGCTCCATCTCACCCTCCCTCCCACCCTACCTATAACTCACTTCCCTGTGGCTCCAACGCCTCAAAGTATAACCACGCCCAGCCAACGCCCGGGGCACGCCTGCCAGCGCCCCAGGGCACTCACAGACACTCCTTAACACCTGCACGTGCCCCGCCCCTCCTCAGATCCGCCGCTCACTTAGCCCGGCCCCACCCCCATCAGATGAGGCTCCGCCCCCCCGGCCCCGCCAATCCCTCGCCCCCTCCACGCACACACCCCTGATCTTCCCCGCCCTCCTTCCAACCAGACTCCACCCCTCGCCCAGGCCCCGCCCTTCCTCAGACCAGGCCCTCTCTTCGCTTGACCACATCCATCCCCAGATTCCTCCTCTCTCCTGCCCAGACCCGCCCAACCTCAGACCCATCTTCTCCTTTCTACCTCCCCGACCACTCCCCCACCGCATTCCTAACCTCCACCTTGTCCCTTCTCACACCTGGCCCCGCCCTTTATCCTGCGCCCCGCCTCCTCCGCAGGCCGGACCCTTGTCCCTCCTCCTCTTGCCCTGGGCCTGCCCCTTCTTCAGACCCCGCCCCACTCCTCAGCCCAGGGACCAACCCCATCCTGCGCCTACTTGTCCTGCTTCGCCCCGTCCCCACCTATCCACAGACAATACGCCCTCTCAGCCCAGAACCGCTTCCCTTTCAGACTTGGTTCCGCCCCTCACGCCAGGGTCCCGCCCCAATCCGGCACCCCTAGCCCAGGCCCCGCCCTGGACCCACCTCTCTGCATAGCAGGCCCCTCCCTTTATCCCAGACCCGCCCCGGCCCTCCGTAGACCACGCCCCTCCGATTCCGGGCCCGCCCCAATCCTTGGTTTCTGGTCCCGGCCCCGCCCCTCCGCAGACCTGGCCCCGCCCCGCCCCCCGCGTCTCGGTTTCCCGGGCCTGCGCGCGCGGCTCCCGTCACTCGAACGCGCGACGGCGGGGGGAAGATGGCGGAGTCCGGCGGTAGCAGCGGTGGTGCTGGTGGCGGCGGCGCTTTCGGCGCGGGCCCGGGCCCCGAGCGCCCGAACAGGTGAGACCCGGCCCGCAGGATAGACCTGCACCTGTCTTGGAGCCCAGGAAACCTGTGGGCAGTCTTGGGCGTCCTGAGGGGTTGAGGGGAGGCCTGGCACGGCTCGAGGGTCTTTCGCTGAGAATTTGGACTTTACGGGGCCGTGGGGTACTGGAGGAGCCGAGGGCTACTGAGGGGGTGGCTGGAGGGGGGCTGGGTGCCCCAGGACCTCGAGGCGTCTGCAGGCGGCCCTAGGGACCTGAGAATCCTGGGGGTCTGAAGGGAAACCGAGGGGCTCTTGACTGTGGTGGGCCGTGGGGCAACTGGGGATGCCAAAGGGCCTGGGCAGCAGAGAGGGCCTGAGCAGGGGCCATGCCATGGCCAGTCTGAGGGTGGTGAGGTGTCTTGGGGGCTCTGAGGAAGGGGCTAAGGCCCAAGGCATCCTGGGAGGTGCTGAAGGGCCCCAAGGTGGCTAAAGGTGGTCCTGAGAGCGTGCTGAGGGGCGCTGGAAGGAGTAGAGACTGTGGGAGGCTCTGGGTGGGGGACTTAGGTGAATCTGGGAGTCTGAGATGGGGAGGCTGAGGGGGCCTGGGGTGGGTCTAGGGAACCTGAGGGGGGTGAGAGAACTCCAGGGGGTTTATAAAGAACATACAGAGGGTTCTTCTTTGGGGCTCCTCCCTTCCATCCCCATGGGGTCCAAATCCACATCCCCAACAGGCTAAAGGACTTACAGAAAGGTCTTGCCCTCAGACAAGGGGACAGAATTCACCCCTTTGGTCAGAGGGAGGCCCCCTTTCCCCATGGCCCAGTCCTGACATGGATTGCTTGAACGTCCAGGTTTGCATGACAATTAGTTATCATCAATAACTAATGATATGTGTGTGCATGCATTGTATTGGATTGTCAGAGGGAAAGAACACCTGCCTTAGGAGTGTGATCTCCTGCTCTTTTCCTATTGGGCAAAGCCAGACCCTCCCACCCCAGCTCCTCCTCTAGCCCAGCACCCAGGTCAGGCCAAGGAGGAAATTCAGGCTTTTTCTTGCTGGTGAGCTTCCAGGAGCCAGTAATTTCAGGCAACATGATAAATGATGAAGTTGTTTGATACTTACGTGCTGTGGAGTTTTGGACCTGTGGGCTGATTGTTGGAGGGAATGGCCTGATGGCCTGGCTGTGTGATTTGGTACTGAATGGAACACGCATGGGATGGGTGGGGAAGGGAGGAGGGATGGCTGGGCCAGGGCACAGAGGAGGCAAAGGCCCTGCCTGTTCCTGAGGATGCTGAGTGGCACCTTGAGACTTAGGTCTGTGGGCATTGAATCTGGTCTGCCAGAGGGGCCATGGGGAACCCAGGAGGTGTGTGTCCAGAGGGGTGACCAGCCTCCTGGGGTAGGTGTGGGGCAAGATTGTCCTGCAGTAGGGAGCCAGGAGATGTCAGAGGATTTTCAGAGATATTCAGGGAGTGGCCAGGGCTTGAAAATTGGGTATCAGTTGGCAAGTAAGGGACAGGGAAGAGGGACAGTGAACCCCAGGTCCCTGCCTTGGGCACTGGAGTGGGATAACCTGGGGCTAGGGCTTTTTTTATTTTTATTTTTTTGAAACCCCGTCTCGCTCTGTCACCCAGGTATCTAGGCTGGAGTGCAGTGACGCCACCAAGGCTCACCGCAGCCTCAAACTCCTGGACTCAAGTGATCCTCCCACCTCAGCCTCCTGAGTAGCTGGGACTACAGGTGTGCACCACCACACTTGGCTAATTTTTAAATTTTTTGTAAAGACCAGGTCTTGCTCTGTTGCCAGGCTGGTCTCAAACTCTTGGGCTCAAGCAATCTTCTTGCCTCACCCCTCACTAAGTGCTGAGATTACAGATGTGAGCCACCATGCTGGGCATGGCTCTTTTTTTATAAACAGCTTTATCAAGATATAATTAATTGCATGGCATACAATTCACTCATTTTGTTTTTATTTATTTATTTATTTTTTGAGACAGAATCTTGCTCTGTCACCCAGGCTGGAGTGCAGTGGCGCAATCTCGGCTCACTGCAACCTCTGCCTTCCAGGTTCAAGGGATTTTCCTGCCTCAGCCTCCTGAGTAGCTGGGACTACAGGTGCCCGCCACCATGCCTGGCTAATTTTTGTATTTTTTAAGTAGAGACAGGGTTTCACTGTTGGCCAGGCAGGTCTGGCATTCCTGAGCTCAGGTGATCCACCCGCCTCGGCCTCCCAAAGTGCTGGGATTACAGGCGTGAACTACTGCACCCAGCCAATTCACTCATTTTAATTTATCATTAAGTTTTTTTTTTTTTTTTTTTTTTTTTTGAGATAGAGTTACTCTGTTGCCCAGGCTGGAGTGCAGTAGTGTGATCTCGGCTCACTGCAACCTTTGCCTCCTGGGTTCAAGCAATTCTCCTGCCTCAGCCTCCCGAGTAGCTGAGACCACAGGTGCATGCTACCATGCCCAGCTAATTTTTGTATTTTTAGTAGAGACGGGGTTTTGCCATGTTGGCCAGGGTGATCTTGAACTGCTGACCTCAAGTGATCTGCCCGCTTCAGCCTCCCAAAGTGCTGGGATTACAGGTGTGAACCACTGTGCTCAACCCAGGTCATTAAGTTTCAGTACATTTACTGAGTTGTGCATCCTTCACCACAATCCAGTTTTTTGGAATGCTTCCATCACCCCAAAGAGTTCCCCCAAGCTCGTCTGCAATTAACCCTGCTCCACCAACATACAGCCCCGGGGACATCCTGATCTGCTTTCACTCTCTGTAGCTTTGCCTTTTCTAGAAATTTCGTAAGAATGGAATCAGACATGTGGCCTTTACGTCTGGTTTCTTTCCTTAACATAATGTTTTTGAAGTTCATCTGTGTTGTTGTATCAGAAATTTGTTCTTTTTCACTGTGGAGTGAAAATAAACAAACTGTGTCCGTCCATACAATCTCGTATGGACGGACACAGTTTGTTTATCCATTAACTGGTTGATGGACTGTTGGGTTGTTTCCATTTTGACAACTGCAAATAAAGTTGCTGTGAACATCTGGATATGTGTCTCTGTGTGGACGTATATTTTCATCCTCTTGGGTAAATACTTAAGAGTAGAATGACTAGTTCATATGGTAGATGTGTTTAAATTTCTTTTTTTTTGAGACAGGGTCTCACTCTGTTGCCCAGGCTGAAGTGCAGTGGTGCAATCACGGCTTACTGTAGCCTCTACCTCCTTGGGCTCAGGTGATCCTCCCACCTCAGCCTTCCAAGTAGCTGGTAGGTACTACAAGGGCGTATGCCACCACACCCAGCTATTTTTTCTGTGCTTTTGTTGAGACAAAGTCTTGCCATGTTGCCCAGGCTGGTCTTGAATTCCAGGGCTCAAGCAATCTTCCCACCTCTGCCTCCCAAAGTGCTGGGATTACAGGTGTGAGCCACTACGCCTGGCTATGTTTTAATTTTTTTTTTTTTTTTTTTTTTTTTGAGATGGAGTCTCTCTCTGTTGCCCAGCAGTTGTTCACTGCAACCTCTGTCTCCTGGGTTCAAGTGATTCTCCTGCTTCAGCCTCCTGAGTAGCTGGGATTGTAAGGATGCGCCACCACACTCAGCTAATTTTTGTATTTTTAGTAGAGACGGGGTTTTGCCATGTTGGCCAGACTGGTCTTGAACTCCTGACCTCAGGGGATCCGCCTGCTTCGGCCTCCCAAAGTGCTGGGATTACAGGTGTGAGCCACTGAGACTGGCCATGTTTTAATTTTTAGGAAACTGCCAAGCTTGTTCCCAAAGTGGCTGTACCATTTTGCATCCCCACCAGCAATGTTCAAGAGTTCCAGCTCCTCCTCATCCTCACTAACACCTGGTATGGCCAGTCCTTAGTTTTAGCCATTCTTATAGGTGTGTGCTGGTGTCTTCATTTGGTGTTTTTATTTATTTATTTATTTGTGAGATGAGGTCTCACTCTGTCGCCCAGGCTGGAGTGCGATGGTGCGATCCTAGCTCACTGCACCCTGGAACTCCTGGGTTCAAGCAATCTTCGGGCCTCAGCCTCTGGAATAAGTGGGATTACAGGTGTGCACACCACTGTTCCCAGTCTTATTTTGGTTTTAATTTGCATTTCTCTAATAACTAATGATGTTGGACAGTTTTTCATGAGCTTCTTAGCTATTCATCTCTTTGGTAACGTGTCTTTTCAAATGTTTGGGCCATTTTTAAGTTGGGTTGCCTTTTTTTTTTTTTTTTTTTTAAGACTGAGTCTCGCTTTGTTGCCCAGGCTGGAGTGCAGTGGTGCGATCCTAGCTCATTGTAACCTCCACCTCTTGGGTTCAAGCGATTTTCATGTCTCAGCCTCCCGAGTAGCTGGGATTACAGGTGCATGCTACCACACCCGGCTAATTTTTGTATTTTTAGTGGAGACGGGGTTTCACCATGTTGGCTAGACTGGTCTCAAACTCCTGACCTCAGGTGATCTGCCTGCCTCAGGCTCCCAAAGTGCTGGGATTAGAGGCATGAGCCACCACACCCGGCTCTTTTTCTTTTTTCTTTTTTTTTTTTTTGAGATGGAGGCTTGCTCTGTTGCCCAGGCTAGAGTGCAGTGGCGTGATCTTGGCTCACTGCAACCTCTGCCTCCCAGGTTCAAGCAATTCTCCTGCCCCAGCCTCCCGAGTAGCTGGGATTACAGGCGTGTGCCACCACACCCGGCTAATTTTTGTATTTTTAGTAGAGACGGGGTTTCTCCATGTTGGTCAGGCTGGTCTCGATCTCTTGACCTTGTGATCTGCCCGCCTCAGCCTCCCAAAGTGCTGGGATTACGGCGTGAGCCACCATGCCCGGCCCTCTTTCTTAAAAGACATCTTTGTCATTCTCCCCTATCCTCCATCCTAGTGAAAAATCACTGTTTGGAGCAACTGATAGGGGCATCTCATGCCTCAGGTGCTAGTGTGGGGAGAACCCCTAATGTGGCAAGATGGAGCATGCAGAAAATGGATCATATTTTGAGGGAGATTGGTACAAGACATTCTCCCAAAAGTCATTTTGAGACATTGAGTCTTTGTAGCATTGTTCGTCTGTTCCTTCATTTATTGCAAATGGGACAGCCAGGCCTGGAGCACGACCCACCTCCTCGCCTCAACCTGCCCACGTCTCCTTCCTCTTCATCCTTCCACTCTCCAAGGTTCTGGCCCCTCAGAGCCACCTGCCTGACCATGCAAGCTCAAGTAGTCCCCAGGACACTTTTGCTAGTCACCTAGTGTGTGTGTGTGTGTGTGTGTGTGTGTGTGTGTGTGTGTGTGTTTGAGATGGAGTTTCGCTTTTGTTGCCCAGGCTGGAGTGCAGTGGCATGGTCACTGCAACCTCCACCTCCCGGGCTCAAGCAACTGATTCTCTTACCTCAGCCTCCCGAGTAGCTGGGATTACGGGCGCCTGCCACCAAGCCTGGCTAATTTTGTATTTTTAGTAGAGGTGGGGTTTCTCCATGTTGGCCAGGCTGGTCTGGAACTCCTGACCTCAGGTGATCTGCCTGCCTGGGCCTCCCAAAGTGCTGGGATTACAGGCGTGAGCCACTGCGCCCGGCTTGTGGTTTTTTGTTTGTTTGTTTGGTTTGGTTTGAGGAAGAGTCTCACTCTGTCGCCCATGCTGGCATGCAGTGTCGTAGCTACCTGCAGCCTTCTTGACCTCCTGGGCTCAAGCTATCCTTCTGCTTCAGCCTCCCGAGTAGCTGGGACTACAGGCATCTACTAACACACCTAATTTTTTTTTTTTTGAGACATTGTCTCATTCTGTCGCCCAGGCTAGAGTGCAGTGGCACAATCTGGACTCACTGCAACCTCCACCTCCTGGGTTTAAGCGATTCTCCTGCCTCAGCCTCCTGAGTAGCTGGGATTACCAGTGCACGCCACCACGCCCAAATAATTTTTGTATTTTTAATAGAGACGGGGTTTCACCATGTTGGCCAGGGTGGTCTTGATCTCCTGACCTCGTGATCCACCTGCCTTGGCCTCCCAAAGTGTTGGGATTACAGGCGTGAGCCACTGTGCCTAGCCCACACCTGACTAATTTTTAAAAATTGTTTTGGGCCGGGCGCGGTGGCTCATGCCTGTAATCCTAGGACTTTGGGAGGCCGAGGTGGGCAGATCACTTGAGGTCAGGAGTTTGAGACCAGCCTAGCCAACATGGTGAAACCGCTTCTCTACTAAAAATACAAAAATTAGCCAGGATTGGTGGCACGTGCCTGTAATCCCAGCTACTCGGGAGGCTGAGGCAAGAGAATCACTTGAACCCGGGAGGCAGAGGTTGCAGTGAGCTGAGATCGCTCCACTGCGCTCCCACCTGGGCGAGAGAACCAGACTGTCTTAAAAAATATATATATTATTTTATAGAGATGGGGTCTTATTATTATTTTTTTTTGAGATAGAGTTTTGCTCTTGTTGTCCAGGCTATAGTGCAATGGCATGATCTCGGTTCACCAAAACATCCGCCTCCTGGGTTCAAGCGATTCTCCTGCCTCAGCCTCCCGAGTAGCTGAGATTACAGACATGTGCCACCATGCCTGGCTAATTTTGTATTTTTAGTAGAGATGCGGTTTCTCCATCTTGGTCAGGCTGGTCTCGAACTCCTGACCTCAGGTTATCCGCCCACCTTGGCCTCCTAAAGTGCTGCGATTACAGGCATGAGCCACTGTGTCCGGCCAAGATGGGGTCTGATTATGTTGCCCAGGCTGGTCTTGAACTCCTGGGCTCAAGTGATCTTCCTGCCATAGCCTCCCGAAGTGCTGGGATTACAAGCATGAACCACTATGCCCAACCTGTATTTTTGTTTTTTGTTTTTGAGGTACTATATATGTAACACAAAATTCACCCACTTTAAGTGAACAATTCAGTGGCATTTAGTACATTCACAGAATTGTGCAACCATCACTGCTGTCCAGTTCCAAAACATCTTTGTCCCCGCAAAAGGTGACCCCATCTTCATTAGCACTAACCCCCTATTCTCCATTGCCCAGCCCCTGACAATCACCAATCTGCAGTCTGTCTCTATCCGTTTTCAAGTTTTATAGGTAGAATCATGCACTATGTGGCCTTTTGAGTCTGGCTTCTTTCACTCAGCATGATGCTTTGGGGGTCATGCATGTTGTAGCCTAAATCAGCACTTCATTCCTTTTTATGGCTGAGTAATATTCCACTGTGTGGATGCACCACATCATCCATTCATCTGTTGATGGACACTTAGATTGGTTCCACCTTTTGGCTATTATGAATCATGCTGCTATGAACATGAGTGTACACATTTTTGTCTAAACACTCATGTTCAGTCCTTTGGGGTACACATCTAGGAGCAGAATTGCTGGGGCGCATGCTTGTTGTATATTCTTGATCATGCTGGTCACCACCTAACGTTATTTGTTGTGTTTCTCTGGTGCCTTGAGGTTGGAAAGCCTGTCTCTCTTGTGCCCTCTTGTGTGCCTGGAACATGAATGACACAGAAGGAGGAAGTGTCCCAGAGACGTGGCTGAGAGGGAGGAAGGGAGGGATGGGGGTGTGCAAAAGCTTATTGCTCTCTGAGGCTTGCAGTCTGGCAGGTAGGAATTCCCTTCTATGGGATCAGGTCGATCTTTTGCCTTTCCAGTGAGGCTTGTGGGGCTGCTGGGGGGCAGTGGGGGCTGGCCTTAGTCTCTAGCTGCCTTTCTAGCCTGCCAGGCAACGCCCGCATCTGCCTTTTTGTCCCACGAAGGTTTTGTCTTTTGGCCAGGGGCGGGGGCAGTTCCTGTCTTCCCCCTGGCCCTTCCAGCGGTACCACAACTCAAGAAACTGTCCCCAGGAGGGACTGCGCTCCCCCACCCCCGACCGCCCCCAACGTTATATAACTTGTTTGTTCCAACTTCTGTCTTCTGCAACCGAGGGGGAAAAAAGAAAGAGAAAAGCTTATTCTCCTTCCTTCCTATCTCGAGGGATCAACAAAAAACCCGTTGCCTAGTAGAGGTGGTCATTAATGACTGAGCCGAACCTCAGGGATGGACAGAGTGGGGCTGCCCTGGCTGGGGTGTGCGGAGAGGAGGTGGGGTCCTTGCTGCAAGCACAAAGGACACTTGTTCACCAGCTGGCCTCCTCCCAGCTCGGGCCGCGGGGTCTAGACTCCTTGGAGGGAAAGGAGGCTTGGGCCACTTGGGGTGTCGCAAGGGGAGGCAAACCCTCTGGGGAGTCGCACCTCCCCAGCTAAAATTCTGTCACTGTGAGGTACCTGACCGGCAGAGTTTTGGAGGAACCTTCTGGCCTTGCAGCCTCTCCGACATGGGCCTTTGGCATCCACGCTTTTTGGCCCACGCTCCCTGGAGACGCCTGGGTAGGGCCCAGGCTCACTGAGTCATGCTGTTCCTGGGGGTGAGGTGGGGGGATCTGGGTGAGGGATGTGCCAGCTTCAGGCATTTGCATAAGAAGTGGTGGCTAGGCTGGGTGCTTTGGCTCACTCCTGTAATCCCAGCACTTTGGGAGCCCAAGGCAGGCAGATTACAAGGTCCAGAGTTTGAGACCAGCCTGGCCAACATAGTGAAACCCCCTCTCTACTAAAAATACAAAAATTAGTCAGGTGTGGTGGTGGGCGTCTTTAATCCCAGCAACTCTGGAGGTTGAGGCAGGAGAATCGCTTGAACCTGGGAGGAGGAGGTTGCAATGAGCCGAGATCCTGCCACTGCACTCCAGCCTGAGCGACAGAGTGAGACTCTGTATCAAAAAAAAAAAAAAAAGAAGTGATGGCTGGGACGTTGTGCCCAGGGGCTTTGCTGCCTGCTGAAAGTGTTTGCATGGAAAGTTGTGGCCGAGACGCTGCGCCCGGTGGGTTTGTCACAGTCAGTCTGGCTGGGTGGCCTTTGCCTGTTGAAGCTTTCTCCACAATCTAGATCATCTCCACCAAGCCCAGAGGCCTTGGAAGGGTCCAGCCCCCCAGCTCCTGCTAGGAAGACTTAGGGGAAGAGGTGGCTTCCCAAGGAGGTTCTTGCTACTTTGGGGAAGTTCTCATTCCTTTGGCCTCTTGCCCCTTTCTTTTTTATTATTATTAATTTTTTTTGACGTCACTCTGAGCTCAGGCTGGAGTGCAGTGGCATGATTTTGGCTCACTGCAACCTCCGCCTTCTGGGTTCAAGTGATTCTCCTGCCTCAGCCTCCCAAGTAGCTGGGACTACAGGCGCCCACTACCATGCCTGGCTAGTTTTTGTATTTTTAGGAGAGATGGGGTTTCATCATGTTGGCCAGGCTGGTCTCGAACTCCTGACCTCAGGTGATCCACCTGCCTTGGCCTCCCAAAGTGCTGGGATTACAGGCATGAGCCAGTGCGCCCGGCCTCATGCCCCTTTCAGAAGGAGGATTTTGACCCTTCCAAGACGTGGACTCAAGTCCTTCTCCTGGAAAATGTGGTCAGATATGGCGGCATGAGGTGTCTCATCATACCCATGGGTGACTGTGGCTCCCTCTTTATGGGTTGTGGCTGTGACAGATTCCTCATCTGGGAAATGGGGCTCCAGGCCCACCAGGTGGGGGGTGTCTGGGAGGAAACGAGTGGGGAGAGGTCACATGTACCTCATCAGTGTTACTGTGGCAGTGCTGACGCCCATGATGGGGACACTGCCATCCTTCTGCCCGCCATGCCCGCATGGGCCTTGAGGGGATCGTCAATGCCAGCAAGCCTTGATGTGGCGTGCGTGTGTCAGGCAGGGAAAGGAGAGGGTGAACTTGAGCCATTGGGAAGACAGTAGTGCCATGACTTGGGCCGTAAGAGGGACAGCAGCAGGGGCAGCGAGAGAGTAGAGCACGTCCAGCGTGAGCTGGAGAGGGCAGGTTCCGCCAGGAGTAGGCCTGGGAGCAGGAGCTCGGCAGGGCGGGGGCAGGGGCGGCGGGGGGTGGCGCGTCTCAGCAGGGATGGGGGCAGGTGGAACTGGGCCAGCCCAAGAAGGGCACTGGCCCACAGGCCGAGCCACATCCAGGCCACTCGATCTGCCCCTCACAGCTGAGCCCCTTCTCTGGGAAGGAGGCCACCCTCTCCTCCCCTCCTTGTCGGCAGGTCCCAAGAGCTCTGGGAGTGGAATTGCTCTGAAAGCACTCACTTCAACCTGAATCGTGCAGTGCGATCGTCACAGCTGGACTGTTTCCACCTGGTAGCTGTGACCCCCGGGACGGCCTCCTTGTCGTTGTCCGTAGTTACCGGGGAAGAAAGGCTTTATTACCCTCCGCCATAATCGCACCATCTCCAGGGAGCCCCTGCGAATGTCATCCCACCTCCCCCACGGCGATTACTTTTTATCTCACCCACCTCTCCTCAGACACTGTAAAAGGGAGGCTTTCTCCTCACTCCAGCCCTTTGGTTTTTTCCTTTTTCTGATATTTGTGTGTGTGTGTGTGTCTTACCCTTTGGTTTTAGGGAATGTTTTAGATTTGGTGTTAAGAGGCCCTGGAGGAGGAAGAGAGGAGGAGGAGGAAGAGTGGAGGAAGAGGAGGAGGAGATGAGAGGGAGGAGGAGGAAGAGGAGGAGGAGAAAAAGAGGAGGAAGAGGAGGAGGAAGAGAGGAGGAGGAGGAAAGAGAGAGGAGGAGAAAAAGAACAGGAGAATGGGGAGGGAGAGAGGAGGATGAGGGGGAAGGACACAGATAGAAATAATTCAGCGACTTGGGGCCTTGGATCCTGGAAGAAGGGGGTGGGATCTACTGAAGGCAAGGGGTGACTGGGCAGCATGTGTCCCGGCATCCCCAGCTCTTTGCTCTGTGGACAGGATTTGTTAGACACATTTCTCTGCCTTTGTGCAGGTGCCACAGTCTCCTGTGTCCACCCCATGCCTGGTGCTGGACATGAAGGGTCCATGGGACAGATGGACCCTGCCCATGGGGCGCATACATGCCAGCAGGAGTTAGAGAACGTCGTGCGGTCATTTCCGGGCTGGCTGGGCCAGGGGGCCAGGGCAGGGTTTGGGTGAGCGGCATATCAGTCAGCCTCCTGTTTTGAAAGGATCCCTCTGTAGGCCGGGTGTGGTGGCTCACACCTGTATTCCCAGCACATTGGGAGGCCAAGGCGGGTAGATCACTTGAGGTCAGGAGTTCGAGACCAGCCTGGGCAACATAGTGAGATCCAGTCTCTACTAAAAATACACAAAACTAGCTGGGCGCAGTGGCGGGTGCTTGTAGTCCCAGCTGCTCTGGAGGCTGAGGCACGAGAGTCGATTGAACCCAGGAGCCGAGATTGCACCACTGCACTCCAGCCTGGGCGACAAAGTGAGACTCTGTCTCAAAAAAGAAAGGATCCCTCTGGCAAGAGACAAGGGACCCTCGGCCAAGGTGGGCCCTGGAGGGATGGAGAGGCACACGCAGGCTTGGGGATGCCTGGAGGTTGAGCTTGTGCTGACTGATAGTGGTGGCCAGTTTCTGCCCTCCCCACCGGGCAGGCTGAAGGTCAGGGTTGTCCTTGGTCCCGCGCGGCTGCACTGCCTGCAACAAGCAGCAGACTTGGAGGCGCCACCTGGCCTAGGGGATTCGCAGCCCTTCCTGTGTTCCAGAAAAGCCCTTCATGCCTCTCCTTGCTCAGGGTTCGTGCCACTTGGAGCTCCCACAGTCCTTGAGGGCTTCAGGTCTTCCCACCAGCAGGTCCCAGTCCTGGGAATGTCCCTCCTCCTGAGAGAAGGCCTCAGTCTGGCTGCAGCTGCCCAGGAGGTCCTCAGGTAGCATCTCTTGTGGGTTCCACCTTCGAGCCACAGCCTGGAGCCAGCTCCTCCTGCTCTCTCCTCCCCATCCCAGCTCAGAGCCACTCCTGGCTCTTCCCCTTCTGGGCATCATCCCCAACTCCAGCCAGCGGGACCCTCCTAAGGCAGGAATCAGACCACCTCACTCCCCTGCCGGCCACCTGCCAGTGGCTCCCTCACTCTCAGAACAAAATCTACTTCTTGATGTGACCCGCTGGGCCCCTGAGCTTCCGCAGCTCTGACGGCTCTGCTGGGCTCTGAAGCACGCTCACTGGAATGTCCTGTCCCAGTGATTTGCACGGCTCAAGTGTTGTCTCCTCGGGGCCTGGCCACTGTGTCCACCGTGGCGCCACTGCTCGCCCTGTCGTCATGGTACATTCTCTGCTTGAGGACCCATGTCCCTGTAGAATGTACGTTCCCCAAGGGCAGGGCTTTATCAGATCTTTTTACAGTGGTGGTCCTGGCGCTGGCACAGCTACTGGCACGGGATGGATGCTTTTGAGTGTAGATCCAGTGAGTACCCCACCCCGAACAGTCTTCGATGCATACCAGAGGGGAAGCCTCCTGGCATAGCTCTGCATGCCCAGGCTGGCCGAGGGTCATCCGCCTCTTCCTCTTCACTTCATTGAACCAGCAGGGTGTGGGCGGAGAAGCAGAAATTCACAGGCATGTTGTCAGTAAACCAGCCCTGTTACCTGTTACAGAGCCCAGGGCACCATACCGTTTTGCGTGTGCTGTCTTTAGTGAGTGAGCAAAACCTCAGCCCTGCATGTTAAAGCAAAGGCGGCAAACGACAGCCGCTCTCTCCCTGTCCAGCTGTCTGAAGTGGAAGTGGGGGCCAAGCCCGCTGGGTTCCCGCTGCCGGCAGCCCCGCCCTCCTCCTCTGGTAGCCGCTCTGCAGCTGTGCGGACCAGCTCTCTTAACACTTGTTAACCCCAGCCTCCAGTCCCTTCCTGCCCCCCACCCCGCCCCTTCCACATGTCTCTCCGGAGAGGGCCGCACAGAATTCACAGGACTCGTCTCCAACGGCTGCGCCAGCAATTCCCTAGCATTCCTCCTCTGCAGAGTGGATTTTGGTGCATGTCCAGCGTGATTTCAGACCCCTCACTGCGCAGCGGAGTGCCTGATCGCTCTGTGTGCACCACCACGGTGCACACTGAAAATATTGTGATCTGGGAGGAAGTAACCAGCACCTTGGGGGAATCACAGACCTTTCCTGCGAGGGCAAGGGCTTCCGGAATTGAACAGGCTGGGCCTGGAGGAGATCTTGAGGGGTGGACCTTCAGGCTTGTAAAGGCCTGGAGGGGGGTCACCCGAGGATCGAGGCCGAAGATGTTTACTGACGCCACAACTGTGAAATTCCACAGGGGTCAAAGACGGACCCGGGCGGGAGCGGTCTGGGCTGGATATCCGGAGAGTTCTGCTCTCCACGGGATGTTAGAATTTGAGGCAGTCTGCCTAAGGAGGCAGAGCAGAGAGGCATGTGATCACCCAGATCGTCTGAGAGCGGGACATTTTCCCGGAGCGGGGTGGAAGGAGTGTCAAGGTGACTGTGAGATGACAGACACGTAGGGGAGCCCCACAGAGGACCCCCAAGACACCCTCTCTGTTGCCATCAGCCTGAGTCATCCTCTATCTGAAAAACTTCCAGGACTGAAGTTCGAGTTGGAAGCACGCGTTCTCCTTGGTGAAGTCCGTCCTGTCCCAGGAGGGCTGCGCTAGGTCTCTCCTCTGGCTCCCCCTCCTCGGGTCCTCGTGGCTCTCTGTCGTGTGAAGCGGGGGGTCAGGAGCGCACAAATGTTTATACTCCACGTGAGTCACTTGCACAGATGACGGGTGATGTTTTCCTCGCCAAGGCTGATGGCACCGGGCCCCTTTGCCGTTCCAGCCTCAGTCACGCCTCCAGTCTGTTAGCATTTAGAGTTGCTGAACTTTCGCATTGGTCAGGGGCGCGGGCAGCTTGCTGACCTTTTCTGGGAGTCGTGGCGGACGGAGTGGAGCCGTCTGTCTCGTCACAGACAGGCGGGGCTGCGGCTGGGGATGGCCGCCGCCCACTCGCCCTCAGAATGGCCCTCAGCGGGGCTTCCTGACCCCTCAGCCCCGGTAGGAAGCTGGTGTGCACTGCAGGGAGAGGCGGCAGCTGGAAAAGTGTTAAGGCCACAGTGGTTTTTCCAGAGGCTCGTCTGGAATGCCGTGGCTGGATCTGAGCCTCCTGACATCCGAGGCCCCTCTTGGTGGGGAGAGCCAGAAACCCAAGATACTGCCGTCAGTTAAAGACTCGAAGTTCACATTTTAAAAAGTGCAAGGAGACACCCGGTTTTAGGTACGTTGGGGTGCAAGGTCTGAAGGCTGGAATCTGTGGCTCCCTTCTTTCAGCTCTGTCATCCCTCTTGTCTGGGTGCTGCCCACCTGGTAGAAAGGGGACCTCACCTTGCCACTCCACTAGCCTGCCAACACCACCAGGAAGGCGACCCTTCATCCTGGTGGCTCCAGTAAAAATCCCAGGGAAGGCTCTGATTGGATCAGAAGGGCCAAGTCCCCATCCCAGGATGAATCCCTATGGCCAGGGGCCCTGGAGCCTCTGTCCAGTCTGTGTCACATCCATATTTTCAGCCCAGCAATGGGATCTGCCTGATCTCCACCACTGGGGCTGAGCATAGAGAAGAGGAGGTTCCAGAGGAGAACAGGGGGCCCTTATGAGAAGAGGGGAGGGATGGTAAACACCCCAAAAATGAAGATATTCATGACAGACCCCCTCTGATGCTGAAATTTGTGTTGTCTTTGGAAGGTGCTGGGCTAAGCTGTGGAGTGCCTGCATCTGGCCTGGCTCTGCTGGGGATGAGCAGTGCCATGTGGCAGCCCCGTCCCTTCTGGGGCTTCAACACCTGTCCTGCCAGTGGAGGCAGTGGGGTGGGCTGCCTTGCAGCACGTTACCACCCCGACATGCTAGAATTCAGCAGTGCTAGAATTTCACTGGGTTTCCAAGCGGTGCTCTGGAGCTGTGCAGTCATGTACCTACTTGCCTGAACTGTGGAGTGAAGGGATTTGCTCATTCAAGTGGTCCCTGCTGCCGGCCCAATGCAGTGGGACCAAGTCGGGGGATGGGCTGTGGCAGAAGCAGTCTCACCTCAGTGGGAGGGAATGGGAAAGGGAAGCCTCAGGCCGAGACCTGCCCACTCGTCAGCCCTGGATGGGGACCCAGCTGGGCCATGAGGGTGAGGAAAGCCATGGCAGAGAAGGCTCTGGGGTGGAGGCAGCAGAGGTGCTGAGTGCAGAAATGCTGGTGGGCTCAGGAGTGTGGTGGAGGGAGAAGGGTCTGAGGGCAAGAGGGTTGGCCACTCAGCACAGAGCACAACATGAGCAAAGGTCCAGAGACAGGATGTGCAGGAGAGTCCCACTGAGGGCTTCGCGGTGGATCCTGAAGGATCACATACACTAGGACTCGGGCCAGGAGGTCTTGTGGGGAGGAACAAGCAGTGAGCTAAGATAAGAGTTGGGCTCCAGCAGGCCAGGTGCGGTGGCTCCCGCCTGTAATCCCAGCACTTTGGGAGGCCGAGGCGGGCAGATCACCTGAGGCCGAGAGTTCGAGACCAGCCTGGTCAATGTGATGAAACCTCGTCTCTATTAAAAATACAAAAATTAGCTAGGTGTGGTAGTGGGCGCCTATAGTCCCAGCTACTCAGGAGGCTGAGGCAGGAGAATTACTTGAACCTGGGAGGTGGAGGTTGCAGAGAGCTGAGATCACACCACTGCACTCCAGCCTGAGTGACAGAGCCAGACTCCATCTCAAAAAAAAAAAAAAAAAAAGAGTTGGGCTCCAGCCCAGTGCTGCCACCTGGGAGCCATCCACCTGCCACCTCACTCATTCACTCACCCTCAAACCCCACCTCCCTGGCCAGCAGCAAGCTCTCTGCCTCCACAGCACCCCTCCCATCCTGGCTTGTACCTGGACCACAGTGTTGGGGCGTCCCCATCAGAACAGCCTCCACGAACCAAGGGAGCACCCACTTTGTATAAGGCCATCAACTGGGGTGGTGCAGTTCTGGTTCCTGGCTCCGTTGTCGGCAGGCAGCCTAGAAAAGGGGCACGGCTATCATCCCATTTTACAGATGGGGAAGTTGAGGCACAGAGAGGTTCAGGGGCTCATCCAAGGCCACACAGTAAACAAGAGGCAGAGGGACACTAGGTATGGCCAGCAGAGACCTTCTTTGGCCAGTGCACAGGTGCTTTTTGGCCTTTTCATGGTCCCAAGTGGGTGGGTCCTATGATCATCACCATGATGCAGATGGGGAGACTGAGGCTCAGAGGGCTGAGACTGCTCACCAAGGCTCTGCCTGAGCCTGGAGGATGCATGTGGAGCTAAACAGCAGGAAGAGCAAGACAGGGGCTCTTCAGGGCCGGCCCAGCACAAAGATGTGGATTTATCTGTCCATCTATCCACCCACCCTTCATCCACCATTCATCTATCTGCCACCCACTCACTCCTTCTTACCCACCTGTTCACACCTATGTCCACCAGTTCACCCACCCACCTGACCATCCATACCTCCACCTGTCCATCCACCCCACCACCCACCCACCCATCCGCCCACCCACCCACCTGCCCCTATCCACCCATCTTTTCATCAGTCCACCCTTCCATCCACCCACCCATCCACCTGCCCTTCCATCCACCCACCTACCCATGCCACCCACCCTTCCATCTACCCACCCACCCATCCATCCACCCATCCACCCACCCTTCCATCAGTCTACCCTTCCATGCACCCACCCATCCACCCTACCATCTACCCACCTAGGCACCCACCCACCCTTCACCCACCCACCCATCCATCCACCCGTCCACCCACCCTTCCATCAGTCCACACTTCCATCCACCCACCCACCCACCCTTCCATCTACCCACCTGCCCACCCACCCACCCACCCTTCCATCTACCCACCCACCCACCCATCCATCCGCCCTTCCATCAGTCCACCCTTCCATCCACCCACCCACCCTTCCATCTACCCACCTACCCACCCACCCACACACCCACCCTTTCATCTACCCACCCACCTATCCATGCACCCATCCACCCACCCTTCCATCAGTCCACCCTTCCATCCACTCACCATCCACCTGCCCTTCCATCCACCCACCTGTCCACCCACCCACCCATCCATCCACCCATCCACCCACGCTTCCATCAGTCCACTCTTCCATCCACCCACCCTTCCATCCATCCATCCACCCACCTACCCACCTACCCATCCATCCACCCATCCAGCCATCCACCCACCCTTTCATCAGGCCACCCTTCCATCCACCCACCCATCCACCTGCCCACTCTTCCATCTATCCACCCACCCATTCATCCACCCACCCACCCACCTACCCACCCACCCATCCATCTGCCCTTCTGTCTGTCACCCATCCATCTGCCCTTCCATCCACTCATCCATTAACTCATCTACTGCCCATCCAGGCACCCTTCCATCTACCCATCCACCTGCCTACCACTATCCATCTACCAACCCACCCACCCATCCACCAATCCACTCATCCACCATCTGCCCACTCATCCACCATCTGCCCACCCATCCACCTGCCCGTCCAGCCACCCTTCCATCTACTCACCTATCACTATCCATCCACCAACCCACCATCCACCAATCCTCTCATCTACCATCCGCCCACCCATCCATCCACCCATCCACCAACCTACACACCTGTCTGTCCACCCATCCACCCACCCTTTCATCCATTTATTCACCCATCCATCCATCTACCCACCCAGCTATCCACCCATCCATTCATCCGTCCATCCGTTCATCCACCCATCCATTAACTCACCTATACATCCACGCACCCTTTCATCCACCCATCCACCTATCCATCTACCCACCCATCTATCCACCCATCCATCCACTCATCCATTCACCCCTCCCTCCACCCACTTACCCATCCATTCACCCGCCCATTTACCCATCCACTCACCGATTCACCCATCTACCCACCCATTCATCTGTCTATCTACCGTTTGCCCATCCACCCACTCATTTACCCATCCATCTACCTGTCCATTCATTTGACTGCTCATCCACCCATCCAGTTGACAAGCATGACTGAGCTCCAACCATATGTTAGGCATGGCGGTGAGCACCAGAACATTACAGGAGACAGAACCTTGCCTGCTCGGCTTCCATGGGGTTCCCCTTTCAGCCATGGGGAGACAGGCTGGAAACAGATGATGTGGCAGATGGAGTGAGGAGCAGGGAAGACAAAAATGGCCCAGGTGGGGATCAGGGAGGTGGGGTGGCTGATGAGCCGTAGACCGAGGCTCTCCCAGCGGGACCTGGCAGGCACCGCCCCTTCATCTGTAGAGTGGGGTTCCCTCTCTTGCAGGGCGGCTGGAGGACTAGTGGGGTAAATCCACATTCTTGCCTGGGGCCGGCCTTGAAAAGCCCCTGTCTTGCTCTTCCTGCTGTTCAGCTCCATGTCCATCCTCCCAGCTCAGGCAGAGCCTTGGCGAGCTGTCTCAGCCCTCTGAGCCTCAGTCTCCCCATCTGTGTGATGGTCACGATCAGAGGCCCACCCACCTGGGACCGGGGAGAGGTCGACCAGCACCCGTGTGTTGGCTGAGGAAGGCCTCCTTTGGCCAAGCCTGGTGTCCCCCTGCCTCTGTTTACTGTATAACTTTGGGCCAGTGGCCGAACTTCTCTGTGCCTTCATTTCCCCATCTGTAAGATGGGATGGTAGCAGTGCCCCATCAGAGACTGCCTGCCACAAGGTGGGCCAGGAGCCAAGACTGCACAGACTGGGTGCTCCCTCGGTCCGTGAAGACTGTTCTGATGGAGACGCCCCAGCATTGTCATCTGGACATGGAGAGCCAGGATGGGAGGGGTGCTGTGGAGGCAGAGAGCTTGCTGCTGGTCAGGGAGGTGGGGTCTGAACACCCCCTTGTCTTCTGGGCCTTTGTTTGGATGGTGGGGCTTCCTCTTGTTGGCCTTGAGAAGTGGCTGGAGTTTGGCAAGTCCGGGATGGGGGCGCTGTGCATAATGTCTTCCTGTCCATTGGCCGCAGTCAGAGCCCCACACATCCTGGACTCCTGGTGGCATTGGTCAGAGGCTGGGATTAGGGCAGGACATCACAGCCCGGCCTTGAGGGCACTGGGCTTATGGTGACCCCTGAGGAGCAGGTGAGGGGTGGCCACACGTATCCATCATCCACCCACCCATGCCTCCAGCCTCCTTCCTCATCTAGAACACCCCCATGCTCCTGAGATGACAGCTTGCAAACCACTGCACCTCTAACCCCCTGTTTTCTGGAAGGTTTGAGCAAGGCTCAGGAAAGGGGAGGCCACGCAGCTTGCCCTGGCTTCATGGTGGGGTTGGTGGGGGACCTGCAGGATGGGGGTGGACGGGCCTCAGCTTTCTGCTCCCAGCTCTGTGGGCTTCACCTCTCAACCTGCTGAGCCTGAGAGCAGGGAGTGTCTCCTGCCACCTCACTGGGTCCTTGGGGTCATTGGTCGTGGTCCTTTCCAATTGATCCTCGATTCCGAAACCTGCCTGCCTGCCCTCCCTGAACTCCCGGTGTGACTTGGGCAGCCCGCCACCCTCTCTGAGCCTTGGCGTCCCTGGCCGTCACTTGGCTGTCTGGGGGTGCCAGCCCTGGGTACAGTGGCCTCCTGCTAGGCACTCCCAGATGCTCTGTCTCCTGTCATTCTGTCCCCACCCAGCAGGCACAGACAGGCTGAAGCCAAGGACAGACAGGCAGGGAATGGCTCCAGATCAGGAGGCTGGGAGGAAGGGGAAGGCCAGGGCCTCCTTCGCAGGGGTCAGAGGGCATCCATGCAGGACGCTGTGTGAGTTGGGCCAACAGGCGCAACTCACGGCGAGCCCTGTCTGCCTCAGTAGCGCGGGGCTCTTGGAGGAGGCTTGAGGGTGGGTGGGTGGGGAGGCCGCGAGGTTAGGGTGGCTCTGACCCTGCCTGGCCTGCCCAGCACGCCTGCCCTCCCAGCACAGGGCGGGAGTGGCGGGTTCCTGTTTGAAATGATTCGTGAAGATGTTGGAGAAAATCAGCATGTCAAGCAGGAGGGAGACACAGACAGCTGCACCCTGGCGGCCCCTGAGCTGCAGTCTCTGTCTCCCTGTCTCTGAGTCTCTGTCCCTCTCTCCCTGGGTCTCTGTCTCCCTGTCTCTGGGTCTCTGTCCTTCTGTCTTTGCATCTCTGTCTCTGAGTCTCTGTCCCTCTGTTTCTGCATCTCTGTCCCTCTGTCTCTGGGTCTCTGTCCCTCTGTCTCTGGATCTCTGTCTCCCTATCTCTGAGTCTCTGTCCCTTTGTCTCTGGGTCTCTGTCTCCTTGTCTCTGGGTCTCTGTCCCTCTGTCTCTGGATCTCTGTCTCCCTGTCCCTGGATCTCTGTCTCCCTGTCCCTGGGTCTCTGTCTCCCTGTCTCTGGGTCTGTGTCTCCCTGTCTCTGTCATGAGACAGGGTCATGAGAGAAGGTATCAGTGTGGTTGGAGTCTCTGTCTCCCTGTCTCTGGGTCTGTGTCTCCCTATCTCTGAGTCTCTGTGTCTTCATCTCTGGGTCTCTGTCTCCGTCTCTGGGTCTCTGTCTCCCTCTCCCTGGGTCTGTGTCTCCCTGTCTCTGAGTCTCTGGGTCTCTGAGTCTCTGTGCCTCCATATCTGGGTCTCTGTCTCCCTGTCTCTGTGTCTCTGTCTCTGGGTCTCTGTCTCTTTGTCTCTGTTGCCATCTCTGTGTCTCTGTCCCTCTGTTTCTGGGTCTCTGTCTCCCCATCTCTGTCCCTCTGTCCCAGTCTCTGGGTCTGTCAGTGGCTGAGTGTCCTGGCCTGCTGGGACACTGCGGTGGGGCCCTGCACCCGCTCCTGGCTCTCCCACTTGTCCATCCAGAAGCCATTATCTTTCCTCCACTCCCACGGGAGCCAAGGGAGGCAGAGAACAGCAGGTGCCTTGGAAGGGGCGGCCCCTTATCAGGAGGGATAACCCCAGGAAGTAGCCTTGGGCAGTCTGGGGGAGAAGCAGGGCGGCCGGGCCTCAGGGGCCTCTGAGCTGTCCCACGGGAAAGCTTGCTGACGTGAGCGTGGGGGCCGGAGCGTTTGAGGGCCAGCATGAGGTGCCGGAACCCAGCAACTCCATCCTGTGGGCTGGGAGCAGTTCCCAGTGCTGTGAAACATTGTGGTCACCATGGCAACAGTACTGGGGGAGCTGCCTTTGTGGAATGGGTGGGACCCTGCCTCTTTGCACCTTTTACCCTCGAGGCACGTGCCCAAGAGCCAGTGAGGACTGCAGCTGCTGGTGGCCAGGGGTGGGGGTGGCGGGGGAGCAGGGGCACGCTGGGCCGCGGTGTTCCCATCTTGGAGAGGGATACTGAGCCTGTGATCTCCCCGGCTGCTGGGGATTTGTGAGGCTGCATGTGAAGACCTGTGCCTGCTTGGCAAGGTCAGAGTGGGTGGGAAGGGTCATGAGAGAAGGTGTCAGTGTGGTTGGAGAGTAGGGTGGTGGCTGTGAGGCTGAGAGGTTGGTGGTGGGATTCCAGGCCCCCCACAGCTCTGGCACTCGAGCCCCACACCACCTCCCACACTGCCTGGTCGCTGTCACCCCCACCCCTGCCACCATTTCTGCTTCCCTTCCTTTCACTGGCTCTCTGTTCCTCTCTCCCTGTATTTCTCTCCTTGTCTCTCTGGGTCTCTGTCTCCCTGTCTCTGGGTCTCTGTCTCTCCCTCTCCCTCTCTCCCTGGGTCTCTGTCTCCCTCTCTCCCTGGGTCTCTGTCTCCCTCTCCGTCTCTCTAGGTCTCTGTCTCCCTCTCTCCCTGGGTCTCCGTCTCCCTGTCTCTAGGTCTCTGTCTTCCTCTCTCCCTGGGTGTCTCTTTCTCTCCCTCTTGCTGGGTCTCTCTTTCCCTCTCCCTCTGGATCTTTCTCTCCATCTCCCTCTCTCTGGGTCTCTGTCTCCCTGTCTCCCTGTCTCTAGGTATCTGTCTTCCTCTCTCTCTGGGTTTTTTTCTCCTCTTGCTGGGCCTCCGTCTCTCCCTCTCCCTTTCTCTGGGTCTCTGTCTCCCTCTCTCCCTGGGTCTCTGTCTCCCTCTCTCTGGGTCTCTGTCCCCTCTCTCTGGGTCTCTGTCTGTCCCCCTGTCCCCCTCTCTCTGGGTGCCTGTCTCCTTCTCTCTGGGTCTCTGTCTCCTTCTCTCTGGGTCTCTGTCTACCTTTCTCTGCGTCCCTGTTCCCCTCTGGGTCTCTGTACCCTCTAAGTCTCTGTCCCTTTATCTCTGAATCTGTTTTTCTCTCTCTGGGTATCTGTCCACTTCTCTCTGGGTCCTGTTTTTCTTTCTGTGGGTCCCGGTTCTTCTCTGGGTCTCTGTCCCCTCCAAGTCTCTGTCACTCCCTCTCCGAGTCTCTGTTTCCCTCTCTTGCTGGATCTCAGACAAGGCTCTCAGGATGGTCTTGGTCCAGTTGCCAGCCTGGGACTGGCTGGGAGAGAGGCTAGGGATTGGGCAGTGGCTTCTCAGCCGGCCCTGACATCCCCTGCTGTCCCCTGAAGTACAGCCTCTTCCCCACCCATGCACTGAGACCCTGGGGCGGCATCGCATCAGCCGGGGTGGGAGCCAACCAGCTGTGCTGTGCTGCTGTGCTCCTTCGAGCCACATGGACAATAAAACCAAAATTGGCTTTGAAAGTGGAAGTGCTCTCCTCTTTGAGGGGAAGTGAGGGACTGCGCGCGTCAGAACCGCCTATGAGGGGCAATGCCGGCAGGCTCCGTTCTGGCCCGAGCGCTGGGCTCCGCGTGGGGGTGGGAAAGGATTTTACAAAACCCCAAAGAAATGTTTCCATGAAATTCTTTCTTGTTCTTGCCTTTTTTTTTTCTTTTTTGGACATTCCAATGAAAAGAACCGTTCTGGGGCTTTGGATCGCTTCTCATGGGTTGGGAAGCCGACCATGGAGATGAGGCCAGCCCGGGGCCGGAGGAGGGGCGCCTGCCCTGACAGGTGCGTGCCCCTCACTCTTGTCCCCCTAGGCAGCCCCCACCTCCCTCTGCTCCTGATCCTCCCACGAGGCTTCATCCCTAGGGTGCCTGGCCGCAACCTCTGCAACTCTGAGCTTCTTGTGACCTCCCCCACGAGGCCATCGTGCCTTGGGCTGGGTTCCCCCAGAGCAGACTCTCAGGCGGGGGTTCGAGGGCCCCACGAAAGAACAGCGTGGGGAGGGAAGGAGCCTCCACAGGGTGTGTCAGTAGTGAGCAGGTGGTCCCAGGGCAACCCTTGGAGATCTCGGGAATCCCATAACAGGTGGTCCACCTGGGGGAGTTTACCCCACCCAGGCTCCCTGGATGTTAGCCCTAGCACATCCCTGCACTGGGACATCTGAGAGGAGCAGGGGTGGTGTTGCCAGGGCAGACCTGGGCGTGTCCTTGGGTCCAGCACAGGCCTGGGCCTGGCTAGGGTGCCCGATGACATTGCTGGGGGGATACAGCGGCAAGCGGGTGTCAGAATGGCCCCTAGCCCGGGCCAGGCCTGTAGCGGGGGCGTGTGGCCACTCAGAGGCCAGATTCGGGCAGAGGGTGCAGCCAGGGCGGGCAGCAATGGCCTCTTGAGACGGCCCTGGCCGGGGCTGCTGACGCATTGGCTCCGATGACTCACGTGCGGGTGACCGTCACTCGAGTGGCCGTCTGGAGACTCGGACCGGCTCAGGGCCACCGCCTTCCTGGGGGCCTGTGGCCCCGCCGTGCCGGCCGCCCCCTGTCTGGACCAGCCTGAGTAATGGGTCCTTCCCCTCCTCCCAGTGGCCGGCTGGAGAGGACCTTAGTCATCAGCCCTGGCCCCGGCCCTCCCTCCTCCGCCTGCCCACCTCCGCCCAGGCTGCGTCTCGCTTCTCCGTCCAGGCTGGGGGACTCCTGCCCCTCCTGGCCTCCTCCCTCCTTGAGTTCCCCAGGAGGGGCTGCAGTGGGGTGGGTTTGGCTTCACAGGGGCGGCAGTGAGGGTGACGTCAGGGGCCTCAGGGACAGTTGTCCCATCCCTAAGATGAGAGGAAGGAAACAGCCATGTGGAACGCGTCAGGCATCACCAGGGCATGAGGAGGAGGCCTGGGGAGGACAAGCTGCTTCCTCCCCTCTTTGGTCCAGCGTGGGCCCTGTGCCCTGTAACCAGCAGTGGATGGGCCTCACCCTGCTTTCTGGGCCTGGGGTGTCCTAAATTCCAGATGGGAGCATCCAGATTCTCCGAGTGTGTAGTCGTCACGTGCTAGTGGCAGCCTGGGTCCCAGGGCTCTGCGTTTGCTCATCTCATCCTCCAGCGGCCCTGGGGCTGGGGAGCTGGATGGTCATTTGCCCCTGCTTTGTAGCTGAGGCCTGGGTGGTTGAGTGACTGCTGAGTTCCCAGCTAACCAGAGCTGGCTTGGCCCAGGCTGCTGGCCCCTGATGTCTCCTCTGAGATGCCCTGCCAGTCAGCTGAACTGATCCTGCCTTCTGGGTTCCGGGCACCCTCTCTGCTTGCTGGGGAACCCACAGATCCCATGTTTGGAACACTGGCCCACCTCCCTGGTTTCCTGTTCCTCAGTCATCAGAGTAGCAGGGTGCAGGGCAGTAGCTCCTCTCCTCCCCAGAGGGAGGTCCTCTCTGTCCAACTTCTCAGTTCTCCAGATATGTTCTGTGCACTCATGGGCAGATGCATATGTGTGGCACTTTGAGCCCAAATAGCATCCCACTGTGTGCACTCTGCCTCTTCCTTCCTCCTGCAGCCTTGACGTCATCCCCTGCATGCAACATCTTCCCCAGGATGCGTCAGCCTCCTCACCCATCTATAGGGCAGCCCTCACTCAGAAGGTGCTGTGATTCCACGAATCTCCTTTAAGGGTGGTTAGCTTATTTCTCGTCTGTGGCCCCTAGAGATTGTATTTGGGTAAGTTTCAGAAATAGAGTTCTTGGGTAAAGGACATGAGCCTTTAGAGTGTTGCTGAGTCTACGCAGCTGCCTTCCTGGGGGTCACCTTGCTTCATAAGCCCCCCGAGAGTGTGCTTCCCTGACTGCAAGCGAGGCTGACTCTTACGTCCTTCTAGCCAGCTCTGCTTGCTTTCCTGGGAACCATTAGCCCACATTCTTTGTGCATCTTTCGATCTCACTCTGTCACCCAGGCTGGAGTGCAGTGGCACAAATATGGCTCACTGCAGCCTCCACCTCCCGAACTCAAGTGATCCTCTCACCTCAGCCTCCCAAGTAGCTGGGAACACAGGCTCATGCCAGCATGCCTGGCTAATTTGTATTGATTTCTTGATGCTCTTTATATATGGAAGAGCATGGTAAATATGCTCCTAAGGACTGAGTGGCCCCGTGGTGAACTTGTCCCAGTGCAACGTGTTTCTTCTGATGAAAATGTACACATGCACACCTGCCTCCAAGGGCTTTACAGGAGGCACGAGAAGTCCTCCCATCCCTCCCCGCAAATCTCCTTGAACTTCTAAGGAAAAACCAGACCAAAATCAAAATGGCAAAGGCTGGCAAGGCCCATGCATACTTCTGGGAGACAAAGTGTCCACAGAAAGGCCGGCAGGGGTCACCCAGAGCCCGAATGCACAACCCTTGCCACAGCTGCAACACAAAGCTGATTCTGGGTGATCTGACCCCTTTTGGTCCCCATTGCCTGGACCGCGTGCCCATGAGGACGGGGCCTACTTCGTCTCATTTACGCAGCATCCCTGCATGCACGGGCAGGGAAGAGGAGTTTGCAAAGCCAGTGAGGCAAACTGGGGACAAGGAGAGACCTTGAGGGTCCTCAGAGGCACATGCAGGATGCGGCTTTGGCCCCAGGCAGCCTGGACACCCGTCGCAGGGTGTCGGTGAGAGGGCATGCCATTCGTGGGAAGCAATGAGACCCTGCCCTGGAGATGTCCAGGCAGGTGCTGGACCCCTGTGGGGGGCTGGATAGGGGAGAGCGGCCCATGAGCCTGCGACATGCTCCTCACAAGCCTCGGATCTGGATCTGTCATGGGTCTAGGGAAAAAAGAGCCAAGGCTTGGCTCAGGGCAGCAGCCTGGTCAAGTGGGATCGGGGCCGATGTGTGGGGAGGGGAGGAAGGGAGGAGGGGAGGTAAGCGTCCCTTCCACTTGGCAGGGGAAAGGCCACGGGGACAAGCCAGAGTCTCAGGGTGCACCTGGACCCCTTTCCTTCCCTGCCCTCCTCAGCTTTCAAAAGGCTGCACCCCCACCCTCCCAGGCAAACACCAGGTCTGGGCTCCAGCACCCCCAGCACCGCAGCATTGCTGGCCAGCCCAGATGACCGTGGCATTGGGCTCTGAGTAGCATATGTCCTGCTTCCCCAGGGACTCAAAGGCTTTCCACTGAGCACAGGCCCCACACTGGGTCCTTCGTGCTATGTCCCCACCCTCTAGGACATGCAGTGCCTCGCAGGCAGGGCTGGGGCTTGGGCAACTTCTCTGCCTGTGGTGCCTTGCAGGGCTGTGGTCAGCGCCTGGCCCTGAAGCCCCTCTCCCCGGCAGTTTGTCTTGATCACTCACCCTTTCCCAAGGGTCTCTGGAAGGGTGGTCTGAAGGGGAGGTCAGGGACCTCCGGTGGCAGCTGCTATGTTGACTGAGTGCCCACTGTGTGCCCTGTGTTTGACGTTGGCTCTTTAATGCCCACTGTGGTTTTGGGGCTGGCTGGCAGTGGGGCCAAGGAGCCTTCCGTCTCCTCCCGCTTTCTTGGAAAGATCAGTGCCCGCATTCCTGGCCTTTGCTTACAGGCAGGCGTGGGTCCCAGGAATGGGAGAGCAAATTCCAGAGGGCAGAGGCCACCAGGACAGAGCAGGGTGCCTCAGCCCGGTGGGGGTGGGGGTCTTAGAGGGGACTGATCCTGGAGGTGGCACCAGGGTCCACCCCCTGTTGTGTTCTGAGGAAGAAGTGGTGTGTTAACGGCTCCTAAGCTATTAATTCATTGATCCGTTCAACAGTTTCCCCAAATGAAATAGCAAAGGGGTGGTGGGGCTGGAGAAGAGGGGATGAGGGGGCAGTAGGGGCAGTGGGGGCTGGACCACAGAGGGCTCGTATACTCTGGGGTGCAGGGGGCTGTGGCGGGGCTTGCAGGGGACTTGAGAAGGCTCCCGTGTGTCCTTTGGTTTTTTTATTGAAGTGAAATTCACGTGACATAAAACTGTCTGAAAGTGGACAATTCAGTGGCATTTAGTAGATTCACAGTGGTATGCAAACACCACCTCTGTCTAGTTCCAGAACATTCTCATCCCTCCAAAAGGAGACCCCACCCCATCAGCAGTCACTCCCCCCTCCCCTCCCCCAGCCCTTGGTGGCACCCATCTGCTTCCTGTCTCTGCGGATTTGCCTGTTCTGGGCATTTCACGTCAGTGGAGTCATACACAGTGCGGCCTTTTGTGTCTGGCTTCTTGCACTGAGTGTTGTGTTCAAGGTAATAGTGTGTGTGTGAACCTCTGGGCCATGTCCCCACCTCTGCTTTCCCCGCAGCACGGCCGACAAGAACGGGGCCCTCAAGTGCACCTTCTCGGCACCCAGCCACAGCACCAGCCTCCTGCAGGGCCTGGCCACCCTCCGCGCTCAGGGCCAGCTCCTCGATGTTGTGCTGACTATTAACAGAGAGGCCTTTCCTGCACACAAGGTCGTCCTGGCTGCCTGCAGCGACTACTTCAGGTAAGTGCTGGCCCCAGGCAGCTGGAAGGGGCGGCTGCCTGTTGGGACAGGGACAGGGCAGATGGCACCCACTTTCTAAAGGGGGCCTGTCTCAGCGCTACCCAGGGACAGCTTCGAGGGAGAACGGCTGGTACCGGCTGCTCTTTTTTTTTTTTTGAGATGGAGTCTCGCGCTGTTGCCCAGGCTGGAGTGCAGTGGCACAATCTCGGCTCACTGCAACCTCCGCCTCCTGGGTTCAAGCAGTTCTCCTGCCTCAGCCTCCCGAGTAGCTGGGAGTACAGGCACCCGCCACCATGCCCAGCTAATTTTTTTTGTATTTTTTAGTAGAGACGGGGTTTCACCATGTTGGCCAGGCTGGTATTGAACTCCTGACTTCGTGATCTGCCTGCCTTGGCCTCCCAAAGTGCTGAGATTATAGGCGTGAGCCACCGCTCCGGGCCCCTTCTGATTTTAGAGAGAGGTTTAATGTCCAGTAAACCTGCAGGTTTCCCGGAGTTTGCATCTTACTCTCTTTGGGCAGAACATGCCTGGAGGGACAGAGATGGCCTGTGGGCACCCACTCACTTCTACCCTGCATGCAGGGTGGCAGGGCTTGGCCAGGTTTTTGATCTGTTTTGTTTTTTTTTTTTTTGAGACAAAGTCTCGCTGTGTCGCCCAGGCTGGAGTGCAGTAGCACAATCTTGGCTCATTGCAACCTCCGCCTCCCGGGTTCAAGCGATTCTCCTGCCTCAGCCTCCCGAGTAGCTGGGACTACAGGCGCATGCCACCACACCTGGCTAATTTTTTGTATTTTTAGTAGAGACGGGGTTTCACCATGTTAGCCAGGATGGTCTTGATTTCCTGACCTCATGAGCCACCTGCCTCAGCCTCCCAAAGTGCTGGGATTACAGGCGTGAGCCACTGCGCCCAGCCCAATCTGTCTTTACTTGACGCCTGCTGTATGCCAGGCACTATTCTAGTCCTTGGGATGCAGCAGGGATGACAGTGAAATGGGCACAAGCCCCTGCCCTCAGGGCATCCCCTCAGGACACCTGGAGCAGGACAGCTGGGGGACTGGAGGGGCATCGAGGGCCGCAGAGACCCTGTGTCTGCCAACACCATGTCCTGGGCTCTGTCTGAGGCCCAGATGAGTTCTCCTCCCTGTCTCCCTGAGCTGTGGGCACTTCCCCAACGTGACAGAAGAGGCCATGGCGGGCACTGTCTGTCTGTCCCTGTGCCGTGGCCGGGCCGGAAGTGAGAGCACCACAGAGCAGGGCTGTGGGGTGGGGGGTGCTTTCTCCTCGCCAGCTGGGGGCTGTTGCAGGGCTGAGTGGTCTCCCTCCCTGGGTGACCAGCAGGTGAGCCTCCTTCCTGCCAGGTGGTGACCCCGCCAGAGAGAGCTGGGCCGCCCTGGGGAGGCTCCCAGGCCCCAGCCCAGGTGTGCCGCTCAGCCACACATTCCCCGAGGCCCGGGCCGCCTGCCCCATGGGCTCAATGAGGCTGTTGTGGGGGCCGCAGCAGCCGAGCCAACTGGGGCGCCGCTTCTATTTTTATTCTGGATTTGGGGACGGGTGGGCCAGCCCAGCCAGCAATGCCCTTTAAAGGCTCCCCTGTGCTGGCACTGCAGCCAGCGAGACCTTAAAAGGCAAAGCTCCCTCCTGTCGCCTGCGACCGCCTCTGCCTTCATCGCATCATGCCCGAGGGCCAGCGTGGACCCGTGGGGACAAGCGGGGCAGGGTCTGGGGAGCTGGCAGCGTACTTACTGCTCCTGGACCGCTCAGAGATGCTGAAGAGCTGCTTGTTGGGCAGATGTCAGTGGGCGGCCCCGAGATAGTGCCCTGGCAGCTGTCCTTGCCCCTGTAGCCCTGAGCCTGGCTCACAGGAGGTGCAAGACTAGGGGACAGGCCTCTGTGGGTCAAATGCACAAGGGATGTTCCCTCCTCCTCGGACGGCCATCAGGGGAGGTGCACTGGCAGGAGTGAGAGTTACTATGCCATGCCATTGCGCCTCCTGGAAGGAACCGCCCATTCCCCTGGAGCTGGGGTGCTCTCCCCTCTTCTGCTGGGGAACACCCTAAACGCTGTAGGGGAACTGTGACCTAGAACCGTGTGCCTCCCCGCTGCCCTCCCTCACGGGGGCCTGTGTCCCCTCCCACTCTCATGTTCTGCCTCGCAGAGCACAGCAGTACAAGGGCGGAGCTGGGGTCTCAATGGAGGCTGGGGACGTAGCTGTTGGGTGGGAGGTGCTTCCCCGACCACCTGAGCCTGTCTCTGGAGACAGCAGTCACCCCAGCACAGCCTCCTGGTGGGGGCTCCATTCCTGGGGACCCTCATTACCTTCCCCTCTTCACATGATGGTTGTTGAGACTCAGGCTGGGCATATCAGAGCTGCCTGCTTAGGTCAGTGAACAAGGTGAGGGTTGAACTGTGGTGCATGGCACCTCCAGAGCACTGGCCTTGCAGTTCCTGAGCTCAGGTGTCAAGTGGGGCTGCAGATCTGTCCCCAGAGCCACAGGGTGTGTTCTCATCCTGCACTGCCATACCTGGCCCCTCTAACCGCACCCCCGACAGGCACATTGTGGGTGAGGCTGACCCGGGCCACCGCTCCTGCAGCTCCAACACGATCTAGTCATGAAGGGGCAGGGGCAGGGTCCTCTGCAGAGGGGCCAAGCAGGGAGTTGCTATTTATAGGAAGATGCATGGCTTGGGTGGATTCAAAATCTTTTTTTTTTTTTGCATGTTTTTTTTGTTTGTTTGAGACAGAGTCTCACTCTTATTGTCCAGGCTGCAGTGCAGCATGATCTCGGCTCACTGCAACCTCCAGGTTGGTCTTGAACTCCTGACATCAGGTGATCCACCCACCTCGGCCTCCCAAAGTGCTAGGATTACAGGCGTGAGCCACTGTGCCTGGCCTTTGCATGTTTTTGTTTGTTTGTTTGTTTGTTTGTTTTTGTGACTGAGTCTCACTCTGTCACCCAGGCTGGAGTGCAGTGCCAGTGGTCTCGATCTCCTGATCTCATGATCCACCCGCCTGGGCTTCCCAAAGTGCTGGGATTACAGGCATGAGCCACCGCGCCCGGCCCCTTTGCATGTTTTTAATGAGCATTCCGCCTACTTTCCTCTTGCTGGCTGTGCCCTGTGTTCTGTGTCCCCAGGCTACTGTTCCCCAGGCCAGATCATTCCTGGCTGGCCAAAACACCCCTCAGCCACTGCCAGCCACACGTTGTGTTTCTGCCCTTCAGGGCCATGTTCACCGGCGGCATGCGGGAGGCAAGCCAGGACGTCATCGAGCTGAAGGGCGTGTCGGCCCGTGGCCTGCGGCACATCATCGACTTCGCCTACAGCGCCGAGGTGACACTGGACCTGGACTGCGTGCAGGACGTGCTGGGCGCGGCCGTGTTCTTGCAGATGCTGCCCGTGGTGGAGCTGTGCGAGGAGTTCCTGAAGGCGGCCATGAGCGTGGAGACCTGCCTCAACATCGGCCAGATGGCCACCACCTTCAGCCTGGCCTCGCTGCGAGAGTCGGTGGATGCCTTCACCTTCCGGCACTTCCTGCAGATCGCCGAGGAGGAGGATTTCCTGCGCCTGCCACTGGAGCGCCTGGTCTTCTTCCTGCAGAGCAACCGGCTGCAGAGCTGTGCCGAGATCGACCTGTTCCGCGCGGCCGTCCGCTGGCTGCAGCATGACCCGGCCCGGCGGCCGCGCGCCAGCCACGTGCTCTGCCACATTCGCTTCCCGCTCATGCAGTCGTCCGAGCTGGTGGACAGCGTGCAGACGCTGGACATCATGGTGGAGGACGTGCTGTGCCGCCAGTATCTGCTGGAGGCCTTCAACTACCAGGTGCTGCCCTTCCGGCAGCACGAGATGCAGTCTCCGCGCACCGCCGTGCGCTCGGATGTGCCCTCGCTCGTCACCTTCGGCGGCACGCCCTACACCGACAGCGACCGCTCGGTCAGCAGCAAGGTCTACCAGCTGCCTGAGCCGGGAGCCCGCCACTTCCGCGAGCTCACGGAGATGGAGGTAGGCTGCAGCCACACGTGCGTGGCCGTGCTGGACAATTTTGTGTACGTGGCCGGGGGGCAGCACCTGCAGTACCGCAGCGGCGAGGGCGCAGTGGACGCCTGCTACCGCTACGACCCCCACCTGAATCGCTGGCTGCGCCTGCAGGCCATGCAGGAAAGCCGCATCCAGTTCCAGCTGAACGTGCTGTGCGGCATGGTGTACGCCACGGGCGGCCGCAACCGAGCCGGCAGCCTGGCCTCCGTGGAGCGGTACTGCCCCCGGCGCAATGAGTGGGGCTACGCCTGCTCGCTGAAGCGCCGTACCTGGGGCCATGCTGGGGCCGCCTCAGGGGGCCGCCTCTACATCTCGGGTGGCTACGGGATCTCAGTGGAGGACAAGAAGGCCCTGCACTGCTACGACCCCGTGGCCGACCAGTGGGAGTTCAAGGCGCCCATGAGCGAACCCCGCGTGCTACACGCCATGGTGGGTGCCGGCGGCCGCATCTATGCCCTCGGGGGCCGCATGGACCACGTGGACCGCTGCTTCGACGTGCTGGCTGTGGAGTACTATGTGCCGGAGACGGACCAGTGGACCAGCGTGAGCCCCATGCGGGCCGGCCAGTCAGAGGCCGGCTGCTGCCTGCTGGAGAGGAAGATCTACATCGTCGGGGGCTACAACTGGCGTCTCAACAACGTCACGGGCATCGTACAGGTGTACAACACGGACACCGACGAGTGGGAGCGGGACCTGCACTTCCCGGAGTCCTTCGCAGGCATAGCCTGCGCCCCCGTCCTGCTGCCCCGGGCCGGGACCAGGAGGTAGCCCCCAAGACCCCCGGGACCCTGGCCTGACCGCATGTTGTCTCCAAGTGGGGCTTGGCGAATGCACGTCTGCCTGAGAACCCCAGTGCCCCCCTTCGCCCGGGCTGCCCTTGAGGGGCCTGCTGCGTTGATAAGCCCCCCTCCCAGGGGTCCCTCCCTCCCTCCTTCCCAAAGCAGATCCTGGCTGCGAGTCCATCCGAGGGAGCCTGCCGGCAAAGCGTCTGACATGTGGTGGCAGCAAATTCGTCCCCGGGGTGGTTTCCTCGCCTGGCCCCCGAGTCCCCACGGGCTGGCGGGTGGAATCCCAGGTCTCCAGGGGGTCCCTGTGCAGCTCCATCTCACTTCTCTACTGCCTCCCAGCCCCACGGTTTCAGGCATTCAGATGTGAGCTCATCAACATTGAACCCAAAGTCGGTGGTATATGACTCACCCTCCTTCCAAGTCTCCTGCGCGCGTGTTTTTAAAATAAACTCACCCGAAACGTCCGTAACACACGGACCTCCAGGAGCAGTGAGAGGTGGCTTAGAAGCCCCTGGTTTGGGGTGGGTGGAGGAGGAGGGCACGTGTCTGCCTCCCCTGGGGTGCCCTCCTTCCCCCATCCCAAGCTGCTGAGGGGAGGCCCTGGTCATGCCTCAGTTCCTGCCTTCATCTGCTTTCCGGAGGAAAAACCATATCAACTCCTAGAAACGCTCCTTAGGGGCTTGGGACCTTCCATTTGGCACTGAGCATCTTGTGGGGCCTTAACTGGCTGAGACATCCCGGCCCTCTACATTTGCCCTGTTGGCCAGGCAGTCCCCTTCCCGCAATTGGAGGGCGACGCTAACTTCAGAATCCCATAGTGGCGCTTGCCGCAGGTCTGGTGGGGTGTCTTTTTTCTCCTCCCTCCTTTCCACCCCTCCGCGCCCTGCCACTCCCTGGCCTGCCCTGTTTTTGGGTCAACATTGCTACGGAGCCAGCAGTGAGGCCTTTCCCTTCAAGGGCTCTGTGGTATCTCTGGCCACATTTGTTCTAATGTCTGAACCTCTAAATCTTTTCTTTTTGATTGGTTTTACTGTTTTTAAGAAGCCAGCACTGCTGTCTCATAGATGGGATTTGTACTCTTGGGGCAACTTAAAGTGTCTCTCTCGCTGCTAACAGACGATTGATGTCTTGTCTCTGTGACCCACTCACCATGTAAAGAATTAACCTCCTATCTTAGCAGACATCGTCTCCTAATATTTCCCTTTATTTAATAAAAATGTTATGGTGAAGAGATGGAGCCGGCCCAGCACTGAGCTTGTGCGGCTTGGGTCTGATTGGTCACAGATTCCTCGTGTGTCCTCCGCGTGTCTGGGGGCTCCTCTCCCCCGCCTCAACCTTTTCCAGCCTTTCAGAGGAGTCGGCAGTGGGCTGGGCTTTGGCTCAGGGGCGCAGAGGCAGCAGGAAGCGTGGCCAGGACTTTCACCCTGGCGTTTTTTGTTGTTGGTTTTTTTGTTTTTTTGAGACGGAGCCTCGCTCTGTCACCCAGGCTGGAGTGCAGTGGCGTGATCTCGGCTCACTGCAACCTCTGCCTCCTGGGTTCAAGCAATTCACCTGCCTCAGCCTCCCAAGTAGCCAGGATTACAGACGCAGACACACACCACCACACCCGGCTAATTTTTGTATTTTTAGTACAGACGGGGTTTCACCATGTTGGCCAGGCTGGCCTTGAACTCTTGACCTCAGGTGATCCACCTGCCTCTGCCTCCCAAAGTGCTGGGATTACAGGTGTGAGCCACCATGCCCGGACCAACCTTGGCACTTTGGAAGAGCCTTCAGCCCCCTATTCTCATCATGGCCGGCCAAACTATGAACTGGGCTGCCCAGAGCAGGCCACTTATCAGTTGCAGGTTAGCAGAGAAAGCCTGATGTTCCCGGACGGCCTTCCCAGAAGGGAGGCCCTGGGATATCACACACACATGGATCTCCATAAGTTGCTGTGCCTGCATGCCTGGCGCTCCTGTGTGGCAGCCATCGGGGCTGGGGTAACACTAGAGGCTGAGGGGGTGGGCAGTGCTAAAATAGGAACATGGTTGGGAACCTAAAAGAAGCCCACACTGTCAGGGGCATCGAGACAAAAGCCGAGTTCCCTGGGGACTTACCAGAACATTCCAGCCCCACCCCCGACCTGAGCTCCCCCAAAGAGAACCCTTCCCCACTGGAGGCATGGCCCCTTCAGGGGAGCAGTGAGAAGCTTTGCCAGCTGCAAGTCCCCTGGATCAGCTCACACCTCAGAACATCTTGTCCCCAGTGAGCTGGCAGGGGCGCCGGCCCAGGGCGGGGGGCGCTGCTGTATCTAACCGGATCGATTGTGCATAACCGTCTAGGCCGGTTCGTGGAATGTTCGTGGGGCCCCCTGCCCCTCCCTCAGCCTCCCCCCGCATCCCCCCAAGAAAGGAAAATTATTTTTCGTATTGTAAACTTTAAACATGAAAAAGCTGTTTTTAATTTAGCAGAAACTGGCTTGAATCTTCACTTTGTGAACGTTTGTGTCCTTCAGAGGCAGAATATGCCTGCGCACACTCGCACATGCTCATGCACACACCTGCACACGCATGCCGCAACACGCACATTCACATGGCCGTGCTCGTGCACGCCTGCACACGCATGCTTGCCCATACCCACGCATTGCAGCGCGTTCACACGCTCACCCGCACACAGTGAAACACAAGCTCACACATATGCACACACACACATATCTGTGCATGCACCCCTGGACCAGCGTAGCCCAATCTGCCTGGCGGCCCAAAGGGGTCTGGAGCCCGGCACCGCCCCGAGCCTGGGGGAAGCCTGTCTACTTCCAGATGCCCTGCCTACTCGCTGAGGCCTGGACGCCGGCTGCAGGAGCCTCCCTTGCACCTGGGCTCAGGCTGTGGGAAAACGCTGTCTCTCGGGACGGTCAGATGCAGGCCCGCAAGAGGGAGGCCAAGTGCGACTTCTGGGGCCTCTCAGCAAGTGAGGGCCAAGGGGGCCTCTGGGGAGCCGTGTGAGGTGGGAATCCGCCCCGGACCTGGCCAGCTTGGAAACCTGCCCCTGGCTCTGTCTCCGAGGAAGCAGCTCCAGCTCGTCCGTTCTCACGGGCCCTGGAGATTCACTTTGCACGGTGCAGCCTCGGACCCTGCTCTTCCTCGGGGCGCCTGACCGTGGATCTCAGCGGCCTGGCGCCTAACACAGAGCCTGGCACCGACGGAGCATAGCTCGAATGTTTGCTGCACAAAGGAGAGGTGCTGGGGCGGGAAGGTGAGGGCAGCCTTCTTCACACTAGTGGCCGTGGGCACCTTCTGTGTGCAAACCCCGGGGAAAGGAGGGCACCAAGCCGTGCTCCACCCCCAGCAAGGCCCCTGCTTTGTTCTCGTCTTCCTGTCGCTCTCATTCTGGTGGCCAGCCGGGCAGCCATTCCTCCCTCCTCACCATCAGATCCCTGATTTGGTGCCAGCAGCAACGTGCCCAGCCTCTGGGGTTAAGATTCAGCTGAGCCGTTCTTGGCAATGCCTTTTGCCGGGGTTGTTTGTAATCTGGGCGTGTTTCCCAGCTCTGGCCAGCAAGCTTGAAGGGGTCGGGTGTTTCTGGACAAGGGAGAGAGAGGCCTTGTTGCCCCCTTCCCTTCCTTACTGCTTCTTATGAGGACACAATGCCAGGGGCTTCTGCAGCCATCTTGTGGCCAGGAGGAGCAAGTTAAGAGAGCACACTCAGGCTGGGCGCAGTGGCTCACACCTGTAATCCCAGAGCTTTAGGAGGCCGAGGCAGGAGGGTTGCTTGAGTCCAAGAGTTCAAGACCAGCCCTGAGTGACATAGTGAGAACTTATCTCTACAAAAAAAAAAAAGCTCGTCAGGGTGACACACGCCTGTAGTCCCAGCCACTCAGGGAGGCTGAAGTGGGAGGATCACCTGAGCCCAGGAGTTCTAGGCTGCAAGGAGCTGTGATTGTACCACTGCACTCCAGCCTGTTTTTCTGAGCCTGGTTTTCCAGCCTTCTCATCACTTCTGTGAGCTACCAAACAATTTTTTTTTTTTTTTTGAGACGGAGTCTACTCTGTTGCCCAGGCTGGAGTGCAATGGCACCATCTCAATTCACTGCAACCTCTGCCTCCTGGGTTCAAGCGATTCTCCTGCTTCAGCCTCCTGAGTAGCTGGGATTACAGGTGCATGCCACTACTCCTGGCTAATTTTTGTATTTTTGGTACAGACGAGGTTTCGCCATGTTGGCCAGGCGGTCTTGAACTCCTGACCTCAAGTGATCTGCCCACCTTGGTCTCTCAAAGTGCTGGGATTACAGGCGTGAGCCACCACGCCTGGGCTTTTTTTTTTTTTTTTTTTTTTAAATAGAGACAGAGTCTCACTATGTTGTCCAGGCGGGTTTTGAACTCCTGGGCTCAAGCAACACTCCTGCCTTGGCCTCCCAAAGTGCCGGGATTAGAGGCATGAGCCACCATACCTAGCCAACCAACCAGTTTTGCAATACACACATTGGCTATTTAAATTGTCCAGGCTGGATGCAGCGGCTCACGCCTGTAATCCCAGCACTTTGGGAGGCTGAGGCAGGCAGATCACTTGAGGTCAGGAGTTCAAGACCAGCCTGGCCAACATGGTGAAACCCTGCCTCTACTAAAAATAGAAAAATTAGCCAGGTGTGGTGATTAATGCCTGTAATCCCAGCTACTCGGGAGGCTGAGGCAGGAGAATTGCTTGAACCTGGGAGGTGGAGGCTGCAGTGAGCCAAAATTGCACCACTGCACTCTAGCCCGGGCAACATAGCAAGACTCCATCTCAAAAAAAATTTAAGTAAATAAATTGTCTAGAGTCAGTTTCTGTTGCTTACAAGTAAAAACCCTGACATGAGATGGGAATACTCCAGCATCTGTCACATTTACATTATAATTTTGGAACTGCTTGGTGACAAGCATATCTGGCCATTAGTGTTTTCTGCAGTGCAGACATTATTTCTCATAACAAGGAGACTGGAGGTCAGAGGTGCCAGGATGTTATGACTGGTGGCCCATGATTTCTGGGAGGGGGCATGACTATGCCTCTCTCTTTCTTTCTTTCTTTATTTTTTTTTGGTTTAGAGACTGTATTCCCAGCACTTTGGGAGGCTGAGGCAGGCAGATCTCTTGAGCTCAGGAGTTGGAGACCAGCAACACAGCAAAACCCTGTCTCTACAAAAAATAGAAGAATTAGCCTGGCATAGTGGCATGCACCTGTAGTCCCAGCTACACAGGAGGGTGAGGTGAGGATAGGTTGAGCCCTGAAGATCAAGGCTGCAGTGAGCTGTGATTGTGCCACTGCACTCCAGCCTGGGTAACACAGTGAGACCCTGTCTCCAAAAAAAAAAAAAAAAGAAAAAAGAAAAAAGTAAACAAGGGAATCAAAGGCGTGAGGCAACTAGGCCTTCAGCTGAAATTATGCCAGAGGACGATCCTGCCACCACTGCAGAATCCAGACGCCTCCGTTGGCACTGCCATCTGCCCTGGGCACTCAGCCACAGCTGCCCCTAGAAAACAGATGGCCCTGCCCCGATGCTGTTTCTCTGTAGCACTTGTGCCTGCATGGAAACATCCCGGAGGCCCAACCAGTATCCCACGCCATTCCCCAGCTGTCCCAGGAGTGGTGAAAGTGAGTACATTCGTGTGTATTAGTCAGCCACTGCTGTGCAACAAACACCCCCAAGTCTCAATGGCATGCAACAATAAGCGTTTGTTTTTCACATGTCTGTGAGTCAGCAGAGGTGGTGTCTGCTCTAGGCGGGCCTCGGCTGGGCAGCTCTGCTTACAGGTGCAAGGATGCAGAGTAGCCCAGAGTCCCTGCTCCACGGGTTCTTGCCTCCTGCTGGAACAGCAGCTAGCCAGGGCACATTTTCCTCCTGCAAGTGTCTGAGGACAAGTGGAATCACGTGAGGCCTCGTAGGGTCTCAGTTCGGGACTCAAACACTATCACATCTGCCCGTAAGTCTTTTTTTTTTTTATTTTGAGATGGAGTCTTGCTCTGTTGCCCAGGCTGGAGTGCAGTGGCACAATCATGGTTCACTGCAGCCTCGACCTCCTGGGCTCAAGTGATACTCCCACCTTAGCCTCCTGACTAGCTAGAACTATACGCTCATGCCACCAAGAGCAGCTTATTCATTTATTTATTTATTTGAGACTGAATCTCGCTCTGTCACCCAGGCTGGAGTGCAGTGGTGCAATCTCGGCTCACAGCAACCTCCACCTCCCAAGATCAAGCGATTCTCTTGCCTCAGCCTCTCGAGTAGCTGGGATTACAGGTATGTGCCACCACACCTGGCTAAGTTTTGTATTTTTAATAGAGACGGGGTTTCGCTTTGTTGGCCAGGCTGGTCTCGAACTCCTGGCCTCAAGTCAACCACCTGCCCTGGCCTCCCAAAGTGCTGGGATTACAGGCATGAGCCACTATGCCTGACCTGCCCATAAGTCTTTGGCCAAGCAAATGACATGGCTGAGCCCCACATCTGGAATGGGGAAGTGTCTTCCACCTGGAAGGAAGAACTGTAGAGGGCAGGGATGCAGGAATAGGTGGGAACCGCGGCCAATAGTTCGATGGGTCACCCTTGGCTTGGGGGCCTCTCTTGTTAGCAGGGTGACCAACTTCCCTCTGTGGGGGGACTCCCCAAACTTGGATGGGGACCCTGATGCTGGCAACCAAAAAGAAAGGCCCGTTCTGCATCTCCTTAGCAGCCACTGCCCCCTGGAGGTCGAGATATCCCTCTTTTTTGTTTGTTTGTTTCAGGTGAGTGGGGGCTGTGAGTGCCCCAGGATCTTGGAAAGCAGGATGGGGGTCTGGATGTAGGGAGGTCAATGGGGCCTTGGCCAAGTTTCAGGGCATGGACACTGTAGGTGTCCCTGGGAGCATGCCCAAGTCTCTCTATGTTGCCCAGGCTGGTTTCAAACTCCTGAGCTCAAGCAGTCCTCCTGCCTCTGCCTCCCAAAGTGCTGAGAATATAGGCACAAGCCAATGCATCCAGCCAACCAACCAGTTTTCCAACACGCACTTCAGCTATCTATCCCTCAGCACAAGTGGCTGGGTCCCTAGACTTGAACCATGGGTCCCCCGCCTGCCCAGTTCCAGCCTCTCACTACCCTCCTTGGCGGCCCACCCCGTCCCACCCTCCATCCACCACTAAAGCCTGGGTGGGAGGACGAGGGGCCTGGGTCCTCCTGTAACCTTATCGTAAGGAGGGGCATCGCTGGCTTCTCTTGGGTCCTTTCCCTCTCTCTTCATGATCAGACCCAGCTTTTGCTTTGCCCTTTAAAAACTCTGTACGATGAGAGCCTCTTTTGGAAGTCAAAGACAGACCAGGGATTGTTTTCCTCTTTGCCTCTCAGCTCCAATGGCCCTAATTCACCTCCACACGACGTGGGTACCCCAAATCGACTAAGATCCCATATAAGGAAGAGCTGAGAAGCAAAGCATGAAAACTAACATGGCGAAGTAGCGTTTTGCTTTCCTAACAGTTGCTGAGTGCTTGGATGAAGCAGGCACTGAGCTAAGTGCTTTCCATGTGTTATCTGTTTCATCTTTCCAAGAGCCTGCTATGAGGAGCACCACTGTCCACATTTAGCAGAGGAGGGCAGTGCGGCTCAGAGAGGTGAAGACAGTTTTCCATTGTCACACAGCTTGACAACTGATAAGTGTTGGACCACACAGAAATGCTCAAGAGTTTCTTGATCTCCCGGGTCAAGCAATTCTCCTTCCTCAGCCTCCCAGGTAGCTGGGTTTACAGGCGTGCACCACCACGCCTAGTTAATGTTTTTTTTGCATTTTTAGTAGAGACGGTGTTTCACCATGTTGGCCAGGCTGGTCTCAAACTCCTGACCTCAGGTGATCCGCCCACCTCAGTCCCCCAAAGTGCTGACATTACAGGTGTGGAGGTGGAGGTTGCAGTGAGCCGAGTTCGCGCCACTGCACTCCAGCCTGGGTGACAGAGCAAGACTCTGTCTTAAAAACGCACAAACGAATGAACAAAAACACATAAGAAATCACGTGTGTCTGTGCCCTTTCCACATTCCACAGGCACACAGGGAACTCTGGCCTGGCCCTGGCCTCTTTGGGAAAGGCGAACATAATCTCAGCTCAATCTACAAGGGATCAGATGAGACCGCACAAACAGCTGCCTTCAGAGAATGGGATGTTTCTGGGTCATGGGAAGAGACGCTGGAGGTCCACTTCAGCTAGACCCTTCAGGAGGGTCTCTCAGAGCAGAGGCCTGCAAGTCGAGAAGGAGCCAGCCACGAAAGCATCTTGGAGGAGCGCAATCCAGGCAGAGGGAACAGCGAAGAGGCCCGTGTGGCTGGAGCGAGAGCCGAGCCGAGCATAAGCATGTGGAGCCGCCAGGAGGAGGGTATTTTTTTTTTATTTGAGATGGAGTCTCACTCTGTCTCCCAGGCTGGAGTGCAATGGTGCGATCTCGGCTCACTGCAACCTCCACCTCCCGGGTTCAAGCGATTCTCCTGCCTCAGCCTCCCGAGTAGCTGGGATTACAGGCACCCACCATCATGCCTAGCTAATTTTCATTTTTTTTTTTTTTTAAGAGACGGGGTTTCACCATGTTGGCCAGGCTGGTCTTGAACTCCTGACCTCAGGTGACCCACCTGCCTCTGCCTCCCAAAGTGCTGGGATTACAGGCATGAGCCACTGCGCCAAGCCTTTAGATTTTTTTTTTTTTTAAGTGCGATGGGAGTGTGGGATCTGCCCTGCTTTGCAAAGCCCGCAGGGCTGCTGTGAGGAGCAGTGTTGGACCACACTGGGTGACAGCAAGTTCCTTTGATGAAGGAAGAAAGTGAAAACCTCAGGGTTGGTTTCTGCCCGGGTCACTGGACACTGAAGCCTCGCCCTTCTCAGGGCTGGGGGTCAGTGGAGCAAGAAGCGGGGCTTGGGCTGCTGTCTGGCCATTGCACAATGAGCGGGCTGGCTGCTTCCTCTGACTCATCACCAGGGTTTAGGATGGATCAAGTTTCATGCCAGGCGGGCCGCGGGGTGAATGGGGGTGAGTAGGAAGAGCAGCAGACTTACTTCTGCACATGCCCAGGATGGCTCCTTGCTGTAACCCCTGCTAGTCCCCAAAATCTTTTCTCTTCCATCTTCCTGTGTCTGGAAACTGGCTTAGTGCAGATATATGTAAGTGATCAGGGTAAGTGGCATTTATGGAGCACCTCTTAGTGAGACACATATTAACATATGTTAACATACTAACATATTAACGTATGTTGACACATACGAATTTCATTTAAAGCCTACAGGGCCAGGTGCAGTGGCTCACGCCTATAATCCTAGCACTTTGCGAAGCCGAGCCAGGAGGATCACTTGAGGTCAGGAGTTCGAAAGCAACCTGGCCAACATGGCAAAACCCCGTCTCTACTAAAAATACAAAAATTAGCCGGGTGTGGTGGCCTACACCTGTAGTCACAGCTACTCAGGAGGCTGAGGCAGGAAAATCGCTTGAGCCTAGGAGGTGAAGGCTGCAGTGAGCCGAGATCTCACCACTGCACGCCAGCCTAGGAGACAGAGCGAAACTCCATCTCAAAAAAAAGAAAAAATTAGCTAGGCGTCGTGGTACACCCCTGTAATCTCAGCTACTCGGGAGGCTGAAGTAGGAGGAGAATTGCTTGAACCAGGGAGGCGGAGGTTGGAAGTTGCAGTGAACAGAGATCGCAACACTGTACTCCAGCTTGGGTAACAGAGCGAAACTGTGTCTCAAAAAAGAAAAAAAAAAAAAGATACATGTAATTGATTAGGGTAAGTGGCATCAATTACGGAGCACTTCTTAGAAGTAAGGCAGTTGACACTTATTAACTTCATTTATTTTATTTATTTATTTATGTATTTTTTTGAGATGGAGTTTCACTTTTGTTGCCCAGGCTGGAGTGCAATGGCGCAATCTTGGCTCACTGCAACCTCCACCTCCTAGGTTCAAGCGATTCTCTTGCCTCAGCCTCCCGAGTAGCTGAGATTACAGGCATGTGCCACCACGCCCGGCTAATATTGTATTTTTAGTAGAGACGGGGTTTCTCCATGTTGGTCAGGCTGGTCTCAAACTCCTGACCTCAGGTGAGCCGCCCGCCTCAGCCTCCCAAAGTGCTGGGATTACAGGCGTGAGCCACCACGCCTGGCTAACTTCATTTAAAGCCTACAAAACTCAGTGTGTGAAAGCAGCTGAGGTCGGCTGTGAGGCCTGAGTTTTGGTGCATAAGTTGCTAGGGCAGCTGCTGTCCCTGCTCTCTGTCTTTATTTCTTCTCTGACCTCACAGGATGCTGTCAAGAACTAGAAGCCGGTCAGGCGTGGTGGCTCACGCCTATAACCCCAGCACTTTGGGATGCCAAGGTGGGAGTATCATCTGAGGTCAGGAGTTCGAGACCAGCCTGGCCAACATGGTGAAACCCCATCTCTACTAAAAATACAAAAATTAGCTGGGCGTAGTGGCGCACGCTTGTAGTCCCAGGTACTCTGGAGGCTGATGCAGGAGAATCACTTGAACCTGGGAGGCGGAGGTTGCAGTGAGCCAAGATCGTACCACTGCACTCTAGCCTGGGAGACCTAGCGAGACTCTGTTTAAAAAAAAAAAAAAAAAAAAAAAGAACTAGAAGCCACATATGTAGCGGGCCCAGTCTCGCATTGGACTCACAGAAGCTGCAGTCTCAGTCAGAACCAGGAACAGAAAAAGGACTTGAAATAGATTTAGGCAGGCCAGGCACGGTGGTGCACACATGTAATCTCAGCACTTTGGGAGGCTGAGGGGGGCGGATCACTTGAGCCCAGGAGTTTGAGACCAGCCTGAGCAACAGGATGAATCCTGTCTCTACAAAAACCACAAAACATTAGCCAGGCATGATGATGCACACCTGTAGTCCCAGCTACCTGGAAGGCTGAGGTGGGGGGATCACCTGAGCCTAAGGGTTGGGGCTTCAGTGAGCATGATCATGCCACTGCACTCCAGCCTGGGCAACAAAGTGAGACCCTGTCTGAAAAAACAAACAAACAAACAAACAAGAAAACAAATAGACAAGCACAAAAGGGAATAAATTTTTGGCCTACATAACTTAAAAGGCAGGTGAGTCTAGCTTCAGGAATGGCTGGATCCAGAAGCTCAGGCTGGAGTACAGTAATGTGATCTCGGCTCACTGCAACCTCTGCCTCCTGGATTCAAGCTGTTCTCCTGCCTCAGCCTCCCAAGTAGCTGGGATTAGAGGCATGTGCCACCATGCCCAGCTAATTTTGTATTTTTAGTAGAGATGGAGTTTCCCTATGTTGGTCAGGCTGGTCTCAAGCTCCTGACCTCAAGTGATCCACCCACCTTGGCCTCCCAAAGTGCTGGGATTACAGTTGTGAGCCACCGTGCCAGGCCTGGTTCTGTTTTCCTCTGTGTGGGTCCACTCTTTTGGCCCAGCTGAACTAATCTTTTGTTTTTTTTTGAGACAAAGTCTCCCTCTGTTGCCCAGGCTAGAGTGAAGTGGCGCTATCTTGGCTCACTGCAACCTCCACCTCCTGGGTTCAAGTGATTTTCCTGCCTCAGCCTCCCCAGCAGCTGGAATTACAGGCGTGTGCCACCGCGTCTGGCTAATTTTTTTTGTATTTTTAGTCGAGATGGGGTTTCACCATGTTGGCCAGTCTGGTCTCAAACTCCTGACCTCAGGTGTTCTGCCCGCCTCTGCCTCCAAAAGTGTAGGGATTACAGTCATGACCCAGCGCCCAGCCTGTTTTTTGTTTGTTTGTTTGTTTGTTTGTTTGAGACAGGGTCTTGCTCTGTCACCCAGGCTGGAGTGCAGTGCATTATCATAGCTCACTGCAGCCTCCATCTCCCAGGCTCAAGCAATCCTCCTGTCTCAGCCTCCTGAGTAGCTGGGATTATAAGCAGGCATCACCACGCGCAGGTAATTTTTTTATTTTTAGTGGAGATTAAATCTCGCTATGTTGCCCAGGCTGGTCTCAAGCTCCTGGGCTCAAATGATCCTCCTGCCTCGGCCTCCCAAGTTCTGGGATTACAGGCATGAGCCACAACACCCAGCCTGGCCTGAACCAATCTTGATGGCCAGCACAATGGGCTATGCTGATTGGCCAAGACTTCCACCTTAGGGAGGGGTGTTTGTGTGGTGGGAGAGTGGTGAGACCAGCCATTCACATCTCACAGACTGAAAGTCAGAACCAGTGTTCCCCAAATAAGGGTTGTTGACACTAAAAAGTTGAGGGAGTGGGTGGGGTTGAGAGAAGGAATATGCTTGTTAGGCAAAAAGTATAGGAGCTTACCAAAGTGCGCAAAATCATATCAAGAAGGAAGATGGCCGGGTGCGGTGGCTCATGTCTGTAATCCCAGCACTTTGGGAGGCTGAGGCGGGCGGATCACCTGAGGTCAGAAGTTCAAGACCAGCCTGGCCAACACGGTGAAACCCTGTCTCTACTAAAAATACAAAAAGTAGCCGGGTGTGGTGGTGGGTTCCTGTAATTCCAGCTACTTGGGAGGCTGAGGCAGGAGAATCACTTAAACCCCAGAGGCAGAGGTTGCAGTGAGCTGAGTCTGTGCCACTGCACTCCAGCCTGGGAAACAGAGACTCCGTCTCAAAAAAAAAAAAAAAAAAAAAATCCCATAAAAATTAGCTGAGCATCATGGTGCATGCCTGTAATCCCAGCTACTTGGGAGGCTGAGGTAGGAGAATCGCTTGAACCTGAGAGGCAGAGATTGCAGTGAGCCAAGGTTGCGCCACTGCACTCTAGCCTGGGCGACAGAGTGAGACTCTGTCTCAAAACAAAGATAAAGTAGGGCAGTGGCAATATCCAAGGCATTCTAAATGAAAATCGATATATATATATATATATTTAACATGAGCATTTTATTACCTGTTGTAAAGCATGAATCAAAGCATGTTTGGAAGATGTCAGCATCCCCTCCAGCCATCCTCAGTCCAATAAAATGTGTGCTTGTTGTGCCATTAGAGCCATCATCAATTCCCCCAGCTGACCTTCCTAGCTTCCACCCAGCCCATACTCTGAAATCCCTGCAGCCTCCTGAATATAAACTTTCAATATTGGTGGTTGGGGGTCCCTCTCTTGAGGGAGGGAGGGTTAGAGTCCCTCCTGCTTCCCTGGCTTACCACTCTGCCATCGGGGGAGTCTCTGCTCCTTCCTTCACTGCTGAGTCTTGATGGGATTTCTGGACCCTTCTGTTAGCACCTTGTTGCAAAATAGAGATCCTTGAACAAGACTGGACTGGAGAAGTATGCAGAGGGAAGGCTGAAGCTCTGTAACTCCAGTTCTTTGGGCTCAGGTATCCAGAGAATAGCAATATGCCCATTGCAAGGGAATGGGAAAAAGTAGTCGTCGGCTGGACATGGTGGCTCACGCCTGTAATCCCAGCACTTAGGGAGGGCGAGGCGGGTGGATCACCTGCTGTCAGGAGTTCAAGACCAGCCTGGCCAACATGGTCTTTAGTCTCTACTGAAAATAAAAAAATTAGCTGGGCGTGGTGGCGCCTGCCTGTAATCCTAGCTACTGGAGAGGCTGAGGCAGGAGAATGGCTTGAACCTGGGAGGAGGAGGTTGCAGTGAGCCGAGATCGCACCACTGCATTCCAGTCTGGGCGACAAGGGCAAAACTCGGTCTCAAGGGAAAAAAAAAAAAAAAAAAGAAAGTCGTTAAGGGCAACAGCTAGGTTTATGGACTGAGAGAGCCGATTGCAGGGTTCAGGTCTTAGCTAAGATAACTTTCCGCCTCCCTGTCTGTGGTGGCTGCAGGAGCCTCCCTCCCTAATGTTCTGTGGCTGGCCACTGGTCTTATTTACCGCATCACATTTACCTCCATCTGAAAAGTTCTTGGTTATTTGTGTGCTATGTCTGCCCCCTCTCTGACTGTACACTCCATAAGGGCAGGGATCACCTCTGCTTGTTCACGCCTGTACTCCAGTTTGCCTGGCACATAGTAGGTGCTCAGTAAATATTCCTTGAATGAATGAATGCATGAGTGACCAACGCCCTAGTCTGTTTTCAGAGCTCTTAGTCCAAACCCAGGTTCAACTTGGGGTGCCACCAATCCTTGCGGGGGGGGGTGCCTGGCCCCACCCTTGTGAATTGGGAGGATCTGGGTCAGGCCGTCTCCCTCTTGGGGGCTCCAGTGCCCCAGCCGATCCGCGGTCCTTGTCCAACAGCCCAGAGGCCGCTGTCCAGCGGGCCAGGAGGCGGATCACTGCGTCGGCGTTGAAATTTCCACTCGCGCTCCACCGCCCTTCCCGCGGGCCCCGAGCGCGCGCCTGGGCGCGCGCATGCGCCTTCGCCCCCGCGCCGCGCGCCGCTCCTGTGCGCCTGCGCCGCGCTCACGACCGCCGGCGCGCCTGCGCACTGCTCGCCGCCCGTGGGCCCAGCCGGCGCTTGCGCGGTGGCACGGGCGAGTGGGGGGGCGAGGAGGTGGAGGAGGAGGAGGAGGAGGAGGAGGTGGCGGCGAGAAGATGGCGACTTCGAACAATCCGCGGAAATTCAGCGAGAAGATCGCGCTGCACAATCAGAAGCAGGCGGAGGAGACGGCGGCCTTCGAGGAGGTCATGAAGGACCTGAGCCTGACGCGGGCCGCGCGGGTAAGGGGGCTGCCCGCGCCGACCCTTCAGGGCCGGCGGAGGGAGGGAGGGGGCGCGTGTCCGGCGCGTGCACGGGGCGGGGTGGGGGGGGGCGCGGCGGGGGCGGGGCGCGCGCGGCGGGGGCGGGGCTTGGCACGGCCCGAGGGGGACAGGTGTCCCCACGCCCCGGGCGTCGTGGGCGGGACAGGTGACCCCACAAAATCCATACCTGATGGGGTACAGGTGCCCTGCATCACTGCTCCCCGGAGGAGACAGGGGCCTCTATATCATTACTACTAGGAGGGAACAGGTGCTAGTACCTCGTCGTTACCTGACAGGGGACAGGTGTCCCTACATCATTGTTACCCGAGGGGGACAGGTGCCCCACATTATTACTACCTGGAAGGGACAGGTGCCCCCGCATCATTGCTACCTGGGGGGGCAGGATGACACAGGTGTATGAGCTGGGTGCTGCTTGCAAGCACCATTGGTAGCTGGGGGTGAGGGTGCAAGTGCCCCCGCATCCTTGCTACCTGGGAGGGACAGATGCCCTCCCATTCTTGCTACCTGAGGGGGACCGGTGTCTCTACGTCATGGTTACCTGTGCCTTTACTCCCTGGGTGTTGGGGGAGGAACGGATGTCCCCACTTGCAGAGCTGAGGTGGGACAGGGATCTCTCCCTCTTGGACAGCTGAGGGAATGGTCAGATCCTGTCCCCCAGGGGGTCCAGAGGGGGGCCAAGAAGGCAGATTGTGCTCAGTCCTGGAACTTGGAGTGGAGACAGCTGCCCCTTCTCCATGTAGCCCATATGGTGGGGGCCAGGTGATGTTCCTCCCAGTGGAACAGGGGATGCTGACCACAGCCCCTGCCCTCTCAGGACCAGGGTGGAGGGCCAGGTCTGCCTCAGGTGGCTGGGCGCATTTGGTGTGCAGGGGCAGGCCAGGTTCTGCCAGGCTCCTGTCTGGCAGAGCAGATACCCTGCAAATCTCACCTGGGAAGTTGCTGTGGGCCAGGAGCAGGGGCTTGGGGCTGGTGTCTGAGCACGGCAAGGCACCCGAGTTCCTCAGGCCTCAGTTTCTTGTCAGGCATTCTAGCAAGACCTTCCTCTTGGGGCAGGGTGGTGAGCACACTCTGCAAAGGTGATGCTGAATCTCCACTTTGTTCTTGCAGTGTGGTGAGACCTCTCTCCTGCATCCTGGGGCCTTGGGGAGGGTTTGGGTGGGCTTTGCAGATGCTCGTATCCCTGGTTTCCAGATTCAGCCACTGATGTGACTGGCTCAGGTAGACTTAACCTCAGTCTCTGATTCCTTAGGTAGCACTTTCAGTCTGTGTTACTTTGTAACTAGTTGTTTGTTTCTCTGAGAGATTGTGACCTTATAGACTAGGATTTGTGTCTTCATTTCTGTGTTGGTAATGATTGGGAGCTCACTGTCACCCAGGTACTGCTTTAGGCATGCTCGGTGAGTGTGCCACATCTGTCCTCCCAGCTCCAAGCAGCTACATTCTTGCTCAGGATGTAGAGAAAGAGATGGCTGGTGAATGAATGAATGAAAAAAAAATAAGAAAATGGCCAGGTGTGGTGGCTCATGCCTGTAATCCCAGCACTTTGGAAGGCTGAGGCAGTGGATCACCTGAGGTTAGGAGTTCGAGACCAGCCTGGCCAACGTGGTGAAACCCTGTCTGTACTAAAAATATAAAAATTAGCCGGACGTGGTGGTAGCTACCTGTAATCCCAGCTACTGGGGAGGTTGAGGTGGGAGAATCACTTGAACCTGGGAGGTGGAGGTTGCAGTGAGCCGAGATCATGTTACTGTACTCCAGCCTGGGTGACAAGAGTGAAACTCCATTTCAAAAAAAGAAAATAAGAAGAAAGTGTGCAACTTGAGCATCCTTCCACGTGAGTGTCCCCCACATATCAGGGCTTCTGAGGCAGGAGTGGCCACTTCTTTTTGTCTCCAGCACATGGTGTGTGCTGGCATGCAGTTGTTGTCAAATGTTTGCAGTGTGACCGGAAGAAAGGGGTCACAGTAGGTTCATGGGTGTCATTCTGATTAGAAGTCCAGTTTCTGCGTGGGATTGGAAATAGATTATTGTTGTTGAAAACATCTCTTTAAAATAATAGCTTTATTGAGATATGATTCACACATCATACAATTTACTTGTTTAAAGTGTACAGTTTGGTGGTTTTTAGTATATTCACAGAGTTGTGCAACCACCCCTATTTTGTAATTCCAGAACATTTTTTATCCACCCAGAAAGAAACCCCGTCCCCATTAACAGTCACTCCCCATTCCCCCTCCCCTAGCCCCTGGCAAGCACTAAGCTGTCTTCTGTCTCTGTGGGTTTTCCTATTCTGGGCATTTTATATAAATGGAATCACACAACACGTGGCCTTTTGTGACTGGCATCTTTCACTCAGCGTCATGTTTTCAAGGTTCATCTCTGTAGTATCATGGATCAGTGCTTCGTTCCTTTTTAGGGTCAAGTAATATTCCGTTGTATGGATATATTGTATTTGTTTATCCATTCATCAGTCAATGAATTTAGAAAAATTCTGAGGCCAAGTGCAGTGGCTCACACTTGTAATCCCAGCACTTTGGGAGGCCAAGGTGAGTGGATGACCTGAGGTCAGGAGTTCGAGACCAGCCTGGCCAACATGGTGAAACCCGTCTCCACTAAAAATACAAAAATTAGTCGGGTGTGGTGGCACATGCCTGTAATCCCAGCTACTCGGGAGGCTTAGACAGAAGAATCGCTTGAACCTGGGAAGTGGAGGTTGCAGTGAGCTGAGATTGTGTCACTGTACTCCAGCCTTGGCAACAGAGTGAGACTCCATCTCAAAACAAAAACAAAAACAAGATTCTGAAGATATGCAGGTGGCAGTTCTTTCAGCCCTGGAAACCATTTCCCATCTTCCTCATCACCTGGGGTCAGGGGAGCATGGGCTCTGGGCAGAGGTGAGTTCACACTAGATTTTTAGACACAAAGCATTGTTCTCTTTCTGGGGCAGGGGGTGATTCTGCCCCCCAGGGGACACTTGGTGATGTCTGGAGACATTTTGGGTCATCATGATTAGGGAGTGCTTCTAGCATCTGGTGGGTGGAGGCTGGGATGCTGCCCAACCCCCTACATGTAGTGCACAGGATGGCCCCATCGTGTGGAATAATCTGGCCCCAGATGTCGGCAGTGCCAAGACTGAGAAACTTTTTTTTTTTTTTTTTTTTTTGAGATAGACTCTTGCTCTGTTGCCCAGGCTGGAGTGCAGTGGCGCAATCTCGGCTCACTGCAACCTCTGCCTCCCGAGTTCAAGTGATTCTCCTTCCTCAGCCTCCCGAGTAGCTGGGATTACAGGCATCTGCTACCATGCCTGGCTAATTTTTGTATTTGTAGCAGAGATGGGGTTTGTAGTAGAGACCATGTTGGCCAGACTGGTCTCGAACTCCTGACCTCAGGTGATCCGGCCACCTCGGCCTCCCAAATTGCTGGGATTACAGGCATGAGCCACTGTGCCCAGCCAAGGCTGAGAAACTTTTGATTAGAGGTGTAACAGTGAGGTGGGCCAGGGTGTGAGCTTTGCACCTGGTCAGGTAGAGTTCCATCCTTTGCTCCCACCTATATGGCTGTGCCATCTCTGGCAGGCTGCGACCAGGGTGGGCAAGCTTATTCCCAGTTTGACTGGCCACTGCACAGTCCAAGTGGCATGTCCGCCGTGCCTGGAGCAGGTGAATGAACCTATATGATGTGGGCTTCCCTCCTGCAGCCATGGCGCGCTGCCTCCCATACTGTAGACAGCAGGGGTTTGGCCACACCTGCAGCCAGGTGAGGCATGATCGGGTCGGCACCTGCTCCTCTCCTTTGAATTCCAAAGGACAGCATGTCACTCATGCGTGTCTGTTCACAGTTGCCGGTGGTGATGGCACCTGAGGTGTCTTGCTGCCGTGGAAGGCCAGTCAGCAGATGTTTGGCTAGAAGACAGGGACCTCACCAGGGCACAAGCACTGAAGGGTTGGGGGACAGGGCGTAAAGTCGGGAGACTGTTTGCAGGTCTTGGGGCGGAGGGGTGGGTGTGTGGGCGTTCCCTCCCACTCTTAGGCTTGGGTCAGCGTGACAGGCAGGCTGTCTATGGCGCTCTGCTGTGTGACACTGGGTGGGTTTCTCAACCCCTCTGGGCCGTAGAATCCTGAGTTGTAAAGTTGGGGCAGCGCGTTCATTCCATCAAATGACAATTTTCATTGTCTGGCATGTCTCAAGAGCCTGGGGTGCTGGGGCTCCTGCAGTGTACAGGGCATACGGGGCTGTGTTCTTGGGGAGCCAGCATAGTTTTAGGGGGGACAGGAGAGCATCAATGCATCCGAATGAAGCAGACGCCCTCAGAAGGTGGCACACGCTGGGAGAGAAGTGGCTCAGCCACGTGCTAGGAGTGGCTGGGACAGGGGTGACACAGCATCCCCAGAGAGCAGGGAAGAGCACTTCAGATTGGGGACAGGCACAGTCAGAGCCTTGTGGTGGGAATGACTTGGCGAGTTTGAGAATGGGTGGAAAGCAGGGAGGAGGGCAGGTGAGGCTGCAAGAGCTTGGATCTCCCCTGAGGGAGGGGTCTGGGAAGCCTCCCTGCTTGTTTTGTTTGTTTGTTTGTTTGTTTGTTTTTTTGAGGAGGAGCCCCCCCTGTCGCCCAGGCTGGAGTGTGGTGGTGCGATCTTGACTCACTGCAACCTCCGCCTCCTGGGTTCAAGCGATTCTTCTGCCTCAGCCTCCCAAGTAGCTGGAATTGCAGGCATGCACCACCACGCCTGAGTAATTTTGTATTTTTAGTAGAGACGGGGTTTCACCATGTTGGTCAGGCTGGTCTTGAACTCCCGACCTCAGGTGATCCGCCCACCTCGGCCTCTCGGAATGCTGGGATTACAGGTGTGAGCCACGGCGCCTGGCCCCGCTTGTTTTTGTAACAGCTTTATTGAGATGTCATTTCCATGGCATTCCGCCACTCAGTGGCTTTTAGTATATTCACATTTGCACAGCCAACACCAGTCAACTTGAGAACATTTCGTACCCCCAGAAAGAGACCCTGTCCCCATCAACAGTTACTTCCCACTCCCCCTTGCCCAGCCCCTGGCAGCCACAAATCTGCTTTGGTTGCTTGCTTTCTTTTTTTTTGGAGACAGAGTCTCAGCTCTGTCACCCAGTCTGGAGTGCAGTGGCACAATCTCAGCTCACTACAACCTCTGCCTCCCGGATTCCAGTGATTCTCCTGCCTCAGCCTCCTGAGTGGCTGGGATTACAGGCAGGTGCCACCACACCCGGCTAATTTTTGTATTTTTGAGTAGAGACAGGGTTTTGCCATGTTGGGCAGGCTGGTCTCGAACTCCTGACCTCAAGTGATTCACCCGCCTTGGCCTCCCAAAGTGCTGCGATTGCAGGTGTGAGCCACCACACCTGGTCAACTAATGTGGTTTCTGTCTCTATGGATTTGCCTGTTCTGGACATTTCATATCAATAGAATCCTACACAGTGAGGCGAATCCTGCACCATGAAGCCTTTTGTGTCTGCCTTCTTTTACTTAGCATAGTGACTTCAAGCCTCTAACTTGGATCAGTGCTTCATTTCTTTCTTTCTTTTCTTTTTCTTTCTTTTTTTTTTTTTTGAGACAGAGTCTTGCTCTGTCTCTCAGGCTGGAGTGCAGTGAGCCAAGATTACGCCACTGCACTCCAGCCTGGGCGACAGAGTGAGACTCCATCTCAAAAAAAAAAATTGATGGCCATATATATATATATATATATATGTAATATAACACTTACCATTTTGACGTTTTTTAAGTATAAAATTCAGTGGCATTAAGTTTATTCCCAGTGTGGTGCACCGTCACCGGCATGGCTCAGTAATAGTTCATGTCATATTCCATGGTGTGGGTCTACCCCGTTTTGTCCATTCATCTGGCCATGAACACGGGTTGTTTCCACCTTTGGCTGTCGTGAATCATGCTGCTGTTGGCATCTTTGTCCACGTTTTTGGGTGGATGTATATCTTCATTTCTCAGAGCATGTGCTGGGGAGTAGAGTTGCCGGGTCCTCTGGTAACTCTCCATTTATCCATTTGAGGACGTCGTGTGTCTCAGGAGGATAGCTGTGGCTGTGAGTGGGATGGGTGTGGTGTGAGCATCCGCTGCAGGTGTCCAGATCAGGGGGAATGATAGCTGGAGCAAGGGGGTGACAGAGCGGGTGGATTTGGTGGCATTTCTGCAGCAGAGCCACCCAGACGTGCTGGAGGATTGGATGTTGGGGGTGAGGGGAAGGGAAGGGGGGAGTGTCGTCTGCTTGCCAGGGGTTCAGGACATTGGGGATTCCTCGTATGACTGATCATTGATGACCTCAGACAGCAACACCTGGGCCAGAAAAAGTACCCAGGCAAGACAGTCATGGTGGCACGGTCAGGGCTGAAGGAGGGCACTCTCCTGCTGTTACCTACTGTGAAGCTGGAGTAAAACGGGCCCCTGGGCTGCAGGCACAGCGCAGTGGTGGCTCAGGTTAGCTGAGTGTGGAGCCCGCCCCCCAGTCCTGGCTTTGGCGCTATTTGTTTCTGTGCCGGCTGCTTCAGCTGTCTGCTGCCATCCGCAGCCTCCATATACAGGCAGGACTCCCTGAGCTGCTCCCTGAACAAAAGGTGGGGCAAGCTGCCCTCATCCTCATCACTCTCCAGGCCCCTCCAAAAAGCTAAGCTGTCTCAGTACTCCCCAGGTTGTGAGCTGCATGCCCTGCAGCAGGCTGAGTGGTGGCCCCTAAAAAGCATCTGCTCACCTTCTAGCCCTGTAACCCGTGAATTGGACCTTAGTTGGAAAAAAGGTTTCTGTAGATGTGATTAAGGTAAGGATCTGGAGATGAGATCATCCTGGGGGGGTGGCCCTAAATCCGGTGACTGGTATCCTTATGAAGAGTGGGCCATGGCTGGGCGCAGTGGCTCACTCCTATAATCCCAGCACTTTGGGAGGCCGGGGTGGGCAGATCACGAGGTCAGGAGATCGAGACCATCCTGGCTAACATGGTGAAGCCCCGTCTCTACTAAAAATACAAAAAAATTAGCTGGGCGTGGTGGTGAGCGCCTGTAGTCCCAGCTACTCGGGAGGCTGAGGCAGGAGAATGGCGTGAACCTGGGAGGCAGAGCTTGCAGTGAGCCGAGATCACGCCACTACGCTCGAGCATGGATGACAGAGCGAGACTCCGTCTCAAAAAAAAAAAAAAAAAAAAAGAAGAGTGGGCTGGGAGTGGCGATGCATGCCTTTAATCCCAGAGTTTTCAGAGGCCGAGGCAGGAGGATTGTTTGAGCCCAGGAGTTTGAGGTTACAGTGAATTATAATCACTCCAGCCTGGGTGACAGAGTGAGATCCTGTCTCAAAAAAAAAAAAAAGAAAAAGAAAAAGGAAAAGATGGAGGGGGACCAGGCACAGTGGCTCACGCCTGTAATCCCAACATTTTGAGAGGCTGAGATGGGACGATAACTTGAAGCCAGGAGTTTGAGACCAGCCTGGGCCACAAAGAGGGAACTCATCTCTACGAAAAAAAATTGTTTTTTAATTAGCCGGGTGTGGTGGCGTGCACCTGTAGTCCCAGCCACTTGGGAGGGTGAAGTGGGAGGATCACTTGAGCCCAAGAGTTAAGGCTGTGGTGAGCCATGATTGTACCATTGCACTCCAGCTGGGGTAAAAGAGTGAGACCCTTTTCTCCAAAAAAAAAAAAAAAAAAAAAAGACAAGAAAGGACACAGAGACACAGGGGAGAGGACCATGTGACAATGGAGGCAGAGATTGGAGCGATGTGGTCACAAGTCAAGGAATGCCCAGAGCCCCCAGAAGCTGGAAGGGATAGGAAGGGTCTTCCCCTAGAGCCTCTGGAGGAAGCATGGGCCTGCCGGTGCCTCTTTTTTTTGTTTTTTTTGAGATGGAGTCTCACTCTGTCGCCCATGTTGGAGTGCAGTGGCGTGATCTCGGCTCACTGCAACCTCCTTCTCCCGTGTTCAAGCGATCCTCCTGCCTCAGCCTCCCGAGTAACTGGGATTACAGGCTCCTGCCACCACGCCTGGGTAATTTTTGTATTTTCAGTAGAGATGGGGTTCATCCTATTGGCCAGGCCGATCTCGAACTCCTGGCCTCAAATGATCCACCTGCCTCGGCCTCCCAATGTGCTGGGATTACAGGTGTGAGCCACCGCGCTCGGTCTTCCCCACCCCCACTCTTAGGACACAATCCATACCCGAACACTGAGCTCCTACACTCCAACCCCGACCCTGTGGTCCTGATCCTCCACCCCAGGCCCTGCTCTTGCTGTCTCCCTCTGTCTCATCCAGTGTAGAGCAAGGGCCCCTGCTACTAAAAAGGGCTGAATGAAGGGTCCACTCCGGGCCTCGGTGGTAACCCCACACAAAACCTGCGGAGCCAGCTGGAGCTGGCTGGACTTATGCATCTGCAAGCGGCTGCAGCCCTGTCCTGATGTGAAGTCCACAAGGTTACCTGGTGCTACAGGTTCTGTCAGGCCCGGGGTTCCTTGCCACTGGCTAAAGTCACAAATTACCACAAAGTGAGGGGCATGAAAAACAGAAATTAATTCCCTCACCGTCATCAATATGATGAAACCCCGTCTCTACTAAAAATACAAAAATTAGCTGGGCATGGTGGCATGCACCTGTAATCCCAGCTACTCAGGAGGCTGAGACAGGAGAATTGCTTGAACTTGGGAGGTGGAGGTTGCTGTGAGCAGAGATCATGCCATTGCACTCCAGCCTGGGCAACAAGAGTGAAACTCTGTCTCAAAAAAAAAAAAAAAAGAAGTGGTTAGGGTGTGCAGCGACCAGGTCCACGTGCTCTGGGGAATCTGGGAGGGCTTCCTGGACCCTCAGCGTGTGTGAAACCAGGGGCTGCAGGGCTGGGTGAGGAGCAGATGTCCCTGGCTCAGGAACAGGCATGGCACTTGTGGCTCTGCAGTTAGAAATTCATTTTTCTGGGCCGGGCACGGTGGCTCACGCCTGTAATCCCAGCACTTTGGGAGGCCGAGGCAGGCGGATCACAAGGTCAGGAGATAGAGACTATCCTGGCTAACATGGTGAAACCCTGTCTCTACTAAAAATACAAAAAATTAGCTGGGCATGGTGGCACGTGCCTGTAGTCCCAGCTACTCGGGAGGCTGAGACAGGAGAATCGCTTGAACCTGGGAGGTGGAGGTTGCAGTGAGCCAAGATAGTGCCACTGTACTCCAGCCTGGGCGACAGAGCGAGACTCCGTCTCAAAAAAAAAAAAAAAAAAAAGAAATTCATTTTTCGGCCGGGTATGGTAGCTCACACCTGTAATCCTAGTATTTTGGGAGGCCGAGGTGGGCAGATCACGAGGTCAAGAGATCGAGACCACCCTGGGCAACATAGTGAAACTCTGTCTTTACTAAAAATACAAAAATTAGCCAGGTGTGGTGGTGTGCACCTGTAGTCCCAGCTACTTGGGAGGGTGAGGCAAGAGAATTGCTTGAACCAGGGTGCTGGAGGTTGCAGTGAGCCGAGATTGTGCCACTGCACTCCAGCCTGGGTGACAGAGTGAGACACCGTCTAAAAAAAAAAAAATTCATTTTTCATGGCTTGCCAGCACCTACCACCAAATGTGCAATCAAGACAGGTTTTACCAAGGAGCTTAACTCTTTTGTTTTTGTTTTTTTTTTTTTTGAAACAGAGTTTCTCTCTGTCGCCCAGGCTAGAGTGCAGCGGTGTGATCTCAGCTCACTGCAAGCTCCGCCTCCTGGGTTCACGCCCTTCTCCTGCCTCAGCCTCCTGAGTAGCTGGGGCTACAGGCGTCCACCACCATGCCCGGCTACTTTTTTTTGTATTTTTAGTAGAGACAGGGTTTCCCCATGTTCGCCAGGATGGTCTTGATCTGATCTCGTGATCCACCCGCCTTGGCCTCCCAAAGTGCTGGGATTACAGGCGTGAGCCACCATTCCCGGCCCGCTTAACTCTTACTGTTTGCAGGCACACTGATGTACTCTGTTTTGTTCTAATATGAAAATTAGCCTGGGCTGGGTGGGCACAGTGGCTCACACCTGTCATCCCAGAGCTTTGGGAGGCCAAGGCAGGTGGACCACCTGAGGTCAGGAGTTCGAGCCAGCCTGGCCAACATGGTGAAACCCTGTCTCTACTAAAATACAAAAATTAGCTGGGCATGGTGGCGGGCACCTGTAACCCCAGCTATTCTGGTGGCTGAGGAAGGAGAATCGCTTGAACCTGAAAGGTGGAGGTTGCAGTGAGCTGAGATTGCACCACTGCACTCCCCAGCCTGGGTAACAGAGCGAGACTCCGTCTCAGAAAAAAAAAAAAAAAAATAGGCTGGCATGGTGGCTCATGCCTGTGGTCCCAGCTACTTGGGAGGCTGAGGCGAGAGGTTCCCTTGAGCCTAGGAGCTTGAGGCTGCAGTGAACTATGATCACGCCACTTCACTCCAGCCTGGCCGACAGAGAGACTCCATCTCAAAAAAAAAAAAAAAAAAAGAAGAAGAGACGAAGAAAAAAATAAAAAGTACCAGTTGGGACCCACTGAATTGATAACTTACTAATCCAGAGCTCTGTAAGCTACGTCTCTTTATTTTATTAGAACATGGGCACAACCATTTATTCCTTTTTTGTGGCTGCTTTTGTGGGACATCAGCATAGTCCCATGCAACAGAGATCATGCGGTCCACTGTGGCTTTGACCTCCTGGGCTCTAGCGATCCTCCCACCTCAGCCCCCTGAGTAGCTGGGACCACAGGTGTTAGCCACCATGCCCGGCTAATTTTTTTATTTTTTGTAGAGACAGGGTCTTCTCCCTGTGTTGTCCAGGCTGGTCTCAAACTCCTGTGCTCAAGCAATTGTCCCATCTTGGCCTCCCAGAGTGTTGGGATTACAGGTGTGAGTCACTGCGCCAGGCGCATCTGGCCCTTCACAGAAGGGATTGGCTGGCCTCTGGGACTCACACACAGTTTGAAACCCACTGACCTCAAGTGTTAAGGAAGATCAGCTGCAGGGGCTGGGGGTGGTTAGCAAGGAGAGTGAGGTTGGCGGCAGTTCTCCCACTTTCAGCGACCTCTTTTTTTTTTTTTTTGAGAGAGGGAGTCTTGCTCCTATAAGATCTTGGCTCACTGCAACCTCTGCCTCCTGGGTTCAAGTGATTCTCCTGCCTCAGCCTCTCAAGTAGCGGAGACTATAGGCACGCGCCACCATGCCCAGCCAATTTTTGTATTTTTAGTAGAGATGAGGTTTCACCATGTTGGCCAGGCTGCTCTCCAACTCCTGACATCAAGTGATCTGCCCGCCTCGGCCTCCTAAAGTGCTGGGATCACAGGCATGAGCCAATGTGCCCAGCTAATTTTTGTACTTTTGGTGGAGTTGGGGGTTTCGCCATGTTTGCCAGGCCGGTCTCGAACTCCTGGTCTCGAGACCTGCCCGCCTTCGCCTCTCAAAGTGCTGGGATTACAGATGTGAGCCACTGCGCCCGGCCTGGGGATTTCTTTTTTTAAATGGGACTCTGTAAAATGCCATATGGACAGCACAAGTGGGGTCTGCCCTGGGTAGAGACTGGCCTGAACCCAGGGTCAGGGAAACATCAAAATCCACAGGTTATTCCGTGCAGAGTAGGGGGCTCACTTGGGGCCGATTCTGCCCCTGGGGGCATTTGGCAACTTTTGGGGACATTTGTGGTTGTCACGACGGGGAATGGGGTGCTACTGGCATCCAGTGGGCAGAGACTGAGGATACTGGTCAACACTACAGTACACACGGCCGGGTGTGGTGGCTCACGCTTGTAATCCCAGCACTCTGGGAGGCTGAGACAGGCAGATCACGAGGTCAGGAGATCGAGACCATCCTGGCTAACACAGTGAAACCCCGTCTCTACTAAAAATACGGAAAATTGGCTGGGCGTGGTGGTGGGCGCCTGTGGTCCCAGCTACTCGGGAGGGTGAGGCAGGAGAATGGCGTGAACCCGGGAGGCAGAGCTTGCGGTGAGCCGAGATCGCGTCACTGCGCTCCAGCCTGGGCGACAGAGTGAGACTTCATCTCAAAAACAAACAAACAAACAAACAAAAACACTACAGTACACAGGATGGCCCCCACCACAGGGAATTATCCAGCCCTAAGTGTCAGCAGTGTCACAGTCCAGAAGCCCTGGTGTCAGGCCCTGTGTGTGCCGGGAGCATGCAGGTGCAGAGGGGTGGGTGGAGGCTACTGGCTACATGAGATGCAAACCTGGATCCTGTAGTACATGACTGCTCTGGGCAGCTGGTGGCGTCCTCCCGGGTTTACAGAGTGGGAGACAGGCCCGGAGAGCGAATGTCATAGAGCGCTAGAGTGGAGAGGCTGCCATCTGACCCAGGTTGGACTAACCCCGCAGCCTGTGTGTTTTTGCCGTGTCACGGAGTTCTGGGAGTTGGCCGGCTGGTCAGGGTGAGGCAGGGCGGTTCAGGCTGCTGGAAGCCTGTGTGCCGAGGAAGGGGCCCTCAGAGCAGGTACGACAGTGGGTGGAGGGCCTGGAGCCAGGCCCTGCCATGTGGAGCCATGGAAGGTTCTAGTGGGATGGCAATGTGAGTGACAGTGGGGGTCCAGGGAGTGGCAGGAACTGGCCTTGCTAGAATCCATGTATTTGTGCACAGTGGATTGTTGCAGTAACTCATGAGAAAGGGCCTGTTGCCTGCCCCCATGGCACAGATGAGAAATTGAGGCACAGGAGGTCACATGGCTGACGGTGGGAGGAGGAGCTGGGACTTGAACCTGTGTCTGACTCCAAGGCCCATGCGGAGGACCTTGTTGTACGCTGAGCCTCAGTTCATGTTCATCTGTTGAGAAGCATAGAGGTTGTCCCTGGTTTTTCTCAACCTAAACATTCTTTGTGTTTGTCCCAGTGCATGTACTGGGGGAGTGGGGACCTCTCCAAGGTGCCTGCCTGGGAATGGCCCCACCTGTGTGTCCCTGAGCCCCCTCCAGTAGGGAGGAGGGCGAGCAGCTGGAGGTGTGCCACTCACGGAGGAAGACTCGGGGCATTTAGGAGGTGATGGTGACAGGGATTATTGGGAGGGCGGGTGGGGGAGTCCCAGGCTGCAGCGTGGGAACCAGAATCACAGGGGAGGGGTGGGGGGTAGGAGAGTCCTGCTTCACCTTGGAGCTCATGGGATAGAACACACCCCCACTTTATTTCTGGTTGGGGTATGTCTCTGACCTCCAACAGGTCCTGCGTGGCCCCTGGGTGGAGGTGGGTGCCCTGTTCTTCTGGGTGTGGCTGTGGTGCCAGCAGCTGGATGGGGGTCCAGGTGTGTAAATAAGGAAGTGCCGCGTGCCTCGAGGGCCAGGGATGCCCGAGAGCCAATGTTTATTATTTGCCAACTGGAAACGAAGCATGGCCGGGGCCTCCTCCTTGGGGTTCTTGCACGGAGGGATTCAGAAGCACTTGGCACCGGGGGGAGCAGCCTCATCGGTGTCCAGCCAGGGCCACACAGTCAGCCTCAGCCCCCACCTCGCTTCCTTCTGGGCGAGCTTAGACCTGGGAGGCCTCTTTTTTTTTGGAGTGCCGTGGTGCGATCTCAGCTCAGCAACCTCTGCCTCTCGTGTTCAAGCGATTGTCCTGCCTCAGCCTCCTGAATAGCTGGGATTACAAGCGTGCACCGCCATACCTGGCTAATTTTTGCATTTTTGGTAGAGATGGGGTTTCACCATGTTGGCCAGGCTGGTCTCCAACTTCTGACCTCAAGTAATTCTCCCTCCTTGGCCTCCCAAAATGCTGGGATTACAGGCATGAGCCAATGCTCTTGGCCCAACCTGGGAGGCCCTGCTGTCTTTGGTGCATGGTGCAGTAGGGGTCACAGTGGTCTCTGCCTCATTGGATCATGGTGAGACGTGAATGTGAAGGCATCTGGTGTATCTGGAATGGGGCCTGGCATAGATACTCACTGTGTGCTCACTGCTGCCAAGATGCTGGAGGTGTGGCTACTGTGGACACATGGTGTACCCAGTTGGCACTGGGCAGGCATTTGGCAGGCATCCAACAGGTGCTTGATGGGGACACAGCAGGCCTGCAAGAGGCACTTCGTGCCCACACAAGGAAATATTTAGCAGATGTTCAGTAGGTGCCCAGTAGATGCTCAGCAGGCACACAGTGTGTACTCAGCTGGTGTTCAACAGGCTAATGGTATGTACTCAGCTGGTGCTCAGCAGGCTTACAGTGTGTGTTCTGCAGGTGCTCAGCAGGTGCACGGTGTGTTCTGCAGTGTGTACTCAGCAGGTGCTCGGCAGGCACACGGTAGGTGCTCTGCAGGTGCACAGTTTGTGTTCTGCAGGCGCTCAGCTGGCGCAGCATGTACTCAGCAGGCGCTCAGCAGGCACTCAGCAGGCACACAGTGTATACTCAGCAAGTGCTTAGTAGGTGCACAGTGTGTACTCAGCAGGCACTCAGCAGGCACAGTGTGTACTCAGCAAGTGCTTAGTAGGTGCACAGTGTGTACTCAGCAGGCGCTCAGCAGGCACAGTGTGTACTCAGCAAGTGCTTAGCAGGTGCACAGTGTGTACTCAGCAGGTGCTTAGCAGGCACACAGTTTGTACTCAGCAGGCGCTCAGCAGGCACACACAACAGTGTGTACTCAGCAAGTGCTTAGCAGGTGCACAGTGTGTACTCAGCAGGCACTCAGCAGGCACAGTGTGTACTCAGCAGGCGCTCAGCAGGCGCTCAGCAGGCACAGTGTGTACTCAGCAGGCACTCAGCAGGTGCACAGTGTGTACTCAGCAGGCGCACAGTGTATACTCACCGGGCGCTCAGCAGGCGCAGTGTGTGCTCAGCAGGTGCTCAGCAGATGCGCAGTGTGTACTCATCAGGTTCTCAGCACATGCACAGTGTGTACTAAGCAGGTGCTCAGCAAGTGCAGTGTGTACTTAGCAGGCACTTAGCAGGCGCACAGTGTGTATTCCACAGGTGCACAATGTGTATACAGGTGCTCAGCAGGCGTACAGTGTTCAGCAGGCACACGGTGTGTATTCAGCAGGTGCACAGTGTGTATTTGGTTGCTGAGCAAGTGCACACTGTGTACTCAGTAGGCGCAGTGTGTGCTCTGCGGGCACTCAGCAGGTGCACAGTGTGTATTTAGCAGGCGCTCAGCAGGTGCATAATGTGTATTTAGCAGGTACTCAGCAGGCGTACCGTGTGTGCTCTGCAGGCGCTTAGCAGGTGCACAGTGTGTATTTAGCAGGCACTCAGCTGACACACAGTGTGTATTTAGCAGGCGCTCAGCAGGCACAGTGTGAACTCAGCAGGTGCTCAGCAGGCATCAGCAGGCTCTGGAATCTGACCTCCCTGTGGGCAGGCCTGTCTCCAGTTCATTCTGGAATCTCATAGAAGCAGGTGCTCTCTAAGAGGGCCAGTACCATGTCACATGGTCCAATGTCCCCACTTCAGTCCTGGGAGGGGTGTGCGGGGTCTTCTCAATACCTCCATCTGGGAACATGTACCGGCTGTTGAGGGGCCCTGAAGTGAGAAGAGTAGTTTGTGGTCTTCCTGGAGCTCACATTTTTCTAAGCAAATCCTGAGCCTGTATACTTGTACGGAACACAGTGTGTTCCAGGGTCAAATCCTCGGGGTAGGATGGCCCTGGGGCTGCATGATGGTGCCCACCCAGCCCTCTGAGTGCCTGAACAAGAAGCACTGGGGTGGCCCGGTGAGTTCTCCCTGCAGCAGTGAGGGTTTGGATAGGAAAGTCCATTCCTCGAGTCAGTTGGTATTTCCTGAGCATCTCCTGTGAGCTGGCCCCGGAGACACCTTGGAGAGCAGGTCAGCTGGAGACCCTGCCCTAGGGAGTGACAGGAAGCCACACCTGTGCCAGCTGGCCCTGCCCCTGAGGTTGCGGCTCTGAGCCAAAGCGAAGAGCCTGGCCTCGCCTGGCTCTGGGGGTGATGCCTCGTGGGCCAGGGTGAGGGGTTGAGATCTGGTCCTGGGATGGGGAGGGTTTTGAGCAGGGCAGTGATGTGGGATTTATGCTTTGCAAGGATCCCATTGGCTGCCATGTGGGGACAGGCCTGGGAGGAACGAGTAGGGAGCAGCAGGAGGCCTAGGAGGGGCCAGGGCAGGTGTCCCCCGGAGATAGTGGGTGCTGGGGCTCTGTGATGACCTGGGGCTTGGCAAAGGCGGGCTTGTGACAGACTGAGCCTCATCTCGGCAGCTCTCACACCCATGGATCCTGAGCCTGATTCCCCAGGAGGGTTGGCGACGGGAGGGTTATGTTAAGTGGCTGCGTCTTCCATCTCAGGGAGCCCCACACTGGGGAACGTCACCACTATAGCGGCTGAGAGGCTTTGGGTCCTCATTTACTACATAAAATTCCCCCTTCTCTGTACTTGGGTCCTGACGCCTCCGCTGGTCCCAGGAGTTTCACTCCGTGGGGTGGGGTTGAAGGGTGCGGTGAGGCCCAGAGGGGCTGAGTCTGCTTGGAAGGGTGGGCCTTCTCCCACTGCGGGTGCTAATACCCTGTGCCCATATCCTAGCCACCCTGTCCCTTATCCACATACCCCACTCTGGTATTTCAACAGCCCAGAGACCACCACGGTGCTTGGGGGCTCTCGGCAAGGGGGCGAAGCCTCCCTGAGAACTTCTGCAGGCCGCCCTTCTCTTCCCTTTCCTGCCGGGGCTCTTGCTGCAGAGAAGCTCTCTGCCACACTTTTTTTTTTTTAAATAAAAAAAATGAAAATAAAGAAATCATTTATGTTTCAAAACTTTGATTAAAATTGAAAACAGAAACACCACAGCACTTCCCGTTTCCTCTGCATCTGGCACCACTCACCTGGGTGCAGAGGGTGGGTGGGTGCATGCCAGCTGGTCATTCGCCCGGAAATCTCTGGGAGGAAGTATCAGCACAGCCTAGCAGGGCGCCTGGGACTGGCTCTGTGGGCTGGCCGTCCCTCTGGCTGGGGACACGGGGAGGCCGAGCGTGTCCGCAAAGACACGCGAGCTGTCCACCTTTCTGGGCTGCAGGGGTCTGCAGAACCTCGGAACCTCGGAGGGGCTCTCTGTCTGCTTCAGCGTCTCTTTCTCAAGTGACTGAAAGCAGAGGCTCCCTGCTGCGTTACACCATTGAGTCCTTTCGCATCTGTGCGCATCCCGCTTCCATCGCTGCGGGGATCCCTTCGGTCCTCCCAGGCAGGCGAGATTGGTGGCTGTAATTAGGACAGGAGTGGCTCATTATATCATCACAGAATAAATGCACAGACCCTGGGGATGATTTATGGTCCCAACAGCCTATCTTTGCGCCCAGGCGGCCTCGGCCTCTGTTCGGCAAGGAGCCCGCTAATCCCTTCACTGCCGGCTCAGCCGGGGCAGAAGGAGGAGCCTGAAGGTCCACCATGGGGTGGAGGCTGCCTGCTCGCGGGCCCGCCCCCAGAGCCCGGGGCTCATCACGCTGCTCTATGCGCCTCTGTTGGCTCCTGCCAAACAGTCCCTCCCTTCTGTGCCTCAGTTTCCTGGCTGTAAAAAGGGGGTGCTCACAGAGCCCCCTTGAGGAGTCGTCACATGGATTAGATGATGCATCCACGCAAAGTGTCTGGCCCCGTGCCCGGCCCGTGGTGGGTGCACACCTTGAAAGATGCCTGCTTGGCCGAGGCCAGCTGTTGAGCTGCTACTTGGGGCAACAGTGAGAGCAGGATCGCACCTTGTTCACCTCTGTGCCTTGGCCCAGAATATGACAGCTGCCACTGTGTGGCTTATGGGTCATCTGTTTAGTTTCACCTGAGGGAGTATTCATTGCTGTTAACTGTTTCTTATGAGATAGGATTTTTGTTTTTTGTTTTTTGAGACAGAATCTCACTCTGTCACCCAGGCTGGAGTGCAATGGCGCCATCTCAGCTCACTGCAACGTCCACCTCCTGGGTTCAAGCGATTCTCCTACCTCAGCCTCCTGAGTAGCTGGGATTACAGGCGTGTGTCACCAGGCCCAGCTAATGTTTTTTATTTTTTTTGTATTTTTAGTAGAGACGGGGTTTCACCATGTTGGTCGGGCAGGTCTCCAACTCCTGATCTCAAATGATCCGCCCACCTTGGCCTCCCAAAGTGCTGGGATTATAGGCATGAGCCACCGCGCCCACCGTTTTGTTTTTTTTTTTTTTTTTTGAGACGGAGTTTCACTCTTGTTGCCCAGGCTGGAATACAGTGGTGCAATCTCGGCTCACCGCAACCTCCTCCTCCCGGGTTCAAGCAATTCTCCTGTCTCAGCCTCCCGAGTAGCTGGGATTATAGGCGTGTACCACCACACCCGGCTAATTTTGTATTGTTAATAGAGATGGGGTTTCTCCATGTTGGTCAGGCTGGTCTTGAACTCCCGACCTCAGGTGATTTGCCCGCCTCAGCCTCCCAAAGTGCTGGCATTACAGGCGTGAGCCACTGTGCCCAGCATTTTTTTTTTTTTTTGAGACAAGGTCTGGCTCTGTTGCCCAGGCTGGACTGCAGTGGTGTGATCTTGGCTCACTGTAGCCTCAATTTCCTGGGCTCAGGCAGTCCTCCTGCCTCAGCCGCCTGAGTAGCTGAGACCATAGGTGTGTACCACCACAGCTGGCTAATTTTTAGTATATATTTTTTGTAGAGACAGGAGTCTCCCTGTGTTGCCTACGCTGGTCTCAAACTCCTGGGCTCAAGTGATCCTCCTCCTGCCTGGGCCTCCCAAAGTGCTGGCTTGAGCCCCATACCTGGCTTCTTAGGGGATAGTCTTTTTTTTTTTTTTTTTGAGATGGATTTTCGCTCTTGTTGCTCAGGCTGGAGTGCAATGGCACAATCTTGCCTCACCGCAACCTCCACCTCCCGGGTTCAAGCGATTCTCCTGCCCTCAGCCTCCCGAGTAGCTGGGATTTCAGGTATGCGCCACCACACCCGGCTAATTTTGTATTTTTAGTAGAGGCAGGGTTTCTCCATGTTGGTCAGGCTGGTCTCGAATTCCCAACCTCAGGTGATCCACCTGCCTCGGCCCCCCAAAGTGCTGGGATTACACAGGAGATAGTCTCTTAGACTTTGTGAAAAGTTTTGGAGATAGTGCAGGGAATACCCATAACCCCCCACCTGTTTCCCACATTGTGAACATCACACGTGACCTGGTTGCGACGGCCGGGCTGGGACCTCCAGTTGTCACAGTTCTTTTTTTTTTGAGATGGAGTCTCGCTCTCGCTCTGTTGCCTCAATTTCCTGGGCTCAGGCAGTCCTCCTGCCTCAGCCTCCTGAATAGCTGAGACTCGGCTCACTGTAAGCTCCACCTCCTGGGTTCACGCCATTCTCCTGCCTCAGCCTCCCGAGTAGCTGGGACTACAGGCGCCTGCCACCACGCCCGGCTAATTTTTTTGTGTGTATTTTTAGTAGAGATGGGGTTTCACCTTGTTAGCCAGGACGGTCTCGGTCAGGATAGAGACGGGGTTTCACTGTGTTAGCCAGGATGGTCTCAATCTCCTGACCTCGTGATCTGCCCACCTTGGCCTCCCAAAGTGCTGGGATTACAGGCGTGAGCCACCGCTCCTGGCCCAGTTGTCACAATTCTATTAACTAGACTCCAGACTGTGTTTGGATTTCCCCGGATTGCTCCTTTAAGCACCTTCTCTGGACAGGGTTGTGTGTTGCATTTATTTACTTACGTATTTATTTATGCATTTATTTATTTATTTATTTATGATAGAGTCTTGTTCTGTCGCCTAGGCTGGAGTGCAGTGGCACGATCTCAGCTCACTGCAAGCAACCTCCACCTCCCAGGTTCAAGCGATTCTGGTGTCTTAGCCTCCCAAGTAGCTGAGATTATAGGCATGCACCACCATGCCCGGCTAATTTTTGCGTTTTTAGTAGAGATGGTGTTTCGCTGTGTTGACCAGGCTGGTCTTGAACTGCTGACCTCAGATGATTCGCTTGCCTTGGCCTCCCAAAGTGCTAGGATTATAGGTTTGAGCCACCGTGCCTGGCTAATTTTTGCATTTTTAGTAGAGATGGGGTTTCACTATGTTGGCCAGGCTGGTCTCGAACTCCTGACCCCAAGTTATCTGCCTGCCTTGGCCTCCCAAAATGCTGGGATTGCAGGCGAGAGCCACTGCGCCTGGCAACGTGTTGCATTTAGTCAAAGCATCTCCTTTGATTCCTCCAATCTGTGATGGTTCCTCAATGTCTCCTCATCATCCGTGACCTTCACTCTCTTGAGGAGAGCTGGTCAGGTGTTTTGTGGAATGTCCTTATTGTGGTCTTGTGGAGGTTTTCTGGCAATTGGACTGAGGTTGTGGGATTTTGGTGGGGATCCCACAGAAGTGAAGTGCTCGTTTTCTTTTTATATTTTTTCTTTTTTTATATTTAAAATAGGGATCTGCCTGTGTTGCCCAGGTTGGAGTGCAGTGCTCACTGCAGCCAGGAATTCCTGGGCTCAAGCAATCTTTCCACCTCAGCCTTTCAAGTAGCTGGGACTACACCATCATGCCTGGCTTTGTTTTAAAATTCTTTTGTAGAGACGGGGGTCTTGCCATGTTGCCCAGGCTCAAGTGATCCACCCTCCTTGGTCTCCCAAAGTGCTAGGATTACAGGCGTGAGTCACCATGCCCAGCCTTTTTCTTTTTTTTAAAGTTAGTAAAATACACATAACATGTGGCCAGATGCGGTAGCTCTTGTCTGTAAGCCCAGCACTTTGGGAGACTGAAGCAGGTGGATCACCTGAGGTGAGGAGTTCGAGACCAGTCTAGTCAACATGTTGAAACCCCGTCTCTATTAAAAATACAAAAATTAGCTGGGTGTGGTGGCAGGCGCCTGTAATCCCAGCTACTCGGGATGCTGAGGCAGGAGAATCGCTTGAACCCTGGAGGCAGAGGTTGCAGTGAGCCATGATCGCACCACTGCACTGCAGCCTGGGCAACAGAACAAGACCCTGTCTCAAAAACAAACCAAAAACAAAACAAATACACATAACGTGTAAGTTACTGTCTTAACCTTAAGTGTGCAGTTCAGTGGCATTTAGTAAGTATCCTCACATTGTTTTGCAATCATCACCACCATCTGTGTTCAGAGCTTTTGCATCTTCCCGCACAGAAACTCTGTCCCCATTAAACACTCACCCACCCACCCCCTACCCCCCAATCCCCAACCCCCACCCTCCTACTACCCTCCATTCCCTCCCAGCCCCTGGCAACCACCATCCTATTTTCCACCTCTATGAGTTTGACGACTCCAGGGACCTCATGTAAGGAGAATCATCCAGGATTTATCATTTTGTGTCTGGCTTATTTCACTGAGCATAATGTCCTCAAGGTTCGTCCACGTTGTAACGTGTCAGAACGTCCTTCCCCTCTAAGGCTGTTATTCCACTGTATGGATGGGACACATTTTGTTTATCCGTTCATCTGTTGATGGACATTTGGCTGGTTTCACCATTTGGCTATTGTGCGTAGTGCTGCTGTGAACATTGGTGTACATCTCTTTGAGTCCCTACTCATAATTTTTTTGGGTATATTCCCAGACATGGGATTGCTGGATCATGTGTAATTGTATGTTTAATTTTTTTTGAGACAGAGTTTTGCTCTACCACCCATGCTGGAGTGCAGTGGCGTGATCTCGGCTCACCACATCCTCTGCCTCCTGGGTTCAAGCGGTTCTGCCTCAGCCTCCCGAGTAGCTGGAATTACAGGCGCATGCCACCACACCTGGCTAATCTTTGTGTTTTTAATGGAGATGGGGGTTTCACCATGTTCGCCAGGCTGGTCTCGAACTCCTGACCTCAGATGATCCACCTGCCTTGGCCTCCCAAAGTGCTGGGATTACAGGCGTGAACCACCACGCCCAGCCAGCATGTTTAATTTTTTGAGGAACTGCCACACTGTTCTCTGTAGTGGCTATACCATTTTATGTTCCTACCAACAGTGTATAAGGATTTCAGTTTCTCCATATCCTCAATAACACTTGTTATTTTCTGATTTTTTGATAATAGCCATCCTAATGTCTACTAATATTTACTAATCCTAATATTTTTTTTTTGCAAAAAATGATATTTTGATAGGGATTGTGGTTTTGGTTTGCATTTCCCTAATGATTAGTGATGTTGAGCATCTTTTCATGTGCTTCTTGGCCATTTGTCTGTCTTTGGAGAAATGTTTATTCAAGTCCTGTGCCCTTTTCCTTTTCCTCTCTCTCTCTCTTTTTTTTTTTTTTTAATGCTTTTTAGTATATTCATACTTTATCTATTTTAAATTGGGTTGTTTTTCTTTTTGCACTTGGAGATCCTGTTTTCCCAGAGCTATTTGTTGAAAAGACCATCCTTTTCCCATTGAGTAGTTTGGCACCCTTGTTGAAAATCACTTGACCATATATGTGACAGTTTATTTCTGGGCTTTCTATTCTATTCCATTGGTCTTTTTTTTTTTTTTTTTTTTTTTTTTTTTTTTTTTTTTTTTAGACAGAGTCTTGCTCTGTCTCTCAGGCTGGAGTGCAGTGGTGCAATCTTGGCTCACTGCAACCTCCTCCTCCCGGGTTCAAAGCGATTCTCCTGCCTTAGCCTCTTGAGTAGCTGGGATTACAGGTGCCCATCACCACACTCAGCTAATTTTTGTATTTTTAGTAGAGATGGGGTTTCACCATGTTGGCCAGGCTAGTCTTGAACTCTTGACCTCAGATGATCCCCCCCGCCTTGGCCTCCCGAAGTGTTGGGATTATAGGCGTGAGCCACCACATCTGGCCCCATTGGTCTTTATGTTTCTCTTTATGCCAGTATCACACTCTTTTGATTACTGTAGCTTTGTAGTTAAGTTTTGAGATCAAGAAGTGTGAGTCTTCCAATTTTGTTATTCTTTTTCAATATTGTCTTGGCTATTTGAGGTTTTTTGAGATTCTGTATGGATTTTAGGGTGGATTTTTTTCTATTTCTGCGAAAAAGGATATTTTGATAGGGATTGTGGTTTTGGTTTGCATTTCCCTAATGATTAGTGCTGTTGAGCATCTTTTCATGTGCTTATTGGCCATTTGTCTTTGGAGAAATGTTTATTCAAGTCCTTTGCCCTTGTTTTTTAGCGCTTTTTAGTACATTCACATTTTGACTATTTTTAAATTGGGTTGTTTTTCTTTTTGTTGGTGGGTTGTAAGAGTTCTTTATATAGTCTACATATTGATCCCTTATCATCTATATGATTCGCAAATATTTTCTCTCATTCCGTGGGAATGGGGCCTTTTCACTCTGTTGATTACGTCTTTTGATGCACAAGTGTTTTTAATTTTGGCAGCATCCAATTTATGTATTTTTTCTTTTGTTGCCTGTGCTTTTGGTGTCCGATCCAAGAAATTATTGCCAACTCCAGTGTATGAAGCTTTTCCTCTGTTTTCTTCCAAGAGTTTTATAGTTTTAGTATATATAGTTTTAGCTTTTATGGTTTTAGTTATAGAGTTACAGTTTTAGTTTTTTACTTTTATAGTTTTAGCTTTAGATCTTTGATCCGTCTTGAGTTAATTTTTGTATATGGTGTTAGATCAGGGCACAGCTTCATTCTTTTGCATATGGAGATCTTGTTTTTCCAGAGCCGTTTTGTTGAAAAGACTGTCCCTTCCCCGTTGAATGGTTTGGCACCCTTGTTGAAAATCACTTGACCATATATGTGAGGGTTTATTTCTGGGCTTTTATTCTATTCCATTGGTCTTGATGTTTGTCTTTATGTCAGTACCACACTGTTTTGATTACTGTAGCTTTGTAGTTAAGTTTTGAAATAACAAAGTGTGAGTCCTCCAATTTTGTTATTTTTCAAGATTGTCTTGTCTATTTCAGATTCCTTGAGATCCCATATGGATTTTAGGGTGGATTTTTTTCTATTTCTTCAGGAAATGGTATTTTGGTAGGGATTGCATTGAATCTAGACTGTTTTGGGTAGTATTGCCACCTCTGAAATATTAAGTTGTGGCCGGGCACAGTGGTTCACGCCTGTAATCCCACCACTTTGGGAGGCCAAGGCAGGAGGATCACTTGAGCCCAGGAGTTCAAGACCAGGCAGAGCAACGTAGTCAGATCCTGTCTCTATTTAAAACAACAACAACAAAAAGAAGTCACACTCTCCTCCTCCCAGCTATGTGACCCTGGGCAAGCCCATAATTGGCCCCTGCCTCAGTTTCCCCATCTGTAAGATGTGCCATGAAGGGGGCTAACTCTGTCAATGCATGAACAGTCCTCAGGACTGTAGCTTGCACAGGTAGTGCTCCATGAAGGCAGCCATGTCTCCTGGGAGGGCTGCCTGGAGGAGGAGAGCTCTGCAGTGGGACATTAGGGGTGAGGTCCGAGTTGCCGGTGCAAGAGGTGGGTAGGGAAGGGAAGGCTCTTTGGGTGGAGGAGAAACAGCATATATGGGGCCCAGAGGCCTACAGGAGGCAGGGAAGGAGGAAGGAGAGAGGAGACCCAGATCTGGAAAGGCCCAAGAGCCAAGCTGGAGAGCTTGGACGTGATCCCACAGCCAGCTATGGGGTGGGGAGGGGTGACCCAGGATCAGCTTTGAGCTTTAAGAAAGGCTAGAGAAAAGGTGGTGGGGTTGGAGAGGAGAACAGGGAAGGGAGTTGTGGGTTCTGGAGGGGCTCAGGAACTGCAGAGGAGAGGTGAACCCAGGGTGCCCGAGAGAGGAACGGGGCCACCCCGGGTTTCTGGCTTCTGTATCAGCATCAGGAAGATCATGGCACTGTCTGCCAGGGCCAGGTGAATTGGGCACGTTGGCTGGGGGAATCGGGACCATGACGAGCCTGGTGAGGGGCTGCTGGGCTGGAGGAGTCTCCTGGGGCATCACAGGGAATGTTCTGGAAGCAGGGCTGGGGCGGCACTTGGGAGTTAGCTGACAGTAAGGAGTGACGTGAGAAACACAGAGGCCAAGTCCTCGGGGAGCCAAGTTTGAGAGGCAGACGGAGCGTGGGGACCGAGGTCAGGGCTCCTGTGGGGCCGGCCTGGCCCTTCCCTTCCCACCGCCGTTCGGGACCCTGTGGTATCTTCCGTGGGCACTGGCCCTGCTCCCAGCTGAGCGGTGCCCAGAAGCAGGAGGACCCTGGTTTCCTGCCCCTACTCAGCCACCCTGCCCACGCCGTGGCAAGCCCAGAGCTGTGCTCAGTTCAGGCAGCCGTGTGGCCACCCTGGTGACTCCTCCCTGCCGCTCCCTGCTGTCCTGTCCTCCGTGGGGTGCTGTCTCTAGGCCCGGGAGGAAGGCTGAGGGGAAGGCCTCATGGGTGCAGTGGGTAAATGTCCACCCGGTACCTCCTCTGAGCCCGCATGGTGCTCGGAGGTGCAGGGTCCCAGGGCTGTTTCTGGAGCAGCAGGTGCCAGGCATGGCATGGGAGGGGCCTTGTGGAGCCCAGAGTCGCAGGTGCACCTGGCAGTGGGCAGAGCAGCTGCAGAGGCTTGGTGTTGGCAGGGTGCACATGAGGAGGTGGTAGCCAAGGGGACAGGGCCTCCCAGCCTGGTGCCCGCAGCCTCCCTCACACAGGGACCACCTTTCCCCTCACCTGGCCCCTCATCCTCTGTCCTGATGTCCCCTCATGGTGCCTTTTTATGCCCACCTTGCCCCCACACGTAACCCTCAGGCAGTGGGAGAAGGGCTGCAGCAGGGGGGTGTGGCTCCTGGTGCAGGGGACAGGCCAGGTGGCAGGAGCCAGGACAGCTTCAGAGGGAGAAGCCTCCAGGCCCAAAATGGGGCCTAGACAGGAAGGAGGGAGCGGGCAGGTTAAGAAGGGCAGTATCTGCATGGGGCTGAGAGGGAGCAGAGAGGGCATCTGAGGGTGGCTGGGGGCTGTGTCTGAGCAAGGCCATGGATGGGAGTTGGGATGAGCCTCTGTACCTGCGGACACCCCTGCTGAGGTCCTCTGGGAAGCCGGCAGTGCACCTAGGACTCCACCTGGGGGAGATGGGTCCCGTCTGCCCTGGGCGGGCTTCCTCATGCTGGGACCCCAGCCTGGAACGCAGCCAGGATCAGGAGCCCTAAAGTTAGGACCTGAGGGCTCCGAGGGCTGAGGCCGGGGACAGCTGCCTGGCGTTCCCTGCCGTGGATGGGCTGCTGCTCCCATGTTGCCTGCCCTGCCCTGGCCCATCAGTCCTGCCTCCTCCAGCAGCGGTGACTTTGCCACAGGGAGGACAGCTCAGGTCACTCCTGGTTAAATCCTTCCAGCGGCTTCTCGTCCCACCCAGGATGGGGTCCCACAAAGCTCAGCTCTCTTGAGGCTCTGAGCCCAGCACCCGCCCCCCCACACTTCTTTGCCCACCCTGGCTTCCTTGGCGAGCCACTGTCATGGTCACTCTGTGACCCCAGGGCCTTTGTGCTCACGGGGCCTCCTGCCTGGAGTGCTCTTCCCAGCTCCAGCGTCACCTCCTTGGCCACCTTCCCCCCACCCCATTTCCAGCTTGTTTTCTGCACAGCCCCACTCACTCGGAAGTCTCCCACTTCCTTCCTCCATCTACCCACCCAGCTGCCCGGCCCATGCCCATCTGAGCCAGCACAGCTTGTCCTGGGCCAGCAAGGACTTGTGGCTTCCCCTGCTGTGGACTCCCCGTTCCTCGACGTCCCTCCCTGGCCTCCCGTCCTACTGCCTGGGGGCAGTGTCTGGCCAGCAGATCCTTCTTGAAAGGGACCATCCCTCTGGGTGAGCTGGACATGCAGGGTTTTCTGGGGCTGCTGGAGGGGGTGGGAGCCAGGAGCCAGTGTGAGTCGGCGGCCGGCCGGGCTCCTGGCTGTGTTGAGCTGTTCCCTCCCATGGGGGCTTTGGGTCAGAGGGTAGCGAGGGTCACACTCTCAGGCACCCTTGACTGTTTATTTTTTACATTTATTTTTTATTTATTATTTATTTATTTTTTGAGACAGAGTCTCACTCTTTCACCCAAGCTGGAGTGCAATGGCTTGATCTCGGCTCACTGCAACCTCCGCCTCCTGGGTTCAAGTGATTCTCCTGCCTCAGCCTCCCCAGTAGCTGGGATTACAGGCACCCGCCACTGTGCCCGGCTAATTTTTGTATTTTAGTAGAGATGGGGTTTGGGTTTTGCCATGTTGCCCAGGCTGGTCTCGAACTCCTGACCTCAAGCGATCCACAGCCTTGGCCTCCCAAAGTGCTGGGATTACAGGTGTGAACCACCGCGCCCGGCCTCACCCTTGACTGTTTAGGAAGCCCATGCCCAGGCTTGGCCAGTCACCCCTCTTTCTTCACCCTGTCCCACCCCACAGTGCCCCCTCCCCAGGGCTTTGTAGGCCTCCAGCTGATGGGGAGTCTGCTGTGGCCAGGGCTGCTAACAGTTAACTGCTGGATGAGCTGCAGTAAATTTCCTTGGGGTTTTGGCTCAGGGTGAGACCCGCATTCCCAGCTTTGCTTGGCCACATGCGGCATCCTAGCACTGAACCTTCCCGTCCCAGGTGGCCTGCTTCTCGGGGAGGGGCCTGGGAGGACTTCTTGTTTGGGAGTCGGGGAGCCATCCTTCCCTCCAGGCCTTGGGTCAGCTCAGCCCACACAGCTGCTGACCCAGAGTGAGGGGCAGTGGGACGCGTTGGCCTTGGCGGCCCCGGGGCCGCTTTGAAGGGGAGCATGAGGGCACCGATCCTGCGCCTCTGTGCCTGGGCCGGGCGGGAGCTGGGGATGCATCCATCGCCTGCCAGGAATCCGGGCCCTGAGTTGTCGGCACTTCCAGCGTTTCAGGAGAAGCCAAGCAATTCTGATGTTTAAGTTAACTTAAAAGAAAAAAAAAGTAAAAGTTGGCCACCAGTTTGCATTTTTAAAAAAATGCTTCTCAGACCTCAGGAAGGCCACAGCTGCGGCCGGCCACGCTCCTGCTCCTGCCTGCCAGGTTACAGGCTCTGACGTGGGCCTGAGGGCCTCTGGGCTGTAGTGGGTGGGGCGGCCGTGCTGGTCCTGGGGTGGGTGCCGGGCAGTTCCGCCCATTCCCGGCTGCGTTGGGAGGGGGTGTGTGATAGCCAAGAAGCTTGATGCCAAGGGTCTTGGATCAGCAGCTGACGTCCTCTTCCTTATACACATGTGGGACCGTGGTGGCTTCCTGGTTAGATGGCACTAGGGTGGTCTACTTTGGGCCCCTCCACCCACCCCCACACTGCCAGAACCTTGGGTATACTTTTTATTTCTCCTTTATACTTTTTTCACTGAGATAAAACACATATAACATAAAAATTAGCCTTTATTTAATTTTTTGAGACAGGGTCTTGCTCTGTTGCCCAGGCTGGAGTGCAGTAGTTCTATCCCAGCAGCCTCAACATCCAGGCTCAAGTGATCCTATCACCTCAGCCTCCCAAGTAGCTGGGATTACAGGCGTGTGCCACCATGGCCAGCTAATTTTTAAAATTTTTTTGTGGAGATGGGTCTCACTATATTGCCCAGGCTGGTCTGAAACTCCTTCCTGGGCTCAAGCCGTCCTCCTGCCTCAGCCTCCCAAAGTGCTGGAATTAGAAGCATGAGCCACTGTGCCTGGCCCAGTTAGACGTTTGTTTGTTTGTTTGTTTTTGAGACAGGAGCTCACTCCGTTGCCCAGGCTGGAGTTCAGTGGCATGATGTTGGTTCACTGTAGCCTCCACCTCCCGGGTTTAAGTGATTCTCCCACCTCAGCCTTCCTGGTAGTGAGATTACAGGCGCCCACCACCACACCCAGCTAATTTTTTTGTATTTTTAGTAGAGATAGGGTTTCACCATGTTGGCCAGGCTGGTCTAGAACTCCTGACCTCAGGTAATCCGCCTGCCGTGGCCTCCCAAAGTGCTGGGATTATAGGCATGAGCCACCATACCCAGCCCTAATTAGCCATGTTAAAGTGTGCAATTTAGTGGCATTTAGTACCTTCTCAATATTGTACAGTGAACACCTCTGCCTGGCTCCAGAACATTTCATCCTCCCAAAAAGAGAATCCCCTTAGCCGGGTGCAGTTGCCCATTCCTATAATCCCAACGCTTTGGGAGGCCAAGGCGGGCAGATCGCTCGAGGTCAGGAGTTTGAGACCAGCCTGGCCAACATGGCAAAACTCTGTCTCTACTAAAAATACAAAAATTAGCTGGGCATGGTGGCATACGGCTGTAATCCCAGCTACCTGGGAGGCTGAGGCAGGAGAATGGCTTGAACCCGGGAGGTAGAGGCTACAGTGAGCCGAGATCGTGCCACTGCACTCCAGGCTGGGTGACGGAGCAAGACTGTCTCAAAAAAAAAAAAAAAGACCCCACCCCCTATCCCCATCAGCAGTTACTCCCCGTTCCCCTCCCCAGCCCCTGGCAGCCAGCAGTCTGCTTCCTGTCTCTATGGATTTGCCTGTTCTGGACATTTCAGATCAATGGAATCTCACACTATGTGGCGTTTTGTGTCTGGCCTCTCTCACTCAGCATCGTGTCTTCAGGCTTCTTCCACGTCGTAGCATGGATGAGTGCCTCATTCCTTTCCATGGCTGAATAGCATTCTGCTGTATGGATGGAGCACATCTGGCTGAAGCACATTCTGCTGTATGGATGGAGCACATTCTGTTCAGCCACTTGTCTGTTGATGGGCATTTGGCCTGTTTCCACCTTTTGGCTGTTATGAACAGAGCTGCATGGACATGTGTGTTGCAGGGTTTGTGTGGACACTGTCTTCAGTTCTCTTGGATCTATACTGAGGACTGGAATTGCGGGATCCTGCAGTGACTCTGGGTTTAACTGTTTGAGTAGTGGCCGGGCTGTCTTCCCGGAGTAGACCAGTTTTCTAAGCTCCTTTTCCTTGTTCTCTGCTGTGCCCCTTCTGTGGGAGCTGAGGCCCTGCACCCTTAGGCGTCCTCCTCGTGCCCCTCCTCCCTCCAATGTTACTGGGCCTGTTGTTGGGGTCTGTAGTGTTTCTGTATGGCTCTGCAGAGGCCAGGCTCACCGCCGGTTGGCCTTAGCTCAAGGTCCAGGTTCGTGTTGGCTGGGATTCCTGCCCAGGTCCATTTGGAATATTCCACTTGCGCGTGAAGCAAAGGCCCAAGTATATGAAGTGGCGTGCCCAGGCACAGAGCCCCTTTCTGTACACCCAGCTGCACGCGCGGGGAGGAGCTGACATCCCAAAAGGCCACGCAGAGGTGGGAGCTGGAGGACACAGCCCTGCAGTATCTGCTGGGGTGAGCCCTGCACCACTGGCAGCCCGCTCCCCAGCCTGGTGGGTAGGGCTGTTTTGGGAGGGCCTGCAAGTGTGGAAACCTACACTAAAAATAGCAGCCACATGCCTCCTGTGGGCGGCCCACGCTCACCTCTCCTGGCACCCTAGCGTGCCCGGAAGCAGCAGGGTGGGAGGGCACACCAGGCCCCACACAAGCCCATACTGTCCTTACACGTATGCATGAGGCTGGGTGAGCCATGCACACCCAAGGCCACCCTCCACAGCCCTGTATCCCATGCTAGGGTTTGGGGTGCCCCAGAAATCAGGAATCAGAATAGCTCCATTTGCAGGAAGACATCACAGCACACATGCAGCCATGATGCAGCTTCCCCAGTGGGTCCAGGCGGGCGCACTCCATCCACCTGCTATTCGGTTTGCAACAAAACTAACACTCTTTTTTTTTTTGAGACGGAGTCTTGCTCTGTCACCTAGGCTGGAGTACGGTGGTGTGATCTTGGCTCACTGCAACCTCCGCCTCCTGGGTTCAAGCAATTCTCCTGCCTCAGCCTCCTGAGTAGCTGGGATTACAGGTGTGCACCACCACGCCCAGCTAATTTTTGTATTTTTAGTAGAGAGCGGGTTTCACCATGTTGGCCAGGCTGGTCTCGAACTCCTGACCTCGTGATCCGCCTGCTTTGGCCTCCCAAAGTGCTGGGATTACAGGTGTGAGCCACCACACTCGGCCTAAAACTAATGCTCATTAAACAGACAAGGGCAGCTTCCCGTCCACTGGTCAGATGTGGCTACTGGCCAGCTTGTGCTGTGATCCCCAGAAAGGTCTCTCCAGAGCATTCTCATTTCAGCATGGCAGGTTAGGGATTGAGGTGTCGTTCTCACCCCCAAATGTTGATGACCCCCGGGGAACCTCCAACCCTGTGGCCACATCCTGCTGTCTGCACCCTGAATATTTGGGCCTATATGCTCCCTTGCCCTCCCTCAGCCCTTTGGAGGGCCTCTCCTGCCCCCACTGGGCTCTGGGGCCTGCAGTTCCCAGCCTGGGCTTCGGGAAGGATTTCCGTGCCTGTTCAGGGACCTTTCAAGCACAGTTTTTATTATTGTCCTGGGGCTGCCACTACAAATGACCACAAAATCTGGTGGTTTAAGAAACAGAAATGTATACTCTCCCAGCTCTGGAGGCCAGAAGTCCAAGATCAAGGTGTGGGCAAGGTTGACTATCTGTAGAAGCCTCTAGGGGCGGATCCCTCCTGCCTCTGGGGGCTCCCGGAGCTCCTTGGCTTGTAGCCGCATCACTCCAGTCTCTGCCTGTCTTCACATGGCCTGTGTGTCTGCATCTCTTTCCCCTTCTCCTCTCTTTTTTTTCATTTGAGACAGAGACTCGCTTTGCCACCCAGGCTGGAGTGCAGTGGTGCGATCTCGGCTCACTGCAACCTCCACCTCCCAGGTTCAAGCAATTCTCCTGCCTTAGTCTCCCAAGTAGCTGGGATTACAGGTGCACGACACCACGCCTGGCTAATACCCCTTCTCTTCTCTTCTAAAGGCCCTTGCCATTGGATTAGGGCCCACCCTACTCCAACATGACTTTAACTCAATTACAGCTGCAAATACCTTATTTCCAAGTAAGTTCCCATTCCAGGTGCCAGGGGTCAGGACTTGGACATACTTTTCTGGGAGTACGTCCCACAACAGAAAGTAAGTACTGTGGTGCAGGCCCCATGCCCAGCAGGGAGCTGCAGCCTCCCCTCAGCCACCTGTGGCCCCGGGGACGGGCCTGTCCTCCCCTCTTCCCCTGCTTCTCAGTGTGTGGACATCATGATGCTTTTGCTTTCGTCATTTGTGTGATTGCATCTTGGAACCAAGTGCTGTTTGCACGTGCAGGTGGGCTCCCAGGCAGGGGGTCTCTCTGAGTTGGCCTGTTTGGAGGTTTGTCCCAGCCAAGGGGCCCACCTGGCTGAACCCACCCTGCTCAGGGCTGCATCCTGTTTCCCTGTTGACTTTGCTGCAGCCCACGCTCCTTCCTGCCACTGCTTGTGGTTGGCTGCTGTTTGGAGCTGTCCCCGGCATTCCTGCACCCGAAGCCTGGGACAGGTGTACGCTTATGTGCTGGCAGCGGTTGGCGGGGGGGGTGTCGCCAAAGAGCGGGGATGCTGAGAATGGTCCCCTTGCTGGGCTGCAGGTGGGGAGGGATGCCTCCGGGATTCCCAGAGTCACTGGTGGCATGTGCCCCCCGCTGCCCTGCCCAGTGCCCCGCCCTGGGGACCCTGTAGTGAGTGCAGCAGCCACAGCCCACCCTTGTTGGGGGCTGTGGTCTTAGGGTGGGGACATCAGCCTGAGGGTCATTATTGGAGGTGGGGCCAGAATGTGGCTCCCGAATGACTCTTTTTTTTTTTTTGAGACGCAATCTTGCTCTGTCACCCAGGCTGGAGTGCAGTGGCACGATCTCAGCTCACTGCAGTCTCCACCTCCCAGGTTCAAGCAGTTCTCTGCCTCAGCCTCCCAAGTAGCTGGGATTACAGGCGTCTGCCACCACACCCAGCTAATTTTTGTATTTTTAGTAGAGATGGGGTTTCACCATGTTGGCCAGGCTGGTCTCAAACTCCTGACCTCATGATCCACCCACCTTGGCCTCCCAAAGTGCTGGGATTACAGGTGTGAGCAACTGTGCCTGGCCGGCTCCTGCATGACTCTTAGCCCAGGTGCAGCCCAGCAAGCATTAGCGTGTGGAGAGCCCAGCGGGCATTAGTGTGTGGAGAGGGCATGGCTAGTATAGGGGCTAGCGAGTAGAGCATGCTGTGTCGTCTTTCCTGTAGAGCTGGAGTGACCTGCTCAGGTGGGAAGTTTGGAGAGACTCCAGCTGAGTGGTTTGGGCGCTGCAGGGTTAACTTGAGACCCCAGTAGGAGGCTTCTGTATTTGTCCAGGCAAGAGAAGATGTGGCTTGGGCCAGAATGAGGACAGAAGAGGCGAGAGGGCAGAAGAGGTGCTGGGACATGGGGGAGCCAGGTGGGGCATGGGGGGTTCCTAAGGAAGGGACAGGTTTGGGCAGTTGTGAATGTGCTCGTGTGTGTGCAAGTGAGTGGGAGCTGGCGTGCAGGCAGGACAGGAGTGCAGGCAGGACAGGAGTGTGAGCATGTGTGTGTGCGTGTGAGCATATGTGCATGCACGTGCATGAATGTGTTTATGTGACTATGTGCATTGCTGTGAGTGTGCACACATGTGGCTGGGTGCATGTGTGTGAACACGTGTGATGTCTGTACAGCCTCCCTGGTGGGTGACTGGCGCTGGGCTGGAGACATGAGTTTGGGGAGCTTTGAGTGAGGGGTGATGGTGGCACTCCCAGGGTGGGGCTGAGAGGGGGCTGCTGGGCTTGGGAGTGGAGGGCCCAGGGGAAGTCTTTCCCCTAGCACCCTCTCCCAGGGTCTTCAGGCTGTGTGGGAGCCAGGACTGGGTCTGTCTCCTTGTGGCCTCTGTCCTTGGTGCAGTAATGACCACTGGGTAGTGGCCCTTGGGGTCAAGGGCATCCCTGGAGCCCTTGCCATAGATGCTGAGCTGGAGCAGGGCTGCCACCCCATACTGTTCAGGGGCCAGTCCCTCCCCTCTGGAGCTGATCACCCCAAACACTGTCCCCTCAGAAGGGTCGTAGTGCTCACTCACAGGAGCCTGTGTTTCTGCCTGTGTGTGGGGCACTGGGGCCCAGAGAGGCAGACACAGATGCGTGCAGCCACCAGCTTGGATGCAGGACCCCTGGGCTCAAACACTGCCTTCCAGTCTCAGCCTACAGTGAGTATGGGCGGGGCTGGAGGATGCAGCTCAGAGAGGAGGGTGCAGGGTTCCGGGGTGGGCCAAATGCCGGGTGGGAGCAGAGCAGGGCCGCAGGGACATGGGAGGGCCTCTCGCAGGACGGTTTCTCATGCCAGCCCTGGTCAAGGCAGCAGTGGTTTCCAGACACGGGGGTGCGTGTGTGAGGCAGGAACAGTACAAGCAGAGGGCCCCTGGGGAGAAGGCCTTTGACAGCAGGAAGAGGACCTGGCAGTAGGGACAGGAGTGAGGGAGAAGAAAAAGACAGCAGGGCCTGGGCAGCCCCGTCACGGGGCTGGCTTTGAATCTTACTTATCTATTGTTGAGGTGAACACCACATAACATAAGATTCACCATCTGAAAGTGAACAGTTCCATGGCGTTTGGCGCATTCACAGTATTGTGCAGGCATCACAGCTATCTAGTTCCAGAACATTCTCATCATCCAAAGGAGACCTTGTCCCCATTAGCAGTCCCTCCCCTCCTCTCCTCCCCAGCCCCTGGCAGTTACTAATCTGCTTCCTGTCTCTGTGGATTTGCCTGTTCTGAGCATTTCAGATCGATGGAATCTCACACCCTGTGGCCTTCTGTACCTGGCTTCTCTCACTCAGCATCACATGTTCAGTTTCATCCACATTGTAGCATGGGTCAGTGCTTCCTTCCTTTTTTGTTGTTCCTCTTGAGACAGGGTCTCACTCTGTCACCCAGGCTGGAGTGCAGTGGTACGATCACAGCTCACTGCAGCCTCCACCTCTTGGGCTCTGTCCAACCTCCCACCTCTGCCTCTCGAATAGCTGAAATTATTGGTGTGCACCACCATGCATGCCTGGCTAATTTTTTTTTTTTTTTTTTAGAAACAGGGTTTCACCATATTGGCCAGGCTGCTCTCAAACTCCTGGCCTCAAGGGATCTTCCCTCCTCCGCCTCCCAAAGTGCTGGGATTACAAGTGTGAGCCACCGTGCCCAGCCTTCATTCCTTTTCATGGCTGAATCTTATTCCACTGTATGGACAGACCAGTCTTATTCATTCATCCCTTGGCACACACGTGGGTTTTCCCACCTTTTGGCTGTTGTCCATTGTGCTGGTACACACACTCATGTATGATTGTCTTCATTTCGTGGGGGCATCCGTCCAGGAGTGGGATTGCTTGGTCATAACAGCAGCTCAGCATGTCACTTGTTGAGGAACCGCCATACAGATTGGGGGTTTATTTTAAATAGGATGGAAGCCTACTGGTGTGTTTAAAACGGGAGCATAACACGATTTGAACTGAATGAATAAAGAGAAGAAAATGAAGGAGTCTCGGCAGCCACTTGCAGAGGGAGCAGGGAGGCCTGGGAGGAGGTCACGTGGGTGTCTGGGTGCGAGATGACACGGGCTAGTACCAGGGAGGGGGCTGACGATGGGCCCTGGAAGTCGAGCTGCTGGGAAGTGATCATGGGAGTGATGAGGCAGGCAGAGGAAAGGGACACCTCCAGCCTCTGTCCCTGCTTCTTCTACCCTGGCGGGCGCAGCCTCCAACTAGTGACCCCTCCTCTGGGCTTGGTCCTTCCCTGCATCGTGTGTGTCTGCTGGGCACTCCAAATGTGGTGCCTGGCCCCGCTAGCCCAGAATGCGGCCTGAAGATGGTGAGACAGGCAAGGGCTAACCCCACCGGGTCCCCAGGGCCTGCAGCAGGTGCCACCTGGGGCCTGGCTAGGAGTTCAGGGGCCTGGGTGAAGCCTTTGGGACAGGGCTGTGAGGGCACTCAAGGGGTACCAGGTGGGCCCCGGCAGGCCCAGGATCTGGCCTTCCAAATCACAAAATGACTTTTGGTGTTATGTAACTCCATAGTCAAGCTATGTCTAAAAAATGGAGCATAAAAGCTATTTTGGGCCCATGGTAATGAGGGCATCTCGCCTTTGTCTTAGCCGTCCTGGGGGGAGGCAGCGTCGAAAGAGCTGCTCAGAGAGGCGGGTTCAGCCCAGACCCCAAGCAAGCCCTGTGTCAGCAGGCAGATGCCGTTTTCAAAAATCATTTGTTCCGCCTCGACCGGAGGTGGCTCCTGGCAGATCGCCCCGCGGTGCTCAGAATCCCAGAGGCCTGCGGGCGGCTGACCCGGGGCGAGCAGGGCTGGGCCTCCTCTGCCGTGTCTGGGATCTGACTTCCCTGAGGTTAGGTCCGGCACCTGTCAGAAACCAGGCCTGACATTTTCAAGATGGGCACAGGCCCGCTCCGGGAAGGCCCCAGGCCCGTCCATGTGGGCAGCGTCGGCGTCGGGCTTCTTGCCTGGGACCCAGGGGCCGCTCTTGGGGAGGGAGACCCTGTTTCAAGTGGCCAGCATCCCCGCCAGTGGTTTGCATTATTCAATTGGTGATAAGATTTAAAATTAAACTGCAAAGGATCTGTTCCCCCAGCTACAAATAGACGTGTGCTTGCACATTCCAGAACACAAGTGTGCACCAAGAGATGTGTTTTGAGTCAAGGTGGAGAAAAAGTGAGTTTTTTTGTTTTGTTTTGTTTTGTTTTTGAGATGGAGTCTCACTGTCTCCCAGGCTGAAGTGTAGTGACGCGATCTCGTGTCACTGCAACCTCTGCTTCCCTGGTTCAAGCAATTCTCCTGCCTCAGCCTCCCGAGTAGCTGGGATTACAGATGTGAGCCACCACACCTGACTAACTTTTGTATTTTCTTTCTTTCTTTCTTTTTCTTTTTTTTGAGACAGTCTCGCTCTGTCACCCAGGCTGGAGTGCAGTGGCATGATCTCGGCTCACTGCAAGCTCCGCCTTCCGGGTTCACGCCATTCTCCTGCCTCAGCCTCCCGAGTAACTGGGACTACAGTCGCCTGCCACCACGCCCGGCTAATTTTTAGTGTTTTTTTTTTTTTTTTTTTTTTAGCAGAGATGGGGTTTCACCATGTTAGTCAGGATGGTCTTGATCTCCTGACCTTGTGATCCGCCCGCCTCGGCCTCCCAGAGTGCTGGGATAACAGGCGTGAGCCACCACGCCCGGCCTAACTTTGGTACTTTCAGTAGAGACGGGGTTTCATCATGTTGGCCAGGCTGATCTCGAACTCCTGACCTCAAGAGATCCACCCACCTTGACCTCCCAAAGTACTGGGATTGCAGGTGTGAGCTGCTGCACCCGGCTGAGTTTTGGAATTCCCTCTCTTTCTCTCTGCTCATGTACACTATGTGCACGCATGCATGGGGCCCTCTCTGCCCGAGTACACTGCCTGCACACATGCGTGGGGCCTTAGTCCTTCCTTTCCTGTTGGTGGCTGTAACAAATGACCACAAACTGGGTATCTTAAAACAATAGAAATGTATTCAGTGCAGGTGTCGGCAGGGCTGGTGCCTGCAGGAGGCTCTAGGGGAGGATCCTTCCTGCCTCCTCCAGCTTCAGTGGCTCTAGGCGCTCTTTGCATCACTCCAGTCTCTGCCTTCATTGTCATGTGGACACCTCCTCTCACTGTGTCTCTTCTCATCTTCTGAGGATGCTAGTCATTGGATTTAAGGCATACCCTACTCCAGTTCAACCTCTGTTTTTTTTTTTTTTTTGAGACGGAGTCTCGCTCTGTCGTCCAGGCTGGAGGGCAGTGGCGCGATCTCGGCTCACTGCAAGCTCCGCCTCCTGGGTTCACGCCATTCTCCTGCCTCAGCCTCCCGAGTAGCTGGGACTTCAGGCGCCCGCCACCATGCCCGGCTAATTTTTTGTATTTTCGGTAGAGACGGGGTTTCACAGTGTTAGCCAGGATGGTCTCGATTTCCTGACCTTGTGATCCACCCACCTTGGCCTCCCAAAGTGCTGGGATTACAGGCATGAGCCACCACACCCGGCCTTTTTTTTTTTTTTTTTTTTTAAACAAGGTCTTGCTCTGTCGCCCAGGCTGGAGTGCAGAGGCACAATCATAGCTCACTTCAACCTCTGCCTCCTGGGGTCAAGCGATCCTCCCACCTCAGCCTCCTGAGTAGCTGGAACTACAGGCGTGATCCACCATGCCCAGCTAATTTTTGTATTTTTAGTAGAGACGGGGTCTTGCTATGTTGCCCAGGCTGGTTTCAAACTCCTGAGCTCAAGCAATCCACCTGCCTCAGTCTCCCAAAGTGTTGGGATTATAGGCGTGAGCCATGCACCTGGCCTCGACCTGCAAAGACTCTCTCCAAATACAGTCACATTCATAGATGGCGGGGTTAGGACATGGCTATGTGTTTCCAGGGGACACAGGCAACCCACAGCAGACATTCTGCCAAGTCCATCATCACTGGCCCTTACTGAGGTCCCCCAGCCTCCTCTGGGTCTGCCCAGGAGGTGCTGTGACGTACTTCACCCCATGATCCAGCACATGGGAGTACCTAGGTCACCGTGCAGCCGGGGTCTCAGCAGAGGCCGGAGTCTGCCCTGAGTCACCAGAGGCTGTGGGTTTTGGGGATATGCACCAGAGACCCCCACACCTATGCATCCGCTGACTAAGTTCCAGATGAGATTCATCCCAGCCTTGCTGCCATCCTGCCATGGGGAGCTTGCAGCCCTGAATGGGAGACGAGAAAACATGCCAAGCAGTTATCAACTTGTCTGGGGCCCCTTGGCTGGGGAGAGGAGACCTGGGGTGTGGACGCAGGCCACAGGCATGCCAGGTGCCTCCCAGCTGGCTTCAGAGATGCTGGGGGAGTGGATTGGAGAGTATCCCCCAGACATATGCGCCCATGTCCTAAGTCCTGGAACGTGTGACTCTGGCCTTATGTGGAAAAAAGGTCTTTGGGGGTGTGATGAAGTGAAAGACCTTGAGATGAGATCGTCTTGGATTTAGGATTGGCCCCGAATCCCATGACTGGTGTCCTTATTTAAAGAGGAGAAGACACAGGCACACAGCGAGAAGGCCACGTGATGAAGGAGGCAGAGACCAGAGTGATGCGGCCACAAGCCAAGGAGGCCAAGGACTGCTGACGGCCACCAGTTTTTGAATGGACATGATGTTCACATAACATGAAATTAAGCATTTTAGAGCATGCCGTGGTGGCGTGTAGCACACTCCCAGTGCTGTGCAACCTTCCCTTCTGTCTGCGCCCAGAACATTTCCATCTCCCCAGAGGGAGACCTCACCCCGCAGGTAGTCACTCCCCATTTCCACTCCCAGCCCCAGGCAACCACTAATCTGTCTCTGTGGCTTTGCCTATTCTGGATATTTCATATCAATGAAAATCTGACACCATGTGGCCTTTTATGTCTGGCTTCTGTCACTCAGCATCGTGTTTTCGAGGTTTGTCCATGCTGTAGCATGGATCAGTGCTACAGTCTTTTTTTTTTGAGACAGGGTCTTGCTCTCTTGCCCAGGCTGGAGTGCAGAGGTGCAATCTCGGCTCACTACATCCTCTGCCTCCTGGGTTCAAGCGATTCTTCTGCCTCAGCCTCCCAAGTACCTGGGATTACAGGCATGGGGCACCACTCCTGGCTAATTTTTGTATTTTTGGTAGAGATGGGGTTTCACCATGTTGGCCAGGCTGGTCTCAAACTCCTGACCTCAAGTGATCCACCTGCCACAGCCTCCCAAAGTGCTGGGATTACAGGCCTGAGCCACTGTAATTGCCCGGCCTACAATCATATTTTGTTGTACGGATGGACCACATTTTGTTTATCCATTTATTTGGTGGGTTTTGTCTTTCGGATGTTGTTAACCGTCCACCTACCGTTTGTAAGTTTGTTGACATCTTATCTCCAATCTCCCCATGGGGAGAGACGGAGACCTGTCTCTTCCCATCTGCCTTAGCATCCTTGCTTCTGAAGACAGCTCTCAGGAAGTAGCAGGGCGTGAGGAAGGGATGAAGGGTGGGTGTCTGTGTCACCACAGCCCAGAGGTGCGGAGCCACGTGGTGTCTCCATGCTGTGGCTTAAAGTGTTGGAAGTTTGTGGCCAAGGCCAGTTCACCGGGGACCCCAGGTCCAGTATGGGTTTCCTAACGGTGGGCTTGCGTCACATTAGATAAAAGACCTGAGAGAGAACTCTGGAGGGCAAGGGGGCATCTGGTTGGTATTTCTGCCTGATTGCCATTTGTCTGGGGCCTGGAGAGGGAGCCTTAGCTATGTGTTTCGATGTGGTCAGATGGCCTGTGGGCAACAGGGCAGTTGCCCTGCAGGGACACTGGTCTCAGATGGAGTGAGACAGCCCCTGCGTCGACCCACCTTGCTGCCTGTGCCAGCTCCACAGCAGCCTCGTCAGTGTGGGGCACATTGCACACGCCACCGTCATCTCAGTTGTCCCCGTGCGCTTGGAGCCTCCGGGAGGGAGGATGCACGTTGGCGTGTTAATGGCGATGGCATTCCACCGTCACCCCAGGCAGAAGCAGACACTGTATGCTGCACTTATGAGACATGTGAAACCTCCCTGCACAGAACAGAGCATCCCACATATGTGGTCATGGGAGTTGAGAGAGCGACACCGTGAGCCCAGGCTTGTTCCCTGGGCTCCAGGCGGGAACCGGCGGGGCGGACAGGCTCCTCGGCAGCATCGACACGGCTCCCTCGTCCCCTCTGCAGATGGTGAGGCCCCAGGAGGGAGCAGTGACAGCTGATCAGTCTGTGGGGTGGGGTGTGTGGGTGCGTGGGGTGTTGTTCTCTGCACTCGCTAGGAGTCAATTTCATTTTCATCTTAGAGGTGATGGGTTGTTGCTGTGTGTGGGGGGATTCCATGATGAGCTGGCTCTAGGATCAAGGGACCTGGGGTGTTCAGGTTCTCAGCCCTGCCCTGGAAGGGGAGACAGCAGCACCTATTGGGACTGGGGGGCCATGTGTGAGTTTCTGGTGGCTGCTGTAATATATTAAAGTACTACACCTGGGCTGCTTAGAACAAGAATGTCTTCTCTCATGGTTCTAGAGCCTGGAAGTCTAAAATCCAGGTGTCGGCAGGGCCGAGCTTCCTCTGGAGGCTCTGGGGAGGAATCTTTCCTGCCTCTTCCAGCTTTCAGTGGCTCCAGCCGTTCCTTGGCTTGTGGCTGCATCGCCCCAATCCCGGCCGTCCCCCTCTGCATCTGTGTCTCATCTTCTGTCTCTTAAAAGGGCAGCAGTCACCCGATGTAGGGTCCTCCCGGCTAATCTAGGATGATTTCTTCATCCCAAGATCCTTCCCTTAATTATGTCTGAAAAGACTGTTTTTTCAAATAAGGTCATACTCTCAGGTTCCAGGGATGAGGAGGTGGATATAACCTTTTGGGGACACCGTGAATTCACTCCCCAGTAGCTGAGCTGACCTGCATCGAGCGCTTGGGATCTGCCTCTCACCCTCTTGGTTGCCTTGGCAGTTCCCTAAGGCCTCTGACCCTGTCACCCCCTGCCCAGCTTCCCTCAGCACACTGGCCCCACCCAGGAGCGCTCCTGTTGGTCCGTCCCTTGGACCCGCCTGGAGCTGGGGGGTGTCCCCTTTGTCCTGAGTACACACCCAGGAGACCCCTGTATGCTTCACCTTGGGGAGCTCAGTATCTTTTCTTCATAGCACTCTAGGCCAGCGTCCCTGTGCGAGACCCCCTTGCTCCCTAGTGCCCCTGCCTGGCCCCTCATGGCAATGCTGAGGGGGAGGCCTCCTGTGACCTCTGACCTCTGCAGGCCTCTGCACCTCCAGCCCCTTCTCTCCCCCAGCTCGGGCCTGAGGCCAGCACCCCTTAGGTGGCTTGATCCATCTCAGTTGTCCCTCCCTGTGGCCTCCAGGGAGCCCCTGTCCAGCTCCCAGAATCCTTGCTCTCTGTCATCGCTTGGTTTCTGGGTTCCTGCCTGTCTCTATCCTGGAGAGGAGAAGGAGGAGGACCCAGAACCTAGGAGGCCTCGGCCACCCTCCTGGAGCGGAGGTTGGGGCAGCCTGGCCAGCCGTCCCCACACACGGGCCCCTGGGTTCAGCGTTGGAGAAGGCATCAGTGCCAGACCTGTGGCTATGCGTGCTCACAGGGGCACCAGGCTGCCGGCTGGACCTGGCTTGGCCACTTGCATCCCTGGGGAGGCCTGGCCGTCCTTGGCGCCAGCCCCTCCTCCCTCTTCCTGAGCCTCCCACCTCTCTGGCCTGTGTTAGGGGCTTCTTTCTCCTCTTCTGAGTCTAATTCTGTCTTTCTCGCGTGGCTCAGGTATTCCGCCACCTTCCCCCAACACAGCCTGCATGGTCTCCCTCTCCTGGCTTACAGGGTCCGCCTCGGCCCTCCCGTGTTCTGGAGAATTCCTCTCTCCCCGTGTGTCGCGCTTCCGGGGCTGCCGGTCACCCTGGCTGCTCCTGCTGCCCAGATCCCCTGGGGACATCCCAGGGACGGGGGCCACCCAGCCTCAGCCCAGGTCTGCCTGTGCCCATGCAGATCTGCAGTAAAGATGTTCTAGAAAGTGCTTCCTCCCGACTCATGTACCGCGCCCTCGATCTTCTCTGGAGTTGAGGCCGGGCCCTGGAACAGGCTCCAGCTCCTTGTTCTCCCAGCTGGTGATGCAGGAACATCTTTGCGCATAAATCTGCGTTCTGGATGATTTCCCTCAGGAGAGCTTCCCAGAAGTGGGATTACCAGGTTAGAGGGCAGGAACGTTGCTCAGGCACTCGGCGGACGCTGCCAAATGGCTCAGCCGGCGCTCCCAGCCACCTGCCTCTCAGAGCCCCATGCATTTCCAGCACCGCTGACGTGTGCCGGCCTCGCTTCACCCCTCGGTCCCCGGGGGACAGCAGAGGAGGCCCAGGCCCGGGAGGGGAGCTGGCTGCCCCAGAGGAGCCCTCAGGCGGCCAGCTATAGGGATGAGGTGAGAGCCATGGGCATCTGCTTCCTTGGGATGGTTCTTAGAGTGGGCTGGAGGTGACCTGGGGTTTGGTGAGTGTATGGGGTTGAACAGTGTCCCCTCAAAAGTTCATGTTCATCCAGAACCTGTGAGTGAGCTCATTTGGAAATAGGGATTTTACAGATGGACTTAAGTCATGATGAGGTCATTATGGAATAGGGTGGGCCCTAAATCCAGTGACTGGTGTCCTTATAAAGAAGACAAAGGCTGGGCGTGGTGGCCCACTCCTGTAATCCCTGTACTTTGGGAGACCAAGGCGGGCGGATCATGAGGTCAGGAGTTTGAGACCAGCCTGGCCAACATGGTGAAACCCTGTCTTTACTAAAAATACAAAAATTAGCCAGGTGTGATGGTGGGTGCCTGTAATCCCAGCTACTTGGGAGGCCGAGGCAGGAGAATTGCTTGAACCCAGGAGGTGGAGGTTGCAGCGAGCCGAGATCGTGCCACTGCATTCCAGCCTAGGTAACAGAGAAAGACTCCGTCTTGGGGAAAAAAAAAAAAAAAAAAAAAAAGAAGGCAAAACAGGCCAGGCACGGTGGCCTAGGCCTTTAATCCTAGCACTTTGGAAGGCCGAGGTGGGAGGATCACTTGAGGCCAGGAGTCCAGGTCTAGCCTGGGCAACATAGCCAGACCCCATCTCAGCAAAAAATTAGAAAATAATTGGCCAGGCTTGGTGGTGTGCTCCTGTAGTCCCAACTACTCAGGAGGCTGCAGCAGGAGAATCACTTGAGCCCAGGAGTTCAAGGCTGCCATGAGCTATGATTGTGCTGCTGCACTCCAGCCTGGGTGACAGAGTGAGACCCTGTCTCAAACAAACAAGGCAAAACAGAGGCACAGGGACAGAAAGGGAAAAGGACAAGGTCAGGCACGGTGGTTCACGCGTGTAATCCGAGCACTTTGGTAGGCCGAGGCAGGCAGGTCACGAGGTCAGGAGATCGAGACCATCCTGGCTAACACAGTGAAACCCTATCTCTACTAAAAATACAAAAAATTAGTTGGGTATGGTGGCACGCATCAGTAGTCCCAGCTATGTGGGAGGCTGAGGCAGGAGAATCGCTTAAACCTGGGAGGTGGAGGTTGCAGTGAGCCGAGATCACGCCACTGCACTCCAGCCTGGGTGACAGAGCAAGACTCTGTCTCAAAAAAAAAAAAAAAAAGAAGAAGAAAGGGAAAAGGACACAAGCAGACAGAAGCAAAGAATGAGGCGATCCGTCTACAAGCCAAGAAGTGCTAAGGATGGTCAGCAGCCGCAACAGCTGGGAGAGAGGCCACCTTGCTTTTATTTTATTTTTATTTTTTGAGATGGAGTCTCACTATGTTGCCCAGGCTGAAGTGCAGTGGCACAATCTTGGCTCACTGCCACCTCTGCCTCCCAGGTTCAGGAAGTTCTCCTGCCTCAGCCTCCTGAGTAGCTGGGATTACAGGCGCCCATCACCATGCCCAGATAATTTTCTTTTGTATTTTTAGTAGAGATGGGGTTTCACCATGTTGGCCAGGCTGATCTCGAACTCATGACCTCAGGTGATCCACCCACCTCAGCCTCCCAAAGCGCTGGGATTACAGGCGTGAGCCACCGTGCCCGGCCTCCACCTTACTTTCAGAGCCTCCAGAGCTGTGCGGGAAACATCTCTGTTGTGTCAGCCACCTGGTTTGTGCTTATTTGTTACAGCAGCCTCAGGAGACTGATATCATGCCCAAGAGTTGGGGATGGACCAAGGGGGACTCTGGGGTCAGGACAAGTGACCCCTCCCCTGGTGTCCTGGCCCTCCCGGTGAGGTTGCACAGAGGTTGGGAGAATGTCCCGTCCCGGCCCATCTCTGCCTCTCCACCCCCTTATGTTACTAGGTGAAGAATTGTACATTAGCCTCATTTGAAACTTTATTTCCAGGCCTCTTCAGCTTCAATCGCTGCCCAGGATGCATTGTGGGTAAGCAAAACCAGGACAATGGGCTTGGGCTTAAAAGTATCAGAGATCCCGATTTCATTCATTCCTGACACCAAGTCACTTGAAAAAGCAGTCGTAACATCACAGAGCAGCTCCGGGGAAGTTCTCCGTGCCTTATCCTCTTTTTTTAATTTTTTTGGAGATGGAGTTTCCCTCTTGTGGCCCAGGCTGGGGTGCAATAGTGCGATCTTGGCTCAGTAACCTCTGCCTCCTGGTTTCAAGTGACTCTCCCGCCTCAGCCTCCTGAGTAGCTGGGATTACAGGCATGTGCCACGACACCTAACTAATTTTGTATTTTTAGTAGAGACGGAGTTTCATCATGTTGGCCAGGCTGGTCTAGAACTCCTGACCTCAAGTGATCTGCCCACCTTGACTTCCCAAAGACCTCCCAAAGTTCTGGGATTACAGGTGTGAGCCACCTCACCTGGCCTTTTTTTTTTTTTTTGAGACAGAGTCTTGCTCTGTCGCCCAGGCTGGAGTGCAGTAGCACGATCTCAGCTCACTGCATCCTCTACCTCCCGAGTTCAAGTGATTCTCCTGCCTCAGCCTCCCAAGTACCTGGCATTACAGGTGCCTGCCATCATGTCTGGCTAATTCTTGTATTTTTAGTAGAGACAGGGTTCCACCATGTTGGCCAGGCTGGTCTCGAACTCCTGACCTCAGGTGATCCACCTCCCTTGGCCTCCCAAAGTGCTGGGATTACAGGCGTGAGCCACCGCACCTGCCCGCCTTGTTTTCTTTAGAAGTTGGTTCAGGCTGGCCGGGCGCGGTGGCTCACGCCTGTAATCCCAGCACTTTGGGAGGCCGAGGTGGGCGGATCACGAGGTCAGGAGATCGAGACCATCCTGGCTAACGTGGTAAAACCCTGTCTCTACTAAAAATACAAAAAAATTAGCCGGGCGTGGCGGCGGGCACCTGTAGTCCCAGCTACTCAGGGGGCTGAGGTGGGAGAATGGCGTGAACCCGAGAGGCGGAGCTTGCAGTGAGCTGAGATCGCGCCACTGCACTCTAGCCTGGGCAACAGAGCGAGACTCCGTCTCAAAAAAAAAAAAAGAAAAAAAAAAAGAAGTTGGTTCAGGCTGGGTGTGGTGGCTCATGTCTGTAATCCTAGCACTGTGGGAGGCCGAGTCAGGAGGATCATTGGAGCTCCGGAGTTTGAGACCAGCCTGGGCAACATAGGGAGACCGCGTCTCTACTAAAAATAAATTGGCTAAGCGTGTTGGCCTGCCGCTGTAGTCCCAGCTACTGGGGAAGTTGAGGTGACAGGATTGCTTGAGCCTGGAAGGTTGAGGCTGCAGTGAGCCATGATTACACCACTGCACTCCAGTCTGGGTGACACAGCAAGACCCCATCTTTAAAAGAATAATAATAATAATAATAAGTTGGTTCAGTTTCATTTGCTTGGAAGCCCCTTCAGTTCCCAGCCCCGCAGCCCTGTGGCCTCCCCCAGAGGTGGTGTCCACACTCCTTATCCTCGTTCTTGGCCCTGCTGGAGCCTGTGGCAGATTCCTGGGGTTGCCTGTGAAACCAGGAGCTGTGACTCCTGCCTGGGCCTCAGTGATTATGGTGGGGTCACGCACTGGGTGCCAGGGTCTGCCACACCCCACCCAGGGGCCACTGCCCAGCAGCAAGTGCACTTAGCCATGCAGCTCCCCACACAGATCGAGGTGGGATGGTGCTGGGTGCCAGCCATCCTGTGCTTATGTCCTGTCCAAGGCCGGCCGTGGCTTCTGATGGCTTACCCTGGGAAGGTGGCCTGCACCTTCAGCTGGCCCTGCTGGTGGCGTTGGTGGGGATGGGCTCTCCTGAGGGCCTCAGCAGCCCTTACGAGGTAAGGGCTTTTTGCCGTGTGTAGATCCCACGAAGCACATCACCAGCTCCTCACTCAGGGTCCCTCCTGCCTCCCCTGGATCTGCTGGGGCATGTCCCAGGCAGGGGGCGCCTGGTGAACACCGAGCCCCCCTGCTTCACACGCTACCTGGTGCAGCCCCTGGACTTTGGGGTGGAGTCGGGGTCACATTCACAGGGCCTTCCGGGTAGGCCTGTCTTCAGGATGGGCCCTTCTCCCAGTGTACTGGGGCCCCCCTACGCCCTACAGCCCTGCCGTGGAGTCACCGGCTGGGTGTTCGCCGCTCCTTGTGCTGTCCTGGTTTGGGCTTCATCTGCACCCTCCCCGTCCCTCTGCAGTGACTACCATGAGAGCTGGCCTGGCCTGGTCTCTGCTCCCTGTGTCCAGCCTCCACTCCCACCCCTGCAGTTCCTGCTGCCCGACCCGCTGCCTACCTCATCCTTCATCCCGGACGGTTCCTGTAACCACCCCTCCCAACTCCCTAGTCTCAGGATCCCTGCCCCCTCTGGGCCCTTATTGACCCTACTCTTCAGCCAGTGGTGTCCCCCTTGGTCCCCCTACTCCTGGGGACCAGCCCAGAAGCCACCAGTGGCCCCCCTGGCTGTCTCCTCCTGGTGTGCCCCGAGTCGTGGCCTTAGTTGAGTCCCATGTCCAGAGGGAGCTTGGAGAGGGAAGGGCTTGTCCCAGGCCCTCCACAGTTCCGGGGCTGAGTATCCTTCCCTCCCTCCCTCCTTCCCTCCTTCCCTCCTTCCCTTTTTTAAGAGACAGTGTCTCGCTGTCACCCAGGTTGGAGTGCAGTGAGTGGTACAATCTTGGCTCACAGCACCCTCCACCTCCTGGACTCAAACAGTACTGCCTCTGCCTCCCGTGTTGCTGGGACTACAGGTGTGTGCCAATGTGCTCAGCCTGGGCTAATTTTCTTAGGCTGCCATAGCAAAGCACCATGAATCAGGTGGCTTAAGACAATAGAAATGTCTTGTCTCTCATCTCTGAAGGCCAGAAGCCTAAGATCAAGGAGTCAGCGTGGCTGGTTCCTCCTGAGGCCATGAGGGAGAGCCAGTCTCAGGCCCCTTTCCAGCTCCTGGTGGCCCAGCGATCCTCGGCAGGCTCTTGACTTGTAGACGCGGCACCCCGATCTCTGCCTTTATTGCCGCTTGGCCCACTTTCCTCAGTGTCTCTGTCCTCCCCTCTCATGGGGGCACCAGTCATTGGATGCAGGGACCTCCTTAATTCCAGGATGATCTCATTTCAAGATCCCGCACTAATTACATCTGCAGAAACTCTCTCTTTTCAAATAAGGTCACGTTCCGAGGTTTTGGTGGACATGAGTTTCAGGGGAGCTGTGAGTCCATCTAACACAGGACCCGATTCATCCTGGGCTGCCTGGCCTTGAACTCTGGGCTGCTCCTGCTACCTTGTGCTGCCTCCAGCTGGACAGCAGGCCCCCCGCTAGCCCCCTTGCGTCCCCAGCCCGTGAACCCCACCGAGCAGGCACGTTGCTTATCTTCGGGAGACTCATTCCAGAAACACCGCCCACAGCTTCCTGCTCGTCACACCTCGGCTGCCTGGCTGCCCCGGGGGGTGGGGGGAAGGCACTGCTGGTCACCTTTGTACCACAGACACTTGGCCCTTTAGGGCTAGCGCACACTGGAGCCCGACCCAGGAACCCCCTCTCCTCACCCACCCTGCACCCCGGGGGCTCCTGCAGGGAGAGTCCTGGGCTCCGTGGGCTTCACCTGGGTTTGGCTGCCTGTGGTTGCCCCCTGATGACTTGGGATGTGGGGCGATTCTGGGCTGCCCAGTTTCAGATACACCTGTCTATGGACAGTTCCTGTAATTCCTGGGGGTGATGCTGGGCCCCCAGGGGCAGGGCATGTTGGCCTGCAGAAAGACACAGGCAGGCGGCTTATTTGTGAGCAGGTGCCACAGACTGAATTCTGTCTCCCACAAACTCACAAGTTGAAGCCTTCACCCCCAGCGAGGCTGTATTTGGAGGTGGGGCTGTTAGGAGGTAGTTAAGGTTAAATCAAGCCATAAAGGGGGGGTCCCGATCTCTAGGATTGGAGGCCTTGTAAGAAGAAGAAGAGAGATCTCTAAGCACACACAGCTGGGAGAGGCCATTCGAGGACTCAGAAGGTTGGCCCCCCAGGGCCAGGAAAGGCGCTGTACCTGGAACCTGGTCTGGGTACTGCTGGGCCCTGATCTTGGACTTCCAGCCTCCAGAAGGAAGGCATTCTGTCCAGAGGAAGACATTTCTGTCATTTAAGCTGCTTGGTCTTTGGTATTTTATCATGGCAGCCTGGGCTGCTAAGACAGAGGATTATTTTGGATGCAGGGATTGGGGGTCTGGCAGGGCTTCCTGGGGAGGTAGTGCTTGAACTGAGTCCCAGATGATGAATGGGAACTGTTGTGGAAGGTTCCAGACAAGGGCTTCGTGGGTGCAGAGCCCAGCAGCAAAAGGCAGAGGAGGGCCTTGAGTGCCACCAGTGGGGAGTTGGGGTTTGCCTCTGGGGGAAGGAAAAGAGAGCTTTAAACCTGGGGATACTCCAGAAGCCTTTCAGAATAACTACAGGAGGCCGGGTGTGGTGGCTCACACCTGTAATTCCAGCACTTTGGGAGGCCAGGCAGGAGGATCACTTGAGGCCAGGAGTTCAAGACCAGCCTGGGCAACATAGGAAGACCCCATCTCTGAAAATAAAAAACTTAGTTGAGCGTGGTGGCGGGCACCTATAGTCCCAACTACTCGGGAGGCTGAGGCAGGAGGATCATTTGAATCCAGAAGATGGAGGCTGCAGTGAGCTGTGTTCACTCCACTGCACTCCAGCCTGGGCAATAGGGCAAGACCTGTCTCTTAAAAAAAAAAAAAATGATGACAAGAGACAGCCCTCCCGGCTGGGGAAAGAGCCTGGATTGTAACTGAGGCCCCTCCTGTCTTCCCTTAGTGCCTCAATTTACCAGCTTGCAAAATAAGGGTACAGCTGTGTCTCCCTGCTCTTAGGACTGCTGCAAGGCCCCACACAGGGTGGGCGCTTGGCCAGCTGGCAGGGCTGGAGTCTCTTTTGTGGGGAGGGAGGCCCCTGTGAGCCAGCTGTGTGCGCTCAGCCCCCGAGGGACCCTTCACACGTCCCAGCCGCCACCTACAAGAGAAACAAAACGTGCTCACGGCAGACCCTCTGTTCAGCTGGGTCTGGAAATTTGGCAGCAGCAACCATGCCTGATAAAAGGCATTCCGAGGCAGGCCTGGTGTTTGTATATGTGGTTCTGTATTTACATGAGTGGAGGGAGCAAGGAGGCAGCAGGGGAGTGTCTCCAGGGCCCAGGAGACTCAGCCTGGAATCCACGTGCCCCTGATGCTCTCATCATCATTCCCTATCGCTTCCCAAGCTCGGCAGATGTTTACTGAGGAACTCTGGTGGACCAGCCATGCAGCGAGGGGTCAGCTCAGCTCTTCTCATCAGGTCCTCAGTAAACGTGGGGACCCACGGCATGGAGGGACTGAGGCAAAAACAAAGTTGACAGCCAGAATGAACTCAGAATGGGCCAAAGACCTAAATGCAAGAGCTAGAAGTGTAAAACTCCTGTAAGAAAACAGAGGGGCTGGCTGGGCGCGGTGGCTCCTGCCTGTAATCCCAGCACTTTGGGAGGCCAAGGATCACTTGAGGTCAAGAGTTCAAGACCAGCCTGGCCAACATGGTGAAACCCCATCTCTACTAAAAATACAAAAATTCGCCGGGCATGGTGGCGCGTGCCTGTAATCCCAGCTACTTGGGAGGCTGAGAATCACTTGACCCCGGCAGGTGGAGGTTGCAGTGAGTCAAGATCGCGCCACTCCACTGCAGCCTGGGTGACAAGAGTGAGACTCCGTCTCAAAAAAAAAAAGTCCAGAACAGATAAATCCACAGAGACAGGAAACGGATTAGTGGCTGCCAGGGGCTGGGGGAGGGGAATGGGGAGTGACTGCTGATGGGGATGGGGTTTCTTTATGGAGTGATTGAAATGTTCTAGAACCAGACAGAGGTGATGGTTGACAGTGTACTAAATGCCTCTGAATCATTCACTTTCAAACAAGATCATGGTAAATTTTTTATGTGGATTTTATTGCAGCTTTTTTGAAAGTATATTTTTCATGTAAAAGATTAAAAAAAAATAGAAAGAAACAGGCCACAGAGAGAAACCAATGGTGGGCCGGGCACAGTGGCTTACACCTGTCATCCCAGCACTTTGGGGGCCAAGGCAGGAGGATTGCTTGAGGCCAGCCTGGACAACATGGGGGACCCTGTCTCTACAGAAAGAAAAAAAAAAAAAAGGCCATGGTGGTGCACACCACTACTCCCAGCTACTTAGGAGGCTGAGATGGGAGGATTGTTTGAGCCCAGGAGGCTGCAGTGAGCCCTGATCGTGCCGCTGTACTCCAGCCTGGGCCACAGACAAAGACCCTGTCGCAAATAAAAGAAAGAAAGAAAACAGATGCGGGACGTCAGTCTCAGGCTGTGGCCTTGCTGCTCCAAGCTGTGTTCCCACACACACAGTTTCCAGAGGTGGGCAGTGGCAACACCCTGGGGAGGGTCCGTCAGGGCTGGCAGCTCCTGCTACACAGCAGGTGATCCCCTCAGTCACTAGCCTCTCCTGTTCCCCTGGGACCCAGTGCCTGGAGGTGGGCAGCAGCTCCCACATTCCCTGTGTACCCTGCGGCCATTACCCAGCCCCGGCCTCTGGGAGAATGAATCGGTCAGGGGATGCTGGGCATGCATCCCTTACCCCTATGGCGAGGCGTCCGGGCAGAAAATCCTCCCCCACAACACGCACAGGTGATGGCGACGGGCTTCTGAGCAAAATGCGTGAGATCTGGGGCTCTTTGCTGGGCCCTTGGAGGAGCACAGGAGGAGGCTTGAGGGTCAGACATGGGAAGTTCTATGTCCACAAGTCAGGGGCAGAAGGCTTTGCTGCAGCCTCCGACATCACTTGGAGCTTTGGGGGTACCTGTCAGAGACTTGGATGCCCCAGGGCTGGGCAGAGGCCTGAGGGCTCTTGTCCCTGTCTCCCTTCTCACACTGGCATCAGCCCCTCCTGGCATTGGGGATGCCATCCCTGCTGGTGCATCTGGTTAAAAGCTGGCCTGGAGGGTGTTCACCTCCTTTGTTCTGCTTGATCCAGGGCAGTGACAAGGGGACCCCCCGGGGAGCGGGGGATCCTGAGCATGGCACTGGATCGAGGCGCACGCCAGCTCCTGCAGGCCTCGTTTTGAAGCCGAGGTCTCAACTGCAGGGAGCAGATGGCGTGTCCCCTGGGAGTGCTGGGGTGGGGGCGGTGACAGGGCTGTGGGGCCGGCTCTGGGCAGCATGGGCAGGTGCGGCCTCACAGTAGAGGCCTGGAGCCCTTAGGGGAAGAGTCCTGCTCTGGCTGTTGATGGTAAGTGGCTCCAGAAGCTTCCGTTCCCTCGATGACCGTATTTCACCCCTGGTGGCCCATCTCAGACCCTATGAGCTCCCAGTCCTGGGCCTTGGCACCTGCTGTTCCTCCTCCCCTGCAAGGCTCCCCAGTGCTGTGTCTCTGCCAGTCCACGGCCGCACAGTGGCTCAGGCTGAAGCTCCCACAGTCACCACTTGCCTGGAGATCTAATGCTTGCTGCCCGCTCTGGGCTGTGGGCTCGTGTGAGCAGTGCCCATCTGGCTGGCTGGCTGCCATGTCCACTGAACCTAGAACCATGCCCAGTGCTGGGCAGACTCTTGCCTTGAGTCTGGCAGGGGAGGTGGGGACACTGCCGTGGTGGGGCGGGAGCTGGGCTGGCTGAGCGGGTGGGTGCCTGAGCCTTGGTTGGTTTTCAGCTGTTGACCCAGCTGGGCTTCACGCCAGCAGCAGGGGTTCCAGCCAGCGTGGACATGGGAGGATGAAGGCTCTTGCCCTGTGGGGGTGTCCTTCAAGTCGGCACACATCCCCGCCTGCGGCTGCTGGGACGCTTGGAGATCCCTCCAAGGCCCAGGCCTCCTGCCTTCATTCCAGGGTCCCTCTGCCTTCATCAGCCTTCCCAGAACTCCATCTTGGGAAGCCCCGAGTTATGGGGCTGCAGGGTCAAGGGGTGCGAATCCCCGGGGTCCTGGTCAGCTCCCAGGATCCAGGATCCAGGTACATCCTGTGCATTCGCTGGGCTGGAGAAAGTGTTCGCTCCCCACCTTCCTCTTGTAGGGCCATGCCTCAGGCTGAGGTGCCTGCTGCCTCTGCTCTCAGGCAGTCTCTGTGCTTTCTTGAGCCTCAGTTTCCCCATCTGGACTGTCAGGGGAGGGGCTGTGCAGAGGGCGGCCCCTTGGAGGAGGCTCAGTGCTGGGCAGCGGTGGGCCCAGGGGGAAGAGCCTTCTGGTACAGGCAGCACCCGTGCAAAGGCCCGGAGGTAGCGACTGGTGGCTCCGGGAGGAAGCATGTGAGCTGGAGCCTATGGTCATGGAGAGTGGAGACTAGACTTTGAAGCCTAGAGGTGGAGAGGGGGGGAAACTGAGGCCTGACTGGCACAGACAGCACTTCCCTCCCTGGCCCCCCCACAGGGAGGCCCTGGGTCTGCCACGGCTTTGCAGGGCCGAGCTCAGCCATCAGCCCGCCTGCTTCCCTCAATCTCATTAGAAGGTTGGCCGGTTGCCATGGCAGTTGCTTCTGGGCCTGACCAAGGCTGGCCGGTCTGCAGAGCGAGCCCCAGGAAGGGCTGGCAGGTGGAGGTGTCGCTGTGCCCTGTGCAGGATTCCTGGGAGACTGAGTGCTGCCCGAACATCTCTCCACATCCTGGAGAAGTAGCCACAGGCGCATTATACTGGGGCCACCCGGCCTCCATTCCCCTACCTAGGGGCTCCTGCTCCATCCAGCCCTGTGGACACTTCCTGGGCGGGGCAGGGGCGTAGACTTAGCAGGAGTGTGGACGTGGGCACAGACAGAGGCAGAGGTGGGCGTTCTCCAGGGCGAGGGTCCTGTCAGCAAGGGGTGGGGGTCAGCGGAGGCCTGAGAAGCCACCTTTACGAAGGGCTCTATAGAGGGGTCAGGTGGGGGGGTAGGACTTTGTGTGAGGGGGTCCCGGCGCAGGCTGTATCAGGAGCGGGGGTCCCTGCGGTCAGCTTGGTAGTGTCAGAGCTTCTGGGTCCACATCTGCCTCCCACGTGCCTCCACTGATGCTGGCAAGCTCTCATCTGAGATCGGGTGGCTTCAGTAACACTTGTCCCAGGAGGGGCCATGTGACTTCAGTCATGCTGGTCATGCAGGGGTTAAGTTTCAGGCATGTGGGGCCTCAGTTTTCCCATCTGGAGAGTGGCATGTACTGGTACACCCTCAAAAGCCCTGTAGAGGGGTGAATCATGTCCCACAAAAAGATACGTCCACACTCTCACTCCTGGAACCTGGGAAGGTGACCTTACAGTTGACTCTTGAATCAATGGTTTTGAGCCACGCATGTCTACTCATACGTGGATTCTCTCCCGCCTCTGTCATGCCTGAGACAGCAAGACCAAGCTGCCGCCCTCCTGCTGCTGCTCCTCCTCCTCCTCCTCCTCCTCCTCCCTTTTCCTCCTCCTCAGCCAGCTCTACGTGAAGGACGGTGAGGACAAAGACCTTTGGGATAATCCCCTTCCACTTCACAAATAGCAAACATTTTCTCTTCCTTAATGATTTTCTTAGTATCATTTTCTTTTCTTTAGCTTTATTGTAAGAATACAGTATGTAATACGTATAACATACCAAATCTGTCTTAATTGACTCATATTATCAGTGAGGCTTCCAGTCAACAGTAGGCTATTAGTTAAGTGTTGGAGGAGTCAGAAGTTATACTGGAGTGGGGCACGGTGGCTCATGCCTCTAATCCCAGCACTTTGGGAAGCTGAGGTGGGAGGACTGCTTGAAGCCAGGAGTTGGAGACCAGCTGGTCAACATAGTGAGACTCCATCTCTACAAAAGTTAAAAATTAGCCAGGCATGGTGGTTTGTGCCTGTGGCCCCAGATACTCAGGAGGCCAAAGTGGGAGGATCACCTGATCCTGGGAAGCCAAGGCTGCAGTGAGGTGTGATTGTGCCACTGCCCTCCAGCCTGGGTGACAGAGTGAGAGCCTGTCTCAAAATAAATAAATGAATAAATAAATAGAAGTAAAAACTATAAAAAGAAAAAAAATTATACTTGGATTTTTGGCCGCATGAGGGTCAGCTCCCCAATCCCCGTGTTGTCTCAGGGTCAACTGTAGTTGGAAATAGGGCCTCCAGATGAGACCGTCCTGGATTAGGGTGGGCCTTTCTCTTTAATTGTAAGAGAAAGGAGAGCTGAGCCAGGCCCAGTGGCTCACTCCTGTAATCCCAGCACTTTGGGAGGCTGAGGCAGGCGGATCACCTGAGGTCAGGGGTCTGAGACCAGCCTGGCCAACATGGCGAAACCCCATCTCTACTAAAAATACAAAAATTGTCTGAGTGTGGTGGCACGCCTGTAATTCCAGCTACTCAGGAGGCTGAGGCAGGAGAATCGCTTGAACCCAGGAGGTAGAGGTTGCAGTGAGCCGAGATCGCGCCATTACACTCCAGCTTGGGCAACAAGAGGGAGACTCCGTCTCAAAACAACAACAACAACAACAACAAAGCCAGAGGCTGGTGCGATTGTGACTTGGGGGGCTGCTTCTTGAGCAGGGGTGTTGGGGATGCCCCTCTAAGGAGGGGCCGTCAGGCCTTGCATGAGGGGTCAGTGGGGAAAGGACAAGCTGGGGGCACTTTGGGGCTTGGGCGGCTGGAGGGAGTGAGGCTGGGGAGGCTGGAGGCAAAGCCCACCCACCCTCAGCAGGGCCCTCCAAATCGCCAGTGGGGTCCACTCTCACAGCCAGGCAGCCAGGACCAGATGCCCATCTATCTGGCCCACAGGCCATGAGTGAGGGGCGCCCTGGGAGCTGCAGTTTTCCCGACTCCTACCGGACGCCTTCTCCAGGCCTCAGCTGTTTCACCTGTCGCCCCGCTTGTTGACAGCCATGGGGATGGTGTGGAGATGGGACACCTGAGTCCCAGGTCAGCCCCGAGCCTCTGTGTAGGGCAGGCTGGAGCTGCTGTGGCATCCCAGGAGCTCCCTCCAGAGCTAGCCGCTGGCTCCAAGTGAGGGTTACACCTTGAGGTGGCTTGTGTTGCCTGGGCCAGCTGAGGAAGGGGGTGGCCAAGCTGCCGCCTGAGGCCTCCTGGGTTTTAATCTTAAGTGCTTGTACAGCCTCCAGACGGGCCTGTCACCTGGCTTGTGAAGTCAGCTGTGGAGGAGGTGCAGCAGCGTCCATTCATTCATTCATTCACCCCCTCACATCTTTGTTCACTTGTGGATTCCGCCGGCAGGCGCTGCTGAGCAGCGGGTCCTGGGCTGGCTGCTGGGTTCACGGAGCTCGTCCTCAGGGTCTCAGTGGTTTGGGGAGCACAGCATGGTGGGGGGCAGGGGACTGTGATGTGGCGATGAGAAAAGCTGTGATGTTGCCTGCAGTGCAGTGACATCTGGCCGTTCTTCCAGCTGAGGCCAGAGGTCTGTGGGGGCAGAGCCCAAGCTGGCGTCCCACCACCCTGAGACCCCAGAGAAAGGAGGACCCTGCTCCCAGGGGTTCCAGCCAGGCTGGGGAGGAAAGTCAGCTCCTGCAGACTCAGGAGTCTCCGTGCCCACCCTCTGGCTAGAAAATTCACTGGAAGGACTCCCCAGAAGCCGTTTTGTTCATGCTTATGGTTTATTGCAGCGAAAGGACACATTAAAATTACCCAAGGGAGGCTGGGTGTGGTGGCTCACACCTGTAACCCCAGCATTTTCGGAGGCTGAGGCGGGCGAATCTCTTGAGGTCAGGGGTTCAAGACCAGCCTGGCCAACGTGGTGAAACTCCGTCTCTACTAAAAATACAAAAATTAGCTGGGTGTGGTGTTGCATACCTGTAATCCCAGCTACTCAGGAAGCTGAGGTGAGAGAATCGCTTGAACCCTGGAAGTGGAGGTTGCAGTAAGCCGAGATAGTGCCACTGCACTCCAGCCTGGATGACAGAGCTAGACTCCATCTTAAAAAAAAAAAAAATCACCCAAGGGAAGAGGCAGATGGGCAGGGTCCAGGAGAAACCAGGCCAGAACCTCCAGTCAGCCCCTCATGTGAACAGTGCGTAATTCTCCCAGCATGGAGCACTGCCAGCCGCAGAAGCTCCCCTGGCCTGCATGTCCAGGGTCTGTACTGGGGGCTGGTCCTGTAGACGTGGCTGACCACCCTCATGGCCAACCTGTCTCTAGTCCCTCCAGATGTCAAGCTGATGTGCCCAAACTCCCACCCTAAAACCACAGTGTGAGCAGACTCTGCCATAGCCCAAGGCCTCAGGCACACAATGACACTCTTATCAGGCAGGATATTCTCCTGCAGGTCACCTCCCAGGAGCTGGGGACAAAGGTCAGACCTCTCTTGGGGCCAGCTTAACCCTTTTGCTGTACAACTCCTCATGCAAAACCAAGAATGAGCATGGGGTTCCCCAAAAGAAGAGCAGAGGCCAGGCGCGGTGACTCATTCCTGTAATCCCAACACTTTGGGAGGCCGAGGCGGGTGGATCACTTGAGGTCAGGAGTTTGAGACCAGCCTGAGCAACATGGTGAAAAACTCTGTCTCTACTAGAAATACAAAAAAAAAAATTAGCCAGGCATGGTGCCTGTAGTCTCAGCTAGTTCGGAGGCTGAGGCAGGAGAATCACTTGAGCCTGGGAGATGGAGGTTGTAGTGAGCCAAGATGGCGCCACTGCACTCCAGCCTGGGCAACAGAGCGAGACTCCATCTCAAAAAAACAAACAAACAACAACAACAACAAAAAAGAAAAGCAGAGTCCCCACTCAGTGTCCACTCCTGGCCCAGGGGCTGTGCTCCGAAGCCTGAGTGCCTCCAGCAAAGTGGACAGGAGCTGGGAATTGTGGGCAAGGTTTGGACAGAGATGGGGCTTGGGAACCATGAGAGTTCTGTGTGTCCCCAGTCCTGTAGATTGTCCCCGCATCCCAGGTTTCCTGTGGCCCGGGGACATAGTGTAAACAAAGCTGCTTCAGGGAGTTCTTGCCCCTGATGTCTGGCCTCCTGGGAGCTGGCAGCTCAGCCCGTGTAGAAAGCACATGTGGCATGAGTACCTGCTGTGTCACACGTCGTGTGTCCCTCTCACACCCGCCTGTAGCACTCACTCTAGGTCGGGGACACAGGTCCAGGAGGGGTCACAGCCTTTAGGGCCATATAGTCAGTGAGAGGTGAATGTAGCACAGGTTTCTGTCATGCTACTTGGACACAGAAGAGGGTGGAGAAAGTCACGGGAGGCCACAGGCGACCTATGCCCAGGTAGGTGTGGGGTGGGAGCTGTAGGACCCCCACCCTACACCCCCTCCCTCTGCCACAGCCCGGAGCTGGCCTGTTTCATCTGGTGTGACTGCTGGGAGGGACACTGTGGATGTTCATTGTGTATGTGTCTGGCCAGCGGCCACCAAGGGCTCCCAGCACAGACCCTGGGCCTCACCCCCAGGCCCTCGAGAGCCACCCAATAACACACAAGGTTAATCTTACCATCGGCTCCACTTCAGCTCACAGGAAACAGCTGTTTACCTGGGCGAGGTGCTCAGCCGGGCAGGTGGCCAGTTCCCGGGCTTTACTTCCGCCTCCGGTGTCCAGGGCCCCCTAGGAAGCTGGGGCGGTGGGGCAGCCAGCTCTCCACGCACTGCCAGGAGCTGTTTGTAAGGAACGAGTCGGCCTTGTTGTGTACACAGTGTCCACCCTAGCAACCGCCCCTGCCGGGCCAGAGTGGACAACCACCCCTCCTTCCTGCCTGCCCAGCCCCACCTCTCCTCACGGTGGCTGCCTCCCCCAGTTGCATGGCAGGCATCATGGACCAGCATCCCCAAGGGCCTCGGGTCGTGCCACATGGGTCAGGGGCCTCTGTTACTGGCAAATCAGCATCAGCCACATGAAGGGGAGGAGGCCAGCTTCCAGCCCTGTTCAGAGTCAGCGTGACCCATCAGGGAGCTCCTGGCCCCTGGTTCTGTGCCCCGATGCCATCAGGGAGTGGGAAGCAGGGATGCAGCTGAGATGAAGGCGCTCAGCTGGGCCCAGCCCCCAAGAGGCTGGGAAGGACCATGAGGAAGGAACATGGGGCTCAGGACCCTCTAGAACTCAAGCTGGGTCTGGGGGACTGACTTGGCTGCCCTGGCTCTGTGTGGGCTGCCGTCGGGATCACAAGTCCCACGCTTTGAAGGCCATCACCACGCTTCTGAGACAGCTTCCTCCGATTCAGGCCAGTGGGAAGCCGCCTGGCCTGCCAAGTCACAGCCTCTGGCCGTGATAAGAAATGGCTCCCCTGGGCTGGTGAGGGGCCTCCTTGGCAGGCTGCAGGCCCGCCAGTGCCTCTCTTGCCCATTCACTGACTGACCGAATCAGCAGCAAGGCAGCCAGCTCCCCAGGTTCACGGTCATGGGTTTCTGCATGGTGCATTGCCCCGCCTGGGGAGCCGTCCCGGCACCTCGGGTTTCTGATTCTGCCATTTTTGGTGGAGGGACACCTGGTTTCCTTAAGCATCTGGGTCATGAGGTCCTGCAAACTTCTGCACTTAGGCTGTCAATCCCACCACTTGGGTCTTTTTGTGCCTTTGGGGCTGGCACTCTGAGGTGAGCCTGGGAGGTGACCCCTCCCGCAGCTGCTGGCTTCTCTCTCGCAGCTCCAGCTCCAGAAATCCCAGTACCTGCAACTGGGCCCCAGCCGAGGCCAGTACTATGGCGGGTCCCTGCCCAACGTGAACCAGATCGGGAGTGGCACCATGGACCTGCCCTTCCAGGTGAGTGCCCCGCCCCCTGGCCCTGCCCCATTGTGGGGAGCTTCCCCCAGCCTCCCACTGGGGGCCAGACATTGAGGACAGCTGGGGTTATCAGACAGTTGGCGGAGCCCACCCAACCACTGCCTTCTCCTTGTCTGCCCTGGGAACCAGAGGAAGCAGAGTGGCCCCACCAGGGTGCCCCCGCAGCCCATTCCCCATCAGCAGACCCCGAGGCGAGCCCTCCATCTGGCCTCCAGCATTTCGGCAGCCGCTACACCTGTTGGCCGGCTGTGCGGCAGCGGGAACCGCTCGGGGCCACTGGGGCTTGGCTCTGTCCTGCCTCACTAATCCGCAAGCCCAGCAATTCTCAGAAGGAGGCCCGGCGGCCTGACCCCACTTGTCTGCAAACGTTTCTTGGCAGAGGCCCACACAGCGCGGCTCCCGCAGGCCGCACAGCCGCCGTGCACAGCCTTATCGTAAACAGGAGATAAGGCCCACAGCGGCCCTCTTCCCTGTCCCTGGTCTGCGGGTGGAGATGGGGATGGGGTGGGGCCGAGGGAGCTGGCCTATGAATCAGGGCCACCCCCAGGACGGTGTCTGGGCTCTGCATGGACAGGTCCCCCTGGGGGGGGGTCACACCTACTCTGTGGCTGAGAAAACCACCTCGGACACAGCCATGGCCACTGACAGGCCAGATGGAGCCGGGGCCCCTCCCAAGTCACCCACCAGCTCCACCGCCACCTGCACCGCCGCTGGACAGGGCAGGGATCCTTGGGCTGGCCACCACGGTGCGCCTCCTCCGGCATACAGAGTGCGGGCCATCACTGATGCTGGGCGTGTTCTTTGTCACAGCCCTTCCTGGCCAGGTTTTCTCCCCTCCTGCCCTTCTCTCCCTTTCCTGTTTCTCCTGTCCCCTCTTCCCTGGAGGAGAGTCTCTCTCTGGGCACCTTGCAAGCTCAGCCTGAGTGGGGCTGAGGGGCACAGGACCCTGTTGGGTGTCTGTCGCCCGAGGCCCACAGCCCGGGGGGAGGTCCCACGCATCCCGCCTTTGGGGCCAGGCAAGGCAGCAGCGTCTCAAAGTCTCGGTTCTTTGCATTTTCAGCCCAGCGGATTTCTGGGGGAGGCCCTGGCAGCGGCTCCTGTCTCTCTGGTAAATGAGCCCCCAGGCTGAGGCCGCGGCGTCCCCGGCGCCAGCCTGCAAGACCCCGACCCGTGTGCGGGCGCTGGGGATCCCTGAGCTCCCCAAGCGGCCGCCCCTGCGGCTCCCAGGGAGGTGGAGGTGTCCCGTCCGCCAAATGGAAATGGATCCACTCCGCACCCCCATCTCGGGAAGTGCGTATGGTCGCGTCGAGAGGCCCTGGGGACTCTTGGGGTCCATCTGGGGCAGATGCCATAGCCGCGCATCCCCATCTGGGGTCCAGCAGAGCAGAATCCCAGCATGTGCCCCAAAGCTGCATGGTCCGTCCCTATATACACACACACACAAACACACACACACACACACACATACACACACGTGTGCACGCATCTCCCAAACCAGGCCAGCAGGCAGGACGTGGCGAGCCCGGGTGTGGCCAGCCCCCGCTTCATTCTGCCTCTGACTTGGCTTTGGCTGCCTCAGTTTCCCTCTGGGCTTCAAGGCATCTCTGGAAGGAGATGAATTGCCCCTACCCTGAGGAGCCTGTGCACTGGACAGCACAGTTCCCACCCTCATCGTCACAGGCCCACGTCTCCCATGCCCACAGCCTTTTGGGGGCAAGAGCCACGGAAAGACCCAAACCAGCAGAGTTCATGCTGGATCGAAGAAAGACTTGGGGGTCCCCAGGGCTGGGGACAGTAGTCAGCCCTGAACTCTGGCCGAGGCTGGGACAAAGCAGCAATCCTAGCCATGGACAGGCTTCTGGAGAGGAGACTCACTTTAGTATCAGAGTCTCATTTTGCCCGGCTGCCCAGAGAAGGCATAAGGGCTCAGGGGCCAGATGGCCGGACTGGGGGATTGGCTGCATCCAAAGCTGGCAGAGCCTGCTGATCTCACCCCAGTCAGATGGCAAGTGGGCAACACAGGGTCAGGGCGGGCTCCTGGCAGCCCCGGGGGCATGAGGCCGGGCATGTAGCAGGGCCTGGGGAGGGCCAGCCTGGTGCCAGCCCCAGGTGCTGGGAGGAAGCCCCATCCAGCCAAGCAGTGGGCCATGGCTCCGGAAGGCGCCTGTACTTGGCTCTGGTGGTGCCTGGAGTGCCTGGAGGAGGCTGCGGGGGAGGGTGTGTGGGGGCCGCGTCTCAATCAAGAGCAGCCCTGGGCTCCACAAGGAAGCCTCCCAGGAACTCGCGCTTGGCCAGGTGGGCCCCGAAACAGTCCTGGGCTGGAAGCCCCTGGGCTGTCTCTTGGCAGGCCCCTCCAGGGATGACGTAGGTGGGGGTAGGAGGCCGTCCAGGCCCGGAGAGAGAGGGCGGAGGCCTGTCTGCACCTGGTGAGACTGGGGAGGAGGGCTGCCTAGGCCGGCTACATCCCTGGCACCCGGCGGGCGCTGGCCCCGAGCTTGTGCCGCTCTGCCTGGCCTGTGCATGCCAGCTGCACTGCACGCCCCTGCCACCCTGGCTCCCGGGACCCCAGCTCACACCCCCTCCCTACCCCCCAGTGCTTGGAGAGCCAGGGAGCTGGGGCTGAAGGAAGAAGCCCATCCCAGGCTGTGGAGCGATGGCCGAGGGTGCTCCAGAGTGGGGGGCCCTGCGATCAGACTCTGGGGCCAGCGCTGGGGCCACAGCTGGTAACCATTGTTTGGATTTCTCTCTCTCTGTTTCCATCTCCTCCTCCCCCAGACCCCCTTCCAATCCTCGGGCCTGGACACCAGCCGGACCACCCGGCACCATGGGCTGGTGGACAGGGTGTACCGGGAGCGTGGCCGGCTCGGCTCCCCACACCGCCGGCCCCTGTCAGTGGACAAACACGGACGGCAGATATCCTTTTCACCAGAGGATGAGGGTGGGGGCCAGGCCCTGTCGGTGCCGGCAGGACCCCAAGTTTACCCAGCAGGTTCTGACAGGGCTGCCTGCTTCCAGCTCTGGGGACAGAATCAGGGCAGCACCATCTGGGAGGCTTGATCTCAGGGCAGCCTGGGGGACTTCCTGGAGGAGGCTGTGCCACAAGCCCTGGAGCCTTTGGCCAGACTTGGGGGCTCAAGGGGCACAGGGAACAGCTCTCAAGGCAGGAGTTGAGGAAGGTTATACCTGACCACAGAGGGCTTAGACACCTGGCAGGGCAGTGGGGCCAGGAAGGCCGTGAGCAGGGAGCCCACAGTCAGGGCTGTGAGCTGATGAGGCCTCTCCTACGCGCTGCACGGAGGGCAGCCCAGCCAAGGCAATGGGGCTAAGGGGGTCTGTGTGAGACCCGGACGCATCCAAGGGAGGCTCCATCTCTGTAAGACAGGAGTAAAATTCGCCTCTGCGACTCGGTCACGCAGAGATCAGCCAGAGTCCCCCCCTCCCCCCCAACTCAGCCGCCCCTTGGTGCTCAGCCAGCCGGGCCCCACAACACCAGAGTCTGAGCGGCCTCAGGTTGCTCCCGGGATCCCCCGGCTCTCCAGAACAGAGAAGCTTGTTCTCCGGTTCTCATTTCCGTGGGCTGGGGGAGCTTGACCAGCTGGGCCCCAGACTGAGCCCTTGGGCCCCAGGAGCCACCCCGTCAGCCCAGGATGGAGAGTCCAGACCAGGGTCAGCTGAACTCAGACTCCACAGCGTCCCCACAGGCCCTACTTTCACAGCCCAGAACCCCCTCCCTTGGAAGGGGTGCAGCCCGCACGTGTGCTCACGGAGCAGAGTGCTGAGTGCTAGGTGGACAGGGCTGTACCCCTGGAGAGCCCCTGGAACGGGGGCTGCTTGTAGCCAGGCAGGAAAGGCCGGCAGGAAACGCCCCCCGCCCTACTGGTCCCAGCTGTTTGCAGGCCTCAGGCCGACCCCAGCCAGCCAGCCGGGGCTTCCTGCCCTGGGCTGAGAGTGTGTTGTTGGAGGCGGGGTCTCAGCCAGTGGCACTGCCCCCTTAACTCACCTCACGCCGACAGCTGCCCCTATGGCACCATGTACCTCTCACCACCCGCGGACACCAGCTGGAGAAGGTCAGTGGCTGGACACCCCCCCCCCGCCCCCTTCTTGTTGGAAACAAAACCAAACTCTCATCATGGTTACATGTGGAAAAGCAGGACACAGTCGCTTAAACAATGACCAAACTAAGATGCATCCAGAAGTTTCTAGAAATTAGCCTTCACCCTGAAACACAGGAGTTCCAGCTTTGGGAGGTCTTCTAACATTTCCCTTCCCCCCACTTATGACAAAAAAAAAGACAAAAACAAAAGTGGGACCAGGAGTGGTGGCTCAGGCCTGTAATCTCAGCACTTTGGGGGGCCGAGGCAGGCGGATCACTTGAGGTCAGGAGTTTGAGACCAGCCTGGCCAACATGGTGAAACCCCGTCTCTACTAAAAATACAAAAATTTGCCAGCATGGTGGCGCATGCCTGTAATCCCCAGCTACTCAGGAGGCTGAGGCGGGATAATTGAACCCGGGAGGCGGAGGTTGCGGTGAGCCAAGATCGAGCCACTGCACTCCAGCCTGGGTGACAGAGTGAGACTCCATCGCAAGAAAAAGAAAGTGGGACGATACCGCATATTCAGCACTGTAGCTTGCTCTTTCCTATTTAATGCTGTATTCAGAGCAGGTACCCATGTTACTCAACAGCCATTAAAAATGTGATGATAAAATTATATTAACACATTTAGGATGGAAGATTAGGAAAAATACAGGCCAGGCACAGTGGCTCACGCCTGTAATCCCAGCACTTTTGGAGACCAACGCAGGCGATCAGTTGAACCCAGGAGTTGAAGACCAGCCTGAACAACATAGAAAGATCCCATCTTTACAAAAAATGAGAGAATTAGCCAGATGTAGTAGTGCACGCCTGTACTCCCAGCTACTCGGGAGGCTGAGGTGGGAGAATTGCTTGAGCCCAGGAGGTCAAGGCTGCAGTGAGCTGTAATCATGCCACTACAGTCCAGCCTGGGCCACAGAGCGAGACCCTGTCTCCAAGGCCTAAAATAACAATAATATAGTTAATATAAAAACATACAATAATATAGATCATGGTTGTACAACAATGTGAATGTACTTAATGTCACAGAACTATACACTCAAAAACAGTTAAAACTATACATATATACACACATATTTACATACATATGTATACAAACGTGTGTGTGTATATAATTTTTTTTCTGAGACATGGTCACACTCTGTTACTGAGGCTGGAGTGCAATGGCGCGATCACAGGTCACTGCAGCCTCGACTTCCCAGACTGAATCGTCCCACCTCTGCTTCCAGCTGATTTTTTTTTTTTTTTTTTTTTTTTTGGAGAGACAAGATCTTGCCACGTTACCCAGGCTGGTCTCAAACTCCTGGGCCCAAGTGATCCACCCATCTCGGCCTCCCAAAGTGCTGGGATTACAGGACATGAGCCACTGTGCCTGGCTGTTATATATATTTTACTACAATAGAAATATATATAACAGGCACAGTGGCTCACACCTGTAATCCCAGCACTTTGGGAGGCCGAGGCGGGTGGATCACTAGAGCTTGGGAGGTTGAGGATGCAGTGAGCTATGATCATGCCACTGTACACCAGCCTGGGGGGCAGAGTGAGACCCTGTCTCAAAAAAAAAAAAAGAAAAACCATATACATACATACACACGCACACACACCACACACATACACACACATGTTAGTAAACGGAAGAAAAGTAAGCAAGCTGTTCAAAATATATATGTATACTACAATATTAAATTCTCACCAAGCCCGTATCATAGGTCAGGCCCTGTTCCCACCATCACATTCATTAACTTATATAAAATGAATGGAGCTTTATGGAGTGGGCAGTGTGTTCATCTCCATTGTAGTCCGTGTTAGACATGAGGAAATTGAGCACAGAGAGGTCAAAACACTTGCTCAGAGACACATAGCTGGTGGTGGCTGTACCCACATTTTGCCTGGCAGCCAAGGAGGCTTTCTGGGGACCCACTCTTGAGGCACCTGCAGCCAGGAGCAGATTGGGTGGCCTTGTGCTTTCTCCCCATCAGTTCCTAGAGGGAAATGCGGTCCCTGGAGGTAGAGGGAAGAGCCTCTCCTGGGCTAGTTGAAGCAAGACCTCCTGCCTCAGGTTGGCTTCCCAACCACGGGGGCCTCTAAGTGGCTTCATTCCTTCCGGGGCCTTCTCCTAGCCCATTCCACCTGTCACACTGGGTTTGTGTGACACTGAGCATCCTAGAGGGCACAGTCACCTGATTGTGTTTGTCACCAAGAGGGGACCTGGTGACAGACTGGAGGCTCATACCCCAAGGCTGGGCACCTGTGGGGCTCCTTCTTTGGGAGGTTTCAGCAGGAGGGCACTGTCCTTTCCCCAAAGCCAAGAAGCCTTGCTCTGTTGCCCAGGTTGGTCTTGAATTCCTGGGCTCAAGTGATCCTCTCACCTCAGCCTCCTGTGTCGCTGGGACCACAGGCGTGCGCCACCTCGCGCGGCTGCTTTTTGTTTTTCACGAGCTTTGCAGATGAACACCGCAGTCACTCTGGTGGCTCTTTTTAGAATGAGGTCCCGAGAGCTTTGCTCAGGTGCAGCAGCTCACAAAAATGATCCACAGCTGCCACCCTGTCCATCCAGCGTGTCCCAGCTGGGATCAGGACTATCGCATTGTCTGCCTTGGGCTGAGGCTCATTGTCTCTTCCTCCCTCCCCACCAGGACCAATTCTGACTCCGCCCTGCACCAGAGCACAATGACGCCCACGCAGCCAGAATCCTTTAGCAGTGGGTCCCAGGACGTGCACCAGAAAAGAGGTATGGACAGGGGACTCGGGTGTCTCTGCTGGGGTGAGGCAAGTCCAGCAGGTAACCCCTGTTCTCCAGGAGGTCACAAGCTTGTGGGCAGATGGCTCTTCAAAGGAAGACTCAGACCATGCTGAGGGATCGGGGGAGGGGATCGGAAACTTTCAGAGGTGGTGCTACTTAAGTTGGATTTTGAAGAGTGCATAGGAGTTTTCTAGGCAGAGAAAACAACCCTGCAGGCGCACGTTGGCTCCCATTCCTGGATTGAGGGCGTGGCCATGAAGTCTGGGTGCTGCACAGATGCTGGTTTCAAATGTAGCGGCAGCAAGCCCACGCAAAGGAGCATTTGTCAGCTCATGACAGAGCAGGCCAGGGGTCGACTTCTAGCCACAGGTTCAGCTCCTTCCACTGCTTCCCACTGGACTGTTTCCTGGCTCTGCTGCTGAGAACTCTCCTCGCCTGCAGCCCCTGGGCCCGTCCTAGCTATAGCGAGTGAGAAAGAGGCCATCTCTTCCCAACTCTTGGCCAGAGTGTCGCCTCCAGCTGAGCCATGCACACCCCTGTGGCGGGGACAGATCTGTACCCAGGTCCTTGGCTCCAATTTGAAGCCGGGCGTGGAGGCGGCACCCTGGGAACCTTCAAGGAGGGCATATGCTGTCTTAAAAACTGGGGCGGTGCCATCAGAGAAGGGAGCTTGGAGGCTTGAGGCCAGCCCCAGGGAACCTGGTGTGGCCCAAGGCACTGAAGCCAGGGAGTTGCACGTGCTTAGGGCTCACATACCTATGCTTGTATTGCTGCCGTTCACCGAGTGGGTGGTTAACACGCAAGGGAGATTCTGCTGATAGGAGGAGGAAGAGGAGGAGGAGGAGGACTGTTGGCCAGAACCTCACTCCGGGGTTCCGGCTCAGCGTGCAGCAGAGACGGGAGGGAGAAGAGAATGTCTCCATAATGAAAATGAGGCTTCTGGAACACCCAGGGGTGCTGAGGATAGCACAGTGCCTGGGGCTTCCCTGCTATTCCTAATGAGCAGGCTGTTCTGAGGCTGCTGCCTGTCCTACTAGGTCCCCACAGACAGCACGTCCGAGGGGTGGGCAACAGGATGTCACCATCCCCTGGAACACTGTAACCTGGGAAAGGAGCTGTGACATGGGACCCCTGGTGGCCTTGGAGTGGGGGCCTGGCAGGGACACATCATCTATCCCCACTCTCCTCGGAGCGCCTGAGGTGGTGACAGGGCTGGGGTTGGCCTGGCTGCCTCCTCGCAGCCTGGCTTTCAACAAGGAAGGGGTTGGCCTATCTGGCTGTGCTCATCGTGGGTCTCCCAGTTACAAGTAAAAAAAATGAAATGTGCAACAGGCATAAAGAAAATGGGGAAATGGGCTGGGTGTGGTGGCTCACGCCTGCAATCCCAGCACTTTGGGAGGCCGAGGTGGGTGGATCACAAGGCCAGGAGTTTGAGACCAGCCTGGGCAACATAGTGAGACTCTGTCTCTACCAAAAATACAAAAAAATTAACTGGGAGTGTTTGCACGTGCCTGTGGTACCAGCCACTCGGGAGGCTGAGGCAGGAGGGGGAATTGTTTGAGCCTGGGAGGTGGAAGTTGCAGTGAGCCAAGATCACGCCACTGCACTCCAGCCTGGGTGACAAAGTGAAACCCTATCTCAAAAGAAAAAAGAAAATGGGGAAATGTTTACTCTTACCTTGACTGAAAGATCCAAGGAAAGGCACTTTCAGGCCCGGCTGGTTCCAGAGCCTCAATTGATGCCCATCCATCCCGTCGCTCAGACTCTCCCTCTCCTCTTCTTGCTCTGGGGCTGGCTGACATTGTGGCTGACTCACGGGGCCGCTGCTGCCATGAGTGCACTGGTCCCACCTCCATCAGCATTGAGTGACATGATCTGAACCCCTGTGCTTGGTGCCGGGGGCTCAATAAAGGTTCAGCCACTGGGTGTCAGCAGCCCAGAGCAGGAAGCAAGATCAAGTGGTGGATGCGGAACAGAACATGCAAGCTAGGGCCAGGCGCGGTGGGTCATGCCTGGAATCCCAACACTTCGGGAGAGAGGCTGAGGTGGGCAGATTGCTTGAGATCAAGAGTTTGAGACCAGCCTGGCCAACATGGAGAAACCCCATCTCTACTAAAAATATAAAAATTAGCTGGGCTTGGTGGCACATGCCTATAATCTGAGGCTGAGGCAGGAGAATCTCTTGAACCCAGTAGGCGCAGGTTGCAGTGAGCCAAGGTGCCACTGCACTCCAGCCTGGGTGGGAGAGCAAGACTGTCTCAAAAAAAAAAAAAAAAAGAAAGAAAGAAAAATATACACACAAGCTAGGCAGCTGCTCTTGGGAGAGATTCTTGGCTGTTCTCTGTAGCCTGACGCCTCTGAGGCCCACGTTGGTTCAGCCTCTTCTGTGGGAAGCAGAATCCACACATCCTCAGGCTCCAGAGCTGCTGTTTTATATTATTTTATTTTAGAGACAGGGTCTTGCTCTGTCACACAGGCTGGAGCGCCATGGCATGATCACAACTCGCTGCAGCCTCTACCTCTCAGGCTCAAGCGAGCCCTCCACCTCAGCCTCTCGCATAGCTGGGACTACAGGTGAGCACCACCACACCCGGCCAACTTTCTTATTTTTTGTAGAGGTGAGGTTTTGCCATGTTGCCCAGGGCAGTCTCAAACTCCTGAGCTCAAGTAATCTGCCTGCCTCGGCCTCCCAAAGTGCTGTAATTACAGGTGTGAGCCACTGTGTCCAGCCTTGTTTCTCTTTGTCTCTCTTTCTTTCTTTTTTTTTTTTTGAAACAGAGTTTCACTCTGTCGCCCAGACTGGAGTGCAATGGCGTGATGTCAGCTCACTGCAACCTCTGCCTCCCCGGTTCAAGCAATTCTGCCTCAGCCTCCCAAGTAGCTGGGATTACGAGTCCTGACCCCTATGCCCGGCCAATTTTTGTATTTTTAGTAGAGACAGGATTTCGCCACGTTGGCCAGGCTGGTCTCAAACTCCTAACCTCGGGCGATCTGCCCACCTCAGCCTCCCAAAGTGCTGGGATTACAGGCGTGAGCCACCACGCCCAGCCTATTTTTTCTTAAGTCACAGATTCTCTGACTTATTTAAAGCTGATAGGCGGGGCACGGTGGCGCACACCTGTAATCCCAGCACTTTGGGAGGCCAAGGCGGGCGGATCATGAGGTCAGGAGATCGAGACCATCCTGGCTAACACAGTGAAACCCCGTCTCTACTAAAAATAAAAAAAATAAAAAAAAAATTAGCCTGGCATCGTGGCGGGCACCTGTAGTCCCAGCTACTTGGGAGGCTGAGGCAGGAGAATGGCGTGAACCCGGGAGGTGGAGCTTGCAGTGAGCTGAGATTGTGCCACTGCACTCCAGCCTGGGCGACAGAGCGAGACTCCGTCTCTAAATAAATAAATAAATAAATAAATAAATAAATAAAGTTGTTGTTGTTTGTCATGAAGCCCTTTTTTGTGGTTTTAGTACAGTCCACAGAAGTTCCCGTTAGGACAGTTGCAGTCTTACCATGGCCATGACTCCGTGTGTCAGGGACGTGTCCTCCTGGTACCACCATGCGGCTGCAAAGAAATTTCTTCTCTGATTCTCCTTCTCCCCCTCCCACCTCCCCAGTCTTACTGTTAACAGTCCCAGGAATGGAAGAGACCACATCAGAGGCAGACAAAAACCTTTCCAAGCAAGCATGGGACACCAAGAAGGTAAGAGCCTATGAGCTTTCAAAAACTTTTTTTCTTCTTTCTCTTCTCAAGCATCACCTGGGCAAAGGTGACAAAATGGCAGGTTGGGGTGGCTTCACCTTCCCAAGACAGGGAACCTCACTCCGATTTTTCCATCTTCAAATTCAGAGAATCTGTTAGGTCTGTTGATCACTAAGATCACTAACAGCAGGCCTTATCCAACAGGCCGGAACTGCACAAAAATTACAACCCAGGCTGGGTGCGGTGGCTCACACCTGTAATCCCAGTACTTTGGGAGGCCGAGGCAGGCGGATTGCCAGAGGTCAGGAGTTCAAGACCAGCCTGGCCAACATGGTGAAACCCTGTCTCTACTAAAAATACAAAAAATTAGCTGGGTATGGTAGTGCACGCCTGTAATCCCAGCTACTTGGGAGACTGAGGTGGGAGAATCGTTTGAAACCTGGAGGCAGAGGTTGCACTGAGCCGAGATTGTGCCATTGCACTCCCGCCTGGGCAACAGAGCAAGACTCCATCTCAAAAAAAAAAAAAAAAAAGAATTAAAACCCGTTGCTGGTCAAGTTGCACTGAAAGGGACAGCAATGCAAATTACTCCTCCCCTATGGGAAAGTGAGGCACCAGCCTGTGCCAAAATCCTTTCAAAAGGGTTTGCTCCAGGCTGTGCATGGCTCACGCCTGTCATCCCAGCACTTTCGGAGGAGGCTGAGGTGGGAGGATTACTTGAGCTCAGGAGTTTGGGAGCAGCCTGGTCAACAAAGTGAGACCCTGCCTCTACAAAAAATGAGCCAGGGGTGGTGATGTGTACCTGTACTCTGAGCTACTCAGGAGGGTGAGGCGGGAGTATCACTTGAGCCCAGGAGGTCAAGACTGCAGTGAGCTATGACTATACCATTGCACTCCACCCTGGACAATAGAGCAAGACCCCTTCTGGTGGGGAAAAAAAAATATTTGCTCCAATAATTTCTTCTTCAGGAATTCAATCATTGAGAGTTGAGGAATGAATAAGGAACAATGTGTTTTTTAAAGGTATTTTCCAGAGCTTTTGCAATAAACTAGAAACAGCCTGCACATTTCAGGAGTAAGGAATTTGTTGAGGAAATAGTCTTCAGTCCCTCGAGGAGATAAGATTCTGAAGAAATTTTAAACTCATGAGAGACACTCCTGATACTATTGTCATGTGGACAGAGTAGGATAAGAATATTGGAAAAGGCATAAAACTTGCAGAGATGCAGCTGCACAGATACCAGCAGGCAGACCTGACTGAGGGGCGTCTCACAAGGGTTGTGCGTTTTCTGTCGTGGTGAGTGTGGGTGGTGCTGTCAGCCCTTTATATCCATCTGTGTATTTCTTTTTCTTTTCTTTTATTTTTATTTTTAAATTTTATTATATTTATTTTAATTATTTTTATTTTATTTTTTTGAGAAAGAGTCTCACTCTGTTGCCCAGGCTGGAGTGCAGTGGTGTGATCTCGGCTCACTGCAACCTCTGCCTCCCGGGTTCAAGCGAAGTGATTCTCCTGCCTCAGCCTCCCGAGTAGTTGGGGTCACAGGCGTGTGCCACCACACCTGGCTAATTTTTGTATTTTTGGTAGAAACAGGGTTTCACCATGTTGGCCAGGCTGGTCTCAAACTCCTGACCTCAAGTGATCTGCCCGCCTTGGCCTCCCAAAGTGCTGGGATGACAGGCTCTTTTTTTTAGAAATAGGGTCTCTCTTATGCCTAGGCAAGAGTGCAGTGGTGCCACCCTAGCTCACTGCAGCCTTGGAGTCCTGGACTTAAACAGTCCTCTGCCTCAGCTTCCAGAGTAGCTGGGACTACAGGTGCATGCCACCATGCCTGACAAATTTTTGTATTTTTTGTTTTTTTGAGGCAGGATCTTGCTCTGTTGCCCATGCTGGAGTGCAATGGTAGGAACACGGTTCACTGCAGCCTCAACCTCCCGGGCTCAGGCGATCCTCCTGCCTCAGCCTCCTGTGATGCTGGGACTATAGGAGCGTGCCACCAAACCTGGCTTTTTTTTTTTTTTTTTTTTTTTTTCTGAGATGGAGTTTCACTCTTTCGCCCAGGCTGGAGTGCAGTGGCGCAATCTGGGCTCACTGCAACCTCCGTCCCCCAGGTTCAAGTGATTCTTCTGCCTCAGCCTCCCGAGTAGCTGGGATTACAGGTGTGAGCTACCGTGCCCGGCCAATTTTTAAATCATTTATAGAGACAGGAGCTTACTTCGTTGCCCAGGCTGGTCTCGAACTCCTGGGCTCAAGCAGTCCTCTGCCTCAGCCTCCCAAAGTGCTGAGATTACAGGCATGAGCCACCTCGCCTGGCCTATTTTTTAATTTTTGTTAAAGACGGGGGTCTCACTATGTTGCCCAGGTTAGTCTCAAACTCCTGGGCTCGGTCTCTGTGTTTCAGTTTGGCACAAAGAGTCACTGAGATTTCCACTCTTACGGGAAAAAAACTTTAAAAAAGAACCCTAGGCCAGGTGCAGTGGCTTACGCCTGTAATCCCAGCACTTTGGGAGGCCGAGGCTGGTGGATCACCTGAGGTCAGGGGTTTGACACCAGCCTCGACAACATGGTAAAATCCCGTTTCTACTAAATACAAAAAATTAGCCAGGTGTGGTGGCACTTGCCTGTAATCTCAGCTACTTGGGAGGTTGGGACAGGAGAATTGCTTGAACCCGGGAGGCAGAGGTTGCAGTGAGCTGAGACTGCGCCACTGCACTCCAGCCTGGGCACCAAGAGCGAAAACTCCATCTCAAAAAAAAAAAAAAAAAAAAACTCTAGGCTGGACGGACACAGTGGCTCGTGCCTGTAATCTCAACACTTTGGGAGGCTGAGGTGGGAGGATTGCTTGAGCCCAAGAGTTTGAGACCAGCGTGGGCAACATACTGAGACCTGGTCTCTGCAAAACATTTTAAAACAGTTAGCTAGTGTGATATGTGTGTGTGCCTGCTACTTGGGAGGCAGGAGGATCACTTGAGCCCAGGAGCCCAGGAGTTCAAGTCCAGCCTGGGCAACAGAGCAAGACCCTGTCTCTAAAAAAAAAAAAATTCTAACAACAAACAAAACAAGAAAACAAATGTCCAGCAGCAGAGAGGTGGGTAAGTAGGCCACGGTCCACCCACACAGCTGGATGTTCTGCCGTTACTCAAGAAAAGGAAGATGGCGACAGTCACCTTGCAGAGGGAGACACACCCCGATAGTGGAGTGGGGTGGTGGGTGAATTTTTAATACTGCTCAGAAATCCATTAATGTCTCCATAATGTTGGTGGAATGCTTTTCAAAGTATTCTTGAGAACGTGATCGCCGGTGTGCTTTGCAGAAATCCGGTAATGAAGCGAATGTTTACTCTCAGAATGAAGGAGGCTCTGGCCAAGCAGAAACCCATTCAGCCGGCGTTCTCCACAGAGGCTTAACACCCGCCGGTCGCACGCCACCCCTCGGGCACCCCAGTGGCTGCGGGTTGGGCATTGCCCCCTCACGGTGTGTGCATTTTGAGGCCAGCCCCACCCTCTGCCAGCATGTTCGCCTTTTTCATCTGATAATCCTGAAAGAACTCAGCCAGAAGTGTTTGCCCCAGGGCCCCAGGGGCGGAAACGTGTCACACTGGGAGGCCTCATCCATGGCTGGGGTTCTGTCTGGTCATGCCTGCCAAGAGCAGAAGACGGTCCTGCCTTTGTCCTTGAACAGGAGTCTCGGGGGCCCCTACCTGGAGCCTGTAGTTCCCCAGGGCCTGCAGTGATCCCATGTCTTGGCTGGTGTTAGTGCCCCCAACTCACAGGGGAGGAAACATTGGTCCTCCAGGAAGGTTTTCCTGGGCACCCCCTCCCCAGGGCCAACTCACCGGCCTCTGTCTGTGAGCGGTGGGGGCTTGGAGGCTGCCCTGCTACCCTACGGTGTCCTCACAGCCAGAGCCAGACCCCACCCTGCCTCAGAAGCCCTTGGAGGTACCCGGCAGGTCTTTCTGCTGGGATTATGATTTTCTTTCCCATTGCTGTGAAAGTCCATACTTCAGTCCGGGTGCCATGGCTCACGCCTGTAATCCCAACACTTTGGGAGGCTGAGGCAGGAGGATCACTGGAGCCTAGGAGTTTGAGGCCAGCCTGGACAACACGGTGAGCCTCATCTCTTAAAAAAAAATTAAAAAATAAAAATTAGGCTGGGTGCAGTGGCTCACGCCTGTAATCCCAGCACTTTGGGAGGCTGAGGTGGACAGATCATGAGGTCAGGAGATCGAGACCATCCTGGCTAACATGGTGAAACCCCGTCTCTACTAAAAATACAAAAAAAATTAGCCGGGCGTGGTGGCGGGTGCCTGTAGTCCCAGCTACTCGGGAGGCTGAGGCAGGAGAAAGGCGTGAACCTGGGAGGTGGAGCTTGCAGTGAGCCGAGATCGTGCCACTGCACTCCAGCCTGGGCGACAGAGCCAGACTCTGTCTCAAAAAATTAAATAAAAATAAAAAATTAAAACTAAAATTAAACATTTTTTTAAAAGGCGGAAGAGGCCAGGCACCGTGGCTCATGCCTGTAATCCCAGCACTTTGGGGGCCGAGGTGGGCGGATCATGAGGTCAGGAGATGGAGACCCTCCTGGCTAACACGGTGAAACCCCGTCTCTACTAAAAATACAAAAATTAGCCGGGCTTGGTGGCGGGCACCTGTAGTCCCAGCTACGCGAGACACTGAGGCAGGAGAATGGGGTGAACCCGGGAGGCGGAGCTTGCAGTGAGCTGAGATCGTGCCACTGCACTCCAGCCTGAGAGACAGAGTGAGACTCCGTCTCTAAAAAAAAAAAAAAAGAAAGAAAAAAAAGGCAGAGGAGCCCTTCCCGAGACCCTGAACTTCAAAGGCTCTGTGGGCCACAGTCCAAGAGGAGCCTATTGTGGGCCCTTTCCATACACCATGTCCATGTCCCGAAAGTGTCCTGACAGTGCTCCTCAGCCAAGCAGAAAAACCAGTGTCATGCTGAGGGCTACCCAAGCCCTAGTCAGTGGGGGATGAGTGTGGCTGCCCACATAGCAGAGGGACGTCTCGGGACTCTCAGGAAGTAGCAGACCCTGAGGGTCCCCGGGGAAGTCACATGTCTAGGTCTCTGCTGCAAAGCTGGTCAGCCCCAAGACAGGGGCAGTGACCTCTGAACTGAGTTTAGGGCATCAGGTCCAAGCTTCCTGGGTCTCCCCTGACTCAGTTCTTCCCTCCTTTGGGCCTTGGGCTTGATTCACTCCCTGGAGACTGGTGGCTGCTCACAAACTTGCCTGGTGGGCACTGGACAGAGGCAACTCCTGCCCCCGGAACCCCTGCCACCATGATCTGGGAACAGCATGGATGGTTGGGGACAGCTCTAGGGACACTTAGCCTCGGGTACCAGGGCTTAGGGCGGCCAGCTTAGCAGAGGCCCCTCTACTGTGCTGGCTGCTGACTGCTGTGGTACAGCGTTGGGAGTGTCAAGAGGCGCTTTACACAAAATTTAAAAAGCAGCCGGGCGCAGTGCAGTGACGCGTGCCTATGGTCCCAGCCACTCGGGAGGCTGAGGCGGGAAGATCATGAGCTCAGGAGGTTGAGGCTGCGGCGAGCTGTGATCACACCACTGCACTCTAGCCTGGGTGACAAAGTGAGATCCTGTCTCTATGAAATAGAATAAAAATTTAAAAAGATCCACATGCCATGTTCTCCCCAGACTCCTCTGAAAAGAGACTGCCCACTGAGGGCAGGAGCAGGGGGAGGGGACCCATAGGGAGACCCTCTCTGTGCAACTCTTGGCTTCGCGCTGGGCATGTCTGGGGCCCGCCCCTCCACCCTGGGGCGGTGCCCCTGTCCTCCATCTGTGGGGCTCTGCGGCCCCAGCAAGCTTGGTTCTCATGATGCATCTCTGGGCTTTGTGGGAAGATCAGCCGTTTCAAGGAGGCCCAGTGCCCAGGAGGAGGGCCCCACAGGGTGTGCCCCAGGGCTCAGGCTCTCCTGTCTTCTCTTTCAGACGGGGTCCAGGCCCAAGTCCTGTGAGGTCCCCGGAATCAAGTAAGTCTCCACAGGGCCCACCCCGCACACTGCATCTGCTGCGCTGCTCCGTCCACCCTGGGGCATTCTGTCCACTCTCTTGAGGTTGCAAGTCCCTGCAAGAGGGACACTGTGTGACCAGAGGCCAGTGACAGAGCCCCCACATGCCCACCCCTCAGGCACCTCATTCCCAGGGATGATGCCCTCTCCTGGGTTCAGGGAGGTTGCTGCCCCCAGGCCCCCCACCGTCCTCACCGGGTGATAGGCTGCTTTCCAAGGTCTCAGCCTGGTGCCAGCCAACAGTGGTTTCCCAAGCACACGGCACCTGATGGGGGGTGGCCTTTTGCACCCGCTGATTTTCTCCCGCCAGCCCCCTGTCCCCGCCGCCAGCCCCGCCCCATGAGCTCACCTCCTGCCTGCCTCTGGCCTTTTCCCAGCATCTTCCCGTCTGCCGACCAGGAAAACACTACAGCCCTGATCCCCGCCACCCACAACACAGGGGGGTCCCTGCCCGACCTGACCAACATCCACTTCCCCTCCCCGCTCCCGACCCCGCTGGACCCCGAGGAGCCCACCTTCCCTGCACTGAGCAGCTCCAGCAGCACCGGCAACCTCGCGGCCAACCTGACGCACCTGGGCATCGGTGGCGCCGGCCAGGGTAAGGCAGGGACACTCCGCCCTCGGACAGAGCACTGGCTTGTGGAGACAACACGGGCATCTGCAGGATGACTTGGCAGAGTCCCGTTCCAAATACTAGGGCATGGGGGACAGGGCTGGGGGGCGGCCGACAGGCTGACCCAGCGGGCACAGGCATCCCAGGTAGGGGTGGGGCCTGGGTACAGGCCTGGTGGAAAGGAGTGCCTGGTGCCCCCAGACACCAGACAGTGGGTTTGAGGGTGTGTGATGGTGCTTTGGGGAGTCCAGGAGGGAAGCCCTGGGAGTTTTAACGCAGCTGGGGTGGGCCAGGCCTTCCCTCCGCCCCTCCTCGACCCCAGCCCCTCATTGGGGGGCGGGACCAGGCCTGACCTGCTTCCTCCACCCGACATCTGACAGTGACCACCTACTTGTCACATCCCAGCACCACCACCCCCACCCGTCTCCAGCTCCACACTCCTTTCTTCCTCAGCCACATCCACAGGGACGTCGCACAGGCCCCTCGCCCGTCCCAATAGCTCCTGGCGCTGCTGCCGCCCTGCTCCCCCGGGACCCCCCTCCTGTGGCTGCACTGATTGCAGAGGTGTCCCCCAACTCCTCTGTCCTTTCCCAGACATGGACCTGACCCATTGTCAGCGTGTCCTGTCGGTTCCGCCCTCAGGACCTGGCCTGACCTGGCTCCTCTCCCCAGGCCCCCAGCCCCCTCCCCACCTAGAACAGCCACCAGCCATGGCTTCCTCCACTTGGGACCTCGCACGGCCCCCAGCTCCCTCTCAGTGAAAGCCTGAGGCCTCCAGGGTCTGGGATGTCCACCCTGGCCCACCCTCCACCCTCTGAACTTAGCCCCAGTCCCACCTCAGGGCCTCTGCACATGTAGTCCTTCCTCTCCAGGAGGCTGCAGGCCTCCCTCCCTCCCCTGCCCTGCCCTGCCCTGGTCAGAGCTAGTCCCCTTGGCAAGGCCGTCCCGGCCCTGGCCTCTACTGCCGCGTTGCTTTCCTGCACCCCTGCCCTGGCCCACGTTGCTGCTCCGTCCTTAGCTGTTGCCTGCGTCCCCATTGGCTGTGCAGTGTGTGACCTGCATCCCGGGGGTGGCAGGCACCTGGCTTCCAAGGAGGAGAAATGGCGTGGCCCCAACTAGTCCTGGGGGGTGGGACAGGCTGGAGGGGCTGTGGGGGATGCACTGGGGGTGGGGGTGACAGACGCCACCTTGCTGTGCTCTGTCTTGCCCCAGAGCTGGAGAATGAACCGGCCCCGGCCCACTCCACCAGCCCATCCTGCCTCTGCCCCAGGCTTGGAAGGCAGCACCAGGCAGGGCTTTCTATGAGATAGTCACATGCTTACATTTGTAACTGGCGGAGTCCCCCTGGCTGCCCTGGAAGAAGGAGCTTTTGGGAGGGGCGGCCACTGGAGCAGGACAGCACCCCAATTGGGGGCTCTGCCTGGAGACTCCAGGGTGAAATTGGCCAGCCTGGGAGCTGGGTTGATGCAGGGAGTGAAGGAGAGGGAGGAGCCTGGAGGCGTTCCTGGCTTTGGTGCCAGCAGGGCCAGGGGCAGGCAAGGGGCGTGGAGGGTGGCGTGAATGTTCCTGGGTTTTTTGGAGGAGGGCATGGGGACTAGAATAGTGAAGAGGGAACAGGGCCCCAGCCCGAGCGCATTGAGGCTGCATTCTGACTCCCACACCTGGGCCCTGGGCCCTGGGCCCGCGGGGCTCTGCCACTGGACAGAGGGCACCAGAGAAGGCCCAGAAAACACAGCCGATTCGGAGGAGCCCTCTTCATTGTCTCCAGATAGACAGGGCCAGGCAGGCGGCATCCACACGCACCTGCGCAGAACCAGAAAGCTGAAGGTCAGCGCTGGGGCTGCAGGTACCCCTGCCCCGCATAGAAGCCACCATCTCCCAGCCCCTGCTTTTCCCCTCACATCTCTTCACGGCCACCAGAGCACATGGCCCCCTTCCCGCTGGAGGGTCCTTGGCAGGTCCCCAGCGCCCGCCCGGGAGCTGCGCACCTCCAGCAGGCACCCAGTCTAAACAAGCACAAGGAAACACACAACATACGTGGAAGCTGGAGCCGGCGCTGGCCAGAGCGGCCCGGTAATGCCTGACATGTGTTGGGTTGTTTGTGAACCTGCCGCCCAAGCAGCTCGCCTGGCAGGGGCTTTGCTTTCTGGACGCCTTTTAAATCAAGCCGAGCTGCCGGCCCCTGGCACACACGAAGGTGGCCCCCTCCCTCCTCGCAAGCCCACCCGCCAGTCAGAACGTGAGCTCCCTCAGGAAGGAAGACAGAGGCCTTCGCGGCCGAGGAGACAGTACCCCGCTTGGCTCCATCTACATTTCCCATATCCCTGGCTGCTTTCCAGAGTGCAGGAGGAGGGCAGGCCCTGGCTCCTCCTTCCTGGCCCAGCTTTGAGGCCGGGCGGGCCCTGACACCTGGCCCGCCCTCCCCTGGCAGCTCTCCCTGCCCGCTCCAGACTTCCCCTCCAGCTGGCTCTGTGCCTGTTCCCAAAGGTGAGCCAGGTTGCCAAAAGGAATTCAACAGCAAGGCTCCCGTCCGCCCTCCTGGGCCAACTGGCCTCTCCAGGGGTGGCCGAGAGCTCACTTTGCAGCCAGTGGAAGATTAAAAACTCCCTTGTATTCAGGGCAGACATTAGAGACTGGCAGCCCAAGGGCCAAATCCAGCCCATGGTATGTTTCGTGTGGGCCCACAGTTGTGCATCTGTAATACAGCCACACGCCACATCTTGACGTTTCTGACAACAGCAAACCACATAATCGGCAGTGGCCCCATCAGAGTATAATGCTGTGTCTTACTGCTCCTTTTCTAGGCTTAGACACACAAGTCCTTACCATTGTGCTACAGTTGCCTACTGTTTTTAATTTTTTTTTTCTTTTTTTTGAGACAAAGTCTCACTCTGTCACCCAGGCTGGAGTGCAGTGGTGTGATCTCGGCTCACTGCAACCTTCGCCTCCCAGTCCCAAGCGATTCTCCTACGTCAACCTCCCGAGTAGCTGGGAGTACAGGCGCCCACCACCACGCCTGGCTAATTTTTGTATTTTTAGTAGATACGGGGTTTCACCACATTGGCCAGGCCAATCTCAAACTCCTGCCCTCAGGTGATCCGCCTGCCTCAGCCTCCCAAAGTGCTGGGATTACAGGCGTGAGCCACTGTGCCTGGCCGACGGTATTCAGGACGGTCACCCTGTACAGGTTTGTAGCCTGGGAACAAGGGCCCTACCGTCTGGCCGAGGTGTGCAGAGGCTCTGCCATCCAGGTTTGTGTAAGTTGCCCTGTGATCCTCATGCACAGCCATGAAATCGCCGGACAACGCGTTTTTTCAGAAGTCACCCCCATTGTTAAGTGATGCTTGACTGTACTTAGAATCAACATTGAAAAACCAGGGGAATGCCCGTAGAACACCAGATTTCTGGCTGCTCTTGAAGAATCAGACAGCCCAGTGGCCATGGCCGATGTCTTGCACCTCGAGACGGGCCACAGTGCTCTGGTTTGCCTCAGGCCCCACCCGCCCCTGTCGTCCCACATCCATACCCTCACACGCTCCTGACGTTTGCCCCTACTTTGTACCGAGCCCGACCTCTGCTTCTGACCTGGGCACTGAGCATCTCTCGGCCTGCTGGACGCACGAAGTGGCGGACACTCAGGAGAAGATGAGGGAGTGGCCCAGGGTCGTGACTCTGAGTGTGCTCTGAGCAGGCTTCCCCCACATCCTCCCGTCCAGGCCTCTGTTGATGCCTCCCTGGACGCCAGGGCCTGCAAAGGGCGCTTGCTGCCTGGGGAGCAGTCAACAGCACCAGGCTTCCTCCCACAGTGCGCAGCCAAGCAGAGCTGCCAGGGCATCCGAGGGGAAGTGCAGGCGTGACCGAGCTCGCCCCGGTGAGCAGCTGCCCTGGGCACGGACAAGGCTGTCATCTCCCCTCGGCGCTTGTCGGGTGTGTTCCCATGGGCCCACGCACCCGCCGTCTCATCTGCCGGAACAAGGTTAATCTGGTGCCCAGATCTCCTGGGGTGAGTCAGGCGGCTTCACCCCCGCCTTGACTGCAGGCCAGATGCTCTTCAGAGACTGCTCCTGACCTCACCAGGGCCTCACTTTGAACCGGAGAGGGCGGCTGTTATCGTCGCCATCTCACCAACCAGGGAACCAAGTCTCCAGAGTGGATGGGGGTCAGGCCAGGCTCGCAGGGGTCCTCCTGCCATCGAGGGGCCTGTTGCCTGCCTGGCATGGTGCCCACAATAACCCAGCCAGCCCCAGCTACTGCCATGTTGAACTTGACCTCACCCAGCTTCATCACTGCAGCAGAATCCAAGGATTGGGTTGCTCAGTGCAAGGGCCTTCGGGGCCGGGGTGAGGGAAGGGGTGATGAGGCGGCTCCTGGCAGGACCTCCAGCAGGAATGATGTGTCAGACCCCAGGGCAGAGAGGGGGAAGGATGTTAAGGAGTGACATTCTTTAGTTCAGACAGCCTGATGGGTGGCACTGCAGCTTGGGGAATGCACCAGGTCTGGGGAGGAGGAAGTGGCTGTGGGACATAGGGGATAGCAGGTGCTCAGGTCTGGGGGCCAAGAGAAGCAGCTGCAGGAATGGGCACATTCACTGAAGGAGGGCAAGATCCACGAGGTGGTGGGCAAAACCACAGCATTGGGCAGGGCCTGCTGGCTTGAAGCTAACCACAACCCAAGCCATTTTCAGCCAAAAAAAACCATTTATTGTCTCCTGAAAGTGGGAAGCAGGCTCAGATGCTGCCTCTCCCCTGCAGCCCTTCAGCTGGCTCCTCACCTCGCCACAGGATGCCCCACACACGGCTTCAGACAGCCCTTCCTGGAATTCCATCCAAAGCCCCTGGGAAGGCTCTCATTGGGCCAGCCTGGTTACATGCCCATCTGGGGGCCAATCTTATGCTCCAGAGATGGGGATGTGCTGGTTGGCTGGCTGTGAGACACCCCCTTCCTGGAAGGAAGGAGAACAGACTCTGCAGGACTGTGGGACCCTCGGGTCAGGAATCAGGGCCTTCGGGGGGTGCCCAGGTTTGGCAGTTGGGACATGTCCATGGGCTTCTGTCTGAGCAGTTGAGCTATTCCCATGCAGTGTGACTGTGGGTGTGTAAGCAGCCCTTTCTCAGTGATCAGTCTCACACCTGCTCTCCCTCCCTCCTACTTCCTCTCTAGGAATGAGCACACCTGGCTCCTCTCCACAGCACCGCCCAGCTGGCGTCAGCCCCCTGTCCCTGAGCACAGAGGCAAGGCGTCAGCAGGCATCGCCCACCCTGTCCCCGCTGTCACCCATCACTCAGGTGCGAGGGCAAGGTGGGGGGCAGGTGGGAGGGGGAAAGGGAAAGGTGGAGGCCTGGCTCTACCTCTTAGAAGGCCTCCTGTTCCTTCCAGGAGGCCACAAAACCTTGAGAATGCTCCCAACACTTTTAGTTTTTATTATCAAATTTTCAAGCCGGGTGCCGTAGCTCATGCCTGTAATCCCAGCACTTTGGGAGGCTGAGGCGGGTGGATCAGTTGAGGTCAGGAGTTCGAGACCAGCCTGGCCAACATGGTGAAACCTCGTCTCTACAAAAAATACAAAAATTAGCTGGGCATGGTGGTGTGCGCCTGTGGTCCCAGCTACTAGGGAGGCTAAGATGAGAGGATCACTTGAGCCCAGGGGGTGGAGGCTGCAGTGAGCCATGATCACACCACTGCACTCTACCCTGGGAGACAGAGTGAGACTCTGTTTCAAAAAAAAAGAAAAAACTCAAGAGGTTAGCTTTTGATTTTTCAATTTGCTGTATTTGCTTGTCTACTTTTTTGGGTAGTTTGTATGTGTCTAGGAATTTGTCCATTTCGTCTTTGCTATCCAACTTGATGGCAGAAAATTTTTCATAATACTCTTTTGTAATCCTTTTTTTTTTTTTTTAAGACGAAGTTTTGCTCTGTAGCCCAGGCTGGAGTGCAGTGGCATGATCTCGGCTCACGGCAACCTTGCTTCCTGGGTTCAAGCCATTCACCTGCCTCAGCCTTCCAAGTAGCTGGGACTACAGGCATGTGCTACCATGCCTGGCTAATTTTTTTTTTTTTTTTTTTTTTGGTATTTTTAGTAGAGATGGGGTTTCACCATGCTGGCCAGGCTGGTCTCGAACTCCTGACTTCAAGTGATCTGCCTCCTTTGGCCTCCAAAAGTGCTGGGATTACAGATGTGAGCCACCGCGCCTGACCGTAATCCCTTTTTTAAAAAAATTTTTGAGACAGAGTCTCGCTCTGTCACCCAGGGTGGAGTGCAGTGGCGTGATCTTGGTTCATTGCAACTCTGCCTCCCAATTTCAAGCAATTCTTGTGCCTCAGCCACCTGAGTAGCTGGGATTACAGGTGACCGCCACCACGCCTGGCTAATTAAAAAAAATAATAATAGAGATGGGGTTTTGCCATGTTGGCCAGGCTGGTCTCGAACTCCTGGCCTCAGGCAATCTGCCCACCTCGGCCTCCCAAAGTGCTGGGACTATAGGCGTGAGCCACCACACCCAGCCTTGTAATCCTTTTTATTTACGTAAAGTTGGTAGCAAAGTTCCCATTTTCATTTTCTGATTTTAGTAATTTGAATCTTCCCTCTTTTTTACCTAATCAATGCAGCTTCATAGAATGAGTTAGGAATGTTCACTTCTCTTCTATTTTTTGGAAGTATTTTTAATTCCTCTTTAAAAGTTTGGTAAAATTAGGCGGGTGTAATGGTAAATTCCTGTAGTCCCAGGTTTGGTAAAATTCACCAGTGCAGCCACCTGTGTCTTAGCTCAAATGTGTTGGGAAGTTTCCAATCTCATCTCCTTCTTATAAGGCTATTCAGGTTTTCTGTTTTTTCTTGAGTCAGTTTTGGTCATTTGTGCATTTCTAGAAATTTATCCATTTTGTCTTTTTAAAAACAAAACAAAAAAACCCTAACAGAGAACTTTGACATTTTTAAAATTTTTTTATTTTTTAATTTTAATTTAATTTTTTTTTTGAGACAGAGTCTCACTCTGTCGCCCAGGCTGGAGTGCAGTGGCGTGCTCTTGGCTCTCCTGCAGCCTCTGCCTCCCAGGTTCAAGCGATTTTCGTGCTAGCCTCCCAAGTAGCTGGGATTACAGGCATGTGCCTACCATGCCCAGCTGAGTTTTGTATTTTTAGTAGAGACAGAGTTTCGTCTTGTTGACCAGGCTGGTCTCAAACTCCCAACCTCAAGTGATCACCCTGTCTCAGCTTTCCGAAGTGCTGGGATTGCAGGTGTGAGCCACCGCGCCCGTCACTTGTTTGTTTTTAATGTAACCACAGTGGCATTGTCCACCTACAACGAAGTTAATGGTAGTTCCTTGGTACCTGGCAATGCCCGGCCCGGACTCCATTTCTCCCCGCCCCTCGGCCCCCATGTCTCCTGTCTGCTTACAAAGGTGTCTTATTCAGATCAAGATCCAGACAGAGCTGTGGGCGCTGGCTCCTGGCAGCTGTGTCTTCAGCCACTTTGTGAGCTAGGCTGTCTTAATCTGACACCTGCCCCTTCCCTCTATCTGGAAACTCCTTTCTCTTCACAAATGACCCACTGGTCCTCAGAGGCCGGGCATCCTGCTAAGTGGTTTTTGTTCCATAGCTCCTGGGCACGCTCAGCCTTTCTTAGAGGGCAGGGACCCCACCTTTCCCAAGGACTGTCAGCTTGGTAGCCCCTGGCTGTGAGTTTCCACACAGACAGTGAACGTCACACACTTCCCTCTTATTGATTTTCCTCTTTCCAGCTCTGCGAAGGCCTGAGCCAGCCCTTGGTGAGGGGCCATGCTGGTATCTCCAGCAACCCCAGCCTCTCCAGCATCCCCAGAGTGGGCAAGGCTTTGGGCGGGGGGGTTTGGGAAGGCAAGGCCAGTGGATCACTTGAGGTTTCCCCGCAGCACCCACAGGGGCTGGGAGCTGGCTGCTCACTGAGCCACCAGGGATGGCCATCCTGGGCTTGCCCTGCAGCTGGTGGACTGGCCTGAGCTGCACGGCATGTAGTGCGGGTGCAGGCACAACAAGCTGGAGGAGGTCAGGTCCTGCCCAGCTCCAGCTGACCCCCTTGGGGCCCTGCGTGAGGCCCACCCTCTCTAGCCTGGGCTCCCTCATCGTGAGGAGCACCCAGCCCAGGGGCTGCCTGTGATCACAGGGCCCTTCCACCTCGCCTGCTGAGCATGCCAGGCTATGGGGGCCCGAGGGGGCCAGGCGCTGACAACCAGGGCCCGCCCTGCCTGACGCTCTCCTCTCCTGCAGGCTGTAGCCATGGACGCCCTGTCTCTGGAGCAGCAGCTGCCCTACGCCTTCTTCACCCAGGCGGGCTCCCAGCAGCCACCGCCGCAGCCCCAGCCCCCGCCGCCTCCTCCACCCGCGTCCCAGCAGCCACCACCCCCGCCACCCCCACAGGCGCCCGTCCGCCTGCCCCCTGGTGGCCCCCTGTTGCCCAGCGCCAGCCTGACTCGTGGGCCACAGCCGCCCCCGCTTGCAGTCACGGTACCGTCCTCTCTCCCCCAGTCCCCCCCAGAGAACCCTGGCCAGCCATCGATGGGGATCGACATCGCCTCGGTAAGCCCAGGGTGGGGTCCCTCGGGGCCTGACTGGGGGTCTTGTAGAGGACAGCCCGGGGGCTGCAGAACAGTCGGGTTACCTGCTGCATGGGCCAGGGGTCAGAACCCCAGCGAACGCTGCCTGGGCCCACCTCTCCACGGGGCTACCCCTTGGAATCAAACTGAGACTGTCACTCCCTGTAGAGATGGAGAAACTGAGGCACGAGCAGGTGGCTGGCCCCAGATTCCACCCAAGGTGGGCCACCCCATGTTTAACTGCCGAGCACCCCTTCTTGGCCTCTCTGGCCCCTCCCACCTGAAGCCAGGCTTCCTAGGAGGCAAGAAGAGTACGGCGTTCTCAGGGCCAGGGCGCAGGCCGGGGGCCGGGGATGACGTGAGCTTATCAGAGAAGGAAAGACGAGGCCAGTCCAAGAGGCGGCAGCCCGTTGGGCACAGCGCCTGGGGCCCAGGGCTGGGGGCTGCAGCTCAGACCATTGGACTTTTCTGCCTAGGGCCGGCTCAGGCAGACAAAGGCTGGGCTTTAACCCTGTACCCACAAACCTTCCTGACTGTCCAGACCACCTGCTTGCTCCAGCGGCGCGGGCTGGGTGGCAAACAGCTGCATTGGGCCACATCCAGGGAAACAGGGACTTGTGTTCCGGGCACAATGAGTCCTCCCACTTGACCCCGACTGCCAGCCCCAGGCTAAATGTCCTCCAAACATTGTGTGCTCTGCAAAGAACAGCCGCCTGAGCTGGGTGGGGCAGGCAGGTGAGCCTGTGGGTAGACACCCATGTTCCCAAGCTGCTCTGACCTCACGGAGGGGACCACCCACGGCCCCTGGGTGGAAGAGTGCCCAAGTCCTTTCTTTGGTGGAAACACAGCAGGTCCTGGGGGAGGCTCCCAAGGTGGGGCCTCGCCTTGGAGCTGGGTGGTTCTTGGAGTCACAGGGTGTCTGGGCCAGGTGCAGGGACGGCCCTTCTAGGGCTCTTGGGTCAGGCTGTCCATGTCCAGCACCCTCACACAACAAAGACGGCTTCCTGCCCCCACTTCAAGGACTTCTAGCCTCCTGGGGTTGAGGGGGGACTCTTGAGTTTTTGCACAGACTCACCCAAATGAGAATCTCCCTCTGATCCCTTTGTCCTTTCCAACTCCAGGAAGGCCCAAGTCAGCCATCCCTAAGTAACAGTGCTGGCACCTCCATCACCCACGCAGGCGAGCTCACCGCCACCCCCCGCCCTACCCCACCCCGCCCCACCTGGACTCAAGCCCTACCCCAAACTGCCCAGAAGGCGCCACCAAGGACATGGGGGAGACAGCAATTATAGGCCCTGGACCGGTCAGGCTGGGCCTCATTCAGTGACTGGCTCAGACAGGTCAGGCAAGTTGTCTGCAGGCACACAGCATGGCTGGGCCGTGCTAGGACAAGAGAGTGGTCTGAATCCGGGGCCTGGCCTGGCCCGACCTGCCTCTGAAAGTTCTGGGTCATAGCAGTGAGATGCCCGGGCCTTTCGTCCCTCGAGCAGGTGGAGGAAGTGACTGCCCCTTGCAGGTCTCAGATGGCATAACCCAGGCAGGTTTGTCCTGCAGCAGGGCAGGGATAGTGACTGCGCCATGCTGGGAGCCTGGGCTACCAGCAAGATGGCCTTCACTCAGTCCCCACCCCCAGAGGTGGGCCAGACCTGCTGGGCTGCAGACTTAGGGGCTTAGAGAGCCAGGGGACCTGCCCAGGGCACACAGTCAGCGAGAGCCGGGAACAGGAGGCAGCCTTGGGTTTTCCCTGCCCATGGCGGTGTGTGTGTGTGGGTTGTGGGTGTGCACAAGTGGGTGGGTGCGGGTGTATGTGGTGTGCACCTGCATGGGTGTGCATGCATGTGAATGTGTGTGCATGTGTGCATGCGTGGGTATGTACATTTGTGGATGTGTGGACATTTGTGGATATGTGGACATTTGTGTGTGGATATGTGTGCTTGTGTGGGTGTGTGCACACGGTGTGTACATTTTGGTGTGTGAATATATGTGTGTGTGGGTGTGTACATGCGTGGGTGTGTCCATGTGGGTGTGGGTGTGCATGTGGGTGTGGGTGTGCATGCGTGGGTGTGTACATTTGTGTGCATGTGTGCATTTGTGGGTATGTACGTTTGTGTGTGGATGTGTGCCTGTGTGTGTGCATTTGTGGGTGTGAGTATGCGTGTGTGTGCATGTGTGGGTGTGCATGCATGGGCATGTACATTCATGTGTGGATATGTGCACATGTGTGGGTGTGCATGTGTGGGTATGTATATTCTAGTGTGGATATGTGTACACGTGGGTATGTCTGTGTGGGTGTGCATGCATGAGAGTGCACACGTTGCTATATGGCTCTGAGCCTGCTGAGTCAGGGCCAACCCTCTGATCACCCTCCTGTAGCTCCAAGAAGGAGGGCAGTTATTCACCCTCCACGCCGTTCCTTCCTGGGTTCGGGGGCAGCTCCCCGGAGGCTCAGGTACCCACCTTTCCTGCAGGTGTCCAGGCTCCTCTGCCTACCAGTGGGGTGGCGACCATCACCAAGGTGTGAGGGGCGGGGGGACCTGCCTGGGGGCTGATCAGGCTGCTCCCGGGAAGCAGGGACTGGAGCCCGGGCTTGGGCAGCTGGGCTGCGGCGTGCTGATCTGTCTGTCATCGCAGGCGCCGGCTCTGCAGCAGTACCGCACTAGCGCCGGCTCCCCGGCCAACCAGTCTCCCACCTCGCCAGTCTCCAATCAAGGCTTCTCCCCAGGGAGCTCCCCGCAAGTAAGGGGCGCCGCCTCCCCCTTGGCCTGTGGGCTCCACGCTTGTCTTGTTCATGCCCCGTGTGTTCCCTGCCCACTGTCTGTCCTCATGCATCGCTCCTCATGCATGTCCTCATGCATCCCATCCCGTCCACGCCATCGGACCTGAGCTGTGCACCTACCAGGCTGCACCAGGGCAGGAACCCCACAGGGTCCTTCCCAGGAGCCGCCAGAGCCTGCCTCTGCTGAACACTAGGTGGGGGTGTGCGTTAGTGACATTAGCGATGGCTGTGGCCCTGCCTGGATGTCCTCATTGAGTGGCCCAGGGACAATGCCCTCCACACCCAGTGTGTCACCCAGAGCATGAGCTGGAGCTTTAGGGACCCCCCCGACTTGGGGGTGCAGCTGAGGTGGCTGGCCCGCCCGCAGGGAAGGCGCTGACTCTGCAGCCCTGCTTTCCCCTTCACCCCATAGGCAGCTGTGTTTCTCCAGAACCACTGGCCCAGGAGGCTTCTCTGAGCCGCTCTGCAGTGTCTCAGGGCCCTTGTCCCCATTCCACAGACGGGAGACTGAGGTCAGCCTCAAACCTCACCCATCAGCCCTGGGTTTTCCTGTTGCACCCAGCACCGTAGGACCCTGGCTTGCTCACGCCCCAGCCACTCCAAGGTTCAGGTTCCTCGGAATGCCCCTTCGTTCTGCCTGGCCAGTGGAAGCGGCCAGCCTGGCTCCCCACTCAGCCTCCTCCTGTTGTACTTTGACATCAGGTGTGGCCAGTAGACCCCACATTCCATCTAGAACATTTGTCCGGGAGAAGGGGTGCCCACAAGGCCAACATCCAGCCGCCAACTTTTTTTACCCTGGCAGCAGAGCCTCCCCAGAACCCCGCTATCCTGGGACCATCTCATCCCTGAAATTTCACCAAGCTGAGAAACCCCTAGCAGCCACTGCTGTGCCCGGGGCCCTGAAGCCATCCCTGTCCCCTGTAGAGGGGATGCTCTCGTCCTACTTCCCAGCTAGATAAAAGAGTCGCTCCTCCAGGGCTGAGGTCGGGCTCCCTTGTCCCAGGGCAAACCGTGAGCGCCACAGACAAGGACAGTGAAGCCCCTCTGCCCCCATCTCCAGCTCTCACACGTGTATAGGGACATCTGCCCCATCAGCCAAGGGCCGTCTGGGACCACTGCCTGTAGCCCCGTGTTCTGGAGGCAAGTTGGTGGGCAGCAGTGGTCTCGGGGAGGCATGGGGGTCAGCCTGGTGTCTGCGCATGCTTGGTCTGCCCGCACTGGCTCTCTGAGCTCTCGGGCTCTGGCAGCGTGTCTGGTCTCGTCGTGTGGTACTGTTGGGGATGGGGCTGGAGGGGCTGGAGAAGCGGCAGGTGAGGCCTGTCCCAGGTGGGCAGCCCAGGTGGGGCTGGTTCCTGAGTGAGGTCCCTCTTGCATGTGAGACAGGACGGGACAGGAATTAGGAGTCGAGCCAGTTTCTCTCAGGAGAGAGTCACTGGAATGGTTGGTGAATTTTTGGGCCCCAAGCCAAAGCGGGTTAGTCTGCTGGGCAGCGAGCAGGTGGCGGTGTTGTCAAGCCCATGTCTGTGTGTCTGGTGTCCGTCGTGCGCTGATGCAGGAGGCAGGCGGCTCATGGAGGTATAGGGACATCAGTACGGGGCTCTCAGGGGCAGATGGTTCTAGGTGGAGCCGAGACCTGCCTTCCCTCTGCACTGGGTCTCCGAGGACTCACCCATCGGTCCCACAGGCCCAGACCACCCCACACCTGCTGTGTCCTGCCTTGAGTAGCCACTGTGTGCACCCTAGCCAGGCCCTGGGCCACAGGCAGCTACCATTTGGTCCAGTTTGTGGCTCTCTCCCAACTTCAAGCTCACCTTTCTGGCAAGCCCTCATGGCAGGCTCACAGGGAAACCTCAGCCTGTGTTCCCCTGTGTATGCCAGGCCTTTTTGAGCCCAAGCCCTCAGGGACAGGATCAGGCGCTGTCCTGGAAGCCTGGTCCCACCCCACACCCCGAGCCCCAGGACAGACCCAGCTTCAGACCAGCTCTACGACAGCCAGGACATTACCTATTGCCTGCCTGCCTCCCTCGCCTCGGGCAAACCAAGCCGCAAGCTTGCGGTCCTTGTTTCCAAAACCTGAAGCCGTTGATTTTTAGGGCCAAGATAGCATTTTTGCCACACGTGCTGGCCTTCCCTTCCTTGGGTCACCTTTTTACCTCTTCTCTGGCGTTTGAGTGGGACGTCCAACCTCACAAGCCTCCTCGCCCCAGGGTGAGCGTGTCTGTCTCTGTTGTCTGCCCACTGACCACCAGGAGCAACTGGTGGGTTTGTGGCCGGCCCCTCTCTGGGATTGAGGCCAGAGACTCAGGCGTTGGGATCTTCCTGGAACAAAGGGGATCTCTCTAGAACAAAGCTCAGATGGGGAGCTCCAAGGGAGAGGGCCAGGGCTTTGGGTCTGTGGAGACATTCACCTGGACGCCTTATAGGGCACATGCCTTACGCTATAGCTCTGAGAATGGCTGTGGGGCAGTGGCTTCCTGGGGACACTAGCCAGAGCTCCCAGCCCCCTGGATGCTGCCAGGCCTCCAGCAGCCACAAGGTCACACTGCAGCTGGGGTTCCCGAGGCCTCGTCCACGGCCACCCCCTCCTCGCCTCCACACCCCAGCCAGACCTCATCCCACCATCTCTTGGGGAGGGGCTCCGAGTGTCTCCTTTCTAGCGTCTCCACCACCCATAAGGTCCCCTAGCCCCCTGCTCCTGTCAAGGGACAGCCCCTGTCACCCTGCCTCTGAGAGCCCTGCTGGCCTCAGATAGCAGGAGTAGGGCCCCGGGTCCTGCAGGCTGGCAGCCCTGGGCAGGGGCTCTCCCTGTGCCTGTCCTGTGCTCTCTCAGCTGGTGGCTGGCTCTGTGCGCCCATCCTGTCCATGTACGTGGCCTGCGTCGTGTCCTTTGTCTCCTGTCAGGAGTCACCAAGTGCACTTTCTGTCCTGAATGTAACGTCTGGGCACTTCCCGCCTTGGCCCTGGTGACAGGTTCTCCTCTGGGGCCTGTTGGGTGGGGGTTCCTCATCCCTGTGGCCCCCAACTTCCCTGTGATGGAGATAGAGGCTGCCTTACCCAGGCTTGAGGAGAGGAGATGGGGATGGGGCCTTGGGAAGGGGCTTTCGGGTTGCAGAGGCCTCCCAGGAGCAGGTGGCAGAAAAAAAGTCATCCAGGATTGGGGGGCACTTCTGGAACCCCAAAATAAGCATCATCATCAGCCTCCTGCCGTCTGGGAGGTTCCAGGGGCCTCTTGTCTTCCAGCCGGGCTTGGGAGGTGCCGACTTCCCACCTGGCCTCAGGCCGTGACCACAGCAGGCCTCTCTTCTGTCTGCAGCACACTTCCACCCTGGGCAGCGTGTTTGGGGACGCGTACTATGAGCAGCAGATGGCGGCCAGGCAGGCCAATGCTCTGTCCCACCAGGTGAGCGGGCGCCCAGGCTGCCAGCCGGCCGGTGCCCAGGACAGATGCTTGCTGGGACCCTCGCTGGGACCCGGGCCTTGCGAGTCAGAGCTGCACGTGCTCGGGGGGCCCGTGCCTGCCCCTCAGCTTTGCCCCTCGGCCCCCGCCCCGTCCCATCTGCGGGCTATGGAGGCTGAGTCCCCGGCAGGGGTGGCCTAGCGCTGCCTCCCCTGGCATCTTTGCCCACCTACAGAGCGGAGGCCGAGGGCAGAGGGTGAGGGGGGGCAGGCAGCAAACGCCGGGCCAGACAGGGATGGGACCGTGGCTGTGGACGCGGCGCCTCGGCATGGACCGTGCACGCGGGTTTGCCGGGAGGTCGTGCTGGCTTTGCGTGGAGGCCAGGATCGGGGGCATCCAGGGGGCTTGGTGGCAGCCTGGAGCTGCTCACTCATTTGCTCATCCATTCATCCATTCATCCAGCCAGTCTCTAGGGTGGCGGGGAGGCCCCAGGTGGCGGGTGGAGTGGGGTTCGTGCTTGGCAGCCTGGGTGCCGAGCATCCTGCAGGGACAGAGTCCCCAGCTGCGGGCAGGACAGCCACAGCAGCCAAGGGCTTGGGGTGGCCAGCTGGGCAGGCCCGCGGTGGCCCTCACAGCCTGGTGTGCCTCCCTTCCCAGCTGGAGCAGTTCAACATGATGGAGAACGCCATCAGCTCCAGCAGCCTGTACAGCCCGGGCTCCACACTCAACTACTCGCAGGCGGCCATGATGGGCCTCACGGGCAGCCACGGGAGCCTGCCGGACTCGCAGCAACTGGGATACGCCAGCCACAGTGGCATCCCCAACATCATCCTCACAGGTGAGGCCAGGCCGGGGGCGCGTGTGCGGCGCCCCAAGGGGCCTCAGCCCGTGCGGAGACAGCCAGAGACTGCTGTCCCGCAGCAGGAGGGTTGACAGGGCCGGGGTTGTGACCCAAGCTTGATGGGGGCCTGAGGAGGCCACACCCCCTCTCCCCTGAATTTGACTCACTCCTGGGCTTCGGGCCAGGCCAGGCCAGGGAGATGCCTCTGGACCAGACGTCCCGTGCATAGGATAGAGACGGTCACTCTCCCCTCTCGGCGGCCTCCTGTCTGGCCAAGCAGCCCGGGTAAAGGTGAAGCAGCCGGGTACACGGTGCCCACTGCCCAGGCCACTGACCTGTCAGCTGAATGTGCACCAGGGTCAGGGACGGCTGTGGGGTGGGCCCTGTCTGGTGAGCCCAGCCTGGGCAGCCAGCTAACAGGTCAGGGCCGTGATGCACCGTGACAACCACGCCCAAGCAGTCTGAGCACGGCGCCTGGGCTCCTGGGGACAAGCCAGCCCCGTCCTGCATGGCACATATCAGGAAGACCCGGCTCCATCTAGCACAGAACCCAGACCCTGTCTCCCTGCTGAAGAAGATGATTCCCTTATGAGTCAGGGCTGCTGGATTGAGGGTGATGCGCCCCCTGGCAGTCCTCACTGGCCTCTTCCAGGCTGGAAGTGTCCGTATTTAGTGCTCCCCCACTGTGGCCTGGGCTCTGAGTGCAGAATCCAGCACCTCCTTCCCACCCCTCGGGTGTAGGCAGCAGTTGACGAGAAATTCAAGGGTGGACGCGCCAGCCTCAGACTCAGGAGAAGAATCAGAATCTGACCCCCGCAATGGCCTCAAGAGCCCAGAAAGACAGGGCGTTTCAGCCCCATTTCTCAGACCTGGAACCTGAGTGTAGGTGGAAGCCTAGGTTTGAACCCGGGTCTTTGTGGGGGAACTGAGGATTCCCTCCAGCCCTAGCAGCAGCTGGGTCCCCACAGTCACTCCAGCCTGCTTCTCAGTGACTCGTGCCGAGCAGCCCTCATGGCTGAGGGAGCCGGGGAGGTCCCTGCCCTCGCCAGGTCATGCTGACGTGCATCAGTGACACAGCCCTTGGCCCGAGGCTTCTCCTTGGTGCTCCTGACATCTGGAGCTGACATCTAGGGCCAGACTGGTCTCTGGGGTCCAGGCACTGTAGGGTGCTGAGCAGCATCTCATGTGCTGGCCCCTCCCCCAGTCATGACAGCTGGAATGTCCCCAGACATTGCCAGCATACCCAGGGGACAGAGTCGCCCGGCGGGCATGCCTGGTCCGACACATGGATGCGAGCGATGGAGCCAGGGCTAAGCAGTGCCTTTTGTCCCCACCCCATCCCCCAGTGACAGGAGAGTCCCCCCCCAGCCTCTCTAAAGAACTGACCAGCTCTCTGGCCGGGGTCGGCGACGTCAGCTTCGACTCCGACAGCCAGTTTCCCCTGGACGAACTCAAGATCGACCCCCTGACCCTCGACGGACTGCACATGCTCAACGACCCCGACATGGTTCTGGCCGACCCAGCCACCGAGGACACCTTCCGGATGGACCGCCTGTGAGCGGGCACGCCGGCACCCTGCCGCTCAGCCGTCCCGACGGCGCCTCCCCAGCCCGGGGACGGCCGTGCTCCGTCCCTCGCCAACGGCCGAGCTTGTGATTCTGAGCTTGCAATGCCGCCAAGCGCCCCCCGCCAGCCCGCCCCCGGTTGTCCACCTCCCGCGAAGCCCAATCGCGAGGCCGCGAGCCGGGCCGTCCACCCACCCGCCCGCCCAGGGCTGGGCTGGGATCGGAGGCCGTGAGCCTCCCGCCCCTGCAGACCCTCCCTGCACTGGCTCCCTCGCCCCCAGCCCCGGGGCCTGAGCCGTCCCCTGTAAGATGCGGGAAGTGTCAGCTCCCGGCGTGGCGGGCAGGCTCAGGGGAGGGGCGCGCATGGTCCGCCAGGGCTGTGGGCCGTGGCGCATTTTCCGACTGTTTGTCCAGCTCTCACTGCCTTCCTTGGTTCCCGGTCCCCCAGCCCATCCGCCATCCCCAGCCCGTGGTCAGGTAGAGAGTGAGCCCCACGCCGCCCCAGGGAGGAGGCGCCAGAGCGCGGGGCAGACGCAAAGTGAAATAAACACTATTTTGACGGCTGTCTTTTATATTTCTGAGCACACACAGAGCCCTGGCGTCCACCGGGGCAGGCGCAAAGTGGACAGAGCATGCAGGGCGGCGGACCCCCCCACGACCCTCCTCGCCCTGTCTCCATCCCCTCGAAGCCCTGCCTCACCGCAGGCAGGCCCATCGGTGGCCACCTTTGCCGGGAAGTGACCGGAAGGCCCCGTGAGGGGTCGAACGCGGAGGCAGGGGTTACCTCTTGGGGCTTTACAATCCGTGGCCCCTCCTGTCCTGCACTGTGGTCACCGGTCCTGTCATAGATGCTGTTAATTTAAGGTACAGGCAGAGGTGGCCAGGGGAGTTTCATTGTGGTTTTTTTTTCCTTTTAGTTTCTAGTTACATTTTGGTTGTAGATGACTCGCTTAATCTTTTAAGCCAACACTTGCCTGAGAGCATGTTTTTATTTCAGAAATCCAACTTTACCTATTTTTTAAGCTAACTGGAAATGGAGGCCATGCGCCCCAAAGCAGCCCGCCACCCACCTGAGTGTAAGAAGTGAGTCCGGCTTTTGGGTTTCACCCCAAGTTATCTCAAAACAAAAGGGCTGGTCAGGCTGGGCAGGGCCTTGTCAGGAGCTCACGGTAGGCAGAGGTGCCTCTGCCAGGGCCACAGAACAGACTTCCGGGAAGGGGCCTTGGCTTTTATTGAGGGTCTCTCAAAGACCCAGCCTGCCAGCCTCTCCCAGAGGTGCCTGCTAGTCCTTAGAGTGTGTGTGTGAAGATGCCATGACCAGTGGCAGCTGAGACCTCTCTGCCCCAAGAGTGTGGGGGACTGGCAGGGAGCGAGGGTCCCCGAGACGAGGACCACGGTCCTCCCTGAGAACCTGGGTGGAACTGGCATTTCATCCCCTCTCCACCCTACCCTCTGGCTCCTAGCCCACACCCCCTCTCTTGGGCAGCGTGGTCTGCTGGCTGCCCCTTCTTGGCAGCTCAGGGTCGTGGCAGGTGGACTTGGAGACACACAGCAGTGTGTGTTTTAGTGGCAGGTTTCAGGAGCACCTCTAAGACCAGGGTGACAGGGTACTTGGGAGCTGTCCTGGACCCTCCCCATACCACGGGCCCTGCAAGGGAGGCATCAGGGCTGGCTTTGTTTTCTGCTGTTCTTGGAATAGGAACTGCTGTTCTGATCCCCCCAAAACTGCATTGCGGCTCTCGCTCGCTCCTGCCTGCCGGGACAGCGCCTTCTGCTGAGTCCGTTTATTTGTAGTGTCATGGCTGCTGCTTTCACTGGGGTCCTGGGCACCCTGGCTTCTGTCCTCAGAGCTGGGTTTGATCCTAGCAACCATCCCTTCCTCTCTTTGCCCGGCAATGCCTTTGGCATGTGTCTGAGCAGCCAAGTGGCCACTCATAGGAGAAGGCTCCCTGGTCACGTTGCTCCTGCTGCCGTCTTGTTCCAAGGTGCGGGGGGGACACTGTTGGTCTGTCCAGGTCAAGGTCCCTTTCTCTTACCATGACAGAGGCTGGGGGCAGACAGCGGGGACTTTTTTTTTTTTTTAAGAAAAACTACATGTACATAGGAGAGTTTCATTACCATTAGACTTGTATGTAGGACTTAAAAAAAAATGGCCTTAATAAAATTACAAGCAACCCGCCTGGATGCGGTTTTCAAAAGAAGGCATTGAGGACCATGCTAGGAAACCTCATACCCCATCCGTCCAACCTCCGGCGGGCGCCACTGCTTGTCCTCTGGTCTTCGGTGTGGACAGATAGGAGAGGAGGGATGCCCACCTCGGAGCATCCCAGGCCCGTGGCCCATTTTCAGCATCCTGAAGCCAGATTCACAGTGACATTGTGTTAACGTGACGACCTTGGTCCATTATGGAGTTCTTTTTCCAATAAGAACCTGGTGGACCGAGGTCCGAGCTTGCCAGGGACAGTGGGGCCCACGCGAGTACCCGGGGCCCAGCCAGGAGCCAGCAGCCAGGCGTCCCTGTGTTCCAGAAGGATTCACGCCCCTCCTGGACCTGGGCGGGCCTCCCAGGGGGTCTGTATCACGGCCTTTTGTGTGTGCGTACGTGTGGTTTTTTTAAATATCACTACTACATATTCTTGAATTGCCAAGACTTTCTGAAACAAGACAGCTTAAGGGAATCAGCCTTTTGCTTTGTGATGTGAAAATACTGTGATTTGACGAGCCGCTTCCTGAGGGGCAGGCCCACGTGGGGAGGTTGCGCCGTGTACATAGACCCGCCGTCTGTGTCCTTGGTCAGGCCCGGATGCTTGGTCTACACTGGGTTAGAGGCTGCTCTCCCCACGCACCCATGTGCTCATGGCTTCTGCAGACCCTCTGCTGGGTACATCGGTCCCCTACGGCGAAGTTCAGCCAGGGCTCTCCCTCCTGAGAGCATGGCGTCCCCACCTTCCTGTTTCGCCGACGTCACTACCCAGGGTGGCAAGTCTTGCAGGCAGAGGGTGTAGCCCAAGTTCAGCCTCTCTCTGTGTCCTCCAGAGAAGAGGGTTCTTTGCCCTCATCAGGGCCCTGCTTGTGGGTTTTCGGCTCTGGGGAGGAGAGTGTTGGCATCAGTGTGTTTGGCCTGATTTCTTCAGGGGGCCAAGCTCCCGGGAGGACCCCTAGCCAGGAGGGCCCCCCATGTCCATCCATCCCTCCTGCTGGGGCTTGGATGTCAGGCTTGGGGGCTGTGAGCTGGGACCTCGCCTGAGCCCGGTCAGGTGGGACAGGAGCCTGCCAGAAGCCCATGGGGGGCCAGGCCGGGTGGCTTCTATTTTATTTTTTTAGAGATGGGGTCTTGCTGTGTTGCCCAGGCTGGTCTCGGACTCCTGGGCTCAAGCAGTCCTCCCTCCTCGGCCTCCCAAAGTTCTGGGGCTACAGGTGTGAGCCACTTCTGCCCAGCATCCCAGGCCTGAACAGCCTTGGCAGGACCCGTCCCTAGAGGGGGCTCTGGTGCCTCCCTTAGGTGGGCCTTGAGCTGGTTTTTAACCAAACATCCTTCCAAACTCGGGCTGCGACCTGCTTCCTGAGTTTTCTGTATTTCCAAGGAGCCCTCCGACCAGGGAGAGGCTGGTGGAGTAAGGTCCAGCGGTATTCGGGGGTCCTCTGTCACCTCGCCCTGAAAACAGCAGCTCCCATCACCTTCACTGGGTCCCGATGGAGCCGTCTCAGAGGCCGAGGGGCCCTCTGTGTGGGGGTGGGACGCAGGGGCTCTCAGAGCAAGGGCCACAAAGCCGATGGCACAGATGTGCCCCTGGGCCTGGCCCGTCACCCACATGTGGTGCCCTGGGCCAGGGCGTGCGGGCGCCAGAGCCTTCCCTACACAGCCTAAGAGCAGGGGCAAGACTCGGCCCCTCACTCACCCTGGGAGGCCTGCCTGGGCTACATGGACACCTGGGTCTCTTTCTACCCCCATTCACCATGGACCAGGGGCCTCCATTTCCTGGGGGCTCTTGCGGCATGTGATTTGGGGGTCCCTGGGACATTCTCCCGTCAGCTCCACCTGAGCCAAGTGTCCTGTTCCCTGCGGCCCTTGGCCTTCCAGGGTCCTGGCCAGGCAGGGGTCAGGCACCCCATACTCTTCCGTGTGGCACAGGTGTCCACCCACCCCCACTGGCCACAGACACCATTCTCCCCCTGGGAGCAGGAGGTGGAGTAAGTTGTACCCCCAGGCCTGGGTGCTGGGGAGTTCCTGAGGGCATGGGTGGGGCAGGAGTGAGTGCCTCGTGATCCCAGCCTCAGTTTCTCTCTTGTCACTTTCTCAAACCTGCAGGTCTCAGGGCCCCGGGCTCCTCCTGGGCAGGATGGGGGGCAGGGGCTGGGCCTTGGGGTGGTGCTGGCTCTGATGATTCCAGAGCCTGTATCCACCTTCTGGGCTCCTGGCCAGCACCCCACCCCCAGGAGCCAGGGACAGGTGGCATGTGTTGGGGTCGGGGGATGGCCCCCATCTCGAAGTGTTCTGGAATTTGGGGGCAACCCTTGCCCAGCCCAGCCATCAAGAACTTCTGATCTCCTGCCCACCAGGAGGGGACTTAGCCATGGACTTGGCCAGTAGGCCTGGGGAGGGAGGGCTTTGGCAGCCAAAGTCCACTGGCCCTGCCGTGCCCCTGAGTAGGAAACTGTCCCCTAGGGGCTGGGTGGCCCCACTGATATATGCAAACCCGCCGGTCCGAGCCCTGTTCCTGCCTGTGCTCCTCTGTGCCCAGGCTGGCTCTCCCCCAACCCTAGCATGTATACTCTGCCACGGACGTCCCGTGGGCCATGATTGTGGGCGGCCGCAGCGGGCGGGGGCAGGCGGCTCAGGGCACACTCGGCCGTCCCTGCCCCATCCTCTGGCAGGGCTGCTTTTGTCTTTGTACCTTTGCATCCTTTGTAATGAAACGTAATAAAAATCCAACGTTTTCGTCACTGGCTCTTCCTCTTTTTTCTGAGCCCCTCCCTCCTCCCTCAGGGGTGACACATGGGCGTGGCAGGTGCACTGGCAGGTGCCTCAACCCTTCCGAACACACACACACACACACACACACACCCCAGACCAGGCAAGGGAAGGGGTCCCCAAAGCTGGGACAACTGGGAACCTGCCCCCCAGAATCCTGGGGCGGACACTGTATCGGGGTCTCAGCTCTTCCATGGCTGGCATCCAGGCCTGTGACCATGAGGTGGTGGGTCGTGGAGGTGGACCCAGGGGCCTCCCCAAATCCCAAATCACAGTTGGACAGTCCCTGGCAGGCCACTGGCACTCAGCAGCAGCTGCAGCACTGAGGCCTTGGTTTGGGGTTCCCTGGCCCGACCCTCCCTCAGAGGCCCGTCCCTACTGTCTCCATGCAGCAAAAACCACAGCCGCCACTCCCTGCACACACACTTTATTTTGTCCTCTCTGAGCCCTTCTCACTTCCCCCTCAGGACGGCCACCCCTTGGGGCTGGGTGCAGAGCCCCCATCCAGCCGCGGTGAGGGTGGCTGTCATCCGGCGGGTCCTCACCCTGGTCCCTAGGCTTGCCGCAGCTGATGGGTCTCATAGTCCTCTGGGATGGTGTCTGCAGGGAGAGGGCAGGCGGGTGAGGGCTGAGAAGGCCAGCAGGGCCTGTGTGCAGACTCCCCGCCCACGGCCCGCTGGCCCTCGGCTCACCATTGCAGCGGTAACGCAGGTTGGCCCAGATGATGTTCTCCTGGGAGAAGCAGAAGACCCCCAGGCGGCCACCCCGCATGGTTGTGTCCAAGACCACGTTGCTGTCGGCCACCAGCTCAGGGCCCTCATAGAATCGCACCCTGAGGGTCAGACATGGTGAGGCCTGGGGGACCTGGGCCAGACCCTTCCCTCTCAGAGCTTCAGTGGCCAGCCCTGGAAGATGGGTACCCCTGACTGGGCTGCACTGGGAGCAAGTGAGGCCTCTGCCTTGGGCCTCAGTTTCCTGGTGTGGTGGACATCAAGGGCCCTGGACATAGTTGGTGCTAAACAGAGCACCTGGGCTTGCTAGCAGCATGGAATGGAGGCTGAGAAACAGGGACTGGGTGAGGCCCCATTTCTAGCTGGATACACACTGTGTGCTGTGTCCTGGCCAGGGTCTCGCTCTGTCACCCAGGCTGGAGTGCAGTGGTGCAATTACTGCCACCTTAATTCCCAGACTCAACTGACCTCAGCCTCCCTAGTAGCTGGGACCATGGGCACGTGCCACCATGCCTGGCATTTTTTTTTTTTTTTGAGACAGAGTCTCACTCTTGTCACCCATGCTGGAGTGCAATGGCACGATCTCCACTCACTGCAACTTCCGCTTCCCGAGTTCAAGCGATTCTTCTGCCTCAGCCTCCTGAGTAGCCGGGATGACAGGGCCCCGCCACCACACCTGGCTAATTTTTGTATTTTTAGTAGAGATGGGGTTTCAACATGTTGGCCAGGCTGGTCTCAAACTCCGGACCTCAGGTGATCCACCCGCCTCGGCCTCCCAAAGTACTGGGATTACAGGCATGAGCCACTGCGCCTGGCCTAATTTTTTTCTTTTTTGTAGAGACAGGGTCTTACTATGTTACCCAGGCTGCCTCGAACTCCTGGGCTCAAGCGATCCTCCCATCTTGGCTTTCCAAAGTGATGGGGTTACAGGTGTGAGCCACCACGCCTGGACCAGCATAGGCTCATTCTAACTGCCCTGTATCTTTCCTATCGTACAGATGAGGGGACCAGGGTCACACAGCCCCTGCCTGGCCAGGGCACTCCCACCTGGGCCTGTGTGTCCCCAGCCCAGCCCACCACAGAGGGTGGAGTCCCCACCTGATGTAGCCCACTTGGGGCCGGTGCTGCAGGAACCAACGATAGGACTTCTTGTCCTTCCAACCCACGTTTCGCGGGTCCTTCCACAGCAGCCGCACCTGGGACTCTGTGTCTCCTGTATGCCACAGAGCGTTCCGCAGCTGTTCCCCGGGGCCTGTGGAAGACTTCACAGCCTGCCAATACCCAGGAAAGGTGGTCAGAGACCTCGTGGGCCACCGGAGCCCCCCTAGACACCTTCCTGGAGAGACAGTTGGGAGCAGCAGGTGGTGGGCGGCCAGGGGGATCCGGATGAGAGACCCACAAGGAAGCCTTCTTCAGGGGCCAAATGGCAGCTTGGGGATAGGTCACAGGGGGCAGCAGTGGTCTGCAGGTTCATGAGAGGATTTGGGAGTCCGTGGACAGATTCAGGGTCTGGGAGGATGGGGGGCTCTGCAGAAGGACTTGGAAACTAAGGAAAAGTTTAGGGCTGTGTGAGAGGGTTTAGGGTCCATAGGAAGACTGGGGGGCCCTGAGAATGTTTGAGAATTTGTGCAAGGAACTGGGAGGATTTGGGGACTGCGGGAGCCCAGAGGAGGGCTGGGACAGCTTTGAGGTCCATAGTATGAGGCTAGGGGGCTGGGGGGCTCTAAGGGCTGTAAAGGGTTTTACGGAGGGTCATGGGAGGGCATGAGGACCGCAGAGGTCAGGCACGGACGGCCCTGGCACCTTGAGTTGGATGCCAGGCTCGGCCACAGCACGGAAGGGGTTCGCCTGCCAATACGTTTGCTCCATCTGCTTCCACATGACCACGTAGAAGCTGGAGCTGTCCTGGTAGCCAAAGATGAAGCCCGCATAGTCGTCATCCGTGACCGTGTTCACATGGAACGTGCCCTCGAAGTCCACGCCATTGAAGGCAGTGTAACCTAGGGATGGAAAGAGAGCAGTGGCCTTTCCGAACGCCAGCCCCAGCCCCCGGAACCTGGCACCCAGAACCCAAACCTGCCCCCTGGGTCCCGATCTGCCTGCAGACCTGCACCATTCCCACTCGCAGAGCCCGGACTCAGCCACGCCCCCCATCTACCATTGGCCACGCCCCTCCAGAGTCCACCTCCACTTGGCCCCGCCCTTCCCGAGCCCGCCCCTCCTCTGGCCCCGCGCCTTCTCCTCCCGGGCCCGCCCATATAACCCCGCCCCTCTGTCCCCGCCCTTCCTGAGCCCGGGCCAGCCCCCTTCTGGCCCCGCCCATTCTCAGCCCGGGCCTGCCCCTTCTCTGGCCCCTCTCCCTGAGCCCGCTCCGTGGCAGGATAGCGCTGCTCCCCGCTTCTCACCCACAGCCAGGCCTGGGTCGCTGTTCATTGTCTGCACGATCTCCCTTCCCTGATGGGGTCAAAGAAAGGAGGGCCTCAGGCTGGCCGTGACAGCCCTAGGCACCCTGTCCTCAGCATAGGCCTCACTGTGGGGGTTCTAGGGTCCCATCACCCCCCACGTGGACCCCGCTCCCACCTGGTTGAGCACCACCCAGTTGGGGTCAATCTGCGCGTCACCCTCCGGGTCCAGCACGACTGTCTGGAAGGCCCTGAAGTCGGTGAGCGTGACTTCAGCGTTCTCCGGACACACGTCGATCTTGTCTACCACCTTGTCTGCATCAAAGTCGTCCTGGCACACGTCGCCCACGCCGTCCCCTGAGAGGTGGGAGACCCCTCGGTGGGCTAAAGTCAGGGCCCGCCCACCGTAGACCCCGCGCCAGGAGCCCCCACTGGCCCCGCCCCCACCGCAGGCCCCGCCCCCGCCGTACTGTCCGCGTCCTCCTGGCCGGGGTTAGGCACCAGGCGGCAGTTGTCCCGACTGTCAGGGACTCCGTCATTGTCGTCGTCGTCGTCGCAGGCATCACCCTGGCCATCGTGGTCTGAGTCCTCCTGGGCACTGTTAGGCACCGTGGGACAGTTGTCCCGAGAGTCCTGATGTCCGTCTCCATCCCTAGAGTGGATAGGTGGGATCCAGAGACAATGAGCTCTCCAGAGCGTTTTGTCAAAGGCTACCCGGACGCCCACCCCAGGTGGCCTCCTTACTGGTCTTGATCGCTGTCACAAGCATCTCCCACAAAGTCGTGGTCCACATCCGCCTGCGGAGGGCAGCATGCGGGGGTCCATAATCAGACAGAGGAAATCAGAAAGCCTCCCACCCAACCCAGCCGCACAGCCAAGGTCCTCCTGACCCCAAGGAAACCCCCACCGCAGGCTGCTCGGACCGAGAGGTCATTTCTCTGGCAGTGTAAAATGCTCTAAGCTGGGCTGTGGGCTGGGTAATCCAACTTGCAGTTCACCCAGAGGGCTTACCCAGCTGGAGTCTGGCCTGCCCTCACCTGATCCGGGTTGCTCTTCTGGGGACAGTTGTCACAGGCATCCCCTATACCATCGCCATCACTGTCCTTCTGGTCTGAGTTGGGTACCCTAGGGCAGTTGTCGGCCTGGTTGCGGATCCCTGCAGAAATCCACGGGACCAGAGCCCCAAGATTGGGACCAGGCCAGAATGACTTCATTAGGATGAGGCCAGCCTGAGGCTGGCCTGGAACAGAGTCCCAACTTCATGGAAGCTTTTTTTTTTTTTTTTTTTTTTTTTTTTTGAGACAGTCTCATTGTGTCACTCAGGCTGGAGTGCAGTGGCATGATCTCGGCTCACTGCAACTTCCACCTCCCGGGTTCAAATGATTCTCCTGCCTCAGCCTCCCGAGTAGCTGGGATTACAGGTGTGCGCCACCACGCCCAGCAAATTTTTGTATTTTTAGTACAGACGGAGTTTCACCATGTTGGTCAGTCTGGTCTCGAACTCCTGACCTCGTGATCCACCTGCCTCAGCTTCCCAAAGTTCTGGAATTATAGGCATGAGCCACCCCGTCCGGCCCACAGGAACTTTAAGAATGAATGGTCCCATCCAAGGGAAGGCTAGTGAGGGGGACGGGCTCTCACTCCCAGGGTGGCTCAGCTGGGTGCCCGTGTGTGCCACCCTGAGCCCCTATGTCCCCATCTGTAAAGTTGTCACCTCCCAGGTCCTAAACCCCAGGCTCGAATCTCTTGTCCTCTTAATTCCTGCCTGCGGCATTGACACAGGGACCACCTTCCCTTCCAAATATCCCTGCGTTTTTCCTGGCCTTGCAGCCCAGCTTGCATTTTTCTGGCGCCCCACCATGGTCTTTGGTCCAGGGCGCCCTAGTCCAGCTTACCCCATCCGGCTTCCAAAACCAGCCAAGCCCCGCCCCGGAGCCGAATCCCGCCCTTCGGTGCCCGCCGCCTCTCCTCGCCCCCCAACCCCCATCGAGCTCACGGTCGCCGTCGATGTCGTCGTCGCACGCATCGCCCCGGCCGTCCTGGTCTGTGTCCTTTTGGTCGTCGTTCTTCTGGGACCGGCAGTTGTCGCACGCATCGCCCCACTTGTCCTCGTCCGTGTTGCGCTGGTCTGGGTTCCGCACCAGCGGGCAGTTGTCCTGGATGACAGGGTGGGTTAAGGGTGAGATCAGGTCGAGAAGGCAAAGGTCACACTCCTCAGATTCCCAAATCTCCGAGGACGCGTCTCCTCCTCAAGGAACCTTTCGCCCCTCCTAGACCACGGAGGCCACGCCCCTCATCCAAGCCACGCCCCATCCCACTTCCCTAGGCCCCGCTCACAGCTCTGTCTTTTCTTTTTTCTTTTTCTTTTTCTCTTTCTTTCTTTCTTTCTTTCTTTCTTTCTTTCTTTCTTTCTTTCTTTCTTTTTTTTGAGACAGAGTCTTGCTCTGTCGCTAGGCTGGAGTGCAGTGGCGCGATCTCGGCTGACTGCAACCTCCGCCTCCCGGGTTCAAGCGATTCTCCTGCCTCAGCCTCCTGAGTAGCTGGGATTACAGGCGTGCACCACCACGCCCCGCTAATTTTTGTATTTTTAGTAGAGGAGGGGTTTCACCATGATGGCCAGGATGGTCTCCATCTCTTGACCTCGTGATCCGCCCGCCTCGGCCTCCCAAAGTGCTGGGATTACAGGAGTGAACCACCGTGCCGAGCCGTAGATCTACCTTTTCATTGGGGACCCCGTCCCCGTCGGCATCCGGATCGCAGGCGTCTCCGATGCCATCGCGGTCCACATCCTCCTGCCCTGAGTTGGGCACAGTCACGCAGTTGTCCTGGGGGCGGGCACAGAAGGTGTGAGGGGCGCGGTCATGAAGTCCCGCCCTCCCTCCTGCCCAAGCCCGCCCCGCTCCGCCCCCACCCACCTTACGGCACTGGCGCTCCGGGCAGCGCAGCTTCTCGTCCGGGAAGCCGTCTAGGTCAGTGTCGCGACCACAGAGGATCCCGTTGCCGGCCCAGCCAACGGCACACTGTGGGAGAGTGTAAGTGGGTGCCCTGGAGTGGCCGCCACCCAACCCCGCCTCAAGCCCAGCCCGCCCGCACTCACCACGCACGACCGCGAGCCATCGCGCTCTAGGACGCAGTCTGCATGCTCGTGGCACTCGCTGGGCGAGCCGTCGGGGCAGAAGCGCTGTGCGCGCCGCTGGCAGCCGGACGCCTGGTCGCCCACGAAGCCGGGCTGGCACGGGCCGCACTGGAAGGAGCCCTGCGCCGGAGCCGCCGGAGGTCAGCGCAGGCCGCCCGCCGCTCGCCCCACCTCCCGCGATCCTTTCTTCCTCCCCAGCGGGCCTTACCCGGGTGTTGATGCACACGGAGTTGGGGACGCAGTTATGTTGCCCGGTCTCACACTCGTTGATGTCCGTGCAAACCTAGGGGAGGGGAACTCAGAGGTCACCACCCCACGCAGACACCTCCGGACCTCCCACCTCCTCCACACTTCCTCCGCATCCTGCCTCTCCCCTCCATCCTGCCCCAAACCGATCAGCCCTGGCGCAGCGGACCCCTCCTCTCCCCACCCCTCCCGCTGGAAGGAGGCTGGAAGAGGAGTTTACTGGTAAACAAAATGGACGCCCCCTTCCCTTCTGCTCCAAAAATGGGGCCCCCACACCTCTCACCTGCTTGTTGGCCTTGGCGAAAGCCAGCCCCACGCCCTGGTGGGTGGGGCCGCTGTACCCCGGCGGGCAAGCCTCGCAGCGGAACCCCGGGCTGGTGTTGATACAGCGGACTCGGGGGAAGCAGGGGTGGGCGTTGCACTGGGGGAGGAGGGGCCACAGAGGGTCAGAGGGCTTCGAGCTGGGCCCTGGGGGCCGCACCTCGTAGTGTCTCGGATGTGGAAAGTTCAAGGGCCATATGCCAGTGCTTGGAGCTCTGAGATGGAAGCAATTGTCGCAGGGGTCAGGCACGACTTTGCCTTGATGACGGCAAGGGCGCAACCGGGAGAGGAGAGGAGAGCTGTTCCCTCATGGGCGAGGGGAGGAAGGATGAGGGCGGGCATCCCCAGCAGAGGGGGGCAGGGGTCGTCGGGGCGTGCGTGCCCGGCGGTGGCGGGGGGTCTGGGCGTGCGTTCCCTGGCTGTGGAAGGGTCGTTGGGACTGGCGATCCCCTGCGGCGAGGAGGGTAGCTGGGGCGGACCACCCCTGGCGGTGAGGGAGTCGTCGGGGCGGGCGTCACTAGCTATGTAGGGGGTTGTGGGGGCGGGCGTCCCGGGTGGTGACGGGGATGGTCCTTGGGTTGGGCGTCCCCCCGCGGTAAGGAGGTAGTCTGGCCGTGCGCCCCCGGAGGTGAGAGGCTCTTCGGGGCGAACACTCCCAGTGGAGGAAGGGGTCTCCCGGGCGGCGAGAGATTGGGGGGCGGTAGAGGGAGTCGTCAGGGCGGTGGAGTGTCGGGGCTAGCGCACCTCGTTGACGTCGGTGCAGTGCGAGCCGTTGCCCGTGAAGCCCGCGGGGCAGGGGCCGCAGCGCGCGCCGCTCTCCGTCTGGATGCAGGCCACGCCGGGGAAGCAGAAGCCGGGCGCGCAGTGGAGCAGGGGCCGCACGCTGGGTAGGCCGGTGCGTACTGACTGCTGCATCCCTGCGGGGGGGAGGGGGGAGAAGCGGCGGGGCTGATCGGTGGCTCGCCCGGGGGCAGAGCCTATCATGGCCACGCCCCGGGGCTGGAGGCTTCCCCTTCCCCCCCACCCCCCGCCCCGGGGCGGCCCGAAATCCTGCGCTGTCCGCGATCCCGCCCCAGAGGCTGCGCGCTCTGACCGCGGGGTCTCCCCGGTCTCTTCTCTGAGTCTCTGTCCCGCTTTTCTGCCCCGTGGCGTCTCTCACTTCCCCAAAACTCTCTCACCGCTTCTGTCTCTTTTTGTCTCTGTTTCTACACACCCCATCCCATTCCCGTTCGTCCGTCCACCTCTCCGTCAGCCTCCATCTCCTTCCGTCTCTTTTCCTCCCCAGCTTTCCCTGGCTCTCTGTCTCTGTCTCTGTGTCTCTGTCTCCCGTCTCTTCTCTCTCCCGACCGCCCCGCCGCGCTCACCGCACGCGTCACACTCCATCACCGTGTTTTTCAGGAACGTGATCTCCCTGACCTGCAGGGGTGGGATGGAATCAGCGGGGTCCCAACCTCTCCTCATCCCTCGGGTCTCCCCTCTCTCTACCCCGGGGTCCCTTTCTACAGCCTCTTTTCGCCAAGGACTCCCTACCCGCCGACCCCCTTCCCTCCCCATCTCCTCTCCACCTTCTCGGGTACTTCCTCTCTCCTCGCTGGGAACTGAGACCCCCTTCCGTTCCCTGGCACTCCCTGCCCCGCACCCGGGCCCCGCACCTGCTGCCGCAGCAGCTCCCGCACGTCCTGCAGCGCCGCGTTGGTTTCCTGCAGTTCCCGAAGCATCTGCGGGCCCAGGTCTGAGCCTGCGGCGGCAGGGGACCTGGTGAGGCGTCATGGGGCCGGGGAATCCCACCACCAACTCCCACCGTTGCAGCGAACCCGGACCTCCGAGGCCCCACTGCGCTCCTCTAGTCTCGGTCCCGCCACCTGCTTTCTGCGCCCGGCACGTCCCCTACGAACAGTCCGTGAGCCCCAAACAGCCTGGATCCCGGGCCTCTCACGGGTCCTACAGTCCGTTGTGGGGCCGTGGGCACGGCGCGGGTGCTAACGCGGCTTACCCAACGGGCTCTGGCCCTGTCCGGACGCGCCGAGGGCAGCCAGGGTGAGCAGAAGAACGCAGGCGGTGTCGGGGACCATGGCGGTGGCGGGGAGCTGGGTGGCTGCTCGCTTTCTACCGCCCACGAGGCCCGCGGGGCCTATTTATCCCCAAGGCACGGCCGGCCCCAGGGACGGCCCACCACAGCCCTGCCCAACGTCCAGCCTCAAGGTAAACAGATGGCGCTGGCCCCTGCGTTCAAGTCCCCGCCCGGAATGCCCCGCGAAGTCGCCCGCGGCTGAATCCGACATGGTGGGGAAACTGAGTCCCGGGGTCTGTGGAGAGAGCTGGTGGGGCAGGGAGTCAGGGGGTACTGCCCCCACTTTCATTCACTGTGTGTGTGCGTCTGTGTGTGTGTGTGTGTGTGTGTGTGACGGGGTGTGGCTGTATCGCATCCTCTTGCTTCAGTCTCCCATGTAGCTGGGACTACAAGCCCGCACCACCAAGTCCAGCTAATTTATTTTTATTTTTATTTTTATTTTTAGAGACCGGGTCTGGCTATGTCCTGCAGGCTAGTAGTCTCAAACTCCCGGCCTCAAGCGATACTCCCCACATAACTGGGATTACAGGATCCAGCCATAGCATTCAGCTCATTGATTGATTGATTGATTGAGTGCTTGCTGTATGCCAAACCTGAGTTCCAGTTCCAAACAAGGCAGGCTCCATGGCCACGCTCTCAGCTCACACTTCGGGAAACAGAGTCACCAGCGTCTGAAAAAATAGGTCCACCCACTATGGATCAGACTGACTGGCCCTCCACTCCTCCTGAAGTGCTTCAAAACTGGGTAAGTTGCTGGGTGCGGTGGCTCACACCTGTAATCCCAGCACTTTGGGAAGCCAAGGCGGGCAGATCACCTGAGGTCAGGAGTTTGAGACCAGCCTGGCTAACATGGTGAAACCCCATCTCTACTAAAAGTACAAAAATTACCCAGGCGTAATTCCTCCCTTGCACAATGGAGGTAATAAGTTAATAATTATTAATTAATGATTAATAGTAATGATGATTATGATGATGAATGGAAAATAGGGGAGGGGCAGTTGAGACCTGGGACTCTCAATTTTCCTGCCTCTGTCCAAGGAGGCCGCTTCTGGCCCCAACGCTGGAGGGCTGCAAATGACTCCCCCCAACCCAACTCATTGCTGGTGTTCCCTCCCCTCCCCATGGTCCCTCGGCTGGTGGAGGAGGGGACAGCGTTCAGGATCTTGCCCCAACCCCTGTCCAAGGGGACAGGCCCACTTGGTTTTCCAATCTGCGCAATGGGGTGTGAGGCCCCCATCTGGAGGGGAGCAAGTTAAAGGGCTCTAGCAAGGGGAGGTCCGGGGCTTCTGTTTGTCCAGGCTGTGCCATACCTTCCAAACTGTGCTCCAGCTGCTGTGGGAACAGCCTGTAATAAAAATAAAAGTTACCGCTAACTGGCCAGCCACACTCTGGAGTTACAAAACCCCTTAACCTCCTGCAATCAGTTAACACTCTCCACTCCCACCTTCCAGTACTCACAGCGTCTATTCTATAGACAGAGAAACTGAGGCCCAGAGAGAAAAAGTGACTGGCCTAAGGCCACTGCCCGAGGGCAGGGGTGAATCTAGACTCAGAGCCAGATATGTTTTCTGGGGAGCCTACAGAGAAGTCACCGAGGGCTTCCTGGAGGAGGTAGCAAGGAGACAGACATAAAAGAAAAGGAGGACTTGGATCAGCAGAGGGAAAAGGTGAGGGCAGTTTTGGTGGAGGGAAGCATGTGAAGCTTGGAGGTGGGGACATTTCTAGACACAATAATTATTTCACAAACATCAAGGACTGTTGTGTGTCATGTCTCCTGTGCTGGGTGATGGGCACACAGGGTGAAGAAGCCAGACCCAGTCTCTCCTTCAAATGGGGAGCCCAGTGGGCTCATGGCTGTGACGGGACACACAGACAATGGTAGGAGTCCCCAGGAAATTGATCTGTTTGAAAGGGGATGGGTCAGGGCGGGCTTCTGGAGGAGGAGGGACCACCAAGCTGAGGACCGGATGATGAGGAGGACACAGCCAGGCAGAGGTAGCAGAAAGTCATTCCAGGTAGAGGAAACAGCATAGGCAAAGGCCCTGAGGCAGGAACCAACCTGGCCCGTTGGATGGACTGACCTCAAGGTGACAAGCTCTTGGGGCTCAGTGAGAAGCAGGAGATGAGGCTGTGTGTGAAAGGGCAGTGCTGGTGGTGTGGGGCTCCAGTGGTCTCCCGAGGGTAATGGGGAGCCACAGAGAGTGCGTGAAGAGAGACAGGCCTATAAGTGGAGTGTTGGTGGAAGCAGCTGGTCCCAGCCAGAGCATTTCCAATGAAGCCTGTCCTCAATAGTGCCTGCCCTGCCTGCTGCCTACATTGGGGCCATGAGCTCACCTCCTGTTTTCCTTGGCCTTCAGCACACCTGGGGGCCGCTCCTGGCAGCACTGGAATTCTCGGGAAAACCACAGCTCCAGTGGGGCCTGGGGGCTGGCATATGCTGCACACAGCTAGGACAGGAGCACATGGAAGCCAGGCCCCTGCCACAGGCTGGTCACAGTGCTGGGGCTTGGACACACGTGGCCTTATCCATGGCTGGGCCACGGGGAGTTGCAGGGAAGGGCATTCCAGGCGGAGGGAACTACAAAGGTGGAGTTCCTGAGGGTGTCCCAAGATCGGACAACAGAGGCCCGGAAAGGGGATGTCTGGGGTCACACTCCTGCCTCCTGGATCTCGCCAGCCCTGAAATCCCCCTTCTAGGCAGCAGTCCCCTCCTCCTGTGCACACCACACTTGCCTCAGATTACAGAATAACTCACTGTAGGTGTCATTCTGGGCCTTTGTACCTGCTGTTCCCCCCACCTCGTACAAACTCCTCCATCCTTCAAGGTCCAGCTATAATGTCCCCTCCTCCAGGAAGCCTTCCCTGCTGATATTCTCCAGATAACCTTCCAGCCTAGCCATGATCCTCGGGACTGTGAGTGTCTGTGGTTTGCTCTGTCCCTCCGAGCCTGAGGGGCTCCCACCCAGGGGCCTGGACTGGTGTAGAAAGGTTAGGCTGGAGGGCTTGGTGAGCCGGGACAGCATCCCTATGATTCGTGTTCATTACTATTTTTTTTTTTTTTTTTTGAGATGGAGTCTCACTTTTGTCGCCCAGCTGGAGTGCGATGGTGCAATCTCGGCTCACTGCAACCTCTGCCTCCTGAGTTCAAGTGATTCCCCTGCTTCAGCCTCCTGAGTAGCTGGGATTACTGGCACCTGCCACCACGCCCAGCTAATTTTTTTATATTTTTAGTAGAGACGGGGTTTCACCATGTTGGCCAGGTTGGTCTCGAACTTCTGACCTCAGGTGATCCACCTGCCTCAGCCTCCCAAAGTGCTGGGATTACAGGCGTGAGCCACCGCGCCTGGCCATTACTACTTTTTATAATTAATGTAATGTCATTACTATTTTTTTTTTTTTTTAAAATAGAGATGGGGGTCTTATTATGTTGCCCAGGCTAGTCTCGAACTCCTGGGCTCAACAGATCCTCCTTCCTCGGCCTCTCAAAACCCTGGGATTTCAGCCACTGCACCCAGCCAACATTATCATATGAATCCTAGTAACCCCTGCCACCTCTGTACTTGATATGGCAGGGAAGGGGGCCACACAGCCTGGGTTCAAATATTGGTGAGCATGGCCTTACTGTGTGACCTAGGACAAGTCACTTAACCTCTCTGTGCTTCAGTTTTCTCACCCATAAAATGAGGATGATCACTGTTGAGAGGATTGAATGAGCTGACCCATGGAAATCCTTCAGCCCAGCGCCCAGCTCCAGCGCTACTAGCGTGCTTATTCCATATGAAATTTATACACCGTGGGCCAGTGTGGTGGCTCACACCTATAATCCCAGCACTTTGGGAGGCCACAGCAGGTGGATCACCTGAGGCCAGGAGTTCGAGACCAGTGTGGCCAACGTGAAACTCCATCTCTACTCAAAATACAAAAATTAGCTGGACGTGGTGGCGCGTGCCTGTAATCCCAGCTAATCGGGAGGCTGAGGCAGGAGAATCACTTGAACCGGGGAGGCAGAGGTTGCAGTGAGCCGAGATCACATCACTGCACTCCAGCCTGGGCGACCGAGTGAGACCTTGTCTCAAAAAAACAAAACAAAACAAAAAAACTTATACCCTGTGCCTGTCGCTTATACCTCAGATCGTTCTTATTTCTATCTTACTCAGAGAGGAGAAGAGACAGTCTGAGGTCACACAGCCAGAATTAGAACTGAGGCATGCAAGACCCTCAAGCCCTTCATACCCGCCCTCTCTGTCCTTGCCACAGAAACAGAATCCAGCATTTCGCTGGCCCGAGCCCCTCATTAACTGGGATGTCTTCTCGGCCCAGGACCTCCTGGCCAGAGCATCTGGCCGGCGCCCCAGCCAGCCCCACACCAGGCCCCGTGGTTCCAGGAGCCCGGCCAGGCTGGGGAAGAGGGACGGGTGCCTGCATGATGGGGCCCCGGGGCCCTTCCTGGCAGACGTCTGCTCAGCCAGGAGACGTGTGGGCGCCCCGGCTCCCTGCCTCCCGCCCCCACCGTTGCCTGCCTTTGTGAATGCAGAAGGAAAGTATGTTGTGAAGGCAGCCGCCCTGCCCTGGGCGGGCCGGGCTGTAGGCCCCCAGTCTGCGGAATTCATCAGGGCGGCAGGGGAGGGCAGCTTGGCGACCTCTGCATCCTCAGCCTGCCTTGAACTGGGAGAGACGTACTGGAGGCATCTCTCTAGAAGGAACAAAAGGCAGGGGTGGGATGGGGGGCTCTGAGCTTTGAAGTCCAGGAGACGCCCCCCGACTGGCCGTGTGACCTTTGGCAGGTGCCACCTCCTCTCCCAGTCTCCTTTTTTTTTTTTTTTTTTTTGAAACAGGGTCTTGCTCTGTTGCCTGGCCTGAAGTACAGTGACAATCATAGCTCACTCATTGCAGCCTCCAACTTCTGGGCTCAAGTGATCCTCCCACCTCAGCCTCCCAAAGTGCTGGGATCACAGATGTGCACCACTGCACCCAGCCCCATTCTCCTTTTACTCAGTCCCTACCCCCATTGCATCCCAGGCTCTACTGGATGGCGATAAAGGAAGAAGACAACAATAAATACAGTGGCTACAGTTTTCTTGAGCAAGTGCCAAATGCTTGAAACCTTACCACTCAGCCTTTGTGGGTTTTCTCTTTCTGTCATCCCTTAAGTCCCAGAAGGCAGGAATTTGTCATCATGGGAGACAGTGGGGCACAGTGATGAAGGTCTCAGTCTCTGGCATCAGAGCCTGAGTTTCATATCCCAGCTCTGCTGTGGTACATGAGGCAAGTTGCTTAACCTCTCTGTGCCTCAGTTTCTTCTTTTTTCCTTTATTTCTTCTTCTTTTTTTTGCCACCTTCGAAAGTTTCTTATAATGTAAAATTTTACTTCTCAGGTTACTATACTGAAGAGTTGCTTCAGGAGAGAAAGAATTTCACCAGAGGCCGGGCGTGGTGGCTCACGTCTGTAATCCCAGCACTTTGGGAGGCCAAGGAGGGCGGATGACCTGAGGTCAGGAGTTCAAGACCAGCCTGGCCAACATGGTGAAACCCTGTCTGTACAAAAGTACAAAAATTAGCCGGGCATGATGGCAGGTGTCTGTAATCCCAGCTACTTACTTAGGAGGCTGAGGCGGGAGAATTGCTTGAACTCAGGAGGCGGAGGTTGCAGTGACCCGAGACTGCACCATTGCACTCCAGCCTGGGCGACAGAGTAAGACTCTGTGTCAAAAAAAAAAAAAAAAAAAAAAAAAAAAAAAAAATTCACTAGGAACAGATAGGAATTTCACAATATTCAATTGATACTGGTTTCTTTCTTTTTTCTCTTTTCCTTCCTTCCTTCCTTCCCTTCCTCCTTCCTCCCTCCCCCTCTCCCTTCCTTCTTCCCTCCTCCCTGTCTCTCTCTCTTCCTCTCTGTCTCCATTTCTTTCTTGTTTTTGAGGTAGGTTCCCGCTCTGTCACCCCAGCTGGACCGCAGTGGTACAAACACAGCTCACTGTAGCTCAAACTCTTGGGCTCAAGCCGTCCTCACACCTCAGCCTCCTGATTAGCTGGGGCCAAAGGCATGTGCCACCACACCTGGCTAATTTTTTTTATTTTGTAGAGACAGGGTCTTGCTCTGTTGCCCAGGCTGCTCTCTAACTCCTGGGCTCCAGTGTCCCTTCCATCTTAGCCTCCAGGGTAGCTGGAATTACAGGCATAACACCTATATTTAATGAAGGTTTCATGCAGTCAAATAAACTAGTGTCTGTGTTCTGAGGGGAGGAGAGTGCCTTCAGGGCTAACTGTAGAAGCTTTGTTCTCTCCTTCAGTCTCTCTGTCTAATGAAGTGAAAATGGAAATGTGTAAAGTTTTACGCAAGGTAACGGTAGCAGGAAAAACCAAGGTGAATATAAGTATGAGAAGAATCCTGACCTCTTAGCGTCAGTGTAAGAATTGAATGAATTAGCGCCCAGAAAGTTCACAGCCCTTGCTTGGGAGGCGGAAGTGGGAGGATCGCTTGAACCTAGGAGTTCAAAACCAGCCTGGGCAATATAGCAAGACCCTGTCTCTAAAACAAAACAAACAAACAAAAAAAAAATTTAAAATTAGCCAGGCATGGTGGTATGTGCCTGTAGTCCCAGCTACTCAGGAGGCTAAGGTGGGAGGATGGCTTGAGCCCAGAAGTTTGAAGCTGTAATGAGCTATGATTGTACCACTGTACCCCAGCCTGGGTAACAGAGTAAGACCTCGTCTCAAGAAAAAGAAAGGCCCAGGCGTGGTGGCTCACGCCTGTCATCCCACCCCAGCCTGGGTAACAGAGTAAGACCCTGTCTCAAGAAAAGGAAAGGCCCAGGCGTGGTGGCTCAAGCCTGTCATCCCAGCACTTTGGGAGGCTGAGGCAGGTGGATCACTTGAGGTCAGGAGTTAGAGACCAGCCTAAGCAACATGGTGAAACCCCATCTCTACTGAAAATACAAAAATTAGCCAGGCATGGTGGTGCATGCCTATAATCCCAGCTACTCAGGAGGCTGAGGCACGAGCGTTGCCTGAGCCCAGGAGGCAGAGGCTGCACTGAGCTGAGATCATGCCACTCTCACTCCAGCCTGGGGTGACAGAGTAAGACAGAGTAAGACTCTGTCTCAAAAAAAAAAGAAAAAAAAAAAAGGAAAAGAAAGAGCTGAGCCCTCAATCAATGTCAGCTATTAACATCCCCATTTTACAGGTTGGCAAACTGAGGCTCAGCAAGTCTGTCCTGTCTCCTCAATTTGGTCACTGGATGCTCAGAGTGGGAAGTCACCTCCTACCGCTGCCTAAGGCTCCAGGAGAGAGTCTCCCAACCAGGCTTCTGCAGTTCCCGCTGGAGAAGGTAGGGTGGGCTGTCAGCAGAGAAAGTGGAGAGTGCAGGGACCAGAGCACTACTGCAGTTCCTCAGTACCCCTCGTGCCCCTCCCAGCCCCTACCTGGGCTCATTAACAGGAGGCCCTTGTTCAGGGGAGTGATGGATGGCGTGGGAGGCCGAGGGCGGGGTGTGTTTACCCACCGGCGGCTGCAGACAGGAGCCCAGGCCAGGGCCGGGCCAGTAGGGGAGGGAGGCTCCCAGGTAGGGAGGAGCCCAGCCCCAATACTGCTGCACGGAAAGGGGCCAGCTGGGCCCCTTCTGGAAACAGAGGCCAAGGGTCAGGGAGGCCATTCTGCTGGGGAAATTGGTGCCGAGAGTTGAACAAGTGAACAGGTGCCAGCAGAGCAGAGCCCCAGGCAGAGGGCACAGCAGGGGCAAAGGCCCAGAGGTGGGTATGTGCTTGATGTGTTGGAGGTTCCGCGAGGCGTCAGGAGTGGCTGCAGCAAGCGGGGAGGGGAAATGGAGGAAATCTTCCGGCTGTGAGCCATGTTTAGGCTCCATGGGCGTGTCCATTCCCACATCTTTCTGCACGCCAGGCCCTTACCTGGGCTGTGACCGCTCCCTGGTGCCCTGTCTGCTTTCACATGGCTCATTCCTCACCCCGGCTGGCTTAGAGGCTCCCGCTGGCCTTCACAGGCCCTTGGTGTGCTCCATCAGAGCTGTGACCATGCTGTATGGGCACTGCCAGGTTACACGGGTCATGGGGCTGCCTCCTCCATCAGACTGAGCTCCACCATCTTGTTCCCCTCTGTGTTCCCTGCATATACACATGATGGAATACTCCAATAATGGATGGACAGATGGATGTATAAGTGGATGGATGGATGAGTGGATGGATGGATGGATAAGTGGATGGATGGATGGATGGATAAATGAGTGGATGGATGGATGGATAAGTGGATGGATGGATGGATGGATGGATAAATGAATGGATGTATGGAGGATGGATGGATAAGTGGATGGATGGATGGATGGATGGATGGATAAGTGCATGGATGGATGGATGGGTAAGTGGATGGATGGATGGGTAAGTGGATGGATGAATGGATGGACAAGTGGATGGATGGATGGATGGATGGATGGATGGATAAATGGATGGATGGATGAATGGATAAGTGGATGGATGGATGGATGGATGGATAGGCAAATGGATAAATAAGTGAATGGATTGATTAATGGATGGATGGATGATGTATAAGTGGATGGATAGATGGATGGATAAGTGGATGGCTGGATAGACAGATGGATAGGTGGATGGGTGCAAAGATAATGAATTGATGAATAGATGGATGAATGATGTATAAGTGAATGGATGGATAGGTAGATGGATGGGTGAATGGATGGATGGATAAGTGAATGGATGGATAAATGAATGGATAAGGAGATATATTGTATGGATGAATGAATAAGTGAATAAATAATGGATAAATGGATACATTTATACATGTGGATGGATAATGTATAAATGGATGGATAAACAGATGAATGGATGCATAAGTGGATGTATAAATGAATGAATGAATGGGTGGATGGATAGATAAGTGGGTATATAGATGAATAAGTGGATGGATGGATGAGTAAGTGGATAAATGGATGGATGGATAGGTGGATAGGCAGCTGAATGGATGGATGATGTAGAAGTGGATGGATGGATGGATGGATGGATGGATGGACAGATAAGTAGATGGATGGATAGATAAGTGGATGGATGGATAAGTGGATGAATGGGTGGATGGATAGATGGATGGATGGATGATGGAGTAAAGAAAAGCTACAAGACCACAAAACAAGGATCCACAGGACTAAGAAATGACAGAATCACATCACTGGTTAATGGAGCAACTGAACTGTGGAGTCCTAGGGCCACGGGACCACAGAGTTAGAGATCCACGCAGTCCAGTCAACAGAAGCACAGAACCGAAGGGTAGTTGGAAGCTATAGGACCCCAGTGGGGGCAGAGACAAGCCATTGGGGCATCCCACATCCACGGTGCCACCAGGATAGAGTCTCAGAGTTGACCCCAACAGAACCACCCTCTGGCCACACCCTCACCTCTCAGCTCTCCAAGGAGCCTCCCAGGGGCCACTGAAGCCACAGGGTGCTTTTTCCCCCAATCTGTGGAGCAGCCTTGGGGGACAGGACCATGCCATCGCCAATGCCTGCAGCCAGTCAGCCTCCAAACACTCAGTGAGTCCCGGCACCAGGGCCAAGTGAGGCTGTCCAAGTACCAGGAAACACTGCCAGCCTCTGGCCAGGCTCCTCTGGACGCCGAGTGCTCTGCAGCCAGGGGCAAAGGAATCAACGGGTAACGTTTACATCCATGTCCCTTCCAAAGCCAGCAGCAACATAGCATGGAGGGGAGGCCGTGCCCCAGCTGCGTCCCCTCCGGGCCACGGTGCACTGACTAGCTGCCCGCTCCATCGCCAGGAGTCACAGCTCAGCTCGAATTTCTCGACACATCCACGTATTAATGAGCTCTCCCAAGACAGCACCCGTTTGCCCAGCAGAACTTGCACCTGATGCCCAGAACAACCAGCCCATTTGAGATGGGGGAAACTGAGGCCCTTGTCTCAGAGGTGAGCCCAGGAACACAGCAGGCTGGAGCTGAGTCTCAATCCCAAGCCTGCAGGATGCTAAACCTGAACTTATCATCACCCAGTTGGGCTGCCTCTCAGGCCCCAGCCCCTTGTCCTGGGACCCCCCCACTTCCCCACCAGGTGTTTGCTTCCAAATGTGGTGCATTGCAGAATGCCAAGAGCACGGGCTGCAGCAGTTTCTTCCCTTCCATGGGCTCAGAATATCTAGCTCACAGGGCTGTGGTGGAGAAAAACTGTGGTCATAGCACAGAAAGGGGACCTGATTGCTGGCCTGATAGGAGCCTTGCCCACACCGTTTCCCCCTCCCTTCTTCTTCTTCTTCTTTTTCTTCTTCTTCTTCTTCTTCTTTTTTTTTTTTTTTTTGAGATGGAGTCTCTCTCTGTTGCCCAAGCTGGAGTGCAGTGGCATGATCTCAGCTCACTGCAACCTCTGCCTCTGGGTTCAAGAGATTCTCCTGCCTCAGCCTCCCAAGTAGCTGGGACTACAGGCATGAGCCACCGTGGCTGGCTAATTTGTGTATTTTTAGTAGAGACATGGTTTTGCCATGTTGGCCAGGCTGGTCTCGAACTCCTGATCTCAGGTAATCCGCCCACCTCAGCCTTCCAAAGTGGTGGGATTACAGGCCTGAGCCACCGCCACTAGCCTTTTTTTTTTTTTTTCCGCTAGGTTTCGCTTGTGTGATTACCTCATTCCATCTTACATATGAAAAAGTAGAAGGCAAGAGAGTGAGGTTCTAATCCTCCCGATACCCACCCTGGCAGCTTCAGGGAGGGTTTCTCGCATCTGCAGTGTAGTAAAAACATGGCATTGCTGGGCACCGTGGCTCACACCTGTAATCCCAGCACTTTGGGAGGCTGAAGCGGGAGGATCTCCTGAGCCCAGCAGTTCCAGACTGGCCTGGGCAACATATTGAGACCTCATCTCTACAAACAAGCAACAACAACAAAAAGGCTGGAGTGCGGTGGCACAATCTCAGCTCACTGCAACCTCCACCTCCCCGCTCAAGTGATTCACTTGCCTCAGCCTCCCTTGTAGCTGGGATTACAGGTTCTTGCCACCACAGCAGGCTAATTTCTGTATTTTTAGTAGAGACGGGGTTTCACCATGTTGCCCAGGCCGGTCTTGAATTTCAGACCTCAGGTGATCCGCCTGCCTCGGCCTCCCAAAGCGCTCGGATTCCAGGCGTGAGCCACTGCCCGGTCTGCCTGCCCTTTCTGAATAGCAAGGATGGACCCCTGAAGTGCCAGGCTGAAATTCCGCCAGCTCACTGAGTGGGGAAACACCCTCTCCCTGACGAACTCAGCAAAGATCTCAAGGCTAACTCTCATAGGCTCAGCCCTGAACCAATCACTGCAGTCGGTGGGTGGAGGGCTTTGATTGGCTGGGCCAGGAGCCTGAGTCCCCTCTGGAGGTTGGAGGGGCAGGGGCCAAAGGAGGATGGTGTCAGTAACTCGTGGTGCAGGCAAACTTGATGGAAACTGAATCCCCACCCAGACTCTTGCCTTAGTGGGTCTCTGGCACCACGGGCTACTCTGAGTGGCTTTTTCTGGGGGTAGGGGGAGGGACGGAATCTCGCTCTGTCCTCCAGGCTGGAGTGCGGTGGCGCAATCTCGGCTCGTTGCAACCTCGGCCTCACGGGTTCAAGCATTCTCCTGCCTCAGCCTCCCAAGTAGCTGGGATTACAGGCGCCCACTACAACACCCTAATTTTTGTATTTTTAGTAGAGATGGGGTTTCACCATGTTGGCCAGGCTGGTCTCAAACTCCTTACTTCAGATGATCCGCCCTCCTCGGCCTCCCAAAATGTTGGGATTACAGGTGTGAGCCACCGTGCCTGGCCTGAGTAGCTTTAACGGGGTGACCCTGGCCATGTGCCAAGCCCCATCCCCTGTCTCTACCTCCGGCTGCTGTATTTGAGGCCCCTTCTTACTGCCCTCTGCTTGCAGGAAGGTGGGTTCTTCCTTACTCTGCTGGCCTCCCGACCTCCCCTGGGTACCAAGCCACCTTAAGCATCACAAGGAAACAGGCATTACCTGGAAGAGTCCCCACCACCAGTTTCTTTCCAAATTGCTGCTGGTGGGCCAAGGTGCGGAGGCTCATGCCTGTAATCCCATCACTTTGGGAGGCCAAGGTGGGTGTATCACCTGAGGTCAGGAGTTCGAGACCAGCCTGGCCAACTTGGTGAAACCCCGTCTCTACTAAAACTACAAAAATTAGCGGGGCGTGGTGGTGCCTGCCTATAATCCCAGCTACTCAGGGGGCTGAGGTGGGAGGATCACCTGAGCCTGGGGAGGCAGAGGTTGCAGTGAGCTATGATCGTGCCACTGTACTCCAGCCTGGGTGGCAGAGTGAGATCCTGTCACAAAAACAACAGCAACAACAACAACAAAAATTAAGGAAGGGAATTCCAGGCAGAGAGGTGAGCTTGTGCAAAGGCCCTGGGGTAGGAAGTAATTTTCTTGTTGGAGGAGGTGAGGAGGCCGATGTGACTGGAGCAGAGTGAGGGAGGAGGGGGGAGATGGGTTAGAGAGATGGGCCAAGGTGGGATCACATGGGGGCCTTGCAAGCTGCAGCAAGGAGGTGGGTTTTATTCTGAGAGCAATAGGGAGCCATGGAGAGTGTGTGAGCAGGGGAGGAACATGATTTATGATTTTAAGCCATCTCTTGTGGCTGCAATGGGGAAGAGGCCAGGCAATGTCAAGGCAAGAGCTGGTGGGGCCAGGGCCAGGGCACGGCCACAGGGTGGGGAGGAGAGGTTAGATTTGTTTGTTTTGAAGCCTGAGAGGACTAGAGCTACTGATGAGCTTGGGAAGGAAGGGAGGGAGGAGTCTCAGACGCGCCCAGATCTTGAACCCATCACAAGGTGGTTGGTAGGGTTGTTGCCCGACACAGGAAGACTTAGCAGAAAACCATGAACCCCACCTTGGCCATGTTGTTGCTGAGGTGTCTGGTCTGGGCTGGCCAGGCTCCAGATGGAACCGTGGACCTTGTGGGCAAAGAGTGGCCTGTGACTTCCAGGCCTGGGCTGTGTGCGTTGCAGGGAGATGGGCAGGGGTCTCTGGCTGCGTCCTTGATCCCCATCCTTTGTGCAAACAGGTGGGGTGGGGCAGGGGGAACCCATGTTTTCCCCATCCCGGGTCCTTTTGTTCCAGTTGGAAGCCACGACCAATTCGAAAAGTCCAGATGTGGAGTTGGACGCAACCCTTGGACCGTGCGGTCTGGGGAGGCCAGTGGCCCGTCATCCAACAGGTCAGGCCTCCATGTGGCCTCGCTGGCTGTGGCCCGGCTGGGGCTGGGGGGCAGAACGGCTTTGATTTCGAGTCTCTGGCTGAATCTGCAAAGGTTAAAAAAATAATCACCAGCACCAAGGCGTTGCCCCTTCAAGACGTCAATCCCAACACCAGGCGGAAAAAACAGGCCCTGGGGCCCCTGCCAGCCCACAGGCCTGAGACCTGCAGAGGGGCCTGATCAGAAGGCCAAAAAGCTGGGTCCCCACATCTCTCCGGGCACAAGGGGAGACTCGGCTTCCCGTCTGGAACACAGGGCATTGCTGTAGAAGCGCATCCACGTTCAAGGTCAAGTGCAGCATCTACCTGCCTGCCAAGCCCTGGCCCAGGCAGTGGGGACCCATGAGGCGAGTCAAGGTTGGCCCCGGTCTGTAGGGCTCCCAGGCCAGAGATGGGGTTTCCCCATGCTGGTCATGCTGGTCTTGAACTCCTGACCTCAAGTGATCCACCCACCTTTGCCTCCCAAGTGCTGGGATTATGGGTGTGAGCCATTGCGCCCAGCCCCTTCCTTCATATTTACATAAAATACCCTTCTGTGACCCAGGACTTGGCTTAAATGTCAACACCTCAGGAGACCTTTCCCAACCCATGGGCAAAAATACCTACACCCAGGTATTTCTTTCAGACACTTCTCACTCTTGGAAATGATCTTCTCGGCTACATTTTCATGAGGTTGGGAACGTGGTTTATCCGCAGTTTGTGCCATTGTACCTGGCATATACTAGGTGAGATTGTCTCCTTGGGGACAAAGGAGGATGCTGGCTATCACAACAAAGTTTCACAAACATATACCCTCTGAGACCCCCAGACCTCCCCCAGCAGTGCCCCAGGATTTACAACCAGAACTTTATTTATTTATTTATTTATGAGCTGGAGTCTCGCTCTGTCGCCCAGGCTGAAGTGCAGTGGTGCAATCCCGGCTCACTGCAGCCTCGACCCCCTGGGCTTGGGTGATCTTTCCACCTCAGCCTCTCAAGTAGCTGGGACCATAGGCACATATCACCCTGTCCAGCTAATTTTTATATTTTGTAGAGACAAGGTCTTGCTGTGTTGCCCAGGCTGGTCTCAAACTCCTGGGCTCAAGTGATCCAACCACCTTGGCCTCTCTAAGTGCTAGGATTACAGGTGTGAGGTACCACACCTGGCCTACAACCCAGAAATTTGCCCTCAATAAATGGCAGAGTGAGGCTGGTCACAGTGGCACACATCTGTAATCCCAGCATTTTGGGAGGCCATGGTGGGAGGATCACTTAAGACCAGAAGTTCAAGACCAGCCTGGGCAACATGGTGAAACCCCCATCTCTACTAAAATACAAAAGAAATTAGCCAGGTGTGGCGGTGTGTGCCTGTAGTACCAGCTACTCGGGAGACTGAGGCAGGAGAATTTCTTGAACCTGGGAGGCAAAGATTGCAGTGAGCTGAGATTGCACCACTGCACTCCAGCCTGGGCGACAGAGCAAGACTCCTTCTCTAAAAAAAAAAAAAAAAAAAAAAAAAAAAAAAAAATAGGGCCGGGCGCGATGGCTCACGCCTGTAATCCCAGCACTTTGGGAGGCCAAGGTGGGCAGATCACAAGGTCAGGAGATCAAGACCCTCCTGGCTAACATGGTGAAACCCCGTCTCTACTAAAAATACAAAAAAATTAGCCGGGCGTGGTGGCAGGTGCCTGTAGTCCCAGCTACTTAGGAGGCTGAGGCAGGAGAATGGCGTGAACCTGGGAGGCGGAGCTTGCAATAAGCAGAGATTGTGCCACTGCACTCCAGCCTGGGCGACAGAGCAAGACTCCATTTCAAAATAAATACATAAATACATAAATAAATAATAGGCAGGCACAGTGACTCATGCCTATAATCCCAGCACTTTGGGAGTGCCGTGGTAGGAGGATCACTTGAGACCAGGAGTTCAAGGCCAGCCTGGATAACATTATGAGACCTCACCTCTTTTTTTTTTTTTTTTTTTTGAGACAAAGTCTCCCTCTGTTGCCCAGGCTGGAATGCAATGGCGTGGTCTTGGCTCATTGCAACCTCTGCCGCCTGGGTTCAATCGATTCTCCTGCCTCAGCCTCCTGAGTAGCTGGGATTACAGGTGCGCACCATGACGCCCAGGTAACTTTTGTATTTTTAGTAGAGACGGGGTTTCACCATGTTAGTCAGGCTGGTCTCGAACTCCTGACTTCATGATCTGCCTGCCTTGGCCTCCCAAAGTGCTGGGATTACAGGCGTGAGCCACAGCACCCGGCCGAGACCTCATCTCTTAAAAAAAAATTAGGCCAGGCATGGTAGCTCATGCTTGTAATCCCAGCACTTTGGGAGGCTGAGGTGGGGCTAAGGTCAGGAGTTCGTGACCAGCCTGGCCAATATGGTGAAACCCCGTTTCGGCTGGGCGCGGTGGCTCATGCCTGTAATCCCAGCACTTGGGAAGACAAAGGTGGGTGGATCACGAGGTCAGGAGATCGAGACCATCCTGCCCAACATGATGAAACCCCGTCTCTACTAAAAATGCAAAAATTAGCTGGGTGTGGTGGCACGTTCCTGTAATCCCAGCTAATCAGGAGGATGAGGCATGAGAATTGCTTGAACCCAGCAAGCGGAGGTTGCAGTGAGCCGAGATCGCGCCACTGCACTCCAGCCTGGTGACAGAGCGAGACTCTGTCTAAAAAAAAAAAGAAAAAAAGAAAAGAAACCCCGTTTCTACTAAGAATACAAAAATTAGCTGGATATGGTAGCAGGCACCTGTAATCCCAGCTACTTGGAAGGCTGAGGTAGGAGAATTGCTTGAACTCAGGAGGCGGAGGTTGCAGTGAGCTGAGATTGCACCATTGCACTACAGCCTGGGTGACAGAGCGAGACTCCGTCTCAAAAATAAATAAATAAAATTAAAAAACAATAATAAATAAAATAAATAAATGGCAGAGTGGTTTGAGTCATGCTGGAGGCGCACAGGCAGCTATGGAGGGTCAGCAGGAGGGACTGCTATGCTGCGACTGAAGGAGAGATGAGAATTGGCCTGGTAAGAGGCCACAGAGGGTGCTCGGGTGGGGGGACCAGCGTGTGTAAAGGCTTGGAGGCGACAGAGAACGATGGAGTGTTTCTGGAACTGTGTGTAGAGGGGCCCAACTCACACAGAGTGAGGGGAGAAAGGGCCATACTGCTGGAAGGGCCCACAAGCCCTGGGACGATGGGACTTGGACTCCATCCCAGGGCAATGGGGAGCCATGGGAGGTATGTGAGCAGAAGGCACATCAGACCTGTACCCCCTCGTCCTGTGCCAGGTACCGAGAGGCTCCCTCCCAGACCTGGGAACCCCATGGGCTCAACATGCATGGTAGACACATCTCAAAGCAGTTTTATGTGAATTCCTGAGGAGAGCTGTCTCCAACAGGCCAGGCCACCCGCTATCCTCACCACCACGGGGCTGGGGAGGTCTGTCGTCCACAGGAGCCTCCCAGACCCAGATAATGCGCTGACAGCTGCCTGGCCCTGCCTGGGCCTCGAGGCCTCCCCCCAGCATGGCTGGGTTCCCCCGAGGCCCGGGTCTGACTACCCCTTCCCGGCCTGACTACCCCTTCCTGGCCCTCGGTGGATGCTGAAGACATTTCTTCTTATTCCGCTGGAATTTTCCTCGTGGACCATGCCAGCGCCTCCAGAAACACATGAAAGGAAAATGTTTCCAGTCTGAGCAGGGCTGTTTTATTGCTCTCCGGGCTGGGAGTCTGACCACAGAGTGGAAAGGGCTCGTCATACCACTGTTCCTCCTGCTGAAGCGGCTCGGACCCGGCCCGCCCTGCCATGCCCTCCTTGGAGGCCCGGGTTCTGCAGGGTTTTTTTTTTTTTCCTTTTTTTTGAGAGAGGGTCTTGCGCTGTCACCCAGGCTGAACAGGCTGGGGTGCAGTGGTGCGATCTCGGCTCACTGCAGCCTCCACCTCCTAGGCTCAAGCGACCCTCCTGCCTCAGCCTCCTGAGTAGCAGGGACTACAGTCTCTTGCCACCATGCCTGGCTAACTTTCCAAAACTTTTTGTAGAGATGGGATCTCCCTATGTTGCCCAGTTTGGTCTTGGACTCCTGGGCTCATGTGATCCTCCTGCCTCGGCCTCCCAAAGTGCTAGGATGACAGGCATGAGGCATTGCTCCTGGCCTCTGCAGGGTTTTTCCAGCTAAGGAAAGTTTCCCCTGCCCTTGTCCCCCTGACCAGGGAGCAACTCCCTCAAAAAATAGAGGTTGGGGGCCGGGCACACTGGCTCATGCCTGTAATCCCAGCACTTTGGGAGGCTGAGGTGAATGGATCACCTAAGGTCAGGAGTTCGAGACCAGGCTGGCCAACATGATGAAACCCCGTCTCTACTAAAAATACAAAAATTAGCCTGGTATGCTGGCACATGCCTATAATCCCAGCTACTCAGGAGGCTGAGGCACAAGAATCTCTTGAACCTGGGAGGCGGAGGTTACAGCGAGCTGAGATCTCACCACTGCACTCCAGCCTGGGTGACAGAGTAAGACTCTGTCTCAAAAAAGAAAAGAAAGAAAATAGAAAAGAAAAGAGGAAAGGAAAAAGAAAAATAGAGGTTGGGAGCTCAACCTTGGAGCTGATGCGTTTTTCCATCGTTTATTCATTCAACAGTCTACTTTTTTCCCAGAGTGTGCCCATTTCTGCATCGGGTGCTGGGGCGCAAATGGGAACAAGGAGGATCTGTCACTATTCTTTGGGAGCTCGTGGAAAGGTGGAAGGGGGGGCTTCATGTGACCCCATTCCCAGAGCTGAACATGGAGGCTTGGGGGGAAGCTGCTTGCCTGAGATGGTGCAAGGGAATAAGTGACAGGGTCAGAACGCAACACACAGAGTGGCTCCAAAACCGGTTTTCTGGTGTGGTGGCCCGTGCCTGTAATCCCAGCCACTCAGGAGGCTGAGGCAGGAGAACTGCTTGACCCCTGGAAGCTGCACTCTAGCCTGGGCAACAGAGTGAGACTCAGTCTCAAAAAATATATAAAATAAAATAAAATAAAGTGCACAATTCCCTGGCATTCAGTGCACACACCATGTTGTGCAATCACTACCTCGATCTACTTCCAGACTATTTCGTCACCCCGTAAAGACGCTCCGTTCCCATCAGCGGTCACTCCCCCTTCCTCTCCCCAGGCCCTGGCAACCACAAATCTGCTTTCTGTCTCTGTGGATTTGCCAGTTCTGGCCATTTCCTACAAATGGAATCACACACTATGTGACATTTCGTGTCTGGCATCTTTCACTTGGCATGTGTTTTTGGGGTTCGTCCATGCTGTAGCAGGGAGCAGTGCATCCTTCCTCTTTTGTTTTGTTTTTGTTTTGTACTTCATTCCTTTTTGTGGCTGAATCATATTCCATTGCATAGATGGACCACATTTTGTTTATCCATTCGTCTGTTGAGGGACATTTGGATCATTTCTACTTTTTGGTTATTTAATTTCCTTTTATTTATTTATTTTATTTTTGAGACAGAGTCTCACTCTGTCGCCCAGGCTGGAGTGCAGTGGCGTGATCTCGGCTCATTGCAACCTCCGCCTCCTGGGTTTCAGAGATTCTTCTGCCTCAGCCTCCTGAGTAGCTGAGACTACAAGTGCGTGCCACCACACCCCAGTAATTTTTGTATTGTTTTGTGTTTTTTTTTTTCCTTTTTGAGATGGAGTCTCACTCTGTCACCCAGGCTGGAGTACAGTGGCACAGTCTCGGCTCACTGCAACCTCCGCCTCCCAGGTTCCAGCGATTATCCTGCCTCAGCCTCCCAAGTAGCTGGGACTACAGGTGCATGCCACCACGCCCGGTTAATTTTTGTATTTTTTAGTAGAGATGGGATTTCACCATATTGGCCAGGCTGGTCTCAATCTCCTGACCTCATGATCCATCTGCCTCAGCCTCCCAAAGTGCTGGGATTACAGGCATGAGCCACCACGTCCGGCCCTAATTTTTGTATTTTTAATAGAGACAGGGCTTCACCATGTTGGCCAGGCTGGTCTCGAACTCCTGACCTCAAGTGATCTGCCAACCTTGGTCTTCCCAAGTGCTGGGATTACAGGCGTGAGCCACCGAGTCCAGCCTTTTTTTAGGGGACAGCAGGGTAACTCTCCGTCACCCAGACTGGAGTGCAGTGGCGTGATCATGGCTCATGGCAGCTTCAACATCCTGAGCTCAAATGATCCTCCTGCCTCGGCCCCCAAAATAGTTGGGACTACAGGTTCATGCCACTATGCCTGGCTTATTTTTTCTTTTTCTTTTTATTATTTATTTATTTTTTGAGATGGAGTTTCGCTCTGTCACCTAGGCTGGAGTGCAATGGTGCGATCTCAGCTCACCAAAATCTCCGCCTCCCGGGTTCAAGTGATTCTCCTGCCTCAGCCTCCCGAGGAGCGGGGATTACAGGCATGTGCCACCATGCCCGGCTAATTTTGTATTTTCAGTAGAGACGGGGTTTCTCCACGTTGGTCAGGCTGGTCTCAAACTCCCAACCTCAGGCGATCTGCCCGCCTCAGCCTCCCAAAGTGTTGGGATTACAGGCGTGAGCCATCACGCCTACTTCCTTTCTCACAATTTTAAACAGTGCTGTTATTGGCCTGGCACCGTGGCTCATGCCTATAATCCCAGCACTTTGGGAGGCCAAGATGGGTGGATCTCTTTGAGCTCAGGAGTTTGAGACCAGCCTGGGCAACACGGTGAAACTCTGTTTCTATAAAACATAACAAACAAACAAACAAACAAACAAAATTAGTCCGGCTTGGTGGCTCATGCCTGTAGTCCCAGCTACTCAGGAGGCTGAGTAGCTCTGTCGCCCAGGCTGGAGTGAAATGGTGTGATCTCAGCTCACCGCAACCTCTGCCTCCCAGATTCAAGCGATTCTCCTGCCTCAGCCTCCTGAGTAGCTGGGATTACAGGGGCCCACCACTACGCCCAGCTAATTTTTTGTATTTTTAGTAGAGACAGCATTTCACCATGTTGGCCAGGGTGACCTTGAACTTCTGACCTCAGGTGATCTGCCAGCCTCAGCCTCCCAAAATACTGGGATTACAAACATGAGCCACTGTGCCTGGCCTAGACCTCATATTTTTAAAAGCAGCTAGTCAGGGTTTTTTAGAGAAATAGAAGCAATTGGATAGGCATGTATTGATAGAAAAAGATTTATTGTGAGGGATTGGCTCACACACTTATGGAGGCTGAGAAGTCCTACTATCTGCTGGCTGCAAACTGTGGACCCAGGAAGCCAGTGATGTCTTTTTTTTTGTTTTTTTGTTTTTGTTTTTCTTTCTTTCTTTTTGAGATGGAGTCTCACTCTGGCCCAGGCTGGAGTACAATGACGCAATCTCAGCTCACTGCAACCTCCACCTCCCAGGTTCAAGTGATTCTCCTGCCTCAGCCTCCTGAGTAGCTGAGATTACAGGTGCGCACCAACCATGCTCCGTTAATTTTTGTATTTTTTAGTAGAGATGGGGTTTCACCATATTGGCCAGGCAGGTCTCGAACTCCTGACCTCATGATGCACCTGCCTCGGCCTCCCAAAGTGCTGGGATTACAGGCGTGAGCCACTGTGCCTGGCCTCGTTGTTTTTCTTGAGATAGAGTCTCACTCTGTCACACTGGCTGGCGTGTAGTAGCACAATCTTGGCTCACCGCAACTTTCACCTCTCGAGTTCAAGCGATTGTCCTGCCTCAGCCTCCCGAGTAGCTGAGATTACAGGCACGCACCACCACATCCCACTAATTTTTGCATTTTTTTGTAGAGATGGGTTTTCGCCATGTTGCCTAGGCAGGTCTTGACCGCCTGGGCTCAAGCGATCCTCCTGCTTCGAACTTGCAAAGAGTTGGGATTACAGGTGAGAGCCAGAACATCTCTCGTTTGATCTTGTCACCTTCTAACACATGACACCAGTTTCTTATTCCTGATGGCTTTGTTATTGTTCTTCTCTCTACTAGAGTCGGCTACATGAGGCCACATGGTCGTCTGTGAATTGGGGACAGTGACACCCACCTCGATGTGTATATAGGGTGGGGGTCCACAGGGCCCACAGGGAAGTGTATTTGGTTTCCCACCATCACACCTTCCAAAACAGCCTCGGTAGCCGGATGTGGTGGCTCATGCCTGTAATCCCAGCACTTTGGGAGACTGAGGCAGGATGATTATTTGAGGCCAGAAGTTTGAGACCAGCCTGAACAACATAACAAGACCCCTGACTCTACAAAAAATTAAAAAATTAGCCAGGTGTGGTGGCCCATGCTTGTAGTCCCATCTACTGAAGAGGCTGAGGTGGAAGGATCACTTTAGCTTGGGAAGTCAAGGCTGCAGTGAGCTATGATCGCGCCACTGCACTTCAGCCTGAGTGACAGAGCGAAACCCCGTCTCAAACAAGCAAACCAACAATAATAAAACAGCCACAGTGAACTTCCATCCAAAATATATCCCAGGCTGGGCGCGGTGGCTCATGCCTGTAATCCCAGCACTTTGGGAGGCCAAGGTGGGCGGATCACTTGGGGCCAGGAGTTTGAGACCAGTCTGGTCAACATGGTAAAACCTCTTCTCTACTAAAAATACAAAAAATTAGCTGGGTGTAGTGGTGCACGCCTGTAATCCAAGCTACTAGAGAGGCTGGGGCAGAAGAATCGCTTGAACCCCGGAGGTGGAGGTTGCAGTGAGCTGAGACCGTGCCACTGCACTCCAGCCTGGGAGACAGAGCACAACTCTGTCTCAAAACAAAAATAAAAACAAAAACAAAAAACAAAATATATCCCAGCCTGAAGCCTGGCTCGGGAATTCCAAGGGGTCTGCAGGGGCTACCTTCCTCTCCAGACACTGTCAGCAACCTTTACCACCCTCAATAGCAGCCTTGAGTCTCTGCAGCAACCAAAGCTTTGAGGCCAAGCCAAAACCCACCTCCCTGACACGCTAGCACATCCCCAAAAAAGCAACCTGTGATCGTAGAATCAAGGTGGCTGCCGGCTTGCCCCCGCCACCTGAGGTTTACACAGACCCACCATCCCCTTCAAAGACACTGTTCAAAGCAAGGAGAGCTCTAACACAGACACACACACACCTATTTTTCTTTTCACTACCAGCATGCCCGGGTGTGCCTGAGGCTTGGCTGTGTATCCAGATCCCACAAGGGGCTCCTTTGAAACAGGAATGGGGCCACAGAGGAGGGGCCCACAGGAACCCGCAAGCACCCACTGTTCCTAGGGAGGAGTGCTGTACATGGAGGGTCCCGGGTCCACCCGAACTGGCCACACTTCTGCAAGGGCAGCCACCGCGAGGGCCACGTCTGTGGAAGCTGGGAGCTCAACAAAAAGGGTTTCTTTTTTTTCCTTTTTTTGAGATGGAGTCTCACTCTGTCACCCAGGCTGGAGTGTAGTGGCGTGATCTCGGCTCACTGCAACCTCCGTCTCCCTGGTTCGAGCGATTCTCCTGCCTCAGCCTCCCGAGTAGCTGGGATTCCAGGCACCCACCACCACGCCTGGCTAATTTTTGTATTTTTTAGTAGAGACGGGATTTCACCATGTTGCCCAGACTGGTTTCGAACTCCTGACCTTCAAGTGATCTGCCCGCCTCAGCCTCCCAAAGTGCTGGGATTATAGGCATGAAACACCGTGCCCTGCCAACAAAGTGGATTTTAAAGAGACCCAAGTCTGGGCTGGGAGAAGCCACTGCAATATCCTAAATATCCTTTTCCCAAAGCCGTGGAATTTCTCTGCAGCGGCCAGGGCCAACGCTTACCCTCGAGGGACCTCTCTTGGTATGAAGGAAAAATTCCATTTTCCTGGACCTGGGGAAGCTGATGTGGAACTCGAGGAGGGGCCAGCCTACGTTGAGAGCAGACACAGGGCACAGGGTAGGTTATAAATTTAGGACTCCAGGCTCAGGGGCGTGACCAGGCTGATTTAGGTCTTCAAGCAGGACAGTGCTAGGGATGGCCTCATTCAATATTTTTTTCTTTTCTTTTTTTTTCTGAGATGGAGTCTTGCTCTGTTGCCCAGGCTGGAGTGCAGTGGTGTGATCTCGGCTCACTGCAACCTCTACCACCCGGGTTCAAGCGATTATCCTACGTCAGCCTCCCGAGTAGCTGGGACTACAGGTGAGCGCCACTAGGTCTGGCTAATTTTTTGTATTTTTAGTAGAGACGGGGTTTTGCTGGGTTGGCCAGGCTGGTCTTGAACTGAACTCAAGTGATCCGCCCACCTGGGCCTCCCAAAATGCTAGGATTACAGGCATGAGCCACGGTGCCCAGCCTCATTCATTTTTTTTTTTTTGAGATGGGATCTTGCTATATTGCCCAGGCTGGTCTAGAATTCCTAGGCTGAAGGGATCCTTTTGCCTCAGCTTCCTGAGAACCTGGGACTACAAGTGCATGCCACCATGCCTGGCAAGGTTGGCCTCATTCTGTCTGGAACCCGGCCTAGACTGGGCGAGAGAGACACTTGTGATAAAGACCCATGGAGACTTCAATTTGTCTGAAACTTTTAAAAAGTTTCAATAATGAGCCGGGTGCAGTGGCTTATGCCTGTAATCCCAGCACTTTGGGAGGCCAAGGCAGGAGGATCACTTGAACCCAGGAGTTTGAGACAAGCCTGGGCAACATGGTGAGACCCTGTCTCTATAAAAAAGTAAAAAAAATTGGCCAAGCACGGTGGCTCACACCTGTAATCCCATCACTTTGGGAGGCCGAGACGGGCTGGATACCTGAGGTCGGGAGTTCAAGACTAGCCTGACCAACATGGAGAAACCCCATCTCTACTAAAAATACAAAATTAGCCGGGCGTGGTGGCGCATGCCTGTAACCCTAGCTACTTGGGAGGCTGAGGCAGGAGAATCGCTTGAACTCAGGAGGAGGAGGTTGCAGTGAGCCAAGATCTCACCATTGCACTCTAGCCTGGACTAGAGTGAAACTCTGTCTCAAAAAAAAAAAAAGTGAAAAATGTAGCCAGGCATGGTGGCCCGTGTCTGTAGTCCCACCTGCTTGAAAGGCTGAGGCAGGAAGATTGCTTGAACCCAAGAGATCAAGGCTGCAATGAGCCATCACGGTGCCACCAGCCTGCACTCCAGCCTGGGCAACAGAGCAAGATCCTGTCTCAAAAAATATATATTCAATAATGAATCGTCACAATTTAGACAAAGAAAAGAACGCAAGCATTCATAAATAGCTCCTGCTCAGTGGCGGCTGGTCAGATACCAGGTGCCACCATATGCCCCTCATGTATCACTCTCTGGGGTGTTGGGGGTGTCACTAGATTCCATTTCTCAGGTGAAACACAGAGAGACCAAGACATTGGAGAGAGGTCACACAGCAAGCAGATGGCTGGGCAGACATGTGAATTCAGACGTGATGTAGTTGACCCAGACTCACTATCTCCATCCCCTGTGGTTTGAACACAGTGATGTGTCATATGTCTGCCAGCACTTTCATCTTGAACTTCCCGGGCTCAAGAACTATAAGCAACACATTTCAGTTTTTCTTTTTTCTTTTTCTTTTTATCTTTTGAGATGGAGTCCTGCTCTGTTGCCCAGACTGGAGTGCAATGGTGCGATCTCAGCTCACTGCAACCTCGGCCTCCCGAGTTCAAGTGATTCGCCTGCCTCAGCCTCCTGTGTAGCTGGGAATCACAGGCACTCACCACCATGCCTGGTTAATTTTCATATTTTTAGTAGAGACGGGGATTTGCCATGTTGGCCAGACTGGTTTCAAACTCCTGACCTCAGGTGATCCGTCTGCCTTGGCTTTCCAAAGTGCTGGGATTACAGGCGTGAGGCCACTATGCCTGGCCCAGTTTTTATTTTTATTTTTGAGACAGGGTCTCGCTCTGTCGCCCAGGCTGCAGTGCAGTGGTGTGATCTCAGCTCACTGCATCCTCGACCTTCTAGGCTCAAGCAATTCTCCCACCTCAGCCTCCTGAGTAGTGGGGACTACAGGCCCACATCACCATGCCCAGCTAATATGTCAAAATTTTTTGTAGAGACAGGGTCTCACTATGTTGCCCAGGCTGTTTTCAAACTCCTGGGCTCAAGCGATCCTCCTGCCTTGGCCTCCCAAAGTGCTGAGATTACAGACGTGAGCCACTACACCTGGCCCCTGCCAAATATTTTTAATCCCCACTTGGTTGCGTCTGAAGGTGCAGGGCCGACTGATAGAGAAGATCACTGTATTGTTTGTTAGGTTTTTAAAAATAGCTAGAAAAAAAAATCTGCACCATAAGACAGGTTGAGAAAAAATAACTAGTAGCCAAGTAAACAAAAGTGGTCATGGGCCCTCCAGTGATGACTAGACCAAGCACTGTTTTTATTCTCAGCCTCTCCATATGACATACTAGAAAATCCCTCTGGAGAGGGGATTACATGCAGATGCCAGCCGGATGCGGTGGCTCATGCCTGTAATCCCAGTACTTTGGGAGGCCGAGGCGGGCAGATCACTTGAGGTCAGGAGTTCCAGACCAGCCTGGCCAACATGGAGAAACCCCTTCTCTACAGAAAATACAAAAAATTGGCCAGGTGTGGTGGTGGGCACCTGTAATCCCAGCTACTTGGGCTGAGGCCCAAGAATTGCTTGAGCCTGTGAGGCGGAGGTTGCAGTGAGCCGAGATCGCGCCATTGCACTCCAGCCTGGGCTACAGAGTGAGACTTTGTCTTTAAAAATATATATATAAAAAATAAAAATAAATAAATGCAAATGACTGGGCCCACCTAGGACTCTCTTAAACTGAGTGCCTGGGTGGAGGTGGAGGGTGATCCTCGGAGACTGTGCCCCTCGAATCCGAGATGTCTGCATCCAGGGGAAGTCTTGGTGCCTTTGAAAGTCCTTTTGTCCCCACTGGGACAAATTATCCCTTTTTTGTTGTTTTTTGAGACATGGTCTCGCTCTGTCACCCAGGCTGGAGTGCAGTGGCTCGATCTCGGCTTACTGCAAACTCCGCCTCCCGGGTTCAAGTGATTCTCCTGCTTCAGCCTCCCAAGTAGCTGGATTACAGGCATGGGCCACAACACCTGGCTAATTTTTGGATTTTCAGTGGAGACGGGATTTCACCATGTTGGCCAGGCTGGTCTCGAACTCCTGTGCTCAAGCGGTCCTCCCTTCTCGGCCTCCCAAAGTGTTGGGATTATAGGCGTGAGCCACTGCGCCCAGCTGACAATTTCTTTTGGGTGATTTTTTAGAGTCTCCAGTTGAATCCCACTTCCCAAGCCCCATGCCAGATTCAAAGACAGCTCACGTCTCTGTCCAAGCCTCAATCTCCCCCTCTGGAAAATGGGTTGATACCACCTGCTCTCAGAATTGCTGGGCACTGCTTGTTAACTGATGGTGTCCTGTTTTTTGTGTCACACTAAGGTTTCGCAACCTCAGCATGTTGACGTTTGGGGCAGGATAGTTCAATTTTTGTGGGGGACTGTCCCGTGCATCATAGATGTTTAGGAGCATCCCTGGCCCCTACCCACTAGACGACAGTAAAGAGTTGCTGGATTCAGCAAATATAAATACAGAAAACCCCGTTAAACGTAAACTGCAGATAAACAAATACTGCTTCTGCCTAAGTATGTCTCAAATGTTGCATGGCACATACTTATACTAAAAAGACATTTGAGCCAGGCGCGTTGGCTCACGCCTGTAATCCCACAACTTTGGGAGGCCAAGGCGGGCGGATCACGAAGTCAGGAGTTCAAAACCAGCCTAACATGGTGAAACCCCTCTCTACTAAAAAATAAAAATTAGCCAGGCGTGGTGGCAGGTGCCTGTAATCCCAGCTACTCAGGAGCCTGAGGCAGGAGAATCGCTTGAACCCGGGAGGTGGAGGTTGCAGTGAGCTGAGATCGTGCCACTGCACTCCAGCCTGGGTGACAGAACGAGACTCCGTCTCAAAATAACAAACAAACAAACACAACTCACAGAATAGGAGGGAACATTTGCAAATCATGTACCTGCTAAGAGATTTGTATCCAGAATAGAAAAATAACTTTTTTTTTTTTTTTTTTTTGAGATGGAGTCTCGTTCTGTTGCCCAGGCTGGAGTGCAGTGGCGTGATCTCGGCTCACTGCAAGCTCCGCCTCCCGGGTTCAGGCCATTCTCCTGCCTCAGCCTCCCGAGTAGCTGGGACTACAGGCGCCTCCACCACGCCCGGCTAATTTTTTGTATTTTTACTAGAGATGGGGTTTCACCGTGTTAGCCAGGATGGTCTCGATCTCCTGATCTCGTGATCCACCCGCCTCGGCCTCCCAAAGTGCTGGGATTACAGACGTGAGCCACCGCGCCCGGCCGAAAAAAACTCTTATAAATCAACAATAAAAAGATAAATAACAGAATGTATTTGTTTAGTTATTTATTTTTCAGAGACAGGATCTCACTGTGTGGCCCAGACTTGAGTGCAATGGCCCCATTCTAGCTCCTAGCTCACTGCAGCCTTGAATTCCCGGGCTCAAGCGATCCTCCCACCTCAGCCTTCCAAGTATCTAGGACTACAGGTGTGTGCCACCATGCCTGACTAAGTTTTTGCTTTTATTTTTGGTAGGGAGACATCTTGCTGTGTTTCCCAGGCTGATTTCAATCTCCTGGCCTCAAGCAATCCTCCCACCTTTGCCTCTCAAAGCACTAGACGGTGTATTTTCTTACAAGGGCAGTGATCCCATCATGCGGTACTCCCCTCATGACCTCATCTAACCGTGATCACCTCCTAGAGGCCCCATCTTCTTTTTCTTTTTTTTTAGGATGGAGTCTTGCTCTGTCACCCAGGCTGGAGTGCAGTGGTGTGATCTCGGCTCACTGCAAGCTCTGCCTCCCGGGTTCATGCCATTCTCCTGCCTCAGCCTCCCGAGTACCTGGGACTACAGGCGCCCGCCACCATGCCCAGCTAATTTTTTTGTATTTTTAGTAGAGATGGGGTTTCACCGTGTTAGCCAGGATTGTCCCGATCTCCTGACCTTGTAATCTGCCCGCCTCAGCCTCCCAAAGTGCTGGGATTACAGGTGTGAGCCACCGCGCCCGGCTGAGGCCCTATCTTCTAATACCATAACAATGGGGGTTTAAAATTTCACAAGATGCATTTTTTTTTTTTGAGATGGAATCTCGCTCTATTGCCCAGGCTGGAGTGCAGTGGTGCAGTCTTGGCTCACTGTAGCCTCTGCCTCCCAGGTTCAAGCAATTCTCCTGCCTGAGCCTCCCGAGTAGCTGGGATTATAGGCATGTGCCACCATACCTGGCTAATTTTTGTATTTGTAGTAGCAATGCGGTTTCACCATGTTGGCCAGGCTGGTCTCGAACTCCCAACCTCAGGTGATCTGCCCGCCTCCTAAGCCTCCTAAAGTGCTGGGATTACAGGTGTGAACCACCGTGCCCAGCCACCATATGCATTTTATGGAGACAAGAACATTCTGTCCTTAACAGGCACCAAGATCATTCAGCAGGGGATAGAAGGGCATCTTCAGCCCGTGGTGCTAGAATGACTTTGCATCCACAGGCAAAGGAATGAAGTTGGATCCCTACCTCCTACCATGCTCAAAAAATGAGCTCAAAATGGATCAAAGCCCTAAAGGCAATAGCTAAAACCATAAAACTTTTTTCTGTTGCCCAGGCTAGAGTGCAGTGGCGCCATCTTGGCTCGCTGCAACCTCCACCTCTTGGGTTCAAGCAATCCTCCTGCCTCAGCCTCCTGAGTAGCTGGGATTACAGGCGTGCACCACCACACCTGGGTAATTTATGGTTTTCTTTTTTTTTTTTTCTTTTTTTTTGAGACGGAGTCTCGCTCTGTTGCCCAGGCTGGAGCACGGTGGCATGATCTCCGCTCACTGCAAGCTCCGCCCCCCTAGGTTCATGCCATTCTCCTGCCTCAGCCTCCCGGGTAGCTGGGACTACAGGTGCCCGCCACCACGCCCGGCTAATTTTTTGTATTTTTAGTACAGATGGGGTTTCACCGTGTTTGCCAGGATGGTCTCGATCTCCTGACCTAGTGATCCACCCGCCTCGGCCTCCCAAAGTGCTGGGATTACAGGGGTGAGCCACCGCGCCTGGCCTAATTTATGTATTTTTGGTAGAGATGGGGTTTTGCCATATTGGCCAGGCTGGTCTCAAACTCCTGACCTCAGGCGATTCGCCCACCTTGGCCTCCCAAAGTGATGGGATTACAGGCATGAAACACAGCGCCTGGTCTTTTTTAAAAAAATGTTTTGAGGCAGGGTCTGGCTCTGTTGCCCAGGCTGGAGTGCAGTGGCATGATCTCAGCTCCCTGCAACCTCCCCCTCCCGGATTCAAGTGATCATCCCACCTCAGTCTCCCAGGTAGCTGAGACTACAGGTGCACGCCACCATGTCCGGCTGATTTTTATATTTTTAGTAGAGACAGGGTTTTGCCATGTTGCCCAGGCTGGTCTCAAACTCCTGGGCTCAAGCGACCCTTCCAAGGTGGCCTCCCAAAGTGTTGGGATTACAGGCATGAGCCACCGTGCCTGGCCCTTGTGATGGCTAATTTTCTGTATCAACTTGACTAAACTAAGGGATGCCCAGATACCTGGTTACACATGATTTCTGGGTGTGTTTGTGAGGTTGTTTCAGGAAGAGGTTAGCATTTGCACTGGTGGGCTGAGCAGGTGGGCCTCCCCAGTGCAGATGAGCATCATCCCACCCTGTGAGGGCCTGAATAGAACAGAAAGGCCCAGGGAAGTTGGATTGACTCATCTTCTGCCCACCCCCCTAAGCTGGGGCTTTGATCTCTTCCTGCCCGTGGTGCTCCTGGTTCTCACTGGAATCAGCCTTGTCTCTCAGGGTTTCCAGTGATACCATAGGACTTTCCTGGGTCTCCAGCTTGCAAATGGCAAGCAGATCACGAGACTTCTCCATGACTGAAAGAGTCAGTTCCTTATAAGAAATCTATTTCTGGCCAGGCGTGGTGTCTCATGCCTGTAATCCCAGCACTTTGGGAGGCCGAGGCAGGCGGATCACCTGAGATAAGGTGTTTGAAACCAGCCTGGCCAACATGGTGAAACCCCGTCTCTACTAAAAATACAAAAATTAGCTGGGCGTGGTTGTGCACACCTGTAATCCGAGCTACTCGGGAGGCTGAGGCGGGAGAATCGCTTGAACCTGGGAGGCAGAGGTTGCCATGAGCCAAGATTGCACCACTGCACTCCAGGCTGGGTGACAGAGCAAGATTCTGTCTCAAAAAGAAAAGAAATCTCTTTCTAGGCTGGGTAGGTAGCTCACGCCTGTAAACCCAGCACTTTTAGAGGCTGAGACAGGAGGATCGCTTGAGGCCAGGAGTTCAAGACCAGCCTGGGCAACATAAGGAGATCCCCGTCTCTATATATATAAAAACAATTTTTTTTAAAGAAAAAAAGTTTAAAAACAAGAAATCTCTTTCTAGTCTTTCCATATATCCTATTGTTTCTGTTTCTCTGCAGAATCCTAATGCAGTCTCTATATGCTCAAAGAGTACAAAGATGTTGATAGGTCTTTAAAAAATTTTTCTTTAATTTATTTTTTATTTTTTGAGACAGGGTCTCACTCTGTCACCCAGGGTGCAGTGCAGTGGCACAATCAAGGCTCACTGCAGCCTCAACCTCCTGGGCTCAAGCAGTCCTCCCCCCTGAGCCTCCTGAGTAGCTGGGACTACAGGCACGTGCCACTGCGCCTGGCTAAGTTTTACATTTTTTGCAGCAACGGGCCCTCAATATGTTGCCCAGGTTGGTGTTGAACTCCTAGGCTCAAGTGATCCTCCTGCCTCAGCCTCCCAAAGTGCTAAGGTTACAGATGTGAGCCACCGAGCCCAGCCCAAGGGTCAACTTTAATTACGTGTCTGGCTATTTCTTCATAAACAAAATGAACAACCATGTGTGCTGCTTAAGTGTCTGCCGGCTGGGGGGATTTCCCTTCACCACTGCCCTTCAAGGATGTCCCACAAAGGGGCTGCAGTGCTGTGGCTGTCCACTTCCAGGTGAAGCGGGAGTGTCACCCAGAATCATCGGTAAACCAGGCCAAGCATTTTCTTTTTTTTTTTTTTTGGTTCATGCTATTCTCCTGCTTCAGCCTCTGGAGTAGCTGGGACTATAGGCACCCGCCATCACGCCTGGCTAATTTTTTGTATTTTTAGTAGAGACGGGGTTTCACCATGTTAGCCAGGATGGTCTCGATCTCCAGGATGGTCTCGATCTTCTGACCTCGTGATCTGCCCGCCTGGGCCTCCCAAAGTGCTGGGATTACAAGTGTGAGCCACCGCGCCCGGCTTTTTTTTTTTTAGATGAAGTCTTGCTCTGTCGCCCAGGCTGGAGCGCAGTGGTGCGATCTTGGCTCACTGCAACCTCCGCCTCCCAAGTTCGAGAGATTCTCCTGCCTCACCCTCCTGAGTAGCTGGGATTACCATGCTACCATGTACCACCATTCCCAGCTAATTTTTGTACTTTCAGTAGAGATGGAGTTTCTCAGTGCTGGCCAGGCTGGTCTCAAACTCTTGACCTCAAATGATCCGCCCACCTTGGCCTCCCAAAGTGCTGAGATTACAGGCGTGAGCCACTGCGCCCAGGCAATAATTTTTTAAAAAATTTGTAGCTGGGCATAGTGGCTCACGCCAAGGTGTGAGGATTGCTTGAGGCCAGGAGTTCTAGACCAGCCTAGGCAACATAATGAGACACGAGGCCAGGCGCGGTGGCTCACGCCTATAATCCCAGCACTTTGGGAGGCTGAGGCGGGTGGATCATGAGGTCAGGAGATCAAGACCATCCTGGCTAATATGGTGAAACCCCATTTCTACTAAAAATACAAAAAATTAGCCAGGCGTGGTGGCGGTGCCTGTAGTCGCAGCTACTCAGGAGGCTGAGGCAGCAGAATGGCCTGAATCCGGGAGGCGGAGCTTGCAGTGAACCAAGATCACGCCACTGCACTCCAGCCTGGGCAATAGAGTGAGACTCCGCCTCAAAAAAAAAAAAAAAAAAAAACAACCATAATGAGACACCAACTCTACAAAAATAAATAAATAAATAAAAATTAAAAAAATTAGCCAGGTATGTAACAAGCATCTGTAGTCCTAGGATGCTGAGGTGGGAGGATGGCTTGAGCCCAGGAGTTGGAGGCTGCAGTGAGCTATGAGCACACCACTGCACTCTAGCCTGGGCAACACAGCAAGACCCTGTCTCAAAAAAAACAAAAAAATTGGTAGAATAAATCAGCAAAACCATCTATTCCTGGGATTTTCTTTGCTGGATTCTTTAATTACTAACTTTACTTGTTGTAGGTCTATGTAGCTTTTGTATTTTTTTTTCTGAGATGGGGTCTTGCTCTGTAGCCCAGGCTGGAGTGCAGTAGTGTGATCTCAGGTCACTGCAACCTCCACCTCCCAGGCATACTCAAGCGATCCTCCTGCCTCAGCCTACTGTGAAGCTGAGACTACAGGTATGCGCCACCACACCCAGCTATTTTGTGTATTTTTTTGTAGAGATGGGGGTCTCACTATGTTGCCCAGGCTTGTCTCTAACTCCTGAGCTAAAAGCAATCTGCCCGCTTCGGCCTCCCAAAGTGCTGGGATTACAGGCATGAGCCACCGCACCCAGCAGTTTTGTATTTATTCTTGAGTCAGTTTTAGTAGTTTTTGTGTTTCTAGAAAATTTTCCATTTCATTTAGCTTATTCAGTATGTGGTCACCCAATTGCTCATACTTTTTATTTTATTTTATTTATTTATTTATTTTTATTTTTTTGAGATGGAGTCTCGCTCTGTCGCCAGGCTGGAGTGCAGTGGCACAATCTCGGCTCCCTGCAACCTCCGTTTCCCGGGTTCAAGCGATTCTCCTGGCTTGGCCTCCCAAGTAGCTGGGAGTACAGGCACACACCACCAGGCCCAGCTATTTTTTTTGTATTTTTAGTAGAGACGGGGTTTCACCATGTTGGCCAGGATAGTCTGGATCACTTGACCTCGTGATCCGCCTGCCTCGGCCTCCCAAAGTGCTGGGATTCCAGGCGTGAGCCACTGCGCCAGGCCTCAACTGCTTATACTTATACTCTTTTCTGTTTCTGTAAAGCCAGTAGTATTGTCTTCCCTTTCATTCCTGATTTTAGTAATCTGAGTCTCTTTCCTGTTTTCCTTGGTCAATCTAGCTAAAGTTTCATCAATTTTCTTTTTTTCTTTTTTTTTGAGATGGAGTTTTTGCTCTTGGTGACCAGGCTGGAGTGCAGTGGCGCAATCTCCACTCACTGCAACCTCCACCTCCCAGGTTCAAGCAATTCTGCCTTAGCCTCCCAAGTAACTGGGATTACAGGCATGCAGCACCATGCCTGGCTAATTTTTTGTATTTTTAGTAGAGACAGGGTTTCTCCATGTTGGTCAGGCTGGTCTCAAAATCCCGACCTCAGGGGATTCGCCCTCCTCAGCCTCCCAAAGAGCTAGGATTACAGGCGTGAGCCACCGCGCCTGGCCGTCAATTTTCTTTTCTTTTTTCTTTTTTCTTTTTTTTTGAGATGGAGTCTTACTCTGTCACTCAGGCTGGAGTGCCGTGGCACGATATTGGCTCACCGTAACCTCCATCTCCCGGGTTCAAGTGATTCTCCTGCCTCAGCCTCCCGAGTAGCTGGGATTACAGGTGCCTGCCACCACACCCAGCTAATTTTTGTATATTTAGTAGAGACGGGGTTTCACCATTTGGGCCAGGCTGGTCTTGAACTACTGACCTTGTGATCCACCCGCCTTGGCCTCCCAAAGTGCTGAGATTACAGGCGTGAGCCACCGCGCCCGGCCAATTTTCTTAGTCTTTTCAGATAATGAACTTTTAGTTTTATTCATTTTCTCTATTGCTTTTCTTTTTCTTTTTCTGTTTTTTTTGTTTGTTTGTTTGTTTGAGAGAGGGTCTCACTTCATCGCACAGGCTGAAGTGCAGTCATAGGTCACTGCAGCCTGGACCTCCCAGGCTCAAGGAATCCTCCTGTCTTGGCCTCCTGAGTGTCTGGAACCACAGGCGCCCACCACCACACCTGAATGATTTATTTTTAGTAGAGACGAGGTCTTGCTATGTTGCCCAGGTTGGTCTTGAACTGAGGTCAAGTGATTCTCCCACTTCAGCCTCCCAAAGTGCCAGTGTCAGGCATCAGCCACTGTGCCCAGCCATGCATTTTATTCCCTTTCTTATTTTTCTCTGTTCTAATCTTCAGTATTTCCTTCCCTCTTTGGGTTTATTTGCTCGTCTTCTAGTTTCTTAATGTAGGAAGCTTAAGTTATTGATTTGAGATCCTCTGTGTTTTGTTTGCTTTTTTTTTAGACGGAGTCCCATTCTGTTGCCCAGGCTGGAATGCAGTGGTGAGATCTCAGCTCACTGAAACCTCTGCCTCCTGGGTTCAAGTGATTCTCCTGCCTCAGCCTCCCTAGAAGATGGGATTACAGGTGTGCGCCACTACACCCAGCTAATTTTTGTATTTTCAGTAGAGATGGGGTTTCACCATGTTGGCCAGGCTGGTCTCGAACTCCTGACCTCAAGTGATCTGCCCGCCTCGGCCTCCCAAATTGCTGGGATTACAGGCATGAGCCACTGTGCCCAGCTGAGAGCCTCTGTTTTGATGTAGACATTTATAGCTATGAATTTCCCTCTGAGCACTGCTTTTGCTCCATCCCATAGTTTCGGTATTTTATATTTGAATTGTTATTCATTTTAAAGTACTTTCTAATTTCCCTTTTAATTTTTTCTTTAACTCCATAATTTAGAAACATATTTTTAATCAGTATGAATCACAAATTCATATTTGTTAATTTTCTAAATCTCCTTCTGTTATTAAATTCTATTTTCATGCCACTGTGGTAAGAAAATATATTTTGTATGATTTCAGTCTTCTTAAATGTATTGATACTTGTGACCTGATATTTGCTGTATTCAAGAAAATGTTCCATGTGCCTTTGGAAGGAACATGTATTCTGTCATTGTTGGGCAGAGAATTCTATAAATGTCTGTTAGGTCTAGTTGGATAATTGTTTTGATGAAATTTTCTGTTTCCTTGATGATCTTCTGTCTAGTTATTTTATCCATTTTTAAAAGTGGGGTGGCTGGGCACGGTGGCTCATACCTGTAATCCTAGCACTTTGGGAGGCCAAGGCGGGTAGATCACTTGAAGTCAGGAGATTAAGACCAGCCTGGCCAACACGGTGAAACCCCATCTCTACTAAACATACAAAAAAATTAGCCGGGCATGGTGTGTGTGCCTGTAATCCCAGCTTACTCTGGAGGCTAAGGTAGGAGAATTGCTTGAACCTGGGAGGTGGAGGTTGAAGTGAGTTGAGATCACACCACTGTACTCCAGCCTGGGCAACAGAGTGAGACTGTCTCAAAAATAAATAAATAAATAATAAAAATAAAAGTGGGGTATAGGCCAGGCACAGTGGCTCATGCCTGTAATCCCAGCACTTTGGGAGGCTGAGGTGGACAGATCACTTGAGCCCAGAAGGTCGAGACCAGCCTGGGCAACATAGCAAGACCCTTTCTCTACAAAAAATAAAAAAAAATTAACCAGGCGTGGTGGCACACACCTGTAGTCTCAGCTACTCTGGAGGCTGAGGCAGGGAGATCACTTGAGCCTGGGAGGTCGAGGTTGCAGTAGGCAGAGATTGCAACATTGTGCTCCAGCACCCACAATAGAGTGAGACCCTGTCTGTACAAAAAAAAAAAACAACACTTTTTTTTTGAGACAGGGTCTCACTCTATTGCCCAGGCTAGTCTCAAACTCCTTTACTCAAACACTCCTCCTCCTACCTTGGCCTCCCAAGCTGCTGGGATTATAGGCGTGATCCACAGTGACCAGCCTTGATTTCTTTTTAAATCCATTCTGACACACTCTGCATTTTAGGTAGAGTTTAATCCATTTACATTTAATGTAATTGCTGATGAGCACTTATTTCTGCCATTTTCTGATGTTTCTTTTTCTTTTTTTTGAGACGGAGTCTCACTCTGTCACCCAGGCTGGAGTGCAGTGGCGTGATCTCGGCTCACTGCAACCTCTGCCTCCCGGGTTCAAGTGATTCTCGTGCCTCAGCCTCCCGAGTAGCCAGGATTACGGGTGTGTGCTACCATGCCTGGCTAATTTTTGTATTTTTCATAGAGATGGGGTTTCACCACGTTGGCTAGGTTAGTCTCAAACTCCTGACCTCAAGGGATCCACCTGCCCACCTGCCTCAGCCTCTCAAAGTGCTGGGATTACAGGTGTGAGGCACCGCACCTGGCCTCCTATTTTTCTATACATCTTATGTCTTTTTTGTTCAATTCCTCCACTACTGACTTCTTTTTTGTTAAATAGATGTGGTTTTTTTTTTTTTTTGGTCTTTTTCTTTAAATAGATGTATTCTAATGTACCATCCCAATGTCACTTTGCAATTGTGAGTGTATACAGGAAATAAGAAGAGATCTTTAGAAATGGAGTAGGTGGGTCAAAGTGGGAGAGGGGCAATTAAAACTCTGAAAGGTGGGCTGGGTGTGGTGGCTCACGCCTGTAATCCCAGCACTTTGGGAGGCTGAGGAGGGAGGATCGCTTGAGCTTAGGAGACTGAGACCAGCCTGAGCAACATAGTAAGACACTGTCTCTACAAATAAACAATTTAAAAGATAGCTGTGTGTGGTGGTGTGTGCCTGTAGTCCCTGCTACTCATGAGGCTGAGGTGGGAGGATCCCTTGAGCCCAGAAGGTTGAGACTGCAGTGAGCTGGGTCACACCACTGCACCCCAGTCTGGGTGACAGAGCAAGACCTTGTCTAAAAATAAATTTTAAAAACTCTGATAGGTGTTACTAAATTGATCTGAAATTTGTCTACAAATTCCACTGGATGTGTTCCAAAGAGAGCTTTGCATGATATTAAAATTATCTGTTGGTCTGTCAGTATTCCCCCTTAAACTGTGCCTTCTTGGAGAGGGAGACCTACTTTTATTCATTGTTTATATTCCTACAGTTTAGTGCATGCTAGGAGCCCCCCTGAAATGTTATTTTTATTTTCTGTAGAGATGGGGGTTTTGCTGTTTCCTAGGCTGGTCTTGTACTCCTGACCTCAAGTAATCGTCCCACCTCAATCTTCCAAAGAGCTGTGATTATAGGTATGAGCCACTATGTCTTGTCCCTGAAAAAGAGTGAAGAAGGCTGTGGCTCACACCTGTAATCCTAGCACTTTGGGAGGCAGAGGCAGGTGGATCACCCGAGGTCAGGAGTTCGAGACCAGCCTGGCCAACATGGTGAAACCCCATTTCTCCTAAAAATACAAAAAAATTAGCCGGGCATGGTGGCAGGTGCCTGTAATCCCAGCTACTTGGGAGGCTGAGACAGGAAAATTGCTTGAACCCAGGAGGTGGAGGTTGCAGTGAGCCAAGATTGTGCCATTGTACTCCAGCCTGGGCGACTGAGTGTAACTCCGTCTCAGGGAAAAAAAAAAAAATGTGAAGAAGGAGAACAGAACCTCTGTCCCTGTGATGATAAACAGGCAAATTGGAAATAAGGAACCACGGCAAACTGGGAACTTTTAGTTCAGCTGTGCAAGCTAGGAGCTCTTTCAGCTGACTTATTTAAAGAGCAGCAGAATCTTGGGACAGAAAGGGAAATGAGGGTGTTTTCCAAGATACTTTACCAGAGAGGAAGCGAACGCCTGGGGTTAGGAAATTAAGGCCCATAAACCAGTAGCTTACCTTGGATTTAAAGTGTCAGAAAACTTTTTATTGAGCACCTACTGTATGAGGCATCATTCTCTCCGTGGGGAAGATCATAATGAACAAGGCCAACACCCTGTCCTTATGGAACTATGCATTAAGAGAGTGACTGGTAGCTCATTTATTCCTCTCATATATATATATATATATATATACACACAGAGAGAGAGAGATAGAGTGTATATATATATACACACACACACTCCCTATCTATATATAATAGAGTGACTAGTAGCTCATTTATTCTTATATATACAGTGTGTATATATATGTATATACACGCACTGTCTATCTCTGTCTCTATATATAATAGAGTGACTAGTAGCTCACTTATTCTTATATATACAGTGTGTATATATATGTATATACGCGCACTCTCTCTATATATATAATAAAGTGACTAGTAGCTCATTTATTCCTCTCATATATACAGTGAGATATATAATATACATCATATATATATATACATATATATATATGTATATATATATATATATATATATATATATATATATATATATATACACTTTTTTTTTGAGACGGAGTCTCGCTCTGTCACCCAGGCTGGAGTGCAGTGGTGCAATGTTGGCTCACTGCAGCCTCCGCCTCCTGGGTTCAAGCAGTTCTCCTGCCTCAGCCTCCCAAGTAGCTAGGATTACAGGCACGCACCATACCCGGCTAATTTTTGTATTTTTAGTAGAGACGGGGTTTCACCACGTTGGCCAGGCTGGTCTCGAACTCCTGACCTTGGGTGATCCACCTGCCTCTGCCTCCCAAAGTGCTGGGATTACAGGTGTGAGCCACAGCCTTCTTCACTCTTTTTCAGGGACAAGACATAGTGGCTCATACCTATAATCACAGCTCTTTGGAAGATTGAGGTGGGACGATTACTTGAGGTCAGGAGTACAAGACCAGCCTAGGAAACAGCAAAACCCCCATCTCTACAAAAAATAAAAAATAAAAATAACATTTCGGGGGGGGCTCCTAGCATGCACTAAACTGTAGGAATATAAACAATGAATAAAAGTAGGTCTCCCTCTCCAAGAAGGCACAGTTTAAGGGGGAATACTGACAGACCAACAGATAATTTTAATATCATGCAAAGCTCTCTTTGGAACACATCCAGTGGAATTTGTAGACAAATTTCAGATCAATTTAGTAACACCTATCAGAGTTTTTAAAATTTATTTTTATACAAGGTCTTGCTCTTTTGGCCTCCGAAAGTGCTGGGATTACAGGCGTGACACACCGCACCGGGCTCCATATATATCAGCAGCAACCATATATCACATGAGAGTATGAGAGGAATAAATGAGCTACTAGTCACTCTATTTATATTAACATAAATAAATATATATTAATATACACACACACACATAGGATCTCTGTCACCCAGGCTGGAGTGCAGTGGCACAATCATAGCTCACCGCAGCCTCAAACTCCTGAGCTCAAGTGATTCTCTTGCCTCTACCTCCTAAAGTGCTGGGATTTCAGGAAAGAGCCACCTTGCCCAGGCTTCCTATGCCACCTTAATGGCAACAGAAACCCTAGGCTCAGAGAGGTTAAGTCACTTGTATAATTTCACACAGCTGGTAAGTGGTCAGGTCTAGAGTCCACCACAGACCATGTGCTTCCAGTTGTTTTGCTGTATACGTCCACTAAATAATAATCATAGCAAAAATAGTAATGGTATAATAACAGTGGCAGAGGCATCAGGAACAGCAGCAACCATCATTTCCAAGTGCCAGGCCCAGTACGTAAGACTATCCCCATTCATTTATTTTTACTTATTTTTGAGACAGGGTCTCGCTCTGTCACCCAGGCTGGAGTGCAGTGGTGCAATCTCGGCTTACTGCAGCCTCAACTTCCCAGGGTCAAGCGATCCTCCCACCTCAGCCTCCCTAGTAGCTGGGACTACAGGTGCGAACCACCACGCTTAGCTAATTTTTTTTTTTTTTTTTGAGACAGAGTCTCACTCTGTTGCCCAGGCTGGTGTGCAGTGGCACAATCTTGGCTCACTGCAACCTCCGCCTCCTGGGTTCAAGCGATTCTCCTGCCTCAGCCTCCTGAGTAGCTGGGACTACAGGCTCGTGCCACCACGCCTGGCTAATTTTTTGTATTTTTAGTGGAGACGGGGTTTCACCATGTTAGCCAGGATGGTCTCGATCTCCTGACGTCATGATCCACCCGCCTCGGCCTCCCAAAGTGCTGGGATTACAGGCGTGAGCCACCGCGCTCGGCCTAATTTTTATATTTTTTGTAGAGATGGAGTCTCACTCTGTCTCCCAGGCTGGTCTCGAACTCCTGAGTTCAAGCAGTTCTCCCGCCTCAGCCTCTGAGTGTTGGGATTACAGGTGTGACCACCGCGCCGAGCCCCACTCCCTTTTTAAACCAATGCACAGGGAGCATCTACTATGTGCGAGGCACCCTCCATTTTACAGATGGGGAAACTGAGTTCCAAGCAGCTTTTGCCAGGAGTGGGAGCGCACCGTCCCTGCCCAGTCTCTCCAGTTGGGCGTTCCGAGACCACCTATGTAGGGTATTCGGCTAGCGCTCAATTAAACCGAAACACCGTCGCAGCGACCACAGGTGCAGACCACCAAGTCCACACCGCCAGCCGCCCGGGCGTCCCCAATTAGCAGTTGGGGCGGGACCAAGTCCTCGAGCTGCCGCCGCAGCGGCGGTTGAAAGCCCCACCCCCTGCGCGTGCGCGGTGCGCGTCCCGTCTTCCTGCTGGGCACCAGGCGCCCGCGAAGAGCGCGCGCGCTTCCGCCGGCGTCGGGCTCGCGCACGCGCACGGCGACGGCGGCGGTGGCGGCAGTTCCTGCTCTAGGCTGCGAGCGGCTGGCGGCTTCGAGGGGAGCTGAGGCGCGGAGGGGCTCGGCGGCAGCGGCGGCGGCTCGGCACTGTTACCTCTCGGTCCGGCTGGCGCCGGGGCGCGCGGTTTGGTCCTTTCCGGGCGCGCGGGGGCGACAGCGGCAGCGACCCGAGGCCTGCGGCCTAGGCCTCAGCGCGGCGGCGGGCTCGAGTGCAGCGCGGAACCGGCCCGAGGGCCCTACCCGGAGGCACCATGAGCGTGGAGGCGTACGGGCCCAGCTCGCAGACTCTCACTTTCCTGGACACGGAGGAGGCCGAGCTGCTTGGCGCCGACACACAGGGCTCCGAGTTCGAGTTCACCGACTTTACTCTTCCTAGCCAGACGCAGACGCCCCCCGGCGGCCCCGGCGGCCCGGGCGGTGGCGGCGCGGGAGGCCCGGGCGGCGCGGGCGCGGGCGCTGCGGCGGGACAGCTCGACGCGCAGGTGAGCGGCACATGGCGGTGCCGGAAGCCCGGGCCCGGCCTCGGCGCCTGAGACCTGCCCCGAACTCGCCTCGGGCCCGGCCTGTGTTTGGCCGGAGTCCCCCATCGCGGCCGGGCCTGGGGCGATCTGCCCCGGGTCCCCTACTCTGGCTCGGCCTGAGCTTACCTGCCCCAGGTCCTGCAATCTGCCCGGGCCTGGCCTGATCTGCCCCGGGTCCCCCGCTCCGGCCGCGACCTGGCTGAGTTCCTTCGGCCCCCAACTCCTGGGCCGGGCAGACTTGCCTCGAGTCCTCCACTTCGTTCGGGACCGAGCTAACCTGACCCTGTTCCTTTACGCCAGCTGGGTTTGCTCCCCCTCCTGGGCCCGGGCTGACCTGCCTTGTGTCCCACAATCAGTCTGGCCTGGAGTAACCTGCCCCCTGACTTATCTGAGTTCTTCCATTCCATCCGGGCTAGGGTGACCTGCCCTGGTCCCTCTTTCGCAGGTCTCGGTATTCTGCCTCGAGTTCTCCTACGACCTGGGCCGGGTCTTGCTCAGGCCGGAGCTTGAGTGACTTCCCTCAGTCCCTTTCCGGGAGTATCCAGGGTGACCTGCCCTAATCCTGTCTCTGGCCTGGTCCGGGGGTCCTGCCCGGTCTCCCCATTGGTGGGTCTGGCCGCCTGTCCCACCTCCCATCTGTGGTCGCAGCCATCTGGGCACCCCACCTTTCACAGTCACGGAGCGTAGGTTCGACTTTCCCCATGCATAGGGGCGCTGGCCAGCGGAAGGTTGAGGCAGAGAAGAATTTTTGCCTCCCATGGAGGAGCACATATTGGCTGGCTATTAAGATCATTCAGGAAGCAGGTTGTATTTTGTTTTTTCTTGCATCGCCTGTTGCTGAAACCGACCTGTTACATAACTTCACAACTCTTGCCTTGGAAAAGTTGGGTTTGAGTTTTGTTCTTCCAATAAGACAGCAATAATGGCTTTACATAAACGAGTCTGCCACGTTGGAAACTTATTTTTAATGATGTGGATGTTTAGAGAAGGTTACTTAGGTATTTTAAATGGGGGCTTGGGTTGGGAGAAGTATCGGGCATGCATTTCCTGGTCCTGGGCGCTGCTTGCCTGGGGTGGGAGAGGGGCTGGGGGGGTGGCGCGTGTTGCACCGGGGTCCTGGGGAATGTCCTCATCACCCTCTGGATTTCAGGTTGCTTTCACCTTAGGCTTGCTTTGTGCCTGACCTCTCGCTCAGGTTTGTTTTCCTGAATGCTCCGACAGGAAGAAGCTCCGAGGCTTACCTTGGCACAGGTGTCCCTTGGCATATGCTGGTGTTTCAGAACTGGGGGAACCACTCCTTGCTCATCCAGAGTGAGCTCAGACCCTGTCCTTGCATGGGGGGCTTACGTGGTAGTCGATTGAGTCACTCTCGTGGGTAGACCACCCACTTGGGCTTTCTTTTAGCCCCTAATGGAAGCAAAAAACATTTGACTCATTCTAACCCCATATTCCTTAAAATAGAAGGTGGGGTGTGAGGAGAACAGGTGTGCACGTATGGGTGTTTTTTTCAGTTTTGTTTACATTTTGCGAAGGGAGGGAGGGAGAGAGGAGAGTTCTCCTGAAGAAGGGAGTCTGAGCTGCGGAGGCCCCACCTCCTTGTAGTTTTCATGCCCTGTAGACCTTTCTGCTTCCGCAGCTGTGAAATGGGGGTGGCAGTTAGATTTTTATTCCTTTTAAACATAAAGGAAACCTAGATCCATGTGTGAGTCGACTGTATACGCTGTCTGTAATCTGACGTCCAGCCTGTCGGGGAGACTCGGTAAAGATCTCTGTGGAGCAGTGAGCCATGAGCGTGACAGCGCGGATCGGGGGGTTGGCTGGGTGTGAAAGGTAATCATTTTCTTGTGAATCCTTTTAACTGTAGCGAGCATAAAACAGCAAACCTGGGGCAGCCTTTAGTTCTGCTTTTGTTTCTGGCATTCCGTTTGGGATTAATTGTGGGGCATGTCCTTCTCTTTCAGTTGAAACAATTGATTTTTTTTCCTGCACCTGAACACACTGGGCTGTACAAAAGGAGAGCATTAAAACGCTCCCCTGGAGGTAAACATTGCAGTTGAGCTCACTAGAATTCTGACGACATCAGAGGGTTTGTCCTGTGCTACTTGTAATTGACCCAGATGCCCCACCCACCTGTTACCTGTAATTTGGATTTGTTTGTGGGGAATGGGAGTGGTACCCCTTTGCATCACAAGGGGAAGAACGGAATTTGGGGGCAAGGAAGTCTATGAATATCATTCAAGGGAAAGCGGAAGAAAGTTATCTCTTGTGTGAATTGAAGGCAGTGTCTGCTAAGATATTTGGGAAGACTTTCCCTGTTTGTCCTCAGGAGTTGGCCGTGTAACCAGCTGTTAAGTTGGGGGCTCCTGGAAACTCTCATTCTGCTTTTTTAATTTTTATTTTACTGGGGAAGTGGCTATCAGCTGTCAAGTGCCCTGCAGTCACTTTTGCTTAGCGGCTTTATTGAAATAGAATTCACTTGCCACAACATACAATTTACCCATATAAAGTGTACAGTTCGGCGGCTTTTATTTAGTATATTCAGAGTTGTGCAGCCATTACCACAGTAAACTTTAGAACATTTTTGTCACCCCAGAGATAAACCCTGCACCCCTTAGCCCATCCGTCCTACCTCCACAGCCCCTGGCAACCACTCACCTGCTTTCTGTCTCAAGATGTGCCTGTTCTGGGCATTTCACATCAACGGAATCATATCATATATGGTGTTTTGTGTCTGGCTCCTTTCACTCTGCGTGATGTGTGAGAAGTAGCTACAAGGTGAGCTTCGTAGCTGTTCCCTGGCCGAGCATTCAGGAAAATGAACCTGATCGAGGTTCATCCACGCTGTGGTATGTGTCATCATTTCATTCCTTTTTTTTTTTTGAGACAGAGTCTCGCTCTGTTGCCCAGGCTGGGGTGCAGTGGCGTGATCTTGGCTCACTGCAACCTGTGCCTCCCAGGTTCAAGCGATTCTCCTGCCTCAGCCTCCCCAGTAGCTGGGATTACAGGTGCACACCACCATGCCCCGGCTAATTTTTGTATTTTTAGTAGAGACGGGGTTTCACCATGTTGGCCAGATGGTCTTGATTTCCTGACCATGTGGTCCACTTGCCTCGGCCTCCCAAAGTGCTGGGATTACAAGCATGAGCCACCGCACCTGGCCAGCATTTCATTCCTTTTTAAGGCTGAGTAATATTCCATGGGTGGAATGGTCCAGATGGATGGACCATGTTTTGTTTATCTCGTCATCTGTTGATGGACATTTGGGTTGTTTCCACCTCTTGGCTTTTGTGAATAGCACTGCTGTGGCCATGAGTGTACAGGTTTCTGCGTGGATGTGTTTATAGACCTGCTGGGCCGCGTAGTAACCTTGGGTTTAATGGTTTCAGTAACTGCAAGACTGTTTTCCAGTGTGTAGCCACTTTCCATACCAACCCTACCTGAACTGGTTTTGCGCAGTTGGTTTTCCCTTAATGTGTGTTGAAAGACAGTGTGTCCCCACCGGGATGGGAAAGTGGCAGCAGGGGTGACTCCCTGCACTCAGAGCTGGTTCAGATAACACTCCTTTTCTTGTTTATGAAATGAAACTGATATTTATCAAAGCCCTTGAGATCCTGGGATGAAAAGCGCTGACACAGTATTGCCAAGTGTCCTTAAGATACAGGGACAGTTTTCGAGCATCTGACCTTTTCCTGGGCCCTTCTCTGCTGCCACTTCTCCTGCTCCCAGGACAGTGAAGGTAATTTCAGAAGTCCTTTGCATAATAGCTGGTGTTACAAGCCTTTTGGTCTGCCTGGTTGGAATATTTCCTCTTGACTGTAGCTTCTGCCCTGGATCCTCCAAACGGGAACTAGAGTGAAACTCTTAAGAGTTGGAAATACTGCTCAGTATTAAGAAGGAACAAACTATTGATACCTGCAACAACATGGATGTGTCTCATAATAATTACTTTTTTGTATGTGTCATTCATCATATGATTTAATTCATAAAAAAATTCTAGAAATTGCCAGCTAGCCTGCAGCAATAGAAAGCAGACCAGTGGTGGCTGGACAGAAAGGTGGGAAAGGGGAGGCAGGTGACAAAGGGCACAGGAAACTTGGGGGTAATGGACGTTTTTATTATCGTGATTGTAGTGATAGTTTTATGGGTGTTTAAGTACATTGATGTATGTCAGTTTCTAAAATGGCACACTAAACATTTGCAGCTTATGGTATGTCAGTTATGCCTCAATGAAACTGGAAAGAAAAGTCAGGGAGATACCACTATCCACCCATTTTTTTTTTTTTTTTTTTTTGGAGACGGAGTCTCGCTCTGTTGCCTAGGCTGGAGTGCAGTGGCACAATCTTGGCTCACTGCAACCTCCACCTCCTGGGTTCAAGCGATTCTCCTGCCCTAGCCTCTCGAGTAGCTGGGACTACAGGTGTGTGCTACCATGCCCGGCTAATTTTTTGTATTTTTATAGAGGCAGGGTTTCACCATGTTAGTCAGGATGGTCTTGATCTCCTGACCTCGTGTTCCGCCCTCCTCTACCTCCTAAAGTGCTGGGATTACAGCCGTGAGCCACTGCGCCCAGCCTGCCATACTTTTTTTAAAAGGCTGAAAGTGCTACTTGGGTTTTTTGTTTTTGTTTTAAGGCAAAGTCTCATTCTGTCACCCAGGCTGTAGTGCAGTGGCGTTATCATGGGTCACTGCAGCCTCGACCTCCTGGGCTCAAGCGATCCTTCCACCTCAGCCTCCCAAGTAGCTGGGACTACAGGTGTGTGCCACCACGTCTGGCTGATTTTTCTTTTTTTGTAGAGATGGGGTTTTGCCATGTTACCCAGGCTGGTCTTGAACTCCTGGGCTCAAGAGATCCTCTCACCTCAGGCCTCCCAAGTGTTGGAATTACAGAGTGAGCCATTGAGCCTGGCAAAAGTGCTGCCTGGAACTCTCATGCCATACACCTACCTGTGACCTAGCAGAGATGAAGGTGTGTGTACGCAGGGCTGCGCCAAATGCTGACAGCATCTCTTCATGAGAACCCCAAACCGGAAGCAGCCCCAGTGGCCATCAGCAGATGAATGGGTAAACAAAGCAGTGTGTACATCCAGTGGGAAAAATGTGTGCCTATTGGTTTGAGTTGCTTTTCTTAGCTCACCTGAAAGTATGAGGTCTGTGGGTAGGTACAGACCTTTTAGGCAGCAACACGCATGTTTTTGTGCAGGTGCTCTGGGTGACCTTGTAGATAGATGCTGCTTGGTACTGGTCCCACTTTGTTCCTTCATCCTCAGGTCAGGTCTGCACTGCCTGTTCCGTCTCCACTCCTGGTAGCCTGTGGGAGTCACAGCTGAATAGTCATCTCGTACTGGGATTTTACTCTGAGTGCATGAGTTGTTTCCCTAGGAAAAACATGCTGTCTTTCTGGATCGTAAGGGACAACTAGCTAAAGCTCCTAGCCGACCTGTCGTCCAGCCCTCACTCTCCTCCTGCCAGACTTCTCTGTATTGCCTCCACTTCTCTGAGTGTGTAAACCTGGGCTCACTTTTCCTTTTGAAGTGGTAAAATACTCAGGATAGAAAGTTGCTACTTTGTCTTCAAAGCCATTGTCCTGACCTATCCTTGACTGTCCAGGTGAACACACCATCTTCTGCTGAGCCCTGAGATTATGACCAAGGCGGGGTGAGTTCCATACAGTCTTGGGTTCCGAAAAGTGGTGAGTTTAAAATCTGCACATGTAGCTGGGCACGATGGCCCATGCCTGTAATCCCAGTACTTTGGGAGGCTGAGGCAGGCAGATCATTTGAGCTCAGGAGTTTGAGACCAGCCTGGGCAAAATGTCCATGATCGCACCACTGCACTCCAGCCTGGGTGACAGAGTGAGACCTTGTCTTAATAAAAAGAAGAAAATCCAGGCCGGGCTTGGTGGCTCACGCCTGTAATCTCAGCACTTTGAGAGGCAGAGGCAGGTGAATCACCGGAGGTCAGGAGTTCCAGACCAGCTTGACCAACATGGAGAAATCCTGTCTCTACTAAAAATACAAAATTAGCTGGGTATAGTGGCACATGCCTGTAATCCCAGTTACTTGGGAGGCTGAGGCAGGAGAATCGCTTGAACCCGGGAGGTGGAGGTTGCGGTGAGCTGAGATTGTGCCATTGCACTCCAGCCTGGGCAACAAGAGCAAAACTCCATCTTAAAAAAAAAAAATGCTCATGACTTCATTTTGGCTTTTTGAATCCTCTGGTAGCCCAGGTGTGGTTTTAGGGTGCCAGAACATTGGAGATAAGATGCCGTTTACCTGGAGGAGTGTTGGCAAGTGTTTGGTCAGCACTTACCCCTTAGTAGACTTACTGAGTGTGTTTTCAAATTGTTAGGAGTTTCCCAGTGATTATGTGAAAGTGACCTGAGCTGACACTTTACAGTTAGTGGTGAATACACGAAACAATTTCTATTTTTATCACAATTAATTACCCGGATTCAGGATGACGGGGTGGGGGATTATGACTAATACTATACCAGGACTAACTAAAAAAAGAGTTCCCTCTCAGCCTAGCTACCACCACCACAAAAGCTTACCACCATCAGCTACCACCACATTTCTCTCATTGCTTGATTGAAGTCTGATGACCTACCAGGGAACCCCCTTCTTTTCTTTTTAGACGGAGTCTCGCACTGTCGCCCAGGCTGGAGTGCAGTGGCGCGATCTTGGCTCACTACAACCTCTGCCTCCCGGGTTTAAGTGATTTTCCTGCCTCAGCCTCCCGAGTAGCTGGGATTACAGGTGCGCACCACCATGCCCAACTAATTTTTTTGTATTTTTAGTAGAGACGGGGTTTCACCATGTTGGCCAGGCTGGTCTGGAGCTCCTGACCTCAGGTGATCTGCCCACCTTGGCCTTCCAAGGTGCTGAGATTACAGGCATGAGCCACCACACCTGGCCCCTTTAAGTATAGAACTTAGTGCTGTTTTAGTAAATTTACGGAATTGGGCAGCCACCACAGCAGTGCCTTGCTGTCTCTGATTTCTCTTTCGCTCCTTTCCGCTCCCTCCCCACCACCCCTTGTCAGACCCTGTGCTCATGCCCAAGGTCACCCGTTAGGGAGGTGTGTCCACCGCCTCAGACTGAGCCCTGCCCTGGGGAGGTCAGAAACATGGCCAAGCCCTGGCCCCATGCTCCCCCGCCTTTAAGCCCCGTGTCTGTTAACTTTTGCACCCTCTGCGAGCTGCTGGGCAACCTCTTCAGCCTGGCCCTGGACTTCAGCCATCCCCTGCTGTTTTCTTACTTCCTGGCCTTGCTGTGCTTGTGGGACTGAGGGCAGTGAGGCCAGCAGAGGGAGAGTGAAGCCTTTGACCCCCGCGGTTGCACTGTTAGAAGACAGCACATGCCGCCTGGCCAGGGTGCTGTGAGGGCCCCAGGAGTAGGAGTGGGCTCCCCTGCTAAGGGAAAGCCTGTGGGAATGGCGCCTCTGGAGTTGTTCAGAAGCTGTACCTGCCAGGCAGAGGGGTGGGCACAGCACTTTGCCTAGAAGGAGGGAGGGTGGATGTGGGGCCAGTGGGGCCAGGGCAGGGGCTGGGCTGTGTCCTGGAGCCTTTAGGAGCTGCTGGGGTGCCTTGACCAAGGCTGGGAGGAGGGCTCTGAGATGGCAGTGGCGGGGGTTAGGGGAGGGGCTGTGGTGTTGGAGGTTGGGCATTGTGGCCCAGGTTGGACCCCGAATGGATGGAGGGGCCACAGGGCAGTGGAGACGGAGGACACCGGGATCAGGGCTGTGTGTGTACATGTGTGTATGCATGAGTAAGTGTGTAAGTGTGTGTGCCTGTGGGAACTGCCAGGGTACCGGCTGCCCCCTCCCAGTCCTCACAGGGAGCCACAGACTTAAAAAGCAGCTCCAGCTCCTGCCTGTGGTCTCATCAGGGTCCATAATTCCCCAGGCTGAGCCGGGGCTCTCTCCGCTGGGGAGGCACCGTCCTGAGGGCCTTGTGAGAGGGAGAGGCCTCCCCAGAGCGGCTGCAAGGAAGCTAAAGGGCACATGCTGGGCAGCAGCTCACAACTGAGGGGCAGTTTGTGCTTGTCATGGTGGTGAGAGTGCTTTCATGGTGGTCGGGATAGTCTAGCTTGGCAGAGAAGGGCCGTGACACCCAGCTGTGCTCTGTGGCATTCAGGGCCGAGGGGCCTGGCTGGAGGGGCTGGTGGGAGGAGTGGGTCCGGGCCCTGGCACCAGTGCTGTTCGGGGCTCCGGAGGGTTCATGGCCTTGAGCTCTCCTTGCTGGAGCACATACCTATGAGAGCAAAGTTCTGCTTTCTCTGATACATGGAGGGCTGCTGGGTCCTGGAGTCTGGTGGCTGGCAGCAGGTCCTTGTGCCTTTTTCTGTGTTGGTCGAATAGCAGCTTAAGAGCCGGGTAACCCAGCCGGGCTTCTCAGGTCCCGTGGGCCTTTGCCAGGATGGTGTCTAGATGTGTAAAGGTGGCTCGTTGGGCTCTAGAGAGCCCTTGTGACAGTGAGCATGGCATCTTCCTGAAGCATCAGCTCCTTGCAGAGCGAGTGCAGGCTCCTGGCGGCCCTGGGAGAGGGGGTTGCAGATCCCAGGCAGAGGTGTTTGGTCAGAGCTGCGCTGCCTGCACCGTCCTCACCTCTTTTTCAGTACGGGGATCCATGCGCATAGCTTGCAGCCCTGCTGCATCCTCCGTGTAGAAACGTCTACGATGAATTCTCTAACATACAAGAGCTGGTGAGCCCTGTGCCTCCGTCTCCCTGATGAGACAGTTGTGAAGGTTTTCTTCTCCCTGTTTTCTTTTTTTTTCTTCACTGGTGTGTGTTTTTAAAGCAAGTCTTTTGTGTCCTTTCACCTTTGTGTCTGAGGTGGAGCCCTGTGAATTGGCGATACTCAGCCATTTTGACCTGCAGTATGTAGTATGCATTTCTAGAAGCAGAAAAGGGCGCCTGTCCTGAATAGCTGCAGCGCCGTTATCACACAAGCAGCGTCAACAATGGCTTTTCACGATTGTCCGATATGTAGGGACAGTTGGCCTCTCTCCACAGCAGATTCTTTACTGGGATCCTGGAGGTCCGCTGTTGAGATGATGGCTGTCTCTGGGCCCTGCGTTCCGAGCGGCCTCTCCCGCTGCTTTTCATCTCGCCAAGCTGCAGTCTGGCCTGGGTTGTTGTCCTGTGAGGTGTGCACCTTCTGGACTGAACCCCTCATTGTCACACTTCAGCTTCTTGCTGAAGGTGTGGAGTGGATTTCATCTCAGGCTGTGGGCTCCAGGGAGAGTGGCTGATCCCCGGGCTGGGAAGGCAGGGGCGGCCTGAGGTGAGCTGGGGATGCCTTGCACACTCGGCCCGTTGAAATGAACCTCACGCGGACTCTAGCACACCTGGCTGGAACAAGGGTCTGCCGGTCCACACAGGTGCCATTGGTGAGAGGGGAGGCGAGAGGCCCTTTCTCTTTGGGAAGAACGAATGTGAGCCTAGGCAACATATTGAAAAATTAAAAAACTTTCTAGGCATTGTGCACACCTGTAGTCTCAGCTACTTGGGACGCTGAGGCAAGAGGATCTCTTTTAAGTTCAGGAGTTTGAGGATGCAGTGAGCTATGATTCTACCACTGCACTCCAGCCTGGGTGGCAGAGCAAGACCCTGTCTCAAAAAAATAAAGGAATGGAGAGCCTGGGGACCGCTGTGTCGGGTGGTGGGACTATGTGAAAGATGGTCAACTCCTAGCAGTTTCACGTGGTTCAAACTAATAGATTAAAGGTGGCTAAAGAGACATCACAAATCACGTGCAGTCATTAACTGGGACTTGGATTCTTAAAAACCTGTAAAAGACGTTATGAAGACATTGGGGTGATGGGTGAATGTGTATTAACCAACAGTGTGGCAGGCTGGGTGCGCTCATGAGCCAGCTGTTTTGTGGGGATGTGGAGAAAGCCCTCCCCTGGGGCCGGCCACTCTGAAATGGGTCAGGAAGAGATAAGTGTGTGAGAGCAAGGGGAGTCGGAGTGCAGGGGGATGTGATGGAGAGTGTCCAGCTGGAGGGGTGTGGGGGTCGGATTTCTGTAGCTTTGGAATTTTTCAAAATAAGAGGAAATATCAGGGCAGAATCCTTCCAGTTTGGGGGCCAGACCTCCTGGCAACCCTCTGCCTTGAGAGGGCTCAGAGACCCTGCAGCTTCTTGGCAGTCATCACTCTGAGGGTGTGGTGAACTTCCTATTCCCTCCCCTTTTTTTCCTTTACAATTTTTTTAATTAAAAAAAATTTGGGGGGGTGCTGGGTGCAGTGGCTCACACCTGTAATCCCAGCATTTTGGGAGGCCAAGGTGGGTGGATCACCTGAGGTTGGGAGTTCGAGACCAGCCAGACCAACATGGAGAAACCCTGTCTCTACTAAAAATAGGCGTGGTGGCGCATGCCTGTAATCCCAGCTACTTGGGAGGCTGAGGCAGGAGAATCGCTTGAACCCGGGAGGCAGAGGTTGCGGTGAGCCGAGATCGCGCCATTGCACTCCAGCGTAGGCAACGAGAGTGAAACTCCGTCTCAAAAAAAAAAAAAATTTAAATAGAGATGGGGCCTCACTATCTTGCCCAGGCTATTCTCAAACCCTGGGCTCAAGATCCTCCTGCCTTGGCCTCCCAGAGTGCTGGGATTACAGGTATGAGCCATCACGCCTGGCCTCCTGCCCTCTCTTTTATTTAAGCCTTGGAATTAGAGAATCAGGAATGAGCTGCTTTGCCTTTTGAGCTTGGCCTTTAGCCAACAATGTTGAGGGCCTCCTGGGGTGCAGGCTCCATCTAGGTGCTGGGCTCATGGCAGGGAGCAGGACAGACAATGCCCCACGGGGGCCTTGAGGTGGGGTCAGAGGATGCCTGCCTGAGAGGCACCCTGTGGACCTCACCCTGAGGCTGAGGGAACAGCAGGTGCAAGGCCTGGGTGCTGGCAAATGCAGACAGTGGTGCAAATGTTGGAGTAGATGTCTGCGGCCTGAGAGTTTATGATGGCACATTTGGGGGGATTTTTGAGTTTTTGAATTTCTGTGGTTTTCGTCTGTGGGAATGAAGTGACTTTCTTTGTTTTTTTTTTTTTTTTTTGAGACAGAGTCTTGCTCTGTGACTCAGGCTGGAGTGCAGTGGTGTGATCTCGGCTCACTGCAACCTCCGCCTCCTGGGTTCAAGCGATTCTCCTGCACGGGGATTACAGGTGCGCATCACCATGCCCAGCTAATCTTTTGTATTTTTAGTAGAGATGGGGTTTTGCCATGTTGGCCAGGCTTGTGTGTGTGTGTGTGTGTGTGTGTGTGTGTGTGTTGTTGTTAAGAGAGACAGGGTCTTGGTCTGTTGCTCAGGCTAAAGTTCAGTGGTACCATCATAGCTCACAGCGGCCTTGACCTGCTGGGGTCAAGCAATCCTCCGGCCTCAACCTCCTGATTAGCTGGGACTACAAGTGTGCGCCACCACACCTGGCTCGTTTGTGTATTTTTTTGTGGAGACAGGATCTTGGCTGTGTTGCCCAGGCTGGTCTTGAGAACTCCCGGGCTCAAGCGATCCTCCCAAAGTGTTGGGATGACAGGTGTGAGCCACCATTCCTAGCCTTGAAGTGACCTACTGTTGTGCTGCCCTGATGCACGGTCTGAGTTCTGGAGCATGTCTCTGGGCAGAAAGCCCCTGTACAGCTCTTAGATGGACTTCCAGGATGTGGTTTTAGTCGTAGCTAGGTTCACATCCAGAACTAAAGGAGTTAGAGACTCCAGCTCTGGGGCCTCGTGTATGACTAGGAAGTGGGAATTCTAGGATACGTCTTTAAATACTGTGTCCAGAGCAGAGGTGATGGGAGGAGCTGCTTTTTTTGGGGGCCGGGGGGGGGTTTGGGTTTTTCTTTTTTCTTTTTTTTTTTGAGATGGAGTTTTGCTCTTGTTGCCCAAGGTGGAGCGTGCAGTGGCACGGTCTCAGCTCACTGCAACCTGCGCCTCCTGGGTTCAAGCAATTCTCCTGTCTCAGCCTCCCAAGTAGCTGAGATTACAGGCACGTGCCACCACGTCCAGCTAATTTTTTTTTTTTTTGCCTTTTTAGTAAAAACGAGGTTTCACCATGTTGGCCAGGCTGGTCTCGAACTCCTGACCTCAGGTGATCCGCCCTGCCGAGGAGCTGCTTCTTGGTGAATGCCTGGGATGGGTACAGGGAGGCCTTGCCCCTCCAGAGCCTCCCTGGTGAGGGGATAAGTTGACAGCCTCAAAGGACTTTATTGGAGTGGCAGCTCTGTGCCAGCTGAAGATGATGACCCTCTTGTCCTTCACCCATCATGTCCCCTGGCGTGGGCTGTGGAACTTCTCTGTGCCAGGCACTGTCCCCTACTGCTGTTTTACCTCATTTCATGATAGTTCCTAGGGTCAAATATATTTTTGAAATTAATGTTTTATCTTGAAACTTTTCAGAGAGTGAAGGGAGAAGTTAACCCAGAAGTCAGCTTGTGTTGTGACCAGATCACTGCAGGGCAGCATTGGGCCCAGTGTGCATCTGTGCGTGCAGGTAGCACGTGCCCATGCACCCCAGCCAGGCGGGCTGGAGGGGCCTCTGTGGGGTGCTGCTCCCCATGAGCACCTGTCCCTAGGCTCGCACAGGTGCTGCATCACACAGCAAGGGCATTAGGCCGAGGGGCTGTCTGGGGTGCTGGGACTGGCAGTGGGAGATTTGGTGCCGTCCCTAGGGGAGCTCCCATCACTCCTCCCTGGCCCTTAATTTTGTGCCACCTTGTGTTCTGCCATGACACAGTGCTCCCGCTGCCTGACCCCGTGGTGGGGTTAGGTGGCCTATGGGGGCCATGCCAGGGACTGTTGGCCATGTCATTTGAGGTGCTGGTACTTGGGAGTGGCATGAGGAGCCCCAGTGGCTGTGTGGTCTCCTTGCAAGTGTCCTGTGCAGTTGTGGCCTGATGACTTAGAGCCATGCGCTGTCTGCCTTTGCTGAACATAGAAGAGGCGCCTTCAGTGAGGGTGTGGCCTCGGTTGCCAAGGGTATCTCAGTGTTCAGTTTCTACTTCATCCTCAGGAGAGGGCTGCCTTGAAGGGATGGGGAGGGTGAGGTGGCAGTGGATGTGGCCAGTGACATTTCCACATCTGCATGGGTGGCAGCTTCGTAGTGTTTGATGAGCCTTACACTGTGGTGGGTCTGGCATCATGAAGCTGTCCTCAGGGCACACTGCTGTCAGTCTGTAAAAGTCACCCTGCTCCTTGTGGTCCTCAGTCATGGGAAAGAAGCATCTTCCTAAGCATCCTGGTTGTGGGCATGGACATGGCTCTGTGGCTAGGCGGGGGTTAGACCAGCTGTGTGGGGGACCGGGGGGTGTAGAAGGCCACCAGTGGCCCTTTTTTGGCCAGGTAGGTTTGCTAGAGAAGAGTGAAATCCAGTCAGAACAAGGGAAACTGTCTCAAAGCAGAGATGAGGCCAGGGTGTCACACCAGAGTCATCGAGGCTGGTTCTTCTGCACTGAGTCCTGGAAGCTGCAGCCTCACTCAGGTGACACTGCGTTCTGCTGCAGGTTGGGCCCGAAGGCATCCTGCAGAACGGGGCTGTGGACGACAGTGTAGCCAAGACCAGCCAGTTGTTGGCTGAGTTGAACTTCGAGGAAGATGAAGAAGACACCTATTACACGAAGGACCTCCCCATACACGCCTGCAGGTGAGCTGAGCTCAGCTGGGCCTGGGCATGTGCTGGACAGGTGGGTGCCTCTGGCATGGGCCTGGGACACTCACCTCCCAGGTACAGGGTGGCGCCCTTGTGCTGTGACTCTGGGTGGCGGTGTCCTCGGGAGTAAGGAAATTGCTCAGGCCATGTGCACAGCCAAGGCCTGTTACCGGTCAGGAGGTGGGCTCAGCAACCTCCGACACCCTGAATTCACCAGCTGGTGGGAAAAGTTTTCCTTCCTTTGGCCTCCTCAGACCCTGGGGGCATTGCCTGGTACCTGCGCACTCACTCATAGAAAGAATTTGTCATGGCATTGGGTGAGCATCTGGGGTGGGAGGGTGAGTGGAGCAGCTGAGATACCCTCACAAAGCAGTTGCTGCAGGGTTCTGGGGCATCCCTGCCTCCCGCTGCCTTGGCCGTGCCTGGAGAATTGGATGTGAAGACAGTAGTTAGTGGATAGACCTGCATGTTGACAAATTTAGAATTCTCATCTCGAGTGGGATCGTCCCTTGTTGAGGCTTATTTCTGTATTTTTGTGACACACAAGTGAGGAAATGTAGATTAGAAGAGGGGAGAAGGTTTTGGCCAGGCACGGTGGCTCACTCCTGTAATCCCAGCACTTTGGGAGGCCGAGGTGGGCAGATCACGAGGTCAGGAGATCGAGACCATCCTGGCTAACACGGTGAAACCCTGTCTCCACTAAAAATACAAAAAATTAGCCAAGCATGGTGGCGGGCGCCTGTAGTCCCAGCTAGCTACTTGGGAGGCTGAGGCAGGAGAATGACATGAACCCGGGAGGCGGAGGTTGTAGTGAGCCGAGATCGCACCACTGCACTCCAGCCTGAGCGACAGTCACGGCAGGTTTGGGCCTGAGCCCTGCCTCTGTCTGTGGGCACCCACTTGGGGCCCTCCCTGCAGCTCCTTGCCCGCGTGCTGCCCAGCGCTCCGGGACTGAGGCTGCTCTTCGCTAGGCTTGGTGGGCAGGCACTCTTTCCTGCATCTCAGCTCTTCACTCATTCTCATTTACAGATGTTTTCGTGTATGTAATTGTGTTCTCTTAACACACAGAGATGGCCATAAGTCCTGGTGCAGCTCTGGGGAGCTAGTATTTTTGGGTTTGGTATGTGGATTTTCAGAAAACCACAGCCAGTGGTGGGGTGAGGCTCTCCCGAGGCTCCTCGCTTGGGCTTCGGGGCCTGAGCTTCAGGGCGCTGCTGCTGCAGGGTCTGTGCCCAGCTCCCTGGGAGCACAGTGCCCTCTGCTGGAGCCCAGAGTTCACCATGACCACTGGGTCTGAGGCTGGATTCCTGAATTTCAGGCCAAAGAACGGGGACTAGAATGGCCCTGGAGGAGTGAGGCCTCCTTCCAGCAGGACTCTCCTTGGAGGTGGCTTTGCTCCTTATCCCCTCGGAGCTTCTGCCACATACCCCTTCCCTGCATTCTTGGATTTGAGAAGCCCTGGTTAACTGGTTTGATTTGGTTACTGGGATTGTTGGGGTTGAGTATGTGTTTAATGAAGAACTTAAAAATGTTGTCAGAGGAAAGAATTTCACATCTTGCCAAATGAAAACCAGAGAGCAAGCTTCCAGCTGTAACTGTCGCTGTTTTGATTTTTTAGTTACTGTGGAATACACGATCCTGCCTGCGTGGTTTACTGTAATACCAGCAAGAAGTGGTTCTGCAACGGACGTGGAAATACTTCTGGCAGGTAGATAATCAGACCATGCATGTGTGTTTAATCAGTGCTGTGCTCAGATTTGTGTGTAAATTATGGAAATGTTGAAGCAAAGCGTAATATAAAATCACGCTAACAAACCTGGGTTTTTTCCTCCTCTGTGACTGGTTTAACTTGAAACAGATGGTGGTGTGTGAATGCCTTAATGTATTTACCCTTGATTTATTCTCTGTGGCTCTTTTTATTATGCAAGTAGGGTTGGCTTAATTCTCCTTCCCAGTTTTTATTTCGATTTTTCTGCAAGATGAGCTCTTGGCACACCCGCTGATCTTCATTAACGGGAGGATGTTCCCAAGGCAGTAACGGGCATCCAGGGGCGCTGGTTCCTGAGCAAGCTTGCTCTGGCCTGAGCTCATCGGAGCTGTCCGGAGGCTAATTCAGGCCAGATCCTGAATCATCGGCTTCAATTAAGTTCACTTGACCGTCGGCGCTGGGCTTGCCTTCCTGATGTTGATCAGCTGCAGCTGGACTGTGTCGCTTGTTCTGTGTTTGGGACAGGACAGTGTTCTCCCAGTGCCCAAATTCCAAGGGGGGAGTTCGATGGTCTTGCCCGAGTGGTGGGACTCTCGTCCTGGTGGGTCCCGTGCTAGCGGCTCCCCTTCCCCTCCAGGTTGCTGTGTACAGGTCACTCCACTGCTGGAGAGGATGGAGCAGAGCCTGGGAGGCAGAGCTCCGAGGTGCTAGCAAGGAAGTGTGGGGTCTTTTTCTGAGGTTCACGTTCTGGAGAAAGAAAATGACCAAAGCCCGGAGGCAGGCTTACTTGTGCTGACACAAGCCCCTCCTGTGCCTTTGACAGCTGTGGGTCTCGGAGGGTTACAGATGGAGCAGTCAGATCTCGTGGCATCTCTGAGTTAGTAACTTGAAATATGGTGTTATGAGCAAGGCCAGAAAGGGGCTGCTGTTTTTAAAAGATTTTAAAGAAGGGTATCTTCTGGATAACCAAAAGACATTCTTGTCCCATTTTCAGAATCTTCTGGGTAATTTAAGTGTTGCTATGTTTGCATTTAGTTCCTCTTGTTCAGGAAAAGCAACTAAATAAAACTTCTCTTAGCTGGCAACCCCAGCTTCCGGTCAGCATAGCCAAGAACAGGGAAGTGAGCAAAAGGGCCTCTGAGAAACAACAGGCTTGAGCCAAGCACCACTGAGCATTCTGTGCGAGGCCCAGGGGAAGGTGAGGAAGCAGCCGCTGGCCCTTAGGGATCTTGGCTGTGACAGGGTGAGGATGCATGAGAAGACACGGAGACAGCTGATTCTGCCCACGTGGCCGGCAGGGCTCCAGAGTGGAGTCGGGCTTTGGAGATGCTCAGAGTGGCCATGGCTGGTTAGAGAATCCTGGGCCTCGTGGCAGGGAGAAGGGTTAGAAGATTAGCTGAGCTGAAGCTTTTGGCAAGAATGGTTTTCCAGAGGGGAAGAGAGAGGGCGCGGTGAGGAAGGCTGGGAGGCCCTGCAGGCGTGTTCAGAGCTGCTGGAGACACCGGAAGAGCCCAAAGGCAGAGCAGCTGGGCATCCTTGTTAGATACGGCAGATAGGTGCTGGAGGGTGGCTGGCTTGGCACAGGGCAGGGTTCAGCCCAGACCGCGGTTTAGGTGAGCAGTGTCCTGGCCACGTCGCAGCAAGGAAGGAGCCGAGCCAGCCAGGGCTTCACACACAGCCCTGGGCTTCTGTAGAACCGCCCCCGCCTCTGCTCAACCTTTTTGCTGCTTTTTGCGGGGGTTTCCAGTCGCCTGCTTATCAGATTTCCCGGCCTGCAGCAAAGCAGGAGGGACTGTTGCTCCTGGAAGTAGGCACAGGGCCTCTGAGGAGTGATTTCAGAAGAAGCCACAGAAGATGGTGGCGGGGGTTGACCTTGGAAAGAAGGGGCTGGGGCCTTGTGGGAAATGTCTCTGACCCCACAGCAGCCCTGGGCCAACAATGGGTTAAATTAGGCCTGATAAGTTGGATTTAAGAAAGCAGGATTTTTAAAAAAGGCAGGAACTATGTGAACCGTGTTAAGGAAGTTTTCCTTAAAGTGGTTCAAGTTGGGATTGATTTTTGTGCTCAGTGGGGAGCTAGTTTGGGGGAGGGCTGGCCCCCAGAGATGCCAGATGGATGAGGTGTGACTGCCTCTGCTAATGGACCGTGAACGGTACCGGAACTTTTAACAGGGGCCCGAAAATTGGAAGTGGTGAAAAGCCAAATTTTGGGTGTTAACCGTTTATCATTTCCTGGTTTCAGCCACATTGTAAATCACCTTGTGAGGGCAAAATGCAAAGAGGTGACCCTGCACAAGGACGGGCCCCTGGGGGAGACAGTCCTGGAGTGCTACAACTGCGGCTGTCGCAACGTCTTCCTCCTCGGCTTCATCCCGGCCAAAGCTGACTCAGTGGTGGTGCTGCTGTGCAGGTGAGTGGTCCCCAGATGTCTCCTGGGGGTGACCTTTAAGCTCCAGCCGTCTCCTCACAAGCCTTGGCCCAGCCCAGCCCAGCCGTGGCTCTAACTCCAGGGAGTTGTCCTCCAAAGATGGTTTTTGCTGAAGGGTGAGGCATGAGAGCGTTTAGGCGCTGAGGCTTGTTAAGGAGTCGGCAGTGCCGTGTAACTCTTTTGGGGCGTTCTGGCTAAGTCATAAAAACAATTCTGTAAAAACAAAGTCTGTTCTGAGTTTTAAGAGTTCAGAGCTCAAGTGCACAGGGAGATGCGATTTATTACTAACAGTTTGAAGGTAATGTGATCACATAATAAAATGCAGGGCATGCCCCTTTGGGTGAAAGGTCAGCATGGGAGGGGGCCCTCCCTGCTCCGGGGCTTCAGGGACGGGAGCTGGTCCTCACGGCCCCCTCCCGCTCTGCAGGCAGCCCTGTGCCAGCCAGAGCAGCCTCAAGGACATCAACTGGGACAGCTCGCAGTGGCAGCCGCTGATCCAGGACCGCTGCTTCCTGTCCTGGCTGGTCAAGATCCCCTCCGAGCAGGAGCAGCTGCGGGCACGCCAGATCACGGCACAGCAGATCAACAAGCTGGAGGAGCTGTGGAAGGTGGGGCTGCCCAGCGGGCCGACCCGTGCCTTCGTGTGGTTTCTGGTTGCGGGGAGGGGAGTGTCTTCAGAGACGGCTTGACCCAGTGAGACCGCTGGAGATTCTCTGAAAGGAATTCAGGCAGACCTCTGCCACCTCTACGTGGAATGACCTCAGGGCACCTTGGTCACCTTCCATCCAGGCAGCCTTACCTGACCGAGAAGATCCTGGCCTTGGGGAAAGGAAAGCTCTGGCTGCTGGAATTTTTCTTGTCTTGCCGGGGTGAGGATGGGTGGTGGGAGGGGAAGAATGGGGCTGGCTGTGGGCAGACTTGTCCTGCAGAGCCTGAACCTGCCCAGACAGGTGGGCTGCGAGAATGTCCTGGGGAAATAGGTTGGTGTCGAGGTCGGCACAGTCAGCTGAGACAGAGGGGAGAGGAGAGGGTGCCGGGTCAAGTAGTGGGTGCCTGGCCCTCCTTCCACAGACAGCCCTCACTTTTCCCCACGGAAGCCTTTCTGTGCTTCCAGCTGTTTAGGATTTTGTGATAAAGTAGTTCTAATAACTAGGCTAGAAGTTTTCATTTGCCTCCCATTCAGTCAGAAATCTCACATAGGAAATGAAGTGCAAGTTAAAATATTTTTTTAAGCATTGTTCAGCCGGGTACCTTTCCACTTGGATTTTCCGGTTGCCAGATGATTTCATGATTCCCGTTTATATCTGAACAGCCCAGAAAATGTCCTGTCCCCACCAGCATGGCACTCACTGAGGGAGCTGGCCCCCAGGGGAAGAGCTGCGGGCCCATGTTGGTCTGGCTCAGGGTTAGCAGACGTGGGAGACAGGCCTCCCGGGCTGTGGACACAGCGAGAGAAACCGGTGGTCTTTGTGGCAGCCTGCGAGGCGGGTTAGCTGCTCTCGTTCACAAGCTGGGCATACTTGGAGGAAGCAGCTGGCTCTGAAGGTGCCCTCTGCTGTGGACAGTGTGTCAGGCTGGTGCCTGGGGCTTTGTAGGCAGGTTCACCCAAGTACCGGAACCCCGCTGGGGTGCGGAGCAGCAGCTGAGGCCCAGGCATGGGCCAGGCCGGTGTGCAGCTCCCTGTGTGGCATGGAGTTCCCGTTCCCAGGGTTCTCCTTGCAGGTGGGGCTGCGCCAGAACCCCTCCATGCCACCCACCGTGGCCCATTCTGAGAAGCGGCATGTGTGCTCCATCCCTCTGGTGCCTCTGCGCCCTCGTTCATTTGCATGTAGGGAAAAACAGGACGAGTGTGGCGCGGTGTTGTTGTCTTCTAGGAAAACCCTTCTGCCACGCTGGAGGACCTGGAGAAGCCGGGGGTGGACGAGGAGCCGCAGCATGTCCTCCTGCGGTACGAGGACGCCTACCAGTACCAGAACATATTCGGGCCCCTGGTCAAGCTGGAGGCCGACTACGACAAGAAGCTGAAGGAGTCCCAGGTGATGTGTGCGAGAGGGCTTGGCCTGGGGTGGGCTCTGGCTCTCACAGCTCTCTCCTCAGGCTTCCAGAGGGAGGTTTTCTCTCCAGGCTGTGGGAGCTGATGTGGGCTGCAGCCGCGACACCTGAGAGTTGGAACTTGCGGATCCGGGCCTGGCAGCCCGGTGGTCTGAGCCCCCGCCCTCAGATCTGACATCAGCCTCAGTGTTTTCTGTTTAAATCCAACACATCTTTCCCAGTGGGGTCCACAGCTTTGCCCACAGTTGCGAGAGTTAGACTCGGGCGTGATCCCTGTGAAGACCACATTTAGGCAACGGGAGCCCTGGAGCGCTGACCTCCCCTCCCTCCCTCCCCTCCTCTTTCTGTCCCTCCCTCCCCTCCTCTTTCTGTCCCTCCCTCCCCTCCTCTCTCTCTTCCTCCCTCCCACAGCAGCTGCTCCCTGGCCACGGAGGCCTCTGGTGTGCGGTGAAGCCTCCAGACGGGATTGGCCTGTGTGTGTTCCGGGGACTCCTAATGGCTTCTCTTTCAGATGTGCCCTTGGTGGCATTTGGGGCTGCAGGTGCCACTCACGGCGCCTGCTCTCACGGCAGAGGCTTGCTGTAGGGCCCGCCTCATGGGGCCTCGGGCATGTGGAGGCCAGGCCCGGGCCTGTGCTGGAGGCTAACCGGGGCTCTTGTTTTTCATGTGCTCAGACTCAAGATAACATCACTGTCAGGTGGGACCTGGGCCTTAACAAGAAGAGAATCGCCTACTTCACTTTGCCCAAGACTGACTCTGGTAATGAGGATTTAGTCATAATTTGGTTAAGAGGTGATTTTAAGTTTTAAAATATTTGTGACCATAAGTAGCATAAATTCCTAGTTCCACCCTTGTAAAGTGCCCCTTAATTTGAACTCTCCCTGGTGGAAGCGACGGCGTGGGTTAAAATGGCCACCTCTCTCACTTTTTTACCTCAAGACATGCGGCTCATGCAGGGGGATGAGATATGCCTGCGGTACAAAGGGGACCTTGCGCCCCTGTGGAAAGGGATCGGCCACGTCATCAAGGTCCCTGATAGTATCCTTCATGTGAAGAGGGTGTGGCCGGCTGGTGGGAGAGGAAAGTGGGGGCATCAGGTGGAGGCCACTGTGGATTTGATGCTCACTGCTGGGCCAGCATCTCATGCTCTGTGGTGGGTGCTGGTTGGCATCGCCCTCCACTGCTCTTAGGAGAATCACAGGGCCTTCACCTTCAGGGGACAGCTGGTTGTATGGTTGCTTCCCCTCTGCCCGAATGGTGATGTTGGTGATGCCACTTGTGTGGCGCGTCCCTGGGCTGACTCTGGAAGTTAATGTATGCCGCTTGTGTGGCACGTCCCTGGACTGACTCTGGAGGTTAATGTGGCTGCAGGAGCGCCTTACCTGGACGCTGACTCTGCACACGGAGGTTCCAGAAGCCAGTGGTCACATGCAGACCCTCTGAGCACACACTTGCTCCCAGGCCATGTTTGGGAATGTGCAGTGACCTCATGGTGATGCAGCCTGCCGGCCAGAGTGGGGCAGCTGTAAGGCACAGGTGCAGTCAGAGGCTTGGGTGGGGAGGAGTCCTGGGAGAAGACACCGCGGGTCAGACTCAGGCTGCCTCTTGGTGACTGGCCAATGCTGCTGGGGCCTGACCATTCAGCGGTGGCCTCCACAGGGGTAGGGAGAGTTGTCTCCCACACCCACCCTGGGCCTGACAAGCTCATCCTGAACACGTGAGACCGGTTTTGGGGCTCGGGGTCGAGGGAAGGGTGTTGCCTACCGGCCACAGCCTCCTGGAGGGCAGTTTGCTTGTGTATGTGGAGCCTTTTGCTTGGCCGTACTGGGAGGGGTGTTGTTTCTGTGGAACTGTGAGAAGAGCTGCTGTGGCCAAAGCTGGGTTCTGCGAGCTCTGCCTGCCCCTGCTGGCCACATGTGCAGGAGCTCCCGGTGAGGTCCTGGGGCCCAGGATGTGGCTGCTCCCTGCTGGTGAGCGCTGCTGGCTTCGCTGCCGCCCTCTGCGTCTCTGAAAGGGGCCTAGATGGGTGGCTGGGAGTGGCAAGGAGGAACTCCAGGCTGGCTGGGGGTGGGACACCGGCTCATGGTGAGGTAGAGTCTTTCTTCAAGGATGCTGTCCTTCTGGTCTCTGGTCTGGTGTTGGCTGCACGTTTTTAGCGTTTGGTGCAGAGCCAGCGGTGTCTTAAGTAACTAAATTTTAAAAACGCTGTTTAAAGAGCGTGTACCAAGGGTGGCCCAGAAAGGTCAGCCCGGCTTTTGACAAGGATGCAAACTTAACTCAGCACACAGATTATGGCGATGAGATCGCCATTGAGCTGCGGAGCAGCGTGGGTGCACCTGTGGAGGTGACTCACAACTTCCAGGTGGATTTTGTGTGGAAGTCGACCTCCTTTGACAGGTACGTCTTCTCCCATCACTGCCCCCTGTTCCCTGGTTGCCACCTGTGGCATCTTTATGAGCCCTCCCCGTCACTGTGGAGTGGGGTTCCCCACCCAGCTCTGCAAACTCAGGATGTCGGAGAGGCGGCCACAGCTGTGCGTGTCGCCAACCCCAAACCCTCCTCACAGGATGCAGAGCGCATTGAAAACGTTTGCCGTGGATGAGACCTCGGTGTCTGGCTACATCTACCACAAGCTGTTGGGCCACGAGGTGGAGGACGTAATCATCAAGTGCCAGCTGCCCAAGCGCTTCACGGCGCAGGGCCTCCCCGACCTCAACCACTCCCAGGTGCGCGCCGTCCTCAGCGCGCGGGGCCTCGCCCATGGGCCGGGACGCAAGCGGAGGCTGCCCCTAACGGCCGCTTGTATTGAAGGTTTATGCCGTGAAGACTGTGCTGCAAAGACCACTGAGCCTGATCCAGGGCCCGCCAGGCACGGGGAAGACGGTGACGTCGGCCACCATCGTCTACCACCTGGCCCGGCAAGGCAACGGGTAGGGCTGACACGGCCCTTGCGGGCAAGACCCGGGAGGGCTTTAGGGTGGCCAGATGGAAGGCCTGGTGCTGGGAGCCTTGGGCTCTGTCACACCGAAGAGAGCACGTGGCGGGTAGTGTCGCCATGGTGCCTACCGCTCTCTATGTGACATTATTCGTGTCAGCTCCAACCTTAGGATTGCATTTTAGTAACCAGGTCTGCTACTGGTTTAGAAAACTGGGGGCAGGGGGGGCATGGCTGCAGCAGCGTGAGTTCCGTGTGCGGCACTTTATAGTGTGGCGGGATGGTGCAAGTTCCAGCCTTGGCATTGCTTGCGGTGGGTAGAGCTGTGAAGCCTGGGCTGTCTGGATCTGAGCTCCTTCGGCATCGTGTCATTACTGCCTGTTAAAAATGTCAGGAGTTTAAGGCCAGCCTGAACAGGGTGAGACGTCTCTACAAAAAAAAAATTCAGAAATTAGCTGGGGGTAGTGGCGTGCACCTGTGGTCCCAGCTACTCAGGAGGCTGAGGTGGGAGGATTGCTTGAGCCCAGGATGTTGAGGCTGCAATTAGCTGAGATCACACCACTGCACTCCAGCCTGGGCAACAGAGCAAGACCCTGTCTCAAAAAACAGAGTCTTGGCTTACTACGTTCACCGAGCTTCCTCTGGGTAAGCACTGAGCTGCCCCAATGGTGTTGCAGGCCGGTGCTGGTGTGTGCTCCGAGCAACATCGCCGTGGACCAGCTAACGGAGAAGATCCACCAGACGGGGCTAAAGGTCGTGCGCCTCTGCGCCAAGAGCCGTGAGGCCATCGACTCCCCGGTGTCTTTTCTGGCCCTGCACAACCAGATCAGGAACATGGACAGGTGTGTGTCGAGTCCATCCCTCCCAGTTGGTCCCTGAGCTTCTGCGGGTGACATGTACAGAACTCAGGCACCCTGCTGACCTGCATGTGCTTCCAGCATGCCTGAGCTGCAGAAGCTGCAGCAGCTGAAAGACGAGACTGGGGAGCTGTCGTCTGCCGACGAGAAGCGGTACCGGGCCTTGAAGCGCACCGCAGAGAGAGAGCTGCTGATGGTGAGTGCCCCTCCTGCCTGCAAAAGGGCCTGTGGGCTGGCGGCCTGATGGTTTTTGTTTGGGCCAAAGCACCTATTTGAATTGTTGCTTTGCTTCTGGAAAGAGAACTTAGATGCTCTCTACTTGGCCTCTCTGCGCTCAGTTGTACAGTAAATTAGGGACATCTCGCTGCCTGGAACACGGTCTTCTAGGGAGTCTCCACTCCCTGCCAGCCTCCACTGGGATCCGGCAGTGGATCTAGAACACTCCTGCTCTTTCATAACCAACCAGCCTGAACTGGAATCAGCCTGAGTGCAGGTTCCAGCAGCTCAGCACTGCCCCTTGGAGGCTGTCGTGAGGCGCAGAGCTCTTGGTGTGGAGAGGTTGCCTTCTGTGAAACATGACCGTTTAAGGATCTTAAAAGTTTGTAATCACCACAGCCTGGACCATGTATCTTGTCTGGGAGGGACAGCTTGTTTTTTATAGTGTCAGGGAGGGTGAGAAACAGGAGAGCTTCTGTGTTCTGTCCCACCTGCCCTCCGGGGTCTGGTGGCGTTTACAGTGCAGGTGCCCTGATGCCTCTGCACCCTTCCCCAGAACGCAGATGTCATCTGCTGCACATGTGTGGGCGCCGGTGACCCGAGGCTGGCCAAGATGCAGTTCCGCTCCATTTTAATCGACGAAAGCACCCAGGCCACCGAGCCGGAGTGCATGGTTCCCGTGGTCCTCGGGGCCAAGCAGGTGGGCTGCCTCCCCTGCCCTCCTGTGTGAAAACTCGTGTGTGTGATTCTTGGTGTTTGTCTTTTAAAACACCTTGTATTGACGTAGGATGCCCAGCAGAGTGTGCGCACACTGGGGGCTCCCTGAGGGGTTTATAGAGGGTGGGTTCTGCCAGCTGCACGTCCAGTGTGCGTGGTGAGCAATGCCCCTGTGGCCAGGTGGTGTCCTGTGCATCCTGGGGCCCCTACTTCCTTGCTAGTGTGTGTTGAGGCTGATTCACACCTGAGCTTCTTGACTTGTGGGGGCCCCTGTTCCTACAGCTGATCCTTGTAGGCGACCACTGCCAGCTGGGCCCAGTGGTGATGTGCAAGAAGGCGGCCAAGGCCGGGCTGTCACAGTCGCTCTTCGAGCGCCTGGTGGTGCTGGGCATCCGGCCCATCCGCCTGCAGGTCCAGTACCGGATGCACCCTGCACTCAGCGCCTTCCCATCCAACATCTTCTACGAGGGCTCCCTCCAGAATGGTGTCACTGCAGGTAACGGGGCTCTGCCCAGGGCAGGGGCTTCTACAGAGAAGCGGCATCAAGGGAATGTGGACTGGGGAGAAGGAACTGGCCCATCAGCTTCCCCTGAGCGGCTTCACATAGCCACTGCTTGAGGTCAGGGCACTTTGTGCCCAAGGTCTTGATGGTATGGTCTTGGATCAAGTGGTGTCTCTGGGGCATGTGGGGAGCCTGTGTCCTCTGTAAAACTCAGTCATTGCCTGAGAATTCATCCAAGCCTCATGTGGCAGCATGCACAGCAGCCAGGACAGGCTGTTAGGGGAGCTGAGCCCGGGCCTTAACGTGGGCTGTGCATTCAGTGCTTCATGAAGAACAGCTGTTCTCAGGGCCTGGGCCCCTGGGGCCCGCAAGACCGTGTCCGGCTTCCCTGGATAACACAGAGGCCTCACCTGCCCTTTTTCACTCTGCTGACGCTCACACTGCTGGTGACCCCCTGGTGCTTCTGCAAGAGTCAGCCCAGAGCAGCCAGACTGTGCCCGGATCACAGTAAGAAACGCCCTGGATGAGGAAGTGAACAGTACATCTTACTAAGCCTCGAGTGTTTCACTGTGACCAGATAAAATTTCTCGTGACACCTTTGGGTATGCCGGCGCTTGAAGGAAGTCCTTGTGGACACACCCTGGGTATTCACCCCAAGGTGTTGGGCAGACTTTTTCCAAAAATGATCGAACCTGTCGCTTCATGGAGAACTAGTGGCAACATCTGTTACAGTAGTAAAATTCAAGTGAAAACCAGAATTTTGGAAAACTTAACGTCGCTTGCCATGAGCTTGGTGTCTTCCCAACACCTAGAGACTTTTCTGGTGAGGTCTGTGGGGGTGACAGATGGAATGTTTCCACCATTGCCAGTGAAATGTGTCAGCCTTTGGAAGACCTACTTGACTCGGTGGGAGATCCTTCCTGAATGACCAGCAGAGTGTCACGAAGTCACATGGGGATGGAGTGGCAAAGAGTTGTCACAGGCCTGCAGAAACCCACCTTTGTCCAGCTTGATGTGGCCTCAGGGCTGGAGACTCCCAGCCATGCAGAAAGGCTGTAAAAACAAACCCATCTCCCTTTCCAGCCTCAGGCATCCATGAGGCCTGGCTTCCCCACAGCGTCCCCAGAGCCCAGGAGGGTGGACTGAGCAGAGGTGGACCCCAGGGCCCAGCTGCCTCCGATTCAGCCAGATAGTAAGGAGATTTGCAGAAATGGGAGACAGGACCACTCTTCTTACTTAGCTTATTTTTGGAGAAATAACTAACACGTAATGGGTTATTTTTAAATGAATTAATATATTTTTTAAATTTCCAAGTTTAGAGAATACAGTTATCCAATAAACAAAAGCTGTTTGGACTCCCTAACTTTTGAGAGTGTAAAGGGTCCTGAAAGCTGCCGACACAGCGCCTCATGAACTCCAAACCTGTGAGGTTGGTATTGTCAGGCCTAGTTACAGGAGAAAGTGAGGCTCAGAGCCCACCCCCCGGGTTGGGCCACACCACTCTTTGCCTAGCGGTAGGTCTTGGGAGTTGATGCCACTATTGACATCGCAGGGACACCGCTGTTCCCAGCGCATGGCAAGGCTGAAAACACAAGGCCACAGAGACCTAGCTTGTGCTCTGGGGTGTCTGAGCACTGGCTGGGAAAGGCGTGGCTCGGCGCAGGCTCAGACCCCTCATGGTCCCCAGGGCATCGGCCCAGAGGGCAGACGCTGGTGCACACTGCTCTCTAATTGATGCACAGCACGTAGTTCACACCCAGGAAGTACATTTTAGGAAATTCTCTATTGAAGTGTAAACATGTGGCCACATTACAAGTGTCTGGCTCAATGAGTGGTTACTAAGTGAGCATATTTGGATAGCCAGCACCTGAACCCAGAACCACCTGACCAGCTGTGAGAAGCCGCCTCATCCCTGCAGGTGGCCACTGTCCAGGGGTGCGCATCCACAGCAGCCCCTGGGCTGAGGGACTTCTGAGCTCATCCGGCGGCCCCTGTGCTCGCTGTAACAGCAGTGATCCACTTGGCCTCATTTTCAGCTCGACGTGGGATCATATGATGTGTCCTGGCGTGTCTGGCTTCCTCTGTCCATGTCAGGCTGGTGCTGTGCAAAAACACCGGTTTTCTCCACTGATGGAAGCTCCCAGTAGAGTGAGGAGGGCACCTGTGAATTGAGAAACTGGTTTTACAGTTTTAAGGAAACGCAACAGGGCCCAGAAAAGCCAAGATGAGCATGAAGAGCCCGAAGAAAGTGGCTGCTCACATGGCAGGACGCCCCGGCCCCCAAGCTGCAGTGTTGGGCCCCGGCCCAGGAGGGAGCCCAGAGGCAGAGCCACCGGTCAACAGGCCCTCAGCAGGAATGGACAAGGCTGCAGGGCAGGGGGACACTGTTGGCTCAACAGTGTCACACACAAGTCAGTTGTAGGGGCTGTGGCGCCTTTAAGGCAAGCTTCTGGAAGGAAGCAGGAGAATATCCTGTATCCTGGGGTTGGCAGAGATCCAGGCTGCAAGAAAGCCCTGGCTGAGACCCTGTTCCCTGTTCAGGGGCTGAGCCAGCTCTGTGCTGGCCATGGTGCTCTCGGTGGCCTCTCCTCAGCCTTGCCCAATCCTGGGCATCTCTGGCCAGGGGACCGGCTCAGGTGACCTCACCAGGGCCTCACAGATCGAAGTCTCCTGCCCCAGGACCTGCAGCACTGTAGCGTAGCAACTACATTGCCCTGTGTCTGAACTCATTTGAGGCGGGCTAGGGCTTTTGAAGTGTTACTTCTTTCCCTCCCCTCACAGCGGATCGTGTGAAGAAGGGATTTGACTTCCAGTGGCCCCAACCCGATAAACCGATGTTCTTCTACGTGACCCAGGGCCAAGAGGAGATTGCCAGCTCGGGCACCTCCTACCTGAACAGGTGAGCAGGGACAGGCCCACCGGCGTCTGCAGGTCTTGGGGACAGCTTGAGAGGTTGTTGACCCATTCTACTTATTTTTAACATGGGACTGAAACTTTTTTTGCCTTCATTTCCTGTTTAGCCTGTTTAGACTCTAAACCGTGTTGTTTCTGCCTCCTTTTCCATTGTACTTGTTTTTTATTGGGCAGATACTTGCTAATCCCACATGGCAGCCGTTTCTGCCCCTCGAGACTCCCCTGGTGAAGGCTGGGGAAGCTCAGCTGTGCAAACGCCAGTGATGGCAGCTGCCTTCCCGCAGGGTGTTGTGTCTGCACCCCTCACGGCCTCCAGCCTCAGGGCTCGGGATCCCACAGGTGGAGCCCAGCACTGACAGCCTGGGTTTCTTAGGACCGAGGCTGCGAACGTGGAGAAGATCACCACGAAGTTGCTGAAGGCAGGCGCCAAGCCGGACCAGATTGGCATCATCACGCCCTACGAGGGCCAGCGCTCCTACCTGGTGCAGTACATGCAGTTCAGCGGCTCCCTGCACACCAAGCTCTACCAGGTGCGCTGCGCCCTCGGGCACACTTGGTCTCCTGGGCCATGCAAGGGTATTGACCCTTGACCTTTAAGTTACCCCCCAAGAGGGGCCCGTCCTGGCTGGAGCTCAGAATGGCCCAGGAAGCACCAGCTGGCCCACCCTCTGGGGAGGGCACAGACAGCACATCCCCACAGACCCTGCGAAATTCCACATGATCAGGACAGAGACTTTGAGAAATACATCACAGGGATCAGAAACATGGGCTGAGATTGGCACATCAAGGTGTTTTCTCGGGATGGTTGAAACAAGTCCAAGGTGGAACGGCAGTGGTCTGTGCCTGCCACACACTGGATGTTGTGCTGTGGAGACCGTGGTGTTCACACCTTTATTGACACCCGGATGAAACACCCACTGCGGGTGTGTGGGGAGGAGGCACAGCTCTGCCTCCATGAGGAAATGAGCCCAAGTGCTGAGTCTGAGTGGCCACATGGCAGTGGTTTCTGTTCTGTTTTTGAGCACGGCTCAGGTTCTCTGGGATGAGCACGTGTGCTCTTAGTGCTGAGAAACAAATCTCCGTGGCTAAAAGAGAACAGGCTAGGTGTCATGGCCCACACCTGGAGTCCCAGCACTTTGGGAGGCTGAGGCAGGGAAGTCGCTTGAGGCTAGGAGTTCCAGACCAACCTGGGCAACGTAGGGAGACCCTGCCTCCACCAAAAAAAAATAATAACTGGGTATGGTGGCATGTGTCTATGGTCCCAGCTACTCAGGAGACTGAGGTGGGATCAGCTGAGCCTGGGAGGTCAAGGCTGCAGCGAGCTGAGATTGTACCACTGTACTCTAGCCTGGGTGACAGAGCAAGATCCTGTCTCTAAAAAAAGAAAACAAAACGAAATGGCAGCAGAGCCAGGACAGCCCCTAGGTGCGGTGAGCAGGCGCCAGGCCCCAAGCTCCCGGGTGGGATTTGAGGGTGGGTCTTGGTGTGTTTCCTGCATTTTGGGGGGACTGGGAAGGCAGCCTGCTGGCTGATAGTGACCACAAAGCTCCCTTCCAGGAGGTGGAGATCGCCAGTGTGGACGCCTTTCAGGGACGCGAGAAGGACTTCATCATCCTGTCCTGTGTGCGGGCCAACGAGCACCAAGGCATTGGCTTTTTAAATGACCCCAGGCGTCTGAACGTGGCCCTGACCAGAGCAAGGTAGGGAGGCTGCCTGCTGCATGCTGCCCAGCCGCTCATCGGTCCTCACTTCCCAGGGAATTTGGGGCTAGGGTTGGGGGTTGCCAGGGCCAGAGGTCAGAGGACTCTGAGCAGCAGTTGAGAAACGATGTCTCACTGGAGAGATCTTTGTTTCCGTGTCCTGGGGGTTTGCTGTGGCCCCTGTGCCTCAGCCCAGCAGGACGTATTTTTCCAGGCCCTTCTGGTCTGATTCAAAATAAATCTTGTGTGTGTCTGTCAAGTTGTTTAATCTGAGAGGCTGTAAGTTTTGGTCCTGTCCACTATTTTTGGTTCTAAAATACAACTTTTGTGAACTGATGATAGCAGAAGGGACCCCGAGAACAAGGTGTCCATTCTGTCATCCCACATAAAACTAGACATCAGGCCAGGCATGGTGTCTCACACATGTAATCCCAGCACTTTGGGAGGCCGAGGCAGGTGGATCACCTGAGGTCAGGTGTTCTCGACCAGCCTAACATGGTGAAACCTCCTCTCTACTAAATACAAAAAAATGAGCCGGGCGTGGTGGCACATGCCTGTAATCTGAGCTACTTGGGAGGCTGAAACAGGAGAATCGCTTGTACCTGGGAGGAGGAGGTTGTGGTGAGCCGAGATTGCGCCATTACACTCCAGCCACTGGGCAACAAGAGCAAAACTCTGTCTCCAAAGGAAAAAAAAAAACACTAGACAGCAAGGACCCATTCACCAGCTGGAAGTTGGGGGGACCTGGCCTGTGGCTCCACCCAGCACAGGGAGAGAGCCTGGTGCTCCTTCCGGCTCATATGCGCGGTGGTTCTCCTCTAGGTCACCATGGCTTTGTCATTGGTTACTCCCTCTTTCTAAGGCGCCCTCTTGTTTGGTGGGCAGTATTGGGTGGGTCCCCCCACAGCTTCGTGAGGTGGGCTAGAGGAGCTGGGCATCGGGTCAGTGCCCCGGCCTGCTGGGGGCCCTGTGGGGCCGCGTGTGCCCCGGTGCCTGGAAGGCCGACTCTCTTGACAGCAGGTCTTCTCTCCAAACGTATCCACCCAGCCAGGTGTCTGCCATGGGGCTGCTTAGAGTCGGCCACAAAATCAACCCGTGTGCAGGGTCAGTGGCTTGGCATTGGGCTTTGGGGCCTGTCCCTGTGGCTGGCAGCCTGCCTGCTGCCCGGTCCACGCCTCTGTTGCCTTGGATTTGGGTTCTGAGTGAATGCAGCCTTGCCTCTTGGACCGTCCTGTGAGACGGGCAGCTCTCCACCTGCGTCCTCAGCACTGCGCCCTTGTTGCAGGTATGGCGTCATCATTGTGGGCAACCCGAAGGCACTATCAAAGCAGCCGCTCTGGAACCACCTGCTGAACTACTATAAGGAGCAGAAGGTGCTGGTGGAGGGGCCGCTCAACAACCTGCGTGAGAGCCTCATGCAGTTCAGCAAGCCACGGAAGCTGGTCAACACTATCAACCCGGTGAGCGCCTGCACAGGACAGCAGGGCAGCACGGAGAAACCCGGGCCCAAAACACTGCTGGGAACGTGCCAGCTTGGCCCGTGTGCCCGTGAGCTGAGGGAGGGCTCTCCTAGGGGAGGGTGGGCTCTCCTAGGGGAGGGTGGGCCAGCCCACTTCTTGTCTCCCGAGCCGTGTGTGGCATTTTTGGCTTGGGGCCGCTAAGTCCTGGGTGGCCTCTGGGAATTGGGCTCAGGGCTGCTGTGCTGCATGCAGCAGCCTGGGACCTTGGACACGGGCAGTTGGAAGCTTTGCAAGCCCGGGGTGATCTGGTAGTGAGGGGGTGTGAAGCTTCCTGAGCTGAGGCCCAAGGGTCAGCATCAGAGCCCAGGTCTGCCGAGGAGGGCAGGCGAGACCCAGAGGCCATGAGACAGCAGCTCCCTCCTGTCTCCAGGGAGAGCCCCTGGCACAGTGTCAACACCTCACAGCTGCATACCTGCCACCTCCCAGGCCACCGGGCCCGTGGGAAGTTGTTCCTTCTGTTGAGATGACAAATTCCTCACCTATCTAAACCTTCGCAGGGAGCCCGCTTCATGACCACAGCCATGTATGATGCCCGGGAGGCCATCATCCCAGGCTCCGTCTATGATCGGAGCAGCCAGGGTGAGTCGCTCAGCAGGGGACCTGGCCGACCCCTTGTCCTCACACCGGGATGCTGGCCGTTCCCATGGCTGCAGCTTTAGGTGCCCCCATCTTTCCTTCCCCTCAAGGGCGGTGCCTGGCTCCCTTGGCCTCCCCGCCCCTAGGGCATCTCTAGCCCCGGAACACTCCTGGGGTGTTTGTCTTTAACCAGAGTTTATTCATTTGTGTTTCCTGGTGATCAAGCTAGTTAGCTTTTTCTTGCCTTTTGGTAGGGCAGGGACTGCATGTAGTACAAATAGAACATTTTCATAAAAAGGATTTTTTTTTTCCTTTGGTAAATGCAGGGTGATTTTCATTTATTTTCTTTTTTTTGTTTAGAGACAGGGTCTCCCTATGTTGTCCAGGCTGGTCTCAAACTCCTGCCTCAAGCAGTCCTTCTGCTCAGCCTCCCAAAGTGCTGGGATTACAGGCGTGAGTCACTGCACCTGGCCAATTTGCAGGTGTTTTTTTTTTTTTTTTTTTTTTTGGAGACCGAGTCTCGCTCTGTTGCCCAAGCTGGAGTACAGTGGTGTGATCTTGGCTCACTGCAACCTCCCCCTCTGGGTTCAAGCGATTCTCCTGCCTTGGCCTCCCGAGTAGCTGGGATTACAAGCACCCACCACCATGCCCGGCTAGTTTTTGTGTTTTTAGTAGAAACGAGGTTTCGCCATGTTGGCCTGGCTGGTCTCAAACTCCTGATCTCAGGTGGTCCACCTCGGCTTCCCAGAGTGCTGGGATTATAGGCTTGAGCCAACACGCCCGGCCCCAATTTTCAGTTTTTAAGATCTGTGTAGGCCAATGATTCCCAGCAGACTCTCCTCGGGGAAGGTGCCTGCCCAAGCACCCAGCCCCAGGCAGGCTGCTGTAGTTAACATGGAGTCCTGCGAATCCGCATCTTCAGCCTGGGCAGAGCCAGGACAGATGTGCAGCTCCGGCTGACTGGCTGGTGGGGTGGGTGGGGTATCGCTGGGGTTTGACCGAGGCAGGTGACACCTGCCGTGTTCCACTGTGATTTGCAGGCCGGCCTTCCAGCATGTACTTCCAGACCCATGACCAGATTGGCATGATCAGTGCCGGCCCTAGCCACGTGGCTGCCATGAACATTCCCATCCCCTTCAACCTGGTCATGCCACCCATGCCACCGCCTGGCTATTTTGGACAAGCCAACGGGCCTGCTGCAGGTGAGCATCTGTGGCTGCGGCTGGGTGTGGCCCTCCTGAGAGCTCTTGAGGGTGTGCTTGTCTGCGAGGCCCTGGCCTCCTTCGGATCACCCTGGACTGCTGTCTTTCAGGGCGAGGCACCCCGAAAGGCAAGACTGGTCGTGGGGGACGCCAGAAGAACCGCTTTGGGCTTCCTGGACCCAGCCAGACTAACCTCCCCAACAGCCAAGCCAGCCAGGATGTGGCGTCACAGCCCTTCTCTCAGGGCGCCCTGACGCAGGGCTACATCTCCATGAGCCAGCCTTCCCAGATGAGCCAGCCCGGCCTCTCCCAGCCGGAGCTGTCCCAGGTGAGCCCGCCCCTGGGACGGGACTTACCTGAGTGAGGGTGGGGCTATGCACCTGAAACATTCCCTCTGAAGAGCCCCAGAGAGCTGGCCTGGCCCATGTCCACTGTCTGAATTACCTGTCCCTGGGCTGGGGTCATCAGAGTGGGTCTCCTGGGTCTTAGTTTGGGGACGGGTTTTCCATTCTTTTCTCTGGGGCTGCTGAGGGCTGGGTGGATGTGAGCACCCTTGGCCTGTGGCTTGCTTACCTCCTGACCTTGTCTTTCAGGACAGTTACCTTGGTGACGAGTTTAAATCACAAATCGACGTGGCGCTCTCACAGGACTCCACGTACCAGGGAGAGCGGGCTTACCAGCATGGCGGGGTGACGGGGCTGTCCCAGTATTAAAAGGCAAGCCCCCCTGGAGCAGGCCTGGCCCCACCCCAGCCTCAAGGAGAAGGATGGGAGGGGGCTCTCCCCAGGGAGCTGCACTGGAGGGGTGGTATCTGGAAATGTGTGCTGTGCCTGGTGGGGGTCATAGGCCCTCAGGGCCAGCTTGGCCTGTGCCCTTCACTGCTAGTCAGGGTGGCTCCTCACCCCACCCTACCCCATCCTGTCTGCTCCGGGGACCACCGCGGGACCTCAGTTTCCTCATCAGAGTCGGGGAGGGCAGCTCGGGCTCTCCCTCACTGTCCTGTGTGCTGGGTACCTGTGGGGCTCAGGTCGCAGCCTCTCACCGCCTCCTGCCCTTCTCCCTCCTGACAGGTGGCGGCGGAAGAGCTAAGCAACGTGGCTTAGTCCATCAGCATCTTATTCTGGGTAATAAAAAATAAAAATAAACGGATACCTGTTTTCCACTGCTAAAACTGAAGCACCACTGTGTGAGCAACAGGAAGGGAGAGCGCACGAGGGAGAGGAGCCGAGGCCGAGCGCCCCCTGCTGGCCCGCGGCGGCGAGGAGCAGAGGGAGCGGAGGAGGGGCCGGCCCGCGGGAGCCGCGGCCACCAGGAGGCCCCGCTCCGTCCCATCGGGGCTGCGGCCAGGGCGGAGGGAGGAAGACCCTCATCTCAGAGTAGCCCTTTCCTCTGTTCTTTTATTTCTTTTTCTCTTTGATTGAAAGGGGACTACGTCTTAGCAGGAAAAAAAACTTCGCATTTCTGTGCCCGAGCAGGCTCCTTGCAAAGACAGCAGCGTGCGGGGCAGAGCCCCGGGAGGGCGCGTCTGTCCACGCCTACCGGACGCGCCGAGGTCGCGCTGCCTGTGTTCTCCGAGGGCCTTCATTTAAAGAAAATAAGGGTGTTTTGGGTTTTTCTCTTTGTTTTTTTCAAGATTCTTTTAAAGGAGTACTGAAGAATACTTTCCTAAGTTTGTCTGTAAAATCTTAGCGGTGGACCTGGGAGATTTGAGAAGCTTCCAGAAACAGTTTAAACAAGCCAGCGCTACTGGAGAAGAGGAGCAACACCTGTGCCGCGGCCGGAGGAGTTTTGTTGTTGGTTTTAGCTTCCAGTGGCTTCTTTCTGCGGGGCATCAGGCTGCTGGGGTAGCCGCCCGCCGAGCCTGGAAGCTGCTCGTTCTCCGCTGGACTCAGAAGCCAAGCTGCTTCCCGCCTAGACTCGGCGCAGGGCCCCGCACCGGTGAGGAAGGTGCTTTTGGCCCCATTGCGAGGGGCCTTGGCCAGGACTGGCCCTGTGGCCAGGAGGCGAGAAGGTGGCTGTTCCCGGATTGACGGCTTTTTCCCGGGGGCCTTTGGAAGATTTGGTGGAAGGACAAGAGGGCCTGTCCCTGTCCCCGTCCCCAGGAGGTACCGACAGTCCCTGTGCTGGTTAGACACGGAGCGCTGCACACCGAAAGCCCAAATTGGGAGCTCTGCCTGCCGGCAACTTTGCTGATGGGGTGATTGCTGCTTCTGGGGGGTAAGGAAACAAGTTACAGAAATTACCGCGTTCTGTGTGAAGGGACTGAGGGTGTGGTGTCATTGGCAGAGGGTCATTTTAGGAGAGCTGCCCCAGCCCCTCGAACGCCTGGCTTGGGGTGTCATTCTGCCTGGCGGCCAGGCCTCCAGCTTCCCCTGCCCCGGGCCTGGGGCTGTCACTGGCCCTGATCCGAACACCTCCAGATTCCGGCTTCTACATGGGACAGACGGGGACGCACAGGCCACCTTCCTTCTGGCAGGGACTCTTATTTATTCCCATTGCTCTAGGGCTTTCGGTTTCCCCTTCTTCCGGTAGGCCGCGTAGAGGCATGCACCGGGTAGGTTTCCGCGGTGACCCCGCGGCGGCCTGAGGGACGCTCCCTGCCCCATCCCGGCTGTTGGGCTGGGCCGCTTTGCCTCTGCTTCGCCCTGTGCTGTGTTCTCCAGCTTTGTAGCAGCAGCCTTGACAAACCCAGGCGCACTGTACCAAGGCAATGTAACTTTTGATTTTCGGTCAATTTAAGTTCTTTTGTCACCAAATATTAATAAACAGTTTTGACTTCACACCAAGGTTGGATAAACTGCAGGGGGTGGAGGGTGCTGGGGTTTTGCCTTGGCTGAGTGACGGGTTGGGGTGTGAAGGAGGCCAGAGGGAGACAGGCAAAGCCCAGAAGGGACAGGTCTGCCTTGCAGGACTGAAGGGCGACCCCTGCCCCTGGGCCCTTCCCGTAGGCAGCACCTGGGCCTGTCCGGGCGGCTCCCCGGAGTGGCGCGTTAGGCCTCTGGCAGGTGGCCTGGAGGTGGAAAGGCCTATCCGATCACCAAGACTGAGGGGCGCCCTCCCCACCACCCAGGCAAGGAGTCCAAGGAGACCAGCGGAGCAGACCACGCGGCATTTATTGTTGGGCCCGCGTCCCTGCCCGCCCCGGGTTAGCGGCAGCCGCACTCGTCCACCACCATGTCCTCATACTGCCGCAGCACCACGTTGTCGCTGTTGTCAAAGAAGAGCACGGAGATGGGCGACAGGCGCGCGGGCACGCAGCAGGGCAGGTCGGCGGCTCCCGGGGCGGCCGCGTGCATGAGCGCGCGCAGCACAGCGTGGTTGAGCGCCGGCGGCCCCCCGGACCCCGACAGCGCGACGGGCAGCGCGCACTGACCCTGGCAGTAGTTGGCCAGGAAGCCGCGCGGCGCGATGACCCAGCGGTGCCAGCCCACCTCGCGGAAGCTCACGTACAGCCGCCGCGCGCGACAAGCGCCCCCGGGGCCGCCGCCCAACACGGGTTCGGCGTCGCGCCGCGGCCGGGCCAGGGGGTGGCACAGGCGCGGGTCGAGGGTCACCAGCAGCAGCGAGGCCTCGGCCAGGCGCGCGCAGGCGGCAGGGGCCCGGGGGCGTAGCGCCAGCGCCAGGCGGAGGCTGCGCGGCCATGAGGCGTTGCGAGCCCAAGCGGCGCCCAGCAGCTCCGCGCGCACTGGCGGCCCCAGGGCGGGCACCAACTGGCGGAGCAGCACCGGCCCGGGGTCCGCGCCCGCGCCCTGGCCCGCTTGCGCCACGCTCAGCTCCCAGCCGCCCTCCGGGGCTGCCGCCGCCGCCGCCGCGAAACGCAGCTCCAGGCGGGCCCGGCTCGGGCGCTCAGCGGGTTCCACAGCCGACAGGTCGAAGACGACTGTCCACTCAGGGCAATGCCCCGCGGCCGAGGCAGGCTCCGAGGCCCGGGTGGGCGCACCTGGGGAGGTAGGAACAGGAACTCGGCTCGCGCTGCGTCCCCGGCCTGCCCATGGGGTCTCGGTTAGGGACAGGGAGGAAGGTGAACGCTGGGGCTCGGGGCGCACCGTCTGTGGGAAGGGTGTGAAGCGGCGGGGTGGGCTGATGGAGTGGGGGCAGGGCATGAGTTCCAAGGAAGGCGCCCTGCGGGGTGCGGCGGGGGGGGTGGGCTGCCCTCGGCGGGGGGCATAGGAGGAGGGGTGGCCGAAGTGGGAGACATGAGCCAGAACCTGGGCCCCTGGGGAAGCCATGCTAGGGTGTGGGGATGGCATCTGCAGGAAGGCATTAGTGTCAAGAGGTGGGGGTGGGCATGGGGTGGGGACAGGGCTTCAGCATCAAGCAGAAGGACTGGTCTTGGGAACCCCCTGACATGTGTCCCCGGCGTGCAGCAGATGACGAGGAAAGGGTGAGGTGCGGTGGCCGAAGTTGCTAGTAGCCTGGACAGGGCGGGTGGGGACCCTCGGAGCTGCTCGGGCATCCCCGGGCCACTCTCGAGGCTCGCCCTGCGAGGTCTGGCCTCCAGGACCAGTGTCCCCAGCGAAAGCCCCACTCACCGCGGTCCGGGATGTGGCGCACGATGTTTCCGGCGACCCCCAGCTCCTCCACGTGGCACGGTTGCAGGGTGACCCCTGGGGACGTCCGCCGCGAGCCAGACCTGGTCTCCTGGGGGTCCCGGCGTCGAAACAGGCGCCACATGACCGGGGGAACCGGCCGGAGCCTGGGGGCACCCTGGGGCTCATCGCGCAGTCCTAGAGCCTGGAGCAGGGCGGCGGCTGGGCCTGGGGGCACGGGGGCGCGGGTCAGGGGCAGCGAGGGCAGCAGCAGGGCCAGGAGGAGGAGGAGGTGGTGGCCGCAGGGACCTTGCTGCGGCGGTGGCATCTTCCTCCCAGGCGATGACCAGAGAGTGCGCAGGGTCCGCGGCGGCCCGGGACCAGTGGGCTGAGGGCGGGGCCGGTGTCCCCGGAGGGGCAGGGGTCCTGGGGGGCGTGGCCGGGAACTGGAGGCAGGATGAGGGGGCGGGGTCCCAGGGGAGGTGGCGGCGGCCCTAGAGGAGCAGAGTTGGAGGGGGTGGAGGGGCGGCCAAGGACGGGGAGCGTGGCCGGGGTATTCGGGGTGGGGCCGGGTCCACGGGGGCGGGGCCGAGGGGTTCAGAAGCGCTTGTCCTTCACCAGGCCGTTCCTCAGTGGCTTCCTGGGGGTCAGAACCGGCGCAGGTTAGCCTGGGAGCCCCACGCGGCCGCCTGGCCCTCTTTCCCGCTTCTTCTCTGGCCGTTTCACACCCCCTGGCTCCTTTTACCCGGCCAGGCCCGGGCCTCGCCTTGTGGCTTCCTCCTCGCCTTCACCCTGCCCCTCCTTGCCTTCACCCTGCCCCTCCTTCAACCTGCCCCGTAGGCACGTATGTCCCCCCTGGCACCCTGGCACTTCCTCCTTGCTTCCCCCTCTCCAATTAAACCTTCCTCTTCCCCTCCTCCCTGCCTCTCCAGGCCGCTGGAGGGCAAAACCCACGTACCGGCCTGGGCCTGACAACTCCACCGCCTCCACAGTGGGACCCTGCACATCCTCCTCTCCTCTGCCACCCACCCCACGAAGGCTAGTCCTTGACTCCAGTGGCCCTGGCTGGCATCTGCTGTCTCCACCTACTTCCCTTCCATGTTCTTTTATTTTCCTTTTTTTTTTTTGGTCTTACTCTGTGGTCCAGGCTAGAGCTGTGGCACAACCTCCAAGGCTCAATGGATCCTCCCACCTCAGCCTCCAGAGTAGCTGGGATTACAGGGGCACGCCACCACTCCCAGCAATTTTTTTTTTTTTTTTTTTTTGAGACAGAATCTTGCTCTGTTGCCTAGTCTGGAGTGTGGTGGCACAATCTCAGCTCACTGGAACCTCTGCCTCCTGAGTTCAAGCGATTCTCCTGCCTCAGCCTCCTGAGTAGTGTGGTGGCACCTGCCACCACACCCAGCTAATTTTTGTATTTTTAGTAGAGACAGGGTTTCACCATATCACCCAAGCTGGTCTTGAACTCCTGACCTCAGGTGATCCGCCCACCTTGGCCTCCCAAAGTGCTGGGATTACAGGCGTGAGCCACCGTGCCTGGCCCCAGCTAACTTTTTTTATTGTTTGTTGAGATGAGGTCGCTATGTTGTAGAGGTGAGGTTGCTATGTTGTCCAGGCTGGTCTCAAACTCCTGGGCTCAAGCAGTCAGCCCTCCTCCGCCTCCCAAAGGGCTTCTGTCACTTTAATTCGCTCTTCTCTTAGGCTGAAGCTCAGCTTCTCTGCATGCATTTCACAGCCAACTGGCTGTCCCCATCCAAGGACTGTTGGTCTTTATCTGAGAGGAGATAAGCCTTGCTTGGACCTCCCATCTGTCACTTGTCTTCTGATTTTGCCTGTGATCCTTGAGACCGTGAGTGGCGTTTCTTCATCCACCCTTGTGGCTTCTCGATTCTTCCCATAAACAAACCTCCGTGACACACTGTCCCCTTTTGGCTCTGGGATGACTCCAGGGATTCCATTTCTGCATCGACACCTTTGGTATAAGGTGGGGGTTTGCCCTAAGGCTTATGGGAAACAAAGACACACCCTCACTGTGTTTTCCAGAGGGTCCCCGTGCTTTCCATTCCTGCCCTCCAGGATGGTCTTTAGTATTTGCTAAAGGTTTTAAGGTCTTAGGTTAGTTTCTCCACTCAGTTCCCACAGAGAGTATAGATTCCTCTAATGGTAAAGTTTAGCATCCTCGGTGATGGGTGCCCCCGCCCTGGGGCTTTTTATCAGAGCTTTCCTGCTGATTCTTGTTTGTTTTTTCTGCAAAAGCTTCAAAGTGTTCTCTACCCACTCAGAAACAGCTGTCAGTATTTGCCTTTTGAGGTGTGGGTGGCGGTGTACCCACCTTGGGGGAGATAGCTTTTCTCTGTTATCTTTTTTTCTTGTTTTGTTTTTTTTTGAGATGGAGTCTCGCTCTGTCGCCCAGGCTGGAGTGCAGTGGCGCAATCTTGGCTCACTGCAACCTCTGCCTCCCAGGTTCACGGGATTCTCCTGCCTCAGCCTCCCCAGTAGCTGGGACTACAGGCATGCAACACCATGCCCGGGGTAATTTTTTTTTTTTTTTTTGAGACGAAGTCTCGCTCTTGTCCCCCAGGCGGGAATGCGGTGGCACGATCTTGGCTCACTGCAACCTCTGCATCCTGGGTTCAAGTGATTCTCCTGCCTCAGCCCCCCAAGTAGCTGGGATTACAGGCGCCTGCCACCACGCCCAGATAATTTTTGTATTTTTAGTAGAGATGCGGTTTTACCATGTTGGCCAGGCTGGTCTAGAACTCCTGACCTCAGGTGATCCACCCGCCTCAGCCTCCAAAGTGCTGGGATTACAGGCGTGAGCGCCGCGCCTGGCTAATTTTTATATTTTTAGTAGAGATGGGATTTCACCACGTTGGCCAGGTTGGTCTCGAACTCCTGACCTCAGGTGATCCATCCGCCTCAGCCTCTCAAAGTGCTGGGATTTATGGGCGTGAGCCACCATGCCGGGCCGAGATGGCCTTACTCTGATGGACACCTTTTGGCTTCTATCCACCACTGTGGTGAAAAGAGCCAGAGCGAGTGTGCAGAGAGAGAAGGATGATGCAGGCACTTTCTAGATGTTTCTTCATAGATGAGGAGGAGAGGGAGACAGAGGAGACAAGACCCCCTGGGCTCTTGCAAGGGTTTTGCCCCAAATTGCTGTCAACACCGATAGACTAGTGTTGACACTAGTCTATCACTAGAGAGGGAGTCTGGGGTGAAATTGGGGGCTGATTTGAGATATTTTAGAAGATGCTGGAAATGTCAAACACGGGAGATGGAGAATGGCACTCAGGGGAGCTGCGTGGCTAGGAGAGAAATGTAGGAGTCGGTGTGGATTAAGTGTGGGTAGAGAAAGGGCCCCAGAAGAGAAGGAGGCCAGCCAGGAGGCCAGAGAGACAGAGCAGGAGTGCAGAGTAAATAAAGGGCTTCAAGGGCCAGGCGCAGTGGCTCACGCCTGTAATCCCAGCACTTTGGGAGGCTGAGTCAGGTGGATCACCTGACCCTAGGAGTTTGAGATCAGCCTGGGCAACACAGTGAGACCCCATCTCTACAAAAATTTTAAAAATTAGCCGGGGCCAAGCATGGTGGCTGATACCTGTAATCCTAGCACTTTGGGAGGCCAAGATGGGTGGATCACCTGAGGTCAGGTGTTCAAGACCAGCCTGGGCCAACATTGTGAAACCTCATCTCTACTAAAAAAAATACAACTATTAGCCAGGTGTGGTGTACACGCCTGTAATCCCAGCTACTCGGGAGGCTGAGGCAGGAGAATCGCTTGAACCTGGAAGGCGGAGGTTGCAGTGAGCCGAGATCTCACCACTGTACTCCAGCCTGGGTGACAGAGCGAGACTCTGTCTCGAAAAAAAAAAAAAAAGAAGAAGAAGGGGAGGGGACTCTCTGGGGTTAGCACCAAGAGAGCCACATGGGAGCTGGACAGGAGTGGTCTTCGGGATGGGGGGAGGAAGATGGGGCACAGCTGGGTTTGAGGAGGACCCAGGAGGATCTAGGAATTCTGCTACAAGGGAGGGAAAACAGGCTGATGAGGCCAGTGGTGGAGAAGAGCAGAGAGCACGTTCTCTCCTGGGTTGAAATGTCCTTGAATAGGCAAGCTGGGTGAACATCCCTAGCCTCAGAGAGAGGGACTGTTGTCCACTGTAGCAGCAGCTGGACATCCTCACCCGGCCACTTCTGCTTTCTTGGGGACATGTTGGCCAGATTATCAGTGCAGGAGATGATGATGATGGGGACAGCTGGTGCCCAGGAACCCTCAGGAGAGAAGATGCTCCTACATGGGCCAGATGTAGGTGCTGAAGTTCACAGTTTTCTATTTTTATTTTTTGAGACAGGGTCTTGCTCTGTTACCGCAGCTGGGGTGCAGTGGTGCAGTCATGGCTCACTGCAGCCTTGACCTCCTGGGCTCAAGCCATCCTCCAGCCTCGGCCTCCCAAAGTGCTGGGATTACAGGTGTGAGTCACCGTGCCCAGCCCAGTTCTTTAGAACTGCTGCAGGGGCAGTGGCAGGTGCAGCAGAGGTGAAAATGGGATTTACGGAGCATTGAGTGCAGGTCACCAGATCCAGAGAGAGGTGAGAGTGTCTCAACGGATGGCCGGTCCCGGCAGCCCCTGAGAGGGCAATGGGGACTTTGGACAGAGGGGCTGAGTCATGACAAGGACATGGGAGTGACCACAAGGAAGCTACGGGCGTCAGTGTAGGAGAGAAGGGTACTGGCTACCCACATCACCAGGGGTCCCCTGAGGGCCATGAGGAGGACAGGGAATTCAGGGGAAGGGGTACAGATGAGGGGACCCTGGAGGTGAGGCTGCTCAAGAAGCAGCAATGGGGTGAGATGGGGTGAGGAAGAGATCAAGCCAATTAATTGCTCTCTGATTTGCTTCACGCCTCCTGAGTTACCTAAAAGTGGTTCTCGGTCTTGGTTTTCTGAAGGGTTCCAATCCTGATTGAATTTTCGGAACCAGGCAAAGTGGCTCATGCCTGTAATGCCAGCACTTTGGGAGGCTGAGGTGGGAGGATTGCTTGAGGCCATGAGTTTGAGACCAAACTGGGTAATATAGTGAGATCTCGTCTCTACAAAAACACTTTAAAATTAGCTGGATATGATGGTGGGTGCCTGTGGTTCCAGCTACTTGGGAGGCTGAGGCGGCAGGATCACTTAAGCCCAGGAGGTTGAGGCTGCAGTGGACTATGATTGAGCCAGTGCGCTCCAGCGTGGGCGACAGAGTGGGACCGTCTCTAAAAAAAAAAAAAAAGAAAGAAAGAAACAGGCTGGGCGCGGTGGCTCACGCCTATAATCCCAACAATTTGGGAGGCTGAGGCAGGAGGAACACTTGAGGTCAGGAGTTCAAGACCAGCCTGGCCAACATGGTGAAACCCCATTTGTAAAAATACAAAAATTAGCTGGGTCTGGTGACACACGCCTGTAGTCCCAGCTACTCAGGAGGCTGAGGCAGGAGAATTACTTGAACCTGGGAGGCGGAGGTTGCAGTGAGCTGAGATCACACCACTGCACTCCAGCCTGGGCGACAGAGCGAGACACTGTCTCAAAAAAAAAAAAAAAAGAAGCTTTTGGATTCAACTGTTAAAACGGTAATCCACCTGGAATCCTCTCTCTGCTGTGGAGAGCTTTCTTTTATTAAACTTTTGCTCCAACCTCGGCCTTTGTGGCCACGTTCCTTAATTTTCTTGGTCATGAGACCACAAGCTCAGACAACACCTTAGACAACAAGACCAGTGACCCTGACCTGCTTCACCATGATAAGTGTCCTTATGAGAGAGAAGAGAGACAGAAAAGAAGAAGAGAAAGCCCTGGGAAGACGGAGACTGAGACTGGAGCAATGCAGCCATAAAACAAGAAATGCCTGGAGCCACCAGAAGCCCAAGAGGCAAGGAGGGGATCCTCGCTTAGAGTTCCCAGAGGGAGCACCGCCCAGCTGACCTTGATTTTGAACATCTGTCATCCAGAAATATTAGAGAATAAGTTCCTGTGGTTTTAAGTCACAAGCTTGTGTTCCTTTTGTTATAGAGTTCCTGGGAAAGTAACATTCAATGCCTTTTTTTCACTGCAACCTCTGCCTCCCGAGTTCAAGCGATTCTCCTGCCTCAGCCTCCTGAGTAGCTGGGATTGCAGGCGTGCGCCATCATGCCTGGATAATTTTTCGTATTTTTAGTAGAGATGGGGTTTCACCATGTTAGCCAGGCTGGTTTCCAACTCCTGACTTCAAGTGATCCACCTGCCTTGGCCTCCCAAAGTGCTGGGATTACAGGCGTGAGCCACCGCGCCTGGTCTTCAATGCCATTTTTGATGGTCTCTCATACCTGTTTTTAAAATAAACTTTTTTGTTTGTTTTGGTTTGTCTTTTTTCTTTGTTTTGAGACAGGGTCTTGCTCTGTTGCTCTGGAGTATAGTGGTGTGATCACGGCTCACTGCAGCTCCCTGGCTTAAGTGATCCTCCCACCTCAGCCTCCTGAGTAGCTGGGACTATAGGTGTGTGCCACAACACATGGCTGTTTTTTGTTTTGTTTTGTTTTGATTGGGTTGTGTGTGTGTGTGTGTGTGTGTGTGTGTGTAGGAACTGCATATCCCTATATTGCCCAGGCTGGTCTTGAACACCTGGCCTCAAGCCATCCTCCTGCCTTGGCCTCCCAAAGTGCTGGGATTACAGACGTGAGCCACCACGCCTGGCCAAACTTTTTTATTTTAGATTAATTTTAGATTTACAGAGATGCTACAAAGGGAGTAGAGGGAGCTCCTGTCACCTCCATCCAGCTCCCCTGACATTACAGCTTACATTTCCATGGCACATGGGTTGCAGCTAAAGAAACCGACATTGGTGCTTTGCTATTAACTAAACTCTCCACATGATTTGAATTCACCAGCTTCTTGGTGAAGGTCCCTTTCCTGGTCCAGGAGCCCATGCTGCAGGTGGCATCTGTCTCCTTGGTCTCCTCTGACCCTGGATTGTTCCTCGGTCTTTCCCTGATTCCCATGATCTTGACAGTTTCTGGGCATCCTGACGGGCTCTTTTGGAAGACGTCTCTCAGCCTGACTGCCTTCGTCCCATCCTGTTTTATACCCAACTGCACTAACTCCGGCTGTCCTTGGAGAATCGAATTCTGCTGGTGGTGCCTATGGGATCAATCATCACAGGGTGTTCCCTGATACTCTCTGGCACTTCTGTACAGGGTGCATGCTTTGCTGTCCTAGAGGACATGCCAGCTCTTACCCTGTGTTCTGATGAGACATCCTCAGCGGGGACAGAGCCAGACACTGGTGGGGCTGGGAGGTCTGGCTTCCTCTTGTTCTGGGTTCTGCACCTCCGAGGATGTCCCCACCATGAGCTCACTGTTCTACAGCAAGAGGACCTTCCTGGTGTCTAGATGTGGCCAAACTGGTGCCCCCTTTAGCCATCGCCACCTTTGGAAGACTCCTTGGAGAGACCTAGCTGATCTCTGGAGAATTCCCGACTCAGGCCGGCTGCAGTGGCTCATGCCTGTAATCCCAGCAGCTTTGGGAGGCTAAGGCATGTGGACCACTTGAGCCCAGGTGTTTGAGACCAGCCTGAGCAACATGAGGAAACCCCAGCTCTACAAAAAATACAAAAGTTAGCACAGCATGGTGGTGCATGCCTGTGGGCCCAGCTACTTGGGAGGCTGAGGCAGGAGGATCACTTCCTGGGCCTGGGAGGCGGCGGTTGCAGCGAGCCGAGATCGTGCCACTGCACACTCCAGCCTGGACGACAGAGTGAGACCCTGTCTCAAAAAAAAAAAAAAAAAAGAATTCTTGACTCATGCTCAAAGGACAGCGCAATCTAACACCCTCAAAAGGAGGCTCCTAACGCCGCATCTGCCAGAACCCATGTGACCCTCTGCCCCAATCCCATCTCAGTCAATACCAGCTCGAGCCAAAAGTCTTGAGTCGTCTTTGATTCTTTTATTTCTGTTTCATCTACACCCAAGGCGAATCTGATGGGTTCTCCCTTCCAAACAGGGTGGGGGGTCTGACGCTCCTCTGCCTGGCTACAGCCCCGGATGTGTTAAATGTCTGCATCTCGCACCTCCCGTTCCAAAAAACGTCACGGAGCTCTGAGCCACTGCTTCCCTGAAACCATCGTTCCCACGTCACCGATGGCCCCCACCGGCCAAATCAGAGGGCCTGGCTGGTCGGCACCTTCCAGGGCCTTCCACAACCTCCTGCCCCGGCTCCTGCTCAAACACTCCTCACGTTGCCTATGAGACACTGCACACCCGACTCTGCTTGTTACCCAGTTTGGCCTCCGTTCATCCCTGGCCCAGACACCCCCTGCCTGCCCCAGGCCTGGGGCTTCGGACACCATCTGGCTGTCACCCAGGGCTGGTGAGGCTCGTGGGCTATCTCCTTCCCCAGGACTCCCACCTGGGCTGGACTGAGTCTGAGCTCCCAGCCCCAGCTCCTGTTTGGCCGGGCAGTGGGCTCCCCTGTCAAACTCAGAGGCCAGGATGTCTCGGCCCAGATGGAGCCTGGGTTCTCTCTGTGGCCCTTGGCGTTCCTTCCTCCCCAGCCCCACTGCCACCAGCTCCAGTGGCGACATGGGTCAGAGGTCGTCATCCAGGCTGGCCAGCAACTACTCCTCACCACCCACAGGGCCCTGGCTCGCCACTCCCGCCACACCAGCCACTAGGCCTGGCCCTCAGTGTCCCTACCGCTGAGACCCTGCCTGTCGCCCTGCCTGCCCCTCCCCAGCCTCTCCCTCCCCTTCCTCACTGTCCTGTCCTTCAGGGTACTGGCCACATCGTCCACGCCTTTATTGCAGTCTCTGTTTTGGAGTAGGCTTGGGGGGCAGCATCCGCGTCGGCCTCATCTGCTGCTGGGTCTTGGGGGCCTGCCCACGAACACGCTTGGACGGGTGACACTAAAGGAGGGAACGCGGGGTGCGGGCCCCTCCACACTCACTCGGCTTTGCTGGGCTTCAGGCTCTGGGCCTCGGCTGTGTCATACTCCCGCAGGTCCTTCAGCTCGTGCACCTGGCCTGTCAACACCTTGGCTGCAAACGCCACGATGTACTGCGAGAGGGGAGGGGAGGTGCCAGTGAGAAGAAAGCCCCCACGCCACTGCCCTGCTGACAGCCATGTGCTCCTGTCCCGGGCCCTCCACACGGGCTGTCTGCCACCTAACGTGCCCCTCCCCGGGACTGCCTGAGGAGGGGACAGGGATTGGGACGAGGACGGGACCGCCACTGTGGAGGAGAGCCGGGGCCGACTCACCAGGAACCAGTAGAGGTTCATAAGGGTGAGCAGCAGCAGGAGCGCATTGAAGAAGAAGTAGAAGGGGATGTCAGGCACCGTGCGCAGACTGCAGTGACTGGTGGCATACAGGACCTTGAGCGGGAACCAGTAGAGGCGGAACCAGAACCTGCGGTGGGAGGAGTCAGGAGGCCGTGGGTGGAGGGGGACGGTGCCCTACCCAGTCCCTGTCCTATCCCGTCCTAGACCCACCCTTGCCCCCTTATCCCATCCTTGCCCACCTCTGCCCACCTGTTTCTACTACTGCTCTGTCCTTCCCCTCCCCTGCCATGCCCCGCCCACCTCGCCAAGGCCCCACATCCTTCCCCGCCTGGCCCCCCACTTCCCTGCCAGGCCTCACCCACCTCGCCAAGGCCCCACCTCCTCCCCTTCCCAGTCCCTCCCCTTCTCTGCTAGGCCCCACCTACCTCACCAAACCCCACCTCCTTCCCTGCCCAGTCCCTCCCCTTTCCTGCCAGGCCCCACCCACCTCACCAAGGCCCCACCTCCTTCCCTGCCCAGTCCCTCCCCTTCTCTGCCAGGCCCCGCCCACCTCACCAAGCCCCCACCTCCTTCCCTGCACAGCGCCTCCCTTTCTCTGCCAGGTCTTCCCCACCACACCAAAGCCCTACCTCTTTCTCTGCCTAGCCCTACCCCAACCCTGCTTGGCCCCACCCCTGGCTTGCTCTGTATTAGTCTAGCTCTTCCCCTTCCATGCCTGGCCCAACCTATCTCACCAGGCCCCTCCCCTTCCTGGATCCACCCACCTCACCTGGCTTATCCTTTTCTGCCCAGCCCCACTCCTAGCTCAGTTGGCCCCACCCTTGTCCTACTCCTTTCCTGTATAGCCCCGCCCCTTCAGTCCCACCCAAATCATGAGGCCCCTCCCCTGTCATGCCACACACCCACCTCACCGGGCCCCGCCTCCTTCCCTGCCTGGTCCCGCCCCTTTTCTGGACACACCCACCTCACCAGGCCACACCTCCCTCCCTGCCCAGCACTCCCTACCACTCACCAGCTGAAGCCGAAGCTGAGGCAGCCCAAGTCTGCTGCCAAGGCATGCAGCCGATGGTAGGAGCCGCCGCGGGACTTGAAGTAAATGTTGAGCTTGGTGAACTCAAGCTGCACGTCACTGATATCGTGCAGGAAGAGCACAAGGATGCCCACATTGTGGTACCTGGGGGAGCAGCAGGCAGAGAGGAGAGGGCAGCTCACATTGGGGGACCTCCACTCTGCACTAAGGCCCCCAGCAGAGTCCCTGGGCTACACCTCAGGCTCCCCGTGGGCCTCTTCAAAGCCACCCTTCCTGCCTCGCCTGCCCTGCCCATCTCCACTTCCCAGGATGCCCTTTCCTCACTGTCCCCCACTTAGCCGTGCACCCCCAACCAGACCCTCATCTTCCCTGCCTCAGTGTCCCCATGTGGCCCAGGGAGCTCCCTGGAAGTTTATTTTTCTTTTGAGACAGGGTCTTGCTCTGTGGCCCAGGCTGGGGTGCAGTGGTGTGATCGGGCCCACTGCAGCCTCAAACTCCTAGGCTCAAGTGATCCTCCCACCTCAGCCCCCGGAGAAGCTGGGACTACAGGAAAGCAACACCACACACGGCTAATTTTTTTAATTTTTAGTAGAGACTGGGTCTTGCTATGTTGCCCAGAATGGCCTCAAACTCCTGGGCTCAAGCGATCTTCTCACCTTGGCCTCCCAAAGTGCTGGGATTACAGGCGCGAGCCACTGTGCCCGGTCTTGGAAGTTCCTTGCTGGCCCCTCCTCATCTTGGTGACCTCTGACCCTCTATGACCCCCGACTCTCACAGGCCTGGGGTACTCTGTGTCCAGATCCTCCATGAGCTTGTCCCTCACTTTGGACACCACCACCATGATGAGACTTCCAGGTCTGTACGTGCAGCCTGGCCATCGCTGCAGGAAAGGCCTCTGCCGCAGCCCATCAGGATCCTTTTTTTTTTTAATTTTTTTTTTTTTTTGAGACAGAGTCTTGCTCTTGTTGCCCAGGCTGGAGCGCAATGGCACGATCTCAGCTCACCGCAACCTCCACCTCCCGGGTTCAAGCAATTCTCCTGCCTCAGCCTTCCCAAGTAGCTGGCATTACAGGTATGTGCCACCACGCCCAGTTAATTTTGTATTTTTAGTAGAGACGGGGTTTCACCATGTTGGTCCCGCTGATCTCGAATTCCCAACCTCATGTGACCCACCCGCCTTGGCCTCCCGAAGTGCTGGGATTACAGGTGTGAGCCACCGTGCCCGGCCCCATTAGGATCTTAATAAGCCCGAAGGCCATCCCCTGTCCTTCCACAGAGTCTCCATCTGACAGATGAGCTGCCCGAGGGTCCTGGATTCACCCTGGACGTGGGGAAGTGTCTCTCACCAAGTCCCTGTTCCTTGCTCTGTCTCCTGACAGCTCCTGGGCTCCTGCCACAGGTCCTTTGCACGTGCTGTCCCCATGACCCAGCATGCCAGTGCCTGGCATTCAGCACCTCCCTTCACTCCTTTCAGTCTCTGCTCATCTGCTCATCTGTCACCCCCAGACCAACTAACACCTAACACCTGCAGCCACAATTTTTTTTTGGAGACACAGCCTCACTCTGTTGCCCAGGCTGGAATGCCTCGGCTCACAGCCACCTCTGCCTCCCGGGTTCAAGCGATTCTCCCACCTCAGCCTCTTGAGTAGCTTGGACTACAGGCACTCATCACCATGCCCAGCTAATTTTTTTATTTTTAGCAGACACAGGGTTTCACCATGTTGGCCAGGCTGTTCTCAAACTCCTGACCTCAGGTGATCCACCCACCTCGGCCTCCCAAAGTGCTGGGATTACAGGCATGAGCCACTGCACCTGGCCTTTTCTCCATAATTCTTATCACCTTCAAATGAACTGTTCCTTCCTTCCTTTTTGGTTCTATCATCTGATTCTGCCCTCTAGAGAGCCTTGAATTATAGAACTTTCTAGAACTATGGGAATGTTCTAAACCTGTACTGTCCAACATGGGAGCCACCAGCCACTTGTGGCCACTGAGCCCTTGAACTGTGGCTTGTGTGGCTGAGGAATGGAATAGGGGCTTTTTAAAATTATTTTTTAAACTAACCAGACGTGGTGGCTCACACCTGTAATCCCAGCACTTTGGGAGGCCGAGGCAGGTGGATCACTTGAGGTCAGGAGTTCGAGTCCAGCCTGGCCAACATGGTGAAACCCCATCTCTACTAAAAATATAATAATTAGCCGGTGTGATGTCATACCCCTGTAATCCCAGCTACTTGGGAGGCTGAGGCGAGGCGGGAGGATTGCTTGAACCTGGGAGCCGGAGGTTGCAGTAAGCCAATGTCATGGCACTGCACTCCAGCCTGGGCGACAGAGCGAGACTCTGTCTCAAAAAAATAAGTAAGTAAATAAATAAGATAAAGTAATTTTAAAAATGTATTTATGTACGTGTTTGTTTATTTTTGAGACGGAGTCTCGCTCTGTCGCCCAGGCTGGAGTGCAGTGGCATGATCTCGGCTCACTGCAACCTCCGCCTCCCGGGTTCATGCCATTCTCCTGTCTCAGCCTCCTGAGTAGCTGGGACTACAGGCGCCCACCACCACGCCCAGCTAATTTTTGTATTTTTAGTAGAGACACGGTTTCACTGTGTTAGCCAGGATGGTCTCGATCTCCTGACCTCATGATCCGCTCGCCTCGGCCTCGCAAAGTGGTGGGATTACAGGCGTGAGCCACCGCACTCAGCCTAAAAATTTATTTATTAGAGACAGGGTCTCCCTACGTTGCCTAGGTTGAACTCAAACTTCTGGGTTCAAGCAATCCTCCTGACTCAGCCTTCTAAGTAGCTGGGGGACTACAGGCATGAGCTACTGCTCCTGGAGTTTTATTTAAGTCTAATTAAAGTTGAAAGGGCCACCTCTTTGTTGCTCTATATTTGTGGGGCGTGGCTACCCTATTATCGCAGCTAGAGCAGCTAGTCCCGTAGGAATAGTATATGAGCAGTGTATTTCATTTTAAAGTTTCTATTGGCCACATTTAACAAGAAAGAGAAAAGAACAGGTAATATTAATTTTAATAATGCATTCTAATTAATTCAGTATATCCAAAATATTGTCATTTCAATATGGAGTCGAGATAACAAGGCCAGGCGTGGTGGCGCACACCTGTAATCCCCACACTTCGGGGAGCTGAGGTGGGAGGATCACTTGAGCCCAGGAGGTCCAGGCTGCAGTGAGCAATGGTCACGCCACTGCACTCCAGCCTGGGTGACAGAGTGAGACCTTGTCTCAAAAAAAAAAGAGAGAGAGAAATAAAAGGGTGGATAAGATATTTTCACTCGTTTGTATGTGAAGGCTTTGAAGCCGGGTGGGTTTTATGCACACAGCATGGTGAGGTTTGGACAGACTCCATCTGAAAGGCTCACTGACGGCTGTGGTTGGCTCTAGAACATCAGGGTGTGTCAGCTGCGTTCACAGCCATGCCCCCATTGCTTGGGCGTGGCAGGTGCTCAGGAACTCCTGGGTGTGTGACCTGGCTGGTCAAGGGCAGCGTCTGAAGAGCTGGGTGGGTGAGTGGGGTGGGGTGGCTATGGCTCTCTGGGCCTGTTTCACCCCATCCCAGCGGAATCTCCCTCAGGAATCTCCGGGCCCACATCCCCTCCTCAGCCTTCCTGCCTCTGGTCTGTCCCCTCGTCGGACCCCTGAGCACTCTGACCTTGGAACCCTGAGCACTCCGACCTGATGTGATCCCCTCCACGGCCTCCTCTGTGCCCCGCCGCAACATCAGCCTCCGCACTCTGTGTGGGCTGTGCCTCGGCCCCCTGCCACCCGATCCTGTCCTTACCGGAAGGCGTAGGAGGAGACGATGAGGATGAGAGTGACCACGTGGTGGAGCAGCATGACCACCGAGTCCTTGCGCCAGGTGTCCATGTATAGCGTAGCGTAGATGGAGTGGCCATAGAAGCTTCCCTGGAGCAGGTAGGCGGCTGCAATGTCCCGTGGCACTGCCATGCCCGGCGTCCAGTCTGGGGAGAGCCAAATCTCACAGTCAGGGCCCTGCGAAGCCTCTAGACGATCGCCTCCATGACCCGGTGACACCCTCCAAGCCACACGTGTCCTCCCAGTACCCAGGTAACCATGCGTGTCTGACTGCTGGCTTTCCATTCCCAATTCTATTTTTTTTTTTTTTTCTTTGAGACGGAGTCTCCCTCTGTCGCCCAGGCTGGAGTGCAGTGGCATGATCTCAGCTCCACATCCTGGGTTCAAACGATTCTCCTGCTTCAGCCTCCTGAGTAGCTAGGACTACAGGTGCATGCCACCAAGCCCGGCTAATTTTTTGTATTTTTAGTAGAGACGGGGTTTCACTGTGTTACCCAGGATGGTCTCGATCTCCTGACCTCATGATTCACCTGCCTCGGCCTCCCAAAGTTCTGGGATTACAGGCGTGAGCCACCCCGCCCAGCCGTCTTTTTTTTTTTTTTTTTTTTTTTGAGACAGAGTCTCGTTCTGTCACCAGACTGGAGTGCAGCGGCACGATCTCAGCTCACTGCAACCTCCACCTCCCAGGTTCAAGCAATTCTCCTGCCTCAGCCTCCAGAGTAGCTGGGATTACAGGCGCTGGACACCATGCCCGGCTAATTTTTTTGTATTTTTAGTAGAGATGGGCTTTTGCCATGTTGGACAGACTGGACTTGAACTCCTGATCTCAGGTGATCCACCTGCCTCGGCCTCCCAAAGTGCTGGGATTACAGGCGTGAGCCACCGTGCCCGGCCAGCAGGGATTTTTATTTTAGGAAGAGTTTTGGGTTTCTAGGAAAATTGAGCAGATAGGACAGAAAGTTCCTTTCTTTCTTCTGCCCCAACATACCCACAGATTTCCATTTCCCTGGCTTTAAGTGGTATATTTGCTACAAATGCTGAACTAATATAGACACATTATTATCATTATATACATTTAAAATGTTTTATATATAGTTTTAGAGTTGGCTTGTTCTGTGGCCCATGCTGGAGTGCAGTGGTGTGATCATAGTTCACTGCAGCCTCGACCTCCTGGGCTCAAGTGATCCTCCCACCTCAGCCTCCTGAGTAGCTGGGACCACAGGCACCCATAACCATGCCTAGATAATTTATTTCTTTTTTAATTTTTGTGTTGCCATGTTGCCCAGGGTGATCTCGAACTCCTGGGCTCAAGCAATCCTCCTGCCTTGGCCTCCCAAAGTGCTGGGGTTACAGGGATGAGCCACCTCACCCAGCCCAGCGCCCCTTCTCGTTTTTTTTTTTTTTTTTTTTTTTTTTGAGATGGAGTCTTGCTCTGTAGCCCAGGCTGGAGTGCAGTGGCGGGATCTCGGCTCACTGCAACCTCCATATCCGGGGTTCAAGTGATTCTCCTGCCTCAGCATGCCAAGTAGCTGGGATTACAGGCACCCACCACCATGCCTGGCTAATTTTTTTTTTTTTCAGTAGAGACAGGGTGTCATCATGTTGGCCAGGCTGGTCTTGAACTCCTGACCTTGTGATCCGCCCGCCTCGGCCTCCCAAAGTGCTGGGATTACGGGCGTGAGCCGCTGCGCCCGGCCTCTTCCTGTCTTTAACAGAGCCCTGCCTTGCGGGTGTCCTGGGCCCACTCCCTGCAAATCCCTGGCCCTGACAGATGCGGCTGCCCACGGAGTCTTGCCATGCCCGGGCACACCATGCCACCAAGCGCAGGGTCTCCCGCCAAGCGGGTCCTGCCTCACCTTCCCCTCCTCCTGCCTCCTGGTGCACCTGACCACCACGCTCAGGTGATGGGTGACACACCAGCCCACCCCACCACGTCCACCTCCTCCTCTCCTCAGCCACATCCCCAGAGGCTGCCAGACACCAAATTCAAGGGCTATGCTCTGGACGGGCACGGTGGCTCATGCCTGTAATCCCAGCATTTTGAGAGGCCGAGGCAGGAGAGTTGCTTGAGTCCAGGAGTTCGAGACCAGCCTGGACAACATGGTGAGACGCTGTCTCTGCAAAAAAATATATAAAAATTAGCTGGGGCCGGGCGCAGTGGCTCACGCCTGTAATCCCAGCACTTTGGGAGGCCGAGGCGGGCGGATCACAAGGTCAGGAGATCAAGACCATCCTGGTTAACACAGTGAAACCCCGTCTCTACTAAAAATACAAAAAATTAGCCGGGTGTGGTGGTGGGCGCCTGTGGTCCCAGCTACTCGGGAGGCTGAGGTGGGAGGATCACTTGAGTCCTGAAGGGAGGCAGAGGTGGTGGCAGGAACTAAGATGTTGCCACTGCACTCCAGCCTGGGAGACACAGCCAGACCCTGTCTCAAAACAAAACAAACAAACAAACAAACAACAAAAAAAGGCGGGAAGCCATGCTGTGCTCTGCCCACACCAACCTGGAACTCTCTGGGTTGCTCCCTGTTCTCTGGCCACTCCCTTTCTGCAGACCCCCAAGACAGACCCTCCAGCCTCCATCTGCGGCTTCCTGGCCCCTGCCTTGGTGACCTGCCCTGCAGCCCAGCTGCCTCCAGATGCCCCATGAACCGCCTCTGCGACAACTTTCATCTCGGCCTGGCCCCTTCTGCAGCCGAGTTACACTAGGACCCCCATCCAGGGTCCCCTCTTTGGCCCATGCCACCCCCACCCCAGTCCAGGCACTGTTGTCTCCTGCCCACATCTCTCCAGCGATCCCTGGCCCCCATGACTGTTTGTCCACTCTCCTCACTCAGCCCTGAAGGCCATGTACACACAAACGGTCACCATGACCCAGCAAGTCCACTAGGGTGTGTGCCTGACAATGGAAAACGGGGACTCAAAGAGATACTCATGTGTCCCTGTCTACAGCAGCACACAACCAAAAGGCAGACACAACCCGAATGTGCATCAGTGGATGGATGAAGAATAGATAGGTTACCTCCACACAGTGGAATACTATGCAGCCATGAAAAAGAATGAAGCACGGATCCATGCTACAATGTGGGTGAACCCCAAAAACATGATGCTGAGTAAGAGAAGCCAAACACAAAAGGTCACACAGTGTGAGACTCCAGTGATCTGAAATGCCCAGAACAGGCAAATCTACAGAGATAGGAAGTAGATTGGTGGCTGCCAGGGGCTGGGGGAGAGGACTGGTGAGTGACTGCTAATGGGACGGGGTTTCCTTTTGTGGGGGATGATAATGTTCCAGACCTAGACAGAGGGGGTGGTTGAACAACACTGTGAATGGACTAAAAGCTGATGAACTGTTCGCTTTAAAATGGTTAATTTTTGGCCAGGAGGTGGAGGCAGGTGGATCACCTGAGGTCAGGAGTTGGAGACCAGCCTGGCCAACATGGCGAAACCCTGTCTGTACTAAAAATACAAAAATTAGCTGGGCATGGTGGCGCATGCCTGTAATCCCACCTACTCGAAGGCTGAGGCAGGAGCATCACTTAAACCCGGGAGGCGGAGGTTGTGGTGAGCCGAGATCACACCACTGCACTCCAGCCTGGGCAGCAAGAGTGAAACTCCATCTCAAAAAAAAAAAAAAAAAATTGTGTTAAGATTTATATGGCAAAAACTTACCATCTAAGCCATTTGTTAAGTACACATTATTGTGCAACCATCACCAGCAGCCATCTCCAGAACATTCTCCTTCTTCCCCAATGGAACAGTCCTCTGTCCCCATTAAACAGTCTCTCCCCATTCCCCTCCCCCAGCCCTGGCACCCCCCATCCCACTTTCTGTCTCTATGAGTGGGATGACTGTAGGAACCTCATATAAGTGGAATCACATAGTATTTGTCTTTTTGTGATTGGCTAAAATGCCTAATTTCAAGCTACATACATTTTACCTCAATAAGAAATGGAGGCCAACTGAGGTGGCTCACGCCTGTAATCCCACCACTTTGGGAGGCCAAGGTGGGTGGATCACTTGAGGTCAGAAGTTCAAGACCAGCCTGGCCAACATGGTGAAACCCCAGCTCTACTAAAATACTAAAATTAGCCAGACATGGTGATACACACCTGTAGTCCCAGCTATTCGGGAGGCTGAGGCAGGAGAATCGCTTGAACCTGGGAGGCAGAGGTTGCAGTGAGCTGAGATGGTGCCACCGCACTCCAGCCTGGGTGACAGAGCGAGACTCCATCTCAAAAAAAAAATTAGCTGGGTGTGGTGGCTCGTGCCTGTAATCCCAGCCACTCATGAGGCTGAGGCAGGAGAATCCCTTGAACCCAGGAGGCAAAGGTTCCAGTGAGCTGAGATCACACCACCACACTCCAGCCTGGGCGACAGAGTGAGACCCTGTCTCTTAAAAAAAAAAAAAAAAAAAAAAAAAAACAGGCTAGGTGCGGTGGCTCATGCCTGTAATCCCAGCACTTTGGGAGGCCAAGGGAGGCAGATCACCTGAAGTCGGGAGTTCAAGACCAGCCTGACCAACATGGTGAAACCCTGTCTCTACTAAAAATACAAAATTAGCCGGGTGTGGTAGTACATGCCTGTGATCCCAGCTACTCCGGAGGCTGAGGCAGGAGAATTGCTTGAACCCAGGAGGCAGAGGCTGTGGTGAGCCAAGATCGTGGCATTGTACTCCAGCCTGGGCAACAAGAGCGAAACTCTGTCTCAAAAAAACAAACAACAAACAAACAAAAAACCCTCCCCTATTCCAGAATTTCTTTCTTTCTTTTTTTTTTTTTTTTTTTTGAGACAGAGTCTTGCTCTGTCGCCTAGGCTGGAGTGCAGTAGCATGATCTCGACTCACTGCAACCTCTACCTCCCAGGTTCAAGCGATTCTCTTGCCTCAGCCTGCCGAGTAACTGGGATTACAGGCATGCATCCCCACGCCTGGCTAATTTTTGTATTTTTAGTAGAGACAGGGTTTCACCATGTTGGCCAGGCTGGTCTGGAACTCCCGGCCTCAAGTGATCCGCCCACCTCAGCCTCCCAAAATGCTAGGATTACAGGTGTGAGCCACTGCACCCGGCCCACTTCAGCCCTCTTCCAGAATTTCAATGAAAATTGTCTGAAACTCTGAAATGCCCTGATCCTCTCCATCCTGACTCTCCAGAAACATGTGAGCCCGAGCTTTTGCCCAGGGCCACCCTGCTGGATCTGTTGCCCACCTTTCCAACAGAGGCCCCCCAACCGTCCTGTAGCTCCTTCCCCACAGGATAGGGGGGAAGTCCTGGCTTAGTTCAGAGGTCTCAAATCTCCTCTCCCTCGTTTTTTGAGAAAGGGCCTCACTCTGTCAACCTGGCTGGAATGTAGTGGTGCAATCTTGGCTCACTGCAGCCTCGACCTCCCGGGCTCAAGCCTCAGCCTCAGCCTCCTGCCCCAGCCTCCCCAGGAGCTGGGACCACAGGCACGCGCCACCATATCCAGCTAATTTTATTTTTTTATTTTTTGTAGAGATGGCGTCTCACTATATTCCCAAGGTTGGTCTCGAACTCCTGGGCTCAAGTGATCCTCCCACCTTGGCCTCCCAAAGTACTGGGATTCCAGGAGTGAGTCACCGCACCTGGCCTGTCCCACCTCTTCATACTCATATCCCACCTGCTGTTGGGACACTCAATGCCACCCCTGCCTTGTCTCCATCCCTGAATCCAGAATCTTGGTCTCCCTGACCAGCCCCCATCTCACAAGACCCTAGCATCATCCTCACCCTCTTCCTTTCACACCACCTCTAGGGTGGCAGCAAATACTATCAGCTCTGCCTTCTAAACATTTCTAAAATTGGCCACTTTGCTCCCATCCCCTCCCCTCAGCTCAATCCTGGTGGGAGTCCCTTCAGGCTCCAGCTCCTGCTGTCAGCCCCCTCCTGGACCCCTGGGGTAGATGCCCAACCCAGGGTGACATCCCTCCTCTGCTCCCAGCCCACAGATAAGTAACAAATCCTGACCGTGGCCTCCGAGGCCTGGATGGCATGGCCCCCACTTGCCTGGACAGCAGTCCCTGCCTCTCCTGCCTGCTCCAGGCACCTCCAGGCCCTCACTCAGTCCCCTTAAGTGGGGCCACCCCTGTCCCTGCTAAAAACTGCCCCTCCCCACCTCCCCAACACAGCACACTGCCTCTTCTCTCCACACAAGTTTTCTCATCCACACTTATTGCTGTTGATAGACTGCGTACTGCACCGTCTGTTGCCCCTGCCACACGGCCAGCTTCATGAGGGCACAGGGCTTTCTCTGACCCGTTACTAGCTGTGTCTCAGCTGTGGCATACAGTAGTCGCTCAATAAATAGACATGGAAATAATCAGCTAACTTGTGAGTGTCATTTACAAAAAGCAACTAAGGCTGGACGAGGTGGCTCATGCCTGTAATCCCACCACTTTGGGAGGCTGAGGTGGGAGGACTGCTTGAGGCCAGGAGTTCAAGACCAGCCTGGCCAACATAGTGAGACCCCATCTCTACCAAAAAACACAAAAAAATTCGCTGGGGGTGGTGGCACACACCTGTGGTCCCAGCTACTCAGAAGGCTGAGGTGGGATGATTGCTTGAGCCCAGGAGGTCCAGGCTGCAGTGAGCTGTGATCGTGCCACTGTACTCCAGCCTGAGCAACAGAGTAAGACCGCGTCTGGGGAAAAAAAAAAAAAAAAAAAAGCAGCTAAAGGCAAGTCCATGCCCAAAATGTTAAGAGAGGCTGGGCGTGGTGGCTCATGCCTGTAATCCTGACACTTTGGGAGGCTGAGGCGGGCGGATCACCTGAGGTCAGGAGTTTGAGACCAGCCTGGCCAACATGGTGAAACCTCGTCTCTACTAAAAATACAAAAATTAGCCGAGGGTGGTGGCGCGTGCCTATAATTCCAGCTACTTAGGAGGCTGAGGCAGGAGAATCGCTTGAACCTGGGAGGTGGAGATTGCAGTGAGCCGAGATCGTGCCATTGCACTCCAGACTGGGTGACAGAGTGAGACTGTCTCAAAAAAAAAAAAAAAAGTTATGAGAGTTCGATCATGGGTCATCCGTCTAGAAGGAAAACTGAGCAACAGCTAACACCTCCCCTCTAGGGGATCAAGGTGTGTTACATGGGAAAACTGGCCCCATGGGTGGCACATCCACTGTACACTCTGGGCTCCGTGCCACCAGGAGCCCTCTAGGCTGTTCCCATCACATGGCAGGAAACAGCTATCATGTGTGTCCCTGGCCCACAGCCCTGGTGGTCCTCGCAGGGCAGAGAAGCCGCAGCCCCCACTGCCCCATCGCAGATGGGGTTTCCTACATCAGCCTGCCCAGTGGCGATGCCGGCCCTGCCCTGCATTCTCTGCCAGGACAGGTCACACAGAGCGCGCTGCAGTCACCTCCCTGCCCAGCCCACCCGGAGCTCAGGCCACATCCACTCCAATCAATTGGACACAGCCACTTCTTATCATCTTCCCCTCCACACCCCCAACCCCCAGGCAGGGTCTCGCTCTGTTGCCCAGGCTGGAGTGCAGTGGCATGACCTCAGCTCACTGCAACCTCCACCTACCGGGTTCAAGCAATTCTCCCACCTCAGCCTCCCAAGTAGCTGGTACTACAGACGTGCCCCACCATACCAGGCTAATTTTTTGTAGAGATGGAGGTCTTACCATGTTGCCCCAGCTGCTCTTGAACTCCTGTGCTCAAGTAATCCTCCCACCTCCGCCTCCCAAAGTGTTAGGATTACAGGTGTGAGCCAGTGAGCCACCACGCCCAGCCCACTTCTCATTCTCATCTTTTTTTTTTTTTTTGGAAATGAAGTCTTGCTCTGTCACCCAGGCTGGAGTGCAGTGGCACCATCTCGGCTCACTGCAACCTCCGCCTCCCGGGTTCAAGTGATTCTCCTGACTCAGCCTCCCAAGTAGCTGAGATTACAGGCACGCGCCACCATGCCTGGCTAATTTATTTTTGTATTTTTAGTACAGACAGGGTTTCACCATGTTGGCCGTGCTAGTCTTGAACTCCTGACCTCAAGTGATCCACCTGCCTCAGCCTCCCAAAGTGCTGGGATAACAGGCGTGAGCCATCGCACCAGGCTTCATCATGTTTATCTCCTCACCAAGATGGTGCAAGCCGAGGGGACCCTCCCACCTCCATAGGGCAGCCAGAGGAAGCATTTTGTCATCCACAAAACCCAATCCTCTCCATGCTGTGCTTAAAAACATCACATTCAGGCTAGGTGCAGTGGCTCACACCTGTAATCCCAGCACTTTGGGAGGCTGAGGCGGGCAGATCATGAGATCAGGAGATTGAGACCATCCTGGCTAACACGGTGAAACCCCGTCTCTACTAAAAATACAAAAAATTAGCCGGGCGTGGTGGCGGGCGCCTGTGGTCCCAGCTACTCAGGAGGCTGAGGCAGGAGAATGGCGTGAACCCAGGAGGCGGAGCTCACAGTGAGCCGAGATCGCGCCACTGCACTCTAGCCTGGGCGACAGAGCGAGACTCCATCTCAAAAAAAGAAAAACAACCACATCCAGAACAGAACTCAAGCTGCTGCCTCAGCTCTCTGCAGCCACCCTCCTCCTGTCCCCATGAAACGTGAGTGCCTCCGGGCCTTTGCACGTGCTGTTACCGACACCTGGAATGCCTGCCTGGACCCACACAGGGGTCCTTCCAGGATGTCTTCCCTGAGCTCCAACACGGCCAGATACCCCCTTTCCTGTCCCCAGGGATCACCTTTGTCTTGGGGCTGGCTTAACTTCTGAGACACCCATAGGAGCTCTGATTCTGATAAGCATCCCCTTACACTGTTCTTTTTTTCTTTTCTTTTTTAATACAGAGTCTCGCTCTGTTGCCCAGGCTGGAGTGCAGTGGCGCGAACTCGGCTCACTGCAACCTCTGCCTCCCAGGTTCAAGCGATTCTCCTGCCTCAGCCTCCCGAGTAGCTGGGATTACAGGCGCCCACCACACCCGGCTAATTTTTTGTATTTTTAGTAGAGACGGGGTTTCACCATGTTAGCCAGGATGGTCTCGATCTCCTAACCTCGTGATCCACTCACCTTGGCCTCCCAAAGTGCTGGGATTACAGGCGTGAGCCACTGCGCCTGGCCCTCTTTTTCTTTTTTGATACAAGACAGGGTCTCACTCTGTCGTCCAGGCTGGAGTGCAGTGGCGTGCTCATAGCTCCCCTTGGCCTCCAACTCCTGGGCTCCAGTGATCCTCCTGCTTCTGCCTCATGAGTAGCTGGGACCACAAGCCTGGCGTCTTTGTGTTTTAAGCAGAGCCCTCCCGGCCATCCCCTCAGGGCCCCTACCGTAGAAGACAGATGGTGGGTCATGGAAGAAGGGGTAGTCGGTGCCAAACAGCAGGTAGGCACTGTAGCTCCAGCTGCCCAGGTAGAAGAGAAACTTCCAAGCGCTCTCGGGCATCTTGGCGGCATCTCTGGGCTGGAGGCAGCACCGCTTCGCCAGGGGCTATGGGGGAGAAGACAGGCGGGCAGCCATTGGTGCTGGGGGCCAGAGACTGCTCCTTTGGGGTGGGGAAACTGAGGCCCAGGGACTCCCCAGGCCGGGCAGCACTGGGAAGGCCTGTCCCCCATGCCCACAGCCACCTGGAGCATAAACAGAGCCCACAGGCGCCTGCCAAGGCTAAACTTAGTGCCCAGCTGTCCGGCCGCCGCGGTGCTGGGAGGGGAGTGAGGGGGGAGGCCCCGAGGGGAGCAGGAGGGCTCTGGGGGCCAGAAGGGGGACACTTGGGCTTACGATGAGGGAGACGGATGGATGCGTCAGCCCAAGGGAGTTGGGCTGGTGGGGGTGACCCTTGAAGGGAACATGGAGGGGGTTATATGGGGGCATCTTGGGAAACACAGAGAGCCCCATGGGACCGACACAGAGGGGAGAGGAAGAACTTGTGAGGAAGCCGCCCCCTCAGTGGGAGATTCTGGAGAGGCTAGAGGGCTGGGAGAGACTAGGGGGAAGGTGTGGCGGGGACATGGGAACCTGGGGGCGATGAAAGGGGAGGAGGGGCTGGAGGCAGAAAAAGGGGACAGGAGGCGGAAAAGGTGTCACAGGCGAGGTGAGACCCTGAGGGGACATTGGGAGTGCAGAGGAAGCTGCTGGCTCCAAGGCAGGGGTTGGGGAGTGCGGTGGGTGGGTGGGTGGCGGGGCGCGGCTCCAGAGCTGCCCGGCCAAGCCCCACCCCTGGACAAGTCCCACCCCCTTCCCAGAGGCTGAGGGGGCCGGAGCCCAGAGCACCCAGCAGTTGTCATGGAGACAGCTGGAGCCGGCTCCGGTAACCCCTGGCAACCAGGCTGCTGCCAAGAAGATCAGCTTTGGAACACCCGGCAGCCCCTCCACCCATTTCTGAGGAAGGGCGAGCCTCGAAATGGGGCGAGCACCCCACCCAAGGGGCTGGGGAGGGCCCCCGGGGCTCGGCCCTGGTAGTCTACCAGCCGCCACATCCTCCTGTCCCGCAGGGGTGGGGGACGGCTTGCCCTCCTGGGTCTCGGGCTTCCCAGCTGGAAACTGGGAAGAAGGCAGGGGCAACAAGCAGGATAAAGACCACTGCGGACCCAGGGAGGGGCCCTGGACAGCCCTGTCTCCCCCTCCCACAGTAGGGGTGTGGCTGGGGTCTCTCCCTCATGTGGGTGATATGGGGACGGGAGTGGGGAGAGTGGCAGTCAGACAACATCCCATCATCGACCTCACAAGGGCCAGCCTCTTCCCGGCCAGCAGAGAAAGGCCCCTTTGTTGGCGCTGGGCACATTGTCCCTGCACCCTCCAGCCAGACGGGCGGGGTGACACCAGCTGGTCCACGGGGGTGTCCAGGCCAAGCTAAAGGCCCAAACACCTTCCAACCAGCTCCTGCCACAGCGACCCCTCCCCAGGGAAGTGAGTGGGGTCAGGCGCCAATGTCACCATCATGGTCACTCTCTCGCAGGGGCGATGGTCTCCGCAGAAACTGGGGAATTCTGCTGTCGCCTCTTGGAGGCAGCACAGTCCAACCCTGAAGCCCCGGGCCATGTCACCTCCAAGGGAGCGACCACTGGCGTGGCCAGAGCACCCAGGCCCTTGCCATCCCTGGTCGGAGGGTGGCGCTGACCCCAGATAGGCACAAGGCAGCGACCGGGCAGCTCCTGCCTCTTCCCGATTACAGCGGGCAAGCCGGCCCCGCCGCCGCACGGACCCAGCAGAAAACGGGCAGCGGACCTCGCTCCGGGCCGGGGCGCAGCCCGCATGGCAGGGAGGCGCATGGCGCAGGCCGCGGTGCGCCGAGCCCTCCCGTTCCCGGTCCTGGGCTTCTCAGTGTCTGGCTCGGCCCTGCCGGAAAGAGCGCGCGGTGGCCGGAGCCATCCACCGCGCGGGGCCCCCTGGTCCCAAACTGACCGGAAAGGGCCGTGCCTCGGTCCCCCACGTCTCAAACATCCCACCTGTCTCGGGCCCCCCATGTCCCAGACTCACCCCAGCCCGGCCACACCCCCGCATCTACCCGGTTCCCCCACGCAGCACTGTCTGAAGGGGGCGCGCGGCGGCCCGAGAGACCTTATCCTGGGGCTCCAACGTCCTGGGCCTCTCCAGCCCGAGGCCCCCACCCACGTTCCGGCGACCCCTTCATCCGCAGCAGCCAGCGCTGGAAGAAAGGAACGCGCCGGCGGCCCCAGGTCCCCGGTCCCGGCTTCCCCCAGTCCGGGGTCCCCTCGTCCCGGCCCCCGGCCACACTGACCCGAAAGAGGCGCGCAGTGGCCGCGGAGCGCAGGGCGGTCCAGCCCAGCGCGCCGAGCGCCAGCAGCAGCAGCTCGGGCGGCGCCAGGTGCGCGTGCTCAGCCAGGCCGCGACGCGCCAGCCCCCAGCCGCAGTCCGTGCAGCCCCGCGCCGCCGCCAGCGCGCTGCCCCAGCCGCGCTGCACTAGCTGCGCGTAGCTCGGCATGGGCTCGGGCCCCGTCGGCCCCGCCGCGGGCCCCGCCGCCGCCATACCGCCCGCTCGCCCGCCGTGCCCGTCGCCTGCGCCCGCCCGCGGTAGCCGACGGAGCCGCGCGCCCCGCGTCACGCGCCGCAGCTGGGCCGGGGGCGCGCGGGCGGGAGAGCGGAGGGCGGAGGGGCGGGACCGGCGCAAGCTCCGCCCCGCTGGGGGCGCGGCTGGGGGGCGGCCAGCGGGGACGCGGGGCGCCCTGGAGGCGGGCCCGCGCCCCTGCCCGTTTCCCAGCAGAGAAACCCAGGCGCGGGGGCCGGAGCTGGGGGCCCGTTGGACCTGGACCCCGAGAGACCCCGCGCACCGCCGTGTCGCGCCCCCATGCCTGCCCCGCGCGCCCCCCGCTCCCCCACCCCACCGCGCCGTGCCCGTGACGGGGGGCACGGGGGACACTAGCAGGCAGTCCCCTCGACTGGCGACCCCCGCTTCTCCCGGCCCTCCAGCACGCCACGCCGCTCCCGCTCCATCGCCCCGGCCCGCTCCGACCTCACCGTTCTTGGAGCCCTCGCTCCTTCTCAAGGACCCGAGGCCTGGCACGCCTTGGCACAGTCTTGGGACCATCCCGTGGCCCTCCCGCATTCAGGAGGCGTAGGCTCAATGAAACATTCTCATTCTTCAAAAGGACACGGCCCACGCCAGGGCGTTGGGAGGCGCACCTAGTGGAGACGCAGCTCTCTGCCCTACACCAGGAGCTTGGCAATGGGGTTCCAGCTTGGACGCGGGTACCCTGGGCACTTCCCAGGCATCTTCTTCTGCAGGTCTGCACAGCGGGCTACTGGGACAAAGGTGTGATGGGGGCTGCTGAGATTAGGGGGTTCTCTGAGGGTCACTTGCTGCTGTGACCCTGGGGAACCCGGGGGGGGGGCTCCCCAACATCAGGTTAATACATGAGTTGCAGAGAGGCTGCAGGAGTGGGTGCCAACGTGGGAGGGACTCCCAATCTGGATCGACTGTGACATCATTGGGACCACCATAAGTGACTTTCCAATGCACTGTTCATTGACAAGGCCCTGTGCCCAAAGCCACTGAAGGCCATCGAGGAAGACACTGGTCACCTCTGTTAGGACCGCCATCTCCCCAGGCACTGCTGCACCCCCCCTCCATCCTAGCCCGCAGGATGTCCCCACACCTGGCCTTCAAGGTGCAGGATGCAGGGATGAGTCCTGCAGCAGCCGCGCTGGCTCCCGAACACCTGCACCTGAACTTCAGGGGCACAGGTGAACACACCTTCCCCTTGCCCCACACCGAGTCCCCCACAACACATCCAGGTGGCCCTGCATCTGGCCACTTCTCTGCATCTGCACAGCCTTGCCCCCCGCTCCCCGCCACCACCACCACTACCACCACTACCCTCTTCCGTCTGGTATCCTGGCTTCCTCCTCACCCCACAGAGGTGAGAAGGTGGCTGCGACGCTGTTGGCCTGTTCCTCGTCTGCTTGCAGCCCTCTATGGCTCCTGTTCCACTCAGGGAAAGCCCAAGTCCTCACTGGCTGCCCTCACAGCGCCCTGTTTCCCTCCGCCTGTGGGCTTTTCTGCTGTTCTTCCAACATGCCAAGCTCTGTCCTGCCTCAGGGCCTTTGCACTAGCTGTTCCCCCCTCCTGAAATGCTGTTCCCCTAGGTACCTGCATGGCTCTTCTGCCACCTGCTCAGGCTGCCCCCGACTCTGAAGTCACACGCCCCTCATGTCTTCATGTCTGCTTGGCACTTGTCACCATCTGCCCCTACATACATACAGCTCATTTTTTTTTTTGAGTTGGAGTCTTGCTCCGTTGCCCAGACTGGAGTGCAGTGGCGCAATCTCAGCTGACCGCAACCTCCGCCTCCCAGGTTCAAGGGATTCTCCTGCCTCAGTCTCCCGAGTAGCTGGGATTACAGGCGCCTGCTATCACACCCAGCTAATCTTTGTATTTTCTGTAGAGACAGGGTTTTGCCATATTGGCCGGGCTGGTCTCGAACTCCTGACCTCAAGTGATCTGCCTGTCTTGGCCTCCCAAAGTGCTGGGATTACAGGCATGAGCCACCGTGCCTGGCCCCACTCTTTATTCTTGAACGTGGACTCCATGTGGACTAGGGGCCTAGTGTAGGGGTGGGGCACGAGGCTTGGCCTGGCCAATAGTTCAGGTCCAGCCGGAGGCCAGAGATGTGACTAACGCCACAACCTGCCTGGCAGGCAGAGGGGGACGAGGGGGATATGCTCTCAAAGGTCCAGCCAGGCCTGTGGGGCAGCCGTGGACAGTCCCAGCCACCTCCCTCCACCCTCTCGGCCAGCACTATCTGGTCACCATGGCGCCCATCGGTCACGGGAGAGGCGCCACCCACCCACCCACTAGCCCCAGCTCAGCCTCGAATTTCTTTTTGGCGGGTCCAGCCAGGAGGCTGCCAACGGGTGGGTGCAGGGCAGGAATGGAAGGCGGCTCTACTGGCAGCTGGGGACCAGGCACCCAAGGCTGGGCGGAGGTCAGTCTTGAGGCCAGTGTCCCCCCACCCACCCCAAGGTCTCCTCCCTCCAGAAAGCTCGGCCTGGACCCCTCCTAATGTCCCTGTCCAGGGAGTCCTCTTTTGCCACTTCCCTCCCCTACCAGGCTGGGGGTGGGGGTCGCTTGCTGTCCTGCCCTGGCAACCAGAGACGGGGTCTGGTTTCAAATGAATAGGCCTGGGTGTGGCTTGGGGAAACCCAGTCTTATCTTTTCCCTGGGAGATAAGCCCAGGCCAGGCTCAGAGGTCAAAGGGCATGCATCCCCATCCAGCGCCCCTTGACCTCACAGCCCTGTGCCACCGAGGGACCTCTGCACCGGTCATGCCCACTGCCAGGGTGCCTGTCCCCCTAGAACCTAGCCTGGCAGCTCCTTTTTGTTGTTCGGGTGGGCACAGCTCAATGGTGACATCTGGGAGGCTCCGGCCAGCCCTGCTGCCACCCACCCACCTCCCTCCCTAAATGGTGCGGCCGCCTCTCATCGCGGCTGGGTGCTTGGCCCCAGGACCCTGCCACAGCAGGACTCTGCCTTGGAGGAGGGTTTGCGGGGCGGCAGGAGCAGCACCTGGGGTTAACGCTGACCCTGCAGGGCCCCTCCGGCTTTGCTGAGCTGAGGCCTGAGTTTTTCCTGCCCTGGCCCCCACTTCCTCCAGGCCACTAGGGGTTCTCATTTTGAATCTTGGTGCCCCTCATGATAGCGGCATGACTTCTCTGTGCCTCAGTTTCCCCCGATGCCAACCAGGGCTGCTCAGTGGCCTCTAGGGGCCAGGGTGAAGCATGGGGACAGGGCTGTGCTGCCTCTGGCCTGCAGGAGCAGGTTGTGGCTGTGTGAGGGGCGGGGTGGGGGTCTGCACACCTGCTGCTCGTCACAGACCCTGGTCTCCAGGAACAGCCCTGGATGCCAGTGCCCCAGGACTCTCCCTGAGCGTCAGCTCCCACACGCCCCCAGCAAAGTGACCAGAGCACATCATCAGGTGGAACACCCTGGAGTTGAGATATTTATTAACAGATGGGGGTGCTGGGGGTGGGCTCCTGCCCCCAGAGGGGATGCAGGTGGATGCCGGGTGGGGAGGGCTGCAGGGCTGGCTCCTGGCCTCTGTCCTGGCTTCATGGTCCTGACAGCTCTGGGCCAGCCTCAGGCGCTGGGAGCGTACTGTAGCACCAGCCTGTCAAAGTCGTTCTCCTTTAGCAAGACACATGGCAACACAGGGTGGGGGCAGGGTGTGGGGAGACAGGTGGAGGGAGAGAGAGAGGGCGCATGTGAGCCCAGGCTGAGCTCCAGGCGCCCCCTGGCCTGGTTCTCGGGGACAGGCCATCCCCACCACTCACCTTGGCCTGGTACTCCTTGATGAAGGGATGGGACCTGTGGGCATCCTTCAGCTGGGACAGGTATCGGTTTGTCACCTGCAGGGGAGGCAGGGAGGCAGGTGAGCCGAACACGGGGACCCCACGGTGGCTCTGACCTGCTGGACAGGGGTGGATTGGGGTGAGAGCCACAGTACCCCAGGGGGCTCCTCACCCTGCCTTGGGACTGGGCTGATCTCGGAGAACCTTCAGGGTGGGGGTGGAGGGATGGGCCTGCCCCCTGGAGAGGCGCTGGCATGGAGCTGGCCTCCGTACATGGTGGGGGATGTATTGTGGTGTTCAGGGGAGCAGGTCGGGCAGGGCCCCAGGTGAGGATGGGTTGGGGGGCACAGGGTTTGTGAGGGAGGTGGGCTGCGGTAGGCATACTGTATACAGAGTTTTCCCAGGGGCCTAGGGATTAGGGCCTGGACCCCAGGCTGGGGTCCCAGGGTCTGGACATTAGGGTTGGCCTGGAGCCCTGGGGGCCGCTTACCTCAGGGGGCTTGCCCAGGTGCTGGGACAGGACGATGAGGTTGACCAGCGTCTCTGGGTAGCCACTATCCTGGAGACACAGGCAGACACGGGGAGGCAGGGTCAGCCACTCCAGCCCCCATGCCTGCCCGTCACCCCCACCTCAGGCAGCACCACACAAGGTCACCTCCTCAGAGGTGGGGTGGGACTGACACCGCCCACCGCTCTGCAAGGTGGAGATCTCAGATGATACGGTGCCAAGGGGCCAGCCGCCTCGCTGAGCCTCAGTTTCCCCATCTGTAGTCCAGCCTGGGGTACGACCCCTTGTTTACAGAGACTTGGGAAGGTTGTATTTGTCCCACACATCTCAAAGCCATGGGGCCCAGACCCAGATGGCCTCAACTCCTGCTGTACAACGAACCCCGAGGCCATGGGCAGACCTGCCACCCCTGCACCAGCTCCCAAGGAGCCTTGAAGGAGACCTCGGCAGGGGACCTTGCCTGACTCACTCACTCTAGGCTCCCAGCACACAGGACCCTAGGAAACATCTAGGCCAGGAGACCCAGCCAGAGCCCTGGTGTCTGCTTGGAGCACAGACACACCAACGAGGATGCGCCCAGAGCCCGACCTGCCCACGGCGGCCCATGGCAGGGCACCTTTTTGCAGACCGGACTTTTCTGAGCCTCAGTCTCCACCATGAAGGGGGACACCAGCTTGCGCTCACAGGAGCAGCCATGAGGTGGCTCCAAAGGGAAGTGGGGGGACCTGAGTGCCTCCCAAAACCCAGCAAGAATGCAGGGTGACCACAGCCACGGGGAGGCCACCAGGGCCAAGGGGCACGGCCAGCCAGCCCCAGGTGGTGTTTCAAGAGACAAGGACAGAAGGGAGTCATCTAACTGGTGAGTCACGGAACGTGTCACCTGAGAGGTGTAACAAAAGCCCCCAGAGGATGCGGCCATGAACACAACATGCATCCAAGTGTTCTCAGGTGGCAGGGAGGGGCAGGGTGGTGGAGGAGGGCGCCAGTCTTGCCCCTGGGGCAGCGAGGGACACACAGCCTGTCTGAGATTGCACATCAGGCTGGGAGTTCCTGACTAGCCCTGACTGCTCAGAGCTAAAGATGGACCCTGCTCAGGAGGAGCAGTACCCGGCCTGTGATGGGGCCAGCCTGATACCCCTTGGCCAGCCCCGCTCTGCAAACAACTTTCTGATGATAACTCAGCCCCTGGAAAGTCAGACAGGGAGGAGGGCTTCACCAGTGTTTGTCACTAGATTAAAACTGTTTCTCAGCTGGGCGCACTGGCGCATGTCTATCATCCCAGCACTTTAGAAGGCCAAGGAGGGTGAGAATTGTTTGAGCCCAGGAGTTCAAGACTAACCTGGACAACACAGTGAGACCCCATTTCTAACAAAAAATACAAAAATTAGCCACGCATGGTGGCATACCGTTTCAAAAAACAAACAAAAAACCCCCCAAAATTCGTTTCTCCAAAATGGAAAAAGCTTTGATGTCCTTTCTGATTATAAAAATAATAATCCAGGCTGGGCACAGTGGCTCACGCCTGTAATCCAGTACTTTGGGAGTCCAAGGTGGGCAGCATCATGAGGTCAGGAGATTGAGACCATCCTGGCTAACACAGCAAAACCCCATCTCTACTAAAAATACAAAAAATTAGCTGGGCATGGTGGTGGGCGCCTGTAGTCCCAGCTACTCGGGAGGCTGAGGCAGGAGAATGGCATGAACCCAGGAGGCAGAGCTTGCAGTGAGCCGAGATCACACCACTGCACTCCAGCCTGGGCGACAGAGCAAGACTCCATCTCAAAAAAAAAAAAAAAAAAAATCCACCAAGCATGGTGGCTCACACCTATAATCCTAATGCTTTGGGAGGCTGAGGTGGGACGATCACTTGAGGCCAGGAGTTCGAGACCAACCTGGGCAACACAGCAAGAACAACCCCGTCTTTACAAAATATATATATATTTTTAATTTAACATAACATAAACTCTTCATAAAGACTGCAGATGGCCAGGCGTGGTGGCTCACGCCTATAATCCCAGCACTTTGGGAGGCTGAGGCGGGTGGATCACCTGAGGTCAGGAGTTTGAGACCAGCCTGACCAACATGGCAAAACCCCGTCTCTACTAAAAATACAAAAATTAGCCAGGCGTGGTGGCAGCCGCCTGTAATCCCAGCTACTTGGGAGGCTGAGGCAAAAGAATCACTTGAACCCAGGAGGCGGAGGTTGCATTGAGCTGAGATCACACCACTGCACTGCAGCCTGGGTGACAGAGTGAGACTCCATCTCAAAAAAAAAAAAAAAGAAGAAAGGAAAGGAAGGAAAGGAAGGAAAGGAAGGAAAGGAAAGGAAGGAAAGGAAGGAAAGGAAGGAAAGGAAGGAAGGAAGGAAGGGAAAGAAGGAAGGAAGGAAGGAAGGAAGGAAGGAAGGAAGGAAGGAAGGAAGGAAGGAAGAAAAGACTGCAGACATCAGGCAGGAGATGACTGCAGCCACCCTGGGCAGGCAGCGCTCTCTCAACGAAGAGCTCCTGTCCACAGCACACTCTCCCCTACATAAGTACGGGGAGTGTCTCTCCAATACTGAGTATGTACTCAGGTGAGGGGTCCCACTTGCAGGTCCCGGGCCAGGCAGCTGAGGTGACAACAAGGACGGCTCAGACCACTGAGGCCCAGGCTGCCCAGATGCCCCATTTCTGTGAGGCCGGAATCTGGATTTCTTTGCAGGTGAGATCCCTGCTTTGTGGATCTCGCTGCTGACTGGGCCTTAGAAGCCCTGTGGGGCCACACGCACACCCAGGGGGTCTCTGCTACACTTGTTTCTGTCCGCCCTGACCCCACCCTCTGGCCGCCTGGCCTTCCCTCCGTCCCCACTCTGGGACAGGCTTGTGCCTACCTTGTCTAGCGCCTCCTGCAGCAGGCCCTCAGCGGCCTCCCAGCGGCCCTGGGCCATGTGGCAGGCCGCCTGCCCATTGAGCAGCAGCAGGGTGGGCGAGCACTTGTCAGCCATCTCCTGGAAGATGTAGTAGGCATCCTGCAGCTTCTCACCACCCTGCAGGGAGGGTCCCGCATCATTGCCTGTGCCCCTGCTGCCCGGCCCTTCCCCCGCCAGCCCCCTCCCCTAGCGGGGGGGACTCCAGCACTGCACAGAGACGAATCTGGTGTGCCCGGTTCAAGGCACAGCCACTCCGCCATGGGGACTACCCGTAACTTGTACTCTGCTGATGGGGCCTAAAGACTCGTGGCCGCCTCCTGCCCCACCTCCCACCCAGCTCCCGGAGTGCTGAGTACACAGAGGTGGAATCTGGGGCTTCCAAGGCCTCAGTGCACAGGTGGCTGGCTCAGGGTCTGAGTGGGGACCACTGGGTCACTGAGCACGTCAGAGGAGGAGGAGTCAGCTCTGTGACCAGCAGCCCTGACCTGTCCACTTGCTCAGAACAGCAGAACACTTGCAGGGGGAGCCTGAGGCCAAGGCAGGCAGTGAAAACAGCCCAAACTACCCGATAGGTCTGCCGGGGCCTGTCCTACCATACTAGACGGTCACTGGAAGTCTGTCTGGGTGAGGCTTCAGCCCCGTGGCGGGCAGGGACGGGGAGCACATTTTTTTTTCTTTCTCAGAGTTTCACTCTTGTTGCTCAGGCAGGAGTGCACTGGCGCGATCTTGGCTCACCGCAACCTCCACCTCCCGGGTTCAAGCGATTCTCCTGCCTCAGCCTCCTGAGTAGCTGGGTTTACAGGTGCATGGCACCAAGCCCAGCTAATTTTGTATTTTTGGTAAAGATGGGGTTTCTCCATGTTGGTCAGGCTGGTCTAGAACTCCCAACCTCACATGATCCACCCGCCTCGGCCTCCCGAAGTGCTGGGATTACAGGCGTGAGCCACTGCGACCAGCCAGGAAGCACATTTTAATAGGCCCACACAAAAGAGTGGCTCAGAAGGGGGCCAAGTCCCAGAAACCAGGAGAGGGGCTGTTGCCGGGCGGAGGTGCCCAGGCCTGGGAGCTGAGGACATCTCCACCGCTGCTATGGGAACACTGAACTCCGTCCCTGGCTGGCGACCAGGACCCTGGAGAGCAAAGCTGAGTCGCAGAAAACCCCAGGAAGCCCTGAGGGGAGGAGGGCCTGCCAGGCCAACCCAGACCCTCGAGTACCCCTGTGCCTCAGGCTCAGGAACCCGTCCCCGCCCCCACCATCTCTTCGCTCTGGCTCTGGCCAAGTCGCTTGGCTGTGAGAAGCCCGGAATGGAGTCAAGGCTGAGTTATGCCAGGCTGGCAGGGGCCACGGCCTGATCCTGGAGCCCCACTGGAGTGGCCAGCAGCCTACGCACAGGTGGGGGTGCCCACAGACCCTGCTCAGCCAGGTGCCCGCAATGCCCACCCACCTCATGGCCTAGGGCTCACCGTGGCCAGGCTGACCCAGGCAGTGGCGAGCTGGGTGAGGGTGGCATCCTCGTCCAGGTCCTGCATTCTCTTCAGCTCCTTCCTGGGGCGGGGACAGATGACAGAGGGGCTGAGTGGCCGAGGGCCCTGGCCTGGCCATCCCTGCCTTGTCCCCACTTGGGGCCCACCGGAGCCTGGGGATGGCCCCTGCTTTGTGCTCCACTGCATGCTCATACCCCACGACTAAGTGCCCGAGCCACCCTGCCCGTCTGACCACGTGCAGGCCCTGGGAAGGTGGGACTGGGGCCAGCTATGGCCCCCCAGGGTGGCCACCACAAGGTAGAGCTCAGGAGAGACTCACTCCATGGAGGATGGAACGCAGGGAAGGGCAACGGAACTACAGTGTGAACAACTCTGAGGCAAGGGCTTTGGAAACGGCAGCAGGGGAGTCCTGGACCCCCAGCCATGGCCTCCGACCTGGTGATGCCACGTGCAGGCCCCGCCAGCCCCACGGCACAGTTACAAGCTGGTCAAGTAACATGTTGCTCCAGGCACAACCTCCACTCTCCCTCCATGAAGCCCACCCTCACCCTGTGGGAGAGGCCTGCCACCCACTGCATAGAGAGAAACTGAGGCACAGAGAGCCATGGCCCTCCTCCCTGGCAACATACTGCAGGGAAGGGCTGAACGACAGCAAGCCACCCCCATGGAAAGGAAAGACAACAAGAGTAATGACAGCACCACAGACGCTCTGGGCTGTGACGCTCTGGGCTGTGACGCTCTGGGCTGTGGCTCAGTGCGGGTGGAGAGGGGCAGGAGGGCTCACCGGGCGAGGTCCAGGCGGTCCAGCTTCAGCAGGATCTGCACTGTCATGGCTGTGCTGCAGGACAGGGCGAGGGGGCGGTCAGCGGGTCGCCACAGACACATTGCATGGCCGCTCCACACCCAGGGCTCACTGTGTGTGTCTGGGATGTTCCTAAGTCCTGTGCTTAGGACCACCAGCCCCGCCCAGCAGAGGAGGACACCCTCACTCCCACATTTCACCGCTCAGCTTCCTCAGGCCCAGGAGCTCTGGGGGAGGTACCCAGGATGGGGTTTCAGGCCCCGGCCCACTCACCGCCCATCTGGAGAAGCAGCCTCCATGGGCTGTGCTTCCAGATGGAGGGCCCTGCCCGGACTCGACACCCTGGAGGCATCAACACTCAGGAACAAGGCCCTAGAGGAGGGCCACGCACCCGCCCCTGCACCTGCACCTGCAGCAGAGCCCTGGGGCCACCCACTCTCTGCAGGCCCCCTCGTCCCCTCATCCCTCTCAGCCCCAGGTGGCTGTGACCACGAATTACTCGTGAGGCCTCTTGTTCTTGTTTTCCTGCCAACAGGAGCCAGCACCTGGACCAGCACCGAGTCGGCCGGCTCGCCGACAGTGTGACATCCCTATTTATTTTCTTTTTTGTGTGTGAGTCAGGGTCTGGCTCTGCCACCCAGGCTGGAGTGCAGTGGCACCATCACGGCTCACTGCAGCCTCCACCTCCCAGACTCAAGGGATACTCCTGCTTCCGCCTCCCAAGTAGCTGGAAACATAGGTGCATGTCACCATGCCTGGCTCGCCCTGCAATTCTAAGCCCTCTGTGGATGGAGGTGGGATGGGAGCAGATCCACAGCGACCATGAAATGCCCAGCTTGCAACTCACAGTGGAAGGCAGGCACTGCAGGGACAGCTCACGGGGAAGAACTGACACACTTTCTGTGACCAGTGCCCTGGACATGGCCCGGAGTCACATCCTAGGGTGGAGGGGGGCACCAACCTTGCAGGGCTTCAGCACCCCAACCCCAGAGGGCCCTGGAGGAGGGCCGGTATGGGGGGCCCGGGGAGGCCTGAGAGACTGGGCCCAGGGCCGAGACACAGAAGGCTTCGTGGGGGGTGGGGACACAGAAACCGAGCAGAGACAAAGCCGCTTTCTGCTCTGCCCTTGGGAACAGAGGGTTGCAGCCTGGGCACCGTGTCCTTGGATCTGCAGCCTGGTGCGCAGATGGGAGTGCCTCCCACACTGGGCAGGGGAGCTGGAGCCTGGACAGCAGGCCAGGGCCTCATTTCAGCACCACCTTTCTCTGCTCCCATGACGACAGCCAGCGAGGCCGTGCGCAGCCTGGAGATGTGGCAGGGGGCACTTGCCTCCCTGGGCTGGCCCCAGAGCAGGGAGGCCACTCACCACTCCAGGCTGTCCCCCTGGTGCAGCGCACGCAGGGCGGCATCCGGGTTCTGGTCGTGGAGATAGATGGAGGCGGCCATGAGCAGGAAGGTGGTGTTGGTCACGTCCACGCTCCTGCTCATCTCTCGGTCCAGCTCGGCCACGATGCTGTCCCTGCAAGACAGAGATGCTCACGACCCACAGCTGGGGTGGCCTCTGTGGGACCTCAGAGGGTCCCCTTCCTTGGAAGCAGACAGGTCCAGAGAGGGTGAGCCAGGCCCTGGGGGTGCAGAGCAGCAGCAGGCCGAGCATCGAGCTGTCCCGACATGTCCTCCCTCCGTTCCTATGAAGCACCTCTCATGCTGGGCCAGGCAAGGACCCGAGGCCGGGAGATGTGGGGTGGGGCGCTCCAAGGGGACATGAGGAGGCACCGTCAGTCTCACACCAACCTCACCCGCCTTCCTGAGGAGGCTGGTGGGCCCAGCTGGGACTCCTGACCATAACCCATCAACCCTGTGGGCTTCAAGGCCACGTCTTCTAGCAGGAGGTCGGCCTGGGTGCCGAGGGGCCGTGCAGAAGGATGGGAGCCCTGGGGCACCCCCACTGCCAGGGCAGCTGCCCTCAGTCCCTGAGAGCCCAGGGTGCTGGCTGCACCCTGAAGATGGCCAGTGTGCTGCGGGCCAGGGCCAGGCTTGAGCCCAGGCAAGGCTGAGGACCGGCTCAGCTCCGAGGGCACAGGTCACCCATGCCTCCATGTCCCTAACTGGACCCAGACCCTCCATTCCCCATGGCTATTGAGCAGCTAAAAAGAGAAGGCAGGTGAGGGGGCCACCCTAGACCAAAGCTGGTGTTCTTCTGGGTTCAAACGTGGCTCTGTGACCCCGTAAGCATCCACGCGCATCTGGGGGCTGTCTGCCCAGGGCCCGTGTCTGAGGTGTCACTGAGGGCATGGCATGTCTGATACCAACCAGGCTCCACTGAGGGCTCGCCACAGTGCCAGGTCCAACAGACAAGTGACTTCAGGTCTGAGTCTGTTTCCCCGTGCTGAGGGACCATGTTACAGGGATCATGCAGGGGAGGAGCAAGGAGCTCCCAAGACCATCTTACAAAGCTTCCTGAGGCTCCAGCACACAAGGGTGTATAAACACTGCCAGTTGTCGTAGCGTTGGTACTGTAATGTTGTCATCCTAAGGTGTTACAATTACCAATGGGGCCGGGTACTGTGGCTCACACCTGTAACCCCAGCGCTTTGGGAGGCCAAGGCAGGATCGCTTAAGCCCAGGAGTTCAAGACCACCCTGGGCAACATAGTAGGACCCCTTTTTCTACAAAAAAGTAAGAAAGTCAGCTGGGCCTGGTGGCGCCTGTAGTCCCAACTACTTGGGAGGCTGAGGCAGGAGGATGGCTTCAGCCCGGGAGGTTGAAGCTGCGGTGAGCTGTGGTCACACCTCTGCACTCCAGCCTGGGTGACAGAGGGAGACCATCTCAAAAACAAGCAACAGCAACAAAATCAATTACTGGGCGGATCGCTTGAGCCCAGGAGTTTGAGACCAGCCTGGGCAACATGGCAAAACCCCATCTCTCTTTTTTTTTTTTTGAGACGGAGTCTCGCACTTTCGCCCAGGCTGGAGTGCAGTGGTGCGATCTTGGCTCACTGCAAGCTCCGCCTCCCGGGTTCATGCCATTCTCCCGCCTCAGCCTCCCGAGTAGCTGGGACTACAGGCACCCGCCACCATGCCCGGCTAATTTTTTTTGTATTTTTAGTAGAGATGGGGTTTCACGTGTTAGCCAGGATGGTCTCCATCTCCTGACCTCGTGATCCGCCCGCCTCGGCCTCCCAAAGTGCTGGGATTACAGGTGTGAGCCACTGCGCCCGGCCAGGCAAAACCCCATCTCTAAAAAATATACAAATTAGCCAGGCATGGTGATGCGTGCCTGTAGTCCCAGCTATTCGGGAGGCTGAGGTGGGATGATCACTTGAGCCTGGGAGATCAAGGCTGCAGTAAGCCAAGATTGTGCCACTGTATGCCAGGCTGAACGACAGAGCAAGACCGTATCTCAAGAAAACAAAATCAAAACCAAAACCAATTACTAATGGATGCTCCTTGTCCCCGGGGCGTCCTGCCAATGAGGTCGCGGCTGTGCAGCCAGATGAACGGACCACAAGCCCCTGCCTGGACCGCCTGCTCTCCGGGGCTGCTTTTCTGTGATGCTCACAGCAGCTGCTGCTCCTGGGGGACCCAGGGTTCCCTGCCTTCACTCCAGCTGGTGAAGTAAGTGCAGGGTGGGAGAAACAGTGGCCCTGGGAGGTCACCTGTCTCAATGTCCTGGAGCTGCTGTGGCAAAGCACCACAGCCCGGGCAGTTAAGGACAACAGGGATTCGTTCCTCACAGCTCTGGAGGCCGTAAGTCTGAAGTCAAGGTGGCGGCAGGGCTGGCTCCAGCTGGAGGCTGGAGGGCAAGGCCGTCCCAGGCCTCTCTCCCAGCTCTGGTGGCTGCTGGCCACTCGTGGTGCTCCTTGGCTAGCAGACATGTCACTCCAGTCTGTTGTCACATGGGCTTAACTCTGTGGGCCTCTTTCCTTTTTTTTTTTTTTTTTTTAAGACAGTCTCCCGCTGTCACCCAGGCTGGAGTGCACTAGTGCGATCTTGGCTCACTGCAACCTCTGCCTGCCAGGTTCAAGCGATTCTCCTGCCTCAGCCTCCCAAGTAGCTGGAATCACAGACATCACATCCTGTTAATTCTGTATTTTTAATAGAAATGGGGTTTCACCACGTTGGCCAGGCTGGTCTTGAAAACTCCTGACCTCAGGTGATCTGCCCACCTCGTCCTCCCAAAGTGCTGGGATTACAAGTATGAGCCACTGCACCCAGCCCTCCTTTTATCTCTTAAAAGGACACAAGTCCTTGGCTTTGGGGCCCACCCTAAATCCAGCATGTCTTCATCTCCTTATCTCTTAATCTGATCGGCAAAGACCCTTTTTCCAAATGATATCATATTCACAAGCATGTGGGATAGGATATGGACGTACCTTTTGGGGGACACCATTCACCCCACCATGCTGCCTCTGCACAGGAGTCAGCTCCCAGGAACCCCAGGTTTCTTTGAGTGAAGGGAGGCGGTAGTTGGGACACTGCCTCCGTGGGCCAAGGAAGAGCAGGATCACAGCAGTCTCCCCATGCCAGACCCTCACTCCGACCCCACAGCAGGAGGGGGCAAGGTTCCTGGGTCCCCACAGCCCAGCCCCCTCTCCCCTTGGCTGCCGCCCATGGGCGTTTGACCAACGCTGGCCTGTGGCTCAGGGGCAGGACAGGCGTGGCCTCACCCACCCTCCCACTGGGCTCCAGGGGAGATACTGGCAGGTTGCAGTCCCCAACTAGCTGGGACTAGAAAACTGATAGGATTTGGGAGGCTGAGGTGGGCAGACCGCCTGAGCTCAGGAGTTCGAGACCACCCTGGGCAACACGGTGAAACCCAGTCTCTGCTAAAATACAAAAATTAGCTGGACGTGGTGGCACGCAGCTATAGTCGTAGCTACTCAGGAGGCTGAGGCACAAGAATCACTTGAACCCAGGAGGCAGAGGTTGCAGTGAGCCGAGATCTCACCACTGCAACTCCAGCCTGGTGACAGAGTGAGACTCCATCTCTAAATAAATAAATAAGAAAACTGATGGGAGGGCCCTGCCCCCGCTGCGCCCTGGGCTGTCTTGGGGCTCTGGGTGTTGCAGAGGGCTGCTCGGTAATTGATATTTTCAGTTCTAGGTTCAGAGAGTGCCTTGTGGTCCATGAGGGCGTGTGCACACACAGCACTGTCTCTGACCCTCCCCTTTGAAGCAGGATCCATCACCAGCCCCCCACTGCTGTGCAGGTGAGGGAAACTGAGGCACAAAGCAGCAGGGGAGCAGAGGGGAGAGGCGCCTAATCTGAGGGATGCTGTGCGCTGCACGCCATGCCCCCACCCACCCAGGTTCATAACCAACAGGCCTTGAAGATGGCCCCGCGCCTCAGGCCAACCCATTCTCTGGGGCCTCACCTCCGACTCTCGTGGGCGAGGTAGTCAGCAAACATGCGCACGGCCTGGAGCTCAGGGGCCGAGGAGGGCTTGATCTCATCCAGGACCACACCGAACTTCCTCTGCAGTAGGGACGAGGCGTCAGCTGCACCCGTCCACCCCAGAGGATTTCCATGTCTTCAGCTTGGCAGGGAGAGCCCCAGACAGGAAGTCCCTGCCCCACCAGGGACCCCTCAGCCCAGCATGGGCCACCTCCACTGCAGTACACTGTGGAGGGTGGCATGGCGTCACCTGTCGTGAGCAGCCAGGTGTGCCCTCATCTGCAGGGCCACACTGCCCATGCCTTGAGCTAGGGACCCTGGTAGGTTACTGTCTATCCCCTGGCAGCTGTCCACCTCTGGTGGTGAGGTGAAGGGCGTGTCACCTGGGGGCAGGGCAGCAGCAGTTATGGGGGTTGTGACATGCGCTTCTATAAAGCAGGACATGCCCCCAGCCAGCCCTGCCCACCTACTGGCCCTCTGAGGATGCCCAGACTGATACCACTGTCACATCTGCAGCTGGGGGCCCGTCCCTCATTGTGTTCCCTCCTAGATGGTTCCTTCCCCATTTTTTTTTTTTTCGAGACGGAGTCTCGCTCTGTCGCCCAGGCTGGAGTGCAGTGGCGTGATCTCGGCTCACTGCAAGCTCCACCTCCCAGGTTCACACCATTCTCCTGCCTCAGCCTCCCGAGTAGCTGAGACTACAGGCGCCCGCCACCACGCCCGGCTAATTTTTTTGTATTTTTAGTAGAGACGGGGTTTCACTGTGTTAGCCAGGATGGTCTCAATCTCCTGACCTTGTGATCCACCCACCTTGGCCTCCCAAAATGCTGGGATTACAGGTGTGAGCCACCACGCCCGGCCTTTTTTTTTTTTTTTTGAGATGGAGTTTCGCTCTTGGTGCCCAGGCTGGAGTGTAATGCTGTGACCTCAGCTCACCGAAACCTCTGCCTCCCAGGTTCAAGTAATTCTCCTGCCTCAGCCTCCCAAGTAGCTGGGATTACAGGCATGCACCACCACACCTGGCTAATTCTGTATTTTTAGTAGAGACAGGGTTTCTCCATGTTGAGGCTGGTCTCGAACTCCTGACCTCAGGTGATCTGCCCGCCTTGGCCTCCCAAAGTGCTGGGATTACAGGCGTGAACCACCGGGCCCAGCCCCCATTCTTATTTTTTTAGAGACAAGGTCTTGCTATGTTGTCCAGGCTGGAGTGCAATGGCGTGATCACGGCTCACTGTAATCTTGACCTCCTGGGCTCAACTGATCCTCCTGCCACAGCCTCCCAATTAGCTGGGACTCCAGGCACATGCCACCATGACTGTCTTATTTTTTAATTTTTTTTTGTAGAGACGGGGGTCTCACTATGTTGCCCAGGCTGGTCTTGAACTCCTGGCTTCAAGTGATCCTCCCACCTCAGCCTCCCAAAGATTACAGGTGTGAGCCACTGTGCCTGGCTCCTACCAATTATTTTAGGAAAAAAAAAAAAATCGGCTGGGCGCGTTGGCTCACGCCTGTAATCTCAGCACTTTGGGAGGCTGAGGCAGGTGGATCATGAAGTCAGGAGTTCAAGACCACCCTGGCTAATGTGGTGAAACCACGTGTTTATTAAAAATATAAAAATTAGCCAGGCGTGGTGGCGCACGCCTGTAGTCCCAGCTACTTGGGAGGCTGAGACAGGAGAATCACTTGAACCCAGGAGACGGAGGTTGCAGTGAGCTGAGATCGAGTACGACAGAGTGAGACTCCGTCTCAAAAAAAAAAAAAAAAAAATCAAGAAGCTGTGACCCAGGCCCCCTGGCCTGGCAGTCTCAGGCCTCCGTGACACAGCCACCTTCACATGCTGGCTGCGCTGGCTGTTCACAGTCACTGAACACTGCAGGCCTGGGTCCCTGCTTTGTTTACTGTCCCCGCCACCCACTCTGTGGTGCCTTCCTGTCCCCAGCCCCACCCTCTACTCTGTTCATCACTCTTGCCCCCGGCCAAGGCCCGCACTCACCTGCGCCAGGTACGCTCTATACAGGAAGACGTCCCTCTCCACGTCTCTCTCTGGGCTTGATAGCTGTGGGAACCAATGTGAGTCAGGACGCACAGTGGGAGGCCCAGCGCAGCCCACACAGGGTGAGCATGACAGACAGGCCCCTGTACACTGGGGACAGGTGGCTTCTCCGGCAGGGTTGGAGGTCTGAGTCCCAGCCCTGATCCTCCGTAGCCCGAGTGGCCTCTGCTGGGGGTACCCTACACGGGGGGTGCCTGATCTCATCCCGCGCTGACACCACCCCAGGAAGGAGGCTTGCTCCCAAGTTCAGTGTCTGCCCCAGTCACACTTAAGAAGCCAGGGTGGCACCCGCACCTCTAACCTCTGGACATGGGGCCACTGTGGCTTGATTCTGTTCTGCTTTTGTCTCAAGACATTTTGAGCTCAGTTTGGCTGCCCCAGTGTGGTGACATCTGTGCCCAGCCCTGGCCAGGGGAGACCCTGGGAATGGCTCTGTACTTGGGCCACACCCCCACAGCCCAGCCATTGCACAGAACTGAGGAGCAAGAGGGAGGTAACCTGTGGCAACATCCATTTTGGGATGATAATGAAGCTGCCCCTGAGCCCAGGCCAGGGAGGGAGGCTGGGACCGCTCTCCAGAACACAGCTTTGCATGCTGCCCCCGGAGGCTGGCTGACTTCCCAGGGTGCCCATGGCAGGTGGGCACAGTGCAGCTCAGCCCATGGCCTGAGGGTGCTCGCCCAGGCCCCTGGGGGCTTCGAGAGGAAAGTACAGTTGGGAAGGGGCCCAGCCACCTTGGCATCGCCACTCCAACAACCTCTAAACAGAGGGGACTGAGAAGGCTGTCAGCAAGAGGGCCTGCCAGCTGTCAAGGCACAGGGTCAAAGGACCCAGTGCCCAAACCAGGGGGAGTCACTCTGCCCTGTCCTCTGAAGCCGAGAACCACAGATTCCAAGCCACATCTCTTCCTTCTCCCCAGCCTGAGGGAGGAGCGTGGATGTCAAACGTGTCCTCATCCCAGGCCGCCGCAGACCTGGCCCCAGCCTGACTCAGGCTGCCATTGCCAAGAGGACCCAGCAGCTTCTGCTCAGGCCCTGGTAGCCAGAGTGGGTATCTGGCTATGATTTGGAACAAGATGCCATCTAAATAAATAACTCCTAGAAGAATGTCAAAGGCATGCGGAGGGTGGTGGCTGCAGAAATCGAGCCCCACCTGCAAATGGGATGGACAGGTGAAATATGTACCTTTTCAAGTATGCAAAGAAACATATTATAGGCCGGGCATGGTAGCTCATGCCTGTAATCCCAGCACTTTGGGAGGCCGAAGTGGGTGGATCATTAGAGGTCAGGAGTTCCAGACCAGCCTGGCCAACATGGTGAAACCCCGCCTCTACTTAAAAATACAAAAATTAGCCAGGTGTGGTGGCGGGCGCCTATAATCCCAGCTACTCAGGAGGCTGAGGCAAGAGAATCACTTGAACCCGGGAGATAGAGGCTGTAGTAAGCCGAGATCACGCCATTGCACTCCAGCCTAGGTGACAGAGCAAGACTCCATCTCAATAAAAAATAAATAAGTAACTCTCAATCAACCTTCTGAGGTGGACTTCAGTTAGGTGACTAGCCCAGGGCCACATGCCACCCTCAGTTAAAAAAGACAGGCCAGGTGTGGTGGCTCACACCTGTAAACCCAGTGCTTTGGGAGGCCAAAGCAGGAGCACTGCTTGAGCCCAGGAGTTTGAGACCAGCATAGGCAACATAGCAAAAAGCATAGTCTTTTTTTTTTTTTTTTTTTTGATGGAGTCTTGCTCTGTCACCCAGGTTGGAGTGCAGTGGCGTGTATCTCGGCTCACTACAACCTCTGCCGCCTGGGTTCAAGAGATTTTTCTGCCTCAGTCTCCCGAGTAGCCGCGACTATATGTATTTTTAGTAGAGATGGGGTTTCACCATATTGGCCAGGCTGGTCTTGAACTCCTGACCTTGTGAACCAGCCGCCTCGGCCTCCCAAAGTGCTGGGATTACAGGCATGAGCCACCGTGCCCGGTCTGAGACCCTGTGTCCATAAAAAAATTATAAATATTAGCCAGGTGTGGTAGCATGCACCTGTAGTCCCAGCGACTCAGGAGGTTCATGAAGGAGGATCGCTTGAGCCTGGGAGGTCGAGGCTACAGTGGACTATGATCATGCCACTGCACTGCACTCTGGCCTGGGTGACAGAGTGAGACCCTGTCTATCTTTAGGGAAAAAAAAGAGACAAAAGCTGGCTGTTGGGCTTTCAAAGTGAGGACACAGTGGGGCGCCATCGGGGGCACCAGGGTGGCCTCAGCCGCCCCTGTGTGAAATGCAGGTGCCCAGGAGACTGTGCGTGCGGAAGTGCTCAGAGGCTGCAGAGTGCACTGGAGAGACAAGAGTGCCGGGAAGCATAACAACAACAAATGTGCAGACCGTGACCCTGACGTGAGGCTCTGGAACCGTTGTGGTTTTCCTCGACTTCCAGGGACGATCCTACCATCAGGACGCATGTGTGTCCCCGGGGTGGGAGAGCATTGCTCTTCAACCCCAAGGGCTCACTACGATCACCTGGGAGCCCAGGAACCACCAAAGCCAGGAGGCCACATCCACCAAGGTCACCTGGCCCTAGGATGGCCCCAGCACTGGCCCCAGGTGGCTTAAGATGTGGCCATGGTTGAGGAATCAGGGTACTGTTTGGGAAGGCGGGTGACAGGATGGGGGCCCTGTAGCCAGAAACCTTGGGGGTAGTAACTCCTCCCTTCTGTCCCTGTAGCCAGTGATCTGACCGCACTGGGCCGTCAGCAACTCAAGGCCTATGAGCTGCTTCAACCCCAACAGCTGGGCGGTGCCTGCCATCTTGTGGGCAAACTGGCAAATGTCAGAAACCCAGAAACGTCATGATGGTAGCCTAGTGCTGGGGGCAGCAAAGGGCAAAGACTGCCAGGTGCTCTCCCTGGGGCCACCTCAGGTGGGGCTGAGGTTGCTCAGGCCACTGTCATGAACTACCACAGACCAGATGGCTTAAAAAATGTATTCCTCAAAAATTAGCCAGGTGTGGTGGCGCACGCCTGTAATCCCACCTACTCGGGAGGCTGAGGCAGGAGAATCGCTTGAACCCAGGAGGCAGAGGTTGTGGTGAGCTGAGATCATGCCACTACACTCCAGCCTGGGCAACAGAGCAAGACTCCATCTCAAAAACAAAAAAACAAAAATTAGCTGGGCGTGGTGGCAGGCACCTGTAATCCCAGCTACTCTGAAGGCTGAGGCAGGAGAATGGTGTGAACCCAGGAGGCGGAGGATGCAGTGAGCTGAGATTGTGCCACTGCACTCCAGCCTGGGTGACAGAGTTAGACTCTGTCTCAAAAAAAAAAAGTATTCCTGGCCAGGCGTGGTGGCTCACACCTGTAATCCCAGCACTGTGGGAGGCTGAGGCGGGCAGATCACTTGAGGTCAAGAGTTCGAGATCAGCCTGACCAACATGATAAAACCCTGTCTCTACTAAAAATACAAAAATTAGGCCAGGAACGGTAACTCATGCCTATAATCCCAGCACTTTGGGAGGCTGAGGCAGGCGGATCATGAGGTCAGGAGTTACAGACGAGCCTGGCCAACACAGTGAAACCCCATCACTAGGAAAAATACAAAAATTAGCTGGGTGTGGTGGCACACGCCTGTAGTCCCAGCTACTAGGGAGGCTGAGGCAGGAGAACTGCTTGAACCCGGGAGGCAGAGGTTGTGGTGAGCTGAGATCGTGCCACTGCACTCCAGCCTGGGCAACAGGGCAAGACTCCATCTCAAAAACAAAAAAACAAAAAAAAAATTAGCTGGGTGTGGTGGTGGGCACCTGTAATCCTAGCCACTTGGGAGGCTGAGGCAGGACAATCGCTTGAACCCAGGAGGAGGAGGATGCCACTGCACTCCAGCCTGGGTGACACAGAGTGAGATCCTGTCTCAAAAAAAAAAAAAAAAAAAAAAAAAGTATTCCTTCACAGTCACAGTCCTGGAGGCCAGAAGTCCCAAATCAAGGTGTCAGCAGGGCCACACTCCTTCCAAAGGCTCTAGGGGAGGATACTTCCCTGCCTCTCCCAGCTTTTGGTGACTGTTACATTCCTCAGTTTGTAGCCACATTACTCCCATCTCTGCTTCCATCATCTCTGTGTCTCAAATCTCCCTCTGCCTTTTTTTTTTTCTTTTTCCAGTGGCGGGTTCTGGTGAAGACAAGAAAGCCTACTAGAAACATTCTTTTTTTCTTTTTTTTTTTTTTTTTTTGAGATAGGGTCTCACTTTTGACATAGTAAGAGCACCAACATCTCAGACAAACACTGCCACTTTAAGTTCCAGCCCCCTTTCTAGCCTCATGAATTTTAAGGAAATTTCTTTTTTCTTTTTTTTTAATAGAGAAGTCTCGCTCTTGTTCCCCAGGCTTGAATGCAATGGCTGGATCTTGGCTCACTGCAACCTCCACCTCCTGGGTTCAAACGATTCTCCTGCCTCTGCCTCCCAAGTAGCTGGGATTAAGGTGCCTGCCACCATGCCCGGCTAATTTTTGTATTTTTTAGTAGAGACGGGGTTTCACCAAGTTGGTCAGGCTGGTCTCGAACTCCTGACCTCAGGTGATCCGCCCGCCTCCCAAAGTGCTGGAATTACAGGTGTGAACCACCGCGCCCGGCCAGGAAATCACTTCTAACTACAAGCAGCCAGAAAGAGGAGACAGTAAAACACAGAAAGACAGCTCGGACAGAGAGAGAGTGGGAAGAAAATTTCTTGGGTAACTGCCAAACTTCACCTTCATACAACGGGCCCCAGTAAAACAGTGGGCCTTAATAAGCACATTCCTTTCCCTTCAGGTGCACTAAAATAGGCAAGCTAAAAGCAGAGTAGGGGGGTATGCCTGCAGCTGCAGAAAGATGTATGGGAGGCTGGGCACGGTGGCTCACACCTGTAATCCCAACACTTTGGTAGGCCAAGGCGGGCAGATCACAAGGTCAAGAGATGGAGACCATCCTGGCCAACATGGTGAAACCCCGTCTCTACTAAAAATACAAAAATTAGCCGGGCCATGGTGGCGCGCGCCTGTAATCCCAGCTACTCGAGAGGCTGAGAAAGGAGAATTGCTTGAACCTGGGGGCGGAGGTTGCAGTGAGCCGAGATCACGCCACTGCACTCCAGCCTGGCAACAGCGCGAGTCTCCATCTCAAAAAAAAAAAAAAAAGAAAAGAAAAGAAAAGAAAAAAGAAAGATGTATGGGAACAGACACACAACTCTCCCTCCCAGATAAGCACAACGAAGAGACACAGAAGCAGTTCAAGCCTCTGATAAACTCTCCGACCCTGAATCCTTAAAAACTCTTAGTCTGTAAAAGAGTGTTACTCTGACCCAACTCCGCCAGAAGGCGCCTCTCAGGTTTGTTTTCTCTAAAATAAACCTGTCTTGACTGGCAAGCCACCTTTCGTGTTTCTTTCCTCTTTAATTCTTACAACTTTGTCACCCAGGCTGGAGTGCAGTGGCGCGATCTCGGTTCACTGCAACCTCGGCCTCCGGGTTGAAGCGATTCTCCTGTCTCAGCCTCCCGGTAGCTGAGATTACAAGTGCCCGCCACCACGCCCGGCTAATTTTTGGTAGACTCATGGTTTCTCCACGTTGCCCAAGCTGGTCTCGAACTCCTGGGCGCATGCGATCTGCCCGCCTCGGCCTCCCAAAGCGCCAGAATTACAGGCGTTTGAGCCACTGCGCTGGGAAACTGTGTTTATCATTCTGAGTCCAGCGGAATACAGTGCCCGTCCAAAAAAGTGCTCAATGAAGAATGAATGAATGAATGGGTAAGCTCTGGGAGAAATAACCAGGCTGGTTGGGCAGGGAAACGTCCTTCTCTGAACTTTAGGGTTCTCATCCGTAAAATGAGGATAAGCAACAGTCTCCATCTCACGGGAACTGAAGGTATGGCTGAACAAAATAGGCTTATTGTCACTACAGTGGCATAAACACCTCCCTTACTCAAAACACTTTCAAGGGCGCAGAGAGAACGCTGTACGAGTGAGCAGTACCGTAAACTGTTACTGCTCTGGGTTCTGTCACGGGACAGTGACTACTCCTCACTGAACTGTGGAAGAGGTGGCCCAAAAAACGCGAGAAGAAAAGAGAAAGTTTTTAGACGCAGAACGCGGCTCGCGGCCACCAGAAAGCGTCCTCCGCCTCCGCCCCCAGCGTCCCCGCGCCCCTGCGCGGCCGCACCTTCACCCGCTGCGCCTCGTTTATGCACTGCTGGTAGCTGCCGATGTAGAAGGCGTTCTTTACGTCGAACAGCTCGTCTACCTCCCCGGAGCCGCCGGAGGCCGGGCCGGGGGCCGGAGGCGCCATTTCGCTGTCTTCTCACCAGCTCCTCTTCCTGAAAGACACGTCAGCCGGAAGCAAGACACGGGCACGCTAGGAAATGTAGTTTACTTTTTCCGAGCGGCGGCGAAGTAAGCCAATGGGAAGCTCCACAATAATATGCAAGGGGGCGGAAGGCGTAAGTGCGTCACGGAGAGCATCTCGGGAATTGTAGTGTGTTTCTGCAAGCCAATGGGATCCGGGGAAACATGATAAGGATGCGGTCGAGGCTGGGAATAGGCTGAGGGAGCTGGAGAGGGTGGGACCACGCAGGAGGCAGATCCAATAAACAGGAAGATTTTTCTCGTGACGTCGTCGGCGCGCGCCGGAAGCGCGGATCACACGGGCCCCTACAAGGGGCCCCTACAAGCGGCCACAAGGATGGCAGGCTTCGCGGAGCTCGGGCTGTCATCGTGGCTCGTGGAACAATGTCGGCAGCTGGGTTTGAAGCAGCCCACGCCCGTGCAGCTCGGCTGCATCCCCGCCATCCTGGAGGGTGAGTATGGCCCAGGGCCTTCCCCAAGAGGCCTCTCCGCTCCTCTCGACTCCTTTCCCTTCTCGCAACCTTTGCTTATTCCGGTCCCACGAGGCGAGGGGCAACCTCGGGCGTTACAGGAGATCCGGGGTTCCGGAGGACGACTGGACAGTGTTGGCATTTAGGTTGCATGACTGACTCGCTTTGTGTTCGTACGCAAGTGATGTAATCTCTGAAATTTTCATAGTCTCAGCACAGGGAGGGTTTGATGGATGACTAGTCCGATAGTATCGCAAAATCCTGCAGACCTGGTACTGCTATCTTTATTTTACAAATAGAAGTTGAGGCTGTCAAAATTGCTGGTAGATCCAGGACTCCTTGGTCCTGTGATTGCTCCTCTAGGAGAAGGTCTTCTCTCTGCTCCTCTAGCCCAACCCAGTTTCGCCATTAAAGAGAGGCCCACAGGAAGCCTAAGATGTGATAAGTCAGGGATTAAATAAACAAATGAAGGGGTCAACAGGGAGCACAAGATGCATATGAGGGAAGGGAATTCTGGATTCCCCAAATTCACGTGCTCCTGGACGGAGTTAGAACGAGGTGGTAGGAAGCTGTGGGCATCTCGGGTCAAATGGATATGGGTTCCAGTCCAGCCTGCCACTCACTGGCAGTGTGTCCTGGGCAAGGTCTCTGAAACCCAGCTGTCCACACATGGAGGGTGTTGATGCTGCTTTGTCCCCAACCCAGGTCGAGACTGCTTGGGCTGTGCTAAGACAGGCAGTGGGAAGACAGCAGCGTTTGTCCTTCCCATCTTGCAGAAGCTGTCTGAGGATCCCTATGGCATCTTCTGCCTCGTCCTGACACCCACCAGGTAAGCCCCCAGCAGGCCTCCTGGGTATGGGTTAACCAGCTGTGCTCTCTTGGGCAAGCACCTTTCCCTCTCTGAGCGCCCTTTTCCCACGTGTGAGATGAGCATGAAAATCTTGCTACCCGCTTCTTAGGGGTCCTGCAGAATTAAACAAGATGGCCCCGGTGCAGTGGCTCACACCTGTAATCCCAGCACTTTGGGAGCTCCAGGTGAGCGGATCACTTGAGGCCAGGAGTTTGAGACCAGCCTGACCAACATGGAGAAACCCCGTCTCTACTAAAAATACAAAAAATTAGCTGGGCATGGTAGCGCATGCCGTAATCCCAGCTACTCGGGAGGCCGAGGCAGGAGAATCGCTTGAACCCAGGAGGCGGAGGTTGCGGTGAGCCAAGATCGTGCCATTGCACTCCAGCCTGGGCAACAAGAGCAAAACTCTGTCTCAAAAAAAAAAAAAAGAAAGAAAGAAAGAGGCAGGCAGCAGAAAGGGTACTGGGACCTGGGCATATTGGAGCCAGTTTGAGAAAGGCCTTGAATGCCAGGCGGAGGGTTAGAATTGATTCTGGGGGTGTGTGAGCAGGAAAGGTCATGAGCCAGGGAGAGGCCAGGACAGAGTTGGTTGGGGGCAGAAAGGAGGCTGATGCTTGAGACCCTCTGGCTGGGGCAACTGGCTGGTGGTGAGGCCATTGCTGAAAGGCGAACTGGGGGAAGGCACAGGTTTGGGATAGGAAGAGATGCTGAGGTCAGCTTGGGTCGGGCTGGTGAAGGAGGGATGTTCCAGGCTGAGCCTGGCGAGGGGGCAGGGGCCACAATGGCCTCCAAGGCTCAGCATCAGAGCCTTTGTGAACAGGACTGGGCAAGTCAGGAGCCTGGGGGCTCAGGGAGGAACCCTGGGGATGGAGAGGGGAATGGGGGGCAGGTCCAGAACCACTACCTGACCCAGCCTGGCCCCTTCACACCCACAGGGAGCTGGCCTACCAGATCGCAGAGCAGTTCCGGGTCCTGGGGAAGCCTCTAGGGCTGAAAGACTGCATCATCGTCGGTGGCATGGGTACGGGAGCTGGGAGGCGGGGGAAGCCCCAGCATGGGACCCTAGCAGCTTTGGACCACCTGCCCAGCCCTGCCTCTCATGCTCTGTCCCCCAGACATGGTGGCCCAGGCGCTGGAGCTCTCTCGGAAACCACACGTGGTCATCGCCACGCCGGGGCGCCTGGCAGATCACCTGCGCAGCTCCAACACTTTTAGTATAAAGAAGATCCGCTTCCTGGTGAGTTCGCCCCGCCCCTGCAGACCTCAGGAGCTGGGCTCGGAGCCTCCAGGCCCAATGTCAGAGCCTGGGGCACCATCTCATCCATTTAGGAAACGTATGTCCGTTAGACTGTCCAGTAAAACGCTAGGAACAGTGACAAGGACCGTTCAAGGACCAACAAGAGGGGGCCCAGTCCTAGCAATGTTATTCGGGGGTAGGGCCTTGCTGAGACTTGGGTGAGGGGCAGGCCTCCCTTGGAAGGAGGGTACTCCAGGGCCTAGGGTCCATGTCCATGCCTCTCAAAGAGGCCTGCTTCAGGGGTGGCCAAGACCCGGGGCCATGGACGGCACCCTCACCCCTGCCCCCATTGGCACGGCAGGTGATGGATGAGGCAGACCGGCTGCTGGAACAGGGCTGCACTGACTTCACCGTGGACCTGGAGGCCATCCTGGCGGCTGTGCCGGCCCGCAGGCAGACACTGCTGTTCAGCGCCACGCTGACCGACACACTCCGGGAGCTGCAGGGTCTGGCCACCAACCAGCCCTTCTTCTGGGAAGCACAGGCCCCGTGAGTCCACAGCCCAGACAGCGTGGGGAGGGCAGCCCCATCCTACAGACAGGGACACTGAGGCGTGGCGGTCTATCTGTCCATCCCCAGGGTGAGCACCGTGGAGCAGCTGGACCAGCGCTACCTGCTGGTGCCTGAGAAGGTCAAGGACGCCTACCTGGTCCACCTGATCCAGCGCTTCCAGGATGAGCACGAGGACTGGTCCATTATCATCTTCACCAACACGTGCAAGTGAGCGGGGCCCGCCTCTCCCCTCCCACCGCCCTTCAAAGGAGGAGGTGGCCCGACGTCTTTGGTCTGGGACACACAGCCAGTCTCAGCACTCCCCAGCCTCTGCTCAGCCTGGAGGTCATGGGGGCTTCCCTCAAGGAGCCAAGGTCCCTCAATCTGAAGGTGCAGCCGGCCTTTGGGGTTCCTCAGCCCAGCCGTTGATGGAAGGGCCAGGAAACCCCTGCAAGCAGCTGTTTGAGCAGCCCATTTGCTGTGTTCTGGGGGTGTCACTGAGCTTTCCTGGGCCTTTAGTCCCATCTCAGAGGAAGTTGTGACAACTAACAGGCCTGGTGTGCGTCTGCACAGACAGAGACCCCTGGGGAGGGCAGTTCATATCTTCATTGAATTGTTTGGGAAGGTCATTGAGAAGCTGGAGGCTCTTCCAGCATGAGCCAGGATAGAAGGGCAGAAATCAAGGCGCTTTAAATGCGTTACCTCCCAGAAGAGAAAAGTTGGGACTGGGTGCAGTGACTCACACCTGTAATCCCAGCACTTTGGGAGGCCGAGGTAGGCGGATCACCTGAGGTCAGGAGTTCGAGACCAGCCTGCCCAACGTGGTGAAACTTCATCTCGACTAAAAATACAAAAATTAGCCAGGCATGGTGGCGAGCACCTGTAGTCCCAGCTACTGGGGAAGGTGAGGCGGGAGAATCACTTGAACCCGGTAGGTGGAGGTTACAGTGAGCCGAGATCACGCCACTGCACTCCATCCTGGGGGACAAAGTGAGACTGTCTCAGGGAAAAAGAGAGAAAAGTTTGGCTGCAGGGTGGCTGTCAGGCGTGGCAGGATCCAGCAGCTTATGTGATGGTCCCCATCCTTTCTCCCTGTGCCCCTCTTTCTCCTCTGTTTTCCTCTGCTGGCTCCTTCTTGGCCTTCTTGGTAACAGTGACCACCCCTAGCAAGTCAGTTTCCAGCCTTCCAGCCCTGCAGTCCCAGGGCCAACTCTTGTCAGTTCCAGCTCCAGGGAGGGATCAGCAGAGAGGACATCAGGCAGGCAAGCCGTCTGTCAACCCTCATCCTGCCTCTTTTTTTTTTTTTTTTTTTTGAGAGTCTCACGCTGTCCCCCAGGCTGGAGTGCAATGGCGCAATCTCGGCTCACTGCAACCTCTGTCTCCTGGGTTCAAACAATTCTCCTGCCTCAGCCTCCTGAGTAGCTGAGGCTACAGTCATACACCATCATGCCCGGCTAATTTTTGTGTTTTTAGTACAGATGGGGTTTTGCCATGTTGGGCAGGCTGGTCTTGAACTCCTGGCCTCAAGTGATCCACCCGCCTCAGTCTCCCAAAGTGCTGGGATTACAGGCATGAGCCACCGTGCCTGGCCTGCTGCCTCTCCTTTCTAAGCTGCATGAGGCCACTGTGCTAGGTGTCTCAGGGGCGGGTGGGGGCAGGAACACCTTCCCAGAACCTGAGAGCTGGAGGGGTTGACAGGCACATCCTTCCCGCCAGGACCTGCCAGATTCTGTGCATGATGCTGCGCAAATTCAGCTTCCCCACCGTGGCTCTGCACTCCATGATGAAGCAGGTGAGGCCACCCTGGGGCCCGCCAGCCTCACCCTGGGATACCTTCCCCGCCTCAGACATTGGCCCCGATCCTTCCTTCTGCCGGGCGCCTTCTTCCTGCCACCTGGTCTCTTCTGGTCCCAGAATATCGCAGCTCAAGAGGCCCTCCCTGACCGCATCTCTTTTAGCCGTCATTCATTTGTCCCGGTCTGACTTCTCATGGCCACCTTCCTCAATGGACGGCTGGGGACTGTCCCGGCCTCCACCCTGTCCCGAGGCCTCACACAGAAAACCCTGCCTTCATGCATTCCCAATTTTCTTCCCAACCCTGTGCAGAAAGAACGCTTTGCCGCCCTAGCCAAGTTCAAGTCCAGCATCTACCGGATCCTGATCGCAACAGACGTGGCCTCCCGGTGAGCAGCCCCCAGTCTCCTGCCAAGGGCACTCCCTCTTTTACTACAAGGCCCCACAGATGAGAAGGCTGGCCTCAGGCATGTCAGGCAGCCCTAGCATCCCTGCTGAGTGACCCTGGGTGAGTCCTTGCCTCGGTTTCCCCACATGGACAGTGGAGCTGACCAGCCACCTCTGCCTCCAGGGGCCTGGACATCCCTACGGTACAGGTGGTCATCAACCACAACACCCCCGGGCTCCCCAAGATCTACATCCACCGAGTCGGCCGGACGGCCCGTGCAGGTGAGCAGTGGAGGGGGAGGCCGAGCCTTGGGCCTCTGTCCCTCCAGCCTGCCCAGCAAATTCAGGTGGTAGGACGTGGGTAGGGTGCAGCCCACAGATGAGAGCTACTCAGGGCCATGTTTGCAAGTTGGGGAGTTGTCCTTTCTAAAGCAAAGGTGAATCCCAGCTACTCGGGAGGCTGAGGCAAGAAGATCACTTGAACCCGGGAGGTTGCGGCAAGCTGAGAATGCACTATTGCACCCCAGCCTGGGCAAAAAGAGCAAAACTCTGTCTCCAAAAAAATAAAATAAAATAGGCCAGGTGCGGTGGCTCACGCCTGTAATCTTAGCACTTTGGGAGGCCGAGGTGGGTGGATCACGAGGTCAGGAGTTCGAGACCAGCCTGGCCAACATAGTGAAACACTGTCTTACTAAAAATACAAAAAAATTAGCCAGGCGTGGTGGAGGGTGCCTGTAATCCCAGCTACTCGGGAGGCTGAGGCAGGAGAATTGCTTGAACCCGGGAAGCGGAGGTTGCAATGAGTGGAGATCGCACAATTGCACTCCAGCCTGAGCAACAGTGTAAGACTCTGTCTCAAAAAATAATAATAAACTAAAATAAGTAAATAAAATAAAATTGTAAAATAAAGCAAATGCAAGTCAGGTGCTGCCTTCACCCAAGCCAGGTGATGAACTGAGCAGTGTGGGGCTGCCCCCTGGGAGGGTGCACACACAGCTCCGGCCCCCACTACTTGCTGCTGCCTCGTCAGGGAGGGGCATGGTGTCCATGAGATGCTGTCAGTTCTGAAGCCAGGAAAGATGTGGTTGCTGGGGTCGGACTGGGCCTGGACCTTCTATCCTGACCCTGTGGTGCTGGGCAGGTCACTTCCACTCCCTAGACCTCACATGGTGGATAATGAGAATGGTGACGTCCTCGTGGGGCTGCCATGAGGGTCACGGACCTTGTCCACCATCAGTGCAGTTTCGGCCCTAGTCAACGTCACAGAAAACAGCAAGCAGAGATCTTGGGCTGAGGCCCGTCAGGGCTAATGGCTGGCATTACTTAGACTGGGTTCCCTGGCAGCCAAGCCAAAAAGGGAAATCGGGCAGTAACTAACTGCTGTGTAAGGCCAGACTGGCAGACCTGCCTCTCCCCAGCGACCCGTCCTCCACACAGTGGTCCTGCTTGGGGTCAAGCCCAGACACTCTGGGCTGATCCCTCCCAAGCCCAAGCCCTTGTTCAGCATCTCCAGGACCCCTGAGCTGTGTAGCTGTCAGGATCTACCTTTATTCGCCCCATGTCCTGACGCCCAGCACATAGCAGATAACCGGCACATCCCCACAGGGCGGCAGGGTCAGGCCATCACGCTGGTGACACAGTACGACATCCACCTGGTGCACGCCATCGAGGAGCAGATCAGTGAGTGGGGTTGGGGTGGGTGGTAGAGAAGGAGGGGTGGGGTGGGCAGAGGTGGGCACCTCGGGGTGAGACCCATTTTCCCGTCAGACACCAGCCGGCCTGCTCCCGTGAGCAGATTTAGGCTGGGGCTTCCTTCCCTAGGCACCCCCAAAAGAAGTTCTTTTGCCCATTTATTGAAACAAACTCCCCATAGTTGTCGCCAGCAGCTGAAAGCCACATCAGTCAGGAGGGGACTTGGGTTTCTTAGACTGAGATGTATGGAAGGTCCCTGAGATGTCAGAGGCCCCATTGACAGGGCCTGGCCTGCTAAAAACCCCTGGGAATGGTTTCATATGCAGCCAAGACAGAGACACTTCCTAAGGTATCTCTGATCACTGCATAGACTGTCCTGAAATTTAGAAACATCTGGACTTGGCCAGGCACAGTGGCTCACACTTGTAATCCTAGCACTTTGAGAGGCCGAGGTGGGCGGATCACTTGAGCCCAGGAGTTCAAGACCAACCTGGGCAACATGGTGAAACCCCGTCTCTACTAAAAATACAAAAATTAGCCAGGTGTGGTGGCGCACGCCTGTAATTGCAGCTACTTGGGAGGGTGAGGCATGAGAATTACTTGAACCCGGGAGGCAAAGGTTGCAGTGAGCCAAGGTCGCGCCATTACGCTCCAGCCTGGGTGACAGTGAGACTCTGTCTCAAAAAAAAAAAAAAAAAAAAAAAGAGAAACATCTGGACTTTAAGGCCGGGCACGGTGGCTCACACCTGTAATCCCAGCACTTTGGGAGGCCAAGGTGGGTGGATCACTTGAGCCCAGGAGTTTGAGATCAGCCTGGGCAATGTGGAGAAACCCTGCCTCTCCAAAAAATATAGAAACTAGCAGCACACGCCCGTAGTTCCAACTACTCAAGAGGCTGAGGTTGGAAGATTGCTTGAGCGGAGGCTACAGTGACCTGATTGAGCCACCACGCTCCAGCATGGGCGACAGAGTAAGACCCTGTCTTCAAAAAAAAAGAAAGAAATATCTGGACTTTAAAGGACACTGTTTGCAAGAAATTAATATTCATGGTTAAACTCATAATGCTGCTAACACCGAAAAAAAATGGCGGGGGGAGGCTGAGGCATGAGAATTACTTGAACCCGGGAGGCGGATGTTGCAGTGAGCCGAGATAGTGCCACTGCACTCCAGCTTGGGTGACCGTGAGACTCTGAAAGACAGCGGTCCATACCTTCCTTACCTCAGAAATCCCTGATCTTGCTCAGCTGACCCTTACCTGATATGGCCCCAGATGGCCTTGCATACCCCACAGCATGGGGAACTCACTACTTGGCTGAACTCCCTCTCCATGTCACGTCTCCTCCCCACCCCCACCCCCGGCTTTGCTGTCCCCACAGAGAAGAAGCTGGAGGAGTTCTCCGTGGAAGAGGCCGAGGTGCTACAGATCCTCACACAGGTCAACGTGGTGCGAAGAGAGTGTGAGATCGTGAGTGTCAGAGGCGGGCAGGAACTAAAGTGCTCTCCAGGGCCGGGGGTGCTCCCTTCCAGGTGGGGCCCCCGTGACCAGCATCTCCTTACCCCACTTCCCTCCACCAGAAACTGGAGGCGGCCCACTTTGACGAAAAGAAGGAGATCAACAAACGGAAGCAGCTGATCCTGGAGGGGAAGGTGAGGGCCGAGCCCGCAGGTAGGGGGTGGGTGGCCAGGTTCCCTGGCGGGGGCCGCCAGCTCAGCCATCCCCTGGTCCTCCCTGTGCCAGGACCCTGACCTGGAGGCCAAGCGCAAGGCTGAGCTGGCCAAGATCAAGCAGAAGAACCGGCGCTTCAAGGAGAAGGTGGAGGAGACGCTGAAGCGACAGAAGGCTGGCAGGGCTGGCCACAAGGGGCGTCCACCCAGGACACCGTCTGGGTCCCACTCAGGCCCAGTCCCCTCCCAGGGCCTGGTCTGAGCCCCACACGGCCATCTGCCCAGTCCTTGACTCGTCCATGGAGCTGAGGGTCGGAGGAACCTTCCTTGGGGGCAGCAGCCCTTCCCGGGGGCCTACCCAGTGCCCCACAGCAGAACCCGTGGGCGCTCGTGTTGTGCGGGCCCTGCTCCTCTGCCCCGAAACCACTGGCTGGTCCCTTCCCTGAGCCCTGGCCAAGATTCAGGCTGCAGGGGAAGAAAGAACATGACCGGGAGGTTGTGACCCCAACCCAAGGTCACCCCCCAGGGGTGCCGCATACAGGAGGTGCTTAATAAACGGGTCTTTTGACTTCCTCAGTCTGACTTTCGAAGAGCAGGGGGACAGGAGAGGTGGGGTGCAGCCGCTGTTGTTTCTCAGGTGTCTGCCCAGAACACCATGTCCATTTCCACCAGGCAGGCCCAAAGTTTTGCAGACACCAGCTGCTCGAATGGCCATGGGATTTTGGGCCCTGAAGCCCCTTCTCTGGGCTTCCAGTTTCCTCATCTGGAGAATGGGCATAGCAACTGCCCTGCTCTCCAGAGGCAGCTGTGAGGCTTTGGTGAGGTCAGTCCTGTGCCGAATGGGTGCAGCTATAAGCTTCCCTGGCCACCCACCTGGCCACATCTGGGGTTTGTGGCCAGAGTGAAGGGGCCATGAAAGTCCAAATTTGGCCAGACAATGTGGGCTAAGCCCAAGGGGACAGGCAGAGAGACACCAGAGCCAGCTTCCTGGCTGTGTGGCCTGGACCCCCCTCGGACTCCAAGCCTCACCCCTCATCTGCAAGCGGCTTATAACTGCTACATGGATTCAGGGGCACCCAAAAAGACGCAGGGAAAGGCGCCGGCGACATGTTAAGTGCCCAGATACCCACATACCACACACACACAGCCACGCTTAGAAATGTAATCGGGGGATCTAGAAATTCTACACAATGAGAAGCTCAAAAACAGCCCCAAAGCTGCCAACAACCAGAGCCGACTGGGGCCCACCCCAGCCCAGCCCGGCCCGGCCCACCCAGGGCTAAGTTGGGACCCCCCAGTCCCTTTCCAGGACGAATGGGCCCAACTATGCCGCCTGCAGCCTGGCCCGCATCCCAGGCCGGAATCGTTCATAGAAAACCAGCCCCGGCTCAGGGCGCAGCCTCAGCCAGGCGGGCCAGGCCCTCACGCAGCTCACTCAGCTCAAACAGGCTGACGTCCAGCAGCTGCGCTGCCCGGCCCACCTCAGCCCGCGCCCGCTCCCGCTCTGCCCGTGCCTCCTCCAGGCTGCGCTCCATCGCCCGCAGCTGGTGCTCCAACTCCGCATTGCGGGTCTCCAGGTCCTGCCAGGAAAGGGTGGGCAGGGTTGGGGGCCCCAACAAATCACCAGTCCTGCCCGAGGCATCCAGAGTCTGACCACCTTCATGTCCCTCTTCTGCCCAGAGCCATCCTAGGGCGCCCAACACACCAGGAATAAAATGCACACCCCACAGGGGCCTAGCTTCTGCCCTCATTTCTTTTGTTTGTTTGTTTGTTTTTGAGAAGGAGTTTCGCTCTTGTCGCCCAGGCTGGAGTGCAATGGCGTGATCTCGGCTCACTACAACCTCCGCCTCCCAGGTTCAAGCAATTCTCCTGCCTCAGCCTCCCAAGTAGCTGGGATTACAGGCATACACCACCACGCCCAGTGATGGCTTACACCTGTAATCCCAGAACTTTGGGAGGCGGAGGCAGGTGGATCCCCTGAGGTCAGGAGTTCAAGACCAGCTTGGCCAACATGGTAAAACTCCATCTCTACTAAAAATACAAAAATTAGCTGGGCATGGTGGTGCACACCTGTAGTCCCAGCTACTCTGGAGGCTGAGGCAGGAGAATCGCTTGAGCTCAGAAGGCGGAGCTTGCAGTGAGCCGAGATCGCGCCACTGCACTCCAGCCTGGGTGACAGAGTGAGACTCCATCTCAAAAAAAAAAAAAAAAGGCTGGGCGCAGTGGTTTACGCCTATAATCCCAGCACTTTGGGAGGCCGAGGCGAGTGGATCATAAGGTCAAGAGATCGAGACTATCCTGGCTAACATGGTGAAACCCCGTCTCTACCAAAAAATACAAAAAATTAGCCGGGCATGGTGGCGAGCACCTGTAGTTCCAGCTACTCGGGAGGCTGAGGCAGGAGAATGGAGTGAACCTGGGAGGCGGAGCTTGCGCCACTGCACTCCAGCCTGGGCAACAGAGTGAGACTCCGTCTCAAAAAAAAAAAAAAGTACCCCCTGAACATTTCTCAGATAAAGCCTTTAGCAAAAGCCAAGCCAAGGCCAGTCGTGGTGACTCAAGCCTATAATCCCAGCACTTTGGGAGGCTGAGGGCAGATTGCTCACGGTCAGGAGTTCGAGACCAGTCTGGCCAACATGAGGAAACCCCATCTCTACTAAAAACACAAAAAATGCCCGGGCACGGTGGCGCATGTCTGTAATCCCAGCACTTTGGGAGGCCGAGGCGGGCAAATCATGAGATCAGGAGTTGAGACCAGCCTGGCCAACATGGTGAAACCCTGTCTCTACTAAAAATACAAAAAATTAGCTGGGTGTAGTGGCGGGCGCCTGTAATCCCAGCTACTCAGGAGGCTGAGGCAGGAGAATTGCTTCAACCCGGGAGGTGGAGGTTGCAGTGAGCTGAGATCGTGCCATTGCACTCCAGCCTGGGCAACAGAGCGAGACTCCATCTCAAAGAATTAAAAAAAAATAAAGCCAAGCCAAGCCAGACCTAGTTCCAATGCAGGCTCTGTGATCTCAGGCTGAGAACAGGAGGAATTGACGGGGTCTGGCATGGGAATACAGCAGGAACTCAAGCATTGCTTGTTGAACCCATAGATGGATATGAAACTGTACCAACAGCCACTGTTCACGCGGCACCTGCTGGGCATCAGGCCTTCCACAGGACTGGGCCTCCCAATACTTTATCATCTTAGGTAGATATTGTCCTGAGTGTCTGTTGAGGTGACTGTCACCCACCGTCACCCCACCTCCTTGTGCCCACACACACCTGCACCTTCTGCTGAGTCTCCTCACGCTCGGCAGCCTCCAGGGCCTCGCGGGGCCCCCCAGTCTGACTCTTCAGGGTCTGAATCTCCTAGAGGAGAAGAGTTCCCAGGGTCTGTTGCGGGGGTCCTGGCTTTCCCACAGGAGGTGAGGGAAGGCGAGGCCCAGGAACCACACTTGGCACTCACCTGGTCCTTGGTTTGCACCAGAGCTTCCAGCTGTTCCAGCGACTGGCCCTGGCCCAGCCCCTCCTTCTCACCGGTGGGGGTCACCTCTGAAGCTGCCTGAGCCTCCAGCTCAGCCACCTGTAGGGCAGGAATAGCAGCCCCTGACGCCCCCGCCTGCACTCTCCCTTGCTCGCCCAACCTCTAGGGAATCTGCCTCCTGTCTGGCCACGCCCAGGACCGAGCACCCATCTCCCTTGGTTGGTGCCACCACCCCCCTCTGCACAGCTTGGACTTTAGTGTCTGATCACCCTCTGAGGCTGGCATTGTCTCAAACCCATTTTACAGAGCAAGAAACTGAGGCTGGGTCAGTGACCTGCTGAGGTCACACAGCTAGTCCATGAACCCAGGGCAGATGGGAACTGCCGAGGCGCGGTCTCCACAGTTGCCCGGGCCAGGTGGGGGTCTCTCGGAGGGAGGGGTGCCCTCACCCGCTGCCGCAGCCGCTCGGCCTCTGCACGCTGAGCCTCCAGCTGCTGCCTCCACTGGGCTGCGGCGGCGTTGGCCTCTCGCAGGGCGCCTGCCAGCTTGTTGTTGCTGTCCTGCAGTGCGAAAAACTCGGCCTCCCACTGTACCTCGCCCACGGAGCTGCAGAGACACGAGGGTCGGCAGTGGGTGACACGGGGCTGGGGGGCGGAGTCGGGCGATGCTGGGCTAGGGGGCGGGGCCAGGGGTGGGATAGCTCTGGGCTTAGGTCAGGGCGAAGGCTGGCGAGGGTGCGGAGTCGTGCGCGAAGTTGGACTAGGGGGCGGGGCAGGGGTGGAGTGGCACTGGGCTGGGGGCGGAGTCAGCGGCAATGCTCGGTTAGGGGGCGGGGCCAGGGTGGGTGGCGCTGGGCTGAGGCGGAGTCACGGGCGATGCTGGGCTAGGGGGCGGGGCCAGAGGAGGGGTGGCTTTGGGCTAGGGCACGGAGTCAGGGCCACGCAGGGCTGGGGATGTGGCGACACTGATTGCTGAGCTTGGGGATGGGGCAGTCCCGCAGAAGCGGGGTCTTGTCGAGGACCGAGTCAAAGAAGGGGGCACGTGGAGTCCGCCCAGTGACACTGTGGGAATGTTGAGGGAGGGATGGGAGGTTGGGGAGAGTCAGCCGATGGGGGCGTGGTCAGGGTGGTTATCCTAAGACCAGAGAGGCATCGACGGGGCGAGGTTAGCAGCGAGAAGAGACAGGGATGGGGTCAAAACAGAGGGGCGTGGCCAACGCAGGGTAGGGGCGGGGTCGGCTCTGGATGGGGCAGCATTCAGATCCTCATCCCCTTCCCCAGGTCTTGAGTCCACAGTTAGATCCCGCCGTCCTGGCACTCCCTTGGCTTCCAAGAACCGCCTCCTCGTCCCCCACCCCTACCCCCGCCCCTGCCACGCCCCCAAGTCCCGCCCCTCACCCCTCAGACAACATCTTCTTTAGCCGCTCGCGCTCTGTGGGGCCGGGGGCATCAGCGCTCTGGCTGCGGAACAGTTTTTCCTCGCCGGGGCCGTTGGCACTGACGAGAGGGCTCGGGGGCACCTAGGCACGGGGAAAAGAATAGGTCACGACCCCACATCAGCTGGGATCAAGGCTGATGTGACTGGGGTCGTCACATCGGGGGTGCAATTGACCTATGCACCCTAAGCAGGTCCTTCACAGCACAGGATCCAAGTGTGTCCCTCCCCACCTCACCCACCCTCCATGGCTCCCTGTGGCCCCTAAGCTGGGAGTTCCATGCCCACGCCCTCGACCTTGCCTTCCTGGGCTTTCACCACCCCCAGGAGCAAGTCTGATGCAGGTTAGTCTAAACCAAGATACTTAGAACCTGTAAGGTAGGGGAGGGGTACAATCGGACACCTCCCTGCTGTTCCCTTCCCTGAGGCCGAACTTCAACATCACGTTTAGGATTTCAGCAGGAAGCCCTGCCCAGGCCGAATTCGTGTTTCGTGAGCAACCCCACTGCCTGGACCACTGGCTCTGAGGGTAGACAAGCTGGCGGGTGCCCTGCGAGAGGCCAGCGCCACCGCAGCCCAGTGCAGGCAGCAGCTGGAGGCTCATGCTTTTTTTCATCTCTCCAACCCCTGTGCACAGCCCTCGGCCTGGTACACAGCAGGTGCTCAATAAATAATGCTGAATAAATTAATGTGGGAAAACACGCAGGGACAGTTCGTTGTTCTGCCTCACACTTAGCCATTTCTTTCTTTCTTTTTTTTTTTGAGACAGAGTCACACTCTGTCACCCAGGCTGGAGTGCAGTGGCACGATCTCGGCTCACTGCAACCTCCATCTCCTGGGTTCAAGCGATTCTCCTGCCTCAGCCTCCCGAGTAGCTGGGACTACAGGCGCATGCCACCACGCCTGGCTAATTTTTGTATTTTTTAGCAGAGGTGGAGTATCACCATGTTGGCCAGGCTGGTCTCGAACTCTTGGCCTCAAGTCATCCTCCCTCCTCAGCCTCCCAAATTGCTGGGATTACAGGCGTGAGCCACCGCACCCGGCCACACTTAGCCATTTCAATTTCTAGTCTTCCATCCTGCCATCTGAGCTGGTTTTGCTACTGGGACCTACTGGGTGTACCCCACCGGCCCCAGGCAAGGTCCAGACCCTCTATGACACACTCCACACCACTCCTCTGTGGTCCCTGCTGTGGGTCTAACCTTAGGTCATCTGGAAGCATTGGGTCTTGACGACCAGCAGAGTGCCCCGGTCTCCCAATATCAAGGTCCCCCAATATCAGTTGAGCGCCTGGCTGACTCACAGGTGCCCAGGCAGGCATAGGGGAGTAGGGAGTGCTGACCTGGTGGGAGGCGAGCCCCAGGGCTGGACTGGTGAGCTCCCCGCCATCCTGAGATTTCTCCCTGGCCAGCCTGGCTGCTTCCTTCACTTCCTGGAACTTCTCGGCAAACTAAGGGAGTGGGGAGGAAAAGACAGTAAAACCCCAGCCCATCCTCCCAAACAGGTCACCATCACTCAGTGACAGCCCCGCCACTTTCGAACCGTACCCATCCCCTTATCACACACCTTGGAAGAAGGAGAGAAACTTTGAAAAATGATGTACCATGGTGGGTGGGCAGGTGGCATCAGATCACAGAGGTGGCATTTAAATACATTGGGCCACATTGAGAAAGGGAAAGGAATTCCCATGTCCTCTTTTTAGGAAAGGGTCTCACTTTGTCACCCAGGCTGCAGTACAGTGGCATGATCTCGGCTCACTGCAGCCTTGACCTCCCTGGCTCAAGTGACCCTTCCACCTTACCCCTCCACCAAGGAGCTGGGACTACAGGTGTGTGCCATCATGCCCGGCTAATTTTTTCTAGAGACGGGGTCTAGCCATGTTCCCCAGAATGGCCCTTTTCCTGTTTTTTGTTTTTTTTTTTTTTGAGATGGAGTCTTGCTCTGTTGCCCAGGCTGGAGTGCAGTGACATGATCTTGGCTCACGGCAGCCTCTGCTTCAGCCTCATGAGTAGCTGGGATTACAGGCATGCACCAGCATGCCTGGCTAATTTTCATATTTTTAGTAGAGATGTGGTTTTACCATGTTGGCCAGGCTGATCTTAAATTCCCGGCTTGAAGTGATCCGCCTGCCTCAGCCTCCCAAAGTGGTGGGATTACAGGCACAGCACCCAGCCTTTTTTTTTTTTTTTTTTGGGGGGGGACAGAATCTCGCTTTGTCACCCTGGCTGGAGTGCAGTGGCACCATCTCAGCTCACTGCAACCTCTGCCTCCCAGGTTCAAGCGAGTCTTCTGCCTCAACCTCCCGAGTAGCTAGGACTACAGGCCCGTGCCACCACGCCCAGCTAATTTTTGTATTTAGTACAGATGGGGTTTCACCATATTGGCCATGCTGGTCTCGAACTCCTGACCCCGTGATCCACCCACCTCGGCCTCCCAAAGTGTGAGAATGACAGGTATGAGCCAACATGTGGGGTCCCTTTTAATCTTTATCAGGGCTATTTCAACAAAGAGAGCCTCAGGTGGGTGCTAATCTGTCTTTAACACCTGTTATTATTCCTTTATAACAAAGAGATTAGGTCTCAGGCTCTGAGAGACATCAGAAGTCAATGAGAAAGTAATCATCTCATTCTTGTTTTTGTTGTATTAAATGTTTACATGTTTACATTTACCACCTATTTATGACAAAGCAATACCAGTTTTCCAGTTAGGATAGGATATGTTTCCCCCCACCACCCCGGTTTTAAAATAAATTTCCTTAGTTTAAAAATAATTTTTTAGGCCGGGTGCGGTGGCTCACACCTGTAATCCCAGCACTTTGGGAGACCAAGGCGGGCGGATCATTTGAGGTCAGGAGTTCGAAACCAGCCTGGCCAACATGGTGAAACCCCATCTCTACTAAAAACACAAAAATTAGCCAGGCATGGTGGTGGGCGCCTGTAATCCTAGTACTTGGGAGGCTGAGGCAGGAGAATTGCTTGAGCCCAGGAGGTGGAGGTTGCAGTGAGCTGAGATTGTGCCATTGCACTCCAGCCTGGGTGACAGAGCAAAACTCTGTCTCAAAATAAATAGATAAGGCCATGTGTGGTGGCTCACGCTTGTAATCCCAGCACTTTGGGAGGCCGAGGCAGGTGGATCATGAGGTCAGGAGTTCAAGAGCAGGCTGACCAACATGGTGAAACCCCATGTCTACTAAAAATACAAAATCAGCCAGGCATGGTGGCACATGACTGTAATCCCAGCTACTTGGGAGGCTGAGGAAGGAGAATTGCTTGAACCGGGGAGGCGGAAGTTGCGGTGAGCCGAGATCGCACCATTGCACTCCAGCCTGGGGGACAAGAGTGAAACTCTGTCTCAAAAAAATAAATAAATAAATAAATAAATAAATGATTTTTTAGGCTGGGTGCAGTGGCTCACACCTGTAATCCCATCACTTTGGGAGCCTGAGGCAGGCGGATTACCTGAAGTCAGGAGTTTGAGACCAGCCTGGCCAACATAGTGAAACCCTGTCTCTGCTAAGAATACAAAAATTAAAAAAACAAAAATTTTGTAAAAATACAAAAATTAGCCAGGTGTGGTGTGTCTGTAATCCCAACTACTTGGGAAGCTGAGGCAGGAGAATTGCTTGAACCTGGAGAGAAGAGGTTGCAGTGAGCCGAGATCGGGCCACTGCACTCCAGCCTGGCAACAGAGCTAGACTCTGTCTCCAAAAAAAAAAAAAAGACCTAAATTAGAAAGGTAAATTGTTGGGGCCGGGCGCGGTGGCTCACACCTGTAATCCCAGCACTTTGGGAGGCCAAGGTGGGTGGATCACGAGGTCAGGAGATCGAGACCATCCTGGCTAACACGGTGAAACCCCCGTCTCTATTAAAAATACAAAAAAAATTAGCAGGGCGTGGTGGCAGGCGCCTGTAGTCCCAGCTACTAGGGAGGCTGAGGCAGAAGAATCAGAAGAATGGTGTGAACCTGGGAGGCAGAGCTTGCAGTGAGCCAAGATCGCGCCACTGCACTCCAGCCTGTGCGACAGAGCGAGACTCCGTCTCAAAAAAAAAAAAAAAAGTAAATTGTCTGGGTGCAGTGGCTCAAGCCTGTAATCCCAGCACTTTAGGAGGCCAAAGTGAGAGGCTCGCTTGAGGCCAGGAGTCAAGAACAGCCTGGACAACATAGTGAGATCCTATCTCTAAAAAAAATAAGATTAAAGATATTAGCTAGGCATGGTGGCATACGCCTATAGTCTCAGCTAGTCAGGAGGCTGAGGTGGGAGGATCCCTTGTGCCCAGGAGTTTGAGGCTGCAGTGAGCCATGATTGCACTGCTTCACTCCAGCCTGGACAGCAGAGCAAGATCTTGTTAAAAAAAAAAAAAAAAAGAAGGGAGGGAGGGAGGGAAAAAAAAAGAAGAAAGGTAAATTCTAAACCTTCTAGAAGAAAACAAAGAAAGCCTGGTGTGGTAGCTCATGCCTGTAATCCCAGCACTTTGGGAGGCCGAGGCAGGTGGATCATCTGAGGTCAGGAGTTCAAGACCACCCTGGCCAACAAAATCCCATCTCCACTAAAAATACAAAAATTAGCTGGGCGAGGTGGTGGGCACCTGTAATCCCAGCTACTCCAGAGGCTGAGGCAGGAGAATCGCTTGAACCCGGGAGGTGGAGGTTGCAGTGAGCCGAGATCGTGCCACTGCACTCCAGCCTGGGGGACAGAGCAAGGCATTATCTCCAAAAAAAAAAAAAAAAAAAGAAGAAGATCTTCGTGAAAGCACTCATCATCAACAAAACCACGGATAAAGATAATAATGGAAGTATAGAGACGGCACAGGGTGCAGGGAGGTGAGGATGAAGGTATTGCTGGGGCATGTGGGAAAGTGCCCAGCCCAGCCCAGCCACCCATTTGATGTCCCAAAGAGGAGCAGGGTGTGTCCAAAATTAGAGCTACAGGCAGTAGAACTAGGACTCAAGAGCAGGTACAGTGGCTCATGCCTGTAATTGCAGCACTTTGGGAGGCCGAGGCAGGCAGATCATTTCAGGTCAGGAGTTCGAGACCAGCCTGGCCAACATGGTGAAACCCTGTCTCTAATAAAATACAAAAAATTAGCTGGGCGTGGTGGCGGACTCCTGTAGTCCCAGCTACTCAGGAGGCTGAGGCAGGAGAATCGCTTGAACCCGGGAGGCGGAGGTTGCGTGAGCCAAGATCACTGCAGCCTATCTCAAAAAAAAAACAGAAAAATGAACTAGGAATCAAACCGGGGAAGCTTAAAGGGGCTTCAGTCTCAACTCATCCTACAATCCCATCCTGCAGATGGGAAGATAGGGGACCTGCCCAAGATCCCAGAGTGAGCCCAGGAGAAGACTTGGGCCCAGTCTCATCGGTTCCCTCCACTCTCCCCCTCACCCGGCCCACCTGTGTCAGATGCTGTTCAGAGGCAAAGCCCAGGCCGTAGACTGTGTTGGCGCGACTGTCGGCCCACTGCCCGAACTTCTGGGAAGTTTTGGTGAAGGTCATGTTGGGAGTGACAGTGCTGTTGATGATGGCCTAGGGTCGGGGAACAAAGTTCAAGGTAGATGGGACAGATACTAACAAACATGAAACCCCCCAGGTATTACCTTGTATTAGGGTCTTGAAGGTCTTTACTCTGAACCCTTTCAGGAGATAGAGACTAGGGCCTGGGAAGGCTTAGGGTTTCCTGTCCCTTGGGCACACAGCAAGCCAGCCACCAGACCCAAGGTTGTCACCAGGACTCCTGGTGCCTCTGCCCCACCCAGACCCCACCCTGACCTTGGCGCCTCCGATGCTGATGATGCGGTACACATTGCGGGTGGCATCGTAGAAATAGGAGACAGTGAGTGCGTGCTTGCCCGCTGGGATCCAGTTTCGCTTGGTGGCTGGGTCAATTTGGAACACGTGCGCCCGTGTGCTGAAGATTGGCTGCTCCCTGCGTGGGGAGAGGGTGTTTGGTGGGGGCCAGGCACCCCCACTTAGAAAGCTCAGGGCCAGGCTGGGGGAGGTGGGAGCTCACCTGGCTGTGGACATTGGTCAGGCTGGGATGGGCAGGCTCTAGGGGGCAGCCAGAGAGGTGGCAGGAGCACTGGTTTGGCCCCTAGGGAGAGAGGAGGGACTATGAGTGTCCCTCAGGCCAGGCTGAGGGAGGCCAAGCAGGTTCCATCTCAGGACCCATCACCAGGTGTGCCCGTCATGGAACTTTCAATCAAAAAGGCAGGAGAGGCCCAAAGTACACCTGGTGCTTTGGGAGGCTGAGTCAGGAGGATCCTTTGAGCCCAGGAGTTCGAGACCATCCTGAGCAACATGGCGAGACCCCATCTCTACCAAAAATTTAAACAATTAGCTGGGTGTGGTGGCATGTGCCTGCCGTCCCAGCTACTGGGGAGGCTGAGGTGGGAGGATCACTTGAGCCCAGGAGGTCAAGGCTGCAGTGCAGTGAGCTATGGTCAGGCCACTGCACTCCAGCCTGGACAAGAGAGTGAGACCCTGTCTCAAAAAAGAAAGAAATTATAAAAAGAAACAAAAAGGTAAGATAATTATTATAGATAACTCAGAGCAAGCAGACCCCATCTTTCTTTGTCTAGGGGAAGCCCCCACAACACCCTGTACAGGAGATGGCCCTCTGAGAGGAGCCTGGTGGCCGCTGACATCCAGATGTAAATTTCTCATTGTCCTGGTTATTGCACCCCCGTGAAGTCCCCTCCATCCCAGGCTGAGCTGTGGAGGCCAAATCTCTGCTGAGTTCTTTCCACCACATTCACCCATGACTGGCCAGAGCGGGGCTCTCCACCAAAAAATGGGGCGTTGAGAGGTGTGTAGTACCAGGAGACCAGTTCCCCACTACACCCTGCAGAGGGACCCCACCCCCAGCAGCTCCCACCCTAGGGCAGAAGCACACCTTGAAGTCCAGAGTCCAAATCCCCAGGGAGCCCCCAGCCAAGTTAAAAAGACAAGATGTAGACAAACAGCCAATCCCAATGCCCACCATGAGGGCAGAGCAGAATCCACACTGGGAGACCAGGGCTCCCCAACCTCCCCATTGGGCCATTCAGCAACCCCGAATCTGCAGGGGACCAAGGAGGAGTTTGGAGGAGGGGGAAGACAGGTGGGGGAGGGGAGGCCCTGGCCCAGCGGCCTCTGTGGTCAAAGGGGGGATGCCCCCCCTATCCTGTCCTGGGCAGCTGCTGTCCTGGTCACAGGGTCTGAAACCGGAGCCCCTGAGTGGGGGTGGGGCGGCAGCTCTGGCCTGGACTGGGGGCGGGTCCTGCGCCGGGTGGGAGTTGGGGAACACAGGGGTCCCCGGAACCCAGGCCCTTCCGGTCCGGCAGCTCCTGCTGCGACTTGCAGCGTTTGGGGAAAGTTACTCACCAACTAGTCATGCGCCTCGGATGCCGCCGGCCACGGGGCTCCCGGAGGGGGGTCCGACACCGCCCGGTGCCCGGGATCCCCAATCTGGCCGGTGGATGAGGCCCCATCCCATGCACCCGAGTGCGGGGGACGGGGGGGTTAATATTAATTCAGGATCCCATCCCCACCCGAGGCAGGACACCCAGTGCACGCCCCAACTCCGGGACGCGGGCTCTGACCCTGGAACTTCCGAGATTCCCGCGACGCCCCCTGTCTCTGGGTCCAGAACTTCGGGGGACACCTCTTCTGCCTCCTCCAACCCCAGGTCGGTAACTCCGGGGACTCCCTTCGTGACTCCTCCTCTAACTGGGTCCGGGACCCCGGTCCTCCGCGTTGTCCTAGACTCCTAAACTTCGAGGACCCCCTGCCACCCCTCCAGTCCCTGGGTCCGGGACGTCCGGACCCCTCCCACCCCAGTACCCCACCCCAGGTCCGCAGCTTTGGGGACCTCTTCGCAGCCTCCTCCAACGCCGGGTCCAGAACTTTGGGAACCTCCCACGCAGTCCCCTCTCAGACCCTGAATCCAGAACTTCGGGACCCCCGCGCTCCCTCCAGCCCTGGAACTTGGGGACCCCTCGCGCCGCTCCCAGTCCCGGGTCCGAAACTTCTGGGGAACCCCCACGCCCTCCCCTTGGCCCTGGGACTTCGAGGCCCCCGCGCTCCCAGCGCAGGCTCGGCAGGCCGGGCTCACCCTGCCAGGTCGGCGCCCCGCGAGTGTCCAGGCGCGAGTCGGGTGCGGCCCCCGCGGCGCTGACTCCGCGCTGCCGGGCGCCCCGCTCGCTCCCTGGCTCCCGGGCCCGCGCCCTCCGCGCCGCCCTCCACGCCGCCCGTGCCTTTGTCTGCGCCGCCGCCGCCCGCGCCGCCTCCGGTCCCATCGCGGCCGGTCCCGACGCGGCCGCCGCCCGCCCCGCCTCCCCGGGCCGCCAAGGCCGCCCCGCTGCGCCCCCTGCCGGCTTTTTGCACTGGGAGAGGGTATGGGGGAGGGGATAAGGGGGAGGGGCGGGGGCCGGGACTGGGGAAGGGACGGAGGATTGAGGGAGGGGGTTAGGGGCGGTGGAGGGGGAGTGGGGGGGGGGGTTGCGTGGGGTCGGGTTGGGAGCAGAGGGTGGGGACAGAGAGACAGACGGAGAGGGACATCTGGGATGAGAAAGAGACCCAGAAACAGAGACACGGGGGAGACAGGCGGAGAGATAGGAAGCAGATGGAGAGAGTTGCACGGACAGCGATGTGACCTCACCCTCCTGTCACCTTCTCAGGAGACAGCTGCCTCTGTCCCCACTACCTGAGGTCATAACTTTGGGCCTGTGAGGGAGGTCAGGTCCCTCCCGGGCTGACATGGGTGGCCCAGTGAGGTTGGGGAGGGGGCAGTGGGTCTCAGGGTCTGCATACAGTAAGTGCTCAATGGGTGTTGCCAGGAAACGGAAGAGATCAACTTCGGGAGGGAACGGGAAGCAAGACAAAGAGAGAGAAGCCTCTGTTCCCCTGCCCGTCCCATCCCTAAGCAGGGACGTCTGTCCACCTCTGTCCCTCCCAAGACGATGGTAAAAATGCCCACAATGGTTGGATTAAGGTTATCTTTGCTGTTGTTTGAGGGTTCCAAAATCCAAAGGCTGAGGAAATGTCTCCAACGCATGGTTGCATCCCCTCAGCCTCCACTGGCCTGCGTTTGTCACCTCTGGTCACAGGGAGCACCCCCTTCCCACACTTGCCAGGAGAGCATCCTTCCGGAGTTGAACTAGGATCCACCTCCCCAGCCCCAAGCCCATGTGTCCCACTTGTCAATCCTGGTGCCGCCCCCTCTCTGGCACCGTCTCCAAAATCACACGGTGCGGCGCCGTTGGTTCGTTTGTGGACAGAGGTCCTGCAGCTCCCTGGAACCAAGGCCTGTGGCGCCCTAAAGCTCTGATCTTACATTTGAGTTTTTCTTTTCTTTTCTTTTCTTTTTTTTGAGACAAAGTCTCACTCTGTTGCCCAGGCTGGAGTGCAGTGGCACAATCTCGGCTTACTGCAGCCTCTGCCTCCCAGATTCAAGCAATTCTCCTGCCTCAGCCTCCCGAGTAGTTGGGACTACAGGTGCATGCCACCACACCTGGCTGATTTTTGTATTTTTAGTAGAGATGGGGTTTCACCATGTTGGCCAGTCTGGTCTCGAACTCCTGACCTCAAGTGATCTGCCCCCCTCGGCTTCCCAAAGTCCTGGGATTACAGACGTGAGCCACCACACCTGGCCGACACTTGAGTGTTTTGACAACTTCAGAGAGGCTTTTGCTTTTCATCTCCAAGACCTCTGCTCCTGTCTCCTTTCCCTGTTCCTTTATTTCTGTTTCCTTCTAAGAAGAATAGTATATCTGAGCTGGCGGTTACATTACATTCAAATTACCTTTAGGTGAATTCCAGGTCAGGTTGTTTTTGGAGATTGACTCCTGCGCCAAGATCTGAGTCTTCCCCCATCCAGGCCTTTGCCCAAACTGTTCCTTCCACCTGGAATGCCCTCGCTGCAGGCATCTCTTCTGCCTTGTCCTTCCAGGCTCAGCGCCACCACCCTGTCTCCTCCTCCAGGAAGCCTCTCTGACTACCCTGGCCTTGGAAGGGATCTTGCCCTCCCCTGTCCCAATCCCTGTGACTCTTTTTTTTTTCTTTTTTAAAGTTTATTTTTAGAGACGAGGTCTCACTATGTTGCCCAGGCTGGTCTCAAACTCCTAAGCTCAAGTGATCCTCCCACCTCGGCCTCCCAAAGTGCTGGGATGACAGGTGTGAGCCCAGACCCTTTCTGTGACTCTTATGTTACCTGTTTATTACATGACCAGGTCTGGGTGCTCCTCTAGGGCTGGCCCATCCATCCTGAAGCCCCAGTCTGACCCAGCACAAGAGCGACTGTTCATCCCACAGGGGAAACTGAGGCACAGACTCGGTTTCCCTGGCTGCTTCTAACTTCACGAGGCATCTGCACAAGGGAAGGATTTGGCTCTGTTCTCAGGCCGGAAGCCACGAAATGCTTGAACATTGTGGGGAGCAAAGAAAATACCGTCTGTTCTGTGCAAAAAATGACTTTTCCTTATTACCAACAAAATAATGGAAAAAATAAAAAAGTATCTGGGAAAGGTGCTGGCATGGCCAAGGCTTCTGGAAGCTGCTTAGAGTTTGCCAAGTGCACAAGTGGGGCCCTGTGGCTATTTTACAGGGGCGGCTGGGCGAGGGGCCCAGGCAGACTTTGCCCTTTGTGTGGGCAGAAAGCAACAGTGAAAGAGACAGTGAAGGGTTGAGTTGCTTTCCTGAACACCCTCTCCGGTCTCTGGGAGGGGCTGGGACAGGGCTGGCCTTGAGCAGCCCCAACCTGAAGCTGGACTAGCCAAGTCTACACTGAGGCACTGGCTTCCTCAGTGTGGGCCTCAGTTTTCTCACCTGGAAAATGGGCCGATGCTTGCAGGGCTTCTAGTAGAGGGAGAAACATGAAGGATTTAGTCAATATCAGCAGCTGTCCTCTGGGGTGCCTGCCATTAGGTTCGTGGGCAAAGGCCCTGCCACTCTTTGCTGCAGCTGGGAAAACAGAGTCTGTGTCTCAGTTTCCCTGCTGGGATGAATAGTCACTCTTATGCTGGGTCAGACTGAGGCTTCAGGATGGATGGGCCAGCCCTAGAGGAGCACCTAGACCTGGTCATATAATAAACAGGTAACATAAGAGTCACAGAAAGGGGCTGGGCTCATGCCTGTCATCCCAGCACTTTGAGAGGCCGAGGCTGGAGGATCGCTTGAGCTCAGGAGTTCGAGACCAGCCTGGGCAACATAGTGAGACCTCGTCTCTAACGAGGGCTGCCCTGAGCTGCTGCCCCCACCCCAGTCTGGGCCCTCTTCTTCCTAGGTCTGGAGGCCTCTCTTCTAAAGAACTGGGCTGGGTGCAGTGGCTCATGCCTGTAATCCTAGCACTTTGAGAGGCTGAGGCAGGCAGATCACCTGAGGTCAGGAGTTTGGGACCAGCCTGGTCAAAACATGGTGAAACCCCGTCTCTACTGAAAATACAAAAATTAGCCGGACGTGATGGTGCACACCTGTAATCCCAGCTACTCGGGAGGCTGAGGCAGGAGAATTGCTTGAACTCAGGAGGCAGAGGTTGCAGTGAACTGAGATCAGGTGACTGTACTCCAGCCTGGGTGACAGAAGGAGACTCTGTCTCAAAAACAAAAACAAAAAAGGGTGGGGGGGAGGGAGGAAGGAAGGAAGGAACAGACTTGAGATGTCCTTGCAGGGCAGGCAGAGGCCACCCCAAGGTGTCTGACTAGGAAAGCAACTTTCCTTTGGGGCTGAAAAATGGTGTGGGAGAATGAGCTTCCCACCTTAAAGGGGAAACCAAGCGGGAGCCTGAACAGCTCATTCAGCACTAAGAAAACTGCATTTGCAGAATGGCTTTTATGGCTCAGGCTCTGGTCTCTGCCTAGTTAGATCTGACCTAGCCTTTGGAGTGAGGCTAAACAGTCTCTCCTCTCCAGAGACTTTCTGTGCCACCAGAGCAGGGACAGTCCACCTGCTCTTCCCGAAAGCTGGGTGCCCACCTCCCAGTGAAGGTCTTGGTGACTACTTCAGGTCTGTTTATTGTTTATGGCATGATTTGGTTACTGTTCACCTCTTACATGGATTTGTCCCTGCACCTAGAACAAGCCTGACCTGTGACAGCTTTCTTTTTTTTTGGAGATGGAGTCTCACTCTGTCGCCAGGCTGGAGTGCAGTGGCACAATCTCGGCTCACTGCAACCTTCAATTCCTGGGTTCAAGCTATTCTTCTGCCTCAGCCTCCCGAGTAGCTGGGATTACAGGCACTCGCCACCACACCCAGCTAATTTTTGTATTTTTTTTTTTAGTAGAGACAGGATTTCACCATGTTGGCCAGGATGGTCTCAATCTCCTGACTTCGTGATCCGCCCGCCTTGGCCTCCCAAAGTGCTGGGATTACAGACGTGAGCCACCGCCCTTGGCCCCTGTGACAGCTTTCTATGAGCACTTTCAGGAGTAGGAGATCCCCAGGTTCCAGCTTTCGACTTGGCTTTCGGAATCACGTGAGCCAGGGAGTGAATCCCAGCCCTGCTGCTTACCAGCAGTGCCACCCTGAAGAAGTCACTTTCCCTTCTTTGTGCCTCAGGTTCCCCATCCATAAAATGGGCATACGAATGGTGTTCACTTCTGAGGTTTACTGTAGGGATCCAATGAGTTCTTTCTTTTTCTTTTCTTTTTTTCTTTTGAGACAGAATCTTGCTCTGTCACCCAGGCTGGAGTGCAGTGGCGCAATCTCGGCTTGCTGCAATCTCTGCCTTCCAGGTTCAAGCAATTCTTCTGCCTCGGCCTCCCTAGTAGCTGGGATTACAGGCGCACGCCACCACAGCCGGCTAAATTTTTGTGTTTTTAGTAGAGACAGGGGTTTCACCATGTTGGCCAGGCTGGTCTCCAACTCCTGGACTCAAGTGATCCACCCGCCTTGGCCTCCCAAACTATTGGGATTACAGATGTGAGCCACCACGCCCACCCTTTTTCTTTCTTTTCTTTTCTTTTCTTTTTTTTTTTTTTTTGAGACAGGGCCTCACTCTGTTGCCCAGGCTGTAGTGCAGTGGCTCAATCATGGCTCACTGCAGCCTCAACTTTCTGGGTTCAAGCAATCCTTCCACCTCAGACTCCTGAGTGGCTGAGACTACAGGTGCACACCACTACGCCTGGCTAATTTTTGTATTTTTTGTAGAGATGGGGTGTCACTATGTTGCCCAGGCTGGTCTCCAACTCCTGGACTCAAGAGATCTGCCTGCCTCAGCCTCTCAAAGGGCTGGGATAACAGATGTAAGCCACTGCATCTGGCCTCCAATGAGTTGTTATGTGAAGAGAACGTGATTGTAGGTGCTTAATAAATGCTTGCTGTTATAAACATCATATTTATTTTTGGTATGTGGTTTTGATCCTGAACCAACCTCTTACTCTTTTCTTTTTCAGAAGTTAGAGGACTCCAACCAGGCCTGAACTCTCAAGGACAGAAATGGGTCCAACCTGGCATGACATCCTCTAAATCTTTAGCTCCTGGCCTCTCAGGTGCCCCCTCCAGCTACCTCCCTCTTCCTTCTCTTCATTCCCCAAGCCATAGCTGGTTGGGCCAACCTCCAGACATTAGCCTCTTTGCAAACTCCTATTCATCCCTCAAAGCCTCACCTTCAATGCTCTCCTCCCCAAGAAGCTCTCTCCTCTACCTCTAGACCTTTTCCAGCCCTCTTCCCTCTTTCTGGCCCAGCCCTGACTCCTGGGAGTGTCTGTGTGCAGCTTTGACTCCCCCAGCCTGAGTGTCTCTCAAGGGCTGAGACCAGGGCCCATGTTTCCCTAGAGTTTGTCATCTTCCAGCATAGTGTGGACGCATGGGGGTCAGGCAAAGGGGGAGTTTGATGACTCAGTACTATTGGTGATTTTGCATCACTTGAAGGAGACCCTGCCTTAAATTCAGAACTTGACTTCTGCCCACGGCTAAAGTTAATTCATTCAACAACCCCCCATGAAGCAATGGAGCCAGGCTCCCTCAGGCCCAGGCAAGAAAGGGTCGTGGAGTTGGGGTCGCCAGCACTGGTTTATGGATTTGAGGACCTAGGACCAGAGTGAGTTGGGGATGGGAGGAGGCAGTGCTTGAGGCCCCTCTGAGCAGCAAACCTGGACCCGAGGTTCAGTTCCCGCAGACCTAATTACCCTAATTTGCCACATGCACTAATTACCTCCTGGGTGCCAGGTGGCTGGGCGGGGCTGCCCCAATTTCCGGAGGTAGGTCGGGGCCCGATTATTTTTGGCTGTGGCGTCCTTGAAGCCTCCGCCATCAGCAGCGCTTGAAGGGCAGAAAGTGGGGCGGAGAAATTGAGGCCACATCAGGGGAGGCACTGCGGGAATTGGGGGTCGGCTGGCCTTGGAGCTCCCTGAACAGGGGGCCTTGGGCCCAAGGCCTGAGAGTCTTTGGCACCTAGCCAGAGGTGGCAAGATCTGGAGGGGCATGGCCAGGCACGATGGCTCACACCTGTAATCCCAGCACTTTGGGAGGCTGAGGCAGGTGGATCACGAGGTCAGGAGTTCAACACCAGCCTGGCCAATGTGGTGAAACCCTGTCTCTATTAAAAATATAAAAAATTAGCCGGGCGTGGTGGTGCATTCCTGTAGTCCCAGCTACTCAGGAGGCTGAGGCAAGAGAATCGCTTGAACTTGGGAGGCAGAGGTTGCAGTGAGCCGAGATCGCGCCACTGTACTCTAGCCTGGGCGGGAGAGCGAGACTCTTGTCTCAAAAAAAAAAAAAAAAAAAAATCTGGAGGGGTTGAGAATCAGCCAGCTCCATGGTGGATTGGTTTGAAGTCTTTTTGTTTTGTTTTGAGACAGAGTCTCGCTGTCATCCAGGCCAGAGTGCAGTGGCACAATCTCGGCTCACTGCAATCTCCCCCTCTCAGGTTCAAGCAATTCTGCTGCCTCAGCCTCCCGAGTAGCTGGGACTACAGGTGCGTGCCGCCACACCCAACTAATTTTTTCATTTTTAGTAGAGATGGAGTTTCACCATGTTGGCCAGGCTGGTCTTGAACACCTAACTTCAAGTGATCCGCCTGCCTGGGCCTCCCAAATTGCTGGGATTACAGGCGTGAGACACCACGCCCGGCCCAGGTCTGTTTTTGATGTGATACCATGGCCGGGAAAGGGGCTGCCAGGGGGTGGGAGTGGGGGTAGTCAGATGGGCCTGGTTTCATATCCCAAGTCCCACCAGCTTGCTGTGTGTTCCTGGGCATATAACCTTTCATGAACTCTTTGCACCTTTCCTGAGGGATGAAACAGGTGTAATTTAAAAAGGGTGCTTTAGGCACTGGGGGTCGGAGCATGGGCAAAGGCCCTGAGGTGGGGCCAGGCAGGACATGTTGCTGGTACATTAGACAGGTGTCTAGAGTGGAGTAAGTGGGAGAAAAGCTTATGGGACTGCTGAGACCTAGGGGGTCACAGGAACTGAGCAGAGCCTTGTGGGTCTTGGTGAGTTGTGTGGGTTTCATTCTGAAGGCACTGGGGAGCCATGGGGAGTTTGGAGCCAGAGAGAGAGGGAGTGGTCACATTGACACTGCAGGCCCTGGGCAGGGTTTCAGCTCTTAGGAAAGAACGAGGTGTCTGTCCATGTGCAGAATGGTCGCAGACCCTACCATTCTCTGAGCCTCAGTTTCCCCACCCTGAGCAGAGTCCTGAGACTAGGGCAGCCCCAGAACACAGTGAGCCCTCTGCCGGGGAAGCCCCACTCTACCCTGGAGCTCCCAAATGCTGGCTGTGCAGCCTACACGGCCTCCTCCCCGCCTGTCCCCCCATCCCACGCTCCTTCTGTGGCCTTGGGGGAGCAGCTGTGGGAACAGAGAGCAGAAGCCCGTGGGGAAGGCAGCTCAGAGGGCCTCTGGGGGCCGTGTTCCTGCTTGGTGACAGCCCACGTGGGGCTGCCGCGCGCCGAATGTTCTCACAGCAGCCAGGTGACTCACATGCTACAGCCTCTTCCCTGGGTCTGCCAGAGGGAGAGTATTCCTAGTCCCCAGGCACAGGCCGGGGTCTCTGGTTTGGCCACCTGTGCCCTGGCTATGCCCTCTAGGATCCCCCCCACCAACACACACCAAGGGACCCCTCTAACTGGCGATGCTGCCCACCTCCTTGCTCCAGCATCTTCCGTGGCTCTCCTGGACACCTCAGAGAGAGGCTCAAGCTCCTCATTGCCCATTGGTCAAGCTGCTCAGCCCCACTTCAGAGCACTTGTACTGGGTCCCACGTATGGCCTGAAATGCCAGCTCTAAGGCCATCTCCTCCAGGAAGCCTTCCAGCCCTCCCCACAACTCTGACAATCCTGACCCCCAGGACGAGGATGCGTCTGTGTCTGGCCCTGCCTCCCTCCCAGACTGGGGGCTAACTGGAGTCCAGGCCCAGGACCCAGGCCTCTCAGGGGCTCCACTGTTATCCAGTATAGGAGTGCACAGCAGGGGCTCTGGGGGAGGAAGGCAAGGTCCAAGTCTGGACCCCATGGGCCTGACATGTAACCAAATTATTTATGTATTTATTTATTTTTATTTATTTATTTTTTTTGAGACAGAGTCTCACTCTGCCACCCAGGCTGGAGTGCAGTGGCGCGATCTCGGCTCACTGCAACCTCCATCTGACAGGTTCAAGCAATTCTCGTGCCTCCGCCTCCTGAGTAGCTGGGACTACAGGCACGTGCCACCACACCCGGCTAAATTTTTTTTGTATTTTTAGTAGAGACGGGGTTTCACTGTGTTAGCCACAATGGTCTCGATTTCCTGACCTCGTGATCCGCCCGCCTCGGCCTTCCAAAGTGCTGAGATTACAGGCATGAGCCACCACGCCCGGCATTAATTTTTATTTTTTGAGAGACAAGGTCTAACTCTGCCGCCCAGGCTGGAGTGCAGTGGTGCGATCTCAGCTCACTGCAGCCTCAGCCTCTTGGGCTCAAGCGATTCTCCTGCCTCAGCCTCCCGAGTCACTGGGATTAGAGGTGTGAGCCACCAAGCCTGGCTAATTTTTTAATATTTTGTAGAGATGGGGTCTTCCTATGTTGTCCAAGCTGCTCTCTAACTCCTGGGCTCAAGCAATCCTCCTGCCTTAGCCTCCCACAGTGCGGAGATTACAGGCATAAGCCACTGCACCTAGCTAACCCATTTCATAGAAGAGAAAACTGAGGCTCAGGGAGCTTGTCAGTTCCCCAAAGTAAAAGTCAGCAGAAGGCTGGAGGTGGTAGCTCATGCCTGTAATCCCAGCTCTTTGGGAGGCGGAGGCAGGCTGCTCACCTGAGGTCAGGAGTTCAAGACCAGCCTGGCCAACATGGTGAAACCCCATCTCTACAAAAATACAAAAAAATGGGCCGGCCATGGTGGCTCATACCTGTAATCCCAGCACTTTGGGAGGCCGAGGTGGGCAGATCACAAGGTCAGGAGATAAAGACCATCCTGGCTAACACGGTGAAACCCCGTCTCTACTAAAAATACAAAAAATTAGCCAGGCATGGTGACAGGCGCCTGTAGCCCCAGCTACTGGGGAGGCTGAGGCAGGAGAATGATGTGAACCCGAGAGGTGGAGCTTGCAGTGAGCCGAGATCGTGCCACTGCACTCCAGCCTGGGTGACAGAGCAAGACTCCGTCTCAAAAAAAAAAAAAAAAAAGAAAAAGAAAAAAATAACCAGGCATGGTAGCTCATGCCTATACTCCCAGCACTTTGGGAGGCCGAGGTGGGTGAATCACCTGAGATCAGGAGTTCAAGACCAGCCTGACCAACATGGTGAAACCCTGTCTATACTAAAAATACAAAAATTAGCTCAGTGTGGTGGCACACGCCTGTAGTCCCAGCTACTCGGGAGGCTGCGGCAGGATAATCACTTGAACCCTTGAACCCGGGAGGCAGAGGTTGCAGTGAGCCAAGATCACGCCATTGCACTCCAGCTTGGGTGACCGAGTGAGACTTCATCTTAAAAAAAAAAAAAAAAAGGCCGGGCATGGCGGCTCACGCCTGTAATCTCAGCACTTTGGGAAGCCGAGGCGGGTGGATCACGAGGTCAGGAGATCGAGGCCATCCTGACTAACACGATGAAACCCCGTTTCTACTAAAAATACAAAAAATTAGCCGAGCGTGGTGGCAGGCGCCTGTAGTCCCAGCTACTTGGGAAGCTGAGGCAGGAGAATGGCGTGAACCTGGGAGGTGGAGCTTGCAGTGAGCCGAGATCACGCCACTGCACTCCAGCCTGGGCAACAGAGCGAGACTCTGTCTCAAAAAAAAAAAAAAAAAAGTCACCAGGAGGCTGGAGGTGGTGGCTCATTCCTGTAATCCCAGCACTTTGGGAGGCCAAACCAGGCAGATCACTTGAGGTCAGGAATTCGAGACCGGCCTGGCCAACATGGCAAAAACCTGCCTCTAGTAAAAACACAAAAAGTAACCCGGGCATGGTGGTGTGCACCTGTAACCCCAGCTACTCAGGAGGCTGAGGTGGGAGAATTGCTTGAACCCAGGAGTCAGAGGTTGCAGTGAGCCCAGATCACACCACTCCACTCCAGCCTGGACGACAGAGTGAGACTTTGTCTCAAAACAACAACAACAAAAAGTCAGCAGAGAGGAAAGGCTGGTCCTGGAACCCCAGTCTGAGAGGCCAAGTCTGCTCCTTGCAACCTCTGGAGCTTTGCTTACCCAGGGAGCAGGTTGGGGGGTTTGCTCATCCACCTGCAGGTGGATTTGGTGCAGCCTGGGCTCAAACTCAAGGGGTCCAACAGCCCTTCCTCCCTGAGCCTCTGTTTCCTCCTCTGTAAAGCAAGGATTATTCATCATTAACTCATGTTTATTAAGCACTTAAGGCATCCAGGTCTGTTAGGACACCCTGCCCTCAGGGACCTCATGTCTGGTAGACAAGGGAACGAGGAAATGACTTCTGACAGGATTTTGCAAAAGAAAGAAAACCAGGCAAAGCACCAGGTCAAGACTGCAGTGGTTGCTGAAGGCTACTTTGTGGAGGTGGTGATTCAGGGCAATAGCACGCCCAAAGGCCCTGAGGCAGGGATGTGTTCAGCCCCTTGGGACAGCATTGAGGAGGCGGCTGTGACTGAAGCAAAGTGAGTTGGGCAGAGTGGGGAGGGCACCATGTAGGCAGGGAGGGCTACAGGCTGGGCATCAGGGACCTGTGGGTCCCCAGGAAGGAATGCAGACTTTATACTTAGAGCACTGGGGAGCCACATAAGGCTTTTGAGCAGGAGAGGGCATGATCTGCTTTTTTTTTTTTTTTTTTTAGACAAGGTCTCACGCTTTCACCCAGGCTGAAGTGCAGTGGCGTGATCATGGCTCACTGCAGCTTCGACCTCCTGGTCTCAGATGATCCTCCCACCTCAGCCTCCCAGGTAGCTGGGACTACAGGTGTGCGCCACTATACCCAGTTGTGATCTTCTTTTGTGTTTAAATATTTGCAGCCGGGTGCGATGGCTCATGTCTGTAATCCCAGCACTTTGGGAGGCCGAGGCAGGAGGATCACTTGAGTCCAGGAGTTCGAGACCAGCCTGGCCAACGTGGTGAAACCCTATCTCTACTAAAAATACAAAAATTAGCCAGGTGTGATGGTGCATGCCTGTGGTCCCAGCTATTCGGGAGGCTGAGGCAGGAAAATCGCTTGAACCTGGGAGGTGGAGGTTGCAGTGAGCCGAGATGGCAGCATTGCACAACAGTCTGGGAAATAGCAAGACTGTCTCAAAAAAAAAAAAAAAAAAAAAGATTTGCAGCCAGGCACAGTGGCTCACACCTGTAATCCCAGGGCCTGAGGGAGGAAACTTGTCTTCATAAACCCTTTCCCATCTTCCTCTGTCTCTCACGAGGTCCTGGATGCTGGCCTCCGGGTCTTATCGCTGAAATCTCAGGCCTCCAACAGCAGGGAAACATCTGCTTTCCGGAGTTCAAGGATCTTCCAGCCCGGACGGAGGTCACAGGGAAGGAGGATCGCTGAAACAAAGAGAAAGGGTCACACGTTGGGCGCTGACTGCATCAACAGGGGAGACACTGGCCAGGTGCGGTGGCTCACTCCTCTAATCCCAGCACTTTGGGAGGCCGAGGTGGGTGGATCATTTGAGGTCAGGAGTTTGAGACAAGCCTGGACAACATGGTGAAACCCTATCTCTACTAAAAATACAAAAAAAAAAAATTAGCCGGGCATTGTGGCACACACCTGTAATCCCAGCTACTCAGGAGGCTGAGTCAAGAGAATCGCTTGAACCTGGGAGGCGGAGGTTTCAGTGAGCCAAGATCACGCCACTGCACTCCAGCCTGGGTGACAGAGTGAGACTCCACCTCAGAAAAATAAAAACACACAAACAAAAATTAGCCGGGCGTGGTGGCACACATCTGTAGTCCTAACTACTGGGGAGGCTGAAACAGGACAACTGCTTGAGCCCAGGAGGTCAAGGCTGCAGTGAGCTCAAATTGCACCGCTGCACTCTAGCGTGGGGGACAGAGCGAGACCTGTCTTGAAAAACAACAAAGAAAAAAAAAAAGAAAAACAACAAAGAAACAAATCCCAAAGTCAATGGGGACCAGAGTCTGGGGAAGGGTGTCAGTACACCCACATCTTGGGGTCCCCCCTAACACCTTGGGGTCCCTCAGGCTTTGGCATCTATCCTGGGACCCAGGAGGGATATAGCTGCTGGTGGCTGGGCCAAGCCCTTGGTGGTAACCCCACTGTTCTGGGGGGTACCATCCAGGGAGGTCATGACCAGTAGCTGAGGGGTTCCTGCAGGGCCCTTCCAGGTGGTAGGTGCTCAGGAGTTGGCTGTTAACAGGTCAGGAGAGTGAGAAACAGAAAGAAACATAGACATACAGACTTGGAGAGCAGTTGCTTGGGGGCTGGCCTCTCGCTTCTAGATGAGACCCTCTCCTGGGGGGCCACTCAGAGTCCATCTGGGACACCACAGCCATGCCCACATGCAAAACAGACATTGTGTAACTGGCCAGTGACCTCCAACTCACATCTGCCAGAGCCCTCCACCTTCTAGCAGTCACAGGGCCCAGGGTGGGTGTTGAGCAGCATCTGGACCTGGCTCGAAGGCAGCTGTCTGGAGTCCTGTGGGAGGAGGGGCTGGCCCTTGAAAAGGCACCTGGGGAGACCAGGTTGGATACAGGGATGCAAGGCACAGGCGCACTAGGGCCACTACCAGTGTGACAGTCTACACTGGGCTCTTCGAAGGGTAGGCGGGGTGCTTAGAGAGTGTTGGGGCTCAAGCTACACCTTTCCACTTCCTCACATGTTCATGCACCCACTCAATGCCTATCCATCCATCCACCCACCCATCCACCCACCCATCCACTCATTCGCCCATCCATCCATCCATCCATCCATCCATCCATCCATCCACCCACCCATCTGCCTGTCCGTCCATCCATCCATCCATCCATCCATCCACCCACCCACCCAGCCATCCATCCATCCATACACCTATCCATCTTCCCATCCATCCAACCATCTATCCGTCCACCCATTCTTCCATTCATCCATCCATCCATCCATCCACCCACCCATCCATCCATCCATACACCTATTCATCTGCCCATCCATCCACTCATCCACCCACCCATCCATCCATCCATACACCCATCCATCTTCCCATCCATCCAACCATCCATCCATCCACCCATTTACCCATCCATCCACATATCCACCTACCCATCCATCCATTCACCTATCCATCTTCCCATCCATCCAACCATCCATCCACCCACCCATCCACCCATCCACCCATCCATCCATCCACCCACCCATCCATCCATCCATACACCTATCCATCTGCCCATCCATCCACCCATCCACCCACCCATCCAGCCATCCATACACCCATCCACCTTCCCAACCATCCATCCATCCATCCACCCATCCACCCATCCATCCATCCACCCATCCACCCATCCATCCATCCACCCGCCCATCCATCCATGCATACACCCATCCATCTCCCCAACCATCCAACCATCCAATCATCTATCCATCCACCCATTCATCCATCCATCCATCCATCCATCCATCCATCCATTCATCCATCCATCCACCCACCCATCCATCCATCCATACACCTATCCATCTGCCCATCCATCCACCCATCCACCCACCCATCCATCCATCCATCCACCCATCCACCCATCCATCCATCTATCCATCCATCCATTCACCCAGCCATCTTCCCATCCATCCAACTATCCATTCATCCATTTACTATTCATTTATCTATCTATACACCCATCCATCCAACCATCCAACCGTGTGTACACTCATCTTCCCATATATTCATCCATTCATCGATCCATTATTTATCCATCCATCTGCCCATCCATCTGCCCAGTCACCCATCCAGTCATTTATCTTCCATCCCCCATCCATCCCCATCCATCCCACCATTCACCAATCCCCCATTCCTATCCCATCCATCCATGCTTCCATCCATCCACCCTCATATGCAGGCATCATCCATGATCCACCCAACTCTACTTCCACTTCTCATACTTCTACTCATTCTTCAAGCCCCAACTCCATGTGCCTTCCTCCTTGCAGCCCTTGGTGTGGCCCAGACCCTCCCTGTCCCTTCCTCTCACCCAGGCCCAACCCATGGAGCGAAGAGTGAATGCACCTGGCTCAGCTTTCAGACTGGAGGCTGCTCGAGAGCAAGGCCTGAGGCCGAGGTTTCTTGGGGGCCCAGCAGCACCAGTGTGAGGGGGCGCCGAGGAGAAGACCAGCAATTTCTGCCTGTGGGCCATTGAGGCATCAGGCCTCCAGGTCAGGGGGGATACCACCCCACCCACCAATAATAAAGCCCCTGTGATTTAAGCCCAATAAAAAGGCCCGGGGAAGGAATTCAGGCTTGGCCTGAGGCCACTCTGGGGTCAGCAAGAGCTCCAGCGACAGATATATCTGGGTTTGTGCTCCACTTTGTCACATGTGCACTGTGTGACACTGAAGAGGTCAGTTTACCTCTCTGAGCCTCAGTTTTCCCATTTGGAAATCAATCTGTCTCATGTTAATTGCACATTTACAAGGAGTTGAGGCCCACATCAGGCCCCATCAGCTGGGATGTATCAGCTCCACTCCAGGGGAGGGGCCAGGAGGAGCTGGGGTGAGGAGAACAGGAAGGGAGGTTGAGAAGGTGGATGGGGCCAGGCGCAGTGGCTTATGCCTATAATCCCAACACTTTTGGAGGCTGAGGCAGAAGGATCATTTGGGGCCAGGAGCTTGAGACCAGCCTGCCAACATAGCGAGACCCCATATCTACAAAATATAAAAAGATTAGCTGGGCATGATAGTGTACACCAGTGGTCCCAGCTACTCGGGAGGTTGAAGTGGGAGGATGGCTTGAGCCTAGGAGGTCGTGGCTGCAGTGAGCCGTGATGGCGCCTCTGTATTCCAGTCTGGATGACAGAGTGAAACCCTATCTCAAAAAAAAAAAAAAAAAAAAAAAAAGGTGGATGGCACTGGTGGGGGGATGGGAGGGGTGTGGGACATAGGTGTATGTTTCCTAATGGATTCAGAGTTCCATATTTTCTTTTTCTTTTCTTCCTTTTTTTTTTTTTTTGAGATGAAGTCTCACTCTGTCACCCAGGCTGGAATGCAATGGGATGACCTCGGCTCATTGCAACCTCCGCCTCTCAGGTTCAAGCAATTCTCCTGCCTCAGCCTCCCGAGTAGCTGGGATTACAGGCACGCGCCATCACGCCCAACTAATTTTTTTTTTTTTTTTTGAGACAGGGTCTTGCTCTGTCGCAGAGCTGGAGTGCAGTGGCATGATCTTGGCTCACTGCAACCTCTGCTTCCTGGGTTCAAGCGTTTCTCCTACCTCAGCCTCCCCAGTAGCTGGGATTACAGGCACTCACTACTATGCCCAGCTATTTTTTTTTTTTTATGTATTTTTAGTAGAGACGGGGTTTCACCATGTTGGTCAGGCTGGTCTTGAACTCCTGACCTCATTTTCTGCCCACCTCGGCCTTCCAAAGTGCTGGGATTACAGGCGTGAGCCACCACACCCAGCCAATTTTTGTATTTTTTAGTAGAGACGGGGTTTCACTATGTTGGCGAGGCTGGTCTCGAACTCCTGACCTCAAATGATCTGTCCGCCTCAGTCTTCTAAAGTGCTGGGATTACAGGCATGAGCCACCGTGCCGGCCTCTTTTCTGATTCTCCAAATAATGTATGCTCATTGTAAAAACAGTTTTAGAAAGCACAGACACGTGTAACGTAAATAATCTAAATAGGTCCCTTGTCATAGCGTTTAATTTCCTTTCTGAATTTTTAATACCTATTTACTTTATGCCTGGTGCTTATTGGTAAATTTTAAAATGCTGGCACAGGAAACAAACTAAGTAAACAAATTCAGATGCCATCCTTGCCCTTGGCCCTAGCTGACACGGACCAGGTGCTCTGTAAATATCTGTTGAGTGAACAAAATTTTAAAAATAAAATCAATGCCCAGAAATAACTGTTACTAACACGATGGTCTATTTCCATCTAGATTTTTTTTCTTTCTTTCTTTTTTTTCTTAGCCCAAATGGAATTACACTATACACATGATTTGTCAGTCAAGGCCAAATTCCAGTGTACATTCTTGAGTTCAGAGACTTCAGCATCACTCACCTTGAAGCTTTTCTATGGTTTGTTAAACAGATCTCCTATGGTTGGACATCTAGGTCACTCTCTGGGGACAGCCTAACAAATAGAATAACACATTTTCTTTTTTTTTTTTTTTTTTCTGAGACAGTCTCACTCTGTCGCCCAGGATGGAGTACAGTGGCGCAATCTCGGCTCACTGCAACCTCCACTTCCTGGGTTCAAGTGATTCTCCTGCCTCAGCCTCCCAAGTAGCTGGGACTACAGGCACCCACCACCACGGCCGGCTAAGTTTTGTGTTTTTAGTAGAGATGGGGTTTTACCATGTTGGCCAGGCTGGTCTCAAATTCCTGACCTCAAGTGATCACCGGCCTCGGCCTCCCAAAGTGTTGAGTTTACAGGCATGAGCCACCGAGCCCAGCCAAACACACGTTTTCAAGTTTTCTCCTTCTCCTTTTCCTTTTTTTTTTTTTTTTTGAGACAGGGGTCTCAGTATGTTGCCCGTCTGGAGTGCAGTGGCTATTCACAGGTGTGATCCCACTACTGATCAGCACAAGAATTTTACCTACTCAGTTTCCAACCTGGGCCGGTTCACCTCTCCTTAGGCAACCTGGTGGTGGTCTCCCGCTCCCTGGGAGGTCACCATATTGACACCAAACTTACTGTAGTCACCCAATTGGCATAGTGCACTACAGCCCAGAACTCCCGGATTCAAGTGATTCTTCCACCTCAGTCTCCTGAGTAGCTGGGACTACAGGCATTCATCCCTGAACCCAGCTTTTCAGCATTTTTGATGAATACTTAAGACCACATCACCTTCCATACAGGGGACCTTACTTGGCTCCCAGCAGTGATGGGTGAGTGTGTCCATTTCTCTGAATGTCTGACATTTGCAAATGAATGTTAGAGATATTTGCTTTGCAAGATGTAGATTAAAATCAGAAGCCATAAACCAGGCATGGCGCCTCGTGCCTATAATCCCAGCACTTTGGGAGGCCCAGGATGGAGGATCGCTTGAGTCCAGGAGTTCGAGACCAGCCTGGGCAACACAGCAAGATCCTGTCTCTACCAAAAAAAAGTTTTTGTTTTTGTTTTTGTTTTTTTGAGACAGAGTCTCACTCTGTCATCTAGGCTGGAGTGCAATGGCACAATCTTGGTTTACTGCAACCTCCGTCTCCCAGGTTCAAGCGATTCTCTCGCCTCTGCCTTATGAGTAGCTGGGACTACAGGCACGCACGACCATGTCCGACTAATTTTTGTATTTTTAGTAGAGACGGGGTTTCACCATGTTGGCCAGGCTGGTCTTGAACTCCCGACCTCAGGTGATTTCGCCCACCTCCTTGGCCTCCCAAAGTGCTGGGATTGATTACACACGTTTCCAAACAGTGGATCCCACAAGAAAAGAAGGTGTCATCGTAGGTGACAGAATGGAGGTCCCTGTCTGAGGGAGGGACCGCTGAGCCTCAAGTGAGTAGGCTACAAGGCTGGCAGGGAGGTCACCCCATCCTATGGCCTAAGATTGTCCCCAAACATAAAGCTTGAACCCTGAGGCCCCTTGATTGGTTTCCTTGGTCCTTGGCCAGCATTTAAACTCTCCTTTTTTTAAATTTCTTGAGACAGTTTCTCACTCCGTCACCCAGGCTAGAGTGCAGGGCACAATCTCGGCTCACTGCAACCTCTGCCTGTTGGGTTCAAGTGATTCTCCTGTCTCAGCCCCCATGAGTAGCTGGGGCTACAGACATGCGCCACCATGCCCTGCTAATTTTTGTATTTTTAGTAGTAACAGGGTTTCACCATGTTGATCAGGCTGGTCTTGAACTCCTGACCTCAAGTGATCCACCTGCCTCGGCCTCTCAAAGGTGCTGGGATTACAAGGGTGAGCCACCGTGCCCAGCCTACACTCTCTTGACAAAGGTTTTTATAAATCCCAATTTGGCTGGGTGCCGTGGCTCATGCTTGTAATCCCAGTACTTTGGGAGGCTGGGGCCAGGGGATCACTTGAGCCCAGGAGATTGAGACCAGTCTGGGGCAACATGGCAAAACCCATCTCTACAAAAAATAAAATAAAATTAGCCAGGCATGGTGGTGCATGCCTGTGGTCCAAGCTTCTTAGGAGGCTGATGTGGGAGGATCGCTTGAGCCCAGGAATTAGAGGCTGCAGTGAGCCATGATTGTGCCACTGTACTCCAGCCTGGGTGACACAGTGAGACCCTGTCTCGGAAAATAAATAAATAAAAGACTGTCTGGGCCAGGTGCCGAGGCTCACGCCTGTAATCCCAGCACTTTGGGAGGCTGAGGCGGGCAGATTGCTTGAGCCTGGTAGTTTGAGACCAGACTGGCCATCATAGTGAAATCCCATCTCTACTAAAAATAAAAAAATTAGTTGGGTGTGGTGGCGCACACCGATAGTCCCAGCTACTTGGGAGACTAAGGTGGGAGAATCACTTGAGCCTGGGATCAAGGCTGCAGTGAGCCGTGATCAACCTCTGCACTCCAGCCTGTGTGACAGAGTGAGGCTCTGTTTCAAAACACCACCAATGACAAGAAAACCCATGACCGTCCGGGCGCGGTGGCTCGTGCCTGTAATCCCAGCACTTTGTGAGGCCGAGGTGGATGGATCCTGAGATCAGGGGTTTGAGACCAGCCTGGCCAACATGGTGAAACCCCATCACCACTAAAGATACAAAAAATTAGTCGGGCGTGGTGGCACGTACCTGAAATCCCAGCTACGTAGGAGGCTGAGGTAGGAGAATCGCTTGAACCCGGGAGGTGGAGGTTGCAGTGAGCCGAGATCGTGCCATTGCACTCTAGTCTGGGCAACAGAGCAAGACTCCGTCTCAAAAAAAAAAAAAAAAAGAAAATCCATGAGCACTCAGACCTGCAGCCAGTGAAGGCAAGGTAGAGATGGGACCCCACCCTTCAGCCTGTGTCTTACATTTTTAGGGGGCTAATTTAATTTAGAATGTCCAGCAGGGAAGTGTGTCTAGCTGTCCAGTGAGGGGAGCCTCAAGCTATCTTCCCACCTCAGCCTCCCAAACCACTGGGATTACAGGCATGAGTCACTGTACCTGGCCTGAAGGTCCCTTTTACAGATAAGAAAACTGAGGTTCAGGGCCGGCTTCTGCCCCTGCCCAACCTGCTGGCTTCTTCCTCAGCCAGCCCTCTCCAACTACTGCCTATTTCTTTTTTTCTTTCTTTCTCTTTTTTTGAGACGGAGTCTCGCTCTGTCAACAAGGCTGGAGTGCAATGGCATGATCTCGGCTTACTGCAACCTCTGCCTCCCAGGTTCAAGTGATTCTCCTGCCTCAGCCTCCTGAGTAGCTGGGATTACAGGCATGCACCACCATGCCCGCATAATTTTTTTTTTTTTTTTTTTTTGAGACGGAGTCTCGCTCTGTCTCCCAAGCTGGAGTGCAGTGGCGCGATCTCGGCTCACTGCAAGCTCCGCCTCCCGGGTTCACGCCATTCTCCTGCCTCAGCCTCCCGAGTAGCTGGGGCTACAGGCGCCCGCCACCACACCGGGCTAATTTTGTTTTTGTATTTTTAGTAGAGACGGGGTTTCACCGTGTTAGCCAGGATGGTCTTGATCTCCTGACCTCGTGATCCGCCCGCCTTGGCCTCCCAAAGTGCTGGGATTACAGGCGTGAGCCACAGCGCCCGGCTCTTTTTTTTTTTTTTTTTGAGACAGAGTCTCACTGTTGCCCAGGCTGGAGTGCAGTTGCGCCATCTCGGCTCACTGCAACCTCCGCCTCCTGAGTTCAAGCGATTCTCCTGCCTTGGCCTCCCTAGTAGGTGGGATTACAGGCGTGCACAACCATGCCCTGTTAATGTTTGTATTTTTAGTAGAGACGGGATTTCACCATGTTGGCCAGGCTGGTCTCGAACTCCTGACCTCAGGTGATCCACCCGCCTCAGCCTCCCAAAGTGTTGGAATTACAAGTGTGAGCCATCATGGCCAGCCACTACTGCCTATTTCTGCATCTCCTGTTCCAGACAAACGGAAGAAACAAGGCCATTTATTGAGCGCCGGTGATATGCTGAGCGCTCAACCTGCATCCTCAAAGATCGTCGATCCAACAGCCTGCTAGGAGTGGATCAATCGAGTCACAGAGGGGGCTCGACCCCCACTCACTGTAGAGAGGGGAAAGCTGAGGTTCAGAGGTGAAACGATACTCCCGGGGTCACACGGCAAGGACATGTAGGGGCAGGTTTTGGGACGAGGCTATTCCTGCATCCACGGTATAGAAAGAAGGCGGGGCGCAAAGGTCAGCCGGTGCTAGGGACCAGACAGCGGCCCATAGGGAGGAGTGGACTTGGGTCCAGGATGCGCCTGATGGGGCGGGGCTATCTTTATTGGGTGGGCAGTGCAGGACCAGGCTGCCCCATCAGGTGGAAGCGGGGCGAAGTGCACCTGTGCAGAGGGTTTGGGGGCGTGGCTAGAGGCTGAGATGCGCCGGGTGGGCTGGGGCTGGGGCTGGGGCTGGGCGGAGCGGGCGGCTCAGCACTGCAGCGGAAGAGCTTTCTTGCTACACGCAGTTGAGGCTAAGCTACCAGCAGGATGAAAGGATCCTGCTGTGGGTGATCGTGCACAAATAAGGCTGCGAGGTCACGTCGTCCATGCACTGAGAGAAACGAGAGGACCCCCGGCCTCAGCTCCTAGTCCAGCAAATGGAGGCACCATCCTTGACTCCTGTCTGTGCCTGTCTGCGCCTCAGCAAGCCTCAGTCTCCATATCTGTCGAATGGGCATGCCATCCCCGAGATGGAAGGGACCTTTTGTGCACCAGAGCTGGTCCCTTCCTTGTGCCCCCACAGCCTCAGAATAAAGCCAAACACCTCACCTGTCCACCCTCAACTCCCTCCACCATCCCCCTTATTCACTGTACTCCAGCCACAGGCTTCCCAGTTGGTCTTTGCACAGGGCAACAACATTACCGCCCCAGAGCCTTTGCATATGCTATCTGAGCCGCCTACTCTCAGTTCTTCCCTATGACTAACTGCTCCTTTAGGAGTCGACTAAATGCTACCATCCTGGCCAAAATAGCCTCCCCTCTCTGCAGTTTCAAATCCATGGAGGGAGTGGATTTTGGGCTAACTGGATACTACTACAAAAAATATACATATATATGCCCGGTGCAGTGGCTCACGCCTGTAATCCCAGCACTTTGGGAGGCCGAAGCAGGCGAATCACCTGAGGTCAGGAGTTCGAGACCCATCTGGCCAACATGGCAAAACCCCATCTCTACTAAAAATACAAATAAATTAGCCGGCTATGGTGGCACACGCCTGTAATCCCAGCTACTTGGGAGGCTGAGGCAGGGGAATCGCTTGAACCGGCGAGGCGGAGGTTGCAATGAGCCAAGATCGCGCCACTGCACTCTCTGGGGGATAGAGCGAGACTCTGTCTCCAAAAAAATAAAATAATAATTCCAAATGGACCTGAGATGTGAATATGCACCCTGCGAACACTAGAAGAGGCTATGTGCAGCCAGGTGTAGTGGCGCATGCCTGTAATCCTAGCATTTTGGGAGACTGAGGCAGGTGGATCACCTGAGGTCAGGAGTTCGAGACCAGCCTGGCCAACATGGTGAAACACTGTCTCTACTAAAAATACAAAAACTTAGCCGGTCATGATGGCAGGTGCCTGTAATCCCAGCTACTCCAGAGGCTGACCCAGAAGAATTGCTTGAACCCGGGAGGCAGAGGTTGCAGTGAGCCGAGGTCGTGCCACTGTACCCCAGCCTGGGCAACAAGAGCAAAACTCCGTCTCAAAAAAGAATAATAATAATAAGAGGGTATGTGTGCATTTCTGTAAGGTCTGGGAAGGGAAAGAGCTTTCATAATGATCAATCAGAGCCCAGGAGCAACAATGGGAAGGACGTGTGTATTCATACATGTATGTGTGTGTGTAAGAGTAAAATAGGCCGGGTGCGGTGGCTCATGCCTGTAATCCCAGCACTTTGGGAGGCCGAGGCAGGCAGATCACTTGAGGTCAGGAGTTCGAGACCAGCCTGGCCAACATGGTAAACCCTGTGTCTACTAAAAATACAAAAATTAGCCAGGCATGATGGTGCGTGCCTGTAATCCCAGGCACTCAGGAGGCTGAGGCATGAGAATCACTTGAACCCAGGAGGCGGAGGTTTCAGTGAGCCGAGATCACGCCATTGCACTCCAGCCTGGGGGTCACAGCGAGACTCTGTCTAAAATACAAAAAACAAAAAAAGAGTAAAATAAAACCTTTGGCCAGGCACAGTGGCTCATGCCTGAAATCCCAAAGCCTTTGAAGGCTGAGGCAAGAGGATCACTTGAGGCCAGGAGTTCGAGATGAACCTGGGCAATATAGCAAGACTCTGTCTCTACAAAAAATAAAAAATTAACTAGGCACATTGGTACGTGCCTGTAGTCCCAGCTATGCGTGAAGCTGAGGTAGGAGGATCACTTGAGCCCAGGAGTTTGAGGTTACAGTGAGCTGTGATTGTGCCACTGCAACTGCACTCCAGCCTGGGAGACAGAGTGAGAACCTGTCTCAAAATAATAATAATAGGCCAGGCCTGGTGGCTCACGACTGTAATCCCAGAACTTTGGGAGGTTGAGGTGGGCGGATCATGAGGTCAGGAGTTCAACACCAGCCTGGCAAACATGGTGAAACCCAGTCTCTACTGAAAATACAAAAATTAGCCAGGCGTGGTGGCGGGTGCCTGTAACCCCATCTACTGGGGAGGCTGAGGCAGGAGAATCGTTTGAACCCGGGAGGCAGAGGTTGCAGTGAGATGACATCACGCCATTGCACTTCAGCCTGGGCGATAAGAGCGAGACTCCGTCTCAAAAAACAAAAAACAACACCAAAACAACAAACAACAACAACAACAACAACAAAATAATAATAATAATAATAATGCATTGAACAATGATCATGAGTTTTAAAAAATGAAAAAAACCAAAACAAAACAATGAGCTGGGGCCAGGTGCTGTGGCTCATACCTATAATCCCAGCACTTTGGGAGGTTGTGGTCGTGATACAGGAGATAGAAATTATTTTGGCAGACAGTGAGGGTAAAAGAGTCCTGGGAATTTCTCTTTTAACAAAAAGCAGCCCCCCAAATCATTTCTTTCTTTTTTTAATTTTTATTTTTTGAGACGGAGTTTCGTTCTTGTCACCCAGGCTGTAGTGCAGTGGCACGATCTTGGCTCACTGCAACCTCTGCCTCCCTGGTTCAAGCAATTCTGTCTCAGCCTCCCGAGTAGCTGGGATTACAGGCGTGTGCCACCATGCCCGGCTAATTTTTGTATTTTTAGTAGAGACGGGGTTTCACCATGTTGGCCAGGCTGGTCTCAAACTACTGACTTCAGGCGATCCACCCACCTCGGCCTCCCAAAGTGCTGGGATTACAGGCGTGAGACACTGTGCCCGGCCTTCTTTTACGAGATGGAGTCTCACTCTGTCGCCCAGGCTGGAGTGGAGTGGTGCAATCTCGGCTCACTGATACCTCTGCCTCCCAGGTTCACGCTACTCTCCTGCCTCAGCCTCCCAAGTAGCTAGGATTACAGGCATGTGCCACCATGCCCAGCTAATTTTGGTATTTTTAGTAGAGATGGGGTTTCACTATGTTGGCCAGGCTGGTCTTCAACTCCTGACCTTGTGATTCACCCACCTCGGCCTCCCAAAGTTTTGGGATTACAGGCGTGAGCCACCGTGCCCAGCCGCAACTCATTTCTTTTTTCTTTTCTTTTTTTCTTTTTTTTTTGAGACAGAGTTTAGCTCTTTTTGCCCAGGCTGGATTGCAACGGCGCGAGCTTGGCTCACCGCAACCTCCGCCTCCCGGCTTCAAGCGATTCTCCTGCCTCAGCCTCCCGAGCAGCTGGGATTACAGGTGCCTGCCACCACACCCGGCTAATTTTTTGTATTTTTAGCAGAGACAGAGTTTCACCATGTTGGCCAGGATGGTCTCGATCTCTTGACCTCGTGATCTGCCCACCTTGGCCTCCCAAAGTGCTGGGATTACAGGAGTGAGCCACAGCGCCCGGCCAACTCATTTCTTTTCTAACAAAAAACAGCCTGAAAAATCGAGCTGCAGACATGGATAAGCAAGTGGGAAGCTTCCAGGGGTGAATACCAGCAGCTGTGTCAATGGAAAAGGGCCACCTGAGGGCCTGGCATGTTCAACATGGGGGCTCCAGCTTCCCTTTTTTTTGGTCACTACGTGTACAGTAAAGAAACAGGTTTTAGTTTGGCTGGGCACGGTGGCTCATGCCTGAAATCCCAGCACTTTGGGAGGCTGAGGCAGGTGGATCACCTGAGGTCAGGAGTTCGAGACCAGCCTGGCCAACATGGCGAAACCCCGTCTCTACTAAAAATACAAAAATTAGCCAGGCATGGTGGTGGGCGCCTATAATCTCAGCTACTCAGGAAGCTGAGGCAGGAGAATCGCGGGAACCCAGGAGGTAGAGGTTGCAGTAAGCCAAGATCGAGCCACTGCACTCCAACCTGGGCGACAAAAAAAAATGAACAGGCAACATGGCGCCAGCCAGCTAGAGAACTCATCTGCATAATAAAAGATTAAGAAGCCAGGCGCAGTGGTTCATGCCTGTAATCACAGCACTTTGGGAGGATGAGGCAGCAGATCATGAGGTCAGAGTTTGAGACCAGCCTGGCCAAGAGACCAGCCTGGCCAACATAGTGAAACCCCATCTCTACTAAAAAAATTAGCCGGGCATGGTTGCAGGCACCTGTAATCCCAGCTACTCAGGAGGTTGAGGCAGGAGAATTGCTTGAACCAGGGAGGCAGAGGTTGCAGTGAGCTGAGATCGCACCATTGCACTCCACCTGGGAGACTCAAAAAAAAAAAAAAAAAAAGAAAGAAAAGAAAGAAAAAAAAGATTAGGATGGGAAGGCCAGCTTTTCACACCCTATGCAAATTACACACATAGCCTTAACCAGGTTTTTACACCCTATGCAAATGAAACACCTGGTCCAACCAATCTTTTGTGCCCTATGGAAATCAGACACCACCTCCTTAAGCTCATCCATAAAACTCACTGCTTTTTACTGAGGAAGTGGAAACCCGTTCAAGATCCCTCTCTCTGCAGCAGAGAGAGCGCTTCTCTTTCTTTCACCGATTAAACTTCCACTCTGAACCTCACTCTTTGTATGTCTGAGTCCTAGTTTTCCGGGCCTGTGAGACAACAAATCTTGGGTATTTACCCCAGACAACAACACTACTCCAGTGGGAGGGAACACTTGAAGCCAGGAGTTTGAGGCCGGCCTGGGCAACTTATTGAGACACCATTTCTATAAAACAAACAAACAATAAGCAGGGGCTAGGCATGGTGGCTCACGCCTGTAATCCCAGCACTTTGGGAGGCTGTGGCGGGCAGATCACCTGAGGTCAGGAGTTCGAGATCAGCCTGGCCAATATGGTGAAACCCTGTCTCTACTAAAAACACAAAAATTAGCCAGGCATGGTGTCAGGTGCCTGTAGTCCCAGCTACTTGGGAGGCTGAGGCAGGAGAATCACTTGAACCCAGGAGGTGGAGGTTGCAGTAAACTGAGATCGCACCACTGCACTCCAGCCTGGGTGACAGGGCGAGACTCCAACTCAAAAAAAAAAAAAAAAAAAAAAAGCTGGGCACGGTGGCTCATGTCTGTAATCCCAGCACTTTGAGAGGCTGAGGTGGGTGGATCACCTGAGGTCAGGAGTTTGAGACCAGCCTGGCCAACATGGTGAAACTCCGTTTCTACTAAAAATACAAAAATTAGCCGGGAGTGGTGGCACACGCCTGTAATCCCAGCTACTAGGGAGGGTGAGACAGGAGAATCACTTGAAAGGAGAATCACTTGAACCTGGGAGGCAAAGGTTGCAGTGAGCCAAGATTGTTCCACTGCACTCCAGTCAGCCTGGGTGACAGAGAGAGACTCTGTCTCAAAAAACAAACAAACAAAACAGTCAGCAGGAACAGGCTCCAGGGAGAGACGTTCTGCTGCCTGGGTTGGGAGGGCTATGAGAAGTTGGCAGAAGGAGGAGCCTAGGGAGGTTCCTAGATTTTTCTGAGTGCTTGAGGACTCTCTCTCTGATTTGGGGAGGCTTAGGGAGCACTGGGCAGCTCTGAGAGTGGCCTGGGAGCCTGGCTGTGCCCCCTGCAATCCTGATGCTTTGGGGTAAGCAGGTGTTTGCCCCACCAGGCCGGAGGGCAGAGCAGTTCCTCTGGAACATCTCCCAATGCACAAAGGTTCTGGATATGGGTATGACTGTGAACTTCCCCTCGGCAAATACCTCCCCGACGGAAATGCACACGCAGCCTTCTCTCTTGGAATAAGGCAGGAAAATAAAAAAATAAAAATAAAAAATAAATGTATAAGAAGGTGAAGTCACAACGGGCAGTAGACAGTTGGGGATATTGCACCATCCCTGCAGGAAGGAAGCACCTTGGAGCTGACCCAGGCCGCCTCACTCTGCTTCCTTTTGAAACGCTCGTGACTTTTCAAATACTGCATTTTGCTGACAGGGCAAAGCATGCTCAGCTGGCCATGACGACAGGCTCTCTGGAGACTTGGAGAATGTTCCAGGTTGACTCAGAGGAATGCAGGTTGGAATCCCTGCTTCATCTCTGGTTACCTCTGTGAGCTTGGGCAAGGATGGGCTTTTTATTTTTATTTTTATTTTATTTTATTTATTATTATTATTTTTTAAGACAGAGTCTTGCTCTGTCACCAGGCAGGAGTGCAGTGGCAGGATCTCGGGTCTTCGCACCCTCCACCTCCTGAGTTCAAGTGATTCTCCAGCCTCAGCCTCCTGGGTAGCTGGGATTAAAGGCACCTACCACTACACCTGGCTAATTTTTGTATTTTTAGTAGAGATGGGGTTTCACCGTGTTGATCAGGCTGGTCTCGAACTCCTGACCTTGTGATCCGCCTGCCGTGGCCTCCCAAAGTGTGAGCCACTGTGCCCAGTCCCAGGCTTTTTAATAAACTCTTCTGGAGTAACTGGGTATCTGTGTGGCACAAAATAAACCTTGATCCCTACCTCACACCCTACACACAAAAATTCACCTTTGGGGAAAGCCCTTTCTCACTCTGAGTCTCTTCTGGGCCATGGTTTCCAACTCATAGAGCTGCTGTGGTACTGGGTCCCAGCAGCCCTGCCTGAACACTTCGCAAAAAGTAACTATCATTGGAGGTGTGGGGGTTCATGCCTAGAATTCCAGTGCTATGGGAGGATGAGGCAGGAGGATCACTTGAGGCCAGGAGTTCTAGACCAGCCTGGGCAACATATGCAGACCTCATCTGTCATATATATATATATATATATATTTTTTTTTTTTTTTTTTTTGAGACAGAGTTTTGTTCGTTCCCCCAGGCTGGAGTGCAGTGGTGCAATCTCAGCTCACTGCAACCTCTGCCTCCCAGGTTCAAGCAATTCTCCTGCCTCAGCCTCCCAAGTAGCTGGTGTGTACCACCATGCTTGACTATTTTTTTGTATTTTTGGTAGAGACGGGGTTTTACCATGTTGGCCAGGCTAGTCTCTAACTCCTGACCTCAAGTGATCCACCCACCTTGGCCTCCCAAAGTGCTGGGGTTACAGGTGTGAACCACAGCGCCTGGCCCCCACCTCTTCATATTGTCACATGGGTCTTAGGCTTCCACATATGAATTCCAGGAGGACACATACATTTGGGCCATAGGAGAGACAACACATCAGACTCTCAGGAAGGACTGAAGGGGTGGGAGTGGGATTCTGTATTCGATGGGACTCTGCAAATTTGAATTGTTCACATAGTATACAGTGATTCCCTTTTATCGGAGGTTTCACTTTCTTTCTTTCTTTCTTTTTTTTTTTGAGATGGAGGCTTGCTCTGTCTCCCAGGCTGGAGTGCAGTGCTACGATCTCGGCTCACTGCAACCTCCACCTCCCAGGTTCAAGTGATTCTCCTGCCTCAGCCTCTGGAGTAGCTGGGATTACAGGCACGCACCACCACACCCAGCTAATTTTTGTATTTTTAGTACAGATGCAGTCTCGCCATACTGGTCAGGCTGGTCTTGAACTCATGACCTCAGGTGATCCACCTGCCTGGGCCTCCCAAAGTGCTGGGATTACAGGCGTGAGCCACCGCACCCGGCCTGAGGTTTCATTTTCTGTGGTGTTGGCTACCTTCCATCAACCTCAATCCAAACATATTAAGTGGAAAATTCCAGAAATAATTCGTAAGTTTTCAGTTGCCTGCCGTTATGAGTAGTGTGATGAAATCAGTCCCCACCCCGCCCCCTCCCACCCTGGATATGAATCATCCCTTTGTTAAGGGTGCCCACGCCATAGACACTACCAGCCGGCTAGTCACTTAGTAATCTTCTGGGTGATCAGATCAACCGTGTCAGTATTACAGTGCTTATGTTCCAGAAATCCAAATTTTATTAATTTTCTATTTTATTATGTTATTGTTGTTAATCTTTTACTGTGTCTCACTGATAAATTAAACTTTATCATAGGTATGTATGTATGCATAGGAAAAAAACAGTGCATACACGTTTGGTATTTTCTGAAGTTTCAGGAATTTACTGGCAATCTTGGAACATATTCCCCACAGGCAAGGGGGAACTATTGTATTATTTTGGTATTCAAAATAAAAGAGGCTGGGCATGGTGGCTCATGCCTGTAATCCCAGCACTTCGGGAGGCCAAGGCAGGAGCAATCGATCCCTTGAGCCCAGGAGTTCGAGACCAGCCTGGGTAACATAGTGACAGCCCGCCTTTACAAAAACTTTGAAAAGTAGCCGGGTGTGGTAGCTCGTGCCTGTAGTATCAGCTACTCTGGAGGCTGAGGTAGAATTGTCTTGGGCCCAGGAGGCTGCAGTGAGTTATGATCACGCCACTGCACTCCAGCCTGGGGGACAGCATGAGAGCCTGTCTCAAAAAATTAAAACAAAATAGCACACAGAAAAAAGTTTTTGAAATTAGCCTCAATAACTTGACAGTTTCATCCATGTCAGGGATCAAGCCTGAACTCTGGATGAATCACATATCTATTTTTTTTTCTTTTTTTGGGGGAGACAGAGTGAGACTGTCTCCCAGGCTGGAGTGCAGTGGCACGATCTCGGCTTGCTGCAACTTGTCTCTTGGCTTCACGCAATTCTCATGCCTCAGCCTCCCAAGTAGCTGGGATTACAGGCATGCGCCACCACGCCTGGCTAATTTTTGTATTTTTAGTAGAAACGGGGTTTCACCATGTCAGCCAAGGCTGGTCTTGAGCTCCTGACCTCAGATGATCTGCCTGCCTTAGCCTCCCAAAGTGCTGGGATTACAGGCGTGAGCCACCGCCCCGGCCTTGAACTTTAATTTGTCTCCTGTTCTGACCTGCCTCAGGTGGAGCTCTGCTGGGTGGGTGGGGCTGATAGCCTTTCCCGTCCTACATGAGTTGTAGATATGTGTGTGTGTGTGTATATATATGTGTGTGTTTATGTGAGTGTGTATGTGTGTGAGAGAGATGAATTCTTTTTTTCTTTTTACTTTTTTCTGTTTTTTTTTTCTAGGCGGAGTTTTGCTCTGTTGCCCAGTCTCAAGTGCAATGGAGCGATCTTGGATCATTGCAACCTCTGCCTCCCGGATTCAAGTGATTCTCCCACCTCAGCCTCCTGAGTAGCTGGGATTACAGGTGCCTGCCACCATGCCTGGTTAATTTTTGTATTTTTAGTAGAGATGGGGTTTCACCATATTGGCCAGGCTGGTCTCGAACTGCTGACCTCAGGTGACCCGCCCTCCTCGGCTTCCCAAAGTGCTGGGATTACAGGTGTGAGCCACTGTGCCTGGCCAAGAGATGTATGTTGTATTTTTTTTTAAGCAGAGGAAAGAAGTATAAACATTAAATTTAAAAACAAAACTTTTGGCCAAGCATGGTGGCTCAGTCCTGTAATCCCAGCACTTTGGGAGGCTGAGGCAGGTGGGTTACCTGAAGTCAGGAGTTCAAGACCAGCCTGCCAACGTGGAGAAACCCTGTCTTTACTAAAAATACAAAAATTAGCTGGGCATGATGGCGCATGCCTGTAATTCTAGGCACATGGGAAGCTGAGGCGGGAGAATCACTTGAACCCGGGAAGTGGAGGTTGCAGCGAGCCAAGGTTGCGCCACTGCACTCCAGCCTGGGTGACAAAAGGAGACTCTTGTCTCCAAAAAAAAAATTTTTTTTAAATTGTTTATTTTTTAGAGACAGGGGTCTTACTATGTTGTCCATGCTGTTAAACTCTCGGGCTCAAGCGATACTCTCCCCTTAGCCTCCCGAGTACCTGAGATTACGGGGCGTTTGCCACCACACCGGGCTAATTTTTTATACTTTTAATAGAGACAGGATTTCACCATGTTGGCCAGAGTGGTCTTGAACTCCTGACCTCAAGTGATCCACCTGCCTCGGCCTCCTAAAGTGCTGGAATTACAGGTGTGAGCCACCATGCCTGGCCGTTTATTATTATTTATTATTATTTTTTTGAGACGTAGTTTCACTCTTGTCACCCAGGCTGGAGTGCAATGGCGCGATCTTGGCTCACTACAACCTTTGCCTCACAAGTTCAAGCAATTCTCCTTCCTCAGCCTCCCATGTACCTAGGATTACAGGCACACGCCACCACGCCTGGCTAATTTTTTTTCACGCCATGTTGACGGGGTTTCACCATGTTGGCCAGGCTGGTTTCAAACTCCTGACCTCGAGTGATCTGCCTGTGTTGGCCTCCCAAAGTGCTGGGATTACAGGCGTGAGCCACGGTGCCCGGCCGAGAGGTATAATTTCTGTTTATTTTTTCTCTCTGCTTATCTTGTTGGCTGTTTCTTCTCCAATACAGTCACATTTCTTGGATAAGAACAAAAATATAATAAGACCGTTTTGAAAATGCAGGCAAAGAAATGCTGGAAAGCGGTCATGAACATGCCAACGGAGATTATCTCTGCGAGCTGAGCGATTAAGGGAGGGGTTGCAGGGTTTTTATTTGTTTTCTTTTCTGCTTCTTTGTTTCTCCATCAGGAAATTGACCAACATTTTTTTAATTAGGGGAAATGACAGTTACCCCGTGTGCACTTTTTGGCAGGACCTGGCCTTCAGCGTGGGTCTTGGGGCCCCCTGGCCAGTCTGAGCTCCTGTGGGGCAGTTTTTCTGGTCATCTGCAGAGGCCCCGGGTGCAGGCAGGGGAGCCCCAGCTCCTACGCGCTGCATTTCCTCAGAGGCTCCAGCACCACGAATTTTTTTTTTTTTTTTTTTTTTTAGACAGGAAATTTCTCTGTCACCCAGGCTGGAGTGCAATGACACAATCATAGCTCACTACAGCCTCGACTCCCAGGGCTCAAGTGATCCTCAGCTACCTCAGCCTCCTGAGTAGCTGGGGCCACAAGCATGTACCAACACCCATGGCTAAATTTTGTATTTTGTGTAGAGACAGGGGTCTCACCATGTTGCCCAGGCTGGTCTTGGACTCCTGGGCTCAAGTGATCCGCCCACTTTGGCCTCCCAAATTGCTGGGGTTACAGGTGTTAGCCACCACACCCAACCGAGGGCTTCATTCTCTCTGACGCTCTGTGAATAGAGTTTAGACTGTCCTCCCACCAGCACTGGGGTGAGGTAATGCAGGAAAGGGCTGGTCCCACTGGCCCAGAAGCAGATAAGAGCACCCTCCATCTACAGCCAAAAGTTAAAATCCAAAATCCAGAACCTTCCTGAGCCACCCTTTCTGTCTTTGGTGCTGGCACGGCACTGGCATGCAGTGGGTGCCATATTATTGCTCTCCAGCGGCATGGCAGGTCTTACCACTGTGGCATCAGGACCCCGGGTTTCTCTAGCTCGGGTGATGTGGATCACTTGAGAGGCCGAGGATCGCTTGAGCCCAGAAGGCTGAGCCTGCAGTGAGCCCTGATGGCACCATTACACTCTAGCCTGGGCAACAAATTGAGAATCTGTCGCAAAATAAAAGAAAAAAAGAGAGAGAGAGAGAGAGAGTTTCTCTTATTTGCAGTCTTGAGTAAGGCGTCCTGCAGGAATTTTTGTTTGTTTGTTTCTGTTTTGAGATGGAGTTTCGCTCTTGTTGCCCAGGCTGGAGTGCAATGGCGTGATCTCGGCTCACCGCAACCTCTGCCTCCCAGGTTCAAGTGATTCTCCTGCCTCAGCCTCCCTAGTAGCTGGGATTACAGGCATGTGCTACCATGCTCGGCTAATTTTGTATTTTTAGTAGAGATGGGGTTTCTCTGTGTTGGTCAGGTTGGTCTCGAACTCCTGACCTCAGGTGATCCGCCCGCCTCAGCCTCCCAAAGTGCTGGGATTACAGGCATGAGCCACCACACCCGGCCATTTATTTTATTTTATTTTATTTTATTTTTTTGAGATGGAGTTTCACTCCTGCTGCCCAGGCTGGAGTGCAATGGCGTGATCTCGGCTCACTACAACCTCTGCCTCCCGGGTTCAAGCGATTCTCCTGCCTCAGCCTCCTCACTAGCTGGGATTACAGGCGCCTGCCACCATGCCAGGCTAATTTTTTTTTTTTTTTTGAGATGGAGTCTTGCTCTGTTGCCCAGGCTGTAGTGCAGTGGCACGATCTCAGCTCACTGCAAGCTCCACCTCCCAGGTTCAGGCCATTCTCCTGCCTCAGCCTCCCAAGTAGCTGGGACTACAGGCGCCCACCAGCGCCTGTATTTTTAGTAGAGACGGGGTTTCACCGTGTTAGCCAGGATTGTCTCGATCTCCTGACCTCGTGATCTGCCTGCCTTGGCCTCCCAAAGTGCTGGGATTACAGGTGTGAGCCACCATGTCCGGCCTAATTTTTGTATTTTTAGTAGAGATGGGGTTTTACCATGTTGGCCAGGCTGGTTTTGAACTCCTGACCTCAGGTGATCCACTTGTCTTGGCCTCCCAGCCTGCTGGGATTACAGGCGTGAGCCACTGCGCCCAGCCAATTTTTGTATTTTTAGTAGAGATGGGGGTTTCACCATGTTGGCCAGGTTGGTCTCAAACTCCTGACCACAAGTGATCCGCCCACTTCAGCCTTCTAAAGTGCTTGGATTATAGGTGTGAGCCACCACACCTGACCTGGAGAATATATCTTTTTCTTTTTTTTTTTTTTTTAGATAGAGTCTTGCTCTGTCACCCAGGCTGGAGTGCTATGGCACAATCTTGGCTCACTGCAACCTCTGACTCCCTGGTTCAAGTGATTCTCCTGCCTCAGCCTCCCGAGTACCTGGGATTACAGGCATGTGCCACCACAGCACAGCTAATTTTTGTATTTTTAGTAGAGACAGGGTTTCACCATGTTGGCCAGGATGGTCTCGATCTGCTCACCTCGTGATCCGCCCACCTCGGCCTCCCAAAGTGCTGGGATTACAGGCGTGAGCCACCGCGCCTGGCCGAATATTTCTCATACCAGGAAAAGTTGGAAGCAGCCCACAGATCTAGCCTGAGAGGCCTGGTTAAATTAGTGTCTGGCCGGGTGTGGTAGCTCATGCCTGTAATCCCAGCACTTTGGGAGGCCAAGGTGGGAGGATTGCTTGAGCCTAGGAGTTTGAGACCAGCCTGGGTGACATAGGGAGCCCCCATCTCTACAAAGAATAAAAATTCAAAAATTAGCCAGGCATGTGGCATGAACCCATGTTCATGCCTATGGTCACAGCTACTTGGAAAGCTGAGGTAGGAGGATTGGTTGGGCCCAGGAGGTTGAGGTTGCAATGAGCCATGATTGCACCACTGCACTCCAGCCTGGGTGACAGAGCAAAGCCTTGTCTGAAAAAAAAAAAAAAAAAAAAAAAAAGATTTGTGTCTGCATGACACACCATGATGTGGACAGGGAAGGGATGGAAAGGACACCATGCATGCAGATAGGAGACCACATACACTGCAGCAACTCCACTTCTGTGAATGTATCCGACAGAAATGGGACCTTCATTCCGCTGGGTGCGGTGGCTCACACCTGTAATCCCAGCATTTTGGGAGGCCGAGGCGGGCAGATCACTTGAGGTCAGGAGTTTGAGAATAGCCTGGCCAACATGGCGAAACCCCATCTCTACTAAAAATACAAAAAATTATCCGGGCGTGGTGGCACATGCCTGTAATCCCAGATACTCGGGAGGCTGAGGCAGGAGAACTGCTTGAACTTCGGAGGTGGAGGTTGCAATGAGCCAAGATTGCGCCACTGCACTCCAGCCTGGGCAACAGAGGAAGACTCCGTCAAAAAAAAAAAATGCCCTGTTGCAGTGGCTCACACTTGTAATTCCAGCACTTTGGGAGGTCAAGGCAGGCAGATCACCTGAGGTCGGGAGTTCGAGACCAGCCTGACCAATGTGAAGAAACCCCATCTCTACTAAAAATACAAAAATTAGCCAGGCGTGGTGGTGCATGCCTGTAGTCCGAGCTACTTGGGAGGCTGAGGCAGGAGAATCGCTTGAACCCGGGAGGTGGAGGTTGTGGTGAGCCGAGATCGTGCCACTGCACTCCAGCCTGGTGACACAGCAAGACTCCATCTCAAGAAAAAAAAAAAAAAAAAAAAAAGAACATTCTCAAGAGGAAATAAATTATCCGTGACAGGGCTCAATGGTTCTCCTTCATTCATGTGAGGTTTTTAATGCTTTTTCATATGCCTTGGGGGAGAGTTGTCAAATCTTAACAAATCAGAGAAGAATTATAACTCGTAGAAGAATGTCAAAGGCATTTGGAGGGTGGAAGCTGCAGAAATTGAGCCCCATCTGCAAATGGGATGGACAGATGAAAGATGTACATTCTCAAGTCTGCGTAGGAACGTATATTAAGCCGAGCATGGTGGCTCACGCATGTAATCCCAGCACTTTGGGAGGCCAAGGCGGGTGGATCACCTGAGGTCAGAAGTTTGAGACCAGCCTGGCCAAAATGGCGAAACCCGTCTCTACTAAATACACAAAAATCAGCCGGGCATGGTGGCACGTGCCTGTGGTCCCAGCTACTCAGAACGTTGAGGCAGGAGAATCGCTTGAACCTGGGAGGCAGTGGTTGCAGTGAGCCGAGATCGCGCCCTTGCACTCCAGTCTGGGTGACAGAGTGAGACTCCGTCTAAAAAAAAAAAAAAAAAATTGATCCATTCCATCTTGCATTTTTTTAATAAAGTTTTTTTTTAATTAAAAAACATTTTTTTTTTGGTGGAGATTGGTGTCTTACTATGTTGCCCAGGCTGATCTTGAACTCCTGGACTCAAGTAATCCTCCCACCTCAGCCTCCCAAAGTGCTGGGATTACAGGCTGAGCCACTGCACCCGGCCTTGCAGATGTGGTTAACACCTCCAATCAACTGACCTGAAGTAAAGGAATTTATCCTCCATGACCTTGATGTTTCTTTTTTTTTTTTTTGAAACCAAGTTTCGCTCTTTTTGCCCAGGCTGGAGTGCAATGGCGTGATCTCGGCTAACTGCAACCTCCACCTCCCGGGTTCAAGACATTCTCCTGCCTCAGCCTCCTGAGTAGCTGGGATTACAGGCATGCACCACCATGCCTGGATAATTTTTGCATTTTTAGTAGAGACGGGGTTTCTCCACGTTGGTCAGGCTGGTCTGAAACTCCTGACCTCAGGTGATCCTCCTGCCTCGGCCTCCCAAAGTGTTGGGGTTACAGGCGTGAGCCACTGCACCCAGCCGATGCTTCTTATCTAATCAGTTGAAGTCCTTCAGAGAGCAAAAACAGCTTCTAGAGGGAAAAAGGAATTCGTAAGCTTGCAACAAATAAAGCCTCCCTGTTTCCAACCTGCTAGAGTGCCCTATGAATTTTGGGTTTATCAGCCCCCACGATTGCATGACCCAATTCCTTAAAATACATCTTTTTTTTTTTTGAGAGAGATAGGATCTCTGCCACCCAGGCTGAAGTGCGGTGGTGGGATCATGGCTCACTGCAGCCTCGACCTCCTGGGCTCAAACGATCCACCCACCTCAGCCTCTGGAGTGGCTGGGATCACAGGCACACACCACCATGCCCAAACTTTTTAAAAACTTTTTTGTAAACATGGGATCTTAAACTCCTGGGCTCAAGCAATCTTTCCATGTCAGCCTCCCAAAGTGCTAGGATTCCAGGCGTAAACCACCACGCCCAGACAAAATAAATCTTAAAAAATTTTTTTTTTTTTTAGAGAAAATCTCTTTCTATATATGTAATATGTATATTTCCTGTTGGTTCTGTTTCTCTTGTGAGCCATTACTGATACAGGCACCCAGAGGCCCGGTGATGGGAAGGAGGCGGGGTTACTTTCCAATACATACTCAGGGAATTTCTTTTTTTTCTTTTTTTGAGATGGAGTTTCGCTCTGTCGCCCAAGCTGGAGTGCAGTGTATGGTCTTGGCTCACTGCAAGCTCTGTCTCCTGGGCTCAAGCGATTCTCCTGCCTCAGCCTCTGGAGTAGCTGGGATTACAGGTGCCCGCCACCATGCCTGGCTAATTTTCGTATTTTTAGTGGAGACAGGGTTTTACCATATTGGCGAAGCTGGTCTTGAACTCCTGGTCTCAAGTGATCTGCCTGCCTCAGCCTCCCAAAGTGCTGGGATTACAGGCGTGAGTTACCGCGCCCGGCCACTCAGGGAATTTCTGAGATAGTGACAGCTTCCGGTGGCAGGACCTCAGCTGATTGCCTTGGCCTTTGTCCGCTGAACCCAGGCCAGCTTCCTAGCCTCGGGCGCCACCCAAGACACCTGCAGACCAAGGACACACATTAGAGGCCTTGGGTTTCACGGTCCTGGGCAGGGCCAGGCCTGAGGTGCTGACCAAGCCTGCTACCCTCAACCAAAATAAACCTAGGGCAGGATGCTGCTTGATCAGCCATCCATAGAACACCACAGCCCGAGCCGGGTCACAGATCTGCTTTGGCTGGCCTGCGGACAGGGAGGTCCTCAGCCGCAAAAGGCCTGAGAGGTGGACACATTGGATTTGAAGACCAAAAATGGCCCCCTTCTGGTTGGGTGCAGTGGCTCACACCTGTAATCCCAGCACTTTGGGAGGCTGAAGTGGGCGGATCACTTGAGGTTGGGAATTTGAGACCAGCCTGGCCAACATGGTGAAACCTCGTTCTCTACTAAAAATACAAAAATTAGCCGGGCTTGGTGGCATGTGCCTTGTAGTCCCAGTTACTCGGAAGGCTGAGGCAGAAGAGTCACTTGAGGCTGCAGTTGCAGTGAGCCGAGATCGCACCACTGCACTTCAGTCTGGGTGACAGAGCAAGACTTTGTCTCAAAAAAAAAAAAAAAAAAGGCCCCCTTCGGAGATGTGGGAGTTGGGGGTGGGGGCAGATTTCAAAGCCTGGGGGATTCGATCTGTCATCTGTGCAACCCAGCTGACTATGTGGCTAAAGTTTAACAAGTTTCACAATAACCATTAGACATTGACTGACACTGCCAGGGAAGTGCTCCAGAGATGGGGAAACCCACGTCCACACAAACACCTGTCCACGCGTGTCCACAGCAGCTCTAGTCATGGTTGGCAGAAAGTGGAAACCTCCCCATGCCCATCAGCTGGTGCATGGATAACAGAGTGTGTTCCATCCACACAGGGGGATATGATACAGCCATGGAAAAGAAGGAAGCACTGATCCATGCTACAGCGTGAATGAACCCCCAAAACACGATGCTGAGTGAGAGAAGCCAGACACAAAAGGCCACACAGTGTGAGATTCCATTGATCTGAAATGCCCAGAACAGGCAAATCCATAGACAGGAAGCAGATTGGTGGTTGCCAGGGACTGGTGGAGGGGAATGGGGAGTGACTGCTGATGGAGACAGGTTTCTTTTTGAGGTGATAACAATGAGCCTGGGTGGCTGGGAGTGGTGGCTCACGCCTGTAATCCCTGCACTTTGGGAGGCTGAAGGGGACAGATCACTTGAAGTCAGGAGTTCAAGACCAGCCTAGGCAACATGGCGAAACCCCATCTCTGCTAAAAATGCAAAAATTATCTGGGCTTGGTGGCATGCGCGCATAGTCCCAGCTACTCGGGAGGCTGAGGCAGGAGGATCACTTGAACCCGGGAGGTGGAGGTTGCAGTGAGCCGAGATGGCACCACTGCACTCCAGCCTGGGCAAAAGAGTAAGACCCTGTCTCAAAAACAAACAAACAAACAATTTATTATCATTATTATAATTTAAGATGGCATCTCAAGCGACAGAATGGGCCTTCGTCTCAAAAAAAAAAGAGCCTGAGCAACATAACAAGACCCCGTCTCTGCAAAAATATAAATAAAATTAGCCAGGCGTGCTGGATACACCTGCGGTCCTAGCTATTCAGGAGGCTGAGGTGGGATCGTTTGAGCCCAGGAGGTCGAGGCTGCAATGAACTATCATTGCACCAATGCATTCCAGCCTGAGCGATAGAGTGAGATCCCACCTAAACCGCATTTATTGAGTATCCACTGTGTGCCAGGCACTGAGCTGGGTGCTAGAACAGAGCCCAGAGTGGGAGAAACAGCTATAAACAGACGATCATAGTGCCAGGGGAATGCTTCTTTTTTTTCTTTTTCTTTTTTTTTTTTTCTGTTTTTTTTGAGATGGAGTCTTGCTCTGTCACCCAGGCTGGAGTGCAGTGGCATGACCTCGGCTCCCCGCAACCTCCACCTCTCAAGTTCAAGTGATTCTCCTGCCTCAGCATCCTGAGTAGCTGGGATGACAGGCGCGCGCCACCACGCCTGGCAAATTTTTTTTTTTTTTTTTTTTTGAGACGGAGTCTCACTGTATCGCCCAGGCCGGAGTGCAGTGGTGTGATCTTGGCTCACTGCAAGCTCTGCCTCCCAGGTTCATGCCATTCTCCTGCCTCAACCTCCTGCGTAGCTGGGACTACAGGCACCTGCCACCATGCCCGGCTAATTTTTTGTATTTTTAGTAGAGATGGGGTTTCACCATGTTAGCCAGGATGGTCTTGATCTCCTGACCTCGTGATCTGCCCACCTCGGCCTCCCAAAGTGCTGGGATTACAGAAGTGAGACACCGCGCCTGGCCATTTCTGTATTTTTAGTAGAGACAGGGTTTCACCATGTTGGTCAGGCTGGTCTCAAACTCCTGACCTCGTGATCCGCCCACCTTGGCCTCCCAAAGTGCTGGTATTACAGGCGTGAGCCACCGTGCCCAGCCTGGATGTTTCTCTTATAGCACAGAGAGGGGAGAGATGTAGCATTTTATGAACCTTTGAAGAATGGAGGAGGGGGTGTGGGTGTTGGGTTTTGGGGGATGAATATGAGTTTGCCAAGTTGAAGGTGGGGGCTGACCATGAACTGAACTTTATGGAATCTAACCAACACAACAAAATAAATCTAATTTTCAAAATGAAAATGAAAATGAGCATATTCTCCTTTGTTGGCGTGAACTGCAGGAATGTTTATATGTGGACACTTCACAGGCCAGCCTGCACCAGGCCTGGCTCATGCCGGCCAGTTCCTTCCTGAAGCTATTCATGTCTGCTGCAAAGATGGGATTAAAAACAGCATGTTGGCCTCTTCATTCATTAGGAGAGTGGAGAAATGGGAAAATTTGGGCTGCCCAAACTCCTCATGATCTATGAGGATAAACAGAAAGTTCAACGCCAGCCCTGACTGAGGACCCCCCACAAGGACTTATCTTCTATGTTTTTCTTTTCTTTTTTTGAGATGGAGTCTAGGTCTGTTGCTCAGACTGGAGTGCAGTGGCATGATCTCAGCTCACTGCAACCTCCACCTCCTGGGTTCAAGTGATTCTCCTGCCTCAGCCTCCTGAGTAGCTGGGATTACAGGCTTGTGCCACCACTCCTGGATAATTTTTGTATTTTAGAGATAGGGTTTCGCCACGTTGGCCAGGCTGGTCTCGAACTCCTGACCTCAAGCAATCCGCCCGCCTCGGCCTCTCAAAGTGCTAGGATTACGGGCGTGACCCACCACGCCCAGCCTCCTTGCTCTCTGAATCTGGATCTCACTTTCTGTAAATCCAATGTGACCTTTGGCTGTTTACTGAGTACAAGACGCTCCTGATGACCCATTTTACAGATGAGGAAATTGGGGCTCAGAGAAGGCGAGAGAGCAGAGACTGGGATTCAGTGAGGAGGGTCCCAGGGGGCCTGATGATGATGATGATTATTATTATTATGGAGACTTGCTCTTTTTGCCCAGGCTAGAGCGCAGGGGCGTGATGTCGGCTCACTGCAACCTCTGCCTCCAGGGTTCAAGTGATTCTCCTGCTTCAGCCTCCTGAGTAGCTGGGATTACAGGTGTGTGCCAGCATGCCCAGTTAATTTTTGGGTAAAGACAGTGTTTCACCATGTTGGCCAGGCTGGTCTTAAACTCCTGACCTCAAATGATCCACCTGCCTCGGCCTCCCAAAGTGCTGGGATTACAGGCATGAGCCACCCGCACCCAGCCAGGCCTGAATTTTTTTAAAGACAGGGTCTTCCTATGTTGTCCAGGCTGAAGTGCAGTGGCACAATCATGGCTCGCTGCAGCTTTGAGCTCCTGGGCTTTAGTGATCCTCTCACCTCAGCTTCTCAAGTAGCTGGAACTACAAGGAATGGGCTACCACACCTGGCTAGATTTTTAAATTTTTTATAGAGACTGGGTCTCCCTATGTTGCCCAGGCTGTTCTCCAACTCCTGGGCTGAAGTGATCCTCCCACTTTGGCCTCCCAAAATGCTGGGATTACAGGTGTGAGCCACTGCACCTGATTGATGGTGAGTTTGAAGTGGAAGGTGTTTGAAGGGGTGAAAGTGTCCATCAGAAAGCAGCTGGCCAGGCGTGGTGGCTCATGCCTGTAATCTCAATCCCAGCACTTTGAGAGGCTGAGGTGGGCGGATCACCTGAGGTCGGGAGTTCAAGACCAGACTGATCAACATGGAGAAACCCCATCTCTACTAAAAACACAAAATTAGCTGGGCATGGTGGCGCATGTCTGTAATCCCAGCTACTCAGGAGGCTGAGGCAGGAGAATCGCTTGAACCCGGGATGCGGAGGTTGTGGTGAGCCGAGATCACGCCATGGCACTCCAGCCTGGGCAACAAGAGCAAAACTCTGTCTCAAAAGAAAAGAAAGCAGCTGAGACCAATATAGCTAAGGAGTGAAGAGCTGGGTTCCGATTCTGATTCTGCCCACTTGCAGGGGCTCTTCCTAGTCCTTCTGTGAACAGCATCTTGTTGTGCTTGGGGTCTTTCCCCCTTCTTAGCCAATGAAGCCCTAGCTATCAGTGTATTGTAGCCCTCTGGCCACTGTGATTGGTTCAGAGACAGGCATATGCCCCGGGCTGGGGCAATAATAGACAATCTTGGTGTCTGTGCCACCCCTATCAGACAACAGAGCTCTTGTGATGTTGCTTAAATGGGTAAGGCTAGGCTCCGAGTTGCTGGCCACCATCTTGCCTGCCTGTAAACAAAGGACAGCAAAGCCAAGAAATAGAGAGAGAGGCTGGTGGTTTTGGTTGAGTGCCTTGATCCAGCTGATCCTGAAGGTGTCCTTTCCAATTCCATCCACCAATTAATTCCCTTTTTGGCTTTATGCAGCCCAAAGAGTTCCCATGTATTCAGCCCTTAGTGCTGCAGAGACAGCACTATAAACATGTCAGTTACTTCATTCATTAGGAGAGCAGAGAAATTGGAAAATTGAGGCTGCCCTCATTGCTGTCTATGAGGATAAACAGAAAGTCAAAGACCAGGCAGGCTGTAGTGGCTCCTGCCTGTAATCTTAGCACTTTAGGAGGCTGAAATAAGCGGATCACTCAAGCCCAACAGTTTGTGACCAGCCTGGGCAACATAGTGGACCCTGTCTCTACAAAAAGAAAAAAAAAAAAAAAATTAGCCAGGCATGGTGGTGCATGCCTGTAGTCCCAGCTACTTGGGAGGCTGAAATGGGAGGATCACCTGAGCTCAGGGAGGTTGAGGCTGCAGTGCCACCGCACTCCAGCCTGGGTGACAGAATGAGACTCTGTCTCAAAAAAAAAAAAACAAAAAAAAAAAACAGCTAAAGACCAGCCCTAAGAACTGAACTTTCTGGAAATGGCTTGGACGTCCCACCTGCCTGCCCCAGAGAGTTGTTAACCAACGTCTCTGGGCCTCAGTTTCCTCGTCTGTAAAGGGAGCTGTGGTTGCCTAAGGTGAAAGGAGCACAGGTGCCAAGCGTTCTTTGCCATGCCTGGCGCTATAAGATATCCAGTGCTATCTAGGGATGCCCCCCGGGTGCCCACCCTGGACTCCTGCTTACTTGGACTTGGATAAAAGAAGGTTTTCTGGCCAGGTGCAGTGGTTCATGCCTGTAATCCCAACACTTTGGGAGGCAGAGGCGGATGGATCATCTGAGGTCAGGAGTTCAAGACCAGCCTGAGCAACATGGTGAAACCCCATCTCTACTAAAAATACAAAAATTAGCCAGGTATGGTGGTGCCTGCCTGTAGTCCTAGCTACTTGGGAGGCTGAGGCAAAATAATTGCTTGAAACTGGGAGGTGGGGGTTACAGGGGGTTGCAGTGAGCCCAGATTGAGCTGCTGTACTCCACCAGCCTGGGCAACAGAGTGAGACTCTGTCTCAAAAAAAAAAAAAAAAAAAAAAAAAAAAAAAAAAGAAGAAGAAGAAGAAGAAGGTTTTCTGCGTTCTGAGGGACTTAGTTGCTCCCAGACATCTCTGCCTCTTGCAACAACCTGCCAAGAACGTGGAGAGCCAGAAAGGAGAGGGTGAACATCTCTGGACTGAAACAGGGAAACTGTCAAAGGCTCTAGAGTAGGCAGGTGGGACGTCCAAGCCAGAAAGGACAGGTTTGCTCTGGGTTCCTTGCAAGTGACCTCCATGGGGTTCGGGGCTGAGACGGAGCCTACAACGTTGTCTAAGGCCACATTTCAGACAACTGCCAGAGAATGGTTGTTTTACCAAATAGCTGGCCAGCACACGGGGTCTATGTCTCTGTGTCTTTTGGCTAGGTTATTCACACCCCACCCTCGTCAGCTGTCAGGGTTACCCTGGGGAATGTCAATTCCAGGCACTTCTGGTTCCAGTGGGCATTCAGGCAAAGGGTGCTCCAGCAGCCCAGGGTAGCCCTGATACCCTGCACAGGTGCCTGCCATTAAATGGGGCTGGAACCGAGGGGTATAGATGGAACAGTTCAGAATTGCTTTCATTCCTGCCCTGCCCTTCCAGACTGCTCTTTTAAAAGGTGTAAATCAGGCCAGGCATGGTGATACATGCCTGTAGTCCCAGCTACTCAGGAGGCTAAGGCTGGAGGATCATTTCAGCCCAGGAGGTCAAGGCTGCAGAGAGCTATGATCATGCCACTGTACTCCAGCCTGGGCTACAGAGTGAGATGCCGTCTTAAAAATAATAATGATAATGATGATAAATTTTTTGTTTGTTTTTGAGACAGAGTCTTACTCTGTCACTCAGGCTGGAGTGCAGTGACGCCATCCCGGCTCGCTGCAACCTCCACTTTCCGGGTTCAAGTGATCTTCTCGCCTCAGCCTCCCGAGTAGCTGGAACTATGTGTGTGTACCACCATGCCTGGCTAATTTTTGTATTTTTAGTACAAACGGAATTTTGCCGTCTTGCCCAGGCTGGTCTCAAACTCCTGACCTCAAGCGATCCGTCTGCCTTGGCCTCCCAAAGTGCTGGGATTACAAGCATGAGCCACCGCACCATGACAAAAGCCCCTCTCTACTAAAAAATACAAAAATTAGCTGGGCATGGTGGCGCGTGCCCATAGTCCCGGCTACTCAGGAGGCTGAGGTGGGAGGATTGCGTGAATCTTGGAGGTGGAGGTTGCAGTAAGCCGAGATGGCACCACTACACTCCAGCCTGGGCGACAGAGTAAGACCCTGTCTCAAAACGAAAACCAACAAATAAAAATGTGTGGTGAATGAATGAATGAATGAATGAGTGAACAGACAAGATGTAAAAAGCCGATCAGAGCCTCTGCCAAGGAGATGTCAGAGGGTTTTTCACAGCAGCCTTTGAACAATGGCCCTGGGAGGAAGCCAGGCTTATTTCCCCATTTGACACAGGAAGAAACTGTCTTGGTTCAAATCTGATCCTTTTTTCTCCTAAGACCACAGCTGCCTCCGAAACAAAGGCCGACAATTGCTGCCAGCAAGTGCTTTGCTGTTTTTACTTCCTCTAAACATTCTTCAGTGGATTTTCCTTTCAAACTGGTTGTAAGGAGGCACATGGCTGGGTGTTGGTGGGGGGTGGCACCCCTGCCCGGACCCCACACGCTTCCCTACCACGTGGCCGGTTTGGAGTAGACCCATCTTTGTGCTGAAACACAGCCCAACATTGCCATATACGGGGGGCTTGTCTACATTTTACAAGATTTTTACAAAAATGATGCTACACTTTGCAAATGGATTTATTTTTTTTGAGACAAGGTCATACTCTGTCACCCAGGCTGGAGTGCAGTGGTACAATCACAGCTCACTGCAGCCTTGACCTCCCGGGCTCAAGTGATCCTTCCTCCTCAGCCTCCCAAGTAGGTGGGACTACAGGCATGTGCCACCATGCCCGGCTAGGGTTTCTTTTTTTTTTAATAGAGATGGGGTCTTGTTACGTTGCCCAGGCTGGCCTTGAATTCCTGGCCTCAAGCAGTGCTCTTTCCTCTCCCTCCTAAAGTGCTGGGATTGCAGGTGTGAGCCACCACGCCCAGCTTGGAACATCTTTATTTTAAGATGAGCATGCTGGGGCCTCAGGGAGTGAAGTGAATTTTCCAAAGTCACTCGTTGTGACCAGGACACTGGAGTCAAGGCCCTTTCATCATGTCATGGGGTCTAGGTAAGGACTCAGGAAACTTCATTTATTTATTTATAGATAGAGTTTTGCTTTTGTAGCCCAGGCTGGAGTACAGTGGTGCGATCTCGGCTCACTGCAACCCCCGCCTCCTGGATTCACGCGATTCTCCTGCTTCGGCCTCCGGAATAGCTGGGATTACAGGCATGCACCACCACACCCAGCTAATTTTTGCATTTTTAGTAGAGACGAGGTTTCACCATGTTGGCCAGGCTGGTCTCGAACTCCTGACCTCAGGTGATCTGCCTGCCTCGGCCTCCCAAAGTGCTGGGATTACAGGCGTGAGCCACCACGCCTGGCCTTTGTTTTAAGGAGGAGGAGTCAGCCAATGGGATGCCTCAAGGACTGGGTCCACTGACACAGAACAATGGAAACAGATCAGCGATGTCTGAGTTCACAGCATGCGGGTGCTGCTCCTAAGAACCCTTCTGTAGATGCTACTGTTCTCCCCATTTGCAAATGAGGAAGCTGACACTCAGAGATGTGGATCACCCGCCCCAGGTTACACAGCACAGAGAGGACATGTTAGGACTGAGGATTCAAATTCTTAAGGTTTGCTTTCCTCCTGGCAAAAGCAAGTCATGAAGGCGTGGAAGCTGAAATCTCGAGGCTAACGCTCCCCTTTTCACACCTGGCCACAAGCTGCAAGAACTGGGAGTTGGTGCTCCCATGAGTCCAACCTGAGGATTCGCTGGAGAAAAATTCAGCCAAGAAAAGCTCAGCTCGTGAGGTCCCCCTCCTGGGCTGTGAAGGAAGCGGATAGTGCCAGTCATTACAGAGCCGCAATTCCTGAGTGTTAAAGTTCTCAGGGCCATGAGTATGGACTTCGTGGGAAATAGAAGCACCGTGTAGACCTATGCATGTGTGTATGTCTGTGTGCATACGTGTGCATGTCTCTGTGTATGTATGTGCATGTGTGCACGCATTCGCACATGGCGTTGCACAGGGTGTGTCCATGTGTACGCAAGTGTGTGTATATAGGGAGCTTCTAAATCAGATGAAACCAACTGGAAATCCGGATACTGATGTTTAGAATTCAAGCTCTGGAGTCAGACTGCCCCAGGCCTCAGTTTTTCCATTGGGAAATGGGCTGATCCTCCCCGGATGAGAGCACTGGAGTCCAGAGAGGCCAATGACGATCAGATTTATCTCAGTATATGGTCTGTGCTGTGGGCCTTGAGGCTGAAATTTTGTGAGCTCCTTTAATTCTCTTTTTTGTGTGTGTTGGGGGTTGGCGGCAGGGTCTTGCTCTGTCGTCCAGGCTGGGCTGCAGTGGTGCATTCATAGCTCACTGCAGCCTCCAGCTCCCTGGCTCAAGCAATCCTTCAACCTCAGCCTCCCGAGGAGCTGGGACTACAGGTGGGACTATCATGCCCTGCTAACAAAAACGTTTCTTTTTGTAGAGGTGGAGCCTCCCTATGTTGCCTAGGCTGCAGCCCCAGCATTCATTAATCATCCCCGGCTCCTACCTCTGCCCAGCCCTTAATCCCCCGAACATATGATGGGGATTAATCCCCCAAACCCTTGGGGGGGATTAATCCCCCAAACATATGGGGATGGGGGGACTTGTGACAACTTACCACTCTTTCCCTGGATAGCTCCTCTATGGAATGTGGTAGAGTTTGGGGGCCACCCAACCCTCAGGCTGGCCAGGGAGGGGTGGGCAAGGGGAGCTGAGAAGGGCTTGGGGATCCTCACGAGGGAAAACTGAGGCCCAAGCGGGTGGGATGTGAAAGGATCAGTCGGTAACAAGACCAGTCCCTCTGAACCCTCTAAGAGAGGTCCTGGGTAACCGTATGTATTTAACCCTGCAAGCTGTTGGCTACATTTCACTGGAGAAAATGCAGGCGTGGAGGGTCCCACCGCTTGACCACCTCGGGGAGGACTGACTGTGAGCAGAGGGTCAGTAATAGCGTCCCTGTTGCTGGCACATCTCTGGCCCTCAAAACACCACCCTCCACCATGGGTGGGCATTGGGGTAGTATGTGGACACAGGGGAGATAGAGGCCTGGCTGGGCCCCTCAGGGAACACGGTGACCCCAAACCACCACAGGCTCCTGCACTGTTGAGGTGGGGCTGGTGACAGGGTGGGGGTGACAGGGACAGAGTTGAGGGACCTGGAGGAGGTAGAGAGAGTCAGCAGTCAGGTCCATATCCCAAGAGGTCAGGGTTTGGGGGGTGAAGCTGGCATTGGAGCCCAGCCTAAGGGCCAGTGCCTGCCAGAGACACCTGCAGGAACCACAGCCCCCACTGTCCCGGAGAGGCAGGGAAACTAGGGAATTGGGACATCAGCAGGGTCACCCCAAAGTTAGATGGCACATGAACTGTGTGGAGGGAGGCAGCAAGGTGAGGAGACCCTCAGGAGGACCCTTTGTTCTCATATGCTATTTCCTGGACTTTGTCCACAAAGAAGCCCATTCTAGGATGTAGGGCCCAAACCCAAATGGCTAGGCGTGGAGAACCTGTTAGCTAAATGACAAGCCATCATACATACATGTGTATATGTAAGTTTATTTCAGGTTTGTATTTTTAGATATAGGGTTGCCCAGGCTGGAGTACTGTGATGCAATCTCAATTCACCACAGCCTCCAATCCTGGGCTCAAGTGATCCTCCCACCTCAGCCTCTCCAGTAGCTGGGATTACAAGCACAGGCTGCCACACATGGCTTCAGAATTTTTTTTTTTTTTTTTTGAGACCAAGGGTCGCTCTTGTTGCCCAGGCTGGAGTGCAGTGGCGCGATCTCGGCTAAACGCAACCTCTGCCTCCAGGGTTCAAGCGATTCTCCTGCCTCAGCCTCCCGAGTAGCTGGGATGACAGGCATGCGCCACCATGCCTGGCTAACTTTTGTATTTTTAGTATAGATGAGGTTTCTCCATGTTGGTCAGGCTGGTCTTGAACTCCCAACCTCAGGTGATCTGCCCACCTCCACCTCCCAAAGTGCTGGGATTACAGGCGTGAGCCACCGCGCCCAGCCTCAGAAATTTTTTAAGTGAAAAAAAGCAGGGAGCAGAATAGAACTTGAAGTATAATTTGCATTTTAAAGGTTCCATCTAAAACACGATTGTGCCTACGATTGTTTACATGTGGAATATCCTCTGAAGCCAACCCAATACCTGCTCTTTTCCCACGGGCCATGGAGACTGCTGAGACAGCCTGTGGGGAGAGGAAGGCAGTCTCCGAGTGGCACCCTTGGAGTGTCCTGTCATTTGTTTTGACTTATGGGAGGAGAAAGCCTCTGTGCTCCATTCCGCATACATCTGGGTTTGGTTTTTCATCTTTTACAAGGAAAACGTCCTCGCGTGCTGCTTGAACATGCATGCGCGCACATCTGTACGTGGGCATGCATGCACAGCAAAGGCCTGGACTGAAGCCACACCTTGCTTTTGCTACTGGGGCTTCTTGGCAGCGCCTTCTGCCTGTCTTGCCCCAAGGAAGCTCCAGGGAGGAGAAAGGCCATGACAGGGATCTTGTGGTTCCACTTAGTCCTAAATTATTAGGTTGGTGGAAAAGTAATTGAAGGTTTTGCCATTACTTTTGCACCAACCTAGTACAAGGCAGCAGGGGAGATTTTACCTTCCAAATGAGATCCTTCCCAGTCTGTAGAGGGGAAACTGAGGCCTGAGATCAAGTGACCTGCCTGGGTCAACGCCAGGACAGGCATCCTGGGCTGGACACCACTCCTCCTGTCCTCCTAAGACACCCTGACCGGCCTTAGGGTGATATTAAGAGGAACTAGGGGAAGAAGGGTTCCACTACTGAAGAGAAATTCCTGGTGGTTCCTCACCCCCTGCAGGTGAGCCCCACATTTTCCCTGCAGGCTCCGGCCTTTCTCAGGGAGTGCCACTGAAGCTAGCGGTTAGACATCGCTAAGATGAAGGCAGGGTGAGGGTCTTGGCTGGCAATAGCTTCCCCCGGGACACGGTAGAAGTGAGGCTGGGGGTCCTGCCTCAGCTTCCTAAGGGCTCTGTCTCAAGGCTCCCGCTAAGCTGCCCACAGGGACCTTTCTACATGAGCATCACCTGCCCTGGGCACAGTGCCTTCCCCCTCCCTGCAGTCTGGCTCCTCCCCTCCTCACCCTGGTCAGGCAGAGGCCCCTGCAGGCCCCCTGGGTGCTGCCTTGGTCTCTGCTGTGCCCTCTGCACGCCCCTCCTCACCTGGAGGGCCAAGGGGCTGTTGACAGAGGAACCATGGGCAGGCTGGCAGCACCCAGGGACAGCAGGGAGTGTGAAGATGACAGAGAGGCAGCTCTGCAGTCAGAGGGTGGCCCAGGCAGGCTCTGGTTTTACTCTGGCAGCTGGAACCCCAGCCCTGGGATGATGGGGCAAAGCCCTGTGGGGACAGGTGAGTCGTAGGCAGCAGGGGCACAGCTCCCACTGCCCTGACACCCCTCAAAGGCAGCTTCTGTACTTGGCGGTACCGATTACCCTCCCCAGCCTCCCCAGAAGGGAATTGCCCTCCCTCTGGTGGGTGCTTGGTCCCTTCCTGCTCTCTGGCATCTTCCAAGCTTTCCTGGTGACAGTGACACAAGGTCCCTCAGGTGGGGCAAGCCAGTGAGGAGGGGCCCGAGGGAGGAGCACCACGCCGGCGGAGGGCACGTCCTGGGAGGCAGCCATCATCTGGTTCTACACTGCACTCCCATCTGCGTGCGCTGGTGTCTGATCTGATTTTAAAAACACAGCCATGGAGACCCCAGCACACTGCATTTCCTCTACATTTATTGCAACGGCTAAATGATTAACAACATTCACAACTTCTTAGATCTTAAAAAACAGAAACAAAAGAAAACTTCCATTTTGTAACATCACAAATGTCTTCTAGGCTTTATCAAGGACCAAAAACACTACAATTCTCTAAGTGATTTCCAGTGATGGAAACAAGCCAGAGACAGTAAAGCACCCAGAGTGGCGAGAGAGCACTTCCAGATGCCTGTTGTCCTCTCGGGGGTGACCCTGGAACTAGAACGACAGAAAAGACACTGTGACTTTGACACGGCTGTGCCACCACACATCACGCGCGACACGAGGATCCTGCAGAGCGGCCTCTGCAGAGAGCAAGGACAGCCTCGGTTAAGAGGGAGGGGCTGGGGGCACGGAGGGCCAGTGGCATCTCCTCTATCCCGGCTGGCCGGCAGCTGGCAGCACGCACCATGCTCTGCTGGCTCCCGACACCTTCACTGCCCCAGCGCTGAATCCACAGGAGAGGTGTCCTCTGAGAGTGTAGGGGGCTTTCTAGGTTCAAGGAGATGTGCCCTTTGACCCCTGCCAAGGACTCACAGAACCATCTCAGCTCAAACTTGGAGGAGCGGCAGGAGGTGGGGGGCGGTCAGTGGCCACACGCCACAGATTCCTAAAGCATTTAACTTTTTAATAAAATGAAGTGGAGAAAGTCAAGAATGAACATGCTAGGACAAAGCACATGGAATGGTCAGGGCGATGCTGGAGAGAGTGCGCTTGATCCACGCTGCAGGTGTGTGCGCCTCGCTCGGGTCAATGGGCTGAGCCCCGCTTGGAGCTCCATCCATTCACCTGACCCATGGCCAACATGGAAGCTGTCGGAGGGGTCAGGAAAGGAGAAGGAGAAAGGAGAAGATGAACCCCCCGCACCTGTGACTCCCCAAAACCAGCTCCACTCCAGGCCCCCACAGGCTGGTTCGTTCGAGGGTTGGGTTATAAACCCAAACTCCATCCTCCATGCTGGCACCTCTACTGCCATAAAGATCTGCCAGTTGCCAAAGCTACAGAAGCCACTGGAAGCAAGCAGAGCCCCTGGGGGTGGTGGCACTGCAAGGTGACAGGGACCAGGCAGACAAGGAGCTGGGACCACAGCCTAGGAAGTCTGTGGCTTAAAGAAAGCCAGGATTTCCTTTTTTTTTTTTGAGACAGAGTCTCGCTCTGTTGCCAGGCTGGAGTGCGGTGGCACAATCTCGGCTCACTGCAACCTCCGCCTCCCGGGTTCAAGTGATTCTCCTGCCTCAGCCTCCTGAGTAGCTGGGACTACAAGCGCCCGCCACCACGCCCAGCTAATTTTTTGCATTTTTAGTAGAGACAGGGTTTCACCATGTTGGCCAGGATGGTCTCGATCTCTTGACCTCGTGATCCACCTGCCTCGGCCTCCCAAAGTGCTGGAATTATAGGCGTGAGTCACCGTGCCGGCCTTTTTTTTTTTTTTTTTTGGAGATGGAGTCTTGCTCTGTCGCCCAGGCTGGAGTGGAGTGGCATGATCTCAGCTCACTGCAACCTCTGCCTCCCCGGTTCAAGTGATTCTCCTGCCTCAGCCTCCTGAGTAGCTGGGATTACAGGTGCCCGCTACCACGCCTGGCTAATTTTTTTGTATTTTTAGTAGAGACGGGGTTACACCATGTTGGCCAGGCTGGTCTCAAACTCCTGACCTCAGGTGATCCATCCGCCTCAACCTCCTAAAGTGCTGGGATTACAGGCTTGAGCCACTGTGCCTGGCCCAAAGCCAGGATTTCTTTACAGCCAATACAAGTGGCATTTCCCGCTCAGTTCTGTGGCTGATGCCCTAGCCACTGCTGTGTCCCCTAATCCTGGGGTGTCAGAGGGATCCTAAGTTTTCCAGATTTTTGCCCATACTTAAAACTTCAACGATCCTGCTTCACAAGGAAGGATGAGTGGAGAATTGAGTGGAGTTACACGCAGCAGAGTGCTGGGGAATCTGGAGAGCGGGGGCGATCACATGCCTGGAAATAGAGCAGCTGCAGAGCCCACCCCAGGAGGAGCCTGCCTCTCCTTACAAAGGCTGTAATAAGACAGCACTTGACGATGCCATACGTGCGAAAAGTGCAGAGTCTCAGAGGGTTTACAACCCCCATCCCTTTGTAACTGTAGTTTGCTTACACTGTGGATTCTAAAGAGACATGTAAATCTGGGGCCGATTTCATCTGTTTAATGATTACTCCCCACCCGATAGAGCTATTCTATACTGTTGCTAAAATTTCATTAAGTCTCTCAAGATGCATTGATGAGATGAGACACCATGAATAACACATTCATCAACTCAAGTATGGCAACTGTTCAGAGAGCTTCAGAGCTTTGGTACCCGAGTGCAGACTTGGTAATTACCGGGAATTTGTCTCCCCCGTATAAATTCTGGCGAACAACGAGAAAACACCATCTGTGATCGTTTCCACATCACGTTTGCTAACAGAGCACTTCTGGAGAGCAATGGCCAGTCCAACTGGAAAATCAGCCAGAGGAGCTGGTTCCTCAGCACTCACAGGCTGAGGTGCCTTTCGGGGGCAGCGCCACCTTCTGAAGGGGAACCAAGACAGATTTGGAGGGGACTTGCTGCTAAAAGCATGTGAACAGAGAGGAGAGGCAAAAGCACATTGAAAATGGTGCATGTTTTTTTCTTTGAGAGAAAGAAAAGCCAGCGAAACCTCCGCCCCAGAGACTGCAGAGACGTTTGTTTTCATGTACACACCAAACCGTACTTGGGCACTGGCTCCAGGCCGATCCAGGGCAGGGATGATGTTTTAAGGGCAATTGCTGCTTCAAGGCTTATCTTTCACATCAGTGGTTTTGATCTATTCAGGAAGAGAACGATTTTGTTCAAAACTGAGGTGGAAATTAGGTGAGGGGGCAACTAAAAAAAAAAAAGAATAGAAAGATGAGGATATTTACAGGCCCAAGGCCCTGCAGAAGGAAAAGGATTTGAAGACCCTCACAAAGGGACACAGCCAACTGCCATCCTCTGTGGCAGTGGCTGTCACAGTCGCCCTTCCACTTGCATGATGGCAAGGCCCTCTGGACTAGGAACAGTCCGTTTGCTGGTCATGTTATGTGGTAGGTGGCTGTCATCTGTGAGAGAAAACTTGAGCAAGAGAAGAGACAGGCGTGGCCTATTTCCACACGCACATCCACGGAGGCTGGCCTGGAGGCCTTGAGGGGCTCACAGCCGGGGCACCAGGCAGGCCATGCGCATCTGCCCTTGGCCAGTGTGAGGTTTGCTCCTTCAGCAAACCTGGAAGGTAAGAATGGGGCATATCCACATCCATAGACCCTTTTGTTTCCCTCACAGAATTTTGTGATTTTTTTTGTGTGTGGCATTTTTGGGGGAGCAGGGAACATCAACTTTGTTGGGGGAAATTTCTCTGCATACCAGCACGCCAGCGAGGGCAGACGGCCTTACACACTGGCCTGTGAACATACCTATTTGTTGGCCCGCTTGTGTCTGTACATCTGCATCATCCTCTGTCGGAACACATCGAATGTGTCTTCTTTGTGCTCCTGCCCGTCAGCACCCAACCCTTCCCCTTCCGAGGGGGTTCCCCTAGGGAGTGAAAAAGAGAGTCAGTTGTGCACCTGAGCCCAGGGCCTGGCATGCCAGGAACTGGGCATGGGCACAAACAGTCCATGAGATGCAGGTGTTTGGGACACACACTGAGACATCAAAGAAAGGGAAAATCAAGACGCGACTCACAGTAGAAACAAGGAGTACTCACCCTCGAAGAGCTGGCTTTTGAGGGGGTGCCCAGAGGGCCCTGGTTACCTCGGAATGCCTTACCCAGCAGGAACTAAGCTCAGTATTAAATGAAATGCCTGCTGGAGGTTATGATCGGGGTTTAATAAACTTTGGGCCTGTGTTCGGGACCCTGGCTGGCCCGGCTATGGGTTCCCGGGAATGGGAAAGCAGTTCCAGACGGAAACTACACAGAAATACCACTTAGCTTTTATGATGGTCACAAATGTGGCCAAAATGACCAGGGCCAACAAGCTGGTTAAAAAATCTACACCAGGACAGAAAGGAGCCCTGTAAACACCTGCACATGTAAATGATCAGCTTCTCATCTGAAGATGCCTTCTGTTTAAAAAACAAAAATCAACTGCCAGCTGTAAGCCATCTTGGCTGTGAAGGAGCCAAGCGGCAGGCTGCAGGTGGAAGGACTGAGGCCCCACCCACTCCCACCCCAGGCTGCCTGCTGCGTACACGCTGACCGGCTCCCTGATGCCCTTTCCGAGGGAGCCCAGGCCATGGCCCTCCTTCCAGCCCATCTTCTGCAGCATCTGGAAGCCCAGGTTCTTATCGGTCAGCTTCTGCTGGGCGAAGTCCAAGTCCTTGGGTTTCTGAGGAGAGAGGAGAGTCCAGGCATGTGGGCCACAGGGAGATGCCTGGATCAAGGGTCTGTCCTAGGCTATGCCTGGAGCCCCTCACCCCCAAATGCCCTCCTGACTCCCCAGATGCTCAGGCTCAAGCTCCAGTCACTTCCCCAGTTCTCTGCAACATCCCTGGGTGGGATGGAACTTCTAAGTCAGAGGTCACTGGCCTGAGGTCAGTCGTGCCTCTCAGCTACCACTATAACCCTGGTGCCAAGACTGTGAGGAAAACTGGGTAAGGGAATGGCCAGTCCCGGGGTCAAGGAGTCAGTAGGAAGGCCCTCAGCGGAACCCTGGATAAAGAAGGGTGGCCCTGTGATGACCACAGGGCGCAGCCCAGGGAAGAGTGGGGGGCACCAGGGCACAGGCCTGCAGGCAGGATGGGGGCCAGACAGTGGGTGAGAACTGGCTGGCAGCACCCTCCCTGAACCACCCCAACATACCCCTCCCCGAGTGCTTCATTCACTCCCTGGCTGCATTGTCTGTCTGTCCTCAGGACTGAGTTCTACTTGGACATTGGGGTCTGTGTCTAGCACAGAGCAGACCTCACTGAGAGCTAGTACAGCTGTTGATTGCTCCTGTGGGTGGTGGGGAAGTGCAGCAATCTCTGGGCCACTAGATGGAGATCTGGAGACAGACAGGGCCCTGGGGCCTCTGGAGGAGGAGCCTGCAGGGCTGTAGCAGAAGGAATTTCTATTCACTCATGAATATTCATGACACACTGCTGTGTGACAGAGCCCAGCTGGGCAGTCCAAGACCTTGCCATGTATTCCTTGGCTCTTCACGAGTCAACTTGTGTGGGTGGGCTGGGCGTGGTGGCTCATGCCTGTAATCTCAGCAGTTTGGGAGGCCGAGGTGGGTGGATCACTGGAGGTCAGGAGTTCCAGACCAGCCTGGCCAACGTGGCAAAACCCCGTCTCTACTAAAATACAAAAATTAGCCAGGCATGGTGGCAGGCACCTGTAATCCCAGCTACTTGTGAGGCGGAGGCATGAGAATCGCCTGAACCTGGGAGGCAGAGGTTGCAGTGAGCGGAGACCGTGCCACTGCATTCCAGCCTGGGCAACACAATGAGACTGTCTAAAAAAAGAAACAAAATACAAAACTTGTGTGTGTTTTTTTTAAATATAGAGTCTTGCTATGTTGCCCAGGCTGGTCTCGGATTCCCGGCTTTAAGTGATCCTCCCACCTCAGTCTCCCCATTAACTGGAACTATAGGTATGTGCCACTGCACCCAGCTTTTGATGTTTTTTTTTTTTTAAGACGGAGTCTTGCTCTGTTGCCCAGGCTGGAGTGCAGTGATGCAATCTCAACTCATTGTAACCTCCGCCTCCTGGGTTCAAGCGATTCTCCTGCTTCAGCCTCCCGAGTAGCTGAGATTACAGGCGTGTGCCACCACGCCCACCTATTTTTGTATTTTTAGTAGAGACGGGGTTTCGCCATGTTAACCATGCTGGTCTTGATCAAACTCCTGACCTCAGCTGATCTGCCCGCCTCAGCCTCACAAAGTGCTGGGATTACAGGCATGAGCCACTGCGCCTGGCTGATGTATTTATTTAAGGCATTTACTGAACGACCTGGGGAGGCTGTGAGGGTTCATGTGCTCTTGAGAGGGAGGGAGGAAGGTGCTGAGGAGGATCACGGGGGCTGGTGCTGGGGGTCTGAGCAGGGGACAGGTGGGAGTGGCTGGGAGAGGGTTAGATGACCCTGGGCATGGGAAGCAGGGTGAGAAGGGCATGCTGAGTGCTGTGAGCTCAGGTCTTTGGGCAGTCAGCCCTCATCAGCTTAGCAACCTGCCCCATGATGTCATGCAGGCCTCACGAGGTATAATTCAACCAAAAGACAAATCCCCCCCTTGCCATCTGCATTGAGGTGCCCAGGAATCAGCTTCCCTAACGTTAGGGGTGCATGTGGGAGGCACTCCAGAGACAAAGGAGCTTGGAGACAAGGCACAAAAGGCTGAGCCTGGGGGAGCCAGGGGCTGGGAGAGGAAAGGGAGAAGGGAGAGAGCAGGGCCTCAGGTCAGGAGGGAGGGAGGGAGGAGAGAGCAAGTGCTCCCATAAGGAAGGCCTGGGCCTCTGGAGCTCCTGGGGCCTCAGTGTTCTCACCCTAGAAAGGGACAAAACAACCTGGAGAGGTGCTGAGAACTCAACATGCAGCAAGATGTAGGGGGTCAGAAACGGATACCCTAAGGCTGGGCGCGGTGGCTCACGCCTGTAGTCCCAGCACTTTGGGAGGCCAAGGTGCGTGGATCACGATGTCAGGAGTTTGAGACCAGCCTGACCAACATGGTGAATCCCCATCTCTACTAAAAATACAAAAATTAGCCAGGTGTGGTGGCACGCCCCTGTAATCCCAGCTACTCTGGAGGCTGAGGCAGGAGAATCCCTTGAACCTGGGAGGCAGAGGTTGCAGTGAGTTGAGATCATGCCATTGCACTCCAGCCTTGGCGACAAAGGGAGACTCCGTCTCAAAAAAAAAAAAAAAAAAAAAGAAAGAAAGAAAGAAAGCGATACCCCGAATTATAGCACTTTGACAGGTGGGACTAAAGTAGCAGCCTCAAGGTCCCTCCCAAAGCACAGGAGGAAGCTGTTTTCTTCAAGTTCCCTATCTACCTAGAAACTGGACTTGCCAAAGAAGAACACAAGGGCCTTGGATCCCTTCCCTGAAATGTCATTAACCAGAGTTGAAAACTCCTATCACACAAGAAGAGATGGAACATTAAACACCACACCTAGAGCCCAGACCACTGGCTGTTCTCTAGTCCCATTCAATTCTCAATGAGGATCATTCACAAGATGATGCCTGCCTCCATTCATCTCTCCTAAAATCATCTGCTTCCCCTCTAAAGTTACCTACAGCCTCCCATCTGCCCTCTCCCCTACAAAGAGGTATTTCAGCTTCAACCACCTGGCCCTTCTTTGAGTTTTCATAATGTTTTATATGGCTCCTGTGCTTATGCACGTGAATAAATATGTATAACTTTTTTGTTTCAAGACAGGATCTTGCTCTGTCACCCAGGCTGGAGTGCAGTGGCTCCATCATGGCTCACTGCAGTCTTGAACTCCCGGGCTCAAGTGATCCCCCTGCCTTGGCCTTCCAAAGTCCCGGGATTACAGGTGTAAGCCACCGCACACCTTTTTTTATCCTGTTAATCTTCTTATTGTCAGTTCATTTCAACAGGCTTAGACTTGGACCTTCAAAGGCGGAGGGAAATTCCCTTTGTTCTCTTCAGAGGCATCTCCGAGGGTATTATATAAAGTAGCTGTGTGTGTGTATGCATGTGTGTGTGCGTGTGTGTATGCATGTGTGTGTGCATATGCGTGCACATGTGTGTATCTTGTGTGTGTGCGTGAGTTACTGGATGCAGGCGGCCCCTCCATAATGGCATGAGGTGGTCTTGGTGAGGCGGTGTGGGCAGAAGTGTCTCTGCAGGGCAGTTAAGGAGGGGAGGTATGAAGGGAGGAGCTATGCTATGGGCTGGGACAGGAAGAGGGGCACAAACAGTGAAGAGACACCCCTGCAAACCAGGGGACACCAGACAGGACCTGCTACACTGGGGGGCCCCTTGCCATGAGAAAGTGGCCTGGAGAAAAGAGGTGACAGAACCCACCGGCTGAGATGAGAAACGGGGCATCCGTCAGGCCCTTCTGGGAGCTGTGCACGACCTGGGCCCTGGGATGACGGGTAGGGAAGGAAGGGGAAAGGCTGGTCATGGCAGGGCACAGGGGTCCCCAGAGGGCAGGTCTGTACTCTTTTCCCTTTCAGGAAGGCTGCTTGGAGGTGCAGTGGGAGGAAGAGGGTTTGGCTCAGCCTGGAAGTTTCTTCGTGAATGTTCAAATCTGTGTTTAACAATCATGATGGTGGTTTCCTGGACAGCTGGAGGAAAGCCAAGCCCTGTGGGCGAGGTGGAGGTTTGCAGAGGAAAGCTGCAGCCACCACGGCCTCCCTTCCACCCACAGTCACTGGCAGACAGGAGGACAGGTGCAGAGCCCCAAGGAGACAGCAGCATGTGCAGGACACCCACCAGGAACCGCGTTCAGTTTAATCCTCACTGTACCTCCTACCTGCTGGGTAAGTGTGGCCATCCCATTTTACAGACAAATCCGTGGCTCAGGGGTTACACGCCAAGGTTACAAAACTACTCGGTGGCAGGGCTGAGCTAGAGTACAGCTGTGCCTGACACCAAGGTCCTGCTGTGCCCTCATCTGGCCGTGCCCTTATCCAGGCCACACCAAGGGGCACCAGATGCCAGCTCAGCCTAAAACCTGGCACATCAGTAAGGACTATGAGCTCTGGACTCGGGAAGGTCCCTCCTTCCTGCCATAATTGGGGTCAGACTGACCTAGGTCACTCGGAAGGGGTTGGAAGCAACATGGCACTGCCTGACACCAGCAGAGCGATCTCGCCTGGCTCCCCGCCCTCCTCCCTGACCATGAAGGACTGGTGAAGTCTCTCCACATGTGTCCCAGGTGACCCTGCTTGCCCCCAGCACTGTGTCCCCCAGGCCATCTGGAGTGTACCTGCCCCCTTTCCATAACCTGGCTCCAGGTCAGTGAATGGCAGTTCTGTCCCTCTTCTGCCCAAGCTGACAACCCTGGGGTCATCTGGACTCCTGGCTTTTGCACACCCAGCCCACAAGCAGGTGTCACCCACTCCATCTTCTCCCCTTCTCATTGCTCCTCATGCCCTGGTCCAACTGTCTTAAGTTTGAGCCTCCTCCTGGTTCCCGCCCACAGGCTGCTCTCCACCCTAGTGGCCACATCCACCACAGGTCCCAGAGGTACCCTCCCTTCCCTGAGAAAGGGCCACAGCGTTAACATCTGTTGAGGTCCTGTGTGACCACCCCCCGGATTCCTCTGCTGCCACAAAGGCCTCTTGCTGCCCCAGCCTCTCTACCGAGGCTGTGCCCTTCTCAGATCTCTACACTGTTTCTCCTCAGCTCCTCCAGGCTTGTGCCAACGTCATCTGCAAGAGAGACCTCCCTTGGCTTTCCCAATTCAGCGGCATCCCCTCGACCCCACCTTATTCTCCCTCTCTTTGACCTGCTTCTCTTTGCCCACAGCATCCCCAGGACTGCCTCATCCATTTCTCTTTCACTGTTGGCCCTGCTTGCTGCTGCCTCCAGGTGGACAGTCGGGACCTGGCACGTAGGAGGTGCTGACCGCACACACCACGCTCTGCTTACTAGCAGATTAGTGAACTCTCTTCACCACCCTTCCAGTCTACTAAGCTTGTAAGTTTTTATGTTTTATTTTTTAAGGAGACCAGGAGGAGACATAGGTCTCACTATGTTGCCCAGGCTGGCCTCAAACTCCTGGGCTCAAGTGATCCCCCTGTCTTGGCCTCCCAAAGCACTGGGATTACAGGCGTGAATCAGTGCACCTGGATAACTTGAACTTTTTTTTTTTTTTTGAGACAGGCTCTCAGTCTGTCGCCCAAGCTGGGGTGCAGTGGTGCAATCAGCTCACTGCAGCCACGACCTCTCAGGCCCAAATGATCCTTCCACCTCAGCCTCCAGAGTAGCTGGGACTACAGGCATGCACCACCATGCCCAACTAATTTTTGTATTTTTTGCAGAGACAGGGTTTTGCCTATTGCCCAGGCTGGTCTTAAACTCTTGGACTCAAGCGATCTGCCCACTTTGGCCTCCTAAACTGCTGGGATCACAAGTGTAAGACACCCAATCGGCCTTAGCTTGAACTTCTTTTTTTTTTTTTTTTGAGACGGAGTCTCACTCTGTCGCCCAGGCTGGAGTGCAGTGGCGCGATCTCGGCTCACTGCAAGCTCTGCCTCCCAGATTCATGCCATTCTCCTGCCTCAGCCTCCTGAGTGGCTGGGACTACAGGCGCCTGCCACCATGCCCGGCTAATTTTTTGTATTTTTAGTAGAGACGGGGTTTCATCGTGTTAGCCAGGATGGTCTCGATCTCCTGACCTTGTGATCCACCCGCCCTCTGCCTCCCAAAGTGCTGGGATTACAGGCGTGAGCCACCACACCTGGCCTAGCTTGAACTTCTTAAGGGCCAAGACATTATCTCGTTTATCTCTCAAATCCCACTGCATCCATTACAGGGATCTCAACTATCCATTACACAGATGAATCACTAGTCTATGCTTTGGACAAAGGCAAAACAGTTTTCAAAAGCCCTCCCAAGAGAAAAGTCTCTGTTGTGTTTTACACATTAATACCTCAGTTTGAAATGTTAGCACAGCTTAATCACAAGCTGCAGCATCCTTTGGAACTCCAACAAATTCTAACCAACTATACTTTGAGTGAGGACTACCAATGATTACGCTCACCTTCTTTTTGGACATGGGACGACCCCGAGGCCTGTCATAGGCAATTCGAACTGGTTCATGGACTAGAAGACAAAAGAAAGAGACACATACACATACATGTGCTTTTCCTAAATTACTTAGAGACTGAAGATCTTGCAGTCTATTTTGGCTAACAGTTCTCTGATGACAGAAGGTGTCTTAGGCTCTGCATGGCAGCTGCTGAGCCCCAGCTCCTCTCAAGAATGAACATGTATGACCCCTGGAGTGAGCAGAGACGGGACACGCTCAGGGTAGGCAGCTTGGGCCATAATGAAGGGTTCACTGAGCGGTGCCTTGCTTTTGGAAAGTCTATTCAAACCTAAGAGTCCCCACATTTATAACAAAAGATCCAATACATGGATTATTTTCCATGACTACAGAAATATATTTTGCTTCAACAAAATATTTGTGATACTGTGCCCTCCTAGTTTATCTGCAGCTAATTCACTGGGAAATAATTAAAGTCTGGCCAGGCGCAGTGGCTCATGCCTGTAATCCCATCACTTTGGGAGGCCGAGATGGGCGGATCACCCGAGGTTAGGAGTTCGAGACCAGCCTGGCCAGCATGGCGAAACCCCGTCTCTACTAAAAGTACAAAAACTAGCCAGGCGTGGTGGCGGGAGCCTGCAATCCCAGCTATTCAGGAGGCTGAGGCAGGAGAATAACTTGAACCCGGGAGGCAGAGGTTGTAGTGAGCCGAGATTGTGCCACTGCACTCCAGCCTGGGCGACAAGAACAAGAGTCCATCTCAAAAAAAAAAAAAGAATTAAAGTCTGCCTAAAACTTTCTAGTGAAAAACAACCATGCTTCTCATATAGAGAACCACATCATATCATTTTATTCTATTTTTTATGAAAGGGAGATTAGCAAGTCTGTTTTTTTTTTTTTTTTTTTTTTTTTGAGACACAGTTTCGCTCTTGTTGCCCAGGCTGGAGTGCAGTGGTGTGATCTCAGCTCACTGCAACCTTCACCTCCCAGGTTCAAGCGATTCTCCAGCCTCAGCCTCCCGAGTAGCTGGGATTTCAGGAATGCGTCACCACGCCTCGCTAATTCTGTATTTTTAGTAGAGATGGGATATCTCCATGTTGGTCAGGCTGGTCTCAAACTCCCGACCAAAGGCGATCCTCCCGCCTTGGCCTCCCAGAGTGCTGGGATTACAGGTGTGAGCCAGCACACCCGGCGCAGGTCTGGTTTTTATCTCATCAACTACCCAAAGAACTGAGAGCTTCTAATGCAGAAATAAAAAACTCCACCTCCCCCCAAGAAGAGCATACATAACAAGCACTCTGATACACTACCTGCCATCCGTGACAAGTTTAATTATTTACTTCATTTTTTTTACATTAATTTTTTTTTCTTGTAAAGATTAGGTCTGGCCATCTTGCCCAGGCTGGTCTCAAGCTCCCGGGCTCAAGCGATCCTCTTGCCTCAGTCCCGCTAAGCTGGGATTACAGGCACGAGCCACTGCGCCTGGCCCCATGAGAAGTTTTGAAGGATGGTAAAGGTTATAGTAGAATGGTTAGCATTTCACTGCAACACCAAATTTTTCAAACACAAAACATGAGGACTATTCCAAAGCAGGAAAAACCATAAGGCCACTGTCACATGTAAATGTGACTGTCTGAATGATGTAGAACACACAGGTGACTGTTTAACACAGTCCCACAATGGGGCACCATTCACTACAACTTCACACATAGGTTTTGCAGCAGAAGTCCCATGTGAAAGCACGGTCCAGGCCTGACTGTGGGGAGACAGCTTGGAGGGCATTGGGGGCACAGGAGTCATCTGGGCCACGGCGTGCCCATCAAAAGGCCACATGCGATGCAATTCTATGTACTGACAGACTAGGAAAGATAGAATACCTGGGGCTTGGAAAACAGTCAGTGGTTGCTGAATCGGGCAGGGGACTGCAATGGGACAAGAGACCCGTTCTGGGAACAGGCTTCAGCTCTGCTGTACTGGTGGGTTCTCGCCTCTGCACAGTCAACAAAATTCAAATGGTCCACTTGAAAAGGGTGCGTTTCACTGCTGGTAAATTATACCTCAAGAACCCGGAACCTCCCCACAGGAGAGCAGGAGATGGCCTCTCATGGCCGAGGCAGGTCCCACTGACCACTGCCTGGGACCACCCCTGCTCTGTTCCCATCTCACTGTCATGACATGAAGCAGCTTATCAGCACCCTGGGCCTTCCAGGGGCTCAGAAGGGCCCCCAGCTGACAAAGTCACAGGCAGGAAAACAGCTGAGATGACCCAGGCCCATCCCCTCCACAGTTGGGGATGCCCCGACCTGAATCCAGGCAATCAGGGAAATGTCCAGCAGCAAGTAGAGTGCCAGAAGCCACAGGGTAGCAAGGAAACATGTCCTTAGAGCAATGCCTTCAGACCACTGGGAAACATGAGTGTCGGCTCACATTTTGGAGTGGTGCACAAAACTCTTTTGGATTAAAATGTCTCCACCTGTCTCTTCTAACTCTCACAGCCCACCAACCAAGAACTGTGCTAGAGGCAACTGTGCCGACAGGCGGGCACTCACCTTTTGGCTCCTGGATGAGACACACTCTCTTGGGAGCTGGAATCATGCCAACCTTCAATGACTTGCTGCTGATCCTCTTCCGAGGGAAGCAGGTACCTGAGGAGGCCTGTGACAAGGCAGGTGCTCCAGCCAGGTCGTCCTCGGCAGCCTCGCCGGGAAGGCCGTCGGCAGGGGTGCTGCCCTCAGACTTGCCCGCCCCTCCAGGAGCGGGGGCCTCCTCTCCCCCATCCTCATCGTCCTCGTCCTCCTCCTCAGGCATCACCTCTGGGCTCTCCAGCTCAGCCTCCCGCGGAGGGGGCTCGTCTTCAAACTCTGCTTCCCCTTCCATGAGGTCCACGGGGCTCTCCTGAGAACCCGTGGTGTCACCACCACCAGTGTGAAGGTTGTGCGGAGATGACGTGAAACAAATTGATGGACATAGTTCAAACACTTTCTTTCGATAGAATTTGAAAGCAGAACTATTTTGGTCATGTAGAAACCTGGGGCACAGAGGAAATACATTGGGTAACCAGATGGAATCTCTCAACATTTTTATTTGCTGAAACTGCTGGGATTGATCCAAGGAAGGTGGAGGTGGGACAAGGGAAAGAATAACCTGACCAGTCTCTACGCGGCTATGGCTTGATGGTGCAGCCTCTCAATGATAGAAAATTTGAGGAGTACTAGTAACTTAATAAGGAGCTAGAATTCAAGAAGCCTAACTGCTTTCCAGGGGACAGAGGCGGACGAACAAGGTATGCAGGGCTTGGGAAAATGCTGGAATAGAGATCTGGCTTGAGACCCATCTCACCCTTTCTGGTTACATCACTGGCCTCTCTGGGCCTCCATGTGCCCATTTTGACTCTGGTTCCTCCCAGGTATGAGAAGCATGGAGCGATGCCAGGAGGAGCTGCACAGTTACTGCTGGAACATGTGCACCATGGAACCGTAAGGTGCCCCCCGAGGAGGCTCCTCACCCCTAGCACTTCCCGCTCTGGGGCCTGCAGTCCACCTACATGGGCGTGGAGATGAGGCCTCTCTGTGCCTCAGGGGTCTGGTGGCCACCTCGACTTGTAACCACAGCTATGAAGCTGTGGCTGGTATGAGAAACTTGAAACACTCCCGAAAGCACCAAAGTCCACTTGGACCAAAGGAAAAATGGCCCTCGTAAGGCAACTCAACCTCATAAATGTGCCAAGTCCCCCCAGTTAGCATATTAATATATCCCAATAAAATCCCATTCTGAATCAGGGCAAGATGGTTCTAAAGTTCATAAAGAAAAATAATATGTAAGAGTATCTGGGAAAACTCTGAACAAGACTCATAAGGGGTTCCAGCCCCACCAAGCACTATAAAATGCCCCAAAGCCTCTAGAGTTAAACAGCATAGTAGTCCATAAGGCAGACCAAAGGAACAGAATAGAAAGACCAGAAACCCAGCATTTGATTAAGGTAACCTCTCAAACTACTACAAAAAAGGGGTGGGTCTTTCAAAGAATGGTATTGGAAAAGCTGGACGGCTTTATAATTATTATTACACATTTTTAGAGATGGGGTCTCACTCTGTCGTCCAGGCTAGAGTGCAGTGGTGTGATCACAGCTCACTGCAGCCTCAAACTCCTGGGCTCAAGAAATCTTCCTACATCAGCCACCCAAGTAGTTAGGACCACAGGCAAATGCCACTATACCAGGCTAACAAACACACACACACACACACACACACACACACACACACACACACACACACCACACACACACACCACACACACATACAACTAAATATCAGCAGAAACAAATGAATCTGGGCCGGGCATGGTGGCTCATGCCTCCCAGCACATTTTGGGAGGCTGAGGCAGGCAGATCACCTGAGGTCAGGAATCCAAGACTAGCCTGGCCAACATGGTGAAACCCCGTCTCTACTAAAAATACAAAAATTAGCTGGGTGACACCTGTAATCCCAGCTACTTGGGAATCTGAGGCAGGAGAATCGCTTGAACCCGAGAGGCGGAGGTTGCAGTGAGCTGAGATCACACCACTGCACTCCAGCTTGGGCGACAGAGTGAAATTCCGTCTCAAAAATAAATAAATAAATAAAACGGATTGTATGACAACTTTATAACATAACCACACCCACAAAATGAATTAACTCAATAAGCTTGAGCACATTAGAATTAAATTTTTTCTAAAGGCAAAAGAAACACAAAGTCATCTTGGCCCATTTACAAGCATGGCTGGATAGCGTCCAACACCTTGCCCAGTATTGTGGTCAGGATCCAGGGCTCTCCTTCCAGGGAAGGACAGGACAGAGTACTCTGAAGGACACTGCTCAGAAAAGGCTGTCACAGATGGGGAGGAATCACCCAAAACCCAACAAGTACTACAGCCCAAGTACCCAGGCTAATGCAAAATTCTCCTTTAAACTGTACTTTTCATTGAAAAAAAAGAAAGTGAAAAAGAAAAAAGGACTCATGGGATGCCCCCAGCTGCCCTGCACTGAGCTGTCCTCCTTATCCAACCCTGCCAGAGGAAATCCCACATACACAGTGGACAGGTCCGACCCCGAGGTCTACAGGGCCCAGCAGCTCCCCAAGGCCACTACTGCCTGTAAAAGGCAAAACCTGACTGTAAGCCTGGTCAGGCTTCCCGTCTGTAGGTGGTCAGTGCCCCACAAGGCAGGTGGTACCTTAGTGCAGGACCCAGTCATAAGCCAAGGCTGCGGAGGGGAGTAGGGCTTGGCTTGTGCAATCAGGTCCCAAGCAAGTTGAAAGAGTATGTTCTGTCACCACTGAATCCCATAAATGCTCTGAGAAATGCACGTTTTCAACTGTAATTTTAACTGGATGAAGGCATGACTGTCCAACAAGCTAGGACCAGCACGAGGAGTTGAGAGCCCCCTCAGTAGGGTTCTGGCTCAGTAATGGGAAGATGGGTGCCTCCTACCGGCAGCCTTTCTCTGGAGGGGACATCTCATGTCACCCCGGGGAAAAACCCCAGGGGCAGTGCTGGCTCCTCACCCAGGTTTTCTTGCCTATGGGCTGTGTGCTTTTGAGCTGAGCTCCACCTATCCAAGGAATGGAGAGGGCAAAGGTACCTGCTCCCAGCATGAGCACGCCACCTTATCCCTGTGTAGAAGTGCCTGCTGTCAGACCTGGGCAAGGGCTGACTATCACTACTATCATGCAGTGAGCAGCAAATCCTCACCTCTCTCCCCTCCCCTGGCCAACTCCTATTTAGCCTTTGGATGCAGATTAAATGTCCCTCTGGGGAGGTTTTTCCTGATGCCCGAGATGAAGGCAGGTCCCCTAGAACAGATTTTTTTTTTTTGAGATGGAGTTTCACTCTTGTTGCCCAGGCTGGAGTGCAATGGCGCGATCTCGGCTCACTGCAACCTCCGCCTCCCAGGTTCAAGCAATTCTCCTGCCTCAGCCTCCCCCGAGTAGCTGGGATTACAGGCACCTGCCACTACACCCGGCTAATTTTTTTTATTTTTAGTATAGAGACGGGGTTTCACTATGTTGGCAAGGCTGGTCTCAAATGCCTGACCTCATGATCCACCCGCCTCAGCCTCCCAAAGTGCGGGGATTACAAGCATGAGCCATTGCACCTAGCCTTTTTTTTTTTTTTTTTTTTTGGAGATGAAGTCTCGCTCTGTTGCCCAGGCTGGAATGCAGTGGCTCAATCTCAGCTCACTGAAACCTCCGCCTCCCGGGTTTAAGCGATTCTCATGCCTCAGCCTCCCAAGCAGCTGGGATTACAGGTGCTTGCCACCATGCCCGGCTAATTTTTGTATTTTTGTAGAGATGGGGTTTTAGCATGGTGGCCAGGCTGGTCTCGAACTCCTGAACTCGGGTGATTAGAACAGATCTTTCTCCCTTAGGCCCCTGGCTCAGCTGAAGTGAAGTCATGACTTACTCCTGGTATAACCCCCATAGTAGGAATGCATTGGCCAGGCTGTGGGCTGGCTCAGGACATGCTTGTGGCGTGAACACACTCAAATCTAAAGGGTGTAATGGCCAGTTGCAGTGGAGCACACCTGTGGTCCCAGCTACTCTGGAGGCTGAAACAGGAGGATCACTTGAGCCCAGGAATTCAAATCCAGCCTAAGCAACATCCTTAGACTTTGTCTCTCTGAGAAAGAAAAAGGTGTGATGAGACCCGGGGGGGTACGTACCACAGGTCAGGGTTATCGGTGCTGTTTTCTATGCTGAATTGTTCGATCTCTGGTCCCACCTGAGCAACAAATCTAGCCAGTTTCTCTGCAGTCTCCATTGTCTTCATGTCAACTACAAAACATAAAGCACCTGTCAGGCATGACTCCTGAGCTGCTGCTCCCCGTGTAAACACTGCAGGGTTGTGGAGGCTGATTATAAAGATGGCCTGCATGTCCCCTCCCTGTAGCCTTGCCCTTCGTCACATGTGGACCCTTTGTCACCAAGAAGTGAACTCTGTGTATCCCCACCTTGAATCAGGGCTGGTCCTGGGACTCACATCAGCTATAGAATGTGGTGGAAAAGCCCATTGCCAGTTCCAAGCCTGGGCCTTGGAGGACTTGAGTACTTCCACTGTCTCTCCTGAAGCCCCAACCCCAATTGCCAGGTGAACAAACATGGGCTGGCTGCTGGGGGGATGACAGGCATGTGGCCCAGCCACACCATCATCTCAGCTGACAGCCTGGACACCTGCCACTGACCGCAGACATGTGTGGGCTAGCTCAGCAGATGACCCAGCCACTGGCAAATTCACAATACCGGACGCCTCCTGGTTGGTTTGTTTGGTTTTTTTTTGAGATGGAGTCTTGCTCTGTCGCCCAGGCTGGAGTGCAGTGGTGAGATCTTGGCTCAATGCAACCTCCGCCTCCCGGGTTCAAGCGATTCTCCTAGCTCAGCCTCCCGAGTAGCTGGGACTACAGGCATGTGCCACCACGCCCAGCTAATTTTTTGTATTTTTAGTAGAGATCGGGTTTCACCATGTTGCCCAGGCTGGTTGCGAACTCCTGAGCTCAGGCAATCCACCCGCCTTGGCCTCCCAAAGTGCTGGGATTACAAGTGTGAGCCACCACGCCCAGCTGATGCCTCCTGTTTTAAGCCACAGTTTGGAACGGCTCACGACACAGCAACACCTAAATAATGCAGCAGTTGTGGACACTTTTTTGCTCTCTCCTTCCCACTTAGTGCTTAGGAAGCACTGGCCAGAGAGCAGGCCTGTGGTACAGAGAGAAAGAAACAGCTAAGGTGACAGAAGAAACAGAAGGGGTGAAGTTAGTCGATTCGGAGGAAGCAGTGCAGGTCAGCGAACCCCAAGAACAGGAACTGTGGAGACCCTGGGGATGAGGAGGCGCAATGAGAACAAGGCAGTCCCGAAGACTATCAAGGGAGGCCAGGATATAGCAGGACATGGGATCCCAAGTTCAGGCAATGCACCGCCCACGGCCCCAGCAGCAGGACCCTGTCGGGGAGCACGAAGGCATGGGGCAGCACCTCATACCAGCTCCGCTCTCAGAAGAGGAGGAGGGAGCTGCAGGACTCGCATGCAGCTCTCTCAAGAAAGCAAGAGAGAAAGCGCCAACATGTACACTTGTCCTGGCCAGGTCCCTAGAGCTTTTATCCACTGCCTTGCCTAGATTGCAGGCCCCCCCAATTCTAAAGAGACCCTGGAGATGGGAGAGTAGGGACTGGGGCCCAGAGGAGGGGGACAGGAGTGAGCACCCACTGTCAGCAGATGGGCAGGGAGAAGAGGTCTGAGGTGCTTCAGAGATGTCCACTCCTGCTGGCTTGGGGGATGGGCCTGAGGCTTCTAAGCTGGGGTCCTGAGGAGAAGGTCCAACTGGGTCTGGCGGGCAGTCCTTGGCAGCATCATTTCTGTCTGGCAGGGATGGTTTTGCCTGTGAGAGGCCTGGAGCCTGCCGGCCGTGGTGTTTCAGCCTGGTGCCTGAGGATAGGAGGGTCTGGGTCCCGGTGGTCGCTCTCCTCGCCTTCCAGCCCCGGAGCCCTTGAGCACGGAGGAGCCCCCGCCGCTGCCACGGAAGGAGTTTCTTCTTGAGGTTGCGGACAGCCCGGGAGTACAGCATGGCCCTCACTGCACAGTCTGCTGAGGTCGGCTTCTGGTCGGCTCCTCGCAAGTTCTCGCTCATCCGCTGCATTTCTGCCAACTTCAGCTTGTAATATTTATACTCCAGACTATTTTCATCAGACAAAAACCTAGATAACAAAACAAGCATAACGGGACATTTATGAAAACACCACCAGGTCCCAAATTGTTCCTTCAAACACAAACCCTTTCTAAGTGGCCAACTCCTCACTGTCCTCTCCTGTCTCAGAGGCTCTGCCTGGCTCTACTGAGGACCCAGAGCTAGGCCCAAGACAGCTGCCCTGCTAAGAGTGACCACAGGGCAATCGGGAGTTTGAACTGAGTTCCTCCTTGATTTCCATCAGCAGCAGCCGTGAGGGAGCTCCCAGCTCTTGATGGCCTGGAAACACAAACCAGTCACCTTGGAGCCATAGCACCCTGGCAGGCAGAATTGACACCTTTTAAATGGCCCAGCCAGGATGAGTGCTCGGTGAGCTTTTGACTGCATCAAGGAAAGTGTGATGTGAACCACAAGAGAACATTAACCAAGGAGCCTGCGGCCCAGGTGTGAAATCTTATGACCCAGTCATCATGATGAGAACAGTAAAGAGAAGGTTGAGCTACATGTACTAACAGAAAAATATTCAGCTGGGCGTGGTGGCTCACACCTGTAATCCCAGCACTTTGAGAGGCTGAGGCGGGAGGATTGCTTGAGCCCAGGAGTTCAAGACCAGCCTGGGCAACAAAACAAGATCCCATTTCCACAAAATAAAAAAATTAGCCAGGGTGGTGGTGCATGCCTATAGTCCCAGCTACTCTGGAGGCTAAGGTGGGAGGATCACTTGAGCCCAGGAAGTCGAGAGGCTGTGGTGAGCTGTGATTGCACCACTGCACTCCAGTCTGGGCAACAGAGCAAGACCCTATCTTTAAAAAAAAAAAAAACCTTCTCCTTCTAGTGTCTTTACTTTTTTCATCATTTTCCTTCTAGCTTCATGAGTTGATTACAGCTCACCGCAGCCTCGACCTTCTGGGTTCAGGTGATCCTCCCACCTCAGCCTCCCCAGTAGCTGGGACTACAGGCGCGCACCACCACGCCTGGCTAATTTTTGTGTTTTTGGTTGAGAGGACATTTCACCATGTTGCCTAGGCTGATCTCAAACTCTTGGGCTCAAGGTAGCCATACGCCTCAGCCTCTCAAAGTGCTGGGATTACAGGTGTGAGCCACTGCACCTGGCCCACTATTTCTAATAAAGTCACCTGAAGTCACTCTTTCTCTTAAGTATTTTTATGACTGCATCTGGTATATAATGTTCTTCTTGCCACTTCCTTCTAAATTGCTTCTAATTTCAGCTATGATTACCCTTCACTCAAAAGTTATTCAGAAACATGTTTTATTTTGGTTGTTGCTGGTTTCTAGTTTGCTGTATTGGCATAATGTGGCCCACGTGAATTTCCTGGGTGTGCTGTGATTTTCTCTGTGATTTCATACATAACGAACTTTTAAGATGGGCGTGGTGGCTCACGCCTGTAATCCCAGCACTTTGGGAGGCGGAAGCAGGTGGGTCGCTTGAGCCCAGGAGTTCAAGACCAGTCTGGGCAACATGGCGAAACCCCATCTCTTTAAAAATAAATAAATAAATAACCACCCCACAACAAACATAACAGACTTTTGTGAATATTTGATTTCAGTTTGTGTTAAAGAAGAATATTGCTTAGTAAGTATGGCAGTATTTCAGGTGGCTTTCAGATTGTTTGATATTAAGTAGCGACATATCAGTTATTAGATGAGGTTCCAGATTACCAGTGACAAGCCAACTAGAAGTAAGGTGGCTGTGTGTTGCACAGCATTGGCAGCACTGTGTGATGTGGCATGTCCCTGGCAGGCAGCTCCATACACAAGCTCCTGCTGACACTGTTAGCCAGTTGAGGTCTGTCTGGACCTGACAAAACGACTGAGTACCGGCTCCACTGCTGCCCTGGCACTCTGTTGGGCTAACGGTGGCATCCTGCAAGATCATGCCCTAATAAGCAATAGCGCTCAATTAAGAGAATGCTGACCAACATGGGCACTCTGGTTCTCAAGTCAAACACAGCCCCAGCAAGGCAACTCCTCATCAAGGGCAGAGCGCAGAATCAGGGCCAGGTGACCTGACTGCCCCAGTCACTCATGGCTCTGATGGCTTTCCTTGTTCCTGGATGGTTCTGATGCCAAGTGCAGTCCGAGGATGTCAGTCCCAAATGCATCTCCCAAGTTCCAGTGGAACATAACATCAAGAACAGAGAACACTCAACAAGCCAGTCTGCTGGCTTCAAATCTCAGCATAGCCACTTATTAGCTGGGAACCTTTCTGTGCCTCAGTTTCTCCATCTGTAAGACAGGGAAGATGATAAGCAGTAGCTACTTCATCATACAGCTGTGAGGCCTGCGTTATAAGCTTTTCACTAGGAGGCAAGTGCTATGAAAACTGCCTAGTAGTCATTAACCGCTCAACAAATATTAGCAGATTGTCTCTGTTTATGCTCATTTCCTGTGTTATAAAATCTTCCACAACCTTATTTGGATTACGTCGTCTACGCATTTCAGAGAAACATTAATGTCTCCTACCATGGTTTTGGATTCATCCAATTCCTCTTATCATGGTTTTGGACTTAAATGATTTTTTTTTTTTTGAGACGGAGTCTCGCTCTGTCACCCAGGCTGGAGTGCAGTGGCGCAATCTCGGATCACTGCAACCTCTGCCTCCTGGATTCAAGTGATTCTCCAGCCTCATCCTCCCGAGTAGCTGGGATTATAGGCACCCGCCACCACACCCAGCTAATTTTCGAATTTTTTTTAGCAGAGATGGGGTTTCACCATGTTGGCCAGGCTGGTCTTGAACTCCTGATCTCAGGTGATCTGCTCACCTTGGCCTCCCAAAGTGCTGGGATTACAGGCATGAGCCACCGCACCCAGCTCTGGACTTAAATGATTTCTAAAGGTTGTTTATTTACATGGCTCAAAGCTATGTAGTGCAGGCACCAAGATTCACAATCTATATGTTCGTGATGACTTTCCCTTTTATCAGGAACTTCTTTTGCTCCTTTTAGTGCTGTTCTCCTTAAAGTCTTTTTTGCCTAAACAATTCTCTACATCCTTTCTTTTTGGTAGCGTTCACCTGCTATGCAATTTCCCATCTCTGTGTTTTCCAATTCCTGTGTTTTTGCTTCTTTCTCTCTATAGTAGTACGGAAGTTATAGACCTCACTTCTGTTCCTTTAATGGCTAATCGACACACATACCTAAACTTTTATTTTGTATCAATATCCAGAATTACCCTTTAGCTCTATCCTCATGTCAAACAAGACAAAGGCCTGCACACCTACCTCCCTCCTTCCCCTTGTGCCTCACATATTTAGATCATCTGGGATTTTAGTTTCTTTTATTTCACCCCAAACATCAATTATTTAGATTTTATGTTAACTTTGGGGTGCTTGGACAATCCTGCTGAGGCTAGACCACAGGGATTCTTAGCCACTTGTTTTCCTGAGTGTGTGAACACGTAGGACCTGGTGGGCTCTCCCTGGAGAGCATGGTCAGGGCTGGCCCACTCCCAGGGGACAATTTAGAAGATGAGAGAAAACAAAGTATGACATATTCCTTCAGCTTTATATCCTGCACTGTTGTTATCATTTTCTAGGCTTGATGCTTTGCACTCTCTCATAGAAAAGGACGGAAGCCTGCCCCTTGGTGTTCCAAACAAGGAAGTAAAGCCATAGTGGATGTGTCTGTCTATACTTCTGATTGATTCATTGATTGATTTGAGACGGTGTTTTGCTCTTGTCGCCCAGGCTGGAGTGCAGTGGTGCGATCTCAGCTCACTGCAACCTCTGCCTCCTGGGTTCAAGTGATTCTCCTGCCTCAGCCTCCTGAGTAGCTGGGAGTATAGGCAGCCACCACCATGCCCAGCTAATTTTTTATTTTTAGTAGAGATGGGGTTTCATCATGTTGGCCAGGCTGGTCTCAAATTCCTGACCTCATGCGGCCCACTCGCCTCGGCTTCCCAAAGTGGTGGGATTACAGGTGTGAGTAACCGCACCTGGCTCTTCTGACATCTTTAGTGCACGACACGAGGCAGGTCACCTCGGCAAAGAGGCAATGGCCAGTTCTGTCCACAAGGCTCCAGTGGGAACAAATCATGCTTGTGGGGTGTGAGGGTGGAAGGTCTCAAATCTCTGCTGGCCCTCAGAGGGTGGAGATAAGAAGCCCTTCTTATATCTGCCTCCTAGAGGTCTGACTTTTTCACTTGCTAACTAATAAAAAGAATTTATTAAGGCTGGACATGATGGCTCATGCCTGTAACCCCAGTGATCTGGGGGATCGCTTGAGCCCAGGAGTTAGACACCAGCCTGGGCAACAGAGCAAAAACCCATTTCTTAAAAAAAGAAAAAAAAAAAAAAGCTGATAGCTGAATGCGGTGGTGTACTCCTGTAGTCTCAGCTACTTGGGAGGCTGAGGCAGGGGGATTTTGTGAGCCCAGGTTGAGGCTGCAGTGAACTATGATCATGCCACTGTGCTCTAGCCTGGGCAACAGAATGAAAACTCATCTCTTTAAACAAAAAAAAAAAAGAACTTATTAATCCACATATATCTTCAGAGAATGTCAATGGTCATGCATAAAACTGTTCAGTCAAGAAAAAGCAACATAGGCTTATTAAGAGATACAGAGGTAAGCCAGGTGCGGTGGCTCATGCCTGTAATTCCAGCGCTTTGGGAGGCCAAGGCAGGAGGATCATGAGGTCAGGAGATTGAGACCATCCTGGCTAACATGGTGAAATCCCGTCTCTACTAAAAATACAAAAAAATTAGCCGGGTGTGGTGGCAGGTGCCTGTAGTCCCAGCTACTAGGGAGGCTGAGGCAGGAGAATGGTGTGAACCCGGGAGGCAGAGCTTGCAGCGAGCCAAGATCCCGCCACTGCACTCCAGCCTGGGGGACAGAGCGAGACTCTGTCTCAAAAAATAAATAAATAAATAAATAAATAAATAAATAATAAAAAGAGATACAGAGGTAGCCGTGAGAAGTAGTTTGAAGAACTAAGTGACTGCCTTCAAGGAGTGGAACATGGAAACAGGTCACAGCAGAAACATTTGGCTTTTCATTATGCGTTCAATTGACTGTTTTGTTAAATACAACATACAAGGAGCATTTTGACTTAAGAATTCAAACATGCACACCAGAAACCTAAGTTTAGCAGTTTCTTTACTTATTGCTGTGCTTTTGTATCACACTCTTTCCTCTTACAGTCTCTTGGTAATTCCTTCTCTTTTTTTTGAGACAGAGTCATGCTCCGTTGTACCCAGGCTGGAGTGCAGTGGTGCGATCTTGGCTCACTGCAACCTCTGCCTCCCGGGTTCAAGTGATTCTTGTGCCTCGGTCTCCCAAGTAGCTGGGATTACAGGCGCCTGTCACCATGCCCAGCTAATTTTTTGTATTTTTATTAGAGACACGGTTTCACTATGTTGGCCAGGCTGGTCTCGAACTCCCAACCTCAAGTCATCTGTCCCCCTCGGTCTCCCAAAGTGTTGGGATTACAGGCGTGAGCCACTGCACCCAGCCAGGTAATTCCTTGTGAAGGAGTTTTTGGATGATAAAGTCTCTGGGACCAACTCCTAAATCTTTCCTTCTTCAGGATCTATTCTATCAGCCAACCGCTGAGATTTTTATTTCAATCTATTTTTCATTTCCAAGATCCTTAATAGAATCGTTTTCATAGCAACCAGTGTCTGTTTCATGGATACAATATACTCTTATTACCTGAGACTATTCATTGCACATACATATTTATAGACTACACCTCCTCTTTCTCATAGTGACTCTGTCTTCTAGGGTGTCAGGAGTTGGTTGAGTTTGGTGATGCTCTTTCATGATACTGGTTTACCTCAAATATCAGTTCTTAGTTTGATGCTTATTTCTGGGACTACAGGCACCCGCCACCAGGCCCGGCTAATTTTTTTTTGTATTTTTAGTAGAGACAGGGTTTCACCGTGTTCGCCAGGATGGTCTCGATCTCCTGATCTCGTGATCCACCCACCTTATAGGTGTGAGCCACCATGCCCGGCCGCTTATTTCTGATTTTGTACCCTGCCCTGCCCCCTATCCAAACATACCCCTGACTCTGGCTTCCGTCTGCTGCCCCTGGTTATCAGTGGTCATGAGACCACTGGGCCATGTGCAGGGGTCATGGGGCAGAGGCACCAGCCCCCAGGCCTCTCAGGGCCTCCTATTCCTCCAGCCTAATCACCTTATCAACCACCTGTAAAGTGCCCCTGGGCCTTCTAAGTCTGGATGCCTTCTTACCAAGAGGGTCGGTATCTGCTTGCATCTGTCAATCTGACAATCCTTCAACATGCACACTGGTTCAGACCACAGACCCTGGATTTGAATCTCAACTCTGCCTCTTACTAGTTGTGGATCCTCAAGGCAAGAGGGCTCTTGGAGCCTCAAAGTTTCTTGTCTGTAAAATAAGCATAGCAAGAGACCTGCCTCCCAACGTTGTTTATGAGGATTCAACCAGCTAGTGCTTAAATCAGTAATGTGCTTAGAACAGTACCAACTGCACAGAAGGCACAAGTGTTTATTAAATAAAAAGTATTCAATAAATGATGCTGGGACAATTAGGTTATTTGGGAATTTTTAACTTTTAAGTTACATGCCTACCTCATTCAATACATGAAAATAATCCAAACTCAAGAATTTTGTAAAAATAAAACCACAATAAGCTCCAACCTTCCCCTTGGTAAATCATGGTGGGTAGGACCAAAGACATGGAAATGTATGCCTTTCAAGCATCTTTAGTAATTACAACAGCAAGCATAGCAAGTCCAGTATGGGTACAATCTGACTACCAAAAAGGGCACACTCAGGAGGTCAAGGCTGCAGTGGGCTGTGATAGCACCCCTGCATTGCAGCCTGGGCAACAGAGTGAGATCCTGTCACTAACAAAAAACAGAAAACAAAAGAGGGCACAGCACACCTACAGAGTAGCAGTGAGAAAGTCAATTAGTACAGATAACCTATGGAGAGTAATCTAATGATAAACATCAATGGTCTCCATCAGGGGCAGCTCTGCCTGCCATGGGACACCAGGCAGTGTCTGGATGTATTCTGGGTTGTTACTAGTGAGACAGAAGGTCCTACTAACATCAAACGGATAGAGGCCACAGATGCTGCTAAACAGCCTGCAATGTCCAGGACAGCTCCAACCCTAATACAGAATGATCCAGCCTCAGTGCTGCAGCTGAGGCTGGGCGCGGTGGCTCACGCCTGTAATCCCAGCACTTTGGGAGGCCAAGGCAGGCGGATCGCATGATTTCAGGAGTTCAAGACCACCCTGGGCAACATGGTAAAACCCCGTCTCTACTAAAATACAAAAAATTAGCTGGGTGTGGTGGCGGGCACCTGTAATCCCAGTTACTTGGGAGGCTGAGGCACAAGAATTGCTTGAACCTGGGAAACAGAGGTTGTAGTGAGCCGAGATCACACCACTATACTCCAGCCTGGCGACAGAGCAAGATTCCGTTAACAAATAATAATAATAAAAATAAAAAGTGCTGCAGCTGAGAAACTGACATAAATCAAAAGCCTCTAACATGAGCTTTAACCCAGCAGTTTCACGCCCAGATATCATAATAAACTGCCAGAAAGGTAGGCAGAAATACAATCAAAGCACTGATCATCACTTTTTTTTTTTTTTTTTAAGAGAAATGGTGTCTCAGCCCAGCACAGTGGCTTACGCCTGTAATCCCAGCACTTTGGGAGGCCAAGGCAGGTGGGTCACCTGAGGTCAGGAGTTCGAGACCAACCTGGCCAACATGGTGAAACCCCATCTCTACTAAAAATACACAGATTTGAGACCTTCCACCCTCACACCCCACAAGCATTATTTGTTGCCACTGGAGCCCTGTGGACAGAACTGGCCATTGCCTCTTTGCTGAGGTGACCTGCCTCATGTCGTGCACCTGTAATCCCAGCTACTTGGGAGGCTGAGGCACGAGAATCGCTTGAACTCAGGAGACGGAGGTTGCAGTAAGCCAAGATTGCGCCACTGTACTCCAGCCTGGGTGACAGAGCAAGACTCTTTCTCTGGCTTGTTCTTTACTTTCTCTAATAAGAAAGTACTATATTTAGGACGCAAACTGTAATTTTAATAAGTTGTTCGGCCGGGCGCGGTGGCTCACGCCTGTAATCCCAGCACTTTGGGAGGCTGAGGCAGGTGGATCATGAGGTCAGGAGATCGAGACCATCCTGGCTAACACTATGAAACCCCATCTCTACTAAAAACACAAAAAATTAGCCAGGCGTGGTGGTGGGCTCCTGTAGTCCCAGCTACTCGGGAGGCTGAGGCAGGACAAAGGCATGAACCCGGGAGGCGGAGGTTGCGGTGAGCCGAGATAGCGCCACTGCACTCCAGCCTGGGCGACAGAGCAAGGCTCCGTCTCAAAAAAAAAAAAAAAAAAAAAAGTTGTTCTATTTACATAAAGAGGCAATTAAGCAAAAGACAGTTTAACAAATATTAGCAATAAATTGCAAACAACTGCAATGATGTATTACTAATCTTACTACCCTTACTCTGTATTCTCTGCATGCACATCTCACTGCATCCTTAAAACAGCCCAGCAGGGACTTGGAGCTGTAGTCACAGGTGAGAGAAGGCCACCCACCCAGCTGGCCTACCACTGGTCTGCAGCAGAGCTGGGGCTTGCTGAACCCACATAAATCTGAGCCACCCTCATGCTCTTCTCACTGGAGAACACCACTTGCTCAAGTATCTCACCCTCTGCTCTCAATACCATCAGAGTGACCCAAATTTTGCCATATACTCCATGAGAGGGATTCACAGCGTGGACATTTAAAGACCTACCAGTAAGCAGGGTCCTCTTTGAGAAGAGTTCTCTCTTTGGGAGACAGGCTGCCTTCGATGACACGTTTCACAAGCTGGTCGATGGTGCCCACTACCCTGTGATCTGCTCGCTGGGGGACAGCTGGAACACACAGAACAGCTTCTCTGAGAAATATGCTGAATGTGGGCTCTGAGAAGACGAGGATAGTTGAGTAGTTGGGGGCTTAGTGCTGAACCCAAGCAGGCATCAACAACCGAAATCCTCATTCACAAGACACCAGCATTGAAAAGAGGAAAACAACCAATATGGAAAATCTCCTCCTAAAAAATGTAACAGTATAACCACTAGGAGAGAAACAGTCACAGCTTTCAATGACTGGACAGAGCAATTTATGTATATGCTCTAGAAAAAGAAAGATATATAGCAATTTGATATCATTTTTCACATATTACTTAATAATTTGAGTGTTCATAACATTAAAGTGGAAAATATAAATATCTAGTATAAAATATACAAAAATGTATCTAGGTTATGGTTCTCAATATAAAGGTGGGAATAAAAAATATAAATATGGATACATAGAAAGAAGACTATAAGGAAATATGTTAGGAAATATGTTAACAGAGGTTATAGGGGGTAGAATTATCAGGAATTTCATTTTCCTTATGCTTTAAGAACTTAAAAAAAAAACTTGTGTTTTGTAATCAGAAAATATATGTATCAATTCACAAAAAATTTTCTCCAATTAAAAAAAAAAAAGAAAAAAAAAAAAGGTCAGCCGGGCACGGTGGCTCACACCTGTAATCCTAGCACTTTGGGAGGCTGAGCGGGGTGGATTGCCTGAGCTCAGGAGTTCAAGACCACACTGGGCAACATGGTGAAACTCCGTCTCTGCTAAAATACAAAAAAAAAAAAAAAAAAAAAAATTAGCCAGGCATGGTGGGATAGAGCGAGACTCCATCACAAAAAAAAATAAATAAATAAATAAATAAAAAGGTCAGTGATCCCAAATTACATGTTCACAGAAAATATCTGCTGAATGTATAAGAAACAAATTTTGGCCAGGCACAGTGGCTCACGCCTGTAATCCCAGCACTTTGGAAGGCCAAGGCAGGCGGATCACGAGGTCAGGAGATCGAGACCAGCCTGGCTAACACGATGAAACTCCATTTCTACTAAAAAAATACAAAAAAATTAGCTGGGCATGGTGGCGGGCGCCTGTAGTCCCAGCTACTTGGGAGGCTGAGGCAGGAGAATAGCGTGAACCCGGGAGGTGGAGCTTGCAGTGAGCCGAGATTGCGCCACTGCACTCCAGCCTGAGCGTCAGAGTGAGACCCTGTCTCAAAAAAAAAAAAAGGCAAATTTTTTTTTTTGAGATGGGGTCTCACTCTGTTGCCCAGGCTGGAGTGCAGTGGTCCCATGACAGCTCACTGCAGCCTCGAACTCCTAGGCTCAAGCAATTCTCAGGCCTCAGCCTCCCAAGTAGCTGGGATTACAGACATGCGCCACCACGTACAGCTTTATTTTTTTGTACAGACGAGGCTTCACCACATTGCTCAGGCTGGTCTCCAATTCTTGGGCTCAAGAGATCCACCCTCCTTTACCTCCCAAAGTGCTGGGATTATAGGCATGAGACACCATGCCCTGCCCAAAATATTTTTTAAAGTGTGAATGTCCTCCAATATGACTTTAAATTTACAATGCTGCCAGCAACACAGAACATGTTTCTTCGAATGGTAAGATTGTTTAGTTTCCTAACAATTGTCTAGTTTTAAAAGTACAGAATGATGGCCGGGCACAATGGCTCATTCCTGTAATCCCAGCACTTTGGGAGGCCGAGGCGGGTGGATCACCTGAGGTCAGGAGTTCGAGACCAGCCTGACCAACATGGAGAAACCCCGTCTCTACTAAAAATATAAAATTAGCCAGGTGTGGTGGCACATGACTGTAATCCCAGCTACTAGGGAGGCTGAGGCAGGAGAATCGCTTGAACCTGGGAGGCTGAGATAGCGGTGAGCCGAGATCATGCCATTGCACTCCAGCCTGGGCAACAAGAGCAAAATTCCATCTCAAAAAAAAAAAAAAAAAAAAAGCAAAGAATGGTCTATTTGTTCAGCCACTCAACTCAATTAAAATCACTGCTGAACTAGCGAGGTTTTCCAGTTTGTTCTGTAAATGATTGCATAGTCCTGTGCCCGTCTGTGTCCATGTTGCAGCTTTCAGCTTATTTTAAACACTAGTGTGAGCTCCTCACACATGATGAGTCAATCCTTCAACTGCCACGTTATTCCAAGTATGTCCCCTATGAAACTGCTTTTTTTTTCATGGCTCTCTTTTTACAGAGCTACTAGTTTTACATGATTTTACAAAAGATGTTGAGGTTTACAGTCAGCAATGAAATTTAGGGACCCCTGCAAATTTGGTCATCTTTAGCTAGGATGACCACGAACAAGGGTCAGAAAGTGGGTCACAGCTTTGGCCCAGCAATCCTACTCCTGAGAATGTACCCTTTCAAGGAGAATTAAAAACAATAAAACTAACAGTAATAACCAAAGCATTCAACCAAAGATGTCATTCCAGCATTTTTTTTTTTTTTCTAGATGGACTTTTGCTCATCACCCAGGCTGGAGTGGAGTGGTGCGCTCTAGGCTCACTGCAACCTCCACTTCCCAAGTTCAAGCATCTCTCCTGCCTCAGCTTCCCAAGTAGCTGGGATTATAGGCATGTGCCACCATGCCAGGCTAATTTTTGATTTTTAGTAGAGACAGGTTTCGTCATGTTGGCCAGGCTGGTCTCGAACTCCTGACCTCAGGTGATCCACCTGCTTCAGCTTCCCAAAGTGTTGGGATTATAGCTGCGAACGACTGCACCCAGCCCATTCCAGCACTTCTTTTTTTCTTTTTTTTCTTTTTTTGGAGACAGAGTCTCGCTCTGTCGCCAGGCTGGAGAGCAGTGGCAAGATCTCGGCTCACTGCAACCTCTGCCTCCTGGGTTCAAGCGATTATCCTGCCTCAGCCTTCCGAGTAGCTGGGACTACAGGCACATGCCACCACGCCCGACTAATTTTTTGTATTTTTAGTAGAGACGGGGTTTCACCGTGTTAGCCAGGATGGTTTCGATCTCCTGACCTCATGATCCACCCGCCTCGGCCTCCCAAAGTGCTGGGATTACAGGCATGAGCCACTGCGCCTGGCCCATTATAGCATTTCTAACAGGAACATAAGCAGCGGTGGGGCAGCCTCATGAGATGTGGGCCCTGCTGCCACCTATCCCGCTATCCAGACAGGGAACTGAGGCTTGCAGATGCTAACTACATGTGAACCCAGGTCTGTCTGGCTTCAGAAACCTCTAGTAAAAGGCAGCATGAGTCCAGCATCAAGGGAAAGGTGAGGTAATTTACATTAGGTCAATATCAGGATGTAGCAAAGGCTGTGGAAACAAAGAGGGCTTTCTGGCAATCATGTAGAAGAGCAGGCGGTAGCATTTTCAGTCCAGCATGCCTGCAGCTGCAGGAAAACAGGGGGAACATCAAAGACTGTGGGAGGGTAAGTGGGTGGGTTATAACCACTTTAGGTTATCGGTGACTTTTCTTCCTTCATACAGTATGCCATCACTTTGTGAGGGATTGGGGAGTAGGGTCCCTTAAGCCCTGAGCCTACTTCTGGAAGGATCCCTCTCTGGGAGTAGGTGTGGCCACCTGTATGTGGTGGGACCTATCTAGTGTCTAGTGCTGTTGGGGCTTCCTGAGGGTGGTGAAAGAGCAAAGAAAGTCAGGAACAAATGAGACTTCGCCACTGGACTGGGGGCAATGGAAGGTGAAAACCACATCGTGGGAAAAGTGCTTTCTCCCTATCACAAGAGTTAAGACAGCATGATTACCATGTGTGCTCGTGACCTCTGGGATGTCTGGGCTGTGAGAGTCCATTCTGGGAGCTTAGGAGGAAGGAAGAGGGAAACCAAACAGCTCATCACTTCTATTTCTCCTCCTTGGCCTTTTCCTCTCCCCAGAAAGCCAATGATAACTGCTAATTAGCAGGTGTACTTAAGTGATTCACCAACTTTAGCCAGTCTACAAAAGTGAGTAGGGCGAAAAGGTGTATCCACTATGTGGAATGACCTGGCTGTTCCCTACACATCCCTCAATACAGCTCAAGCACGACCTCTCCAACTTTCCAGGCTAGACTGGAGCCTCTCCTGTGTCGCTTTAATTCTAGCACAGGGGTGACTGTTTTTTTGTTTTGGTTTATTGAGAGACAGGGTGATTCTAGCCCAGGCTGGAGTGCGGTGGCTATTCACAGATGCAATCATAGGTCACTGCAGCCTTGAACTCCTGGCCTCAAGCAATCCTCCCTCCTCAGCCTCCCAAGTAGCTGGGATTTCAGACATATGCTACCACCCCTGGCTCACAAGTGACTGGTCTTTGTGATTTTCTTCCCTCAGGAGCCTGGGGATTCCTCAGAGACAGTGCTCTGTGTCTTTTCTCCCTTCTAGTAATACCTTGTGGGGACATGTTGGAACAAGGGTTCCAGGCCAGGTGCAGTGACTCACACCTATAATCCCAGCACTTTGGGAGGCTGAGGCAGGTAGATCACTTGAGCTCAGGAGTTCGAGACCAGTCTGGGCAACATGATTCTCTACAAAAAAATACAAAAAAAGTTAGCCAGGCATGGTGGTACATGCCTATAGTCCCAGCTACTCAGGAGGCTGAGGCGGAAGGATCACTTGAGCCTAGGAGGTCGGGGCTGCAGTGAGCCATGGTCATGCCACTGCACTCCAGCCTGGGTGACAGAGCACGACCCTGTCTCAAAAAAACAAAAACAAGGAAAGAAAGTCAACCCTTCTTTTTTTCAAAGGTTAAAAAGAAAAAAAAAGGAACAAGCGTTCTTAACCTTGGCTGCAGAAAGGTACGAATCCCCCGGATGATATAGGTAAAATTGTGCGTGAATAGATGAGCATTTTTTCTGGCAATGGCCACAGCTTTCTACCAAATTCCCAGAGAGGTATTTGACCTAAAAATGTCTAAAAATTTTTATTTTTCTGAGACAGAGTCTTGCTCTGTCACCCAGGTTGGAGTGCAGTGGGGTGATCTCAGCTCACTGAAACCTCCGCCTCCCAGGTCCAAGTGGATTCTCCTAACTCAGCCTCCCGAGTAGCTGGGATTTCAGGTGCGTGCCACCACACCCGGCTAGTTTTTGTATTTTTAGTAGAGATGGGGTTTCACCATGTTGGCCAGGCTGGTCTCAAACTCTTGGTCTTAAGTGATCTGCCGCCTCAGCCTCCCAAAGTGCTGGGATTACAGGCATGTGCCACCACACCCGGCTGTCTAAAGACTTCTATGGTAAACAGCAGATTCCTAATACACATTCACAGAATGAATGGCAGACATATATTGGCCAATGTGCGTTTTCTACTAAAATCCTGATATGTTTCCAATTGGCTAAAGAACTTCTGTGTAAAAAAATCTCGAATAAAAGACATTACCAAAGAAACACGAAAAACAACAAATAGAAACTTTGGCTGATTTCCTTACCATCACTCAGACTACTTGGAGCCTTGGCCTGAATTTCAGGTTTCGTAGGAGGAATCATTTTCTCCTCCTCTCGCATCGGCTCTGGTTCGGCTTTCTTAACCTGGAGGGGACATCCGCTGCTGACTAGCCAGGCCTTCAGGTGGTCTATGTACTCTCGCCCAAACAAAGTGGAGTCTTCGAAGTTTGGAAACGCAGCAGGTGAGGGAGCTATATCTTGCAGGCCGACAGCTTCTAAGATTTTCTCCTGCCGGAAAGAAGAGGCCAAGGAAAATGTCTGTCCCAAAAGGGCCAAAGACTTCCGGCAGAGAGAGTTGGTGGTTTCTAGGGCAAGAGCCAAGTCCAGGGGGTTACTGAGGGTCTTCATCTTGACACTTAGCTCGTAGGCATTGCAGGCCATAAGCAAAGGTGTGACACTCTTCAGAAGCCGGTCTTGAAGTCTCATTATGTACTTGTCAAAAGGCTTTATGATTTCAAAAAAGCAATTTTTGGTCTTCACAGCACCTTTGTCTAAAAGCATGTTTAAAAACTCATTATCAACTCTGGGTGTTTTCAAAGCAGAGTGCTTTAAAAATTTGATAGTAAAAAAGCAAAAATCTCTGTGCTCTGGTTTTAAGGAACATTTGAATGAGGCAAGCATTTTAGCACAGGTTTCTGTTTCAAGTTCAAAGAGAGTCTGGAAAAGTTGGGAAAATTTAATATCATCTTTTATGGTGTGGAATCCTGCCCATTTGATTATTTCTATCCCAAATCTTGAAAAAACATCAGACTTATCTATGATGTCAAAGCTCATCTTTCTTCTGGGGAGCCGAAGATTCTTCAGATCCAGCCCCAGAGGGATCTTCTGAATGGGGAACTGGATATCTTCTGTCCCTGGGTTTGTCCCCAGGGTCACATCAGGACTTGGAGTGTTTTTCTGGATTTGGTTAGTGCCCTGAGTTTTGGGAGTAATACGATTCACGGTGGGTATTTTTTTTGTGCTCACATTTCTCAATGTGACAAGTTTCCCAACACCCCCCTTAGCTGTGAGCAGGCCCTGAGTCTCCCCCTTTCCTAGGAGGGAACCTTCCTGGTCAACGATGTTTAGAGCTCGACCTCTGGCCTGGACTTGACTGCCGCCCCTAAGCACAGAGTCAGCCTCCCCAGGATGGTCCACGTCATAATCCCGACTCTCCTTCTCCAAACACTCTTTCTCAATCAGCCTGGAAGATCCAAAGTCCCCCAAAACTGCAGAGGGACCAAAACTATACTCCTGTGACCAAGAGGACTCTTGAGAAACTGGATGGCCAAAGTCTTGTTCCCAAGAACCACGGAGCGCAAATTTCCAGTCCTGAGAACGGAAATGCCCCAATTTCCGGTGGCCAATGACCTGGTCCCGAGAATCAGAGTGAGAAAATTCCAGATCCCGGCCACATTCTTTGCGAAAGTAGCTGTCATCACTGATGGAAGGGTTGCTTGATCTGAAGGAAGGCCCTGGAAATACGTCACTTCTCAGGCCTTCTCTTCCGGCATCTCTAGAGTGAGCTACAGATCCACTGAGGGAGTATCTGCCATCGCTGTGGACGTCATCATACATCTCTGCTCTGGATCTTGGGACTGCCCTTAAGAGATCTGAAATAAACCATCCAAAAAAAAAAAAGAAGAAGCCAAAAGATACTTTAGACCAGAGAATGCAAACAGTGCAAACAAACAGTCCACGGATCACCAGGCAGCAAAACTGCTTTATACACCTCAGTGCTTTTTGCCAATCTGTATTTGCTGCCAACATTTAAAATGCGTGTGGTGTCACTTAAAAATCTGGATCGACTACTTACTAAAACAGAAGACCTATAAGCACCAAGCCTGAGTTTGCCCTGATGACGTCAACCCAGGCTGGGCAGTAGCAGCCTGACGGGCAAGACACAGACTCTCTAAGTTGGCACCAACAGCCCTCGCTCATTCAGATCCCCCTACTCTCTAGCCATCTGGGTTGACAATCCCTCTTTTAGTCTGAGGAAAGGGTGTTTGGTCCCCAAATAACCTGGATATTTTTACTGCAACTGGAGCACTTCTGTGTTTCTACTTCTATCTCAGAACAGACAGGTTTTATTGAGGCTACCTGCCTTCACTGCCTCTTAGAAGGAAGTCTCAGCCCACAGTGCCACCGTGAGGCTAGAGGAACCATAGCTAACACCACACCCACCACAGCTGACCCAAAGCTGGCTGAACCCATCCCTCGGAAAGGTCGGCCAGGCCAATCAACCCTCTCTCTGGAGCTGAAAAACCACAGACCGAGGCAGGCAGGAGGGAAGGCAGAAGCTTAACAAGATACATCAAGAGAGGCCATGATGGAAACTGAACAGTGCCCAATTCTGTCCTTCTCCATGTAGAAAAGGGGAAATGGGCCAGGCACAGTGGCTCAAACCTATAATCCCTGCACTTTGGGAGGCCGAGGTGGGAGGATCACTTGAGCCCAGGAGTTTGAGACCAGCCTGGGCAACATAGCGAGACCCTATCTCTGTCAAAAATAAAAAAGGGCGGAGGGGAAGATGTACTTGCATTTGCTTAATCACACATGGAGAAACTGTAAGAAGCGAGGAAGAGAAGTGAACTACGGGCATATGAGAACAGTGGGCCTCAGGGAGAGTTTTCATGGAATGCCTTTCTTTCTAGCTTTTCAATCAGAATCGATGACCTAGTTAAAAAAAAAATCAAATGAACAGGGAAGGAGAGGTGCCAGGAGGTAGCAATAGGTTAAGAGGCCACAGGAAGCCAAAGTCGTATATAAATCCTAGTTCACTTGTTCAACAAGTACAAACTGGGCACCTACTGTGCGCAAGCACTGTACTAGGCACTGAAGTTACAGCAAGAAAATGAGAACTCTTCCAAACTTGTCAGTTGAGAGAGCCAGACAATAAACAAAAATATATCAGATGCAAGTTAAGTACCAAGAAGACAAATCAAGCACGTGGGAACCTGAGGAGGCAATGACATTTTGAGACAGGCTAGTCAAGGAGGGTAGCTCTGACACTTTTTTTTTTCTTTTTTTTTTTGAGACAGAGTCTCGCTCTGTTGCCCAGGCTGGAGTGCCGGAGTGCAAGGGTGCGATCTTGGCTCACCGCAACCTCCACCTCCCAGGTTCAAGCGATTCTCCTGCCTCCGCCTCCTGAGTAGCTGGGAATACAGGCACCCGCCACCATGCCCGGCTAACTTTTGTATTTTTAGTAGAGACAGGGTTTCACCACATTGGCCAGGCTGGTCTGGAACTCCTGACCTTGTGATCCGCCCACCTCGGCCTCCCAAAGTGCTGGGATTACAGGCGTGAGCCACCGTGTCACGCTGCATAGCTCTGACACTTTATCTAGCAGCAGTGGCCTGGCATGAGGAGCCAGACCGTACAGTTACAAAGGGAAGCCTTCCAGGCAGAGGGGGAATGAGGACAAGACCCTGAGGTGGGACCAGTAGGGGGCCAATGTAGACAGAAGGGAACACAGGGAATGAAAGGCCAAGTGGTAGGAAGGCAGCTCCCAAACTCTGCTACTGGAGCCCCAGGGACCACCTCCCCAGACATTCTTACTTAATTAAATAAGGGGATGACCTGGGCATCAGGGTTTTTAAAAGGCCCCCAGGTGACGCTAACGTGCTACAAAGTTAGGGAACCACTAATATAAGAGACACAAATGGAGAAGGAGTACCAGATCCAAGTCGGGCCCTCAGTGGTACTCTGGAATTTACTCTGGGAGAGACAGAAGGCTAGTGAAGAGTTCTAAGCAGAGGGATGATCTCACTGGCTGCTGCACAGGGAACAGATTAAAGGAGATGAGCACAGACGTGGATGTTCCTGCAAGAAATCCACTGTGATAACCCAGGTATTGATGATTGGTATTGATGGCATGATTAGGGAGGGAACATTAGTGACAGAGAGTGATGGCTGGATTCTACTCAAGAGAATTTTCTCATACCCTTTATGAGGAGATGAAAAGTTCAGAGTGGAGCAGAGAAACAGAGAAAGGCTAAACGATAGACTGCTTTGCAACACAGAAATGTTCCAGAATCACCTAGCATACTGCTAGGTTTCTAGTCCTCTCCCACCCACGGCCCCCTAATCTGTCTTTTTTTTTTGAGACGGAGTCTCGTTCTGTCACCCACGCTGGAGCGCAGTGGTGCGATCTCGGCTCACTGCAACCTCCACCTCCTGGGTTCAAGCTATTCTTCTGTCTCAGCCTCCTGGGTAGCTGGGATTATAGGGGCCTGCCACATTTTTGTATTTTTAGTAGACACGGGGTTTCACCATGTTGGCCAGACTGGTCTCAAACTCCTGACCTCAGGTGATCTGCCCACCTTGGCCTCCCAAAGTGCTGAGATTACATGTGTAAGCCACTGCACCTGGCCGTCTTTTTTTGAGACAGGGTCTCACTCTTTGGCCCAGGCTGGAGTATAATGGCACAAACACAGCTTACTGCAGCCTCGACTTCCTGGGCACAAGCGAACTTCCTGCCTCAGCCTCCCAAGTAGCCAGGGCCATAGGCGCATGCCACCATGCCCAGATAAATTTTTTTTTTTTTGAGACGGAGTCTTGCTCTGTCACCCAGGCTGGAGTGCAGTGGCACAACCTTGGCTCGCTGCAACCTCCGCCTCCTGGGTTCACGCCATTCTCCTGCCTCAGCCTCCTGAGTAGCTGGGACTACAGGCGCCCGCCACCACGCCCGGCTAATATTTTTAGTAGAGACAGGGTTTCACCGTGTTAGCCAGGATGGTCTCGATCTCCTGACCTTGTGATCCGCCCGCCTCGGCCTCCCAAAGTGCTAGGATTACAGGCTTGAGCCACTGCGCCCGGCCATTTTTTTTCTTTTTTTTTTTTTGAGATGGAGTCTCGCTCTGTCGCCCAGGCTGGAGTGCAGTAGCGCAATCTTGGCTCACTGCAGGCTCCACCTCCCGGGTTCACGGCATTATCCCGCCTCAGCCTCCCAAGTAGCTGGGACCACAGGCACCCACAACCACACCTGGCTAATTTTTTTTTTTTTTTGATTTTTAGTAAAGACGGGGTTTCACCATTCACAGGATGGTCTCGATCTCCTGACCTTGTGATCCTCCCAGCACTCTGGGAGGCCGAGGCGGGCAGATCACAAGGTCAGGAGTTCAAAACCAGCCTGACCAACATAGTGAAACCCCATCTTTACTAAAATAAATACAAAAAAATTAGCCGGGCATGGTGGCAGGCACCTGTAATCTCAGCTACTCGGGAGGCTGAGGCAGGAGAATCGCTTGAATCCAGGAGGCACAGGCCGCAGTGAGCCAAAATCACGTCACTGCACTCCAGCCTGGGCGACAGTACAAGACTCTGTCTCAAATAAAAAAAAAAAAGAACTAGTAGAGCTTAAACCTGGGCAGCGGTGACAGGGATGGAGCCAGGAAATGGATCCAAGAACCTGTCTTGGGGCTGGGAGCAGTGGCTCACGCCTGTAATCGCAACATGCTGAAGGCAGAGGTGGGAGGATCACTTGAGCCCAGGAGTTGCAGACCAGCCTGAAAACATAGCAAGACTCCATATCTATTAAAAAAAACAAAAAACAAAAAAAACAAAAACATAAAAAACACCAAAAAACAAAACTGGGCTGGGCTCGGTGGCTCATGCCTGTAATCCCAGCATCTTGGGAGGCCAAGGCAAGTGGATCACCTGAGGTCGGGAGTTCGAGACCAGCCTGGCCAACATGGTAAAACCTCATCTCTACTACAAATAGAAAAATTAGCTGGGCGTGGTGGTGCATGCCCGTAATCCCAGCTACTCAGGAGGCTGAGGCAGGAGAATCGCTTGAACCCAGGAGGCGGAGGTTGCAGTGAGCCAAGAGGCGGAGGTTGCAGTGAGCCAAGATCCCTCCATTGCCCTCCAGCCTGGGAGACAAGAGTGAAACTCCGTCTCAAAACAAACAAACAAACAAACAAACAATAAACAAAACTGTCTTGAGGTGGGTCGGGGAGGATATCCAGTGAGAAGCTCCAGATAACTACATAATGATGACTGACAGATCAAAACATTATCCCCTGACCAAGTGCAGTGGCTCATGCCTATAATCCCAGCACTCTGGGAGGCAGAGATGGAAGGATGGCTTGAGCCTAGGAGTTCAAGGGTGCAGTGAGCTAAAACTGCGCCACTGCACTTCAGCCTGGGGGAGAGAGTAAGACCCTATCACAAAAAAGAAACCAAACCAAAATAAAAACCTTTACCTCCTCCTAAATAAGGAAACTAAGGATCAGAGGACTGGTATTATTTGCCCAAGGTATTGTAATCTTCCTGCCTTGGCCCTAAGATACACCCCTACCAAAACAACAACTACAACAACAACACTTTATTTTACCTTGAGCTTTAAACTGAAGAGTTTCGCTTACAGCCTCACCACTGGCATCCATGTGATATCGTTTGGCTTTTTCTTGTAATACAGCATCAAAAGTCTCCTGTGTAATTCGTCTGGCTGCCATGTTATTTTGCCCTATGGTGAGAGAGAAAAAAATACACTAAGAGCAACAACTTGGAGCTGGGCGCGGTGGCTCATACCTGTAATCCTGGCACTTTGGGAGGTCGAGGTGGGCGGATCACCTGAGCTCAGGAGTTCGAGACCAGCCTAGGCAACATGATGAAACTAAAATACAAAAAATTCAGGCTGGGTGTGGTGGCTCACACCTGTAATCCCAGGACTTTGGGAGGCTGAGGTGAGCGGATCATTTAAAGTCAGGAGTTGGAGACCAGCCTGGCCAACATGGCAAAACCCTGTCTCTACTAAAAATACAAAAATTAGCCGGGCATGGTGGTGCCTGCCTTTAATCCCAGCTACTTGGGAGGCTGTGGCAAGAGAATTGCTTGAACCCAGGAGGCGGAGGTTGCAGTGGGCCGAGATCATGCCACTGCACTCCAGCATGGGTAACAGAGTGAGACTCCGTCTCAAAAAAAAAAAAAAAAAAATTTCACCAGGCATGGTGGCACGTGCCTGTAATCCCAAATACTCAGGAGGCTGAGGCATGGGAATTGCTTGAACCAGGGAGACAGAGGTTGCAGTGAGCCGAGATCATGCCACTGCCCTCCAGACTGGGGGACAGAGCGAGACTGTCTCAAAGAAAAAAAAAATGCGTGCTCACAGAACCTGCTCTATTTCACTTAATCCTCGAAGTAAGGAGGCAGTAATCCATAATCCTCGCATGGTACTTCAGAGGCAAGCTGGACCCTTTTTATTTATCTTTTTTTTTTTTTTTTTTAAGTAGAGACAGGGTTTTGCTAGGTTGGCCAGGCTGGTCTCGAACTCCTGACCTCAAGCAATCTGCCCACCTTGTCTGGACTCTTTTAAGGGGGTCTCTGCCCTCACGAAGTTCACAGGTGTGTGCTGGCTGAAAAGGAGCAAGACAAACCTTCTCTGGGCCCATCTCCTTGGAATCCATTAAAAGCAGCTCTGTGAAAGCAGTTCTATCTGCTGGAGGAAGGTGTCAACCAACACACATAACTGAGCATAACAGAGTAGGAAGGGTGGGACCACAACCCTCGCAAATCGTGGTTAGGAAAGAAGAGATCAATCTTTTTTTTTTTTTTCTTCCTTTTTTTGAGACTCTCCCTGTTGCCCAGGCTGGAGTGCAGTGGCATGATCTCGGCTAACTGCAACCTCCGCCTCCTGGACTCAAGCAATTCTCCTGCCTCAGCCTCCTGAGTAGCTGGGATTACAGGAGTCCGCCACCGCATCCGACTAATTTTTATATTTTAGGTAGAGATGGAGTTTCACCATGTTGGCCAGGCTGGTCTTGAATTCCTGACCTCAAGTGATTCGCCCGCTTCGGCCTCCCAAAGTGCTGGGATTCCAGGCCGTGAGCCACTGCGCCTGGCCCAGGATCACTCTTTTCCCATTCACAGACTCAGCAGGGCACAGAGGCTCTGAGAACTTCCTTCCCTTCTAAAAGAAGCCTCTTGACAGTGAGTGGCGGGACCCCCAACCAATGACAATGAACTAGTGACAGTTCATTCTGCGCTGGGTCCTTGCGCGATCTCCCAACCACCCACTGAAGAGGCGGGTCCTGTTATGAATGACATTAGGGTGAGGAGGCAAAGGGAGACAGACTCAACGACCCATTCAAGACCAGACAGCCCAGATTTGAACCTGGCAAAAAGGGTATTCGTGCATCCAAAGCCCCGAAGAATGAGTAAAAAGATTAAGCAACATTTTGGGGTCCAGGGGCTGCATCCTTAACCATCAAGATATCCCGCTTCGCAAAACCTCCAACTTCAAGAGACAACCCGTAGGGTCCATTTCCCATCACGATCACCGCCTCCCCCACCCGCCTCCCCCAGTCCCATCCTTCAGCCCTTTTCCCGGGGCGCCCCCTTGTTCTCTGCTGGCAAAGGGCAGGGTTCCCGGGTCAGGTGACCCAGGTTCAAATCACACGATTCTAAGCTTTCTGTGCTTCCGTTTCCCCACCTATGGAATGGGCAGCCAGTAAAGGGGCTGGTGTGGGGGCTGAACCGGTTCTAAAGAGGGCAAGGGCCCGATGCAGCGCTGGGCGCCGTTATCTCCTCCCGAGCGGGGGCCGCTCCGAGTTCGGGAGGAATGAATGAACGACTGAACCAATGAGCCTTTGTGGACGCGGCCCGCCGTCTCCCGGCCTCTGCGGGCGAGGAAATGGGGGCGCCGGGCCCGGGAGGCCGCAGCCGGCCACCCAGGCCAACCCGGCGGGGACGCGGCCGCCGCCGCAGCCAGAGGGCCGAGCCTGCGACGCCATCACGGAGCCCGGGGCGGGCCCCCAAGGCCGAGCCCGAGCTTCCCACCCCGGGAGCCACCCACCGACGACGCCAGGGCCCGGGCCTCACCCCGAGACCACCGCGCGCGGAGCCACCCCCGCCGCCGCCTCAGGCTCCTCACCCGCCGCCGCCGCCGCGCGAGGCGGGGACATGCAAATGAACCAACGGTCTCCGCAGCGCCGCGCCGCGCAGGCGCAAGCCGCCGCCGAGTCCTGGTGCGCAGGCGCGGGCCGCCGCGGCCCGGCTCTCTTGCGCAAGCGCGCTGTCCGCTTCTTCTGGGCGGACGCTCTGGAGGCAAAACATTTCCCTGCTGGGGGCGGCGACCACCGTGAGCGTCCCGGAAGGGGCGGCAAAGACGCCTCCGTCGCGCACGAGGTGGCCTCGTTGGCTTTACCTTGGTTCGCGGTCGTCCTTGGTTATCGTGAGCGTCCGCGAGTCTCTGGGAGGCCAAGCCTAGGGGCGCCACAGCGCCTGCGCGCGTACGGCGGCCGGAAGGGGCTAGAGGCGGCTCCCTGGGTGACAACCGCGCGCCCCACCTTTCCCCACGTGGCCGCGAAGACCGGGTGAGACGCTGCGGCTGCCGAGGCCTGTCCCGCGCGGAGTGGGGAGTGGGGGTGCCGCAGGGTCGGGCTGGCGCGACCCTCGGGTACGTGGTTTGGGGGGAAAAAAAAAATGAAAGAATTTTACAGAAGCCGCCTGGGGACAAAATCCTCGGCTTCCCTGGCATTCGCTTTATTTTCATTCATTTTATTTATTCATTCAGCACCTGTGCACTGAGTGCCTGCTGCGTGTCGGGCCCCGTCCTAGGCAGTGGGGACAAGGAGGCTACAGGGTACAAATAAATGAGTGAACGATGTTGCTCTAGATACAGGTAATGGTGTGCAAATAATAACAGAGTGATGGGACGGGAAAGCAGGGCTGCTCTTTATCTAGAAGTGGTTTTGAAGGCTGTCTCTTGAGTGCTGGGAAGGATGAGAAAGGCGGGGAAGAGGAACTTGGAAGGCTTAGATAGAGAAGGTGCGGATAAGGAGGCTGGGTTTTGTTCTGAGAGGGTTGGGAAGCCACTACCGGGCTTTGAGCACGTGAGTGAGGTGGAGTCTAGGCTCTGGGAGTGGCAGGTGACGCCGCCCTTAGGGGAGGCTGGTGTTTGAACCAGAGTGGGTGTGGCTGGTAGAGGGACATGTGGATGGAGTCTTTTAGAGTCCCCAGCATGTCATGGCACACGTTTAATTTTCTTTTGAGACGGAGTCTTTCTCTGTCGCCCAGGCTAGAGTGTAGTGGCATGATCTTGACTCACTGCAACCTCCACCTCCCGGGTTCAAGGGCTTCCCCTGCCTCAGCCTCCCGAGTAGCTGGGACTACAGGTGCGCAACACCGCACCTGGCTAAATTTTGTATTTTTTTTTTTTTTGAAACGGAGTCAAAAGGAGTTCAAGCGATCTCCTGCCTCAGCCTCCTGAGTAGCTGGGATTACCGGTGTGCACTATCTTGCCTGGCCTTTTTTTTTTTTTTTGAGACGGAGTCTCGTTCTGTCACCCAGGCTGGAGTGCAGTGGCGCAATCTCAGCTCACTGCAAGCTCCGTCTCCTGGGTTCAGGCCATTCTCCTGCCTCAGCCTCCCGAGTAGCTGGAAATACAGGCACCCGCCACCACGCCCGGCTAGTTTTTTTGTATTTTTTTAGTAGAGACGGGGTTTCACCGTGTTAGCCAGGATGGTCTTGATCTCCTGACCTCATGATCCGCCCGCTTCGGCCTCCCAAAGTGCTGGGATTACAGGCGTGAGCCACCGTGCCCGGCCCTGGCTAATTTTTTGTATTTTCAGTAGAGACAGGATTTTGCTATGTTGGCCAGGCTGTTCTCAAACTCCTGACCTCAAGTGATCTACCCGCCTCAGACTCCCAAAGCGCTGGGATTATAGGCCTGAGCCACCGCACCTGGACAGCACAGTTTTCTTGATGAGCAGATTCCTGGCTGAGAGAAGGAAACTGGCTGCCAGTTAGGGGCCTTACTCATCTTCTGTTTTACCCTCAGCATGCCCTGATGGATAATAGGGACTGGTAATGCTGCTTCCCCCTTTTAGCCTAGGCTGTTCTCCAGGTAATTCTTACTTGGCCATCTCCAGGCACCATCTTATGTGTTCCAAATCTGTACTTTCCTCCTCCAACTCAGCCCTGTACCAGATCTAGGGGACCTTGGAGGACTCAGGTCAGGGGTGGTCACAGAGCCAGACCTTCCCAACTCAGTCAGCTCAGGGGTGGGTGGAAGGGAGGGGTTGTGGGTTGGGGAGTGAAGCCAGAGAGTGTGGGCTCTCTGAGTGGCCAGGAAAGGCAGCCACCTGGAAGGGCTGGCAGAAGCTCCACAGAGGACTGAGAATCCGAAGTATTTGAGACAGGTGTCAATCAGTTAGAAAGCTTATTTTGCCAAGGTTAAGGACATGTCTGTGACACAGCCTCAGGAGGTCCTGACAACATGTACCCAAGGTGGTTGGGGCACAGCTTGCTTTTATACATTTTAGGGAGACGTGAGATATAAATGAATATGTGTAAGATGGTCACAGGTAGAGACAAATGATTGCTTTCTTTTGAGTCTTTGGTCAGCCTTTCACAGAATACACGATTTATATGGGGTACAGGGCAGGTAGAGGAATAGTCATTTATGCCTCAGTCCGACTCATGAATCTGAGGTTTTGTTTCTTGTTTTTTGTTTTATTTTTTGAGATAGAGTCTCGCTCTGTCGCCCAGGCTGGAGTGCAATGGCGCAATCTTGGCTCACTGCAACCTCCACCTCCCGGGTTCAAGCAATTCTCTTGCCTCAGCCTCCTGAGTAGCTAGGATTACAGGCGCCCACTACCACGCCCAGTTAATTTTTATATTTTTAGTAGAGACGGGGTTTCGCCATGTTGGTCAGGCTGGTCTCGAATTCCTGACCTCAGGTGATCCACCGGTGTCAGCCTCCCAAAATGCTGGGATTACAGGCATGAGCCACGGAGCCAGGCCAAATCTGCATTTTTACATAAACGTTAGGGCAGAGAGAGCAACTGGATATGCATTTGTCTCAGGTGATGACTTTCTGTCCTGCACTTGTGAAGATCACCTGTCAATTTACATTGCCAGGGTGACATTCAACAAAATTGTTTTCAGGTAAAGATCTTGAGGGCCACAAGGAATTTCCTGGCCTGGCCGGGGTGGTGGGAGTGGAGTCCCCTACTCCTTACTCCCTACTGAGAAACTCTTTATATTACTCTTCCTTCACCTTTAACCTTGGAAATCCATAGCAGCCCTTAAAGAGCTCCCTTTTCTTCTGGGGCAGAAAGGAGAGGGGCCTATCTGCAAAAGAGTGAGATGGGACTCCTGCATAAACTTGCTGAATTGCCTCTTAAGCAACAAAGGAAAGGAACAAATAGCTAATTTATTGAGCCTGTCCATATCCTGTTCTGAGGAAGGTATAGGAGTTGGCTGAATTTTTCACTACTGCCCTATGAAGTAGATTCGTGTTTATCTCTGTTTGACACATGAGGGAATTGAAGAAAAGTGTATCTGGCTGGGCGTGGTGGCTCATGCCTGTAATCCCAGCATGATGGGAGGCCGAGGCAGGTGGGTCACCTGAGGTCAGGAGTTCGAGACTAGCCTGGCCAACATGGTGAAACCCTGTCTCTACTAAAAATACGAAAATTAGCTGGGCGTGGTGGCGTGGGCCTGTAGTCTCAGCTACTTGGAGGCTGAGGCACAAGAATCGCTTGAACCCAGGAGGCAGAGGTTGTGGTGAGCCAAGATCGTGCCACTGCATTCCAACCTGGGCGACAGAGCGAGACTCTGTCTCAAAAAAAAAAGAAAAGGGCATTGAAGTGGAGGGCATGGGAACTGGGTTCTGCAGGCTGGCTGCGAGCCAGTCCTTCTCCCGTCAGGCAGTGTGCAGTCCATGGTGGGCATCTGCAGGAACACAGATGGAATGTGTATATCCCATGCCACTGCCTGAAAAGAGAAGCATGGGCCAGAGTGACCTGTTTCTTTTTCCTTTTTTTTTTTTTTTGAGACAAGGTCTTACTTTGTCACCCAGGCTGGAGTTCAGGGATATGATCTCAGCTCACTGCAGCCTTGACCTCCCTGGGCTCCCACCTCAGCCTCCCAAATAGCTGTAACTACAGGTGCATGCTCCCACACCTGGCTAATTTTGGTATTTTTTATAGAGATGGAGTTTCGCCACGTGTCCAGGCTGGTCTCAAACTCCTGGCCTCATGTGATCCTTCCGCCTCGGCCTCCCAAAGTGCAGGCCACCATGCCTGGCCTGAAGTGGAAACTTGATAATTCCAGAACGGAAACTTGATATTACTGCAATAAGCAAGGTGGATATATTGAAACAATTAAAATTTAAAAAGTTGTTAACCTCTGTTAGGCTCTGGACCTAAGGCCTGTTCCTCCTTTTGTTCCAAAGGGACGGTGGCAAATGTTAGGTTCACTCGTACCCTGTCAAGACCTTCTGGTTAAGATCATCTACAGCAGGGGTCCCCAATTCCTGGGTCACAGACCCATACTGGTCCAGTGGTCCCTGGCCTGTTAGGACCTGGGCTGCACAGCAGGAGGCAAGCGTAGGGTGAGCGAGTGAAGCTTCATCTGTATTTACAGCAACTCCCCATCACTTGCATTATGCCTGAGCTCTACCTCCTGTCAGATCAGCAGCATTAAATTATAGGAGCACGAACCCTACTGTGAACTGCACATGCAAGCGATTTAGGTTGGGCACTCCTTATGAAAATCTAATGCCTGATGATCTGTCACTATCTCCCATCACCCCCAGATGGGACTGTCTAGTTGCCAGACAACAAGCTCAGGGCTCCCACTGATCCTACATTACAGTGAATAGTATAATTATTATATTACAATGTAACAATAATAGAAATAAAGTGCACAATAAATGTAATGAGCTTGAACAATCCTGAAACCATCCCCACCCTAGCCCCACCATATCCATGGAAAAATTGTCTTCCACGAAACTGGTCCCTTAGGCTAAAAAGGTTGGGACTGCTGAGCTACAGGTTTGAAACAGAATTGCAAAGGGATTTGGTGTTTTTACCAAGAGTTTTATCTTACTTAACTCTATGTCTTGTTCCCACCTGTCAGAGTGGAAGGTACTGCCCAAGGTTAGTGGGTCATCTAAGTGTTGATACCTACCCCTGGTTTCCAGGGTATGCCTATACTGGGTTTTACTTGTTTGTTTATTTATTTATTTTTTGAGACGAAGTCTTGCTCTTGTTGCCCAGGCTGGAGTGCGATGGCGTGATCTTGTCTCACTGCAACCTCCACCTCCCTGGTTCAAGCCATTCTCCTGCCTCAGCCTCCCGAGTAGCTGGGATTACAGGCGCCCCACTAATTTTTGTATATTTAGTAGAGACGGGGTTTCGCCATGTTGGTCTTGAACTCCTGACCTCAGGTGATCTGCCTGCCTTGGCCTCCCAAAGTGCTGGTATTACAGGCATGAGCCACCATGCCTGGCCTTACTTGCTTATTTTTATTTTATAAGGTGGGTTTGTGTGTATACACACACACACACACACACACACACACATTTTTTTTAAGAGATATGGTCTCACTGTGTTGCCGCAGGCTGGTCTCAAACTCCTGTGCTTGAGTGATCCCCCCGCCTTAGCCTCCCAAGTTGCTGAGATTACAGGCACAAGTCATTGCTCAGTTCTTTTTGTTTTTAAACAGATTAGCACTTTAAGAAATTGAGCTATAATTTACATACCATAATATTCACTCATTTGATTTAGTAATTTTTTTTTTTCTTCTGGAGACATGGTCTCCCTCTGTCATCCAGACCGGAGTGCAGTGGCCCAGTCACAGCTCACTGCAGCCTTGAACTCCTGGGCTCAAATGATCCTCCTGCTTCAGCCTCCCGAGTAACTTCAACCACACGCAAATGCCACCACACCTGACTATATTTTTAAATTTTTTTGTAGAGACGGGGCCTTACTATGTTGTCCTTGCTGGTCTCAAACTCCAGACTTGAAACAGTCCTCCCACCTTGGCCTCCTAAAGCACTGGGATCACAGGTGTGAGCCACCATGCCTGGCCTGATGTAGTGATTTTACGTTTTCACAGAGTTGTACAACCATCATCACTATAATTCAAGAACGTTTTCATCACCCAGAAGGAAACCCTATACCCATTAGAAGTTACTCCCCATTCCCTCTCCTCCAGTCCCTGGCAACACCCAGTCTGCTTTTTGTGTCTGTGGATTTGCCTGTTCTGGATATTTCATGTCATTGGAATCGTGCAATATGAGGCTTTTCGTGTCTGGCTTCTTTGACGAGACATCATGTTTTTGAGGTCTATCTCCATTGTAGCATGCTTCAGCACCTCATTCCTTTCTCTGGCTGAGTAATATACCACCATGCGCACAGACCATTTTATCCATTCATCTGTTGGTAGACTCCGTCTCCTTTTCTTTGTTCTTGTGATTTATTTGTTGAAAACTCTGGGTGTTTGTCCTCTAGTTGACATTCTCTTCCCTAGTAGGGATTTTGCAGATCACATCCCCATGGTGTTGGTTAAGGTGTCAGAGCTGTGCTGTGCAATACCATAGTCACTCGTCACACATGGCTATTTACATTAACAAATTAAAATGAAATAAAATTACACACTCAGTTCCTCAGCCACACTGCCACACTTCAGCTGTGTGATAGCCACAGAGGCCAATGGCTTCTGTACTAGGCAGTGCAGATAGAGAACGTTTCATCATAGCAGGAAGTGCCCTGAATGCATGATCAGATTCGGGTTTGAGATTTTGGCACGATGACTTCACAGGTGCATTTTGTTCTTGTTCAGGAGGTAGGTGTTGCTGGTTTCTCTTGATGATGTGAGATCAAGCAGTAGACTGAGTTCCTGTCTACCCCTTGTTGGGCTCCCATCAGTTTTACACCTGATGGTTTTGGATCCTGTGGGATCATTATCTGTTTCTCTCCTGTCACAGCTGATCAGCTGGAATCGGAAGCAGAACTTTTCCTCATCCTCTTTTTATAACCTGGGACTCATTTGTACAAGGGAGGCAGGTTAAGTGCTAGGTTTTTTTTAAAAAAATTGTTACTAATTATTGTAGAGACAGTGTCTCGCTACGTTGGCCAGGCTGGTCTTGAACTCCTGGATTCAAGTGATCCTCCCATCTCAGCCTCCTGAGTAGTAGCTGGGAGTACAAGAGCATGCCACCACTCCCTGCCAAGAGCTGGATTCTTGGCCAGTTTTCAGAAGCCTGAGCTGTATTTGTTTTAGTATTATGAAAGCACAGAGTTTGACTTTTTTTTTTTTTTGCAACATCGTCTGACTGTCAGCCAGGCTGGAGTGCAATGGCATGATCTCGGCTCACTGCAACCTCCGCCTCTGTGCTCAAGTGGTTCTCCTACCTCGGTCTCCCTGATTGCTGGGATTACAGACGTGAGCCACCACACCTGGCCCAGATTTTGATTTTGATATGTACTGGATTTTTTTTTAATGCTCACTTGTCTCATCTGTAGCTACCAGGCATCCCTTAGGGTTTGGAAGCTTCCTTGCTTCCTGGTCTCACAAGACCCCAGCGTTACCTGCCCCATGACCTGCTGGGACTTGGAATCAGCCATTCCTCCAGAAGCCCTGGCTCCTTGTTTTTAAAGATTTTATGTAGAGACAGGGCCTCCCCATGTTGTCCAGGCTAGTGTTGAACTCCTGGCCTCAAGCCATCTTCCTGCCTCAGCCTCCCAAAGTGCTGGGATTACAGGAGTGAGCCACCTAGCCCTGGCCCCAGCTCCTTTTCGTGGGAAATGGTAGAAACCATACATGGTGTTAGAGGTATTCAGTGCTCCTGTGCTGTCATTTCTCCTAGGCATTTTTAGTTGCTATGACTAGAAAATTAGATCTTTGTTTACCTAAGAGAAAACACATGATGGGTTTATATGGATATTCCCATTTCATATATAGGAGTTCTGAGATTTTTTTTCTCAACTTTATCGAGGTATAGGATGTACTTTTTTTTGAGACGGAATCTTGCTCTGTTGCCCAGGCTGGTGTGCAGTGGTGCAATCTCGGCTCACTGCAACCTCTGCCTCCTGGGTTCAAATGATTCTCCTGCCTCAGCCTCCCGAGTGGCTGGGATCACAGGTGCCCGCCACCATGCCCGGTTAATTTTTGTATTTTTAGCAGAGATGGGATTTCACCATGCTGGCCAGGCTGGTCTTAAACTCCTGACCTCAGGTCATCCACCTGCCTCGGCCTCCCAAAGTGTTGGGATTACAGGCATGCGCCACTGCACCCAGCGAATTGTATTTAATATAGTGTATATCTTATACTATATATGGTACATAAATGATACAAATATATTGCATATGTTTACATTATACAACTTGACGATTTTATATGCATGCAGATTGTGAAATACTCACCTCAATCAACAGTTACCTTTTTCTTTTTTGTGGTGAGAACACTTAGAATCTACCCTCTTAGCAAATTTCAAGTATACCATACAATATTGTTAATTATAGGGAGTTCCGAGTTTTTAGTTGATAGTACGATGTTAGAATCTTTTTTTTTTCTTTTTGAGTCAGGGGCTTGCTCTGTTGCCCAGGTTGGAGTGCAGTGGCGCAATCTTGGCCTCCCAGGCTCAAGCGATCCTGCTACCTCAGCCTCCTGAGTAGTTGGGACTACAGGCATGTGCCACCACACTCAGCTAATTTTTATTTTTATTTTGGTAGAGACAGACTTTTGCCATGTTGTCCAGGCTGGTCTTGAACTCCTGGGCTCAAGCAATCCTCCTGCCTCAGCTTCCCAAAGTGTTGGGATTATAGGCATTGACCCACTGCGCCCAGCCAGAATCTTTTTTCTTTTATTCTGATTCCTAATAAGATAATCATTATTATTTGCTACATCCGTAATAGTTTCAGAATAACATTACTAGTATCATTATATTAAAGAACCACCTTTCTTAGATAAAATGTAGTAAACTCTGTGTTCTCTCCTACACTTTGTTTTTTTTTCCCAAGACAGGGTCTCACTCTGTGGCCCAGGCTGGAGTGTAGTAGTGTGATCATGGCTCACTGCAGCCTTGACCTCCCAGGCTCAAGTGATCCTCCCACCTCGGCCTCTCAGAGTGCCGGGATTACAGGCTAAGCCATCACACCCGGCCTCTTCTGTATTTGCAGAAGTTCTAGGGAAGTAGGGATATCACCCTTTCCTGTGATAACAGGTGGGAAGAATTTCTCCAGGGTGGTTGTAGGGCTCTGGTCGCTGGTAGATGCTTCCTAAGTGGCGTTTTCAAGGTGGCCAGGCCCTGCCATTGCCTGCTCACCCTTGAGGTAGCTCTCTCTTTGCCCTAACCTCTCAGCTCAGGAGCATCTATCGGCTGCACGCCAACATCAACACAGGCGAAGATGGTCTCCAAGCGCATTGCCCAGGAGACCTTTGATGCAGCTGTGCGCGAGAACATCGAGGAGTTTGCGATGGGGCCAGAGGAGGCAGTGAAAGAGGCCGTGGAGCAGTTTGAATCGCAAGGTAGGGTGGTGTGACTGTCACCTACCATCCTTGGCTCTTAGATGCAAGAGCAGTGGGAGAGCCCTGCTGCCCCGCCCCACTGGGGGTGCCACATGCCTGGCATAGAAACCAGGTGCCATTGGGCCCTGTCCCCTCCAGCTTCTGCCCGAGGCAGGCTGGTTATCCTGCTCCCACCTCTCACCTGCTTCCACCTCGCCCAGATATTTGTGGGCTGGATCCTTCTCATGAGTCTCATTTGATCACTTCCTTGAAGAGACTTTCCCTGACCCTGGCCTGGGAAACAGGGCCCCTGCCTCCCTGCCCTACTCTACCCTACCTCGAGCTTACAGAGGCAGAAGCAGCCTGTGGAAACAGGTGGCATGTTCAGACCAGGTGCAGATGAGTGTGGTTATGAGGGGCTGTTTGCAATGGTGTGGGTGGGGTTAGGAGACCACCCCTAGCACAACTAGCTCCGGCAGAGACCCTGACTGCAGGGAGCAGGAGTCCTGGGCAGGGGCCACATGATGGGTGCTGGGCCCTGGGGCAGAGGCAGGGGGCTGGGAATGAACACCCCACACTCCCCTCCTCCTGCCCCCATCTCAAGTTCACTTCCCCATTGAACAAACCCAGGGTACAGCCTGAGAGGTCAGAGGTCAGCCTCCTAGGCACAGAGTGGGGTATAGAACACTAGACAGGGGCCAGTGGGACAAGCAAAAGCGTCCAGCACTGTAGGGGCTCCCTGTGGGGGTGCCAGCAGGGGCAAGAATGCAGCCAGAGCCAGGAGGGATGGGAGCCCCAAGGGAGAAGGCTGTGGGGTCCCTCCCTCCCCCACCAAGCCCACCAGGCAGCATGTGGCACCTCACTGCACAGACGTGGCCTGTGATGACAGCCTTGTGTGACAACGGCCTCACTACCACTCTGCTCCCTTTGGCCCACGGACCAGTGGCAGAAACACCCAATACCCTCTACACCCCCGTGATGATGTGGCATGGGCGGGAATAGGGAGGTGGGAGGCTTCTGGAGTGGGGTGGTCCCAGCAGAAGGGTCCTGAGGTGTGATTCCAGCAGGCCCACGGGGATGACAGCTGTCACTTTCTTTCTGACCCCTGTGTGCTTGCTTCCCCCACCCCCAACAGGGGTTGATCTGAGCAACATTGTAAAGACGGCACCTAAAGTCTCTGCAGACGGATCCCAGGAGCCCACACATGACATCCTGCAGGTAGGAGTGGGCATCCCACACAGCAGGTCCTGCGTCACCTCTGTCTGGGGGCACCTCTTCCCTGTTTCCTGGATGGCAGAATACAGGCTCTGAAGGTCATGCCCTCCCCAGCATGCATGGGCAAGCTTGAGTTTGCAGCCAGGTCTCCCTGAGTCCATGTCCGAGGGCGGCATGCCTTCCAATGCAGGGGATCCCAGGCTCCTGTGGTGGCATGTATGCTGAAATCAGGTAGATGGCTTGGTTGTCCCTGCTGCTGGGATCCCAGAGTCAGGGACACCATAGAGGTGCCCCTCTGGCTTCCCAGAGACAGATGGTCAGGACTCATAGGACGAGAGAGTGGGCTCACAGTAAGGCTGTCACTTACTGAGCACTGACTGTTTACCAGCACTTTCCAGCCAGTCCGTTAGCACTGAAGCTCACCAGTGAAGTAGGTGGTGTCATTCCTGTCTTAGTGATGGGGAAACAGGCCAGGAGCTGGCACTTAACCTCTCCAGAGACCGAAAGAAGGAAGGTAAAAGAACTTCAATGCTTTCCGTAAGGTCGCCCATCAAACTTTGTAATACAGCAGAAGGCTCCGGTGTTTGAGAACCGACTGTGGGCCTGGTTCTGTGCAGGTACTTTTTTCCTGTCTTCTTGGTCACTGTCCAAACAACACCTGCAAGGCTGGGATTTCCCCATTGTAGAGATGGGGACATTGAGATCCAAAGAGAAGAGAAGTCATTGACATGGGAGCAGGAGGTGCAGTGATAGGAGAGGAAGTTGGAAGAGACGGCTCTGGGTGTAAACCCGGCTTGCCTAAGGCATGACACTTACTTCTCCCTACCTCGGGGTCCTGCCCTCTCCTGCCTTGAGGAGGTCTTGTGAAAATTGCCTCGTTGTTGTTAGTTTGCTTTTTGCCTTTCTTGCCTAATAAGGATGAATTTATTTTATTATATATATATTTATTTATCTATTGAGACAGAGTCTCACTCTGTTGCCCAGGCTGGTGTGCACTGGCGTGATCTCAGCTCACTGCAACTTCCACCTCCCAGATTCAAGTGATTCTCCTGCCTCAGCCTCCCGAGTAACTGGGATTACAGACACACGCCACCACACCTGACTAATTTTTTTGTGTTTGTAGTAGAGACGAAGTTTCACTATGTTGGCCAGGCTGGTCTCGAACTCCTGACCTCAGGTTATCTGCCCGCGTTGGCCTCCCAAAGTGCCGGGATTACAGGCATGGGCCACAGTGCCCAGCCTGGATGAATTTATTTTAAAATGAGTTTGTCTTCTGGCTATCTTTGCATTGGGTGATTCATCTTTTTCCTACTGATTTGTAGATGAAGTTTATATAGGAAGGATCTCAATAACAATATCGTCTATATTGTCTAGCAGTTACTGCTTAAGTACTTCTTAAGTGCTCAGCATTATGCTAAATTCTTTTTTTTTTTGAGACAAGAGTCTCACTCTGTTGCCCAGGCTGGAGTACACTGGCGCAGTCTTGGCTCACTGCAACCTCTGCCTCTTGGGTTCAAGCAATTCTCCTGCCTCAGCCTCACAAGTAGCTGGGATTACAGGTGCACACCACCATGCCCAGCTAATTTTTTTTTTTTTTTGAGACAGAGTCTCGCTCTGTCACCCAGGCTGGAGTGCAGTGGCGTGATCTTGGCTCACTGCAAGCTCTGCCTCCTGGGCTCACGCCATTCTCCTGCCTCAGCCTCCCGAGTAGCTGGGACTACAGGCGCCCGCCACCATGCCTGGCTAATTTTTTGTATTTTTAGTAGAGACGAGGTTTCACCATGTTAGCCAGGATGGTCTCCATCTCCTGACCTCGTGATCCGTCTGCCTCGGACTCTCAAAGTGCTGGGATTACAGGCGTGAGCCACTATGCCCGGCCTATTATGCTAAATTCTTAAAATATGTTCTCTTAATCTGTGCTCAGCCCATCTTGCTGGTGAGGTATCTGAGGCTTCCCAAGGATCAGTGACCACGCCCCTGCACCCCGAAAGGTCAGCTGGTGAGAGGCAGAGCTGGTACCCGGATCCAGGAAGCAAAGCACTGAAAGGCCGTTCTACCAGCAGTACAGGAAACTCCGTGTTTGTTTATAACATTCGCTCCTTTTTTTTTCTTAACTGTTCTTTTATTTATTCATTTATTTATTGAGACAGAGTCTCGCTCTGTCGCCCAGGCTGGAGTGCAGTGGCGTGATCTTGGCTCACTGCAAGCTCCACCTCCCAGGTTCATGCCATTCTCCTGCCTCAGCCTCTGGAGTAGCTGAGACTACAGGCGCCTGCCATGACGCCCGGCTAATTTTTTGTATTTTTTAGTAGAGATGGGGTTTCACTGTGTTAGCCAGGATGATCTCGATCTCCTGACCTTGTGATCCGCCTGCCTCGGCCTCCCAAAGTGCTGGGATTACAGGTGTGAGCCACCACGCCCAGCCTATTTATTTATTTTTTGAGATGGAGTCTCACTCTGTTGGCCAGGCTGGAGTGTAGTGGCCCTTCCTCAGCTCACTGCAGCTTCCTTCTCCCAGGTTCATGCAATTTTCCTGCCTCAGCCTCCCGAGTAGCTGGGATTACAGGCGTGCACCACCACGCCCAGCGGATTTTTGTATTTTTAGTAGAGATGGGATTTCACCACATTGGACAGGCTGGTCTTGAACTCCTGACCTCAAGTGATCTGCCTGCCTCGGCCTCCCAAAGTGTTGGGGTTATAGGCATGAGCCACTATGCCCAGCCTATTTTTTGTTTTGTAGAGATGGGATCTTGCTATATTGCCCAGGATGATCTTGAACACCTGCCCTCAAGTGACCCTCCCACTTTGCCCTGCCAACATGCCAGGATTACAGGTGTGAGCCAACATGCTCACCTGTTTTTTTTTTTTTTTCTTTTTCTATTTCTTTTTTTTTTTTTTTTGACACAAACTCTCACTCTGTCACCCATGCTAGAGTGCAATGGCAGGATCTCGGCTCATTGCAACCTCCACCTCCCAGGTTCAAGTGATGCTCCTGTCTCAGCCTCCTGAGTAGCTGGGATTACAGGTACCTGCCACCATGCCTGGCTAATTTTAAATTTTATTTTTCATTAAGGAAGAGTGGAAATACATTCTTAGCATAAAGGATTCAAGCAATACTCAAGCATTTATAGTAAAATCTGAAAGTCCCTGCCTTGTCCCTCCCACCAGACACTGGGGTTTGCATCTCAGCGGTCAGTTCGCAACTGAACCAACCCCCTTCTCAAATGCCCTGCAGCATAATTGACCTTTGTGCATCTTGGCTTAGATGTGTAAAAAATGCTTATCTGTTGAGGGAGAAAAAAATTCAACATTGTGATGGTCGTTGAAATTAATCTGTTTGTGTCATAAGATTTGTTGCAAACAGGCTTGTAGAAACAGAAGGAAAATAATGTCTGGAGACTGTCCAGGGAAAAACTGAGCCAGCCAGGCCACATTTATATGTGGGAAGTTGTAGAATGAAAGGCATTAGTCACAGAGACTGAATGACTCCAGGAGTCAATGGGTAAAGCCCCCCTCCATGAGCAAGGTGGTGAGCGCCACAGAAAATTGTCATAGGTAGAACACAGCTGGCTCTGCCACCTGCATTTTAGCAACCATCTGTCAATGAAAATACTCTATAAAATATTTCAAGAGATTTATTCGGAACCAAATATGAGTGACCAAAGGCCCATGACACAGCCTCGGGAGCTCCTGAGAACATGTGTCCAAGGTGGTCGGGCTACAGCTTGGTTTTATACGTTTTAGGGAGACATGAGATATCAATCAATACATGTGAGACGTACATTGGTGTGGTCTGGAAAAGTAGGGCAGCTGAAAGCCGGGGCTTCCAGGTCATAGACACATTTAAAGATTTTTCTGGCCAGGTGCTGTGGCTCACGTCTGTAATTTCAGCATTTTGGGAGGCTGAGGTGGTCGGATTGCATCGAGCTGAGGAGTTTGGGACCAGCCTGGCCAACATGGCAAAACCCATCTCTACAAAAAATACAAAAATTAGGCCACGTGTGGTGGCTCACACCTGTAATCCCAGCACTTTGGGAGCCCAGGCAGGTGGATCACCTGAGGTCAGGTGTTCGAGACCAGCCTGGCCAACATGATGAAACCCCGTCTCTACTAAAAATACAAAAATTAACCGGGCATGGTGGCAGGTGCCTGTAACTCCAGCTACTCAGGAGGCTGAGGTAGGAGAATTGCTTGAACCCGGGAGGCAGAGGTTGCAGTGAGCCAAGATTGCACCATTGCACTCCAGCCTTGGTAACAAGAGCGAAATTGCATCTCAAAAAAACAAAAAACAAAAAACAAAAATTAGCTGGGCATGGTAGTGGGTGCTTATAATCCCAGCTACTTGGGAGGCTAAGGCGGGAGAATCACTTGAATCCAGGAGGCGGAGGTTGCAGTAAGCCGAGATCATGCCACTGTACTCCAGCCTGGGCAACAGAATGAGACTCAGAAAAAAAAAAAAAAGATTTTCTGATTGAAAGAGTTATCTAAAGACCTAGAATCAATAGAAAGGAATATTTTGCTTAAGACGGGTTGTGGAGATCAAGGGTTTATCAAGGAAGCCTCCAGGTAGCAGGCTTCAGAGAAAATAGATTGTAAATATTTCTTATCAGACTTAAAAAGGTGCCAGACTCTTAGTTAATTCTCTCCTGAATCAGGGAAAAGACCTGGAAAGGGAATCTCTGTAGAATGTAGCTTTTCCCCACAAGAGATAGCTTTGCAGGGCCATTTCAAAATATGTCAGAGAAATATATTTTAGGGTAAAATACTTTGATTTCTTTCCATACTGTATTAGTTAGGCTGGAACTTGGTGTCTTATTGCTACAAAAAAGTCTTACGATGATCAGTTATGTCTGACTTCCAAAGGCAGGAAGATAAAATGAGACATATTTGACCGCCACTTCCCATCATGACCTGAAGTAGTTTTTCAGGTTACCTTTGGAATACCTTTGGCCAAGAGGAGGGGTCCTTAGTATGGATGAGGACTTAGATTTTTTTTTTTTTTTTTTTTTGAGACAGGGTCTCCCCAGCTAGAGTGCAGTGGTGTGATCTTAGCTCACTGAAACCTCTGCTTCCCGGGCTCAAGCAATTCTTCAGCCTCAGCCTCCCATGTAGCTGACTACATGGTGTGAGCCACCAACATCTGGCTAATTTTTGTATTTTTTTTAGAGACAGGGTTTTACCACGTTGCCCAGGCTGGTCTTGAACTCCTGAGCTCAAAGCGATACACCTGCCTTGGCCTCCCAAAGTGAAGAGATTACAGGCATGAGCCACCATGCCCGGCCAAGAATTTTATTTTTAGTTTACACATCCTTGCTAACTTAGTAATTCCTTGTGAAATCTTGGTAGTTCTAACTCCAATACTGTGCATCCTCAAAGGCATTTCTGTCAGGAGCTTTTCAAGTTTCTTACAGGGTTTCTGCTGAAGTGCTACACCGCTGTTTGTTATGTAAAATGTGCATAAAAACATTTACCATTGTAACCATTTTTAAATGTAGAGTTCAGTGTCATTAAGTACATTCATAATGTTGTGCAACCATCATGACTATCCATGACTTGCGATACTGAAACAAACTCCATGTTCCTCTTCCCCTCAGCCTCTAGCAACCATCATTCTACCTTCTGTTGCTGCAAATTTGACTACTCCAGGACCTCATATAAATGGAATCACAGGCTGGCCACCCTGGCTTATGCCTGTAATCCCAGCATTTTGGGAGGCTGAGGTGGGCAGATCACTTTGAGGTCAGGAGTTAGAGACCAGCCTGGCCAACATGGTGAAACCCTGTCTCCACTAAAAATACAAAAATTATCCGGGCGTGGTGGCACATGCCTGTAGTCCCAGCTGCTCAGGAGGCTGAAGCGGGAGGATTGTTTGAACCCAGGAGGTGGAGGTTGCAGTGAGCTGAGATGGTACCACTCCACTCCAGCCTGGGTGACAGAGGAAGACTCCATCTAAAAAAAAAAATTTTTTTTAAATAAATGGAATCACAGTATTTGTCTTTTGGTGACTGTCTTATTTCACTTAGCGTAATGTCCTCAAGGTATATCCATAGCATACTATGTGCCTGAATTTCTTTGTTGTCATTGTAGTGTTTTTTTGTTTGTTTGTTTTTCTTTTTGGAGACAGAGTCTCTCTCTGTCGCCCAGGCTGGAGTGCAATGGCACGAGCTCAGCTCCCTGCAACCTCCAACCTCTTGGCTCTGATGAATCATGCTGCTATGAACATGGGTGTACAGGTATCTCTTTGAGACTGTGCTTTCAGTTCTCTTGAGTGTATCCCCAGAAGTGGAACTGATGGGTCACACAGTAATTCTGTTTGATTTTCTTTTTTGAGATGAATGCTCCGTATGTTGCCCAGGCGAGTCTTGAACTCCTGGGATCAAGTGATCCTCCTGCCTTGGCCTCCCAAAATGCTGGGATTACAGGCATGAGCCACCACGCCTGGCTTCTCTGTAGGTTTGAATTGCATTTTTCCTAATGATTAGTGACATTGAGCATCTTTTCATGTATTAGTGGCCATTTGTATGTATTCTTTGTAGTAATGTCTATTCTAGTCATGCACACTGGTGTTAACTTAATTTTTGTTGTTTTTTGTTTTTCAGTTCTAATCTCATTTTAGCAAAAACTTACCTTTTTAAATATCCTGTTGCATTGTAACATATACTTAGGTCCACAAATCTGAGCTCAGTGAGGATTATCCCATAGGCTTCTTTGTTTTTCGTGTCAGTCAATGCCAAATCAAAGCCCTTTGGGCTGGTGGTTTCTGTAGAACCACCCTGATTCAGTCTGAGGGCAAATAATCTCCTACACTTCAGGCTCACAGATTCATCTTTGGCTCATGCTAAGACATGTCCCGAGGTCATGTAGTTGAATGGCAGCTAAACTTATCTGAGTTGTTTAAAGTATTTTCTCCCCAGTGGCTTAGAGTTGAATTTGGATAAATCTGCTCTCTGTACAGTGTAACCACATTTGGCAGGTGCTCAATAAATGTTTGTGGAGTGAATGAGAGAGATGAAAGGAGACATCAGGATGGGTATGTCTGGTGAATGTGGCTTTCTCCTTCCTTGGAGAGCTGACCATTGACAGGTGTGCCAGTTTGTTACAGCTGTGTGACAAACAACCCAAACAACAGGCATCTTATTGTTTCTTGTGATTCTGCCTGGTTGGGCTCAACTGGATGGTTCTTCTGCTGGTATCGCTTGGGGCCTCTTGATGGCAGGTAGGGCTGGAATGTTTAATATGTCTGCATTTATGTGTGCAGCCCTTCGGCAGGGACACTGAGTTGTCTGGATCTCTCTCTCTCTCTCTGTGTGTGTGTGTGTGTGTGTGTGTGTGTGTGTGTGTGTGTCAGTCTTCCACGCTATGGCCTCTGAAGCTCAAAGCTCCTAGAATCACAGGTCTGGAAGTTGCCAGAGCTGTAACTTGCCCCACATCACTTCCACTGCAGGCCCAGATCCCAGGGGAGGGAACCTTGCAGGGGTCCAGACACTGTTGCTGTGGCCATGGGTTCCTCTTGCCTGAGCTGATGCTGAGGTTTCTCCCATGTCTCCCAGATGCTCAGTGACCTCCAGGAGTCTGTGGCCAGCTCTCGCCCCCAGGAGGTGTCAGCATACCTCACCCGCTTCTGCGACCAGTGCAAACAGGACAAGGCCTGCCGCTTCCTCGCGGCCCAGAAGGGGGCCTACCCCATCATCTTCACTGCCTGGAAGCTGGCCACTGCAGGTGACCAGGGCCTTCTGCTCCAGTCCCTCAATGCCCTGTCGGTGCTGACTGATGGACAGCCAGACCTCCTGGATGCCCAGGGCCTGCAGCTCCTAGTGGCCACGCTGACCCAGAATGCTGATGAGGCTGACCTGACCTGCTCTGGGATCCGCTGTGTGCGTCACGCTTGCCTGAAACATGAACAGAATCGGCAAGACCTGGTGAAAGCTGGCGTGCTGCCTCTGCTGACTGGTGCCATCACCCATCATGGCCACCACACTGACGTGGTCAGGGAAGCCTGCTGGGCCCTGCGTGTCATGACCTTCGATGACGACATCCGTGTGCCCTTTGGCCATGCCCACAACCATGCCAAGATGATTGTGCAGGAGAACAAAGGCTTGAAGGTGCTCATCGAAGCCACCAAAGGTAAGAGCTGGGGGCCGACACGAGCCAGCGAACAAAGTGGGCGGGTCAGATGTGACCAGAGTGAGGGTCAGGGCTCAGGACTGCTTTAGGCACGGCAGGCTCAAGGCTCCACTCGCCCCTCGGCTTAGACCTGCCTGCATGGCAGCCCTCGTGAAGAGTCTCCCCATGTTTTCTAGTGGCTCCAGGAGAATTCCAGGCCAGCACTCAGGGGCCAGGAGCAGGCCACAATCCCATCTCTGGAGCTGTCTGGGGAAGGGGCTTGCTGTGTCCAACTCCAGGGGCTGAGAGTGGGGAAGGGGGACCTCCCCAGAGGGAAATAAGAGGACTCGGGGGGGCTGGCTGGCATGCACCATGGCAGTCTCAGCTGGATGTGTACACGCTTGATCATATTCAGCCACAAATCCTTAGGCATATTCATGTGTCTGGCTCCAGGGTGACCATGGTGAGCCAGCCCTGGGAGGTCACAGTGCTGACCGTCAGACCCTAAAGCTTCTGTCTTAACCCCTACCCCCATCCCATCCACTGAACCCACCAGAAAAGTCCTGATTGACACACAGAAGGTGTTAGGAGGATGAGTTCCCCTTTCTTGCCTGCCCCGTCACTCTGGTTCTGTGGCCAGGCCTGTGTGGGGGTTCTGGCTCTGTCTGCTGAGGAGATGGGCCCACCTCAGTCTCCCTTCCACACCTCCAGCAAGGCTGAAAATGAGTCCCGACCTTCTGCAAAGTCAGGCTGCTTTTCCAGGAGGTAGCTCACATCTTTCCTGTTTTATTTATAGGAGCTCCAATCAGTTAGGTTTCTGCCAGAGACAGGATATGTATATATGAAGAGACTTTTTGGTAAGGAATGGGATCATGCAATTATGGCAAGTCTGTACTCCATAGGGCAGGCTGGAAACCCCCAGGCAGTCCCCTTTTCGGGGAAACACCTCAGTTTCCTTCTAAGGACTTCAGCTGATGGAATGAGTCCCATTCACATTGTTCAAGGTCATCTCCTCTACTTAAAGGCAACTGGGCTGGGCATGGTGGCTCATGCCTGTAATGTCAGCACTTTGGGAGGCTGAGGTAGAAGGATTGTTTGGGCCCAGGAGTTCAAGACCAGCCTGGGCAACATGATGAAACCCTGTTTCTACTAAAAATACAAAAATTGCTGGGCGTGGTGGTGGGCACCTGTAATCCCAGTTACTTGAGAGGCTGAGGCACAAGGATCTCTTGAGCCTAGGAAGGAGAAATTGTGGTGAGCCAAGATCACGCCACTGCACTCCAGCCTTGGTGACAAAGCGAGACTCTGTCTCAAAAAAATTAATAATAATAATAATAATAATAGATAGCTGATTGTGGATGGTAACCATGTGGACAGAATACCTCCACGGCAACACCTAGATTGGCATTGGGTGGAACTGCAGAGGGCTACAGGTGGTCACAGGAACTGACCGTCGCAGCCCTGTGTAGGTGCAGGATCTTCGCCCTCTTGGCGTGAGTGCCGGCACCTGCTTCCTGGTGCAGCGCCTCTGGGCTCCATCTGCGGCTCCTGTGTTCAGTTTTGGCCACGTCAGCCCAGTCCGTATGTGTCCCTCTATGGTTCTGGAGTTTCCTGTTGCACTTAGAGAAGCCATTCCTACCCCATGATCATAAAAATAGTCTTCAGATGTCTTTTTTTTTTTTTGCACTATTATAGTTTTCTTTTTTTAGGTGAGACCATGAGTTGGTATGGAATTTATTTGGGGCATGATGGAAGGAAGCGGGTTGGGGGGCACATTCTTAAGTCTTCCCAGCAGCCAGCAGGGGGCACTGCAGGCCCAGGTAGCCCCTGGTGTTCCCTGGGGCCTTCCTGGTGCCCGTGGCCACTCCAATAGGCAGAAGGGCTGGACTCTTCCAGTGGAGCAGGATCTCCACCAAAACAGAGGGCCCTGCGGCTGGTTCTTCCCGCCCCCACCACCGTCTCCCTTTCTCCCTGCAGCGTTCCTGGATAACCCTGGCATCCTGAGCGAGCTCTGTGGAACCCTGTCCCGCCTGGCCATTCGCAACGAGTTCTGCCAGGAGGTCGTCGACCTCGGGGGCCTGAGCATTCTGGTGTCCCTGCTAGCCGACTGCAATGACCACCAGATGAGGGACCAGAGCGGCGTTCAGGTATGAAGTCCCCCTGGCCCATTGCGTGCTGTCCTTCTGGGTCCCAGTCAACCGGACGAGCTATAGTCAGAACAAGCCAGCCCTGCCTGCCAGTGTCGGAACCAAAGTGCAGTTTTTCTTTTCACGGACCCAAGGGCAGGAACCAAAGGTCGGGGGGGAAACAAACCCACCTGCTCTCCCTTATTGTCCTTTTGCACCAGGAAAAGGATGGTAGGAAGCATAGGGTTGGGGTGTGTCGGCCAAGGCTGGGATACTTGGGTTAGTTCCCGCACCTCTGCCTCAGTTTCCCTAGCTACAGAATAGAGCAGTGTCCCTACTCATTACTCCGTTTAGCAGCCGATTATTGAGCCCTTCTCCATGTGCCCATCCACAGCAGGGAGCCAATCAACAGGTGCCTCCCTATCCAGCTGCAGCTGCAGGAAAGCCCCCAGGGGTGCCACGGTCCTGCGCCCCCAAGCCCAGCTGTTGACGTCAGCCAGCCTCTTTCTGTGCAAGTGGCCAGGAGCTGAATGGGAACCAACTTCAGCAAATGAAGGGATACATTTTGCCCTGTACTCCTGGGCAGTTGGGGGCAGGGTCCTCAGGTTCTCCATCGGGGGATCAGCAGTCCCAGTAGCACCTCATCCACTGTCCTCAGTGCAGGGCAGTTAGCGCCTACCCTGGGTCTGTGGCCGTGGACAGGGGGACCCTGTGCTCTGAAGGCCGGCCTGAGTCACATGCCCCCGCTGCCCCTGTCGGGGTAGGGGATCAAGTCACCTGGATGGTACCGTTTGGACACAGGCAGCCTGAGCCACAGGCATCTGCCACCCCTTCTCGTTAGTCACACCCTGCAGTCACACCATACCTGTTGGTCAAACAGCAAAACAGCCCCACATTCTCCCTCAGAGCCCTCTCCCACAACCAGCGGCCTGGCTGGAGGTGAGCGGGCCTTTCCCTTGTGCAGGAGCTCGTGAAGCAAGTGCTGAGCACCCTGCGAGCCATCGCAGGCAACGACGACGTGAAAGATGCTATTGTCCGTGCTGGTGGGACGGAGTCCATCGTGGCTGCTATGACCCAGCATCTGACCAGCCCCCAGGTACCCACCTCGGGGGGCACACACAGTAGCAGGGTGGTGGCTGGAGTCCCAGTTCAGTTTCTGTATCTGCATGAAGCTCTATTCCCCTGCAGGGCCAGGGCAGGGCTGGTGAGGGTCGTGGGCATTGGCTCTCAAATGCTGACCTGCGTATGCATGACTTTGGGTGTCCTGGAGTTACCACCAGCACCCTGCAAAGATCTGACCAGGCCTATTGCCCTTGTCACCCCTAAGAGCTGAGCTGATATTTTTGTCACCCTGCCATTATTACACAGGAGTTGCCAGAGACCCACGGAGGGGAGGCCGCAGGGTGTTCACCAGGGGTTGGTGGCCATGGCAGGATGTTGTGGGGGGTCTATCTGCTGCATCTCAGCCTTTCTGTGACTGGCCCCTGCAGGTGTGTGAGCAGAGCTGCGCGGCCCTGTGCTTCCTGGCCCTGCGTAAGCCCGACAACAGCCGCATCATCGTGGAGGGTGGCGGGGCTGTGGCAGCACTGCAGGCCATGAAGGCACACCCGCAGAAGGCCGGCGTGCAGGTGGGCAGGGCAGGGGATGGGGGCAGGCAGGCTGGTGTGGGATGTGCAGGTAGGTGCAGAGAGGGCATGGGAGCAGGTGCGGTGTGCGGGTGGGTGATGGGGCAAAGGCTCAGTCCCTATCCCTATCCCTGTCCCTGTCCCTCCCACAGCCGAGCCCCATAGGGCCAACTTCTTTCTCATCTTGCAAAATGTGCTGAATTCTGCCTTCATTTGCCTCCTTCTCTGCCTTTGTTTTTTCTGCATTTACTCTCCTTTTTTGGGGAGGGGGTAGTTTGGAGGGGCTTTCTGGTGAAACCCTGGAAAGAAAGCTATAACACGTAATCTCCTTCTGTGGGTTTTTTTTTTTTTTTTTTGAGACAGTCTCACTCTGTCGCCCAGGCTGGAGTGCAGTGGCGCCATCTCAGCTCACTGCAACCTCTGCCTCCTGGGTTCAAGCGATTCTCCTGTCTCAGTCTCCCGAGTAGCTGGGATCACAGGCATGGGCCACCACGCCCAGCTAATTTTTGTATTTTTAGTAGAGACAAGGTTTTGCCATGTTAGCCAGGCTGGTCTCGAACTCCTGACTTCAGGTGATCCACCCACCTCCACCTCCCAAAGTGCTGGGATTACAGGTGTGAGCCACCGCACCCTTAATCTCCTTTTTTAAAAGTCCCTATAGAGAGATCTGGGGAGAAAGAAGTTGGGGAAGCGTGGATGGGGATCTGCCTGGGGTTTCAGAAAGGTTTCTGCCCCCTCCTTGGGCTGCTGGTCTGAGTTCTGAGTGTGGGACACCCTGTCCACACCTCCCTGGCTGAACCCAGACTCCTCCGTGCAGCCCCCGGGGCCCTCCTCGCCTCCTCACTCCCAGCATAGGATTCTTGGACACACCAGGCTGGGACCCACAGGGGGCCTTTGCTCTCGCTGGCTCTTACTCTGGGACACTGACCCTTACCTGGTCTGACCCCTTGTCCACTTCTGGCCACCCTGGCCAGCAGTTCCCCACTCTGCATGCGCTTCCCACCTGCTGTCCTGCTGGTGGTGGGAGCCACCCTGGGAAGCTTCCAGGCAGTGCCCCGCGCCCACCCACAGCAGGTGCACAGGGCACAAATGTCCACTGAATGGGTAGGGATGTAATTGACAGGTGCCTGTGCACAACCACTGTCTTCCCGTGGCCTCACTGCCCCCTTGCCCTAGGGCCCCTTCCTTGGCTCTGTGCCAGCCTCGGGGGACCTCAGGCTCACCAACTCTGAGGCTGAGAGTTCCAAAGCCATAGGATAGATCCTGGAGCTTCCCTGAGCCTGTTTCCTTGCCTGGGAGTTAGCCATGCCTTGTGGGGCTGCCAAGAGGGTAAAGTAGAGAGATGGGTCTAGCTTGATACAGTATAGGCAGCTGCTGGATGTCAGCTGTGGTTATGATCACCTCCATCTTGTTATGATGAAGACCCTGAGGTCAGAGTGGACCCCACCCCAAAGCCCCATCTGGCAGCTCACAGCTGCTCTCTCCTACAGAAACAGGCTTGCATGCTGATCCGAAACCTGGTGGCCCACGGCCAGGCCTTCTCGAAGCCCATCCTGGACCTGGGGGCTGAGGCACTCATCATGCAGGCCCGATCTGCCCACCGTGACTGTGAGGACGTGGCCAAGGCCGCCCTGCGGGACCTGGGTTGTCATGTCGAGCTCCGAGAGCTGTGGACAGGCCAGAGGGGCAACCTGGCGCCATGACCCCAGGCCCAGTCTGGGCCGTGACTCTGGGTGAGTCGTGTGACTCAGGAATGGGGGTAGATCCATGTCCTCCACTGTCCCCCATTAGTTCTGTCCCCTTCACAATGAGAAGTGTTTTCTGGCAGGCCCTAGGTAAAGGGTCGGGGGAGGGGGGAGCCTTGTAGGGAGGCCTCTACACAGAAGAAAGCAGCCCCCATGTCCCAGCCACTTCTGGGTCCCAGCCAGCAGCACGGATGTTACTGTCCTGCTCCTTCCCCCAGCCCCACGCCCTACCAGAGGGGGCAAAGGGCACGTCCCATCACTCACTGCCCTGTCTGAAATGTGGCAGCCACTGTGGGCCAGGCTCAGGGCAGGGCAGGCGATTCCAGTGGGGTTGGGCCCCCTGGCGCCTGCTGCTTACTGCAGTTTCATGCAGGCCTCTGCTCCTTGTCTTTCTTACCTGTAAAATGGGTCTCAGATGCTCCGCCCTGCTTGGCCCCAGCTTGTCTGTCTCTGGGTCCTGGGCCAGCCAGGATACCTGATAATAAAAGATCATTGGGTGAACAGCGGAGGGGTCTCTTCCATAGCTTGGCTGAGCATGGGGGGCCACAGTCAGTGGCCTCAGAGTGTGGGGGAGAGACAGACATTTTGGTGGGGGGGGCCATGGAGTCACTGAGGATAGCAAAGGGGTTTTGGGAACAGCCAGGGATCTAGGATCTGCTGTCACCCTCAGACAGGCAGGCGCTGAGGCCATGGTCAGGATCACTGTTTCTGACGTGTACCACCTGCAGGGCCGGAGGGCTCCACGTTCATCCCCTACTCAGCTCTGCGGCCTTGAGCAAGTGAAAGAACCTCTCCGAGCCTCAATATGCTCCTCCTAAAGTGAGGAGTGGGGCAGTGATAGATCGCCCTCTGAGAGGTGTTGGACCAGGCTGAGCACATGGAGGGTGTCCAGTTGTCTTAGGCTGGGTGTCCTAGGTACCCAACCTCTTGTCTCTGAGCCTCGATTTCCCCATCTATAAGATAGACATCGGCGGGCACGGTGGCTCATGCCTGTAATCCCAGCACTTTGGGAGGCTGAGGTGGGTGGGTCACTTGAGGTCAGGAGTTCGAGACCAGCCTTGCCAATATGGTGAAACCCCGTCTCTACTAAAAAAATACAAAAATCAGCCCAGTGTGGTGACGTATGCCTGTAATACCAGTTACCTGGGAGGCTGAGACAGGAGAAGTGCTTGAACCCGGGCAGCAGAGGTTGCAGGGAGCTGAGATCACGCCACTGCACTCCAGCCTGGGCAACAGAGCAAGACTCTGTCTCAAAAAAAAAAAAAAAAGACATCATTGTTGTTGCCCTCAGTGACCACCCCACCCCAAGCATTCTGGGGGTGCCCAGACAGCTGTGGCCCTGCAGACCCCAGCTCTTCTGCTCTGAAGTCACACTCAGAGGTCACACCGTGGTCACTAGGTGGCTTGTGCATCTCTTGTGGCCTCACGGGGGTCCGGGCAGCCTCATGACCACTGGTGTGTGCCCTAGCCTTCCTGCCCACACCTTGGAGGCCTCTCCCCTCTTGGACCCTCGCCCCTGCTTGTCATGTGCCTCCCCGAGCCCCAGGATGGCCTGGGCTCAGTCCTTGACCTCAGGGACACTCCTTTCCCAGCAGGCCCCCAGCTTCCGTGGAATCCAGCCGATGCAAACAGCTGAGGAGCGTCACCCTGGCTGCACCTCTCCGTGGTGTCCCCGTCTCCCCTGCCCCCAGCAGGAAAGGGTGCTCTCAGCTCAGCAGGGCTGGCCCAAACCTCTGACCCAGTCACCCCGCCCTATCCCTCCTCCCTGGAGACTCCCAGGATGTGGGAGAAAGATCTCGAATCTGCCCCAGACTGCCCTGACTTAACTTCTGGGCCAGTGTGACCTTGGGCAGTTCTCAAGCATTTCTTCATCTGTCATGTGGCGGGGTAGGTGCTCCTGAGCTATTTCGAGGACGGCCTGCAGTGCTGGCCCTGTCATTCCTGCTCCAGCCTTGCTCTCAGTCTGCCCATGGCTCCCCTTTGCCTTCTACATAAAACCAAACCTGTCTGTGGTCCCAGCAACTTGGGCTAAGGCGGGAAGATCACTTGAGCCCAGGAGTCAAGGCTGCAGTGAGTTAGGATGGCACCACTGCACTCCAGCCTGGGTGACGGATCAAGAGCTTGTCTCAAAAACAAACAAACAAACAAAAAAATGCACTTCATGCCCTGCAGACCCAGTATGGCCCAGGCCTTGCCCATTTCCCAGTCTTTCCACTGTACTCACTCCCTATTCCCCCACCCCAGGGCCTTTGCACAAGCCCCCATGTGACAAGCCATGCCCTCTGCCTAGAAGTGCCCTTCCCTTGGCCTTCCCCGTGGCCGGCTCCTCCTAGCACATGAGGTTTCAGCTCACGTTGCCTTCTCCAGGAGAGACCCCCATCTCATCACCTCATGTGCTCTGGCTCTGACACTGGGCCCCATCTGAGGTCACCTCATTTGTGAACTCTCCTGTTTGTCTTGCCCCCACCATCGGCTGGCTCCCTGCAGGGAGGCCCCTGTCCCCACTTGCTGTGCCTTCAGCTTCCCGTCAGTGTTTTTGAGTGTTCACCTGAATAAACTGACAAGCACTCGAGGTCCCTGCCAGGTGGCCCCAGCGTCCTCCCCTGGGCCTGGGCCAAGCTGCAGGCTTCTTCAGGAAGGGGTGGTTCTGCCTTATCTGTCCCTCCCACCTTAGCCCAAGGAAGTGGGTGTCTTCAGTAGATGCAGCTAGCATGTTTGGACAGCCTCAGGTTGGGTGGGGGCCCCTCACCAAAGATCTCACATTTCCCTGGGGTTATGGCCTGGCTTTCCATCCCCCCTCGGCCACTTCAGGCATATCACCTCCCGTCTGTGAGCCTCGGCCTTCTCATCTGAACTCAGGCTAGATCTGGCACACTGGAGGGCCACAGCCCCTAGAAAGGCGCGCTTCAGGGGATGTCCAGAACATAACTCCCCCCAGCCCCCATCCCCGTCGCCTTCCCTTTTCTGTCACCCAGGCTGGAGTGCAGTGGCGCCATCTCGGCTCACTGCAAGCTCTGCCTCCCAGGTTCACACCATTCTCCTGCCTCAGCCTCCTGAGTAGCTGGGATTACAGGCGCCTGCCACCACCCCCGGCTAATTTTTTTGTATTTTTAGTAGAGATGGGGTTTCACCTTGTTAGCCAGGATGGTCTTGATCTCCTGACCTCGTGATCCGCCCGCCTCGGCCTCCCAAAGTGCTAGGATTACAGGCGTGAGCCACCGCACCCGGCCCTGGCCTTCTCTTAAGTAGCTTTTGCTGTCCTCCTTGATGACATCGAGACCTGGGCTGAGGTGGAGCCTGCTGCAAGGATGGTGCGAGTGTGTTCAGGCCACGCCTCTGCTACTGTAGGCTCTTGGTGAAGTGGCCTGACTTATCTGAGCCTTGGGAGGTGAATGAGGCCACTCTGACCCCAGCCAGGCTTGGTTGTTGTCACTGCTGTGTTCAGGATGTCTCCCTCCAGCCAGGGATGGGCTTGGGCTCCTGGGAAAGGAACACAGATTTTTTCTGTTGTGAACATACATCTCCCAGAGGCTGGACTAAACCTCATTTTCCAGATAGGAAATAGACTCATGGGCATTTGAGGGGCTGCGGTGGGATGAGACCACAGCTTGGCCTGCCTCCAGGCCCCTCATCTTTTTCCAAAGCTGTTAACCTGACCTTGGGCAAAAGGCCTTTGGGCCTCAGGTGATTAGGCCTGGACGCTGTGCCAGGGCCTGGCTCACAGATGATTCCTGGGATCCCCAAGAGGTAGAGGAGACTGGAGGGCGAAGAGGCAGTGTCCTGTCCAGGGCTGGCCAGCCAAAGCAGAAGAGCCGAGATCCTGGGCACCCTAGCTGGGCTTACATGAGTGCCCATGGTGGGGGTGTCCATTGCTATTGCCAAGGTGCTTTGCCTGCCATTGCTGGAAGGCGGTAGGGAGGTTGGCTGGCGCCAGCCTGCTAAAGAACGAGCAGAAGCTAGAGAGGCAGCCCCAGGCTGGGCCAGAGCCTGACCTTTGCCTTAGTTGGCTCTGTCCCTGGAGGCACTGTGGGACCTTCCAGGAGCTTTGTTACCTCCCCCTCCCAGGGCCTGGCAGGTGGGCACTGGGAGTGGGCGCTCCTCGGCGTAGATATCTCCCTCTTGGTGTGGCAAGCCACGCCCATAGTTGGTCTGTGTCCATGAAGCGCTATTTACAGAGAGGGAAACAGGCCCAGAGAAGAACAATATATCATCACCAGCCTTCCATGAGTGCTTACTGTGGACGAAGCCATTGTAAGTGTTTTGCTTCCATTTCATCAATGCTCACATCAGCCCTAGGAGACAGCCGGGAAACTGAAGTGGGGAGCTTGTGTTATTTGCTGAAGGTCCTGTGGCTGTTACTGGCCATTACTTACGTTAAAAAGAGCAGGGATTCAAACTCAGCCCTGGGTCCTTCCACCAAGGAATATTCTCCACCATAGGCTCAGTTTTCTTATCTGCTAAGTGGGCACTGTCACGTCCACCTGGAAGTGAGGTGGGGAGATGGTATTGGAGAAAGCCCAGTGGGGACCTGGCACCCAATTGATGTTCAACTGACCTCAGCTTCCCCCTCTTCTCTGGAGGGCAGAATGGAGGCCAGATCCTGGAAGTTGCCAGGAAGCAAACCACAGGTGGGAGGTATGGGAGAGGAGGTCCAGGTAGGCATATCGTGAGAATATCAGGAGTTTGATGATGGCCTTGGGCTAGTGATTTCCCGTCACATCCTCCCCATTTGAAACTTGTGGATCACACACTTAGCAGGGGCTTGTGCAGCCCTGAAATGTGAGCCCTTTCTAAGGTTGGTTTCAGCCTTGCTCCCTCCCAGGATTCCCTGGTTCTGAACTTGATCTCCACCAACCCTGGCCAGCACCTAGAGGAAATAAGAGCTGGTATCTGGAAACATTTGTAGCCCTCTCCATCCTGAAGATGAAGGGTGAGTCATAGAACAGAGTGGCTTCGGGGGAGGTGCCGATGACACAGCCATGCCTGGGATGGCAGGTGTCTCCCTAAACTGCCGGCATTTTTCTGCACTTCACAGAGGAGCTGAGGCTCACAGGCCGCACATGACCTGCTCAGGGTCAAATGCTTTCACCAGATAATTAAAATGAGAGCTGAGTTGTAAATTTTCCCAGGGAAGCAACCCCAGAGAGGAAAGATCAAGGCATAGGAATCATTTTCCCCCCTCTTTTCCAAATGAAACAGCTGAGGCTCACAAGGGCTTTTGCCCAAGGTTGTGTGGTGGGCCAGTGATTGGACAAGGATTCAAACCCAGGTCTCTGAGGCCCCCAGTGGCTCTTCTCTGACACACTCTTTCCAAAAAGCAGGCTGCTCTAGATTCATTCTCTGGTTTAGCAACCAGAGAATGCTGTGTAACCTTGGGCAAGGAGCTTGACCTCTCTGTGCTCTGGTTTCTGTAAAAGGAGCCAGTGGTCTCTCTGACCTCATGGGATTGTGGTTAAGATTCAGTTAATTCAAAAAAAGACTTGGCAGGGAGAAGGCCCAACAGGGATGTCACTGGATACCGTGGCGGGGAAAGCTGGGACGCAGAGAGGTCAGACACTCAGAAAACCACGCAGCGCGTTTCAGTAGGATTCCGCCCCTTATTTCCATGTCTTCACACCACCTCGAGATGGAGAGGGCAGTTCAGAGTGACCTCCAGCGAATCTGCCCTCTCCGTGTCGTCTGCAGGGGATTAGTGGGGAGTAAGGGGATAGAGAATTATCCAGGAGTCCTTCAGCCTTGATGGTCCAAGTTCACATCCGCTTCTGTGCTAGGTGGCCAGAGGGCGGGCTCTACACGAGAGCCTCAGGGGACCCTGCGCCAGGCGTCCGAGGCCACGTCGGGTTGCCGCGCTCCGGGTCGGACTGCACCTTGAACGCTCCAGCCCTCCCCTGGGGGCGTACCGCCCACGGCCGCTGCGACTGGCCGCGGGGCCTGCCAGTCTTCGGCTTTGCGGCCAATCCCGGTCTCCCCCCAAGCTACGCCCTCCGTTCCTCTCGCCTCTGCCCCACCGGTAGCGCCAGTTTCTTCGTAGCCCCGCCCCTGGCCCCCAGCGATTGGCCGACAGTTCTGCCTGTTTTCTGCCAAGATTCCAATCCTCGCCTGCCTCCAGGCCCTCGCCTCCCAGCGCCTAGCACCCTGAGGGACCACTCAGGCACCCCAGGCCTCTCCCAATAGCCCCACCTCTGCCAATCAGCGATTGGCTTTAGGGGCTGCCCATCTGCTTCATACTCGCCAATCACTGTCGCTTCCAGCGCTGACTGGCCAGGGAGCAGCCAATCGGGGCGTGGCGTGGACCCCTCCCGTGGCGCGCTCTGGGGGTGCGCGAGGCGGGGCCGTGGCGGCTGGAGGTAGCGGCGGCGGCGACGCGTCCGGGCCGGTGAGGGGGCGCGGGGGGCGCCGGGGGGGCCCAAGCGTCAGCGGCCCGCGCCTGTCGGGCTGAACTGAGGTGAGGCACGGGTCCTGTCATGGATCCCGGGGCGAGGGGCGGATGAGGCGGGGCATGACAGTAGCGTCGCGAGGGCAGGAAGAGGTTAAAGACCCCCCCCAACCCCACACTCCACGTCTACTGCCCCCTGGGGGCTACTGCATCCAGGTTTGAGCCCGTCACCCGCAGTCCACGCACGCCTGACACCACGTCCCTTTTCGTTGACATCCCCCATACACTTTAGACTGTCCTTGCTGACATCTCCCACACCCCTGGGGCCTTGTCCCCGGCGCCCCGCACAGCTGGGTCTGACATCCCCCTCACACACCTGACACCGCGCCCCCACTCACGAACACCCGCCCCCACTCACGAACACCCCCCACATCACCTGAGTCTGTCCTTGTCGATGACACCCCCACACCCACACCTGAGCCTGTGACTCCTAACTCATGGCCTCGCAACTCACACCTGGACCTAGTCCCGTCCCCCACTGCCTTTCCTCATATCCAGGTATCTGCTCGCTACTCTCGTGCCCACTCCCCCAGCAACCTGTGTCTCTCTTCTCAGGGACCTTCCCCCTGGCACCTGCCCTCTGCCCTGGCAGCCCCACACCTCTGTCTCCCCCTTTTCTCTCTCCCACCTTGGGCTTTCTTCCACGTGCACCTGTGTTCGCACACCCTCTGTAATAATCCCCCCGAATCCCCCAGGTCCTCCAATAGTCCCCCAAGCCTTGGTATCTCAGGATCGCTGCACCCTCCCCTCCCCAAACAAAAGCTTACCCCAGTGTTCATTTCTAACAGTGCTTGACAGTCTATAAAGTGATTTCCGGACCTTAGAATAATCCCATCTGTCAGACCAAACCGGAATCATCTCCATTTTACCAGCCACAGACCTAAACCACTTGAATGCTAGAGGCAGAGCCTATTCTACCCTGGGCATCGCTGACCCTCTGCTGTGGACCCACCGCGTTTGGGCCCATCTGTTATGTTTATCTCAGAGGGATTGGCAGGAGTCGTGACTTTGACTGGGTCCGGAAAGGCTTAGCTGGAAGGGACGGCCCCTCTGCCAAGCGTGTGTCTCGGAGTCCTGGGGCAGGCTGGCGGTGGAGACGCTGCCGGAGGAGGGGGGCTCATCATCTTGGGTGCCTCCTGCAGGATGCCGGAGAGGGGGTTGCCGGGGCCGGGGCTCCCAGCTCTTGCAGACCCGGGACCCCTCTCCGACACTCCCTGGGCCCTTGAAGCCGATAAAGAGTAAGGAAACACTCTTTAGAGTGAGGCAAACTAATGTTTCAGCTGTTTAAAGCTAACCTGCAAAACGAGCCTGGGTGGTGCTAGGAATGATTCTTCTGGAATTTTTTAGTTCCCTTGAGTCTGATTTGCAAGCATGCAGCATAGAAGGAGGACAGTGGCTTTGTTGTTGAAAAGCAATAACGTGCCATTTCCTGTAAGGCTCCTGGAGCGTTTCTTACCCCCTCCCACCGCTCCCTGCAAAGACGGTACCAGAATGTTTCAGAGGGTCATGTCACCTTCAGCTTCTCCTGTGGAAACTGAAGCCATTTGGGTTTTCTGTCCAACTTCAATAGGAGTCATTTAAAACATATATGGGCATGTATGTATATATGTATGTATATGTGTGTGTGTTGTACACATATGTACATGTACCTATAATATTCATATGTTTATATACATATTTTATATATACATATTTCGTGTGTGTTATATATGTACATGTGTATAAACTTTGGCAAGATCATTGAGTATATAGTTTTTGGGTTTTTTTTGAGACGGAGTCTTGCTCTGTTGCCCAGGCTGGAGTGCAGTGGTGTGATCTCGGCTCACGGCAACCTCTGCCTCCTGGGTTCATGCAGTTCTCCTACCTCAGCCTCCTGAGTAGCTGGGATTACAGGCATGTGCCACCACACCCAGCTAATTTTTGTATTTTTAATAGAAACGGGGTTTCACCATGTTGGCTAGGCTGGTCTCGCACTCCTGACCCCAAGTGATCTGCTCGCCTCAGCCTCCCAAGATGCTGGGATTACAGGCGTGAGCCACCACACCCGGCCTATTATATAGTTAAAAAGAAAAAATCAAACAGTACAAAAGGTCACATAGTAGAAATCAGTCAGGTCTTCCCCAGCCTGTACCCCGTTCCTCCTCAGATGCACCTGCTGTTGATAATTTCTTATGTTTTCTTCCAGAGGTAGTCTATGACTGGGGTGGCAGAAAGGGGTCGGGGGAGGTATATATCCCCCACCCCTTTTAAACCACTGGTAAATTTGCATTGAGCAGACATATGCATTCTAAGGCCAGTCCCTTACTGATGGCTGTTTAAGCTGCAGCCCATATTTTTTTTTTCTTTCTTTTTTTTTTTTTGAGTTGGATTCTTGCTCTGTCGCCCAGGCTGGAGTGCAGTGGCGCGATCTCGGCTCACTGCAAGCTCCGCCTCCCAAGTTCAAGCCATTCTCCTGCCTCAGCCTCCTGAGTAGCTGGGACTACAGGCACCCACCACTACACCCGGCTAATTTTTTCATATTTTTTTAGTAGAGACGGGGTTTCACTGTGTTAGCCAGGATGGTCTCGATCTCCTGACCTTGTGATCAGCCTGCCTCGGTCTCCCAAAGTGCTGGGATTACAGGCGTGAGCCACTGCGCCCAGCCACTGCAGCCCATATTTAGCTTTTACAAACAGAGCTGCAATGGATAGATGCATGCATCAGCATGTACTAAATACACATTGAACGTATTTGGGCTCCAGCCGTGCTCAGACACTTCAGACCCCCCTGTCTTGCTGGCCATGCCTGTAGTCCACAGTTACTCAGGAGGCTGAGGTGGGAGGATTGCTTGAACCAAGGAGTTCAAGGCTGCAGTGAGCTATAATCATGCCACTGCACTCCTCTCCAGCCTGGACGACAGAGCTAGACCCTGTCTCAAAAAAAAAAAAAAAAAAGGGCCAAGTAAAAGGGCATATTCCTCCTCCTCCTCTCAACTGTGAAGTTGGAAAGCCTGATTCCTCTCCTGTGGCCAGCTCAGTTATCTTACTATCAAGTTTTGTGGTCTGTCCCATCTGATAGGTAAAAAACAGCACAAGAGATCCTTTTGAACATCACTTCCATGCTTCCTACCCCTGTCTTAGGTGTTCTGGCTTGTGGGGTAGGGATTAAACATTAGACTTGTTTCTCTGCCAGTCAGACTAAAGTTCAAGAAATATTTGGGGCTGGATGCAGTGGTTCACACCACCCAACACTTTGGGTGGATGAGGCAGGTGTATTGCTTGAGCCCAGGAGTTTCAGACCAGCTCGGGCAACATGGTGAAACCCTATCTCTATAAAAAAAATTTTAAAATTAGCCGGGCGTGGTGGCGTGCGTAAATAGTCTCAGCTAGTTGGGAGGCTAAGGTGGAGAACTGCTTGAGCCCAGGAGTTCAATGCTGCAGTGAGCTATGATTGCACCATTGCACTCCAGCCTGGGCAACAGAGCAAGACCCTGTTTTTCTGTTAAAAAAAATTTTTTTTGAGTTCCTGCTCTGTGAAGCTTGTCCCTATAGCAGGGAGCAGTGGTGGTGCTGAGATTTTGGCTCAAGGTACCTCAACAAGAACAGTTGCTAGAAGAACCATTTAGCTGTTGCTGATTTTTTTTTTTTTCACTTGGGTCTAGGAAAAGAAAGATGAGGGCATCATGAGAGATTGAGACGAGTCAGATGTTAAATCTGTCTGGGAAGCTGTTTCGAGACTCTCTCCAATTGTCCAATTTCTCACCACTGGTGCCAGATGGAGGGTGTCGTCATACTGAAGTCAGGCCTCTGCCCACGTGTCATACAGTTTTTTTTGTCTGTCTCTTCTATTTTGGCAGTTAGACATTAAGAGGGGATTATTGAGATAATCAGAATCATTCGCTCGTTTGGGTTTTGCAAGACAGAGCTTTTAAAAGTGCATTTGCATTTTTTATTTTAAACATGAAATACTTCTTCATAAAAAGTATATTGGCCGGGCACAGTGGCTCACACCTGTAATCCCAGCACTTTGGGAGGCCGAGGCGGGCAGATCATGAGGTCAGGAGTTCAAGACCAGCATGACCAACATGGTGAAACCCTGTCTCTACCAAAGAATACAAAAATTAGCCAGGCGTAGTGGCATGCGCCTGTAATCCTAGCTACTCAGGAAGCTGAGGCAGGAGAATTGCTTGAACCCGGGAGTTGGAGGTTGCAGTGAGCTGAGATCACACCATCGCACTCCAGCCTGGGCGACAGAGCGAGACTCTGTCTCAAAAAAAAAAAAAAAAAGTATATCATGTCGGGCCAGGCATGGTGGCTCACGCCTTTCATCCTAGCACTTTGGGAGGCCGAGGCAGGTGGATCACTTGATGTCAGGAGTTCAAGACCAGCCTAGCCAACATGGTGAAACCCCGTCTCTACTAAAAATACAAAAATTAGCCGGGCATGTTGGTGGGCGCCTGTATTCCCAGCTACTCTGGAGGCTGAGGCAGGGAGAATTGCTTAAACCCGGGAGGCGGAGGTTGCAGCGAGCCAAGATCGTGCCACTGCACTCCAGCCTGGGCAACAGGGCAAGACTCTGTCTCAAGAAAAAAATAAAAACAAAAATAGCCGGGTGTGGTGGTGCATGCCCATAGTCCCAGCTACTCGGGAGACTGAGGCAGGAGAATCGTTTGAACCCTGGAGGCGGAGGTTGCAGTGAGCTGAGATGGCACCACTGCACTCCAGCCTGGGTGACAGAGCGACACTCAGTCTCAAATAAATAAATAAATAAATAAATAAATAAATAAATAAATTAGCTGGCCTTGTTGGCATGTACCCATAGTCCTAGCTACTCAGGAGGCTGAGGTGGGAGGATCACTTGAGCTCAGGGGGTTGAGGCTGCAGTGAGCCATGGTTTGTGCCACTGCACTCCAGCCTGGGTGACAGTGAGGTTCTGTCTCTTTAAAAAAAAAAAAAAAGTATATAACATGTATGTGAAAAGAAAGAAGATTTAACCAATAATAAAATTAGCACCCAACTCAGGAAGTAGAACGATGTCCCCTGGAGGCCCCACCCTGTTCACAGAGCTATTTTTAAAATATGCTTGTCAACATTTGTTTTCTTCACTGAGCACCTTTTGCTACTACCATCTTGGGCAGAATGCTTGGATTCCAGGGGCTCAACAAAGTTCTCTGCTGGCCAGATTTTCTGCTGAGCTCTCTGCCAGCCCAGCAGCCTGTGAGGTTCTGGCAGGCAAATGGCTGAGGACAAGCCACCAGCTGAGGGGCAGGCCAACACTTGGAGGCTTGGCCTCAGATCCCTGCATATTCGTTTCCCGTGGCTGCCATAATAAATTACCACAAACTGGGGGGCTTCAGACAACAGAAATGTATCCTGTCGTAGTTGTGGAGGCCTAAAGTCCAAAATGAAGGTGTCAACAGGACTGGTTCCTTCTGGAGGCTCTGAGGGAGTCCTTCCCAGGCCTTTCTCCGGGCAAACTTTGAAGTTCTTGGCTCGTGGCTACATCACTCCAGTCTCTGCCTTTGTATTAATGTGGCTTTCTCCCTGTTGTGTGTGTCTTTGTGTCCTCTATTTTTTCTTTCTTTTTAGAGATGGGGTCTCACTATGTTGTTCACGCTGGAGTGCAGTGATATGATCATAGTTCACTGCAACCTCTAACTCTTTGGCTTAAGTGATTCTCCCGCTTCAGCCTGCTGAGTAGCTGGGACTATAGGCGCAGGCCACCACTCCTGGATCTCCTCTTCTTTTTTTTTTTTTTTGAGACAAGCTCTTGCTCTGTTGCCCAGGCTGGACTGCAGTGGTGCGATCTTCGCTCACTGCAACCTCTGCCTCCCAGGTTCAAGCGATTCTCCTGCCTCAGCCTCCCGAGTAGTTGGGATTATAGGCATGCACCACCACATCCAGCTAATTTTATTTTTTATTTTTTTGAGACAGAGTCTTGCTCTATCGCCCAGGCTGGAGTGCAGTGGCATGATCTCGGCTCACTGCAAGCTCCACCTCCCAGGTTCACACCATTCTCCTGCCTCAGCTTCCAGAGTAGCTGGGACTACAGGTGCCCGCCACCACGCCCGGCTAATTTTCTGTATTTTTTTAGTAGAGACAGGGTTTCACTGTGTTAGCCAGGATGGTCTCGATCTCCTGACCTTGTGATCCGCCTGCCTCGGCCTCCCAAAGTGCTGGGATTACAGGTGTGAGCCACCCTGCCTGGCCATTTTTTTTTTTTTTTTTTTTAGACAGAGTTTTGCCCTTGTTGCCCAGGCTGGAGTACAATGGTGTGATCTCGGCTCACCGCAACCTCCACCTCCCAGGTTCAAGCCATTCTCCTGCCTCAGCCTCCCAAGTAGCTAGGATTACAGGTGCGCACCACCGCATCCAGCTAATTTTTGTATTTTCAGTAGAGACACGGTTTTGCCACGTTGGCCAGGCTGGTCTTGAACTGACCTCAAGTGATCTGCCCAACTCGGCCTCCCAAAGTGCTGGGATTACAGATGTGAACCACTCCCGGCCGATCCCCTCTTCTTATAAGGACACTAGTCCTTGGGTTTAGGGCTCACCCTAAATCTCAAGGTGAACTCATCTTAAGATCCTTAACTGATTGCATCTGCAAAGACCCTATTTCCAAAGAAGGCCATGTTCTGAGGTTCCAGGTGGACATGAATTTGGGGGATGTCATTCAACCCTTATACTTGCTGAGCTAGTTATTTCCAACAGGACATTATTAAGGGAAATGCTTGTTCAGGTACCTCTGTTACTTCAGGAAGAATAGGCCAATGGGGTCGGACACATTCCTCAGCCCCTCCAGATGGCTCATGTTGGCAGCTTTGCTTACTCACCTGTCTCCCTCGGAAGGTGGAGGCATCCAGATGCTCTAAGCCACCAAGGACCTGACTAGTGAATGCATACCGTCTTTTTTTTTTTTTTTTTTTAATACAGGGTCTCACTTTCTCACTTTGTTGCTGAGGCTGGAGTGGGAGTGTGGTGGCAAGATCACAGCTCACTGCCACCTCGAATTCCTGGGCTCAAGTGATCCTCCTGCCTCAGCCTCCCAAGTAGCTGGGACTATAGGCATGCACCACCAAGCCCGGCTAACTTTTAAATTTTTTGTAGAGACAGGGTTTCTCCATCCTTCCCAGACTGGTCTCAAACCCCTGGGTTCAAGCCATCCTCCCGCCTCATCCTCCCAAAGTGCTGGAATTAGAGGTGTAAGCCGCCACGCCCAGCTCCAAGTGTGTACATCTTAATTTTGCTTTCTGGGCTGTGAGCTTGGTCCTGTGATTATCTCCTGTTGATACCTGGTCTCAGAAGGATGGGGAGCATGGACACACATCAGACCACCACCAAGTGATTGGAGTTCCATATTGGTCAGTCTTGAGGAGAAGCTGGGGTGCTACGGTCTGATCTTCAGGGGGCCAGGGAGATTTTCAGGAAACTCTGGGAGATCTGAAGCTAATGAGGAATTAACTACATGGCAGAGCCAAGGGCTAGCAGAAAGCAAAATTAGGGCTGGTGCGGTGGCTCACACCTGTAATCCCAGCACTTTGGGAGGCCGAGGTGGGCGGAGCACCTGAGGTCAGGAGTTTGAGACCAGCCTGGCCAACATGGTGAAACCTATCTCTGCTAAAAATATAAAAATTAGCCAGCCATGGTGGCAGGCACCTGTAATCTCAGCTACTCAGGAGACTGAAGCAGGAGAATCACTTGAACCTGGGAGGCAGAGGTTGCACTGAGCCAAGATTGCACCACTGCACTCCAGCCTAGGCAACAAAGCGAGAATCCGTCTCAAAAAAAAAAACAACTAAAAAAATAAAAATAAAGGGATGTTCTTTGATGAGCAGCGGGACAAATCATCTAAGTTTTGTTTCACATTGTAGGGAGATTAACCTGTGGGGGGATGCTCAGACTGGCATGGGGCGACCCAGGATGAATGAGGGTCTTCAGGTGGTGAGATTAGGCAAGTGGGATCTTGCTGTGTTGCCCAGGCTGATCTCCAATTCCTGGGCTCGAGCTGTCCTCCCACCCCAGCCTCCCAAAGTATTGGAATTACAGGCGTGAGCCACTGTGCCTGGCGAATGTGTACATTTCAATCATGGATCATGGGGAAGCCATGTGTCAGTGTCTCAAAAGCATACTCAATAGGCCGGGGCCGTGTTAAATGGGATTTGCCCCAGCCCTGTCTGATTCCTTATTAGGGAGAACGATACTTACCAATACTTGTCACCCACTCGAGTGGCACTATCCTGTGAAGATGGTGACAGATGAGGAAATCAAGGAATGGGGAGGTTTATTTTTTACTTTAAATTTTTTGTTTGTTTTTTCAGAGTCTCACTGTGTTACCCAGGCTGGAGTGCAGTGGCCTGATCTTGGCTCACTGCAGTCTCTGCCTCCTGGGCTCAAGTGATTCTCATGCCTCAGCCTCCTGAGTAGCTAGGATTACAGGCGCCTGCCACCACGCCTGGCTAATTTTTGTATTTAGCCAGGCGTGGAGACAGGGTTTCGCCATGTTGGCCAGGCTGGTCTCAAACTCCTGACCTCAAGTGATCTGCCCGCCTCGGCCTCCCAAAATGCTGGGATTACAGGCATGAGCCACCTCACTCAGCCAAAAAATTTTTTTTAGAGACAGGGTCTTGTTCTGTTGCCCAGGCTAGAGTGCAGTGGTGTAATCACAGCACATGCAGCCTCGACCTCCTGGGTTCAAGTGATCTTCCCACCTCAACCTCCTGAGTAGCTGAGACTATAAGTGTGCGCCACCATACCTGGCTAATTTATTTTGTAGAGACAGGGCCTCACTCTGTCACCCAGGCTGGAGTGCAGTGGTGGGATCATAGCTCACTGAAGCCTTGAACTCCTGGCCTCAAGTGATCCTCCTGCCTCGGCCTCCCAAAGTGCTGGGATTACAGGTGTGACCCACTGTATGTGGCCTATGTGGAGGTTTAGTGACACATCCAAGGTGTCACATGCTAGACCCCATCATCCCACAACACAGTGTGTGGTGGCAGGGAGCCTGTGCATGCTGCTGTGTGGCTATGAGGAAGAGAATGATTGAAGTGGTGCATTCTTGCTGCTGTGGGAGGGATGGCTGAAGAGCAGGAGGACAGGACAGCAACAGGCAAAAGCACCTGTCTGCAGCTGTTATGTTTCTGCTTCCTTGCTGGGCATGGACACTGAGTGTGACATGGACCCTTGCCTTCCAGGGACCCCTGCCTTCCAGGGACCCCCAGCCTGGTTGCAGGGAAGCAAGTGGAGAGTGGCCCCTCAAGTGCAGCAGAGAACCACAGACTGCTCAGTGCAGGGCAGAGCAGTTAACTTTGGGGGCAGTGAGGCCAGGACATTTAGGAGCTTTGAAGGATGCAGAGAAGTTTGCCAGGATCGGAGACTGCGGCCAAAGCAAAACTTGGCATGTCCAGGGAATTAATTCACTTGTCCAGCAAATAGTTGTTGAAGGCCAATCAAATGCGGATTGCTGTGCCAGGTTCCGTGTGGTAAGAACATGGGGCTTTTTTTTTTTTTTGAGTTGAAGTCTTTCACCATCACCCAGGCTGGAGTGCAGTGGCATGATCTTGGCTCACTGCAACCTCCGTCTCCTAGGTTCAAGCAATTCTCCTGCCCCAGCCTCCCGAATAGCTGGGATTACAGGTATGTACCACCATGCTGGCTAATTTTTGTATTTTTAGTAGAGACGGGGTTTAACCATGTTGGCCAGGATAGTCTTGAACTCCCGACCTTAAATGATCCATCTGCCTTGGCCTCCCAAACTGCTGGGATTAAAGGCGTGAGCCACTGTGCCCAGCTAATTTTTGTATTTTTGTAGAGACAGGGTTTTACCATGTTGCCCAGGCTGGTCTTGAACTCGTGGCCTCAAGTGATCTGCCCACCTTGGCCTCCCAAAGTGCTGGGATTACAGGCATGAGCCACCACGCCCAACCAAACATAGGGCTTTTGAGGCGAGGACAGTTACTGAAGTAGACCCTCTTAGTGGAGGAATGTGAGTACCATTCAGTACCTTGGATTGTTTTAGATAACATCTAACGGCCTTTGGTGACAGGTGTGGGCAGCACTGTCTGCAAGGACAGAGGACAGCAATTGATCATAGAATTTCCTGGATCTTTCAGGGTGTTTAACCCATAGAGACCGCAACAAGGGTTGCCTTAACCAAAGATTGTCTGAAAGGCACACAGGAGCAAATGCAGCAGGAAGAAACTCCCCATTTGTGAGGCAGCCTGCGGGGTTGGGGTTAACGGGCAGCAGCCATTATGTAAGATGTGCCCGGATCCCTTAGGCAGAGTTAATGCTTATTAACTAGAAAAGAAAACAGCCTTTATCGGCTGGCAGATAGGATGTTAATTGGCTTCCGTTTACTGAGAGATTACAGGATCCATTTCACGGCTGCTTATAATAAACTCCATCCACAGAGAAACTGTCCCCACCCCCACCCAACATTTGTACAAACATTTCCTGAGTCCCAAGGGGTGGAGCTGGCAGTTGTATGGTGGTCCCCACAAGGTAACAGCATAAACGGTGGGCCTGTCTTATGTCTGGTCGGGAAGCTATGAGACAGGCTCAAGGGAATCAGGCACATGTGCATATGAGTCTGTGTGTGTGTGACAGTGTGTGTGAGAGAGTGTGTGTGTGCGTGCGTGTATGTGTGTGTGTGTGAGTGTATGTGTGAGCGAGTGTGAGTGTGTGTGTATGTGTGAGTGTGTATGTATTAGGATAGCCTGTGTACATGGGGCTTATAGGATGCTTGGGTTTGAAATTGCCTGATTCAGAACAAGAAGCAGCCTTGTGGCTGGGCGCAGTGGTTCACACCTGTAATCCCAACACTTTGGGAGGCAGAGGCAGGTCGACTGCTTGAGGCCAGGAGTTTGAGACCAGCCTGGGCAGCGTAGCAAGACCCCGTCTCTACTAAAAATAATTTTAAAATTAGCTGGGCATGATAGTGTACACCCATAGTCCTAGCTACTCAGAGGCTAAGGTGGAAAGATCACCTGAGCCCAAAAGATGGAGGCTGCAGTGAGCTATGATTTTACCACTGCATTCCAGCCTGGGTGACAGAGTGAGACCCTGTCTCAAAAAAAAAAGAAGTAGCTTGTCCTGCCCTCTCCCAAGCAACTGTCAACTTGCTTGGAACCAGTGTTCCCATTGCTCTGGAGGTTCTATGCTGAGGCTGGTGTGATCATGAGTTATCGAAGATCCCATGCTCCAGGTTCACGTTTCCTGAATAATGCTGCTTAGTAAGTCATTTCCTATGTCATCCTCCCATACCCCGCCGAGCTTTGTTTTTTGTTTGATGAATGGAAAGACTGCATGAACAGAAGCAGCATGGGAAAAGATACACGTATGTTATTTGGGGCTGGCCCCCCTCTGCCTGGCCGCTGGTAGTCACCCTTGTGGGGACACCTGAATCCCAGTTCAGAAAGCACTGGCATCCTAGGTACTCGCGAAAGGTACCTAGAGTGAACGTGGCAAGGCTGGGCCTCGGAGCCACAGGACACTGTCATCTGTGGTTGTAAATACTATGTGGGGCTGGGGGAGTACGAGGTACCTACCCCAGCACAGCATACGAGTCAGGACTCTGGCAGGTGCAAGTGACAGAAACCCATCCTATGCTGACTGAACTGGAAAGGGTGCTTCCTGGGCTCCATGACAGCAAAGTCCGTGTGCTTTTGGCACCACTGGCTGCCAGATCCCCCTAGCCTGCAGGTATCCTCCTTCACCTCCTGGCCTTGCTCTGCCCTCTAACTCTGTGTCAACTCTGCCCTGCAGTCTCACACCCTACTGGCTTCCCCTCCCCTGAAGAAAGAGGACTTCTCCGGCCCGATGGTTCCCTCAAAAGTCCCAGATCTTGGTCTTTGGGGGCAGCACCCTGAACCTAGGGGAGTGTGAAGTCTCATTACCTGACCATGGCCACCTGGGTCACCCTGGAGTCAAGGGGAGGATCAGCCCCACTTTCTTCTCCACAGTGACAGGGAGCAGAGCGAGTGGTTTCCCAGAATGCTGTCCTCAGAAGGGATGGCCACTGTGCGTGTGGACCAACTGTAGAGCTTCAGTGCCTCCTCCAGGCTTTCATCACTGCTAAGATCATCAACAGGTATTCTCGGCCAGGTGTAGTGGCTCATGCCTGTAATCCCAGCATTTTGGGAGGCTGAGGCGGGTGGATACCTTGAGGTCAGGAGTTTGAGACCAGCCTGCCCAACATGGTGAAACCCTATCTCTACTAAAAAAAAAAAATACAAAAATTGGCCAGACCTGGTGGTGTGTGTCTGTAATCCCAGCTACTGGGGAGGCTGAGGCACAAGAATCACTTGAACCTGGGAGGTGGAGGTTGCAGTGAGCCGAGATCATGCCACTGCACTCCAGCCTGGGCAGCACAGTGAGACTCCATCTTAAAAAAACAAAACAAAACAGGTGTTCTCCACAGGTTGGAGGAAAGTGGGAAAGAGCAAGCTGAACACGTCCACTCCCAAAGGCCATCCATTCAAGTCCCCTGGGAATTACAAATGGCTTGCCTGCCCCACTCCCAGGTTTGGCATCCATTGGCCTGGGAGGGGGTGTGGCAGAGGTGTTTTGTTTGCACTGTTTAAACATTTTAAATTGAGATATAGCTTACATAGAATAAAGCACATAAATCCTAAGTGTATATATAGCTCAGTGAATTTTTATGTATATATGCATCCTTGGAACCAGATCAAGACAGTTTTCAAGCCCCCAGCTGGCTCCTTCCTGCCCCCTCCCTGATATACCCCCTAGAGGTAACCAGTATTCTAATCTTTATCACCATAAATGTGTTTTGTACTTACGTTTCTTAAAAATTGTGGTGGGCTGTGTGCAATGGCTCATGTTTGTAATTCCAGCACTTTGGGAGGCAGAGGCTGGAGGACAGCTTGAGCCCAGGAGTTCAAGACCAGCCTGGGCAACATAGTAAGACCCCATCTCTACAAAAAATTTAAAATTTAGCTGCGCATGGTGGCCCACACCTGTAGCCCCAGCTACTCAGGAGGCTGAGGTAGGAGGATCATTTGAGCCGGGGAGTCGGAGGCCGCAGTGAGCCATCATAGTGCCACTGCACTGCAGCCTGGGTGGCAGAGCGAGAGACCCTGTGTCAAAAATAAATAAATAAAAAGTGTGGTAAAATACACAGTACTTAAAAGTGCCATTTTTAAGTGTTCAGTTCAGTGGCATTAAGTACATTCACACTGTTGTGCAACCATCACCACCATCCGTCTCCACAACTCTTCCGTCTTGCAAAACTGAAACTGTTCCCACTAAACAGTAATTCTCTGTTCCCCTGCTCCCAGCCCCTGGCACCTGCCATTCTACTTTCTGTCTCTATGAATGTGATGACTCTAGGGACCTCATATAAGTGGATTCGTATGGTATTTGTCCTTTTGTGACTGGCTCATTTCACTCAGCATGACATCCCCAGGGTCCATCCGTGTGGCAGCAGTTATCGACATTTGGATGTGTATAAAACATTTTGTTTACTGAGCTTGACTGTTATGCAGACAGAATCATTCAGTATGCAGCTGGGCACAGTGGCTCACACGTGTAATCCCAGCGCTTTGGGAGGCCAAGATGGGCAGATCACCTGAGGCCAGGAGTTCGAAACCAGCCTGGCCAACATGGCGAAACCCCATCTTTCCTAAATACAAAAAATTAGCTGGGTGTGGTGGTGCACACCTGTAATCCCAGCTACTCGGGAGGCTGAGGCACAAGAATCACTTGAATCCGGGAGGTGGAAGTTGCAGTGAGCTGAGATCGTGCCATTGCACTCCAGCCTGGGCGACAGAGTGAGACTCCAACTCAAAAAAAAAGAATCGTTCAGTATGCAACCTTTTGTGCCTGGCTTCTGCCTCTTCACTGGTGTGTCTGTGAGATCCATCCGTGTTGTTGTCGCGTGTAGCAGCAGTTTGGTGTGTTACATAGTGTCCCATCGTGGGACATACCACACACGTGTTCCCATTCTCCTATGGGTGGTCTTTGGGGTTGTGTCCATAGAGTGTGCTCATCATTGCCATGATATGCTGCTGGGCAGGTCTTCAAAGCTCCCAGGGCTGTATATGGGGAGGCTGGAGGGAGAGGCCTCTATGGCAGGTGTGGCTTGTAGGAATCTTGGCTGCACTGGGCAGAAGCAGAGGTCTGGAGGTGGGAGACCCAGCCGGCATTGGGCGGTGGGGGTACTTTGTGTCTCCCTACAAGCACAGCCTGCAATGGCCCACTTGCATTCAGCATGAAGGTGCGTATGCCTGACACAGCCTCAGCCTGTTTGTTTCCCTGGTCAGCCTGAGCTCACTCCAGCCTTGGGTTCTTCCTTCTTGCTGTTCTCCCTCCCTGGTGTACTCCTTCCCTTCCAGATCCCAGGACAGACCCCTTTCCCCCACCCCATGTCCCTCCTCCCACATAGACTCTGTGCATATGGTCATCCTTGTGTGGGTCATTTGCAGTACCGATAGAGCCCGTGAAGGTGTGCCTCCGCAGAGCATGTACGCAGCGAGCATGTACGCAGCAAGCATGCAGCAAGCACACAGAGGGAGTGACATACGAATGTCCAGCAGCTAATCTAATTCCAAGTAACCTAGTAGGGAGGGAAGGATCCGTAAGAAAAGGGAGACCCAAGGTCATGAACACTGCCTGAGTCAGCCCAGGGTGTACCCAGGCTCCCACCACCCTGTTATCCTGCCAGAGCAGAGAAGGGCCTCCCAGGGCTGGTGGGAACCTGGGCAGGTTTTTGTATGTGTGTCAAAATGCACATAACTTGAAAGTTACCATTGTGAGCTTTTTTTTTTTGAGATGTAGTCTTGCTCTTGTCCCCCAGGCTGGAGTGCAGTGGCGCGCTCTTGGCTCATTGTGAGCGTTTTAAAGTGAACAATTCAGTGGTATATAGTACAGTCACAGTGTTGTGCAACCACTGCCTTCATCTGATTTCAGAACTTTTATTTTTTTATTTATTTTTATTTTTTAGACAATTTTTTATTTTTTTATTTTTAATTTTTATTTTTTATCTTGCTGTGTCACCCAGGCTGGAGTGCAATGGCGCAATCTCGGCTCACTGCAACCTCCACCTCCCTGGTTCAAGCGATTCTCCTGCCTCAACCTCCTGAGTAGCTGGGATTACAGGTGCATGCCATCATATCCAGCTAATTTTTGTATTTTTAGTAGAGACAGGGTCTCACCATGTTGGCCAGGGTGGTCTTGAACTCATGACTTCAAGTTATCTGACTGACTCAGCCTCCTGAAGTGCTGGAATTATAGGTGTGAGCCACCACACCTGGCCAATTTCAGAACATTTTCATCACCCCCAAAAGGAAATCCCATCCCCATGAGCAGTCACTCCCCATTCCACAGCCCCCAGCCCCTAGCAACCACCAATCTGGTTCCTGTCTCTATGGATTTACCTGTTCTGGGCATTTCATATCAATGGAACCTCACACTATGTGGCCTTTTGTGTCTGGCTTCTCTACTCAGTATCGTGTTTTTGAGGTTCATCTATGTTGTAGCATGGATCAGTGCTTCATTCCTTTTCATGGCTGAGTAGTAGTCTGTCATGCGAACATTTTGTATATCCATTCATCTGTTGATGAGCAGTTGGGTTACTTCCACTTTTTGGCTGTTGTGAATCTTACTGCTAGGAGCATTCATGTACAAGTTTCATTGTTGTTGCTATTGTTTCTATTGTGTTGGGGTCTCACTATGTTGCCCAGGCTGGTCTTGAACTCCTAGCCTCAAGCATCCTCCTGCTTTAGCCTCCCAAAGTGCTGGGATTATGGGTGTGAGCCACCATGACCAACCCCATGCACAAGTTTTGTGTGGACCCTTTGGTTCTGTGCCTGGAAGTGGAATTGCTGGGCCACAATAGTATCTCCCTGTGTAACTTGTGAAGGAACCTCCAGGCTGATTTCCACAATGGCTGCCCCATCTAACATTCCCAGCATACAAGGACACCAGTTTCTCCACTTGCTCGCCTGGCAGGTTTTAGTCAGATGCTTGGCAGGATGGGTGGGAGTCAGGAGGAGAACGGGTGTTCCGCATGTGTAGGCTTGTCAGCCAGCACTGGGGTGGGATGGTGAGACCAACTCTCAGATGAGGAGGCCGAGGTCCTGGGAGCTGGTACACTTGCCTGAGGGTGCTCATCTGGTGAAGAGCAGAGTGGGCTTGAATCTGTGACCCTGCCTTCAAGTTCACAATGGGAAATGCTTCCTCAGCAGGTGACTGAGGGTGAAGGGTCACTGCTTGTGCCCCAGCAGTGACATTTTAGGGATAAGGACAGCCCCACCCCCTACCCATTGGATCCATGAGTAAGGAGACAGAAAAGGAAGGAGGCAAGGGGAGGGGCTCTCACCCAGAAGTACAGCGTCCTCTTCCTTCATTTGGACCAGGCTCAGGGCTCAGGGTTCTGCTGATGAAATAGGTCCCTCCCAAGCCAGGCACAGTGGCTCACACCTGTAATCCCAACACTTTGGGAGGTTCAGGTGGGAGGATCACTTGAGGCCAGGAGTTCGAGACTAGCCTGGGCAACATAGCAAGACCTCATCTCTACAAAAAAATTAAGAAATTAAGGCTGGGCATGGTGGTGGTGCATGCCTGTAATCCCAGCACTTTGGGAGGCCAAGGTGGGCAGATTGCATGAGCTTAGTTTGAGACCAGCCTGGGCAACATGGTGAAACCCCGTCTCTACGAAAAACACAAAAATTAGCTGGGCTTGGTGGTACCTATCTGTGGTCCCAGCTACTTGGGAAGCTAAGGCAGGAGGGTCTCTTGAGCCCAGGAGATCAAAGCTGCAGTGACCTGAGATTGCGCTACTGCACTCCAGCCTGGGCAACAGAGAGAGACCCTATAAAATTTAAAAAAAAAAAAAAAAAAGAGGGAGGGAGAGAGGGAAATTAACCAGGCATGGTGGTACACATGTATAGTCCCAGCTATTCAGGAAACTGAGGCAGGAGTTTGGGGAATCCCTTGAGCCCAGGAGTTTGAAGTTACAATGAGCTGATTGTGCCACTACACTCCTACCTGGGTGACAGAGTGAGACCCTGAAAAAATAAAAAAAAGAAGAAAGAAAGAATAAAGAAAAGAAAGGAGGGAGGAAGGGAGGGAAAGAGAGGAAGGGAAGAAGGAGAAATACCCTCCCCACAGACTTGTCATTGGGGCACATTTCTGCAGGATGTCCCAAGTGGCCCCAGGGTGACTTTCCAGCACTGGACCCATAAGGAACCACAGGGACCACCACTATGACCAGCCTGGCAGGGGGTGATGATGAGAGGAAGTGACACCCCAACAACAGAACCTGGAAAGAAGTGTTTCCAGTGCCAGTTGGCCCGTCTGTTTTTAAATAAACAGAAGCATGTTTCATGTTTTGTCCTCATAGCGTCCCTGGCAGTGTCATGGGACACTCAGGTGGTACCACTAGTTCTGACAACCTCTTCTCGCTTGGGAAGCCGAGGTGGGGGCTGATGGGCGTAGGTAGACTACCTGTCCCTTATAGTGACAAAGAGGAGAATGCCACTGAGGGTGGGGGTCATGGGAACTGGGGCTTCCTCCCCGAACCCATCCAAGCCTCCCTGTCCCAGGAAACGACCTCACCACCTCCAGGTCTCAGGCAGAACCTGGACAGGCTCCTGAGGCGCCCGCCACCTCCCTCCACTGCAGCCTACCGTCCAGGCCCTACGCTGTCACCCGAGTGGTCCCGTGGTGTCCTCTGGCTTCCTTGCCTCACTGTCCTCTTCGCTCCTTTAGCCGAGTGACCTCTGTCCCTGGAGACCCATTCCTTCTCTCACTAGCCCCATGGGCTTTGCATTTTGTGGCTGGAATGTGGCTCTGCCATGCCTTGGACACTGCCCCTCAGGGAGGCCGACCTGATCACCTGGTCACTGGTCGCAAGTCTGGGTACACGTTGTCATGGGAGTGATTGGCCTCCTGGGACCACTCCCACTAGGGCTGGCAGCTCTAGTGTCTGGTTATTTGACGTCAGCCTGACGTCCACCTCCCGTCACTCCCCTGGCCACTGGCCCAGTTGGTCCTCTTCCCTTGTGACAGCCTGTGTCCACTTCCTTTTGCCGCCATAACCACCACAAATGTGGAGGCGTAAAGCAACACATTTGTCATCTTTAGGTTCTGGTCATCAGGAGTCTAAAATGGGAGTGCAGGGCTGGGTTTCTTCTGGAGGCTCAGGAAGAGAATCTGTGTCTTTGCCTTTCCCAGCTTCTATCCCCCAGGGCCTCTCCCTCCACCTCTAAAGCCAGCAGCGGAGGGCACTCACATCTCCAGTTCTCCTGCGTCTATCTTTGTTCGTTCTGGTCCTTTTCCTTTTCCTTTCCTTTCCTGACAGAGTCTTGCTCCATCACCCAGGCTGGAGTGCAGTGGCACAACCTCCACCTCCTGGGTTCAGGCAATTCTTGTGCCTCAGCCACCCAAGTAGCTGGGGCTACAGGAATGTGCCACCACACCCGACTAATTTTTGTATTTTTTGAAAGAGACAGGGTTTTGCCATGTCGACCAGGCTGGTCTCGATGCCTGACCTCAATTGATCCACCTGCCTTGGCCTCCCAAAGGGCTGGAATTACAAGCATGAGCCACTGATCTTGGCCTTTTTTTTTTGTTTTTGAGACAAGGTCTTGCTGTGTCACCCAGGCTGGGGTTCAGTGGTGTGATCACACCTCGTTGCAGCCTCCAACTCCTGGGCTCAAGCCATCCTCCCATCTTGGCCTCCTACAGGTATGTGCCACCAAGCCCAACTAATTTTTTTTTTGTTGTTGTTGTTGAGATGGAGTCTCCCTCTGTCACCCAGGCTAGAGTGTAGTGGGGCGATCTCAGCTCACTGCAACCTCTGCCTCCTGGGTTCAAGTGATTCTCCTGCCTCAGCCTCCCTGAGTAGCTGGGACTACAGGTGCGTGCCACCACACCCAGCTAATTTTTTTTGTATTTTTAGGAGAGGTGAGGTTTCACCATGTTGGCCAGGATGGTCATGAACTCTTGACCTCAGGTGATCCACCTGCCTCAGCCTCCCAAAGTGCTGGTATTACAGGTGTGAGCCACCCAGCTAATTTTTAAAATTTTTGTACAAAATGAGATTTCACTATGTTACCCAGGCTGCTCTCACCTGGCCCTCAAGTGATCTTCCCACCTCCCAAAGTGCTGAGATTACAAGGCGTGAGCCACTGCACCTGGCCTCTCCTGCATCCCCACATCGGGACCCTGGTGATTACATTGGGGCCATCCAGATAATCCAGGACAGTCTCCCCCATCTCAAGACCCTTAACTTCATCACATCTAAAAATTCCCTTTTGTCATGTAAGATCACATATTCATGGTGTCTAGGGTTTAGGATGCAGACATCTTTGAGTGCCATTATTGAGTCTAACGCAGCCCATTATGGTGGTCCTTAAGGTTCCCCTTTCCAGGGAAGTCACCCCAAATGTCAGGACAAGAGGGTTTCAGGATCTCCAGCCTCGGCTCTCTGGCCTCCTGCCCCTGCCCTGCCCAGCAGCGTCATTCAGCCTCTTCTGGGGCTCCTCTTACCTCAAGGGCGAAGGCCTGAATTGGCAAACCCTCAGCACTCACTGCACAGGCACCAGGCCAGGCCAGCACAGTGAACGAGTGTCGTGGAGGGAAGTCACAGGAGCAGTGAGGATGCAGAGCAGAGGTACAGCCTGGGCAAGGGGCAGAGAGCCCCAGAAAAAGTGAAAGGGTACCTCACTCCTGCATACCCCACTGCCCCAGCATGCACCTCCTGGCCCCTGCACACACCATCTGACACCCAACTGCCTCTAAATGCATCTCCAGGGCCCTGCACACACCTGCCCACACCCCACCACCCCAGCATGCCCCTGCAGGCACCTCCTGGGCCCTGCACACACCTGCCCGCACCCCACCACCCCAGCGTGCCCCTGCAGGCACCTTCAGGGCGCTGCACACACCTGCCCACACCCCACCACCCCAGCATGCCCCTGCAGGCACCTCCAGGGCCCTGCACACACCTGACTGCACCCCACCACCCCAGTGTGCCCCTGCAGGCACCTCCAGGGCCCTGCACACACCTGCCCATACCCCACCACCGCAACATGCCTGGACCCTGTACATACCTGCCTGCATCCCACCACCACAGTGTGCCCCGGCAGGCACCTTTGGGGTGTTGCACACACCATCTCCCACCCAGCGTCCACCACAGGCCCCACCTCCCCTCTACATCTGCATAGTCAGGTTTGGGGCCCACAGATGCTCTGACATAGGTATATCCAGTTCAGCTTCTCCAGCCACCTGAGTCTTTGGGGCAACCTCTTCATCGTAGTGAAATCTCCACCCACCTTCCCTCCCCAAACCCGCTTCTTTGTCTATGGCGGTGGATGTATAGCATCACATCCCCAGAGGGTAATGGAGCATTTGGGTTTAATGGACAGTGCAAAGTGAATATCCACAAGGCCACACAGATAGGAATCAATGACTGAAAAAATAAATGGGGGAGGAGAGACAGCCGTCCCTGTGGAATAATTCCAAGTCCTATCCATCGATGCTCCCCTTTCCGGGAGGTGGAGCTTAACCCATCCCCATCCCATCAGACTGGGCTGCTTCCAAAGAGTAGAGTAGGGAATGGGGAATACCCACTTGACAGAGGCCCCTGGCTGAACCCACCTTACCCAAGAGGTCCAGGTGCAGGTCACCTGGGGGAAGTTGCCCTCCTATGCCCCTGGAACTGGCTGTTCCTTTAGGTTAAGCAAAGTCTTGAGTAAGGGCACATGGGCAGGGCAAGGTGGTTCACACCCATAATCCCAGCTACTGGGGAGGTGAGGTAAGGCAGGAGGATCACTTGAGCCCAGGAGTTCCAGATCAGCCTGGGCAACATAGCGAGACCCCATCTCAAAAAAAAAAAAAAAAAGGTGGGGGTACATGGTCCTCTAGAGTGCTTGATGAAATGATGTTGAGACTCACCTCAGTGGCTGTGGGCTGCCTAGGGGCCAGGCTCCATGGAGAAGGACCCGGTTGTGGCTTTCGGATCCTGCACTGGGGCCTGAGTTCCCTCTGTCCTTGGACTTGGCCAAACTTCCCTGAGTTTCATCTGCAGAGTAGGGAAACAGCACCTCACCATGAGGGGTAAAGAGGAACTACGGTGCCCCCAGTCATTAGCGGCAGTGATTGTCACCATTGTCTTCAGCCCAGCTAGGCCCCACCAGCCAGTGGCTGTGGCCTCAGGCAAGCACTCAGACTGCCTCAGCTTCCCCAGCTGTGAAGCTGAACTGAGACTCCTCAGTTAAGGCTGGGAGGATTCCAGAGCACAGGGGCAAAGGGATCTCTGAACAATAGCCACATTTTTTCTTTTTTTTTTTTTTGGAGAAGGAGTCTCGTTCTGTCACCCACGCTGGAGTGCAGTGCCGCGATCTCAGCCCACTGCAACCTCTGCTTCCGAGGTTCAAGCTCTTCTCCTGCCTCAGCCTCCCGAGTAGCTGGGATTACAGGTGCTCACCACATGCCCAGCTAATTTTTGTATTTTTAGTAGAAATGGGCTTTCGCCATTTTGCTCAGGCTGGTCTTGAACTTCAGGTGAGGCCGGCCTTGGCCTCCCAAAGTGTTAGGATTACAGGTGTGAGCCACCACACCCGGCCAATAGCCACTATTGTGTTGTATGGGTGCCTGTGTCTTCACCCCATTCTCACCCCCACATGCAGAGGCAGAAACAGGCCCTGGAGGAAGGAAGGCCTTTGCCTGAGCATGGCCCCAGACACCCTGAGGGGAGGGGAGAGGGGAGAGAGGAGAGGAGGCAAGAGGAGAGGAGGGGAGAGGGGAGGGGAGGGGGCCAGCCAGGGTCAGGGTGCACTCTGCTGAGAAGGGCAATGGGTTCCCTGAAAACCAGGGCTGCCAGCGCCCTTCCCTGCCCCTCAACACTGAGCCCCTGGGTGTAGCCACGCTGGCTTAGAGTCACCCTCCACAGTACGCCTTGGGACCATGTGCCGTGGAGGACCTGGACCAAGAGGAGTCAGATCACCCGGCCAGTCCTTCTATAGCCACAGACACCCAACGTGTGTTTCCTGGACTTGGCATGCCCCAGAAGCTGCTGGTTTTCTCCAGGCTTTCTTTGTTTTAGCACTTTATGAGAGAGAGTCTCGCTCTGTCACACAGGCTGGAGTGCAGTGGCATGATCACTGCAACCTCTGCCTCCCAGGTTCAAGCGTTTCTCCTGCCTCAGCCTCCTGAGTAGCTAGGACTACAGGTGAGCACCACCATACCTGGCTAACTTTTGTATTTTTAGTAGAGACAGGGTTTCACCATGTTGCCCAGGCTGGTCTCGAACTCCTGACCTCAGGTGATCCACCTGCCTCGGCATCCCAAAGTGCTGGGATTACAGGCATGAGCCACTGCACCCAGTCCAGAGAAATTATTAAGTTTCCTGTGGGGAGATGCTCAGAGGCCACGCAAACACCCTATTTCTCATCCTGTTTTCACCCACTCATTGTAGCATCTGCCCATGGTTTTGTTTTATTTAAGGCTAGTCCATTTTTTTTGAAATAACATTTTAAAATTGTTTATATTTAACGTATACAACATGTTGTGTGGTTTTGGGGGGTTTTGCTTTTTTTGTTTTGTTTCGTTTTGAGACATAGTCTTGCTCTCTCACCCAGGCTGGAGTGCAGTGGTGCGATCTCAGCTCACTGTAACCTCAACTTCTTGGTTTCAGATGATCCTCCTGCCTCAGCCTCCTGAGTAGCTGGGACTACAGGTACATGCCACCACACCTGGCTAATTTTTGTATTTTTTGTAGAGATGGGGCTTTTCCATGTTGCCCAGGTTGGACAATGTGATGTTCTGATATATTTACTTTGATATACATATATAGTGAAGTGATTACTGCAGTCAAACAAACTACAAACTAATATAAAAATCATCCCATATAGTTACCATGTGTGTGGGGGGGTGCGCTGGGTGGGGAGGGTGAGGTTACCAGTAATTGATACAATGTTATTAACTATAGTCCTCATGCTGTCCATTAGATCTCTAGCATACTTGCCTTCCGTAACTGTAACTCTGTTCCATTTGACCTACAATCTTCCCATTTCCCCCTGCTCCTGGTAACTGCCATTTTACTCTATTTCTATGTATTTGATTTTTTTTTTCTAATTCCACATATAAATGAGATCATGCAGCATCTGTCTTTCTGTGCCTGGTTTATTCGGTTATTCATGTATCTTCTAAGTTCATCTGAATTGTCACAGATGTCAGGATCTCTTTTTGGTGTGTGTTTGTGACAGAGTCTCGCTCTGTCGCCCAGGCTGGAGTGCAGTGGCACGATCTCAGCTCACAGCAACCTCCACCTCCCAGGTTCAAGCGATTCTCCTGCCTCGGCCTCCCGAGTAGCTGGGATTATAGATGCACACCACCACACCCAGCTGATTTTTGTATTTTTAGTAGAGACGGGGTTTCACCATGTTGGCCAGGCTGGTCTTGAACTCCTGACCTCAAATGATCCACCCACTTCGGCCTCCCAAAGTGCTGGGATTACAGGTGTGAGCCACCGTGCCCAGCTGTCCCCATGGTTCTTGATGGCAACAATTAATACTAGCCTTTGCCTAATGGTGTTTTCTATTTCCATCATTCCATCTGCATTTATTAATTGAAATTCAACTGTAAGGAAGTGCTGTCTCTTCTCCCCCATTTATTGAGCTACTTGGAAAAACAAAGACCATCCAAATGAGAGCAGCACAGGCTGCTTATTCAGAGTTTGCAAGGGAGTCAGCCGAAGCTCCAGGGCAGGCAGGGGAGAGGGAGAGCTGTGGAGTGGAAAAGGGCAGGCTCAAGTGAGCCCACAGGAGGCTGTTGGCCTGGGGAAGCTGGGGGCAGCCAGCTAACAGCAGGTGTCCTGTGGGGTTGCTTAGGGAAGCACAATTGGCTTTCTCTGGTTGGTCCTAAGTTGGAAGGGGGGCCAGTGTTAGAGAAGCTGCAATCACTGACCAGGTCCTGAGCATTGCTGCAGAGGTTGGTGGTTGGTTTCCGGAGCTGGTTGCTGCACAGGTTTTGGGCCACAGTTTTGTTGCCATGTATGGATTGGCCATTGTCCTGCACCTCTTCTGCCTCTTACCAGGAGTTTCTAAGGAACGGTTCCAGACCCCACCCCAGCCCTGCATATAAATCTGATCTTCAATTTTTTTTTTTTTTTTTTTTTGAGACAAAGTCTCACTCTGTCACCCAGGCTGGAGCGTAGTGGTGTGATCACGGCTCACTGCAAGCTCCGCCTTCCGGGTTCACACCATTCTCCTGCCTCAGCCTCCTGAGTAGCTGGGACTACAGGTGCCCGCCACCACGCCTGGCTAATTTTTTTGTATTTTTAGTAGAGACGGGGTTTCAACGTGTTAGCCAGGATGGACTCGATCTCCTGACCTCGTGATCTGCCTGCGTCGGCCTCCCAAAGTGCTGGGATTACAGGTGTGAGCCACCGCGCCTGGCCCGAGACGGAGTTTCACTCTGGTCACCCAGGCTGAAGTGCAATGGCGCAATCTCAGCTCACCGCAACCTCCGCCTCCTGGGTTCAAGCAATTCTCCTGCCTCAGCCTCCTCAGTAGCTGGGATTATAGGCATGTGCTACCACACCCGACTAATTTTTTTTTTTTTTGTATTTTTTAGTAGAGACAGGGTTTCACCATGTTAGCCAAGATGGTCTTGATCTCCTGACCTTGTGATCCCCCCGCTTTGGCCTCTCAAAGTGCTTGGATTACAGGCATGAGCCACTGCGCCCGGCCTTTTTTTTTTCGTTTTCTTTTGTTTTTTGAGACAGCGTCTCTTTCTGACACCCAGGATGGAGTGCAGCGGCACGATCTTGGCTCACTGTAACCTCTGCCTCCTGGGTTCAAGCGATTCTTCTGCCTCGGCCTCTCAAGTAGCTGGGACTACAGGCATGCACCACCACACCTGGCTAATTTTTGTATTTTTAGTAGAAACAGTGGTTTGCCATGTTGCCCAAGCTGCTCTTGAACTCCTGGCCTCAAGCGATCTGCCCTCCTTGGCCCAAAGTGCTGGGATTACAGGCGTGAGCCACTGCGCCTGGCCAGTGATCCTCAACTTTGATTCAAATGGGCACCTGTTCTTTCTGTACTTCCTGAAACAAAGCGTGGTGGCACCCTTTAGAGAGAGCTCAACTTACACTCTGAATTTGACAAATGTGCAGTTGAACTTTAAAACAGATTCCAGGGCTGGGCGCGGGGCCTCACGCCTATAATCCCAGTACTTTGGGAGGCTGAGGCGGGCAGATCATGAGGTCAGGAGTTCAAGACCAACCTGACCAACATGGTGAAACCCCATCTCTAGTAAAAGTACAAAAAAGTTAGCCAGGCATGGTGGTGCGTGCCTGTAATCCCAGCTACTCAGGAGGCTGAGGCAGGAGAATTGCTTGAACCCGGGAGGTGGAGGTTGCAGTGAGCTGAGATCGCAGCAGTGCACTCCAGCCTGGGTGACAGAGCAAGACTCCATCTCAAAAAAAATAATAATAATAATAATAATAAATTATATATATAAAAATCAGATTCCAGGCAGCCAGGTGTGGTAGCTCACACCTGTAATCCCAGCACTTTGGGAGGCCAAGGAGGGTGGATCACCTGAGGTCAGGAGATTGAGACCAGCCTGCCCAACATGGTGAAACCCCGTCTCTACAGAAAAATGCAAAAATTAGCTGCGCATGGCAGCACACGCCTGTAATCCCAGCTACTTATGAGGCCAAGGCAGGAGAATCACTTGAACCTGGGAGGCAGAGGTTACAGTGAGCCGAGATCACACCATTGCACTCCAGCCTGGGTGACAGAGCGAGACTCCGTCTCAAAAAACAAAAACAAAAAACACCTCTAAACTCTAACAAATGAGCTGAGAAGAGTAAGGCATTTCAGCAGGAATGTCTGTTCCACTGGGGGTCCCTGGAGGGAGAGCAGGAGTCTGCCTTCTGAGCTTTCCTTGGGCCCTTTCCAAAGATTGTTTTCTTAGGCAAAAATTTTGACAAGTGGCCAATCTAGTGTCCTGTCCCACCTTGGCCTGCAGATCCTATTTTATAGAAATCATCTTTGAACTTGTGAGTGAGTTACATTTTGAGAAGGCCAAGTTTGGGTTTTGAAGCAAAACCAGCGTGTCTGTCCCCCAACCCCCCAAATGATGTCTAGGAGCTCCCGTGTCAGTTTCACCCCTTCTTGAAAGTCACAGCCAGGTGTCTGCTTGCTCATTAAGGGGCAGAGGTGCCACCCCAAGTGGCCGCCCCATGCAGAAGAGGAAAATATCTTTTTCTCACTCATCTTAGGTTCATGGCTGAGGCCCCTGTAACAAAAGACAGATTAACAAGATAAAAGCAGACAAATTTATTTAAAACAAGTTTTACGTGTCTTGGGAGCCCTTTATAAGGAAACAAAGACCTCCCCCCAAAACAGGTAAACCTGCATATGTTTATGTTAGGTTTGATGAAGATTAGAGTCATGGGCAAATCTGATTAGAGGACAAAAGGATCTGATCTGGCTGGGCACCGTGGCACACACCTGTAATCCCAGCATTTTGGGAGGCTGAGGCGGGAGGATCACTTGAGTTCAAGACCAGCCTGGGTGAGACCCCGTCTCAAAACAACAACAACAACAACAACAACAACAAAAAGCTTCTGATTTAATGATAATAACCTTGGGGGAACTTAGCAAGGCCTGTTTGTTCAGGTTCTTCTTGGCATCTTTGCATCTTCTGTTCCCCTCCTCCAGGTACAGGGGAGGCACCTCCCACCTGAGGGTCTCATGACCTGCTTCTGGGGAGAAGGGAAAAGAAACAGTGCTTCCTGCTTCTGTGTTCTCAAAGGCCAAGGTCATATTTTAGGCTATTATGTCCCGAACCCCATCCCTTGTTCTCACTGTGGTCCCCGGGGTCCGGGATGTCACATGGCTTTTCCCTTTGCCTTCCTGAGCTGCAGCAAACACGGCTCACTCCTGAACACAGGGAGCATCTTTCTGCTGTGACAAAAGACAAAAGCGTGACTCTTGGGCCCGTTTCTGCTGAAATCCTCAGGGACCTCCTCCCCCAGTTCTGCGGTCTGTCCTACCCAGTTCTAGAATTCACTTCATGGGTGTCTTTTCTAATTTAAATTCATGTAAAGGTAGTTTGGGCTGGGCGCGGTGGCTCACGCCTGTAATCCCAGCACTTTAGGAGGCCAACGAGGGCAGATCACCTGAGGTAAGGAGTTTGAGACCAGCCTGGCCAACATGGTGAAACCCTGTCTCTACTAAAAATACAAAAACTTAGCCGGGCATGGTGGTGCGCGCCTATAATCCCAGCTAATCGGGAGGTTGAGGCAGGAGAATCGCTTGAACCCGAGAGGTGGAGGTTGCAGTGAGCCAAGATTGCACCACTGCACTCCAGCCTGGGCAACAAGCATGAAACTCTGTCTCAAAAGTAAAATAAAATAAATAAAAATAAATAAAGGGTAGTTTGTATCACTAATTAAAAATAAATTCAATATTTCTGCAAAATAGGAGGTGATGGGGAAAAAACAAATTAAGTACAGTGGAAACAGAAGAATGTTATGGCCGGGTGCGGTGGCTCCCACCTGGAATCCCAGCGCTTTGGGAGGCTGAGGCAGGAGGACCACTTGAGCCCAGGAGTTCAAGACCAGCCTGGGCAACATAAGGAGACCCTGTCTCTACAGAAAATTAAAAACTTAGCCAGGTCTGGTGGCATGAGCCTATAATCCCAGCTATTCAGGAGGCTGAGGTGGGAGGATCACTTGAGACCAGGAGGTCGAGGCTATAGTGAGCTATGATTATGCCACTGCACCCAAGCCTGGGCAACAGAGCAAGACCCTGACTATAAAACAGCAGCAACAACAAAAAGAATGTCATGAAAACCTGTGTCTCTGATGGTTGCAGGCATTGGTGCCCTGGGGCCCTCTTCCTCTTGAGACAGGGAGGGTGGCGGGTGCTGGTGGTGCTGGGACTCCCTCCTTGGCCTCACCAAGGGATGAGGCAGCTGGAACAGAAGCAGGCCGCTCTTGTGCTGTGGGATCATGCACTGGCTGTGGTGGCCCACCGTGCTCCAGGCCTCATCCTCAACCCTCCCCACTGTGTCTGTGTCTCCTACTCTGTCTCTTACAAGGACACCAGTCATTGCACTTAGGGCCCACCCTAACCCTCATCTAGAGATCTTGCCTTAATCACATCTGCACAGACCCTTTTTCCTAAAAGCGTCACATTCACAGGTTCTGGGGGCAGGGTGTATCTTTCAGGGGCCATCGTTCCACCCCCTCCAGTTACGTCCCCCAGCCCCAGCTGCCCTCAGTGCTCTGTCACCTGCAGGGCCTAGCACACTTGTGTAGTTCCAGCCAGGTTGTGCAGTGACTTTGTCTATGTCTGTGGGTGCCACTCGAGGCTGAGCCCTGGCCCTGGGCAGGTGATCCAGTGAAGGATGGTACCATGGGCACTGCAGGCAGCCCTGTCTGGTGGCTCTTCTTGTTCACAGAGGCTGGGCAGGTGCAGCCAAGGGAGGGTCTGAGGCCACAATGCCCTTCTGGGGAGACTGTTCCTCACAGGACTGTGACCTCCTGAGGAGCTCAGAGCAAGAGCCCACAGGAGGGTGGGAGGGACCCCCTTCGGCCAGGACCCAGGCCTCGGGCACCTCACCCACTGTTGGGGTATAGCAAATGGCTGAATCCTTTCTGGGGAAGGTGACTTTGCAGAACATGTCCAGGCCACCTGACCCAGCACCTCGATTCTAGGAATCAAGGAGTAGAGAGGCTGCGCCGTTCTCACCCAAGCGCCCAAGTGCAAGGACAGCCCCCAGGGTCTGTAGCGGCAGGGGTGGTGCTGGGCAGTAGTCAGACATGGCTGATTGTTGTGGGGGGCGGAGTGAAACAGACGCAGTGCATCCCATGGGCTGATGATGAAAGATGCCGACCCCCAGCAACCGGCTGGGAAAGGTCTTTAGGACCTGGTTTCTGTCTGTTTGCAAGCAGTTTAGTTTATTTTTATTTTTTGAGACCCAGTCTTGCTCTGTCACCTGCGCTGGAGTGTACTGCTGAAATCACGGCTCATTGAAGCCTCAACCTCTTTGGCTCAGGTGACCTTCTCACCTCAGCCTCTCGAGTACCTGGGACCACAGGTGCATGCCATCATATCCAACTAATTTTTTTCTCTAGAGACGGGGTCTCACTATGTTGCCCAGGCTTGTCTCAAACTCCTGGGCTCAAGCGATCCTCCTACCTCAGCCTCTCAAAGTGCTGGGATTCCAGGTGCGTGCCACCACGCCCAGCTGAGAGCAGTTTTAGATTTACAGAAAAATTGCAAAGGCTGTACCAAGTTCCCCGACACCGCACACATCTAGCGTCCCTTACGCATAACCTCTCACAGTGCTGTGCTGCATTTGCCTCACTAATGAACAAGTGCTGAGATGGTATTAATATTAATGGAGCTCCACACTTTATTCACGTTCTTCCATTTTTCCTGAATGTCCTTTCTCTGTCCAAGGATCCCACCTGATCTTTAGTCCTCACATCTCCTTAGACTCCTCTGGGCTGAGACGGTTTCTCAGGCTCTTTGTTTTTGGTGACCGTTACAGTTTTGGGGAGCAGTGGTCAGGGCTGCTGGAGAATGCCCCTCCGGTGGGATGTGTCTGGTGTTTTTTCCTTTCTTTCGAGACAGAGTCTCGCTGTGTCACCCAGGCTGGAATGCAGTGGCGTGATCTCGGCTCACTGCACCCTCCACCTCCTGGGTTCAAGTGATTCTTCTGACTCAGCCTCCTGAGTAGCTGAGATTACAGGTGCCTGCCACCATGCCTGGCCAATTTTTGTATTTTTAGTAGAGACAGGATTTTGCCAGGTTGGCCAGGCTGGTCTTAAACTCCTGAGCTCGTGATCTGCCCGCCTCAGCCTCCCAAAGTGCTGGGATTACAGGCGTGAGCCACTGCGCCCAGCCTGATGTTTTTCTCACGGTCAGATGGGGTGATGGATCTGGGGGAGGAAGACCCTAGTCGTCACACTCCATCAGAGGCACATGCGTCCACCTGACTTATCCCAGCCAGCGTTGTCCTGGATCACCTAGCCCAGCTGGGATCCATCAGGTTTCTGTGCTGCAGTCACTGACAGCCCCCTTTCCAGACTGCACTCTTTGGAAAGAAGCCGCTAAGCGCAGCCACACCTGAGGGCAGGAGGCATGGCCCCTCTTGGAGGTCCGAGCTGCTGTGCTATTTGGGAATCCTTTGCCTGGGAGATTTGTCTCTTCCCTACCATGTACTTACTTACTCTGTCATTTCTTTATATTATATGGACTCATGGTTATTTTATAGTTCAGGCTTTCATCCATGATGCTTTATGTTTTTTTCCATTTCTACTCAAACTGTTCCAGCTTTGGCCATCAAGGGTTCTTTCGGTGGGTGCCCATGACCCCCTCGCCACACCCATCTGCTTTGGTTTCTGTTTCTGAACATGCCCTCCATGACTGGCACCTCCACGTACGTGCTCTAGGCTCTTCCTTTCTCTCTGGCCCCATCTTTGAAGCAGGTGTTTCTCCCAGAGCCAGTGCCCATGGGTCCATGTTCACTAGGAGAGTCAGCAGTGGAGGCTGGTGTAGCAGAATCCCAAGTGCACTTTGTACAGCGTCACTCACCGGCACTGATGCCTGCTCTGGGGCCTCTGCACCCTTTGCTTCACTTTGCAGTAATGCGTTTTCATTTACTGGATGATTTTAAAGCGTGGGAACTAACCAGGCACGGTGGCCATGCCTGGAATCCCAGCATTTTGGGAGGCTGAGGCCAGAGGATCGCTTGAGCCCAGGAGTTCCAGACCAGCCTGGGCAACATAGTGAGTCACTGTCTCTACAAAATATAAAATGAAAAATAAAAATTAGCCAACCCAGTCGGACGCGGTGGCTCATGCTTGTAATCCCAGCACTTTGGGAGGCCACGTTAGGAGGATCACACGAGGCCAGGAATTCAAAACCAGCCTGGCCAACATGGCAAAACCCTAGCTCTACTAAAAATAAAAAAATAAAAAATAGCTGGGTTTGGTAGTAAACGTCTGTAATCCCAGGTACTTGAGAGGCTGAGGCACAAGAATTACTTGAACCTGGAAGGCGGAGGCTGCAGTGAACCGAGATCATGCCACTGCATTCCAGCCTGGGCTACAGAGGGAGATTCTGTCAAAGCAAAAACAAAAACAAAAAAAAACACCCTTAGCTGACCAAGTGGGAGGATCACTTGGGCTCAGGAATTTGAGGCTGCAGTGAGCTATGATTGTTCTACTGCACTTGAGCCTGGGTGGGGGAAAAAAAAAAGGCCAGGTGCGGTGGCTCATGCCTGTAATCCCAGCACTTTGGGAGGCTAAGGCAGGCAGATCACCTGAGGTCAGGAGTTCGAGACTAGCCTGGCCAACATGGTGAAACCCCATCTCTACTAAAAATAAAAAATTAGCTGGGTGTGGTAGCAGGCGCCTGTAGTCCCAGCTACTTGGGAGGCTGAAGCACAAGAATTGCTTAAACCTAGGAGGTGGAGGTTGCAGTGAGCCAAGATCGTGCCACTGCACTCCAGCCTGGGTGACAGAGTGAGACTCCGTCTCAAAAAAATAAATAAATAAAAAATAAAGTATTTTGGTGGACAGAGACCCTCGGGTCCGAGCTGACACAAGCCCACTGGACGTTTGGCCTGACAGTGGTATTGGCACCGAGCACCTCGGTGCCCACTGGATGTTTGGCCTGACAGTGGTGTTGGCACTGAGCACCTCGGCCACGCTGGCCCCACAACCCGCTGGTAGCTGTGTGACCTTGGCTGGCTGCTTAACTTCTCTGAGCCTGTTTGCTCCCTGGGCACCAGATTTGGAAAAAGAACAGACTGTTTGTGAGGATTACATTCCAGTACCAACAAGAAAGGCTTTTGTAAATGATTAAGCAGTACACACAGGACCGTGGCTGCGGAATGCAGTTGAGGGCATCCCTCCCCACGCAGGGAGCCAGAAACTGGGATAGGAAAAGGCTGGTGGAACACCCACCATCTCTCAGGATCTCGCCGTATCTTACCACCTCCCCTTACCCCCCCAGGACCGAGTCTCCTGCCATTCCGAGCAGGCCTGGTATGGGTAATGGTGTGAAGGAAGGCCCGGTGCGATTGCATGAGGATGCTGAGGCTGTCCTGTCCTCGTCCGTCTCATCAAAGGCAAGTACCCCGGCCTCCTGGGATGGGTGTTCTCCTGGGGCCCCAGCCTCCCCACCCCCCCTCCCAGGCTCCCTGCCTCCTCCTCCCAGCCTCTGCACCCCCTCCAAACAGGCTCAGGGATTCCTCTGCTGTGCTCCATGCAGCCCATCACAAATCACCCTGTACCTAGGATGTGCATGTTGGTACCCCTTCCTACCTGGGCTGAGGGTGGAGTGGTGGAGCCTCTCTGCTCCCACGGCCCCAAATACTCCATCATGGGATGGAGGACGCCAGCCACCCTCTATTCCACCAAAAGCCCCACTTGTGATGTGAATCCAACCAGCCCAGCCACCTGGTAAGAGGCCAAAACCTAACCCAGTTCCAGCGTGGGGTGGGAAGCCTGAGGTATCAGACATGTCTTGGAGCCCCCTTTTCTCCCTCAGATTTTGGAACACTAAGGAATTAGCCAAGGCCAGGCATGGTGGCTCATGCCTATAATCCCAGCACTTTGGGATGCTGAGGTGGGAGGATCATATGAGACCAGGAGTTTGAGACCAGCCTGGGCAACATGGTGAAACCCCGTCTCTACTAAAAATATAAAAATTAGCCAGGCGTGGTGGTGCACACCTGTAATCCCAGCTACTTGGGAGGCTGAGGCAGTTGAATCGCTTGAACCTGGAAGGCAGAGGTTGCAGTGAGCCAAGATTGTGCCACTGCACCCCAGCCTGAGCGACAGGGTGAAACCCTGTCTCAAAAACAAAAAAAAAGAGCCAAATGCAGAGAGCCAAAGGGGGTGGGCATGCTTGGTCTTTACTCTGCATTTCCAAGTTCACCTCTTAAGTCCACAATTCCACTGAAGAAAAGATATTCTCTCAAAGCAATTGGGTCAGCCCTGTTGTTCACCATAGAAACCAGAACCCCCACTGGCCCCTAAGTCCTCTCAGCTGAACCTGAAACACAGACCGACCCAGCCCCACGCAGAAATCATCGCACTCCCAGGGCCTGACTCAGGCCGACCGCACAGGCAGTTTTCAAAGTCCATGGGGTCAAAGGCTGAGGTGGCGTCATCTTCCAGGCCTCCCGACCTTTCCCCGGATTCCAGGTGACATCTCAGAGCAGCAGGCGGGCGGGAGGACTCATTCACCGGGGTCACCACCAGGTGACTGAGGCACAGGGCAGGCACGTGCCTTGAAGTTTAGTGAAGGTCCCAACAGAGCTGGAAGAACACCTGGATATGGCTGTTGCTCTGCATGCCGGAGAGGAGGGGGTCTGCAACGTGGATCCCACCACGTGGACAAGCTTGAGGCAGCGGTGGCTGCTGAACCACACGCAGAAATGCGCCAGTGCTGGTCACTTGCCGGGCATCACACACACATGCCCATTCTCCTCTGTACTGGCAGGCCCCAACAACATTGCTCTTGGTCCGCCTGGCCAGCCCCAAGGTGGGAGGGACTCACTCTGCAATGTCTCTTTTCTTTGGTTAAGAAGCTGAGCCTTGGCTGGGATGGTGGCTCACACCTGTAATCCCTGCACTCTGGGAGGCCCAGGTGGGAGGATTGCTTGAGGTCAGGAGTTCGAGACCAGCCTGGCCAACATGGTGAAACCCCATCTCTACTAAAAATACAAAAATCGGCCAGGCGTGGTGGCACGCACCTGTAATCCCAGCTCCGCATGAGGTTGAAGTGGGAGAATCGCTTGAACTCAGGAGGTGGAGGTGGCAGTGAGCTGAGATCACGCCACTGCACTCCAGCCTAGGCGACAGAGTGAGACCCTGTCTCAGAAAAAAAAAAAAAATACTGAGCTTCTTCCCACTGTGTTTATGGCCAACATGCATCCCATCTGGGATTGCCCACTTTCTCTTGTCAGCTGCCTGGCCGACAAATCCTTCTTTCGTAGGATCTCCCCACGTGATGGATCTTGAAACTTCAACCCCTCAGTGATGCCTGCTCCCAGCTCTTTGGATAATAAGGTGTTTGTGTTCATTAGAGAGGAGCTGGAAGTATCAGCCAGAGGCAGCAGCCTCCACTGAGCATGTGAACTGGCCCCAACACACGTCCTCCAGGTGCCACTGGTGGCTACCTGGAGAGGTGCAGTTTATGGACGTGTGTTCCTGATACTAAGATTTGGCATTGGCCAGGCATGGTGACTCACACCAGAGATCCCAGCACTTTAGCAGGCCAAGACGGGAGGATTGCTTGAACCCAGGAGTTTGAGAACAGCCTGGGTAACATAGCAAGACCTTGTCTTTGCAAAAAAATAAAATTAGCTGGGTGTGGTGGCACACATCTGTGGTCTCAGCTACTGAGGAGGCTGAGGTGGGAGGATCACCTGAGCCCAAGAGGTCATGGCTGCAGTGAGCTATGATCATGCACTTGCACTCCAGCCTGGTGGCAGAGTGGGATCCTATCTCAGAAAAACAACACAGAGTTGGCTTTGTAACGTTAAGAGCCTTGGCTGGGCCCGCTGGCTCTCGCCTGTAATCCCAACACTTTGGGATGCCGAGACAGGCGGATCACCTGAGCCTCAGGGGTTCGAGACCAGCCTGGGCAACGTGGAGAAACCCCATCTCTGCTAAAAATACAAAAATTAGCCAGGCAGGGTGGCGCGCAGCTGTAATCCCAGGTACTGGGAAGGCTGAGGCAGGACAAACAACCACTTGAACCCAGGAGGCAGAGGTTGCAGTGAGCCAAAATTGCGCCACCGCACTCCAGCCTGGTGGACAGAGCAAGACTGTCTCAAAAAACAAACAAAACGACAAACTGATAGGAGGTAACCACCGAATGGAGGAGGTGGAAGAACTCTGTCTCCAGCAGGGTGCAGGGAGGCACTCTCCATGGAATATTCCATTTGCACACAGAGGCCCATTCCAGAGGGGAGCAGCTGGTCCGACTGATTCAGAGAAGAAACTGGCCTGAAGCTGGTAAGGCCTTGGACTGCTGCTGGGACCACCAACAAGCGCCCGCAATTCTCAAAGCTCATGGAACCAGACGTCTGCAACCTGGCTGCATGTCCCAGAAAAGGCAGAGGTCCCCAAAGACAGCTTCCGAGAAGCTAGGAGAAGATCAAACTCCATGGCGAAGTTTGGCCTCAGAAACAAAATCGCTGTGCAATCTGTCCCTTTGAGGAAGGGAGGGCTGGGCTGGTGGAGGGGACCCTGGGAGCACTGAGGAAAAGGAGGCTGTGTTCTGTGGAACCAGACTGGGGGTGCAAGGCTGCTGGGTAGCCCAGGACATGTGGGAGAGGGTCTGAGAGCTGGCACCTTGCTGTTGTAAAGATAGGACTGGGAGACCAAAGAGGGCACCCTCTGCCTGAGCTCAGTCGGGCAGAGCTGGGATTCAGGCCAAGTGTGTGGACAGACTCAGGCCCAGCCCTTTACCCCGAGCCACACACTGAGCTGAGCAAACTCCAGAGGTGGGGGCAACCATGCTCAGTCTGACTCCGGTTGCCTGTTACACCTGAGTAGTGCGCCACATCCCTTCCCCATCTCCAGCCTCCACCATATCTATCCTGGGTTTCTGCAGGAGCCGCTTCTACCCTGGTCACATTTTTATTTTTATTTTTTATTTTTTCAGACACTCTGTCACCCTGTCTGGAGAATAGTGGTGCAATCACGGCTCACTGCAACCTTGGTATCCTGGGTTCAAGCGATTCTTCTGCCTCAGTTTTCTGAGTAACTAGGATTACAGGCACCCACCACCATGCCCGGCTAATTTTCGTATTTTTAGTAGAGATGGGGTTTCACCATGTTGGGCACGCTGGTCTCGAACTCCTGACCTCACGTGATCTGCCCGCCTCGGCCTCCCAAAGTGCTGAGATTATAGGCATGAGACACAGTGCCCAGCCCCACTCTGGTCATATTAAAAATAGCCCATTTCGGCCGGGCGCGGTGTCTCATGCTTGTAATCCCAGCACTTCAGAAGGCCGAGGCAGGCAGATCACTTGAGGCCAGGAATTCGAGACCAGCCTGGCCAACATGGCGAAACCTCATTTCTACTAAAAATACAAAAATTAGCCAGGCGTGGTGGTGCTTGCCTGTAATTCCAGCTACTCAGGAGGCTGAGGGAGGAGAATCGCTTGAACCCGAGAGGCAAAGTTTGCAGTGAGCTGAGATCACACCACTGTGTTCCAGCCTGGGCGACAGAGCAAGACTGTGCCTCAGAAAAAAAATAAAAATAACCCATTTATTTGGGCAAAGATCAGCCTCCTTGCCAGGCTTTGTAGGATCTAGCACCCACCTCTCTTTGCCATCTCCTTTCTCTTCTCTGGGCCCCCTCCCTTTCCCTGTGCCAGCAAATCTGCCCTCCTTGTGGTCCCCCAGGGTCCCCTGCTCCTTTTCACCCTAGCCTCTGAGTATTCATTCCTCCCCACCTAATACTATGACACACACCCCAAAGTGACCTGCACCTCATCCTTCAAGCTCAGCCTCTCACCTACCAACCCAGAGTTCTTACAGAACCCTGGGCCACCTCCTCGCGGCACCTTCCCAATGGGTGGCTGTATTTGCTTTCATCTGATGCTTCTGTTGGCATCTGGCTCTCTGTGTGGACCAGTGGCACCACGGGGACAGGAAGGGTCTTGTACACACCCCCACCCTGCACTGTGGGGCTCCAGGCCCTTCAGGATGCCCTTGCCTGGTGGGACTTCGCAGATTCCTGGGAGTCACTGAACAACCTGCCCTTCCACGTTACATTCAGACAGCAAAGCATTGCAGGCTGAGGCAGAAGAATGCTCTCCCCTGCTTCTCAATGAGTCCCATGGCCGAGTCCACTGGGGAAATGGAATCAGAGCACCTCCCATCCAGAACTTTCCAGAATGCTCTCTGCCACTTCTCAGTGAGAGTCCCGTGGCCGAGTCAGCAGGGGAAATGGAAACTCCAACCTGATGGGCAGGTGGTGCCTGTGGGATCCCACAGGGCTCGGACACACTGCTGTGCGGCGTGACCTTCCAGGGAAGGAGGGAGGGCTGTGGGGGAGCAGGGGACTTGGGCAGCTCCAGAGGACTGCAGAAAGCGATGGCTCTCAGGCTGGCATGGGAGCAGTCAACGCAGGTTGGCAGCCATCATCAGTGTCACTGTCACCCCCTCAACTGGGCTGGATGAAGAGTCATAGATGCCTACCTCTGGAGTCCTGATCGGAAGTTGTGGGAAGGGACACGCTGACACAGAGTCAGGGTCTGCTTGCCTGATACCCACTGCCAACCCCCTGACCCCAACGGTCCCTGGTGCCTGTTTTCAGTCCCTGTGTACCTACAATGCCACAGTGCCGTAGTCAGGTGCACACAGGCTGTGGAGGGAACTGAAGTTTGCACGTGGGCCAGTCCTATTGTGAGCCTGTCTCTGAGAATGTGAAACCTGCACACCTCACCTCCAAAGTGGATGGTACCTGTCATCTTGGGAGGTTTTCACTGTGTCCCCAGTAGGCTCTGTGGCCTGTGGACCCACCACAGATCACCCAGAACCAAGCAAGGCCAACATACTCAGGGTGGGGTACATCCCTCGGCCCCGGCCCAGAGGGTGTAAGGAAGGCACTTCTGGGGCAAGGTCCTCTGCGGAGCCGCCCCCCTGCCCTCTGACCTCTGATCACATGTTCTGTTGCAGCGTGACCACAGGCAAGTGCTCAGCTCCCTGCTGTCTGGGGCCCTGGCTGGTGCCCTTGCCAAAACAGCGGTAGCTCCCCTGGACCGAACCAAAATCATCTTCCAAGGTAAGTGTTGGCCATCCCCAGGTGCTAGAGAAGCTGCCAGGCGGTCACCTCCTCCTTCATGGCCCCCAAACCACGCTTCAAATTGGCTTTTATTTTTAGATTTATTTTAGAAATAAGGTTTTTTGTTGTTTTTTTTTTTTGAGACGGAGTCTCGCTCTGTCACCCAGGCTGGAGTGCGGTGGTGCAATCTTGGCTCACCGCAAGCTCTGCCTCCCGGGTTCACGCCATTCTCCTGCCTCAGCCTCCCGAGTAGCTGGTACTACAGGCATGCGCCACCATGCCCGGCCAATTTTTTTGTATTTTTAGTAGAGACAGGGTTTCACTATGTTAGACAGGATGGTCTTGATCTCCTGACCTCGTAATCCGCCCGCCTCGGCCTCCCAAAGTGCTGGGATTACAGACTTGAGCCACCGCCCCCGGCCAGAAATGAGGTTTTTCTCTGTTGCCCAGGCTGGCTTCAAAGTCCTGGGCTCAAGTGATCCTCCTGCCTAAGCCTCCCAAGTAGCTGGGACTATGGGTGTGCTCCACTGCACTCAATTGGGTTTTTTTAATGCCTCTTTAAAATCCACTCAGAGGCCCTGGCGCAGTGGCTCTTGCCTGTAATCCCAGCATTTTGGGAGGCCAAGGCAGGCAGATCACTTGAGGTCAGGAGTTTGAGAGCAGCCTAGCCAACATGGTGAAACCCCGCCTCTACTAAAAATACAAAAATTAGCTGGACATGGTGGCGGGCACCTGCAATCCCAGCTACTCTGGAGGCTGAGTCAGGAGAATCGCTTGAACCTGGGAGGCGGAGGTTGCAGTCAGCCAAGGTCGCGCCATCGCACTCCAGCCTGGGTGACAGAGAGACTCTGTCTCAAAAATAAATAAATAAATAAATAAATAAATAAATAAATAATAAAATCCACTTCGAATCTGTACGAGTTTCCTGGGGCTGCTGTCAGAAAGCACCACAAACCAGGTGGCCTCAAACAACAGGAATTTCTTCTTTCACAGTCCTAGGGCCAGAAGTCTGAAGTGAAGGTGTGGGCAGGGCTGCGTTCCCTCCAGAGGCTCTAGGGGAGGATCCTTCCTTGCTTCTTCCGGCTTCTGGGGGCTCCTGGTTCTCCTTGGCTTGTGGCCGCATGGCTCCAATTTCTGCCTCTGTCATCACGTGGCCTTCTCCCCTGTGTGTCTGTTTTCTCTCTCTCTCTTTTATTTATTTATTTTTGTTTGTTTGTTTGTTTTTGAGATAGAGCCTAGCTCTGTCACCCAGGCTGGAGTTCAGTGGTGTGATCTTGGCTCAGTGCAACCTCCATCTCCCCAGTTCAAGCAATTTTCCTGCCTTAGCCTCCCGAGTAGCTGGGACAACAGGCACGCACCACCACGCCTGGCTAATTTTTTTGTATTTTTAGTAGAGACAGGTTTCGACACGTTGGCCCCGCTGGTCTTGAATTCCTAGCCTCAAGTGATCCACCCGCCTTGGCCTCCCAAAGTGCTGGGATTATGGGCATGAGTCACCGCGCCCGGCCTGTTTTCTCTTCTTATAAGGACACCAATTCGCATTTAGGGCCCACCCTAACCCAGTATGACCTTACCTTAACTCTATTACATCTGCAAAGGCCCTGCTTTCAGATAAGGTCACCTTCTTGGAGACTAGGGGTTAGAACTCAGACATAGCTTTTCAGAGGACAGAAATTAAACCCTCAACAGAAACCCTCGCCCTCCCTCGCTAGGGTTAGTCACAGGGTCCTCTGAAGAGGTGGCCTTTGCCCCCTTCAAACAGTTACCAGTTCCTGCCTAGGGCCCAGAAGCAAGATGGTTACGGCCCGGGCCCTCTGCCCCTCAGCTGTTTGGGAAGAATCTGCAGGCTTGAGCCAGGCCCTTCCCACCACCTTGAGCCGATCCCCTACCCTCTCTGTGTCCCAGTTTCCTCCTCCGTAAAGTGGAGGCATGGATATCCGCTTCCTCCTTGGCTGGCATGGGCATCCAGTGAGCTGGCAGGCCTTCGAAAGGGACAGCCTTATTTATTTATTTATTTATTTATTTATTTATTTATTTAGAGACAGAGTCTCTCTCTGTCCCCCTGGCTGGAGTGCAGTGGTGCGATCTCGGCTCACCACAACCTCCACCTCCTGGATTTAAGCGATACTCCTGCCTTACCCTCCCGAGTAGCTGGGATTGCAGGAGTCTGCCACCATGCCTGGCTAATTTTTTTGTACTTTTTTTTAGTAGAGTCAGCGTTTCACCATGTTGGCCAGGCTGGTCTCGAACTCCTGACCTCAGGTGATCCACCCGCCTCAGCCTCCCAGAGTGCTGGGATTACAGGTTTGAGCCACTGCACCTGGCCAGGGCAGGCCCCTTTAAGTGCGCATGAGCAGGTGCAGGGTGTTGTGTTCTGCAGGGAACTGGGGTTCAACCCTTGAGGCAGCAGGCATGCATGCATGTTGCACACACAAGTGGTGGGTGGTGAGGGGTGAGGGAGGCGGGCTGCCAGACCACGTCAGAGGCTCCTGGTGACCGTTTGTGGCCTGTTTTTCTGGGTCTCTCCCAAGAGTGCTTATGGCCCACCATGGCTCGGGTCCCCCATGCCCAAGGGCAGCACAGAGCCAGAAAGGGAACCTGGCAGCCACAGGGGGTGGGAGAGGCAGGATAGCGGTGCCTGTGCTGGGACCCTGGGAGGGGCATGTCCGGGAGAGAGGGCAGACCCCACATGTAGACCCCTGCAGGCCTTGTTCTGAGAGAGCCAGGGCTTCTCAGCTGAGACCCAAGTGCCTGGAGGCTGGGACACCTTCCCTGCAGGGGTTTGGGTGAATGGTAGTCTAGTCCAGGGGCAGGGTGCTGAGTGTCAACCCATCTCAGACACGTTCTCCTCTCAATGGAGACCCTCACTATTCTGGGGCTTGGGTGTCAGCTCAGCTCCCATTCCTGGGACAAGATTGGGGGGAAAAGGAGGGTGACTCTGCTAGTGGGTGCCAGGGGTGGGGCCACGCAGATGGGAGGTTCTGTCCTTTGCATCTCAGTGGCTTTTGTGCTTTTGTTTTTTCCAGTGTCTTCAAAAAGATTTTCTGCCAAGGTGAGCCACTATGTCACCGCCCCGGCCTGGGGACAGTCACCACTACCCTGATGGGCTGGCAGGAGTTAGGCAGGTGGTCTGAGGAGAGTCTCAGGGGTGGGGACAGGACTACCTGTCTTCCCATTCCCAGCTCTGCCTGGACACAGCCCAGCCTGGGAACTGACGGGACATCCCGAGTGTCCTTCCGGCAGTGGGGTGGGGAGACTCAACAGCTCTAAAACAACCTTTTCATGTTTGATTTATTGTTAAACAGAGAGCAGGTGCTACTTTCTTAATAAAGGAAAAGATAAACTGTAAAAGCTGGGATGCCAAACACCAACAGACATGCCCTTGGGCAGGGCTCCGAGCTGCTTTGCAGCCTGGTTCGCTTTGCAGTCCCCAAGAGAACTTGGTGGGGTGGGAGGCCCAGAAAACATAGGGAGGAAGGACGGGGCTGGGGTTGATAATGTCAGTCTGGACAAATCGGGGTGGGGCCCTCACATGGGGGTGGGGTTATGTGCTGTGCATGGAGATGGGGTCACCCCGGCCCCGCCTCCGCACTTTGGGCGCTCTGCTGGTCACAGAGGCCCGCAGGGAGGGCAGGCAGAGGCAGAGGGATGTTGACCTTCCCGCTTATCTCCAGGAGGCCTTCCGGGTCCTCTACTACACCTACCTCAACGAGGGATTTCTCAGCTTGTGGCGCGGGAACTCGGCCACCATGGTGCGCGTGGTGCCCTACGCCGCCATCCAGTTCAGCGCACACGAGGAGTACAAGCGCATCCTGGGCAGCTACTATGGCTTCCGTGGAGAGTGAGGCCCCGCCCCGCCCTGCCACAGAATCGCCCCGCCCACGCCCGCCCCTCTCTCTTTCTTCTGCACGCCCCGCTCCCTCCTCTTCGTGCCTTGCCCCTAGCCCTGCCTTCCCTCTTCCCACAACGAAACACTGGGAGACTCCTCACCCAGGCCCTCCTGAGGGACCCCCTGACTCTGTCACATGCCCTATTCTGTCTTCAGAGCTCCTCTCCTTTGCCCGTTTGTCTCCAGACGTTTCTCCACCCCCACGCATAAATCCCAGAGGGGCAGGTTACTATGCCCCCAGGGCCGTAGGGAAAATACGCATCATTAATTTATGCCAGCAGGGGGGAAGGGAAGGCAGCCATGTAAACCTCAAAATGAGGCCCACTCCAGAGACCCCATCAGCTTGGCCAGGAGGAAGCCAAACCCGCCTCGTGTTCCTCGGTCCCCACCCCTGTCCCCGCCCCAGCAGAGACGTGCGGGTGCTCCAGGCTGGGCCTCTGTGCATCTGCAACCCCCTCACTGCCGTCTCGCCTTCTCCTCCTGCCCTGTTCAGAGCCCTGCCCCCTTGGCCTCGCCTCTTCGCCGGCGCACTGGCTGGAACGACAGCCGCTTCACTGACCTACCCCCTGGACCTGGTCAGAGCGCGGATGGCCGTAACCCCGAAGGAAATGTGAGTCCTTACATCGGTGATGCGCATCAGCCCCGGGGGCTCTGTGTCTCGGGGGCTCCCAGGTCGGAATCCCTCTCTCTATCGGGCCCCAGGGGTTTGCATCTGGGCCTCCGTGTCCACAGGGCAGGCCTGATGTGTCATTCTGCAGCTGTTCCAGAAAGGCAGCAATTTGTTCTCTTAGCCTGGGGGTCACTTTCTGCTTAGATCAAACCAAGGGTCTTCATTTTGAACTGGGCACAGATGCAGTAAAAATATGTAAGAATACGGCCGGGCACGGTGGCTCACGCCTGTAATCCCAACACTTTGGGAGGCCGAGGTGGGCGGATCACTTGAGGTCAGGAGTTTGAGACCAGCTTGGGCAACATGGTGAAACCCCGTATTTACTAAAAATACAAAAATTAGCCGGGCGTGGTGACACGCACCTGTACTCCCAGCTACCTGGGAGGCTGAGGCAGGAGAATTGCTTGAACCCGGGAGGCGGAGGTTGCAGCGAGCCGAGATCGAGCCACTGCACTCCAGTGTGGGCAATAGAGCCAGACTCTGTCTCTCAAAAAAAAAAAAAAAAAAAAAAAAAAAGTCTGAGACTAGAATGCTTAATTCAAGGAAGATACCATGATCATGAAAAATGTGTAAGAATAGACCGGGCTTGGGCCCAGGTGCGGTGGCCCATGCCTGTAATCCCAGCACTTTGGGAGGCCAAGGCAGGAGGATCGCTTGAGCCCAGGAGTTTGAGACCAGCCTGGGCAACATAGCAAGACCCCATCTCTACAAAAACTGAAATATTAGCCTGATGTGATGGCATACGCCTGTGATCCCAGCTGCTCCAGAAGCTGAGGGAGGAGGATTGCTTGAGTCTCGCAGCTTGAGGCTGCAGTGAGCCATGATCACGTCACTGCACTCCAGCCGGTCCACAGAGTGAGACCCTGTCTCCAAAAAAAAAAAAACAAAAAAAGTGTAAGAATAGAGGCCGAGCATGGTGGCTCACGCCTGTAATTCCAGCACTTTGAGAGGCTGGGGTGGGTGGATCACCTGAGGTCAGGAGTTCAAGACCAGCCTGGTCAACATGGCAAACTCTATTTCTACTAAAAATAAAAAATTAGCCAGGTCTGCTGGCATGTATCTGTAATCCCAGCTACTTGGGAGGCTGAAGCAGGAGAATCACTTGTACCCAGGAGGCAGAGGTTGCAGTGAGCCAAGACTGTGACACTACACTCCAGCCTGGGCAACAGAGGGAGACTGTCTCAAAACAAAAACAAAGAAACAAAAAAAAAGACAAGGGCTGAGCACTTGCTTCCCGTGGCGAAGGTGGAGTCTGGGCTTACGCATGCATTTCCCCTCTAATAACAAAGCTTGAGTGATGGGGTTATATGTCTTGAAGAAGAAGGAAAACATCAACATCCAGACACACCCAGGCCCAGCCGGCTTCGGGAGGAGCCGAGAGCCTCTGTGGCTCCTCCCTGTGCCTGGGAGGCCTGAGTCCCACCTGCTGGGCTGCTCTGTCCTGGCAGGTACAGCAACATCTTTCATGTCTTCATCCGCATCTCGAGAGAAGAGGGGCTGAAGACTCTCTACCATGGATTTATGCCCACCGTGCTGGGGGTCATTCCCTACGCTGGCCTGAGCTTCTTCACCTATGAGACGCTCAAGAGCTTGCACAGAGGTAAGGAGAGCTGGGAGCATGAGGAGGGGACGTTCAGGAAGCATTCCCTGGGGACAGCAGCTCCACCTGGGTCACATAGACCTGGAGACCAGGCGGAGTGGGGTACGACCCCTGGGTGGGGCAGGCTGTAGACCCACATCCAAATCGGGAGAAAACACACTGTGTGCAGCCGCCACTGAGGAACCTGGACTCACTGCCTTAAATGCCTAAGTGAGAGGAACTCTGGCTGGTGCCACGGCTCGTGCCTGTAATCCCAGTGCTTTGGGAGGCCGAGGTGGGCGGATCACTTGAGGTCAGGAGTTGCAGACCAGCCTGGGCAACATGGCGAAACCCCGTCTCTACCAAAGATACAAAAAAATTAGGCATGGTGGCACACACCTGTGGTCCCAGCTACTAGAGAGGCTGCGGTGGGAGGATCACCCAAGCCTGGGAGGTCAAGGCCGCAGTGAGCTGTGATCTCACTGCTGCACACCAGCCTGGGTGTCAAAGTGAGACCCTGTCTCAAGAAAAAAAAAAAAAGTGACTCTGGGAAGCCCAGTGTGTCACCTAGAGCATTGATACCTCACCTCTTCACGAGCACACACGCAAAGCATATGGGTAAAACCCAGATGGAAAGGAAGTACTCTTGCTTGTTTTGGTAGTTGGGAGAAAATCAAAAAGTACAAAGAATGATATAATACTCATACCTGCCACTGCATGTGAACAGGCATTCACATTTTGCTACATTTGCTCCCAGATATTTTGTTTTTTTTCTTTTTTGTAGAGATGGGGTCTCCCTCTGTTGCCCAAGTTGGTCTCAAACTCCTGGGCTCAAGCGATCCTCCTGCCTTGGCCTCCCAAAGTGCTGGGATTAAAGGTGTGAGCCGCTGCACTCAGCCCACTCCCAGACATTTTTTGTCAAAGAAATAAAATGTTAGGGGTAACGCTGAGGGCCCAAGTCTCTCTCCTGAGGCCTCTTATTAGAAGTGAGGGTTGCACCCCTCAAGACTGCTTTGAAAATACTTCTGTATGTATTTATCTGTGGCATGAACAAAACCATGTCACCTTTCACAGGTATAAAAAATGCTCCAAGTGGAGTCAGCTCACCCGGGAGTGCAGCTCCCAGCTCAGCTGGTTTGGGGTGCATCCACCAGCATCTGTGCTCTGTTCCGCCTTTTTAGTGGCTGCACAGTGGGCCTTACCTTCTTGGGGTGCCCTTTGGCTGTTGCCAGGTTTTCTGTGATCAGCCGACATCCAGGAGCTCGTCTCCTTGTGTGACTGTAAAACCCCATTTTCGGTGTTTCTCTCTGGAGTGCTTTCCAGCCCCTTGACCCCACGTTCTCACCCCACGTGATGCCATCAGACCCCTTGTTTTTGCCCACCTGGTGAGCAGATCACAGTGTCTCCTGTCTGGCTGTTTTTTTGAGACGGAGTCTCACTCTGCCGCCCAGGCTGGAGTGCAGTGGAACGATCTCAGCTCACTGCAACCTCCACTTCCTGGGTTCAAGCCATTCTCCTGCCTCAGCCTCCCTAGTAGCTGGGATTACAGGCGCCCACCACCACACCTGGCTAATTTTTGTGTGTTTTTGGTAGAGACAGGGTTTCTCCATGTTGGCCAGGCTGGTCTCCAATTCCTGGGCTCAAGTGATCCGCCTGCCTTGGCCTCCCAAAGTGCTGAGATTACAGGCGTGAGTCACTGCACCCAGCCTTGGCTGTTTTAAATTCCTAGTTCTAAATTTACTATTACAAATGTTTAAAGTACCCCTACTGACCTGTTGCTGCTCCTTCCTCCTCCACACCCACACACCCCGTTTAGACCCGCAAGACAGAGCAGGGTGAAGTTCATGGTCACTTATGTCCACTCTGTGCAACAGCTCGCAGGGGCTCCCCAGGGAGGGCGCAGGTCGGGGACCAGGCACGGGAGCACCTAGAATGTTCCTTTACTAGACGTGGAGTAGAGCTGATTAGATGTGAGCAGTGGCTCTAGGAGTTGGTTCTATGATTCTCTGTGTTTCTGCCTTTTAAGAAATTTTATTTCTCGGCCGGGCTCGGTGGCTCATGTCTGTAATCCCAGCACTTTGGGAGGCCGAGGCAGGCAGATCGCCTGAGGTCAGGAGTTTGAGACCAGCCTGACCAACATGGAGAAACCCTGTCTCTACTAAAAATACAACATTAGCCAGGCGTGGTGGTGCATGCCTGTATTCCCAGCTACTTTGGAGGCTGAGACAGAATTGCTTGAACCCGGGAGGCGGAGGGTGCAGTGAGCCGAGATTGGGCCATTGCCCTCCAGCCTGGGCAACAAGAGTGAAATTACATCTCCAAAAAAAAAATTTTTTTTATTTCTCGAGTTTGAGTGAAAGGAGCGACCCGGAGGTGAGGCAGTGGGGCGTGTGGGTGCGCATGAGTGCGAACACACGTGGGGGTGCAAGTGCATGTGTGTATGTGCACGCAGGTTGCTCCTAGGGGTGCAAAGGCGCGCGCACGGGTGCGGGGTGCGCGCCCCCTCGCGGCGCCTTCACGGCCCTCCCGCCCCTCGCCCTGCAGAGTACAGCGGCCGCCGGCAGCCCTACCCCTTCGAGCGCATGATCTTCGGCGCCTGCGCTGGCCTCATCGGGCAGTCGGCCTCGTACCCGCTGGATGTGGTGCGGCGGCGCATGCAGACGGCCGGCGTCACGGGCTACCCGCGCGCCTCCATCGCCCGCACGCTGCGCACCATCGTGCGGGAGGAGGGCGCCGTGCGCGGCCTCTACAAAGGCTTGAGCATGAACTGGGTCAAGGGTCCCATCGCCGTGGGCATCAGCTTCACCACCTTCGACCTCATGCAGATCCTGCTGCGGCACCTGCAGAGCTAGGGGACCCTGAGCTGCTCTCAGGACGGTGGACCGGTGACCCCTTTGTATTCTGGGCCCATGGAACGGTGGGGGGGTGCGCTTGATTCTACTTCAGGAGGCACATGGGGCGCTTTATGGAACGAGCAGGTGGGCCTGAGGGGCCTGGGCTCAGAGTCCACGTCCAAACGCAAAGCTGGCAGCCCTGGAAGTGCAGTGTTGGGGCGATGGTGTGGGGGGTCCCGCAGCTCCCCTCTTCCTTCCTCTGCAGACGCTGGCGCTGTCTGCCGGAGGTGTTGCCCAAAAGGCCCTAGTGGGGCGTGGTCAGCTCCACCTCCTGATCCTGTGTGTCCTCCGACATGCTGCTGATTCTAGTGACCCCTGTCCCCACCAGGCTCAGAGCCAGACCGCGCCTGGACCTTCTTGTTCTGACTCCACGTGCCTGCCCGGCCTCCAGGGTGCGGGGGCGCCTTTCTTGCAGGCGGACCCTGCCCAGGATGGGGCCAGCCTCGTGCTCAGCTTTGGCCACAAATGCAGCCCCTGGCCCACCCCACCCTGCCGGCCCTGCCTTCTCCAGTATTTCCCACATGGCCACGACTCCTCAGTCACTAGAGCCTCCTGCTGGGAACAGTGTCCCCCAGAGCCTCATGTCTATCCTAGACCCTGCAAGCAGCTGGGTCCCCAAGAGTGCATCTCCCCCTAGAGTTGCCTGCCCATGCCCACCTGCTTTGTAACCTTCCCAGGAGATTCATGCTTGCTCTGCACAGCAGGGCTCGAGGCCCAGGCCATGACACGGAACTGCCTCAGGTTTGGGTCAGACCTGCATCCTGGGGCATCTGCTGAAATGTGAGCACACAAACCACCTCCTTTGGCCCAGAAGCCCCCCAGGCCTAGCATCTCAGTGCCCCAACCCTCTGCCCAGCTGTGGTATCCAGCAGGTCCTTGGGTCCCCACTTGAGCAGGCACTTGGCTGGGATATGGAGCAATTTAAAGCCCACAGGGGTTGTTCAGTTTCTATGAAATGGAGCATGGGGTGCCTGCTAGCCTCAATCCCCCGAAGTGGGAGCCTCATGATAGAGTATAGCTTGGGGGTGGGAGGTGAGGAAAATCTGAGGTACCCAGGGGAACCCCCAGCTAACTGGTCTCTCAGAGGAGTCCCCCAGGGCCCGCCAGCTATCACAGGGACTCAGAAACACCCATTTCCTAATGACATGGTGAGTTTCTTGATTTCTTTTTTTTGTTTGTTTTGTTTTGGTTTTCAACTTGGCTGACCCCGGGTCTATGATCTATTCACATCGAACCCCTGACTGGTCTGCCTGGTGCCAGGGTGAGCGTGACCGTGAGTGTTGCTTTCGACAGCTGGCTCAGCACACGCTGTGTGAAGGGATCTGAGCTTGTTCATCTCCAGTCGTGACTTCATTTCCCTTCCTTCTGTCCTCCTCCTGTTCTTGCCTTGGACCTGCAGGTGTGCAGACCGCTCTCTCTGCCTTCCTTGCATGTGGCCACCAGCCATCCCTGATCTTGTCCCCAGAGGCCCAGGCAGCCTGTGATGGCTGTGAGGGGCTGTCCCACTGTGTGGGTATCCCTTACCCAGCACTTAAACTTGGCAGGAGAGGCAGGGCAACCCTCACAGGGAGATGGGAGGGCACCCAACTCCCACAAGCATGCAACAGCAGTAGGAATTGGGGGTCTGCCCCAGGTGGGTGAGACCAAATGAGTGGATTTGGGGCCACAGGCTAGGCAGGAGAGACAAGGGGTAGGTGGGAGGGTCCCCCAGTCCCTGCTGACCCCAGTGTGTCTCCCCGGAGATGGCTCCTAGCTGAGTGGGACCCGGCAGGAGTTGGGGACAGTGCTGTCCCCCACCCCTGCACACAGCCAGGCCCTCAGGCTCTGCGGTCACTCGCCTCCCTGCTGGTCACTGGTCTTGGTCTGGAGTTATATTTTGATGCCATGAAGACACTGTTTATATCTAATGTTTATATATTTTAAAGATTTGTGCCAAGAGAGTATATTTAATAAAAACTTAAATGACTTCTTCTCCTGCTCCTGGCTCTTCTTTGGCTCTGACCGCCCCCCCATCTTCCCCCATGAACCCCCAAACAGGGTTGAAGTGCTTTTGACACATTTGTGATAAAAGTTCTGAATAAAAGTCTTGAATAAAGAAGTTTTTAAATGCAATTGTTGTTTGAATTAATACATACCACAATTTTCCAGAAAACACCAGCTGTCCACAAGGGTTTACAGTGAAAAGTAGGTGAACAGTTCCCTCTGCAGGGGGCCTCCTGTGACCATTTTCTCTTGTCTCCTCCCACAGAGATTCTGTGCATACACTCATCCCTTTCAGGATATATGTGGCCACCCACAAAGGCAGGAGGGGCCGTCTCTGTGCAGCCAGCACAGCCCAAAGTCTCATGGGCTTGAACATGGCCTTCCTTCCCAAGAGCCCTGCACTCTGGGGCTGGCTGAGGCTTCAGGCCTGAACGTCAGTCACCATCTGCAGGGGCAGCCACCAGAGGGTCTCCAGTGGCAATCCTGGCTCACTTCACCTGCAGCCCATTGGCCAGAGCAACTTGGAGGACCCACCCACTGCCAGGCCAGAAGTGGGAGCCTCTGCGTGCCCAGAGAGGAGGGGCGGCTGGGCCAGCACAGGCCTGGTGCTCTTGTTGGGGTGGGAGTAGGAATAAGTTCCACTGCGCTGACCCCCCACTGCTCTCCAATCTGCTCACGTGCAACAGGATTTCTTTTGAGTTGGTCTCCGTTGTGCACATTGTTCAGCAGCTGTGCGGTTTTCTCCTAGAGGATCCCCAGGATGACATTTACCAGGGTGGGTGTGGTGGCTCATGCCTGTAATCCCAGCACTTTGGAGACTGAGGCAGGTGGCTTGCTTGAGCCCAGGAGTTTGAGACCAGCCTAGGCAACACAGTAAGACCCCCCATCTCTACAAAAAAATAGAAAAATTAGGCCGGATGCAGTGGCTCACGCCTTTAATCCCATCACTTTGGGAGGCCAGGGCAGGTGGATCACTTGAGGTCAGGAGTTCAAGACCAGCCTGGCCAACATGCTGAAACCCCCATCTCTATTAAAAGTACAAAAATCCTAGCTACTCAGGAGGCTGAGGCAGGAGAATTGCTTGAACCTGGGAGGCGGAGGTTGCAGTGAGCCGCTGCACTCCAGCCTGAGTGACTGAGAAGTCTCCGTCTCAAAAAAAAATTTTTTTTTAATTAGCCAGTCTTGGAGGTGCGTGCCTGTAGTCCCAGCCACTCAGAAATTCACGCCTCCCTTATGTTACCAAACCAGGCTCGTTCTGCCCAGCAGTATGCCAACAGAGATGACAGGTTTTGCAGCAAAGAGTTTATTCACGAGGCAGCCGAGTGAGGAGACAGGAGAACAGATCTCAAATCCGCCTCCCTGAAGATGGGATTTTAGGAATATTTAAGGGATAGAGGAGCAAGGTGGTCAGAGACGTGGGGAAAAGTGGGGCAGTCGGGGAACCGTGCGTGCGTAGTCAAGCTTCATGGCTTTTCCATAGGATGTGTGTTCACAAAATGACATTGTTATCATGATCTGAGGGTGGAGTGTTTGGCCCTCTAACGTCAAAGGTCACCACCTAAATATACACAGGCCAAGGTGAAGGTTCGGCTCTCAGCCCATTTGGATTGGACAAGAACTGATCCTGTTCCTGAAGAACAACTTGAGCAACCATTACCATGGTGGCCCATACATAGAGATATTATCTATAAGGAAACTAGTGGGAGTTTTTTTGTTTGGGTTTTTTTGTTTTGTTTTGTTTCTTTGTTTTTGAGACGGAGTGTTGCTCTTTTTGCCCAGGCTGGAGTGCAATGGCATGATCTCGGCTTACTGCAACCTCCACCTCCCGGGTTCAAGCGATTCTCCTGCCTCAGCCTCCTAAGTAGCTGGGACTACAAGCGCCCGCCACCACACCCGGCTAATTTTTTGTATTTTTAGCAGAGACGGGGTTTAACCATGTTGGCCAGGCTGGTCTCAAACTCCTGACCTCAGGTGATTCACTCGCCTTAGCCTCCCAAAGTGCTGGGATTACAGGCTTGAGCCACCGTGCCCAGCCTATTTTTCTGTCTTTCTTTTCTTTTTTTTTTTTTTTTTTTTGAGACAGGGTCTCACTCTATTGCCCAGGCTGGAGTGCAGTGACACTACCATGGCTCACTGCAGCCTCCAACTCCTGGGCTCAAGCCATCCTCCCACCTCAGCCCCCCTAGGAGCTGGGACTACAGGTACATGCCACCACGCCTGGCTACTTTTTGTATTTTTTGTAGAGATGGGGTCTCACCATATTTCTCAGGCTGGTCTCTAACTCCTGGCTCAAGTGATCTGCCTGTCTTGGCCTCCCAAAGTGCTGGGATGACAGGCGTGAGCCACCACACCTGGCCTGGGAGTTTAGCTATACATTGTTTAGCTGAGTGACTTTTAACACTATGGGGTTTATAATCAACTAAAAACAAGTGAGGTAAGTTAAGATTGGTAGGTCTAATCAGGTGAGCCCTCAGTTCCCCTTATGGATGGGCAATTGTTAGGTATTGCCATGACAATGTGATAGCAATTTGGTGGGGGCTGCTGAACTCATCTGCACCCCGCCTCTGACATCCAGCCCAGATTTCTGATCTAAGTTCCACGTTTCACACCAGCCCCTGAACCTTGGTCAACCCCTCCCCTCTCCCACCCACCACTGTGGCATCTCCTAACAGTATAGAGGTGAGCCCGTGGACCTGTCTAGACTAGTGACAGTGAAGAAGATGTTTGCTAGCTGCGTCCAAGAAGAGCTTCAGGAGTCCTTTTTTTTTTGAGACGGAGTCTTGCTCTGTTGCCCAGGCTGGAGTGCAGTGGCGCGATCTCGGCTCACTGCAAGCTCCACCTCCAGGTTCAAGTGATTCTCCTGCCTCAGCCTCACAAGTAGCTGGGATTACAGATGCCCGCCACCACGCCCAGCTAATTTTTATATTTTTAGTAGAGACGGGGTTTCACCATGTTGGCCAGGCTGGTCTTGAACTCCCGACCTCAGATGATCTGAACGCTTCGGCCTCCCAAAGTGCTGGGATTACAGATGTGAGCCACCACACCTGGCCACCAAATGCTTTTTGCTATAAACAATTCCGCGCAGCCTAGGAGTGTCCTGAAGAAACACAACATGGTACCCCAGGTGCAACCGGCGGCTGATGACTGAAGGTAGGTGTGTAAGTAGCTTAACCCATGCCCGGACGTGGGATCATCCTGAGATAATTGCTCTACCCTGCCCCGCTAAGGCCCACAGCAGGACTGAGCCTGGTTGCCCACAGTGTCACCTGCTCATTGGTGCCCCCTGCAGGGCATCTTCCCTCCTCGTCTCAGCTCTCACCCGCCATGGGGGCTGCCTGGGGACACCTCCCAGGTAAACCACTAGCTCTGAGTCCTTTTGGGGTCATCTTTGGGGGAAACCTATCCAAAAAGGAATAGGAATGCCAGGTATTCCTGCAAATAGATCATATAGATTTATACCACATACTCACCCATATTTGATCTTCCATAATCTGACAAGTAAAAAATGGTATCTCAGCCGGGTGCGGTGGCTCATGCCTTTAATCTCAGCACTTTGGGAGGCCGAGGCAGCTGGATCACTTGAGCTCACGAGTTCAAGACCAGCCTGTGCAGCATGGTGAAACCTTGTCTCTACAAAAAATACCGGGCATGGTGGCACGTGCCTGTAATCCCCACTACTCAGGAGGCTGAGGTGGGAGGATGGCTTGAGTCTGGGAGGTGGAGGTTGCAGTGAGTCGAGATGGCACCACTGCATCCCAGCATGGGTGATAGAACCAGACCCTGTCGCAAAACAACAACAACAACAACAAAAACCAGTTAATTTATGGCCAGGCATGGTGGCTCACACCTGTAATCCCAGTTCTTTGGAAAGCTGAGGCAGGAGGATCACTTGAGACCTGGAGTTTGTCTCTATAAATAATTTTTTTTTTTGGTGGGACAGGGTTCTCATTCTGTCACCCAGGCTAGGGTACAGTGGCACAATCACATCTCACCGCAGCCTCAACCTCCCAGGGTCAAGTGATTCTCCCACCTCAGCCTCCCGAGTAGCTGCGACTACAGGCGTGGGCCACTATGCCTGGCTAATTTTTTATATTTTGTAGAGACGGGGTCTTGCTATGTCACCCGAGCTGATGAACTCCTGGGCTCAAGAGATCTGCCCACCTCCACTTCTCAAACTGCTGGGATTACAGGCGTGAGCCACTGCACCCAGCCCTCTACAAATAATTTTAAAAACTATTTTACTATTTTAAAAGTTGAAGGTTATATTTTGTTTTATCTATGAGTTTTATTTCCCCTTTTTATTTTGTTTCGGCTTGTCTGGAAATGGTATATTCCGTTTCTTCACCCATAGGGCTTCACAACATCAGCACTGCTGACATTTGGCGCTGATAATCCTCTGGGGTGAGGCCATCCTGGGCACCACACGGTGTTGAGCAGCATCTCTGGCCTCCATTCTTCAGACACCAAGAGCAACACCTCCACCCCTTGTGGTGACAACTAAAAGATGTCTCCAGACATCAACATGTGTTCCTTTGGAGCAGAACCACCCCGTCCTGTGAGAGGCACGGATATGGTGGTTACAATGGATACATCAACAAGAATTTAAATGTTTGGCCGGGCGCGGTGGGCGCGGTGGCTCAGGCCTGTAATCCCAGCACGTTGGGAGGCCGAGGCAGGTGAATCACTTGAAGCCAGGAGTTCCAGACCAGCCTGGCCAACATGGTGAAACCCATCTCTATTAAAAATACACACACACTGCCGGGTGCGGTGGCTCACGCCTGTAATCCCAGCACGTTGGGAGGCCAAGGAGGGCGGATCACGAGGTCAGGAGATCGAGACCATCCTGGCTAACACGGTGAAACCCCGTCTCTACTAAAAATACAAAAAATTAGCCGGGCGTAGTGGCGGGCGCCTGTAGTCCCAGCTACTCGGGAGGCTGAGGCAGGAGAATGGCGTGCACCCGGGAGGCGGAGCTTACAGTGAGCCGAGATCGCGCCACTGCACTTCAGCCTGGGCGACAGAGCGAGACTCCATCTCAAAAAAAAAAAAAAAAAAAAAACTACACACACACACAAAAATTAAAATATTTATCTTCCCTCTGAGCCACACACAAAGACCTCAACCACCCCCTTCTATCTTTCCTATTTTTATTTATTTATTTATTTTGAGACAGAGTCTCGCTCTGTCACCCACGCTGGAGTGCAATGGCGCGATCTTGGCTCACTGCAACCTCTGCCTCTGGGGTTCAAGCGATTCTCCTGCCTCAGCCTCCTGAGTGGCTGGGATTACAGGCACCTGCCACCGCACCTGGCTGATTTTTGTATTTTTAGTAGGGATGGGGTTTCACCATGTTGGCCAGGGTGGTCTCAAACTCTTGACCTCGTGATCCACCGCCTCGGCCTCCCAAAGTGCTGGGATTACAGATGTGAGCCACCATACCCAGCCTGATGAAAATTTTAAAAAAGAAAATTCTTAAACCGTTCTAAGTCAGGGAACTGTCTGTATACATCTTACTTATACAAAAAGGTTACATATGCACCTTACATTGTTTTTGTTTTTGTTTTGAGATGGAGTCTCACTCTGTCACCCAGACTGGAGTGCAATGGCATGATCTTGGCTCACTGCAACCTCTGCCTCCCGGGTTCAAGCGATTCTCCTGTCTCAGCCTCCCGAGAGGCTGGGATTACAAGTGTGCACCACCACGCTTGGCTAATTTTTTTTGTATTTTAGTAGAGACAGGGTTTCACCATGTTGGCCAGGCTGGTCTTGAACTGCTGACCTCAGGTGATTGGCCTGCCTCGGTCTCCCAAAGTGTTGGGTTACAGGCATGAGCCACGGCACCCAGCCTGCACCTTACATTGTAACACACGTGTGGACACACCCTGGAGTCACAGCTACAGGACAATTTCAGAGTCCATGACGGCCCCACATCCCTTCCCTGGGTCACCAAGGCCTCAATATGCCCCTCCCCCCTCCCTGTGTGTGATATCTATACAAGTCACCTGCATACCTGTAGCAGACGCTGGCATCACTGTGGGCTCCCCGCCCTCCCATTCCTCAAACTGGTTTTCCTCTAAGGTTTCCCTGCCCATCTAACCTTCTCCTGGCACTCCCTCATGGTGCATTTCTCTCACCTGCCCGTCCGTCCCAGGCCACCTGCCCTCTCAGCTGGGACTCCAACTTCCCCTGATTTCTGGTCTCTTCCATCCTGCTTTTGGACTTTTCCTGGGACACTTGCATTTCTTCTTTTTCTTTTTTTTTTTTTTTGAGACAGAGTTTCACTCTGTCACCCAGGCTGGAGTGTGATGCGATCTCGGCTCACTGCAGCCTCCACCTCTCAGGTTCAAGCGACTCTTCTGGCTCATCCTTCTCAGTAGCTGGAACTACATGCATGCGCCACCATGCCTAATTTTTGTTATTTTAGTAAAGACTGGGTTTCACCATGCGTTGACCAGGCTGGTCTCAAACTGCTGGCCTCAAGTGATCTGCCCGCCTTGGCTTCCCAAAGTGCTGGGATTTGGGATTACGGGCGTGAGCCGCCGAGCCTGGCCTCCTTCTTGCTCTCCTTTCTCCTCCCAGACCTTTGCTCCCCTCTCAGTCCTGCTCCTCTCTCCCTCCCGCGCAGCCCCCACCCTGCACCCGGGCAGGTGCCACAGGGACGTGCAAGACAGCTACCACCCTGCACAAGCCCGAGTCCCAAACCACTCAGACCCTGTTTGTAAAAATCGGCATGCTCCTTTATTTGTTCAGAAGAGCAGCCAGCATCACCCTTGCCACTCAAACCTGGCACATACGCTTCGGAGACAATGGCCTCGGGACCCTCATGCTGCTGGGCCCAGGAGAGACAGTTCTGAGGCAGAAACTCGGCGTCCAAGGGGGGCCGCGGGTCAGGCACTGTGGTGAAGGGAACGCCGGGGAGTCCGGCCCCACCTTGCAGCTGGGGACACGGGGGCGCAAACAGAGGGGGCAGGCTAGTGTCCCGCTGCCCCAGGAACAGACCTCAGGGCCCCAGGAGGGTCTGCAGGCAGCTAGGAGCCTGCCAAGTGCTGGTGGAAGTAGAGGCCGAAAAGGCTGGCGAGCAGCTGGCAGGCAGCCGTCCACCAGATGAGGTAGGCCAGGACGCCACGGAGGAAGAGGGGAGTAAGCAGGCCACCCAGAGCCCCGGCAATCCGCGCTGCAGTCTGCTGGACTTCGTCCTCCCCAGAGCCGATGGGGGCAGCGCTGGCTGAGGATGGGTCGGGGGATAGTAGAGGAGCTGGGCCCAGGCCCCAGGAATAGCCTCCTAGGAGAAGAGGATGAAGCGAGGTATGAGTGGAAAAATGGGGGAGGGGGCGAGGGACAGGGCTGGCACGGGGGGCCAGGCCCATTCCTCCAGACACTCCCACCCCTGTCTCAGACTCCATCTCCAGCCCAGTCTCCACCCCCTCAGGCGCTGCCCCCTGTCCAAGGCAAACCCTACCCCAGGCCCCACCTCCTGCTCAGATCCTGCCTCAATACATGCCCTGCCCCCTCCCCAGGCCCCGCCTCCTGCCAAGACGCAACCCCTCCCCAGGCTCCACCTCCTAAGGCAAACGCCATCCCAAACTCCACCTCCTGCTCAGACCCTGCCTCACCACAGTCCCCGCCCCCTACCCAGGCCCCGCCTCCTGCTCAGATTGCACCCATCCCCAGGCTCCACTTCCTGTCCAAGGCAAGCCCCACTCCAGGCTCCGCTTCCTGCTCAGACCCTGCCTTACCACAGTCTCCGCCCCCTGCCTAGGCCCCGCCTCTCCCCCCCCACCGCGGTCCCCGCCAGAGTCCACCTCCACTCTGTTTTATCTTCCAACTCCGCCCCTCCTCCACCCCCACACCGCGGCATCTCACCCAGCGTCTTGAGCAGAAGTGTGCAGTTGAGGGTGAGGATGAGCGGCGTCAGGTACTGCAAGCTCACCACGGTCACATAGCAGTAGACTCGGACCACCTGTGGGCAGGTAGCAGGGGTGGCTGCAGCAGGAGGCCTTCTGGTTTGGGACGACTCCACGCCCAAAGGACCAGGAACCCCACCCTGAGCCCCAGGTTCCCTCTGGCCTAGGTCATCGGGGCGTCCATACCCTCTGCTGGATTTCACGGGCTTCGATGCGGCCAGCCTCCCTTCGCAGCTGCTCCACCCGGGCCTTGGCCAGGCACAGGTAGGCCTGCAGGTGGGGCCGGGTCACCGCCAGCCGCAGCAGGCACAGCACCACCAGCAACCAGAGGCGCCCAGAGTCGAAGGCAGAATCGGACAGCCTGTGCGGAGAGGGCCGGGGGCAAGGGACTAAGAAGGTCGCCCCCGACCCCCCAGGATCTTCCCCAGGCTCCTCCCTGAATCTCAGAGGCTAGGGCACCCAGGGGAGCCCCAGCTACCTCCTAGCCCCACCCAATACGCACAGGGAGAAACGCGTCTCCCCAAACGGCGGCTGGTGCAGGAAGTCCCGTGCAATGGGCTTTGTCCAGAGCCACAGGATGAACAGGGGAGACAGGAAGCTGGTGTGCAGGAGGAACCTGGGGGGTGAGGGCAGGAGGGAGTGAGGCCTGGGTACCCCCTCTCCTCGAGTCTCTCCCTTAAGCTCCCTAGTCCCCCCACCCACCAAGCGACCCACTTAACTGCAGCATGGGTCTGTCCTCCGACATGGTCAGTGCGTCCCGGTGGGTCTGGGCCAGCCGCAGGCCTGGGAAGGTGAGGAAGGCACCCAGCACAGAGCCCACCACTGCCAGTCCCACGCGGATAGCCAGCTTGGCCACAGGAAGCCTAGGAGAACACCAGGTCACGAGCCTGCCTGGGGGACCCTGGGAGGGTCCCAGCCTGCCCTTGCCTCCCTCCCCCATTCCCAGGACTCACGCCCAGTCCCAGCCCTGCTTCTTCAGAAGTGGCTCTAAGTTCTGGGTCATGCTGGCCAGACCTGGGGACGATAAGAAGAGGACCGAGTAGAGTGAATTCCTAGGGTCTCTAAGGCCACTCTGTTCCCTAACCCCCCATCCCTCAGGCATCCGTTTGCTTCCCAAGTAGGAATGAACAAGGGTCTGCCAGGCCCTGAGCCAGGCACAAGGACAATTTTGTGCTCTAGTTACACAGTACTTTTTACAAGAAACAAGATTGGAGTGGTGGTTCACGCCTGTAATCCCAGCACTTTGGGAGGCTGAGGCAGGCGGATCATCTGAGATCAGGAGTTTCAGACCAGCCTGGCCAATGCAGTGAAACCCCCGTCTCTACTAAAAATACAAAAATTAGCCAGGTGTGGTGGCAGGTGCCTGTAATCCCAGCTACTTGAGAGGCTGAGGCAGGAGAATCGCTTGAACATGGGGAGCGGAGGTTGCAGTGAGCTGAGACCGCACCATTGCACTCCAGCCTTGGGGACAAGAGTGAAACTCAGTCTCAAAGAAAACGAAACAGAATGCACCAGGCAGACACTCCTGATTGGGCTGGGAACATTCAGGGGTATCTGTTGAGCCTGAGCTCCCTAGGTTATAGAAGGAATCTAGAGGGGGATGAAGGACTCCTGCAGGAGAAAACCAAAGTCCTCCTGGAGGAAGGAATCCTCAATTCAGGACCCAAGATTTTTCAAAAATTAAGAGCAGGGCTGGGTGCAGTGGCTTGCACCTGTAAGTCTCAGCACTTTGGGAGGCCAAGGCGGGTGGATCGTTTGAGCTCACAAGTTTGAGACCAGCCTGGGCAACATGGCAAAACCCCCATCTCTACAAAAAATACAAAACCAGGGGTGGTGGTGCACGCCTATAGTCCCAGCTACTGTGAAGGCTGAGGTGGGAAGGATGGGTTGAGCCCAGGATGTGGAAGTTGCAGTGAGCTGAGATCATGCCACTGCACTCCAGCACAGAGCAAGACCTTGTCAAAAAAAAAAAAAAAAAGGAGCAAATTCATATGAGCTCACAGGCAAAATCACCAAATGCATAAGGAAACAAATCACCATAAAGGAGAGTTAACAGAAAAACAACAGTCAAGTTTAGGCCTCAAAGACTTCAGAAATTGGTGCTGTCAATTATGTGTCAAATGACTAAGGAAATGAAAGCTGTAATCACAGAACAAGTGACATGAGAATTCCTTCAGATGACTGGGTAGAGTTGCAAAGGAACCAAATTAAACTCTTCCAAAGGAAAACTGTAAGTATTGAAATAATAGGTTGTTAAACAGCACATTAGGAACAGCCAAAGGAGGAAGTGATGAACTGGAAGACAGATCTGAAGAAATCACTCAGATTCCAACTCAGAAAAACAAGTAGGTGAGAAATATGAAGAGAGGCTAAGAGATAAGGAAGACAGAACAGAGAGCCCAACGCAAATCAAATCAGAGCCCCAGAGGGAGGGAAGAGAAGGAATGAAGAATAAAAGGAATTACTGGAAGAGAATGGTTGAGAAGTTTGCAGAATGAAAGACAGACACAAAGTATATCAAACCATGTAAATAAAAAGAAATCCATACCTAGACATAATGGAGTGAAACTGCAGAACACCAAAAACAAAAAAATTACAAAGCAGCCAGGGAGTTAAGACAGATCACCTACAAAGGAACAACAATTAGGCTGACAGCCAATGTCAACTGCAACAACAGAAAAGGAACAAATAGAAAGCAAAAAAGTAAGATGGTAGAAACAAAGTCAAATATGTCAGTAATCACAATAAATGTAAGTAGACTAAACTTTAAAGTTAAATGACAAAGACTGTCAGACTACATTGAAAATATCCAGCTACATGTTTTTTAAAGGATGACATACCTTGACATAAAGTCACTGGAAGACTGAAAGTAAAGGGATGTTAAAAAGATACAGCAAATACTAATCAAAAGAAAGCAAGCTAGAAAGGCTATACTACTACCAGCCAAACTAGACTAAGAAGTAGTATTAGAATAGGCCAGGCGCGGTGGCTCACACCTGTAATCTCAGCACTTTGGGAGGCCAAGACGGGCAGATCACAAAGTCAGGAGTTCGAGACGAGCCTGGCCAACATGGTGAAACCCTGGCTCTACTAAAAATCCAAAAAATAGCTGGGCATGGTGGCGGGTAATACCAGCTACTTGGGAGGCTGAGGCAGGAGAATCGCTTGAACCCAGGAGGTGGAGGTTGCAGTGAGCCGAGATTGCGCCACTGCACTCCAGCCTGGCCAACGAGAGCAAAACTCTGTCTCAAAAAAAAAAAAAGTAGTATTAGAAGACAGAAGGGTTCCATACATCATGATAAAATGGCTGATTCACCAGGAAAATGTAACAGTTCTAAATCTGTGAATAGAACTAATCTGTGAATTGTGAATAGGCTGCAAAATATATAAAGAAAACACTGACAGAATTGATAGGGAAATTGAGAGCTCTCTTGTCCCAGAGGGAGATTAACTTCTGCTGACTGATAAGTCACAGACAAAAGGTTAGGCAAGATGGAGATTTGAATTTATTAAACTCATAGAGCCAGGGAATATGTCCTTCAATTAGAACATGTGAAAAAAGGCAAAACAACAAAAACAGAATATGTCCTTCAAGAAAACAAGGAATAGTCACAAAATGTGATCACATTCCAGGCCATAGGGCAAATCTTACCAAATTTTAAAGAAATTATTTCAAATAGACCATCTGTGCAATTGAGCTAGAAATAAATATGTATTTTTTAAAGATCTATGTTTGAAAAATTTAAAAATATTTAATAATCCATAGGTCAAAGCATAGCAAGACCCCATCTCTACAGAAATCAGAAGGGAAATGTTAAAACACCCCAAACAGAATAATAAAAAATATCAGTCAAAACTTGGGTAAACTGCCAGGTGTGATGGCTCACACCTGTAATCCCAGCACTTTGAGAGGCCGAGGTGGGTGGATCACCTGAGGTTAGGAGTTTGAGACCAGCCTGGCCAACATGGTAAAACCCCGTCTCTACTAAAAATACAAAAATTAGCCAGGCGTGGTGGCGTGCACCTGTAATCCCAGCTACTCAGGAGGCTGAGGCAGAAGAATTGCTTGAACCCAGGAGGCAGAGGTTGTAGTGAGCTGAGATTGCACAGTTGCACTCCAGCCTGGGTGACAAGAGCAAAACTCCATCTCAAAACAAAAACAAAAACAAAAAAAAACTTAGGTGAACAAAAGTGAGACCTGGTAAAATATATATAGCATTAAATGCTATATATGCTATAAAATTAGAAAAGATTGAAAATTTATGAGCCAAGTAGCTAACTGAGAAATTGGAAACAAGAAAAGGAGGTACGCCAGTACTGTTCTCAAATCCAGAGGTCCTAGCCACACCAAAGGGGAAGGATCAGACAGAACAAAAGAAAACCAAAAAGAATCTGCAATTCAATAAAAATATAATTGTTTAGCAAGGTTAGTCCGTGGAGACACTCAAATTTGACCCCTATATGATAACACAAAAATTAATGTCACTGTCCATCAGCAACAGTGAGTAGTTTAGGAGCTTATATGAAATGTAAAAGTTGAAATATTTTATTTATTGATTTTTAAGATGGAGTCTTGCTCTTGTCGCCCAGGCTAGAGTGCAATGGCGTGATTTCGGCTCACTGCAACCTCTGCCTCCGGGGTTCAAGTGATTCTCCTGCCTCAGCCTCCCGAGTAGCTGGGATTACAGGTGCATGCCACCTTGCCCAGCTTTTTTTTTTTTTTTTTTTTTAGACGGAGTCTCGCTCTGTTGCCCAGGCTGGAGTGCAGTGGCGCGATCTTGGCTCACTGCAAGCTCCACCTCCCGGGTTCACGCCATTCTCCTGCCTCAGCCTCCCCAGTAGCTGGGACTACAGGCGCCTGCCACCACGCCTGGCTAATTTTTTGTATTTTTAGTAGAGACGGGGTTTCACGGTGTTAGCCAGGATGGTCTCGATCTGCCGACCTCGTGATGTGCCCATCTCGGCCTCCCAAAGTGCTGGGATTACAGGCATGAGCCACCACCCCTGGCCAGTCATTCTATATTTTCTTCTAAAATATTTCAGCCAGGCGTGGTGGCAAGCGCCTGTAATCCCAGCACTTTGGGAGGCTGAGGCAGGTGGATTGCCTGAGGTCTGGAGTTCAAGACCAGCCTGGTCAACGTGGTGAAACCCCATCTCTAGTAAAAAATACAAAAAGTAGGCCGGGCACGGTGGCTCGCGCCTGTAATCCCAGCACTTTGGGAGGCTGAGGCGGGTGGATTGCCTGAGGTCTGGAGTTCAAGACCAGCCTGGTCAGCATAGTGAAACCCCATCTCTAGTAAAAAATACTAGAGATCGCCCACTGCACTCCAGCCTGGGGGAAAGAGCGAGACTCTGTCTCAAAAAAAAAAAAAAAGACAATGTAGAATGACTTTCTGATTTTAGGGAAGGATATTTTTCAAGACAAATATCAACTAAAATAATCAACTTCCATTCATCAAGACACTAGAGGTGACACTTACAACTACATTTGACGACTCAGCAAAGAAAGTGTGATGCATGTATGCAGACGGAAAATAATGCAAATAGTGGTCAAATGAAAACAAAAGAAGTATTGGCAATGAAGTGGATAAATTTGGAACACTTGTGCACTGCTGCTGGGAATATAAAATATAAAATGGGCTGAGCACAGTGGTGCACACCTGTAATCCCAGCACTTTGGAAGGCCGAGGCTGGCGATTGCTTGAGTTCAAGAGTTCAAGACTAGCCTGGGCAACATGGCAAAATCTGTCTCTATTAAAAACACAAAAATTATCTGGGTGTAGCCAGATGTGGTGGCTCACACCTGTAATCTCAGCACTTTGGGAGGCCAAGATGGGCAGGATCACCTGAGGTCAGGAGTTAAAGACCAGCCTGGCCAACATGGCAAAACCCCATCTCTACTAAAAATGCAAAAATTAGCCAGGTGTGGTGGCGCACACCTGTAATCCCAGCTACTTGGGAGGCTGAGGCAAGAGAATCACTTGAGCCTGGAAGGTGGAGGTTGCAGTGAGCCAAGATCATGCCACTGTACTCTAGCCTGGGTGACAGAGGGAGACTGTCTCAAAAAATAAAAATAAAAATAAAAAAATAAATTAGCTGGGTGTGGTGGTGGGAGCCTGTAGTCCCAGCTACTTGGGAGCCTGAGGCATGAGAATCACTTGAATCCGGGAGGCAAAGGTTGCAGTGAGTGGAGATCACGCCACCACTGCACTCCAGCCAGGGCAACAGAATGAGACTCTGTCTCAAAAATAAAATAAAATGGTTCAGCTGCTGTATAAAACAGTATGGCAGTCCCTCAAAAAATTAAAAGTAGAATTATCATATAATCCAGCAGTTCCACTTCTGGATATATACTCTCCAAAACTGAAAATGGGGTCTCAAAGAGATACCTGTACACTCAGGTTCACAGCGGTATTAGTCAAAAAGCCAAAAGTTGGGAACAACCCAAGCATTCATCTGTGGATGAATAAACAAAATGTGTTCCACCCAGACAATGAAATAGTGTTCAGTCTTTTTTTTTTTTTTTTTTTTTGAGATGGAGTCTTGCTCTTTCACCCAGGCCGGAGTGCAGTGGCACTATCTAAGCTCACTGCAAGCGCCGCCTCCTGGGTTCACACCATTCTCCTCCCTCAGCCTCCCGAGTAGCTGGGACTACAGGTACCCGCCACCACACCCGGCTAATTTTTTGTATTTTTTTTAGTAGAGACGGAGTTTCACCATGTTAGCCAGGATGGTCTCGATCTCCTGACCTCGTGATCCGCCCGCCTTGGCCTCCCAAAATGCTGGGATTACAGGCGTGAGCCACCGTGCCTGGCAGTGTTCAGTCTTAAAAATGGAATTCTGGCTGGGCCCAGTGGCTCACGCCTGTCATCCCAGCACGTTGGGAGGCGGAGGTGAGAGGACTGCTCGAGGCCAGGAGTTTGAGACCAGCCTGAGAAGCATAGCAAGACCCCATCTCTACAGAAAAAAAAAAAAAAATTAAAAATTAGCCAGGTGTGGTGGCATGTGCCTGTGGTCCCAGCTACTTGGAAGGCTGAGGTGGGAGGATCACTTGAGCCCTGGAGATCAAGGCTGCAGTGAGTTGTGATTGCACCACTGCACTCCAGCCTCGGTGACAGAGTGAGATCCTGTCTCAAAAAAAGAAAAAAAAATTCTAACACCTGCTACAACATGGATATGCCTTGAGGACATTGTGCTAACTGAAATGAGCACGTCACAAAAGGACAAATACTGTATGATGCCACTTATATGAGGAACCCAGAGTGGTCACATTCACAGAGACAGGACGTAAAATGGTGGGTGTCAGGGGCTGCAAGAAGGAGGAACAGGGAGTTAGTGTTTGATGGGCTGGAGTTTCAGTTTTGCAAGAGCAAAGAGTTGTGGAGATGGACGGTGGTGATGGTTGCACGACATCTAAATAGACTTTTTTTTTTTTTTTTTTTTTGAGATGGACTCTTGCTCTGTCGCCCAGGCTGGAGTGCAGTGGCGCGATCTCAGCTCACTGCAAGCTCCGCCTACCAGGTTCACGCCATTCTCCTGCCTCAGCCTCCCAAGTAGCTGGGACTATAGGCGTGTGCCATTAGCCTAGCTAATTTTTTGTATTTTTAGTAGAGACAGGGTTTCACCATGTTAGCCAGGATGGTCTTGATCTCCTGACCTTGTGATCCGCCTGCCTTGGCCTCCCAAAGTGCTGGGATTACACATGTGAGCCACCACACCTGGCCTACATTTTTTTTTTTTTTTTTTTTTTGAGACGGAGTTTCACTCTTGTTGCTCAGGCTGGAGCACAATGGCTCGATCTTGGCTCACCACAACCTCCGCTTCCTGGGTTCAAGCAATTCTCCTGCCTCAGCCATCCAAGTAGCTGGGATTACAGGCATGTGTCACCACGCCCGACTAATTTTGTATTTTTAGTAGAGACAGGGTTTCTCCATGTTGATCAGGCTGGTCTTGAACTCCCGACCTCAGGTGATCTGCTTGCCTGAGCCTCCCAAAGTGCTGGGATTACAGGCATGAGCCACCATGCTCGGCCATCTAAATATACTTAATGCCACTGAGCTGCACATTTAAAAATGGTTAAGATGGTGAATTTTATGTTTTGTCTATTTTACCACAATGAAAAAAAATTCAAAGAGAAAAAAGATTCAAAGATGGGCAACAATGTGAACAGGTATTTCACAAAAATTTCACAGAAGAGACATGAATCATGAATAAACAGGAAAAGGTGCTCAACTTCCCTGGTAATCAGAGACATGCATGTTAAGGCCACAGAGGGCATCATTCCATGTGACGAGGGCTAGGTTGGCAAAAATCAAGCCCTATCCATGGATCTTGATTCATTTAAACCTTACTGCCGCCCCCTTGGGAGATTGGTGCAGTCACTACCCCACCTACTTATTATTTGAGGGGTAGGTTTGCAGGTACTCATATGATTATTTTGCTTTATAATTGACATACACATCTTCTTTGTATATATCAAACATATATAATTTTAAAAACTGAAAGGCAGGGAGAATTGGAGAAGGTAAAACTCAAGCAGTCAGCAGGGTCATGTGGGCCATGGTGAGGGCTATGGTCTTTCTCCTAAGACCGGGGGAGTGTGGTGCCGGGCAGAGAAGTGATGAGGTCCAAATTATATGTTAAAAGGATCATTTAAGAGGCCAGGCACGGTGGCTCACACCTGTAATAACAACAATTTGGGAGGCTGAGGCGGGCAGACTGCTTGAGCTCAGGAGTGTGAGACCAGCCTGGGCAACATAGTGAGACCCTGTTTCAATAAAAATAAATAAATAAATAATTTTTTAAAAAAATGAAAAAAGAGGCCACACACAGTGGCTCATACCTGTAATCCCAGCACTTGGGGAGGCTGAGGTGGGTGGATCACCTGAGGTCAGGAGTTTGAGACCAGCCTGGCCAACATGGTGAAACCCCATCTTTACTAAAAATACAAAAATTAGCCAGGCGTGGTGGTGCACACCCATAATCCCAGCTTGGGAGGCTGAGGCAGGAGAATCACTTGAATGCAGGAGGCAGAGGTTGCAGTGAGCCAAGATCATGCCACTGAACTCCTGCCTGGGTGACAAAAGTGAAACTCCATCTCAAAAAAAAAAGAAAAAAAAAGAGCTATAGCCATGAGTGTCCATCAGAGACAGTGAGAGAGGCAATGTCCTGTCTTCCCCAAAGCCCAACAAGGTTCAGGAGCTGAGATGGTCACTAATGGGGACTGCCTTCACCCCAGGAGCCCACTCCTTTGCCTACTCGTGCTGGACACGGAGCCAGTTAAACCATCTTGGTCAGATTACATGAGGGAGTGACAGCTGCGGTGGCCCCACGTTGGGGGCTGCACTTACCAGGCTCCAGGCCCAGCTCGAGGGTCTCCTCCCGCACCACTTGCACCAGCATGGCCAGCAGCAGGAAGAGGAAGGCAAAGGTGAGGCAGACAGAGCGCTCACCCCCCTCCTCGGCGCTGAAGTACAGCCGTGTCACTGTCAGGAACATCTTGCTGGAGGCTGGAGCTAAGGAGGCCTCAGGTGCCACTGCCCCACTCTGCCCATTTCACCACACTCCGTCTGGGACCCCAGAACTCCAGGGAACAAGCACTGCTGCACAAATAGGCCTTGGGGATGACCTAGAGGAGTTCGGTTTTGGGGTGCTGGATCTCAGATCAGGATGTGGGCTGGGGGTTCCCGTTGAGTGGGAGATGGCCTCATCAGGCCACCGTGTCTGTACAGCCTCCCGCCCTGGGTGACCCTGCCTCTTTCACCCACCTCACCTACTTCACATCCCTTGGAAAAGCAATCAGATATAGAAGGGCTTCATCTCCAATCTGCTGTCAAAATGCAGCATGGGGGCCAGACACAGTGGCTCATGCCTGTAATCCCAGCACTTTGGGAGGCCAAGGCAGGAGGATCACTTGAGCCCAGGAGTTCAAGAGCAGCCTGGGTAACATAGTGAGACCCCCATCTCTACAAAAAATAATTTTGTGGTAGCCCCTGTGGTCCCAGCTACTGGGGAGCCTGAGGTGGGAGGATCGCTTGAGCCCAGGAGTTTGAAGCTGCAGTGAGCCCTGATTGCACCACTGCACTCCAGCCTGCACGACAGAGGGATATCTTGTCTCAAACAACAACAACAGGCCAGGCGCAGTGGCTCATGCCTGTAATCCCAGCACTTTGGGAGGCTGAGACAGGTAGATCACCTGAGGTCAGGAGTTTGAGACCAGCCCTGACCAACATGGTGAAACCCAGTCTCTACTAAAAATACAAAAATTAGTCAGGCATGGTGGCGCATGCCTGTAATCCCAGCTACTTGGGAGGCTGAGGCAGGAGAATCACTTGAACCCGGGAGACAGAGGTTGTAGTGAGCCTAAATCATGCCACTGCACTCCAGCCTGGGCAACAAGAGTAAAACTCCATCTCAAAAAACAAAACAAAACAAAAAACAAAAAAGCATGGGAATCTGGGGAACCAGTGGATTTTAAGACAGGTTTCCCACTCCAAAAGTCACAGGAGTAGCATTCTTTCTGTGCTTCCTCAGACTTGGGTCCCCAAAGTCATGTATTTGCTCTCTTTGGGAGGCCAAGGCAGGAGAATCACTTGAAGCCAATCAGGACCAGCCTAGGCAACAAAGCAAGATCCTGTCTCAACAACAACAACAAATATATATACATGTACATACATACACACACACACATATATATATATATACACACACACACACACACACACACAATTTTTTGGGGGGATGTAGTTTCGCTCTTGTCACCCAGGCTGGAGTGCAATAGCATGATCTTGGCTCACTGCAACCTCCACCTCCCGGGTTCAAGCAATTCTCCTGCCTCAGGCTCCTGAGTAGCTGGGATTACAGGTATGCACCACCACCCCCGGCTAATTTTTGTACTTTTAGTAGAGAAGGGGTTTCTCAATGTTGGTCAGGCTGGTCTTGAACTCCTGACCTCAGATGATCCACCTGCCTCGGCCTCCCAAAGTGCTGGGATTACAGGCATGAGCCACCGCGCCTGGCTAATTTTTGTATTTTTAGTAGAGACGGGGTTTCACCATGTTGGCCAGGCTGGTCTTGAACTCCAGACCTCAGGTGATCCGCCTGCCTCAGCTTCCCAAAGTGCTGGGATTACAAGCATGAGCCACCATGCCTGGAGTATATATTTTTTAAAATTTTGCCAAGGGACCATATCTTTCTTGGCCCTGATTGTGGACTGGCCTGGTGATTTCCTTAAACAAGGAGAATGTGGTAGAAAGAATAGGGATGGGGTGGGTGACTTTGGGCAAGGCATTCCCTCCTGCCTCCTGGCATTTCTACTGCCACCAAAGGGCATGACCATGTGGAGTGGAGATGAACCGACCTGCTGAGCCCAGCCCAGTCTGTCCACCCACAGAGCTGGAGCACATAAAATGTCTGCTTCATGTCACTAAGCTTGGGGAAGTTTGTGGCACAGCAGGTGAAAACTGCCACACCAGTTTAGGGGAGCCAGGGAAGCTCAGGTCCTGCTCCCACCCGCCCCACTGGCAGGGAGCAGAGAGGAAGGATACATGGAGAAGGTCACCGTGAGCAGGCACCAGAACACAGCAATGTTAGTCTCCTTGGCTGGTCCCAGCATGTAGTAGTAGGCCTCTGTGAAGAGGTACACGCCGCCCGAGTACACAGCAAAGTCCACAAACCACTGGTACTCCAGGAAGAAGCGCAGGACTGTGGGGGGCACTCTGCTCAGCCCTGGGGCCCAGCTCGCTCCCCTCCTAATAGAACATTCTTCCTTCAAATCCTCCCCACCCCCATGAGGGTGTGGAGACCTTCAGGGCTGAGGGAGTAGAGTTTAGGGATGGGACTGGGCTATTACCCAGGGCATCCACGGTCGTGAGGGGGCAGGTCTCCAGCTGGAACGGGGCATCTCGGGGCACAGACAGTGGCTTCTCCTCACTAAGGCCATTGGCCCACCTGGGAGGATGGTGACAAGCAAGAGGGACGGTGAGCACGCATTCCACTGAGGCCAGCCACCCTCAGAGCTCAGAGCAGCTGGCCTGGAGACCATCTCTTTCCACAACCTTGGCTCCTCTGCACACTGGGATATGGGGATCCCCCCACCCACCCACAGGACTGGCTAGAGCAAACTGCCAGGAAACAGATGCTAACTTGACAGTGACCATCTCCTTGGACTAGGGTCTCCCGGTTCACCTGTGCCCAGATCAGCGCCTGGAAGTATGGGTGGGCCGGTCCTGTGTCCCTGAGCCCAGAGCCCCCTGAGCAGGGGTGAGGCCGTTCCTGGGGAGGAGCCACCCTCCCAAGGCTGGGGCTGGGGCCCAGGTCACTCACCGCTCTTTCCTGCCTCTGGGCCTCGGCTTCCCCGCCAGGGCCCGAAGCTCCTCCTCAGACGGGTGCTTGTATCGGAACAAACTGAGAGCAAGGACGGGCAGTCAGGGAAGCTCAGGCGTGGGGTTGGGAGGTTGAGGCAGTGAACCCCAAATCCAGGGATTCTAGTTAGAGGGTAGCCTAGGCCAGGGGAACACTGGGAGGTAGGTGAGGGTACAGCATGGGGAAATTCTGGGGAAATCGTGAGACCAACAGATCTAGGCTGAGTGGGCTCCGGGGGCTTGGATACCCCTGAATCTGCTGGCTAACTCTCCTGGGGAAGCCAGTGTGTGCAACTTTTCTTTTCTTTTTCATTTTCTTTTTGAGACAGAGTCTCCCTCTGTCACCCAGACTGGAGTGCAGTGGCATGATCTTGGCTCACTGCAACCTCCACTTCCCCGGTTCAAGTGATTCTCCTGCCTCAGCCTCCCGAGGAGCTGGGACTACAGGCATGCGCCACCATGCCCAGCTAATTTTTGTATTTTTACCAGAGACAGGGTTTCACTATGTTGGCCAGGCTGGTCTCAAACTCCTGACCTCAAGTGATCCACCCGCCCCGGCCTCCCAAAGGGCTGGGATTACAGGTGTGAGCCACCTCGCCCGGCCTTTGTTTTTTGTTTTTGAGAGAAGGCCTTGGTCTGTCGCCCAGGCTGGAGTACAGTGGCACCATCTCAGCTCACTGCAGATTTGACTTTCTGGGCTCAAACGATCCTCCTGCCTCAGACTCCTGATTAGCTGGGATCACAGGCGTGAGCCACCATACCTGGCTAATTTTTAAAATATTTTGTAGAGACAGGGTCTTGCCATGTTGCCCAGGCTGGTCAAGTGATCCTCCCACCTTGGCTTCCCCCAGTGTTGGGATTATGGGCCTGAGCTATCATCTCTGACGTGTTTTTTTTTTTTGCCTTTGTTTTTGTCACATACATTTTTCTCAGGAGAGAATTCAGTTGCCACCAGATTCTCAGAAAGCATCACAGACCCACGCAAGGACAAAAACCAGAGCAGGCGAGCTCTAGCAGATGCAGGGGTGGAAGGAAGGCTGGGTTACAGGGAGGCAGGAAGAGTGAGGGACGTGGGGAGTGTGGTGATGGTTCCACACATGTGTACACCTGTCAAAACTAGTCCAACTGTGTACTTCAAATATATACAGTTTGTGTCAGGCATGGGAACTCACGCCTGTAATCCCAGCACTTTGGGAGGCCAAAGTGGTAGGATCGCTTGAGCCTAGGAGTTTGAGACCAGCCTGGGCAACTTAGCAAGACCCCATCTCTATTAAAAATTTAAAAATTGTCTGGGCATGGTGGCGCACACCTGTAGTCCCAGCTACTCAGGAGATTGAGGCAGGAGGGTCACTTGAGCCCAGGAGGTTGAGGTTGCAGTGAGCTATGATCAGGTCACTGCACTCCAGACTGGGTAACAGAGTGAGACCCTGTCTCTAAAAAGAAAAAGAAAAAACAAATATATGCAGTTTGTTGTACTTCAATTACACCTCAACAACGTTTTTCCCCCCACCACCCACCAACCAAAATCAAGGCTTTGCAATTTGTGAGGCGGGGCGTGGGGAGCCAGAAGGGGGCGTGACTCCGCGGGCCCCTCCCACCGCCGGGGCGGGGCTCACCTGCCGTTACAGAGCAGCCAGCGCGCGAAGGAGCAGTGTGGCGCCAGCCTGTGCATGAGGGTGGCAGTGAGCAGGGTCACCACCAGCTGTACTCCGAGGACCGCCTGGGGGGAGGGGACATGACTGGCAGCACCTGCCAGAGGGTCACAAGTTCCCTCCCTCCCTAGGAACCCAGGCTATTTATAGAGAAGTCAGGCTGGATGGGGGAAGGGCGAGCCTCTTAGGCTCTAGCGGCTTCTTAGGGGAGAGTCCTGGGGTGAGTCTGGACTCACCTAGCATGGCCCTGCCCTCCCACGTCAGAGATCAACACCCACCCTCACCACCTAGCGGGAGTGTAGGGCAGTGGAGACCATGGGATTTGCCTCCCGCCTCCGCTATGGATTCAGGTATAATATTAATTTCCCGGAGTCTCAGTTTTCTCATCTGGAAATGGGTGCTTCCTATGTAGTCTCCTGTATTCCTCACCACCACCTTCCAGCCCCTAACCACGAGCCCGCCACACTCAGTGAAAGCGGCTCCCACCGCCTTCTGCACCCCACACTGTCACCTAGGGAGCCACTGCGTCTCGGTTGAGCTTCTAGCTTTCTCCTTCACCTGGTAGCTCCTTCCCCTAAGTGTCTCCCACCTTAAGTGATCCCTGATGGTTCCATCACCCTCCTCCCTCTTCTTCCCTTTGTAATTAACCTCCTTGAAAGGGCGTCTATGCTCCTGGCCACCTCCTGTTTTGGTGTGAAGACCTACATGTCTGAGTGGGGTGAGCTTATTTATTTTTATTTATTTATTTATTTTTTTGGCAAGGGAGTGGTGGGGAGAACAGGGTCTTGCTCTGTCACCCAGGCTGGAGTGCAGTGGCATGCTGGGGTGCTCACTGCAGCCTCAACCTCCCAGGCTCAAGTGATTCTCCCACATCAGCCTCCCTAGTAGCTGGGATTACAGGCACTCGCCACCATACCCAACTAATTTTTGTCTATTTTGTAGAGACAGGGTTTCTCCATGTTGCCAGGCTGGTCTTGAACTCCTAGGCTCAAGCAATCCTCCTGCCTTGGCCTCCCAAACGGTTGGGATTACAGGCGTGAGCCACTGTGTCCGGCCTATTTTTATTTTTATTTTTAGAGATGGGGTCTTGCTATGTTGTCCAGGCTGGTCTCAAACTCCTGGGCTCAAGTGATCCTCCCACCTCAACCTACCGAGTAGTTAGGACTACAGTCATGTGCCAACACACCCAGCTAAGGCTTTTTTTTTTTTTAATTAGGAATTTTCTCACCCAGTTCTTAATTCAGAACACATTTTCATATACTTATTTTTAAACGTTTTAGAAGAATCAGTCTGTGGTGAAGCTGGGTTTTCCTGCTTGAATGCAGTAAATACCCATTTGCTGCCAGTAATTACATAATTATGTAAAATTATGTGCTCAGGAGAGCTGTCTACTAGTGTTCTGGAATTATCATCAAAATGAAATAAAGTTTATTTAATAGTAAAATTAATTATGAAAATAATCCTTTAATCAGGCATAAATAAGCTAAATTTAGTCGGAAAAACCCTAATGTGATGGGTACCGGGCCTAGCACGGTAATTCAAAATGACTGCTGAGGCCAGGTGCGGTGGCTCGTGCCTGTAATCCCAGCATGTTGGGAGGCTGAGGCGGGCTGATCACTTGAGGTCAGGAGTTTGAGACGAGCCTGGCCAACATGATGAAACCTTGTCTCTACTAAAAATACAAAAATTAGCCAGACATGGTGGTGGGCGCCTGTAATCCCAGCTACTTGGGAGGCTGAGGCAGCAGAATTGCTTGAACCTGGGAGGCAGAGGTTGCAGTGAGCCGAGATTGTGCCACTGCACTCCAGCCTGGGCAACAGAGTGGGACTCTGTCTCAAAACAAAATAATAATAATAATAAAATAAAAATACATAAAATAACAGACTAATAGGACATTTTCTCTGTACCTGTGACTTGTAAACTGAGACCAGAAATCTTTTTTCAGTAATGAGGTTGGTGGCGGCATCTTTCTCATCTCTAAGTCCTCATTGCTCGCCCTCCCCGGGACCCTAGTGCAGACTGGCTGGCTGGCACTTAGGGACCATGAGTGCCAGCCCATGGGCCCCTGCAAGCCAGTGGGTCAGGGCTGTTGAAGCCCCACCCTTCCCCTAGGACCCTGCCCTCCCACCCCCCAGTCTGTTTTTCTCCTCTCTCTCCGACCTCTCTCCTGTGACCTGCCAGGGTTTTAACCACCCAATCAGCCAGCCCATCAAAACCTCAGCACGGTGACACCTCCAGCCCAGACCTCTCTGCTGAGCTCAACCAGTAGCCTCCTCCAGGCTCTCCTGGGAGACCCTAGCACTCACCCATCATCCCATACCCTTCCAGGTGGTTCAGGCCCTTCCCAGTCTCACAGTCAGCCCCCAACTTGGTTCTGCACCCTGCAGGCATAGCTAGAGACCATCCCTCCACCTCCCCACAGCTCAGCTCTCTCCTCAGCCCTCCCTGCACCCAACCACTGGAGTCTCAGAGGTCTTCCTGGACCTTTGGGCTCTTCATCAATGACCCCACCACCCCCCAAAACCCCCCAAGGGAAAAGGTGGTGGAGGGGTGCATCTCTCCACCTAAGGCTCCCAGAGGTCTGTCCAGGGATGTTCTGATGGCCCTGCCCTCCACCCAGCCTCCTGTCTCAGGGTCAGGGCTCTGCAGACATCTGCAAGAATTTTCTGGAGTCTTCCATCAGCTCCTTCTTTTCCCTTCACTGGATTTACGATTCTCGAACTCAAGAACCCTGATAAAATCAATGCAGCCTCCCTCCTCATTCCCGGGAGCCTGTGCCTTCATCTCCTACGGCGTCCTGCACCTCCGCCTGGGACGACGCCCCACTTTCAATAATTCCGGCCATCAGTGCCCTTCCTTCAGGGCCATCTCCAGCGCCCCTCCTCGGGGATGGTCCCAGGCAGAGACCCTCCAGTTCCACGTCCCTCTCTCTGCCCAGGCCGGTCCCGTCAGGGTTGTGGGAGTCCCCCATCTCCCTGCACCAGCCTGACCCCCAGGGGCTGGGCTAAGTTTTAAGAACACACTCAATAGGTTGGACCCAGAGCCGCGTGAGACCTGAAGGTTCCAACTTTCCTGTCTCCCACTCTGAGAACCTTGCCCGCCCTGAGGCCAACCAGACCTCCTGAGTCCACCTCCCACGGCCTCCCCTGCCCGTTCCACACACCCCGATATAGCAGGGACCCCCGATGGATCCTGTCGGCGCGGCCCCCACGCTCCTGCAGGACCCCCGTCCCCAGAGTGGACCCCCAACAGGACCCCACACCGCCTTAACCAGGTTCCAAATGTGCTGGGGTCCCCAGTCCCCTCTGTGGGACCACGACCCCTCAAAAGGATCCCAGACCCCTAAAAGGTCTCGAGGGCAGAATCCCCAGAACGCTTAGGGGCTTCTAGTCCCCCTGGGTACAACTCCCGCCGACTCCCTCGGAGGTCCTGTAGCGAGAGCAGGGCTCCCAGAGAGGGACACACGGCCTTCAGCGTGCCCCCGAATCCCTCAGAGCCTCCAATCCCCAAGAAGAAACCCCAATCCATTCCCTCAGTGTCTCCCTGGACCCCTTCGGCTGGACCTCGGCCCTGCAGAACCCCCCACTTCGCGGGACGCTCGCTCACCATGACGCGTGCGAGAACGCGGTGCACTCACCCACCGGCCTAGGGCTCCGGGCACTCTGCGGAAACTCGACCAATTAGAGCCCGACTCTGGTCTGACGAGCATCCCGTCCGACCAATCAGTGTGTCTTGAGCCGGCAAATCACCAGGGACGAGGAGGCCGCTCGCGTTGCATGCCGGAAATTGTAGTTCAGATACGCTGGTTCGGATCGATCAAAGTGAAGATTGTGTCTGGGAGGCCTGCGTGGCCGACCTCTCTTAAGGCTTAGTTTTCTCTTTCCTACACTTATCTCAAAGGTTTGCAGCGAAAGCATTTATTCCCACCTAAGGGACATTTCTGAGAGTAGAATTCCCTCCCCCCATCAAGAACATTCAATGGCTCCCACTTAGTAGACGAAGTACTTAGTACTCCTAAGTACTAAGTAGGCTAAGTACTCAGACTGAATTCAGACCCTTCTGCCTGACTTAAATCTGCTGCTAGCACTATTGTGCACCCTATAGTACAACTTGCACCCACCATGCTGTCTCATACCTCCAGGCCTTTGTAAATATCCTACATCTTGCAATGCCTTCAAGAATGCCTCAATCTTAAAATAAAAACAAAACAAAAGCAAAAAAGAATGCCTCAATCTTTTTCACCTGGCAAGTGCCTTATTCATCTCTATCAGCTAGGACTCTGGCTGTGCTCCACAAAATATCAACTAACATGGGTTCAAGCAAAAAAGGAAAATTTTTGGCTCATGTGACAGAAAATACTAGCCATAGTGTCAGCTTCAGGCGTGGCTGGATCAAGGACCAAATGTCAGCTTCAGGGATCTGATGTTCTTTATTTCACCGCTAGGAGGAAAGGGCTTCTGGTGTTTGTGCCCCGGTTTTGCCATTTGTCTTTCTGTGGATGAGTGTGTCTGCCTGAGTGTAGACATATATTGGGTATGACTGAGTGTCTGAGCATCTTTATGGGGGTGGGTTCCTGTGTGTGGGGCCTGAGTAATTACCTTTTCGTTTTTACATTTTATTATGTATTTGTGTATTAATTTTTTTTTTTCTTGAGACGGAGTTTCGCTCTTGTTGCCCAGGCTGGAGTGAAATGGTGTGATCTTGGCTCACCGCAACTTCCGCCTCTTGGGTTCAAGTGAGTCTCCTGCCTCAGCCTCCCGAGTAGCTGGGATTACAGGCATGCACCACCACGACTGGCTAATTTTGCATTTTTAGTAGAGATGAGGTTTCTCCATGTTGATCAGGTTGGTCTTGAACTCCCGACTTGAGGTGATCCGCCCACGTCGGCCTCCCAGAGTGCTGAGATTACAGGCGTGAGCCACCGGGCCTGGTTTATATTTTATTTTTTTAACTTTCGGCTGGCAAGTGCTGAATCCTAAGCGCACTATCGCACGCCACCTCGTGGTGGAGGGCAAAAGCGCAGTCTCCCTGGGATGGAGAAGTCAAACCAGTCTCACTTGTGGCCCTGGGGGCTCCCAGCCTTAGAAAGCGGCCCATAGTTTTATGGACCTCACACTGGGTGCTTAGCCTGTGGGCACTAACATCAGGGACTGGCCTGACTTCTTGTCCACCGTGAGGGTGAGATCCAAAGGCTGGGAAGGCTCTTTCTCTCTGGCCATGCCTCAGTTTCCCCCAGGGTACCCGCTACCTTGACCCTTTTCCTCTTGCTCAGTCCCTGGCCCTGGTCTGGATGTGCGGGGTTGGGGTGCCAGTGAGTAGGTAGGTCTTCAGCCCATGTGGAAGGAAGGCCAGGATCATTGTCGGGGAGGTCCTCAGAACAGAAGGGTGGGTAACTGGCTGAAGAGTTTGCATCATCTGTGCATGTAGCAGTGGCGCTGCTGGAGGTGGCAGGAGCTGCATGCTCAGCTGGACCTCCACAGCCATTGATCACTGCCATGAGGACCGTGGCTCACCCCTCCTGAGTGGGGAAGGGACAGAAGGGACCAGGTGGGAAGTGTTGAAGACTTGAGTCCAGCCAGGCATGGTGGCTTGGCGTATGCCTGTAGTCCCAGCTACTTGGGAGGCTTAGGCTGGAGGATCGCTTGAACCCAGAATTTTGAGACCAGCCTGGGCAGCACAGCAAAACACCCATCTCTAAAAAAAAATTAAATTAAAAAAAAAGTTAAATTAGCCCAACGTGGTGGCTCAAGCCTGTAAGTCCCAGCTACTCAGGAGCCTGAGGTGGGAAGATTGCTTGAGCCCAGGAATTTGAGGCTGCAGTGAGTCGTGATCATGCCACAGCACTCCAGCCCTGGCAACATGACGAGGAAAAAAAAAGAGGCTGGGTGCAGTGGCTCATGCCTGTCATCCGAGAACTTTGGGAGGCCAAGGTGGGAAGATCACTTAAACCCAGGAGTTCCAGACCAACCTGGGCAACATGGGGAAACCCAGACTATACAAAAAATACAAAAATTAGCTGGGCAGGCTGGGCACAGTGGCTCACGCCTGTAATCCCAGCACTTTGGGAGGCTAAGGGGGGCGGATCACAAGGTCAAGAGATCAAGACCATCCTGACCAATATGGTGAAACCCTATTGGGTTTCTACTAAAAATACAAAAATTAGCTAGGCGTTGTGGCTCACGCCTGTAGTCCCAGTAGTAGTCCCAGCTACTGGGGAGTCTGAGGCAGGAGAATCACTTGAACCCAGGAGGCAGAGGTTGCAGTAAGCTGAGATCTTGCCACTGCACTCCAGCCTAGCTGGGCAAGGTGGTGTGCACCTGTAGTCTCAGTTACTTGGGAGGCTGAGGCAGGATTGCTTGCACCCATGAGATCAAGGCTGCAGAGAGCTATGATTGCACCACCGCAGTACAGCCTGGGCAATAGGGCAAGACACTGCCTCAAAAATAAAAAAATAGGCCAGGCGCAGTGGCTCATGCCTGTAATCCCAACATTTTGGGAGGCTGAGGTGGGAGGATCACTTGAGGTCAGGAGTTTGAAACCAGCCTGGCCAACATGGTGAAACCCCATCTCTACTGAAAATACAAAAATTAGCCGGGTGTGGTGGCAGTCGCCTGTAATCCGAGCTATTTGGGAAGGACGAGAATCGTTTGAACCCGGGAGGCAGAAGCTGCAGTGAGCCGAGATCCCGCCACTGCACTCCAGCCTGGGCAACAGAGTGAGACTTTGTCTCAGAACAAAAAAACAAAAAAAAAAACCCAATAATAATAAAAACAAAATTAGGCCAGGAGCGGTGGCTCACACCTGTAATCCCAGCACTTTGGGAGACCGAGGTGGGTGGATTACCTGAGGTCAGGAGTTTGAGACCAGCCTTGCCAACATAGTGAAACCCCGTCTCCACTAAAGATACAAAAAATTAGCTGAGCATGGTGGCACATGCCTGTAGTCCCAGCTACTCAGGAGGCTGAGGCAGGAGAATCGCTTGAACCTGGGAGGCAGAGGCTGCAGTGAGCCGAGATCGTGCCATTGCACTCCAGCCTGCATGACAGAGCGAGACTCTCTCTCAAAACAAAAAACAAAAACAAAACAAAATAATAAAAATAAGTAAGTAGAAAAGAAAAAGAAAAAAGACCTGAGTCTGGGTTGGGTGAGCGAAATCTCTAGCCGCACTTGGACACTCTGCAGAGGCTTCAAGTTCACCCCATCCAAGTCTCATTCCCTACAAGCTTCCACAGCACAGAGGATGAAATGGGAGCTTCCAGTCACCCACGGCACGCTCTTCCCTTCACCTCCACCTCCGAGCCGTTCTGGAGTCCTGGTGGGTTTGCCTCCACGCACACACAGAGAGTGATCATTCCAGGGGGCACTGCCTCCCCTCAGCTCCCAATGCCCCCTGCCACGGGAGCCTGGGGAGGGGCTTTTACACACTTTGATCATGCCATATCCCTATCCTGGAAACTGGGGCCCCAAAGCCCCCACCTCACTGGGGATGAGGGTGGCGAAGATGACGTAGGACAAACCTTAGCTGGGGTCTGGGGTGCAGATGGCATCCTATACTCCGCCGTATAAACAAGTGCCCCCTCCGGGTTCTGTCACTTATATACTTTGTCCAGTCTCCCTATCCCTTAAAAGGCGTCCCGCCCATCATCTTGTCTAGGACTGTGTGCGCTAAGGGTGAAATGCAAGGTGCTCAGTTTTACTGAAGAAATCTCTCCCTGGGGCGCTGAGTGACAGAAAGGATTTTGAAATTGTCAGTCAACGTACCCCGCCCATTCTGGCTGAGCTGTGCCAACCAGCTCAGCTTTGGATCTTGGCAGAGTGATTGGAAAGCAGGTGAGTTTGTTTGTTTGTTTGGTTTTTGAGATAGAGTCTTGCTCTGTTGCCCAGGCTGGAGTGCAGTGGCGCGATTTCGGCTCACTGCAACCTCCACTTCCCGGGTTCAAGTGATTCTCCTGCCTCAGCCTCCTGAGTATCTGGGACTACAGGCACACACTACCATGCCCGGCTAATTTTCGTATTTTTAATAGAGACGAGGTTTCACCACATTGGTCAGGCTGGTCTCGAACTCCTGACCTCAAGTGATCCACCTGCCTCAGCCTCCCAAAGTGCTGGGATTACAGGTGTGAGCCACCATGCCCGGCCTGTTTTTGTTTTTGTTTTTTTACTCTTTGAGACGGGGTCTTTTGCTCTGTTGCCCAGGCTGGAGTGCAGTGGCTCAATCATGGCTCACTGCAGCCTTGACTTCCCGGGCTCAGGTGATTCTCCCACCTCAGCCTCCTGAGAAGCTGGGACTAGAGGTGTGCACTGCCACGCCTGGCTAATTTTTTTTTTTTTTTAAGAGATGGGATTCACCATGTTGCCCAAGCTAGTCTTGAACTCCTGGGCTTAGGCCATCCTCCCACCTCAGCCTCTCAAAGTATTTGGATTACAGGGGTGAGCCACTGTCCCCGGCCAAGGCGGATCTTGTAAGTCTTGATCTCAACACTCATGTTTTCCGTCTTCCTGTCCAAATCTGTGAACTCCAACTCACAAAGGTGTTTCTCAGCTTGGGACAGTGTAGAAGGCGTCATGGAGGAAGAGAGGCAGAGCTGGGCCTTGGAGGGTGGGAAGGAGTTTAAAAAGGAGACAAGTTGGGGGTTGAGGGAGGCGCTCCAGGAAAGACCAGTAGGGTCACATGTTGGTACTGCAAATATTTCTAAGGTACTGGAGAGGCTGGGACAGGGATAGGAGACCAGGCCAGACTAGGGTAGGGCAGCTGAGGAGCCCAACTTCCTTCTAAGGATGAGGAAAAGCTTCAAAGAGATGAGCAGAACATGGCAGAGGCAGATCTTTTAAATTTTATTACTGTTATTTTTAGAGACAATGTCTTGTTCTGTCACTCAGGCTGGATTGTAGTGGGCTGGTAATAGCCCACTGCAGCCTCCAACTCCTGGGCTCAAGGCATCCTTCCTCCTCAGCCTCCCAAAGGACTGGGATTACAGGCAAGAAGTAATTTTTTTTTTTTTTTTTTTTTTGAGACGGAGTCTTGCTCTGTTGTGCAGGCTGGAATGCAGTGGCACGATCTGGATCTCGGCTAACTGCAACCACCACCTCTTGAGTTCAAGTGATTCTCGTGCCTCGGCCTCCCAAGTAGCTGGGATTACAGGCATGGGCCATGAGGCCCAGCTAATTTTTGTATTTTTAGTAGAGATGGTCTCAAATTTCTGGCCTCAAGTGATCTGCCCGCCTTGGCCCCCCAAAGTGCTAGGATTACAGGTGTGAGCCACCGTGCCCGGCTAGAAGTCAGTTTTTTATGTTGTCGTTGTTTTTGATGTTATTTTTGAGATAGGGTCTCGCTCTGTTGCCCACGGTGGAGTGCAATGGCTCAATCACAGCTTGCTGCAGCCTCGACTTCCTATGCTCAGGCAATTCTCCCACCTCAGCCTCCTGAATAGCTGGGACTACAGGAATGTGCCAGCCATGCCCAGCTAATTTCTTTTTAAATTTTTTGTAGAGATCAGGGTGTCAGTATGTTGCCCAGGCTGGTCTCAAACTGCTGGGCCCAAGCCATCCATCCACTTTGGCTTCCCAAAGTGCTAGGATTACAGGCTTTGGCCACCGCACCCGGCAAGAAGTCAGATGTTAAGTATTATGAAGATCTCACTGAATGCCATGTATGGTGGCTTGCACCTGTAGTCCAGCTACTCTGGAGGCCGAGGTGAGAGGATTGCTTGAGCCCAGGAGTTTGAGAGCAGCCTGGGCAACATAGTGAGGCCCCAACTAAAAAAAAAAAAAAAATCCCACTGAGACCACCTGGGGTGCGTGAGGCCAGATAGACCCTGCTGCACCTCAACTATTTTCTGGGAGCACCCCTGACCTCAGGACACCCAAGTCTGTCTTCACACACAGGACAAGCCAGAGTGGGGGCAGTTTGCAACCCCAGGAGTGGGTATATAAACACCCTGCTCTCTTGTCCCCTGGGTAGAATCAATTGCTGGGTCAAGGGCTCAAGAGATACACCCATTCAAAAGATGAGCAGTCGGCGAGGCTGGGTGGCTCATACCTGTAATCCCAGAACTTTGAGAGGCCCAGGAGGGCGGACCACCTGAGGTCAGGAATTCGAGACCAGCCTGACCAACATGGGGAAACCCGTCTCTACTAAAAATACAAAAATTAGCATGGTGGCAGGTGCTTGTAGTCCCAGGCACTCAGGAGGCTGAGGCGGGAGAATCCCTTGAACCCGGGAGGCGGAGGTTGCAGTGAGCCGAGATCGCACCACTGCAATCCAGCCTGGGTGACACAGGGAGTCTCTGTCTCAAATAAAATAAAATTAAAATAATAAAATAAAAAATAAGAAGATGAACAGTTCAGGGGCGCTTCCAGCGCCCTGGGAGCCCGACATTCAGGATTCCCAGCTGCTGCTTTTGGGAGCCCTACGACCCAGCCCTAGGGCTTGCCCCTGAGCCCATGACCCACAGCGCCGGGAGCAGCCCTGGCCATTGGCCCTGGAGTGGAAAGAGCCGGGGCCCTCACCCCTGGAGTGGGACCATTCTAGGTGCACGCTCACTCTATGCTGTCCCCAGAACCCCCCGCGGGCTAAGCACCCTCTGCTTGTGCGCGTCCCCTGCAGGGCTCCTCCCGCCTTGCCTCCCCAACCCTCCACCTGGCAGCCCTCCCGGACACCCCACGGGCTCTTGAGTCCTCGTCTCAGGGCTTCTGGAGGGGGCACCCCAAGCCAAGACTAGGCAAGAATGAGGCGAGTCACAGTCAGTCTGGTCCACGGACGCCACGCGCGTTTTATTTGTGGATATACACACAAATAGGAAGAAGGAAAGGAGCCCCCCAGGGTGGATTGAGTCCAGCCGCCCACCTCCAAGCCCCCACCGCGGAGGGGGGCGTCACTGTTGGGTCTTCTCTGAAGAGGCCTGGAGGGAGGTGGGGTCCCCACGTGCCCTCGCCGTACCTGGCGAGCGCTCTGGGCTGGTGCCACCGGGTGATCTCCTACCGGGGCCAGCCGTCGGCCAAGGGCAGCCGGCGCAGGGCGGGCCCAGGCCGCAGAGGCTCTGCCAGGGACCGGGCGAGGAGCAAGGGATAGGGGAAGGTCTTAGGAAAGTCGCCGGGGCCCCCGGGGGCCGGAGAGAGGCGCTCAGACTTGATGCTGACTGGGGGGGTCGGCGGGGAGGCGCCGCGGGTTGGGGGACCCTCCTCGCCCAGGCTTCGGCCCCCACTGCAGGGGGAAAGAGAGAGGGAGGCCGTGAGCTCAGCGAGGAAGGGAAGGAAGCCAGGGGATGGCACAGCGTGGGCAAAGGCTTGGCAGGAGGACCCTGGGAAAGGAGGGGGTGGCGGTCCCTCTTGGGGCCTCAAAATAGCTGCCCATCCGTACCGGAAGTGTGCGCAGTACCAGGGATGGCCACCAGGGGTCAGCAGCGGCCGGGGCTTTGGAGGACTGGGACTTGCCGTCGTCTCAGGGCACTTACCTGGGCTGGGAGGACACGGCGGGGGGCCCATCACCCCTCGAGGGCTGCCAGGGGGCCAGGGTGGGGGGCTGCAACAAGCCAGGGGGCGGTGGAGGGTCTCCCAGGCCATATTCTGGTGGGCAGGAATTGGGGGCTGAGGCCTGGACATCTCCTTAAGCCTTCTGCAAACCTAACCACCCCCAGTGACAGTTTTGAGTTCTGGTGGGTGGGAGGGTGTGGAACCCCCAGAGGGCAGGAGTGCGGACGCTTCCCAGGTGGGGCAGGGCAGGTTAGGGGATGTACCTGGGGGGCCTCCGGGGAGGAAGGGGAAGCTCCCCAGTGGGGGTCCGGGAGTTGCAGTGGAGCAGGGGTTCTGCAGGCCACTGTAGAGGCTTCTCTGTGCGGAGAGAGGGTGAAGGGGAAACTGAGGCCCACACCCAGGTCGCCCTGCCTGCCCTCATCAGCCCTGCCACACCCTCCCCTCACTCACGGAGGTGTTTAGTCCCCCTCGGGGCCCAGCCAGGCCACCAGGCAGGTCTGACCTCCGCCCTTCCGTCGGCAGGTACAGTGGGGGTGGTGTCTTGCTGGTGAGGTGGCTTGGTGAGAAGAGAGGGTGCACCAGGCCTGGGGAAGAGGAGACCCCAGAGAGAGAGGACAGGCAGGCCATGTCAACTAATGAAGTCTGAGGTTTAGAGGTGATGCACGCAGCCTGGCAATGCCAGAGCCAAGATGCACCCAAACAGCCCCTCAGGACCTCACCCCTGCCCCACTGTCCCATGCTCACCTGGGGGCCCGGCTTTGGGGGCTGCTGGTCGGAAGGGAGATGGGCGGCTCTGGGCGGGCAGTGCTTCCCCAAGCCCACTGGGGTCACAGCCTGGTGGCGGTAAGGCCCCGTATACCACATCTGGGCTGGGCATAGCAGGAGCTGCAGGCTGTGGGTAGAGAAGGGATGGGTCAGAGGACCCCAGGCCAGATGGGGGTGCCAAGTCCAAGGGAGAAAATCCTGATGAGTTCAGGGGCCCAGCTCTACCTTCAGGAAGCCTTTGCTCCACCTCCCACCAGGCTCCCTACCTGCTCCTCCCCCTGCCCTAACCCTACAGGCTGGGGGAGCTTCTGTCTGGCTCTGCCTGTCCTTGACAGGTAGGTCCAGAGCCAAGACCTCTCACTTAGTGTAGAGTTGGCACTGAGGGGGCTGCACAGAGTGTTTGATGAATCAAAGATGAAATGAAGGAAGGAACTGTTTGCCTGTTGAACTCTTATTCATCCTTCAAAGCCCCAGCTACAGTGCCCACTTCTCAAAGAAGCCTTTCCTGACCAACCAGGTAGAGACCTGCCTCCAAACTCTAGGATCCCTGGCTCTAAGCCCCTCTCTCAGTACCAGCCTCAACGACTTGGGCCTAGGAAGTAGGAGGAATGCCTCATTCACAGGGCCAGGGAGTCACTTACATACAGCCGGGGTCGGGGCAAGGCCGGATCACCCCCTTCGCCTGCCAGCCTCCGAAACTTCTCTCCTGGCTCCTCAGGCCCTTCATCCGGCTCCAGCTCTGGCCCATCGAGGCCAATGCCCCTCCGCTTCAGCGTCTATGGGGACAGGAGACAACAGGGTAGACCCTTACCCCTACCCCACCCAGGGAACCCAGTTCTATGGGAGAGGGGACAGACCATCCCCACCCAGCTCCATGAGTGGGGAGGAATGCAGGCATGGCCTGCTCTAGCCAAACCCCACTGACCAAACCCCGGTGAGTTACCAGCTAGCAGTTTCCTCCCCTGGGACCGAAAAGCCCAAGGACCTGCCCAGATCAACACAGCAGGAGCTGAGATCCATGCAGGCCTGTTGGCGCTGTCCTAATGCTGCTCCTGACATGACTCCAGGACCTCCATTCTGCCCCCACTTGCAGCCTCATAGCCTGGCATCAAAAGCTGCTTAAGAGGCCGGGCGCGGTGGCTCACGCCTACAATCCCGGCACTTTGGGAGGCCGAGGCAGGCAGATCGCTTGAGGTCAGGAGTTTGAGACCAGCCTGGCCAACATGGTAAGACCTCCATCTCTACTGAAAATATAAAAATTAGCCAGGCATGGTGGCGTATGCCTGTGGTCAGAGCTATTTGGGAGGCTGAGGCAGGAGAATCACTTGAATCCGAGAGGCGGAGGTTGCGGTGAGCTGAAATTTTGCCACTGCACTGCAGAGTGGGCGACAAAGCAAGACTCATTCTCAAAAAAAGAAAAAAACTGCTTAAGAAACGCCAGCAGATTTCCTGAGCTGCCTTCTCCTGGGGCCACAGAACCGCATGCTCCCGGACCCCAACCTCTTCTTTGCCAACTTCTGCCCCACACTTCCAAAACACTGCGGACTCCCAGGCCTAGTCCCAGCCCGCTGCTCTCTGCAGCCCTTAGGCTTTAGCTTCCCATCCCAGTGAAGACTCCTCTGTCTTATTTATTTATTTATTTATTTATTTATTTATTTATTTATTTATTTTTTGAGACAGAGTCTTGCTCTGTTGCCCAGGCTGGAGTGCAGTGGCTCGATCTCGGCTCACTGCAACCTCCGCCTCCCGGGTTCAAGCAATTCTCCTACTTCAGCCTCCCAAGTAGCTGGGATTAGAGGCATGAGCCACCACACCTGGCTAATTTGGGTATTTTTAGTAGAGACTGGGTTTTGCCATGTTGGCCAGGCTGGTCTAGAATCCCTGACCTCAAGTGATCTGCCCACTTCGGCCTCCCAAAGTGCTGGGATTGCAGGTGGGAGCCACCGTGCCCTGCCCGATGTGCTTTATTTCTGCTGTCCCCAGAAGGGCTCCCCCACTCCCAAATGTTTGGATGAGTGGAGGGTCCCTTCTAGGGACAGCAGAAATAAAGCACGTCAGCCACAAAGCCAGATGAAGACACTCATCTTTTGTGCAAACCAAGAGTCCCTGGGCTCTGAGAAAGCAGCGTGCACGGGGCCTTGTGGGGCTGGGGAGGAGGACCTGGGGTACCTCGAGGATGTCAGTGTTGGTGCGGCTCTCGTGGGGCTCGCTGTACTCTGTGTACTTCAGCAGCACACGGTCCATGTCCGTGCTGGCATACTGGAAGAGGCGGTTGGCGCTGTTGAAGATGATGAGGGCTATCTCACAGTCACAGAGCACGCTCAGCTCATAGGCCTTCTTCATCAGCCCGAACTTCCGCTTGGTGAACGTCACCTGGACCCAGGACCCACAGGGGCAGGGGAGAGAAGAAGAAGAGATGAATGTGGGGTGGTGTAGGGGAATTGGCAGGGCCTAACCCTTCCTCGAACATGCCTCAGGATTCTTTCTGGCTGAGCTGGTAATTCTCATGTCACAACCTGGCAAACTCCTACTGGAGCTTCAAAACCCAGCCCAAATGTCTGGGAAGTGTGCCTTGGCTTCCCAGGCAGAGTCCACATGCTCTCTCTGGGCTTTCCCAGTTCTGGGCCTCCCTCTGTTCTGGCCCTCTGAGTTAGGTGTGGCTGTGTCAAGCTCCATCTCCCCTATGGCTGGGGTTCCAGTCATCAGGGAGAATAAATGAATAATGATCATGAAAATGAGCAGGCCAGGTGCGGTGGCTCAGCCTGAGGTCCCAGCACTTTGGGAGGCCCAGGCAGGAGGATTGATTGAGGTCAGGAGTTCGAGGCTAGCCTGGGCAACATGGTGAGACCCCTGACTCTACTAAAACTACAAAAATTAGCCTAGCCAGGCGTGGTGGTGGGCGCCTGTAATCCCAGCTGTTCGGAAAGCTGAGGCAGGAGAATCACTTGAACCCAGGAGGCGGAGCTTGCAGTGAGCCGAGATCGCTCCACTGCACTCCAGCCTGGGCAACAAAGTGAACTCCATCTCAAAAAAAAAAAAAAAAAAAAAAAGGAAGGATGGAAGGAGGGATGGAAGGAAGGAGGGAAGGAGGGAGGGAAGGAGGGAGGGAGGGAAGGAGGGAGGGAGGGAAGGAAGGAAGGAAGGAAGGAAGGAGGGAAGGAGGGAGGGAGGGGAAACAAGAAACACTGACAGACCAGGCGCGGTGGCTCACGCCTGTAATCCCAGCACTTTGGGAGGCCGAGGCGGGCAGATCACGAGGTCAGGAGTTCGAGACTAGCCTGGCCCACATGGTGAAACCCCGTCTCTACTAAAACTGCAAAATTAGCTGGGCTTGGTGGTGCGCACCCGTAATCCCAGCTACTCAGGAGGCTGAGGAAGAATCGTTTGAACCCGGGAGGCAGAGGTTGCAGTAAGCTGAGATTGCACCATTGCACTCCAGGCTGGGCAACAGAGTGAGACTTCATCTCAAAAAAAAAAAAAAAAAAAAGAAAGGCTGACATGGCATCAGGACTCCTCATGCCTCCTCATTCCCCTGCAGTTCAATTGGTCAGGTCAGTCCCTTGCCTAGGCCATGCCCCCTGCTAGGAATGTCTTTCCCAGCCACTGTTCCACCCAGTGAACTCACCTGCCGATTCCTTTGGTCCAGGATGCGGGAGATCTGGATTTTTTTCCTCCCCATCGTCCCAGGCTGAGTGGAATGATCTTTGTCTAGGAGGAGAAGAGGGAGAGGACAGAGTGAGTGGGTGGAGAGTGGGGAGGGGTACCCCAGCCTCACACCTCTCCTCTGTCTGCCCCTGCCAGCCACTGAGAGGAAGATGATGGGGAAAATCAAGGCAGGCTGGGTCACTGTCGCAGACCCCGCCCCCGGCCAGCCTTAGGATGCAGTAGAGGCTCAATGAACATGTTTAGACCAAATGGGGCATGGTGGCTCATGCCTGTGATCCCTAGCACTTTGGGAGGCCAAGGCAGGAGGATCACTTGAGCCTGGGAGTTTGAGGCCAGCCTGGGCAACATGTTGAAACCCCGGCTCTACAAAAAATGCAAAAATTAGCCAGGCATGGTGGCACACGTCTATAGTCCCAGGTACTCCGGTGGCTGAAGTAGGATGATCACTTGAGCTGGGGAGGTTGAGGCTGCAGTGAACTATGATCTTGCCACTGCACTCCAGCGTGGGCAACAGAGACCCAGTCTTTAAAGGAAAAAGAAAACAGAATAATAGAAACGCCTCCTGCTCTAGCAGGAGGATGCAGGCACACTCTGGAAAGGCCTCCAGCTCAGAGTCCTTGGGCCAGGGTGTGGGCCTGGCATCCACTTGGTGACTTGGAAGAAATCCTGTACCCCACTCAAGGAGATGTGAGATCGCCCTGGTAGGGGTCCCAGAAGGAGGAGACTGCTGGACTATGCTGGGGTCCAGGCCTTCCCCAGAGACCCCCACTCGAGGTTCCTGGGAACAATCGAATCATGTGGCCTGTCCTGCAGCCGCCGCCCTCTGTACAGACGTCCCCTGACACCACAGGGGACGTCCCCGCTCCGCCAACTGTGTGACCACACTCCACCTCCCAGCCTCTACCATGTCACAGGTGACTGAGGCTTCAGGCAAGGGGCCTCTCCAGGGTCACGCGGACCTACGCTCAGGCCTGGCCTTCCCTCTGACCCTCAGGGCAGCCCTCAGCACAGAAGACCCTTTCCCCAGGCCTCAGTTTGCTCTTCTGTGAATGGGCTGGTAGGAAATGCTGAGCACCCACCACCAGGCTTGGCAACAAGTTATCAAGAAATCCAGATCAGGCCGGTCACGGTGGCTCACGCCTGTAATCCCAGCACTTTGGGAGGCCGAGGCAGGCAGATCACTTGAGATCAGGAGTTCGAGACCAGCCTGGCCAACATGCTAAAACCCCATCTCTATTTTTTTTTTTTTTTTTTTGAGACGAGTTTTCACTCTTGTTGCCCAGGCTGGAGGGCAATGGCGCGATCTCGGCTCACTAAAACCTCCGCCTCCCAGGTTCAAGTGATTCTCCTGCCTCAGCCTCCCAAGTAGCTGAGATTACAGGTGCCCTCCACTATGCCCAGCTAATTTTTGTATTTTTAGTAGAGACGAGGTTTCACCATGTTGGTCAGGCTGGTCTCAAACTCCCGACCTCATGATCCACCCATCTTGGCCTCCCAAAGTGTTGGGATTACCACCGCATCCTACCCACCCCATCTCTATTAAAAATGCAAAAATTAACCAGCTGTCGTGGCGCACACCTGTAGTCCCAGCCACTTGGGAGGCTGAGGCAGGTGTGTCACTGCACTCCAGCCTGGGTGATAGAGCAAGACTCTGTCTCAAAAAAAAAAAAGAAAAAGAAAAAGAAAAAGAAAAAGAAATCTGGCTTGGCGTGGTAGCTCATGCCTGTAATCCCAGTATTTTGGGAGGCTGAGGTGGGTGGATCACGAGGTCAGGCGTTCGAGACCAGCCTGGCCAACATGGCAAAACCCTGTCTCTACTAAAAATACAAAAATTAGCCAGGCATAGTGGTGGGCACCTGTAGACCCAGCTACTCAGGATGCTGAGGCAGGAGAATCCCTTGAACCTGGGAGGCGGAGGTTGCAGTGAGCCGAGATCCCGAGATTTTGACAGGCTGGGCAACAGAGCGAGACTCCGTCTCAAAAACAGAAAGAAAGAAATCCAGATTGTTCTCTGGGAGTGTTCTCAGGGCTTCCCAGACCCCTGCCCAAGCGGTCTGGGCAAGGCCCTCCATTATCCCAGGGCCCAGAAGTGTTAGATACCTCGGCTGGCAGATATGGCATGCTGTGTGACCCCAGGCACACCCTCTGCCCTCTCTGGGCTGGGTCTCTGAGCCCCCACAACTATGTAGAGCCCAAGCTGTCAGTCCCAGACCCTCAGCTCCGGCTTGACTTGCTAAATTTAACCTCCAGGGCTAATTTTAATCCCCAGCCGGAATCGGGCCTGTTCCCACGGCTGGGATATGTTGCCCCCACCCTGATGGGTCCCTGGGGGGTGGACGGGGGCCTTGGTCCGGAGGTCCCAGGGCCAAGATGACTCCGGAAATGCCCCTGATGCCCAGGGTCCCACGAGAGCAGCAGCAGGGCTGGGGCTTAGGCCTGAGTCTCTTAAGCCTGGAAGACCTGACTCAAGCCCCTTCTCACTCTGTCTGTCCCCATTTTAGACACAGACACCATGGCTAGGGCAGAGGTCATGTGATGGGGGAGAACTGGGAAGTCTCTCTCTGCACTGAGACCCTGAGAGCTGAGATAGAAAGTGAGTTCCAGGCAGAAGGAAGAGCAGGTGCCAGGGCCCTGAGGAGGGACAAGAAACAGCGGGAGGGTGGGGATGAGGCCACAGAGGTTGGGCCATTCTAGGACTCCTTCTTTTGGGTTTCCTTCTTTTAATTTAATTTATTATTATTATCATTATTTTGAGACAGAGTCTCACTCTGTCGCCCAGGCTGGAGTACAGTGGCATGATCTTGGCTCACTGCAACCTCTGCCTCCCGGGTTCAAGTGATTCTCCCGTTTCAGCCTCCCAAGTAGCTGCGATTACGGGCATGCACCACCACACCTCGCTAATTTTTGTATTTTTAGTAGAGACGGGGTTTCACCATGTTGGCCAGGCTGGTCTTGAACTCCTGGCCTCAAGTGATCTGCCCGCCTTGGCCTCCTAAAGTGCTGAGATTACAGGCGTGAGCCACCACGCCTGGCCATATTTATTTTTTTGAGACAGTCTTGCTCTGTTGCCCAGGCTGGAGTGCGGTGGTGAGATCTCAGCTCATTGCAGCCTTGACCTCCCAGGCTCCAGTAATCCTCCCACCTCAGCCTCCTGAATAGCTGGGACTACAGGTGAGTGCCACCACGCCCTGCTAGTTTTTATTTTCTTTTTGTAGAGATGGAGTCTCACTATGTTGTCTAGGTTGGTCTCAAACTCCTGGCTGGAAGTGATCCTCCTACCTCACCCTCCCAAAGTGCTGGGATTCCAGGTGTGAGCCACTGTACCTGGCCCACTGTGGGCCTTCTGAGCTGGAGGAGGGCTGTGGATTTTGGTCTAAGAGTGATGTGGAGCTATGAGAGCATATTTTATTTTATTTCCTATTGTATTTTATTTTTTATTTTTAATATATATATATTTTTGAGATGGAGTTTTGCTGTGTCACCCCGGCTGAAGTGCAGTGGCGTGATCGCGGCTTACTGCAACCTCCACCTCCCAGGTTCAAGTGATTCTTCTGCCTCAGCCTCCCAAGTAGTTGGGACAACAGGCATGTGCCACCATGCCCAGCTAATTTTTGTAGTTTTAGTAAAGATGGTGTTTCACCATATTGGTCAGGTTGGTCTCAAACTCCTGACCTCATGATCCGCCCGCCTTGGCCTCCCAAAGTGCTGGGATTACAGGCATGAGCCACCGCGCCCAGCCTTTTATTTTATTTTTTGAGACAGAGGCTTGCTCTGTCATGTAGGCTGGAGTGCAGTGGCACAGTCTTCACCTCCCGGGTTCAAGCGATTCTCCTGCTTCAGCCTCCCAAGTAGCTGAGATTACAGGTGTGCACCACCACACCTGGCTAATTTTTGTATTTTTAGTAGAGACAGGGTTTTGCCAAGTTGGCCAGGCTGATCTTGAACTCCTGACCTCAAGGGATCCGCTGGCCTCAGCCTCCCAAAGTGCTGGGATTCCAGGCGTGAGCCACTATGAGAAGGTTTTAAGCAGAGAAGGGATGGGGCTTGGTTTATTATTTTAAGACTCAGCTCATGGCTTCCATGGGGAGCAGGTCTGTTGGAGGCCAGGGTGGAGATCATGGGCGGCTGGAGAGAAGGCAAGGGCTGTGTCCGTCTTGACAGAGACTGGGGGTAGGGCCCCCTCTGTGCTAGGCCTGTGCCTTGCACTTTAAGTCACTGTACTCCAGGGTGCGTTAGTCCTCCAGAAGCCAGCAGGCCCTACACCAACTCTGGAGGCAGGCCTGACAGGTGCAGATGAACTCACGCAGGAGTTTCACTCTCCTGAACCCCAGTGACATTGGAACCAAAGCCATCCTCCACTCTAGCCCCTGAGGGAATCTACCCAACCAAACACAGCTCTGAGCATGGCCCCCTCCTGCTCATACACTCTCCATGGCTCCCCACTGCCCTTATGAGAAAGTTCTAGCACCTAGCCTGGCATTCAAGTCTTCTTCCCAAATCAGCTCTTGCCTACTTCTCTCTCTTCGATAAATATCTCTGACTAGAAGGACCCTTTCCCCTTTTTCACCAAGCCAACTCCTATCCAAACGTCAAAACCCAGTTCAAAAAACCCATTCCTCTAGGAAGTCCTCCCTGCCATTCTTCTGGTCTCCCAGAGTCACCATCCTCCTCTAGGTCAGATTCCATGGCATTGGGGGTATATATATCCAGATTTGTCTCCTCCAGACTAAAAGCCCCTCTGGATCAGGGCCAGGAATGGACAGTAAGGTTTGGTGAGCAGAGTAGATCAACAGAGATGTCACTGACCCCCTCCACAACCCTACAGCTTCCCTCAACAACTTCCTCTCAGACTGCCCCAGCTGATACCCTGCCCAGAAATACATGCACATGCAAATCCAGCCACTCAGCATTGACCTGTCTCGGGCCCAGGTGTGAAGGGCCAGGCAAAGAATGCGGAGGCGGCAGGCCAGAGTGTGCATGTATATTTGTAGTCACATGCAAATCCCTGCCCAGAGCCGCAGACAGACCCTGGTGGCCCATTCTCCAGATGTTGGTGTGATCGGAACTGCTGGGGGAGGTGGCAGCACAGGCTGAATGTGCCAGGCACGAGGGGGGAAGCTGAGGTTTGGGGAGGCCTCTTCCGCACACACATACCCTCCCTGCTTTGTCCAGCCAGAAATCAGAGAGCTGTGGCATCTGCCCAGCGCAGAAGCACAGAGGTGGACCTATTGACCAAGGAATGGAGCACAGAAGAAAGAACAGGAGAAGAAACCCAGGAGAGCTTCTTGGGGGAGGAGGCATGTAGTTGGATGTAGACGCAGAGGCTGGATGGGAGCCTGAGTAGAAGGGGAGGGAGGTGGGAATTTGAAGCTAAGAGTCCAGTACCTTCCTACTCCTTTCATTGCACCCTCATACTTAGCGTTTATTAAGTATCAACCTGTGCAAGTCACTGAGCCAAGCTGACCTCAGAAGAAGTAGAAAGCTTAAGTAGACCAACAACCATAGAAGATTAGAAAGGTGACTCAGGACCTACCATTAAAAAGGTAATAAAGTGGGCTGGGCATGATGGTTCACACTTGTAATCCCAGCACTTTGGGAGGCCGAGGTGGGAGGATTGCTTGAGCCTAGCGGTTCAAGACCAACCTAGGCAACATAGCGAGACCCCTATCTCTAAAAAAAAAAATTTTTTTTTTAAAGGCAATAAAGTTCAAGGCTGCAGTGAGCTTTGAGCTGCTGCACTCCAGCCAGGGCAACAGAGTGAGACTCTGTCTCTAAAAAAGAATAATAATTTCAAAATTAAAATAATAACTAAAAAACATGTTTAAAGGCCCAGGTGGTTTTACAGCTATTTTCTCAAATCTCACAGAACAGGAAAGTGCAGCATTATTTCAGTGAACTTAGATCTTTGAAATAGACGGGATCTAGCCGAGTCACTTTTTTTGTTTTTGAGATGGGGTCTTCCTCTGTCGCCCAGGCTGGAGTTCAGTGGTGCAATTATAGCTCACTGTAGCCTTGAACTCCTGGGCTCAAGTGATCCTCCAGCCTCAGCATCCCGAGTAGCTGGGATTACAGCTATGTGTCACCACACCCAGCAAATTTTTAAAAACTTTTTATAGAGATGGCGATTTGCTGTGTTGCCCAGGCTGGTCTCAAACTCCTGGCTACTCCCAGATACTTCCAGCTACTTGAGAGGCTGAGGTGGGAGGATTGCTTGAGGCCAGAAATTGGAGACCAGCCTGGGCAACACAGCAAGAACCTGTCTACAAAAAAAGTAAAAATTAGCTGCACGCCGTGGCACACACCTGTAGTCCTGGCTATGTGGGAGCCTGAGACGGGAGGATTCTGTGAGCCCAGGAGTTCAAGGTTACAGTGAGCGATGATGATCTTGTAAGCTCTTCCACTTCCAGCTCTCATGCATTGCTGGTGGCAGAGGAAAAAGGGACAAGCACTTGGATAATCCTCTGGCATCTACTAAATCTGAACAGATGCCTACCCTGTGACCCAGGAATTCCGCTCCTCGATGTTCAATATTCACGCAAGAGAAATGGGTCCAAGTTACACCTGAGGACACAGACAAGAATGTTTTCTACAGCTTCATACATCATTGCCTCAAACTGGAATCAACCTGGAAGCCCTTAATGGGAGAGCTGGTCAACACTTTCTTGTTGATTCTATGATCAGTTATAGCACAGCACAGAAAAAGGGTGCACTCTCGCTGCACACAACCACGTGGATGAATCTCAGAGACCATTGGCCAATTCGACGATCCCAGACTCCATCGAGAAGATGCACTGTGTGATTTTATTTACATGAAGTTTCAGAACAATCAAAACTCACTGATGCAGCTGGGCGCAGGGGCTCAAGCCTGTAATCCCAGCACTTTGGGAGGCCAAGGCGGGCAGATCACTGGAGGTCAGGAGTTTGAGACAAGCCTGGCCAACATAGCGAAAACCCATCTCTACTAAAAATACAAAAATTAGCTGGGCGTGCTGGCATGTGCCTGTAATCCTAGCTACTCGGGAGGCTGAGGCAGGAGAATAGCTTGAACCCAGGAGGCGGAGGTTGCAGTGAGCCAAGATTGTGCCATTGCACTCCAGCCTGGGCGACAGAGCGAGACTCTGTGTCAAAAAAAACAAAAAACAAAAAACCCTCACTGAGGCTGATGGATATCAGACAGCACTTTGGTCACCCTGGGCAGAAGCTGTGATTAGGCAGTGGCCCAAGGGGGAAGTCCCAGGGGCTAGGGAAGTCCTGTTCCTGGATCCAAGGTTTGGGTACACAGATATGTTCAGTTTGTGCAAATGTGTTGAGCTCAACTCTAGTGGTTTGTGCATTTTTCTTCGTGTGATTTATTTCAAAAGGAAGATTTCTTTTTTTTTTTTTGAAGTGGAGTCTCGCTCTGTTACCCAGACTGGAGTGCAGTGGCATGATCTCAGCTCATTGAAACCTCCACTTCCCGAGTTCAAGCGATTCTCCTGTCTCAGCCTCCTAAGTAGCTGGGATTACAGGTGCCTGCCACTGTGCCCGGCTAATTTTTGCATTTTTACTAGAGATGGGTTTTCACCATGTTGGCCAGGCTGGTCTTAAACTCCTGGCCTCAGGTGATCTGCCCACCTCAGGGGCCAAAGTGCTGGGATTACAGGCGTGAGCATGGGCGCCCCCGGCCCAAAAGGAAGATTTCTAAAAAGCTCCAGCCAGAGCAACATAGTGAGACCCTGCCCCTAAAAAAAAAAAAAAAAACAAACTAGGGCCAGGCCAGGCACGGTGGCTCACGCCTGTAATCCCAGTGCTTTGGGAGGCTGAGGTGGGAGGATCACTTGAGCCCAGGAGTTCAAGACCAGCCTGGGCAACATGGCAAAGCCCTGTCTGTAGGAAAAAAAAAAAAAAATTAGCTAAGTGTGGTGGCATGCCTGTGGTCCCAGCTACTCAGGAGGCTGAGGTGGGAGAATCACTTGAGCCCAGGAGGTGGAGGTTGCAGTGAGCCAAGATCACACCACTCCACTCCAGCCTGGGTGACACAGCCAGACGCTGTCTCAGAAAAATAAATAAACAAAAATAAAAAAATTTAGCCAGGCGTGGTGGTGCACCCCTTAGTCCCAGCTACTCAGGAGTCTGAAGTGGGAGGATCACTTGAGCAGGGGGAGGCAGAGGTTGCAGTGAACTGAGATCCTGTCACTGCACTCCAGCCCGGGCAACATTGTGAGACTGACTCGAAAGTTTTTTTTTCTTTTTTTTGAGACAGAGTTTTGCTCTTGTCGCCCAGGCTGGAGTGCAGTGGCGCAATCTCAGCTCACTGCAACCTCCTCCTCCCCAGTTCAAGCAATTCTCCTGCCTCAGCCTCCTGAGTAGCTGGGATTACAGGCACACACCACTACACCCAGCTAATTTCTGTATTTTCAGTAGAGATGGGGTTTCACCATGTTGGCCAGACTGGTCTCGACCTCCTGACCTCAGGTGATCCACCAGTCTCGGCCTCCCAAAGTGCTGGGATTACAGGCGTGAGCCACAGTGCGTGGCCTAAAAAAAAAAAAAAAAAAAAAAAATTAAATCTAGCGGGGCATGGTGGTGCCTGCCTGTAGTCCCAGCTACTTGGGAGGCTGAGGCGGGAGGATCACGTGAGCCCAGGAGATGGAGGCTGCAGTGAGCTATGAGTGGGCCACTGCACTCCAGCCTGGGTGACAGAGTAAGACCCTGTCTCTAAAAATAAAAAAGCTCCTTGCTGCTTATGGCTGCTGTGGGGAGCAGTGTCTGTTCAGGCTAGAGTGAGGTGACAGGAAGAGGCTGGGCCAGTGGGAAATACAGAGTTTGAATGGAGACAGGGGTGGCACCTGGGCAGAAGTGGTGACCAAAGGGTGCAGGATGTGCTGGTGACCTGGGATAGAAGAGGAGCCTGGTGATCCCAGGCCTGAGCGATGTGGGGGTGAGGGGGAATTGGGAGGACAAAAGAAGAGCTCAGGAGTGCGGAAGCATCAGAAACTTTCTGGCAGTATCTGTGGTCACTAAGTCAATCAACAAACATTACCCTGAAGTCCTTCAAGCCATAGATTATCATCTCCCCAGCCTGGCGAGGCCCCTTAGCCCCCCAGTAATGGAGATGGGGTGCTGGAGGGAATCCCACCCTTCCACTGACCCTTCCCCTCTGGCCTCTCTGCGTGGTAGGACTCAGTTCTCTTACCTGTTAATTGGGGGTGAGAATCCTTCTCCCACCAGCTGGGAAGAGGGTAGGGAGCAGGGGTCTACTGAACTTTTTTTTTTTTTTTTTTTGAGATGGAGTCTCGCTCTGTTGCCCAGGCTGGAGTGCAGTGGCGTGATCTCGGCTCCCTGCAACCACTGCTTCCCAGGTTTAAGCGATTGTCCTGCCTCAGACTCCCGAGTAGCTGGGATTACAGGTGCACACCATCACACCCAGCTAATTTTTTATATTTTTGGTAGAGGCGGGGTTTCAGCATGTTGGCCAGGCTGGTCTCGAACTCCTGACCTCAAGTGATCCGCCTGCTTTGGCCTCCCAAAGTGCTGGGATTACAGGTGTGAGCCACCACACGGGGGCCTCTATTGAACTTTTCTTCTGGCTTCTGGGAAACCAAAAGGAAGAAGGTCTGGGCCTTGGAACTGGGGGCGCTGAGTCAGTACAGCATCCTGCAAGACCACCTTGAAATACTGTCATCAGTCACCTGCTTCCTCCCCCATAAAATGGGTCACAGGATCCTAACCTCACAGGCTTTGCAGAGGGGTTTAAGAGAAAAGATTAGGAACAAGTCAAGTTCCCTTTCTTGGCACCCCTGCGGGACTTTACTGGGGGGATGAGCTGCAGAGTCACTTCGCCAGACCCCTGAGCCCGCAGGGAGGCCACGGCTTGGCAGAGGAACCCAGGCCGGGAAAGGAGAAGTGAGAGGCAGGTGGGTTGGGTGGGGGTGGGGGTGAGGGCCCGCGGGAGGCGGTGAAGCGGGGAGGGGGCGCTGCTCCCGGCCCCTGCAGCGAATCAGGCCTGCCGCCCCGCCTCACGCAACCCAGGCTGTGGTTTCATCACCTGCTCCCCAAGTACCTCATTATGGGCGACAGGAAGAGCCCCTTGGAAAGCCAGGACCCCTCCTCCCCTCTCCTGGGGGCTCCAGCGGCTCCGACCCCAGCTGCAGGCGACCCTCCCTCCCCAGCCAGAGCCCTGGGCCCGCCTCCTCCCCGGGGGCCTAGGGAGGTGGTACCCAGGTGGGGGGGCATGTAGGTGACCTGGCGGCCTGGCTCAGTTCACAGCGGTCCCTGGAGCCCCGCACCTGCCCTCAGGGACTCAGGGGAGACGGTGGGCTCGGGCAGTGACTCCCCTGTTGCTGAGCTTCTCTGGAACTCAGTTTCCTCCTCCAGAAAGTCAGGGGGCAGCAGGGGCCACCTCGCTGAACTGGGGGGAGGGGCTTCACAGTAAGGTGCTTTACAGATGCGGGGAGGATTTGTGGTCGATGGGTCCTGATGCCTCTCAGAAGGCCTTGGGGTCACCTCTCCATCCTGGGGGAACCCAGCTCAGATTGCGGGCCCCAAAAAGTCCCTGGTGGAGTGCTGAGGGACAGGGGCGGATGGGGTTGGGGGTCACTCCATCCTTGTATGGGCATAATGGGAGGTAGAAATATTCCCCACACACGGAGACCCCCAAACAGAGCCGCAGAAAATCCACAGATGCCCGAAACAACAGATCCCCCAAATACACAAGTATTCCTCCTGCGAAAGTCCCCAAAATACATGCAGTTCACGATACGCCAAACCCCCCAACCCACACAGCTCTCCAAACACACACATCCCCAAAACACATCCTATTCCCTCTGCATAGACAGACCCCAAAAACACTCAGACATACCCAGATGCCCCAACACATGCCAATCCCCCAAATGCACAGACACATACAGATCTCCCTAAACACATGGCCGTCCCGCAAATACACACAGACCCCTTTCCCCTGAACAATGTGGAGACCCCCGCCAGACGCATGCAGACTCTTCCAAACATATGCAGACTCCCCCCAATCCATGCTGGTCCCCCATTACATAGGTAGGGCCCCCCCATCCCTGCAGTGATACCACCCACACTCTAGCTTTCTTCTTTTTTGTTTTTTTTTTTTGTGAGACAGAGTCTCACTTTGTCACCCAGGCTGGAGTGCAGTGGCGTGTTCTCTGCTCCCTGCAACCCCTGCCTCCTGGGTTCAAGCGATTCTCCTGCCTCAGCCTCCCCAGTAGCTGGGATTACAGCCATGCGCTACCACACCCAGCTAATGTTTGTATTTTTAGTACAGACAGGGTTTCACCATGTTGGCCAGGCTGGTCTTGAACTCCTGGCCTCATGTGATCTGCCTACTTCGGCCTCCCAAAGTGCTGGGATTACAGGCCACCATACCTGGCTGGGTTTCCTCTTTTTAATTATTATTATTTTTTTTTGAGATGGGGTCTCGCTCTGTTGCCCAAGCTGGAGTGCAGTGGTGCCATCATAGCTCACTGCAGCCTCCAATTCCTGGGCTTAAGCATTCCTCCCACCTCAGATTTCCCAGCAGCTGGGGCTACAAGCGCACACCTAATTTTTAACCAGACTATGCCAGGCTAATTTTTTTTATTTTTGTAGAGAAGGGGCTTCATTTTATCACACTGGCTGGTCTTGAACTTCCGGCCTCAAGTTATCCTCCTGCCTCAGCCTCCCTAAGTGCTGGGATTACGGGTGTGAGCCACCACACAGGCCTGGCTGCCTTCCCAAGGCCGGGTGCTCTCCACCCACCAGGGGTGAAATGCAGGCTGGGGGCATCTGAGGCTAGATTTGAATGGGTAGTGTTTGAATCCAGGATTCTTAGAATGTTCCAGCTGGAGAAGGCCCCATGGGGGTCCTTTTTTCCATAGGTCCCTCTGGCACCCATGGGGAAAGTGAGGCCCAGTGGGGAGCCCTCAGACCCTCCTTCCCACCTCTCCCTGGGCCTGCTCCTGGGAGGGACAGCTCCTGTTCGAGGGGCAGGAGTCCACGGTGAGTGGGACCCTCTGTGGGACGCCCCCTCTACTTCACTCCAGGATCCCATTTTGGCCATGCACAGAGAGGCCAGGGCCGGGGCTGTAGGCCAGTCAGTCCAGGATTCAAATCCTAAACCCGCCACTTGCCCACTGCGTGATACTTTCTGAGCCTCGGTTTCCTGTGTTTGCAGGGGTCCCCACAAACTCCCCATGTACCCACCCACCTCTCCCCTCACTTGAAAAGGTGTCATCTACCAGCAGACTCCCAGCCCACCTTCTGCCCCTTTGGGGGCATCTGCAACACCAGCCCCAAACTGATTCCCTACTTGCCCATCACTCTCCCTTTGCCCGGACTGTGTCCAACCCCGGGACACCCTTCTAGGTTTGCCCAAGTCCAGGAGTGTCTCCATGTCCTCTAAAGACCTGCAGAAAACGCTCTTTCTGGAGGCATCAATCTTTTTTAATATTTATTTTAATTTTTTCAGGCAGGGTCTCATTCTGTCACCCGGGCTGGAGTGCAGTGGTGTGGTCTCGACTCACTGCAGCCTGGCCCTCCCGGACTCAAGCGATCATCCCACCTCAGCCTCTGGAGTAGCTGGGAGTAGCACGGCGCCACACCTAGCTAATTTTTGTATTTTTTTAGAGCCGGGGTCTCCCTGTGTTGCCCAGGCTGGTCTCAAACTCCTGGTCTCAAGTGATCCTGCTGCCTCGGTCTTCCATAGTGCTGGGATTACAGGTGTAAGCCACCACGCCCGGCCAAATTCAACTCTTTCTGCAGCACCTCAGCCCTATCAGACTTTTTGGTGTGTGTTTCTTTATTGCTTTCTTTGATGAGCATCTCGCCCTGCCGGCTTCCCAGCGCCTAGTACATAGAAGGCCCTCAATCACCCTTCCTTGAATCAACGACCAAACAACTGCTTCACAGACAGAAGAAACACTGCCAACTTGCTCAGTTTTCTGTTTTTCTTTTTTCTTTTTTTGAGATGGGGCCTTGGTCTGTCACCTAGACTGGAGTGTAATGGCACAATCTGGGCCTACTGCAACCTCCGCCTCCCAGGTTCAAGCCAATCTCTTGCCTCAGCCTCCCGAGTAGCTAGGGCTGCAGGCGCCTGCCCCTCCACATGGCTAATTTTTTGATTTTTTGACATCTTATTTTTTGTAGAGACAGGGTCTCACTAGGTTGCCCAAGCTGGTCTTGAACTCTTGAGCTCAAGCAATCTGCCTGCCTTGGCCTCCCAAAGTTCTGGGATTATAGAGGTGAGCCACCACACCCAGCCCTACTTGTTTTTTCTTGAGATGGGTTTCGCTCTTGTTGCCCAGGCTGAAGTGCAGTGGTGCGATCTCAGCTCACCGCAACCTCTGCCTCCCGGGTTGAAGCGATTCTCCTGCCTCAGCCTCCCTAGTAGCTGGGATCACAGGCTCGCCCCCACCATGCCCAGCTAATTTTTTATTTTTAGTAGAGACAGGGTTTCTCCATGTTGGTCAGAATGGTCTCGAACTCCTGACCTTCAGGTGATCCACCCACCTCAGCCTCCCAAAGTGCTGGGATTACAGCCGTGAGCCCGGCCCTACTTGTTCACTTCTCACTGAAACACCTCATGGTCCACACAACAAATTTAAGGCCCCATCCAGCCCACAGGCTGCCAGTTTGTGGCCCTTCCTCTAAACAACCTTCACAGCAAAACAGCCAATTGGACAGTGCTGATGCTCCTCTCAGGCCAAGGAACTGGCCCTCTGAAGGTCCCACTGCCCAGCTTGGGAGAAAACCACGTCCAGGTGACCATCCATGGCAAACCTGACCTGGCACAGGCACCCTCACCTGCCAAGAAGGCCTGTTCCAGGCCGGGTGCGGTGGCTCACGCCTGTAATCCCACTACTTTGGGAGACCGAGGTGGGCAGATCACTTGAGGTCAGGAGTTTGAGACCAGCCTGGCCAACATAGTGAAACCCCATCTCTACTGAAAATACAAAAATTAGCCGGGCATGATGGCGGGCGCCTGTAATCCCAGCTACTCAGGAGGCTGAGGCAGGAGAATCACTTGAACCCAGGAGTCAGAGGTCACCCAGCCCATGGAGCCAAGACAGACCCCGCAGTCTGAATTTGACCCTGCTGTCCCATGCAGGCTAGAGTCTAAGGCCCTCTCAGGCCCCTAGTGATGTCCCCTAAGCCACAGTAGTGGCTGCAGGGACAGCCCAAGGTTTTCCTCTCTTTGTTCCAGAGAAAGCTCTCCCTGCGGGGCCTCAGAAATGGATCCCCAGATGCCCCAGCCTCCCTGCTTGGGAAATTAGCACATCTGTCAGCGCTGGGCAGAAGGGACCCTGCCCACAGCCCGGCAGCCCGAAGATGCAGCCAGCAGGGACCCCGAGATGGGGCTTTAGGACACTGTCAGTCCCCAATATCTTCCCGCAGAAATGTCTAGGAGCCCCTCAGGTGCTGGGGATGCAGGAGCAGGGGGTGGGCAGAGCAAGGCCTCCCCCCATCACCCAGTCTGATGGGGGAGGCAACAGCAGCCACATAACCGTATCTGGGAAGACGGCCTTCAAGGAAGAAATTCAACAGGGGGAGGCAGTGGAGGGTGGCAGGGAGAGAGCTGCTTTGGACAGAGGATCCAGGAGGGTACCACACCTGTAATCCCGGCTACTCAGGAGGCTGAGGTATGAGAATTGCTTGAACCCGGGAGGCGGAGATTGCAGTGAGCCGAGATCGCACCACTGCACTCCAGCCTGGGTGACAGAGCAAGACCCTGTCTCTGAGGTGTCTCAGGGAGGTGGGAGCCAGGTGGACACAATGGCAGGTGCAAAGGCCCTGAGGTGGGACTGTGCTAAACAGGTGGCTTCCAGGAGCAGGCAAACCCCACACATCTGGGGTGGAGTGAGCCAGGAGTGGCCAGAGACAGAGAAGGTCAGAGAGGCATTGGGGGACAGAGAGAGGGTGGACTGTAGAGCAATAGGGAGCCATGGAAGGTGTGTGAGGAGGGGGAGGACTGTGGTCTGATTTGGAATTTTCAGAAGACCCTGTGGCCTGTTGGAGCAGGAAGCCAGGCCAGCATCCAGCCAGGGATGGTAGGGCTTGGACCAGGCACAGGCCACAGGTTGGAACAGTGGGCAAGGCAGGCCCATGCCCACAGCAGCCATGACTCTTATTACAATCCACCTCCATTTCTCCCTTCCTCAGGCCCCACCTTGACCTTGGGTGAAACTGGGCTTGGAGGGAAACAGCACCTGGCAGAGGGCAGAGAGGAAAGGGGCCTGGATGGGCTCACAAACACCTCCACTTGGTCACAGCCCAGATGGGACCTTCTGTTATTGAGCCCTTACTGTCTGCCCGGGCCCACACCCCGCCTCATTTACATATAAGACCTGCCTGACCCCCAGACACCCCAGGGAAGCAGCGATAGTTGCCCTGTTTTGCACAGGAGTGGGCAGGCTTCTTCCAGGGCCACATGGTGAGACCTCCAGATCCCCACCCAATCCTGGGCTTGTACCCCAGGGCCATCACGTGGCACCTCAATCTCACCACCCCCACCCAGGCTGGGAAGTGGGCCTGGGCTTGTCCAGCCCAGAATCACCGTCACAGGGTCCAAGAAACTCAATCCTGGGCCGCAGGGTATCAGGGTAACCACACAAGTCCCCAAGATACAGCCCCAGAGAGGCCCTTTGGGGGCTGAGAAATGGGATTTAACTTCCTTGCCCACCCCATGGGGAATCATGGGCCAGGGCTGGGGCGAGTTCCCTGACCCCAAAAGGGATCCCAGACACATTTCTAAGTCGTCTCAGAAAAATGGCATCTGGTTGGGCTCATGCCTGTAATCCCAGCACTTTGGGAGGCCGAGGCAGGAGGACCATTTGAGCTCAGGAGTTCAAGACCAGCCTGAGCAACATAGGGAGACCCCCCCATCTCCAATTAAAAAAAAAAAAAAAGCCAGGCAAGGTAGCACTCCCCTACAATCCCAGCTACTCGGGAGACTGAGGTGACAGGATGGCTTGAGCCCAGGAGTTCAAGGTCACAGGGAGCCATGACTGCAACACTCAAGGAAAGACAGAAAGACATCTGTCTCTAGACCACTCTGTGCCTTGAATCTTCCAGAAGGGCAGGGCGTGGTGGCTCATGCCTCTAATCCCAGCACTTTGGAAGGCCGAGGTGGGCTGATGGCTTGAGCCCAGGAGTTCGAGACCAGCTTGGGCAACATAGGGAGACCTTGTCTCTATAAATAAATAAATAAATAAGTGGGCCAGGTGCGGTGGCTCACGCCTATAATCCCAGAACTTTGGGATGCCAAGGTGGGCTGAGTGCTTGAGTACAGGAATTCACGACCAGCCTGGGCAACATGACAAGACCCCATATTTATAATTTTTTTTTTTAATTAGCTGGTCACAGGCTGGCCACAGTGGCTCACGCCTGTAATCCCAGGACTTTGGGAGGCCAAGGCAGGTGGATCACCTGTGATCAGGAGTTTGAGACCAGCTTGGCCAACATGGTGAAACTCTGTCTCTACTAAAAATACAAACATTAGCTGGGAATGGTGGCACGCACCTGTAATTCCAGCTACTCAGGAGGCTAAGGCAGAAGAATCGCTTGAACCTGGGAGGTGGAGGTTGCAGTGAGCCGAGATTGTGCCACTGCACTCCAGCCTGGGCAACAGAGTGAGACTCTGTCTCAAAAAAAAAAAAAAAAAAAAAATTAGCTGGGTGTGCTGGTGTGAGCGCGTATTCCTAGCTCCTCAGGAGGCTGAGGCAGGAGGATCACTTGAGCCCAGGAGGCAGAGGTTGCAGTGAGCTGAGATCACACCACTTTACTCTAGCCTGGGCAACAGAGCAAGATGCTGTCTCAAAAACAAAGAAAGAAAGAAAGAAAGAAAGAAACCTCTTCCAGAAGGCCAAACACCCAACATGTCTACACTCACTGCACCCAAGTTGGGGTGAGCAAATGTTTTAAATTCCCCTTCTCTTCTTAATTTGCATTTTCCAGATGTCCACCTGGTTGGGTCATAGTTTAACCAAATAAATCATTCGTTGGGATGGGAAAGCCAAGAGTGGGTTCAGCTTGCTCCGCTCACAGGAGCTGCCACAAAGTTCAGAGAGGGGCAGCCACCTGTTGGGGGGTCACACAGAGAGGAGGGAGAGGAAGCTGGGCCTCGTGACCCCAGCCTCTGTTCTCTTGGGGGACTGAGGCATGGCCTTGAGCTCCATCCTTTTTTGAGGGGCCTAGTGTTACTACCTGGCCTCAGCCTTCCCTCCTGCAAACCAGCTTCCTGCTCTCTAAGATGACATCCCAAGATCCTAACTGTCCTGAAATTCTGTTTGCTGGAGGCCAAGCTTCCCCCTTTACTGAACAACAGGAAGGGGACATGAGGGAACAAGCCTGCCTTTTTAGAAAGCCCTTTTCATCTCTGGAAATCAGTCCTCACACACTGGTTCTCCGAAGTCGAAATACTTTTTTGTATCCAGTTTCCTTCACTCCAAGAGTCTGAGAGTTCTTGTCCCGAATGCCCAAGGTCCAGGGGCCCTGCCCTTCCCCAGGGATGATTCTTGGCCAGGCTAGCCTGAGGCCTTGATTATTGTTTTGTTTCTTTCTTCTTTTTTTTTTTTTTTTTTTTTTGAGATGGAGTTTCACTCTTGTTGCCCAGGCTGGAGTGCAATGACACGATCTTCGCTCACCACAACCTCCGCCTCCTGGGTTCAAGCGATTCTCCTGCCTCAGCCTCCTGAGTCGCTGGGATTACAAGCATGTACCATCATGGCCGGCTAATTTTGTATTTTTAGTAGAGATGGGGTTTCTCCATGTTGGTCAGGCTGGTCTCGAACTCCTGACCTCAGGTGATCCGCCCGCCTCAGCCTCCCAAAGTGCTTGGATTACAGGTGTGAGCCACCGCGCCTGGCCATTTTTTTGTTTCTTTTCTTTCTTTTTGTTTTTCTTTTAGAGACAGGATCTTGCTCTGTCACCCAGGCTGCAGTGCAGTAGCTCAGTCATAGCTCACTGCAGACTCGAACTCCTCGGATCAAGTGATCCTCCTGCCTCAGCCTCCCGAGTAGCTGGGACTATACACATAAGCCACCACACCTGCCTAATTAAAAAAACAATTTTTTTTGGCCAGATGCGGTGGCTTACTCTTGTAATCCTAGCACTTTGGGAGGCTGAGGCAGGCAGATCACATGAGACCAGCCTGGCAAACATGGTGAAACAACGTCTCTACAAAAAATGCAAAAATTAGCTGGTCATGGTGGCACACGCTTGTAGTCCCAGATACTCGGGAGGCTGAGGCAGAAAATCAATCACTTGAACCTGGGAGGCAGAGGTTGCAGTGAGCCAAGATTGAGCCACTGCGCTCCAGCCTGGGTGACAGAGTGAGACTCTGTCTCAAAAAAAATTTTTTTTTAAAGCCAGGTGCAGGGGCTCACGCCTGTAATCCCAGCACTTTGGGAGGTTGAGGCAGGTGAATCATTTGAGGTCTGGAGTTCAAGACCAGCCTGGCCAACATGGTGAAAGCCCATCTCTACTAAAAATACAAAAACTAGCCAGGCGGTAGTGGCACGCGCCTGTAATCCCAGCTACTTAGAAGGCTGAGGGAGGAGAATTGTTTGAGCCTGGGAGCTGGAGGTTGCAGTGAACAAAGATCACCACTGTACTCCAGCCTGGGCGACAGGATGAGACCCTGTCTCAAAAAAAAAACAAAGAAAGAAAAGAAAAGAAAAAGAAAATGGGGGTCTCACTATGTTGCCCAGGCTGGTCTCAAACTACTGGGCTCAAGTGATCCTCCTGCCTCAGCCTCCAAAGTGCTGGGATTACAGGCATGAGCCACAGTGCCCGGCCAGCTATTTCTGACTAATTGGGTCTGCAACTAGGGGTTAGGGTGGCCAAGGACACAGGTCACCCATATCTGCAGCCCTGGACCCCAAAAGAGATAGGGAGGGAGGACTGTGACCGTGAAAGTAATGCTGCCACCACCTTGTCATGTGCTAACAACCACACGGGGATGTGACTCTTGTTCCTGTACCCATTGAGGCAAAGGGAGGAGAGTTGGCCCCGGCAGCTGTTGCTCCCCCGTTCCAAGGTTTTGTGCCTACCATCCTGCTGTGACAAACGAGTGTACACCCACAGCAAGAAGGCATAGGGTTGTGCACAGGGGATGCGCTAATGCTAAAGGAGTGCACACCAGGAGAGAGGGACATCACATGCCACATCACAGAGCTCACAGACACATAATAGGGCCTCACAGCACCATGATTTTGGACACACAGCTAACTCTCCAACTCCCCAACTCACACCAAATCTCAGACGCAGAGCCCTTGGACACACAACTTCCAGACCCACACCCTTCAGACACACACCCCTTGGAGACACAACCCCCTCCTGCCACAACCTCGGGGACTCACCACCCCACGACACACACCCCTTTAGACACACACCCCACCCTGGGACGCCCAGCAGTACACCCGGACCTCCAAAACCCACCCAGCCCGCAGAAGCCGTTCAGAGGACACCACAGGAGTCTCAACCCGATATGACACGCACCTGCTCGGCCTGGGCCCTGGGACGCTGGGCGCACGGACCCGCGGCGGCTGCACGAAGATCAGGGGCCCGCGGCCGCAGGTGCCTTGGGAGCGGGCGGTCCTGCCCCCGGGAGCTGATTGGGCGGGACGGGCTTATTTGCATACAGGGCGTCACCCTGGAGGCGGCGATGGGCGTGCACTTGGGCGTGGCCCCGACCCGGGAGTTCATGGGCCTGGGACTCAGACGCGAAAGGATGCTGGGGCGCCATGGGTGGGGGCGCGGATAAGGAAGAAGCAGAACGGAGGGAGGGGGCTGGATCAGACTGGCCAGGCTTTCCCCGCCCTCACTGGGCGCCCTTGACCTTACTGCCGACCCCTGACCCTACTGTGACCCTAACCCTAATTCTAAACCTTTTCCTAACTCGGCCCAACTTGCCTGGATTGATTCCATCCTGAGTGAAATAGACTCCGATCCCGGACCCCGTCGCCCCGAGGAACCAAGCCCTTCTCGCAGGCAACGCTGACCCTCGCGCTCGCTAGAATGGAAAGACTGCAAGACGGGGCTCTCGGGTGGCCTGTGTGGCCTCACTCAACTGTGCCTCCTGGGGCCAGATATGTGCTCCCACAGGGAGTGACAGACCCTCCGCAGCTACTGGTCCCTCAAGCCCGCACCGCCTGCCCCTCCACAGTCCAAGACAACCACACTGCTTCCACCAACCACTTCCCTCTCCTTACCTCTCCCCGCTAAAGGCTGTTTTCTAAACTTCAAAGGTCAGCTGTGAGGGGCCTTCCAGGATTGGACCCCAGCCCAGAACTCTAAATCCACCCCTTCCCCTGGGATCCCAGCACAGGCCAGACCCACAGGAAGATCAGAGCAGGGGTTGGTGAATGTATCAATGTGAAAAGAATTACAGGATAAAGATGGCTCTGGGATGGGCACTTCTGGAGAAGCCCCCGGCCCGTCTGGGGCAGGCAGGGGATCCATGCACTCCCCTAACCCTGTGGGGTCAGGCTTGGGCCAGAGGAGGGATGGGAGGCTGGGACAGGCCAGAATTGGGGCAAGGGCTGTGCCAGAGGAGTCAGGGAGGGTTTCTCAGAAGAGAGGGCATTTGTGCTGGGCTTTCAAGTATGTGTAGGAGTTTGCCACTAGGAGAAAGGTTTTTCTTGTTTTTTTCTTCAAGGCAGGATCTCACTGTGTTGCCCAGGCTGGAGTGCAGTGGCATGATCATAGCTCACTGCAGCCTCGACCTCCTAGGCTCAAGCAATCCTCCCAACTTAGCCTCCCCAGCAGCTGGGACTACAGGCAGGCCACCACCAGGTCCAGCTAATTTTGTTTTTTTTAAGAGAGGATGTCTCACTATGTTGCCCAGGCTGGTCCCAAACTCCTGGGCTTAAGAGATCCTTCCTCCTCGGCCTCCCAAGGTGCTGAGATTACAGGTGTGAGCCACTACACAAGACCCGAGAAGGGCTTTTTCAAGAGGGAAAAGCACTTGCAAAAGTGCAGAGGAAGAGCATAGAACATTCTCTGGCCGGGGAAGATGAGGAAGGTGAAGCCAGTATAGCGGGCAGGGGGTGAAGAGGAGGGGCAGATACAGGTGGAGAGCAATGGGGCTGCAAAGCTGCCTGGTGTCCATCTCCTCCAGAGAAGAGAGGGGCTGGTCCCCCAAACTCAGGGGGAGGCATGTGGCAGATGCTGGAGTGTGGGGGACACTGAGACAGGGAACAGGGGGCCTGGGAGGCTTGTGTCTCTCCCCACACCTCAGTTTACCCGTCTGTGACATGGGCAGTGTGGGCCTCTAGTCTGAGCACAACTTTCTCTTTGGACATGAAAACTATAGAGTTCATACTGTGTCATCAGTGGGTCCCTCCTGTCCCCATCCAGTGCCCAGTGCCATACACTGGGGTGCCCCAAGGACATGCCAGGGCCTGGGCCAGGCTGGGGGCTTCTGCCTCCACTCCATGGTGCAGAACAAGGCTTGGGGAGTGTGGAGGTGGCTGGGGAGCCCTGGGCCCCCGGAGGGCTGCTCTGTTTACCGGAGGCCACCCGCCCACCTCTGATGCAACAGGCAGGCTCTGGTTACGTGAGGCCGGCAGCTGGGCCAGCTCTGGGGGAAGGGCTAGCCCAGCAGAGCGAAGCTGGCTGGGGCTGGCCCTTATGCACCCCAACTCCCCAGCCCCCTCCTTCTGGTGGGCACCATCTTGTTATTCATGGTCTGTCCCGTGTCCTTTTGCCTCTGTTCCTATCCTATACCTTCCCCAACCACTAATTGTGTCCCCTAGCAGGGCCACCAAGAGTCTTAACCTCATTCTTCTCAGATGAAGGGACACCCTTAGTTGCTAGAGTAAGAGGTTGGAAGGTAGAAGGGAAGGTTGTGAGGAGGAAGGGATAGAAGGGTCCAGAGTGGGTGGTGAGGGAGAAGAGTGACCTGGGAAGCAGGTCTGGGAGATGGGGGAGGTGGTGGGTGGGGGATGGAGGAGAAGGCTAGGGTGGGAGGCTGGGGGAGGTGGAGAAGCTGCCCCCGCTGTCTCCCTCCTCCAGATTCTCTCCCCTCTCCCAGGAGAAGGCTTTGAAGGACCTTCCATGATAAGGATGTGTGACCCAGTAGGTAGGGAGGGCCCTGAGGTTAAAGAACCCTGAGTCCCCATCCCAGCTGTGCCGCCCACTCACTGTGTGACCTCAGGATGGTCACTGCACCCCTTGGGGCCTCTTTGCTCATATGAGAAGTGTGGATAGGCTGGGCGCGGTGGCTCACGCCTGTAATCCCAGCACTTTGGGAGGCCGAGGTGGGTGGATCCCGAGGTCAGGAGATCGAGACCATCCTCACTAACACGGTGAAACCCCGTCTCTACTGAAAATACAAAAAATTAGCCAGGCGTGGTGGCAGGCGCCTGTAGTCCCAGCTACTCGGGAGGCTGAGGCAGGAGAATGGCGTGAACCTGGGAGGCGGAGCTTGCAGTGAGCCAAGATCGTGCCACTGCACTCCAACCTGGGCGACAGAGCGAGACTCTGTCTCGAAAAAAAAAAGAAAAAAAAAAAAGCCAGGCATGGTGGCACACACCTGTAATCCCAGCTACTCAGGAGGCTGAGGCAGGAGAATTGCTTGAACCCGGGAGGTGGAGGTTGCAGTGAGCCAAGATCACGCCACTGTACTCCAGCCTGGGTGACAAGAGCAAGACTCTGTCTCAAAAAAGAAAAAAAAAAAAAAAAAAAGAAGAAGTGGGGATAATAGGAGCCCTTAAGGCCCACCTCCAATGTTCCCTCCTCCAAAAGCCTTCCTATCCTCTTACCACTTAGGATCCTTCCACCTCCCCACCCTTCCTTCCAGCTTAGCACTGATCCAGGGGGCGGGGTAGAGTATGTGGCTGGTTCTGTGTCCCCCAGCCTGGGGGTTCCTTGGGCCCGGGCCCAGTGCATGGTGGCACCAAAGGGGTGTCTCCACGGGTTTCTTTCTTTTCATTTTTTAGAGACAGAGTTGCTCTGTTGCCCAGGCTGGAGTGCAGTGGTACAATCATGGCTCACTGCAGCCTTGAACTCCTGGGCTCAAGTGATCCTCTCGCTTCCATCTACCAAGTAGCTGGGACTATAGGAATGCACTACCACACCTGGCTAATTTTTAAATTTTTTTTTGAGGTGCACTGGGTGTCTCGCTTGTTGCCCAGGCTGGTCTCGAACTCCTGGGCTTAAGCGATCCTCCTGCCTTGGCCTCCAAAAGAGCTAGGATTATGGATATGAGCCATTGCGCACAGCCTCCATGGGTTTCTTGAAGAACTGGAGAATCTCAAAGAAGGTCTAAGCAGTGAAAGGGAGTGGGGGATAAGCCTGGGGCACCCAGAAGCCTTGTTCAGGGATACTGTAGGGAAAAGAAAAAAAAAAAAAAAGGCTTTCCAGGGGCCTGAGTGTGCAGGACTCTCCGGGAACCCAGAGGAGTAGGTCTGAAATAAAAACCAGGACTCACACCAATGGCTAAGGACAAAAACCCAGCGGAAGTCTGATTCTTGTCCTGACCACTGTGGACGGAGCAGGGGGCAGGTCGCTGCCCTGTATGGGTCTCCTTTTACCCCATCTGCAGATCAGGGTTGGGATCCTTTCTGGGTGATCTCCAGCCTCGTGAGCACTATGCTTCTGTTTGGATGCCCCATGGCACGGAGAGCTCACTGTCTCTCTTCTAGCTGCCTATCTCTGGAGTTCTGCCGGGAGTTAAATTTTTTTTTTTTTTTTTTTTGAGACGGAGTCTGGCTCTGTCGCCAGGCTGGAGTGCAGTGGCGCAATCTCGGCTCACTGCAATCTCCACCTCCCGGGTTCAAGTCATTCTGCTGCCTCAGCCTCCCGAGTAGCTAGGATTACAGGTGCTCACCACAGCCAGCTAATTTTTGTATTTTTAGTAGAGATGGGGTTTCACCATGTTGGCCACGACGGTCTCAATCTCCTGACCTCGTAATCCACCCGCCTCGGGCTCCCAAAGTGCTGGGATTACAGGCGTGACCCACCATGCCCAGCTGGGTGTTTTTTGAAATGGAGTCTACCTCTGTCGCCCACGCTGGAGTGCAGTGGCGTGATCTCGGCTCACTGCAACCTCCACCTCCCGGGCTCAAGCGATTCTCCTGCCTCAGCCTCCAGAGTAGCTGGGGATTACAGGCATGCACCACACCCAGCTAATTTTTGTATTTTCAGTAGAGACGAGGTTTCATCATGTTGGCCAGGCTGGTCTCCAACTCCTGACGTCAAGTGATCCGCCCACCTCGGCCTCCGAAAGCGCTGGGATTACAGGTGTGAGCCCCCGCGCCTGGCCAGTAAATGCTATTGAGTGAGCTCTAGGAGTGCCCTTGCTCTCCACCCTGACAAGGGAGGCTGCGAGCTCTTGTTCTGAGAGCCCTCTGGCCTCTCAGAACCTCAGTTTGCTCTCTGAAAAATGGGAGCGAGGGCATATAGGGTGAAAAAGGGTGGAGGGTCACAGTGTGCCCACCAGGGCCAGCCAGGACTGCAGACAATGACCGCTAGGAGGCTGAACTTCCCGCCAACGCTTTGCCTCTTGCGCCCCCTGGCGGCTAGAGTGGGCGGGGCGCCCTCCAGGCAAAAAGGGCTATCGAGCATTCAAATGAGATGCAAATTAACCAGCGCCCCCACAAGCCCTTGGACTCGGGGTGACGAGGTGTCTGACAACCCAGAGTCTTGATCAGATCCCTTTTATCTATTTATTTATTTATTATTTTTTGAGACAGAGTCTCGCTCTGTCACCCAGGCTAGAGTGTAGTGGCTCCATCTTGGCTCACTGCAACCTCTGCCTCCCGGGTTCAAGCAATTCTCCTGCCTCAGCTTCCCAAGTAGCTGGGATTAGAGGCGCGCACCACCACACCCGGCTAATTTTTTATATTTTTGGTAGAGACAGGGTTTCACCATATTGGTCAGGCTGGTCTTGAACCCCTAACCTCAGGTGATCTGCCCACCTCAGCCTCCCAAAGTGCTGGGATTACAGGCGTGAGCCACCATGCTCAGCTATTTTGTTTTTTTATAGAGACAGGGTCTCTCCATGTTGCCAGGCTGGTCTCCAACTCCTGGACTCAGGGGTTCCTCTAGTCTTGACTTCCCAAAGTGCTGGGATTACAAGCGTGTGCCACCGCACCCGGCCTAGACTCCTTTTAAGAGATGACTGGGCTGGGCACGGTGGCTCACACCTGTAATCTCAGCACTTTGGGAGAACGAGGTCAGGAGTTCAAGACCAGTCTGGCCAAGATGGTGAAACCCCGTCTCTACTAAAACTACAAAAATTAGTTGGGCGCAGTGGCAGGTGCCTATAATCCCAGCTATTCTGGAGGCTGAGGTAGGAGAATGGCTTGAACCCAGGCGGCAGAGGTTATTGTGAGCCGAGATCGCGCCACTGCACTCCAGCCTGGGCGAGAGTGAGGCTCCAGCTCAAAAAAAAAAGAGAGAGAGATGACTGTTAGTCGCTGGTTGAGGTTGCATCCAGGGGCTATGAGTGACTCAGAGCCCTAGAAGGGTCTGGTGGGGCCCCCCACACCTGCCTCCCTCACCCCTAGCTCCTAGCGCCCCAGACATCCTAGGCAGGTCCTGGGAGGCAGGCAATAATCCCATTCTGCTGCCAGTTTGTCCTGAAGGTCTGAGCAAGAGGGCTGGCTCACAAATACCAGTGTTTGCTGGAGAAATGGTCGCACGAAGGACAGATGGACATTGAGAGGTGCCTTCAGAGCAGGTAAGAAGGGAGAAGGACTCTGGAGGCCACACACCAATCAGTGCCCTAAATGGGGTGGCTTTAGGCTCCTCCCCACTCCTAAGCTGAGTAGGACAGTGGAGAGGTGGGATAATGGCACAGAGGCCCCCCAGTGTGACCTAGAAGGAGGAGAGGTAGGGCTGAACCCCCTTTCCAGGCCTTCAGATGCCTTGACAGGCCCGATGTCCTAACAGGATGCCCTCTGTCTCCCCTCGGGACACCCCTGCTCTTCCCATCCGTCTCCATCAACCACCCCACAGTGCCAAGCTGAGGGACCCTCCCAGAGCAGTGACTGGAACCTGCCTCGACCCCAAACAACTCTTATCTGACCTCCCTAATACATTGTACTGGAACAAGGGATTCTGGGGTAACTGCATTGGCACACAGCTGGCCTTGGAGATGCATAACTTGTGGAGGCCTGGTCACCCAGGCTTGGCATTCACAGTGGTCAGTGCAGGCCCTTCTGCAAACAGCAGCAGAAACGGACTCAAAGCCATTTTGGCAAAAATCATAATTTAGGGGTCCATGAAACTGAAGAAATGAAATTGGCTAGTGTCAGGTACAGTTGGATCCAGGGCTCCACACAATGTTCTCAGGTCCCCCCGGAACCCCTCGCCCCGGCCTGGTTCCCATACACCCAGCTCAACCTTCCTGATGCTCCTGGTAGAACTCCCAGGAAAGGTCGCTCATTGGGTCACGTGTCCATCTCAAACCAATCACTAGGAACCTAGGACAAGGGAGCTCTGATTGGCCAGGCCGAGGTGCCACATCCACCACTGGAACTAGGGGTGGCTTCTCCATGTGGCCTGAGCCTGGGGTGGGCGTTGCTGCTTGAGGCAGAATGCAGGTTGGGAGGGTAGATCTGCGAATGTCCAACTCAGCCTGTAGAGAAGGTGCAGTCCAGCCTTCCTTATCCAGATGAAGAAAGGGAGAACCAAGGCTGGGTGCGGTGGCTCACACCTATAATCCCAGCACTTTGGGAGGCTGAGGCGGGAGGATCACGAGCTCAGGAGTTTGAGACCAGCCTAGCCAACATGGTGAAACCCCGTCTCTACAAAAAATACAAAAAATTAGCTGGGGGTAGTGGTGTGCGCCTGTAGTCCCAGCTACTTGGGAGGCTGAGACAGGAGGATCACTTGAGCCCAGGAGGCAGAGGTTGCAGTGAGCCGAGATCGTGCCACTGCACTCCAGCCTGGATGACAGCCAGATCCTGTCAAAAGAAAGAAAGAAAGAAGGAAGGAAGGAAGGAAGGAAGGAAGGAAGGAAGGAAGGAAGGAAGGAAGGAAGAGAAAAGAAAAGAAAAGAAAAGAAAAGAAAAGAAAAGAAAAGAAAAGAAAAGAAAAGAAAGGAAGAAAGAAAGGGAGACCCAGAGAGGGCCAGCACCAGGCCTATGTCACACAGCACATCAGAGGCAGGCAGGGCTGGGACCAAACCAAGCCGGGCTCTGCTCTTCTCTGACTGTGCCCTTTTTTTTTTTGGTTGGGGGGCGGCGGGTGCGAAGTCTCGCTCTGTCGCGCAGGCTGGAGTGCAGTGGCGCCATCTTGGCTCACTGGAACCTCTGCCTCCTGGGTTCAAGCGATTCTCATGCCTCAACCTCCTGAGTAGCTGGGATTACAGGTGCCCGCCATCACACCCGGCAGAGCCTCTTTTTGTCCATATGTATTTGGGGGTGAGACCTGCCTTTTGGGGCTGAGGATGAAATGAGATGACCCCTGTGAAGACTTTAGCCCAGGGCCAGGGACTTGATAGGTGCATAATCAGGATTATTTTGATGGCAGTTATTGGTCCAAGGGTCGATGGGGGGCCAGTGAGAGTCCAGGAGCAGCAAAGCCACTTCTGGACTTCTGGGAACATGGACGGCTGGGCCTGGAGGCTCCGGGCAGGTGCAGGAGGAATGCTGGCCACACTCGTTCAGTCTTCAGTCTCTGCCTGGCCCAGCTTCAGTCAGGCTGGGGAGCAGGGGCAAGGGCCAGGGTGGTCTGAGAGACAGACCCAAGGCATGAGGCAGCACCTGAGGGATGACCCCGGGCCAGACTAAGGTGGAGCTTGGTGGTCAGAGGTCCGGGTGGGAATCCTGGCATTTCTGGGCGTGGGCGATGACCCTGAGCTGGCTGCCTTACCTCTCGGGGCCTCAGTTTCCTCTTCTGTAAAACAGGGCAGTGCTTAAGGTCCTGGGACAGGAGAGGGGGATGACTTGACCCTGCGAAGGTCACTGATGACCCCAAAGAGGCGCAGTTTTGGGGGAAAAGTGGGAATGAAAGCCTCTGAGGCCGGGCGCAGTGGCTCATGCCTATAATCCCAGGACTTTGGGAGGCCGAGGCGGGCAGATCACCTGAGGTCGGGAGTTCGAGACCTGACTGACCAACATGCTGAAATTCCATCTCTACTAAAAATACAAAAATTAGCCGGGCGAGGTGGCAGGCACCTGTAGTCCCACCTACTCGGGAGGCTGAAGCGGGATAATCGCTTGAACCTGACAGGCAGAGGTTACACTGAACCGAGATCGCACCACCGCACTCTAGCCTGGGTGACAGAGTGAGACTCCATCTCAAAAAAAAAAAAAAGAGAGAAAAAAAAAGCCTCTGAGATGCGGCATGAGGCTGGCGGTTCCAGGGAGAGGCGAGGAACTCTGCAGGGACAAACGTGGATGAGACACAGAGCAATCCTGCCGGGCAGCAGCAGCGGAGGGGACAGCAGACGCTGGGAAGTGAGGAGGGCAGCGGGGCAGTGTCCTCGAGGCACAAAGTAGGAGGGACCAGGGTGTGGGGGATGGGACTGGGGAGACAGAGGCTGGGTTGGGGGTGTGGGCAGGGCTGCGTAGGGCACTGGGCTGGGCTGCTGACCCACTCAGGCAGCCCCTCCTGCTTCAGGCCCCCTGGAAAGCTCCCAGGCCACCCCTCAGCCTGTGGGATTCCTCACCACCCCACATCCAGAGCTAAGCCTGCTATGAACAGGTACTCAGGAAGTATGCATCAACTGCCAGAGGTACTCAGTAAATGCTTGCTGCCTGTGGTGTCCAGTAAGCGCTCACTGATTGACTACAGTGCCCACTAAGTGCTCTCTGACTGCACACATGAATTCGGCTGCCTCTGGGCTCTGGGGCTACAGCTTGAAAGGCCTACAGAGGCTCTGTCTCCACCTGCCTCCCCTCGACCTCTGAGAGGGCTTCCATGGCACATGGCACCGAGGACAATCACAGTGCCTGGCCAATAGGCAGGGGCTCGGTAAGTCCCCAGGGCCCCTTTGACCTGCCTGCGTCTGCCCATCACAGATATAGAATGGTGACACATCAGATCTTTCCTGGCACCACACTCTCTAAGCGTGGTCAGCCACACCTCCCACAGCTCACGCTGCACTTGTGCGGTCCTCTCCCATCTGGTCCTGGGCCTGGCCACGTGACTGGCCTCAACGGATGGGCCACCCACAAATGTGAAACCAGCACTCTGCATGGGAGCCGCTCTCCTGGCTCCCAGCCACCAGGAGAAACCCGGGCTGGCCTGCTGGAGAGGCCATGAGGAAAATCTGACCCCTGCTGCCAACAGTCCTGGCCAAGGGACCCCCTGACTATGCAGGTGCAGCTGAGCTCCCATGAGCACCACATGGGTGAGCCCCAGGGACAGCAGCAGAACCACCCAGCTGAGCCCAGCCCAAAGTGCAGAATCATGAGTAGGTTAATTACTGGGGCTGTAAACCACTGTTTTGGGATGCTGTGTTATGCAGCAATAGCCGACTGCTCCAAAGCACATCCGTCACTGTGCCCTGCACCCTCTTGGTCACCTGAGAGCCACCTTTACAGAAAGTAAATGCAGAGACCAGAGAGGGTAGTGAATTTGCTCGGTCACACAGCAGGTAGGCAGTAGATGGGTGGGGAGGTCCCAGAGATAGGTGGGTAATTGCCCATGCCGGGCTCTGCCTGAGAGACTGTGCACGGGTAAAGCAGGCTGCTGGCACGTGGTAGGATAGAGGAAATGTGGGCTCCCTTCTCTGTCTTGGGGGGTGGAAATCTCTGGGACTAGCATGGGGCCTATGGCCTGGAAAAGAGAGAGGAAGGTGGTGGAGAGAGAGTGGGAGAGATGGGCTGACATGGTCCCTGAGCAGCAGGGTGGAACATTCTGGACCTGCAGACACCCCTCCACCTGCCACCTCCGAAATCATCCCACAAGCCCAGTGAGAAACCCCAAGTGGTTAGACAAGCAGGTGCCTGCCTGGCTGCCAAGCGGGCGGGTTGGTTAGTTCAGAGCAGAGAGAGAGGCTCGTGGCTACCCTCGGCACTGACCTGGGTTGGCGGAGGCTGGGGGGCCCCGAGTCTCTTCCAGGATCAGGCTGAGGAGGGCGGGGGTGGTTCCTCCGGGCTGCAACAAAACATGTGCAGCATCCATGAGGCCAAGGTCAGAGGCCACAAGGCTTGCTCAGCTGGCTGGAGTGTATGTTTGGGTGATACTCTGGTCTCAAAGACCTCTGGCTTGAGCTTCTGGGGCATCCTGCTTAAAAGTGGGATGAGTGGGCCAGGAACGGTGGCTCACGCCTGTAATCCCAGCACTTTGGGAGGCTGAGGTGGGTGGATCACCTGAGGTCAGGAGTTCAAGACCAGCCTGGCCAACATGGCGAAACCCCGTCTCTACTAAAAATACAAAAATTAGCCAGGTGTGGTGGCAGGCGCCTGTAATCCCAGCTACTCGAGAGGCTGAGGCACGAGAATCACTTGGAACCCAGAGAGGGAGGCTGGAGTGAGCTAAGATCGCACCAGTGCACTCTAGCCTGGGCGACAAAGTGAGGCTCTGTCTTGAAAAAAAAAAAAAGGGACAAATGGCTGGGCCCAGTGGGTCACACCTGTAATCCCAGCACTTTGGGAGGCTGAGGCGAGAGAATTGCTTGAGCCCAGGGGTTTGAGACCAGCCCAGGGAATGTATCATGACCCCATCTCTATTTAAAGAAATATATATGTATGTTTTTAAAAGTGGGACAAGGCACTCCAGAGGCCACGTCTGCAACTCACTCACACAAGACTGGGCACTTCAAACCCACAGGGCTTACAAAGAGAGGTGTCAGCAGCAACTCAAGCTGCTACTAATATCTTTCAGGAGTGTGTTGCGTTTTTGAAACAGCAGGCACAAACAGGGCATATGAAAGCATTTTTGGAAACCCTGAGTTGACAGTAAGAGCTATGGCTTTTCAGTGAAGTCTAGATCCAACTGCCAATGCCAACCCATGGCAGAGAAGCCAGATGCCGCTCCTCTTCAGATGCAAGAGAGCCCAGATAAACCCTTCATGCTACCGTTTGAGGGAAGATTGCTACACTCCCATTCTTACACATACACTCAAGTCTTGTTTCTGCAATTTTCGCGTCTTAGTTAAGCAACACAGATGCTTTCTTTCTTTTGCCCAGTGGGGGACAGGCCTGCCAGAACCCCAATCTGTGGGAGCCAGACGCATCCCAAGGCGACATTCCTGCTCCTGGCACATGAGTGTGTGTTCATAAGCGTGTTTATTAACTTAGAATGCCAACAAAAACAAAAAGAAGGGCTACTCTTCAAAAATTCTCTTTCCAATGTTCAAGGACTGTGAGTGCTTTTCGTTTTCAGACCCCTGGTCCTGGGCTTAAAGCCTCCCTTGGCTCTGGGTCCTGGGACAGGGAGAGGCCCCTGCCATCTCCCTGGCCCCATCTCCCCCAGCTGGCCGGCTCCAGCCACAGAAGCCTTCTCGGTGCTTCTCGAACACTCCCAGGGATCCCAGCCCCAGAGCGTCTGCCCTCACCACTGCCCCACATGGAACTCCGTCTGCCCCCGGATCGTCTCTGTCTGCATGTAACTCATGCCACCTCCTAGGAGGGGCCCCGCAGTGTTCTTCACAGCGCATCTGACATGCTCTTGTCTGCCATGTTTACCTGGTTGTCGTATGTCTCCTTGTGAGCCTGTCTGTCTCGGTCACTGCTATGTCCCCAGTGCCCAGCCCAGGGCCAGGCACACAGCAGAGCGCAGGACCTCGGTATTAAGTGACTGAACTCAGGTTATAGATGCCACAGGACAAGAGGAGGTCACCAGACACCAGGACAAAAGGAAAGAGACAGTTTTCTAATAAGCGAGAAGCAGCGGTTCCCAGCGCAGCTGAGAGACGGTCCTTGCAGCTGGGAGTGGCAGTGGGGGCGGGCGGTCCCAGGAGCTACCTGTGGCCCTGGGCACTGGCATTCATATGGTCCCGGATGCTGATGGCCTGTTTGAGCAGACCCTCCACGCTGCGGAAGTAGACGCTGCTGTCCACCAGGTTCTTCACGGCGCTGAAACGGGAGGACAGGCCTGGTCAGCGCTCCGGACCTGCAGGTAACTGTCCCACACCCCAGCACTTGAGGTCACCACCAGGGCTCGGTGGGTACCTCAGTGATTCTGCGGGCTTCCCGAAGGACTCACAGTGGGCTTACATTTTAGATTTCCCTGCTATGACTAGATGACATCTGTGCAACACAGCACATTCTCTGCCACTGAAACATCTAATGTTTTGAAGGAGGGATCAGTGTATAAAGATGTCATAAAAAATATCTCGGCCATTACTGCTGATAATGGGGGTGTAAAAAATAGGAAAGAAAAAACACCTGGGCACTGTGGTTCACACCTATAATCCCAGCTACTCAAGAGGCCAAGGCAAGAGGATGGCTTGAGCCCAGGAGGTTGAGACCAGCCTGGGCAACACAGCGAGACCCCATCTCTTAAAAAGAAAAATCTGGGATGGGCGCAGTGGATCATGCCTGTAATCCCAGCACTCTGGGAGGCTGAGGCGGGTGGATCATGAGGTCGGGAGGTCAAGACCATGCTGGCTAACAAGGTGAAACCTCTGTCTCTACTAAAAATACAAAAAAATTAGCCGGGCGTGGTGGCGGCCGCCTGTAGTCCCAGCTACTCGGGAGGCTGAGGCAGGAGAATGGCATGAACCTGGGAGGCAGAGCTTGCAGTGGGCTGAGATCGCGCCACTGCACTCCAGCCTGGGCGACAGAGCGAGACTCCGTCTCAAAAAAAAAAAAAAAATATACATTTCACTACAGACAAATGTTCGCTGGCCTCCCGCCTAGCCCAGTGGTATCTGGGGCAACTTCTGTGGTGATGAAAATGTTCTTTATCCATTGAGATGGCTGAGAGGCACCTGGAATGTGGCTAGCGGGACTTGGGAGCTGAATATTTTTTTTCTTTCTTTTTTTTTTTTTGAGACGGAATTTCGCTCTTGTTGCCCAGGCTGGAGTGCAATGGTGTGATCTCGGCTCACTGCAACCTCCGCCTCCCAGGTTCAAGCAATTCTCCTGCCTCAGCCTCCCAAGTAGCTGGGATTACAGGTGCCCACCACCACACCTGGCTAATTTTTGTACTTTTAGTACATGTTGGTCAGGCTGGTCTCAAACTCCTGACCTCAGGGGATCCTCCTGCCTCGGCCTCCAAAAGTGCTGGGATTACAGGCGTGAGCCACTGCGCTCAGCCTCATTTTGTAATTTTTTTTTAATTTTTAATTTTTTTTTTTGAGACAAAGTCTCACTTTGTTGCCCAGACTGAGCACAATCTCAGCTCACAGCAACCTCCGTCTCCCAGGTTCAAGCGATTCTCCTGCCTCCGCCTCCCAAGTAGCTGGGATTACAGGTGCCCACCACCACACCTGGCTAATTTTTGTATTTTTAGTAGAGATAGGGTTGCACCATGTTGGCCAGGCTGGTCTTAACTCCTGCCGCAAGTGATCTGCCCACCTCGGCCTCCCAAAGTGCTGGGATTACTGGCGTGAGTCACTGCACCCAGTTTCATTTTAACGAGTTAAAATTGAAGTGTGCTTAGCCACCCATGGCGTAGGTTCCTGGATTAGATGGCACAGCTAGAGGAAGCAGAAGAAAGCATAGGTTTTTTGTTGGTTTTTTTTTTTCCTTTCTTTTTTTTTTTTTTTTTTGAGACGGAGTCTCGCTCTGTCGCCCAGGCTGGAGTGCAATGGCGTGATCTCGGCTCACTGCAAGCTCCACCTCCCGGGTTCATGCCATTCTCCTGCCTCAGCCTCCCACGTAGCTGGGACTACAGGTGCCACCACACCTGGCTAATTTTTTTGTATTTTTAGTAAAGACGCGGTTTCACCGTGTTAGCCAGGATGGTCTCGATCTCCTGAGCTCATGATCCGCCTGCCTTGGCCTCCCAAAGTGCTGGGATTACAGGTGTGAGCCACCGCGCCCGGTCTGTTTTTTGTTTTTTTGAGACAGGATCTTGTTCTGTTGCCCAGGCTGGAGTGCAGTGGTGCAATCTCCACTCACTGCAGCCTCAACCTCCCAGGCTTAAGCAATCCTCCCACCTCAGCATCCCGAGTAGCTGGGACTAGAGGTGTGTGCCACCAGGCTCGGCTAGTTTTTGTATTTTTTGTAGGAATAGGGTTTCACCAGGTTGCCCAGACTGGTCTCAAACTCCTGGGCTGAAGTGATCCTCCCACCTCAGACTCCCAAAGCACTGGGAGTACAGGCGTAAGCCCCTGCACCCGGCCGTATTTCTTTCTTCTTTAGAGGAGAGGTCTGGCTATATCACGCAGGCTGACCCTGAACTCCTTTCAAGGCATCCTCCCACCTCAGCCTCCTGAGTAGCTGGAACTATAGGCGTGCATAACCATTCCCAGCTCTAGCAACTCCTATTTCTTTTCTTTTCCTTGAGCTAAGGAAGATACTGTCTGTCTGGTCAACCCTTGTCCCACCAAGGGGGCCAAGGCTGCCAATGGCAGAATACTGCCCCAGCAGCAGGATTTCTTGTCTAGGCACCTTCGCCCACACAACCAAACAGCAACACACCAAGGGAACTGCTGGGAGCATCATTCAGCCGCCAATAAAATGGCCCACAGCCCATGTCAGGTGCAAACAGCATGTCTGTGCAAAGTCGAGGAACTTCCAAGGCCAACTGGGCAACCCGAGGCAACCGGAATAAGGCTTGGGAATACAGTCACGAGGAATGGAACCAAAGCACAGGAGGCAAGGGGTCAGTAACAAAAAGAAACACCGGCCAGGCGTGGTGGCTCGCATCTGTAATCTGAGCACTTTGGGAGGCTGAGGTGGGTAGATCACCTGAGGTCAGAAGTTTGAGACCAGCCTGGCCAACATGGCGAAACCCCATCTCTGCTAAAAATACAAAAATTAGCCGGGCAAGGTGGCGGGCGCCTGTAGTCCCAGCTACTCGGGAGGCTGAAGCGGGAGAACTGCTTGGACTTGAGAGGCGGACGTTGCAGTGAACTGAGATCATGCCACTGCACTCCAGCCTGGGTGACAGAGTAAGATTCTGTCTCAAAAAAAATTTAAAAATAAACAGCCATATCTGTGCTTTGGGCTTCCCCCTGGCTGCCATCCACCCCACTGGCCCATCTGTCCTGGCTGTGGGAGAGAAATGCTGGTCCCCAGAGGCATCTTCCAGAATCCCTATCCCTCTTTCCTGTGGCAGCTGGGGAGGGGCTCAGCACAGGGAAGAGACCCACCTGGGGCCCTGGCCAAGTGAATCGTGGTACAGACCCCATACACCCACTCGGGTAGGCCTGGCAGGGTGGGGCTTACTGGGCAGTTGGCTGGGATGCCCCTGAATGCCCAGGAGGCCAGAGCAGCAAAAGGTGGCCCTGCAGCGGGGAGGCTGTGGCGCTCACCTGCAGGCGTACTCCACAGTGTAGATGGCTCCCTGGCTCTGCTCCTCCCAACGCTGCATGTCTGCCTGTAGGGGGCGCAGGAGATATTTGGCAAGGGAGGCCACCCCCACCTAGAGGGCCTTCCTCCCAGCTCTCTTGGTTGGGGCTCTCCTGAGTCCTCATGGTGGAAGCAGAGACCTTTCCTCCTGCAACTCCCTTCCCTCACAGGTCTGGGCTTTCTGTGAACACCTGGCCACCATGCCTCAGGGCCTTTGCACAGGCTGTTCCCCCTGCCTGGCACATCCTTCCCTTAGATAGTCAGACGGCTGCCTCCTTGCCATGCAGGTCATAACTGTAACAGAATAGTATAGTTTGACTGTGTCCCCACCCAAATCTCACCTTGAATTGTAGTTCCCATAATCCCCATGTGTTGTGAGAGGGACCAGGTGGAGACAACTGAATCATAGAGGTGGTTCCCCTCATCCTGTTCTCCTGATAAGTGAGTTCTCACGAGATCTTGTGGTTTTAATAAGGGGCCTCCCCCTTCACTGGGCACTCATACTTCTCCTTCTTGCTGCCATGTGAGGAAGTACATGTTTGCTTCCCCTTCTGCCATGATTCTAAGTTTCCTGAGGCCTCCCCAGCCCTGTTGAACTGTGAGTCAATTAAACCTCTTTATAAATTACCCAGTCTTGGCTATGTCCTGATAGCAGCATGAGAATGAACTAATACACACATCTTGCCATCTCCTTCAAAATCTATCCCAGATCTGTCCACCACGCCTCTGACCTGGCTTTGCCACCACATGCCTCCTTGCTGGTGTCCCAGCCTTGACTCCTGCCCTGACAGCCCCTGCTCCTCCCAGCAGGCCCCAGCTCACCTTGTGCTGGGCCAGCTCGGGGAGGGAGCGACGCACATGCTCCTGCAGCCGGTACAGGGCCACGGATGGCTCGTTGGCCAGGACGTAGACGCTCTCAGTGAACTTGTCCGTGACTAGATACAGGTGGTAGGGATGGGGCGGGTGTGGGGAGACAAAGCGTCAGCCTCCTCATTGCTCAAGTGTTGAGCCCAGCCAGAGCAAAGGGGGCATCTGGCGTGTCCCTCCGCAGCTAGGTCACTCCTGGCCCATGACAGGCTGGAGGAAGTGGTCACAGCAGGGCTCACTCAAGAGGACATTAATGAGACCGGGTGCGGTGGCTCACGCCTGTAATCCTAGCACTTTGGAGGCTGAGGTGGGCAGATCACCTGAGGTCAGGAATTCAAGACCAGCCAGGCCATCATGGTAAAACCCATCTCTACTAAAAATACAAAAATTAGCCAGGCATGATGGCGGGCGCCTGTAGTCCCAGCTATTCTGGAGGCTGAGGCAGGAGAAATCACTTGAATCTGGGAGGTGGAGGTTGCAGTGAGCTGACGTCATGCCATTGCACTCCAGCCTGGGCAACAAGAGCAAAACTCCATCTCAAAAAAAAAAAAAGAGGACATTAATGAGAGGACATAATGAGTGATGAGTTCATAACGAGTAAACTTCTTTTTTTTTTTTTTGAGACAGAGTCTTGCTCTGTCATCAGGCTGGAGTGCAGTGGTGCAATCTCGGCTCACCACAACCTCCGACTCCCTGGTTCAAGTGATTCTCCTGCCTCAGCCTCCTGAGTAGCTGGGATTACAGGCATGCACCACCACGCCCAGCTAATTTTTGTATTTTTAGTGGAGACAGGGTTTCACCATGTTGGTCAGGATGGTCTCGATCTCCTGACCTCGTGATCCGCTCACCATGGCCTCCCAAAGTGCTGGGATTACAGGCTTGAGCCACCGCGCCTGGCCAGCTTGATTGAACTTTTTTTTTAGAGACAGGGTCTCGCTCTGTTGCCCAGGCTGGAGTGCAGTGGTGTGATCACAGCTCACTGCACCCTCGAAACTCCCAGCCTCAAGGCATCATCACGCCTCAGCCTCCCGAGGAGCTAGAACTACAGGTGCAAACCACCATGCCTGGCTAGTTTTTTCATTTATTTATTTATTTATTTATTATTATTTTGAGATGGAGTCTCACTCTGTCGCCCAGGCTGGAGTGTAGTGGGGCAATCTTGGCTCACTGCAAGCTCCACCTCCTGGGTTCACGTCATTCTCCCGGCTCAGCCTCCCGCGTAGCTGGGACTACAGGCACCCGCCACCACGCCCGGCTAACTTTTTGTATTTTTTAGTAGAGACGGGGTTTCACTGTGTTACCAGGATGGTCTCGATCTCCTGACCTCGTGATCCGCCTGCCTCGGGCTCCAAAGTGCTGGGATTACAGGCATGAGCCACCGCGCCCGGCTCATTTTTTAAAATAGAGACAAGGTCTTGCTATGTGGCCCAGGCTGGTCCTGAACTCTTGGTCTCAAGTGATCCTCCTGCCTCAGCCTCCCAAAGTGCTGGGATTATAGGCATGAGCCACTGTGCCTGGCCCCCAGTGAACTCTTCTCATCTTTCCCTCCCAAACCCACCGGTAGTGGACACTGCTGCCTACTGCACTTCCCGGCATTCTTTTTGCCCCCGTGACCACACTCGGGACTCTTCAGAGCATGCCCACAGGACCTGAAAGTGCCTGGAAGTTCACATCCCAGGAGGGCCTCAGCTGCCACTCACCAGTGAGAGATATGGAAACCTGTGTCCCTCGCTGGGCACTGAACAACCCAGAGCCTAACATCCCCCTGGGCTCCTGTGCAGGCCCAGGATGAGGCCTCCCTCTGCAGATTTTACCTGAGGTGCCCCTCGCTCAGCCTCCTCACCAGCCAGCCCTGCCCTGTTTCCCCTTCTCCCCTGCAGGTGTCTCCTGATGAAATTTTTTTTTTCTTGTTTTTGAGACAGAGTCTTGCTCTGTTGTCCAGGCTGGAGTGCAGTAGTGTAATCTCGGCTCACTGCAACCTCCACCTCCCGGGTTCAGGTGATTCTCCTGCCTCAGCCTCCCGAGTAGCTGGGATTACAGGCACCCGCCACCACGCCTGGCTAATTTTTGTATTTTTATTTGAGATGGGGTTTTACCATGTTGGCCAGGCTGGTCTCGAACTCCTGACCTCAAGTGATCTGCCCACTTCGGCCTCCCAGAGTGCTGGGATTACAGGAGTGAGCCACCGCCCGGCCCTGATAAATTAATTGCACGCAAATCCTCATTACAGGGTCTGTTTCAACAACGGCATTCCCAGCCAGCCAGCAGGGCCCGCCTTTCCTGTCCCATTCTTGGGCAGATCCTGATGGTTCCAGTCTCACCTGTTCTATTATACCACACTGCCCGCACCGGTCCAGGCACAGCGAGGCACGGCCATCTCCTGCCTGGATGCCAGATCCACCTTCTCCCTGGCCTCTCTGCTTCCCCTGCTGCCAACAGTTCAACCTCCATGCAGCACGTGAGGCAAACTCCAAATGAACAAATCATCTATTCCCACCCTTGCTTTAAACTCTTCCATAGCTCCCACCTGCCAGAGAATAAAATCCGCCTTTCTTGCCCTGCATGTTCTGGCTGCTCTTGACCTCCCTGCCTTCCTTGCCCTCCACCCCTGGCTCTTCCTTGGACCTCCCAGCACTGCCCAGAACTTTCTCACTGCCCGAGAGGACAAGGTAGGAGGATCACTTGAGGATAAGAATTTGAGACCAACGCCGGGTGCGGTGGCTCACGCCTGTAATCCCAGCACTTTGGCAGGAGGATGGATTCAGCCTAGGAGTTCAAGACCAGCCTGGGAGACATGGCGAAACCCCACCTCTATAAAAAATTGCAAAAATAAGCTGGTCATGGTGATCTATACCTGTAGTCCCAGCTACTCAGGAGGCTGAGGTGGGAGGACTGCTTGGGTCTGACAAGTGGAGGCTGCAGTGAGCCATGATCATACCACTGCACTCCAGTCTGGGCAAAAGAGTGAGACTCTGTCCCAAAAAAAAAAAAATTAAATGCCCGTATGTGACCAGTTGCTCCTTTATTCATTACAGCAGAGCTCTAAACACTTGGTCACCTCAAGGCCTTTGCACTTGGTATTCCCACCTGGAGACACCATTCCGTCACTGGCTCTCCTTCATCCCTCAGGTCTGCTCAAATGTCACCTCCTGGGCAAGACCCTCCCTGACTACCAAGCTTAAAAGATGACCCCTCCACCTCACGGAGGACCTTGGCAGGCATTTTGTTCCTTTCTCTTAATACCAATTTCAACTGATTAGGTTACATGTTCACAGGAAAAGTTAAAAGCTTGGACTTGGGAGAGCAGAGCTTCTCTGAGCCTCAGCTTCCTCATCCACAAAAAAAGAATAACAGCACCAGCCTCAAAGTTTGCTACAGAGATGAATCCAATGCCATCACCAGGGTGACTGCTCAGGAGAGAGAACCCAGGCGTGTCTGGGAGTCAAAGGAGGCTAACACAAGTCTCTCCATCTCACCACTGTGCCTTGAGTGGCAGAGCCCAGCCTGCCACCTCCAAACTGTGTGACCTCTTACCAGATAGGCCTCCTCGCTTTGAATGTGAGCATAACGGCCAGGGGCGGTGGCCCACGCCTGTAATTCCAGAACTTTGGGAGGCCGAAGCGGGAGGATCACCTGAGGTTGGGAGTTCGACACCAGCCTGACCAACGTGGAGAAACCCCGTTTCTACTGAAAATACAAAATTAGCCAGGCATGGTGGTGCATGCCTGTAATCCCAGCTATTCGGGAGGCTGAGGCAGGAGAAACACTTGAACCCGGGAGGCGGAGGTTGCCGTGAGCCATGATCACGCCATTGCACTCCAGCCTTGGCAACAAGAGCAAAACTCCGTCTCAAATAAAAAAAAAGAAGAAGAAAGGTGAGCATAACAGACAAGGCACGGTGGCTCATGCCTCATACTCATGCCCTCCGTTATCCATGGTTCCCGAATCTGTGGATTCAACCAACCGTGGATGGAAAATAGGAAAAAAAAAATTCCACAAAGTTTCAAAAAGCAAAACTTCAATCTGCCCTACACGAAGCACTTCTTTGAATCCATGTGAATGAAGTGATGTGTAGGCCTGTATTATGTATTCTAGATGTGAGTAATCTAGGGTGATTTAAAGTATAGGGGATTAGCTGGGTGCAGTGGTTCACACCTGTAATCCCAGCACTTTGGGAGGCCAAGGTGGGTGGATCACTCGAGGTCAGGAGTTCGAGACTAGCCTGAGCAACAAGGTGAAACCCCGTCTCTACTAAAAATACAAAAAAATTAGCTGGGCATGGGGGTGTGTGCCTGTAATCCTAGCTACTCAGGGGGCTGAGGTTGCAGTGAGCTGAGATCCCCCCACGGCACTCCAGCCTGGGTGACAGAGCGAGACTCCGTCAAAAAAAAAAAAAATTAAAGAATTAGCCTGATGTGGTGGTGTGCACTTGTAGTCCCAGCTACTGGAGAAGCTGAGGCAAGAGGATCGCCCGCGCCAGAGAGATCGAGGCTACAGTGAGCCATGATCGCGCCACCGCACCCCAGCCTGGGCGACAGTGTGATACCTTGTCTCAAAAAAAAAAAAAAAAAAGGAAACAAGACGCACAGCGATTACTACGCCCCGGGGATTCTTCCAATGCATTACAAATATCAGGTTGTTGAGTTTTTTTTTTTTAGACAGGGTCTCACTTGTCACCCAGGCTGGGGGTGCAGTGGCACGACCGTAGCCCACTGCAGTGCAGCCTTGACCTCCCGGGCTCAAGCAATCCTCCCACCTTAGCCGCCCAAGTAGCTGGGACCACAGGCGTGCGCCACCACGCCCGGCTAATTTTTGTATTTTTTTAGAGACGAGATCTCACTATGTCACCTAGGCTGGTCTCGGGCTCAAGCGATCCTCCCGCCTAGGCCTCCCAAAGTGCTGGGATTACAAAGCCACCACTCCCAGCCTCAGCTACTGAATTCTTGAAACAATCCTGGGGGGACCGGTAATTAAAGCAGACACGGAGCCTTTCTACAGGTTTCAAAACTAGTCAGCGGCAGAGCTGGGATTGGACGGCAGTTCAATCACTGCTCCTCGCACGGTCCCTCCGCGCCCGGCCTTTGTCAGGCCGCCCCTCCACAAGTTACCGGCCCCCTCTGTCCCGCCCGCAGGCCCGCACCACCTTTCTTCCCCTTGAGCTGCATCTCCGGCTCCTCCATAGCGACCGCGGCCGAGCGAACCGGGAAACGGCACCGGAAGCCCGGAGGTTGGGACGCCCGCCTAAGCCTTCCCTGCTGAAACCGGACGCCGCACGGCTCCTGTTCCGGTGTCAGAGGGCCCGCCCTCCCCGCTCCTCAGTCTTTGCGGACAAGAAAGGGGCTGTGTGAGACGCAGGGAAGGAGGCACACCCGGGGGTGGCGCAGTGAGGAGGGGGCGCGACGGCCAGGAGGCTGGTGGAGCGACACCCAGGCAGGAGAGGGGGAAGAACTCTCTCCCTTTCTGAACCCCCTTTTCCTTGAGAGACGAGTTGGGGGAGTCCTCCACGCATTACCCACTCGGGCCGCAAAAACTCCCTTCTTTAGCCCTCTGCCCCCGCCCTTGCTTATAAGCCTTTGAGACCGCAGAAGGGACCTTGTTGTGGAACGGGACGGCCAAGGTACGCTGCCCCTTTAAGTTCCAGACGCCCCGCGTACTTCCCCTACTTCTTCTTCTTGAGATAGCCCCGCCCATCTACCCGAAGCCGGAGCCAATTGGCTCCCTCTGGAAAAATCTGTGGGCAGGGTAAAGGTGAGCGGGCGCAGGCGTAGTGAAATTCTCAGAGCCCTTTAGGCCCCGCCCATTCCCTCCGAGTCGGTGAGGAGGGGAAAAGAAGGCGCAGGCGCAACTGCCCTCCCAGGACCCCAGCGGAACCCACGCCCTCCCCTAAGTCTTAAAGGGCCAGAGGCAGCACTTACTGCCCGGGCCCTTCCTCACTTTTGGGGGGCGGGGGTGCGCAAGCGCAGTGGGGGAGCTCTGGGGTGGGGGTAGCGGTCGAGTATCAAGTTGCTTTCTGTCCCGGCAGAGGAAGCCAGATCGCTGAGGGTCCGGTCTCCAGTTTGCCTCCTGCTATATCCATTGGAAGAGAAAAGTTTGTGACTTGGGCCCCCAAGTTTTGAGAGAACTGGGCTTTCGGCGCGGGGGGACAGAGGAGGCTCGTGGGGAGGTGAGTGGACCTCCTGGATCGATTTAGGAGGCTCGGGTGGGACTGGGACCAATCGCACCTTTGTTGAGCCGTCACTCATTATGGGGAGCCCCTCCCAACAACCATAGCGAATATTTATTGAGCTCCACGCTTAGCAGATCCCCCGATAAGCTATGTACAGACATAATTCGTTGTAGGTCTCATTTCCACATTTTGTCGTGGAGGAAACTGAGGCTCAAAGGTTAAGTCACGTGCCCAAGTTCTCACGGCCTATAAATTGAGGGATTCGAACCCAGACAGCTGACCCCAGAGCCCCGGCTTTTTTTTCCTTTCTTTTTTTTTTTTTTTTTTTTTTTTGAGACAGAGTCTTGCTCTGTCGCCCCAGCTACAGTGCAGTGGTGCGATCTCTGCTCACCGCAACCTCCACCTCCCGAGTTCAAGCAATTCTGCCTCAGCCTCCCGAGTAGCTGGGATCACAGGCGCCCGCCACCGCGCTTGGCTAATTTTTGTATTTTTAGTACAGATGGGGTTTCACCATGGTGGCCAGCCTGGTCTCGAACTCCTGACCTCATGATCCACCCTCCTCGGCCTCCCAAAGTGCTGGGATTACAGCCGTGAGCCACTGTGCCCTGCCAGAGCCCAGGCTCTTAAACATTGCACATTGTAGGTGCTTTGGTGGTGGGGAATGGTAGACCTCGAAAGCAGTTGGACTCTGGTTTTCATTTCCCTGGCTCTGGTAATTAACCTGGACCTCAGTTTACCCACCCTCACAGTGCAAGGCTAGGTATGCAGTCGGTGCCTACTTTATTATAACTGTTGATAATTATTGTCATCTCTCCCCTTCTGACACCTCCGCCAGCTTTCCCCATGGAGCTTACCCAGCCTGCAGAAGACCTCATCCAGACCCAGCAGACCCCTGCCTCAGAACTTGGGGACCCTGAAGACCCCGGAGAGGAGGCTGCAGATGGCTCAGACACTGTGGTCCTCAGTCTCTTTCCCTGCACCCCTGAGCCTGTGAATCCTGAACCGGATGCCAGTGTTTCCTCTCCACAGGGTAGGATACCTCCTCTGGGATTAGCCCTCTGGGATTCCATGATGATGGAATGTCAGGCCTCACATGGAACCTGTGTCTTGCTTTCGTTTTTGTTTTGTTTTGTTTTGTTGTTTTTTGAGATGGAGTTTTGCTCTTGTTGCCCATGCTGGAGTGCAATGGCGTGATCTCAGCTCACTGCAACCTCTGCCTCCTGGGTTCAACTGATTCTCCTGTCTCAGCCTCCTGAGTAGCTGGGATTACAGGCTTCCGCCACTACGCCCAGCTAATTTTTTGGGTATTTTTAGTAGAGACGGGGTTTCACCATGTTGGCCAGGCTGGTCTTGAACTCCTGACCTCAGGTGATCCGCCCACCTCGGCCTCCCAAAGTGCTGGGATTACAGGCATGAGCCACTGTGCCCGGCCTGTTTTTGTTTTTTGATACAGGGTCTCGCTCTGTTACTAAGGCTGGAGTGCAGTGATGCAATCATAGTTCACTGCAGCCTCAACTTCCTGGGCTGAAGCCATCACTCAGCCTCCCTAGGAGCTGGGACTATAGGCATGCAACCACACCTGGCTAATTTTTTTTTTTTTTTTGGGAGGCTGGTCTCCACCTCCTGGGCTCAAGTGATCTGCAGGCCTCCACTTCCGAAAGTGCTGGGATTACAGGTGTGAGCCACAGTGCCCGGCCCTTCACACCTGTTTTTAACTCTTTGAGGGTAGATAGCTAGGAGTGAAATTACTGGGTCAGATGGTCATCCTGTTTTACTTACTGAGGAACTGAGGATTTATTTTTGATTGGAGTCCAAGAATATGCCTAATTTAGTTCCCTCCCACGACCTTTGTTGCTGCCACTCCTGTCTGGAATGCTCTTCCTACACTTCTTCCTATAGCTGACTCCCCTCCCCTCCCTCCCTTCCCGCCTCCGTTTTTTTTTTCTTTCTTTCTTTCTTTTTTTGAGATGGAGTCTCGCTCTGTCGCCCAGGCTGGAGTGCATGGAGTGCAGTGGCGCAATCTTGGCTCACTGCAAGCTCCACCTCCCGTGTTCACGCCATTCTCCTGCTTCAGCCTCCCGAGTAGCTGGGACTACAGTCCGTTTTTTTTTTTTTTTTTAAATGGAGGTTTGCTTTTGTTGCCCAGGCTCCCTCCCCTCCCCTCGCCTCCCCTCCCCTCCTTTCCCCTCTCCCCACTCTCGAGACGCCTCCTGGATCCCCTCTCTTCTTGAGACAGAATCTTGCTCTGTTGTCCAGGGTGGAGTGCAGTGGCACTATCTTGACTCACTGCAACTCCCTCTCCTGGGTTAAGGTGATTCTCCTGCCTCAGCCTCCCAAGTAGCTGGCATGCACCACCACATCCAGCTAATTTTTGTGTTTTTAGTAGAGATGGAGTTTTGCCATGTTGCCCAGGCTGGTCTCGAACTCCTGACCTCAGGTGATTGCCCGCCTCGGCCTCCCAAAGTGCTGGGATTACAGGCGTGAGCCACCGCGCCCAGTCCCTGTAGCGGATTTCTTTGACTTCCTAAGATCTCGGTGGTGTCACCTTGGGGAGGCCCTCCTGTTACCACCTTGTCTAAGAAGGACTTATTCCTTGTGCTCCGTTCTTTTCATCCTCTTCTACCTGCTTTTAAATTTTTTTTTTTTTTTTTTTTTTTGAGATGGAGTCTCACTCTTGTTGCCCAGGCTGGAGTGCAGTGGCGTGATCTCTCTCACTGCAACCTCCACCTCCTGGATTCAAGCGATTCTCCTGCCTCAGCCTCCCGAGTAGCTGGGATTACAGGCATCTGCCACCATGCATGGCTAATTTTGTGTTTTTAGTAGAGGTGGAATTTCACCATGTTAGTCAGGCTGGTCTCAAACTCCTGACCTCAGGTGATCCACCCACCTCAGCCTCCCAAAGTGCTGGGATTACAGGCATGAGCCACTGTGCCCGGCCTTAAGTTCTTTTGAACACTTATTTCAACTTGAAGTTTTTTATTATTTCTCTATGTCTGATGCACCTACTTGACCCCCGACTCCCTAGAGGGCAAAAACTATGTCTTGTTTGCTCAGAACATTGCCAGGCAGGGAGGAGAAAGATGCACCCTGGGTATTCAAGAGAGTAGAGTGAGTGAATGGTGGAGTCCCAGGCACTGCCTTTGGTAGCTCCAAGACCCCAGGGAGATACCGAAGGCAGTAGCATGGTAGCTCATGCCTGTAATCCCAGCACTTTGGGAGGCCACGGCAGGAGAATTGCTTGAGCCCAGGAGTTTGAGACCAGCCTGGGCGACAGAGCAAGACTCCATCTCTACCAATATATATATATTTTTAATTTGCTGGGTATGGTGGCACCTGTAGTTTCAGCTGCTCAGGAGGCTGAGGTGGGAGGTTGGCTTGAGCCCAGGAGGTTGAGGCTGAAGTGAACTGTGATCACACCACCGCACTCCAGCCTGGACAACAGAGCAAGACTCTGTCTCAAAAAAAAAAAAAACCCCAATAGCTGGGTGTGGTGGCTCATGCCTATAATCCCAGCACTTTGGGAGGCTGAGGCAGGTGGATGATTTGAGGTCAGGAGTTTGAAATTAGCCTGGCCAACATAGCGAAACCCCGTCTCTACTTAAAATACAAAAATTAGCCAGGTGTGGTGGTGGGCGCCTATGATCCCAGCTACTCGGGAGGCTGAGGCACAAGAATCGCTTGAACCCAGGAGGCAGAGGTTGCAGTGAGCCGAGATCACGCCACTGTACTCCAGCCTGGGGGACAGACGGAGACTCCATCTCAAACAACAACAGCAACAAAAAAAAACAGATGGGCTTCTGTCCTGAAGCCTCAGAGACATCTACTGAGGGGAAACTGACGCCTGTTGTCTGTTTCCCAGCAGGCAGCTCCCTGAAGCACTCCACCACTCTCACCAACCGGCAGCGAGGGAACGAGGTGTCAGCTCTGCCGGCCACCCTAGACTGTGAGTGGGCCCACGGTCCCCAACAAGGAGAGGAGTAGGAGGGTGGGAGGGCCTGTGAGGAGCAATCGTGGACAGAGGGTAAACTGAGGCACAGAGAAGCAAGGGGATGAGTGAGGACTCTGCCTCTGTCCTGCCCCAGCCCTGTCCATCCACCAGCTCGCAGCACAGGGGGAGCTGGACCAGCTGAAGGAGCATTTGCGGAAAGGTGCGTGTCCACACACATGTGCTGGCATGTCTGCACCTGGCTGGTGTGTGCATATGGGTGTCCATACCCACTCATGACGTGACCTGTGAGTGTCCACGTGTATGATTGTATCTAACTGTGTGTGTGACCGTGTTCATGTATGTCCATCAACATACGCTCCCCCTCATTCCCCTGTCTAACCCCAGCCCCCCACCTCGTCCCCATTTGGCAGCACTGGGGATAGGGGGCAGGGGTGCAGCCTGGTGGTATTGCCCGCCTCCTCCTGCCAGGTGACAACCTCGTCAACAAGCCAGACGAGCGCGGCTTCACCCCCCTCATCTGGGCCTCCGCCTTTGGAGAGATTGAGACCGTTCGCTTCCTGCTGGAGTGGGTGCGTCCCAGCCCAGCTGGGCAGCTGGGGGGTTCCCGGGGGCCTTAGGGTGGGCTGGGGTTTTGGCTGTGTCTGCTGGCGCCTTGTCTTTGAGATGCGGCTGCTGGCTGGGTGCAGTGGCTCATGCCTGTAATCCCAGCACTTTGGGAGGCCGAGGCGGGTGGATCACTTGAGGTCAGGAGTTCAAGACCAGCCCGGCCAACATGGGTGAAACCCTGTCTCTACTAAAAAAATACAAAAATTAGCCAGGCGTCGTGGTGGGTGCCTGTAATCCCAGGTACTCTGGAGGCTGAGGTGGGAGAACTGTGTGAACCTGGGAGGCGGAGGTAGCAGTGAGCCGAGATTGCGCCACTGCACTCCAGCCTGGGCAACAGAGCAAGACTCTATCTCCAAAAAAAAAAAAAAAGATGCGGCTGCTGTGGGTACCCCAGGATTCCTGGTTATGCCCCAATCCATCCTACCACTGTCCCTTCTTCTCCCTGCAGGGTGCCGACCCCCACATCCTGGCAAAAGAGCGAGAGAGCGCCCTGTCGCTGGCCAGCACAGGCGGCTACACAGACATTGTGGGGCTGCTGCTGGAGCGTGACGTGGACATCAACATCTATGATTGGGTGAGGGACTGCCCATCCCCAGGACCTCTCAGCCTCCTGGCCTTCATTCCTGCCTCAAATGTTCACAGAGTACTTGAAAGGTGCAGGCCTGCTCTAGGTGCCGAGAACACGAGACAGCCCCATTCCCAGCCTCACAGAGCAGAGCTCCCCATGCAGGGAAGGCAGACATGGAAACAGGCAGCTGAGATGCAGTGAACTGCGCTGCGATGGCAGATGCACAGGTGGCTACAAGAGCCCCATGTGGGCAAGGGAAATCAGAGAGGTCTTCCTGGAGGAAGGTGTCTAAGCTTGAGACCCCAGAAAGTGAGATGGGCCCAGTGATGAGCAGGAGGAACCACGTTCAACTGGAGGCCAGAGAGTACAAGGCATTTTGAGAATGAGGAAGAGGTAAACCTTTGGTTTCTCCTGCCCCTACCCACGACAGAATGGAGGGACGCCACTGCTGTACGCTGTGCGCGGGAACCACGTGAAATGCGTTGAGGCCTTGCTGGGTGAGTGGGAGTCGGGAGTGGCCCTGGGGGCCCCAGCACTCCAGCGGGCCCTGCGGGAATCCTGAGGGCAGGGAGACGCCCAAGTGTTGCTTGAAGAGTTCTTGGAGCAGGTAGTCCCTGCCTGCTCTTCTCGGAGGATGGATCAGAGGGGAGGAGGTGGTAGGACCACACGGGAGTCGGGGTCTGGGTTTAGGATCTGGCCAAGAGGCTAAGCACCTCCATCCTCCATGGTTCAGAGACCCTTCAGCCACGTTCTTCAGTGGAGACCAAGATAGCAGAGGTTGGACCCTTGTCAAAGGCCACATGGGCAACGGGCAGACCCACGGCTGCATTGTGGGGAATGAGGGGTGCCATGGGATCTCCCAGGTCCCCAGACCCCATTCTGGACTCCCAGGCCCCACCCTCCAGCGCCCTCCCCTCTCCTTTGCAGCCCGAGGCGCTGACCTCACCACCGAAGCCGACTCTGGCTACACCCCGATGGACCTTGCCGTGGCCCTGGGATACCGGAAAGGTCAGCCTGAGACACACAGAGCAGGGGTGGGGTCCCTTCCATAGGCAGGGTGACCATAAAGGGGTACATGGGACACCCCTTCAGTGGTCATACGCCGGCAGCGAGAGTGTGTTGACAGGTGTTGAGCACTGCTGTGTATCCCGCCTGGGAACATCCCAGTCCTGGCTCCTGGGGCTCCACATGTGCTGGGGTAGGGAGGACAATGGGTGTCAGTGGCTGTGGCCATGATGGGGGACACATAGGCATGAGAGGCCGAAAGAGGGGCCTCTCATCAAAGAGCCCCAAAGTGGCCAACAGAAGTCAGAGAGGCTTCCTGGAGGAAGGTGTCTTAAGGTTGAGACCCCGAGAAGTGAGGTGGGCCCAGCCCTGGGATGGGGAGGTCAGGGAAGGATTCTGGGGGACCTGAAGGGAGGGAGAATGGCATCCAGGTGGGAGGAGTGGCCCCTGCGGAGGCCTGGCAGTGAGGACACCAAGGGGTAGGCGACCAGGCCATAGTGCACAGAGCCACAGAGGCCATCCCTCTCCGTGGCGGGCAGTGGGTTTGAACAGGGGCCATAGGCAGACCCCAGTTTGACTCCATTTTCTCTGTCACAATGGGACCCCAACTTCCCCATCCATAAAATGGGGAGATCCCAATTGAACCGACCCCCTGGGGTCATGGTAGAGATGGGGTGCTTAGGAAATATCCCCCTCCTTCCTTCAGAGTTTTACTGTGTTTGGGACAGAAATCATTCCTCTTCCCTCCTCATGTTTTCGGGGGGTTTGTTTTTTTGTTCGAGGCAGAAAGTCTTGCTCTATCACCCAGGCTGGAATGAAGTGGTGCAGGCACAGCTTACTGCAGCCTCGATCTCCCAGGCTCAAGTGATCCTCCCACCACAGCCTCCCGAGTAGCTGGGACCACAGGCATTCGTCACCATGCCTGGCTAATTTTTTGTTGTTGCTTTTTTTTTTTTTTTTTTTGGACATGGAGTCTCGCGCTGTCACCCAGGCTGGAGTGCAATGGCGCCATCTCGGCTCACTGCAACTTCCACCTCCCAGGTTCAAGCGATTCTCCTGCCTCAGCCTCCTGAGTAGCTGGGACCACAGGTGCACACCATGACGCCCGGCTAATTTTTATATTTTTAGTAGAGACGGGGTTTCACCATGTTGGTCAGGCTGGTCTTGAACTCCTGACCTTGTGATCCGCCTGTGTTGGCCTCCCAAAGTGCTGGGATTACAGGTGTGAGCCACCACGCCTGGCTGTGTTGTTGTTTTTTTAGAAGAGACAGGGTCTCGCTATGTTGCCCAGGCTGGTCTCAAACTCCTGGGCTCAAGTGATCCTTCTTCCCCAGCCTCCTGAGTAGCTGGGACTACAGGCATGTACCACTCTACCCAGCTAATTTTTAAAATCTTTTTTATTTATTTTTTGAGACAGAGTCTCGCTCTGTCACCCAGGCTGGAGTGCAGTGGCACAATCTCGGCTCACTGCAACCTCTGCCTCCCAGGCAAACAATTCTCCTGCCTCAGCCTCCTGAATAGCTGGGATTACAAGTGCCTGCCACCACACCTGGCTAATTTTTTTTTTTTTTTTTTTTTTTTTTTGAGATGGAGTTTCGCTCTTGTTGCCCAGGCTGGAGTGCTATGGCGTGATCTCGGCTCACTGCAACTTCCGCCTCCCAGGTTCAAGCAATTCTCCTGCCTCAGCCTCCCAAGTAGCTGGGATTACAGGCATGCACCACCATGCCCAACTAATTTTTTGCATTTTTAGTAGAGTCAGGGTTTCTCCATGTTGGTCAGGTGATCTCAAACTCCCGACCTCAGGTGATCCACCCGCCTCAGCTTCCCAAAGTGCTGGGATTACAGGCATGAGCCACCACACCCGGCTGCACCTGGCTAATTTTTGTAGTTTTAGTAGAGATGGGGTTTCATCATGTTGGTCAGGCTGGCCTTTCCTGACTTCAAGTGATCCACCTACCTTGGCCTCCCAAAGTGCTAGGATTACAGGTGTGAGCCACCAAGCCCAGCCTAATTTTTAAATTTTTTTGGTAGAGACAGCGTTTTGCTCTGTTGCCCAAGCTGGCCTCAAATTCCTGAGCTCAAGCAGTCCTCCCCACTGGACCTCCCAAAGTGCTGGGATTATAGGTGTGAGCCACCATGCCCAGGCTCATCTTTTCATGAAAGTCACAATTCACACATTTTGCTTGGTAGGAAATATTTTTATATTAATTCTGAAAAGCTACAAAAGTGCATTTTTACAAACTTAGGGGAAGTTGAGGTTCCTGGGGTGAGTCCTCGGTTCTCCCAGCTTTGCTCTGTAATGCAGGTCTCTGCAAGGGTCCCTGTTTGTCCCCTAAGGGGAGAGCGCAGGTTGGCCTGTGCCTCCACCCCACTCCCGATTCAAGCTCACAGCCCACCTTTTCCCTGCCCCATCTCAGTGCAACAGGTGATCGAGAACCACATCCTCAAGCTCTTCCAGAGCAACCTGGTGCCCGCTGACCCTGAGTGAAGGCCGCCTGCCGGGGACTCAGACACTCAGGGAACAAAATGGTCAGCCAGAGCTGGGGAAACCCAGAACTGACTTCAAAGGCAGCTTCTGGACAGGTGGTGGGAGGGGACCCTTCCCAAGAGGAACCAATAAACCTTCTGTGCAGAATGAGGGACTTTGCTGTGCTTCCCGGAGGGCTTCCTGGAGGAGACAGCCCCTAGAGGTCTCACACCTTCTCCCCAAGCACCCGCAGGTGGTAGATGACCACACGGCCAAAAAAGTCAGTGGCATCCTCAAACGTCACCTTCAGCCGGTCCACTTCAGCAGCTGGTATGGGGAAAGTGTGAGCGTGGGCAGTCAAGGGAAACTGGTGATTTCTGGTTTCCCACCCGCAGGCCCCCACCCCTTCCAGACCCAGCTCACACTCCACCGATGTGGGCAACCTGGGGAAGCTGCAGGTCCCTCTAAGCCTCTCACACAGAACAGGTGGTCATCAGCACCATTTTACAGAAAAAGTGGAGTCCTAGAGGTCACGTGTTCAAGATCACACATCAGGGTTCCCATTCGGGTTTGGGTGAGTCCAAAGCTTCCAGAGGCACAGACCACCCACCCCAGAAGCAGGGGCAGGATATCTGAAGCGAGTTGTTGTCCTCAGGGTAGAAATCTACAATCTTGTGGAGAGCCTGAGTGCCCTGTGAACCTTCAGCAGAGAAAGGCAATGAGTGTCTGGGGTGACCCCTGGAACCCCTGCCACCCAGGGCCTTCTAGTACCTTCCAGGCAGCCCCGGCGACTGGAGAAGCCACCCTGAAACTGGATCTGCAGCTGGGAGACACGGATGAGCTGGGGAAACTCCAGCGTCACCCACTGGGAGGGGCCCTGGAAGCAGACAGGGAAACTGAGGCGCAAGCTCACTGCAGGCACAGAGCCCTGCTATGCCTGTCTCATTCACATAGTTCTTGGAATGGAGGGGAAGAAGGAAATTCGGCACATGTTCCTTTCCTGGCCACCCATGAGGGCCCCCTGACGTTCTCAAGGCATGAGATCTGAATCTGAATCACCCTAGAGATGGAGGGTCGAGGGAGGCGCCTCACCTGGTCTGAGTTCCAACATGTCTCCTCATCCTGGTCGAAAAGATGTTTTTTTCCAAACTGCCGAGTGTTGCGATTCAGCACTGAACTCACCCTGGAGGCACCAGGATCAAGGCGAAGAGAGGGGCTGAGACCAGCTCTCAGCTCCGCGGAGGGCCTGACCCCCAGATCTGTCCACTGAGGGCTCGACCCCAGGCTTAGGGCCTCGCCACTGCCTGTCCCCACAGACTCTTACCTGCTCACTGTCTCTGGACAAACCAAAGAGTGGGTCATGTCGGTTCCACAAGACCTCGCAGGGCTTAGGATTGGGCACAGCCTTGGTTCGAATCCCGGCGCCTCCTCAAGCTACAGGGCGGCGCGATCTTGGCTACGCCTTGGCCTGAACGTCCTCACCTGTAACTTGGGACGAGAACCGCCACTCCCTCGCCCACCCCAGTCCTAAATGTCGCCTCGATCAATCCCCTGCCGGAAAATTTGGGAGAGAGGATCAGGGAAACCGCCAATGCCCGGAGGCCAGGCCTTTCACAGGAAACAGATTTCCCGCGGGTTTCGGGGGCGGTGGCTTTTTGTGCGAGGCTGTTTCTCTGCGAATAGCTCTTGGAGCCAAATCTTGGGACCCGGAACCGCGTGGGCTTGGCGCATGCGTGTTGTAATTCAGGCGCCGACCGCGGACGCTCCAGAGGTGGGGTTTGGTTCGACCCCGCCCCTTCATGCTCGCTTCTTAAAGGGCCCGGGTTCGATGATTGAATTTACCTTGGTTCCCTTGAAGCTGTAGGGAAAAGGCTGGCTGCGCGCACGGGGCGCTGTCCCTCGGCGCCCGAAGGTGTAGAGCACTGATTTTGACTGATTTTGGAATCCGAAAGACTTCCTTTTTTTTTTTTTTTTTTTGAGGCGGAGTCTCACTGTCGCCCAGGCTGGAGTGCAGTGGCACGATCTCCGCTCACTGCAAGCTCCGCCCCCTGGGTTCACGCCGTTCTCCTGCCTCAGCCTCCCAAGTAGCTGGGAATACAGGCGCCCGCCACCACGCCCGGCTAATTTTTCGTATATTTAGTAGAGACGGGGTTTCACCGTGTTAGCCAGAATGGTCTTGATCTCCTGACCTCGTGATCCAGCCGCCGGGGCTTCCAAAGTGCTGGGATTACAGGCTTGAGCCACCGCGCCCGGCCTTTTTTTTTTTTTTTTTTTGAAGTGGGGTCTCACTGTCACCCAGGCTGGAGTACAATGGTGGGATCGCGGCTCTCTGCGACCTCTGCCTCCCAGGCTCCAGCAATCCTCCTACCCAGCTTCCCGAATAGTTGGAACTAGTAGGCGCGCGCCACCACGGCAGGCTATTTTGTTTGTTTGTTTGTTTGTTTGTTTTTTGGTAGAGATGAGGTTTCGCCATGTTGCCCAGATTGGTCTCGAACTCCTGGGCTCAAGTGATCCGCCCACCTCAGCCTCCCAAAGTGCTGGGATTACAGGCGTAAGCCACCGCGCCCGGCCAGAGAGACTTCCTATGACAATGTCTTTCTTCCTACTCTAACCTACTCTACCCTAACGGCTACCCTAACCTACTCTAACCTACTCTACCCTAACCACTAAATGCAGCCTGGGAATCCCCGAACTTCACTGCCTCCCGGAGGCCAAAGGCAGAGTTGTGGAAAAGGCCACGATGTTGGGAGTATCTGAAGTCCTCATCAACCCTTTTTGTTCTTGTTGGGACAGAGGAGCCCTGGCCTCCAAGTTTGTCTTTCCCAGAAAATGCTGCTGGGACGTCAAGGAAGGCTTCTTGGAGGAGGGAGCATGCGAGGTCGGGTGTTTTTTGTTGTTTCTGTTTTGTTTTGTTTCGAGACGGAGCCTCACTTTGTTGCCCAGGCTGGAGTGCAGTGGTGTGATCTCAGCTCACTGCAACCTCCGCCTCCCAGGTTCAAGTGATTCCCCTGCCTCAGCCTCCTGAGTAGCTGTGACTACAGGTGCGCACCACTATGCCTGGCTAATTTTTGTATTTTTAGTAGAGATGGGGTTTCGCTATCTTGGCCAGGCTGGTCTCGAACTCCTAACCTCGTGATCTGCCCGCCTTGGCCTCCCAAAGTGCTGGGATTACAGGTGTGAGCCACCGCACCCAGGCTGTGAGGTGGGTTTTGAAGCATGAACAGGAGTTTGCCAAACAAAGCCTCAGATACCAAGCTGAAGATTTGGTTCACTGATTCACTAGACACCTCCTGCAAGCTCTACTGTCACACTGTCATGTCCAGCCTTCTGCTGGATGATGCTGGGGACAGCAAGAGGCCTCAGCTCCAGGCCTGTCCCAGAGGAGCCCCTGATCTGGGCAAGACAGAGGTAGACATAGACACTCCTAGCCCCAAGGGAGAGATGGGGCCGGAGGAGCAGGGGCTCTACCTGGAGGAAGGGCTTCCTGGGAAAGGGGATGTTAGAACTGCACCTTAATAGGGGGTCAGGCGCCAGGAATTCACAAGGGTGAGAAAATCTGGAGTGGGGAGGGTGTCCCAGGCAGGGAGCTTAGCATAAGCCAAGGCCTAGTTGGGTGAAAGACCATGAATTTGAATAAAATATGTGGAGCCACATCCTGCTGGGCCCGGAGCAGTCATGGAAGGTGTTGGAGAAAGGGCAGGACACCATCCGTTCTGCATGAATGGAGGGTTCCAAGACAGAGCAGCCACTGGCAAGAGGCTGTTGTTCCTGGCTTTAGCTGAATGGTCTGGCAGCCAGCCCCTTTCTTCAAGGGCTGGAGGAATGGTCCTTCCGGCATCCTACTAGTGTCTGCTCAAACCCACCCCAGGCAGCAGGGGTGGGGGCTGGCGGGGAAACTGGGTCACCAGCAGAAGGCCTGTCTCTTCAGCCCCTGCCTGCCAGGGCTTTCCGCATTTAGACAGAGTCTGGTGCCATCCAAACCCAACTTCGCTGGTCTCAGGGCTGGGGCTGGAGGTGACAGGAAACTGTGCCCCCAACCTCACCCCCGGAAGGAAGTTAGAAAGAGCAAGGACACTGGAGAGCCCAGATCTGGTTCAAATCCTGGCTGGACCACTCATTGGCTGTGTGACCTTAGAAAAGCACCTTGACCTCTCTGAGCCTCAGTTTCTCATCTGTGAAATGGGGGGAATTCTATTAACGGCACTGTTGGAGGACTCTCTGGGTTCTTCAGGTTGACACATAGTAACAGTAGCTGACTTTCACTGAGAGTCCACCGTGTGTCTGACTTGAAGCCATGTTCTGTCGCCACCCATTGGCTCGTTAAACCTGCTGTGGCTGGTCCCTGTCATTCCCATTTTATAGCTGAGGACACATCAACTTAGCCAAGTCCCCCCAGTGAGGATATGCATGGCTCCAGGGCTCTCCACACCACTCCTGGCTTTGGCATGCGGCCTCCTTGCCCACGGGTATGAGGCCAGCTCCATACCCTCTTCCCGCCTCCTCACCCCACTGGCGCCTGGGCATGAAAGAGCCTCCTGTTTCTCCAGGGAATTAGCAGCTCTGGGCTCCCAGCAGGGCAGCCAAAAGTGGTCCATTCATTCGCTTGAGTGAGGAAAGACTAAGAGCTCCCACCCCCACCCCAGGGAATGGGGCAGGGAGGGCTCTAGAAGGTCCAAAAGCAGCTCCTCTGGTTCACTTGGGGAAACTGAGGCACAGAAAAGCAAAGTCATTTGGCCAAGATCACCAAGGGGAACTGGGATGCAAACCCCAGTCTCACTCTGGAGTTCCCCTAACTGGGCTTGGGTTAGCATTTTTCTGGGGAGAAATTGGAGGTTTAGAGAGAGTCAGGGACTTGCTGGCAGTCACACAGCAAGTTTGGGTCAGTGGGGACTCTCTGCCTTGGTGGTGTCTGGGGAGGCAGCCCCACCCATGCAGAAAACAGGTCCTTCTGTCCATGATTTCATTATCCTGGAACAAGGCAGGGAATGGCCCTCAGATAGCTTCAAGCCTCAGTTTCCCCACTGGGAGATGGATGTAACCTTTTCCCTAAGGTCTTAGCCTGGGGCATCTGCAAGGGAGGGTTTGATGGGATTCCCTGAGCCTGGAGACCCCCATCCGGCAGGTCTGGGTCTGATTTATCTACCGGAGCCCATCAGGACCCCTCTCCGAGGAGACAGATGTTCACACAGTAGCAGCTGGGGTTATGAGTCCTGGTGCAGTGCAAGCCTGGGTCCCACTGGAGGTGACAGTGGGAGTGGGAGGGGTGTCTGGGTGTGAAAGGATTCAGGTGGGTGTGTATGGGAGCACCAGGAGCTGCGTGTGTGTGGCTGTTGTAACAGTGGCTGGGAGGGCTACAGATCTCGGGGTTGGTGGCATTGGTGGTGTTGGTGTGAACATGGTTGTGTGCTCACTACCTGTGGGTGTGTCTGTGACTAGAAACCTGGTTGGGTGTGAGCAATGTGGGGCCAACGTAGGCTCTTTGCTGCTGGCAGGAAGGCGAAGGTGTTGTGGGTGTGAGCAGCAGTGGGTGTGTTTGCATGTGGAGGGACACTGGTGCAGCCCAGCTCATAGCTTTGCCTTCGGTTGTGGAGCAAGTGTGACTTGTGTGTGGCCCAGGCCAGGTATGGTTGTGTGTGGCCTGACCAGGTTGATTGTGTATGTGATTGTGTGTGGCCCATTGTGGCTGTGCATGGCTGGGTGTGGTTGTGCATGGCTGGGTGTGGTTGTGTACGGCTGGGTGTAGTTGTGCATGGCTGGATGTCGTTGTACATGGCTGAGTGTGGTTGTGTATGGCTGGGTGTGGTTGTGCATGGCTGGGTGTGGTTGTACATGGCTGAGTGTGGTTGTGTATGGCTGGGTGTGGTTGTGCACGACCAAGTGTGATTGTGTGTGGCTGAGTGTGATTGTATATGGCCAGGTTTGCCTGTGCATGGTTGGTGAAACCTGTGTGTGGCCCGGTGTGGTTGTGCATGACTGGGTGTGGTTGTGTATGGCTGAGTGTGGTTGTATATGGCTGGGTGTGGTTGTGTATGGCTGAGTGTGGTTTTATATGGCTGGGTGTGGTTGTGTATGGCTGGATGTGGTTGTCATTGGCTGGGTGTGGTTGTGCATGGCTGGGTGTAGTTGTGCATGGCTGGGTGTGGCGTGTATGGCTGGGTGTGGTTGTGCATGGCTGGGTGTGGTTGTGTATGGCTGGGTGTGGTGTGTATGGCTGGGTGTGGTTGTACATGACCAGGTATGATTGTGTATGGCTGGGTGTCATTGTGTATGGTCAGGTTTGGTCATGTGTGGTGGGTGAGACCTGTGTGTGGCCAGGTGAGGTTGCATGTGAGCCACCTGTGCTGTTAGTGTGGCTGGGGTGTGGCTGGGGTGTGACTGTGTGTGTCAGTGGTTGTTGGTGGCATTGTGTGTGACTTACCCATGTGTCACCTTGGGCATGTTCAGAGGCACTTTGGAGGCACTGTCCACCCCTGAGACCCAGCTCTCTTGGAGGGTCCAGCCTCCCTCCCCACCTCTGCTCTGGTCTGCCAGTACCATCCCCCACCCCTCCCCCACTGGCAGCAGCCCCTGGCCCAGGGCCCCAGTGGGGTGGTGGGGACAGAGAAGGCACTCAGGGCTGGGGAGGGGTGCCCAATCCCAGCTCAGGCCTATAAATAGCTCTTTGAGCCCAGTAGATTCCCAGGCAAGGTTGCCTCATTCAAGCCCCCGGCAACAGCCCGCCCCTGGGCCCCAGGCCAGCCCCTCTAAGCTCAGCCCTGGCACCAGCGAGGAGCCGGGGGGTGGGGGCAAGGGGTGGGGAGGAGTGGAGAAGCGGGGGAAGCAGAAGGATGAGGATAGGTGGGGTTGGGGCTCAGCTCTGCGCCCACAGACCTTGGCTTCCACCTGGTCTCTACTCACTCTGTACATCCTCGGGCAGGTGATCCTAGCTCCTTAAGCCTCAGTTTCCCCAGCACCTGTAAAATAAACAGCAGTCCCTGCCTGTGTGTTTACTTCCCATTTCATTCTCCAAGCAACCGGTAACGTAGGGACATTCATTATCCCCCATTTTATTTATTTATTTATTTAATTTTTTCCCAAGATGGAATCTCACTCAGTCACCCAGGCTGGAATGCAGTGGTGCCATCTTGGCTCACTGCAACCTCCACCTCCTGGGTTCAAGCGATTGTCCTACCTCAGCCTCCTGAGTAGCTGGGATTACAGGTGTGCACCACCCCACCCAGCTAATTTTGAATTTTAGTAGAGACGGGATTTCACCATGTTGGCCAGGCTGGTCTCAAATTCTGACCTCATGATCCATCTGCCTTGGCCTCCCAAAGTGCTGAGATTACAGCCTTGAGCCACCGCGCCCACCCTCCCCCCATTTTATTTTATTCATTTTTGAAATAGGGTCTCACTGTGTCACCCAGACCAGAGTACAGTGATGCAATCTTGACTCACTGCAGCTTTAATCTCCTGGGCTCCAGCGATCCTTCCCCCTCAGCCTCCCGAGTAGCCGGGACCACAGATGTGTGCCACCATGTCCTGCTAACTTTTAAGTTATTTTTTGTAGAGATGGGGGTCTCACTGTGTTGCTCAGGCTGGTCTTGAACTCCTGGGCTCAAGTGATCCTCCTGCCTCTGACTCCCAAAGTGCTGGGATTACAGGCATGAGCCACCGGCACCTGGACTATCCCCATTTCAGATGGGGAAACTGAGACACAGAAAGATGAGATGGCTCACTCAGAGTCACATTGTTACGAATGGCAGGGAGGGGGTTTGAACCCCAGACTTGTGGAGGCTGAGCTACTCGGTTCTCACGCACGTCACGCAGCTGTTCTCAGCGTCTTTCCCAGTGTGAGCCACAGCCAACCCCCCAGCACGCTCCAGCCTCACCGACTAGTCATTGCATGCTGTTTGGGTGCTGCTGACACAGCTGTCACCTGCAGACACTCACATCAGCTGGGATCCTTGACCTCCATCTCTCCTCTGTGACACAGAGTCAAACAGTCAGTGCAGCTTCCCGCTGTATCATCTTGGACCCCAGGGCTACCCCTTGCTCACCTGGGGTCCCCCCTTATCCCTCATTCATTCCTACCCTTTCTTTGATAATCTTTTTTTTTTTTTTTGAGATGGAATCTTGCTCTGACACCCAGGCTGGAGTGCAGTGGCACAGTCTCGGTTCACTGCACGCTCCGCCTCCCAGGTTCAAGTGATTCTCCTGCCTCAGCCTCCTGAGTATCTGGGATTATAGGTGAACACCACCATGCCTGGCTAATTTTTGTATTTTTAGTACAGACAGGGTTTCACCATGTTGGCTGGGCTGGGCTGGTCTCAAACTCCTGACCTTAGGTGATCTGCCTGCTTCAGCCTCCCAAAGTGTTGGGATTACAGGCATGAGCCACGGTGCTTGGCCTCCTTTCTTCTTCTTTTTTCTTTTTTTGATGGAGTCTCACTCTGTTGCCCAGGCTGGAATGCAGTGGCCCAATTTCGGCTCACTGCAACTTGCGCCTCCAGGGTTCAAGCGATTCTCCTGCCTCAGCCTCCCGAGTAGCTGGGATTACAGGCGTCCGCCACCACACCCTAATTTTGATTTATTAGAGATGGGGTTTCACCATGTTGGCTAGGCTGGTCTCGAACTCCTGACCTCAAATGATCTGTCCTCTTGGCCTCCCAAAGCGCTGGGATTATGGGCGTGAGCCACGGCACCTGGCCAAGGCCTCCTTTCTTTGATAACCTTGTGGAAGCTATCTTGTCCCTCATTTGCCTATCCTCCTACCAGATGGACACGCACCCTCAGAGATGCTAAACACACACTCACAGATATAGGACCCAGGGTGGAGCGCTGCGAGCCCATTCTCAGCACAGAAACACCACGACCATAGGAAGGAAGGCAGGGGCAAAGCCTGCCCTCTCTGGGCACATTTCCCTCCTCATGGCTTTTTTTTTTTTTTTTTTTTTTTTGAGACGGAGTCTCACTCTGTCACTCAGGCTGGAGTGCAATGGCATGGTCTCAGCTCACTGCAACCTCTGCCTCCTGGGTTCAAGCGATTCTCCTGCCTCAGCCTCCTGAGCAGCTGGGATTACAGGTGTCTGCCAACACGCCTGGCTAATTTTTGTATTTTTAATAGGGAAAGGGTTTCACCATGTTGGCCAGGCTGGTCTTAAACTCCTGACCTCAGGTGATCCACCCGCCTTGGCCTCCCAAAGTGCTGGGATTACAGGTGTGAGCCACCGAACCCAGCCCTCATTACCATATTTTTAATGGTGGTCAAATACAGATAACATAAAACTCACCATCTTAAAATGTGTAATTCAAGGCCATGCGCGGTGGCTCATGCCTGTAATCCCAGCATTTTGGGATGCTGAGGCGGGCGGATCATTTGAGGCCAGGAGATCGAGACCAGCCTAGCTGACATGGTGAAACCACATCTCTACTAAAAATACAAAAATTAACTGGGTGTGGTGGCAGGTGCCTGTAATCCCAGCTATTCAGGAGGCTGAGGCAGGAGAATCGCTTGAACCTGGGAGGTGGAGGTTGCAGTGAGCCAACATCGTGCCACTGTACTCCAGCCTGGATGACGGAGCAAGACTCCGTCTGAAAAAAAAAAAAAAAGATTGGGGTCTCATGTCTCATGGCAGGGACATGCCTATGCCTCTGCATAAAGCAAAATTATTCATGTGTCAACAGCAGTACCCAGTCCATAGAGTGTGCTACATAAATGCTGATCAGACAAAGGTGAATGAATGAATGATACAATCTGGCTGTAGTTGCTGGAAACAGCTCGGGGGTGTCACACACCTGGACTCCCACCCTGCGTGCCTCTTACCAGCTGTGTGAACAAGGAGTCTCCCCGTCTCGTCCGTGCCTCAGTTTCCTCTCTGTAAATGGGGTAAACCAGTAATTGTAGCCAAAACTGCTTTGAACGTGAGTCCTGGAGAATCAGGCAGGGCGAGGTTCGAATCCCAGCTCTGCCTCTGTGCGTGACCTTGGGAAGCGACTTTGCCTCCTTGGGGCTCAGTTTCCCCACCTGTAAAATGGGACGGCCTCATCCTGGGGCATAATGGGGACGTTTAACGCGGTTCCTGGGGCAAAGAGAATGGGAGGAGAATCGATGCCATCTTCTCCTGGGTGCGGTGAGTGTCCAAAAAATGGGCGGGGTGGGGATTTTAGGCAGGGGAGCCCCCTCCCTCGCGCAGCCAGAGGCCTCGGGCTGGCGGGGGCGCATGCGCAGAGAGCCCTCGCGGCCCCTTTATAAGCACTGAGGCGGCGCTGGGGCCAGCGGAGCGCAGGGCGCAGGGGCTGGACCCGGCGCGGAGCTGGCTGAGTCGGAGCGCAGCGTCCTTTGTGCCCGGCGGCCGCCCCGGGATGCGTCCGAGCTAGGAGCCAGGTGGGGGATCCGTGAGGGGGCCGTGTTGCGGGAGAAGACTTCGGGATTAGAGACAGAGCTCAGGATTAGGGAGAGGACCTGAGACCAGGGAGAAGTCCCCAGAATGGGGAGGGGGCTGAAGCGGGGGAGGGGAGCCCTAGGTTGAGGAGGGAGCGCGAACTGGGAGGGGGCTTGGGAATGCTAGGTGAACAGACATTTGGGGAGGAAGGTTGTCCGCGGAATCCGGAGACTACCCCCCGGTGGGGAGGGGGCCGGGCTGGGGGTGGGTCTCAGGGTTGAGGAGGGAGCAATGGGAAACAGGGCTAGGGGAGGGGCCCCCCGAGTTTGGAGGGAAGAAGAGGACACCCAGATGCCGAATGGGGGACTCTGGAACAGGGCACCCCCGTATCTCAGCCGAGACACCCCAGGATTTTAAGTAGGGATTCCCAATTTGCGGTTGAATGGAGGATTCCGGGCCGGACTGCAGTGGGGAGGGGGCCCCCAGATCACCCTGTGCCCAATGGAAGGGTATCTGCGCTGAGAGCGAACGGCCATGGGGAAGGGGCTCCCTGCCATCTCCCTGTCCTTTTGGGTCAGGTCCGGTCACCACGTTCTGACTCAGGGAGGAGGTCCTGGGGGTCCCCATCCCAACGTGGTTCCCCGTTATTCCCTTAGACCTTGGGTTGAGGTGTTGTCCCTTATCCCAGGGAACACACTGGGTGTCCCAGGTGAATGTTGGGTGGGGGTCCCCTAGACCCCCCAGCTATGGATCCCCAGGACCTGTGAGGGATACCAGCTCAGAGGGGGGGCTGTCCCCCAGCACCTTCACAGCCTCCCACGTCCTTACAGCATGACACAGACCCCTACCCCCACCCCCTTTAGTTCCACCTGTCCATATGGACACATGTGGAAGCGCTGGCTTGGTTTGGGGGCACAGGGGCTGGGAAGTAAGGGGCTGGGAAGTAAGGGCCCTGTCTGGGCAGGAGAGACCCCCATCCCTACGCGTGGGGCTTTGTTCCTCTCAGGCAGCATCAATGAGAAACAGCCAGGCCAGGGAGAGGGTTGGCTCTGGGCCCCAGCGGGGGACGTGGGGGCAGGGCAGGCAGGAAGGGGTGGGTGCACTGTGGGACCCCAGAACCCAGCCGTCGCAATAGCTGATGGACATTCTGAAATCAAGTTCCCCCTCAAGGATATGGGGGTTTTGTGTGTGTGTCCACCCCAGACAGGCAGGGAGGGGGAGTATGCCCAGGGGTTCTAGGGTCCCCTGTGAGTCTGATGTGACTGTGGTTGTGTCTTTGTCAGAAAACTTGTGCCGAGGGCCACATCACCATGTGGCAAAATGATGGGTGTCCATCGGTCACCAAGGCCACAATTATCCATCTCGGTTTGTGCCAGGGGCTGGCATCGCCGTGTGAGTGAGGAGCTATGTCTGATGCTGTTCCGTTCATCAAGGGGTTTATGTGGGGGGGGGGGGGCCCGAGACTGTGGGTGTGTGTCTTTGTGCAGAAGACACGCCGCCTGTCTTGTAAGTGCCCATATTGTCTCTCTTTGTTAATGTCACTGTGAATCTGTGTGAGTGTGTGTTTCCCCAGGGTCTGTGTCTGGGGTGCGTGGCTGTGTGTGTCCCGCTTGTGTATCTGGAGGGGCCAAGGGTTCTTTCCATGCGGTTGGCAGTGTGCACCCTTGGCACGGGGGTGTGGGACGTGGTCTGTGTTCAGAGTTGGGGCGCTAACAGGGAAAGCTTGAGCAGGGGTTGAAATCCCCAAGGGGAAGCCCGGGATGATGACTGAGCCCATCTCCCTTTCTCCTCCACGGAGTTCCACATTCACACCCATGCACACTAATACACCCTGACTCTCAGGTCAGAAACACACACATGTGCGCACAGCCCCCTGCTGAGGGTCACTCAGACTCACACACATCCACAGATCACACTAGGTCCCATGTGCTCCACCCGGTGCACGGAGCTGCTGCAGGCTCACACACACAACATGCACCCACCACATGGCACAACCGCCTTCACACCCTTGCCAGGACACAACACCCCGGACACACACCCAGTCACAAACACTCACAAATGCCCATTGGCAAACTCACCTTCACTCAGTGCTAACGGAGACTTGAGGTGGGGGTGAAGTGAAGGAGGGGACACACACACACTTACACACACACACTCACACACACTCTCTCACACACACACATTCACATGGATCCGAGCTGCCCCTCCTCCAGCACCCCGCAGGCCCCTGCTTGCATATGCATGAGGCTTGTACATTATTCATGAGGGCACGGGCCCCAGACAGCTGTGTAAATGCTCATCTCTGGCCGCCCTGGGGAGGAGGTATTTTAAGAGAAGGGTGTGGGTGTGTGAGGGTGCGAGTGGAAGGGAGTGGGAGGGTGTGTGTGGGGGGTGTGCACCTGAAACTGTGTCTGTCACCATGTTGGGCAACCTCAGTATATTTTTAGCGTATACATGAGGCTTTGTGTCTAAAGAGCTGTTTTTAAATTTAACATTTCTAGGACTTTGCAAGTCTTAGGTCATTTCATCCTCACAGTAGCTGCAGGTGGTACTTGCTGGATAATCTCCATTTTACAGGTGGGGAAACTGAGGCACAGAGAGATTGAAGCAGCTTGTCCCGGATTAGAAGCAGAGCTATCTGGATGTAGTCTGACCTGTTAACGGGGTGTGTGTGTGTGTGTGTGTGTGTGTGTGTGTGTGTGAGAGAGAGAGAGAAAGAGAATTCTCTGGCCTTGTCCTCTCGTAAGGCCCTGCTGGGGGCAGGTGCAACCCGGAGTCCTGTCTCTCTCTAATACCTGGCCAGGCCTGGAACAGCCATGAGGGGACCCCACACTTGCTCAGGGTTCCAAGGGGAAGAAATGAGAACAGCCTGGTGAAGGCAGAGGTTGCTGAGGTTTACAAGTTGGTAGTTGGGAGCACTGGTCCAGGGTCTGGCTTTGACCTCTACCCTGCTGTGCAGCCTGAGGCAAACCTCTAGCCCTCTCTGGTCCCTGAGGCATCGTGTTAGCAGGCAGGAGGCAGGGGTGGACTAGGTGGGCTTTGCCGCTGCGTTGCCGCCTCAGAGTTCAGCACCACGGACAGGTCCCAGGCCGGCCTCCCAGCAGGGGACTCTGGGAGCTGGGAAGGAGAACTGGGGAAAGGGACAGCTGTCACATACAGCCTCCCCTTCTGGACTCCGTTCACACCCCTTCCTCAGGGATAATTTCTTATGGGGGCGGGGAGCAAGGATTGGGTTTGCAGATGATGTTCTAATTTTCCATCTGCGCCCACCTCCTGAGCCCTGGTGACCGGGGTTCGCAGGAGTGGGAGGTTTTGGGGAGGGACCACCTCCCCAGGATTCCTAGTCTCTGGAACAATGTGAAGTCAGGAAATGCACTGCTGTGTCCCAACGACTGGCATGGGCTTTGCTCACAGTAGGCGCTTAATAATTGTCCACTTTATCCCTATGGGTCCTAGCCCCTATAGGGAAATGGACCCACAACTGAAGTTTCTCTGTGGGCCTAAGAAGTATCTTTGTTGAGCTGTGTGAAGTCAGGAGGAGGATGGGTGGGCAGGGGTGAGCCCCTTCCTCCAGCTGGGAGTTGGCGGCTCCTCCAAAATCCCAGAAACCAAGAATAGAATCTTGGTGACAACCAAATCCTGGAATTGAAGCTGCGAATCGTGTCAGCCAGCAAACCCAGATTAAAGGATGGCTTAGAGGCCAGCCTGCTGCCTGGACTGAGGATGCTGGGAGGACTGGGACAGACTGCTGCCCTCTAGGAGCCGCCAGTCTGATGGAGGAGGCTGACTTGAAAAATGGTATTTCAGTCTTGGCTGTGTTAAGGTCGGTAATAATAATAGCAGCAGCTAAAATGTACCCCTTACTGCATGAGACAGTTCTAAGCATTTTATATGTATTGACTCATCCATTCCTTTCAACTACCTGATGTTATCCCCATCTGACCCACAAAGAAAGTAAGGCACAGAGAAGGTAAGCAACTTGCCCAAGATCACACAAAAGGAACAGTGAGCCAATTCCAGATTTGATTCACTACCAGCACCCAGGCTTCTGACCACAGACTTCATTGCTTGGATTGTTTTTTGTTGTTGTGTTGTGTTTTGTTTTGTTTTCAGTCTCGCGCTGTCACCCAGGCTGGAGTGTGGTGGTGGAATCATAGCTCACTGCAGCCTTGAACTCCTGGGCTCAAGCAATCCTCCCACCTCAGCCTCCTGCATAGCTGGGACCACAGGTGTGCGCCACCAAGCCCAGATAATTTTTTTTTTTTTTGAGACAGAGTCTCACCCTGTCGCCCAGGCTGGAGTGCAGTGGCGTGATCTCGGCTCACTGCAACCTCCACCTCCCGGGTTCAAGTAATTCTCCTGCCTCAGCCTCCTGAGTAGCTGGGATTACAGGCGCCTGCCACCACGCCCAGCTAATTTTTGTATTTTTAGTAGAGACGGGGTTTCACCATGTTGGTAAGGCTGGTCTCGAACCCCTGACCTCGTGATCCACCCTCCTCGGCCTCCCAAAGTGCTAGGATTACAGGCGTGAGCCACCACGCCTGGCTGCTAATTTTTTAAATAGAGGTAAGATCTCACTATGTTGCCCAGGCTGGTCTCAAGCTTCTGGCCTCAAGCAGTCCTCCCACCTCAGCCTCCCAAAGTGCTGGAACTATAGGCGTGAGCCACCGCGTCCAGCCACTGCTATTCTGAGGTCAAGTGGCCCTGGGTTCGAATTCTGGCTCAGCCCTTTGCTGGCTCCTTCTGTGACCTAGAATAACACACTGGTCTCTCTGAGCCCTGGTTTCCTGATCTGTAGAGTGGGGGAGTTTGGTCCTGCAATGCTGAATATCTGGGAGGGTTGGGCTGTGGCTCACCCCTCCCTCCCTCTCCATTTTGTTCCAGATCCAGGATGGGGGCCCCGTTTGTCTGGGCCTTGGGCCTTTTGATGCTGCAGATGCTGCTCTTTGTGGCTGGGGAACAGGGTGAGTTGGTTTGTGGGGAGGGAGAGATTGGGGTCTAGGGGATGGACAAGATGGGGCAGCTTTTGAATTCCAGAGCCTTCTCCTGCTGGTCTCCTGGCATGGGCTAGAGAATAAAATGAGAATAGATTTTAAAAGGTCTTTGAACAGTCAAAAGCGAACAGGATACCTAAGAGGTTATTTTTAGTCATTGTCAGCAGAAGCTGGAGATTCCCGCCTCTCATCGTTTTGCTCAGATGAACTGGAGAGAAAGAAAGAAAGAAATGAGAATAGTGCAGAGATTGATTAGTGATGTCTGCCAAGGGTGGAGCGATGGAAATAAAGGTCTGTGTCCCTCTACTGGTGGTCAAGAGCCCAGGTTTTAGAAATCCCTCACAGATTTGGTCTGTGACCTTAGGCAAGTATAATTATCTCTCTGAACTTCAGTTTCCTCAACTCCCCCCAAAGAGAATGAGACATTGCTACTCTGCAGATGGTTATGAAAATCAAATGAGCTGATTGCTATAAAGTGCCTGTTACAAAGATGGTACTCTGCAAACACCATTTCCTTTTCATTAGCTGTCTTTTGCTTTACCTTTCGGAAAAACTGGGGCTCAGGGAAGGAAAATGCCTCTCCCAGGGCCATACAGTGAATCAGTGGCACTGGAGTGAAATCCCTGTCCTTATAAAAATAAAGTGAGGGGCTAGGCACAGTGGTTTATGCCTATAATTCTAGCACTTTGGGAGGCTGAGGCAGGCAGATCACTTGAGGTCAGGGGTTCCAGGCTAGCCTGCCTAACATGGTGAAACTCCGTCTCTACAGAAAATACAAAAATTAGCCAGGTGTGGTGGCACATGCCTGTAATCCCATCTTCTCGGGAGGCTGAGGCATGAGAATCGCTTGAACCTGGGAGGCGAAGGTTGCAGTGAGCCGAGATCATGCCACTCCACTCCAGCCTGGGTGACAGAGTCAGACTCAAAAAAATAATAATAAGGCTGGGTGTAGTGGCTCACCCCTATAATCCCAGAACTGTGGGAGGCCAAGGTAGGTGGATCAGTTGAGGTCAGGAATTGGAGACCAGCCTGGCCAACATGGTGAAACCCATCTCTACTAAAAATGCAAAAATTAGCCAGGCGTGGTGGCACACACCTGTAATCCCAGCTACTGGGGAGGCTGAGGCAGGAGAATTGCTTGAACTTAGGAGGCAGAGGTTGCAGTGAGCTGAGATCATGCCACTGCACTCCAGCCTGGGAGATGGAGCGAGACTCCATCTCAAAAGTATAAATAAATAAAAGAATAATAATAATAAGGGGCTGGGCACAGTGGCTCATACCTATAATCCCAGCACTTTCGGGAGGCTGAGGTGGGAGGATTGCTTGAGTCTAGGAGCTTGAGGCTGCAGTGAATCATGATCATGTCACTGCATTCTACCCTGGGCGATAGAGTGAGACTCAATCTCTAAAAATAGTTTTTTGTTTTTTTTTTTGAGATGGAGTTTCGCTCTTGTTGCCCAGGCTGGAGTGCAATGGTGCGACCTTGGCTCACCGCAACCTCTGCCTCCCGGGTTCAAGCGATTCTCCTGCCTCAGCCTCCTGAGTAGCTGGGATTACAGGCATGTGCCACCACACCCAGCTAATTTTGTATTTTTAGTAAAGACAGGGTTTCTCCATGTTGGTCAGGCTGGTTTCAAATTCCTGACCTCAGGTGATTTGCCCGCCTTGGTCTCTCAAAGTGCTGGGGTTACAGGCATGAGCTATCGCGTCCAGCCACTGCTTGGATTCTGAGGTCAAGTGGCCCTAGGTTCAAATTCTGGCTCAGCCCTTTTAAAAAATTTTTTAAAAGAGGGAAATAGCAGTCCCTGCTTGGTTCTTGCCTCTGAATCAGGCCCTCTCTCCACCTTCTCCAACCCAGGCACACAGGATATCACCGATGCCAGCGAAAGGGGGCTCCACATGCAGAAGCTGGGGTCTGGGTCAGTGCAGGCTGCGCTGGCGGAGCTGGTGGCCCTGCCCTGTCTCTTTACCCTGCAGCCACGGCCAAGCGCAGCCCGAGATGCCCCTCGGATAAAGTGGACCAAGGTGCGGACTGCGTCGGGCCAGCGACAGGACTTGCCCATCCTGGTGGCCAAGGACAATGTCGTGAGGGTGGCCAAAAGCTGGCAGGGACGAGTGTCACTGCCTTCCTACCCCCGGCGCCGAGCCAACGCCACGCTACTTCTGGGGCCACTGAGGGCCAGTGACTCTGGGCTGTACCGCTGCCAGGTGGTGAGGGGCATCGAGGATGAGCAGGACCTGGTGCCCTTGGAGGTGACAGGTCAGTTGGGGGCAAAGGAGGGGCCGGGGGCCGGGGAGAGGGAGGGCTGAGCCTGGAGCCCACCCACTGAATGTCACCTTAGAAATCACTCCCTGAGACCTGGCCTGGTGTCTCATGCCTGTAATCCCAGCACTTTGGCAGGCCAAGGCGGGTGGATTGCTTGAGCACAGGAGTTCGAGACCAGCCTGGGTAACATGGTGAAACCTCGTCTCCACAGAAAATACAAAAATTAGCCAGGCATGGTGGCACATGCCTGTAGTCCAGCTACTTGGGAGGCATAGGTGGGAGGATCACTTGAGACTGGGAGGTTGAGGCTACTCCACTCCAGCCTGGATGACAGAGGGAGACCCTGTCACAAAAAAAAAAAAAAAAAAAAGGAAAGAAATCACTCTCTGAACCGGGATTCCCTTTGAATTCTTCTGATAAAGTCCTAAAGTCTTTATGGTGCCTATAATCTGAGCACTTTGGGAGGCCGAGGCGTGTGGATCAGTTGAGGTCAGGAGTTTGAGACCAGTGTGGCCAACATGGTGAAACCCCGTCTTTAAAAAAAAAAAAAAAAAATTAGCCAGGCATGGTGATGCATGCCTGTGATCCCAGCTACTTGGGAGGCTGAGGCAGGAGAACTGCTTGAACCCAGAAGGTGGAGGTTGCAGTGAGCTGAGATTGAGCCACTGCACTCCAGCCTGGGCCACACCGCGAGACTCTGTCTCAAAAGAAAAAAAACGTCTGTATCAGTATGGGTACTATCTTGTCTTTAACACCTCTCTTTTTTAGCTATGAGAGAGGAGTCTCCAGCTCAGACTTCTGGGGGCCACAATATCTAGGCAGGATTTTTGTTTGTTTGTTTTGAGATGGAGTCTCACTCTTGTTGCCCAGGCTGGAGTGCAGTGGTGCTATCTAAGCTCACTGCATCCTCCGTCTAGGCAGGATTTTACTTGGAGTCAATTTTATGGTTATCTGATTTTATGTAAGACAAAGGATACTGGCTTTCTATTTAAAATAGAAATAAAAAATTCCTTGTAAAATAAACTTAAGTTTTTTTCTAAGTGAGGCAATTTTTTAAAAGTAAGTTAATTTAAGATGTATATTAAATATTAAGCAAGAACAATTCTCAAATACCTGTTTAGGCAATTCTTTTTTTTTTTTTTTTTTTTTTTTGAGATGGGAGTCTCGCTCTGTCTCCCAGGCTGGAGTGCAGTGGCATGATCTCAACTCATCGCCAGCTCTGCCTCCCGGGTTCACACCATTCTCCTGCCTCAGCCTCCTGAGTAGCTGGGACTACAGGCGCCCGCCACAGCGCCTGGCTAATTTTTTGTATTTTTAGTAGAGACGGGGTTTCACCGTGTTAGCCAGGATGGTCTTGATCTCCTGACCTCGTGATCTGCCCACCTCGGCCTCCCAAAGTGCTAGGATTACCAGGCATGAGCCACCGCACCTGGCAACCAATTCCTTTATTAAATTCTTCTTGTTGAGCTGCGTGTGGTAGTGCACACCTGTAGTTTCAGCACTTTGGGAGGCTGAAGAGGAAGGGTCACTTCAGCCAGGAATTCAAGACCAGCCTGGGAAACATAGCAAGACCCTGTCTCTATTAGAAAAACAAAAACAAACAAACAAACAAAAAACAAAAAACGGGGATGGGGGCCCAGTGGCTCATGTCTGTAATCCCAGCACTTTGGGAGACCAAGGCAGGAGAATCACTTAAGCTCAGGAGTTTGAGACCAGCCTGGGCAACATAGTGAGACCTTGTCTATACAAAATTCCAAATTCCAAAACATTAGCCAGGTATGATGGTGTGTTCCTGTAGTCTTAGCTACTCAGGAGGCTGAGGTGGGAGGATTGCTTGAGTCCCAAGAGATCGAGGCTGCAGCGAGCCTTGATCATGCCACTGCACTCCAGCCTGGGCAACACAGCAAGACCCTGTCTCAAAAATAATAATAATATGGCTGGGCGCAGTGGCTCACGCCTGTAATCCCAGCATTTTGGGAGGTCGAGACGGGTGGATCATGAGGTCAGGAGTTCGAGACCAGCAGATCATGAGGTCAGGAGTTCGAGACCAGCCTGGCCAAGATGGTGAAACCCCTTCTCTACTAAAAATACAAAAATTAGCCAGGCATGGTGGCACATTCCTGTAACCCCAGCTACTCGGGAGGCTGAGGCAGGAGAATCGCTTGAACCCAGGAGGTGGAGGTTGAGGTGAGCCGAGATTGTGCTATTGCACTCCAGCCTGGGCAACAAGAGGGAAACTCCATCTTAAAAATAATAATAATAATAATAATACAACTAAATAAGCCAGATGTGGCGGCTCACACCTCTAATCTCAGCATTTTGAAAGACTAAGGCAGGAGGATTGCTTGAGCCCAGGAGTTCAAGACCAGTCTGAGCAAGATGGTGAGACCTCGTCTCTACAAAATTTTTAAAAAAATATTAGCAGGGCATGCTAGTGTGCGCCTGTAGTCTCAGCTTGTCAGGAGGCTGAGGTGGGAGGATCGCTTAAGTCTGGAAGGTTGGAAGCTGCAGTGAGCTGAGATCGCACCACTGCACTTCAGCCTGGGTGACAGAGGGAGACCCTGACTCAAATAAATAAATAAATAAATAGTCAAAAACTAAAAATAAAGAACAGGGTTTGGCACACAGTAGATGCTCAATAAATGACTCAGTGAATGGATTATTGTACAGCAAACATCCCGTGGACTCCTGCTGGGAAACCTGTTTCCCTTAACTTAAATTGACCTTGGGCAAGTCCCTGATTCCTGTCTTGGGGCTTAACCTGCATGCCCCCAAACTGGGAACTGGGGACACAGTGTCTTACCACATAGTTTATGGAGTCAACCAGTCATCCCCTTTCAGAGGCCTCATTTCTGAAAATTGATAAAAGCTAACAACAACAACAACAACAAACTGATTGGTGGTGAGGCAAGTGAATTCCACATCTAGGTAACTTCAATTTCATTCATTCAGCCAAACTCTTTTTGTTGTTGTTTGAGACAGAGTCTCACTCTGTCACCCAGGCTGGAGTTCAGTGGTGTGATCTTGGCTCACTGCACCTCTGCCTCGTGGGTTCAAGCGATTCTCCTGCTTCAGCCTCTGGAGTAGCTGGGATTACAGGTGCACACAACCACACCTGGCTAATTTTTGTATTTTTAGTAGAGACAGGGTTTCACCACATTGGCCAGGCTGGTTTCCAACTCCTAGCCTCAAGTGATCTGCCTGCCTCGGTCTTCCAAAGTGCTGGGATTACAGGCATGAGCTGCTATGCCCGGACATTCAGCCAAACATTTATTGAGCACCTACACTGTACTGGTCCAATGCTGAGGACACAGAGCTCTCAGTTGGATAAGCCAGAGCAAAGTGTTTCATTTCATTGTCTTGTTCAGCCATTTCTTTCATCCCTAAATCAGAATTTGAATCACAGTGAGCCTGTTACCAGGGCTTCACATCCTGGCTTACATGTCACCTCCTCCAGGAAGCCTTCCAGGACCACATTTCCAGGCCAGGCAAGAACCACATTTGGGCCGGGCGCGGTGGCTCATGCCTGTAATCCCAGCACTTTGGGAGGCTGAGGTGGGCGGATCACGAGGTCAGGAGATCAAGACCATCCTGGCTAACATGGTGAAACCCCATCTCTACTAAAAATAGAAAAAAATTAGCTGGGCGTGATGGCAGGCGCCTGTAGTCCCAGCTACTTGGGAGGCTGAGGCAGGAGAATGGTGTGAACCCGGGAGGCGGAGCTTGCAGTGAGCTGAGATCGCGCCACTGCACTGCAGCCTGGCGACAGAGTGAGATTCTGTCTCAAAAAATAAATAAAATAAAATAAATAAAATAAAAAATAAATAAATAAATAAAAAAGAACCACATTTGGTCTCCCATTGCTGCCTGTGCTTCCCTATTAGCGCATGCACTTAATTCCTAAAAGGCAGAAACTCTCTGTCAGCCTTCTCCACACCTCCTGCCACCTCCAGGGCCTAACCCTGGGCATGAAGAGTGCTATCTTTGGAGTCAGATCTCTCTGAATTTGAATTCTGGTTCTGTTTCTTATTTGCTGCGTGGGCCTGGACCTGTCCCTCAACCTTTCTGACCCTAAGTTTCCTCCTCTAGAACAATCAGATTTGTTGTAAGAGTTCAATAAGATAATGCTTATAAATGCTTTTCTTTTTTTTAATGTTTTAGTTTTTTTGAGATGGAGTCTTGTTCTGTCTCCCAGGCTGGAGTGCAGTGGCTCAATCCCGGCTCACCGCAACCTCTGCCTCCTGGGTTCAAGCGATTCTCCTGCCTCAGCCGCCCTAGTAGCTGGGATTACAGACGCATGCCACCATGCCCAGCTATTTTTTGTATTTTTAGTAGAGACAGGGTTTCACCATGTTAGCCAGGCTGGTCTCGAACTCCTGACCTAAAGTGATCTGCCCACCTTGGCCTCCCAAAGTGCTAGGATTACAGAAGTGAGCCAACATGCCTGAACGGCCGTAAACGCTTTTCACATTGTAAATATTTGCTAACTTGTAACCCTTTATGGCCATTGTTATCAGTTTCCTCATCTGTAAAATGGGGGCATATGGATCTTGCTCCCCACCCTCGACCCACACTGTGCCTGGCGCTAGGTCTATTATTATCAGACAGGGGTGGGGAGTCATTCTGCAAGAGGTAGGTCTGTTCTTGAAGATTCCAGCATAAGTCAACTGTCCCCCCATCCTGGATGTTCCCCCACAGGTGTTGTGTTCCACTACCGATCAGCCCGGGACCGCTATGCACTGACCTTCGCTGAGGCCCAGGAGGCCTGCCGTCTCAGCTCAGCCATCATTGCAGCCCCTCGGCATCTACAGGCTGCCTTTGAGGATGGCTTTGACAACTGTGATGCTGGCTGGCTCTCTGACCGCACTGTTCGGTGAGGGGGATACACAGGGCAGGGAGATGAAGACTAGCTCATGGGGAAGGAGGTTCCTTGGGGGCTCCAGGAGCACACATCTGAGAGGGACCCTCCCCTTGTGTTGTCAGGTATCCTATCACCCAGTCCCGTCCTGGTTGCTATGGCGACCGTAGCAGCCTTCCAGGGGTTCGGAGCTATGGGAGGCGCAACCCACAGGAACTCTACGATGTGTATTGCTTTGCCCGGGAGCTGGGGGGTAAGTCTGGGACTGGCAGGACCCGGCCCCTCCGCCTCTCTTTGAGTATCTATTATTCTCCCCAACTCCCATCCTCCGGGGTCCTTATGCAACTCCCCTGTCTTATACCTCCCTAAACCTGCAACCAAGACATGATTCCACTCATTTTCTGAGCTTTCCATGCCTCCCTGAGTCCCCCTCCCTCCCTTTGCCCCCTTCCTCTCTCTGATCCTCTTTCCCTCTCTAATCCCCTGTCCCCTGCCTGCCTCCCTGTCCCTATCCCCTTCCTCCTCTGTGAGCCCCCTTCACCGAGCCCCTCCCTCTCTCTGAAGCCCGACTTGCCCATGGGCCTGAGTTACTCCATTTGTAAAAAGAGGCTTAGCTCTGCATGAGAGGTAAGGACAAGGATGATCCCGGAGCTGGACGCACAGCTGCGGTTGTCACCGCCTCTTCTAACCACCACCCTAACACGTCCAGGTCGGAACTATTTGGAGTTGGACCCACTTCCTGGGCTCCAGGGGAGGGTTCCCCAGCCCCCCTGACCTCCACCCGCCCCTCCCGCAGGCGAGGTCTTCTACGTGGGCCCGGCCCGCCGCCTGACACTGGCCGGCGCGCGTGCACAGTGCCGCCGCCAGGGTGCCGCGCTGGCCTCGGTGGGACAGCTGCACCTGGCCTGGCATGAGGGCCTGGACCAGTGCGACCCGGGCTGGCTGGCCGACGGCAGCGTGCGCTACCCGATCCAGACGCCGCGCCGGCGCTGCGGGGGCCCAGCCCCGGGCGTGCGCACCGTCTACCGCTTCGCTAACCGGACCGGCTTCCCCTCACCCGCCGAGCGCTTCGACGCCTACTGCTTCCGAGGTGCGTGCGTCCCCTGGTGGCCGCGCCCCCAGGGCTTTCACTTTGGCGAAGGCCACGTCCCTGAAAGCCTCGCCAAGCCAAGGGAGAGACACATGGAAGCTCGCTTTGTGATAAGCCACATCCCTGGGTGAGGGCCACGCCCCCGGGTGAAGGCCACACCCGTTACGACAAGTCTTTCCCTAGGAGCCCCGTCCTGGGTAAAGAACAGGGCTCCAGAGGAGGCCACTCTGGTGGGGAGTCACCTTTGCTGGGTGGGCTGTATCTCCTGAGGTCCGGAGGCCCCATAACCTTGAAAGACAAGCCCCTAGGTGGGGCATACTCTACCTAGAGCCACGCCCATACGCAGAAACACCCCCGTGGAAGAGATAATGCCTCAATTGGCCACCTCTGGGCACCACACCGGATGTGGGAGCAGGGATGACACTCGCCCTTGTTGGGGGGCAGTGGGGACAGCTTTGGAAGCTGCAAGCATCAACCCCAAGGAGCCATGTCCTCTAAGTAAGCTGCCCCAGTCCTGGCATGGGCATACCATGCCCACGGGGCACCACCTGTACCAGGGGAGGATCCGTCACCAAGGTTGAGTTGAACCCCTCAACAGGCAGACCCAAGTTCATGAGAGTTGGACACTACCTGAGCTTTGCCCATGAGCCAAATTGTCTTTTTTTCTTTTTTCTTTTGAGACAGAGTCTCACTCTGTCACCCAGGCTGGAGTGCAGTGGTGTGATCTCGGCTCACTGCAACCTCCACCTCCCTTGTTCAAGCAATTCTCCTGCCTCAGCCTTCGGAGTAGCTGGGACTACAGGAATGTGCCACCATGCCCAGCTAATTTTTGTATTTTTAGTAGAGACGGGGTTTCACCATGTTGGCCAGGCTGGTCTTGAACTCCTGACCTCAAGTGATCCACCCACCTTGGCCTCCCAAAGTGCTGGGATTACGGACGTGAGCCACCGCGCCTGGCCCAAATTCTCTTGAGTCCTCACTGCAGCCAGTTGACTCTGACCCTGACAGTGGCTCAGGTGGTCTCCAGCCTGAACAGTGGAGGTGAAAATTTTGCACTTCCCTCTCCCAGGCTGGGGGAATCTCAGAAACTACTTAGGAGAGACAGAGGTACACAGAAGGCTTATGCTGCAGCATGCTGGAAAGTGGGTAGACTTCAAGCAGAACTTCCCAGGCAACCCCTGGGCCTAACACAACCTCTTCTGCTTTCTCCCACAGCTCATCACCCCACGTCACAACATGGAGACCTAGAGACCCCATCCTCTGGGGATGAGGGGGAGATTCTGTCAGCAGAGGGGCCCCCAGTTAGAGAACTGGAGCCCACCCTGGAGGAGGAAGAGGTGGTCACCCCTGACTTCCAGGAGCCTCTGGTGTCCAGTGGGGAAGAAGAAACCCTGATTTTGGAGGAGAAGCAGGAGTCTCAACAGACCCTCAGCCCTACCCCTGGGGACCCCATGCTGGCCTCATGGCCCACTGGGGAAGTGTGGCTAAGCACGGTGGCCCCCAGCCCTAGCGACATGGGGGCAGGCACTGCAGCAAGTTCACACACGGAGGTGGCCCCAACTGACCCTATGCCTAGGAGAAGGGGGCGCTTCAAAGGGTTGAATGGGCGCTACTTCCAGCAGCAGGAACCGGAGCCGGGGCTGCAAGGGGGGATGGAGGCCAGCGCCCAGCCCCCCACCTCAGAGGCTGCAGTGAACCAAATGGAGCCTCCGTTGGCCATGGCAGTCACAGAGATGTTGGGCAGTGGCCAGAGCCGGAGCCCCTGGGCTGATCTGACCAATGAGGTGGATATGCCTGGAGCTGGTGAGTTGCTCTGGGGGAGGCGGGACCTACCTGGGGATCTGGAGGTGAGGGTAGAGAGGTAGCCATGGCTACACTCAGAATGAGGGAGGAAGCTCCAAATCCCAGCTGGGTCCTCTGGCCCCAGAAGCCCCCTCTCCCTTGGGCCTGGAGTCCAACCAAAGGGGCTGCTGAGAGATCATTGTAATGATTGCCTTGATGTTGTTGCAGGTTCTGCTGGTGGCAAGAGCTCCCCAGAGCCCTGGCTGTGGCCCCCTACCATGGTCCCACCCAGCATCTCAGGCCACAGCAGGGCCCCTGTCCTGGAGCTAGAGAAAGCCGAGGGCCCCAGTGCCAGGCCAGCCACCCCAGACCTGTTTTGGTCCCCCTTGGAGGCCACTGTCTCAGCTCCCAGCCCTGCCCCCTGGGAGGCATTCCCTGTGGCCACCTCCCCAGATCTCCCTATGATGGCCATGCTGCGTGGTCCCAAAGAGTGGATGCTACCACACCCCACCCCCATCTCCACCGAGGCCAATAGAGTTGAGGCACATGGTGAGGCCACCGCCACGGCTCCACCCTCCCCTGCTGCAGAGACCAAGGTGTATTCCCTGCCTCTCTCTTTGACCCCAACAGGACAGGGTGGAGAGGCCATGCCCACAACACCTGAGTCCCCCAGGGCAGACTTCAGAGAAACTGGGGAGACCAGCCCTGCTCAGGTCAACAAAGCTGAGCACTCCAGCTCCAGCCCATGGCCTTCTGTAAACAGGAATGTGGCTGTAGGTTTTGTCCCCACTGAGACTGCCACTGAGCCAACGGGCCTCAGGGGTATCCCGGGGTCTGAGTCTGGGGTCTTCGACACAGCAGAAAGCCCCACTTCTGGCTTGCAGGCCACTGTAGATGAGGTGCAGGACCCCTGGCCCTCAGTGTACAGCAAAGGGCTGGATGCAAGTTCCCCATCTGCCCCCCTGGGGAGCCCTGGAGTCTTCTTGGTACCCAAAGTCACCCCAAATTTGGAGCCTTGGGTTGCTACAGATGAAGGACCCACTGTGAATCCCATGGATTCCACAGTCACGCCGGCCCCCAGTGATGCTAGTGGAATTTGGGAACCTGGATCCCAGGTGTTTGAAGAAGCCGAAAGCACCACCTTGAGCCCTCAGGTGGCCCTGGATACAAGCATTGTGACGCCCCTCACGACCCTGGAGCAGGGGGACAAGGTTGGAGTTCCAGCCATGTCTACACTGGGCTCCTCAAGCTCCCAACCCCACCCAGAGCCAGAGGATCAGGTGGAGACCCAGGGAACATCAGGAGCTTCAGTGCCTCCGCATCAGAGCAGTCCCCTAGGGAAACCGGCTGTTCCTCCTGGGACACCGACTGCAGCCAGTGTGGGCGAGTCTGCCTCAGTTTCCTCAGGGGAGCCTACGGTACCGTGGGACCCCTCCAGCACCCTGCTGCCTGTCACCCTGGGCATAGAGGACTTCGAACTGGAGGTCCTGGCAGGGAGCCCGGGTGTAGAGAGCTTCTGGGAGGAGGTGGCAAGTGGAGAGGAGCCAGCCCTGCCAGGGACCCCTATGAATGCAGGTGCGGAGGAGGGTGAGTACAAAGTCCCGGGGCTCTGTCCAGCTCTCCATGGTCAGGGCTTGGGGAGCAGGGGCTGGGGGATCCCAGAGCAGGGAGGAATGGTTGTCCCTGGGGATCTGGAAGCTTTCTAGTGGGGCATGACGCTGGAGGTAGGAGCTTATCAGGTGGAGTTGAATTTCAGAAAGGACATTCCTGGCAGAGGAACGAGCACTGGCAAAGGCCAGGAGATGAAGTAGCGCTTGATCAATTTCGGGCACAGAGCATACATCCCAATGAACAAAGTGTGAGAGTAGTGAGTGGCCGGGCATGGTGCCTCATGCCTGTAATCCCAGCACTTTGGGAGGCTGAGGCGGGCAGATCACTTGAGGTCAGGAGTTCAAGACCAGCCTGGCCAACATGGCAAAACTCCGTCTCTACTAGAAATATAAAAATTAGCCGGGTGTGGTGGCACACACCTGTAATCCCAGCTACTGGGGAAGCTGAGGCATAAGAATCGCTTGAACCCGGGAGGCGGAGGTTGCAGTGAGCTGAGATTGTACCACTGCACTTCCAGCCTGGGTGACAGAGTGAGACTCTGTCAAAAACAAAAACAAAAACAAAGTGTGGGAGTGGCGAGGCATTGAGTAGAGTCTGATTTGGGGATGAGTTCAGGTACAAGCCATGTCTACATCTGCTTTGAGCTGGACAGTGGTGTGATGGACTGGCTTTCCAGGATTCCCCGAGTCTGAGGAAGACAGAGCAGGACACAGACGCCTCCCAGGCGAGACCAGAGGGAGGAGGCATGGCAGGGAGGGTTTCCTGGACAAATGTGAATGGGAGCTGGAATTCGGTGATTTGACTCGTGGGGGACCTCAAGCCACAGGGAAAGTGGGTGCTGGGGAGCCATGCAAGGGGCGAGAATCACCCCCATTCTACAGATAGCAAACCGGGGCTCAGGGAGGTAAAACGCCGCTTGGCTAATCAGTGGTCACACCTCAACTGGAGCCCAAGTCAGCCTGAGTCTTAGCTACTCTGTGGCCAGCAGCGTCCATAGAAATCGGCTGCCCTGTTCTCCCTGGGGCCAGGTCAGCCTCAGCTCAGCCTGCAAATTCCAGCCCTTCTTAGGTTCTGCCAAATTAAGCTGAGTTTTTTGGCCAAATGAAATTTAGAAACAAACAAACAAAAAAGAGGCTGCGTGTGATGGCTCATGCCTGTCATCCTAGCCCTTTGGGAGGCTGAGGTGGGAGAATCTCTTGAGCTCAAGAGTTAAGACCAGGCTGGCCAACACAGCAAGACCCCATCTCTACTAAAAATAAAAAGAAATTAGCCAGGCTGCAGTGAGCTATGATAGTTCCACCGCGAGACCCTGCATGAAATCAAACTAACAAAACAAAACAAGCAGCTAATTAATAAGTCTTTTTTTCTGAGTTGCACACTTTTTTTTTGTTTGTTTTTTGAGACTGAGTCTCACTCTGTCATCCAGCCTGGAGTGCAGTGGTGTGATCTCGGCGCACTGCAACCTCCGCCTCCCAGGTTCAAGTGATTCTCCTGCCTCAACCTTCTGAGTAGCTGGGATTACAGGCTCCCGCCACCACGCCTGGCTAATTTTTGTATTTTTAGTAGAGACAAGGCTTCACCATGTTGGCCAGGCTGGTCCCGAACTCCTGACCTCAGGTGATCCACCTGCCTTGGCCTCCCAAAGTGCTGGGATTACAACTGTGAGCCATAGCACCCAGTCGAGTTGCACACTTTTATTAACACCATTGATGTTTAACTACCGCACCCCCCACCCCCAAATTTTTTTTTTTTTTTTTTTAGAAAGGGTCTCACTCTGTCACCTAGGCTTGAGTGCAGTGGCAAGATCGTGGCTCACTGCAGCCTTGACCTCCCCAGGCTCAGGTGATCCTTCTGCCTCAGGCTCCCAAGCAGCTGGGACCAGGTGTGCACCAACAGGCCTGGCTAATTTTTGTATTTTTTATAGACAGGGTTTTGCCATGTTGCCCAAGCTAGTGCCCGTTTTTTTGAAGGCAAAGTGTCATGATGATGGAAATAGCTGATGCAGGTTTCATCATCCAGCCTGTCACTTCTGGGCTGTGTTGGGGTGGGATCTTTTTTTTTTTTTTCCTTTTTTTTTTTTTTCCAGACAGGGTCTTGGTCAGTTGTTCAGGCTGGAGTGCAGTGGTGCAATCATAGCTCACTGCACCGAGGCTCAAGTGATCCTCCCACATCAGCTTCTCCAGTAGCTTGGACTACAGGCATGCAACCACCACACCCGGCTGTGTGTGTGTGTGTGTGTGTGTGTGTGTGTGTGTGTGTGTGTGTAGAGATGGGGTCTCCCTATGTTATCCAGGCTGGTCTCAAACTCCTGGGCTCAAGTGATCCTCTTGCCTTGGCCTCCCAAAGTGTTGGGATTACAGACATGAGCCGTAGCGCCGGGCAGTTCTTTTTTTCTTAGATGTCCAGGAGGCAGGCCGACCGCCCCACCCCGTATCGATAAAGGCTGACATTTATGGGTTACTGCCAGTGTGCTTGGCTTATTCAAAGCACTTTACTGGAGTTATCTTGGTTAATCCTTTTAATGTCCTTATGGGAAAAGCTCCAGTGTGATCCTTACTTTGCAGATAGGGAGACAGACACAGAGAGGTGAAGTGCCTTGTGCAGCCATGCAACTAAGGGAGTGTCAAGGCTGGGGTTTGAATCCAGGTCATCTGAACATGGGGTTTCTTTTTTTTTTTTTTTTGAGAGAGAGAGTCTTTCTCCGTCGCCCAGGCTGGAGTACAGTGGTGATCTCAGGTCAGTGCAACCTCCGCCTCCCAGGTTCAAGTGATTTTCATGCCTCAGCCTCCTGAGTAGCTGGGATTGTAGGCGTGCACCACCATGTCTGGCTAATTTTTATACTTTTAGTAGAGATGGTGTTTCACCATGTTGACCAGGTTGGTCTCAAGCTCCTGACTCAAGTGATCTGCCCGCCTCAGCCTCCCGAAGTGCTGGGATTACAGGCGTGAGCCACCGCACCTGGCCGGAAAACAGAGCTTCTGTCTCAGCCACTAGGCTGCGAAATGCTTAGCTCGTTGGCATAAAAAAGTACATGAGGCCGGGCATGATGGCTCACACCTGTAATTCCAGCACTTTGGGAGGCTGAGACGGAGGATCACTTGAGCCCAGGAATTGGAGACCAGCCTTGGCAACATAGTGAGACCCCGTCTCTACAAAACAAATTTTAAAATTAGCCGGGCATGGTGGGTACCTGTGGTCCCAGCTACTCAGGGGTGCTGAGGTGGGAGGACCGCTTGACCCTGGGAGGTTGCAGCTGCAGTGAGCTATGATCATGCAACTGCACTCCAGCCTGGGGGACAGAGCAAGACTCCATCTCAAAAAAAAAAATTAATCTTGGGGTGGTGGTGAGGAGAGAAGAGACGGGCTAGGTGGGGATCAACCCTGGAAAGATGATCAGAGGGGAAGAAGCTCAATGCCCAAAGAAATAGAGAAGGGGCAGTCAGAGAGGTGGGAGGGCGACCACATAGGAACACTAAGGAAACGGGGGTTGGAGCTGCACCTGGGCTGAGGCTGAGTCTGTCTTGGACTTTTCTGGATCCTGGGCTCCACAATGAAGCCAACCACAGCAGGATGGAGATTGGCGGGCAGTGCTGGGGAGACCCAGGCAGCTACCCACCCGCCGCTTGCAGAAGAAATGCTAATGAAGCCAAAAATAAATGCAGTACCAGCGAGTGACTGAGTCACCGCCAGTCCGTGGGCAGGTGTCAGCAGCGCGGGGCACCTGGCGGGGCTCATGTGTCCCGCCGCCTGGCAGCCTTGTGCGTGTGCACACACGTGCAGGGCCGTCGTCCAGCCACAGGCCCTGCCATCCACAAGCCCGTTTGCCATCCATGGGGCCACCCCAGGGACAGGCCTCAGCTACCGCAGGAGGGCCAGCTGCTACCTTCATTCCGTTAGCAAGCAATTACTGAGTGCCTATTCTGTCCCAGACCATATGTTGAAACCAAATCCCCTCTCCTCTGAAAACTGACGTCCTAGAGCAACATTCTAGAACTTTCCCAGGGATGGAAATGTTCTCTATCCACGCTAATTTGAAAAATGGCTAGGACAACTGAGGGACGACGTTTTTACTTTTATTTCACTTTAATTGATTTAAGCGTGAATATCTATATGTGGCTGCCATATGGAACACCAGTGCTCTAGGGAAAGATACAGACAAGAAACGATTGTTCTAATAAAAAAAGTAAAGTAGTGCTCGCTTCAGCAGCACATATGCTATAATTAGAACAATATAGAGAAGATTAGCACAGCCCCTGTGCAAAAAATGAAGCATTTCATTCTTTTTTTTTTTTATGAGATGGAGTCTCACTCTGTCACCCAGGCTGGAGGCGCGATCTCAGCTCACTGCAACCTCCGCCTTCGGCATTCAAGGGATTCTCCTGCCTCAGCCTCCCGAGTAGCTGGGATTACAGGTTCCTGCCACCATACCCAGCTAATTTTTTGTATTTTTAGTAGAGATGGGGTTTCACCATGTTGGCCAGGCTGGTCTCGAACTCCTGACCTCAGGTGATCCACCTGCCTTGGCCTCCCAAAGTGCTAGGATTACAGGCATGAGCCATGGCACCTGGCCTCTTTTTTTTTAATTTAATTTTTCAAAAAATTTAATTCCACTGGGCAGTGGAATGGTCAGATGCTGCCCTGACAGGATCTGGGTTGGCTGGAGCAGGATGAGGATTTTTTTTCAGTCTGTCACCCAGGCTAGAACCTATGTCCACTCCTGTGCCCCAATTCATGAGAAGCACAGTGATGAGCAGGGTGTGCCCAAAGGAGGGGAAGGACACTGAAGTCAGGGAGGACACTGAAGCCCATGTTCTGGGAGAAGACATTCTACGAGGTCCTTCAGGCAGCCCTGGTCTCTGGGAGCCCCATTCCAGTTCAGTCTGAGGAAGGACTTTGCTACAGGCAGGAAAGTCCCCAGATGCTTTGGGGCAGTTTCTGGAAGCAGTAAACTCCTCGTAACAGGGGTCATATGGGAGGGAGTTGGTGACCGCTGGTTGGGGAAGTTATAAAGAGGGCTCCATAGAGAGGGTTTGATTAGAGTGGTTTGGGGGCCTGGGGTCTTGATTCCAGGAAGGCAAAAGATCTGTGGCCTGACTCTTCCCCACACTACCCATCCATCCTGCAGTGCACTCAGATCCCTGTGAGAACAACCCTTGTCTTCATGGAGGGACATGTAATGCCAATGGCACCATGTATGGCTGTAGCTGTGATCAGGGCTTCGCCGGGGAGAACTGTGAGATTGGTGAGTACCCCAGACTCAGGATCTGAATCTGAATTTGTTTGACTCCAGAGCCTTGGGTTGTACTCCAGCAGCCATGCCCTCAGAATTCAGAGATCACAAAAAGCTGGTTTCAGATGCTCCATTCCCAAACCCCACTCCTTGCATTCAGCTAAATCAGCCCAGTTAGTGGAACCAGAATCAAACAGCTGAGCTTTCATCTCTGGTGTGCTGTCTCCCATTACTACCAGTCAGAGGTGGGAAGGAAAAGACAAAGGAATTATATGTCTGAGACTCCTCCCTGCAAAGGCCCTTTGGAGATCCTGCCCTTTCCTGGGTCGGTGGGAGGTATAAGCACTGCCACCAGAACTGTTGGGTGCTAGCTTCAAAGCCCAACACAAGAAATACTACCAATTATGAAATTACAACAACAAATATAAATGACATAATTTTTTGAGCTCTATGTGTCATCTTGACTTCACAACCTTCACAACCACATGACTGATTACAGAATTATAACAATAAATATAAATGATATAATTTCTTGAGCTCTTCTATTGCTTCCCTACTCACAATCATCCTTGAGTAGGAGCCCATTATTATTACCATTTTCAAAAAAAGTAAGCTGAGTTTCAAGGAGGGGAAGTGACTTGCCCAGTGCCATACGTGCCTCAAGCACTGTCTACACATGGACCAGTAGAAGAGGAGCTCAATGAATATCTAGCTTTACCCACAAACAGCTTTGTGACTCTGTGCAAGTCTTTGCAAATGCCTAAAAGAGACTCCAGCTTCAGCATTCTATGAGCCTGTTTTTGAGAGTATAACCTTCACTTCTCTAGAGTCAGGTAGAACAGTCTGCACATCCTGGCTCTCAGCTGCCCCAGTGGCATCTGCTCTCATTAATGCTAATTTATGTTAATTGTATGAGGTTCCACCCCCTTGCCTGCAGAGTCATTGGGCCATCTGTGCAAACTGTGACTGCTGCACTTAGGTCCAGGATGGATGGTAGGACCATGACCCCATCTTCTGCTTAGTTTCCTGTGGGGGCTCAGAGCCAAGGGGAAGCTGACCTCTAACTCAGTCTCTTCCCCTCTCTGCCAGACATTGATGACTGCCTCTGCAGCCCCTGTGAGAATGGAGGCACCTGTATTGATGAGGTCAATGGCTTTGTCTGCCTTTGCCTCCCCAGCTATGGGGGCAGCTTTTGTGAGAAAGGTGAGTTTCTATTGCAACACCAGAAACAGTACCAAGAGTGGGGTTGGGTGCCCAGCCACAGGCTTCCCCACATACTCCAGGTCCCTGCCTCCAGTTCCATGGCTGTGAGCCTGACACAAGATAAATTATTCTTTTAGACAAACTGTGCGTAACATAGAATTAACCATTTTACTTTATTTTATTATTTTTTTGAGATGGAATCTTGCTCTGTCACCCAGGCTGGAGTGCAGTGGCGCCATCTCAGCTCACTGCAACCCCCACCTCCCAGTTTCAAGCAATTTTCCCTGCCTCAGCCTCCCAAGTAGCTGGGATTACAGGCGCCCGCCACCACGCCTGGCTAATTTTTGTATTTTTTAGTAGAGATGGGGTTTTGCTATGTTGGCCGGGCTGGTCTTGAACTCCTGACCTCAGGTGATCCACCCACCTTGGCATCCCAAAGTGCTGGAATTACAGGCATGTGCCACTGCGCCTGCCCTATTTTATTTTATTTTTTTTTTTTGAGACAGAGTCTCGCTCTGTCACCAGGCTGGAATGTAGTGGCACAATCTCAGCTCACTGCAACCTCCAACTCCCTGGTCCAAGTGATTCTCCTACCTCAGCCTCCCGAGTAGCTGGGATTACAGGCACACGCCACCACGCCTAGCTAAATTTATTTTATTTTTTGAGACAGGGTCTCACCCTGGCACCCAGGCTGGATGGAGTGCAGTGGTGCGATCTTGGCTCATTGCAGCTTTGACCTCCCAAGCTCAAGTGATCCTCCCTCCTTAGCCTCCCCAGTAGGCTGGGACTACAGGCACACACCACCATGCCTGGCTAATTTTTGTATTTTTTGTAGAGACAAGGTTTCACCATGTTGCCCAGACTGGTCTTGAACTCCTGAGCTCAAGCAATCTGTCCACATCAGCCTCCCAAACTACTGGGATTACAGCCACTGAGCCCAGCCAAATTAACCATTTTAAAGTGTACATTTCAGTGGCATTCTGTACAATCACAATGTTGTACAGCCATCACCTCTGTCTAGTTCCAGAACTTTTTCAACACCCCAGAAGGAAACTCTGTGCCCACTAGGTGGTCACTCCCTATTCCCATTCCCCAGTCCCTGGCAACCACTAATCTGCTTTCTGTCTCTGTGGATTTGCCTGTTCTAGACATTTCATATGAATGGAATCTCAAAATATGTGTCTTTTGTGTCTGGCTTCTTTCACTTGGCATGTTTTCAAGGTTCACCTGTATTGTAATATGAATCAGTGTTTCATTCCTTTTCATGGCTGAGTAGTATTCCATTGTATGGCTATATCACATTTTGTTTATCCATTCATGGTTTGATGGATATTTGGGTTGTTTCCTCCAGAGGCTAAGGTCAATAGTGCTGCTGTGAATATATTCTTGTATGTGTTTTTGTTTGAATAACTATTTGCCATTCTTTTTTTTCCCTCTACTCTTTTTGGTGTATACTCTCAGGAGTGGAATTGCTGGGTCATATGGTAACTCTAGGTTTAATTTACTTTTTTTTTGTAGAGATGGGGTTTTGCCATGTTGCCCAGGCTGCTCTAAAACTCCTGGGTTCATGTGATCCTCCTGCCTCAGCCTCCCAAAGTGCTGGAATTACAGACATGAGCCACTGTGCTTGGCCTTTTTTTTTTTTTTTTGAAACAGGTTCTCACTCTGTGCCCAGGCTGGAAAGTACAGTGGTACAATCATAGTTCACTGTCACCTTGAACTCCCAGGCTCAAGCGATTCTCTTGCTTCAGCCTACCCAGTAGCTGGAACTACAGGTTTGTGCCACCATGCCTGGCTAATTTTTATTTTTTTAATTTCTTTTTATTTTTATTTTTTGAGACAGGGTCTCACTCTGTCACCTAGGCTGGAGTGAAGTGGTGTGATCTTGGCTCACTACAACCTCCACCTCCCGGTTCAAGTGATTCTTGTGCCTCAATCTCCCCAGTATCTGGGACTATAGGCACCTACCACCACACGTGACTCAATTTTTTTTTTTTTTGAAGTTTAGTAGAGATGGGGCCAGGCTGGTCTTGAACTCCTGGCCTCAAGTGATCCACCAGCCTCGACCTCCCAAAATACTGGGATTACAGGCATGAACCACCATCCTCAGCCTACTTTTCCTTTTAAAAAAAAATTATATGTAATCCCAGCACTTTGGGAGGCCAAGGCAGGCTGATCATGTCAGGAGATCAAGACCATCCTGGCCAACATGGAGAAACCCCATCTCTACTAAAAATACAAAAATTAGCAGGCATGGCGACACGTGCCTGTAATCCCAGGTACTTGGGAGGCTGAGGCAGGAGAATTGCTTGAACCTGGGAGGTGGTGTCTACAGTGAGCCAAGATCGCACCATTACACTCCAGCCTGGGCAACAGAGCCAGACTCCATCTCAAAAAAAAAAAAATTTTATATATATATATCTCCATCCTAGTGGGTGTGAAGTGATATCTCATGGTGGTTTTGACATTGACAATGAGCATCTTTTCATGTGCTTGTTGGCCATTTGTATGTCTTCTGTGGAGAAATGTCTGAGCTCCCATGTCCATACGAAGGGTGTGGCCCCGACATCAGAGAAGGAGCCTTCAGCATTGGAATGAGAGGGGGTGTCAGGGAATGATCTCCCAGTTAAATCTCTTCCAGAAACAAAGAAAAGACATTAAGATTTGGCCAGTGTGGTGGCTCACGTCTGTAATTCCAGCATTTTGGGAGGCTGAGGTGGGCAGATCACTTGAGGCCAGGAGTTTGAGACCAACCTGACCAACATGGTGAAACCCTATCTCTACTAAAAATACAAAATTAGGTGGGCGTGGTGGCGCACGCCTGTAATCCCAGCTACTCAGGAGGCTGAGGTGGGAGGATTGCTTGAGTATGGGAGGCGGAGGTAGCAGTGAGCCGAGATTGTGCCATTGCACGCCAGCCTGGGCGACGGAGTGAGACCCTGTCCAAAAAAAAAAGAAAAAAAAGAAGTCAATATGGGAGGTGAAAGGGTTGGGAGAGCAGAGCCTCAGGAGGAGGGGCCAGGCATGGGGAGAGGGGTGATTTCGCCCCGCAGTGACCTTGGATTGGGCCCTCTCTCTGGTGGGCTGGCTGTGCTCATGGCTGGTAGGCCTTGGGCCAAGGCCAGCCCCCCCTCACGCTCCTATCCCATCTCCCAGACACCGAGGGCTGTGACCGCGGCTGGCATAAGTTCCAGGGCCACTGTTACCGCTATTTTGCCCACCGGAGGGCATGGGAAGATGCCGAGAAGGACTGCCGCCGCCGCTCCGGCCACCTGACCAGCGTCCACTCACCGGAGGAACACAGCTTCATTAATAGTAGGGGCTCTGGGGAGGGGGCCACCTGCCTGGAGGGTGGGCAGGGGTGGCACTTGTAGCCCTTTTGCCAGGGCATCGCATCCCTCCCCTGGTTTTCAAGACGTCATCTTTCCAAAGCTGTGTTCATTAACGCAAGCCCTGACTGCTTCTTAATGCATGAAATCTGTCAATTCACTTGTTAATTCATACATTCACTTCATTCATTCATTCACCAAATATTTACTGAGCACCTGCTATATGCCAGGCACCATTCCAGGAATATTGACACAGCACAGCAGCAATCAAGGCTGACTTTGCTTTGTCCCCAGGGAGTGACCATTTCTTGGGGAGGATATAGACAAACAAGTAAATATCTAAGTAAATAAGTCTATACTGTAATTCAACAGATCCTATGTGTGCTGATAACAAAACAGGGCCAGGAGATGGAGGGTGATGGGAGAAGCACCTGTAATGTGTTCAAAGACCTAGGAGAGAGACAAGTGTTCCATTCATGTAATCCGGGACTTATTGATTTATTCATTATCCCTCTGCCTTCTGCTCATCCATCCATTTATTCTGTTTATTCCGTTTGCCACCATCCCATCCCTCGTGACTCCTTCCTTTCTTCCTTCCCTGATTTGTTTCTTTTTCCTTGATGTATCCCACTGGGCCTCTCCCTCCTGAGCGACTGGCTCGCGCCTTCTCACCTATCTGCCCGTCCAGCGCCCACTGGCGTCTCCTGTCCCCTACTTCTCATTTCTGCAAAGATGCAACAGTGCCCGGGTTTACTCCTGCTTCTCCTGGCCACAAACCCTGGGATAGCCTGGGCCTACTTCCGGTTCTTCCCATGCCTCACCCCCCTAAAAGAGGGTAGCCAGAGTCCCCACTTGTGGAGGGTGGGGTGAGGATGCACCTCCAGCCTACACTGAGGCTGGGAGAGGGGTTCATGCCTGCCCCCTACCCTCCTCCTCCTTCCTTTCCCTCCTACCTCCCCATCTTCCCTCCCACTCCTCCCCCTCCTCCTTCTATACCTCTTCCTCCCTCTTCCCCATCCTCCCTCCCCCTCCTCTCCCTCCTCCTTCCATTCTTTCTCCTCCTCCCTCCTACTCCTCCCCTTCTCCCTCCTCTCCTCCCCTTCCTCCTTCCACTCATCTTCCACCTCCTTTCTCCTCTCCATCCTCCCTCCCCTCCTCCCTCTCCTCCTCCCATTCCTCCTCTTCCTCTCTCCTCTCCTCCCCCTTCCCTCCCCCTCCTCCTTCCACTCATCTTCTTCCTCCTTTCTGCTCCTCATCCTGCCTCTCCCTCCTCCCATTCATCCCCTCCTCCCTCCTGCTCCTCCCCAGGCCTCCTCCCTTCTACTCCTCCTCCTTCTCCTTCCTCTTCCCCTTGCTCTTCCTCCTCCCTTCCACTCCTCCTCTTTTCTCCTCCCCATTCATCTCCCACTCTTCCCCCTCCTCCCTCCAACTCCTCCCCTCCTCCTTCCATTCATCTTTCTCCTCCTTTCTCCTTCCCTTCCTCCTCCCTCTTCTCTCCTTCCTCCCTCCCATTCCTCTGCCTCCTCCTTCCACTCATCTTCCTCCTCCTTTCTCTTCCCCATCCTCCCTCCCACTCCTCCCCCTCCTTCTTCCACTGATCTTTCTCCTCCTTTCTCCTCCCCCTCCTCCTCCCATTCCCCCCTCCTCCCTCCTGCTCCTCATCCTCCCTTCCATTCCTCCTCCCTCCTCCCCATCCTTCTTCCCACTCCTGCCCCTCCTCCCTTTCACTCCTCCTCCTTTTTCCTCCCCCTCATCTCTCTCCTTCTCCCTTCCTTCCCCCTTCCCTTCTCCAGCTCTTACAGAGGTTAGGGAGGGCATCTGTGTACTCCCTCACCTCTGTAAACTTCACTTCTATCTCCTTCCCTCTCCACCTCAACCTCCAGCCCACCTCCAGGCTGGGGAAGGGGCTGAGTCTTCCCCTCCCATACATACCTCACCCGGCCCCCAGCCCACAGAGAGGCTGAGGGAGGGGCTCTGGGTCCTCCTCCATCCCTGTACCTGCTTCTTCCCTCTTCATTTCCACCTTCTAGATCTTTCCCCCCACCCAGCCCACCTCCAGGCTGGGGAAGGTGAGGAATTCTTTCCTCCCACACCCTACCCCACCTCACCTGCAGCCTGTGCCCTGGGCCAGGAGAGGCATGGGTGAACACCCAGACCCACAACCCCCGACCCTGCAGGCTTTGGGCATGAAAACACGTGGATCGGCCTGAACGACAGGATCGTGGAGAGAGATTTCCAGTGGACGGACAACACCGGGCTGGTGAGTGGCAGGGGCTGCGGGCCTAGGCTGCTGAGCCACATCAGCCCTGCCATCTGGCCTCAGTTTACCCTTTTGTGCAAAGTTATCGCAATTGGGTGTCAGAGGTCTCTAGTGGCTCCAAGATGCTGGAGTTGGCAAAGGAGCTTCAAGTGAAGGCTAAACCTTCTCCCCTGACTTCCCCAGCCCAAGTAAACAGACCGCGCCCACGAAGCTGCAGAGGTTACAAACCTGAGACTAGGGTCTGATGCCTCCCCTACTCACTCTGCCTGGTCCCCCAGCCATGGTCTCTCAAATATTCTCATTTCTAGCCTGGGCATGATGGCTCATGCCTGTAATCCCAGCACTTTGGGAGGCCAAGGTGGGCACTTGAGACTAGCCTGGCCAACATGGTGAAACCCCGTCTCTACTAAAAATATAAAAATTAGCTGGGTGTGGTGGCCCACGCCTCTAATCCCAGCTACTCAGGAGGCTGAGGCGTGAGAATCGCTTGAACCTGTGAGGCGGAGGTTGCAGTGAGCCGAGATCACTCCACTGCACTTCAGCCTGGGTGATGATAGAACGAGATCCTGTCTCAAAAAAAAAAAAAAGTATATATATGCCAGGCTGGTGGTCCATGCTTGTAATCCCAGCACTTTGGGAGACTGAGTGAGGAGGATCACTTGAGCCCAGGAGTTCAAGGCTGCAGTGACCTGTGATCACATCACTGCACTCCAGCCTGGGTGACAGAGCGAGACCCTGTCTCTAAAAACATATTAGCTCAGCATCCTCCCTGCTTCAAGCCCTCCCAGACTCTCCATTGTTCTCAAGATAAAAATTCCCCTTCTCCCGCTGTGTAAAAATCTGGCGGTTCCTCACACAGTTAAACATAGAAGCTGGGCACAGTGGTACGAGCCTGTAGTCTCAGCTATCGGGAAGCTGAGGCGGGAGGATCACTTAAGCCTAGGAATTGGAATCCAGCCTGGGCAACACAGTGAGACCCCCGTCTCTAAAAATATAAAAATAAAAATAAAAAGTTAAACATAGAGTTACCACATGACCCAGCGATTCTACTACTAGATACATACCCAGAAGAATTGAAAACAGAGATTCAAAGTGGTACAAAAATGTACATTATTCGGGTCATGGATACACTAAAAGCCAAGACTTTGCCACTAGATGATATATATTTTATTATATGCATATGCATATAATAAAATTGCACTTGTACCCTTTAAATTTATACACAGAGGCCGGGCACAGTGGCTCACGCCTATGATCCCAGCACTTTGGAAGGCCGAGGCAGGCAGATCACTTGAGGTCAGGAGTTCCAGAAGAGCCTGGCCAATGTGGTGAAACCCCATCTCTACTAAAAATACAAAAATTAGCTGGGTGTGGTGGCATGTACCTGGAATCCCAGCTACTTGGGAGGCTGAGGCAGGAGAATCACTTGAACCCGGGAGGCAGAGGTTGCAGTGAGCCAAGATCACACCATTTCACTCCAGCCTGGGCAACAGAGCAGGACTCCATCTCCAAAACAACACAAACAAACAAAAAATTGTACTAAGAAAGAAAAAGAGGCTGGGTGTGGTAGCTCACACCTGTAATCCCAGCACTTTGGGGAGGCCAAAGTAGGAGGATCGCTGGAGCCCAGGAGGTTGAGGCTCCAGTGAGCTATGATTGCACCACTGCACTCCAGCCTGGGTGACAGAGCAAGACCCTGTCTCAAACAAAACAAAACAGGCCAGGCGTGGTGGGTGACTCACGCCTGTAATCCCAGCACTTTGGGAGGTCGAGGCGAGTGGATCACCTGAGGTCGGGAGTTCAAGACCAGCCTGGCCAACATGGTGAAACCCTGTCTCTACTAAAAATAAAAAAATAGCTGGGTGTGATGGCACATGCCTGTAGTCCCAGCTACTTGCGAGGCTGAGGCAGGAGAATCGCTTGAACCTGGAAGGCGTAGGTTGCAGTGAGCCGAGATCGCGTCACTGCACTCCAGCCTGGGTGACAGAGGGAGACTCTGTCTCAAAAAACAAACAAACAAACAAAAACTTGTACATGAATGTTCACAGCCCCACTATTCACAATAGCCAAGGTGGGAACATCCAAAATACCCATCAACAGATGAAGGAAGAGACAAAATGTGGTCCATCCATGCAATGGAATATTGTTCGGCCATAAAGGAGAAGTTGGCCAGGTGCAGTGGTTCATGCCTGCAATCCCAGCACTTTTGGAGGCCAAGGTGGGTGGATTGCTTGAGTTGTGGAGTTTGAGACCAGCCTGGGCAACATGGCGAAACCCCATCTCTACAAAAAATTCAAAAATTGAGACAGAGCGAGACTCCGGCTCAAAAATAAAATAAAATAAAATAATAAACAAAATGTGGAATGAGCCAGGCATAGAAGGCCAGCTGTTGTATGATTTTTTTTTTTCATGAAGCATTCAGAGTAGGCAAATTTAGAGACAGGAAGTAGATTAGTGTTTGCCAGGGGCTGGGGTCGGGAGAAGGGGGAGTCACTAGTGCTCAATGAGTACAGAATTTTGGTGTGTTGTGATGAAAAAGTTCTGGAAATAGGCTGTGCGGGGTGGCTCAGGCCTGTAATCCCAACACTTTGGGAGGCTGAGGTGGATGGATCACAAGGTCAGGAGTTCAAGACCAGCCTGACCAATATGGTAAAACCCTGTGTCTACTAAAAATACAAAAATTAGCCAGGCGTGGTGGCGTGCACGTGTAATCCCAGCTACTCAGGAGGTTGGGGCAGGAGAATCGCTTGAACCTGGGAGGCGGAGGTTGCAGTGAGCCAAGATCATGCCACTGCACTCCAGCCTGGGCGACAGAGAGAGACTCCATCTCAAAAAAAAAAAAAAAAAAAGAAAAAGAAAAAGTTCTGGAAATAACAATGATGGTTATGCAACATTGTGAATGTAATTAGTGCATTAAACTGCACACCGCCTCTTGAACCCGGGAGGCGGAGGTTGCAGCGAGCCAAGGTAGCACCACTGCAATCCAGCCTGGATAATAGAGACTCTGTCTCAACAAAATAAAAATAACAATAAACTGCACACGTAAAAATGGTTAAAATTGGCCAGGTGCGGTGGCTCACGCCTGTAATCCCAGCACTTTGGGAGGCCAAGGTGGGTGGATCGCGAGGTCAGGAGTTCAAGACCAGCCTGGCCAACATGGTGAAACCCCATCTCTACTGAAAATACAAAAATTAGCTGGGCATGGTGGCGCATGCCTGTAATCCCAGCTACTCAGGAGGCTGGGGCAGGAGAATTGCTTGAACCGGGACCTGGGAGGCGGAGGTAGCAGTGAGCGAGATCGCACCACTACACTCCAGCCTGGGCTCTGTCTCAAACAAAACAAAACAAAACAAAACAAAAATGGTTAAAATTAGGAATTATGTGCTATATATATTTTGCGCTATATATATTTTGCCACAATTTTTAAAAATTCACTTCCTTTTCTCTGATGCAAGATCTGGTCCCTCTCTACTCTCTGAGCACACCCCAGCCCCATCACGCAGCTCCAGCCCCACTGGGCTTTGTCTGTTCCTCAAGCAGAACAAGTTCAGTCCTGCCTCTGAGCCTTCACACTGGTGGTTCCCTTTGCTAGGAATGCTGTTCCCTGTCTGAACCCTTACTATCTTTTTTTTTTTTTTTTTGAGATAGAATCTCACTCCATCACCCGGGCTGGAGTTCAGTGATGCAACCCAGCTCACTGCAACCTCTGCCTCCCAGGCTCAAGGGATTCTCCTGCTTCAGCATCCCGAGTATCTTGGGACTACAGGCGCGCACCATCATGCCCGGCTAATTTTTGTATTTTTATGAGAGACAGGGTTTCACCTTGTTGTCCAAGGTGGTCCCAAACTCCTGACCTCAAGTGATCTGACCCCCTTGGCCTCTCAAAGTGCTGGGATTACAGGCATGAGCCACTGAGCCCGGCCTTGAATCCTTACTATCTTTGATTCTTTAACTCTCACATTGCCTCCTCAGGGAAGTCCTCCTGGACTTCGGGCTGAGATCACCATTTGTCCCACCATGTATCTTTTTTCTTTTTCTTTTCCTTTTTTTTTTTTTTTTTGAGGCAGAGTCTCGGTCTTGTCACCCAGGCTGGAGTACAATAGCGCAATCTCGGCTCACTGCAACCTCTGCCTCCCGGGTTCAAACAATTCTCCTGCTGGGATTACAGGCTCCCACTACCATGCCTGGCTAATTTTTTGTATTTTTAGTGGTGATGGGGTTTCACCATATTGACCAGGCTGGTCTTGAACTCCTGACCTCAGGTGATCCGCCCACCTCGGCCTCCCAGAGTGCTGGGATTACAGGCATGAGCCACCAGGCCTGGCCTTGTCCCACCACTTATCTAACACTGATTCATGTTGAAAATGAACTGGGTGCGGCCGGGCACCCAGGGAGGCAGGAGGACCAGGGAGGAGAATGCTGCAGCCTCCAAACCAGAGGAATGGTGTATTGGATTACAGTGGTGGCCCCCGTCAGGATGGGCAGGACAGTGGCCATTGTAGAGATGGGAACACTGAATCCCTGTGAGTTTGAGGGGTCTGGCCAGGGGAGTCCCACAGCAGGAATTGCCAGAACCTGGGCTGGAACAGAGGTCCCCTGAACAACTCCCTGCCCCCTATTCCTGCAGCAATTTGAGAACTGGCGAGAGAACCAGCCGGACAATTTCTTCGCGGGTGGCGAGGACTGTGTGGTGATGGTGGCGCATGAAAGCGGGCGCTGGAACGATGTCCCCTGCAACTACAACCTACCCTATGTCTGCAAGAAGGGCACAGGTATGCTGTGCCCCCTGCTTCTTTTCCTCTCTGTCACTTTTGCTCACTGGTTCTCTGTTGCCCAGGCTGGAGTGCAGTGGCATAATCATGGCTCATCACAGCCTCCACCGCCTGGGTTCAAGCCATCCTCCTGCCTCAGCTTCCCGAGTAGGTGGGACTATAGGCATGCACCAACATGCCCAGCTAATTTTTGTATTTTTTGTAGAGATGGGGTCTTGCCATGTTGCCCAGGCTGGTCCCGAACTCCTGGGCTCAAGCGATCTGCCTGTCTCAGCCTCTCGAAGTGCTGGGATTATATGCATAAGCCATTGTGCCCAGCCTTGATTCATTTTTTTTTTTCATGAAGCATTCAGAGTACACAAATTTAGAGACAAGAAGTAGATTAGTATTTGCCAGGGGCTAGGGTTTGGGAGAAGGGGGAGTCACTAGTGCTTAATGGGTATAGAATTTTGGTGTGTTGTGATGAAAAAGTTCTGGAAATAGGCCGCTCGGGGTGGCTCATGCCTGTAATCCCAACACTTTGGGAGGCCAAGGTGGGTGGGATTATATTTTATTTTTTTAATTTATTCTTATTTTGTTTTTACTTATTTATGTTTTTGGAGACAGTTTCGCTCTTGTTGTCCAGGCTGGAGTGCAAAGGCATGCTCTTGGCTCACTTCAACCTCTGCCTCCCATGTTCAAGTGATTCTCCTGCCTCAGCCTCCTGAGTAGCTGGGATTACAGGCGTATGCCACCACGCCCAGCTGGTTTTTATATTATTAGTAGAGACGGGGTTTCACCATGTTGGCCAGGCTGGTCTCGAACTCCTGACCTCAGGTGATCCACCCACCTCGGCCTCCCAAAGGGCAGGGATTACAAGCATGAGCCACTGCACCTCGCCTTCATCTTTTTAAGTTGGTAAATGTCAGTGCAGCCAGTTCTCACTTTCCACCAGCGTATGAGAGTGCTTGTTTCCTCCCACCCTTGCTAACTCTGCACATTCTTAAACTTTTGTTCTTTGTTCATCTAAGTGGGGAAAAATAGTATCTCATTGTTATCTTAGTTTGCATGCCTTTAAGGATGAGAATAACCAGTTGTTTTTTGTTTGTTTGTTTGAGATGGAGTCTCACTCTGTCATCCAAGCTGGAGTGCAGTATTGCAGTCTCGGCTCACTGCAACCTCCGCCTCTGAGGTTCAAGCGATTCTCCTGCCTCAGCCTCCCGAGTAGCTGGGATTACAGGCACACACCACACCTGGCTAATTTTTTTTTTGTTTTTGTATTTTTAGTGGAGACGGGGTTTCACCATGTTGACCAGGCTGGTCTCAAACTTCTGACCTTAAGTAGTCTGCCTGCCTCAGCCTCCCAAAGTTCTGGGGTTACAGGTGTGAGCCACCGTGTCTGGCCTAACCAACTGTTTATATGTTGACAGCCTGTTGGCATATATTTCTTTCCCTGTGAACTGTCAATTCATCTCTTTTGCCCAGTTTTCTATTGACTTGTTGATCTTACTGATTTTTAAGAGATCTTTATATATGAAAGAAATCATTTGTATACATTTGTACATCCACCTTTATTTTATACTTTGGTTTATTTTTGTTTCCATTTCTTTGTCAATTTTCACATCCTCCCCCCCATTTATTCATGTATTTATTTATTTATTTTTGAAACAGGGTCTTGCAATGTTGCCCAGGCTGGAGTACAGTGGCATTATCACGGCTCACTGCAGATCACTTGAACTCCAGGGCTCAAGTGATACTCCTACCTCAGTCTTACCAGTAGCTGGACTACGGGTGCACACCACCATGCCTGGCTTATTTATTTATTTATTTATTTTGAGACGGCGTCTTGCTCTGTCGCCCAGGCTGGAGTGCAGTGGCGCAATCTCGGCTCACTACAAGCTCCGCCTCCCGGGTTCACGCCATTCTCCTGCCTTGGCCTCCTCAGCAGCTGGGACTACAGGCGCACGCTGCCACACCCAGCTAATTTTTTGTATTTTTAGTAGAGACGATGTTTCACCGTGTTAGCCAGGATGGTCTCGATCTCCTGACCTTGTGATCCGCCTGCCTCGGCCTCCCAAAGTGCTGGAATTACAGGTGTGAGCCACCGCACCCGGCCCTTATTTTAAAATTTTTTTGTAGAGACAGGGTCTTGCTGTGTTGCCCAGGCTGGTCTCAAACTCCCGGACTGAAGCAATCCTTCCACCTCAGCCTCCCAAAGTGCTGGCATTACAGGCCTGAGCTGCCGCACCCGGCCTTTATTTGCTCAGATAATTATTATTGCCGTCTGTCTCCTTCATTCCCATTGTGCCCTATGTTTGGTGTAAGAATTAGAAAGTGAGGTGTGTCCGGGAGGTTGCTGTCCCTAAGGAGCTGCTGATTTGGGTAGAAGAGACAGACAGACACAGTCACTTCCAGCCCTGTGAGATAAGAACTGGGCAGAGGCAGGGACCTGTTGACGAGCTGAGGGGGGTGTCATTCCCAATAAAACTCAGCTTGAGCCCATGAGTTCAAAACTAGCCCGGGCAACATAGTGGGACCCTGTCTTTACAAAAAATCAAAAAATTAGCTAGGCTCGGTGGTGCGCACCTGTAGTCTCAGCTACTTGAGAGGCTGAGGTGGGAAGATCCCTTGAGCCTGGGAGGTTGAGGCTGCAGTGAGTTGTGATTGTGCCACTGCACTCCAGCCTGAGCGACAAAGGAAGACGCTCTTTTAAAAACAACAATAAGAGCCAGGCACGGTGGCTCATGCCTTTAATCCCAGCACTTTGGGAGGACAAGGTGGGCAGCTCATCTGAGGTCAGGAGTTCAAGACCCGCCTGGCCAATATGACGAAACCCGGTCTCTACTATAAATACAAAAATTAGCCAGCCATGGTGGTGCATGTCTGTAATCCCAGCTCCTCGGGAGGTTGAGGCAGGAGAATCACTTGAGTCTGGGAGGCAGGGGTTGCAGTGAGCCGAGATCACGCCACTGCACTCCAGTCTGGGAGACAGAGTGAGACCCTGTCTCAAAAAAGGAACAAAAAAATACAAAAATTAGCCAGGTGTAGATTACAGGCAGGTGCCTGTAATCCCAGCTACTTGGGAGGCTGAGGCAGGAGAATCGCTTGAACCAGAGAGGCGGAGGTTGCAGTGAGGCAAGAGCGCGCCACTGCACTCCAGTCTGGGTGACAGAGCGAAACTCTGTCTCAAACAACAACAACAACAACAACTAGTTTAGCCCCAGATGTGAGCACCTCTCTCACTAGAGATTCCTCTGTCCCAGTGCTCTGTGGTCCCCCTCCGGCAGTGGAGAATGCCTCACTCATCGGTGCCCGCAAGGCCAAGTACAATGTCCATGCCACTGTAAGGTACCAGTGCAATGAAGGATTTGCCCAGCACCATGTGGCCACCATTCGATGCCGGAGCAATGGCAAGTGGGACAGGCCCCAAATTGTCTGCACCAAACGTAAGTAGCTTCTCCCAGAGATCTCAACATAGGTTTTTGGTATTTCTAGTTTCCAAGTAAGACATCCTATTTCTCCACACATTGATCTGGCTTAATGTCTGCCTGATAATACAGCCTTGCAGATAAGTGAGAACTTACCAGCCTGTCTGATGTTTCCTTCATTTGTGTGTGTGTGTGTGTGTGTGTGTGTGTGTGTGTATGTGTATGAGAGAGAGATGGAGTTGTGCTCTGTTGCCCAGGCTGGAGTGCAGTGGCACAATCTCGGCTCACTGCAACCTCCCGGGTTCAAGCGATCCTTGTGTCTCAGCCTCCTGAGTAGCTGGGATCACAGGTGTCCACTGCCATGCCCGGCTAATTTTTGTATTTTTAGTAGAGACAGGGTTTCACTATGTTGGCCAGGCTGATCTCGAACTCCTGAGTTCATGTGATCAGCTCACCTCAGCCTCCCAAAGTGCTGGGATTACAGGCGTGAGCCACCACATCCGGCCTGGTTTTGTTTTTTTTGAAACAGAGCCTCACTCTGTTGCCCAGGCTGGAGTGCGAGGCTCAATCACAGCTCACTATAGCCTCATCCTCCCAGTCTCAAGGGATCCTCCAAACTCAGCCTCCCAAATAGCTGGGACTACAAGCATGTGCCGCCACGCCTGGCTAATTTTTTTATTTTTGTAGAGATAGGTTCTCGCTATGTTGCCCAAGCTGGTCTCAAACTCCTGGCTTCAAGAGATCCTCCCACTTTGGCCTCCCAAAGTGCTGGGATGACAGGGATGAGCCCTCGCGTCTGGCCTCTTTCCTCTACTTTCTCTCCCAAGGACACCCGCTGCATCAGGCCACCTGCCTCTCACCACCTTTTGTCCCTTCCCTGTCCTCCCTCACTTCCCTGCAGCCAGACGTTCACATCGGATGCGGCGACACCACCACCACCACCAACACCACCACCAGCATCACCACCACAAATCCCGCAAGGAGCGCAGAAAACACAAGAAACACCCAACGGAGGACTGGGAGAAGGACGAAGGGAATTTCTGCTGAAGAACCAGAAAAAAGAAAGCACAACACCTTTCCCATGCCTCCTCTGGAGCCTTCGCCTGGGGAGACAGAACCCAGAGAGAAACAAGAGAGTCCAGAAGTCCCTGAACCCCAAACCACATCCCCCACACACATAATCCTTTGTACAAAGCTCCTCTTTTCCCTTTTTTTACATACACAAGATCCTCTTGGCAGGTGGAGCCAGGTGTCTGAAAAGTTCATTCTCGTCTGGCTGAACTCTGGGAGTGTGTCCCAGCTGAGGGAAGCACAAGTAGCAAAGCTCATTGGTCTGGTCTCTTGTTTGCCAGGCTGATTGAAGCAGGCCTTGATGAGGGTGCATGAGTGTATGTTTGCATTCACATGAAGGAATTGCTTTTCACACCAGAAATTCAGACTTAGTCAATGTTGGCTGAATTCCTAAATCCAGGAAGAAGCCTGGACGTAGGGTCATTAGCTTTGGGAATAGAAGGCTACACAGAAGCACACTGTTTTTGAACTTGACAACAGCTCTCCCTTTACCCTGGACTTCAGCCCAAGTTCCGTCTTTGGTCTTGGTGGATAAACACACAGTGTGGAGATCCCACGTACTGCATTTTAGGGATGTTTTTAGGACAACCTCCCTCCATGCCTTCAGAGTTAGGAGTGAGAATGATCAAAGCAATATGTAGGTGATGGAGGGAGAGTGTATTGCTAACCCTTCCAGGTCTAGTCCAGCGCTGAGATTTGGTGGTTCTGCATGTGTGATGAATCTCTTTCACACAAATAGACGAGAGGATATTTAGGGCTAGATGAGCCCAGATTTCTTCCCCCTCCATCTCTCAGGGAGACAAAGAACCTCCTTCCTGGACCAAGGAGGTGCTGCCAAGTTTTCTAGCCCAGTGCACATACCCAGTCCTTAAGCAGACATTGGTAGTGCCCCTGCCCTGGGTCCCACTCCTGCCCCACCCCACCCTTGTCCCTGGCCATTGCCTGGTGGTCTAGAAACACTTAAAACTTGAAGTAGTGACACCTACCTGCGGTCATATTGTAGAGAGATGCTCAGTGTTAAAACTGAAACACACAAACACACACACACACACATTTTTCTCTTGTAGATTTTAATTTTTTAAGTGGGAAAGAACTCACCTTGCCTTCCTCCCCCAAATGTGCAACCTGTAAAAGGTCTCTCCACACCAGGGGCCAGGATCCAGTTCCCTCATCTCTGGCAGGAAAGATCCACAGCTTTTCCTCCATGTCTGTTACTCACTTTCAGCAGTCCGGGTAAAATCTGTGGATCAGGGTTAAAAAAGCACCGTGGAGAATGGCCCTCTTCAGGAAAGAAAAATAAGCAAATGAATGGTCCACCTAGGGGTTCAGTAAAGAAAGAAATGTGTTAACTGAGCCTGAATCCCTTCTGGGAAGTAATAATGACCATTGACAACTAAGAAGTAGACACCATGCTAAAGACTTACATACAATCTCCTTGAATCTTCTCAATAGCCCATTGACTTAGAAACTGTTACTTTCCCATTTTACACACAGTGAAACTGAGGCTCAGATATAAAGGAAAGGTACTGGCTTGAAGTCACAACCACGACAGGAGTAAGGATTTGGAATAAGGATTTGGTCCTGTTTTCTGGACCAAATCCTTACTCTGGCTCTGCTTACACTTTCTCTCCATCACCAAATCCTTACTCCAAATCCAGAAGTCAGAGCCAACTCCCATCTTGGTTCTGACCCAAATCCTGCTCTGGACTCTGGAGAGGAGATTGAAATATAATTGCACCCTCATACACATTTAGGAAATGGTTAAGAAGTGTAAACTGAACCCTTATCCTTGTCTTCAATCTTCCTCCCTGTAGACATCTATCTTATTATGGTTATTATTCAGAAAACCCAGGGATACAGGTTTGTCTTCTTACTTTGATAACTCTTCTTAGTTTAAAATAATAATAATAACACATCTTTGGTCATCTATGTCACACAAAAATTTTCCTTTGTTTGCGGGGGGCTGGGGATGCAGTGTTTTTTGGGGGGTCTTGGTTTATGCTCCCTGCCCTTGAGCCCCTCAGCCGTTTGCCCTGCCCCCACCTCGGCTCCATGGTGGGAGGGGGCTCTGGTCTTTTCTAAAGTGGGCGGTTTGTCTTTTGATCTTTCCCTTTTGGATGTGCGTGTGTGTCTGCGTGTGCCATGTGCGTGGCACGCATATGAGTGTGTGTGCGTGTGAACGGCTTTGGGTCCTGCTGGTTTTGCTGTGAGCTGCAGTGTTCTGTGGGTCTGTGGTATCTGACACTGTGGACATTAATGTACTTCTTGGACATTTTAATAAATTTTTTAACAGTTCAACCTGCCCGTCACCACCTGATACCTTCATTCATTCATTCATTCAGCAAGTATTTACCCGAGCAGCTATTGTGATCCATGTACTGTACTGGGTGCTGGGGAGATAGTGGTGAACAGAGAAGGTTTGGTCTTTAGTGGGTAGTCACAGAAGGCTTCCCCGAGGAGGGGAATGGAATCTAAAGAAGAAGTCGCATTAACTAGATGAGGAGAGAAAGAAAGGAAAGGCATTCCACTCAGAGGAAAGAGTGAAAGCAAAAGTCTTCTTGCAGAAGGGAGCGGGCGCAGTGGCTCATGCCTGTAATCCCAGCACCTTGGGAGGCCGAGCCAGGCGGATCACAGGGTCAAGAGATCGAGACCATCTTGGCCAACATGGTGAAACCCTGTCTCTATTAAAACTACAAAAATCAGCTGGGCATGGTGGCATGCGCCTGTAGCCCCAGCTACTCAGGAAGCTGAGGCAGGAGAATCACTTGAACCCAGGAGGCAGAAGTTGCAGTGAGCTGAGATGGTGCCACTGCACTCTAGCCTGGCAACAGAGAGAGACTCCGTCTCAGAAAAAAAAAAAAAAAAAAAAAAAGAAGGGCTCACTCGAATCAGTAGGAAAAAGACAAATCCATTAGCCAAGCAGGCAAAAGATATAAAAAAAAGTTTACAAAAAAGGAAATAGCAGCTCTAAAACTACAATATAGACTCAATAAAATAATACACATTTTGCAAGAACATCTAGATTCACAAGGAAGGACATAAAAATATAAGAGAATAAACAAATGTATCAAAAGATGGCCAGCATGGTGGTTCACGCCTGTAATCCCAGCAATTTGGGAGGCTAAGGTGAGCAGATCACATGAGGCCAGGAGTTCAAGACCAGCCTGGCTAACATGGTGAAACCCTGTCTCTACTAAACATACAAAAATTAGCCAGGTGCGGTGATGCGCACCTGTAATCCCAGCTACTCAGGAGGCTGAAACAGGAGAATCGCTTGAACCCAGGATGTGGAGGTTGCAGTGAGCCAAGATCACACCATTGCACTCCAGCCTGGGTGATAGAGTGATCTCCATCTAAAAAAAAAAAAAAGATCCTTGCATATATCAAAGATGATAATGTGCTTGAACTGTGAATGATTTACGATTTGCTCGACCGCCTGCACCTAAGGTCAAAGTTGGTGGTGGTGGTTGGAGATGTTCAACCTCACAAATAGAAACGCAAGCAACAACCACATTGAGATACCATTTTTCACCTATCAGATTGACAAAAATAAAAAGTGACAAGACATGAGGCTAATGAGGATGTGTGGAACAGGTGAGTACTTTTTTTTTTTTTTGAGAAGGGGTCTTGCTCTGTTGCCCAGGCTGGAGTGCAGTGGTGCAGTCTCACCTCACTGTAACCTCCGCCTCCTCAGTTCAAGTGATTCTCCTGCCTCAACCTCCCGAGTAGTTGGGATTACAGGTGCCTGCCACCATGCTGGGCTAATTTTTGTATTTTTGGTAGAGATGGGGTTTTGCCATGTTGGCCAGGCTAGTCTCGAACTCCTGACCTCAGGTGATCCACCCGCCTCGGCCTCCCAAACTGTTGGGATTACAGCCGTGAGCCACCATGCCCAGCCAGGTGAGTATATCTATTACCTGTGGAGTATAAATTGGCCCCATCTCTAAGAAAATGTGGAAATCACTATGAAAACGGCGAGTTTTAGTCTGGGCACAGTGGCTCATGCCTGTAATACTAGCACCGTAGGAGGCCAAGGCAGGTGGATCACCTGAGGTCAGGAGTTCGAGACCAACCTGGCCAACATGGTAAAACCCCATCTCTGCTAAAAACAGAAAAATTAGTTGGGCGCAGTGGCAGGCGCCTGTAATCCCAGCTACTTTAGAGGCTTAGGCAGAAGAATCGCTCGAACCCGGGAAGCAGAGGTTGAGGTGAGCCGAGACCGTGACATTGCACTCCAGCCTGGGCAATAGGAGCAAAACTCTGTCTCAAAAAAAAAAAAAAAAAAAAAAAATGGTAAATGGGGAGTTTTGACCCTTTGAACAAACAGCTTCTTTTTTTTTTTTTTTTTTTGAGACGGAGTCTCGCTCTGTCGCCCAGGCTGGAGTGCAGTGGCGCTATCTCAGCTCACTGCAAGCTCCGCATCCCAGGTTAGGCCATTCTCCTGCCTCAGCCTCCTGAGTAGCTGGGACTACAGGTGCCTGCCACCACGCCCAGCTAATTTTTTGTATTTTTAGTAGAGACGGGGTTTCACCATGTTAGCCAGGATGATCTCGATCTCCTGACCTCGTGATTCGCCCACCTCAGCCTTCCAAAGTGCTGGTATTACAGGTGTGAGCTGCCGTGCCCGGCCTGAACAAACAACTTCTGATATCATCCTCCAGTTATACTTGAACTTGTGAGTGATGATGTGGATACTTACTTCTAGCAGAAACATATTGAGAACAATATAAATGTCCACCATTAGGAACCTGACTACAAAATTATGATGCATTCAATCCAAACCATTGATCCTCTTCAGACTGTCAGAAGAATGAGGAAGAGGAGATTTACTTATTTTTATTTTTTGAGACAGGGTCTCACTCCGTCGCCCAAGCTGGAGTGCAGTGGTACAATCATGGCTCACTGCAGCCTCGACCTTCTGGCTCAAGCAATCCTCCCACCTTGGTCTCTTAAAGTGCTGGGATTATAGGCATGATCCACTGTGCACGGTCAGGACCTTACACTATTTTTTCTCTTCATGCTTTGTTGTATCCTAGAAACTTCCAGTGCTTCCTCAGCCCCTGCCCTCAGCCCACATATTCATGTCAGGGAAAGTTTGTAATGTCTCTCCCTTCCTGGTACAGGAACCCCCCTTCCAGTTTCCCGAATTTCATGCCCTGGATCTTGTCAATGACCCAGTCAGGACAGAGTTGACAAGGAGCAGACCCATGGTGGGTGGCTAAAGGGAGACAGTGGGCACAGGATGGGGGAAGAAAGAGGAGCAAGAGATTGGGGAGGTGGGGGAGGAATGAAGGACCCCACTTCCAAAGAGAATAAAAATCAAGCCCGGCCAGGCGCAGTGGCTCACACCTGTAACCCCAACACTTTGGGAGGCCGAGGTGGGTAGATCACCTGAGGTCAGGAGTTCAAGACCAGCCTGGCCAACATGGTGAAACCCTGTCTCTACTAAAAATACAAAAATTAGCCGGGTGTGGTGGCAGGCACCTGTAATCCCAGCTACTCGGGAGGCTGAGGCAGGAGAATCACTTGAACCCGGGAGGCAGAGGTTGCAGTGAGCCAAGATTGCACGACTGCACTCCAGCCTGGGCGACAGGGCAGGACTCCATCTCAAAAAAACAAAACAAAAAAAACCCCAAGCCCCCCAAGCTTGTAACATCTTATCTACCAAAGTGCATTTATACAGGAATTACCCACTGGCTGCCTCATTTTCTCATTCATCAAAAGAAACAAGGATTTATTGAGCCCCTACTGTATGCTTGGCACTCACGGGGACCACAGAACAGCCCTGGTACAGTGGGAGAACACAGGTTCAGAAGGAGTTTGTCACTTGGTCACACAGTGAGCAAGAAGAGGCAGAATTCAAACCCAAACCGACCTGGTCCCAAAACTCAGAGATAGGTTTCCTAGAGATGACGTGACAGTAAAGAGGGCCCCAGGGGGACCCCAGTACTCCTGCAGGCAAGACTTCGGGACTGGGGTCTCCCACGGCCGGGATGGCCTTGTCCATGGATCATGTCCCCCCAGCTGCCTGTCAACGCCGAGGACTTCGGCTGGGTCCTGACCTCTTAGCACAGATCGCCGCTTAGAGCCTGGTGGGTGTTGAATTTTAAAGAACATTCCATCCCTCCTGGATCTCTAAGGAGGGAAATGTGGGTGGGGGTCAGGGAAGGAGAGAGGAACTGGGTGAGAATGGAGATGGGGTCTCAGAGGACAAAAGAGGAGCTCAGTGCTTGCATATCTCAACAGACCAGGGCACGCCATAGGCTCGGTTTCCTCATTTGTAGGACGACGACAAACATGCCCGGGTGTTGCAAGATTGTCTCGTGCACAGCTGCTATCCGGCATAGAGTTAACGTGCAAACGGAGGGTGGCTTAGCAGCTCCAGAAGTCCAGCCCTGTCTGGGGAAGGGGCAGCCATCAGGCCCCTGATGGGGTGCAGTAGGGTAGCCCTAGTAGGAGGCACCCAGGACTTCTGGCCCACAATGAGAAGTTCCTGAGAACTGGAAGTCTGGTTGTCATGAGGACAACGTTGACAGTCTCTATGGCAACAGCTTGGTGAACAGGGCCCCGTTGTCCACAAGGAAAAGCCTAGGGGGACAGGTGTTCTGTTACCTCGGACTCCAGAGTTTGGTCACCATGGCAACAGTGGTGGGGTCCAAACCGCCTGGGGGTGGAGCATGGAGGGTGGTCTGGAACTGGAGTGGGCCTGGGGACAGGGACAGTTTGTTTCCATGGTGAGAGCCGGAGAACTGGATGTTGGGTCACCCTGGCGACAGCTTCGGGGAGGGTGATCTCCATGGCGGTGAGTCAGGGTAGGGACAGCCAGAAGTTGAGGTGGAGGTCTCTGGGGTGGGGGCCAATGAGATGAGAAATGTGTGGTATCCATGGTTACAGCTGGAGGAGGGAGGCACTGTCTTCATGGGTGTGCCTGATGAGGGAAGGGGTGTGTGACTCTAGGTGACAGGTAGCAGCAGGACTGGTTGCCTTGGTGACAGTGGGACCCAAGGCAACTGCTCTGCATAACTAGTGACATGGATCTTACCGGTCCCCAGGCCTGGGAAGATGGTCTGTTTGGTGACAGTTGGGAAAGGGACGTCAGAGGACAGGGTGGGTTTGCTCTCCCTTCAAAGAAATATCTGAGGGGTGGGACGTGGCCCCCAGTAAGTGAGCCAGCTGGCTGTGTGTCAGTCTGAGGTGGCAGATGGGGGTGCTCGCCCATGAAACTAGAGGGGTGTGCCCTGTTACCCAGAAACTGCAGGGGACTCTCAGGGAGAGGGGGAGAATGGGAGTCTCCAGGACTCAGGTCACCATAAGGGAAAATAAGCGCCTCGGCCCACAACCTCCATGTGACCACGGGGAGTGACCCTGAAGTTCCTGTAGTCTCTCCAGGTGAGGAGGAGGGGGAGGAGGAGGCGCCCAGTGTCCCACGTGACCGCAAGGGACTAGTGTTCAGTCTCCAGTGAGATGCAGAAGGTGTACGGCCGGTCTCTAGTCAATCCCGGGGGTCCAGCCACCAGGCGACCACGGGGGCAGTTGGTCTGTTTCCAAGTGGTCTCAGGAGGCGTGGCCAGTCTTCAGGAGCCTGCGGGTTCTGCTGGCCTCCTGAGGTCCTCAGGGGGCGTGACCCTCATGGAGAAAGTTGGGGAGTTGGGGGAATCCTCTATCCAGAAGAGGTGAGGGCTGGCCAGGCTCCAGGGAACTCCAAAGTACTGTTCTGCCAGGACTAGCCAGTCTTCAGGGACCCCAGGGGCACAGTTAGTTTGTAAGGGACCACAGGGAATGTGGCCAGTGTCCAGGGCTTCAAGGGCGTGGCCAGGCTCCAGGGGACCACAGGGCTCTAGACCAGTGGTCAAGCGCCCTGGCTGTCCGCCTACTCCCAGCCTAGACGTGCAGAGGGGTCCAGGCAGCAGGATCGCGCGCGCCCCCTGCCCAGCCGCCGCCGCCCGCCCAGCCCCAGCCCCAGCCGCCAGGTGCCGGGTCCGGTGCTCCTGGAGCGCGGTAGCAGTAGACGCCGAAGAGCCGTCGGGTGGCGTCCGGGAAGCCGAGGCTGCGCACACCAGGCCTGCGGCCTCCGCAGCGCGCTCGCGGGTTCACGATGGGGTAGCGCGCACTGCCATCGGCCAGCCAACCCGCGGTGCAGCGGTCTAGCAGCTGCAGCTTCCACGCGGCGAACAGCTGCCCCACCTTGGCCACGGCCGCGCCACGCGCAGCACACGCGCGCGCAGCTCCGGAGAAGGGTACAGGTCGCAGCGGCTTCAGGAAGAACACGCGCCCTGCGGGGGTGAGGTGGGGGGTGGGTTATTAGTGCGGCTCCTGGGACCCTGCTTCGGTGGGATTCAGGACTGCCCCCCGCATGCAGCCTAGGACTCTGGCCTCGGCCCCGGGATCCAGGAACAGTTCCTCCTTTGCAGCCTGGGACCCCAGCCTAGGCCCAACCAGCGTTGGTACCAGGCGGTGTGTGCTGCGCCTAGGCACTCTTGGGAGAGGGGTCTCCTGTTTCTGATCGCTAAGAGCTGGGTGGGGAAGAAGGCCCCGGGGTTGGGGTAGTGTTGCAGCAGAGGCCAGTCTTGGGGTGAGGCCTACGCACCCGGCAGGTTGGACGTGAAGCAGAAGGCGTCGTAGCGTTCCTCGGCGTTATGGCGATACCCGTAGTTGCGCAGGCCCCCGTTGGCATCACCGCCGCCCCCTGCACTCCCGGTCCCCCCCAGGCCGCCGCAGGGCTCCCGGGGCCGGTTCACGGGGTATTGCACTGAGCCGTCGCGCAACCAGCCCGCGTTGCACCAGTCCAGGCCGTCGCGCCAGGCCGCGTGCAGCTGTTCTGCAGATGCCAGGATGCCGTCCTGCTCGGCGCACGCGCGCTGCGCCTCCGCGAAGGTCAGCTTGTATCGGCCTCCACGGGGGTGGTAGGGAAAGACCACGCCTGGCGGGGGGCGCACGGGATCAGCAGGTACACCCCAGCCCACCCTCATGCACCTGACGTCTGGGGTGCTATGTGACTCTTCAACCGGGACCTTTCAGTCCATTCCTCCTCACTCTGGCCTCAGACCTGACCACGATCCTCCCCAGCTCACACCCCATATAGCTGTCTCCCTTCACTTTAAGCTTGGGATTCACTTGACCCTCCCCCTTAACATACTATTTGTGTCCATCCCCTTCCACCTCTGGAGGACTTTGCTCATGCTCTTTCCACCTTATTCTACCTGTTGAACTCCTATTCATCCTTCAAAATCCAACTCCCAAACCCTCTTCCATTGAGTCCTGTGTGCCTCTGACATTCCGCCAGTACTGGGTCCCTCCCTCTGGTCCAGCCCTGAGCCCACGGAGCCTGCGTTCAGTGCTGACTCTCCTAGACTAGGACCCCCTGGAAGATTGGCCCTAGGTGAAGACCCCTTTGATTCCCCCAGCATTGTCCAAGGGAGTACCCACTGGGTTCCCTTCTACCTTCAGTTCTGATGACTTTGGAACTTGTCCCTCATTGGACTCACAGTCCGTTCAGCTCAAGTATTTTGTGTGTCTGTGTTTGAGGGACGCGGGTTGGGGGTGAGTGGGGTACCCTGGAAAGAGGCAGACAGGGTCCAGGGAGAAGGCCTGGAGCTGACAGACTGGGGATTGAATCCTGTCTCTGCCACCAACTAGCACTGTCCTGGGCAAGGCTCTAACCTCTCTGAGCCTGTTGTCCATCTGCTGGTAATAGCTGTCTCCCTTGGGGTTTTTAGGAAATTAAATTAGAGACTCCTGAGAACTCTTCAACTAAGCACCTGCCACAGAAAATGTCCAGTAAAGGAGAGCTGCTGCTATTATTGTTGTTATTTGTTATTGTTAGGGAGGTCAGCAAGCAAGGGCCCTGAAATCTCACCTAGAATCTTCTAAAGAGAACTGGAAAAGGCCAATCAAATGGGAGGGAATTCTTCAAATAGAAACCCCACCTCCCAGCTCCAGGGTGAGCCAATCAGAGCATCCCATCTTCCAGCTACAGTGATTGGCTCACAGTTGGGCACATGACTCAAGCTGAGCCAGTGAGGGACAACTCTGGGACTCTAGCTGCTGCTCCTAGGAAATCAGTTGCTAAGCAGGGAAGTGAAAGCCTAGGCACTGTGGTCTTGGTTCCAGAAAGAGAAGCCTGTCGGAAGAAAGCCTACCTGGGAAGCAGAGCAGAAGGATGGTTCCTGACACGGTGTGAGTGCCTGGATCTCACTGTGCCTGAATCCTATCCCAGGACTTCTCAGTGTCCTCATTGTGGACATTTTGGACTGGATCACTTTTATTTTATTTTATTTATGTATTTATTTATTTATTTTTGAGATGGAGTCTCGCTCTGTCGCCCAGGCTGGAGTGCAGTGGCACGATCTCCACTCACCGCAACCTCCACCTCCCGGGTTCAAGAGATTTTCCTGCCTCAGCCTCCCAAGTAGCTAGAATTACAGGAATGCACCACCATGCCTGGCTAATTTTTGTATTTTTACTAGAGATGGGGTTTTGGCATGTTGGCCAGGCTGGTCTTGAACTCCTGACCTCAGGTGATCCGCCTGCCTCAACCTCCCAAAGTGCTGGGATTACAGTCGTGAGCCACCATGCCCGGCCTGGATCACTCCTTGTGGGGGACTATCCTGTGCCTGGTAGGATGTATAGCTGCATCCCTGGCCTCTACCCACTAGGGGCTAGTAGCAACTGCCTTCTCCAGATGTGACAACGTAAAATATCTCCAGACATCGCCAATGTCCCTGGGGAGGAAAATCACCCAGAACCAGATATGGGGGCTCTACCCCAACCAACCTTCTAAATGCCTGCAGGCCAACTTGATTTGGTTTATGTCCCTTGCCATCCCCGCCCCCCTCCTTCCTCAGAAGCAAGGTTTATCCTCCCCACCGGCTGATCACCTTCCAGGTCCAGCTTGACCATGCCAGCGTCATCTTCCAGCTCATTGGTGACTTCGCACTCATAGCGCCCGTAGTCTTGCAGCGTGACGTTGCGGAGGACCAGGGAGGCATCCCCAGGCCCGTCGCCCTGCAGCTCAGCCCGCCCACGGTAGCTGCCGAATGCCCGGTGCTGGGGGCCTAGTGCCACGAAGACGTCGGTGAAGGCCAGCGGGTCCACCACCTTTGTCCACTTGAGCCGGACGCCGTCGTGACCGTGGGCGGCTGCCTCATAGTGGTAGCGGCAGGGCAAGACGATGGTGCCACCACGGTGGCTTACCACCTGCCCAGGCGCTGTCTGTACCACTACCGAGCCCGACTCACCCTCTGAGGACAACCAAGCAGGGTTCAGAGGAGGGGCCTAGGGGCAGAAGGGGGCCTCTGGGGAAGGTGTCTCTGGGGAGGGGAACGTGGGAAGACTCGGGTGGGGGTCGGGGAATCAGAAGGGTCCAGGGGCTCAGGGAGAGGGCGAGGGGCTCAGATGGGGAGTGGCTGGGGGAACCGCGGACGTCAGGAACGCCCTACCCGCTACCCCTCTCCGCACTTGGCCACTTCTGCTTTTCGCGGAGAAGACCACTTTTAGCGGCCCTGACTCACCCAGCACGTGCACGACCTTCTTCCGGCCACGCTGCGCCCCCGCAGGGGCTGTGAGCAGCAGGACGCCCCAGGCCGCGGCCCAGAGCGCGCCGGGACCGAGGGCCGCCCGAGCGCACACCTGGGGGGCGGGCACGGGGCGCTCAGTCCAGCCTCCCAGCCTTGGCTTTTCGGAGGCCTGGCTCCCTCCCGGGCCTGCCTTCCCCACAGCGAGGACCTCTCTCACGCCCATGTCCCCACCCTTTCCGGGGTCCTGGAGAACTCCCCCTCCTCCTCTTGGGACCTCACATCCTAGCTTCTGCAAGAACCCACGCCCCTAGACTCCCCCCCGCCCTCAGTCCTGCCCCAGATCCCGCCTCATTCCCCCCCACCCCAAAACCCGAGGCTCGCTGCCCCGCCCCCTTCTGGCCCTGGCCCGGGCCGGGGATAGGGGGGTGGGGAAGAGCTGGAGGAGCGGCGGCAGCAAGGTTATCCGTGCGCCAGGAGACTGCAGCAAACCGGGCCGGGGCGGGCAGGGAGGGGGGAGAGCTGGAGAGAAAGAGGGAGAGACGCGGGGAGAGAACAGGGACAGAGAGAAAGGCAGGGAGAGGCAGAGAAGAGAGTGCGCGACACAGAAAAAGGGGAAGGGAAGAGAGAGAGGCAGAGATGGAGAGGGAGAGACAGATGGAAAAGAAGAGACAGATGTAGAGGGAGAGACAGAGATGGAGAGGGAGAGACAGAGAGGCAGAGGGAGAGACAGAGGGGCAGAGGAAGATACAGAGATGGAGAGGGAAAGACAGAGATGGAAAGGGAGAGACAGAGAGGAAGAGACAGAGAAGCAGAGGGAGAGAGAGAGAGGCAGAGGAAGAGACAGAGATGGAGAGGGAGAGACACAGATGGAGAGGGAGAGACAGAGAGGCAGAGGGAGACAGAGAGGCAGAGGGAGAGACAGAGAGGCAGAGGGAGCGACAGAGAGGGAGAGGGAGAGACAGAAAGGGAGAGGGAGAGACAGGAGAGTGCCAGAGGCAGAGAGACTCAGAGAAGAGGAGGGAGAGATAGGGACAGGGAAAGACAGAAACGGAGAGGAGAGGAAAAAGGCAGAGAGGATGACAGAGATGGAGAGAGGCAGGGAGAAATGGAGAGGGAGAGAACCTAGAGTGCCAAAAAGAGAGATCAAAGAGGGTGAGAGACAGAGAAAAGGAAGAGACAGAAGAAACTCAGAGGGATATAGATTCAGAGGCAGAGAGATATAGAATCCAAGATTGGGGAGACGGGGCACACACCACCCGCGCCCGCAGCCCCACTTACCATCTTGCCCGCGCGGCCCCCGCCGAGCGGCCCCTACGCACCCGGACTGCGCTCCCCGCACACCCGGTTAAGACTGGGCAGGTCCCTGCAGGCGGCGCAATCCCGGCGTCTGCCTGCAAGGGGAGGAGGAAGGCGGGCGAGGCGGGGTGTATTAAAGGGGCCGCGGGGGCCCACGCTCCCCTGGAGCAGTGGCTGGAGCGCGGGCGGAGAAAGAAGCGCTCTGGACTTGGAGTGCAGAGCTAGTTCCCTCACCCTGCTAGCTGAACTTAGGCCAGGGAAGAACCTCTCTGAGCCTCAGTTTAACCATCTTTGAAATGGAGGAGGGGGCTGAGTCTTCTATCTTGGTTACTGTGCTTTGGCAGGGGACCTGGGGGATCTGGTGAAAGAGATCATTTGGCCTGCAGGCCACCTGTCCATTGGGTAGTCATAGTGGAGTCCTGGTCTCCAGCACCCCAAAGGCGCTCCCTGTGCAGGGTGGGGGCCTCACGATAGTCACACTCTGCTGTGGACTGGAGCCACAGGCCCCAATTCAAGTCTGCCCCTCACTGGCTGTGAGACCTTGGAGGAGACAGTTGGCCTCTCTGAGCCTGCTGCTGACTCTTTGGTGAAGATCCAGTAGCTAGACATACAGTAGATCTCCGGTAGGGGTTGGGAGGGGCAAGAAAAAGGGACATCTAGGCCGGGCGCGGTGGCTCACGTCTGTAATCCCAGCACTTTGTGAGGCCAAGATGGGAGGATCACCTGAGGTCAGGAGTGCGAGGCCAACCTGACCAACATGGAGAAACTCTGTCTCTACTAAAAATACAAAATTAGCCAGGTGTGGTGGCACATGCCTGTAATCCCAGCTACTCAGGGGGCTGAGGCAGGAGAATTGCTTGAACCCAGGAGGTGGAGGTTGTGGTGAGCCAAGATCGTGCCATTGCATATCAGCCGGGGCAACAAGAGTGAAAACTCCGTCTCAAAAAAAAAAAAAAAAAAGAAAAAGAAAAAGAAAGAAAGAAAAGGAAAAGGGACATCTGGTCAAGGTCCCTGACTTACTCCAGGCCCAAGTCGCCCCTAAACCTGGCCTTTCACCCAATTTCAAAAAATCAAACAATAGCAAACAGTGAGTCTTTCTCCTAACACCTTGGCTTCCTTCCAGGACTCAGTTTCCCCTAAAATGAGCCCAACCCGACCAGATAGGAGAGGCAGAGTTGTGGTTTCTGTGGTCCAACAGGCTGGGGCTCCATCTCTTAGCTCAGCCATGCCTTGGGGACTGAGCGGGGGAATGATCTCAGACCAGGACCTTCACCTCCTGCAGCCTTGGTTTCCCCATCTGGAATATGGAGTGAGATCCAGCATGTAGCAGTCAAGGTATACAGTAGGTGCTTAATAAATGTATCATGCTATTAGTTATGATTTATTGGTAGAGCAGGAACTTTTCTCTCTGGCCATGACCTTGGGCAGGTCTCTTGTCCATACTGAGCCTCGGTTTTCCCATCTGGAAGATGAGCCGTGCATACCAACCAGAGGCCGCCTTCTGCTATCCCAGCACCTCTCACTCCTGGCAACCACGATGGCAGTGATAGGTGGGCCCTCATGGGGGCCAAGAAGAGGATCCCTTGCCCCTGCACCCTGAAACACTTAGGCAGTGATATTTTGGAAATTGAAAGGGTTTTTACTGAAAGGATCCATGGGGGGATGATGGGTAAGTTCTGGAAGGGGTAGAAGCGTTTGTGTGGGAGTTGGAGCATGGTGACAGCTGTGGGAGGCTCTCCTTGCAGGAACACTTGGTCGTTGGTCTCCATCCCACCCACTGGACTGAAACTACCATAGCCAAGACTAAAGACACCCGGAGATGTCCCTCCTGTCTCTAAAACACCCAACCCCCGCTTCCCCAGGTAGGGCTGACTGGGCACGTAAACAGAGTCCTGGGTCCTGAGTCCACAGCTCTCTCAATGCTGCTTCTTGTGGAGGGCTAGGGGGTCGGAGGGTGGTGGCTGGTGGAAGAATGCGGGCCACTGAAGGCAACGGTAGGCCAGCAGGTGGGGGCCCAGCGCATACAGCAGATTGCACACGAAGAAGCAGCCCCAGGTGTCCTCAGGCACACGGTAGGTGAAGGGTGTGCGCAGGTGCATGGAAGCCCCCATGTGCGAGAACTGTGCCTGGTAGCCAGACAGGGAAGATGGATGTCAGGGGCCAGGAAGGAACTGAAATCCCAGCATCACCGACAGCCCCCCAGGTAGGTCAGGCAGAACCCAGGGGATGCCCATCCCCACCTCTCGGGCTTTGCTCATCTATCTGTTTCCCATCTCCAGTCCATCTATCTGTTTTTTTTTTTTTTTTTTTTTGAGACACAGTCTCATTCTGTTGCCCATGCTGGAGTGCAGTGGTGCAATCTCGGTTCACTGCAACCTCCGCTGCCTCCTGGGTTCAAGTGATTCTCGTGCTTCAGCCTCCTCTGAGTAGCTGGGACTACAGGCGTGCACCTCTATGCCCAGTTAATTTTTTGTATTTTTAGTAGAGATGGGGTATCATCATGTTGCCCAGGCTGGTCTCGAACTCCTGAGGTCAGGCAATCCATCCATCTTGGCCTCCCAAAGTGCTAGGATTACAGGCATAAGCCACCATGCCTGGCCTATTTTTAAAATTTCTATCTATCTATCTATCTATCTATCTATCTATCTATCTATCTATCCATCCATCCATCTATCTATCTATCTATTTAGAGATAGGGTCTTGCTCTGTTGGCCAGGCTGGAGTGCAGTGGCACAATCATGGCTCACTGCAGCCCCAACCTCCTGGGCTCAAGTGATCCTCCAATCTCAGCCTCCCGAGTAGCTAGCACAGCAGGCACGTGCTACCATGCCCAGCTAATTTTTGTACTTTTTGTAGAGACAGGTTTTTGCCATGTTGCCTAGGCTGGTCTCAGACTCCTGGGCTCAAGCAGCCCTCCCACCTCGGCCTCCCAAAATGCTGGGATTACAGGTGTGAGCCACCTCACCTGGCCTTCTGTCTGTAAAGATTCCTGCCCTTACATGTCCTGTCTGTCCCTCCCTGTGCTTGTCCACTTGTCTGTGAGTCCCCCCCAACTTGCCTAACCCCATCTCCTGGGCCCTGCACCCCATCTCTCTCTGACCTGGCTCCAGATCCTCCTCCCAGTCTTCCCCACCCCAGAGGTCTTGGCACAAATCCTGTGGATTCTAAATGTTTTCCTGGTCCCTACTTCCCTGGCCGGGGCCCAGGATTTAGCACTTTTCATCAGGAACCCAGAAAAAGGCTCCTAGCTCTGACTGGGCCCCTCACTGCTCAAACTCCTCCTCAAACGCCCCATCACCCTCAGTACAAGCCCCTAGTCCCAGAGTTCAAAGCCTTCAGCATCCAGCTGCCAATTTCTCTTATCTGCCTTTACCTGGGTTATGGCCCTGCTAAGTCACTCTCTCCCTCTGTGCTTCTCCTTGTGCTGTTCCCATTCCTGGAATGCCCTTCCCTGCCTGGAGAACTCATCCTCGTACATCAAAGCCTAGCTCCTATGCCTTGCTTCTAGGAAACCTTTCCCCTCTGGAATCCTTCACAGCCCCTGTCCCTATTTTCATGGGGCTTGGAGTGTCTGTATCTGGCTTTGTCTCCCCTAGACTAGGGAATCCTGGGATATTGGGCCTGGGGCTGGGGCCTCTTGGGGGCTCATCATTACAGTGCCCAGGGAGGACACCAAAGGCATTGATGAGTAGACAGAAATTCCCTCCCACATGCCTGCTCACCCACCCATCCGCCACCTCACCTGGCCGATGCCTCCAGCAAACACCAAGGCCCAGTCTGGAAGCCAGGAGCAACCAGGGAAGGTGAGAGCATAGGCAGCCAGGCCGCAGAAAGGCAGGACATAAAACATGTACATCAGCATCTGCAGGGGCGGGAGGAGAGGGGCACCAGCCTGTGAGATGAGCAGCTACCCCAGGTGGGTCTCCTGAGACCCCTGAGGTGGAGGCCCTGAGGAAGGATCTGGATGGCCTCAGACCCCACCCAGGCTCTCTGCAAAGTGCTCCTCTATTTCCCTTGGGGATCCTTGCCCCCAACCCCCGAACACATACACCAAACCTACTAACCTTTCTCTGAAAGTGGCATGCGACCCTGGCCTAGCCAGTCGGAGCATTCCAGCCCCCTGTCCATGATGCTCAGTAAGGGATGGGCAAGTGATTCACGCTGGGCCAATCTGAGCCTGCCTAAGACTTGTGCTTAAGCTCGGGGGTAATAAGGGCTCACATTGCTCTGGGGTGGCTGAGTGGGGTGCATGGAAGCCTGAAGCTGCCACAGGCTGTCTCTGCCACCCCATAAAGGGACTGCCTGAGAGTGAAGCCATGCAAAGAAAGCAGAGCTCAGAGGCCGGGCATGGTGGCTCATGCCTGTAATCCCAGCACTTTGGGAGGCCGAGGTGGGTGGATCACTTGAGGTCAGGAGTTCGAGACCAGCCTGACCAACATGGCAAAACCCCGTATCTACTAAAAATACAAAATTAGCTGAGTATGGTGGCTCACGCCTGTAATCCCAGCTACTTGGGAGGCTGAGGCAGGAGAATCACTTGAGCCCAGGAGGTGGAGGTTGCAGTGAGCCGAGATCATGCCATTGCACTCCAGCCTGGGCCACAAGAGCAAAACTCTGTTTAAAAAAAAAAAAAAAAAAGAAAAAGAAAGAAAGAAAAGAAAGGAAAAGAAAAGAAAAGAAGAGCCCAGAGTCTGCACCTTGAGCACCTGGATCCAGCCATACCTGAAGACCACATCTGTCCTTTTTTGGTAGGACAGTAAATTCCATATGGGCTTCTGCCTGTTTGAGTTGTGCTTCTGGCACCTGCTTCAAAGAGGCCCAGTGGACCCCTACCCATGGCAGGGGTGTGGTCTTCTCCCCGCTCCCCTCTCACCTGCACCTTAGGGTAGGCCACAGGGTCCCGCAGGTATGGCTCATACTGGTAGATATAGACAAAGCAGGCATCTGTGGGGCAATCAAGCACCACCTGGAGCAGACAGACATACCAAGAACCCTCAGACATACCTCCCACAGGAAGCCTCCCCCACCCTCCCAGGCCCACACCCCTTGCTCTGGCCTCTCCCAGCCCAGCTCAAGTTGGGCTGGCTGGGAGAAATGGGGCTTTGTCATGGAACACTCAGGTTAGACTTGATGAAGAACTTCCTTGGATGATCAAACAGGAAGGGCAGTGTGGGAGAGGTGGGTCAGGGAAGGGAGACTGGTGGCAGGGGAGGGGGAGACCAACCAGCGCAGACTCACCAGGCCCCGGAACAGAGTGAAGAAGCCAGCAAGGATGAGATATATGACAAGGGCCAGGTCAGCCGGACGCTGCAGGAGTCCCTTTCTTTGTTCCTCTTGCACCTGGCCCAGGGGAGAGAAACAGACAGCATGAGAGGTAGTCAATGACAAGTATTCAGTAGGTACTCAATAAAGGTTCCTAAGGCTCCTCCCTTCTTTCTTTTTTTCTTTTTTTTCTTTTTTCTTTTTTTTTTTTTTTGAGACAGGGTCTCATTCTGTTGCCCAGGCTTGAGTGAAGCAGCACAGTCTCAGCTCACTGCAGCCTTAATCTCCTGGGCTCAAGTGATCCTCCCACCTCAGCCTCCCGAATAGCTGGGACCACAGGCATGCACCACCACATCTGGCTAATTTTTTAACTTTTTGTAGAGTTAAAAAATCTGGCTGTGTTGCCCAGGCTGGTCTCCAATTCCTGGGCTCAAGCGATCCTCATGCCTTGGCCTCCCAAAATGTTGGGATTACAGGCATGAGCCACCGCACCCAGCCCTCCCTTCTTTCTTGTGACAAAGGAGAACCTTCCACAGAAATTAAGTCTTTGACCAAAAGCAACTGACACGGGGAAAGTTCAGGCACATTGGGACAAGGCCTAAGAGGGGTAAGGCACTCACCATGTTGGCGGTGCAGCGGGTTAGCGCCCGGGGCTGGCTGAAGACCTTCATGCCAGCCCAGCATGGCACCAGCAGGTAGGGGATGGTGAGGAAGAAGGCAGGCCTGATCTCGGAGCTGTATTTGCCTTCCATGGTGCAGGAGAGAGGGCATCAGCCATGCCAGAACCCTGCTGGACATCTGTTTGTTTGTTTGTTCTGAGACAGAGTCTTGCTCTGTCACCCAGGCTGGAGTGCAGTGATGCAATCTTGGCTCACTGCAACCTCTGCCTCCCAGGTTCAAGCAATTCTCTTGTCTCAGCCTCCTGAGTAGCTGGGATTATACCTGGCTAATTTTTGTACTTTTAGTATAGGCAGGGTTTCACCATGCTGCCCAGGCTGATCTTGATCTCCACGGCTCAAGTGATTGATGAGGCAGGTGGATTGCTTGAGCCGAGAGTTGGAGACCAGCCTGAGCAACATAAGGATTACAGGCATGAGCCACCACACGTGGCCTCTCTGGCTGGACATCTTGATTCAGAAATACCATCCTCATTCAAGCTCCACCACCTTCCATGGCTCCCTAGTGCCCACAGGATGATGTCCATACTCCTTAGCCTAGCCTGCCTCAATTTACCTTCTGAATATGGATCCTACCTTCCAGTGGGTTCTTTGCTTCCTACAAATACACCTTGAGTGTTCCCTTTGCTGAGGTTTTGCCATGCCAACCTCCCAGACTGCCTTCACTGCTCTACCTCCCAAGACCTACCCCTGAAGCTTTCACCCTGTCCCCAAGATTCACCCTAAAATTCCCTTCCTGTGTCAAGACCATTCTGGGTCAAACCCCTGGGGCTGGGAACCATTGCCTGGGGAGGAAGCAGAGTTGGGTTCTCCCGCCTTCCAAGAGGAAACAGGGACCGGAAAGGGGTGGGCTGCTGACTGAGGCTGTGGACACGCAAAGAGGGAGGTGGGGCCTCTGCAGACATCAGGGAAGGGATGGAGGATCCAATGGGGGTGCTTCTAGGTGCAGGGCAGTGACCAAGCCCAAGAGAACCTGGATTTCCCAAAGCCTTGTCCTTACCAAGAATGTTTCCTGTAAGGAACACCAGGATGCTCATGGCGAAGGAACCCAGCCAGTAGAGTCCAAAATTCCGGTATCTCTTCCTGAGCAGGGGATGGAGGGGTGACCAGCAGGTAGTCACTCCGTAATCTCAGAGCCCCAGCCAGGGCCTGGAGACCACCGTGGGTTTCCCAGCTCCGGGTCCCTTTCAGTTTTGCCCAGGATGGAAGGGACAACAGGGAGTTGAACGGGGAAATAACAGTGAGACCCTCTGTCCAAGAACAGAAGTGGCTGCCCAGGCACAGGGTGGATGTAAGCAATGCTAGGCCACCACCTACACCTGAGACGTTCCCTGGAACCTTCTCCTGGCCACCCCTGGCTGGAGCCCTAGAGAGGCGTCCTGATTTCTCCTACAGACACTTCTGGCTCCACCCTGCCCTGGGACCCCATCTGAGGATGCAACTTCTCTCCCAGGGTCAGGGGCCACCCTCTCCCTGCCTCCTGCACCTTCTGCAGATGGCGCCGGCCATGGCCAGGTAGAGGAGGTAGTGAACAGTGCCATCCCAGTAGCAGATGAAGACTCCGTGCGCTGTGCGCAGGTATGGCTCTCCCTGTGGGGGCAGGTGGGAGACTCAGACGGGCAGTGCGGTAGGGGGCTCCCTGGTCGTCCCCCAAGTACCTCCTTGGTGTAGAACTCCATGAAGCCCACCACATAGCTGTCTTCCTGAAGAGCGATGATGAGGTCCACAACCGAGGTGAAGGCGAAGACAGCGAAGACTGCAGTGAGTGGGCGGGCCGGGTCAGGTGTGGGAGGGGACACGTGTGGGTGGGGCTAGGGCTTAGTGTGGGCGGGGCTTGAAGTTAAGGTCAGGGATGAGATTATTCCAGGCAAGGACTCCAGGCCCAGTCCCTGCCCCAACCCCAAAGGTTGCATGACCACAGTCCTGCCTCATTCTGCATGTCTGATGGAGGAGACACAGCCTGGCTCTCAGAAGTCCCTGGTTTGATTCAGAGGCCCAGTGCCTGCCTTTGGGAGTCCCCAGTCTCATGGGAGAGGCACCGTCCCTGCCCTCAGGAGATCTCAAAGTGATGAGGCAGTATACTCTTTTTCAGGAGCTTCTAATCTGATGCAGGAGATGCAGTCCCTGTTCTTAGGAGCCCCAGCTCTGAAGGGGGAGGCTCTTTGAGGTTCCCCAGTTTAATGGGAGTGTTCAAATCTCTTTGAGGTCTCCAGTCTGATGGGAGCTCTTAAAGGGCCCCCAGTCTGATGGAGGAGGCCCCTTAATGGCCCCCAAGTCTGAGGGTGGAGGCCCTTGCCTGGACAGTCTTCTTCCCCACAGCTTCCCACTGACTCACCAGCATAGAGTGGGTCATAGGAGACCTCGCCATGGGACAAGCTGTAGACCGCCACGAAAAGCAGACCCAGGATTAGGGCGCTCATCAATGCCACCCACAGGGGGCTGTGGAGAGGGAAGCCAAGTCAGGGAGGCCAGGCCCAGTGCTGAGGCATCGCCCCACTCTCCCTGGTGGGGGAAGGGGCAGACTCCTGGAAGCCCCAGGGGAAGAGACTAAAGTGTCTGTTCATCCATCAATGCTGTTCCCTGAAACTGCTCTCACCCTGTGCCAGGCCCTTGCTCAGGCTGTTTCTTCCTTCTGGAAACCGCTTCCAGAAGTCTTTTCCACTTGGCAAACTCCTACTCATCCTTCATGGCCCATCCACATTGTTCTTCCTCCATGAAGCGCTCCCTGACTCCCCAGAAAGGATCACTGTTTAACTCGGGCTAGCTACAGAGGGGATATTCATCAGCCTGTTTCTTTTTCTCTTTTCTTTTCTCTTTCTTTCTTTTTTTCTTTTTCTTTCTTTCTCTCTCTCTCTCTCTTTCTTTTTGAGACAGAGCACTGACACCCAGGCTGGAGTGCAGTGGTGCAATCTTGGCTCACTGCAACCTCTGCCTTCTGGGTTCAGGCGATTATCCTGCCTCAGCCTCCCAAGTAGCTGGGATTACAGGTGCCCACCACCACACCCGGCTAATTTTTGTATTTTTAGTAGAGACGGGGTTTCACCATGTTGGCCAGGCTGGTCTCGAACTCCTGACCTCAGGTGATTTGCCCACCTCGGCCTCCCAAAGTGCTAGGATTACAGGCATGAGCCACCACGCCTGGCCTGCCCCTTCTGACTTTACCATTTATCCCATCATTTGTTATGTGTTTGACTCAGTCTGTTCAGTCATTCGACAACGTCAAGCCCCTCTGTGGCCAGGCCCAGCTCCCAAGCCACAGGGTCTCGAGTGCTCAGTTCTGTAGACTTCATTGTCTGACGCTCCCAGCTCCTCCCAGCTAAAGTCCAAATGCCTCTATTAACTCCACCCTACCCCTGCCCTGATCTGCACCCACAACCTGATAAGACAGGTCAACCAGTTGCATAGATAACAGAAGCCAGGTCTCTGGGCAGCCCTCAACCCAGGTGGGCAAATCCAGGCCCAGAGAGGATGGGAGTACTGTCCAGTTGTCCAGGGTCACACTCAAGACTCTGTCCATCACTCTCCAGGCCCCTATTTTCTCATGATCCCCTCAGAACCCAAGATTTCCATCCTGACCCCATCTAACAATGACATTATAGTACTCAGATGAGACCAAGACAAATCTTTGTACACAGTTTATAATCCTTAACCGTAACTATGAGATGAGATCTAGGATCGTGCCCATTACACTGATGAGGGAACTGAGGCTCCCAGAGGAACTTGGCTCACCCAGGATCCCAGGAGATGGAGATGGGTATTCCCACCCAGGGAGCCAGGCTCATGGTTAAGACTCTCTCCACCCCATGGCTTGGGTTGAGCTGGGTTTAGAAGTACGAGGGGCTTGCAGATGCCCACTATCCGGTGGCTGGACCCACAGGGCTAGGATCTAGGGTTAGGAGACAGGGACCAGGAAAGGGAACCAGTAGGGGGAACTGAGTCTAGGGACATGGTTAGCCAGCCCTGAACAAGAGGAAAGTCACAGGCCTGAGACAGGCAATGGAGTAGGGTGTGTGTGTGTGTGTGTGTGTGTGTGTGTGTGTGTGAGCAGGAGTCAGGTACCCGGGGCCTTATCTGGGACAATACTTTTACCCTTGGTGACTTTGGAACCTAGGCAGGGCGCATCCCTGGGAAAACCCCAGAAACCCTCCAAAGCTCTGGCTTGTGGGGACTCATCATTCCTTCTTCCCAGGCCACAAACATCCCAGGAGCGGCCGCATCCCAGCCTCCAGCCCGGCGGGAAGGGGACTTCCGGTTAGAGGGGGGTGTTCTTCTGGCCCACCCCAATCCTGCCGGGTCGGAGCTGAGCTGGGGCGCAGGGCTCGCAGAAGCCAGGTCCGCGGACCGCGCATCCTCCCTCCAGCCCACCTCCAGTCCTCCCCGCCCCCGCCCGCCCCCACTGTCCCCAAGGCCGCCCTGGCCCCTCTCCGCACGCACTGCGAGAGCGCCGAGACGTGGTTGAGCGCGTAGGACACCGGGAGGGCGCTCAGCGACAGCGCCGCGATCTTGCCGGCCAGCGGCGGGATGTCCATAGCGGCGGCTGCTGGACCCCGGCTCAGCCCCGACGCGTTCTCCAGGGCGCTCGGCTCCTCGTTGGCGGCGAGTCCGGGCCGAGGCTGCCAGGGACCCGCCCCGCACAAAGGTCGACCCCGCTGCGCCCTGGGCAGGCCGCCGTGACCGCCCTGCGTGTTCCCAGGGAGCCTCCAAGGCCCCTCCCCGGCCCTCCCCCTGGCAGCTGCCCCGCCCCTTCGCCCCTCACCATCGACACCCTCGTCTCCAATGGCCGTCCCGCTACTCAGCCTCAGTTTCCCTCACTGTCAAAGGCTGGGACACAACACCTCGGGATGCTTCTGCTCTTAGGCCAAGGGGTGCGCCCTGGAGGTCCTGGCGTGCCCCCTCTTTCCCCTGCCTCCACAACTTCGTTCTAAGGAAATTTTCTCCTGGACTCTGCGCTTCTAAACCTCTGCATTCCCCAGAGTTTCCCATCCCCACCCAAAGATCAAGTCGGCATTCCCTGTGCGCACGGATGGAGCAACCTCCAGCTCTTGGGTGCAAAATGCCTTTCAGTGGGCTTAGATTTGAGTTTTCATAAGGTGGCCACAAATGTAAACGTGTTTCCAGGCAGGTGTGAAGTTTTTTTGTTTGTTTTTTGAGAGGTCTCACTCTGTGGCCCAGACTGGAGTGCAGTGGCCCTCCTCCTTGAACTCCCAGCCTCAAGAGATCCTCCTACCTCAGCCTCCCAAGTAGTTGGGACTACAGGTATGCACCACCACGCGCAGCTAGTTATTTTTTGTAAAGACAGAGGTCTCACTTTTTTGCCCAGACTGGTTTCAAACTCCTGGGCTCAACAGATCCTCCCACATCAGCCTCCCGAGGAGCTGGGATTACAGGCGTGAGCCACTGCGAGGGGTCTTTAAGTGTGAGGCTTTGACTCCGGGGCTGTCCCTTTGCAGGCTAGTCCCGGGTTTAGGGTTCTTCATTTCGGGGAGAGGGTAGAAGGGGTCCTAGCGGGTGGGGGCTGAAGTTAGAATATCGGGATGGAGCCAGTTTGGTGAAGAGTTTGGGAACGGTGTTCCTGGCAGGGAGGAAAGTGGCTCAGGCTTGGAACTGAGCAGTGGAAAGGAGGTCGGTTCTGCTGGGGTGTGATGAGAAGCGAGACAGCTGTGAGAGGCTGTGGGAGGTTTTGAACAGCTGGGAGGGGGCCACAGTATTGGGGGGGAGAATAAGGAGACCATCTGTCTTTGTCACCCCCTCCAACCAGACTCTGGCCCATGTGGAGTACTTGTGGATGCTGCAGACAGCAAGGTGAACCATGCCCACCTGACGCCTGCCCTGCGGGACCCCAGTCTGCAGCTGGCACAAATTCTAACCACTGCCCCTACCTCAGGCCCCATTCTGCACGCAGCCCCTTAGCTTGATGCCAACTGGGTCACAGGTCTTCCTGAACTGGGCCACAAGAGGGTCTTCTGGCCGCAGGTCTGACTCAGCCTCCTTCCCCAGGTGTCCACTGCCCATGGGTGAAGTTCAGGTTCCCCTGGACTTTCCCCAACTCTAGCAGGGTCAACACCCCCCAGGCCTGCTTTCTGTCTGTAAAATGAGCCTTCTTGTAAGCGGGCCCCAGCATCCCCTCCTCCAGGCAGCCCTGCCTGCCACCCCCACCCCACCTTCTCCACACAAGGCCAGGGTGCCTGTGCCCAGCTCAGCCTAGGGGCTTGGCCTTGTCCCGTGTACAGGATGCACCTGCACACGCACACAGCACTTGGAGGCCTCGTCCCCTGGCAAGGGGTAAAGTCCATGCCCTGAGCCTGGTGAGCCTCCAGGTTGCTGAGAACTGAGAAGTGACTTGGATGGCTGAATGCCTGGGACCCAGTGCCAGGATTCCCTGAACCACTGGCTGCAGAGAACTACCCCGCTGTGCTCAGGGTCCTGGCCCACTGCCTTCTGGGCAGCCCTCATTCATGGGCACCCAGGCCAAGCCCACCAATGTTACTCTTTGCTCTGCCTCAGCCACAGCGTCAGGAAAGAACAAAGGGTGGTATATCACCCCAGCCTTGGCTCTGCCACTGCATCTGGCACCTCCCTGGTCTCAGACCCCACTGAGACACTCTGCAGACCGCCCCACCACGGCTCCCTGGTTCCTCTCAGTAGCAGCCTCAGACCTCATCCCCAGCAGCCTGGCTGACTGGAGTAGATCTTGTCCACCTGGTCCCCACACTTGGCACCTAGTGTTTGCTGAATGGCTGTGTGAACACAAGCTGGCCCAGGAGCCCGACTCCATGCCAAGCATGTGAATAGGGAGCCCCTGGTGCCTGCAGGGGCTGGGCAGCACCCACTGGGTGTGTGTGGAGGGGGTGGGGGCAGATGGAAATGCAAATTCCCAGGGCCCTGCCCAACCAGCTGACTCGGCAGCTGCAGCTTAACAAGATCCCCAGGGTGACTTAGGCACAAATGTGGGGCTCTGGCCCTGGGGCAGATGTGGGGGTCTTGGCACACACTGTGGCCTGGGCTACCCTCCTGCCTCAAAACCTCCGGCTCTGAGGCCCTTCCTTCTAGGAGCTGCCTGACATGTTGGCATGGCACATCCATGCATCCATGCGGCTGTCCCCTAACGACACAAGCCCCAGGGACTCGTGTGCCTACCACACTGGTGGGACCTGAAGGGCCACAGCCAACACCTGTGTGCTGGGCCGTGCCAGCACCACCTGCCAGGAGAGCACATGGGTGTGCCCAGAAGCCACCTGCCCCCACAGGTCTGAGGGAAGGTGGGGCCCTGCCTGGAGACCCCTCCCCAACCTCCCTCTGCAGCACAGTGCTAGGCTCGGAGGTTCCTGACATTCCTTTAGCCCAGGTGTGGCCAAGTCTCCAGCTTTATTATTATTATTATTATTTGAGACAGAGTCTTGCTCTCTTGCCCAGGCTGGAGTGCAAAGGCGCAATCTTGGCTCACTGCAACCGCTTCCCAGGTTCAAGCCATTCTCCTGCCTCTGCCTCCCGAGTAGCTGAGACGACAGGTGTGCACCACCATGCCCAGCTAATTTTATATTTTTAGTAGAGACAGGATTTCACCATGTTGGCCAGGCTGGTCTTAAACTCCTGACCTCCAGTGATCCGCCCGCCTTGGCCTCTCAAAGTGCTGGGATGACAGGGGTGAGACACTGCACCTGGCCTTCCAGCTTTACTATGCTGAAAACAACTTTCTTCCTCCCCTCCAGTGCAACCCAGGCTGAGCGGGGATGGAGACTCCACAGGCCAATAAGGAGAGCCCCGAGACAGCATCTTGCATCCCGCTGCTAACAGGAGGGGCTTCCTGCAACAGGACCAGGCATCTGTGGTGGATGAGCACTGGGACTTTATTACACGGCACGGCACTCGTGACAACGGAAGGGGTGGGCAGAAATGCAGGCCGGAACATTCCACAGTCCAGGGACGGTTGGTCATTCAGAAAGTATGTATTTCCAGAACACTCAGTAGTAAGGCCGTCTGGGATTGTTCTGTGGAAGGCAAAACAGATAACAGGAGGAGGGGATTAGCACTAAAGACAGCAGTTCCTCCTGTCTGGAACCTTCCGGAGGCAGCTGAGCCCGCACCCTTGAGGTGGCAGGGCAGGCTTGGGGGACGGGTGGGGGCTTGAATGCAGGTGGGTGGTAGGGGGCTCGCTGGTGAGACCCAGCCTGGCTGGACTGAGGAAGGAAGGGAGCCTTCTGTTCCTACCACCACCCTCTCCTGTCGACTGAGCAAAGGCAGCCCAGGAGGACATGCGTACCAGGGGGTTGGGCCGGAAGCGGTAGGCCAGCATCATCCTCTTGCGGAACGCCTCATACTCGTCGTCCTCCTTGGAGAGCTCCGCCGGCCGGTCAATGCCGAAGCCAGCGCCGTCCACTGTGGTGGTGCCCCTACAGGGAGAAGAGGATGTGAGCAGGGACCTGGGGCCAGAACTCTGGCCGGGGGGCCGGGCACAGCTGGGCTCTCAACAGCACCTCCCGCGGGTGCAGGGCTGGGCTGGGACATATCTGCACAGAGAGAAGCTTGAACCTGAATGGTCAAGGAGGGGAGACCCCCGGGGCGGGCGGGGGGGGGGGGCCTAGGCCCCAGGGTCCCACACAGGAAGGAGGAGCCCACAGTGCAAGTTGTCGCAGCTCTTGGGATGGCAGGATGGTTACTCAAGGACAGCCTTGAAGGGGGCACTCGGGGCCAGGGTCACACCTGGGAGAGCTCCTGCCCATCTCTGGGAGTGGTTTCGCACTCATGGGGAATTCAAATAAGGCCCTTCACAAGGCAGACAAGGCCTGACCCATCTGTACCCTCACCCACCCCATCTGGCCTGGAGATACTCATGAGGGGACGGAAGGAGGCCCTGGGACTGGGGAGGACCCAGCCCGTATGGCCTCCTGCACTGCAGGCCTGTGCCTGACAAGGGGTGTGCAGTGGGGTGCTGTGATCATTTTGCCACAAGGGAAAAGCGATGACATAAAGGGGTGGGAATGGGGAGGCGGCAGGGGACCCACAGACCCCAAGTTCATGGCCATGCCCTCCCACAAGGCCACACTCACTTGTTCACTGGGTTCTTGATGCCCTGGCCCTCTGAGCCCAGCCCCTCGCCCTCCTTCCAGCCCATCTTCATCAGCATCTGGTAGCCGATGTTCTCCACAGTCAGCTTGAACTCCTTGTACTCTGAGTAGTCAGGCTCACGGCCCTCCTGCAAGGTGAGGAGGTAGCTGTCACCCACCAGGGCTGGGGCTGTGGTGGCCCCCAAATCCAACCTTCTGCCTTTGGTTTCAATCAGTGCTGGGACCAGTGGCCCATCTGCCTCCCTCTCACCAGATCAGACTCCTTGAGAACAAACAGACCAAGCTCCTCCTGCTTCTCAGGGTCCCCGGGGCCTTAGTGCCAAACTGTGCACCCCTGGTGGCCAAGTCAAAAGGGCAAGAGGATGAGTTACACAGGCCTTATCCACCTGAGATAAAGCAATGGTTCACTGGCAAAGAGAAGCCCCGTGTTCATGTCCTGAGAGCAATTTGTTGTACAAGGTACTAATAAGAGATGGACAACGAGGTTACCACCTCACTAATGAGGTTATCAGGCCCTGAACAGTTTTATAAAAAAACCTCAAAAAGATAATGGGGGACGTGCCATGTCAGCCCTCTCTCCTCAGGAGCCCAACAGCAGCAGAGGCAGAATGTTAAACTCTGGTTCTGGAGAGGCCAGTCCGTGGGGACTTCTGCCGGAGAAACACTTTGCCTGTAAACTGCACTTAATTGGCTCCACTGGAAGCAAAATTTCCCCCGCAGCCCCAGGAAATGTTTCTGAGGCAGCAGCTGAGCTGCTGTTTGCTAATTCCCTACACAGACGGCGCCTGTCATTAACAGATGCCTCCTGCAGCGAAAAGGCCTGGCTCCTGCTGTGATCGAGAGGGTAGCCAGGCTACTTTGGGCACCTGCAGGGTGAGGCAGCTACAGGAGGGGCTGGCATGTGGCAGAGGCTGGAGCTAGGGCCCCTCCTGGCTCACCTTCAGGGCCTTGAAGGTCTCCATAAACTTTTCCAGCTCGTCTGGAGGCAGGAAGTCTCCGATGAAGTGCTTGCCCCGGCCCATCTTTGTCAGCTGCTCGGCCCATTCTGCTCAGAGAAGCAGAAAGGTGAGAAGAGGGAGAAGCAGGAAGGAGGGGAGCAGGCCTGGTGGCTCCCAGGGCACAGGTATGAGGCTCAGTGGGAGCCTGGGGCCCCCAGGGAAGGAGGCGGCTAGGCCATGACCCCAGCCCGAGCCTCTGCCTGGTGAGGCAGCCCAGCATTTAGTGAACCCTGTGCAGCTCTCCACCCTCACGATGTCAGGACTGCTCCTTTTCACCACGGAGAAAACTAGGCCCCAGAGAGACTGAGCCTCTCACTCCAGGCCTCACAGCCACAGGAAGCAGGCTGGGGGCTAAACCAGGATGGCAGCTCAAGACCACGTGTGGCGCATCCAGGTAACCTTCCAGGGCAGGTGAGGGGGGCCATGCCCAGCCCAGCCCGGCCCACCCCGCTGCCCCACATACCCCTGGTCTTATCCATCTCCATGCGCCGCAGCTGGTGCTCCCAGGTGCCCAGCTCGCTGTCCACCTCCTCATCACTGTCATAGCCGTGCTGGTGCTGTTGGACTGCCTTCTCCCACAGCAGCTGCATGTCCTGCATGGCCCGCTTGTGCTGCATGATCATGTCGTACATCTGCTGCATCTGCAGGGCACACTCGCCAGTGAGCCAGGGCACGGTGCTGTGGCCTGCCGGAGCCCCGCTCCTGCTCCCCGCCTCCAGTGCTGGGCATCCCCCGCCGGAACGTGGCTCATCTGGACCCCTGGGCAGGACTGGAGCAAGGACTCTAGCAAGTACTGAGTACTGCCCTGGGTTCTCTAAATCCCAGTGTGGAGCACGGAGGACCTCTTGGCCACTGAATGAGGGTGACTCAGGGTCCTGACCCCTGGGAGGGTCAAGGGTGATGTGACGGGGCTGCGGGCCTGGAGGAGGGGTCACAGCGAGCTGACCCCAGGGACTGACAGGCAAGCGCCTGCAGCTCCTCAGGGGAGCCAACACCGACACTGCCCAACTACAACTGGGAGGCCTCAAGTCCCTCAGGGTGCCCTGTGCTGACCAGGATGGTCCTGCACTAGACACGACAGAGGACTGCGGACAAAGAACATCAACGTAGACTCTCCCATGGGAACCAGCCCTGGAGCGCGGCGAGAAGCAGCCACAAAGCTCAGGCCAGGATCACAGACCACCGGGGCCGCCCCAAGGGCCAGTGGTCTCCCAGGCAGGCTGAGAGGCCACTCAGGTGCAGTGGGGGGTGGCATGCCACCTACTGGGGCAGGGGGACCTGCCTGCCTGGAAGCCTCCCCGCTGGCCATGGGTTCCACCTGAACACAGGAGCTTGGCGAAGCACATGAACCCCTGTGACCGCTGCACCCGGGGGTAGAGGACAACACTCTATGGGCGCCGACCATGTCCCCGTCCCCTTGTCCCCGCAGTCTTACCTCCTGCTGCTCCTTCAGCTGCTTCTTCTGGGCGTCTGAAAGCTCTGTGACGCCCACTAGACCCACAGGCTTCCCCTTCTCATAGCCGAGCCCCTTGAGGTCCTGAACTGGAAACCAAAGACACAGGGTAGTCAGAGCCTGACAGGTGCACCCCGATCTCGCTCCTGCGCTGGGGTGTGCTGTGAGTCTCACACCTTCATGACACTCCAGGCACACGGGGACCTCATATCATTACTGTCAGTGCCACGTGGTACGTGACGGCCTCGGGGTCCCGCTGTGTGCTGCCACGTGCACCCCCGCATCTTACGTCCTTGTGACCTCTCCAGCCAGGCTCTACGCACCACCACATTGCAGATGTGGACACCAAGAATCAGAGGTTCCGGGACTCACTCAGGGTCACACAGCTAACGAGTGACAGGGCAGGAATTTGCAGAGCCAGAGACAAGAGAGCTGAGACGGCATGTGGGCAGCATGCATGGGCGCACGCACAAACGGGCTCTCAGAAGGCAGCTCCGTTGCTAACAGACACCAGGTGTAAGCGCGCACAGATTCAGAGTCTGGCGTAAGACTCAGCTGTGCGACTCCCTTAGCTCCTTCAGGGGAGGCAGCCAACCATCCTCAGAGCAGCTGACATTTAATTTGGCATCAGCTGTGGAACTTGGCAGGCTCCAGTAACACTGACACATAGAAAGATGCTGCAACAGCCCCATCCGGGTGGCAGAAACCACCACCCCTCGGGCGGTGCGGTGCTTCCCGGGGGAGAAGGTGAGCAAAGGGGTGCAGCGGGCCCTCTGGGAAGGGAAAAGATTTGGGTCCTTCCAGCTCATCAACACTCGGGCTTTGCCGCTAAGAATGGCCCACATTTGCACTCTTAGTCCTTCCTTGGTTTACAGGGCACTGAGGGATGTGGGGGAGCCCTGTTGGGGAGACGCAGGAGCCGAAGTCTGAGCATCTGGTTGATTGCCTTAGAGCATGCCCACAGTCCCTTTCCCCCAGGCCCACTCCACCACATGAGCGGGCGGGTGAGGGCTGCCATGCTCCCTGAGGACATGGATCAGTGGGACTTGAACCTGGGCCTCAGACTTTGGAGCCTGTTCTGTCCAACTAAGCCACAGGGCGACTTCTTCACCTGCTGGGTGTCTCAGAGCTGGGGTGTGTGCGCATTGAAGCACCCGGATCTAAGCACTAGGGTTCGGCACTTGAGTGACAAACCAATCCTAGGTACCCTCCACCCTGGCTGCAGTTGCTGGCTACAGCCCTGGTAAGCATAAGAATCTTCATTCAGTAGCTTTTCTCCTTGACCTAGAATCTCTGAGGCCCTTGGGGCCAGGGAGGCACCGAGAAAGCAATCATCCCTGAATTGGACGAGCAGGTCCAAGAGGCTGGCCACCCGACCTGGGAAGGCTGTCGCCTTCCCTTTTGGGGTCCTGTCCTCATCTTGCAAACACAGGTGATGGCGCCACACAACAGGGCACGTCGGACTCCTCCATGCACCTGTGTGTTGAGCGCCAGTGAAGGTGGAGTGAGGGGGTGATGTTTCTGCTCCACAGTGCAGGCTGCATAGCTGCATAGTGGGGCACCATATGACATGAGATAGTGGGTGTCAGTCACTGATTATCATCTGCAGAATGCAATGACAAGAGACCACCCCCCAACCCTTGTAGGTTTGGTAAGAAAATGAGAGACCAGGCCATAGGCTGGCCCTCCCCGAAATTGCTGCTAAGAAGGGAGAGGTGAAAAGGTGATTGTGTAAAACTGTGGTAATTATTGTGCTTATCGTTGTCTGTCTCTTGAACTTTCTTTCATTTTTCCCGAGATGGAGTCTTGCTCTGTCGCTCAGGCTGGAGTGCAGTGGTGCGATCTTGGCTCACTGCAACCTCCGCCTCCCAGGATCAAGCAATTCTCCTGCCTCAGCCTCCCAAGTAGCTGGGACTACAGGCACGTGGCACCACATCCAGCTAATTTTTGTATTTTTAGTAGAGACGGAGTTTCACCATATTAGTCAGGCTGGTCTTGAACTCCTGACCTCAGGCGATCTGCCCACCTTGGCCTCCCAAAGTGCTGGGATTACAGGCGTGAGCCACCACACCCAGCCTCCTGAACTTTCTGTGACAAGAAAGAATCCAAGTACTGGCCGGGAGTGGTGGCTCATGCCTGTAATCCCAGCACTTTGGGAGACTGAGGTGGGAGGATAGCTTGAGCCCAGGAGTTTGAGACTAGCCTAGGCAACATAGTAAGACCCCATCTCTATTTATGTTAAAAAAAAAAAAAAAGAGACTCAATTCAGACCCAAAGACACAAATACAGTCAGGAATCACTTCATGGAGGGGACCATTCTGGAAATGCATCATTAGGCGCCGTTACCAATGTGTGAGCATCACAGACTGTACCTCCACAAACCTAGATGCTACCGCCTACTGCACACCTACACTAGATATTACAGTTGACCTTGAACTACATGGGTATGAACTATACAGGTCCACTTAATATGCTGATTTCTTTCAATGAATATATTGAAAAAATTTTTGGAGATTTGCAACAATTCGAAAAAAGTCAGATGAACCACGTAGCCTAGAAATACTGAAAAAAAAATCAAGAAAAAGTTAGGTGTGGCCAGGCACGGCGGCTCACGCCTGTAATCCCAGAACTTTGGGAGGCCAAGGTGGGCGGATCACAAGGTCAGAAGATCGAGACCATCCTGGCTAACACGGTGAAACCCCGTCTCTACTAAAAATACAAAAAATTAGCCAGGCGTGGTGGCAGGCGCCTGTCGTCCCAGCTACTTGGGAGGCTGAAGTAGGAGAATGGTGTGAACCCGGGAGGTGGAGATTGCAGTGAGCCAAGATCGTGCTACTACACTCCAGCCTGGGCGACAGAGTGAGACTCCATCTCAAAAAAAAAAAAAAGTTAGGAGTGTCAATGAATGTATAAGATATATGTAGATGCTAGTCTGTTTTATCACTTACTACCATAAAACATATACACATTGCAGAAAGTTAAACTTTATCAAAACTTATGCACACAGACTGTACATAATGTGTTTTGCAGTCAAGAGAAATGTAAACAAATGTAAAGATGGTAGATGAAATCTTTTTTTTTGGATATGGAGTCTTGCTCTGTCACCCACGCTGGAGTGTAATGGTGCAATCTCGGCTCACTGCAACCTCCGCCTCCACCTCCCGGGTTCAAACAAATTCTCCTGCCTCAGCCTCCCGAGTAGTTGGGACTACAGGCACCTGCCACCATGCCCAGCTAGTTTTTTTTTTTCCTTCTTTTTTTTCTGTTTTTGAGACAGAGTCTCACTCTGTCATCCAGGCTGGAATGCAGTGGTACGACTTCGGCTCACTGCAACCTCCGCCTCCTGGGTTCAAGAGATTCTCCTGCCTCAGCCTCCCGAGTAGCCGGGACTACAGGTGGCACGCCACCACACCCAGCTAATTTTTGTATTTTTAGTAGAGACAGGTTTCAGCATACTGGCCAGGCTGGTCTCAAACTCCTGACTTCATTGATCCGCCCGCCTCGGCCTCCCAAAGTGTTGGGATTACAGGCGTGAGCCACCACGTCCGGCCAATTTTGTATTTTTAGTAGAGACAGGGTTTCACCATATTGGCCAGGCTGGTCTCGAACTCCAACCTTGTGATCTGCCCGCCTTGGCCTCCCAAAGTGCTGGGATTACAGGCGTGAGCCACTGCACCTAGCAGATTAAATCTTAACTGCATAACATTAGCTGTAGTGCACACGGTACTACTGTAATCATTTTGTAGCCTCCTGTTGCTATTGTAATGAGCTCAAGTGTTGAGAATATCTGCTTAAAACACCACATGACACTGATCATCTCTGCACAAGCTGTTTGTCCCTTTAGCAAATTGCATATTGCGGTAAAGAGACATCTCTCAGGGTTCTCAAGTATTTTTCAGGTTTAGTGCAATATAGTAAACCTTGAATAACATCATGGGTCCCATAAAAATTGCCACTAGTCAAGTGACTGTAGTCCCAGCTACTCGGGAGGCTGAGGCAGGAGAATCGCTTGAACCCCAGAAATGGAGGTTGCAGTCAGCCTAGAGTGTGCCATTGCACTCCAACCTGGGCAACAGAGCAAGACTCCATCTCAAAAAAAAGTGCCACTAGTGATGGCGGAAGTGCTCCCAAGAAGCAGAGAAAAGTCAAGACATTACAAGAAAAAGCTGAATTGTTTGATATGTGCCATAGATTGAGGTCTGCAACTGCAGTTGCCCACTATTTCAAGATAAATGAATCCAGCATAAGGACCACTGTTAAAAAAAAAAAAAGAAGAAGAGAAATTCACGAAGCTGTTATTGCAGCTATGTCAACAGGTGTGAAAACCTTGCACTTTCTGTGAAGTAACTTTTTATCTCACTTTGAAAATGCAGTTTTTATGTGTATAGGACTGCTATCAGAATGACACACCTACAAGGTTTAATATGATTTAAGAAAAAAGCAAAGTCACTATATGACAATTTAGAACAAAAGCAAGGCGAAGGAGCGAAAGCTGGAGAATATAATGGCAGCAAAGGATGGTTTGACAGGTTTAGAAAGAGGTTTGGCTTTAAGAAGATGTCAGGATAACAGGAACAACAGCTTCTGCCCACCTAGAGGTGGCAGATGAGTTCCCAGATGCCATTAAGAAAATCATTGAGAAGGAAAGATATGCATGTGCTCAAACAGGTTTGTTTTTTTTTTTTTTTTTAGATGGAGTCTCGCTCTTTCGCCCAGGCCGGACTGCAGTGGTGTGATCTCGGCTCACTGCTGCCTCCCGGGTTCATGCCATTCTCCTGCCTCAGCCTCCCGAGTAGCTGGGACTACAGGCGCCCGCCACCGTGCCTGGCTAATTTTTTGTATTTTTAGTAGAGACGGGGTTTCACCGTGTTAGCCAGGATGGTCTCGATCTCCTGACCTCGTGATCCGCCCGCCTCGGCCTCCCAAAGTGCTGGGATTACAGGCGTGAGCTACCGTGCCCAGCCTCAAACAGGTTTATTTTGAAATGGAGTCTTGCTCTGTCACCCAGGATGGAGTGCAGTGGAGCAATCGTGGCTCACTGCAACCTCCGCCTCCTGGGTTCAAGCGATTCTCCTGCCTCAGCCTCCCAAGTATCTGGGATTACAGGAGCCTGCCACTACACACAGCTAATTTTTTGTATTTTTAGTAGAGATGGGGTTTCACCATGTTGGCCAGGCTGGTTTCAAACTCCTGACCTCAAGTGATCCACCCACACTGGCCTCCCAAAGTGCTAGGATCACAGGCATGAGCCACTGTACCCGGCCTCAAATAGGTTTTTTAATGCAGACATAAGTGCCCTATTGGGGTGGGGGAGCCAAAAAAGACATTAGTAAGGAAGAGGAGCAAACACCAGAATTCATTTATTTATTTCTGTTTGCTTGGACACAGGTTCTCACTTTTTTGTCCAGGCTGGAGTGCAATGGCGTGAACATGGCTCACTGCAGCCTCAATCTCCCAGGCTCAAGTGAACCTCTCACCTCAGCCTTCCAAGTAGCTGGGACTACAAGTGAACACCACCACACCCGGCTAATTTTTGTGGTTTTTTGTAGAGACAGGGTTTTCTCATGTTGCCCAGGCTGGTCTCAATTCAGGCCTCAAGCGATCCGCCCACCTCGGCCTCCCAAAGCACTGGGATTACAGGCATGAGCTACCGTACCCGGCCAAGCACCAGAACTTAAGGCAGGATAACGCTACTGTTTTGTGCAAATGCAGTTGGGTTTATGATCGGGGCTGCCCTTATCTATGAAGCTGCTAACCCCTGAGTCTTAAAGGGAAAAGATAAACACCAGCTGCCCGTCTTCTGGTTATACAACAAGAAGGCCAGGGCAGGACAGCCATGGTGGCTCACGCCTGTAATCCTAACACTTTGAGAGGCCAAGGCAGGAGGTAAAAATGCCTGGACAACAAAAATTCTTTTTCTAGATTGGTTTGCTCCTGAAATCAGGAAGTACCTTGCTAGTGACTGCTTGTTAAAGTTCTTTTGATATTGGACAATGCCCCTGGCCACCCAGAACTTCATGAGTTTAACACTGAAGGCATCAAAGTGGTCTACTGCATCCAAACAAGGTCTCTACTTCAGCCTCTAGATTGGGGGGTCGTAAAAACCCTCAAGGCTCATAACACACGTACTCTATGGAGAGGATTATCAAAGCTACGGAAGAGAACCTCAGCAGAGCGAACATTATGAAAGTCTGGAAGGGTTACACTACAGGAAAGGCCATCAAGCCTGAAACAATAAATTCCTGCTAGAGAAAACTGTCTTCAGATGTGCATGACTTCATGGGATTTATAACAGAGTCCATGAAGGAAATCGTGAAAGAGATTGTAGAGACAGCAAAAACGGGTAGAGGGTAAGGGATTTCAAAAGATAGATCTTGGAGAAATTTAAGAACTAAAAAGCTGGACATGGGTGGCTCATGTCTGTGGTCCCAACTGCTTGGGAGGCTGAGGCGGGGAGATCACTTGAGACCAGGAGTTTGAGTCCAGCCCGGGCAACATAACAAATCTCTTGTCTCTATAAAAAAATAAAAATTAAATAAAAATTTAAAAAAATAGGTCTGGCCAGGCGCAGCGGGTCATGCCTACAATCCCAGCACTTCGGAAGCCCGAGGCAGGTGGATCACCTGAGGTCAAGAGTTCGAGAGCAGCCTGGCTAACATGGCGAAACCACATGTCTACTAAAAATACAAAACTAGCTGGCCGTGGTGGCACATGCCTGGGTGACAGTGCGAGACTCTGTCTCCAAAAAAAAAAGCAAAACAACAACAACAACAACAACAACAACAAAATAGGCCGGGCAAAGTGGCTCACGCCTGTAATCCCAGTACTTTGGAAGGCTGAGGCAGATGGATCATTTGAGGTCAGGAGTAAGAGACCAGCCTGAGCAACATGGTGAAACCCTGTCTCTACCAAATACAAAAATTAGCTAGGCATGGGCACACACTTGTAATCCAAGCTGCTCGGAAGACTGAGACGGGAGGATCCCTTGACCCCAGAGCGCAGAGGCTGCAGTGAGCCGAGATCGTGCCAATTCACTCCAGCCTGGGTGACAGAGTGATACCGTGTCTCAAAACATAGGTGAGGCGAGGTGGCTCACACCTGTAATCCCAGCATATTGGGAAGCTGAGGTGGGCGGATCACTTGAAGTCAGGAGTTTGAGATCAGCGTGGGCAACATGGTGAAACCCTATCTCTACAAAAAATACAAAAAATTAGCCGGGCATGGTGGTGCATGCCTGTAATCCCAGCTACTCGGGAGGCTGAGGCATGAGAATCGTTTGAACCAGAGGGGCAGAGGCTGCAGTGAGCTGAGATTGTGCCGCTGGACTCTAGCCTGGGCAACACACAAACACTCCAAATCGAAAAATAATTAATTAATTAAAAATAGAAGAGCTAACAGATACCACACTGGAGAAATTAACAGAAGACAGCTGGATGGAAAGGAGTGCTTCCAAATGAGTGCCAGATGATGAGGAAGAAGCCGGAGAAGCGGCAGCAGCACCAGAAAAGAAAATGACAATCTGGTAGGAGGATTCTCATTATTCGAGACTGTTTCTGACTTCTTTTATGACATGGACCCGAGACATGGGCACTGGAACTAAGTGTAAATGGTAGAAGAAGGAATAATACTGTATATAAACATTTTTAGGGAAATGAAAAAGAAGTCAGGCAGAAATTGTGAGATATTCCCATAAAGTTACAGAGTGCCTGTCTCTCCTTCCACCTCTTCGGCAGCAAGACCAACCCCTACTCTTCTTCCTCCTTAGCTGTTCAACACGACACTGATGAAGATGACCTTTGTGATGATCCATGTCCGCTTCATAAATAGTCAATATATTTTCTCTTCCTCCCTTCTTTTTTTTTAAAAGAGGCAGGGTCTCGGGAGGCAGAGGTTACAGTGAGCCGAGATCATGCCATTGCACTACAGCCTGGGCAATAGAGTGAAACTGTCTCAAAAATAAAGAGGCAGGGTCTGTCTGGTTGCTCTGTTTGGACCCTCTGTCATCTAGGCTGGAGTGCAGTGCCACGATCATAGCTCACTGCAGCCTCAAATTCCTGGACTCGTGTTCCTCCTGCCTCTCAGCCTCTTGAGTAGCTAGAGCTATAGATGCACACCACACAGCCTGGCTAATTTTTCCTATGATTTTCTTAGTAATATTTTCTTTCTTCTAGCTTATTTTATTATAAGAATATAGTACATAATACATATAACATATAAAAAGCATGTTAATCAACTGTTTATGTTACCAATAAGGCTTCCGGTCAACAGTAGGCTATTAGTAGTTAAGTTTTTGGGGAGTCAAAAGTTACATGTAGAGGCTGAGGTGGGCAGACCACTTGAGCTCAGTTTTGAAACCAGCCTGGGCAATGTGGTGAAACCCTGTCTCTACAAAAAATTAAAGAATTAGCCAGGCGTGCTGGTACAGGGCTATAGTCCCAAGCTACTTGGGAGCCTAAGGTGGAAGGATAGCTTGAGCTCAAGAGGTTGAGGCTGCAGTGAGCTGTGATTATACCACTGCACTCCAGCCTGGGAAACAGAGTGAGACCCTGCCTCAAAAAAAAAGTTTATATTCAGATTTTCTCTTTTTTTTTCTTTTTTTGTGAGACGGAGTCTTGCTCTGTTACCTGGGCTGGAGTGCAGTGGCGCGATCTCAGCTCACTGCAACCTCCACCTCCCGAGTTCAAGCGATTCTCCTGCCTCAGCCTCCTGAGTAGCTGGGATTACAGGCATGTGCCACCATGCCCGGCTAATTTTTGTATTTTTAGTAGAGACAGAGTTTCACCATGTTGGTCAGGCTGGTCTCGGACTCCTGACCTTGTGATCTGTCCACCTCAGCCTTCCAAAGTGCTGGGATTACAGGTGTGAGCCACCAAACCCGGCCTATATTCAGATTTTCAACTGCACAGGGCTTGGTGTCCCAACCCCCATGTTGTTCAAGGGACAGCTGTATACCCCGTTGCTCCCAGGCTACAAACCTGTAAAGTAACACAGTAAGTATTTATGTATCTAAACATAAAAAAGGTACAGTAAAAATACTGTACTATAATCTTATAACAATTTTAATAATGACCACTGTCATATATGCAGTCCATCACTGACCAAAATGGTGTCATACAGGGCCGGGCATGGTGGCTCACACCTGTAATCCCAGCACTTTGGGAGGCCGAGGCGGGGAGATTACTTGAGGTCAGGAGTTTGAGACCAGCCTAGCCTGCATGGTGAAATCCCATTTCTACTAAAAATACAAAAATTAGCTGGGCGTGGGCTGGGCATGGTGGCTCACGCCTGTAATCCTAGCACTTTGGGAGGCTGAGGCAGGTGGATCATCTGAGGTCAGGAGTTCAAGATCAGTCTGGCCAACTTGGTGAAACCTCGTCTCTACTAAAACCAAAAAAATTAGCAGGGTGTGGTTGCAGGCGCCTGTAGTCCCAGCTACTCGGGAGACTGAGGCAGGAGGATCGCTTGAACCTGGGAGGTAGAGGTTGCAATGAGCCGAGATAGTGCCACAGCACTCCAGCCTGGGCGACAGAGGGAGACTCTGCCTCAAAAAAAACAAAAAACAAAAAACAATAACAAAAACAAAAAAGAATGAATGAAGAAAGAGGTTCCGGACAGCAGAACTCATGGAGGTTCCTGGAGGGTGGCGTGCCCAGGGAGGGCATGGAAGCTCCACGCCCCTTCCCCCATACGTCGCCCTATGTGACTCTTCATCTGAAAAAATCCCTCAAGTCAAGAATACAAGGAACTAAGAGGGAGTTAGGAAGAATATAAGGGCCATGTACTCGGCCCCCAACCCCTAATCTCGGTGGGTGTGGGTGATAGGAAATTTATGTCTGGAGATCTAAGAGCAACATGAACTTCTGCTCTGCTTCTCTTCTAGAATTTTAAGAAGGTGGTAGACTGGCAGATGTGACCCGCCATCACACAAGAAGAATGGAAGAGATGGTGGCACACTGAGACTAGTTGGAGACCCCTAGGAAATTACCCTTCAGTTTCCTGTGGCTCCCAAGTGATGGAGGAAGGCTGAAAGTTCTTGCGGGCAAGGAGAGAGGGAAGGAGCAGAAACTGGTTATGGTACATAAATCTATACAAGGAGAACTGAGTGTGCTTGTGTTATTATTTTTAATGTTTAGATAATCAATGTACAAACATTCTTGCTAAGTCAGGCACGGTGGCTCACACCTGTAATCCCAGCACTTGGGAGGCGGAAGCAAGTGGATCATCTGAGGCCAGGAGTGCGAGACCAGCCTGGCCAACGTGGCAAAACCCCGTCTCTACTAAAAATATAAAAATTAGCCGGGCATGGTGGTGGGCACCTATAATCCCAGCTACTCGGGAGGCTGAGGCAGGAGAATCACTTGAACCTGGTAGGCAGAGGTTGCAGTAAGCCAAGATTGTGCCACTGCACTCCAGCCCGGATAAAAGAGCAAGACTCTGTCTCAAAGGGAAAAAACAAAAAACAAAAAAAACTCTTTGCTATATATACACAGTTTTGTTATTTTTATTTTTAAGGAAAACTGTATTTCTGAAAGTAGGGTTTGAAGAGAAGTTTATTATAGATTACTGACAAAGCTAATCTATCAGTTAATATATATAACAATCATTTATTTATTTATTTATTTTTAAAAGAAAGAGGCTGGGTGTGGTGGCTCACGCCAGTAATCCCAGCACTTTGGGAGGCTGAGGTGGGCGGATCACAAGGTCAGGAGCTCGAGACCAGCCTGGCCAACATGGTGAAACCCCGTCTCTACTAAAAATACAAAAATTAGCTGGGCGTGGGGGCGCCCACCTGTAATCCCAGCTACTCGGGAGGCTGGGGCAGGAGAATTGCTTGAACCCGGGAGGTAGAGGTTGCAGTGAGACAAGATCATGCCACTGCACTCCAGCCTGGGTGACAGAGTGAGACTCCATCTCAAAAACAAACAAACAAAAAAATAAGAAAGAAAGAAGATCTAAAACCAATAACCTAAGCGTACACCTTAGTGAGCTAGAAAAAGAAGATCAAACTAAATCCAAAGCTAACAGAAGAAAATAGTAAAGTTTAGAGTGGAGATAAGAAAATGAGGACTATAAATACAATGGAGAAAAATCTATGAAACCACAAGTTGGTTCTTTGAAAAGATCAACAAAAGTGACAAACCTTTTAGTTAAACTAAGAAAAAAATGAGAGAAGACTCAATTACTAAAATCAGAAATGAAGGAGGGGCTGTAACTAACGACTGAAAATAAGACATAAGTTAAAAGGACCATAAGAAAATACAATAAACTGTGCCCCAACAAATTAGATAGATGAAGTGAACAAATTCCTAGAAACACAAACCATCAAAACACAAGAAGAAATAGAAAATCTGAATAGACAAGTAAATCAGGATTCGAAAAAACCTTCCAACAAAAAAAGGCCAAGAGGCTGGGCACGGTGGCTCACACCTGTAATCCCAGCAATTTGGGAGGCCGAAGCGGGTGGATCACGAGGTCAGGAGTTCAAGACCATCCTGGCTAACACAGTGAAACCCCGTCTCTACTAAAAAAAAAATACAAAAAATTAGCCAGGCTTGGTGGCGGCGCCTGTAGTCCTAGCTACTCAGGAGGCTGAGGCAGAAGAATGGCGTGAACCTGGGAGGCGGAGCTTGCAGTGAGCCGAGATCACGCCACTGCACTCCAGCCTGGGTGACAGAGTGAGACTCTGTCACACACACACACACACACACACACACACACACACACACACACAAAAGGGCCAAGAATTAGATAGCTTCACTGGTAAAGCAAACATTTAAAAGAAGAAATAAGCCGCGTGCAGTGATTCATGCCTGTAATCCCAGTGCTTTGGGAGGCTGAGGTGGGCAGATCACTTGAGGTCAAGCATTCAAGACCAGCCTGGCCAACATGGCAAAACCCCATCTCTACTAATAATACAAAAATTAGCCAGGTATGGTGGCAGGTGCCTGTAATCCCAGCTACTCGGGAGGCTGACGTAGGAGAATTGCTTGAACCTGGGAGGTGGAGGTTGCAGGGAGCCGAGATTGCACGACTGCACTCCAGCCAGGGTGACAGAGTGAGACTCCGTCTCAAAAAAAAAAAAAAAAAAGAAAGAATACCAATTCTCCTCAAACTCTTCCAAAAACACAAAAGAGAGAACATTTCTAAACTTACTCTATGGGGCTAGGATTAGCCTGATACCCAAGGCAGACAAAGATACTACAAAGAAAGAAAAATAGGCCAGGTGTGGTGGCTCACGCCTGTAATCCCAGAACTTTAGGAGGCCAACATGGGCAGATCACTTGAGGCCAGGAGTTCAAGACCAGCCTGGCCAACATGGTGAAACCCTGTCTCTACTAAAAATACAAAAATTAGCCGGGTGTGGTGGTGGAAGAATTGCTTGAACCCAGGAGGTGGAGATTGCAGTAAGCTGAGATCGCGCTACTGCACTCCAGCCTGGGCAACAAAGAGCAAAACTCCATTTCAAAAAAAAAGAAAAAGAAAGAAAGAAAAATACAATTGAATATTCCTATGAATACAGATGGAGAAATCCTCAATAAAATACTAGGAAACCAAATTCAGCAGCTTATGAAAGGATTATACACCATGACCAAGTGGGATTTATCCCCGCAATGCAAGGATGGCTCAACATTTGAAAATCAATCCATGTAATACACCAAATTAATAGAATGAAGGAAAGTAACCACACGATGATTTTATGTATTTATTTACTTTTTTTTTTTGAGACTCAGTCTCACTCTGTTGCCCAGGCTGGAGTGCAGTTGCTCAATCTCGGCTCACTGCAACCTCTGCCTCCCAGGTTCAAGAGATTCTCCTGCTTCAGCCTCCCAAGTAGCTGGGATTACAGGCGTGTGCCACCACACCCAGCTAATTTTTGAATTTTTTTTGGTAGAGACGGGGTTTCACCATGTTGGCCAGGCTGGTCTTGAATTCCCGGCCTCAAGTAATCTGCCCACCTCAGTCTCCCAAAGTGCTGGGATTACAGGCGTGAGTCACCGTGCCTGGCCTGTTTTAACTGATGCAGAAAAAGCATCTGACAAAAACTAAAACATTTTCATGATAAAAACGCTCAATAAACTAGGAACAGAAGTGAACTTCCAGACAGGCCTGGTGGCTCACGCCTGTAATCCCAGCACTTTGGGAGGCCAAGGCAGGCGGATCACCCGAGGTCAGGAGTTCGAGACCAGCCTGGCCAACATGGTGAAACCCTGTCTCTACCAAAAACACAAAAATTGGCCAGTCGTGGTGGTGGGCACCTGTAGTCCCAGGTACTAGGGAGGCTGAGGCAGGAGAATTGCTTGAACCCGGGAGGCAGAGGTTGCAGTGAGCTGAGATCACACCACTCCAGCCTGCACATCAGAGAAAGACTCTGTCTCAAAAAAAAAAAGAACAAGAAGAAGTGAAGTTCCTCAACACAATAAAGCCCATATATAAAAAACACATAGCTAACATCATACACCCACACATCATACATTTCACAGACTGGTAAAAGGCTGAAAGCTTTCCTCCTAAGATCAGCAACAAGACAAGGATGCACACTTCCACCATTTCCATTCAATACGGTACTAGAAGTCCTAGCCAGAGGAATTAGGCAGAAAAAGAAATAAGAAGTATCCAAGTTGGAAAAGAACCTGTAAAACTATTTCTGTTTGCAGATAACACAAACTTAAATGTGGAAAACCCTGAAGAATCCACAAACAGACCGGGTGCAGTAGCTCATGCCTGTAATCCCAGCACTTTGGGAGGCCAAGGTGGCAAGATTGTTTGAGGCCAGCAGTTTGAGACCAGCCTGGGCAACATAGTGGGACCTCATATCGACACAAAAAATGCAAAGATTAGCCAGGCATGGAAGAGCATGTCTGTAGTCCCAGCTACTTGGGAGACTGGGGCAGGAGAATCAATTGAGCCCGGGAGGTCAAGGCTGCAGTAAGCTGTCATCATGCCACGGCACTCCAGCCTGCGTGACAGAGTGAGACCCTGTCTCAAAAGAAAAAAAAAAAGAATAAAGTTGGAAAAATTAACTCAAAATGGACCAAAAACCCTGGGTGCAATGGCTCATGCCTATAATTCCAACACTTTGGGAGGCCAAGGCAGGAGGATTGCTTGAACTCACGAATTCAAGACCAGCCTGAGCAACATGGTGAAACTCCATCTCTACAAAAAGTACAAAAGTTAGCCAGGTGTGCTGGCATGCACTTGTAGTCCCACCTACTTGGGAGGCTGAGGTGGGAAGACCACTTGAGCTTGGGGAGGTCGAGGCTGCAGTGAGTAGCCACTGCACTCCAGCCTGGGTGACAGAGTGAGACTCAAAAAAAAAAAAAAAAACCCAAAATAGGCTAAAGACCTAAATTTAAGAACTAAAGGTACAAAACTCTCGGTAGGAAACACAGGGGTAAATTTTCATGCCCGGATTTGGCAATTGTTCCTTAAAAATGACACCAAAAGCATAAACCACAGAAGAAAAAATAGATACATTTGACTTCATTAAAATTCCATTTCTAGGGAGGGCTGGATTACAGCAGGCACTGGGAGACCGCACAACTACCTGCCCCCTCCCTGGCACTACCATCCCCTGGAGGGTCTGCCTTCAGTTCAAAAAAAAAAAACTGATACTTTCTGGCCACATTAAAAAAAGAAAGAAAATTTAAAAGTTGTATGCATCAAAAGACGCTATTACTAAAGTGAAAAGACAACCCATAGAATGAGAGAAAGTATTTGCAAATCACATAGCTGACGAGGGGGTTAATATCCAGAATCTATAAAAGAGAACTCGTACAACTCAACAACACAAACAAACCAACTTTAAAATGGGAAAAGGTGGCTGGGTGCAGTGGCCTGTAAACCCAGGACTCTGAGAGGCTGAGGCAAGAAGATGGCTTGAGCCCAGGAGTTCGAGATCAGCCTGGGTAACATACTGAGACCTTGTTTATATAATAACTGGGCAAGGCTGGGCCTGGTGGCTCACTTGAGGTCAGGAGTTCAACACCAGCCTGGTCAACATGGTGAAATCCTGTCTCTACTACAAAAAAAAAAAAAATTAGCTGAGCATGGTGGTGTGTGCCTGTAGTCCCAGATACTCAGGAGGCTAAGGCAGGAGAATTCGCTTGAACCTGGGAGGTGGGCCGGGAGCGGTGGTTCACGCCTATAATCCCAGCACTTTGGGAGGCTAAGGCAGGCGGATCATGAGGTCAGGAGATCGAGATCATCCTGGCTAACATGGTGAAACCCCCTCTCTACTAAAAATACAAAAATTTTGCCAGGCGTGGTGGCACACGCCTGTAGTCCCAGCTACTTGGGAGGCTGAGGCAGGAGAATCACTTGAACCTCGGAGGCAGAGGTTGCAGTGAGCTGAGACTGTGCCACACTGTACTCCAGCCTGGGCAACACAGTGAGACTCCTTCTCAAAAAAAAAAAAAAAAAAAAAAAAGAACCCGACGGCAGAGGTTGCAGTGAGCTGAGATCGTGCCACTTGCACTGCAGCCTGGGCAACAGAGCGAAACTCTGTCTCAAAACAAACAAAAACTGGGCATGGTGGGGCAAGTCTGTGGTCTCAGCTACTCAGGAGGCTGAGGTAGGAGGATTCCTTAAGCCAGGGTGGTAGAGGTTTCAGTGAGCTATGATTGTGCCAGTGTACTCGAACATGGGTGACAGAGACCTCATGTCAAAAACATAAAACGTGGGGAAAAAAGGACTAAAATAGACATTTCTCCAAAGAAGCTATACACATGGTCAATAAGCATATGAAAATAAGCTCAACAGCACTGGTCATTAGGGAAATGCCAACCCAGACGACGAGATATCACTTCATACCTCTTAGGATGGTTATAATAAAAAGATGAGAGTATGACTCTTGCCTATAATCCCGGCACTTTGGGAGGCCGAGGCAGGAGGATCACTTGAGGACAGAAGTTCAAGACCAGCCTCAGCAACATAGTGAGACCCCGTCTCCATAAAACTTTTTTTATTTTAAAAAAAGGTGAGGATACAGAAAAAGTGGAACCCTTGTGCACTGCTGGTGGGAATGTAAAATGGTGCACCTGCAGGTTCCTCAAAGTTAAAAGGAGAATTACAGGCCAGACGTGGTGGCTCATACCTGTAATCACAGCACTTTGGGAGGCTGAGGCGGGTGGATCATCTGAGGTCAGGAGTTCGAAACCAGCCTGGCCAACATGGTGAAACCCCATCTCTACGTCCCAGCACTTTGGGAGGCCGAAGCGGGAGATCACGAGGTCAGGAGATAGAGACCATCCTGGCTAACACAGTAAAACCCCATCTCTATTAAAAAATACAAAAAATTAGGCGGGCATGGTGGCGGGCACCTGTAGTCCCAGCTACTCAGGAGGCTGAGGCAGGAGAATGGTGTGAACCCAGGAGGCAGAGCTTATGGTGAGCTGAAATCGCACCACTGCACTCCAGCCTGGGCAACAGAGCGAGACTCTGTCTCAAAAAAAAAAAGAAAAAAGAAAAAAGAAAAAAAAGGCAGAATTGCAATAGGCCCAGCAATTCCACACCTAGGTATACCGACAAGAGAACTGAAAACGATTCAGATAGTCACAGCAGTATTATTCACAACAGCCAAGCAGTGTAAACAACCTCTGTGAATATAAGAGTTCATTCACAGATGAGTGGGTAAGCCAAATGTGGTATGTACACACAGTGGAAGATATGGCCACAGAAGGAATGAAATTCTGATACAAGCTACACTGTGGATGAACCTTGAAGACATTATGCTCAGTGAAAGAAGTCAGACCCTTCCAACACAGGGAGGGGGAGAGGGTCTGCCCACCTGACAGAGGCGAGGGAGAGGCATCCACGTCCCTCTGCACCAGTTCAGCAGGTGGGAGCTCTACCTTATCCTCTTCAGGCCCCCACCGGCTCTTCCGCTTCCTCTTCACGGTGGCTGCGGAGGCTGGCTTCCCGGGGGCAGCTGGAGCAGGGATGATAGTGGGCGCAGGCGTGGACGAGGCGGGGCAGGTGGTGGCTGGGGGTAAGGACCCTGACAGGGCCTCAGGAGGGGACTTGCGCTTCAGGCCGGGATCAGGTGCTGTGAAGCTGCCTGTGGAGCTGGCCTTGGCTTTCCGGAACTCCTCCAGCTTCTGTCGGTAGTACTTGTACCCTTGGCTATTGGGCTCATACAGAAAGCTGCAAAGGAGAGTTGGGGGGTGCAGTGTCAGCTGGGCCCGAGGCCCTGTCCCTGATTCTGGGCAGGAGCAGTTCTGGCCTTGTGTGCCCACGTTGGCCAGGGTCACTATATGGTCATGTCATAGTCACGGTCTCCACCATGACCTCCTGCCCTGCCAGGCCTCCTGGCAGTGACTGCTGGTTCTGGTGGCCCGATGCCCTTCCTTTGAACTGAGTCACTCCAATCCTCACCCTGTCTTTATCAGGCACCCATCACACTGTCATTGTTCACCCTGCTACAAAGGGAAAGGGCAGGGACCCTCAGACCCTTCCCCAGGGCCTGGGAAAAGTGAGACATTCACACCAAAAAATCTCAGATTGTGGGGAGACACCAGACACGAGACAGGGCAGAGGGACTTGTCTTGATCCCAAGGGCTTCTCAAATGCATCTTTGAGACAATGAACATCAGAACGGACCAAGGAGCTGATTTCTACCCCACGTGGGGGCAGGCAGCCTCAGGGAAGTGTGGCTTCCAGTGAGGCTGGGAGCACAGGTCTTCTCTGTCCCTACCCAGCCTGAGGAGCACAGCAGGTGGCGCTGGGTTCAGAGCCATGTTCCGCACCTACTGGCGCCTCTCGGACCGTACACATCCCCAGTCCACAGGACTGTCTTTGGGGTCTATGCCAAAAGGGAGAGTCTTGGCCCAGCTCCACATGGCAGAACACGGGAGAGAACTGAATGCATGTACAGCCCTGAAAGCATGTTACAGTGCTGAACAAGATGGGGCTGGACCTGCACTTGTGAATCTGGAGGGATGGTCATAGCACCAAGGCGTGCAACTAATGTGAATTAAAGGGTCAAGGATGCTGTGAAGTCCCTTTGTGTTACAGAGGCCGGGCGCGGTGGCTCACGCCTGTAATCCCAGCTCTTTGGGAGGCCGAGGCGGGCAGATCACCTGAGGTCAGGAGTTCGAGACCAGCCTGGCCGACATGGTGAAATCCCGTCTGTACTAAAAATAAAAAAATTAGCTGGGCGTGGTGGTACACGCCTGTAGTCCCAACTGCTCGGGAGGCTGAGGCAGGACAATCACGCGAACCTGGGAGGCGGAGGTTGCAGTGAGCCAAGACTGGGCCACTGCACTCCAGCCTGGACCAGAGTGAGACTCCATCTCAAAAAAATAAGATAAATAGTGAGCGAGCAGCAAGAGACCCCTTAGACAGTTTCTAGGTGAGCCTGTGTGTCTACGGCCCTGCTAACATCCGGTACCTCAAGAGGGTGGGACAGAAGGACAGGAGATGACAGCATCTTCTCTGTAATCCTGGGTCATGGTACACGTGTGACCCAGTGAGGAACATATGCAAAGATTAAGAGGTAAAAGCAACAACTGTTCAGGAGAGAAGGGAACAGTTGGTCAGATTTGGAAAAGACACTTGACAGCCGGGTGAGTTCAGACATGGATTTGAGAGGCCAAGCTGGGGAGGCTCACTTGCTAGGGCGAGCAGGCATCGGGGTGTGGGGGCCCCTTCCTGGTCTCAGCTGGTGCTTCACCCTGAGTGTCCTCCAGGATGGTCCAAGGATGCATCACAGTCCCCTGGAGGGTCTGCCCATCTCGGGGAGGGGGTTACAATGGCACTCAATGGTAGACCCCCATGAGGGGGAGAAAGTGGAGCCCCCCAACACCCCATCTAGAACACGGCTGGGTGCACCACCAAGGTTCCCCTCTGGTGGAACTAATCCCACCCTGAACCCAGGGATAACCACTGTTAAGGTGTTTCCTGCCAGTTTCAGCAAAGATTTATCTTAATAGAGCTGTGATCCTATACATATCCCAGTTTTAAAAAAAATTTCTGCCTCAAGCTGATGACATAAGCCTTTCCTATTAGAACAGTGGAAGCATGTTCACTGACTGGCCTTGCTTCAGTTCCCTCACACTGGGCTGCCAGCTCACATGGGTGCCTTCTGAAGGCGGCATACTCCACTGGGGAGATGTGCTGATGATTTAACCCACAGAGGTTGGACGCTGACTGTGTCACTGACTTTTCTTTTTTTTCTTCCTTTTTTTTTCTGAGACGGAGTCTTGCTCTGTCGCCCAGGCTGGAGTGCAGTGGCACAATCTCAGCTCACTGCAAGCTCCGCCTCCCGGGTTCAGGCAATTCTCCTGCTTCAGCCTCCTGACTAGCTGGGACTACAGACGCCCGCCACCACACCCGGCTAATTTTTTTTTTTTTTTGTATTTTTTAGTAGAGACGGGGTTTCACTGTGTTAGCCAGGATGGTCTCGATCTCCTGACCTCGTGATCCACCCCGCTCAGCCTCCCAAAGTGCTGGGATTACAGGCATGAGCCACCGCACCCGGCCTACTGACTTTTCATTACAGCTGATGCTCTATTGACATGATTTCCAGGATGTATCTCAGAAATGGGAGAATGACTAGTCCAAGGGATGGGCGTTTCCAGCTTTTCATTTTTTTTTTGTTTTGTTTTTCAAGATGGAGTTTCACTCTTGTTGCCCAGGCTGGAGTGCAGTGGTGCAATCTTGGCTCACCGCAACCTCCGCCTGCCGGGTTCAAGCCATTCTCCTGCCTCAGCCTCCCAAGTAGCTGAGATTGCAGGCATGCGCTAATTTTGTATTTTTAGTAGAGACGGGGTTTCTCCACGTTGGTCAGGCTGTTCTTGAACTCTCGACCTCAGGTGATCCACCTGCCTCGGCCTCCCAAAGTGCTGGGATTACAGGTGTGAGCCACCAAGCCCAGCCTCATTTTTTATTTTTTGAGATGGAGTCTTGCTCTGTCACCCAGGCTGAAGTGCAATGGCATCATCTCGGCTCACTGCAACCTTTGCCTCCTGGGTTCAAGTGATTTTCCTGCCTTAGCCTCCCAAGTAGCTGGGATTATAGGCACATGACACCATGCCCAGTTAATTTCTATATTTTTAGTAGAGATGGGGTTTCGCCATGTTGGCCAGGCTGTTCTCGAACTCCTGACCTCAGGTGATCCACTTGCCTTGGCCTCCCAAAGTGCTGGGATTACAGGCGTGAGCCACCGCACCAGGCCTCCAGCTTCTTTATAGCCATGCAGTTGGTTACAAATTGTTTCCCAAAGTGGCTGGGGTATGCCTGGCCCACAGGCGTGACAGGGAAGGGCCAGGAGTGGCCACATGAGGCGGCTGTTAGATTTGGGGGTGAGGGGAGGTCTGCCAACCATGTGGGTCTAACTAGCATTTCTGTGCTTTGGGGCTGCCTCACAGCTGACCCTGCATGGAGATTAAACACAGGAGCAAACCTGCACACCCTGCAGGGGCTTGAATACCTGGTCGTCCCCCCGACCCACCCAGTTCTTTCCTGGTCCGGCTCTGGCTCTGCAGTGAGTGCGGAAATGAGCTCCCTTCAGCCTCGTCTCCTCTGGCTGCCCGGGGTACCCACCCCAGGCGACCTCAACCAGCCTGGCCTCCCCGACAGCCACACCTGACAAGCTGGGCGCCTGTCAGCAACACCCCAGAACAGAAAGGACACACAGGAGGGCCGGGGCCACCTGCACCAATAGCATCTCTCAGTTCTGACATCAGGGGTGAGGCTGGGCTGCAGCGGCTGGGCCCTGGACCCCTCTGACCAAGCAGAGCCACCGGGCTCTGGGCCTTGGACAGAATTCCATATCCTTGCCTGCTTCTCCTTTGAAAGGGTTCCACAGTCAGTGTCTACCTACAATGACAGCAAACTAGGTTTCTTATTTATATAGCCTTAATCAGGCAAATGAAGGAAAGACATGATGACTTGGAGTGGACTAGTGATCCAACCCTGAGGTGTGGTCAACAACTCAATGATCCCCAGGGCCAGTCTGACATTCAGGACACCTGTCGGGGGGGCCTCCAGTCCCAGGCAGATCCATCTCCTGAACTCCAGGCCTAAACAATCCACGGCCCCAACACAGGCTCCTGGACACACAGGTACCAGACTGGGGCACACCTGAATCCCAAGCAGCCCCTCTCCCCGTCCCCATTCACTGGGTCAGCTGAGCCTTGACCCTCCCTGTTCCCAGCCCCCATGTTCCCTCAGTCCCACCTCCCAATGGTGGCCCACTGCCCTCGTCTGCCTGGACCTGGCCTGGCCATGTCTGCCCACCCTCCACGACCTTGGCCAGTGACCACAGAAGCACAGTTGCCCCATCTGTGATGAAGTCTAGGGCTGCTGAATCAACCAGCCCAGACAGCTGCTGCCCCAGGACTGTCATGTGCTGTCACACCTCCTCACTGATTGAGTCGGGGCTTGTGTAACCTGGGGCCAGGCGTGTGCTCACGGGCATGTCACCCTCACATCCCCCAGGCACCCACCCGCCTCCCCGGGCACAGAGCAAGTGCCAAACCCACCCAATGAATGGATGAGCCAGTGAACACAGACCCAGCCACTGGGGCTAGGGTACGACCGCATGGCCGGGGATGGCAGGGAGGCTAGGCTGCTTGTCACACACCCACCCTTCTGTGGAACTCGCACACAGGCTGGGTGTTCCCCCTCCACAGATCCTAAAGTTCCCCATTCCCTGCCATTTCCCTCATCATAAAGGGGAGACCCTGAGAACGTACACAACATAAACTGAACAGTACTGTGAATTTCCACTTGAGAGCCTGACTTGCCCCCGGCCAAGGGCTGCTGTGTGTCCCAAAGGCAACTGGGCAAGTGCTAGAGACTTTCTCCATGAGGCACCTGAAAGACACAAAGGCCCCAAAGGCCCCGTGCACCTGCCTCAGAGACTACCCAGGGGTGCTGGTGTGTGCGTGGGACATGCCTGTGGGGAGGCAGAGCTGGGCTCTGGGGTCAGAGACTCTTGGACCTGCCAGCTTCTCACAGTGGGACCCCAGCAGGTGGCTGGACTATGCTGATCCAGTGTCCTCCCCTGCAGGGGGACTGTGGCCAGGGTGACGGTCACCTCCCTGGCAGGGCCCCCCTTACCTGAATGCCTGGTTCTCACGGTTGTTCTGGAGGGCAATGGTTTCCACCTCGGGACCCCCGTCCGCTATGAACCTGGCCAACTTTTCTGCAAGGTTCTTGACCTCTTCGTCCTCTGGGGGTGAAACTTTAAGCAGGCTGTCAGTACTGGGCTCAACTCACCACACCCAACAGCCTAATTTCTGCTAAGAACCCCAAGGGCAACAAGTGGGGTTTGTTTTAGGAATGATGCAAAGAGAAACAGGCAAATGGGAATCAGATTACTACACTGGGACCAGATGCCAGAATTCATAACACACCTCAAGCCCCCACCCCCGACCCCCGCCCCGTCCCACAAGGGAGGTCAAGAGGGCCTGGGACATGAGCCAGGACAAAGGATCCAAATGTGACTGCGGGTCTGGGTAGGGCAGGAAGGCAGATGGGAGCACCCCAGGTCACATGGTTAGGGGGTGCTGTTGGGCCTCCTCTCCTGGGGAGAGGCTCAGGGCACAGGGCCACAGGGAACACAAGGAACAAACCTCTGCAGCCTGCGCTTGGCCTGAACATCAATTCCACCCCACCAACCCACCAGCACTTGGCTGGGATTTTATGTCATTGCAGTCAAAGACCAGCCAGTATTTCCCCTTCCCCTGAAATTCATCCCATCAGAATTGCACCAGCTGACAGTGTCTGTCCCCCAGGCCCTCGGCCCTACACTACACTTGCCTTGCCCTGTCCTCAGTGCCCAGGAGGAAGCTGGGGCTCATCAACACTTGTTAATGTAACAAAGAACCAACAAGCAAAAGCCCCCTCTACCTAGGGTACTGCCCTGAACCGCTCTCCCAGAAGCGACCTCGACCTCCATGAGCTCCCGTCTACCCCACAATGTGGCCTGACACTCAGGCTTCACCAGGTCCTTGGAGCACTGAGGGGGAAGGTGGTGTCAGACCCATTCCCAGAGTGACCCCAGATGCCTGGGAGAATACAGGCCTCAACCACCGGTGCCACACAGTGCCACTCCAGCACCTCCAGGAACCCCGATTCCGCATTGGGGCACGGTATGTCCACAGGCCTCCCCAGAATCTCCCACCCGCTCCGTCCACCTACCTTTCTGAGAGGCTGCCTGCGACTTCTGTGCTTCCTTTCTTATCTCAGCCACCTTCTTCCTGTAGTAGAGGAATTCCCTGCTATTCTTATCGTGCAAAAATCTGGAGAGGAGGAAGTTTGCAGAAGAGAGGGGAAAATAAGTATCTGTGACAGGCATATCCCTGCAGCTTCTATCGTGCAAAAAAAGGCAGGCTGGCGAGCAGGGACCCGAAAGCAAGTCTCCGTGCCACATGGGAGCCACTTGTCACTTCTGGTGAGAATCAGAAAACGCTTGGAACAGCATCCGGCCCACACTAGCAAGCACCCAGCCCCACACGTGCGACTGTGCAGCAAACGCATTCAACAGCACAGCCTTCCCTTCCCCGGAGATACTCACGCAAATGCTGGGTTATCCTTGTAGTCCTCCATAGCTACTTTTTCTAACTCGGGGCCTCCTTCTGCCACAAAGCGGGCCAATTTCTCTATCACTTTCCGAGTCTCGGCTCCCTCTGGGGGTGAAACTTTAAGGAGGCTGTCAGTACTGGGGTTCAACTCACACACCCCACAGTCAATAGGCACACTCTCTCTATGGACCACAACGACAGAGGGGGTGGGGGGAGAAGAGTGTGAGATGCAGGAGGCTGTCGGGCGTCCCGAGTCCAGGCACAAAACACCATGACGAGGGGGGAGTCGGTCTCACTGTCTTGGTGAGACACACTAGGTGGGAGAGAAGTGTGTGAGGCTGTGGTGAGCTCCAGGCTGGAAGCTAGCAGAAAATATATCCAGCTTCCCCTGGTTTTGGTGGGGGAAATGCTTAATTCTTTTCTTTCTTTACCAGTTTTCAGCATAATACATCGGTTCCCTTTCATCCTTCAAAGATGACACGTTCTTTTTTAAAAAATACCATTATGAGCTCTGATTTAAACACACTGGGTGGGTTTCGATCCATGGCAACTAGTGTCATCATAGAAGCTCTGCGGCCGGTGGAACCTCTTCAAGCTGGCTCCTGAGGGCTCTGGACATGGCCCCAGGAGTCTCTGATGGCCTCCTTGCCATCTGCCAGGACAGGCGCTCCAAGATCATCTCATACACTTCCTGCCCAGACCCAGAGCCAGCCACTTCTCCAAGAAGTCGGTTTCCATGAGAAACTGCATCTCCAGACCAGCATCTGGGAGCTAGGGATGCTCAATGCCACAGGCTTAATCATTATTTCGGGGCCTTTTCAGTGAACAGAGCTATAAAGATATATTTTTATATACGGATTAGCCTCCCCACTGAGCCATGTGGAACTTGCTTTTGCATTTTTCCCTTGGCCTGTTTCTGAGGCTGTGAGTTTGTCAGCTACTACACAGACTGCAGTCCTTGTAGGAGATGCACAAGAGAAATTTCTCGCTGCCAGCAAGTGCCTGGCAACTGGGCAACATGCCAGACCTGTGGCTAATCTTATTCCCCTTGTTGCTTGGGCTGCTGGGAATGGGGGAGAGGTGGGGAGTGTGTAGCCCAACGAGGGCCCCTGTGAGGTCCCGAGAGCATTCCGTGACTGTCTTTCACCCTAGGTCGCCCTCCTGCCATGGGCCCAGCAACAATCCTGACCTGGTTGCTGTTTACAGGAACAGGTGCGTTTCTGAGGCCATGCAGACAGTGGGTCATAATGGGCTTCAAGGGCCCCGAGATGGCCAATACCCCTTGTAATGCAGCAGTTCCCAACAGGGTACCCTTGGAGCTGCTGGGGCACCCCTTTAAGGAAAGGACACACGCCAGCTCCATTCTAATGGCCCGGGGGCCAAGCTGGCCTCTGATCCGCTCGGACACACAGCCAGAAGCAAGGGATCTCAAGGCTGTCATGGCACAACTCCACAGTCGCTTCAGTCTGTGCTGTCAGGGTGATGTGACCTCACCGGCTAGCCCTTCACACAGTTCAGGTGTCACAGGGACTCGTCCTGAATGTGGACAGGGCTGGACTTGCTGGCAATGCTGTCACCACAGCCACCCCCCTTTGCCCTCCTACACTGGGCGGTCTGGACAAGCTCACCCGTGACCAGTGACCGTCCTTTCCCAGGGATAGAAGAGAGCACCCTCCAACCTGCAGCTCATACCTCTGGCCTAAACTCAGGGGACAGGTAACCCATGGTGAGGGGCAGTGCTTTGGGGCCTCAAGGGCTCAGCGGAAGAGCCTTAGAAGCTCCTCCTAGAAGGGATGTGAGGATGCCCTTTTGGAGCAAATGCGAGAAGGGCGTGCGCCCCTGCCTTGGCTGGGATGAGCCGCTGTGTGAGTGGAAGATGGATCCCGCTGCTCCCAAGATGAAGCCCACGCGCTGATGCCCAGCAACACCCCAGCCCCGCCCCTCACCCTCCTTTGCTCTCCTCACCTCAGAGGGCCTGAGGCTCAGCTCAGAGGTCTGGTGGCTGCAACTCAGCCGAAAGCACCCATGCCCCTGGCAGCACTTGCCCTGCCCACCACAGATCCCACCTGCTAGAGCACGGGCACTGGTGGTGGGGGAGCAGCAGCTCCCACAACTTACCTTTGATCTCCAGCCACTGCTCATAGTCCTCCTCCTCGTCCTCGTCAGGGGACTGGAAGACACTCGGGCGGTGCGCCACGGGCAGCTGCTTGGCGTGGGAGTAGCTCTTCACAGGGCCCGGCAGGCTGGCCAGCCCCAGGCCTGTCCGCCTGCTGATGAGCAGGGACCTCTTCCCAGCGCTGGGGGTGGGTGTGCTGGGAGGGGCGCTGGGCGCACTGGTCGGGGCGTCTGGTATAGAAGGAAGGATATGCGCACTCGGGATCTGCAGGGCACCTCTCCCGGCTTCCGACCTAACCTAGGTGCTGTGGGCCCCGGGGGAGCTGGGTCCTTGACTTCCAGAACTCAGGGGCTCAGAGGAGGCCACCCTGATTTTACAGATGGGGACAGTGAGGCAAAGAGCAAAAGGACTCGTTGTGGTCCCCCAGCCAGAAAAGCAGCAGCCTGGGGCTCTGAAGTGGGCCGCTGTGGCTGGAGGCATCTCGGTCGCGCTGCACCCACAGACTGGGGACAGTTCTGGGGACAGAACGTCAGTTCTGCCGGGTAAGACCCGAGTCCCCGAATCCCAGTTTACAACCATTCCCTTGGAGGTCTGTGGCCAGGCTGACTGGCCAGGGGCCAGCCTACTGGGTGTTCTCAGCCTGACACCTGATGGGGAAGGGACTCAAACCAGCCTTCCTCATTCTAGGATGAATTTGGCCTTGGGTTAACTTTTCTTAGCTGTTCCCTGGGAAACCTGACAGAGGTCGAAGACCAGCTGTCTCACCAGCAACAATGGGCTCTGGTCGGTAAACCCCAAAATCAGAGACATGGGCAGAAGCTCCACGGGTGACGATTTACCCACCTGGCATATCACACTGCACACCTGTAGGCGACCAACCTACAGACAGGGGTCCCATTCCTTGCACAGGCATTGCTGCCCACTGGAGAAGGCCGGGAATCCCCTGGGGCACTGACAAGGGGGCCAGGTGAGGACCTGGAGACCAGCCATTCTAGCCCACACTTTGGTGTCCAGAGGACCTACAGTGCAGAAGCACCCACAGCAAGGCAGGGGATGGGGCAAGGCTGGTGTGTGACAGCTTCAGGAAGAGCCCTGAGTCTGGTGGGGAGCAGCATCATGAAATTGGCCAGCTCACCACCCTGAGAGCAGGACTAGGGCCCCCGGATCATGAAAGATGCTGGCTCTGCACTTGGGGACCTCATCTTTTTTTTTTTAGTGACAGGGTCTTGCTCTATCACCCAGGCTGAAGTGCAGTGGTGCAATCATGGTTCACTGCAGCCTCTACCTCCTGAACTCCTGGGCTCAAGCAATCCTCCCAGCTCAGCCTCCAGAGTAGCTGGGACTACAGGTGCACGACACCATGTCTGGCTAATTTTATTTTTATTTTTTGCAGAGATGGGTTCTTGCTAGGCTGTCCAGGCTGGTCTCACACTCTTAGATTCAAGCGATCCTCCCAGCTCAGCCTCTCAAAGGGATTACAGACATGAGCCACCATGCCTGGCAGGGGCTTCATCTTTTTAAGCCTTAGCTTCCTAAATGGAAAGTGTGGAAATGGAGGTAACCAGCTGCTTACAGAACTCAATGAGATTTAGTTGGACCATCTAGACCTAAAAAAAATAACGTCGAGTAAGAGAAAAAAGCTTGGAACAAAACGCACACTATGTCGTCATCTGCATAAAGGGTCAAACATCTGAAACTACGGCACACACTGCTTGACTGAGAGGACAACAGGGGTTGTCAGACACACAATTTCTCGACAGTTACTTCCTGTAAGAAAGGGGGATGGGAGGACTTCAACCTCTGGTATTTTTCTTTTTTTTTTTTCTTTTTGAGACTTAGTCTCGCTCTGTTGCCCAGGCTGGAGTGCAGTGGCGTGAGCTCAGCTCACGTGAGCAGAGCTGGTTGCCTCCCAGGTTCGTGCAATCCTCCCACCTCAGCCTCCCAAGTAGCTGGGATTATAGGGGTGTGCCACCATGCCCAGCTAATTTTTGTATTTTTAGTAGAGACGGGGTTTTACCACATTGGCCAGGCTGGTCTCGAACTCCTGACTTGAGGAGGTCCACCCGCCTCGGCCTCCCAAAGTGCTGGAATTACAGGCGTGAGCCACTGTGCCCAGTGAGTATTTTTCATGATTAACAAAGATCAGAAGTATCAAAGGCAAAATGTTACATCTATGAATTCTTTTTTGTTTTCTTTTTTTGAGATGGAGTCTTGCTCTGTCTCCTAGGCTAGAGTACAGTGACGTGATCTCCACTCACTGCTACCTCCGCCTCCCAGGCCCAAAAGTGATCCACCCATCTCAGCCCCCCCATTAGTTGGGGTTAAAGTTATGCATCACCATGCCTGGCTAATTATTTGTATTTTTTTTGTAGAGAGGAGACTTAGCCATGTTGCCCAGGCTGGTCTTGAATTCCCGAGCTCAAGCGATCCTGTCCCCTTCGGCCTCCCAAAGTGCTGAGATTACAGGCATAAGCCACCGCACCCAGCCGACATCTATGAATTCTGAGTGAAGAGAATACGACGTGTGTTATCAGACGTCTACCAAAGGGAAACAGAGGTAGAGAGAGGTGTCCCTCCAGAGGATTCAGTGAGAGCACAGACGTGGTCTGCTTGCACGGAGCAAGGGACATGGCAGGCACTGAGTCCACATTCCCTGGCACACGGGGTGGTACCCGATGAACACTAGTGCCCTGGTGGTCATTGTTGGGTGCCCCCAGCTGCGTGCCCACCCGGCACCTCAGCCGCAGCAGGCCCCAGAACCTATTGTTCTCTGATGCAGCTCAGGTGTCTCGGGCCAGCCCGGTGTCTCTGAAAACCCTGTATGCAGAAGACCTGCTCACCCCTGCTGGTGGGTTCAAGCTGACCCAGCTTGGGGATGCCTCCCATCTCCCAAAGTGGTCTCACAAGTGTGGGGAAGGCTTCATCATGGCTCCACCTGCCCCAGACTGAAATCTGACTTATCTGTCTCTGCTCCTACAGGGTAAGCACATTGAGTGCAGGGTCTACATTTGCCCCCTTGGTAATTTTTTTTTTTTTTGAGACGAAGTCTCGCTCTTGTCCCCCAGGCTGGAGTGCAATGGCATGATCTTGGCTCACCTCAACCTCCACCTCCTGGGTTCAACCGATTCCCCTGCCTCAGCCTCCCGAGTAGCTGGGATTACAGGCGCCTGCCACCACGCCCGGCTAATTTTTGTATTTTTAGTAGAGACAGGGTTTCACCATGTTGGTCAGGCTGATCTCGAACTCCTGACCTCAGGTGATCCGCCTGTCTCGGCCTCCCAAAGTGCTGGGATTACAGGCGTGAGCCACTGCGCCCAGCCTGCCCCCTTGGTATTAATTTACATATTTATTACTTGGGCTGGGTACAGTGGCTCCTGCCTGTAATGTCAACACTTTGGAAGGCTGAGACAGGTGGATTGCTTGAGCTTAGGAGTCCAAGACCAGCGTGACCAACATGGCGAAATCACAACTCTACAAAAAATAAAAAAATTAGCCAGGTGTGGTGGCATGCCCCTGTAGCCCCAGCTACAGGGAGGCTGAGGTGGAAGGTTTGCTTGAGCCCCGGAGGTTGAGGCTGCAGTGTGCTATGATTGCACTACTGCATTCTAGCCTGAGCAAGAGTGAGGCCCTCTCAAAAAAACAAAAATTACTGGCCGGGCGGAGTGGCTCACGCCTATTACCCCAGCACTTTGGATGGCCAAGGCGGGCAGATCACGAGGTCAGGAGATCAAGATCATCCTGGTAACACAATGAAACCCAGTCCCTACTAAAAAGATACAAAAGGCCGGGCACAGTGGCTCACGCCTGTAATCCCAGCACTTTGGGAGGCTGAGGTGGGCGGATCACAAGGTCAGGAGATCGAGACCATCCTGGATAACATGATGAAACCCCATCTCTACTAAAAATATTTAAAAAATTAGCCGGGCGTGGTGGCGGGCGTCTGTAGTCCCAGGTACTCAGGAGGCTGAGGCAGGAGAATGGGGTGAACCCGGGAGGCGGAGCTTGCAGTGAGCCGAGATCGCGCCACCGCACTCCAGCCTGGGCCACAGAGCGAGACTCCGTCTCAAAAAAAAAATTATTTATGTATTATTTATTTATTTATGCCTTTGGTGCACGCATGGGTGGAATGAGGGCGATCTATGATTACCGGTGAGCAGGAGTCTGAGGTGGGACCCATCACTTCCCATGTGCCCAGCAACCCCAGGGGGAGATGCAAGGACAGCACAAGGAAAGGGGAGGCCTACACTCACCTGTGCTGGTCTGTGCCTTCTGCAACTTCAGAAACTGCTGCAAGAAGCTACCATCGTTGGCAAACTTGTTGGAAATGCAGGAAGAGTTGTGTGCATTTGTGATTCTAGAACCAAGACAGAGGACAGAGAGGGTGAGCTGGCTAGAGATGGAGTGAGGGCACCAGAGGACGAGGATGAGGATGAGGCCATCACCTCGTCCATCATGGCCCCTAACTCACCCCAGCACTCTCACCTACTGGGACCCCAAACTGGCCCCCAGAGATTTCAAGAGACTACTGCGAAGTGCGCACAGCAGGCTTCAGTACGGTAAGCTGGGAACAATCTTGTTCTGATAAAAGCAATACTCCATGTATTATCTCTGCCTGAATATTAACCCTCCAGGTCCAAATGGCCCTCCAACAAGATGGCTCCTGCTCTCTCTGCACAGCACCTGTCCTCCCTTGCTAGTTGATTATCTGGGTTGTTACTGACTCATGTCTGTCCTCCTGCTAGACCTTAGAGTTTTCCAAGGCAGGGCCTACATGTCTCTCTCTCTCTGTCTCTCTCCCTCTCTATCTATCTATCCGAAACAGAGTTTTACTCTGTCGCCCAGGCTGGAGTGCAGTGGGGCAATCTTGGCTCACTGCAACCTCCTCCACCCAGGCTCAAGAGATTGTCATGTCTCAGCCTCCTGAGCAGCTGGGATTACAAGCATGTGCCACCACACCTGGCTAATTTTTGTATTTTTGTAGAGATGGGGTTTCGCTATGTTGGCTGGGCTGTTCTCGAACTTCTAACCTCAAGCCATCCTCCCACCTCATCCTCCCAAGGTGTTGGGATTACAGGTGTGAGCCACCACACCTGACCTATTTATTTAAGAGACAGGGTCTTGCTCTGCTGCCCTGGCTAAAGTGCAGAGTGCAATGGTGCGATAACAGGGACTGCAGGCATGTGCCACTCTGCCTGGCTAATTTTTTAATTTTTTTTTTTTTTTTTGGTAGAGGTAACATCTCACTATGTTGCCTAGGCTGGTCTTGAACTCCTGGCCTCAAGCAATGGTCCCACCTCAGCCTCCCAAGTCACTAGGACTAAAGGCATGTGACACTGTTCCTGGCCAATGCCATTTTTTTGACAGGCATGAAGGGCAGCTCTGACAACAGTATATCAGCTGTGCTCAACTTTGATTTAAATATATTTAGGCCCCTGGGTTTGCCTTTGTGCTAACTTGTTAAAAACATATTTTTTAAAAAGTAAAACATATACTTTGCAAAAAAAAAAAAGAGGGAGAGAGTGAAGATAAAATATAAAATGCCCTGTGATTCTTCCAGCAAGATTGCTTTGGCTGTTTTCTTAGAAATGTTTGATGCCCAGGCTGGGCGCGGTGGCTCACGCCTGTAATCCCAGCACTTTGGGAGGCCGAGGTGGGCGGATCACGAGGTCAGGAGATAGAGACCATCCTGGCTAACACAGTGAAACCCCATCTCTACTAAAAATACAAAGAATTAGCCAGATGTGGTAGCAGGCGCCTGTAGTCCCAGCTACCCGGGAGGCTGAGGCAGAAGAATGGCGTGAACCAAGGAGGCAGAGCTTGCAGTGAGCCAAGATTGCGCCACTGCACTCCAGCCTGGGCGACAGAGCGAGACTCTGTCTCAAAAAAAAAAAAAAAAAAAAAAAGAAATGTATGATGCCCAAAGAAATGCTTGCAGATCCCAGCTCTGAGCTGCAGGCCCACATGGGTAAAGAAACACAGGCTTTGGCTAAGCATGGTGGCTCATCCCTGTAATCCCAGCTACTTGGGAGACTGAGGTAGGAGAATCACTTGAGCCCAGGAGTTTGAGGCTGCAGTGACATATGATCATGCCACTGCACGTCTGCCTGGGCAACAGAGTGAGATCATGTTTCTTAAAACAAAAAAAAGTAACAGAGGCTCATTATGGAACAAATGGAAATGTAGAAAAACTGAAATAAGCCTAGGCAATATGGAGAAAACCCCATCTCTACGAACAAAACAAAAAATTAGCTGGGTGTGGTGGCGTGTGCCTATAATTCCAGCATTCCAGAGGATCACCGGAGCCCAGGAGGTCAAGGCGGAAGTGGGCCGCAATCATGCCACTGCACTCTAGCCTGGGTGACAGAGTAAGATCATTTAAAAAAAAATAAAAAGAAAAACTGAAACAGAAAGGAATGGAAAAACCCAACAATGTCTCCCTACTTTGCAACAGCCACTATTAACACTGGTATATATCTTTATTTTGCTCTCTAAATTAGAAGTCAGAGGAAATAAGGCTGTGATCACAGCACACACTCTACTTCTTCCATTTCCTACTGTAGCACACCATCCTGCTCCAATCTCAAATTCCTCACATACGCTGCTTTTTAAACCCGCATGACGTTCCACCATATGGATGTACCCAATGGTGCAAAAAGCTCATGGAGTCCACAGGGCTAGCCTTTTTCCTTTAAATAGGAGAAAGGAATAATTTTTAGTTCATCAGAACTAAAATAACCTAAATACATCAACAAGGGGCACTGGTTAAATAAATTACGGGCCATCCACAGGGAAGATGGGGCAGCCCTGAAAAGTTGAAATTTTAGACAAGCAATCAAATACAATGTTAAAGGAAAAACAAGGCCAGGCGCGGTGGCTCACGCCTGTAATCCCAGCACTTTGGGAGGCCAAGGCGGGTGGATCACGTGGTCAGGAGATCGAGACCATCCTGGCTAAAACAGTGAAACCCCGTCTCTACTAAAAATTAAAAAAAAAATTAGCCGGGCATGGTGGGGGGCACCTGCAGTCCCAGCTACTCAGGAGGCTGAGGCAGGAGAATGGTGTGAACCCAGGAGGCAGAGCCTGCAGTGAGCCGAGATCGTGCCACTGCACTCCAGCCTGGGCAACAGCGCAAGACTCCATCTCAAAAAAAAAATAAATAAATAAAATAAATAAATAAAAAAAAACAAAAGGACAGGCTATAAAACAGTATCTACAGTGTGGTTCTACTTACATCAAAATACATTTGAATTAAAAATTGTTACAAAGGCCGGGTGCGGGACCTCACACCTGTAATCCCAGCACTTCGGTAGGCCAAAGCAGGCGGATCACCTGAGGTCAGGAGTTCAAGACCAGCCTGGCCAACATGATGAAACCCCGTCTCTACTAAAAATACAAAAAATTAGCCGGGCGTGGTAGCGGGCACCTGTAATCCCAGTCACTGGGGAGGCTGAGACAGAAGAATCACTTGAACCCAGGAAGCGAATGTTGCAGTGGGCCAAGATCGCGCCATTGCACTCCAGCCTGGACAACAGAGTTAGACTTCATCTCAAATATAAAAAAAAATTGTTAGACAAACACATCGGGCCAGGAGCAGTGGCTCACACCTGTAAACCTAATGCTTTGGGAGGCCAAGGTAGGAGGATCACTTGAACCCAGAAGTTCAAAACCAACCTGGGCAACATAGTGAGACCCCATCTACACAAAATTTAAAAATTAGCTAGGCATGGCAGTGGACATCTGTAGTCCCAGCTACTCAAGAGGCTGAGGTGGGAAGATAGCTTGAGTCCAGGAATTCCAGACTGCAGTGAGCTATGATAGTGCCACTGTACTGCAGCCTGGGTGACAGAGTGAGATCCTGCCTCTGAAATAAAACAGGCCCGGCACGGTGGCTCAAGGCTGTAATCCCAGCACTTTGGGAGGCAGAGGCGGGTAGGTCACCTGTGGCCAGGAGTTCAAGACTAGCCTGGTCAACATAGTGAAACCCTGTCTCAACTAAAATACAAAAAAATGGCCGGGCTCAGAGACTTATGCCTGTAATCCTAGCACTTAGGGAGGCCGAGGTGGGAGGAACAACCTGAGGCCAGGAGTTAAAGACCAGCCTGGCCAACATGATGAAACCCCATCTCTACTAAAATACAAAAATTAGCCGGGCACGATGGTGGGTTCCTGTAATCCCAGCTACTCGGGAGGCTGAGCAGGAGAATCACTTGAGCCCAAGAGGCGGAGGTCGCAGTGAGCCAAGATCACACCACTGCACTCCAGCCTGGGCGGCTGAGTGAGACTCTGTCTCAAAAAATAAAATAAATAAATAAATAAATAAATAAATAAATAGCCGGGCATCGTGGCGCACACTGGTAATCCCAGCTACTCGAGAGGCTGAGCAGGAGAATCTCCTGAATCCAACAGGCGGAGGTTGTAGTGAGCCGAGATGGCACCACTACACTCCAGCCTGTGTGACAGAGCAAGACTCGTCTCAAAAATAAATAAATTAATTAATTAAATAAAATTAAAAAAAACAGAAAAACACCTCAACACTCAACCAGTGCTTGTCTCTGTGTTGCAGAGTTATGAGTGACTTTGGTTTTTTGTTTACCCCTCTTCTACTTCCTGGATTTCCTACCATGTACATGAATTACCTTTAAAGTTTAAAAAAAGAAGGAGTAGAAGTAATTTTATATGAAAAAGAAGGTTCAATGTTGACACTAAACAACCAGGACATTCTGGGCACCCCTCAGTTCCTGGGCCTGCCCCCATACTCACACCCTGAGCACTTCACTCAGGAGGGACCAGGAAGAGGTAGGGACAAGGAAAGACAAGAAATCACATTCAGGCTGCAGAGTACAGCGAACGGCTCCCACCTGAAAACCACTGGTAACAAATACTGGGAGATAAAAATGCTGGTTCTTGGCCGGGTGCAGTGGCTCACGCCTGTAATCCCAACACTCTGGGAGACTGAGAGGGGCGGATCACCTGAGGTCAGGAGTTTGAGACCAGCCTGACCAACAAGGAGAAACCCCGCCTCTACTAAAAATACAAAATTGGCTGGGCGTGGCAGCGCATGCCTGTAATCCCAGCTACTTGGGAGGCTGAGGCAGGAGAATCGCTTGAAACTTGGAGGCAGAGGTTGTGGTGAGCTGAGATCGTGCCACTGCACTCTAGCCTAGGCAACAAAAAAAGAAAAAGAAAGAAGAAAAGGCAAACGCTGCTGGGTGCAGTGGCTCACACCTGTAATCCCTTTGGGAGGCCAAGGTGGGAGGATCACTTGAGTCTAGGAGTTCGGGACCAACCTGGGCAACATAACAAGACCTCATCTCTACAAAAATAGAAAAAAATTAGCCAGGCATGGTGGCACGTGCCTGTGGTCCCAGCTACTTGGGAGGCTGAGGCAAGAGAACTGCTAAAGCCCAAGAGCTCAAGGCTTCGGTGAGCCATGATCCCACCACTGCACTCCGGCCTGGGTGACAGAGCAAAACCCTGTCTCAAAGAAAAAAAAAAAGGAAAAGCTGGAGCTGGAACAAGGCCTTGGGGAAGGTTAACACACTCTACACTCCAGACCCCAGAGGAAGGGGCCTGCCTCTCAGATTATCAATCTCCAGCCTGAAAAGCTTGGATCTGGTCACCCTCATCACAACATCACCCCTTGATCAAAACCCTTGGTGCCCTCAGTGTTTCTCAGGACAGGCAAGTGGAAACCCTTGCTGAGCTATCATCCACCTGCCATCCACTAAGGGACAGCCCCTTTGGTACAGCAGCTCAGGCTGGCCCTCCACATATGGGCTCTCTCCCCTTCCTGCCCTCTGCTGGGCAGGCCTTTCTCTGCTTCCTCAGTGGGCCAGCTCCACCTGGGCTTTCAGGATGCAAAGCTCTGTGGCCTTACTGTGGCCACGGGGCCTGGGAACACACTGCCTTTGTTATCTTCCAGGAGCTCTGGGGCGGCACCTGCATCCCTTTGCCAGTAGTTTGTCACCCCATAAGGGCAGAGGTTTTTTTTTGTTTTTTTTTTGAGACAGAGTCTCACTCTATGGCCCAGGGTAGTGTACAGTGGCACGATCTCAACTCACTGCAACCTTTGCCTGCCAGATCCCAGAGATTCTCGTGCCTCAGCCTCCTGAGCAGCTGGGACTACAGGCACGTGCCACAATGCCCAGCTAATTTTTTGTATTTTTTAGTAGAGATGGGGTTTCACTATGTTGGCAAAGCTGGTCTCAAACTCCTGGCCTCTAGTGATCCTCTGTCTCAGCCTCCCAAAGGGCTGAGATTACAGGTGTGAGGCAGCACACCTGAACTCAAGGCAGAGATTTTTACTCTGTTATACCCCTTCCCTCTGCACCACAGCTGGCTGGCAGTAAATAACTGCTGAGTGGATGAGTTGGCAGGCTGTCCTCTGGGCTTCCACATACCCCTCATTTCTCTCTTGCCACAGTGAGCCTCCCAAGGGCATCTGGGTCATTCCTTGGATCATCAGGCTATGGCTGGGTGCAAGCACATGCTGACTGCCCTCACAAGCCAAACCCTGTGCTGGTGACCCTCAAAGACTCACATCCAGGCCCCATCCAGGCCCCAGCAGGCACTTACTCGCCAGGATGTGGGGGCTGAGGGCTGGCCACCTGATTCTGCTTGGCTTTCTGTTCCATTTTGGCTTCAATTTCCCGTTTCTTCTGAGCGATGAGCTCTTCCTGGTGAAGGATGTTCATGTTCATTTTTCCAGATTTAGGGGGAGCAACCCCAAACCACCGGTTAGCCTTTCCTGGGGAGGGAAAAGGAGTACGTCGGAAATCACCCTTACTCCACAAACACCCCAAGAAGCTGTGACAGGCCAGAGAGCAACTGATGTTCAGATTAATTTATATGTCTATTAGTTCATTTATTCAGCAAACACTTACAGAGTGCCTGCTGCATACCATACCCTGTACTTACTACGTGCTATGCAAGAGAACACAGGTCTCTGCCCACGTGGGACTCGCTTCAGGCTGGGAAGACAATAGACCCATAATAAAAAAGTAACTTTCGGGCTGGTGCAGAGGCTCATGCCTGCAATCCCAGCACTTTGGGAGGCAGGGGCAGGCGGATCACTTGAGGTCAGGAGATCGAGACCAGCCTGGCCAACGTGGTGAAACCCTGTCTCTACTAAAAATACAAAAATTAGCTGGGTATGGTGGCATGTGCCTGTAATCCCAGCTACTAGGGAGGCCGAGGCAGGAAAATTGCTTGAACCAGGGAGGTGAAGGTTGCAGTGAGCCGAGATGGTGCCACTGCACTCCAGCCTGGCAACAGAGCAAGACTCTGTCTCAAAAAAAAAAAAAAAAGTAAGTGCACAATGTGGTAAGAGCTCTGCTGAAAACCAAAAAAGGGTGAAAAAGTAACAGGAGAGTACATATGCAGGTAGGACAGGCAGAAAATAAACACTAGAAGAGGAGACATTTAAACCAGAAAAAACAAATAAGAAGCCAGCGTCATGAAAAGCCAAATGGGAGATGATCTGGGCAGAAGAAGGAGCAGATGTGAAAGCTCAAGGCAGGAAGAAGCCTGGTACATCCAAGGAGCAGCAAGTGCCCAGTGTCAGAGGGGCCTGCTCCAGGGACAGGCAGAGGTGAGGCATGTCAGAGCATCTGTGCTTTATTATAAGGGCTTTGGGGAGTGATGGAGAAGCACTAAGATGAAGAATGCAAGATCCATTGGGTCTTTTTTTGAGACAGGGTCTGGCTCTGTTTCTCAGGCTGGAGTGCAGTGGTGTGATCTCAGCTCACTGCAGCCTCCGCCTCCCCGGCTCAAGCAATCCTCCCACCTCAGCCTCCCAAATAGCTTGGATTACAGGCATGCACCACCTCACTTGGCTAATTTTTAAATTTTTTCATAGAGATGAGGTCTTGCTATAGTGCCCAGGCTGGTCTCAAACATTCTTTCCACCTTGGCCTCCCAAAGTGCTGGGATTTACAGGCATGAGGCACCGTGCCCCAGTGGCTTTTTTTTTTTTTTTTTTTTGAGGCGAACTGTTACTCTGTCAGCCAAGATGGAATGCAGTGGCACCACCTCGGCTCATTGCAACCTCCACCTCCCAGGTTCAAGCGATTCTCCTGCCTCAGCCTCCTGAGTAGCTGGGATTACAGGCGTGAGCCACCACACCTGGCTAATTTTTATATTTTTAGTACAGTTAGGATTTCGCCATGTTGTCCAGGCTGGTCTCGAACTCCCGTCCTCAAGGGAACCTCCAATTTACGCCTCTCAAAGCGCTGGAATTACAGGCGTGAGCCACCGAACCCAGCCTTCTTTTTTTTTTTTTTTTTTTTTGAGATGAAGTATTGCTCTTTTCCCCCAGGCTGGAGTGCAATGGCGCGATCTTGGCTCACTGCAATCTCCACCTCCAGAGTTCCAGCGATTCTCCTGCCTCAGCCTCCCGAGTATCTGGGACTACAGGCATCTGCCGCCATGCCTGGCTAATTTTTTCATATTTTTAGTAGAGATGGGGCTTCACCATGTTGGCCAGGCTGGTCTCGAATTCCTGACCTCAAGTGATCCACCCACCTCAGCCTCCCAAAGTGCTGGGATTACAGGCGTGAGCCACCACACCCAGCCGTTTTTTTTGTTTTGTTTTGTTTTTTTGAGACAGGGTCTCGCTGAGTTGCCCAGGCAGGAGTGCAGTTGCATGATCGTAGCTCACTGCATCCTCAAACTCCTGGGCTCTAGAGATTCTCCCACCTCAGCCACCCGAGTGGCTAGGACTACAGGCACACTCTACCAGGCCTAGCTATTTTCTTTTATTTTTTGTAGAGACAGGTTCTTGCTATGTTCCCCAGGCTAATCTTGAACTCCTGTCCTCAAGGGAGCCTCCCATTTAAGCCTCCCAAAATGCTGAGATTTTAGGCATGGATCACCACACCTAGCCAATATCCACAGGGTCGTTTTATTTTCATCCTGGCTACTAGGTAATCATTCTGGCCAGAGAATCCACAGGCAACAAGACCAGGGAGGCTCACTGGCTCCAAGCAACAGACAATGATGTCTTCAGACTAGGGTGATAGTATGGAGACAGGGAAGACACCTCAGAGGTTCCCCATGGGACTCAGAATAAAATCCAAATTTTAAAAGTCTGAGCCGGGCATGGTGACTCACACCTGTAATCCCAGCACCTGGGAGGCTGAAGCAGGCAGATCACTTGAGGTCAGGAGATCGAGACCAGCCTGGCCAACATGGTGATACCCCGTCTCTACTAAAAATACACAAAAACACTGGCCAGGTGCGGTGGCCGGCGCCTGTAATCCCAGCTACTCAGGAGGCTGAGGCAGAAGAATGGCTTGAACCCGGGAGGTAGAGGTTGCAGTCAGCCGACATCGTGCCACTGCACTCCAGCCTGGGCGACAGAGCGAAACTCCGCTTCAACAAAAAGAAAAAAAGAATTCTAAAAGGCCATTTTCAAGGCCCCGCCAGATGGTTCCCCTCCCTTCTGCTTCATCCTTGACATTCTTCAAAAGGACAAGCCCATCCTACCAGGGCCTCTGCATTTACTGGCCCCCCTCTGTGTGGAAGGCTCCACCCTCCAGGGATTCCCATAGCTGGCATTCATTGTCTTAACTCAAATGTCCTCTGCTTGAAAAGGCCTTTCCCTGGGCCAGGTGTGGTGGCTCACACCTTTACGTAACCCCAGCACTTTAAGAGGCTGAGATGGGAGGATCGCTTGAGCCTAGGAATTCCAGACCTGCATGGGAAACGTGGCAACACAAAAAACACACAAATTCGCTGTGTGGTGGCGCGCATCTGTGGTCTCAGCTACTAGGGAGGCTGAGGTGGGAGGATCACCTGAACCCAGGGAGCCACAGTGAGCCACTGCACTACAGCCTGGGCGACAAAGTGAGACCCTGTCTCAAAAAAAAAAAAAAAAAAAAAAAGAAAGAAAGAAAGAAAAGGTCTTTCCTGACTACCCAATATCAGAAGCCTCCACTCTGATCATATCATACGTAACCTCACATCATACGTAAGTTTTTGTAAATATTTTCTCATTAATGCACTGACACCCCAGTAGAAAGCAACCTCCAGGAAGGCAGGGCCCTGTTTCGGTCACCGCTGCATGCGTAGCGCCCAGCACACTGCTTGGCACACAGTGAGCACGCCCTAAGTATCTGCTGATGGGTAAATGCATTCTATTCTGGGGAAGCAGAAAGGCCAAGGCTTGCAGCAAAGTGAGGGTCAAAAGACGCGGGAAAGTGTGTCAAGGGAGCCTCAAAGCACTTCGGAAAAGCAGCTTTTCCAGAAAGCGGGACACAGGCCAGAGGCCAGCTGCGACGAAAAGAGGGGTGCAGGGACAGCCCAAGGTTGTCGCCGTATTGGGGAACGGAGGTTGGAGCAGCCCTGAAGGCGGTTGTTTCGGAAACGGGACGCAGGGCCGAGCCGGGTGGCGGCCTCTACGGAGATCCGTGCGTCCTCAGCAAACCAAGCGGGGGCGGCCAGCAACCTGGGTCTGGGGTCTCGAGAAACCAAGAGGTGCAGAAGCCGACGCTGTGGGCTGCCCCGGGGCTGAAGCGAGGGATCCACGGGTCGCAGCAGGACGGACCCGAGGAGTCAGGGGAGACACCTAGCCCCAGGGACCCAGGCGGCCGCCTGAGAGGAGGCGGGGGCTGTTACCTGCAACATCCCGGTTGTCCATCTTGAGACTCATCCAATCCCACAATGCTCCGGCGCCCCTTAAGGGGCCCTGTTATAGTGTGCATCGCCTGATGGGAGATGTAGTCCGCCTCGGTCAGACTCGCCCTATTACTGCGTGAACGACTGGGTTTTTTTTTTTTTAACCTCCAGAAACGGAAGCCTCAGCCTATCAGCGATGCCTAAGTCCCAGTCACGATAACCAAACGGCGTCGCCCTTTTACACCTTCCCGGAGCGGCAGTCATCCCAAATACAAACTACATGTTCCAGGATGCTTTGGGCGGCAGATCTCGCGGAAGCCGCGAGGAGAGCCCGGCCCCGTCTCGCGCGCCTGCTTCCGCCTCCCTGTGGCGGCGGCTTGTTGTTGTGGAGGCCAAAATGGCGGCTCAGGCGGCGGCAGCGGCCCAGGCGGCGGCGGCCCAGGCTGCGCAGGCCGAGGCGGCCGACTCGTGGTACCTGGCGCTTCTGGGCTTCGCTGAGCACTTCCGCACTTCCAGCCCGCCCAAAATCCGCCTGTGCGTGCACTGCCTGCAGGCCGTGTTCCCCTTCAAGCCGCCGCAGCGCATCGAGGCCCGTACACACCTGCAGCTGGGCTCCGTTCTCTATCACCACACCAAGAACAGCGAGCAGGCGCGCAGCCACCTGGAGAAGGCGGTGAGCGCGGGCCGGGCCGCGAGGGAGGAGTCGCGGGCTCCTTGCAAGATCTGGGCTGACGGGTCGCGACCGCGGCGGGTGGGGGGCCGCTCCTCGGCGACCTGGGGGCGCGACCTCCGTCAAAGCCGCAGGACCCCCACCCGCCTCTGCCGGACCCCAAAGCCACCAGCCTCTCAAGGGACACGAAAGCCTCGCCCCCCACGCCTTATTTCCCGTTTCTGGTGACAGGGCTCCAGGAGCCCCGTCACCGTACTCTGAAAGTTGCCTGTTATTGGGAGCAACAGGATCCGCAAATCGTCTGGTTTTCAGGAGGATCCCACCTGTTGGTGGCGATGGGGACATCACAGGGTCCTGAAGCTATTAGCTCCTCCTGGTTCAGCTTCCGGAGCATCAGCCCCAAACGCTTCCACCTAAAGTGACTTGGGGTAGGGGTTGGCGAAGGCGAGACCCCTGGCATTCTCCCGGGAATCTGAAGTCTGGTCTCTCAGGAACCTGGAAGGGCATGATTCTCCTTGGACACAGAAGTTTGGTAATCGTGGTTTTTGGAGGGTCTTGTGCCCCCATCAATAATGCCTGGTGTCGTACGAGGGAAGCTGAGACCCGGAGTCTGGAGTTGGTCATTTGAGGCCTATGAGGAGGAGAAACAGGGGTTCTGGATTCCAGGCCCCGCTGTTCAGTTTCAGTATTAGGGGAACTAAAAGCAGCTCCTGCTTTTTCTCCATCCACTGGTGACTTCTACCATCCATCAGTCCATCCTCTTCCGTCAGAGTGAGTCCCTCCCCTGACCCAACTTGATTTGTGTCATCTTGGTGCCTCAAAGAATGCGGGAGAGTGGCTGTCATTCTGCCCTTTAGTAAACTTTCTTTTTTTTTTTTTTTTTGAGACGGAGTCTTGCTCTGTCACCCAGGCTGGAGTGCAGTGGTGCCATCTTGGCTCACTGCAAGTTCCGCCTCCCGGGTTCAGGCCATTCTCCTGCCTCAGCCTCCTGAGTAGCTGAGACTACAGGCGCCCGCCACCACGCCTGCCTAATTTTTTGTATTTTTTAGTAGAGATGGGGTTTCACCGTGTTAGCCAGGGTGGTCTCCATCTCCTGACCTCATGATCTGCCCACCTCGGCCTCCCACAGTGCTGGGATTACAGGCTTGAGCCACCGCGCCCGGCCCCTTTAATAAACTTTCTAGGGCCAGGCTCAGTGGCTTATGTCTGTAATCCCAGTATTTTGGGAGGCGGAGGCAGACAGATTACTAGACCCCAGGAGTTTGAGACCAGCCTGGGCAACACAGTGAGATCCCGTCTCTACAAAAAATACAAAAACTAGCTGGGCGTACTGACGCGGGCCTGTAGTCCCATCTACTCCAGAGGCTGAGGTGGGAGGATCAGCTAAGCCCCGGGAGGTCGTGGCTGCAGTGAGCAGTGATCACGCCACTTCACTCCAGCCTTGGTGACAGTGAAACCCTGTCTCAGAAAAAAAAGATAATAAGGAAAAAATAATAAAATTTCAGGCTGTGGAGTCGTTTTTTTCTCACAGCAGCGCTGTGATCCTGTCAGACCCCTGCCTCCCTTTTACCTTTTACCCAGCTCTGTCCTGCTTGAATAGAAAATTATTGAAAAGAATCAACTCAGATTTTAAAAACTCATTAATCTGAGGTAAATCCAAGCCCACCCTCAGCTAGTAACAACTTGCCTTGAGGAATAGATCAAATCTTTGTTTCACAGACTGAAAAGTTGGAAGGAGACTTTATTTTATTTTATTTTATTTATTTGTTTATTTTGAGACGGAGTTTCGCTCTTGTTGCCGGGGCTGTAGCGCAATGGCAGGATCTCAGCCCACTGCAACCTCCGTCTCCCGGGTTCAAGTGATTCTCCTGCCTCAGCCTCCCGAGTAGCTGGGACTACAGGTGTGCGCCACCACACCCAGCTAATTTTTGTATTTTTAGTAGAGACGGGTTCACAGTATTGGCCAGGCTGGTCTTGAACTCCTGACCTTGTGATCCACTCCCCTCGGCCTCCCAAAGTGCTGAGATTACAGGCATGAGCCACTGCGCCCAGCCCCAGATAATTTTTTTTCTTTTTTTTTTGAGACAGATTCTCGCTTTGTCACCAGGCTGGAGTGCAGTGGCGCGGTCTTGGCTCACTGCAACTTCCGTCTCGTGGGTTCAAGCAATTCTCTTGCCTCAGCCTCCCGAGTAGCTGGGATTACAGGCTTGCACCACATCATCTGGCTAATTTTTGTATTTTTAGTAGAGACAGAGTTTCACCATTTGGTCAGGCTGGTTTCGAACTCCTGACCTCAAGTGATCCGCCCATCTTGTCCTCCCAAAGTGCTAGGATTATAGGTGTGAGTCACCACATCTGGCCAGTTTTATTTATTTATTTATTTATTTATTTTGAGACAGGGTCTCGCTCCATCACCCCGGCTGGGGTGCACTGGCGTGATCTCAGCTCACTGCAGCCTTGACCTCCTGGGCTCAAGCAGTCCTCCCATCTCAGCCTCCTGAGTAGTTGGGACCACAGGTACGCACCACCACACCCAGCTAATTTTTGTGTTTTTTGTAAAGACAAGGGCTTGAACTCCTGAGCTCAAGCCATCCACCTGCCTCAGCCTCCCAAAGTGCTGGAACTACAGGCTTGAGCCATTGTGCCCAGCGTGGAAGGCAACTTTAGTCCTCACTTGATCAACTGCCTTGTTTCAAAAGGGAGGCATTATGGGCCCAGAGAGGTAAAGTGATTTGCCCAAGGCTGCACAACAAGTTATTGACAAAACTAGGCTCAAACTCCAGCTCAGTGATAACCAGGTTACATGCCAAGATGATACATCATTATTGTTTTGGTGAAGTTTTTTTTCCTTTGATTCATTCAACAGATACTTGTTCAGCTCATGCAGGATGCCAAGCCCTATTTTTGGTGCCGGGGGATCAGCAATGGCTAAAACAGTTTCTGCCCACGTAAGCCTAGGTTTTCATGAGGAAGACAAATGATAAGCATATAGTAAGAGGTTAGGCAGTGATGGAAGAACCTTGAGAACTGAACCAGGGAGAAGAGATGGAGTTGACTTGGAGCTATTTTTGGCAGAGGTAGTGAGAGAGTCTCTATTTGTGGGAGTGACATTTGAGCAGAGGCCTGAATGGGTGGGGCAGGGAGCCTGGAGAACCACTCGGGGGGTCAGGTTGATGGCAAGGAGTGCCTAAGCTGTCGGGGACTGGCAGATGGTATCAGGGTCTCTCCAGGGTCATGATGAGGCTGAGATCAAATGAGGCACCAGACTTTATTGACTGGGAGGGGTCTGGTGGCCCAGCATCTCCAGTGGATGTGCTGGTTCTAAAACTCTCCTTTCTCTCCATGAACAACTCCCACCACCTGCCTTCCCTTGTCTCCCAGGGCTGTTCAGCCTGTTTCTGGCAGTGGCTAATAGTCACTGTGTGTACTGTCGTATTTTGCCCACTCAGCCCTGTCTAGGAGAAGCAGTCATGCTGCAAATTGCTCGCTTTACCACTTGGCTTTTGGACCCATAATTTAAACCCTTCTCCTTGCGAAGTGCCTTTGCTCTGTCAAATGGAACTTTGAATCTTGAAGGGTCTTCCACTGAGCCACATGGTGCCCTCTGTAGCTCACGCCAACTTTATGCCTGGAAATCCCGTTCTTTTTGTCAGTCGCATCCCAACTGAAAATTTTTCCAGCTTTTAGTTAAAGTAATGTTTTCTATACTGTTTTCCTTCCACCAACGTTTGTGAATTTTTTTTGTGTTACAACATAAGCATGCTTTCTTTCATCTTCATTCTTTATTAATTGTGCATTTTTTCCCAATCAGGGAGCTATCAACTTTTATTCTTTCCTTCCCCAGAGCTACTTAATAAAGAATCGTATGTTCTCCGCTTAGAGGTGGTTTGCTGGTTTCTACTTCTGAAAAGCAAATGGCTGAAGAGATTCCAGTGTCTTCTTGGAGAGCCAACCCAGTGTAACAGTATTTTGCAATAGTTTGTGACATTTCTCCTTGCTCATTCTCTCTGCTGTTCTTTTTATTTTTATTGTTACTTTTATTTTATTTATTTATTTTTTGAGATGTAGTCTTGCTCTGTCACCCAGGCTCTGGAGTGCAATGGCGCAATCTTGGCTCACTGCAACCTCTGCCTCCCGGGTTCAAGCGAGTCTCCTGCCTCAGCCTCCCAAGCAGCTGGGATTACAGGCGCCCACCACCACGCCCAGCTAATTTTTGTATTTTTAGTAAAGAAGGGGTTTCACCACGTTGGTCAGGCTGGCCTTGAACTCCTGACGTCAGGTGATCCACCCGCCTTGGCCTCCCAAAGTGCTGGGATTACAGGTGTGAGCCACCACACCCAGCCTATTTTATTTTTCATTTTTTTGAGAAGGAGTTTCACTCCTATTACCCAGGCTGGAGTGCAGTGGTGCGATTTCAGCTCACTGCATACTCCACCTCCCGGGTTCAAACGATTCTCCTACCACAACCTCCTGAGTAGCTAGGATTACAGGCATGTGCCACCATGCCCAGCTAATTTTGTATTTTTAGTAGAAACAAGGTTTCATCATGTTAGTCAAGCTGGTCTCGAACTCCTGACCTCAGGTGATCTGCCCGCCTCAGCCTCCCAAAATGCCGGGATTACAGGCATGCCACCACACCCGGCATCTCTCTGCTCTTCTTCACTGAACTAATTTTCTCTAACATAAGTGCTTAGGTAAAACCTATTATTGGCCCCTGAACTCAGTGCTACATCCAGCTTTCCTATTGTTTTCACTGTCTTTTGCTTTCTCTCTAAGAGACCCCAGCCTCCTTGGTCATCACATTTTTATTTAAGGTTATTTCTCTTTTATCTGCTTCTGTCAGTTTCTAATGGTCTCCTCAACTGCATTTTTTTTTTTTTTTTTTTGAGACAGAGTCTCACTTTGTTGCCCAGGCTGGAGTGCAATGGCGCAATCTCAAATCATTGTAACCTCCGCCCTCCGGGTTCAAGCGATCCTCCCACCTCAGCCTCCTGAGTAGCTGGGATTATAGGTGTGTGTCACCATGCCTGGCCCTCAACTGCATTTTAAGTCGTCTAGAAAGATATATAACATACTTACTCGTCTACTTCATCAAGTCAACTAACTTTGAAAGAATCATCCATTAAATGTCCCCATCAGGCCAGGTGTGGTGGCTCACACCTGCAATCCCAAGACTTTGTGAGGCCAAAGTGGGCAGATTGCTTAAGCCCAGGAGTTCAAGACCGGCCTTGGCAACATAGCAAAACCCTGTCTCTACCAGAAAAAAAAATATAGCCGGGCGCGGTGGCTCACGCCTGTAATCCCAGCACTTTGGGAGGCCAAGGTGGGCGGATCACGAGGTCAGGAGATCGAGACCATCCTGGCTAACAAGGTGAAACCCTGTCTCTACTAAAAAATACAAAAATTAGCCAGGCGTGGTGGCGGGCGCCTGTAGTCCCAGCTACTCGGGAGGCTGAGGCAGGAGAATGGCGTGAACCCGGGCGGCGGAGCTTGCAGTGAGCTGAGATCGCGCCACTGCACTCCAGACTGGGCGAAAGAGCGAGACTGTCTCAAAAAAAAATATATATATGTATATATATATATATATACATATATATATATATACACAAAAATTAACCAGGCATGGTGGCACATGACTCTGGTCCCAGCTACTCAGGAGGCTAAGGCAAGACAATTCTTGAGCCAGGAAGTTGAGGCTACAGTGAGCTGTGATCGTGCCACTGCACTCCACCCTGGACAACAGACCGAGACCCTGTCTCAAAACTTTAAAAAAAGAATCCCCATCAGAGTCAAAGAGGGTATGTCTTCCTTTCCTCAGCAACTTTTTAAAAATTTGATTGTATTTATTTTTATATTTTCTATAGAGCTAGGGTCTAACTGTGTTGCCCAGGCTGGTCTTAAACTCCGGGCCTCAAGCAATCACCTGCCTTGGCCTCTCAAAGTGCTGGGATTACAGGTGTGAGCCACCACACACAGCCTCCCCAGGAGCTTTTTTTTTTTTTTTTTTTAGATGGACTCTCACTCTGTTGCCCAGGCTGGAGTGCAGTGGCGCAATCTCAGCTCATTAAAACCTCTGCCTCTCAGGTTCAGACTATTCTCCTGCCTCAGCCTCCCAAGCAGCTGGGATTACAGGTGCCTGCCACCATGCCAGGCTAATTTTTTCTACTTGTATTTATTTATTTATTTATTTATTTATTTATTTATTTATTTTGAGACAGAGTCTCGCTCTGTCGCCCAGGCTGGAGTGCAATGGCGCGATCTCGGCTCACTGCAAGCTCCGCCTCCTGGGTTCATGCCATTCTCCTGCCTCAGCCTCCTGAGTAGCTGGAACTACAGGCGCCTGCCACCACGCCCGGCTAATTTTTTATATTTTTAGTAGAGACGGGGTTTCACCGTGTTAGCCAGGATGGTCTTGATCTCCTGACCTCATGATCCACCCGCCTCGACCTGCCAAAGTGCTGGGATTACAGGCGTGAGCCACTGCGCCCGGCCTCTACTTTTATTAGAGATGGGGTTTCACTATGTTGGCCACACTGGTCTCGAACTCCTCAGCAGCTTTTTTGGGGTCACAGTAGTTGGTGTCTCGGTGACTCTTGCCTCTGTAGGGCCTCAGAACACCTGCCGGCCGCCTTGTTCCCTGGGTCTGCTCAGCAGATTCTGGAGCTGTTACAGTGCATGGCAGGACACTTTACCTGAAAGCCTTCCTTCTCTGAGTATGGTTTTGGCAGTGATGTGGGTGTGTTTTGGCTGCTCTGGGACTCCCCTAAGTAAATAGTTGATGACTATAAGCATTGTCACTTTACTTAGACATTTCTTGGCTAGAGAATTCGCAGTGACCAACCTGGGCACTACCCTGTCTCTACAAAAAATTTGAAAATTAGCGGGCCCGTGGTGGCTCACATCTGTAGTCCTAGCTACTTGGGAAGCTGAGGCGTGAGGATCACTTGAGCCCAGGAGGTCGAGGCATCAGTGAGCCGTGTTCCTGCCACTGCAGTCCAATCTGGGTGACAGAGAGAGACCCTGTCTCAAAAAAAAAAAAAAAAAAATTTTGCAATGCCATTTCTGCAGATTCTGACAGGTTGTGTTCTTCTATATTTTGCTTTCCTCTTGTTCTCTCTCTTCTTGCTGTACACCCATCCCTGTAAGTTTTCATTCTTCTCCTCTCTTCCAGGCCCTATGGCTTTTTTCTTATTTTCCCACCTGTCTTTTAAGCAGACAGATCCATCTTGGTCATTTGGACATCTGCTGTTGAATCAAGAGAATGTACCTGCATATCCGTTTCCCCCTTAACTTTTTTTTTTTTTTTTGAGACAGAGTCTCACTCTGTTGCCCAGGTTGGAGTGCAGTGGCGTGATCTCGGCTCCCTGCAAGCTCCGTCTCCCGGGTTCATGCCATTCTCCTGCCTCAGCCTCCCAAGTAGCTGGGACTGCAGGCGCCCACCACCATGCCCGGCTAATTTTTTGTAATTTTAGTAGAGACGGGGTTTCACCATGTTAGCCAGGATGGTTTCGATCTCCTGACCTCGTAATCCGCCCGCCTCAGCCTCCCAAAGTGCTGGGATTACAGGCGTGAGCCACCGCGCCCAGCCACCCCTTTAACTTTCTTACTTCTGATCACAGTCCCTTTTATCCCTTGGCCTGGGAAGTGCACCATCATTCTTAGGTTTTCCTGGTTTGAAAGCCACCCAGGACTAAATGCCGCCTCTCTGGAAGAACTTACTATTTTCTATAATCCAGGCAGTCATTCTTTGAACAGTGGTGTTTTCTGACTGCGTATGCCATGCTTGCTTTCTCTGTGTCAATGCCATGCGTGCTTTCTCTGTGGTTGGAACAGGGCTGCTTTTTAATGGTGGTTTTGCTCATCTGACTTAGAAAGCAGCTCCAGACTGTGCTGGTCAGATACTTAATTCTGCATCCAGGTTTAGCCTGAGCATCTATGGTTCACTTTCTCAGCAAGTGATTAAATGCTTCCTTTTCTCTTAAGACCCAACAGGGCTAGGTTCTGAGCCTCTCCTCATCAGGCCCAGCGTAAGCAGTTCTTTCATTCTTCAGGATCACAACTGTGTCCTGCTAAATTCCGTGTCCCATCTGCAGGGAGCAGAGACTTGTGCAGAGCTGGCCGTTACGCAGTTTCATGAAGTGATCTGTGCTTCCTCCTGTTTTTGTTTCTATTTCCTTCCCTCTCACTCTTGAGTCACCTCTGACTTCAGGATGTGAAATCTGTTTAGGAACCATCACCTCACGGTTCTACCAGCTGGTCCCTTCCTCTCCCACCCCGGTTCTTCTACTTCCTGATTGCCAGTTACTATAGCATCATTGGCACCTACTACATGCCAGGCCCTGCATTGGTGCTTCACAGAGCAAGGTCTCCCTGGATCCTCAACAAATTAACAGGGTAAGGCCCACCTCAGACTCACCTGTGATGACACCCAGCCACTGCAGGAGAATGTGCTTAGCCACAGTCACACAGCAGCAAGAGGCCAGGGAAGCTGCTAAATGCTGTGCTTCCATCCCAGAGGTGTTGCAAGCAATAGGGTAGTTTAAAAAAAAAATGATTTTGAGCCAGGCATGGTGGCTCATGCCTGTTATCCTAGCACTTTGGGAGGCTAAGGCGGGAGGAGTTTGAGACCAGCCTGGGCAACATAGCCAGACCCTGTCTCTTAAAAAAAAAAAAAAATTGAAAAATTAGCCACACATGCCTATAGTCCCAGCTACTTGGGAGGCTGAAGTAGGAGGAGTGCTTGAGCCTGAGAATTCAAGGTTACAGTGAGCCATGATTGCACCACTGCATTCCGGCCTGGGTGACAAAAACCCTGTCTTTTTAATTATTTATTTATTTATTTATTTATTTATTTTTTATTTTTTTGAGATAAAGTCTCACTCTGTCACCCAGGCTGGAGTGCAGTGGCGCAATCTTAGCTCCCTGCCACTTCTGCCTCCTGGGCTCATGTGGTTCTTTTGCCTCAGCTTCCAGAGTAGCTGATGTGACAGGCACACACCACCATGCCCAGCTAATTTTTGTATATTTTGTAGAGATGGGGTTTTGCCATGTTGCCCAGGTTGGTCTCAAACTCCTGAGCTCAAGCAGTCCACCTGTCTTGGCCTCCCAAAGTGCCAGGATTACAGGCGTGAGCCATTGCTCCCAGCCAACCCTGTCTCTTATAAAAACAAAACAACAACAGGCCAGGCATGGTGGCTCACGCCTGTAATCCCGGCACTTTGGGAGGCTGAGGTGGTAGTATCTCCTGAGCCCAGGAGTTTGAGACCAGCCTGGGCAAGATAGCGAGACCCCCATCTCTACAAAAAAGTAAAACAATTAGTTGGGCCTGCCAGGCGCCATGGCTCACGCCTGTAATCCCAGCACTTTGGGAGGCCAAGGCGGGTGCATCACCTGAGGTCAGGAGTTCGAGACCTGCCTGACCAACATAGAGAAACCCCGTCTCTACTGAAAATACAAAATTAGCCAGGCGTGATGGCGCATGCCTGTAATCCCAGCTACTCGGGAGGCTGAGGCAGGAGAATCGCTTGAACCCGGGAGCCGGAGGGTGCCATGAGCCAAGATCACACCATTGCACTCCAGCCTGGGCAGCAAGAGCGAAAATTCATCTCAAAAAACAAAATTAGTAGGACCTGGTGAGATGCACCTGTAGTCCCAGCTACTTGGGAGACCGAGCCAGGAGGATCTCTTGAGCCCAGGAGTTTGAGGTTACAGTGAGGACCACTGCACTCCCCCTGGGTGGCAGAGGGATACCATGTCTAAAAACTACAATCAAAAAAAGCCTTTTTTTTAAAAGTTACTTTGGTTTTAAGGAATAAGAAGCCTTGAAACACTCAGCCCTGGACTGAATCCTCCAGGCACCAGAGCTGTGCTGGTCTGGACCCTTCCACCCCACTTGAAACCTGTTGGCCCTGTTGCAACCCTCTCTTGCTTTCCCTGAGAACCCTAAGGTGACCCCAGGGGCTGCTGATGGAGACAGTCACCTCCTTGCCCTGCTCCCTGCAGCCTCTCACTTTGGCTGCTTTGCTATCATAAGGAAGGAAACATAAAAGCTACTTTTTAGCATTACAAAGTTAAAAAAAAAAAACACCCGGGCACGGTGGCTCACACCTGTAATCCCAGCACTTTGGGAGGCCGAGGCAGGCAGATAACAAGGTCAGGAGACCGAGACCGTCCTGGCTAACATGGTGAAACCCGATTTCTACTGAAAATACAAAGAAAAATTAGCCAGGCGTGGTGGCGGGCGCCTGTAGTCCCAGCTACTCAGGAGGCTGAGGCAGGAGAATGGCGTGAACCTGGGAGGTGGAGCTTGCAGTGAGCTGAGATCGCGCCACTGCACTCCAGCCTGGGCGACAGAGTGCAACTCCGTCTCAAAAAAAAAAAAATCACGTAGATGAGGTAGCAACCTTGGGTAAGGCATTCTACATCCTTTATTTGTGAGATGGATATATTTTTCTGATTTCCAAATATATGCTACAAGTCATACAGAGGGCTGGGTGAGGTGGCTCACAACTGCAATCCCAGTACTTTGGAAGGCTGAAATGGGACGATCACCTGAGCCCAGGAGTTCAAGACCAGCCTGTGCAGCATAGCAAGACCTTCCCTGTCTCTACAAAAAAAAAAGAAAAACAAAACTCTAACAAAGATACAAAAGTGAAGTCATTTAGTAGGTGTCAGATTGATGGCCCTGGGGAATTGACTGGCTCACCCTGACACCAGGCCCATACTGCCCTTCAGGAATGTGTGTCCTCATGCAGAGAGATCCAGGTGTCACTGATGTCCCAGTGAAGAAGCAGTGGCATTTAAAGACAGGGAGAAATCCCATGCCATTTAGGGCTTTGTGTCTGAAAGGCATACGCCTCCGTTCTGTGGCCATTTGCACTTACACAGAAGCCCTCACTTTCCTCTAATGAACTCTACTCATTATCCAAGTGGATAAAGCCATCGTTCGATCAGCAGATGTTTCCCGAGCACCTACTGGATGTCAGCTTGCTGCAGGCATTGCAGCCACAACTTTAAAGTCAAACATCATGGGGCTTTTTTTTGTAAGAGTCAGGGTCTTGCCCTGTTGCCCAGGCTGGAGTGCAACAGCACAATCATAGCTCACTGCAGCCCCAAACTCCTGGGCTCAAGTGATCCTCCCACGTCAGCCTCCCAAGTAACTGGCATTACAGCATGCACCACCATGCCTGGCTGATTTTTTTTTTTTTTTTTTTTTTTTAGAGCGAGAGACAGGGTCTCGCTGTGTTGCCCAGGCCGGTCACAAAAAGAGGGGCTTTATCTAATGTCCTCTGTTTGTATGTATTTGAAGTGGGCGATAAAGCTACATGGGAAACGGATGTTAAAAAGCGCTAGGATGTAATTTCTCCAGTGCCTTAGAGCATCGCTAACTCACAGTGGATCCACACCTTGAACCCAATCCTCTGGCTCCCAGTCAGCGCTCCTGACACCCACTGACGCTAGTGGACGCCTTCCACAAGAGAATGCTTGTATTTGGAGCCTTTGGGCACATTACTTCCCAGCTCACCAGTGCTCACTGAGAGCCTCCCCTTCCTCAGGGGAGATGGGATCCTCTCTGTCTAGCCCACCCGTGGACGGACGGAGCTGGCAGAGAGGCGAGCCCGTTAGCAGCAGGCATATCTGGCTTGTAAAGAAGAGATGTCTTGGCCAGCCGCTGCGGCTCACGCCTGTAATCCCAGCACTTCGGGAGGCTAAGGCGAGCAGATCACCTGAGGTCAGGAGTTTGAGACCAGCCTGACCAACGTAGAGAAACCCCATCTCTACTGAAAATACAAAAATTAGCCAGGCATGGTGGCGCATGCCTGTAATCCCAGCTACTTGGGAGGCTGAGGCAGGAGAATCACTTGAACCTGGGAAGCGGAGGTTGCGGTGAGCTGAGATTATCCCATTGCACTCCAGCCTGGGCAACAAGAGCGAAACTCCATCTCAAAAAAAAAAAAGAAGAGATGTCCATGGGGTCAGGAGAAATGAGGTCCAGTCCAACTGTGTGCTGAATAGATTGATGTTAGCCACATCATGGCCCCAAATGGAGAAGGGACACAAAGCTGTTGCTGGCCAAGCACGATGTCCAACGCCTGTAATCCCAGCACCTTTGAAGCCCAAGACAGGAGAATCACTCAAGCCTAGGAACTCGAGACCAGTCTGGGCGGCGTAGCCAGACCCCATCTCTACAAAAAATAAAAAAAATTAGCCAGACGTGGTGGTTCGCACCAGTAGTCCCGGCTACTCAGGAGGCTGAGGTGGGAGGATCACTTCAGCCCAGGAGGTCAAGGCTGCAGTGAGCTCTGATTGTACTGCTGCACTCCAGCCTGGACAACACAGTGAGACTGTGTCTCAAAAAAAAGGAAAAGCTGTTGCTATGAGGAGACATTGTTGGACCCACATGGGCCTGAGCTCGGTGGCATAGGCCAAAGCTTTGTAGAAGGGGGTGTAGTATTCTGAGGCATGAAGTGACTGGACATGTCCTTTTGAAGTCTACCCGCCACAGACATGCACGTGTGGGCTGTCGTCAGCTCTGGGGAGAGCATCCCATGGCCACAGACTGGAAAGGAAAGCTTCTCCGCCCAAAGGGAGGAGGGGGAATTCACGTGTTGACTGGTCGCCTTGCTTACCTCTGCTGGGATGCAGTGACAGAAATGGGGCCAGCTTTGTCACAGGTGCCAGGCTTAGCTGCAGGTGCCAGGTTTGCACCTTGCTCACCCAGGCTGGGGCTGCTGCTTGTGTGTGGCAGTGCTGTCTACCCTGGACTGTGTCTGAAGAGCTCCCCCTTGCCAGCCCCATGGTGCCCAAATCAGAACCACCAAATCTCAGGGTTCAGGGAGACCTCAGCCCAGCTCTAGTACGGCTCCTCTGTCACAGTCCCCTCTCTCCTGTGTGATTGGGCATCCCTTCCAGTTGGTGGCCTTCCAGAGCTTCTTGTGTTAGACCCGGCTTCTCAGTGGGATGCAGCAGCTTCTGTGGAAAAAAGCCCCCAACTTCTGCTCTTCTGTTGCATCACACACGTTGCCACTGTCCCCACACACAGCCTCTAGCTGAGGAGCCTCACCTCTGGGGCCACACTTCTGACGGCAGGTGCTGGCCCCGCCACTCTGAGGACCCCGAGCCCCTCCTGTCCGTGCCACAAGAGGGGACCACAGGAGGCAGACGCTTGGGCTGGCAGAGGGCCTGTGGTCTGGGCTCCTGCGTGTGGGTGCATGTGTGTCAGGGGCTCGGGCTCTCTCCCACAGCTGTCCTCCTGGCCCCCTGTGTCTTGGCAGTAGCTGCTCTCGATGCAGCTCTGTGCTTTCCCAGTGCCTGTGACATTCCCAGCTGCTGCTCACCCTTGCCCTAGAGATCTCCAGCCCCAAGGCTGCCCCCAGCCGTGGATCTCCAGGCCTCACTGGCTCCTCCGCACTCCCTTCGTGAATACTCTCTGCTGCATCCAGGATGGTCTGAAAACTCCCATCTGGGCAGGTGCTTTCATTTTCCACCCCTGACTGAGTCAGCTTCCAGGGGTGACACCAGGGCATTCTGACCCTCAGCTAGGAGTGGCCGCTGTTGCCGCATGAGTGGCAGAGACCATCGGGCTTCAGCCTCACCTCCCTGGCCCTCTGCCTTTTTTATGGGCTTTTCAGTGCCTGGAGCACCTCCTGCTCCCCCTTTTCCTGGAGAACTGGCCCCTCACTTCCCATACTTGCCACACATGCTGCCCTGCCCCATGCAGTCCTCCCACAGAGTGCGATGAGTTAGGGTCTCCTGCTGTGCTCCGGATCCACCTTCCAGCAACCACCGAGGCTCTTGTCAGGTGCAGGTTGCTCTGAATGTGTGTGGCACATGCGAGTCGCTGGGGACAGCGTTAGGCTTGTGTGCTTGGGACCCTGGGTGGTCTGATGGGCTGTGGTCAGTGGCCTGGACTAGCCTGGGAACTGTTGGAACATGGAACTTTAGGGCACAGTGGTCCCTGAGTTGGAGCCTGTTGTCTGAACTGCCTTCCTGGTGTGCATCTTCAGTGCCATCCCGCAGTTCTGCCTGTGTCAGCCCTTCCTGGAGCCCCCTCCCTCCCCTCTGAGAGACTGACTTTGCTTATAGCCAAGCATCTTTCAAATGCCTCTTGCTCAGAAGGACTAACCTTGCCCCCCAAGACCCATTCTCCAGTTGAAACTGATTTCTCGTGTTATGCTTTGCTGAACGTCCTTCCTCTCTGCCTGACCTCTGACTGCCAGCCCTACTTCCGTGTGACACCTGGGGGCCTTGCTGTGGCCAGGTCACCTCTGAGCTCTGTTCCTTTCTGAAGCAGCTCCCACCCATGGGCCTGTGGGGTCTGACTCCAAGTGCGAGCCCCTCCTCTGATGTCAGAAGGGCATGTCCCCTCCTGCCCAGGCACCCACTGGGGCTCTATAGCTTCCATTCCCCTGGCTGGATTGGAGGGGAGTAAGCCTACCCTCTCAGGCCAAGCGGGCCGCCTTCTTGTTACCTGGATACCTGGCAGCCTCTGTTCTCAGGACAACCTGTGGAAGCCCCAGAGCGAGCCAGTAACCAGGTGCCAGGTGTTTGCCTGAGAATTAATCGTTGTTTTCTTTCTTTTTCAGTGGTTGATATCACAGCAAGTATCCTTTCCGTGTTGGTATGGTTCCCTTTAAGGAATTCTCCACTTAAATAAAAAGAATGTATCAAAGCTTGAATCCCACCTCCCGACATGCCCTGTGAGTTGAGGCTCGGCCCACAGAGCACCTGGAGTGTCCCCCACCTGGCCCTCTGCTGCCCTTGGGCGCTGTGCTCCTCTTTGTGCTTCTCTTCGTACCTTGCATCCAGCTCCAAGCCCTGCCCTGCAGCAAGCTCAAGGTTCACTGGGGGAACAGGAAAACTTGGAATTTCAGGGCAGGCAGGGACGTGTGTGCCCTGCAGACCTTGGCAGGGTAGGAGCCCCAAGCTGTGGCCCTTTCAAACCGACCTTTTTCGCAGTGTCTGTACTTCCTTAACTGGACGTCACTAGATCCCGCAGTTCGAAGATGTTAAATTTGAAGCAGCAAGTCTGTTGTCTGAATTGTACTGTCAAGAGGTAAGAACATATTAAGGTTTCTGAAAGCAAAGTGTCTCTCCGTGTCGCTAAGACATGACAGCACATTGGTAAATTGGGGTTCCGGGAGTTGGAATCCCTCCGGCTTTTTTTGTTTTTTTGGTCGGGGTGGGAGGACAGGGTCTCACTCTGTCGCCCAGGCTGGAGTGCATGGCACAATCATGGCTCACCGCAGCCTTAAACTCCTGAGCTCAAGTGATCCTCCCACCTCAGCCTCCCGAGCAGCTGGGACTATAGGCATGCACCACCATGCCTGGCTAATTTTTTTTATTTGTTCTAGAGATGATCTCGCCCAGGCTGGCCTCAAGCAATCCTGCCTCGACTTCCCAAAGTGCCAAAATTATACACAGGAACCACTGTGCCCAGCCCGGTGGCTTTTAACACTCAGATTACTTTCCTGCCTCTTATGCCCCAGCCCCAGGGCTTTGGTGGGTAGCCACCTGCTAAGGAGGGCCAGCAGCTTCCTTTTCTACATAAGACTGTTGGAAAGATCAGCCTGTTCCTCACCTGACAAGTCTGTACAGTTTCTCTTCTTAATCTGGTTCCTAATTTCAATTGTAGCCGAAATCTGCCTTCCTCCCACCTCAGAATGATGACGGGTAAGGTGGCATTGGCAGCAGGGAATGTGTGTGCTTCACACCCTGATGCCTCTCTCTGGTCTGAGAACATAAAAGAAGGGAACTGGCGTCTGATTTGAGTGTTTAGAATTTTGAACTGAAACTACTTTCAGTCCAGTTGAATGAGAAGTTATTTTAAGAGTGATGCAGAAACTTCCCAGCCAGTGAGTCCAATAAAATATCTTTTTTTACTTTTAATAAAGTAAATTGGCAACCCCAAAAAATCCTTTGGTAAGCATGAACAGGAACTGCCTTCTGGCACCACAGCTGCTGCTAAGGAATCCAGCTTGATTGCCGCCTTGTTTTTTTTTTTTCTTACATTCCCAAACGTGACTATTTCCTTTCAGAATTCCGTTGATGCAGCAAAGCCGCTGCTGCGGAAGGCGATCCAGATCTCACAGCAGACCCCATATTGGCACTGCCGCCTGCTCTTCCAGCTCGCTGTGAGTACCGCGGCCCGGGAACGAGGGTGCCCGGCAGGGACCATGACCCTGGGGCACACCTGCCCCATTTGCAAAGAACAGCAGAGTCCACGATGCGCAGACCCCCTCGGGCTGGCACATGGAGTAGGTGGGGACATGGGAACATTTCCTTAACCTGCACACAAGCCCCTTTCAGCCTCCATCCTTGAGAGCATCTCTGGCTTGAGCCTGGCTCTCGGCAACACCCAGGGGTGAGTGGTGGGAGTGCGGGGCTTCCCCGGGGCCAACACTGACAGCGGGCCTGCTGCTTGTTGGGTGTCTTTGGGTTCCCCTCCCTCCCAGCCGTTCTCATCTCATCTTTGGCCTGCACTCATTGAAATCCCAGGAACATTTCCTGCCAGAGACCCACTGTGGGTTTTTTTTAGGAGCTACACTGAGACTCCAAGGGGCTGCCTATCAGGCCACAAATGGCCATGTCAAGCATTGTGTCCCACATGGGGCCCCTCACGTTGGAGGCTGCTGGGGCACACCCTCATCCTGGGATCCACACAGTTCCTCCTCATGCTCCCTTTGGCCCCCCCAGATATAGGTGAAGCCCTGGTCTCTGAGCTCCACAGTGCTCGGTTGTTGGGGGACTCTGAACTCGGCCTTCCCGGCTGCAGTGGAGGGGCCGGCAGGCTCCACCACGTGGGGCACCTCTCCTGTCCTGGGCTCCACCCATACTTCTGCACTGGGGACCCTCAGGCGGGTGGCCGGCCCCCGGCCTCTCTCTTCCATGACCCAGCCTGCCTTCCGGGCCACCACTTAGCCACCTCCCATGACACCTATGCAGTATGTGGACCCTGGGTTGGGAGTTCCTCCAGCTGAGTCCCTCACCCCAGGAGGGTCTGGCTGAGAAAAGTACGCACAGGGAAGAGCTCCCCCAGCAGCCAGGAGTTCCCGAGGCCCTCCTCCCCCAGGCCTGATGAGAAGCTGCATACACATGCTGTGTCCTTCCATCTCCCCACGCACTCTTGTGCCCATTAGCAGACAAAGGAGCAGGCCAGGCCGTGAGTCACCTCCCCTGGGCCACAGAGTTGGCAGGCACCATGTGCACGCACACCCAAGGGCCGAGCTCTTCACCACAGCCCCATAGGTATTGCCTTGCAGGGTCAAGCCAGGCATGTGCCTCCCTTTCAGCCTGTTCAGACTTTGACACTTGCCTCTGAGGGAGTCCCTCCTTGTCGGCCCTGGAACACACTAGGGACACCCCACTGAAGACAGACCCCACAAAGCACTCAGAACAGCCTTAGGTGCTCACACAGCCTTGGGGGTCTGTGCCGTGAGCCTTGGCTGCTGGTTCTATGCTCCATTAAGTTTAGATAGTGTCCACTGCAGGCACCATTCAGTTTAGATGACATATATACTACAGGCCAACTGGAGCTGTGTACCCAAAGCAATTAGCGTTGATAAGATAATTTGGTTAATTTAGCTCAAAACTGACACAGGCAGTTTCACTGACGTGGGGAGGTTTGGTTGAGTTTGCTAACAGAGCACGAAGGCAGGTACCGTAAAACTGATGGGTTTGGCAGCAAAGGTCACTGCTCTCTTTCCTTTTTAGCAACTGCACACGCTTGAGAAGGACCTGGTGTCGGCCTGTGACCTCCTGGGTGTAGGGGCCGAGTACGCCCGGGTGGTGGGATCTGAATACACACGGTAGGCACCCACTCCCCTCCTTCCCTCCTGCTCTGTTAACAGGAGGGGCTTGGCCATCTTGGTCCAGGACAAATAACAGAAATGGCATTTCAGGTGAAGTACAGTAGCTCACAGTATATTCCCAGCACTTTGGAAGGCCAAGGTAGGAGGATCACTTGAGCCCAGGAGTTCAAGACCAGCCTGGGGAACATAGTGAAACCCCATCTCCACAAAAAATACAAAAATTGGGTCCGGGCACAGTGGCTTACGCCTGTAATCCCAGCACTTTGAGAGGCTAACGTGGGAGGATCACGAGGTCAAGAGATTGAGCCCACCCTGGCCAACATGGTGAAACCTGTTTCTACTAAAAATACAAAAATTAGCTGGGCGTGGTGGTGGGTACCTGTAATCCCAGGTACTCGGGAGGCTGAGGCAGGAGACTAGCTTGAACCCGGGAGGCAGAGGTTGCAGTGAGCCAAGATCATGCCACTGTACTCCAGCCTGGCGACAGAGCGAGACTCCGTCTCAAAAAAAAAAAAATTAGTCACCATGAGGCGCGGGTTTGAGCCTGAGTTCAGGCACCCAAGCCTGCCCACTGGCCCCAACGCTGTGTGTCCACCGCCGCGTTTTTTTTTGTTGTTTTTTTTTTGTAGAGATAGGGTCTCACCATGTTGCCTAGGCTGGTCTCAAACTTCTGACCTCAAGTGATCTGCCCACCTTGGTCTCCCAAAGTGCTGGGATTATAGGCATGAGCCATTGCACCCAACCGCCTTCTGGGCTTTTCACGTGAGTGCGTCTAAGCCATGTAAGAAAAATAAATACAGGCCAGGCACAGTGGCTGACACCTGAAATCCCAGCACTTTGGGAGGCCGAGGCAGGTGGATCACATGAGGTCAGGAGTTTGAGACCAGCCTGGCCAACATGGTGAAACCCCGTCTCTACTAAAAATATAAAAATTAGCCAGGCATGGCCGGGCGCAGTGGCTCACACCTGTAATCCCAGCACTTTGGGAGGCCAAGGTGGGCAGATCACGAGGTCAGGAGATCAAGACCATCCTGTGAATGGTGAAACCCCGTCTCTACTAAAAATACAAAAAATTAGCTGGGCATGGTGGCGGGCGCCTGTAGTCCCAGCTACTCAGGAGGCTGAGGCGGGAGAATGGCATGAACCCAGGACGCGGAGGTTGCAGTGAGCTGAGATCGCGCCACTGCACTCCAGCCTGGGCGACAGAGCGAGACTCCATCTCAAAAAAAAAAAAAAAAAAATTAACCAGGCATGGTGCCAGGTGCCTGTAGTCCCAGGTGCTCAGGAGGCTGAGGCAGGAGAATCGCTTGAACCCGGGAAGCATAGGTTGCAGTGAATCGAGATCACACCATTGCACTCCAGCCTGGGCAACAGAGTGAGACTCTAAGAAAAAAATAATAAAAAAAATAAAAACAGGCCGGGCGCGGTGGCTCACACCTGTAATCCCAGCACTTTGGGAGGCCGAGGCGGGTGGATCACGAGGTCAGGAGATCGAGACCATCCTGGCTAACACGGTGAAATTCTGTCTCTACTAAAAATACAAAAAATTAGCCGGGCGTGGTGGCGGGCGCCTGTAGTCCCAGCTACTCAGGAGGCTGAGGCAGGAGAATGGCGTGAACCTGGGAGGCTGAGCTTGCAGTGAGCTGAGACCGCACCACTGCACTCCAGCCTGGGCGACAGAGCGAGACTCCGTCTCAAAAAAATAAATAAATAAATAAAAATAAAAATAAACACAGACACAATAGGATAAAACAGAGCAGTCTTGTAAGGGGACTGTTCTCTGTTGTCCACTGAACTGTCCCCTGAGGTGGCATATTAGGTCCTGTGAGCCTTGGGGTAATCACAGTCATCCCAGGAGGCTCCTGGGCCTGCTAGGACCTGACCCCTGCCTCTTGTTTTGCAGGGCGCTGTTCCTCCTCAGCAAGGGGATGGTAAGTTGAGGCTGGGCATGGCTGGATGCAGCTGGTGTTGTGGAGGTGAGGCAGGGCCCCCACAGAGTCTGCTCAGACCCCACCCACTCTCCATGGCATGGCCCCTTAGGCGCCCAGACCCTTAGGCACAGTGAGCAGCCTGGAATGTGAGGCCCGGGCCCTGCTGGGTTCAGGAGGGAAACTCAGGCTGCACCCTATGGGATTCATGCTGAGGCAAGAGCCTGGTTAGGAGCTGCCTGGGCTGGGGTTTCAGGCTGGCCTTGCCCTCTGGATTGGTGGCAGCAGTCCCAGGGCAGGTGGGCAGGTGACCCTGTGCTCCCGGTCCTGGGAGGGCCCCTGCAAGCCCTGTACCCTACACCTGCGCCTCTCCCTCCCCAGCTGCTGCTGATGGAGCGAAAGCTGCAGGAGGTGCACCCGCTGCTGACCCTCTGCGGGCAGATCGTGGAGAACTGGCAGGGGAACCCCATCCAGAAGGAGTCGCTGCGTGTCTTCTTCCTGGTGCTCCAGGTCACCCACTATCTGGATGCCGGGCAGGTGTGTGGCGCCTCTCAGGCGAGCTGCTGGTTGTGACCAGTGGGTATGGGTGGTACCCAGGCCAATGGGTCTTGGGCTGTGAGGTCAGCTGTGTCATCGCCTTACCTTGCCACACAACAGGGCTGTCATACCAGTCCCGGACACACACACTCCTGTCCTGCTCTGCCACGAGTGCTGGTATCTGGGAACAGGGTCTGTCCTGGCCACCCCACCTCCCTTTGGGAGTACTATGTGTGACATTGCATACACTCGCTCAGTGTATGGATGCTCAGAGATTCCAATGGCAGTTCAGGGAATCATGAGAATAAACCACAGAGGTGCTGGGATGGCACCTGCACACAGCAGATGCCCAGGTGCTGTCTGTCTGGCCCCCGGCTGTGGGGTTGAGTAGGGACTGATGTGCTCAGCCATGTCCGAGACTGGACTCATGACCCTGCCGTGGGTGGGGAGCGGCTGTGTTTGAGCTCCTTGTCTCTGTGCTTGTGTGACAGTCTCAGCCCTTCGGGGGCTGGGGGCTGCCCTGTGCCACTCAGACCCACCCCTGTCGCAGTGGGCCACAGGCGAGTCTCCACAGGGCTTGGTAAGGGGGTTGCCCAGTTCGTCCATCCATACCCATCGTTGCCCATTGGGTGAAGCACTGCACTCGGCGCATAGGGACACAGAGCAGACTGCAGCCACGCTTCCCTCAGGGTGCAAGGGCTGCAGAGACATCCCTCGGGGCCTCAGGGCGAGATGGACCACAGCGCCTGCCTGATTCCTGGGCCAGGAAGCCACCTCCCACCCCCTCAGAGCACAGCCTCCCCCTGCCGTCTCAGGTCTGGCTGCGTGAAGACCAAGTGCAGCTCCAGCAGGGTCTGGATAGGCCTCTCCTGGGCCTTGGTGTTGGACCCAACACTGGGCAGTGGACAAGCCTCAGTCCCACAGCTGCCCGCCTGGCTGTGCCCCATGCCCCAAAAGCCTGGCTGATTCATGGGAGTGCGGCAGGGGCGGCTTCATCTTGCAGGAGGTGGCCCTGGCAGAAGGGGAAGGCAGATGCTCCCTAGAGGAAGGAGCAGGGGTGGCTGGGCTGGGCCTGGCTTCCTGAGAGGCCAGGCTCAGGTGGATGCTCGGGTGTGGGTGCTGCACAGGTGAAGAGCGTGAAGCCGTGTCTGAAGCAGCTGCAGCAGTGCATCCAGACCATCTCCACACTGCACGATGATGAGATCCTGCCCAGCAACCCCGCTGACCTCTTCCACTGGCTGCCCAAGGAGCACATGTGTGTGCTTGTCTACCTGGTGCGTCCCCACCAGGGCCCGGGCCAGGGCTGGGGGCGGGGGCAGGGAGAGGGAGAGGGCCCTGGTAACCCCTGCTGTCTGGTCTTGTCGCTAGGTGACTGTGATGCACTCCATGCAGGCCGGCTACCTGGAGAAGGCGCAGAAGTACACGGACAAGGCCCTCATGCAGCTGGAGAAGCTCAAGAGTAAGTCAGGTGCTCGGCTGGCCACATGGCCACAGCGACCCCTGGCGGACGGCCTGGCCAGACGCTAGCTGTACCAGGGCCCAGTGACCCTGTGTGACCGCAGCGCCCAGCCACCCTGCCTGGTGGGTCTCGTCACCCCTAGTTGATAAATGCTGGTGTCCAACGTCAGAGCAGAGCAGACAGGCCTGGGGTCGGGGGTACCTCCCTGACTGGTCAGGTCCCTTGTGCCCAGTCATGCTCAGTTGAAACAGGTGGTAGCTGCTTTTCCCAATTATTATCAGTGTTGTGACAGGGACACTCGGGATGAGGCCAGGATCAGAACTCAGCCCTCACTGACCACCAGCATGTCCTTTGGAGGTCGTGAGTTCTTTCCAGATGCTCAAGTGTCTAATCCATCCAGGGACCTTTGACTAGCACAAACCCAGAGCAGACGTCCCTGGCTGGTATAGTGTGCCCATTAGTCGGTCTGTTTGCTCCCTCGTGAGTGCTGCTGGGGGAGAAGGCATCAGAGCCAAGGCAGCCCAAAGCCGGATAGGCCCTGTGCTTCTCTTATTCCCATATGAGGATGGTTGCTTGGGGCTGTTGGGAGGTGGGGCCCAGCCCAGGTCCCCCTACCCGACTGCCTGAGGCTCTGCTGCATGGTGTCATGATCCAGGGTGGTTTCCACATTTCTACATTTCTAGAACCTGCCATGTCCACAAGCTCTTGAGCACGTAGGGTGAGGGTGAGGGTGAGAGCCAACCCTTCTTGGAGCACTGTGGGAACCAACCTCTGGCTCCAGCTCCGTCTCCCCACCTGGACAGCAAGACACACTCCTTCACTCAGAGGGTGCAGTGGGGACTAGGGGAGATGACGGGGTGGGTGCCTAGCCAGTGTGGCAGGAGACAGGAACGAGGTGGGGGCACGGTGGGCTGGGGGTGGCGCCTCCTCTGGCCTCCCCTGCATGCTTACCCCTGACTCTCACCCATAGTGCTGGACTGCAGCCCCATCCTGTCATCCTTCCAAGTGATCCTGCTGGAGCACATCATCATGTGCCGCCTTGTCACGGGTCACAAGGCCACGGCGCTGCAGGAGGTAAGGCTGGAAGCAGGAGGGGCGGGAAGGCCCAGGAGTTTGTTGGGTCTCAGCAGTGTCAGACAAGAGACTGAATTCGCCAAGTGCATACTGGCAGGCCAGCCCATCCTGCTGTCTCGCTGTCGGCCAGCGTTTTACAGCCCTGCATGGGCACCACTGATCAGAGAATCTCATACAAAAACCAGTGGAGGCCGGGCGCAGTGGCTCACGCCTGTCATCCCAGCAGTTTGGGAGGCCGAGGCGGGTGGATCACTTGAGGCCAGGAGTTTGAGACCAGCCTGGCCAACATGGCGAAACCCCGCCTCTACTAAAAATATAAAAATTAGCCAGGTGTGGTGGCAGACACCTGTAATCCCAGTTACTTGAGAGGCTGAGGCAGGAGAATAGCCTGAACCCAGGAGGCAGAGGTTGCAGTGAGCCGAGATCGCACTACTGCACTCCAACCTGGGCAACAGAGTGAGACTCCATCTCAAAAAAAAAAACCCAAAAAACTAATGGGCCATGGCCCAAAAGCTTGCACACCAAGGGGATAGCGCACATGGTCTCTGGGGATTTGGGGGGTCCTTTGACAGTGATTGTTATACCCCACCCTGCCATTAGGAACACTCTACCCCCAGTACCCACCCTCCTGAGAGGGCATGGGGGCCCTCAGTAGGCTGGAGGTCCTTTACAACCCAGACACCTGTTGGACAGAGTGGAAGAGACGAGTAACAGACAAGGGTCCCTGTCCACGATGGGATCTGGGCTGCCCTTTGCCCTCATGGTGGACGTGTCTGCTGGGGCTTTGTACCCCAGTTTGGTCAGACAGGACATGGGCTCACCCACCAGCTATGGGGTCTCTCCATTGCTGCTCAGACGCCAGGTCCCAGGTTGCAGTCCTGTGATGGCAGTACACTCTCTCCCGGCAGATCTCCCAGGTCTGCCAGCTGTGCCAGCAGTCCCCCCGGCTCTTCTCCAACCATGCAGCACAGCTGCACACATTGCTGGTGAGTAACCCTGTGACAACACCCCGGGAGAATCCAGAATGTTCTCAGTAAGTAAGTACCTAACCAGATCCAGAACATTCCCAGTGAAGGACCCCCTGACAGCACCCTAATCAGAATCCGGAATGTTCCCATAGGTAATCATATAACCTTCCCAGGCACGATCCGGAATGCTCCCAGTGAGCATCTTGTCCCACCCCACATTGGCTTGGGTCTGAAAGGTGGGGACAGTGAGCATATTACCTGCCTTGCAGCTGGCTCGGTAGAGCCATTGTCATACTCCTCCAGGGCAGCCGTGCAGGCCCCGGGCACACCACGTGTCTCTGATCTGAGCCCCCTCCCCAGGGGCCGGCCCTGATGACAACACCACCTTCTTCCAGGGCCTGTACTGTGTCTCTGTCAACTGCATGGACAACGCGGAAGCCCAGTTCACCACGGCCCTGCGGGTAAGGTGCCGGCCCTCCTTGCTGCTCGGGGCGGGCCACACTTCTGAGTAAGGAGTCGGGCGTGGTCTGTGATGAGGACAGCAGTCGCGCTAGGTCAGCTATGCAAAGCCGCAGCCCCAGAGGCAATGCACAGTAGTCAGCCCATGCCAGCCTTGGCAGTGACGCGCTGTTTATCTGGATAAGGGACAGCTATGGGGCCAGGGGCTTCCTGAGCTGACCCAAGGGCAGACGTGAGGGAGAGGTGCGACGCGTCCGGGGACACCACTTTCATGCCTGAGTGGGAACTTTTGCGGCACCCACCCCCAAGGCTGGATTGGCTCAAGTGTCAGCTGACAACTCAGAGCCATCCTGGGTTCAGGGCTCCCATGGGGAGTGGTGGAGCTGGGCCATCTCCCAGGTGCTCTTTGGACAGAGGAGGACTCTTGGTCCTGCTGGGCCGGAGAGGGTGAAGCAGCACCCCAGGCTCCTGGCCTTAGACGGGGGCCCCGCCAGGCCCTGGAAGAAGGCTGGTGCCACATCCTCACGGAGCGCCCCAGCCCAGGGCTGGACCATTGTGTCCCCACCTCAGCCTCAACCTCCTCACAGGAAATGGAGGCTGTGGACACCTTTTTCCTGGTGGTGCCAGGAAGGGCCCTGAGGAGAGGTGTCAGGGAGCAGAGGCTGCTCTGTCTGCCACTCGGGCAAGGTCACCAGGGAGTCCTGTGTGCGCCCTGACTGTTGGACAGGGTTCCCATTCCACGGCACCCCGCAGGCCTGTGGGTGCTGCCACCCCCGCCACTGGCCTCAGAGATGCACAGGAGCCCTGACATGCAGACAGCATGCTTGGGAGGGAAGGGCTGACTCAGCACCCACTCCTCTGCCTCCTCACCTCGCTCCCAGGACCCTGGCTCACTCTGACTGCAGCAGGGCCAGGACCCTCCTCGTGGCCCTGCCATCCTGCCATCTCCGTCTCCGTCTCACTCCCCACAAGTGGTTGCTATTGCTGGTTTGGTTCCGCGTCAAAGTTCCCAAGGCCATGTACCCTAAGGAGTCCTCACCCCGAGGCCAAAAGAGAGCCTCTTTTTCATGGCCCACCCAGGAGTGATGGAGCCAGGATGCAACCCCAACACCCCTAACCCCAAACACACACGCCTCCTGTGGCCCTGAAACAAACATCTCCCACCTTGCTACGTCTCAGAGCATCTGTGCTTGATTCGGAAGATCCTCTGGGCCTCCTGGGTGTGTGCCAGGAGGGGATCTGTGCAGGTGGGGTCTGTGCTTCCTGGGCTCACTCCACCTCTTGCCCAGCCCCACTGGGAACCAGGGTCTGAGCAGGGCTTGAGCTACATAGATTGGACCCTCTCTTGACGAACGATCTCATTTGCCAAGAAGAGCCAGGGACCATGGCCCATCCACCACCTGTCATCAGCAGCATTTCTGGTCTCTGACACAGCATCACCTACCTGGAGCGGGGCCTGTGCTGGCCCCCTGTGGGACAACAGCTCCCCTCTTCCCCACTTCCCCCTATGAAGAGTGACCCCCGCCTAGGACCAGCATATGCCTTGATGGCAGTGGACACCTGGGTCCCACAGGTTGCTGGCTGTGGCCTGGAGGAAGGGTCCACCAGGTCTCAGTCCTGAGAGACAGTGGAAAATGGACCAAAACCCGACATGTTCTGAGGGTAGGATTGGGGTGGCTGGTTTTCCTCTTCTGTGTTCTCTAACTGCCCCGTAACGCAGATGATGGTTTTATAATGAGAAGAAGTAATAGCTGTGTTATCCTTGAGCTTAGGAGGCAAAACAAGTGTGTTTGAAATGAAAAGAACAAGTCTTTTCCAAAGTAGTCTCCGTGGAGATTGTGGGTGCTCTGACACTGCCACATGGGTCACAGCACCCGACCCAGCCCCCTAATGTCCCCGCCTCCCATTCCAGCTCACCAACCACCAGGAGCTGTGGGCCTTCATCGTCACCAACCTGGCGAGTGTGTATATACGGGAAGGAAATAGACACCAAGAGGTAGTAGGTGACATGCTTCATGTTCGGTATCCTTTCTCTCTGTTCTCTTCTTTTTGGGGAACCAGGGGGTTGTCCTGGGCACCAGCACATCTCAGCAGACCCCAGGGTGTTCACCTTTTGAGGGATGGGCGGCACCCGACACAGACACACAAGGCGACCCAGAGGTGAATCGGGCTATGGCCGGGGGAGGCCAGGTCTGGGACAAAAACATTCCCATAGCCACAGAACACTTCTCTTTATCACAAACAAACCAAGCTGTATGAATCACACAGACAAGGTCTTATAGCCCAAGCTGTCTGCTCTAGGATGTCGGCCAGGCATTGAGGCTCAGTCCTAAGGGGCAGCAGCCAGAGCACCTTGTCCCCAGGTTGTGCTGATGCCCCTGCAGGATCAGGGGCACTCACTGGCTGCAGTGTTGGGTGGGGATGCCCAGGGTTGCCCTCACGTGGCGCTTCTGAACCAATGCTTGCATAAGAGTTAGGTTCCCTCTTCTGTCCCTTTTAGCCCTGGGATCCCCACTCAGCCCTGGGATCCCCCTCAGCCCCGGGATCCCCTCCTCAGCCCCGGGATCCCCTCCTCAGCCCTGGGATCCCCCTCAGCTCTGGGATTCCCTCCTCAGCCCTGGGATGCCCACTCAGCCCTGGGATCCCCCTCAGCCCTAGGATGTCCCTCAGTTCTAGTATCTCCTTCACCTCTGGGGGTCTACCTCCAAAGTGTATCAGGCCAGGTGCTTGGCTCACACCTGTAATCCCAGCACTTTGGGAAGCAAGGCAGGAGGATCACTTGAGGTCAGGAGTTCAAGACCAGCCTGGGCAACATAGGGAGACCCCCATTTCTACAAAAAAATTTTTTAAAAACTTGGTGGGGTGCAGGCCTGTGGTCCCAACTACTCGGGAGACTGAGGCAGGAGGATTGCTTGAGCTAGGGAGATTGAGGGCTGCAGTGAGCCATGATCCAGCCACTGCACTCCAGCCTGGGCGACAGAGCAAGAACCTGTCTCAAAGGAAAAAGAAAGCCCAGCCCCGGCTTAGTCATCCGATGCCATACGTGGGCTCGCAGTGTTGAGGAGGAGTTTGGCTCCCCTGTGCCTCTGCAGCTAGAGGGCAGCTAAATTATCAGTCAGATCACGCCCCCATCAGAGCCTCCCGGGGTCCCTGCACCTCCAGAGAAATCCCACCCACTCACCCCCACAGCCCACAGGGCTCACGGGCCCCAGCCTGCCAACCTACCCACTGCCAGGCCAGCCCCTCAGCACCACTCTGACCATACAAAGGCCTTCTGGACGCCCAGGCCCCTGTCACCTACTGCAGGACAGGGTGGCACAGGCAGGGCTGGCTGAGGGTGTGGAAATCTTGCCCCCGGCCCTTCTCACCAGAGGCTGCTCTTGCTGGTCAGTCACCAGGCTCAGCCTGGAGGCCACAGTCCCGACGGGGGTGTAGAGAAATTCCCATGCACTGCAGTGTGTCTTGGGGACCTTTCTCCTGTGAAGATGCAGAATGGTGCTGACTGGCTCTTTCCCCCGCAGCTCTACAGTCTGCTGGAGAGGATCAACCCGGACCACAGCTTCCCTGTCAGGTGAGCCGCTCCAGGCACCACTCCACGCACGGCCTAGGCTCCCCGTGCTCTTTGGTTGGGGCCCCTGACTGCCCCTTGCACCCTGACACCCCATACCCCTCCTCACAGACAGTCTGCAGTGGGGGCTCTCAGAAATAGCCCCCAGCTGCCCACTGCCGTTTTGTAAACCTGCTTCTCAAAATCACCACCCCATGTGATACTGCACTCTCCCTGCAGCTCGCACTGCCTCCGAGCAGCCGCCTTCTATGTGCGTGGGCTCTTCTCCTTCTTCCAGGGACGCTACAACGAGGCCAAGTAAGTGTGGGGCAGAGGGTGGCGTGAGGGCCATGCTCAGGGTAGCCCAGGCCCCGTCCTGCAGTTATCAGCGTCCATGTTCTCCTTGTCAGGCGATTTCTGCGGGAAACTCTGAAGATGTCCAATGCTGAGGACCTGAACCGGCTCACAGCCTGCTCCCTCGTGCTTCTGGGCCACATCTTCTATGTGCTGGGAAACCACAGGGTGAGTGCCCTGGCCTGGGCCCCTCGCTTGGGTGCCTGTGGGGCTTGGCTGAGGGACAGGAGCCGGCCAGCACCCTAAGGGTGGCATGGCACTGTTCATCCTATGCCCCTCGAAGAGCACGTCTAGGTGGATGCCCTGACTCCCACAGCCTGGGCAGGCAGGGCCAGAGGAGCTGGGCACCCACAGAGGGTGTGGGGGGAAGGCAGGAGGCCTGATGGGTGTGGCCTCAGACATTGGGCAGGCAGAGCCCCAGGGCTCAGGGGAGCTGAAGCCAGAACCAAAGGAGCTGCCCTGAGCTACTGGGGATGACGCAGCCACCCCATGCTATGTGTTGACACCTGAGGGGCAGAGAGGTGTCTCCTCTCAGCCGGACTTCCAAACATATCATCCTTGGCCAACACAGTGTCCTCTCAGGGTACAAGTGGCCCCTGGGATTGGTCCCCACCCAAGGTCAGCCAGTCTCTGGTGGGACTGGCCGCCTCAGTCCTTCCTGTCAATTCCTCGCCTACTCTCACCCACTGATCTCACGAGGTCTTGAATTTTTTTTTTTTTTTTTTTTTTTTAAGAAGATATTTTGGGCAGGCACAATGGCTCACGCCTGTAATCCCAGCACTTTGGGAGGCCAAGGCGGGCAGATCACCTGAGGTCAGGAGTTCAAGACCAGCCTAGCCAACATAGTGAAACCCTGTCTCTTACTAAAAATACAAAAATTAGTGGGGCGTGGTGGTGGACGCCTGTAATCCAAGCTACTCGGGAGGCTGAGGCATGAGAATCACTTGAACCCAGGAGGCAGAGGTTGCATTGAACGGAGATCATGCCGCTGCACTCCAGCCTGGGCAACAGAGTGAGACTCTGTCTCAGAAAAAAAAAAAAAAGATGTTTTTGGGACAGGCACGGTGGCTCATGCCTGTAATCCCAGCACTTTGGGAGGCTGAGGTGGGCAGATCACTTGAGGTCAAGAGTTCAAGACCAGCCTGGTCAACATGGTGAAACCTCATCTCTACTGAAAATACAAAAATTAGCCAGGTGTGGTGGCACACATCTGTACTCCCAGCTATTCTGGAGGCTGAGACAGGAGAATTGCTTGAACCCAGGAGGCAGAGAGGTTGCAGTAAGCCGAGGTCGTGTCATTGTACTCCATCCAGCCTAGGTGAGAGCAAGACTCCATCTCAAAAAAAAAAAGGCCGGGCATGGTGGCTCACGCCTGTAATCCCAGCACTTTGGGAGGCCAAGGCGGGCAGATCACAAGGTCAGGAGATCGAGACCATCCTGGCTAACACGGTGAAACCCCGTCTCTACTAAAAATACAAAAAATTAGCCGGGCATGGTGGCAGGCGCCTGTAGTCCCAGCTATTTGGGAGGCTGAGGCAGGAGAATGGCATGAACCAGGAAGGCGGAGCTTGCAGTGAGCCGAGATCCCACCACTGCACTCCAGCCTGGGCAACACAGCAAGACTCCATCTCAAAAAAAAAAAAAAAGATATTTTTGGCCAGGCACAGTGGCTCATTGCTTGTATCCCTTTGGGAGGTGGATGGGGGAGAATCCCTTGATCCCAGGAGTTCAAGACCACCAGCCTGGGCAACCTAGTGAGACCCTCTTTTTTTTTAATTTAATTTTATTTTTTGAGGCCGAGTCTCACTCCGTCACCCAAGTTGGAGCGCAGTGGCATGATCTCAGCTCAGCTCGTGGTAACCTTCACCCCCTGTAGGCTCAAGTGATCCTCCCACCTCAGCCTCCCAAGTAGCTGGGGCCACAGGTGTGTGCCACCATGCTCAGCTAATTTTTTTATTTTTGGTAGAGACTGGGTCTCCATGTTACCCAGACTGGTCTTGAACTCCTGAGCTCAAGCGATCCACCCACTTCAGCCTCCCAAAGTGCTAGATTACAGCATGACCCACTGTGCCTGGCCCTAGAGATGCTATCTCTTAAAAAAAAAAAAAAGATATTTTCCAGCCAGACACAGTGGCTCAGGCCTGTAATCCCAACACTTTGGGAGGCAGAGGTGGAAGGATCATTTGAGCGCAGGAATTCAATATCAGCCTGACCAACATAGTAGATCTGAGATCCCATCTCTACAAAAACCAAACAAAAAAATTAGCTGGGTGTGTGGACTCATGCTTGTGGTCCCAGCTAATTGGGAGGCTGAGGTGGGAGGATCACTTGAGCCCAGGAGGTTGAGGCTGCAGTGAGCTGTGATCATGTTACTGCACTCCAGCCTGGACAACACAGTGAGATCCGTCTCAAAAAAAAAAAGTTATTTTTCTAGATTATAAAATATGACATGTTCATAATTAAAAGGCTGAGAAGCAAAACAGAAAAAAATTGCATGTCTCTGTCATCCATCCCTTCCCACTGCCCACGTCTCCCACGTGGAGGTTTTGCTTGTCAGCCTGTTTGGTAATTTTTTTTTTTTTTTTTTTTTTTTTTTTTGAGATGAAGTCTTGCTCTCTTGCCCAGGCTGGAGTGTAGTGGTGTGATCTCGGCTCACTGCAACCTCTACCTCCCAGGTTCCACGGATTCTCCTGCCTCAGCCTCCCGAGTAGCTGGGATTACAGTCGAGCACCATCACACCTGGCTTATTTTTGTATTTTTAGTAGAAATGGGGTTTCGCCATGTTGGCCAGGCTTGTCTCAAACTCCTGACCTCAGGTGATCTGCCTACTTCAGCCTCCCAAAGTGCTGGGATTACAGACGTGAGCCACTGGGTAATTTTATATTTGCCTTTCTCCACACCTCTGTATTGGAAGCTTTTTTTTTTTTCTTAATGGCAATGAGTGTTTTGAAGCCACATCTACTCTGTAGTTTAACCATTCTCACTGTAGCCATTTCCACAGGACAGATAAAGCAAGATGTGTGTCTTGGCCTGTAAAGTTTCACGTGATCTGAGGGCTCCCTCAGCATGGATGCTGTTAACAAACGTGGTGCCCGCCCACCGCAACACACAGACACATAACTGTGTGGTAAGCCTTTGCAGAGGCCAGCGAATGGGCCCTGCAGCTCAGGCCCTGGTGGGCCTTGGCCTCAGCACTGGGGATGCCACTACCCCGTCAAAACCTGTAGCTGGCTCCTTCTAGAATGTGCTATCACCCTGCCCTCAGCCTCTGAGCACAGTGAGGGCTGTATGTCCCCACTGGACAGTGCAAGTGGCCTGGGGGTGTGTCAGATGGGGAGGTTAAAGTCACACAGCCCCAGACCGCAGAATCAGGACTGGAACCCAGACCTCACTGGCTCTGATTTGTGTAGAAACCCCTGGAAGCTGCCTGGAGCAGGGCAAGGAGGGTTGAGCAGCTGGTTCACTGCTGCTCCTGGCCCATGTTTTAGGTGTTGTGGGGGCATCTTACAGAGCTCTTTTGGGAATCCCCCTCTGCTCCCTGTGTCCCTGGGCCCTTGTCGGGTGACAAGCGGCGCCCAAGAACTCTCAGACCAAGGTCCTGGCCTTAAGTGACTCCAGATCTCGGGGAGACACAGCCAGACACAGCCAAGCCAGTCCTGTGAGGTCAGGCTGGGGACATCCAGAAAGGTGGCAGCCTTGGGGGCCGGGATAGTGTTGGTGCAGGCAGGGCAAGGTTGGCTAGGCAGGGGCTGCCACAGAGATGGGCACCACAGCAGTCAGAGCACAAGTGCCGGAGCAGACGGCTGAATGGCCACAATGGGCTCAGGTGAGGGTCCAGGGGCCCAGAAGAGCTTGGGATGCCCTGTCCTGAGCCTGTTAGGCTAGAGTGTCCACAAGAGCGGGACACCCCCCAGGATCACTCAAGTCTTCAAAACCAGATTCTGTGGGGTACCCCAAGCTGGCATTGGGGGAACCTACCCAGGAGCGCTGAAGGAGGACTCTCCTTCCCCAGGCTGCTTTCAGACAGAGGTCCTTGGCTTTCTACAGGGAGCCCAGCCAGGCTCACAATAAGCCAGGCCTAGCGGAAGAGAGCAGTTTTTCTTGCTCTGAGGTTTCAAAAGGGCTTGGTGAATTTTAAAAAGCTCCAAGACCCACCTGGAGCTCACTTTCAAGGTGCAGCTACAGGGCAGTGTAGAGTTGTTGGGCTTTGTGTCTCAGGAGGAGCATCTCTGCACTCTGGAGAAGTATCTGGTGGCGTCAAAGCCAGGTCTCAGGAGTTGGTTTTGGGGATGTGTCCATCTTGGCTTCCCAAGTGCTCCCTGGGCTGCCAGGAGCCATCATCTAGGGAATTTTCCAGGTCTTACCTGAACCCCACATCCAGGCTTACAGGGCTTTGAGTCCTCGGTCCAGACAGGGTCAGTCCAGCACTGCTGGTCGCCTGTGTAGCACAGGCTCCTGTCTGCCGTCTCCAGGCCCTTGCCATAGCAACAGGGATGGGCATTTATGGGCCCTGATGGCTCTTACTGAGCTCTTCCTGCCACATCCTGAGGATGCTAGGGCTGCAACTGGGGTGGCCCTGTGCAGTCACAAAGCAGGGAGTCCGGATTGGAGGATTCTTACATGCTGGTGCCCCCAGAGCCCCTGCGTGTCTGCGGGGGCCTCCCATGAGAGCCAACTCAATTGTGGAAGACAAACCGGAGGGGCTGCTGCCCTTCTCAGAACCTGAAACCTGGAACCCTATATGAATCTGCATTTCTGATCAGCCCCCATTGTGGGTCTAGGGCTAACGGCCATCAGTGCTTTTTCTCTGCTTGAACAGGTAGAAGCCCCCAAAGTTGTCCATTGGCCATGCCCCTGTGAGGGCATGAGCCAGAAGTGAGGGCAGTTTGTTTTTCAGTGATACTTCAGAGAGGGCCATTTGAGATGGGCTCTGAGGTAAGCATAGGAGTTCACCAGACGCAGAAGGAGGTCACAACCTGGGCTGGGTTCAGTAGGTGGGTTCCAGATTATCCCCACCCCAACCTGGGCTGGGTTCGGCAAGTGGGGTCCAGGCTCCTCACTCCCCCTTGCTGCTCTTGGTTGACAGGAGAGTAACAACATGGTGGTGCCTGCCATGCAGCTCGCCAGCAAGATCCCGGACATGTCGGTACAGCTGTGGTCGTCAGCACTGCTGAGAGGTGAGTGCAATGGCCACCCCTCTTCCCCAGCCCCAGCCTGGCCCTCCCCAGAGATCAAGGCTGCTGGGCATGTCCTGCTCAGCCTTAGCTCGGACTAGGCCTCCGTGGGCCGCAGCCCCAGTTCTAGCATGGGTAGGGGGTGCTCCTCAGGAGACCCTGGTTGAGGGCAGTGGGTGCATTTGTGGCATCCGCTTGACTCGGGGTCTGGTTCAGTCTCTATAGGACACAGAGGCTGCGACTTGGTATCTGGTAGACTTGGGCTGTTAGCCGTGGCGCTCTCAGCCTTGCTTCTTCCCGGAAAGGCAGACAGCAGCCATACCTATTGGGTAGGGCTGGCCAGCTAGCTCTGGGAGCAGGGCGGGCACTCAGCGGGTATCATTGCTGTTACCGCAGCTCCCCCATTTCCAGATTACGAAACTAAGGTCCGGAGACTCGCCTGGGGCCCTGGGGAGGTGACAGGAGACGGGGTGCTCCATGTGCAGTGGGCTGCCTGGGGCTGCTGCCTCAGGATGGGCATTGGGCGTCCTGCCCCAATGAGCGCCTGTTTGCCTGAGGGCTGGCCATGGGCTCCCTGGAGGGCTGGCGAGAAGCCTGGCATTGGGCTTTCACTGCCCAGCCAGCCCTGTTCTGCCCTATGAGGGCGGCTGGCGCATGGGCTTTGTGATCCCAAGACAGGGCTCAGGTCCAGTGACGTGCCAGGCACCCAGAGATCCACCAGTGCAGCTGGGACTTGACCTTAGGGCTCCATCTGCACCGAGTGGGAGGGCCTGGGCAGTGACAGGGCAAGGCGGGCCCCCATGCTCATGTCCCACTCTCAGACCTGAATAAAGCCTGTGGGAACGCCATGGATGCCCATGAAGCCGCCCAGATGCACCAGAACTTCTCGCAGCAGCTGCTCCAGGACCACATTGAGGCCTGCAGCCTCCCCGAACACAACCTCATCACGGTACGGGTGTGGGTGTTAGGGGACGGGATCAGGACTAGCGGGCTCCCCACCTGCAAGAGGAAGGGGCACCTTGGCTGTATTTCTCTTTTGTCCAACAAACCCTAACTCAGCCTCAGGTGATCCCTTGATGGGGGAGATGGCCATGGGCACCCCCACCCAAGCAAGGGACCCAGGTGTCTCCTCGGGGCCCATTGGACTGGGGCATGGAGAACAGAGTCCCGGCTGTGTGAGCAGCCCAAGGAAGGCAGCATTCCAACCTCTTCTTCCCTGGGAACGGTCCACAGTGCCTCACTCGCATGTCCTCTCCTCCCCACAGTGGACAGACGGTCCACCCCCCGTGCAGTTCCAAGCTCAGAATGGACCCAACACCAGCCTGGCCAGCCTCCTGTGAGGCCTTGATGGGGCCATCCAGCTCCGCAGGGCCTGCGCGTCTCCGGCTTCCACCCAGACGGCACTCAAGCCTGCCCCCGAGGCGTGCTTCCTTCCTGATTGTCTCTAGAGCTTCCAAGTCCTGGGAATGTGCGGGGCCAGTCCCTGCCCTCCCAGGAGGGGTGGTAGCCGTTCCCACCTCGCAGCAGGACCCCCAGTGCAGAGGCTCACAGGTGGCACACAGGCGCTGTCTCTCCAGAGCCATCCTTCAGAGTGGACCTCAGTGCCAGTCCTGCCTCAGCATCTGGGTCACGTCGGCCAGGAGTAGGGTGCAGGCCTCCAGCAGGTCCTAATCCTGTGTGCCAGGGCAGGCAGTGCCCCAGGGGCACCACGCCTGACTCTCCATCACCCAGGCCTTGATGCCGAGCGGGAGTAGAGTGTTTCCTCTGCTCAAGGCAATTTCCAGAGCCCGGATGCCAGTTTCTGGCCTGAATTTGGAGGGAAGAAGTAATGGCGCTAGTGTGGGACGAAGCACAGATCCCAGCACTTTTCCCAGCTTTCTCTCCAGCATCAGTCCCTGCAGCAGCTGGGGCCTCTGGTCAGGAACCCTCAGGGACCCAGGAACTCAGCTTCCAAACATCTGCACCTTGACCGGACTCGCCATCCCGCCGTGGGGGTGCAGGTGATTGTAAACACGGGTGTGCATGTGGATGCACACGGGTGTGCGGTGAAGATCTGTGGAGATGGAGCTGGGAGCTGAGGCTCCTGTTGCACCAGCCACCTTCCCCCATCTTGTGGCTGCTGAGGGGCAGGAAGCGGGGGAGTGGGCTCGTCTCCTAAATTTAAGATCACCTCCTCAGCTAGCTTAGAGTGCGTGGCACGGGCCCCCCGCCCCCGAGATCTGGAGCCCAGGGACTTTCTTCCTGGCAGATCTGTGGCCTTCCCTGCTCAGCCTCTTGGTCCCCCCACTCCCTCCACCGCCTCACCTTCCCTGCTGGGTCTCTGGGGCACAGTGTGAAACCCGCACCCTAGCCAGGCCCCAGGGAGCCTCCGCTGGGCCCAGACAGCAGCGTTTGGTTTTATCCACTTTTCTTGGATAATCAGGAGGTGCCCCAGTGGTCACAGTGTGGCATTCCGAGTTGGGGCGGGTGGTCGGGTCAAGATAGCAGCAGCAGGTGTCAGGGCTCAAGACACCACCCCCTCCAGCTTCTGGGGCCCAGGAGCCTCTCCCTGCTACAGGGGGTGGGGGTCCTGCTCAGCAGGGTAGGTGGTGGTTTTAGGTCTTGTCACCCTCACTCAGTGGAACTGCCTCTGGGAGCTTTGGCGTCTGTGACTAAAGGGACGCTGGATTGCTCAGGTCAGCTGCTTGGGGCTCCCAGGCTGGGTGTGCCTTAGCCACAGGCAGGGCTGTCAATAACCCCCTTCCTCACTGGCCACCACCTGACATCAGCACCAGTGACAGGCTGGTCAGAGGGCGGGGCTGGTGAGGGTTTGTCCTAAGAGGACCACCGCCATCTCTGGGTCTCCAGGGGGAGAGCCTGGCCCTGTCCTTTGCTACCCAGGGCTGCCCCCAGGCCCATGAAGCCAATAGGAGAGCGTGTGGCACTGGCCCACAAACTGTCCCTGTCCTGTCTTCCTCCCGAGCCATGGCCTCTGCTAGCTCCACCTTGAAGGAGCCCCCCACATCCTCCCCTACATCCCAGAGATGCCACCACTTGTGTCTCCACAATGTGCTCCTGCCCACCCGGGTTCCGCACTGTCCGACCCCTGCACACCACTCATGTCACCACGGCGTGCATCATGTTCATCCCCATCTATTTATTTAAGCCTTTCTTTGCTTGTAGGGCATTTTGTATGTAGAGCAGTTGAAAACAGAACCTCAGAACTTAACATCTGTCCTGATGTTAAAGTGCTTTTCATGACCACCCTGTTATCTATGTATATGTAAAGTTAAGGATGAGATCTTAAGTTTACAATTAAAAACTCAGTACTCAATATTTAATATTCTACTCGAGCTTTATGGAAGCCAAATCATGTGCATGTGTGTGTGTGCGTGTGTGCAAGCTTTGAACCTCCTTCCACAGCCGCATCTTCTCATGACACAAAGCTTTTGATAAGTACTTTCCTGTGGGTCGCTCAGCGCCTCATAGCATCTCATTCAATTGCAAGAATAGAGGCCAGACACGGTGGCGCATGCCTGTAGTCCCAGCTAACTGGGAGGCTGAGGCAGGAGGATCACTTGAGCCCAGGAGATTGAGGCTGCAGTGAGCATGATCGCGACACTGCACTCCAGCCTGGGTGACGGTGAGACTTTGTCTCAAAAAAAAAAAAAAAAACAATGGAAGGCAGACAGCAAGTCCCTGAGGACACATCACACAGTGTCCTGTAGCTAAGTGTCTAGGAAAAAACAAAAACTCCAAACCCTTCAGTGGATGAGGACAAGGTCGCAGAAAGGCATTCTGTTGACAGATGAACAGCCGAAAGCTGGCCAGACCCTCCTGTATGCCTCTGCCCTTGTCCTGTGGGTTGAGGGGGTCTGACCAGGAGGCCACCTACAGCAGGAAGTGAGGCTGCCATGTTTCCTTGAGACACAGCTGCCTCTCCCCAGCTCTGTCCCTGTAGTCACCTGCCGGTGGGCGAGGATCCTCTCCCTGGGATAAGCACTCCCAGCCCCGTTTATCAGAAACACAGGCAAGGAAATTGGAACTGCCACCCAGCCCAGCATGGTGGCTCAATTGGTTGGTTGCGTTGTCAGTTGTCTCTTCGTTTTGTTAAGGTTTTTAATAAGTACGTTTGGCATAATGTCTTTTAATGGGTTTGTAATATTTGTAACGGTTTTAGCAGCCTATAACTTTTCAGCTGGTGCTTTTACTTAGGGAAAAAAACAATTTGTAAATACAGAACATTGTTTAAAAGACATAACCATAGAACATAGCTTCCTGTTTGTGGATTTTGTTTCCTATATATTCAAAGTAAAATGACTTACAGGAGCCACGTGCTGTGTCTTTGTTGTTTCCTCTGTCCGCTTTGTGAGCCATCCCAAAGACGGCTGCCACCCTTGCTGCCATGCCCACAGGGGCCCCCTCTGTGGCGGGGTCTTCAGCATGAGGATGCAGTCCCCAAATCCTGAGCCAGATGACGTGAATGGAAGCCTGAGTCCCCATCTCCTCCACTGATCATTTTCCTCTGGTCTGGCCTCGCCTAGAGAGGAAGGAACCCCATGCTCCATCAGCATATGAGGCCTTCAGCAGCCTGCTCCTGGAATCCTCCCTTCCCAGCCCTCTCAGGGGCAGACTCCCTCATGCACCCAGGTGTCCTGGTCCCTGTGTTTTTTTTTGTTGTTGTTGTTGTTTGAGATGGAGTCTTGCACTGTCGCCCAGGCTGGAGTGCAGAGGCGCGATCTCTGCTCACTGCAACCTCCACCTCCCAGGTTCAAGCGATACTCCTGCCTCAGCCTCCCAAGTAGCTGGGATTACAGGTGCCCGCCACCAAGCCCAGCTAATTTTTTGTATTTTTAGTAGGAACAGCATTTCACTGTGTTGGCCAGGCTGGTCTTGAACTCCTGACCTCGTGATCCACCTGCCTTGGCATCCCAAAGTGCTGGGATTACAGGCCTGAGCCACCGCGCCCAGCCGGTCCCTGCATTCTTAGAGGGGACCAGCCTCCATACACCTGGGAGTGAGGGGAGTTATTTGCCCAGATTTTTTTGTTTGGAGGTGAAATTACCATAACAAATTTAACTTTTTTTGCAGGTTGTGCTGGCTTACGCCTGTAATCCCAGTACTTTGGGAGGCCGAGGCAGGAGGATCCCTTGAGCCCAGGAGTTCAAGAACAGCCTGGGCTACATAGTGAGACCTAGTCTCTACAAAAAATGTATAAAAATTAGCCAGGCAACCAGGTGCCGTGGCTCAAGCCAGTAATCCCAGCACTTTGGGAAGCCGAGGTGGGCGGATCACTTAAGGCCAAGAGTTGAGACCAGCCTGGCCACCATAGTGAAACCCTGTCTCTACTAAAAATACAAAAATTAGCCGGGTGTGGTGGCGTGCACTTGTAGTCCCAGCTACTCAGGAGGCTGAGGCAGGAGATTCACTTGCACCAGGGAGTGGAGGGTTTCAGTGACCCAAGATCCTGATACTGTGCTCCAGCCTGGGTGACAGAGTAAGACTCTCTCTCTCAAAAAATAAATAAATACAAATACAAAATATAAAAATTAGCCGGTATGGTGGCGCACAACTGTAATCCCAGCTACTCGGGAGGCTGAAGCAGGAGAATCGCTTGAACCCGGAGGCAGAGTTTGCAATGAACCAAGATCACACCACTGCCTGGGCGAGAGAGGGAGACTCTACCTCGAAAAAAAAAAATAGCCAGGCATGGTGGTGTGTTCCTGTAGTCCCAGTTACTTAGGAGGCTGAGGCGGGAGGATTACTTGAACCCAGGAGGATATTAGCAGAGACAGAGTCTTGCTCTATTTTATATGTATATAAAATAGTATTATCTGTAAAGTGGACTGCTCAGTGGTATTCAGTACGTTCACAGTGTTGCACAGTTATCATCTCTATCTAGTTCTGGGACATTTTCATTCCCCCAAAAGGAGATTCATTGCCATCAGCAGTCACTCCTCATTCCTCCTCCCTCCCCAAGCCCCTGGCAACTAGTAATCTGCTTCCTGTCTGTGAATTTGCCTGTTCTGGATATTTTATATCAATGGAATCTCATACCCTGTGACCTCTTGTAGCCTGGGATCTCTCAGCACTATGTTTTCAAGGTTCATCTGCACTGTAGCATGGATCATTGCTTTGTTCCTTTTATGAGTGAATAATATCCCATTATATGGATGGACCAAACTGTTGATCTTTTTTTTTTTTTTTTGAGACAGGGTCTTGCTCTGTCACCCAGGCTGGAGTGCAGTGGGTTGATCTCGGCTCACTGCAACCTTTGCTTCCTAGGGTCAAGCAATTCTCCTGCCTCAGTCTCCTGAGTAGCTGGGACTACAGGCGCATACCACCAAGCCCAGATAATTTTTGGATTTTTAGTAGAGATGAGGTTTCACCATATTAGCCAGGCTGGTCTCAGACCCCTGACCTTGTGATCCACCTGCCTCGGCCTCTCAAAGCGCTGGGATTACAAGCATAAGCCACTGCACCCGGCTTTTTTTTTTTTTTCTTGAGACAGGATCTTGCTCTATAGCCCAGTGCAGTGGTATGATCTCAGCTCACTGCAACCTCCACCTCCCAGGCTCAAGGGATCCTCCCACCTCAGCCCCCCAAATAGCTGGAATGACAGGCACCACCATGCCAGGCTAATTTTTCTATATTTTCTAGACATGGGGTTTCACCTTGTTGCCCAGGCTGGTCTTGAACTCCTGGACTCAAGTGATCTGCCCGCCTTGGCCTCCCAAAGTGCTGGGATTACCACCGTGAACCACGGTGCCCGGCCTTATCCATCCTTTTATGGACATTCGGGTTGCTTCCCCCTTGTGGCGACTGTGAATAGTGCTGCTCTGTGAGTTTTGGCTGGACCACGTGTTTTCAATTCTCCTGGGCTTTCCCTGTGTCTTTATTGTGGACAGACAGGGCCGCTCAGCACACACATATGGTGTGAAGGCCCTCATGTCACTCTCAGGTTAGTTCCCCATGAGAGATACACAAGCCATCTTAGCCTCGAGCCCCAAGGGGCTCTGCTGGATGTGCAACGTTTTTGTATTTTGTTTTGCTATGTGTCGTTTAGAGACAGAGTCTCACTCTGTTGCCCGGGCAGGAGTGCAGTGGTGCAATCACTTGAGCCTCACTGCAGCCTCAAACGCCCTGGCCCAAGCGACCCTCCTGCCTCATCCTCCTGTGTAGCTGGGACTATAGATACGTGCCACCACACCCGGTTAATTTTTTTTTTTTTTTTGAGATGGAGTCTTGCACTGTTGCCCGGGCTGGAGTGCAGTGGTGTGATCTCGGCTCACTGCAACCTCTGCCTCCCAGATTCAAGAGATTCTCCTGCCTCAGCCTCCCGAGTAGCTGGGATTACAGGCACCTGCCTCCATTCCCAGCTAATTTTTTTGTATTTTTTAGTAGACACAGGGTTTCACCATGTTGGCCAGGCTGGTCTCCAACTCCTGAGCTCAAGCAATCCTCCCACCTTGGACTCCCAAAGTGCTGGGATTACAGTCGTGAGACACCACACCGGCCCTGTGCGAGTGTTTGAGTCTCAACATGGTGATCACAGCACCCCAACCATCGATGCCTGGGCTCCTTCTGCCCCATCCCCACCAGTTCAGCACCAGGCAGCCTTTTCACTCAAGGTAGACTCTGCTTATCCTTCATCATCAGCTTGGACATCATCTTCTCCAGACAGACAGGCAGGGGCCCATCTGGCCCATCTCATACCTCTCCAGCCCCTGCATGGGATTCACATCTTGAACCTGAGCTGGACCAGAGCACAGCATGACGAGCCTGCCATGGGACCAGCCACCTTTCCAGCAGGTGTGCAGCCCCCAGCTGGGAGGTGTGAACCTGCATGTGGACAGCAGGTCTATCCTGGGTTGACCAATGTTTCACACAAAGCCTACACCCAGGCAGTCACCTTGGCCTGGGCGCCCGGCAGACTAGGGTCACACAGCTCCTCCTGTTGAGTCATTTCCGAGTAGGCTATGCCCTGTGCAGCATCCATGGGACCCTGACTCAGGAAGTGAGTGACCTTCCTTTTCCCACAAGCCATGTCCTCATCCATGTCATCCCTCATCCACTTAGAGGATGAGGCGGGAGGGAGGTTGAGGCAGGAGGATCGCTTGAGCCCAGGAGGTTGAGGCTGCAGCAAGCTATGATCGCCCCACTGCACTCCAGCCTGGGTGACAGAGTGAGACCCGCTCTCTAAACAAAACATAGTGAAACAAAAAACAAATGATAGAAGCCAGATGTGGTGGAGCATACCTGTAGTCCCAGCTCCTTAGGAGGCTGAGATGGGATGATGGTTCAGGTCCAAAAGTTTGAGACTAGCCTGGGCAACGTAGCAAGACCCCGTCTCTATAAAAAATAAAACATCTGCCTGTAATCCCAGTACTTTGGGAGGCCGAGGCAGGCGTATCACTTGAGGCCAGGAGTTTGAGACCAACCTGGGCAACGTAGCAAGACTTTGTCTCTATAAAAAATTTAAAATCAGCTGGACGTGGTGGCTCATGTCTGTAATCCCACCATGTTGGGAGGCCGAGGCAGGTGGATCACCTGAGGTCGCGAGTTCAAGACCAATGTGGCCAACATAGCGAAACACAGTCTCTACTAAAAATACAAAAATCAGCTGGGTGTGGTGCTGCACGCCTCTAATCCCAGCTACTTGGAGGCTGAGGCAGAAGACAGTGACCCCAGGAGGCAGAGGTGGCAGTGAGCCAAGATGGCACCATTGTACTCCAGCCTGGGTGATGGAGTGAGACTCCATCTCAAAAAAAAAAAAAAATTAAAATCAGCCAGGCATGGTGCCTCACGCCTGTAATCCCAGCACTTTGGGAGGCCAAGGCAGGGAGATCATTTGAGGTCAGCAGTTTTTTTTGTTTTGTTTTGTTTTGTTTTTGTTTTGTTTTGTTTTGTTTTTGAGATGGAGTCTCGCTCTGTCGCCCAGGCTGGAGTGCAGTGGCGCGATCTCAGCTCACTGCAAGCTCTGCCTCCTGGGTTCACGCCATTCTCCTGCCTCAGCCTCCTTAGTAGCTGGGACTACAGGCGCCCGCCACCGCGCCCAGCTAATTGTTTGTATTTTTAGTAGAGATGGGGTTTCACCGTGGTCTCCATCTCCTGACCTCGTGATCCGCCCGCCTCGGCCTCCCAAAGTGCTGGGATTACAGGCATGAGCCACTGCGCCCGGCCGAGGTCAGGAGTTTGAGACCAGCCTGACCAACATAGTGAAACCCTGTCTCTACTAAAATATAAAAATTAGCCAGCCGTGGTAGCGGGTGCCTGTAATCTCAGCTACTCGGGAGGCTGGGGCAGGAGAATCGCTTGAACCCAGGAGGCAGAAGTTGCAGTGAGCCAAGATCACGCCACTGCAGTCCAGCCTGGGCAACAGGGCAAGACTCCCTCTCAAAAATAAATAAACCTGGCAGGGCGAGGTGGCTCACACCTGTAATCCCAGCACTTTGGGGGGCCAAGGCAGATGGATCACCTAAGCTCAGGAGTTTGAGACCAGCCTGGCCAACATGGTGAAATCCCATCTCTACTAAAAATACAAAAAAATTAGCCGGGCATGGTGGTGGGCACCTGTAAATCCTAGCTACTCAGGAGACTGAGGCATGAGAATCGCTTGAATCCGGGAGGTTGGAGGTTGTGGTGAGCTGAGATCAGGCCACTGCCCTCCAGCCTGGACCACAGAGTGAGATTCCATCTAAAAAAAAGTAATAATAAAATAAATAAAAATAAAAATAAAATAATGCAAAAATTAGCCAGCCACGGTGGTGCACACCTGTAATCCCAGATACGTGGGAGGCTGAGGCAGGAGAATCACTTGAATCCAGGAGGTGGAGGTTGCAGTAAGCCAAGATCACGCCACTGCAGTCCAGCCTGGTTGACAGAGCTAGACTCCCTCTCGAAAAAACAAAAAAAACACTTTTTTTTTTAAATTTAAAATTGCCAGGCGGCCGGGCATGGTGGCTCATGCCTATAATCCCAGCACTTTGGGAGGCCGAGGCAGGTGGATCACCTGAGGTCAGGAGTTCGAGACCAGCCTGGCCAACATGGTGAAACCCCGTCTCTACTAAAAATACAAAAATTAGCAGGGCTTGGTGGTGGGTGCCTGTAATCCCAGCTACTCAGGAGGCTTGGGCAGGATAATCACTTGAATCTGGGTGGCAGAGCTGAGATCGCGCCGCTGCACTCCAGCCTGGGTGACAGAGCGAGACTCCGTCTCAAAAAACAAAAAAAAAAATTGCTAGGCATAGTGGTGTGTGCCTATAGTCCCAGCTACTCAGGAGTCTGAGGTGGAAGGATTGCTTCAGCCTGGGAGGTCGAGGCTGCAGTGAGCCACGATTGCAGCTCTGCAATCCAGTCTGAGCAACAGAGTGAGAACCGGTCTCTAAAAATAATAATAAAAATAAAAAAGAAAATGGACAACTTTCTTTTGAACACAGCTTCTAGAACCCAGCACCTGAGGAAATATACGCAGGCAGAAATCCTCGCAGTGGCCACCTCACATCCTGTCTCCTCCTATTCCGGCTGCTTTGACAAATTACCATAGACTGAGGGGCTTACAAACAACAAATACTTATTTCTTACTGATCTAGAGGCTGGGAAATTCAAAATCAAGGTGCCAGCAGATTCGGAGTCTGGCGAGGGCCTGCTTCCTGGTTTGCTTCCCGCTCTCTAGCTCCACCCTCATGACATAATCATCTCCCAGAGGCCCCACCTCCAAAATACAATCACAGGCTGGGTGCAGTGGCTCACGACTGTAATCCCAAAACTTTGGGAGGCCAAGACAGGAGAATCACTTGAGCTCAGGAGTTCAAGAGCAGCCTGGGCAACATGGTGACACCCTGTCTGTACAAAAAATACAAAAAAATTAGCCGGGCATGGTGGTGCGCACCCATAGTCCCATCTACTGGGGAAGCTGAGGCAGAGGATCACTTGAGCCCAGGAGTTCAAGGCTGGAGTGAGCCATGATCCCACCACGGCATTCCAGCCTGAGCGACAGATCAAGACCCTGTCTGAAAAATAAATAAAAAACAGAGGACCGAGCGCAATGGCTCACGCCTGTAATCCCAGCACTTTGGGAGGCCAAGGTGGGCAGATCATGACGTCAGGAGATGGAGACCATCCTGGCTAACACGGTGAAACTCCGTCTCTACTAAAAATACAAAAAATTAGCCGGCCCTCGTGGCGGCAGAGCTTGCAGTGAGCCGAGATCATGCCACTGCACTCCAGCCTGGGTGACAGAGTGAGACTCAGTTAAAAAAAAAAAAAAGAAAAAACAGGCCAGGCGCGGTGGCTCACACCTGAGCTGAGATCGTGCTGTTGCACTCCAGCCTGGGTGACAACAGCGAGACTCCGTCTCAAAAAAAAAAAAAAATACAATCACATTTCAACATAAGAATATTGAAAGAGGAGGGACACGGTGGCTCATGCCTGAATCCCAGCACTTTGGGAAGCCAAGGCGGGAAGACTACTTGAGGTCAGGAGTTCAAGACCAGCCTAGCCAACATGGTAAAACTCCATCTCTACTAAAAATACAAAAATTAGCCAGGTGTGGTGACAGGAGCCTGTAATCCCAGCACTTTGGGATGCCTAGGTGGGCGAATCACCTGAGGTCAGGAGTTCCAGATCAGCCTGGTGAACATGGTGAAACCTCATCTCTACTAAAAATACAAAAATTAGCTGGGTGTAGTGGCAGGTGCTTGTATTCCCAGCTACTCGGGAGGCTGAGGCAGGAGAATTGCTTGAACCTGGGAAGCGGAGGTTGCAGTGAGCCGAGATCTCACCATTGCACTCCAACCTGGGTGACAAGAGGGAAACTCCACCTCAAAATAAATAAATAAATAAATAAATAAGATGAAGTTTCTTATTTCGTCCCAAATTTATGCTCACATGGTGAGATTACAATGAAATTGGCTGGGAAAGGAAAGGAAAAGGTTAATTTCCACATGAATTTTATTTTCTTAGTACTCTGATTTTTTTGATTTTTTTTATTTTTATTTTTTTTTTTTGAGATGGAGTTTCGCTGGTTGCCCAGGCTGGAATGCAATGGTGCAATCTCAGCTTACAGCAACCTCTGCTTCCCAGGTTCAAGCGATTCTCCTGCCTCAGCTTCCTGAGTAGCTGGGATTACAGGCGCACACCACCACGCCCAGCTAATTATTTTGTACTTTTAGTGGAGATGTGGTTTCACCATGTTGGCCAGGCTGGTCTGGAACTCCTGACCTCAGGTGATCCACCCGCCTCGGCTTCCCAAAGTGCTGGGATTACAGGTGTGAGTCACTATGCCCGGCCAGGGATAGTCCACTTTGTCAGTGTGTGTTTGTTGTGAACGTCGTCTCTAACCACAGTTCCTTACACTCAGTGTTTCTGCAGCGCAGGGTTCAGGCTCCATCTGCAGTTAGGCACACTCTGTCCAGAGTGAGTCTCTGTGTGGCCTTGGCGCTGTCCTGCTATTCCAGGGTTCTGAGCACAAATCCTCCCCTAAAGGGTTAAGCACAAACTGTTCAGAAGTCCTGTCGTGAACCGGAAGTGTATCTCCCACTCTGTCTTCATCTGCAAGTGTCCTCAGTTGCTACTGGCGGCCCCTGGCCTGCTCTGGCCTTGGCCACCAGGGGGCATGGTGGCCCAGGAGCAGCAAGGGCTGCCCAGGCAATGTCCCCACCAGGTAGGACAGGTGGGAACCTACAATCCAGCTAGAAAGACTGGGCTGGATGTTGCCAGACCCCAGTCTGGCCAGGCTTTGCTCATCTGCAGGGATGTGGGGTGACCTTCACACCACTCCTGTAACTGTTGGAGAAGACAATGGCCAGGGTTCTCCGGGCGTCAGGGTGACACCATTCCCTCCTTTACTTGCCAAACATGTATTAAGCACCTACTGTGCGCTGGATGCTGGGAACACAGCAGAGACCACATCAGACAATGTCTGATGCCCTCAGAGGGTGGACATAGTTCCCCTGATGACGGGTTTCAGAAGGGAGGGAGTGTTGACCATCTGTGAGAAGGGAGTGTCGCACAGTAGGTGGGGGACAACCACAGGGGAGGAGGTGGGGGACGCTGTGACAAGACCAAAAGGAGGGCTGGGAGCGATGGTTCATGCCTATAATTCCAGCACTTTGGGAGGCCGAGGTGGGCAGATCACCTGATGTCAGGAGTTTGAGACCAGCCTGCCCAACATGGTGAAACCCTGTCTCTACTTAAAATACAAAAAATTAGCCAGGCATGGTCGTGGGCGCCTGTAATCCCAGCTACTCAGGAGGCTGAGGCAGGAGAATTGCTTGAACCTGGGAGGTGGAAGTTGCAGTGAGCCAAGGTCACGCCATTGCACACAGCCTGGGCAACAAGAGCAAAACTCCGTCTCAAAAAAAAAAAAAAGGAGGCAAGCAGGCCCCCCTTGGGCCAGCTGATCAGAGCTGGACAACATTCCAGCTTCGGCGATGGGGCCACCAAGACCCAGGCATCTGGGGAATTGTGTCCCCTACTGGCACAGTTGAGTGACTCGGGTGGGGACTGCAGGCTCTGGTCCTGGTCCCCTCCTGTCTGGCCACCCCTCAGGGGACACTGGGAGGGTATCGCGGCTACCAGGCTGCCTGTCGCATTTATGGAGGGCCAGTCCACCACCACCTTGTACTCAGCTGACATCTGGAAGCACATCCAGGAGGACACTGAAGGCTCAGAAAGTGCCTGGGCCCCTGTGTTCAGGTGTGAAATCAAATCTCTGAGGCCCCAGACCAGAGCCATCATCCTTCTGCCCCCACTGGACTGAGACTCACATGCCCAGAACTGCACTTGTGGATGATGGTGGTACATCCAGGGCAGAATACACGGCAGACAGGTCAGCTGATGACAGTGTCTGCTGGCCAGGGTCAGTCCCTGACTCTCTTGTATAATGTGTAACCCAACAGCGCGTGCCCAGGGGGCTGGGGCACTCCAGACACCGGCCCAGGCCCTGGCTTGACTCAGGCCTGACCCTAAAGGAACCCGAGTAAGTGTCTCAGAGCCGGGTCCTGGATCCAAATGCCCCTAATACTTCACACACCGGCCACCATGCTGCTTCCTGAGCAACCTGCTCCCCAGGAAAAGTGACCTAATCACTCCAGGCTGTTCTTCTCCGGAGCATCCTCTGGTACCCACCGAAGGAAGTGACCCCTGAGTCCTACTCAGCTCCTCCACTCACGGGATTTTTTTTTCTTGGCAACTAGTTCTCCCTATACCCAAAACCTATATGACAAGAGGATCCTTTTTATTAAAAAAATTTTTTTGCCAAGTGCGGCAAAAAATCCCAGCACAGGCCGGGCACGGTGGCTCACGCCTATAATCCCAGCACTTTAGGAGGCCGAGGCGGGTGGATCACGAGCTCAGAAGGTCGAGACCATCCTGGCTAACACGGTGACACCCCATCTCTACTAAAAATACAAAAAATTAGCCGGGCGTGGTGGTGGGCACCTGTGGTCCCAGCTACTCAGGAGGCTGAGGCAGGAGAATGGTGTGAACCCGGGAGGCGGAGCTTGCAGTGAGGCAAGGTCACGCCACTGCACTCCAGCCTGGGCGACAGAGCGAGACTCTGTCTCAGAAAAAAAAAAAAAAAATCCCAGCACTTCGGGAGTCTGTAATCCCAGCACTTTGGGAGGCCAAGAGTTTGAGACCAGCATAGCCAACATGGTGAAACCCCGTCTCTACTAAAAATACAAAAATTGGGCACGGTGGCTCACACCTATAATCCCAGCAATTTTCGAGGCCAAGGCGGGTGGATCACCTGAGGTCAGGAGTTCCAGACCAGCCTGGACAACATGGTGAAACCCCATCTCTACAAAAAATACAAAAATTAGCCGGGCATTGGTGGTTTGTGCCTGTAGTTCCAGCTACTTGGGAGACTAAGGCTGGAGAATCACTTAAACCTGGGAGGTGGAAGTTGCAGCAAGCCAAGATTGCACCACTGCACTACAGCCTGGGCGAAGAGTGAGAATCTGTCTCAAAAAAAAAATTTTTTTCTCTTTGGTCATGTGCGGTAGCTCACGCCTGTAATCCCAGCACTTTGGGAGGCCAAGGCAGGTGGATCACTTGAGGTCAGGAGTTCCAGACCAGCCTGGCCAACATGGTGAAACTCCCGTCTCTACTAAAAATACAAAAATCAGCTGGATGTGGTGGTGGGCACCTGTAATCCCAGCTACTTGGGAGACTGAGGCATGAAAATAGTTTGAACCTGGGAGGCAGAGATTGCAGTGAGCTAGGATCATGCCACTGCACTCCAGCCTGGGAGACAGAAAGAAATTCTGTCTTAAAAAAAAAAAAAGGGGGGGGTGGCAGGCGCAGTGGCTTACGCCTGTAATCCCAGCACTTTGGGAGGCTGAGACAGGCGGATCACATGAGGTCAGGAGTTCGAGACCAGCCTGGCCAACATGGTGAAAACCCTGTCTCTACTAAAAACACAAAAAATTAGCCAGGCGTAGTGGTGGGTGCCTATAATTCCAGCTACTCAGGAGGTTGACGCAGGAGAATTGCTTGAACCCGGGAGGTGGAGGTTGCGGTGAGCCGAGATCGCACCATTGCACTCCAGCCTGGGCAACAAGAGCAAAACTCTGTCTCAAAAAAAAAAATTTTTTTTTTTTGGCCAGCGTCAATGGCTCATACCTGTAATCCCATCACTTTGGGAGGCCGAGGCAGGAGGATCACTTGAGCCCAGAAGTTTCAGACCAGCCTGGCAACATGATGGGACCCTATCTCTACATAAAATTTAAAAATTCACCAGGTGCAATTAGGCCTGGTCCCCCTCCTCTCTGGCCACTCCAATCTAAAGTCAAATTGAAAAAAAATGTTGGGGCTGGGTACGGTGGCTCACGTCTATAATCCCAGCACTGTAGGAGGCCGAGGCGGGTGGATCACTTGAGGTTAGGAGTTTGAGACCAGCCTGGCCAACATGGCGAAATCCCATCTCTACTAAAAATGCAAAAATTAGCCAGGTGTGGTGGCGGGTGCCTGTAGTACCAGGTGCTCAGGAGGCTGAGGCACGAGAATCTCTTGAACCTGGAAGGTGGAGATTGCAGTGAGCCAAGATTGTGCCACTGCACTCCAGCCTGGGCAACAGGGCGAGACTCTGTCTCAAAATAAATAAATAAATAGATAAATAAATAAATAAAAATAAAATAATTTTTGTGTGTGGAGACAGGGTCTTACTCTATTTCTCAGGATGAAGTGCAGTGGCATGATGTAGCCAGGAACTGGAGCTTCAAACTCCCAGGCCCAAGCAATCCTCCCTCCTCAACCTCCCAAGTAGCTTGGACCATAGGCAGGTGCCATCACTCCCAGCTAATTTTTTAATTAATTTATTTATTTTTGTTGTTGTTGTTGTTTGTTTGTTTTGAGACGGAGTCTCACTGTCGCCCAGGCTGGAGTGCAGCAGCGCAATCTCAGCTCACTGCAACCTCCACCTCCCAGGTTCAAGTGATTCTCCTGCCTCAGCCTCCTGAGTAGCTGGGACTATAGGCCCTCACCGCCGAGCCCGGCTAATTTTTTTTGTATTTTTAGTAGAGACGGGGTTTCACCATGTGGGCCAGGATGGTCTAGATAGAACTCTTGACCTCGTGATCTACCCGCCTCAGCCTCCCAAAGTGCTGGGATTACAGGTGTGAGCCACCACGCCCAGCCTTATTTTAATTTTTTATTGAGACAGGGTCTCACTATGTTACCCACGCTGGTCCTGAACTCCTGGCTTCAAGCAATCCTGCCTCAGCCTCCAAAAGTGCTGGGATTCCAGCCCTGAGCCACTGTTCCTCGCTGAAGGGGATTCTTTTTCAGGGCATTCTTTGTGACACACTCCTTCCCTGGGTGTGTCCTGGAATGTCCGCTGGCCACACCCAGGCCTGGTCTGGCTGTGGGGACACCCACATGCATTGTCAGCCGGGTACGAGACCGGGGTGGGCTTTGCACACAGATCCCACGACTGTATACACTCAGCCCCGTGACAGGAACTGTAGCCCATGGCCACAGCATCTCTTGCTAGAAACTTTTTCAAGAAACTTACCTCAGTACTCAAAGCCACTGCGGTCAGCAAGTGCTGAACATGCCCCAATCCCTAACCTCAGAAAAGGACACTTTCTCTTAACTCCTGTGTAAAGGGTCAGGACTGGTGTCTGGCTGCCGAAGAAACTAAACATCCAGCTTCGCTTTCCCAGGTAACATTTGCTGTATCATCTGTGATGCAGGAGATGGCAATGGTATTATTATTATTATTATTATTATTATTTTTGGAAATGGAGTCTCGCGCTGTTATACTGTTGCCCAGGCTGGAGTACACAGGTGCGATCTCGGCTCACTGCAACCTCCGCCTCCCACGCTCATGTGATTCTCCTGCCTCAGCCTCCCAAGTAGCTGGGACTACAGGCACCCAGCACCACACCTGGCTAATTTTTGTATTTTTGGTAGAGACAGGGTTTCACCATGTTGGCCAGGCTGGACTCAAACTCCTGACTTCAAGTGATCCTCCTGCCCTGGCCTCCCAAAACGCTGGGATTATAGGCGTGAGCCACTATGCCTGTCCGGCAATGGCATTTTGACCAATACAACATGGGCATCTAACTAGAATTGGGGACACCCACACGGGTCATAATTTGGGGCCAAAGTAGAGTTTTTTTTGTTTTTGTTTTTTTTTTGGTAGCGATGAGGTCTCACTATGTTGCCCAGGCAGTTCTCAAACTCCTGGGCTCAAGCGATCCTCCCACCTCAGCCTCTCAAAAGGCTGGGATTACAGGCATAAGCCACCGTGCCCAGCAACATTTTTAACTCTTTTTTTTTAGAGAAAGGGTTTTGCTCTGTCACCCAGGCTGGAGTGCAGTGGCACAATTGTAGCCTACTGCAGCCTCGGCTTCCTGGGCTCAAGGGATCCTCCAGTCTCAGCCTCCAGAGTAGTTAGGACTGCAAATGCACACCACCACACTTAGACAGTTTTTAATTAATTAATTAATTAATTTTGAGACAGAGTCTCACTCTGTCACCCAGGCTGGAGTGTAGTGGTGTGATCTCTGCTCATTGCAACTCCCCATCCCAGATTCAAGTGATTCTCCTGCCTCAGCCTCCAGAGTATCTGGGATTGCAGACACATGCCACCACGCCTGGCTAATTTTTGTATTAATATTTTTAGTAGAAATGGAGTTTTGCCATGTTGGTCAGGTTGGTCTTAAACTCCTGTCCTCAAATGATCCATCTACCTTAGCCTCCCAAAGTGCTGGGATTACAGGGGTAAGCCACCATGTCCAGCCAATTTTTAAATTATTTTTTGTACAGATGGAGTCTTGCTTTGTTGCCCAGGCTGGTCTCAAACTCCTGGCCTCAAGCGATCCTCCTGCCTCAGCCTCCCAAATTGTTGGGGGGTTACAGGCATGAGCTACTGTGCCTGACCTGGAAGTGGATTTTGAAGTGGATTTTGCAGCCTGTTTGTGTCTCCCAAGCCACAAAAGACTCTGACCTTCGTGTTTGACCAGTTCCTTGGAAGGCACCAGTCTGTGTATTAAGTGGATTATCCAAACCCAGACTGACTCCTGGCACATGGAAGATGCTTTGGGATACACTTATACTAAAAGGGTATTCATTCGTGACTGATCTGAAATCCAAATCTAATGGGGCATCCTATATTTTCACTTGCTAAATGTGGCCACCCTAGATGCTCAATGACATCCTTGAATAAAGGAAGCTGATGAAGTTCAAACAAATAATTTTACCAGCGGGGTAAAAAAAGCTCAAAGCTCAGTGCACTTTGCGAAACAGTCATTTCCTCTTCCGGTCAGAATAAACTCCTGACTCCTCCCAGGCCCAAGTGATCAGCCACTCCCTCCTACCAGCTGGCTGGGCTGCTGTGCTCAGTCCCAACTCAGGAAGGACAAGAGTAGCTCCTGTGACCATAATGCCTGTCCACAAGCTGAGGCCCCACCCCACTCCGCCTCCTTTTCTTTTTCTTTGAAATGGAGTCTTGGTCTTTTTGCCCAGGCTAGAGTGCAGTGGCGTGATCTCGGCTCACTGCAACCTCCACCTCCCAGGCTCAAGCGATTCTCCTGCCTCAGCCTCCCAAACAGCTGGGATTACAGGCATGCACCACCACCCCCAGCTAATTTTTGTATTTTTAGTAGAGACAGGGTTTTCACCATGTTGGTGAGGCTGGTCTCAAACTCCTGACCTCATGATCCACCTGCCTCGGCCTCCCAAAGTGCTGGGATTACAGGCGTGAGCCACCGTGCCTGGCCACCCCCTTGCTTTTTAGACACAAGGTCTTGCTCTGTCACCCAGGCTGGAGTGCAGTGGCATAATCTTGGCTCACTGCAGCCTTAAAACTCCTCAAGTGATCTTCTGTCTCAGCCTCCCAAGTAGTTAGGACTATGGGTGCGTGCCACCAACGCGCCTGGCACTGAGACCTGGATTTTTTTTTTTTTTTTTTTGGTGAGATAGAGTCTTGCTCCGTCGCCCAGGCTGGAGTGCAGTGGGGTGATCTTGGCTCACTGCAACCTCCGCCTTCCAGGTTCAAGCGATTCTCCTGCTTCAGCCTCCCAAGTAGCTGGGACTACAGGCGCCCGCCACCATGCCCAGCTAATTTGTGTATTTTTAGTAGAGACAGGGTTTCGCTATGTTGGCCAGGCCGGTCTTGAACTCCTGACCTCGTAATCTGCCTGCCTCGGCCTCCCAAAGTGCTGGGATTACAGGCGTGAGCCACCACTCCCGGCCTGAGACCTGGATCTTAAAAAGGGCTCAGCTGGGTGTAGTCACACACCTGTAGTTCCAGTGACTTGGGAGGCTGATATAGGAGGCTAGCTTGAAGCCCAGGAGTTCAAAGTGAGACTAGCAACATAATGAGACCTCATCTCTTTTTTTTTTTTTTTTTTTTTTTTTTGAGACGGAGTCTTACTCTGTCGCCCAGGCTGGAGTGCAGTAGTGCCATCTTGGCTCACTGCAAGCTCCGCCTCCTGGGTTCATGCCTTTCTCCTGCCTCAGCCTCCCAAGTAGCTGGGACTACAGGCGCCCTCCACCACGCCCGGCTAATTTTTTGTATTTTTAGTAGAGACAGGGTTTCACCATGTTAGCCAGGATGGTCTCAATCTCCTGATCTCGTGATCTGCCCACCTCGACCTCCCAAAGTGCTGGGATTACAGGCGTGAGCCACCGTGCCTGGCCGAGACCTCATCTCTTTAAAAAATAATAATAATAAAGTTGGCTGAGTGTGGTGGCTCACGCTTGTAATCCCAACATTTTGGGAAGCCGAGGTGAGAGGATTGCTTGGGCCCAGGAGTTCAAGGGCAGCCTGGCGAACATAATAAGACTCCCATCTCTACAAAAAAACTTAAAAATTAGCTAGGCGTGGTGGCCTGCACCTGCAGTCCCAGGTATTCGGGAGGCTGAGGTGGGAGGATCGCTTGAGCTGGGGAGGTTGAGGCTGCAGTGAGCTGTGATCATGCCACTGCACTCCAGCCTCAGCAACAGAGCAAGACCCTGTCTCTAAAATCAGAAAGAAAGGAAGAAAAGGCAAAAAGAGGGGAAAAGAAGCCAAGAGAAAGGCTTGAAATGCATGTGGATGAAAGCCCTGACCTGTATTTTAGGCTCAGTTACACTCAGATGTAACTGTGTGTCTGGGATGCAAAAGAGCTCAGATCCTACAGAATCTCAAGGTGAATTCTTTTCCCTGAGTAGCATAAGGCATCTTTTTCCCATCTAACACTGGGTTGGGCTCCTCCCTTCTGTATGCAAAGTGGCCACAAGTGCCCAAAATGAACTCCCTCCAGTTCAGAAATGCATTCCTTCCTGGTTAGGGAAGTCACTGTTTTGACTTAGAAGTCTTCTATACTTCAGGCGTCTAGTGTCTACCTAATACCTTTTGCCTCAGAAAAGGGTCTAATCCCACTTAATTACAAGAAGATTTGCTGTTAGGTTTTTGACCTAGAGATCTAAAAAGGCCTGGCTGAAAGAGTTCCTGAGCTCCATCTGGACTTAATTCCAGATTTTCTAGCCAACCAACACTAATAAAGCTATACTCTGCTCCCCACCTCTGTATAATTCAGGTGCTACCTGACTTTCTCTGGTGAAGCAGCAGGAGTATTTAGGCCAACCTGTTGGTTTGGCTGTGTCTGTTTCTCTCTGGAAATAGACAATGACTTTTTCTTTTTTTTTTCTTGTTTTTGAGACAGAGTCTCACTCTATCGCCCAGGCTGGAGTGTAATGGCACACTCTTGGCTCACTGCAACCTCTGCCTCCCAGGTTCAAGTGATTCTCCTGCCTCAGCCTCCTGAGTAGCTGGGATTACAGGCGCCTGCCACCGCTCCTGGCTAATTTTTGTTTTATTTATTTATTTATTTATTTATTTATTTATTTATTTACTGAGACGGAGTCTCGCTGTCTCCCAGGCTGGATGCAGTGGCTCAATCTTGGCTCACTGCAAGTTCCACCTTGCCAGGTTCACGCCATTCTCCTGCCTCAGCCTCCCAAGTAGCTGGGACTACAGGCGCCCGTAATTTTTGTATTTTTAGTAGAGACAGGGTTTCGCCATGTTGGCAGGCTGGTCTAGAAATCCTGACCTCAGGTGATGCGCCTGCTTCGGCCTCCCAAAGTGGAGGGATTACAGGCGTGAGCCACTGCTCCCAGAGAGTATCTCATTCTTAACAGTTCTTTAACTGTTATCAAAATATTGGTCTCAAAGTACTTTAAGGCACCGAAATGAGGCACACATAAACATATCATCAACACGCTGAAATGTCATGAAAAAAATTATACTGAGAGACGTATATAAAATAAGATTTTTTTTCTTTTCTTTTTTTTTTTTTGAGACAGAGTCTTGCTCTGTAGCCCAGGCTGGAGTGCAGTGGCGCAATCTCAGCTCACTGCAAGCTCCGCCTCTCCGGTTCGCACCATTCTCCTGCCTCAGCCTCTGGAGTAGCTGGGACTACAGGCCCCCGCCACCACGCTCTGCTAACTCTTTTTTTGTATTTTTAGTAGAGATGGGGTTTCACCGTGTTAGTCAGGATGGTCTCGATCTCCTGACCTCATGATCCGCCCGCCTCAGCCTCCCACAGTGCTGGGATTACAGGCGTGAGCCACCGCTCCCGACCCAAGATTATTTTTTTAAACTGAAAAAATGTATAGTAATTAGCCAATAAACCAGAATCTGTAACATTAGATATATATATATATATATATATATATATATATATATTTTTTTTTTTTTTTTTTTTTTTTTTTTTCCTGAGGCGGAGTTTTGCTCTGTTGCCAGGCTGCAGTGCAGTGGTGCGATCTCGGCTCACGGCAACCTCTGCCTCCTGGTTTCAAGTGATTCTCCTGCCTCAGCCTCCCAAGTAGCTGGGACTACAGGCACGCGCCAAGACCAGCTACTTTTTTTTTTTTTTGAGACGAAGTTTTGCGTTTTGCTCTTGTTGCCCAGGCTAGGAGTGCAATGGCGTGATCTCCGCTCATTGCAACCTCTGCCTCCCGGGTTCAAGCGATTCTCCTGCCTCAGCCTCCCGTGTAGCTGGGATTATAGGCAAGTGCCACCATGCCCGGCTAATTTTATATATATTTTTTTAATAGAGACAGGGTTTCTCCATGTTGGTCAGGCTGATCTTGAACTCCCGACCTCAGGTGATAGGCCCACCTCAGCCTCCCAAAGTGCTGGGATTACAAGCATGAGCCACCGTGCCCGGCCAATTTTTGTATTTTTAGTAGAGACAGTTTTCACTATGTTGGCCAGGATGGTCTCAATCTCTTGACCTAATGATCTGCCGGCCTCAGCCTCTCAAAGTGCTGGGGTTACAGGCGTAAGCCACCGCATCCTGCCTAGACACTGACTTTTTCAACACATTTTCCCTGGAAGAACCAAGACCAATTCTGATGGGCTTCCCAAAGGATGCAGGTTGTAATGGATTAACAGTTAACATATGTGAACCTGAAAGTGCTTGGCAAATCCAAATAAATATGTTTTCTTTTTTGGGGTATGGGGGGACAGGGTCTCACTCTGGCCAGGCTGGAGTGTAGTGGCACTATCATAGCTCACTGCAGCCTCAAATTCCTGGACTCACGTGATCTCCCTGCCTCAGCCTCCTGAATAGCTGAGACTACAGACATGCACCACCACGCCCAGCTAAATTTTTTATTTTTTGTGGAGACAAAGTCTCACCATGTTGCCCAGGCTGGTCTCGAACTCCCAGGCTCAAGCAATTTTAAAGTGCTAGGATTACAGGTGTGAGTAGCTGCACCCAGCCCCAAATGAATTATGCAGTCCAATAATCTTAGGGGGTAATGATGGAGGGCACCTTGCTTTGTGCACCTGAACCGCCACTGTCATTGACACCAGAGTGCTTTAGCTCTTCTGCTTATTACCCTTCCCACTGGTATTAATTAGCCATCATTCCTCATTGCCAGTGGGCACTGCTTCCTTTGTCCAAGGGTACAGCATCAACAGGAGGTCTCACAGGCTAGCACCAGGGAACCCTCACTTTTCTAGCTACCACTGAGGCTCCGCCTCCCTTGTCTCTTGTGGAGTGGCCTGGCTCCGTTCCCATTTCCCTATTTGGATGTGAATGTCACTTAGCCAGTTTGCCCACATGATTTCCCAGAGCCAGGAAGGGAAACGCCTTGGTGCAGAGATGCAATCACGGCTACCACCAAGGAAAAGAAGGCACATCCTTGGCGATTCTGTCACGTGGTATCTCTTTCTTCTTTCTTTCTTTTTTTTTTTTGTTGTTGTTGTTCTTGTAGGTTGTTTGGTCTGTTTGGTTTGTTTTTGAGAAGGAGTTTTGCTCTTGTCGCCCAGGCTGGAGTGCAATGGTGCGATCTCGGCTCACTGCAACCTCCTTCTCCCGGGTTCTAGTGATTCTCCTGCCTCAATCTCCTGAGTAGCTGGGATTACAGGTGCCTGCCACCACGCCCAGCTAATTTTTTGTTTGTTTTGAGACGGAGTCTGGGTCTGTCGCCCAAGCTGGAGTGCAGTGGCGCCATCTCGGCTCACTGCAAGCTCCGCCTCCTGGGTTCACCCCATTCTCCTGCCTCAGCCTCCTGAGTAGCTGGGACTACAGGCGCCCGACACCACGCCCGGCTAATTTTTTGTAGTTTTAGTAAAGACGGGGTTTCACTATGTTAGCCAGGATGGTCTCGATCTCCTGACCTTGTGATCCGCCCGCCTCGGCCTCCCAAAGTGCTAGGATTATAGGCATGAGCCACCGCGCCCGGCAGATGCCTGGCTAATTTTTGTATTTTTAGTGGAGATGGGGTTTCATCATGTTGGCCAGGCTGGTCTTGAGCTCCTGACCTCAGGTGATCCATCTGCCTCGGCCTCTCAAAGTGCTGGGATTACAGGCATGAGGCCCTGCACCCGGCCACTTACAGCTGAATCCTAAACTTGTATTGTCTGAATCTAAAATTGGGCCCATGTGCAGGAATGGTGACATGAAGGGAGGCGAGGTCTAAGCCCTGTTGAGTCCTTGTGCAAAGCGGAACCATATTAAGAACCTAAAACTTAATATGTTAATATGAGTGCAGTGGCTCACGCCTGTAATCCCAGCACTTTGGAAGGCCAAGGCAGGCGGATCACGAGGTCACGAGTTCAAGACTAGCTTGGCCAACATTGGGAAACCCCGTCTCTACTAAAAATACAAAAATTAGGTTCATGCCTGTAATCCCAGCTACTAAGGAGGCTGAGGCAAGAGAATCGTTTTAACCTGGGAAGCAGAGGCTGCAGTGAGCCGAGAGCACATGATTGCACTCCAGCCTGGGTGATAGTGAGAGACTGCGACTCAAAAAAACAAAAAGGTCGGGCGTGGTGGCTCACACCTGTAATCCCAGCACTTTGGGAGGCTGAGGCAGGCAGATCATGAGGTCAGGAGTTCAAGACCAGCCTGGCCAACATGATGAAACCTCATCTCTACTAAAAGTACAAAAAATTATCTGGGTGTGGTGGCGAGTGTCTGTAATCACAGCTACTCGGGAGGCTGAGGCAGAAGAATCGCTTGAACCTGGGAGGCAGAGGTTGCAGTGAGCTGAGATTGCGACATTGTACTCCAGCCTGGGCAACAAGAGCGAAACTCCGTCTCAAAAAAAAAAATAATAATAATAATTAGCCGGGTGTGGTGGCATGTGCCTGTAGTCCCAGCTGCTTGAGAGGCTGAGGCACGAGAATCGCCTGAACCTGGGAGACAGAGAATGCAGTGAGCTGAGACATGACACTGCACTCCAGCCTGGGCAACAGAATGATATTCTGTTTCCAAAAAAAAAAAAAAAAAAACAAATCAGAACATCAGTCTCTAAGGATTGCACTGAGAATTGTGAGCTCAAAGTGTCCACAGTGCCTGGTACACAGTAGAACACAGAAAATTTCAGTTTCATTCCAGTCTCTGGGATTCTTTCTGAGAGCAGGAATTTAACCTTATTCATTTAAGTAATCCCTCAGTGCTCTGCACATGACTTTACTTTATAGTTGTTGAATTGAACCAGGATCAAAGAGCAGCTCATTGTCCAGCCTCTTCACTTCATACATGAGAAACTGAGCAGCACAGAGGGCAACTGTAACTCATCCACATCCCACTTGTTTGTTTTTTTGTTTGTTTGTTTGTTTGTTTTTGATACGGAGTCTCTCTCTGTTGCCCAGGCTGGAGTGCAGGGGTGCGATCTTGGCTCACTGCAACCTCTGCCTCCCAGGTTCAAGCGATTCTCCTGCCTCAGCCTCCGGAGTAGCTGGGACTACAGGCATGTGCCAGGACGCCTGGCTAATTTTTTGTATTTTTAGTAGAGATGGGGTTTCACCATGTTAACCAGGACGGTCTCAATCTCCTAACCTCATGATCCGCCTGCCTCGGGCTCCCAAAGTTCTGAGATTACAGGCGTGAGCCACCACATCCGGCCATCCCACTTGTATTTTATGGCTGGATCTTTTTTTTTCCTGAGATGGAGTTTCACTCTTGTTGCCCACGCTGGAGTGCAATGGCGCGATCTCGGCTCACTAAAACCTCCAGGGTAGCTGGGATTCCCAGCTTCCCGAGTAGGTGGGATTACAGGCACATGCCACCACGTTTGGCTAATTTTGTATTTTTAGCAGAGACAGGGTTTCTCCATGTTAGTCAACCTGGTCTTGAATTCCCAACCTCAGGTGATCCGCCCGCCTCGGCTTCCTAAAGTGTTGGAATTACAGGCATGAGCCACCATGCCCAGCCTTTCTTTTTTTTCCTGAGACATAGTCTTGCTCTGTCGCCCAGAGCTGAAGTGCAATGATACGATATTGGCTCACTGCAACCTCCACCTCCCGGGTTCAAGCAATTCTCCTGCCTCAGCCTCCTGAGTAGCTGGGATTTTAGGTACCTGCACCATCCCCGTCTAATTTTTGTATTTTTAGTAGAGACGGGGTTTCACCTTGTTGGTCAGGCTGGTCTCAAACTCCTGACCTCAGGTGATCTACCCACCTCGGCCTCCCAAAGTGTCAGGATTACCGGTATGAGCCACCGTGCCTGGCCACTAATTTTATTTTATTTTTTTGTAGAGAGGGGGTCCCGGTATGTTGCCCAGGTGAGTCTCAAATTCCTGGGCTCAATTCTCCCACCCTGGCCTCCCAAAGTGGTACAATTGCAGGTATGAGCCCTGATTTCTTATATGGTAAAGACAGTAACTGGCCTCTCTAGGGACTGGCAGGTGTGGGTTCGACCCCAGCTCTGCCAACCACCAAAGTCCAAGTGTTTATTGTCCACCTGGACTGCCTCAGACACTTGCAGGATGTGGTAAGTACTATGACACAGGTGCACAGAAGGTGCTCTGGGAACAGCTTGTCTTCATGTTTACAATGGCTTCTTTCCCTAGCCAAGGACTCTATCAGCCTTGCCACTTGGGGACAGGTTGAGCTCGCTCAGGGAGTCAGGCCCCACAGGGCTCCCTGCCAACCTCCCATCATTGTGATTGAATTTATTCTTTATTTTTCTTCCAGGAACATCAGCGCACTTGTAACAATAATAATCATCTTTTCTACTGGGTATACTGTTTCATGGTTTACAAAGCACTTTCACATCCATTATCTCATTTAATCACTTCCTCCTCTACATTCCTACAACAGTTTCTTGGTACCTCTTCAGTATAATATTCTGCCTGGTATAACAAGCCTATTTCCCTTTACTGCATTTATTTTTACTCACAAGTTCCAGCATATAATTCAGGCATCTTTGCACCTTGGACACTTCTGTGTACAAAGTAAGCACAATAAAAGTTTGACATGCCAGTCACAGCAGCCTTCGACCACAGTACCAGCTACTTGGGAGGTTGAGGCAGGAGGATTGCTTGAGCTCAGGAGTTTGAGTCCAGCCTGGGCAACATAGCAAGACCCTGTCTCTTCGAAAAAGTTTGCCGGCTGGGCCTGCTGGCTCACGCCTGCAATCCGAGCACTTTGGGAGGTCGAGGTGGGCGGATCACTTGAGGTCAGAAGTTCAAGACCAGCCTGGCCAATATGGTGAAACCCCATCTCTACTAAAAATACAAAAAAATTAGCCGGGCATTGTGGTGTGTGCCTGTAATCCCAGCTACTCAGGAGGCTGAGGCAGGAGAATTGCTTGAACCTGGGAGGCGGAGGTTGCAGTGAGCCGAGATCGTGCCACTGCACTCCAGCCTGGGCAACAGAGAAAGACTCCATCTCAAATAAAAAAAAAAAGAAGTTTGCCATATTGAATCATCAGTGTTGCAGGTCTTTCTCATTCATTACTGCCATCTTCACTCCTTTCATTCAATGGGATTGCCTACTAAGGACAAAGCTGGGTTCTTTGGAGGGGAAATGAGGCAAGAAGTTCAGAATCAAGTGAAGGGGGAAGACACAAGTGAAGGCCCTGATCCCTGGTAGGCCACAGTACATGCTTCATGCTTTAGCAGCGGTGCAAACACAGTTGGGGCTGGGCACGGTGACTCACACCTGTAATTCTAGCGCATTGGAAGGTAATTCGGCCACACTGGGAGGCTGAGGCGGGAGAATTGCTTGATGCCAGGAGTTTGAGACCAGCCCAGGCAACAGAAGGAGACCTTCTGTTTTAAATTTTTTTTTTTTAATGTAAAAACTTAGGTTGCCAGGCGCGGCGGCTCACACCTGTAATCCTAGCACTTTGGGAAGCTGAGGGGGGCAGATCACGAGGTCAGGAGTCTGAGACCAGCCTGGCCAACATGGTGGAACCCCATCTCTACTAAAAATACAAAAATTACCCAGGCGTGGTGGCACGCGCCTGTAATCCCAGCTACTCAGGAGGCTGAAGCAGGAGAATCGCTTGAATCTGGGAGGCGGAGGTTGCAGTGAGCCAAGATCACCCCCCTGCACTCCAGCCTGGGCGACAGAGCAAGACTCCATCTCACAAGACAAAACAAAACAAAACAAACAAAAAAACCCCTAGGTCTTGTGGCATGCACTAGCGGTACCAGCTACTCAGGGGCTGAGTCAGGAGGATCACCTAAGCCCAAGGAATGGAGGTTCCATCATGATCTTGCCACTGTACTCCAGCCTGGGTGACAGAGCAAAATCCTGTCTCAAAGAACCAACAAACAAAAAGAAAAAAAAATACTCTTGCTTCCCAGAGTTTGGGGTGACTTTTTTTTTTTAAGACAGGGTCTCACTGTGTCACCTAGGCTGGAGTGCAGTGGTGCGATCATGGCTCACTGCAGCCTTGACCTCCCAGGCTCAGGTGATTCTTCAAGAGTTTGGGGTGACTGATTTTATCTGGGGGTGACTGTGAAGCAGGAATGCTTCTTGGAAGGATCTTACTCAGCAGAGAAGGAAACTGCAGGGCTGAAGAGGCAAACGGGACACATTTGGGAAGGGCCACAAATGTGTCCCTTGGGAAAAAGTGGACAGCTGCATGGAAAAATTCTCCTCAAAAAGAATAGGAGGCTGGGCGCGGTGGCTCACACCTGTAATTCTAGCACTTTGAGAGGCCGAGGCGGGTGGATCACTTGAGGTCAGGAGTTCAAGACCAGCCTGGCCAACATGGTGAAACCCTGTCTCTACTAAAAATACAAAAATTAGCTTGGTGTGGTGGCGCATGCCTGTAATCCGAGCTGCTCTGGAGGCTGAGGCAGGAGAATGGCTTGAACCTGGGAGGCGGAGATGGCAAGATAGTGCCACTGCACAACAGAGTGAGACTGTGTCAAAAAAAAAAAAAAAAAAAGGGAAAGGGGGCAAAATGGGCTGCTTTTCTTTCGTTTTCTTTTTTTTTTGAGAGGGAGTCTCCCTCTGTCGCCCAGGCTGGAGTGCAGTGGCGCCATCTCCGCTCACTGCAAGCTCCGCCTCCCGAGTTCACGCCATTCTCCTGCCTCAGCCTCCTGAGTAGCTTGGACTACAGGCGCCCGCCACCACACCTGGCTAATTTTTTGTATTTTTAGTAGAGACGGGGTTTCACTGTGTTAGCCAGGATGGTCTCGATCTTTTGGCCTCGTGATCCGCCCGCCTCAGCCTCCCAAAATGCTGGGATTACAGGCGTGAACCACCGCGCCCGGCCTGGGTTGCTTTTCTAAAAAGGTCTAACTCACCGCATTGTCCTAGGGCTGAGGCGTCAGAAAGTCGAAGTTTCAGGAAAAGGGGACCCCTTCCTCCCACACTCAGATGCTGCTTAGAAAAGCACATGGAGCACAACTCCCTCGCATTTTTCTTTTTCTTTCTTTCTTTTTGAGACGGAGTCTCACTGTCATCCAGGCTGGAGTGCAGTGGTGGATCTCGGCGCACTGCAACCTGCCTCCCAGGTTCAAGCGGTTCTCCTGCCTCAGCCTCCCGAGTAGCTGGGACTATAGGCGCCCACTACCACGCCCGGCTAATTTTTGTATTTTTAGTAAAGACAGGGTTTCACCATCTTGGCCAGACTGGTCTCGAACTCCTGACCTCAGGTGATCCGCCCACCTCGGCTTCCCAAAGTGCTGGGATACAAGCGTGAGCCACCGCGCCCGATAACTTTCTTTTTTCTTTTTTTTGAGACAGGGTCTCGCTCTGTCGCCCAGGCTGGAGTGCAGTGGCACGATCTTGGCTCACTGCAGCCTCGACCTCTCGGTTCAAACGATCCTCCCACCTCAGCCTCCGGAGTAGCTGGGACTACAGGTGTGCGCCACCACCCCTGCTGATTTTTTCATTTTGATTTTAATTTTTGTAGAGACAGGATTTTGCCATGTTGCCCAGGCTGGTCTGAAACTCCTGGGCTCAATCGACCCTCCAGTCTCAACCTTCCAAAGTGCTGGGATTCCAGGCGTGAGCCACCGCGCCCGGTCGCATTTCCTTAGTAAAGGGGTGAGGGGCGCCCATCTCCTGCCATCCTTCTCTGGAGAGAGGCGAGGTGCTTGAAGTCCCAAATTCCTCGTGTAGTGAGAAAACAGGGGAGGCAGAAAATCCCCAAGATATCTTCAGAAACGAAGGTGGAGGGGGGCGCGCAGCCCTCACTTTCCTCAGATAAAGGAGGGACAGGGAGAGCGGCCCCCAAGAGTGCTTAGAAAAGGAGTGTATGTGCCCCAAATATTCCTCGGAAAAGGCGGTGGACCCTGGATTCTCCAAATGCTCCTTAGGGATCCCGAACTCCCATGTTTTCTTAGGAAACAGAGCTGGGGTCCCGAATCTACAACATAATCGTGATCCCGGCAATTGTCCTCAGAAAACCGGGCAGGGCAAGAAACCCCCAAACTCTCTCAGAAGAGGGGTCGGGGCAAGATTTCCGAAGATCCTCCTCAGAACGGGGGCCAGGGAAAAGAATCCCGAAGCAGAGTCTTCTCAGAACCGGGGCGCGCGCCAGAATCTCCAAGATTCTCCTGGATAGAGAGGGTCGAAGCCACAAGACGAGGCAGAAAGAGCGCGCGGCCACCGGAGCCCCTTAGAAACACTGCCAGGCCACGAAGCGCCCGGGCTCCTCAGAGGCGCCGCTCGCAGCCCGTCGTAGCTGCCCCACGCCCGCCTGGCCAAGGCCGCCTCCGGTGCATTATGGGTGGGGAGCCCCTGCAGAGCACTGCGGGGAACCCCCTGCCCAGCCAGTTGCCGGCCGCCGGGTGGCCCAGGCGATCCGCCCTCCGGGGTCCCAGGGAGCCGGCCACGAATTGACTCGTCCCCCTAGGCCCCGCCCCTCGCGGGGTTCCCGCCCCGAAGTTTAAGTCCCGCCCCCGCATGGCCTTGAGTGGCTCTGCGGCCCGCTCCCATCTACCATTGGCAGGATGCCTGTCAGTCATTCCGTCCCGCCTCCTCGGACCCGCCCCGGCCGGCGGCGCGATCCCGAGAACCAGCCGGCCCGCGCACTCACTGGTCGTCATGCGCTGTCTGTCATGAAGCTGGCCACACCTTCCATGGGGTGCGGGTCCTGGGAGTCCTGGCTGGACCTCATTGGCTTGTGGCGCCTTCACTCGGAGAGACGCGCCTCAACCCGGAAGTGTGCGAGGCGAAATCTGCCTAGCAACCGGGGAAGCCGGGCTGTGAAGCGGGCAATTTCAGTGTGAGACTGAGCCGCGAGACTGAGCTGCGGCTCCGAGCGCTGCGCGGCGGCTCCTCCCGCCCAGGGTCAGCGCCCCGGCGCGCGCACGCGCACCCCCGCCGCCCGAGCGCGCCCCGCGCCGCCCGCGCAGTCGGTCGGTCGGTCGTCTGTCCTGTCGCCGCTGCCGCCGCCGCCACAGCGGCCGCCGCGGGCGCCACCTGAGGGAGTCGCCTCCGCGGGACGCCACAAGACCTGACCGGACTGCGCCGCCCGAGGCCGTCGGCCGCCGTCAGCGAGGGCGCCGAGCAACTTCGGTGAGTAAGGGGCAGGCGCCGCTGGCGGGTCCCCGGTTTCCGGTGCCCCAGGCTCTCTGGGGCTTCCGCTTCTCCCGCACTACCTTGGCCGAGTTTACTCCCTTCTCCACAGCACTTCCCCCTCAGGGGAGCCCCTGCTCTGGGCCCCCCCGCCTCTCCAGGGGACCCCCGCCTCTCTAGGAGACCCCGTCTCTCTTAGGGACCCTCGCCTCTCTTGGGGACACACCCGCCTCTCTAGGGGCCTCCCTCCTCTCCAGGAGACCCTTGCCTCTCTAGGGGACCCCGTCTCTCTTGGGGACCCCGTCTCTCCAGGCAGGGGATCCCATCTTTCTAGCGACCCCCACCTTTCTAGGGGACTTTCTTCCCATCTAGGGGACCCTTGCCTCTCTAGGGGACTCCCATCTCTCCAGGCAGGGGACCCCGCTTCTCTAGGGGAACGCTGCCTCTCTAGAGGATCCGTGCCTTTCTAGAGGATCCCCACCTCTCTAGGGGACCCCGTCTCTCTAGGGGACCTCGTCTCTAGGGAACCCCCGTCTCTCCGAGGGGAGCCCTGTCTCTCTAGGCGACCCTGCTTCTCTGAGGGGACAACCCCTCTTATCAGGGGCTCCCCCGCCTCTCTGAGGACCCCTGCCGGAGGGAACCCCCACCTCTCTGAGGAATCCTGCCTTTGACAGGAACTAACTCCCTTCTTTGGGGATCCCCAACTCTTTGAGAATTCCCGCTTATCTGAGGGGACTCCCTTCTTCACTGAGGGTCCCTCTACTTTTCTCAGGAACCCATCCTTTTGAGGGACCCCTGCCTCCCTAGAGACCCCTTCCTATCTGAGGACCCCCGCCTCTGAGGGGAGTCCCTTTCTCTGAGGGACCCCTGCCTCTTTGAGGGGAATCCCCATCTCTCTGAGAGACCCTCTGCCTCTCTGAGGGTCCCCCGCTTTCTTTGAGGGGCCCTGGCCTCTCTAAGACCCTATCCTCACTCCTCTAAGGAGAGACCCCTGATTCTATCAGGGTGTACTTTCTCTGAGGGATCCCCCACCTTTTGTGGACCCCTGGGGAACCCCTTCTTCCCCGGGGGACCCCTCTTTTCAGAAGACATTGCTGCTTCTCGGAGGAAGCCTTGCCTCTCTGTGGGGATCTCCCCACCCCCACCTCTCTCAGCTGTGGTCCTACTTTTCTGACTTGTCCCCCTTTCTTTTTTTTTTTGAGACAGAGTCTCATTCCGTCTCCCAGGCTGGAGTGCAGTGGTGCGATCTGGGCTCACTGTAACCTCTGCCTCCTGGGTTCAAGCGACTCTTCTGCCTCAGCTTCCTGAGTAGCTGGGACTACAGGCACCCACCACCATGCCTGGCTAATTTTTGTATTTTTGTAGAGAGGGGGTTTCATCATGTTGGCCAGGCTGGTCTCGAACTTCTGAGCTCAGGTGATCCACCCGCCTCGGCCTCCCACAGTGTTGGGATTACAGGTGTGAGCCACCGTGCCTGGCCCCCGCTTTTTGATGAGTGCCTTCACTTTCCTGAGGGGGTCCCCCACTTCTTTGAAATGCCCATCTGACTGGATCGTTAGTTTTCTGAGGTATACCCCTACTTTACCAGTATCCTTCTTTTCTATTTCTTCTGGGCCCCCAAATGCTCTATGGATCCTGCAGTTTTCTGAGGGGTCCCCAGTTTCTCCAGAGGTTTTCCCCTTAACTTGAGATATCCCACTCCTGTAGGCTCCTCACATCTCTGAAGTGTGTCTCCCCTTTTCCAAGATATCCCGTCTCCCGATGGGAGACACTGTGGATCTTCTTCACTTCCCTGAGGGGTCCCTCTGAATTCCGTGGGGTTGCCTCCCACTTGCCCTCTTTCTAGAGGCTTTCCTCTTGATTTTCTAAGGGAGAAACTCTTTATTTATCCTTGGAGCACTCACATCAAGCTTCTCCTCCTTTTTTTTTTTTTTGGAGATGGAGTTTCGCTCTTGTTGCCTAGGCTGGAGTGCAATGGTGTGATCTCTGGCTCACCGCAACCTCCGCCTCCTGGGTTCAAGCAATTCTCCTGCCTCAGCCTCCTGAGCAGCTGGGATTACAGGCATGTGCCACCACACCTGGCTAATTTTGTATTTTTAGTAGAGATGGGGTTTCTCCATGTGGGTCAGGGTGGTCTCGAACTCCCAACCTCAGGTGATCCGCCGGCCTCGGCCTCCCAAAGTGCTGGGATTACAGGCGTGAACCACCGCGCCCGGCCAAGCTTCTCCTCTTTCTGTCTGTGGCACCCACTTTCCCCCAACTGTGGAGGAAGAGAGCAGAAATGTACCCCTCCTTCAGTCTTTGTTGCCACTCTAGGGGTATTCTCTGGACTTTTATTTCGGTTTCCAGGAGCCTGGAGGATTTTGTGGCTGGAGGGGAAAGTCAAAAAGCATGATTTCCTCATGTCCCTCTAAGACCTGCTAGATTTGGGGGAGCAGGAGCTGCTACTAGATGACCACCTTAGTTACTCCATTTTCCAGCCGTGAGGCCATCACAGTGTTGTCAGGCCTTTGTGAAGACAAAAGGGACAAGGGAGAAACATTGTATCCCCATTATCACACTGTCAAGCTGTGGGAGTGACCCACTTCCTGTCCCATCCCTCAGTCCTCCCCCTGCATAGTATAACTTAACCTTCCCTCCCCGTGCTGAAAAAAAATCAAAATAAAAAGGAAAAGAAAACTCTCCTTCATCTCTTCCTGTTGCATTTTCTCTCCCGAGACCCCCTGATTCAATCCTTGATCAAATAGGATCCCTAGTTCGTAGGCCAGTTTGGTTTGAAAGACAGAGCAAGAAGCAGGAAATGGATCACCTTAGATCCAGAAACAGGGGAAGGGAGGCAAGGGACAGGATTTGACGACATTTCTGTAAGTTTTAGGTGACTTTGGCCTGGCCCAAAAGGAACTTTTTACGTGGCGTTTACAAATCTCATATGTACTTTTTTTAATGGCCCACCCTGGATTCCAAGTTCACTCCAGTAGCTAATTTTATCTGCTTTGCCAAATGCAGAGCTCTGTGGAGCCCAAGTAGATGAATGCTGGCATTGAGAGATGGTCCAAAGGACAGGAATGAACTCAGTTTGAAACCTGAGTAACTTGTAACCACTTCGTGTCCACGCACAAGTCTCAAGCTAAAAATGTGGGGAGAGTTTGACTGAAGTAGAGTTCTGAAGTATAGGCTGCGCTAGTGTTTGGTTTAGCATTTCAACAAGTTCTTCCCTCTGACTCCATTGGAACTGCAGTTCACTTTACAGTTTGACTGAGGGCAGTCTCTCTCCTGTTCATTTCCATCTGGGTCTTGCTTAATTTGAGTCCTTTGTGAAGACTCCTGCCGAGGCTATAATTTGAGTTCTAAATCTGTCGGTGGACCATGTGGACACAAGTTTCAACTCGAGCTATTTTCTTCTGGGGAGAAGTGCTTGGAGACTTTCCTGGGCCCTCTGCTGCTGGGCTAAGTCAAGTCCAGGCAGGAGGCTGCTGCAGACTTGGTTGCTCTTCTCCTGCCTCTTCCTGGTCAGCTGTAGGCACTGCCCTCAGGGGAAGGGAAAGTTGGAGGGGAGTTTGGGACTGAGATGAGGGTAGAGAAGTGCCTGAGGTGAGGGTAGAGAAGTGCCTGCACGTATTTACTATTTTATTTTATTTTTTTGAGACAGGGTCTCACTTTGTCACTCAGGCGGGAGTGCAGTGGTGCGATCTCGGCTCACTGCAACCTCTGCCCTACTGGCTCACGTGATCCTCCCACCTCAGCCTCTGAAGTAGCTGGGACCACAGGCGCATGCCACCACGCCCGGCTATATTTTTGTATTTTTGGTAGAGACGAGGTCTCACCATGTTGCCCAGGCTAGTCTCAAACTCCTGAGCTCAAGTGATCTGCCCGCCTCAGCCTCCCAAGGTGTTGGGATTACAGGCGTGAGCCACTGTGACCGACCTATTATTTTAAATAAAACCTATAGGACCAGCAGATGGGATGTTAAAAAGGGAATGGACAACTTTGAAGTCAGAAGGAGCCAGTTCAGATTCTGGTGCTGCCCTTCTTAGTTATGTGGCCTTGGACAAGTGATGGCACAAAATTGGCATGTTATTAAATATTCGAGGGAACACATTGCTGTGAATGTGTGTGTCAAGTTGCTTACTGATGATGGGAGGTGCTTACTAGATGGATGAATGAATGAATCCGAGATGATGAACTGGAGGTGGACAGCACAGCTCCTGGCACACAGTTGGTGTGCAGTAAAGGCTGCTTGTTGTATTCCTGGCCTGGACTCACAGACCAGGAAGCGCTTGATATTCTGCCAAGGCTAAAAATGCCCAAAGAGAAAGAAACTTGGTATGTCTCTTGGAAAACCCACTCCCCTACTGCGTCTCTTAGCAAGAGTTTTCTGTGTTCTGATACCAGATGTGAGATGGGTTTACTGTATGGCAGGGCATTTGTGTTTCTCTTGGCCTTGGTGTCTCCCCCTGTAAAATGGGGTAATTTGTGAATTAAGGGCAAGTAGGGAGATGTATTACTCTAATTAGACCACAGGCAAGATAGAAGATTATAATGGACTTGAAGAATTGTGGGAAGAAGAAAATAGATGAACTATGTACGCCTAAGGGATCACATGCGTATTATGAGACTGCTTGAGTGAGTGAGTCCAGCAGTTACCTGGTGAGTGATCTGTTCTTACACTTTAGAACCTTGAAAGAAGAGCCATTCTTTCATTGTAATAGATCAGATTTGGGGACAAAAGACTGGGAAAGTGATGTACAAAGCCATTTGACGCCACACAATAATAGTACTTTGAGAGGGCCAGTGTGTGGCTTAGTGCCCACGAGGAGATCAGAATGCACCTCAAGCTCCCAAGGCCCAGAGGGCTGTGGAGATGCTAACTCAGCTTAGAGGCTGGGGCAGGGGTCGGGGGGCAGTGGAATAGAGGGGAGTGGACAGGACATTTTACAAAATTTTTTTCTTGAGAGGATTTTTTTCTTAACAATTAGTAAAAGCCATAGAATCATGGCTGGTGAATTAGGCCCAGCCTTCTTCACTTACTAGTATGGGAATAGATGGCATTCTGCCCCTGACGGCTAAAACCCAGGAGGAAATAATGGGTGAAAATCTGAACTAGGCCCCTGGTGGGCTGCTCCTATGTTTGAAGAAAGGGTTGTGGGTTTTTTTGTTTGTTTTCTTCCTGGAAATATACCCTCTCTCTTCCTCCTTCCCTCCTTTCTTTCTCTCTTTCATGCACACATATATAGACACACACTGACTTTGGTATTGAAGCAAAGAAATATGCACCAATCTTAAATTTCTTTCAATTCTTTTAAGGACAGTTATTCCATTACATGGGAAAGGAGCAAAATTTATTATATTTAAAATATAAGAACTAAGGTAAACAACTTTAAAGGGATCACTCTCCCCTTTAAAATTATGCTATGTCTCTTGTGTACCACAGACTTCACTTTGGTGGATGGTGGGGCCACCACCAAGTCTCTATCTAACAGGAAGTTTTTTAAACTTGTTTTTTTTTACTTGAAGGATCCTTACAGCAATAAAAAACCTTGGATAGTTAGAAATGATATTGATCTAGGTACATTTATTAGATGTAATGTAATGTGGTTATCTGTTGGTGGGCAGGTCTAAAAGGCATGTGGGTCCAAACACTGCCCAGCTTCTAACTCTGGACGATAAAAACTGTTGATTTATGGAACTGAAATAGCTAGGGAAGTCAGGGTTTCCTTCCTGTTGGAGACAGCACTGGGGGCATTAAATCCCTGTGGGATCTTGATGATAAGAAATAAGCTGACCTCTTTTGGAATTGGGAAATAACTACTGTGTCAAGTGGTTCCATCCAAATGAATGGATGGTGTTATTTTTGATTTCTAGTTTTAAGTTTGACTTCATCCTCTCAGAAACTTGACTGCCTTTGTTTATACTGGTGTGTCTTTTGAATAAGAGTTTTTCCTTTTTTTTTTTTTTTTTTTTTTTGAGACAGAGTCTTGTGCTCTGTCACCCAGGCTGGAGTGCAGTGGTGCAATCACAGTTCACTGCAGCCTCGACTTCCGGGCTCAAGTGATCCTCCCACCTCAGCCTCTTGAGTAGCTGGGACTACAGGCATGCGCCACCATGCCCGGCTAATTTTGTATTTTTGTAGAGACAGGGTCTCGCTATGTTTCCCAGGCTGGTCTTGAACTCCTGAGTTCAAGTGATTCTCTCACTTTGGCCTCCCAAAGTGTTGGGATTATAGGTGTGTGCCTGGCCCAAGTTTATTGTGTGTGTGTTTTTTTTTTTTTTTCCAGACAGAGTCTCGCTCTGTCACCTAGGCTGGAGTGCAGTGGTGCGATCTTGGCTCACTGCAACCTCCACCTCCTGGGTTCAAGCAATTCTCTGTCTTAGCCACCCGAGTAGCTGGGATTACAGGCACCCACCACCATGCCTGGCTAATTTTTGTATTTTTAGTAGAGACGGGGTTTCACCATCTTGGCCAAGCTGGTCTCGAATCCCTGACCTCGTGATCCACCTGCCTCAGCCTCCCAAAGTGCTGGGATTAGAGGCGTGAGCCACTGCGTCCGGTCAAGTTTTTTTTTTTTTTTTTGAAACAGAGCAGAGTCTTGCTCTGTCACCCAGCCTGGAGTGTAGTGGCACAATCTTGGCTCACTGCAACCTCTGCCTCCTGGGTTCAAGCCATTCTTCTGCCTCAGCCTCCCCAGTAGCTAGGATTACAAGTGTGCACCACTGCGCTCAGCTGATTTTTGTATTTTTAGTAGAGACAGGGTTTCACCATGTTGGCCAGGCTGGTCTTGAACTCCTGACCTTATGAACTGCCTGCCTCGGACTGCCAAAGTGTTGGGATTACAGGCGTGAGCCACCGTGCCTGGCCAGTTTATTCTTTTAAATTGGCTTATAAGGGGCCAGGTGCGGTGGCTTACGCCTGTAACCCTAGCACTTTGGGAGGCTGAGGCAGGGGATCACTTGAGATCAGGAGTTTGAGACCAGCCTGGCCAAAATGGCAAAACCCTGTCTACTAAAAATCCAAAAATTAGCTGGGCGTGGTGGCACATGCCTGTAATCCCAGCTACTCGGGAGGCTGAGGCACAAGAATGGCTTGAACCTGAGTGAGAGGCAGAGTTTGCAGTGAGCTGAGGTCGGGCCACTGCACTCCAGCCTGAGTGACAGAGTGAGATTCCGTGTAAAAAAAAAAAAATTATAAGGGACAAGTGAACACTTAAGAGCTTTACTTGTGTGGCCATAAGATATGGTGTATGTGTGTTTTCTAGTGCAATTTACATTACATTAAAAATTAGAAAGTGTTAAATCTTCTGGCCCATGTAACTTCCTATGCGAACAAATAATTCAGGAACAAACACTTTCATGCCTAAGATAAAACATTTTCATGCTTGGTGATGGGGGTCTGGCAGTGAGCAGGACTGACACAGCTGGCCTTCCAGAAGCTTACATCTTAGTTGCAGACAAATAAACAAGCAAATGAATGAAAGAACATTGTGAGGTTTCTTGAGAATATCCCTAAGTGCTGCAGCTACCCTCATTGGGAGCTTCAGGTGGGGTTTCTTGGAGGTGTAGAAGTGAAACCTCACTACCTCTTTAATTTCCTCACTGGGCTCCTGTTTCCTGTCTCTAAAAGGAGACAGAAATTATGGCATTTTCCTACTTGATTGTTGGCGATAGTTGATTCATGACCACTGTGGCTGTAATCTTGGAGAAACGAGAGAAACTAGAATGGTCACGGCAGGGAGCATTTTCAGGTTTGCCTTTGTTTCTTTTTTTTTTTTTGGAGACAGTCTTGCTCTGTCGCCCAGGCTGGAGTGCAGTGGCGTGATCTTGGCTCACTGCAACCTCCACCTCCTGGGTTCAAGTGATTCTCCTACCTCAGCCTCCCGAGTAGCTGGGATTACAGGCACCTGCCACCACGGCTGGCTAATTTTTTGTGTTTTAGTAGAGATGGGGGTTTCACCATGTTGCCCAGGGTGGTCTCGAACTCCTGAGCTCAAGCAATCCTCCCGCCTAGGCCTCCCAAAGTGCTGGGATTACAGGTGTGAGCCACCATGCCTGGCCAAGTTTGCCTTTCTTGAAGTCAGTGGAGACGTGTTTTTGGAATCCTGTGGCATTTCTTCATGGCAATGCATATTACACTAAGTGATAAACCGCTCTAAAAGCCCTTCCCTTGTTGAAATCTTAAAAACATTCAGACAAGCTGGGGCTGCCTGGGTGTTGGTGGTGGTTTAGGAATAATGAGATTTCCAATAGATGACTGCTTTGTTATGTATTGGTAGACTCTTGGTGCATGGATTTCCCTCTGCCCGGGCTTTCCTCTTTTTTTTTTTTTTTTTTGAGATGGAGTCTCGCTGTGTTGCCCAGGTTGGAGTGCAGTAGTGTGATCTTGGCCCACTGCAACCTCTGCCTCCCAGGTTCAAGCGATTCTCCTGTCTCAGCCTCCTGAGTAGCTGGGATTACAGGCGGCATGCTGCCATGCCTGGCTAATTTTTTGTATTTTAGTAGAGACGGGGTTTCACTGTGTTGCCCAGGCTGGTCTTGAACTGAGCTCAGAAAATTCACCCACCTCGGTCTCCCAAAGTGCTGGGATTACAGGCGTGAGCCACCACTCCCGGCCCAGGCTTTCCTCTTACACTGGGACTGGGAAGGTGCTGTTTAGACTTTTTTATGTTGGGCAAGGCTGGAAGTCTTAGATTTGACAGGTGCTTTTCTTAAGTAAGTGTATCTGTGAGAGGTGGGGCTGGAGAGCAAGGCGGGATATTCATTTTGGGCACAGCCTCGAGGGCAAGAGGGAGGGTGTTAGAAGGAGAGTTTCTGGTTGTCTTTTTTTTTCCCTTCCACCCAAGTTCTGACTCTGGAGGTGGAGAGGCAGGCCCAGGCCGGAAGTGGGCGTGGACAAGTAATGCAACTGTGCATGTGACCAGGCTCCCACCTCTGGGCTCTGCTGCCCTTGGGAAGTGGATGCTTGCTCCCTCCTGACTTCCTGTTCTCCCTCCTTACAGGCTGAGTTCTTGGGCTCCAAGTTGAGCACAGAAAATACGTTCAAGGCCGGGCGCGGTGGCTCACGCCTGTAATCCCAGCACTTTGGGAGGCTGAGGCAGGCGGATCATTTGAGCCCAGGAGTTTGAGACCTGCCTGGCCAACATGGCGAAACCCCGTCCCTACTAAAAATGTAAAAACTAGCTAGGTGTGGTGGTGCACGCCTGTAATCCCAGGTACTCTGGAGGCTGAGGCAGGAGAATCACTTGAACCCAGGAGGCGGGGTTTGCAATGAGCTGAGATCATGCCACTGCACTCCAGCCTGGGCAACAGAGCGAGATTCCGTCTCAAAAAAAAAAAATAGAAAACATGTTCAAGTTACCCCTTTTCCTTGGTAAGCCGCTTTGTCAGAGCTGGAAGCCACCAGTGGACCTGTACTTGCCAGTTTTGGGGTCTCAACTAATACACCCACAAACTCAGAGGCCTATCTGGCAGGGCGGCCAAAAAGATGGTTTCTTGTTATATTATCACAGTGTTCCCCTCGGGAGCTTGTCTGCACCAAGAGCTGCCTGGAGGTGTGTATGGAACTTAAAGAATCCGACAGTAGATAGGTCCTTCAGGAAGAGTGTGTTCTTGAAGAATCGTTTGCAGTTACTTACAGCTTTTTGCTTTATAAAAGTACGGTGGGAGTCCCTGTGCCATAGAAACTTTAGAGCCAAAAAACTTTGGGCTTGATCCTGATTCTACCACTTGCTGGCATGTGACCTTAGAAAAATAGCCTAACTTCAAGTGGCCTACTCTTTCTGAGCCTCAGTTTCCTCAAAATTAAACTCAAATCCTCGTTTGTGGGCTGGTTTGTTTGTAAGCATACAGCAAGCGGCCAGACTGTTGTAGATGCCTAGTAAAGGTAGTTGTTAAAGAATCATATTTAGGAGCCGGGCACGGTGGCTCACACCTGTAAACCCAGCACTTTGGGAGGCTGAGGCGGGTGGATCGCCTGAGGTCAGGAGTTTGAGACCAGCCTGGCCAACATAGTGAAACCCTGTCTGTACTGAAAATACGAATTAGCTGGGTGGTGGGCGCCTCTAATCCCAGTTACTAGGGAGGTTGAGGTAGGAGAATCGCTTGAACCTGGAAGGCGGAGGTTGCAGTGAGCTGAGATCATGCCACTGCACTCCAGCCTGGGCAACAAAAGTGAAACTCCGTCTGAAAAAAAAATCATATTTAGGCTGACCGTTTCTCTTGAGGTTGGCACCTGAGGTTGGACAACAATCTGTGGATGTTAATACTGCCCAAGAACAAACCAGTTGACACTGGGCCAATAGGCTGAGCATGTCTGAAGGCCAGTGATCTGGAAGTTCCTAGTTTGGTTGATTTTTCCCAGTTGAGATCCCTTAGTTCATTGTAGCTTTAACCCCTACAGCCTCACCTTACTGTACTCTCCATATGGACTTGAAGTGCCTCAGGAAACATGATGGGGTAATTGGGAAAAAGGCTCAAACCTTGAGCTCAGGTGATCTGCCTGCCTTGGCCTCTTAAAGTGCTGGGATTTCAGGCATGAGCCACTGTGCGCGACCTGTTTGTTAGGTTTCTTTTTCTTTTCTTTCTTTCTTTCTTTTTTTTGAGACAGTCTCGCTATGTTGCCCAGGCTGGAGTGCAATGGTGCAGTCTCAGCTCATTGCAACCTCCACCTCCTGGGTTCAAGCCATTCTTCTGCGTCAGCCTCCCGAGTAGCTGGGATTACAGGCGCCTGCCACCATGCAGGGCTAATTTTTGTATTTTCGGTAGAGATGAGGTTTCACCATGTTGGCCAGGCTGGTCTCAAACTCCTGACCTCGTAATCTGCCCAACTCAGCATCCCAAAGTGTGGGATTACAGGCGTGAGCCACTGCTCCCAGCCGTTAGGTTTCTTAAGTGGCTAGGTGTTCTGAGAAGAGGCATAGCATGGGCACAGGCAGAGACCTGGAGTTGAAAACAGCCAAGTGAGTTCCCTTGACCTGAGGAGGTTATGCTCTTCTAAAAGTCAGAGTTTGAGCTGATCACATTGGCAAGAAAAGTCCAAAATTGCTTCCAAAGGTAGAAAGTTAAAATGTGCTATAGTAGGATCCAAGATTAAACTCAAAATAGTATTTAAATTGAGCTTTTATTTTTTTTGAGACGGAGTTTCGCTCTTGTTGCCCAGGCTGGAGTGCAATGGCGTGATCTCAGCTTACCGCAACCTCCGCCTCCTGGGTTCAAGCGATTCTCCTGCCTCAGCAGGAGAATGAGTAATGTGTAATGAGGCTAATTATATATTTTTAGTAGAGATGGGGTTTCTCCATGATGGTCAGGCTGGTCTCGAACTCCCGACCTCAGGCGATCTGCCTGCCTTAGCCTACCAAAGTGTTGGGATTACAGGCATGAGCCTCCGTACCGGGCCTTAAATTGAGCTTTCAATAAACATTTTCAATCAGGAAGCAATGATGGCCAGTGAAATCAGCCATCTAGACTCTGTAATGGTATACTGTATATGTAGACTTTAACCTCCAAAGGAGCTTCAAGAGAACAGACTTCAGGGCTGCTTCTGACCTTTTTCCTTTGAGAATTGTTATCATTTAAGCTGGTCTAAAATTCTTAATACATCAGAACAGTTTTTTGTTTTTTTTGAGACAGAGTCGCACTCCGTTGCCCAGGCTGGAGTACACTGGCATTACTGCAGCTTTGAACTCTTAGGCCCAAGCCATCCCCTTGCCTCAGCACCCAGATAACTAGGACTACAGGCGCATGCTATCATGCCAGGCTAATTTTATTTAGTTAGTTAGTTAGTTAATTAGTTGAGACAGAGTTTTGCTCTTGTTGCCCATGCTGGAGTGCAGTGGCGTGATCTCGGCTCACCACAACCTTCGCCTTCTGGGTTCAAGCAATTTTCCTGCCTCAGCTTCCTGAGTAGCTGGGATTACAGGCATGCGCCACCAGGCTCGGCTAATTTTGTATTTTTAGTAGAGATGGGGTTTCTCCATGTTGGTCAGGCTGGTCTCGAACTCCTGACCTCAGGTGATCTGGCTGCTGCAGCCTCCCAAAGTGCAGGGATTACAGGCGTGACCCACTGCTAACCGCCTTATTTATTTATTTATTTGAGATGGAGTCTCGCTCTTGTTGCCCAGGCTGGAGTGCAGTGGTGTGATCTCGGGTCACCGCAACCTCCGCCTCCCGGGTTCAAGCAATTCTCCTGCCTCAGCCTCCCGAGTAGCTGAGATTACAGGCATGCACTACCACGCCCAGCTAATTTTTGCATTTTTAGTAGAGACGGGGTTTCATGTTGGCCAGGCTGGTTTCCAACTCCTGACCTCAGGCGATCCGCTTGCCTCGGCCTCCCAAAGTGCTGGGATTACAGGCGTGAGCCACCATGCCCGGCCAGCTAATTTTATTTTTTAACTTTTGTCTCACTGTGTTGCCCAGGCTGGTCTCAAACTTCTGGGCTCAAGGACTTCTCCCACCTTGGCCTCCCAAAGTGCTGGGATTACAGGCATGAGACACTGTGCCCGGCCTAGAACAATTTAAACTTACTTTCGGCTGGGTGTGGTGGCTCACGCCTGTAATCCCAACATTTTGGGAGGCTGAGGTGGGTGGATCACCTGAGGTCAGGAGTTCACCAACATGGTGAAACCCCGTCTCTACTAAAATACAAAAATTAGGCCAGGCGTGGTGGCTCACGCCTGTAATCCCAGCACTTTGGGAGGCCAAGGCGGGTGGATAACCAGGTCAGGAGTTTAAGACCAGCCTGGCCAACATGGTGAAACCCTGTCTCTACTAAAACTACAAAAATTAGCTGGGCACAGTGGCGGGCGCCTGTAATCCCAGCTACTTGGGAGGCTGAGGCAGGAGAATCGCTTGAACCCGGGCAGCAGGGGTTGCGGTGAGCTGAGATCACGCCACTGCCCTCCAGCCTGGGCGACAGAGTGAGACTCCGTCTCAAAAAAAAAGCAAAAAATTGCCAGGCATGGTGGCCCACGCCTGTAATCTCAGCTACTTGGGAGGCTCAAGCATGAGAATTGCTTGAACCTGAGAGGTGGAGGTTGCAGTGAGCCGAGATCATGCCACCACACTCCAGCCTGGATGACAGAGCCAGGCTCCATCTCAAACAAACAAACAAAAACCTACTTTTTTTTTTTTTTGAGACAGGGTCTCATTCTGTTGCCCACGCTGGAGCGCAGTGGCAGTAGTGACACAGCTCACTACAGCCTTGACCTCCCAGGCTCAAGCCTGCTAATTTTTGTATTCTTTTTTGTAGGGACGGGGTTTTGCCATGTTGCCCAGGCTGGTCTGGAACTCCTGGGCTCAAGTGATCTGCCCGCCTGGGTCTCCCAAAGTGCTGAGCTTACAGGTGTGAGCCACCTCGCCCAGCCAATTTTTAAACTTTCACTGCATTTTCAAACTTTAGCCTTTATATTTAACCTCTCAAATTGTCTCTATTGAAGGTTACCTTTTTGACCTAAATTTGAAATAAATATCTTAGTCTTCCCAAAACAGGAGTTAGTTAGATATAGACCTGATTACGTGGGCATGTGAGAGGGCATGGTTGTTATTATCAAGCTGTGAAAGAGAGAACAAACTAGAAGGGCACTCCACCTGTGTTTTTTAAATAAATTACGGGCATTTCACTATAAATGGGGGGTTTGGGGAGTATACATCCTGTTAGGAAAACATTTGGGAGGAATGTTTTCCTAAGTTGGCAGATCTGCCATTTAACAAATGGGGAGTAGGGTGTGAAATAGATGCCAAGTTTTAAAAATACGTTTTTCTGCATGTCCAACTAAGGATATTTATTAGACCGATCATGTGACTAACACTCCTTCCCTGCTTGGGGGGTTTGAATAGGCTGATTTCCAGACTCGAGGCTGTCATATAGCCTTTTTGTTTTTCCTGGTAGTTTTCTGATTTTTTTTTTTTAATCTTTAATTCATAGAAAACAGTTTACTTCCATCCAAATTAGGTGGGAATTTTTTTAAACCATATGTAGACACAAAAGAGATATTCCTTGCCAACTAGTGACACATGGCAGATGAAGACAGAGTGGGAGATACACTTCCGGTTCACAACAGCACTTCTGAGCAGTTTGTGCTTAACCCTTTAGGGGAGCATTTGTGCTCAGAACCCTGGAATAGCAGGACAGTGCCAGGGCCACACAGAGACTCAGTCTGGAAAGAGCCTGCCTAACTGCAGATGGAGCCTGAACCCTGCGCTGCAGAAACACTGAGTGTAACGAATTGTGGTTAGAGACGACATTCAAAACAAACACACGTTGACAAAGTGGACCATCCCTAGAGAGCTGTTTTTCAGGGAGCTTTTCAGCATAAACGATGGTGATGGGGACAACGGGGGCTACTGACCCATGTCCCACAAACTCTTGATCTAGTGTGAGAATGTTGTGAATGCAAAGATGATTCTTGTAGCAGTGGTGATACATTGGAAGTACTGTATTTTTCATAAAGCATCACTGTAAGAGTCCCTGTAGCTATTTTCTGGTCCCTCCCTGAAGAAAGAATCAGGAGTATCAAAGTATTAAGGAAATCAAAATCACTTAATAATTAATCTTTTCTTTTCTTTTCTTTTCCTTTCCCAGCCAATTGCATTGTAATCTCACCATGTAAACATGGATTTGGGGTGAAATAAGAAACTTTAAAATGATCCTCCCTTAGAGATTGTTGTTATATTGTCCCTAAACTTAATGAAAACAATTTTAAACTTTAGAGTACTAAGAATGCAAAGTACAGAAAGTAGGGCCCGATGTGGTGGCTCCTGCCTGTAATCCCAGCACTTTGGGAGGCAGAGGATTGCTTGAGGCTAGGAGTTTGAGACCAACCTGGCTAACATGGCGAAACCCTGTCTCTACTAAAAATACAAAAATTAGCTGGTGTGGTAGCACGCACCTGTCGTGTCAGCTAGTCCAGAGGCTGCGGCACAAGAATCGCTTGACGCCAGAAGGTGGAGGTTGGAGTGAGCCAAGATGATGCCACTGCACTCCAGCCTAGGGCAACGAGCGAGACTCTGTCTCAAAAAAAAAAAAAAAAAAAAAAGTAGTCAGTGTTCGTTTTTCATAAAGGTGATTAAAAGAAAAAAAACTTGGCTTTTTTTTTTTTTTTTTTTGAGAAGGAGTCTCCTTCTGTCGCACAGGCTGGAGTGCAGTGGCATGTTCTTGGCTCACTGCAAGCTCCGCCTCCCGGGTTCACGCCAATCTCCTGCCTCAGCCTCCCGAGTAGCTGGGACTACAGGCGCGTGCCACCATGCACAGCTAATTTTTTGTATTTTTAGTAGAGACAGGGTTTCACCGTGTTAGCCAGGATGGTCTCGATCTCCTGATCTCGTGATCCACCCTCCTTGGCCTCCCAAAGTGCTGGGATTACAGGTGCGAGCCACTGCGCCCGGCTGATTCTTCAGTCTTTCTTATGAATACATTTTCTGCATTGAAATCATTTTGTGTCTTTCAGTGGCACCAGCCTGTCAGCTTCGGGAGTATGTGCCTGTAGGCTTCTTGGGCTCCAAAATCCTTGGGAGGAGTGGTCTCTCAGTTGTCGATCAGTGTTTATCACATAAGTCATCTTGTATGTTGTCCACCAAGAACTTCAAATAAATTTTCTGATTGAAAAAGTACCAAAAAAAAGGAAAAGAAAAAGGACAGTACCTTGAACATTCAGTAGGTGATGCTACTCTTTTTCAGTAGTTTCATACTAGTTTGGAGCCTTTGGCCAATTTCTGCCATAAAAGCAGACATAAACATGGAATTTGGCCCCAATTTCTTCTCAGTCCCTCAGTTGTATAGGGACAGGCTCAGGTGGTGTTTAGAAGTTTAAGAGTACACTCGAAAGACCATTAGTCTATTTTTGCTGTAGTTAAGGTAGAAGGAGGCCTAGCTATTATTAGTGGGGTTTGGTCTATGAAAGACAATAAAGTTTAAAATGAATTTGGAAGTTTTTTGTTATTGTTGTTGTTTTGAGACAGGGTTGCACTCTGTCACCTAGGCTAGAGTGCAGTGGCACAATCATGGTTCACTGCAGCCTCAAACTCCTGGGCTTGAGTGATCCTTCTGCCCCAGCCTCCTGAGTAGCTGGGGCTACAGGCATGTGCCACCAGGCTGGGCTAATTTTTTCTTTTTTATAGAGATGGGGTCTTACCATGTCGACCCGGCTGGTTTCAAATTCTTGGCCTCAAGCAATCCTCTCACCTTGGCCTCCCAAAGTGCTGGGATTACAGGTATGAGCCACTGTGCCCGGCCTGGAAGAAAATTTTAACTAAATAACAGGTGTTTTGAAAGTACAGTATTGGGCCGGGCACAGTGGCTCACGCCTGTAATCCCAGCACTTTGGGAGGCCGAGGCAGGTGGATCATGAGGTCAAGAGATTGAGACCATCCTGGCCAACATGGTGAAACCTTATCTCTACTAAAAATACAAAACAATTAGCTGGGCATGGTGGCGCATGCCTGTAGTCCCAGCTACTCAAGAGGCTGAGACAGGAGAATCTCTTGAGCCTGGGAGGTGGAGGTTGCAGTGATCCGAGATCGCGCCACTACACTCCAGCCTGGTGACAGAGCAAGACTCTGTCTCATTAAAAAAAAAAAGAAAAAAAGAAAGTACAGTATTAATTAACAACGGCTATCACTAAGGGTTTTTTTTTTTTGTTTTTGTTTTTTTGATTTTTTTTTTTTTTTGAGATGGATTCTGGCTCTGTCGGCCAGGCTGTAGCGTAATAGCGCGATCTTGGCTCACTGCAACCTCCGCCTCTTGGGTTCAGCGATTCTCCTGCCTCAGTCTTCTAAGTAGCTGGGATTACAGGCGTGCACCACCATGTCTGGCTAATTTTTGTATTTTTAGTAGAGATGAGGTTTCACTGTGTTGACCACGATGGTCTGGAACTCCTGACCTCAGGTGATCCACATGCCTCGGCCTCCCAAAGTTCTGGGATTACAGACGTGAGCCACTGTGCCCTGCCAGCACTAAGTATTGACTGTCTTTGTTTTCAGATCAGAGAGAAAACTTTTAGAAAACATGGTTCTAGCCCTAGTTGTTTCTTAATTAGAGTTTCTTCAGCTTTAGTATGGCATCTGAAGGTGATTGCATCATATTTCATAATCACCCAGCTGAACTATTTGCTGTTTAGTCCAGCACTGGGCACTGAGGCTAAAAGATCTTTAATCCAAACAGCCTCAGCATTCACCCAACCTGAGCCTATGGGACCCCAAGCAGATCTGGATTCACTGTCACTTACCATCTACCCATCTGACCCTGTCTTCCTATGACAGACAGAAATAAACCCTGTAGCTATTTCACCCCACCTACATACCCTGCACCCCTCCTACTCCCCGTCCGACTTTCCTGGCTGAGAAGTTGGCACTGCCCTCTGGAGCAGGCCCTGTCACCAGTGCACCCCTCACTCCACAGGGGTGTGTCATTAATGTGTTGCAGTTGATGCCTCCCTCTTAAAAAAAAAAAGGGGTGGTTGTCACCCTGGTGACTCACACAGGGCTTGCTGGCTCAAACTCTGGAATCTGTATATCTGTCTCAAGTGTCAGGTCTCCCACCTGACCACACTTTGCTCTGTTTGTAGTTAATTAAATTGACATTAATCAAGACCCAGGTGAGGAGCAGTGAGGTAATAGTTTGCTTGTATTGCTTTAATATACATCATCTGATTAATGATCGTAGCATGAAGCAGTTCTTAAAATATACAGCCACCATGTTAGGGTGAAAAACCTGGATGGTTGCCCTAAACCAACCTTGCGCTTGGGATCAGGGAGCTCTTTGAATTCCTATACCGAGTCACCTGTTTGAGAATAAGACTGTTTTGTTTGTTTGGTTTCTGAATTTGAACATTTGAATTTCTTTGTAGCAAAGCAAAGCAAATTGGTGACATAACTGGGTCAGGGAAAGTGATTGGGAGTCAACAGTTTGTATTTTGTATCATTTTTAGGTTGAATTCTCTTTTGGCCTAGGGGAGGTTGTGCCAGATGTTGCATTAAGTAGTGGGAAGATTTTGGGGGGCAGGGCGGTGTGTTTGGGGAGGTGTGAGGTGGCGGGGTGGAATAAACTACAAAAAGTTGACAATTGTATGTAGAACTCAACACAGAATTAGGAGCTTTTTTGAACTCTGTTTAAGGGGACATACAGCAGAAAAACAATTTTTTTTTTTTTTAGAAAAACAATTTTGTAAAATTTGTTCTACATGAAGTGTTTTTCAGGTTTGCGGTTGAGACCCAATTATTCTTGGGCGTTACATTGATTTTCTTTTCAAATGAAGTAGAATAGAAATAACAGTACAGGCTGGGTGCAGTGGCTTATGCCTGTAATCCCAGCATTTTGGGAGGCCGATGCGAACAGATCACGACATCAGGAGATGGAGACCATCCTGGCCAAGATGGTGAAACCCCGTCTCTACTAAAATACAAAAAAAAAATTGCCGGGTGTGATGGAACGCGCCTGTAATCCCAGCTACTGGGGAGGCTGAGGCAGGGGAATCCGTGAACCTGGGAAGTGGAGGTTGCAGTGAGCCGAGATAGCGCCACTGCACCACTCCAGCCTGGCGACAGAGCAAGACTCTGTCTCCAAAAAAAAGAAAAAAGAAAACAGTACGTTGCATGTGGTAAATTTATGTTTGGTGAAACTTTTGTTTCAGTTGTACATATAGATTTATTAGGGTATGCGATAAAGCATGTCACCACCACTCTTCAGGAGTCTAGGTGTCTCATCAGGAATCGTTTGTTTTAAAACAACATGAAAAGAGGCGGTTTTGGGGATTCCTCAGAACCTGATTTTGGTATTGAGAGCCTTCTTGTGGTAGATTTTCCATGAACTTGATATTTTCCCTATTGAAATTGTATTTCGCTTTATGTAGTTTAACATCTCCAAAGTCCATTCTCTTTCAGGCTTTCATTCTGTCTCCTGTGTTTCCTCCTTGTTACTGGAGAGGGAGGGGTGCAGATTTGCTTTCTTGAGGGGTTTTCACCTTCTCCCTGAGGCACGAGGGCAGATTGGGAGGTAACTGGAGAGGGAGAGCAGTCGTCCCCAAGTGTCTTGAGGTGGGTGGGTCTGGAGCTTTCTTTGTAGAATTCTGTTCACTGCACTGGAGAAGTGATCGTTCAGCCGATCCACACCCCGCCCTCCCCACAGACACCGGGGCCGAAGTTCCCAGAGAAGAGCTTCCGCGTGACGACCCCGCGGGGGTGACATTCTAACCCGCGTTTCAGAGGCAACCCTGAGTTGCTTGAGGTCGCCCAGCTCAGCTGGCGCGAGGTCAGCAGTGAGCGCGTCGTGAGTCAGCCTTGGGTGCGGCCCGCCCGGCTTTGCCGCCGGTGAGTTGGCCACGACCCTTCGGCCTGCGGAGGGCGCTGGGACTCGGCGGGGAGGGAGCCAGCCGGAGCCCGCGTGGGAAACCAGCGCGCCCAACGAGGTGTCGCGTGGGAGCGCGCCGGAGAGGGGCGGTGCTTCCGGGGCGGTACCGTCCGGCCCCGCCCCCTCAACTCAGGGGCCCGCCTTCTACGCCTGGAACCCCGCCCACGAGCTCCTCCCTTCTCGTCAGGCCCCGCCCCTCGGTCGCCACGCCCCGCCCAGCCGGGCGCGGGCGGGCGGCGTCGCCTTTAAGAGCTCCCCGGTGTTTTGGGGGCCGCGGGCCGGGCGCGCTGACCTGGTGCGCATGTCCCGGGCGGTGACGCCGGCGCCGGGCTCCATGTGTGCGGCCGAGGGGCGCATTATCTGGCCGGCGGCGCGGGCGGGCGGGCGGACCGGCGCAGCGAGCGCCGCGGGCCCGGGCGGCCCCACAGGCGGAACGAGCGCGCGCGGCCCGGCGTCCCCGGCCCCTCCGCCGCCCGGCCCCGCGGGCGACCCCGGACCAGCAGCCCCCGTAACCTGCGCGCTGCCCTAGGGCCCGGCCGACCCGCGGCCCGGTAAGTTCTGGACCAAACTTGGCGGGGGGCGGGGGCTGGGGACGCACGGCTGAGACTGGAGCGGCGCGGGCCGCGCAGGGTCGGGGCCTCGGGGGGCTCTGAAGGACCCCTGCATGAGCGTGGAAAAGTGAGAGCGAGCGAGTTCTACTCCTTGTATTCTGGGAGCGTCTTCTTGCGCTGCCCTGGAAAGTTCCTTGCCCCGAGGCGGCCCGGGCACGTGGGGGCCGGGCGGGGGTCCCGGAAAGTCGCGGCGTCGCCCCGCTTCCGTCCTGCGCTTCCTGCGGGGTCGGGGGAAGGGCTGGGCCGCGAGGCGCCTCTTCCGAGTGGTCGGGACGGGTGGAGGCGGCGGGAAGACGGCACGTGGGCGCGCGGGGCGGGGGTCCCGCTCAGGGGCGGGGGTCCGGGGCGGGTTGGGCAGCAACGCTGAACCCCGCGGCGGCGGCGGCGGCGGCGGCGGCGGATCCCGTGTCAGAATAAGAGTCCCCGCGCGCCCACGCCTGGAGGGCCGGCCCTCCCCCAGCTCGCGCCCTTCCTGCCTAACCCCCGGGAGCCGCGGGACCCTTTCCCCTCTCTGATCTCCGGCCTTTCTCAAGGCCCGACACTTTAAATTTGCCTCCCCATCTAGGCGGTGGCTCCATTGATTTCTTTTTTCCCACCTAGAGTGGGTCGGCATCAGTGACTAGACAGCAGCAGCTGGCCTTTTAAAGGGATTATTGCCAAGAATCGGAATTGATCACTTCAACAAGGAAAGGCTTATGGGCAGGGCCCAGGCTGAGAGCCTGACGGACACTTGGATTGTGCGCACACTGGGACCCAGAAATGAATGGTGACCCCTCCCTTAGGAAGTGAATGACAACCCTTAGGTGCGTGTTTCTGCCCTGAGAATTTTGCACAGGGCAAAATTTTGTAGGTCTGACTTAACGTCTTTAGGTGTATAGTTCATCCTTATCTTAAGAGCTGTGGATTCTTTAGATCAAAGTCCGAGTGAGTCACTTGAGCCTTTAATTTTCTTTCTTCCTACCAGTTTACTTCTTTCAGTTTTCTTGGAGTACATAGTGCTGGTTACATCTCTGGTTCTGTGTGCCCATTCACACAGTGACACCTCCTGGCTGTGGCAGCACAGAAACTGAGAGCCCTCTGTGCGGGTGTCTCAGTCTTGGACTGTAGTCCTGTTGACTGACTTAACTCTTCTGGTAGTCGTTACAAGTTTTCTTTTAAACTAGATTACATGAAATAATGTTTGTTGGCACCAGTTTGTTAACATATGCTAAGCAGTAGTTTGTCAGACCTGACCACAAGCTGTGGAGGGCTGATAGCTCATACTAGCCCTCGGGTTTGAGTGCCTACTGTGTGCTAAGCTCCCCTGCACAGACATATTCAGTGCCTATAACAATCCCGTGGGGAGTAGGGAAGTATTATCTGCGCTTTACAGGTCAGGAAATTGGGGCTGCTGGAGGCCAGGCGGCTTGCTCAAGGCCTCTTAGTAGTGAGGCAGAGCCAGGCAGCCCGTACTTGGTGCTCTAGAGCCCACAAATGCTGCAGTTTGCGAACCCTAGTGAGCATTTCCCTGGCGCTTCTAAAATACAAGGCCATTTTCTTGTCCAGGATCCAGGGCACCTCTGTTTGCGGATGTAGGGGATAATCTGGTGACATGGGGACACCATGCTAGCCCTGCTTTGTTCTAGTGGAGCAGCGTTACCAGCTGGATTTTAAGGAACTGAACTACAGAGTTAGTTGCTACTTTGCATTCGCTTCTTCAGCTTTGGACTCAGAAAAGTTGGCCCTTTTCTAGAGGAAACAGTTTATAGGATGTGGGAAATTTGCAAGGGATTTTCTGTATCCTCTGTCTTCACTTATTCCCTCCCCTCCTTCATCTTTCAGTTCTTATTTGTCTCATAAAATTCCGAAGCTGGTTTTTATGAAGATTGCTTCTCATCTTGGAAGGGCTATAGAGAATGGAAAGATTTGGATGCAGTGTGTTTTGTTTGTTTGTTTGTTTTTTTGAGACGGAGTCTCGCTCTGTCATCCAGTCTGGAGTGGCACGATCTTGGTTCACTGCAACTTCCGCCTCTCAGGTTCAAGCAATTCTCCTGCCTCAGCCTCCCGAGTAGTTGGGACTACCATGCCCGGCTAAGTTTTGTATTTTTAGTAGAGACGGGGTTTCACCATGCTGGCCAGGCTGGTCTCGAACTCCTGACCTCGTGATCTGCCCACCTCAGCCTCCCAAAGTGCTGGGATTACAGGCGTGAGCCACCACGCCTGGCGGATGCATTGTTATTTCCACTCAGATGACATCATTTTTTAAAATGTCAAGTCATCTCTATTAATGCAGTATCATTTGGCAAATCCTATAATCTTATATTTTGATAGTGAGGGAAAAATATAATGCTACTTTCGGTAGGAAAAAATCCTGGAAGGATTTGTACCAGAATGTCAATAAAGGTCTCTACATTAGGATTAGCAATAGTTTTTCTTTTTTAGAAAACTTTTTAGTGTCTCTGTATTTTGCGTGTGTGTGTATGTTTTTAATGAGGAAACATGTTTTAAATACTCTAATTTTCAACTCTTCAGTAGCTCCTCTGACTTGTTTTGCATCATTTATTTTCTGAATTTCTGGCATTGCAGGTAGTGATTTCTAGATTGATATATTCAACAAATATCAGAGTGCATACTGTGCCTTCGACACTGCGAGGAATCCCTCCTCAGTAGAGTTTATAGTGAGATTAGTGGGCCAGGAGTCGTAATTAATCTTATAAACATGGGGAAACTTACAGGGATCAAGGAGAGAAGGACACTGTGACCTGGTGAGCCCGAAAGGACCTTTCTCCTACTGGGGTCAGAGAACAAGAAGGGGGACCCTCTTGAAGGGGATTAAGGCAAGGGCTGGTGCAGTGAGGCTCACAGCCGGGACCTCTTTGGGTCTTAGCAGATGACTAAAGGATGCCTCTGAAGAATGTGGCTGGTAAAGTTGTAAAGCCATTCTTGAAATGTTGGCTTTTTTTTTTTTTTTTTTTGGTGTTTGTTCTCTTGGAAGAAAATTAAGAATGACCAGCAGAGTTTTGGATATATGAATTCCCAACAGAGACAAAAATGTAATGGCCCTTACCACTGAATTTGTTTAAGGACCATCATTAGCATGTACTGACACCTCAAAGCCTGGGCAGCTCAGATGCTTTTCTGGAGAACTACCTGCTTGGACTCGGGGTGTTTCTGTGCCATCAAATGGAACAGGCAGGGCTATTTTCTCTAGACCTTTCCCCCCCATAATTGAGTTAATTTATGCTGGTTGTAGAAAACTAGGAAGATTATGAAATAGGTGAGTGGGTGAAGTCTTCTCGAGCAGCTGTCCTGGGGTAATAGAGCATCCCTGGGATTTCCTCCTAACCCTTGTCTGGTTGGGAAGTGTGGCAGAACCAGAAGAACAAGTTGGCAATGTCATAGTTTGAGGCATACAGAACTATGCTGCCTGCTAAGTGTGGTCGTTTGTTAGAATGGATGCTTTTGAGTTATCTGAGCTGCTTCGGGAGGTAGCTTTCCACAGTCTGGCCTCAGACTGTGGGTCTTCCAGGTTAACAGGACTTAAGTGCTAACTGTGCAAAGGTATGTCTTTGAATGGAATTAGGAAGGCAGTGTATTAAAAATAAGAAGGTTGAGATAAAAAAAGACGGATCTTGAAGTGGTTGGTGGTTGCAGCGAGGTGGAAATAGTGAGACCCGTACTGTCAGAAACAAAGGTACCACTGGGGACAGATCCCGCTCGAGCATGGGTTCCCCAGCATCCCCGCAAACAGGATCTGGGACTTTTTTGTCAAGAGAGTGTCAGACCGTTGGCTTCTTGCCCCTCCCCCACCTTGTGCTTTCCAGACTATATTTGTGACCTCTTTTTGTCTGATGGAAATGTAGGTTAGTCTTTTAGAAGACAAAGGAATTTACCCTAATAGAATACCTTTAGGTAGCCTCAGGAAGTGATTGGGAATCCACGAAACCCTCTAGGTGTGGGAGAGAGGGGCCCTCAGTGAGAATGTCACACGTTTGCACCAGTTTGCACAGTTGCCAGGGCCCCTTGCAGCTCCTCTGTACGCTGTACCCCCTTTGTCTCTCCTCAGCCTCCAGAGGCACCTTCACAGGTGAGTTTGTCAGGGAACTTGCCTTTCTGTCTGATTCCTGATTTTAGGGTTCCTTATATGGAAGGGCTGAAGACCTGCAATTTCCGAGGATGCTGGAGGCTAGCTTCTGAGATAGGATTTGCTGGCAGGAGATGAGCAGTACTCTAAAGGAGGGCTCCCAGCAAGTCAAAGTGGGAGTTCTTGGGGCAGGGGGTGGGGGATGGGGGTGGTGGGTGGAGTGGTCAAGGCTTCAGGGCTTTCCTGCTGCTTGGCCTCAAAGATAGTAGCTATGCCTGTGGGGAGGGGTGTGGCCATGTGGTACAGGATTGGGGAGAAATTCCACTTGTTTGAAGGATTTGTTGAAGAATCCCTCAGCTATTCCTCCTGCAGTTCCGTCTCAGGACCTGGCGCTGCGTGGCCTGCCTTGCCGGTTAGATATTCTGGTTTGAACCTTGAAACGTAGCCTAAATAAGGTGGTGCCTTCGAGCACACACTTTAAAAATACTGCTGCATTATGGTGGCACAGCAGCTCCTCCTGTGCCAAGGAGGCCACTTTGAGTCTAGGGGGCACCTGCTTTTTGCCAAGTGTGGCCGTGTGCCTATTGCTGAGCAGCCTGTCTCTAGTGGCATCCAGGACAGCCCTGGCTTTGCCTCAAGACAGCCTGGTGTGAGCTCTGCCCAGCCACTTCCTAGCGAAAGACCTTGTTGAACATCACCCCTGTTTCCCATTTCTGTCAAGGGGGTACTTACTATCTCCCGTGGAAGGCTGTGTTGGGAGTGAGATAACAAGTGCAAATGATCGACCCCAGTGCCTGTGTGTTCCACATGTTGCAGTTCAGTGAGTACTGTTATGACTGTAACAGATGAGCCAGAGTTCACAAGCATTAACAACTGCCCCACCTCTTCTGTGGGGGATGACACCACCCTCATGGCAAACTGTCACTGTCTGCATGCCCCCTTTGGAGCCACACTGGGGCGCATGCCTCAGCTTTGTGCCCCAGCCTATTCCCCTCTCTCCATGTTCCTGTGAAGAAGGCAAAGTTCCCCACAGGAGGTGATACTTGCCATAGTCACCTTGCTCATTATTCGGCGGCTGGGACCCAACCCAGCCTTTCTGATTTCAGACGTTGTCTATTTTTTCCACTGCCTTGGGGCCTTCTTGACGATACTGAATGCCTGGGTTGGTTGTGCCCCAAGCCAGGAGGCAGCCTCTTTCCTGGCCCAGGGCTTGTGGAAGCCAGCATCCGGACTTCCATCTGTGAGATGGGAAGCTGTTTGCCGGGCAGATCTGTCATGGGAGCCTTCCTTAGAGAACTGAGAGGGGTCCCTGTCACTGAGTGGACTCTGGGTGGAGGCTGGAAGTAGGTGGTTTGATGGTACTTGCAGTGGTGTCTGGGAGCGCCAGGGTGAATCTCATCCTCCTGGACTTGCCTTTCAGACTGACAGCTCTCCAGCCAGCTTGGAGTTGGACAGATCTGGCTTTGTCACTGACGATATGCAGTTTACCACTCTTCAGCGTTGGGTGGGTCACCTGATCACCTGGCCTCAGCTTTCTCTTATGTTGGCGGAGACAGCATCTTTGACCTAACAGGATGCTGTGAGGACAAGTGGAAAGTGTCTACAGGCAGTCAGGGGTATTCCAGCCTTTGCCTCTCCATTTACCTCAGAGCCAAAAAGCTTTCTCCCCCCAGATGTCAACTACACAGTGATTCTTGAACACCTCATATCTCAGTTATCACATATAATGTAACACTCAGATTGAGGAGCTTGGTTTTCTTTATAACAGAATCCTACTGCAAGCTAACAATTTGGAGGCCTAAGAGTCAGGTCAAGGCCGGGCGCGGCAGCTCACGTCTGTAATCCTAGCACTTTGGGAGCCTAAGGCAGGCTGATTGTTTGAGCCCAGTAGTTCGAGACCCGCCTGGGCAATGTAGCAATCCCCCATCTCTCTCTCTCTCTCTCTCTTTTTTTTTTGGTGGGCTGTCTCAGGCCGCTTTTTTTTCTCTCTCTTTTTTTTTAATTTTTAATTTTTTTTTTAATTTTTTTGTTGAGACGGAGTCTTGCTCTGTCAGCCAGGCTGGAGTGCAGTGACGCGATCTCAGCTCACTGCAAGCTCCGCCTCCGGGGTTCATGCCATTCTCCTGCCTCAGCCTCCCAAGTAGCTGGGACTACAGGTGCCCGCCACCACACCCGGCTAATTTTTTGTATATTTAGTAGAGACGGGGTTTCACCATGTTGGCCAGGATGGTCTTGATTTCTTGACCTTGTGATCCACCTGCCTCGGCCTCCCAAAGTGCTGGCATTACAGGCGTGAGCCACCGTGCCCGGCCGATTCCCCATCTCTTAAAAAAAAAAAAATTAGCCAGGTGTGGTGGCATGCATCTGTAGGCCCTGCTACTTGCGAGGCTGAGATGGGAGGATCGGTTGAGCCTGGGAGGTTGAAGCTGCAGTGAGAGGAGATCATGCCATTGCACTCCAGCCTGGGCGACAGAGTGAGACTCTGTCTGCGGGGGGGATAAAAAAGGTCTGATCAGATTATCTGGAAGGGATGTGAAAAACCCTGTGGCCCTAACTCTACAAATAATACCAACTTAACATTTTCTCCAGTCACAGCCATTCTGTGCAATTAACCTTTGAGTCAGTGGCTGTGAATCTATACTCAACACATTCTTACCTTAGAGACGGCTGCTTGCCCTGACCTCGGAGGTGGGCAGGTTTTAGGCCAGTAAAGTAGGCCTCCAATTTACGATGGATTGACTTAAAATTTTTCAACTTTATGTTGGGTTTATCAGAGGTAACCCCATTGTAAGTCGAGGAGCTCCCTTTGATTTGTAACAGTTTCTCCTGAACACAGATCCCTTTCGTACCATGGTAAAGTTGAGAAATTTTAAGTCGAATAATTGTAAAATGGGACCAGTGGCTGTGTTAAATGCATTTGATATTTTCTACTCCCAGTGGGGCTGCATTCTAATAAACCCATCATAAGTTGAGGAGCATCTGTCTTCTTGTTGCTGGGGTTTCAAGTTGGTGGAATTTGGTGGTAGTGACAGCAGATTTTTAGTTCTCTTGTGTGTTTAGCACAGGCTCACTCTGCCAGCAAGTTTTGAAAACTGCTGCTACCACCTTCGTTCACATCCGCAGAGGAACATTTTTCCTTGTTGCTCAAGTGTGGCTGGAGAAAGTAGGAGAGTGGTGAACTGAATTCTTGGTTTGAAGGCATCGATTGAATTGGTTCCGTCACTCTCGAGACCTGTGCTGTTCTCAGGACTTGCGTATCATTGACGGAACACCTGAACTTCATTTTCTGTCTTCTCATGTAGTGTCCCTGGGTTTGCCGAGGGTTCATGCCCACCCCGTTCAGTGGTGGTTCTTTCAGAGGATTCTGTAGTCAGCTCCTTTCCTAGGGTTCTCTTATAGCCACTCTAACCCAGGGAGAGTTTGCTGGTGTGTTTGGTGTTTTTGTTTTTGTTTTTTTGAGATGGAGTCTCACTCTGTCGCTCAGGCTGGAGTGCAGTGGCGCAATCTCGGCTCACTGCTTGAACCTCCGCCTCCTGGGTTCAAGCGATTCTCCTGCCTCAGCCTCCCGAGTAGTTAGGATTACAGACACCCATAACTTTGCCTGGCTAATTTTTGTATTTTTAGTAGAGATGGGGTTTCGTCATGTTGGTCAGGCTGGTCTCGAACTCCTGACCTCAGATGATCCACCCACCTTGGCCTCCCAAAGTACTGGGATTACAGGTGTAAACCACCGTGCCTGGCTGTGTTTGATGTTTTTATTAATACGTTCGTTTGATGAACTGACCTCGGTAGTTTGTATGTGGGCCATCTGTCTCCTGCCTCCCTTCCCCAAACTTTTGGTCAAGTTTTTAGTGTTGAGTCTTTTTGTTGTTGTCTCTTTTCTGACTGTACAAGCAACATTTCCTGATGCCGAAGTCTGGGGAGGGGGTGGGAGCCTCAGATGTTGGTGGTAGGAGTTGCCTGGTCTGCTTTTGAAGTTTTCTTGGGCAAGTATATTAACATATACTGAGTATAGGTTCAAATGTAATTGCAGTCTTATTGTTAGTTTGTATCTGTCAGGTTATAGGATTAGAAATATAACTATTTTTGGGAGTTGGGTAGCAGACAAACTGAGGATTCTACCTGGGACTTTCTTCTGTGTACTGTGCTCTGCTGAACCCAACACTGGGCACAAACAGGAAACTGAGGCTCAAGCGGAGGAGGAGTGGCCTGCCCAAGGTTGACTTGCAGAAGGAATGAGGATATATCCCTGTTTTCTCCTGGAATTAGACTTTCAGATCTCTGTTGTTCTTACTGATGTCTTTGTGGCTTGGTGAATTTTGTTTTAGCTTCCTTCTTACTTTATTTATGTAGGTCCATTGGTCAGTTTCCTTCCTCAGGGCCTTGTCTTTTTTTTTTTTTTTTTTTTTTTTTGAAACAGAGTCTTGCTCCATTGTCCAGTCTGGAGGGCAGTGGTGCAATCTCGGCTCACTGCAACCTCTGCATCACGGTTCAAGCGATTCTTGTGCCTCATCCTCCCAAGTAGCTGGGATTACAGGCGCACGCCACCACGCCCAGCTCTTTTTTTTTTTTTGTAGAGATGGGGTTTTACCATGTTGGCCAAGCTGGTCTTGAACTCCTGGCCTCAAGTGATTTGCCCACCTTGGCCTCCCAAAGTGCTAGGATTACAGGTGTGAGCCACCACACCCTGCCCCCTTTTTTTTTTTTTTTTTTTTTTTGAGTCCTGAGGTCATTTTGGGTGTCTGTAGGGTGAGGATGGGGCAGGACATGGGGAGGGAGAACTTAGGGCTGCCTCTGGTTTCTCAGGGCAGCCTTAAAAAAAAACTATAGTGGCCAAGTGTAGTGGCTCAGGTAACCTTAGCTCTTTGGGAGGCTGAGGTGGGAGGATTGCTTGAGGCTAGGAGTTTGAGATTGGCCTGGACAACATAGTGAGACCTGCCCCCGCCCCCCTCCCCCCAAAAAAACCCCAAAAAACTGTAGTAGTGTTGAGTAGGTGATGTCTTTACTTTTTTTTTTTTTATGTTTTTTAGACGGAGTTTTGCTCTTGTTGCCCAGGCTAGAGTGCAATGGCATGATCTCAGCTCACTGCAACCTCCGCCTCCTGGGTTCAAACAATTCACCTGCCTCAGCTTCCCGAGTAGCTGGGATTACAGGCATGTGTCACCATACCCAGCTAATTTTGTATTTTTAGTAGAGACAGGGTTTCTTCTCCATGTTGGTCAGGCTGGTCTTGAACTCGCGACTTCAGGTGATCTGCCCGCTTTGGCCTCCCAAAGCCCTGGGATTACAGACGTGAGCCACCACGCCCAGCCTTTTTTTTTTTTGGAGATGGAGTCTCACTCTGTTGCCCAGGCTGGAATGCAGTGGCACAATCTTGGCTCACTGTAACCTCCGCTTCCCAGATTCAAGCGATTCTCCTGCCCCAGCCTCCCAAGTAGCTGCGATTACAGGCGTGCGCCACCATGCCGGGCTAATATTTTTTTTTTTTTTTTTTTTGAGACAGTCTCACTTTGTCACCAGGCTGGAGGGCAGTGGCATGTTCTTGGCTCACTGCAACTTCTGCTTCCTCGGTTCAAGCAATTCTCCTGCCTCAGCCTCCCAAGTAGCTGGGACTACAGGCACATGCCACCACGCCTAGCTAATTTTTGTATTTTTGGTAGAGACAGGGTATCACCATGTTGGCCAGGATGGTCTTGATCCCTTGACCTCGTGATCCACCCACCTTGGCCTCCCCCAAAGTTGGAATTGCAGGCATGAGCCACCACGCCCGGCCGACTTTACATTTTAAGAGCATAAAACTACTTTTCCCTGTATGGTTTTTTTTCCCCCCCAAGAGACATGGTTTTGCTCTGTCACCCAGGCTAGAGTGCAGAGGCTCATGATCACAATCACTATAGCCTCGACCTCCTGGACTTAAGCCATCCTCCCACCTTAGTCTCCTAAAGCACTGGGATTACAGGTCCCCATCTATTATAAGATGTAATTGCACTTAATTTGTAGACATCCTTCAAGTGATATGTGGGTGACCATTTAAAGATACAAAAAAGGAGCACATGGAAATGGGAGGAGCCAACTAAATATCAGGTCCTGCACTGGGCTCCAGTGGTTGACTGTGTTAGTCCCGGGCAAGAGCGAGGGCCTTAACACTGCCAAGGATGCTGGATGAGACCTGGTTAAGGAAATTGAACATGTTTTGTTCAGATGAGAGATGATTTGGGGTGGGGGTGGTGGCAGGTTCCGGAAGGCCCCAGGATCTTGGCTCAAGACTGGACTGAAGGCCTTTCCTGATGCTGGCACCAGGCAGGCTTGCTCACTCCCTTGGGAAATACAGAGGGGGTTACTCTTACTTTCCAGAGATGAGATCAGGTGACCCTATTGCAAAAGGCAGCAGAAGTGGACAGTGGCTACCTGGGGAAGGAGCTCAGCATTGAGTGAGCAGCTCAGAATCTTACACTCACCTTCTATGAAGTTTAAGATGAAGGGAGCTGCTCTACTCTGTTGCCTTGGTTTATTGCATTAGGGAAAAGAATACTTAAATTGCTTGGAAAAATTGGAGTAGTTTTGAGCTGTTTAGCCAGTCTTCTGAGTTTGTAAACTACTCTTGGTTGTTTTTTTTTTTAAACTTTTTTTTTGTTTTGAGGCGGAGTTTCGCTCTTGTTGCCCAGGCCAGAGTGCAATGGCTCTATCTTGGCTCACTGCAACCTTGTCTCCAGGGTCCAAGCGATTCTCCTGCCTCAACCTCCCAAGTAGCTGGGATTACAGGCATGCACCACCATGCCTGGCTAATTTTTGTATTTTTAGTAGAGACAGGGTTTCACCATGTTGGCCAGGCTGGTCTCGAACTTCTGACCTCTGGTAATCTGCCTGCCTCGGCCTCCCAAAGTGCTGGGATTACAGGTGTGAGCCACCGTGCCCGGCCTAAAACTTATTTTTTAAAGTTAATCCGTTGACATTTTAGAGCTTAAGCTGCTTCGGCAGATACCCTGTGGAATGAAATGCAGCTGGGCTTTGCATCACCACACAGTGAAGTGACTGGTGTAGGAGATGTGTTGCTGGCTGTAGGATTCTCTAAGCAGAGCTTCTTAGTTGGTGGGCTGGGATGAGTGACAGGGGTGCAGACGTCCTTGTGGGTAAGTGGCCCCTGCCCTTGACCAGCTCCTTAGGCTGAGAATAGCCTCATCTTACTCCAGTGTCTTCCACACTTAGAATTCTTACTACATGGCAGAAGCTGAAAAAGATGGGGCATCTGATTACCCCCCCACCCACTATTCTGAGAAGAGAGATGATTTTTCTTGGCTCTCTCAGTCTCAGGGTATCCACAGCTCCTGTGGAGAAGGGGTTCCTCTGCACGCTGCACTAGAGGAGTGTTGGGTGCGGGGGGTGGAGTTGGCCATTCACCCTCCTGGACCTCAGGATTTATGGAAAGTCATACTGGGAACTAAGGGCGAAAGCACAGGTTGCTGTGGTTATTGTTGATGTCCTGAAACAGGAGACTGTTCATACTTCACTCTCAAAATATGGAGAGCCCTCAGAGGTTTCTGAGCATGACAATATCGACTTGAATTGGGCAGAAGAAAGGCCATTGATAAAAGGCAGGCATGAGCTAATATGGCCTTGGATTTGCCTGACGGAATAAAAAGCAGGGACAGGTGCCAGAGACACTGCAGGAAGATTGGGTAGGGATTAACTGGATACCAAGGGCTGAGGACAGTTCATCTGTTTGACAACTGTTGGAGTGCCTTCCCTGCTCGACCAGTGCTGAGCCCCAGGGGTGTCTGGTTGTGAGGGAGATTCCTGCCTTCCGGGGTCTTAGAGCCTCGTGGGGGAAACAGGGCAGGGTGTCATGATGCAGACATCTGGGGCACTCAGCTAAAGGGCGGGCAGGAGCGGTGTCGTAGCAGTGGCAGCTGAATGACGACTGGAGGGTGACATAGGCCCTCAGATTGTGGATCTTTGGTTTTAGGGGTAGTGAGCTAGGTCCTGGAGGGTGCTCTGGGACAGCTGGGTATTGGCCCTGGGCAGTCATTGTCAGCTGTGATGGCCGAGGATGCAGTGGGTGAGGTGTGGAGGCCCCATGTGACCATCAGGACCTTCATGAATGAAGAGAGCATGGCTCTCTGACCCCATCTGACTGGCCAGCTCCAGGGGCAGGTGTAGAATTTGATCCGTCCTCGTGTGTCCCCCTCTCCAAACTGTAGTGCTTTGTGTTAGGTGAAAGTGTGACAAGTAATAGTTGAAAGAATGAAATATCCAAGGGACCATCTCCATACATTGGAAAAGTTTGTTCTGCTCTGTTCCTATGAATGAAATAGCAGCAGATGGATGGAAGTTCGAGGAACACAGACTTGACTTAGCCTGAGAAAGATCTTTGTAGCAGTTGGAGGTATCGGGAAGAGGCTCAGTGTGAACCCAGAGCCCTGGGAGCTGGTTGGGAACCCACATTTTCTAGATTTCTGAGGATTTTCCAGCTTGAGGTTTTGGACACTTTTCCAGAAAGACCCAGAGCGATTAAGACACGTCTCTGAAACAACCACATGAATTATTCTAACAGCTGCTGCTTGCTGGTTTTAGGAAGTTTCCTTGTTTCATGCACTGCTCAAATGTTTTCAGATTCTAGCTCTTTTGGCAGAGTTTGGGGGAGAAGACAGGTGGGTGTCCCGCTGTGACACTGGTTTTGAGAGTGGGGAGGGGTTGTGGTCGCCGGAAGGAAAAGAGCCCTGGGGATTTGCCACTTGGGTAAAAATGACTTGGTATCTGACTAGTAATCACCAAGACCCAAACAGGGTCATTTTGGGGTGGAAGTGAAGTATCAGATGAGTTAGGTGGGAGTGGGCTGGGATGTACTCTGGCTACTGCCCACTCCAAAAGGCCTCCTAGCTGGGCCTGGGCTGTCTCTCAGGGCCTGTACCCTCCACCATCCTTGAATTCAGTGGCCAGGGAACCCGTCCCCTCCCCCTGGTCTGTGCCTGCTCTGCTCATTGCCTCACATGTGTGAGCACTCGGTGGAAGGAGGAAGGGATGTCTGCACACACTCCCTGTCGAGGGACCCTGGCTTGCTCCTGTGGTGCCCTAAGCATGTAGTTGGCATGCATGTGTGTCACAATGAAAATGAAGATGAGAATTGGTCCTAGTTTATGACCCAGGCCGGGTAGTATTTGTCGATCCTTCCAGCCCCTTCCTGCATCTCGTACACTGGCAGACAGGGACTCAGAGGCCAGGTGGCTGTTCCTGCCCATGGAACTCTGAGGGTTTCCATGCCTTCTACAGCTGGGCTCAGTCCTGGGAGTTTCTAGCAATTCAGTAGAGGGTTAGGTTAACGTGCACTTAGAGGAATAGAGGAATCCTGGGTCTGTAATGATCTCTACATCTTTTTTTTTTTTTTTTTTTTTTTTAAGATGGAGTCTTGTTCTGTCACCCAGGCTGGAGTGCAGTGGTGCAATCTCAGTTCACTGCAGCCTCCGCCTCCCAGGTTCAGGTGATTGTTGTGCCTCAGCTGCTCGAATAGCTGGGATTACAGGCACAAGCCACCATGCCCAGCTAATTTTTGTATTTTAGTAGAGATGGGGTTTTGCCATGTTGGCCAGGCTGGTCTTGAACTCCTGACCTCAGGTGATCCGCCTGCCTTGGCCTCCCAAAGTGCTGAGACAGGTGTAAGTCACCGCCCTGGATGATGCCTACCTACATCTTTGGTAGAGGAAGTTTTCCCAGAGCCTTGGGAAGGATCCAGTCCTAGGACCGTCTCAATCAGATTGTTCTCAATGGTACAGCGGTTCAGGTTTGAGCCTGGGCCTAGGAGGTGGCTGACCTGGGTCTGGATTCCCATCTGACTTATTAAGTGTGTGACCTTGGGCAACCATCTTGACTTTTTTTTTTTTTTTTTTTTTTTGAGACAGAGTCTCACTCTGTCACCCAGGCTGGAGTGCAGTGGTGTGATCTCAGCTCACTGCAACCTCTACTTCCCAGGTTCAAGCGATTCTCCTGTCTCAGCCCCCTGAGTAGCTGGGATTATAGGCACGCACCACTATATCCAGCTAGTTTTTTTTTTTTTTTTTTTTTTTTAAGTAGAGACGGGGTTTCACCATGTTGGCCAGGCTGGTCTCGAACTCCTGACCTCAGGTGATCCGCCCGCCTCGGCCTCCCAAAGTGCTGGGATTACAGGCGAGAGCCGTCGCGCCCAGCCCATCTTGACTTTTTTTTTTTTTTTTTTGATACGGGGTCTCGCTCTGTCACCCAGGCTGGAGTGCAGTGGCGCGATCTCGGCTCACTGGAAGCTCTGCCTCCCAGGTTCCCGCCATTCTCCTGCCTCAGCCTCCCAAGTAGCTGGGACTACAGGCGCCCGCCACCACGCCTGGCCAATTTTTTTTTTTTTTGGTATTTTTAGTAGAGATGGGGTTTCACTGTGTTAGCCAGGCTGATCTCGATCTCCTGACCTCGTGATCCGCCCGCCTTGGCCTCCGAAAGTGCTGGGATTACAGGTGTGAGCCACCGCGACCAGCCCCATCTTGACTTTTTTTAACCTCGGTTTTCTCTTCTGTCAGGTGTGGATATCGGCGGTAGTCCCTTGCATGAAGTGCTGATAACAGTGTGGGTTCCATCGTGTGAAGTGTGGGTACGATGACAGTCCCTCGTGTGAGTGTGGGTATGATGACAGTCCCTCGTATGAGTGTTGGTATGATGACAGTACCTCGTTCTGTGGTTATGAGGATTAAATGAAATCAGGCATGTAACGTGTTGGCACATTGCCTGGCACCAAATAAAGAATTCAGTAATTGTTAGCCACTGTTTCCTCTTTCAGTAACAAAACCTCTTGTCAACATATTAGAGATGATTCTCTTGGTGTCCCCAAAGTTTTCAGAAGTGCGCTTTTCTCTAGCAGTTTGAATCCAGGTGCCTAGCGGTAACTTTCTCCGTTGAGGGTCAGGTCCTCCCCATCCTGCCTCAGCAATGCCCGACGGACAATGGGGGAGGCCTGGACTGTGAGGATGCACGAGCAGTCCCATTCTGGGGACAGAGACAAGCAGGGCCTGGCTTGGCTGCATGTTAGTGCTGGCATAGGGGTTAGGTAGGGTCTGGATCTGCTTGAGGTGGCTTGAGATAGAGGGAGGGAGGGCCAGGGAGGTGAGGGCAGTAGGCCTCCTTGGAGGAAGAGAAGGCTGGCCCAGTGAAAGCCAGTTGAATGGATGAGTGAACTAACGCCCCTGCCCCTATGGCCCTGCCCCTCCTCACCCCTTCTGGCCTGTACTGTCCCTTCGCCTGTCCATACCAGTTTCCCAGGGCATGTCTTGCATGTAGGTTGGGTTGTCTAGGCAGCGCTGTGCTTCAGTGACACTTTGTGGTTGACTTGGGACCCTGACCACACTGAGAGCAGCGCGCTTCTCTGGGTTGGATGGCTGGGTTCTCAAGGACCAACGGCTTAGAATTGTGGAGGGTGGAGTGTGTCCCGGCCCTGTGTTTGTTTGCCTGCCTGCTGACATGAAGCCTGATGTGTGCAGCCACTCTACTGTGTGCGAGGGAAGAAAGACATCCTAGTCCGTGTTGGACATGGGCTCTGTGTGGCAGAGTTCAGCCTCTTGTGGGGCCCCGTCTTACTCTGGGGGTGATGCAGGTAAAGTCTGCTGAGGACCTAGCCTAAGGCTGTGTAGTCTGACAGATTTCTTCAGACCTTCTCTCTCTTTTTTTTTTTTCTTCTTTTTTGAGACAGAGTCTCACTCTGTTGCCCAGGCTGGGAGTGTGCAGTGGTGCAATCTTGGCTCACTGCAACCTCCACCCCCTGGGTTCAAGCAGTTCTCCTGCCCCAGCCTCCCACGTAGCTGGGATTACAGGCTCCCACCACCATGCCCAGCTAATTTTTGTATTTTTGGTAAAGACTAGGGTTTCACCATGTTGGCTAGGCTGATTTCGAACTCCTAACTTCAGGTGATCTGTCCTCCTTGGCCTCCCAAAGTGCTGGGATTACAGGCGTGAGCCACTGCACCCAGCCAGACCTTCTTATTTTTAGGCAGTGATTCTAGTGAAATTTACATTGTTCTTTATAACATATCAGCATTTTCATACTGAAGCCTCTTCCCAGCAAGGAAAACGCCATTTGAGGCAGAAACAGCAAGCATATTTCAAGGCTCTGGGATTGCTTGCTTCCCACCGCAGGAGGCAGGCGGTTTGGCCTTTGCTATCTGGCTCCTCTTGGAGCAGGGTTCCCCAGGTGCCAGCCCCCACCAGCACAGTTTTTCTCTCTGCTTGCTCCCTGGAAGCTGGCTGTTGGGCCACACAAGCAGAACTCCTCCTAGCTGGCAGAGCCCCACGTCCACCTGGCACCTGCTTTCCCCAAGCCTCGGTGTCCCTTCTGTGACATCTAAGACTTCAGGGAGGCATTGCTTCCTCCATCTTGGCCTCAGTTTATCCTGTAAGGGCTGGGGATAGTGGTGAGGACAGTTGACAGTTCTGTGAAACACTCTGAGGAGCCCTTGCTCTTCTTGCATCTTCCAATCATACTTTTATTGTCTGATACTATACATTGTCAAGGAGGTGTGGAGTATGTGTACAGCCTTGCATTTCTCTATTCTTTTTGTTTTTGTTGTTTTTTTTTTTTTGAGATGGAGTCTGGCTCTGTCACCCAGGCTGGAGTGCAGTGACGCGATCTTGGCTCACTGCAAGCTCCGCCTCCCGGGTTCATGCCACTCTTCTGCCTCAGCCTCCCAAGTAGCTGGGACTACAGGCGCCCACCACCACGCCCGGCTAATTTTTTGTATTTTTAGTAGAGACAGGGTTTCACCGTTTTAGCCAGGATGGTCTCGATCTCCTGAACTCATGATCTGCCCGCCTCGGCCTCCTGAAGTGCTGGGATTACAGGCGTGAGCCACTGCGCCCGGCCTTTTGTTTGTTTTTGAGTTAGGATTTCGTTCTGTCATCCAGGCTGGCGTGCAGTGGCACAAAAATGGCTCACTGGAGCCTTGACTTCCTGGACTCAAGTGATCTTCCCACCTCAACCTCCCGAGTGGCTGGGATTGCAGGTGCGCACCACCACTCCCAGCTAATTTGAAAATATTTTGTAGAGACAGAGTCCCATTGTATTGCCTAGGCTGGTCTCAAACGCCTGGGCTCAAAGCAGTCCTCCTGTCTGTCTCCCAAAGTGCTGAGGTTACAGGCATGAGCCACCACACTTGGCCTATTTCTCTCTTAATTGGCGTATGCGGTGGCGGCTGAGATTTGCTGATAGATTTTGCCATTGTTATAGTTTCTTCATTTATACTTTGCAGCATTTCAGTCATCACATGATTTTTGTGATGGCTGTGGTGCGTCATCAGTTTGCCGCAGTGATGAAGCTTCTGGGACTAAGAACCAGCTTGTTGGCCTGGTTCTTGGGCAAGGCCCTGAGAATCCTGGGCTGAATGCCCCCCTGAGCTGACCACGTGGCCTTAGCCAGGGCCATTGGTGCCATGGCGTGGTTAGTGGATGGTTCCAGCCAAGTCTGAGAATTTACCGAATTGACTGTTTGATTTGGCAGCTGATGGTCAGAGAAATTGAATTCTGCCTCTTAGCAAAGGAAGCTTGGTGGATTTCTAGAATTCTTTGTTGTAGAGGGGGTTGGGGATGGCGTGGGCAGAATGAATGCGAAGTGTGGGGGCTTGAGGTCTGCCAGGCCCTCCCACTTGCCCTAAACTGGACTTGGAGGTGTCTGGAAGGTTGTGGGTGGACAGCACTGACCTTGCTGCTTGGCCAGTTGTTCCCCAGCCACTCTGGATTCGGATCTAGGTGGACCCTATGGTATCCTAGAAACTACCTTTATGTTCTTTTCTTTTAAGAAACAGTGTCTTGCTCTGTCATCCTGGCTGGAGTGTAGTTGCATGATCATGGGTCACTGTAACATTTAAACTCCAGGGCTCAAGTGATCCTTCCACCTCAGCCTCCCGAGTAACTTGGGACTACAGGTATGCACCACCACACCCAGCTAGTTTTTAAATTTTTTATAGAAACAGGGTCTCACTGTTTTCTAGGGCTGGTCTTAAACTCTTGGGCTCAAGTGATCCTCCCACCTCAGCGTCCCAAAGGGCTGGGATTACAGGCATGAGCCACTGCATGTGGCTTTGTAAGTTTTTGTTGTTGTTTTTGATACAGGGTCTTGCTCTGTCGTCCAGGCTAGAGTGCAGTGGCGTGATATTGGCTCACTGTATCCTCCACCTCCCAGGCTCAAGTGATTCTCCTGCTTCAGCGTCCTGAGTAGCTGTGACCATAGGCATGAGCCAGCATGCCCAGCTAATTTTTGTATTTTTTGTAAAGACGGAGTTTTGCTATTTTGCCCAGGCTGGTCTTGAACTCCTGAGATCAAGAGGTCTGCCCCCCTCAGCCTCCCAAAGCGCTGGGATTACAGGTGTGAGACACTGCGCCTGACCTCCACTGAGTTTTTAAATTTTTTGTAGAGATGGGGGTCTCTCTCTGTTGCTCAGGCTGGTCTCGAACTCCTGGCCTCAAGTGATCCTCCTGCCTCGGCCTCCCAAAATGCTGGGATTACAGGCATGAGCCATCATGCCTGGCCTGGCGCTTTACTTTTGACCATGTGACACACCTGTGGTTGGGGTCTGGGGCCTCAGAGGCAGCGACTGTGCTGTGCATTGGTGAAGGAAGCATCCTCACCTTTCCAGGAGGTTGCCCATATGACAGGTTAGGTGTTGTTCCTGCTTGAAAAACAAACTTGAGCTGGGTGTGGTGGCTTGTGCCTGTAATCCCAGCACTTTGGGAGGCTGAGGCAGGATGATTACTTGAAGCTAGGAGTTTGAGACCATCCTGGGCAACATAGTGAGATCCCATCTCTACAAAAAATAAAAAAGGTGTGGTGCAGTCATTGACACCTATAATCCCAGCCCTTTTGGAGGCCAAAGTAGGAGGATTGCTTGAGGCCAAGAGTTCAAGACTAGCCTGTGCAACAATAAAAAAAAAAAAAAAACCCAAACTTGAGAAAACTTGCCATAAGAATAGAATAACTGGAGGTTTTATTTCTTGGCATTAAGTGAACAAAACCCAGCCACTGACCGTAAAGGTAATACAATTAGTTGAAATATTGCAGTGTGGGGAGGCTATTTGGGTGGCAATTTGTTGGGGACAAGGCTGGCTGTCATTAGAACCTTCTGTGTGCATTCTCCTATGATGGAGGCAGTGTCTTCTGCCAGATGGAGCCTTTTGGGATCCTCCCAAATTTTTTTATTTTGACTGGTCCTGGCCATTCGGCTGTTCCCTCCCCTCCCCTTTATTAGAGTCATCCCAAGAGGACTCTGTGCTTTGTGGTCACAGGTCACACAGGTGCATGTGCAAAGGAGATGGCCTGTTTAGAGGTGAATGAGGTGGGAGCACCAGATAGTTGTTTACCCCCTTTCCCCTTACTCTATTCAGGAGCACTTGACCAAGCCATAATTAGCATGCTTTGCACATTTCCAATCTGAAATGATTGGCAAAGAAATGCCCGCTCTCTTGTTCCAGTTGGGTACCTCAGGCGGGGTCACTGGGCATTTTGTTTTTCACCCAGCATCTGTGGACTCAGCCACACACCGGCCTGGCAGACAGCTCCCCAGTGCAGCAACTCCCATGGGCCCAAGGGATTATAGGCAGGCTTGGAGCTCAGAACTTGACAGGGGACATAGTGGTTTTCTTTTTCTTTTCTTTTCTTTTTTTTTTTTTAGACAAGGTCTGGCTCTGTCGCCCAGGCTGGACTGCAGTGGCTCAGTGTCTGCTCACTGCATCCTCCACCTCCTGGGCTTAAGGCATCTTCCCATGTCAGCCTCTAGCGTAGCTGGGACTACAGGTGCTCCGCCACGCCTGGCTAATTTTTGTATTTTTTGTAGGGATGGTGTTTTGCTATGTTGTCCAGGCTGGTCTCGAACTTGTAAGCTCACGCAATCCATCCACCTCGGCCTCCCAAAGTGCTGGGATTACAGGCATGAACCACTGCACCTGGCCCCTGCAGACATAGTGGTTTTCTTTTTAATGATGTTAATTAGTAGGGGCACTATGGGTGGGTTGTCTGGAGTTTCCCTTGTCTAGAGTTAGATGTGATGGGAGCTCAGGGCTCATACCCAGCCGTGGGTCCATATAAGTCTTCGTGTGTCTAGCTTGGGTGCTCCAGGAAGTGTATTTGGGATGTCTCTGGCTTCTATTCCACAAACTTAGAGGAGAAGTTTGTACCCAAGATGAGCTAGTCATCTCCATTCACACAACAAGCATTCCTTGGCTTATGGCTGTGAGACAAGGCTAGAGTCCCCGGGAGGTACTGTTCTTCTGCAGCTAAGAGCTGGGATCAGGCCGGCAGACTTGTCCATCTATGACATAATGTGTGGCCGCTGCTGTTACCTCACCATTCCATGTGTTTCCAGTGCTTTTTAATTTAATTTTTATTTTTTTGAGATAGAATCTTGCTCTTTTGCCCAGGCTGGAATACAGAGATGCGATCTTGGCTCACTGCAGCCTCCGCCTCCTGGGTTCCAGTGATTCTTGTGCCTCAGCCTCCCGAGTAGCTGAGACTACAGGCACACACCCCTACCCCTGGCAAATTTTTTTTGTATTTTTAATGGAGATGGGGTTTCACCATGTTGCACAGGCAGGTCTCGAACTTCTGGCCGCAAGCGATCCACCCGCCTCAACCTCCCAAAGTGCTGGGATTACAGGCGTGAGCCACTGCCCCCGGCCTCCAGTGCTTTCTTTATGCGGCTTATTTGAGAAGCGGAGGGAAGGACTAGTTGGTAGTGAAGCATGTCAGTGGCATGGCTGAGCTGGGGAGCAGAGTTTCAGAACCATGCTTTGTTTGGCACCATGGGTATACCAGGCTCATGTGCTTTTTTTCTGTACACGCTTTGGCATGTGATGTGTGTGGCTCTGCCTTGAGGACATTATGCTGAGTAAGAGAAGTCAGGCTCAAAAAGACACACTTATGATTGCACCTATATGAGGTTCCTAGACTCTCAAATTCTTAAAGACAGAAGGAAGAAGGGGGGTTGCCAGGGGTTGGGGGCAGAGAGATGAGAGTGAGTATTTAATGGGGATAGAGTTTCAGCTGGGGAAGATGGTAAGTTCTGGAGATGGATGGATGATGGTTGCACAACAGTGTGACTGCACCTAATGCCACTGAACTGTGAACTCAAAATGGTTAAGATGTAAATTTTGTGTACGTTTTACCACAATAAAAAAATGAACCTTTCTGAATTCAGAAATATTCTATACCTTTATGACAACATGTATTCTGTCCTCTCAGAATTAGCTTGGGGACAAAGGGACAAAGGCACACACACTCATTTCCTAGCTTGTGCTAAGTACTGGGGGTGGGGGTGGGGTTAAAAAAATGCACGTGGTTCTAGAAGGCTCTTAATGACATCATCTTGGGATCACAATGTTAGAGTGCGGATATTCTATGGGTTTTCTTCAGTCCCTGGACAGGTGGGGTCATCCTAGGACCCCTGCAATCTTTAGGGGATTTAGGGAGAAACAGTGTCCAGGAACATCTGAGGTCTCTGTTCCCGTGCATTGCTTGGGGATTGAAGGTATTTCTTTCTTTCTTTCTTTTTTTCTTTTTAGATGGAGTCTTATTCTGTCGCCAGGCTGGAGTGCAGTGGTATGATCTTGGCTCACTGCAGCCTCCGCCTCCCAGGTTCAAGCGATTCTCCTGCCTCAGCCTGCTGAGTAGCTGCGACTACAGGCGTGCGTCACCACACCCAGCTAATTTTTGTATTTTTAATAGGGACATTTTTAGTATTTTTAGGGTTTTACCATGTTGGCCAGGATGGACTCGATCTCCTGACCTCATGATCCACCTGCCTCAGCCTCTCAAAGTGCTGGGACTACAGGTGTGAGCCACCGTACCCAGCCTCGAAGGTATTTTTTATTTTCCTATATCTGTTTGTCAGTGAGTTTCCTTTAATACAGCAGTGTGTTGGTATTTTTATTTTATTTTTATTTCGAGACCAGTTCCTAGATCCTCAGTATTAGAGAAGTCATTTCCTCTTTTGTTCTTGTGACATTTTCTTCTGGTGTCCTTTAATACTGCAATACATCAGGCATCTGAAATACTAAACACTTAAATGTTTCAGACACTTCCTAAGGCCTCAGTGTCATCTGCACGTAGACATTTGGTTTCTGGGCACTTAAGATCTGGGGTCGATAGGCAGTTTAGGACTGCTGCATGCACTGCCCAGGCAGCTGCTGGGAGCCTGGGTGGAAACAATAAGAGGAGCATCCAGATAGAGGTAGCAATGTTTTGAGGAACAACATTAATCATAATAATAAAAGAAAGAAGTAGTTGCTTCTGTTTGAGAAGCTGCCTGGTGCCAGGGCCTGTCACTGGGTTCTCAGGATGGTCTGGAGGCCTGAGGTAGGTTCCACGCAGGCAGGCAGGCTCCCCGGGAGGGCATTGGGCCCACTGTTTAACTGCCAGGTGAGCCAGGCTGGGCAGAATGTGCTAGGAGGAAGCTCGTGAGCATTTGGGATGGTTTGGAGGGAGGCCTGGAGTGCCAGGGAGCGAGAGGGGTGTGGTGCTGGAGTCTGAGCTTACCAGAGGGCAGGGCTCTGGACCCGCATGAGAACTGTGAATGGGGTTTTAGGGTGGGACACAGCCTCTGCCATAAGAAAGGATACGGGGAGTGCAGAGTGTGGGCACCACTGACACTGGGGCAACTCTCAATTCTCAGTGGTGGCCTGAGGGAAGCCCTTCAGACACAGGGTCCCCACAGCTCCCCAAATAGCATGCCAGGGGTGGGGCAGGAGGGGGACATTGGCCGCGCCCCGAAGCTCTGGACTCACCCCAGGGGCTGTGCCGTGCCCATGGCTGTAGTCTTGCCTATCTCCATGTGGCTTCTTCCTGGCACTGATTAACTATTTTAATTAAAGACAGCATTTGTATGTTTTTTTTTTTTTTTTTGCCTCCAGCCGGTGGTAGAAACCTCTTGGTTGGGTCCTGACAACTCGTGGAGGTCCCCATTTTGTAGTCTCCTCCTCCGTGCCCACGTGGGTGTTAGATGAGGTGATGCGCAAGCGCCTTGTGTCCATGGAGCATGGAGCCTTTGGGAAGTGGGATGCTCGATTTCAAGTAGCAAGTTTCAGCAAAAAGTTCCAGCATCGTGGTCCATGGTGAGGGGCTGGGGGGGAGAGCTTGCCTGAGTAACAGGTGCTTGAACCCAAAGGATGGGTGGGAGCTAGGAGGGGCTCTCCTGGCCATGGGAACGGTGCGTGCAAAGGTCTGGCACGGGGAGTAGGCAGGCGTGCTGGGTCTGAGGAATTGAAAGGAGGCCAGGTGGTTGGAGCGGGAGCATGGAACGTGTATGCTCCTTCACATGCACGTAGCGCACTTGCGGCTGAAGTGGGCCGGGCCTTGAAGGCCGTGGTGAGGTGCTCTGACGCTGGGTGGACCTGGGAAATTAAGGAGGGCCGTCTGGTTTATTATGGGGAGTAGAAGATGGTGGAAGTGGAAGACAGCCAGTACATGCCTTAGGCTGCCGGCCTGCCCCTGCCTGTCTCCTCCTTCAAGGAGGCTGTGGTTCCCATGGCTGAGGGAGGAGACAGGCAGGGGCAGACCAGGGGCCTACAACATGTACTGGCTGTCACCCTAATGGGAAGCTCAGTTTGAGAGCAGAGGTGGGAACTCCGGCCTCCAGTGCCAGCTCTGGTTGCCAAGGATGGGCTTGTGTGGCCAACCTCACGATTGGGTCTTGGTCCTCCCGGGGCTGATTCTCCGCATCTCTAGTCTGCCAAGTCATACTCTTCCCCACAGAGGGTTGATGGGGCTCTGTGCCTTGGGGAGAGCGGGGACTGCTCAGGGACCGACCTGAACACCTCCTCAATGTGCCTCTCCCCTGACTTCTTGGCGGCAGCTTGCTGCTGTGGCTAGGGCTACCTCTGTCTTTTTACTGAGTAGCTCATTGGGCAGTTTCCTCCTGATCCCCCTTCAAATCTCAGTATTGGGATTTGGGCCTTATGGTCTCTGTTGTTAAAGGTGGAAACAGCCATAGACAGTGTGTTCTTGAGTACTGACATGGCTGTTTCCCAGAAATACATTATTTACTAAGGTGGCAGGCAGTAGTGTGCTGACCCCAGACTGGAAAACTGGATCTGTGGCCCCTGCTAATTCTTCTCCAGCCAGCCAGCCAGCGCATGGTAGACCAGCCTGACTTCTGGGCTTCCTCAGGATGATCTGCTGTTGCCTTGCTTCAGTTTTTTCTTTCCAGATTGAGCTGGGGACTTCCCCACATTGAAAGTTTGATGGGACCATTAGCAAAGAGGGTCTGGGTGACCCTGTGAAGGGGGCATTCAGTTTGTGCAGGACCTAGGAGAGGGGCGGGAGAAGGTGAACGGTGTTGTTGGGTTTCACCTTGGATGTTGTTGGCCATGTCATGTTCCCAGGATTGGACTGGAGCCAAGCTGTGTTTGGATGCAGAACTAGTTGAAAAATTCTAGAGACAGCACAAGTTTTTGGTGACTACAGATGGTGATAGGTCAGTGGGTCTGGGCCCAGGGAAGGGACAACGGGGCTTCCTAGGGGCACCTGGTAGAGCCCATGCTTCCGGATCAGGTGCTGACAGCTGCAGAGACACCATCACTGTACCAGCCATGGGTGCCGCAACCCCAGCAACCCCATGGAACCGGAGTTCCCCAGGTAGTGGCCAGTGTCAGGCCATGTGTCCTTTCCTCAAATTAAAAGGACCTCGCTAGCCTGAGCTTGAGAGGATAAAATGGCAAGAAAGGACTTCTGTTGCCCAAAGTGCAGTGACTTGATTTCATGTAAATTGCCATAGCTACCTTCTCACCAAGGCTGATCTTCCCTCAGTTTGAGAAGTCCTTGTGTTTGGGTGGGTTGTATGGTAGGGGTGTGTGTGTGTGTGTGTGTGTGTGTGTGTGTGTGTGTGTGTAGTACCCAGGTGCAAGGTCAAAGCCAAACCATAATGATTTATCAAGGGAGCGGAAGAGTCTCTTATGAGCTGGTAATTGTGCACTTAAGGGTTACTTGATACTGCTTTAAATGTATGGGTTGGAGATAAAAACAGTAAAAGCTCTCTGAACTCAGCCAGTACGGGGTGGATGGCAAAACAGTCCAAATGATAGATTAGTGGAAAGCGATTACAGTGTATTTTCAAGAAATGCTGCTAGTTGTGATCATGCTGAGTGGTCTTCTGCTTGGTTTCCTCCTCTGTGAATCTTGCACTGATTGTATTGCAGGGCTCCTGCAGTGGGCTCCTCAGATCGGCCCCTTCTCCTTCAGGGTTAAACTATCCCTGCTCGTCCATTCAATAAATATTTATTAAGCGGCTGGGCGCGGTGGCTCACACCTGTAATCCCAGCACTTCGGGAGGCTGAGGCAGGTGGAACACAACGTAAGGAGTTCAAGACCAGTGTGGCCAGTATGGTGAAACCCCGTCTCTAATAAAAATATAAAAATTAGCTGGGCGTGGTGGTGCGTGCCTGTAGTCCCAGCTGCTCGGGAGGCTGAGGCAGGAGAATTGTTTGAACCCAGGAGGCAGAGGTTGCAGTGAGCCGAGATCGCACCACTGCACTCCAGCCTGAGCAACAGACCAAGACTTGGTCTCAAAAAAAAAAAAAAAAAAATTTACTAAGCACCACTTATGTGTCAGACACTGTTGTAGGTGCTTGAACTAAAATCGGGCATCAGGCAGATACCCCTGCCCTTGTGGTGTGTACGTTATTGCTGGGTGAGAAAGTTCATCGGCAACACAGTAGCTGTGTTGTGTGGAGTGTGGGAGGGGTGGTGCTGTGGAAGAAGAGGAGCAGGGTCGGGATGGTGGGCCTCTGTGAGGAGACATTTGAGCAAAGGCAGGGGTGGTGGGGGATCACACGGAGGGGTTAATTTTTTATTTTTATTTATTTTGAGATGGAGTTTCACTCTTGTTGCTGAGGCTGGAGCGCAATGGTGCGATCTCAGCTCACCACAACCTCCATCTCCCGGGTTCAAGTGATTCTCGTGCCTCAGCCTCCCGAGCAGCTGGGATTACAAGCATGTGCCACCACGGTTGGCTAATTTTGTATTTTTAATAGGGACAGGGTTTCTTCATGGTGTCCAGGCTGGTCTTGAGCTCCTGATCTCAGGTGATCTACCTGCCTCCATTTCCCAAAATGCTGGGATTACAGACGTGAGCCACTGTGCTTGACAGTGGTTTTTGTTTTGTTTTGTTTTTGTTTTTGTTTTTGTTTTTTGAGATGGAGTTTTGCTCTTGTTGCCCAGGCTGGAGTGCAGTGGCTCAATTTCAGCTCACTGCAACCTCTGCCTCCCAGGTTCAAGCGATTCTCCTGCCTCACCCTCCCAAGTGGCTGGGATTACAGGCATATGCCATCATGCCCGGCTAATTTTGTATTTTTAGTAGAGACGAGGTTTCGCCATGTTGGCCAGGATGGTTTCGAACCCCTGACCTCAAGTGATCCACCCCGCCTCAGCCTCCCAAAGTGCTGGGATTACAGGCATGAGCTACCGTGTTCGGCTGACAGTCGTTTTTTAAAGGTCGTTTTCAATTCGGGATGCAGATTGAATAGTTAATTGATAGATGAAATGACAGAACTAGGATTTTGTTTAAAACATAAAAAGACCTCAAAGTGGGGAGGGTCCTAGTGTGTTGGAGGCACGGCCAGGAGGCCAGTATGGCTGGAACAGAGTGAGCAGGCTGAAGTGGGGATGGGATGCTTGGGTCTGCAGGCAGTGTGTGGGCCTCTGGGGTTAGGAGAGGATGGGCTTCACTCTGAGTGAACTTTGAGTCCACGAGTGAAAGCAGAGAATATAGTTTGGAGACCTCCATCCCAGTAGAGGACAGTGTGGCCAGTGGAGGTGTGAGGAGTGGTTGGGCTCCAGATATATTTAATGGCAGAACCAACAGGCTTTCCTGAGTGACTGGGTGGTGGGTGGAGTCTGCCCAAGGGGACAACTCCAAATTTTAATTGCTGGGAGAATGGATTTGCCACAAGCTGGCTTTGAAAGCAGTGGTAGAGTGTGAAAGAAGTTACCTTAAGACTTCTTGCCAGTTGCACTGTAGGTACGATGTACTGTTTGTTGTGATTTGACTTTCCTCCACCACCCCCCTGCCCCAGGAAGATGTGATCTTGTGCATCTTGTGTTCACGCAGAGTAGGGTAGTTGGATCTTTGTCAAGTCTCAGTGATCCACATGCGTGCATCTATTTTGTCAGTCTGCTTGTCTTTGTATCCATGTCATACTGTCTTGATGTAGCTTTATGTTAAGTCTCAAAATCAGTTGTGGTAAGTCCTCCAAATTTGTGCCTGTTTTTCCATGTTGTTTTCGTTATTCTAGGTCCGTTGCACTTCCGTGTAGATTTTGGAATCAGTTTGTCATTTCTTCAAACCATCTGCTGGGAATTTTTGATTGAGATTGCATTGAATCTGTAGATCAGTTTGGGAGAGAATTGATACCTTCTGACCCATGAACAAGACACATGTCTTCATATACTTCAGTTTTCTTTTTTTTTGTTTTGAGATAAAACAGTATTTTACACAAGTGAGGCTATTGTGATTGATTCATGCAAACAACAACTTTAGAAACATCTTTTAAACATGTTCAGAGAGTGTATAACATACAACAGAAATTGATGAAAAGTGTAACACTAAAATAAAATTATTCTCATTTATTACTGCAAGGAGTACCTCCCCATACCCCCCCTTTTTTTGAGACAAGGTCTTGCTCTGTTGCCCAGGCAGGAATGCAGTGGCACAGTCACGGCTCACTGCAGCCTCCTGGGCTCAGGTGATCCTCCCACCTCAACCTGAGAAGTAGCTGGGACCTCAGGTGCACGCCACCACACCCAGCTAATTTTCAAAAATTTTTTTTGTAGAGATGGGGTTTTGCCATATTGGCCAGGCTGGCCTTGAACTCCTGAGCTCAATTGATCTGCCTGCCATGGCCTCCCAAAGTGCTGTAATTAGAGGCATGAGCCACTGTGCCCGGCCTTCTTTCATTTTTCTTGTTGTTTCATTGTAGTTTCTTTATCCTTAAGTATTTCACCTTTTTTGTGCTAATGTAGATGACTTTTTTCAGGTTTTGAGTTCTGATTGGTTTGTGCCTGTGTGTAGAAACACAGCTGATTTTTTATATATAGACCTTGATCCTGCAGCAGAACAGCACAGGACACCTGCTTCTGAGGCTTCCCACCCTCGGGGCAGAGAGGTCTTGGATTGGCAGATACAAAATAGTTAGGACTAATGCTGCCCATTGGGTTTCTCAGCTTGAATGGGGCTAAAAAGAGCGGCAGAAAGGGTTCTTCCTGAGGAGCTAGCCCTGTGCCTCATTTAGGAGGTGCCTAAAGGTCTTTCCATAGAGTTCACTGGTGTTGTCCCCTATCCTTATTTTTGCAAGTTCTCCTGTGGGAGTGTTTCTCGCCATCCATCAGCTGTGAATTGCCGTGAACCTAGTTTAAAAATAAAGGTTTCATATCAGAGCAAGCTCCTGGTAGTCCTGTGGGTGCAAAGAATGACAACAGAGGTGATGTTGACACTATTTGGCAAGCTACAACTGACAGAACTGCTTGGGAATCTGGGATTTGGCTGGTTCCTAAGGTTCAGCCTCTGGCCCATAGCCCTGGACGTCTGATGATACAAACCGGAAGTGGAAGTCCGAGGCATTTTCTCTATGACCTTGGAAGAGAAGTTCCTGAATATTGTAGAGCATTAGTTTTCCTGTCTGTAAGACAGGCAGCCTCTTTCTCTCTGGACAGCATCCCATGGGGATGACCATGACCTTTGGTTTTGGAGGTGAAGCCCTCTCGGTCTGGAGGGTGAAGTCCGCTCATTCCCAGGCACATCATGCCCTCATCTTGAGGGTAAACCTAGCACTGCCTTCACCAGGAATGGTGGCTGGTTTCCCTGGGGTCCATGACAGACAACATGATGGTGAGGAGGTTACATTGGGAGAATGAGCCCTGCGTGCTGCCTGTGTGCTCTGTGACCCTGGGCAAGTTCCTGAAGATCAGACACATCAGATCCCTTATCTGTAAAATGGGCATGATCCAGGAACCTGCCTCTACGGTTGCCTTGGGGATTCAGAGATGCTGTGTGAGCATAGTACCTGGAACATACTCCTAAGTACCTATTAAATGCTAGGTTTCTGGGTTGTTTTTTGAGACAGGGTCTCACTCTGTCGCCCAGGTTGGAGTGCAGTGGTGTGGGATCTTGGCTCACTGCAGCCTTAACCTCCCTGGCTTAGGTGATACTCCCACCTCAGCCTCCCAAGTAGATGGGACCACAGGCACACGCCACCACACCTGGCTAATTTTTGTATTTTTTTGTAGAGACAGAGTTTCACCATGTTGCCCGGGCTTGTCTCAAACTGCTAGGCTCAAGCAGTCCTCCTGCCTTGGCCTCCCAAAGTGTTGGGACTACAGGCGTGAGCCACTGTGCCTGGCCTGTTTCTGTTTTTAATGTCATTACTATTATAATAAAAACCCTGGGCTGGGCACGGTGGCTCATGCCTGTAATCCTAGCACTTTGGGAGGTCGAGGTGGGTGTATCGCCTGAGGTCAGGAGTTTGAGACCAGCCTGGCCAACATGGCAAAACCCCGTCTCTACTAAAAATACAAAAATCAGCCGGGCATAGTGGTGGGTGCCTGTAGTCCCAGCTACTCGAGAGGCTGAGGCAGGAGAATCGTGTGAACCCAGGGGTCAGAGGTTGCAGTGAGCCGAGATCGTGCCACTTCACTCCAGTCTGGGCATAAGATAAAAATAATTGTATTTCATCGTGTGACTGCTTTTTATGTCACCATCTGTATTGGTGAAGACAGTGTCTGGGACGTTGGCGTTCATTGGTTAGCACTGTATTGTTTCATACCTCAGAGATCAGTAGAAATTTGTTTCCTCCGACTGTCCCCATTGTGGAAGGTAGCTGAGGCAAAACTCAGGAAATCTGAAATTTTGCTATGTAATTCCAGGGGTTAGAGACATTTTAGAAATGCCAGTATGTTCCAGAAACCTTGCTTGGAAACACAGTGTTTCTTTCTCTGTCCTTTGCTTTAGGTTGGTCAGCACATTGTCTCAAGTAGCCTTTTGATGTCACTGTGGCCATGGCCAACTGGTAGGACCAGCACCCCATACCCCGAAGCCAGGTGAGTGCTTGGGGTGTAGTGTCTGTGGAAGGAAGGTTCCACGCATCCAGCAGGCTTCGGTCAGCTTCTTGGACACTTTAAAGTGAGTGCTGCTTCAGCCACCTCCTAGAGAAGATGGAGGGAGGCAGGCCCCCTGGGATCGCACACTGTGCAGTCTGTATGGGGCTGCCTGGCCCGTCCCTTCAGGCCTCAGGGAAAAAGAAACCATTCTGATTGGTCATTCATTTGAAAACCCTAGGTCTAAATAAGATGAGCCTGTCCTCTCTGAGGGGCAGGGGCAGAGGATAATCCTGGCCAGTGGCCTTTGCCCTCTGGCCATTCCCATGATTTCCCAGCAGTGATAGATGCCGTTAGACTTTTTCCTTATTCACCGCAAAGCCCAGGGCCCCACACTGGTTCTTGGAGCTGGTTGCCCTTACCTTGCCTCGTGCCTCATGGCAAAGCTAAGCTGCCCCCGCTGCGTGGAGCTCTTAGGCAGAGACTGTCAAGAGCTGTACCAGGGCATTGCTGGGTACCTTGGATTTTCTCTGTTACCATCAAGCCTGGTCAGCGACGTTTTGGCCCAAGGCTACCTACCTGGAGAAGAACGCAGAACTGAAAGATGTCTTAGAACTTGGAGGCAGCCCCTGGGTCAGCTGCTCCGTTTTATAGATGGGGACACACATGGGCCAGAGTTGGCAGGTGACTTGCCTAGGGATTCATGCCCCATCGAACAGGATCTTGCCGGTCACGCAGTGTGAGATGTGGCTGCTCTGCTGACCATGGCACAGAACAAGTGTTGCGGTCAGTTTTGTGAGGTTTCAGCTCTTCATATGGCAAGAAAATATGGGCATAGTCAGGTAATTCTGTTGTCAGGAAAACATTTCCAGAATGTTCTCCAAACAAAATGAAACTTTCGTGGTACTTATATTTTTATTTTTTATGTTTTGAGACAGGGTCTCACTCTGTCACCCAGGCTGGAGTGTAATGGCATGATCATAGCTCACTGCAGCCTCAAACTCCTGGGCTCAAGCGATCCTCCCCGCCTCAGGCTCCTGAATAGCTGGGAATACAGGCGTGTGCAACCACACCCAGCTAATTTTTGTATTTTTTGTAGAGACGGAGTTTGCTGTGTTGCCCAAGCTGGTCTTGAACTCTTGGGCTCAAGCGATTCTCCTGCTTTGGCCTCCCAAAGTGTTGGGCATACAGGCAAATTACACTCAAAAAAATTTTTTGAGATATAATTTGCATACCATACAATTCACCCATTTGAAGTGTGCAATTCAGTTTTTTATATATATTCAAGAGTTCCACAATTACCACCTTTATTTAATTCCAGAACATTTTCATTATCCCAAAAGGAAACAGCATACTCATTAGCAGTCACTCCTCATCTCCCCCTCCCCTTTCTACTGATGACCTCTAATCTACTTTCTGTTGATTTGCCTGTTGTGGACATTTATTGTAAATGGACTCTTATACTTGTGTAAGTGGCCTTTTGCGTCTGCCTTCTGTTAGCGTGGTTCATCCACATTGTAAGCATGAATCAGTGCTTCTTTCCTTTTTATGGCTGAATGATATTCCATTATATGGATGAACCACATTTTGTTTATCCATTCATTCATTGATGGACATTTGAGTTGTTTCTACTTTTTTAGTTATTGTGAATAGTGCTGCTTTTAACATTCGTGTACAAGCTTTTGTTTGAATGCCTGTGTTGCGTTCTTCTTAGTATATACTTAGGGGTGCAGTTACTGGATCATATGGTAACTTTCTGTTAATCTCTTTTCAGGAATTACCAGACTGTTATCCATGGCGCCTGCACTATTTTACATTCCCTGACACTTACACAGGGCTCTCAAACTCTTTGGAGACAAGTTCAGACTCAAAGTCTGTGCCAGTTTCCTACAGAGAGTTGAGACTTGTCAGAGCCTATTACCTGGTGCTGTTGTGCTGTAACTACTATTTGGGGGATGTCAGGCATTGACAGAAACAGAGGGTAGGACTAGGGACTCAGAGTCACAAAGCCACATGGCTCTCATCATGTTGGCTCACCTCCTTTTTGGAGATAGGCTCTCGCTCTGTCACCCAGGCTGGAGTGCAGTGGTGTGTTCATGGCTCACTGCAGCCTCAACATCCTGGGCTCAAGTGATCTACCTCAGTCTCCCAAATAGCTGGGACTGCCAGGTGTGGGCCACTGTGCCCAGCTTGAGCTCACCCCCTTTGTTGAGGGGGAAGCACCCACAGCCAGCCCAGGGAAGTGAGTGACTGCCTCTTGTCCTGCAGCCCAGGGCATTGTTTGAGGGCAGCAGGGCTGGCTGTAGTTTCTCCTAGGCCCCAGGCTGGGTACCCACCCCTCTGCCTGGCCCTTTCTTAACTCAGAAGCACATGGTCTGAGCAGTAGGTACTTGTTCAATGAATAAATGAATGGAGGAAACCTCCCTCTTCTCTGTTGCCAGCCAGCAGGGAAGACCCAGCCATAGCATTCAGGCAGTCAGTTTGGGAGTTCAGAAGGGAATTTCCAGAGGCCACCCCAGGTTTTCCTTTGGCCTGTGCTTGAAGGGACTTGATAGAAAAGGACAGTCTATAAACAGTCGTGGCACATGATACTTAGTGGTCAAATAGGCGGAAGCCACCCCCGAATAATTATTTCTTCAGGACTTATAAATGTGTCAGCTTGTGTGCACTTTTTGTTGTGGGTGTGTAAGACAGCCCAGCATATTGATAGATTTTAGGTTTTCTCCACAAAATGCAAGTTTCACCCACTCTTGGGTGTGTCTCACTCAGCACTAGCCCACACTTGCTTTAAGTGGAAATTATGGACTGTGATTGGCTGGGGTGTCCCCATTCCTGTCACCCAGGACCACATGAGCACAGTGGAGGGAGCAGGGCCGGAGGAGGGCTGGCCCTCAATGTGCCCAGCAGCTCCCTCCCATGTCTGAGGCACACAGTCTACACACAACTCCCACTTGTGTGTACATTTATTCTTATGGGCACAGGGGCAGTCTTGCCTGTTCATGGACTTGGTGTCTGCCCTTGAATTTGGCCTGTCAGGTCCTCTTTGTTAAGCAGGCACGCACTGCCTAGTGCTGGGTGTTAAGGATCAAAAAATGGGTGTGACTGTAGAAAAACAGATTGCATCACAGGACAGGTAATGCACATGGGCCTGGACCAAGGTGTGAATGATGCTCAGTCTTTCTAATATAAGAATCCTGCACGTTGGAGCACCACCAAGACATTTCTGGGTTGGCAAGCACATGGAGTAGACACTGTTCTAGTGATGGGAGTCAGGTAGTGCCGTGGTAGTTGCTTTTGGAATTCACAACTTCTCTCAGGGGTATTTGCAACATCTAGCAAAAGGACAAGTGGTCAGGTGCGGTGGCTCACTCCTGTAATCCCAGCACTTTGGGAGGCTGAAGCGGGTGGGTCATTTGAGGTTAGGAGTTCGAGACCAGCATGGCCAACATGGTGAAACCCCATCTTTACTAAAAGTACAAAATTAGCTGGGTGTGGTGATGCACGCTTGTAATCACAGTTACCCGGGGAGGCTGAGGCAGGAGAATCGCTTGAACCCAGGAGGCGGAGGTTGCAGTGAGCCAAGATCACGCCACTGCACTCCAGCATGGGTGACAAAGTGAGACCGTATCTCAAAAAACAAACAAACAAAAAACACAAAAAAGCAAAAAGACATGTGTTTACTCTTTGCTCCAGCAAATCCACTTCTGGAAATGTATCCGAAACATGGTCAGAAATAAGGAAGGATTACAAGGATTGTGTTCATTACAACACTCCGGAAACAAACAAAGCTGGGAATGACTTAGATGTGTCAGTGTTCAGACTGGGCAACTTGTGGTGGTGGCTCTGCCTACAGGGTGGTGCCTGAGCCCCTGAGTGAAGGGAGGAAGGAGTAGGTGATGTCTTCATTTGTGGTGGTGATGGGATTTCTAGTTGAAATGACAAGCAGAAAAAAGAACAATGTAAAGGAAGAAGAGATGGAGTGTGCTGTCACTTATCTAAGGAAAGGTGGGGGGATTTGCTCATTTTATTTTTATTTTTATTTATTTTTTATTTTTATTTATTTATTTTTTTTGAGATGGAGTCTTGCTCTGTCGCCCAGGCTGGAGTGGAGTGGCGCGATCTCAGCTCATTGCAATCTCCGCCTACCAGGTTCATGCCATTCTTCTGCCTCAGCCTCCCGAGTAGCTGGGACTACAGGCGCCCGCCACCACGCCCTGCTAATTTTTTATATTTTTAGTAGAGATGGGGTTTCACCATGGTCTCGATCTCCTCACCTCGTGGTCTGCCCACCTTGGCCTCCCAAAGTGCTGGGATAACAAGTGTGAGCCACCGTGCCCAGCCACTCATTTTATTTTTATACACCATAAAGGAACCACATTGTCACCTCCAGGAGAAGGGATGGAGAGGGCACTGGGAGACTTTTTCACGTGTCCTTTCTTTGTAGCATCATGTACGTGCTTCACATAATTATAAAACAAAAGCCAAGTGGTGGCAGTGGAAGGGGAAGCAATCCCTTAAAAACCAAAGACAAAAATGAATGAATCTAGGTACATGTCAGTTGTAACACACATTGGTGACTTAACCTCTCAGAACTTATTTCTGATAACTTTAAAACGTAGTTTGACTGTAAATGTTTTAGCGAGATACCCAATAAAGGTAAACAAATTTATTTCCTTCTTTCCTTCCCTTCCTTTCCTTCCTTCCCTTTCCTTCCTTTTCTTCCTTCCCTTTCCTTCCTTTTCTTCCTTCCCTTTCCTTCCTTTCCTTCCTTTCCTTCCCTTCCTTCCCTTCCTTCCCTTCCTTCCCTTCCTTCCCTTCCTTCTTTCCTTCCCTTCCTTCCGTTCCTTCCCTCCCCTCACTCTGTCACCCAGGCTGGAGTGCAGTGGTGCGATCTCGGCTCACTGCAACCTCCGCCTTCACGTTTCAAGTGATTCTCCTGCTTCAGCCTCCCGAGTAGTTGGGATTACAGGCGCCCGCCACCATGCCCGGCTAAAAACAACTTTCTTAAAATCTTCAGCTGTTTTTTGGAATCCTGGTTTTGGTTTCAGGGTAACAATATTAGCATTATTCCTGTTATATATTGTAGGAGAAAATAAGTAAGTAATGTCATTAAGAACCAAAATTTTCCACACAAAAGGAAAATGCAATAAAAACCCAAAGCACTAGCTTTTTTATTTTTATTTTTATTTTTGGGCAGGGTCTTGCTCTGCCACCTAGGCTGGAGTGCAGTGGTGTGATCATAGCTCACTGCAGCCTCCAGCAGTCCTTCCACCTCAGCCTCCCAAGTAGCTGGGACAACAGATGCACCACCATGTCCAGCAAATTTTTAAATTTGGGTTTGTTTTTGTTTTTGTTTTTGTTTTAAGACGGAGTCTCGCTTTGTCACCTAGGCTGAAGTGCAGTGGCGTGATTTCGGCTCCTTGCAAGCTCCGCCTCCCAGGTTCATGCCATTCTCCTGCCTCAGCCTCCCCAACAGTAGCTGGGACTACAGGCGCCTGCCACAACGCCCGGCTAATTTTTTGTATTTTTAGTAGAGACGGGGTTTCACCGTGTTAGCCAGGATGGTCTCTATCTCCTGACCTCGTGATCCACCCGCCTTGGCCTCCCAAAGTGCTGGGATTACAGGCGTGAGCCACCGTGCCTGGCCTGGTTTTTGTTTTTTGAGACAGAGTTTCACTCTTGTTGCGCAGGCTGGAGTGCAATGGCACGATCTCGGCTCACCACAACCTTTGCCTCCTGGGTTCAAGTGATTCTTCTGCCTCAGCCTCCTGAGTGGCTGGGATTACAGGCAAGCATCACCATGCCTGGCTAATTTTGTATTTTTAGTAGAGATGGAGTTTCTCCATGTTGGTCAGGCTGGTCTCAAACTCCAACCTCAGGTGATCCTCCAGCCTCAGCCTCCCAAAGTGCTGGGATTACAGGCGTGAGCCACTGCACCTGGCCAAGACCTGAAGTACTTTAAGTAAAACGCTTAATTCTCATTCTGCATTGGGAACATGGTAATTGTGTAAGACACACTGGGGTTGTATCAGAAGGACCCACAGGGGCCCTGCTGGCACAGATGGGGCAAGCGAGAGTGAACAAGAACAAGGAGCCCCTGAGTTAGATGTGTTAAAAATCCAAGGCTGGCTGGATGCCGTGGCTCACACCTGTAATCCCAGCACTTCGGGAGGCTGAGGCAGGTGGATCATTTGAGGTCAGGAGTTCAAGACCAGCCTGGCCAATATGGTGAAACCCCGTCTCTACTGAAAATATAAAAATTAGCTGGGTGATAGTGACGCACGCCTGTAATCCCAGCTACTCGAGAGGCTGAGGCAGGAGAATTGCTTCAGCCTGGGAGGCGGAAAGTTGCAGTGAGCCAAGATCGCGCCACTGCACTCCAGTCTGGGCAACAGAGTAAGACTGTGTCTCACAAAAAGAAAAACCCAAGGGTTTAAGCTGGCTGTGGTTATACGCACCTGCCATCCTAGCTGTTCCGGAGGCCAAGGCCATAGGATTGCCTGAGCTCAGGAGTTGGAGTCTAGCCTGAGCAATGTAGCAGGACCCCCCAAGCTGAAAAAAAAAAAAAAAAACCCACAGTTTCTTATTGGTGCTTAAAGGACAAGGAAGAAGCTCACTGGTCCCCTTTGGTAGGAGTTAGAGAGCTAGCTACCCATTTAAAAATGGGTAGAGGGAAAGCAACAGGCATTTTTCCTGCATCTTCTCTGTGGGCTGCACACTCCAGGAACGAGAGTGTGGGCGAGGGCAAGGTTCCCTCGCATGGCAGTGCTGGCCCGCAGAACTGCCTAGGGTGACAGGGATGCTCTACACCGTCTGCCCTGCGTGCCGTTTAACATAGCATGACTGAGGACACGGAGTTTAATTTTGTCTATTTAAATAGCCACATGTGGCTAATGGGCAGCACAGCTATTGATGTGTTTTAGCAAATTAATATGAAATGACAGAATTTTAAGTTTATTGCAGTCACCTAGTGAATTGAGGGGTTCCAGACTGTAAGGTCCAGACAGTGATTCTCCCTAGCTGCTAGCCCCCAAGGAGAGTGTCCTGTGCTTCCACAGGGACACGCACTCACCAAGCCTCAAGGTCTAGTTCATGAGAAATTGGGGGTATGTGCACTTACGCCACAGGGACGCCATTTGCAAAACCAACAATGGGAAACAGGGCAAGCATCCTAACTCTTTGAGCATACGATTGTGTCAGTAAGGGGACCTGTGGATTCCAGCCAGATATGACTCCAACAAAGACGGAAGATTGTGAAATTATCAAAGGTGGGATCATAGTGTTGTGGTCATGCTTGTTCTGTAGAGATAAATACTGACCCCTTTAGCACAAATGCATGTTTCATAGGATTTGCTTCGTGGAAGCTAGTGGGAGAGAGAAGGAGAAAGGAGCGGCATGTGGAGGACACGAGGGTGGTCCCCGATGGCCGTGGACCTGGGTGGTAAGCACCTGCAGTTAATCACACCATTATCTACTCTGTGGGTGGATTTGAAATTTTCCTTAAAGAAAAGTGTGAAAATTGGGTTTGGCCCAGGTCTTTTCTCAGGGAGCTTCGTGACTGGATCATCTAGAAGAGGGGAAATGGCCATTTATAAAAGCTGAGGTAGAGGCCACTTGGGGGTAGTTTAGGAGACCACTTGGGAGTAGTTTAAATTCAAGCAGAAAACCATGAGCAGAGACTGGAATTGCCAGAGGGGACCGTGGCCTGTCAGCCCACCAGACAGCCTCTCTTACACACTCTTATTTTCTGTAATTACAACACTCACAGCTACTCTTCGTGGAGCCCTCAGGAAGTGTTAGCAATAAAGTGGGTGCTGTTCCCATTTTACAGGTGAGGAAGCTGAGGCCCTTGTGGGTGAATCAGGCTTTCTGGCTTTGACTGGACAGCTAAGGGCATGAGCTTCTGGGCCTCCTTCCTGTCGCCTCCCTGCTCAGTACCTGGGGCACATCTGACTACCACTCCAGTACCCTGACTCTATGATGAAAACCATTCTCCCCTCCCCATTGGTATTGCCCATCCACAGCAGTCGTAGCCCATCACGAGTGGATAAAGTAGGTGGTTAGCTGGACTTGCACATGACTTGTTTCGTGAACAGTAGTGCTTAGAGTTGTGATCTAGGGACCCAGCGAACAGTGTGTGAGGGACTTCAACCCTGCCTCTCTCCGGTATGTGCTGTGCCTGCTGTGCCCCCCACTCCAGTGTTCTCCTTGGGGCTCCTGAGGCAGCTCCCAGTAGGAGGCCTATCGTTGTTGGCACCCCAAGGGTGTCCCTGATCCCTAAGTAGAAACTTAAGCAGGTATTTGGACAAATAAATGAGTGAAACACCTTGTGACGTTGAGGCCTGTGGCACTTCCCCAATAGTGTGTTAGTGTAAAACCACCGTGTATGATGCCTGTTGGTCCCAGCACTTTGGGAGGCCAAGGCATGTGGATCTCTTGGGCCCAGGAATTTGAGACCACCCTAGGCAACATGGCGAGACCTCGTCTCTACAAAAAGTACAAAAATTAGCCAGGTGTGGTGGTGCGTGCCTTTAGTCCCAGCTACTCAGGAAGTTGAGGTGGGAGGATTGCTTGAGCCCTGGAGGTTGAGGCTGCAGTGAGTCATGATTGTGGCTCTGCACTCCAGCCTGGACAACAGAGTGAGACCTCGTCCCTTAAAAAAAAAAAAAAAAAAGCCACCATGGCAGTTTTGTTTTATTTGGATTTTAGGCAGTGTAGGGCCTGTGATAAGGCCTGGCTGAGGTGGGGCTCTGCTGGTAGTAACTCTTGTGATTCCAGCCCTCTGAGGCCACTTCCTCTTTCTGCCTTGGCTCCTCCTTGGTGAATTCTCCCTTATGTGTCCCACATTCTCATACTCCCAGGCATTGGATCTTTAGCTGGGAGATGGTTCTGAGTTCCCATGTGTACAGTGGGCTTGCTGCAGCCTCCTGCAGTTGTCCTGTAGGACTCGTGGTTGGTGGTGACATAGAGGCTGCCTACCCTGATGGCTGATGGCTGATGGCAGTGTGGTTGTTTGGGGTCTTGTTGTATAAAAGGAGCATGTTTACTGAAGGACCCAGTTCTGTGCTGTTGGGGTCACAGCAAACCTGCTTTTGCCTGTTAGTATTTTAGTAGCTCTAGAGGGGTTCATGGCTATTGGAATTAGTATTTTTGTTTTTGTTTTCTTTTCTCACCTCTTTAAAAAAGCATGTAAAATTCACATGGTAGAATATTCACCAGTTTTAACGTTTTTAAAGTGTGTTGTTTAGTGGCATTTAACCCATTCACAGTATTGTGCAACCATCACCTGTAATTCTAGAACATTTTCATCACCCCCACCCCAAAAGAAACCTTGTCCCCATTAGCAGTCACTGCCTTTTCCTTGACTCTGCTCTCCACCCTCCCAGCAGCCACTTATTCTACTTTCTGTCTCTGGGTTTGCCTCTTCTGGCATTTCATATAAATGGGATCATGCAATATGTGGCCTTTTTGTCTGACTTTTTTTCACTTAGCATGATGTTTTCAAAGTTCAGTCACATTGTGTCAGAGTTTCATTCCTTTTTATGGCCAAATAATATTCCATTGTCTAGATGGACCACATTTTGTTTATCCATTCATCCATTGATGGACATTTGGGTTGTTTTCTGCTTTTTGGCTATTGTGGATAATGTTGCTTTTAACATTCACCTGCACATTTTTTTTTGAATACCTATATTCAGCTCTCTTGGATATACCTACAAGTGGACTTGCAGGACACTCGGGAGCATGGTGATGCCGTGGGCTGGAGGCCCTGCCCAGGCTCATGTGGGAACTCTGCGTTTAACTTTTTGAGGAACTGGCAGACCGTTTTCCACATCACTCTACTGTTTTACTTTCCACTGTTTTCCACGTCACTCTACCGTTTTACTTTCCACCGTTTTCCATGTCACTCTTACCATTTTACTTTGCACTATGCAGTGTATGAGGGTCCCAATTTCTCTACATCCTTACCAATACTTAATTGGCTTTTTTGATTGTAGCCATCCTAGTGGGTGTGAAGCGGTTTCTCATGGTGGTTTTGATTTGCATTTCCCTCATGACTAATGACACTGAGACAGAGTCTTTTTCACATGCTCATTGGTGATTCGTCTCTCTTCTTTGGAGAAATGTCTGTTCAAGTCTTTTGGCTGTTTTTTAATTGGGTTGCTTGTCTTTTTGTTGCTGAGTTGTAAGGATCCTTCATATGTTCTGGACACTAGACCCTTATCAGGTGTATGATTTGCTATAATTTTTTCCCATTCTATGGGTGTTTTTTTTTTTATTCTATAATGCCCTTTGCACAAAAGATTTTAATTTTGATGCAGTCCAAATTATCTTTTTTCTTTTTTTGATATTGTGCTTATATGTAAGACTGTTTGCCAAACACCAAGTCATGACATTTTTCTCCTGTGTTTTTTCTTCTAAGAGTTTTATGGATTTAGCTCCTAATACTTGGGTCTTTCATCCATTTTGAGTTAATTTTCATATATGGGGTGATGTAAAGATTTTGTTTTGTTTTTATTTTTTTGTAGAGACAGTCTCACTATGTTGCCCAGGCCGATCTCAAACTCTTGGCCTCAAGCGATCCTCCCTCCTCGGTCTTCCAAAGTGTTGGGATTACAGGCGTGGGCCACTGCATAGTGCCTGGCCAGGTTTTGTTTGGTTTTGATCATTATCTTTTCTGTCAGGATGAAGACATTTTGGCATTAACCGGGAAGGAGGTTGAAGGGCAGTGGTAGTTGGGAGTTCTGAAAGTACTATTTCAAATCTGTTTAACAAATGCGTATACATTGCTTCTTCTGTGCAAAGCATTGTGCCTGCATGGGCCCTTGGATGGTAGTGCTAGAGAAATAGGTGTCCCTTGATATCCTGGGGGTGGAAGCCCACAAACAGAGAGGTGAATAAATAGCATGTCAAGTGGTGATGAGGCAGGAAAGGGGATAGAGACCCCCTGGGGGGCATGTGTGGAGGGGAAGCGTTTCTCACTTTGCATTATCAGCTGAGACCTGGGGGAGTGGAGATGCAAAGGCCCTGAGGTGGGAGTGAGCCAGGATGTCAGTGTGGCTCCAGCTGAGAGAACAGGAGAGGGGTTGGTTGGACTTGGGGGACGGGCACAGGGGTGGCTGGATTATGGTCAGGCCAGCAGGACCTTCTGGCCAGGGCTTTGCTTCCGTATTATTAAGTATCATGTTTTACCAAAGAAGCACTGATACAGACCCCCCACTCCCCCACTTCATGGCACAGCTGAGCTTAGCTGTTGCCCAGAGGTTGGTGTGGGTGTCTATACACAGACTCCTCCCACCCCTGAGGGGAAGAGTTCCATTTGCAAGGTAGAGGGTAGAAGTAGGATTTCTGTCCCAGCCCTTACAGCTGTGCAGGAACCTGCTGCAAGGATTGTTTGTGGGTAGACCCACGGGCTGGGGCTGCGTTGAGAGCAGATAGTTTGTTTCATCATAGAAGTAGGTTTCCCTGCTGGCTGTGATCCTCCCTGTGGCTCTGTGATGCTGCAGGATGCTTGTAGGGAGGAGCTTGAGGAAGGGCGCCTGGGCAGGGCCTCCAGCCCACAGCGTCACCACGTTGCTGGGTGCCCTGATGAAAATGGCAACAGATGAATTTTTGGTTCCCTCACTTTCCACTTGACATTTCCTTCCAGGAACTGAGAAGGCTTTTCTGGCCCTTGGAATTTTCTGTGCCAGACCTCCCTGCCGTTTCCAGTCTCAGGCCTTGATGGAGCTGGTGGTCAGGGCCACAGCTTCGCCTGGCTCAGCCCTGAGAGACTACAGCCCTGGAAGGGTTAAGGCCTCCCATTTTGTGATGTGACGCCTGATGGGCACGTAGCAGATGGCATGGAAATGGCAGGCGTAACCCTTCGTAGGCCACGTAGGCTCACGGTCCAGGAGGCATCTGGGAGGGGACAGAGAGCCAGGCCCTTCCCACAGAAGGGGAGCATGGCCAGCCCTCACAGTGACGTCCTACAGCTGGGACTCTGGTCCCCATTTACCTGTGGAGGTTTAAGACTGCCCGGACTCCCCCTTCACAGGCGGCACCTTTGTTTCTATGTCGTGTGTTCCTTGGGCAGCGTCTGTTTCTCTCTCTGGGGCCGCAGGGTTGGGCTTGGGCACAGGCCCTGGCCAACAGCGGCGCAGGTGTGGGGCCACTTCAAGCACGGCCTCAAATGAGGGCAGTGTTGGGCACTGAACAGTTCTGAGATGTCACACACAGAAACCAAGTCCTGATCTCCAGTGTGAGCACAGGGAGCTATTGGTAGTTGTGTTGTGTTGTGTTGTGTTTTTGAGACGGAGTCTCTCTCTGTCTCCCAGGCTGGAGTGCAGTGGCACAATCTCGGCCCACTGCAACCTCCGCCTGCCGGGTTCAAGCAATTCTCCTGCCTCAGCTTTCTGGGTACCTGGGATTACAGGCGCCCACCACCATGCTGGCTAATTTTTAAATTTTTTTTGTAGAGATGGGGTTTCACCACGTTGGCCAGGCTGGTCTTGAAGTCCTGATCTCAAATGATCCGCCCGCCTCAGCCTCCTAAAGTGCACCGCCCCTGGCCTAGCAGTAGTTTTAAAGACACTTATTTGCTACCTGTCTTTCTCCTCATAATAAGCCTGTGATCAGTTTAGGTGTGCTTTTTCCTATTGTCTGGTACAACTTGGGGGTGAAGACAGGCTTTCATCTCGTGTTACCCGGAAGGGCCCTCAAGCTGAGACACAGGGCCGATATACAGAAGCAGCTAATTGTGATCCTTGTGGGGCTCTTTCATGGCCAGTGTGTGGACACTATCGTCCCCTGGTTTTGGGAGTTTTCAGGCAATCATCTGTGTCTCTGGAAGATGGCATAATCCCTACACCATCTTCCCTGATTAAGAACTATGCTTCTCCAGTTTTTTTCCCCCAGATGACACCAGAGAGGGAGTTTGGGGTCTGGGGACCTGTCTGTCCCAGGCTGGCCCTGCACAATAGCGTGGTGAGTCTGAGTGGTGGGCACACCATGGGAGGGCTGTTGGCTATTGGGATCAGTGATCTATTTTCTAGAGACAACTTATGCCCAAAACAGCTTTGCTCTGCACAGGGTGCTGGAGTGAGAGGCTACCAGAGCTGCTCTCCACTGTGCAGGCCTAGTGTGAGTTACATTAGGAATTTGCAGACCATCTAGATGTTATTTATTTTTAGAGACAGGGTCCAGGCGGTTTCAAACTCCTGGGCTCAAGCACTCCTCCTGCTTTGGCCTCCCTAGTAGCTGGAACTACATGCACACATGCCACGAGACCTGGAAGGTTTTATTTTTAAAACGTTGATGGTTACTTGGGTATATATTAATATACCTGGGTATGTTTCTGTGATGTTTTGCTCTCCAGGTTTACTTTGTTAAATGTATCAAAAAAAAAAAAAAAAAATCCAGCCTGGGCAACATGGTTGAAACTCTGTCTCTACAAAAATTAGCCCAGTATGGTGGTGCCCACCTGTGACCTCGGGAGGCTAAGGTGGGAGGATTGCTTCAGCCCAGGAGGTCGAAGCTACAGTAAGCTGTAGTCATGCCACTGCACTCCATCCTGAGCAAGAGAGTGAGATCCTGTCTAAAAAACTTAATAAATTGATTTTAAAAAATATTTTGGAGGCATCATTTACAAGTCCTCTACCTGAAACACATGAGATTGTAAGTGCATTTATTTGTAAATGGGAAAGCCAGAGGTGCCTTTTCTTTTTACTTCCTTCATTGTTTTATTTATTTATCTTATATTAAAAGGTTTTTTTGTAGAGTCAGGGTCTTGCTATGTTGCCCAGGCTGGTCTTGAGCTCTTGTCCTCAAGAGATCCTCTTGCCTTGACCTTCCAAAGTGCTGGGATTAACAGGCATGAGCCACTGCACCTGGTCCCTTTCATTTTTAATTACCTGCATTTCTGAGTAGCTCTAGAACCAAGAACTAGAGATGATGGGATGGATGTCCTGGTCGTTGGTCAGATTCCGCCCACTGTTTGGTGATGGGAACCAGCTTATATTCGTGGGTCATTAGCATTTCAGATGAAGTGCTGGCAAGGGACCCTGCCATTCAGCAGCACAGTGCTGGGCACACCTGGGTTGTCACATGTGCCCTGTTAGGAGGCGGTAGATGCCCCTCTCCCTCTGTCAGAGCTGAGCATGGCACTTGTAAATAGCGTCTTCCTGGAAGTGCTGGGTAGGGAACACCTGTGGGGGCTGTTGCTCACCCCCTCTTCAGGGAACGCTGGTGCTCATATTTATGTATTTGGTGGCCTGAGGGGAGGTACTACTTCACTTGAATTGGATGTGTGCTGCTCATGTCTTTTTGGAGTGTGTTCTGTGCCTTTTGACAGCTTTCAGCTTTCTCCTCCTCTTCAGGACCTGTTAAAGGTTTCAGCCCTCCTCTCACAGGCTAGGGGGCGGTCAGGATCCCCGTACCACAAGGTGCTGGGGGGTATGTGGGGGCTTTTTCTTCATCGTGTTCAGGTGAATACAAGTGTGGCCTCTGTACTGGGATGCTTTCTTTCACCAAGCAACCTCATTACATTAAAAAAAAAAAAAAAAAAACTCTTTTTTTTTGTTTGTTTTGTTTGAGACGGAGTTTTGCTCTTGTCTCCCAGGCTGGAGTACAGTGGCATGATCTCGGCTCACTACAACCTCCGCCTCCCGGTTTCAAGCAATTCCCCTGCCTCAGCCTCCCGAGTAGCTGGGATTACAGGCGCCCGCCACTATGCCCAGCTAATTTTTTGTATTTTTAGTAGAGACGGGGTTTCACCATGTTGGCCAGGCTGGTCTTGAACTTCTGACCATGTGATCCGCCTGCCTCAGCCTCCCAAAATGCTGATATTATAGGCGTGAGCCACCGCACCCGGCCGAGATTCAAACTTTTAAAAAGTGGGGTGGGCGTGGTGGCTTACTCCTGTAATCCCAGCACCTTGTGAGTCTGAGGCAGCCGGATCATGAGATCAGGAGATTGAGACCATCCTGGCCAACACGGTGAAACCCCCTCTCTAGTAAAATACAAAAAAAAAAAAAATTAGCCGTTTGTGGTGGTGCGTGCCTGTAATCCCAGCTACTTGGGAGGCTGAGGCAGGGGAATCACTTGAACCCAGGAGGCGGATATTGCAGTGAGCCGAGATCACGCCACTGCACTCCAGCTGGATGACAGCCAGGTGGGCTGTGAATTAGAAGGGGTGTCCCAGGCACTGATCAGGCTCCTCGTGCTGCAGAAGTTTCCTTCTGAGTTCACGCATTGTCCAGATGTGCAGCAGTCAACAAATCAGTTATTGTGGCTTCTCTGGAAGCTGACATTACCATGTTTTTGGCACGAAGTAGAACCAACACGCAAGGTTGCAGTGCCAGTGAGTTGAGGACGTTCTGTGGCTCTATCCAGCTAGGTGAGAAATTGCAGGGCTGAGGAAGTAGTGTGGGTTGAAGTGAAGTAGGCGGGTGGGAATGCGTGTGAGACTCAGCAGGGCTCTGGGCTCCTTCACATGCTCTACAACTTGGTGATTCCGGCCCTTGTGTCTGAAAACCATACTTTGTGGTTTTCCATATTCTTGAGACAAGTAGATCAGTAGCTGTGTGGACGCTGATTGCTCTTGAGAACTACTGTTCTTTTGTTCAGAATTAAATGCAGAAGAAAGACTTTTTTTCTTCTTACTTTTAGAGACAGGGTCTTGCCCCTTTGCCCAGGCTGCAGTGCAGTGGTGCGATCATTGCAGCCTTGAACCCATGGACTCAAGTGAGCCTCCCTCCTTGGCCTCCCAAAGTGCTGGGATTATAGGCGTGAGCCACTGCTCCTGGCCAGAAAGATGTTTTCTGAGACAATTGAGCAAGACTCAGAAGTAGGAGGAGGGGATGAAAACTGTGCATGCGTATGAGTGTGAGTATATACGTGTGTGTTGTTCAGGATTGCTCTGTGTTTAACTAGTGTATACTTTGCAGGGGAAGGAGGTGTCTGTCTGCTGTCCCACTGTTTCCTTTGTCTGTCTTCTGCCTTTCCTACAGGGTCAGATGCTCTTACTTCATGGGCGCCATGTGTTCCTTGTCCCCTTCCCAGTCTTCTTGTTGCCCTTGGCTTCCCTGGATCCCACAGCCCAGGTGGGGCCAAGGAGTCCCTGCTCAGGCACTGAGAGCCTTGCTGTGGCTGTCAGAGGTTGATGGGGAGACTGCCCATCTTGTGGGAAGCCTTTGTAACAGTGACTTGGCACCTTCAACAGGACGGAAGAATGTGTTAGTTCCGTCTCCTGTTTTTGTAAAATGGTTGTCCACCTGTTGAACTGCATCAGCCTCTCAACCAGGCAGAAGGCTTAGAGAATCCATGTCAGCCCCCAAGTCCAGGGAGCCCCAGTGTGAGCTGGACAGGACATAGATTGCCCCCAGGCCTGGGGGGGTGAAGTGACGTGCAGAATTGAAGGACCAAGGCAGGGAGTGGCAGTAGGCAGGACAGGTCCTGGTGGTTCTGCTGAATCCCTGGGCTGGGGCTGGGCTGAGGAGCTAAAGCCACAGGCAAAATGTACCACACGCAGACCTTTAGCCACCCACAGTAACTTTGTTTTCGGACCTTGATTCATTCTGTGGGACAGGACATGATATAGGTTACCTGCCTGTCCAGATCCTGCCCCAGAGTGGGACAGTCGTGTATGGCAGAGCATTAGCTGGGAGAGGTCACACTAGCTGGGTGTGGACCTTGTCCTCCTGTGCGTCCCCTCAAAACCAGGTAATGTGTCCTCAGGATTTCCCTGGCACAAACGACCTCGCTCTCCCTCAGTCCTCAAAGGTGATGGCCAGTCCTGGTTACCCGGGAAGCCCGTGCCCTGTGACTCCCTTCCTGCCACTGGGCATCCCTGTAGCCCCCATTCCTCCAGCAATCAGCCTCAGTGGTGTGTTTGGTTCACACCTTGTGCTTGCACTGTGACTGAAACCTCCCCTCCTCAGCGAGGCTTCTCCTGGGCCCCCAGGCTGGGCTTATGCCCCTCAGGTCCTTCTCAGCCCTGTGCTTTTCCTTAGGGCTTTGGTGTGATTCTCGGGCACCTGTGCTTAGGGAGTGCTTGTTTCTGTAACTGGGTTAAAGTTTCATCCACTGCAGCAATTGAGTTTATAGCATGTAATTTCCTTCTACCAGGGACCTATTTATCTTGAGTGTTCTAAGTGTGGGCTTTTGGGACAGTATAAAATTGACCCTGTAGCAAGCTGTCTTGTCTGCACATAGCACTTTTTGAAACTAAATTTCCTTCTGACTTGTCAAAAGAGTTAACCTTGAGTCCTTGCTCTGGATTTAATTTACACGTTCGAGTCTGTCCGCTGTGCCCCCCACATACAAGGTCTTGCTCCGTTGCCCAGGCTGGAGTGTAGTGGCACAATCACAGCTCACTGCAGCCTTGACCTCCTGGATTCAAGCAGTCCTTCCACCTCAGCTTCCTGCGTAGCTGAGACCACAGGCGTGTACCACCACAACTGGCTATTTTTTAATTTTTTTAAAATTTTTTTTTTTTTTGAGACGGAGTCTTGCTCCGTCGCCCAGGCTGGAGCGCAGTGGAGCAATCTCAGCTCACTGCAACCTCCACCTCCTGGGTTCAAGCAGTTCTCCCGAGTAGCTGGGATTACAGGTGCCCGCCACCACACCTGGCTAATTTTTGTATTTTTAGTAGAGATGGGGTTTCACCATCTTGGCCAGGCTGGTCTCGAGCTCCTGGCCTCGTGATCCACCCGTCTTGGCCTCCCAAAGTGTTGGGATTACAGGCATGAGCCACCACACCTGGCCAAATTTTTTGTGTTTTTTTTTTTTTGTTTATTTTTTGTTTTTGTTTTGCTTTTGAGACAGAGTTTCGTTCTTGTTGCCCAGGCTGGAGTGCAATGGCACAATCTTGGCTCACCGCAACCTCTACTTCCTGGGTTCAAGCAGTTCTCCTGCCTCAGCCCCTGGAGTAGCCGGGAGTATAGGTATGCGCCACCACGCCTGGCTAACTTTGTATTTTTAGTAGAGACAGGGTTTCTCCATGTTGGTCAGCTGGTCTTGAACTCCCGACCTCAGGTGATCTGCCCACCTTGGCCTCCCGAAGTGCTGGGATTACAGGCATGAGCCACCACACCCGGCTTAAAAAATTTTTATCAGAAGGCCAGGTGCAGTGGCTCACTGCCTGTAATCCCAGCACTTTGGGAGGCCGAGGTGGGTGGATCACCTGAGCTCAGGAGTTCGAGACCAGCCTGGGCAACATGGTGAAATCCCATCTGTTCCAAAAATACAAAAAATTAGCTGGGTGTGTTGGCACCCACCTGTGGTCCCAGCTACTCAGGAGGCTGAGGTAGGAAGATCGCTTGAACCTGGGAGGCGGAGGTTGCAGTGAGCTGAGATGGAGACATTGCCCCCAGCCTGGGTGACAGAGTGAGACCCTGTCTCAAAAAAAAAAAAAAATTTATTGGAGACGAAGTCTCCCTTTGTTGCCCAGGCTCATCTTGAATTCCTAGGCTGTAGTGATCCTCCCTCCTTGGCCTCCCAAAGAGTTGGGATTACAGGTGTGAGCCACTGTGCCCCCCCCCACCCCCTTAGGTTTCTGTTTTTGAAACCTACTTTTCTCTGTAGTCCATTCTGCTATAAGGCTTATTTTGGAAAAGCAGATTTGTTCCAACACAATTGATGTGTTAGAGGACCGTCGAGGTGTAACACAAATGTTGCGATGGTTGCGTGTGGTTTTGTTCAGGAGAAACACTAGGCTAGGGATTGGAAAACTATGGCCCACAAGGTGGTGGCCTGTTTTGGTAAATAGAGTTTAATTCGCAGACACGCCCATTCAGGTATGTACAGTTGGGCCTCCATATCCTTGTGTTTTGTGTCTTTGAGTTCTACCAACCGTGGATTGAAAATATTTGGGGTAAGCCAGGCATGGTGGTATGTGCTTGTAATTCTAGCTACTTGGGAGGCTGAGGCAGGAGGATCTCTTGAGCCCAGGAGCTTGAGACCAGCCTGGGCAATACAGTGGGACCCCATCTCTTAAAAAAATTTTTTTGGGGGCTGGGCACGGTGACTCACACCTGTAATCCTAGCACTTTGGGAAGCCGAGGCAGGTGGATTGCCTGAGTTCAGGAGTTCGAGACCAGCCTGGGCAACACAGTGAAACCCCGTCTCTACTAAAATACAAAAAGTTAGCCAGGCGTGGTGGCATGTGCCTGTAGTCCCACTTACTCGGGAGGCCGAGGCAGGAGAATTGCTTGAACCCCAGAGGCAGAGGTTGCAGTGAGCTGAGATTGTGCCGCGCCACTCCACTCCAGCCTGGGTGACAGAGCAAGACTCTGGGTCTTAAAAAAAAAATTTTTTTTGAAGGAAAATAATGGAAAAAACAATACAACATAAAATAATACAAATAAAACTATAGTATAACAGCTGTTTATGTAGCATTTACATTTTATGGAGTATTATAAGTAATCTAGAGGTGACTCACTAAAGCATATGGAAGGATGTACGTAGGTTGTATGCTAATACTACACCATTTTATATCTGGGATTGAGCATCTGGGAATTTTGGCATCCCGGGAGTTCCTGGAAATAATCCTCCAAGGGTCTGGAGGGACAGCTGTCCTGTCAGAACCACAGAGCTGAGCATTCCTGACAGAGACTAAATGGCCCGCAGAGCCAAAATTATTTACTGTGTAGCATTTTAAGAAAAAGTTTACTGGCCAGGCGTGGTGGCTTACGCCTGTAATCCCAGCACTTTGGGAGGCTGAGGCAGGCGGATCACGAGGTCAGGAGATCGAGACCATCCTGGCTAACACGATGAAACACCATCTCTACTAAAAATACAAAAACAAAATTAGCCGGGCATGGTGGTGGGCGCCTGTAGTCCCAGCTACTCGGGAGGCTGAGGCAGGAGAATGGAGTGAACACGGGAGGCAGAGTTTGCAGTGAGCCGAGATCGCGCCACTGCACTCCAGCCTGAGCGACACAGCGAGACTCCATCTCAAAAAAAAAAAAAAAAAAGAGAGAAAAAGTTTGCCAACTCTTGCATTAGGTGAATCTAGAAAACTGTTACCAGTTTAATATAGTAGAGCACCTGTGAGTACATGAAATAAAACTGCCCACACCTCAGACATGCTCCAAGTCCCCTCGGGGTCCCGCATGTTATGGGCCACACCCTATCCCTTTCCGGGGTCAGACAGCCTCCCTCCAGCAGAAATGGCAGCCCACCCATGCTCACGGCAAGCAGTAAGTTTTCCCCGAGGTGAGGGTCAGACTTGCAACATTTGTATATTTCTTAGCCACTGAGCATGTGTGTAGCTGTGCTGCCCATATATCCACATGTGTCATTGCTTGGGCTCCTATCTTACGTCATAGATGAAGTTTTGGAGTACTGTGTCCCTAACCCTTATGTCCATAAGCCCTGTGTTTTTATCACATGGGTTTGCATCCCGCAGTGTTTTTAGGAGTGCTGCCTCTGTTGCGCTACAGCAGAACTTAACCATACTTTGAAGGCAAAGGCAAACACCAAAAGGTTTGCTCTCATTCGTGACAGTAAAGTCGTAATCACTTAATATCTCATCTGGACCTCTTGGTGTGAGAGGGCAAGGTCAAGCCCAAATTGTACAGGTCCAGTGCTCCCCATGTCCTTTGGAATCTTCAGGTCTGACTCTTTGAGTGGTTGATGGGGCCTTCTGATGGCTGACTGGGTACTTTTGTGCCTTGGTTTCCCCACCTGCAAAAAGGCGGCTGATGAGAGTATTTACCTTACAGGTGGTTGTGGGGTAGATGCTCAATCAGTGTTGGGTGTTTTGCACTTAAAAATTAGAAGATCCCCATGCTTCTATTAATTACAAAGGAGCAACAGATTTGGATGAAACCCTGAGGATCCCAGAGCTGAAAGTGAGTTTGAAGTGTCCGATCCAGTCCTTCAACTCAGAGCACTCCTATCTGTGACACCTCTGCCCACGCATCCAGTATGTGCAGCACACCTGCTCTGTGACTGACACTCTTGCAGAAGTGGGGCCACTTCAGGGACATGGACAAGGTGTTGTACCTGCTGTCACAGAGCCTGTTATCTGGTGAGTGATTGGGACATTCTGAGGGCTCATACCTTCTGGCTGCAGGTTCTTCCCAGGGGCCTCCCAGAGCTTCTTCCATAGCCCCAGGCAGGGCAAGTCTAGATTCAGTCTTGCCTGGAGACATCTGAGGATGGCTGTTCCATCCTCCTCCTCACATGTATGCAGCTCTCCTTTGAGCCCCACCTGTGCCTGTCACTTCAGGTGAAAGCAGTGTAAACATGATTAACAAGGCCAGGCTCGGTGGCTCACGCCTGTAATCCTAGCACTTTGGGAGGCCGAGGCGGGCGGATCACGAGGTCAGGAGATCGAGACCATCCTGGCTAACACGGTGAAACCCTGTCTCTACTAAAAAATACAAAAAATTAGCCGGGCGTGGTGATGGGCGCCTGTAGTCCCAGCTGCTGGGGAGGCTGAGGCAGGAGAATGGTGTGAACCCGGGAGGCGGAGCTTGCAGTGAGCCGAGATCATGCCACTGCACTCCAGCCTGGGCAACAGACTGAGACTGTGTCTCAAAAAAAAAAAAAAAGATTAACAAAAGGCCCCTTGCACACTGTGGAAGGCTTATCAGAGTGGCCACCTAGACAGAGGCATGGTAGCCTGAGTTCAGACCTAGCCTGGACTTTCACCCAGCCAGACTTCAGTTGTGCCTGTACCTTGTGGGATGACACATGCCCGTCTCCAACTCATGCAGGCTCTCAGTGAGAGGTAGTTGGCTCCAGCCAGCTTGCACCTCCCCACTGCTGGTCTTATCCTAGGACCACTGCAGGGAGACGATCTCTCAGTTTGGGGTCTTTGAAGGCTCAGGGAGCTCCTAGCCAGCTGACTAGGCTGGGGTCCATCCTGATAACATGAGAGAGAGAAGATGTCTGTATCTCTGGTGTGTCTTTACTTTTCAGGCCACCAAGGGTTAAGAACCCAGCGTCAGCCAGTGAGTAGTAGACATCTGTTCTCCTTTTGAGAAAGCCTGTAGTTCAGGACTCACCACGGCTTTCCCTTCCTTGGCCTGAAACCCTCCCTGCTCAGCTGCTTGGCGCATGCTGTTCCCCTGCCTGGAACGTCTCGCCTAATTCCTTTTCCTGCCCTGGCCTCAGTCTGGGAGACGCCATCTCAGTCCCCATGTCTTGGAGTTTTAAATGAAAGCACTTTACTTGTTTGCTCCTCTTTGCCCTGTAGGGCAACCCTGGGAATCACATGCTTCATGAGTCTAATTTACAGAAACGTAGGCGTAACTCAGCAGTGCATACCAAGCCCATACTGTTTGCTCTACACTGAAAATGAAGATGAATGGTGAAAAAAAGTTTCTGCCATTGAGAGCTTAACATTGAGTTGCAGTGAGAGATGAAGCTCCTGAGTGGCACGGAGATTGTTGCCAGGGCTCTGGTGAGGTACGCTGTGGCCTGGTGGTTGTGGCCACTCAGGGAGGCTTGTGGCCTATATAGAAGGCGGGCTGTGGGAATGAGCTGGGGGGTTTGGGTTGACTGTTTAGAATTTGAGAGTCTCTAGCATATGGCACAGAAGGTAGATGATTTAAGCTGCGTGGACATCTTCGATAAACACTGGAAGAATGGGCAGTGGTATCCTCTCTCGGCCCACTGAAGCTTCTGTGTCCATCTTGTGTCCTTAGTCCTATGCGTTGGAGTATTGGAGGAGCCAGCTTCCCCCTCTCTCCAGAGCTTCTCACCCTAGGGAGCCTCCTTCCTCCTCGCCTGGATGAGGTACTGTCTTTCTTTGTTAGTTTCTTTCTTTCCTTTTTTCTTTAAGAAACATGGCCTCACTATGTTGCCCAGCCTGGACTCATACACCTGGGCTCAAGTGATGCTCCTGCCTTGGTCTCCTGAGTAGCTGGGACTACAGGCATGTGCCACTGTGCCTGGCTTCACACTTGTGCTTTTGATTCTCATCCTTAGCAGGTGGGGCTGTTGTTTTATCTGGTTTTCTTTTTTAATCCTTGCTTTCTTTGAATACAGGACTGATTCATAGTCACTGTTAAAGAATTCAAGCAATACAGAAATGTTTACTATAGTAAGTGAAAGTTTCTTAATAATCTACTCTTCAGAGATTACTACCACTGATTTTGGTCCAGTTCCTTTCAGTTTTGATTTTAGTGAAGTTACTTTCAGTTTTTTCCCTATATACACCTTTTTTTTTTTTTTAAACCATGTAAATGGTACTATGCTATTCTGCAACTTTTCTCCCACAGTTCTTTCCATTTTTCTTCACATAGCATTGTCTGTGAAGTAGGGATGGGAAAACTGAGGCTCAGCTCAAGCATCACTTGAGCCCAGGTGTTTTGAGTCCAGCCTGGGCAACATAGTGAGACCTTGTTCTTAAAGAAAAAAGTTTGGGTTGACTGTTTAGAATTTGAGAGTCTCTATCTAGCATGTGGCACAGAGGGTAGATAATTTAAGCTGCATGGACATCTTTGATAAACACTGTGGAAGAAGGGGCAGTGGCATCCTCTCTTGGCCCACTGAAGCTTCTGTGTCCATCTTGTGTCCTTGGTCCTGTGGTTGATTGACAGACCTCTCCCCTGGCCCATGGCCAGCCAGCGTGTGTGTGATGGAGCTGAGACCAAGTCTCTGTTCCCTGCTGTGTCTAGTTGTAGGAGCTGACTGCTTGGAACACCTTTCTGTCTCTCAAGTTAAGTTGTATCTCTCGTACTTGGCCTTAATGAAGTTTGACATTGAGAAGTCCAGAGCTGCTGTTTCCGGTGTGGCTTCCTTCCGGAATGAGTCCTAGTCACTGTTACTCAGAGATGTGCGTCAGGAAGTGGCTCGGGCCACAGTTCTGAGCAGATGGAGGTGTCTGTTCTGCATGGGAAAGAAGTATGCTTGTCAGGCAGGCTCTGCCAATGCCAAAACTTGGCCCACCTATTCTCTCCTTACCCCCTCAACAGGTCCTTCTGGGCCACAACAAGGTACCCTGGTTTGACTCTTAGGAAGTGGGAGAGCCACTGAAGGGGGTACAGATCCAGGATGTGGCTTTGGGAGCTTCCTCGGGCTATGCTGCCGGGAGGAGAGTAGACAGGGGTTCTGGGTCCAGAGGCCCATCTGTGCTGTGCATCAATCTGTGTGAAGGGCAGGGCCACAGGGGCGCTCTGGAGGTGGGCACCTGGGCGCAGGCTTGCTGCAGCTGTGTGCCTACAGGGTCCTTGTGTCTTGAGTGTTGGGCGCAGCTCACAGCTAGCGAGGCTAGCACCTGGACCCCGTTGTCATCATCTGACTCAGCACTGGTTGCTTCATGGGCCCTTCTTCCTTCCTGATAGGAAGAGGTGCCCTGAGGTGCCCTGTGCCTCCTGAGGACAGTGGCTGCCCCCAGGTTCAGGGCTCTGCTCCTCAGCATCTCCGTGGGGCTCATCGTGGGCCTCGCACTCAGCACATCCGAACTGTAGCCCAACCTTCCTTCCTCAAATCTGCTCCTCCCCATCTCAGAAAAGCCAGCCCCACTGGTCCAGTTGCTCAGGCAAAAACAAGTGAAAGAAAGCAACCCCCTCCGGAGTGCCCCAACTCCCCTCTGCTCTGTCCCCTTCCCCAGTGTAGCTGCACCATAGGAACCGCTCCCCTGCCCTGCAGTCCTCCAGCCAGGTGATCCTTTAGAGCAAGCCAGATTCCTCCCCTCCGGCCTGGGCCAGTGCTTCCCCCAGCACATGTCTCCGCTCAGGCCCTGTCTCCTTCAGGGCTGGCTTCCGGTGCCGCCCGTTCCACCCAGCCCCCGTCCCTCTGTGTGCTCTGACTGCCCCGTGCTCTGCCTCGTGTCCCCACAGCACCGTCACCAACACCCTCTGTCATTTCGCTCGTTTTCCAGCATGGGGGTGGATGGTGTTCCCTCTGTCTTGTTCACCACTGAGTCCCCAGCCCACAGTGGAGGCTCGGTGAGCTGCTGTCGGGTGAGGAGGCAGAAAGACGCCTAAAATCCACCGTTAAGAGCATCAGCCCTGCTGCTCCCGCCAGTGCTTTAACCCACTTACTGCGAAGCCTCACTTTCTTCCTGTCTGAAATAAGGGTGTTACTATGGGTATGTTAGTGATGGGTGCCACAGATGGCATTTTATGGTAGAGTTAGTATTAGCATTGTGATCTCAGGGGTTTGGTTTTATGATTTGTGTCATGTACTTAATTTCTCTTTTAATTATCAAGAGATGCGTACTGGCCTGGTGTGCCAGAAGTGTGCTGGGTGCCTTCTGTTTGTCCCCCAAGTCCTCTTTAAGAGTTCTGGTTCCTGCCACAGCATCAGTCAGCCTTTTGGAATTGTTCTAGAACATGTTTTCTGCCTGAGGCTCTCAGGCCAGTTGGATGGTGGCATTTTACGAAAATAAAGCAGCATTCCTATCTGCCCTAAAGCCCATGGAGGTGCTCCCGGTCAGAGCTGCGCTGTACCTGTGTGGGGTCTCTAGTGTGGCTGGAACCTGTCCTTTTTGGCCCCTAGTTGAGGAAGAGCTGGGCTACGCCCCCACCACCTGCCAGCCCAGTGTGTGCGGGACGTATCAGAGGAGACCGATGCCCACTCAGCCTTGCTGGTGCTGCTCATCTGTGCTGGCTTGCAGTCCGGCCTGGGGTGTTTGGAGAGAGTGAGGAGGAGGGTGAGGCTGACCTTCAACCTTGTGTCTCAGGCAGCCCTGGCAGCCTCAGTGCTCTCCTCTTTCAAATGGGCACACTGCTGTTGGGATCTGTCTGTGCAGGCAGCAGCCGGCAGAGGATCTCAGCCCCCAGGACGGGGCTACTCTCCATGCACTGGCAGCTCCCGCACAACCCTTGCCTGGAACTTCCGCCACCGGAGCTGCCTTCCCCTCACTCTCCCCTGTCACTGGGAATTTTGAAATGAATCCTCATTTGCCAGTCAGGGTGACCTAGCCTCTTCACCTACTTTTAGGAAGTGTTCTAATGTACCCCCCACTGCTCTTTGCAGGAGTCATCTGTCGCGCTTTCTTCTTCCTGACAACTTTGCTCCTGGGTCTGTGCTTGCTGTGCGGTGGCCGCCAGCCCTGTTGTGCTGGGGGCACTAGTCCCGCTTGCTTCGAGGAGGGAGGAGCCACTCCTTACTGGCACCTGCCCTCCCCAGGAGCAAGTGTCCTGTGGTGGCCGAGGATTGGCCAGTAGCAGGCCCTGCGTCATTGGTCTTGGCAGTGGAGGAGGCTCCTGCCAAAGGAGCCCCCTGCACTCGGGGGCTGGCCCCACCCCCTCCAGCTGTGCCTGTCCTTCCTGAGGTGGGGGAGGGGTGCCGCAGGGCCCCGCCCCGCAGTGGCCTGCCTCTGGGAGGCACAGGCATAGGGCAGGCGGGCGCTGTGAGGCCAGCCGTCAGTGCCGGGCCTGGGATTGGCAGAGTTCCAGGCCTTAGGCTTCATAGTGAGCTGCTGTGCACCTTGAGTACACGCCAGCCAGCCCTCTGCTGAGGACCCTGACCTGCTACCACAACAGGGGGCCCAACAAGAGAGGTCTCTGGGGCTGGAGGGAGCAGCTCTGCTGGGCACCTGAGGCCCTGCTCCATCCTGCATCTCTCAGAACCTCTGGGTAGCCTCTGGTCCTATACCAGTGAGAACGAAGTGAGGCCACACAGGCACGGCCCCCCTGATCTGGCTGTCAGTTCCACCTTGTCCATGTGGGCTGGAGCAGCTTCGAGAACTCATTCAGGGTCTTGGGTTCAAATGGGCTTCATGGAACTGAGCCCAGAGCTTACAGGGTGGGAGGCTGTGCTGGGAGGGGCCCTGCCTGGCTGGAACAGGGGCAGAGTGGGGAGCATGGGGGTTTCTTTGAGTCACAGGGAAGGGTGCTATGTCCTGGAGGTGGAGGTGCATTCTCCCTGTCCACCTGGGGACCTCATCCCCAACAGTAGTTATAAGGCCAGACTGGGAAGCTTCATCCGTAGAGTGGGGCCCTTACTTGTCCGAGGTCCTGGCCTCCCCTCATCTCTCACCTAAACAGGCTTTTCCCTGCCCTGGGCCTGGGAGTGCACATACCTGCTGTCTAAGGCAGTGCTTGAAGGAGAAATGTCCCACCCCTCCCACAGTGAGGGAAATGAGAGGAGGGGACCCACACTCTGAGGGCAGTGACTTATCTGTGGTCTCATGGGAGGCAAGACAGACAACCTGTTAGTGAGCAGTTCAGATGGGGTTTATGGGCAAGGCATGTCGGAGGAAGGAAGGACAGAGACCATAGAACTTCAGGGCTGAGAGGGACACCGTAGCATTCCTCACCTCCCCCAGAGAAGTGAGGCCATGACCTCCACATTCGACCTCTACCTGGGCTCCATTCCACGGAGGAGCTGAGGGGCAGCTGAGCAGGAGCGGGGGCGGGGGTGGACAGGGTGGCCGGGGGCAGCGGAGGCCGCACAGTTGGTGTGGGATAGGTGGTAGGTGCAGGCTGGGATGCCAGAGGGGCTGGGGACAGGTGGAGGCAAGTCTGAAAACCTGTGCCCTTGAGATTCGGAGTCTCCCTGCCTCAGCCTGGTCATGTTAAGGGTCAGCCATGGCACCTGGGTGGTGGTGAGACAGGGTAGGGAGCACAGAGCTGCTCTGGGCCTGTGTGAAGCACCAGGGATTTCCTGGCCTTGAGGAGACCCCAGTGTTTCAAGCCGGTGCCCGGGTGCCCTGGCTGGACCACACTGGCACAACACGCATGTAGACGGCCTGCTTTCCCTCTGGCTCCAGGAGCGTGAAGCAGCTGTCTCTTTCTTTCCTTTCAGTTTGAGTGCATGAGGGGGCACATTTGGGCAGGGCCTTGCGCTATTGCTCATTTGTGAAATTGGCTCCTTTAAGGAAGCTGCAGATGAGTCAGCTCTGGAGTGCGTCCCATGGATGGCGACAGGACCCCTGTGTTGCCTTGTGCTGCCCCCAGCTTCCAGACGGTCTGCCTGGCTCTACCTGGGACAGGCTTCCCCAGGGTGTTTGCCAGTGAGGAAACTAAGGCTCTGGCAAGATGAGTGCCCTGCCTGTGAGGACACAGATAGGACCAGAGGGCTTCAGCATAGAGCATGCCACAGGTGTGAATTGGGGTTCTCTGTGGGGCCCAAGTGGGCACCAACTGTCCCATGGAAAACTGTGACACTTCGGGAATTCCACTAGAGCTCAGCTGCTAAATTTCTCTTTTGTCCTCTGGTAAACACTGGGATGCTTTTTTAAGAACCTGACTCTCTCTGTCTCAATTCCTGTGCCCTGTCCTGTTGGGACGTCGAGGCCGGGATTAGAGCAGCCCCTTTAAGAGTGCCAGTGTCCCAGACCCTGCTGTGGAATGCCAGCCGCCTCCCTGCAGACAGACATCGCTGTGCTGTCGTCCTGTCTCCGTGAGGGTTAACAACACTTCAGCCTGTTGTCTGGAACCGGTTCAGACTGGTTTTCTGGAAAGTGCTTTGTCTCTCCGACTGAATCCTGGGAAGGGTCATGTGGAGCCAGTGATGTCATGGGATCAAAAACTGACTCAGCTGTTTTTTTCTTCTTTTTCTTTCTTCTTTAAATCAAGATATGTGTGTGCTGCAGGTACAGGGCAGTGGCACGTTGATGGGCCAGGCCTCACTCTACTCAAAGTGTACCTCACTGGCAACCAAAGGGTTAAATGTGATCCCCAGTCCCCACTCCCCAGAGGTGAGCAGGGAGTGAGGAGACCTCCCTTCCCTGAAGGGGAGAAGCTGGGGTTAACTCGAGTCACCACAGCATAGGGCTAGTCCCAGGCCCCGACCCTGCTCCTGGAACAGTGCAGTCACCGCCCTCCTGGATTCCAGACATTGCAGGTGCTGAAAATCCCAAAGGCAGGTAGTTGAGATCTAGAACAACTTTTCCTCTGTTTGCTGTTGAGCCTTTCCTTGCTGATAAGCAGCCACCTTCCACTGCTCCTGTTCAGCACCCTGCTGCCTCTGGCCCCCAACAGGGCAGGGTGTAGTTTGGCTCCACCAATGTTCAGCCACACAGTGGAGGCTGGGGACACCCCCCTCCTGCCTAGCCTTCCTCAAGGCAGTGATGAAATGTCCTGGGGATGCTTTTCTGGGCCCTGCGTTTGTTGTACATTCTTTTGCCATCCTTCCCATAGGGAGGAAAACACTGAAAGCAACACTGAAAAGTCTCCAAGAAGGTGGCACCTTCATTGCACCCAGTTAAAATGTTGTGTCTTCTCCTCCCTCCCAAGTTCAGAATGACCGAAGAAGCATGCCGAACACGGAGTCAGAAACGAGCGCTTGAACGGGACCCAACAGAGGACGATGTGGAGAGCAAGAAAATAAAAATGGAGAGAGGATTGTTGGCTTCAGATTTAAACACTGACGGAGACATGAGGGTGACACCTGAGCCGGGAGCAGGTCCAACCCAAGGATTGCTGAGGGCAACAGAGGCCACGGCCATGGCCATGGGCAGAGGCGAAGGGCTGGTGGGCGATGGGCCCGTGGACATGCGCACCTCACACAGGTGAGTGGGAGGAGCCAGCGGGAGGGGCTGGAACCTGGAGACAAGCCCAGTGTGCCCAGGTTGGGGCTGGCCACACTCCAGGCCTGTTGGTAACAGCTTGGCGGGGTTGTGGAGAGGGCTGTAGGCTCAGCTCGGGCATCACCCACCACTGGCAGCTGTGCTGTTGTGGCCATTCCAGGGCCCCAGGTCCCAACTGCAAGTGGCACAGAGTGTGGGTCTCACAGGAGAAGGAGTGGCACATTCCATCAGCTCCCCTGCCATCAGTAGGCCTTTGCCACCCACGCACCTGCTGTCTGTCCAACTCGGTGCTTTTGGTTTGTAGGGACACTTGAGTTATTCATTTGGTTATGCTTCCCTGCTTTTCAGATCTAGAGGTCAGAGGGCCAGGAATGCTACACCTACCTTGGTCACTTGGCTAGGGATAGAGTTGGGAGCCCAGCCCAGGGCACCCTCCTCGGAGCGGGTACGGGATGCTCACTCGACTCCATGTTCACTTGGTGCTGGTCTTTGGCTTGCTCTGTTGGTTTGTCCTTAGTCAACACTGATTACTTCAAGAGTGACTTTCCTCATATTCACCTTTTATGAGTCTCTTAAGGTAAAAGCTTGAAATAAAAATAAGACCCAATCTACCACCTATTTCTTGACTTCAAAACCTTCCTTTCTCTCTGTAAAGACAAATTCAGACCCAGCACCTGCTCTTGCATCACCCCTCCCCTTGGAGCTCTCCAGAATGTTCATGCCCAGACACCCACTGAGGGCTGTGGTGTGGCCACAGCTTCCCGGCTGGCCCTCTGACAAACTCCTCTGTGGCCCGTTGCTCTCTCTCCTCACCGCCCACTGGAGTCTTCTCCCTGTGGAGGGCCTGTCTCTCCACGCCTGTTCATAAGGGACAGCTGGTGGCTCCTCACCTTCCCGTGTCAGCTAACCCCACAGGATGACCCCAGCCTGCAGTCTTATGTCAAATTCGTTTTTGGAACCCAAACTGTTGGGATCCTGAGGACTTCAGAGATCATCTGGTGTTCACAGCGTTTAAAATGGGAAGATAAATGGGAAAACCCAAGCCTGCTCCTGTTGACAAAGCCTCCTAGTCTGAGGAAATATACTTTGTAGTCCTGCTGTCCAAAGAGGGCTTTTCTGTCTGACTCTGCTGTCTGCAGTCCCCATTCTAAAACCAAGGTCCTCTTCTAAAGTTCCAGAAATAAAACTATAGGTCCAAGTCTCCTTTTCCTTTCTCTATGTTTTCAGCCAGAGACCAGTCCATGACAGCTCAGCAGGGGTGAGCAGTGAGGGGCTGGTGTGGAGTCAGGGCAGGAAGAGGAGGAGTCCATGTTCATGGGAATCTGCAGTCCATGTGCATGGGGTCCCTTGTGCATTCCTGGGTTGCTGACATGCATTTTCTCCTGTAATCACCATGTTCCCCTGCAGGGTAGGTCAGTGGATTGTGAGGGAGAAGTTAAGTGTTAAAGAAACTCAGAGTTCAGCTGGGCGCGGTGACTCACGCCTGTAATCCCAGCACTTTAGGGGGCCGAGGCGGGTGGATCACAAGGTCAGGAGATTGAGACCATCCTGGCTAACACGGTGAAACCCCATCTCTACTAAAAATACAAAAAAATTAGCTGGGTGTGGTGGCGGGTGCCTGTAGTCCCAGTGACTTGGGAGGCTGAGGCAGGAGAATGGTGTGAACCTGGGAGGCGGAGCTTGCAATGAGCCGAGATCGCGCCACTGTACTTCAGCCTGGGGAAAGAGTGAGACTCTGTCTCAAAAAACAAAAAAATATTGCTAGCACCTCTGAAGCCCCCTCATGCTTGCTTGCTGCCACTGTCTTCCAAGGGTAATCACTTTCTTGACAATATGGATTAGTTTTTCCTGCTTTGGTACTTTAAATAAGTGGGATTATATACTATGTACCTTTTATCTTCCTGCTTTCACTCAGCATTGTGAGATTTACCCATATTGTTGTGCATACCAGTAGTTAATCCATTTTCATTGCTGTATAGTATTTTGTTTATAGAGTTTCTATTTGGGTATTTTTCAAAACTACCTTTTTTTCTTTCATGCTAACTTATTACCATCTTATGACCGAATCTGGGCATATTGAAAGCTAGAGGCAGTTTCTGATGGCTTCTAGGAGAGAGAATTTCCTTTTTCTTTAGTGGCTGGTGAATTGGAATCATCAAGAAATATATATGTTTGCATGTGTGTGTATAGTGTACATATTGCTATGTTGGATGATTTGGAGCATGCAGAGGCAGATACAGTAGTAGAATCAGCTTTCTGCCTCCATCTTTTACTCCGCTCCCTGTCGCTCTTTAACTCAGCAGTTTTTCTCTCTCAGTCTCCCAACTTGTGTGAGTGTTTTATATTCTACATAAATTGAGGGTGGAGGGCAACTTCTGGTTGTGTTGAATGAGGAGATTGGCAGAATTGACAAAAGCAAAATGAAACAATCTCAGCATTCTGGAAAAATTGAGCAGGGGCATACAACAATCTGAGAAGTATTTATGCCTGTAACTGCTGAATTTCAGGTGAGAACAGTGAGACTGTATGGCATTTGGCCTGGAGCTATTCCTATGCCCTCTCCCATCTGTTTGGTAAAGAGGTTCTGTCCAGCCACTGTCAGCTTTGAGGACCAACAGCTTCGCTGTGTGGGTGAAAAGGAGGACTGTTCATTTTAGAGTGGTAGCAACCCTGCCTGTGGTCTTGTAGATGAGAGTGACAGTCTTGGAGATGGGCAAGTGGGGAGACACAGCGGCTCTGTTTTAGCCCAAGGTTGGGGCAAGATAGAAAAACTATTTGAAGAAATAATGGGCAAAAACATACTTGAGGAGAAACTCATCCAGGAATCCCAACAAACCCTAAATAGCATAAGTACAAAGAGATCTTGACCTAGATACATCATAGTCAAACTGTAGAAAGCCAAAGAAAAGAAGAAAATCTTGAAAGTAGCAAAAGAAAAACAACTCAGCACATCTGGGGAGCATTAATAAGATGAACAGCTGACTTCTGACTCGAGACAATGGAAACAAAAAGGAGTTGAATGATGTTAAAAGTATCCAAAGAAGAAAACTGCCAACCCAGAATTCTATACCAGTAAAAACAGTCCTTCAAAAATGAAAGCAAAAAAGACATTGTCAGGTAAACAAGACTGAAGGAATCCATTGCTGGTAGACCTGCCAGTTCTTCAGCCTGAAAATAAATGACACGTTGGCAGCTTGAGTCTATGAGAAGAAATAAAGAACACTGGAAATGGTAAATGCATGGGTTAACTGGAAAGACTTAACTAGTTCTGCAGTCTGGAAGCCAACCAAAGGCTTTGAATGATTTGTTGGGTTTATAATATCCACAGATAAAATATATGTCATATTAGTACAAAAGATGGGGAATTAAATGGAGCAATATTGGAGCAAAATTTCTGTATCTTACTGGAATCAAGTTAGCATCAGTCTTATATAGATTGTGATTAAGATGCTTACTGTAATGCCTAGAGCAGCTCTGAACAAAATAACTTTAAAATATAGTTTTTTAAAAAAATCAGGGCTGGGCACAGTGGCTGACTCCTGTAATTCCAGCACTTTGGGAGGCTGAGGCAGGTGGATCACAAGGTCAGGAGACCAAGACCATCCTGGCTAACGCAGTGAAACCCCGTCTCTACTAAAAATACAAAAAAATTAGCCTGGCATGGTGGTGGGCACCTGTAGTCCCAGCTACTTGGGAGGCTGAGGCAGGAAAATGGTGTGAACCTGGGAGGCGGAGCTTGCAGTGAGCCAAGATCGCGCCACTGCACTCCAACCTGGATGAAAGAACGAGACTCCATCTCAAAAAAAAAGAAAAAAAGATCATCAGAATTAAAGTTATACACTAAAAAATATTTAACACGAAAGAAGGCAGTTTCTTTATTCACTGAGAAATAAAGGAACAAACAAGAGGACATGTAGAAAACAAAATGGCAAATGTCAATCCAGCCATGTCAATAATGCAGTAACTGTGAAGGATCTAAATACCTCAATCAAAAGGCAAGGACTATCAGATAGTGTAAAGAAGCAAGATTCAGGCTGGGCGCAGTGGCTCACGCCTGTAATGCCAGCACTTTGGGAGGCCAAAGTGGGCGGATCACAAGGTCAGGAGTTTGATAGCAGCCCCTGGCCAATATGGTGAAACCCCGTCTCTACTAAAAATACAAAAATTAGCCAGGCGTGGTGGCACGCACCTATAGTCCCAGCTACTTGGGAGGCTGAGGCAGGAGAATCACTTGAATCCGTGAAGCGGAGGTTGCAGTAAGCTGAGATGGTGCCACTGCACTCCAGCCTGGGTGACAGAGCTCCGTCTGTCTCAGAAAAAAAAAAAAAGAAGCAAGATTCAGCTTAATTATATGTTGTTTATAAGTGACGCCCCTTAGATTCAAGGAATAATACAAAAGGATGGAAAAAGAGGTACCATAAGTAACCGCTTGAGAGCTGGAGTAACTGTATTAATAAGAGATAAAAGACACTTTAAGACCAAAAAATTACTAGAGCCAAACTGCGACTTTATTTTTTTTTTTGTTTTTTTTTTTTTGAGACAGAGTCTCACTCTGTCACCCAGGCTGGAGTGCAGTGGCACGATCTCCACCTCGTGGGTTTCAGTGATTCTCCTGCCTCAGCCTCTTGAGTAGCTGAGACTACAGGTGCCCGCCACCACGCCCAGCTAATTTTTTGTATTTTTAGTAGAGGCAGGGTTTCACCATGTTGGCCAGGCTGATCTTGAACTCCTGACCTCGTGATCCGCCCGCCTCACCCTCCCAAATTGCTGGGATTACAGGCGTGAGCCACTGTGCCCAGCTGCGACATTTCATATGATATTTCAGGAAGACATAACAGTCAGCAGAGCCCCCAAATACCTGAAAACATAAACTTGATAGGATTGATGGAAATTAATCAGTTATAGTTAGAGATTTCAATATCCCACTCTCAATAATTGGTAGAACATCTAGACAAAATTGGCAAGGTATGGAGGACTTGAAGAACATTATTAACTCACTTAGCCTGACATCTGTAGAATACCTGGTGAATGCAGAATACATCCTCCCAATTGTAGGTGAACGTTCTCTGTTGATCATACATTGGACCATAAAACAAGGCTCCAGTATAGCTGTAAAAAACAAAAAAAAAAGGAAGTAACAAGTGTTGAGGAGGAAGTGTAGAAACTGGAATTCCTCATACATTGCTGGTAGGAATGTAAAATAGCCCAGATAGTTTCTTACAGAGTTAGTTGTAAACTTACCGTATGACTTAGCAATTTATCCAAGAGAAATGAAAATGTGTCCACACAGACAGGTACACCTGCAGCAGCATGATTCATACTGGTCGAAAAGTAGAAGCAGGGCCAGGCACAGTGGCTCACGCCTGTAATCCCAGCACATTGGGAGGCCGAGGCAGGCGGATCACCTGAGGTCAAGAGTTTGAGACCAGCCTGGCCAACATGGTGAAACCCCGTCTCCACTAAAAATACAGAAATTTGCCTGGTGTGGTGGCGTGCACCTGTAGTCCCAGCTACGTGGGAGGCTGAGGAGGGAGAATTGTTTGAACCTGGGAGGCAGAGGTTACAGTGAGCCGAGATCGTGCCGCTGTACTCCAGCCTGGTGACAGAACAAGACTGTCTCAAAAAAAAAAAAAAAAAAAGTGGAAGCAACCCAGTGTCCCATGGATAAAACAAACCTGCTACCTCTATATACCAGATTACTGTTCAGCTTTATAAACTACTCATGTGTGCCATAACATGGCTGAATCTCAGACTTGCCACGCTAAGGAGGATACAGCAGATGCAGGGACTACTTGTTGTATAGTTTCACTTACAGGGCATGTCCCCCCAAAAAGCAAATTTATTTGAGAGATGGAAAGTGACCAGTGGTTGACTAGGACAGGGCTGGGGGTGGGTGGGAGCAGTGATTAACAACACATGGGCACGTTTTGGGAAGATGGAAATATTTTAAAATTGTATCGTGGTGATGATTGCACAAATTTACTGAAATCATTGAATGGTACTCTTACGGTGGCTGAATTTTGCGGTATGTAAAGTATACCTCAATATGGATGTTAAAAATAAATAATTAAATGAAGGTTAAAATAGTTTGGTTTCTGTTGTGGCATCCATAAATGTGCACACAGAAAAACAAAACCCGCAGAGGTAGAAGTTGTGAGTCTGTTGGTTTTGTGAGGCCAATCCAAAGGTCGTGGGCATGTGCTGCCCCTATGCCGAGTCTGGACTGTCAGATGAGGCTGGAGCTGGCAGGCAGAGGAGGCTGCTTTTGGTTCTCTGTTTTTTGGAGTTGGTCTTGCACTGTCGGCCAGGCAAGAGTGCAGTGGTGCAGTCGTAGCTCACTGCAGCCTTGAACACCTCGGCTCAAGCCACTCAAGTAGGTGGGACCATAGATGCATGCTACTACACCTGGATGGGGTTTTTCTGTTGTTCTTTTTAAAAAATTTTTTGTAGAGATGGGGTTTATTATGTTCCCCAGACTGGTCCTGAACTCCTGATCTCAAGTGATCCTCCTGCCTCAGCCTCCCAAAGTGCTGGGATTATAGATGAGCCACGGCACCAGGCCGGTTCTTTCTGTTTTGTTTTTGTGATAAGTAGCAGATCCAGTCCTGCACTTTCCTGTAGGGGAGAGTCTCTTTCTTTCAAATGGTTGATCTTCAGAAATAACTGGCCACACCCAGATGGAAATAGCTTGATTTGTTTTCTTTTCTTTTTTTTTTTTGAGATGGAGTTTCGTTCTTGTTGCCCAGACTGGAGTGTGGTGGCGTGGTCTCAGCTCACTGCAACCTCTGCCTCTCAGGTTCAAGTGTTTCTCCTGCCTCAGCCTCCTGAGTAGCTGGGATTACAGGTACTTGCCACCACGCCCAGCTAATTTTTGTATTTTTAGTAGAGACAGGGTTTCACCATGTAGGCCAGGCTGGTCTTGAACTCCTGACCTCAGGTAATCCACCCACCTCAACCTCCGAAAGTGCTGGGATTACAAGTGTGAGCCACTGTACCCAGCCTTGATTTGTTTTTTTTTTTGGATGGAAGAGCACGTTGCTCAGTAAAAATGCGGCTCTTCTCCAGGGGTCCTGCAACTGAAAGGTAAGGACTGAGGGTCCCTCAGTCACCTTGGGCCTGCATGGGGTGAGGGAATGAGAACTCTGTGAATGGCCACACCTCACTGAGGATGTGTTTGTATGTGCCTTTTCTGAAGTGTCAACTCTTATTGGATTGTCAGTGGTCCAGGACCAGACCTGCTGTATGCCAGGTACTATGCTGATCTCTGGTAGAGAGGTAATCAAGACAGGATCTGATTTATGCAGCTATTTTTTTGGAAGACCATGTCATGAAGGAAAGCGCAGAGGTCTTGGAAAGAAGGACTTGCCATTGCCGATGTGGCTCACCGTCTCCATTTCCTTACTTCACCTGGGAGGAGACTGGGCTGTGGCTTCCGTGGTCCATGGATTGGGCAGACTTCAACACAGCCTAGGTGGATATCTGGCAAGTTGTCCCCGTTAGTGGTGTGTGGCGTTCAGGCAGCTCTTGTGTCTTGCTCTTCTCTTCCCCACCTCCCCTTGTACCATGAGTGGCTTGTCTGCTGTGGGAGGGGGCAGCACTTGGACCAAAGGCCTGCCCCATGGTCTGGACGGGGCAGGCTGGGATGTGTGTTCCTTGGCCACTTTGGGGCTCAAAGTAGCATCTGTGCTGTTAGATCTGATCTTGGCTTTAGTTTTTTTTGGCCTTCAGCTCCCTGGTCAAGCACTTGTGGCCAGTGACAGACTGTAAAACACACTGGAAATGTAGTCTGTTTACTGGGCCTGCAAAACCAGTCGCAATTGGTGACACTGGTGTCCTTGATGACAATTAGAATCATTGCCGTTGTCTTTCTTTTTAGACTTTTGCAGTCACCAAGAGGGCGGTGGGGTGACACATCTGTGTCACTTCCCTGCCCAGAGAATGCACTGGCTGATCATTTGATATTAAGACAGGTTAGGCCACCCACCACGGTGAGCATGCGTGCCCATCATTAAAATGCAGGTTAGGCCAGGCGCGGTGGCTCACGCCTGTAATCCCAGCACTTTGGGAGGCCGAGGCGGGCAGATCACGAGGTCAGGAGATCGAGACCATCCTGGCTAACATGGTGAAACCCCGTCTCTACTTAAAAAAAAAAAAAAAAAAAAAATTAGCCGGGCGTAGTGGTGGGCACCTGTAGTCCCAGCAACTTGGGTGGCTGAGGCAGGAGAATGGCGTGAACTCGGGAGGTCAGGCTTGCAGTGAGCCCAGATCACACCACTGCACTCCAGCCTGGGCGACAGAGCGAGACTCCGTCTCAAAAAAACAAAAACAACACATATTAACACCCAAGCCTTCCAAAACCAAAAACAAATCAGAAAGTAATGTGATATTGCTTCTTCCTAGACATCCAGCCACCCAGTTGTCCAGAACGTGGGAGTGTGGACGGCTTTGTTTTGTTCTGTGCCAAAATGGGGCCAGCTGGAAAAAAGGTGTGCATCACATAATTTTTGCAAGATGTCTCTGAGGATCACGGATAGAGTGAGTCCTTCCTGTTTGGACAGATGCTTTTTACAGGGAAGGGAGAGGAGGGTGAGGTCGACACTGGAATTGCCCCCAACCCCGACAACCACGTGAGCATGGGGCTCTCCTGGTGTGCCCGAGACAGTGAGTTCTGACTCACGTGTGCACCTGTGAGTCAAACCCTGAATTTAGGTCACAAACTTTATCACGGCCCAGAAACCTTACCATCCCACTCCAGAAGGGCCCTCACGCACTCCCAGCCCTTCCTGTTTTGGTGCTTCCCCTCATGAGACTGGTCTTGCCTCTTTTCCGGTTTTCCAGGGATGCACTCACAGAGTCAGTGCTCTTTGGGGTCCGGCTTCCTTCTGAGTGTTTTGGGATTTGCCCCTGGTGTGTATTGGTGTGCCTCTGAGTGGTGTGCACAGGGCACTTCTCACTTGTCAGTAGACATGTGTGCAGCCTCCAATTTGGGCCTGGTGTGAGCACCCGCTGCTGTGCAAGGTCCCTGCAGATTGTCTGTTTGTGGGTACGAGTCAGCATTTCTCTTGGTAAACACTCAGGTTAAACTGCAGGGTTACAAATTGTGTGTGTGGTTAGTCGTTTTAGAGAAACGACTGGGCTTTTCCCCCAAAATGGTCTGTGCTTTTCACACTCACAGGTGTGGCAGTCCAGCATACCGTCTTCACTTGTTGTTCTCAGTCTTTATAGTTTTAGCCACTGGGTCCCCAGAGAGGTTGAGGTCCAGACTTGGCCTACACGTGTGGCTCTGTCTTAAGCCCGTCACCCTTGTCCCTCTTTGATGGAAGCACGAGGCCAGGCAGAAGAGCCCACTGCCCCTTGTGCTAGTCAGTCACATAGCGGATGCTCGGACAGTTGCTGGTGCCACAGAACCCCTATCATCGTTGTGTTGGCTGCCTGCATACGGGTGGAGGGGTTGTCTTCACAGCGATGTGCAGAGCTGAGCTTCCACCCCCTGCTCTCAGGACTATGCCTCCCCGCAGCTGCTCCCGGCCCGCCGGCCGGCTGTCTACAGGAATGCACGTCCTTGAATGAGATGGACGATGGACTAATGTGGCACAGCTGTCGACGTGAGGGCTCAGGAAAGGGCTGGGTTCTCATAGCCCAGGGACATGGTTTGTGGCCCTCACACTGGCTGCCTCCTACAGCCCTCTTGGCAGGGATTGAACCCCTAAATCCCCCATCGGGGTGCCAGAGCTTTGGAAGTCCCACAGCAAGAAGCCATTTTCCCTTTGTGTGACCACTGGCCTGTCCCAGAGTCAGGGTCCAGACAGGGGGCTCCGGAGCGGGGTACTCTGTGGGCGGCTCTCTGGAGCCCCCCCCCCTCCACTGCCCCAGCCCCTCCCCAGCACCTGTTGAGGGCTGGCTGCTGCCTTTCACTTGCTAATTCTCTGTCTGCTTCTGGGCAACTTCCAGGAGAGGCTGGGTGGCCCCAGGGAGTGCCTTCACCAGCTCCGACTAGAAATCCACAGCCTGCGGGCATTTCTTAGCTCATGGGAACTGAGAGGTATGTTCCCTTGGGAATCTGTTTTGTGCTCCCTTCCCTGCCTTAGCCGCTGCCCCTCCAAACCTCAGTGGCCACCGTCTGTCTCCTCCTTGTTCTCTATGTCACCCCTTTCCTGCAGGCTCCTCATCCAATTTCCCTTTATCTGGGACTCTAATCCCAGAAATCGCTGAAATGTGAGGGGTCCACCTGTACTTCTAAGAATCGTTAGATTATATAGGGGCACCAGGATAACAGACTGCCCTGTTTCTAACTCCCCAAGTCCTCAGCTCACATGAGGGCCGTAGCATGAGCCGGCCCGGTGCCAGGTAAAAGAGCATCACTGCTGGTCTTCCTGAACTTCAGCTTCTCCAAGGTGTTGCCAGCTCCCTGTTGCCTTTAGACGCCCTCCTCTGGTCATGGAGGGGACTCGGATCCCTAACTTTGAAATGGGGCTTCTCTCTTGGACAGTGCAGGCTCTCTGGGGATGTTATTATCCTGTGGTGGCTCTGACAGAAAACCAGAGGCCACACTTTATATGGACATCGAGGTAATCACCAGTAAATGTTTGGCCTTCTCTGTCTGAACTCTTCTCACACATCTGTAAGTTGAGCAGATTTGCAGATTAAGCAGACCTCTTCCTTCTTTTTAAATGACTTGCTTTCTGTTTTGCTGCTGCGGCTTCTGATATCTCCTCCCAGCATGTATTCCTGCTGTTGTCTTATTTGTCACTCACTGACAGGCTTCTCTTCCTGTAACTGATGTCCCAGCTCCTGTAGCGGGTTATTTAAATGTCCCATCCACAGGGACAAGACGGGGAGGGTGTCTGACCAGCACTCCGCTGTGCCCACTGAAACTGGGTTTAGCTATGTTGCTTTTCAGTCTGCAGCCAGCTTCCCTGCCATGCTGCAAGCAGTTGCAGTGAAACCAACCTGGAGGCTACGGGGCGGCTTCTGAGTGCTCCTTAGGCCGAGAGCCAGTCCTGTCCCTCATGGTCCCCTAACCTGGTGAAGGAGTGGAGCGAAGGGCAGTGGGCGCCAGGCCTTGGGGGTCTCTGTGTGCAGAACAGGTAGAAACAGACGGAGTGGATACCTGGGAACCTGCAGGGGCATGTGTGATCCCAGGTGGGACAGGCAGGCGTCACACCCAGGGGGGCAGTGTTTTCCCGGTTAGCAGAATATGCCCCTGGAAGAAAAGAAAAGCCTACCTGGTTAGAAGAGATCTTTCTGAGGTTTTTCTTCTCTCTCTTAAGATGAGCATATGAATTATAATTTGTGAGCCTGAGGGGGCAGCTGGTGGTAGAAAAAAGAACGTGGGTGTCTGACAGCCTGGATCGGCCATGTACTGAATCTCTGTGTGGCCTGGGATAGTCTGCCCCCACTTTGTGAATGCCTCTTGTCTCCTCTGTGAATTGAGGCTCCACCATAGTGTAAAGTCACAGTGCTGAGAGGAAGGCAGGGTAACGCCTGAAGCCAAGCTGGATCTGCTGCCTTTGGAAACACTGAGTTACCTGTGGCTGAGGCTCGGGCAGATGCCACCGTTCTCTCTGGAGGGTGGGAGACAAGGGAGGGGACGTCTGATGGGTGGAAAGATGGGAGACATACCAGATGTTGCTATGTGCCTCCCTTGCTTGGGACCTGTGCCATAGGACTGCGGATTTTTAGAGCTTATATCTTTAAAATAGTTGTGACGTCATCAAATTGAAAAGCTTTGGGGGTTCATGCGACTGAGACTTGATGCCATGCAGAATTCCTCAAGGCAGGGCCCTGATAGCTTTCGTACAAAGAGCATTCTAAAGAGAGCCATCAGTCCAGGCCTCCAGGAGACTTGGCGTGTCTGCAGGCGGTGTGGGAAGAGTGGTCTGAGGGCACTCTCTGGGGGACTGCAGCCCAGAAATCATGGTGCACCGGGTGCAGGGGTCAGAGTCTGAAGGTACACGGTGGTAGGAGCAGAGACCGGAAAGGTGGTCTGGGATAGATTGTTGGATGCAGGAAGGGTGGAACATAGAGTTGGGACTGGGCCTTGGGTTTGGGACCCCCCTCTGGAGAAGGGAGAGTTGATGCTCTGAGCCTAGGTGGAGCCCAGGATCTCTCAGGCATTTGGACGGGAGAGAGGTGGCCAACTTGCTGGAGAAGGAAGGAGATTCCTAGTCCCGGAGACCAGCAGTCTAGGGGCAGTGGGGCACAAGATTCAGAATAGCGTCCTCACACTGAGGTCCTGGGTGACCTGGCCAGCCATGTTCCTGTGTTTGATCCACAGCCATAGGGCGTCGCCCGCTTTCTGTGACTTAGGTAAACATAGAGGCTGTACAGTTGCCACATAAGGCTGTAAGAACCTTAAGGTGACCAAATTTTGTTGGCTGATGATTAAATAGGTTTTATAAGCAATTATAGTGTATCTTTGGGGTGAATCCTATTAAATTTTTAGTACCTCTCACTTTTCAAAATACAACTTTGGCAGCAAAAAGAAAGTTACATGGGCCATGATACATCAGCAGGACAGGACCCAGGATCCCAGCCTCTGTACTACTGTCGAGGCTGCCAGAGATGGGAAATCCTTTTCCTGAAGCACTGGCACCTCCCCTTTTCCATCTGTGGGCCCCAGACAGCAGTTGGATTTGTGGGATATGTCTGTTGACATTTACTGTGTTAGAAAATTTGAAAATACTGGCCAGGCGCAGTGGCTTACGCCTGTAATCCCAGCACTTTGGGAGGCCGAGGTGGGCAGATCACATGAGGCCAGGAGTTCGAGACCAGCCTGAGCAACATGGCAAATCCCCGTTGCTACAAAAAAAGTAGCTGGGTGTGGTGGCGCACTTCTGTAAGCCCAGCTACTTGGGAATCTGAGGCACAAGCACCACTTGAACCCAGGAGACAGAGGTTGCAGTGAGCCGAGATCGCACCACTGCACTCCAGCCTCGGCGACAGAGTGAGACTCTGTCTCAAAAAAAAAAGAAAAAAAATTTCAGCCTGGGCAACATAGCAAAAGTGTCTCTACTAAAAATCCAAAAAAATTGCAGAGTGGTGGCGCACACTTGTAGTCCCAGCTATTCGGGAAGCTAAGGTAGGAGAATCACCTGGGCCTGGGAGGCAGAGGCTGCAGTCAGTTGAGATGGCACCACTGTACTCCAGGCTGGACAACCTGAGTTGAGACCTTGTCTCAAAAAAAAAAAACAAAAAAAAACCTATTATTAATTCATTTAAAGATGACTATAGTAGACCTGTGACATATTAGCATAAATAACTTATTATTAAAAATCTATTTTGCAAATCTCTTTAATACTCAGCTTACTAAGAAGGCAGCTGCTAGGTTCCCGTGGCTATTTCTGTGTCCATCCTCTTGCGTTCTTTGTGAGGGTTTGAAGCATGGTGAAGAAAATGTAACTAGCATGGAGAAGAGGTTGGAGAGTGGAGGAGCGTTTCCATAGGCTTTTTGGATCATTGTGCGTTTCCTCCTCTAATGAGAAACCAAAATCCAGAGTGGCTAGTCTCTACTGGTGAGTTGGCCCTTAGACTCTGAAACCTCATCATTGAGCTTTTTGTACATGGGTTACATTAAAATCCGTGGGACTCTTTTACACTTTGAACAGAAAAATCTGTTTTTAAAACTAACTTTTAATTTTAGAATAGTCTTAGACTCACAGAAAAGTTGCAAAGATCAGTCCTGCAAACCTCATCCCAGTCTCCACATTGTTAACAGACTACAGAACATGTGTCACAAGTAGTGAGCCAGGGTCCATGTATTATTTTAACCGAGTTCATACTTTATTCTGATTTCCTCAGTTTTTTCCAGCTGTCCTTTTTCCCTTACGTTATATTTAATCCTTGCGTCTCCCTAGATTCCTTGGACTATGACAGTTTCTCGTACTTTCTTTGTTTTGGGTTACCTTGTCAGTTTTGAGGAGCAGAGGTCAAGTGTTCTGTAGAATGTCAGTGCATTGGGATTTGTCAGATGCTTTTCTCACAGGCAGGTGATGGATTTGGGGGAGGAAGACCACAGAGGGTGAAGTGCTCTTCTCGTCACATCATATCAAAGGTACTGCTGGTCTTGAATGAACGATCGTTTTGGTGAGGTGCCATTTGTCAGGTTTTTCTACTGTAAAGTTACCCTTCCCTCCTTCCCCTGCTCCACCATTTCCATACTGTCCTCTTTGGAAGGAAGTTACTATGTGTGGCCCACTCTTTTTTTTTTTTTTTTTTTTTTTTGAGATGGAGTCTCACTGCGTTACCTAGGCTGGAGTGCAATGGCATGATCTCGGCTCACTGCAACCTCTGCCTCCCAGGTTCTAGTGATTCTCCTGCCTTAGCCTTGTGAGTAGCTGGGATTACAGGCACTTTAGAGAAGGGGTTGTTCACCAAGTTGGCTAGGCTGGTCTCAAACTTCTGGCCTCCTGTGATCCACCCGCCTCGGCTCCCAAAGTGCTAGGATTCCAGGTGTGAGCCACCGTGCCTGGCGACACAGCCTACTCTTGAGGAATGGGGACTCATGCTCACCTCTTCAAAGGTGAATTGTCTGCATAAATTATTTGGGATTCTTCTGCCTGACAGTTTTATCTTTTCTTCCCCTGAATGACATTTTACTCACGTATGAGTTTGTAATACCATTGAATGTTGGAAAATAGTAGTTTACTGGGTTATAGAGACGTTTCAGATACACATATCATCATTTAGTGTCACAAAATCAGATTTGTCAATGTCACCACCTATCCGTTGGGAAGTTGTTGAGCTCACAGCAAGTAGCAAATATAAGTTTTCCAAAATTCTGATTTTTGATTAATGGAAGCTCGTACTTTATCACTGGTACCAGATACCCTTGGGTGTTTTTCATGAAGCACCAGGCTTTGCATGAATGCTCACGCGAGCGTTTCTCTTCATGGCGCCATTCCACTGCAGTATGCAGCAGGAGGGCTTCTTCCTGTCGTACTTTGTCATGGGATACCACAGAGACACTACTCAGAGGTTGACGTTTAATCGCATTTCATGACTGCCCCCCGAGGTGAGTGGCGTCCCCTTCTGCAGATGAAGAAACTTGGCCTCATTGAGGTTTGGTGAATGGGCCAGTCGCCCCAACACCTGCAGAGGTGCACCCAGCCCCCTCAGTGGTCCTCGTGGGTCACTTGTGGCCATTCTGCACTGAGCAACTGGAGCAGGTCTGATTGGGTTGTGGGTGTACCTAGCTGGCTAGGGGGACAGGTGCAAGTGATGGGGATCCAGCCACTTGTGATGCAGATGTTTAAAAGAGGGGCAGGAGGTTTCCAGGCACAGCGAGCACTTTCCATTCATTGAGAAAGTTTGTGGTCGTTTCAGAAGCAGTGTGTGTTTCATGTTTGTGGCTTTCATGCACACAGGTGACTTCTCTCTCCCTGTGTATTGGCGAGGAAGCTGGCATCTCTCCCAGGAGATGCCTTCAGTTCATTTGCTGTAGGGAGTCCTTCCTCCACCCTGCTTGAGGAGTTCTCACCATGTTTTCTCCCTGGAGGAAAGTGGGCCTAGCATGGGTGTAGGGACCAGCATCAGGAGGGGTGCTGCGATCAGTGGCCAGGGTTTCTCCTCCTCTTTGTCCTTTACTCTCCCCACACCAGGCCCTCAGGAGCCTGGATTCCTGAGCTCCACAACCATCCTACCCCTTCCAGCAGGCTTTGGCCCACTTGCAGTGTGAGTGTCCACCACCTCTGAGGTTTGTTTCTTTCCTTTTTTAAAAGACAGGGTCTTGCTCTGTCTCCCAAACTGGAATGCAGTGGTACAGTCATAGCTCACTGTAGCCTCCAGCTCCTGGGCTCAAGTGATCCTTCTGCCTCAGTCTCTTGAGTAGCTGGGACTACAGGTGCTTGCCACCATGCCCAGCTTTTTAATTTTTTTAGAGACAGGGTCTCACTGTGTTGCCCAGGCTGGTCTTGAACTCCAAAGCTCAGGTCATCCTCTCACCTCAGCCTCCCAAAGCGCTGGGATTGCAGGCATGAACCATCGCACCTGGCCATATTTTGTTTCTGACCATCCCCTGACTTGTCTTGTGATTTGGGTAAGTTATCATTTCTTGATAGAGTCCGAGGGCCACATCTGTGTCCTCACACTGCCTCCTCCTTCACACCTCAGGGACTTAGCTTGTGGATGCTACTGGCTGTCCAGGATCCTTCAGCCATAAATAAAGGTTCACTATTCCAAAAATGACATAGTGGGGCTCAGTGGCTCACGCCTGTTACAGCACTTTGGGAGGCTGAGGTGGAAGGATCACCTGATCCCAAGAAGTTCAAGACCAAGCCTGGGCAATACATAGTAGTTCCCATATCTACCAATAAATAACAAATTAATTCGCTGGGTGTGGTGGCTCGTGCCTGTAGTCCCAGCTACTCAGGAGGCTGAGGTGGGAGGATCGCTTGAGCCCAGGAAGTCGAGGCTGTAGTGAGCTGTGATTGTACCATTGCACTCCAGCCTGGTTTACAGAATGAGACCCTGTCTCAAAAAAAATAAAATATGACCGAGCGCGGTGGCTCATGCCTGTATCTCAGCACTTTGGGAGGCCGAGGTGGGCAGATCACTTGAGCCCAGGAGTTTGAGACCAGCCTGACCAACGTGGTGAAACCCTGTCTCTACTAAAAATACAAAAATTAGCCAGGTGTGGTAGTGGGCGCCTGTAGTCCCAGTTACTGGAGAGACTGAGGCCGGAGAATCACTTGAACCTGGGAGGCAGAGTTTGCAGTGAGCCAAGATCGCGCCACTGCACTCCATCCTGGGCAATAGAGGGAGACGCTTGTCTCCAAATAAAGATATTTGATGACCTGAATTAGCAGCTGCCAGTCACATGGGGCCTATCCTCTCTAACCCCACACCTCCTCTTTAGGGTTCCCCCAGGGTCCTGGCACAGTGAGGGGTCCACACAGGAGCTCAGGTGCTGTAGGAGCCCAGGTTGTCTGCAGGTCCTGGTGTGTGACCTTAGGAAGTCATGTGGCCCTCCCTTAAGATTGTTCCCTGTACTGGGAACTGGGGGTAATGATGGAGCTGTGGAGAGGATTATGTGGAAGGGTGAATTTTGGTGGTTGGCCTAGGAATGGCCATCATAAAGGCTCAGCAGGTGTTTACTGGGTTTTTGAAACCTGAAAAGTTAGCCTTTCATTTCTTCGATTGTAGTCATTTCTAATGCATGTGTCTTCCTGTATTTCTAAGCAGAACGTGCTGGATTTGATGTGGCCTCCCCCATGGTGTCAGCTGCTGACAAGATTGGGCTGCAGTGGCCTCTGTGGGCGGGTAGAGGCTGCTGGCCCACATGAGCATGGTACTAAGGTCTCCTAGGCTTGTCTCTACTACCCTCAGCCAAGCTATTCTGCACGCCCCCGAGACTGGCCCCTGTCACAGTGAGGTCCTCTGGGCCTCCCTGGCTGGGCCCTTTGACTTCAGGGGCTGTTGCGTTCCTAGAAGGCGTTCTGGCAGCGCCGGCTGGCCGCCCCCTGGCTGTGCTGATGCTGGGGGCGGGCACTGCATGGGGCTCCTCTGCTCTAGCTGGGGACCTGGGACTGCTCCCTTCTGTACTGGGGAAAGGAGAGCAGGCAGGGATGGGCTCAGAGGTCTGGGCCAGCCACACAGACTCTCTCTCTTTTTCCTGAGCTCTTTAGCCAGCACTGTGGCAGTGCTCACCATAATGGATTCCCAGAGCGGTCGTTGGACCTGAAGTCTCCAGGAAGAATGATGGCTGAGTTTCAAAAATCCCATCCCAGCTGCTCACCTCCACGGCCTCTGAGGCAGAGAAGCAGAATGTGTTCTGTCTTCCTGGGCCCCACAAAGCAGGCTCTGGGCTTTTCTCTCACATCCCAGCCAAGAGGAGCTCAAGTTACATGGCGGGAGAAGTGTGATGGATGCTAAGAAGGGAGTTGAGGGAACCGCAGAGGGGCTGCGGCTGGCGAGAAGCAGGTGGGCCTCAGGGCATGGGGAGCGGGGTGACTCGGGAGGACACCAGACAACCCCCAGGAGTTCTTCAGTGTTTTTTTTTTGGAGACTGAGTCTCGGTCTGTCATCCAGCATGGAGTGCAGTGGCACAATCTCGGCTCACTGCAAACTCCACCTCCCGGGTTCACGCCATTCTGCTGCCTCAGCCTCCCGAGTAGCTGGGACTACAGGTGCCCGCCACCATACCCGGCTAATTTTTTTTTTTTTTTTTTTTGTATTTTTAGTAGAGATGGGGTTTCACCATGTTAGCCAGGATGGTCTCGATCTCTTGACCTCGTGATCCGCCCGCCTCGGCCTCCCAAAGTGCTGGAATTACAGGTGTTAGCCACCACACCCGGCCTAGTTCCTCAGTTTTGGGGCACAGCCTGTGTCTAGACAACAGAGCTCTCTTTCTATCAGCTGAGTGTCTCTGAGTGAACACCACCCCTTGGGAAAGGAGGGAGGACTGCGTGGGGTCCCAGTGAGCAGCCCCCACGTCCAGGTTGCAGTGAATGCTGCCAGAATTGTATGTCAGCACACCCACTACACAGGGGCCTGACACACAAGATATTGCCCGGACTGGCCTGGGCAACACAGCGAGACCCCACCTGTACAAAAACTTTAAAAATGCAGTGAGCCATGATCGTGCCACTGTGCTCCAGCGTAGGCAACAGAGTGAGAGACCCTGTCTCAATATCAAAAATTGAAAATTGAAAAAAATTAGCCAGGTGTGGTAGTGTTTCCCTGTGGTCCCAGCAGCTTGGGAGGCTAAGATGGGAGGATCACTGGAGCCCAGGAGTTCCAGGCTACATTGAACTATGATCACACCATTGCACTCCAGCCTGACAAGAGTGAGACCCTGTCTCTAAAAAAAGAAGTTGCTCAGTGGTAGGACTAACTTGGGGAACTGATAACTGTGTCCTTTTTCTCTGTCACAGGATTTTTCTTTTTCTTTTTTTTTTTTTCTTTTTTTTTTTTTTTTTTGAGACGGAGTCTGGCTGTCGCCCAGGCTGGAGTGCGCAGTGGCACGATCTCGGCTCCCTGCAGGCTCTGCCCCCCGGGGTTCATGCCATTCTCCTGCCTCAGCCTCCCGAGTAGCTGGGACTACAGGCGCCCGCCACCTCGCCTGGCTAATTTTTTGTATTTTTAGTAGAGACGAGGTTTCACTGTGTTAGCCAGGATGGTCTCTATCTCGTGACCTCGTGATCCGCCCACCTCGGCCTCCCAAAGTGCTGGGATTACAGGCGTGAGCCACCGCGCCCAGCCTGTCATAGGATTTTTCTAGGAGTGTTTCTTGAAGGCAGGTAGAGAGACTGGATGAAGCATGAGGAATTGCTTTCTGGCTTGACTCACTTCACTCCAGGTGCTGCCTGAAGCTGGGGTGCCTCCCAGCCTGCAGACTGCCTCCTCCTTTTCCATGGGACCCTCTTCAGCCCCTTTCATTGTTGGGCAGCTCTGGTCTCCCACATGACCTTCCTAGAGCTGTTCTCATCTTGAGTCTGCACCTGTCTGGGGGGCCTCTGTGCAGGCTGCTGTTGGTCCCTCTGTCAGGGGGTGCTTTAAGGCTCAGTGGGTAGTTACTTGGGTAAACCCTTTCTTTCCCCCTTCTCTTTCCCTGCTTTGTCCCAGGGTAGCATCTGAGGGAGGAAGTGGAGTTACAGTGATATGGGTTAGCTCCCCAGGGGCCAGCCTGGGCCATTGGCTCCATTAGCTTAGTGGTTTAAAGCAGCGAGGTATTGACGTTTTTCAGTCTGTCAGTTCTGCTGGTTGGCTGGTCCCGCCCAGCTGGGCACTGTTGCTGGGGCCCTCTGGTCTTTGCAGTTGCATGTCAGCTGGGCTGGGTGTCCCCAGTGGTTTCATCACTCACATGTGATGGCCAAAACAGCTGGGACTGGCTGGACCAGTCTCTGTGCCTGTCTCCATCTCCCCCACTATAGCGGGGGCTAGTGTGGGCCTCTGATCCCGTGGTGGTTTGGGGCAGTCAGACCTCAGCTCTCCTAGAGCAAGCATTCCGAGGGCTCAGGCAGAAGCTGCAAGGCTTCTGTGACCTCACCTGAAAAGGCTGCCACGTCACTTCCTCTGCATTCTGTAGTTTGGGAATTGAGCCATAAAACCAGCCCAGGTCAAGTACTACGGGGGCTATGAGTAGATGCAGCCAGAGCCTCCGGCCTCCTCAGGACTGCAGAGATGGGCCGGGGGCCTTGCAGAGTTTGGTCTGGTGTACAGGGTTTGTCAGCCATGAGTATTAGGGCTCCTTCTTCATATCCACAAAAGCGCTTGGACTCAAAAAATAGGAATTTGGCTTCCAGGGTCTGTTGCTTTACAAAGACGCACGATGACACACAATTCAGAAATCCTTGTGAGTGAGTTTCCCTTTCCTCCAGCAGCACAACATCTATGTGCACGAGGGAAGCAGCTGCCCACCGTGCAAGGGGGTCCATCAGTCCGTGGCGCTGGTTCCTCCTGAACTCACAGCCCCAACCCTGGAACCTCCATCAAGGCAAGAGGAGGAAGTGGGCGCTCCCCAGCCTTGCCAGGCCCCCAGCAGACCCAGTCTGCCCTTGGGGGGTTTGTGAATGTTCAGGTGTCACATTTCAGGACCTGTTTACTGAGATTGTCTGCTCTGTAATGGGCTCCCACTCTTTCCTCAGAAAGCTGTCAGGTCAGGCAGATGTTTCAGGTTTGCCATTGCTTCCATCTGGGAGCTGCAAGGCGAAGGCACGGGCGGCCTGTTTGCTGCCCTTATCTTCCCAGTGTTGGGGACCCCAGGAAGTACTGTCTTCTAAGGCCCGACAATCCAAAAGAAAATCACTCCTGCATGCTCCTATCCCCTTCAAGGTTGCATCCTGTCAGAGCATCCATCTTGCCTCTGGAGGCCGTGGTGCTGCTGCCATCTGGGTTTTGGGGGCTGCTGGATGTGGGCGGCTGGCTCTGAAGAGGCAGCATGTGATCTGACAGCAGGATGCTCCCGCCCCACCAAATGACAGCCTTGGGGCAGCTCCCGGCAAACAACTCCATTTCCTTCTCCGAGGTGGGAATGGGACCTGGTGCAGGGGACGCAGGCTGTCGGGGCAAACCTCTCTCTCCATTCTAGGGGCATGCAGGGTGGCTATGAGTGCTCTCAGGAAGGTCACTGTTCCCGAGGCCTGAGCTGAGCACTTTCAGATCAGCAGGGCTGCCTGATCCCCCTGCAGCCAGCCGGCTGTCTAAGGTGCCCGAGCCTCCTCAGCACTGAAGTCTCACCTCACCAGGCAGCCCTGAGAGGCTGCGGGACAGGGATTCCTCTGCCCTGCCATGCAGGAGCCATGGAGAGGGAAGTGTCACTTGCAAGAGGCAGAATCAAGTGAGACCCAGGTGTCTTCTAGCTCACTGGGTGAGGGCTCTCTCCACAGCCTGACTTGCCGGCAGTCGTTTGAAGTCCAAGGCTGGGCAAGGGTGGCCAGTGAGCTCCAGGCCTCAGCTTGCTAAAGGAGCTACTCCACAGGAGCATGCGGGCTCAGGGCTCAGCACCCTCACATGACAGGCTCAGCCAGCCTCTCCCCCATCCCCAGCCATCATAGACTTAGGAGGAGATTCCTGGCTCTGAGGACATGGGGGCTTGCCCCCTTCTCTGGGGCTGTGGTATCACCCCAGGGCTGGATACCCCCTTGCCCTTTGTTCATCTGGTCCTGGGAACACCTTGTCCCTTGTTGGGAGCTGAGGCTGTGCCACAGAGTGGGGCCATAGGTCCCTGGGTGCTGTGCCGGTGCCACACCCACCTGAAGGAGGTCGTGATGGCCCCCAGCTCAGGGTGCAGGAACCTGCTTGTCAGACAGGTGCTGACATGTCACCCTGCAAGGCAGGGGGAGGGAGGGCTCATCTTCATAGGGGGGTGGGGTGGGGTGCCGTGCAGGGAGCCAAAGGCACTTAGATGGGCTTGCTGGGCCGAGGGTGGGTGGGCCAGTCACTGGGCTGGGGGTGGCTAAGGAACACAGACCCACCAGCCAGCCCTTCTTGGGAAGCTCTGGGGGGTTTCTGCTCAGACCTGCACTCCCCCGAGTGGAACCCCGAGTTCTGCCATGACCTTCACCCCGAGGCAAGGGGACAGGGCCGGGCAGGCTTCCTGAGGCATGTTGAAGAGGGATGTTCTGCAGGCAGAACATGGCCATGCTGGGCCATGTCTGTGGGCCAGGCCCCAGGAGGGCGGGGGATGTTAACAGCTTGGTTCATGTCAGGTAGGGCCTGGTGAGCCCAAGATGAGTGTTTGCACAAGGGACAAGTGAGCTGGCAGGGCTGGTGTTGGCTCTAGCAGAGCCCTCATCCCACCCTTGCACACAGCCAGCAGCCCACCCTGCTAGGCCTGAAAGAGGTGAGGAGGAAAGGTTCTAGTGGGAAATGGTTCTGTGGCTGGAGAAGGCATTGCTGGGCCCTGCCTGTCTCCCCAAGCCAGCCTGGAGGAGGATTTCTTGTACCGAGGCCTCACGAGCTACAGGTCATGGTCATCCCTAACTTCCCTAGTGTGTGCAAGACTTGGGGGATCTTGCTGAAATACAGACTTTGATCAAGCAGGTCTGGGGCAAGGAGGACACGCTTCATTTATACAAGTTCCGGAGAAGCTGCCCTGCTGCTATGGCGGTGACAGCGGTGGTCAGACATTCACGGGGCCAGCCCCAAGCCCACCTACAGCCTTGCCCCCACCTGCCGCTCCCCTGTTGTGTCTGTCCATCCTGGTAGACTGAACCCTAAGGACAGAAATTCCTTTTATCCAGGGGTTCCTCCCCACTGCCTGCTATAGCACCTGCTTTTTAAATGAGCTCTCAGCAGATGTAAGGAATGAATGAATGAATGAATGAGGGAGAGGGGTATGTCTTTCCTGCATACCAGGCAGGCCTGTTCAGAGAACCACAAAGGTCCCAGCCTCCAAGGACAGCTCCTTCCCGGCACTGGCTGAGGGGACACTAAATATTAACCACGTACTGGCCGCTGGTTGCTGAGCAGCTGAAAGCCATAACCTTTTGCTGTGGAAGTGGGATCGTGTCTCAATTTAAGTTTATAATCCCGGCCTCTCCTCCAGGAAATTCTATGGAAGTTCCTGGCAGGTAACAGAATTTCTGTGCTTGTGAGGTCAGGGCCAGTGCCAGCGGGTCAGGGAGTGGGGGTGGTGCGTGTCAGCGAGCGGGTGAGACCATTTACGCTGATAACAGCCTGGCCTGCTTCCAGGGATTTTTGTAGGTCACATAAAATCTCTTGATCACTACGTTTTACATTAAGGCTTCTCAAGATGGGCAGGACGGGCTTATGGGATTTGTCCTGAACTATCACATCACTTCCAAATAAACTTGGTGCCCGGGACGGCTGCTGTGGAGTGAATGGCAGACGCTGTCCCTGGGCCACGATGCCATCCCTCTCAGCATGTTGGGCTAGATTTCCACTGGTTTTGTTTACTTTAGACAGTTTTTATAATTAAATATTTCCCTGAAATAATGCCTGCAATCATTTTGAGCCACATGCTCTTTTTCCTGAATTAAAGATCTCTTTTAGAAAGTACTGAGACTCTTAAAGCCTCTCTCCTTTAAAAAGTGAGCTTAACAAAGTTTTTCATTTTAGAAACTTAGAGGGGCCAGTGACCCTGCTGTGTGCGGTGTATGTAGAGGTGACTGGAGCCTGTGGTGCAGCAACAGTCCCCTGTGGGCTGGCGCCACACAGGAAGTGCCTGCAGCTCCACAGCCCTGGGGTGAGCCTGGCGCCTCCATTTTCTGACAGTACCTGAACCTTTACCTCCCTTCTCAAAATGAAGGCTGCGTGTCACAAACCGGTTGGAACTGGCCGTTGCCATGGTTTTCACGTTGGAAGGCACAGTTAAAGGGTCATGTGACCAAGGAGGGAAATGCCTTTGTCACATGACTTTTTGGTGGCCTGATTAGCATACAGGAAGTTCACTCCCTGCTGGCTGCTGGGATGCTGAGTGATCATTGATGGGTGGTGACATCATCTCTTGGATGAGTTATTGATTAGTCGCAGGCCAAGATGGGGCCAGGGAGCGCTGTGGGCAGAGCAGCCCTCTCAGGCAGCTTCAGCTGCTAGGTGGTCTGGACCCCTCGCCTACCCTCTTCCTTCAGGCAGGTTTGAATTTTATTAGACATCTCACCTCTGGAAGAAGCACACGCCCTCAATAAGATGATAAGAAGGGTTAAGTCCCTTAGAGCTTGGCTGTCATTTCATTTCAGCTCATGCTAGCCCAGGAATTGTGTCTGTAACTCTATACAAGATGCTGCCTTGGCCCCCTGCTCCCCTGTTCACTTTGGAGGCCACCTGGGTGGAGGCCAGCTGCTGCACCTCTGTGCTGAAGCCTTGGGACTGCCTGCCTCTGAGGTGCTCAGTGTGTGTACACGTCCAGGGAACCTGGAATTAGAGCCCTGAGGTCACCTTGAAAGTCGATCTTGGGCGGCATGGGGCCGGCAGCAAGGAGAGACATGCTGGCGGTTTGCTAAGACCTGAGTGAGGTGTCCTGGGTTACTTTAGAAACAAACTACCCGGTTCTGGGCTTCAGAATGTGGGCTGATAACCCCTTGCCTGGGGGATTGTATACTTCGAAATCGTACCTTTCTGTCCACGCCCAGGTCTCTGGTGAGAAGCTGCTTCATCAGGGCTAGGACCAGCGTTCAGGTACAGCCACCACGTAGCTGTGGTGGGTGGAATTAGGAGGGACCAGAGGAGAGCAAGTAAAGCGGTTCCTGAGTCCAGCATCTGGCGAGTCCAGGGTAGCATTGGTGAAGCCTTAACCTCTGGTGCTCTGTGTCTACCCTTCCCTGAGGACGCAGCTCATGGGTGTGGAGGGGACCTCAGAGGTCCCGAGGGCTGCTAGAGCAGAGTCAGGTTCTTCATCCTAGCGACTCTCCTCAACCCTGCCGGGGTCTAATTATCAACTAGACCCTGGCACAGCAAGAGCCAGGACAACTTTGAGCTGCGGCAACCAGTTAACTTTGTCCGAGTTTGTTCTCTGGGTCACAGTGCCACCTAGAGGACGTGTCTGTCCTTGGCTGGTTTTCCTGCTGACAAAAAAAATGGACTTGATTCACTTCGATGAATGTACAATGAGGCCGAGGCGGGCGGATCATCTGAGGTCAGGAGTTCAAGACCACCCTGGCCAGCATGGTGAAACCCTGTCTGTACAAAAATACAAAAAAAAAATTAGCCCGGCATGATGGTGCATGCCTGTAATCCAGCTACTCAGGAGGCTGAGGCAGGAGAATCACCTGAACCGGGGAGGTGGAGGTTGCAGTGAGCCGAGATTGCACTACGGCACTCCAGCCTGGGCGACAGAGCAAGACTCCATCTCAAAAAAGAAGAAAGAGAATACAATGAACCCAGATCATCAGGGACAGTTTGCCTTGTGCCGTCAGCAAATGGAGCTGCTTGGTTGGGGACAAAGTGCCATCTTTGGGACTTGCGTTGGGTCAGCGACACCACAGCAGGTGTTCAGCCTTGCGCCTTCAGTAGTGTCAGCTGTACACATACATCCTAGAGGATCGTTCACAGGAAAGGGAAAATCAGACTAGTGTGTTCCTGCCTGGGTCAAATGACTTGGGGTGCCTTGAGCACTTGTCTCGGAGCCTGGCCTGCAGTTAGCACAGAATGGATATTCACTGTTTCCCAGTTCTGATGAATAACAGCAGCTCATCAGCCACACTCTTAGACGTTTGTGACCATACTTTGACAAAATAACAAAAGAGGAAAGCCTGCAAGTACTTCCCCGATTGTCCCCTGGTGCTTCCCAACTGGTAGTGAGATGCCGTGGGCCGACGGTGAAAAGGGGAGGAACAGGCCTTAGGTCAAGTTCACAGGTGGAAGTGAGCTCCCCAGACCGTGGCAAATTCATTAGAAAGAAAAAGGTGTGGGGGCTGGAATCATGAGAACTGTCTCATGTTGCAGTTTTGAGCTGGGACTTACGGAGTGGGCAGCAGGGTAACAGGCAGAATGACCTTGGCATCCACGTGGGGCTGGAGGCAGCCAGCCAGAAACCAGTCCATGAGTAGATCAGGCAGGTGAAGAGTCTCTGGTCTTTGAGAGAACTTGTGTCCTAGTCAGTTTCAAAACAGACAGCCACTGCCGCCATGTGGGGCCCAAGAAGGGCCATCTAGCACCTGGTGCCACCTTGTGAGCAAGCTGGCAGCCTGTGGATACACCCCTCGGTCTTCTGGGGACAGGTTGGCTGCCAGGTGTGAGGGCTTTGGCCTGCCTGAGTGGAGAGAAGAAAATCTGGTTCACGCAGGGAGCTGGGCTCCCCTTCAAGGGGTTTCCACCATGGCCAGGGGCTGCGGGCTGGTGGCGAGGCACACACATGCCATCAGACCCAGCATGCTCAAGCCCCCACAATGGCTAACACTGAGCAGGGCCCCAGGATCCCGAGCCGAGTGTTTACCTGATCCGAGGCACACGGTAGAGGGAGCAGCCATGTTTTCCAAAGTCACCATGTCATGCTCAGGGGCATACGCACCCTCAGCCCTGGCGACATGGCGGCAGGCATGAAGTCCCTACCATCAGGGTGCCCACCTGGGCACTGGGATTGGGTGCCCTATGACGTGTGGGTAAGAAGAAGGAGGCAGCCTGGGAGCCATGGGGCAGGGCAGGGGATGTGGAGGATGCAGGGCAGACAGGGAACAGACGGGGAGGTCTCAGCTCCCTGCCATGTGTCCACAGGGGTGGGCACTGGGTCCAGCTGTCAAGGGCGCTCTGGTCACTACTGTCTCCACCCCACAGTGACATGAAGTCCGAGAGGAGACCCCCCTCACCTGACGTGATTGTGCTCTCCGACAACGAGCAGCCCTCGAGCCCGAGAGTGAATGGGCTGACCACGGTGGCCTTGAAGGAGACTAGCACCGAGGCCCTCATGGTGAGCCACGTGTTGGCGCTGCCGCCGGAGCCCCACTGTGCCCTTCCTACTCATGACACCCTCAGGTGGAGCTAGTGATGGCAGGGCCTCTGCTCCTCACCAAGGACGCTCCCTCTCAACCCTGTTCCTCTCGCCCCTGCAGAAAAGCAGTCCTGAAGAACGAGAAAGGATGATCAAGCAGCTGAAGGAAGAATTGAGGTTAGAAGAAGCAAAACTCGTGTTGTTGAAAAAGTTGCGGCAGAGTCAAATACAAAAGGAAGCCACCGCCCAGAAGGTGCGTGCCTGTCTCCCCTCCTTCCTGGGCCAGCAGGAGCGCCTGGCCTTGCCTTGATCCCCTCATCAATGTCAGCGGCCAGAAAGGTGAAAGGGCTTCCTTGAGGGAGTATAGGGCAAGGTCCCACTCCCGCATTTGTGGACTCCAGTGTGCATTTTGGATTCAGCTTACAAGATGTTAAAGTGAATTTCAGTCTAGAGTATTCTGGTTCTGAGGGTCTAAAGCTCACTTTTTTTTTTTTTTTTTTGAGATGGAATCTCACTCTGTCGCCAGGCTGGAGTGCATTGACGCAACCTTGGCTCACTGCAACCTCTGCCTCCTGGGTTCAGGTGATTCTCCCGCCTCAGCCTCCCGAGTAGCTGGGACTACAGGCGCGTGCCACCACACCCAGCTAATTTTTGTGTTTTTAGTGGAGACGGGGTTTCACCACATTGGCCAGGATGGTCTGGATCTCTTGACCTCGTGATCCGCCCACACGGGCCTCCCAAAGTGCTGGGATTACAGGCGTGAGCCACTGTGCCCGCCCTAAAGCTCACTTAGACAACAGGTGTCAAGGAAGTGGAGCACAGATGTCTGGTGCCGCTGGAAGCATGTTTCTGGGTGAAGCACTCTGTGCAGAAAGGCCGCCTGCACTGTGGGCGCAGGGGATGCCCCAGTCTCTACCATCATCCCTCCTGCTGTGTGCGTCTCAGTCCCCTCCCAGCTGCAAGTGTGCTGAGCTCCCGTGGATCTCAGCCCCAACTGTCGGGAGGGTCCTGCTTCTGTTTCTTCTTCCCTGGAGCCCGAAGCTCGCTGTTGCGCTGCTTCTAGATGCAGCTTAATGGGCAGCGAGGTTAAGTTTATTTTGTTAGGCTTTTTGAGTGCTCTGTTCTGGGAAACTCCGACCTTCCAAGTACTTTAGTCATTGCCTCAGTGACCCAGAAAGTAAGTGTGTTCTGGGCAGCAGGAGCTGAAGGAAGGACAGGACTCTCTCTGCTCTGGCTTGGGGTTTGTTTTTTGAAACCCTGCCCCCACTGCCCCCGCGCCCCCTCCCCGCCCCCCACCTTACACCTACCTAGTTAGCAAGTGGATTGGAAAGAGCCTGCTGGTTTCTTTTTTCTATTTCTTTGTCACTTGTCGAAAACTCATGGAGGGACACCAAGTCTGTCACTGGCCCTTCTCTACTGGAACATGCAGCTTTAAAAAGTGCCCAGAGTCACCGTTTTCTCACTGAGATTGAGATCTCCCTGTCTGGGCCATGGGTCCTTTGCCTCAGCAGTGCTGCCACCATCAGCCATTCTGTCCCCTAGAGGGCACAGCGGGTGCCAGGATACTGCGTGGGTGTCAGGGAGCAGCCAAGAAGTGATGCTGAGAGTAGGGGGTGGGGCTGCTGGAAAATCTCTTCTAGGCCCATGTAGAAATTGTCACTTCCCACTGCAGATGGGGTCACTTTCAGCCTTCAAGCAGAACCTCTGAGCGCCTGATGCCGTAGAGGAGGAAGACAGTCAGTCCTCTTCGGCAGCATTAAATCTTGGCAACTCCGTGTGAGGAGAGGGACCGGCCCGGTGGCCCCTCACCTCCTGGTGTCCTGCTCTCTTGCAGCCCACAGGTTCTGTTGGGAGCACCGTGACCACCCCTCCCCCGCTTGTTCGGGGCACTCAGAACATTCCTGCTGGCAAGCCATCACTCCAGGTCAGTGTCCTTTCTGCGTCTCACTGGGTGCCCTGCTGGCACTGCTGCTGTCAAGCACAGGCTCCTCGGGCTCCCAAACAGCCCTGGCCCAGGTTCTGCAAGAGGTTGCGCTTTCCTTCTGAGTAGGCTGGAGTGAGGCCCTCCAGCCCACAGCCTAGGGGAAGAAGCACACGTGCACTTTCCAAGCCCCACGGCCCAAAGTAGGCCACTGTTAATGTCACAGACAGAAATCATGGCCAACACTGGAAGGGGGCTTTCCAGTGAGCGCCCCTAGCAAGCCTGATCTCCCTTCGTGTTGACTCTTCCGGCCAGAGAGCCTCCTTCCAGGGCCTCCAGGTGAGGGGCAGAGGTTTTCTCCCAGCCATATGGCTGAGGTCAGAAGAGGCCCTCCTGCCCCTCCCTCTCAAACAGGCCTGAGCCCTCAGCTTGCTCTAGGGGGTGACCATGCCCATCCTGCCGTGGGCCGGCCAGTGTCACGTGAGAATGAACTGCCACGTTGGTGGGACTCACTCAGGAGTGAGCCCAGGTTTGCACGGCTCTGGGTGGAGTCACTATTCCTTGTTCCAGTATCTAGAATCAGTAGTCATCTTTCTTAATTTTGTGTTATACGTTTGCCTTGTTAGTTTGTTTGAGACAGGGTCTTGCTCTGTTACCCAGGCTGGAGTGCAGTGGCACGATCTCAGCTGACTGTAGCCTCTGCCTTCTAGGCTTAAGCCATCCTCCTGCCTCAGCCTCCCAAGTAGCCAGGATTACAGGCACACACCACCATGCCTGGGTAATTTTTCCATTTTTTGTAGAGATGAGGTTTCACTGTTACCCAGGCTGTTCTCAAACCCCTGGGCTCAAGATATCCACCCGCCTTGGCCTCCCAATGTGTTGGAATTACAGGCGTGAGCCACCACACCCAGCCAGCTTTTTTTTCTTTTTTTCTTTTTTTCTTTTTGAGATGGAGTCTTGCTCTGTCGCCCAGGCTGGAGTGCAGTGGCGCGATCTTGGGTCACTGCAACCTCCGCCTCCCAGGTTCAAGCAATTCTCCTGCCTCAGCCTTCTGAGTAGCTGGGACTACAGGCACGTGCCACCACGCCTGGCTAATTTTTGTATTTTTAGTAGAGATGGGGTTTCACCACGTTGGCCAGGCTGGTCTCAAACTTCTGACCTCATGATCTGCCTACCTCGGCCTCACAAAGTGCTGGGATTACAGGCATGTGCCACTGTGCCCATCCATAATTTTCTTTAACTTCTCTGCTACTTAAAAAAAAAAAAAAAAAAAAACTAGTATGTACTTTCATAAAAGCAGCAAAACTGCTTGCTTTAAAAAAAGTGTGGGGGGGTCCGGTCCATGTAAATCTGGGTCTTGGTATCGTTGGCAGACCTCTTCAGCTCGGATGCCCGGCAGTGTCATACCCCCGCCCCTGGTCCGAGGTGGGCAGCAGGCGTCCTCGAAGCTGGGGCCACAGGCGAGCTCACAGGTCGTCATGCCCCCACTCGTCAGGGGGGCTCAGGTAAGCAGGGCTGTGCACATGGGGGAGACCTGGCAGCCTCAGCAGTCGTCTACCTTGAAAGTAGGGCCCTTCCCAGTCCTTGGGGGCAAGGTGCCCTGTGCCTTCCGGTCCCGCTCCATTGTTGATCTCAGTCAGATTTCTTGTTCTCCCCACCCTACCCCAACAGCAAATCCACAGCATTAGGCAACATTCCAGCACAGGGCCACCGCCCCTCCTCCTGGCCCCCCGGGCGTCGGTGCCCAGTGTGCAGATTCAGGGACAGAGGATCATCCAGCAGGGCCTCATCCGCGTCGCCAATGTTCCCAACACCAGCCTGCTCGTCAACATCCCACAGGTGAGGGCTGCGCCACACTGTGCCAGGGAGAGTGTGTGTCCCACCTGTGACTGCTCCCCTTGGACCCAGGTTCTGGGGCACAGTAGTGTTTCCCTGGGCTGTGTGGCATGACCTGCCTTGCTCTTTCAGAGCCAGGCAGGGGCTTGGACTTGAGCTCCTGGGGGCCACAGGGCTGTCTGGGTCGTGGGCAGAAGTTTTGTGGGCAGACTTGCTATCCAGCACAGGTGGGCAGCTGACGAGAGGGGCGATGCACGGACCTGAGCTGAAGGTGGGGTCTGCTTACCAGCCCCATGGCTGAGGAAACAGCATGTGGCACACAGCAGGTTTAGGGGGATAGTCGAGGCCCAGGAGAGGCCGGTGATGGGCCCGGAGATGCCTTGGGGGGCACCGGAGCCCATGCCGCCCTCCCGGCAGTGGCTTCTTCCGATTGCCTCCTCAGCAAATGTTCTCATGTCACCAGGTGCGCCTATTCTTAGCCGCACGTCCCTTCACCTCTGTACAGAGCCTCTCAGATGGGGAGGGTCTGTCCCCACCCACTGGAAGTAGGATGGGAAGAGCAGAACCAAGGGGCGGGTGGGCTGGAAACAGGCGCCTTGGCTGACAGATAAAATTACCAGGTCTGCAGGGGCTTTTGTTGGTGGGCGTGTTCGCTCTTTCTTCCCTCTTTGGCACAGTTTGTTCTTGCCCACCCTCCTCAGACAAGAGCAAGGCTCTGGGCAGTGTCCCTGCCTGCTTTCGAAGGTCAGGTTCGAGTGCAGAGAAGATGGCTAGTCCTGGACTGACCCAGGCAGGTAGTTTCATACACCTGTTGACTTTTTTTCTTTTTTGGAGACAGTCTTGCTCTGTTGCCCAGGCTGGATGGAGTACAGTGGTGTGATCAAATATCTTTATTTTATTATGAGACAAGAGTCTCCCTCTGTTACCCAGGCTGGAGTGCAGTGGCATGATCTTGGCTCACTGCAACCTCCATCTCCCAGGAGATACTCCTGCGTCAGCCTCCCAAGTAGCTGGGACTACAGGCGCCTGCCACCATGCCCAGCTAGTTATTGTATTTTTAGTCAAGACAGTGTTACACCATGTTGGCCAGGCTGGCCCTGAACTCCTGACCTTAAGTGATCCGCCCGACTTGGCCTCCCAAAGTGCTGGGATTACAGGCGTGAGCCACCACATCCTGCCCACCCGTGAACTTTTATCCAGTCCTTTCTCTTGTCTTTGTTTCCTGAGGGTGGGCACAGGCAGTCAGTGGCAGAGAAGGTGGTCTGCTCCTAGCGTGGCTGGGGGAGGCTCTGAGGGGAAGGAGGAGGGGAACTGGCTGGTCAGAGGTGAGGGAGGCCTGGGTTTGGTCTTGGTTGCTGAGGGGACAACAAACCAGCAGGCCGGTCTCTGGGAACCTTTCTTGGGGGGTGGGACCCTGGGAAGGCATCCTGCACACCCTGTGCCCCACAGTGTGGCATTTGCAAGTCATTGGGTGTGTCCATTTTCTGGGGGTGGGGTGCACAGCTTTCATCATATTTCCAGAGGGGTCCTCAGCCCCTAAAAGCAATAACATTGGCATGTGGGCAGTTCTGGGTTTCAGGGAGAGCCCTATCCAGCAGTTGTGGGGCTGGTGGAGACAGTCAAGGGTCTGCTCCTGGGATCCAGGCAGGACTGTGAGGTGGCACTGGAGCGGTGAGGACTGGGTGGAGGGCAAGGGGAAGAGGTTGGCCTAGGAGCTGCTTCCCCCATCGCCCCATAAGGACTCGGGGACTACCTCAAACATTAGCATCCCAGGGGAGCACATGCAGAGAGGCTCATGGGGGTGCTGCGGTGAGCACCCTCTTACCCTGTGAGAAGGCAGTAGGCCAGGCCACAGCCAGAGGACAGTGGCCCTGCTGGGCAGTGTGGTGACCACCAGAACCTGGTGACAGCCACATGGGTGCCCTCACATTCACATGGCGGAGCACAGCAAACTATAGATTTTAAGTGTGTGCGGTTTATCTGGTAAACCTCGGTGCACATGTGCAGATGAGCAGCCACTACCTAGGGTGGTGTGTTTCTCGCGCCTCTCCCTGCTGCCCTGGCTTCTGAGAGCCTGTTATCATGGCTGGGTTCACTTTTGTTAAGGACGCCATCGTCAAGGGTACTGGTTAGTGCAGTTGACAGGACCTCGGGCTTCGGGGCGCTGGGGAGCCTTCCTCTGGGCAGGCGCACGGAGCGCCCTGACTGAGTTTTTGTCTCCCAAAGCCCACCCCAGCATCACTGAAGGGGACAACAGCCACCTCCGCTCAGGCCAACTCCACCCCCACTAGTGTGGCCTCTGTGGTCACCTCTGCCGAGTCTCCAGCAAGCCGACAGGCGGCCGCCAAGCTGGCGCTGCGCAAACAGCTGGAGAAGACGCTACTCGAGATCCCCCCACCCAAGCCCCCAGCCCCAGAGATGAACTTCCTGCCCAGCGCCGCCAACAACGAGTTCATCTACCTGGTCGGCCTGGAGGAGGTGGTGCAGAACCTACTGGAGACACAAGGTGAGTGGCCTGGACCCAGCCGGGCTGCTTCCGCCTCTGGCCTCCAAGGGTGCTGCCCCGTGGGTTCTTTCCAACACACAGCAGAGGCTGGGGCAGGGCTGCCTAGCCAGGATGGTCCTGGGTGGGCTTGGCAGGGACACCGTCAGTGCCACTGTGGAGTCTGGACACTGTCCTCCGGTTGGGGCCTCTGAGAGCCAGGCCCCGAGAGGCTCAGGGTCCAGGGGGACGGGCAGTAGTGGCCTCCGTGACGTTGGCGTGTGGTGGGGTAGACGTGAGGGTGCACATCTGTGGGAGGCTGACAGGGTTGGCCTCCACGAAGGGCTCTCAGGCCAATGTGGAGTTGTGACACACAGGCAGAACCTTCCAGAGCCTCAAGTGCTCCCAGCTTCTGAGGAGGGAGAGGGACAGCCCACCCCACTGCCCAGGGGCAGGCTCGCATGATCACCCTCTTCAGGCAGCGTGGGAGTGCACTGTGTCCTGGGGGATTTAGGAATAAAAAGACATCTACGGGGTGATCACAGCATTGGAGACGGCTGGGCGGGTGGATCTGAGTGGCCGAGTTGGCCCCCAGGGAGCCCCTGCTCCCCAGACATGGAGACCAAGGACGTTTCTGCCCACAGGTTGAGGTTGGGGTGACACGAGTAGGCCAGGAGGCTGAGTCCTCTCCTGGTGACTGCATCAGACTCTCAGAGCAGAGGAGTCGGCAGGACTGTGAGGGGCCCAGGGCAGGGGCAGGGCCTGGCAGCCTCAGAGCCTTCCCAGCACAGACTTGGGAGCAGCGGGGTGGGTGTGTGCAGAGAAGCACCTCCCGCGCACTGCCCAGGATACAGAGGGAGGAGGGCATGGGGGCCAGGTCGAGCTGTGCCCCCAGCACCTGGGGTTGGGAAGATGCTCTCCCCACTCTCTTAGGGTACTTTGGTGCATCAACTGGTGCCCCCATGTGGTTGCACCCAGGGTCCCCAAGAGGCAGAGCTCTCCACACTTGCGTGGGGCTGGGCCTGGCGCAGCCTCAGAGTGGCCCTCAAATGTAGAGTTGCTTGTAACCCACTCCCTTGCCCCTCAGTCGCTCTCGTAACTCCCGGCCACAGGATGGTACCGAGACTAACTGCAGCGTGCCCCAAGGGCATGGCCTCCAGCTCCCAGCTGCAGGAGGGACCTGGGGGAGCTATGGGGAGGTGAGGCTCTGACACAGCCCGGCTGGTGCCTTTGGTGCCTCCTTTTCGACAAGGTGATGTCGGCAAAAGAGCCACCTGGGGCTGCTGTAGGAAATGAGGATTGGGGGCCGAGTTGGGACCAGTGCCTCTCCTTGCCCCTGCCTGTGCGGGCATCCGCTCTCCCAGACCAGTCTGTCTCTGCCGTTCCCTCATCAGGGCTCAGTCTCCCTCTCCTGTTGCCAAGGATAGGACCTCACTGTGGGAGAGACTTTGAGCCCTGCTGGAGGCATCTCCTGACACCTCCCAGAGCCCCCAGCCTCGCACCATGTCTGGTTCTGGCGCCGCTCACGCTGGCCATGGGTTGGACGTGTGCAAGGAGATGTGCCGTTGTCACCAGAGCATGTAAGCTGCAGGTGGCGGTCTCATGGGTCAGGGGCTTAGAAGGGGCCAGGCCAGTCCAGGCAGGAGAGGGAAGGCCGAGAGTCTCGCCACATCCATCTCCCCACCCCCCAGCCCCTGCAGTCCTCTGACATTGTCTGTGATGACCAAGAGCAATTAAGGCCCCTAAGTGCTGAACACAAAAAAGGTCGGCACAAATACGCCCAGACCTCACGCCCGAGCACATGCTTCATGTACACTTCCCCAGCTACCTCTTGCAGCCCCCAAGGAGACTATGCATTCTGTCCCCCAGACAAGGGGACCAAGCCCTTGCTGCCCCTGTAGCCTGCTGCCCACCTTGTGCAGTGGGTGCAGCCCAAGGCCTGGGGCCTATCCCGGGTGTGAGTCCTGCCCTGCCACTGAGTGACAATGTGATCTACAGGTCACTTGGTCTCTCTTGGCCTCAGTTTCCTCATCAGGACATGGCGCATTTGGGGGTTCCCCGTCCTAAGAATGAACTGAGTACCTCAGCACCCACAAAGCACTTGCTGGGTGACTTGCCTGTCACCCTTATTAACTCGTACACAAGCAAGGGTGCCCACCACACTGAGGCAGGGCTTGGCATGGTCCCTGCTGGTCCTCAGTGGTGTCATGTCCAGCGATGGGTGGGACAGGAGGCCGACGTTTTCTGAAGCTGTTCGGCGTTGGCCGGCCCCATGTCCACATGTCATTGGTGCCCAGTAGGCATTTGCAGAACGGACAGACTGTGGCGACTGAGACTCCAGCATCCTGGGCTGGGGGCGGCCAGGGCCCTGACTGTCGTCCTGGCCCTCTGACGTGAGCCATGTGCTGTCTGCTTGCAGCAGGCAGGATGTCGGCCGCCACTGTGCTGTCCCGGGAGCCCTACATGTGTGCACAGTGCAAGACGGACTTCACGTGCCGCTGGCGGGAGGAGAAGAGCGGCGCCATCATGTGTGAGAACTGCATGACAACCAACCAGAAGAAGGCGCTCAAGGTGGAGCACACCAGCCGGCTGAAGGCCGCCTTTGTGAAGGCGCTGCAGCAGGAACAGGAGATTGAGCAGCGGCTCCTGCAGCAGGGCACGGCCCCTGCACAGGCCAAGGCCGAGCCCACCGCTGCCCCACACCCCGTGCTGAAGCAGGTGAGCCTGGCCTGCTGCCGGCAGTGCCGTCCCTAGGAGGCAGAGGCCGTTCCGCGATCCACCCCACGCCTGCGCTGCACCGCCTGATTGTTAACTGCACGTCTAAATTGCAGTTAATGGTGGTGTTGGGCGGCAAAAACACTAATTTGCAGTTTCTTTAGACTTTGTAGCTCTCACTTGCAGGCTGCCGGCTGACAAGTACTGCTTGTCTTCAAGGTCTTTTCTGAAAGCCACGTTGAGATACCAAAGGGGCGTTTGGAAAAATGTTCTTGCTAAATTTGGAGAGGAACAAGTTTGAAATCAAGTTTTTTGTTCTCGTGTTGTTTTATTTTAATGCTTCTCCTTCCCACCCTCTTGTAGACTCGAAGCTCCCTTTTGGCAATTTTTGTTTTCTTGGAAGTTCTTTGCAATTCACTAAACGCATTTTCTCAAGATCCCCACTTGGCGCCTAAAGTCCCCAGGGGACGGGCCTGTCCTGTGGGGCTCACCCTCGGTCACCCTGGGCCGGCCAGCGGACCGCACTGACTTTGCTTTCAACCCCCGTTTGTGTAGGTCATAAAACCCCGGCGTAAGTTGGCGTTCCGCTCAGGAGAGGCCCGCGACTGGAGTAACGGGGCTGTGCTACAGGTCAGAACCGCACTGGGCGCCGGGAGCCTCGCGCCCCCACCGCAGCCCGTGACCACGTCAGTCGCCGACTGTCACGCTGCCTCTTCTGTCTGTCTCTCCCTGTTTCTGTTTCACTCTCTCCCCTCCCCCACCCCTCTGTGTAACTTACCTGGTCTCCTGATTTTGGACTTTAGGGACCCCATGTGGGTGGGAAGAGGTCAGCCAGAGCAAGGAGAGGCTGCGCTGAGTGTCTCGCCTGCTGCTGTCTTTTCCCTGCATGAGCCGTCACCCCCCTTTCTCCACTGCAGGCCTCCAGCCAGCTGTCCCGGGGTTCGGCCACGACGCCCCGAGGTGTCCTGCACACGTTCAGTCCGTCACCCAAACTGCAGAACTCAGCCTCGGCCACAGCCCTGGTCAGCAGGACCGGCAGACATTCTGAGAGAACCGTGAGCGCCGGCAAGGGCAGCGCCACCTCCAACTGGAAGAAGACGCCCCTCAGCACAGGTGGGTGACCTCCACAGGGCTCCCCAGGGGACCTGCCCATTGTGGGGTTCACCCTTCCTTAACCGAAACAGAGGCACATGTGCAGCGGGTGAACCCCCAGGCCCGCTTCCCAAGCTCAGCCTCCTCGGACTCTGGCTTTCCCTCTTGCCCCTAACCAGGATACCCTGAAGAAGTGACAGCCCCGAGCAGATAGGAAATAGTAACCACCCTCACTCTCTGCACCCAGGCTCAGTCTTTGACCGACAAAACATGGGCCAGGCCTGGCTCAGAGGGTGCCCCCACAGCCATCCATGTGGACTCTTGTCAGCACACACCCCTATCTTGCCCACTCAGGGTCCCCCTTTTCTCTTTGTGCCGCAGCAAACATCTTTTTTCTGTCATTGTGCCATCCATGCTGCGGTCACACTGAGTGGTGCAAAGTAGAACAGTAATGCGGGGCAGGGGGTGTGCCCAGGGCAGCGGCTGGCTCACCCGGGGCAGGTAGTGGAGGCCTTGCCGGAGACGGTGTTTGAAGAACAACCAGTGGGGGTGAAGGTCCTCCAGTGGGCTCTCCGGAGTCAGGTGCGGCCCCACCGTCCCTGGCATGGTCCCGATGGCCTGTTTATTTTTTCATGTATGTGTTAACATTAGAACAAAAGTGTTATATTTCTTGTGTCAAAAATAGGGAAAGAAAAGGTGGTCAGGAAGGGCCAAGTTAAGGAGATGGGCACCCTCTGGGAGAGGAAGCAAAGTGTCCCACATGCACCCTGAAGCCTGTGGCCCTGCAGGTAGGAGAGGACAATCATGAGACAGGCCCCAGGCAGAGTGGTGGGGGGAGCCTGAGAGCCTGCTGAGCCTGCCGCTGTCCTAAGTGAGGGGCGTGCCCAGGTGCCAGGCTCTGCAGGGGCACTTCAGGAAACAGCAGACGTTCGGCTGCAGAGGAATCCAGGCAGCCTGGACAGTTGAGTGTGTTTGTCATCAAACCAGCCAGCCAGACGTTCTGCTCAGCAGGTTTAAGACAGCTGAGGACTCACGGGCTGGTCAGAAATTACTCTTGTGGGAAGTTTGAAAGGATAAGAAAGAAGTAGAAGTCGATAAGTGTGTGCATGTGGGCACGGTGGTGGAAGTCATCTGGAAGCTGTGTGTGTGTGTGTGTGTGTGTGTGTGTTTAAAGTTTGAAAGGGAGCATGAAGGCATCACTAGTTGTGTGTCTGATGGTAGGATTAGAGGGAAAATAAATAGTTGAAAGCACCATTTCCTAAAAGAGTTACCACGGGGGTTTTGAGAGAGCGCCTGGCAGGACCCAGTTGCCAGGTTTCTGGAGTGCTGCCCTTGCACACAGGGTTGGTTCCTAAGAACATTTGACCTGGGAACGCTTTTTCCACAAAATGTATTAGCCACCACTAAAAATACTCTTAGGGCCAGACATGCTGGCTCTCACCTGTAATCCCAGCACTTTGTGAGGCCGAGATGGGAGGATTGCTTGAGCCTAGGAGTTTGAGACCAGCCTGGGCAACATGGTGAGACCTTGTGTCTACAAAAAAATAATTAGCCAAGCACATGGCATGTGTCTGTGGTCCCAGCTACTCAGCCAGGAGGCTGAGGGAGGAGGATCGCTTGAGCATGGGAGGTTGAGGCTGCAGTGAGCACTGATTGTGCCACTGCACTCCAGCCTTGGCAAGAGTGAGACCCCATCTCAAGGGGTCTGGGGCAGCCCTTACCTCCAACTCTGGCCAAAAATTCTGCGTGTGCTGGGTGGGGGCATTTATTTATTTTCCAATTATAAAAATGATATTTGTCCATCATGGAAATTTGGAAAATACAGAGAGAAAAGACTGTGGCAATGGCTTGTATTTTCCTCCCCCAGGTGAACAAATATTACATTTAAGGGTTTTCCCCAGTGTCTCCCCTTCACTTGAGGGTCCTTTGTGGAAATGTGTGTCTTGCGTTGGCTACTTTGTGTGTTAATGAGAGACCCTTACTGGACGCATTAAAATTTGAGCTGGGCACAGTGGCTCGTGCCTATAATCCCAGTGCTTTGACAGGCCGAGGTAGGAGGATTGCTTGAGGCCTGGAGTTTGAGACCAGTAAACAACAACAACAACACTTGAGGGTAGGAGATAGTTTTTTTTTCCTTTTTTTTTTTTTTTTTCTTCTTTTGGAGAAGCTTCTTGCTATGTTGCCCAGGCTGGAATGCAGTAGCGCGATCATAGCTCTCTTGCAGCCTGGATCTCCTAGGCCCAAGCAATCCTCCCACCTCAGCCTCTGGAGTAACTGGGACTACAGGGATGTGCCACCATGTCCAGCTGATATTTTTTTTAGAGATGGGGCCTCACTATGTTGCCCAGGCTGGTCTCTATCTCCTGGCCTCAAGCAGTCTTCCCACCCCCCAGCCTCTCAAAGTGCTGGGATTCTAGGCTGAGCCTCCGTGCCCAGCTAAGATAGTTTTTCATTGCTGCATAGTATTCCATCCTGCATTATTGTCCTGTTGCACACATTTGTTTATGGTTTTCCACTGTTCTAAGCAGCACCGTGGTCAGCACCTTCATTTCTGTAGAACGTAGGTAGCTGCTCACCCTCTGATGATTGCCCCACACTTGGGATTACCTTGGCAGAGCCTGGCAATGTCAAGGCCATTGAGTTGCTGCCTAAATACTCTTCAGCTCTGGGGGGGCCTGGGATTTGAAACGTTGATTGAGGAGTAGTGTGGGTGGGTTTGCAAGGGCTCCTGGGTCCTTAGTCTGTATTGGGGCTGGGGTCTAGGCAGCTATGGCTGGGCTCCTCCCAGGAGCCCTCCTGACGAGGGCCTTCTCAGCTGGTCGCTCTGTTCTGTTGCAGGCGGGACCCTTGCGTTTGTCAGCCCAAGCCTGGCGGTGCACAAGAGCTCCTCGGCCGTGGACCGCCAGCGAGAGTACCTCCTGGACATGATCCCACCCCGCTCCATCCCCCAGTCAGCCACGTGGAAATAGTGCGAGCCAGGCCCCGTGGAAGACGGGCTCCCTCCTCCCCCACCTGGCCCCTGGTCTAGAAGGACCCACTGCACCACCCTCCGCTGGCTCGGGAAGACACCGTGCCCGCCCCAAGAGCAAGCACCGGCCATGCTGCAGAGGCAAGACCTCAATTCTTGGCTGCAAAGTTTCATCAGGGCTAGGGGGCTGGTGCCGCCTCATAGGCAGACGAGGATCATCGCTGGGGGACCTTTCCCGTGGGCTTTCTTCCTTTCTCTCTTTGCCTTTAGTTTGCCCGACACCAGCAGAAAAGTGGACCTTGGGGGCTGGTTCTGCTCCTGGCCCCCTTGTTCAGCCCCTGCCGGCACACGGGCGGCTCACCCTGGACACTGTGATGCGCATGGGCAAGGCCAGCGCCCGGGGCTTCTGAACCGAGCGGGGTGTTTCATTTTTTTGCTTTTCCCTGTCTTAGGCTCCCAGTCTTTGACTGCCTTCCCATGGCGATCTATAAGTTGAAAGATTTTTTTTTTTTTTAATCACCTCATGATGATGGAGTTAAAAGTAAACCGTGCAGACCCTGGGGTCCCTGTTGTACGCTGCATCATCCCGCTGGCCCTGTGCCCTGGAGGGTGGGCGGCTCATGGTGCCACAGCCCCTGGCAGGGACGGCCGGCCCGCCCCCGTGACTGACTGACAGATGCAGGGATGGCCGAGGCAGCCCTCGCTCCAGCTGAACGCCTCCATTGCTGCTTGTTCTGGAGACCCCCGCCCCCGCACCTTCCAGACTTAGCAGAAGAACAAACTGAAGAACAGACCCAGCCAGAGAAGCAGGGATTCCAGAAGCTGCCCATTAAGGGAGAAGGAGAGGATCCGGTCGGCAGCAGCCCTGAGCAGAAAGCTGGAGGGGGGACTGTCGCGGGGTTTTTCTGTTGTGGTTTATTTTATTAAATTTTTTCCTTTTTTCTATTCATTTCGATGGACGCAATCTTAAGCCACCCTGGCCTTGCTCCTGGGAGGTGAGCGTGCACAGGTGTGTGCAGGTCAGGAGGTGCCGTCCAGGTGTGCGGCGAGCCGCTGCGCACAGATGTCAGGATTTCCGTTTGGGTCTAGTTTAGAACCTGTCCTTAAACCTAGGGGTTGCTGTCAGGATTTGCTTTCAGACTTTTTTTTTTTTTGTAATTCCCTTTAGAGTCTACAAAAATGTTTTTAAAAGGATCAGGTCTGCTTTTAGTTTCATTTTTGTTTCTTTCCCGTCCCACTCTTTAAAAACTGGTTCCGTGAGGAAAGGCAGAAGCCGTTCCGTGTCTCTTGCAGGCTGGGCCGGCTTCATGCCAGTGCGAGGGCGTCCCGTGCCCACGTACATACGTATGTCTCCATGAGTTCTGGGCTCCACTGGTTCCAATTGAGCTCCAGCCCTGGTTTTCCTACCCATGCAGTTAGGGACTTTAATTTAATTTTTTTTTTGTAGGGCCACCGCCTTCAAACACAACTGCTACAACATTCTAATAAAGGCTCATTTAACCCCCAGGCTCCTGTCGTGTGAATATCCTCAGTCTGTAGGAAACTTTTTTTGACACAGCATAGAAGACCTAGTTTTGGAAAACATTATCTAATTTTTTGTTGTGCAAATCCCCAAATTTCTCACTAATTTTTGTTTTTTTGTGCATAACTTGGATGGGCTGAAGGAGGTGAGGACAGATTGGGGAAGGGTGGCTTTCATTCCAAGATCCAGGGATTTGGGGAAAAGGAAGGAATTTGATGTTTTTTGGGGTGGGAGGGGAGGGTGTGTTTTTTACACCAAAAAAAAAAAAAAAAATCAAGAGTATGCAAGCATTTCTATTCCTCGCATTTTTCTGTGTGCCTGGCAAATAAATACCTGTCTCCTACGACCCTGAGCTGTTAGCCCTCTCTGTTCCATGACAGGGGCCAGATCTTCCAGCTCCTCCCAGAAGGAGCACCCAGGCTGGCTTCTTCCCACTGAAAGCCCTCCCCAGCGAACCAACCTCAGTTCTATGCAGTGGCTGGGGATCAGGCATCCAGACCGAAGTCACCTCTGCCTGCTCCAGCTTGGGTCAGCTGGGTCTGACCAGGGGGCCAGATCCGAGCCGCACCTGCCGGCCCCCAGCCCCAGCTCCAGCTCCTGACCTCTCCCAGCCTGGCCTGGCTGTTCCTCCAGGGCTGATGGCTGTCAACCCATCCTTGTGAGTTCATATGGACTGCTGCCCCTCGAAAGGGAGAGGGTCGGCCCCATGTCCCCAGGGAGCATTCCATCAGGGACAACGTACATACTGTGATGTAAACTTTTTTTTTTTCCCCCCAGGGGGCAAAAGTGTGAGATGCCTTAATCTTTCCTTCATTTCTGCTGTCTCGAACACTCTAGCCCATTATTTCCTTTCAGTTCCTTGCAGCATAACCTCTACGATAAGCCCCAAGCGGGTTGTTGTATTATGACGTTTATGATGTTCCAGGTGAAGGCATTATTAAGTACCTCTCTGGGTGTGGGGTTTGGACGCACCAGGATAGCTATTGATTAATGTTAAGGGTGTTCTACCCACAGCAAAGCACACCCTCTTAAACCAGGCACTGCCTGGGTCCTGGTCCCGAGAGCCCTACCAGGATCAGGTTCCTGCAAGCCGTCAGAATGTGGGAGCCCCCAGCCCAACTGATTGTAACTGTCCCCTGTTACCTGTGACATGAACCTCCAACAGCACCTGGAAACGGTTCCCTCTGTCAGCTGCTCTGTAGACAGGGCTGGGGAGATCTCAGAGTTCACACCTCGCCTGTTGTAGGGGAGGTTGGGGGTAGGGTTTGGAATGGCCAAGTGCCCTTGGAACCTCCCACAGCTATGGCCGTCCTGACCTCATCCCAGGAACTCTACGGTGACCAGGAACCACCCCTCTGACGAGGTCTGTAGCGGCCCTTCTCAGAGTGGAACAGCCCACAGTGCTAGTTGTGCCTGGTCTTACCTGTACTCCACGGACCTCGGTGAAGCAAAAGCTTCAGGGCAGAGGGAATGAGGCAACCCAGTGGCAGCCCCGCTGGGCCCCGTGGCTCCTGCTCTCCTATTGGACGTAGAGGCAGGGGAGAGACTTCTCTATACAAATATTCTCATCACAGAAGGGATGATCCTTGCTGCTCTGCCGTAGGGTTTTTGATGCTGAGCTATGCTGCACATGACGTTAACCTAAAGAACTTGGACTGAGCTTTTAAAAAAGGACAGCAAACAATTTTATAATCCTTAAAGTGTAATAGACGGTTACACTAGTGCAGGGTATTGGGGAGGCTCTTTGGGTGTGGAGGCTGTCACTTGTATTTATTGTGACTCTAAATCTTTGATAGTAAAACAAATGTAAAAAGAAATGTTTGCCACCAGATGGGAATAGAAGTTCCAATAAGCAGGCTGGAATGGGTGGCTATACGTTGTATCACGAGGAAGTTTTAGACTCTGAAGGATAATAAATGGATGATGTGTCAACTGGACTTTTCTTTTGTCCCTTCTGCCCTGGCTTCTCTGTATTGTTTCGTCCTAGCTTCCCAGGCAGGTTGGAGGGAGATGGAGGATGACCCTTAGTTAATGAGAGAAGCAAAGGGCGGGGTGCATCTGCTGCTGGGGCCTCACTTACTGTGGGGATGGAGTCCCCACGGCCCCTCTCCTCTGGAGCTTTGTGGCAAACTTACCCCATGGGCTGGGAGAGAGGAATGAGAATCTCAGTGGGGGCTGGGTTTGGTGGCTCACATTTGTAATCCCAGCACTTTGAGAGGCTGAGGTGGGTGGATCACCTGAGGTCAGGAGTTCGATACCAGCCTGGCCAACATGGTGAAACCCCATCTCTACTAAAAATACAAAAATTGGCCGGATGTGGTGGTGGGTGCCTGTACCCCAGCTACTTGGGAGGCTGAGGCAGGAGAATCGCATGAACCCGGGAGGCAGAGGTTGCAGTGAGCCAAGATTGCGCCACTGCACTATAGCCTGGGTAAGAGACCGTGACTTTCTCAAAAAAAAAAAAAAATTCTCAGTGGAATTTGCTTGTGTTTGCTGCATCAGCCTTCACGCTAGAGTGGTGGGTTTTCCTGGAGCAATTTTCAGGCTGGGGGCCTCGATGGTGTCTTTGCTGCAGGATGTGATATTACAGATGTGCAATCTAAGCACAGAGTCACCAACCTGGATCCAAAATGAACGACGTCCTGGCAAAAATGTTTTCAAGTGTTGATAGTTTCAAGTTTTATTCTTAAGGTGAGACCTGGGATCATTTTGCTGAATTTTAATGTGCATAAAACATGACCCTGTTTTCCTAGGTGCTATTTATTTGAGGCAGGGTCTCACTCTGTTGCCCAGGCTGGAATGCAGTGGCTTGATCTCAGCTCACTGCAGCCTCAACCTCCCTAGGCTCAGGTGATCCTCACATCTCAGACTCCTCAGTAGCTGGGACTATGGGCATGCACCACCATGCCCAGCTAATTTTCGTATTTTTTGCAAAGACACATTTTTGCCATGTTGCCCATGGCTGGTCTTGAACTCCTGGACTCAAGCAGTCCTCTCACCTTGGCCTCCCAAAGTGCTGGGATTACAGGTGTGAGTCACCACGCTTGGCCGTTTCTTGTCTTTGAAGCATCCTTGCCTCCGGCCTGGGAGCTCATACCTTCCCCACAACTCCCAAGTGCCTGGTCTTATGGGCACAGAGCTGGTAGAGAACATGGTAGAAACTGAACCTCAGCCTGTCCAGTAGCGCGATCTTGGCTCATTGCAACCTCCGCCTCCCAGGTTCTAGCGATTCTTCTGCCTCAGCCTCCCGAGTAGCTGGGATTACAGGTGCCGCCACCAGCACGCCCAGTTAATTTTCAGTAGAGATGGGGTTTCACGTGTTGGCCAGGCTGGTCTCAAACTCCTGATGTGATCCACCGGTCTCAGCCTCCCAAAGTACTGGGATGACAGGCGTGAGCCACTGCACCCAGCCACTTTTTTTTTTTTTTTTTTTTGAGATAGGCTCTCTGTTGCCCAAGCTAGAGTGCCTAGAGGCTCTCTGTTGCCCAGGCTCAGGCGATCCTCCCACCTCAGCCTACCGTGTAGCTGGGGCCAGAGGCTTGCTACAGGCATTTCTTGCTTGGCCTGAGAAACATTCCTATGGGGTGCTGTCTCCTGGGCTTGGCTCTTGGTTCCTCGTGAGGCTCTGCTTCCCTGGATTGGGCACAGGCTTGTCAGTGCAGTTGGGGCAGATTCAAGGGGCGGGTCCTGGGTCATGGTCTCAAATAGCCTCTCCAGCTGAGAAAATGGGACACTCCCCTCGTCCCTGACATCTTGTCCCCGACATCTCATCCTCTCTGAATTGAGCCTTGGGTCTGTGGCCACATGGCAGGCAGAGACCCTGACCCCATCTGCTCCCACAGATTCGTCGGTGGACAGATGGCATGCACTATGCCCTGGGCCCCGGAGATGTGGCAGGAGCTATCCAGACAGAAACATATAGCACCTTGAGAGGAGGGCATGGGGTGACATTTTAGGCAAGGCTTGAAGAGGGGAAAAGTGCCAGGAGTGTGCAAAGGCTTGGAGATAGGAGCCAGCATGGCAGGTCAAGAACAAAAAGGGCAATGTGGTGGGACTGGGTGGGAAGACGGGGCAAGGGCGTGGGTTTTAGCTAAGTGCAGTGGGAGTCTAGGGAAGGTCCTGGGCCCAGTACTCAAGCTACGCCCACTCTGAAGCCATGCCCACTACCCCAAGGATGGGGTTTTGCCCATTTTCCAAGTGGGGAGTCTGAGGCATGGCCCCAGTCAGGAGCAGCACCCTTCGAATAAACCAGAGGGGCTAGGGGCTAGGTTTTATTTTATTTATTTATTTTTTCTTTTGAGGCAGAGTCTTGCTCTGCTGCCCAGGCTGGAGTGCATTGGTGGGATCTTGGCTCACTGCATCCTCCATTTTCCGGGTTCAAGTGATTCTCCTGACTCAGGCTCCCCAGTAGCTAGGACTACAGGTGCAAGCCACCCATGCCCGACTAAATTTTGTATTTTTAGTAGAGATGGGGTTTTACCATGTTAGCCAGGCTGGTCTCAAACGCCTGACCTCAAGTGATCCGCCTCCCAAAGTGCTGGGATTACAGGTGTGAGCCACCATGCCCGGCCCCAGGAGCTGGGTTTTCTACCTCCACTCTGATGTGGTCCAGCCAAGACTGGAGGCTAGGCACTGCCCCTCTTTTAGCCTCGGTTTCCTCATCTGCAAAACTGAAGGGGACAGGGCCATGTATCTATTTGGAGGGATGAAGATAGAGCTGGCACTGCATCACCAGGGCACCAGAAAGCCATTGAGACTGAGTGAGCAGGGGCTGGGCATGGGGAGACCCACCAGAGGAGCAGCTATGTAGGGCTCATATGCAGGTAGGCACGATTAGGATTTCCTAATATACCTAATACATTTCCCCATATACCCCAAATGGGAACCACTCCCAGGCTCTGTGGGGTCCTCTCTCAATTTCCTCCTTACCTTGCCATCTCCTTTCCCTCTCTCCCTCCTTATTCCAGGCAAATAAGCTTACTGGCCTTACTCAAACACGCCAGCTCCCCTCTTCCTGGGGAACAACCTGGACTGTTTCTCTTACCTTCAGAGTCCCTTGACTTTTTTTTTTTTTTTTTTTTTCTGAGACAGGGTCTCACTCTGTGGTCCAGGCTGGAGTGCAGTGGCACGATCATAGCTCACTGCAGCCTTGAACTCCCAGGCCCAAGCGATTCTCCCACCTCACCCTCCCAAGTAACTGAGACACACCACCATGCCTGGCTAATTTTTAAATTTTTTGTACAGATGGCCGTCTCGCTGTGTTGCCCAGATTGGTCTTTAACTCCTGGGCTCAAGCGATCCGCCCACCTCAGCTTCCCAAAGTTCTGGAATTATAGGCGTGAGCTGCCACGCCCTGCCCAGAGTCCCTCCTTGAACACCTCCCAACTCTACCTGGCATTTAGCACAACTTACAATTATTTTATTTCCATGTCATTCTTTTATTTTACTTGACTTTTCAATTGTCTCGTTTTCGGCAGGGATGGGCCCAAGTCTCTTCGCCATGAGCTCTGGGGCCTGGCAGACAGTAGGTGCTCAAGAAATGCATGACTACATGAAGGAACAGAGGAAGGAACGAGCTAGTGAGTCCAGCTGAATCTCGCCCAGCCCCGCCCTGACTCCCCCACCCCCTCTTCCCGAGAGGAAAGGGACCCACAGCAGGGAGGGCTTCCCCCACCCCCGCAACGTCACTGTTGCTAGATCTGGGTTCAAATTACAGCTGTGAGCCGGGTGAAGTGGCTCATGCCTGTAACTCCAGCACTTTGGGGAGGTCGAGGCAGGTGGATCGCCTGAGGTCAGGAGTTCGAGACCAGCCTGGCCAACATGGTGAAACCCTGTCTCCACTAAAAATACAAAAAATTAGCCAGGCGTGGTTGCCTGCGCCTGTAGTCTCAGCTACTCAGGAGGCAGAGGCATGAGAATTGCTTGAACCCGGGTAGAGACTGCAGTGAGCCAAGATCGTGCCACTCCAGCCTGGGCAACAAAGAGAGACCTTGTCCTAAAAAAAAAAAAAAAAAAAAAAAAAAAAAATCACAGCTGTGTCTTTTTTGTTTGTTTTTTGAGACGGAGTTTCGCTCTTGTTGCCCACGGTGGACTGCAGTGACACGATCTCGGCTCACTGCAACCTCCCCCTCCCGGGTTCAAGCGATTCTTCCGCCTCAGCCTCCGAGTAGCTGAGATTACAGGCGCCCGCCCCCGTGCCCAGCTAAATTTTTTTTGTATTTTTAGTAGAGACGGGGTTTCACTATATTGGCCAGGCTGGTCTCGAACTCCTGACCTCAGGTGATCCACCCGCCTTGGCCTCCCGAAGTGCTGGGATTACAGGCGTGAGCACCGCGCCCGGGGTTTTTCTTTTTCTTTCTTTTTTCTTTTCCTTTTTTTTTTTTTTTTTTTTTTTTAAGAGGCAGGGTCCAGGGCGCGTTGGCTCACGCCTGTAATCCCAACACTTTGAGAGGCCGAGGCGGGTGGATCACGAAGTCAGGAGTTCAAGACCAGCCTGGCCAAGATGGTGAAACCCCGTCTCTACTAAAAATACAAAAATTAGCCGGGTGGGGGGACACGCGCCTGTAGTCCCAGCTACTTGGGAGGCTAAGGCGGGAGAATCGCTTGAACCCGGGAGGCGGAGGTTGCAGTGAGCCGAGATCGTGCCACTGCACTCCAGCTTGGGCGACAGAGCGAGACTCTGTCTCAAAAAACAAACAAACAAACAAACAAACAAACAAGAGATGAGGTCTCGGCTGTGATGCCCAGGCTGTTTTCGAACTCCTGACCTCAAGATATCTGCCCGCTTCGGACTCGCAGTGTTGGGGTTACAGGCGTGAGCCACCGCGCCTGGCCCTTGGCTCTGCCTTTTGGCAAGTGACATCCATGTGGGCCTCAGTTTCCTTATCTATAAACTCCTACTTTACGTGGAGACAGGCCACCCTCGCCCCACCCCTGGCTGTTCCATTCTTAAAAGATGTGGACGGCGAGGCGCTGGGGTCCACTTGCTTCCCAGCCCATCATCACAGCGACATCACGACCCGGGGACAACAAAGCTCCTTTGAGTTTGCCCATACTGGGGAGCTCAAAAGGTCCAGGCTCGAATCCTCCCGACTCCCTTTTGAGTCTTGGAGCAATAACCTCAACATGCGTGACTCTAAAATAGGGTACCCGCGCCTGCCTTCCCCGGATGGAGCGATCGCTTCTCCACTAGTCCGCAAATGGGGGCCACCGTTAGAGCCAGGTGCGAGGAACAGCGAGTTTATTGCAGGTTCCAACCGGGAACCTGGCACCCACGGCTGGTTGGGAAGGGACGCCCTCCGCGCAGAGGCTGAGAGTTCCGCGCAGGCGCAATGCTTCCGTCCCCTCTGGTCTCGCCCTCTCGGGGCCTGGTCGCAGGGAATCGCGGATGCGCATGCGCCTCCAGCTCCCGGGATCGCGGGGAACGTGGATTCCGAACAAGGGCAACTGCGGACTCCCCCGTGGGAAGAAAGGGAGGGAAGCGGAAGGGAAAAAGCGCATGTGCAGCAGCACGCGGCAGCTTCGCATATTCCCTCGAAGCGCGCCTCTTGCGCGTGCGCCGCCCTGGCCCAGTGCCCTTGGCTGCAGGAATGGCTGGAACCACCCGGCTTCTAGCCGGAGTCCCCGGCGCGCAGCCAGCAGTTGCGCGCTACCTGGCCCGCGGAGGGCCTGGCGGACGGGCTGAACTGCAGCAGCTCGGCGATCAGGGCCTTGCAGCGCTCGGACAGCTCGAGGCCTTCGGGATAGAGCACGCCGCGTTTCTGGCGCCGGGGCAGGCCGGCGATGTCCGAGTCGTCGAAGGGCATGCACCCGGTGACCATGACGTAGAGCACGACGCCCATGCTCCACACATCGTACTTCTTGGGGTCGTAGGGGATGCCCAGGAGCACCTCGGGTGACGCGTAGGCGGCTGAGCCGCAGTAGGTGGTGCTCAGGTCTGGGTAGCCATGGGCCTGGCGGCCGAAGCCGAAGTCGGTGAGCTTGACGCGGCGCTCGTCCGGGCTCAGCAGCACGTTTTCGCACTTGAGGTCGCGGTGCACCAGGTGATGATCGTGCAGGTAGCGCACGGCGCCGGCGATCTGCGCAAAGAGGTCGCGCGCCTGAACTCCGGGGATGCGCCCGTTGCGCTGCACGGCTTGCAGCAGGTCGGTGGCGGCCGCTTCCATCACGATGTACAGTTTCCCGTTGCACACCTCGATGAACTCGAAGACGTGCACGATGTGCGGGTGTCGCACGCCCCGCAGGATGGACAGCTCTCGCGGCAGGAACTTGTTGACGAAGTCCGGGGGCGCTCGCCGCCGGTCCACCACCTTGATGGCCACGGTACCCTTGTACTTCTTGGATGTGGCCACCTTCACCTTGGAGTAGCTGCCCTCTCCAATTGTGCGGCCCAGCTTATAACCGAGTTCGCTCAGAAGTTTGTCTCCCGACATGGTGGCGCCTAGGGCGCACGGGGGGCAGGAGGCGGCTGCTGTCGGGGGGCGGCCGGACTCCAATCTCGGGTCTAAGCCATGGCGCTTGGCACCTACACCCCCGCACCCCCATGTGCCCACTGCCAGACATTGGCCGCTGTTGTGCCTTTTATTGCCCCGTAACAATTTTTGCCTTGTGAAGTGACTGCGGGCGTCACTCCGCCTTAGGGTGGGGGTCCGGGACCCCGCCCCGGGGCCACCCTAGCCTCCCTGCTTTGTGACTCATAATCATCCTGAATGGTCAGTTTCCGATGAGAGGCCACTAGCAAGGGATACCCATCACCACCAGGGAGCAGAATCCGTTCCAGGGATTGGGGTGAGTCCGACTTCGAGCAGCAGCTGCCCCCCAACATCATGTACCCAGCCCGTGACTACGTGGAGCCCTGGGCTTCGCGTAGAGTCCCTAGACGGGGCGAAAACGGGAAAAGGGGCCTTAACTGGGGCACCTGGCTCCTTTGAGAGCTCGGAGTTTCTGACTGGCCTGCGCAACACCCCAGAGGCAAGGTGAACGCGAGGGCCTATAATGCAAGAACCAAGGCGAGTCACGCCCTGTCTGGGCAAAAGAGGAGTAAAGACCCCTCAGCTGCAGCCCGGCAGCGCATTCCTACCCAGGGTCCGCCGCCAGAGCTTTCCCGCGCGGTCGGATAGTTACACTACTGTCCGGGACTTCCTAGCCGTGCCGCGGACCATCTCAAGTGCTTCCGCCACACTCATCATGGCGGTGGCAGTAAGTCACTTCCGCCCGGGACCGGAAGTGTGGGATACTGCGAGTATGGCGGCGTCAAAGGTGAAGCAGGACATGCCTCCGCCGGGGGGCTATGGGCCCATCGACTACAAACGGAACTTGCCGCGTCGAGGACTGTCGGGTCAGTATCACTCTGCGCCGGGGTCTCAGAGTCTGGGCACTCGGGGCTCGGGGGCGGGGTTCCGGGGACACAGGCGGGCCTCAGTTTTCCCGGCGGTGTGACCGGAGGCGGAGCCCGGGGATCCATCATAGCTTCTGTAATAACGCTAAGTGCTGCAGTTTGTTGAGGTCTTTCCCAGCTCCTCTTCCTTCTCGTAACAGCCCAGGAAATCGGTCCCTCTAGTTATTTACGTTTTACAGTGGGTTAAACTGAGTCATAGCCTGTGCTCTGGCCCTCAGCCACCCTTGGATTTCTAAGATGGGGAAACTGAGGCCCAAAGAAGGCCGCGGCTCCCCAAGGCAAAGCTGAGGCCGCAACCCGGAACCTGGAGGGAATTTACAAGATGTTCTATGCAGTGGTTCCCTGCTGGCAGCCCCCGCCTGCATGGTGTCACAGGAATCCATATTCTTTAAATTTTCAATTTTTTTTTTTTGAGACGGAGTTTTGCTCTTGTTGCCCAGGCTGGAGTGCAATGGCGCCATCTCGGCTCACCGCAACCTCCGCCTCCTGGGTTCAAGCGATTCTCTTGCCTCAGCCTCCTGAGTAGCTGGGATTACAGGCATGTGCCACAACGCCTGGCTAACTTTGTGTTTTTAGTAGAGACGGGGTTTCTCCATGTTGGTCAGGGTGGTCTCGAACTCCCAACCTCGGATGATCCGCCCACCTCGGCCTCCCAAAGTGCTGGGATTACAGGCGTGAGCCACCATGCCCGGCGTAAAGTTTTCAAATGTTTAAGTAACACGTTAAATTTTGTTATCGGGCTCAGCACAGAAAATTGAAAAAGAGAACTTAAAAGGCGCCCATACTCAGTCCCCAGGTTAACAGACAAATAGAAACTTTTAAACGTAATCTAAGAGTGAATACATACATTTCTTTTTTTTTTTTTAAGACGGTATGGTTCTGTTGCCTGGGCTGGAGTGATTTCTTGGCAACCTCCGCCTCCTGGGCTCAAGCCATCCTCCCACCCCAGCCTCCTGAGAAGCTGGGATTACAAGCATGCGCCCAGCTTTCTGTATTTTCTATAGAGATGGGATCTCGCCATCTTGCCCAGGCTGGTCTCGAAGTCCTGGGCTCAAGTGATCCACCCACCTCGGCTTCCCAAAGTGATGGGACTATCGGCATGAGCTACCGTGCTCGGCAGAATGCATGTCTCTTAACAAATCAAACTTTACATTTAAATTACATGTTATGCACATTATTCCTCAATTTTAACACACACACAAAAATGAGCATGGTAATTAAAAACGTAATAATTCAGACAGTAGAAAAATCAGTGTGAGGTGAAAAGTCCTCCCCAGCCCCTTCTTGGTTTTTTTATTTTTTATTTCTACTTTTTGTAGAGACAGGGTGCAGCTATGTTGACCAGGCTGGTCTCAAACTCCTGGGCTCAAGTGATCCTCCAGCCTCAGCCTCCCAAAGTGCTGGAATTACAGGCATGAGCCACCGCGGCCAACCTCCTCTTGTTTTTCTTGTATCCCAGAACTGAGATTGGCAGACTTTTTCTATAAAAGGGACAGATGACAAGTATTTTGGGTTTGGCTGGCCAGAAAGTTTCAGTTACTGAGACAACCATTTACAAATGGAAAGTGTTCTTAGCCTGGGGGCTCTACAAAAACAGATTGCCTGTGAGCCAGGTGGCTCATGCCTGTAATCCCCACACTTTGGGAGGCTGAAGCGGGAGGATGGCTTGAGCCCAGGAGTTTGTGACCAGCCTGGGCAACATAGTGAGACCCCCACCTCTACCAAAAATTAAAAAAAAAAAAAAGAGGCTTCAGGCTAGATCTGGCCCATGAGTGCTGTCCCAGAACACATTGGAGGAATATAATGCATTCTATTTCCTCATTTTTCTTTTTTCTTTTCTTTCTTTCTTTTTTATTTTTTGAGACAGAGTCTCATTCTGTCACCCAGGCTAGAGTGCAGTGGCCCGATCTTGGCTCACTGCAACCTCCACCTCCTGGGTTCAAGCAATTCTCCTGTCTCAGCCTCCCGAGTAGCTGGGAGTACAGTTGGATGCCACCACATCCGGCTAATTTTTGTATTTTTAGTAGAGATGGGGTTTCACCATATTGGTCAGACTGGTCTCGAACTCCTGACCTCAGGTTATCCACCCACCTCGGCCTCCCAAAGTGCTAATATTGCAGGCACGACCCACCACGCCTGGCGTTGTTTGTTTTTTGGTTGTTGTTTTTTGTGTGTGTGTTTTTTTTTTTTAGACCAGGTCTTGCTCTGTCACCCAGGCTGGAGTGCAGTGGCGTGATCTCGGCTCACTGCAACCTGTGCCTCCCAGGTTCAAGCGATTCTCCTCCCTCGGCCTCCCTAGTATCTGGGATTACAGGTGGGCGCCACCATGCCCTGCGATTTTTTTTTTTTTTTTTTTTTTTTTTTTTGAGATGGAGTTTTCACTTTTATTGCCCAGGCTAGAGTGCAATGGTGCAATCTTGGCTCACCGCAACCTCTGCCTCCCAGGTTTAAGCGATTCTCCTGTCTCAGCCTCCCGAATAGCTAGGATTACAGGCATGTGCCACCATGCACAGCTAATTTTTTGTATTTTTAGTAGAGATGGGGTTTCTCCATGTTGGTCAGGCTGGTCTCAAACTCCTGACCTCAGATGATCTGCCCGCCTTGGTCTCCCAAAGTGGTGGGATTACAGGTGTGAGCCACTGGGCCCGGCCTATTTTTTTTTTTTTTTTTGTATTTTTAGTAGTGACAGGGTTTCACCATGTAGGCCAGGCTGGTCTCGAACTCCTGACCTCAGGTGGTCCCCCTGCCTCAGCCGCCCAAAGTGCTGGTATTACAGGCATGAGCCACCACGCCTGGCCGAGTCTCATTCTTCTCCGGTGTAACCTGGGCTACCCCACCCCTTCAGGTGTGCAGCACAAGGTCTGTTTCCAAATATGCACCTGTGTGACCTGCAGCCAGACCAGGCCACAGAAGGACCTCAGGCCTGGAGGCTCCCTGAGCTCCCTGCTTCCAGCATCTCATTTTTGTATAAATACCCTGGTCCTCTCCCAGTTCACCACAGAGCAGTGGCCCCCCCTGTGCCAGACAGTGCCCTAAATACCACTGCCTGGGGTTGTGTCTCCTAATGGTGTGGACTTTTGTTACAGCACATACACACCCACCCCAGCCTTTCCCGGTGGAGGAGTGAGGAGGATACCCCTATGCTGGTGTGCTCTTTGTTTATGGCCCTGCTTTCATTGTTGAGTGAGCACATGGTTCCGGGCCCTGTCCCCAAGCGCTCACAGCTGAGCTGAAGAGATACAACACATCATGCCAGGATTTCTAGTTGTTGGTGAGGCCTGGGATAACCTGGGCCCACTTAAGCCAGGATGTGCCAGGAGGACCTCTGAGAAGAAGCCTGCTCTGCAGAAAAAGAGCAAACACACAGGCCCTGCCTCCTCTCCCTCTGTCCTCCTCTCCTGCCTCTCCTGAGCCATGGTCCACAGTGGCCTTCCCACCAGACCTACCTTCTGTGCTCCTGTCCAAGGCCTGGTGGCCCCAAGCCTGGCACCCACTCCCTTCTGTCTGCCTGGGTCAGCCATTCACTCACTGCCAGCGTCCCAGGACATGATGGGCTGGCTCAGGCTGCTTTTTGTTCTCTTTTTTTTTTTTTTTTTTTTTGAGACAGAGTCTTGTTCTGTCACTCAGGCTGGAGTGCAGTGGCGCGATCTCAGCTCACTGCAAGGATGGTCTCGATCTCCTGACCTCATGATCCACCTACCTCAACCTCCCAAAGTGCTGGGATTACAGGCATGAGCCACTGCGCCCGGCTGGCTCAGGCCCCTTTTAATCCATGCCGCTTCTGAAGTGACTTCACCCCACCTCCTCCACTATCTCCCACACCCAGTTCTCCTGTCCCCACTCCCTCCTGAGCCTAGCAGGCAGCCCTTTCCTTTTCATCTTGTGTCTTTAATATATTTATTGAGGTTCCAATACCATACCACACAACTCACCCATTTAAAGTCTGTCCAATTTAATGGCTGTGAGCGGTGGCTCATGCCTGTAATCTCAGCCCTTTGAGGACAAAGCGGATGGATCACCTGAGCTCAGGAGTTGGAGACCAACCTGGCCAACATGGCAAAACCCTGTCTCTACTAAAAATACAAAAGTTAGTCGGGTATGGTGGTGCACACCTGTAATCCCAGCTACTTGGGAGGCTCAAGCAGGAGAATCGCTTGAACCTGGAAGGCGGAGGTTGCAGTGAGCCAAGATCTTGCCTCTGCACTCCAGCCTGGGCAACAGAGTAAGACTCCATCTCAAAAAAAATAATAATAATATAGTGAAGTGTGTCCAATTTATTGATTTTTTAGTATATTCACAAAGTTGTATGGCCATTGCCATGATCAGAATTTAGACCACTTTCATTACCCAAAAGAAACCCCGTCTTCCCTATTAGCAATCATCCCACCCCTGGCAAACACTAATCTGCTTCCTTCTCTGTGGATTTGCCTGTTCTGGCCATTTCCTATCAGTGAAGTCATAGACCGTGTGGCCTTTTGTTTCTGGCAAATTAATATCCAGCACCAAGTGTTGTGTTTTCATTTTTTGATGGGCACTTGGGTCATCCACCTACTCTTTGGCTGCTGTGAATAATGTGAGTATGGCTGCCATGAAGATTCATGCTGTACAGGTGTTTGTATGGATGTAGATTTTCATTTTTCCCTTGTGAACTTTCCCCTAAGAGAGAAACCACTGGATCATATGGTAACTTCGTGTTTAACATTTTGAGGAACTGCCAAATTGTTTTCCAAATTGGCTGCACCATTTTGTGCTTCCACCTGCAATGTATGAGAGTCCCAATTTCTCCACGTCTCAACAACACTGATTATTTTCCATTTTTTTGATCATAGCCACCATCCTAGCGCATGTGAAGCGGTATTTCATTATGGTGGAGTTTTTTAAAATTCTTTTTGGGTCTTTTTTTGCTCAGTTTTCTGGTCATTGATCGTTGATTTGCATATCACTGCTGGCTGATGATGTCGAACATTTTTTCATGTGTTTTATTATTTTTATTTTTTATTATTTTTTTCAAGAGATGGGGCCTCAGTGTTTCCCAGGCTGGTGTCGAACTCCTGGGCTCAAGCTGTCCTCCCGCCTCAGCCTCTCAAAGTGCTGAGATTCTAGGAGTGAACCACCACCTTTGCATGTGTTTATTGGCCATTTGTATGTCTGTCTGTGAGAAACGTCTATTCAAATCCTTTATATATTTTTAGTAGGGTTTTTTGTTTGTTTGTTCGTTTGTTTGTTTTGAGATGGAGTCTTGCTCTGTCGCCCGGGCTGGAGTGTAGTGGCACGATCTCTGCTCACTGCAAGCTCCGCCTCCCGGGTTCACGCCATTCTCCTGCCTCAGCTTCCCGAGTAGCTGGGACTTCAGGCACCTGCCACTGCGCCCGGCTAATTTTTTGCATTTTTAGTAGAGACGGGGTTTCACTGTGTTAGCCAGGATCGTCTCGATCTCCTGACCTCGTGATCCGCCCGCCTCGGCCTCCCAAAGTGCTGGGATTACAGGTGTGAGCCACTGCGCCCGGCTTAGTAGGGTTTTTTAAATTATTGAATTATTGAGTTGTAAGATTGTGTATACATATGTTGTCTTCTCAGCTAATTGATAGTTTCATTTACAGCACAAAAGTTTTTAATTTCAATAAAGTCCGGGCTGGGCACGGTGGCTCATGCCTGTAATTCCAGCACTTTGGGGGGCAGAGGCAGGTGGATCACTTGAGGTCAGGAGTTTGAGACCAGCCTGGCCAATATGGCAAAACCCCATCTCTACTAAAAATACAAAAATTAGCTGGGCGCGGTGGCGGGCACCTGTAGTCCCAGCTACTCAGGAGGCTGAGGCAGGAGAATGGCGTGAACCCGGGAGGCGGAGCTTGCAGTGAGCCGAGATTGTGCCACTGCACTTCAGCCTGGGCCACAGAGTGAGACTCCATCTCAAAAATACATGTATAATAATAATTTCAATGAAGTCCAATTTCTGTATTTTTCCTTTTGTCACTTGTGCTTCTGGTGTCATATCTAAGAAACCTAGTTTGAGGTCACAGAGAGTGACTTACATTTTCTTCTAAGAGTATTATAGTTTCAGCTCTTACGCTTAGGTCTTTGATCCTTTTTTTTTTTTTTTTTTTGAGATGGAGCCTTGCTCTGTCACACAGGCTGGAGTGCAGTGGCGCGATCTAGGCTCACTGCAAGCTCCGCCTCCCGGGTTCACGCCATTCTCCTGCCTCAGCCTCCTGAGTAGCGGGGACTACAAGTGCCAGCCACCACGCCCGGCTAATTTTTTGTATTTTTAGTAGAGACAGGGTTTCACCGTGTTAGCCAGGATGGTCTCGATCTCCTGACCTCGTGATCCGCCTGCCTTGGCCTCCCAAAGTGCTAGAATTACAGGCGTGAGCCACTGCGCCCGGCAGGTCTTTGATCCTTTTGAGTTAATTTTTGTGGATGGTATAAAGAAGGAACGCATCCTCATTCTTTAGCATGTGGCTGTCTGGTTATCCCATTTGTTGAAAAGACTGTTTTCTCTCCCATTGAATTATCTTGGCACCTTTGTCCAAAATCAATTGACCATAAATGTGAGGGTTTATTTCTGGACTCTCAGTTCTGTTCCATTGATGAACATCTCTGTCCTATGCCAGTGCCACACTGTCTTGTACACACAGCTGTGGGATAAGTTTTGAAATACTGAAGTGTGAGTCTTTCAACTTTGTTCTTTTTCAAAATTGTTTTGGCTGTTCTGGTCCCTTGCATTTCCATATGAATTTCCCAACCTGCTTGTCAGTTTCTGCAACAGGAAAAGAAATGGTTGGGATTCTGATGGGGATTGCGTTTCAAATCTGTATCAGTTTGCACAGCGTTGCCATCTGCACAATGCTAAGTGCTCCAATTCTTGAACACAGGATGGGTTTTTATTTATTTTGGTCTTCTCTTAAGAATGGCCAAGGCCGGGCTCAGTGGCTCATACTGGTAGTCCCAACACTCTGGGAGGCTGAGGTGGGAGGATTGCTTGAGGCCAGGAGTTCAAGACCAGCCTGGGCAACATAGCAAGACCCTGTTTCTATGAAAAATATATTTTTCTTTTTTTTTTGTTTTTGTTTTTGGTTTTGTTTTCTGAAACAAAGTTTTCTCTGTCACCTAGGCTGGAGTACAGTGGTGCCATCTCAGCCCACTGCAACCTTGACTTCTTGGGCTTAAGTGATACTCCCACTTCAGCCACCCAAGTAGGTGGGACCACAGATACGTGCCACCACATCTAGCTAATTTAAAAATATGTATTTTGGGCCGGGCATGGTGGCTCATGCCTGTAATCCTAGCACTTTGGGAGGCCGAGGAAGATGGATTTACCTGAGGTTGGGAGTTCCAGACCAGCCTGGCCAACATGGTGAAACCTCGTCTCTACTAAAAAATACAAAAATTTAGCTGGGCACAGTGGCGTGCACCTGTAATTCCAGCTATTCAGGAAGCTGAGGCAGGAAAATCACTTGAACCTGGGAGGCGGAGGTTGCAGTGGGCTGAGATCGCACCACTGCACTTTAGCCTGGGCTACAGAGCGAGACTTTGTCTCAAAAAATAAAATAAAATACGTATTTTGTAAATGTTTCACTGTGTTGCACAGGCTAGTTGCAAACTCCTAGTCAAGTGATCCTCTCACCTCAGCCTCCCAAAATGCTGGGATTACAAGCGTGAGCCGAAAAAATTTGATCCCACCACTGCACTCCAGCCTGGACAACAGAGAGAGGCCCGGTCTCCAAAACCAAAAACAAAAAGAATGGTCCACACACCCTTTTGTGCGTGCCCCTCACCATGTTCCCCACCAGACTAGCAGTTCCTAAGGCACAGACTCTGAGGCCTGGGGCCTTGGCCCCCCTGTGGTTGGCGAGGAGGAAGAGCCCTGTGCAGGCTGCATGCAAATACAAGAGGCCCTGCATTGTTTCTGTCATCTCATACATCTCTGTTCTATGCCAGTGCCACGCTGTCTTGTACACACAGCTGTGGGATAAGTTTTGGAATTTATTTCTTCTTTGGAATTTATCTTACAGATGGGCCTGCGTATGAGTGCGCAGGTGTGAGGGTGCAGGTTCTCCCCAAGGGCCCATTTTCTGCACCAGAAGGCTGAGGGCAGCCCAGGTCTGTCCCCTGGGTTCTCTGTAGCCGTGGAAAATAATGAGATATGGCCGGGCACGGTGGCTCACGCCTGTAATGCCAGCACTTGCAGGTGGATCATGAGGTCAGGAGGTCGTAACCAGCCTGGCCAATATGGTGAAACCCTGTCTCTACTAAAAATACAAAAATTAGCCTGGCGTGGTGGTGGGCGCCTGTAGTCCCAACTACTCCGGAGGCTGAGGTGGAAGAATCGCTTGAACCCAGGAGGCAGAGGTTGCAGTGAGCCAAGATCTTGCCACTGCACCCCAGCCAGGGCAACAGAGTGAGATTCCGTCTCAAAAATAAATTAATTAAAAAAAAGAAAAGAACGAGATATGACCAGCCTGGGCAATATAGCAAGACCCCATCTGTACAAAAATTAGTTAACTGGACATGGCACACACCTGGGGTCCCAGTTACTCGGGAGGCTAAAGTGGAAGGATCACTTGAACCCAGGAGTTGGAGGCTGCATTGAGCCATGATTGCGCCCCTGCACTCCAGCCTGGGTAGCAGAGTGAGACCTTGTCTCAAAACCAAAAACCAAAAAAGGAAAAAAAAATGAACAAGGCAGCTGATGAAACCTCCCATGTGCTAGACAGGAGGCTGAGAGCTGGGAGCTGGCCCTGAGCACCCTGGGCCTCTCCAGAGATGTGCCTCTGAGCCCGGACCCAGCACACCCTCATTACCTGTAGTATGGAAATGTCTTAGCCCTGACTTGGGCTTCTAACAGGTTAAATAACCAGGTACAAATTTGAGCCAGTTTCTCATTTATCTCCGGGTCTAGCAGAGGTGCCCCCGTGAGCTCCATGCTGGAGCAGAGCTGAAGGCAGAAGAGCATGACAGGTGCAGAGCAGGGCCCGGCAGGCACAGAGTAGCCCCAGCAGGCATAGAGCAGGGCCAGTGCCCTGGAGGCCTGGAGATGGCCTTGCCTTCCACCTGCTGGTCATTTCCTGGGTGTTGACTGGAGCCTGGCCTACCTGAGCTTTTCATTCATCCCACCAAGTGCAAAGCCTGTCCAGAGAAGAGACTGGGGCTGGAAGGATCTGGAGGGTGCAGGGTGAGCCTGGGAGCCAGATCCCAGACAGCCCAGGCCTCTCTGAAGATCCCAGTGGGCCCCCAGCCTGTCAGTCAGGATTAGAGCAAGGCCCCACTGGTGCTCAGTAAATATTCATGATGGCCTAGGTCCTTCCTGGGGTGCAGGGCAGGGGGCTTCACCCTGCAGAGCCAAGAGGTAGCACGGCCACCCCTAGAGTCCGGGGGGTGGCTGGGCAGCCCCCACAGGGCACTGCCTGTCCCTGGCAGCTGTGTGCAGCCCCCGCAGGGCAGCACGCGGAACTGTGGCCCAGGTGGCCGGGAGCCACCATGGACACTGTCAGAACTGCCCTTCCACTTCAGGGCCAGCCTGCCGCCCAGGGTCCAAACAGCCTTCTAGAACACGATGGACCTGGGGCCCCCCTAGCAACCACCATCTAGACCCTCAGGCCTCCTGAGGTTGCTGCCTGGCTTGTACCTTTCAGAAAACCCCTGGCATGGGGGCAGAGGTGTCACAGTCCAAGCAGCCTCACTCCTGAGAAGCCGCCAGTGTCCCCTGATTGCAGAGTGGGCAGCGCCTGGAGCTGTGGAGGAGGGTGTCTGGGGGCGGGCTGGCCCGCTGAGCAGCGCCTCTCTTCACAGGCTACAGCATGCTGGCCATAGGGATTGGAACCCTGATCTACGGGCACTGGAGCATAATGAAGTGGAACCGTGAGCGCAGGTAGGGCCCCTGGTGGGCGTTGTCTGAAAGTGCCCCCCCGGCGAGTTGTCGGGGTCCTGTAGCATTCCGCTGTTGTCTGTGCTGGCGAGGGGTGAACGGGCCCCTTGGACTTGGCTGTGCAATCCCAGGCCCCAGAAAGTGCAGATCCAGACCCAGCACTTCCACTTCTAGGCTCTGTCCTCGAGATGTCTCCATGTCTGCAATCCCAGCACTTTGGGAGGCCAAGGTGGGAGCATTGCTTGAGCCCAGGAGTTCAAGACCAGCCTGGGCAACAGAGGGAAACCCTGTCCTCGCCACCCCAAAAAATGTGTCTAGTGAGGAGGGTTGGGACCCGTGGATCCAGATTAGGACAGGATATGAGTGGGGGGCCTGCCTCGGGCCCTCTAAGCAGGATTTTGTCAGAGGTGACCAGGCTCAAACCAGACCACACCAGGCAGTGGACACACAGGGCCAGATGAACTAGGGCCAGGCGCCCCCCTCTCCCTGTGTCACAGGCTGGGCACTCCTTCCCCACCCCTCCCCCAACCCCAACGCAGGCCAGGCAGGACTGGGAGATGGGGGTCATTGCAGGGAACTTGGAAACTGCCAGAAAGCAGGGAGAAGAAAGGAAAGATTGTGGCCCCGCCTGCCCCAGCCTCACACACTGATTATTTTGAGATGAAGGGGACGTGGTTTTGTGAGGCCCAGAGCCCCGTGATGAAGTCACCCCCTCTTCGTCGCGATCATCAGGCAGAGTTATTTTTAGGATAAAAAAAGTTTTTAATTGAAAAGAAAGTAGAAAGCCAACAGTCTTGTGGGCAGTCACCCGTGCAGCTGCCTGCACCCGCCCTCCTCTCAGGCTCCTGGTGGGCTCTGCCCACAGCCCTTGCCCTTCCCGCGACCCTCGCCCTGCCCCCTGCCTGCCTCCCCGCCCCCCTCCGCCTCTTCCCCCAGCAGCACCCTGGCCCCTGAGGTCTGTGCTGCCTGTGCTCCCCCGACCTAGCCTGGTCTGACCTGAGTGTGGGTTTCGGGCTTTCACAGGCGCCTACAAATCGAGGACTTCGAGGCTCGCATCGCGCTGTTGCCACTGTTACAGGCAGAAACCGACCGGAGGTAGCACCGCAGGGGCCAAGGTTGGGAGGTCACTGGCCGGAAGGCCCCAGGCTGCAGGGCCTGACCTGCATCCCCGAAGGTGGCCAGAATGCACGTGGGGGCCATCGCCCTGTGCCGTCAGCTGCATCCTCAGGCGTGGAGACTTAGTGGAGACCCAAGGGGGCGAACCGGAAGGCTTCCTGGAGGAGGAGGCAGCACTGGGGTTGGGGCAAGAGAAAAGCTAGGAGTTGGCTGGGGGAAAAGGAGACAGGGTCGGAGGGAGGCTTGAAGGGGTGCTACTAGGGGCCCTAGGCAGGGGCCCCTCAGGGCACTGAGGCCCCACCCCCACCATCGGCCCCATCCCCACAGGACCTTGCAGATGCTTCGGGAGAACCTGGAGGAGGAGGCCATCATCATGAAGGACGTGCCCGACTGGAAGGTGGGTCCCGGCTGGGAGGGCAGAGGTGCCAGCCACGGCAGAGACAGGGCCTGGGGTTGGGGAGCTCCCACAGCTTTCTATAGAAACCCCAGGACCAAGGGGGTGGTGGGTGCCAGGTCCCACAAGGGAAGGCTGTAGCGCCTGCCACGCACAGGGGCCACTGATCCTGGGGGATGGGTCCTAGCAGGCTGTATATGGGTGGCTGTGCCTCTACCCATACCCCACTGTCCCCACAGGTGGGGGAGTCTGTGTTCCACACAACCCGCTGGGTGCCCCCCTTGATCGGGGAGCTGTACGGGCTGCGCACCACAGAGGAGGCTCTCCATGCCAGCCACGGCTTCATGTGGTACACGTAGGCCCTGTGCCCTCCGGCCACCTGGATCCCTGCCCCTCCCCACTGGGACGGAATAAATGCTCTGCAGACCTGGCCTGCCTGTTTTCCTGGGGACTGGGGGAAAGAAGGGGGAGAGGGCCCAGCTAGGCACCACCGGATCACATGTAGCATGGGGACGCAGCAGATATGCACAGGGTGACCTCAAAACACACCTAGGGGCTGCCCCTGGATCCACTGGCGGCCTCCTCTCTGCCTCCGATATACCTGGACTCTCCTGCCTCCCTTTTGAAACCATGCCTGTCAGCAGCCCACTTACCTCTCCAGGCTGGGGGCCCCTGGGTCAGCTTTGGGTCAGACCTTCTCCACGGAGGTCTGGAGAGTGGGGGGAGCCTTGACCTCCCGGATACAAGTGATCCTCCCGCCTCAGCCTCCCGTGTCACTGCGATTACAGGATTACAGGCGTGAGCCACCATACCTTGTGCAGCCCTGCCAATTGTAGGCATGGCGAGGGTATTTGTCTGCGGAGGGGCTCCTCGCTCCCTGAGAGGGAAGCTCAGAGACACGGGGATATCTGCAGGGAAAGTAAGTCGGGGGAAGCAACCAAGATTGGCCAGGTGCCTCTGCTGTGGGCTCCTGGCACGAAAGGGTGAAGTCCGTCTGAGTCCACCGACCAATGGTGACGCGCAGCGCCTTCGCGGCGCTTCCTGATTGGCGGGCATGCAGGGTGGGCGGGAGGGAGGAGAAGAGGGGGCGTCCCCTCCCTCCACGGATGCGCTTAAAAGGCGGTGGCGGTGGCGGCAGCGCCCGGCGCCCGGGCTCACCTCGGCCATGAGCAGCGCAGCCGGCCCAGACCCGTCGGAGGCGCCCGAAGAGCGGCATTTCCTCAGGTCAGCTGGGGAGAGGGAAGCTGGAGACGGGCATGGTTCCCATGGGGCCAGGAGCAGCCCGTAGGACCGGAGGCAGGGTCATAGCTGGGACAGAATGGGGTCCGGGGACTGGAGACGGGCACAGCCGGGATGGAGGTTCAACGGCAGAGGCATGACCACGGTGGGGAACCGGAGGCAGGGATATGGCCAAGACGGGCCTGGGAATCCCGGGAATCCGAGACCCTCCTGGCATCTTGCTGGAGACACTAAGCTGCGTTGCTGGGGAAACTGCCTCCGGGGCAGCCCGCCCCTCATGAATGATTCATCAGCAGCGCTGGTCGCTCCCCCACCGAACCCCAACCGTGGCCCACCCCCACTCTCCATCTCTCCCAGGGCCTTGGAGCTGCAGCCCCCACTTGCCGACATGGGAAGAGCGGAGCTTAGCTCAAATGCTACCACCTCCCTTGTCCAGAGGAGGAAACAGGCCTGGGGAAGGCAGTCATGGCTAGAGCAGATTTGGAACGCAGGGCCTGTTTGCCAGAGGTTGGTGAGTTTGGGATCTAGAACTGGCGCCGTGGCTGTGACTCTCACCTCATCCTCCTCAGCCTTTGTGACATGGGACCCCAGGCAAGGCTGTTGACCTCACTGTGAACCAGATGCGTCCAACAGCTCCTGCCCACTGCCCACCTAGCAGGGCACGTGTCCCCTCAGCCGATGTCCAGACTCAGTCTAGGGAAGAGTGTTTTAGGAGCTGTGACTTCACCTTGGGGTGAAGGGGTGAGGTGAGGGGGGCCTCAAATGCTAAGTGAGGGGAGTGAGGGGGCTCTCAGGGGTGGGTAGGAGCTAGAACGTAGTGGGGAACTGGCTGACGAGGCTGGAGACACAGAAGGGCCTCTTAGGCATGGTGAGGAGTTTGGAGTTTGAATGTTCCCAGAGCCCTCGGGAGCCATCAGCAGGTTTGGGACCCGGTGATGCAATCTGGTGTTCGAGTTTTCAAAGCCCCCCCAGGCTCATGTTGAGTTTTGGGGGCAGGAGGCTGCTGTGTGCGGCCAGGTGATCCCCCGTGGTGGTCTGGTGGGCAGAGGTGTGAGGTGGAGAGAAGCAGGTAGGACTGAGAGCAGGGTGAGTGTGGCATGGCCACCCTGGCCTGAGGTTTCACCTCCCAGAAAGCCCCCTCCTGGAAGCATTTGGCGAGTGTCAGGCCCAGTTCCCTTTGGACCCAGGCCACTTCAGGCCTCCTGGGTCTGACAGGGAAATCCTTGGGGCCTTGAAGCTTCTCTCATCTAGGGGCCGAGATTCGGGATAGCAAAAGGCACCACTGAACACCCCCAGAATCCCACAACAGCAGAAGGGACCTGCCCTGCCTGCCACCCTCCTTCACCAGGCTCCAATTCCCACGCAGCCTCCCACCCCCACCCCACAGCTGCTGCTGTGCCCCACCCCCAGGTTCCTAACCTGGACGACCCTCTGCCCACAGAGCCCCCATTATTCTAATGACCAGTTAGACAGGAAGAGAATGTTCCAAGTGGCTGCTAGAGGCCAAAGCTTTGGGACAGAAGAAGAGGAATGCATCGCCCTCCCGCCCTCCACTTCCTCCCTGCACCCTCCTGCGGGGGCAGCAGTCAGAGCTGTCACAAGATGGAGGTGGAGGAATGAGCCATGTTCCCAGCCTGCCAGATTCCTCACCCCGAATGCAAACGCACCTCCTATGTGCTTTCCTGGGAGCTGCGCTGGCCTGCCCCGGGGGGACTCTGTCTGACTTCACCATGAGCTCCTTTTCCTCACCCCGTCCTTCAACTTCATCCTATGTCAGCTGCAGACAGGCTGAGGTTTGAATTTGGCTCTGTTTACTGGGGTGTCCCAGGGCATGTGACTTTCCTGCCCTGAGTCTCTGTCTCCGTCTTTATGTGTGGACCCCCGAAGTGTCCTCTTCACCATGTTCCTCAGTCTGGGATTTGAGGCTCTGCCTGCCCTGTCCGCTTGATCACTCTGCTTCAGCCTCCCTTCTGCCCCTTGAACATACCAGGCTCCTCCCCACCCCAGGGCCTTGGCTTTTGCTATTCTTGCCCCTGCATTACCTGCCACGATGTGCCAGGCCTCCTCCTCCAGGAAGCCCTCGCTGACTCCCATCCCATAGCAGTCCTCCTTCTCCTGCACTCTGCCTACCTGGCCTTATCATGCTGCAAAATTGGCCAGAGGGCAGACATCTCCCACTCAGAGAGTTGAAGGAAAGAGTCTCAGGATTCATCCCCTCAAAACATCCACCATCTGTAGGTCTGGCTCTATGTCTTTGTTCATGTCCTGTGGCTCTGGAGACACCAAGGGGGAAAGACCCAGTTTCCCAACTTGCTTCCTGCATGATCCTGGGCAAGCCACTCGGCTTCTCTGAATCATTAGTTGTTTTTCCAACTTTTCTAGGCCTGGCTCTTTTTATTTATGTTTGTGTTTTTTATTATTATCTTAGAGACAAGGTCTTGTTCTGTCGCCCAGGCTAGAGTGCAGTGGCGTGATCATAGCTCACTGCAGCCTCCACCTCCCAGATTGAAGTGATCCTCCTGCCTCAGCCTCCTGGGTCACCGGGATTACAGGTGTCCACCACCACGCCCAGCCTAGTCTGACCAATTGTGTAGGTCACCCGAATATTCAGTTTTGCTCCGAGAGGTGGAGACGGACCCCAGTCATTCAGTGAAGTGGATGGCAGAGCTTCACCTCCAGCTAAGTAGCCACATTTTCTGGCAACAAATAACCTTTTTTTTTTTTTTTTTTTTTTTTTTTTTTGGAGACGGAGCCTCACTCTGTCACCCGGGCTGGAGTGCAGTGGCACGATCTCGGCTCACTGCAACCTCTGCCACCCGGGTTCAAGCGATTCTCCAGGTTCAAGCCTTAGCCTCCTGAGTAGCTCGTACTGCAGGCACCCACCACCATGCCTGGCTAATTTTTTGTATTTTTAGTAGAAACAGGGTTTCACCATGTTGGGCAGGCTGGTCTGGAACTCCTGACCTCAAGTGATCCACCCGCCTCATCCTCCTGAAGTGCTGGGATTACGGATGTGAGGCACCGCGCCCGGCCTGGCCACAAATAATCTAATTATGTCACTGCCCCTGAAAATCGGTCACCAAAGGGTCTCATAGCCCCAGGCCCCAAGGCCTCCCCGCTGAGTGTGCCATCAAACACTGCAGCCTTAAAAACCCATGGACCCCAGATGCCCCCAGTCCTGTCCACCCCTTTCAGCGTCCTGAAGCTTGTTCCGTGGCTCCCACTGCCTGAAATCAGCCCATCGCCCCCATCGAAGTCCTTCATGCTCCATTCCCCTTTCTTGGTTCCCTCCGCCTTGGGAGCTGGGGACGTCTAGGTCCGGTTCCGTGTCCCACGCTTTGGAGCAGTAGAACCAACGCGCGGCCAGCGCATCTTCTGCCACCAGAGGGCGCCCGCGCCTCGGGCTTTGGCTCCCACACCGCGGCCCGCCAGGCCTCGATTCAACCCGCGCGTCGCACGGTGAAACTGAGGGCATCCCCAGCTCAAGGCTGCAGACGCTACTCGGGGGTACGGGGTGGGAGGGTGGCATTGGGACCGGGTTCAGAAGCTTGGCGGAACATTTCTGGCTCCATCTGAGGCTCTGTCTCTGTGTGTCTCTGAGTGTCCCATCCCACTCTGTCCCCAGCACCGCGGAGGCAGCCGCCCTGGAGCGGGAGCTGCTGGAGGATTATCGCTTTGGGCGGCAGCAGCTCGTGGAGCTGTGCGGTCATGCTAGTGCCGTGGCTGTGACCAAGGTACCTGACCCCTGACCCCCAACCCTGACCCCAACCAGACGGCCAACTCTCCTGAGCTGCATGACTGCTGTGACCAGGGTGGTTCACCCCTCAAGAACTCCCTTTTTGCTTGGGCCTACCCCAGCCTGATGGGTAAACTGAGGCCCAGAGAGGCTCATGGCTGGTGCAGGCCAGATGGGGACCTGAGACCCCTGGTATCAGAGAAGGCCAGGGTGGAGGTTATTGCAGGGACAGTGCCACGACCCTGGAAGTGCAACCCCTCCTGCACATGTGACCCGCCTGCTTCTGCCACCTCCTGGGTCTTGGGCACCAGGGACATCTGCTCCTGCGATCTGAACACCCCTAAACAACCCTGTTCTGCAGGTGGGGAAACTGAAGCTCAGAGGTGGCGAGGGGCCTGCCCTGGGTCAGAGGGGGATGGAAGCAGAGCTGCAACCCAGGTGTGTCTGGCTCTGGAGTAAACCCCCACACCTCGAGGGGCCAGGAGGATGACACAAGGGTGATAGCAATAATCATACTATGGAGTGCTTCACCGTGCAGCCAGCAGTGCTGGGCATCAGTTTCCTCTGCAACAGCATAATAAATGGTACTGACGAGTCAGTCCCTAAACGTGAACGCCTCAGAAAACTGTCCCATACAGTCGAGGCTCTAGCGTGACTGCCTCCTCTTCCTCCCCTGCCCTCCTCATCCCCCTCGCCTTTCTCCTCCTTCCTCCTCCTCCTGCCCCCTCCTCTTACCCTCCTCCTCCTTTCTCTCTCCCTCCTCCTCCCCTTCCGCCCCTTTCTTCTCTCCTTTCTCCTTCCTCTCCCTCCTCCTCCCCCTCCTCCTGTTCTCCTTCCTCCTTCCCACTTACCCTACCTCCTCCCCATCCTCCTCCTCCCCATTCTCTCCCTCCTCACCCCTCCTCCTCTTTTTCTTCTTATTACCACGGTATACTTTTTAAAAACTCAATGTTTTTCTTCATGTGGACTTAAATGTTTGTATTTCCAAATGAAATAGATCCCGGGTGAGGCGCCCAAAGGAGAAGGAAAATCAAAACCCCAGAAAGAAACCCAGTAGTCACTACTCGCCTGGCGCTCAGTGGCCAACTGTCTGGTTTTTGCACTGAAAGCCCCTTGTCTGTCCAGAAGCCCCTCAGTCCCAGTCTTGGGTCTTGGGCTCTGGGCCCGGTGTGGCTGGGATCGCAGGCATGTTCATGGCAGGTCAGGACTGCGCTAAGCCTTTGGGGAGGATACTTGAAAGGGGAGTAATCTGCTGTCTGTGTGGTTGGAGCTTAAAGTACAGCTGGGGCTCAAGAGACACCCAGAGTGCCTGTCAGGCGGTGGCACTGTCATCGCATTTGATAAAGGCCAAACTGAGTCTGGGAGAGAAGGGGCTGGGGCCACGCAGAATCAGGGCAGGGCTGGGGCCAAAATGCCTGGAGAGACAGAGTCTGAGAGATACAGAGATGGCCAGAGACAGATGGAGAGAGACAGATAACAGAGAGATACAGAGACAGCCAGAGACAAATGGAGAGAGAGACAAATGGAGAAAGAGAGCCAGAGACATACAGAAAGACAGAGACACTAGAGTCTGAGAGATACAGACAGACACAGAGACAGCCAGAGACAGATGGAGAGAGACAGAGACACAAAGAGAGCCAGAGACACAGAGAGTCTGAGAGATACAGACAGACACAGAGACGGCCAGAGACGGAGAGAGACAGAGACAGACAGACAGAGACACAGAGAGTCTGAGAGATACAGAAACAGCCAGAGACAGGTGGGGAGAGAGACATGAAGAGAGCCAGAGACATACAGAGAGACAGAGACACACAGAGAGACAGAGACACGGAGAGTCTGAGAGATACAGAGAGACACAGAGACAGCCAGAGAGAGACAGAGAGGCCCCAGGGCATCGTGGCTAAGGTTGGGCTCCCCTACTCCACAGCCTCCAGGAGGGGCTGAGGTCTGGAAACATGGGCGGGGGTGGGCCCGCGGTGAGAAAGGTGGAAGAATGTCTGCAACTCAGGCGGAGAATAAACAAACCGCACTCCGGGCGACGGGCAGTGGCTGGATGCACGTTTTTCCTGCACCGACCTGGCAGAGCCTGAGACCGGGCCTCTGCATCTCCAGCGGGGAAACTGAGGCCCCAAGAGGCCCAACCCCTCATCCAGAACAGCTCACCTCCTGTCCTATCCTGTTGCCTCCAGGCCCAAGCCCCATCCCTTCCCCTACTCCGGGCCTCAGTTTCCTCTCCAGGCAAGGAGGAATCTGGACTGTGCCTGTGCCTTTGCTGTGTCCCCTACCACCAGGCGTTCCCGTTGCCCGCTCTCTCCCGGAAGCAGAGGACGGTGCTGGTCGTGTGTGGCCCGGAGCAGAACGGGGCAGTGGGGCTGGTCTGTGCCCGGCACCTGCGGGTGTTTGTAAGTAGCAAGGACCCCTTCGACCTCCCAAAGTCCCTGCCCCTGCAGAAATCACTGCCTTCTTTTGATAGCTTCCCAGGGGGACATTGACGCAGGGCCAGGTTATAGAATATGCCCAGTGCTTGTCCCAGGCAGGGTCTGGTGCTGGTGACCAGGTCAGGGGAGTCTGACCCCCTCTTCTCCCACCCCCAGGAGTATGAACCCACCATCTTCTACCCCACACGCTCGCTGGACCTGCTGCATCGGGACCTGACCACCCAGTGCGAGAAGATGGACATCCCCTTCCTGAGCTACCTGCCCACTGAGGTCAGCGCTGGGTGGCAAGCAAGGGGGACATGGTGTGCAGTGGCCCTGGGCCACCCTGACCCTGCCTGCCTTCCCCAGGTGCAGCTCATTAACGAAGCCTATGGGCTGGTGGTGGATGCCGTACTGGGCCCCGGCGTGGAGCCGGGCGAGGTCGGGGGCCCCTGCACCCGCGCGCTGGCCACGCTCAAGCTGCTGTCCATCCCCCTCGTGAGCCTGGACATCCCCTCAGGCATGCCAGGCAGAGGGGGGCACATTGGGGCCTGGGGGGCTTGGGTGGAGGCCCCTGTGCCCCAGCTCCTGGTCGCCCCTGCCTGTCTGAACCTCAATCTCCCCAGCTTGGATGGACCCACACTTGGCTGAGGCTAAGGGTCACACCCATCCCTCTGATGGGGAAGATCGAGGCTGCCACCCCAGGTGACCCCAGGTCTCCTCTTTCCTCCACCCCAGTGCCCAGCCCACATGCCCTCTGCCCACCCCTGGCCCAGTTGCCTGGGCAGACGTGAGCTCACTCGGCAAAGGCCGCGCCCGCCCTGGCTGCCGCCCCATGCCTGTTGGAACCATTAGGCGACAGGCAGACGGAACAAACAGCCGCTGGCCAGCCGGACCCTCCGTGGGGGTGGCTGGACTCCGGGGGATGTCCCCTGGCTCTCGGGATCCCAGGGACATCCCAGCAGGTGCCACAGAGCAGGGGCACCAAGGGAGGCGGCGTGCTGTCTGATCTGAGTAGGGAGGCTGCAGGCTCAGCCTAGGACAGAGAGGGTGGCTCTGTCAGGTCAGAGGGGATGGTTAGGAACCTCTAGTCTGAGGGTGGTGGCTAGGGTCAGAGAAGGATTAAAGTCTGAGGGAGGATCCAGTGTCTTCTGGTGAGTGGCCCCAGAATCAAGTCAGAGATAGGAGAGAAGGCAAGGCTCCTAGGCTGAAAGTGGAGGCTCATTCAAGAGGTGACGGAGGCTGGGTGCAGGGGTCACACCTGTAATCCCAGCACTTTGGGAGGTCGAGGTGGGCGGGTCACCTGATGTCAGGAGTTCCAGACCAGCCTGGCCAACATGGCGAAACCCAGTCTCTACAAAATACAAACATTTGCTGGGTGTAGTGGTGCACGCCTGTAGTCCTAGTTACTTGGGAGGCTGAGGCAGGAGAATCGCTTGAACCCGGGAGGCAGAGGTTGCTGTGAGCTGAGATCGTGCCACTGCACTCCAGCCTGGGCAATAGAGAGAGACTGTATCTTAAAAACAAACAGGCTGGGCGCAATGGCTCACACCCATAATCCTAGCACTTTGGGAGGCCGAGGTGGGCAGATCACAAGGTCAGGAGTTCGAGACCAGCCTGGCCAATATGGTGAAACTCCATCTCTACTAAATATACAAAAATTAGCCAGGCATGGTGGCGTGTGCCTGTAGTCCCAGCTACTCGGGAGGCTGAGACAGGAGAATTGCTTGAACCCGTGTGGCAGAGGTTGCAGTGAGCCGAGATTGCACCATTGCACTCCAGCCTGGGTGACTGAAGACAGAGGCTGGGTCAGATGGAGGAGGGCGATTGAATAGTAGGATAGGAGCAGAAGCAGAAAGTCTGAGTGCAGAAGCTCTGGTCTGATTGGGAGGGAAACACCTCCAAGGACTGGGAGAGACTTGTCTGAGGGCGGAGGCAGAGTTCTAGGGGGCGACAAGTCTCACCAGGACCCATGTGCCAGAGAGAAAAGGCTGGGTCTGATGGGGGAGGGGAAGTGGGGGTGGGGCAGCAGGACTCTGGTCTGAGGGCAGAGGCTCAGTGTTGGAGGGGAGAGGAGAGGAGGCAGGGACAGGATGGACTCTAGGCTGAGGGCAGGCCACCCTCCCAGTTCCCAATCCCCCCGGACCCTCCTCCCTCAGGCTGGGACGCAGAGACCGGCAGCGATTCGGAGGACGGGCTGCGGCCTGACGTGCTGGTGTCTCTCGCGGCGCCCAAGCGCTGCGCTGGCCGCTTCTCCGGGCGCCACCACTTCGTGGCCGGCAGGTTCGTGCCCGATGACGTGCGCCGCAAGTTCGCTCTGCGCCTGCCGGGATACACGGGCACCGACTGCGTCGCGGCACTGTGACCGCCACCCGCGGCCACACCGCAGGGACCCTCGCCAATAAACAGCCCTCCCACCACCGCCGCCTCGCCTCCGCCTCCTTTGTGCACCGGGCCCGCTGCGGGGGTGGGCACACTCGAAGAGGGACTTCACACGGTCCCTGGGTGATCCAAGGCGGGGAGCATGAGAAGGGCGGTGGAGTGGGACTTCCCGCTGGCCTAGAAAACTTCAGCTAGGGCTGGGGGCGGTGGCTCCTGCCTGTAATCTCAGCACTTTGGGAGGCTGAGGCTGGAGGATCGCTTAAGGCCAGGAGTTTGGGACCAGCCTGGGCAACATAGCAAGATCCCGACTCTACAAATTAAAAGAAAAAGAAGAAAGAAAACTCGAGCCAGAAGAATGGAGGGTAGATTCAGGGTGGGACTCCCAGACTGTTTGGGGTGGCCTAAAGCCTATAGGATCGAAGTGAGACGCGAGACAGGACTTCCAGCCACCTAAAGCGGGTCCGAGCAGCTTGAGGCTGGATTCCAAGTGACACTTCCCTCAGGCAGCTTGGGATGCAGCTTGGAGGACTGAGTGGGCTCGGGGAGGGAGTTCCAGCAGGCCACGGGGAACCCAGGACAGCCTGAGGACGGAGGCACAGCCAGACGCACCAAGGGGGGCGACCCAGAGGGGTTGCTCGAGCGCCGTCACCCAGGGCCAGGGGGCGTGGCCTGAATGGGGCGTGGCCAGGGCGGGATCTGCGGTCGCATCCCGCCCCCACTCTCAGTCCCAGCGGCCGCCAGACCCGCCGGAGTTGGACCCGAGCACGCCGCGGAGCCCGGACCCTCCCTCGGACGCTCTGCCCCGGCCATGGCGTCGCTGCTGCCACTGCTCTGTCTCTGTGTCGTCGCTGCGCACCTGGCGGGGGCCCGAGGTGAGGCGCCTCCAGCCCCCGCGCCCAGCCCCTGAGGCTCCCGAGGGCCTGGCAGCCGGCCTTGGGTGAAGCCGCACTCGGGGAGAGAACCCAGGGACCCACGCGCTTCCCCGGGGACTGGGTCCCCTTCACCAGTCGGATCCCCGCGACCACCTGGGGCGCGGAGCGGGCCTCATCCATTCTCTTCCTTGGCTAAGCCGGGAGTGTGGATAAGAACCTAGGGTTCCTCCCGGGGTTTGGACTCTGAATCACCGGCCAGGTCTCCCACCCTGGACCGAAGGGGTCGGAACTGGCCCCTCCCACCTAACTCCCACACACGCACTCACTCCAACCGCTGGAGAAAGAAATGCCCATCCCTGGAACACTCAATGGGGCGGGGGACGGGCCCACTTCTCAAGTGAGGAGACTGAGGCACCCAGAAGGAAGGGGCTTGTCTGACCTCATCACTCTGCTGGGAGTATCTTGGACAGCTCCTATCTTGGAGAAGCCAGTCTAGATTCCAAGGACTTCCCGGCAGCTCGGACTGTAGTACAGGGATGGAAGACAGACTAAGGGAGGGGCTTCCAGCAGGCCAAGTGGATGAGGGGGAGCCCAGCCTGAGGGCAGAGGCACAGCCAGCTGAACTTGATTGATCTCGCGGCAGCTGAACATAGTGGGAGGGAGACTCTAGCCTAGGGGAACTGGGTGGTACTTGCACTTCCCCAGCCGGGGGGTTAGGGCTAGGTCAGAGAGAGGTACCTGGCTTTGGGGGCCTGGTGGTGGTCATGGGCAGCGCGCTGGAGGAGAGTGTATGGCAGCCCTTGGGGCTAGAGCTGGGTTCTGGCCTCTCAGAGCCTCAATTTTCCCTCCTGTTAAAATGGGGATCATGGGCCAAGCACGGTGGCTCACGCCTGTAATCCCAGCACTTTGGGAGGCCGAGGCGGGCGGACTACCTGAGGTCAGGAGTTTGAGACCAACCTGGCCAACATGGTGAAACCCCGTCTCTACTAAAAATATAAAAATTAGCTAGGCCTGGTGGAGCGTGCCTGTAATCCCAGCTACTCAGGAGGCTGAGGTGTGAGAATCACTTGAACCCAGGAGGCAGAGGCTGCAGTGAGCCGAGATCGTGCCACTGCACTCCAGCCTGGGTGACAGAGGGAGATTCCGTCTCAAAAAAAAAAAAAAAAAGGGGGGGGATGATCGTGGCTGCACCTTGCCTAAAAGGAGGCTCCCAGCGGTCCCCATCAGTAGCAGCGTGCTTCCTTCTCCCCACTCCTCACCCACAGACGCCACCCCCACCGAGGAGCCAATGGCGACTGCACTGGGCCTGGAAAGACGGTCCGTGTACACCGGCCAGCCCTCACCAGCCCTGGAGGACTGGGAAGGTGAGTTAGCCTGCCTCGGAGTCCCGTCTCTGCTGCGGGCTTGTTGGGGGTGGGGCTTGGGCTACTGGGGTCGTGTGAGGAGAGGGCACACACTAGACGAAGGGCCCGGCGCCGTCCTGGTCCCCGGACATGACAGCCCCTGGAGGTGATGCCCCAAGTTCAAGATCTAAGTGAGAGGCCGGTCAGACAGAGGCAAGAGCTCAGCGCACCGGGATGGACCAGGTCAGGCCCTGGGCGGCAGAACTGGGGTCGCGGGGAACCCAGTCTGCCCTGCACCTGTTTCAGGCCGCTGGCTCGGGTCGTGGGCGCGCTCGGCTAGCCGGTGCCCACCGGGGGAGGGGGCTGAGACAGCAAGTAAGGCCTTTGCACGCATGCATGGGGGCCTACAGGCCGCCGCCCTGGTCCCAGCGCGTGCGGTGCCCGCAGAGGCCAGCGAGTGGACGTCCTGGTTCAACGTGGACCACCCCGGAGGCGACGGCGACTTCGAGAGCCTGGCTGCCATCCGCTTCTACTACGGGCCAGCGCGCGTGTGCCCGCGACCGCTGGCGCTGGAAGCGCGCACCACGGACTGGGCCCTGCCGTCCGCCGTCGGCGAGCGCGTGCACTTGAACCCCACGCGCGGCTTCTGGTGCCTCAACCGCGAGCAACCGCGTGGCCGCCGCTGCTCCAACTACCACGTGCGCTTCCGCTGCCCACTAGGTGAGGGCGGGGCTGGATGACGGGGGCGGGGCTTTGAATGGGCGGGGCTGGCGAACGCCGGGAAGAGTCGTGGTGGGTGGGGCTGGGAGGGGCAGGACCGTGTGGGTGTGGGCGTGGCTGGGAAGAGCCGGGGGACCCTTAGGCGTAGGACGACGTCAGGGGGCGGGGCCAGGCAGGGCGGGGCTTTTGAAGAGAGGCGCTGGGAACAGCGCGGGGCCCAAGTGCACCGTCAGGAGGCCCAGCGGGTCAGGACCCATGTCCGGCCCCCTGGAACGCATCTCCCTCCCGCTGCCCTCATTTGAGCATCTGTAAGAGCTCAGTTCTGTGGAGTGTCTTGAGCCCAAATGCGTGCAGGATGCAGGGAGAAAAGCAGGACTGATCCCCGGGACCTTATGCGGGGGTGGGGAGGTGGGTCGGTACCTAAACTATGTCTTCGACAGGCGCGCCTAGGGGAGCATGGGTGGGGGCGATGGCAGATCTGCTCTCTGGAGTGTCCGCCCTTGGATGCACATATGTGAGGGGGTTGGGGAAGAAGGGTCCTTTAGTCCCAGGTTACCCGGAGGCGCAGTTCCTGGGGAGGGCGGCCACCTGATCTCCGTCCCTGCCTTCCGCAGAAGCCTCGTGGGGCGCGTGGGGCCCGTGGGGTCCCTGCTCGGGGAGCTGTGGGCCAGGCCGTCGCTTGCGCCGCCGCCACTGCCCAAGCCCCGCTGGGGATGCGTGTCCCGGGCGTCCTCTGGAGGCGCAGAAGTGCGTGCGGCCTCGGTGTCCAGGTAGGAGGGGCGGGGTCTGGAGGCTGGGACCTGTACAGAGGGGAGGAAGGGGAGGTTAGGGGCTGAGCCTGGGAGAGAGGGTGGAGTTAGAGGCGGTGCCTGGATGTAGAGAGGCAGTGCTTCTCCTGAGCGATGCCTAGAGGGGAGGAGCTAGTTGGGGGCGGGGCCTCGTGGACGGGGCTGTGAAGGGCGGGGCCTGGTGCGGGGGCGGAGCCTGGAGGACCCAAACTCTGGAGCCAGGTGGAGACCAGCCCTTCCTTCCCTCCTGGGCCCAAGGAGCACTGGTAACTATGCACATCTGGACAGGTGGATGCCAGGGGGCTCTTGTGCAGGCAGACATGGGCAGATAGGAGGGGGTGCTTCCCCTGTGTGCATTCCAGACTGTACAGATGTCTTCGTGGGGAAACAGAATTCAGTTCATGCACTCAGGGTGCACACGTGCATGGCATTTGCAGCCCCCACCCCGGTCCCCCACGCCCACACAGACACCCGCTCACAGCCTGGCAGACATGATGCCTAGGCCCTCCCAGGGCCAGACACCGGGCAAGCCAGGAGGAGACTGGAAATTCCGCTAGCGCCTGGGCTCCACAAACACGGCCTGGAGGCTGCTCCGGGGAGCCCGTCACAGGGTGGGGGCACATGGTGGCCAATGGGGCGTTGGGGTCCCCACCCCATCGCGCCTGGCTCTGCTCTCCCGGTGCCTGTGCCCTGAAGTTTCCAGTGGAATTTTCCATTTTATGGAGAAACCGCAGGATTGGGAAGGGGGGCAGTTGTTCTCAGCCCAAGATCCAGCCCCTTACTGGGCCCCCAGCCCCTGTCCAGACATTTTCTCTTCTGCTGGAAAGGGCAGTGCCATATTTTGAGACTTACCTCTCCTGTCCCCTCCTATAGGACCTCTTCCCTACGTCTCTGGATCCCAGTTCCTATGCCCTGGCCCAGTCCTGACCACTTAGCCCATCTCCCCTTCACACTAGGGACTGCTCCAAGCAGGGCCATGCTGAGGCCTCTGAGAGGCACCTTATGGGGGGGCCCCAGGCATATTTGTTGAGTGACTGATTGAATGGAAAGCCCTCCTCAGGAGGGAGTGTGAAGGTTTCTCTGTCCTGCTTCCTCTCCATATCCCCCCAGGGTGCAGCCTTGACACCTGTGAATGCCCGGACCACATCCTCCTGGGCTCGGTGGTCACCCCATCTGGGCAACCACTGCTAGGAGCCAGGGTCTCCCTGCGAGACCAGCCTGGCACTGTGGCCACCAGCGATGCTCACGGAACCTTCCGGGTGCCTGGTGTCTGTGCTGACAGCCGCGCCAACATCAGGGCCCAGATGGATGGCTTCTCTGCAGGGGAGGCCCAGGCCCAGGCCAACGGATCCATCTCTGTGGTCACCATCATCCTTGATAAGTTGGGTAAGCACCCTTGCAACATGGGGCATGAAGGGGCTGAGGATCTGGGGAGGAAGTTCTAGCACTCGATCAAGAGAGGAAGAAATGAGATGTGACACAGTCATTGGCGAAGGCACAGAGTGAGTCGGCATTTCTGGGAGAAAGGAGAGGATGGGGACGTTGCTCCTAGGAAGGGTGGGTGGGAGAAGCTCTGATCTTTACCACCTTTGACCCCAGAGAAGCCGTACCTGGTGAAACACCCTGAGTCCCGAGTGCGAGAGGCTGGCCAGAATGTGACTTTCTGCTGCAAAGCCTCCGGGACCCCCATGCCCAAGAAATACTCCTGGTGAGCGCCCGCCCCGGGCTCAGGGGCATCTTCTGTGGCTTTGGGGTTAGATTCAATTTCATGTTGTTATGTGGTTTCCCATCTGGAGAGTGGGGAAAGCGTTAACGGGGAATGAATTGGGTGGGAGAGGGACTACCAAGGAGGCTGAATGGGGCCAGTCTTGCTGGGGAGGAGGCTGACTTTGGCAAAGCCTCTCTGCAGCTCCCCAGCCTGCAGACTGGGGGCAACACAGCCCCTCCCACTGAGTCCTATGGTGTCGCTCACCTGCCATCCAGGTTCCACAATGGGACCCTGCTGGACAGGCGAGCTCATGGGTACGGGGCCCACCTGGAGCTGCGGGGACTGCGCCCAGACCAGGCTGGCATCTACCACTGCAAGGCATGGAATGAGGCGGGTGCCGTGCGCTCGGGCACTGCCCGGCTCACTGTACTTGGTGAGTGTCCTTGGCCACAGCCCCGAGCAAGCCTTCACCCAAACGGAACCCGGACTGTAGCTAAGCTCAACCCCAAATGGAGCCCCCACTTCAGACTGATCCAATCCTAGGCCTCCACTGAGCCCCCATACCACTCTGAGCACCAACCTTCAGTCCTTACCCTGGGCAGACCCCTGTCCCTTAGGTGGAGTCCTTGACTGCAGACAGAGTCCCCAGCCTTGGCCTCCATGAAGTCCTCCTCCCTGCCCTGACCTGCATGTTTTCTTTGTCCCCAGCCCCAGGCCAGCCAGCCTGCGACCCCCGGCCCCGAGAGTACCTGATCAAGCTCCCTGAGGACTGTGGTCAGCCAGGTAGTGGCCCTGCCTACCTGGATGTGGGCCTCTGTCCCGACACCCGCTGCCCCAGCCTGGCAGGCTCCAGCCCCCGCTGCGGGGACGCCAGCTCCCGCTGCTGCTCTGTGCGCCGTCTGGAGAGAAGGGAGATTCACTGCCCTGGCTACGTCCTCCCAGTGAAGGTGGTGGCAGAGTGTGGCTGCCAGAAGTGTCTGCCCCCTCGGGGGCTGGTCCGGGGCCGTGTTGTGGCTGCTGACTCCGGGGAGCCGCTACGCTTCGCCAGGATTCTGCTGGGCCAGGAGCCCATCGGCTTCACCGCCTACCAGGGCGACTTTACCATTGAGGTGCCGCCCTCCACCCAGCGGCTGGTGGTGACTTTTGTGGACCCCAGCGGTGAGTTCATGGACGCTGTCCGGGTCTTGCCTTTTGATCCTCGAGGTGCCGGCGTGTACCACGAGGTCAAGGCCATGCGGAAGAAAGCCCCGGTCATTTTACATACCAGCCAGAGCAACACGATCCCCCTGGGCGAGCTGGAAGATGAGGCGCCCCTGGGCGAGCTGGTCCTGCCTTCTGGCGCTTTCCGCAGAGCCGACGGCAAACCCTACTCGGGGCCTGTGGAGGCCCGGGTGACGTTCGTGGACCCCCGAGACCTCACCTCGGCGGCGTCTGCCCCCAGTGACCTGCGCTTCGTGGACAGCGACGGCGAGCTGGCTCCACTGCGCACCTACGGCATGTTCTCCGTGGACCTCCGTGCGCCCGGCTCCGCGGAGCAGCTGCAGGTGGGGCCGGTGGCCGTGCGGGTGGCCGCCAGCCAGATCCACATGCCAGGCCACGTGGAGGCCCTCAAGCTGTGGTCGCTGAACCCCGAGACCGGCTTGTGGGAGGAGGAGAGCGGCTTCCGGCGCGAGGGGTCCTCGGGCCCCCGGGTGCGCCGGGAGGAGCGCGTCTTCCTGGTGGGCAACGTGGAGATCCGGGAGCGGCGCCTGTTCAATCTGGACGTGCCTGAGCGCCGCCGCTGCTTCGTGAAGGTGCGCGCCTACGCCAACGACAAGTTCACCCCCAGCGAGCAGGTGGAGGGCGTGGTGGTCACGCTGGTCAATCTGGAGCCCGCCCCCGGCTTCTCCGCCAACCCCCGTGCCTGGGGCCGCTTTGACAGCGCGGTCACCGGCCCCAATGGCGCCTGCCTCCCCGCCTTCTGCGACGCCGACAGGCCAGACGCCTACACCGCCCTGGTCACCGCCACCCTGGGCGGCGAGGAGCTGGAGCCGGCCCCTTCCTTGCCCCGCCCACTCCCGGCCACCGTGGGCGTCACCCAGCCCTACCTGGACAGGCTGGGGTACCGTCGGACGGACCACGACGATCCCGCCTTCAAGCGTAACGGCTTCCGCATCAACCTCGCCAAGCCCAGGCCAGGTGACCCCGCCGAGGCCAATGGGCCTGTGTACCCGTGGCGCAGCCTGCGGGAATGCCAGGGGGCCCCGGTGACTGCCAGCCACTTCCGCTTCGCCAGGGTGGAGGCGGACAAGTACGAGTACAACGTGGTCCCCTTCCGAGAGGGCACACCTGCCTCCTGGACTGGCGATCTCCTGGCCTGGTGGCCCAACCCGCAGGAGTTCCGGGCCTGCTTCCTCAAGGTGAAGATCCAGGGTCCCCAGGAGTATATGGTCCGCTCCCACAACGCAGGGGGCAGCCACCCACGCACCCGCGGCCAGCTCTACGGACTTCGGGATGCCCGGAGTGTGCGAGACCCCGAGCGTCCGGGCACCTCGGCAGCCTGCGTGGAGTTCAAGTGCAGCGGGATGCTGTTCGACCAGCGGCAGGTGGACAGGACGCTGGTGACCATTATGCCCCAGGGCAGCTGCCGGCGCGTGGCCGTCAACGGACTCCTTCGGGATTACCTGACCCGGCACCCCCCACCGGTGCCCGCGGAGGACCCAGCTGCCTTCTCCATGCTGGCCCCCCTAGACCCTCTGGGCCACAACTATGGCGTCTACACTGTCACTGACCAGAGCCCACGCTTGGCCAAGGAGATCGCCATTGGCCGCTGCTTTGATGGTTCCTCTGACGGCTTCTCCAGAGAGATGAAGGCTGATGCCGGCACAGCCGTCACCTTCCAGTGCCGGGAGCCACCGGCCGGACGACCCAGCCTCTTCCAGAGGCTGCTGGAGTCCCCGGCGACAGCACTTGGTGACATCCGCAGGGAGATGAGCGAGGCGGCGCAGGCACAGGCCCGGGCCTCAGGTCCCCTCCGCACCCGCCGGGGTAGGGTCCGGCAGTGACCTGGGCAGGGGCCTCGCTTTCCCACCTCCCTCCAGACTCCTTTGACCCCAGGAAGTTTTGCCCCTCCTTCTTCTCCAGACAGCCCCCTCCCCAGGTGTCTGGGTCCCCTTTCCCGCCCCTTTCCAGAACTCAGAGTCAGACAAGAACCCAGAGCATCCGATGGTAGAAACACCAGGAAGACAATTGTTGCTGTGTGGTATGGAATGGAGTTTGCGGTGACTCTGGGGCCAGCACCCAGGGGACGACGTTCAACCCTAGCCTGAAGGGACCCGCTCCCAGCTCAGAAGCCGTCTCTGACTTCTCGTGCGTATTTTGACCCTGATTTCAATCTTCTACCCTTGGGAGTTCTGGCGTTTGGCACAAAGTCCCCTCTGCCTGTTTGGAGCTCAGTGCTAGACCAGGTCCCCTGCCCCGAGCTTTGTTTTTGGGGTTATTTATTGAAACAAAGTGTGGGGAGCTGGTTGTGGGTGTGAGTGGGGGTGTGGGGTCCAGGCTGGGCCCAGTGAAAAGGAGGAAGGGGTTCCCATGCGGGGGAGGCTCTGGGGCTGAGGGGAACAATTCTCACGTGTTTGGTGCTTAGAGACCTGCCCGGGGCGTTGGGCAGGCCCTCCGGGGGCTGAATTAAAAATGCTTTATTTCCAACTCATGGTGTCAGGCTCTAGGGAGGAAGGATGGAGGCTGGGGCTGCCCGGCCCAGATACACCTTTCAGGCAGAAACACGCGGAGGCACACGCGGGTGCCGGGGGCAAGAAGCACGGGCGGCTGTGACCGCTGAACACAGTGGCAGCCTGCTGCTCTGGCCTGGACTCCTTGGCTGTGCCTGGCCGTATGCCCCGGGGCTACAGCAGGCAGGGAGGGGCCCTGGCAGGGGAGCCTCTGGGGCAGGCAACAGCAAGCCAGGCCACCCTGGACCTCCTCAGTCGAGTCCACAGCAGCCCCACCCTGGGCCCCACCCACCTGAACCCCGGCCACACCTCGGTCATGTGGCGACGGGGCTGCCCGAGGCCAGGGCTTTCTGACCTTGCCAGGACCCTGGGTCTGGAGGCGGCAGAATCACGGCTGGCTGGCAGTCTGTGTGCACGTGTGTCCTCCTGGCGCTCCACAGGGCCGGCGCTGTCCTGACCACACCCCCACTGTCCAGACAGAAAAACTGAAGTCCTGGGGTCTGGCATGAATCCCAGCAGGTTTGAGCCCCCTATAGCTCTAGGTGTGTGATTCCCCAGGGTCTGGGGATGAAGGCATCAATGTGGCAAGACTGGAGTGGCCTCCAGGGCACCTGGGATGGGAGACTTGTCCCTGGCTGACACCCCCTAGGGAGTGGGGGTATGGAGCGTCCCTTAGCTTAGGGGGCAACCACCCACTTCCTCTTCAATCTCCCACCCATTCACTGGCTCCCCTCTCCAGACCCCCGATCTCATCATTCACCCATCCAGCATTTAGAGGTGTGAGCTCTGCACTAGCAACTTCAGGGGACCTGAGAGAGCCTATCTCTCTAGGGGGAGACAGGCTCACACGTGCATACCCCAATATGCCCTGGGCCAGTGCTCCACCCAGAGGGTCCCTGGCTCTTGTCCACTGGCCACATCCCCCCTTCGGCTGAGGTCTTGGCAAATCCGAACCTCCGCAGCTCTCACCCTTTCAGTCAGGGAAACACTTCCTTTGCCCTAGGGTGGACTTGGGGGCCTGGAGGCATGGGAGAAGCCCAAGATGCGAGGCGTCACCCCTGGTCTCTGAAGGTGGGCCCTAAGGGCTCTGCTGGAGTTTGGGTTTGGGCAGCCCCAGACATTGGCACCCCAGCCTCACCCTCGATAGGCTGTGACAGGCAAGAGAGGCGAGAGGTCCCTGAGGGAGCTGGCAGGGCTTGGGAGAACACACATTTATCCAGAACTTACTGTCTCTATACCCCCAGCTGATAGGCTCAGAGGCACAGGCCCCTCCCAAGGCAACCTAGGTTCCCGGCCTGCCTGCCACAGAACCCTGCTCAGGGCTGCCTGGTGGGGGTCCTGGGGAGGGGTGGGAATGGGGGCGCTCCCACTTGAAGCGGGCAAAGCTGGCTGCAGCTTTCCAGGCGGAGGGTGATGAGGTGTCAGGCTCCACGGCCAAATACCTTTCATTGAGAAAGTGTTGGGGCCTCCGACGCTGCCAGGCTAGGGCGGCCAGCCAGGCATGGAGCGGGCAGCTGGCCCAGCCCTGTCCCCTTCCCTAGGGTGGGGCAGGGGTGGACGGGCATCCTCCAGAAGCCCCCTCCCCAGTCACCACGCCTGGGCCAGGAAGGGCATCTCAGGAGGAGGACATGGCTGAAGCAAAAGCTGGGCAGGGCACGGGGCTAGAGTCCAGCTCCTCCCCATCCCTGCTGATAACTCTGCAAGAGGGCAGCGTTTGGCCACAATTTCCAGATGAGGAAACTGAGGCTCCAAGAGAAGGACGCCATCAACCTGAGTCAACAGCCTTGTGCCTCTTGACACTGCCTGTCTCCCCCAACTGCAGCCCTCAAGCCAGGAATCCCACCCCCTCCCTCCTGGAACCTGGGCTACCGTCCGCCTCCTGGTAAATCCATTGTCTACCCCCCAACCAAATTGGGGCTGCCAGACCACACCCCCTCAGTCTGGGAGGAGTGAGGGGCAGGGGACCCCCTCGAAGAGACCCCCAGCTGCAGCCACCCTGGGTCAGCTCAGGGCACAAACAGGCCCTTGGTCCCGCCCACGGCATTTTAGACTTTTATAATTTTAGAACCAGGGGTTCTTAAAATTCCTAGCACCATGATGGGGAAAAAATCTTGGAACAGTAAAATGTTTAAAACAAGAGTCTTCAAACCACAGAATCCAAGAGGAGGGAGATAAAAATGAACACACATTGAGCGTTGACTGACTGTAAGCCCTCCGAGCCAGCCCCCGCAAAGCCTAACTCACTTTAAGGGCATTTAGTATAAATCTGTTGCCTTGGGATCCCCAAAATATGCTTTTAGGGAGGATGATTTTTACCCCCATTCCACAGCTGGAGGAATCTTCTCAGGGTCACACAGCAAATGGGGTACTGTGGGCTGGGGAAGGGCAATGTTTCCTGGAGAAGGGGACATAAGCACTGGGTCTTGAAGGATGTGTAGGAGTTTGCTGGGTGGCCAAGGCAGGAAGGGCATACCAGGGAGCTGGAAAGGTGAACGTGAAAGCTGGAGGAGGGAGACCCACGGAGGGCGGCAGTAGAAGGGAGACACAAAGTGGAGGTGAGCAGGGGCTCGAATGCTGAGTGAGGAGCCTGAGTTCTCTGGTGAGCAATAGGGAGCTATGGGTTGTGCTGAAGCAGGAGAAGGTTACACAATATCTCGTGACAAAGACTCCCCTGGAGCTGGTGCAGGACTCAGCTTCTTACAACATGCTTCTTTCACGGAACTGGGGTCTGCTCCCTCCTACTTGGGGGCCCTTCCAGGGTCCAAACCCTGCAGCCCAGCGCCCTCTCCCCGCCAGCTGCCTCCTGTCCTGGCTGAACATCCCTGGCTCCTCCATTGGGGCCTCGTGGACCTGGCGTGGCCACCCACCACTTCCCTAGCCCCGTCTGTCTCTCTCATCAGCCCTCAGAGTTGGGTCTGACCCAGCCTCAGACCCCAAAGACTGGAGCCAGCCTGGCGGGGAGACCTGGCTTTGGTCAGGTGGGGGAAGTGCTTGTGCTTTAATGGTGGAAACAAAGGCAGGATGCCACAGGGTGAGAGCAGACCAGGAGAATGCCATGTCCCGATGCCTCAGCCCTCCCAGGGCAGGAGCTAAGTCTAGACCCCTGGGCCGAGGGTGGAGGGGGTCTGGGCAGGCAGGAGGGAGGAGACCCCGGCCATCGGGGAATCAGCAGACCCTGAGGTTTGGAGGTGGATGCAGGGAAACAAACACTACCCTAGGCAGGGCGAGTGTGTCACACAGAGCCAGACACGCCTGTCATCGATCTCGAGGTCACGCTGCCCTCGTCACGCCCCATCCCTGTCCCCTGTAGTCAGGGGCATGACTCCCTCCTTCCCATACTTCCTAGCCAACTTCTCGTCACCTGATTGGTGACACTGTCACCCTCAGGACAGCCACATAGGCAGTTGCACTCGAAAAGAGCATGAGCCCAGACACACCAGACCCATGGGACACGCTGGACACTGTCCCCCCTCATCACAGCAGCACGGGTAGACAGATGCACCCTCAACACAGAGAAAGGCCCACGCTTAGGGTCAGGTAGCGGTGCCTGCAGCTGCGTGCACCTGTGCATACCTGTGCACACCTGTGCGCACCTGTGCCCAGCTCCCCTTTGACTCACCCATCATCACCCCACACATCGGGACACACTTGACCCCCAGACTCCCAGCTGGCCAGTCTCAACCCCCCACGACCCTCCACAACTCAGCCCCACCAGGCACATGAAGCCATGCCGAGCACAGGCAGCACCTCCCACTCTCTCGGGGCCCTGGGGAGCGGGTCGGCCCTGGGGCTGGGGACTGGCGGGAGGCCTCAAGGTCCCAGCCACTTTTCCAGGGAAGTCCTGAATCCCTTCCTGCTGACTCAGCCCTGGGGGCTGGCTAGGCTGGGGGCTGCCAAACCTCAGGTATGTCCTTGAAGGCTGCCTGGCGGGGCCTCTGAGGTGGGGGCGGGGGCTCCCACTCGGGACTCAGTCCTTCCCTGGGCCCCAGCCTCCCTCCTTGCCCCAGATGGAGCTGCAGCTTTAACCGTGGCGTTCAGGGCATGGGGCCAGCACGATGGAGCCTGAGGCCGGCTGCTCCCACCCCAGTTCCTCCCGGCTGAGGGTTGGTGGAAGAATAAGCTCCCAGCCCAGCCAGAGTATCCCAGCCTGACTGTGGCCTCATAAAGACAGCACTGTCTGGTGGGAGGTGGCCTGGCTGCCCATCCTGGGGCCCAGCACAGGGACCCATGCACACACAGTGGGCACACACGTACCCATGTGATGGCTACATGCAGACCTGTGGATACAGATGTGCATCATCAGACACAAACTCAGCACCAGGACTGGCCCCCACAGAACCCCAGTCAGGAGGGGGAGGCAGCACTGGCCACAGATACTCCAGTCTGCAGGGCCAAGGTTGGCCAGCCCAAAGGCCAGGGGCTGGGAAAACCCAGAGGAGGGCCCAGGGAAGGCTTTCTGGAAGAGAGGGCATTTTGACTTGGGCTTTGAAGGGTGAGTAGGAGTTTACCAAACCAAGCTCAGATGTCCAAAAGTCTTAATGCTGGTTTTGAGGTTTACCTTTTGTCTGTGAGGATGTTGGGCAGGGGAGGGAGACAGACAAACCCCAATTCACTACCTCCTTTTGAGGACCCAGCCTCTGCCCTCAGGGAGCTTCCAGTCAGATAGGGGAGGCAGCACTGACTCAGCCAGGAGGGATAGAAGATACTTCAGCTGTGTGAAGCACCTGTCGTGTGTTGGGTTGGATCCTGTCAAAAACCCATAGGGAAAATTCTATTATGATCCCCATTTTACAGCTGAGAAAACTGAGGCTGAGAGCGGGACATACCTTGCTCAGGGCCCACAGGGAAGCAGAGCTGTTCACACACAGCCCTGGTTGCTGACGTGCAATTGTGGCTGCTGACCTGGTCCCAAACCAACTCAAAAGTTTGCGGGCCAGAATGGTGCAGCTCAAAGAAGTCTGCGTTGGCAAAAGTTGCATCTTTGCACCTGGAATCCTGGCCAGGCCGGGAGGCCCCTCCTCCCGGGACATACAAGATCCCCCTGGGACTTCTCAGCGAGATCATCCCCTGTCCTTTGTTATCTGGCTGCTGAGTGGCTTTCACGGGGCAGGGGCTTCTAGGCAGAGGGATGTTGGAGTGAGGGCCTGGGGGTGCTTCGCCAGGACTTCTGGGAGGCCTGGGTCCCCAGCCTCGGCCCCGCTTGCCATCTGGCCCAGCTGAACACAAACACTTGGACATGGCCGACCCAACGGAATCTGGGTTGTGGTCAGGCCGTGGCTGAAAAAGCCACTGGAAAAACACGCAGCCCACGGGGCCAGGCCCAGCTTACGTTTCACCAGGGAGGAGTGGCCTGCTCGGCGCCCAGAGCCGAGGAATGTCCGTTCTCTAACCCTTTGGAACTTGTTGTCTGACTGGGGAATCCAGCAGCTGGGCGGTGCCATCCTTAGTGCCCTCTGGTCAGGCTGTGACTTACCTCCTGCTGTGTTCTTGGAGACTCAGGCCTCTTGGCGTGGCCCCCTGGCCCAGCCCCTGGCCAGCCACTGCTGAAGACCCCTTGTCAGCTTGCACACCCCTGAAGACAGAGGGCTCACTCCCTTCCAGCTGTCATGCCAGGCAGCCGGAAGCCTGTTAACTAGGCTGATTTTTTTTTTTTGAGACAGATTCTTGCTTTGTCGCCCAGGCTGGAGTGCAGTGGCACGATCTCGGCTCACTGCAAGCTCCGAACTAGGCTGATTTTTTATGGGAAATTCGGGCTTCCTTGGCCACACAGATGGGAGGTCAGTGCAGCCTGGGCACTCCCTCCTTTCCCTGGGGTTCCACCTCCTTCTGGATCTCCGGATGTCCCCTCAGGCCCCTAGGATCAGCAGGTCCCAGTGGACCCCAGTATCTCACTGCGAAACGTGTTCCTCACCCTGCAGCCATGTCTCAGGGTTATCCATCTGTCTGTCTGCCCTGCGCCGCGGGCAGGGCTGGTGGCCCACACATCCACTGAGTGCCCACTGGATGCGGAAGCACCTCACTTGCATCTCCTCACTGACCTCTCCCGGGGAGGCTGGTCCCATTAGTGCTCCACTTTGCGGGGGAGGGCCGGGGGGGCGGTGTGGGGAAACAGAAGCTCAGGGGGTTTCTTTTACGTCCTGAAGATGTGGTGGCAGATTCTGGAAGTAGGAGCCAGTTCCCCACTGGCTCCAGGACAAGGGCCTGGGAAACCTCGTTTGTCAGGCCGGGACAACGCCTGGTGGCCAAAGGGGGAGCTGCAGCCTGGGCCATGGGGGTGCCTGCTGCAGTGTCCCTAGCTTAAGGCTGGCTTGGGTTACTTCTCTGCTCAAACACCCTCCATGGCTCCCGTAGTCTCCTCAGCGGGCACAGGGGTGCTAGATGAGCCCCTCCTGGGTCATTACAGAGACTCCTGACTGCAAAATCTTGCCTCTTGGGTCAGACCTAAGCCCTGTCCTCACTCAACCTCACAGCCTGTTTCCCCAGCTGGGGAATAAACCAACAATGGCCTTTGCCTCTTCAGGAACTGGTGACTGCAAGGCTGGCATGGGTTAGGCGCTCTGTAATTGCAATTGTCACCCTCAGTAACGCACAGGAGAGGGGCAGGGACTTGAGCTGGGGTGTCCCAGGCAGCCTCAACCACCCTCCCTCAGCAATCGCTACCCGCCCCCCCGCCCAGGACAAGGCATCTGAATCAGGGCCTCAATTTCCTCCCCAGAGTGTGGGGGCCTCCAAACTTTATCGAGGGTCCTAGTGTGTTAGGTCTTGAAATGCCCCCTGGAGTCGTAGGGGAACAGAAATGTTCACTAGGGAGTGGGTATAGGGCCTTGCCAAGCACTGATGAAGGGGCCCTAGAAACTTCCATCTTTTTTTTTTTGAGACAGAGTCTGGCTCTGTCACCCAGGCTGGAGTGCAGTGGTGCAATCTCGGCTCACTGCAACCTCCACCTCCCGGGTTCAAGTTATTCTCCTGCCTCAGCCTCTCGAGTAGCTGGGATTACAGGTGGGCACCACCATGCCCAGCTATTTTTTGTATTTTAGTAGGGCTTCACCATGATGCCAGGCTGGTCACGAACTCCCGACCTCAATTGATCTGCCCGCCTTGGCCTCCCAAACTGCTAGGATTACAGATGTGAGCCACCACACCCTGCCAAAACTTTCATCTTAAAACTATGAGGGAGACCTTGAAACTCTATGTGGGGGAAATTGAAACTGCATATGGGGGTCTTGAAGGTGCCACTGCACACCTTGCTTGGCCTGAGCAAACCTGCAGGTTACTTCCACCCGTGACCCACGTGGGGAGACTGACGCCAGAGACCTCCTCCCCACACACCACGCCTCTCCTCATCCCTCAACACTCTCCGGGACCCGCTTCCGTCCAAAAAACCCCCATGGGCCAGGCAGGCGTAAGGTTGCGGCCCAGGGAGGGGCAGCCCGTTCCCTAGGGCCACACGGCCCAGCCCCTTACCCCGTTACTTGGGGCAGGGGTCGATTCCGAGCCAAGGGTTGGGGCGACTGACCTAGAGTGACTGGAGCTAGGCCCGCGGCTGCCTGAGTTGCCCCATCTCTATCCCAGGAGAGGGAACCAGTGCCAGGAGGAAGACCAGGCGCCCGCCCCTGCGGACGCTCCTAGCCCCTTAGCTAAGGTCTCAGGACACCGGCTGGCGGTGAGGACGGGGCAGCTCAGGGGAAAAGAAAGCCAGGGAGGGCCGGGGGCTCCGAGGGGTTTTAGGGAGGGGTACAGCAGTTAGCCAGGCGGAGGGAATGCCAGTGCAAAGGCCCTCCCTGCGGTGGGAATGAGCTTACTCAGGGGCAGTGAGGGGTCAGCGAAGAGGGAGATGCCCGGATCCTCTTCTATTGTAAGATCGCCCCCTGGCGGCCCAGTAGAGAAGGGGCAGGGAGATGGGGCCGGTCCAACCTCCCGTCTACCCTCCAGCTCTCCCAGCCTGGCAGATGAGTGGCCCCCTTCTCCCAGCCTGGGTGTCCCCAAAGGCAAGAAGGAAAAACAGAATCCCAGACCTTGCGAGAGCACCCCTGCATGGACACAGCCGTCAGCACCTTTCTGTGCTCATGGGATTGCCACCAAGCCCTTCGAGCAGGAGCACATGTGCCCATTTTATAGAGGGGCAAATGGGCTCAGGGAGAGAGGGGAGCAAGCAGGGTGCAGAGGCAGGACTCAAACCCAAGACTCCGGCCCTGTCTGGGGCTCTGGCAGGTTGGGCTGGACCAGGTTGAGGGTGTCTGTTGGGAGCTGGAGGAGCCACTATGGGCCTGTGAGGGTCCCAGGTAGGTGGTCAAGGTGGGAGGCTGGGGAATCCAGAACGCGGGCGCAGGGGACAGTACACATCACCAGGGTTCCCTCTCTGTGCCTTGGTTTCCCTAGCACTTCGTTGAGGAAGGTGAGAACATCACTGGCTCCCTCCTCAAATGGTCCCCCACTCGTTTTGGGATCTGCTGGGGATTCTTGCTTCAATCCATGTGCCCACGGGCCACTGGGAGTCCCTACAACGCTGCCAGTGGCCCCATTTAACATGCAGGTCCCAGGTCAGGCATGGTGGCTCACACCTGTAATCCTAGCGCTTTGAGAGGCCAAGGCGGGCTTATCACCTGAGGTCAGGAGTTCAAGACCAGCCTGGCCAACATGGCAAAACCCCATCTCTACAAAAATACAAAAGTTAGCCAGGCATGAGGGCGGGCGCCTTAATCCCAGCTACTTGGGAGGCTGAGGTAGGAGAATCGCTTGAACCCGGGAGGCAGAGGTTGCAGTGAGCTGAGATCGCGCCACTGCACTCTAGCCTGGGTGACAAAGCAAGACTCCGTCTCAAAAAATTAAATAAAATGCAGGTCCCCAGTTCCCTCAGCGGAGGCTCCTACAGATTTGGATGTGTCTAGAGATTGAAAGCATTATCCCTCACTTTCCAAATTCTTGCTGTTTCAAAATGAGGAAGGCTGAGAGCTGAAAGCCCACCATCCCGTCCCAGCTGGACCCACAATATGGGTGATGTGTGGTCCAAGGGCGGGCAGAGGCGGTTACCCCAGTCAGGATCACACACTCCAGGTATTTAGCTACCATTTGCAAAACACTCTTGCTAGAGGTAGTGGTGTGTGTCTATAGTTCCAGATACTCAGGAGGCTGAGACAGGAGGATCACTTGAGCCCTGGAGTTCGAGGCTGCAGTGAGCTATGTCACTGTACTCCAGCCTGGGTGACAGAGCAAGACCCTATGTCTAAATAAATAAGTAGGCCAGCATGGTGGCTCAGTCCTGTAATCCTACCACTTTGGGAGGCCGAGGCAGGCGGATCACTTGAGGTCAGGAGTTCAAGACCAGCCTGGCCAACATGACAAAACTCCATCTCTACTAAAAATACAATAATTAGCTGGGCCTGGTGGTGGGTGCCTGTAGTCCCAGCTACTCGGGAAGCTGAGGCAAGAGAACTGGTTGAACCTGGGAGGTGGAGGTTGCAGTGAGCTGAGATTCACGCCACTGCACTCCAGCCCGGGTGACAGAGCGAGACTCTGTCCCCCCTCCCCTCAAAAAAAAATTATTTATTTAATAATAAAAATAAATAGGCTGGGTGCGGTGGCTCATGCCTGTAATTCCAGCACTTTGGGAGGCTGAGGCGGGAAGGTCACCTGAGGTCAGGAGTTCGAGACCAGCCTGGCCAACATGGTGAAACCCTGTCTGTACTAAAAATACAAAAATTAGCCAGGCATGGTGGTACATGCCTGTAATCCCAGCTACTCGGGAGGTTGAAGCAGGAGAATCACTTGAACCTGGGAGGCAGAGGTTGCAGTGAGCTGAGATCGCACCACTGTACTTCAGCCTCGGCAACAGAACAAGATTCTGTCTCAAAATAAATTAATTAAAATAAAATAAAATAAAATAAAATATAAAATAAAATAAAAAGAAACACAAAAATTAGCCAGGAGTGGTGGCACATGGTTATAGTCCCAGCTACTCAGGAGGCTGAGGTGGAAGGATCGCTTGAGCCGAGGAGGTCAAGGCTGCAGTGAGCCATGATTGCACCAATGCACTCCAGCCCAGGTGACAGAGTGAGACCCTGTCTCAAAAAAAAAAAAAAAAAAAAAAAAAAAAAAAAAAAAAAAAGCTGGGTGTGGTGGCTCATGCCTGTAATCCCAGCACTTTGGGAGGCTGAGGCAGGTGGATCACTTAAGGTCAGGAGTTCAAGACCAGCCTGGCCAACATGGTAAAACCTTGTCTCTACAAAAATACAAAAATCAGCCGGACATGGTGGCAGGTGTCTGTAATCCCAGCTACTCGAGAGGCTGGAGCGGGAGAATTGCTTGAACCTGGGAGGCAGAGGTTGCAGTGAGCCAAGATCACGCCATTGCACTCCAGCCTGGGCACCAGAGTAAGACTCTGTCCCCATTCCCCTCAAAAAAAAAAAAAAAAAAAAAATCAGGAGGGGAATTGATGAGACTAAAGGGTACATGCATTCTTATTTTTTATAGAGATGGGTTATCACTCTGTCTCCCAGGCTGGAGTTCAGTGACATGATCACGGCTCACTGCAGCCTTGAACTCCTGGGCTCAAGTGATCCTCCCGCCTCAGCCTCCTGAGTAGCTATGGTGTCCATCACATCTGGCTAATTTTAAAAAATGTTTATGAGACAGCGGTGTCACTATGTTGTCCAGGCTGGTCTTGAACTCCTGGCATCAAGCGATTTTCCCACCTTGGCCTCCCAAAGTGCTGGGATTACAGGCCTGAACCACCATGCCCAGCCTCAACGTGTCCACTTTTAATATGAATAGATTCTAGAAAATTGCCCTCCTGGGCGGCTGTACCAGACTGTACCCACCACCACTGCCTTCAGGCTGGGAGCCCCCCGCCCTGCTGCTTCCTCCTATCTAGGGGCTCGGGGTGCAGGTCACAAAGCCTCTGAGCCTCATTGTCCCCACCTGTTATGTGGAGACGCCTATCAGCACCCACACAGCTAGCAGGCAGTTCAAGTCCCTGGTGACTCCTGTGTCCCTGTAATCACCTTTATGGCTTGGTTACTATCATGCAGCCAACTTTTAGGCACATTTGAATAGTGCAATATAAAATATTAATAAAGTGTGACTTTGTGTGCAGAATTTGACCTGGGTTGGGGGGGTGGGGCGGGTGCAGCAGCTCACACCTGTAATCTCAGCAATTTAGGAAGCCGAGGCGGGCGGATCACTTGAGCCCAGGAGGTTGAGACCAGCCTGGCCAACATGGCAAAGTCCTGTCTCTAATAAAAATACAAAAATTAGCTGGGCATGGTGGCGCATGCCTGTAGTCCCAGCTACTTGGGAGGTTGAGGCAGGAGAATGGCTTGAACCCAGGAGGCAGAGGTTGCAGTGAGCCAGGATCATGCCCCTGCACTCCAGCCTGGGCAACAGAGGGAGACTCTGTGACACACACACACACACACACACACACACGCGCACAACGAATTTGACCGGGGTGGGGATTTCTTTTATCGAAACCCCCCAAGAGGCCTAGCTCTGAATCTCTGAACCGTGATCTGCATTCACGCTACAGGCAGAGGAGGGCGGGCGGGAGCTGGAGGCGTAGCTGCCCACAGGCTCAGCTCCAGCCTCTGGCAGGCACATCCAGTCACCGCTTTGTCCTCAGCACCCAGAGGAGCTGCCCGGCAGGTCCTGCCCTCTCCCTCCCTCAAGGACCTGCCCAGCAGCTCTCCCGGGCTCACAGCCTTAGTTTCCCTCCCACACCGCATGTCCCCCAGTGACCTCTTTGCTCTGAATCCCCCCAAGGGCTGACGAGGCTAGAGCCTCCGATTTTCTAGTAGTTGTGGCCCCATCACTCCACTGAAGCTGTCACACCCGATGCTGGACTTGGAGGTGGCTTCTTGATCCTGGTGGAGCTTCACTTCTGCTCCTGGTGTCTGTCCTTCTTTCTGCTTCTATGACATCCTCTCCTAGTTTCTGTCCCATATTTTGGCCTCCGTTGACTTCCAAATTGCTCTCTGCAGAGCAGGCCTCTCCCATGAGTGCGACTCCCATGTGCAGCTGGGGGACGGACACCCTGGGCCTGACAGCGTGGAGCTGAACCGGTCTCCCCCTCAAAACCATCCCCGTCTATTCCACCGGAGACTTCGGGCACCGTGACTCCTCTTCATCAGCAAGTACTGTGGCGCCACCTTCGCCTCCATCACGAACTCAGCGACACTTGACCATCCACCACCTAGGTCCCAGGACCCTCCTATGCCCCTCACTGCTGTCTGTCCTGGATGCAGCATTGGAGTGGCTGTGAAGATGCTGAGTCTAATGGGCACCCCCGAGGGCTGGCACCTCCTGCCCCTCCTCTGTGTGTGTGGACACCTCGAGGTAGGGTCAGTGCTCTCCGTACGCTCATGCTCACCTCCTGTAGGCCTTGTCTCAGAAGGCACCTTCCCCAGTTGGGATGGGACTGAGCCACAAAGCAGAAGGCGCACTGGCCCGTGCTCCAACGTGGATGAACCTCAAAGACACGATGCTGAGTGAAGGAAGCCAGACATGAAGGCCACACAGTGCACAAGCCCACTGATCTGAAATTTCCAGACCAGGCACATCTGAGACAGGAAGCAGACTGGTGGCCGCCAGAGGCTGGGGAAAGGGAATGAGGAGTGACTGCTCATGGGGACAAGGCTTTTTTTGGGAGATGAGAAAGTTTTGGAAATAGAAGTGATGATGTTGTGAATATATTCACTTCATTGAGTTGTGCACTCAAAAATGGCATACTTGGCAGGGCACAAGGCTGAAGTGGGGAGATCACTTGAGATCAAGAGTTCAAGACCAGCCTGGCCAACATGGCAAAACCTCATCTCTACTAAAAATACAAAAATTAGCCAGGCGTGGTGCATGCCTATAATCCCAACTATTCAGGAAGCTGAGGCACAAGAATTGCTTGAACCCAGGAAGTGGAGGCTGCACTGAGCCGAGATCGTGCCACTGCACTCCAGCCTGGGCGACAGAGCGAGACGGAGTGCAGTGGCACGATCTCAACTCACTGCAAGCTCTGCCTTCTGGGTTCACGCGATTCTCCTGCCTCAGCCTCCCCAGTAGCTGGGACTACAGGCGCCCACCACCATGCCCGTCTAATTTTTTCTATTTTTCAGTAGAGACGGGGTTTCACCGTGTTAGCCAGGATGGTCTCGATCTCCTGACCTCGTGATCTGCCTCAGCCGTCCAAAGTGCTGGGATTACACTTCGTGTGTGAGCCACTGCGCCCGGCCAAAAAAATGTTTTTTAAAGGGGAAGGGGAAGCTTTATGTTATGTATATTTTACCACAATTTAAAAGAGAAAAGATAAAAAAGGCCTTCTCTTGGAAACTGGCCCTGAACCCACCCCCCAACTTTTGCGTGTGTTTCTGATAACTTCTGTCTGGAATGTAGCTCACAAGAGCAGGGACATGCCCTCTGTCTGTGAGTCTTGGGCTGCAGGGGGCCATGAGGCAGGCAGACTGGATGTGACAACAGGAACTTAGGGTGGGGATGGGAGTTGCCTTCATTTCCTGGCTGCAAATGGTAGAAAGCGCAGCCACACCACCGTAGGGAGGGAATCCCATGCCAGGGCTGACTAGGTTATGAGCAGGGGGTGGGCAGAGGTACCACGACTCCAGGCTTCTAGTCCCTGGATGCTCTTCCCACCTAGTCATGCCTTGGGCCCCGCAACACCCGAGGCTGCACAGAGCCCAGGGCCCTGGTTCTTGGTGCCGTCCAGCACCCAAACATGAATTGGGGGATGCCAAGCTCTAAGCCGTGCACAGCAGTGGGCCAACAGGACCTCACGCACAGTATGCAGGAAAAGTGCTTTGGAAGTTTATCGTCTTTAATGACATTTCAACTGAAAACAGAAACCAGCTGGGCGCAGTGGCTCACACCTATAATCCCAGCACTTTGGGAGGCCAGGGCAGGTGGTTCACCTGAGGTCAGGAGTTCGAGACTAGCCTGGCCAACATGGTGAAACCCCGTCTCTACTAATACAAAAAAATTAACTGGGCATGGTGGCGCACGCCTGTAATCTCAGCTACTCAGGAGGCTGAGGCAGGAGAATCGCTTGAACCTGGGAGGTGGAGGTTGCAATGAGCCGAGATGGCGCTATTGCACTCCAGCCTGCGCGACAAGAGCAAAACTCTGTCTCAAAAACAAAACAAAACAAAACAAAACAAAAAAACAGCAAAAGAGCAAATAGAGCAAAACCCGAAAAAAGTGCAAAACTAATTCCCAGTAAAATTGAGCTCCGAACATAAAATAAATATATATAATTGAGACAGGGTCTCACTCTGTCACCCAGGCTGGAGTGCAGTGGCGTGATCTCAGCTCACTGCAGCCTTAACATCCCGAGCTCAGGTGATTCTCCCTCCTCAGCCTGTTGAGTAGCTGGGACTACAGGCATGCGCCACCATGCTCAGCTAATTAAAAAAATTTTGGGGTGGGGGGCGGTCGGGCACGGTGGCTCAAGCCTATAATCCCAGCACTTTGGGAGGCTGAGGCGGGCAGATCACTTGAGCTCAGGAGTTCAAGACCAGCCTGGCTAACATTGTGAAACCCCATCTCTACCAAAAATACAAAAAATTAGCTGGGCATAGCGGCAGGCACCTGTAATCCCAGCTACTTGGGAGGCTAAGGCGGAAGAATCGCTTGAACCTGGGAGGCAGAGGTTGTGGTGAGCCGAGATCACACCACTGCACTCCAGCATGGGTGACAGAGCGAGAATCTGTCCCCCAAAAAAAAAAAAAATCTGAAAGCAGAATTTTTTTGTAGAGACGAGGTCTCACTATGTTGCCCAGACGGGTCTCAAACTCCTAGGCTCAAGCAATCCTCCTACCTCGACCTCTCAATGTGCTGGGATTACAGGCATGAGCCACTGCTCCCAGCCAGGACATTTTAAAATCAGAACAGAATGATACGGTCCCACAGAAGACAGTGTTGGGAGTCTGTGCCTGAGCGGCGCAGGTGAGTGGCAAAATCACAGCACACATGACACTGCAGCTGTGACCGGTGTCAACTACCACCCAAAACAAATCTGGCAAACAGACATCGGAATTAAAATAAGTCAAAAATTTTAATGGGAAAATCTGTGCCCAGTCCTAGAACAGACAATTCAATTCATAGCGTTACCATAAAATTACTGTCAAAAAAACGAACTGAAGTGGGAGAATGAGTGGCGTTTCAGGCCATCTCGAGTCGCAGCAGACACATGAGCCGGCGCCACGGGCCTGGCTGAGGAGCAGGGGCTCATGGGCACCACCACCCATCTGGGTTTTCTGAGGTCGTCGGCGGCACGTTCAGTAACAAAGCAACGGCTGGCGATACATGGCAGCTCACGCAGCGCTCTTTCCTGCTTATCCCCCAAACTTAATTAGATGTACTGGAGTTGATGCTGCCAGGGTCTCCAGCAGGTGAGGCAGTTGCAGGTTGGGGGGTGGCCCCCTGCCAGCTACCCTGGGCCTGAAACGACAGAGACTGAGCATCAGAGTGGGTGGCCGTGAGACTGGTGACTACCCAGCCCACGTGCTGCAGGCGGAGCCTCCAGGGGTCCCTGGGAAGGCTTGGAAAAGATCCACAGATGACCTCCAGCTCAGTGGAGGAGGGAAGGGATGGAGGGGTCGGTCCTGGGTCACAGCTGGCCTTGCCACCTGACATGGGACATGGACGAGCTTCCCCGGCAGGAAAACTGGCCTCTAGTGGCTTCCCTGGGGCTTAGGCAAAGGACTGACTGGCATCGGGTACAACAAGGGCTCCTGCCCGGCGAGGGGCAGGGAGGCAAGGTCAGGCCTGGAGCCCATGATGACGCCCGGAGCGTCATGGTGAGACTCGGTGGGAAAAAGGGGCTCTGAAACCTGGCCCAACACTGGCCTGGCTGGGCAGCAAGGAGGGTGGGAGGCAACCACTTGTCATAAGGGGTGGGGGCTCTGTCTGCAGTGCAGAGACGGCATCACGTCCAACGGCGCTAAGACGTTTGTCCACAGGACCCACCCCCACTATGGTGGGCACGGTACAGGTTAAGGAAGTGGCTGGGACTGCTCTGCCCGTGAGTGTGGGAGCAGCTCAGACGGGTGCACCACCTGGGGGCACTCTGCTCTGAACTGGGGTGGACACACAGCTGCTGGCGCGTAGTCAGGTCCCAGGGGTGCAAAGGGCAAGGTGAGGCCCCTCACGTGTGTCCCTGGCTGGGGGCTGCATGGTGATGGGGGGCAGCTGCCACAGCAGGACAGTGTGGGACGTGTGCTTCCCAGGACCAGGTGGGACCCCACAGACAGCACAGGAGGCATCCGTTCTCTGAACCCCTGGGAGAGAGTGGTGAGTTGGGAGGGGCACCCGGCTCTGCAGTGCCCTGGCACACACCACACACACAGCCTCGTGCCTGTGCTGGGCACATGACACCTGGGCCTCCTCAGTGTCTTCAAGACGGTCCCCACTCGCTGCCTTCCCAGCCAAGCTGCGGCACTGAGGTCTGAGCCCGAGGGAAGGCCCCATCTCTCCTCCGGCCTCCTCTGCTGGCTGCCTGCCCCTCCCTCTCGAGGGAAGGACACCATGTCCTCCCACAGTCCTCTAGGAGGTGCCCTTCCCCTCCACAGCCAAAGCCCTCATCTTGGGGTTCATCCCCACTGACTGTTCCCAGCGGCTGCCGTGGTGACAAGTGGAGGTGGGGGAGGGCACAGTCATTACAGAGTGGGGCCCTGCAGAGCTGTGCCCCAGAGGTGGCCGCGCAGCATGGCCTGTGTGGCTGCTGGGACCTCTGGGGAAGCTGCCCCAAGGCCGAGGGGTGGCTGACAAGACGACCCTTTCTGAGAACCTACCACCCACCTGGGCGCTGTGGGACAGTGCCTGAGACTCACCTGGGACTGCAGGCAGCCTCCCCCAGGAGGAGGCTGGAGAGAGGCCAGAGTCCGCAGGGTGAGGAAGGCGTCCCCAGCGCTGGGCAGCGGGAAGGGTCCAGAGGAGCCTGGAAGAGATGGGAGCCGGGGTGGGCAGAGTCGTGGCGCCTCCTCAGGTGGAACCCACCCAGCCCCTCAGCCGGCAGGAGGCCTCGAATGTGGCTCCTGCCCCTCCTCAGCATCCGGCCTCTGCTCCTCAGCCCCCACCCAGGCAGGCCAGCGGGCCCTCCCCACCACACTACTCATGTCCCCTCATGGCTTGTCTTTTTTTTTTCTTTTTAAGACAGTCTCGCTCTGTCACCCAGGCTTGAGTGCAGTGGCACGATCTTGGCTCACTGCAAGCTCTGCCTCCCAGGTTCACACCATTCTCCTGCCTCAGCCTCCCAAGTAGCTGGGACTACAGGCGCCCACCACCACGCCCAGATAATTTGTTTTTTCTTTCTTTTTTTTTATTATTATTATACTTTAAGTTTTAGGGTACATGTGCACAATGTGCAGGTTTGTTACGTATGTATACATGTGCCATGCTGGTGTGCTGCACCCACTAACTCGTCATCTAGCATTAGGTATATCTCCCAATGCTATCCCTCCCCCCTCCCCCCACCCCACAACAGTCCCCAGAGTGTGATATTCCCCTTCCTGTGTCCATGTGTTCTCATTGTTCAATTCCCACCTATGAGTGAGAATATGCGGTGTTTGGTTTTTTGTTCTTGCGATAGTTTACTGAGAATGATGATTTCCAGTTTCATCCATGTCCCTACAAAGGACATGAACTCATCATTTTTTATGGCTGCATAGTATTCCATGGTGTATATGTGCCACATTTTCTTAATCCAGTCTATCATTGTTGGACATTTGGGTTGGTTCCAAGTCTTTGCTATTGTGAATTGTATTTTTAGTGGAGATGGGGTTTCACTGTGTTAGCCAGGATGGTCTCTATCTCCTGACCTCGTGATCCGCCCGCCTCGGCCTGGGATTACAGGTGTGAGGCACTGCACCCAGCCCATGCCGGGCTAATTTTTTTTGTATTTTCAGTAGAGACAGGGTTTCACCATGTTGGCCAGGCTGGTCTCAAACTCCTGACCTCAGGTGATCCACTCATCTTGGCCTCCCAAAATGCTGGGATTACAGGTGTGAGCCACCGCACCCAGACCTTTCATGTCTTTTCTTATTAGTATCGCCATTCTGTCCCCAAAGCACAGGTATCTGTTGGTTGGGATCATGGCCAAGAGGAACAGAACTCTCACAGTTGAAACAGAAGAAAGAGTTACACAGAGTTGACCACTGGGGGAAGGGAGATGTGGTCCCACTGTGGCCTCCCCAGATGCAGCTCAGTGGCCGTCCACATGGGTACAGATGACTGTCCCTGGGCCAGCCTCACTCACCGGAGCTAGGTGTTGACAGGCAGCTGGCGTGGTTCCCTGGGACCCCAACTTCCGTGGTATCCACAGCCGTTTTACCCGTGTAAATGGTAGCCTCTTCTTGAAACTTCCCCATGTTCTTTTTATACCGGATTCTTTTGTTGCCAAACCAGTTAGAGACCTGCGGACACACAGGAGTCACTGGAGGAGCTGACCCAGCGACTTCTGAGACACGACGCAGTCTGTGGGTTCCCTGGGGTGCCCGTTGCTCCCACTGCCTTAGAAGACAACACTGCACCCTGGGGCTATGAAGAGTCTGGGACTGAGAAGGTGGCGCCCTCTGAACCACGGACCCAGGGAGATGTCCACATGGGTTGAGGACACCCTGGAGCTGGCGTGTCTTAGAACTCTGCTGCCTAAAACTGGATGTTGCTGGAACCTGAACCTGGGAAGGGGCTGGAAGGAAAACAAGACTGTCTGAGGTGGGCCGGGAGGGACAGCGCCTCTGGCTGCCATGCAGCAGGCGGCAGGTTACGTTCCGTGTTCTCTTCAGGAAAAGTGAGAGCCAGGGAGACCTGGGGACCCAGTAACTGCGATCGAATCCCAAACTTATCAAATGAAAACAAGGTGAACTCTGAAGGGGTAGTTGGAATGTACCAGGTGCTAGGATAAGCACTTCTCATATATTCATATATTTTTCTTAATTTTAATTAAAAAAAGGTTTTTTGGCCGGGCGTGGTGGCTCACGCCTGTAATCTCAGCACTTTGGGAGGCTGAGGTGGGGGGATCATCTGAGGTCAGGAGTTCGAGACCAGCCTGGACAACATGGAGAAACCCCATCTCTACTAATAATACAAATATTAGCTGGACACAGTGGCACATGCCTGTAATCCCAGCTACTCGGGAGGCTGAGGCAGGAGAATCACTTGAACCTGGGAGGCAGAGGTTGCAGTGAGCCAAGATCGCACTGCAATTTAGCCTGGGCAACAGAGTGAGACCCTGTCTCAGAAAAAAAAATATATTTTTTCTTTTTTTTTAGAGATAGGGTCTCGCTCTGTTGCCCAGGCTGGTCTCAAACCCCTGGGCTTGAGAGTTCCTCCCGCCCTGGCCTCCCAAAATGCTGGGATTCCAGGCCCAGCCTCATATATCATTCTGCCTCATCCTCATGAGGACCTGGGAGGCAGCTGTTATCGTCCCTGCTGTAAGAAAGCAGAGGCAGGAGAAAAAGGAGCTAGTCCATGGCCAAGGTGGAATCAGCCCAGCTCTGACTGCAAACTGGCACTGGAGTCCCCCAGGGAGGGGCTTGTCACCTTTGGTGGCACTGCTGATGCTTGGGCTCCATCTGCTCTGTGGGGGCTGTCCTGTACACTGCAGGGTGCTGAGCGGTATCCTTGGCACCCACTGGGTGCCAGGAGCACTTCCCTTCTCTAGTCGTGACAACAAAAATGTCCCCTGGGCAGATTCACATGGGTGAGCACCCCAGGGCCAGCGCCTTCCTACAGGCATGGAGACGTCCATCCAGGGCCACATTTCAGTATCCCAAAGCAAGTAAAATAAACGTATAGTATAATAACACACAGAAATGAAACAGCTGAGGGATGGAAGAGGATTGTGGATGACCTTTGCTACTTCAAACATTTTTTTCTCACTCTGTCACCCAGGCTGGAGTGCAGCGGTGCGATCTCAGCTCACTGCAACCTCTGCCTCCCAGATTCAAGTGATTCTCTTGCCTCAGCCTCACCAGTAGCTGGGACTACAGGCACGTGCTACCAAGCCTGGCTAATTTTTGTACTTTTTTTTTTTTTTTTTTTCGGAGACGGAGTCTCACTCTGTCACCCAGGCTGGAGTGTGGAGTGCAGTGGTGCGACCTCAACTCACTGCAACCTCCGCCTCCCTGGTTCAAATGATTCTCCTGCCTCAGCCTCCCCAGTAGCGGGATTGCAGGCATGTGCCACCAAGCCTGGCTAATTTTTGTATTTCCAGTAGCCACGGGGTTTCACCATGTTGGCCAGGCTGGTCTCGAACTCCTGACCTCAGGTGATTCGTCCGCCTTGGCCTCCAAAGTGCTGGGATTTCAGGCATGAGCCACCATGCCTGGCCAACATTTGGTGTACTTACATTATCCTTGCAATGTTAAGTATAAAAAGAAGGATCCCTGTCTGTGTGCTCTCTGTTCCAAACATAGTGTCTGCCTACCCCGGGGGTGTGAGCAGCCTTCTCTTGATCCACATGGGAGGCCCCAGAGGCTCCATCCTGGTTGAAGCAGCCCTGGTTGTCCTCCAGACAATTGTTCCTTGGGGGCCAAATGTCTCACGCTTCTCCAGGGGCCTTGAAGACCCAGAGGCGCAGCCCCTTGCTCCAGCTCTGGCCTTGTTTCTGACACCACAGCAGATCCCGATGAGCAAAGTCATATGTGACTATGACCTCAGGATGTTTTGCTGCCTGCGTGACCCCGAGGGGTTCCAATTGCTCTCTGTCACAGAGACTTGACTGGACTTAGCCTGGGTTGGAGCAGAGCATGGTGGTGAAGGACTAGAAACTCAGCCCCTCCAACTGCAAAGTAGGGAGGGCTGTGGTGACATGCAGCAAGCCATGCTGTGGGTCAGCACCTGCCATTCCTGCTGCCATAGAGGCTGTGGGGCTGTGCCTGCCCAGGTGGGAGGGCGGCACCCAGGCCCTGTTCCACACACTCATGCTGCCACGGGGGTATGGCCTGGACCTGGCTTGCTGCCATAGGCTGCCTGGACTTACTGTTTCCATGTTAAAACCTTCGGAAATATTTCTTAGCCTCTTGGTCTTAGTGTCTCCCTCTTTCACCCCCAGTTCCACAGAGGACACTGGTGGCTGCCTACCAGGCTATAGAGTCAGGGAGCTCACACTCTCTACCACGTCACCTCAGGGGGCTCACACTCCACAGCATCCCCCAGGGAACTCACACTCCATCTCAATCACCTCAGGGAGCTCACACTCCATCTGTATCCCTCAGGGAGCTCACACCCCACCTGTATCCCTCAGGCAGCTCACACTCCATCTGTATCTCTCAGGGAGCTCACACTCCATCTCTGTCCCTCAGGGAGCTCACACTCCACCTCAATCACCTCAGGGAACTCACACTCCATCTTTATCCCTCAGGGAGCTCACATTCCATCAGTATCCCTCAGGGAGCTCACACTCTATCTGTAACCCTCAGGGAGCTCACACTCCATCTGTATCCCTCAGGGAGCTCACACTCCATCTGTAACCCTCAGGGAGCTCACACTCCATCTGTATCCCTCAGGGAGCTCACACTCTACCAGTATCCCTCAGGGAGCTCACACTCCATCTGTATCCCTCAGGGAGCTCACACTCCATCTGTAACCCTCAGGGAGCTCACACTCCATCTGTATCCCTCAGGGAGCTCACACTCTATCAGTATCCCTCAGGGAGCTCACACTCCATCTGTATCCCTCAGGGAGCTCACACTCTATCAGTATCCCTCAGGGAGCTCACACTCCATCTGTATCCCTCAGGGAGCTCACACTCCATCTGTATCCCTCAGGGAGCTCACACTCCACCTCAGTCACCTCAGGGAACTCACACTCCATCTGTATCCCTCAAGGAGCTCACACTCCATCTGTATCCCTCAGGGAACTCACACTCCATCTGTATCCCTCAAGGAGCTCACACTCCATCTGTATCCCTCAGGGAACTCACACTCCATCTGTATCCCTCAAGGAGCTCACACTCCATCTGTATCCCTCAGGAAGCTCACACTCCGTCTGTATCCCTCAGGGAGCTCATACTCTGTCTGTAACCCTCAGGGAGCTCACACTCTGTCTGTATCCCTCAGGGAGCTCACACTCCATCTGTATCCCTCAGGGAGCTCATACTCTGTCTGTATCCCTCAGGGAGTTCACACTCTGTCTGTAACCCTCAGGGAGCTCACACTCCGTCTGTGTCCCTCAGGGAGCTCACACTCCACAGCATCACCTCTGGGACCTCGCATTCCATCTGCATCGCTCAGGAAGTCCTCAGGTCTCTCTGTGGGTACACTTGCACCCCTGCCTCACAGATGAACGGGGAGAGCGCTGGAGTCCCACATTTGTAATGCAGAGCCTGGATCTGAGCTGGCCTGGCTGACTCAGAGCCTGGAGACTTGGCTCCTGTTCCACACTTTTTTTGTTTTTCAGAGATAGGATCTCACTCTGTCACCCAGGCTGGAATGCAGTGGCGCCATCATAGCTCACTGCAGCCTCACCCTCCTGGGCTCAAGTGATCCTTCCACCTCAGCATCCGAAGGAGCTGAGACCACAGGTGCACACCACCAAGCCCAGCTAATTTTTTAAATTTTTTGTAGAGACAGTGTCTCACTATGTTGCCCAGGCTGGTCTCGAACTCCTGGCCTCAAGCGACCCTCCTACCTCATCCTCCCAAAGTGCTGGGATTCCAGCAGCCATGCCTGGCCTCTGCACACATTTAACAAACTTCCCTGGGTGTCCTCATGGGACCTAGTCATCCACTCCTCCCAGGCGTGGCGAGACGTGGCAGGAGAGAACGTCACCTGGGAGATGGTGAGGCCGCCCTTCCTGGCCAGCTCTTCTTTGGCTTCTTCGCTGGGGTAAGGGTTGTTCAGATGGGAGTAAAAATACTCATTCAGCACTTCCGTCGCCTGCTTGCTGAAATTCCGCCGCTTGCGCCTGCAAAAACAGCCGCCTTCGTAGGCATTAATATGCTGGGACTCCAGTACCACCCCCACCTCTAGTTCTGAGTATGATTTTCCAGTAGTTCTGAAAACAGCAATCACTTGAGGTCAGGAGTTCGAGACCAGCGTGGTCAACATAGTGAAACCCCGTTTCTACTAAAAACACAAAAATTAGCTGGGCATGGTGGCGGGAGCCTGTAATCCCAGCTACTCGGGAGGCTGAAGCAGTAGAATCGCTTGAACCTGGGAGGCGGAGGTTGTGGTGAGTGGAGATCGCACCACTGCACTCCAGCCTGGGCACCAGAGTGAGACTCCGTCTCAAATAAATAAATAAATAAATACAAAATAAAATAAAAATGAAAACAGCAATACTTCAGGCCTTCTTCCCAAGAGGCTGTGAGGCCTCCAACCGTGACTGCAGACACAGCCTCCAGGGCTGTCTTCAACCCAAGCCAGCACTATTTCCCTCCAGTCCCTCAGAGCCGGCCCTTGAGGTTTTGGGTACGTACAGGCCCTGACCTGGCATCGAGCAGCCGCGAACGCAGGGTCATCACTGCCTCACAGGTGCTCTGCTTCAACTGCATCTGGATGGCGCTGAACTTGCCGTGAATGGCGCCGACCATGCGCTCAATCTCCTTAGGGGAGACAGGCCTCATCCTGCTCTGCTCCTGGAGGAGGTTGGTGACGTGCGTGGTGAACTCACGACAGGCCTGGGGTGGGAGCACAGACACGCCGGCCTGTGACTAGGCAGCAGGGTGGCACAGGGCAGCAGGTTCCACAGCGGAGCAGCCGCCTGCCACCCCCTGTAGTTCACACACCGGCGGGTGACTGTTAAGTAAATGGAAAGGGCTTTCAGTAACAATGGACCACCTCTGCAGCGACCAACTGCATGGACTCCCTGTTCTGCGCCACGAAAGAAAGGTGGTTAGCGTTCCGTGTTTCGCTTTGACAAATGCGCATTCACATGACAGAAACTCTTCCATGCAGAAAGATCACCTGTTCATATTTCTCTAGCTCAGAGTGGTAAATCTGTCGGATCTGGGACAGCTTGGCCCTGTAGTCAGAGTGCTCAATGCTATTGTCATTTGGACAGCCACCTGGTGTTGCTGTGCCGGCCCTGGCCACCGCTCCTCCTCTTCCTCTCTTCTCGGGCCTGCACACGCCCTCAGCCAGCAGCATGTTATCCAGCCTCAGGAGCTGGGCGTCAGGGGGATCTTCGTCTTGAATGCCACGGATGCTTACCACTAGATAAGAGAGACCGGGACAAGTCACAATTCATTTTCTGGAGAGAAAACAAACCATGAGAAAATGTGAGCACTGGTGTTATGTCTGAAGATTTTTGCATAGAACCCTTCGGGAGAAAGGAATACTCCACTTTATCACCAAATTGGATGATGGACACTGAGCACCCCGCTAAGACATGGGTCCAAGTGCCATCCTTAGAGCGCAGTCTGGGGAGGAACGGGGAGACACAGGTCGCAGTTTGGCATAGCCTGTGAGGGCAAACCTTGGTCACAGCTGTGTGCACGCAGCAGGGCCAGGCAGGCGCCTGTTGCTGGGGTCACCTGAACCCCTGAACCGAGTCTCAAGAAGTGCTGGGGAAGAGGGGGCACCCAAGATGCTGCATACTGATAAAGGCAAGTGGCAGGCTGGCATTGGCAGCGTGGCTGGCCTGGGCCCAGGACTGTGCAGCTGTAGGCCTGTTGTGGCTGGTGGGTGGGGTGTGTGTGTGTTGGGGTGGGGGTGCTGTTATAAAACTGGATAGGAAAAGCCTGATAAAGAAAGTGCCAGAAAAGATGAAATAACCCACTGAAAGATTTTAAGCAGAGAAACAAGATAATGGGCCCTACAATTTGGAAATGCCGTCCCAGCTCTGCAGAGAGGGGACCTGGATAGGGGCAGGGCTGGACTGCAGGGGAAGCAGTCAAAGGGCAGCCACCATCAAGGTATACACAGCTGTGGGGTCTGCAGGTCAGCTACAGGGCAGTCAGAGAACCCCCAGGATTCGTGTCCTGGGACACGGGTGTCAGAGAAGGGAAGACTCCAGGGTCATTCCCAGATTCTGCCATGGGCAGCACAGCCAATGGCATCGCATTCTCCCAAGTAAAAAGCCTGGAGCTGCAGCTTGTGCAGGTGGGGCTGAGTGAAAAGGTGGCTTCACGGCCGGGCACAGTGGCTCACGCCTGTAATCCTAGCACTTTAGAAGGCTGAGGCGGGCGGATCACTTGAGGTCAGGAGTTCGAGATCAGCCTGGCCAACATGGTGAAACCCCGTCTCTACTAAAAATACAAAAATTAGCCAAGCGTGGTGGCGCCTGCCTGTAATCCCAGCTACTAGGGAGGCTGAGGCAGGAGAATCACTTGAACCTGGGAGGCAGAGGATGCAGTGAGCTGAGATCTTGCCACTGCACTCCAGCTGGGGGGATAGAGAGACCCCGTCTCAAAAAAAAAAAAAAAAAAAAGTGTTCTCTTAGAATCAGGCTTTTTTTTTTTTTTTTTTTTTTGAGATGGAATCTCATTCTGTCACCTAGGCTGGGGTGCAATGGCATGGTCTCCACTCACTGCAACCTCTGTCTCCCAGGTTCCAGTGATTCTCCTGCCTCAGCCTCCCGAGTAGCTGGGACTACACATGCGTGCCGCCATGCCTGGCTAATTTTTGTATTTTTAGTAGAGACAAGGTTTCACTATGTTGGCCAGGCTGGTCTCGAACTCCTGACCTCATGATCCGCCTGCCTTGGCCTCTTAAAGTGCTGGGATTACAGGCATGACCCACCGTACCGGGCCAGAATCAGGCTATCTTAATAAGGTCAGCTACTTACCGAATTAGTGCTCAGATGACAATTCCGTTTGATTATATCATATAGTCATTTACAAGTGTCCCTTTCTTATTCCCTACATAACAGATGAACCTTTTCTGTCAAAAACTCACTAGTCAAAACTGAAGGAACTCAAGCGATATCCTTGTAAGAATTTTCCTTAGAGATTTCCACTTCAGGCTGGGCGCAGTGGCTCACGCCTGTAATCCCAGCACTTTGGGAGGCCAAGGTGGGCGGATCACCTGAGGTCGGGAGTTCGAGACCAGCCCAGCCAACGTGGAGAAACGCCATCTCTACTAATTAGCCGGGCATGGTGTCGAGTGTCTGTAATTCCAGCTACTTGGGAGGCTGAGGCAGGAGAATTGCTTGAACCCGGGAGACGGAGGTTGCAGTGAGCCGAGATCACGCCATTGCACTCCAGGCTGGGTGACAAGGGCGAGACTCCGTCTCAAAAAAAAAAAAAAAAAAAAAGAGATTTCCACTTCAACACTTAGTGCTAGTTTATTAAGCACACATGCAACAAATTTTATAAACCAGGATTTTGAACAAGAGACAAAAAAAATTAGCAACCAGATCCAAGGACTGACCACAAACCTGGTGCTTAATACAGGATAGTGTTGGCCAGGCGCAGTGGCTCACGCCTGTAATCCCAGCACTTTGGGAGGCCAAGGTGGGTGGATCACCTGAGGTCAGGGGTTCGAGACCAGCCTGACTAACACAGAGAAACCCCATCTCTACTAAAAATACAAAATTAGCCGGGCATGATGGCACATGCCTGTAATCCTAGCTACTTGGGAGGCTGAGGCAGGAGAATCGCTTGAATCCGGGAGGTGGAGGTTGCGGTGAGCCGAGATCACGCCACTGTACTCCAGCCTGGGCAACAAGAGCGAAACTCCATCTCCAAAAAAAAGAAAAAAAAAAAATATACACACACACACACACACACACACACACACACACACACACATATAGGATAGTGTCCCACCTTCTCCAAAACTGTTTCTTACTCAATTAAAATTGGAAAAAGCAATATGAGAAAAGTGGGAAGATTTCAAGAAGAATCCACACACCCTGTTAAACTTTCAAGGTAGAATAGATGGCGGCACAAAGTTGCAGACATGCAGAGACTTAACCACAAGTCTCCAGTACCCAGGCAGCGAATGTCCATGGCACAAATTAGTCATGCAAATTAGACATAAATTTGTCTAATTTGATAATAAGAACATAAACTATAATAGAAACAGCCAAAATAGCTAATACATGAGATTGGTTAAGTAAATTATGATAGAACCATAAAATAAAGCCGCCAGCAACTCTATTTTCCTTTTTTTGTTTTTTTTTCTGAGATGGAGTCTTGCTCTGTGTCCCAGGCTGGAGTGCAATAGCACAATCTTGGCTCACTGCAACCTCTGCCTCCTGGGTTCAAGCAATTCTTCTGCCTCAGTCTCCTGAGTAGCTGGGATTACAGGCGCTCGCCACCATGCCTGGCTAATTTTTGTATTTTTAGTAGAAACAGGGTTTCACCATGTTGGCCAGGCTAATCTCGAATTCCTGACCTCAAGTGATCCACCCACCTTGGCCTCCCAATGTGCTGGGATTACAGGCGTGAGTCACCACACCCAGCCTCACACCCAGATAATTTTTGTATTTTTAGGAGATACGGGGTTTCACCATGTTGCCCAGGCTAGTCTCGAACTCCTGAGCTCAAGCGATCCACCCGCCTCGGCCTCCCAAAGTGCTGGGATTATAAGCGTGAGCCACCGCACCTGGCCTGTTTCTAAAATTTCTACCACCAAGTCTATGAAAAATCATCACCAGGAATGAGGGCATCAGGATACATCCCCTTGGGAGGCTGAACTATATCAGAGTGGGTATTCCTCAAACTGCTTTTGTGCATATCACTCAAGCTTGGCCCTGTCTCTTCATAGACGCCCTCCTCTGCCTCCACATACTTATTTAAGCAGACACTACAGGCTATACTTGGTGCCAGCTCCCTGCAGCCCGTGGCCACTGTGGCCCTTGGCCTCAGAGCTTCAGAAAACACCCCCTCTCCCTGAGTGCCAGGCTGAACTGAAGGTTCCCACCACCTCACACTCAAGGACCCTCCTCACCGGCTCACTCAGTCTCTTTGGGCTGCACCGAGGCTCTTTCTGAGATGGCTGAAGGAAAAGTGTCCCTTTTATTAGCTGGCAGACAGCCTTCCAGTTTGGTGGCCCAATTTTCCTTTTTTTTTCCTTTTTTTTTTTTAAAGACAGAGTCTCTCTCTGTCGCCCAGGCTCAAGTGCAGTGGTGGGATCTCAGCTCACTGCAGCCTCCACCTTCTGGGTTCAAGCGATTCTCCTACCTCAGCCTCCCGAGTAGCTGGGATTACAAGCATGCGCCACCACGCCTGGCTAATTTTTGTTTTTTGTTTGTTTCAAGAGAATTCAATCGTTTATTGATTACAACGTTTGTATTTTTAGTAGAGACGGGGTTTCACCATGTTGAACAGGCTGGTCTCGAACTCCTAACTTCAGGTGATCCTCCCACCTCGGCCTCCCAAAGTGCTGGGATTACAGGCGTGAGCCACCACGCCCAGCCTGGAGACTCAATTTTCTAACAATCTTACTTTATCTTCAAGAAGCTCCACCATCCTGGCTAACACGGTGAAACCCCGTCTCTAATAAAAATACAAAAAAAATAATTAGCCAGGCGTGGTGGCGGGTGCCTGTAGTCCCAGCTACTCAGGAGGCTGAGGCAGGAGAATGGCGTGCACCCGGGAGGTGGAGCTTGCAGTGAGCCGAGATTGCGCCACTGCACTCCAGCCTGGGCAACAGAGCGAGACTCTGTCTCAAAAAAAAAAAAAAAAAGCTCCAGCTGTCTGTTTTAGTTCCTCCCACTGCCAGCACCCATGAGCGAGGACAGCCCACTTGGAATGATGCTCATGGGGTGCTGTGCCTACAATCTGGGCCTTACAGATCTGGGTGACAGTCACAGCAAGTGGACACCCTTGGACAGCCAGGTAAAGGCCGCTCCCAGAATTAGCCTGTGTTTGCCTATTCCTCGTAATAACCCTCCCCTCTCCTCCTAATCTCTCCTGGCTCAAAACAGACAATGGCTGTCCTCTCTGTAGTCCCTCTGTTTTCAAATCCTATTGATTCTGCCTCAACAATCAACTTTCCACTTATCCCTCCCTAGGTCCCTACTGTGCTAACCCTCTCCTGCCCTTTGTGACCTGCGGAGGAAAGTCTCTCCCCTCCCATCCCTCATGCACACCTGCAGGCCAACCCTTTTCAAACACATCATGCTGCTCTTTTGTTCAAAAGAAACCCAGCCTCTAACATCCTTCTGGACCTGCCTTTGGAACTGTTCCCTCGCGGAGCCTTGCACAGCCTCTGACAAGCACAGATGTCCCACGTGCCCCTGAATCTTGTTCAACAGCTCCTTCCTGAGCACCCATGGAGGTCGCGGCCAGGTGTCATGTGTGGGCGGAGGATACACAGGACTCAGTCCCTCCACACAGGACCCCAGCATGCTCTGACAGCCGGGGTGAGGAAAGCCACCTCCACACCTTCCATTACAGGCCCATTTGAAATAGGGAAAGGAGCATGGTCAATGTTGGCACATGCAGTGTAATGAGAGTGTGTGTGTTCATGTGGGTGTGAAATGCAGGGCTGCCGCAGAATATGTGGCATTCTTTCATTCATTCATTTATGTATTTAGGGGCTGGGCGAGGTGGCTTATATCTATAATCCCAGCACTTTGGGAGGCTGAGGTGGTAGGACTGCTTGACCTCTGGAGTTCAAGACCAGCCTGGGCAACATGGTGAGATCCTGTTTCTAAAAAAATTTTTTTTTTCTTGAGACGAAGTCTCGCTCTGTTGCCAGGCTGGAGTGCAGTGGCACGATCTCGGCTCACTGCAACCTCCGACTCCTTGGTTCAAGCAATTCTCCTGCCTCAGCCTCCCAAGTAGCTGGGATTACAGGCACACGCCACCATGCCCAGCTAATTTTTGTATATTTAGTAGAGACGGGGTTTCACCATGTTGGCCAGGATGATCTCAATCTCCTGACCTCGTGATCCACGCACCTTGACCTCCCAAAGTGCTGGGATTACAGGTGTGAGCCACTGTGCCTGGCCAAAAAAAAAAATTTTTTTTTTAAATCATTTACTTATCCAACAACAAACATCTGAGAGCCCATCACAAGCCAGGTACCACACTAAGTGTTGAGGATTTTTATTGTATTTATTATTTTTGGGGTCTGTCTCTGTTGCCTAGGGTGGAATATAGTAGCATCATCATAGCTTTCTGTAACCTCGACCTCCTGGGGTCAAGCGATCCTCCTGCCTCAGCTTCCTGAGTAGTTGGAACTATACACATGCCACCACACCTGGCTAATTTTTTATTTTTGTAGAGATGGCATCTCACTATGTTGCCCAGGCTGGTCTCAAACTCCTGTCCTCAAGCGAGCCTCCACCTTGGCCTCCCAAAGTGCTTGGGATTATAGTTGTGAGCCACCACACCTGGCCCGAGGATTTTAAAAAAATATACCAAAACCCACAGGACTTACTGTTCTCCAATTAAAACTCTCAAATTACAGTGAGAGGCTGAGGCGGGCGAATCACTTAAGGTCAAAAGTTCAAGACCAGCCTGGCCAACATGGTGAAACACCATCTCTACTAAAAATACAAAATTAGCTGAGCATGGTGGTGCATGCCTGTAATCCCAGCTACTCAGGAGGCTGAGGCTGCAGTGGGCCAAGATTGTGCCACTGCACTCCAACCTGGGAAACAGAGCGAGACTCCATGTCAAAAAAAAAAAAAAAAAACTCTCAAATTAAAGTGAGAACACCTGTGCCTTTCCATTTACTCTTCATGGGGTATGCATTGTACAGCATTTCTGGAGAAGAGTTTTGAGATACTGGTTAACCTTGAAAAAGTGCATAATCTTTAATCTCCAAATTCCCATTCTGTACCTGGAATTTATCCTACAGGGGTACTGACACCTACAAAGATGTATTTACAGGAGGCACAGTGTTTGTAATCGTGGGCGACCAGAAGGGTGCAGATGTGCATGAGTTTGGGCACAGACAGCATACCTGTCACCCTCGGGCCCTGTGGTGTCACCTGTGTCTCTTGAGGGTGCCATTATGAGGCAATCAGATGTGATAAGCCTTATTTCTTTAAGATTACACATTTTTGGCCGGGCTTGGTGGCTCACGCCTATAATCCCAGCACTTTGGGAGGTGGGTGGATCTTGAGGTCAAGAGGTCGAGACCATCCTGGCTGACACGGTGAAACCCCATCTCTACTAAAAATACAAAAATTAGCCAAGCGTGGTGGCGCGTGCCTGTAGTCCCCACTACTTGGGAGGCTGAGGCAGGGGAATCGCTTGGAACTGTGAGGCAGAGGTTGCAGTGAGCTGAGATCGCGCCAGTGCACTCCAGCCTGGCGACAAAGGGAGACTCCATCTAAAAAAATAATAATTAAAAAAAAAAGATTATGCTTTTGAGGCTGGGCAAGGTGGCTCATGCCTATAATTCCAGCACTTTGGGAGGCCGAGGCAGGCAGATCACTTGAGGCCAGGAGTTTGAGACTAGCCTGGCCAACATGGTGAAAACCCATCTCTACTAAAAAAAAAAAAAAAAAAAAAAAAATTAGCTAGGTGTGATGGCACAAGCCTGTAATCTCAGCTACTTGGGAGGCTGAGGCAGGAGATCTGCCTGAACCCAGGAGGTAGAGGTTGCAGTGAGCCAAGATCATGCCACTGCACTCCAGCCTGGGAAACAGCAAGACTCCATCTCAAAAAAAAAAAAAAAAATGCATTTTTGCTATATATGTGTTATAAGCAAAAGCAAAACTTAAAAAGCTAAGTTACCGAGGAGAAACGCTGTGCCTTGGTCACCACCATCAGTCCATGCTGGGGACATCTGCCCTGCCAGCTGCCTCTTGGGTGGTGCCTACAACAGCTTCCTCAGCACCGTGCCTTTGTGCTCCCCGTACACTGATGCTGGCCTAATTATGGTCATTAGACATGCATTACCATCAATTACAGCAAGCTCAGTTCCGGTGACTGTTCCAGAGCTTCTCAGCTGTGCTCCTCAGCTCCCCCAGGGCCCTTGACTGGCAGGCAGGGAGGCTGGAGGTACCAGAAGCTTGGTTCAGGGATACCATCTGTCGGAGGCACTGACATGGGGAAACAGACTTAAAACAAAGGTACCCCCCTCCTCAAACTGCCAGGCTTCCTTCTGTTCCCAACTTACTGTGTGTGGCAGAAACTCCAGTAAATCAAACAATGACATAAAATAAAATCGGGATTATGTTTTTCTAAGAAACAATATGGCAATGCTGTGAGCCGAATGTTTGTGTCACCTCCAAATTCACATGTCGAAGCCCTAACTCCCAACGTGACTATTTGGAGGTGACGCTTTTAGGAGGCAGTTAAGGTTAAATGAGGTCATAAGGATGTGGCCCTGATCTGATAGGATTAATGTCCTGATGGGCAGAGACCTCAGGGAGCTCGCTTTCCCTAAGAGGTCATGTGAGCTCACAGTAAGATGGCGGCCGCCTACAAGCCAAGAGAAAAGGCCTCATAATGAACTACCTGGCCAGCACCTTCGTCTGGGACTTTCTAGGCCCCAGAACTGTGAGAAATAAATTTCTATTTTGTAAACCACCCAGTCTGGGCCGGGCGTGGTGGCTCATACCTGTAATCCCAGCACTTTGGGAGGCCAAGGAGGGTGGATCACAAGGTCAATAGATCGAGACCATCCTGGCCAATATGGTGAAACCCCATCTCTACTAAAAATACAAAAATTAGCCGGGCATGGTGGCGTGTGCCTGTAATCTCAGCTACTCAGGAGGCTGAGGCAGAAGAATCGCTTAAACCTGGGAGGCGGAGGTTGCAGTGAGCCGGGATTAAGCCACTACAGCCTGGCAACAGAGTGAGACTCCGTCTCAAAAAAAAAAAAAATCACCCAGTCTGTGGCATTTTGTTAGGGTGGCCTGAGTAGACTAAGACAGTAACATAACCCCAAGTTGCTTTAATTTTTCTCCCCAGGAACAAAGACGTGGGGAAAAGCAGAAGGCTCAGAGGGAACCCTCCTTTGCCCTGACTTCCCCAAGCTGCTCACCTGCCCCCTCACCCACTCAGCAGTGCTCTCACTTGGCAGCGGGCTGTGCTCCCGCCTCCTTCCCACAGCAAGTGGGAACCATCTCTGGGACCCCAGCCCCATAGGGAGAAGGCTAACCCATGGATTAAATCAGATGCCCTGACTGACCCCTCGGGTCTGCCACTTTCCAGTCATGTGGCTGTCAGTGGTCACTCCGCTGGCCGCAAGCCCCAGTTGTGAACGGAGCTGCCCCAGGCAACTGACTGGATGGAATTACATAGAACCGCAGGCCCGGCCCAGAGCCCATCAGGGTATGGGACTAAGCAAAACACTCACCTCACGCTCTCCCTGCTGTCTCAAATCAGCAAGAAGCTGGCCCCTCAAAAGCAGAGGCAGGGCCTCCTGTGCCAATCAATCGATCGTGGAGGCTGAGCCTCCTCCCCATCTCCCCCCACCATCCACAGCCGGAATGAGCGTTGGAGACGGATTAAACTGTGGAATCTGGGACAGAGGGTTGACGCCTGGTGAGAGGCGGCCAAATCTCTCTTTGAGGAGTCCTTTGGTGACAGAGAGCCAAAGCCTAGTGCGCCGACCTGAGTTGCAATGAGTACCTATAGTCACAGCTTGCTCTGATCACACAGGCGCAGGCGCAGACAAGCATGTCCGCCTGCCCTCGGGCCCACCCACCGTGTCTGGAACTGACAGTGCCGGTGACTCTGCACAGGTGAGAATCGACATGAAGGAGAAAACATGGGGACTTCCTGCTTTCTAGAAACCTTTTGAGGCTTTTTCAGTCACTTACTGAGCACCTACTGAGTGCTGGGCCTGAGCTTTGAGGATGACAAGTGGCTGCTGCTTGCCCTGGGGGGATAAGAACCAGGGTCTTGCTGCTGCTACCGGGGTCTCCTATGCTACTGGCCTCCTGACCAGTGACCCTTAGAAAGAACGGGGCCACTGGCCACAGTTCTGCCGGTGGGACCCAGCGTGGTAACTGGGACCTGGGCTGAGGTTAACTTTCCTGTTCCAGTTTTCAGAAGGAGAGCTCAACTTCCATCAGCTCCAGCTTATCTTGTAGTCAAAGAGCCAAAGGTAATAAGGAAATGAGTTCTACAAGGCATTCTGGCAAGGTGCTCACCAGGAGCCACTTTCATTTGTAGTGAGAGTGTTTCCTCCCTAAACAAGGCCTCTGATATTGGAGGACAGGGATAGGGGAGGCAGGTGGTAAATAACCTTCTGTACTTAGACCTCAACTGCTTAAAAGAAAAAACACCAGCTACTGGGGAGGTCACTCAGGCAGGAGTGCAGTGGCACGCTGCAGCCTTGACTTCCTGGGCTCAAGTGATCCTCCCGCCTCAGCCTCCTGAGTAGCTGGGACTACAGGCATGCGCCACCCTGCCCAGCTAATTTTTATATTTTTTGTAGAGACGAGGTTTTGCCATGTTGCCCAGGCTGGTCTTGAACCCCTGGATTCAAGTGATCCTCCTGCCTTGGCCTCCCAAAGTGCTAGGATTACAGGCATGAACCACTACGCCCGACCAGATTTTACCTTGTTTAGAGTAGGACTCCTAGAAAGGTGATCTGTCCTCTGGGCCAGCCCACACCTGTCACCTGCCTACAGCGAGGCCAGCACAGACACCAGCATCCGCACATGGAAATGTATTGCAATTTGACAGAGTAATTTGATGTCTATTGAATTTAACACAACTTTTGGCCTTACTGACTTGTATGTCTGTTTTATTTTTCCTTTCTTTTCCCCAGTAGTTCATCTTGCTTCTGTTTTACATGGCCACCATGCTGGGGTGGCCAAAACCGTGCCTGAGGCTGGAGGGGCCTGAAGGCTGAGCCTGAGCTGCTGCTGGAAGCTCTGATGAGCCTCTGAACCACCCCAGTCCCAGATCCAAACTCTCAGGGCCCGTAAGAGCTGGGGTGGAACAGTCCAGAATTGAGAGTAAACCTATTTCCTCGCACGCATCTGTAGGATGCCTGCTTCCCCTCTGCGTCATTACTGTCTTGCGGGTGGCGGTGGCACTGCCACTTGGAAGGAGCCGGCATTCCACGTTCCTGTGTCAGGGAGGTGATGACACAGGGCAGAGCGCCTGCTCCAGCACTTCCAGTGGAGAAAACACCAGGACACCAAACAAGGAAGGGGAGACAAAGGCCACGCTGCAGGAGGAGCGACCTACTCACTTTGGGAGACCTGTTTGGTGGGAAGCAGGCCTGTCCAACCCCAAGAATGCCAGCCCAGGGGTGTCAGGAAGGCTGCGGGAACCCAGGTCATGCGGTGCTGCCATTGGCTTTGGGAGCTGAGGGACTGGATAAGGTTATTGGCCAAGGAAGGTGTTCCTGCCACGATGCAAGGTGACAGTGTGAGAATAGGTGGGGGCTTCCAAGTGGCTGGGTGGTGCTCTGAGCAGCAGGAGACGAGACTGGCTGTGAGAGGCCTATGGAGGAAGTGGTACCGCCTGATTCCCCAGGAGAGTGCCCTGGGATGTGAAGGACATCGTGGGGTGGCCCCAGCAGGAGGCTGGGGAGCCCAACACAGTGAAGGCAGAAGGCCAGCAGGACTCTTCCATGAGAACCCAAGGCCCCCTACCTTTGGGATCTGGCCTCATTTGCTCCTGGCACCTCCTCCCACCCCCCAAATCCTGCTGCTGCACACTCCTCTCACCTCTCAGCTCCAATCTAGCTTCCCAGTGATACGGGAGTGGGGCAAGGAAGTGCTGGGTAGAGAAGGGCGGGGTCCCTGGCGAGGGCTCCACCCTCGGCCCTGTGCCCTCGGACCTAAGTGAGAACAAGCATTTCTGTTTTTGTGGCCAAAAGGTTGCCTTTTGGCCTGCCACGCCCCACATCTTGTGCCCAAATAAGCCTGAGACCTTAAGCAGACACACACAAGCAGCTGGAAGTCGAGAGGAACACACCAGCAGAAGAACACACCAATAGACACTGGCGGGCCATTGATGGTGGAACAATGCAGACACCAAGGGAAATCCAGGAGAGCCCAGTCACTGAGCGGCCCAACTCCAGGGCAAAACCACCTTCCCAATCCAACCCCCTTTGGGCCCCCCATCCATCTGCTGAGAGCTACCTACACCACTCAGTAAAACCCTGTACTCATTCTCCATGCCCACATGTGATCCGATTTTTCCAGTACACTAAGGCAAGAACCCCAGAATATAGAAAGCCCTTTGTCCTTGAGATAGGGCAGAGGGTCTAACTGAGCTGATTAACACAAGAAGCCTGCTTCTCTTTCAGCTAAGCTGAAAGAGCACACTGTAACGCATGCCCACTGGGGCTTTGGGAGCTATAAACACAACCCTAAGACGCTGCGCTGCTGCTGTGGGGTTGGAGACCACGTTCCCCCCACCTGTCTGACTGCATGCTCCCCCTTAGGGGTTTGAGCTGTGGGGCACCGAAGAAGTGAGCCACATCCGTCACACACCCTGCAAGGGGGAAAAGGGAACACTCCTGTTTCACCCGGGCTCCGGGAACACCAAGCTCAGGCCTGCGTCATGAACTCTTTCCCAGCAAGAGAGCGGAGGTGGCCAGGCGCGGTGGCTCATGCCTGTAATCCCAGCACTTTGGGAGGCTGAGGTAGGTGGATCACCTGAGGTCAGGAGTTCAAGACCAACCTGACCAACATGGCGAAACCCCGTCTTTACTGTGATCCCAGCTACTTGGGAGGCTGAGACATGAGAATAGCTTGAACCTGGGAGGTGGAGCTTGCAGTGGGCCGAGATCGTGCCATTGCACTCCAGCCTGGGCAACAAAGCGAGACTCCGTCTCAAAAAAACAAAACAAAACAAAACAAAACAAAACAAAACAAAGATGCAGAAAGGCCAGGTTCAGTGGCTCACCCTGTAATCCCAGCACTTTGGGAGGCTGAGGTGGGAAGATCACTTCAGCTCAGGAGTTTGAGAGCAGCCTGGGCAACATAGCAAGACCCCATCTCTACAAAAAATTTTAAAAAATGAGTCAGGTTTGGTGGCACACACCTGTAATCCCAGCTACTCGAGAAGCTGAGACAGGAAGATCGCTTGAGCCCCGGAGTTTGAGGCTGCAGTGAGCTGACTGCGCCACTGCACTCCAGCCAGTTCGACAAAGTAAGACCCCCTCTCCCACCAAAAAAAGATACAGAAAATTAACAAAATCAATTAAAACCCTTGGGCAAACCTGGTCAGGCACGGTAGCTCATGCCCTAATCCCAGCACTTTAGGAGGCTGGGGTTGGGGGGAATCACCTGAGGTCAGGAGTTCCAGACCAGCCTGGCCAACATAGTGAAACCCCATCTCTACTAAAAATAGAAAAAGCTCACGCCTGTAAACCCAGCACTTTGGGAGGTTGAGGCGGGAAGATCACCTCAGATCAGGAGTTGGAGACCAGCCTGACCAACATGGAGAAATCCCATCTCTACTAAAAATACAAAATTAGCTGGGCATGGTGGCACATGCCTGTAATCCCAGCTACTCGGGAGGCTGAGGCAGGAGAATTGCTTGAACCCACGAGGCGGAGGTTGTGGTGAGCCGAGATCATGCCATTGCACTACAGCCTGGGCAACAAGAGCGAAACTTCATCTCAAGAAGAAAGAAAGAAAAATTAGCTGGGTGTAGTGGTGCACACCTGTAATCCCAGCTACTCAGGAGGTGGAGGCTCGAGAACCGCTTGCACCCAGGAGGCGGAGGTAGCAGTGAGCCAAGATCGTGCCACTGCACTCCAGCCTGGGTGACAGAGCGAGACTCTGATTCAAAAAAATAAAAAACCCACAGGCAAATCAAAGAATAGAAAGAACCTTCCTTAACCTGATAATGGGCATGTCCTCAAGCCCCACAGCAAACCCCAGTCTTCCTGGAGATATTTTAAAGCCACTGATTCAAATCAGACACAGGTAGACAGGGAGGTCCCTCCTCGGCTCAGACCAGCAGGGTCCAGTCAAGGAGACCAGAAACTCGGGAGGGGGACAGACCAGCAGGCAGCAAGGCATGACGAAGAAGATGTGACCCACTCACAGGCTGAAGGGTGTCCCTACAGCTGGAGTAACCCAGAGAGTCATGGATGTAATGGACAACTTCCCCTCCCCTCCACACTGCCCCCAACAGACCTCAAGGTGTGGTCTGACATGACCAAGGGCTGGTTTTTTTTTTTTTTTTTTTTGAGATGAAGTCTCACTCTGTTGCCTAAACTGGAGTGCAGTGGCACAATCTCGGCTCACGGCAACCTCCACCTCCAGGGTTCAAGCGATTCTCCTGCCTCAGCCTCCTGAGTAGATGGGACTATAGGCATGCACCACCATGCCTGGCTAATTTTTGTATTTTTAGTAGAGATGGGGTTTCACTATGTTGGCCAGGCTGGTCTCGAGCTCCTGACCTCGTGATCACCCCCTTGGCCTCCCAAAGGGCTGGGATTACAGGCGCGAGCCACCTCCTGGCCCAAGGGCTGTTTTATCTTATGGTTTCCTGGGCATCATGGGCACTGAGTTTACTCCTTAACTCTAAACAAGGAGACTTCTGGAGCCCAGCCTGTTTGTATTAAGAACTGCCTGGCTTTACCTTTTAGGCCACATCCCACAGGTTAGTTCATTTAAGTAACATTCTAGGACAGGCGCTAGAACAGGCTTTGTTCTGTTCTCTGAGGCAGACCAGCCTGGCCAACATGGTGAAACCCCATCTCTATTAAAAATATAAAATTAGCTGGGCGTGGTAGTGCACACCTGTAATTCCAGCTACTTGGGGGGCTGAGGCAGGAGAATCTCTTGAACCCGGGAGGCAGAGGTTGAGGTGAGTCCAGATTGCGCCACTATACTCCAGCCTGGGTGACAGTGTGAGACTCCATCTCAAAAAAAAAAAGTAACATTCTAGATAAATCCTTATCTTAAGTCATGGAAGTTTCTCAGATCCACAGGACTTTAAAAAGAATAACCCTTAAAAAACACTCATCAGTTTCTGAAATAGTGGCTGCCACACACTAGATATTCACCCAACTGAGGGATTATCACACTAGGCAAATCTCCGTCATCTCTAATTAAAATACATCACAACCAGTCACAACTGAAGTGTGTCAGGCCTCTGAGCCCAAGCTAAGCCATCATATCCCTTGTGACCTGCACGTATACATCCAGATGGCCTGAAGCCACTGAAGATCCACAAAAGAAGTGAAAATAGCCTTAACTGATGACATTCCACCATTGTAATTTGTTTCTGCCCCACCCTAACTGATCAATGTACTTTGTAATCTCCCCCACCCTTAAGAAGGTTCTTTGTAATTCTTTCCACCCTTGAGAATGTACTTTGTGAGATCCACCCCCTGCCCAAAAAACACATTACTCCTAACTTCACCGCCTATCCCAAAACCTATAAGAACTAATGATAATCCCACCACCCTTTGCTGACTCTCTTTTTGGACTCAGCCCACCTGCACCCAGGTGAAATAAACAGCCATGTTGCTCACAGAAAGCCTGTTTGGTGGTCTCTTCACACGGACGCGTGAGAAATGAAGATGCTGGAACCACAATCAAATATGCAAATTAATTTCATTTCCATATGTTTACATGTTTGTTAATTAAAACACTGCAGTTCTGAAATAAACTAGTATGTGATTTTTAAAAAAATGCCTACTGTTCTGTACATTTAAAAAATAAATAGGCTGAGCATGTGGTGGCTTATGCCTGTAATCCTAGCACTTTGAGGGGCTGAGACGGGAGGATCACTTAAGCCCAGGAGTCCCAGACCAGCCTGGGCAACACAGCAAGACCCCCATCTATAAAAAGTACAAAAATTAGCCGGATATGGTGGCTTCTATCTGTAGTCTCAGCTACTTGAGAGGCTGAGGTGGGAGGATCACCTGAACCTGGGAAGTCAAGAATGCATTGAGCCATGATCATGCCACTGTACTCCAGCCTGTCTCTTTGAGACAGAGCAAGACCCTGTCTCAAAAAATAAACAAACAATTATATGAGCTGCTAATGCTGAGTAAAAATGATATGCGGTTTAGGCTTGTTTTTCTGTGCTACTGTCCTTGCATGTGGTAACAGGGCAAAAGGAAGACAGCAAAACACTGTAATATATAGTGCTGTAATATATATTTTTCCAGATGTGCCAGGCAGCACATCTGGAAAAACAAGCCCCTGTGAGGAGTTGCAAACATTTAAGAGCCACAGCTAAGAAAAACAGCACTTGGCCGGGCATGATGGCTCCTGCCTGTAATCCCAGCACTTTGGGAGGCCACGAAGTCAGGAGATCAGGATTATCATGGCTAACACGGTAAAACCCCATCTTTACTAAAAATACAAAAAATTAGCCAGGCGTGGTGGCATGCACCTGTAGTCCCAGCTACTCAGGAGGCTGAGGCAGGAGAATCGTTTGAACCCAGGAGGTGAAGGTTACAGTGAGCCGAGATCGCGCCACTGTACTCCAGCATGGGCGACAGAGTGAGATTCCGTCTCAAAAAAAGAAAAAGAAAAAGAAAAAGAAAAACAGCACTCACTGATGGCTTCTATCTACCATAAACAATTTTCTTTTTCTTTTTAATTTTTTTGAGACGCAGTCTCACTCTATTGCCCAGGCTGGAGTGCAGTGGCACAATCTTGGCTCACTGCAACCTCTGCCTCTCAGGTTCAAGTGATTCTCCTGCCTCACCCTCACAAGTAGCTGGGATTACAGGCACCCGCCACCCCACCCAGCTAATTTTTGTTTTTTTGTTTTGTTTTTGTTTTTTGACTACCAGAAAATAAACACGAACTTTATTAATAGCAATAGAAAGGGTTTCCAATTTCTCAGAATGAAAATAACATGACACCAGTACAAGTGTTAAAACAGTAGGCCGGGAGCAGTGGCTCACGCCTGTAATACCAGCACTTTGGAAGGCCAAGGCGGGCATATCACCTGAGGTCGGGAGTTTGAGACCAGCCTGGCCAACGTGGTGAAACCCCATCTCTACTAAAAATACAAAAATTAGCCGGGCGTGGTGGCGGACTCCTGTAATCCCAGCTACTTGGGCAGCTGAGGCAGGAGAACTGCTTGACCCCGGGAGGCAGAGGTTGTGGTGAGCCAAGATCGAGCCATTGCACTCCAGCCTGGGTGACAGAGCAAGACTCCGTCTCAAATTAAAAAAAAAAAAAAAAAAAAAGAGTAAATGCCTACATTTCTTGTTCTGATAGCTTCCCACCACACACCAAAGGTTCCTCAAGGACAGCTGCCACAGAGCTGCTGCAAGAACATGTTTTCCACTGAGCGTAGTTTCACAGTCAACTACTCAAGCAGAAGACTAAAATATTATTTCTTTTTAGAAGATCTTGGTTGAGGGAGCACATATCAATATGGAGAACAGATCTTTGCTTCTCGAATTCAAGAAAAAACATTAATTAATCTATCAGTTTTTCTCCGATACAGTGTCCCAGAGTGCTCTGTGAAGAATCCTTTTACATCCCTACTACATGCCTGGGTGAAGGGAGAGGAGGGGGTGGCAAGCTGCCAGTACACCAGCAGGCACTCCTGGTGATGCTCTGGGCTCTGCTCCCTTTCTGCTGGTAATAGTAGGCATCTTTTCTGAAAGCTGCAGCAGCTTGATGTGGGGCGGTGGGGAGGAAGGGGCCACTTACCAATCACCTCTTCTTGAAGCCGTATTTTTTGCGTTCATAGAAGAGGTCTTAGAGCTCCCCAAATAGACAATCTTCAGGCAGCCATCCCTATTCTTCTCCTGGATGGTGCACTCCTTACAATAATAGGCATCAGAGACCCCAGGGCCTCCACAGATCACACAGAGCCCCGGTAAGATCCATAGTTACATTCATCACATATGCACACCAGAGTGCAGGGACGCACATAGGAGTCACAGATAACACATTTGCCATCACATTTTTCACACAGTCATCTGATGGCAACACCAGCCTGCTTGCGGCAAAAGATCAAATCAGGATGATGTTTAGCCATAGTTCCCAACTAAGCTGGCCACCACACAATTTTTGTATTTTTAGTAGAGACAGGGTTTCACCATGTTGGCCAGGCTGGTCTCGAACTCCTGACCTCGTGATCTACCCGCCTCACCCTCCGAAAGTGCTGGCATTACAGGTGTGAGCCACCGTGTGGCCCAATTTTTTCATCTGAAGAAATGCTCTAATTTCAAACAACAACAAATGAGAGCCATGGGGGAAAGGTCTAGAAGCTTCAGGAGCTGGGCTACAGTCACCATGAGGTGTGGTGCCTCTTTGGCTGAGTCTCACACAGGGAGGTAACCAGCCTAGCAACATGCACACTAACCATGACCAACCAATTCCCAGCCTGCGAATCAAAGAGTTTTAGGTCATCCAATGCCCTGACTACTCTAAAAAGAATTTCCCAAGGAACTGATCTATCAATAAGTTCACCAGGGCTGGACAGGTTGGCTCATCCCTGTAATCCCAGCACTTTTAGAGGCTGAGAAGGGAGGATTGCTTGAGGACAAGAGTTTAAGACCAGCCTGGGCAACACAGCAAGATCCCATCTCCACAAAAAAATATCCAGGCATGGTGGTGCCCACTTGTAGTCCCAGCTACTCCAGAGGCTGAGGCAGGAGGATCACTTGAGCCCGGGAATTCAAGGGAGCAGTGAGCTATGATCACACCAGTGCCTCCAACCCGCATGACAGAGCGAGATCTTGACTCAAAAAAAGAACGTAAAAAGAGGCTGGGTGCGGTGGCTCACACCTATAGTCCCAGCACGTTGAGAGGTCGAGGCCGGCGGATCACGAGGTCAGGAGATCGAGACCATCCTGGCTAACACGATGAAACCCCATCTCTACTAAAAATACAAAAAATTAGAGGAGTGTGGTGGTGGGCGCCTGTAGTCCCAACTACTCAGGAGGCGGAGGCAGGAGAATGGCATGAACCCGAACCCAGGAGGTGGAGCTTGCAGCGAGCCGAGATTGCACCACTGCACTCCAGCCTGGGCAACTGAGCGAGACTCTGTCTAAAATAAATAAATAAATAACTAAAGACAAAGAAAAAGAAAGAAAAAAAAGTTCTGGTCAGGCACGGTGGCTCATGCCTGTAAATCCCAGCACTTTGGGAGGCCGAGGCGGGTGGATTACCTGAGGTCAGGAGTTCGAAACCAGCCTGGCCAACGCGGTGAAATCCCATCTCTACTAAAAATACAAAAATTAGTTGGGCATGGTGGCGGGCACCTGTAATCCCAGCTACTTGGGAGGCTGAGGCAGGAGACCCGCTTGAACCCGGGAAGTGGAGGTTGCAGTGAGCCGAGATCGCACGATTGCACTCCAGCCTGGGTGACAGAGCGAGACTCCATCTCAAAAGAAAAAAAGAAGCTCCCTAGTATCTACGGTGTGCCAATCCCACAACAGGGCAGAGATGAACCACAGATCTGCCTTGTGCTTTCTTGATGCTGGTCTTCCAGGAAAGGAGTCAGAGGTCAGAAGACAAACCAGAAAAGTGCAAGCACACAAGACAGTTTCCGTCAGTGGTTAAGCCCTAAGAGGCAGCAAAGAAGTGCTAATTCATAAGAATGTGTATGTGCACTAAGGCCTTAAGCTACAGGCACACTGTTTTAGATACGGCCCCTACCAAAGACCCTCAATCCTTGAGGTAAGCTTTATTGAGATATAATTCACATGCCATATAATTCATCTGCTTAAAGTGAATACTTCAGTGGTTTTTAGTTTATTTCCAAGGTTGTGCGACCACCACCACTAGCTAACATTCTCATCCTCCCTAAAGATACCCCGTCTCTATGAGCAGTCACTCTTTACGCCCCCTCCCTAGCCCCGGGACAACCACGAGTCTTCCTGTCTCTATGGATTTGCCTGATCTGGACTCTTCATATTGATGGAATCACACAGCATGTGATGTGACACTTCACATCTGGCTTCTCCTACCCAGCATCATGTTTTCAAGGTGCACCCATGTTGCAGCCTGTGCCAATACTTCATTCCTCTTTATGGCTGAATAATACTCCATTGCATGGATGGACCACGTTTTGTTTTGTTTTCTTTCTTTTTTTTTTTTTTTTGAGAGAGAGTCTTGCTCTGTCACCTAGGCTGGAGTACAGTGGCGTGATCTCCGCTCACTGCAACCTCCGCCTCCCAGGTGCAAGTGATTCTCGCGCCTCAGCCTCCCGATTAGCTGGGATTACAGGCATATGCCACCACGCCCAGCTAATTTTTATATTTTTAGTAGAGACGGGGTTTCACCATGTTGGCCAGGCTGGTCTCGAACCCCTGACCTCAAATGATCCCCCCACCTTGGCCTCCCAAAGTGCTGGAATTACAGGTGTGAGCCATGGCGCCTGGACACACATTTTGTTTTTCTAGTTATCATGGACATCAGGTTGTTTTCAGATTCCTTAATCTGTATATTTATATACAATGATCCACTTCTCTGTCCAACAGACACTTTGGCAATGATAGGATGTTCTAGACCTTTCTATTATAGGAGGCACCAGCCCTGTGTGGCTGCTGAGACTTGAAATGTGGCTGGTGTGGCTGAGGAATGCACTGGTTAATTGCATTTGGTTTTAATTAATTCAAATGTAAACAGCCCTGCGTTGAGTATCTGGAGCCACCCAGCTGATGAGACTCAGGGGCTCAATTTGTGAGTTACCCTGAGACTGAGGGGAGGAAAGGATACTCCAATCAACCTGGAGAATAAGTCCCCCAGCTGCCGGGGTCTACTCCCACAAGAACCCTAAAGAAATGTACATGGGACTCAGCCCCAGGGTACAGCTAATTAGAAAAAGGATCTCAGTTCCAGAGAGGTGACTCATAGGCCTCAGGGTGACTGCTAGGACCCAGGAAAGCCCCATGAGCACCATGACACCCCAGCTTCCTGGCTGAATTTACAGAACCCGATTCTGTAATTGCAACAGATCCGACCAGCTGACGAGGAAGGGAAAGAATGAGAATGGCTTATGCCTGCCAACTACTAGCAAGGCCAATCATTAGTCAGGAAGACAAAAAGGCATTCCCTGATGTTATGCATTATTTACATTTACTCCTCTGAATGGGGCTCTGTGCGTTCCTACAGCACAGCAAGGGTTCCTGCAGCACAACAGCCCTGGCTGAGAAACTTCTTGTTCCCCAGAGACACAGTCACAGGGTGGAGAAGGCAAAGCAGGCCCCTTCTCAAGAACGGCCCAGGATGGGATGGCCGAGTGGGTCTGCAAGGGGCCTCTGGGGCTCAGCACACCGCCTCGGAGCTGCCTACCCACTCGAGATCTGAGATCCGAAGCTTTTCACACAAGCTGTCACTCATGCTCATGTGGAGGTAAAGCCTGACACATTCCAACGTGCCAGGCTGTCCCTGCTCTGGTGCCAAACACCACTGTGTGAATTCAGGCCACGCCTCAGTCCTCACTGGGAACATCAATGTGACAAACCTTATTTTTTATTTTTATATTTTTTTAGAGGCAGAGTCTCACTTTGTCGCCCAAGCTGGGGTGCAGTGGTGTGATCTCAGCTCACTGCAAACCTCACATCCCAGGTTCAAGTGATTCTTCTGCCTCAGCCTCCCGTGTAGCTAGGATTATAGGCACCCGCCACCATGCCCAGCTAGTTTTTGTATTTTTAGTAGAGATGGGTGGGTGAGGGAGGTGGGGGGGTGGTTCACCATATTGGCCAGGCTGGTCTCGAACTCCTGACCTCAGGTGATCCGTCTGCCTCAGCCTCCCAAAGTGCTGGGATTATAGGCGTGAGCCACTGTACCTGGCCAACGTGACACATCTTAAATCCAACGCTTTCGAATTCTGCAACATACCTAGTCCCAGGGTCTCAGCAAAGGGACTGTGGCCCGTATCTGGTTCTCCCAGCTAAATTCAAAGCTCTGCAACTAATCAGGGTTTATTTTGTTCTCAGAACAGCTCCTCTAGACACCGAGGAGGACAGCTGTTTCTGGGAAGGAGGGTTTGGGAGGAAATGCATACGCTGAGGGTGTCCTTGGCCTTCAGAGACCACCGCAGGGCAGGAACACCCAGACACTGTGGTGTGGTGAAGCTGACCCCAGGAGACAAGCTTTGAGGGACCTGCCTGCATACCTCCGACAGGCCATTCCTGGGGTTCACCAGGGACTGCTGGCAGTGCATCCGGTGATGCCAGGTTTACATGGAGGACCACGTTCTTTTCAGGCTGCTGTGAGTGATAAGCCCTGTGTTCTAAGTCAGGCCCCCAGACACTGAATCTTCTGAACCTCATAAGGGGAACTGGATGAAAGGGATTTCAGTTAGTATGTATCAGTCACCAGAAACAGTTTTTCAATCAACAAAAACAGAAAGGCACCGGGACAGACCCTGAGAACATAGCGCATCCTAGACCCTGCGCTGGCCAGGAATGGTCATTGTTCAGATGACACAGGTGGGTGTGTGGGGCCCATGAGTGCCGGCCATGAGGGACAGGCCCTGGGTCCCTTTCATGAGTGAGGACAGTGTACGGGGTGGGGCGGCATGCAGCCTGGCTGTGGGTGACTGGTGTGCCCTGGGGAGGCCCCTGTCTCTTAGAGCTTCCCACTGCCCATCTGTAAAACGGGAGAAAAGGGTCTGCCCGAGGCTGTGCAGGGCTCTGGGGAACAACTCGAGGAAGCCCCGAGCTGCCTGCCCAGGCTCCATCAATACCCACCAGACTTAATCTTTGCCGTTGTTGTTGTTGTAGAGACAGGGTCTTACTGTGTTGCCCAGGTTGGTCTCATACTCTTGGGCTCAAGCGATTCCAAAGTACTGGGATTATAAGTGTGAGCCACCATGTCCTGCCCCACCAGGCTTTAAATGCTCTGTGGAAGTTTGGTCTTTACCATAAGGCCTGCTGCAGACTTCAGCCAGAGGGAAATGTGAGAACTGTGGGTTAAATCGAGAAGCACGCCAGGACCCCGGCTCATGGGATTGCCCTTCAAGAGGCGGCCCGTGGGTACCACAGGGTGCAGGATCAGGACCATGAACAGTTTCCTCTGGGCTGAGACTTGGCCATTCCTAGTCACGGGATGAGGACAGATGGAGCAGAATCGAAATCCTGTTTACTTTCCTGCCACTGGCTGGTTTGTCTCCGAGACTAGAAGGCTGAGGTGTTCCTGACATCAAGGCAGGTGGCCCACAGGTGGGACCCACAGCACTCACTGACTGCACTTCCTGATATAAAAAGATACCTGGACACTCCAGGTGACACTCAGGAACAGGCATCCCTCAGCTCCAGGCTTGTGCATTTCAGGGAGGAGCAGTTGCTGTCTCATCCCTGTCCTACTGTACCCCAAAACATACCCTGTACCCAGATGTTTGAGCCAGTCAGTGGGAAGAAAGCATTAGCTTCCAAGGAAATGCCCAGGTGGCCGGTGCTCTGAGCCCTGCAGCGGCCTTGGGACTCAGCTTGGAGGAATCAAAAGTCCTGAGTGGCCAGGCACAGTGGCGCCTGCCTGTAACCCCACACCTTGGGAGGCTGAGGCAGGAGGATCACTTGAGCTCAGGAGTTCAAGGCCAACCTGGGCAACATACTAAGACCTCATCCCCCCAAAAATAGTCCTCAGCGACCCCTAGACATGGTGGTGTGTGCGGAAGCTGAGGTGTGAGGATCACTTGAGCCCAGGAGTTTGAAGCCAATCTGGGCAACACAGTGAGACTCTGTGTCTTAATTAAAAAAAAAAAAAAATAAAAAATAAAAAATTAAAAATGTCGCCGGGCATGGTGGCACATGGCTGTAATCCCAGCACTTTGGGAGGCCGAGGCGGGCGGATCACCTGAGGTCAAGAGTTCAAGACCAGCCTGACCAACAGGGTGAAACCCTGTCTCTACTAAATACAAAAAATTAGCCGGGTGTGGTGGCAGATGCCTGTAATCCCAACTACTCGGGAGGCTGAGGCAGGAAAATTGCTTGAACCTGGGAGGCAGTGAGCCGAGATTGCGCCATTGCACTCCAGCCTAGGCAACAAGAGTGAAACTCTGTCTAAAAAAAAAAAAAAAAGAGTCCTGAGCATGGCCCTCAAAGCCTAGGCAGATGGGGGTAGGGAGGTGGGGCGACACCAGCGGTTGAAATGGACAGACATCTCAGCTGCACTGGCAACAGTTGGTATCAACTCTTGTTTTCCCTCCTGAAACTGCTGAATTTGAGACTAACAGACTCATGCAGTAACATCCACACAGGGGCAGATGGAATTATGAAGAGGCGTGCCCAGGCTGAACACCCACACTCTCAAAAATTGGTTTCTCGTTCAGCCCCAGCAGCTCACTGGTAGGAAGGTCAAGAATGACAGCTTCCTGAGACTACAGTTGATTAAAGTACTTTTTTTTTTTAGACAGGGTCTCACTCTGTCACCCAGGCTGGAGTGCAGTGGCGCAATGTCATCTCACTGCAACCTCTGCCTCCTGGGTTCAAGTGATACTCCTGCCTCAGCCTCCTGAGTAACTGGGATTACAGGCGCATGCCACCACGCCCAGCTAATTTTTGTATTTTTAGTAGAGACGGGGTTTCATCATGTTGGTCAGGCTGGTCTCGAACTCCTGATCTCAGGTGGTCCAACTGCCTCGGCCTCCCAAAGTGCTGGGATTACAGGCGTGAGCCACCGCACCCAGCCTTTAAAAAGTACTTTTTAAAATAGTTTTTTATTATTACTAAATTCCAGATGTTGCATTGCTAAACATCCGCTGTGGGCAGTGGGGAGCCCCCAAAGGCTGCTTCCTGGGGTCAGGGTCAGGGGTGAGCAAGGGACAACTTGGGCTGCCTGTGCCTATTGGTACACATGCCTCAGCAAGTGGTCCTGACACTGGCTTATTTTTATTAGGTGAAAAGTGAAAGGGACCAACATTACACAATTCCACAATACTAAGAAACACGTGACCACAGCCAGTGTCTCCAGGGGGTGGATACACATTGGCTGTGTCCTTCTGAGCGGCTTCCCTCAGCCTGCAGTACTTGGGGCTCATTCGGGTACAGGGCCCCCGCTTGTCCAGCTTACCACACGAATGCTGAAGCACCATCAGGGAGTGCTGCCAGGGAGTTGAGGGCAAATTTGCTTAAAACCAGTTCACCGCTAACAAGAAACTTGTGTGTCTGGTTCCCCAGGAAAGCCTAACCTTTGTGTTTCCATTTCCATGGCATCTGCTCCCCACAATTTAAATAAGGAACAGATAAGACAGGTCATCAGATATTTACATACCCATGAGAGGCATATGAGGTGGGCAGGAAGCCAGGGGCATCACAGCCCAGCATCTGGCCCCGTCGGGAGGATGACCTGGCACTGGGTGTTGGAGACCAACAGGGGGCATATCATGTGGGGGCTGTCAGCAGCAGCAGTCTGCTGGGGGGTGGGGACAAGGAGGGGTCTGCTTGGCTGGGGGATTAAGTATACTTGGGGGTGAAGGAGGTGGGAGATTGATTACACAAGCAAAAGTACTGAGGACAACAGGAGCAGGCTCTCACTGTTGGAGGAAGGAGTCACAAACCTGGGAAGAGAGAAAAATAGTGGGAACCCTGTGGTGAACTAGAATTAAAGATATTGGAGTGGGCCAGGTACAGTGGCTCATGCATGTAATCCCAGCACTTTGGGAGGCCAAGGTGGGAGTATTGCTTGAGCCCAGGAGGTTGAGGCTGCAATGAGCTGTGACTTCACCACTGCATTCCAGCCTGGTGACAGAGTGAGACCCTGTCTCAAAAATAAAAATAAGCTGGGTGCGGTGGATCACATCTCTAATCCCAGCACTTTGGGAGGCTGAGGCGGGCAGGTCACTTGAGGTCAGGAGTTTGAGACGAGTCTGGCCAACATGATGAAACCCTGTCTCTACTAAAAATACAAAATTAGCCAGGCGTGGTGGTGCACACCATAATCCCAGCTACTCAGAGGCTGAGGCAGGAGAAATGCTTGAACCTGGGAGGCTGAGATTGCACCACTGCACTCCAGGCTGGGCAACAGAGTGAGAATAAATAAATAAATAAATAAATAAACAAACAAAAATAAAGATATCATAATGAACTCATGGTTTTTAATATATAAAAACATAGGAAAACAGATGTGAATGTGTGCGCACGTGTGTGTGTGTACACACGCATCTGTAATAACCCACAAATATTCCTTAGCTCTGTGTCCTAAGAGTGTCCAAGAGCAGCAACACCCCAACAGCAATGAGCACATCAAAGGCCAAGATTTACTCTGAAAGGAATCAGGGCTCCTTAGAGAATTGGGTGAAGCAGGCAGAGGCAGAACAGAATATGAGCCTGGTTGGGCACAGTGGCTCACACACATAATCCCAGCATTTTGGGAGGCCAGGAGTTTGAGACCAGCCTGGGCAACATGACAAAACCCTCTCTCTACAAAAAATACAAAAATTAGCTGGGCAACGTGGCTCGTGCCTGTAGTCCCAGCTACTTGGGAGGATGGGGTGTGAGGATCACCCACCCAGGAGGCTGAAGTGAGCCAAGATTATGTCACTGCCCTCCAGCCTGGGTGACAGAGTGAGACCCTGTCTCCAAAAAAAAAAAAAAAAGGCCAGGTGTGATGGCTCACGCCTGTAATCCCAGCACTTTGGGAGGCAGACAGGCAGGCGGATCACCTGAGGTCAGGAGTTCAAGACCAGCCTGGCCAACATGGTGAAACCCCATCTTTAATAAAAAATACAAAAAATTAGCTGGGTGTGGTGGCAGGCGCCTGTAATCCCGGCTACTCAGAGGCTGAGGCAGGAGAATTGCTTGAACCTGGAAGGCGGAGATTGCAGTGAGCCAAGATCGTGCCATTGCACTCCAGCCTGGGCAATAAGAGTGAAACTCCATCTCCAAAAAATAAAAATAAAAATAAATTTACACTGGGGAGGGTTAGGGACATCATGTCCTCATAGCATTTAGGCGAAACTTAAATGTAGATTTAAACTTGAATTTCTCCTTTAGTCACCAGATCTCTTCTGAAGGCTGGGCACCATGCCCACAGCCTTACATATATGAATTCACACAGCCCTCAACAGTCCTCAGTAACCATGAGCTAAGTATTATTATTGCCCCACAAATCAGAGGAGGACCAGGAACAGAGAAAGGTTCAGCCAAGGACCAGGGTCATGCAGCCAGAGGTGGAGGCAGAATTCAGACCCTCTTGCTGTTCTCAACTACTATATATGTCAAGTACACATCAATCTTGCACCAAAACAGTGTTCAGAAAGAAGCACACTTTTGTACAACATATACACACACTTTCCACAAGCCTCAGCAAATATGAAGTGCTATGCTCCAAAGTGACACACAAAATTCAAATAATTGACCTCAAGAGACCAACTCACTCTAAGAAATCAAGTGACACGTTGTGCAGATGACCCTTGGTTTAAATATCTTCATCTTATTTGGTGGCCCCACTTATAAGCTACTTTCAAATTGTTATTAACCTTGACCAAGTGATCAAGGTCAATGGTAGCAGTGACAGGACATATTGACAGCATGTTTTCCCTGACACAATGTGCTGAGGACACACACATTGCCTCTGTGGGACTCTGGCCACAGATGCACAACTTCAGTCCAATCTAGAGGAAACATCAGACAAACCGCACTGAGGGATGTTCTACAAAATGACTGAGCGCTTCTTAAAATGGTCAGCGTCATTCATGGATGACAAGGTCACAGATCACAGGAGACCAAAGAGACATGATGACTAAATACAACGTGGGATTCAGGGCAGAAAAGGGCATTAGGGCAAAAACTGGGGAACTCCAAATGAGGTCTGTAGTTCAGTTAAAGATCATTGTACTCAGCGTAATTTCCTGGTTTCCATATTTGTACTATGGCTCTGAAGGTGTTGACGAGACAGGAAGCCCGGAGAAGGAGATACGAGAACTCTCTGTACTATTTTTTCAACTTTTCTTTTTCTTTTCTTTCCTTTTTTTTTTTTTTTTTGAGACGGAGTCTTACTCTTCTTGCCCAGGCTGGAGTGCAATGGCGCGATCTCGGCTCACTGCAACCTCCACCTCCTGGGTTCAAGTGATTCTCCTGCCTCAGCCTCCCAAGTAGCTGGGATTACAGGCATGTGCCACCATGCCTGGCTAATTTTGTATTTTTAGTAGAGATGGGGGTTTCACCATCTTGGCCAGGCTGGTCTTGAACACCTGACCTCGTGATCCACCTGCCTCGGCCTCCCAAAGTACTGGGACTACAGGTATGAGCCACTGTGCCCAGCCGACAAAACTGTTCTTATTCAATTTCCCTAAGTCTGTCATTTTTCCTTTTTCTATATGACTGAATGCTAAGCACCTCTTAGGTCTTCGACCTAGAATGCAGCTGCTTGTTACTGATTTGCAACAGTATTTCTCAGTTATAAACTACAAAATAAATCAGTGTGCATACTGGAAACCAGGGCAATGATAAGGCAGAAAGAAAACATCCTAGCCGTCTTCTGCGAGACAGAAGGGATGAGCAAAACGGCCCACCATGCACATAAGGGCTGAGACAAGATCAGAGGTGTGCTGCCGCAGCTCTAGTCACACACAGGAAGTGCCTTTTTTTTTTTTTTTTTTTTTGAGACAGAATTTCACTCTTGTTGCCCAGGCTGGAGTGCAATGGCGTGATCTTGGCTCACCGCACACTCTTGTTGCCCAGGCTGGAGTGCAATGGCGCGATCTTGGCTCACCGCAACCTCCACCTCCCAGGTTCAAGCGATTCTCCTACCTTAGCCCCCCGAGTAGCTGGGATTACCGGCATGCGTCACCACGCCTGGCTAATTTTTGTATTTTTAATAGAGACAGGGTTTCTCCATGTTGGTCAGGCTGGTCTGGAATCCAGCCTCAGGTGATCTGCCCGCCTCCGCCTCCCAATGTGCTGGGATTACAGGCATGAGCCACCACGCTCGGCCAGAAAGTGTCTTCTAAACAGCCTACCTGTCTTTTCCTTGATCTCACAGAGCACGCTGAACAGAGCAGGCTTCATCCGATGGCAATTCAGAGCATGCTTTCTGAAAGGGAGGTGACAGAGGAGGGTGTGAGAAAAGAATAGTCATCATCTTGTCCCCAAGAGTAAAGATCTTCCATACTGAGAAATCAAACCAAACGAGATCTGCCACTCTGACTGTAGATAAGTCGCCTTATGAAAATGCAGTACAATCATATTTCATGTGAATTTGATTTGCACAAAATCAATATAAAGGCCAGCCGTGGTGGCTCACGCCTGTAATCCCAGCACTTTGGGAGGTCGAGGCAGGTGGATCACTTGAGGTCAGGAGTTTGAGACCAGCCTGGCCAGCATGGTGAAACCCTATCTCTATTAAAAATACAAAACTTGGCCAGGCACAGTGGCTCATGCCTATAATCCCAGAACTTTGGGAGGCCAAGGCAGGCGGATTGCCTGAGGTCAGGAGTTCGAGACCAGCCTGGCCAGCATGGTGAAACCCTGTCTCTACTAAAAATACAAAAATTAGTTGGGCATGGTGGTGCCCACCTGTAATCCCAGTTACTCAGGAGGCTGAGGCAGGAGAATTGCTTAGACCCGGGAGGCAGAGGTTGCAGTGAGCCGAGATCAGGCCACTGCACTCCAGCCTAAGTGACAGAGTGAGACTCCATCTCAAAAAAAAAAAAAAAAAAAATTCGCCAGGAACAGTGTCATGCACCTGTAATCCCAGCTACTCAGGTGGGTGAGGCAGGAGAAATGCTTAAACCTTGGAGGCAGAGGTTGCAGTGAGCCAAGATTGTGCCACTGTACTCCAGCCCAGGCAATAGAGTGAGACTCTGTCTCAATAATAATAATAATAATAATGTAAAGCAATATACAAATATTCAAAACATTTCCCACTATATGCAAAAGTTTAAACAATGCAAATAACTCATCAAAAACTATGGTAAGGCATTAGTGGCTCATGTCTGTAATCTCAACGCTTTGGGAGGCCAAGGCAGGAGGACCACTTGAGCCCAGAAATTTAAGATCGGCCTGGGCAACATGGTGAGACCCATTCTCTTCAAAAATTTAAAAATTAGCTGGGCATGGTGGTATGCCTGTAGTCCCAATCCCTCAGGAGGCTGAGACAGGAGGATGGCTTGAGACCATGAGTTAGAGGCTGTAGTGAGCTATGAACATGCCACTGTACTCCAGCCAGCATAACAGAGGCCTTGTCATTAAGAAAAAAAAAAAAAGGCCAGAGGCAGTGGCTCATGCCTGTAATCCCAGCACTTTGGGCGGCCGAGGCGGATGGATCGCCTGAGGTCAGGAATTTGAGACCAGCCTGGCCAACATGGTGAAACCCCGTCTCTACTAAAAGTACAAAAAAGCTGGGCGTGGTGGTGCACACCTGTAATCCCAGCTACTCGGGAGGCTGACACAGGAGAATTGCTTGAACCAGGGAGGCAGAGGTTGCAGTGAGCTGAGATCGCACCAGTGAACTCCAGCCTGGGCAACAGAGAGAGACTCCATCTCAAAAAAAAAAAAAAAAAAGAAAGAAAAAAAAAGAACTATGAAATATCAAGGTCCAACAACTTGAAATCTGTGTTCACACTATGGTCCTGCAGTGGTGTATCCTGGTGCCTAAGCAGAAGCACCAATCATCCTCTTCCAGTGTCACTTGGCAGGTGTTTACTGAGTACCTACTATGTGCCACACACCATTCTGGCATCAGAGACACAGACAGGTAAGGTTTTTACACATGTGGCAGTTAAGAGGGAGGGAGTGAGACACCAAAAATACACACCAACAAGAAACCCATCAGCCGTGGCAGTTGCTCTGGGGCAACTGGGGTCACATGACAGTGATGGTTAGAAGGCTTTTTGGAATTTCCATGTCTCTGAGGTGACATCAAAGCTGAGATCAGAATGAGAAGGAGAAATCAACCAAGAAAAGGACTGGAGAGAGGTATGGTTTAGGCAGAAGAAACAGCCAAGCACAAAGGCCCTGTGAGAACACACTGGGTTCAGTACTGGCTGTTTGAGACCAGGCTGCTGAGTGTTAGGGGTGAGGGAGAGAGCTACGAGAAGTTAGACTGGCAAGTGGAGATTGACTCTAAGGGCCTTGAAAGTCATGGGGACAACTCTGGCTTTTGCTTGCTTGGGTTGGGAACTATGGTTGGCAGGATAATGGCTCCCAAAAGGGTCCACATGCTTATCCTCAGAACCCTAAATATGGTACTTTACAAAAAATGGGAAAAATAATTCTGCCAATGTAATTAAGTTTAAGGACCTTGAGATGGAGAGATTAACCCGGATTATCTGGGGGGGCCTACTGTCATCACATGACCCTTAAAGGTAGAGAACCTTTCCCAGATGTGGGCAGAGAAAGTCATGATGATGTAAGGGTTGGAGAGATACTATGTTGCTGGCCTTGATCATGGAGGAAGGGACCATGAGCAAGGAATGCAGGTGGCCTCAACAGGCTGGAAAAGGCAAGGAACCAGCCCATGGGCTCACTGGGCAACACCTTGATTTTAGCCCACTGTGCCCATGTGGGCTTTCTGACCTACCGAAATGTAAAATCGGTGGCTCATGCCTGTAATTCTAGCATTTTGGGAGGCCGAGGCAGGCAGATCGCTGGAGCTCAGGAGTTTGAGACCAGCCTGGGCAACATGGCGAGACAATGAGCTGGGACAAGAGGCACGCACCAACACACCTGGCTAAATTCTGTATTTGTTGTAGAGACAGGGTCTCGTTATGTTGCCCAGGCTGCGCTCAGCCAAGAGAAGAATTTCATGGAGAGAAGAGTAATCTGTGAGAAATGCTGCTGAGAGATCAAGCAGAATAAGAACCCAGAAGAGAATCTGAGGCTGGGCACGGTAGCTCACGCCTGTAATCTCAGCACTATGGGAGGCTGAGGTGGGAGGACCAGTCTAGGCAACATAGCAAGAACCTGTCTCTAATAAATAAATAAATAAATGAATAAAGAGAATTCGGATTTAGCAACATGAAGGTCATAGGTGACTCAGCGGAGAGGGAACAAGGTTGGGAGAGAATGTGGAGGTGAGGAGGAAGCGGAAGCAGCAATCACAAAGTCTTTGATGTTTATCATAAGGGAGATCAAACAAACATAACAGGTGCTAAAAGACAGGGTGTGTGTTAATCATGTTTTTTTTCTTTTTCTTTTTGAGACAGGGTCTTACTCTGTTGCCCAGGCTGGACTGCAGTGGCCATGCTGTGCCCGAACTCAAGCAATCCTCCCGCCTCAGCTCCTGAGTAGCTGGGACTACGGGTGGTGCTACCATGCCTGGCTAATTTTTAAAAAATGTTTTTGCAGAGCTTAAGTCTCACTATATTGCCCAGGCTGTTCTTGAACTCCTAGACTCAAGAGATCCCCCCGCCTTGGCCCCTCAAAGTATTGGGATTATAGGCATGAGCCTGGACTATTAATTATGTTTTTTTTTTATCTTGCTTTGACATTGTGGGGCTTGGAGTGACTGCCCTTCCCAGGGCTAGCTTATTACTACAGACAGCAAACAACTTGCCAAAGAACATGCCATTCATATGCAAATCAACCAATCAAAAGCCCACATTCCCAATCATCTTCTTCATTTAATGCTCACACACAAAGCCAATAATTTCCCAGCCCTAAATCACCCCAGGGCCAGGTACTGACCAACTAGAGACCACTCCTCTAGCACAGAGCCTGCCAAAATTATTTAAACTATCTAACCTAAGCTTGCTCAAACTTGCCTGCCATGCCATGCCATGCCCATTCCTTCCTGAGGAAATCACTATAAAAGTTCTGGGCCGTGCTTTCCCTCTCTCCACTGTCGCCCACTGACCCAGGTGCTTCCCCATGTGGCCCTGCCTGGCATGGTGTGCCCCCTCCTCTGGAGCTGTAAGTAATAAACTTCCCTTTCAACAGGGCAGTTGTCTCCATGTGTGTCATCTTACCATACCTGATTAAAACAAATCCCGGGTACAAAGCAAGGCCAAAGGGTAAGTCAAAGGGGTTTTTTTTCTTTTTTTCTTTTTTTTCTTTTTGAGACAGAGTCTTACTCTATTGCTCAGGCTGGAGTGCAGTGGTGCAATCATGGCTCACTGCAACCTCCACCTCATGGGTTCAGGTGATTCTCCTGCGGCCTCCAGAGTAGCTGGCATTACAGGTGCCCACCACTACACACAGCTAATTTTTGTATTTTTAGTAGAGATGGGGTTTTGGCATGTTGGTCAGCCTCAGCCTCCCAAAGTGCCAGGCTTATAGGCATGAGCCACGGTGCCCAGCCTGTTGTCTTTGACTGTTCTTAAAGATAGGAGGTACTAGCACATGTTTATATGCCAAAAAGCCAGTCTAGAGAGAGAATTTGATGATGCAAGGATAGAGTAAATGGCCAGGCGCAGTGGCTCACGCCTGTAATCCCAGTACTTTGGGAGACTGATGTGGGCAGATCACTTGAAGTCAGGAGTTCGAGACCAGCCTGGCCAACATAGTGAGACAATGTCTCTGCTAAAAATACAAAAATTAGCCGGGCATGATGGCATGTGCCTGTAATCCCAGCTACTCAGGAGGATGAGGCAGGATAATTTAATTGCTTGAACCCAGGGGGTGGAGGTTGCAGTGAGCCGAGAACACGCCACTGCATCCCAGCGAGCGAGACTCCATCTCAAAAAAAAAAAAAAAAAAGAATAGGGTAGCTGGTATGTGCATGTAGCAGAACTTCTGTGAACAACTTTGATGAGTACTATGCTATTAACATTTACTATTATGATGATTTTAAATCCTATAACTCTGTCATCCAAGCGTCCATTATTAAAAGATCCATTATTAAAAGCCACAGCTGAATAATGTATCTGAAAATCAATAACTTCACAACAGAAATCAGATTTGATTAACACCATGAGAGGTTGGGCATGGTGGCTCATGCCTGTAATCCCAGCACTTTGGGAGGCTGAGATGGGGGGATCACTTGAGGTCAGGAGTTTGAGACCAGCCTGGCCAACATGGCAAAATCCTGTCTCTCCTAAAAATGCCAAAAATTTGATGGGCATGGTGGTGTACACCTGTAATCCCAACTACTTGCTGAGGCACAAGAATTACATAAATTCAGGAGGTGGAGGTTGCAGCGAGACAAGATCACATCACTGCACTCCCGTCTGGGCAACAGAGCGAGATTCCATCTCAAAAAAAAAAAAGGAATACAACTGGGGTGCAGAACTAAGATCTTTGTCTCTGAACTTCAAATATAAAATGTTTGTGGGGGATGAGATGACATATGAACTTCCCAAAATCTAACCTGAACATTAGTCTTTCTTTATTTTTAATTTTTATTTTTGAGATGGAGTCTCGCTCTGTCACCCAGGCTGGAGTGCAGTAGCGCGATCTTGGCTTACTGCAACCTCCACCTCCCAGGTTCAAGTGATTCTCCTGCCTCAGCCTCCTGAGTAGCTGGAACTATAGGCGCGTGCCACCACACTCAGCTAATTTTTTATGTTTTTAGTATAGACAGGGTTTCATGGTATTAGCCAGGATGGTCTCGATCTCCTGACCTCATGATCCACTTGCCTCGGCCTCCCAAAGTGCTGGGATCACAGGTGTGAGCCACCATGCCCGGCCATGTTAGTCTTTCTTATAAGGTATACAGTCATTGATCACACGAGATATTCAGCTTAAAATATTAAACATTTTCTTTCCATAGAAGTGGTATTAACATTAATTTAAATGGACTCTGATTATAGCTCATCTTCTGGAAATTTAACTTTTTCTCTTTAAAAAAAATATATTTTAATATAAAAATAGAAGAAACCTGGGGAACATGGTGAAACCCCAGCTCTATAAGAAATACAAAAAACTGTCAGACACAGTGGCTCACGCCTGGAATCCCAGCACTTTGAGAAGCCAAGGCAGGTGGATCACGAGGCCAAAAGATAGAGACCATCCTGGCCAACGTGGTGAAACCCCGTCTCTACTAAAAATACAAAATTCAGCTGGGCATGGTGGCGCGCACCTGTAGTCCCAGCTACTCAGGAGGCTGAGGCAGGAGAATCACTTGAGCCTGGGAGGTGGAGGCTACAGTGAGCTGAGATTGCGCCACAGCACTCCAGCCTGGTGACAGAACAAGACTCTGTCTCAAAATAATAATAATAATAATAATAATAATAATAACAATAATAATAATAATACAAAAAGTAAATTATCTGGGTTTGGTGGCACATGCCTGTAGTCCCAGCTACTAGGGAGGCTGAGGTGGGAGGATCGCTTGAACTCAGGAGATCAAGGCTGCAGTGAGCTGTGATCACACCACTGTACTCCAGCCTGGGCGACAGAGTGAGACCCTGTCTCATAAATAAATAAATAAATAAATAAAACAGAGACGGGTTCTCCCTATGTTGTCCAGACTGGTCTCAAACTCTTGGGCTCAAGTAATCCTCCCACTTTGGCCTCACAAAGTGTTAGGATTACAGGCGTGAGCCTTGTTTCTGGCCTGGAAACTTAATTTTAACAATAAGAGGAAAGAAAATGAAGTTGGCTCTTCTGCTTCTGTAAAGGCTCTAGGATTTTTTTTTTTTTTTTTTTTTTTACCAGTTTTCTCCTTATAAAATATTTTACTTTAGATACAGTAGAAAGCACTTTTTAATGCATACAAAGTAATTTCATAGTTTCTGTGGCTTACTATGAAAAGAAAACAAGTTCCCAAGCTTTGAGCATGTCTTTGAGCTAGCAGTGATCAAGCAGCTGCTGCAAATCAGTGAGGAAAAGGGGACTGACTAGTGAGACCTTCCCCAAGGGGATGAAATCACTTACTTGGCAGACACACCCTAAGGTAACCCCCAGTGAGTCATGTCCTTATATAATCCTTTTTCCTTGAGTTCAGGAAGTACCTGTGACTTGCAATGTGCCAAAGGTGATGGTATCATCTCTGCCATGGTTATGTTGTTATCTAAGACTCCACCTTAGATGACTAGAGAGTCACCCACTGGCACCAGCTGCCATGTCATGACAGCTGGTGGCAGGAACTGCAGGCAGCCTCTAAAGCTGAGAGCAGCCTCAACTGACAGCCAGGAAGAAAGCAGGGACCTTTGTGCTTCAACTGCAGGAAGTGAATTCTTCCATCAACCATGCGACACTGGGAGAGAACCCCATGCTCTGGATAGGAACATAGCCCAGCCAACACCTTGACTGCAGCCCTGTGAGACCCTAAGCAGAGGACCTAGCTAAGCTGTGCCCAGAATCCTGACCCAAGGAAACTGTGAGATAATAAATATCTGCTGTTTTAAGCTGCTAGGCTTGCGGTGATTTCTTATAAAGCAATAGAGAGTTGATAATGAGATAGACTGGAAGCCAGAGAATGGGGACCGTTGGGAGAAAAATGGGGTTGGTGCTGGTATGTCTAACAAGTATATGACACGTTATGGCTGGGTGCCGTGGCTCATGCCCGTAATCCCAGCACTTTGGGAGGCTGAAGCGGGCGGATCACCTGAGGTCAGGAGTTCAAAACCAGCCTGGCCACCAGCCTGGCCATCATGGTGAAACCCCGTCTGTACTAAAAATACAAAAATTAGCCAGGCATGGTGGCACATGCTTGTAATTCCAGCTACCTGGGAGGCTGAGGCATGACAATCACTTGAAACCAGGAGGTGAAGGTTGCAGTGAGCCAAGATCGCGCCACTGAACTCCAGGCTGGGTGACACAGCAAGACTCTGTCTCAAAACAAACAAACAAACAAAAAACACAAGTATATGACATATTCTACCAAATCCACATATCTGAATTTTTTTGTTTGTTTTTGAGACAGAGTCTTGCTCTGTTGCCCAGGCTGGAATGCAGTGGCATGATCTCAGCTCACTGCAACCTCTGTCTCCTAGGTTCAAGCGATTCTTGTGCCTCAGCCTCCCAAGTAGCTGGGATTACAGGTATACGCCACCACTCCTGGCTAATTTTTATATTTTTAGTAAAGGCGGGGTTTCATCACGTTGGCCAGACTGGTCTAGAACTCCTGACTTCAAGTGATCCACCCACCTCGGCCTCCCAAAGTGCTGGGATTATAGGCGTCAGCCACTGCGCCTGGCCACATATCTGAGTTTTTTAAAATGCTAATGTTTATGAGAAAAATTCGAAAAAAAGGAAGAACAGTAAATCTTTTAAATTGACTTCCAAGGAGTCTTCTAACCTAAACAAAAACAAAAAAAGCCCAAAACCAAAATTCTGAATATCATTTTTAAACCAATATTCAAAATCTATAGCAAAACAATTGAGAGTCATATAGAAAATGCCAGAAAGTGAAAGCATAGAGCTTTATCCCCCTTCAACCTCATTTATTCAATATTTATGGGACAAACATTTATTGTGGAAGTACCATATGCTGGTCCTTGTATAAGGGCTAAGGAACATGAAAATGAATAAAAACATAATCCACATTCTGGTATCTACCAACAGTATGTTTTAGCTGATAATTTTAGCTATAATTTACTTTCCCAAATTATAGAACAATCTGTTTTCCTCATCAAGGTATCATTTTAAATTACTTGGGAATTTCATTTAAAGATATATTCAGAGATTTCAGTCCCTATGGAATAGAATACTACTTGAAAAAGTCTTCCTGAAAGCAACAATGATTCTAACACCTTAACCAAGGATAGATCGATTATCCTTGATTATTCTCAGTTCTAGAAGGATTATTTTAGCTGACAAAAGCAGTCAGCAATATTATACATCTCCTGGAGACAAACCTAGGTACAAACAAAAATTTAGAACTTATGTTCCCTGCTCTTAAGAAGTAAAACTGCAGGCCGGGCGCGGTGGCTCACGCCTGTAATCCCAGCACTTTGGGAAGCCGAGGCGGGCAGATCACTTGAGGTCAGGAGATTGAGGCCAGCCTGACCAATATGGTGAAACCTCGTCTCTACCAAAAATGCAAAAATGAGCCAGGCTGTGGTGACCAGCGCCTGTAATCCCAGCTACTCAGGAGGCTATGACAGGAGAATCGCTTGAGCCTGGGAGGCGGAGGTTGTGGTGAGCCAAGATCGTGCCACTGCACTCCAGTCTAGGCAAGTGAGACCCTGTCTCAAAAAAAAAAAAAAGGAAAGAAAACTGAACTCCCACCTGGGCAACAGAGTGAGACTCCGTCTCAAAAACAAAACAAAACAAAACAGAACAAAACAAACCAGGACAAATACCTTAGAAAGGTCAGAATACTTTGCAAAGTACTTACACTGTACAAGTCTGGAACAAACCGCGTGCTCACTCCTTACCTGGCAAGGAGTTCAAGGCCATGCTTGGTCGGACAGCAGCTGAGGCAGGCAGTCACCCCCGAGTCTCCCTTCCAAGGTCACGCCCACCACTCATGCCCGATGGGACCACAATGCATGCCTTCATGCTCCACGCCTGCCTTGCATGCATGCTTGCACCAAGCCTACAATGCCGCATCCACTTTCTTTGCCTAGGCAAAGCCTCAAGTCCAGATCTTGGCCATCTCCTCAAGGCTCCTTGTCCCCCGCCTGACTTCACCTAGACTCCAGAGTCATGCACTCTGATTGCCCATGCTCTACAAGCTCTAGTCTTGCTGAAGGGCTAACTCCTCATTGCCCTCTCTGGTCCCCGTGTCACCGCACTCTCCAATGTCTGCCTCTCCAAATAATGAATCTCCTTTCAGAACTCACTGCTGCATTCCCAAGCCCAGCACCAGACCTGGCACAAAATACATGTTTATTGAGTAGATGACATTTAATTTGCGAGAATGTACTTTTAAAAGTGTCCTGTAAAGCCCGAGCCTGACTGTCTGATCTCCCACGGCACCCAATCAGCTGGGCTCCTCTGAGCAGGAAGCGATGTCAGATTTAAGTGAGTTTTGTAGGATCCCTGGGAAAAGCAGAGACAGGTGGCAGGCAGTACAGCCTCAGAGTTCAATAGAGCATGCCCAAATCTCCATCCAACTACCCTCCAGTTATCTGGCCACTTGATTCCTTATCTAGAAACACAGTGAAGAGCCAGGCGCAGTAGCTCACACCTGTAATCCCAGCACTTTGGGAGGCTGAGGCGGGTGGATCACCTGAGGTCAGGAGTTGGAGACCAGCCTGACCAACATGGAGAAACCCCGTCTCTACTAAAAATACAAAATTAGCCAGGCGTGGTGGTGCATGCCTGTAATCCCAGCTACTTGGGAGGCTGAGGCAGGAGAATCGCTTGAACCCGGGAGGCGGAAGTTGTGGTGAGCCGAAATCGCGCCATTGCACTCCAGCCTGGGCAACAAGAGCAAAAATCCATATGAAAAAAAAAAAAAAAAAAGAGCCAGGCGCAGTGATTCACGCCTGTAATCCCAGCACTTTGGCAGGCCGAGGAGGGCAGATCACGAGCTCAGGAGATCGAGACCATCCTGGCTCACACGGTGAAACCCGGTCTCTACTAAAAATACAAAAAAATTAGCCGGGCGTGGTGGCGGGTGCCTGTATTCCCAGCTACTCGGGAGGCTGAGGCAGGAGAATGGCGTGAACCCGGGGGGCGGAGCTTGCAGTGAGCCGAGATTGCGCCACCACACTCCAGCCTGGGCGACACAGCGAGACTCCGTCTCAAAAAAACTAAAGAAAGAAAGAAAAACAAACAGTGAAAAACCACCCACTTCCTAGGGTTCTGGGGAGGGGTAAATGAGGGAAATCCTTATTGTCATCATCATCAACCACTGTGTTCTGATAGAGGCACTCGGTAGCTGTCATTTAAATGAGTGAGTGGTACTTGCTCCTTTGTGAAATTCTACACATGGCTTTACTTTTCATTAATAAAGCTATTTCAAAGGGGATTTTGCCAAAAGACTTTTAGATAGCTTCAGGGAATTGTTTTAAAACTAACACAATTTGCCAGGCACGGTGGCTCACGTCTGTAATCCCACCACTTTGGGAGGCTGAGACGGGCGGATCACCTGAGGTTGGGAGTTCGAGACCAGCCTGAACAACATGGAGAAACCTCGTCTCTACTGAAAATACAAAATTAGCTGGGTGTGGTGGCACGTGCCTGGAATCCCAGCTACTCGGAAGGCTGAGGCAGGAGAATTGTTTGAACCCGGGAGGTGGAGGTTGCGGTGAGCAGAGATTGTGCCATTGCACTCCAGCCTGGGTAACAAGAGTGAAACTCCATCTCGAAAACAATAAAAAATTTAAAAAACTTACAAAAAAATAAAAACAACACAATTCAAGCTGGGCAAAGTGGCTCACACCTGTAATCTCAGCACTTTGGGGAATCCGAGGCGGGATAATCATTTGAGGTCAGGAGTTCAAGACCAGCCTGCCCAACATGGTGAAACCTCGTTTCAACTAAAAATATGAAAATTAGCCGGGTGTGGTGGCTGGCGCATGCATGTAATCCTAGCTAATCAGGAGGCTGAGGCATGAGAATCACTTGAACTTGGGAGGTGGAGGTTGCAGTGAGCCGAGATTACGCCACTGCACTCCAGCCTGGGTGATAGAGCAAGACTCTGTGTCAAACAACAAAAACCAACACAATTCAACTCTTAGGAAAAGTACACCAAAGACAGCAAGACTCCTCTGGCACTAGACCAAGTCAAGCTAAGCCTGCAAGCAAGCTAAGAAGAAAGACTACAAGGCACGAAGTCAACTGGCATCTAATTAATCTCTTTAGGGATACTGAAAAAGAAAATTTTAAATATGAAATCCTACTTCCCAGGTTTGGACTGATAGATCCTCTCATGCTAATGCTATCTGGCTCTGGGAAATTCCACATCATAAATTCCCCCTAGAACCCTTGCATTCTTTGAATGGGTGTGCGGAAGGCTGAATGCTCACTGACATGCTTTATAACTATGTATGAATATAAGGTCAGAACATACATAAGTATACATACTTTATAAGTATATGTGTTCTGACCTTATATTCACTATTGCAAAAGTACCAAGCCTAGGGGAACACATTTCAGGTATCAGTTCACACCTTGCCTCTTCAGTAAGTTTAAAGGATAGTCAAAATCACTTCATTATCTCCCCTTCATAATAGGAATTTAATCCATATCTAGGCAAAGTCAATCTGCAGAAATATTGGAGGGACTAAGAAAGTTATGCAAATCTCTACTAGTTGAGGTCATAATAGTAAAAATCAAATTAAAAAGAGAAGGCCGGGCATGGTGGCTCACACCTGTAATCCCAGCACTTTGGGAGGCCGAGGCGGGCAGATCATGAGGTCAGGAGTTCAAGACCAGCCTGGCCAAGATGGTGAAACCCCGTCTCTACTAAAAATACAAAAAATAGCCTGGTGCAATGGCAGGTGCCTGTAATCCCAGCTACTTGGGAGGCTGAGGCAGGAGAATCACTTGAACCCAGGGGGCAGAGGTTGCAGTGAGCCGAGATCATGCCACTGCATTCCAGCCTGGGTGACAGGGTGAGATTCTGTCTCAAAAAAAAAAAAAAAAAAAGAAAGAAAAGTTCAGAGATATGTTTTCTTCCTAAGAAAACCTATGCAGGCATTGCTGGGTTGCCTAAAACCAACTTCCAAATACATTTTTGGTTTTAGGTATGCCATCTCACACACCACACTGCTTGCTCCTAAAACATTATAACAGTGAGCATTTAGAATGGGTGGGATGGCTCATGACTGTAGTCCCAGCATTTTGGGAGGCTGAGGCAGGAGGACAGCTTGAGCCCAGGAGTTCAAAACCAGCCTGGGCAACATAGTGAGACTCTGTATCTACAAAAAAATGTTAAGGCCAGGCACAGTGGCTCATGCCTGTAATCCCTGCACTTTGGGAGGCTGAGGCAGGCAGATCACCTGAAGCCAGGAGTTCTAGACCAGCTTGGCCAACATGGTGAAACTGTGTCTCTACTAAAAATACAAAAATTAAGCCGGGCATGGTGGTGCATACCTGTACACACCTGTAATCCCAACTACTCGGGAGGCTGAGGCAGAATTGCTTGAACCCATGAGACGAGGGTTGCAGTGAACTGAGATCGCACCACTGTATCCCAGCGAGGGCAACAGAGTGAGACTCTGTCTCAAGAAAAAAACAAAACAAAACAAAAAACCCAGGTTTGAAGAGAGAGCTATATTTTCCTTCTGAAAACAAACTTACGGCAACAAAACATGTTCAGAGGGCCTCACGACTGAGATGAAAAATTCCTTCTTGCTAAACAGTTGAGTTCAACTGACTGCTGGGGTGATAAAAGGGGTGACTGGCACATTGAGAGTGGGCAGGATCAGAAAGATTTTCAAAAGCCTCACAGGATCAGTTGATCAGAAGAGACAATCTGCTTCCCAGCCCAGGTTGGTAATCTACCAGGCTGCAGGGTTTACTGTGAGGAGCTGTATTTCCTCCAGAGGGGTGGAAATAGCCCATTTGAGGATGGATGATTTTTGTCTGGACTTGAGTGAACTTTAGGGCTTTGAGTTCATCTAAAGGCTAGGTCCAAAGAAATGAGGGAGATTTGAAGCTTCAAAGTCTCGAAATAAAAGCCCCGGGGGTCATCCCAATTCAGAAAGAGGCCAGAAACCAGGAACCAGCTACCTAACACCTGTGTTATCAAGCATGAATAACGCCCCCCACCACACCATTTAATTTCTTTTTTTTTTTTCTCTGTCATCCAGGCTGGAGTGCAGTGGCACGATCTCGGCTCACTGCAACCTCCGTCTCCAGGGTTCAATCGGTTCTCCTGCCTCAGCCTCCTCAGTAGCTGACACATACTACAGGTGGGCATCATCATGCCCAGCTAATTTTTGTATTTTTAGTAGAGGTGGGGTTTCTCCACGTTGCACAGGCTGGTCTCGAAGTCCTGAGCTCAGGTGATCCTCCTGCCTCGGCCTCCCAAAGTGCTGGGATTACAGGCGTGAGCCACTGCACCCAGCCTAATTTCTTAGCCTTAAAACAAAAAGAGCTATCTTTGAAAATGGTAAAGAAGTAACTGGCTGGCAGGGCGTGGTGGTTTATGCCTGTAATCCCAGCACTTTGGGAGGCCGAGGTGGGAGGATCACCTGAGGTCAGGAGTTTGAGAGCAGCCTGGCCAACATGGCAAAACCCCGTCTCTACTAAAAAAATACCAAAATTAGCCGGGCGTGGTGGCAGGCGCCTGTAATCTTAGCTACTCGGGAGGCTGAGGCAGGAGAATCTCTTGAACCCAGGAGGCAGAAGTTGCAGTGAGCCAAGAACACGCCAGAGCGAGACTCTGTCTCAAAAAAAAAAAAAAAAAAAAAAAAAAAAGTAACTGGCTGCATTCCATTCTAAATCTAAAGCCTGTCTAGGGAAACTAGAATCTCAGGAGATTGCTGCAAGGAAAATGCAGCAGCCCTGGGGCTGTGCTGGGCCTGAGGAAGGCCACATCTGAGCAGAGCTCACCCCTTAAGCAGCAATATCCCGGTCTGGAAAGTACAAAAGTAGCTTCCAGGACACACCCAAAGCTCTGCCTCTGCGGTGACATTCCTGGGTGTGTCAAAACCATCTTCCCCCTTTCCCAACTCCTACTAATCCCTCTAGAATCTCCTCAGTGTCATGAAACTACTGAATGCAAGGTGCTAGGCATTGATCCTGGCTCTGGGAACACAAAGTATAATAAAGCCACTGCTCTCCGACTAGCCTAACAGACATCACGGAAGGCACCCTCTCCTGGCACAGCTCTTCTGTGCTAGGAATTACCTCTACACAGCACATTCCTGTTATAACAATTATTTACAAGTTGGTCTCCCACACACCCTACTTCTCAGTGGGCTCCAAGAAGGCAGAGAACATCTTAGCCATCTTGGTTTCTCTAGCACCTGGTACAATGCTCCAAAAAGAATAAAAACACTGGTTCACGTCTGTCATCCCAGCACTCTGGGAGGCCAAGATGGGTGAATCACTTGAGCTCAGGAGTTCAAGACCAGCCTGGACAACATGGTGAAACCCCATCTCCACAAAAAATACAAAAATTAGCCAGCCATTCATTGGTGGTTTGAGGCTGTAGTCCCAGCTACTTGGGAGACTGAGGCTGGAGAATCACTTGAACCTGGGAAGCAGAGGTTGTAGTGAGTTGAGATCATACCACAGCACTCCAGCCTGGGTGACAGAATAAGACCCTGTCTCAAAAACAAACAAACAAACATGGCCCGGCGCAGTGGCTCACGCCTGTAATCCCAACACTTTGAGAGGCCAAGGCGGGTAGATCATCTGAGGTCGGGAGTTTGAGACCAGCCTGGCCAACATGGTGAAACCCCATCTCTATTAAAAATACAAAAAACTAGCCAGGTGTGGTGGTGCACACCTGTAATCCCAGCTACTTGGGAAACTGAGATGGGAGAATCACTTGAACCCGGGAGGCGGAGGTTGCTCACTAGCCGAGATCGCGCCACTGCACTCCAGCCTGATCGCGCCACTGCACTCCAGCCTGGACAACAGAGTATGAGACTCCGTCTCAAAAAAACCCAAACCAAACCAAAAAACAGCCAAACAAACAAACAAAAACAAACAAACAAACAAAAAACCACAATGAAAACAGTTGGAGGAGCCAGGCTCAGTGGCTCATGTTTGAAATCCTCGACCTTTGGAAGGCTGAGGCGGGAGGATTTCTTAACTCAGGAGTTTGAGACCAGCCTGGCCAACATAGGGAGACCTAAAAAAATAGAAAGATTAGTCCAGGTGTGGTGGCTCAGGGCTGTAATCCCAGCACTTTGGGAGGCCGAGGTGGGTGGATCATTTGAGGTCAGGAGTTCAACACCAGCCTAGCCAATACGGTGAAACCCTGTCTCTACTAAAAATACAAAAAAAAATTAGCCAGGCGGTAGTGGCACACGCCTGTAATCCCAGCTACTCAGGAGGCTGAGGCAGGAGAATTGCTTGAGCCTGGGAGGCAGAGGTTGCAGTGAGCTGAGACTGCACCACTGCACTCCAGTCTGGGTGACAGAGTGAGACCCTGTCTCCAAAAAAAAAAAAAAAAAAAAAAAAAAGAAAGATTAGCCAGGCGTGGTGGCACAGGCCTGTGGTCCTAGCTACTCAAGAAGCTGAGGTGTGAAGATTGCTTGGGCCCAGAAGGTTGAGGCTGCAGTGAGTCATGATGACACTACTGCACTCTAGCCTGGGTGACAGAGCGCGGCCTTATATAAAAAAAAAAAAGCCAAAGAAATAGTTGTATGGTGACAAGGACTCTAATTTCTCAAACAGAGCATCTGAAACTACAAAAAGTGTCAACATTCCCTGAGAAGCAAAGGAAAGAAAGTTTGAAGAACAAATTTACTTTCTCTCCCCAAACCATGAACTTGAGAGCAGGAAGAACTTGAGAGCTATGCCAGAACCCAGTTCAGTACCCAGATATTGTAAAGGTCCGATAAATATCGGCCAAATTTGTTAAAAATTCATTGAAGAACAGGCCAGGCACAGTAGTTCACGCCTGTAATCCCAGCACTTTGGGAGGCTGAGGTAGGCAGATCACCTAAGGTCAGGAATTTGTGACCAGCCTGGCCAACACGGTGAAACCCCATCTCTACTAAAAATACAAAACTAGCCACGCATGGGGCGTATGCCTGTAGTCCCGGCTACTCAGGAAGCTGAGGCAGGAGAATCGCTTGAACCCGGGAGGCAGAGGTTGCAGTGAGCCGAGATAGCGCCACTGCACTCCAGCCTGGGCAACAGAGTGAGAGTCCGTCACACACACACACACACAATTCATTGAAGAACAAATGCATGCATTATCCACCTTTTTATCTGCCTCTTCCTTCCTAGGACTGCTGTTTACCTGGCTTTGTAACCCCTCCCCACTACAGGGCTCTAGTGGGTACACAGTCCACACCACCAGACCCTAGTCCCATACCCAGAGACCGTCCCTCACCTTACAACAGTCCCCATTCAACAAGGCCTCATCCTCCAAAAGGACTTCAGTCCTTTCCTTTCCTTTTCTGTAATAATCACTGCAGGACCCAGACACAGTGGGCTGCCTTGTGAAGCAGATTCTACGGATCCTGGCTGGCTGACAAGTGGTGAGTGGAGGTAAACGGGATGGGAGGTCTAAAAACTCCTTTATTTTTCCCCATTGCAACTGGAATAAATAGTCCGAACTCCCTATTGATTGTTATCCAGATGACAAAAACAAAACTATTTTTTTATGGAGACAGAGTCTCACTCTGTCGCCCAGGTTGGAATGCAGTGGCGCTTGAACCCAGGCACCTCCTGGATTCAAGTGTTTCTCCTGCCTCAGCCTCCCAAGTAGCTGGGACCATAGACATGCACCACCACGCCCAGCTAATTTTCGTATTTTTAGTAGAGATGGGGTTTTGCCATGTTGGCCAGGCTGGTCTCGAACTCTTGACCTCAGGTGATCTGCCCACCTTGGCCTCCCAAAGTGCAGGGATTACAGGTGTCAGCCACTGTGCCTGGCTGAACAAACAAAACTCTTTACTGAGATTCGTAGGCCCCATGTAATTGGGTTCCAGTCTCCCTTTATTATTATTATTATTTTTTGTTCAGACGGAATCTCGCTCTGTCGCCCAGGCTGGAGTGCAGTGGTGTGATCTCGGCTCACTGCAGCCTCCGCCTCCCAGGTTCCAGTGATTCTCCTGCCTCAGCCTCCCAAGTAGTTGGGATTATAGGTGTGCACCACTACACCCAGCTAATTTTTGTATTTTTGGTAGAGACTGGGTTTCACCATGTTGGCCAGGCTGGTATTGAACTCCTGACCTCGTGATTCACCTGCCTTGGCCTCCCAAAGTGCTGGGATTACAGGCGTGAGCCACCGCACCTGGCCCCAGCCTTCCTTTAAACTCAACTCTTTCCCTCCCTGGCTAGGAACTTTCTCTTCCCAGCCAGACTCCGCTTTTTACATCCTCTTTCCCACCTCAGGGCCTCTGAAGGTGCTGTCCTCTCCAAAGATGTTCTTCTCCACCTGGCTTCCTATAGCATGCAACCCCTATCCCTACAGCTTTTATTGCCATTTATTTTATTTTTTTCTTTTCTCAGATTGGTACAGGATGGTCTCACTATGTTGCCCAGGCTGGTCTCAAACTGCTGGACTCAAGTGATCCTCCCACTGGGAGGCAGCTGGGATTACCTACCCATGCTACCATGCCTGGCTTATACTTTTTTGCTTTTGTTTGAGACAGGGTCTAGCTCTGTCACCCAGGCTGGAGTGCAATGGCTTGATTCGGCTCACTGCAGCCTCAGCCTCCTAAGTAGCTGGGACTACAGGCTTGCATCATCACACCTAACTAATTTTTTAATTTTATTTTTAGTAGAGACGAGGTCTTACTACATTGTCCAGGTTGGTCTCGAACTCCTGAGCTCAAGCAATCCTCCTGCCTCAGCCTCCTAAAGTGCTGTGATTAGAGATGTGAGCCACTCCACCCAGTCCTTATTTTTTGCTATTTACATTCCCTCCCCTAAATCATGTACTCGAGAGCAGGGACTATGTCAGCACCCGGTTCCCTATCCAGTTATTGTAAGGATTCAATAAAAATTTGCTGAATTCATTAAAAAGAAAATAGGTCTTCCATCTCCACCCACTCCTCTACTAACCCTTTTCCCAAAAGTTCTCGATGGTTCCCACACCAAGTTACCCCAGTTCAGTTCTTCAGTCTCCTGCAGACATTCCTGAGTCCCATTCCCAGCCACTCACTCTCCATCATCTGCCCTGGAAACTTCCCACCCACAGGCCGGGCTCGGTGGCTCGCGCCTGTAATCCCAGCACTTAGGGAGGCCGAGACGGAATGAGTGCTTGAACCCAGGAGTTTAAGCAACTATAGCGAGACCCCTGTCTCTACAAAATATACAAAAAAATCAGCCGGGCGTGGTTGCACGTGCGCCTGTGGTCCCAGCTACTCGGGAGGCTGAGGCAGGAGAATCAACTGAGCCGGGGAGGTGGATGCTGCAGTGAGCCATGATCACGCCACTGCACTCCAGCCTGGGCGACAGAGCAAGACCGTGTCAAACAACAACAAAAAAACTTCCAGCCGCAGGAGTCCCATTAACGTACCCATTTAGTCATTCACTCGTCAAAAGTCCCGTACGTGCCCATTTCTCAGCCCTACTCCCTAAACCCCTAAACCCAACCTTCTCGCCCCAAGATGAGCTGCTGAAAATCCTTCACGCCACTGCTCGGCCCCATAAGGCCTATCCAGCCCGTTCCGTTTGAACCCCATACATCCCTTCGTCCTCGGGACCCCCCTCCAGCCCTCCTCAAGCGCCCCTCGTCAGTCTGGCCTCCACGCCCCGTCCCCTCAGCCCGCCAACCTCACTGCCACGACCCTGCGTGGCCCCTGCCGAGCCCGCGGGCAGCACCTGGCCTGTGCCTCGTCCAGGCTCTGGTCGGTGATGGCCATGATCTGCTGCAGGACGTCGCTCGTGTCGAGGCGCCGCGGGGCGGGGGGCGATGGCGCGGGGCGCGGCGGGGCGGCCATGAGCGGCAGGGCCGGGCGGGCGCTGTGAGGGTGCCGTCGAGCCTGGAGCACTACCACTGGCGCCGCAGCCAACCGCCGCTGCCTGAGCGCCGCGCCCGCTCTCGCTCGCGCCTAAGCCACGCCCACCGCCGCTATCGCCAGCCAACCCGTGTATTGCACCGCCTACAGACACGCCCCTTCATCTCCGTCAGCCAACCGGCGCCACGCACCGCCCCCGGGACTCGCCCCGAACTTCCCCCTCTCCGGGCTTGGACTGGGTTTGGGGTTGCCGAGGCAACGGCACTTCTCATAAGCGCCCTCCTTCCCCTTGAGAGAGGGCAGCGCTGGCTCCGCTCCAGCCAGAGGCCCCCATCCCTCACATCTCGCGCGGTGCACGCCTCCTTCAGCCCCACTCGCATCTCCTCAGAGTTCCTGCTCCTCCTCAGGGCCCCCTTCTCCTCAAAGCCCTCGGTCCTCAGAGACCCTCACTCCCCAGAGCACCCCAACTCTTCCTCCAAGCCACCCCCTCCTCCTCAGAACCCCACACCTCTTATAGCTTGATCGACAGCCCCCATTCATTTCCAGAAGCCCCAAGCCCCAGACCCCTGCTCAGTCCCCCTAATGCTCCCTGCATCCTCAGCCCCATCAGGTGGGCCACTGGGGCCCCTGGCTCTTCCTCTAGAGCTTTCCACGCCCCGTTCACCTGGCTAAGGCGGGGCGCAGGCGTGCGTGGTTGATGGCAACGAGGAGGTCAGAACGCAGCGCTTTTCTCCACTGCAGAAATCAATTCCAGTCACCTTTCAAGGTCCAGCTGAAGAGTGACCTCGCTTGTTTATTCATCTTCGCAGATTACAGTTCTGGGCATAGAAAATGCTACCACGTGGTTACCGAATGAAGGAAGGATGTTTACTGAGAGACTCCCCTGCAGTGTACCCCAAATCAGAGCGAATCCTCACATCTTTGTTTCTAGTCCTTAGGACACAGCATCGAAGGCTCCTAGTGCACAAGAAAAGGAACTGGGCGGTGGCTCATGCCTGTAATCCTAGCACTTTGGGCGGCAGAGGCGGGAGGATCACTTGAGCACGGGAGTTTGAGACCAGCTTGGGCAACATAGTGAGACCCCGTGGTGGTGCACGCCTGTGGTCCCAGCTATTTGGGACTTGAGAGGCTGAAGTGGGAGGATCACTTGGGCCTGGGAATTTGAGGCTGCAGTGAGCCATGATTGCACCACTGCACTGCAGCCTGGTTGACGGAGACCAGGTCTCAAAAAAAAAAAAAAAAAAAAAAAGTAATGGCCTGGACATGAATCTCTTCTCCAAAGTCACAGAACCTCCTGGAGCCTATTTGCTATGAGGACAGTCTCCAGATGTGGGCTCAGTAAAAGGTCCTCAGCCTGCTGGCTGGGAGCCCTTCCAGGGTGGGGCCCACGTTCTCTCCATTGCTGCTGGGGAGGAAATTCAAACACCATCTGGTATGGCTGGATTGGAGAGCGTCGGGAGACTCCAAAGGGGACGGCAGGGAGTGAAAAATGAAAGACATTGACCGAGTGTCTGGACAATAGGGAAAGCTCTCTGATGAAGGAAACCGACACTTGGCTCCAATGACAGAAAGTAATAGATTGCATGGGAGCCACGGAGACCAGTGCCTGTTCAAAAGGTCACCCACAAGCACAGCACTGCCCAGGAGGCCTGAACAGTAGTGGCCTTCAGGCTGGGTGCAGTGGCTGACACCTATGATCCCAACACTTTGGGAGTCTGAGGTGGGAGATTACTTGAGCCCAGGAGTTCAAGACCAGTCTGGGGAACATAGTGAGACCCCATCTCTACAAAAATAAAAATTAAAAAAATAGCTAAATTAGCTGGTCATGGTCCCAGCTACTTGGGAGGCTGAGGCGGGAGGATAAGTTGGGCTCAGGAGGTCGAGGCTACAGTGAGCTGTGTTTGTGCCACTGCACTCCAGCCTGGGTGAGAGAGCAAAACCTGCCCCCAACCCCAACAAAGTAGTATCCTTCAGAGAACTTGGAGGGGTGGGCACTGAAAGCTTCAGGGACCAGCAGAGACAAAAATTTGAAGCCACTTGGTGGAGACGGGAGATCGACAAGAGGAAATGGTCTCGAAGGAGACCCACGGGGTGCAGGTTAAAACCTGGAGGAGCTGATGTGAACAGCCAGCTCAGAGCGCCTGAGACAGAGTTGCCTTTTTTTTTTTTTTTTTTTTTTAGACAGAAATCTTACTCTGTTGCCCAGGCTGGAGTGTAGTGGCGTGACCTTGGCTCACTGCAACCTCCACCTCCTGGGTTCAAGCACTTCTCCTGCCTTAGCCTCCTCCTGAGTAGCTTACAGGCACCCACCACCACGCCCGGCTAATTTTTGCATTTTTAGTAGAAATGAGGTTTCACCATGTTGGCCAGGCTAGTTTCAAACTTCTGACCTCAGGTGATCTGCCTGCCTCGGCCGCCCAAAGTGCTGGGATTACAGGTATGAGCCACCTCACCCGTCCCACTGTTGCCATTTGGAGGTCATCAGGGGTCTCTACTGCATAGAAATTAGTTGGCAGCCTTGGCACTCAAAGTGCTCGGCCAGGGCCATTTAATATAGAAGGACCTGGGAGTTTTGGGTTCTTTGACAATGCATATTTCAGTGGTTTAAGAATTTGGCACAGGTGGCTGGGCATGGCGGCTCACATCTCTGAGTGACCTGGGTTCAAATTCTAGCTGTTATTCAGCATGGGATTCAAAAGTAGGGACATAACCCCACCTCCTCACTGGTGAGGTGGGAGCAGAGAATGACATCCTGGCACACACTGTGCCTTGGAGGGGGCCTCCCTGAGCATCTCAGAGGGGGCTCATGATGGATCTGGCACTCATGGGTTGGGTGCTGTGGGGTGAGGTAGGGAAAGCCCAGCTGAGCTTGGGACCAACCCTGGGCTTCGTGGGAATCTGAAGTCCCTTTCCTAGGGGCCTCTCTGGTCCCTCGGGGCCTGTATGTGCCATCTCCAAGCTGTGTTTACCATGGGCCAGATCACAACCTGTCTGAATCAGTGTTCTCACATAAAAATCAGAAAGACTGATCCCAGCACTTTGGGAGGCCAAAGCAGGCGGATCATGAGGTCAGGAGTTCAAGACCAGCCTGGCCAATATGGTGAAATCCCATCTCTATTAAAATACAAAAAATTAGCCAGACATGGTGGTGCATGCCTGTAGTCCCAGCTACTTGGGAGGCTGAGGCAGAAGAATCGCTTGAACCTGGAGGGGGCGGAGGTTGCAGTGAGCTGAGATCATGTGAGACTCTGTCTCAAAAAAAAAAAAAAAAAAAAAAGGCCAGGCATGGCGGCTCACGCCTATAGTCCCAGCACTTTGAGAGGCTGAGGCGGGCGGCTCACCTGAGGTCAGGAGTTCGAGACCAGCCTGGCCAACATGGTGAAACCCCATCTCTACTAAAAATAAAAAATTTAGCTGGGTGTGGTGGCATATCCCTGTAATCCCAGCTACCCGGGAGGCTGATGCAGGAGAATCACTTGAACCTGGGAGGCAGAGGTTGCAGTGAGCTGAGATCACGTCATTGCAGTCCAGCCTGGGAAACAGAGCAAGACTCCGTCTCAAAAAAAAAAAAAAAAAAAAGCCCAGCACAGTGGCTCATGCCTGTAATCCCAGCACTTTGAGAGGCCGAGGCGGGTGGATCACAAGGTCGGGAGTTCAAGATAAGCCTGGCCAAGATGGTGAAACCCCATCTCTAACAAAAATACAAAAATTAGCCGGGCACGGTGGCAGGTGCCTGTAATCGCAACTACTTGGGAGGCTGAGGCAGGAGAATCGCTTGAAACCCGGGGGCGGAGGTTGCAGCGAGCCGAGATTGCACCACTACACTCCAGCCTGGAGGACAGAGTGACACTCCATCACAAAAAAATAAAAAATTTAAAAAAAAAAGCACCTAAAGTGTTTACCAGTATGCCAGGCACATCAGAAGAGCTTGAGAAATGGTCATGCTCAAATCCTGCATCCCACTACCTGAACCCCACAACCTGTGGCTGGAAGTATGAATACAGGTGGTGGGGAATGGGATAGAAACGGCTGGGCACGTGACCTTGAACCATCAGGGCTCAAACAAAAGGGCAGTGGGGAGGGAGGGGGCTCATAGGGTCCAGACACTACTCTGAGCTGCAGAGAAAGACAGGGAGACAGGCAGTGAGATGGAGGCAGAGCAACAGATGGGGGAAACAAAGAACAGAAGCAGAGAGAAACAGATTCAAGACCCCAGTAAGAGAGAGGGGCCAGGCGTGGTGGCTCATGCCTATAATCCCAGCACTTTGGGAGGCCAAGGTGGGTAGGTGGATCGCTTGAGGTCAAGAGTTCGAGACCAGCCTGACTAACATGGTGGGACCCCATCTCTACTAAAAATATAAAGATTAGTCAGGCACGCGGTAGCTCACACCTGTAATCCCAGTACTTTGGGAAGCTGAGGTGGGTGGATCATTCAAGGTCAGGAGTTTGAGACGAGCCTGGCCAACATTGGTGAAACCTCATCTCTACTATAATACAAAAATTAGCCGAGTGTAGTGGCAGATGCCTATAACCCAGCTATTCGGGAAGCTGAGGCAGGAGAATCGCTTGAACCCAGGAGGCAGAAGTTGCAGTAACCTGAGATCAAGCCACTGCACTCCAGCCTGGGTGACAGAGCGAGACTCCCTCTCAAAGATAAACAAACAAATAAATAAATAATAAAAATAAAAATACAGAGATTAGCTGGACGTGGTGGCACGCGCCTGTAATCCCAGCTTCTCCTGAGGCACAAGAATCTGGAACCTGGGAGGTAGAAGTTGCAGCGAGCTGAGATTGTGCTACTGCTCTCCAGCCTGGGCTACAAAGTGAGACTCTGTCTAAAAAAAAAAAAAAAAAAAAAGAGAGAGATGGAATAACAGCCAGCCAGACTGAAGAAGAGCGAGCACAGGGCCAAGGAGATACCATGTTGAAAGATCCTTTCTGGACTTGGGCCAAGGTAGACAATTCCGGGACACAGGGACAGAAACACTGAATTGATAACAACAAATGTTTTGGAGACCTCAGAGTGTAAAGAAAGGTTTACTCCTTGTATCATCCCCTCCCCGTGGACTGCTTCAATTCTATCGGGGACAGGCCAGTCCCTGGAGGCTGCAAGGAGCCACAAACCTTTCCCAGCTCACACTCTGCACCCCTCAGTCTCTGCTGCTAAAGAATCAGACTCAGGTAGATGGGGTGTCCACAGTCTGTCCTCATTACCCAGTCATACCGGGTAGCATGGCCCGAGAGAGCCCTTATCTCTCCCCACCTTAAAACCCTCAGCATCACACAGCAGGAACCAGTCCACAGGGCTTACCAAGGATACGCAGTGAAAACAGAATAATGTCTGTTACAAACCCCCTAAACCTGAGATGGCTGAAGAGCCAGATTCCTGCACCCCATCTGACTCCCCCAGGCAGTGGGAGATGACCCAAAGCCCCCATTCCCTGGGCAGAGTGGTGTGCCTGGGGAGGCCTGGCAGTGGTGCTGTGCCATGCCAGACCTTGTCCTGCCAGTCAGTCAGTCCTGTTGGTTGGGTTGAGCCAGGAGCACCCACAAGTCATCAGGGGCTGTGGATTTGTTGCTTGCCGCGTACCGCTGAAGTTCAAGGTAGCTAAAGGGTGGAGTCCATCAGTGGGTGGCCGTTCTCGGGAAGCATGATGCGAGTGCTGGCACCTCCCTGGGCAGAGGATGTATAGTGGACAGACTCGCGGGTGGACTGGCGGAGGCACGCGCAGCAGAGAAGGCGGCGGAAGGTGCGGCGCATCTCAGCATCTCGGCAAGAGTACACAGCAGCATTGACCAGGGAGTTGGCCTCGGCCAACAGTAGGAAGTACTTTTCTACAGCCAGGACATTGCAGGACTCACAGCCTAAACCATCCAGGAGCAGTACCACCTGGCCTGGTGTCCAGCAGACCACGAACGCCCCTGTGGGACAGAGGCGGAAGTGAGCAGGGCAAGCTGTCAGAGGCCCGGCACCTACAGCTCTCAGTTTGGGGTTGGAGTGGTCTCCAGAGCTCGAGCAATAGTGGTGAAGTTTGCAGTGCAAGAGCTGCTTGTTTCCCTGATTCTGCAGTGTGACAGGAAGGCCTGCTAAGATGGGACATCTATGCTAATTGGTACACAGTGGCCAAGGCACTGGACATTTTGTGTGTGTGTGTGTGTGTGTGTGTGTGTGTGTGTGTGTGTGTGAGATGGAGTCTCGCTCTGTCGCCAGGCTAGAGTGCAGTGGTACAATCTTGGCTTGCTGCAACCTCTGCCTCCCAGGTTCAAGCAATTCCCCCACCTCAGCCTCCCAAGTAGCTGGGACTACAGGTGTGTGCCACCATGCCCGGCTATATTTTTTTTTTTTTGTATTTTAGTAGAGATGGGGTTTCACCATGTTGGCCAGGATGGTCTCGATCTCCTGACCTCGTGATCCGCCCGCCTCAGCCTCCCGAAGTGTTGGGATTACAGGCATGAGCCACTGCGCCTGGCCTGTGTGTTTTTTTTTGAGACAGGGTCTCCTTCTGTCACCTAGGCTGGAGTGCAGTGGCACGATCACACCTCACTGAAGCGGCACGATCACACCTCACTGCAGCATTTGACAGGCTGAGGCAGGACAATCACTTGAGGCCAGGAGTTTAAGACCAGCCTAGGCAATATAGTGAGACCTCGTTTCTACAAAAAATAAAAAATTAGCCAGGTATGGTGGCACATGCCTGTAGTCCCAGCTACTCAGGAAACTGAGGCGGGAGGATCACCTGAGCCCGGAAGGTTGAGGCTGCAGTGAGCTATGATGGAGCCATTGTAATCCAGCCTAGGCAAGAGTAAGATCCTGTATCTTAAAAACAAAAATAAATTTTGAAATTTAAAAATATGGGCCGGGCGTGGTGGCTCATGCTTGTAATCCCAGCACTTTGGGAGGCCAAGGCGGGTGGATCACGAGGTCAAGACATCGAGACCATCCTGGCCAACATAGTGAAACCTGGTCTCTACTAAAAATAGAAAAATTAGCCAGGCATAGTGGCACGCACCTGTAGTCCCAGCTACTCAGGAGGCTGAGGCAGGAGAACCACTTGAACCTGGGAGGCAGAAGTTGCAGTGAGCCGAGATTGCGCCACTGCACTCCAGCCTGGGTGACAGAGCGAGACTCTGTCTCAAAAAAAAAAAAAAAAAATTAAAAATACATATAGATTAAAAAACAATTTAAAGGCTTTTTGTTAAAACAGGCTTAGCACTGCTAAAAACTCCTTTTTTTTTTTTTTTTCTGAGACAGAGTTCTGGAGTTTCGCTCTTGTTGCCCAGGCTGGAGTGCAATGGTGTGATCTCGGCTCACCACAACCTCCGCCTCCTGGGTTCAAGCAATTCTCCTGCCTCAGGCTCCCGAGTAGCTGGGATTACAGGCACACACCACCATACCTGGCTAATTTTGCATTTTTAGTAGAGATGGGGTTTCTCCATGTTGGTCAGGCTGGTCGTGAACTCCCAACCTCAGCTGATCTGCCCGCCTCGGCCTCCCAAAGTGCTGGGATTACAGGCGTGAGCCACTGTGCCCGGCTAGCACTGCTAAAAACTCTTAAGGGGTTCCCATGAAACTCAAAATAAGACTCCTGTCCGTGCCCCTTAAGGCCTTGCTGATCTCTCCTCCTCACAAGCCCACTTTCCTCTTTAGAGGCTCTGGCCTCGTACTGCCTTGAGGTTTTTACTTTCCGTTTCCTCTGCCTGGAAGGCTCTCTGTTCCTATCCTCAGCATTCAGGCCTCTGCTCACATACATTATCACCTCCTTGGAGGACATTCCCCACCTAAATCATCCCCCATCACCCTCTATCAGGTAGCTTGTTTTGTTCATTGCTTCGCAGTGTCTTGTGGGAGATAGGGGGAAGCAGGGTCCCTGTTGCCCCCTGGGGGCCCCACTTACCCAGGATGATGACAACAGTCTTGACCAGGCTGAGCGTGGTCTCTCGGTAGCGGGGGTGGCAGCTGACATGCTCTGCCATGCGCTGCACTCGCCGCCGCACGTAGAAGAAAATGCGGGTGTACACAGCCACCATGAGCAGGAAGACAAGCAGGCTCGACAGAGCCCAGACGGCCAAATAGGAGCGGCTGAGCAGGGGTGCCATGCGTGAGCAGCGGTCCAGGGCACAGAGGCAGTGCCAGGAGTGGGCAGGCAGCAGCCCCAGGCCCAGGGCAGCCACCCACACGCCCACAATGAGCATGACCACGCGGCCACGGGGCAGGCGGCTGTGCAGCTGCACGGCCATCACACTGCGGTGCCGCTCCACGGCGATGGCCAGCAGTGTGGCCACCGACGCAGTGAGGCTTGTGTCCAGCAAGCCCTGCCGCAGGAACCAGCCCTCAAGTGAAAGTCGGGCTGTGCGGGGACCAGTGTGGAACATGAGGAAGAGGTAGGCCACGCCCGCGAAGAGGTCAGCCGCGGCCAGATTGCCGAGCAGGTAGTAGATGGGCTGGTGGAAGCGGCGGTTGGAGGCGATGGCTGCTATGACCAGCAGATTGGTCAGCAGCACCAGCACGCTGACGGTCAGCCCCAGTGCCACCACGACCACATCCTTGGGCCGCCAGTGGGAGCTGAGCTCTTTGCCACTGTTGTTATAGAAGAAGCCGATGGTCTCGTTGTAGTAGCACTGGCCCATGATGACCATCTGGGGACACAAGAGATCAGTGCATGTGGCACTTCTTGGAAGGACACAGGGAGGGGCGGCAGCTGCAGAGGAGGGTCAGCGCAGGAAGGACAAGGGTCTCAAATTCAGATACCTCGAAGCAAAGTGGCAGTGGTGAGGACTACGGTGGCCTGGAAAAAGCAAGCTCCATGGGGCTGGGGTGGAGGTGGAGGAGCAGCTGTTTCTTACCTACTAATAAGACCTGTGTGCAAGACATCACCCAAGTCAATAGGTTTTTGAACCAGAAGTGAAACAAAACCCATCTATGGTCGAATCCCAGCCCACCTGCCGCCAATGTGTGACCCGGTTTGGGTTGTGGGGAGAGGAGGGTTAGGGAAAGACAAAGGGGTGTGAGCTGCGGGAAGAGATGAGGGAGGATCACTTTGGTGCCGGAGTCAGTGTAGGGAGCAGAGACCCGGGAGCGTGTGCACACAAGGGTGAGGTCACTTGCTAGAACCCTGCGAGGGGGCGGTGCCGAGGCGTGGAGGTGATCGGAGTGGACAGAGAGGCGGCCCCAGAAGTTAGTCGGCGGGATTTGGGCGCGAGTGCTTCCCAAGCGGGCGGGGCAATAGGCTGTTCCGGGTGGGACGGAGGACACTGGCGGTCTCCGGGACAAAGACAGCGGTTGGGGAAGGGATGGATGGCCGGGCCTCCAGGCGTCTCCAGACTGGGGAAGGGGTAGGGGGTTAAGGGATCAGAGGGCGGCGTCCTGGCCCCGCAGGCACGTGCCGCGCCCTTCCCCCGGGCCCAGGCCCGCACCCGCCCGCCTCCCGTCCGTGCAGGCCTCACCTGGGCCTCCAGTCACGCCGCAGACAAGGCGGGCTCGCGGGGGTTCGGGGCGGGCTCGAGGCCCATGGCCCGGCGACTGCGGCGGGAGCGGTAGAGCGTCCGGGTGCGCCCTGTGCGGGTTGCTGAGAGGGCGCGGGAGGCGGGGTCTCCCCGGCGCCCCGCCCCCACCACCTGGGGGAGCCCTGCCCCGCCCCGCCACCTGGGGGAGCCCCGCCTCCACGGCCGCGTCGGGGGCGGTGTCGCCCGGAACCGCAGCCCCCCTGTTTCCTCCCCGCCTCGCGGCCCCTCAGTCGCCCCTATTTCCGGCGCGGGACCCCCACCCCGGTACCTGCACACCTCATGCGCCCGCAGTTTCGAGCCTGCGGGGCTGAGTCACTCGGCGACCCGAAAATTCCCGCCGTGACCCCGCGCTGCCCGGGCGGAGCTCCAGGTGGTCTTGGGTCCGCGCCCCCGCTCCGGACCCCCAACCCTCCCAGCCCCACCCCGCTCTCTTCTTCGTGTCCAATCGGCCGCCGAGTTACAAGCCACTCCCTGATCCGACTTGGCTCCCACCGCCCGGACCCCCGCCCAGCTTCGGCTTTGCCAGCTCGCAGTATCAGCGAGCCGCGGCCTCCTGTGCGAGGCCCACCTCTGCGGCCCCAGCTGATCATCGGGCGCACGCTAGGGTTTTGCAATCCCGCCCCCGTACCCCTCACCCTGGGACAGCGCTGCCCCCTGCAAAGCCCGGCCCTGCCCTGCCCTGCCCTGTGGCTTCCTCCCTCGGCCTCCCTGCGGCGGCCCCGGGCTCCCACGGTCCGGAGCACACAGCCCCATTGTCCCGGTTATCGGTACTTTGTTATACTGTATTTGATTATGCAGGACCGGATCGGGGACGCAGAGCTCCGGGAGGGCCGGGCTGGCGTGACTCAGCCGGGTGCTGCGACCCAGCTCCAACTGCCTTTACGTAGGTGCTGCAGGGTGTTTGATGATGCAAGAAGGAGGCCTTGAGGCCGGGCGCAGTGGCTCACGCCTGTAATCCCTGCATTTTGGGAGGCCGATGCGGGACGATCACGAGATCAGGAGATCGAGACCATCCTGGCCAACATGCTGAAACCCCGTCTCTACTAAAAATACAAAAAAATTAGCCGGGCATGGTGGCAGGCGCCTGTAGTCCCAGCTACTCGGGAGGCTGAGGCAGGAGAATCGCTTGAACCCGGGAGGTGGAGGTTGCAGTGAGCGGAGATCGTGCCACTGCACTCCAACCTGGAGACAGAGCAAAACTCCGTCTCAAAAAAAAAAAAAAAAAAAAAAAAAAAAGAGGCCTTGATTCCCCTAATCTGTAAAATGGGGGCAAGGAGTGCTACCCATGCTGGCCTCTCCCCTAGCAGAGATGCACCCAAGGGCATATAGGACACAGTTTATTAGAGGCCATCAGACCTCAGGCACCACCAGCATGTGGAGTCTGAGCTGCCCACCTCCTCCAGGAAGGTCACTTCGAGTCCGTGAAGGAGGCAGGCAGGTGTGGGGGAGTGACCACAACCAAAGTAGCAAAAGCACCCCTGTCCCAGGTGTCAGAGACTAGGGTGGACCCCAAGGATCTCATAACCTGCACTGACCCTGAGTATTGACCCTGAGTGACCTCTGAGCCCGAGTGGCCCTGATGCTTGGCAGTGACCTGTGTCTAGTGGGGGGACTCTGGGACATTATCCCCAAAAGGGTTTTAGGCCTCCCCTAGGTCATGTATTAAATAGTTTTTCCTTATAGGAACCCTCTGGACCTCTCCCAGCATTGAACTCCTGGCGGGGTGTTTGGCCACTAGGTGGTGGGAGGTAGGGATATATGGGTCCGTCTTCACAATCTGGGCCTCTTCCTTATTTAAGGTGCCAGGGTGGTCAGAGATGGTCCTCGGCTTCCTCAGGCTGGACGTCCGGGCAGCAGGTGGCCCTGGGCACAGCCTCGCTGTCCAATTTCGAGAGTAGCCGGGCTGTCTCCTGGGTAATCTCAAAATGCTTGGGCAGCGGGGTGCGGCGCAGGGGGCTGCCCTCAGGGGAGGCAGCTGCAGGGCTGGGCCCCCGCCCCCGCAAACTCCCTCTGGGCACTGATGTGATGGGGGTCTCCTCGCACAGCTTGGAAGCCACCAGGGCCAGACTGGACAGCTGGTGGGTTACAGGCCTCACACCGCCCCGGGGATACTTCACTGGCTGGCGGCTGAAGTGGCCACGAGACTGTGTCCCCAGGAGTGAGTCCTCTGGGCCTTGGCTGGACACTGTGTACGGGGTGGGTGGTCAGTGCAGAGCACCTCCAAGTTCTCTGTATATCCCCCCAGGAGTCATCTTTTAGCAAGCCACCCTGGGGCCAGGGCACCCCCAGAACTCCTGAGCCTCTCTCTAACATACTCACCTTCCCCTCCCCCATCTTTGGTGTCTTCAGCCACGTCCTCTCTCTGGTCACTCTGTGGAGTTGGAATCTGCAGGGAGAAACCCAAGAATGAGACCCCAACACTAAAATCCCAGTTCTTTGAGATTCCTGGAGAGCCAAGGGCTTGTTCCTGGACATGCAAAAGGAATAGCCAGTGCAAAGGCCCTGAGGTAGGAGCATGCCTGGTATGTTAGGACGCAGCCCCACCCTGTAATGAATGAGGGAAAGGTGGTAGGAAGTGAGACCAAAGAGGAGTGGGCCCAGGTGGCTCTGCCAGCCACCCCTGACTTTGCACCTACTCTGCACTGGGTGTGGACTACCATTGAACTCCTCCTATGCACAGGGCATGGACCACCACTGACTGTGCACCTGTCATCCTTTGCAGTTTTGGTGTTTGGGGATAGACGATGCCCTTATAAGTGTACTGCTTGGCCAGGCATGGTGGTGCATGCCTGTAATCCCAGCACTTTGGGAGGCTGAGGTTGGTGGATTATCTGAGGTCAGGAGTTCGGGACCAGCCTGGCCAACATGGTGAAACTCCGTCTCTACTAGAAATACAAAATTTAGCCGGGCGTGGTGGTGCATGCCTGTAATCCCAGCTACTAGGGAGGCTGAGGCAGGAGAATCGCTTGGACCTGGGAGGTGGAGATTGCAGTGAGCTCAGATCATGCCCCTGCACTCCAGTCTGGGTGACAGAATGAGACTCCGTCTCAAAAATAATAATAAGTGTACTGCTTGCCCTTCCAGCATAGAGCAGTGTCATTCATTGAGTCTGGACCGTGGGCTCCATGAGGGTGGGAAAATCCTTGTTTAGCAAATGGCCAGCCCAGGGAGTGGCTCAGCCCTCTCCACATTAGGACCAGGTGGTGCCTCTGAACTACTATCCTGGGCTGCTCTCTGCAACCTTACCAACTTTACTGTTCCATCCTTAGCTAAATGGTTGGCAGTGTCTACACATCAGACACTGTCCCGAGCACTTTATGAGGCATTCCAGCTCTCAGAGACCCACAGTTCACCAGCAGCCGCTTCCCAGCTCTGGGCTGCTGCAGGAGAGATCCTTGCTCTCAGGAATGGCAGATGCAGCAAGATACCAGCAGCACAGGCCTTGGGCATGGACTGTTCTAGCAATCCGGAGCAGCGGGTGCTGCTATCTTCCTGGTTCACAGCTGAGCTCTGGATCCAGACTGGTGACCTTTGTTAAAGATTCTACGCCAGGCGGCCGGGTGCAGTGGCTCCAGCCTGTAATCCCAGCACTTTGGGAGGCCGAGGCGGGTGGATCACAAGGTCAGGAGATCGAGACCATCCTGGCTAACACGGTGAAACCCCGTCTCTACTAAAAATACAAAAAAATTAGCCGGGTGTGGTGGCGGGTGCCTGTAGTCCCAGCTACTTGGGAGGCTGAGGCAGGAGAATGACGTGAACCTGGGAGGCAGAGCTTGCAGTGAGCCAAGATGGCACCACTGCACTCTAGCCTGGGTGACAGAGCGAGACTCCATCTCAAAAAAAAAAAAAAGATTCTAGGCCGGGTGCAGTGGCTCATGCCTGTAATCCCAGCACTTTGGGAGGCTGAGGAGGGCGGATCGCCTGAGGTCAGGAGTTTGAGACCAGCCTGACCAACATGGAGAAACCCCTACTCTACTAAAAATACAAAAAAAATTAGCTGGGTGTGGTGGTGCATGCCTGTAATCCCAACTACTCTGGAGGCTGAGGCAGGAGAATCGCTTGAATCCAGGAGGTGGAGGTTACGGTGAACAGAGATCACGCCATCGCACTCCAACCTGGGCAACAAGAATGAAACTCCGTCTAAAAAAATAAAGGATTCCAACTGCGGCCGGGTGTGGTGGCTCACGCCTATAATCCCAGCACTTTGGGAGGCTGAGGTGGGTGGGTTACTTGAGGTAGGGGGTTGGAGACCAGCCTGGCTAACATGGCGAAACCTTGTCTCTGAGGCATTAGAATTGCTTGAACCCGGGAGGCGGAGGTTGTGGTGAGCCGAGATCGCACCACTGCACTCCAGTTGGGCAACACAGTGAGATTCTGTCTCCAAAAAAAAATAAAAGATTCCAACTGCTTACAGTCCCCTTTTAGGGCCATTAACTGCTCAGAGCCTTCATTGTTTAATCTGTAAATGATTTTCATTAACACTGTCTACCTCTCAGGACTGTGGAGAGGACAACAGGAAGCCTCTATAGTGTCCCCTGCACAGCAGGTGCACATTCAGTGGTGGTCTGTGCCTGTGAATAGCAGATGCAAGGTCAGGATAGCTGGCAGAGCCACCTGGGCCCACTCCTCTTTGGTATCACTTCATACCACCTTCCTGTCATTCATTACAGGATGGGGCTGCGTCCTAACACACCAGGCACGATCCTACCTCAGGGCCTTTGCACTGGCTGTTCCCTTTGCCTGGAACACCCTTCACCTGATCTCCATGTTGCCAGCTCACTCCTTCATGTCCTTCCAGTCTTTGCTCAAGTCCGTCTGCTCTCTAAGACGTGCCCCCACCATCCTACTTAGTGATACAAACTCCACCTCCCACCGTGCTGCTCCCTGGTGTCATGTGTCTTACTCCACTTTTTTTTTTTTTTTTTGAAACAAAGTCTTGCTCTATTGTCCAGGCTGGAGTGCAGTGGCATGCTCTCGGCTCACTAAAACCTCTGCTTCCTGGGCTCAAGCGATTCTCCTGCCTCAGCCTCCTGAGTAGCTGGGATTACAGGTACACACCACCACACCTGGCTAATTTTTGTATTTTTAGTAGAGACAGGTTTCTCCTTATTGGTTGGATTAGTCTCGAACTCCTGACCTCAGGTGATTTGCCTGCCCCAGCATCCCAAAGTGCTGGGATTACAGGCGTGTGCCACCGCGCCCAGCCATTACTCTACCTTTTCATGATCCATTACCCTTATCATCATCACCTCATCACATTCCAGATAACTGACTTTGTGTCATGTATATGGTTGTTCTTTCCCCACTAAAACACAGGCACTGAGAGGGCAGGGTCTTTGGATATTTAGCTCCTGGATGTATCTGCAATGCCTACGACAATGCTTGGCCCAAAATACATGTTCAATAAATATTCTGTTGGAGGAATGAATGATCACCCATGTTAGTACCTCTGCAGGGCTGTCCCCTTTTGTTACATCATCACTGCCCACTGCTCATTCCTCACTATTCCTTCCAGAATGAACATAAGTTAAATGAGGAAGGGAGGAAGAGAATGAAGGAAATTTTAAAAAGGAAGGAAGGTGAAAGAGAAGGTAAGAGAATTGAACAGAGATAAGGCCCTCTCCATAGCTGTGGGCCCAGTGGGTTCTTACCTCGGTAGGTGTGGCCGTGGGATGCTGCTCCAGGGTACTGTGGTGCTGGGGGTCTGGGCCGGGGTCTGAGGCTAGGACTGGGGGCTGGGAGTCTGGGTCAAGGTGCGGGGGTGGCGGTTGGGAGCTGGTTGTGAGGGGCCCAGGGGCTGGGCTGGAGTCTTGGGGCGGGGGCTCAGTGGCCTGGGGGAGCTCATCCATCCCAAAGATCTGCTCGTAGTGCACGATGAGGAACTCCACAAGCTGGGCCTGATGCCCAGAGTCCAGCAGGCAGGTGACAGGGATGGCGCTGGCTGCCCGCGGGCCGTCCGGCGGCCGCAGCAGTGTCGGCCCAAACACAATGCCCAGGTTGTTGGCAGACATCTTGTTTTCCATAAATCGTGCAGCCACCCTGGGGATGGTGTGAAGAGAAAGGTCAGGGTACAGGATGCAAGCTCATTGGTCTGAGGGTAAGGGTGGGACACGCAGGCCAGCCTAGAGGTGACTTGCCCATGTCACAGGTGTAAGTCGTCTGAGACCAGCAGCCACATATCCAGAACTGGAGGTCAGGGGTCAGTACCCAAAGTTATGAATCATGGATTAAGGTTCAGAGTTCAGAAAACACAGGTCAAAGGTCAGAGGTCAGTGTCAGGGGTCAGCCAGGGAAGTTAGTAGTCGCATGTCCAGGGAAAAGGGTCGCGTTTCAAGGCTCAGGGACCCATGCACACCTGAACAGATGGGCCACCAGGTGCCGCAGGGTGTTGTAGTTAGAGTCAGGCAGCTGTACCAAGAGGGTCTTCAGCGAGCGGATAACCTCAGGGCTGGGGCTGGGGGTCCCAGGGTCGTCCCCAGGGTCTGCATGCAAGGTCTTAGCCAGAGAGATGAAGGCGTCGTAGAGGTGGAAGGGGATCACGGGCTCGGTGAGCTGGGGGTGGAACGGAGGGCGCAACACGAGTGTGGGTGGGCTGTGGAGGGCTCCTGCCCGCGTCCCCCTCAGTGTCCTGAGCACCAACCTCCTGAAGAAATCGCTTGAGGACACTCGAGACGTCATGAGGCGAGTTCCCCGACAGCTCCACCAACGCTCGGCCATTCTCGAAAGCCTGGCACAGCCGCTCCACACGGACCCGGGACCCGCTGACCCGGTAAATGCCCTGCAGGGTGAGGGTGAAAAACAGACACCTGGTTCGTGATAGGCCATCGATTCGGTCAGGTCACTTCTGGGGATGATGAAGGGTCAGGGCAGCACCTGCACATCCAGGGCACGGTGTTCTATCTCAGCCGTGCACTTCGTGACCACAAAGGGTACCTCCTCCGGGAAGTCCCTGGGTAGCTGCAGGAAGTCAACCCCAAAAAGGGGTGTCCGGGCTGGGAGCCGCCTGTGTCCACAGAGGATCAGGAGAGTCTCCAGGCAGCGCTTGTGGCAGGTCAGAAAGCACTGTGGGGAAGGTCACAGGGACAGGGAGGTCATTAGGGACCAGTAGGGGAAGAGAAGGTTACAAGGATCCTCAAGGAATGGGGGCTCATGGGAGACATCAGGTTAGGGTGGGTCCCAGGGGCAGAAAGGCTGTAGGAATCTCAGGTCAGGGAGATGATCAAGGGTCAGCAAAGGTCATTTGGTCATTAACCCAGGCCACACCTCCTCACACTCCGTCCCGCTGACCATGAAGGCTTCGCACTCGCGGCACTTGGCTGGGCCCCGCAGTCGCCGCAGCTGGTGGGTCTGAGCCGCGCTGGACAGTGTCCACTTCCCGAAGGGGCTGCCCAGCCCATTCTCCAGCCCGTCTCCCAGGTCTGCAGGGAGACAGGGTCAGGAGTGCCTGGTGCCCTGCCCTGTCCCATCCTGACCTACCCTGCTTCAGCCTCACCAGGGTCTCGCTCCTCAAAGTCATCTGAGGACTCAGTGCCTGTGGACGAAGCCTTCACCAGCTGCCTCGTGCCAGCGCCTGGGGTCAGAGGAATCATGGGAGATTCCTGGGCTATGGGAGGCACTCCTGGTTTTTAGGGCTTCCAGAACCACCCACTAATTCCCAAGGGGTCAGAGGTCAGGAGGGGGATTGGACAGGTCAGTGGTTAAGGGTTGGAGAATTGGGTCAGCAACCTGAGGGGGGTGGTTCATAAGCTGGATCAAGAGGTTGAGGAAATAGGCCGGGCGCAGTGGCTCACACCTGTAATCCCAGCACTTTGGGAAGCTGAGGCAGGAGGATCACATGAGGCAAGGAGTTTGACACCAGCCTGGCCAACATGGCAAAACCTTGTCTCTACTAAAAATACAAACATTAACCAGGCATGGTGGCAGGCACCTGTAGTCCCAGCTACTCGGGAGGCTGAGGCACGAGAATCGCTTGAACCTGGGAGGCGGAGGTTGCAGTGAGCCAAGATCGTACCACTGCGCTCCAGCCTGGGCAACAGAGCAAGACTCTGTCTCAAAAAAAAAAAAAAGAAAGAAAGAAAAGAAAAGAAAAGGCCGGGCGTGGTGGCACACACCTGTAATCCCTGCACTTTGGGAGACCGAGGCAGGTGGATCACCTGAGGTCAGGAGTTCGAGATCAGCCTGGCCAACATGGTGAAACCCCGTCTCTACTAAAAAATACAAAAATCAGCCGGCGTGGTAGTGCACACCTGTAATCCCAGCTACTCCAGAGGCTGAGACAGGAGAATCGCTTGAATCTGGGAGGTGGAGGTTGCAGTGAGCCGAGATCACGCCACTGCACTCCAGGCTGGGCGACAGAATGAGACTGTCTCAAATAAACAAACAAATAAATAAATAAATAATTTTTAAAAAGGTAAAAAAAGAGGTTGAGGAAATAGGTCAGGGGTGTGGGGTAGGTCAGAGGTCAAAGATAGTTAAAGATTGAGGGTCAGAGCTTGGCCAGGGGCTGGAGGATGGTCACAGGTGGAGTGTGGGTCAGGACCAGGTCCTATCCCTACCTGGGCTGGAAGTGGGTGAGTCCAGGGACCGAGACTCGCTGCCGCCACCCACGCTGTCCACATCGCTGCCCGGAGTGGGGCCTGGAGTCCCTAGGTGGCACAGGTCAATAAGGATGGTCCCCTGCTCACAAACCCCACTCCTGCAGCCCACCTATGTGTTGGTGGAACGAACTCCTGGCACCACTCCCACCTGGCCCTCATTGCACTCACCTTGCCAGCGCCAGCCTGTGCCCGGATCCTCCCAAGGGCCTGGCTCAGCTGAATTCTCATCCAGCCTTGGAGGAAGAGGCCCAGAGAGCTTCTTTCTGATGTCCAGAGGGGAGCTGAGAAGACAGAAGTTTGAAGGTTTGAATCCCAGGAAACTGGCCTGGGGTGATGGCACCCAGGCATCATGTCTAGGTACCAACTCCAAGCACTTGGGTCTGCAAACCCTGACACCCAGGGCATTGTGGCCCCTGAAATACAGTAGCCCCACATTCCTGCCCCTGCCCCTAGGACTGGGACAACCCATTCACCCTCCTATGGCCCCCGAGAGCCTGGAGTACTAAATTCCACTAAGGCTTTGCGTTCTCTAACCTCGAGTAACCAGCCTGCGGTGCCAACAGCCTGGCATCGCGATTCCGGGGCTCGTTCCCGACTCCCTGCTCCAGTGACCCACCTGTTCAAGGAGGGAAGGAACTCCTGGAAGGAGAAGGCGGGCGGCGGGGGCGGCGGGGCCTCGGGCCGCAGCGCCCGTACAAACTCCTGGTAGCGCTGGCCCGGCTCAAAGGGCGCACAGCACTCGGCCAGGGCGGCGAAGGCGCGGGGGCCACGCTCTGCCTGCGCCCCCCGCAGCCCGAAGAGACTCAGCGTCACCTGCCGGGTGGAGACAGCAGGTTGGGGAGGGGCGGAGCCTGGGAGCCTGGGGGCAGGGCCAGAGCTGGGGCGGGGCTTGAGAGACGCGAACGTGGTCAGGGTTTGGGACGCACCTGGGCGGCTTAGGAACTAGGGCAGTCGGCCAGGGGACCCAGGCATGGTCAGAGCAGGGGCTGGTCATCCAGGGGACAGGACCTCATGGGGCGGAGCCGAGACAGTGGGTCTGGGGGCGGGAACTGGCTGTCGAGGGAAATGGCCTAGTCCTGGTGTCTCCAGGGTGGCTTAGGGGCGAGGAGTGGGGCACTCAGTCGGGGCCCCAACGGGGTGAGGGGAGGATGGCCTTGGGGATGGGCCTCACCCGCCTCAGCACTTCATCCCCCTGAAACACCAGCTTGCGCACGTGCGACACGATTCGCTGCTTGGCGATCTCCAGGTCCTGCTGCCGCGCGTTGGCCTCGCGGACACAGGCCTGGTACAGCGCCTCGGCCTCCTGCGCCTGGGGAAACGGGAGGCCAGGAGCGGGGTGGGGCGCGTGTGGGCGAGAGTGGAGGGCAGGGGGCGCCACAGCGCTACAGGGGCTCGGGGCCGGGTGCCCACCTTGGCCTGGGCCTCCTCTCGCGAGCGCCGCCGCCGCTCCTGCTGCTTGCTAGGTCCCGGCGAGGCCTGGGGGGCCGAGTCCTCAGGGGACCCCTGGGAGCGTGCCCGCAGGTCCTCGCTGCGTTGCACATACTGCAGCTGGGCGCGCCGCAGTGCCTGCACCGCCTCATTCTGGGGGATGATGAGAAGGTCAGCGTCCCGGCCTCTCTCTCACCCTACCCTTCCACCAATTCCAAGCCTCACCATCCGCTTCTGCTCCTTCATCCACTGCTCCTTGAACTCCTTCCGCCACTTCTCAATCTCAGTCCGTTTGGCGGCGAGGGGCTGGCAAGGGTTGGGGATGGGGATGGAGACGCTGCCTTAGGGCCAACCCAGAAGCAGCCACCCAGTCCTTCCATTCCTGCGCCATGTGCTTTGCCACCTCTGGACTCTATTTTTTTTTTTTTCGAGACGGAGTTTTGCTCTTGTTGCCCAGGTTGGAGTGCAAGTGGGCAATCATGGCTCACTGCAGCATTGAACTTGAACTCTTGAGTTCAAGCAATCCTCCAGCCTCAGCCTCTCAGTAGCTAGGACTACAGGCATGTGCACTAGGCCTAGTTAATTTAAAAAACAATTTCTTCTTTTTTTTTTTTTTTTTGGTTGGCCAGGTGTAGTGGCTCATGCCTTTAATCCCAGCACTTGGGAGGCCAAAGTGGGCAGATCACCTGAGGCCAGGAGTTCAAGACCAGCCTGACCAACATGGTGAAACCCCGTCTCTACAAAAATACAAAAATTATAAAGATGTGATGGCACACTCCTATAGTCCCACCTACTCGGGAGGCTGAGGCAGGAGAATCACTTGAACCCGGGAGGCAGAGGTTGCAGTGAGCTGAGATCATGCCACTGCACTCCAGCCTGGATGATAAAGTGAGACTCTGTCTCAAAAAAAAAAATAAATAAATAAATTTTTTTTGGTAGATAAAGACAGGGATCTCACTATGTTGCCCAGGTTAGTCTCGAACTCCTGGCCTCAAGCAATCCTCCACCCTCAGCCTCCTAGTAGCTAGCACTGCAGACATGTGCACCAGGCCCAGCTAATTAAAAAACTTTTTTTTTTTTTTTGTAGAGACAGGGGGTCTCACTATGTTGCCCAGGTTGGTCTCAAACTCCTGGGCTCAAGCAATCCTCCCTCCTTGGCCCCCAGAAGTGCTGGGATTACAGGCATGAGCCACCGTGCCAGGCTGGACCCTTTTCTGAGTCAGTATTCTCCTCCTGGGGTCTTCTCCAGACCTGCTCTCCCCGACCCCTGAGTCCAGAAGTCTCATGTAGTCACCCCATCCTTTCTGCTTGGAAGCAGAGACACCAAGGCTTTCCTCCTGAGAACACTCAGCACCTCGTTCCCCTCCCCACAAACAAAAACGAAGTTTTTGGCTGGGCGTGGTGGCTCACGCCTGTAATCCCACCACTTTGGGAAGCTGAGGTAGGTGGATTACCTGAGGTCAGGAGTTGGAGACCAGCCTGGCCAACATGGTGAAACCCCATCTGTACTAAAAATACAAAAATTAGCCGGGCGTGGTGGCAGGCGCCTGTAATCCCAGCTACTCAGGAGGCTGAGGCAAGTGAATTGCTTGAACCCAAGAAGCGGAGGTTGCAGTGAGCTGAGATCGCACCATTGCACCCCAGCCTGGGCAAAAGAGCAAGATATTCTGTCTCAAGAAAAAAAGTAAAGTGAAGTTTTGCAATTGCACAGGAAGCCCAGCTTGAATCTTTGCTGGGTAACCTTGGGCAAGTTCCCAAGCATCCCCGGGCCTCAGCTTCCTCATCAATGAAATGGCGACGTTGGTAGTGGTGCCTTCCTCCCAGCTTGCTGGGAAACGAGGGGATCAGGCCTGAAGGACAGCAGGATAGCAGGGTGACCTCTGTAACATTCCACCCTGCCCCCCTCACCTGGTAGTAGTCTCTTTTCTGCTGGGCCACTGTCTCCATGGCCAGGGTTCCCAGGCTGAGATCGTGCTCCAGAAACAGGGTGTAGATGTACTGCAGAGGCATGTGGCTCTGGGGAAGACAGAGTGGTGTAGGAGGATACTGAAGATCTGTGGGGGACAAAGGTGGGGTTCTAGGGGGCTTGGGCTCTCCGGGGGGGTCTGGTCATGACTACCTGCTGTTGAATGGACACCTTGCCAGCTTCAGCGATCTTCATGGTGCTCTTAGCAAACTCCAGCTCTGGGGGAAGAGAGAGCCGGGCTCTGGGTCTAGCTGGGGTCTGGGGACTGCCTGGTAACTGGGGCTGGGCGGAAGAGGTCCTCACCATAGCTGGCTCTCTTTTCAGTCCAGGCAAGCAGTTCCTTGGCATAGCGGCTCCAGGTCTTGGCATATTCCAGGGCTGCGTCCACACCCCCCTTTGTCCGAATGAGCCGCAAGTCCAGTTCCTCCCCTGGGGAAGATGGATGGACCTCTGACCTTTGCACCCTAGTCTGCTATGGATGTCTTCCCTAAGCCCCCAGACCAGCCCAGTGGCACCTGTCCTACAGCCTCACAGCTCCCCAAACACTACTTTGGGATCACTTGTCCTGGTTGCAATTTTACAGATTCACTGTTTTTTGTTTTTTATTTTTTATTATTTTATTATTTATTTATTTATTTTTGAGACTGTGTTTCGCTCTTGTTGCCCAGGCTAGAGTGCAATGGCGCGATTTTGGCTCACCAAAACCTCTGCCTCCCGGGTTCAAGCGATTCTCCTGCCTCAGCCTCCTGAGTAGCTGGGATTACAGGCATGCGCCACCATGCCCGGCTAATTTTTTGTATTTTTAGTAGAGACGAGGTTTCTCTATGTTGGTCAGGCTGGTCTCGAACTCCCAATCTCAGGTGATCTGCCCGCCTCGGCCTCCCAAAGTGCTGGGATTACAGGCATGAGCCACCGTGCCCGGCCTGTGTTTGATGGGTTTTTTTATTTTTATTTTTGAGGCGGAGTCTCGCTCTGTCGCTCAGGCTGGAGTGCAATGGCCCTATTTTGCCTCACTGCAAGCTCCGCCTCCTGGGTTCCCGCCATTCTCCTGCCTCAGCCTCCCGAGTATCTGGGACTACAGGCACTCGCCACTGCGCCCGGCTAAATTTTTTTGTATTTTTAGTAGAGATGGGGTTTCACCATGTTAGCCAGGATGGTCTCGATCTCCTGACCTCGTGGTCCACCCGCCTCAGCCTCCAAAGTGCTGGGATTACAGGCGTGAGCCACTGCGTCCGGCCTTGTGTTTGATTTTTTTGGACATGGTCTTGCTCTGTCATCCAGGCTGGAGTGCAGTGGCACAATCGTATCTCACTGCAGCCTCAAAGTCCTGGGCTTAATCAGTCCTCCAGCCTCAGCTTCCAAAGTAGCTGGGACTACAGGCACACACCACCACACCCAGCTAATTAAAAAAATATTTTTTCTTTTGGTAGGGATGGTGTCTTACTGTTGCCCAGCATGGTCACGAATTCCTGGCTTCAAGTGATCCTCCTACCTCAGCCTCCACCCTGCCTGGGGTCTCCCTGAGGGCTGGGACTGAGATCTGTTGTGTGTACTGCCATATTCCCAAAACCTAAACGATGCCTTGCATGGAACAGGGGATCAGTGGTGATTTGTTGAAGGAAAGACTCCTGTCTGTCCCCACTGTCCTGGCCTCCAGACCCCCCTACCTGTGAGGGGTACAGGACCCTCTGGGGAGGGGCCGCTCCAACAGCTGGCTTCGTTGGTCTGTGCGGGAGGGAGACAGTATTCAGAAGCAAACAGGGCAGGGGCCTGGCCTTCCTAAGGCCCCCTCTGCTTGAGGTCTTCCTCCCTGTTCCCCTACTCCCCACTCACAACAGTGGCTGTAGGGGTCTTGTCAGGTTCTGGGTCTTCTGAGAGTAGAGGGTCTCCAGCCAGCATCTCAAGGGTCCTGGGGGATAAAGGTGTGTCAGGATGCCACCTTACACCCAGTCTGTCCTGCCAAGGGGTGCTGGGGACCTTAGGGTTGTTTGTGGCAAACATCACCTCTGTGGCATCTCTTGTGTCTGGGAGGTCTGAAGAATGGTGTTTTGGGGGAATCAGGTGAGTTTTTTTTAAATAGGACTTGAAAAAGCATCTGAAGGGCCCCAGATAACTTTGAGGTTCATAGAGTGGGATTATAGGGATCGCAAATATTTTAAGGGGTTACAAGGATATGTAGGGGTTCTAGGACCACTTTGGGGATTTCCAGTCTATTTAGGGGGACACTTTTAGGATACCGAGGCATTTTGGAGGGTCCCATCCTAGACTTCTCTGGTTATTAGGTATGTAGGTCCAGATGTTACAGGTTCCAAATGGGACTGCAAGGCACCTAAATGGTTAGGGGCTTGGGGCATCTTGGCAGGATTTGGGGGTGATCCAGGCTCAGACTCACACGTTCCCCAGTGAGATTTCGAGGTTGTCCAGGCTCCGGAAGATGTCACTGTACCTCTTCCTGCCCTCAGGACCTGGGGGGAGTCCTAGGGGAGGGGAGTGTAATACATGGGCTAACCACTGCCTCCCTCCACCCACGGCACCTCAACCAGTCTCATTTGGAGGGGGTGGAAGAGAAAGGGAAGAGTGAGAGAGAGAAAGAGAGGGCTGGGGGGGGCTTGGTTGGGGCCAACTCGAGGCAGGCAGATGGACTCACACACCACCAGAGACCAGAGACAGCTGCTCGGGGAACAGAGACACCCACTCCCTGGGTCTGCCTGCACCCAGAAGCAAACCAACAAAACAGATGCCCCAGATGCAACCAGGCTGTCCCGAGAAGAAAGCCGGTCTGACAATGGAACCACGGGCTAGACAGATGGAAATACACAAGGGACAGCCAGGCAGAGCCTGGGGCAGAAACACACATGGAGAGACTGAAGCCGTGAGGGACATAAAGACCGAATGACACTCCACATACACAACACAGACACAAAGACGGCCGGAAACACCAAGTCGGACCCCGCCACATTTCTACTGCTGCCCCCCTGCCCCCTCTCCTAAGGGGCCTAGACCAGCACTGCCGACTCCCCAGGGCTACAGAGGGGCCCTGTGGGGATCCTACCGCGTTGCCCTCTCCCTCAGCAGTCGTGGCACCCTGCCCCCATCACAAAAATCAGAAGCAGAAGCAGTCACTTCCCCTTCCTGGGCCCCCTCCCCCAGGCGTCTGGGGTGAGGGATCAAAAGGGGGAGGGGGAGTGAAGGGCTGGGGTCCTGAACCCATCCGGGCACAGGGCTCCCCACAATGGAGGATCCCTGGGTCCTTCCCATTCAGGAACTCCTCTCCTGGCTCTCAGGACGGAGCGGGACAAGTGTGTGCCCTCAATGTAGGAAGCAGGGGATGGTCGGGGGAGGCCCCTCCCGGATCCCCGACCCCCTACCCGGCTCTGCTGCGTCCATATCTGGGCCCGGGGATCGCTCTGCAGGGACCGGGATGGGGATGGGGTCGCGCGCCGGCGGGGCCGAGCCCCGATTTCCTGCCGCCGCAGCCGCCGCCGCCGCCTCGGTTCCGCGTCGCCCTGCCCAGCGGAGGCCACGCCCCCGCATCAGACCACGCCCCCGTAGCCCGGAAGCCTTGATAGTGCCCTTCTCTACCTGAGCCGCTTGAAACTGGGTCGGGCCAGGGCCCCCTGAGCGACCACTCGAGGCTGCAGTGCCCCTGACCTGGGCATCCTAAGACTTCATCTGGGCCATAGGTTCCCTCTCAGATCTTTGTGCTACCCCAAATCCCACGGAGCCCCAGCCCCCTCCTCCCTGAATGGTTGCAGAGTCCACCTGTCCCGGGGGGCCTCTCCCAGGAGCTCCCACAACCCGCGACCCTGGTGATCCCCTTGCCCAGGTTGTCTCTCGGAGCCCTGAAACCACCTGGGCCTCGCTGGAGCCATGGCGCCCCCTGGTGGAGGCCTGATATTCTGTCCGATTCCAACCAAAATTCTAATACTCGGGCTGGAGAACCCCTGGCCTGGGGGACGCCCCTTCCGTGACCCTCAAAGCTGGATCAGGCTCAAGGCCCCAATTACAGCACACCAGGGAGCAGCCCTTTTAGGTAGGGAGTGGAGGTTTGTCCAAAAGCACCAGCTCTGGGGTTGCCACAAGCCGCCTGTTATAAAAATGCTCCCACCCCCAGCACAGTGGAATTTTGGGGCTGGAAATAGACTTTAAAGTATGTTTATAACTTTGTGTCCAAAGGCTTTGGCTGTTAAGGAGGCAAGGATTCTCTGACTGGCTCCGTGCTGCCTACTCTGCAGTTCTTGAGTTGTGATGAGTGAGTCCATTGAAAGGAATAACACTATCAACCTAAGAGCCAAGCCAGGTTTCCAGGTCACATCCTGGCTGATGCTCAGCCAGAGCTCCCTGACTGTGACATGAGATGGTAGAGCAGCGCAGGCCCCCAAAGAGCATGACAGAGTCAGTACTTGTTTGTTTTTCTTTTGAGTTGGAGTCTCGCTCTGTTGCCCAGGCTGGAGTGCAGTGGCGTTATCTCGGCTCACTGCAAGCTCCACCTCCTGGGTTCACGCCATTCTCCTGCCTCAGCCTCCCGAGTAACTGGGACTACAGGCACTCGCCACCATGCCTGGCTAATTTTTTGTATTTTTAGTAGAGATGGGGTTTCACTGTGTTAGCCAGGATGGTCTCGATCTCCTGACCTTGTGATGGGCCCGCCTTGGCCTCCCAAAGTGCTGGGATTACAGGCTTGAGCCACCGGACAGAGTCAATACTTGTAATGATGCAGATCATATTCCTCAAGTCTCAGACACCACCCGAGAGAAAGGCATGCTGTTATGTATTATGGGAAAGAAAAAAATATCACACATCCTAAGGCTTCTCTCAGCACCTGAGTTGTTAAAATGTGAAAGAGACCTCAGAAATATGGGGGTGCTTGTTAAACTAGAAAATATGCACTGAATTCTCTGGGCAGGGACAAGTCCATGTTCAAGTGCTGAAAGTGCCAGAGGGTTTCACCAACATCACACGCCTGTGGGGAGGGTGCTGGGACCTTCCTCAGTGACCCTCTGTCCCCGAGCCCCCAGCAAACACCGTGTGGCACAGACGAGGTGGAGGCAGGGCTTTTTAAAATCTCAGATGCTGCTTTATTTACCAAAGGTGCTGGCTTGGGGCTGGTTCTGCTGGCCAAGCCAGCGGATGGCTGTGGGGGTCCCAGCTCAGTCTTCCAAGGGCGAGACTGTACAGCCTTGCTGTGGGGGGTTGGGGGCAGGGTTCCCTCCCGGGGCCCTGTTGGGGTTCCCGCCCAGCGGCAGCCAGGGTGGGCAGTGGGTACCAGCACTGCCATCTCAGGAAGGCACTTTCAGCTTCGGGGTCCCCAGGAAGAACTGCAGGACGCGGTCGGCCAGGAGCGCCAGGCAGAAGTCCAGGAGCAGGACCTGGGCAATGACCAGCTTGAACTGTCGGGGCAGGGAGGGATGGTGAGCTGGAGACCTGCAGCCCAGCTCAGGGTCACTGCCATAGGAGGGACCCATCAAGCTGAGCCCCAGGGTCACCTCCACAGGGCCACTGACCTCCACAGGGATGTCCACGAGGCCAAACTGGCTGTTGAAGTCGGGCGAGGAGCCGAGGAGCAGGCCAATGATGGCCAGGAGTGAAACTGCCAGACTCCACACCAGGGGCTTGTTCTCGGGCAGGCTCTCCATGAAGGGCGGGCCCTGTGGGGATGAGGGACAGATGGCTTCATGGGGTGGGGCTGGGTGGGCAGACAGTGAATGTTTGGGCAGGGCCCAGGCCTTACTTTGTAATTGATGGCGAAGGTGGCCATCTGCATGGCCATGGCCATGATGTAGACGGTGCTGTTGACCAGGCTTGGCTCAAACTCCTTGTACAAGTCCACGAACTGCTCCTGCCTGCAAGGACACATGGGAGTCAGGGCCCCCTCTCCTGCTCCGGCTCACACACACTGTGTGGCTTCCTGCTGCCCTGGCACAGAGCTAGGGCTCTGCCTGGCCTAGTGCCCCTCCCTGGACACCCTGGACAACCCCCAGCCTCTCCTGCTGAAGTCTGTGGAGTCATCCTCCTGCTATTCTCAGCTGCAGGGACATCACCTCCTCCAAGGCAGCACTTACTTCTCGGGGCTCCGGGCCTGGGCCTCACGGTACAGGTAGACAAGGCTCAGGAAGTGCACAAAGAACTGGAGCATGACGGTGAGGATGGTGTACAGGTTGAAGATGTTGGGCAGGGGCCGTTCTCGGGAGAGGGTCTTGAGGGGCTGCAGCAGCAAGGCGGGTGGGGGAGTCAGGATCTGGCTCACTTGGGGCCACCCTGCCCACACAGCAGGCAGTAACATCCCCTGCCTCCCGGGAGACCTTGTGTACAGCCACCACCAAATCCTGGGGGATTCCATGGGTCAGCACCAGTCCCTGGATCCCTGCCTGCCTCTCACCCCTGAGCCCAGGGCTGCCTCCCTGGCCCCGGCTCCGCCATCCAGGCTCCCCATGGCAGCCACAGGGGCCTGAGAATCATGAAGCAGATCCTGCCCTCCCTGGAGCCCACGGGACAGGCACAGTCCCGCCCAGCCAATCTCCCACCCCCTCCAGCCACCGGGGACTCCCTGCGTCAGCCCATGCCTGTTTGGGGCCTTTGTGTCCAGTTCCTGGCCGCTGGCCCCCCTGGTTCTTTACGCCTTGGCCTGAGTGTCGGTGTCGCACAGGCCTCCCCAGCTGTCCACCAGCCTGTCCTGTGTAGCCTATGACCCACTTAGTTGTTTTTTTACCCTCTTGATGATTGTTCCTTGCTTGTGGGGCTCTGTGGGGCCCACCCCTGGGACCCCTACCTGTGGACAGGTGTGGACGCCAAGCTGTACCACCTGGAGGGGTCTGGGAGCCTCAGTCCACACCTGCCCTGCCAGCATTTCCTGAGCCATCCCAGCTACAGCCCCCATCTCTGGGGCCCTGGGTCCTGTAACTTGGGGATGACAATTCCCGTGCCTATATCAGCCTGGCCCTGGCAGGCCCATGCATCCCTGGCCTTCCAGCACCTCTGGGGCCCACCTTGGAACGGGAGATGAAGAGGAAGCAGCCGGCCAGCAGCAGCCCCTGTAGGGTGGCCTGGAAGTCACTGAACTTGACTCCCTCCAGGTAGAGGACGCTCTGGCTGTAGGCCAGGATGAGGGCATTGAGCGCCAGGATCTTGAACATCTGTAGCGTGGTCACCAGCGTGCAGCGGCCCTGCTTGATCACGTGGCAGACTGCAGGGTGGTGGGGAGGCAGGTGTGGGTGTGGGTAGGGGTGCCAAGGGGGGAATGAAGGGAGGGGGAGCGGGGGCAGGCAACTCACTGCACTGGATGGATGAGAGCTTGGAGGTGAAGGGTGCTGCGATGCTGGCATCCCCCAGTTTCACAATGGGCGTACTCTCGTCCTCGAGGTCTCGCAGCACCTGGCTCAGGCGGTCCTGCAGGGTAGACAGCAGGCTGTCAGCCCTGGCCAGGATGGGGTGCAGCACCTCCCCTCTTGGGACTCACCCTCTGGGAGGTTGGCTGCTCCTCGGAGGGAGGGAGCCCCGACCGCTGCTTGGCTGTCCTGGAGGTGGCTCTGATGCCACTGTTGCTCAGGGTTGGGCTGTCCCGGGGCCGCCGTCGCCGCTCGACAACCCGCTCAGGGGCATTGGCCAAGAGCGCCACACCTGGGGGGCAGGAGGGTGTCAGACCCGGAGGAGCAGGCTCCACGGAGGGGAAGATTGCTGGCTTCAGAGCCACTGGTCCTGAAGTCCCCCAGCTGGCTCCCGTGAGGACAGTTCCCAGACTTCCCCATTTCACCTGACACCCTAAGGAGACCTCAGAGAGTGCCCGTGTTGCTTTCTACAAACTACTTTAAGAAAACAAACCACCAACAATAAACCCCCACAACAAATGCAATGAAAAAACACACAACACGAGATAGGTCAAAACTAAACTGATTTTGGCCGAGCGCAGTGGCTCACACCTGTTATCTCAGCACTTTGGAAGGCTGAGGTGGGCGGATCACCTGAGGTCAGGAGTTTGAGACCAGCCTGGCTGATACGGCGAAACCCCGTCTCTACTAAAAATACAAAAATTAGCCAGGGGTGGTGGCATGTGCCTGTAATTCCAGCTACTCGGGAGGCTGAGGCAGGAGAATCGCTTGAACCCGGGAGGCGGAGGTTGCAGTGAGATGAGATCACACCACCGCACTCCAGCCTGGGCGACAGAGCGAGACAGTCTCAAAATAAAACAAAACAAAACAACCTAAACTGATTTCAAAAGAAATAGCCAAGGAGCATGATTCTAGGAGGCAAACAACACTCAATAAATGCTTTAGTAGATAAAAGCAGATAAATATTGGAAAAGCAAAAAAACCAACGTAAGATTGATCTTTAAAATTCAATTTAACACCTGAGTTCTTGCAAAAAAAAAAAAAGAAAAAAGAAAAAAAGGCCAGGTGAGGTGGCTCACACCTGTAATCCCAGCACTTTGGGAGGCCAACACAGGCGCATCATCTGAAGTCAGGAGTTGGAGACCAGCCTGGCCAACATGGTGAAACCCCATCTCTACTAAAAATACAAAAATTAGATGGGCATGGTGGCTGGCGCCTGTAATCCTAGCTACTTGGGAGGCTGAAGAAGGAGAATTGCTTGAACCCGGGAAGTAGAGGTTGCAGTGAGCTGAGACCGTGCTATTGCACTCCAGCCTGGGCAACAAGAGAGAAACTGTCTCAAAAAAAAAAAAAAAAAAAAAAGGCAGGGTTCGGTGGGATGCAGTGGTTCACACCTGTAATCCTAGCACTTTGGGAGGCCAAGGCGGGTGGATCACTTGAGGTCAGGAATTGGAGACCATCCTGGCCAACATGGTGAAACCCCATCTCTACTAAAAATACAAAAATTAGCCAGGCATGGTGGCACGTGCCTGTAATCCCAGCTATTTGGGAGGCTGAGGCAGGAGAATCGCTTGAACCCGGGAGATGGAGGTTGCAGTGAGCCCAGATCGTGCCATTGTACTCCAGCCTGGGTGACAGAGCAAGGCTCCGTCAAAAAAAAAAAAGACAGGGTCTTGCACTGTCACTTAGGTTAGAGTGGATCACACCACTGCCTTGAACTCCCAGACTCAAGTGATCCTCCCGCCTCAGCCTCCCAAAGCACTGGGATTCCAGGCAGGAGCCACAGTGCTCAGCCATCTGTGTGCTTTTGACAGAGATCTGGGGCTATGAACCATCTTCATGGCTTCAGCTCTGGGTTTTCTGAGTCACTCTCCCAACTTGTTGCCTCTCTCCTGGCCTCTGGCCTCCGCCCTGCTCTGTTCCTGGGATATTCGCATCCCTTCCTGCCCTCAAAGCCCCTGACCTTGCCACCCCCTCCCATCCTCACAGGAATTAGTGCCCCCGTGGCTGTCACCAAGGGCCAGGTCTGTCTTTCTAGCTCAGTGACATGTCCTCAACACCTCGTCCACAAACGAAATACCCTAGCCCACAGCACTCACCCACGTCAGCATGCTTCAGGGCGCCCACGTCGTTGGTGCCATCCCCACACATGAGGGTCACGTAGCCCAGCTCCTTCAGGCTGGTGATGACAAACTCCTGTATGGGCGGAGACAGGCTGAGCAGGGGCTGCGTGCCTACCGCTGTGCCCCTGACCCCTAGGGCTGTGCACATACCTTCTGCTTGGGAGCCACACGGGCGAACACCTGCACATGGGGGATGAGGCGGAGCAGCTGCTGGGGGTCGGTGGCCTGCAGGTGGGCCAAGCCGTCGCCTGTGAGGCACAGTGCGTACTCCAGGGCCAGTGCCTTTGGGGAGCCCCGGGCCAGGGGCAGCACGATGCTGCCGTCAATGGAGCGCCACTCGCACTGCCGGCCTGCGGGCAGCACCTAGGGTTAGGGCTGGGGGCTTGGCTGACCGGGCTCAGAAGCACCCTCCCTCCACTCGGACCCCAGCACCAGCCAGTCTCTCCTCTCTGGAGCCCGCACCTCCCTACCCACCCAGGTGACCCCCAGCCCTTCTCTGGGGACTCCACAAAGAATGTCCCTCAGGTGCACAGGGTGGAACCAAGAGCCTGGGGCCTGAGCTACTTGCCTGAGAGCCCGGGACACAGCCAGATTAGAACCTGGGCAGTCTGACCCCAGCTAAGCCATGCCCCCACCTCATGCAAGGCCCCCTAACCTGAAACACACAGAAGGGGGCTATTGCGCTCTCCTTGGGAAACCCCACACCAGGCCCTCACCTCATTTATCCCTGCGCCCGTGGCCTCTCTGAAATCCTGTTTTCTCGGGGCTGGGCCCCCTCCCAACTCTGACAGGGCCCCTGAGTTCTCAACATCTTCTTGCTCCACTTCCCCTTTCTTGCTGGCTGGCCCTGGCTTGGATGCTGGGCGCTGAGGATGGCCAAGGGCGGCCCGCCAGCCCTCCTGGCACTGCCTGCTCACCCTGGACCATCTCAAGCTGAAGGGCAGCACACTTCCACCTGGCTTGTGCTGCAGCTGTTGCTAGACCAGCTTCGCTTGTCAATCAACAGTTCTGCTCATCCGCTCCATGCCACCTGCCCACAATCCCCAGGCCCTGGAAGACCCCGGTAGCTGGGGCTGGGACAGGGGGAGGCCTGCGACCAATAGAACAGAGGGAGGGCAGGGACCGAGTCCTCTGAGAGGTGGCCTGGAGGTTCCGGAAGCTGCTCTGGCCCAGACCTGTGAATGTTTGCTGCCAGCAGCCCTGTGGCAACACTGCTCCATGTGGTTCTTCTTAGGGCCCTGTCAACACTCATGCAGGTCCTGAACTGCGTGCGCCCACAGGGGCTTCACCTCTAGCTCTGGGGCAGGTATCTGGTAAGCCCCACACCTCTAGCTGGGAGGGGCTGGGTCTCTATGTCTGCCTCTTCATCAATCTGAATCCAGGGCATTGCTCAAAGAGGTCACTGGGGAGAGGTTGGAGCCTTGAGCTCTGGAATCAGGCTGTCTGGATTCCAATCCTTAGCCATGGATTGGAAGTGACCTGGGCAAGTGGGTTCACTTCTGAGCCTCTGTCCCTTCTCTACAAAGCAGGGCCCCGAGAGCTGACCCAGCCAGCTTCCTCCTCTGTGGTGTGGGGAAGGCAAGCCACCCCGTGTGGTGCAGGATGGGGTGGAGGGACCAACGCAGTAACACGCACGGAGCGCTCCGCCTGGGGTCTGGTCAGGCTGAGCACTGGGCAAACTGCCATCAACTGTGGCTGAGGATGCCAGCAGTCCCTGTGCTCGGGAAGGGAGCACTCGGTACATGGGCAGCTTGCCGGGCCAAAGAGGGTGTGAAATGAGGATGACACTGAGGATGGGGAGTAAGCGTGGTAGGAGCAGTATCTGCCCATGAGTGCACAGGAAACCCGAGCTGGCAGTCAGACTATCGCCTCATTATGGTAAATAAACACCTACATGCCGCACATCCTGGGACCTGCGACCCAGTGAACGCTCACATGCTGTCCGAGGTGCCCAGTGGGCCAGGGCTGTGATTAGTGGTGCCAGGCATTTGAAGACACTGTGCTGCTGAGGCCTGGTACACAGGTGGGCTGTTGCGATGGGAGCTGTTCTTGGACTCAGGGTCCCCCTTCCCCACTGTGGGCCAGGCTAGGGCCTCACCTTTCTCGGAGGGAGGCTGCAGGATCAGCGTGTGGGCCTTTTCAATGAAGTGCAGCTCCTGGGCCACGTGGCATGCAGTGAGCGGGTTGTCTCCCGTGATCATGACCACCTTGGGTAAAGAGGGGCAGAGGCTCAGCATGGCACCCTGGGGCCAAGCTCTAGGCCAGAGACAAGGCTGCCAAGTCTCCTTCTAAGGTAGGCCACAGTGGGAGATCCTGGGCCTCTAACCGAGATGCTGAATGGGCTTCCAAGGGCCACAACCCACCCCCACCCAGGTCATTTTACACAAATGACACGTGTATGTGCGTCCTTCTGAAGACACCCTTAGCTTGGATTTGCAATACAAATGAACAACCTGCCCCTGAGGTGGACCCTTTTGGCTTGGTAGCTGCCCATGGGGGTAATATTTCAGCAAAGAGGAGGATGGGACCATGACCTCTGGGCTTGGTGGGGACTAATCACATCACCCATGTGACCCAGAGCCATCATCCTCTGAGACGGCTCACTCACCCCTTACACCCTAAAAGACACCCTAAGTCCCAAAATAGAAAACACAAGCCACCAGAAGCCACCAGGACAGGCAGACAGTGCCCCCCACCCAACTCCCCAGCCTCAGCTTCCTTCTCTCCAGGACGGCGGTGGAACGGGGAAGTGGAGAGAAGTGCCCCCATCTTCCCATGATGCGGGGAGTGAAGGGAGTGGTCTGTGGAGGAGAGAGGAGCCAGCACAGGCGGGTCCCAGAGTGTCCTTGGGCCAGTGGCAATGTTAGCACCTGAGCTATGATCTTGCTCAGCTAAAACATGCAGCCTGTGAGACTTGGGTGCCCACCCCTACCACGAAGCTGTAATTGTCATCTCCTCGCCTCTATTTCCCATGCAGAGGGTGGAGCCGAGCACCGTCCCATACCCGGTGGGACGCATTCTGGATCTCCCGGATCACGGCCTTGGAGTCAGCCTTGAGCGGGCAGGAGACCACAATGAAGCCGACGAACTTGAGGCTGCACTCCAGGGCCTCCCGCTTGACCTCCCGGGCCTGCGGACAGACAGGGGCACCCTCACCATCTGTCCCTCCCTCTGCCCACACTCTGCATTTCCTGAGCTCTGACCATGCGCTGGGAGCCAAGGGGACAATGGAAGGCCCTGTTCCCGTAGTGGGCACATGCGAGGGTTGGGAGGGGAGAAATGCCAGGAGGGTACCAGGCACGCTTGAGGGGTGGGATCTGGCAGTGACTGGGGGGTCTGGGTCCCCCGAATGTGGCTCTATGTCCTGCTTGCGGACATGGGCACATCACAGAGTCCCTTGTGGCTCAGCTTCCAAGTCAATGAAGTAGGGACTCTCCCAATAATGTTGGAGTTTAGCCAGGAACTCTTACTCACTGGGGCTCCACCACATACCACAGACTGGGCACAGACCCCTGGCCTTAGGGAGCTCACACTGCACCAGGGGAGACGCATGATCAAGAAAGTCACAGAAATCGGAGTGCTGAGTGCCATGAGAGAGGAGGTGAGAATGGAATCCAGAGAGGGTGGAAAGGCCTCAGAAGTGGCCACTATGAAGGCGATGAGGACCTGTGTCACTGGGAAGGGGGCTCCAGGTGCAGGAACGGGGCAGAGCATGCAGGCTGTGAGCTGTGGCCTGGGCTCTGCACACAGTACTGCAACCTGAGGCTAAATTCTGGAAGGATCCGCAGCTGTAGGGTGCAAGCAGAAAGAACGAGAGCCCAGGAAGAAGCCAAGCGGCAGATGTGCCGGTGGTGGAGGCGGAGGGTGGGCTTTGTGGAGGATGGATGGGTGAGAGGGCTGAGGATGCCACCTAGCCCTGCCCAAGACCAGGGCAAAAGAGTAGAGCTAGGGACACACCAGGACTGGGGCAGGTAAGCCCTGCGTGTGCTCTGCGTGAGCCAGGACTGGGTGGGTCCCCACAGCAGTGGACAGACTGAGTGCCATTTGGAGTCTCCAAAGGTAGAAGCTGGAGGCGGGGCAAGGAGGACAAAATCACAACCATTCAACCTGGCACTGTGGGACACAGGAGGTGACTCAGGGAGGAGCTGACGGGCCAGGCACATGGTGAAGGCAGGGGGAGCCTGGGCCCGTACCTGCTGGTGAGTGAGGTGTCCCAGCTCCTTGTACCCCAGCGCCAGGACGCGGGCTCCTTCCCGGGAGATCTCGGTGTGGATGTGGTGGTAGTCGGGCGGGCACTGGGAGAACTGCAGGGAATGCAGGGGGATGTCACGGGCTGCCCCGCGCCCCCACCCCTTGCCCCAGGCTGGGGCCAGCTCACCATGGAGTGCAGAGTTTCGGGGGCCCCCTTCACGGCCGCGATGTAGCAGAGGTCGGTGGAGCCCAGCTTCTCATACGAGGCAAGCACGGACATTCGCTTCAGGGCACTGGCAAAATGAAAGCGCTGGTGAATTTTCAGCCCCTGAGTTTTAATACTTCGGGGGAATACTTTCTCATCTGGAAACAAATAAGTACGAGTCCTGAGGGGCTTTGCTCCAAAGAGGCAGCCAAGCCCCTACCTCTCACCCCGGCCTCCCCCACCTCCCTCCTGCCTCCCCCAGGGCCTGATCGGGGCTCTGGGCTAGAGCAGGTGTTGGTCCAGAGCTGGAAGACCTGGGCTTGGAGGACCCTGGCACTGTGGCTTCGGCCAGGGCAGGGCAGATTCCAACCCAGAGGGACACCCAAGGACGTGGCCTATCCTGGGTCTAAAGTGAGCCTCTGGCCACCCACCTCGGGGAGCATCAGAGCTGTAGGCCTGCCTGTCCCCAAGATGCTCTGAGGGGTGCAGCCCACCTGCCTAGGGCTGTGAGAGCCAGTGGCTCCCCCTTGCTGGGCCTGAGGCCCCAGCCCCTCACCTTTGGTCAGCGTCCAGTCCACGGCCGTCAGCATGGCCTTCTCTAGAGGGTCACCCACGAGGGTGCCGTCGTCCAGCTGCATGAGCGAGTGGCACGAGGCCAGGGCCCGGTGTGTTTCTACAGGGATGCTGGACACTGGGGTCACCTCCTTCCCGTCTCTGCAAGGTCGGGGAACAGCTGGTTACAGAGTGCAGGCGGGTAGGGCGAAGCTGCATCCCCACCAGCAGAAGGACCCCCAAGGCCATTCATTCCGTGCTTGTCACTGGGGTGGCTTGGGCGCCAACTGGGTCTTTATGAGACCTGCACCTGCTTCACAGATGCCCCCAGAAGCCAGGCATTGTGCCTGGGGGTCATGTGGTGCATGGCTGGTGTGGGATGTTCCAGGCCTGAGCTGAGCCCCCGTGCCGCTACCATGGCTGACACCCAGGACTTTGTGGGGAGCCCCTGGAAATGAACCCGAGGCAGGGCCTCTGACGGGCCCTCACTGCAAGGGCTTGGGGTGGATGGGCCACCTGTCTCTCGACTTCCCAGAAACCCCATCTGGGTGACCTTTGCTGCAGGGCCCCTGATGCTTACCTCAGCCCGGCCACACCGCGCACCACCAGGCTGTCACTGGTCAACGTCCCCGTCTTGTCAAAGCAGCACACCTCGACCTTGCCAGCAAAGGGGATCCGGAAGGGCTCTGTGCAGTACATGTCTAGGGGCGGGAGTGAGGTCAGGGGTCCTGCTTGGCCCCAGCCCACTCGGCACCCCATCCCATTTGACACACTCACAGAGCTTGGCCAGGGCGATGAGGGAGGTGTTGACGGCCAGGGACAGCTCGATGGGCAGCTCAGGAGGCACGACCGAGGTGAGGATCAGGGTGCACTCCAGAAACAGCTTGTAGCGGTTCCGGCTGGGGTCCTTGGTACCTGTGGAGACAGGGCCTGCCAACCTGGAGCCTCGGAGGGTGGGCGCAGGGGACCACAGAGGCCGTGGCGCTTACCTTCAATCCATACATAGGCAGCTGCAGCGATGGCAAACACCAGGAGGAAGAGGATGAAGATGAAGGTCTCCAGGTTGTTCGCAGTCACCCTCTTGACCCCGAAGAGGATGGTGCGCAGCAGCTTGCCCTGGAGGAATGGAGGAACAGCCTTTCTGCTGTCTGGACTCCCTCCAGCAGCTCAGGCCTGGAAGCGTGGGCCTGGTCTTGGGGTGGCCTCTGCACCCTGGCCCAGGTCCAGGGCCGTGCTGCCAGAGTCAGCCCGTGGGGCAGATGTTCTGGGGTCGGAAAGGGCTGATACCTTGGCTGTCCAACTGCCCTGGGGCCCGCCCTCCCCAGACCTGGCCCCGCACCTGGGATGTGTTGAATCCGGTCCGCAGGACGTAGGCCACGCACCCGCTGTCAACCGCTGGGGAGAGAAGCAGAGTCACCGTCATGCCTGTCTCCTCGTCCTGACTCCCTCATGATCAAGCAGACGGGCAAAGGGGGTGGAAGCCCAGATACCCCCAGACGCCCATGAGGCACCTACGCTTCAGGCCCGTGGTGGCTTTCTGTGGGGGGATGTGCTGCACCACCTTGGTGCCCCCGAAGATGACGTGCAGCCGGGAATCAGCCTGGAGGTCCAGCACCCGGTCTGGGCTGAGGTCTTCGATGGGCTCCTGGGGAGGAAGATCGTGAATCTGGATGGCCAGGCCTACCTTGCTTCCTTCTCCATCTGAGTTCCTGGACAGCTGGACCTTGAGGCTGGAATGAGCCAGGGGGATCCCCACCCGACCAATACATCCCACCCAGCTCCCAGATCCTCACCCTCACCCCGTCCTGTCTTCTCCCCATTGCACTCACAGTGCCTGCTCTCTGGGGCCTGCACTTGGCCTCGTCTGGGACTCACCCCTCTGGACTGCTCCCAGCCCACCTTGGTCTGACATCCCAGGGCACCAATGTACCCTGGATGCCCTTGGCTCTCTCACCTCCTTCCTCGCCCCCACCACCCGGCTCCCCAGTCCACAGAGCTCATCTGTGCCCACACTGCCTCCTCCGCCTGTGCCTGAGGGGGATCCCCGCCACCCCCTGGGCCTCCACCTCCTGGCCTGTTTCCTCCTGAACAGCTTGAGGATCCCCATCCTCCACCAAGTACCTTCATCTGTGGCACGGACTCCCCCGTGAGCATGGCCTCGTCTACGATGCAGCGGCCTCGCAGCAGAAGCACGTCACATGGCACCAGGTTCTCCTGTGGGGAGCGGCCTGCAGGGCAGAGGCAGGAGGGTTGGCCAGAGGCCCTGAGGCTGGGGCTCCCACTGGGACTGAGCGGAACCCGGCCTCACCGATGGAGACGATGTCCCCTGGTACGATCTCATCACTGGCAATGGGCCTCCACTTGCGGCTTCGGTAGACCTGGGCGGGGCATGGGTGTCAGCACAGAAGCCGCACCTGTGCTGCACCCCCAACCTGGGTCTCCCTGGCAGCCACACCTGGATCATGTGGGGCTTGTTGCCCATCTTCCGGATCTCCGACATGTTCCGCATCTGCTGCTGCACCAGCGAGGCCTCGAACGCCACCAGCATGGATAGCGTAAAGACGCTGTAGTACCAGTACTCATCCAGGCACCAGAGCCCCACACAGAACACCTGTGGGATACCAGCCTGTCTGTCCTTGCCCTACCCGCCCTGTTCCCATGAGCCCCTTCCACCCACCGGATCTGATATGTGAGGGTGGGGAGAGGCTTCCAGGTTTAGAAGTGGTGGGCAGGCTTGATCCGGTTAGGAAAGCCCCAAGGGAGGAAATGGGGAGATGGGCCAGAGCTGCTGCTTTACCTGAAATACAAAGAAGGGGGCTGTGGCTCTCTCCTTGAAAAGCTCCGAGAAGTCAGGCACCACCATCTCGGCCCTGCAAGAGACCAGGCCCCATCCTGTTCCCAGGGCAAGGCCTCTGGGGTATGGAGTCTCCACCCTGACCCCTCCAACCTGAGCATGGCAGGCCGCTCTCAAGAAACCAAGAGCCATATGTGGGCGTCGGGAGCCCTGGCGAGCTTCCAGATAGGAGGATCCATTTGGCAGTGGCTCTCCCTCATCCTGGCTGAGCCTGGGGTAGACATGCTGCCCGCCCACAGCCCTCGGCTCTGCATAAAACAGATGAAGCTCCTTAATCTGCAATATGCTCTTCCTGGCAGCCTGGGGCTGGTGTCAGACGAGAGCCCGTCATCTGGTCGAGTGACACAGCAAGTAGAGAAGGAACCTCTGATTGAAAGATGGAGGCCCTGAAGCTACAGACAGCAGAAGACACTGAGACCCAGCCCCACCAAAGCTGAGATTTTCTATGATTCCTGAATTAAAGCCCCAGAATGGGTCGAGTAGGGTGGTTCACGCCTGTAATCCCAAGCACTTTGGGAGGCCGAGGCAGGAGGAGTGCTTGAGCCCAGGAGTCAGAGACTAGCCTGGGCAACACAGCAAGACCTTCTATTTACAAAAAATTTAAAAATTAGCTGGGGGTGGTGGTGTGTGCCTGTGGTCCCAGCTATTTGGGAGGCTGAGGCAGGATGAATGCTTGAGCCCAGGAGTTCAAGGCTACAGTGAGCCATGATCACACCACTGCACTCCAGCCTGGGTAACAGAGTAAGACCCTGTCTCCAAAAAAAAAAAAAAAAAAAAAAAAGGCTCGAGAATGCAAGGACTTGGGCCTAAGGGTGTGTTCTGCAGTACTCTGTGCCATAGTCCAATCTGATCAGGGCACCAGTCATGTCAACGAGGGTCATTCTCGCTCTGCCCTTTAACTGCATGGACGTCTTATGTATGGGATGTGAGAAGAGGAAACCAAAGAGCAACCCCACTGCTATCAAACAATAAGCCCTTCCCTTGTATCTTGCTGGGTACCTTTGCGTTGAGTAAGAACAGCATGAAAGGGAACGTAGTTGCCACAGGCCATTAATGTGACTGGCCAACCTTGGGGTAGGGGAAGTTGCTAAATGTTTCTTATAAATCCTTGTATTAGATTGATAGTTGTAGTCAACATATTTGTAATCTCTGAACAGTGATTAAGTCAGGAAAGAGCTCCCTAGGTGTTCTGTGGGTTTCTGGGTTGAGGACCATCGTAACAAGGCCATGATGGGGTTTGGAGCCCAGTTCTCCGGCTCCCAGCCACGTGTCAGCATTTGCAGTTTTGGTGAAGATGAAGGGAGAGGGTGTGCACCGCACATTGGCCATTGTACTCAGTACAAAAGGGCAGACATGGTCACGGTCTTCCATCACCATTCTGAAGCGCTGAGATGCGTAGACTCGAAACAGTGAGGACTGAAATGTTTAGGTTGGGTGCAGTGACTCATGCCTGTAATCCCAGCACTTTGGGATGTTGATTTAGGAGGACTGCTTGAGGCCAGGAGTTTGAGACAAGCCTGGGCAACACGGCGAGACCCCATCTCTACACAAATAAACATTTTAAAAGAATTTAAAATAAAGCTGTTGCTGAGGAGGGGCCACAGGCTAGACTCCTGTGAAGAACCTTACACTCAAGGTCTCACACCCCAGGGCACGGGCTTCCAGCTGCAGACCCTCTGGGGTTCCTGCCAGCAGGCAAGTTCAGGGGAGACTGGACTTAGAGCATGTTGCTCAAGCGGCATCACAGTCACCTGGGACATTTGGCTAAAAGGGCAGATTTGGCCGGGTGCAGTGGCTCACGCCTGTAATCCCAGCACTTTGGGAGGCCAACATGGGAGGATCACCTGAGGTCAGGAGTTCAAGACCAGCCTGGCCAACATGGTGAAACCCCCATCTCTACTAAAAATACAAAAATTAGCCAGGCGTGGTGGGGGGAGCCTGTATTCCCAGCTGCTTGGCAGGTTGAGGCAGGAGAATCACTTGAACCGGGGAGGCGGAGGTTGGGGTGAGCTGAGATCGCGTCACTGCACTCCAGCCTGGGTGACAGAGCGAGACTCAGTCTCAAAAATAAAAAATAAAATAAAAATAAAATAATAGTAAATAAATAAATAAAAGGGCAGATGCCTCTGTCCCGCTTCCTAGGCACCCTGAATCAGGAGGGGAGCAGGACAGAAAGGCAAAGGTGCTACAGGCAAATCAAGGACTCACTTGTTGCTCCCAAATTTCTTCTCAGCTGCTCGGATCTCTGAGTCTTCCTGGAAGCCTCTGTTGCTCTGATAGTATGAGAAGGCGTTTCCCACAGGAAAGGCCACGGGGAGAAACTGCTTCTTCTCCAGGGCATCGTAGGAATACTTGATCTTCTGGAATTCGAAGGACAGCACCTCAAGCCCGTCTTCGCCCTGCGGTAGAAGGTGTGTTTGCCACAGAGGCCCCTGACCTTGGGGTGTCAGCGCCTGGGAATCCTACTCAAGCCCCTCCTCCAGGAGCCCAGCAGGCAGTCCCTACCTCATTGCGGTGCAGGGCCACGAGCTCCGTGGAGCCATTGTTGGGGGTTGGCACCACCTTCACAAAGGTCGCTTTGCTGGGGTCGTACTCCTGACAGAGACAAAGAAAGCATTGTGGCTTAGCTCTTCTCAACCTACAGTTCCAAGACCCCCCCGGGAGGTTTTGGGTGCAGCAGCTCTATGGGTATATTCTGAAATGCCACTGGGCTCTGGTGCTGCCTCTGTCACTCCCTCGTCTGTCATCAGGACAAACGAGACCATCTTGCTGTGCCTCTGGTGCCACACTTAAAGCTGGGAGCACAAGGCTGGGCACGGTGACTCACACCCATAATCCCAGCACTTTGGGAGGCCAAGGTGGGCGGATCACTTGAGATCAGGAGTTTGAGATCAGCCTCGCCAATGTGGCGAAACCCTGTCTCAACTAAAAATACACAAATGAGCCGGACACGGTGGTGCACACCTGTAATACCAGCTACTTAGGAGGCTGAGGCAGGAGAATCCCTTGAACTGGGAGGCGGAGGTTGCAGTGAACTGAGATTGCAACACTGCACTCCAGCCTGGGTGGCAGAGTGAGATCCTATCTCAATTAAAAAAAAAAAAACAAAAAACCAGCCAGGCACAGTGGCTCGCACCTGTAATCCCAGCACTTTGGGAGGCCGAGGTGGGCAGATCACGACGTCAGGAGATTGAGACCATCCTGGCTAACACGGTGAAACCCCATCTCTACTAAAAACACAAAAAATTAGCTGGGCGTGGTGGCAGGCATCTGTAGTCCCAGCTACTTGGGAGGCTGAGGCAGGAGAATGGCGTGCACCCAGGAGGCAGAGCTTGCAGTGAGCCGAGATTGCACCACTGCACTCCAGCCTGGGCGACAGAGCAGGACTCTGTCTCAAAATAAAAAGGCTGGGTGCAGTGGCTCACACCTGTAATCCCAGCACTTTGGGAGGCTGAGGCAGGGGGGATCACGAGGTCAGGAGTTTGAGACCAGCCTGGCCAATATGGTGAAACCCCGTCTCTACTAAAAATATAAAAATTAGCTGGGCATAGTGGCAGGCACCTGTAGTCTCAGCTACTCGGGAGGCTGAGGCAGAACAATCACTTGAACCTGGGAGGCGGAGGTTGCAGTGAGCCGAGATTGTGCCACTGCACTCCAGCCTGGGCAACAGAGCCAGACTCCATCTCAAAAACAAACAAACAAACAAACAAAAAAACCCCAAAAAACAAAACAAAAACAAAAACAACAACAAAAAAAGCTGGGAAGCTGGGTGCACAGACAGCACCTAATGCCCAGGGCTCTGCTCTGCTGAAGGTGACATGAACTCAAATAGGAAGAACGCTGCCAGGCACCCACCCAGTACGTCCTCAATTCACGTGAGCCAAGCCCCCGCCCCATCACAGGCCCCCGGCCTCCTGCTCAGCTCTGCCTCTTCCACCAACCCTGCTCACTACACTCCACAGCTCCACACGCACATGGGGCTCGATCGTGCCTCAGCAAAGGGCCTTGGCATGTGCTGTTTTCTCTGCCCGGAATACACAGTCACACAGCTCCCTTGCTGCCTCAGGCTTTTGCTGAAACATCACCTTCTCAGGAGCCCCTCCCTGGCTGCCCCATCTAAAGTTCCCGGCAATGTCCCATCCTGTCCTGATGTTAGATGTCATCTCTGTTTGGCATCAACTGCTGACTATGAGTTCTCCCTCCCAGTAACACCACAAAGGCAGGGGGATTTGCCTGTTTTGTTCACTGCTGTTTCCCCAGCACCTAAGACACAGAAATGTTGAATGGAACTCGTTCAGTGCTCCCTGGACCCCGTGAACCGCCATCCATTCCTCTGCTGCTCTGCTAGACCGAGCTGCATGGAGACGAGCTGCATGGAGATGGGGGGAGCACAATGATGACCCGCAGAAACAAAGCGCCACCGCACGGGTGGTTCATGGGCCTCCAAAGCAGGCAGCAAATAACAACAATCACATAACTACAAACGTGACGTCACGGAAGAAAGGTACAAGAGGCTATACGCTGTGATGGCCCCAGGGCGGGCACTCTGCAGATATCATCTCCGCTTCTCAAGATGGCACCCAGTAGTTGTTAGTTACGGTTCTCAGTTTACAGAAGGGGGAAACTGAAACTCAGAGAGCAGAAGCGGCCCTTTCTGAGATCTGAATCAAACCCAGATCCACCTCTCCTGGCTGATGGCTGTTCAGCTCCTCCCACTTCTCCATCCCTGGAGAGGAAGTTAAGAGCTAAGCTGCTTAGCTGCAGGTCAAAAGGCAGCTGAAGTTTGAGCGGTGCCACAGTCCCCTTAACCCCTCCTTTATTTTGTCCCTCATTGGTGTCTTTCATTGTACTACCTCAAAGCTACCACGTTGAGCTCCTCCCCTGGGATAGATAAGTCTTTTTGAAGGACAGAACAGGTTGTCTCTCAGGAGAGGAGAATGAGGATTCTACCCACATTCAGAGCCAGCCAGGGTGGGGGGCTTCTGTCTTTCTGTAGCCCTTGATGCTGTTCCCTTTTCCTCTTCTTGAGGCAAACACACTCCTGGAATCAGAGGGGAAGCTTCCTGATATACCTCAGTGTCCATGGCTCCAAACCTGCTGGTGTCACCTGAGGCAGGCCCAGAGAGAGACGACACAGTCACTGCTTCAGGCCCAGGGAAGCTCACAGTCACCAACTCCTCCGACGACACTTGGTCACTCAGAACTCTAAACTGTGGGTCAGGAGCGCGACCTTGCTTGCTGTTGTATCCCCGACAGAACTCAGTATCACCACCCTCATTTTGCGGAAAGACATCATGTAAATGACTCGCTCATAAACACCTCTGCCTCTCTTCAACACTGTAATTAACTGCATTTCATGCTCCTTTCCATCACAGTATGGAAGACCACTAAGCACTGGACAGCAAGACTTGGTTCAGTCTAAGAACCAACTAAGCTTCATAGATGGGGGAAACCTATCCCAGTGATCTCGCCTTACACTTTGAAAACCAAGGTAGGAGACAGATGAGATGGAAGGTAGGGCCGTTTCCAGAACAAGAGTAGTCGCTAATATGGGAACTAGTATAAACAACTCCTACCTGACCTGGGCGACGTATGCTGGGCCCTGCGCTAAGCCTTTTACAAGTATTACATCACTGAATCTAAATGACCATAACAGGGAGGACTTCAGAAAAAGGAAATAACCCGCACCAGGCATGCACAGCAAGTCAGCAGTGGGGTCATGATTAAGCCTGCGCCAAAGTGTAGAGGGTGCCCCTGGGAATCCAGGCCAGGCAGATGAGTGGCCCAGGTCGCGATGGTGACCGACAGGAAGGCCGCAGCTGGGACCCACGGCGAGGCTCGACCGTGCTGGGGGTCGGGCTCGCGTGTACACACTTACCGGGGTGCAGGTGAGCGCGCAATGCGCGTGCACAGACCAATGCCCCGAGAGGACAGTGAGCGCGTGCGCGAGGCAGATGGTGGCAAGCACGAGCAGCGCAGCTTCGGGGATCTGCACCCAACTGCTGCCCCAGCCCCAGCAGCCAGCGGCTGCGGCACCCAACCAGGCCGGGTAAAGCAGCCCGGCGAATGGCAGCACCGTGAGGCGCCGCAACAGCGCCAACCGCCGGTACGGCCACACGGCAGCCACCAGCTCGTCACCGTTCGCTATGAGCGCCGGCCCGGCGGCAAGGAGCGCGCGCGGCTGCGGCCCGGGCTTGGGCTGCCCGTCAGGCCGGACCCCGCAAGGCCGGGCCCCGCAGGGCACCGCGTTGCCCACCGCCGCCGCTGCCGCCATCTTTCCTAGCGCCGCGCTCACTTCCGGGCAGAGGAACGCCTCACTTCCGAAGTTTTACTTCCGGTAAGCCCTGAGCGCCGCCATGGCAGCCTGGACTAGGAAGAGCCAGGGCAACAGAACAGGCTGGCCCCGGCAGGGACTACTTCGGGTGCCGCCATGACAGGCTGTGGCCGGAAGAAGAGGCTGGGCGTCGCCATGACAGAGAGGGACTGGAAGACCTAACGGTGCCTGCCTCCGCTGCCACGCCGGACTGAGACCGGAAAAGACAAGGCCGGCAAGGCGGGCTTGGGCGCCACCATGACAACCTGAACCAAAAAAAGCGAGCCCTCCTCCTTGACTACACCAGCACCACCTGTCACCAGGGGCGAAGCCTGGACCCTGCGGAGGCGGGGTCGGGAGCTTCGGAGTTCAGGAGGCGGGGCCCGGTGCGGGGGGCGGGGCTTGTGAGGGGCGGGGTCGGGGACCGCCCCGGAACACAACCACACCGGACAAGAGCCTTAATGTGATAGATAAGAATTACAAATACTAGCCGGGCGCGGTGGCTCACGCCTGTAATCCCAACACTTTGGGAGGCGAGGCGGGTGGATCACCTGAGATCAGGAGTTCAAGACCCAACATGGTGAAACCACGTCTCTACTAAAAATACAAAAATTAGCCGGGCGTGGTGGCACATGCCTGTAATCCCAGCTACTCGGGAGGATGAGGCAGGAGAATTGCTTGAGCCCGGGAGACGGAGGTTGCAGTGAGCCAAGATTGCTCCACTGCACTTCAGCCTGGCCAACAGAGCAAGACTGTCTCAAAAAAAAAAAAAAGAAAAATGAATTACAAAAACCACTTTAGGCCGGGCGCGGTGGCTCACGCCTGTAATCCCAGCACTTTGGGAGGCCGAGGTCAGGAGATCGAGACCATCCTGGCTAACGCGGTGAAACCCCGTCTCCACTAAAAATACAAAAAAAAAAAAAAAATTCTCCGGGCGTGGTGGCGGGCGCCTGTAGTCCCAGCTACTCCGGAGCCTGAGGCAGAATGGCGCGAACTGGAGAGGCAGAGCTTGCAGTGAGCGGAGATTGTGCCACTGCCCTCCAGCCTGGGCGACAGAGCGAGACTCTGTCTCCAAAAAAAAAAAAAAAAAAAAAAAGAAATTACCACTTTAACATAAAAAATGAAAAACTGGTGTTTACTTGAAATTATATACTTCTAGGCCGGGCGCGGTGGCTCACCCCTGTAATTCCAGCACTTTGGGAGGCCGAGGCGGGCGGATCACGAGTTCAGGAGATCGAGACCGTCCTGGCTAACACAGTGAAACCCCGTCTCTACTAAAAATACAAAAAATTAGCCGGGCGTGGTTGCAGGCGCCTGTAGTCCCAGCTACTCGGGAGGCTGAGGCAGGAGAATGGCCTGAACCTGGGAGGCGGAGCTTGCAGTGAGCCGAGATCGCGCCACTGCACTCCAGCCTGGGCGACAGAGCGAGACTCTGTCTGAAAAAAAAAAAAAAAAGAAATTATATAGTTCTATATTATTAACTGTACTGTTGCATAAATGCTATTTGAACAAAACCACAATAGGACTACTTAACAGTACCAATTAGTAGGATTAAACAGTATGTGTGACAAACAGTAACTATTTTATGTTTCTTTTTGTCCTCTGATACAGCAAATTTATTTAAACTTAAAATTTATTGGATATTTAAATTTTGTAGCTTATATTGTTGCATATTCTTTTTTTAATTTTTCGAGATGAAGTCTCACTCTGTCGCCCAGGCTGGAGTGCAGTGGCGCGATGTCCGCTCACTGCAAACTCCACTTTCCGAGTTCAATCGATTCTCCCATTTCAGCCTCCCAAGTAACTGGGATTACAGGCGCATGCCACCGCTCCGGCTAATTTTTGTACTTTTTTTTTTAGACGGAGTCTCACTCTGTTGCCCAGGCTGGAGTGCGGTGGTGCGATCTCAGCTCACTGCAACCTACGCCTCCTGGGTTCCAGCGGTTCTCCTGCCTCAGCCTCCCGGGTAGCTGGGACTACAGGCGCGTGCCACCATGCCTGGCTAATTTTTTGTATTTTCAGTAGAGATGGGGTTTCACTATGTTGGCCAGGTTGGTCTCGAACTCCTGACCTTGTGATCCGCCCACTTTGGTCTCCCAAAGTGCTAGGATTACAGGTGTGAGCCAGCGCTCCCAGTCTAATGTTTTGTGTTTTTAGTAGAGACGGGTTTCGCCATGTTGGCCAGTCTGGTCTCAAACTCATGGCCTCTAATGATCTGGCCGCCTCAGTCTCCCAAAGTGCTAGGATTACAGGTGTGAGCCACGGTGCCCAGTCCTAGTCTTGTTTTGTTTTCTTGGGACGGAGTCTCACTCTTGCCCAAGCTGGAGTGCAGTGTTGCAATCTAGGCTCACTGCAACCTCTGCCTCTTGGGTTCAAATGATTCTCCTGCCTCAGCCTCCTTAGTAGCTGGAATTACAGGCATGAACCACCATGCCTGCTAATTTTTGTATTTTTAGGAGAGACAGGGTTTCACCATGTTGGCCAGGCTGGTCTGGAACTCCTGTCCTGGCCTCAAGAGATCTGCCTGCCTCGACTTCCCAAAGTGCTACAGGTGTGACCCGCTGCGGCCACCCACTGCATATTCTGGTTTTTTTTTTTTTTTTTTTTTTTGAGACGGAGTCTCACTCTGTTGTCAGGCTGGAGGCTGGAGTGCAGTGGCGTGATCTCAGCTCACTGCAACCTCTGCCCTCGGAGTTCAAGCGATTCTCCTGCCTCAGCCTCCCGAGTAGCTGGGATTACAGGCGCCTGCCACTGCACCCAGCTAATTTTTTGTATTTTTAGTAGAGACGGGGTTTCACCTTCTTGGCCAGGCTGAGTCTTGAACTCCTGACCTCGTAATCCACCCGCCTCGGACTCCCAAAGTGCTGGGATTACAGGCGTGAGCCACCGGGCCCGGCTCTGGTTTTTTTTTTTTTTTTTTTTTTTTTTTTTTTTTTTTTTTTTTTGAGATGGAGTCATGCTCTGTCGCCCAGGCGCAATGCTGTGATCTCGGCTCACTGCAACCTCCTCCTCCTGGGTTCAAGCAGTTCTCCTGCCTCAGCCTTCTTAGTAGCTAGGATTACAGGCATGCGCCACCACACCTGGCTAATTTTTGTAATTTTAGTAGAGACGGTGTTTCACCATGTTGGGCAGGCTGGTCTCCTACTCCTGACCTCATGATCCGCCTGCCTGGGCCTCCCAGAGTGCTGGGATTACAGGCTGAGCCACCGTGCCCGGCTGCATATTATTAAGATACATGACTTCGTAAAAGGAGAAAGGAAATGTAATAGGACTTAATAATCACATAGTATCAAATAAGATAATCTTCAGTAAAAATAGGAATGACATGTTTCTGTCCCATGATACAGTTCGATATACTTACTTTTTCAGTTTTTTCTCCAATATTAATTCTTTCCCATACAAGGTCCAAGCTTCTGCTCTTGGAGTCTGGGACTGGACCCCTTTCTGGTAGCAATACCTTTATAGAATGTTTACTCCAGGCCGGGCACGGTGGCTCATGCCTGTAATCCCAGCACTTTGGGAGGCCAAGGCGGGCAGATCACGAGTTCAGGAGATCGAGACCATCCTGGCTAACACGGTGAAACCCCGTCTCTACTAAAAATACAAAAAAAAAAAAAAAAAAAAAAAATTGGCCGGGCATGGTGGCACATGCCTGTAGTTCCAGCTACTCGGACTCGGGAGGCTGAGGCAAGAGAATCTCTTGAACCTGGGAGGCAGAGGTTGCAATGAGCTGAGATCGTGCCACTGCACTCCAGCCTGGGCGACAGAGCCAGACTCCGTCTCAAAAAAAAAGAAAAAAAAAGTGGTTTACTCCAGTTTTTCCCTGCATTTAATAATTTTGTTCCCTTTAAGGCATGTTTTTATTTTCTTGGCTGAAAAGGAGTAGCCTGAGAAGAAGTAACGTGTAGGAAGCCTTGGCCATGGGACCAATAGCCTCATAAATTCCTGATCTCTGGAGGACATCAGGGCCTCCTACCTGTTCCATTGTGACCTGGGAGTCTCTCCAGCTCCAAGGTGGAGGGATGGCTTCACTGAACACGGAGTCTGGAATTCCGTGCACACTCATGTGACCGGTGTTCCGGAAAAAGAAGCAGGAGGCGGCTGGGCGCGGTGGCTCACGCCTGTAATCCCAGCACTTTGAGAGGCCGAGGCCGGCGGATCACGAGATCAGGAGTTCGAGACCAGCCTGGCCAACATGGTGAAACCCCATTTCTACTAAAAATACAAAAATTAGCCGGGAGTGGTGGTGGGCGCCTGTAATCGCAGCTACCCGGGAGGCTGAGGCAGGAGAATCGCTTGAAACCGGAAAGCGGAGGTTGCAGTTAGCTGAGATCGTGCCATTGCATTCCAGCCTGGGCAACAAGAGCGAAACTCCGTCTCAAAAAAAAAAAAAAAAAGCAGCAGGAAGGACCCACTGAGTACAGGAAGCCGACAGGGCCTGCTCCGGAAAACCAGGAGCTGTAAGGTCAGCCGAAAGGACGAAGAGACCTGAAGTCAGTCAAGTAAGTTTTATTAACCTGCTGGGCTGCTCCCCCACAGTTAGAGGAGGCAGCCCCGCTTACAGACTACAGCAGGGCTTTATAGGGCGAGGAACTGGGCTGGGGTGTGAGAACTGAGTCGGGGGTGCAGGTGTCCTGACCGCATCCTGGAGATGTTTTTGCCAGCTTTGTTATGCAAGGTGGGCAGGTGTTGTGACCGCATCCTGGAACTGTCTGCCGGTTCAGCTGAAGTCTTTTGAACAAACAGTTACTGGAAGGGTCAGTGGGGAGGAGGTCTACTTCTAGCCCGGGGGGAGTTGTGTGGCGGTCACAAAGGACTGTATTGTAAGACTGATGGGGGAAGGAGGGGAACAGTCTGGTTGGGTTGACCCTAACGGGAGCAAGTTCTGCTTCCATGCAAGTCCAGGTCCAAGGTCCCAGCGAGGGGCTGTGGGTAGCACCTGTCAGTCACACCCCACACAGCGAGCGGATTATTTGAGGATTCCGATCACCTCTCCTGTCGCTCAAGCCCCAGGGGCGGGACCTGGGGCACCAGCCAGTCAGAGGCGCTGTGCGGCAAACTGTCCAATCAGGTGCGCCGGGAGGAGGGGCAACTTCCAAAGCCCGAAGCGGTCTCATTTCCCGCCGGCCCCCCATTCGGGTCCGGGTTTTAGTTCCTCGGGGAGCCCCTGGTGCCCCGGATACGGCTGATTTTGTCGTGTGGGACCTGTTCTGGCTGCTCCAGCCCCAGGAAGGACCCAGGACACCCGGAAGCCGGAAATGGTGAGCGTGCGGAGCCGGGCGTCCGGAGACCTGAGGAGGAGCTGGTCGGAACCGGCAGTGGCTGGACCTGGGCCTCCCCGCGGCGACTGTGGGGGTCTGGGACCCGAGTCCCCCAGGCGCAGCTCGACCCTTGGTCCCCTCGGTCGCCGGGTGGAGCTGGACCAGCCGCCGGGACCCCGGGTGTCCTGTCCCGGCCCCGGAGCCCTCTCAGGGCAGCTCCGCGCCCGCAGCCCCGCGTCTCCCCAGATCGTGCGGGGGCCTCAGGAGGGTCTTAGGGGGAATCCCGCCTCGGGTGTGGGGTTCGTGCGGGAGGAGCCGTGGCCTGTGGGGTCCCCAGTTCCTCCTCCCTTAGGCGGTCCCCGTTTCCTTCGGAGTCTTCCAAAGGTGTGGGAAGCTGGGTTTCAAACCCACGACCCCGTCCCCCAGCTTCGCTCCTCCCAGGGCTGCAGTAAATCCCTAAATTTCCCCGCATTCCCCAACCCTAAGTTCTCCCTCCAGTACATCCACTTCACATTATTATTATTATCATTATTTCTATTATTTTTGAGACGGAGTCTCACTCTGTCGCCCAGGCTGGAGTGCAGTGGCACTGTCTGGGCTCACTGCAGCCTCCGTCTTCCGGGTTCAAGTGATTCTCCTGCCTCAGCCTCCTGAGTAGCTGGAATTACAGGTGCCCGCCACCACGTCCGGCTAACTTGTATTTTCAGTAGAGACAGGTTCACCATGTTGGCCGTGCTGAAGTCCTGATCTCAGGTATCTGCCTGCCTCGGTCTCCCAAAGTGCTGGGATTACAGGCTTGAGCCACTGCGCCTGGCAAGACCCAGTGTTTTAACTGTCATCTTTTCCAAGGAGCCCTAGATGGCACTTCTTAAAAAGTTCATTTTCCGTTTGTGAACATTTCACATGCGAGCAAAGCAGAAAATAACCCCCTGACACTCCGATGTTAAAAAAAAAAAATCACTGTGCCTGCCCTCTTTTTACCTTCCCTAGGCGCGGCCACCTTATCAGACAGTCTTTGGGTGGAGGCTTCTCTTGGGAACTTCACAGGGTATTGGGTCCTCAGCCCACCCTCCTATCTTTCTGGTCCTGGGTTTCAGGACCGTCCAGGGACTTCTTCCAGCTGCCCTCGGAAGAACGGGTGAAAAGTCTGTCCTGGCGTGGTTAATCTTTCCTGGTTGTTTGATGAGCCTCCTAGGGAGGAGTTCTTGTCTTTTGAAAAGAAGTTTCCTTAGGAAATTCCAGAGGGATTCCCTGCTGGCCCTTGGGGGTGGGGTGGGGCCAGAAACAGTAGAAAGAAACTTCTCCCTTCTGAGGCAGCTCAGGGTGGCATGCAGTGGCACAGTCATGGCTTACTACGGCCTCAACCTCTGGGGCCCAAGCAATCCTCCTGCCTCAGTCTTCCAAGAAGCTGGGACCACAGGCATGCGCCACGCCCGGCTAGTTTTTATTTTTTGTAGAGACAAGGTCTCACTATGTTGCCCAGTCTGCTCTGGAAGTCAAAAGCGATTCTCCTGCCCAGGTGGCTCACGCCTGTAATTCCAGCACTTTGGGAGGCTGGGGCGGGAAGATCTCTTGAGCCCAGAAGTTTGAGACCATCCTGGGCAAAGTGGCGAGACCCCATTTCTACAACAAATACAAAAATTAGCCGGGTATGGTGGCGCATGCCTGTAGTCTCAGCTACTCAGGAGACTGAGGTGGGAGAGCCACCTGAACCCGGGGAGGTTGAGACTGCCGTTAGCTGTGATTGCGCCACTGCACTGAACGACAGAGTGAGACCCTGTCTTTAAAAAAAAAAAAGGAAATCTTCCATTATGGCTGCAGAATATGAATACATTCCCACAAAAAAAAGGCATGGTAGGTCGGGCGCGATGGCTCACGCCTGTAATCCCAACACTTTGGGAGGCAGAGGCAGGCAGATCACGAGGTCAGGAGATCGAGACCATCCTGGCTAACACGGGGAAACCCCGTCTCTACTAAAAATACAAAAAAATTAGCCAGGCGTGGTGGCGAGCGCCTGTAGTCCCAGATATTCTGGAGGCTGAGGCAGGAGAATGGCGTGAATCCGGGAGGCGGAGCTTGCAGTGAGCTGGAGATCGCGCCACTGCACTCCAGCCTGCGCGACAGAGCGAGACTCCATCTCAAAAAATACATAATAAAAAAAGGCATGGTAGATAAGCAGAAATTAGTGATTTACAAAGATTCACCAGCACATCAGCTCCTCTCCTTTGCAGGTTGGGGAATTTGTGATGGTGGATAACTCTGTTCTGTTTTGTGTTATCTGGATTTGACAGATTAACGCTGAATCCTTTGGGATAAGTTTGGCAACATCTAGAAGTAGTCAGATATGATCTTTTGTTTACTGAATAGTTTATTATGGAAAAAATACTGAATGACATCTGAAAGTGATAGATACTCATCTCTTTTCCTAAGGATACTAATCTGTACTCCTAGGTCTCTCTCATGATCTCATGTAATCCCAGTTATTTCCCAGAGTTGCTGCCCGTAATATTAATACCATCACCTTAGGTGTTAGGATTTTTTTTTTTTTTTTGAGACAGAGTCTTGCTCTGTCGCCCAGGCTGGAGTGCAGTGGCGCGATCTCGGCTCACTGCAAGCTCCGCCTCCCGGGTTCACGCCATTCTCCTGCCTCTGCCTCCCGAGTAGCTGGGACTACAGGTGCCCGCCATTACGCCCGGCTAATTTTTTGTATTTTTAGTAGAGACGGGGTTTCACCGTGTTAGCCAGGATGGTCTCGATCTCCTGACCTCGTGATCCGCCCGCCTCGGCCTCCCAAAGTGCTGGGATTACAGGCGTGAGCCCCCGTGCCCGGCAGATATTTTTCAACGTATGCTTTTTACATCATAATCATTTTATTCACGAGACATTTTCAGACTTCAAGAAAAATTTCAGTAGGCTTTGTTCTTTTCTAAAAATTGACTTCAACGGCTTGTAACAGCAATTCAAGATGAACTGAGGGCAGGAACACTGGCAAACACCTGTAATTCTAGGTACTTGAGAGGCTGAGGCGGGAGAATCGATTTAGCCCAGGAGTTCAAGTCCAGCCTGGGCAATATAGTGAGACCCCCATCTTAAAAAATGTGTGTGTGTATATATATATATATATAAATTATATGTATGATTATATATATATTTATAAGTTGTATGATTATATATATTTATAAATTTTATGTATGATTATATATATATTTATAAATTTATTTATTTTATTTTTTTACTTTCGAGACAAAGTCTTGCCCTGTTGCCCAGGCTGGAGTGCAATGGTACAATCTTGGCTCACTACAACCTCCGCTAAAGTGATTCTCCTGCCTCAGCCCTCCCCCACGCCCGGTAGCTGAACCCGGTAGCTGAATCCTGAGTAGCTGGGATTACAGGTGCCCTCCACCACACCTAGCTAATTTTTTTTAGCTTTAGTAGAGACAGGGTTTCGCCATGTTGGCCAGGCTGGTCTCGAACTCCTGACCTCATGGTCCTCCTGCGTCGGCCTCCCATAGTGTTGGGATTACAGGCGTGAACCATCACATTCAGCCCTATATGCATTTTAGAACGGGCTTTTTTTTTGGCGGGGGGGGTCTCTGTTGCCCAGGCTGGAGTGCGGTGGCACGATCTCAGCTCATTGCAACCTCTGCCTCCCAGGTTCAAACGATTTTCCTGCCTCAGCCTCCCAAGTACCTGGGATTACAGGCACCTGCCACCACGCCCAGCCAATTTTTTGTATTTTTAGTAGACACGGGGTTTCAACATGTTGGCTAGGCCAGTCTGAAACTCCTGAGCTCAGGCAATCCTCCCACTTCGACCTCCCAAAGTGTTGGGATTATAGGCATGAGCCACTGTGACTGGCTGGTATTTTTATTTCTGAAAAAAGAAAACAAAACAAAAAAAACCAGACATGGGATTTTGATAGGGATTGTATTGAATTTGCAGATCATTTTGGGTAGTAGTACCTTCCAAATAATGTAAAGTCTTTTTTTTTTCTTTGACACAGAGTCTTGCTCTATCACCCAGACTGGAATGCAGTGGCACGGTCTTGACTCACTGCAACCTCCACTTCCTGGTTTCAAGCCATTCTCCTGCCTCAGCCTTCTGAGTAGCTGGGACTACAAGCGCATGCCACCACGCCTGGCTAATTTTTTTTTTTGTATTCTTAGTAGAGATGGGATTTTACCATGTTGGCCAGGCTGGTCTCAAACTCCTGACCTCAGGTGATTTGCCTGCCTTGGCCTCCCAAAGTGGTGGGATTACAGATATGAGCCAATGTGCTGGCTTTTTTTTTTTTTTTTTTTGAATTGGAGTCTTGCTCTGTCGCCGAGGCTGGGGTTCAGTGGCATGATCTCGGCTCACTGCAACCTCCACCTTCTGGGTTCAAGCAGTTCTTCTGTCTCAGTCTCCGGAGTAGCTGGGATTACAGGCACGTGCCACCACACCTGGCTAATTTTTGTATTTTCAGTAGAGACAGGGTTTCATCATGTTAGCCAGGCTGGTCTTGAACTCCTGACCTTGTAATCCACCCACCTCGGCCTCCCAAAGTGCTAGGGTTGCAGGCATGAGCCACCGCACCTGGCCAAATAATGTAAAGTCTTCGAACACATGAACACAAGATATTTTTCAATTTGTCTTTAATTTCATTCAGCAACATTTTGTTGTTTTTAGTGTACAAGTAGTCTTTCGACTTCTTGGTTTTGTAATTTCTAAGCGTTCAATTCTTTTTTTTTTTTTTTTTTTTTTTGAGACAGAGTCTCACTCTGTCGCCCAGTCTGGGCTATTTGGTGTCCTGGGTTTTATATTTGTTGAGGCTTTTTAAATTATTATTATTATTATTATTATTTTGAGATGGAGTCTTGCTTTGTTGCCCAGGATGGAGTGCAGTGGTGCGATCTCAGCTCACTGCAACCTCTGTCTCCTGAGTTCAAGCGATTCTCCTGCCTCAGCCTCCCAAGTAGTTGGGATTACAGGTGCCTGCCACCGCGCCCGACTAATTTTTGTATTTTTAGTAGAGACGGGGTTTCACCATCTTGGCCAGGCTGGTCTTGAACTCCTAACCTTTTGATCCACCTGCCTTTGCCTCCCAAAGTGCTGGGATTACAGATGTGAGTCACCGCGCCTGGCCTATTCAATTCTTTTTGGTGCTATTGTTTGTGGTATTGTTTTCTTAATTTCTTTTTCACATTATTCAGTTTTGGTGCATATAAATGTAGCTGACTTTTTTGGTCTTGAGACAGTCTACCTCTGTTGCCCAGACTGGAGTACAATGGTGTGATCTCAGCTCACTGCAACCTCTGCCTCCTGGGTTCAAGTGATTCTCCTGCCTTAGCCTCTCGAGTAGCTGGGACTACAGGTGTGGGCTACCACACCTGGCTGATTGTGTATTTTTAGTAGAGATGGGGTTTCACCATGCTGGTCAGGCTGGTCTTGAACTTCTCACCTCAAGTGATCTACTCGCCTCGACCTCCCGAAGTGCTGGGATTACAGGCGTGAGCCACCGCACCCAGCCCCATTGTTTTTCATATTTGAACCATCCTTGCATTTTGCGGATAAATCTCTCTTGATGATGTCATATAATCCTTTAAATATGCTGTCAGGTATGATTTGCTAGCATTTATTTGAGGATTTTTTGCATTGATATTCATAAAGGGCATTTGTAGTTTTGTTTTTTGTAGTGTCTGTCTTTGGTGTCAGCATAATTTTGACCTCATAGAGGGAGTTTGGAAATGTCCCCTCTTCAGTTTTGGAAGAGTTTGAGGAGGATTGATAGCAATTCTTTTTTAAATTTTTGGTGGATTTCAGCAGTGAAACTATTTGGTGTCCTGGGTTTTGTATTCGTTGAGGTTTTTAAAATTATTATTATTATTATTTTGAGATGGAGTCTCGTTTTGTCGCCCAGGATGGAGTGCAGTGGCGCCATCTCGGCTCACTGCAACCTCTGCCTCCCAGGTTCATGCCATTGTCCTGCCTCAACCTCCCCAGTAGCTGGGACTACAGGTGCCTGCCTCCATGCCAGCCTACTTTTTTGCGTTTTTAGTAGAGACGGGGTTTCACCGTGTTAGCCAGGATGGTCTCAATTTCCTGACCTTGTGATCCACCCTCCTCTGCCTCCCAAAGTGCTGAGGTTACAGGCATGAGCCACCGCGCCCAGCCAATTTATTATTTTTCTTAATTTATTTTATTTTTTTGAGATGGAGTTTCACTCTTGTTGCCCAGGCTGGAGTGTAATGGCATGATCTCGGCTCACTGCAACCTCCGCCTCCCGGGTTCATGGGATTCTCCTGCCTCTGCCTCCCAAGTAGCTGGGATTACCGGCGTCCACCACCATGCCCAGGTAATTTTTTGTATTTTTAGTAGAGACGGAGTTTCACCATGTTGGCTAGCCTGTCTCGAACTCCTGACTTAAGGGGATCCACCCACCTTGGCCTCCCAAAGTGCTGGGATTACAGGCATGAGCCACCGTGCCTGGCTATTTTTTTTTTATTACTATGCCAATCTCCTGCTACTACAGCTCTGTTCAGATTTTTTGTTTTTTCATGACTCAGTCTTGGTATATTGTGTATGTGTAGACATTTGTCCACGTAATCAGTTATATAATTTACTGAAGTATTCTAAAGGACTTCTGAAATTAAGCCTGAGTTGTACAGTTTTTTGTCCTCTGCTGTATGTATGTATTCTGCTGCTGTTGCTGTGAGTGTAAGGGGTGAGGTGAGGGGAATCATTCTATTGACCTATGACTTAGCCTCATTTAAAGATAATAGGCCGGGCACAGTGGCTTATGCGTGTAGTCCCAGCACTTTCAGAGGCGAAGGTGGGCAGATCGCTTTAGCCCAGGAGTTTGAGAGGAGCCTGGGCAACACAGGGAGAGCCTATCTCTACAAAAAATACAAAAATTAGCTGGGTGTGGTGGTGCCCACCTGTAGTAGGGAACAAGGTGGGATGATCACTTGAGCCTGGGAGGTTAAGACTGCAGGGGCCATGATTGTACCACTGCACTCTAGTCTGGACAACAGAGTGAGATCCTATCTCAAAAAATATTATATCAATCTTTATTTATTTATTTATTTGGAGACAAAGTGTCACTCTGTCACCCAGGCTGGAGTGCAGTAACACAATCCTAGCTCACTGCAACCTTGAATTCCTGGGCTCAAGCAATCCTCCTGCCTTAACTTCCCAAGTAGCTAGGACCACAGACACCTGCTAACATACCCTGCTAATGTTTTTAAAAAATTTTTCTAGAGGTGGCTATAACTTTTAATTTTTTTGTTTTTTGAGGTGGAGTCTTGCTCTGTTGCCCAGGCCCACCATGCCAGGCTAATTTTTCTATTTTTAATAGAGACCAGTTTTCACTATGTAGGCCAGGCTGGTCTTTAACTCCTGACCTCAAGTGGTCCACCCTACTACTCTACATGCCTGCTCTGTTATTAACCAAGTTTTCATATGAATACTGGCCCATTGAAGACTCTTCTTTTTCCTTGATCTATTTGTTTATCTCTCTGCTAATAGTATGCTGTCCTGAATGTGATGGTTTGGAAATCTTTGGTGTTAGGTAAGCCATCCACCTGCTATTCAGAAGGCTTTGACAATTATTAGATGTTAATTCCTGCACACCAGGTGGTGGGAGGTTTGGAAAAGTAGCTTTTGTTTACCTAAAATGTCTGTTTTGGGGATTTTTTTTTTTTTTTGAGACGGCGTCTCGCTCTGTTGCCCAGGCTGGAGTGCAGTGGCATGATCTCAGCTGACTGTAATCTCCGCTTCCTGGGTTCAAGTGATTCTTCTGTCTCAGCCTCCCAAATAGCTGGGACTACAGGCATGCGCCATCACGCCTGGCTAATTTTTTGTATTTTTAGTAGAGATGGGGTTTCACCATGTTGGCCAGGCTGGTCTCAAACTCCTGTCCTCAAGTGATCCACCTGCCTCGGCCTCCCAAAGTGCTGGGATTACAGGTGTGAGTCACCACACCCAGCTGTATTGGGTATTTATGAAATTTTGTAAGGATATCATTTGGAAGAAGGGACATCTTATTGAGTTTTTTCTAGGAACACATGTTATCTTTCCACTTACTCCATACTGCTTTGACATTACCTGACAGAAATTTTAAAATTCTTCCATTAGGACAATTAAATATTGATCATGAATCTTATTTACTACTTGATTAAATTTGGTCTAGAGTAAACTGCTTGCAAGCTTCAGGATATTCTCTCTTGGTATAACCACATGGGATGAGCTCAGTTCCCCAGGGGACAAGTTGTGACAACACGTGTGACATATTGTCTCCCAGGAAAGCTCATTAAAGACTCTGTGCCCAGAGTGTTTTTCTGGGGCTAGTGCCCTAGGCACCACTTCTAGTTTGGAACAAAAGAGTAGGCTTTCAGAAGGAAAACAGTTCAGTCAGTACCATCCTGTTTGTCAATACCATAAACCGTTTAGCCACAGTAAGCCACTTTGTCACTTAAGTTGATGGGATCCCTCTCGTAGTCTAAGTTGACCCCGATAGTAGCAAAGGTCGAACTTGGTAAACAGGCCTTTCTAAGGATACCCAGACTCAGGACTGCTGAAATGAGCGCTGTCTGCACACCAGGTGGTGGGAGTTTGTTGTGACAGGTACTAGAGATTCACTCTGCAAAGAGCATTTGGGGCAACGCAGCAGCACAACTGACTCCCTGGACCCACCACAGAGAGGGTGGTCCTCCTCTGTGGCTGGCTCTCTGAGTAGGTCAGTTCTCACACTGGAACTGCTGCGAGGGAGGAAGTGCGTGTAGATAGGAGGAGGCCGATGACTCAATCATGGAGTGAGTGTTTGGAGAGCCCGGCGTCATGGGATCACTCATGTATTGAGTAGAGATCCCCAGTGCTGAGTCTCACCCCTCCTCCTCCACACCTGTGGGATGTTTCAGGACTCAGTGGCCTTTGAGGATGTGGCTGTGAACTTCACCCAGGAGGAGTGGGCTTTGCTGAGTCCTTCCCAGAAGAATCTCTACAGAGATGTGACGCTGGAAACCTTCAGGAACCTGGCCTCGGTCGGTAAGAAGGACATTTCCTTCCTTAGTCAATTAGAAGACAAGTGTGTTTTGGTCACCAGTGTGGTTGCACAGTTTGGAATGTGGAAAGAGAATACGTTGGTGAATAAATGGGGCATCGTGGGCCAGGTACAGTGGCTTACCCTTGTAATCCTAGTGCTTTGGGAAGCCACGGTGGGAAGATTGCTTGCGTCCAGGAGTTTGAGACCAGCCTGGGCAACATGATGAGACCCTGTCTCTTTAAAAAAAAAAAAAAAAAGTGGGGGGTGGGCAATTGTGGCAGCTCATGCCTATAATCCCAGCACTTTGGGATAATGTTGAGATAATGTTGAGAAATGCAGAAGTATTGCTGGGTGTGATGGCTCCTGCCTGTAATCCCAGCACTTTGGGAGGCTGAGGCAGGTGGATCACCTGAGGTCAAGAGTTTGAGACCAGCCTGGTCAACATGGCGAAACCTCATCTCTACTAAAAATACAAAATTAGCTGGGTGTGGTAGTGCATACCTGTAATCCCAGCTACTCGGGAGGCTGAGGCAGGAGAATCACTAGAACTCAGGAGGCGGAGGCTGCAGTGAGCAGAGATTGCATCACTGCACTCCAGCCTGGGTGGCAGAGTGAGACTTTGTCTCCAAAAAAAAAAAAAAATCAGGCATTGTGGCAGTGTTTAATGAACTTAGAACCTAGTGATTTTTCTGTAATTTTAAATAATTCATAATAATTTCTCTGGGTCTACATTTTAGGAATCCAATGGAAAGACCAGGACATTGAGAATCTGTACCAAAACCTGGGGATTAAGCTAAGGTAATCTCCACTCACAAGAGGAAGCAGTGTCTCTTGAGGGAATCTTAGTAGGTCAGGAAAATTTTTAAAAAAATACAAGACAAATAAGTACAATGTTAGGTTTTTAACTGATTATTAGAAGATTGCTACCAAAAATCTATCCTTCAATGTAATGTAGATGTTGAGTGTCTGGACAGGGTACTAAGAATCTGTGACATGGATGTCACTGTTTGGATAACTGCTATGGGGAGCTGGGTAGCAGAATCATCAATACACTTCCTTTCTAATAATTCTGACCCAGGAGAAAACCTCCACTTTTCCTGATTTTGGTAGCAGCATAAGTCTTAAGACATGTCAATTAGTAGAAAAGCATTAATAAACCAAGCATTGATAATGCGTTTGTCATTTTTCATAGAAGTCTGGTGGAGAGACTCTGTGGACGTAAAGAAGGGAATGAACACAGAGAAACTTTCAGCCAGATTCCTGATTGTCACCTGAACAAGAAAAGTCAAACTGGAGTGAAACCATGCAAATGCAGCGTGTGTGGGAAAGTCTTCCTCCGTCATTCATTCCTGGACAGGCACATGAGAGCTCATGCTGGACACAAACGATCTGAGTGTGGTGGGGAATGGAGAGAGACGCCCCGTAAACAGAAACAACATGGGAAAGCCTCCATTTCCCCCAGTAGTGGTGCACGGCGCACAGTAACACCAACTCGAAAGAGACCTTATGAATGCAAGGTGTGCGGGAAAGCCTTTAATTCTCCCAATTTATTTCAAATCCATCAAAGAACTCACACTGGAAAGAGGTCCTATAAATGTAGGGAAATAGTGAGAGCCTTCACAGTTTCCAGTTTCTTTCGAAAACATGGAAAAATGCATACTGGAGAAAAACGCTATGAATGTAAATACTGTGGAAAACCTATCGATTATCCCAGTTTATTTCAAATTCATGTTAGAACTCACACTGGAGAAAAACCTTACAAATGTAAACAATGTGGTAAAGCCTTCATTTCCGCAGGTTACCTTCGGACACATGAAATCAGATCTCACGCGCTGGAGAAATCCCACCAATGTCAGGAATGTGGGAAAAAACTCAGTTGTTCCAGTTCCCTTCACAGACATGAAAGAACTCATAGTGGAGGAAAACTCTACGAATGTCAAAAATGTGCCAAAGTCTTTAGATGTCCCACGTCCCTTCAAGCACATGAAAGAGCTCACACTGGAGAAAGACCTTATGAATGTAATAAATGTGGTAAAACCTTCAATTATCCCAGTTGTTTTCGAAGACATAAAAAAACTCATAGTGGAGAAAAGCCATATGAATGTACAAGGTGTGGTAAAGCCTTTGGGTGGTGCAGTTCCCTCCGAAGACATGAAATGACTCACACTGGAGAAAAACCCTTTGATTGTAAACAGTGTGGTAAAGTCTTTACTTTTTCAAATTACCTTAGACTTCATGAAAGAACTCATTTGGCCGGGCGTAGCCAGTGCTTTGGCAGGAGGCAGGGGGATCACCTGAGCCCAGGAGTTTGAGACCAGCCTGGGCAACATAAGAAGGCCCCATATCGGCTGGGTACGGTGGCTCACGCTTGTAATCCCAGCACTTTGGGAGGCTGAGGCGGGTGGATCACCTGAGGTCAGGAGTTCAAGACTAGCCTGGCCAACATGGTGAAACCCCGTCTCTACTAAAAATACAAAAAAATTAACTGGGCATGGTGGTGGGCACCTGTAATCTCAGCTACTCGGGAGGCCGAGGCAGGAGAATCGCTTGAACCTGGGAGGTGGAGGTTGCAGTGAGCCGAGATCACGCCATTGCACTCCAGCCTGGGCGACAAAAGTGAGACTCCATCACACACACACACAAAAAAGCCCCATATCACGTGGTGGCTCATGCCTGTAAAACCAGCACTTTGGGAAGCCGAGGTGGGTGGATCACGAGGTCCAGAGATGGAGACTATCTTGGCCAACATGGTGAAACCCCGTCTCTACTAAAAATACAAAAATTAGCCAGGCGTGGTGGTGTGTGCCTGTAGTCCCAGCTACTCGGGAGGCTGAGGCAGGAGAATTGCTTGAACCAGGGACTTGGAGGTTGCAGTGAGCCGAGATCGCGCCGCTGCACTCCAGCCTGGTGACAGAGCGAGACTTCGTCTCAAAACAAACAAAAAAAAGAAGGCCCCATATCTCCAAAGAAAAAAAAAATTAACTGGGTGAGGTGGTGCATCCCTGTAGTTCTAGCTGCTCAGAAAGCTGAGGTGGGAGGAACCCTTGAGCCTGGGAGGTTGAGGCTGCAGTGAGCTGAGATCGTGCCACTACACTCCAGCCTGGATGACGGTGACACTCTGTCTCAGAAAAAAAGGGAAAGAAATAATTCTCATTTATACAGGAGAGAAATCCTATGAATGTAAGGAATATGGGAATACATTCAGTTTCCAAAGATATGAAAAGACTAACTGGAAAAAAATCCAAAGACCTCAGATATTCCAGTTCTATTCAGAGCCATAAAAGGACTCATACTGGAGAAAAATTGTAGAAATGTACAGAATATGGGGAAACTCTCATTGCTCTCATCTCCATTCAAAGACACGTGTCAGTGCACACTGGAGATGGATGGTATGAATCGAAGAATACACACTGGATGGAAACGTTAGTAGTTTGGAAAATACAGGAAACTTCCATTTTAACAATAATTAAAATTCACATGGGCTGTGCACAGTGGCTCTCCCCTGTAATCCCAGCATTTTGGGAGGCTGGGGTGGGTAGATTGCTTGAGGCCAGGTATTCAAGACCAGCCTGGCAACCTGGAGAAATCCCATGTATACAAAAAATAGAAAAGTTAGCCAGGGATGATGGTGTTCGCCTGTAGTCCCAGCTACTCAGGAAGCTGAGGTGGGAGGATTGCTTGAGTTTGGGAGGTCGAGGTTGCAGTGAGTGGAGATTGCGCCACTGGACTCCAGCCTGGGCAACAGTGAGACCCTGTCTAAAAAAATTAATCATGTGAGAACATCCACTCGAAAGAAATCCTATAAACGTAAGTAATTTTGAAAGCCTGATGCAAATTAATTATTATATAATGCTCAAAAACTTAATCATGAATGAGTTATTACACAAAGTTATAAATATATAGCATTTATCAGTGGCTCATTCTTTTTTCTTTCTTTTTTTTTTTTTTTTTTGAGATGGAGTTTTGCCCTGTCGCCCAGGCTGGAGTGCAGTGGCACAATCTCGGCTCACTGCAACCTCCGCCTCCTGGGTGTGAGCAATTTTCCTGCCTCAGCCTCCTGAGTAACTGGGATTATAAGCACATGCCACCACGCCTGGCTAATTTTTTTGTATTTTTAGTAGAGACGGGGCTTCACCATGTGGTTCAGGCTGGTCTCAGACTCCTGACCTTGTGATCCGCCCTCCTTGGCCTCCCAAAGTGCTGAGATTACAGGTGTGAGCCACCGCGCCTGGCCTTTTTTTTTTTTCCCGAGACACAGTCTCACTCTGTTGCCCAGGCTAGAGTGCAGTGGCGCGATCTTGACTCACTGTAACCTCTGACTTCTGGGTTCAAGCAATTCTCCTGCTTCAGTCTCCGAAGCATCTGGGATTACAGGCGCACGCCACCATGCCCAGCTAAATTTTTGGTATTTTTGTAGAAACAGGGTTTTTCCACATTGGCCAGGCTGGTCTTGAACTCCTGACCTCAAGGAATCCATCCTCTTCAGCCTCGCAAAGTGCTGAGATTATAGGCATGAGACACCTTGCCCGGCCCCTGTGACTCATTCTTAAAAAGGATCTTTGGATTATGGGTTTCCACTTTTGCAAGGAAATGTGAGAATGATACTCTTTAAGCAGTGGTACCTGAGGTTTAATAGGAAGTGTTTTTATCCTAAGTTAGTTAATAAAATTTTTTTCTATCCATTTTGGTTTTCATTTTTTTCTATCCATTTTAAAGTGTTGGATCTGTGGGTGAAGTGAAATTTATTTCTAATATGTAAGCAGGTTTAATTTTTATGTAGTGTTTAATTGTTCTGTGATGAATGGGCCATTACAAAATGAGTCTATTTTTGTTTGTTTTCTTTTGTTTTTGAGACTGAGTCTTGCTCTGTCGCCAGGCTGAAGTGTAGTGGCGCGATCTTGGCTCACTGCAACCTCCACCTCCCGGGTTCAAGTAATCCCCCTGCCTTAGCCTCCTACAGGCGCGTGCCGACATGCCTGGCTAATTTTTTGTATTTTAGTAGAGACGGGGTTTCATTGTACTGGCCAGGATGGTCTTGATTTCCTGACCTTGTGATCCACCCCACCTTGGCCTCCCAAAGTGCTGAGATTACAGGAGTGAGCCACTGCGACCGGCCCATGAGTCTTTATTAATAGAGATTTCTTACTGGTGTTATGTGGCAGATTCTGCATATTCCTCACCCATCATATGTATTCCACTTTCCTTTATTATGGGGAAAACTACTCTTTTTGGCATGATACAATGTTGACTCCATTTTCTTTGCTAATAAGGACTTGGTATCAATTTATCAGTATGTAAAGTTTACCATAGAGTATTGTCTCATGTGAATCATTCCCATTTTTTGCTCTTTACTCTTTGTCGTTATTTCTGAGTATTATTTGGATGGTTCATTTTGACTTAAGGATAGCCCTGTGATATGACAATATTTTTATCTAATCTGATGGAGAAAGCATTTAGTCTCCTGATCAAGTATGATGTTAGCTGCAGGTTTTTAATAAATGCCTTAATTCAGTTTGAAGAAGTTCCCTTCTGTTCATTATTTATTGAGTGTTTCATCAAGTTGTATTGAACTTTTTTGCATCTATTGGGATGATCCCCTTTTTTTTTTTTTGGAAACAAAGTTTCACACTTCTTGCCCAGGCTGGAGTGCAGTGGCACAATCTTGGCTCACTGCAACCTCCGCCTCCCAGGTTCAAGTGATTCTCCTGCCTCAGCCTCCCAAGTAGCTGGGATTACAGGTGCCCTCCACCACGACTGGCTAATTTTTTGTATTTTTAGTACAGGTCAGGTTTCACCATGTTGGCCAGGCTGGTCTCGAACTCCTGACCTCAGGTGATCTGCCCGCCTCAGCCTCCCAAAGATCCTGTGGTGTTTAGTCAGTTTTGCATTGCTGTAAAGCAATGCCTGACACTGGGTAATTTGTAAAGTAGAGATTTCATTGGCTCACGATTCTGCAGGTTATAGAGGAAGCATGGTATCACATCTGCTGGGTTTCTGGTGAGGCCTCAGAGCTCTTACTCTTGGCAGAAGGTGAAGTGGGAGTAGGTATGTCACAAGGCAAGAGTAGGAGCAAGGGAGAGAGAGGGGGAGGTCTCAGACTCTCTTGAGTGAGCATTCACTCATCCCTAAGGGATGGTGCTAGGCCATTCATGACGGATCAGCCCCAATGGTATGATACTTCCCACTAGGCCCAACAGCCAACACTGGGGATCACATTTCTTTTTTTTTTTTTTTTTTTTTTTTTTTTTGAGATGGAGGTTTGCTCTGTCGCCGATGCTGGAGTACAATGGCGCGATCTTGGCTCACTGCAACCTCCACCTCCTGGGTTCAAGTGAGTCTCCTGTCTCAGCCTCCCAAGTAGCTGGGATTACAGGCACACCACTACGCCCAGCTAATTTTTGTATTTTTAGTAGAGATAGGTTTTCACCATGTTGGTCAGCCTGGTCTCGATCTCCTGACCTCGTGATCCGCCCGCCTTGGCCTTCCAAAGTGTTGGGATTACAGGTGTGAGCCACTGTGCCCAGCCTGGGGACCACATTTCAACAAGAGATTTGGAGAGGACACATCTAAGTCATATAATTCCACCCCTATCCCTCCAAATCTCATATTCTCATATTGCAGAATACAATAATCCCTTCTCAATAGTCACCCAGAGTCTTAACTCATTCCAGCATTAACTCAAAAGTCAAAAGTCTCACATGAGACTCATGAAATGAAATGTCCATATTGTGGGGGTGGGGGGGCGGGACGGAGTAAAACTGCCGGGCCTTTGTATGCAATCAGTTAAGTTGTTATTAGCTTAAAATAGACTTCGAGAGCTAAGATTCTTTATGTAACCCTCATGGTAGCCCAGAAGAGAAAACCTATAGCAGATACGCAAAAGAGAAAGGAATCAAAGCAGAAAATCATTAACTCTCAAAGAGAGACAGAAAGAGGAAGAAAGGAACAAAGGATCTATAAAACAGTGAGAAAACAGTTAAAATGGGAATAGTAAGTCTTAACCTATCAACAATTACTTTATTTTTTATTTTATTTTATTTTATTATTTTTTGAGACAGAGTCTCACTCTGTTGCCTAGGTTGGAGTGCAGTGGCTGGCGCGATCTCAGCTCACTGCAACCTCCGCCTCCTTGGTTCACGCCATTCTCCTGCCTCAGCCTCCTGAGTAGCTGGGATTACAGGTGCCTACCACCACACTGAGCTAATTTTTGTATTTTTAGTAGAGACGGGGTTTCACCTTGTTGGCCAGGCTGATCTCGAACTCCTGACCTCAGGTGATCTGCCTGCTTCTGCCTCCCAAAATGCTGGGATTACAAGCGTGAGCCACCATGCCTGGCCTCTATTTATTTAGAGACAAGTTCTCGCTCTGTCGCCCAGGCTGGAGTGCAGTGGCATGATCTCACCTCACTGCAACCTCTGCCTCCCAGGTTCAAGCGATTCTCCTGTCTCAGCCTCCTGAGTAGCCGGGGTTACAAGCACATGCCACCACACCTGGCTAATTTTTGTATTTTTAGTAGAGACAGGGTTTTACCATGTTGGCCAGGCTGGTCTTGTGACCTCAAGTGATCTGCCTGCCTCAACCTCCCAAAGTGCTGAGATTACAGGTGTGAGCCACCATGCTTGGCCAACAATTACTTTAAATGTAAATGGATTAAATTTCCAATCAAAATATATAGAGTGGCTGAATAGATTTTTAAAACACATGAAAAACACTACTGAACTATAAGCTACCTACAAGAGACTCCCTTCATTATTATTATTACTATTCTTTGACACAGAGTCTTGCTGTGTCGCCCAGGCTGGAGTACACTGGCACGATCTTGGCTAACTGTAACCTCTGCTTCCTGGGTTCAAGTGATTCTTCTGCCTCAGCCTCCTGAGTAGCTGGAACTACAGGCATGCACCACCACGCCCAGCTAATTTTTGTATTTTTAGTAGAGACAGTGTTTCACCATGTTGGCTAGGCTGGTCTCGAACTCCTGACCTCATGATCTGCCTGCCTCAGCATCCCAAAGTGCTAGGATTACAGGTGTGAGCCACGACTCCCTTCATTTTTATTTTTTATTTTTTGAGACAGAGTCTTGCTCTGTCGCTCAGGCTGGAGTGCAATGGTGCGATCTTGGCTCACTGCAAACTCTGCCTCCTGGGTTCAAGGGATTCTCCTGCCTTAGGCTCCAGAGTAGCTGGGATTACAGGCGTGCTCCATCACACCCGGCTAATTTTTTGTATTTTTAGTAGAAACGGGGTTTCACCATGTTGGCCAGGCTGGTTTCTAACTCCTGACCTTGTGATCCACCCGCCTCGGCCTCCGAAAGTGCTGGGATCATAGGCGTGAGCCACTGCGCTCGGCCACGACTCCCTTCATTTTTAAGGATATACTGGTCGGGCGCAGTGGCTTACACTTTGGGAAGCCAAGACAGGCAGATCACTTGACCCCAGGAGGTCGAGGCTGCAGTGAGCTGTGATTGTGCCACTGCGCTCGAGCCTGGGCAATGGAGACCCTGCCTCAAAAAAAAAAAAATTGTATATGCAAACAATGTAATATTCCTTAGCCTTATAAAAGGACATCCTTTTACATGCTACAACATGGATGAACTTTGAGGACATTATGCAGAAATAAGCCACTCGCGAAAAGACAAATACTGTGTGATCCTACACAGATGATCCATGGAAAATTGTCAAATTCATAAAATCAGAAAGTGAATGTTAGCTGCTAGCAGGTAAGGAGGAGAGGGGGAAGTGAGGAGCTGTTATTCAGTGGGTACAGAGTTTCAGTTTTGCAAGATGAAAACTTTCTGGAGATTGGTTGCAACCCCAGGTTAGTATAGTTGGTATTACTGATCTGTACGCTTAAAAATCATTAAGGACTGGGCATGGTGGCTCACACCTGCAATTCCAGCACTTTGGGAGGCTGAGGCGGCCAGATCACTTGAGGTCAGGAGTTCGAGACCAGCCTGGCAAGCATGGCGAAACCCTGTCTCTACTAAAAATACAAAAATTAGCCAGGCGTCGTGACACATACCTGTAATCCCAGCTACTAGGGAGGCTGAGGCACGAGAATCGCTTGAACCCAGGAGATGAAGTTGGAGTGAGCCGAGATCGTGCCACTGCACTCCAGCCTGGGACACAGCAAGACTATGTCTCCAAAATAAAACAAAATAATAAAAAATATATAAAATGGACATACACACATAGCCCTTCAGACAAACAAAATCACGACCTTGTCACTGCACATACAGCTGCAGACACAACCAACTCACAAGCCCTCCAGAGTAATGTCCCAGTGACACCAACGGATTCCCCCAGGCAGGCAGAGCCCAGGCCCTTGGCACTCCATCCCTACCGGCACTCCATCCCTACTGCTTTCCCTCCCTCCTGGGGACTAAGGCCCACCTGATACATTTTTAAATATATATATATATAATATATTTTATTTATATTAAATATTAATATATTTTTATTTATATTAATATATAAATAAATTATATATTTATCTATTACATTAATATTTATCTATTACATTAATATATATTTATCTATTACATTAATATATATTTATATATTACATTAATATATATTTATATATTACATTAATATATATTTATATATAAGTTATATATTTATATATTAATATATTTATATATGTTATATATTTATATATTAATATATTTATATATAAATATATAAAAATTATATATAATATAATATATAAATATATTAATATATTTTTATATCTAAATATATATTTATATATATAAATAAATTAATATATTTATATACAAATAAATTATATATTTATATACAAATAAATTATATATATATACAAATAAATTATATATATACAAATAAATTATATATTTATATTATATATTTATATACAAATAAATTATATATTTATATACAAATAAATTATATATATACATATTTATATACAAATAAATTATATATATACAAATAAATTATATATTTATATATACATAAATTATATATTTATATATAAATATATTATTTATATATAAATTTATATTTTTATATATAAATAATATATTTATATTTATATATAAATAAACTATATTATATATTTATATATAAATAAATTATATATTTATTATATATTTATATATAAACTATATATTATATATTTATATATAAACTATATATTTATTATATATTTATATATAAACTATATATTTATTATATATTTATATATAAACTATATATTTATTATATATTTATATATAAACTATATATTTATTATATATTTATATATAAACTATATATTTATGTTATATATTTATATATAAACTATATATTTATGTTATATATTTATATATAAACTATATATTTATGTTATACATTTATATATAAACTATATATTTATGTTATATATTTTTATATAAACTATATATTTATGTTATATATTTTTATATAAATTATATATTTATGTTATATATTTATATATAAATTATATATTTATGTTATATATTTATATATAAATTATATATTTATGTTATATATTTTTATATAAATTATATATTTATGTTATATATTTTTATATAAATTATATATTTATGTTATATATTTTTATATAAATTATATATTTATGTTATATATTTTTATATAAATTATATATTTATGTTATATATTTATATATAAATTATATATTTATGTTATATATTTATATATAAATAAATTATATATTTATGTTATATATTTATATATAAATAAATTATATATTTATGTTATATATTTATATATAAATTATATATTTATGTTATATATAAATAAATTATTTATTTATAAATATATAAAATTATTTATATATTTATATATATAAATTATTTATATATTTATATATATAAATAATTTATATATTTATATATATAAATAATTTATATATTTGTTATATATTTATATATAAATAAATTATATATTTGTTATATATTTATATATATTTATACAGAAATATAATTTAAAATATATATATTTATATATAAATATATTTTAAATTATATTTATATATTTATATATAAATATAATTTAAAATATATTTATATATAAATATAATTTAAAATATGTATTTATATATATATATTTTTTGAGATGGAGTCTCGCTCTGTCACCCAGGCTGGGGTGCAATGGCGCGATCTCGGCTCACTGCAATCTCTGCCTCCCGAGTTCAAGCGATTCTCCTGCCTCAGCCTCCAGAGTAGCTGGGGCTACAGCTACTCATAAAGTTATGAGACCTCATATCTTTTTTTTTTTTTTTTTTTTTTTAGATGGAGTCTCACTCTGTCGCCCAGGCTGGAGTGCAATGGCATGATCTCGGCTCACTGCAACTTCCACCTCCCGGGTTCAAGCAATTCTTGTGCCTCAGCTTCCTGAGTAGTTGGAATTACAGGCCCCTCCCACCACGCCCAGTTAATTTATGTATTTTTAGTAGAGATGGGGTTTTGCCCTGTTGGTCAGGCTGGTCTCAAACTCCTGACCTCAGGTGATCTGCCTGCCTCGGCCTCCCAAAGTGCTGGGATTACAGGCATAAGCCACTGCGCCTGTCCCAGAGACCCCCATATCTTAAAAAATTAAATTAGCTGGGTGTGGTGGCGTGTGCCTGTGGCCTCTGAGGCAGGAGGATAACTTGAGGCCTGAATTTGTGACTAGCCTGGGCAATATAGTGAGACCTGGTCTCTTAAAAAAATACTAAATCTTTATCATTTACAAAGAAATGGGAACTCTGAGACCCCACCAGTTTAAATAAGTTTACGTGGCCCAATGTAAGTTAAACAGGGTGTTCCAGGATTGGAATTTATTTTTAATTTTAGAGATGGTCTCACTCTATCTGGAGTGTGGTGGCGTGATGATGGCTCACTGTAGCCTTAAACTGGGCTCAAGCGATCCTCCAGCCTCAGACTTCCAAGTAACTGGGACCACAGGCTCTATCAACCACACTTGGCTATCTATCTATCTATCATCTGTCTATCTGTCTGTCTGTCTGTCTATCTATCTGTCTTATCTATACAGAGTTTCGCTCTTGTTGCCCAGGCTGGAGTGCAATGGTGTGCTCTCAGCTCACTGCAATCTCTACCTCCTGGGTTCAAGCAATTCTCATGCCTCAGCCTCCCGAGCAGCTGGGGTTATAGGCTTGAGCCACCACTGCCTGCTAATTTTTTGTATTTTTAGTACAGATGGGGTTTGATATATGGGTTAGGTTGGTCTCGAACTCCTGTCCTTAAGTGATCCACCTGCCTTGGCCTCCTAAAGTGTTTGGATTACAGGTGGAGCCATTGCACCTGGCCAGATAAAAGTTTATACTGCTCTTTTTCTCTCTAGTTTTTTTTTTTTTTTTTTTTTTTTCTAGACAGAGTTTCACTCTTTTTGCCCAGGCTGGAGTGCAATGGCGTGATCTCGGCTCACCACAACCTCCACCTCCCGGGTTCAAGTGATTCTCCTGCCTCAGCCTCCTGAGTAGCTGGGATTACAGGCATGTGCCACCACGCCCGGCTAATTTTGTATTTTTAGTAGAGACGGGGGTTTCTCCATGTTGGTCAGGCTGGTCTCGAACTCCTGACTTCAGGTGATCCGCCTGTCTTGGCCTCCCGAAGGACCGAGATTACAGGCATGAGCCACCACGCCCGGCTTTCTTTTTTTTTTTTTTGAGATGGAGTCTCGCCCTGTTGCCCAGGCTGGAGTGCAGTGGTGCAATCTCGGCTCACTGCAACCGCTGCCTCCTGGGTTCAAGTGGTTCTCTGCCCCAGCCTCCCGAGTAGCTAGGATTACAGGCACCCGCCACCACGCCTGGCTAATTTTTGTATTTTTAGTAGAGACGGGGTTTCACCATGTTGGTCTGGCTGGTCTCTAACTCTTGACCTTGTGATCTGCCTGCCTCAGCCTCTCAAAGTGCTGGGATTACAGGCGTGAGCCACCACGCCCGCCCGGCCCTCTCTAGTTTCTTAAGGTGGAAGATTACATTATTATTATTATTTTTTGAAACGGAGTCTTGGTCTGTCACCCAGGCTGGAGTGCAGTGGTGCGATCTCGGCTCACTGCAAGCTGCGCTTCTCAGGTTCACGCCATTCTCCTGCTTCAGCCTCCCGAGTAGCTGGGACTACAGGTGCCAGCCACCACGCCCGGCTAATTTTTTGTATTTTTAGTAGAGACGGGGTTTCTCCGTGTTAGCCAGGACGGTCTCGATCTCCTGACCTCGTGATCGCCCGCCTCGGCCTCCCAAAGTGCTGGGATTACAGGCGTGAGCCACTGCGCCAGCCCAAGATTACATTACTGATTTAAATATTTCTTTTCTGATGTATATATCCAATGCTCTAAATGTAGCTCTAAGCACTGTTTTTGCTATATCCTCCCCACCCCCGCTTTTTTTTTTTTTTTTTTTTTTTGAGATGCAGTCTTGCTCTGTTGCCCAGGCTGGAGTACAGTGGTGTGATCTCGGCTCACTGCCACCTCTGCCTCCCGGGTTCAAGCGATTCTTCTGCCTCAGCCTCCTGAGTAGCTGGGATTACCGGCGTGCGCCTCCACACCTGGTTAATTTTTTTTTTTTTGTATTTTTAGTAGAGATGGGGTTTCACCATGTTGGCCAGGCTGGTCTCGAACCCCTGCCCTCAAGTGGTCCACCCACCTCAGCCTCCTAAAGTGCTGGGATTACAGGCGTGAGCCACCTCGTCCAGCATATCCCACAATTTTTTTTTTGAGACAGAGTCTTGCTTAAAGTTCAAAATCAGTAAACTGGACACACTTAACTACTATTATTATTTTCAAGACGGAGTATCGCTGCTCTGTTGCCCAGGCTGGAGTGCAGTGGCTCGATCTCGGCTCACTGCAACCTCTGACCCCCAAGTTCAAGTGATTCTCGTGCCTCAGCCTCCTGTAATCTCAGCTGCGATTACAGGCGTGTAATCTGTGCCTGGCCTCATTCAAATCATGACCTACCGCGCCTGGCCCAGCTAAATTTTTTTTTGTTTATTTTTTTGTAGAGATGGTCTCCTTTGCCCAGGCTGGTCTCCAACTCCTGGATGCAGGCCATCTTCCTGCCTTGACCTCGCAAAGTGCTGGGATTGCAGGTGTGCACCTGGCATGGTTATGGTTTAACATTATGAATATAATTCATGCCACAGAATGGTGCACTTAAAATGGATAAAATAAAATTTTGTATGAAAAACCCTTTAGCTCTATGAAACACCCAGTTAGGCTGGGCACGGTGGCTCATGCCTGTAATCTCAGCACTTTGGGAGGCCGAGGTGGGAGGATTATTTGAGGTCAGGAGTTCGAGACCAGCCTGGCCAACATGGTGAAACCCCATCTCTACTAAAAATACAAAAATTAGCCGGGTGTGGTGGCGGGCGACTGTAATCCCAGCTACTTGGGAGGCTGAGGCAGGAGAATTGCTTCAACCCAGGAGGTGGAGGTTGCAATGAGCTGAGATTGCGCCTCTGCACTCCAGCCTGGGAAACAGAGTGAGACTCTGTCTCAAAAAAAAAAAAAAAAAAAAAAGGAGAAAAGAAACAACCAGTTAAGATGATGAAATAAGCTCCTGAGTGGGAAACTATTTTCAAACTACACATACAGCAAAGAACTACTATCTTGAATATATAAAAAAACTGTCACCCTTGTTTAGAAACACAGACATCTAACAGTGATGTCACCGTATATAATAAAGGGATTCTAGGTTTGAGCCACCACTCCTGACTCTTAAGAGAATTTTGAAATGTAAAAAGCCATGATATCTCCAAGGCAATCAAATTCCTATTCTCACTGGTATATTTAAGAAAAACAGGTCACACGCATTTGCTCACATCTGTGATCCCAGCACTTTGGGAGGCCAATCGCTTGAGCCCAGGAGTTCAAGACCAGCCTGGGAAACATAGTGAAATCCCATCTGTATTAAAAATAAAAAAATTAGCAGGGTGTGGTCACCTGCTTCTGTAGTCTCACCTACTCAGGAGGCTAAGGTGACAGGATTGCTTGAGCCAGGAGGTGAAGGCTGCAGTGGGCTATGATTGAGCCATTGCACTCCAGCCTTGGTGACAGAGTGAGACTGTCACCAAAAAAAAAAAAAAAAAAAAAAAAGGCTGGGTGTGGTGGCTCATGCCTGTAATCCCAGTACTTTGGGAGGCCGAGGTGGGCGGATCACTTGTGATCGGGAGTTTGAGACCAGCCTGGCCGATATATTTGGTGAAACCCTGCTTCTACTAAAAATACAAAAGTTAGCCGGGCGTGGTGGTGCGCGCCTGTAATCCCAGCTACTCAGGAGGCTGAGGCAGGAGAATCGCTTGAACCCGGGAGGTGGAGATTGCAGTGAGCCGAGATTGTGCCACTACACTCCAGCCTGGGCGACACAGCAAGACTCTGTCTCAAAAGAAAAAAAAGAAAAAAAGAAAAGAAAAAAGAAAAACAAAAAAGGGGTACGTAAATTTGGCATAAACCTGGAAACTCAATACTGTTAAATTGGACCAAAACTCCTAATGAATTTACTTATTTCAACCACTTTATTCAAATATACATATCCTACACAATACACCCAGTTAAAGTGCATAATTCATAGGTATAGTATATTCACAGATACATGCAATCATCACCACAGTGGATTTGCATCACCTCAAAGAGAAACCCCTGTACCCTTTAGGTATCCACTCCCCCAATCCTCCCATTTTTTTTACTCAACACCCAGCCCTAGGCAGTCAGCAATTGACTTTCTTTCTCAGCAGATTTCTCTGCTCTGGACTTTCATGTGAATGAAATCATACCATACGGGGAATTTTTAACTGGGTTTCATTTACTATAGTTTTTTGAAGGGATATCCATGTTGTAGTATGGTCCTGTACATCATTTAGATTTATGATGGAATTATTAATATTTTCCATTGTCTGGCTATTACATATTTTATCCATGCATTCAATGATGGATTATTTGGTTTCCACCTTTTGGCTGTCATGAATAACACTGCTATAAACATTCATGCCCAAGGTCTTGTGTGGACATATGTTTCTATTTATTTCTACCTACAACAAAAACTGATGTCACATGGAAATTCTGTTTAGTAGTTTCTTTTAAATTTAAAAGGTTTGAAGATTTATTATTTTTTTCTTGTGGCAAAAACTCTTAAGATTAAATATAACGGCTGGGCATGGTGGCTCACGTCTATCCCAGCACTTTGGGAGGCTGAGGCAGGTGGGTCACCTGAGGTCAGGAGTTCGAGACCAGCCTGGTCAACATGGCGAAACCCCATCTCTACTAAAAATACAAAAATTAGTTGGGCATGGCGGTGTGTGCCTGTAATTCCAGCTACTTGGGAGGCTGAGGCATGAGAATTGCTTGAATCTGGGAGGCGGAGTTTGTAGTGAGCCAAGATCATGCCACTGCACTCCAGCCTGAGCAACAAGAGCAAAACTCTGTCTGAAAAAAAAATTAAATATACCAAGTTAACCCCAAGTGTATAGGTCAGCAGTGTTAAATCTATTCACACTGTTGGGCAACAGATCTTCAGACCTTTTCAATCTTGCAAAACCTAAAATCTATATCCATTAAACACTACTTCCAACTGCCCACCACCCCAGCCCCATTCTACAGCCCCCATTCTCAGCAACAACCTTGCTGCACTGTTTCTGCATTTTGACTACTTCAGCTAGTCCATATGAATGGAATCCTACAGTATTTATTGTTTGATGACTGCCTCATTTCACTCAGCCTAATGTCCTCAGGGTTCATCGGTGTCGTACCAACTGACAAAGTTTCTTTCTCTTCTCTTTGAGATCTTGTTGTGAAATCTCTGGGATATACACCCAGAAGTGGAATTACTGGATCATATGGTCATACCATTTTTCTTTTTTTTATTTATTTTTAGATGGAGTCTCACTCTGTCTCCAGGCTGGAGTGCAGTGGCATGATCTCGGCTCACTGCAACCTCCATCTCCTGGGTTCAAGCCATTCTCCTGCCTCAGCCTCCTGAGTAGCTGGAATTATAGGTGCGCACCACCACGCCCAGCTAATTTTTGTATTTTTAGTAGAGATGGGGTTTCACCATGTTGGCCAGGATGGTCTCGATTTCCTGACCTCGTGATCCACCCGCCTTGGCCTCCTAAAGTGCTGGGATTACAGGTGTGAGCCACCATGCCTGGCCTTCATTTTTTTACAACCTGTTCTTCACAATGCTGTTTTTCATAATGGCTACACCACTTTACAATCCCACCATCAATGCATAAGCACCCCAATATCTCTATGTCTTCACCAAAACTTTTTATTTATTTATGTATTATTTATTGAGATGGAGTCTTGCTCTGTTGCCCAGGCTGGAGTGCAGTGGCATGATCGCAGCTCACTGCAACTGCCGCCTCCTGGGTTCAAGTGATTCTCCTGCCTCAGTCCCCGGAGTAGCTGGGATTACAGGCATGTGCCACCATGCCCAGCTAATTTTTGTTTCACCATGTTGGTCAAGCTGGTCTCGAACTCCTGACCTCGTGATCCGCCTGCCTCGGCCTCCCAAAGTGCTGGGATTACAGGCATGAGCCACCGCACCTGGCCGGCTATTCTTTTTTTAAATTATTATTATTATTATTATTATTATTATTATTATTATTATAGTTCTGGCCTGCTATTCTGATGTTCGCCATTCTAATTGGTGTGAGGAAATATCTCATTATGTGCTTTTTTTTTTTTTTTAAGACAGAGTTTCTTGTTGCCCAGGCTGGAGTGCAGTGGCGTGATCTCAGCTCACTGCAACCTACGCCTCCTGGTTCAAGCGATTCTCCTGCCTCAGCCTCCCCAGCAGCTAGGATTACAAGCATGTACTACCATGCCCAGCTAATTTTGTATTTTTAGTAGAGACAGGGTTTCACCATGTTGGCCAGGCTGGTTTCAAACTGCTGACCTCGGATGACCCACCTGCCTCGGCCTTCCAAAGTGCTGAGATTACAGGCGTCAGCCACCATGCCCGACCTCATTATGCTTTTAATTTGCACTTCTCTTATGATCTCTGATGGTGAGTGTGTGTGTACAGATATTTCAATGGCATCCTTTTGTATTTTGCAAAAACAGGGAGTATATATATACTATTTTTGCAAAATAGCAGTTGAAATTTTGGTGCAGATTGTATTAAATCTGTAGACCACTTTGGGTAGTGGAGACATCTTAACAATATTAAGTCATCTGGGCTGGATGCAGTGGCTCACGCCTGTAATCCCAGCACTTTGGGAGGCCAAGGCCAGTAGATCACTTGAGGCCAGTTTGAGACTAGCCTGGCCAACATGGCAAAACCCTGTCTCTATTAAAAATACAAAAATTAGCCAGATGTGGTGGTGCATGCCTGTAATCCCAGCTACTCAGGAGGCTGAGGCAGGAGAATTGGTTGAACCCAGGAGGCTGAGGTTGCAGTGAGCCGAGATCGTGCCACTGCACTCTAGCCTGGGAGACACAGTGAGACTGTCTCAAAAAACAAAAAAACAATATAAAGTCATCTGATCTATGAGCATGGAATTCTCTGAGAATACAGAAAAACACAATAGTTCTTTTTCTTATTCTCAAACAATAACATGCAACACTTCTGCGACCAGATGTGGGGGCTCTTTCCACACACACCAAGCAAGCAAGTCTGCAGAGCATTCCTCTCCAGCAGACACCAGGAGGCTGCCCCCTAACTGAACTAAATTCTGATGCTACTTGGAGATAGCATCAGATTCCACAGGTTCAGGTCCCAGTGCCATAAGACTGCCCTCACCTCACGTGCCAGTTAATTAATTAATTAATTTTTTTGAGATGGAGTCTTGCTCTGTCACCAGGCTGGAGTGCAGTGGTGCGATCTTGGCTCACTGCAACCTCCACCTCCCACGTTCAAGCCATTCTCCTGCCTCAGCCTCCCGAGTGGCTGAGACTACAGGTGCCTGCCACCACGCCTGGCTAATTTTTGTATTTTTAGTAGGGTCAGGGTTTCACTGTGTTGGCCAGGATGGTCTCGATCTCTTGACCTTCTGATACACCTGCCTCGGCTGCCCAAAGTGCTGGGATTACAGGCGTGAGCCACCGCGCCCAGCCTGGAATTCTTAACAGGACCATTAGGATTAAATAAATTTTACTGGGGGTCTGAAGAAATGATGTAATCAAGCGCCCGGCTTGATTACATCATTGGATATTGGTGATAGACTTAAACTTCAGCACCTCTCTCCTCCAGGTGAGGCAGGGAACTTAAGGCCAATTTGTGCTGACTTCCTAAAGCTGGGTCAAAGGAAAACACCAAGGTCTTGGGGCAGAGAATCTAAGGCCAATTAACGCCAACTGCCTAAAGCTAAACCAAAAGAAAAAACCCCATCTCCCCAAGCCTGGAGCAGCAAAGGATGGAAGGCTACTTTCCCTCCAGCCCTCCCACTTCCACCAACATCTCAGATGGAAAGTGCCCTGGATTGGCTGCGGGCCAAGCATGGCCCATCCCTTCATCTTCAGAGGGCACCAATTCACCTCAGCCTTTAATTAGCCACCAGCCAAATCCTTCATCCAGATAAGGGGTAACTGATGGGGACCTTGAAAGGAGTACTTAAAACCCAGAAAACTTTGTAACTGGTCCCTTGAGCTGCTTGCTCGGGCTCACTTCCACCCTGTAATGTGCTTTCTCCCTTTAATAAATCCTTGCATTTGCGGCTTCGGTCCTGGGTTTCGTTCCTTTGTGTGTTTTCTTCAGTTCTTTGTTCAAAAACTCCAAGGACCTGGACAACTCACACTCATGGCCTTCCTTCCAGTAACACAGGGGAGTCAGGGGTGAAGCAGAGTATCCTAACCATCTAATCACATGGTTGTTTCCCCTGGCAACCACCCCATCCTGAGGCTATGCACGGCCCGCAGTCACTAGTCACCTCAACATCACTTTGATTCCAAGGCTTTTAGGAGCTGTAGGCCAAGGAAACAGGAACAAACCAAAATAAATATTTCATAATATCACAGATGTCTTTCTAGGTATTTGTATCTTTCTTTCTTTTTTTTTTTTTTGAGATGGAGTTTCCCTCTTGTCGTCCAGGCTGGAGTGCAGTGGTGTGGTCTTGTCTCACTGCAACCTCTTCCTCCTGGGTTGAAGTGATTCTCCTGCCTCAGCCTCCTGAGTAGCTGGGACTACATGCACGCACCACCACGCCCGGCTGATTTTTGTATTTTTGGTAGAGACGGGGTTTCACCATTATTGGCCAGGCTGGTCTCAAACTCCTGACCTCAGGTGATCCACCTGCCTCGGCCTCCCAAAGTGCTGAGATTACAGGTGTGAGCCACTGCGCCCAGCCTCTTTAGTTTCTTTTAGCAATGCTTTGTAGCTTTCAGTGTAGAAGTCTTTTATTTTCTTGGTTACATTTATTCTCAAGTATTTGTTTTTGTGCCATTGTAAATGGGATTGTTTTCTTAATTTTCTTTTCTGCCTGGTCACCACTAGTGTGTAGAAACACAATTCATTATTATTTTTCTTGCTGATTTTGTTTTTTTCGCCTTTGCTGAAATCCCATAGAGTCAGCCCTCCATATTCCTGGGTTCTGCATCTATGGATTCAACCAGCTACGAATTGAAAATATTCAGAAAAAAATTGGATGGCTGTGTCTGTAATGAATATGTGCTTTTTTCCCCCTTATTATCTCCTAAATGACTTATTATAAAAACTATTTACACAGCAGTTGCATTGTATTAGGTATTATAAATAACCTACAGATGATTTAAAGTATATAGGAAGATGAGTGTAGGTTATGAGAAAAGAACTTTTATCTGAAGAATGTGAGACTGTGGCAGGCCAGGTCTCACTAACGCAGGCCTCCATAACAACTGTTTCAGTACTGACTGAGTGGTTAAGTTAAATATTAAAAGCCAGCGCCCTTACATAAGGGCTGGGATGTAACAAAAGCCCACCAAAAAGTTTCTCCTAGGCCTGCCTTTCTTGGGCTTTAATGCATGACAACAATAATGAAGGAATTTTTTTTTTTGAGATGGAGTCTCACTCTGTTGCCCAGCTGCGATCTCGGCTCACTGCAACCTCTGCCTCCCAGGTTCAAGCAATTCTCCCGCCTCAGCCTCCTGAGTAGCTGAGACTACAGGTGCCCGCCACCCCACCCGGCTAATTTTTTGTATTTTTAGTAGAGATGGGGTTTCACCGTGTTAGCCAGGATAGTCTCGATCTCCTGACCTCGTGATCCGCCCGCCTCGGCCTCCCAAAGTGCTGAGATTACAGGGGTTAGCCACCATGCCTGGCCAAGAAGTTGTTTTATCTTGTTTACTGCTGAAGGTGTCAGGGTAAGGGGGGCCCAGGTGGGCTGAAGTTTCCTCTTGCTCACAGCGCAGACAGTTGCCCGGACTAAGGAAGCCGACATCTTTGCTGTCCTGGCGCTCCGGTACCTCCAGCCAGAGCTCGGCCGCCTCAGCCTCTCTCCATGGACATGGCGGGCGCATCCAGTTCAAAGAATTTTTAAATTTCCATCTTGATTTCATCCAACGCTCATCCAGAAACAGGTTGATCTTTAATTTTTAATTTAATTTCCATGTATTTAATTTCTAAAATTTATTTAATTTCCATGTATTTGCATGGTTTTGATGGTTCATTTGGAGTTGATTTTCACTTTTATTCCACTGTAGTCTGAGAAAATAGTTGATATAATTTTGATTGTCTTAAATTTATTGAGACTTGTGGCCTATCATATGTCTATCTTGGAAAATGTTTCAAGTGCTGATGAATAAAATGTATATTCTGCAGTTCTTAGGTAGAATTTCTGTAAATATTTTTTAACTCCATTTGTTCTAGGATATAGTTCTAAGTCCATTTTTTGTTGTTGTTGTTGTTATTATTGACTTTCTGTCCTGATGACTTGTCTATTGCTGTCAGTAGAGTATTGAAGTCCCTCATTATTATTGTGTTGTCATCTATTTCATTTCTTAGGTCTAGTAGTAATTATTTTATAAATTTGGGAGCTCCAGTGTTAGGTGCATGTATATTTAGGATTGTGATATTTCCCTGTTGGACTAGTCCTCTTATCATTATATAATGTCCCTCGTTGTCTTTTTTTTTTTTTAACTGTTTTTGTTTTAAAGTCTGTTTTGTCTGATGTAAGAATGGCTACTACTGCTAGCTTTTGGGGTACATTTGCATGGAATACCTTTTTCCAACCCTTTGCCTTAAGTTTAAGTGAGTCCTTATGTGTTGGGTGAGTCTCTTGAAGACAGCAGATATTTGGCTTGTAAAATCTTTTTTTTGAGTTGGAGTTTAGTTCTAGTCCAGGTTGGAGTGCAATGGCGTGATCTCCGCTCACTGCAACCTCCGCCTCCCGGGTTCAAGCGATTCTGTTACCTCAGCCTCCTGAGTAGCTGGGATTACAGGCATTCACCACCATGTCTGGCTAATTTTTTTGTATTTTTAGTAGAGACAGGGTTTCCCCATGTTGGTCAGGCCGGTCTCAAACTCCCAACCTCAGGTGATCCGCCCACCTCAGCCTCCCAAAGTGCTGGGATTACAGGCATGAGCCACTGCACCTGGTCTGGTAAACTCTTATCCATTCTGCCATTTTGTGTCTTTTAAGTGGAGCATTTAGGCCACTAGATTAGTAGCATTTAGGCCAATAATCACTATCAATTACACCACCATACATTACAATGCCTGTCATTGAAAGGCTTGAACACGTTGTAATCCATTCATCTGTATTCAAGTTTGCAGTTATGGTGGAAACTTTGGCCTATTGATCATCCTGCTGATTAAATAGTCTGTCAAGAGAAAGCAGAGATGCATGAGCATCAACATGGAAAACAGTGATAATGGTAGTGTGTGCCAGGATTCAGATATCTTCCCAGTATTGTTTTCCCCAAACCTCTTTATTCCCAACTAACCATTTGTTTTGTTACCACTGGGGTTTCCAGGTAGTAAGACCATTTGCTACTGACCAAGAGTTGGTATACAAGTGACAAATCCTTCTGGCCTCCTCTTGAATAGCTCGGAGGATGGCTACTAGTTCAGCTAACTGGCTGTTCCCACCCCTTTCTTCATCAGAAATGTTTATGTTTTTAACAGGATTATAAGCCATGGCCTTCTAGTATCTGGTCCCACCAATGTATTTGGTGGATCCATCCATAAACCAAGCATGTTTCTGATCCTCTGGGCATAGTTCTTTGAAGGATCTGCCCCATTGGGCAGGGGAGGTTTCCTTCCCTATCTGCAGGACTTGCTCGGTGATTTCCTGAGCTGGGAAGTTTCGTACATCCTCATGTAAAAGTGATACCCTCTTTGGTTTTGGTTTAGATGGGGGACTTGTATATCACAAGTAGCTGTAAATTAACCGCTAATGCTGCACCAGACACTATAACCCATGTCCTATAGCTTAACAATGGATAGCCAATTACTAATCAATGTCATTTCTGTAAGCCAATGAGAATTCCTGACGACTTTATACCAGCCACTCCCTGTACCCCATTTTGCCTTTAAAAACCTGCTTGTGGCCAGGTGTGGTGGCTCATGCCTGTAATCCCAGCACTTTGGGAGGCAGAGGCATGCAGATCACTTGAGGTCAGAAGTTTGAGACCAGCCTAGCCAACACGGTGAAACCCTGTCTTTACTAAAAATACAAAAATTACCCGGGTGTGGTGGCAGGTGCCTGAAATCCCAGCTACTCAGGAGGCTGAGGTGGGGGAATCGCTTATACCCAGGAGGTGGAGGTTGCAGTGAGCCATGATTGCACCACTGCACTCCAGTCTGGGTGATAGAGTAAGACTCTGTCGCAAAAAAAAACCAAAAACCAAAAAACAAAAAACAAAACACACGCCTGCTTGTGACAAAGGCGGAACGGAGTTCATATCCAAGGTCACTTGGGTCCGAGTCTCCCAGGAAGCTGTTCTCTCTTTGGCTCCAGTAAACTTGTTAAATTATACTTGTGCCTCAGCCTCTTTCTTTTAGGTTGGAATTTTTTTTTTTTTTTTGAGACGGAGTCTTGCTCTGTCACCCAGGCTGGAGTGCAGTAGCATGATCTCAGCTAACTGCAACCTCTGCCTCCTGGGTTCAAGTGATTCTCTTGCCTTAGCCTTCTGAGTAGCTGGGATTACAGGCACATGCCACCACACCTGGCTAATGTTTCTATTTTTAGTAGAGATGGGGTTTCACCATGTTGGTCATGCTGATCTCAAACTCCTGACCTCATGAACCGCCCGCCTCGGCCTCCCAAAGTGTTGGGATTACAGGTGTGAGCCACCACGCCTGGCCTTAGGTTGACATTTCTATAAAAATACTGTGCCATTTTATATAAGGGCCTTGAGTTTCCATAAATTTTGGTACCAAGGGGCACAATGGAGCCAGTTCCCCAGGGATACTGAAGAACTACATTAATTTTAAGTTTTAAAAATGGAATCTTTCTTTTTTCTTTAGACAGGGTGTCGCTCTGTCACCCAGGCTGGAGTGCAGTGGAGCAATCTTGGCCCACTGCAACCTCTGCCTCTGGGCCTCAAGCGATCCTCCTGCCTCAGCCTCCCAAGTAGCTGGGACTACAGGTGTGAGCCACGACACTTGGTTGATTTTTGTATTTGTGTGTGTGTGTGTGTGTGTGTGTGTGTGTATATGTATAGTTTTTTTTTTTTTTGTAACTGTCTCTGTTGGCCAGGCTGGAGTACAGTGGTACAATCTCGGTTCACTGCAACCTCTGCCTCCCGGGTTCATGCAATTCTCATGTCTCAGCTTTCCTGAGTAGCTGGGACTATAGGTGCGTGCCACCACGCCCAGCTAATTTTTGTATTATTAGTAGAGGTGGGGTTTCAGCATGTGGGCCAGGCTAGTCTCAAACTCCTGACCTCAAGTGATCTACCCACCTCGGCCTCCCAAAGTGCTGGGATTACAGGTGTGAGCCACTGTGCTTGGCCAAGTTTTGTATTTTTTGTAGAGATAGGGTTTCACCATGTTGCCCAGGCTGGTCTTGAACTCCTAAACTCAAGCAATTTGCCCTCCTCGGCCTCCCAAAGTGCTGGGATTATAGGCATGAGCCACCATGACTGGCCTAAAAATGGAATCTTTAGGGATTTCTTCACAGGGATCTTGCCATTAACAAAAAGAGATAATTTTACGTATTCCTGTCCAATATGGATGCCTTTTTTTTTTTTAATCATCTAATTGGTCTGCGAGGGCCGGTGGTATGTCCAACAGGAGTGTCCTTTTAAAGTTTTGTCTTTTACTGCTGAGTATGGTGTTAGCTGTGTTTTCAAATACGGCTTTTATTATGTTGAGTATTTTTCTTCTATTCCTAGTTTGTTAGGTTGTTCTTTTTTTAATCAAGAAAGGGGTGTTGAATTTTGTCAGACGCTTTTAGTATACATTCAGTTTCCAAATGGCTCAAATTATGGACTTTTGTTTCAGGTTTTTTTGTTGGAATAAAGAAAACAAAAATCTATCTTCCTTCCTTCACTGTGGTTTTTTTTTTTTTTTTTGAGATGGAGTTTCGCCCTTGTTGCCCAGGCTGGAGTGCAATGGTGCGATCTTGGCTCACTGCAACCTCTGCCTCCCAGGTTCAAGCGATTCTCCTGGCTCAGCCTCCCTAGCAGCTGGGATTATAGGCACCCGCCACCAGGCCCAGCTAATTTTTTTGTATTTTCAGTAGAGACGGTGTTTCGGTATGTTGGCCAGGCTGATCTCGAACTCCTGACCTCAGACGATCCACCCACCTCAGCCTCCCAAAGTGCTGGGATTACAGGCGTGTTGCACCGCGCCCGGCTCTCCTTCACTTTTTGTTTTCTGCTCACTGGAAATACTCTGGGGAGGGGAGGGCCCTCTCTACTACAGCATGTGTTATTTTTTTTCCTCCAGAGATCTTCAAATAACTACTATCAGTTAGGGGCCTCCTGCATGGTGAGAGATGCTTTGTGTGGTTTAAGGACACAAGGCTTTATTTAGGTCTGAACTAACATCTTTGCTGAACTAAAGGATGCCATGAGGGTTATTTCTGACAACCTTGGAGGATCTGGGTCTTTGTTGCGTTAGAGGCGTGAGCAGCAACAGCAGCAGCAGAGGTATTTAAGGGTCCTGGAGAGTGTGGACCTCAAGACACCATCTAATAGCAGCTTCCCAGTCCCCACTCTTTTTGTTCTTTCTGTTTTTCAGATGACTACTTTTTCAGGAATGACTACTTGATGGGCCCACAACTTGCACAGAAGAAAAAAAATCTCCCCACCAGCCTGCACCCTAGATGAAGGCCAATACCCAGCATTAGTCACAGCTTCATTCTAAAATACACAGCCACAGCTAGGCCGGGTGCAGTGGCTCACACCTATAATCCCAGAATTCTGGGAGGCCGAGGCGGATGGATCACTTCAGGTCATAAGTTCGAGACCAGCCTGGCCAACATGATGAAACCCCATCTCTACTAAAAATACAAAAATTAGCTGGGTGTGGTGGCATGCTCCTGTAATCCCTGCTATTTGGGAGGCTGAGGCAGGAGAATCACTTGAACCTGGGAGGCAGAGGTTGCAGTAAGCCAAGAACCCGCCACTGCACTCCAGCCTGGGCGACACAGTGAGACTCTGTCTAGAAAAACAAAAACTAAAACAAAAACAAAAAAACCACAGCTAGGTCCCAGCCAAAACATATGACCCAGGACTGTGTAAGAGGGGCTGCAATCAGCTGGGTGCAGTGGCTCACACCTGTAATCCCAGCACTTTGGGAGGCCAAGGCAGGTGGATCACCTGAGGTTGGGAGTTCGAGATCAGCCTGACCAACATGGAGAAACCCCGTCTCTACTAAAAATACAAAAAATTAGCCAGGCATGGTGGCACTTGCCTGTAATTCCAGCTACTTGAGAGGCTGAGGCAGGAGAATCGCTTGAACCCGGGAGGCGGAGGTTGTGGTGAGCGGAGATCGTGCCATTGCACTCCAGCCTGGGCAACAAGAGCGAAACTCCATCTCAAAAAAAAAAAAAGGGGTGGGGGGTGCTGCAATCCCATACTTCTGCTCCTCAATGTAAAGGAATTATGCAAACTGCTGACTTACCTCAGCTGAATCCGGAACTGAGGCTGGCTAGGCCTCAGCAATGCAACACAGGGCAGCAAGCAGCAGCTCAAAGTACACACTGGCTGCTGGGCAGCAGAGCAGGTTAGCAACCTGGACGAGAGAACAGACCTGTGGCGTGGTGACCAGCATCCAGACATCTTGTTCATGGTGACAACTGCCAGTGTCACCTGAAAACGTGGTTCTGATGTTGACACGCAGAACATGTGGTTCTATGTGGCAGAAACATAGTGAGTGAGTATAAAAAGGCTTATTACATAATTGAGGTCTCAGGGCAGGACTCACAAGCAGCTGTGAAATGGCTTGACAGCAAGGAAGATTGCATTAATTCCTACTGTGAATGGTGATGCAGGAATCCTGAAATAAACACCAGCAAACCATAGGAAGCAACATATTAAAAGCATTACATAACATAGCCAAGTGAGATTTATTCTTGGAACATAAAAATGGTTGAAAATATGAACACTGATCATTGTCATATACCACATTAGCAAAATGATGGAAAATGACAATTATCTCAATTGATGCCATATATGAAAAACCCACATCATTTTGATGGTGAAAAACTGGATCAGGAAAAAAAGGATGTATGCACTAACAGGTTGTTGTTGTTGCTGTTGTTTTTTGAGACGGAGTTCTCACTCTGTTGTCCAGGCTGGAGTGCAGTGTCACCATCTCAGTTCACTGCAGCCTCCACCTCCCAGAGGTTCAGGTGATTCTCCTGTCCCAGCCTCCCAAGTAGCTGGGACTACAGGCAGATGCCACCGCACCCAGCTAATTTTTGTATTTTTAGTAGAGACGGGGTTTCACCATGTTGGTCAGGCTGGTCTCAAACTCCTGGACTCAAGTGGTCTGCCCGCTTGGCCGCCCAAAGTGCTGAGATTACAGGCGTGAGCTACTGCGCCCGGCCCTAACTAGTTTTACTCTATGTGTTAAGGGAGATGCTGTCAGGGAAATCAGGCAAGAAAATGAAGTGAAAGCAATCTAGATTAAAAAATATACACACACAGCCCCCACAGCCTCCCAGACCAACAAGAGATCATAACCATTTTCACTGTACACACAGGTGGACACACCCAGAGACAGACACATAAACTCACAAACTCACAGATAAAAATGGCCCAGAGATACCAACAGATGCTTGCAGAGACACACAGACCCCAGGCCTGCCCCCTCTACTCCAGGTTTCTCTCCTTCCTGAGGAATAACCACTATGATCTACTGTATATTTTTGCTTATTCTCATGTTCTCTTCTAGAATGTCAGGTTGGAGGAGACAGGGATATTAGTGTAGATTTGTTCATTACACCAACTAGAGAACCTGTTATATCAAGGAGATTAATACTTATTGAATCGGCCAGGTGTGGTGGCTCATGCCTGTAATCCCAGCACTTTGGGAGGTGGGCGGATCACCTGAGGTCAGGAGTTTGAGACCAGCCTGGCCAACATGGTGAAACCCCATCTCTACGAAAAATATAAAAATTAGTCGGGCATGGTGGTGCAATCCCAGCACTTTGGGAGGTGGGTGGATCACCTGAGGTCAGGAGTTTGAGACCAGCCTGGCCAACATGATGAAACCCCATCTCTACTAAAAATATAAAAATTAGTCAGGCGTGGTGGAGTAGTAATCCCAGCTACTCCAGAGGCTGAGGCAGAAGAATTGCTTGAACCCGGGAGGCAGAGGTTGCAGTGAGCCAAGACCATGCCATTGCATTCCAGCCTGGGCAACAAGAGCGAAACTCTGTCTCAAAAAAACAAAACAAAACAAAAAAACACTTATTGAATTGTAGGACTCAAACAGACACACAAACAGGTTTTACACAAACCTCGCCATAAGCTCACATACACTTAATCTTCAAAGACTGAATTGTTCTCACCCACATCCCATGTGGCAGAGAGGTGCTTCCGGCCCCCAAGCCTCTCACAAAAAGTGGCTCCTTAGCCCATGCTGATGGGGAAGACATTTTACAATACTTGAGCATATAGACTCTAAGAAGTGCTTTTCTGTAAAAGTAGAAAATGGGAGTTCAAGGATGCAAAAGGGCTGGAAATGGATTGATGCTGCTGCTCCAGCCCTTCAACTGTTATAAATTGTAGATGATTCCAGAAACATCCCTCATGACTTGACCGTGTGTCAGTTTGCTTTTCCACTGAGAGCACAATGAGGGCAGCAAAGGCGTGGATCTCATGGCTCAGCTGCATGCCCTCCTCTGAGCTCTTCCTGGTAGCTCTCACCTTCACTAAGGGCTCATCTGCCAGCAGACCTCGCCCCAGATGGCCTCACGGGACCCCACCATGCTCAAGCCTTGCAAGGCTGCCCCCTGACCCACATCTGCTGTTGGGGTAGGATGGAGGCCTACAAAACTCAGACTAAACATCTTGAATTGACAGAAATATCACTTCTGGTATCCAGGGAGAGACAGGAAGTTGTTGTGAGGTTGGATGGTGAGCTGGCTTCCCTCATTCCTGCCACATCCCTGGCAGGACACTCTGACTTGCTATCCAGGTAACAGTGGGCACTGCCTCCACCAAAGGAAGGGCCTGACACCTACCATGGCTGCACAGCTCAGCAAAGGAGGAACTCTTCGGTGCTGTCAGGACAGTTTCTTGGGAGTTCAGTACACCTTGCATTCTGGGAGTGACATGAAGCGAGTCGGCTCCATGGCCGGTGCCGCCTCTCTGATATAGCGGCTTCCCGTATACCACAAGGCTGGAGTTCTGCAGGGTGGGTTCTGTTCCACGAAGCACTAAGTGCTGGCCTTGGAGGCAAGGCTACGAAACCAGCCCTGCAGCAGCACACGTGACACGCACTGAGGAGAAACCTTGTCATTGTCAGTGCCTAAGCCAGGTGGAATGTGCCAGAAAATCTGGGGTGGGCAAATTAGGGAAGGTAAGAAGTTGATCGTGTCCTGCAGTCTATGGCCATACTACCCTGAACGTGCCTGATCTCGTCTGACTGTGTTCTGTAGCTGGGACATGGTAGGGCATGTCTCTATGATGCCACAGTTGGTTTTGAGACTTCTGTGGTGGTTGGTGCAGAGCTGGTGGTTATGGGACAGTGGATCTTGTATGGTCAAGGGGCATGACACACATTCTGCCACAGCTTCTTCAGCCCTCACTTTAGAGCTACCTGGGTTGTCACAGAAAAATGGTCTAGTGTGAACTTTTATTTATTTATTTATTTTTTTTCTCTTTTTCTTTTTTTTTTGAGACAGGGTCTGTCTCTGTCACCCAGGCTGGAGTGCAGAGGTGTGATCTTGGCTCACTGCAGCCTCCGCCTCCTGGGTTCAAGTGATTCTTCTGCCTCAGCCTCATGAGTAGCTGGGATAACAGGCACGTGCCATCACACCTCGCTAGTTTTTTGTATTTTTAGCAGAGATGGAGTTTCACCGCATTAGCCAGGATGGTCTCAATCTCCCGACCTCATGAGCTGCCCACCTCGACCTCCCAAAGTGCTGGGATTACAGGTATGAGCCACCGTGCCCGGCCTTAGTGTGAACTTTTAAATGCATTTACCAACAAGAATCCACAGTGTGGGTTTGGATGGGAAACGGAGCTGGACATGACCTCCAGACGGCCTTGGAATAACATGATGTTGACAGCCATGAATTAGGGTGTCCACAGGCAGATCCCACTGGAGAACTGTGGGATGTACCTTTGTTTTCAGAACCACAGCATCCCCAAAGATCTGACCCAAGGACACTGATGAAAAGTTCAAAGGCAGATTGTGGGAGCCCTCTCAATTCTGTGCAGTCACGTACGTAAGCTAAGGGCTGGGAGTGTTTCTTAACTTCAGACGGGGTTCCAAGAAAGGCCTGTTGGGACCCAAGTCCTTTCTCCTCAGTCCTTCAATTTGTCCTAAGGCAGTGGAAAGGGTTGCATATGTACTTGAAGACATTTCCATATTGCTTACATTCAAGAAGCTGCTCTTAAATGTGTGCATGGTTTCATGGTCTCAAAATGAACTAGGATGCACAAGAAACTCAGAAATGACAGAAAAGTTAAATGAATATGAAACTGAAGAGTTTAGATTCCACGGATATTTAAAAACCAGTCAACTTGAAATGGATATTCAGATTAAAAAGATAAAACATAAGACTGATAATCTTATAGCAGAACTGGAAGGTGCATCTTCAAAATGTCTGTATCTGGCTGAAAACAATCAAGTTCTTCAACAGGAATTATTATCTATGAAAACGATACAACAGAAATGTAAAGAATTTGAGAAGAATAAAAAGGTGTTGGAACAAGAAGTGAGAGGAGTTAGCTAGCTTGCCTCAGGTAAACAGCAAGGGAAGGGTTTTTGGAGAGCCCCCGACCCACTGGTTAGTGCCTTATTCCCACATATAACAAGGTCTCTGATTGGATTAAAAAATAATAATAATTAGCACAGGGAGTCATGCCTAGAGATATGCCCACAGCTGCACAGATAGAACTTTTAGCCCACTCAGATAAGGAAACTTGCACAAACCTTTAGCCCACTTAAATAAAGGAACAAGGCCCAACATAGAAATGCCTTAGTCCTTTGTATAATTAGTGGGCTTCCAGGAAATAGCCTCTACTCCTTTTATGGGCATATACCTGGTGGGCTCTGGTGGGTTCTGGTGGGCACTTCCTTTTTTTAAACATTCTTTAGCCTCTATGAATCATCACTTCAGCCTCTGATTGGTCCCAGGCCAAGGTCCTGGGCCAGGCTGAATCATGCTTTGCCAAGACAGCCTTCAGACTAGTCAGCACATTTCTTCCCCTTTCCAGTCTATAAAAATCCCAGACCCAGCCTCATAGTGGGCAACCCATTTGGGCTCCACTCTCTGCTGCACAGAGCTTTCTTTTTTTGCTTATTAAACTTTTGCTCCAATCTCACCCTTGTGTCTGCATTCCTTAATCTTCTTGGAAGTAAGACAAATAACTCCACATAGTACCTCAGAAAACAAAAAACTGCTACACTGTGGTGCATTGGCAAGCCTGTAACAGAAGTAGTAAATCTAAAAAGTCATATGGAAATGAACGTGCTATAGAATATGTAGAGAAGTTTAAATGAGAGATTGAAGAAAGAGCAAGACAAGAAAGAGAAAAATTAGAAGTCCATCTACAGAACGAATGAGATACCAGCAGCAGTGTGCACCAAGCTTCTACAGACAAAGTGCGTCAAATGTTTACTCTCCATTTTTACTACAAGGCCAGTCCAAGAGTTACCTTGTGTTGAAAATCTTAATAGTGTAGGTCTCAACAGAGGACATATTATGAGAGAAAACTTAAGGATCCCTACCTCATACCCAGAGACCTCAAATAGCAGCATGAACTACTCAACCAAGACTCAGCCAGATTGGATAGAAAAAAATAACTACAGAAGTAAAAAATGCTGTTGCTGAATTGGAAATTAGCTCTCATATGGTTTCTTCTGTAGAATCCACTGAAGAATGAGTCACATCTAAATCAATATGTCCTTTGGAAAGCATAATGAGAATATGTTCCAGTTTTAAAGAAAAATGTTATAATTTATAAGATTGTAAAATTTTATTACTGGGCTGTTTACATGATACTTTCTTTCTTATTAAATATAACCTGACAATCTTTATTAAATGAAAATATTTTTGTATCATCAACAACAACAAAAGAACTAGGATGAAGAATTTCCCACATTCTTAATATTTATAGGGTTTCTCTCCAGTATACATTCTCATGTGTGCTCAAAAGGCTGTGTGAAGGCTTTCCCAAATGTCTTACATTTATAGACTTTCACCCCACTCTGACTCCTTTCATATATTCACACTCTAGAGGACAGTTGGAAGATTTTCCCACTTTTATTTTTTCTTGAGACAGTGTCTCATTCTGTCGCACAGGCTGGAATGCAGTGGCGTGATCTCAGCTCACTGCAACCTCTGTCTCCAGGTTCAAGTGATTCTCCTGCCTTAGCCTCCTGAGTAGCTGGGATTAGAGGCATGCACTACCATGCCTGGTTCATTTTTTGGTAATTTTTAGTAGAGATGGGGTTACACCATGTTGACCACGCTGGTCTCGAATTTCTGACCTCAAATGATCTGCCTGCCTTGCACCTTGGCCTCCCAAAGTGCTGGGACTATAGGCATGAGCCAACAAGCTTGGCCTTTTTTAAAAAAACAAAAAACAAAAAACAAAACAGATTTCACTGCAGCACGAGTCCTGTCTTTGAAATGAATTAGGTCAACTGAAGGCTTAATCACAATGTTTACATTCATACTGTTTCTCACCAGTGGGAATTCTTTCGTGCTCAAAAGAAACTGGAACAATTAAGGGCTTTAGAACAATGTTTGTATTCACACAGCTTCTGTCCAGTATGAACTCTTTTGTGTATTCAGAAGGAGCTGGAACAACCGAAGGCTTCAGAATGTTGCTTATATTCTTAGACTTTCTCTCCCATATGAGTCCTTTCATGCAGTCGAAAGTGACTGGAAGAAATGAAGGCTTTTCCACATTGTTTGCATTCATAAGGTTTCTCTCCAGTGTGAGACCTTTCATGAATTCGAACAGAACTTGAAAATCTGAAGGCTTTCCCACATTGTTTACATCGATAGGGTTTCTCTCCCGTGTGAGTTCTCTCATGCATTCGAAATTTACTGGAAGAAATGAAGGCTTTTCCACATTGTTTACATTGATACGGTTTCTCTCCAGTGTGAGTCCTTTCATGCAATCGAATTTGACTGGAACGAAGGAAGGCCTTACCACATTGCTTACACTCAAAAGGCTTATTTCCAGTGTGAATTTTTTCATGTTCTCGAAGGGAACTTGAAAAACTGAAGGTTTTACCGCATAGTTTACATTCATAGGGTTTCTCTCCAGTGTGTGTTCTTTCATGCAGTCGAAAGGAACTGGAACGAATGAAAACTTTTCCACACTGTTTACATTCATAGGGTTTCTCTCCAGTGTGTGACCTTTCATGAATTCGAAAATAACTTGAACACCTGAAGGCTTTCCCACACTGTTTACATTCATAGGGTTTCTCTGCATTGTGAGTCCTTTCATGTCTTTGAAGGGAACTTGAAAAACTGAAGGTTTTACCACATTGTTTACATTCATAGGGTTTCTCTCCAGTGTGAGTTGTTTCGTGTTCTCGAAGGGAACTTGAAAAACTGAAGGTTTTATGACACTGTTTACACTCATAAGGTTTCTCTCCAGTATGAGTTCTTTCATGCAATCGAAGAGAAATGGACCAACTGAATGATTTGCCACATCGTTTACATTCATATGGTTTTTCTCCAATATGAGTTCTTTCATGCACTCGACAGGAATTAGAAGAGTTGAAGGCTTTCCCACATTCTTTACATTTATAAGGTCGAGCCCCAGTGTGTATTATTACATGTGCTCGAAAGCTTGCAGAATAAAAGAAGGCTTTTCCACATTCTTTACATTCATAGGGTTTCTCTCCACTATGAGTCCTTTTATGCCTTCGAAAAGAACTGAGAAAACTGAAGGCTTTACCACATTCTTTACATTTGTAGGGTTTTTCTCCAGTGTGAGTTCTTTCATGAGTTCGAAAGTATGTGGGACAACTGAAAGCCTTACCACATTGCTTACATTCATAGGGTTTCTCTCCAGTGTGAGTCCTTTTGTGTCTTTGAAAAGATTGGTAACATATAAAGGCTTTCCCACACTGTTTACATTCATAGGGTTTCTTTCCAGTATGAGCATGTTTTTGAAAAGACTGGTAATATATAAAGGTTTTTCCACATTGCTTACATTCATAGGGTTTCTGTCCAGCATGAGTCCTTTCATGTCTTTGAAATGGCTGGTAATATATAAAGGCTTTCCCACACTGTTTACATTCATAGGGCTTCACTCCAGTGTGAGTTCTTTCATGTTTGCGAAAGCAGTGGTGATAACTGAAGGTTTTCCCAACTGCTTTACATTTACATGGTTGCTTTTCATATTCCTGATACTCATTTGGTTTCTGTCCAGTGTGAGATCTCATGTGCCTATTAAGGGACGAATGATGAATGAAGTCTCTTCCACAAAAGCTGCATTCATGTGGTTTTGCTCCAGTAAAAGTTTCCTTGTTGATATTAACATTTGGCATCTGGCTAGTGGTTTCTCCACATTTGCTACCTCTTCTACTTTCACAGAGTCTCTCAACCATATGACATCTGTAAAAAATGAATAGCACATTATTAGTGGCTTTTTAATTATTTTGTATTTATTAGTAGGTATGAGAATTACATTTTAACCATTTTCAGAAAAAGTATAGGATATCTGCCCTGTCTGAATTGTTTTAAAGTTAATATATTCAATGCTCTGGAAGAAGACTCAACCATAGTTATGATCAAAACAGTCAATTTTTTTGTTGTTGTTGTTTAAATAAGAGATGGAGTCTCATTCTCTCACCCAGGCTGGAGTACAGTGGCATGATCACAGCTCACTGAAGCCTTGAATTCCTGGGCTCAACCAATCCTCCCATCTCAGCCTCCTGAGCAGGTGGGACTAGAGAGTGCCACCATGCCTGGCTAATTTTTTTTTTTTTTCCAAGATGGAGTCTTGCTCTGTTGCCCAGGCTGGAGTACAGTGGCACGATCTAGGCTCACTGCAGCTTCTGCCTCCTGGGTTCCAGCAATTTTCCTGCCTCAGCCTCCTGGGTAGCTGGGATTATAGGAGCACACCACCACAGCTGGCTAATTTTTGTATTTTTAGTAGAGATGGGGTTTTGCCATGTTGGCCAGGCTGGTCTTGAACTCCTGACCTCAGATGATCTGCCTGCCTTGGCCTCCCAAAGTGCTAGGATTACAGGCATGAGCCACTGTGCCAGGCCTTTTTTTTTTTTTTTCCCCAGATGAGGTCTTGCTATATTACCCAGGCTGGTCTTGAATTCCAGGCCTCAAGTGATCCTCCTACCTCAGCCTCCCAAACTGCTGGGATTACCTACATGAACTATTGTGCCTGGCCAAAATAATAATATTTATAAAAGGGGTTTCTAAATGCTATTTCGAAGTGATTTATTTTTCACATCCTGAACATCTATGATGTTTTTAAGAAAACATTTTCAGTGAAAGTTTTCTAGGAATAAATAAATTTGAAGCTGTGCTTAATTGTTTTGCTTGCTTTCTTTTGAAATTCCCCCACGGGCCACTATTTTTCTGTGGATGCAACTCACCTTCGATTTTTCCCCTGGTTTCTGTGGTCATCTTCAATGTCCTGGTCTTCCCACTTTTTTCCTAAAATGCATACCCAGAAAGACCATTAAAAATTATTAGAAATTATAGAAAATTGTTACAGTCTAGTTTCATGATTAGCTGTGACTGTCTGATTCAATCACTGAAAGATTCCCTTTCCACATTTCAAATCTTGGAACACAGCTGTTGAGCAAGAAACACTTGTTCTGTGTTCTATATTTAACTGAGGAAAGAAATGTTGATATCCTTACCTAGACAAACCAGGTTTTTGAAGGTCTCCTGCATCACATCTTCATAGAGCTTTTTCTGTGAAGAATCCAGCAAAGCCCACTCCTCCAGGGTGAAGTTCACGGCCACATCCTCAAAGGAGACTGAGTCCTGAAACATTCCACATATGTTTACAGAGGATGGGTAAGACTGGCAGTACTGGGGATCTATACTTGATTTGTAAGAAGTTCCCATACAATTCTGTGTTCTCCAAACATTTGGTGTATGACTCAGCTGTCAGAACTACGACTGTCCACACTGACTTCCTCATAAAATTCATGCTGTCATGAACACACAGAAATTACTTCTATTTTTTTCTTTTTCCTTTTTCTTTTTCTTTTTTTTTTTTTTTTGAGACAGAGTCTTGCTTTATTGCCCAGGCTGGAGTTCAGTGGTGCGATCTTGGCTCACTGCAACCTCTGCCTCTGGAGCTCAAATGATTCTCGTGCCCCAGCCTCCTAAGTAGCTGGGACTACAGGTGTGTACCATACCTATCTAATTTTTTGTATTTTTAGTAGAGACGGGGTTTCACCATGTTGGCCAGGCTGGTCTCGAACTCCTGAGCTCAGGCAATTTGCCCGCCTCGGCCTCCCAAAGTGCTAGGATTACAGGCGTGAGCCACTGTGCCTGGTCAATTACTTCTAAATTTTTACTGTGATCATGTGAAACCTTATTGTTCTCTAAAGGTGGACTCAAGCTCACACTGGAAAAGTAAGAGAAATGCTATACAAATGAAACAAATTTTAAGACCATTAATCCCTTGTGAGAAAAACTCATTTCCTACCTTATTACGTACCATATCACTCAGCATTTCATTACGCATGGAATCAATCTGGATAAGGTTTTAATAAATAAATACACCTTCAAGAACTGTAGGCTTTTCTTTTATTCCCATCAACAAACGAGAGGCCAGGAGGCCTGTGGAAAGCTAAATTGTCACAAGGAGCTGCTGGCCATGTCCTGAAGGACTCCAGGCCACTACTGCAGTGGAGTAATTAAGGAATCAGAGAGATTGAGGGGTTGAGGAGGAATTATTTAATTATTTAGGTGCACCCACCCAGTTGGATTAACATCCAAAGAACTGAGCCCCAAACAGAGTCAAGCTACCTTTTAACCATTTCGTGGGGTGGGGAGGAGATTTGTGCAGGGGGAAGTGTATTACAGAAGCGAGAAACAAAGACAGTTATTCAATTAAAACACGCATTACATTACTTCTTACTTTTCAAGGAACGACAACATGTTTTACGACTTGAGATTATCTGTTTAGTGACCTTGCAGCTGCACAGCTAGAGAAACAGTCTTCACAATGCCTGGGAAAGGGAGAGATAAGGCTCACTAGCTACAGAAAAATAGGCAGTCAATTTTTAAAGGACTTCAGATCTTTCTCTTCCTCAGGGGGAACTGGTTTTTCTTACATACAACTGAGTTTTTGCTTATACATTTTTAAAATTTCTTTTAATTCCTGTTCCACTATAAGTACTCAAATCCAGCTGGCTGAATGAAAATATTTCTTTGCAGAAGTATTAATTTCAACTTGTTTGTGTAATATTTATCACAGGCTCAGTTCTTCCTTTTTCTCTCTCTCACATTTCATGGATCTAGGAGATTACTAGGAAGTTAGAGCTCAGGCCTGAGGAGGAACGTATGGCAACTTACACCTCTACAAAATTTGTATACCAGGAGAGGGTTTATTACGCGTTTACTTGAGACTTTGGGAAGACTCGGGTAGGCTGGCTAGGGGTTTTCACTGAGGTTAGGGAGTGGGCTAGTGTGGGAGTTCAAGCATACAAGCAGGGGCTAATGTGGATTGAATGTCTCACCAGCACCAAATGAGGGTGACCCAGGCTTTCTTCCTACCACATCTGGATGTAGGGTACATAGTAGAAAAGGAGGAATGAGATTTTATTTTATTTATTTTATTTCATTTGTTTTGAGACCGAGTTTCGCTGTTGCCCAGGTTGGAGTGCTGTAGCGTGATCTCGGCTCACTGCAACCTTCGCCTCCCAGGTTCAAGCGATTCTTGTGCCTCAGCCTCCTGAATAGCTGGGATTACAGATGTGCACCACCACACCCGTCTAATTTTTGTGTTTTTAGTAGAGACAGGGTTTTGCCATGTTGGCCAGGCTGGGCTTGAACTCCTGGGCTCAAGCGATCTGCCTGCCTCCGCCTCCCAAAGTGCTGGGATTATAGGTGTGAGTCCCCATGCCTGGCAATAATGAGATTTTAAAGCTATCATCCATCAAACATCACAAAAAAATGAAGTCAGAGACTTCCAATTTCTGGTCTCACAAGTAAGGAACGTAGAAATTGTCAATCCCAGCCGTGCAAGTAAAAAATAAACATCAAATCAATTACCCTTCTTGGATCCATTAAAGAATTGAGGGTCATAAGGCAAAGTTTTCTCTCTAAAATTTGAGAGATGAATAGGAAAAGTAACAGTTTTGTAATATTCCCAGAACATAATGTTCTTCTTAAGAAGACCTGTTCTCAAAAAATTCCATTTCAACAAAAGCCCAACCTACTATGATTTTACCAAAGCCTATGTGACCTGGGGGCAGGGACACAGAAGCATGTGTGAAGGTGAACCGTTTTTTGTCTTCCCAACACCAATACAAGGTGTCTTTTCCAACGCCATTCTCCAAATCTCTGACATCGACTGTGCCCTAAAATTTAATTCAATTCTAAGTACCCAGAATTAGTCAGACTCCACAGGTTAAGGACTCAGTCCCACAAGACTGCCCCCATGTCAGATGCAAGCCACACGGTAGGGTGCCCAGGCCACCCATGCTTCTACACGCCAACTACAAATCTGGAGTTCCCACACCACCCTTTATAGTTCAGTAATTCACTAGGGCCTCCCTCAGAAGTCAGGAGAGTGATATACTTAGCATCACCGGTTTAATTACAAAACATACAACTCAGGAACAGCCAAGTGGAAGAGGCCCATTGGTCGGTATGCAGAGCAGGTGGGATGTTTCCATGCATTCCCTGGGTGTGCCATCCTCACAGCACCTCAATATGTTCACCAACATGGAAGTTCTCAGAACCCCAATATTTATGAAGGTCCCAACACACAGATATGATTGATTAAATCATTACACACTAATGATTAATTCAATCTCCAGCTCCTCTTTTCTCTTGTGAGGCTGGGGGCTAGGGCTGAAAGTTCAAGGGCAGGTCTTTCTGGTCACCAATCCTAATCCTAAAGTCATCTAGGATCTCCTAAGAGTGCTGCTTTGCAAACAAGGAGGATCCTTTCACCCTTCTCACTTGTGAAATTCAAGGGATTTAGGAGCTCTGTGCTAGGAATCACACACAAAGACTAAGTATCTTTCTTATCATATCACAAAACATCACAGCTCGGGCACAGGCTCACTAAAAGACTGAGATCAAATCATAGGACTATAACATGTTTCCCTTCCACCTACACCTTACCACTATTGTCATTAGGGTTTCTGTTTAAAAACAGGTGACTGCAATGAAAGAATATTGCACTGTTTCTTTCTGCATGTTTCAGACTTTATTTAACAAGTGTCTAGAGAAGCCCAAAGATGACAGGAGAGAGAAAAGCAAGGACATCAAAGGAAATTTTAACCTCTGACATCTACGGCTACTGAAAACAGTAAACAGAGACAAAACCCAGTAGGATAAACCTAAAACCTCACACTCAAGGCCTATTTACCTCAGTTTCTTTTTCCCAGTACATCTTGTCGAGTTTTCAACAAAAATTATACGAAATACAAAAAGGTTTTAAGAACAGAATTAGAAGACAGAGGTCAAGCACCAGAACCAGATTAGGTATAGAAGAGATGTTGGAATTGTCAGATCAGAAATTTAAACCAAATATGATTAATATACTAAGGGTTCTCATGGAAATGTTGAACAATATGAAAGAAAAAATAGACAATTTAAGCATATATATAGAAATTCTAACAAAGAATCAAAAGGTAACGAAGGACATAAAATACACTGCAACAGAAATGAAGAACAGCCTTACAGGTTCATCAATACAGTGGAAATGTCTGAAGAGATGATGAGTGATCTTGAAGAACTGTCAGTATAACCCGTCAAACTGAAAAGGAGAAACAAGACATCAGAAGATCCAAAAACTGTCAGAAAATTACAAAAAGTGGAACATACACATAATAGTACTAACTAAAGACAAGAAAGAAACAGAAGAAATAACTGAAGCAATAATGACTGATAATTTCCCAAAATTAATGTTATACATGAAAGGAAATATCCAGGAATGCCAAGCAACATAAATACCCCCAAATCCACACCTGGGTGTATCATATTCAAGGAGAAAATTAAAAGACAAAGAAAAACTTTGAAAGAAGTTACAGGGGGAACAAACAACATCTTTGTTATAAAAACATAAAAGAATTAAGTCAGACTCTTTTTTTTGAGACATTGTCACACTCTGTTGCCCAGGCTGGAGTGCAGTGGGACGATCCTGGCCCACTGCAACCTCCACTTCCTGGGTTCAAGCAATTCTCCTGCCTCAGCCTCCGAGTAGCTGAGATTACAGGTACGCACCACCATGTCCAGCTAATTTTTTGTATTTTCAGTAGAGATGGGGTTTTGCCATGTTGGCCAGGTGGGTGTCAAACTCCTGGCCCCAAGTGATCTGCCCACCTCGACCTCCCAAAGGGCTGGGATTACAGACGTGAGCCACCAGGACCAGCCCAAGACTCTTTACAGAAAGTGAAAGCAAGAAGAGACTGGAGTGAAATGTTTAAAACATTATAAGACAAAACCCCCAACCACATAGAATTCTGTATAGAGCAAGAATATCCCTCAAAATGGAAGAGAAATGAAAGCTTTATGAGATAAGAAAAGATAATCTGTCACTAGCGTACCTGCCTTGAAAGAACTGTTAAAAAATTCCCTACAAAAAAGAAAAACGATAAAGAAGGGTATTAGAGAAAAAATAAATACAAGTAAAATACAATCTCTTTTTTGTAATCTGACAGATGAGTTTGTCCAAAACACTAACAGGAACAATATATTTGGTAAGTCCAGCTTATGGATAAATGATACGTATGGTAGCAATGTTACAAAGGACAGGAAAGGAGGAATTGGGAATACTTTTTCATGAGGTACTTGCACAACCAGTGAGGTAGTACAGTGTTCTTTACAAGAGGACTTGGGTTACTTGTAAGCATGTACTACAAACTCAAAGGCAATGAGTAAAACTTAAAAAACAACAAAAAACTATAATTGATGTGCTAAGTGGGGAGAAAAATGGCATCAAGTAAAATGCTTAATGAAAGCAGATAAGGTAGAAAAAGAATAGAAGATGGGAAAGGAAGAACAACAACAAATAGAAAAACATAAAAAGAAAAAGGGAGACATTAATACAACTAAATCAATAACATGTTAAACATCAATGGTCTAAATACAACAAATGGTGGACAGATACTGTCAATAATGGATCAAATATACGGTGTTGAAAAGAAACACATTTTAAATATACAGTTATAGATACATTAAAAATAAAGGAATGAAGAAAGATATGCCATGCTAACACTAAGAAAAAGAAAAGTAACACAGCTATGTTCATTTCAGACAAAGCTGACTTCACATCCTGGAAATCTCAGTGACACAGGGGCATTATGTAATAACAAAGTGATCAATTCACCAAGAAGACAAGGCAATCCTTAGTGTGTATGTGCATAAAAACAGAGTGGCAAAATAATGAGGCAAAACTGATGGAACGGCAGGGAGAACTGCATGGAGCCATGAAGTATAGCTGGAGACTTCAATACCTGTCTATCAGCAATAGCAGATCCAGCAGGCAGAAAATGAGGAAGGACATTGTTGAACTGAACAGTACCATCAAACAACTGGACTGAACGGAAAATCAAAACACTTAGACCAGCAATAGCAGGATATACATTCTTCTCAAGTTCACATGGAACATTCACCAAGGTAGCCCACATTCTGGAACATAAAACATATCTTTTTTTTTTTTTTTTGAGATGGAGTCTCGCTCTTGTTGCCCAGGCTGGAGTGCAATGACACAACCTCGGGTCACTGCAACCTCTGCTTCCTGGGTTCAAGTAATTCTCCTGCCTCAGCTTTCCGAGTAACTTAAATAACAGGCGCCTGCCACCATGCCTGGCTAATTTTTTTGTATTTTTAGTAGAGACGGGGTTTCGCCATGTTGGCCAGGCTGGTCTCAAGGTCCTGACCTCAAGTGATCTGTCCGCCTCGGCCTCCCAAAGTGCTGGGATTACAGGCATGAGCCACCATGCCCTGCCAGGAAATTGGGCAGCTCAATTTTCTAAGAGCTCCTAAAATAATTGGAAGCCCCTAAAATTAAAAATAATCAGGGAACTCATTTTACATCAAGGACTACACAAGTGACATCAGATCAATGAGATACACAATGGAATTTCCACCTACCCTATAATCCCACAGCAGCAAGATGTATATAGAAATTAACCAGGCTACTAAAAAGAGAATTGAAAACCCTAGACAAAGTGAGCACATCCCAAGAAGCTCTTAACCCGGCATGTTTTAATTTAAATAAAAGAGAAAGCATTCATAAGAACAACCTCCTACTCTTACTTTATTTATTTATTGATTTTTTTGAGACAGAGTCTTGCTCTGTCACTCAGGTTGGAGCGCAGTGGCGCGATCTTGGCTCACTGCAACCTCCACCTCCCGGGTTCAAGTGATCCTCCTGCCTCAGTCTCTCAAGTAGCTAGGACTATAGGCACGCACCACCATGCCCGGCTAATTTTTGTATTTTTAGTAGAGACGGGGTTTCACCATGTTAGTCAGGCTGGTCTTGAACTCCTGACCTCATGATCTGCCCGCCTTGGCCTCCCAAAGTGCTAGGATTACAGGCATGAGCCACCACCCCCGGCCCTTCCTACTCTTACTTTAATCAACCAACCTTAATAGTCACAAAGGATAAGGAAGACAATGATACAAAGATTATACCTTACAAGGGGAGCATTTGACTAAATGCCAACTCTATCTCCCAGCAGGACATCTTGGCCCATGGATATGAAAATACTTATTGACTACAGGTAAAAGAGGAGACTTAGAATTATGCAAAATCTCCAACTTTTCTCCAAATTCTCACTAGACCTAGATTTGTTACACCTTTTACAACAGTGGCACTACACTGTTTTCTTCAAGTCACTGATTGCATCAATATTTCCATAAGAATAATTGAAGGTATACTTCAATCCAGTTTTACTTGCCACTCACCTCGTATTTTTAACTTCAACATCACCTGTAGCCATCACTGGAATAACTCGTTTACTTGCTTAAGAACAACAACCTGGGCTTGGTGTGGTGGCTCATGCCTGTAATCCTAGCACTTTGGGAGGCCGAGGTGGGTGGATCACCTGAGGTCAGGAGTTCAAGACCAGCCTGATCAACATGGTGAAACCCTGTCTCTACTAAAAAATACAAAAATTAGCCAGGTATGGTGGCAGCCACCTGTAATCCCACCTACTAGGGAGGTAGAGGCAGGAGAATTGCTTGAACCCAGGAGGCAGAGTATGCAGTGAGCCAACATTGCGCCATTGCACTCCAGCCTGGGTGACAGAGCAAGACTCAGTCTCAAAAAAAAAAAAAAAAAAGAACAACCTGGCTACAAATTTGTGTAGCTTCTCAGTTGGTCTTACCGCCTTTCTCATTCACCTCTGCTAGTCATCAGAGTGACTTTACTGTCTTGTTATTACTTAAATTCCAACCACATAAACCAGGGTAACACAAGCATACACACCACTGCAGACAAATGACAAATTACACCATCTGCTTGCCAAGCACAGTATCTGATTAATAATTTGCAGACTGACAGCAACAGTGCACTCCCAGCATGGAGACTTAGTTTCTCCAAGATCACCTTTAGCCTTTCTAAGATCTCCTATGTCTCACCTTATTCTACATATGGCTAGCCAGTTTTCCCAACACCATTTATTAAACAGGGAATCCTTTCCCCATTTCTTGTTTTTGTCAGGTTTGTCAAAGATCAGGGTCGTAGATGTGTGGTATTATTTCTGAGTGCTCCGTTCTGTTCCACTGGTCTGTATCTCTGTTTTGGTACCAGTACCATGCTGTTTTGGTTGCTGTAGCCTTGTAGTATAGTTTGAAGTCAGGTAGCGTGATGCCTCCAGCTTTGTTCTTTTGGCTTAGGATTGTCTTTGCTATATGGGCTCTTTTTTGGTTCCATATGAACTTTAAAGTAGTTTTTTCCAATTCTGTGAAGAAAGTCATTGGTAGCTTGATGGGGATGGCATTGAATCTATAAATTACCTTCGGCAGTATGGCCATTTTCACTATATTGATTCTTCCTATCCATGAGCATGGAATGTTCTTCCATTTGTTTGTGTCCCCTTTTATTTCATTGAGCAGTGGTTTGTAGTTCTCCTTGAATAGTTCTCCTTGAAGAGGTCCTTCACATCCCTTGTAAGTTGGATTCCTAGGTATTTTATTCTCTTTGTAGCAATTGTGAATGGGAGTTCACTCATGATTTGGCTCTCTTTTGCCTGATATTGGTATATAGGAATGCTTGTGATTTTTGCACATTGATTTTGTATCCTGAGACTTTGCTGAAGTTGCTTATCAGCTTAAGGAGATTTTGGGCTGAGACGATGGGTTTTCTAAACATAAAATCTGCAAACAGGGACAATTTGACTTCCTCTTTTCCTAATTGAATACCCTTTATTTCTTTCTCCTGCCTGATTGCCCTGGCCAGAACTTCCAACACTATATTGAATAGGAGTGGTGAGAGAGGGCATCCCTGTCTTGTGCCAGTTTTCAAAGGGAATGCTTCCAGTTTATGCCCATTCAGTATGATATTGGCTGTGGGTTTGTCATAGATAGCTCTTATTATTTTGAGATACATCCAATCAATACCTAGTTTATTGGGAGTTTTTAGCATGAAGGAAGGGCTGTTGAATTTTGTTGAAGGCCTTTTCTGCATCTATTGAGATAATCATGTGGTTTTTGTCTTTGGTTCTGTTTATATGATGGATTACATTTATTGATTTGTGTATGTTGAACCAGCCTTGCATCCCAGGGATGAAGCCAACTTGATCATGGTGGATAAGCTTTTTGATGTGCTGCTGGATTCAGTTTGCCAGTATTTTATTTAGGATTTTTGATTCAATATTCGTCAGGGATATTGGTCTAAAATTCTCTTTTTTTTGTTGTGTTTCTGCCAGGCTTTGGTATCAGGATGATGCTGGCCTCATAAAATGAGTTAGGGAGGATTCCCTCTTTTTCTATTAATTGGAATAGTTTCAGAAGGAATGGTACCAGCTACTCTTTGTACCTCTGGTAGAATCTGGCTGTGAATCCATCTGGTCCTGGGCTTTTTTTGGTTGGTACGCTACTAACTGTTGCTTCAATTTCAGAGCCTGTTATTGGTCTATTCAGGGATTCAACTTCTTCCTGGTTTAGTCTTGGGAGGGTGTATGTCCAGGAATTTATCCATTTCTTCTAGATTTTCTAGTTTATTTGCGTAGAGGTGTTTATACTATTCTCTGATGGTAGTTTGTATTTCTGTGGGATCAGTGGTGATATCCCCTTTATCATTTTTTATTGCATCTATTTGATTCTTCTCTCTTTTATTCTTTATTAGTCTTGCTAGCAGTCTATCAATTTTGTTGATCTTTTTGAAAAACCAGCTCCTGGATTCATTGATTTTTTGAAGAGTTTTTTGTGTCTCTATCTCCTTCAGTTCTGCTCTGATCTTAGTTATTTCTTGCTTTCTGCTAGCTTTTGAATGTGTTTGCTCTTGCTTCTCTAGTTCTTTTAATTGTGATGTTAGGGTGTCAATTTTAGATCTTTCCTGCTTTCTCTTGTGGGCATTTCGTGCTATAAATTTCCCTCTACACGCTGCTTTAAATGTGTCCCAGAGATTCTGGTATGTTTTGTCTTTGTTCTCACTGGTTTCAAAGAACATGTTTATTTCTGCCTTCATTTCGTTATGCACCCAATAGTCATTCAGGAGCAGGTTGTTCAGTTTCGATGCAGTTGAGTGGTTTTGAGTTAGTTTCTTAATCCTGAGTTCTAGTTTGATTGCACTGTGGTCTGAGAGACAGTTTGTTATAATTTCTGTTCTTTTACATTTGCTGAGGAGTGCTTTACTTCCAACTATGTGGTCAATTTTGGAATAAGTGCGATGTGATGCTGAGAAGAATGTACATTCTGTTGATTTGGGGTGGAGAGTTCTGTAGATGTCTATTAGGTCTGCTTGGTGCAGAGCTGAGTTCAATTCCTAGATATCTTGTTAACTTTCTGTCTTGTTGATCTGTCTAATGTTGACAGTGGGGTGTTAAAGTCTCCCATTATTATTGTGTGGGAGTCTAAGTCTCTTTGTAGGTCTCTAAGGGCTTGCTTTATGAATCTGGGTGCTCCTGTATTGGGTGCATATATATTTAGGATAGTTAGCTCTTCTTGTTGAATTGATCCCTTTACCATTATGTAATGGCCTTCTTTGTCTCTTTTGATCTTTGTTGGTTTAAAGTCTGTTTTATCAGAGACTAGGATTGCAACCCCTACTTTTGTTTGTTTTCCATTTGGTTGGTAGATCTTCCTTTGTCCCTTTATCTTGAGCCTATGTGTGTCTCTGCACGTGAGATGGGTCTCCTGAATACAGCACACTGATGGGTGTTGACTCTTTATCCAATTTGCCAGTCTGTGTCTTTTAATTGGAGCATTTACCCCACTTACATTTAAGGTTAATATTATGTGTGAATTTGATCCTGTCATTATGATGTTAGCTAGTTATTTTGCTTGTTAGTTGATGCAGTTTCTTCCTAGCATCAACGGTCTTTACAATTTGGCATGTTTTTGCAGTGGCTGGTACCAGTTGTTCCCTTCCATGTTTAGTGCTTCCCTCAGGAGCTCTTTTAGGGCAGGCCTGGTGGTGACAAAATCTCTCAGCATTTGTTTGTCTGTAAAGGATTTTATTTCTCCTTCACTTATGAAGCTTAGTTTGGCTGGATATGAAATTCTGGGTTGAAAATTCTTTTCTTTAAGAATGTTGAATATTGGCCCCCACTCTCTTCTGGCTTGTAGTTTCTGCCGAGAGATTTGCTGTTAGTCTGATGGGCTTCCCTCTGTGGGGAACAAGACCTTTCTCTCTGGCTGCCCTTAACATTTTTCCCTTCATTTCAACTTTGGTGAATCTGACAATTATGTATCTTGGAGTTGCTCTTCTCGAGGAGTATCTTTGTGGCATTCTCTGTATTTCCTGAATTTGAATGTTGGCCTGCCTTGCTAGGTTGGGGAAGTTCTCCTGGATAATATCCTGAAGAGTGTTTTCCAACTTGGTTCCATTCTCCCCGTCACTTTCAGGTATACCAATCAGATGTAGATTTGTATTTTCACATAGTCCCAAATTTCTTGGAGGCTTTGTTAATTTCTTTTTACTCTTTTTTTCTCTAAAGTTCTCTTCTCACTTCATTTCATTCATTTGATCTTCAATCACTGATACCCTTTCTCCCACTTGATGAAATCAGCTACTGAAGCTTGTGCATGCATCAAGTAGTTCTCGTGCCACGGTTTTCAGCTCCATCAGGTCATTTAAGGTCTTCTCCACACTGTTTATTCTAGTTAGCCATTCGTCTAATCTTTTTTCAAGGTTTTTAGCTTCTTTGCGATGGGTCTGAACATCCTCCTTTAGCTCAGAGAAGTTTGTTATTACCAGTCATCTGAAGCCTTCTTCTCTCAACTCATCAAAGTAATTCTCTCCGTCCAGCTTTGTTCCATTGCTGGCAAAGAGCTGCATTCCTTTGGAGGAGAAGAGGTGCTCTGATTTTTAGAATTTTCAGCTTTTCTGCTCTGGTTTCTTCCCATCTTTGTGGTTTTATCTACCTCTGGTCTTTGATGATGGTGACGTACAAATGGGGTTTTGGTGTGGATGTCCTTTCTGTTTGTTAGTTTTCCTCCTAACAGTCAGGACCCTCAGCTGCAGGTTGGTTGGAGTTTGCTGGAGGTCCACTCCAGACCATTTGCCTGGATATCACCAGCGGAGGCTGCAGAACAGCAAATATTGCAGAACGGCAAATGTTGCTGCCTGATCCTTCCTCTTGAAGCTTCGTCTCAGAGGGGCACCCGGCTGTATGAGGTGTCAGTTGGCCCCTATTGGGAGGTGTCTCCCAGTTAGGCTACTCAGGGGTCAGGGACCCATTTGAGGAGGCAGTCTGTCCGTTCTCAGATCTCAAAATCCATGCTGGGAGAACCACTACTCTCTTCAAAGCTGTCAGACAGGGACATTTAAGTCTGCAGAAGTTTCTGCTGCCTTTTGTTCAGCTATGCCCTGCCCCCAGAGGTGGAGTCTACAGAGGCAGGCAGGCCTCCTTGAGCTGTGGTGAGCTCCACCCAGTTCGAGCTTCCCAGCCGCTTTGTTTACCTACTCAAGCCTCAGCAATGACGGACGCCCCTTCCCCAGCCTTGCTGCCGACTTGCAGTTTGATCTCAGACTGCTGTGCTAGCAGTGAAAGAGGCTCCGTGGGTGTGGGACCCTCCGAGCCAGGCATGGGATATAATCTCCTGGTGTGTCATTTGCTAAGACTGTTGGAAAAGTGCAGTATTAGGGTGGAAGTGTCCCGATTTTCCAGATACCATCTTTCACGGCTTCCCTTGACTAGGAAAGGGAATTCCCCGACCCCTTGCACTTCCCAAGTGAGGCAATGCCCCGCCCTGCTCCATGGGCTGCACCCACTGTCTGCCAAGCCCCAGTGAGATGAACCTGGTACCTCAGTTGGAAATGCAGAAATCACCCATCTTCTGCATTGCTCATGCAGGGAGCTGTAGACTGGAGCTGTTCCTATTTGGCCATCTTGGAGCCTCAAGGCCGAGTACTGTTATATCTTAGTTGTTACAGTGTTATGTTTAATCAGATACATATTACATATCCAATAATTAATATAAAACATAGGATTGACACAAATAGACTAAAATAGTTAATTTTTTTCTTTTTTTGTAGTGATGGGGTCTCCCTATGTTGCTGGTCTCAAGTCATCCTCCCGCCTTGACCTTCCGAAGTGCTGGGATTATAGGTGTGAGGCAATGCACGCAGCCTAAAATATTTTAGAATATAAAAGGGATATAACAGATACAACAACTACTACTACTACTACTTCTGTTCCTACCACTCCTACTAAAGCCACCGTAAAAATTCCTGAGCCTCGAATACATAGATATCCAACAATGCCAACTCATACCTAAAATCACACGATTACCAGAACACACTCCACATGTACTTGATGAAAATATATTCTTTTTTGAACAACTGCCAGAAAAATCAAGGGACTAATAATATGTAGTCTCAGACCATTTGAAATGAATGCCTAAAGAGTTTCTACACACACATCCAATCAATGCATCTTTATAGACGCTTGGCATGTATTCCCAAACACCCCTTAGAAGACCACATAAATGCGACTCAACCAATGTATGTAGCTATAATCAAGCATTCAATAACATCTCAAACCAATGGACAGCACACATAATAATAGAAAAATGCTACCAGAAACAGACATGCCAATCCAAACAGATCATTACCCAGCCTGGCCATCATGGTGAAACTCCGTCTCTACTAAAAATACAAAAATTAGCTGGCATGGTGGCTCATGCCTATAATCCCAGCCACTCGGGAGGCTGAGGCAGGAGAATCGCTTGAACCTGGGATGTGGAGGTTGCAGTGAGCCAAGATCGCACCATTGCACTCCAGCCTGGGCAACACAGTGAGACTCTTGTCTCAAACAAAACAAAACAAAACAAACAAAAAAACACAACAACAAAACAAAACAGATCATTAGATAAAAGCAATCTGTCAGACCAAACACCAATCCCAGTACCACAGTCAAACCATATACTGGGGCCAGGTGCAGAGGCTCATGCCTGTAATCCCAGCACTTTGAGAGGCCGTGGTGGGTGGATCACAAGGTCAGGAGTTCAAGACCAGCCTGGCCAACATGGTGAAATCCCGACTCTAATAAAAATACAAAAAGTAGCCAGGCATGGTGGCAGGCACCTGTAATCCCAGCTACTCAGGAGGCTGAGGCAGGAGAATCACTTGAAACTGGAAGGCAGAGGTTGCAGTGAGCCAAGATCGAGCCACTGCACTCCAGACTGTGCGAAAGTGCGAAACTCCGTCTCAAAAAAAAAAAAAAAAAAAAACATATACTGGAAGAACTAACATGACAAGCTTAAATATGATATATACTCCTATGAGTCATTTGTTGATACTTGATGTGAATTCTGGTACCAATCTGAACTCGAAGGAAGTAAAGATTATGATTACAAAGCAGATCTAAAAGATGGTACAACACCAGACACAGCTATCACACCAATCATTCATATTACATATACCCAACTTTCAGACCTCCACGGGAAAAAATACCAATGCCACTGGGATACCCATTGGACTGTGATATATAATAGAAGAGGATAAGACATACTATAATGATTCTCTAACTTTCCACTTTTGAGAAATTTTGCCTTCCAACCTTGTTATAATTATGCCAAAAGTCAAACTTATTTGACAGAACCACAATTCTTTGACAGAACTAAAAAAATCCTCATAGTAGAATTAGATTGGAAACAAAGATTACACCCAGTAATCTTTTCCCCCCGACAAGACGGAGTCTTGCTCTGTTGCCCAGGCTGGAGTACAGTGGCGTGATCTCAGCTCGCCGCAACCTCCGCCTCCCAGGTTCAAGCGATTCTCCTGCCTCAGCCTCCCAAGTAGCTGGGATTAAAGGCACCCACCACCACACCCAGCTAATTTTTGTATTTTTTAGTAGAGACAGTGTTTTACCATGTTGGCCAGGCTGGTCTGGAACTCCTAACCTCGTGATCCACCCACCTTGGCCTCCCAAAGTGCTGGGATTACAGGTGTGAGCCATTGTGCCTGGCCCACCCAATAATCTTAACTGATCCTCATCACTTTACACACACAACTTTTTTTTTTTTTTTTGAGGCAGTCTTCCTCTGTCATCCAGGCTGGAGTGCAATGGCGCAATCTCAGCTCGCTGCAACCTCAGCCTCCTGGGTTCAAGCAATTCTCCTGCCTCAGCCTCCCGAGTAGCTGGAATTATAGGCGCCAGCCCCCACATCCAGCTAATTTTTTGTATTTTCAGGAGAGACAAAGTTTCACCACGTTGGCCAGGCTGGTCTCGAACTCCTGACTCAGGTGATTCACTCATCTCGGTTTCTCAAAGTGCTGGGATTACAGGCATGAGCCACCACACCTGGGCCTACACACACGACTTCTGAAACACATGCTAAAACAACAGAAGATTATGTAGACAGAGTTGTCCTAAATATACTTGTTTTCAAGGGTACCAATTAAACACCACAACTGAGAAACTTATAAAAAAAAATGTACAGAATCACCCAATGAGACACATATTTTAAGGGATGACCAACATTAATATGCTTCCACCTTAACATATATTAGAGCTGTATTTCATCATCCTACAGGTGAAAAACCTTACCCTCACCCATTTTTCAATATAATTTACTAAAATGGCTACATATACCTAGACCGATAAGCTTTACAAATCAAACTGAATGAACAGACACAGCACCATTCAGAATGTGACATAATTCAACACATACTAAATTCACATTCGTGGCAAGCTTGGCTACAATATATGCAAACTACCTTTATTTATTTAGTTAGTTTTTTTTGAGACAGAGTCTCAAGGCTGGAGTGCAGTGGCATTAGCTCACTGCAACCTCTGCCTCCTGGGTTCAAGCAATTCTAATTCTCCTGCCTCAACCTCCTGAGTAGCTGAGATTACAGGTGTGTGCCACCAGGCTCGGCTAATTTTTTTTTGTATTTTTAGTAGAGATGGATTTCACTATGTTGGTCAGGGTGGTCTTGAACTCCTTACCTCAGGTGATCCGCCCGCCTCGGCCTCCCAAAGTGCTGGGATTACAGGCGTGACCCACCGTGCCCAGCCCGCAGTTTTATTTAAGGGCAGGGTTTGATTTTAAACACAAACTTAACTCCCACATGTCAACTACCACTTTCATACTCTCCTCTATCTCACAGACAATGAAATACAATCAATGATGACTCATATAAATGACCTCACAGAATATCAAAAGGTGTTTAATTACAGTATCAATTACAAGGTAGGCATCTTAAAAACCAATCTATTTACATTAATAAACTTGACGGTGAAAGACTGACTGCAAACCCAATGTACTAAGCGAAGTACTTATACTAACTCAGACTTGGAATAACATAAGAAATCCAATACAGGCCGGGCGCAGTGGCTCATGCCTGTAATCCCAGCACTTTGGGAAGCTGAGGCGGGCGGATCACCTGAGGTTGGGAGTTCGAGACCAGCTTGATTAACATGGAGAAACCCTGTCTCTACTAAAAATACAAAATTAGCTGGGCGTGGTGGCGCATGCCTGTAATCCCAGCTACTAGGGAGGCTGAGGAAGGAGAATCGCTTGAACCTGGAAGGCGGAGGTTGCGGTGAGCCGAGATCACCCCATTGCACTCCAGCCTGGGCAACAAGAGTGAAACTCCATCTCAAAAGAAGAAAGAAAATATAAAAAAAGAAACCCAATACAATCAGGAAAATTATTTACAAAACACTGGCATAAAGCAGCTGTAGTTCAACTGGATACATCCAAACCATCAGGATGTGAAGATTCAAGGTCACGTATATTAAGCCTACTTGAATTAAGATGAGGAGACTCACAACTAGCTTTTGACCCAAGTACACAGACAGATAAAAGATATAATCTACAAATAACCACCTTAGAAAAACCATTATTTATTGATTATTTTATACAAAAATAATTAGTATTCCAATTCTGAAAAACTATATACTACACCTTTCAGGATAGGGTACCCAAACTAGATATGGTACCCAAACTGACATATCAGCATCAAAAGAATACCCACAATCAGCCAGGCGCGGTGGCTCATGCCTGTAATCCCAGCACTTTGGGAGGTTGAGGCAGGCAGACCACCTGAGGTCAGGAGTTCAAGACCAGCCTGGCCAACATGGTGAAACCCCATCTCTGCTAAAAAATAAAAGAATTAGCCGGGTGTGGTGGTGGGTGCCTGTAATCCCAGCTATGCAGGAGGCTGAAGCAGGAGAACTGCTTGAACCAGGGAGGCAGAGGTTGCAGTGAGCTGTGATCATGCCGTTGCACTCCAGCCTGGGCGACAGAGTGAGATTCCATCTCAAAAAAAAGAAAAAAAACAACAACAAAACTACCCACAATGACTCTAGACTTAGGAACCTTCCACTGGTTAATTGCTCAGAGAAAAACACACTGACCTATTACAACCACACGAGGAAAGAAAAAATCACAACATACACTTACAATCAGAATGTATCAAAGTGGTGTGTGTCATAAACATCACTCTCACAAACACCTCAAAGCTTACCACTTAGCCGGGCGCGGTGGCTCACGCCTGTAATCCCAGCACTTTGGGAGGCCAAGGCGGGCAGATCACAAGGTCAGGAGATCGAGACCATCCTGGCTAACACGGTGAAACCCCGTCTCTACTAAAAATACAAAAAAATTAGCTGGGCGTGGTGGCGGGCGCCTGTAGTCCCAGCTACTGGGAAGGCTGAGGCAGAATGGCTTGAACCTGGGAGGCGGAGCTTGCAGTGAGCTGGAGATCGCGCCACTGCACTCCATCCCGGGCGACAGAGCGAGACTCCGTCACACACAAAAAAAAATGCTTACCACTTATATACGGAACAAATGACATACAGAGATTTTGCATCATCATGGCACTCCAACATAGGCGAAATCTCTTGGGTAGAAACCACACAGATAAACACACACAAACAAGAAAATTTAAAAGAACCTGAACAAGCTCACAATTAATTCCATCCAGAAACCAAAGAAACTAAAAATCGCACACATTCACGCAAGGGAACAAAATTACCCAGAGCGAAGGGAAACTGGAATTAAGGGTGGCTAGAATTAATATTTGATCAAGGAGTCCAAAGGGAAGAAACACAAACTTTCTGATCAGTTAAGATAAGGAGTCCCCTTCCCCGCAGTTCGAAAAGAAAGCCCACATTCAGAAGGTCAAAAACACCCCCAGACTTGAGTGCTGGGAGCACTAGAGGGGGTCAGTCCCTGGTGATGAGGGCAGGGGCGTTTGAACAGCCACAGGAACCTGACCCCGGCAGCAAGGACCTAGCCAGGCTTCGGTTCTCACAAGTGAGGAAACGCACCCGTGGATTCATCGTAAGGTTTCCAACCAAGTGGTTTCTTAAACGCACAAACCCCACAGACCGAGATGGGATCTCCCCAGGACCCTCCCGCTGTCACCGAACAATCCGGGGAGACGCGGGGCTGCGGGCGCAGAGCTGCCCATAGAGGGCTCCAGGACCGGGGGCCGAGGTCGCCCCGCGGGGACGGGACAGGACGCTGGGGCTCCCGGCTGCGGGTCCAGCTCCCACAGAGAGGACCGAGGGCCGAACTGCGCCCGCGGTGGCCCCCGGGTCTGCAAACCCCGGAGTTGACTGCAAGGAGGTCCCCGGCCTCGGCCACAGACGGTTCCAACCAGAAACCTCCCCTCGGACACTGGCCCCGCACACTCACCATTTCCCAGCGTCCGGGAAGTCACGGTGTCCTCCCTACGGATCTGTCAGTACCTGCAGGTCACGGCGCGACAAAGGATGCGCTAGAGCCACCTTCGGCCTTCAGGAGCAGGTGAAACGCAATCTTCCCATGGGCCAGGAATGGCGACGTCCGCACTGCGCAGGCCCAGCGTGGCGCCGCTCACATCTTTTCAGCTGAGGTCCTGATTGGACAGATCCAATGGCCCCGCCTCTTTATCACTGAGTGACAGCGGAGCAGGAAGGGGCGTGGTTGAGCTGGCCTGGCTTCAGTCCGGCTTGTCCCCGCCAGGACGTTTGCGTTTAAACCGAATGTGTTCTTTGCCTCCCATCCATTTTAAGTGTTCTCTTCAGTACTGTTAAATACATTCACATTGTGAAGCCAATTTCCAGAATTGTTTTCATCTTGCAACACTGAAATCTGTCTCGTTGCACAACTCCCCGTGCACCTCCTTCCCTCAGGGTCTTTTGCAACCTCCATTCCATTGTCTGAGTTCGTGAATTTGACTGTGGGAATCTCATGTAAATGGCGTCATAAAGTATTTGTCCTTTCCTGACGTGCTTATTTCACTTAGCATAATGTCCTCGAGCTTCACCTTGTAGTATGTGTTAGGATTTATTTCTTCTTTTTTTTTTTTTTTTTGAGACGGAGTCTCGCTCTGTCGCCCAGGCTGGAGTGCAGTGGCGCATCTCGGCTCACTGCAAGCTCCGCCTCCCGGGTTCACGCCATTCTCCTGCCTCAGCCTCACGAGTAGCTGGGAATACAGGCGCCCGCCACCACGCCCGGCTAATTTTTTGTATTTTTTTAGTAGAGACGGGGTTTCACTGTGTTAGTCAGGATGGTCTCGATCTCCTGACCTCGTGATCTGCCGGCCTCGGCCTCCCAAAGCGTTGGGATTACAGGCGTGAGCCACCACGCCCGGCCTCTTCTTCTTTTTTTTTTTTTTAAGAGACAGGGTTTTGCTCTGTAGCCCAGGCTGAAGTGCAGTGGTGTGATCATTGCTCACTGCAGGCTTCAACTCCTGGATTCAAGCAAGCCTCCAACCTGAGCCTCCTAAGTATCTGGGACTACACGCACGCACTACCAGGCCTGGCTAATTGTTTTAATTTTAATTTTAATTTTTGGTAGAGATGTGTGTCTCCTTCTGTTGCCCAGGCTGGTCTCGAACTCCTAGGTTCAAGCAATCCTCCTGCCTCGACCTCTCAAAGTGCTGGGATTACAGGTGTGAGCCACTGCCACCGGCCAATTTACTTCTTTTTTTTTCCTTTGGAGATGGAGTCTCGCTCTCGTTGCCCAGGCTGGAGTGCAGTGGCGCTCAGCCACCGCAACCTCTGCCTCCCAGGTTCAAGTGATTCTCCTGACTCAGCTTCCTGAGTAGCCAGGATTACAGGCGCCCACCACTACTCCCGGCTGATTTTTGTATTGTAGTAGAGATAGAGTTTCACCATGTTGGCCAGGCTGGTCTCGAACGCCTGACCTCAGGTGATCTGCCCTCTTTGGCCTCCCAAAGTGCTGGGGGTGTGAGCCACCTCGCCTGTCCCCAATTTACTTCTTTTTAATGCTTTATTTAAACATTTTTTAAAGAGTTCCTAAATTAGTCAGTTCCTAAATCTACATACAATAGAATAGAATTGTATTCTATTGTATGTAGATATCAAATTTCTGGATTTTTCTGGATCTATTTATCTTTCTTTCTTTTTTTTTTTTTGAGACAGTCTTGCTCTGTTGCTCAGACTGGAGTGCAATGGCGTGATCTCGGCTCACTGCACTCCACCTCCTGGGCTCAAGCAATCCTTGTGCCTCAGCCTCCTGAGTAGCTGGGGTTACAGGCATGTGCCACTATGCCCAGCTAATTTTTGTAATTTTAGCAGAGATGGGGTTTCGCCATGTTGCCCAGGCTGGTCTCAAACTCCTGGGGTCAAGAGATCTGCCCACCTTGGCCTCCCAAAGTGCTGGGATTACCGCATGAGCCACCTCGCCCGGCCTTATTTATCCTTTCCTGGACACCTAGGTTGCTTCTGCCTTTGGCTATGGTAAATAATATGTCTATGAACATGGGTGAACAAATATGTGGGTTGCTGCTTTCAGTTTTTTAGGGTATGCTCAGAAGCAGACTTCCTGGATCATATGATTACTTTGTATTTATTATTTATTTAAGGAATGGCCATACTCTTTTTCCTAGCAGCCATAGCATTTTCCATTCCCAACAACAGTGCACAAGGATCCCAAAAGGTGTTCTCACTTTTTTGGTGGTGTCCTTTGAAATACAAAAGTTATCAATTTTGCTGGGCATGGTGGTTCATGCTTGTAATCCCAGTACTTTGGGAGGCTGAGGCACGAGGATCGCTTGAGGCCAGAAGTTTGAGACCAGCCCAGGCCAACATTCCAAGACCCTGTCTCTACAAAAAATAAAACAATTAGTTGAGTGTGGTGGTGCACACCTGTAGTCCCAGCTACTCAGGAGGCAGAGGCAGGAGAATCACTGGGGGCTGGGAGGTTGAGGCTGCAGTGAGCCATGATTGTGCCACTGCACTCCAGCCTGCGTGACAGAGCAAGACCCTGTCTCACACACACACACAAAAGATTCATTCTATACTAGGCATTGATATGTTATTTATTGTTTTATTGTTTTATTTTTTGAGAAGGGTCACACTCTGAGATCACGCCTGAGCTGAAACTTAGAGTGAGGTTAGCCAACTCTTAGAGTGAGGTAAGGCTAGCTCTCCAACTTTAGCCCTTTTCCCTGTTTGCCTTTCTCTCTGCCATTACTGAACTGCTGGTCATGCCCTCCTCACCAATTTCTCTCTCTCCCTTTTTTTTTTTTTTCTTTTTTGACAGAGTCTCGCTCTGTTGCCCAGGCTGGAGTGCAGTGGTGCGATCTTGGCTCACTGCAACCTCCACCTCCCGGGTTTAAGCAATTCTCCTGCCTCAGCTTCCCGAGTAGCTGGGATCACAGGCACGCGCCACCACGCCTAGCTTATTTTTGTATTTTTAGTAGAGACGGGGTTTCCCTCTGTTGGCCAGGCTGGTCTCGAACTCCTGACCTCAAGTGATCCTCCCGCCAAGGCCTCCCAAAGTGCTGGGATTACAGGCACGAGCCATCGCGCCTGGCTGATTTAGGAACTCTTTAAAAAATGTTTAAATAAAACATTTTTGTATTGTCTTTTTTTTTTTTTTCTTGAGGCAGAGTCTTGCTCTGTTGCCCAGGCTGGAGAGCAGTGGTGCGATCTCGGCTCACTGCAACCTCTGCCTCCCAGGTTCAAGCGATTCTCCTGCCTCAGCCTCCCGAGTAGCTGGGATTACAGGCATGCACCACCACGCCTGTAATTTTTGTATTTTTAGTAGAGATGGAGTTTCACCATGTTGCCTAGGCTGGTCTTGAACTCCTGGCCTCAAGTGATCCACGCGCCTCAGCCTCCCAAAGTGCTGGGATACAGTACAGGTGTGAGCCACCATACTCAGCCAATTTAGGAACTCTTTCTAAATGTGGTAATACAGATACCTCAAAGCTAAAATAATATTCCCAAGCCTTTAACTTTTTACGTGATGGAATATTGTGTCTCAGCAGAATATTGAGTTGCCTTTCTTTTTTTTTGAGACGGAATCTCACTCTGTTGCCCAGGCTGGAGTGTAGTGCTGCAATCTCAGCTCACTGCAACCTCCACCTCCCCGGTTCAAGTGATTCTCCTGCCTCAGCCTCCCTAATAGCTGGGATTACAGCCACGCACCACCATGCCCAGCTAATTTTTGTATTTTTAGTAGAGACGAGGTTTCACCATGTGGGCCAGGCTGGTCTCGAACCCCTGACCTCAGATGATCCGCCCGCTTCGGCCTCCCAAAGTGTTGGGATTATAGGTGTGAGCCACCGCGCCCGGCTGAGTTGCCTTTCTTCTCAACTAAAAATAGGCCTGTTTGTATCACCTTGGCCATGCCTGTCTACTCTGTATTTTGATTCAAATCAAACTATCATAATAGTTATGCTAATAACACATAAGGTAAAGACAGGGTTTAATAAATTTGTTTATTATATCAGTTATGTGATCTATATAATTTCTCTTGTCTCTACTTCATTTTATATTCTCAGCCAAATGCCCAGTAGTGGTTTTATCTTTTTGAAGTGTGAGATTATCTCCCCACTTCTTCCAATTCTTCTTTCTTCTTTCACTCTTTTTTTATTTTATTGTTTTTTTTTTTTTTTTAGAAAGGGTCTCCCTCTGTCACCCGGGCTGGAGTGCAGCATTGTGATCGTTGCTCATCGCAACCTCGCCTCAAGCGGTCCTCCTCCCTCAGCCTCCTGAGTAGCTGGGGCCACAGGCCGATGCTCCCACGCCTGGCTAATTTTTTCATTTTTGTAGAGATGGGGTCTTGCTATGTTGGCCAGGCTAGTCTCAAACTCCTGGCCTCAAGTGATCCCCCCGCCTCCGCCTCCCAAAGTTCTGGGATTATAGGCATGAGCCACTTTACCTGGCCCCAAATGATGGCTTTCTTATTCTTTCATTTCTTCAACGTGGATAAAGAACTAAAACAAAACAAAACCAACAAAGAGGGGAGAAGGGAAGGAAAGCATGTTAATTTGCTGCTCAAATGCCCCCCGATGTGGTGGTCATGTCAAGCTGACTTAATGTTTTTTTGATTTGTCACTGGTTTCCTTTGAGCACTTCCCTACTTTCTGGCCTAACATAAGATGATGAACATGAGATGTTCCAAGCTTATCTTGTATTTTCTCTGCTCCAGCCCTGGAACTAGCCATTTTTCTTAGAAGCAGGGGTGGAGAGCACCCTCCCCCCACGCACCTTCACTAGGCCCCAGTGGGAAGAACTGCTGCCCATCTGCTCAGGTGTGGTGAAACTAGCAAAGAGTCTCCTGGCTGCCTGTGGAGAGTCTCTGTATGTGGTCCTCAGCCCAGCCTGGGGGCTCCTGGGCTGGCTACCATGCTGCCTCTACTGTGTCTCTAGATCCAGGCTCTGCTGGAAGAGCCCTGGAAGGCCCAGCAGAAGGGGGAGCCTGTCCTGACAAACATCCCTCTGTTCCTCTGGCTCCAAGGCTCAGGAATAGGGCCAGATGACATGTCCAGGTGGTGCCAGGACCCCTCACTGTCCCCTTGGAGATGGGCCCAGAGAGCCTTGTGGGGGCACCTGGAGCCTGAGGCTGACCGTCCCTCCCTGTGTCCTGGATGAGGAGCCCTGTCCTGAGAAGACCCCCAGGGGCTGGCCTGCGGGCGCAGCCACAGGAAGGGGAGGGTCTGTGGGCTGAGTTTGGGCGGGGGGCATTAGTAGAGGACTTTGGGCACTACGTGTCAGTGGTCTGATCAGCGGGGGCCTTGTCATTAGGAACCTGGTCAGGGGATGGGTGTGGTGGCTCATGCCTGTAATCCCAGCACTTTGGGAGGCCTAAGCGGGAGGATCGCTTGAGCTCAGGAGTTCTATACCACCCTGGGCAACACAGTGAAACCCCCTCTCTACTAAAAATACAAAAAGTAGCTGGGGGTGGTGGTGTGCACCTATAGTCCCAGCTACTCAGGAGGTGGAGGTGGGAGAATTGCTTGAGCCCAGGAGATCAACTCTGCAGTGAGCCAAGATTGTGCCACTGCACTCCAGCCTGGGCGACAGAGTGAGCCCTGCCTCAAAAAAAAAAAAAAAAAAAAAAGTAAAGTCCAAAAACAAACAAACAAAAAAATAGGAACCTGGTCTGGGAGGATTGGTTAACAGGGACTTGGTCATCCAAGGCCTGGTCAGTGGGGGCCTTGTCATTGGGGAACTGGTCAGTGGTACCTGGTCAGCAGGGACTGGGTCAGTGGGAACTGGTCAGCTGGCTGCTGGGTGACCTCAGGTAAACAGTTTGTCCCTGATGCCTCCTTGCCTCCATCCCTGAGTCACAGACCCCCAGAGGTCTACTGGGAGGAGGAGGTGAGAAGGTGAGTTGAATCCAGGCCTGCCCCTTAGACCTAGCACTTTACATACTACCTGAGTCCCCCAAGGGAGGGGCCAGCTCTCTGCCCTCTGCCTTCAGCCCTCTGCCCTCAGCCCTCTGCCCTCAGCTCTCTGCCCTCAGCTCTCTGCCCTCTGCCTTCAGCCCTCTGCCCCTACTCTGTCTGCATCCCCAGGACAGACCCATATGGAGAGGGCAGAGACTGAGGAGCACCCATGGATGCTCTGATGCTGACCATGGGCCCTAGGGTGACAGTGATGAGGACGTGGGTGTGCACGTGAGTGTGACACACACACTCACACAGATGTTCACCCACACGGGATGCTCACATGCACAGACACATCACACATACTCAGGTTGACAGTGCAGGGGGTGGAGGACGCTGACTCTCGGCCCTTTGTGGGTGCTGTGACCCCAAAATATCACCATGCCAAATGCCCACCTGCCTGCCTCTGTGTCACGGAGCAGTCAGAGGCACGCCAGTGTCTGTGAGTGCTGGGCACGTAGGGCTCTTTTCTAGGCAAGAGGCACATCTCCGAACAGCTGCCAGATCAGACTCAAGAGCATGACCTGCTCTCTTCCTTCCCTGCTGACTTGGGGACAGTCACTGCCTGGTGGGTGATGCTGGTCTCTGGGCAGCTGCCAAAGAGGGTCATTCCTGGGCACTCACCAGTGCTTGTTCTGTGCTGACCATGTACACGGTTGTCTTGTTCATCCTCGTGGTGACTCCAGGGGGTGGGTGCTGTCCCCAAGTATACCCATTCGACAGGTGAGACATCTGAGGTTATAAGGGCGGTCACTGGTCCAGGAACCCAGACGTGACCCTGGGCCATGCTCTCACCCCTGCCCTGTGCTGTGTGGGACTCACTCCCTTACGCGGTGCCCCTTATGCCCTCGATCCCAAATCTTTCCAAAATTTTTGACAGCAATAGGACAGAGCCTGGCCTTGGAAGAGCCCCTGTGGGTGGGGTGGAGGGTGGTCTTCCATCCAGGTCTGTGTCCTAAGGTGGGTCCCTGCAAGAGAAGATCTCATCAACCCAGACTTTGGGTGCAGTCAGTGGGGGTCGCTGTGGGACCCACTGGACATATGGGATCTCTTGTCTGGGAGTGGGGTGGGGAGCCCTCTGTCCTTGGGCAGTTGTGGAAAATGATGGCGCCCCGGAGGGTTGGTTGGAGGGTGATGATCGTTCCTCCTCTTCACCGGGAACTGGGGCTCTTCCGCACAAGGCCCTTTCTCTGTTCCTTTACGGGCCTCGCCCTTTCTTTGTTCCGAATGTTCATGGGAAGGGACCCTCTGGAGTTCTCCAGGACCAAGTCATCAGAGTTCTCATTCTTTCTCAGTGACCCCGGAACACGAGGGTCCTTCCTGTATTGACAGCTCAGAACTTGGGATCCACTGTCCCTTCACCTGAGACATCTTCATGAGCAGAGAGGCTGCATTGACCCCAAACCAAGCACCCTCCCGTTTGGCTGATGTTATTCTTGAAGCGGCTTCACTGGCCAGAGGGAGTGGAGATGGGGGTGAAACGGAGCAGTCACGAGGTGTCTTGTTCCCTGTAAGAAACTGGGCATCTTCATGGTCCCTGCGTGATCCCAGGAGGCTGAGCATATGGAGCTCTCTGATCCCTGACCCCAGTCTACCTGCAGGTGTCTGAAATAGCGCACCACAGGCCCCTCACCCTCAGCAGATGGACACCGTTCCTCCCTTATGTGCCTGATTTAGGGCATTTGGGGACAATGGGCCTCTGTGTCCAGGTCCCCCTGTTCTCAAATCCTCAGGAAGAAGCCCACCTCTGGCTGGGGCAGGGACTCCAGAGACCCCAGCAGGCATGGGGACCCTAGATCTGGCCCCTTTTCACCCGGAGCGGTGGTGGCATGGGGTTCACCTGGCCGGCGGCGTCTCAGAGTTGGGTGGAAGCGGTTTGGGTGTTCTCTGTAGCACCCAGGTGCAGTGTGGCCTTTGGACAATGTTGTCTCGCAGGATGGACATGGAAAAGGATTACAGCTGCCCTGCCCGCGCAGGAGCGGGACATCATTGACAAGTGTGAGCAGGTCCGGGTCGGGCTGTTCCCTCGAGGGAGGCGAGGCCACCCATCTCCAGCTGTATCCTGGTCGGAGTGTCCTGGGCTCCCTCCGGATGCAGGGCCAGGACCAGCTGCTGGGAACTTCATGCCCCCACACCCCTCACCTCGGCCCCCTCACCCTGAATCCCCTCTGGGTCACAGGGATGCTGAGCAGAGGCACCTGCAGACGTGGGGCCTGAGGATATTGACAGCTACAAAGTCACCGATCACCTCGGGATTCGGCAGTGAGTCCTCTGTTCCCACCCTCACCACCCAGGGATGGGTTTTTTTTTTTTTTAGAAAGGCCTCACTGAGGCAGGACACATCTCCCCAGCTCGTGCCAATCTCCTTTCTAGCGTAGAAACTCCTCCCCTGTCAAAGTCCTTTAAATGCTCAAACTGCCTGCTTTGGATTCTTATTGAACTTATACTCCACCCTGTGGTACAGGGGCTAATATGCTGGGCCTTTACCACTTCAGCCCAGGTTCGATTCCTGGTCAGGGAACCAGTGCCACTTGTCTTAATTTGCATGACTCTTTACCCTTTGAGAGGTGAACCCAGAAAATCCGTGACAGGTCTCAGTTAATTTAGAAAGTTTATTTTGCCAAGGTTGAGGATGCACCCGTGATGGTCTCAGGAAGTCCTGACGACATGTGCCCAAGGTGGTTGGGACACAGCTTGCTTTTTTTTTTTTTTTTTTGAGACGGCGTCTCACACTATCACCCGGGCTGGAGTGCAGTGGCGCGATCTCAGTTCACTGCAACCTCTGCCTCCCAGACTCAAGCAATTCTCATGCCTCAGCCTCCTGAAAGGCTGGGATTACAGGCACCCACCACCATGCCCAGATAATTTTTTTTTTTTTTTGAGACGGCATCTCGCTCTGTCGCCCAGGCTGGAGTGCAGTGGTGCGATCTCGGCTCACTGCAAGCTCCACCTCCCGGGTTCACACCATTGTCCTGCCTCAGCCTCCCAGGTAGCTGGGACTACAGGCGCCCGCCACCACGCCTGGCTAATTTTTTGTACTTTTTAGTAGAGATGGAGTTTCTATGTGTTAGCCAGGATGGTCTCGATCTCCTGACCTCGTGATCCACCAGCCTCGGCCTCCCACAGTGCTGGGATTACAGGCGTGAGCCACTGCGCCTGGCCCACAGCTTGCTTTTATACATTTTAAGGAGACATGAGACATCAATCAATATATGTAAGAAGTACATTAGTTCTATCCAGAAAGGTGGGGACAGCTCAAAGCAAGCCCCCACCCCCCGGGGGAGGTAGATGGAGGCTGAGAGATCAGACCTTGCGGGGCACTTGGGGACATCAGGTGGGACAGGCCCCAGGTGCACCCTCAGTGCACTGGGCAGGTCTCAGGATCCTGGCCTGGTAATGTGGTCACTCCCTCGAGGACTGCTTTTGGGGCCCAGTCACCCACCCTGGGCCATACACGTCCTTTCTCAGGACTGGACTTTCTCAGCTCCTGCAGAGGGCACTGCCTCTAGCCCAGGAGGGGCAGCCCTGTTGTGTAGCCCAAGCCCATGCTCTACAGGGCCCTAGTGGTCCCTGCCCCACCCACACACCCCTCTTCTCCCAGGTCCTGTCCCTTCACAGGCGTCAGCCCACAGGGAGACCCTCTTCCTACCTTCCCTGTGTGTCTCCTGGGCTAAGACCAGGGGTGGGGTGGGGAGAGACACGGCTGGTCCTTCCCTAGGACTGCTAGGGAAGGAGGAGGACAGCTCCCGGCCCAGCACAGGCCCTCAGCTCTGTCTGGGTTGCCTTACAGTGAGACAAAGCTGCCATCGATCAGTGCCCTGGAGGCAAAGGTAAGACCTGCTGCCTGAGAGGCTGGTCCAGGGACAGGAGGACTTGGCAGGTGGTCAGCAGCCCGTGGGCACCAGCGATGGTGAGTGGGAGAGACAGGCTGTCCCTGGGAGGGGTGGCAGTTCCTGCTGGACCTGACCCCAAGACTCTGTCCCCATTGGTTGTTTGACCAAACTCCAAACTGAGAACCGCAGTCACGGCTCGGGGGTTGCTGTCTGCTTGCACCAGGACCCCACCTGGAGGCTAGTACTTGACCAAAGTCCAGTGTCTGTGGCCTGAGGATGGCATGTCCCAGGTCGTGAGGCCAGGTCACAGACGCCTGTTCAGTCAGAGGGTCTCAGTCCCCGGGGCCTGCCCTTTCCTGGTTCTTTTTGTGGTTCAGTCCCGTCAGGGCCTCGGAGCCCAGGATACAGCATCCAAAGGCTGCTTCAGGAAGCCTTGGTAGCTCCGCTAACTTCTGGTCATAGTTGACAGCAAAGACGTCAGGAGATGAGAGGCACAGAGAAATGGCTCCAGATGCTTCAAGACGGGCAGGGATATAGGAGTGGCAAGGAGGTGACATGGGGAGGGAGGGCCCCCGTGACCGCTCTCTACAGAGTCAGGGGGATGGGCTCCCATGGCTGGGTCCTGGCACTGCCTGCCTCTCAGAGGGTGGGTGACACACTGTCCTCACCCTGGACAGCAGGTCTGGTCACCAGCTTTCCTGTTTGTCCCTGCAAACCTCAACTTGCTGGAGACAGTGTGATGCCAGGGCATGAGCCAGGACTATCTCAGGGATAGGGACACCCCCTGGCAAACCGAAGGAAGGAATAGGTCAAGATGAGAATTCATAACTCTGAATCGTGGGAGGGAGGCCTGGTCCTAGGTAAACTGCACATCCCCTGAAAAACCAACAAGTCAGAGACTGGAGACTTCCAGAATCCTCAGGCTCCGATCCTCCCTGGGGCTGCCCCAGACCCTGTTTCTTCAGAGTGTTCTGTCCCAAGTTGATAGACAGCGTGTATAAAGGCATTCTCCATAGATGTGGGGCCAAGTGTGGTCACACTTCCTGGATGTCGAGAAGGTGAAGGCCGAGAACTGGTGGAAATACGAGGTATGACCCTTCCGAAGTCAGCCAGAGGAGGACAAACAGGCCAGGCTGTGTTGAGAGCCCAAGCCTCCAGCTGGAGGGAACGCAGAGCCTGGGTTGAAGGTGGAGGGGGCATGGTCAGGCGGACATCCTGGGCAGAGACGGTGATGCCAGCACCAAAGGTGAGCTGAGCTCCAGGACTAGTTGGATTGTAAGGAACCAAGCCAGAGGAGGAGCTTTCTGCAGAAGGAAACCAACCTTCCTTCCTTCCTTCCTTCCTCCTGTCCTTTCCTTTCCTTTTTCCTTTCCTTTTTCCTTTCCTTTCCTTTCCTTTTTCCTTTCCTTTCCTTTCCTTTCCTTTCCTTTCCTTTCCTTTCCTTTCCTTTCCTTTCCTTTCCTTTCCTTTCCTTTCCTTTCCTTTCCTTTCCTTTCCTTCTTTCCTTCCTTCCTTCCGGGCTGCCTGTGGACGACTGCCGTGTGGGGCAGCCAGTCTTCTCTCTGTTCAGAGGCTGCTTCCTCTTCCTGGCCCTGCCCTGGAGGTCATGAAGATGAAGGGAAAGAGGTCCCCCCTGGAACTTCCACCAGATCAACCTGGATGTCAGCCATACACTAAGAAACCACATGATGTTTTGGCCACAATGCAGTGTCAATTAAGGCTTGCAGGGCTGGAGAGCCCTGGGGAGATGGCGTGAACCAGAGGGATGGGAGCTTCACCAGAGCAGAGGCAGGGGTCACCCAGGAGGGGTGACAGAGCTACCAAAAGCTTTCCAGGCCCAGGGAGCAGCTAGCACAATAGACTGAGTGCCTTCCTGGTTGCAAGCCCTGGGCCTGGCTGGGATATGTGGGGCCGGAGCCCAGGTGGCTCCCGAGGAGACAGAGAGCAATGAACAAAATCATGAGAAATGGTGGAAAGTTCAGTAACCTACGGGAGGGCGGCAGGATGAGGGGCTCGGGAGCCTTCCCAAGCCACACTGACGACACCAAATGCCGAGACGATGTGCGGTCCCGGGGACCTTTGTCCCTGCCAGGTGGGAATGCGACAGGGCACAGCCCCTTTGGGAACCCGTTGGGCGGCTCTGCACGAAACTCGGTGGACTCGTGCCACATGTCCCAGAAGATTCTCAGAGACTGATCCCACTGATTTGAAAACTGATGGCCATGTAAAACCTGCATGCCACGTCCACAGCTTGATTCACCGTCACTCACAGTTGAAGGCCACCAAGACAATCTTCAACCCGGGAATAGTAAAATCCACTTTCACCAAAACATTTCATAAAACTCAGTGGCCCTGAAGAGCTCACTGCTTATTCTGCGCATCATCTGGACCTGGAATTGGATTCCTTGTTGGAACACGATAGAGAGAACAAAACAGCATCCGTGTGAACCCAAACCCTCTTTTCTCTCTTTCCTAGGCTGCAGCATGTCTTTCTTGTCCTGGTGGCATATTGCACCTAATCCCATGAGTATTCCAAGGCAACAATATTCGCGGGTCACATTCCCATATTCATAGGCACGGGTGTCTTGGGTAGGGGGTGTCATTGCTTCTTTAAAATTCAGTATCTGACACCTACCAAGACGCAGCCGGTAGGACTCAAGCTCGCTGTTGGCTTGAACATTCAAGCGAGGCAGGGAGGGAGGGTCTCAGAGGGGTCATGCTGAGATGGAGAGGGCTCAGGCACAGACTCCTGGTCTGACCTGAGCCTGACCCCCAATCTCAGAACAAGAAATGACACCCTCCTCCTGGGCTTGCCCCAAGGTCCAGGAGCTGGTCAGTGTCCCAAAGTGGTCCTCCCAGGAGGCATTTTTGACAAGTTGCCAAAGTACCCGATGGACGTCGCTCTTGTCACGAAATGAGTGTGGATCCCGCGGAAGCTGTTCCTTCATTGGAAAACTGGCAGGGATCCAATGTCCCCTCCGCCCGAACCCCACTGGAGCGCAGCAGACAGGGAGGGGGTTCCTGAAGTGCCTGCTCCCACTGTGCCCCCAGTTTCCAGATCACTCCTGGAGGGACAGCCACTGAGCTGGCTCCATGGGCTGCACACACAGGGTCTGGACCCAGCCTCCCTCTCATACCTGGCAGGCAGCCCCTGGGTCTTCCCAGGACCCTGTATGCGGTGGGCCCCCAGCCCGCCCTGTTGGCCAGCCTAGCTCACAGATGCTGTCCCAAGCCTGGCACGGTGGCCTCCCTGGCCTGGCATCTGAGGGGGAGGGACATCCACGGTCCTCTCCTATGTCCTCTCGGGCCATGTGGGCTTGGACACTCGCTACAGGAATCTCTCTGGACTCCTTGTCAACTGAGACGTGCGTGACTTGCTCAGTCCTGACACCCAGTGTCAGGAGAGGGGTGAACAGGCTGCACCCCAAATCCCACAGGGCCTGTGGCAGGCCTCCTCAATGACATCAGTCCTCTCAGGTGACCTCAGCCCTCCCAGGTGACATCCTTCCATGGTGACTCTGACTCTTGCAGGAGCTGGGCTACTGCAGGGCCATGAGCTGCATTGCTGCCACTCTCCTCTATCTGCCCAGAAAAGATACCTTCTGAGTGGTGGCCCAGCTGCTGGCTGGTGAGAGGCACTCCTTGCAGGGTAGGTGGACAGCTGCCCATGGGGACTCACACAGCCAGGCCTGGGGATGGTCACCCTGGCTAGGTGATCTCAGCTTCCAGGCAAGGAGCCTTCCTTGTGTCCCCAGCTCGTTTGGAGCCTCTAGGATGTTGCCTGCTGTGGGTCATGCAGGAGCCTGGGACTGGATAGGGACCCCCACACCCTGAGTTAGATGCCTCTCATCCCCATCAGCAGAGGGCATCACAGCCTCCCTGTGGCTACCTTCTGTATCCCGGAGGCTTGGTCCTCCAACCCCGACTTTGCGCAGGCAACGCTCACCTCCCTGAGGGTCCTCCTGCCTCCTGGTGGCTGACTGTGCTCCTAGCCGTCCTCGTCACCCTCAGACAGGCAGATGAAACCCAGACAGTAATGCTTCCTCATCGCATGTCCCCTAGCCTGACCCTATGAATGTCCAGAAGACAGTAATGCACCCCCAGCACCCACCCCGCTCACCCTGCTGGCCCCTGCCTGCCACGTTCCTCCCTCTTGGCCTCCACGGCAGGCCTCTCCTCCTAATACCTCAGCTCAGGGCCCCCACTGGGCAGCTCCTCCCGCCAGGATCCCGGGGACATTCCTGCCCCTCCTCCCCTGGGCCAAGGCTGCATGCTGGAGGGGCCAGATGGGAGGGTGGGAGACCTGGGGGTCTGAGGACCCCTGCCAGTGCCAGCTCTTCCAGCTGACGGCTCCACGTCTTGGGAGCAGGCTTTGATTTTGTGATAGGTTGTGGGCTCTCAGGATTCTGCAGTTCAAATTGTGCCAGGCTCCAGAGACTCTAAGCCCACCCGGGACACGTGTTATGGACATCATCCCCGAAGCTTATGAGGACTTGGTGAGGAGACGGTCCCCTTGGCTCTTCCCCAGAGGCTTGGGGATCAGGGGTAGAGGGAGGTTCTGGCTCCTCCTCATAGGGGGTGAGAGGTTGAGTCCCAGCAGGGGCCAGACCTGGGATGTGGGGTTCTCCATGGGATTGTAGTTGGGTTTCCTTTTTCTGCTCTGGAGCAGGCAGAGGCTCTGGGACGGGGACTGGGCTCTGGCTGAGCTGGGCTAAGGGAAGTGTGTCCACCGAAGGTCCATGCGGGGGGCAGGTGTGGCGGGGTGCCCTGGGGACCGCCCAGTGTTCTGTCCCTCAGGGAAGGGCTGCAGAGGGGCCTGAAATAGGGATGTTTTGGGGGCAGCCCAAGGGGCCCTGAGCACCTCTGCTCCTCCCATCAGGACAAGGATGAGCTGCATGCCCAGAATTCCACGTTTACACTGGCTCCTCTGGTGCTTTAAATGGGGGTAATGAGGCACTGGAAGCTCCCAGTCCAGGGACCCTCCTGCCCCGCACTGCTTGGCTCCCCCAGCCCAGGGGTCCGGCTTCCCCAGGAGGACCTGGCTCACCCCCACCCAGCAGGAGGCACAGGCGGGTCCCCACAGGGCACACAAGCCAGGCAACACCTGAGAGGGGGCATCCCACAGCAGAGGCCAGGGCAGAACGGGCCAGGTCTCCACTTGGAAGAGCCCGGGGAAGTCCAAGGCCCTGGGGAGCCCCTCCCTCCAGGAGCTACATCCCTGCTGAGATGAGTCCCCTCCATGAGGAGCTGCAAGACCTCTTCTGACCCAGCCTCATGGTGGCAGCTCATCCCATGGGGACGGGTCCCTGGCACTCCAGGGGACTGAAACCACAGTGGGCCCTGCTTGGGCCACCAGCTCCCAGCCTGGAAGGGCCAGGTCCTCTCACACCTGCTGTCCCCACAGATCCCCTTCGGGTTCAGCCTGAAGATGAAGCATGCAATAATGGCAATGGCGCCCACGGCCTTCGAGGTTCACAGAAGCAAGTCCCCCTGTGTCTGAGGTTTCCTGGGGAACTCATGGGACACAGCCTGGCTGGCCTGAGGCCTCTGTCCCCATGACCTTCTGCTCTCATCAGAAGGGATGGCCAGGGATGGCCAGGCCTGGCCTGTAGGGCTGGGCAGGGCATAGTGGGTTCTCCCAGACCCTGAGCCCACCCTTGAAATGAGTGATCCATGTGAAAGGTGGGAGTGTGGTGGGAACCTCCCTGCCCGGGCCTCCCCCGGCCATGGCCTCCTGTGCACAGCTGGACCCCAGGGTTGGCCACAGAAGGACCCAGTGCTGCTCAGTGGGAGGTGGCAGTGTTGGAAACGGGGTGTGGGCACCAACCCCTTCCAGGAACCCCTCCCGGCCTGATGCCCTTCCTGTCCCTTGAGCGACCATGAACCTGTCCCAGTCCACCCTGTGGGAGGGAGTTCTTTCAGGACCGGTGCTCCCAGGCCTGGGCCCTGGAGGATGCCACAGTGCTCAGGCACTTTGAGGCCTTTGTGGGGGAACTGATGAGCCAGTGCTGGGATCTGCCACCCCCTCGTGGGCTCCAGCACCAGGTCCCCTCTCCTAAGTCATCCTCTGGAGCATTCGATAGTGGAGAGGGCCCCGGCCCCACCAGCCCTACTACCTGGCCCTTCCTCCTGCACCTCTTTTTCTGTCTTTTCCTCCTCTACACTAAGCAGCTTCTGGGCAGGTGCTGAGCGCATATGTACTGGACATGCTGCTCAGACAGGCAGGGACTGGAGAAAGAACCCTCAACGCCCCCTATGCTTTTTACATCCTCTCTCCTCTGTGCGAGCTCCCTAACCACCATCCCAACATCGACAGATGCTGAGAGGAGCAGGGGCCGCTCACTCCAGAATCCCCCTCCAAGGACGTCAGGGCAATAAGCCTTGAGCCAGGGGAAAAAGAGAATCAGTGTCACTGACCCAGAGGACTTGGGGAGAGGACACGGATAGGAGCCCTGGCCAGAGCCAGATCCAAGAGTTCAGCCAGGTGCAGGTGTGGGAATGGTCCCGTCCAGGCATGGAGTGGACGGTCCTGGAGGGCAAAGGGGGCCCCGTGCCTGGGACCATCTCACCCACTGTGGAGATAGTGTCTTGTGTGAGGTGGCAAGGGGGCTAGGTGACAGCCAAGGCCTCTCCCACCTGGTTCTGAATTAGGGCTGCTACCCAGGCCACACAGCCCTGGGATGAGGAGGTGAAGGAGGAAGTCTGGAGCCAGCCTGAATCCTAAGCCACAGCCCCAGGAGTGACGTGAGGTGCCCCAACAGCTCCCCGTGCCCTGAGGGATCCACACACCTCTTGCTCTGTGATCAGCAGCCTGCAGGGGTGTCCTCAGAGTCAGACTCAAGAAGCCACACAGGGATGCTGAGGACACCAGAGACCCAGGTCTGTGGGGCCCAGCCTTGTGAGGACTTAATGGACTTGGAGGAGAAGCTGACCGCTCGCATCTGCTATTTTTTCAGCCAAACCCAATCGAGGGTCCTTGGCACCCAGGCCTCTGTGAGCATACCCTGGCATTGAGCCCCTCTGCAAGGGAGATGGGCTGGCCCGCCCCTGCCTACCAGCTTAGCTCCAGGGGTCCATGCAGCCAGCCCCCTACCCCGGAATGCAACCCTGGTCCTCTCCCACCCTGACCTGGCTGGCAGTCTCCAAGACTGAGGCCCAGGGGCACGAAGGAGCTTCCAGAAAGCTCAGGGCAGCAGGTTGCTCTCTGGGGATCCTGAGGGTTCAGAATGGACCCATGCATTTTCTGAACTCCCTCCCGAAGCTGCCCAGAGACTTGGCTGTCAGAGGCCCGTGGTTCCCATTGTGCAATTTTGAACAGGGATGCTGTGCTCCGTCCCTTCCACATCCACCCTACACAGCCCCAGGACCATCAGTGGGGCCCAGCCCTGCAACCCCATCTTGGCCACAACACCAGGCCCTGCTGGGCCCCGTGAGAACTGAGAGGCAGGTCCAGAGATAAGTCCCTTGCATGGGGGCACTTGCATCGGACCCCTCTTGGTGGGCAATGACTAGCATGGCATGGAAGGAGCCAGGGCAGCTCCCAGCCAGTTGCTCTGCAGCCCCAGATGGCTCCTGGGCCTTATGAAGTCCCTCTCAACAGGGAAGCTGGTCCCTTTCAGGCTGCCAGAGGGAGGGGTGAACGTGGTGTCCTCCCAGCCCTGGCCAGCCAGGAGCATGCCCTGTGGCCTCTGATTTGACTTGTTGGACAGAGTCCCCTCCCAGGGCACAAGTCCTAGGTCCAGAGGGGCCCGGCCTCAACCCCAGCCCTGCTTGGTAGGGGAGGGCACCGGGGTGCCATGGGCCTTTAGCTGCAGCACCGATGGCCACGCAGGGGACATGGCACACCTCACCCGGTTGTTGTACCATTTCAGGTCAGAGAACCCCGGCAAGAACTTGCTGCAGGAACACGAGGTGCTGAGCCTGTGCGGGAGCAGGACATCAAGGGCTGCTCAAGAGCGTCCATGGCTACAGTGACTGTGGCCTCTTCCCAGCCTCATCTGTGCCGTGCAGGTGATCTATGACTCCAAGCTGGGACTGGCAGGTGATGGTGGCCCCAGCATCTCAGCCACGCTGCCAACATGCTGTCAGGAGGCTTCGAGGCCATGCCCGGTATGCTGCCCACCTCCTTGAGACCCCTTCCTGACACTTTCCAGCCGGTGCTACAGCCGCAGCACGTGCCACCACTGAATACCTTTCAGCAGCCGGTGCAGGCTTCAGACGGCAGGCGTGCCCGACAGCCGTGGCCTCAGCAGCTCTTTCGTGGCAACCAGGACAGTCAGGGCAGTGATGAAGTGATGATGCCTAGGACGACAAGTGGGATGGCAGCTCCGTGATGGTGGATGAGCCTAGTGGCGGTTCACACCTGGTCCTCAGTGGCTCCCTGAGCCCCCGTGGTGGCAACAGCTTGGCCACCATGAGGCGCAGTCTCAACCGCTTCCCCACCTGTCAAGTCAGGCAGGGAGGCCTTGTGCTTGGCGAGGCGTTGGGCTCTGTGAAGGACGGGGACAAGCTGTGCGTGGCTCTGTGGCTCTATGGCCTCAAGTGGCAGGAGAACCCCTACTCCTTCCAGTGCACTACCAGCGACACCGCTCAGTAGAACAAGTTCAAGGGCATGAATAGCGTCCTCTCCTGCAAGCTGGTGACCACGCACAGGCAGGTCCCAGTGCACGGCGCAACAAGCACTTGGACTGGCTGGATGCGTGTCTGGTGACATTCCTGGCTATGTCTGTGCCCCACCTACCTGAGAAGTGGGCCACGAGCTGCTTCCAGGAGGACTTCATCTCCAAGCACAGGTAGAGCACGATCTGCGGGATGAGCTACACGGCCGGCCGCCCAGTGCTGGCGCAGTGCCACGTCCTCCAGCACTTCCTGATGTGCCTCAGCAGCACCGAGAGAAGGCCTGGAAACAAGGCAAGAGGAAGGCCTTCTGTATGGCACAGCACCTCTTGAGGAAAGAAAATAAGAAAACTGCCTCCGATCCAAGCAGAGCAGGTCAGCGAGAAGGTGGGCATCACTTGGGGGAGTGGATGTGGGTATCGAAGACGAACACTGGATACGTGGCCTGGTCATGGGAGGTGGGTGGTGCGAGAAAGGTGACATGGTGGGTGCCAGCTCGTTCCTGACCCTGAGCACTGCACCACCACTGCCCTCGACCTGCAGGAGGTGGAGAGCATGATTGACAGCTTCATATGCTTTCTCAAGAAGGTGGATGACGGCGCTGCTGCTCAGCCACAGGGCATGGAGTTCACGGCAAGCAGGTGAGGGGCTTTGAGAAGGAGCATCGGCAGGGGGCCAGCCCTCCCGCGGCCTCAGCCAGGCTTTGGAGTGGGCCCAGCAGGCCTTCTGGGTGGGCCTGAACCAGCCCATCAACCTTCACCGGAGGTGCCTACAATACCATCGTCAAGCTCTTCCCAGATTGGCCCAGACAGGACCTGGATTCTGTCTCGGACCTGTTACTGCTGTCCAAGCAGCAACGCATCAAATTCCCAGACATCCTCCACGTTCACAGAGGAGCTCTTACCAAAGTCACGGGGAGCAGGAGACTCGTGGGAGGAGGAATGATGGAGGTGCGGGGGCTGATGGCGTTCAGGAGCGTGGGACACGAGTTCTTTGGCCACTTTGGCTGAAATTCACCATCTCCATCCAATTCGAGGGAGAGGTTTGAGATCATAGATGCAGCACTTTTTACCAGAGCAATACATATTTTTCCAAAAATCGATGTAGAATTTGAAAGCAGCTCTTTATAAAGATGAGAGTGTTGAGTGACTGGATGTTGGATTGGGGACTTTTTCCAGTTCAAGGATAATTTCCACAGCAGAATAAAAACTGCTATCAAAGAGCCATGGCCAACTATTTGTGGTAGTACAAGGATGGTTTTGTGCTCAACTGAGGCCAGTTTAGAATAGAGAATTATGTGGGAAATAAACAGAGAACATGGCGATGGAACCACGTGTTGTAACTTCGTAGGCATCCATACTATGGAAGTTCCTTCCTTCTCTCCTTCCTGCTGTCTGTGCCTCCTCCCAGCATCGGGCATCTCCATGTCCTGGGCCTGTGCCGGGAGAGATATAAAGGACACCATTGGCTATAGGCTGGAGGACTGGCACGGTCAGGGGAGCCCGTGAAGTCAGAGTGGCCCCTGAGGACCAGTCCTGGGATGACTGGGTCCAACTGACCAGGCCCCTGCTGACCAGGGCCCCATGCACTGGGCCTCTGCCATGACCTGGCCCTCACTGAATGGGCCCTGATGACCAGGACCCCACTGAAAAGTCCCCCCCTGATGAGGCCCCACTGACCAGGCCTTACTGACTGGGCTCCCCGTGACTAGGCCCCGGCTGACTAGGCAGCTGCTCCACCCCCCAGCCAAGCCAGGCCCCCACTGATTGGGTCCAATCATCAGTCAGCCAGTGGCCAGAGCTGCACCGACCAGGTCCCCGCTGATGAGTTACTTACTAACCAAGCTCCTGGAAACCAGGTTCGCACTGACCAGGCACAAGACCCCACTGACTAGGTCTTCATGACAAGGCCCTCGCTGCCCGGACTCCACTAACTAGGCCTCATGAATGAGACTTTGACTGGTAATGTCTTTGCTGGTTATGCCTCCACTGTCCAGGCTTCCAGTCATCATGTCCCCTTGGGCCACGTCCCTCCTGACTGAACAGTCCCCCAGTGTCTATTCCCCGCACTGACTAGGCCCTCACATCCAAGTCCCACTGACCAGATATTCTGGCCAGGTTTTCACCGACTAGGTCCCACTGCCAGACTCTAAGAACTAGGCCCTACTGGCCAGGCACCCTCTGACCAGGTTTCTGCTGACAAGAACCTGCTGAAAGGTGTTCGCTGAGTAGGTCAGTCCTAACCAGATCATCCATGATCAGGTCCCCACTGATCATGTTTCCACTGACCAGGCCCAAAAGGACTAGGCCCCAGTGACCAGGCCCATCACTGAGCAGGCGCTGCTGACATAGAACAGGCCCCCACTGTCAGGCCCCCACTGACTAGGCCACAATGACTATGTCTCAGCTGACCAGGCCCTGATGATTAGGTTTAATGGACAAAACCCTCGTTGACCAGGTCCCACTGGCCAGGTCCCCACTGACCAGGTCCCCATAGATGAGACTCTGAGTTACCAGGACCCCACTGACCAGACATCTACAGACTAGGCCCCAATAACCAAGACCCACTGACCAGGCCCTCACTCACTGGGCTCCAACTGATGAGATTCTGACTGACCAGGTCCTTAGTGACCAGACTAGGTCACTTATTGACTAGGCCCCACTACCCAGGACCCCAATTACCAAGCCCCCACTAACCAGGTCCCAAGTCACCAGACCCCCACTAACTGTCCCAACTGACAAGGCCCCCACTGCCGAGGCTTCCACTGACCAGGTCCACACTGACCAGGCCTCGAGAGATGAGGCCCGACTTACCAAGAACCCACTGACCAGAGAGACCTCCACTGACTGGGCCCAACTGACAAGGGCCCCACCGACAGGGACCAACTAACAGGGTTCCAACTGACCATGTTTTTACTGACCAGACTTTACTGACCAGGCCCCACAGCTCAGTATCCAGTGACCAGACCCTCACTGACTAGGTCTCACTGTAAGGCCTCAAGTGACCAGGCCTCACTATCCAGGACACACTCATGAGGCTTCTACTGCCAGGCCCCCACTGATTGGGCCCAACTGAGGAGGCCCTCACTGACCAGGTCCTTAACTGATGAGATTCCAACTGACCAGGTCCTTAGTGACCAGACCTTTACTGACCAGCCCCTACTAACCAGGACCCCACTGAACAGGTCCTCACTGACAAGATCCCAGTTGATCATGTCCCCAGTGTCCAGGTTTCACTGACTAGGCCCCACCAACCTGGTCCCCTGACAAGCCTCCAACTGACCAGGTCTCCACTGACTGGGACCCAACTTACGAGGCCCATTAGCCAGGCCTCACTGACCAGGACTCCACTGACTGGGCCCCATCTGATGAGGTTCTGATTGACCAGGTCCTTAATGACCAGGCCTTTACTGACCAGGCCCCACTACCCATGAGCCCAGTGACCAGACCCTCACTGACCAGGTTCCACGGCCAGGCCTCCAGTGACCAGGCCTCACTATCCAGAACCCACGGATGAGGCTTTTGCTGCCAGGCTGACTGCGCCCAACTGACAAGATTCCAACTGACCACTTCCTTCACTGATGAGGTCCCAACTGACCATGTCCTTAACTGACAAGGTTCCACCTGCCCAGGTCCCAACTGACCAGGTCCTTAACTGATGAAGTTCTGACTGGCCAGGTCTTTAATAACCAGACCTTTACTGACCCATTAACCGGGACCCCAATGACCCAGAACTTTACTGACCAGGCCCCACTAGCCAGGACCCCAATGATCAGGCCCCACTGACCAGGCCTCAATTGATGAGGCCTCAACTTACCAGGACCCCAGACCACCACTGACTAGACCCCACTAGCCAGGACCCCCTGATGAGGCCTCCACTTCTAGGCCGCCACTGACTGGGCTATACTCACAAAACCCCCAATCAGACCTCCAGTGACCAGTCCTCACTGTCCAGGACCCACGGATGAGGCTTCCACTGCCAGGCCTCCACTGACTGGGCCCAACTGACAAGGCCCCCTCTGTCAACGTCTCCACTGACTGGGCCTTAAATGACGAGGTTCTGACTGACCAGGTCCTTACTGAACAGACCTTTACTGACCAGGCCCCACTAATGAGGACTCCAAAGACCAGGCCCCCACAGACAAGACCACAGTTGATTATGCTCCTGGTGGCCACGTTTCGCTGACTAGGCCCCACTGACAAGTCCCTCACTCCCTAGGTCCCCATTGACCAGGCCCCAAATGATGAGGCCTCAGCTTACTAGGACCCCACTGACCAGACCTCCACTGAGTAGGCCCCACTAGCCAGGCCCCACTGATAGGCCCCCCAATTCCAGACCCCACTGACCAGGTCCCTCCACTGACTGATGAGGTTCCCACTGACCAGGTCCTTAATGATCAGACCTTTACTGGCTAGGCCCCACTACCCAGGACCCCAGTAGCCAGGTCCCCACTGACCAGGTCCCTACTGAACAGACCTCCACTGACTGGGCCCCCATTGCCAGATTTCCACTGACCGGGCCTCATTGACCAGGTTTCCACTGACCAGGACCCCAATAACCAGGTCACACTCACCAGGCCCCCACTGACCACATTTCAGCTGACCAGGCCCATGCTGACCAGGACACACTGGTGTAGCCCCAAGTGACCAGGCCCTCTGACCAGTCCTCTCTGACCAGGTCCCCGCAGACCGGGTCCTCACTGACCAGGCACCTGCTCACCAGGCTTCCTCTGACTAGGTCTCCAATGATTGTGTCCCCATTGACCAGGCCCCCACTGACCAGGTGCTATTGACCAGGCTGCTGCTGACCAGGTCAGCACTGACCAGACCCCCACTCACAAGGACCTATTCGCCAGGCCCTGCTGACCAGGTCCCACATGACTCCACTGAATAGGTTCCACTGATGTGGCCCCAATAACTCAGCTATATTAGTGTGTTCTTGCATTGCCATAAAAAAACACCTGAGACTGGGAAATTTATAAAGAAAAGAGGTTTAATTGGCTCATGGTTCTAAAGGCTGTACAGGAAGCATGATGCTGGTATCTATTCGGCTTCTGGAGAGGCCTTAGGAAACTTTCAATGATGGTGGAAGGTGAAAGCGTAGCAGGCACGTCTTTGCTTTTTTTTTTTTTTTTTTTTGAGATGGAGTCTCGCTCTTTCGCCCAGGCGGAAGTGCAGTGGCGCGATCTTGGCTCACCGCAAGCTCCGCCTCCCAGGTTCACGCCATTCTCCTGCCTCAGCCTCCCGAGTAGCTGGGACTACAGGCGCCCGCCACCGTGCCTGGCTAATTTTTTGTATTTTTAGTAGAGACGGGGTTTCACCGTGTTAGCCACGATGGTCTCGATCTCCTGACCTCGTGATCCGCCCACCTCAGCCTCCCAAAGTGCTGGGATTACAGGCGTGAGCCACCGCGCCCGGCCACAGGCATGTCTTACGTGGCTGGAGCAGGAGGAAGTGTGGGGGGAGGTGCCACACACTTTTAAACAACCAGATGTCATGCAAACTCTCTCACAAGAACAGCGCTAAGGGGATAGTGCTAAACCATTAATGAGAAACCGCCCCATGATCCAATCACTTTCCACCAGGTCCTACCTCCAACACTGGGGATTCCAATTCAACATGAGATTTGGGCGGGGACACAGATTCAAACCATATTGTTCCACCTCTGGTCTCTCCCAAATCTCATGTCCTTCTCATATTTCAAAATACTACCGGCTGCGTGCAGTGGTTCACGCCTGTAATCCCAGCACTTTGGGTGGCCGAGGCAGGCAGATCAGAAGGTCAGGAGATCGAGACCATCCTGGCCAACAAGGTGAAACCTCATCTCTACAAAAATACAAAAAATTAGCCAGGCATGGTGATGGAGGCCTGTAGTCCCAGCTACTGGGGAGGCTGAGGCAGGGGAATCATCTGAACCCAGGAGGCAGAGATTGCAGTGAGCTGCGATCGCACCACTGCACTCCAGCCTGGTGACAGAGGGAGACTCTGTCTCAAAAAACAAACAAACAAACAAACAAACAAACAAACAAACAAACTACCATGCCTTCTCAACAGTCCTGCAAATATTTAACTCATTCCAGCATTAACTCAAAAGTCCACAGTCCAAAGTCTTATCTGAGACAAGGCTAGTCCCTTCTGCCTATGACCCTGTAAAATAAGAAACAAGTTTGTTACTTCCAAGATACAATGGGGGTATAGGCATTGGATCAACATTCCCATTCTAAAAGGAAGAAATTGGCCAAAAGAAAGGGGCTACAAGCCTACACAAGTCCAAAACCAAGCAGAGCAGTCATTAAATCTTAAAGCTCCAAAATAACTTCCTTTGACCTCCTATCCCACATCAAGGGCGTGCTGGTACAAGGGGTGGGCTCCCAAAGCCTTGGGCAGCACCACACTTGTGGCTTTCCAGGGTTTAGCACCTGTAGATGCTCTCAAGGGCTGGCCTTGAGTACTTGTAGCTTTTTCAGGCTGAGAGTGCAAGCTGCCAGTGGATCTACCATTATGATGTCAGGAGGACAGTGGTTCTCTTCTCATAGCTCCACTAGGAAGTCCTCCAGTGGGACTCTGTGTGGGGGCTCCAACCCCACATTTCCCCTCCACACTGCCCTGGTAGAGATTCTCCATGAGGGTTCCACTCGTGCAGCAGGCTTCTGCGTGGACATCCAGACTTTTCCATGAATCTTCCTAAATCTAGGTGAAGGTTTCCAAGCTTCAACTCTTGCACTTTGCACTGCAATGGTAGTGCAGGTCCACTGAACCATCAAAGACCAGGTACATGCCTCTGCCTGGTGTTCTCAACTCATCCACCAGTGTGGAGCTGTCATCCCACTTTTCATTACGGTCATCATCGCTGCCCTGGCTGGCCTGGCTGCCACCAGAATTGCTGAGGTGATGACTGCAGGTTCCCCAGTCCCCGGCTCTGGAAAGCCTGCACTGGCAGCTGGAAGGCCCCTGGTGGTGGCACTTGTTGTGGCTGCAGCAGCAGCTAGAGGGCTTTGGGAGGCAGCTTCGAGGAGGTGGGTACCATGGTGAGAAGGGCCTTGAAGCCTCTGGGTGACACATTGCCCTAGCAGGCTGGGGCACCAGGGCTGCTGTCACTCACCAGGCCTGGCCTAGGGGCAATGGAGTGAGGCCTTGTCTCTAAGAAGCATCTGCATGACAGAAAACATTTCTATACTATACGTCTGATAATGCATTAATATCACAAATGTATAAAAACTCAAACAGTCCAACAGCAAGAAAACAAATACTATAAAATATTAGCAAAGGACTTGATATAGACATTTCTCAAAGAAGACATGCATATGAGCAAAAAGTACATGAACAAAAGCCCAAGTTCAATAATCATCAGAGAAATGCAAATTAAAACCAGAATGAGATGTCACCTCACATCTGTTAGAATAGCTATTTCAAAAAGTTTGAAGTGCACTGAGTCTGGATCTTTAGTATCTTTATTTCACTACTTCTTCTAATGTAAGGATTTGGTTTGTTAGTCTTTGATGTGTCTTTTTTTTTGAGATGGAGTCTCACTCTGTTGCCCAGGCTGGAGTGCAGTGGCGCGATCTTGGCTCACTGCAACCTCCAACTCCTGGGTTCAAGCGATTCTCCTGCCTCAACCTCCCGAGTAGCTAGGACTACAGACACGCACCACCACGCCCAGCTAACTTTTGTATTTTTACTAGAGATGGGGTTTCACCATGCTGGCCAGGATGGTCTGAATCTCTTGACCTCATGATCTGCCCACCTTGGCCTCCCAAAGTGTTGGGATTACAGGTGTGAGCCACCACGCCCGGCCTCAATGTGTCTTTTTATGGTTTTCAGTAAAGTTTTATGGTTTCACATAGGCCTGGGAATGTCTTCTAAGTCGATTTCATGGCACGTTTGCTAATGTGGATGGAGGCTGACTCTTTGTTATTGTTACTGTATGTTTATTATTAGTATGAAAGATTCAAGATTTATTATATATACAATGTGCATTTGCTCAATTTCCTGAATGTTGTTAAACAGTTTTTGTTCTGAAAGTTGAAATCGATTACCCTGCTTTTCTATTTGTACTCATGGCCTCTGTGGATAACTACAGTTCAAATTCTTTGACTTACATTCTTTCCTGTTTCCTCCTCTTCTCTCTTCTGGTCCAGACTCAGGCATCCCTCACAGTGATAAATGGGAGAGGCCTTGCCGGCCCTTGTCTTAGACTTTTCTTTATTGAAACACTTCTGATGTTTGCTGTTGATTATGATGTTTGCACAAATATCTTTGCTTAATAAGAATTTTATTTTTGCCTTTTCCCTTCCTTCCCTCCCTTCCTTCCTTCCTTCCTTCCTTCCTTCCTTCCTTCCTTCCTTCCTTCCTTTCAAAGCATGATCTCTGATGTTTCTTAGGCTGGAGTGCAGTAGCTAGTCACAGATGGAATCATAGCTCACTGCAGCCTCAAACTCCTGGGCTCAAGCAATTCTCTCACCTCAGCCTCCTGAGTAGCTGGAACTGCAGTCATGTGCCACCATTCCCAGCCAGAAGTTTCTATTATCCTATTTGGTATTCTTAATCATCACATATTTTATTCAAGGATATACTAAAGTGATTACATATTTTTTCTACTGTAGTCTTTTGATCAAATAAAGAACCTAAATAATTTATTTTTTGAGACAGAGTCTTGCTCTGTCACCCAGGCCGCAGTGCAGTGGTGCCATCACAGCTCACTGCAACCTCTGCCTCCTGGGTTCAAGCAATTATCCTGCCTTAGCCTCCTGAGTAGCTGGGACTACAGGCGTGTGCCACCACACCTTGCTAATTTTTGTCTTTTTAGTAGAGACGGGGTTTCACCATGTTGGTCAGGTTGGTCTCAAACTCCCGACCTCAGGTGATCTGCCCACCTTGGCCTCCCAAAGCATTGGGATTATAGGCGTGAGCCACTGTGCCCAGCCTTGATTTTATTTTTAATAGTAAAATGTACTTGAATAGTTTTTGGCGTAATCTGGTAGTAGAAATACACAAGATATCACCATTAGATACTGCTAATCAAACACTTAAAAGGTGCAAGTATCCAGGTGATTTTGTATACAATCTGGGTCTTTTTGTCAGACTAACGAGTATAATGAGATTTGATATTTGCTTCTGATGTTGCTGGACAAACTGGGTAAAGAAAAGGATTAAGTCAGGGATTCCAAGTTTTTAATACAAGTACTGCATTAATATCCTAAAAATTTATATGTAGCCCTGAAGAAGATACTTAACTCCTGCAGCTTCAGGGCTCAAAATGCTGAAAAGAAATCATAGCATCTCATCCCATAACTGGCTGAATTACAACAAAAATTAAATTCCCAGGCTTGCAGGATGCCTACTTTTAAAGTGGGGGTATTCATTCAGAAAACATTGGATATTAAAAAGTTAAAATGAGGGCCAGGTGCGGTGGCTCACACCTGTAATCCCAGCATTTTGGGAGGCTGAGGTGGGAGGATCACCTGAGGTTGGGAGTTCGAGACCAGCCTGGCCAACATGGAGAAACCCCTTCTCTACTAAAAATACAAAATTAGCTGGGTGTAGTGGTGCATGTCTGTAATCCCAGCTACTCAGGAGGCTGAGGCAGGAGAATCACTTGAAGCCGGGAGGTGGAGGTTTCGGTGAGCCGAGATCGCACCATTGCACTCCAGCCCCTGGGCAACAAGAGTGAAACTCTGTCTCAAAAAAAAAAAAAAAAGAAAAAAGAAAAGAAAGAATGAAATGCTGGATCTTCATTGGTTTGCTATAAAGTGATTCAAAAGCTTTGAAAGATTTGAATGATAAAGTGTATTTTTCCTTTAAAACATACTCAACTGAGGAAGATCCAGGAGATACACCATTCATCATAACTGTGAGACATACATTTGTGAGAGGAGTCCCAGTATCTCCAAAGAGCTTGATCACCACACTTCTCTGTAGGACAGAACTTACAATGAAGATTGTTGCCACCGAAATGAAAAATCTAAATGCATTGGTTATAACCGGATCTCGGGACTGCAGGATTTAAGTGGCAGCACTCAACTGCAGCTGTGAAAAAAATGGTGGGAATGGTTATTTAACAGACTGCAAAGTCAAAGCAAGCAATAAGAATAGTTTGACTCATGGGCTTCCTAGAATTAGAATAGAGGGCGCAGTGGCTCATGCCTGTAATCCCAGCACTTTGGGAGGCCGAGGCGGGAGGATCACCTGAGTTCAGGAGTTTGAGACCAGCCTGACCAACATTGAGAAACCCCATCTCTACTAAAAATACAAAATTAGCTGGGTGTGGTGGCGCATGCCTGTAATCCCAGCTACTCAGGAGGCTGAGGCAGGAGAATCGCTTGAACCCGGAAGGCAGAGGTTGCGGTGAGCTGAGATTGCACTGAGCTGAGATCATACCATTGCACTCCAGCCTGGGCAATAAGAGCGAATCTCTGTCTCAAAAAAAAAAAAAAAAAAAGAATTAGAATAGACAGGAAGACTACTAAGTTTTTACTTGATCTATATAAGTAGAAAAGTTCAAGTCAAACAAAGCCAAACCTGAATTATGAAACAAAAAACAAAACCAAAGATTTATGGCTTCTCAATTTTTTTTTTTTTTGAGATGGAGTGTCACTCTGTCACCCAGGCTGGAGTGCAGTGGCGCAACCTCGGCTCAATGCAACCTCCACCTCCTGGGTTCAAACACTTCTCCTGCCTTGGCCTCCCGAGTAGCTGGGATTACAGGTGCGTGCCACCACGCTGGCTACTTTTTGTATTTTTTTTAGTAGAGATGGGGTTTCACCATGTTGGTCAGTCTGGTCTTGAACTCCTGACCTTGTGATCCACCTGCCTCGGCCTCCCAAAGTGCTGGGATTACAGGTGTGAGCCACCACACCTGGCTTGGCTTCTCAATTAATTTCCAGTCTCGAATTAGTTTATAGACCCAGAACTCCTTGAATCAATGAGATGCTGGGTCCCTATGAGGAAGAAATCCAGTATACTATTACAAATATATACTGTTAATTTGTCCCCCTCTTTTCCCCAAAGAAAACTATGGCCTTTTACCGGAGAACCTTTGCATTGGGAAAAAAGAAATAATCAGACCTTTGAGGAATTACTGAATACAGTTTCTGAACTGATACTAATTCCAGGAGAACTGAAATGACATTGCAGGGCATTTACCAGAGTAGGAGCTTATGGAGGTCAGGCGATCAATGGAGTTTTGAATCAATTCTAATTCCCAGTTGGCCTGGTGGGTTTCTCAAACCACCCTTCGGTTATCTTCCCCGTTCTGGAATACATAATTAGATTAGACATACTCAGCAACTGGTAGAATGCCAAACTGGTTCCCTGACCAGTGGAGCGAGAGCTATTTTGGTAAAAAAAGGTCAAGATGAAGTCATCAGAACTGCGTATTCCTAGGAAAAAGTCAACCAAAAGCAACAGCACATTCGTACAGGGATTTCAGAGACTGAGGCCACCAGGAAGGTCTTAAAAGATCCAAGGGTAGGCTGGGAGAGGTGGCACTTTGGGAGTGCTGAGTTCAGATTTGGGAGCCCGCCGAGGTGGGCGGATCATGAGGTCAGGAGTTGGAGACCAACATGGTGAAACCCCACCTCTACTAAAAATACAAAAAAAGTTAGCCGGGCGTGGTGGCATGCACCTATAATCCCAGCTACTCGGGAGGCTGAGGTAGGTGAATCGCTTGAACCCAGGAGGCAGAGGTTGCAGCGAGCTGAGATCGTGCCACTGCACTCCAGCCTGGGTGACAGAGCTAGACTTGGTCTCAAAAAAAAAAAAAAAAGGAACCATCCAAGGGTCATGGCTCTCATTTCATCCTATGTAAGTCACTGAATAAACATAAGAGATCTTGGAGAATTATACTGGATAAACGTAAGCTTAAATCATATGGAGACTCCCATTGCAGTTGTTGTACCAGATGTTGTTTTATTACTTGAGCAAATATACACATCCCTGGTACCTAGTGTACAGCTATTCATCTGCCTAATACTTTTTTTTCTCTATCATTGTTAATAAATACCACCAGAAGCAGTTCGCTTTCAGGTGGCAAAGACAGAAACACACCGTCACTGTCCTACCTCACACACTAGTAATTGGCTCGGGCTTCTGTAACAGCATGCCGACTGAGTGACTTAATCAATGTATTTTCTTCTCACAGTTGCAGAAGGTAGAAGTTATAATCAAGATCATCAGAACTGGCATCTGGTGAGATCTCTCTCCTTGGGTTGTAAGTGACCACCTTCTCTATGTCCTTCCATGGACTTTCCTCTGTGCTTTTGTGGTAAGGGAGATCTCTAATGTCTCTTTCTCTTCTTATAATGACTTTTTTTTTTATAGAACCCTAGCCTTATAACCTCATTTAACCTTTTTTTGTTTGTTTGTTTGTTTTGTTTTGTTTTGAGACAGAGTCTCGCTCTTGTTGCCCAGGCTGGAGTGCAACGGCACAATCTCGGCTCACTGCAACCTCCACCTCCTGGGTTCAAGTGATTCTCCTGCCTCAGCCTCCCTAGTGGCTGGGATTACAGGCGCCCGCCACCACGCCTGGCTAATTTTTTTTATTTTTCATAGAGATGGGGTTTCACTATATTGGCCAGGCTGGTCTCGAACTCCTGACCTCAGGTGATCCACCCGCCTCAGCCTCCCAAAGTGCTGGGATTACAGGCGTGAGCCACCGCGCCCGGCTCTCATTTAATCTTAATTACCTCCGTAAAGGCCTATCTCCAATTACAGTCACATTGAGGGTTAGAGCTTCAACATATATATTTTAGAGGGACATAGTTCAGTCAATAATAGTGATATATCAACTCTTCAGCCTTATGTTACAGCTTAGTTTGCTGGGATCTTGGTCACCTTTTCCTTCCACAAACTATCACACTGGTTCTTTACATTGATGGTATTATGCTCATTGAATATAGTGAGCAAGAAACTCACTAGACTTATTGGTATGAGAAGCTCACTCTAGACTTACTGGTATGAAATTTATGTCAGGATGTAGGACATTAATCCAACAAAATTTCAGAAGCCTTCTATCTTTGTGAGATTTATAGGGTCCCAATGGTTTGGGACATGCCAACGTATCCCCTGGAAGCAGAGGAGTAAGTTGTTATATTTGGCTTCTACTACAACAAAAAAGAGGCACAACTCTAGTGGGCCTTTTGATTTTGAAGGTAACATATTTCTCATTTGGTAAGTTACTCTGGCCCATTTACCCTGTGACCCAAAAAGCTGCTAGCTTTTCTTTACTCAGCAGAAAAGAATATTCTACATCAGATCCAGGCTGTCGTGTCACTTGGGTCATGTCTTCCAATAGAGTCAAAGGTGCTGAAATTGTTGATGGCAGATACAGATGATCTTTGGAGCTTCTGGAAAGCTCCTGTGTTAATCACAGGAAAGATTTTGGAGGAAAATCATGCCATCCTATGTAGATAATTGCTCTTTTTCTTTTCTTTTCCCTTCTCCCCTCCCCTCCCCTTCCTTCCTTTCTTTTCTTTTTTTCTTTCTTTTTTTTTTTTGAAACAGCTTTTGGCCTGTTCCTGGGGCACAGAAAATACACTGGAAAAATTTATATTGTTAAAATGTCCATGCTGGCCAGGCATGGTGGCTCATGCTTATAACCCCAGCAGTTTGGGAGGCCAAGGCAGGTGGATTGCTTGAGCTCAGGAGTTCAAGACCAGCCTGGGCAACATGGTGAAACCTTGTCTCTACAGAAAATACAAAAATTAGCCCGGCATAGTTTTGCATGCCTGTGATTCCAGCTACTTGGAGGCTGAGGTGAGAGGATTGATTTAGCCCAGGAGGTTGAAGCTGCAGTGAGCCATGATTGTGCCACTGCACTTCAGCCTGGGTGATACAGCAAGACCCTGTCTCAAAATAAAATAATAAAATAAAATAAAATAAAATAAAAGTCCATGCTTCCCAAAGTGATATAGAAAGTAAATGCAAGCCCTATCCAAACCCCAATGGCATTTATTATTAAACTAGACAAAAATAATTACAGATTTACTTGGAACCAAAAGAGACCTTAAACAGTCAAAGCAGTATTGAGCAAGATGAACAAAGCTGACGATATTATACTCTCTGATTTCAAAACATTAGAAAGCAATGCCATCAAAACAAGATAGTACTGGCATAAAAACAGACATAAAGAACAATGGAACAGAATGGAGAGTCCCAGAATAAATCTAATATATGCATACAATCAACTGATCTTCAACAAGGGTGCCAAAAATACACAACAGAGAAATGAGAGTCTTTTAAGTAAATAGTGCTGGAAAAATTGGATCTCTATATGCAAAAGGATAAATGTGGACTCTTACTTCATACCATATTAAAAATTAACTTAAAATGGATTAAATATTTAAACATAAGACCTGAAAACATAAAATGGCTAGAAAAAAAATATGGAAAAATTTTCAGAACTTTGGACATTGAGATGCTTTTTTTTAAATTAGACTTCAAAAGAACAGGCAACAGGCCGGGTGTGGTGGCTCACACCTATAATCCCAGCATTTTGGGAGGCTGAGGCAGGCGGATCACCTGAGGTCAGGAGTTGGAGACCAGTCTGGCCAACATGGCAAAACCCCATCTCTACTAAATCTATTTTAAAGATTATTTGGGTGTGGTGGTGCACTCCTGTAGTTCTGGCTACTCAGGAGGCTGAGGCAGAACTGCTTGAACCTGGGAGGCAGAGGTTGCAGTGAGCCAAAATTGCATCACTGCACTCTAGCCTGGGCAACAGAATGAGACCCTGTCTCAAAAAAACAAAATAGTAAGACAAAGAACAGGCAATAAAATCAGGACAGACAAGTGGGACTACCTCGAATAGAAAAACTTCTGAACAAAGGACAAATTCAACAAATGAAAAGGCAACTTAAGGAATGAGAAAAAAATAGTTGCCAATAATATATCTGATAAAGGGTTAATATCCAAAAATACAAGGAATTTCTACAACTCAATAGCAAACCCCAAATAACAAGATTAATAAATGAGTAATGACCTAAATAAACATTTCTCCAAAGAAGACATAAGAATGGCCACAGGTATATTTTAAAAAATGCTCCGTGTCATTAAATGTCAGTCAAATGCAAATTTAAGTCACAGTGAGGCATCACCTCACTCTTGTGAGGACAGGTATATTAAAAACAAACAAGCGTGCTAAAGTTATGAAGATACTGGAACTTTTGTACACAGCTGGCAGGAATTAAAATTGGCAGCAACAATGGAAAACAACATACAGTTGTCTCAAAAAGTTAAAAACAGAATTATAGGTCGGGTGTGGTGGCTCATGCCTGTAATCCCAGCACTTTGGGAGGCCGAGGTGGGAGGATCACTTGAGGTCAGGAGTTCAAAACCAGCCTGGCCAACATGGTGAAACCCTGTCTCTACTAAAAATACAAAAAAAAAGTAGCTGTGAGTGGTGGTGCGCACCTGTAATCCCAGCTACTCGGGAGGCTGAGACAGGAGAATTGCTTGAACCCGGGAGGCAGAGGTTGCAGTGAGCTGAGATCGCACCACTGCACTAAAGCCTGAGTGACAGAGTGAGACTCCGTCTCGAAAAAAAAAAAAATTACAGTTTGATTCATTAAACTCAATTCTGGGGATACATCCAAAGGGAATATAATTTGGATCTTGAAGAGCTACATAGTTCTGTGTCTATTACAGCATTATTCACAATAGCCAAGATATGGAAGCCACCTAAATGTCCATGAAGGATACATGAATGTGTCAAGTAAAGGTAGTATATACATGCAATAGAATATTAGCCTTAAAAAGGGAGTAAATCTTTTCTTTTCTTTTTTTTTTGAGATGGAGTCTCTGTCACCCAGGCTGGAGTGCAGTGGCGCGATCCTGGCTTACTGCAACCTCTGCCTCCTGGGTTCACACCATTCTCCTGCCTCAGCCTCCCGAGTAGCTGGGACTACAGGCGCCCACCACCATGCCTGGCTAATCTTTTGTATTTTTAGTAGAGACGGGGTTTCACCGTGTTAGCCAGAATGGTCTCGATCTCCCAAACTCAGCTGATCAGCCTGCCTCGGCCTCCCAAAGTGCTGGGATTACAGGCGTGAGCCACCGCGCCCGGCCAGTAAATCTTTTCATTTGTGACAACATGAATGTACCTGAAGGATACTAAGGTACACATTAAGGCACGATTGAAAGAAGCCAGACATAGAAAGACAAATACATCATGATCTCACATACATGTGAAATATGAAGTAATTATACGTGTAGAGGCAGAGAGTAGAATGGTGTTTTCCAGAAGCTGAGCTGAAAGAAAAACGGGGGTTGGGGGGATACAAAGTTTCAGTTACCCAAAATGAACAAACTGGTCTGGATAGTGGTTTTTTTTTTTTTTTTTTTTAGTAAAACCATAAAAGCTCAGGCAACGAAAACAAAAACAAATGGGGTTATATCAACCCAAAATGCTTCTGCATAGCAAAAAAAAAAAAAAAAAAAAAAAAAAAATTAACAAGGTAAAGAGAAAAGCTACAGAATGGCAGAAAGTATTTTCAAAATACCCACCCAATAAGGTATTAATAACCAGAATATACAAAGAACTCAAATGACTTAATAGCAAAAAACAAACAAAAAAAGAATCTAAATTTAAAATGGGAAAGGATCTAACCAGATACTTCTCAGCCAGGTGCAGTGGCTCACGCCTATAATCCCAACACTCTGGGAAGCTGAGGCGGGTGGATCACTGGAGCTCAGGAGGTCAAGACCAGCCTGGGCATCATTTTTTGTAGAGGTGAAATACCACCTCTACAAAAAATTCGCTGGGTATGGTGGTGCACACCTATAGTCCCAGCAACTTGGGAGTCTGGGATGGGAGGATGGCTTGAGCCTGGGGAGGTTGAGGCTGCAGTGAGCTGTGATTATGCCACTGCACTCTAGCGTTGGTGACAGAGAGACACTGTCTCAAAAAAACCCCAAAAAACAAAAAGCAAACCCAACAACAGACTCCTGTCTTCAGCCAAAAAGACCAGGAAAGACACCTTATCAAACAAAACTTTTATCCAATGTGCCTTCTATGCTGGGATAAAATGAGGGTAGATACAATAGGCTTTCTTTCCCTTTTGTGTTTTATAAATTGTATTTGAATATCAAGGAACAATTGAAACATTGTTAACTACGATAATTTCTGAATATAATGTAATACGTTGATCTAACACTAAAAAAGCTATACTCAAAAACACTACAAATAAATGAAATTTTAAAACATGTTCAAATTATCTACATGAAGAAAGTAAAAATCACACAGAGGAACAAAACAGAGAGAACAAACAGAAAACAACGTATCAGGCTAGTTTTAACAAAATTAACTTAACTGTTAAATGTTCTGAATTAACCAAGTAGATCTCCGCTGACACACAACAAAAACATGCTGGCCAAAGTGGATGAGGTGAAGTTCACAATCAACACCCAAATGAAGAAGGTGCTATGTCTGGCTGTGGCTGTCAGCCACGTGAAGATGACAGACGATGTTACACACAGACGATGTGTGTAACATTCACCTGGCTGTAAACTTCCTGATGTCACTGCTCACGGAAAACCGGCAGAATGTCCGGCCCTTATATAACAAGAGCACCACCGGCAAGCCCTAGCACCTGTATTAAGGCACATTTGAATAAATTCTACTGCCACCAGTCAAAAATAAATAAATAAAATAAAATAATCAATTAGAGACAAAGATTGAAAACATTGATTTTTTTTTTTTTTTTGAGACGGAATCTCCTCTGTCGCCCAGGCTGGAGTGCAGTGGCGAGATCTTGGCTTACTGCAAGCTCCGCCTCCCAGGTTCACGCCATTCTCCTGCCTCAGCCTCCCGAGTAGCTGGCACTACAGGTGCCCGCCACCACGCCCGGCTATTTTTTATGTATTTTTAGTAGAGACGGGGTTTCACCGTGTTAGCCAGGATGGTCTCGATCTTCTGACTTCGTGATCCGCACGCCTCAGCCTCCCAAAGTGCTGGGATTACAGGCGTGAGCCACTGTTCCCGGCCTGACAACACTGATTAATAAATATGACCATGCATATTCTCTTTAGAAGAAACTCACTTCCAATATAAAAAGGTAAATTTAGAATAAGCCCTCTCCCTCTCCCCCTCCCCCTCCCTCTCCCCTTTGCACGGTCCTCGTCTCCCCTTTGCACAGTCTCCCTCTGATGCGGAGCCGAGGCTGGACGGTACTGCCGCCATCTCGGCTCACTGCAGCCTCCCTGCCTGATTCTCCTGCCTCAGCCTGCCGAGTGCCTGCGATTGCAGGCGCGCGCCGCCACACCTGATGGTTTTCGTATTTTTTGGTGGAGACGGGGTTTCGCCGTGTTGGCCGGGCTGGTCTCCAGCTCCTGACTGCGAGTGGTCTGCCACCCTCGGCCTCCCGAGGTGCCGGGATTGCAGACGGGGTCTCGCTCACTCAGTGCTCAATGTTGCCCAGGCTGGAGTGCAGTGGCGTGATCTCGGATCGCTACAACCTCCACCTCCCAACTGCCTGCCTTGGCCTCCCAAAGTGCCGAGATTGCAGCCTCTGCCCGGCCGCCACCCCGTCTAGGAAGTGAGGAGCGTCTCTGCCTGGCCGCCCATCGTCTGGGATGTGAGGAGCCCCTCTGCCCGGCCGCCCAGTCTGGGAAGTGAGGAGTGCCTCTTCCCGGCCATCATCCCGTCTAGGAAGTGAGGAGCGTCTCTGTCTGGCCGCCCATCATCTGGGATGTGGGGAGCACCTCTGCCCTGCCGCCCCATCTGAGATGTGAAGAGTGCCTCTGCCCGGCCGCGACCCCGTCTGGGAACTGAGGAGTGTCTCTGCCCCGCCGCCACCCCATCTGGGAGGTGAGGAGCGTCCCTGCCCGGCCGCCCCGTCTGAGAAGTGAGGAGCCCCTCCGCCCGGCAGCCGCCCCATCTGGGAAGTGGGGGGCAGCTCCCGTCCGGCCAGCCGCCCCGTCCGGGAGGTGTACCCAACAGCTCATTGAGAACGGGCCATGATGACAATGGCGGTTTTGTCGAATAGAAAAGGGGGAAATGTGGGGAAAAGAAAGAGAGATCAGATTGTTATTGTGTTTGTGTAGAAAGAAGTAGACATAGGAGACTCCATTTTGTTCTGTACTAGGAAAAATTCTTCTGCCTTGGGATGCTGTTAATCTATAACCTTACCCCCAACCCCGTGCTCTCTGAAACAGGTGCTGTGTCCACTAAGGGTTAAATGGATTAAGGGCGGTGCAAGTTGTGCTTTGTTAAACAGATGCTTGAAGGCAGCATGCTCTAAGAATCATCACCACTCCCTAATCTCAACTACCCAGGGACACAAACACTGTGGAAGGCGGCAGGGCCCTCTGCCTAGGAAAACCAGAGACCTTTGTTCACTTGTTTATCTGCTGACCTTCCCTCCACTATTGTCCTATGACCCTGCCAAATCCCCCTCTCCGAGAAACACTCAAGAATGATCAATAAATACTAAAAAAAAAAAAAAAAAAAAAAAAAAAAAGCAGAATAAAATCAGAAAAAAAAAGGTAAATTTAAAGTATAAGAAGCTGGGCAAGGCGTGGTGGCTCACTCACGCCTGTAATCCCAGCACTTTGGGAGGCTGGGGTGGGCGAATCACTTGAGGTCAGGAGTTCAAGACCAGCCTGGCCAACATAGTGAAACCCTGGCTCTACTAAAAATACAAAAATTAGCCAGGTGTGGTGGCTGGTGCCTATAATCCCAGCTACTTGGGAGGCTGAGGCAGGAGAATCGCTTGAACTGGGGAGGCAGAAGTTGCAGTGAGCCGAGATCACGCCACTGTACTCCAGCCTGGGCAACAGAGTGAGACTCCATATCAAAAATAAATTTAAAATAAATAAATAAAGTATAAGAAGCTGGAAAAAGATACAAGTAATCAAGGAAAGCATGAGTAGTTACAATAATATCGGATAAAGTAGATTTCAGAGAAAAAAATTGAGACATGGAGAGAAATTACATAATGATAAAAAGCTTAATCCACCCAGAAGACCCAGCAGTCCTAAATGTGTAGGCATAAATCAACAGACATGAAAAATGTGAAACAAAAACTGGAACAAACAGAGGAGAAACAGACAATAAGACAAATACACAATTATCGTTGGAGATATTGACATTTTTCTCTAAACAATAGAACAGAGAAAATTTCAGCAGCAAATCTAAAAAAAAGACAACAGTTCAACACCATCATTCATCAACAGGATCTGGTTGACATTTGTAGAGTAATTTAATCAACAGCAGCAGCATATGCATTCTCTTCAAGGGCTCATGGAACATAAAGTAAGATAGACCATCTCCTAGGCCATGAAACAAACTTCAACAAATTTTAAAAATCAGATTACACGGAGTGTGTTCTCGGATCATAATGGAGTCAGACTAGAAATCAATAATGTGAAGACAATGCAAACATCTCCAACTCTTGCAAGCTTGAAGGGGAAGTCCCTGGGAAAACAAAAAATACATTGACCACAAAGATGATGAAAAGACAATGGATCAAAATTTGTAAGACACAACTAAAGCAGTGTACTGAAGAAACTGATGGCACTAAACTCATATATTAGAAAAGGCTGGTCGGGCGCGGTGGTTCAAGCCTGTAATCCCAGCACTTTGGGAGGCCGAGGCCAGGAGATCCAGACTATCCTGGCTAACACGGTGAAACCCGGTCTCTACTAAAAATACAAAAAAAAAAAAAAAAAAAAAAAAAAAATTAGCCGGGCGTGGCAGCAGGTGCCTGTAGTCCCAGGCTGAGGCAGGAGAATGGCATGAACCCAGGAGGCGGAGCTTGCAGTAAGCCGAGATGGCGCCACTGCACCCCAGCCTGGGCGACAGAGCAAGACTGTCTCAAAAAAAAAGAAGAAAAAAAAGAAAAAAACTAAGTCTCCAGATAATCTAATTTTCCACATCGATAACCTGGGAAAAGGTCAAACTTAATAAACTAAACCCAAACAAAAGAAGTATTAAGAAAGAAATAATAAAGATAGGAAGAGAAATAAAGTTGAGACTCAGAAAGTAATAGAGAAAAACCAATAAAACAGACAGCTGATTTTTTTTGAAAAGATCAATTAAATAGACAAACCTCAAGCAAGACTAAGTGGGGGAAAGGACAAGACACAAATTACCCTGTCAGGAATGAAACAAGGGATATCGGCCAGGCGCGGTGGCTCACGCCTGTAATCCTAGTACTTTGGGAGGCTGAGTCAGGTGGATCACAAGGTCAGGAGTTCGAGACCAGCCTGGCCAATATGGTGAAACCCTGTCTCTACTAAAAATACAAAAAATAAAAATTAGCTGGGCGTGGTGGTGGGTGCCTGTAGTCCCAGCTACTCGGGAGGCTGACGCAGGAGAATTGCTTGAACCCAGGAGGTGGAGATTACAGTGAGCCAAGGTCGGGCCACTGCACTCCAGTCTGGCTACAAAGCGAGACTCCATCTCAAAAAAAAAAAAAAAAAAAAAGAAACAAAGGATATCATTACATACCCTGCAGACATAAAAAGAATAATAAAGTGTATTAGTCGTCTAGGGCTGCCATAAGAAAATACCAGAGTCTGGGTGAGTTAAAATAAATCATCTCACAGTTCTGGAGGCTGGAAGTCTAAGATCAAGGTCCCAGGACAGCTGGTTTCTCCTGAGCCCTCTGCGTATGGCGCCACCTTCCTCTGTATCCTCACATGGCCCTTTTCTTTTTTTCTTTTCTTTTCTTTTTTTTTTGAGATGGAGTCTCACTCTGTCACCGAGGCTGGAGTGCAGTGGCACGATCTCGGCTCACTGCGACCTCCGCCCCCCAAGTTCAAGCGATTCTCCTGCCTCAGCCTCCTGAGTAATTGGGATTACAGGCGCCTGCCACCGCGCCCGGCTAATTTTTTTGTATTTTTAGTAGAGACGGGGTTTCACCATCTTGGCCAGGCTGGTCTTAAACTCCTGACCTCGTGATCCACCCGCCTCAGCCTCCCAAAGTGCTGGGATTACAGCCGTGAGCCACCGCACCCGGCAGGGCTTTTTCTTCTAATTGGCCCGTTCTAGTGTTTCTCTGTCCCTTCTCCTTTATTTTATTTATTTATTCATTTATTTATTTATTGAGACAGAGTCTCGCTCTATCTCCCAGGCTGGAGTGCAGTGGCACAATCTCGGCTCACTGCAACCTCCGCCTCCTGGGTTCAAGTGATTCTCTTGCCTTAGTGACCTGAATACAGGTGTGGGATTACAGGTGTGCGCCACCATGCCCAGCTAATGTTTTATTTTTAGTAGAGCCAGGGTTTTGCCATGTTGGCCAGGCTGGTCTCAAACTCCTGGCCTCAAGTGATCCGCCTGCCTTGGCCTCCCAAAGTGCTGCAATTACAGGCGTGAGCCACAGTGCCTGGCCTCTATCTCTTCTTATCATGATGATAGTCATACTGGATTATGGCCTCACTCTGATGACCTCATTTAACCTCAATTACCTCTTAAAAATCTCCCTCTCCATACCCAGTCCCAATGAGGGTTGGGACTTCAATATGAATAACTCTATACACATAAAATTTAACAGCTTAGATGAAATGATTTAATCACTCAAAACATAAATTATTATAATTACCCAATTAAAAAACTGATATTTTTGAATTGCCCTACACTAGGAAGAAACTGAAATCATAATTTTATTTTTTATTTATTTATTTATTTATTTTTTTTGAGATGAAGTCTCGCTCTTGTACCCCAGGCTGGAGTGCAATGGTGTGATCTCGGCTCACTGCAACCTTTGGAATAATGTTCATGAGCCCAAAGACAAGACAACCTTTGGAATAATGTCCATGAGCCCAAAGACAAAATTCCCAGCTTAATAAATGGCCCAACAGCATCAGAATTAGAAGATTTAGAAGTAACTAGAATTCTTCCTAGCTCCACTGGAAAGGATGAACATGGGGGCTCCCGCAAGATAAGTACAGGGCCAGTGGACAGTGACTGGTCTAGTGAGAATAGAATCCCAAAGATCCTGGGAAATAAAATTACACAACAAGCTTCCAGGAAACAAGTGGAACAAACGAGGCAACCTCGCAGATACTACCAGGAATGGATAAGCAGAAGAGGGTCAGAGCCACAAAATCTAAACAAAAGACACCAAACCACAAGAAGCACCCAGCCCTGTGAACACCAGCTGTGGCTACATCTGTACCAATCTTTTCAGACAGCTGCCGTGGGACTGCTGAGAGCAGCCACACACCAAACAGCAGTGCATCTGAACACAAGTCCCAAGACACTCCTCTCTATTAATCCTCATTTTGAGAAGATGGATATGGTTATGTTACAACATCCCCATACAACACTTGTGGGCGAGGGTAATCAGACACCCTCACCTAAAGAGGGCACAGGAAGGAGGAGGATGAAAACAGAGGGCTAGGGAAGGGATGTGTGCTCTGGATCACATAGACTTTCCCCACAGGCACTATTTAAAACAAAAGAAGAGCCCTAGAAATGTGCTGTGGTCTCCCTATACTTCCTCATCTTGCCACATGCATAGGTGCCACGTGGTTTTGTTTTGTTTTGTTTTTTGAGATGGAGTTTCGCCCTTTCGCCCAGGCTGGAATGAAGTGGCTTGACCTAGACTCACTGCAACCTCCGCCCCCCGGGTTCAAGCGATTCTCCTGTCTCAGCCTCCCGAGTAGTTGGGATTATAGCGCCTACCACCACGACCGGCAAATTTTTGTATTTTTAGTAGAGATGGGGTTTCGCCATGTTGACTAGGCTGGTCTTGAACTCCTGACCTCAGGTAATCTACCTGCCTCGGCCTCCCAAAGTGCTGGGATTACAGGCTTGAGCCACTGCGCCTGGCAGATGCCACAATTTTTTTTTCTTTCTTTACACAGGTGCTGATGAACTCAGGTGTAATTAACCCTAAGGGGTAAATTATTCACTAAGTGCAGTAATAGGGTCCAATTTTTATGACCAGGTTTTCAGTTCTTTGATATTGTCCTACATTCAGAAATCACAAATGAAAAATACTGGAATGTGTGACGTGAACAATGTCTTGGAGGTTAACATCCAGGTTTTTACATATTAGATGTAACAACATGAAAGCTGGTACCATCTGGGAACCAAAGGAACTGTCCCTGAGAACACAGAATTTTAGGGACATCAATTATTAAGAGTTTACATGGAAGCAGAAGTGCTCCTAGATGTTTCCATTATCTAGATAGAAAAATTCAACAGATGAGCCCCAGTGAGTCAAGGAACATCTCTGACAGCTGTGGGTGATGGGCTTTCTATCCAAAGCAGAGATGTGAAACCTGACGGGTTTCAATTGACCCCGAAGTGCTCCATATCTCAAAAGTCAATCCCACAAAGCTGGAACGCTATCTGTTCCTGAGGGATCAGGTCCCACCTGTGTCTCTAAGACACTGCCTTGAGATGAGGCCGATGATTTCAAACGTAAATTGCCTAAATTATCATCAGCTTCATGTTGTGTTTTGGAGCTTGTCCACTTAAGTGGGTTGATAAAAAATGGCTCACAAGACACATGCCTGGGAAATGGGGTTTTCTTCTTTGCTCTTGGCAGATCCTGGGCAACCCTATAATTAACCTTCTTGATTTCTCAATTTTCACATTCGCGAAAAAGGTGCCAGTGCGCGTGACATTTCCCTGAAGCCACAGCCCTTGTCACCCCCTGCAAAGCTCTGAAGTTGTGCACAGGTAGGCCAGGTGGCAGATTTCTCTCAAAAGCGGCTGAGCTCGCGCTCTGGCTAGGGAAGGCAGAGGCCTGCGGCACAAAGTACATTGTCTTAGACATCAGGACAGTGTCTATAGCAGTTTAGGAAAGAAGGCGGCTCCCTGGGCTGGAGACGACGCAATGCTCTGGGAAGACCCCTGGGTGCGGGTGAGAGAGGAATCCGAGCTGCACAAGGCCAATGAGGGGAGGACGACCCGCCCGATTTAGATAAAGGTAAGGCATACTTCCTAGCTTAATACCCTCCTCAATGCCCAGCCCAGACCTGCCTTTCACGTCCCTAGCTGTATTCACTCTCCCTGGCGACCGGGCGGCGTAGAATCGGCGGCCAGCAGTGCTTTAGACACAGGTTAAGTGTCTGCCCCTCCCTCCAGGGTTACGCACCACCCCGATGCATACTGGGATTGTAGTTCTGAAGCTACCTACCCATGGGCTGAGAGCAGTAAAGAGACTACAACTCCCAGCATACCAGGCGCGGCGCGCACCGCCCTGCCCCTTCCTCTGGGGTTGCGAACCGCCCCCGAGCCTGGTACAGGCTGGGATTGTAGTCCTGCAGCCTTGTGGCCGAAGGGCTGGGACTGGCCATGAGATTACATGTCCTAGCATGCTCAGCCAGGCGCGCGCAGCTCTGCCCCTTCCTCCAGTGATGCGCACAGTCCCTGATCCCTGTGCACGCTGGGATTGTAGTCCTGCAGCCCTGCGATCACTTGCAGGTAACAAGAAATTTCAGCTTCCGGCATGATGGGCGAAGGCCCCCACCTTCAGCCTCGCTCCTCCATGCCTTCAGAGCTGTTCCGCCATGCAGACGGGGAGCCTGCCTGTTCTTTAACCTCTCCTACCTGATGGGAGAGGACAAGCTACCAGGACAGCTTGTCTCACCAAGAAATTGTGATACCGCATCCCCCAACGTGCTGGCTTCCTGACTTCCAAAGTTGCGGTAAGTTTGATTTCTCACAGAACTGCAAGAGTCCGGGATCGTTTCCCAGCCTGCCCAAAGTTGCCATGGTTCTCACCCTCTGGGAGGTTGGCACACCCAGTGACACCTTGTGTCCCTTGAAACTAATCTGTGTCACCTTTTAGGCTTTTGAGACCACTTGAACTCTGACTTTGTGGCATTTATTACCAAATCTACTAAAATGGGTCAACTGTCAGATTTTAACTCCTTTTCCACACATGTTGGTTAGGTAATCTGTTGATTAGACATGGTTTTCTCCAAAAGGGGATTATCTCTTCCTGATTGCCTCCAAGAGAAGGATGAAACGATTGGGCGCTCTAAGGATCTATTTCCCAAATTTGAGATTCCACACTGATCATTCCTGGGCAAAATGTGTCTTTCTGTTCCATAACCACAATCTTAGGCCAGCCTGAGTGCCATCCCAGCCCAATGGGGGTTATGGAACTCCAACTTAGTTCTGTTTAAGTTTTATGTAAATATCCTTGTCTCTGTTTCACCTGGCTCTGTTAGATAAAATGTCTAGGAGAAAGTAGGAGGTGACAAGAATACAGGTGAAATCATAGGTACTGGAATGGGGCACACTGATTCTGTGGAAGCAGAGGGAGAACAACAACCTAAAACCCAGGGAATGAACAACTTAGACCTCAGGAGCTGTGGGGAATGGAGGGGCATTAATAACTTTTTGTCTTTCTGAATTACCCCTGGTGCAACCCAGAAAAGAGTCTGGGAATCTTGTTGGGCCAGGACAAAAGTAGTTTTAGTTAGACCAGAAGGTAAGGCACAAGCTGTGAATTCATCTCCTCCTTTGGCTCCCCACATTAACCTTAAGAATCCTTTGAGACTGTTCTGTCTCTCTGTGATGTAGGTGTGGAATTCTAGGGGGCAGCGTGCACTCTCAGTGCCCAGCTGTCTGAGACCACAGTTCCCTCAGATGATGAATGATATGGTTTGGCTGTATCCCCACCCAAATCTCATCTTGAATTGTAGCTCCCATAATTCCCGTGTGATATGAGAGGGACCTGGAGGGAGGTAATCGAATCACGGGTGTGCATCTTTCCCAAGCTGTTCTCGTGGTAGTGAATATATGTCACAAGATCTGATGATTTTATAGAGGGCAGTTCCCCTGCACATGCTCTCTTGCCTGCCACCGTGTAAGACATGACTTCGCTCATCCTTGCCTTCCTCCATGATTGTGAACCCCACTGCCCTGACCTACAGCCATGTGGAATTGTGAGTCAATTAAACCTCTTTCCTTTATAAATTACCCACTCTTGGGTATGTCTTTATTAGCAGCATGAGAACAGACTAATACAATGGAGAACCATCGCTTTTTTCTGAAGAGACTCAGTCCCCCATGGGTAAGCTTAAGCTGGACGCTAGGCAGCACTGATTATATTTTCTCCTTCTGTGAACTGGAGCTCCTCCTTCCATTTTCCTACCACCACTAATCTTTTTGGTCAATATTTGGATAAATTAGAGACATAGATAAGGGAATGTTAGCCCCAGCATAGCTAGACTCTTGCTTATTTCTCTTCCCGGTTTATGAAATCAATTATGTTGGCACAGAGAGATACCCTTAGATGGGGTCACTCAGGAGCAATTAGAGCAGTGTACTTCTAGAGAAGCTGATAGGACAGGGCAGATGTGCCAGTGAGGATCACAGCTTCTGTCTAAATTTTTGAGTCTATCTGTGTGTGGCAGATGAATTCAGGAAAGATCCCAGATCCCTGGAAAGGGACCATTAAGAGAGGATTCATGTAGATCAGAACACTAGGGCATGTGTTCATCAGTGACCTTCTAAGTCAGATTGACAGGGTTAAGTCTGTGGTAGGGCTACAGAGCAATGCTTGCCCATGAAAGCCTCTGATCATGTGTAAAATATGTGGTTCTGGCACGGGGAGACATCTTTATCTGACAGAACATTGTACTTCTGTGGATGTGGGATTCTTTGCTCTTCCTTAACAGTGCACCACTGACTGATTGTTTGAGAATCACGCATACATAGGCCTGTTTATTTTGAATTTCTTAAATATTGGAACAGGAAAAAACATTTTTATCCACTTTTTTTCTTTTTTTTGAGATGGAGTCTTGGTTTGTCTCCCAGGCTGGAGTCCAGTGGCGCAATCTCGGCTCACTGCAACCTCTGCCTCCCAGATTCAAGCGATTCTCCTGTCTCAGCCTCCCAAGTAGCTGGGATTACAGATGCGTGCCTCCATGCCCAGCTAATTTTTAGTAGAGACGGGGTTTCATGATGTTGGCCAGGCTGGTCTTGAACTCCTGACCTTGTGATCCACCTGCCTCGGCCTCCCAAAGTGCTGAGATTACAGGCGTGAGCCACCACGCCTGGCCTTTATTCACTTTCAAATTGAATAAGAGCATGAGCAACTTCAGGGAAAATGTCACGGGAGGAAACTCTGGGGCCCTGCCCATCCCCAGAAACCTCAGAAATCCTGATACAACCTGTAGAATTCACCTTATCAACACTGATTCATTTTTTTGTATAGATTTATCTTTCATTGGGCCTTTATTTTGTTCTATGTCATGAAGAACATGAAGAATAAGTCATTTCTTTCCTTTGTGGTAGGAACATCAATTTTTCACATGTCAAGTATTAATGATGCCATCCTCCACATAGTTTTTCTTGTTTATTAAATTTTTGGTTTGGTCTAAATATTTGTGTCCCCCTCCAAATTCATATGTGGATAGTATTAGGCATGCGACCTTTCGGGAAGTGACTAAGCCAAGAGAGCGCCATCTTCCTGAATGGAATAAGTGCCCTTTTTAATAACATTGAAGGGAGTGTCCTTGTCTTTCGCCATGTGAGGACACACCAAGAAGGTATCATCTATGAGGATCAGGGCTGTCATCAAACACCAAATTTGTTGGTGTCTTGATCTAGCACTTTCCAGCCTCCAGAATTGTGAGCAATAAATTTCTGTTGTTTTTACATTACCCAGCCTAAGGTATTTTGTTACAGCAGCCTGAATGGACTAAGACACTTTCTTAGGCACTTTAGTCTATTTCTGAATTTTTAGTTCCAATTATCTATTAGCTTTTATTTATTTATTTTTAGACAGAGTCTTGCTCTGTCACCCAGGCTGGAGTGCAGTGGCACAATCTCAGCTCACTGCAAGCTCCATCTCCCAGGTTTGCGCCATTCTCCTGCCTCATCCTCCCAAGTAGCTGGGACTACAGGTGCCCATCATCACGCCCAGCTAATTTTTTTTGTATTTTAGTAGAGATGGGGTTTCACCGTGTTAGCCAGGCTGGTCTCGATCTCCTGACCTCGTGATCCACCCACCTTGGCCTCCCAAAGTGCTGGGATTACAGGCCTGAGCCACCACGCCCAGCTGATCTATTAGCTTTTTTAATCAAGATTTTTCACAGGGCTGGACAATATTATCTGTTTTTTTTTTTTTTGTTTCCCCAGAGTTTTCTTGGCTCTTCTTGTCTTTTCATCTATATGCTGTTTTATTTTATGTATGTATGTATGTATGTATGTATGTATTTATTTTTGAGACAGAGTCTTGCTCTGTCGCCCAGGCTGGAGTGCGGTGGCACCAGCTTGGCTCACTGCAACCTCCACCTCACAGGTTCAAGCAATTCTCCTGCCTCAGCCTCCTGAATAGCTGGGATTACAGGCACCTGCCATCATGTCTGGCTAATTTTTGTATTTTCATAGAGACAGGGTTTCACCACGTTGGCCAGCCTGGTCTCAAACTCCTGACCTGAAGTGATCTGCCCACTTCAGCCTCCCAAAGTGCTGGGATTACAGGTGTGAGCCACCGCAGCCAGCCTATATGCTATTTTATAGTAAAATGCCTACCTCCAATATCTAATGGTATCTATATTAGAACAAAATTTATTTTATAAACTACCTTGAGGACAATTTATATTGATAGTATATTGTTTTTCGGTCTAAGAACATGTAATTTTTCTATTTGCTTATGTCTACATTCATATATTTTATGAATGTCGTATGTCTTTTCTCATTCTGTAAACCTTTGTGTAATATGGATTCCTAGTTTATTTTATTCCTCTAAAAAGTAATCTGAGACACAATAAAATTGTAAAGAGTTTATTTGAGTAACAGCAATTGATTAATTATAGGACACCAGTCTAAAAGAGGTTTAGGTTTCACTGACAGTGTAAGAGGCAACTATTTATTGGAAAAATGTAGAAACAAATTATTTGATTAGTGGTAGTTACAAACTTGTTTCTTCTTGGTTTTTTGTTTGTTTACCTTGTTGAAAAGTCCCTAGTTATATAAGGTTGTTGGCTACTTCTGATTGGTTGAGCTTCATTTCTGTTTTTCTTTAAAATAGGCAGCTATAAGAAATAATTCAAGTTAAGTTTAGCCAGGCATGGTGGCTTACGCCTGTAATCCCAACACCTTGGGAGGCGGAGGCAGGTAGATCACCTGAGGTCAGGAGTTCGAGACCAGCATGGCCAACATGGGGAAACCCTCATCTCTACTAAAAATACAAAAAAATTAGCTGAGCATGGTGGCAGGCGCCTGTAATCCCAGCTACTTAGGAGGCCCACAGTCTGGTTAAAACTCCAACTGCCATTTTTTCTCTTTCTGACACATAAAGTGTAAAGGGTTTTGTCAGGTCAGGTAGCCCCAGGGCTGGCGCCGACATGAGTTTTTCTTTTAACTCACGAAAAGCTCGTTGCTGTTGGTTGTAATAGATGTAGTTTATCCAATTTACATTTTTATTAACTGTCACCCACCAAAATATTGACTCGAATCCTGCAGCTATTTGATTTCAAGCTTTAAATTGATTTGGTATTCCCCATGGGACTCCAGTTGCATCTAAATAGACGTGAGAGTTGAAAGACCCATAAGGGGCTTCTCTCGCTTTACGATGTCTTATTTTTCTTCCCTCTGGTTGATGAAATGCCAGGGTGAAAGGGATAGCCAATTGGACTAAAGTACAAGTGCCACTCCAGTTATTGGCAGAATGCCCAGTAAAGGTCTACCACAATATCACCACACATTAGCTCGGGGATGAACAAGGGCTGATTGATAAGCTCTTGAAAATTCTTAAGCTCACTGCATCCCTTCAGGTCTCCAAGGAACGCTAAGTTTTTCTCCCTATCATGAGAGACACAAAGTGAACTTAGTGTTGGGAGATGGAGGCTGGATGGCCCTCGGGGACTGACCTGCAGGGTGCCGGACTTTGGGATATAGCAGGGAGAGCTTGGCACGACTTATTACTCCAGGCTGTAGAATCCTGAAAAAGAGCTACCATGCAGCCCATGCCTGGTCAACTGGAGGACTACCTTAGTGGAAAGGGGACAATCTGGGCCTCTGGCCTGCCATGTGCACAAGCATAACAATTGCTTTTGTTTAACGTGGGATGGAATATTTGATCCATTCCAACCAGGCATTTGCATGTTGGTATCCTGTCTTAATTGCCAAAGTTCGTTTTAAGTCTTTAACTTATATGATCCTCTAGTAAAATGAATGCATGATTTTAGGGAATTACAAAAACCATTTGGGGCAGTCCACACTTGCTCTTTAGTGGTCCACAGAATGTTGGACCAACTACAGCATAAAAGCTCTACGTTGGGGAGCAAGACTCCTGGTTGACACTGGAGTCTTTATCAAAATTTCCCCAGATTAAATAGTCCTAATTTACTAATGCCCAGTCTGAGGAGAGTCAGGGGGGACAGAGGTACTTTTCTGAAGTGGAGAGCTGTCTTTCACTTGAGAGTCCCCACAGGGTATAACAAGGCAAGCATTAAATGCAATAGTTTGAGGCAAAATTGACTTGGTTATGTTAATAACTAGATGGTCAGCAATAGAATGAGGAAAGAAGAAAGAGTAATAGAACAGATTTTGAAAGAGTTAAAAGTTTTCTTAGCTTTAGTTTGGTAGGGTTTTCCCCTGGGACTATGGCCCAAGACTCTGGAGGGGGCGGTGCTTTCTTGACTCAGTTGTGATGAGTCCATCCTTTTTCCATTGTACGAACAGCAGTCTCAGTGGTTAGCAGCACAAGGTAGGGGCCTTCCTAGCCTGGCTCCTTTCTTTTCACCTTTTGATGAGAATGTGATCTTTAGGCTGGTGCTGGTTTGCTGGAAATTCTAGGGGTGGTACATGTGCTAAAAGACTTGTAGTTTTGAGGTAAAGGAAAGTGGAAGATAAACCAAGTATATAATTTCTAAGAAACTGACCTTTTGTTTTAAATGTGGGGACATCAGCAGTGGACTTTATAGTCTTTGGTGCCTTTCTACTGAGAAATTTCTTTTAGCACCTGCTTTTATTAGTTTTTAGACCAAAGAAAGCCAAACACCATTATATATTTAATAATGCTTCTTGTATGATTTTTATACCAGATAAGCTAAATTTCACCATTATATTAGTGTGTTATTAATGTGAAACTTAATTTTAATAAAACCTTGTAGATATATTTATCCAATTTTTAATGTCAGACCATAAGGTAAGATTTTTATAGACTCTTTTTAACCTTTTATAATTTTTGTTAAAGAGTACGTTAGTGCTTTAAGAAAAACCCGTTGTGTTTTTATTTTAATGTCCAGTTCACAAAAAAACTGGATGATACCCCTTTAACTTTAGCTAATATGTTTACACACAGAATTTTCTTTAAAATTAATGTTTAAAAACTTGCTTAAACCTTCAAAACAATAATTTTTTTAACCTTTTAATGTAGGTAAAAATTTACATTCTTATGCCTCCTTATAATCCTTTTACCAAAGGTATATTTTACTTTCCTTATACACCTTGCACATAAACTGTTTTTTTCAATAGTTTTACATTCAGGAGGCCTAGCTACTTTTAAATTATACAACATTTCTTGCATAAATTCTTTTTTTATAACATTTTTCTCTTTCATGACTTTTGCAGACAATTCTTTGACGTGCCTCAACTTTCTGACTTATTACAAACCTTTCTTTCTTTAAACAACCAGTTTCTTTATTTCAGGACAAGAATTTACCATATAACACTCTTTTTACATAAATTCTTCCCCCACTTTTTTCCCTTTTTTTTCAAAGATGATAACCATTCTTTTCCAAAGTGAACTTCCTTTATGTCTGTGGACGAGACTGTCTAAGGCCACAAGATTAGAAGTTACTATAATACATGTTACACTGTTAACTTTTAGCAAACTTTACTTTTGTTGAAAACCTTGTAAGTTTGGGATTTTAATTATCCTTTGCCATTAATAAGACCTTGTTTTGTCCAAATTAATTTAGAATTGGTATAGATGGCTTTTTTTTTTTCCTTCAATTACCTGGGAGGAACGATTGATCCTCCTGTCCTGAAGGGAGTTCCTCCTAGGTCTGGTCGGACCTTTGTATGGTAATTAAGATTTAGATGCCCTGTTAGGAAAACTTCTGGGTTAAGGGAATTTTCAGTGGTTAATGTTAAATCACACTTTTTTTTTTTTTTCCTTAGGATACTTCTGAACTGGTGAGGTGTGCTCACAATGAGGTTTCCTCACAATGAGGTTTCCTCTAAAAGTTATTTTTTTACTTTCTTCTGTTAGCAAAGCAGTTGCCGCTACAGATTGAATGCATCTGGGCCATCTGCGGGTTACTGGGTTAAGGATTTTTGATAGGAAGGCTACGGGTTATCAGTGGCCTCAGTGCTTTCAGAATACGCCCTTGTTTACACTGACAACAAAGTGGTATTGGAGTCTTATAGGGTTATGGAGAATACCTTCAATTATCAATTATAGGTTTTAAATTTACCCTGGCTTTTAAAGGAATAGGGTACACTTTTTTCTTAACTACTTGTATATCTCTCTTTCTTTCTCTGATTTTCTTTTTCTCTTTGACTTTCCTTTTGCCTCTGTCTCTTTCTCTTTCTCTGCCTCTCTCTCTCTTTCCTTGACTCCCTCTTTATCTCTCTGTCTCTTCCTCTTTCTCTCTCTGCTGGTCTTTCCTTGCCTCTGCAAGCTTGCTTATGCTGCTGTTCTCTCAACCATTGTGGGGTGGGGGTCTAAAACCAGCTATAACCAAGTGTCCATGTACAGGAACTGGTCTGGGTGCCCTGGCTTACAGGTTACCTTGTGCCGTACCTTTGAAACAAGGGACCTGTCCAATCTTCCTTCTGATGGCCAACCCACCTCTAATGCTGGCCAGTCTATTTCACACAAAGTTCTAAGTTTTCCTGGTATCACAGTAACACTGTAATCTCCCTTAAATCCTTTCTTGAAAATTTTCAACATAGCTCCTACTGGGGCAGGCTTACTTTGTGCCTGACCCATGCTTCTTCAAGACAAAACACCACGCTCGCACCACACGCACACCACAAAACAAATAACGGGTAAAAAGGGCACACACATACTTTTACAGTTTACACCAAACCAGAATCAATACCAAAATCGGGGTATCTAGAAATCCAAGCAAGGTCAAAACCAAAACCAAAGTATCAAGCAATCCAAGTCAAGTCAAAAACAAAAACCAAAGTGCCGGTACAGGCACGCCATAGGTGATCAGGCCACACTTCCACTCAAATGGAGTGGGCAAGTTCCAAAGACTAGTCTTACCAAGTTTCAGATGTCCAGACTCCAAGTGCCAGTTCCTTCCCGGTGTTCAGTCACTGCATTGATCCTCCGCGGGGGCTGCCACACGCTGCTCTGGTGAGGCGTTCCACCAGGGAATTTGCTTACCCGGGAGCGCTCTCAGGATCCGCATCGCTCAAGCTGGCCGGAGTCCCCCGCAGGGATGCTCCACAGGGCAGGCCTAAGCCGCCTAACAGGCTGCCTCAACTGTCCGTTAATCACCTCGCTTCCCAGTCAGGGAACCAAGAAATGTAGCAGGACGAGCCGTAGACAAAACCCCTCAGACACCGAGTTAAAGAAGGAAGGGCTTTATTCGGCCGGGAGCATTGGCAAGACTCACGTCTCAAAAACTGAGCTCCCTGAGTGAGCAATTCCTATCCCTCTTAAGGGCTTACAACTCTAAGGGGGTTTGCATGAGAGGGTCGTGATCGATTGAGCAAGCAGGGAGTAAGTGACTGAAGGCTGCATGCACCAGTAATTAGAATGGAACAGAACAGGACAGGGATTTTCAAAGTGCTTTTCTATACAATGTCTGTAATCTGTAGATAACATAACCGATTAGGTCAGGGCTCGATCTTTAACTACCAGGCCCATGGTGTGGCGCTGGGCTGTCTGCCTGTGGATTTCATTTCTGCCTTTTAGTTTTTACTTCTTCTTTCTTTGGAAGCAGAAATTGGGCATAAGACAATATGAGGAGTGGTCTCCTCCCTTAGTGGCGCATGCCTGTAATCCCAGTTACTTGAGAGGCTGAGGCAGAAGAATCACTTGAACCTGGGAGGCGGAGGTTGCAGTGAGCCGAGATTGTACCATTGCACTCCAGCCTGGGCAACAAGTGCGAAACCCCATCACACACGCAAAAAAAGGAGGACACTATGGTAGGCTGCTTGGGAGTTAGGAGCTGTATCTGACATGAGGCCAGGAGAAGCCTTGGCAAAGCTCACATGACCTTCAAGCTCCTTTCACTCCAAAACATGAGCAAGGACTGTGCCGTTGCTTTCCATTCCTCAGGTGGGGACAAGAAGTGGAAACCTATGCAGACACTAGATAGGTTTTGTTTTACAGGCAAGGTAAGAAGAACTACAGAGGAAGAACCTAATGCAGACGTTTCCCAGGAGACTTTAACTGAAGTATCAGCAAACTGAAAGGTAACGAGAGAATCTTGTGCCTCTGAGGGTGTCTTTCCCATGGATCCCTGCTCAGTTGCCTTTCACGGGCCCCCTGATTTGCGTGAACTCCTGACCTCAGATGATCCGCCTGCCTTGGCCCTCCAAAGTGCTGGAATTATAGGCATGAGCCACCGTGCCTGGCCTGTTCCATGCATTAAAAAAAAATAAAAAAATTAAAAAAAATCAGTGAGAACAAGAAGAAATGTAAATGCTGGGCTTTTCATATAAATCCAGGGAATTATGGGACAGTTAGTACCCACCTCCCAGGGTATTATAAGGATAAATTCATGTCATCTTCCCAGCTCCGTAGCGTGCTTCTGAGCACACAGAGCATGCTCCATAAACATTGCATTAACGCATGTGTGCATGTTGTTTTCCAAATGCAGACTTACTCAGACATGAGCTGCCTTCTCCAGCCTCTGTAAAGTTTAAAGGACCAGCAGAGTGTGCCATGTTTTAGGATAGTGATTGGTGGTTTTTATTTTGGACTGAAAGCATTTATGTTGTGAGAAGAGTATAGGTTTAAGGAACTGTGTGCTGTGGCACTTTGTCTAGTTGAGTGCTGCTATAAGTGATCTAGGGCAAGTAGGGTCAGCATTAGCTGTGAATGAAGCCAATCCATGGACCCCTTTCAAACCTGCAGAATTGGCCAGGCATGGTGGCTCATGCCTGTAATCCCAGCACTTTGGGAGGCCGAGGCGGGTGGATCACTTGAGGTCAGGAGGTCGAGACCAGGCTGACCAACATGGAGAAACCCCGTCTCTACTAAAAAATACAAAATTAGCCGGATGTGGTGGCACATGCCTGTAATACCAGCTACTCGGGAGGCTGAGGAAGGAGAATTGCTTGAACCTGGGAGGTGGAGCTTGTGGTGAGCTGAGATTGCGTGCCATTGCACTCCAGCTTGGGCAAGAAGAGCGAAACTCCATCTCAAAAAAAAAAAAAAAAGAAAAAAAGAAAAAAAGGGAAAAAAGAAAACATTAAATGCAGCAAGATGCAGGTCAGAGCATACCTCCATTTGTGTGCTCTTGTGGACAAAATTTAAATGGCAAATAAGATTTTGCATTTATTGACGTTTTTCTTTACATTGCTGTAAGTACAAATACCCATTTATCCTTTGACCTCCTATATCTTTATTCTGTATGCATATGAAAAAAAATGCTAGATCTGTATCTAGATTATACATGGGTAAACACAACATATAGAATTATATGACTTTGCCTATGTAGATATTTATGTATACAATAGATATTAATCAACATTTTAAATTCCCCAGCCTACACTGCGGATGCAGATATAAACTTACTCTCACCTATATGGATCCATACCATCTCAGACTGGAAAACAGCCATACAAGGTTATGTTTAAACATCAATAAAGCTTCACATATAGGTGCATGGCCTGGGAAGTATGTTTTTGGTAAAGCCATCTTAGACTCTAGTTCCAGCTTAGCATTTCAGGGCCCTGCTTCCTTTCTCACTGTATGCCTGTGTGATTCACATTTGCCATTTGGGTCGATTGACTTATATCCATCTAAGCTGATCTAAGTGGTTTATTAAACTCATCTGGGCTGCAGAAGTTGAGAAGGAAAGCAACCTCTGACCTACTTATTCTGAGGCTTGTCTACAGGACATATGCAATAATGGGAATTACATTGACATACCTATGTTACCCATTTTCTGTTTTTTTTTTTGAGATGGAGTTTCACTCTTGTTGGCCAGGCTGGAGTGCAATGGTGCAATATCAGCTCACTGCAACCTCTGCCTCCTGGGTACAAGCGATTCTCCTACCTCAGCCTCCCGAATAGCTGGGATTACAGGCACCTGCCACCACACCTGGCTAATTTTTTGTATTTTTACTAGAGATGGGGTTTCACCATGTTGGCCAGGCTGGTCTCGAACTCCTGACCACAGGTGATCCACCCACCTCGGCCTCCCAAAGTGCTGGGATTACAGGCATGAGCCACCGTGCCTGGCCTTTCTGTGTATATGTTTATCTAGCCACCGATATCATATCTATATGTATAAAAAAGACCACCAAAGTGCTCAGAGGTGATTTTTATTTTCCATTCAGGCCAAGTAAATCCAATCAGCCATTAGCTCAGTGAAGATTTGTCAAATCCAAGCCACACACCAAATCACGTTATGCTAAATGTGAAAATGTCCTCATTACTGGGCACCAAGGTGTTTTAAATTCAGAGTCTAATCAAAACAGCTCATGGGGTTCTGTCCATCCAGCTAGGACGCTTCAGACATACCAGTGGGCCTAACCTTTTTCACAAGGAGCTCTGGCCTGGCCAACAAGAATCACCTTTGGTGCTTCAGTGCAGTGTCACCATCACCTGTTTGAAATGCAGCCAGGTAACATGTACCATTTTATTTGCTTTCAGTATCACAGTCTATCTTCTAATAAGAAACCTAGGCCTCTGGCTGGGTGTGGTGGCTTACACCTGTAACCCAGCACTTTGAGAGGCTGAGGTGGGTGGATCACTTGAGGTCAGGAGTTCGAGACCACCCTGGCCAACATGGTGAAACTCCCATCTCTACTAAAAATATTAAAATTAGCTGGGCATGGTGGCATGTGCCCTCTAATCCCAGGTACTAGGGAGGCTGAGGCAGGAGAATCACTTAAAACCGGGAGGCGGAGGTTGCAGTGAGCTGAGATGATGCCACTGCACTCCAGCCTGGGCAACAAGAGTGAAACTCCATCTCAAAAAAAAAAAAAAAAAGGATTTTTTTTTTTTTTTTTTTCTGTGCTGGGTTTACTTAGCATACCTTTCAGATTCATGAATGTTGCAAATAACAAGACTTTATTTTTAAGGGCTGAATGGCATTTCATTGTGTACATATACCACATTTTCTTTCTCCATTCACCTACTGATGAACACTCAGGTTGATTCCATACCTTAGTTATTATCAGTAATCCACTTCCTTCCCTTTCATTTGTGTTTGTTTTGTTTTGTTTGAGATGGAGTCTCATTCTGTCACCCAAGCTGGAGTGCAGTGGCGCGGTCTTGGCTAACAGCAACCTCCGCCTCCCAGGTTCAAGCAATTCTCCTGCCTCAGCCTCTCGAGTAGCTGGTATTACAGGCACGCACCACCACGCCCAGGTAATTTTGTATTTTTAGTAGACATGGGGTTTCTCCATGTTGGTAAGGCTGATCTCCAACTCCCGACCTCAGGTGATCCACCTGCCTCTGCCTCTCAAAGTGCTGGAATTACAGGCTTAAGCTACCATGCCTGGCCAAAAGCCTAGGTTTCTTTCTATGTAAGCCTAGGTTTATTTCTATGTGAAGTGTAAAAGAAATTTAAACTCATAGAAGCAGAGAGTACAATAATGAAAAAAAAAAAAAATCTCCTATGGGGTTTTTTGTCTGATTGAGAGCTTCTTCATGATCTTTCAGGGATTGTATTTTCTTTCATCTTCTGCATCCTCCTGTTTTTTAGCCAATGGATGAAAAAAAATACAGAGAAGACACATTTGCTTTTATCCACTGCACTTCCACTCACTATTAGTCATTGTGGATACAGCTGAGAATAGCAGTTTTCTGGCAGGACAGCCACTTCTCAGTAATAAACAACTGAAAAAGTATAAATGTGTCATAAAAAGCTAATAGATTTTAAGAAAAACAAGCATAGGCATCAATAATGTTTGTGGTAAATAAAGATTCATATTGTTGATTTCTATTGAGCTCCCGTAATATTTGATAAAAGCTTGCAAATATACAGCAGAAAAGGAGTATTATTCTAAATCAGAATATTGTTATGGCTATTTTGTCAATAGAAGTCAATATCCAATATACAGAATGGTTATTTTGTCAATGTAAGTAAAAATATGACTTCACACTAATAGTCTCACCAATAGTTGTAATCAAATGCTATTTTTTATTTAAAATTTTATTTCATATAAGTAATCCCAGGCGGGCGGATCATGAGGTCAAGAGATCGAGACCATCCTTGCCAACATGGTGACAGCCCATCCCTACTAAAAATACAAAAATTAGCTAAGCATGGTGGCACATGCCTGTAGTCCCAGCTATTCGGGAGGCTGAGGTAGGAGAACCACTCGATCCCGGGAGCTGAGATCACGCCACTGCACTCCAGCCTGGGGACAGAGCAAGACTCCATCTCAAAAAAAAAAAAAAAAAAGGTCTATATGTTTGCAGACAGACCAGATGTTCAAAGAAAACTATATAATAAACATTTACTAATAATTTTTCAGGATTCAGAAATACATGGATTCTATTTCTATTTCTTTGTTTTTTTTTGAAATAGAGTCTTGCTCTGTTGCCCAGACTGGAATGCAGTGGCGTGATCTCAGCTCACTGCAACCTCCACCTCCGGGGTTCAAGCGATTCTCTCCTGCCTCAGCCTCCAGGTGTGTGCCACCATGTCTGGCTAATTTTTGTGTTTTTAGTAGAGCTGGGTGTTGGGGTTCAATCAGGCTGGTGGGAAAAATATTTAAAAGAGTAACAGTCAAAAGCTGTCCTAAAAGGCCTGAGAGTTTGCATAGCTTGATTGCTTGGCTGAAGGCAGCCAGGGTCTCTTTGCAGGAGGCCAGGAAGATTAGGGTGCAAGTGAAAAGGAATGTAGGAAGTTTATCTTACTAACCTGTTTAGTTATATGGGCTTAAGACTAACTTTTGTCCTGCTGAGGGTACTTTACTGCCGCCTACTCGGGGGTCCGCAGTTTATTACCCACAAATGGTGTTTGCTTTAGGCCTGGGAACCTGGCCTTTAATTTTACCCTCTAGTGGTGTTTACTCACAACTTTTGTTAATTAGTCTTACTGAATAAATGCAAGCCTCACTATCTGATCAGAGCCAAGTTGCAACTGTTTACAGAACTCACCTTGGAGCCTGTAAGCGGCTCGGACCCTCAGCTGGACTGGCAGAGCAGAATGTGTGTCAGTGTACTTTATTCATCCACAGCGAGTGCCCCCGCGAAAGGAGCGCTTCCTCAGACGGGGTTTCACTATGTTGGCCAGGATGGTCTTGAACTCCTGACCTCAGACAATCCACCTGCCTTGGAAAGTGCTGGGATTACAGGCCTGAGCCACTGCACCTGGCCATATTTTATTTATTTTTCTGTATAATTTTTATTATGACCATAAAAATAAACCTGTAGTCAGTAACAATTTAATTGTACATTTTAAAATAATTAAAAATGTATAATTACACTGTAATTCAAAGGATAAATGCTAGAGGTGATGGATACTTTACCCTAATGTAATTACTACATATTGTAGGCCTGAATCAAAATATGCCATATAAGGCATAAAGATATACACATACTGTATACCCACAAATACTAGTAATAGATTTCAATAAGAAAAAAAATTTAAGCTATGGGAACAATTCAACTCATTTGCAGTTTAAAGCCACTGGCAAAGTGACAAGTAGAGATGTTATTCCACTACGTACCAAACAGTATATTGTTACCATCTTTTAAGTACACCCTTGATTAAGGTGGGATAGGTTAAAGTTAGTGGCATAATGGCCAGGTGCGGTGGCTCACGCCTGTAATCCCAGCACTTTGGGAGGCCGAGGTGGGCGGATCACAAGGTCAGGAGATTGACCATCCCGGCTAACACAGTGAAACCCCATCTCTACTAAAAATACAAAAAAATTAGCCGGGCATGGTGGCGGGTGCCTGTAGTCCCAGCTACTCAGGAAGCTGAGGCAGGAGAATGGTGTGAACCTGGGAGGTGGAGGTTGCAGTGAGCCGAGATCGTGCCACAGCACTCCAGCCTGGGTGAAAGACCGAGACTCCATCTCAAAAAAAAAGAAAAAAAGTTAGTGGCATAATAATGCTTCATTAAACGCAGAATAGTCTTAACATGGTATAAAAAATGAAATTAAGTTCACACATCATCTAACAATTTTTAAATATACTGCATTCGATTACATAAAAGTACAGTTAGTAAAATAATATTCTCATTTAATACTTTTAACTGTAATTTTTCTCACTATAATGTAGAAAACTATTACTCTGAACCCCCACTTTTTAAAAATCTTTATTAATAAAGTAATTCATTATAATTTTTGAAAAAAAAAGTTTTAAAATGGTCTGCCAACATGTTAATGTAGGTTAGGCCATCCAAAAGACAAAGCAAAACATCAACATTAAGTCATAGGCTAGGATTATACAAATGAGAACCCCCACCTTATACATTACTTAATATAAGTTAACTACAAAGAGCCTCTCCACTTACATTTTTATCATGCATCTTACATTTTAATGTCCTTATTCTTTTATAGAAAAGGTCATAATACCCAATAAAAAAGAATCTGTAATATCCCTGATGCAGCAACAATTGATCACATGCTTTCACATGTGACCACAATAGGAATAAAATAACAGCGTAAAGAAATTTGAAAGTTGTATTACATCATTATTCACTGTTCAAAAATTTTTTTCAAGAAACAAGTACACTTTCAATGAAATTACAATGCTTCAGAAAATCTCCCTTTTAAAGTTATATACAAAAACAGCTTTAGTTGTGGATTCATTTTTATACTCAATACTCTGATTTAGTGTAATGTCTGAAGTGTCAGTGCCTTATTCTAGTGTAAATTCTCATATTTACGTAAAATCAATTTTGAATTAAATATTTTTTTCATATTTACATCTGCAAAAATATACTTTAGTATAAACTCTCTGATGTTTTCTAAGCTATAGATTTTGAAAAAAAAAGTCTTTCCAAATTCATTATATTTGCAGGACTCTTCTCCAATATAAATTCCATGTTGTTGAATAAAGCTGGAGCAACTGCTTCAGGTTTTCCTCTAGTACACAATGTGTGCAACAAGATCTGTGATACAAGTAAAGGTACTACAACCCCCCCTTATATTTGTAATAGCTGATTTCAGAATAAATATTCTTCTTTAAAGGCTTATATTTTCTGAAAGATTTTTTGACAGTAATTGCACTTTTATTGCTTTTATTAACTATGAACCTTCTGTTGAGATGTGAGTGGGCGTTAATGGCGTTTCCATATTCTTTATATCTGTACGATTTTTCTCAAGGATAAAAGCTTTCCTGTGAAATAAGGTGTAAGCACTCAAAAGTTTTGCCACATTCTTCACACTTGTAGGAGTTTTGGCAGCATTAATTCTCTTACCTACAATCAAGTGTGGCAACCATATAAACGCTTTGTCTCATTTCATACATTTCCAGGGTTTCACATTAGTATAATTTATTTTTATGTATACAAAAGTTGGAGGTGGTGGTAAAAGCACTGTTGCATCTTTCAGGTTTGTAGAGTTCCTCTTCAGCATGAATTATCGCCATGTCTCTTAAGAATTGAGAACTTGTGGCTGGGCGTCGTGGCTCATGCCTGTCATCTCAGCACTTTAGGATGCCGAGGTGGGTGGACCATCTGAGGTCAGGAGTTGGAGACCAGTCTGGCAAACATGATGAAACCCCATCTCTACTAAAAATACAAAAATTAGCTGGGCATGGTGGTGGGCACCAGTAATCCCAGCTACTCGGGAGGCTGAGGCAGGAGAATGGCTTGATACCAGGAGGCAGAAGTTGCAGTGAGCTGAGATCGTGCCATTGCACTCCAGCCTGGGTGACAAGAGTGAAACTCCATCTCAAAAAACAAAAAGAGTTGACAGGTTGTTATAGGCTTTGCCATATTCTTCACACTTGTAGGGTTTCTGTCCAGTATAAATTATGTGTAATAAGGGTTGAGAACTTCCTTAAAAAGCTTTGTCACATTCTTTATATTTGTAGGGTTTATGTTCCATATAAATTCTCATATTTAGTCAGAGTCCAGGGCTAGTTAAAGGCTTTCCCACATTCATCACATTCATACGGTTTCTCTCCAGTATGAATTATCTTATGCTTATTAAGGGTTGAGGAACATTTAAAAGATTTTCCACATTCTTCACTATGCAGGGTTTCTGTCTAATATGAATTTTCTTATGTTTATTAAGGGCTGAGGACCAGTTAAAAGCTTTGCCACATTCTTCACATTTGTACGGTTTCTCTCCAGTATGAATTATCTTATGTTCAGTTAGAGTTGAGAATGCAGTAAAGGCTTTGCCACATTCTTCACACTTGTAGGGTTTCTCTCCAGTATGAGCTCTCTTATGTTTAGAGAGGCTTGAGTACCAGGTAAAGGTTTTGCCACATTCGTCACATTTGTAGGGTACATCTCCAGTATGAATTCTCTTATGTTTAGTAAGGTTTGAGGAACGGTTAAAAGCTTTGCCACATTCCTCACATTTGTAGGGTTTCTCTCCAGTATGAATTATCTCATGTTTAGTAAGGGTTGAGGATGAAATAAAGGCTTTGCCACATTTATCACACTTGTATGGTTTCTCTCCAGTATGAATTTTCTTATGTGAAAAAAGGGTTGCAGGGTGGTTAAAAGCTTTGCCACATTCTCTACATCTGTAGGGTTTCTCTCCAGTATGAATTATCTTATGTGTAGTAAGGTTACAGGACTGCTTATAGGCTTTGCCACATTCTTCACATTTGTAGGGTTTCTCTCCAGTATGAATTTTCTTATGTGTAGTAAGGTGTGAGGACTGCTTATAGGCTTTACCACATTCTTCACATTTATAGCGTTTCTCTCCAGCATCAATTTTCTTATATGTAGTACGGGTTGAAGACTGGTTAAAAGTTTTCCCATATTCTATACATTTAAAAGATTTTTTTCCAGTATCTCTTATCTTATGTTTGTTTGAATTTGAAAATTTATGCAAGAATTTCACATATTCATCACATTGAAATATTTTTCTCTGGGTAGTTGCCAAACATTGTTTAAGTCCATTATAACCTCTTTTGTGCACTGGACACTCATCTACACTTTCACAGCCTTTTTTTAACTGTAAATTGTCATGTCTACATTTTTCATATCTTCTTAGTATCACTTTTTGGAAAGAATCTTTTATGCTCTGCTCTGACCAAAGGTCTTGGGCAAAATGAGAATACATAACTGAAAGAAACAATAAAAACACATGACTTCAATTGCTAGACTCAGATAAATATACTTCACAAATCTAACCTATAAAATTATACAAACTACGTAAGCAAGATGACACAGCAAAATACCACAAGCTGTAATTTCTTCCTGGATATATAACTGTAACAAAAACATACTGACCAAAATACATTTGTAAAAAATTTATAAATTAGTTAAGTGTGTAAAGGGCTCCAGGTGAGCACAATGCAAAGAGCCACATAGAAAAATAGAAAAAAAGAAAAGTCTGTTACTTATACCCAACACAGCTCTTCCTGCTCTCCAGTATAACATTGTGCCTTTAAAAGTAAATTGCGGGCCCGGTGTGGTAGCTCACACCCGTGACCCCAGCACTCCGGGAGGCTGAGGCAGGTGGATCATGAGGTCAACAGTTCAAGACCAGCCTGGCAAAGATGGTGAAACCCCGTCTCTACAAAACTACAAAACGTTAGCCAGGTGTGGTAACAGATACCTGTAATCCAGTTACTTGGGAGGCTGAGGGAGGAGAATTGCTTGAACTGTGGAGGCAGAGATTGTAGTGAGCCAAGATCATGCCATTGTACTCCAGCCTAGGTAACAGAGTGAGACTCTGTCTCACACATGCACACAAATATGTAAATTGCCAACCCCTGGTTTCTTTTTTAAAAAACAAGAAAAGTATTGGCACATACATCTTTATTTCTGGATTCTAGGGGCTTTTTTATTTTTATTTTTTATTTTATTTATTTATTTATTTTGAGGTAGAGTCTCGCTCTGTCTCCCAGGCTGGAGTGCAGTGGCGCAATCTCGGCTCACTGCAAGCTCCGCCTCCCGGGTTCACGCCATTCTCCTGCCACAGCCTCCCAACTAGATGGGACTACAGGTGCCCGCCACCATGCCCGGCTAATTTTTTGTATTTTTAGTAGAGATGGAGTTTCACCGTGTTAGCCAGGATAGTCTCAATCTCCTGACCTCGTGATCCGCCCGCCTCGGCCTACCAAAGTGCTGGGATTACAGGCATGAACCACCGTGCCCGGCCTCTAGGGGCTTTTTAAAATACTGGTTAATGTCTCCCACGACATGAAATGGTAATATACGTTGGAATGACACTTTGAGTCTAAAGGTAAATGTTTCAGAAGCAAAGAAACTGCAGTATCCCAAACACGGAATGGGTGTAGCAAGTGATTACTGATTTATTAAGAAGAAATAAGAATAAGCCGATTTAACTAAACAACACAAAATTTTAGACAAGACACATCCTAAAAATATGTTTGAGAAATTCCAAGAATCGCTATCCAAGACGATTGATTTTCAGACTATGCGAGGACAGAGCTATATTATAAAAATCATAACAGGTAGCTTTTTGTTCATGTCCAAATCTCAAAGATTACAATGTATACAAAATATTAGGGCAACATGGCCCCATCAAAAAAATTATAAAATTTTCAAAAGCAACAATAAAAAGTGTATAATTTTTAAAATTCCAAATAAATTGAACAGGCCAGGCTTGGTGGCTCATTCCTGTAATCCCAACACACTGGGAGGCCAAGGTGGGGAAATCAGATGAGGTCAGGAGTTTGAGACCAGCCTGGCCAACATGGTGAAACCCTGTCTCTACTAAAAATACAAAAAATTAGCTAGCCGTGTTGACAGGCACCTGTAATCCCAGCTATTCAGGGGGCTGAGGCAGGAGTATTGCTTGAATGTGGGAGGCGGAGGTTGCAGTGAGCTGAGATTACGCCACTGCACTCCAGGGCGAGACTCCGTCTCAGGAAAAAAAAAAAAAAAAAAACAAATAAAATAAATTTAATTTTCACAAAGTGAAACAGGAACACAGACAACTACTGAAGATTAGAAAAACGAGGATAACAACGAAAAAATATTAAAATAGAAAACAAAAATTGTGGGTGTAAAAAATACAAAAACTAAGTGAAAAATTTCTTAAAAGAAAAAATTGTGTAAATAGGGCAAAGCTGAAAAGCTGAACAAACAAACTAGGATATACCCAAACATCTATTTATAACAAACACATATATAAACAAAATTCCAAAAATCACAGATAAGAAGAGAATTTTGGGAGCTGCAAGATAAAAATGATGGTCATTTATAAGCATAGTCTTATGAGATAACCAATAAATTGATCAAAAACATTTTTGTAGGTCAAAAGGAAACTGTGATATTGTTATTAAAGTTATAATAAAAAAAGATGTCAAGTGGGAATAGTACCATCACCAAAATTGTACTACCAAATAAAAAGAAGTCCTTCCAAAATAACCAAATCCTGAGAAAGTATATTGGCACTGCATATGCCCTACATATCAAGGATGCTGAAAGGAGTTTTTTTCCACAGAAAATAACATAATGCAAGAAAACAACACATAATCATCTGAAGATATGTAAGTTTCTGGAAAAGATAGGCACATTCATAAAAATGGAATTTCTTACTTAACTAATGTTAATTAGTTATGTTAATCATAATGGTACAGTTTAAAAGATAAAAGTATGGAAATTATGAACATCTGTTAATGAATAGACAACATAAAAAATATAATTAGTAAAATCAATAACAAATGTGAAGGTAGATGTAATAATGAGGAATTTCTGTATGCAACTGAAGTTAATTTTTTACTACATTAAAATATATTGTTGGATCTTTTAGAGGTTTTAGATAATCCCCCAAGGTACTACTAAGAAAATATCCGAGGCCAGGCACGGTGGCTCACGCCTGTAATCCCAGCACTTTGGGAGGCCGAGGCGGGCGGATCACAAGGTCAGGAGATGGAGACCATCCTGGCTAACACGGTGAAACCCCGTCTCTATTAAAAATACAAAAAAAAAAAAATTAGCCGGGTGTAGAGGTGGGCGCCGGTAGTTCCAGCTACTCGAGAGGCTGAGGCAGAAGAATGGTGTGAACCCGGGAGGCGGAGCTTACAGTGAGCCAAGATCGCGCCAGGGCACTCCAGCCTGGGCGACAGAGCGAGACTCCGTCTCAAAAAAAAAAAAAAAAAAAAAAGAAAATATCCGTATAGATACACAAAAGAAAATAAGAAAAAAGCTCAAAGCATGTCAACACAAAAATAAAAAAAACTTAAAAAGGAGAAATTAAGACACAAAGATACAAGAATCAAAACAATTATTTTATTAACAGTAAGTTTTTCTCTTTCAGAAAACTATTTAAATATAATTATCTTTCCAATCAAGAGACATACTTCTAAAAAGGCTCATTAAAAAATTTTAAAAATCAAGACTCAACTTGCCTTTTTACAAGAGTCAGCTGAGATCTAATGATAAGAAAAGACTGAAAGTGGCAAGACCAAGTAGAAATTTCATGTAAATACTAACAAAATGAGAGCAGAAGAGGTCAAAATAATATTACACAAGCTACATTGTTAAAGTCAAAAGCTGTCATATTTTATAAAATGTACTTTAAGTTAAAACTTCAAAAAAGAAGGACATTAAACAATATATAGATTAATTCATGGAAACCTATGACAAATTTGTTTATCCATGTGTGTATTTGTGCGTGTGTGTGTCTCAAATTGGGGTTTCAAATATATAAAGCAAATACTAACAAAGTTGAATAGAGCAATATAATTATAGTAGGATATTTCAATACCCCACTTTCTGTAATAATAATAAAACAAGACAGTATATTAGTAAGGGAACAGAGGACTAGAAGGCAGTAAAAAACAATTATTTCTAATGAAGGTATAGAGAACACTCCTCAACATCATCAGGATACATAGCCTTCTCAATAGCTCATAAAACATTCCTCTTTATAGACCACCTGTTAGGTCAAAAACAAAGTCTTAACACATTTTTTTAAACTAAAATTTCATAGATTACTTTCTATGACAAAAATGGAATTAGAGTATAAGACAATAATATAAATAATTGATAAATTTTCAAATATATAGAAATGATACAATACACTCTTGAGCATGCACTTGTTGAAATAAACTTGGCTGGGTGCGGTGGCTCATGCCTGTTACCCCAGCACTTTGGGAGGCCGAGGCGGGTGAATTTAACTCCATCTCAAAAACAATCAAAAAGGAAATAATTAATATTGTGAAGATGTCTATACCGCTCAATTTAACCTATAGATTTAATGCAATATTTTTCAAATTTCTCATTGTATTTTTGAAGAAATAAAAACAGCAAATCCAAAACTATATGGAATCTAAAAAGACAAAGTACCCAACAGTCTTCAAAAAAAAAAAAAAATGTTGGAGGCATTACAATTTCTGATTTCAAAACACATCAAAAAGCTACAGAATTAAAACAATTTGGTATGAGCATAAAGATGAAAAAGTAGACTAATAAAACAGAATGCAGCACATGTATTATATCACCTTTCACATAATTACTGCAGCATTGCTACCGAAAGCCAACAGGTAAAAGCAATGCAAATTTCTGTCACCAAATCAGTAGATATAAAAATACTGGCATATCACTCAGTTTTCAAAAAGAAAATATTCTAACAACTATTAAGATAAATATTGATGACATTATGCAAAATAAAACGAGCCAGCCACAAAAAGACAGAGACTGTATGAGATATATAAAGCAGTTATATGCTTAGAAACCGAAGAGTGGTGTTTTAAAAGTGCTAGGAAATGTGAAGAATTGGTAGTTGTTTAATGTGTATTGAGATTTAGCTTTGCAAGATAAAAATATTCTAGTGATATGTTGCATAATATGTCAACATAATTAATATAACTAAACAGAATATATATATATATATATATATTTATATATATTATTTTTTTTCGAGATGGAGTCTCACTCTGTCTCCGAGGCCGGAGTACAGTGGCAAGATATCGGCTCACTGCAATCTCCGCCTCCCAGGTTCAAGCAATTCCCCTGCGTCACCCTCCTGAGTAGCTGGGACTACAGGCATGCGCCACCATACCTGGCTAATTTTTTGTATTTTAGTAGAGACAGGGTTTCCCCATGTTGGCCAGGATAGTCTCCATCTCCTGACCTCATGATCCGCCTGCCTTGGCCTCCCGAAGTGCTGGGACTACAGGTGTGAGCCACTGCGCCTGGCCTAGAAATATTTTATTATAAATTTTCTTATGTGTTTTTGACAGATAACACATTTTGTTATGTGTTTCCCCCACACAAAAATAATATAGATTCATAAATAAATAGATGTTGAAATTAGGAGAATTTTTATGACTACTCACGTAGACAGGATTAAAAACCTGTTTCAGGCTGGGAGCGGTGGCTCGCACCTGTAATCCCAACACTAGGGGAGGCCGAGGCAGGCGGATCACCTGAGGTCAGGAGTTTGAGACCAGCCTGACCAACATGGTAAAACCCCGTCTCTACTAAAAATAGAAAATTAGCCAGGTATGGTGGCGCATGCCTATAGTCCCAGCTACTCAGGAGGGTGAGGCAGGAGAATCACTTGAACCCGGAAGGTGGAGGTTGCAGTAAGCTAAGATTATGCCATTGTACTCCAGCCTGGGCAACAAGAGCAAAACTCCCTTTTAAAAAAAATAAAAAAAGAAAAGAAAACAAAACAAAACAAAAAAAACCTGGCCGGGTGCCGTGGCTCACGCCCATAATCCCAGCCCTTTGGGAGGCCAAGGCGGGTGGATTGCCTGAGGTCAGGAGTTCAAGATCAGCCTGACAAACAAACATGGTGAAAACTCACCTCTACTAAAAATACAAAAATTAGCCAGGCATGGTGGTGCACACCTGTAGTTCCAGCTACTCAGAAAGCTAAGGCAGAAGAATCGCTTGAACCCAGGAGGTGGAGGTTGCAGTGAGCCAAAATCATGCCACTGCACTCCAACATGGGCAACAGAACGAGAATCCATCTCAAAAAAAAAAAAAGACGGGCATGGAGGCTTGAGCCTGTTTAATCCCAGCACTTTGGGAGGCTCAGGAGGGTAGATCACCTGAGGTCAAGAGTTTGAGATCAGCATGGCCAACATGGTGAAACCCCATCTCGACTAAAAATACACAAATTAGCCGGCTGTGGTGGCGGGTGCTTGTAGTCCCAGCTACTCGGGAGGCTGTGGCAGAAGAATCTCTTGTACCCAGGAGGCGGAGGTTGCAGTGAGCCGAGATCGCACCACTGCAATCCAGCCTGGGTGACAGAGTGAGACTCTGTCTCAAAAAAAAAAGAGAAACCTACTCTGAAAAAGCACACTAATGTGGAACTTCAAAACAATAATAAGAGAAATGTTTACTCATAAAATCTGGTATGCAACATTGATGTATCATTTAAACAAACATTGTTAGGCCAGCCAGGCGCAGTGGCTCACATCTGTAATCTCAGCACTATGGGAGGCCGAGGCGGGCAGATCACCTGAGGTCAGGAGTTCAAAGACCAGCCTGACCAACATGGTGAAACCCCATCTCTACTAAAAACAGAAAAATTAGCCGCGCATGGTGACACATGCCTGTAATTGCAGCTACTTGGGAGGCTGAGGCATGAGAACTGCTTGAAGCCAGGAGGTGGAGGTTGAGGTGAGCCAAGATCGCACCACTGCACTCCAGTCTGGGTGACAGAGAGTGACTCTATCTCAAAAAAAAAAAAAAAAAAAATTGTCTACGTAACTGCAATATTTAGCTGTTACTGTGTACTCATTAAATGCAGGTATTTTGAATCACTGGCATGCACTGTGTGGCAGTAAAATTTCAGAGAATATATGCAGTGTAATTATACACAGAAGATTCTGAGAAATTTTTAATAAATAACCATTTAAAAGAAACTAGTTACTTTTTATGTTTTAAATATCTTCTTACACAAAATGAAATTGCTATAATCCAACTTTAGAAGAAAAGAATAGACATATTGTTAAATAAAAAATATATATATTTTGCAGAATAGGGTTAGACCCTCTGATATGTAAAACAAGTATTAGGAAATAAACTACATTATTATTTAGATATAGGCTGAAGAAAGTTGATGAAAATTCTGTAATTCCCTTTTGCCTGCAGCAAACTTGAATTTACAAGTAACTATTTTAGTAAATATGGAGTACCTACTAATTATCCAATTTACTTCAGGCATACCATGCAAATTCTAGCACACTGTCCTAAATTTCTGAATCTAAAATTATGACAAATTTGAAATAGAAAACAGAAAGTAAAAATGTATAGGGAGAGTGACCTCACTAAGATGAAAAGATTAAAAGTCCCCTATTTTCATATCCTCTTACAGCAAAAAAAGGTTAGCTATCCCTGACAAAAATGCCTTTATGAGAAAACCAGGCATTATGGCTCACACCTGTAATGACAGCTTCATGGTACATTAAGGTAGGAGAACTGCTTCAGGCCAGGATTTTGAGACCAGTCTGCGTTATGTAGCAAGACCCCATCTCCAAAATAAGTGCCTGTAAGATTTGAGATCCAGGGAGGGAGTTGTGAAATGCTGTTAAAGCTTAAGATTGAGAAGTGTTCTATTCAGAAGGCAGGCCCTCATTCAGGTGGGAAACTACAAGACCCCTGGTTCTTGGCTACAGACCAGGATAGGGTTCACCCAACTTGGTCCCACTGAGAATTCTGAACTTACTCTCTAACTATCCGAAACTCCTCCCGGCCACAGTCTGGCAGAGGTCCTGCCATTCCAGAGACCTGGAGGAAGGTGCCCATTTACAGCCACGTAGGCAGGCCTGCAGACCTTGGCCTTTACTGTGGTCCCTGGAACAGTTCAATGACTCAGTTTCATTTACCTGTGCCACAGTTTATGGTCAGTTCTGCCTACATAGAAACCCACCCAGTTACCTGAGGAAATGCTCTCTGGTACACAGTGAAAGCCACACTCATCCACATCCTGATACAACGCCCACCATATGCAGAACCGTGTGCAAAAACATGTCCTAATGTCTGCCCTATGGAGCAAAGTCCTGAAGGATATGCAGTCTGTCCAAAAATAAAATGGGAATTACAACTACCCAAGTCCCTGTATCAAGCCAACTAAAGGTGAACCCTAGTGCAGACCCAGCAGCCTTGTGACCAAGCTACAACCCCTCTTCACTACAAATTCAGAGGGAATCTCATCACACTAAGGGCCCAATAAAAGATTTTTTACTTTCTAAAATTAGTTTATGAAAACTTGAAGAGGTGTTTTGTTTTCTCCATCAAATTCAGACACCAATACAAAACTATATTGCGCCCATTGTCAGTGCTTCTATTTTAATCTAGGACTGGAAGTATGTGGCAGAAGAATTAATGAAATAAATATATAAATCCATTGAAATAGAAAAATAAGTAAAATGCTGTTTGTAGATCATACAATCTTATTTTTAAAAAAACCAAACACAGTACTTTTACATTTGCTGAGGTGTGGTTTACTTCCAACTATATTGTCAATTTTGTCAATTTTGTCCATTCAGGACATAGGCATGGGCAAGGACTTCATGACTAAAACACCAAAAGCAACAAAAGCCAAAATAGACAAATGGGATCTAATAAAACTAAAGAGCTTCTGCACAGCAAAAGAAACAACCATCAGAATGAACAGGCAACCTACAGAATGGGAGAAAATTTTTGCAATCTACCCATCTGACAAAGGGCTAATATCCAGAATCTACAAAGAACTTAAACAAATTTACAAGAAAAAAAACAACCCCACCAAAAAGTGGGCAAAGGATATGAACAGACATTTCTCAAAAGAAGACATTTATGCAGCCAACAGACACATGAAAAAATGTTCATCATCACTGGTCATCAGAGAAATGCAAATCAAAACCACAATGAGATACCATCTCACATCAGTTAGAATGGCAATCATTAAAAAGTCAGGAAACAACAGATGCTAGAGAGGATGTGGAGAAACAGGAACGCTTTTACACTGTTGGCGGGAGTGTAAACTAGTTCAACCATTGTGGAAGACAGTGTGGCGATTCTTCAAGGATCTAGAACTAGAAATACCATTTGATCCAGTGATCCCATTACTGGGTATATACCCAAAGGATTATAAGTCATGCTACTATAAAGACACATGCACACGTATGTTTATTGCGGCACTACTCACAATAGCAAAGACTTGGAACCAACCCAAATGTCCATCAATGACAGACTGGATTAAGAAAATGTGGCACATATTCACCATGGAATACTATGCAGCCACAAAAAAGGATGAGTTCATGTCCTTTGCAGGGACATGGATGAAGCTGGAAACCATCATTCTGAGCAAACTATCACAAGGACAGAAAACCAAACACCCCATGTTCTCACTCATAGGTGGGAATTGAACAATGAGAACACCTGGACACAGGGCAGGGAACATCACACACCGGGGCCTGTCATGGGGTGGGGGGATGGGGGAGGGATAGCATTAGGAGAGATACCTAATGTAAATGACGAGTTAATGGGTGCAGCAAACCAACATGGCACATGTATACCTATGTAACAAACATGCATGATGTGCACATGTACCCTAGAACTTAAAAGTGTAATTAAAAAAACCCATACACAGTACATTAAAACCTGTCTAAACCAATAAATACACTAATTAAATTAGGAAAATATAAAATTAACATAAAAGTATATCTATGGTTTCATACAGTTTAACTATCTGATAAAATAAAGAAAAAATCTTATTTACTATAACATTAAATAATAAATTTCTGAGGAAAAAATTAACCAAGGAGGTAATACAAAAAAAAAGAATGAAACAATTGGAGAAGATCCAAGTAAATTTTAAAATAGTTTATGTCTATGGATTGAAAGATTAAATATTACTGAAGTGCCATATTATCCAAAGTGATCTACAGATTCAATGAACTTCCTATTAAAATTGCAGTGTTTTTTTTTCACAGTAATCAAAAATACAATTCTAAAATTTACATGAAACTAAAATAAACTTTGACTAGCCAAAGCAATCATGAGGAAAAAGAACAAAGCAGAAGGATATCATACTTAAAATTTCAAACTATACATTTCAAGACTATATAGTAATAAAACAGAAAAATGAACAAAAAAATGGAACAGAAACTAATACTTTCACACACACATTTAAGACCTGATGCAAAAAGAGAACTTAAAGAGTTTTAGTTTCTCAAAATCATGCAGATACTTGTGTGTCCCCAAAACAATGGAAAAACAGCCAGATTGTGCAGTCTCTTATCTGTCATGAAGAGGACTTTGGCTCTCAGTGTGAACTTGAAGGAAGCTCACCGAAAGAAAAATAGAATTCTTAGAGAATTGAAAAGCATAAGACAGAAGATGCCTCTTTGTGAGAGCAAAATTAAAAGAAAAAAGAAAAGAAAAGAAAAAAAAAGCTGCCCAGGAACTATTTCCTTGGGAACACAGCTTCCCAAATCACATTTTAAGGACTCGCTTTCTCTTTGACCTTGGGACCTCTATCTGTGTTGTCTGTCCTATTCATTTTCACTCGCACCTACCTGGGGGTTTGGCAATCATCTCATGCCTCTTCATAGTTAAAGGTTTTTTTCCTTGCTCCAGACAGGTGATCAGGTTTGGTTTAGAGACAACAATACCTGTTTTATTAAGAATAAATAATATGAATCTTGCTCATATTCTCCAATTACAAGCTAGTACTGTGCTCAGCAGAGAGGATGTGATAAAGTATTCTAGTAAATTAATACTAAAATACTAAGTTATAACAGAAATTTTTTTTCTTTTTTGAGGCAGAGTTTCACTCTTGTTGCCCAGGCTGGAGTGCAATGGCTCGATCTTGGCTCACCACAAGCTCCAACTCCAGGATTCAAGCGGTTCTCCTGTCTCAGCCTCCTGAGTAGCTGGGATTACAGGCATGTGCCACCACGCCCGACTAATTTTTGCGTTTTTAGTACAGACAGGGTTTCACCATGTTGGTCAGGCTGGTCTCGAACTCCTGACCTCAGGTGATCCACCCGCCCGGACTCCCAAAGTGCTGGGATTATAGGTGTGAGCCACCAAGCCTGGCCTATAACAGAAATTTCTAAATATTTAGAAAATACTTTCAATTTGTAGGTTTCTTAATTTTACTACTGGGTTCTACTAAATCAAAAATTGGTGGTGGCAATTAGATTTTCAGGTGGGGGCAACAATATTTTATGCCACTAAATTTTTGGAATTACCACTAATTTGGAGTGAAGAACACAGCTCAACTCAGGAATGTGGAAAGTTTGGATTAAGATGAAACATCATGAAGAAATTCTTTTCTAAATGAAAAAATTCTGAAGATTTTTCTGGAAAAAGGAGATCTGAAACTCTTGTATGCAAAGAATAAATTACTAAAAAACATTCTACAAAAAAGAGAAATAAAACCTTTAGAGTAATATTATGAATTATGTACTCAAGTTATCCTCACCAAGGAAGATCAGGTTTCTGTAGTTCTCTAACATCACATCCCTATATAGATTCCGCTGTGCAGCGTCCAGGCAATGCCACTCCTCCAGAGAGAATTCTATGGCCACATCTCTAAATTGCAATGGTCCCTGAAAAAAACACACACACTTATTTTTACCAAGTGGCCATGGGTGGAATTTTTAATTTGACTTCAGGTGAAATGAGAGAGTAAAGAGAAGTGGTTCTGACTTATAGGACTAAAATTATCCAATAAAATGATTTTCAACACAGAAATATTCTCTAATGTATTCTCTAACTCTGAGAAGAAAGAGCAGCACAAGATCCACAACATCAGTTCACATATGATATTTTTCTAGATAATAAAGTATAAAATTACGGCCATGAACACGAACATGTACATTTTTGAGTGGTATATTTACATCATACGGAATGAGCAGTGAATATTTTTCAGATAGAAAAGAAATGTTGGGTTAGAAGGCACCTCTCAAATTTTAATATGTACAATAAGCTGACGACCTTGTTATGCAGGTTTTTTTTTCCAGAAGATCTGAAATAAAGTCTTTCTTATTTATTTATTTATTTATAGATGGAGTTTCGCTCTTGTTGCCCAGGCTGGAGTGCAATGGCGCCATCTTGGCTTACTGGAAACACCGCCTCCTGGGTACAAGCAATTCTCCTGCCTCAGCCTCCCGAGTAGCTGGGATTAGTCATGCGCCACCATGCCCAGCTAATTTTTTTTTGTATTTTTAGTAGAGATGGGGTTTCTCCATGTTGGTCAGGCTGCTCTTGAACTCCCAACCTCAGGTGATCCGCTGCTTCAGCCTCCCAAAGTGCTGGGATTATAGGCGTGAGCCACCGCGCCCGGTCAATTTTTTGAATTTCTAACAAGCTCACCAGTAATGCCAATGTTTTTGGCCCCAAAAGGATATTTTTTCAAACATTTAGTAAGTGGAAGAGCCTGTGTTTTCCCCCACATTTTCTAGCCTATAAACAAAGAGCCCTCATTTATCAAAGAAAATATGTAGGAAAAAAATAAGAAAGGACAGCTGCCAGATTAAATGTGATGGTTTATGCACATCAGCTGCATAAAGATACTTAATAATAAAAATAACTCTATAGTGAAAAAAATCTCTCAGGGAGCTACTTAACCAAGTGAATCATTAACCACTTTTTTTTTTTTTTTTTTTTTTTTTTTTTTTTTGAGACGGAGTCTCGCTAGGTCGCCCAGGCCGGAGTGCAGTGGCGCGATCTCGGCTCACTGCAAGCTCCGCCTCCCGGGTTCACACCATTCTCCTGCCTCAGCCTCCCGAGTAGCTGGGACTACAGGCACCCGCCACCAGGCCCGGCTAATTTTTTATATTTTTAGTAGAGACGGGGTTTCACCATGTTAGCCAGGATGGTCTCGATTTCCTGACCTCGTGATCCGCCCGCCTCGGCCTCCCAAAGTGCTGGGATTACAGGCGTGAGCCACTCTGCCCAGCCAATCATTAACCATTAACTGCACTAGGACAAATTTTTATGATATGCTAATGCTCACAGAAGAACACAGCATCACTGTTGAAATACTCCCCCCAAAAAAGTAAATTATAGTCTGAATTTAACCATAAAGAAACATCAGTTTTAGGCCAGGCGCAGTGACTCACGCCTGTAATCCCAGCACTTTGGGAGGCACGAGGTGGGCGGATCACGAGGTCATGAGTTCGAGACCAGCCTGACTAACAGGGTGAAACCTCATCTCTACAAAATACAAAAATTAGCCGGGCGTGGTGGCGGGCACCTGTAATCCCAGCTACTTGGGAGGCTAAGGCAGGAGAATTGTTTGACCCCGGGAGGTGAAGTTTGCACTGAGCCAAGATCGCGCTACTATACCCCTGGCCTTGGTGACACAGCGAGACTCTGTCTCAAAAAAAAAAAAAAAAAAAAGAAACATGTTTTATGCAAACTTTAAAATACAGATTACTCCTCTGTTCTGTAATTTTTAGTAGTAATTTTAAGTAGGCTTCACTTAGCTCCCTAGAGAGCAGGTATCTCTTAATAATTTTTTTCAGAACTTTCTGGGTAATAAATGCCATCTCATTTAAATAAGCATTTTCTTAATCTCGTTCTGCATAGAGCTAATAGAACACACAGATGGAGCCTCAACATTACATGTTCTCCATCTTTACTAAGGACCAGAGTTTTACCCAATAGAAATCTTGAGTATCCACATCTTTCCATGTTCAACAGCCACAAAGGAAACATTTTTAATATTGCAGATTATAAATTATTGCTGAGAATCCTGCATAGCATATAAGAAGCTATGATGCAGAGAATAAAGAGAAGGCTCTGAGATACAGGAAAGAAATATTTTTCAGAGACCCTTGACTATCATAAGAATTTTAACAAGTAGTTAAACCAAACTTATTAGGGCAGAAAAACACAAGTAGAGAAGTAAAGTTTTGTAAGTACTAAACACAAGGCAGTCCAGGAAGCAGAGTGGACACAGCTCTTCATCTGATGCATGTTTACCTGAAGGGGAAGTTATTTTTTTTCTTCCTCCTTCTTCTCTGGAATTCATTCTCAGATGAGACTCTCTGAATAAATTACATCTGCATCTTGAGAATATGCTTTAAAGGTGTCAGTATTACATGTTTACCTGATAGCATGACATCAATTGGCAGAAAAACAAAAGGTTAACCCATTTCTGTCCTTTAAAACAGAAGAGATTCAGGAACAATGAGCTGCTCCATGAAAATAAGAATGTTTCTCCTTTCCTGTCCCCAGGTGCCCTCCCCTGCCACAGACACCAGCAATTTCTGCTACAGTAATGGAAATATGTGCCACACTGACCTGTCCCTACCAAGTCAAAACAGAATAGGCCCTGTGACCATCCTTTAGTGCAAAGGTGGAACTTAACTCTCATGAATGTATTTTGAAGCCCTCATACCTGATTCTGGCCTCACCTTAGAGTCATATGAGGCACTTCATTAAACAACATGGATGCTTCCACACACAACAATAAACAGAAGCTGTGGGGAGGGCACAAGAGATTTCTGCAAATTGGCCATGAGATCCTAATGAGAAGCCTGGGCTGATAACCACTAAGCTAAGCATTGCCTCTCAAGCTTTAACGAGCTTATAAATCACTTGGTAATTTTGGCCCCACTTTATGTAGTGTGATTTTGCAGGTTTGAAAAGGGTCCATGAATGGGTGTTTTAAACAAGTTCCCTGTCAATGCGGATGTTGCTCCCCCTTAGCTCATTATTAGCATTAGTTACAGAAGCAGGAACAACACAGGGTCCCTTACACTCAGCACTCTTGTCACAACCAAATACTTCTGGTACAGATAAGGACAACCCATCTCCATCCTAAAGTTTTATATTCTTTGCTGGTTCTTTACAGACAAAACAGAAGGCAGCAATGTCTGAGTAAGTCTTGATTTAAAAAGCAACATGTACACATTTACTAATGCAATGTTTATTAAGCAGGTACTATGTGCTCAAGAGTATGATACAGAGCACTATGCTGGGTATTCTCATAACATCCTGGGAGCTGGCACTAAGGGTTTAATAATTTCCAGGATGTAGTTAAAGGTCCCAGCATTTTTATTTCTTCTATTTATCGGTCATCAAAATTTTTTTAAAAATTGTATAGAATAAAAGCTAAATATAGACAGATGGAAGAGATATAGAAGGAAGAGTTTAATGTATTATAGAGATAATTTTATTCTATTCATATTTACTTTTTTGTGACTTATGGAGCAACTACTGGATCTGCAGGAATAGAAAACAAGTTGCTAATTAGAATGTTTCTGCAAGCATTGGTTTTAATACAACATTTAAAAACTAAGACCCTAAAATACATACTTTATTTTTCTCATTTATATGCTTTTGGGTTTCAGAAAATTGTGAGCACCAGCTCTAGAAATGCAGTAGGATTTACCAGCCAAAACTCTGATCTCTTCTAATCAGTTCTGTGAGGCAAGACTCCATGGTAGGGTCAGAACTAAATAGTCTCCAAAAAGGGTGAATCTGAATAGGTCTGGGGCAGGGTGAAGACACTATGTAGAATTCTGTTCTCTATGCCACTGGGGTACTTCCAGTTTTGTTTTTCCTAAGCTTACCTAAAAGAAATGTAAATCCAGAGTTTCTGCAATTTTAATCTTTTCTAGCCACTGCCCTGTCAACTTTATACTATATACTAATATGCAATTTAAACAAATCCCTTAAGGTCTTCTAGAGTAACTTTTTTTGTTTTGAGATGCAGTCTCACTCTGTCACCTAGGCTGGAGTGCACTGGTGCGATCTCGGCTCACTGCAACCTCTGCCTCCCAGATTCAAGTGAATCTTCTGCCTCAGCCTCCCAAGTAGCTAGAACTACAGGTGTGCATCACCATGCCTGGCTAATTTTGGTATTATTAGTAGAGATGGCATTTCACCATATTGGCCAGGCTAGTCTCAAACTCCTGACCTCATGATTCGCCTGCCTTGACCTCTCAAGTGCTGGGAATACAGGCATGAGCCACTGTGCCTGGCCTTTCTAGGGTAATTTTATTAGAAAATAAATACGTACACTTAAAGAAAAAGAAATAGAAATTATACTGCTGGGTGTAGTGTCTCACGCATGTAATCCCAGCACTTTGGTAGGCCGAGGTGGGTGGATCGCGAGGTCAGGAGTTCAAGACCAGCCTGACCAAGATGGTGAAACCCCATCTCTGCTAAAAATACAAAAATTAGCCGGATGCGATGGCAGGCACATGTAATCCCAGCTACTCAGGAGGCTGAGGCAGTAGGCTCACTTGAATCAGGGTGGCAGAGGTTGCAGTGAGCTGAGATTACACCATTGCACTCCCTCTCAAAAATATAAAAAAAAGGAAATTATAATAACGGTTCTTCTCTTCATAAATATGCCTTCAGATGTAGACATCAGAAGCCACAACAATATAAAGTGGCCTAAATAAAGCCCAAGATTTTAGACACATTGTATTTGTTGTACCAACCATATGATGCACAATTCAATTATTTATCCAGCTGCTAGTCTAGACTAAAAGTTTCTGGATTGTAGGAACCATGACTGCTTCATGTTTTTTTTTTTTTAAATGGCTATATGAAATGGAAGCTACTAGTTTATCTATTTGGGTCTCCAGATCTCCTCCTTGTTTATCATCCAAGTACCAGGAAACTGGAGAAACTCTCATCTGGGTACCAACCAAAGACATCTCTTGTATGAGGGGATGAACAAACACAGATGACTCATTTCTCTTACACTGAGACAGAAGCAGAATTAACTCCTGTCAGCCTGACACAATTCTGCATGGGACATCTCAAATGCCTCAAAGACACCTAGGTGATTTTGAAGGAATTCCCAGTCACCCTGGGCCGCTGGCCCAATGATAAGCCAGGCTGGAGAGACTCAGGCTGATTCTAAATAGAAAATGGAACTTCCCTGGTGGAACTCCACAACCTGGATCACCCATTCTGATTTACTAGCTCTTGGGTAAGAGAAAGAACAAAAATACTCTACTCCAGTATCACATTTTACAGGTGAATATAGTTGTGGTTGTGATCATGGCTCTGGATACTTTGCAGCCTTGATCTCTCACTACAGATTATGCCATCACATTCTATTTCCTCCTGGAGCCTCTGACCTCACTGTAGCAGGTCAATGAACAAGATGTGAAACATCTCAAAGAGCCACACTCCCAATGCAGAAAATGCCTTTTGTTAGTTTTCTGTACATTCTCTATCCAAAGTCTGGCCCTTTTTTATCTGCAGATTCTAGGTAGGATCAACTTGGCTCTGTATCCTTTGGTGTTACAGTAAGTGGAGTACAATTAAAGGAGAAATCTTAAGAAAAAGCTCAGATTAGATATGAGATTGATCAAGTCAGCCAGAAAATATTCCCCTAAAAGCAATTTCTCTCTCAACACCCAAAGTACACAGCTACTCTCAGCATGAGAAACATGAACATTATGGAGAAAGGGGGCAGATTTTCAGAATACTTTTATAAAGTTTCTTTTCCATCTCTGCTGCTCTCTCATCTCCTAGCCATTGAATAGGGGTTCTATATTTAAATACATCTGACAACTTCCAACAACACTTTTTGATGAAGAAATAGAATCTGACTGTGTTCATATAGTGGAATACATTAGAGCTTGCAATATAACTAACTAAAGAGCTATGTTGGTGGTGTTTGGGTGGCCACATCACCTGTCTTTATTTGTCCTGTAATAGCAGCATTCCAATTTAGTGAAATAAAAGATACTAAAATTGTGTTTACTCATAATTATCCCTATTGAATAAAGTAATAAACATGTCAGACTAATATCTACTATAACAATTTGGTAGTAAATTTTCTTTGGATATTAGATATAAATATCTAAGCATTAATAATTTTAATGAACTAGTCATAATGTATGTAGCATTTTTAAAAATTGCAACTATATTTCAATTAAAACTTTTACACTTTCAAAAGTGTAAATAATATTAAAATAACCATTTAAGTGAAAAGGAATGCTTATACTCTGCTGGTAGGAGTGTAAATTAGTTCAACAACTATAAAAAGCAGTGTGGTGATTCCTCAGAGAACTAAAAACAATTATCATTTGACCCAGGAACCTCATAATTGGGTATATACCCAAAGAAATATAAATTATATTATAAAGACACATCCACATGCATGTTCATTGCAGCACTATTCACAATAGCAAAGACACGCACAGGCTGTAAATGCCTATCAATGGTAGACTGGATAAAGAAAATATGGTATGGTCAGATGCAGTGGCTCATGCCTGTAATCCCAGCACTTTGGGAGGACAAGGCATGTAGACTGCCTGAGCTTAGAAGTTTGAGACCAGCCTGGCAACATGGCAAAATCTTGTCTCCACAGAAAATACAAAGAGAAAAACTGGCCAGGTGTGGTAACGCCCGCATGTAGTCCCAGCTACTTGGGAGGATGAGATAGGAGAGATTTGCTTGAGCCTGGGAAGTTGAGGCTAAAGTAATCCAATATCATGCCATGGCACTTTAGTCTGGGCAATAAGTGAGACCCTGTCTCCAAAAATAAAATAAAATAAAATAAAAGATTTAGTAAAAACAAAATATGGTACATCATGGAGTACTCTGTGGCCACTAAAAAAAAAGATCATGTCCTTTGCAATAACACTGATGAAGCTGGAGACCATTATTCTTAGAAAACAAATGCAGAGGCTGCGTGTGATTGCTTATACCTGTAATCCCAGCACTGTGGGAGGCCAAGGGGGGTGGATCACATGAGGTGCGGAGTTTGAGACCAGCCTGACCAACATGGAGAAACCCCGTATCTACTAAAGATACAAAATTATCCGGGGTTGGTGGCACGTGCCTGTAATTCCAGCTACTCGGGAGACTGAGGCAGGAGAATTGCTTGAACCCAGGAGGTGGAGGTTGCAGTGAGCCGAGATCACACCATTGCACACCACCCTGGGCAGCAAGTGCAAAACTCCATCTCAAAATAATAATAATAATAATAATAATAATGCAGAAACAGAAAACCAAATGCATGTTATTATTTATAAGTAAGAGCTAAATAATAACAACACATGAACACAAAGAGGAGAACAAAAGACACTGAGGCCTAGTTGAGGGTGGAGGATGGAAGGACTAAGAGGTTCAGAAAACATACCTGTTTGGTGCTATGGGTAGTATCTCAGTGACAAAGTAATCTGCACACCAAACCTCCATGACATAATTTTAGCTGTGTAACAAACCTACATGTGTACCCTGAACCAAAAATAAAGGTAAAAGAAAAAAAAAAATCCCTGGGTGGGAGAGAGTGCAATGTAGGTGAGAGGACTGATTTTTGGTACAGATAGTGGTCCCAGTGGGGCTGTACTCTATTTATTTCCGTGTGCATGCAGGCAGGTGAGATTATGAACAGCTGGTCCAAAATGCTAGGATGGTGGAGAAAACAGGTTGCTGCTGCAGATTCAGTGTCTGTGAGTGGGAATATGCTAGGAGACTTGTAGAGACTTGTGGATTCTTGGCAAGAAACACTAGGATCAAAAATGCCATTGTGGGCCGGGCGCTGTGGCTCATGCCTGTAATCCCAGCACTTTGGAAGGCTGAGGCAGGAGGATCACGAGGTCAGGAGATCGAGACCATCCTGGCTAACATGGTGAAACCCCATCTCTACTAAAAATACAAAAAAAAATTAGCCAGGCGTGGTGGCGGGCACCTGTAGTCCCAGCTACTCAGGAGGCTGAGACAGGAGAATGGCGTGAACCCGGGAGGCGGAGCCTGCAGTGAGCCGAGATCGCGCCACTGCACTCCAGCCTGGGCAACACAGCGAGACTCCATCTCAAAAACAAAACAAAACAAAAACAAAAACAAAAAATACCATTGTGAGGTTCCTGAGGGTGGTGCCGAGTCCCGGGAGGAGTGTGGACATGTCAATGTCTAGTGTGTGTGTTCGTGAGTGGGTGGGAATCCTGTGGTGGCAGCTGTGGGAAAAGGGGGTCTGTCATCAGAGCTTCTTTCCTCTACATTTTCAGTCCTCTGTCACCCTGAGAGAAGACCTGGGATCACAGGACAACGGGCAGTGTGACAGCCTGTGTACGACAGAGCAGAGCCTCCCATTCCCAATCACCCAAAGTTTTATTCCAGGCCAGGCCTCCGTGGTATCTTTTTTCTGGCACCATATCTGTAGAGTCTGCTGAACATCAAACAATTCTCCAACACTAACTTATTGTCTCACATTTGAATTCTGACAGCACCCAGAGTCATCGTAGACCCTGATTCAGGGCTCAGTCCCGCAACATTGTCCTCATGGCAGATGCCAGTCACAAACCCCAAGGGCCCATCTATGCTTCTGAGCTACTGTTTAAAACCTGGGGAGTCCCATAACCTCTCTGAAGTTCAATAATTTGGTAGAGCTACTCACAGAATCATCAAAATACTGTAGTTATCTTTACTGGTTTAATATATAAGATGCAGCCCTGGAAAAGCCAAATGGAAGAAATGCACAGAACAAAGAAAAGAGATGGGGAAAGATGAAACACATAGATAATCCTGGAAAATTTTTCTGATTAATAAAATTCTCCATCCTTTGTGTGCTCCAGGAACAGTTTATGGAAAGAAACACCCTTCCCATTATGAGTTAGATGGTGCTCTCTTTTCTTACCTATCACACAGCCAGACACACACTCTGCACATTTTCTCTTTCTCATTAAAAAAAAATCAGCTGAATTTGTTTTCAGTGGTCATAATGAAATATTTCTTTTCTTTTCTTTTCTTTTTTTTTTTGAGCCAGAGTCTCACTCTGTCGCCCAGGCTGGAGTGCAGTGGCACTATCCTGGCTCACTGCAACCGCTGCCTCCCAGGTTCAAGCCATTCTCCTCCCTCAGCTTCCCGAGTCGCTGGGATTACAGGTGCCCACCACCACACCCAGCTAATTTTTGTTTTTTCGGTGGTGTTTTTGAGATGGAGTCTTGCTCTGCTGCCCAGGCTGAAGTGCAGTGGTGCGATCTCAGCTCACTGCAAGCTCCATCTCCCGGGTTCACACCATTCTCCTGCCTCAGCCTCCCCAGTAGCTGGGACTACAGGCACCTGCCACCACGCCTGGCTAATTTTTTTGTATTTGTAGTAGAGACAGGGTTTCACCCTGTTAGCCAGGATGGTCTCGATCTCCTGACCTCGTGATTCACCCGCCTTGGCCTCCCAAAGTGCTGGGATTACAGGCTTGAGCCACTGCGCCTGACTTGTGTTTTTTAAAATAGAGACAGGGTTTCTCCATGTTGCTCAGGCTGGTCGCGTACTCCCAACCTCAGGTGATCTGCTCAACTCGGCCTCCACAGGCTGAGTGCTGGGATTACAGGCGTGAGCCACCAGCCTGGCCTAAAATAAAATATTTCCTTTTTTTTTTTTTTTTTTTTTTTTTTTGAGGGGAGTTTTGCTCTTGTTGCCCAGGCTGGAGTGCAACGGCGCCGTCTTGGCTCACTGCAACCTCCACCTCCCAGTGGGATTACAGGCATGTAAGCCTGCAACAGGCAGCACCACGCCTGCCTAATTTTTTTTGTATTTTTAGTAGAGACAGGGTTTCTTCATATTGGTCAGGCTGGTCTGAAACCCCTGACCTCAGGTGATCCACCTGCCTCGGCTTCCCAACTTGCTGGGATTACATGTGTGAGCCACCACGCCCAGCCAAATAAAATATTTCTTAATCAAACTTAAGTTTATCTCCCTCCCTTGGGCTCCTGAACTTTGAGCTACCCTCAGTCTGAGTCAACATACAACCCCATTTTATGTCCCTCCTAAGAACATGCTGATTTCAGTGTAAAACATTCTCTGATCTAAGATCTGACTTTTTCACCCTCCATTTGCCATTCCCCTCCCACCTCCTTTCTAATCTTGTTTGCACCTCCCTAGGAAAGAAAGTGTTTTTCTGCCTACACCTTTGCAAGCCATAAAGATCTTATAGTTAGTTGGTATTTCCTCTCGTTGCAATACTTTTTTAGAATTTTTTTTACGTAAATCTGATTTTTTTTTTTTTTACAAAGTCTAGAAAGTACCTCAAAACAATAACAACTTCATCATCAGTAAGACTCTCTCAGTTTCCTTTCATCTTAACCTCAACTGCATCTGCCTGTGGATCCCCAGCTTTCCAGGGCTCTGTGGCTTCTCTCAGAATAAAGGCTTCTTCTATGGCTGGGGTGAGCAGGCTGAGACAGCTGCAGGGGTGGCTCCTCAGAAAGAACTAACTGGGCCTTTAATAACTTCCTCTCGCATGCTTAACATTAGCCTTAGCTTGGAGTCACTAGGTTCAAGCTTTAATTTCCATGTCAGAGTTATTCACTTGGTTTTTGAAACTGTTTCAATAGTCCTGTGAAATTACTCAAACACAGTGTTTACGTAAGGGAAGGAAATTTTAAGGTGCTTTTTTTTTTTTTTTTTGAGACGGTCTTGCTCTGTCACCAGGCTGCAATGCAATGGCCCGATCTCAGGTCACTGCAACCTCTGCCTCCCGGGTTCAAGCCACTCTCCTGCCTCAGCCTCCCAAGTAGCTGGGACTACAGGCATGTGCCACCACACCTGGCTAATTTTTGTATTTTTAGCAGAGACAGGGTTTCACCATGTTGAGCAGGCTGGTCTTGAACTCCTGACCTCAAGTGATCAACCCCCCTCGGCCTCCCAAAGTGCTGGGATTACAGGCATGAGCCACCACACCTGGCTAAGGTGCTTGCATTTTATACCTTCATAAGAAAAGCAAATATATCTACTTCTTTCAGACAACGTATTATTTTATTATTTATATTAAAAACAATGTAGTAAAAAATTAGTCATATGGGAACACTTCTAGAAGGTACCACATTTCATCACATATAATTTAGCATTAAACTCAGAAATCAAGACAACAGGAAATAGAACCAAGATATTCACTGTCACAAATTTACCCTGCAAAAAGAGGAACTGATGTTTTGACGATCTATATAACTCATCAATTATCTACCAGATTTTCCTGTGGAAACATTTTCATTGTCTACAGACAAAATGGAAGAGAGATTTTCTCTACTTTTTTCCTTGGTAGCTAGCATTCTTAAAGCTAAGGCTTAGAATTCTGTTTGAAATCACTCAGCCATAAAAAACACATCTGAGAAAATTCCTGAACTCACTCTGGGAAAGAAAAAGGTAAATGAGAATTATTAACAAATAGAATGATTAGAAACTAATTTTTTAAAACTCATCTCTTTTATGTGCTTTGTAAATATTTTTTTACCTTTCAAGCCCTACTAATAAAATGCAAATTACAGTTAAAACACTGATGCAGCTGAGTGCAGTGGCTCATGTCTGTAATCCCAGCACTTCGGGAGGCCAAAGCAGGTGGATCGCTTAAGAACAGAAGTTTGAAGCCAGCCTGGTCCATCTCTACTAAAAACACAAAAACTAGCCGGGCGCAGTGGCGGGCACCTATAGTCCTAGCTATTGGGGAGGCCGAGGCATGAGAATCACTTGAACCCAGGAGCCAGGGGTTGCAGTGAGCTGAGATCGAGCCACTGCATTCCAGCCTGTGCAACAGAGACTGTTTCAAAACAAAACAAAAACAACAACAGCACAAACACCTGAGGTTAAAATAAGTGAACAAATCTTTTCAAGGTACAGATCCTATCACCCACCCCATCCTGTTCAGGTACATGCTCAATAACTACCCTCCCAGGAGACACCGCGCCATGCCCCAGTGAGTGCCCCACGTGCATTTTACTTTGTTAAGTTTTTACGCCCTCTCACTGGGGTCAGTTTTTTTTGTCTTTTGAAGTGTTTTTTCACTACTTTTCTGCTCCCCACCCAAGAGAATCCAGGGGTCAGAAATTATTTGTTTTCCCCTCAATACCAGCATCTGATTGTCTGACCAGCAATGTGTCTCCAAGAAATGGAAGCTAGGTTGGGTGAAGAAAATCTTCATGTCTCAAGGGGTTAGCTTTTCAAAAAAAAAAAAGAAAAAAGTGCACCAGGATCTGCCTTTCAACCCCAAGGCTGCCACCTGCTCCCTTAAGAGGCTACACTCCATACTTCAGGTAGTCCTATGGGAGAAAATGACCCAAGAGCTAACAGTCACTAGACACTCTAGCAGACATAGCCATGGTGGGTATCTTGGTTTATCCCCAGAAAGTACTAAAACCCAGGACCAGAAAAAAACTGAAGGTTGGCTGAGGACACATCACCCTATTAAGTTTCCAGAGGGTAATCTTGACCCAAAAACATTCGGTAAGTTCTCTGGAAAAATAAAAGACAAAGAGGCACAGATATTTTTTACAATACAGTGTCAGGGGATTATTCTTTGCTTTCTTCTCATGGGAAATATTTACAAACAGAAAACAAATCTTTTCAATAGTGTTATGCAATACTTTTTAAAAAATGACTATTGGTCAGGCGCAGTGGCTCACGCCTGTAATCCCAGCACTTTGGAAGGCTGAGACGGGCGGATCACGAGGTCAAGAGATAGAGACCACCCTGGCAAACAAGGTGAAACCCTGTCTCTACTAAAAATACAAAAATTAGCTGGGCGTGGTGGCACGCGCCTGTACTCCCAGCTACTCAGGAGGCTGAGGCAGGAGAATCGCTTGAATCCAAGAGGCGGACGTTGCAGTGAGGTGAGATCGCCCCACTGCACTCCAGCATGGCGACAGAGTGAGACTCCATCTCAAAAAAAAAAAAAAGATTGAGGAACATGGGGTACACCTGAGGCCCTGCTTGGGACACATGTGAAAAACGCCAGGGAAAATCAGTCCCCTGTGGGATGTGAAAATAATTAAGTGGCAGGCAATTAGAATGAGGAAGCTCTAGTCCCCAGATTCCCACTTCTAAGGAAAAAAAACAAAACTCAAGTGTATTCTTTGGTAAATTACTACATTAGGGGAAACAAAATTCAGGCTTAAGCAACTATAAACTGCCAATTAAACTCTGATTACATAACCAGGAAATTTCCATCTCGATTGTACAAATTTAAAAACTACCTAACTAGGCTGGGCGCGGTGGCTCACGCCTGTAATCCCAGCAATTTGGGAGGCTGAGGCGGGTGGATCACAAGGTCAGGAGATCGAGACCATCCTGGCTAACACGGTGAAACCCATCTCTACTAAAAATACAAAAAATTAGGCGGGCGTAGTGGCGGGCGCCTGTAGTCCCAGCTACTGGGGAGGCTGAGGCAGGAGAATGGCGTGAACCCAGGAGGCGGAGCTTGCGGTGAGCGGAGATCGCGAGACTGCACGCCAACCTGGCGACAGAGCGAGACTCAAATAAATAAATAAATAAATAAAATAAAATAACAACTACGTAACTATACCTAATCAATTATTGAATTTGGTTTTCTTCATCATGCATTTCATAAATGTCTTTTCTTCAAGCCCCTCCCATGGACTACAAACAACAAACTGTAGCTGGGTGCTCTACAATTCTTGAATCACACTTTCATTAAATTATTTGATATTTTTGCGGTGACTCCCCCCTCCCCGTTTGTGTTTTTTTAAGGCAGAGTCTTGCTCTGTCGCCCAGGCTGGAGTTCAGTGGCGCGATCTCAGCTCACGGCAACCTCCGCCTACTGGGTTCAACAGATTCTCCCACCTCTGCCTCCCCAGTAGCTGGGACTACAGACATTTGCCATCACACACAGCTAACTTTTGTATTTTTAGTAGACATGGGGTTTCCCCATTTTGGCCAGGCTTGTCTTGAACTCCTGACCTCAACTGATCAGCCCGCCTCGCCTCCCAACGTGCTGGGATTACAGGGGTGACCCACCACGCCCGGCCCAATAAATTTTTAATAGGAGAAAAGAGAAACTGTGAACCCCACGAACCAAAGCTCTTCCCATTCATGAACCCGCACCCCGAGTCAGGATTCTCCCCTGACGACCTTCCCGTGGCCCCTGAACAATCTGGGAAAGACCTGTGGGTGCAGAGCTGCCCGGAGAGGGTTCCACGCCAGGGCACAGTCACTGCGCAGGGAAAAGACAGGACACCCCGGGGACCCGCTGTCAACGCAGCCGCCATGTTATGGCTGGGGCGGAGCTGGGCAATGAGAACTTGGAGCGCAGATTGTGGAGCTGACTGCCGGGAGGCCTGAGTTCTGCCACTGCCACAGCCACAGCCACTTCCTCCCCAGTTCCAACCAGCCCCTCTCCCTCTCTCGGGATGTCGAACTGGCACTCTCACCATTTCTAGGCTTCCAGGGGGTCCCGGCGTCCTAGCTGTGACCCTCCTAATACCTGCAGGTCACAGGGCCACAGAGGCTGGGCCTCTAGGAGCTGACGGCACAGAGCAGTGAAGACGATAGCTGGATCTCTGGCGTCAGCGAGAGACAATGGGCCCGCCAAAGCCGGAAGCCGGAAACCGTCCTGTTCGCTACAGCTGCGTGGCTGATTGGACGGTTTCCAGCCCAGCGTCCCTGATTGGATAATGCTTGAGGCCCCGCCCCCTCAGGTCCTGAGTTACAGAAGACGTGATCCGATGCTGGACTGAGTGAAGAAAGAGAGACAGTCTAAGCTGCAGCCTTTTCTTTTTTTAAAAAAATTTTATTTATTTATTTTTTTGAGACGGAGTTTCACTCTTGTTGCCCAGGCTGGATTGCAATGGCGTCATCTTGACTCAGTGCAACCTCTGCCTCCTGGGTTCGAGCGATTCTCCTGCCTCAGCCTCCCGGGTATCTGAGATTACAGGCGCCTGCTACCATGCCCGGCTAATTTTTTTTTGTAGTTTTAATAGAGACGGGGTTTCACCATATTGGCCAGCCTGGTCTCAAACTCCTGTCCTCAAGTTATCCGCCTGCCTCGGCCTCCCGAAGTGCTGGGATTACAAGCTTGAGCCACCAAGCCTGGCCAGCTGCAGCCTTTTCAAACAGGACTTCCTCCCTGAGCTGAGCCAGGCCCACCCCAGAGCATGGGAAAATTCTCTCTCTTTTTGACTCTCTCTCTTTTTGAATATATTCAAAAGGTGAACGGAAGTATTCTGCTGTCATATTAATAATACGTAAAATTTTTGTTCAAGAGAAAATCAACTTTTACTTTGGTAATAGTGTATTATCAATTAAAGCTAATTTTAATAAAACCTTAGAAATAAATTTGTCATTTTGAACACTCCAGATTTACATATATATTTTGTAATCTCTTGTAAGTTTTTTAACTTTTTATATTTTATTTTTATCCACATTCTTTTTATTTTTCCATTTGAAACAACCTTTAAGTAATTTCAAACTGCTATAGGGGGTAGAAAGAAATCATTTAGGGCCAGGCGCGGTGGGTCAAGCCTGTAATCCCAGCACTTTGGGAGGCCAAGGTGGGCAGATCACTTGAGGTCAGGAGTTCAAGACTAGCCTGGCCAACATGGTGAAACCCCATCTCTACTAAAAATACAAAAAATTAGCAGGGTGTGCTGGTGCACACATATAGTCCCCGCTACTCTGGAGGCTGAGGCAGGAGAATCACTTGAACCCAGGAAGTGGAGGTTGTGTAACGGCCCAAGGGGTTCACCTTGCCCTTTGCCTAGACAGAGCCAATTCATCAAGACAGGGGAATTTGTGGAGGAAAACTTAAATATTAAATTTGAACTTATTGAACGTGGACACAAACAATGGTCACCAAGTCTTGGAACAGGTTATGTGAACCCCTTGAGGTGTTCATCCTGCGCTGTTTTGGAGAAATCTCTATTTCAATCTATTCCAATACATTGGTTATTGAAAAACAATAGACAATCACACACACACAAAAAAAGTTGACCTTTTTGTGTTCTTTGAGCCCAATCGCGAAGGGCCCTCATGACTGGGCCTCATGCCAAAGAACTCATTACAAAAAGAGCTAGGGTCCCAGATCACGCGGAACCTTCATGAGACCTCTCCTTGTCTGTGCAGAGATGGGTGGCTGACTCTGGAGCCCAGGCTGTTGCTTTCCAGTCTGGTGGTGAATCCTCCTAGTCTGATGAGTGCGGTATCCGACTCTGGAGCCCAGCCTGTTGCTTCCTGGTCTGGTGGTGAATCCTCCATAGTCTGGTGTGGAGGAAAAGTTAAATATTAAATTTGAACTCAATTGAACATGGCTACAAACAATGGTCACCAAGTCCTGGAACAAGTTGTGTGAGCTGCTTGAGGCATTCATCCAGCGCTGTATTGGAGAAATCTCTATTTCAATCTATTCCTATACATTAGTTGTTGAAAAACAATAGACAATCGCAAAAGCCAGTTGACTTTTGTGTTCCTTGGGTCCAGTCACGAATGGCCCTCATGAATGGGCCTTATGCCAAATAATTCGTTACAAAAGAGCTAGGGTCCCAGACCGTGCCAAAGCTCCATGAGAGACCTCTCCTCCTCTGTGCATGGGCGAGTGTCCAACTCTGGAGCCCAGGCTGTTGCTTCCCACTCTGGTGGTAAATCCTCCATAGTCTGGTGAGTGTAAATATATATATGTCTCTTTTCTCCTCTCCTTTTCCTATTGCAATTTGCTTATTATATGAATCTTCTTCTTATATCAATCTGCTTATTGTATTTATTTGCTTATTATATCATTTGCTTATTATATCTGCATTGCCATTTACGTGGGATAAAGCTTGTTTACCCTTAAAGGTATTGTGTGTGTGTCTTTTCTTCTCACCTTGAGCCTTTCCCTCACAGAACATTTTTGGCATTACAAACAGGATTTGAAACCAAAAGTGTGCCTCTTTTTGGCCACAAGGACAGGGCTGGAGGCTCGGGGACTTCCCATACCCTGGGATGGGAACTCCCCCAGTTCTCCCCCTTGGTGATTGAATGGTCCAGGGGAACTGGACTTTGTGAGAATTGAGAATCTAAATTAGTGCAATTTAAACCTTTGTGCATGAAGTGCTGCAGGAGATTCCAGTCAGCAAAAAAGATGCTGAGGGATCTCCCAGAGTGGATGGTGTTTCCTTACTGCTTATAAGTTTATGTGTCAAGATACGGGCTGGTTGCAAGAAGAGAAATGTAAGTTGGAAAACGAATATGCTAATCTGACTTCCAGACTGGCCCTGGCCCAATGCCAGGCCTATGTCTTGATTGATCAGGCTCAAAGCTATCAGCCTATTGCTGAAAAAAGCAGCTGTCCAAGTGGCCCGGTCAGGGTGAAACTGAAGAACTAGTCAGTTGGGGCTTGGAACAGGTAAAAACCCAGCTCCTATCTCAGAAATGGGAAATTAACCTAGTAAAATTCAAGGACCCGCACAAACTGTAAAATTCCATGGCGTTCTATGGAATGCAGAGATGTAGTCCATCTTACCAAAGACTAAGGCTAAAATACTAGAATTTACAACCCCTACCACTAAAAAGGAGGCCCAGAAATTTATTGGCTTTGTTTGGATTCTGGAGACATCATATTCCCCACTTGGGTAACATTTTACAACCTCTGCATGCAGACTTTCACTGGGGAGAGACAGAGAGCATGGCTTCTTAACAAGCTAAACAAGCAGTGCAACTGGCCCTGGATCTATGGCCCATACGGGATGGGCCAGCAGAACTCCAAGTGACTGTCCTAGATCAACATGCTAATTGAAGCGGTAGGCAGAAACAAGATGGGAAGAGGGTACCTTTCAGGTTTTGGACCCAGAAACTGCCAGAGGCCAGAAAAGCTTATACCCCTTTCAAGAAGCAATTGTTAGCTTGCTATTGGGCTTTGCTGGAAACGGAACACCTCTGTTTCAACCATGAGGTCTTTATGAGGCCTGAAATTTCTATTATGACTTGGGTCATGAGTTCCCTCAAAGCTCACCAGATAGAGCACTCTCAAGAAAGTAGCATCATAAAATGGAAATAGTACATACAAGTCCATTTAAGCCAAAACCAAACGGGGTATCACTTTTACATGAGGACGTACAAAACTTCCCAGCTCAGGAAATCACCAAGCAAGCCTTGCTGTTAGGGAAGGAAACCTCCCCTGCCCAATGGGGCAAATCCTTTAAAGAACTAAGCCCAGAGGATCAGAAATATGCTTGGTTTACTGATGGATCCACCAAATACATTGGTGGGACCCGATGCTTGAAGGCCGTGGCTTATAATCCTGTTAAAAACATAAGTATTTATGATGAAGGAAGGGGTGGGAGCAGCCAGTTAGCTGAACTAGTAGCCATCCTCTGAGCTATTCAAGAGGAGGCCAGAGGGATTTGTCACTTGTATACCAACTCTTGGTCTGTAGCAAATGATCTTACTACCTGGATACCCCAATGGTAACAAAACAAATGGTTAATTGGGAATAAAGAGGTTTGGGGAAAACAATACTGGGGAGATATCTGAATCCTTTCGCACACTACCATTATCACCGTTTTCCACGTTGATGCCCGTGCATCTCTGCTTTCTCTTGACAGACTATTTAATCAGCAAGTTATCAATAACGCCAAAATTTCCACCATAACTGCAAACTTGAATGGATTACGTGTCCAAGCCTTTCAATGACAGGCATTGTAATGTATGGTGGTATAATTGATAGTGATTATTGGCCTAAATGCTACTAATTTAGTGGCCTAAATGCTCCACTTAAAAGACACAAAATGGCAGAATGGATAAGAGTTTACCAGGCTGGGTGCAGTGGCTCCTGCCTGTAATCCCAGCAGTTTGGGAGGCTGAGGTGGGTGAATCACCTGAGGTCGGGAGTTTGAGACCAGCCTGACCAACATGGAGAAACCCTGTCTCTACTAAAAATACAAAATTTAGCCAGACGTGGTCGTGCATGCCTGTAATCCCAGCTACTCAGGAGGCTGAGGTAGCAGAATAGCTTGAACCCAGGAGGCAGAGGTTGCGGTGAGCCGAGATCATGCCATTGAACTCCAGCCTGGACAATGAGAATTAAACTCCAACTCAAAAAAGAAAAAAAAAAAAGATTTTACAGGCCAAATATCTGCTATCTTCAAGAGACTCACCCAACACATAAGGACTCACTTAAACTTAAGGGAAAGGGTTGGAAAAAGATATTCCATGCAAATGTACCCCAAAAGCTAGCAGTAGTAGCCATTCTTACATCAGACAAAACAGATATTAAAGCAAAAACAGTTAAAAAAAAAAAAGAAAAGACAAAGAGGGACATTATATAATGATAAAAGGACTAGTCCAACAGGAAAACATCACACCTCTAAATATATATGCACCTTACACTGGAGCTCCCAAATTTATAAAACAATTACTACTAGACCTAAGAAATGAAATAGATGACAACACAATAATAATGAGGGACTTCAATACTCTACTGACAGCAGTAGACAAGTCATCAAGACGGAAAGTCAACAACAACAACAAACAATGGACTTAAACTATATCCTAGAACAAATGGACTTAAAATATATTTACAAACATTCTATCCAAGAACTGCAGAATATACATTTTATTCATCAGCACTTGAAACATTTTCCAAGATAGACATATGATAGGCCACAAGTCTCAATAAATTTAAGACAATCAAAATTATATCAACTACTCTCTCAGACTGCAGTGGAATAAAAGTGAAAATCAACTCCAAATGAACCATCAAAACCATGCAAATACACGGAAATTAAATTTAAAAATTAAAGATCAACCTGTTTCTGAATGAGTGTTGGATGAAATCAAGATGGAAATTTAAAAATTCTTTGAACTGAATGCACTCGCCATGTCCATGGAGAGAGGCTGAGGCGGCCGAGCTCCGGCTGGAGGTACCGGAGCGCCAGGACAGCAAAGATGTCGGCTGCCTTAGTCCGGGCAAATGTCTGGGCTGTGAGCAAGAGGAAACTTCAGCCCACCTGGGCCGCCCTCACCCTGACACCTTCAGCAGTAAACAAGATAAAACAACTTCTTAAAGATAAGCCTGAGCATGTAGGTGTAAAAGTTGGTGTGCGAGCCAGGAGGCTGTAATGGCCTTTCTTATATTCTAGAATATACAAAGACAAAAGGAGATTCTGGTGAAGTTATTCAAGATGGAGTCAGAGTATTCATTGAAAAGAAAGCAAAGCTAACACTTTTAGGAACAGAGATGGACTATGTTGAAGAAAAATTATCCAGTGAGTTTGTGTTCAATAACCCAAACATCAAAGGAACTTGTGGCTGTGGAGAAAGCTTTAATATTTGAAATCTCAGGACTCTTCTGGCCGTAGGTTCCAGGAAAGCTGGTGGAAGCCTTGGGGCTCACTGCAGAAATCATGTGACTGTCACGTGTTTAATATGCTGCTGCCTTGTAAGGAAAATAAAGTGATGCATTTTGAAAATGAAGCCAGTGTGTTAGATTCCAGAAGAAATGATATTTGTATTCCCTGTAGGGGACAGAAAATGAGAAGCCATCACTCTCTTTGGATCATTTAGGTCTCTTACATCCTTTGTTTTAGAAACAGTTTCATTAAAGTTGCCTTCCTGGGCACCTGTTTATCCATTTCCTGGACCGTGTGCACTCCTTAGCTCTCTACTGAATGGCTTGAACATGCATCCCCCTCAGCATTTCTCCCAACCAGATCGGCAACTCCTAAAATCTGAGATAGGACGTCCTGACTGCTGGTAGTAACATGGTGGTGCATTGTTTTTTCCAACCAAACTTAACATAGCCTTTTAGTACATTTGTATGAAAATTTTTATTTTCAGATGCCTCATTGCGTACCCTTTAATAGTACCGGGCAAAGATTTTCTTCAACTATAGTACAGATTAGTTCTGAGTGATGGTATCAAAAGGTGAGAAAGATGTCATCCACCTGTTTTTTAATCCATTTCTTTTGCCACCCTATATGTCTGCTCAGAGATGGGATCTCAAGGTGACTTTGATTCTTTTAGTTGTGGGGTCTCTTAAAGCCATCTAGCCCACCTCCCTCAATTCCCTATGTGAGGAAGCAAATCCCCAGGGAAGCCAAAGTGCTCCTGTCCACCCCCACTCCACAGGCCAAGGGAGAATGGGGACTCTACCCCCATCTCCCCTTCCTTGTAGGTGACACATGCTCTGCCCTCTGAGGCAATCAGTGAAGGCAAATGGTCTGATTTCTTTATTTGGTTGACATTTTGATAGAATTTCTTTATAATTTGATGGAGATCATAGTATTTTATTTTGAGTGGGAAGAATTTTAAAACCATTTTATGTGAATTACCATCTTGTTTCTTTCACCTTTGAAACAATGGTTTGTAGCAGAGAAGACATTGTAGCAACCCAGAATTATGCTTTTGGAATGTGGTCCTCATTGTGCAGGAGAACATGGGGATCTTTTCTTAAAATTCTGTGTGCATACACTTTCTGATTCCTCGGTCCAGTTGCTAAAGTTTTTAATATTTTAGCCTAATATTTTTATCATCAACCTTTCTTTAAAAGTGTTCCTTTTGTCACGTAGTTACTGATTTTCCCGGGTTTGACATGTTAAGTATTCTATGAAATGACATATATGCTTTTTTTGAAAGCTGATTCTCATGAATTCAAGTAGCTGAGGTCCTTTATGTTTCTTTCATTCCCTAAAGTAGCTGGCACAAAACACACCAAAACCTAGAGCAGTAGTTTTATGTAAATGCTCATGAGTTTGTATCAATAATATAATTGTTGATCCACTTATAATTCATTCAATACTGTATGTATCTAGAGATTGAGTTGTCAATTAAAAAAAAAATGAGGCCTCAGGCTGGGTGTGGTGGCTCATGCCTGTAATTCCAGCACTTAGGGAGGCCGAGGTGGGTGGATCACCTGAGGTCAGAAGTTCGAGACCAGCCTGGCCAACATGGTGAAACCCTGTCTACTAAAAATAAAAAAAAATTAGCTGGGCATGATAGCAGGTACCTGTAATCCCAGCTACTTGGGAGGCTGAGGTAGGAGAATTGCTTGAACCTGGGAGGTGGAGGTTGCAGTGAGCCGAGATCTTGCCATTGCACTCCAGCCTGGGAAACAATGTGAGACTCTATCAAAAGAAAAAAAATGTGGCCTCTTTGTGATCATAAAAAAAAAATTATTTGAACCGAACAATAATAATGACACAAGCTATCAAAATATCTGGTATATGGCAAAAGCGGTGCTAAAAGGAATGTTCATAGCATTAAATGCCTACATCAAAAAGTCTGAAAGAGCTTAAGTAGACAATGTAAGATAACACCTCAAGGAACTAGAGAAACAAGAACAAGCCAAACCCAAACCCAGTAGAAGAAAAGAAATAACAAAGATGAGAGCAGAACTAAATGAAACTGAAACAACAACAACAATAAAACAGAAGATAAATGAAATGAAAAGCTGGCTCTTAGAAAAGATAAACAAAATTGATAGACCATTAACAGCATTAACCAAGAAGAGAGAAGATCCAAACAAGCTCAGTTAGACCTGAAATGGAAGATATTGCAACTGATGCCACAGAAATACAAAAGATCATTGAGGGCTACTGTGAACACCTTTACATGCACAAATTAGAAAACCTACAGAAGATGACTAAATTCCTGGAAATGTACAACCCTCCTAGATTAAAAAACAAAAACAACTCTGAACAGACTAATAACAAGCAGTGAGATTGAAATAATAATTAAAAAAAATTGCCAACCAAAAAAGAAGTTCAGAACCAGGTGGATTCACAGCTGAATTCTATCAGACATTCAGAGAAAAACTGATGGGGATGGGGCCAAGATGGCTGACTAGAAGCAGCATCCCTTAGAAAAGAATCATAATAGCATGTGAAACCTGCACCGTCACCTGAGGTATCCAGGTTCTGTCATCAGAACTGACTAGGTGGCTGGCATGAACCATGGAGAAGAAGGAAGAGCAGTGTGGGGCAACAGCCCACCTGACACCCACATGGGCCTGGGGAGCCCCCACCCCCCAGCCAAGGGAGGCAGTGAGTGAGCATCCTACCCAGCCTGGGAAACTGTGCTTTTTCCATGGAACAGTGCAACCCATGGATCAGAAGATTCCACTCGTGAACCCACGCCACCGGAGCCTAAGGTACCAACTGTTGGAAACAAGAGCTCAGAGTCACAAAGAAAACAAGCACTCAAACAAGGAATTTCTCAGCAAGGCAAATTTACTTCTACAGAAGGGTGCTGCTCACATCTCTGGTTGTTGTGAGAGCACACTGTACTAGAGAGGGAAGGGGTTATTATTGCTAACATAGTCCCTACTTCTGTGTCCTGTCCCCATTGGCTGGAGTCAGACCACATAATATAAGCTAACTCGATTGGTTATTTTAAATCGAGACTGGCAGGAAGGTTGTTTACAGAGCAGGTAACTAGGAGTGAGGAGGACTTCTTCCAAATAAAGAAGAGATGTGGGTTACAGATTGGGACTGGTGGGAAGGGTTGTTTACAGAGCAGGTAGCTTGGAGCAGGAACATACAAGGAAGTTGATTTGGAGAACAAAGAACAAGGAAGTTATCCTTTGAAGAGAAACTTATTATGCCTGACACAACCCTGGAGCTAAGCAGATCCTCAACAGCCTCTCAGCTAGAATCTGCGTAAGCCTGCCAAGTTCCCAGGGGAGGGGCGACCAGTACCACAGCTGTGTCTGGCTGCTGTCTAAGCCCTTTGAGCTCCTTGGGGGAGGGACAGCAGCCAGCAATGGGACTCACAACTGCCTGACAGGCTAAGCTCCCTGGGCTCAGGAAGGGCAGCAGCCATCTCTATAGCTCCTGGCCACACTTTTCCCCTGCTAGAGCCAGGGAGGCTGGACAGCTTGGTCTCAAGAGATGTCCCCTACAACCCAACACTCTGGCTGTTGCAGACTGCAGCCAGAGTGTCTCTTCAGGCCTGACCCTGACCATCCCTCCTCACTGGGCAGGGCCTCCCAGCAGGAACTCCAACAGCTCCAGCCAGGGGCTCAGAGGCAGAACTCTGATCTCCCTGGGCCTGAGCCCCTAGGGGGAGGGGTGACTGCAGTCTCTGTGGACCAGCAGACTTAGCCTTTCCTCCTGCTAGTTCTGAGGAATTCAGGCAGCCCAGATGAGTGGGCTTCCCCTCAGGAATCACCCCACCCCTCCACCGAAGGATAGTCAAAGTGCTTCATTAAATGGGTTAGGCTCCCTGTGCCACCCAAATGGGTGAGACCCTTCAACAGGGGTTGTCAGACACCCTATACAGGAGCGATCCTATGGGCATCAGGTTGGTGCCTCTTGAGGTCAAAGATTCCAGAGGAAAGAGTAGGCACCTGTCTTTGCTGTTCTCCAACCTCCTTGAGTGACATCTCCAGGCACGGGAGTAAACCAGATGAATAGGGCCGGAAGTGATCCCCCAGCAAACTGCAGCAGCCCTACAGAAGAGGGACCTGACCATTGAAAGAAAAACAAGCAAACGGAAAGCAACAACAACAGCATCAACAACAAAAAAGTACCCACAAAAACCGTATCCGAGGCCGGGCATGGTGGCTTTCACCTGTGACCCCAAGACTTTGGGAGGCTGAGGTGGGCAGATCGCTTGAGGCCAGAGTTCAAGACTAGCCTGGCCAACATGGCGAAACCCTGTCTCTACTAAAAAATGCAAAAATTAGCCAGGCGTGGTGGTGCATGACTGTAGTGCCAGCTACTTGGGAGTCTGAGACATGAGAATCACCTGAACCTGGGAGGTGGAGGTTGCAGTGAGCCGAGATCATGCCACTGCACTCCAGCCTGGGTAATAGAGCAAGACTCTGTCTAAAAAATAAAAATAAAAATAAAATAAAAATAAAAATAAAAAACCATCCAAGGATCAGCAGCCTCAAAGATCAAAACTAGACAAACTCATGAAGATGAGAAAGAATCAACAAAAAAATGCTGAAAGGCCAGAGTGCCTTTTCTCCTCCAAATGATCAAAATGTCTCTTCAGCAACGTGCAGAACTGGACAGAGGATGAGATGGATGAATTAACAGAAGTAGGCAGATAATAACAAAGTCTGCTGAGCTAAAAGAACATGTTCTAACCCAATTCAAAGAAGCTAAGAACCTTGATAAAAGGTTAGAGGAAATGCTAACTAGAATAACCAGTTTGGAGAAGAACATAAATGACCTGATGGAGCTGAAAAACACAGCATGAGAACTTCATGAAGCATACAAAAGTATCAATAGCCGAATAGACCAAGCAGAAGAAAGGATATCAGAGTTTGAAGACCACCTTGCCGAAATAAGGCTTGCAGAGAAGATTAAAGAAAAAAGAATAAAAAGGAACAAACAAAGCCTCTGAGAAATATGGTGTTCTGTGTGGAAAATGCACAGGGGGAGAAGAAAAGACACACACACAGTACCTTTAAGGGTAAACAAGCTTTATCCCATGTAAATGGCAATGCAGATACAATAAGCGAATTGATATCATAAGCAAATTGCAGTGGGAAGGGGAGAAGGGAAAAGAGATGTGTATATATATATATATTTACACTCACGAGACTATGGAGGATTCATCACCAGATCAGGAAGCAACAGCCTGGGCTCCAGGGTCAGACACCAGACTCACCAGACTATGGAGGATTCACCAACACACTGGGAAGCAACAGCCTGGGCTCTAGAGTTGGCCACCCATTCATGCACAGACAAGCAGAGGTCTCTTGAAGCTTTGGTGCAGTCTGGGACCCTAGCTCTTTTTGTAACAAGTTGTTTGGCATGAGGCCCAGTCACGAGGGCCCTTCGTGACTGGGCTCAAGGAACACAAAAAGGTCAACTTGTTTTTGCGATTGTCTATTATTTTTCAATAACTAACATATAGAATAGATGGCAATAGAGATTTTTCTGAAACAGTGCTGGATGAACGCCTCGAGGGGCTCACACAACCTGTTCTGGGACTTGATGACCATTGTTTGTGTCCACGTTCAACGGAGTTCAAATTTAATATTTAACTATTCCACCGCATTCACAACTCCTTCTGTATATTGTAAATATAGCACTCAAAAATGTGCATGTTCGTATTCATGACTTTAAATTTCTACTTTATTATCTAGAAAAATATCATAAATAAACTGATGTAGTGGATCTCATGCTGCTCTTTCTTCTCGGAGTTAGAGAATACATTAGAGAATATTTCTATGTTGAAAATTATTTTATTGGATAATTTTAGTCAGTCCTATAAGCCAGAACCAATTGTCTTTACTCTCTAATTTCACCTTAAGTCAAATTAAAAGTCTCGCCCATGGCCACTTGGTAAAAACGTGTGTGTGTGTGTGTTTTCCAGGGACCATTGCAATTTAGAGACGTGGCCATAGAATTCTCTCTGGAGGAGTGGCATTGCCTGGACACTGCACAGTGGAATTTATATAGGGATGTGATGTTAGAGAACTACAGACACCTGGTCTTCCTTGGTGAGGATAACTTGAATGTATAATTCATAATGTACCCTAAAGGTTTTATTTCTCCTTTTTGTGAAATGTTTTTTAGTAATTTATTTTTTGCGTAAAAGAGTTTCAGATGCCCTTTTTCCAGAAAATTTTTAGAATTTGTTCATTTAGAAAAGAATTTCAAGATGTTTAATCTTTTTTTTTTTTGAGACAGAGTCTCGCTTTGTCACCCAGGCTGGAGTGTAGTGGCACGATCTCAGCTCACTGCAACCTCCGCCTCCCGGGTTCACGCTATTCTCCTGCCTCAGCCTCCCGAGTAGCTGGGACTGTTGGCGTACGCCGCCACGCCTGGCTAATTTTTTTTTTTTTTTGTATTTTTAGTAGAGATGAGGTTTCACCGTGTTGTCCAGGATGGTCTCGATCTCCTGACCTCGTGATCTGCCCGCCTCAGCCTCTCAAAGTGCTGGGATTACATGCGTGAGCCACTGCGCTCAGCCAAGATGTTTAATCTTAATCCAAAATCTCCACATGCCTGAGTTGAGCTGTGTTCTTCACTCTAAATTAGCGGTAAGCCCAGAAATTTAGTGGCATAAAATATTGTTGTCCGCACCTGAAAATCTAATTGCCACCATCAATTTTTGATTCAGTCACACCAGGTAGTAAAATTTAAAAATCTACAAGCAAAACCGGGTGCGGTGGCTCAAGCCTGTAATCCCAGCACTTTGGGAGGCCGAGGCGGACGGATCACCTGAGGTCGGGAGTTTGAGACCTGCCTGACCAACATGGAGAAACCACATCTCTACTAAAAATACAAAATTAGCAGGGCATGGTGGCGCACACCTGTAATCCCAGCTACTCCAGAGGCTGAGAGAGGAGAATCCTTTGAACCCAGGAGGCAGAGCTTGCAGTGAGCCAAGATCGCACCACTGCACTCCAGCCTGGGCAACAGAGCAAGACTCCATCTCAAAAAATAAATAAATAAATAAAAGCACAATATTATACTGGACAGCAGGAAGAGCTGTGTTGGGTATAACAGAGCTTTCTTTTTCTTCTATGTGGCTATTTCATTCTGCTCACGTGGGGAACTTCACACATTTAACTCATTTATACATTTTTTTACACATGTATTTTGGTCAGTACGTTTTTGTTACATTTATGTGTCCAGGAAGAAATTAGAGCTGGTGGTATTTTGCTATGTCATCTTGCTTATGTAGTTTGTATAATTTTATAGGTTAGATTTGTAAAGTATATTTATTTATCTGAGTCTAGCAATTGAAGTAATGTGATTTTACTGTTTCTTTCTGTTATGTGTTCTCATTTTGCCCAAGACCTTTGGCCAGAGCAGAGCATAAAAGATTCTTTCCAAAAAGTGATACTTAGAAGATATGAAAAATGTGGATATGACAATTTACAGTTAAAAAAAGGCTGTGAAAGTGTGGATGAGCATGAGCTGCTCAAAAGAGGTAATAATGGTCTTCACCACAGTCTGACAACTACCCAGAGAAAAATATTTCAATGTGATAAATATGGGACAGTCTTTCAGAAATTTTCAAATTGAAACAGACCTAAGATACGACATACTGGAAAAAAATCTTTCAAATGTATAGTATGCGGCAAAGCTTTTAACTCGTCCTCAAACCTTACTACACATAAGAAAATTCATACTGGAGAGAAACCCTACAGATGTGAAGAATGTGGCAAAGCCTTCAAAAGGTCCTCACACCTTACTGTACATAAGATAGTTCATACTGGAGAGAAATCCTACAAATGTGAAGAATGCGGGAAAGCCTTTAAGCACCCCTCACATGTTACTGCACATAAGAAAATTCATACTGGAGGGAAACCCTACAAATGTGAAGAATGTGGCAAAGACTTTAAGTACACTTCTACCCTTATTGCACATAAGAGAATTCATACTGGAGAGAAGCCCTACAAATGTGAAGAATGTGGCAAAGACTTTTAAGTGCACTTCTAACCTTACTACACATAAGAGAATTCATACTGGAGAGAAGCCCTACAAATGTAAAGAATGTGGCAAAGCTTTTCACCTATCCTCACACCTTACTACACATAAGATACTTCATACTGGAGAGAAGCCCTACAGGTGTAAAGAATGTGGCAAAGCTTTTAACCATTCCACAATCCTTTTTTCACACAAAAAAATTCATACTGGAGAGAAATTCTACAAATGTGATGAATGTGGCAAAACCTTTACCTGGCCCTCACTACTCTCTAAACACAGGAGAACTCATACTGGAGAGAAACCCTACAAATGTGAAGTGTGTGGCAAAGCCTTTACTGCATCCTTAACTCTAACTGAACATCAGAGAATTCATACTGGAGAGAAACCTTACAAATGTGAAGAATGTGGCAAAGCTTTTAACTGGTCCTCATACCTTCATAAACATAAGAGAATTCATATTGCACAGAAACCCTACATAGTGAAGAATGTGGCAAACATTTTAAATATTCCTCCACTTTTAATAAGCATAAGATAATTCATACTGGAGAGAAACTGGATGAATGTGGGAAAGCCTTTAACCAGCCCTCGACTCTTACTAACTATGAGAATTTATATGGAACATAAACTCATACAAATATAACAAATATAAAAAATGTGACAAAGCTTTTTTTAAAATTTTTTTATTTATTTTTTTATTATACTTTAAGTTTTAGGGTACATGTGCACATTGTGCAGGTTAGTTACATATGTATACATGTGCCATGCTGGTGCGCTGCACCCACTAACTCGTCATCTAGCATTAGGTATATCTCCCAATGCTATCCCTCCCCCCTCCCCCCACCCCACCACAGTCCCCAGAGTGTGATATTCCCCTTCCTGTGTCCATGTGATCTCATTGTTCAATTCCCACCTATGAGAATATGCGGTGTTTGGTTTTTTGTTCTTGCGATAGTTTACTGAGAATGATGATTTCCAGTTTCATCCATGTCCCTACAAAGGACATGAACTCATCATTTTTTATGGCTGCATAGTATTCCATGGTGTATATGTGCCACATTTTCTTAATCCAGTCTATCATTGTTGGACATTTGGGTGACAAAGCTTTTAAAGGAAGTTCTCAACCTTTATTACACGTAATTCATACTGGACAGAAACCCTACAAGTGTGAAGAATGTGGCATGGCCTATAAGAAGTTCTCAATTCCATTTTTTTTTTTTTTTTTGAGATGAAATTTCAGTCTTGTCACCCAGGCTGGAGTACAATGGCATGATCTTGGCTCACTGCAACCTCTACCTCCTGGGTTCAAGCCATTCTCCTGTCTTAGCCTCCCAAGTAGCTGGGATTACAGTTGCCCACCACCACGTCTGGCTAATTTTTTGTATTTCTAGTAGAGACGGGGTTTCACAATGTTGGCCAGTCTGGTCTCGAACTCTTGACCTCAGGTGATCCACCCACCTTGGCCTCCCAAAGTCCTAGGGTTACAGGCATGAGCCACCATGCCTGGCTACAGGTTTTCAATTCTTAAGAGACATGGTGATAATTCATGCTGGAGAGGAAATCTACAAACCTGAAAGATGTGACAGTGCTTTTTACCAACACCTCCAAATTTCCTATACATAAAAATAAATTACACTAATGTGAAACCCTAGAAATGTATAAAATGTGACAAAGCCTTTATATGGTTGTGACACTGATTGTAGGTAAGATAATTCATACTGGCAAAACTCCTACAAGTGTGAAGAATGTGGTAAAACTTTTAATCAGTGCTTACACCGTATTTCACAGGAAAGCTATTATCCTTGAGAAAAATTGTACAAATATAAAGAATATGGAAAAGCCATTAATGCCCATCACATCTTACTCAACAGAAGAAAGCTCGTAGTTAATAAAAGCATGAAAAGGGCAATTACTGTCAAAAAATCTTTCAGAAAATATAAGCCTTTAGAGTGAAGAATATTTATTTTGAAGACAGCCATTACAAATATAAAGTGGGTTGTAGTGCCTTTACTTGTGTCACAGATCTTATTGAACACATTTGTACTAGAAGAAAACCCTGAAGCAGTTGCTCAAGCTTTGCTCAACATTGGAATTTATATTGGAGAAGAGTCCTGCTAATGAATTTGGAAAGCCCTTTTTTTTTTTTTCAAAAACTGCAGCTTAGAAAACACCAGAGAGCTTATACTAAAATATATTTTTGCAGATGCAGTAAATATAAAAAAATTTAATTCAAAATTGATTCTATGTAAATATCAGATAATTTACAGCAAAATAACTAAGGCACTGACACTTCAGACATTACACTAAATCAGAGTGTTGAGTATAAAAACTAATCCACAGCTACAGCTGTTAAATTATTTGTATATAACTTTAAAAGTAGTAGATTTTTTTTTTTTTTTTTGAGACGGAGTCTCGCTCTGTCGCCCAGGCTGGAGTGCAGTGGCGGGATCTCGGCTCACTGCAAGCTCCGCCTCCCGGGTTCACGCCATTCTCCTGCCTCAGCCTCCCAAGTAGCTGGGACTACAGGCGCCCGCCACTACGCCCGGCTAATTTTTCGTATTTTTAGTAGAGACGGGGTTTCACCGTTTTAGCCGGGATGGTCTCGATCTCCTGACCTCGTGATCCGCCCGCCTCGGCCTCCCAAAGTGCTGGGATTACAGGCGTGAGCCGCCGCGCCCGGCCTAAAAGTAGTAGATTTTTTTGAAGCATTGTAGTTACATTGAAAGTATAGTTGTTTCCTTGAAAAAACAATTTTGAAAAGTGAATAAATATGTAATATGGTTTTCATATTACTTTATGCTGTTATTTCTATTGTGCTCACATGTGAAAGCATGTGATCAATTGTTGCTGCATCAGATATATTAGAGATTGTTTACTAATTGGGCATTACTTAGAACCTTTTCTATAAAAGAGTAAGAACATCAAAATCTATGATGGATGATGAAAATGTAAGTGGAGCGCCTTTTTGTAGTTAACTTATACTAAGTAATGTATAAGGTGGGGGTTCATGTTCTCATTTGTATTATCGTACCCTATAACTTAATGTTGACACTTTGCTTTGTCTTTTGGATGGCCTAACCTACATTAACATGTATGCAGAACATCTTAAAACTTTTTTTTCAAAAGTTATAATGAATTACTTTATTAGTAACAAAGATTAAAAAAGGTGGGGGTTCAGAGTAATATTTTTCTACATTATAGTGAGATAAAAATTATTATAGTTAAAAGTATTAAATTAGTATATTATTTTACTAGTTGTACTTTTATGTAATAAAATGCAGTACACTTCAAAATTGTTAGATTTTGAACTTAATTTTATTTTTTTACCATGTTAAGACTATTGTGCATTTAATGAAGCATTATTATGCCACTTAACTTTAACCTATTTAACCTTACTCAACAGTGTAGGTAAAAGATGGTAGCAATATACTATTTGGTTCATAGTGGAATAACATCTCTAGTAATCCCTTTGCCAGTGGCTTTAAACTGTAAATCAGCTGAAGAATATTTTCCCACTGGTTAAATTTTTATTCTTTTTTCTTATTGAAATTAATTATTAGTATTTTGGGGTATATAGTATGTGTATATATTTATTCCTTATATGGCATATTTTGATTCAGGCATACAATATGTAGTAATTACATTAGGGTAAATAAGGTATCCATCACCTCTAGCATTTATCTTTTCTGTTACAAAGAGTGTAATTAACACTTTTAGTGTATAATTTAGTGAGGCAGGTGGATTGCCTGAGGTCAGGAGTTCAAGAGCAGCCTGGCCAACATGCTGAAAGCCCGTGTCTATTAAAAATTCAGAAATTAACCAGGCATGGTAGTGCAAGCCTGGAGGCTGAGGCAGGAGAGTCGCTTGAATCCCTTAGGTGGAGGTTGCAGTGAGCTGAGATCATGCCACTGCACTCCGGACTGGGGAATAGAGCGAGACTCCCTCTCAAAAAAAAGTGAAAGAAATATAAATAAAATTCTTACATTCTTAGTCCTGAAAAATTATTAATAAACAATTGTTATTTAATTGTTTTTGAACATGTGGTCTCTCTGCCTGCAAACATATACACTTTTAGTTTTAATTTACATATAGTTAAATATACACATATTACTCTGAAGATAACTTTAGGTGTAAGAAAATTATTCAGTGAGTAAGTGTGTTTGTGTGAGTATGAGTTTGTACATATTTTCAGAAGAAAAGAGCAATTATTGGAACAAAATGAATTATTTTAATAGGGTAACTAATAAAAAACTAAACACCTTGAAAATGCTGAAAGCAAATCCACACTTTCTGCTTTGTCTTGAATTTATTAATGTAAAATTTTATGGCTTATGTCTCAGATTCTCCCCAGAATCTGCCTATTAAAGCACAGGCAATTTTGTCTCCAGAAATAACACTCTTGACTACAACAATAAAAGCCCTCTTCAAACAAAAAATCATTTTTAACACTTATTTTAATGAAAATTTAACCACAATTGAATAATTGGTATATTTTTATTGTTCTGTGTGTGAATGTATAAAACAGTACATAAAGAAGCCAGAAAAAAAGATGTTAATATTTGTAATGAATTAAACTGGAAAGTTATTAATTATTATTTGCAGGTGATATCTTTGATTATGTAGATAAGAAAAGCAGCAGAAAGACTTTTAAAAGTTTATTCAGGTGGGTAAGCAATATTCTAAGATAATACCCTGGATTCCCAGTCTGTTGCACACCTGCGGTGGAATACTCTCGAGTGTAAAAATGTGACTGTGGTGGGACATCACTCATGAAATTAGGTTACCCATGTGTTGACTTTGTGTTTATCAAAATGGAGATTATCCTGACTGTGCTAAACTTAATCAGAGGTGTTTTTAAGAGAAAAAGACACATTATAGGAAAACACCCCTGCTGGCCTGAAAGTGACTTCTATAGGTGGAACATGTTGTAAGCTGCTTATGGTGGCCACATGGCAGGAAACATGCTTGTATATTGTCATCATTTCTGCCTCTTGCATGTTGTTCCCAGTAGGGAGAATAAGAGGTTCCTATGGCAGATGGAAAAAAGGGGAATCTCATTCATGCAAGAAATAATCACCTCTCATCTGGGATAGCTTAAGAGAAACAGGAGACCACAAAAAGACTACATTAATGGGAGGAAAAGGGTAACCTGGCTAAAAGTGCTCACTGGCATTAAGGAACAACATTTAGTAAGCTGTAGTGAACGATCAGCCTCTGGGATACTGATAGTCTACCAATAAGGTTGAACTTATTCTAATTCAGTCAACATCTCTGCACCATTCTGGTGACCCAGGTTTACACTATTCATTACAGAAATGCCATGAAAACCAGTGGGTAATGTCCTAGAATTGAACTTACTTCAAAAGGCATACCTTTTTGTTTTCACATTTGAAAAACCTCAAAAACAGTGAATTTATAATTAACTTCTAATTATAGAGGATTCTACTATACTGTAATAGATTAAACTGTAAAGAACTTAATATGAATATTTCTTGAATACATAATTAGTTGTGTAGATAGTTTCTTTTAGATTAACATGAAAAAACTATTAGAGAAAACATTTGAAATGAGATAAAATTAATCAAGACCACAACTTTTCAGTGGGTTGGCCTAATTGCCATGCTTTTGGAGATGGCCAGACGACTAACAAGAAACAGACAAGATTTGGCTTTGCTCAATGATTGTTTTGCACCTTTTGAAATCTAACATCCTGGCTAAAGTATTCAAAGGGAATATTTTATAGATGGCTTCTCAGGGTTTCCAAGGCAATGAAAGAAAAATTTTGATAGGCAGGAAAATGCACACTGTCTACACACATTGCTCTTCTCTGATTTGCTTTAATACTGAAAAATTGAAGATTGTAAATGTCATCTCAATTTAGAGTAAATTAACAAAAGATTTGTTTTTGAAAAAAGCAAATGTATAAAATTAATGGGTAACGGATGCCATTAGCTTCTAAAAACTAGTATGACTAAATTCAGTAAGTATCTAGCCATGCAAATATCAGCCCAATTAAATGAAGACCCTCATAGGTGCATGTGGAAAGCATTGCTGTGCAGTGTGGTGCCTCCACTCAGCATTTTCTTCTGCCTCTTCATAGAGAAACCAGTTTCCCCTGAGTGACTCACGGTGCATACTGGGGACTGAGAATGCTGTGTTCAGAGTGATTACTGAAAACGTGGTTAATACACTTCTTCTATACGATAATAAAATGTTATAAATCTTACTCTGCCTCAGAAAAGCTTTTAGTAAAAGTTTATAGTACTCAATTTGGGTTAATGGAAAATTTCAGTATTCCAGATAATTCAGACACTTAAATGTCAGTGAAATCCCATAAAACATATTTGAATAAGATAAAGTCTTCTTTGCTGAGAATTTTATATTACTGGTAAATTTAGAAAACCAGTACTTTAAGCCAATTAGCAGTGTTTGACATGTGAGTCGCACCCAGACAAGTGCTCTTCATGATCATTGTTAAAGCAGCAATAGCACCACGTGCTTTCCTGGGACCTGCTGTCCTGTTTTCCACGATATAAAGTGGAGAAGGCATTGAAATGGCAAAGGAGTGTGATATAAATTGAATACTTATATGAAACAAAATTTTAAATAAAAAATAGCACTTGAAGTTGTACAACTATAGGTGAGACTATTAGTGTGAGGTCATATTTTTACTTATACTGACAAAATAACCACAATATTCTTATTTAGAATAATATTCCTTTTCTGCTATATATTTGCTAGTTTTTGATAAAATACTATGGGAGCTCAATAGAAATCAACAAAATGAATCTTAATTTTACCAGAAGCATTATTGATGCATATGCTTGTTTTTTCTTAAGATCCATTAGCTTTCTATGAAAGATTTATACTTTTTTTTCAGTGTCTTATTTATTGCTTAGAAGTGGCTCTCCTGCCAGAAAACTGTTATTCTCAGCTGTACCCATGTTGACTAGTAGTGAGTAGAAGCGAAGTGGATAAAAAGTAAATGTATCTTCTCTGTATCTTTTTTCATCCATTGGCTGAAGAACAGAAGGATGAAGAAGATGAAAGCAAATATAATCTCTGAAAGATCATGAAGCTCTGTTAACCAGACAAAAATCCCCATAGTGGATGTGTGTTAATTTTATTTATTTATTTTTATTGTACTGCCTACTTCTATGAGTTGAATTTTTTTTTTTTTTTGAGATGGAGTCTTGCTCTGTTGCCCAGGCTGGAGGGGAGGAATGGCACGATCTTGGCTCACTGCAACCTCCAAATCCCAGGTTCAAGCGGATCTCCTGCCTCAGTCTGTTGAGTAGCTGGGATTACAGGCACGCACCACCACCCCCAGCTAATTTCTGTATTTTTAGAGTAGACACAGGGTTTCACCAGGTTGGTCAGGCCGGTCTTGAACTTCTCATTTAGTGATTTGCCTGCCTCGGCCTCCCAAAGTTCTGGGATTATAGGTGTGAGCCACTGCGCTGGGCAAGTTTAAATTTTTTTTTTTTACACTTTATATGGAAATAGGATTATGTGGGCTGGGCCCGGTGGCTCATGCCTGTAATCCCACCAATTTGGGAGGCCGAGATGGGTGGATCACTTGAGGTCAGGAGTTCAAGATCAGCCTGGCCAACATGGTGAAACCCCATCTCTACTAAAAATATGAAAATTAGTTGGACGTGGTGGTAGGAGCCTGTAATTTCAGGTACTGAGGCGGCTGAGGCAGAAGAATCACATGAACCCAGGAGGCGGAGGTTTAAGTGAGCTGAGATGGTGTTACTGCACCATCGCCTGGGCAATGAGCTAAACTCCGTCTCCAAAAAAATAAATAGGATTTTTGTGTGTGTGTTTTTCTGTGCTGGCTTATTTTACTTAGCATAATATTTTTTAGGTTCATGAATGTTGTAGCAAATAACAAGACTTTCTTATTTCTAAGGGCTGAATAGCATTTAATTGTGTACATATACCACATTTTCTTTCTCCACCTATTGATGGACACTTAGGTTGGTTCCATACCTTAGCTATTGTGAGTAATCCACTTCCTTCCTTCTCTTTTGTTTTGTTTTTGATTTGTTTTGAGACGAGTCTCATCTGTGGCCCAAGCTGGAGTTCAGTGTCGCGATCTTGGCTCACTGCAACCTCTGCCTCGCAGGTTCAAGCCATTTTAGTGCCTCAGCCTTTGCGCCTGGCCAAAAATATATTTTAAATAAGGTACTTATGACCGAGCGTGGTGGCTCACACCTGTAATCCCAGCACTTTGGGAGGCCAAGGTGGGCAGATCATCTGAGGTCACGAGTTCGAGACCAGCCTGGCCAATGTGGTGAAACCCCGTCTCTACTAAAAAATACAAAAAAAATTAGCTGGGTATGGTGGCAGGTGCCTTAATCCTAAGTACTTGGGAGGCAGAGGCAGGAGAATCGTTTGAACCCCGGAGGCAGAGGTTGCAGTGAGCTGAGATAAAGCCATTGCACTCAAACCTGGGGGACAAGAGTGAGACTTCTTTCAATAAATAAATACTTAGATATAAACTAACAAATCTTGTAGAAAAAAACGAGAAAAAGACATGGCATTGGTCTTGGCACCATTTCCCTAGATACCACATTAAATGCATGAACAACAAATAAAAGTTTAACTACACTAGACTTTAAAATTTCTGCACATCCAAACAAAATTGAAGAGTGACAACGTCACTTAGAAAATGGGTGAAAACATTGGCAAATTACATGTGAAAAAAGTGAATATTCAAAATATATAAACAACTCTTAAAACTAAACAATAAAGTTAAATAACTTGATTTAAAAATGGAGGAACAAAATTTTCATCAAAAAGATACCCAAAAGGACACACAAATTGGGCACATGGGCTCACGCCTGTAATCTCAGCACTCTGGGAGGCCGAGGCGGGTGGATCACCTGAGGTCGGGTGTTCTAGACCAGCCCGACCAACATGGAGAAATGCCGACTATACTAAACACAAAATTAGCCGGGCGTGGTGGCACATGCCTGTAATCTCAGCTATTCAGGAGGCTGAGGCACGAGAATCACTTGAACCCGGGAGGTGCAGGTTGCAGTGAGCCAAGATCGCACCACTGCACTTCCAGCCTGGGTGACAGAGTGTGAATTCATCTCAAAAAAAAAAAAAATTTGTTAGATAATTGCAATATTTAACTGTTACTGTATACTCATCAAATGCAGATATTTTGAATCATTGCCATGAACTGTGTGGCAGTAAGATTTCAGAGAATATGCAGTATAATTATAAATAATATTCTAATGAGAAACTTTTAATAAATAAGCATTTAAAAGAAACTAGAGTTACTTTTTATGTTTTAAATATATGCTATTCTTACACAAAATGGAACTGCTGTAATCCAACTTAAGAAGCAAAGAACAGCCTTACATTGTTAAATACAGAAAATACATACATATATATATTTGGCAGAATAGGGTTAGACCCTCTGATATGCAAAACAAATATTAGGAAATAAACTATGGTATTATTTAGATACAGGCTGAAGAAAGTAGAAGAAAATCCTATAATTCCTTTTTGCTTGCAGCAAACTTAAATATATAAGTAACTATTTTGGTAAGTGTGGAGTGCCTCCTAATTATGTAATTTACTGTAGGCATATCATACAAATTCTAGGATATTGTCCTAAATATCTGAATCTAAAATTACAAATTTGAAATAGAAAATAGAAAGTAAAAATATATAGGGAGAAGGACATCAGTAAGATGAAAAGATTAAAAGTGCCCTGTTTTCATATCCCATTACAGCAAAAAAAAGTCAGCTATTTCTGACAAAAATGCCTATATTGGCCAGCCGGGGTGGCTGATGCCTTTAATCCCAGAAATTTGGAGGGTCGAGGCTGGAAGATCACGAGGTCAGGAGTTTGAGACCAGCCCAGCCAACATGGTGAAGACCCATTTCTAATAAAATACAAAAAAATTAGCCGGTTATGGTGATGCACGCCTGTAATCCTAGCTATGCAGAAGGCTGAGGCAGGAGAATTGCTTGAACCCAGAAGGTGGAGGTTGCAGTGAGCTGAGATGGCCCCACTGCACTCCAGCCTGGGTGGCAGAGTGAGACTCCATCTCAGAGAGAGAAAAAAAAAAGCCTTTATTCGAGAACCAGGCATTATGGCTCACACCTGTAATGACAGCTACATGGTACATTAAGGTTGGAGAACTGCTTCAGGCCAGGATTTCGAGACCAGCCTGGGTTATGTAGCAACATGACATCTCCAAAATAAGTGTCTGTAAGAGAGATTTGAGATCCAGGGAGGGAGTTCTGAAACACTGTTAAAGCTTAAGATTGAGAAGAGTTCTATTCAGAAGGCAGGCCCTCATTCAAGTGGGAAACTACAGGTCCTGCAGATCTTGGCCTTTACTGGGGTCCCCAAAGCAGTTCAATGACTCAGCTTCAGTTACCTGAGCCACAGTTTATGGCCAGTTCTGCCTACATAGAAATCCACACAGTTACCTGAGGAAATGGTCTCTGGTACTCAGTGAAAGCCATACTTACCCACATCCTGATACAAGGCCCACCGTATGCAGACCCGACTGCAAAAACCTGCCCTAGGGTCTGCCCTACTGAGCAAAGTCCTGAAGGATATGCAGTCTGTCCAAAAATAAAACGGGAATTACAACAACCCAAGTCCCTGTAACAAGCCGACTAAAGGTGGACCCTAGTGCAGGCCCAGCAGCCTTGTCACCAAGTTACACCCCCTCTCCACTACCAATTCAGAGGGCATCTCCTCACCCTAAGGGCCCAACAAAAGAACAACTTTACCTTCTGAAATCAATTTATGAAAACTTGAAGGGGTGTTTACTCCATCAAATTCAGACACCAAGACAAAACTAGATTTTGCCCATTGTCAATGGCTCTATTTTAATGTAGCACTGGAAGTATGTGGCAGAAGAATTAGTCAGAGAAATTTAAAAATGCATTTAAATTCAAGAAAAATAAGTAAAAGTTGCTGTTTGTAGATCATACAACTATATATATATATATATATATATATATATTTTTTTTTTTTTTTTTTTTTTTTTTTTGAGATGGAGTTTTGCTCTTGTAGCTCAGGCTGGAGTGAAATGGCACGATGTCAACTCACCACAACCTCTGCCTACCGGGATTAAGTGACTGTCTGGCCTCAGCCTCTCGAGTAGCTGGGATTACAGGCATGTGCCACCATACCCAGCTAATTTTTGTATTTTTAGTAGAGATGGGGGTTTTCTCCATGTTGGTCAGGCTGGCCTTGAACTCCCGACCTCAGGTGATTCACCCACCTCGGCCTCCCAAAGTGCTGGGATTACAGGTGTGAGCCACTGCACCCGGCCCATACAACTTTATATTTGAAAAAGCATAAACAGTATATTAAAACCTGTCTAAACTAATAAATATACTCAGTAAATTAGCCAAATATAAAATTAACATAAAAGTATATGTATGGTTTCATACACTTAAACTATCTGGTAAAATAGAAGAAGAGGCTGGGCAGGGTGACTCATGCCTGCAATTCCAGCACTTTGGGAGGCCGAGGCGGGTGGATCATGTGAGGTCAGGAGTTTGAGACCAGCCTGGCCAACATGCTGAAACCTTGTCTCTACTAAAAATTAGCTGGGTGTGGTGGCAGGCACCTGCAATCTCAGCTAGTCAGGAGGCTGAGGCAAGAGAATTGCTTGAACCCAGGAGGTGGAGGTTGAAGTGAGCAACAGTGCAAGACATCATCTCAAAAGAAAAAAAAAAAGAAAAAATAGAGGAAAAAAAATCTTATTTACTATGGCATTAAATAATAAATTTGTGAGAAAAAATTAAGGAGGTAAAAAAATCCATACAATAAAAAAAGAAAAAAATTAGAGAAGATCACAATAAATTTTAAATTATTTTATGTGTATTAATTGAAAGAATAAGTATTGTTAAAGTGCTATGTTATCCAAAGTGATTTATAGATTCATTAAACTTCCTATAAAAATTGCAGTGGTATTTTTTTCACAATAATGGAAAATACGATTCTAAAATTTACATGAAACTAAAATAAACTTTGAATAGCCAAAGCAAACTTGAGGTAAAAGAACAAAGCAGGATATCATATTTACAATTTCAAACTATATTTCAAGACTATATAGTAATAAAAACAGAATGGACTGTGCAGAAAAATGTACAAAAAAAATGCAACGGGATCTACTACTCTCACACATTTCAGTCCCGATGCAAAAAGAGAACTTAAAAAATAGTTTTAATTTCTCGAAATCATGCAGATATTTGTGTGTCCCAAAAACAATGAATAATAAGCCAGTGCAGTCTTTTACATGCCATTAAGAGGACTTTGGCTTTCAGTGTAAATTGAAGGAAGCTCACGTAAAGAAAAGTAGAATCCTTAAGAGAATTTAAAAGTATAAGACAGGGCTGGGCGCAGTGGCGCATGCCTGTAATTCCAGCACTTTGGGAGGCCAAGGCGGGCCGATTGCCTGAGGTCAGGAGTCCGAGGCCAGCCTGAGCAACATGGAGAAACCCCTTCTGTAATAAAAATACAAAATTAGCCGGGCGTGGGGGCGCAGGCCTGTAATCCCAGCTACTCGGAAGGCTGAGGCAGGAGAATCACTTGAACCCAGGAAAGGGAGGTTGCGGTGATCTGAGATCGTACCATTGCACTCCTGCCTGGGCAACAAGAGTGAAACTCTGCCTTAAAAAAGAAAAAGCATAGTCGGGCGCGGTGGCTCACGCCTGTAGTCCCAGAACTTTGGGAGGCGGAGGTGGGCGGATCACACCGTCTGGAGTTGGAGACCAGCCTGGACAATATGGTGAAACCCCATCTCTACTAAAACTACAAAAATTAGCGGGGCATGGGGCGGTCTCCTGTACTCCCAGCTACTCGGGAGGCTGAGGCAGGTAAATTGCTTGAACCCGGGAGGTGGAGGTTGCAGTGAGCAGAGATTCAGAGATTGCGCCACTGCACTCCAGCCTGGGCGACAGAGCGAGACTCGGTCTCAAAAAAAAAAAAAAAAAAAAAAAAGGCATAAGACAGAAGATGCCCTGTGTGAGAGCAAAATTTAAGAAAAGAAAAAAGAAAAACTGCCCAGAAACTATTTCCTTTGGAGCACAGCTTCCCAAATCACATTTTAAGGACTGGCTTTCTCTTTGACCTTGGCACCTCTTATCTGTGTTGTCTGTTGTATTCATTTTCACTCGCACCTACCTGGGGGTTTGGCAATCATCTCATGTCTCTTCACAGTGAAAGGTTTTTTTCCCTGCTCCAGACAGGTGATCAGGTCTGGCTTAGAGACAACAATACCTCTTTTATTAAAAATAAATAACAATAATCTTGCTCATATTCTCCAATTACAAGCTAGTACTGTGCTCAGCAGAGAGGATGTGATAAAATATTCTAGTAAATTAATACCAAAATACTAAGTTATAACAGAAATTTCTAAATATTTAGAAAATACTTTCAATTTGTAGGTTTCTTAATTTTACTACCTGGTACTGCTGAATCAAAAATTGATGGTGGCAATGAGATTTTCAGGTGAGGCAACAATATTTTATGTCGCTAAATTTCTGGAATTACCACTAATTTAGAGTGAAGAATACAGCTCATCTCAGGACTGTGGAAAGTTTAGATTAAGATAAAACCTCTTGAAAAAACTATTTTCTAAATTACCAAATTCTGAAAATTTTCTAAAAAAAGAGGATCTGAAACTCTTTTTTTTTTTTTGAGATGGAGTTTTGCTTTGTTGCCCAGGCTGGAGTGCAGTGGCACGATCACGACTCACTGCAACTTCCGTCTCCTGGGTTCAAGCAATTATTTGCCTCAGCTTTTTGAGTAGCTGGAATTACAGGCACCCGCCACCACACTTAGTTAGTTTTTTTATTTTTAGTAGAGACATGGTTTCACCATCTTGGCCAGGTTGGTCTTGAACTCCTGATCTCGTGATTCACTTGCCTTTGCTTCTCAAAGTATTGGGATTACAGGTGTGAGCCACCACACCTGGCCCTGAAACTCTTTTATGCAAAGAATAAATTACTAAAAACATTCTACAAAAAAAGAGAATGAATTATGTATTCAAGTTATCCTCACCAAAGAAGACCAGGTTTCTGTAGTTCTTTAACATGACATCCATATAAAAATTCTGCTGTGCAGTGTCCCGGCAATGCCACTCCTCCAGAGAGAATTCTATGGCCACATCTCTAAATTGCAATGGTCCCGAAAAGACACACATACACACATTTTCACCAAGTGGCCATAGGCAGAATTTTTAATTTGACTTAAGGTGAAATGAGAGAGTAAGGAGAACTGGTTCTGACTTATAGGACTGACTAAAATTATCCAGTAAAATAATTTTTCAACACAGAAACATACATTCTCTGATGTATTCTCTAACTCTGAGAAAATAGATCCACAACATCAGTTCATCTATTTTTCCATATAATAAAGTATAAAATTAAGGCCATAAACACGAACATGCATTTTTGAGTGCTGTATTTTTATCATACAGAATGAGTTGTGAACATTTTTCAGATGGAAAAGACATGTTGAGTTAGAAGGCACATCTCAAGTTTTGTTTTGTTTTGTTTTGAGACGGAGTTTCAATCTAGTTGCCCAGGCTGAAGTGCAGTGATGTGATCTCAGCTCACTGCAACCTCTGCCTCCCAGGTTCAAGTGATTCTCCTGCCTCAGCCTTCTAAGTAGCTGGGATTATAGGCATGCACCACCACACCTGGATAATTTTGTATTTTCAGTAGGATGGGGTTTTCTCTATTTTGGCCAGGCTGGTCTCGAACTCCTGACCTTGGATGATCTGCCCGCCTCGGCCTCCCAAAGTGCTGGGATTACAGGCATGAGCCACCGGGCCAGGCCAATTTTTTGAATTTCTAACAAGCTCACCAGTAATGCCAATATTTTGACCCAAGAAGGATATTTTGTCAAACATGCAGTAAGTGGAAGAGCTTGTGTTTTTCCCAGTTTTTCTAGCCTGTAAACAAAGATAGGAGCCTTCATTTTCCAAAGAGAAATATGTAGAAAAAAATAAGAAAAAAGGACAGCCACCAGATTAAATGTGATGCTTTATGCACATCAGCTGCGTAAAGATACTTAATATGAAGAGAAAAATAATTACAGTGAAAAAAATCCATCAGAGAGCTATTTCACCAAGTGAATCATTAACCATTAACTGCACTAGGACAAATTTTTATGATGTGCTAATGCACACAGAAGAACACAGCATCACTGTTGAAATATTCCTCCCCAAAAAAGTAAATTATAGTCTGAATTTAACCATAAAGAAACATCAGTTTTATGCAAACTTCAAACCACAGATAACTCCTATGTTCTGTAATTTTAAGTAGGCTTAATTTAGCACCCTAGAAAACAGGTATCTCCTAATTATTTATTTCAGAATTTTCTGGGTAATAAATGCCATCCCGTTTTAATAAGCATTTATTTATTTTTTTTGAGACGGAGTCTCACTCTGTCGCCCAGGCTGGAGTACAGTGGCGCGATGTCCGCTCACTGCAACCTCTGCCTCCCGGGTTCAAGAAATTCTCTGCCTCAGCCTTCCAAGTAGTTGGGATTACACATGCCCGCCACCACACTCGGATAATTTTTGTATTTTTAATAGAGATGGAGTTTCATCATCTTGGCAAGGCTGGTCTTGAACTCCTGACCTTGTGATCCACCCGCCTCAGCCTTTCAAAGTGCTGGGAATATAGGTGTGAGCCACCGCACCAGGCCTAAATAAGCATTTTCTTAATCCTGTTCTTCATAGAGCTAATGGAACACACTGTTGGAACCTCAACATTACATGTTCTCCATCTTTACTAAGGACCACAGTTTTCCCCAATAGAAATCTTGAGTATCCACATCTTTCCATGTTCAACAGCCACAAGGGAGCATTTTTAATATTGCAGATCATAAATCCTTACTGATAATTCTGCATGGCATATAAGAAGTTATGATGTAGAGAATGTAGAGAAGGCTCTGGGATATAGGAAAGAAATATTTTTCAGAGACCCTTGACTATCATAAGAATTTTAAGAAGTAGTTAAACCAAACTCATTAGGGAGAAAAACAGAAGTAGAGAAGCAAAGTTTTCTAAGTACTAAACACATGGCAGTCCAGGAGGCAGAGTGGACACAGCTCTTCATCTGACACATGTTTACCTGAAGAAAAGCCATTTTTTTCTTTCTCCTGCTTCTATGGAATTCATTCTCAGATGAGATTCTCCACACAAATTACACCTGCATATGGAGAATATGCCTTTAAAGGTGTCAGTACCACATGTTTACCTGCTAGCATGACATCAAATGGCAGAAAAAAGAATTTCATTCATTTCTGTCCTTTAAAACAGAAGAGATTCAGGAACAATGAGCTGCTCCGTGAAGTTAAAAATATAAGTTCCTCCTTTCCTGTCCTGAGGTGCCCTCCCCTGCCACAGACACCAGCAATTTCTGCTACAGTAACGGAAATATGCACCACACTGACCTGTTCCTACCAAACCCAAACAGAACAGGCCCTGTGACCACCCTTTAGTGCAAAGGTGGAACTTAACTCTCATGAATGTATTTGGAAGTCCTCATACCTGATTCTGGCCTTACCTTAGAGTCACATGAGGCCCTTCATTAAAACAACATGGATCCTTCCACCCAGGACAATAAACAGAAGCTGTGGGGAGGGCACAGGACATTTCCGCTAATTGGCCATGTGATCCTAATGAGAAGCCTGGGCTGATAACCACTAAGCTAAGCATTGCCTCTCAAGCTTTAATGAGCTTATATATCACTTGGTAATTTTGGCCCTGCTTTATGTAGTGTGATTCTGGAGGACTGAAAAGGGTCCATGAATGGGTGTTTTAAACAAGTTCCCTGTCAATGCTGATGTTGTTCCCCCTGGGCTCATTGTTAGCATTAGTTAGAGAAGCAGGAACAGCACAGGGTTGCTTACACTCAGCACTCTTGTCACAACCTAATATTTCTGGTACAAATAAGGACAATGCATGTCCATCCTAAAGTTTTATATTCTTTGCTGGCTCTTTAAAGTTTACAGAGAAAACAGAAGGCAGCAATGTCTCAATAATTCTGTATTTAAAGAACAACATGGGTCGGGCTCTGTGGCTCACACCTGTAATTTCAGCACTTTGGGAGGCCAAGGCGGGTAGATCACAAAGTCAAGAGATCGAGCCCATCCTGGCCAACATGGTGAAACCCCGTCTCTACTAAAAATACAAAAATTAGCTGGGCATGGTGGCGCGTGCCTGTAATCCAGCCACTCGGGAGGCTGAGGCAGAATTGCTTGAACTCAGGAGGCGGAGGTTGCAGTGAGCTGAGATTGCACCACTGCACTGCAGCCTAGGGTGACAGAGTGAGACTCCATCTCCAAAAAAAAAAACAAAAAAACAACATGTACACATGTACTAATGCACTATTTATTAGGCAGGTACTATGTGCTCAAGAGCATGATAGAAAGCACTGTGCTGGGCCTAACACGTTATGTGATTTAATCCTCGAAACACCTTGGGAGCTGGCACTAAGTGTTTAATAATTTCCAGGATTTAGATAAAGGGCCCAGCATTTTTTCTTCTTCTGTTTCTCTGTCATCAAAATTTTTAAAAAACTGTAAAGAGTAAAAGCTAAATATAGGCAGATGAAGGAGACATAGAAAGGAAGAGTTTAACATAGTTTAAATTTTATTCTGTTTACGTTTACTTTTTTGTGACTTGTGGAATAACTACTGGATCTGCAGGAAGAGAAAACAAGTTGCTAAATGACTCTGCACGCACTGGTTTTAATAGAGAATTTATAAAATATGACCCTAAAATACACACTTTGTTTTTCCTGTTTATGTTTTTGTGTTCCAGGAAATTGTGAACACCACTTCTAGAAAGGCAGCAGGATTCACCAGCCAAAACTCTGATCTCTTCTAATCAGTTCTGTGAGGCCAGACTCCAAGGTAGAGTCAGACCTAAATAAGGCCTCCAAAAAGGATAAATCTGAACAGGTCTGGGGCAGGGCAAGGCCCCTATGTAGAATTCTGTTCTCTATACCATTAGGGTACTTCCAGTTTTGTTTTTTCTAAGCTAACCTAAAAGAAACTTAAATCCCAGAGTTTCTCTAATTTTAATATTTTCTAGCCACTGTCCTGTCAACTTTATACTATATACTAATATGCAATTTAAACAAATCCCTTATGGTTTCCTAGGGTAATTTTATTAAAAAATAAATACGTACACTTAACAAAGTAAAATAAATAGAAATTATATGGCCGGCACTGTGGCTCATACCTGTAATCCCAGCACTTTGGGTGGCCAAGGTTGGTGGAACACGAGGTCAGGAGTTCAAGACCAGCCTGACCAAGATGGTGAACCCTTGTCTCTACTAAAAATATAAAAATTAGTTGGGCGTGGTGGCAGGCATCTGTAATCCCAGCTACTCAGGAGGCTGAGACAGGAGTATCACTTGAATCTGAATGGCAGAGCTTGCGGTGAGTCGAGATTGTGCCACTGCACTCCAGAATGGGTGACAGAGTGAGACTTTATCTCAAAAATTAAAAAGTAATTAGAATAACAATTCCTCTGTTCATAAATATCCCTTATGTGTAGATGTCAGAAATCACAACAATATAAAGGAAGTGGCCCAAATAAAGCTTAAGATTTTGGACACATCTATTTATTGTACCAACCATATGATGCATAATCCAATTATTTATCTGGTTGCTAGTCTAGACTAAAAGCTTCTGGGTTGTAGGAACCATGACTACTTCATGGTTTTTTTTTTAATGGCCATATGAGATGGAAGCAACTAGTTTATCTATTCGGGTCTCCAGATCTCCTCCTTGTTTATCATCCAAGTACCAGGAAACTGGATAAACTCTCATCTGGGTACCAACCAAAGACACCTCTTGTATGAGGGGAGGAACAAACACAGATGACTCATTTCTCTTACACTGAGACAGAAGCAGAATTAACCATTTTTGTCAACCTGACACAATTCTGTTCTGGACATCCTCAAATGCCTCAAAGACACCTAGGTTATTGTGAGATTATTAGATATCATTGGGCTGATGGCCCAATGATAAGCCAGGCTGCAGACTCGGGCTGTTTCTAAATAGAAAATGGAACTGCACTGGTGGAGCTCCAGAACTTGGATCACCCGTTCTGATTTGCTAGCTCTTGGGTAAAAGAAAGAACAAAAATACTCTACTCCAGTATCACATTTTACAGGTAAATATAGTTGTGGTCATGGCTCTGGATACTTTGTGGCCTTGATCTCTCACTCCAAAGATGCTTATTTACACTTACAGATTCTGCCATCAGATTCTATTTCCTCCTGGAACCTCTCACATCACTGTAGCAGGTCAATGAACAAGATGTGAAACATCTCACAGAGCCACATTCCCAAATGGGGGCTGTAAGCTGTCTTTGCTGACATCTCACAAGGCAGAAAATGCCATTTGTTAGTTCTCTGTACATTCACAATCCAAAGACCAGCCCTTTTTTGTAAATCCCAGGCAGAGGCCAGACCTTATCTGCAGATTCTAGGTAGGATCCACCTGGCTCTGCATCCTTTGGTGTTACAGCAAGTGGAGTACAATCCGAGGAGAGATCCCCTCATAGAGGCTCCTCTAGCACATTCTAAATGATAAGTCTACATGAAATAAAAAAAAAAAGCTGACACAACATCAATATAAGTAGACAGTTTATTTGGGTCAAGCTGAAGGATTATAATCTGGGAGCAAAGATTCAAGTTGTCTGGAATCTACACTTTGATTGGCATCAGTTACAAGAGGATTTGTAAAGATAACAAGAGAAGAACAGAGTAGGTAGACACAAAGTTGTTTGTCAGAAATTTTTATGTATTTAGAGAAATAGCATTTATTATTGATTAGATATATATAGTTATGGTTTAGGATATGGGATATAGTGTCCAACGTGTCATTATTAGTTTAATTTATAGCTACTTTTGGCAATCGTGAACAGTTTCAAGAGATGAATACATAGTTCAAAGGAGGGAGAAATAACTGCACTTTCATTTTCATGTCTCTGAGTTTGATAACCAAAGGACTTGCATTTTTTAGATAAAAGTTTTTTATTTCCCAAATCTCAAGACCTAAATTCAAAATTTGGAGCTGCAGATTTAGGGGCTGAAGGACTGGAGCAGCAGCAGATGTTACCTGAACATTTGTGAGCACTTTAGCAAGAGGAGAAAGGGGAACGTGGAGATTCTCATGTCTCTATGTCTACTAATGCACATGTTACTGTGATTGGGTTTCTGGGCTAAATAGTTTTTGTATCAGTTTCAGGCCTGAAGATACAAGAGTCATTGATAGAGGTAAAATGATTGATTGTTGCCCTGTGAAGTTTGTAGAAATGTGGTCTAGCCTCTCTAGAAGTGACTCTAGAGGACTATAGATACCAAATAGGAAGAGACACAATTCTGCCTCCATATTTAGGGGACAGCATGCATTTTGAAGTGCAAATGTGAGTTGACTGGAAGCCTGAGAGGAAAAGTCCCCTCTAGAGTAAATTCTGGTTGGCACCTTATGTGTTTTTATCATGTCTGGTAATTCTAGACAGTGTTTGGAAATGATTAAAAGAAAAATTTTCTCCAGCCCCAGAGAAACTCCACAAAAGTAGCACAGAAAGAAAATGGTTTTATTACACAATTGAACTTAATTGTGACATGCATCATCATCAGTCTGCTTAAGGGATCGCAAAGACAGAAAGATGGTCACCATAATTAGTTCACAAATAGAAGAATTTCCAGCGCCATGTCATACATAGTTCATCCTATGAACAGATTGAAGAGGCCATCTGTGTATGCTAATTGCTTATATTCAATGACAAACTTTTCACATCTTCATAACAGGAAGTAGTTTAGTAGCTTTAATCCAGGTGCCTTCTGAAGGTAGGCTTTCATTGTGCTACAAAAATGGTTGAATAGGGTTCTATCTTTTTGGCTATTTACATTTTAGAGCAGTGGCTCTGTACTCCCTGGCATTGGGTTACAGCACTCCTGCTTGCTTTCTCCTGGTTACTAGTGGCCTCTTTTTTTTTTTTTTTTTGAGACGGAGTCTTCCTCTGTCGCCCAGGCTGGAGTGCAGTGGCGCAATCTCAGCTCACTCCAAGCTCCGCCTCCTGGGTTCATGCCATTCTCCTGCCTCAGCCTCCCGAGTAGCTGGGACTACAGGTGCCTGCCACCATGCCTGGCCTGGCTAATTTTTTGTATTTTTAGTAGAGACGGGGTTTCACCATATTAGCCAGGATGGTCTCCATCTCCTGACCTCGTGATCCGCCCGTCTTGGCCTCCCAAAGTGCTGGGATTACAGGCGTGAGCCACCGCGCCCAGCCTAGTGTCCTCTCTTGACCTATAACATCTGCCACTGAGGCACAGCCTGGAGCACAGCTCACATTTTATATGAACCCCATTTGCCACAGCAGCACTCTAGTGTCACATCAGAGAGTGAGGCCTGAGCTGCAGGAGGAGAGCCTGCAGGCCTCCTGGGTAGAATTACACCTTCACAATCATGAGAATGTGATTAGTGTTTCAGCCTCAGTTTCTACCTATAGTAGGGACATGGAAAAAATACTGCTGAATTTCCAGCATAAGTCCAGATAGAAATAGCTCTAAAAGTTCTCGCTATGAAAGTCCACCTCATGTAGACACCATCGGATATGAATAGGGCTTTTGAAACAGACACCCAAAGCATTGGAGAGAAAAACAGATCTCCATCTGAGCCAGATTATTTTGAGAGAAAAAAGTTCAAAAGATCTTAAGAAAAAGCTCATATTAGATATAAGATTGATCAGCCAGAAGATATTCCCCTAAAAGCAATTTCTCTGTAAACACTCAAAGTGCACAGCTACTCTCAGCATGAGAAACATGAGCCTTATGAAAAAAAAGTGCAGTTTTTCAGAAGAATTTTATAGCCTTTTTCCCATCTTTGCTGGTCTGTCATCTCCTAGCCATTAAATTGGGGTTCTATATTGAAATACATCTGACAACTTTCAACAACACTTTTTGATGAAGAAATAGAAACTGACTGTGTTCATATAGTGGAACATATTAGAACTGGCAACATCGTTAACTGCAGAGCTATTATGGTTTTTGGGTGGCCACATCACCTGTCTCCTGTAATAACAGCATTCCAATTTAGTAAAATAAAAGATACACAAATTGTGTTTACTCACAATTTTCCCTATTGAATAAAGCAATAAACTTGTCACTAATATCTACTGTAAAAATTTGGTAGTAAATTTTCTTTGGATATTAGATATAAAGATCTAAGTATGAATAATTTTAATGAACCGGTCATAATGTATTCAGTATTTTTAAAAATTGCAACTACATAGCTGGGCATGGTGGCTCATGCCCGTAATCCCAGCACTTTGGGAGTCTGAGGCAGGCGGATCACCGGAGGTCGTGAGTTTGAGACCAGCATGACCGACATGGAGAAACCCTGTCTCTACTAAAAATACAAAATTAGCTAGGCCAGGTGTGGCACATGCCTGCAATCCCAGCTACTCAGGAGGTTGAGGCAGGAGAATCCCTTGAACCTGGGAGGCGGAGGTTGCAGTGAGCCGAGATCGCGCCATTGCACTCCAGCCTGGGCAACAAGAGCGAAACTCTGTTTCAAAAAAAAAAAAATTGCCACTACAGTTAGGTGCAGTGTCTCACACCTGTAGTCCCAGCACTCTGTTAGGCCGAAGCATGTGGATCACCAGGTCAGGAGTTCAACACCAGCCTGGCAAATATGGTGAAACCCCGTCTCTACTAAAAATACAAAAAAAATTACCTTGGCGTGGTGCAGCGCGCCTCTCATCCCAGCTACCCGGGAGGCTGAAGCAGAAGAATCGCTTGAAGCCAGGAGGCAGAGGTTGCTGTGAGCCAAGATCAAGCCACTGCACTCCAGCCTGGCTGAAAAAGCAAGACTCCGTCTCAAAAAAAAAAAAAAAGAAAAAGAAAAAAAATTGCAACTATACTTCAGTTAAAACACTTTATATTTCAAAAGTATAAATAAAATAACCATTTAAGCGATTAATTCAAAGTAAGTATTGTGGCTTAATATTCATAGGATTGTAGAATACAGTGTTTATGGCTCATGCCTGTAATCCCAGTACTTTGGAAGAGTGAGGCAGGTGGATCACCTGAGGTCAAGATCAAGCTGGCCAACATGGTGAGACCCCATCTCTACTAAAAATACAAAAACCTACCCAGGCTTGGTGTTGCATGCTTGTAATCCCAGCTGCACGGGAGGCTGAGGCAGGAGAATCACTTGAACCCAGGAGGTAGAGGTTGCAGTGAGCTGAGATCAAGCCACTGCATTCCAGCCTATGCAACAGAGGGAGACTGTCTAAAAAAAAACTGAGGTCAAAATAAGTAAACAAATCTTTTCAAGGTACAGATCCAATCACCCACCCCATCCTGTTCACTTACATGCGCAATAACCACCCTCCCAGGAGACACTGCACTATGCCCCAGTGAGTGCCCCAGGTGCATTTTACTTTGTAAGTTATTTATGCCATCTCACTGGGGTCAGTTTTTTGTCTTTTGGAGTGTTTTTTCACTATTTTTCTGCCCCTCCCACAAGATAATCCAGAAGACAGAAATTATTTGTTTTCCCCTCAATACCAGCATCTGATTGACTGACCAGCAATGTGTCTCCTAGAAATGAAAGCCAGGTTGAGTGAAGACAATCTTCATGTCTCAAGGGGTTAGCTTTTCAAAAAAAAAAAAGTGCACCAGAAGATGCCTTTCAGCCCCAAGGCTGCCACCTGCTCCCTTGAAAGTCTACACTCCATGCTTCAGGTGGTCCTATGGGAGAAAATGACCCAAGAGATAATAGTCACTAGACACTCTAGCAGACATAGCCATAGTGGGTATGTTGGTTTATTCCCAGAAAGTACTAAAACCCAGGACCAGAAAAAAACTGAAGGTTGGCTGAGGACACATCATCCTACAAAGTTTCCAAAGGGTAATCTTGACCCAAAAACATTCCGGTAAGTTCTCTGGAAAAATAAAAGAAAAAGAGGCGCCAGACACGGTGGCTCACACCTGTAATCCCAGCACTTTGGAACGCAGAGGCGGGCGGATCACGAGGTCAAGAGATCCAGGCCATCCTGGCCAACATGGTGAAACCTCTCTAGCTGGGCATGGTGGCACATGACTGTAGTTCCAGCTACTCAGGAGGCTGAGGCAGGATAATTGCTTGAACCCGGGAGGTGGAGGTTGCAGTGAGCCCAGATCGCGCGGCTGCACAACTGTAGGACCTCACTCCAGTCTGGCAACAGAGCGAAAACTCTGTCTCAAAAAGCAAAACAAAAAAAAGAAAAAAGAAAAAGACACAAATATTTTTTACAATACAGTGTCAGGGGATTATTCTTTGCTTTCTTCTCCTGGGAAATATTTACAAACAGAAAACAAATATTTTCAATAGTGTTATGCCATGCTTTTTAAAGAATGATTAATTGAGGAACATGGGGTACACTTGAGGCCCTGCTTGGGACACATGTGAAAAATGCCAGGGAAAAATCAGTTCCCTGTGAGGTGTGAAAATAATTAATTGCACTTTTTGTTAAATTACTATATTAAGGGAAATAAAATTCAAGCTTACACAACTATAAACTGCCAATTAAGCTCTGAATCATAACTAGGACATTTCCACCTCGATTGTACAAAATAAGAAACTACGTAACTATACCTAACCAACGATTGAATATGGTTTTCTTCATCATGCACCTTATAAATGTCTTTCCTTCAAGCCCCTACCATGGACCATAAAGTACAAACTATAGCTGGGTGCTCAACAATTCTTGAATCACTCTTTAATTAAATTATTTGATATTTTTGCGGCGACTCTCATATTTTTTTTTTTTAGACAGAGTTTTGCTCTGTCGCCCAGGCTGGAGTGCAGTGGTAAGATATCAGCCCCTGCAACCTCTGCCTCTTGGGTTCAAGCGATTCTGTCACCTCTGCCTTCCAAGTAGCTGGGATTACAGACATTCGCCATCACACCCAGCTAATTTTTGTATTTTTAGTAGAGATGGGGTTTCCTCATTTTGACCAGGCTCGTCTTCAACTCCTGACCTCAAGTGATCCGCCCGCCTCGGCCTCCCAAAGTGCTAGGATTCCAGGCGTGAGCCACCGCGCAAGGGCCCATACATTTTTAATAGGAGAAAAGGGAAACTGTGAAGACCAAGCACCAAAGCTCTTCCCATTCATGAACTTGCATCCTGAGTCAGGATTCTCCCCTGAGGACCCTCCCGTGGTCCCTGCACGATCTGGGAGACACGTGGCGCTGTGGGTGCAGAGCTGCCCGGAGAGGGCTCCAGGCCAGGGCACAGTCACTGCGAGGGGAAGAGACAGGACGCCGGGGGGCCCGGGTGTGAGCGCAGCCTCCATCTTACGGCTGAAAGGGACTGAGGCCGAGCTGGGCAAGGAGAACTTGGGGCGCAGATTGCGGAGCTGACTGCGGGGAGGCCTGAGTCCCGCCACAGCCACTTCCCACCGGTTCCAACCAGTTCCTCCCCTGCTCTCGTGATGTCCGACGGCACTCACCATTTCTAGGCTTCCAGGAGGTCCTGGCGTCTTAGCTGTGGATCTCCCAAAACCGTCAGGTCACAGGGCTGGGCCTCCAGCAGCAGAGGACACAGAGTAGTGAAGATGAGACCTGGAGCTCCAGGTGCAGTGAGAGACAAAGGCCCCGCCAAACTCGGAAGTCGACCTGTTCGCTCCAGCTGGGTGTCTGATTGGACGGTTTCCAGCCCAGTGTCCCTGATTGGATAATGCTTAAGGCCTCGCCCCTTCAGGACCTAGTGAGAGAAGATGTGATAAGATGCTGCGCTGAGCAATGAAAGAGTCACAGCCTAAGCTGCATCTTTTTCAGGCAGGGCTTTCTCCCAGAGCTGAGCCAGGCCCACCCCAGAGCATGGGAAAATTCTATCTCTTTTTTGCTCTCTCTTTTTGAATGTATTCGAAAGGTGAACGGAAGTACTTTGCTGTTATATTAATAATACGTAAAATTTTTGTTCAAGAGAAAATCAACTTTTACTTTGGTAATAGTGTATTATCAATACTAAAGCTAATTTTAATAAAACCTTATAAACAAATCAAATTTGTCATTTTTGACCTTTCGAGATTTGCATATATATTTTGTAATCTCTTGTAATTTTTAAACTATTTATATTTTACTTATATCTACATTCCTTTTATTTTTTCAATTTGAAACAACCTTTAAGTAATTTCAAACTGCTATAGGAGATAGAAAGCATTTAGGGACAGGGACTGTGGCTCACGCCTCTAATCCCAGCACTTTGAGAGGCCAAGGTGGGCAGACTACTTGAGGTCAGGAGTTAAAGACCAGCCTGGCCAATATGGTGAAACCCCATCTCTACTAAAAATACAAAAATTTAGCCGGGCATGCTGGTGCACACCTGTGGTCCCAGCTACTACAGAGGCCGAGGCAGAAGAATCGCTTGAACCCAGGAGGCAGAGGTTGTGTAAGGCCCAAGGGGTTCACCTTGCCCTTTGCCTAGACAGAGCTGATTCATCAAGACAGGGGAATTTGTGGAGGAAAAGTTAAATATTAAATTTGAACTCAATTGAACGTGGACACAAACAATGATCACCAAGTCCAGGAAGAGGTTGTGTGAGACCTTTGATGCATTCATCCAGTGCTGTTTTGGAGAAATCTCTATTTCCATCTATTCCTATACTTTACTTATTGAAAAACGATAGACAATCACAAAAACAAGTTGACCTTTTTGTGTTCCTTGAGCCCAGTCACTAAGGGCCCTCGTGACTGGGCTTTATGCCAAATAAAAGAGCTGGGATCCCAGATGGCGCCGAAGTTTCATGAGACCTCTCCTCGTCTGTGCGTGGACGAGTGGCCGACTCTGAAGCCCAGGCTGTGGCTTCCTGGTCTGGTGGTGAATCCTCCACAGTCTGGGGAGTGTGGTGTCTGACTCTGGATCCCAGGGCTGGAAACTCAAGGACTTCCTATATCCCAGTTCTCCCCCTTGTCATGCCCCATCTGGTGAGTTTTGGGGGAACTCATGACCCAAGTCATAATAGGAATTTCAGGCCTCATAAAGACATCATGGTTGAAGCAGAGGTGTTCTGTTTCCAGCAAAGCCCTATAGGAAGCTAACAATTGCTTCTAGAAAGAGGTATAAGCTTTGCCGGCCTATGACAGTTTCTGGGTCCAAAACCTGAAATGTACCTCTTCCCATCTTGTTTCTGCCTAACGCTCCAATTAGCATGTTGATCTAGGACAGTTACTTGCAGTTCTACTGGCCCATCCCGTATGGAGCATAGATCCAGGGCCAGCAGCACCACTTGTTTAGCTTGTTCAGAAGCCATGCTCTCCTTCTTTCCCCAGTGAAAGTCATAGTGTTTTCTAGTGGCTGCATGCAGAGGTTGTAAAATGTTACCCAAGTGGGGAATATGATGTCTCCAGAATCCAAACAAGACAATACATTTCTGAGCCTCCTTTTTAGCAGCAGGGATTTCAAATTCTAGTATTTTAGCCTTAGCCTTTGATAAAATGGACTATTTCCTCCCATTCCATAGGATGCAACCAGCTCCTATCTTGACACATTAACCTATAAGCAGTAAGCAAACACCATCCACTCTGGGAGATCCCTCAGCATCTGCTTTGCTGACTGGAATCCCCTGCAGCCCTTCATGCACAGTCAAAAGTTTAAATTGCACTAATTTAGATTCCCAATTCTCACAAAGGCCAGTTCCCCTGGACCATTCAACTGCCAAGGGGGAGAAGTGGGGGATTTCCCATCTCTGGATATGGGAAGTCCACGAGCCTCTAGCCCCGTCCTTGTGGCCAAAAAGTGGCACACTTTGGTTTTCGAATCCTGTTTGTGACACCAAAAATATTCGGGTGGGAAACACATGAGGGGAGAAGGAAAGACACACACACAACACCTTTAATGGTAAACAAGTTTATTCCACGTAAGTGGCAATGCAGATATAATAAGCAAATGATATAATAAACAGATCAATATAACAAGCATATTGATATAAGAACCACATTGATATAATAAGCAAATTGCAATGGGAAGAGGAGAAAGGAAAAGATATATATATATATATATATATATATATTTACACTCACTAGAGTATGGAGGTTTCACCACCAAGGTGGTAAGCAACAGCCTGGGTTCCAGAGTCGGCCACTCATTTCTGCACAGATGAGGACAGGTCTCATGAAGCTTTGGCGCAGTCTGGTACCCTCAGTTTTTTGTAACGAGTTGTTTGGCAGGAGGTCCAGTCACGAGGGCCTTCCGCAACTGGGCACAAGGAACACAAAAAGGTCAACTTGCTTTTGTGATTGTCTATTGTTTTTCAATAACTAATGTATAGAAATAGATTGAAATAGAGATATCACTGAAACAGCTCTGAATGAACAACTCAGAAGGCTCACACAACCTGTTCCAGGACTTCGTGACAATTGTTTGTGTCCACGTTTAATTGAGTTCAAATTTAATATTTAACTTTTCCTCCACAAATTCCCCTGTCTTGATGAATCATCTCTGTCTAGGCAAAGGGCCAGGTGAACCCCTTGGGCCTTACACAACCTCCGCCTCCTGGGTTCAAGCGATTCTCCTGCCTCAGCCTCCGTGGTAGCTGGGACTACAGATGTGCACCAGCACGCCAGGCTAATTTTTTTTTTTTTTTTTTTTTTTTGAGACGGAGCCTCGCTCTATCGCCCAGGCTGGACTGCAGTGGCGCAATCTCGGCTCACTGCAAGCTCCACCTCCCGGGTTCACGCCATTCTCCTGCCTCAGCCTCCCGAGTAGCTGGGACTACAGGCGCCCGCCACCGCGCCCGCCACCGCGCCCGCCTAATTTTTTGTATTTTTAGTAGAGATGGGGTTTCACTGTGTTGGCCAGGCTGGTCTTTAACTCCTGACCTCAAGTATTCCACTCACCTTGGCTTCCCAAAGTGCTGGGATTACAGGCGTGAGCCAACGCACCTGTCCCTAAATGATTTCTTTCTATCTCCTATAACAGTTTGAAATTACTTAAAGGTTGTTTCAAACTGAAAAAATAAAAAGAATGTAGATATAAATAAAATATAGTTAAAAAATTACAGGAGATTACAAATTATATATGTAAATCTCGAGAGGTCAAAAATGACAAATTTTGTTTATTTACAAGGTTTTATTTATGTATTTATTCATTTTTGGAGACGCAGTCTCACTTTGTCACCCAGGCTTGAGTGCAGTGGTGCGATCTTGGCTCACCGCAACCTCTGCCTCCTGGGTTCAAGCCATTCTCCTGCCTCAGCCTCCTGAGTAGCTGGGACCACAGGTGCATGCCACCACGCCCGGGTAATTTTTTGTATTTTTAGTAGAGACAGAGTTTCACCGTGTTAGCCAGGATGGTCTCGATTTCCTGACCCAGTGATCTGCCCTCCTCAGCCTCCCAAAGTACTGGGATTACAGGCCTGAGCCACCGCACCTGGCTTTACAAGGTCTTATTAAAATTAGCTTTAGTATTGATAATACACTATTACCAAAGTAAAAGTTGACTTTCTCTTGAACAAACATTTCATGTATTATTAATATGACAGCAAAGTACTTCTGTTCACCTTTTGAATACATTCAAAAAGAGAGAGAATATGAGATAGAATTTTCCCATGCTCTGGGATGGGATGCTCAGCTCAGGGAGGAAGCCGTTTGAAAAGGCTCCAGCTAGGCTAGGCGCGGTGGCTCACGCTTGTAATCCCAGCACTTTGGGAGGCCGAGGCGGGCGGATCACCTGAGATCGGGAGCTCGAGACCAGCCTGACCAACACGGAGAAACCCTGTCTCTACTAAAAGTACAAAAAATTAGACGGGCGTGGTGAGGCATGCCTGTAATCCCAGCTACATGGGAGGCTGAGGTAGGAGAATCGCTTGAACCCGGGAGGTGCAGGTTGCGGTGAGCCAACATCGTGCCATTGCACTCTAGCCTGGGCAACAAGAGGGAAACTCCGTCTCGGTGGGGGGAAAAAAGAAAGAAAAGAAAGAAAGAAAGAAAGAAAGAAAAAGAAAGAAAGAAAGAAAGGAAAGAAAGAAAGAAAGAAAGAAAGAAAGAAAGAAAGAAAGAAAGAAAGAAAGAAAGAAAGAAAGAAAGAAAGAAAGAAAGAAAGAAAGAAAGAAAGAAAGAAAGAAAGAAAAGGCTGCAGCCTAGGCTGTCACTCTTTCTTCACTCAGCCCAGTATCTGATCACATCTGTCACTCAGCGGCTGGGGAGGCGGGGCCTTAGGCATTATCCAATGAGGGACGCTGGGCCGGAAACCGTCCAATCAGGCACGCAGCTGGAGCGAACCACATGGTTTCTGGGGGCCTTTGTTTCTCGCTGCAGCGGGAGCTCCAGGTTTATCCTCAGTGTTCTGTGTCCTGTGCTTATAGAGGCCCGTCCTCTGTGGCCGTGTGACCTGCAAGTATTGGGAGAGCCACAGCTAAACCCCGGGACCCCTGGAAGCCTAGAAATGGTGAGTGCCGGGTCCAACGTCCCGAGAGAGGGGAGAGGCTGTTTGGAACGGTGGGAAGTGGCTCTGGCGGGACTCTGCTTCCTCACAGTCAGCTCCACAATCTGCCGCCGGAGTTCTCCCTGCCCAGCTCGGCCTCAGTCCCCTTCAGCCATAAGATGGCGGCTGCGGTGACATCCGGGGCCCGGCACAGTGATTGTGCCCTGGCCTGGAGCCCTCTTTCAGCAGCTCTGCACCCGCAGCACCGCGTCTCTCCCAGATCATGCAAGGACCACGGGAGGGTCGTCAGGGGAGAATCCTGACTCGGTTCCCTGCGGGTTCATGAATGGGAAGAGCTTTGGTCCGTGAGGTTGTTAGAAACAAGCGCTTGGTGCCGCAAAACAACACAAAACAAAAAACTACCCAGCACTTAGAAAATTTCACAGGAAGGCATATTTACTTCTGAAGAAGAGTGCTGCTCGCGTCCGACCTGATCGCAAGAGCACACAGAAGAAAGGAAGGAAGGTTTTTTTTTTTTTTGAGGCGGAGTTTTGCTCTTGTGGCCCAGGCTAAAGTACAATGGCGCGATCTCGGCTCACTGCAACCTCCGTCTCCCGGGTTCAAGTGATTCTCCTGCCTCAGCCTCCCGAGTAGCTGGGGTTACAGGCATGCGTCACCACACCCGGCTGATTTTGTATTTTTAGTAGACATGCCGTTTCACCATGTTGGTCAGGCTGGTTTTGAACTCCCGAACTCAGTTGATCCGCCCGCCTCGGCCTCCCAGTTTGAAAGGGGTTTTTAACCCTAAACGCCGTTATTGCCTCTGTGTCCTTCCCCCATTGGCCGGGGTCTGACCTCACAATCTAGGCTGACCCGATTGGCTACTTTCCAAATAAGGAAGGGGTTCGGGTCGCAGATTGGAACAGGCGGTTTGGGTTGTTTACGGAGCGGGTGTCTAGGTACAAAGAGGTACAAAAAAGTTGGTCCTAAGAACAAGGAACAAGAAAGTTAGGCCCTTGAAGAGGAATCTATTATATCTGTCAGGGTTCACAGTTTCCCTTTTCTCCTATTAAAAATTTATGGGGCCGGGCGCGGTGGCTCACGCCTGTAATAACAACACTTCAGGAGGTCGAGGTGGATGGATCACTTGAGGTCAGGAGTTGAAGACCAGCCTGGCCAAAATGGGGAAACCCCATCTCTACTAAAAGTACAAAAATTAGCTGGGTGTGATGGCGAATGTCTGGTTTTCTGTTTCTGCATTAGTTTTCTGAAATAATGGTCTACAGCTTTATTGATGTTATTGCAAAGGACATGATCATTTATTTTTAAATGGCCAGAGAGTATTCCATGATATTTATGTACCATATTTTGTTTTTACTAAATCTTTTATTTTATTTTATTTTTGGAGACAGAGTGTCACTTATTGCCCAGGCTAGAGTGCTGTGGAGTGATGCAGCCTTATTTAGCCTCAACCTCCCTGGCTCAAGCAATTCTCTCCTACCTCATCCTTTCACGTAGCTTGATCTACACGCTGGTGTTACCACGCCTGGCCAATTTTTCTCTTTGTATTTTCTGTGGAGACAGGATTTTGCAATGTTGCCCAGGTTGGTCTTAAACTTCTAAGCTCAGGCAATCCACCTGCCTCAGCCTCCCAGAGTGCTGGGATTACAGGCATGAGCCACCGCATCTGACCATACCGTGTTTTCTTTATCCAGTCTACCACTGATAGGGCCTGTCCATGTCTTTGCTATTGTGAATAGTGCTGCAATGAACATACATATGAATGTATCTTTATAATACAATAATTTATATTTCTTTGGGTATATACCCAATTATGAGGTAGAGTATAAGCATTCCCTTTTCTCTGCAACCTTGCCAGCATCTGTTATTTTTTGACTTTTTAAAAATAGCCATTCTGACTGGTGTGATGTGGTATCTCATTGTGGTTTCTCTTAATTTCTCTAATGATTAGTGATGAGCTTTTTTTTTTTCATATGCTTGCTAGCCACATGTATATGTTCTTTTGAAAAGCATCTATTCATGTTTTTTTGGCCTATTTTTTAATGAGATTTTTTTTTTCTTGTAAACTTGTTTAAGTTCTTAATAAATTCTGGATATTAGACTTTTGTCAGAGGCAAAGTTTGCAAATTTTTTTTATTCTGTAGGTTGTCTGTTTACTCTGTTAATAGTTTCCTTTGCTGTGAAGAAGCTCTTTAGTTCAAATAGGTCCCATTGTCAATTTTTGCTTTTGTTGCAATTGCTTTTGGTAGCTTCATCATGAAGTGTTTGCCAGTTTCTGTGTCTAGAATGGTACTTCCTAGGTTATCTTGCAAGGTTTCTTACAATTTTAAGTTTTTCATTTAAGTCTTTAATTAATCTTGAGTTGATTTTGTATATTGTGTAATGAAGGGGTCCACTTTCAGTCTTCTACATAGTGCTAGCTAGTTATTCCAGCACCATTTATTAAATGGAGAATTCTTTCCACATTTCTCTTATCAGCTTTGCCAAAAATCTGATGATGGTAGGAGGGTGGCATTATTTCTGGGCTCTCTATTCTGTTGCATTGGTCTTGTGCACTCATGAACTTTTTTTTATAATATCTTTCTCTCTTCTGCTTTTTCCCCCATAAGCATTTTTTCAAGTGCATACAGTGTGTAAAATTCTGATGTCCAAGAGTTCAAAAACTCTTTAAAAAGTTCCAAAAAAGGGGATTGGGGGGCTAGGGGAGGGACAGCATTAGGAGAAATACCTAGTGTAAATAATGGTTTGATGGGTGCAGCAAACCTTCATGGCACGTGTATACCTATGTAACAAACCTGCACGTTATGCACATGTACCCCAGAACTTTAAAGTATAATAAATAAATAAAAAGCTTAAAAAATATTTTGATATTCTCTCTTTTCTTAAGGAATTTAGGTTATATGTAGATGCTTTTCTCTGCTTTTTTTGAAATACATGTAAATCATATGAACAGCTAAATAAACCCTTTGTCATTTTCTCGGGTCCAGATTATCTTTATGTAGTACTTCAGAATTATTGCTTTATTTTTGCTTCTGAAAAGTTTATTTTTTTCATTTTTAGTCCTTTAAATTAGACACAGATTTGTTTAGATAAAAGCTCATTTTAAGAGCACACAGAAGCTTAGCAGAAAGATAGGATTAAATTTAGCAATGCAGAATGCTAAAGACTAAAAGGTATTAAGTTTCTTTTACAGAAACCTGATTATCCAAGGTAATTATCCAATATTTGCAGGCTGAAGTACTTATACTGCAAAAGCAAGAACAGTGCATAAACAGTGGAGTCTGTAGTTGTATCTTGCTTTCTATTTATTACTTCAGAACAATTAGGATAGTTATGTGTAGGGTTTGTAGGCAAACTGCATTAATATAAATTAAACATTTTTTTTTTCGAGGTGTTTTGCTCTTGTTGTCCAGGATGGTGTGCAATGGTTTGATCTCGGCTCAGGCAAACTCTGCCTCCCAGGTTCAAGCAATTTTCCTGTCTCAGCTCCCAGTAGCTGGGATTACAGGCATGCACCACCAGGCCCAGCTCATTTTGTATTTTTAATAGAGATGCGGTTTTTCCATGTTGATCAGGCTGGTCTTGAACTCCTGACCTCAGGTGATCTGCCTGCCTCAGCCTCCCGAAGTGATGGGATTACAGGCATGAGCCACCATGCCTGGCCTTTTTTTTTTTTTTTTTTTTTTTTTTTAAAAAACAGTCTTACTCTGTTGCCCAGGCTGGAGTGCAGTGGTGTAATCTTGGCTCACTGCAATCACTGCCTTCTGGTTTCAAGTAATTCTCCTGCCTCAGCCTCCCGAGTGGCTGGGAATACAGGCATGCACCACCATGTCCGGCTACTTTTTTGTATTTTTAGTAGAGACAGGATTTCACCATGTTGGTCAGACTGGTCTCGAACTCCTGACCTCAGGTGATGCACCTGCTTCAGCCTCCAAAAGTGCTGGTATTACCGGTGTGAGCCAAAAACAATATTTTCTACAATAGTATGAACATAAAGCCACAATACTTACTTTGAATGATTCACTTAAATGGTTATTTTAATATTGTTATTTATACTTTTGAAATATAAAGTGTTTTAACTGAAGTATAGTTGCAGTTTTTAAAAATACTACATACATTGCCGAGTGCAGTGGCTCACACCTGTAATTCCAACACTTTGAGAGGCTGAGGCAGGTTAATTACCTGAGGTCAGGAGTTCGACACCAGCCTGACATGGTGTAACCCCATCTCTACTAAAAATAAAAAATTAGCTGGGTGTGGTGGCACGCGCCTGTAATCCCAGCTACTTGGCAGGCTGAGGCAGGAGAATCGCTTGTTCCTGGGAGGCAGAAGTTGCAGTGAGCTGAGATTGCACCATTTCACTCCAGCCTGGGTGACAGAATGAGATTGTGTCTCAAAAAAAAAAAAAAAAGCTACATATATTATGACCTGTTCATTAAAATTATTCATAGTTAGATATTTATATCTAATGTCCAAAGAAAATTTACTACCAAATTGTTAGAGTAGATATTAGTCTGACATGTTTATTACTTTACTCAATAGGAATAATTATGAGTAAACACAATTTTATTATCTTTTATTTCACTAAGTTGGAATGCTGCTATTACAGGAAAAATAAAGACAGGTGATGTGGCCACCCAAACACCATAATAGCTATTCAGTTAGCTGTGTTGCAAGTTGTAACATATTCCACTATATGAACACAGTCAAATTCTATTTCTTCATCTTAAAGTGTTGTTGGAAGTTGTCAGATGTATTTCAATATAGAACCCCCATTCAGTGGCTAGGAGATGAGAGAGCAGCAGAGATGGAAAAGAAACTTTATAAAATTCTTCTGAAAATCTGCCCTCTTTCTTCGTAATGCTCATGTTTCTCATGATGAGAGCAGCTGTGTACTTTGGGTGGTTAGAGAGAAATTGCTTTTAGGGGAACATTTTCTGGCTCATTTGATCAATCTGATATCTAACCTGAGCTTTTTTAAAAGATCTTTTTTACATTTTTCTCTCAAAATAATCTGGCTCAGATGGAGATCTGTTTTTCTCTCCAATGCTTTGGATGTCTGTTTCAGAAGCCCTATTACTATCCTATGGTGTCCAAATGAGGTGGACTCTCACAGTGAGAACTTTTGGAGCTATCTCTATCTGGACTCATGCTGGAAATTCAGCAGTATTTTTTCCTTGTCACCATTACAAGTAGAAACTGAGGCTGAAACACTGCTCACATTCCCATGATTGTGAAGGTGCAATTCTACCCATGAGGCCTGCAGGCTCTCCTCCTGCAGCTCAGGCCTCACTCTGATGTGACACTGGAGTGCTGCTGTGGCAAATGGGGTTCATATAAAATGTGAGCTGTGCTCTGAACTGTGCCTCAGTGGCAGATGGTAGAGGTCAAGAGAGGAAGGACACTAGCATTCAGGAGAAAGCAAGCAGGAGTGCTGTAGCCCAGTGCCAGGGAGTACAGAGCCACTGCTTTAAAATGTAAATAGCCAAAAAGATAGAATGCTACTCAGCCATTTTTGTAGCAGAGTGAAATCCTGCCTTCAGCAGACACCTGGCTTCAAGCTGCTAAACTACATCCTGTTATGAAGATGTGAAAAGTTTGTCATTGAATATAAGCAATTAACATACACAGATGGCCTCTTCAATCTCCAGGTGAATTTAGGATGAACTATGTATGACATGGTGCTGGAAATTCTTCTAATTGTAGACTAATTATGGTGACCATCTTTCTGTCTTTGGAGCCTCTTAAGCAGATTGACGATGATGCATATCACATTCAAGTTCAATTGTGTAATAAAACCATTTTCTTTCTTTTGTCTTATTGTGAAGATTTTCTGGGGCTGGAGGAAATTTTTCTTTTAATTATTGTTTCCAAACACTGTCTAGAATTACCAGACATGATACAAACACATAAAGTGCCATCCAAAATTTACTCTAGAGGGGACTTTCCCTCTCTGGCTTCCAGTCAGCTCAGAGTTGTGCAGCAAAGTGCATGCTGTCCCCTAAATATGCAGGCAGAATTGTGTCTCTGCCTTTTTGGCATCTATAGTCCTCTACAGTCACTTCTAGAGAGGCTAGATCACATTTCTACCAACTTCACTGGGCAGTGATCAATCGTTTTATCTCTCTTAGAATGACTCTTGCATCTTCAGACCTGAAACTGATTCAGACATCATGGAGCTCACAGACCGAATCAGAGTAACGTGTGCATTGAATAGATGTGTAGACAAGAATCTCCACTTTCCCCTTTGTCTTTTTGCTAAAATCCTTACAAATGTGCAGGTAACACCTGCTGCTACTCCAGCCATTCAGGTCCTAAATCTGCAGCTCCACATTTTGAATCCAAGTTTTTGAGATTTGGGAAATAAAAAACTTTTATCTGACAAATGTAAGTCCTTTTGATTATCAAACTCAGAGAGACGTTGAAAATAAAGTGCAGTTATGTATTTCTCCTCCCTTTGAACTATGTATTCATCTCTTGAAACTGTTCACTATTGTCACAGGTAGCTATAAATTAAGCTAATAGTGCCACATTGGACACTATATCCCATACCCTAAACCATAACTATATATATATATATATATTATTATATATATATATATATAATCAAGTTTATTTCTGTTAATAAATAAAAATATCTGACAACTTTGTATCAGCCCACTGTGTCCCTGTTTTGTTGTCTTTACCAATCCTCTTATAACTGCTGCTAATCAAAGTGTAGATTCCAGGCAACTTGAATCTTTGCTCCCAGGTTATAATCCTTAAGCTTGACCCAAATAAACTGTCTACTTATATTCATGTTGTGTCAGCTTTTTTTTCTTTCATGTAGACTTACCATTTAGAATGTGCTAGAGCAGCCTCTATGAGGGGATCTTTTCTTTGATTGTATTCCACTTGCTGTAACACCAAAGGATGCAGAGCCAGGTGGATCCTACCTAGAATCTGCAGATAAGTTCTGGCCTCTACCACAGATTTACAAAAAAGGGCCGGACTTTGGATTGTGAACGTACAGAAAACTAACAAAAGGCATTTTCTGTATTGTGAGATGTCAGCATAGACATCCTACAGCCCCCATTTGGGAATGTGGCTCTGTGAGATTTTTCACATCTTGTTCATTGACCTGCTACAGTTATGTCAGAGGCTCTAGGAAGAAATAGAATCTGATGGCAGAATCTGTAAGTGTAAATAAGCATCTTAGGAGTGAGAGATCAAGGCCACAAAGTATCCAGAGCCATGACCACAACTATATTTACCTGTAAAATGGGATACTGGAGTAGAGTATTTTTGTTCTTTCTCTTACCCAAAGAGCTAGCAAATCAGAACAGGTGATCCAGGTTCTGGAGCTCCACCAGTGCAGTTCTGTTTTTTATTTAGAATCAGCCCGAGTCTCTCCAGCCTGGCTTATCATTGGGCCATCAGCCCTGGGACACTGGGAATTCTCTCACAGTCTCCTAGGTGTATTTGAGGTATTTGAGGATGTCCAGAGCAGAATTGTGTCAGGCTGAAAAGTGTGGTTAATTCTGCTTCTGTCTCAGTGTAAGAGAAATGAGTCATCCTGTGTTTGTTCATCCTCTCATACAAGAGGTTTCTTTGGTTGGTACCAAGATGAGAGTTTCTCCAGTTTCTGGTGCTTGAATGAAACAAGGATGAGATCTGGAGACCCAAATAGATAAAGTATTTCCTTACATCTCATATAACCATTAAAAAAAATGAAGCAGTCATGGTTCCTACAATCCAGAAACTTTTAGTCTAGATTAGCTACTGGATAAATAATTGAATTATGTGTCATATGGTTGGTGCAATAAATAGATGTGTCCAAAATCTTGGGCTTTATTTAGACCACTTTCTTTATATTGTTGTGACTTGTGATGTCTACACCTGTAGGGATATTCATGAACAGAAGAATTGTTATTATAATTAATTTTTGGTTTTTTGAGATAGAGTCTCTGTCGCCCAGGATGGAGTGCAATGGCGGGATCTCAGCTAACTGAAACCTCGGCCTCCCGGGTTCAAGTGATACTCCTGTCTCAGCCTCCAGAGTGTCCGGGATTACAGGTGCCCACCACCATGCCCAGCTAATTTTTTGTATTTTTAGTAGAGATAGGGTTTCACCATGATGGTCAGGCTGGTCTTTAACTCCTGACCTCAGGTGGTCTGCCCGCCTCGGCCTCCCAAAGTGCTGGGATTACAGGCAGGAGCCACCGCGCCCAGCCACATATTTATTTTCTAATAAAATTAGCCTAGGAAGGCCTGGTGCAGTGCCTCACACCTGTAATTTTAGCACTTTGGGAGGCCGAAGCGGGCAGATCACAAGGTCAGGCGTTCCAAACCAGACTGGCCATTATGGTGAAACGCTGTCTTTACTAAAAATACAAAAATTAGCTAGGCATGGCGGCACACGCTTGTAGTTTCAGCTACTCGGGAGGATGAGTCAAAAGAACAGCTTGAACCTAGGAGGCGGAGGTTGCAGTGAGCCAAGATCATGCCAGTGCGCTCCAGCCTGGGCGACAGAGCTCCAAAAAGAAAATAAAAATTACCCTAGAAAACCTTTGGGGATTTGTTTAAATTGCATAGTAGTGTATAGTATAAAGTTGACAGGGCGGTGGCTAGAAAATATAAAAATTACAGAAACAGGCCGGGCGCAGTGGCTCACGCCTGTAATCCCAGCACTTTGGGAGGCCGAGGCAGGTGGATCACGAGGTCAGGAGATCGAGACCATCCTGGCTAACACGGTGAAACCCCGTCTCTACTAAAAATACAAAAAAATTAGCCGGGCGTGGTGGTGGGCGCCTGTAGTCCCAGCTACTTGGGAGGCTGAGGCAGGAGAATGGCGTGAACCCGGGAGGCGGAGTTTGCAGTTAGCCGAGATCGCGCCACTGCACTCCAGCCTGGGCGACAGAGAGACTCCATCTCAAACAAACAAACAAACAAATTACAGAAACTCTGAGATTTAAGTTTCTTTTAGATAAGCTTAGAAAAAACAAAACTGGAAGTACCCTAGTGGCATAGAGAACAGAATTCTACATAGGGTTCTCACCCTATCCTAGGTCTGTTAAGATTCACCCTTTTTGGAGGCCTTATTTAGGTCTGCCTCTATCCTGGAGTCTTGCCTCACAGAACTGATCAGAAGAGATCAGAGTTTTGGCTGGTGAATCCTGCTGCCTTTCTAGAGCTGGTGCTTAGAATTTACTGAAACTCAAAAGCAGATAAATCAGAAAAACAAAGTATGTATTAGAGGGTGTTAGTTTTTAAGTTTTCTATGAATCCAGTGCTAACAGAGACATTCTATTTAGCAACTTGGTTTCTATTCCTGCAGATCCAGTAGTTGCTCCTCAAGTCACAAAAAAAGAAGTAAATATAAACAGAATAAAATTTTCTCTAAACTACATTAAACTCTTTCTTTCTTTCTTTCTTTTTTGAGATGGAGTGTCTCTCTGTCGCCCAGGCTGGAGTGCAGTGGTGGATCTCGGCTCACTGCAAGCTCTGCCTCCTGGGTTCACGCCATTCTCCTGCCTCAGCCTCCCAAGTAGCTGGAACTACGGGCACCCACCACCACGCCCGGCTAATTTTTTGTATTTTTAGTAGAGACGGGGTTTCACCGTGTTAGCCAGGATGGTCTCGATCTCCTGACCTCGTGATCCGCCCGCCTCGGCCTCCCAAAGTGCTGGAATTACAGGCGTGAGCCACCGCGCCCAGCCATTAAACTCTTTCTTTCTTTATCTTGAAATCTGTCTACATTTAGCTTTTATTCTATGTAATTTTTTTAAAAAGTTGATGATGGAGAAACAGAGGAAGAAATAAAAATGCTGGGCCCTTTATCTAAATCCTGGAAATTATTAAACCCTTAGTACCAGCTTCCAGGGTATTATGAGAACTAAATCACATAATGTGTTATGCCCAGCACAGTGCTCTGTATCATATTCTTGAGCACATTGTACCTCATTAATAAACATTGCATTAGTACATGTGTACATGTTGTTTTTTAAATATAGACTTATTCAGACATTGCTGCTTTCTGTTTCTTCTGTAAACTTTAAAGAGCCAGCAAAGAATATAAAACTTTAGGATGGAGTTGGGTTGTCTTTATTTGTACCAGAAGTATTTGGTTGTGACAAGAGTGCTGAGTGTAAGCGACCCTGTGCTGTGCCTGCTTCTCTAACTAATGCTAACAATGAGCCCAGGGGGAGCAACATCAGCATTGACAGAGAACTTGTTTAAAACACCCATTTATGGACCCTTTTCAAACCTGCAGAATCATATTACATAAAGTGGAGTCAAAATTATCAAGTGATTTATAAGCTCATTAAAACTTTACAGGCAGTGCTCTCATTCATGAGAGTTAAGTTCCACCTTTGCACTAAAGGGTGGTCACAGGGCCTGTTCTGTTTGGGTTTGGTAGGGATAGGTCAGTGTGGCACATATTTCCATTACTGTAGCAAAAATTGCTGGTGTCTGTGGCAGGGGAGGGCACCTGAGGACAGGAAAGGAGAAACTTATATTTTTATCTTCATGAAGCAGCTCATTGTTCCTGAATCTCTTCTGTTTTAAAGGACAGAAAAGGGTGGACTTTTTCTGTGTTTTTTTTCTTTCTGCCATTTGATGTCATGCTAGCAGGTAAACAGGTGGTGCTGACACTTTTAAGGGCATATTATCAAGATACGGGTGTAATTTGTACAGAGAATCTCGTCTGAGAAGGAATTCCAGAGAAGCAAGAGAGGGAAAAGTGGCTTTTCTGTTTCAGATCAAGAGCTGTATTCACTCTGCCTCCTCGAATGCTATGCATTTAGTACTCACAAACTTTTACTTCTCTACTTTTGCTTTTTTTTTAATGAGTTTGGTTTAAGTACTTCTTAAAATTCTTATGATAGTCAAGAGTCTCTGTAAAATATTTATTTTCTATACCTTAGAGCCTTCTCTACATTTGCTGCATCATAGCTTCTTATATGCCATGCAGGATTCTCAGCAAGACTTTATAATCTGCAATATTAAAAATGTTCCCTTCGTGGCTGTTGAACATGGAAAGACGTGGATACTCAAGATTTCTATTGGGGAAAACTGTGGTCCTTAGTAAAGATGGAGAACATGTAATGTTGAGGCTCCATCTGTGTGTTCCATTAGCTCTATGCAGAATAGGATTAGGGAAATGCTTATTTAAAAGGGATGGCAGTTATTACCCAGAAAGTTCTGAAAGAAAATTAAGGTACCTGCTCTCTAGGGAGCTAAATGAAGCCTACTTAAAATTCCTACTAAAAGTTACAGAACATAGGAGTTATCTATATTTTGAAGTTAGCATAAAACATGTTTCTTTATGGTTAAATTCAGATTTTATTTACTTTCTTTGGGAGGAATATTTCAACAGTGATGCTGTGTTCTTCTTCTTCTTCTTTTTTTTTTTTTAAGAAGAGTTTCACTCTCATTGCCCAGGCTGGAGTGCAATGGTGCAATCTTGGCTCACTGCAACATCTGCCTCCCAGGTTCAAGCAATTCTCTTGCCTCAGCCTCCTGAGTAGCTGGGATTACAGGCATGTGCCACAACGCCCAGCTAATTTTGTATTATCAATAGAGACGGGGTTTCTCCATGTTGGTCAGGCTGGTCTCGAACTCCCGACCTCAGGTGACCCACCCATCTCGGCCTCCCAAAGTGCTGAAATTACAGGCGTGAGCCACCATGCCTGGCCGATGCTGTGTTCTTCTGTGTGAATTAGCACATCATAAAAATTTGTCCTAGTGCAGTTAAGGGTTAATGATTCACTTGGTGACATAGCTCTCTGACAGATTTTTTTTTACAATAGAGTTAATTATTTCTCTCTTCATTAAGTATTTTTATGCAGCTGATGTGCATAAACCATCACACTTAATCTGGCGTCTATCCTTTCTTCTCTTTTTTGCTACATATTTTTCTTTGGAAAATGAAGGCTCTTATCTTTGTTTACAGGCCAGAAAAACTGGGAAAAACACAGGCTCTTCCATTTACTCAATGTTTGACAAAATACCGTTCTTGGGCCAAAAACATTCGCATTAGAGATGAGCTTGTCAGAAATTCAAAAAGTCAGACTTTATGCCAGATCTTCCGGAATAAAAAAAAACCCTGCACAACAAGGTCTTCAGCTTATTGTGTATATTAAAATTTGAGAGGTGCCTTCTAACTCAACACATCTTTTGCATCTGAAAAATATTCACAACTCATTCCATATGATGCAAATATAGCACTAAAAAATGTTCATGTTCATGCCCTTAATTTTATGCTCTATTATCTAAAAAATATCATATATAAACTGATGTTATGGATCTTGTGCCGCTCTTTTTTCTCAGAGTTAGAGGATACATTAGAGAATATTTTTGGGTTGAAAAATATTTTATTGGATAATTTTAGGCAGTCCTTTGAGTCAGAACCAGTTCTCTTTACTCTCTAATTTCACCTTAAGTCAAATTAAAAATTCCTCTCATGCCATTTAGTAATTATGTGTGTGTGTGTGTTTTCCAGGGACCATTGCAATTTAGAGATGTGGCCATAGAATTCTCTCTGGAGGAGTGGCATTGCCTGGACACTGCACAGCGGAATTTATATAGGGATGTGATGTTAGAGAACTACAGAAACTTGGTCTTCCTTGGTGAGGACAACTTGAATATATAATTCATAATATACCCTGAAGATTTTATTTCTCTTTTTTGTAGAATGTTTGTTAGTAATTTATTCTTTGCAAAGTGGTAGAATTACAGGCATAAGCCACTGCGCCTGGCCATATTTTATTTATATTTCTGTATAATTTTTATTATGACCACAAAGATAACCCTGTAATCAATAACAATTTAATTGTACATTCACAATAACTAAAAGTGTATAATTACACTGTTTGTACTACAAAGGATAAACGCTAGAGGTGATGGATACCCTATTTACCCTGATGTAATTACTACATATTGTAGGCCTGAATCAAAATATTCCATATAAGGCATAAATATATACATATACTGTATGCCCACAAATACTAGAATAAATTTCAGTAAGAACAAAGAATAAAAATTTAACCGATGGGAAAAATGTTCTTCAACTCATTTGCAGTTTAAAGTCACTGGCAAAGTGATTACTAGACATGATATTCCACTATGTACCAAATAGTATATTGCTACCATGTTTTACCTACATGCTTGAGTAAGGTGGGATATGTCAAAGTTGGTAGCATAATAATGCTTCATTAAGCAAACAATAGTCTTAACATGGTAAAAAAAAATTAAATAAAATTAAGTTCACACATAATCTAATAATATTTAAATGTACTGCATTTTATTACATAAAAATGCAATTAGTATAATATACAAATTTGATACTTTTAACTATAATTTTTCTCTTTAATGTAGAAAAGTATTTCTCTGAACCCCCACCTTATTTTTTATCATTGTTTATTAATAAAGTAATTCATTATGTTTTTGAAAAAAAGTTTTAAAATGTTCTGCGTACATGTTAATGTAGGCTAGGCCATCCAAAAGACAAAGCAAAGCATCAACATTAAGTTTGAGAAATGAGAACATGAACCCCTACCTCATACATTACTTAGTATAAGTTAACTACAAAGAGCCTCTCCACTTACATTTTCATCATGCATCTTACATTTTAATGTCCTTACTCTTTTATAGAAAAAGTCACAAATAACGCCCAATAAAAAAGAATCTGTAGTATCTCTGATGCAGCAACAATTGATCACATGCTTTCACTTGTGAATACAATAGGAATAAAATAACAGCATAAAGTAATCTGAAAACTGTATTCACTCTAAATTAGTGGTAACTCCAGAAATTTAGTGGCATAAAATATTGTTGCCCCACCTGAAAATCTAATTGCTACCACTAATTTTTGATTCAGTAGTATCAGATAGTAAAATAAGAAACCTACAAATTGAAAGTATTTTCTAAATATTTAGAAATTTCTGTTATAAATTATTATTTTGGTATTGATTTACTGGAATATTTTATCACATCCTCTCTGCTGAGCACAGTACTAGCTTGTAATGGGAGTATATGAGCAAGATTCATGTTATTTATTTTTAATAAAACAGGTATTGTTGTCTCTAAGCCAGACCTGGTTACCTGTCTGGAGCAAGGAAAAAAACCTTTAACTATGGAAAGACATGAGATGATTGCCAAACCCCCAGGTAGGTACGAGTGAAAACGAATACAACAGATGACACAGATAAAAGGTCCCAATGTCAAAGAGAAAACCAGTCTTTAAAATGTGATTCTGGAAGCTGTGTTCCAAAGGAAATAGGTCCTGGGCAGCTGTTTTTTTTTTTTTTTTTTTCTCCCACAAAGGGGCATCTTCTGTCTTATGCTTTTAAATTCTCTAAGAATTCTACTTCTCCTTTGGTGAGCTTCCTTCAGGTTCACAGTGAGAGCCAAAGTCCTCTTCATGGCATGTAAAAGGCTGCGCGGGCTAGGAGTGGTGGCTCACCCCTGTACTCCCAGAACAGTGGGAGGCCAAGGCAGGTGGATCACGGGAGGTCAGAAGTTCGTGATTAGCCTGACCAACATGGTGAAACTCCGTTTCTACTAAAAATACAAAAATTAGCTGGGCGTGGTGGTGGGCACCTGTAATCCCAGCTACTTGGGAGGCTGAGTCAGGAGAATCATTTGAACCTAGGAGGTGGAGGTTGCAGTGAGCCGAGATCATGCCATCGCACTCCAGCCTGGGCAACAGAGCGAGACTCCATCTCACAAAAAAAAAAAAAAGAGAGAATGAGAGGCTGCACAGTCTGGCTGCTTTTCCATTGTTTTGGGGACACACAAATATCTGCATAATTTTGAGAAACTAAAACTATTTTTTTAAGTCCTCTTTTTGCATCAGGTCTGAAATGCGTGAGAGTATTAGTTTATCTTGCATTTTTTTTGTTTATTTTTCTGCACAGTCCATTCTGTTTTTATTTCTATAAAGTCTTCAAATATAGATTGAAATTGTAAGTATGATATTCTTCTGCTTTGTTCCTTTTCCTCAAGACTGTTTTGGCTATTCAAAGTTTATTTTAGTTTCATGTAAATTTTAGAATTGAATTTCCATTACTGTGAAAAAAATACTGCAATTTTGATAGGAAGTGTATTGAATCTATAGATCACTTTGGATAATATGGCACTTTATTAATATTTATTCTTTCAATCCAAAGACATAAAATATTTTAAAATTTATTTGGATCTTCCTTTTTTATTTATTTTTTATTGTAAAGGTTTTTTACATCCCTGGTTAATTTTTTTCTCAGAAATTTATTATGTAATGCTATAGTAAATAAGATTTTTTTCTCTATTTTATCAGATAGTTTGTTTTAAGTGTATGAAACTGTAGCTGGGCGCAGTTTAAGTGTATGGAACCATAGCTGGGGGTGGTCTCCCAAAGTACTAGATCACGCCTGTAATCCTAGCACTTTGGGAGACCAAAGTGCATGGATCACCTGAGATCAGGAGTTCGAGACCAGCCTGACCAACATAGAGAAACCCTGTCTCTGCTGAAATTACAAAAATTCACTGGGCATGGTGGCGCATGCCTGTAATCCCAGCAACTCGTTAGGCTGAGATGGGAGAATCGCTTAAACCTGGAAGGCAGAGGTTTCAGTGAGCCGAGATCACCCCATTGCACTTCAGGCTGGGCAAAAGAGCTAGACTCCTACTCAAAAAAAAAAAAAAAAAAGTGTATGAAACCATACATATACTTATGTATGTTAATTTTATGTTTTGCTAATTTACTGACTGTATTTATTAGTTTAGACAGGGTTTAATATACTGTTTATGGTTTTTTAAATATGTGATTGTATGATCTACAGACAGCAACTTTTTACTTACTGTTTTTCAATTTCAATGGATTTTTTTTTATTTCTTTGACTAATTCTTCTGCCACATACTTCCAGTGCTACATTAAAATAGAAGCATCGGCTGGGCTCCCTGGCTCACACCTGTAATCCCAACATGTTGAAAGGGCAAGGCAGGTGGATCACCTGAGGTCAGGAGTTCGAGACAAGCCTGACCAATATGATGAAACCTCGTCTTTACTAAAAATACAAAAGTTAGCCGGGTGTGGTGACATGCACCTGTAATCCCAGCTCCTTAGGAGGCTGAGACAGGAGAATCGCTTGAATCAGGGAGGCGGAGGTTGCAGTGAGCCAAGATCACACCATTGCACTCCAGCCTGGGCAACAAGAGCGAAACTCCGTCTCAATAAAAAAAAAAAAAAGAAGAAGAAGAAGCATTGACAATGGGCACAATATAGTTTTGTATTGGTATCTAAATTTGATGGAGCAAACACCTCTTCAAGTTTTCATAAACTGATTTTAGAAGGTAAAGATCTTCTTTTATTGGGCCCTTAGGGTGATGAGATATTCTGTGAATTTTTAGTGAAGAGGGGTTGTAGCTTGGTCACAAGGCTGCTGGGTCTACCTTTGGGTCCACCTTTAGTTGGCTTGCTACAGGGGCTTGGGTAGTTGTAATTCCATTTTATTTTTAGACAGACCGAATATCCTTACAGGTTCAAGCAGTTCTCATGTCTCAGCTTTGCAAGGAGCTGGGATTACAGATGTGAGTCACGGTGTCCGGCCTTAGTGTAGGTTTCTTAACATCAGTTTATTGTGTCTTGGTTTTAATTTGTATTACAATTTTAGACAATTTGCAATTCTGTTTGTACACTTTAAGTCAATTTGAGGTTTAATTAAGAGATAAATTGCTGGATGCGGTGGCTCACGCCTGTAATCCCAACACTTTGGGAGGCTGAGGTGGGTGGATCAAGAGGTCAGGAGTTGAGACCAGCCTGGCCAACATAGTGAAACCCTGTTTCCACTAAAAATACAAAAAATTAGCTGGGCATGGTGGCGGGCACCTGTAATCCCAGCTACTTGGGAGGCTGAGGTAGGAAAATTGCTTGAACCTGGGAAGCAGAGGTTGCAATGAGCCGAGATTGCACCATTGCACTCCAGCCCAGGCAACAGTGCGAGACTCCGTCTCAAAAAAAAAAAAAAAGATAAATTATGCATGTTTATTACAATCAGATTACATATGTATGTGTGTTTATCTATAAATATGACCCCAATTTTAGTTATGGCTTATCTTATATTCTTTCTTAGCTGATTTTCCATGGTAGTTTTATCTTAAGTGAGCAGTCATTGAGATAGTTTTATTTTTTCCATGTGTTTAATGATGAATATATATTTCCTTTTGTGAGAAAAGCACTTTTGTGATTTGAAGGTAATTTTCAAAAGGATTTATAATTCTGTATTTTTTTCTGTTTTTCTTTAAAACTTGTTTTAAAAACACATAACATAAAATTTAATGTCTTAAATCTATTGAAGTGTACATTTCAGGGCCAAGTGTGGTTGTGGCTCTCATCTGTAATCCCAGGATTTTGCGAGGCCAAGGCAGGAGGATCCCTGGAGCCTAAAAGTTTGAGAGCCGCCTGGGGAATATATGGAGACCTCTCTCTATAAAAAAAATTTAATAATAGCCAAGCATGGTGGTGTGCACCTGTGGTCCCAGCTACTTGGGAGATTGAGAGGGATTCAAAATTGTGCCACTACATTGCAGGTTGGGGGACAGAGTGAGACCCTGTCTCAAAAAAAAGTTGTTCATTTCAGGCATGTTAAGTATATTCACACTGTTATGCAAAAGACTTCTAGAAACTTTACATCTTATAAAGCTAAAACTTAATTCCCATTAAGTAACAACTGCTCATTTTACCCTCTCTCCAGCCCTGACAGACAAACCTTCAACTTTCTGTTTTATGATTTTTGACTACTTATGATACCTCATATAGCTGGGTGTGGTGGCTTACACCTGTAATCCCATCACTTTGGGAGGCTGAGGCAGGCAGATCACCTGAGATCGGGAGTTTGAGACCAGCCTGACCAACATGGAAAAACCCTGTCTGTACTAAAATACAAAAAAATTAGCCAGGCATGGTGGCGCATGCCTATAATCCCAGCTCCTCGGGAGGCTGAGATAGGAAAATCGCTTGAACCTGGGAGGTGGAGGTTGCAGTGAGCCAAGATCGGGCCATTGCACTCCAGCCTGGTCAACAAGAGTGAAACTCCATCTCAAAAAAAAAAAAAAAAAAGATACCTCATATAAGTGGAATCATATAGTATCCATAATTTTGTTACTGGTTTAATTCAGGTGACATAATATTCTCAATCTTCATCTTAAAATGTGACAAGATGGTTATTTTTAAGGTGGAATAATATTCCATCATATGTATATGTTACATTTTTTGATATGTTTATAAATCAAGGGACATCTGGGTTGCTTCAGCCTTTTGACTTTTGTGAATACTGGTACAATAAACATATATTTTCAAATATGTCTTCCAGGTCCTGTGTTACATATTTTGTTTCTTTTGTTGTTTGTTATTTTTATTTTTATTTTTTTTTTGAGATCGAGTCTCCCGCTGTCACCCAGGCTGGAGTGTAGTCGTGTGATCTCAGCTCACTGCAACCTCTGCCTTTGGGGTTCAAGCGATTCTCCTACCTCAGCCTCCCAAGTTCCTGGGATTACAGGTGCACGTAACATCACCCATCTAGTTTTTGTATTTTTAGTAGACATGGTGTTTCACCATGGTGGCCAGGCTGGTTTTGAACTTCTGACCTCAGGTGATCTGCCCACCTTGGCCTCCCAGTGTGCTATGATTACAGGCTTGAGCCACTACACTTCGCCTGTGTTATGTATTTTAGATATAGATTTATAAATAAGGAACATTTCTAACATTTTAAAATAATGGCTGCATCATTATTTTCCACCAGCAGTCAACATGGGTTTCATTTTTATTGCATCATCAACAGATTTGGTGTATCAAAAAAAAATTATAGTGGCCATTCTAATGGGTATGAGGTGATTTTGTTTGTTATGTTTCTTTTTTCATTTCTCTACAAATTAGTAATTTTGTGTGTGCTTTCAAATGCATTTTCCAATTTTGTGTATTTTTTTGAGAAAAATTTGTCCATTTCTAAATCAAGTTATTCAAATTTACTGTTAGTTTTAAGAGTCATTTATATATTTTGAATATTAACTCTTTTAACAAGTAATATGTAAATGTTTTCAACTATTTTCTAAGGGACGTTGTCACTCCTGAAATTTTTTTCTTTCAGAAATTTTGAAGTATAGTGTAGTTAAACTTTTTTGTTCTTTTATTTGTTGCTCATACATTTAATGTCGTACCTAAAAAAATGGTGCCAAGACCAATGTCATGTCTTTTTTTTGTATTCTTTCTTTCTTTCTTTCTTTCTTTCTTTCTTTCTTTCTTTCTTTCTTTCTTTCTTTCTTTCTTTCTTTCTTTCTCTTTCTTTTCTTTCTTTCTTTCTTTCTTTCTTTCTTTCTTTCTTTCTTTCTTTCTTTCTTTCTTCCTTTCTTTTCTTTCTTTTCTTTCTTTTCTTTCTTTTCTTTCTTTCTTTTCTTAGATGGAGTCTTGCTCTGTCCCCCAGGCTGGAGTTCAGTAGCGCAATCTCAGCTCACTGCAAGCTCTGCCTTCTGGGTTCACGCCATTCTCCTGCCTCAGCCTCCCAAGTAGCTGGGACTATGGGCGCCCGCCACCATGCCCGGCTAAGTTTTTTGTATTTTTAATAGAGACGGGGTTTCACCATGTTAGCCAGGATGGTCTCGATCTCCTGACCTCATGATCCGTCCGCCTCGGCCTCCCAAAGTGCTGGGATTACAGGCATCAGCCACCGTGCCCGGCTTGTTTTGTATTTTTTCTAAAATATTTGTTAGTTTATTTTGTCTAAGTATTTTATTTAAAATGTATTTTTGTATCATTCAAGGAAATAATCCAACTTTATTTTATCAGTGTTGATACTGTAGCTTTTAACTGTTGTATTGACATCTTTGAACAATGAAATTTTTTGACCCCTGAGCAAGAATGTTGAAGTGTGTTTTATATTCACATGCTTTTGAATTTGCCATTTGACTTTTGCTTTTAATTCCTAATTTCATTCAGTTTTTGTTAGAAAACACACAGTGTATAATTTTAGTCTTTTAAAATTGTTTTGTTGTTGTTGTTTTGAGACAAGATCTTACCGTCATCCAGGCTGGAGTGCAGTAGCATAATTTTGGCTCACTGTAGCCTCAGTCTCCTGGGCTCAAGTGATTCTTTCACATCAGTTTCCTGAGTAGCTAGGATTACAGACATGCACTACCATGTCTGGCTAATTGTGTGCTTGTTTGTAGTGTTAGGATGTCAATGTGTTGCCCAGGCTGGTTTCAAACTTTTGGCCCCAGGGGATCCTGTTTTCTTGGTCTCCTAAAATGTTAGGATTATAGGCAAGAGCCACTGTTCCCAGTATTTTAAAATTTAATAAAACTTGCTCTGTGTCCTAACAGAATACACCAGATGCAAATAAGAATATTGTGTATTATCTTGGTTTTGACTGGAGAGTTTTGCATGTGTCTGTGAAGCCTAGTTGGTCTATAATATGGGTTGGATATTCATGTTGTCCAAACCTCATGCTGCAATATAAATCCTCAATGTTGGTTATGGGACCTGGTGGGACACGTTTGGATCATGGGGCAAATTTCTCATGAATGGCTTGGTATATCCTCTTGGTAACCAAAAACTTTTCACTCTATTAATTCAAATGAGAGCTGGTTCATTAAAAGAACCTGGGTCCTTCACCTCACACTTGCTCTGTCTCTTACCATATAACATGTCCAGTTACTCTTTACCTTCCACCATGATTTTAAGCTTCCTGAAATCCTCACCAGAAGCAGATGCTGGCACACACTTCTTATACAGTCTGCCAAACTGTGAGCCAAATAAACCTTTTTTCTTTATAAATTATGCTACTCTCAAGTATTCCTCTATATGCAAAATAATTAATATTGTCTATAATGTTAGCTAAGTTTTTTTCTTATTTTTTATCTGAATTTTATATTTATTACTGCAAATGGAGTCTTGATGTCTACAATTATTATGTTGCCATGTATGTCTTGCTTCACTTTTGTCAATAGTTGCTTTATATATTTTGGAGCCCTGATGTTATATACACACATTTATATAGATAGATAAATATTACGATTATAGATTCCTGCTAAATCAACTCACTTTACTATAAAATAATACCAGTCTATGTCTCATGGTAGTATTTGACTTAAGGCATATTATGTCTAATATAATTATGACCACATCACTCAATTGTGGTTACTATTTTCATGGAATATACATTTTTTTTTCATTTTTTATTTTCAGCCTATTTGACTCAATGCAAAATGAGTCTCTTGTAGGCAGCGTACTGTATGCTTTTTAAAAACCACTCAGGCATTCTATTTTTTTATATATAATTTTATTTATTTATTTATTTTCTTTTGTGATGGAATTTCACTCTTGTTGCTCAGGCTGAAGTGCTATGGTGCGATCTCAGCTCACTGCAACCTATGCTTCCCGGGTTCAAGCAATTTTCCTGCGTCAGCCTTCTGAGTAGCTGGGATTAAAGGCATCTGCTACCACACCTGGCTAATTTTTTTGTATTTTTACTAGTGACAGGGTTCCACCATGATGGCCGGGCTGGTTTTGAATGCCTGACCTCAGGTGATCTATATATTGTCCTTCTTCGTCTTTTTGAAGTTTTGACTTAAAGTACATTTTATAAAATATGACAGTTTTTGACTTTAAGATGTAGCTTGTGTAATATTATTTTGACCTCTTCTGCTCTCATTTGGTTAATATTTACATGAAATTTCTACTTCTGTCTTGCCACTTTCAGTCTTTGTCATTAGATCTCAGGTGACTCTTGTAGAAAGGCAAGTTGGATCTTGATTTTTAATTTTTTTTTTTTTTTTTTTTTTAGAAGAAGTCTCACTCTGCCACTCAGACTGCAGTGCACTTGTTCAAGTGATTCTCCTGTCTCAGCCTCCTGAGTAGCTGGGATTACAGGCATGCCCCACCACGCCTGGCTAATTTTTGTATTTTTAGTAGAGATGGGGTTTCACCATGTTGATCAGGCTGATAAAATTTTTTAATAAACCTTTTTATTGAAAGTATGTTTCTTGACTGGAAAGATAATTATATATATTTAAATAGTTTTCCGAAAGAGAAAAACTTACTAATGTTATCTATTTATTTATTTATTTATTTTGAGACGGAATCTTGGTCTATCACTCAGGCTGGAGTGAAATGGCACAATGTTGGCTCACTGCAACCTCTGCCTCTAAGGTTCAAGTAATTCTCCTGTCTCAGCCTCCTGAGTAGCTGGTATTATAGGCACCCACCACCATGCTGGCTAATTTTTGGTATTTTTAGTAGAGATGGGGTTACTCCATGTTGGCCACGCTGGTCTTGGACTCCTGACCTCCAGTGATTCACCCGCCTTGGTCTCCCAATGTGCTGGGATTACAGGCGTGAGCGACTGCGCCTGGCCAACGTTATTTTATTGTTTTATTTGATTCTTTTATCTTTGTCTCTTTTTCTCTTTCTGTCTTTTTGTGTTTTTTTTTTATTTTTGTATTGATATGCTTTTAATTTTTTTCTTATTTTCTTTTGTGTATCTAGGCAGGTAGTTTCTTAGTGGTATCTAGGGGATTACATAAAACCTCTAAAAGATCCAACAATATACTTTAATGCAGTAAAAAATTAACTTCAGTTGCATGCAAACATTCTTCATTACATCTGCCTTCAACTTTGTTATTGATTTTGCTAATTCTACTTATGTTATATATTCATTAACAGATGTTTATAATAATTCCTCTACTTCCATCTTTTGCATTTTAGAGAATAACTAAAAGTGCTTTCTGTGCCATTATGATAATAAGTAAGGAATTCTATTTTTGTGTATGTGCATATCTTCTCCAGAAAGTTATGTATTTTCATATGATCATGTGTTGTTTTCTTGTATTATGTTATTTTCAGTGGAAGAAACTTCTTTCAGCATCTTTGATAGGTAGGGCATATGCAGTGCCAATATACTTTCTTAGGATTTGGTTATTTTGGAAGGACTCCTTTTTATATGATAGTACAATTTTGCCGATGGTATTATTTTCTGCAAAAATTTTTTTTGATAAATTCACTGGTTATCTTATAAGACTATGCTTATAAATGACACATCATTTTTATCTTGCAGCACCCAAAATTCTTTTCTTATCTGTGATTTTTGAAATTTTGCTTATAGGTGTGTTTGTGATAAATATCTTTTTGTGTATCCTAGTTTGTTCAGCTTCTTCATGTTTACATTATTTTTTCTTTTAAGAAATTTTTAAGTTATTTTTATATTTTTTATATCCATAATTTTTGTTTTTTTCTATTTTAATATTTTTTCTTGTTTATCCTCATTTTTCTGATCTTCAGTAGTCGTCTGTGTTCCTATTTCACTTACTGAATATCATTCAATTTCTTTTATGTAATTAATTAATTTATTTATTTTCTGAGACAGAGTCTCACTCTGTTGCCCAGGCTAGAGTGCAGTGGCATGATCTTGGCTCACTGTAACCTACCCCTCCCAGGTTCAAGTGAGTCTCCTGCCTCAGCCTCCCAGTAGCTGGGATTACAGGTGCATGCTGCCACATTTGGCTGATTTTTGTATTTTTAGTAGAGATAGGCTTTCACTCTGTTGGCCAGGCTGATCTTGAACTCCTGACCTCAAATGATCCACCCACCCCAGCCTCCCAAAGTGCTGGGATTACAGGCATGAGCCACTGTTCCTGTCCTACTTTATTTTTTTTTTGAGACAGGCTTGCTCTGTTGCCCAGCCTGGCCAGCAGTGGTACAGTCACTCACTGCAAGCTTCCCATCTTGGGTTCAAGCAGTTCTCGTGTGTCAGTCTCCTACGTGGCTGGGATTACAGGCACATGCCACCACGCCCAGCTAATTTTTGTATTTTTAGTAGTTACAGGGTTTCACCATGTTGGCCAGGCTGGTCTCAAACTCCTGACCTCATGTGATTTTCCTACCTTGGCTTCCCAATGTGTTAGAATTACAGGAATGAGCTTCCAAGCTTGGCCTGTTCAATTTATTCTGAATTTTAAAAATTACTTTATTCACTTTTTATGGCTGCTTTTGAAAATTTTATAATTTTTTTGATGGGCCATGCTGCCCAAATATTTTGTATACATTGTAATCTTTGAGTGAGATTCAGGCATTAACAAAAAGCTACCTGTGCCAATCTTTATAATATAGTTTTGTCCTTGTGTAGTCTGAAATCAATTGTTTTGGCTAGAGATTCTGGGAATTTCTCAAACATGTTTTTAGGATGTGTCTTGTCTAAAATTTTGTGTTTATTGTTTAGTTAAATCGGCTTATTCATATTTCTTCCTAATAATCAGTAATCACTTGCTACAGCCATTCCTGTTTGGATTACTGCAGTTTCTCTGCTTCTGTAACATTTACCTTTAGACTCAGCAGACTCAAACTGTCATTCTAACATATCACTGTTTCAGCATTTTATGTCATGGGAGACATTAGCCGGTGTCTAAAAAAGTTCATAGATGCCAGAAATAAAGATGTATGTGCCAATATTTTTCTTATTTTTAAAAAAGAAACCAGGAGTTGGCAATTTATATTTGTGTGTGTGTGTGTGTGTGTGTGTGTGTGTGTGTGTGTGTGTGACAGAGTCTCACTCTCTTACCTAGGCTGGAGTGCAGTGGCAAAAATCTTAGCTCACTACAATCTCCGTCTCCACAGTTGAAGCAATTCTCCTGCCTCAGCCTTCAGGTAGCTAGGATTACAGGTACCTGTTACCATGCCTGGCTAATTTTCTGTATTTTTAGTTGAGATGGGGTTTCACCATGTTGGTCAGGCTGGTCTCAGTCTCCTCACCTTAGGTGATCCACCTGCCTTGCCTTACCAAAGTGCTGGGGTTACAGGCATTAGCCATCATGCCTGGCCAACAATTTAATTTTTTTTTTTTTTTTTTTTTTTTTTTGAGATGGCGTCTCACTCTGTTGCCCAGGCTGGAGTGCAGTGGTGCAATCTTGGCTCACTGCAGTCTTTGCCTCCCTGGTTCAAGCAATTCTCTGCCGCAGCCCTCCGAGTAGCTGGGATTAAATGTGCCCGCCACCATGTCTGGCTAATTTTTTGTATTTTTAGTAGAGACAAGGTTTCACCATCTTGGCCAGGCTGGTCTTGAACTCCCGACCTCATGATCCACCCACCTCAGCCTCCCAAAGTGCTGTGATTACAGGCGTGAGCCACCATGCCCAACTGGCAATTTACTTTTAAAAGCACAATGTTATACTGGGCAGCAGGAAGAGCTGTGTTGGGTATAACTAACAGAGCTTTCTTTTTCTTCTATGTGGCTATTTGCATTCTGCTCACCTGGAGCCCTTCACACACTTAACTCATTTATAAATTTTTTACAATTTTATTTTTGTCACTATGTTTTTGTTACATTTATGTGTCCAGGAAGAAATCAGAACTGGTGGTATTTTGCTATGTCATCTTGCTTATGTAGTTTGTATAATTTTATAGGTTAGATTTGTAATGTATATTTATCTGAGTCTAGCAATTGAAGTAATGTGTTTTTATTGTTTCTTTTAGTTATGAGTTCTCATTTTGCCCAAGACCTTTGGCCAGAGAACATACAAAATTCTTTCCAAATAGGGATGCTGAGAAGATATGAAGAATGCAGACATGACAATTTACAGTTAAAAAAAGGCTGTAAAAGCGTGGGTGAGCATAAGGTGCACAAAGGAGGTTATAATGGACTTAACCAATGTTTGACAACTACCCAGAAAGAAATATTTCAATGTGATAAATATGGAAAAGTCTTTCATAAGTTTTCAAATTCAAACACATATAAGACAAGACATACTGGAATAAATCTTTTCAAATGTATAATATGTGGCAAAGCTTTTAAACGGTCCTCAACCCTTACTACACATAAGAAAATTCATACTGGAGAGAAACCTTACAGATGTGAAGAATGTGGCAAAGCTTTTAACCAATCTGCAAACCTTACTACACATAAGAGAATTCATACCGGAGAGAAACCCTACAGATGTGAAGAATGTGGCAAAGCCTTTAAGCAGTCCTCAAACCTTACTACACATAAGAAAATTCATACTGGAGAGAAACCCTACAAATGTGAAGAATGTGGCAAAGCCTTCAACCGATCCACAGACCTTACTACACATAAGATAGTTCATACTGGAGAGAAACCCTACAAATGTGAAGAATGTGGCAAAGCCTTTAAGCACCCCTCACACGTTACCACACATAAGAAAATTCATACTAGAGGGAAACCCTACAACTGTGAAGAATGTGGCAAATCCTTTAAGCACTGCTCTAACCTTACTATACATAAGAGAATTCATACAGGAGAGAAACCCTACAAATGTGAAGAATGTGGCAAAGCCTTTCACCTATCCTCACACCTTACTACACATAAGATACTTCATACTGGAGAGAAACCCTACAGATGTAGAGAATGTGGCAAAGCTTTTAACCATTCCACAACCCTTTTTTCACATGAGAAAATTCATACTGGAGAGAAACCCTACAAATGTGATGAATGTGGCAAAACCTTTACCTGGCCCTCAATCCTCTCCAAACATAAAAGAACTCATACTGGAGAGAAACCCTACAAATGTGAAGAATGTGGCAAATCCTTTACTGCATCCTCAACTCTAACTACACATAAGAGAATTCATACTGGAGAGAAACCTTACAAATGTGAAGAATGTGGCAAAGCTTTTAACTGGTCCTCAGACCTTAATAAACATAAGAAAATTCATATTGAACGAAAACCCTACATAGTGAAGAATGTGACAGATCTTTTAAATGTTCCTCCACTTTTAATTAGCATAAGATAATTCATACTGGAGAGAAACCCTATGAATGTGATGAATGTGGGAAAGCCTTTAACCAGCCCTCGACTCTTAGTAAATTTGAGAGTTTATATGGAACACAAACCCTACAAATATAAAGAATGTGACAAAGCTTTTTAAGGAAGTTCTCAACCCTTATTACACATAATTCATACCAAACAGAAGCCCTACAAGTGTGAAGAATGTGGCAAAACCTATAAACCTATAACAAGTTCTCAATTCCTTTTTTTTTGAGATGGAGTTTCACTCTTGTCACCGAGGCTGGAGTGCAATGACATGATCTCCGTTCACTGCAATCTCTGCCTCCTGGGTTTAAGCCATTCTTCTGCCTCAGCCTCCCAAGTAGCTGGGATTACAGGTGCCCAACACCACGCCTGGCTAATTTTTGGATTTTTAGTAGAGATGGGGTTTCACAATGTTGGCCAGGCTGGTCTCGAACTCCTGACCTCAGGTGATCCACCTGCCTTGGCCTTCCAAAGTGCTGGGGTTACAGGCGTGAGCCACCATGCCTGGCTACAAGTTCTTAATTCTTAAGAGACACCATGCCTGGCTACAAGTTCTTAATTCTTAAGAGACATGGCGATAATTCATGCTGAAGAGGAAATCTGGAAACCTGAAAGATGCGACATTGCTTTTACCAACACCTCCACATTTCCTATACATAAAAATAAATTATACTAGTGTAATACCCTAGAAATGTATAAAATGTGACAAAGCCTTTATATGATTGTCATACATGATTGTAGGTGATAGAAGTCATACTGCCAAAACTCCTGTAAGTGTGAAGAATGTGGCAAAATATTTTATTAGTGCTTATACCTTATTTCACAGGAAAGCTCTTATCCTTGAGAAAAATTGTGCAAATACAAAGAATATGGAAAAACCATTAATGCCTACTCACATCTTACTGAACAGAAGAAGGTTCATAGTTAATAAAGCATTAAAAGTGCAATTACTGTCAAAAAATCTTTCAGAAAATAGAAGTCTTTAAAGTGAAGAATATTTATTCTGAAGACAGCCATTACAAATATAAAGGGGGTTGTAGTGCCTTTACTTGTGTCACAGATCTTAGTGCACACATGTAGTACTAGAGGAAAACCCTGAAGCAGTTGCTCAAGCTTTGTTTCAGGGAATCAAGGGAATTTATATTGAGAATAGTACTGCAAATGTAATGAATGGAAAGACTTTTCTTTTCCAAAAATGACAGCTTAGAAAACACCAGAGGGTTTATACCAAAATATATTTTTGCAGATGCAGTAAATATCAAAAAATATTTAATTCAAAATTGATTCTATGTAAATATCAGAGAATTTTCCATAGAATAATTAAGGCACTGACACTTCAGACATTACACTAAATCAGAATGTTCAGTATAAAAACTAATCCACAGCTACAGCTGTTAGATAAATTATTTCTATATAATTTTTTAAAAAGTGGATTTTTGAAGCACTGTAATTACATTGAAAGTATACTTGTTTTCTTGAAAAAATTTTTTTGAAAAGTGAATAATGATATAATACAGCTTTCACATTGCTTTATGCTATTTTATTCCTATTATATTCACATGTGAAAGCATGTGATCAATTGTTGCTGCATTAGAGATATTAGAGATTGTTTTTTATTAGTTGGGCATTATGTATGACCTTTTCTATAAAAGAGTAAGGACATTAAAATGTAAGATGCATGATGAAAATATAAGTGGAGAGGCTCTTTGTAGTTAACTGATATTAAGTAATGTGTAAGGTGGGGGTTCATGTTCTCATTTCTATAATCCTAGCCAATGACTTAATGTTGATGCTTTGAATGTCTTTTGGATGGTCTAACCTACATTAACATGTATGCGGAACATCTTAAAACTTTTTTTCAAAAATCATAATGAATTATTTTATTAATAAGCAAAGATAAAAAATAAGGTGGGGTTTCAGAGTAATGCTTTTCTACATTATAGTGACAGAAAGAAATTATTAATTATAGTTAAAAATATTAAAATACAGCCAGGTATATTTATTGGTTTAGACAGGTTTTAATATAATATTTATGGTTCTTTAAATATAAAGTTGTATGGGATGGGTGCAGTGGCTCATGCCTGTAATCCTAGCACTTTGGGAGGCTGAGGCAGATGGATCACTTGAGGTCAGGAGATCGAGACCAGCCTGACCAACACTGAGAAACCCCACCTCTACTAAAAATACAAAAATTAGCTGGGCATGATGGCACATGCCTGTAATCCCAGCTATTCAGGAGGCTGAGGCAAGAGAATTGCTTGAACGTGGGAGTTCTCAGATTACAGGTGTGCGCCACCATGCCTGGTTAATTTTTGTATTTTTAGTAGAGACGGGGTTTCACCATGTTGGCCAGGCTGGTCCCATACTCCTGACCTGAAGTGATTCGCCCACCTCGGCCTCCCAAAGTGCTGGGATTACAGGCATAAGCCACCGCACCCTGCCTATTTTTTTCTTACTGAAATTTATTATTAGTATTTGTGGGTATATTGTATGTGTATATATTTATGCCTTATATGGTATATTTTGATTCAGGCATACAATATGTAGAAATTTCATTAGGGTAAATAAGATATCCGTCACCTCTAGCGTTTATCATTTGTATTACAAACAGTGTAATTATACACTTTTAGTGCATAATTTAATGAAGCAGGTGGATTGCCTGAGGTCAGGAGTTCAAGATCAGCCTGGCCAATATGGTGAAACCCCGTCTCTACTAAAAATACAAAAATTAGCTGGACGTGGTCGTGCATGCCTGGAGGCTGAGGCAGGAGAATTGCTTGAACCCTGGAGGGACAGTTTTTTAAATAAGATTAAGGACTGAGGACTGGTTGGGGCTCATAAATGATATGAGTAAAGTGTTAGCTAAAACAGAAGAAAAAGGGGTGCCCAAACAAGTCACCTTAAAATTTGATGCCTGTGCTGTCATTAATAGTAATAAGTTAGGAATAAGGTGTGGTTCTCTTAATTAGAAAAGAGGCTATATGGCAGAAAATAAATACAACTGTCATAAATTAGCACTGTGTGGAAATAAATGTGAACACTGGTCTTGTGTCATTTAGGCCACTTGGATTAAAAAAAAAAATGAAAAAGATCCATCCCACCTTCAGAAAGGAAAAAATGGCCCTTCCTGTACTCAGGGACAATGTAACCCCTTAGAGCTAGTCATAACCAATCCCCTTGATCCTCGCTAGAAAAAAAGAGGAGCATGTGACCTTAGGAATCGACGGGGCCAGACTGGATCCTTGAGTAAATATCTTGGTTCGAGAAGCTTACAAAGACTCTCCTGAGCCAGTGTTTCAAACTTTCTATGATGAACTAAATGTGCCAGTACCAGAAATTCCAGGAAAAACAAGAAATTTGTTTTTGCAATTAGCCAAGCATGTAGCCCAGTCTCTCAATGTCACTTCATGTTATGTATGTGGAGAAGCTGTAATAAGAGATCAATGGCCATGGGAAGCCTGAGAATTAGTACCTACAGTACCTGATGAATTCCTGGCTCAAAAGAATCACCCTGATAATTTCTGATCCTAAAAGCCTCAATTATTAAACAATATTGCATAGCTAGAGAAGGAAAAGAATTCACTCACCGCGTAGGATGACTTAGTTGTCGGAGACAGAAACTGTATAATGGTACCACAAAAACAATCACTTGGTGGAGTTCAAATCACACAGAGAGAAAATTTAGTAAATTCTCAAAGTTGCAAACTGGACCCACCTGGAGTCCCACCGGGACTGGACAGCCCCCACTGGATTATACTGGATATGTAGGCATAGAGCTTATGACAGATTACTGACCAGTAGGCAGGTAGTTGTGTTATTGGCACTATTAAACCATCTTTCTTCCTACTGCCCATAAAAACAGGCAAACTCCTTGGCTTCCCTGTCTACGCTTCCCGCGAAAAGAGAATCATAGCTATAAGAAATTGAAAAAATGATAAATGGCCCCCTGAGAGAATCATACAATATTATAGGCCTGCTACTTAGGCACAAGATGGCTCATGGGGATACCGGACCCCCATTTACATGATCAACCGAATCATATGGTTACAAGCTGTCTTAAAAATAATCACTAATAAAACCAGCAGAGCCTTGACTATTCTGGCCTGGCAAGAAACTCAGATGAGAAATGCTATATATCAAAATAGATTAGCCCTCGACTACTTGCCAGCAGCTGAATGAGGGGTCTGCAGGAAATTTAACCTTACTAATTGCTGCCTACACATAGATAATCAAGGGCCAGTTGTTGAAGACATAGTTAGAGATATGACAAAACTGGCACACGTGCCCATGCAAGTGTGGCATGGATTTGATCCTGGGGCCATGTTTAGAAAATGGTTCCCAGCGCTAAGAGGATTTAAAACTCTTATAATAAAAGTTATAATAGTAATAGGAATCTGCTTACTGCTCCCTTGTTTGCTACCTGTACTTCTTCAGATGATAAAAAGCTTCATTGTTACCTTGGTTCACCAAAATGCTTCAGCACAAGTGTAATATATGAATCACTATCGATCTGTCTTGCAAGAAAACATAGGTAGTAAAAATAAAAGTGAGAACTCCCACTATTGAGAGTCTCAAAGTGGGGGAATAAGGGAGGAGACCACCCCTCATATTGTCTTATGCCCAATTTCTGCTTCCAAAGAAAGAAAAAGTAAAAACTAAAAGGCAGAAATGAAATCCACAAGCAGACAGCCCAGCGCCACACCCTGGGCCTGGTAGTTAAAGATCAACCCCTGACCTAATCGGTTATGTTATCTACAGATTACAGACATTGTATAGAAATGCACTGTGAAAATCCCTATCCTGTTTTGTTCTAATCTAACTACCGGTGCATGCAGCCCCCAGTCATGTACCCCCTGCTTGCTCAATCAATCATGACCCTCTCACACACATCCCCTTAGAGTTGTGAACCTTTAAAAGGGACAGGAATTGCTCACTTGGGGAGCTCAGCTCTTGAGACAGGAGTCTTGCCAATGCCCCTGGCTGAATAAACCCCTTCCTTCTTTAACTCGGTGTCTGAGGAGTTTTGTCTGTGGCTCGTCCTGCTACACCCTCTCCAGAATCATGGGCCATAGTTCCAGGGGAGAACCCTTCCAAACTAAAGCTAAGAAAATTTACCTATCTTCCATCTGTTCTGTTACTCCTTCTCCTTTTCCCCTTCTATTGCTAATCCTCTCGTTATTAATGTAACTAGGTTGGGCTCACCCCAAACTATTTCCTTTAGTGCTTGCCTCATTATGCCCTGTGAAAATCTCCAGAGTCAAAAACAGCTCTCAGCCTCAGAGAAATATCTCTGTCACTTTTGGACAAGAGGCTCCCCCTAACACGACTCCTGTTCTTTAACAAATGTAAAAAAAACAGGCCTGCCACAGCTGGAATGATGTTTTATAAACAATCGAATATCAGGGCTGGACCTCATCAACAAGTGGTTGTATGTCCTTAAAGCCATATATTTGCTTTGCTAAAGGAAACACTCCTTCCAATTGCCAGTTTAACCAATGTAATCTGGTGCAAATTTCTATTCTCACCCCCACTTCTATGGATCCTAACCCCACTTTGATTTGAGCTGCTTCTATGGCATAAGACCCAACTTGGCTGGCACAAATCTCATAGGGTCTTTCAAAATGCGTCTAATCATCCCTCATGCTCTTCACTCCCCTCTCTTCTAAGCTCTTTTCTAACCAGACTGTCATATCTTCTATGCCCAGTGATAAGACTAAAATAGATATTGTAAAAGTAACTAATTTAAGGCAAACTTTAACAATTAAAACAAGATACCAAGATACAAATGCCTGGTTAAAATGGATCAAATATTCTGTGCACACATTAAGCAAAAGCAATTGTTATGCTTGTGCACGCGGCCAGCCAGAGGCCCAAATTGTCCCTTTCCCACTCAGATGGTCTTCTAGTTGACCAGGCATAAACTGTATAGTAGCTCTTTTCCAAGACCCCACAGCCTAGGGTAATAAATCCTGCTGAGCTCTCTCTCTGCTATTTCTTAAAGTCCAACACCCTGTGGGTCAGGCCCCAAGAGCCATCCAGCCTCCATCTCCTAGCGTCAATTTTACCTCGTGTCTCTCACGACAAGGGGAAAACTTGGCATTTCTTGGAGACTTAATGGGATACAGTGAGCTTAAGCCTTTCCAAGATCTTACCAGTCAGTCTTCCCTTGTTCATCTTTGAGCAAATATATGGTGGTATTGTGGTGGACCCTTACTGGACACTCTGCCAAGTAACTGGAACGGCACTTGCACTGTTGTCCAGTTGGCTATCCCTTTCACTCTGGCATTTCATCGACTAGAAAAAGAAAAACCACAACACTGTAAAATAAGAGAAGCCCCTTATGTGTCTTTTGACTTTCAAGTTTATTTAGACACAACTGGAGTCCCACGGGTGGTACCTGATGAATTCAAAGCCCAAGATCAAATAGCTGCAGGATTTAAATCAATATTTCCACGGGTAACTATTAATAAAAATGTAGATTAGATAGATAAATCACATCTATTATAATCAATATTAGTTTATTAATTACACCAGAAATGCTGTCAAAGAAATAGCCAACCAATTAAGGCCTACTAGCCAGATAACTTAGAAAAACAAAATGGCCCTGGACATAATATTAGCTGAAAAAGGTGGAGTTTGTGTTATGATTAAAACTCAAATGTTGTACCTTCATCCCAAACAATACTGCCCCCAATAGGAACATAAGAAGGGCCTTACACGAACTTACCACTTTATCCAATGAATTAGCTAAAAATTCTGGGGTCAATAACACGTTTTCAGAATGGCTAGAGAGGTGGTTCAGTAAACGAAAAAAAGTCATAGCCTCAATTCTTACTTCTCTTATAGTTGTAATAGGTGTACTAATTCTTGTTGGGTGTTGTGTCATACCATGCATCTGTGGGCTAGTACAAAGACTTATAAAAACGACACTTACGAAAACCTCCCTTAGTTCTCCTCCACCTTATTCAGATAAACTTTTCCTTTTAAAAGATCAAGTCAAACAACAAAGTAAAGGTATGTTTAAAAAGTTTTAAAAAGCGTGTGGTCGCAGTGGCTCACGCCTGTAATCCCAGCACTTTGAGAGGCTGATGCGGGCGGATCACCCGAGGTCAGAAGTTAGAGACCAGCCTGACCAATATGAAGAAGCCCCATCTATACTAAAGACACAAAATTAGCTGGTCGTGGTGGCACATGCCTGTACTCCCAGCTACTCGGGAGGCTGAGGCAGGAGAATTGCTTGAACCTGGGAGGCAAATGTTGTAGTGAGCCAAAATCGTGCCATTGCACTCCAGCCTAGGCAGCAAGAGCAAAAACTCCATCTCAAAAAAAAAGGTTTTTTTTTAATTATAAAAATTAAAAGGGGGAAATTGTAAAATACAATAAAATTCCTCTTCAAAGGTTTAGTCTTAACTTTCTTGTTCTTTGTTCTCAAACTCAACTTGCTTGTTCTCCATGCCTCCTTGCCCCTAGTTACTGTAACAACCTTCCTTCCCAACAGCTCTAATCAATAATTCACATCTGTTCCCTTGATTACTCACTCTGCAGCCTTCCCACCCTTCAAAACCACACGTCCCACCACTGTGACTTATACATGCCCCTTCCCTTCCTTATTTGGAAAAATATTTACAAATAGCCAATCGGGTCAGTTTAGATTGTGGGGTCCGACCCTAGCCCATGGGGGAGTAACACAGAGGAAGAGACTTTACGTTAAAAATAAAAACCCCTTCCCTCCTTTGTTCAGGGTGCTCTTGCGATCGTGATTAATGCAAACAAAAACCTTTTGCAGAAGTAAATTGCCTTACTAAAAAAACTTTTGCCTGAGTACTGGTTTCACTTTGCGACACCAAACACTTTACTTCCAACGGTATTATTAATATGACAACGAAATACTTCTGTTCACCTTTTCAATACATTCAAAAAGAGAGAGTAAAAAAGAGAATGTTCCCATGCTCTGGGGTGGACGTGGCTCAGCTCAGAGAGGAAGCCCTGGCTGAAAAGGCTGCAGCTTAGGCTGTTACTCTTCTTCACTCAGCCCAGCATGTGATCACATCTTCTGTCACTCAGGTCCTGAGGGGGCGGGACCTTAAGAATTATCCAATCAGGGACGCTGGGCTGGAAACGTCCAATCAGGCAAGCAGCCGGACCGAACAGGGCGGCTTCTGGTTTGGCGGGTCCTTTGTCTCTCGGTGCAGCCGGAGCTCCAGGTCTCCTCTTCACTACTCTGTGTCCTGTGCTCCTACAGGCCCAGCCTCTGTGGCCCTGTGACCTGCAGGTATTGGGAGATCCACAGCTAAGACACCAGGACCCCTGGAAGCCTAGAAATGGTGAGAGTGCCGGTCCGACATCCCAAGCGACGGGGAGGGGCTGGTTGGAACCGGTGGAAAGTGACGGTGGCGGGACTCAGGTATCCCCTTAGTCAGCTCCACAATCTGCGCCGGAGTTCTTGCCCAGCTCGGCCTCGGTTCCCTTCAGCCATAAGATGGCGGCTGCGCTTATAGCGCAGCCCCCAGGCGTCCTGTCTCTTCACTGTGCGGTGACTGTGCCCTGGCTTGGAGCCCTCGCTGGGCAGCTGCGCACCCGCAGAGCCGCTTCTCTCCCAGATTGTGCAGAGACCACGGGAGAGTCGTCAGGGGAGAATCCTGACTCGGAGTGCGGGTTCACGAATGGGAAGAGCTTTAGTGGGTTGGGTTCACAGTTTCTCTTTTCTCCTATTAAAAATTTATGGGGCTGGGCAAGGTGGCTCACTCCTGTAATCGCAGCAGTTTGGGAGGCCGAGGCGGGCGGATCACTTGAGGAGTTGTTAGGGCAGCTAAGTTCCTCTTCAGAGACTCAACTTCCTGGTCATAAGTTGTAAAAATTGTAAATCAACCCTACCCCTTCTTTTTCCCCATTCTCCTTTTCTCAAAACATCGCGCGTTTACCCTATATGGAAAAAGTTTGTGTCTAGCCCAACCAGGATCAGCTTAGATTGTGCGGTGGGACCTCAGCCAATATGGGAAGGACACAAAAACCGGAACTGCGTTAGGGTTAAATCCCCTTCCTGGCCCAGCGCGGTGGCTGATGCCTGTAATCCCAGCACTTTGTGAGGCCGTGGCGGGTGGATCACAAGGTCAGGAGTTCTAGGCCAGCCTGGCCAACATAGTGAAACCCCGTCTCTACTAAAAATACAAAAATTAGCCGGGATTGGTGGCAGGCGTCTGTAATCCCAGCTACTTGGGAGGCTGACGCACGAGAATTGCTTGAACCTGGGAGGCGAGGTGCAGTGAGCCGAGAGCTTGCCATTGTACTCCAGCCTTGGTGACAAAGTGAGACTCCGTCTTAAAAAAAAAATAGACATCTTAAAATTTCCTTCCCTTATGTAAATACTGTGTTTGAGTAATTTCACGGATTTTTCAAACACTGAGTTTCAAAAACCAAGTGAATAACTCTGACATGACAAAGCTTGAGCCTAGTGACTCCAAGCTAAGGCTAATATTAAGCCTAAAACAGAAGGTTTTTTTTTTGGACAGAGTTTTGCGTTTTGCTCTTGTTGCCCAGGTGGAGTACAGTGGCGCAATCATGGCTCACTGAAATCTCCACCTCCTGGGTTCAAGCGATTCTCCTGCCTCAGCCTCTCAAGTAGCTGGGATTACAGGCATGCACCATCATGCTTGGCTGATTTTGTGTTTTTAGTAGAGACGGGTTTTCTCCATGTTGGTCAGGCTGGTCTCGAGCTCCCGGCCTCTGGTGATCTGCCTGCCTTGGCCTCCTGAAGTGCTGGGATTACAGGCATGAGCCACAGGGCCCAGCCAACAGGAGTTTATAAAGTCCTATTTAGCTTTTTCTGGGGAGCCTCCCCTGCAGATGTCCCAGCCTATTCACCGGAGCCATGGAAGGAGGCGTTATTCTGAGAGAAGGTACAGAGCCCCAGAAAGCTGGGGCCCCACAAGCAGATGCAGTTAAGGTTAAGATGAAAGGAAACTGGGAGGATCTTTTTTTTTTTTTTTTGAGATGGAGTCTCGCTCTGTCGCCCAGGCTGGAGTGCAGTGGTGCGATCTCGACTCACTGCAAGCTCCGCCTCCCGGGTTCACGCCATTCTCCTGCCTGAGCCTCCCGAGTAGCTGGGACTACAGGCACCCACCACCACGCCCGGCTAATTAAAAAAAATTTTTTTAATAGAGACGGGGTTTCACCGTGTGAGCCAGGATGGTCTCGATCTCATGACCTCATGGTCCACCCGCCTCGGCCTCCCAAAGTGCTGGGATTACAGGCGTGAGCCACCGCGCCCGGCCTTTGGGAGGATCTTACTGACGATGAAGTTGTTATTGTTTTGAGGAACATTTTAGACTTTGTAAAATAAAAACGTTAATTTATGTAAAAGATGAATTTCAAAAAAGTATTACAACAGGAGGAAGTACCAACTAACTCTAAAATCTTTATGGCTTGCAAAAATGTAGGCAGAAAAGGGCTTTTCTCCCTAGGGAGGAGCAAACAAGATTAGAAAGGAGGTGGGAGGGGAATGGCAAATGGAGGGTGAAAAAGTCAGATTTTACATCAGAGAATGTCTTACCCTGAAATCAGCATGTTCTTAGGAGGGATGTAAAGTGGGGCTGTATGTTGACTCAGAGTGAGGGTAGCTCAAAGTTCAGGAGCCTGAGGAAGGGAGATAAACCTAAGTAAAGTTTGATTAGGAAATATTTTATTTTAGGCCTGGCCCGGTGGCTTATGCCTTTGGGAGGCCAGCACTGGGATTACCAGTGCTGGTAATCCCAGCACTTTGGGAGGCCAAGGCGGACAGGTCACGAGGTCAGGAGATCGAGACCATCCTGGCCAACGTGGTGAAACTCCATCGTTACTAAAAATACAAAAATTAACTCAGCATGTTGGCGCCCACCTGTATTCCCAGCTACTCAGGAGGCTGAGGCAGGAGAATCGCTAGAACCCGAGAAGCAGAGGTTGCAGTGAGCCAGATCAAGCCACAGCACTCCAGCTTGGCGACAGAGCAAGACTCTGAAAACAAACAAACAGAAAAAAATATTTCAGGCCAGGCGCGGTGGCTCACACCTGTAATCCGAGCACTGTGGGAGGCAGAGGCAGGCGGATCACCTGAGGTTAGGAGTTCAAGACCAGCCTGGCCAACGTGGTGGAACCCTGTGTGTACTACAAATACAAAAACTAGGCGGGCGCTTGTAATCCTAGAAACTTGGGAGGCTGAGGCAGGAGAATTGCTTGAACCCTGCAGGCAGAGGTTGCAGTGAACCGAGATTGCGCCGCTGCACTCCAGCCTGGGCAACAGAGCGAGATTCTGGCTGGAAAAAAAAAAAAAAAAAGAAATATTTTATTTTGACCACCGAAGACAAATACAGCTGATTTTTTTTTTTTTGAATGAGAAATAGGAGAAAATGTGCAGAGTGTGTGTCTGGCTGTGTGATAGGTAAGAAAAGAGAGCACTAAGTCATAAGGGAAAGAGTTTTTCTATAAACTGTTTCTGGAGCACACAAAGGACGGAGAATTGTATTAATCACAAATATTTTCCAGGATTATCTATGTGTTTCATCTTTCCCCATCTCTTTTCTTTGTTCTATGCATTTCTTCCTTTTGGCTTTTCCTGGGCTGCATCTTATATATGAAACCAGTAAACATAACTACAGTGTTTTGCTGAGTTCTGTGAGTAGCTCTACCAAATTGTTGAGTTTCGTGGAGGTGATAGGAGTCCCCAGTTTTTAAACAGCAGCTCAGAAGCATAGATGGGCCCATGGGGTTTGTGTCTGGCATCTGCAGTGAGGACAATGTTGTGGAACTGAGCCCTGAATCAGGGTCTGTGCTGTGTGTGGTGTCAGAATTCAAATGTTAGACAATGAGTTGGTGTTGGAGAATTGTTTGATGTTCAGCAAACTACAGATTTGGTGCCAGAAAAAGGATATCATGGAGCCCTAGCCTGGAATAAAACTCTGGGTGTTTGGGAATGGGAGTCTCTGCTCTCCTCTACACAGGCTGTCACGCTGCCCATTGTCCTGAAATTCCAGGTCTTCTCCCAGGGTGAGAGATGACTGAAAACTTAGAGAAAATGAGCTCTGATGACAGACTCCCTTTTCTCACAGCTGCCACCACAGGATTCCCACCCACTCACAAAAACACACACACTAGACATTGACATGTCCACACTTCTCCCAGAACTATGCACTACCCTCAGGAACCTCACCGTGGCATTTTTGATCTGTGTTTTTTTCAAAGAATTCACAAGTGTCTACAAGTCTCCTGGCATATCCCCACCCCCAGACACTGAATCTGCAGCAGCAACCTGTTTTCTCCACCAACCTAGGGTCTGGACCACCTGTTCATAATCTCACCTGCCTGCATTCGCACGGAAACAAATCAGGGTACAGCCCCACTTGGGCCACTATCTGTAGCAAAAATCAGTCCTTTCACCTACATTGTGCTCTCTCTCACTCAGGGATTTTTTTTTTTCTTTTAGCTTTTATTTTTGGTTTGAGGTACCCATGTGGGTTTGTTATACAGCTGAAATTATGTTATGGGGATTTGGTGTGCAGATTATTTTTTCACTGAGGTACTAAACATAGCACCAAACAGGTATATTTTCTGATCCTCTTACTCCTCCCACCCTCCACCCTCAACTAGGCCTCAGTGTCTGTTGTTTTTCTCTTTGTGTTTATGGGTTCTTATTATTTAGCTCTCCCTTGTAAATAACAACATGCATTTGGTTTTCTATTTCTGCATTAGTTTTCTAAGAATAATGGTCTCCAGCTTCATCAAAGTTATTGCAAAGAACATGATTTTTTTTTAAATGGCCACAGAGTATTCCATGATGTTTATGTTCCATATTTTGTTTTTGCTAAATCTTTTATTTTTGGTCTCACTTATGGCCCAGGCTAGAGTGCCATGGCATGCTATTGGCTTACTTTAGCCTCAGCCTCCCAGGCTCAAGGAATTCTCTCCTACCTCATCCTCCCAAGTAGCTGAAACTACACATATGCATTACCACACCTGGCCAATTTTTTTTTTTTCCGTGGAGACAGAATTTTGCCATGTTGCCAGGCTGGTCTCAAACTTCTGAGCTCAGGCAATCCACCAGCCTCAGCCTCCCAAAGTGCTGGGATTACAGGCATGAGCCACCGCATCTGACCATACTGTATTTTCTTTATTCATTCTACCATTGATAGGCATTTATGGCCTGTCCATGTCTTTGCTGTTGTGAGTAGTGCTGCAATGAACATGAATGTGGATGTGTCTTTATAATATAATAATTTATATTTCTTCGGCCTGACAGGGTATATACCCAATTATAAGGTTTCTGGGTCAAATGATAATTCTGTTACTAGTTCTGTGAGGAATCGCCACACTGCTTTTTACAGTTGTTGAACTAATTTACACTCCCACCAGCGGAGTATAAGCATCTCCTTTCTCCTTTCTCTGCACCTTGCCAGTATCTGTTACCTTTTGACTTTTTAAAAATAGCCATTCTGACTGGTGTGCGGTGGTATCTCATTGTGGTTTTTCTTTAATTTCTGTAATGATTAGTGATGAACTTTTTTTTCATATGCTTGTTAGTCACATGTATGCCTGCTTTTGAAAAGCATCTGTTCATGGTTATTTTTGCCTACTTTTTAATGAGGTTGTTTGGTTATTCTTGTAAAATTGTTTAAGTTCTTAATAAATTCTGGATATTAGACCTTTGTCAGAGACAAAGTTTGCAAATGTTTTCCTTTATTTGGTAGGTTGTCTGTTTACTCAGTTTCTTTTGCTGTGAAAACCTCTTTAGTTTAAATAGGTCCCATTTGTCAATTTTTGCTTTTGTTACAGTTGCTTTTCGTAGCTTCATCATGAAGTCTTTGCCGGTTTCTGTGTCTAGAATGGTATTTCCTAGTTATCTTTCAGGGTTTCTTATAATTTTAAGTTTTTCATTTAAGTGTTTAATTTGTCCTGAGTTGATTTTTGTATATGATGTAATGAAGGGGTCCAGTTTCAGTCTTCTATATAGTGCTAGGTAGTTATTTGAGCACCATTTATGAAATAAGTAATTCTTCCCACATTTCTCTTGTCAGCTTTGGCAAAAATCTGATGGTTGTAGGAGGGTGTCATTATTTCTGGGCTCTCTATTCTGTCGGTCTTGTGCACTCATGGATTTTTTTATAACATCTTTTTCTCTTCTGCTTTTTCCCCCATAAAGATTCTTTCAGGTGCATCTAGTGTGCAAAATTGAGGTGTCCAAGAGTTCAAAAATTCTTTAAAAAGTTCCCAAAAAAATTTTGCTATTCTCTCTTCTCTTTAGGGATTTAGATTATATATAGATGTTTTTTCTGCTTTTTAAAACATATATGTAAATCATACTAACAGCTAAATAAACTTTTTGTAATTTTTTCTGACCCCAGATTGTCTTTATCTAGTACTTCAGATTTATTGCTTTGTTTTGGCTTCTGAAAAGTTTATTTTTTCCATTTTTAGTCCTTCAAAGTAGACACAGATTTGTTTAGATAAAAGCTCATTTTAGGAGCACACAGAAGCTTAGCACAAAAATAGGATTAAATTTAGCAATACCGAATGATAAAGACTAAAAGATACTAAGTTCCATTGACAGAAACCTGATTATTCAAGTTAATTATCAAATATTTGCAGGCTGAAGTGCTTATACTGCAAAAGCAAAAACAGTTCAGTGTGTAAACTGAACAGTGGAGTCTGTAGTTGTGCCTTGCTTTCTATTTATTACTTCAGAACAATTAGCATAGTTATGTGTAGTATTTGCAGACAACCTGCATTCATATAAATTTAACAGCATTTTCTTTTCTTTTTTTTTTTTTTTGAGACAGAGTCTCACTCTGTTGCCCAGGCTGCAGTGCAGTGGCATGATCTCAGCTCACTGCAACTGCTGCCTCCTGGGTTCAAGTGATTCTCCTGCCTCAGCCTCCCGAGTAACTGGCATGCATCACCACACCTGGCTAAGCTTTTGTATTTTTAGCAGAGATGGAGTCTTACCACGTTCGCCAGCTTGATCTTGAACTCCTGACCTCAGGTGATTCACCCACCACAGCCTCCCAAAGTGCTGGAATTACAGGTGTGAGCCATAAACAGTATATTCTACAATAGTATGAATATAAAGCTGCAATACTTACTTTGAATGAATCACTTAAATGGTTATTTTAATATTGTTATTTATACTTTTGAAATATAAAGTGTTTGAAGTATAGTTGCAATTTTTTTAAATGCTACATACATTACTACTGGTACATTAAAATATTCATACTTATTTATATCTAATATCCAAAGAAAATTTACTACCAAAGTGTTACAGTTAGTCTGACATGTTTGTTACTTTATTCAATGGGGATCATTATGGGTAAACACAATTTTAGTATCTTTTGTTTCACTAAATTGGAACGCTGCTATTACAGGACAAATAAAGACAGGTGATGTGGCCACCAAAAACCATAATAGCTCTTCAGTTAACTATGTTACAAGGTCTAATATGTTCCACTGTATGAACACAGTCAGATTCTATTTCTTCATCAAAAAGTGTTGTTGGAAGTTGACAGATGATTTCCATATAGAACCCCCATTCAATGGCTAGAAAATGAGACTGCAGCAGAGATGGAAAAGAAACTTTATAAAATTTTTCTGAAAATCTGCCCTCTTTCTTCATAATGCTCATGTTTCTCATACTGAGAGTAGCTGTGCACTTTGGGTGTTTAGAAATAAATTGCTTTTAGGGGCGTATTTTCTGGCTGATGATCAATCTTATATCTAATCTGAGCTTTTTCTTGAGATCTTTTTACCTTTTTTCTTTCAAAATAATCTTGCTGGCCGGGCGCAGTGGCTCACGCCTCTAATCCCAGCACTTTGGGAGGCCGAGGTGGGCAGATCACCTGAGGTCAGGAGTTCGAGACCAGCCTGACCAACATGGAGAAACCCCTTCTTTACTAAAAATACAAAAATTAGCCAGGCATGGTGGCACATGCCTGTAATCCCAGCTACTCCAGAGGCTGAGGCAGGAGGATGGCTTGAACCCAGGAGGCGGAGGTTGCTGTGAGCCGAGATCGCACCATTGCACTCTAGCCTGGGCAACAAGAGTGAAACTCCGTCTCAAAAAAAAAAAAAAAAAAAAAAAAAATCTTGCTCAGATGGAGATTTGGTTTTCTCTCTAATGCTTTGGGTGTCTGTTTCAGAAATCCTATTAGTATCCCGTGGTGTCTGAATGAGGTGGGCTGTCACAGTGAGAACTTTTGAAGATATGTCTATCTGGACTCATGCTGAAAATTCAGAAGTATTTTTTCCATGTCATCATTATAAGTAGAAACTGAGGCTGAAACACTGCTCACATTCTGATTATTGTGAAGGTGAAATTCTATCCATGACGCCTGCAGGCTCTCCTCCTGCAGCTCAGACGTCACTCTCTGATGTGACACTAGAGTGCTGCTGTGGCAAATGGGGTTCACATAAAATGTAAGCTGTGCTCTGGGCTGTGCCTCAGTGGCAGATGGTAGCGGTAAAGAGAGGACACTAGCAACTAGGAGAAAGTAAACAGGAGTGCTGTAGCCCAGTGCCAGGGAGTACAGAGCCACTGCTCTAAAATGTAAATAGCCAAAAAGAACACTATTCAGCCATTTTTGTAGCAGAGTGAAAGCCTAGCTTCAGCAGACACCTGGCTTCAAGCTGCTAAACCAACTCCTGTTATGAAGATGTGAAAAGTTTATTTGTCATTGAATATAAGCAATTAGTATACACAGATGGCCTCTTCAGTATCCAGGTGAATTTAGGATGAACTATATATGACATGGTGCTGAAAATTCTTCTACTTGTGGACTAATTATGATGACCATCTTTCTGACTTTGCAGTCTCTTAAGCAGATTGATGATGATGTATGTCACATTCAAGTTTAATTGTGTAATAAGACCATTTTCTTTCTGTTCTATTATTGTGGAGTTTCTCTGAAAATAGAGAAAATTTTTCTTTTAATTATTGTTTCCACAGAGTGTCTAGAATTACCAGACATGATATAAACACATAAGGTGCCAACCAGAATTTACTGTAGAGGGGACTTTCCCTCTCAGACTTTGAGTCAGCCCATACTTGCGCAGCAAAATGCATGCTGTCCATTAAATATGCACGTGGAATTTTGTCTCTGCCTATTTGGTATTGATAGTTCCTCTACTGTCACTTCTAGAGAGGCTAGACCCAATTTCTACAAACTTCACAGGGCAGCAATTAATTAATCATTTAACCTTTTTCAGTGACTCTTGTATCTTCAGATTTGAAACTGATTCAGAAACTATGGAGCCCAGAAACCCAATCAGAGTAACATGTGTGTGCTGAGTAGACATAGAGACATGAGAATCTCCACTTTCCCCTTCCTCCTCTTGCTAAATGCTCACAAATGTACAGGTAAACACCTGTGGCTACTCCAGTCGTTCAGGCCCTAAACTTGAAGCTCCAAATTTTGAATCCAGGTCTTGAGATTTGGGGGAAAAAAAAACTTACCTAAGAAATGCAAGTCCCTTTGGTTATCAAACTCAGACATTAAAATGAAAGTACTGTTATGTCTTTCTCCCCCCTTTGAACTATGTATTCATCTCTTGAAACTGTTCACTATTGCCACAAGTAATTATAAATTAAACTAATAATGCCACATTAGACACTATATCCCATACCCTAAACCATAATAATATATATGTAATCAATAATCGATGTTATTTCTGTAAATAAATAAAAATTTCTGACAATCAACTTTGTATCAGCCCACTCTCTGTCCCTGTCTTGTTGTCTTTACAAATTGTCTTGTAACTGCTGGTAATCAAAATGCAGATTCCAGGCAACTTGAATCTTTGCTCCCAGGTTATAATCCTTAAGCTTGACCCAAGTAAACTATCTACTTATATTCATGTTCTTTCAGCTTTTTTTTTTTTTTTTCATGTAGACTTACCATTTAGAATGTGCTAGAGTAGTCTCTATGAGGGGATCTCTCCTTTGATTGTATTCCACTTGCTGTAACACCAAAGGATGCAGAGCCAGGTGGATCCTACCTGGAATCTGCAGATAAGGTCTGGCCTCTGCCTGGGATTTACAAGAAAGGACCAGAACTTGGATTGAGAATGTACAGAAAATGAACAAAAGTCATTTTCTGCATTGTGAATGTAAACATAGACATCTTACAGCCCCCATTTGGGAGTGTGGCTCTTTGAGATTTTCACATCTTGTTCATTGACCTGCTACAGTTATGTGAGGGGCTCCAGGAGAAATAGACTCAGATGGCAGAATCTGTAAGTGTAAATAAGCATCTTAGGAGTGAGAGATCGGGGCCACAAAGTATCCAGAGCCATGACCACAATTATATTTAGCTGTAAAATGTAATACTAGAGTAGAGTATTTTTGATCTTTCTCTTACCCAAGAGCTAGCAAATCAGAATGGGTGATCCAGGTTCTGGAGCTCCACCAGGGCAGTTCCATTTTCTATTCAGAGTTAGCCTGAGTCTCTCCAGCCTGGCTTATCATTGGGCCATGAGGCCTGGGTCACTGGGAATCTCTCACAATCACCCAGGTGTCTTTGAGGCATTTGAGGATGTCCAGAGCAGAATTTTGTCAGGCTGACAAGAGTGGTTAATTCTGCTTCTGTCTCAGTGTAAGAGAAATGAGTCATCCTGTGTTTGTTCATTCCCTCATACAAGAGATATCTTTGGTTGGTACCCCGATGACAGCTTCTCCAGTTTCCTGGTACTTGGATAATAAGGAGAAGATCTGGAGACCCAGATAGATAAACTAGCTCCTTCCACTTCATATGGGCATTAAAAAAATACATGAAGCAGTCATAGTTCCTACAATCCAGAAACTTTTAGTCTAGACTAGCTACTGGATAAGTAATTGAAGTGTGCATCATATGGTTGGTATAATAAATAGATGTGTTAAAAATCTTGGGCTTTAGACCACTTTCTTTATATTGTTGTGACTTCTGATGTCTACACCTGAAGGGAGATTTATGAACAAAATAATTGTTATAAATTCTTTTTTTTTTTTGAGATGGTGTTTCACTCTGTCACCTGGTCTGGCTTGCAGTGGCACGATCTCGGCTCACTGTAAACTCTGCCGCCCGGGTTCAGGTGACTTTCCCTTCTCAGCCTCCCGAGTAGCTGGGATTACAGTTGCCTGCCACTGCACCTAGCTAATTTTTGTATTTTTACTAGAGGCGGGGTTTCATCATCTGGATCAGGCTGGTCTTTAACTGCTTGACCTCGTTCTGCACCCGCCTTGGTCTCCCAAAGTCTTGAGATTACAAGCATGACCCACCGCGCTTGGCCGTATATTTTCTATTTCTTTTACCTTGCTAACTGTAGATATTTATTTTCTAATAAAATTACCCTAGAAAACCTTAAGGGATTTGTTTAAGTTGCATACTAGTATATAGTATAAAGTTGTCAGGGCAGTGACTAGAAAAGATAAAAACTACAGAAACTCTGGGATTTAAGTTTCTTTTAGGTAAGCTTAGAAACAAAACAAAACTGGAAGTTTCCTAGTTGCATAGAGAACAGAATTCTACATAGGGTTCTCACCCTGCCCCAGACGTGTTCAGATTCATCCTTTTTGGAGACCTTAGTTAGGTCTGAACCTACCCTGGAGTATTGCCTCACAGAACTCATTAAAGGAGATCAGAGTTTTGGCTGCTGAATCCTGCTGCCTTTCTAGAGCTGGTGCTCACAATTTCCTGAAATTCAAAAGCAGATAAATCGGGAAAAAAAGTATGTTTTGTAAGGTGTTTGTTTTTAAATTTTTTATTAAAACCAGTGCTTGCAGAGACATTGTATTTAGCAACTTGTTTTCTATTCCTGCAGATCCAGTAGTTGCTGCACAAGTCAAAAAAGTAAATATAAACAGAATGAAATTTTCTCTAGACTACATTAAACTCTTCTGTATCTCTTTCATCTGTCTATATTTAGCTTTTATTCTATACAATTTTTTAAAAAATTTGATGACAGAGAAACAGAAGAAAAAATAAAAATGGGCCCTTTATCTAAATCCTGAAAATTAAGAAACACTTAGTACCAGCTCCCCGGGTGTTAAGAGAATTAAATCATATAATGTGTTATGCCCAGCACCGTGCTCTGTATCATACTCTAGCACATAGTGCCTGCTTAATAAACATTGCATTAGTACCTGTGTACATGTTCTTTTTAAAATACAGACTTATTCAGATATTGCTGTCTTCTGTTTCCTCTGTAAATTTTAAAGAGCCAGCAAAAAATATAAAACTTTTAAATGGAATGGGCTGTCCTTATTTTTACTAGAAGTATTTGGTTATGGCAAGAGTGTTAAGTGTAAGGGACCCTGTGCTGTTCCTGCTTTCTCTAACTAATGCTCATAATGAGCCAGTGGGGAGCAACATCAGCATTGACAGGGGACTTGTTTAAAACACTCATTCATAAACCCTCTTCAAACATACAGAATCACATTACAGAATGTGCGGCCACAATTATCAAGTGATTTATAAGCTCGTTAAAGCTTGAGAGGCAATGCTTAGCTTAGTGGTTATCAGCCCAGGCTTCTCATTAGGATCACATGACCAATTTGCTGAAATCTCTTGTACCCTCCCCACAGCTTCTGTTTATTGTTGTGGGTGGAAGCATCCATGTTTTTTTAATGAAGTGCCTCATGTGACTCTAAGGTGATTCCAGAATCAAGTATAAGGGCTTTAAAATATATTCATGAGAGTTAAATTCCACCTGTGAACTAGAGGGTGGTCACAGGGCCTATTCTATTTGGGTTTGGTAGGGACAGGTAAGTGTGGTGCATATTTCCATTACTGTAGCAAAAGTTGCTGGTGTCTATGGCAGGGGAGGGCACCTGAGGACAGGAAAGGAGAAACTTATATTTTTATCTTCATGGAGCAGTTCATTGTTCCCGAATCTCTTCTGTTTTAAAGGACAGAAATGGGTGGCTTTTTCTGTCTTTTTCTGCCAGAAGATGTCATGCTAGCAGGTAAACATGTGGTACACCTTTAAAGGCATATTCTCCAGATGCAGGTGTAATTTGTACAGAGAATCTCATCTGAGAAGAAACTCCAGGGAAGGAGGAGAAAGAAAAAAAAATGGCTTTTCTTCAGGTAAACATGTGTCAGATGAAGAGCTGTGTCCACTCTGCCTCCTGGACTGCCATGCGTTTAGTACTCACAAACCTTTACTTCTCTACTTTTGTTTTTCCTCCGTGAGTTTGATTTAACTACTTCTTAAAATTCCTATGATGGTCAAGGATCTTTGAAAAATATTTCTTTTTTATATCCCACAGACTTCTCTACATTCTGTTTGTCATAGCTTCTTATATGCCATGCAGAATTATCAGCAAGAATTTATGATCCACATTATTAAAAATATTCCCTTTGTGGCTGTTGAACACAGAAAGATGTGGGTACTCAAGATTCCTATTGGGGAAAACTGTGGTCCTTAGTAAAGATGGTAAAGTAAAAGCCTCCACTCGTGTTCCATTAGCTATATGCAGAAGATAATTCAGAAAATGCTTATTTAAATGGGATAGAATTTATTACCCAGAATGTTCTGAAAAAAATTATTAGGAGATACTTGCTCTCTAGGGTGCTAAATGAAGCCTATTTAAAATTACTACTAAAAATTACAGAACATAGGAGTTAACTGTATTTTGGAGTTTGCATAAAACTGATGTTTCTTTATGGTTAAATTCAGATTATAATTTACGTTATTTGGGAGGAATATTTCAACAGTGATACTGTGTTCTGTGTGCATTAACACATCAGAAAAATTTGTCCTAGTGCAGTTAATGGTTAATGATTCACTTGGTGAAGTAGCTCTCTCTCACAGATTTTTTCACTATAGTTAATTATTTTTCTCTTCATTATTAAGCATCCTTATCCAGCGGATTTGCATAAACCATCACATTTAATCTGTCAGTTGTCCTTTTTTCTTTTTTTTTCTATATAGTTTTCTATGGAAGATGAAGGCTGTTATCTTTGTTTACAGGCCACAAAAACTTGGAAAAACACAGGCTCTTCCACTTACTGGATGTTTGACAAAATATCCTTCTCGGGCCAAAAACATTGACATTTTTGGTGAGCTTGTTAGAAATTCAAAAAATCAGACTTCATTCCAGATCTTCTGGGAAAAAACCCCCGCATAACAAGGTCTTCAGCTTATTGTACATATTAAAATTTGAGAGGTGACTTCTAACTCAACATGTCTTTTCCATATGAAACATATTCACATCTCATTCTGTATGATGTAAATATAGCACTCAAAAATGTACATGTTCATGTTCATGCCCTTAATTTTATACTTTATTATCTAGAAAAATATCATATATGAACTGATGTTGTGGATCTAATGCTGCCCTTTTTTTCTCAGATAATACATTAGAGAATATTTCTGTGTTGAAGATTATTTTATTGGATAATTTTAGTCAGTCCTATAAGTCAGAACCACTTCTCTTTACTCTCTCATTTCACCTTAAGTAAAATTAAAAATTCCACCCATGGCCACTTGGTGAAAATGTGTGTGTGTGTTTTTCAGGGACCATTGCAATTTAGAGATGTGGCCATAGAATTCTCTCTGGAGGAGTGGCATTGCCTGGACACTGCACAGCGGAATCTATATAGGAATGTGATGTTAGAGAACTACAGTAACCTGGTCTTCCTTGGTGAGGATAACTTTAATACATAATTCATAATACACCCTAAAGGTTTTATTTCTCTTTTTTGTAGAATGTTTTTTAGTAATTTATTCTTTGCATAAAGGAGTTTCAGATCCATTTTTTCCAGAAAATCTTCAGAATTTGTTCATTTAGAAAAGAATTTCTTCAGTGCCTCTTGCCTGTATAGTTCTGACTTTGGGAGGCTAGGGCGGAGGAGATTGCCTGAGGCGAGGAGTTCGAGACCAGCCTGGCCAACATGGTCAAACCCCATCTCTACTAAAAATACAAAAAATTAGCCAGGCGTTGTGGCATGCGGCTGTAATCCCAGCTACTTGGGAGGGTGAGGCAGGAGAATTGCTTGAACCCAGGACACGGAGGTTGCAATGAGCCGAGATCGTGCCGTTGCACTCCAGCCTGGATGACAGAGCAAGATTACTTCTCGAGAAAAAAACAAAAATTTCTTCAAGATGTTTCATCTTAATCCAATCTTTCCACATTCCTGAGTTGAGCTGTATTCTTCACTCTAAATTAGTGGTAATTACAGAAATTTACTGACGTAAAATATTGTAGCCCCCACCTGAAAATCTAAATGCCACCACCAATTTTTGATTCAGTGGTACCAGGTAGTAAAATTAAGAAACCTACAAATTGGAAGTATTTTCTTTTTCCTTTTTTTTTTTTTTTGAGACGGAGTCTTGCTCTGTCACCCAGGCTGGAGTGCAGTGGAATGATCTTGGCTTACTGCAACCTCCGACTCCCAGGTTCAAGCAATTCTCCTGACTCAATCTCCCGAGTAGCTGGGACTACAGGCATGCATTACCATGCTCTGCTAATGTTTGTATTTTTAGTAGAGATGGGGTTTCACCATGTTGGCCAGTCTGGTCTCCAACTCCTGACTTCGTGATCCGCCCGCCTTGGCCTCCCCCTGATCTCATGATCCACCTGCTTTGGCCTCCCAAATTGCTGGGATCACAGGCGTGAGCCACTGCACCCGGCAAATTGAAAGTATTGTTTAAATATCTATAAATTTCTGTTATAAATTTGTATTTTGGTATTAATTTACTAGAATATTTTATCACATCGTCTTTGCTGAGCACATTACTAGCTTGTAATTGGAGAATATGAGCAAGATTCATGTTATTTATTCTTAACAAAACAGGTATTGTTGTCTCTAAGCCAGACCTGATCGCCCATCTGGAGCAAGGAAAAAAACCTTTGACTATGAAGAGACATGAGATGGTAGCCAACCCCTCAGGTAGGTGTGAGTGAAAATGAATACAACAGACAACACAGTAAGAGGTCCCAAGGCCAAAGAGAAAGCCAGTCCTTAAAATGTGATTCGGGAAGCTGTGTTCCAAAGGAAATAGTTCCTGGGCAGCTGTTTTTTGTTTTTGTTTCTGTTTTTTAATTTTGTTCTCACAAAGGGACATCTTCCGTTTTATGCTTTTAAATTCTCTAAGGATTCTACTTTTGTTTTGGTGAGCTTCCTTCAAGTTCTCAGTGAGAGCCACAGTCCTCTTGATGGCATATAAGAGATTATACAATCTGGCTGCTTTTCCATTCTTTTGGGGACACAAAAATATTTGCATGATTTTGAAAAACTAAAACTACTTTTTAGTTCTATTTTTGCATCAGGTCTAAAATGTGTGAGAGTAGTTTCTGTTGCATTTTTTTGTTCATTTTTCTTTATAGTCCATTCTATTTTTATTACTACATAGTTTTTAAGTATAGTTTGCAATTATACATATGATATGCTTCTGCTTTGTTCTTTTTCCTCAAGATTGCTTTGGCTATTCACACTTTTATTGTAGTTTCATGTAAATTTTAGAATTGTATTTTCCATTACTGTGAAAAAAATACCACTGCAATTTTGATAGGAAGTTTATTGAATCTGTAGATTACTTTGGATAATATGACACTTTAATAATACTTATTCTTCAAGTTATAGACATAAAATATTTTAAAATTTATTTGGATCTTCTAATTTTTTTATTGTAAAGATTTTTTATCTCTTAGTTAATTTTTTTCCCAGTAGTTTTTTTTAATGCTACATTAAATAAGATTTTTCTTCCTCTATTTTGTCAAATAGTTTCTTTTAAGTGCATGAAACCATTCATATACTTGTGTGTTAATTTTCTGTTTTGGTAATTTACTATTTACTGAGTGTATTTATTAGTTTAGACAGCTTTTTAAATTTTTTTTATTTTTTGACAGTTTCGCTCTTGTTGCCCAGGTTGGAGTGCAGTGGCACGATCTCAGCTCACCACCACCACACCTGGCTAATTTTGTATTTTTAGTAGAGATGGGGTTTCACCATGTTGGTCAGAGTGGTCTCAAACTCCCAACCTCAGGTGATCCACCCGCCTTGGCCTTTCAATGTGCTGGGATTACAGGCATGAGCCACCACGCCTAGCTAGACAGTTTTTAATATACTGTTTATGGTTTTTAAAATATGAGATTGTATGATCTACAAACAGCAACTTTTTACTTATTTTTCTTCAATTTCAGTGACTTTCTTTCCTTCCTTCCTTCCTTCCTTCTTTCTTTTTTTTTCTTTTTTTTAATTATACTTTAAGTCCTAGTGTAGATGTGCACATCGTGCAGGTTTGTTACACATGTATACATGTGCCATGTTGGTGTGCTGCACCCATTAAGTCGTCATTTACATTAGGTGTATCTCCTAATGCTATCCCTCCCCCGTCCCCCCACCCCACAACAGGCCCCAGTGTGTGATGTTCTCCTTCCTGTGTCCAAGTGTTCTCATTGTTCAATTCCCACCTATGAATGAGAACATGCGGTGTTTGGTTTTTTGTCCTTGCGATAGTTTGCTGAGAATGATGGTTTCCAGCTTCATCCATGTCCCTGCAAAGGACATGAACTCATCATTTTTTTATGGTTGCATAGTATTCCATGGTGTATATGTGCCACATTTTCTTAATCCAGTCTATCATTGTTGTACATTTGGGTTGGTTCCAAGTCTCTGCTATTGTGAATAGTGCTGCAATAAACATACGTGTGCATGTGTCTTTATAGCAGCATGATTTATAATCCTTTGGGTATATACCCAACAATGGGATGGCTGGGTCCAATGGTATTTCTAGTTCTAGATCCCTGAGGAATCGCCACACTGACTTCCACAATGGTTGAACTAGTTTACAGTCCCACCAACAGTGTAAAAGTGTTCCTATTTCTCCACATCCTCTCCAGCACCTGTTGTTTCCTGACTTTTTAATGATCGCCATTCTAACTGGAGTGAGATGGTATCTCATTGTGGTTTTGATTTGCATTTCTCTGATGGCCAGTGATGATGAGCATTTTTTCATGTGTCTTTTGGCTGTATAAATGTCTTCTTTTGAGAAGTGTCTATTAATATCCTTCGCCCACTTTTCGATGGGGTTGTTTGTTTTTTTCTTGTAAATTTGTTTGAGTTCTTTGTAGATTCTGGATATTAGCCCTTTGTCAGATGAGTAGATTGCAAAAATTTTCTCCCATTCTGTAGGTTGCCTGTTCACTCTGATGGTAGTTTTTTTTTTGCTGTGCAGAAGCTCTTTAGTTTAATTAGATCCCATTTGTCAATTTTGGCTTTTGTTGCCATTGCTTTTGTTGTTTTAGACGTGAAGTCCTTGCCTGCCTATGTCCTGAATGGTATTGCCTAGGTTTTCTTCTAGGGTTTTTATGGTTTTAGGTCTAACATTTAAGTCTTTAATCCATCTTGAATTAATTTTTGTATAAGGTGTAAGGAAGGGATCCAGTTCCAGCTTTCTACATGTGGCTAGCCAGTTTTCCCAACACCATTTGTTAAATAGGGAATCCTTTCCCCATTTCTTGTTTTTGTCAGGTTTGTCAAAGATCAGATAGTTGTAGATGTGTGGCATTATTTCTGAGGGCTCTGTTCTGTTCCATTGGTCTATATCTCTGTTTTGGTACCAGTACCATGCTGTTTTGGTTACTGTAGCCTTGTAGTATAGTTTGAAGTCAGGTAGCATGATGCCTCCAGCTTTGTTCTTTTGGCTTAGGATTGACTTGGTAATGTGGGCTCTTTTTTGGTTCCATATGAACTTTAAAGTAGTTTTTTCCAATTCTGTGAAGAAAGTCATTGGTAGCTTGATGGGGATGGCATTGAATCTATAAATTACCTTGGGCAGTATGGCCATTTTCATGATATTGATTCTTCCTACCCATGAGCATGGAATGTTCTTCCATGTGTTTGTATCCTCTTTTATTTTGTTGAGCAGTGGTTTGTAGTTCTCCTTGAAAAGATCCTTCACATCCCTTTTAAGTTGGATTCCTAGGTATTTTATTCTCTTTGAAGCAATTGTGAATGGGAGTTCACTCATGATTTGGCTCTGTGTTTGTCTGTTATTGGTGTATAAGAATGCTTGTGATTTTTTCACATTGATTTTGTATCCTGAGACTTTGCTGAAGTTGCTTATCAGCTTGAGATTTTGGGCTGAGACGATGGGGTTTTCTAGATATACAATCATGTCATCTGCAAACAGTGACAATTTGACTTCCTCTTTTCCTAATTGAATACCCTTTATTTCCTTCTCCTGCCTGATTGCCCTGGCTGGAACTTCCAACACTATGTTGAGTAGGATTGGTAAGAGAGGGCATCCCTGTCTTGTGCCAGTTTTCAAAGGGAATGCTTCCAGTTTTTGCCCATTCAGTATGATATTGGCTGTGGGTTTGTCATAAATAGCTCTTATTATTTTGAGATACATCCCATCAATACCTAATTTATTGAGAGTTTTTAGCATGAAGGGCTGTTGAATTTTGTCAAAGGCCTTTTCTGCAGCTATTGAGATAATCATGTGGTTTTTGTTGTTGGTTCTGTTTATATGCTGGATTATGTTTATTGATTTGTGTATGTTGAACCAGCCTGGCATCCCAGGGATGAAGCCCACTTGATCATGGTGGATAAGCTTTTTGATGTGTTGCTGGATTCGGTTTGCCAGCTTATTGAGGATTTTTGCATCGATGTTCATCAGGGATGTTGGTCTAAAATTCTCTTTTTTTGTTGTGTCTCTGCCAGGCTTTGGTATCAGGATGATGCTGGCCTCATAAAATGAGTTAGGGAGGATTCCCTCTTTTTCTATTGATTGGGATAGTTCCAGAAGGAATGGTACCGGCTCCTCCTTGTACCTCTGGTAGAATTCAGCTGTGAATCCATCTGGTCCTGGACTTTTTTTGGTTGGCAAGCTATTATTGCCTCAATTTCAGAGCCTGTTATTGGTCTATTCAGAGATTCAAGTTCTTCCTGGTTTAGTCTTGGGAGGGTGTATGTGTTGAGGAATTTATCCATTTCTTCTAGATTTTCTAGTTTATTTGCGTAGAGGTGTTTATGGTATTCTCTGATGGTAGTTTGTATTTCTGTGGGATGGGTGGTGATATCCCCTTTATCATTTTTTATTGCATCTATTTGATTCTTCTCTCTTTTCTTCATTAGTCTTGCTAGCGGTCTATCAATTTGGTTGATCTTTGCAAAAAACTAGCTCCTGGATTCATTGATTTTTTGAAGAGTTTTTTGTGTCTCTATCTCCTTCAGTTCTGCTCTGATCTTAGTTATTTCTTGCCTTCTGCTAGCTTTTGAATGTGTTTGCTCTTGCTTCTCTAGTTCTTTTAATTGTGATGTTAGGGTGTCAATTTTAGATCTTTCCTGCTTTCTCTTGTGGGCATTTAGTGCTATAAATTTCCCTCTACACACTGCTTTAAATGTGTCCCAGAGATTCTGGTATGTTTTGTCTTTGTTCTCATTGGTTTCAAAGAACATGTTTATTTCTGCCTTCATTTCCTTATGTACCCAGTAGTCATTCTGGAGCAGGTTGTTCAGTTTCCATGTAGTTGAGCGGTTTTGAGTGAGTTTCTTAATCCTGAGTTCTAGTTTGATTGCACTGTGGTCTGAGAGGCAGTTTGTTATAATTTCTGTTCTTTTACATTTGCTGAGGAGTGCTTTACTTCCAACTATGTGGTCAATTTTGGAATAAGTGCAGTGTGGTGCTGAGAAGAATGTATATTCTGTTGATTTGGGGTGGAGAGTTCTGTGGATGTCTGTTAGGTCTGCTTGGTGCAGAGCTGAGTTCAATTCCTGGATATCCTTGTTAACTTTTTGTCTCATTGATCTGTCTAATGTTGATAATGGGGTGTTAAAGTCTCCCATTATTACTGTGTGGGAGTCTTAAGTCTCTTTGTAGGTCTCTAAGGACTTGCTTTATGAATCTGGGTGCTCCTGTATTGGGTGCATATATATTTAGGATAGTTAGCTCTTCTTGTTGAATTGATCCCTTTACCATTATGTAATGGCCTTCTTTGTCTCTTTTGATCTTTGTTGGTTTAAAGTCTGTTTTATCAGAGACTAGGATTGCAACCCCTGCCTTTTTTTGTTTTCCATTTGCTTGGTAGATCTTCCTCCATCCCTTTATTTTGAGCCTATGTGTGTCTCTGCATGTGAGATGGGTTTCCTGAATATAGCACACTGATGGGTCTTGACTCTTTATCCAATTTGCCAGTCTTTGTCTTTTAATTGGAGCATTTAGCCCATTGACATTTAAGGTTAATATTGTTATATGTGAGTTTGATCCTGTCATTATGATGTTAGCTAGTTATTTTGCTCATTCGTTGATGCAGTTTCTTCTTAGCCTCGATGGTCTTTACTATTTGGCATGTTTTTGCAGTGGCTGGTACCAGTTGTTCCTTTCCATGTTTAGTGCTTCCTTCAGGAGCTCTTGTAGAGCAGGCCTGGTGGTGACAAAATCTCTCAGCATTTGCTTGTCTGTAAAGGATTTTATTTCTCCTTCACTGATGAAGCTTAGTTTGGCTGGGTATGAAATTCTGGGTTAAAAATTCTTTTCTTTAAGAATGTTGAATATTGGCCCCCACTCTCTTCTGGCTTGTAGAGTTTCTGCCGAGAGGTCAGCTGTTAGTCTGATGGGCTTCCCTTTGTGGGTAACCTGACCTTTCTCTCTGGCTGCCCTTTTTTCCTTCATTTCAACTTTGGTGAATCTGACAATTATGTGTCTTGGAGTTGCTCTTCTTGAGGAGTATCTTTGTGGCATTCTCTGTATTTCCTGAATTTGAATGTTGGGCTGCCTTGCTAGATTGGGGAAGTTCTCCTGGATAATATCCTGCAGAGTGTTTTCCAGCTTGGTTCCATTCTCCCCATCACTTTCAGGTACACTAATCAGATGTAGATTTGGTCTTTTCACATAGTCTCATATTTCTTGGAGGCTTTGTTCATTTCTTTTTATTCTTTTTTCTCTAAACTTCCCTTCTCGCTTCATTTCATTCATTTGATCATCCATCACTGACACCCTTTCTTCCAGTTGATCAAATCAGCTACTGATGCTTATGCATTTGTCACATAGTTCTCGTGCCATGGTTTTCAGCTCCATCAGGTCCTTTAAGGACTTCTCTGCATTGGTTCCTTTAGTTAGCCATTCGTCTAATCTTTTTTCAAGGTTTTTAACTTCTTTGCCATGGGTTTGAACTTCCTCCTTTAGCTTGGAGAAGTTTGATCGTCTGAAGCCTTCTCTTAACTCATCAAAGTCATTCTCCATTCAGCTTTGTTCCATTGCTGGTGAGGAGCTGTGTTCCTTTGGAGGGGGAGAGGCACTCTGATTTTTATAATTTTCAGTTTTTCTGCTCTGTTTTTCCCCATCTTTGTGGTTTTATCTACCTTTGGTCTTTGATGATGGTGACATACAGATGGGGTTTTGGTGTGGATGTCCTTTCTGTTTGTTAGTTTTCCTTCTAACAGTCAGGACCCTCAGCTGCAGGTCCGTTGGAGTTTGCTGGAGGTCCACTCCAGACCCTGTTTGCCTGGGTATCAGCAGCGGAGGCTGCAGAACAGCGAATATTGGTGAACAGCAAATGTTGCTGCTCCAGAGATCATTCCTCTGGAAGTTTCATCTCAGAGGGGTACCCGGCCGTGTGAGGTGTCAATCTGCTCCTACTTGGGGGTGCCTTCCAGTTAGGCTACTCAGGGGTCAGGGACCCACTTGAATAGGCAGTCTGTCTGTTCTCAGATCTCAAGCTCCATGCTGGGAGAACCACTACTGTCTTCCAAGCTGTCAGAGGTTTCTCCTGCAATTTTGTTTGGCTATGCCCTGCCCCCAGAGGTGGAGTCTACAGAGGCAGGCAGGCCTCCTTGAGCTGTGGTGGGCTCCACGCAGTTCGAGCTTCCTGGATGCTTTGTTTACCTACTCAAGCCTCAGCAATGGCAGGCGCCCCTCCCCCAGCCTCGCTGGTGCCTTAAAGTTTGATCTCAGACTGCTGTGCTAGCAATGAGCGAGGCTCCATGGGTGTAGGACCCTCTGAGCCAGGCATGGGATATAATCTCCTGGTTTGCCATTTGCTAAGACTGTCAGAAAAGTGCAGTATTAGGGTGGGAGTGACCCAATTTTCCAGGTGCTGTCTGTCACCCCTTTCCTTGGCTAGGAAAGAGAATTCCCTGATCCCTTGCACTTCCCAGGTGAGGTGATGCCTCGCCCTGCTTCGGCTCACACTTGGTGTGCTGCACCCATTGTCCTGCACCCCTTGTCCGACAATTCCCAGTGAGATGAACCCGGTACCTCAGTTGGAGATGCAGAAATCATCCGTCTTCTGTGTTGCTCACACTGGGAGCTGTAGACTGCAGCTGTTCCTATTTGGCCATCTTGGAACTGTCCCCTTCCTTCCTTCCTTCCTTCTTTCTTCTTTCTTTTGTTTTTTGGTGGGATTTCAGTCTTGTTGCCCAGGCTGGAGTGCAATGGCATGATTTCGGCTCACTGCAACCTTTGCTTCCTGGGTTCAAGCAATTGTCCTGCCTCAGCCTCCAGAGTAGCTTGGATTACAGGTGTTTGCCACAATGCCTGGCTAATTTTTTGTAATTTTTTAGTAGAGATGAGGTTTCACCATGTTGGTAAGGCTGGTCGGAAACTCCTGACCTTAGATGATCCGCCCGTCTCTGCCTCCCAAAGTGCTGGGATTACAGCCGTGAGCCACCGCACCCAGCCGGATTTTTTTTAGTTCTGTGAATAATTTTCTGTCACATACTTCTAGTGCTACATTCAAATAGATGTATTGCCAATGGACACAATATAGTTTTGTATTGGTGTCTGAATATGATGGAGCAAACACCTCTTCAAGTTTTCATAAACCGATTTTTGAAGCATTTCCTCAGGTAACTGTGTGGGTTTCTTTTTTTCTTTCTTTTTTTTTTTCTCTTTTTTTGAGGTGGGGTTTCATTCCTGTTGCCCAGGCTGAAGTGCAATGGTGCAATCTAGGCTCACTGCAACCTCCACCTCCTGGGTTCAAGAGATTCTCCTGCCTCAGCCTCCCAAGTAGCTGGAATTACAGGCATGTGCCACCACACCCGGGTGATTTTGTATTTTTAGTAGAGAGGGGGTTTCTCCATATTGGTCAGGCTGGTCTCCCAACTCCTGACCTCAGGTGATCCACCTGCCTCAGCCTCCCAAAGTGCTGGAATTACAGGCATGAGGCACCCCGCCTGGCCCAACTGTGTGGATTTCTATGTAGACAGAACTGACCATAAACTGTGGTTCAGGCAACTGAAATTGAATCATTGATTTGCTTCAGGGAACGCAGTAAAAGCGAAGGTCTGTAGGCCTGCCTACATGGCTGTACATGGATGCCTTTATTCAGGTCTCTGGAATGGCATGACCTCTCCCAGACTGTGGCTGGGATGAGTTTGGGATGGTTACAGAGTAAGTTCAGAATTCTCAGTGAGACCAAGTTGGCTGAACTCTATCCTGGGCTGTAGCCAAGAACAGGGGTCCTGTAGTTTCCCACCTGAATGAAGGCCTCCCTTCTGAATAGAACACGTCCAATCTTCAGCTTTAACAGCATTTCACAACTCCCTCCCCGGATCTCAAATTTCTGTTAGAGGCACTTATTTTGGAGATGTCATCTTGCTACATAATCCAGGCTGGTCTCAAAATCCTGACCTGAAGCAGTTCTCAAACCTTAATGTACCGTGGAGCTGTCATTACAGTTGTGAACCATAATGCCTGGTTTTCTCATAAAGGCATGTTTGTCAAGGATGGTTGAGATCTTTTTTGCTGTAAGGGGATATGAAAATAGGGCACTTTTAATCTTTTCATCTTACTGATGTCACTCTCCCTGTAGATTTTTACTTTCTATTTTCTACTTCAAATTTGTCTGTAATTTGAGATTCAGATATTTAGGACAATATGCTAGAATTTGCATGGTATGCCTCAAGTAAATTAGATAATTAGTAGGCACTCCATATTTACGAAAATAGTTACTTGTAAATTTCAGTTTGCTGCAGGCAAAAAGGAATTAAAGGATTTTCATCTACTTACTTTAACCTATATCTAAATAATAATATACTTTATTTTCTAATATTTGTTTTACATATCAGAGGGTCTAACCCTATTCTGCAAAATATGTATTTTCTTTATTTAAAAATGTAAGACTACTCTTTGCTTCTAAAATTGGATTACAGCAGTTTCATTTTGTGTAAGAATAGCATATATTTAAAACAAAAGTAACTCTAGGTTCTTTTAAATGCTAATTTATTAAGTTTCTTATTAGAATCTTCTATTTATAATTATACGGCATATTCTCTGAAATTTTACTGCCATACAGTGCATACCAATGATTCAAAATACCTGCACTTCATGAGTACAAACTAAAAGCTAAATATTGCAGTTACCTAGAATTTTTTTTTTTTTTTTTTTTAGATGGAGTCAATCTCTGTCATCCAGGCTAGCGTGCAGTGGTGCGGTCTTGGCTCACTGCAACCTCCACCTCCAGGTTCAAGCCATTCTCGTGCCTCAGTCTCCCAAGTAGATGGGATTACAGGCATGTGTCCCCACACCCAGCTAAATTTTGTATTATTAGTAGAGACGGGGCTTCACTACATTGGCCAGGCAGGTCTTGAACTCCTGACCTCAGGTGATCCACTCGCCTTGGCCTCCCAAAATGCTGAGATAACAGACATGAGCCACTGCACCCAGCCTGACAATTATTTTTTTTGTGATACATCAATGTTGCATACTAGATTTTATGAGGAAACATTTCTATTATTGTTTCAAAGTTCCATATTAGTGTGTTTTCTCAGTGTAGGGTTTTTTTTTTTTCCGAGACAGAGTCTCACTCTGTCGCACAGGCTGGAGCGCAGTGGCGTGATCTTGCCTCACTGCAACCTCTGCCTCCGGGGTTCAAGGGATTGTGGTTCGTGCCTCAGCCTCCCAAAGTGCTAAGATTACAGGTGTGAGCCACTGCACCCAGCCTCATTGTAGGTTTCTTAACATTAGTTTCTTGTGTTTTTTGATTTTACTTAAGTATTATAATTTTAGACAATTTGTAATTCTGTTGGTACACTTTAAGTCAATTTGAGGTTTAATTAAGAAATAAATTATGCATGTCTATCAATCAGATTATATATGTATATGTGTATATCTATAAATATGACTCCAATTTTAGTTATGGCTTATATTCTTTCTTAGCTGATTTTCGATGGTAGTTTTATCTTGTCTAAGTGAGAGTCATGGAGATAGTCTTATTTTCACCATGTGTTTAATGATTAATGTATATTTCTTTTTGTGAAAGAAACACTTTTGTGATTTGAAGGTAATTTTCAAAAAGATTTATAATTCTGTATTTTTTTCAGTTTTTCTTTAAAAACATTGTTTTAAAAACACATAACATAAAATTTACCATCTTAAATTTATTGAAGTTTATATTTCAGGGCCAGGTGTGGTTGTGGTGCTCATGTGTAATCCCAGGATTTTGGGAGGTCAAGCCAAGAGGATCCCTGGAGCCCAAAAGTTTGAGAACAGCCTGGGCAACATATGGAGACCCCTCTCTATGAAAAAAATTTAATAATAGCCAGGCATGGTGGTGTGCAGCTGTGGTCCCAGCTACTTGGGAGATTGAAGGGAGTCAAAATTGTGCCACTACACTCCAGCTTGGGTGACAGAGTGAGACCCTATCTCAAAAAAAGCTGTTCATTTCAGGCATGTTAAGTATATTCACATTGTTATGCAAAAGACTTCTAGAAACTTAACATCTTGTAAAACTTAAATTCAATGTCCATTAAGTAACAACTGCTCATTTTACCCTCTCTCCATACCTTGAGAGACAAGCCTTCTACTTTCTGTTTTTATGATTTTGACTACTTAAGATATCTCATAAGTGGAATCATACAGTATCCATAATTTTGTTACTGGATTAATTCAGGTGACATAATATTCACAAGGTTCATCTAAAAAGGTGACAAGATTATTCTCTTTAAGGTGGAATAATATTCCATTGTATGTATATGTTACATTTTTTAATATGTTTATAAGTCAAGAGACATCTAGGGTGCTTCAGCCTATTGGCTTTTGTGAATACTGATTACAATAAACATGGATTTGCTTTGCTGCCCAGGCTAAAGTGCAGTGGTGCAATCTCAGCTCTCTGCAACCTCTGCCTTCTGGTTCAAGCAATTCTTGTACCTCAGCCTCCCAAGTAGCTGGGATTACATGTGCATGCCACATCGCCAAGCTAATTTTTATATTTTTAGTAGAGATGGTGTTTTACCATGTTGGCCAGGCTAGTCTCGAACTTCTGACCTCAGGTATCTGCCAACCTCACCCTCCCCAGTTGCTAGGATTACAGGCTTGAGACACTGCACCTGGCCTGTGTTAACATGTTTTGGATATAGATTTATGAATACTTTTTTCCATTTATGTATTTTTATGTCTAAGTAGTTTATTTAAAATATGTTTTTGTATCATTCAAGAAAATAAGCCAACTTTATCAGTGTTGATAATCAGTTCTTGAAGAGATTATTTTTCTCTATTTTGTAAACATGGCAACTTTGTGGAAAATCATTTGATCATATACAAAATGGTTCATTTCTGAGCTCTCTATTCTGTTCTTTCATCTGTTTATGTTTGTGTCAGTATCATATTGTTTATGTTACTGTAGCTTTTAACTGTAGGTTGTATTGATATCTTTGAAAAATGAAATTTTTGACCCCTGAGCAAGAATATATTGAAGAGTGTGTTTCATATTCACATATTTTTGAATTTGCCAGTTTGACTTTTGCTTTTTAATTTCTAGTTTTATTCAGGTTTTATTAGAAAACAACCCAGTGCATAATTTTAGTGTTTTTAAATTGATTTGTTGTTGTTTTGAGACAAGATCTTACTGTCACCCAGGCTGCAGTGCAGTGGCAGAATTTTAGCTTATTGTAGCCTCAACCTCCTGGGCTCAAGTGATTGTTCTTTCACCTCAGTTTTTTGAGTAGGTAGGACTGTAGACATGCACTACCATGTAAGGCTAATTGTTTGCTTTTTTGTAGTGTTAGGATCTCACTATGTTGCCCAGGCTGGTCTCAAACTTTTGACACCAATGGATCTCCCAAAGTGTTAGGATTATAGGCAAGAGCCATGGCACCCAATCAGTATTTTTAAATTTAATAAAACTTGTTATGTGTCCTAACAGAATATACCAGGTGCAAATAAGAATATTGTGTATTATCTTGGTTTTGACTGGAGAGTTTTGTGTGTGTCTGTGAAGCCTAGTTGGTCTATAATATGGTTTGGATGTCTATGTTGTCCAAATCTCATGCTGCAATATAAATCCTCAATGTTGGCTATGGGACCTGGTGGGACACGTTTGGGTCATTGGGGGCAAATTTCTCATGAATGGCTTGGTACATCCTCTCGGTAACCAAAAAGTTTACACTGTATCAATTCAAATAAGAGCTGGTTCATTAAAAGAACGTGGCTTCTTCACCTCATACTTGCTCTGTCTCTTACCATATAATATGTCCAGTTACTCTTTACCTTCCACCTTCATTTTAAGCTTTCTGAAATCCTCACCAGAAGCAGATGCTGGCACACACTTCTTATACACTCTGCCAAGCTGTGAGCCAAATAAACAATTTTTCTTTATAAATTATGCACTCTCAAGTATTTCTCTATATGCAAAAGAATCAATATAGTCTATAATGTTGTCTAAGTTTTTTGGTTGTTATTTTTTACCTGAATTTTCTATTATTGCAAACTGGGTCTTGATGTCTACAATCATTATGTTGCTATGTATATCTCGCTTCACTTTTATCAATATTTGCTTTATATATTTTGGAGCTCTGATGTTATGTACACATATACATATAGATAGATAAATATTTTAGTTATACATTCCTGCTAAATCAACTCACTTTACCATCATATAACGTAGGCACCAGCCCCACAGGATTAGTGGGTTTTTCTCCCTGTGTGCAGAGATAAGAGATTGTAGGGCCGGGCGTGGTGGCTCACGCCTGTAATCCCAGCACTTTGGGAGGCCGAGGCGGGCGGATCACGAGGTCAGGAGATCGAGACCATCCCGGCTAAAACGGTGAAACCCCGTCTCTACTAAAAATACAAAAAATTAGCCGGGCGTAGTGGCGGGCGCCTGTAGTCCCAGCTACTTGGGAGGCTGAGGCAGGAGAATGGCGTGAACCCGGGAGGCGGAGCTTGCAGTGAGCCGAGATCGCGCCACTGCACTCCAGCCTGGGCAACAGAGCGAGACTCCGTCTCAAAAAAAAAAAAAAAAAAAAAAAAAGAGATTGTAGAAATAAAGACACAAGACAAAGAGATAAAAGACAGCTGGGCCCGGGGGACCACTACCACCAAGACGTGGAGACCGATAGTGGCCCCGAATGTCTGGCTGCAGTGTTATTTATTGAATACAAAGCAAAAGGGGCAGGGTAAAGAGTGTGAGTCATCTCCAATGATAGGTAAGGTCACGTGGGTCACGTGTCCACTGGACAGGGGGCCCTTCCCTGCCTGGCAGCCAAGGCAGAGAGAGAGAGGGAGAGAGAGAGACAGCTTATGCCATTATTTCTGCATATCAGAGACTTTTAGTACTTTCACTAATTTTGCTACTCTTATCTAAAAGGCAGAGCCAGGTGTACAGTATGGAACCTGAAAGCAGACTAGGAGCGTGACCACTGAAGCACAGCATCACAGGGAGACGGTTAGGCCTCCGGATAACTGCAGGCAGGCCTGACTGATGTCAGGCCCTCCACAAGAGGTGGAGGAGTAGAGTCTTCTCTAAACTCCCCCAGGGAAAGGGAGACTCCCTTTCCTGGTCCGCTAAGTAGCAGGTGTTTTTCCTTGACACTGAGGCTACTGCTAGACCGCGGTCTGCTAGGCAACGGGCGTCTTCCCAGACGCTGGCATTACTGCTAGACCAAGGAGCCCTCTGGTGGCCTTGTCTGGGCATAACAGAAGGCTCTCACTCTTGTCTTCTGGTAACTTCTCACTATGTCCCCTCAGCTCCTATCTCTGTATGGCCTGGCTTTTCCTAGGTTGTGATTATAGATCGAGGATTATTATAATATTGGAATAAAAAGTAATTGCTACCAACTAATGATTAATGATATTCATATATAATCATATCTAAGATCTATATCTGGTATAACTATTCTTATCTTATATTTTATTATGCTGGAACAGCTCATGTCCTTGGTCTCCTGCCTCGGCACCTAGGTGGCTTGCTGCCCACAATATAATATCAATTTTTGTCTTGTAGAAGTACTTGATTTAAAGCATATTATGTCTAATATAATTATGACCACCTTACTCAATTGTGGTTGCTATTTTCATGGAATATACATTTTTTTCATTCTGTTACTTTCTGCCTATTTGACTTAATGCTAAAGTAAGTCCCTTGTAGGCAGCACACTGTATGCTTTTTTAAAAAAACCACTTAGGCATTCTATATCTTTTTCTTTATATAATTTTATTTATATATATATTTATATTTGTATTTATTTATTTATTTATTTTATTTGGTTTGTTTTTGAGATGGAGTTTCACTCTTGTTGCCCAGGCTGGAGTGCAATGGCATGATCTCAGCTCACTGCAACCTTCACCTCCCAGTTTCAAGTGATTCTCCTGCCTCAGCCCCCTGAGTAGCTGGGATTACAGGTGCATGCCACCATGCCCAGCTAATTTTTTGTAAGTTTAGTAGAGACGGGATTTCACTATGATGGCCAGGCTTGTCTTGAACTCCTGAATTCAGGTGATCTGCCTGCCTCAGCCTCCCAAAGTGTTGGGATTACTAGCATGAGCCACTGCACCCAGCCTCATTTATTTTTGAGATAGTGTCTCACTCTGTCAACCAGCTTATTTGTATTTTTTGTAGAGACAGAGGTTTGCCATGTTGCCCAGGCTGATCTTGAACTTTTGGGTTCAAGTGATCAGCCCATCTTGAACTTCCAAATTCCTATGATTACATTTCATTTTATTTAGTAGTTTAATCTATATTTAAAATGATTGGTTAAAGAAATGAAGTTGTTATTACCACTAATATTGTTATTGTTTTATGTGTTTCTAGTAGTTATATTTTTCTCATTTCCTGTTTTACTTACTTAATTTTCATTTAATTTTGTACTGGCATGCTTTGATTATATTTTATTTTCTTTTGCATACTTTGTATAAATAATATCTTAGTAATCATCTCAAAAACTGGAGATTACATACATCTTAAAGTTAAAACAATATATTTTAATCTCATAACAACTTCAATTGAATAAAAACTATGCCTCTATATTTTCCAGTTTGTTATTGATATAAAAATTATTTTATATGGTGTATCTACAGGTGCACGCCTGTTATCCCAGCACTTTGGGAGGCCAAGGTGGGTGGATCCCGAGGTCAGGAGATCGAGACCATCTGGCCAACATGGTGAAATCCCATCTCTACTAAAATACAAAAAATTAGCCAGGCATGGTGGCCCATGCCTGTAGTACGAGCTACTCAGGAGGTTGAGGCAGGGGAATCACTAGAACCCAGGAGGCACTCCAGCCTGGGAGACAGAGTGAGACTCCATCTCAAAATATATATATATTTCCAAATATTCAGTTTGGTCTTATTATATTGACATTGTTATGCAACATATCACTAGAGTGTTTTTTATCTTGCAAAGCTAAATCTCAGTACACAGTAAATAACTACCAATCCTTTGTATTTTGTGGTTCTTTTCAAACACCACTCTGTTTTCTGTTTCTAAGAGTATAACTGCTTTATATATCTCATCCAATCTCTGTCTTTTTGCGGCTGGGTCACTTTATTTTGCATAATGTCATCAATATTTATCTTAATAGTTGTTACAGTATTTTCTGCTTTTTGAAAACTGAGTGATAATTCCTGTACTTTTGTGTCTACTGAATGATTTGGTGACACAAATTTCGATTACTTTTACCTAGTGGCTTGCAGTAACAATGCTACAATAATTATGTGAAAGTTAATGTAATATATTTGCTGCATTCTGTTTTATTAGTCTACTTTTTCACCTTTATACTCATACCAAATTATTTTAATTCTGTAGCTTTTTGATGTGTTTTGAAATCAGAAATGGTATTGCCTGTAACATTGTTCCTGTTTTTGAAGATTGCTGGGTACTTTATTGTCTGTTTGGATTCCATATACTTTTAAATTTGTTGTTTTTATTTCTTTGAAAATGCTGTGAGTCATTTGAAAGACATTGCATTAAATCTGTAGATTAAATTGAGCAGTAAAGACATCTTCAAAATATTGTTTTTCAATTGTTTGTTTTTGAGATGGAGTTAAATTTACCTGCCTTACCAGTTACATTTGTGCCATTTTGGTTTGTATGTTTTTGTTACATTTATATGTTCAGGAAGACATTACAGCTTGTGGTATTTTACTATGTCATCTTAGTTATGTAGTTTGTATAATTTTATAGGTTAGATTTGTAAAGTATATTTATCTGAGTCTAGCAATTGAAGTAATGTGTTTTTATTGTTTCTTTCAGTTATATGTTCTCATTTTGCCCAAGATCTTTGGCCAGAGCAGAACATAAAAGATTCTTTCCAAAAAGTGATACTGAGAAGATATGAAAAACGTGGACATGGAAATTTACAGTTAATAAAAAGGTGTGAAAGTGTAGATGAGTGTAAGGTGCACACAGGAGGTTATAATGGACTTAACCAGTGTAGTACAACTACCCAGAGCAAAGTATTTCAATGTGATAAATATGGGAAAGTCTTTCATAAATTTTCAAATTCAAATAGACATAATATAAGACATACTGAAAAAAAACCTTTCAAATGCATAGAATGTGGCAAAGCTTTTAACCAGTTCTCAACCCTTATAACACATAAGAAAATTCATACTGGAGAGAAACCCTACATTTGTGAAGAATGTGGCAAAGCCTTTAAGTACTCCTCTGCCCTTAATACACATAAGAGAATTCATACTGGAGAGAAACCATACAAGTGTGATAAATGTGACAAAGCCTTTATTGCATCCTCAACCCTTAGTAAACATGAGATCATTCATACTGGAAAGAAACCCTACAAGTGTGAAGAATGTGGCAAAGCTTTTAACCAATCCTCGACACTTACTAAACATAAGAAAATTCATACTGGAGAGAAACCCTACAAATGTGAAGAATGTGGCAAAGCTTTTAACCAATCCTCAACACTTACTAAACATAAGAAAATTCATACTGGAGAGAAGCCCTACGTTTGTGAAGAATGTGGCAAAGCCTTTAAGTACTCCCGTATCCTTACTACACATAAGAGAATTCATACTGGAGAGAAACCATACAAGTGTAATAAATGTGGCAAAGCCTTTATTGCATCCTCAACCCTTAGTAGACATGAGTTCATTCATATGGGAAAGAAACATTACAAATGTGAAGAATGTGGCAAAGCCTTCATTTGGTCCTCAGTCCTAACTAGACATAAGAGAGTTCATACTGGAGAGAAGCCCTACAAATGTGAAGAATGTGGCAAAGCCTTTAAGTACTCCTCTACCCTTAGTTCACATAAGAGAAGTCATACTGGAGAGAAACCCTACAAATGTGAAGAATGTGGCAAAGCCTTTGTTGCATCCTCAACCCTTAGTAAACATGAGATCATTCATACTGGAAAGAAACCCTACAAGTGTGAAGAATGTGGCAAAGCTTTTAACCAGTCCTCATCCCTTACTAAACATAAGAAAATTCATACTGGAGAGAAACCCTACAAATGTGAAGAATGTGGCAAAGCTTTTAACCAGTCCTCTTCCCTTACTAAACATAAGAAAATTCATACTGGAGAGAAACCCTACAAATGTGAAGAATGTGGCAAAGCTTTTAACCAGTCCTCAACCCTTATTAAACATAAGAAAATTCATACTAGAGAGAAACCCTACAAATGTGAAGAATGTGGCAAAGCTTTTCACCTATCCACACACCTTACTACACATAAGATACTTCATACTGGAGAGAAACCTTATAGATGTAGAGAATGTGGCAAAGCTTTTAACCATTCTGCAACCCTTTCTTCACATAAGAAAATCCATTCTGGAGAGAAACCATACGAGTGTGATAAATGTGGCAAAGCCTTTATTTCACCCTCAAGCCTTAGTAGACATGAGATAATTCATACTGGGGAGAAACCCTAGAAGTGTGAAGAATGTGGCAAAGCCTTCAAGTGGTCCTCACACCTTACTATACACTGAGAGTTCTGAACTTACTCTGTAACCATCCCAAACTCCTCCCAGGCACAGTCTGGCAGAGGTCCTGCCATTTCGGAGACCTGGAGGAAGTGGCCCATTTACAGCCATGTAGGCAGGCCTGCAGACCTTGGCCTTTACTACGGTACCTGAAGTGGTTCAATGACTCAGTTTCAGTTACCTGAGCCACAGCTTAAGGTCAGTTCTGCCTATATAGAAACCCACACAGTTAACCTGAGGAAATGCTCTCTGGTACTCACTGAAAGCCACACTCATCCACATCCTGATACAAGGCCCACCATATGCAGACCTGACTGCCAAAACATGCCCTAGTGTCTGCCGTACAGAGTGAAGTCCTGAAGGATATTTAGTCTGTCCAAAACTAAAATGAAGATTTCAACTCCCCAACCCCCTCTAACAAGCCAGCTAAAGGTGGACTATAGTGCAGACCCAGCAACCTTGTGACCAGGCTAAAACCCCTCATCACTACAAATTCAGAGGGCATCTCATCACCCTAAGGGCCCAACGAAAGATCTTTACCTTCTAACATCAGTTTATGAAAACTTGAAAAGGTGTTTGCTCCATCAAATTCAGACACCAGTACAAAACTATATTATGCCCATTGTCTGGTTCTATTTTAATGTAGCACTGGAAGTGTGTGGCAGAAGAATTAGTCAAAGAAATAAAAATAGCCATTGAAATTGAAGAAAAATGTTGCTGTTTGTAGATCATACAATCTTATATTTGAAAAACCTTAAACAGTACATTAAAACCCGTCTAAACTAATAAATACACTCAGTAAATTAACAAAATATAAAATCAACATACATGTATATGTATGGTTTTATACACTTAAACTATCTAATTAAACAGAGGAACACACTGGGCACTTTGGCTCACGCCTGTAATCCCAGCACTTTGGGAGGCCAAGGCGGGTGAATGATCTGAGGTCAGGAGTTACAGATCAGCCTGGCCAACATGTTGAAATCCCATCTCTACTAAAAATACAAAAATTAGCTGGGAATGGTGGCTAGCACCTGCAGTCCAAGCTAGTTTGGAGGCTGAGGGAGGAGAATTGCTTGAATTTGGGAGGTGGAGGTTGTGGTGAGCAGAGATCGTGCCATTGCACTCCAGCCTGGGCAACAGTGCCAGACTCCATCTGAAAAAGAAAAAAAAAAGAAAATCGTATTTACTATAGCATTAAATAATAAATGTCTGGCCAGGCCTGGTGGCTCATGCCTGTAATGTCAAGGTGGGCGGATCACAAGGTCAGGTGATCGAGACCATCTTGGCCGTGGTGAAACCCCATCTCAACTAAAATATAAAAAATTAGCTGGGCATGGTGGTGCATGTCTGTAGTTTCAGCTAATTAGGACTGAGGCAGGAGAATCGCTAGAACCCAGGGAGGTGGAGGTTTCAGTGAACTGAGATCATGCCACTGCACTCCAGCCTGGAGAAAGAGCAAGACACTTTCTCAAAAAATAAATACATAAATCTCTGAGAAAATAACCAAAAAGGTAAGAAATCTTTACAATAAAAATATCAATAAAAAATTAGAGAAAATCCAAATAAATATAAAACATTTTATCTCTGGGTTGAAAGTAAATATCATTAAAGTGCCGTATTATCCAAAGTTATCTACAGATTCAATAAACTTCCTATCAAAACTTGCAGTGGTATTTCTTTCACAATAATGGAAAATACTATTTTAAAATTTATGTGAAACTAAAAATTTGAATAGCCAAAGCAATCTTGAGGAAAAAAAAAGCAGAAGGATATCATACTTATAATGTCAAGCTGTATTTCAAGACTGTATTCTAATAAAAACCAAATGGATTGTGCAAAAAAATGAGCAAAAATGCAACAGAAACTAACACATATTTCAGACATGATGAAAAAAACTTAATAGTTTATCAAAATCATGCAGATATTTGTGTGTCCCCAAAACAATAGAAAAGCAGCCAGATTGTGCAGTCTCTTATATACCATGAAGAGGACTTTGGCTCTCACTGTGAACTTGAAGGAAGTTCACTGAAAGAAAAGTAGAATCCTTAGAGAATTTAAAAGCATAAGACAGAAGATGCCCCTTTGTGAGAGCAAAATTTAGAAACAAAAAAAACAGCTGCTCAGGAAATATTTCCTTTGGAATACAACTTCCAAATTAGATTTTAAGAACTGGTTTTCTCTTTGACTTTGAGACTTCTTACCTGTGTTTTCCGTTGTATTCATTTTCACTCATACCTACCTGGGGGGTTGGCAATCATCTCATGTCTCTTCAGAGCCAAAGGTTTTTTTCCCTGCTCCAGATGAGTGATCAGGTCTGGCTTAGAGACAACAATACTGTTGTATTAAGAATAAATAACATGAATCGTGCTCATATTCTCCAATTACAAGCTAGTAATGTGTTCAGTAGAGAGGATGTGATAAAATATTCTAGTAAATTAATTACAAAATACTAATCTATAACAAATTTCTAAATATTTAGAAAATGCTTTCAATTTGTAGGTTTCTTAATTTTACTATCTAATACTACTGAATCAAAAATTGGTGGCAATTAGATTTTCAGGTGGGGGCAAGAATACTTTGTCACTAAATTTTTGGAATTACCACTAATTTAGAGTGAATTATACAGCTCAAATCAGGAATGTGGAAAGTTTGGATTAAGATGAAACATCTTGAAGAGACTTTTCTGCATGAGCAAATTTTGAAGATTTTCTGAAAAAAGGGGATCTGAAACTCTTTTATGCAAAGAATAGATTACTAAAAAGTTCTACATAAAAGAGAAATAAAACCTTTAGGGTATATTATGAATTATGTCTTAAAGTTATCCTCAACAAGAAAGACCATATTTCCATAGTTCTCTAACATCACATTCGTATACAACTTCCGCTGTACAGTGTCCAGGCAATGCCACTCCTCCAGAGATAATTCTATGGCCACATCTCTAAATTGCAATGGTCCCTGAAGAACACACACATTTTTACCAAGTGGCCAGGTGTGGAATTTTTAATTTGACTTAAGGTGAAATGAGAGAGTAAAGAGAAGTGGTTCTGACTTATAGCACTGACTAAAATTATCCAATAAAATAATTTTCAAAACAGAAATATTATTCTCTAACTATGATAAAAAAAAAAAAGCACCATAAGATCCAGAACAACAGTTCATATATTTTATTTTTCTAGATAATAAAGTATAAAATTAAGGGCATGAACACGAACATGTACATTTTTGAGTGCTATATTTACATCATACGGAATGAGTTGTGAATATTTTTCAGATGGAAAAGACATTCACTTAGGCATTTCTCAAATTTATTATGTACAATAAGCTGAAGACCTTATGCAGGTTTTTTTTTTTTTCCAAGAAGATCTGGAGTAAGTCTGATTTACGTATTTATTTCCTTTTCTTTTTTATTTGAGACGGAGTTTCATGCTTGTTGCCCAGGCTTCTGTGCAGTGGCATCATCTTGGCTCACGGCAGTGTCCCCCTCCTGGGTTCAAGCAATTCTCCTGCCTCAGCCTCCTGAGTAGTTGAGATTACAGGCATGTGCCTCCACGCCCAGCTATTTTTGTATTTTTAGTAGAGACAGGGTATTCTCCATGTTGGTCAGGCTGGTCTCAAACTCCCAACCTCAGGTGATCTGCCTGCCTTGGCCTCCCAAAATGCTGTGATTACAGGCATGAGCCAGGGCTCCCCGCTGATTTTTTGAATTTCTAACAAGCTTACCAGTAATGCTAACGTTTTTGGCCTAATAAGGATATTTTGTCAAAGATCCAGTAAGTGGTAGAGCCTGTGTTTTCCCAGTTTTTCTAGCCTGTAAACAAAGATAAGAGCCTTCATTTTCTAAAGAAAAATATGTAGAAAAAATAAAAGGAGAACTGCCAGATTAAATGTGATCACTTGTGTAGAGCAGCTGCATAAAGATAATTATGAAGAGAAAAATAGTTATCTCTACAGTGAAAAAAATCAATCAGCTATTTCACCAAGTGAATCATTAACCATTAACTGCACTAGGACAAATTTTTATGATGTGCTACTGCACACAGAAGAACACAGCATCACTGTTGAAATATTCCTCCCCAAAACAGTAAACTAGTCTGAATTTAACCATAAACAACAGTTTATGCAAACTTCAAAATACAGGTAACTCCTATGTTCTGTAATTTTTAGTAGGAATTTTAATTAGGCTTCATTTAGCACCCTAGAGAGCAAGTATCTCCTAATAATTTTTTTCAGAACTTTCTGGGTAATAAATGCCATTCCATTTAAATCAGCATTTTCTTAATCCTCTTCTGCATAGAGCTAATGGAACACACAGCTGGAGCCTCAACATTACATGTTCTCCATCTTTACTAAGGGCCACAGTTTTCCCCAATAGAAACCTTGAGTATCCACATCTTTCCATGTTCAACAGCCACAAAGGGAACATTTTTAATATTGCAGGTCATAAATTCTTGCGGAGCATTCTGCATGGCATATAAGAAGCTATGACGTACAGAATGTAGAGAAGTCTGTGGGACATAGGACAGAAACGTTTTCCAGAGACCCTTGACTATCATAAGAATTTTAAGAAGTAGTTAAACCAAACTCCTTAGGGAGGAAAAACACAAGTAGAGAAGTAAAGGTTTGTGAGTACTAAACGCATGGCAGTCCAGGAGGCAGAGTGGACACAGCTCTTCATCTGACACATGTTTACCTGAAGAAAAGCCATTTTTTTCTTTCTCCTCCTCCTCTGGAATTCCTTCTCAGATGAGATTCTCTGGACAAGTTACACCTGCATATGGAGAATATGCCTTTAAAGGTGTCAGTACCACATTTACCTGCTAGTATGACATCAACTGGCAGAAAAAGAAAAATTCACTTACTGCTGTCTTTTAAACAGAATAGATTCAGGAATAATGAGCTGCTCCATGAAGACAAAAATATAAGCTTCTCCTTTCCTGTCCTCAGGTGCCCTCCCCTGCCAGAGACTCCAGCAATTTCTGCTACAGTAATGGAAATATGCACCACACTGACCTGTCCCTACCAAACCCAAACAGAACAGGCCCTGTGACCACCCTTTAGTGCAAAGGTGGAACTTAACTCTCGAAAATGTATTTTGAAGCCTTCATACTTGATTCTGGCCTCACCTTAGAGTCACATGAGGCCCTTCATTAAAACAACATGGATCCTTCCACCCAGAACAATAAACAGAAGCTGTGGGGAGGGCACAAGTATAAATCACTTGGTAATTTTGGTCCCACATTATGTAAGGTGATTCTGCAGGTTTGAAAAGGGTTTATGAAAGAGTGTTTTAAACAAGTCTCCTGTCAATGCTGATGTTGCTCCCCCTTGGCTCATTATTAGCATTAGAGAAAGCAGGCAGAGCACAGGGTCCCTTACACTTAACACCCTTCTCACAACCAAATACTTGTCGTGCAAATAAGGACAACCCATCTCCATCCTAAAGTTTTATATTCTTTGCTGGCTCTTTAAGTTTATAGAGGAAACAGAAGGCAGCAATGTTTGAATAAGTCTGGGTTTAAAAAACAACATGTACACATGTACTACTGCAATGTTTATTAAGCAAGTACTATGTGCTCAAGAGTATGATACAGAGCACTGTGCTGGGCATAACACATTATGTGATTTAATTCTCATAATACCCTGGGAGCTAGTACTAAGGGTTTAGGAATTTTCAGGATTTAGATAAAGGGCCCAGCATTTTTATTCTTCTGTTTCTCTGTCATCAAATTTTTTAAAAAGTTGTAAGAAATAAAAGCTAAATATAGACAGATAGAAAAGATATAGAAAGGATGAGTTTAATGCAGTTTAGAGAAAATTTTATTCTGTTTATGTTTACTTTTTTGTTACTTGGGGAGCAATTACTGGATCTGCAGGAATAGAAAACAAGTTGCTAAATAGAATGTCTCTGCAAGCACTGGTTTTAATAGAAAACTTAAAAGCTAAGACTCTATAATACATACTTTATTTTTCCCATTCATCTGCTTTTGGGTTTCAGGAAATTGTGAGCACCAGCTCTAGAAAGGCAGCAGGATTCACCAGCCAAAACTCTTGATCTCTACTAATCAGTTCTGAGAGCAAGACTCCAGGGTATGGTCAGACCTAAATAAGGCCTTCAAAAAGAATATATGTAAACAAGTCTGGGGCAGTGTGAGGACCCTATGTAGAATTCTGTTCTCTATGTCACTGGGGTACTACCAGATTTGTTTCTTCTAAATGTCCTAAAAGAAACTTAAATCCAACAGTTTCTGTAATTTAAATATTTTCTAGCCACTGCCCTGTCAACTTTATACTATATACTAATATGCAATTTAAACAAACCCCTTAAGGTTTTCTAGGGTAATTTTATTGGAAAATAAATATCGTACACTTAACAAGTGAAAGAAATAGAAATTATACAGCCGGATGTGGTGGCTCACGCCCATAATCCCAGCACTTTGGGAGGCTGAGGCAGGTGGATCACGAGGTCAGGAGTACAGGACCAGCCTGATGAGATGGTGAAACCTCGTCTCTACTAAAAGTACAAAAATTTGCCAGGTGCAGTGGCATGTGCCAGTAATCCCAGCTACTCGGGAGGCTGTGTCAGGAGAATCACTTGAACCTGGACAGCAGAGGTTGCAGTGAGCTGAGATCATGCCACTGAACTCCAGCCTGGGACACAGAGTGAGACTCCATCTGGACATCCTCAAATGCCTCAAAGACACCTAGGTGATTGTGAGAGATTCCCAGTGATCTGGGGCTGATGGCCCAATAATAAGCCAGGCTGGAGACTTAGGCTGATTCTACATAGAAAATGGAAGTGCCCTAGTGGAGCTCCTGAACCTGGATCACCTGTTCTGATTTTCTAGCTCTTGAAAGAAAGAACAAAAATACTCTACTCCAGTATCACATTTTACAGGTAAATGTAGTTGTGGTCATGGCTCTGGATACTTTGGGGCCTTGATCTCTTACTCCTAAGATGCTTATTTACACTGACAGATTCTGCCCTCAGATTCTATTTCCTTCTGGAGCCTCTCACATAACTGTAGCAGGTCAATGAACAAGATGTGAAAAATCTCAAAGAGCCACACTCCCAAATGGAGGCTATGTCTATGTTTACATTTCACAACGCAGAAAATATCTTTTGTTTGTTTCTGTACATTCTCAATCAAAAGTCCGGCCCTGTTTTGTAAATCCAAGGCAGAGGCCAGACCTTATTGGCAGATTCTAGGCAGGATCCACCTGGATTTGCATCCTTTGGTGTTACAGAAAGTGAAGCACAATCAAAGGAGAGATCCCCTCATAGAGTCTGCTCTAGCACATTCTAAATGATAAATCTACATGAAAAAAAGAGAAAAAGCTGACACAACATGAATATAAGTAGACACTTTATTTTGGTCAAACTTAAGAATTATAACCTGGGAGCAAAGATTCAAGTTGCCTGGAATCTACAGTTTGATTAGCAGCAGTTACAAGAGGATTTGTAATGACAACAAGAGAGGGACAGAGAGTGGGCTGATACAAAGTTGATTGTTAGAAATTTTTATTTATTTACAGAAATAACTGATTATTGATGAGATATATATTGTATATATATGGTTATGGTTTAGGGTACGGGATATAGTGTCCAATGTGGCATTATTAGTTTATAGCTACTTGGGGCAATAGTGTACAGTTTCAAGAGATGAATACATATTTCAAATGGGGAAGACAGGCGTAACTACACTTGCATTTTAATGTCTCTCTGAGTTTGATAACCAAAGGACTTGCATTTTCCAGATAAAAGTTTTTTATTTCCCAAATCTCAAGACCTGGATTCAAAATTTGGAGCTGCAGATTTAGAACCTGAACGGCTGGAGTAGCAGCGGGTGTTAACTGCAGATTTGTGAGCATTTCAGCAAGAGGAGGAAGGGGAAAGTGGAGATTCTGTCTACATGTCTACTCAATGCACACATGTTACTCTGATTGGGTTTTTGGGCCCCGTGGTGTCTGAATCAGTTTCAGGTATGAAGATACAATGATTGATTGGTGCCCCGTGGAGTTTGTAGAAATCTGGACCTAACCTCTCTAGAAGTGACTGTAGAGGATTATAGATACCATATAGGCAGAGACACAATTCTGCCTGCATATTTAGGGGACAGTGTGCACTTTGTAGCACAGGTGTGAGTTGACTGGAAGTCTGAGAGGGAAAGTCCCCTCTAGAGTAAATTCTGGTTTTCACCTTATGTGTTTATATCATGTCTGCTAATTCTAGACCATGCTTGGAAACAATAATTAAAAGAAAAATTTTCTCCAGCCTCAGAGAAACTCCACAATAATAAGATAGAAAGAAAACATTTTATTACACAATTGAACTTGAATGTGACATGCATCATAGTCAATCTGCTTAAGAGACTGCAAAGACAGAAGGATGGTCACCAAAATTAGTCCACAAGTAGAAGAATTTCCAGCACCATGTCATACATAATTCATCCTAAATTCATCTGGAGATTGAAGAGGCCATCTGTGTATGCTAATTGCTTATATTCAATGACAAATAAACTTTTCCCATCTTCATAGCAGGAGGTAGCTTAGCAGCTTGAAGCCAGGTGCCTGCTGAAGGTAAGATTTCACTCTGCTACAAAAATGGTTGAATAGGGTTCTATCTTGATTTGGCTATTTACATTTTAGAGCAGTGTCTCTGCACTCCCTGGCACTGGGCTACAGCACTCCTGCTTGCTTTCTCCTGGTTACTAGTGTCCTCTGTTGACTTCTACAATTTGCTACTGAGGCACAGCCCAGAGCACAGCTCACATTTTATGTGAACCCCATTTGCCACAGCAGCACTCTAGTGTCACATCAGAGAGTGAGGCCTGAGCTGCAGGAGGAGAGCCTGCAGGCCTCATGGGTAGATTTACACCTTCACAATAATGGGAATGTAAGCAGTGTTTCAGCCCCAGTTTCTATTTATAATGGTGAAATGGAAAAAATACTACCGAATTCCCAGGATGAGTCCAGATACCCTTACCCTGAATACTCTGCAGCTGCATTCCTAAGCCCTTATCTAGGTGCCACAGTAGAATTTGCAGTCATGGTACAGCATGCAAACCCTAATTACAGCCATATGGGCAGCATGGGGGAGGTCATAGGAAATATGAACAAACCTTAATTACACATTCCTGTGAACTCCTGTTTTTCAGCTAGCTGCCGCCATAAATGTCACATGATGAGGTGTTGCAAGTTCATGGTAAACTGATAAACTGCCTTTGTGCCTGTTCCTAACTGATAAACTATCTAGCGGCAAAGTTAACTCCCTTAAGCCCCTCTCATCTCACATAAACCCCTCACTTTGTAAGCTCAGGGCTACCTCTTCTGATTGCTGTGGACCAGCCCGGTAGGTTAATAAACTTACTTGCCTGACTTTGGGTCTACTTGTCCTTTCTCTCGGCCAACCTTACATTTTGGTGTCAAAACCTGGGAAGAGGTAGACTCTGGCCGGGCGTCCCTAGAGGACTTTCTGTCACTCTCTCTCTCACACTCTCCCTCCTCCCAGGCTTGCTGGTCATTGTGCGCTGGAGCCTAGGTGCCTTTCCCCCTCTCCTGCCACCCCCTGCTAGCCACCCTCCCCTTCCCAAACCTGCTGAAGGCCCAAAGGATCTCCTAGACTCTCCCATTGTTGGTGACTTCATTCACCTTCAGAGCCTCCAAAGGGGTAAGAGAGAGAGTCTTGCCATTTACCCGGAACCCTTGACTGTCTCTGCATTCCCAAAAGACCCAGCGCTGAGCCAAGGGCTTTCTTCAGCCTCCAGTCCTCTGGTTTCTCCATTTCAGGAGGCAGCTACCTCCTACATTCCGGACAGGGCTTGTGGGACAGGGGACGCCCTCACCTGCCATCCTTGTCAACTGGCAGTCTCTTCTTCCTCTACCCCCCTCCTCTATTTACCATGGGAGCTTCTCATTCTACCCCTCCTAAAACCACCCCCCTTGGGTATCTTTTGCACAACCTCAATGCTCTCAGCCTCCATTCAAGGGTCCATCCTAAGAGGCTTATTTTCTACCGTAATACTGCCTGGCCTCAATACAAATTGGACAATGGCTCCCAATCACCCGAAAATGGCACTTTTGATTTCAACATGCTTACAGACTTAGACAACTTTTGCCACCGCAATGGGAAATGGTCTGAGATTCCTTATGTTCAGGCTTTCTTCACTCTCCATAGCCACCCTTCTCTCTGCCAGTCCTGTTCTACTTTCCAAATCCTCCTTGCCTGCTCTAAACCTGATTTGCCTCCTACCACCCTCCCTACGACCCCAGCCGACGACTCATCCCCTACTACCCTCCCCATCGCCCCAGCTGATGACTCCTCTTCCTTTGACCCCACCAATTTTCCCCCTCCCCGTCAACATCATGATCCTCTGCCAGAGCATCATGATCCTCCTCCGTATGCCCCCGCTCTGGCTCTACTTCTTTCTCCCCCTCTCTCCAACAACCCTCCTTCTGACTCTGAGTCCTCCCCATCACCACCCCTTACCCACTCTCAGGCCAAGCAGCCAGTTCCCTTGTTGCCCCTTTGGGAAGCAGCAGGGGCCAAAGGGATCGTCTGTGTCCACATCCCCTTCTCCCTTTCCGATCTCTTCCAAGTTGAAAAATGTCTCGGATTTTTCTCCTCCGATCCTGATACCTATATCAAAGAATGTACGTATCTTACTCAGTCTTATGAACTCACTTGGCATGATCTCTATATTATCCTGTCTTTTACCCTCCTTCTGGAAAAGAAGGAAAGAGTGTGGCTCGCAGCCCCGACGCGTGCTGATGATCTCCATCAGCAAGATTTTACCAAGCCCATAGGAGCCGCTGCAGTACCCTGGCAGGAGCCTCCTTGGGAGTACCAACCCACAGACCCCAGCCTGGCATCCCATAATCATATGATTACTTGCCTCATTGCAGGCCTAAACAAGGCTGCCCACGAGGCTGTAAACTTTAAAAAGCTCAAAGAAATCTCCCAAAAGATCAATGAAAACCTTGCCCAATTTTTTTTCCTGTCTTATGGAGGCTCTCCAAAAATATACCCATGTTGATCCTGCCTCCTGAGAAGGTGCTATTGTTCTTCATACCCATTTTATCTTCCAATCTGCCCCCAATATTTGGCACAAACTTAAAAAGGCTGAAGATGGCCCTGAAACCCCCAACAAGACCTCCCTAATCTGGCTTTCAAAGTCTTCAATAACAGGGATGAGCAAAATAAATTAGATAAAGCCTAAAGAGATCTTGCTAAATACCAGCTTCTAGCAGTGGCTATCTGCCAACCTCGCCATAGTACCCAAGGGCACAAAACACCCAATAGCATTAACTCTCCCAGGCCTTTTTTAAAGTGAAGCAAAGAAGGCCACTGGGCATGAGCATGCCCTAATCCATGAATGCCAAAAAGCCCTTGCCCAGTCTGCCAGCAGACAGGCCACTGGAAGTCTGACTGTCCTGTTAACAGGCAGACAGAAAAGCCTGTACTGCAAAACCACCACCCTTTTGGAGAGACAAAAGGTGAAGTATCACTTGCATTCCCACAGCTCCTTAGTCTAGCCACTGAAGACTGACGAGGCCCAGGGCCCCTGGCCCCATCTACCTTCACTGCATCAGAGCCCAGGGTAACTCTACTAGCAGCAGGTAAGCCGATCTCTTTTTTAAATCAATACTGGGGCCACCTACTCAACTATGCCTGAATTCTCAGGACCAACTCATCCCTCCCAGGTCTCAGTTGTAGGGGTTAATGGACTCATCTCGAGTCCACGCACCACCAAGCCTCTTACCTGTTCCCTATTTCATACCGTTTTCTCACACCCTTTTCTTATCATGCCCTGTTACCCTAACCCCATCCTAGGCAGAAACCTCCTAACCAAATTAAAGGCTTCCATTACCTTCCTCTGTTCCCCACAACCAGACTCTCACCTACTCCTTTCTGCTACTGAACCAGCCCTGGGCCCCTCTCCCCAGTATCCACTCTCCTCTTCTCTGGTTAATACAATAGTGTGGGATACTACTACCCCTTCCCTAGCTACACACCACGATCCTATCAAAATCCAGCTAAAAGACGCCTCCAAATTCCCTAACATCTCTCAATATCCCATCTCAGTAGCTCATCAAAAAGGCTTACAGCCCATCATAAACAAACTCCTTTTGCGCAGCCTTCTCAGTCCAACTCATTCTCCATATAATACCCCCATAATTCCTGTTAAGAAGGCAAATGGCTCCTATCAACTAGTCCAAGACCTCTAGGCTATCAATCAGGCAGTCCTTCCCATCCACCCAATAGTTCCCAACCCTTATACACTCCTTTCCCTTATCCCTTCCAACACAACCTACTACACTGCCATTGATCTGAAAGATGCCTTTTTTGCTATTCCCTTTCACCCTGACTCCCGAGATCTTCTTACTTTCACCTGGACTGACCCTGAAACCCTCCAGTCTCAACAACTTACTTGGAAAGTCCTCCCTCAAGGCTTTAGAGATAGTCCCCATTTCTTTGGGCAAGCTCTGGCCCAAGACCTCACATCGCTAAACCTCTCCCCTTGCTGGCTCCTTCAGTATGTGGATGACCTCCTCCTCTGCAGCCCCTCCCTAAAAGACTCTCAAACCCACACTACTGCCCTTCTAAACTTCCTTGCTGATAAAGAATATAGGGTTTCCCCCTCTAAGGCACAACTCTCCACCCCAACAGTAACTTAGGAGTCCAACTCTCCCTCAGAGCCCAAGCCATGACCCCAGCACGGGAGATAGACAGTCTACGTCCACCCTTCTCCAAAAGAGAAATCCTTTCTTTCTTAGAACTAGCAAGATCCCTAATTTTGCCCTCCTAGCCTGCCCTCTTTATGAGGCAGCCAAAGGCCCTCCAAATGAGCCCCTAAATCCTTCACACAACATAATCCCCAGCTTCCTCAAACTAAAGGCAGCTCTTGTAACTGCTTCTGCTCTATCTTTGCCCAACATCTCTCAGCCTTTCACCCTCTACACAGCTGAAAACCATGGAATAGCCCTTGGCGTCCTCGGTCAACAAAAAGGAAGTCCTCCTTCCTTCACTCCTATAGCTTACCTTTCTAAACAACTAAACAACACCATCTGAGGATGGCCAGCCTGCCTCAGAGTCCTAGCAGCAGCCACCATGCTAGCTTTAGAAAGCAAAAAGCTAACATTCAGCCAAGACATCACCATATATAGCCCACATAATCTACAAGATCTTCTCTCCTCCCAAGTACTGAGCACCTTTTCTCCTTCCCACATCCAACTACTCCATGCTCTTTTTCTTGAGAATCCTGAATTCTGCCTCTCCAAAAATGCTCCCCTCAGTCCTGCATCTCTACCTCCAGTGTCTTCCTCTTCTCCCATCCACTCCTGTACTGAAATCCTTGATCACCTGCTGCATCATTTTCCCAATATCTCCCCGGAACCTCTTCTTGATCCTGATGACCAGTTATTTATAGATGGCTCCTCCTCCAAGTCCGTCAATTCCAATAAAATTGCTGGATATGCTTGACAGAGTAGTTAAAGCTAAGCCCCTACCCCCTGGAACCTCCTCCCAAAAGGCAGAACTCATAGCTCTCACTAGGGCCCTAACCCTCTCAAAAGGCAAACGGGTCAACATTTTTACAGACTCTAATTATACCGATCACATTCTTCATTCTCGCACCACCATCTGGCAGAAAAGAGATTCCTTACTGCCAAAGGAACCCCCGTTAAAAACGGCCCCCTTATTTACCAGCTCCTCCAGGCTGCATGCCTCCCAACTTAGGCAGGGGTTATATACTGTCAGGGACGTGAAACAGTATGAGACAAAATATCAAAAAGGGAATAGAAAAGCCAACGAGGCTGCAAAAGAAGCCTCCCTCTCATCAGCCCCTGCCCCTGTCCTCCTTGTTACCCCAGCAATCCAACCCAGGTACTCCCCCACCAAGAAGGCTTTGCTACTACAGCAAGAAGCCTCCTTTCAAGGGGACTGGATAATCAAAAGTCAAAAGCTCATCCTCCCCCAAGAACAAACCAAATAAATTCTAACATCTCTTCACCAATCCTTCCATATCGGTGCACACTTCCTGTACCTACTCCTTTGCCCTTATTTCTCCTCCCCCCACCTATTCATCTCACTAAGACACATAACCTCAAACTGTCATATATGCTCTGTTACTTCCTCCCAAGGGGCCCTCCGCTCTCCTCCTATTCCTACACATCAGCTCAGAGGAACACTCCCAGAGGAGGACTGACAGGTAGACTTCACCCACATGCCTCCCGTCAAGAAGACAAAATTTCTTCTTACTCTTATAGACACCTTCTCTGGGTGGGTAGAGGCATTACGTACCTCTTCAGAAAAGGCCGCAGTAGTCTCTCAAATCCTTACAACAGAAATCATCCCTATATTTGGTCTCCCTCACTCCATACAATCAGACAATGGCCCTAGCTTCATCTCCCAGATCATCCAACAGGTTTTTCAGTCCCTTGGCGTCCAGAGGTGCTTCCGTATCCCATAATGGCCCCAGTCATCCAGAAAAGTCAGAAGGGCAAATGGGATCCTTCAGGCTCAGTTAACCAAACTCAAGCTTAAAGTCCAAAAACCATGGACCTCCCTTTTGCCCATAGCACTGGCCTGCATCAGAGCAAGTCCGAAATCACCCTTCTTCCTTAGCCCATTTGAGTTAATGTATGGACGCCCTTTCCTCTTACAAAACAGGCCTCCTCTCGACTCCCAGCTAGGAGAATATCTCCCAACCTTCTCCCTTATCCGTCATCTCCTCTGTGAATGATCAAGCCCTCCCAAAACCCCACAAAGGCCCCACTGACTGGACTCTCCTACCAGGAAAGTATGTCTTCCTAAAAACTCTTAACCCAACAAGGCTAAAACCAAGGTGGGAAGGCCCTTTTCAAATTATCCTTACAACCCCCACTGCAGCCAAACTCAGGACATGCCTCTTGGTACCATCTTTCCAGAGTAAAAAGGGCTCCTGCAGTGCCTACTGAACCACAGACTGTCCTCCACCAATCCTCCAGCACCCTCCTTTGTCCAACCAAACTCTGCCTGACGCCCATCCCTGAAGAAGGCCCACGAGCGGTAACTCTTTTACATATCACTTCTGCCCCTGCTACAGATGCCAAGGTCCTCGTGACAAGGAACAGCCTCACCCTACAGCATACCAAATATTAGAATCCCTCTCTTCTCTCCCCATTTCCACATGAGGAAAAGTCTTAACCCACCTATACCTTGCCCATCTGCAAGGAGAATTTGACCATCCATGGGACGCTATCAGCCACCTCATAGACCCCCTAGAAGAAGCCACCTCCCTGTATGGATCCTACCAGCTCCTCTCTCCAACAACAGATTCTGATTCTTCCTCAGATTCCTAATTCTTTTGACAGCCAGCCCCATGGCCTCTACCTCCTCAGGGTCCCTTCTCACTTCTACAAGTCTCGAATGATCTCTCAACCTCACTCACTTTTTGTTACTGTGCTCCAATTCAACATTTGCTTCCAGTTTCTGGACCTATTTTTGCCTTTCCTCTACTGCCTACTCAGCTATCCCAATTTCTTAGCCCTGAGACCATTTTCCCATTCACTTCTCTTACAACATCCAAAAGGGACCTGCCTTTGTAGACAGAGCCCTCACTCTCACTGGAAACTATCCCACTGCCCTCACTGACAGAGCTACCAAGCTCCTCTTCAATCTATATTGCCAACTATGATGACTCAAAACTCCCATACCCCACCATCCAAGGTCTCATAACTCTCCATACCACAAGACTTGGCCAAGCCCCCTTATGCATCACCTCTTCCAATGGACACGTACACGTAGGCACCCTCCTTCCCTCTGCCTGTAACTCAACCCGAACCATCTCTCACCCTTCCTCCCATATCTCACTCTGAGTGGATTATTCAGTCTCCCCTGAAGTCAACGGTCTCTTTACTCAGCCCTTCTGCATTTCCTCCCTCCCACCTCTCAAACATGGAAACCCCTTCCTTGGACAGGAGTGCTCAAAGGGGTTTCTGTCTCTTTCTCACTCTGGGTTGCTGAAGCTGAGCCAAGTCCCTCCAAGTGGGGAACCTACAAACTGCAACACCTACTCTCAATCCACCTGTCTGTTTGCATAAATACCTCAGGCATCTTCTTTCTCTGCGGGTCCACAACATACTTCTGTCTCCTTACTAACTGGACAGGCACTTGCGCCCTAGTCTGCCTTACTCCCAACATTAACATTGTCCTTTCAAACCAGGAACTCCCTGTTCCAGCTACAATACATACCCACTCAAAAAGAACAATACAGTTGATTCCCTATTCACAATAGCAAAGACATGGACAGGCCCTAAATGCCTATCAATGGATAAAGGAAACACGGTATGGTCAGACGCGGTGGCTCATGCCTGTAATCCCAGCACTCTGGGAGGCTGAGGCAGGTGGATTGCCTGAGCTTAGAAGTTTGAGACCAGCCTGGGCAACAGGGCAAAATCCTGTCTCCATGCAAAATACAAAAATAGAAATTGGCCAGGTGTGGTAAAGCACATGTGTAGTCCCCCCACACCAAGTACTTAGGAGGATGAGGTAGGAGACAATTGCTTGAGCCTGGGAGGTTGAGGCTAAAGTAAGCCAATATCATGCTATGACACTCTAGCCTGGGCCATAAGTGTGACCCTGTCTCCAAAAATAAAATAAAATAAAAGATTTAGTAAAAACAAAATATGGTACATAAACATCGTGGAATACTCTGTGGCCATTAAAAAAAGTGATCATGTCCTTTGCAAAAACATCAGTGAACCTGGAGACCACTATTCTTAGAAAACTAACGGAGAGCCTGGGCATGGTGGCTTGTGCCTGTAATCCCAGCGCTTTGGGAGGGAGGTGGGCAAATCACCTGCAGTCGGGAGTTTGAGACCAGCCTGACCAACATGGAAAAAGCCCATCACTACTAAAAATACAAAATTAGCAGGGCATGGTGGCATGCACCTCTAATCCCAGCTACTAGGGAGGCTGAGGCAGGAGAATCGCTTGAACCTGGGAGACGAAGGTTGCAGTGAGCCAAGATTGCACCATTGCACTCCAGTCTGGGCAAAAAGAGTAAAACTCCATCTCAAAAAACAAAACAAAAAACAACAAAAAAAGAGAAAACTAATACAGAAACAGAAAACCAAATGCATGTTATTATTTATAAGTAATAGCTAAATAATAAGAACACATGAACACAAAGAGAAGAACAACAGACACTGAGGCCTAGATGAGGGTGGAGGGTGGGAGGACTAAGAGGATGAGAAAACAGACCTGTTTGGTGCTACGGGTAGTACCTCAGTGACAAAATAATCTGCACACCAAACCCCCATGACATAATTTTAGCTGTAAAACAAAGACACATGTATATCCCGAACCAAAAATAAAAGCTAAAAGAAAAAATATCCCTGGATGGCAGAGTGCAATGTAGCTGAAAGGACTGATTTTCACTACAGATAGTGGCCCAGGTGGGGCTGTACTGATTTATTTCTGTGTGAATGCAGGCAGATGAGATCATGAACAGGTGGCCCAGAAGCTTAGGTTGGTGGAGAAAACAAGTTGCTGCTGCAGATTCAGTGTCTGAGGGTGGGGATATGCCAGAAGACTTGTAGACACTTGTGGGTTCTTGGCAAGAAACACTAGGATCAAAAATGCAGTGGTGAAGTTCCTGAGGGTGGTGCCTAGTCCTGGGAGGAGTGTGGACACATCAATGTCTAGTGTGTGTGTGTTTGTGAGTGGGTGGAAATCCTGTGGTGGCAGATGCAAGACAGGGGTGTCTGTTCTTAGAGGTCCTTTTCTCTAAGTTTTCAGTCTTCTGTCACCCTGGGAGAAGACCTGGAATCACAGGAAAATGGGCAGTGTGACAGCCTGTGTACAGGAGAGCAGAGCCTCCCATTTCCAGAAACCCAGAGTTTTACTCCAGGCCAGGCCTCCATAATATCTTTTTTTCTGGCACCAAATCTGTAGTTTGCTGAACATCAAACTATCCTCCAACACCAACTCATTGTCTAACATTTGAATTCTGACACCACCCAGAGTCAGCACAGACCCTGATTCAGGGCTCGGTCCCACAACACTGTCCTCACTGCAGATGCCAGCCACAAACCCCACAGGCCCATCTATGCTTCGGAGCCACTATTTAAAAACTGGGGACTCCCATCGCCTCCCTGAAGTTCAATAATTTGGTAGAGCTACTCGCAGAACTCAGGAAAACACTGTAGTTATGTTTACTGTTTTAATATATAAGATGCAGCCCAGGAAAAGCCAAGTGGAAGAAATGCATAGAACAAAGAAAAGAGATGGGGGAAGATGAAACACATAGATAATCCTGGAAAATATTTGTGATTAATAAAATTCTCCATCCTTTGTGTGCTCCAGGAACAGTTTATGGAAAGAAACACTCTTCCCATTATGACTTAGATAGTCCTCTGTTTTACCTATCACACAGCCAGACACACACTCTGCAGATTTTCTCCTTTTTCTCATTAGAAAAATCAGCTGAATTTGTCTTCAGTGATCAAAATTATTATTTTTTTTTAATGGAGTCTCGCTTTGTTGCCTAGGCTGGAGTACAGTGGCTTGATCTCGGCTCACTGCAATGGCTGCCTCCTGGGTTCAACCAATTCTCCTTCCTCAGCCTCCCGAGCATCTGGGATTACAGGTGCCCACTGTGACACCTGGCTAATTTTTGTGTTTTTAGTAGACACAAGGTTTCACCATATTGGCCAGGCTGGTCTCGAACTCCTGACCTCAGGTGATCCGCCTGCCTTGGCCTCCCAAAGTGCTGGGATTACAGGCATGAGCCACCTCACTTGGCCTAAAATAAAATATTTCTTAATCAAATTTAAGCTTATATCCCTCCCTTAGGCTCCTGAACTTTGAGCTACCCTCAGTCTGAGTCAACATACAACCCCATTTTATGTCCCTCCTAAGAGCATGCTGATTTCAGGGTAACACATTCTCTGATCTAAAATCTGACTTTTTCACCCTCCATTTGCCATTCCCCTCCCACCTACTTTCTAATCTTGTTTGCTCCTCCCTAGGAAAGAAAGCCCTTTTCAGCCTACATCTTTGCAAGCCACAAAGACCTTCCTTATAGTTAGTTGGTACTTCCTCCTGTTGCAATAATTTTTTGGAATTTTTTTTACATAAATCTAACATTTTTATTTTACACAGTCTAAAAAATGCCTCAAAACAGTAACAACTTCATCATCAGTAAGAACCTCCCAGTTTCCTTTCACCTTAATCTTAACTGCATCTGCCTGTGGGGCCCCAGCTTTCCAGGGCTCTGTAGCTTCTCTCAGAATAAAGGATCCTTCCATGGCTGGGGTGAGCAGGCTGGGACATCTGCAGTGGAGACTCCCCAGAAAAAAGTAACTGGGCCTTTAATAACCTTCTGTTGGCCGGGCTCGGTGGCTCATGCCTGTAATCACAGCACTTTGGGAGGTCGAGGTGGGCGGATCACCTAAGGTCGGGAGTTCGAGACCAGCCTGACCAACATGGACAAATCCCGTCTCTACTAAAAACACAAAATTAGCCGGGCGTGATGGTGCATGCCTGTAATTCCAGCTACTCCAGAGGTTGAAGTAGGAGAATTGCTTTAACCTGGGAGGCAGAGGCTGTGGTGAGCCAGATCACACCATTGCACTCCAGCCTGGGTGCACAGACACACACACACACACACACACACACACACACACACCAAAAACAAAAAACAAAACAAAACAAACAACCCTCTGTTGCAGGCTTAATATTAGCCTTAGCTTGGAATCACTAGGTTCAAGCTTTAATTTCCATGTCAGAGTTATTCACTTTGTTTTTGAAAGTAAGTGTTTGAAAATTCCAGTGAAATTACTCAAACACAGTGTTTATATAAGGGAAGGAAATTTTAAGATGCTTACTTTTTTTTTTTTTTTGAGATGGAGTCTTGCTCTGTTGACTGGGCTGAAGTGCAATGGCATGATCTCAGCTCACTGCAACCTAAGTTTCCTGGGTTCAAGCAATTGTTGTGCCTCAGCCTCTTAAGTAGCTGGGATTACAGGTGCTTGCCACCATATCCAGCTAATTTTTGTATTTTTAGTAGAGACTCAGTTTCACCATGTTGACCAGGCTGGTCTACAACTCCTGAACTCATGATCCACTCGCCTCAGCCTCTCAGAGTGCTGAGATTACAGGCGTGAGCCTCCGGGGATCCGACGCACAATCCCGGTTGGCTTACCCTTAAACTTTTTCCAAATAGGGTAAACTCGTGATTTTGCGAGAAAAGGAGAAGGGGAAAGAAGAAGGGATAGGGTTGATTTACAGCTTTTACAACTTATGACCAGGAAGTTGTCTTTGAAGAGGAACTTCGTTGTCCCAACAACTCCTTACCTCAAGTGATCCACCCACCTTGGCCTCCCAAAATGCTGGGATTACAGGCGTAAGCCACCTAGGCTCGCCCCATAAATTTTTAATAGGAGAAAAGAGAAACTGTCAACCCCATGGTCCAAAGCTCTTCCCATTCATGGACCCGCACCCCGAGTCAGGATTCTCCCCTGACCACCCTCCCGTGGTCCCTGCACAATCTGGGAGAGACGCCACACTGCAGGCGCAGAGCTGCCCAGACAGGGCTCCAGGCCAGGGCACAGTCGCTGCACAGGGAAGAGGCAGGACACCCAGGTGTGGGGAAAAGGAAGAGAGATCAGATCGTTACTGTGACTATGTAGAAAAAGGAAGACAAAATAAACTCCATTTTGATCTCTAGTAAGAAAAATTGTTCTGCCTTGAGATGCTGTTAATCTGTAACTTTCGTCCCTACCCTGTGCTCACAAAAACATGTGCTGTGTAGACTCAAGGTTTAATGGATCTAGGGCTGTGCAGGATGTGCTTTGTTAAAAATGTGATTGCACGCAGAATGCTTGGTGAAAGTCATCGCCATTCTCCATTCTCTATTAACCAGAGACACAATGCACTGCGGAAGGCCGCAGGGACCCCTGCCCAAGAAAGCCTGGGTATTACACAGGTTTCCACTGACTGAGATAGCCTGAGATATGGCCTCATGGGAAGGGAAAGACCTTACAGCCCCCAAGCCCAACACCAGTAAAGGGTCTGTGCTGAGGAGGATTAGTGAAGAGGAAGGCCTCTATGCGGTTAAGAGGAAGGCATCTGTCTCCTGCATGCCTCTGGGAATGGAATGACTTGGTGTAAAACCGACCATACATTCTATTCTGAGACAGAAGAAAACTGCCATATGGCTGGAGGCGAGACATGGTGGCGGCAATACTGCTCTGCTACTTTTTACCACAATGAGATGTTTATGTAAAGTTAAACATAAATCTAGCCTACGTGCACATCCAGGCACAGCACCTTCCCTTAAACTTATATATGACACAGAGTCTTTCGCTTACGTTTTTCTGCTGACCCTCTCCCCACATTCACCCTATAGTTATGCCACATTCCCCTCGCCGAGATAGTAAAGATAGTGATCAATAAATACTGAGGGAACTCAGAGACCAGCGCGGGCGCAGGTCCTCACTTGCTGAGCGCCATCCACTGGGCCCACTTTTCTTCCTCTGTACTTTGTCTCCATGTCTTATTTCTTTTCTCAGTCTCTCATCTCCACCTTGCGAGAAATACCCATGGGTGTAGAGGGGCAGGCCCCCTTCACCCGGGATTCTGGCTGTCAGCACAGCTGCCGTCTTATGGCTGAAGGGGACTGAGGCCAAGCTGGGCAAGGAGAACTCGGGCGCAGATTGTGGAGATTACTGTGGGGAGGCCTGAGTCCCGCCACAGCCACATCACCCCGGTTCCAACTAGCCCCTCCCTCACTCTCAGGATGTCGGACTGGCACTGTCACTGTTTCTAGGCTTCCAGGGGGTCCTGGAGTCTTAGCTGTGGATCTCCCAAAACCTGCAGGTCAGAGGGACACAGAGCCTGGGCCTCTAGGAGCAGACGACACAGAGTAGTGAAGACCAGACCTGGAGCTCCCGCTGCAGCGAGAGACAAAGGCCCCACCAAACCCAGAAGTCGTCCTGTTCGCTTCAGCTTCATGCCTGATTTGAGGATTTCCTGCCCAGCGTCCCTGACTGGATAATGCTTAAGGCTCCGCCCCTTCAGGCCCTGAGTGACAGAAGATGTCATCAGATGCTGGGCTGAGTGAAGAAAGACTGACAACCTAAGCTGCAGCCTTTTCAGGCAGGGTTTCCTCCCTGAGCTGAGCCAAGCCCACCCCAGAGCTTGGGGAAATTCTCTCTCTTCTTTACTCTCTCTTTTTGAATTTATTCAAAAGGTGAACAGAAGTATTTTGCTTTCATATTAATAATACATAAAATTTTTGTTCAAGAGAAAATCAACTTTTACTTTGGTAGTAGTGTATTTTGAATACTAAAGCTAATTTTAATAAACCTTATAAATAAATCAAATTTGTCATTTTTGACCTCTCAAGATTTACATATATATTTTGTAATCTCTTGTAATTTTTTAAATTTTTTCTATTTTGTTTTTACCTATATTCTTTTTATTATTTCAATTCAAAACAACCTTTAAGTAATTTCAAACTGTTATAGGAGATAGAAAGAAGTCATTTAGGGCCAGCCACGGTGACTCACGCCTGTAATCCCAACACTTTGGGAGGCCAAGGTGGACAGATCACTTGAGGTCAGGAGTTTGAGACGAGCCTGGCCAACATGGTGAAACCCCATCTCTACCAAAAATACAAAAAATTACCCAGGCGTGGTGGTGCACACCTGTAGTCCCAGCTACTCTGGAGGATGAGGCAGGAGAATCAATTGAACCCAGGAGGCAGAGGTTGTGTAATGGCCCAAGGAGTTCACCTTGCCCTTTGCCTAGACAGAGCCAATTAATCAAGATGGGGGAATTTGTGGAGGAAAAGTTAAATATTAAATTTGAACTTAATTGAACATGGACACAAACAATAGTCAACAAGTCATGGAACAGGTTGTGTGAGCCCCTTGAGGCATTCATCCAGCGCTGTTTTGGAGAAATCTCTATTTTAATCTATTCCTATACATTAGTTATTGAAAAACAATAGACAATCGCAAAAAAAGTTGATCTTCTTGTGTTTCTTGAGCCCAGTCGTGAAGGGCCCTCGTGACTGGGCCTCATGCCAAACAACTCGTTACAAAAAGAGCTAGGATCCCAGACTGCACCGAAGTTTTGTGAGACCTCTCCTTGTCTGTGCACGGATGGCTGGATGACTCTGGAGCCCAAGCTGTTGCTTCCCAGTCTGGTGGTGAACCCTCCATAGTCCGATGAGTGTGGTGTCCAACTCTGGAGCCCAGCCTGTTGCTTCCTGGTCTGGTGGTGAGTCTCCATAGTCTGGTGTGGAGGCAAATTTGAATATTAAATTTGAACTAATTGAATGTGGACACAAACAATGGTCACCAAGTCCTGGCACAGGTTGTGTGAGCCCATTCAGGGGTTCATCCAGTGCTGTTTAGGAGAAATCTCTATTTCAATCTATTCCTATACATTCGTTATTGAGAAACAATAGACAATCACAAAAACAAGTTGACCTTTTTGTGTTCCTTGAGCCCAGTCGTGAAGGGCCCTCATGACTAAGCCCCATGCCAAAAAACTTGTTACAAAAGAGCTAGGGTCCCAGACTGCACTGAAGATTCATGAGAGCTCTCCTCTTCTGTGCACAGATGAGTGGCCGACTCTGGAGCCCAGGTTGTTTCTTCCCAGTCTGGTGGTGAATCCTCCATAGCCTGGTGAGTGTAAATATATATATATCTCTTTTCCATTCTCCTCTTCCCATCACAATTTGCTTATTATATCAATCTGCTTATTATATTGATTTGCCTATTATATCATTTGCCCATTATATCATTTGTTTATTATATCTGTGTAGGGTCCAGCCCCATAGGGTTGGTGGGTTTTTCTCCCTGTGTGCAGAGATGAGAGAGTGTAGAAATAAAGACACAAGACGAAGAGATAAAAGAAAAGACAGCTGGGCCCGGGGGACAACTACTACCAAGATGCAGAGACCGGTAGTGGCCCCGAATGCCAGGCTGCACTGATATTTATTGGATACAAGACAAAGGGGCAGGGTAAGGAGTGTGAGCCATCTCCAATGATAGGTAAGGTCATAAGAATCACGTGTCCTTTGGACAGGGGGCGCTTTCCTGCCTGGCAGCCAAGGCAGAGAGAGAGAGGTGAGAGAGAGACAGCTTATGCCATTATTTCTGCTTATCAGAGACTTTTAGTACTTTCACTAATTTGCTACTGTTATCTAAAAGGCAGAGCCAGGTGTACAGGATGGAACCTGAAAGCAGACTAGGAGCGTGACCACTGAAGCACAGCATCACAGGGAGACGGTTAGGCCTCCAGACAACTGCAGGCAGGCCTGACTGATGTCAGGCCCTCCACAAGAGGTGGAGGAGTAGAGTCTTCTCTAAACTCCCGCAGGGAAAGGGAGACTCCCTTTCCCAGTCTGCTAAGTAGCAGGTGTTTTTCCTTGACACTGACTTTACCGCTAGACCATGGTCCGCTCGGCAACGGGCATCTTCCCAGATGCTGGCGTTACCCGCTAGACCAAGGAGCCCTCTGGTGGCCTTGTCTGGGCATAACAGAAGGCTCACACTTGTCTTCTGGTCACTTCTCACTATGTCCCCTCAGCTCCTATCTCTGTATGGCCTGGTTTTTCCTAGGTTATGATTGTAGAGTGAGGATTACTATAATATTGGAATAAAGAATAATTGCTATAAACTAATGATTAATGATATTCATATATAATCATATCTAAGATCTATATCTAGTATAACTATTCTTATTTTATATATTTTATTATACTGGAACAGCTCGTGCCATCAGTCTCTTGCCTTGGCACCTGGGTGGCTTGCCACCCACATATCTGCATTGCCATTTATGTGGTATAAGGCTTGTTACCCTTAAAAGTATTGTGTGTATCTTTTCTTCTCCTCTTGCATGTTTCCCACCCAGAACATTTTTGGTGTCACAAACAGGATTTGAAAACAAAAGGTGCAGGTTTTGGCCAGAAGGACAGGGCTGGAGGCTTGGGGACTTCCCATATATCGGGATGGGAACTCCACCAGTTCTCCCCCATGGCAACCGAATGGTCAAGGGGAACTGGCCTTTGTGGGAATTGAGAATTAAATTAGTGCAATTTAAACCTTTGACTGTGCGGGAAGTGCTGCAGGAGATTCCAGTCAGCAAAGGAGATGCTGAGGGATCCCCTGGAGTCGATGGTGTTTGCTTACTGCTAATAAATTAATGTATCAAGAGAGGGGCTGGTTGCTACAAGATATTTTAAGTTGGAAAAGAAAAATGCTAGTGTGATTTCCAGACTGGCCCTGGCCCAATGCCAGGCCTATATCTTGACTGATCAGGCTCAAAGCTATCACCCTATTACTGAAAAAAGCAGCCGTCCGAATGGCTCGGTTAGGTTAAAACTGAAGAGCTAGTTTGCTGGGGCTTGGAGCAGGTAAAAACCCAGCTCCTACCTCCAGGATGGGAAATTAAACTTAGTAAAATTCAAGGACCTGCATAAACTGTAAAATTCCTTGGCATCCTATGGAATGCAGAGATATAGTCCATTTTACAAAAGGCTAAGGCTAAAATATTAGAATTTGCAAACCCTACTACTTAAAAGGAGGCCCAGACATTTATTGGCTGGTTTAGATTCTGGAGACATCATATTCCCCACTTGGGTAACATTTTACAACCTCTGCATGCAGCCACTAGAAAACGCTATGACTTTCACTGGGGAAAGAAGGAGAACATGGCTTCTGAACAAGCTAAATGAGTGGGTCAACTGGCCCTGGATCTATGGCCCATACAGGATGGGCCAGGAGAACTGCAAGTAACTGTCCTAGATCAAAATGCTAATTGGAGCCTTAGGCAGAAACAAGGTGGGAAGAGGGTACCTTTCAGGTTTTGGACCCAGAAACTGCCAGAGGCCGGAAAAGCTTATACCCCTTTCAAGAAGCAATTGTTAGCTTCTTATTGGGCTTTGCTGGAAACAGAACACCTCTGCTTCAACCATGATGTCTTTATGAGGCCCGAAACTCCTATTATGACTTGGCTCATGAGTTCCCCCAAAACCCACCAGATAGGGCATGCCCAAGAAGGAGCATCATAAAATGGACGTGGTACATACAAGACCAGGCTAAGCCAAAACCAAAGTGGGTATCACTTTTACATGAGGATGCACAAAACCTGCCAGCTCAGGAAATCATGGAGCAAGTCCTGCAGGTAGGGAAGGAAATCCCCTCACTCCCACCCAGTGGGGCAAATCCTTTGAAGAACTAAGCCCAGAGGATCAGAAACATGCTTGATTTACAGACGGATCCGCCAAATACATTGGTGGGACCTGATGCTGGAAGGCTGTGGCTTATAATCCTGTTAAAAACATAAAAATTTCTGATGAAGGAAGGGGTGGGAGCAGCGAGTTAGCTGAACTAGTAGCCATCCTTCAAGCTATTCAGGAGGAAGGCAGAGGGATTTCTCACTTGTATACCAAATCTTGGTCAGTACCAAATGGTCTTTCTACCTGGAAGCCCCAATGACAATGAAACAAATGGTTAATTCAGAATAAAGAGGTTTGGGGACAACAATACTTGGAAGATATCTCAATCCATTGCACACTGCCATTATCACTGTTTCACTGTTATCACTGTTTCAACAAGGTTTCACCATGTTGGCCAGGATGGTCTCGATCTCCTGATCTCGTGATCCGCCCACCTCAGCCTCCCAAAGTGCTGGGATTACAGGCGTCAGCCACCATGTGGGGGAAAGAAAGAGAGATCAGACTGTTACTGTGTCTATGTAGAAAAAGGAAGACATAAGAAACTCCATTTTGATCTGTACTAAGAAAAATTCTTCTGTCTTAAGATACTGTTAATCTGTAACCCCAGCCCCAACCCTGTGCCCGCAGAAACATGTGCTGTATTGACTCAAGATTTAATGTATTTAGGGCTGTACAGGATGTGCTTTGTTAAAAATGTCTTTGCAGACAGTATGCTTGGTAAAAGTCATCGCCATTCTCCAGTCTCCCGTACCCAGGGACACAATGCACTGCGGAAAGCCGCAGGGACCTCATGCCCAAGAAAGCCTGGGTATCGTCCAAGGTTTCCCCCCACTGAGACAGCCTGAGATATGGCCTCATGGGAAGGGAAAGACCTGACCATCCCCCAGCCCGACACCCATAAAGGGTCTGTGCTGAGGAGGATTAGTGAAAGAGGAAGGCCTCTTTGCAGTTGAGATAAGAGGAAGGTATCTGTCTCCTGCTCATCGCTGGGAATGGAATGTCTCGGTGTAAAACCTGATCATACATTCTATTTACTGAGATAGGAGAAAATCACCTTATGGCTGGAGGTGAGACATGCTGGCGACAATACTGCTCTTTACGACACTGAGATGTTTGTGTAAAGTCAAACATAAATCTGTCCTACGTGCACATCAAGGCACAGCACCTTTCCTTAAACTTATTTATGACACAAAGTCCTTTGCTCACATGTTTTCCTGCTGACCCTCTCCCCACCATTACCCTGTAGTCGTACCACATCCCCCTCACTGAGATGAAAGAGATAGTGATCAATAAATACTGAGGGAACTTAGAGACCAGTGCCGGGTGCGGGTCCTCCGTATGCTGAGCGCCGGTCCCCTGGGTCCACCTTTCTTCCTCTATACTTTGTCTCTGTGTCTTATTTCTTTTCTCAGTCTCTCATCTCCACCTTGTGAGAAACACCCACAGGTGTGGAGGGGCAGGCCCCCTTCACCACCATGTGCAGCCCTGTTTTCCATGTTGATGCCCATGCATCTCTGCTTTCTCTTGACAGGCTATTTAATCAGCAGGAAGAAAAACAGGCCACAATTTCCACCATAACAGTAAACTTGAATGTGGATGAATAGATTACAATGTGTTCAAGCCTTGCAAAGAGAGGCATTATAGTGTATGGTGGTGTAATTGATAGTGATTACCAGGGAGAGTTAAAGGTCATTTTATACAATAACACTCCAGATTCTTTTGCTATAAAACTAGATGCTGGTTACTCAATTTTTAGTGGTACCCTTGTCAACAATTAACTCCTGAGGAAATCTCTGCCCCAACAGAGTCTACATACAGAACTGGGGGATTCAGATCCCCTGGTACAGGTAGCTTAAATCCTGGAGCCAAAATATGCATACAGCGTCCATCACATCTTGACCCTAAGGCTGGTGACCTTGTAGCTATGAAAGCGGGAAATGAAGGCATAGTACAATTTCCTAAAGATGAAAAATAAATCATGTTCCACTCCATTTTTGTTATTACAGGGAATAACCTATCTACTAATGGTCAGCACCTGTGTCTTTGTGTCTGAAGCCAAGAATAAATTCATCACCTGGGTAGCCACCGCTGCAACTGAAGCCATCCACAGTCAATGTTGGCTATATGTTGAGTTGCCGGAGGCTGCCTGGGATGGGCTATCTTGAAGAATCGTCCCTGACAACATTTCTGAATGGCTATATTGTTACCAGTAGGGCCACAACAACAACAACACTTGCAATCCAACCTGGGCTTCCTTTCACCACACTAAGCAATCTATCTTTGCCAGGTCAGACAAAAGATGAACTCCACCCTCACCTTGCATCAAAAGTCTTGATATCTTGCCCAATAATCCTGGAACAATATACACTGAAAACCTGCTGTGCTGGTGGCTGGATTCCATACAGGCTTCGCTTTTTCTGGAGGCCTTAAATGGCTCCTCTAATGTTTCTTTGGGGTTTCTTCAGACATTTGTCAACACATACTCCAAATCAACAACACTGCCCCCCAATGAACCACAATCTCTTTCCTATTTTAATAACACATTAGTACACTATGATTACAGTAGCTCCATTGCTGTCCCCTGGGGGGCCCTCTGGGTATGCAGATCCTATGGGTTGCAATACTGTCCCTGCATTGGATGGGAAGATGCACTTGAGGGTGGACATTAATTCCATTCACTATCCGGGATAATATTCCCTTCCCCAGTAATCTAGATGCTTACAAACACCACTGGTTACAAATGTGCTGGTCTCCCTGGTGGTGGTACCCTATCACAGTATTCTCCCCTGCCACCAGTACATTCCTCCTTCACCAACACATTAAAATATTTACCTTACATGTAGAAAAAGCTCTTAATGATAGTAGCACTGAACTTGTGTTGTTATCAGATGAATTTGCTCAGCTGCGTACTATTGTGTTGCAAAATCAAATGGCATTAAAAATGCTTACCGCAGCCCAAGGAGGGGTTTGCACGTTACTGCAAACTGAATGTTGTGTGTATATCTCTGGTAATTCTCACAATATGACTCTCCTTGGAAAGCCATGCTGAGTGTGGTTTTTATTAATTGTGCTTTTAATTCTCCTGTGTTACCCTGTATCTGTAATCTATATCAATTATGCCTTTTCCATGTATCTGAGAGGGTATTTTCCTACAATTGAGTATCCAATTGAGGCCAAATGTGGAGGGAAAGTTAAATATTAAATTTGAACTAAATTGAATGTGGACACAAATAATGGTCACCAAGTCCTGGCAGAGGTTGTGTGAGCCCCTTGAGGCGTTCATCCAGTGCTGTTTCAGAAAAAAATCTTTATTTCAATCTATTCCTATACGTTAGAAATTGAAAAACAATAGGCAATCCCAAAAACAAGTTGGCCTTTTTGTGTTCCTTGAGCCCAGTCACAAAGGGCCCTTGTGACTGAGCCTCATGCCAAACAACTTGTTACAAAAAGAGCTAGGGTCCAAGACCGCACCAAGGCTTCAAGAGACCTCTCCTCGTTTGTGCATGGACGGGTGACCGCCTCCGGAGCCCAGGCTGTTTCTTCCTGCTGTGGTGACAAATCCTCCATAGTATGGTGAGTGCGGTGTCTGACTCTGGAGCCCAGGCTGTCACTTCCCTGTCTGGTGACAAATCCTCCATAGTCTGATGAGTGTAAATATATATACATGTTTTTTCCCTTCTCCCCTTCCCATTGCAATTTGCTTATTATATCAATTTGCTTATTATATGTGCATGGCCATTTACATGGAATAAAGCTTGTTTACCCTTAACGGTATTGTGTATGTGTCTTTTCTTCTCCCCTCATGCATTTCCTACACAGAACACCATATTTCTCAGAGGCTTTGTTTGCTCCTTTTAATTCTTTTTTCTGTAAACTTGTCTGCATGCCTCATTTCGGCAAGGTGGTCTTCAAACTCTGATATCCTTTCTTCTGCTTGGTCAATTTGGCTATTGATACTTTCGTATGCTTCACGAAGTTTTTGTGTTGTGTTTTTCAACTCCATCAGGTCATTTATGTTCCTCTTTAAACTGGTTACTCTATTTAGCAGTTCCTCTAACCTTTTATCAAGGTTCTTAACTTCTTTGCATTGGGTTAGAACATGTTTCTTTAGCTCAGCGGAGTGTGCTGTCACACATCTTCTGAAGCCTACTTCTGTCACTTCGTCCATCTCATCCTCTGTCCAGTTCTGCACCCTTGCTGAAGAGACATTGTGATCATTTGGAGGAGAAGAGGCACTTGGGCCTTTCAGGGGTTTTTGTTGATTCTTTCTCATCTTCATGAGTTTGTCTAGTTTCCATCTTTGAGACTGCTGACACTTGGATGAGTTTTTTTGTTCTGTTTTGTTTTGTTTTGAAATAGAGTCTCACTCTGTCACCCAGTATGGAGTGCAGTGGCACAATCTTGGCTCACTGCAACCTCCGCCTCCCAGGTTCAATTGATTCTCATGTCTCAGGCTCCCAAGTAGCTGGGACTACAGGCATGCACCACCACGGCAGTCTAAGTTTTGCATTTTTTAGTATAGGCAGGGTTTCACTATATTGGCCAGGCTGGTCTCGAATTGCTGACCTCAAGCAATCTGCCTGCCTCGGTCTCCCAAAGTGTTGGGATTACAGGTGTGAGCCACCACGCCCAGCCTTGGATGGGGTTTTTGTGGGTATGCTTTTGTTGTTGATGCTGTTGTTGTTTCTTCCTGTTTGTTTGTTTTTCTTTCAATAGTCAGGTCCCTCTTCTGTAGGGCTGCTGCAGTTTGCTGGGGGGTCACTTCAGGCCCTATTCATCTGTTTCACTCCTGTACCTGGAGATGTCACTCAAGAAGTTTCGAGAACAACAAAGAAGGGTGCCTGCTCCTTTCTCTGGGATCTCTGAACTCAAGAGGCACCAACCTGATACCAGTAGGATCGCTCCTGTATAGAGTGTCTGACAACCCCTGCTGAAGGGTCACACCCAGTTGGGTGGCATGGGGAGCAAAACCCATTAAATGAAGCACTTTGACTGTTCCTTGGTGGAGGAGGGGCTTTTTGCTAGGGAAAATCCCACTCGTCTGGGCTGCCCGAATTCCTCAGAGCAAGCAGGAGGAAAGGCTAAGTCTGCTGATTCACAGAGGATGCAGCCTCTTCTCCCCCTAGGGGCTCAGGCCCAGGGAGATCACAGTTCTGTCCCTGAGCCCCTGGCTGGAGCTGTTGGAGTTCCTGCTGGGAGGCCCTGCCCAGTGAGGAGGGATGGGTGAGGGTCAGGCCTGAAGAGACATTCTGGCTGCAGTCAGCCACAGCCGGTGTGTTGGGCTGTGGGGGACACCTCTTGAGACCAAGCTGTCCAGCCTCCCTGGCTCTAGCAGGGGAAAAGTGTGGTCAGGAGCTATAGATATGGCTGCTGCCTTTCCCCACCCAGGGATCTTAGCCTGTTAGGCAGTTGTGAGTCCCCGTGCTGGCTGCTGTCCCTCCCCCAAGGAGCTCAAACAGCTTAGACAGCAGCAAGCCACAGCTGTGGTGCTGGTCGTCCCTCCACTGGGAACTTAGCAGGCTTAAGCAGATTCTAGCTGAGAGGCTGTTGAGAATCTGCTCAGCTCCAGGGTTGTGTCAGGCACAGTAAGTTCCTCTTCAAAGGGTAACTTCCTTGTTCTTTGTTCTCAAATTCAACTTCCTTGTACCTTCCTGCTCCTAACTACCTGCTCTTCCTGCCAGTAAACAACTCTTCCAGCCAGTCCCAATCTGTAACCCACATCTCTTCTTATTTGGAAGAAGTCCTCCTCACTCCTAGTTACCTGCTCTGTAAACAAACTTCCCGCCTTTCTCTATTTAGCCAATCCAGTTAGTTTAGATTGTGCAGTCTGACTCCAGCCAATGGGGACAGGACACAGAAGTAGGGACTGCATTAGGGATAAAAACCCCTTCCCTCTCTTGTATGGTGTGCTCTCACAACAGCCAGAGACATGAGCAGCCTCTTCTGCAGAAGTAAATTTGCCTTGCTGAGAAATTCGTTGTTTGAGTGCTCATTTTCTTTGTGACTCCAAGCTCTTGTTTCCAACAGTTGGAACCTTAGGCTCCAGTGGCGTGGGTTCACAAGTTGAATCTTCTAATCAGTGGGATTCACTGTTCCATAGAGAAAGCGCAGTTTCCCAGACTGAGTAGCCTGCTCACTCACTGCCCCCCTTGGCTGGGGCTGGGGGCTCCCCAGCCCCATTTGGCTGTCAGGTGGGTTGCCACACCACACTGCTTTTCCTTCCTCTCCATGGGTCACACCAGCCACCTAGTCAGTTCTGATGAGAGAAACTGGATACCTCAGATGTCAGTGCAGGATTCACATGCTATTATGGTTCTTTTCTATGGGATGCTGCTGCTAGTCAGCCATCTTGGCCCCACCCCCACCAATTTTTCTTTGAATGTCTGATAGAGTTCAGCAGTGAATTCATCTGGTTCTGAACTTTTGTTTTTGCTTGGCAATTTGTGAAATTATTATTTCAATCTCACTGCCTGTTATTAGTCTGTTCAGAGTTTGTTTTTTTAATCTAGGAGGATTGCACATTTCCAGGAATTTATTCATCTCCTTTAGATTTTCTAGTTTTTGCATGTAAATGTGTTCATAGTAGCCCTGAATGTGATCTTTTGTATTTCTGTGGCATCAGTTGCAATAGCTTCCATTTCATTTCTAATGGAGCTTATTTGGATCTTCTCTCTTCTTTTCTTGGTTAATGCTGTTAATGGCCTATGAATTTTATTTATGTTTTCTAAGAGTTAGCTTTTCATTTCATTTATCTTTTGTATTTTTTTTCCGTTTGTTTCAGTTCATTTAGTTCTGGTCTTTCTTTTCTTCTGCTAGGTTTGGGTTTGACTTGTTTTTGTTTCTCCAGTTCCTTGAGGTGTTATCTTAGATTGTCTACTTACGCTCTTTCAGACTTTTTGATGTAGGCATTTGATACTATGAACTTTCCTTTTAGCACTGCTTTTGCTGTATCCCAGATGTTTTGATAGGTTGTGTCACTATTATCTTTCAGTTCAAAGAATTTTTAATTTCTATCTTGATTTCATCCAACGATCATTCAAAAATGGGTTGATCTTAAGTTTAATGTTTTTTCCAAAATTTATTTAATTTTCAAGTATTTGCATGGTTTTGATGGTTCATTTGGAGTTGATTTTCAATTTTATTACACTGTAGTCTGAGAGAGTAGTTGATATGGTTTTGATTGTCTTAAATTTATTGAGACTTGTTTTGTGGCCTATCATATGTCTATCTTGGAGAATGTTCCATGTGCTGATGAATTAAATGTATATTCTGAAGTTGTTGGGTAGAATGCTCTGTAAATATCTGGCAAGTCCATTTCTTCTAGGGTATAGCTTAAGTCCATTTTTTTTTTGTTATTGTTGACTTTCTGTCTTGATGACTTGTCTAGTGTTGTCAGTAGAGTATTGCAGTCCCCCATTATAATTGTATTGCCATCTATGTAATTTCTTAGGTCTAGTAGTAATTGTTTTATAAATTTAGGAGCTCCAGTGTTAGGCGCATACATATTTAGAATTGTGATATTTTCCTATTGGACTAGTTTCTTTATCATTACATAATGTCCCTCTTTGTCTTTTTCTTTTTGACTGTTTTTGCTTTAAAGTCTGTTTTGTCTAATGTAAGAATGGCTACTACTGCTTTCTTTTGGGGTATATTTGCATGGAATATCTTTTTCTAACCCTTTACCTTAAGTTTAAGTGAGTCGTTATGTGTTGGGTGAGCCTCTTGAAGACAGTAGATATTTCGTTGGTAAACTCTTATCCATTTTGCTATTCTGCATCTTTTAACTGGAATATTTAGGCCGTTTACATTCAACGTTAGTATTGAGATGTGAAGGACTATTCTATTCATTGTGCTAGTCATTGCCTGAATACCTTCTTTATTGTGTTATTGTTTTATAGGCCTTGAGAGATTTATGCCGTAAGGAGGTTCTATTTCATTGTATTTTGAGGTTTTGTTTCAAGATTTAGAACTCCTTTTAGCAGTTCTTACAGTAGTGGCTTGGTAGTGGTGAATTCTCTAAGCATTTGTTTGTCTGAAAAAGACTGTATCTTTCCTTCATTTATGAAGCTTAGTTTCACTGGATACAAAATTTTTGGCTGATACTTGTTCTGTTTAAGGAGGCTAGACAGAGGACCCCAATCGCTTCTAGCTTGTAGGGTTTCTGCTGAGAAATCTGCTGTTAATCTGATATGTCTTTCTTTATAGGTTATCTGATGCTTTTGTCTCACAGCTCTTAAAAATCTCTTCTTCATATTGACTTCAGATAACCTGGTGACTATGCGCCTAGGTGATGATCTTTTTGTGATGAATTTCCTTGGTGTTCTTTGAACTTCTTGTATTTGCATGTCTAGATCTCTAGCAAGGCCAGGAAAGTTTTTCTCAATTATTCCCTCAAATAAGTTTTCCAAACTTTTAGATTTCTCCTCTACCTTGGGAACACCAATTATTGTTAGATTTTATTGTTTAACATAATTCCAAGCTTCTTGGAGGCTTAGCTCATTTTTAAATTCTTTTTTGTTTGTCTTTGTTAGATTGGAATATTCAAAAGTCTTGTCTTTGAGGTCTGAAGTTCTTTCTTCTACTTGTTTGGTTCTATTGTTGTAATTTCCCACTATAATTTGCATTTCTTTAAGTGTGCCTTTCATTTCCAGAAGTCATGGTTGTTTTCTATTTATGCTATCTATTTCTCTGGAGATTTTTTTCATCCATATCCTGTATTTTTTAAAAATTTCATTAAGTTAGTATTCACCTTTCTGTAGTGTCTCTTTAAGTGGCTTAATAATGGAATTTATGAATTCTTTCTCTGGCAATTCAGGGATTTTTTTCTTGGTTTGGATCCACTGCTAGTGAGCTTGTGTGGTCCTTTGAAGGTGTTAAAAAAAATTCTTGCTTTTGGCCAAGCATGGTGGCTCACAGCTGTAATCCCAGCACTTTGGGAGGCTGAGGCGGGTGGAACATGAGGTCAGGAGATCGAGACCATCCTGGCTATCACGGTGAAACCCCATATCTACTAAAAAAACAAAAAGCTAGCCAGGTGTTGTGGTGGGTACCTGTAGTTCCAGCTGCTTGGGAGGCTGAGGAAGGAGAACGGCATGAACCTGGGAGGCGGAGCTTGCAGTGAGCCGAGATCATGCCACTGCACTCCAGCCTGGGCGACAGAGTGAGGCTCTGTAACCAAAAAAAAAAAAAAAAAAAAAAAATTATTGCTTTTTTATATTACCAGAATTTTGTTTTGGTTCCTTCTCATTTGGGTAGTCTATGTCAGAAGTAAGACCTGAGGCTCTAGGCTGCTGTTCAGATTCTTTTGTTTCATGGGGTGATCCCTTGATGTGATGGTCTCCCCTTTTCCCTTGGGATGGGGCTTCCTGAGAGTCAGACTGCAGGGATTGTTATTGCTCTTCTGGGTTTAACCACCCAGTGGAGCTACTGGTCTCTGGGCTGGTACTGGGGAGTATCTGCAAAGAGTCCTGTGATGTGATCTGTCTTCAGGTTTCTCAGCCATGGATAATACCACCTGCTCTGGTAGAGGTAGCAGGGGACTAAAGTGGACTCTGTGAGGGTCCTTGGTTGTAATTCAGTTTAGTGCACTGGTTTTTTTGAATGCAGGTTGTTCTAGCAGTGAAGTTGTCACATGGACAGACTGAAGACTTCTGTGTAGCCAGGATGTTACAATGTTACAGGTGGAATTAGCTGTTGTTTTCTCCTTTATTGGAGTGGGTTTTTTTTTTTTTTTTTTTTGAGATGGAGTTTCACTCTTGTTGCCCAGGCTGGAGTGCAGTGGCACGACCTTGGCTCACTGCAACCTTGGCCTCCTGGGTTCAAGTGATTCTCCTGCCTCAGCCTCCTGAGTAGCTGGGATTACAGGCATGTTCCACCATGCCTGGTTAATTTTACATTTTTAGTAGCGAGGGGGTTTCTCCATTTTTGTCAGGCTGGTCTCAAACTCCTGACCTCAGGTGATCCACCCACCTCAGCCTCCCATAGTGCTGTGATTATGGGTGTGAGCCACCCCACCTGGCAGGGGTCATTATTTTGTGAGTTACTGTAAGGGCTTGAGTTGGTTGGCCTCCAACCTGGAGGTGGCAGCTTTAAGACAGCATCAGCTGTGGTAATATGGGGGTATGCAAGCTTGCCACCAGGTCACCTGGATAAGTATTCATGTTTTTCAGGCAATGAGTGGGAACATAGAGCTCCCAAGAGAGTATGTCTTTTGTCCTCAGCTACCAGGGTGGGTAGAGTAAGACCATCAGGTGAGGGCAGGGTTGGACATGTCTGAGCTCAGACCCTCCTTGGGTGGGGCTTGCTGCAGCTGCTGTGGGGTTGGGAGTATGGTTCTCAGGCCAATGGAGTTATGTTTCCAGGGGGATTATGGCTGCCTCTGCTGTATCATATAGGTCAGGATGGAAGTGAAGGAAAGCCAGCAGTGACAGGCCTCACTCAGCTCCCATGAAGCCAGCAAGGCCAGTTTCACTCACACCCTACCCACCAACAGCATCAAGTTTATATCCAGTTGGTGAGCAGTACTGAGATCTTGCCCCAGGCTATAAGCCTCCCCATTGAGAAAGCAACCTGGGCTTTCAGGCCCCACCCCTCACCACCTGCCATGGATTCTGTGCCCATATCTGTGCTTCCCATTCACTGTCCCCTCACCGATTCTGCCAAGGAAAATTCACACTAGGTCAAAACTATTACAAAGTTTAGCTGGCAGTTTCCTTCTCCCTGTGGTTCTTCCCCAATTCCACTGGCAGCCCGTCCCAAGGACCCCTGTGAGATAAAGTCAGAAACGGCTTCCCTGAGGACCAAGAGTGCCTGTAGGGCTCTTCCCACTGCTTCTTCTACTTTTATATTTTGCTTGGCTCTCTAAGTTCATTTCGGCTCTAGGTGAGGTTAAATGCTTCTCTGGTGATCTGGATTTTCAGGTTTTGAGTATGTGTGTTTAGAGGTGAATGTTCCGTCTCTTACACTTTTGGCACTTTCTGTTTTTCAGTTGTCTCGCAGAGGTTGCAGTGGCAAGCCACTTCTTTCAAAGAGTCTGTGCATTCTTTTGGTTTTCCTGGTATGTTTCTATGGTAGTTCTTGGAGCAAAAGTTCATGATGAGAGTCTCCACATGCTGTTCTGTCCATCCAAGTGGGAGATACAAGTTAGTCCTGTCTCCTAGCCACCATTTTTTCTTTTTGCCTTTTGAGAGAAAGATATTGATTGACTCTTCATCAGAGATTTAAAAAAAACTGTTAAGTAGGACTTCTCTCTCTTTCTTTTTCTTTTCTTTTTTTTTTCTTTTTTCTTTTCTTTTTTTTTTTTTTTTTTGCCAAGGAGTTTTATTCTTGTTGTCCAGGCTGGAGTGCAATGGCACGACCTCGGCTAACTGCAACCTCTGCCTCCCTGATTAAAGCAATTCTCCTGTCTCAGCCTTGTGAGTAGCTAGGATTACAGGCATTTTGTATTTTTAGTAGAGACAGTGTTTCACCATGTTAGTCAGGCTGGTATCGAAATCCCAATCTCAGGTGATCCACCTGCCCGGACCTCCCAAAGTGCTGGCATTACAGGCGTGAGCCACTGCACCTGGCTCTCTTTATTGTTTTAAACAGAACTCTAATTTTTCTTCAGGCCACTGATTTAGTTTCTTATTATACATTTATTTATTTATCTGTTTCTTATTGCCTGTCCCCCCAACTAGACCAATTGCAAAAAATTCAACTGCAGAAATATAAGGTAAGTTTTTCATGGATGATTACTCATTAACTATAAATACATAAAAATTTTATGTACACATTTATCTGAGCTGCCCTCATATGGCCTTCTACAGAATGCTTGAAGTTAGATTAAAAATAATCTACAGATAAATATTCACTGATAGAATGCTTAAAGTTGAAGCCTACTGGTGAAAATGTTGTTCCTTTCTCACCAGAAATGAAGTAGATACATTTATTTCTGGACTTGCTATTATGCTTCATTAGTGTGTGTTTATTTTTATCCAGTGCCATGCCGTTTGCTTATTGTAGCTTTTTTTTTTTTTGAGACAAGGTCTCATTCTGTTGCCCAGGATGGAGTGCAGTGGCTTGATCATGGCTCACTGTGGCCTCGACCTCACAGGATCAAAGGATCCTCCTACCTCAGTGTCTCAAGCAGCTGAGACTACGGGTTTGTGCCATTATTCCCTGCTAATTTTTGTAGTTTTTGTAGAGATGGTGTTTTGTTATGTTGCCCAGGCTGGTCTAAAACTCCTGGGCTCAAGCAACCCACCTTGGCCTCCCAAACTACTGGGATCACAGGTGTGAGCCACTACACCTGGCCTTACTGTAGCTTTGTAATATATTCAGAGACCAGGTAGTGTGATGCCGCCAGCTTTGTTCTTTTTCCTCAAGATTGCTTAGGCTATTCTGGGTCTTTCATGAATTGATAAAGATTTGTGAATTACTTTTTAATTCTGTAAAAAATATAATTGGAATTTTTATAAGGATTGCATTAAATCTGTAGATCACTTTGGGTAGTATGGACATTTTCACAATATTAATTCTTTCCATTCATGAGCACGGTGTCTCATGAATTTTTTAGTGTCTTCAATTTATTTTATTAATGTTTTAGAGTTTTTAGTGTATGGATCTTTTACCTCTTTGAATAAATTTATTTATGTGTATTTTATTCTTTTTGATGCTGTGGTAAATGAAATTTTAATCTCAATCCTTGTCTACACATCTATTCAACTTTAACAGCTTTAGAGTTTAAACCAAATACGTGTGGCAATGCAGGAGAGGAAAGAAACCCAAAGTTTTATAGTTTTGTAAAATACAGGTGCTCAATTTAGCATCCTGTGTTATGCCCTGGGGTGCCAAGCATCGCATTAAGCTCAAACTTAAGCTCAGATTGACTTATTCTTTGGGATAACCCAAAGATAGAGGAACTCATCATCCTTATTTTACATAGGCAGAGATGGCCAGGCGCTGTGACTCACCCTGTAATCCCAGCACTTTGGGAAGCCGAGGCAGGTGGATCATGAGGTCAGGAGCCCGAGACCAGCCTGACCAACATGGTGAAACCCCGTCTCTACTAAAAATACAAAAATTAGCTGGGTGTGGTGGCGGGCGCGTGTAATCCCAGCTACTCAGGAGGCTGAGGCAGGAGAATTGCTTGAACCCGGGAGGTGGAGGTTGTGGTGAGCCGAGATTGCACCACTGCACTCCAGCCTGGGTGACAGAGCAAGACTCCATCTCAAAAAAAAAAAAAAAAAAAAAGTACATAGGCGGAGATGGCTGCATAGAGAGAATAAATAAATATACACAATCGCATGGCTGGTACATGGTAAACTGGAACTTCTAGTACAGGCCATCTGACCCTGAACTTCAAATGGGCTGGGAAGCTTCTTACCTTCTGTCTATGAAAAGACCAGAGATGCCAGAGAATGCCATTTGAGTCTTTGGTGAATAGGTGAAAACTTCAAATATTGATAATCAGGAGGAAGGAGTTAGATTGACCCACTACTTGATGGAACACTTATTTTTAACTTAATGCAGCCATGAAAGTGCTTATAACACTTGGGGCTTTAAGTTCATCAATTAAGGCAGAATTTCTATATAGTATGCTTTTCCCTATAAAATGTATTTAGCCATTGATAACTCTATGTAGTTCTGTGGAATATGTGCTTATTAGACAGATCAGGTGTTTCGGCTAAGAATAAGATGAGTAACTGTGTTTTAAAAATATATATTTATAAATAATTTTAATCTTGAATATTTAATAACCATTAACTACTGTTTGAATACGTCTTTGTCCAAAACATATATATGTCTATATACATTCTAGATAATATATAATATGTATATATATAATACATACATACATATATAATCATATGTAATATAACTGTACCTTCTGTGGCTATTATGAGCTTCATTGCTCGCAAGCTCCAGGATATGGGGCATCAGGTACTCAAGAGTGGCAGCAGGAAACATAAGCATGGAAGAGTCCAGGCACTGGGCACAGGAGATCTCCCACAAGAGGTGTCCAAATATACCAAGGGGAACCGTACGTAGTTCTGCTCTTGCTAAGAGTGTAAAGTCTGTTTTTTTGTTGTTGTTGTTGAGATGGAGTTTCACTCTGTCACCCAGGCTGGAGTGCAGTGGCATGATCTCAGCTCACTGCAACTTCTGCCTCCCGGGTTCAAGCAATTCTCCTCGCTCAGCCTCCTGAGTAGGTGGGATGATAGGCATGCGCCACCACGCCCAGCTAATTTTTGTATTTTTAGTAGAGACGGGGTTTCACTATGTTGGTCAGGCTGGTCTTGAACTCCTGACCTCTTAATCCACCCACCTCATCTGCACAAAGTCCTGGGATTACAGGCATGAGCCACTGTGCCCGGCCTGAAGTCTGCTTTTTATGTCTATCAGAGCTTCAAAGTCTTCTTTTCCTAGACATGGGCTTTTGTGAATGGTATAGTTTAGATGTAGTTTGTCCCTGAAAAAGACTCATGTTGAAATTTGATCCCCTATGTGGCAGTGTTGGGAGGGGGGCCTCATGTGAGATTTTAGGTCATAAATAGATTAATGCTCTCCTGCAGAGATGAGTTCTCACTCTCAAAGTTTCCAGCAAGAATAGATTTTTAAAAATCTGGCTTTCTCAAGTTTATCTCCCTTTTGCTTCACCTCTTGCTATATAATCTTTTTGCACATACCTGCTTCCCTTCTGCTTTCTACCATGAGTGGAAGTAACATGAGGTGTTGGGGTGATCAGACCCAACACCAGGTCGTGGGGGTGACGAAGTCCGTTGGAGTCAAAGGACTGAGAAAAAGACAGTTTGAGAGAGAAAGTGGGACCAGGGGGCCATCACGAGTGTGGAGACTGTGAAGGCCCCAAGCTCTGGGAGCCCATGCTATTTATTGGTGCCAAACAAACAGGTGATGAGGATTTGGGGGTTGAAAGGAAACAGTGTATCAAGTGAATGAGAAACATATGGCTGCTTGAGATAACGAGAGTGCTAGAAGCAAGGAGCCAGCAAGTCTAGCAGACATGCAAGCCCTGCCTCAGCTTCTCTCCCAACACTCAGCTTTTCTCCCAACATGAGGCTTTCACCAAAAGCCAAACAGATGCCAGCTCCATTCCTCTTGTGCTTCCCAGCCTGAAGAACCATGAGCTAAATAAACCTCTTTATACATTACCCAGTCTCAGGTTCTCCTATATCACAAAAAGGACTAAACCAGTGAGCTTTGCATTAATCAACCTGATTTTCAACCTGGCCTTGGCCTCTCAAGACCCCAGTGCTCAGTCACACCCACTATGTCCATGTGGGCCTGTCCTTCACTCATCTTTGTAATACTCTAGACTTTTGAATGCCACTCATGTCAACTTGGCCATGAACTGGCCTAGGCCTAGAAATGCCCATGATTAGAATCTAGTCACTCTAATGACTGAACCCTCTTTTTAAAGAAACTCTAGCTATTCAATTGACTTTGTTGTAGAAAAAAATGTGTCATCAATAAAATACTTTGCCCTGTCTAGAGGACACCACTACAGATTATCACACTCTAGCCAGTACTCTCTTTGAGTGCTTTTACAACTTTTTCTAAGGTTTAGGTCACTGAAAGACATTCACAATGTCTTGTCCAGTAGAGTGTAAATTGTTTCTTCTCTCACAATACAATAATACGAGTCTCCCTCCATTTATATATTTATTTAAATATTTCCAATTTATATTGCTTTTGCTGTATATTTGAATTTTTTTTGTACTGGTTATCATGTATGCTGATTCCTCAGAAGTTAAATAAACATTTTAATATGTGTGCCTATCTTTTGTTGTTATTTAGATATCTAGGTGACTACAGCTTCAGTAGAAATTTGTTGACTTCGTTTTGATTTTATTTGCAATTTTCCTTTCGGCTTATTTAGTGTTTCTGTGTTTTTCTGCTGCATTTACAGCATATTATCTAGTCTTTATCACTGGCAACAGTGGCTTGAAGTTTGTTTATAAAATTATGTTTATTGAGATGAAATTCACATAACATCAAATTCAATATCTTAATTATTTTCAGGTTTACAGTTCAGTGTCTTTTTGTGTATTCACAATGCTTTACAATCATTAGCACTAGGTAATTTTTGAACAGTGTAATTACCCAAAAAAGAAACCCCACACCCATCAAAAGCCACTTTCTATTTTCCCCACCGGCCTCTGGCAACCACTAACCCGCTTTCTGTTTCCAAGGATTTGCCTATTTTGGGCATTTGATACAAATGGATTCATAAAGTATATGATGCTTTTTGTATAGCTTTTTTCTTTTCTTTTCTTTTGAGATGGATTCTCACACTATCTTCTGGGCTGGAGTGCAATGGCACGATCTCGGCTAACTGCAACCTCTGCTTCCTGGGTTCAAGTGATTCTGCTGCCTCAACCTCCTGAGTATCTGGAATTACAGGCACACACCACAACACCTGGCTAATTTTTTGTATTTTTAGTAAAGACGGGGTTTCACTATGTTGGCCAGACTGGTCTCAAACTCCTGACCTCATGATCCACCTGCCTTAGCCTCCCAAAGTGCTGGGATTACAGGCGTGAGCCACCGCACCTGGCCTTGTATAGTTTTTTTCATCAAGCATAATGTCTTTAATATCCATCCATGTTGTGTCCCATATTAGTACATCATTCCTTTTTCTGGCTGAATACTATTGCCTTGTATACTACATCACATTTGTCAATCTAGTCCTCCATGGATAGGCATTTACACTGGTTTCACTTTTTGGCTATAACAAATGTTTCTATGGACATGCATATACAAGTTTTTGTGTGGACCTATTTTGATTTCAGTTGAGTATATACTCAGAAGTGGAATTGCTAAGCCATGTGGTAACTCTGTGTTAACCTCAGGAGGAACTGCCAAAATGTTTTCCAAAACTGCTGCCTAATTTTGCCATTCCACCAGCACTGTATGAAGGTTTCAATTTCCCCACATCTTCACCCACACTGATCTGTCCTCTGAAATATACCTGTACCAGCAGGTGTGAGGTGATATATCACTGTGGTTTTGACTTGCATCTTTCTAATGAACAAAGATGTTGTGCATCTTTTCATGTGCTCATTGGCCACTTGTACAGAATAAAAATCTTGGAGCCACTGGTCCAGATTATGAGTCTCAAACACATGTTACGAACAGATTTTTGATGCTGCACAAGAAATAGCACTCAGCAAGGCAAATTTACTTCTATAGAAGGGTTCACCTCGTAAATTAAGCAATGGCAAGGGCGCACAGAACAAAGGAAGCAGGAGTTTTTATTATCTCTGACACAGCTTCTACTTCTGTATCTTTCCCCTATTGGTTAGGGTTGGACCGCACAGTCTAAACCAGTCCCGATTGGCTAAATACTTAAAACTTTTTAGATAAGGTAGTCACGTAAGGGAAGTAAGAGAGAAAGAAGGCGGGTCACTTATGGGGAAACTACAAAAGTAACCTATTCCCTAATAAGGAAAGGAATGTGGACTGGGACTGGGGTTGTAGGAAGTTCACGCATGTCTAGGCATAGTTAGATAAGTTGGGGCACAGGTGAGGTAAGGAATATTTGGAATTATAGAATAAAGAATGGGGAAAATGGATAAGGTATTTGAAGAGTGAACCTAACTGTATCTAACACACAAAACACCATGGAATGATGATAATTCAGTACATAGTAATCTTATAATTCTGTTATTATCTAATGAAGAACAGCATCCCAAATCTTTTTTGTGTTGTTTTTGTTGTTCGATTTGCCAATCACATGCATAGAAAAAAATGGTATTTACCAGTGTATTTACAATCCAGGACAAGATGTTGGAGGGCCCAATGTATTTGGGAGCTTGTAGTTTCAACTGTGCCCACCTGATGTGGCTGATAATAATAGTTAGAAGATACTCAAGAGGGCCGGGCATGGTGGCTCATGCCCAGAATCCCAGAACTTTGGGAGGCCAAGGCAGGTGGATCACCTGAGGTCAAGAGTTTGAGACCAGCCTGGCCAACATGTTGAAACCCCGTCTGTACTAAAAATACAAAAATTAGCTGGGCGTGGTGTCAAGCACCTATAATCCCAGCTACTTGAGAGGCTGAGGCAGGAGAATCACTTGAACCCAGGAGGTGGAGGTGGCAGTGAGCCAAGATCATGACATTGCACTCCAGCCTGGTGACAAGAGCAAAACTCTGTCTCAAAAAAGAAAAAAAAGAAGATACCTAAGAGGCAGGTGGTGGCAATACACACACCTCTGCCCACTCTGTGAACATAGAAAACACATTTGAATGCAATGTCACTGAGGAAATGCTTTAAATTAAAAACAGTCATTGTCTGTAAGGCTGCTTTGGATAATATGACCGAGATGTTGGCTATAGCCAGGTGCTTGAGAATCAAATCTGTGGACTTTAGTATCCACCTGGTGTAACGAAATGCAAAAAAAAAAAAAACCAAACAAACAAATAAACAAAATTCCCCAATAATCAGACTGTTGTCTGAGAAAAGATCATTCCTATTACCAAATCCCTGGAGGCCATTCATTATTTTCCAGTTACTAATATTTTCATTCAGAGTGAGAATATTCTGCATAGACACATAAGGTCTGTTTTATGGTGGCAACTAAAATGGACTATTTTTCCACATACTATTGTTTTCAACTTATAACTTTGTTTTTAAACTCCACTTTTCTTTCACTAAGATTTTTTTGATTCTCTCTCTCTTTCTACACACACACACACACACACACACACACACAGATATAAACACATACACACACATATAGATATTTACACATTATTTTCATTTAGCCTGTGCTTTTAAAAATAAATTTCAGTGGTTGACACCTAGTTCACATGTTGTCAGGCATTTTCTATTTTAGTAATTTAATTTTCACCTATATTATTTCATTGAAATACATTTGAATTAAATATGAAACTTTAATATGAAAGATTCCATTGGCTTTTCTTGCAAAAAACTTTAATATAAAAGATGCCATTGGCTTTTTTATTATTATAAATATATGTAGTGTGATAACACTGTATACATAGCACTATAAAACTACTGTATTAGTGTGTTACATATAATTTTTATAACTCTATGAAGTGCTTTATTATTCCCATTTTACAGGTGAAGAGAGCTTAGATACAAATAGAATAAATAACATTTCTAAAATCACCTCCTTGTAGGAGGCAGTTTCAGGAGTTGAAGATGTTTTTAACAATAGTTAATATATGCTGTCTCAACATCAGATATATATTTTTTAAAAATCTACATAGGCCAGGCACAGTGGCTCACTCCTGTAATCCCAGCAATTTGGGAGGCTGAGGTGGGTTGATCACGAGGTCAGGAGATCGAGAGTGGTGAAACCCCGTCTCTGTTAAAAATACAAAAACTAGCTGAGCATGGTGGCACGTGCCTGTAATCCCAGCTACTCAGGAGGCTGAGGCAGGAGAATTGCTTGAACCCAGGAGGTGGAAGCTGCAGTGAGCCAAGCCACTGCACTCCAGCCTGGGTGACAGAGCGAGACTTTGTCTAAAAAAATAAATAAATAAATAACGACACATATTTTAAAAACATGTACCTCTTGTTAGCTTTTTAAAGAATGTTTGTACATATTTATTTAAAAATGCATATGAAAATTTTACATTTAAATATGATTGCATAATTTATTGGCAAATATCTATAATGATTCAAAGATTCAAGTAGAATATAAATGTTCTGATTTAGCATCATCTTAAAATAAGTGGAATTTGTTGAATGCAAAAATGGTTTCCTCATGGAATTAGAAGACTTTTTAACTTAACCAAGAAGGAGCACATAATGGAATGGCAATTGAGAAAAGGGACTTGAAACATGAGTAGAAGGTCAAATATTGCATAGAAAAACTAAATTACCATAAGTATATAGAGAAAATCAGTATTTGTGAATGCAAAAATATCAAATAAAATTATGTCAGGGAGGTGAAAGATCTCTGCAATGAGAATCACAAAACACTGCTGATAGGGATCAGAGAAAGCACAAAGTAATGGAAAACCATTCCATGCTCATGAATAAAAAGAATCAATATTGTTAAAATGGCTATACTGTCCAAAACAATTTACAGATTCAATGCTATTCCTATCAAACTACCAATAGTATTTTCCCCAGAATTTTTTCTAATATTTATATAAAAACAACAAAGAGTCTAAATAGCCAAAGTAATCTTAAGCAAAAAGAACGAAGCTAGAGGCACCACACTTCCCAACTTCAAACTATACTACAAAGCTGCAGTAATCTAAATAACATGGTACTGGTAAAAAATCAGACATATAGACCAGTGGACCAGGTTAGAGAACCCAGATATAAAGCCACCCACCTATAACTATCTGATCTTTGACAAAGTTGACAATAACAACCAAGGGGAAAGAACTTCTTATTCAATAAATGGTGCTGAGATAATGGACTAGCCATATGCAGAAGTTTGAAACTGGACCTCTATCTCTCTCCATGTACAAAATCCACCTAACATTTGCTACAGACTTAAATATAAAATCTAAAACTGTAAAATCCCTAGGAGAAAACCTAGGAAATACTATTCTGCCAATAGGTCTTGGCAAAGATTTCACGATGATGACACCCAAAGCAACTGCAACAAATAGAGAAACTGACAAGTAGGACCTAATTAAACTTAAGAGCTTCTACACAGTGAAAGAAACTATCAATAGAGTAAACAGACAACCTACATAATGAAAGAAAATATTTGCAAACTATGCATCTGAAAAAGGTCTAATATCCAGAATCTATAAAGAAACATAAATGGCCAGGTGCAGTGGCTCACACCTGTAATCCCCGCACTTTGGGAGGCCTAAGTGGGTGAATCACGTGGTCAGGAGTTTCAGACCAGCCTGACCAATATGGTGAAACCCCCGTCTTTACTAAAAATACAAAAAATTAGCTGGGCCTGGTGGTGGGCACCTGTAATTCCAGCTACTCGGGAGGCTGAGGCAGGAAAATCACTTGAACCCAGGAGGTGGAGGTTGCAGTGAGCCAAGATTGAACAACTGCACTCCAGCCCACTCCAGCCCGGGCGACAGTGAGAGACTTCATCTCAAAACAAACAAACAAACAAACCATAAACAAATCAACAAGCGAAATATAAACAACCCCATTAAAGAATGAACAAAGGACATAAACAGACACTTCTCAAAAGAAGACATATGCACAGCCAAAGAGCATATTTAAAAAATGGTCAACGTCACTAATTATTAGAGAAAGGCAAATAAAAACCACAATGTGACACCATCTCAGTCCAGTCAGAGTGTCTATTATTAAAAAGCCAAAAAACAATAAATATTGATGAGGTTGCAGGGAAAAGGGAGTGTAAGTTAGTTCAGCCACTGTGGAAAGAGCAATGTGAAGATTTCTCAAATAACTTTAAATCATCTGACCCAGCCATCCTGTTACCACATATATACCCAAAGGGATATAAATCATTCTACTATAAAGACACGTGCACACATATGTTCATTGTAGCACTTTTGACAGTAGCAATGATATGTAATCAATCTAGGTGCCCATTAACAGTGGACTGAATTAGAAAAATGTGGCATATGTACACCATGGAATACAAGTCAGCCATAAAACAGAATAAAATTACGTCCTTTGCAGCAACATGGATACAGCTGGAGGCCATTAATATAAGCAAATTAATGCAGGAACAGAAAACAAAATACTGGATATTCTCACTTATAAATGGAAGCTACACAACGAGTACACACGAACTCAAAGAGAAAAACAATAAACAGCAGGGTCTGCTTGAGAATAGAGGGTGAGGGGGGTGAGGATCAAAAATCTACCTTTCTGCCAGGTATGGTGGCTCACGCCTGTAATCCCAGCACTTTGGGAGGCTGAGGCGGGTGGATCACCTGAGGTCAGGAGCTCAAGACCAGCCTGGCCACCATGGTGAAACCTCGTCTCTACTAAAAATACAAAAATTAGCTGGGTGTGGTGGCATGCACCTGTAATCCCAGCTACTCATGAGGCTGTGGCTGAAGAATCGCTTGAACCCAGAAGGCAGATGTTGCAGTGAGCAGAGATTGTGCCACTGCCCTCCAGCATGGGCAACAAGAGCGAAACTCTTGTCTCAAAAGAAAAAAATTAAAAAAAAACTACCTATCAAGTACCATGCTCACTACTTGCCTGATGAAATAATGTGTACACCAAACCCCAGTGACATGCAATTTACCCATTTCACAAACCTGCACATGCGCCCTTGATCCTAAAATAGAAGTTGGAAGAAAAACCCACAAATAAAAAAGATTCAGAACTAGAGTAGATAAAACAACAATGATTTTAAAAAGAGCTTTTTTGCCCTTCTAAAATATGGGTGTTAATAGATGTTCTGGATCTTCAGCCTCATCTTGGACCATGAAGAATGGAAAACAAATGTCAGGGGTGATGGAGCAGAGACATCCCTAAAGGCTTCCTGAGGCTGCCATGCTGGCCCAGGTATGCCTAACTCCTGAGTTTTTATGTGAAAAAAATATAACTTACGTGTTTTAAGTCAGTATAGATAGATCTCTATTATTCATAGCTGAATAAAGTAAAATGAGCTGTTGAACTTGAAAAAAAAATAGAGATATTTTGAAAAATTTGCTCCAGTTACAATTTACCAATAACAATTACAGCTCTTTGCCGGGCATGGTGGCTCCCTCCTGAAGCAGGTGGATCACCTGAGAGTTTAAGCCCAGCCTGACCAACGTGGCAAAACACTGTCTCTACTAAAAACACAAAAATTATCTGGGTGTGGTGGTGCACGCCTGTAAACCCAGCTACTTGGGAGGTGGAGTCAGGAGAATTTCTTGAACCTGGGAGGTGGAGATTGCAGTGAGCCAAGATCCTGCTACTGCACTCCAGCCTGGGCGTCAGAGTGGGACTCCATCTCAAAACAAAAACAAAAACAAACAAACAAGAAAAACAATGACAGCCCTCTAGTGTCTCCAGAGAAATGAAGGAGTTTGGAACAGTCTCCTCTCTTCTATGATTTCTGAAGAAAGAAAGAGGCTCACATGGAGGGCTCAGAAAATGCTGAGTCTGATACATGAAGGACAGACAGTGAAGTCAGTGTGTCTTTCTGGATTCTGTGCTTCCTTAAAATGTTCTGCTAAAAAGGAAATTTTCTGTTAATCTTCAAATTCCTGAGCCAAACTAGTCTTTAATATTTAATAGAGAAATGTGCTGGGCATAGTGGCTCACGCCTGTAATCCCAGCACTATGGAGGCTGAGGCGGGCAGATCACCTAAGGTCAGGAGTTTGAGACCAGGCTGACCAAAATGGAGAAACCGCGTCTCTACTAAAAACACAAAATTAGTCGGGCGTGGTGGCACATGCCTGTAATCCCAGCTACTCGGGAGGCTGAGGCAGGAGAATTGCTTGAACCCGGGAGGCCAAGGTTGCAGTGAGCCGAGGTCACATCATTGCACTCCAGCCTGGGCAACAAGAGTGAAACTCCATCTCAAAAAAAAAAAAAAAAAAAAGAACAACCCCACTACAATAAAGGAGAAAACAACAGCGAATTTCATCACCTGTAACATTGTAACATTCTAGCTACCCAGAAGTCCTCAGTCTGTCCATGTGACAACTTCACTGCTAGAACAACCTGCATTCACAAAAACCAGTGCACTAAATTGAATTACAACAAAGGACCCTCACAGAGTCCACTTTACTCCCCTGCTACCTCTACCAGAGCAGGTGGTATTATCCATGGCTGAGAAACCTGAAGACAGATCACATCACAGGACTCTTTGCAGACAATCCCCAGTAACAGCCCAGAGCCCAGTAGCTCCACTGGATGGTTAAACCCAGAAGAGCAATAACAAGCACTGCAGTCTGACTCTCAAGAAGCCCCATCCCAAGAGAAAAGGGGAGACCATCACATCAAGGGATCACCCCATGAAACAAAAGAATCTGAACAGCAGCCTAGAGCCTCAGGTCTTACGTCTGACATAGACTACCCAAATGAGAAGGAACCAAAACAAAATTCTGGTGATATAAAAAAGCAAGAATTTTTTTAACACCTTCAAAAGACCACACTAGCTCACTAGCAGTGGATCCAAACCAAGAAGAAATCCCTGAATTGCCAGAGAAAGAATTCATAAATTCCATTATTAAGCTACTTAAAGAGACGCCACAGAAAGGTGAATATTAACTTAATGAAAAAATTTTAAAATACGGGATATGGATGAAAAAAGTCTCCAGAGAAATAGACAGCATAAATAAAAAACAATCACAACTTCCGGAAATGAAAGGCACACTTAAAGAAATGCAAAATATAGTGGAAAATTACAATAGAACCAAACAAGTGAAAGAAAGAACTTCAGACCCCAAAGAGAAGGCTTTTGAATATTCCAATCTAACAAAGACAAACAAAACAGAATTTAAAAATGAGCTAAGTCTCCAAGAAGCTTAGAATTATGTTAAACAATAAAATCTAACAATAATTGGTGTTCCCAAAGAAGAAGAGAAATCTAAAAGTTTGGAAAATTTATTTGAGGGAATAATTGAGAAAAACTTTCCTGGCCTTGCTAGAGATCTAGACACCCAAATACAAGAAGTCCAAAGAACACCAAGGAAATTCATCACAAGAAGATAATCACCTAGGCACACAGTCATCAAGTTATCTGAAGTCAATATGAAGGAAAGATTTTTAAGAGTTGTGAGACAAAAGCATCTGGTAAACTATAAAGAAAAACATATCAGATTAACAGCAGATTTTTCAGCAGAAACCCTAAAAACTAGAAAGAATTGGGGTCCTAAGTTTAGCCTCCTTAAACAGAACAAGTATCAGCCAAAAATTTTGTATCCAGTGAAACTAAACTTCATAAATGAAGGAAAGATAGTCTTTTTCAGACAAACAAATGCTTAGAGAATTCACCACTACCAAGCCACTACTATAAGAACTGCTATAAGGAGTTCTAAATCTTGAAACAAAACCTCAAAATACAATGAAATAGAACCTCCTTAAGGCATAAATCTCACAAGGCCTATAAAACAATAATACAATAAAGAAGGTATTCAGGCAACGACTAGCACAATGAATAGAATAGTCCTTCACACCTCAATACTAACGGTGAATGTAAATGGCCTAAATGATCCAGTTAAAACATACAGAATAGCAAAATGGATAAGAAGACAAATATCTGTTGTCTTCAAGAGACTCACCCAACACTTAATGACTCACTTAAGGTAAAGGGTTGGAAAAAGATATTCCATGCAAATGTACCCCAAAAGAAAGCAGTAGTAGCCATTCTTACATCAGACAAAAAAGACTTTAAAGCAAAAACAGTTTTTAAAAAAAGATAAAGAGGGACAAAAAAAAAAACTAGTCCAACAGGAAAATATCACAATTCTAAATATATATGCACCTAACACTGGAGCTCCTAAATTTATAAAACAATTATCACTCGACCTAAGAAATTAGATAGATGGTAATACAACAACACAACTATAATGGGTGACTTCAATACTCTACTGACAACACTAGACAAGTCATCAAGACAGAAAGTCAACAATAACAAAAAAAAATGGACTTAAGCTATACCCTAGAACAAATGGGCTTGACAAATATTTACAGAATATTCTACCCAACAACTGCAGAATATACATTTTATTCTTCAGCACATGGAACATTCTTCAAGATAGACATATGATAGGCCACAAAACAAGTCTCAATAAATTTAAGACAGCAGCCATAAAAAATGATGAGTTCATGTCCTTTGTAGGGACATGGATGAAATTGGAAATCATCATTCTCAGTAAACTATCGCAAGAACAAAAAACCAAACACCGCATATTCTCACTCACAGGTAGGAATTGAACAATGAGAACACATGGACACAGGAAAGGGAACATCACACTCTGGGGACTGTTGTGGGATGGGGGGTGGGGGGAGGGATAGCTTTAGGAGATATACCTAATGCTAAATGACGAGTTAATGGGTGCAGCATACGAGCATGGCACATGTATACATATGTAACTAACCTGCACATTGTGCACATGTACCCTAAAACTTAAAGTATAATAATAACAAAATAAAAAAAAGAAAAAATAAATAAATAAATAAATAAATAAATTTAAGACAATCAAAATCATATCAACTACTCTCTAAGACTACAGTGGAATAAAATTGAAATTCAACTCCAAATGAACCATCAAAACCATGCAAATACATGAAAATTAAATAAATTTTGGAAATTAAATAAATACATGGATATTAAATAAAACATTAAACTTAAGTTCAACCCATTTTTGAATGATTGCTGGATGAAATCAAGACAGAAATTTAAAAATTCTTTGAACTAAAGATAATAATGACACAACCTATCAAAACATCTGGGATACAGCAAAAGCAGTGCTAAAAGGAAAGTTCATAGCATCAAGTGCCTACATCAAAAAGTCTGAAAGAGCATAAGTAGACAAGCTAAAATAACACCTCAAGGACCTAGAGAAACAAGAACAAGCCAAACCCAAACCTAGCAGAAGAAAAGAAAGACCAGAACTAAATAAAACTAAAACAAACAAAAAAAATTCAAAAGATGAATGAAATGAAAAGCTAGCTCTTAGAAAAGATAAACAAAATTGTTAAGCCATTAACAGAATTAACCAAGAAAAGAAGAGAGAAGATATAAATAAGCTCCATTAGAAATGAAAGAGAAAATATTGCAACTGATGCCACAGAAATACAAAAGATCACATTCAGGTCTACTGTGAACATCTTTACATGCAGAAAGTAGAAAATCTAAAGGAGATGAATAAATTCCTGGTAATGTACAGTCCTCCTAGATAAAAAAACAACAACTCTGAACAGACTAATAACAAGCCAGATTGAATAATAATTTAACAAATTGCCAACCAAAAATAAAAGTTCAGAACCAGATGGATTCACAGCTGAATTCTATCAGACATTCAAAGAAAAATTGGTGGGGGTGGGGCCCAGATGGCTGACTAGAAGCAGCATCCCATAGAAAAGAACCATAATAGCATGTAAATCTTGCACCAGCACCTGAGGTATCCAGGTTCTCTCATCAGAACTGACTAGGTGGCTGGCATGACCCATGGAGAAGAAGGAAAAGCAATGTGGTGTGGCAACCCACCTGACAGCCAAATGGGGCTGGAGAGCCCCCAACCCCAGCCAAGGGAGGCGGTGAGTGAGCAGGCTACCCAGTCTGGGAAACTGTGCTTTCTCCATGGAACTGTGAAACCCATGGACCAGAAGATTCAATTTGTGAACCCACGCCACTGGAGCCTAAGGTTCCAACTGTTGGAAACAAGAGCTTGGAGTCACAAAGAAAACAAGCACTCAAACAAGGAATTTCTCAGCAAGGCAAATTTACTTCTGTAGAGAGGTGCTGCTCATGTCTCTGGCTGTTGTGAGAGCACACCATACAAGAGAGGGAAGGGGTTTGTATCCCTAATGCAGTCTCTACTTCTGCATCCTCTCCTCATTGGCTGGAGTCAGACCACACACTCTAACTCGATTGGCTATTCTAAATCAAGACTGGCAGGAAGGTTGTTTACAGAGTAGGTAACTAGGAGTGAGGAGGAATTCTTCCAAATAAAGAAGAGATGTGGGTTACAGATTGGGACTGGTTGGAAGAGTTGTTTACAGAGCAGGTAGCTAGGAGCAGGAAGGTACAAGGAAGTTGATTTCCAGAACAAAGAACAAGGAAGCTATCCTTTGAAGAGGAACTTATTATGCCTGACACAACCCTGGAGCTGAGTAGATTCTCAACAGCCTCTCAGCTAGAATCTGCTTAAGCCTGCCAAGTTCCCAGGGGAGGGGTGACCAACACCACAGCTGTGGCTGGCTGCTGTCTAAGCTGTTTGAGCTCCTTGGGGGAGGGACAGCAGCCAGCACGGGGACTCACAACTGCCTAACAGGCTAAGATCCTTGGGTGGGGAAAGGCAGCAGCCATATCTATAGCTCCTGACCACACTTTTCCCCTGCTAGAGCCAGGGAGGCTGGACAGCTTGGTCTCAAGAGGTGTTCCCCACAGCCCAACACACCGGCTGTGGCTGACTGCAGCCAGAATGTCTCTTCAGGCCTGACCCTCACCCATCCCTCCTCACTGGGCAGGGCCTCCCTCCAAGAACTCCAACAGCTCCAGCCAGGGGCTCAGGGACAGAACTGTGATCTCCCTGGGCCTGAACCCCTAGCGGGAGAGGTGGTTGCAGTTTCTGTGGACCAGCAGACTTAGCCTTTCTTTCTGCTAGTTCTGTGGAATTCAGGCAGCCCAGATGACTGGGTTTCCACCCATCAAAACACCCCCCTCCACCAAGGAACAGTCAAAGTGCTTCATTAAATGGGTTCTGCTCCCCGTGCCACCCAACTGGGTGAGACCCTTCAATAGGGGTTGTCGGACACCCTATACAGGAGCAATCATACTGGATTCAGGTTGGTGCCTCTTGACATCAGTGATCTCAGAGGAAGGAGCAGGCACCATTCTTTGCTGTTCTCCAACCTCCTTGAGTGACATCTCCAGGTACAGGAGTAAACCAGATGAATAGAGCCTGAAGTGACCCCCCAGCAAACTGCAGCAGCCCTACAGAAGAGGGACCTGACTATTGAAAGAAAAACAAACAAACAAACAGGAAGAAACAACAACAGCATCAACAACAAAAGCGTACCCACAAAAACCCCATCCAAGGCTGGGCATAGTGGCTCACATCTGTAATCCCAATACTTTGGGAGGCTGAGGCAGGCAGATTGCTTGAGGTCAGGAGCTCGAGACCACCCTGCCAATGTAGCGAAACCCAGTCTCTCCTAAAAAATACAAAACTTAAACAGGTGTGGTGGTGCATGCCTGTAGTCCCAGCTATTCGAGAGCCTGAGACATGAGAATCATTTGAACCTGGGAGGCAGAGGTTGCATTGACCCAAGACTGTGCCACTGCACTCCATACTGGGTGACAGAGTGAGACTCTGTCTCAAAACAAACAAACAAAAAAACTCATCCAAGGGTCAGCTGCCTCAAAATGTTGAAATTAGACAAACTCATGAAGATGAGAAAGAATCACCAAAACCCTCTGAAAGGCCTTATCTCCTAGAGATGATCACAATGTCTCTTCAGCAAATTCACAGAACTGGACAGAGGATGAGATGGATGAAGTGACAGAAGTAGGCTTCAGAAGATGTGTGATAACACACTCCGCTGAGCTAAAGGAACATGTTCTAACCCAATGCAAAGAAGCTAAGGAACTTGATAAAAGGTGAGAGGAAATGCTAAGTAGAATAACCAGTTTAGAGAGGAACATAAATGACCTGATGGAGCTGAAAAACACAGCATGAGAACTTCATGAAGCATACAAAAGTATCAATAGCCTAATTGACAGGCAGAAGAAAGGCTATCAGAGTTTGAAGACCACCTTGCCAAAATGAGGCAAGCAGACAAGATTAAAGAAAAAAGAATAAAAAGGAACAAATAAGGCCTCTGAGAAATATGGTGTTCTGGGCAGGAAATGCATGAGGGGAGAAGAAAACACACACACAATACCATTAAGGGTAAACAAGCTTTATCCCACCTAAAAGGCAATGCAGATATAATAAGCAAATTGATATCATAAGCAAATTGCAATGGGAAAGGGAGAAGGGAAAATATGTAAATAAATGTACAAAACCAAACTATGTGGTCCATAGTTCACCCTATTTAAAAATATGTAGTCCTCATAATATTCCATTTAACAGCCTGTTGTAACTCTTTGGTGTTAAGCCCAAGCACATCTAATATATGCTGGTGCCACCACCAGAAACGTGTCCCATCACACCACCATAAGTGGTGTCTCTCTCTGATGTTGGAAGAGACAGTGCCAAGGACATTTTCGCTGGAGGTAGGAGGTGGGGTCATAAAAGGAATAGCAAAGTACCTTGTTCAAAAGGATCAGATATAGTTACACTCATCAGACTATGGGGGATTCGTCACCACACCAGGAAGCAACAGCCTGGGCTCCAGAGTCGGCCACCCATCTGTGCACAAACAAGGAGAGGTCTCTTGAAGCCTTGGTGCAGTCTTGGACCCTGTCTCTTTTTGTAACAAGTTGTTTGGCATGAGGCCCAGTGATGAGGGCCCTTTGCGACTGGGCTCAGGGAACACAAAAAGGTCAAGTTGTTTTTGTGATTGTCTATTGTTTTTCAATAACTAACGTATAGGAATAGATTGAAATAGAGATTCTTTCTGAAATAGCGCTGGATGAACGCCTCAAGGGGTTCACACAACCTGTGCCAGGACTTGGTGACCATTGTTTGTGTCCATGTTCAATTTAGTTCAAATTTAATATTTAACATGTCCTCTACATTCGGCCTCAATTGGATACTCAATTGTAGGAAAATACCCTTACAGATACAAGGGGAAGGCATAATTGATATAGATTACAGATACAGGGTAAGGACAAGAGAATTAAAAGCACAATTAATAAAAACCACACCCACCATGGCTTTGCAAGGAGAGTCATATTGTGAGAACTGCCAGAGATATACACACAACATTCAGTATGCAGTAAGGTGCAAACCCCTCCTTGGGTTGCGGTAAGCATATCTAATGCCATTTGATTTTGCAACACAACAGTACTCAGATGAGCAAATTCATCTGATAACAACATAAATTCAGTGCTACTATCATTAAGAGCTTTTTCTACATGTAAGGTAAATCTTTTAATTTGTTGCTGAAGCAAGATTGTACGGGCGGCAGGGGAGAATACTGTGATAGGGTACCACCACCAGGGAGTCCAGTGCATTGGTAACCAGCGATGTTTGTAAGCATCTAGATTACTGGGGAGGGGAATATTAACCTGGATGGTGAATGTAATTAATGGCCACCCCCAAGTGCATCTCCCCATCCAATGCAGGGACAGGTATCACCACCCATAGGATCTGCATACCCAGAGGGCCCCCCAGGGGACAGCAATGGATCTACTGTAATCATAGTGTACTAATCTCTTATTAAAATAGGAAAGAGATTGTGGTTCATTGGGGGCAATGTTGTTGATTTGGAGTATGTGTTGACAAATGTCTGAAGAAACCCCAAATAAACATTAGAGGAGCCATTTAAGGTCTCCAGACAGAGTGGGAACTGTATGGAATCCGGCCACCAGCACAGCAGGTTTTCAGTATATTCCATTCCAGGATTATTGGGCAGGATACCAAGGCTTTTGATGCAAGGGGAGGGTGGAGTTCATCTTTTGTCTGACTTGGCAAAGATAGATTGCTTAGTGTGGTGAAAGGAAGCCCAGGTTGGATTGCAAGTGTTGTTGTTGTTGTGGCCCTACTGGTAACAATATAGCCATTCAGAAATGTTGTCAGGGACAATTCTGCAAGGTAGCACATTCCAGGCGGCCTCCGGCAACTCAACATATAGCCAACATTGACTGCGGTTGGCTTCAGTTGCAGCAGTGGCTACCAAGTTGATGAATTTATTCTTGGCTTCAGACACAAAGACACAGGTGCTGACGAGTAGTAGATAGATTATTTCTTGTAATAACAAAAACAGAGGGGAACAAGATATTGTTTTTCATCTTTAGGAAATTGTACTATGCCTTCATTTCCTGCTTTCATAGCTACAAAGTCACCAGCCTTAGGGTCAGGATCTGATGGACGCTGTACCCATATTTCAGCTCCAGGATTTAAGCTACCTGTACCAGGGGATCCGAATCCCCCAGTTCTGTATGTAGCCTCTGTTGGGGCAGAGATTTCCTCAGGGGTTGTTGACAAGGTACCACTAACAATTGAGCAACCCACATTTGTGGTTTTAGAGCAAAAGAATCTGGAGTGTATAAAATGACCTTTAACTCTCCCTGGTAATCGCTATCAATTATAGCACCATACATTATAATGCCTCTCATTGCAAGGCTTGAACACGTTGTAATCCATTCATCCGCATTCATGTTTACCGTTATGGTGGAAATTTTGGCCTGCTGTTCTTCCTGCTGATTAAGTAGTCTGTCAAGAGAAAGCAGAGACTCATGAGCATCAATATGGAAAACAGGGCCGGGTGCGGTGGCTCACGCCTGTAATCCCAGCATTTTGGGAGGCCCAGGTAGGTGGATCACGAGGTCAGGAGATCGAGACCATCCTGGCCAACATGGTGAAACCCCGTCTCTACTAAAAGTACAAAAATTAGCTGGGCATGGTGGTGCGTGCCTGTAATTCCAGCTACTTGGGTGACTGAGGCAGGAGAATTGCTTGAACCCCGGAGGCAGAGGTTGCAGTGAGCGAGATTGTGCCACTGCACTCCAGAATGGTGACAGAGCTAGACTCCATCTCAAAAAAAAAAACAAAAAACAAAACAAAACAAAACAAAAAACCAGTGATAATGGTAGTGTGTGCTAGGATTGAGATATCTCCCCAGTATTGTTTTCCCCAAACCTCTTTATTCCCAATTAACCATTTGCTTTGTTGCCTGGGGCATCCAGGTAGTAAGACCATTTGGTATTGACCAAGAGTTGGTATAGAAGTGAAAAATCCCTCTGGTCTCCTTCTGAATAGCTCAGGGGAACCGCTACTAGTTCAGCTAACTGGCTGCTCCCACCCCTTCCTTCATCAGAAATGCTTTTGTTTTTAATAGGATTATAAGCCACAGCCTTCCAGCATTGATTCCCACCAATGTATTTGGTGGATGCATCAGTAAACCAAGCATGTTTCTGATCCTCTGGGCTTAGTTCTTTAAAGGATTTGCCCCATTGGGTGGGGGAGGTTTCCTTCCCTATCTGCAGGACTTGCTCGGTGGTTTCCTGAGCTGGGAGATTTTGTACATCCTTATGTAAAAGTGATACTCACTTTGGTTTTGACTTAGCCTGGTCTTGTATGTACCATGTCCATTTTATGATGCTACTTTCTTGGACATGTCCTATCTGATGGGTTTTGGGGGAACTCAAGTCCCAAGTCATAATAGGAATTTCGGGCCTCATAAAGACATCATGGTTGAAGCAGAGGTGTTCCATTTCCAGCAAAGCCCAATAGCAAGCTAACAATTGCTTCTCGAAAGGGGTATAAGCTTTTCTGGCCTCTGGCAGTTTCTGGGTCCAAAACCTGAAAGGTACCCTCTTCCCATCTTGTTTCTAAGGCTCCAATTAGCCTGTTGATCTAGGACAGTTACTTGCAGTTCTCCTGGCCCATCCTGTATGGACCATAGATCCAGGGCCAGTTGCACCGCTTGTTTATCTTGTTCAGAAGCCATGCTGTCTGTCTCTCCCCAATGAAAGTCATAGTGTTTTCTAGTGGCTGCATGCAGAGGTTGTAAAATATTACTCAAGTGAGGAATATGATGTCTCCAGAATCCAGAGATGTCAATAAATGTCTGGGCCTCCTTTTTAGTGGTAGGGGTTGCAAATTCTAGTATTTTAGCCCCTTTACCTTTTGTAAGATGGACTATATCTCTGCATTCCATAGGATGCCAAGGTATTTTACAGTTTGTGCAGGTCCTTGAATTTTGCTAAGCTTAATTTCCCATCCTTGAGATAGGAGCTGGGTTTTTACCTGCTCCAAGCCCCAGCAAAGTAGTTCTTCAGTTTTAACCTGACCGAGTCATTCTGACAGCTGCTTTTTTTCAGCAATAGGGTGATAGCTTTGAGCCTGATCAGTCAAGATATAGGCCTGGCATTGGGCCAGGGCCAGTCTGGAAATCACACTGGCATTTTCCTTTTCCAACTTACATTTCTCTTATAGCAACCAGCCCGTATCTTGACACATTAACTTATAAGCAGTAAGCAAACACCATCCACTCTGGGAGATCCCTCAGCATCTCCTTTGCTGACTGGAATCTCCTGCAGCACTTCCCGCACAGTCAAAGGTTTAAATTGCACTAATTTAGATTCTCAGTTCTCACAAAGGCCAGTTCCCCTTGACCATTCAGTTGCCAAGGGGGAAAACTGGGGGAGTTCCCATCCTGAGACATGGGAAGTCCCTGAGCCTCCAGCCCCATCCTTCTGGCCAAAAAGCGGCATACTTTTGTTTCCAAATACTGTTTGTGACACCAAAAATGTTCTGTGCAGGAAACCCGCGAGGGGAGAAGAAAAGACCCACACACAATACTTTTAAGGGTAAGAAGTTTTATACCACGTAAATGGCAATGCAGATATAATAAACAAATAATATAATAAGCAAATCAATATAATAAGCAGATTGCAGACATAATAAGCAAATTGCAATGGGAAGAGGAGAATGGAAAAGGTTTACACTCACCAGACTGTATATATTTACACCACCAGACTGGGAAGAAACAACCTGGGCTCCAGAGTCGGCCACTCATCCGCGCACAGATGAGGAGAGGTCTCATGAAGCTTTGGCGCTATCTGGGACCCTAGCTCTTTTGTAATGAGTTTTTTGGCATGAGGCTTAGTCATGAGGGCCTTTTACGAATGGGCTCAAGGAACGCAAAAAGGTCAACTTGTTTTTGTGCTTGACTATTGTTTTTCAATAATGAATGTATAGGAATAGATTGAATTAGAGATTTCTCTGAAACAGCGCGGGATGAATGCCTCAAGGGGCTCACACAACCTGTTCCAGGACTTGGTGACCATTGTTTGTGTCCAGATTCAATTAAGTTCAAATTTAATATTTAACTTTACCTCCATACCAGACTATGGAGGATTCACCACCAGAGTGGGCAGTAACAGGCTGGGCTCCAGAGTTGGCCACCCATCTGTGAACACATGAAGAGGAAAAAAAAAAAAAAGTGAAAAACATTATCCCACAGTTTGCAAAATATATTACATTTAAACAGTTGTAAATACATGAACATAACATCTCAGTCATAATCAAAATTAAGTATCTGACAACACACTCGAAAGTTTGGGAGAAATAGAAAAGTGTTTGTGTCTTCCCCAGGCCCACAGTTCCAGTGCCCTGTGCTCCCTCATTGTCATGGGGTTGCCATGGGCCCCACAGGATATGGGAGGCACAGAGCAGATGGTGGCTGAAGGTGGGGTGTCTTGTGGGACCAGCTTCAAGATCAGAGACCTTGGTTCATTGTATTGAAATCAGCCAGCTCAGGAAAAGAGACCTTGCTGCCTCAAGCTCTATGTCCATCTGCATTAGCGATGTAAGGAGGCTTGAGCACCCATGGGCACACAAACCCATCCCACTCCAATATTTCATCAACTATTGAGGAGTCTGAATCCATGTTCTTGAGGAGCATATGCTTCTGCAGTTACAACCACTATGGAAAACAGTATGGAGATTCCTTAAAGAACTAAAGGTTATCTACCATTTGTTCCAGCAATCTCAGTAATGGCTATCTCCCCAGAGGAAAGGAAGTCATTATATGAAAAAGACACTTGCACATGCATGTTTATAGCAGCACTATTTGCAATTGCAAAAATATGGAACTAGATAAAATGCCCATCAATATTGAGTGGATAAAGAAAATGTGGTACAGGTATACCATGGAATACTACTCAGCCATAAAATGGAACAAAATAATGGCATTCTCAGCAGCCTGGGTGGAGTTGGAGACCATTATTTTAAGTAAAGTAACTCAGAAATGATAAACCAAACATCATGTATTCTCATTTATAAGTGGGAGCTAAGCTATGAGGATGCAAAGGCATAAGAATGATACATGAATTTTCGGGGAGGAAAAATGGGAGTGGGTAAGGGATAAAAGGCTACACACTGGGTAGTGTTTACTGCTCAGATGATGGGTGCGTCAAAATCTCAGAAACCACCACTAAAGAACTTAGCCATGTAACCAAACACCACCCGTTCCCCTAAAACCTATTGAAATTAAAAAAAAGAAAAACCATCCCAATTTCTCATTTTAAAATTGGGAAACTGAGGCCCCAAAAGAGGCTGGAAATTAGAGCCCCTAAATAATAGAAAGCCCTGTGCTCTCCTTCTCCACATGGGCTATTTTTGTCTCCATATTCTCAGATAAGCACACACAGACACACACACAGAAACACTTCTCAGGGAAAGATCATGGAAGCGAGGATAGAGAAGAGGCAGACAGAAACCAGGCATAAGACAAGGAAAAAAAAAAAAACCCAGAATAGTGGCAGCTCTGCTATAAGCCAGTGCATGCACTCCTCTAGCTACGTGTCCAGGGGCACAGAGAATGAGCAGGAGGATCCTCCAGGTTTCCAGGGTTCTCCATCAGCTGGGGTCATCTCCAGGTCAGTTTCAAGAGGACAGGACTGGGGTCCTACTGTCCAACTCTGTAGGTACCTGAAATGGAAATGAGCTATGTCCCCATCTCAGCCTAGCATAGACAATGGCTACAGCAAAGCCTTTTCATACCTCATAAATAAGAGTACTTGAAGTGGGTGACCTCAATGGTTTCACATACCCATAAGTGTCTGCTGGCCTTTGTTCTTCATTGGTGAACCAAGACTCTTTGCTCTGAGACTGCAAAAATGCTTCTACTCCCTGGAAGTCCTTCAGAGTGAGGCATGGTCACCCCAGAGGCATCTTGGGTAGATAAAGCTGAGATAGAGCGAAATGTGCCATATAACTGGACTCTGAGTCTGAAGCCCAGGGAAAATACTAGTTCCTGTTGTGTTCTTGAGATGATCATTTGGAAGTGGTAGAAAACAGTTTCCCTGGATGAGGGGTTGTCCCTCATGAGTAAAGAGCACACCCCAAAAGGTGGAGGCAAAGAGAGGACAACGGAGGCTTCCAAGGTTACTCTTATCGCACTTGGAGCCTCCGGATGCTGCTCCTTTGTCCCCTGGGACCCTGGAGAGCCAGTGTCTTGAGGACCCAAACATAAAAATAGCTTTGTTCTGTGAGGCTCCTGCATGGGGCTGCAGTGCCAGTGATGGCCTCTAGGTGGTGAGAGCCTTCTGGGTTTTTGGTGCCCACTGAGCTTTGCTGGAGCAGCTGGAGCAAAGAAGTCACACCGAGGTCATGCACCTTGAGTTATTATTAACGATCCCCATATTATCAAGTGGTCAAAAGCAGGAAGGAGAATTTGAGATTCCCCCATGCATTCACTTAGCCAGTCTTTCCCTTACACTCACCCTGTGCCAGCTACCCTGGTGGACCCAACATGTGGTACAGAAAATGATTGAATCATACCTGCACCGTACCCTGAGGACCAGTCTGAGGACAGGTGACCAAAAACACTAAAGCAAGTATACGTGAAAGAAAAGAGCAACTGCTATAATATAAAGTAGAATGTTGACAGAAGAGCTGGGAAATCATGACATGGAGTGACCCAAATGCCTCACTGAGATGACATTTATACCATGATGACAATGACAATAGGGAGCCAGCGCTGCAAAAGAATGTGTCAGAAGAAGCCACCCTTAGTAAAGAATCTCACAGGTGTGAGTTGGGCAGAAGTTAGAAAGGGACCACTATGGCCGCAGAGAGCCTGAGACAGAGAAGCAGAAGGATGGAGAATCTTGGGGCCTGGGAGATGAAGCTAGTTATCTGCTTCTTTCTTACAACATTGCCCTGAAACTTAGCACCTTTCAACAACAAATACTATCTCACAATTTGTGGGGACCAGAAACTGGACACAGTTTAGTGGGGTGCCTCTTCCTCAAGGTCTTTAGGAGGCTTAGGCCTCATAAGAAGCTGGACTTCTCAACAGAAGCTGGACTGGGGAAGGATCAGCTTTAAACTCACTCATGTGGAAATTGGCAAGACTTTGTGTGGCCTGAGAGCCCACGTTTCTTCCATCTATTGGCCTGAGCACTCCCTCAGTTCTTTTTATGTGGGTCTGTACATAGAGCATCTCGTAGCATTGGAATTTGCCTTTTCAGTTTGAGGAATACAGTACAGAAATAGATAATTAAACAGAAAAACACAAAAAGAGAGACTGAGGGAGCAAGTAGGAAGAAAATGACAGCTTTTAGAAAAATATATATATAATCTTGAGAGTTATGATTTCTCCCCCTATATTTGCGTGAAAATTCTAACCCTCAGAGTAATGGTACTATGAGGTGGGGCATCATTAAGTCCTGAAGGTGGGGTCCTCATGATTGGGATTACTGGCTTTAAAAAAGATACCCCAGGGGGCTCTCTCCCTCCTTCTGCCAGATGATAAAACCCGAAGTGTGCAGTCTGCAATTCAGGAGAGTCATCACCAGAGCTCAGCCATGCTGACACCCTGATCCCACATTTCCAACCCCTACAAGTGTGAGAAATTAAGTTCTGTTGTTTATAAGCTTCCTAGTCCATGGTTCTTTGGTATGGCAGCCTGAACTGCGACAAAAATGATACCCTATCATTCTGTACTCCATTGGACAGAAGCTGAATTTTTGTCCCCAAAGTGTTGAAACAAAACAAAACAAAACCTATGACTAAAATAAGTTGGGTTTTCCTAATGACAAGAAACAACTTGTTGAAACACTGAAATTTCCTTTGCTTAAGAGATTTTTTAAAAATGGGCTGAAGTTGGTTGGAACTAATATGGCCATCTGAAGCCTGTGAATAATAAGCTTGCTGATGTCAGGACCCAAATTATCATTGCATGTTTCTTTTTCTTTTCTTTCTTTTTTTTTTTTCTTGAGACGGAGTCTCGCTGTTGCCCAGGCTAGAGTGCAATGGCACGATCTCGGCTCACTGCAACCTCTGTCTCCTGGGCTCCAGTGATTCTCCTGCCTCAGCCTTCTGAGTAGCTGAAGTTACAGGTGCACACCACCATACCTGGTTAACTTTTGTATTCTTAGTAGAGATGGGGTTTCACCATGTTGGACAGGCTGGTATCGAACTCCTGGCCTCAAGCAACCCGCCTGCCTCGGCCTCCCAATTGCTGGGGTTACAGGCTTGAGCCACTGCACCCAGCCTACACCATAATTTTTATATGTTTTGTCTTATATACACCTGATAAATTCCCTAGGAGGTAGATGCTAGCATAATCCCCACTGTGTATGGTAGGAGGCTGGGGAAGCCCGAAAATAGACAATGGCTTTTACTGAGTCACAGAAATGGTAAGATAAACAAGGTTCTGACCCAGCTGTCTCTTCTATTATAAAACCAAGGCTGCATTTAGGTCTTCCCAGGGAATTAAGGGGAAGGTGTGATTTCATAATTACATACAAATGGAGGCCTGACATGGGAGAGGAGGCTGAGTAATCAGTAGCCTGGCGGGGCCTCTGGATAGGTCTTATAGTAAGAAGGGGCCCAGTGGAAGGAACCTTGAAGAGTCTAACATACTTCCTTGGTGATGGAACCCAACAGAACTTAGGAAACCAGGACCCCACCTCCTAGAGACAACTCTGTATCCAGCTTCTTTGGTGAGAGATGCTCAAGAGAGTAACATGCTCTTCCATGGTATTCTTACATTTCTGAGTTTTAGCCTTACAAAGGCTCAAAGTAAAAGCCTTCTCCGATAATGCAGATGTCCACTTAGCCCTCATTTCTAATGAGGTGCACCCACAGATAACAGGGCAACCCAGAACAGATCCAGGCCAGTCCTCTCTTGTCGTTTCATCTAGACAGCCCCACACCACCCCCCACTGCCATGTATTGCAGGGGCATCAAGAGGTGAGGGCATTCTTCCTGGACAGAACCAGGTTGTCAAATGTTGAAACTCTTGTGGGTCTGTCATTTTCATACCCAGGTCATGGCTGGCAAAATGGGGACGAAGTTTATCTACTCAGATGTGAATCCCAAGACTTTAAGCTGTCCTCTGGTTTCCTTCCTGGCTGAAGATCTATGCAGATGTTCCTATGTGCCTGATCTGAAGAGCAAAACTTCAATAGAGGAGTCATCTATGGTAAAAACAAGGCAGGCAATCAATCTTTTTTAGCTTGGCTGCTGGGCACTGTTTACAGAGCCGCATTCAGATTAATGAGGAGCTGTTTGATGAGTCTAACTCCTCCATCTCTTTGGAAAAAGAGCAGGTGCCCTACACCACTAACCTTGGCCAGCACTGGGCTGTGGTGAGAGCAGGCACCTAGAGGTCTCTATAGCTAGGAACCTGAGAAGACCAGGACAGGCCCAGGTCCCAGACTGAAATATGGAAACTCTCTGACCTCTGTCCTAGGGCCTTCCCAGGAGTGACTCATAGTCCTGTTTCAATACAATCTGGCCTTCATTCGTCCCAGTGGCAACTTGGTTAGGTGGAAAGTCTCTGTTCACATACTTGTAGAAATATTAGAGGAAAGGCTTTCATCTTGTTTTCACTTTACATCAAGCCATGAGCATTTTTGCATGTTGCTACAGTTTGTATTGTTTTAACTCCCCACCCCAGGCATCTCCTGTGGCATGCAGCTTCAGTCCTACAGAACTTCTCCAAAACTTAAAAGCCAACACTATGACTAGGGAAGTTTTTATGCAAAAATGGGGGAATGTGCTGTACCAAAAAAGGGGGTGAGACTACTTTACGCATGTTCCTGCAATGTGTCATCTCAAGAACTGATCCCCATATCCCATCAGGGAAGGAGGTGTGCATGCACATGTCTTTATAATATTCCATAAGTGAGGCTCTTCCCCACCGTGGTTCAGTCTTTCAGTGCTGATGCAGCCTGGTATAACATCCTATTTCCATGTCAGTCATGCTGCAGGGAATATTGTGTGTGTGTACTAATAGGCTGTAATCGTTTGCTAGGACTGCCATAACACAGCATCACAGAATGAAGGGCCTTAAAAACAGCAATTTAGTTTCTTACAGTTCTGGAAATTAGAAATCTAACAGATGTTGGTGGAATGACTTCTCCAAGCCTCTCTCCTTGGCTTGTAGATGGCTGTCTTCTAACTCTGTGTTAACAGAATCTTCTCTTGTGCTTCTGTCTTTACTACCTCTTCTTATAAGAACCCATTATATTTAATTAGGTCCCATGCCAATGAACTCACAAGCTTAATTACCTCTTTAATGACCCTGTGTCCAAATACATTCACAATCTGAAGCAATGCTCTTTTTGCCTTTGTAAAGGAAGTTTGTCTGTGGCAAATGAATAAATGGCAGAATTTTACATCATGGGGTCAGTACAAAAAAGGGAGGTGTGCAGGGGATTTAGGCCACTTTCCTTATGTTGGGAACTCTAATGTCACCATCTGAAGGGCCACTTATGAACAGAAGAGTTATTATAGTTATTATTTCTTTTTTATTTTTTAAGGTGGAGTCTCTGTTGCCCAGGCTGGAGTGCAGTGGTGTGATCTTGGCTCACTGCAACTTCTGCCTCCCAGGTTCAAGCGATTCCCCTGCCTCAACCTCCCGAGTAGCTGGGACTACAGGCGTGTGCCACCACCCCTGGCTAATTTTTTTTTTTTTTTTTTGTATTTTAGTAGAGACAGGGTTTCACCATGTTGACCAGGATGGTCTTGATCTCCTGACCTCATGATCCGCCCGCCTTGGACTCCCAAGGCAATTCTTTTAGCCGATCTTTGTCCTTCACACAGACATAACAGAGGTCCCTGGGTGCTGAAAGACGGGCCTCAGGCCCACTTAGATATTTTGGAAGGCTGTGGTTAGGCTCCATTCACTAAATACACGTATATTAAGCACTTAACTTGCGCAGTCCCTTTTGTAGCTGCTTGGCATAATTCAATGAAGAAAGCAGATAATCACAGGGCCTCAATTCTATCTGAAGAGTTAAACACAGTAAATATTAACAGGATGTCCACTGAATATTAAATGGTGATGTCCTCACGGCAATTTTAATCTCCTGGAGCCACCAACTCACTCCAATTGGAACACTAATTATGGAGTGTGTATTACACATGGTAGTGCTTTTCTGTGTTTGTTCACTTCATTTATGACTAAACAACACCATGTCTGATGTAGAGACGTAAGAGTTGATAAAAAAAGAAACAAACACTACCATGACTGATGACATCTCCCTAGTGTTCACCTAAAGAAATTAACCCAATAAGATCAATAAACTCAATGTTAATTATAAAAATTAAAAGAACAACAAGGCCAGGCGCAATGGCTCACGCCTGTAATCCCAGCACTTTGGGAGGCTGAGGCGGGCGGATCACGAGGTCAGGAAATGGAGACCATCCTGGCTAACACGGTGAAACCCCGTCTCTACTAAAAATACAAAAGAATGAGCCGGGCGTGGTGGTGGGCGCCTGTAGTCCCAGCTACTCGGGAGGCTGAGGCAGGAGAATGGCGTGCACCCGGGAGGCGGAGCTTGCAGTGAGCCGAGATCGCACCACTGCACTCCAGCGTGGGCGACAGAGCAAGACTCCGTCTCAAAAAAAAAAAAAAAAAAAAAAAAAAAAAATTAAAAGAGCAACAAAGGAAAGATTGGCTTAGAGTTCTCCAATTGAAAAAAAATGTACTAAATAAAATGTTACAACATATTTACTATGAAATTACATGTTCAAATTATTTTGCAAGCACCATTAAATTTTGTAAAAATTATTCCAATAATTCCCGAGCAGATTATATAAAGAATACTTTATAAACTTTGGAACAAGAAAACTGGCCGGGCATGGTGGCTCATGCCTGTAATCCTAGCACTTTGGGAGGCTGAGGCGGGTGGATCACAAGGTCAGGAGATCGAGACCATCCAGGCTAACATGGTGAAACCCCGTCTCTACTAAAAATACAAAAAAATTAGCTGGGCGTGGTGGTGGGCACCTGTAGTCCCAGCTACTGGGGAGGCTGAGGCAGGAGAATGGCGTGAACCTGGGAGGTGGAGCTTGCAGTGAGCAGAGATTGCACCACTGCACTCCAGCCTGGGTGACAGAGCAAGACTCCGTCTCAAAAAAAAAAAAAAGAAAATTATGCATTAGGTCTACTATCAATACCAGGCAAGTAAAACCTAGATTTACTTAAGGAGATTCTGAACTAGGAACCACAAGATTTTGAAAAAATGAATTCAATACAAATGGGAAAAATAGATTTGCTTTGAAATTGTTTGAGGTTTCCAGTTTGGTAGTAACTTATCAACACTTTAAAAATTACCAGTTTGTTCTAACATATTTTCTTTCTTCTCAAAATAGGTACACATCCACATTCAAATACAATTACTTGCTTCATAATTCCCTTACACTTTATCTTTAGAGTAACATATTTGTATATTAAACTTTCATGTAAGTGAAAACTTAAAGAGTCTATGTGTGTCTGGAAGGCCACAGAGGTTGCATGTTCAAAGAAAAATGTGAGATAACATCTTCTACATACTCACTTAAGATTCAGAAATATATGGCTTTTGATTATATGCCTGTGTAATTTTCATAATAATCATCTTAATGACTCTATAATTAGAAGAAAAATAATAAAAATGTAACCTATGGAAACAATATTCTCCAACGTATTTGAAGTTTAAAGTCACTAAGGATAAGAATCACTAGAGATGCCATTCCACTATATTACTGAATAGTATGTTGTTACCGTCTGTTACCTAGAGACTTGAGTAAGGTAAAATAGGTTAATGTTGGTGGCAGGATAACACCTAATTCAATGCACAACTGTCTTAACACATTAAAAATAATTGTTTTATTGAAACTAAGTTCACACAGTCTAAGAAAAGCATTACAAAATCCACTATACTATCTAATGTGCAATTGGTAAAACAATTTACTAAAATTTGAATAATGCACAAGACTATTACTCTGAACATCTATCTCATGCAGCACTTACAAGTTTTATAAGTCAACCACAAAAGTTTCTCTGTGTACTTTCTTCACACACCTCATATTTCAGTGTCCTCAATCTTCTGTTGAAAAGTATGTAAATGACATCCTAATATAGAACTTCTCAAACCCCGAGCAGCAGAAATTGACCACATGCTTTCATACAGACACTAGGAATAAAGACACAGCATCAAGTAATTTGAGAGTTCAATTACATCAAAATTTGCCTTTGTAAAAATCTAAAATTCTTTCAATGCAAAAAGTGTACTTTGAATATAATTGTTTAAGTCTCAAAATATTAATCTCCTATTTCTGTTTAGGCTAACTAAATTATGTTAACCTTGAATTACTCTTTATAATCAATGCCCTGATTTAGAATAACATTGAAAGTGTTAGCGTCTTAGTGGTTTCTACTGTGAATCTTCTGATGTTCATTTAGACTTAATTTTTTATTAATTTTTTATATTTACTGCATCTGTTAAATGCTTTCATATAAACTAGCGTTCTTTCTTTTTTTTTGAGACAGAGTCTCTGTCGCCCAGGTTGGAGTTCAGTGGCGCGATCTCGGCTCACTGCAAGCTCCGCCTCTCGGGTTCACGCCATTCTCCTGCCTCAGCCTCTCCCAGTAGCTGGGACTACAGGCACCCGACAACATGCCCAGCTAATTTTTTGTATTTTTAGTAGAGACAGGGTTTCATCGTGGTCTCGATCTCCTGACCTCGTGATCCGCCTGCCTCGGCCTCCCAAAGTGCTGGGATTATAAGTGTGAGCCACCGCGCCCGGCCTTAAACTAGTGTTTTCTAAGGTGTACTTTTTAAACAATTTTTTTCATATTCATTACAGTTGTAGGGTTTCTTTCCAATGTAAATTATCTAAAATGGAATAAAATTTGAGCAACTGTTAGAGGGTTACCTTTCAGTATAAATTCTCCTATGTACAACAAAATCTGTAACATAAGTAAAAGTATTGCAACAATCTTTATATTTGTAATGTTTTTCTTCAGTATAAAAACTCTTGTGTACTCTAAGGCTTATATTTTTGAAGTCTTTCCATGTACAAATGTAATGTATCACTATCATTACACCTTGTGTACTCTAAGGCTTTTATTTGGTGACATCTTTCCACAGATAAATGTAATGTGTATCATTACACTTACATTGCTTTTATCTAGCACAAAACCTCTGATGAGTAAGTTCATAGTAGTTATTAAATGCTTTGCCACATTCTTTAAAATCAGAATTTTTCTCAGCATGAATTTTCTTCTGTGCAATAAGCTGTCAGCAATGGTTGAAGACTTTCCCCACATTCTTCACATTTGTAGTGTTTCTCTCCAGTATGAATTATCTTGTGATTTCAATGCCTTGAGCAAGATTTATGGAATTTGCCACATTCTTTACATTTGTAGGATTTCTCTTTAGTAAAAATTCTTACGTAGTAAGGTTTGAGCAGTGATTAAAAGCTTCCCCACATTTTTTATACTTGCAGGATTTCTCTCCTCTTTGAACTCTCTTATGTTCATTAAGATGTGAGCACCGTTTAAAAGCTTTGCCACATTCTTCACATTTATAGCGTTTGACGGCAGTATGAATTTTCTTATGTCTAGTAAGGTGTGAGCACCGATTAAAGGCTTTTCCACATTCTTCACAGTTGTAGGGTTTCTCTCCAGTATGAATTCTCTTATGTTCAGTAAGGATTGAGGACCAGTTAAAAGCTTTGCCACATTCTTCACATTTGTAGGGTTTCTCTCCAGTGTGAATTCTCTTGTGTTTAGTAAGGTATGAGAACCTCTTAAAGACTTTGTCACATTTTTCACATTTGTAGGGTTTCTCTCCGCTATGAATTACCTTATGTTCAGTAAGAATTGATGATGAGTTAAAAGCTTTGCCACATTCTTCACATTTATAGGGTTTCTCTCCCGTATGGGTTCTCTCATGTATAGTAAGTAGTGAGCAGTGGTTAAAGGCTTTCCCACATTCTTTACATTTGTAGGGTTTCTTTCCAGTGTGAATTGTCTTATGTTTGGTGAGATGTGAGTGCCGGTTAAACGCTCTGCCACAGTCTTCACATGTATAGGGTTTTTCTCCTGTATGAATTTTCTTATGTCTAACAAAGGGTGAACACCAGTGAAAGGCTTTTCCACATTCTTCACATTTGTAGGGTTTCTCACCAGTATGGATTCTCTTATGTTTAGTAAGACTCGAGCACCAGTTAAAAGCTTTGCCACATTCTTCACATTTGTATGGTTTCTCTCCAGTGTGAATTCTCTTATGTTTAGTAAGGTATGAGAACCACTTAAAGGTTTTGCCACATTCCTCACATATGCAGAGTTTCTCTTCAGTGTGAATTATCTTATGATAAGAAAGGCCTGAGTGAGATTTAAAGACTTTGCCACATTGCATACATTTGAAAAGTTTCTCTGTAGTATGTCTTATGTTTTCTCTATTTAGATTTGATGATTTACTAAAGACTTTCACACATTTATTATATGGGAAAATTTTGCTAGGTAGAGTTGACAAACATTGGTTAAGTCCATTATAAATTTCTTTTTGATCCTTACACTCACCCACATTTTCCCCATCCTTCCTTAAGTGTAAATCCTCAAGTCCACAGCTTCCATATCTTCTCAGTATCACTTTTTGGAATGAATCTTGCATGCACTGTTCTGGCAAAAGGTCTTCAGTGTAATGAGAAGACATAGCTGAAATATGAAATTAACAAAATATCCCACTTGTTATTTTCAGACTCAGATACATATACTTTACAAATCTAATACAGAAAATTAAGAAAAGGACAGGATGACTTACTAGATGCAGCTGGGAAACACTCACTCCAAGGAGAGAAAACAAAATGTTGAGTAAAACATCATACTTTAAACAGATCTTTTGAGAAAAAGCTTAATTCAGAGGTAATGCAGAAACTGTGGTTGAAGAGGAAGATGGGAAGCTTGCTCAAAGTCACTGGGCACCAGGACTGGCTCGTAGATCCAGACCAGTCTTATGGAAGGGATATGTGAAGAAACCCCAGGGCAACACAGTCTAGCCATGGACCTCTGAGATTCTCACTTTGGTTCCTTCTCCTTGAAAGGCATTTCCCAGCTAAATCTAGTCTGAGCTCCTGATTATAGACTCTCATATGATCCCTATACATCTGTGAACTGGCAGGGGGAGCCACCTGGAGAATAGGCAGAGGCACAGCTTAAACTCTTGTGGAAATCTGCAGTTTTCACTGTGCTGTGCAGCTGTAGCTGACCATAGGTGCCCATCCTCCGAGGCTCTGCATCTTGCACTGAGGGGATCCATCTGCTGCTGTCTGCCAGGCTGAGAGAGAGCAAGGTTGTAGCTATCATGGGACTGAGGTGAATCTGATCCATGCACCACTTTGCCTGCTGGCACCGTCCAAGATGACCTACCTGGCTGGTCCTGCAGAAGGGTGCCCACAGCATGGCATCCACTTATATCACAGATGGTGCTTGACCCCAAAGGGCCAGAGGACAAATCCATGGGCCCAGTGCCAACTGCCCAGGTCTTCAGCACACTGCCTGATAATATCAAGCTGATATATGTGGTCTGAGCTTAAGTGGGGTAGAAGCCCACACTGTCAGCACACAGAGAAGTCATGGGATCATGAGCCAGCATGGGAGCTGAGTTCCCCTTCATTCACATGAATAAACTGGGAAGGGTGTGGCCAGATGACCAGTCATGGTTTCCATCCCAGGAAGCCTAGCAGCATAGAACATCTGGAAGAACTCAGCAATTTCAATGCAGATGGCTTGGGACAAGCCTAGCCAATTCAGCCTGCTCCCAGGGAAGACACTGGAGACAGACCTGCTGAGTTGGGGGACCACAAGCTGGGTGGGCCCCACAACTACCTGCTGGACTAAAAATCCTGGGCTGCAGGTGCAATACTGGTTGCAAACCCATGGTGCAATTGCCCTGCCTGGTGTTCCATCCTCGAGCCATGGCATCACCAAACGACTCACAGACACATTCCATAACCCATCCTTACTTTTGCAAGCAAAGGAGAACAGCAGGACCCCTGATAAATATGGGTCTCCTGGTGACCTAAAAGTGTGAACTGTCCCTAAGGAAGGGTAAGCACAGACCACCAAAGCCCTCCTTGGAGCAAAGGAATTGGGTGCAGTGCCAGCAGTTGAAGGGAATATCACCAAGGCCCCAAAATAAATTTGGAAAGAAAATAATCTCTCACACACTATCTTCCCTCCCCAGAGCACTCTTAAGTGCCATCTACTTGGACTGAAGCCTGAATTACACCACCAAACAAGAATACATTGCTTCAACATGAAGCACTCTATGAAATCCACTGCAGGAACTTATCTACAACCAAGGGACCTAGACAGAACCTCTGCCCTCTGAAAACAACCTTAAATGACACCAACTGATTATACACAACATACACCACAGCCAAACCCTCAAGGAAAAAAAGAAATAAAAAAATTTTAACACCCCATCCAAATGACAGAAAATTCAAAAGGAAAAGAAGCACCAGCTCCCTCAGATGTGAAAGCGAAAGAAAGCTGGCAATACAGAAAGCCAGAGTGTTTCGTTACCTCAAAAGGATCTCACTAGTTCCTTTGAAAGAACCAAACACAACTTTAAAAGTTGAAAATTTTACTACAGGACTTTCAAAATACAATTGAAAGCCTTAAAAACAGAATAGACTAAGCAGATGAAAGTATTTCAGAGCTCAGAGACTGCTCCTTTATATCAACCCAGTCAGAAGATAGTAAAGAAAAAAGAATTCACTACAAAAAAACAAAGCTTCTGAGAAATATGGAATTATGTAAAGGGGTCAAACTTATGACTCATTAGTATTCCTGAGAGAGAAGGAAAAAAAGTAACCAACTTGGAAAACATACGTAAGGATATAATCTACGAAAAATTTTCCCATCTTGCTAGAGAGGTTGACACAGAGATACAAGAAATTCAAGGAACTCCTTTGAGATACTATACAAGACAACCATCCTCAAGGCACATAGTATTCAGACTTTCCAAGGTCAACATGAAATACAAAAATAAAAGGCAACTAGAGAAAAGGGCCATATTACCTAAAAAATGAATTCTATCAAACAGTGGACCTCCCCACAGAAACCTTACAATCTGGAAGATATTAGGGGCCTGTTTTTAACATTTTTAAAGAAAGAGGCCAGGTGCAGTGGCTCACGTCTGTAATCCGAGCTTTTTGGGAGGCCAAGGTGGGCAGATCACCTGAGTTCAGGAGTTCAAGACCACCCTGGGCATCATGGTGAAAGCCTGCCTCTATTAAATACAAAACATTAGCCTGGCATGGTAGCGTGCACCTGTAGTCCTAGCTACTCAGGAGGCTGAGGCACGAGAATTGCTTGAGCCCTGGAGGCAGAGGTTGCAGTGAGCTGAGATTGCACCACTGCACTCCAGGCTGGGCCACAGAGCGAGACTCCATCTCAACAACAACAAAAAAAGAGATTAAAAAAAAAAAAGAAATTCCAATCAGGAATTTTATGTTCCAGCAAACTAAGTTTCATAAGCAAAGGAGGAATAAAATATTTCTCAGACAAGCAACCACTAGGTGAATTAACTACCACTAGACTGGCATCACAAGGTGCTTAAGAGTGTTCCAAATATGGAAATGGAAGAATGATACCTACTACCACAAAAACACACATAAGTACATAGCCCACAGACCCTACAAAGCAACTGTACAATCAAGACTACAGAGTGCATGAAGGGAACAAAAACTAAGATATCAATATTAACCTTGAACACAGCAGTCTAAATGCTCCACTTAAAAGACACAAAGTGGTGGCCAGGCACAGTGGCTCATGCTTGTAATCCCAGCGCTTTGGGAGGCTGAGGCAGGTGGATCACCTGAGGTCAGGAGTTTGAGACCAGCCCAGCCAACATGGTGAAACCCCGTCTCTACTAAAATACAAAAATTAGCCAGGAGTGGTGGCACATTCCTGTAGTCCCAGGTACTCGGGAGGCTGAGGCAGGAGAATCACTTGAACCTGGGAGTCAGAGGTTTCAGTAAGCTGATATCGCGCCTGCACTCCAGCCCGGGTGACAGATCGAGACTCTGTCTCAAAAAATATATTAAAAAATTTAAAAAACTGGCCAGTGCGGTGGCTCACCCCTGTAATCCTAGCACTTTGGGAGACTGAGGCGGGCAGATCACCAGGTCAAGAGATCAAGACCATCCTGGTCAACATGGTGAAACCCTGTCTCTAATAAAAATACAAAAATTAGCTGGACGTGGTGGTGTGCACGTGTAGTCCCAGCTACTAGGGAGGCTGAGGCAGGAGAATTGCTTGAATCCAGGAGGCAGAGGTTGCAGTAAGCCGAGATCGTGCCACTTCACTCCAGCCTGCCAACAGAGCGAGACTGTCTCAAAAAAGAAAAAAAAATTTTTTTAATTAAAAAAAAAGACACAAAGTGGCAAATCAGATTTAAAAAAAACCAAGACTTAACCTTCTGCTGACTTCGAGAAACTCACCTCACGTATAATGACACCCATAAACTCAAAGTAAAGGGAAAAAGTAACATCTATCACACAAATGGGAAAAAAACAAACAAAAAAATGCAGTGGTCACTATTCTTGTATTAATAAAACAGATTTTAAACCAACAACAGTAAAAAAGACAAACACATTACATAATAATAAAGGATTCAATAAATAAATAGATAAATCAACGATATTTAACTATCCTAAATATGTATGCACTCAACATTGGCACACCCATGTTTATAAAGCAATTATTACTGGACCTAAAAAAAAGACTTAGCCAGCCACACAATAATAGCGGAAGACAACACCTTACAGATAGCATTACAGATCATCAAGGCAGAAAACTAACAAAGAAATTCTGGACTTAAACTCAGCACTTGACCATAGACATCTACAGAATAATTCATCTAATGAAGACACACATACATTCTCATCTGCGCACAGAATATACTTTAAGATTGACCACATGCTCAGTCAAAACAGATTTCAAAAATTCAGAAAAATTGAAATCATCTTCTTGAAACAGAGTGAAATAAACTCAAAACTCAATAGCAAGAGGAACCCTCAAAACTACACAAATATAGAAAATTAAACTTGTTCCTGAATGACTTTTGGGTAAACAATGAAATTAAGGCAGAAATCAGAAACTTATTTGAAACAAATAAAAATGGTGACGAGGCCAGGCGTGGTGGCTCATGTCTGCAATCCCAGCACTTTGGGAGGCCGAGGCAGGCGGATCACGAGATCAGAGGTTCAAGACCAGCCTGGCCAACATAGTGAAACCCCATGTCTACTAAAAATATAAGAAATTAGCCGGGCGTGGTGGCAGGCGCCTGTAATCCTAGCTACCTGGGAGAGTGAGGCAGGAGAATCACTTGAACCCAGGAGGCAGAGGTTGCAGTGAGCGGAGATTGCGCCACTGCACTCCAGCCTGGGTGACAGAGTGAGACTCCATCTCAAAATAAAAAAAAAACAGTGACAAAATGTAACAAAACCTTGGAATGTGGCAAAAGCAGTGTTAGGAGGGTTTATAGTGCTAAACTTTTATATCAAGAAGATAGATCTCAAGTTAACAACCTGATACCATGCATAAAGAAATGAGAAAAACGAGAACAAAGTAAATCCAAAGCTAGAAGAAGAAAAGAAATAATTCAAATCAGAGCAGAACAAAATAATATTGAAACCAAGAAAACCATTCAATTAATCAAAAAAATAAATTTTTCTGAAAGATAAACAAGATCACTAGATCACTAGCTAAGTTAACAAAGAAAAAAAAGGATCCAATAAGCACAATCAAAAATGACAAACTATCAATAGACTAAACAGACAACCTATTGGGAGAAAGTATTTGTAGACTATGCATCTGACAAGGAACTAATGTTCACAATCTATAATAAATTTAAATCAAGCCAGGTGTGGTGGCTCACGCCTGTAATCCCAGCACTTTGGGAGGCCGAGGCGGGTGGATCACGAGGTCAGGAGATCAAGACCATCCTGGCTAACACGGTGAAACCCCGTTTCTACTAAAAAATACAAAAAATTAGTGGGGCATGGTGGCGGGCGCCTGTAGTCTCAGCTGCTCGGGAGGCTGAGGCAGGAGAATGGCACGAACCCGGGAGGCGGAGCTTGCAGTGAACCGAGATCGCGCCACTGCACTCCAGCCTGGGCGACAGAGCAAGACTCCGTCTCAAAAAAAAAAAAAAAAAAAGAAATTTAAATCAACAAGAAAAACAGAAATAATTCATTAAAAAGTGGTCAAAGGACATGGTCATTTCTCAAAAGACATAAAAGCAGCCAAGAAACATGAAAAAATGAGATAAAAAGGGAGAAAAAGAAGGACAAACAGCAACAAAAATCAAAACAATAAAATGGCAATAGTAACCCCTTCTCTATCAGAAAATTAAAATTCATGGTTCATGGAATAAACTTCCCAATCGAAAGACATAAACTGGTGTAAAAACAAGATTCAACTACATTCTTTTTACAAGATACTCACTTTCAATCTGAAGAAGACAATAGACTAAAAGAAGAATGGTACAAGTCATTCTATTAGAATGTTAACCAAATGAGAAGAAACTAGGTCAAAATTACATAAGGCAAACTACATTTTAGGTCAAACCCTGTTATAAAATATACTGTAGTCAAAATTCTCACAAGAGACAAAGAAGGACATTATATAATAATAAAAAGATTAATTTATATATGTTATAGAAAACTATAACATATATATTATCATCAGGGTTCCCAAATATATAAAGTAAACATTAACAAAATTGAAGAAATACACAGCAATATAATAATAGTAAGATATTTCAATATCCCACTTTCAGTAATAAGTTATAAAGCAAGGTGGAATATTAAATATAAGAACAGAGGACTTCAAAGCACTCTAAAAATTACACCTAATGGACATATAGCAGAATACACAGTCTTCTCCATAGCTCATAACACATTCTCTTGGATATACCACTTGTTAGGGCACAAAGCCATTCTTAGCAAACTTTTTTTTTTTTAATTTTGAGACTGAGTTTCGCTCTTGTTGCCCAGGCTGGAGCGCAGTGGCGCGATCTGGGCTCACCACAACCTCCATCTCTTGGGTTCAAGCGATTCTCCTGCCTCAGCTTCCCTAGTAGCTGGGATTACAGGCATGTGCCACCACATCCAGCTAATTTTGTATTGTTAGTAGAGATGGGGTCTCTCCATGTTGGTCAGGCTGGTCTCAAACTCCCGACTTCAGGTGATCCGCCTGCATCGGCCTCCCAAAGTGCTGGGATTGCAGGTGTGAGCCACCATGCCTGGCCTAGCAAACTTTTAAAAATGGAAATCTTATAGACTATTATTATGACCAAAATGGAATGAAACTAAAAATTAGTAATAGAAAAAAATCCACAAATATATGGAAATTAAACACATTCTTAAGCATGCTCGTGTTCAAGGATTTGAAGAATTAATACTGTACAACATCTTTACAGTGCCCAAAGTAATGTTCAGATTCAATGCAATCCCCTTCAAATTCCCAATTTCATTTTTTGCAGGAATAAAAAAGCAATGCCCAAATCAAATAAAATCTCAAGAGACCATGAAGAGCTAAATAATCTTTAAAATAAAGAAAGGTGTTGGAAGCATCACACTTCCTGATTTCAAAACACATGACAAAACTACAGTAATAAATGCAGTTTAGTACTAGCATAAAGGCAGACAATTAGACCAATGAAAAAGAATGTAGCACAGATATTATCTTTCATGTATATGGTCAAATAGTTACTTGCACACCCATATTAATTGTAGCATTATTCACAAAAATCAATAGGTGAAAGAAACCCAAACTTCTCTCACCAAATGAATAGAAAAATACAATTTATAATATACAAATAATGGAATAATACTCAGCTTTTAAAAAGCAGAAAATTGGGTCGGACGTGTAGGTTCATGCCTGTAATCCCAGGACTTTGGGAGGCCCAGGTGGGCGGATCATGAAGTTAGGAGATCCAGACCATCCTGGCCAACATGGTGAAACCTCGTCTCTACTAGAATACAAAAAAAAAAAAAAAATTAGCCAGGCGTGGTGGCACGTGCCTGTAGTCCCAGCTACTCAGGAGGCTGAGGCAGGGGAATCGCTTGAACCTGGGAGGCGGAGGTTGAAGTGAGCCGAGATTGCGCCACTGCATTCCAGCCTGGCAACAGAGCGAGACTCCATCTCAAAAAAAAAAAAAAAAGCAGGAAATCTTCTAACATGTACGATAAAGAGAAATCTGATGGCATGATGCTAAGTAAAATAAGCCAGCCATAAAAAGACAGGATTGTATAAATCCATTTAAATGAGACATCTAAAGTAGTTACACTCAGAAACAAAATAGAGAGGTGTTTGTAAAGGGTCAGTCAAGGGGGAAAATGAGTAGTTTCGTGTATGTTGAGTTTGAGTTTCCCAAGATAAAAACATGTGGAGATACACTGCACGACAATGTCAATATACCCAATACAACAGAACTGTGTAACTGAAAATATTTAAGATTCTAAATTTTATGTTATGTATTTTGCACAATTAAAAATAAACAATTACACCTAAAATAAAGTTATAAAGCTTTTCAAAAATTACCTTCAAATCACAAGTGTTTCTCTCACAAAAAGAAAATATACATCCACCAATGAATAGATGTTGAATTTACAACAATTCTCATGACTCCTCATCTAAACAGGATAAAACCATCACTGATGACCAACAAAAATGTAAATATAAGAGTCACAAACAAAATGGGGTAAAACCTATTCAGTCAAACACAGAGATAATTAAATTGGTAATAAACATATGGCTGATTCATATCTGACTTTTGCCTCACACTGTCTTAAAATGTACAGAGCTGAATACTGTCATACAAAATTATAATATATGAATAAAAACTAAAAAATATAATGAATGTCAAATGGCCTATTATAAAAACTGTAACAAATAAATATAAAATTGCAAAGCAAAATTAAAAGAAACTATAACCCATAAAATTCTGAATAAACATAGTGGAGTACTGATGAAGAATTCTTCTAGATAGCTACAATTTTCAACCATGACTGGCTATCCATAAAAAGCATACATTTTTGAATCAAGAGCATACAGTTAGAGCATTAATATTTCACAGAAACCCCATTATAATTATTCATAAAAAGCTTTGAGAAAATAATTTTTAAGAAATAAGCACTTACATAATACTAGGGAAACTTATTAATATGTTGCTCTTCTTTTTACACAAAATGGTAAGGCTGTAATCTAGCCTGCAGAAGCAAAGAAAAGACTTACATCTTTTACTGTAAGAACAATATAAATATTGTAAAATACGGTATAAAACACTGATTATGAATTAGGAATAAATTATGCTATCATTCAGATAAACGTTGAGGAATATAGATGAAAATGCAAAGAAAGCTTTTTACGTGCAGGCAACTTAATTATACAAACTAAGCCGGGCATGGTGGCTCAAGCCTGTAACCCTAGCACTTTGGGAAGCTGAGGCGGGTGGATCGCTTGAGCTCAGGAGTTCAACACCAGCCTGGACAACATGGTGAAACTCCATCTTTAGAAAGAATACAAAAATTAGCCAGGCGTGGTAGCACTCGCCTGTACTGTCAGCTACTTGGGGGGCTGAGTCAGTCTATAGAGCCAGTCTATAAATATTTATTTTATAAATTTCCAAATGTCATCCAGAGATCACAGGGCATAGAGAGAAGACAGGAAATATATTCCTTTAAAGGAATAAAATGATTCTTCGGAAATCAATTTTTGAGAAATGAAGATCCTTGTATTATCTGACAGGGAATTCAAAATAATCATTTTAAACATGTTCAATGAGCAAAAATAGAATGTAGACAACTAAACAGAATCAAGAAAATAGTGCATGAGGAAATGATATATCAACAGAGATTTAAAAAACTATTAAAAGTATTTTTTAAAAAAACAAAAATTGTGGAACTGAATACAATAACTAAGTTAAAAAAATTATTACAGAGCCACAACAGATAACTTAATGAGGTAATAGATGGTATCAGCAAATTAAAGACATTTCACTTATAAATATTGAGTCATAAAAGCAAAATAATACTGCCAACAAAGAAAATTTTACCTGGAAAAATTTACCTCTAGAATAAGGATAAAAAATAAAGACTTTATAAGGTAAACAAAAGCTGTCAGTCTTTGTCACCATGTGTATAGTTCTATAAGAAATGGTAAAGTAAATATATACACAGATCTACAATTCTCTACTATAATAATAATGCATAAAACTGAAAATCTTGCCATAGAATTTAATAAACCAAAACACAAATTTGCATAAATCTGTTAATAGATACGCAATACGAAATGATATAATGTGACACTAATAACAAAGGATGTAAAAAGGTATAGTTTTATATTCAACTGAAGTAAAGATGAGATTTAAGCATATTGTTATGTTTCATAAACTCTCATTTTTCAAGGTGATCACAAAAATACCTATAGAAGATATGCAAAAGAAAATGAAAAAGGAATCAAAGTATGCCACTACAAAATTAACAAAACAAAAACAAAGGCAGTAAGAGAGGAAATGAGGGAAAACGTATTTATGACAAGCACAGAACGTAATCGAAAACAAAACGCAACTAGTAATTTTATTTCTTTCTGGTATTATTTTAAATATGAACAGATTGAACCCTTTAAAAAAGTAAAATAGCTGAATGAGTTAAAAACAAAATCTTACAATATGCGTCTTTAGGGGACTCATTTTAGTTTTAAGGAGACAAACAGGCTGAAAGTGACAGGATACAAAAATATATTCCATGCAAACAGTAAGCTCAAGTGGGTGGGGTGGCCATAGTTAGACAAAATCCACTTTAAGTAAAAAATTGTTACAAAAGATAAAGATTGGTATTATATAATGGCAAAATGGATCCATTTACCGGGAATCTATAACACATATAACTGTTATATAACTATAACACATAGCACTCTCAAATATATAAAACAAATATTGACAGAAGGTAAGCAAGAAATACACAGCAGCACAATAATTATAGATTTCACGGCCTCATTCTCAATCATGAATATAAAAAAACCAGATAGATCAATAAGAAAATAAAAAACTTAAAACATTACAGACCAATTAGACCTAAGAGACACATACAGAACGTTCCAGTTAAAAGCAGCAGAATACATGATATTCTCAATTACACACAGAGCATTCTGTTAGGACACATAACAAGTCTTAATAAATTTAAGGAGACTGAAATCATACAGTGTATATTTTCTGACCAAAATGGAATGAAACTAGAAATCAGAAGCAGAAGTAAAACCGTAAATCCAAAAAATGTGGAAATTAAACCCACTCAAACATATTCTTGCTCAAGGATCAGATAATTTCATTTTGTTAAGATGTCAACATGCACAGCCACGTACAAATTCAATGTAATATCTATCAAAATCTCCATGGTAGTTTTTATTTTTTTTTTTTGCAGAAATATAGTTAAGATTCTCAAATTCTTTTTTTTTTTTTTTTTTTTTTTTTTTTTTTTTGAGACGGAGTCTCGCTCTGTCGCCCAGGCTGGAGTGCAGTGGCGGGATCTCGGCTCACTGCAAGCTCCGCCTCCCGGGTTCACGCCATTCTCCCGCCTCAGCCTCCCAAGTAGCTGGGACTACAGGCGCCCGCCACTACGCCCGGCTAATTTTTTGTATTTTTAGTAGAGACGGGGTTTCACCGTTTTTAGCCGGGATGGTCTCGATCTCCTGACCTCGTGATCCGCCCGCCTCGGCCTCCCAAAGTGCTGGGATTACAGGCGTGAGCCACCGCGCCCAGCCTCTCAAATTCTTTTAGGAGCTATAACTAGCAAAACACCCTTTAAAAAGAACAACAAAGAGGTATTACACTTCCTGGTTTTATAACACATTACCCAAAGCTATAAAGATAGAAATAATGTGGTATTAGCACAAAGAAAAATAAATGGATGATAAAACAAAATAGCTCAGAATTAAGCACGTGTGTACATAATCAAATAACCTTACATAAGATTGCTATGGCCACACAATGGGGAAGAAAACAGTTTTTTCAACAAATGATGTTGAAAACTGAGTATCTACATGAAAAAAATAAAGTTGAGCCCTTCCGTTACATGCACCATATAAAAACAGTATTTAAAATGGATTAAATACTTGAACATAAAAATATAACAAACTTCCTAGATAAGTATATGGGGGAAAATATGACATTGGACTTGGCACTAATTTCTTGTTACAAAAGACCAAGAATTTGATGTCATTTTCTTAGCTCTGAAATCAAATGCATAAGGAACAAATAATAGAGAAATGGGACTACATCAAACTTCAGAATTTCTGCACATCAAAGGAAAAATTTAGTGGGGTGAAAATGTCACCTAAGAAATGGGTGAAATATTTGAAAATCACATATTTGATAGGAGTTAATTTTCACAATATATAAACAATGTCTAAAACTCAACAAAAAGTGAGTTACTTGATTAAGAAACAGACAAATAATTGAACTGACATCTCTCCGAAGAAGTTACATAAATAGCCTATAAGCATTTGAAAGGATGCTCAAGATTGCTAACTTTTAGACCAACACAAAGTAAAATCACAGTAAAATATTACCTCAAACCCATTAGGAGAGCCATTAACAACTGTAACCACCCCCCCAAAAAAAAGTGTTACGGATATGGAAAATTGAGAGGCCTTTTGAGCCACTGGTAGGCAAAAATGATGCAACTACTGTAAAAAACATACTATGAAGGTTTTTCAAAATATTAAAAATGGAATTACTATATAATCCAGCAAACATGGAAAATCCTATTTGATACTGTTCTTGGCAGTTATTTTTTGAGGTATGACACCAAAAGCACAGCAACAAAAGCAAATATAAATAAGTGGGACTGCATCAAACTGAAAATTTTCTGCACAGCAAAGAAAATAATAGAAGGAAACTTACAGGATAGAAAAAAATATTTGCAAGCCATACGCCTGATAAGAAGTTAATATCCAGAATATATAAGGAACTCATACAAATCAAAGGCAAAAACAATAATAAGAATGATAATAAGAACAAAACTGAAAAACAGACTGAATGGATAGATATTTTTCCAGTGAAGACAAAGAGCCAACAGGTATGAGAAAAGGACCTCAACATCACCAGTCATCAGGCAGGTGCAAACCAAAACAATGATAAAATATCACTTCACATTTGTTAGGATGTCTATTATCAAGAGACACTTATATTTTTTGGGTGATGTATACCCTAAAAGCACTGACTTCACCACCATGCAATCTATCTGTGTAACAAGGTTGCACTTGTACCCCACAAATTCATACAAACAAAAAGAATAGGGCTGGGTATGGTGGCTCATGCCCGTAATCCCAGCATTTTGGGAATCTGAGGTAAGAGGACTGCTTGAGCCCAGGAGTTCAAGGCCAGCCCTAGCAACACAGTGAGACCCCTTCTCTTAAAAAAAAAAAAAAAAGAAAGAAATTTTAAGCATAAAAACATTTTTAAAAAGAGATAACAAGTGTTGACAAGTTTCTGAAGAAAAAAATCTTGTACACTGTTGGTGTGTTGTAAACTGGTAGAGTCATTATGAAAACCAGTATGGACGTTCTTTAAAAAATAAAATTAGGCCAAGCACAGTGGCTCACACCCGTAATACCAGCACTGTGGGAGGCTGAGGCAGGCGGATCACGAGGTCAGGAGTTCGAGACCAGCCTGGCCAACATGGTGAAACCCTGTCTCTACTAAAAAATACAAAAATTAGCTGGGCGTGGTGACAGGCACCTGTAATCCAAGCTACTCAGGAAGCTGAGGCAGCAGAATCGTTTGAACCCGGGAGGCGGAGGTTGCAATGAACTGAGATTGTGCCATTGCACTCCAGCCTGGGTGACAGGGTGAGACTCCATCTCAAAAATAAATAAATTAATTAAATTAAATTAAATTTTAAAAAAATTCCACATAATCCAGCAATCCCACTTCTGTGTATGTAACCAAAGGAAATAAAATCAGTATTTCTAATATTTGCATCTCCATGTTCATTTCACAATTGCCAAGACATGAAAACAACCTGAATGTTTGTGGACCCTGACTGGATAAAGAAAATATGACACATATACACAATAGAGTATTATTCAGCCATAAAAAAATCATGAAATCCTGCCAACATTTCAACAACATGGATGGACCTGGAAGACATTATGCTAAGTGAAATAAGCCAGACACAGAAAGAAAAATAATGCATGATCCTCAGCTCTATGGGTAATCTAAAAAGGATGAACTCATAGAAACAGAGAGTACAAAGCTGGTTGACCCAGTCTCGAAGTGGGGAAAATGGGAAGATGTTCAATGAGTATATACTTCCAGTCCTGAAATGAATTAAGTTTTGGGGATCTAATGCATAGCATCATGGCTATAGTTAATCATAATGCTCTATATCAGGGGTATCCAATCTTTTGGCTTCCCTGGGCCACAGTGGAAGAATTGTCTTGGGCCACGCATAAAATACACTAACACTAATGGTAACTGATTAGCTTTTAAAAAAATCTCATGTTTAAAGAAAGTTTACAAATTTGTGTTTGGCCACATTCAAAGCCATCCTGGACTGCATGCAGCCAGCAGGACATGAGTTGGACAAACGTGCTCCATATGCTTAAATTTTAGTAAGACAGCAGACCTTTCACTGCAAAAGAAAACTCTGCATGGTGGCTTAATTCCAGCACTTTTGGAGGCCAAGGAGGGTGGATCACATGAGGCCAGGGGTTTGAGACCAGCCTGTAATCCCAGCTACTTGGGAGGCTGAGGCACAAGAATCACTTGAACCTGGGAGGCGGAGGTTGCAGTGAGCCAAGATTGCGCCACTGCACTCCAGCCTGTGTGACAGAGTGAGACTCGTCTCAAAAAGAAAGAAAACAAAAAACAACAACAACAAAAAACTCTGTGAGGTTAACAGATGCATTCATTAACTTAACTGTATTAATCACTTCACAATGTTTACATATACAAAATCATTACACTTTACATAATAAATAGTTATATACTTTTAATTTGTGAAAAGTAACCACACGGTCCCCACACGTATATGTGTGGGTTTATTTGTGTGTATATGTATACACACCTCAACTAATATAGTTGAAGAATCTGGGAAAATAAAGTTTAAATTACCAATTTTAGTTCACACTAAAAATATAAAATGTAGAAATAAAATAACATTAGATTTTCTTATATTTAGGGAGATGCTTAGCATTATAACAAAATTACTGAGTAGGAATTTTTGTAGAATCACATTTGAAAATTCCATAAGGGGCTGGGCACGGTGGCTCACACCTGTAATCCCAGCACTTTGGGAGACCGAGGCGGGTGGATCACCTGAGGTCAGGAGTTCCAAATCAACCTGGCCAACATGGTGAAACCCCATCTCTACTAAAATACAAAAAGTAGCTGGGCATGGTGGTGTACGCCTGTAATACCAGCTACTTGGGTGGCTTAGGTGGGAGAATTGCTTGAACCCAGAAGGCAGAGGTTGCAGTGAGCCAAGATGGCGCCCTGCACTCCAGCCTGGGTGACAGAGTGAAACTCCGTCGCAAAAAAAAAAAAAAATTATTAAAAAAAAAAGAAAGAAAGAAACTTCATAAGAAATCATAAAGCAGAAAATACACCACATCTGTTTGTGGTGTTACTGGGATTTTGGAACCAAATACCGTTATCACGAATACTCTCACACATTTCAGACATAATACAAACAAAAACAAAACCCAAAACCAAAACAAAACAAAACAAAAACCTTAAAAAATAGTTTAAAGGCCGGGCATGGTGGCTCATGCCTGTAATCCCAGCACTTTGGGAGGCTGAGGTGGGTGGATCACCTGAGGTCGTGGGTTCAAGACCAGCCTCAACAACTTGGAGAAACCCCATCTCTACTAAAAATACAAAATTAGCTGGGCGTGGTGGCATACGTAATCCCAGCTACTCGGGAGGCTGAGGCAGGAGAATCGCTTGAACCCAGGAGGCAGAGGTTATGGTGAGCCAAGATTGAGCCATTGCACTCCAGCCTGGGCAACACGAGCGAAACTCTCTCTCTCAAAAAAAAGAAAAAAATAGTTTAACATAGAGTTCCTCAAAAATACACATATATTTCTGTGTGCCCCAAGACAATGAAAGGGCAGTCAGATAATAAAGTCTCTTATAAGCCATGAAGAGGACTTTGGCTCTCACTATAACCTCAAAGTAAGGTTACTTTTTAGAGAATTTAGGAGCATTAGACAGAAGATGCCTCTGTACAAGAGCAAGAATAAACAATCACGTTCCTCAAAAATCATCTCCATTGGAGCAGAGCTTCTCAAATAACTCTTGAAGTCTGTCTTCCTTCTTGGCCTTTGGAGCTTTCACCTGTGGCATGTGTTTCATTCATCCAACCTACCTGGGGGTTTGGCTATGGTCTCATGTCTCTTCACATTCCAGGGCTCCTGTCTTTGCTCCAGACGGCTAATCAGTTCTGGCTTAGAAACAGTAAGACCTGTTTTATTAGAAAAAAGTAATGTGATTCTTGCTGGGATTCTCCAATTACCAACCTAGTGTTGTGCTCTGTAGATAAGAGAGAATATTATAGATGATTCTAGAAAATTAATAATAAGGACAGGCGCGTTGGCTCATACCTGTAATCCCAACATTTTGGGAGGCTAAAGCAGGCACATCATGAGGTCAGGAGATCGAGACCATCCTGGCCAACATGGTGAAACCCCATCTCTACTAGAAATACAAAAATGAGCAAGGTGTGGTGGCACGTGCCTGTAATCCCAGCTGCTTGGGAGGCTGAGGGAGGAGAATCACTTGAACCCGGAGGCAAAGATTACAGTGAGCCAAGATTGCGCCACTGCACACTCCAGCCTGGCAACAGAGCGAGACTCCATCTCAAAAAAAAAGAAAGAAAAGAAAATTAGTAACAAAATAATATTTCTAAACAGAAAGTTTAGAATATTTTATATTTGTGGGTCTTTAGCTTCCCTACCCAATACTACTTAATCGAAAATTGGTGGTAGAAGTTGGATTTTAAGGTCTGGTCAATAATATTTTATAAAGGAATTTTTATAATGGAATTCCAAGAATTACCACTAAAGGCTGGGTAGGGTAGTTCACACTAGTAATCCCAACACTTCGGGAGGCCAAGGAGGGTGGATCACGTGAGGTCAGGAGTTCGAGACCAGCCTGGCCAACATAGTGAAACCTCCTCTTTACTAAAAATACAAAAATTAGCTGGCCGTGGTGGTGGGCACCTGTAGTCCCAGCTACTCAGGAGGCTAAGACAGGAGAATCACTTGAACCCAGGAGGTGGAGGTTGCAGTGAGCTGGATTGTACCACTGCACTCAAGCCTGGGCAACAGAGCTAGACTCTGTCTCAAAAAATAAAATAAAATAAAATAAAAAAATAGAATTACCACTAAACTAGAGTGAAAAATGCCCATCACCTCAAGGTAGAAGAAAGTTAATGTAAACATAAAACATCTTGAAAATTTTCTTCTCTATCCCAACAAATCCCCAAGTTTTCCTTGAAAGCAGAGATCTAAAACTCATTTATACAAAGCAGAAATCCCCACCAAACATTCTACAGAGGAAGAAAATAAAATCTTTTGTGTGAAATAGAAATTGTGTATTGAAGTTATTCTCACCCAGAGAGACCAGGTTTCTGTAGTTCTCTAGCATCACTTTCCTATACAAACTCTGCTGAGCAGGGTTCAGAAACTCCCACTCCTCCAGAGAGAATTCTATGGTCACATCCCTGAATGTCAACAGTTCCTGAAAAACAAAACAAAACATAGTGACCAACTGTCAATGGGCAGAGTTCTTGACTCCATGTGAAAAGAGAGAATTGCTGTGACTTATGAGAGTTACTGGAATTATTCAATCTGCTATTTTTAACAAATATATTCTCTGATGTATTCTCTAACACTGAGGAAAGAAAACAGAATCCATGTGGCCAGGTTCGGTGGCTCACGCCTGTAATCCCATCATTTTGGGAGGCCGAGGCAGGCAGATCACCTGAAGTCAGGAATTTGAGACCAGCCTGGCCAACATGGTGAAACCCTGTCTCTACTAGAAATACAAAAATTAGCTGGGTGTGGTGGTGCACGCCTGTAATCCCAGTTACTTGGGAGGCTGAGGGAGGAGAATCACTTGAACTCAGGAGGCAGAGGTTGCAGTGAGCTGAGATCATGCCATGGCACTCCTTGCCTGGGCGACAAACAAAAAGGAAAACAGAATCCACAAAACCAATGTAGATACTTTTCTAAATAATCACTATAAAATTAAGGGCATCAACACAGGCATATACAGTTTGAGTTTTATGTCTACAGATTATAGAATAAGTTGTAAATATTATTCATACAGAGAAGTCATGATGGGTTAGAAGGTATCTGTCAAATTTTAATGTACGTGACAATGAACTACAGATCTTGTTAAAATGCAGTCTGATCCAGGTGATCTCAGGTGAAGCCTGAGTTTCTGAATTTCTAAAAGCTAGCCAGTTGATACCAAGGCATCCGAATCAAGAATATTTTGTCAAACACAAAGTGGTTGAGCCCCAGTTTATCTGACTAGTAAACAAAGATGAGCCTTCATTTTCCAAAGCAAGCTTTAAGCAAAGAGAATCTAAAAAGAAAGGGAAGTTTGCAGATTAAATGTGATGGTTTATGTACATCAGTCAGTAAATCTCCCAAGGTACTTACGAATAATAAAGATAAAAATAATTAACTTTATAATTAAAAAAAATCTGTCACAGAGAGCCTTAACCAAGTGATTGAAATTAACATGAATTGGGCCAGGCGCGGTGGCTCACGCCTGTAATCCCAGCACTTTGGGAGGCCAAGGTGGGCAGATCACGAGGTCAGGAGATCGAGGCCATCCTGGCTAACATGGTGAAACTCCATCTTTACTAAAAATACAAAAAATTAGCTGGGCATGGTGGCACGTGCCTGTAATCCCAGCTACTCGGGAGGCAGAGGTAGCAGAATTGCTTGAATGTGGGAGGCGGAGATTGCAGTGAGCCAAGATTGTGACATTGCACTCAAACCTGTGCAACAGTGCGAGACTCCATCTCAAAAAAAAAGAAAAAAAAAAAAAGAAATTAACATGAACTACAATAGAACAAATTGATGTACAGTGTCAACACACATGGGCAGACAATCATCAGAGCTATGATATTATTGGCAACAAAAAGTAAATTATAACCTGAATCTAAGCATAAAGAAACATCTTTATGCAAAGTTCAAGCTACAGATATCTCCCAGGTTTTATAACCTCTAATAATGTATTTAAGTAGCCTTTCCTCAGCATTTGAAAGAGCAAGTCTTATCTAACTATTCTCTTTTCCAGAATATTCTGAGTTATTCTGGGCAATTAGTGACATCCTCTTTAAATGTGCATTTTTAAAATCCTGTTTCTGGCCAGGTGCTGTGGCTCACGCCTGTAATCCCAGCACTTTGGGAGGCTGAGGCGGGTGGATCACAAGGTCAGGAGATCGAGACCATCCTGGCTAACATGGTGAAATCCCATCTCTACTGAAAAATACAAAAAATTAGCCAGGTGTGGTGGTGGGCGCCTGTAGTCCCAGCTACTCGGGAGGCTGAGGCAGGAGAATGGCGTGAACCCAGGAGGTGGAGCTTGCAGTGAGCCGAGATCGCGCCACTGCACTCCAGCCTGGGCGACAGAGCGAGGCTCCGTCTCAAAAAAAAAACATCCTGTTTCTGCATAGAGCTGATGGAACATCCAGATGGAACCTAAACAATACACATTCCCCTCTTCACTAATATCTGAGGACCCTATACCATCCCTAATAGAGATCTTAGGTATCTACACCTTTCCACATTGATGTGACACAAAGAGAACTTTATTTATTTATTTATTTTTGAGACAGTCTCACTCTATCGCCCAGGCTGGAGTGCAGTGAGTGGCATGATCCCGGCTCACTGCAACCTCGCCTCCTGGGTTCAGGTGATTCTGCCTCAGCCTTCCAAGTAGCTGGACCACAGGCACGTGCCACCACACCTGGCTAATTTTTTGGGTTTTTAGTAGATACAGGGTTTTGCCAGGTGGCTCTGGCTGGTCTCAAACTCCTGGCCTCAAGCGATCCTCCTGCCTCAGCCTCCCAAAGTCCTGGGATTACAGGCATGAGCCACTGTGCCCAGTCACAAAGAGAACATTTTTATTCTTACAGGTCATACACTCGATGGTGAGAACTGGTCATGGTATGTAAGAAGCCTGGATACAAAGAATAAAGGAGAAGGCTCTGATATATAAAAGAGAAGTATTTTTCAGCGCCTCTTAACTACTATAGTAAGAAGTAATATTTATAAGAAGAAAAGGAGGAAAAAAAGTATCTAAAACAAACTGGTTAGGTAGGAACATCAGAAGTAGAGAAGTAAAAGTTTGTAAGTTCTAAAGCCAAGACATTCAAGAACGAAAAGAGAACATCACCCCTGAGCTGGGACACATTCACCTGAGAACCAGCCATTTCTTCCTCTTGCTCTTCCCTTTGGGATTCCTTCTCAGGTGATATTATCTGGAAAATCACATCTGTAACTTGAGCATACGCCTTTTAAAGCATCAGCAAAACCCCTTCACCTGCTACCACCGCACCCACAGGCAGATGTACCTTAAAGGCACAGAAAAGGCCACACTTGCTTGTCCTTTGTCATTGTCACAGGAGAATTTCAGGAACAGTGAGCTTCTACCTAAAGACTAAAATGTGAGTCTCCAGTTTCCTGCCTTTAGATGCCCTTCCATGCCAGAGATGGCAGCAATTTCTGCTGCAGCAAAGGGCCCATAGGGCCCCACTCCCCTGCTCCCATGAAAACCAAGCACAGCAGGCCCCATGACCTCTCTTTAAAACAAAGCCTGGGGGCTAGGCGCTATGGCTCATGCCTGTAATCCCAACACTCTGGGAGGCCAAGGCAGGCAGATCATCTGAGATCGGGAGTTTGTGACCAGGCTGACCAACATGGAGAAACCTTGTCTCTACTAAAAATACAAAATTAGCCGAGTGTGGTGGCGCATGCCTGTAATCCCAGCTACTTGGGAGGCTGAGGCAGGAGAATCACTTGAACCCAGGAGGCAGAGGTTGTGGTGAGCCGAGATCGCACCATTGCACTCCAGCCTGGGCAACAAGAGCGAAACTCCATCTAAAAAAACAAAAAAGAAAAACAAAAACAAAAAAAAAAAACAAAGCCTGGGGAGGCTGAGTCAGGAGAATCACTTGAGCCCAGGAGACAGAGGTTGCAGTGAGCCAAGATCGCGCCACTGCACTCCAGCCTGGGGCCTGGGTGACGGAGTGAGACTGTCTCACACACACAAAAAGGCTGAACTCAATTCTCACTTATGTCTGGGAGCCCTCATGATTGCCTCTGGCTTTATCTTACAATTACATGGGACACTTAATTAAAACAATATGGATGCTTCCACCCAGGCCAACATAATCCGTCGAGAGGACACAGGTAAGGGTATTTCTTCAAACTGGCCATTTAATCCTAACTAGAATGTGATGAGCTGACAATCACTTAGCTAAGAATTGCCTCTTAAACTTTAATATTCGGAGAAATCATCTGGTATTTCAAGCCCCAGACTAATTTGATTCTGCAGGTTTGTTTGTTTGAGACAGAGTCTTACTCTGTCGCCCAGGCTGGAGTGCACTGGCGTGATCTCGGCTCACTGCAATCTTTGCCTCCCAGGCTCAAGTGATTCTCCTGCCTCAGCCTCCCAAGTAGCTGAGACTACAGTCACATGCCACCATGCCCGGGTGGCTAATTTTTGTGTTTTTAGTAGAGATGGCCTTTCACGATATTGGCTAGGCTGGTCTTGAACTCCTGACCTCAGGTGATCCGCCCTTCTCAGCCTCCCAAAGTGCTGGGATTACAGGTGTGAGTCACCGTGCCCAGTCAATTCTGCAGGCTTGAAAGGAGTCCACGGATTGGCTTCATTCACAGCTAATGCTGACCCTGCTTGCCCTAGATCACTTATAACAGCACTCAACTAGACAAAGCGCCACAGCACACAGTCCCTTATACCTACACTCTTCTTAGAACACAAATGCTTTTGGTCCAAAATAAAAACCACCAATCACTATTCTAAAACATGGCGTTCTCTGTTGGTCCTTTAAAGTTTCCAGAGGCAGCTCATGTCTGAGTAAGTCTGCATTTGGAAAACAACACGCGCACATGCATTAATGCGATGTTTATGGAGCATGCGCTGTGTGCTCAGAAGCACACTATAGAGCATTGTGCTGGGAAGATGACATAATGTGAATTTATCCTCATAACACCCTGGGAGGTGGGTACTAACTGTCCCATAATTCCCTGGATTTATATGAAAAGCCCAGCATTTAAATTTCTTCTTGTTCTATCACTGATTTTTTTTTTTTTTTTGGAGATAGAGTCTTGCTGTGTTGCCCAGGCTGGAGGGCAGTGGCACGATCTTGGCTCACTGCAATTTCCACCTCCCCAGTTCAAGCAATTCTCCTGCCTCAGCCTCCTGAGTCACTGGGATTATAGGTGCCTGCCACCACGGCCAGCTAATTTTTCTATTTTTGGTAGAGATGGGGTTTCGCCATGTTGGCCAGGCTGGTCTCGAACTCCTGACCTCAGTTGATCTGCCTGCGCCCCGGCCTCCCAAAGTGCTGGGATTACAGACGTGAGTCACCGCACCCAGCCTTTCTTTTGTTTTCTTTTTTTTTTAAATGCATGGAATAGGCCAGGCACGGTGGCTCATGCCTGTAATTCCAGCACTTTGGGAAGCCAAGGCAGGTGGATCACCTGAGGTCAGGAGTTTGAGACCAGCCTGGCCAACATCGTGAAACCCCATCTCTACTAAAAATACAAAAATTAGCTGGGTGTGGTGGCACACACTTGTAGCCCCAGCTACTTGGGAGGCTGAGGTGGGAGAACTGCTTGAACTTGGGAGGCAGAGGTTGCAGCGAGCAGAAATCATACCACTGCACTCCAGCCTGGGTGACAGAGTGAGACCCTGTCTCAAAAAAAAAAAAAAAATTAAAAAAAATAAAAAAGCTTGAAATAAAAGCTGAAGATAGACACAAGAATGAAATACAGAACGGGAAAATTAAGTGTAGTTCAAAGGGATTTCTCAGCATTGGGTTTATATTTACTTTCTTGTGATTCCTGGAGCAACTGCTGGATATGCAGGAATAGAAAATGGTTTGCTAGGTGGTATGCCTCTAGAAACAGTGGTTTTAATTAAAAAAAAAAATTAAAGACCAAAAATATTTAGTTATTTGCTTCCATTTATCTGCTTTTGGGTTTGGAAGAATTGTGAACAACCACTCTGGAGAGGCAGCAGGAGCCAAACTCTGATCTCCTTTAATCAACTCTGTATGGAGATTCCAAGGTGGAGCCGGACCTGGATGAGGCCTCAGAAGAGGTGAAACGTGGGTAAGGCTGGGACAGGGAGAGGGCCCTAGGTAGAATTCTGATCTCCATGTCACTGGGGTATTTCCAATTCTGTGTTTTCTAAGCCTGCCCAAGAGAAACTTGACTCCCCAGGTTTGTGTGATTTTAATCTATTTCACCCAATTCCCTGTCTATTTTATAACATACAGTAACAAGGAATTTAACCAAAATGCATAGTGTTTTCTAGGACATGTATATTAGAAGCTAAATATTTAGTCTTCACAAGGTAAAAGCAATAGAAATAATAACTATAGGGCTGGGCGCGGTGGCTCATGCCTGTAATCCCAGTACTTTGGAAGACCGAGGTGGGTGGATCACCTAAGGTCAGGAGTTCGAGACCAGCCTGGCCAATATGGTGAAATCCCATATCTACTAAAAACACAGAAATTAGCCGGGCGTGGTGGTGCACGCCTGTAATCCCAGCTACTCAGGAGGCTGAGACAGGAGAAAATCACTAGAACCCGGTAGGCGAAGGTTGCAGTGAGCCAAGATTGCACCACTGCATTGCAACCTGGGCAACAGAGCGAGACTCCACCTCAAAAAATAGAAAAGAAAAAATAACTATAATAACAACTCTTCTGTTCATGAGTGGCCCTTCAGATGGTGACATCAGAGTTCCCAACATAAGGAAAGTGGCCCTAAATCCCCTGCACACGTCCCTTTTTTGTACTGACTCCATGGTGTGAAATTCAGCCATTTATTCATTTGCCACAGACACAGTTCCTGGATTGCAGAGATTATGATTGCCTCATCTGTTTTTCTAATCGCCATATGAAATGAAAGTAATTGGTTGATCAGTCTCCAGCTCTCCTTTTTTTTCACCCAAGTGAAAACTGGAACAACTCCCATCTAGGAACCAACCAAAGAGATTATTTTTGTGAGAAAGAGAAGAAACACTGAATGACTTATTCCCCTCCCTCTTAGATGGTAGCAGAATTAGACCCTCTTGTCAGCCTCACCCCAGTCTGCACACAACAACCTCAAATGTCTCAAAGACTCTCAGGTGCTGGGAAGAGGGTCTACAGTCACTCTGGGTTGATGTCCTCATGGCAATCCAAACAGGAAACACTGAGACTGATTCTGTGGGAACAGAATAGACAATAGAACTTCCCTGGTAGAGCTTCAGATCCTAAACCCATATGTGATATCACCTGTCCTTAATCAGTTAGCTTGGGTAAGAGGAATGACAGGAATATTTTATTCCAGTATCACAGCTTACAGGTAGGTGTGGTTGTTATGGTCATGGCTGTAGATATTTTGTGGCCTGGACCCCCCACTGCTGGGGTGATTCTGCCATCAGATTCTATTTACACCAAGAGCCTCTCACACAACTGCAGCAGGTCAGAGGACAAGATCTGGAAATTTTCAAGGACCACACTTTGAAGGGTGGGGCTCTAAAATGTCGATGTTGACCTGTCACGATGCAGAAAATGTTTCCTATGGGCTTTCTGTACATTCTCAATCCAAAGTCAGGTCCTGTCTCATGAGTCCCAGAAGCCAGTGCTTATATGCAGATTCTAGTGACATCAACCTGGCTGTGCATTATTGGGTGTTATAGCATGCTGCGCAAAACCAGAGGAGAGATCCAGTCATGGAGACTGCTCTAACACATTATAAATGATATGTCGGCCGGGCACGGTGGCTCACCCCTGTAATCCCAGCACTGTGGGAGGCCGAGGTGGGCGGATCACGAGGTCAGGAGATCAAGACCATCCTGGCTAATACAGTGAAACCCCATCTCTACTAAAAATACAAAAAATTAGCCAGGCGAGGTGGCGGGTGCCTGTAGTCCCAGCTACTCGGGAGGCTGAGGCAAGAGAATGGCTAAAAAAAGGGGAATAGAAAAGTGGGCCGATAAAAAGTTCTTTGTCAAGGATTCTCATTAGTTTACAGGAATAACATTGATTAGTGATTGGCCATACAGGGTTAAGCTAGAAGGTGTGGGCTATAGTGTCCTGTGTGGCATTATTAGATTAATTTATAGCTATGTGTGGCAGTAACAAGCAGTTTCAAGAGGTGAATACATTGCTCAAAGGAGAAGTAGGACATAATTCTGGATTCATTTTAATGTCTCTCTGAGCCTGATAACTAACAGAACTTGCATCCCTCAGATAAAAGTTCTTTTACTTTCTCAAATCCCAGGGCCTGGATTCAAATTTGGGGGTTTCAGATTTAGGTTGCAGAGGTATGGGAAAGTAGCAGGTGCCCTTTGCACATTCTCAGGCATTTGTACAGGAGGAGGAAAAGAACATTTTAAATTCTTAGGTCTAATCAATGCATATGTGTAACCCTGACAGGGTTTGTCTCTGAATTCATTTCAGATTTGAAGATGCCAGGGACATTGAAAGAGGTGGAATGGTTGGTTGCTGCCCTGTAAGGTTATTTTTGTAGAAATCTGATCTGACTGCTCTACAAGGGACTATAGATCACAAATAGGCAGAGAGACCATTTTGCCTGCAATTTGGGGTTTGCACAATTGTGGGTTGTGACTTGAAGCCCAAGAGGGAAAGACCCTCTAGGGTGAAGTCTGATGGGTACCTTACATGTTTATATCATACCTGGTCATTTCAGACAGTGTTTTCAAAAATGTAATTAAAAGCACAATCATCTCCAACCCCAGAAAAACTCTCCACAATGGCAGAACACAAAGCAAAAACCATATGATTACACAATTAAGCCAGAATGTGACATTAATTGCAGGCAATTTGCTAAGAGATTGCAAAGATAGAAAGAAGGTTGTCATAATTAGTCCTCAAGAAGACCACGTGACAGCACTCACTTGTCGTAGATAGTTTATCCTAAACCCACCTGGGAATTGGGGAGGTCAGTTGATTATATTCTATGAAAGATAAACTTCCCACATCTTCATGACAGGAGGTAGTTTTGCAACTTGGAGCCAAATTCAGGTACTTGCTGAAGGTAGGGTTTTACTTCTCTGTAGAAACTGTGGTGCCAGGTGCGGTGGCTCACTACTGTAATCCCAGCACTTTGGGAGGCCGAGGTGGGCAGATCACCTGAGATCAGGAGTTCGAGACAAGCCTGGCCAACGTGGTGAAACCCCGCCTTTACTAAAAATACAAAAAATTAGCCAGGCGTTGTGGTGGGCACCTGTAATCTCAGCTACTTGGGAGGCTGAGGCAGAGGCAGGAGAATCACTTGAACCTGGGAGGTGGAGGTTGCGGTGAGCCGAGATCACACCACTGCACTCCAGCCTGGGTGACAGAGGGAGACTCCGTCTCAAAAAAACAAAAAAGAAACTGTGGAAGAGGGATCTATGTTCTTGGCTATTTATATATTAAATCAATGGTTCCTGACTCAGAGTACTGGGCCATGGTGCTTCTGCCCATGAAGCTTAGCCTACAGCCTGCAGCCCACACAGACCCTCACTGCTGCATCTGCGCTCCAGCACCATGCCACAGAGCAGAGCCCTGGGCTGCAGGAGGAGGGCCTGGAGCACTCCTGGTTAGAATTGTATTTTCACAATAATGGAAATGAAAGTGGTGTTCCAGCCTAAGTTTCTGGGGTTCTCTTCTTTTTGAGATGGAGTCTCGCTCTGTCACCCAGGCTAAAGTGCAGTGACGTGATCTCGGCTCACTGCAACCTCCGCCTCCCAGGTTCAAGTGATTCTCCTCCCTCAGCCTCTCGAGTAGCTGGGACTACAGGCGTCCATCACCACGCCTGGCTAATTTTATGTATTTTTAGTAGAGACAGGGTTTTGCCATGTTGGTCAGACTAGTCTCAAACTCCTGACCTCAAGTGATCCTCCTGCCTTGGCCTCCCAAAGTGCTGGGATTACAGGCATGAGCCACCACGCCCGGCCTCCAGCCTCAGTTTCTACTGACAACGATGACATGGAAAAAGTACTACTGGATGCCCAGCAAGAAGTCTGGATGGAGTTGCTCCACGAGTTGTCACCGTGACAGCCCACCTCACTCACAGACACAAGGAACCAACAGAGCTTCTGAAACACCCAAGGCATTGGAGAGAAAAACAGTTATTAGTCTGTGGAAGATTATATTGACAGAAAGAAAGAAATTGAAAGCATATTGAAGGAATACTCAGATTAGATATGGGATTGGTTAAGTGAGCAAGAAAAAATTCCCCCCAATGTTTCTCTTTAAAGAACCAAAGTGCACAGCTACTCTCAGCATGAGAAACACACGCATTCTGAAGAACAGATACATATTCTATCCAGAATTTCTAGAGGTTTTTCTTCCATCTTTGCTGCTGTCTCATCTGCTGGCCATTGGACTAGGGATTTATATTGGAAGCCATCTAACAACATCCACCAGCATCTTTTGATGAGGAATAGGAAACCAACGTTGTTCACATATTGGAATTATATCTGAGCTTGCGGCATAGCTAACTGAAGAGCTATTATATCCGTGGGTGGGTGACTGCATCCGTTGCATTTATTAGTTCTGTAAATGCCGCATGCCTAAGTTAGTAAAATGAAAAAATAGGGCCAGGCGCGGTGACTCACGCCTGTAATCCCAACACTTTAAGAGACCGAGGCGGACGGATCACCTGAGGTTGGGAGTTCGAGACCAGCCTGACCAACATGGTGAAACCACCTCTCTACTAAAAAAATTAGCCGGGCTTGGTGGCGCATGCCTGTAATCCTAGCTACTCAGGAAGCTGAGGCAGGAGAATCACTTGAACCTGGGAGGCAGAGGTTGCGGTGAGCCAAGATTGCGCCATTGCACTCCAGTCTGGGGCAACAAGAGCAAAACTCCATCTCAAAAAAAAAAAAAAGAAAAAAGAAAGAAAAGAAAAAATAAGGTCAGGCCCGGTGGCTCATGCCTGTAATCCAAGCACTTTGGGAGGCTGAGGCGGGCAGATAGCCTCAGGTCCAAAGTTCGAGACCAGCCTGGCCAGCATGGCGAAACCCCGTCTCTACTAAAATCCAAAAACCAGCCGGGCATGTTGGTGCGTGCCTGTAATCCCAGCTACTCAGGAGGCTGAGGTATGAGAATATCGCTTGAACCTGGGAGGCACAGGTTGCAATGAGTGGAGATCATGCCACTGCACTCCACCCTAAGCAACAGGCTGAAATTCTGTCTCAAATACATATATACATATAGACACTAAAATCATGCTGACCTATAATCATACCTGTTGGATTAATTAATAAGCATATTAATTGATGTGACAGAGGTGGGGTTAATATCTATTGTAACAATTTGTTACTATATTTTTTCCTTTTTTTGAGACGGAGTTTTGCTCTTGTTGCCACGGCTGGAGTGCAGTGGCATGATCTTGGCTTACTGCAACCTCTGTCTTCCTGTTTCAAGCAATTCTCCTGCCTCAGGCTCCCGAGTAGCTGAGATTACAGGCGCCCACCACCACGCCAAGCAAATTTTTGTATTTTTAGTAGACACATGGTTTCACCATGGTGGCCAGGCTGGTCTCGAACTCCTGACCTCGTGATCCACCCACCTCAGCCTCCTAAATTCCTGGGATTACAGGTGTGAGCCACCGCACCTGGCCTATTTTCTTTTGATATAAGATATAAATATCTTAGGATAAACAATTTTAACATATTAGTCATAACGTATGTAGTATTAGAAAATTATCTGTAATATTAATTCAGTTAAAATAATTTATATTTCAAAAGAATACAGAATATCAAAATCATTATTTTAAAGCAGTTTGTCCAAAATAAATATTGTGCTGTTATATTCACTATTGTACAAAATACTGTTTGTTTGTTTTTTTTTGAGATGGAGTCTCACTCTCTTGCCCAGGCTGGAGTGCAGTAGTGTGATCCTGGCTCACTGCAACCTCTGCCTCCCAGGTTCAGGCAATTCTCCTGCCTCAGCCTACCAAGTAGCAGGGATTACAGGCGTTCACCACCACACCCAACTAATTTTTGTATTTTTAGTAGAAACGAAGTCTCACTATGTTGGCCAGGCTGGTCTTGAACTCCTGACCTCAGGTGATCCTCCCACCTCAGCCTCCCAAAGTGCTGGGATTACAGGTGTGAACCACTGCACCCAGCCGAAAAAATACTCTTTAATTTAAATGGATGCAGTTTGTCTACACAAGAGTACATATAACTATGCCAACTGTTCTTAAAATATAAATAGAAACCAAGGTACAGAGCGTACTCTGAGCTGGTCTTGCTATCGCAGCATAAGCCCTTCAGCCTGCACATATTAGTAATTACCTTGGAGCAGCAGTTTTCTATTGAAAACACCTATCGTTTTTATCTCTCCAGATACTGAAGAGATACCCTTCTGTATCTGTGACCCTTTAGCTTTCTGGATTGCTGAATTAAATCCTATCCTTCGTGTTTTCTGAGACAAAGTTTTGCTCCTATTGCCCAGGCTGGAGTGAAGTGGGCAGATCACCTGAGGTCAGGAGTTCAGGACCAGCCTGGCCAACATGGTGGAACCCTGTCTCTACTAAAAATACAAAAAATTAGCCAGGTGTGGTGACGGGCACCTGTAAACCCAGCTACTCGGGAGGCTGAGGCAGGAGAATTGCTTGAACCCAGGAGGCAGAGGTTACAGTGAGCCGAGATTGTGCCACTGCACTCCAGCCTGGACAACAAGAGTGAAACTCCATCTCAAAAAAAAAAAAAAAAAAAAAAAGATTTACATATATTTTGAAGAAGCAGAGAAAAAAGGTACATATAAAAGTTTTCTAGGCCGGGCATGGTGGCTCATGCCTGTAATCCCAGCATTTTGGAAGGCCAAGGCAGGAGGATCTCTTAAGGCCAGGTGTTCGACACCAGTTCCGGGAACATGGTGAGATGCTGTCTCTATAAAAAAAAAAGAAAAAAAAAAAAAAAAAAAAATTAGCTAGGCAAGTTGGTGCATGCCTATAGTCCTAGGTAACTGGGAGGCTGAGGTAGCAAGACTGCTTAAGCCCAAGAGTTCAAGGTTATAGTGAGCTATGATCATGCCATTGTACTCTAGCCTAAGTGAAAGAGTGAGACTCTGTCTCAAAAAAATCAATCAATCAATAATAAAAGTTTTCTAAATTCTATCCTTCAGGAAAAGGCAAAAGAACAAAATGTCTTCCCTCATTTTCAAGTGGGGGAATGAAGCCCCTTATTTCTAATTTGTATTTGCTTCTGCAAAAGGTAGGTCTAGGCCCATGGTCTTGAACTACTGGACATCTGACAACTGAGGGGTGGCGTTGGGCACACTGTGTGCACATAAAAAAAGGGTTTGTGGGGGAACTAAAAGGCAAACGAGGGAAAGTTGCTATCTAGAAGCCATGGGTGGGACAGTGCAGGGTTACGGAAGGACTGGTTCATGCTATAGATTGTGTCCCAGGAGAGGCTATGCTCTGACTTCTTCCTGTGTCCATGCAGGCAGATGAGACTATAATCAGGTGGCACAGAAGCCTGGGTTGGTGAAAAAACCAGGTTGCCAGTACAGACTACCTTTCAAGCTCTACTGATAATTTACACTTAATTAAAAACTGAAGTTAAAATAAGCAAAGAAATCTTTCCAAGGTGACAAACTCAGGAAGCGGCAATACTGATTGGAACACAGACATATCTGACTCAGATGTCAAGTCAAGCCATTCTATCATTTGGGACATTTTCCCGCCCCATCCTGCTCACTGAAGTGGACAATAACCATTCTACCAAGAGCCACTGTGCTGTGCCCCACTGTGTCCCTTAGATGCATTTTGCTTTGCAGGTTTTTGCACTGCCTCACTGGGTTGGGTGTTCCTTGTCCTTGGGGATATTTTTTTTCTCTCTTCACCAATCTGAGAAAATTTTCTCCTCAATACTAGCATCCAAATTGCCTGGCCAGCACTGTATCTCTAAGAAATGGAAACTGGGAGTTGGGGAAGAAAATCTTAATGTCCTAATGGATTTGCTTTCAGAGGAAAGGTATACCTGATTTCTCCCAGGCACAATGCACCAACCACTCCACAGAGAGGCCACATTCCCATACCTGGCAGGGTTGCCCCTGAGAGGAGATGGCCCAGGGGCTGATATTCACTAGACACCTCAGGAGACACAGCCACTGTGGGCATCTCATGTCATCCCCAGACAGTTCTGAAACTCAAAACCAGGAAAATAACACAGGGTGGCTGAGGATGCATTGCCCTGTGAAGTTTCCAAAGTGGAACCTCAACCCAAAAACATTCTGATAAGGTGTCTGTGCCTAGGAAAGATTAAAGGGAGATTGGCACAAAGGTTTTTGTTTTTTGGTCTTTTTTTTTTTCATGGTGGAGTGTTGGGATTATTCTCTGCTTTCATCTCCTGTAAAATGTTTGCAAATGAAAAACAATTCTTTTTCTAAAAAGTGCCATCCGCTGCTCTTTGAAATAATGATCAATCAAAATACTGTGTCTGAAATGTACAAAAAAGGACTAATAGTTGATAATGTTGTGAATTAGAGAGGGGAAGTTGGTGTTGAAGAATGTCAGGAAAGAACTGAAAATTTAAAATTCAACTGCAAGTCAGAGTTAGGCTGGGGCAACAGAGTGGTAGCTTTGAGATTCTGTTTGTCACACATTTGGAAAATCCAAGAGAAAACCACTTCTGTGGAGTGTTAAATAAATAGCAGGCAGTTAGACTGAGGTGGCTCTAGTACCCTGAGTTCCTACATTAAAAAAAAAAAAAATCAAAGGCAAATACATTTCTTGTAAATTGCTACCTTAGGGGGAAACAAAATTCAGATTTTTCAGATTTAAGCAACCACAAACCTTCAATTAACTTCTGATTACATAACCAGGCAATGACAACCTGAATAGTCTAAATAAGATGACTACATAACTGGAACGAGTCAGTTACTGAATTCGGTTTGCTTCATCCTGCACTTTATAAAAAACTTTCCTTCAAGCTCTTCGGCTGGACCCCCAACCACAAACCGTGGCTGGGTGCTCTCTGAGCATAAATCACTGTTAACTTCAATAAGTTTTCAACATTTTAAAGGTGACTCCCATAGTTTTTAAACAGGAGAAGGAAAAGACTGAGGACCCCCGGGATCACAGCACTTCCCACGCACAAACCACACACGGGGTCTGGACTCTGCCCTGAGGACGCTTCCATTGTCCCCGCAGTCGGGGCAGACGCAAGAACGCGCGCGGCTCTTCCCAGGGTGGGCTCCGGGCGGGAAGCGGGAGAACGGAACGGGATGCCCGCCCAGGGTCCCGGCTGCTGGCCCACCTCGCATCCTGTGCCCGGAGGTGATCGACGGCCGAGCTGTGCCTGCCGGGGACTCCAGTCCGCAGACTCCGGAGCTGACAGCTGGGAGGCCCCAGTCCCGTCACTGCCGGTTCCGGCCGGTTTCAACCAGCCCTGCCCCCACCTCGGGATGCGCGGCCTGGCACACTCACCATTTTTCGGCTTCCGGGATGTCGTGGAGTCTTAGCTCTGGATCTCACAGCATCTGCAAGTCAGAGGGCAACAGAGGCTGCGACAGTCACCGGGAACTACTAGAGCAGAGGATACTAAGCAATGAAGATGGACCCTGAGCTCTGGCTGGAGCGAGACAAAGGCCCCGCCAGCTCCAGGACACCGCCCCCTCTACCTTGGCTGCGCACCTGATTGGACAGTTCCCACTCTAGCGCCCATGATTGGATACAGTTCCATGCCCCGCCCCCTCAGGTCATGAGTGACAGGAGGCGTGATCTGAGAATGTGTTGAATAAGGCAAGAGTTACAGGTTTTTCCTGAACCCTTTTCTGGCGCGCTTCCTTCCTGAATTGGAAACTGGCCCTTCCTGGGGAACATTTGCATTTAACTTTGTATATAAAGTTATCTTTATTTGTGAATAGTATACATATGTTATTCACAAATGGAAACAATATAATGACAATTATTTTAAAATCTCAGATTTCATCATTTTCCTAGCCTCCAGTCTTTTGAGCAGGCAGCCTAAGATGTCGCAAGGGAGGCAATTCTCTAAGAAATAAACTGTGAAGCACATATGAATTTTACATTTTCTAGTAGCCACATTTTAAAAAAGAAACCAGGCGTGGTAGCCTGTGCCTGTAGTTCTAGCAACTAGGGAGGCTGAGGCGGGAGCATCACTTGAGGCCAGGAGTTTTAAGACCAGCCCGGGCAACATAGCGATGATCCCATCTCTACAAAAAATAATTAAAAATTTAGCCAAGTCTGGTGGTGCACGCCTGCAGTCCTAGCTACTCAGAAGGCTGAGGCGGGAGGATCACTTGACCCTGGGAGACCAAGACTGCAGTGAGCCACGATCACACCATTGCACTACAGCCGGGGTGACAGAGTGAAACCAAGTTTAAAAAAAAAAAGATCTCTGAAGAAGGCATTTTCTCTTTCTGCAATTTAGCCAAGCAGCTGAGTATGTCTTGAAGTCATCTTCTAATTTTTAACAGGGCAAGGATGTTTTCTAAAACCCCAGTCTCCAGAGTTGCCATGGGGCAAATCCCGGCAGCATACATGAAAATCACTCACAGCTAATGCATTCTTCATCAGATCCAGTGCTTCTTACCCCTGGCAAATAAAAATCACCTGCGGGGTTGGGAGCGGTGGTTCACGCCTATAATCTCAGCATTTTGGGAGGCCGAGACGGGCGTATCACCTGAGGTCAGGAGTTCGAGACCAGCCTGGCCAACATGGTGAAACCCCCATCTCTACTAAAAATACAAAAATTAGCCGGGCATGGTGGCACACGCCTGTAATCCCAGCTACTCGGGAGGCTGAGGCAGGAGAATGGCTTGAACGTGGGAGGCGGAGGTTGCAGTGAGTCGAGATCGCGCCATTGCAGAGTGAGACTTCGTGGGGAGGGTGGTGGTGGCGGCGGGGGGTGTGGAGAATGACTGGAGGGGCGGGGCAGGATGTAAACTTAAAATCCCTGAAGCCCAAGTTGCAACAGACCAATTAAATTAGAATCCTTGGAGTTGGATCTGGGCAACAATATGGTTTAAAGCTCTCAGGGTGATTACAGTGTGTAGCCAAGTACCCAAACTACTGCTTTTCACCAACAGCTTTTTCTTTTTTTTTTTTGAGATAGAGTTTTGCTCTTTTTGCCCATCCTGGAGTTCAATGGTGCGGTCTCGGCTCACTGCAACCTCCGCCTCCCGGGTTCAAGCGATTCTCCTGCCTCAGCCTCCCAAGTAGGTGGGATTACAGGCGCTTGCCACCACGCCCGCTAACTTTTTGTATTTTTAGTACAGACAGGGTTTCACCATGTTGGCCAGGATGGTCACGATCTCTCGACCTCGTGATCCACCCGCCTCGGCCTCCCAAAGTGCTGGAATTACAGGTGTGACCTACCGCACCTGGCCTTCATCAACAGTTTTGATGAATTAGTTATAAATGGTTTTTCAAATGCATGTAAAAACGTTTGCTGCTGAGTTGTGACCTTACAATCTTAACTCATTTCCCACTTACTATACTTTGCAGAACCAACCTCTGCTACTCGCTTTGTTCCTGATTGAACCTGGTTCCATGTGTGCTCAGTGTATACTATGCACAGGGCACTGTGCTGTGTGCCCTGGTCCCGGTGAGCATCATTCTCAGGGGAGAACCTTGCTGAAAACAAAATCACATCCCAAAAAGTTAAAATCATGCTACTGGCCGGGCGCGGTGGCTCACGCCTGTAATCGCAGCACTTTGGGAGGCCGAGGCGGGTGGAGCACGAGGTCAGACGTTCGAGACCAGCCTGGCTAACGTGGTGAAACCCCGTCTCTACTAAATATGCAAAAAATGCAAAAAATTAGCCGGGCGGGGGGGCGGGCGCCTGTAATCCGAACTACTTGGGAGGCTGAGGCAGGAGAATCCTTGAAACCTGGGAGGCAGAGGTTGCAGTGAGCCGAGATTGCACCACTGCAGTCCAGCCCCGGCGACAGTGCAAGACTCCGTCTCAAAAAAACAAAACAAAACAAAAACAAAAAACCATGCTACTTACCGAATTGAGGTGAAAATTAAAAGACCTAGGGGGTCACCCAAAGGTTAGAACATGAATCAATAACTTGGAATATTAATATACATCTGATGGTGCCCTGAGCACACATGTCCATTTTATTTTATTTTATCTTACCTTATTTTATTTTTATTTTTTGAGACAGAGTCTTGCTCTGTTGCCAAGGCTGGAGTACAGTGCCGCGGATCTCGGCTCACTGCAACCTCTGCCTCCCAGGTTCGAGCGATTCTCCTGCCTCAGTCTCCCCAGCAGCTGGGATTACAGGCATGCACCACCACGCCCAGCTAATTTTTTGTATTTTTAGTAGAGACGAGGTTTCACTACGTTGGGCAGACCTCGGGTGATCCGCCCGCCTCGGCCTCCCAAAGTGCTGGGATTGCAGGCGTGAGCCACTGCACCCCGCCACGTGTCTGCCTTTAAAAGAAAACAAAATAAAGCATTACTATTATTCTCAAATATTAATTTATAACTATTATGCAAACATGTAATATTTAAATTTTGATTGATGTATAGCATGCATACATAAATATATGCGCAAAACATTTATGGAAAACTTGATGAATTATTACAGACCAAACTCGTGTAACCAAGAAATAGAATCAGACTTGCTCATGCCCGACAGTCACTTTCTCCTTCTCTTCACAAAAGTAAGAGCTTAAGAGCTAAGTGTAGATCAACTTTGTCATTTTGTACAAGTGTTTTATTACAGAGCATTAAAAACATATCCAAAATACAAAGAAGGTGTATAATAGACCTGTCACCCAGCTTTAACAGCAACTTGACATGTGCCATTTTTGTTTCATTGATATTTCAACCCATTTCCCATCCCTTTATTAATTTTTTAGTTTTTTTTTAGATAAAATGTATATACATTGAAAGGTACGATCTTAACTGTACCTTTTGGACAAATCAACTCACTCATATAAACATCTCCTCTTTTAAGAACAGAATTACTCCACTTAATCATTAATGTACCCATAAGTTACCTCAAAGTATTATTTAAAATCTAGATTTTTATAAAATAGGTCTGAGTTTGGACTGAGAATTCATATTTCTAACAAAGTACGGATCCATAGAGCACATGGTAACTACAGAGTCTCTTTTATCTAAAGTAAATACAATTGGATGAATAAAATTAAGAAAAATTGACCTAAGGTGAAAGGACAAATCAAAACATCTGTGCAATATGCTATCTGTAGGAGCATTTGGTTAAGAAAAATATAAACTCACCAAAAAGTTTTATTATTTTAATAATGCAAATTGGCAAAATTCCTACTATTGTTTTCATAGAAATGCTCCCTCACAATAAAACATTTTCATATAGGAACGGTTACAGTGGCTCACGCATGTAATCCCAGCAATTTGGGAGGCTGAGGCGGGTGGATCACGAAGTCAGGAGTTCAAGACCAGCCTGGCCAAGATGGTTAAACCCCGTCTCTACTAAAAATACAAAAATTAGCCAGGCACAGTGGCAGGTGCCTGTAATCCCAGCTACTCAGGAGGCTGAAGCAGGAGAATCTCTTGAATCTGGGAGGTGGAGTTTGCAGTGAGCTGAGATCATACCACTGCACTCCAGCCTGGGTGACAGAGTGAGACTCCATCGCAGGAAAAAAAAAAAAGAAAGAAAAAAAGAAGAAAATTCATATCATAGGAAGGCACTGGTTAAAAATAGCAAATATTTGAAAGTAAATGTCTTATAACATTAAGTAGCAGATACCTTTTGAAGCCCATAGATGGCCTTTACATAGTTACCCAAAATTCAGTTGTTTACACAGCAAGTGCAGATAATTTTTATAGCTTCCTATTAAATTGTTATTAAAATTAAATTTATTAATTTTAATTAAATTAAAATTATATATTAAAATTATATGTTAATGCCCTTACAAAGTTTTCTTCTAAAATTCACTAACTTAAATTTTGTATATGACATATAAGTTCCCTTTACATTCAACTTAAATTTCCTTAATTTTATTAGGCAGTGCCTGTGTGTTTACCACCCAGTATTATTTGGGGTTCCTCCAACAGACATCACGGTTGGGGAAACAGGCTGTTCCTGCTTCTTTTTCCTCTTCAGGGCATCAGTTCATCAGTCAACCAAGTCGTGTGGGAGTGGAGGTCATATATTCCCTAGCATAGAGGGTGTCATTTCTGAGCACTCTGCTCAGAGTAGAAAAAGACCAGAAGGTCCTTTTAGGGAACACTTACTTGGGGAGGGCTAAGCCCCTTAAGGTGTGAGAGCTCTAATCAGCAGGTATAGACTTTTCAGGAGGGAGGGATGAGGCAGCCATTCTGAACCTGGAGCTCCATCACCTCTTGTCCCATCTCCAGACAATTCTAGAGGGCTGTTCAGGAACATGTCTGAAAGGTGCACATGGAGGAACAGTGTGGGCTTTGATCTGGCTTAGATGACGTCTGTCCTGGGGAGGCAGGAGGTCCATGCTCAGTATCTGGGCTGGTATCTTTGAGGTCAGTAGGTTGCCTTTTTGTATCCAAGTCCATTTTCACTAGGGAAGAGGCCAGACAGTCTAAATGGCTTCCAGAGCCCCTCTCTGATTCTCTTTGGGAGATAGGGTCTGAAAGAGGCTAAGTCAGTATTTTGGGGAAATTCTACAAAGTCTGGTTGGAAACTGGGAAGACCTCTTGCCTGGTGCTTAAATGCTCCATTTGCAGTCCTAGCCATATAGGTGTTTGGTAGACATAGAGCTGGGTTTGCATTTATATCAGCACAACCTTATGTCAGAGCTGAAGAAGTGGCCAGGATAAGTGTCTTGGTTGCAGGCTGGAGAACATCATAAAAGCAAACTGCTAGTTTGCTGATTTTCATCTTGGCAATGAGCATTGAGTCCTGGCCAAACTGCTTGAGTGCAGCATGAGGCCAATTCATAAATCCACCTCCACGCATCAGCTGTCCATAAGATAAGAGGAAGCTCAGTTCATGTTTTGACGAGAGGCTCTGCCATGTGAAAGAATCACATCTCAGGTGTCTTGACAGCTGGCTGACTTGTGAGAAAAGATCCAGGACAGATCTATTTTTGGATGCATCGACAGGCTTCAGCCTTCCAGAATAATGTGGGAGAAATGGCTTGCAAATAAAATATGGTAGGAACTCCTGATAATGAAGAGTAAAAACATGAACTTAATAAAAATAAGACAGAACCTATAAAAACATGCCATAGTAAAAGAAATACAAATGGACTTTTCTAGCATAAAGAGGCATTCAACCATAACGGTGATCAGGAGAAAATAAATTACAAAATAAATGTGTTTTGTTGGTGTGTGATCAGGGATACTAATCTGCGTCTTTGTTTGGGTTTCATTTTGAGATTGAGGATGGGAAATGGCTTGTAGCCCTCAGGGGGCTTTGAGAAATGTGGCAATCATCCCCAAGAGCTATGTTCTTCATGTTCATTCTTGACACTGGCTGAAGAGCCTCAGCTGAGAGAATGACCCACAAATACAGGTTAGGGATAGACTATGGGGCTCTGTGCTTAGAGAGAGGAGAGTCACCTAAACTCCTCTTTACCACAGCCCAATCCAAATGAGGGTAATTCCAAAGAAACTAAACTCAAAGCCAGAAACAGCACTGCTAGGTTAGGCAAGAATTTGACTCTTCCAAGGTGAGGAGAAACAGAGGATGGATTAACACAGTCTTCCCTGGGAAGGAAACTGGGAGTTATTTTAGCAACTAGGGCCTTATAGATCCTGGACTCTGTGTAAAAAGTAAAGTAGAGGTTCCTCTTCAAAGACTTTCCTCCCCATCTAATTATGAATAAATAGTAACTTCTCTTAGAAGCAAAATTTATTCAAAGACCTGTGCTCCTAAATATTTGCCCTGGCATGCTTATACTGGTCCAAGCAAGCATTAGGTCATAGCCTGTTCCTCTTCCTTATTTAAAAGTGTTTTTACCTTTCTCAGCATTCCACAAGTTACTTCCTACTTCCTTTGTTCTCCTCTACCTTTGTCTCTTTTAAAAAGTTCTAAGTTGCTAGCCAATCGGGACAAATGCAGAATGTGAGGTCCCATTCCAGCAGTAGGGTGGATACGTCAGGTTATAAATAACCCTGTCTCTTTTGTTCGATGTACTCTTGTGGCAAAACTGCTGGCGAGTATACCCTTTCTGCAGGAAGTAAAAATGCCCTTACTAAATAAATTAAATTTATGTTCAAGGGCTATTTCTTTACGGCACTGAAAAACAAACATTTCAAATACTCTGGAAACAGAAAATGTAGCTCCTGCAGAAAAAATAAAGATCTGCTACTTCTCAGACACTTTTACACTCATTGTAGTAGTAAATGACAGAACCTGTGGTGGTCCTAGGAAAAAAACTTGAACAATGTACTCAGAATGGCGAACTCTGGGTTTTCTTGAGGGCCAAGACTACTGACATTTCATGTGTTATATTTCATGTAAGACATTTGATGTCTTTTGGATACCTTATGACAGTTATGCATTTCTTTATAATCAGAAAAAAAATTAGCATGTAATCATGCATATATGTTTGTATATTGTACAATGTATCAAAATGAATATGTATATTTATATTCTCCCCCTTAAATTCAGAAAAAGCTGAAGCTCTTTACTCTCTCAGCCTGAGTCCAGGGAGGACGGATATCCACAAATTAGTGGATACAAACTAATTAGCATTCTCTAATAGAGAAGCGTTTCTATTTTTTGCAGTTTGATAAACTCATGGTGAAATTACCATGCTACTTTTTTTACTTTTTATTATTTAATATAAAATCTAAGACAAGATACATTAAGTACTTAGTGACACACGTATTTATTCCTCACCTGATTCATAATATCTGCCTAATTTTAAACTTTCTTCCATTTTATAGGTTCAATTGATCTTATTTTATTGTAGGATATTAAATCTAATACCAGCATTGTTATTTTATATATTATGTTCTTTAATTTTGTATATTTTCTATTGGCATTTTACACTGAAATAATGCAGTGTTTCATCATATAAATGACTTTATCTGTATTTAAAAAATAAAAGTCTGGGGCCGGGCGCGGTGGCTCACGCCTGTAATCCCAGCACTTTGGGAGGCCGAGGCGGGCGGATCACAAGGTCAGGAGATCAAGACCAACCTGGCTAACACGGTGAAACCCCATCTCTACTAAAAATACAAAAAAATTAGCGGGGCTTGGTGTCCGGCGCCTGTATTCCCAGCTACTGGGGAGGCTGAGGCAGGAGAATGGCGTGAACCCGGGAGGCGGAGCTTGCAGTGGGCCGAGATCGCGCCACTGCACTCCAGCCTGAGCAACAGAGCGAGACTCCGTCTCAAAAAAATAAAATAAAATAAAACAAATAATAAAATAAAATAAAAAGTATTTGGGTATTTTTTTTTTGGTCTTATAATTTCCATATTACATAGTGATGAGATAAACATTAATGTTTTGAGAGTATTTTAAACTTTTGATAATGACTCATTTGATCCACATGGAATTTTTTACTGCATGTGTGGGTTGAAAATCTGGTTTTGTTTTTTGTTTCCTTCTTTGTTCATTTGTTGAGACAGAGTCTCATTCTGTCGCCCATGTTGGAGTGCAGTGGTGCGATCTCAGCTCACTACAACCTCCCCATCCTGGGCTCAAGTGATTCTCCTGCCTCAGCCTCCCAAGTAGCTGGATTAGAGGCACGCACCACCACGCCTGGCTAATTTTTGTATTTTTACTAGAGATGGGGTTTCACCATGTTGGCAAGGCTGGTCTTGAACTCCTGATCTCAAGTGATCCACCTGCCTCAGCCTCCCAAAGTACTGGGATTAAAGGCATGAGCCATGGCACCTGGCCTGAAGAGCTGATTTCGCTTCTGCTTCATCTTCAACCTGATCTCCCCAGAACTGATAGCTCTTGCTGTAACTGGGGGATAGCAGTTTATTATTCCAATAAATGTGGCAAATTCAATAACATACTACAAATCAGTTGGAAAGCAGGACATGCCTTCAAGACATACACAACATGCACCAACCTATGTACAACAATAATAATTTGTAAATTTCAGTTGGAATGGAAAATAAAATGACAAAAAGATTGTTAAGGTAAATTAAAATGGAGGTCAGGCCTGAAGAATTCCTGAGCAGACCAAATCAGTTAGGCCTCATAAGTAACCTCAACCTTGCTTGATTTCCAAACATAAGCAAAACTTAACTTGAATTCTTTCTTGTAGCTGCCTATTTTAAAGAAAAACAGAAATGAATCTCAACCAATCAGAAGTAGCCAACAACCTTATATAGCTAGGAACTTTTCAACAAGGCAAAGAAACCAAAAACCGAGAAGAAACAAGTTTCTAACTACCACTAATTGAGTAATTTATTTTGTTTCTACATTTTCCCAATAAATAGTTGCCTCTTACACTGTCAATGAAACACTAAACCTCTTTTAGACTGGTGTCCTATAATTAATCAATTGCTCCTACTCAAACTCTTTACAATTTTATTGCGTCTCAGATTACTTTTTAGCAGAATAAAATAAACTATCTAGGAATCCATATTACAAAAACGTTTACAGAATATCAGAAAAGACAGAATGTTCATACAATATATGAATGTAGACATAAGCAAATAGAAAACTTACATGTTCTTAGGCAGAAAAACTCAATATACTATCAATATCAATTGTCTTTAAGGTAATTTAGAAATTTAATTTTGTTCTAATATAGATATCATTAGATATTGAGGTAGGCATTTTACTATAAAATAGCATATAGGCTGGGTGCAGTGGCTCACACCTGTAATCCAGCACTTTGGAAGGCTGAGGCGGGTGGATCACCTGAGGTCAGGAGCTCAAAATCAGCCTGGCCAAAATAGTGAAACCCCATCTCTACAAAAATACATAAATTAGCCAGGCATGATGGTGGATACCTGTAATCCCAGCCACTTGGGAGGCTGAGGCGGGAAAATTGCTTGAACCTCTGAGGCAGAGGTTGCACTGAGCCGAGATTGCACCACTGCACTCCAGCCTGGGCAACAAAGCAAGACTCTGTCTCAAAAATAAATAAATAAATAAATAAATAAATAAAACAGCATACAGATGAAAAGCCAAGAAAAGCCAAGAAAACTGTGGAAAAAAAAACACACACAACAAAACACAGATAATATTGGCCAGCCGTGGGAAAAATCTTGATTGATTAAAAAAGCTAATAATAGATCATTGGAACTAAAAATTCAGAAATAGACTAAAGTGCCTAAGAAACTGTCTTAGTCCATCCAGGCTGCTGTAACAAAATAACTTAGGCTGGGTAATGTAAAAACAACAGAAATTTATGGCTCACAGTTCTGGAGGCTGGAAAGTGCTAGATCAAGGCACCAAGAAATTTGGTGTTTGGTGACGGCCCAGTTCCTCACAGATGATACCTTCTTGGTGTGTCCTCACATGGCAAAAGAGACAAGGACACTCCCTTCAACCTCACTTATTCCATTCAGGAAGATGAAGCTCTCTTGGTTTAGTCACTTCCCGAAAGGTCGCATGCCTAATACTATCCACATATGAATTTGGAGGGGGACACAAATACTTAAACCACAGCAAAAATTTAATAAGCAGGAAAAACTAGTGGAGGATGGCATCACTAATACTTGACGTGTGAAAAACCGATGTTCCTATCACAAAGGAAAGAAATGACTCATTCTTCATGACATAGAACAAAATAAAGGTCCAATGAAAGATAAATCTATACAGAAAAATAAATTGGTGTTGATAAGGTGAATTCTACAGGTTGTATCAGGATTTTGGAGGTTTCTGGGGATGGGCAGGGCCCCAGAGTTTCCTCCTGTGACATTTTCCCTGAAGTTGCTCACGCTCTTACTCAATTTGAAAGTGGATAAAAATGTTTTTTCCTGTTCTAATATTTAAGAAATTCAAAACAAAAAGGCCTATGTATGCACGATTATCAAACAATCCGTCAGTGGTGCTCTGCTAAGGAAGGGCAAAGAATCCCACATCCACAAAAGTACGATGTTCTGTCAGATAAAGATGTCTCCCTGTGCCAGAGCCACATATTTTACACATGATCAGAGGCTTTCCCAGGGAAGCATTGCTCTGCAGCCCTTCCACAGACTTAACCCTGAGAATTTGACTTAGAAGATCACTGATGAACACACGCCCAAGCGTTCTGATCTACATGAATCCTCTCTTAATGGTTCCTTCCAGGGATCTGGGATCTTTCCCAAAGTCATCTGTCACACACAGATTGACTCAAAAATGTGGACAAAAGCTTTGATCCTCACTGGCACACCTGCTCTGTCTTATCAGCTTCTCTAGAAGTATGCTGCTCTAATTGCTCCTGAGAGACCCCATCTTAAGGTATCTCTCTGTGCCAACATAATTGATTTCATAAAGTGGGAAGAGAATAGGCAAGAGTCAAGCTATGCTGGGGGCTGTCTAAGATTCCCTTACCTATGTCTCTAATTTACGCACATATTGACTAATACAGATTCATCTCTAAGTGGTAGGAAATGGGAAGGAGGAGCCCCAGTTCTCAGAAAGAGAAGCCCCAGTTCACAGAAGGAGAAAATGTAATCAATGCTGCCTAGCTTCCAGCTTCAGCTTACCTATGGGGGACTGAGTCTCTTCTGAAAAAAGCAGCTGTTCTCCATAGTATTAGCCTGTTCTCATGCTACTAATAAAAAGACATACCCAAGACTGGGTAATTTATAAAGGAAGGAAGTTTAATTGACTCACAGTTCTACATGGCTGGAGGTGGGCGGTCGGTTCAAAATCATGGAGGAAGGCAAGGAGAGGCAAAGTCACATCTTACACTGTGGCAGGCAAGAGAGCATGTGCAGGCCAACTGCCCTCTATAAAACCATCAGATCTCGTGACATATATTCACTACCACAAGAACAGCTTGGGAAAGACACACACCCGTGATTCGATTACCTCCCTCCAGGTCCCTCTCATATCACACGGGAATTATGGGAGCTAGAATTCAAGATGAGATTTGGGTGGGGACACAGCCAAACCATATCATCCATCATTTGAAGGAACTGTGGTCTCAGGAAGCTAGGCATTGAGTGTGCACGCTGCCCCCTAGAATTCCACACCTACATCACAGAGACAGAATAGTCTCAAAGGATTCTTAAGGGTAATATGGGCAGCCAAAAGGAGGAGATGAATTCACAGCCTCTGCCTTACCTTCTGGTCTAACAAATACTACTCCTATCCTGGCCCAAAAGGATTCCCATACTCTTTTCTGGGTTGCACAAGGAGTAATTCAGAAAGACAAAAACTTATTAATGCCCCTTCATTCTCCATAACTTCTGAGGTAAGTTGTTCATTCCCTGGGTTTTAGGTTGTTGTTCTCTCTCTACCTCCACAGAACCAGTGTGTCCCATTCCATTACCTATAATTTCACCCATATTCTTCTTACCTCCTACTTTCTCCTAGACATTTTATCCAGTAGAGCCAGGTGAAATACAGACAAGTATATTTACACAAAACTTAACCAGAACTAAGTTGGAGTCCCATAAGCCCTATTGGGCTGCGATGGCACTCAGGCTGGCCTAAGGTTGTGGTTATGGAAAAGAATGCCACATTTTGCCCAGGAATGATCAATGTGGAATCTCAAATTTGGGAAATAGATCCTTAGAGCCCCCAACCGTTTCATCCTTCTCTTGGAGGCAATCAGGAAGAGATAATCCCCTTTTGGAGGAAACCATGTCTAATCAACAAATTACCTAACCAACATGTGTGGAAAAGGAGGTAAAATCAGACAGTTGACCCATTTTAGTAGATTTGGTAATAAATGCCACAAAGTCAGAGTTCAAGTGGTCTCAAAAGCCTAAAAGGCGACACAGATTAGTTTCAAGGAACACATGGTGTCACTGAGTGTTCCAACTTCCCAGAGGGTGAGTACCATGGCAACTTTGAGCAGGCTGGGAAACGATCCCAGACCCTTGAGGGTCTGTGAGAAATCAAACTTTCGGCACTTTGGAAGTCAGGAAACCAGCACGTTGGGGGAGGCGGGATCACAGTTACTTGCTGAGACAAGCTGCCCTGGCTACGTTCACTCCCGTCAGGTAGGAGAGGTTAAAGAACAGGAAGGCTCCCCCTCCGCAGGGCGGAACTGCTCTGAAGGCATGGAGGAGCGACGCTGAAGGTGGAGGCTTCGCCCACCATGCCGGGAGCTAAAATTTCTTAACCAATGCCGGCCAGCGATGGCAGGGCTGCGGGACTACAATCCCAGCGCGCACAGGGATCAGGGACTGTGCGCATCACTGGAAGAAGCGGCAGAACGGCGCGCGCCTCGCTGAGCTTTCTGGGAGATGTAGTCTCATGGCAACTCCCAGCCTTTTGGCCACAAGGCTACGGGACCTACAATCCCAGCCTGTACCAGGATCGGGAGCAGTTCGCAGCACTAGAGGAAGGGGCAGGGCGGTGCGCGCCGCGCCTGATATGCTGGGAGCTGTAGTCTCTTCACGGTTTTTAGCCAATGAGTAGGTAGCTTCAGAACTACAATCCCAGTATGCATGGGGGCGGTGCGTAGTCCTGGAGGTAGGGGCTGAGAGGTGTGGACTTACCGGTGTCCAAAGCATTGCTAGCAGCCAATTCCATGCCGCCCCGTTGCCAGGGAGAGTGAATACAGCTAGGGACGTGAAGGGTAGGTCTGGGCTGGGCATTGAGGAGGGTATTAGGCTAGGAAGTATACCTCACCTTTGTCCAAATCGGGTGGTTCGGCCTCCTCTCATTGGCCCTATGCAGCTGGGTTGCCTCTCTCACCCGCACCCAAGGGTCTTTCCAGAGTGTTGCGTCATTTCCAGCCCAGGGAGCTGCCTTCTTTCCTAAACTGCAATGGAAACTGTCCTGATGTCTGAGACAATGTCCGTTGTGCCGCAGCCCTCTGCCTTCTCTAGCCAGAGCGCGAGCTCAGCTGCTTTTGAGAGAAATCAGCCACCTGGCCCACCTGTGCACAACTTCAGAGCTTTGTAGGGGGTGACAAGGACTGTGTCTTCAGGGAAATGTCACGGGCATTAGCGCCTTTTTCGCAAATGTGAAAGTTGAGAAATCAAGAAGGTTAATTATTGGGTTGCCCAAGATCTGCTAAGAGCAAAGGAGAAAACTCCGTTTCCCAGGCATGTGTCTTGTGAGCCATTTTTAAATCAACCCTCTTAAGTGGACAAGCTCCAGAACACAACATGAAGCTGATGATGACTTAGGCAATTTATGCTTGAACTCATTGGCCTCATCTCAAGTCAGTGTCTCAGAGACACAGGTGGGACCTGATCCCCAAGGAACAGATAGCATTCCAGATTCATGGGAGCAACTTTTGAGATGTGGAGCACCCGGGGGGTCATTTGAAACCCATCAGGTTGCCGGGCGCGGTGGCTCACGCCTGTAATCCCAGCACTTTGGGAGGCCGAGGTGGGTGGATCACCTGAGGTAGGGAGTTCGAGACCAAACTGACCAACATGGAGAAACCCCATCTCTATTAAAAATACAAAATTAGTCGGGCATGGTGGCGCATGCCTGTAATCATAGCTACTCGGAAGGCTGAGGTAGGAGAATCACTTGAATCTGGGAGGCAGAGGTTGCGGTGAGTCGAGATAGCGCCACTGCACTCCAGCATGGGCAACAAGAGGAAAACTCCACCTCAAAAAAAAAAAAAAAAAAAAAAAAAGGTGTGTGTAATCTTCAGTTTTCAAGATGATTACAAAGATAATATTTATAGAAAGTATGCAAAATAAAATACAATCAAAGCATGCCAATAGAAAGTTAAATAAAAATTAAGAAAGTAAAACAGGCTGGGTGTGGTGGCTCACACCTGTAATCCCAGCACTTTGGGAGGCTGAGGCGGGTGGATCACAAGGTCAAGAGATGGAGACCATCCTGGCTAACATGGTGAAACCCTGTCTCTACTAAAAATACAAAAATTAGCTGGGCTTAGTGGCACGTGCCTGTAGTCCTAGCTACTCGGGAGGCTGAGGCAGGAGAATCACTTGAACCCGGGAGGCAGAGATTGCAGTGAGCCGAGATCACGCCACTGCACTCCAGCCTGGTGACAGAGCAAGACTCCGTCTCAAAAAAAAAAAAAAAGAAACCAAGTAAAACAGAAAATGAGAAAAATATAACTACTAGAAACACATAAAACAATAACAATATAACTAGTAATAACTTCATTTCCTTAATAAATTATTTTAAATATAAATTAAGTAAACTACTTAATAAAATGAAATGTAGTCTTAGGACTTTGGAAGGCCAAGATGGGCTGATCACTTGACCTGAGGAGTTCACCACCAGCTTGGGCAACATGGGAAAACTCTGTCTCTACAAAAAAATACAAAAAAGCTAGCTGGGTGCGATGGCAAATACTTGTAAATCAGCTACTTGAGAGGCTGAAATGAGAGGATCATCTGAGTTTGGGAGGTTCTGGCAGCAGTGAGCCCTGCAAATCAGCCTGGTTGACCGAATGAGACCCTATTGAAATACAAATGAGGCCTGGCGCGTTGGCTCATGCCTGTAATCCCAGCACTTTGAGAGGCTGAGGCAGGCAGATCACGAGGTCAGGAGTTCGAGACCAGCCTGGCCAATATGGTGAAACCCCCATCTCGACTAAAAACACAAAAATCAGCCAGGCATTGTGGCACGTGCCTATAGTCCCAGGGACTTGGGAGGATGTGGCAGAAGAATCGCTTGAACCCGGGAGGCAGAGGTTGCAGTGAGCTGAGATTGTACCACTGCACTCCAGCTTGGGTGACAGAGTGAGATTCCATCTCCAAAAAAAAAAAAAAAACCTACACTGAAAAAACACACTAATATGAAACTTCAAAACAATAATAAGAGAAATGTTTACTCTCATAAAACCTGGTATGCAACATTGATGTATCATTAAAAAAAACTTGTCAGGCTGGGTGCAGTGGCTCACACCTGTAATCTCAGCACTATGGGAGGCCGAGGCGGGTGGATCACCTATGGTCAGGAGTTTCAGAACAGCCTGGCCAATGTGGTGAAACCCTATCTCATATAAAAATATAAAAACTAGCTGGGCGTGATGACGTATGCCTGTAATTCCAGCTGCTTGGGAGGCTGAGACATAAGAACTGCTTGAATCCAGGAGGTGGAGGTTGCGGTGAGCCAAGATTGCACTACTGCACTCCAGCCTGGGTGACAGGGTGTCACTCCATCTCAAAAAAATAATTAAAAAATATTTGTCTCAGTAACTGCAGTATTTAGCTGTTACTGTGTACTTATTAAATGCAGGTATTTTGAATCATTGGCATGCACTGTGTGGCAATAGAATTTGAGAGAATATGCAGTATAGTTATAAATAGATTCTAATGAGAAACTTTTAATAAAAAAGCATTTAAAAAACTAGAGTTACTTTTTATGTTTTAAATATACATTATTCTTACACAAGATGAAACTGCTGAAATCTAACTTTAGAAGCAAAGAATAGCCTTACTTTTTTTTTTTTTTTTTTTTTTTTTTTTTTGAGACAGTGTCTTGCTCTGTTGCCCAGGCTGGAGTGCAGTGGTGCGATCTCGGCTCACTGCAACCTCCGCCTCCCGGGTTCAAACGATTCTTGTGCCTCACCCTTTTGAGTAGCTGGGATTACAGGCGCCTGCCACCATGCCCAGCTAATTTTTTTGTATTTTTAGTAGAGACAGGGTTTCACCATGTTGGTCAGGCTGGTCTCGAACCCCTGACCTTGTGATCCACCCGCCTCGGCCTCCCAAAGTGCTGGGATTATAGGCATGAGCCACCGCGCCCGACCTACATTGTTAAACATAGAAAAAAAAAAATATATATATAGATATATATTTTGCAGAATAGGGTTAGACCCTCTGATGTGTAAAACATATATTAGGAAATAAACTATGTTATTATTTAGTTATAGGCTGAAGAAAGTAGATAAAAATCTTATAATTCCTTATTGCCTGCAGCAAACTTAAATTTATAAGTAACTATTTTAGTAAATATGGAGTGCCTACTAATTATCTCATTTACTTCTGGCATACCATGCAAATCATCTCACATCTCACATCTCTTCATAGTCAAAGGTTTTTTTTTCCTTGCTCCAGACAGGTGATCAGGTCTTGCTTAGAGACAACAATACCTGTTTTATTAAAAATAAGAAACATAAATCTTGCTCGCATTCTCTAATTACAAGCTAGTAATGTGCTCGGCAGAGAGGATGTGATAAAATAGTCTAGTAAATTAATACAAAAATACTAAGTTATAAAAGAAATTTCTAAATATTTAGAAAATACTTTCAATTTGTAGGTTTCTTAATTTTACTATCTGGTACTATTGAATCAAAAATTGGTGGTGGCAATTAGATTTTCAGGTGCGGCAACAATCAATATTTTATGCCACTAAATTTCTGGAATTGCCACTAATTTACAGTGAAGAATACAGCTCAACTCAGGAATGTGGAAAGTTAGGATTACGATGAAACATCTTGAAATTCTTATCTAAATGAACAAATTTTGAAGATTTTCTGGGAAAAGGGGATCTGAAACTCTTTTATGCAAAGAATAAATGACTAAAACACATTCTACAAAAATGAGAAATAAAACCTTTAGGGTATATTATGAATTATGTACTCAAGTTATCCTCACCAAGGAAGATCAGGTTTCTGTAGTTCTCTAACATCACATCCCTATATAAATTCCACTGTGCAGTGTCCAGGCAATGCCACTCCTCCAGAGAGAATTCTATGGCCACGTCTCTAAATTGCAATGGTCCCTGAAACACACCCACACACCCACACACCCACACACACATACATTTTTACCATGTGGCCATGGACAGAACTTTTAATTTGACTTAAGGTGTAATGACAAAGTAAAGAGAACTGGCTCTGACTTATGGGACTGACTAAAATTATCCAATAAAATAATTTTCAACACAGAAATATTCTCTAATGTATTCTCTAACTGAGAAAAAAGAGCAGCATAAGATCCACAACATCAGTTCTTATAATGATATTTTTCTAGATAATAAGTATAAAATTAAGGGCGTGAACAGAACATGTGTATATATATATTTTTTTTTTGGAGGGGGATGGGGTCTCACTCTGTTGCTCAGGCTGGAGTGCACTGGCTCAATCTCGACTCACTGCAACCTCTACCTCCCCCAGGTGCAAGAGATTCTTCTGCCTCAGCCTCCCTAGTAGCTAGGATTACAGGCATCTGCCACCACGACTGGCTAATTTTTGTATTTATAGTAGAGACGGGGTTTCACTATGTTAGCCAGGCTGGTCTTGAACTCCTGACATCATGATCTGTTGGGAACAGGATCCCCAAAATCTGGCCATAAACTGGCCATAAACAAAATCTCTGCAGCACTGTGACATGTTTGTGATTGCCATGATGCCCACGCTGGAAGGTTGTGGGTTTACCGGAATGAGGGCAAGGAACACCTGGTCCACCCAGGGCAGAAAACCATGTAAAGGCATTCTTAAACCACAAACAATAACATGAGTGATCTCTGCCTTAAGGACATGCTCCTGCTGCAGATAACTAGCCAGACTCATTCCTTTACTTCAGCCCATCCCTTTATTTCCCATAAGGAATACTTTTAGTTAATCTATAATCTATAGAAACAATGCTTATCACTGGCTTGCTGTTAATAAATATGTGGGTAAACCTCTGCTCCAGGCTCTCAGCTCTGAAGGCTGTTAGAACCCTGATTTCCCACTCTACACCTCTATATTTCTGTGTGTGTGTCTTTAATTCCTCTAGCACCGCTGGGTTAGGGTCTCCCTGACCGAGCTGGTCTCGGGAATGATCCACCTGCCTCAGCCTCCCAAAGTGCTGGGATTACAGGCATGAGCCACCGCACCCAGCCTCACGAACGTGTATATTTTTCAGTGCTATATTTTCTTCATATGGAATGAGTTGTGAATATTTTTCAGATGGAAAAGACATGTTGTGTTAGAAGGCACCTCTCAAATTTTAATATGTACAGTAAGTTGAAGACCTTGTTTTGCAGGTTTCTTTTTTCCAGAAGATCTTTAATAAAGTCTGATTTTTAAATTAATTAATTAATTGATTGATTTTGAGATGGTGTTTTGCTCTTGTTGCCCAGCCTGGTGTGCCACCACACCTGGCTAATTTTTGTATTATTAGTAGAGATGGTATTTCACCATATTGGCTAGTCTGGTCTCAAGCTCCTGACCTCATGATCCACCTGTCCAGGCCCCCCACCAAACTGTTGGGATTCCAGGCATGAGCCACCATACCTGGCATTTTTAGGGAAATTTTATTAGAAAATAAATATGTACACTTAGCAAGGTAAAGGAAATACAAATTTTACAGCCGGGTATGGTGGCTTACACATGTATTCCCAGCACTTTGGGAGGCCGAGGCCAGCAGATCACAAGTTCAGTAGTTTGAGACAAGCCTGACCAACCTGGTGAAACACCATCTCTACTAAAAATACAAAAATTAGCTGGGCACAGTGGCAGGCACCTCACCTGTAATCCCAGCTACTCAGGAAGCTGAAGCAGGAGAATCACTTGAACCAGGGCAGCAGAGGTTTCAGTGAGCCGAGATCACACCACTACACTCCAGCCTGGGTGACAGAGACTCCATTTAAAAAAAAAAAAAGAAATTATAATAACAATTCTTCTGTTCCTAAATGTGCCTTCAGATGTAGAATCAGAAGTCACAACAATATAAAGAAAGTGGCCTAAATAAAGCCCAAGGTGTTGGACACATCTTTTTATTGTACCAACCATATGATGCACAATTCAATTATTTATCCAGTCGCTAGTGTAGACTAAAAGTTTCTGGATTGTAGAAACTATGACTGCTTCATGTATTTTTTTTAATGGCCATGTGAAATTGAAGCAACTAGTTTATCTATTTCGGTCTTCAGATCTCCTCCTTCTTTATTATCCAAGTACCAGGAAACTGGAGAAACTCTCATCTGGGTACCAACCAAAGACACCTCTTGTATGAGGGGATGAACAAACACAGATGACTCATTTCTCATACACTGAGACAGAAGCAGAATTAACCACTCTTGTCAGCCTGACACAATTCTGCATTGTACATCCTCAAATGCCTCAAAGACACCTAGGTGATTTTGAGGGAATTCCCAGTGACCCTGGGCTGATAGTCCAGTGATAAGCCACTCTGGAGAGACTCAGGCTGATTCTAAATAGAAAATGGAACTGCCTTGGTGGAACTCCAGAACCTGGATCATTTGTCCTTATTTGCTAGCTCTTGGATAAAAGAAAGAACAAAAATACTAATTTTTCAGGTAAAATACAAAAATCACATTTTAAAGGCAAATATAGTTGTGGTCATGGCTCTGGATGTTTTGCGGCCTTGATCTCTCACTCCTAAGATGCTTATTTATAGTTACAGATTCTGCCATCAGATTCTATTTCCTCCTGGGTCCTCTCACATAACTGTAGCAGGTGAACAAGATATGAAAAATCTCAAAGAACCACACTCCCGAATGGGGGCTGTAAGATGTGTATGTTGATATCTCACAATGCAGAAAATGCCTTTTGTTAGTTTTCTGTACATTCTTTATCCAAACTCCGGCCCTTATTTGTAAATCCGAAGCAGAGCCCAGACCTTATCTGCAGATTCTAGGTAGGATCCACCTGGCTCTGCATCCTTTGGTGTTACAGCAAGTGGAGTACAATCAAAGAAGAGATCCCCTCATAGAGGCTGCTCTAGCACATTCTAAATGATAAGTCTACATGAAAAAAAAAAAGCTGACACAAGATGAATGTAAGTACTGTCAGGCCTCTGAGCCCAAGCCTAGCCATCGCATCCCCTGTGACTTGCATGTATACGCCCAGATGGCCTGAAGTAACTGAAGAATAACAAAAGAAGTGAAAATGCCCTGCCCCACCTTAACTGATGACATTCCACCACAAAAGAAGTGAAAATGGCCGGTCCTTGCCTTAAGTGATGACATTACCTTGTGAAAGTCCTTTTCCTGGCTCATCCTGGCTCAAAAAGCTCCGCCACTGAGTACCTTGTGACCTCCACTCCTGCCCGCCAGAGAAAAAAACCCCCTTTGACTGTAATTTTCCTCCACCTACCGAAATCTTATAAAACAGCCCCACCCCTATCTCCCTTCGCTGACTCTCTTTTCGGACTCAGCCCGCCTGCACCCAGGTGATTAA